>NC_000013.11:43408106-48408106 GCF_000001405.40 Homo sapiens
AATCACGGTGAGAGGAACATTTGGTGATGATGAAAGGGGAGGGAAGTGGAAGAGGCGTCACTGTGGAAGTGCACGACAGCACATCTGAAAGGTGTGCTACCACAGTAATGAGGGATTTGATTTCCTGGGAAATCCTTTTGATAAAATCAGAGGATATAAAAATCTTACGCCTTGCTTTACTGATAATTTTAATCTCTCAATAAATTGAAGAAGCAGTGAGGAAAGGGATTTAGTGTCAGTTTAATTTCAACAAATATGGGAAGAGTGGTTGGTCATTTAGAAATATCAGAAACTTTGGGAGAAAGCCAAGTACTCATAAAATCCAGCCTCTCCATAATCCTGTCAGAAATGTTTTAAAGAGGATTTCTTGGAAGGAAGGTTACACTAAATAATCTTTAAGTCCCTTCTGAAACATTAAAGGCTGCCTCTAACATTCTGCATTCACAGTTGAAGAACTCCAGAGGTGGCCAGCATGACACCTGAGCAAGCAGTGGCATCCGTGGCTCTATGGCTACGTGGAAAAGAAACATAGTGCTGCACACCAGGTACAGTAAAAAGGGCATCAGATATGTCATGTAAACATACCATAGAACCATAAGAACTGAAACAATGTGGTCTTGGAATAAAAATAGATAAATCAGTAGTAAAGAATAGATATTTCAGAAATAGACAAAAATATGCATAAGAATTTAATTTCCAATAAAAGGCAGAATTAAGTCACTGGGGGCATGGAAAATAGGGAATATAACAACTTCCAGAGTGGGCAAACCTTTCTGCATTTAGAAATGGAATAAAGAACTCATAAATGAAAAATTAAATATAAAAACCATAAAAAAGAACCAACATTAAGAGGCAAAACATGGAGTAGATAAATATTTTTAGGAAATATGAAGTCCAAGGATTAAAATGTTTAACAAATGCCCAAATATAAACCAAAAAAAAAAAAAAAAAATTACCAGGAACCCTATTTGATAAATGGATACAGTGTGAGAATAATTATTTACAAAAGAGAAAATGTGAATAGAAAATGAAGGAGAATAAGGAAATAAACAAGGGTAGTTATAGAATAATTTAAGATAAAATAATAGGATGCCATTTTTGCATATCAAATTAGTAAATATTAAGTCCATATGTATAGTTTGGGAATTAATTGACCAGTACTTAACAAGAAACTTGAAAATGCTCATTTCTTTTGATGTACTAGTTCCACATGTAGGAGTCTATCCAATGGAAATAATTCTAACAGCTAAAAAGCCCCATGCATAAAAATGTCCACTGCAATGTTTTAAAGCAAAATATTATTTGCTTTAAAAAAAGCAGAAAGGAGAAAGAAAGAAATAAGAACAAAGGAGTAAGAAGAATATTTAATGTATGCTTACCATATGGAGGTTATATAAATTATCCCATTTAAATCTCACAGCAGTTCCATGAAGTAGATATGATCACCATTTTATAGAAAAGGTAAGATGTTTTTGCATGCTCAGGGAGACTAAGTTCTTTAAAGAAACTTGGCTAGTAACAGTGAAAAAATGGAAACAGCCTAAATGTAAATAGTAGAATGGTTAAGTAATCTAGAGATTTGATGAATTATTTTTAAATTTTTAATATAAAAGAATACAATGGAAAAATAGTTTAGGATAAGATGTTAAAAATGCATAATAGAAAATGTTATATTCAGTATGATTGAAATACACAGAAAAAAGACTGGAATAAAATAAATAAGCACTAACCAAACACAACAGAACCTGACCCTGAGATTGTATCAAGGAATGTAGTCGGCTGGTGGCCCTGAGAACAAAGCAAAGTGCAGTTAAATTATCAGGCCGTGTAAATGATGAAGGGAAGCCCAGAAAGACCCTGAAAGGCTCAAAAACAGTTTAAGCAATTTGGCTAACACAGGAGATAGAAAAAGTAATTTGGGGCAGATACGGTAAATCTTCTATAACGCGTAGGGCTGTAATTCTTTTCATGGCAAGTTGCTGGGAAAATCATAAATTGGTCATGGTTAAAACGTCAGAAGACTCAAAATTACAAGAAAAAATAATGAATTATGAAGGTTTTGGCTTACTCTAGAAGTCGTACTACATTTTCTGAGAGAAGTAGGAGGTGAGACGAGAGTAAGTAACTTCTGCTCTCTGAATATTTCAATTAGGCAGCTGGGGAAATGTGGGTGGAAAAATAGAAATCTTTACTTTCAAGTTATTAGAAGAAAGTATCTGTCTATGTAAGCTTTAGGGAAAAGGGGCCTGGGATAAACACATGTTCAAGCCATAGAAAATGTCATTTATGTACACCTACCTCCCTAGAGCAGACTAATCTTCAATTGTATGAATTTGATAGCATTTTGAAGAACTTAATAAATATCCTAAATATAATGTTTTAAAACTCAGCCTTTGTATTTCCTTTGTCTCCTACTTTCCCTGGTCTCTTATCCATTTTCATATTCTTTCTTATTATATTAAAAAAGAAACCATATATATTATATATATGTGTATACACATATACACATACACACATGTACACACACACACACACACACACACACATATTACTACAGTTAATTTGGAATTTTTCATTTATGGCCACTATTGACCAAAAAGAAACACAACAAAAAACAAATGCTTGGTCAACTCAGCATGAAGTGCACAGGTATGTGGGAGTAGAACTTAGCACATTCCAAATGCGATTGGTTTCTATTTAATGAACACCATCTACCCTCACCTACTTTGATGGCCAAAAAGTGAATTTTTCTTCTGCCACTGTAACAATGACTACTGCATAATACCTGGTTGTCACCTCTCCACTATAAATTCTGAGAGGGCAGACCATACTTGTCTTGTTTACTGCGGGAGCCCCTGCACCAGACAGCGGCTCAATGAGTATTTGTTGAATGAATGAATGAGTGAGTGAATATACAAATCCTACTCATCTCTCCAGACTTAGCTCAAGCCCCACCTTCCTGATAACATCTTTCCTCAAAGCCCCAGTGACCGATCTGATTATTATATTACCAGTGTGCACCACTACTTAACACACCTGACTCTACACATCATTTTTATCATTGTTTTTCAGGTGTTGGTGTTTTGTTTTGTTTTTTTCAATTTAGAGAGAAAGGCTCTTCAAAGACACTTATATACATATATATTTATTCTATTTCTCAAAGCACTTTTTACAGGACACATGTAAAATCCTCAGCAAACACCTGTTAAATTCAATGGTTAAATCTTTTAGATGACTTTTGACTTTGTGGTATTTCTAAACATTTTCTCTGCTGAATGCATGCATTGTATTAGGATTTCACCACGTGGTGGACAGAAAACAGGGAATTTAGTGTCAGCTGAGCTGAGTTTATAGCTCTGCCATTTCAATGCTGGAAAAGTCACCGAAACTCTGCTCTTCTGTTTCTCTATTTGTAAAATGGAAACATTAACAAGAGCAATAACAAAAAGAAATATCTACCTATCATAAAGGGAAGACAGTGCAATCAAATGGGATAATGTAGGTGAATGAGTTTTGCAAATTGGAAAGCAAATATTAGCCATTCTATTTACCAATTTTAAAAAACGCAATTGATGTTGCAAGACTGTGTATAGCAATAACAGTTAGTGTGGCTTTTTCTGAGAACAAGGCTATTAGGCAGAAGAGAAAGGTGATGAGGAAAAGAATCTCAAGTACAACTTGCCAAACATGCCCCAGTCATAAATAAAAGACTGTGTCCAACACTCGCGGTACAGAGAGATTACCAGGCACCTGTCACCTACACCCTTCGGCACTGCTGCAAGCATCTCTGAAACCAGGAGAAAGCTTACCAGACACGAGCTGCTGTCCAGGCAACCCTACGGGAACCATGCCCAGGTTATTCATGGCTGTAGCCCAGGCTGTGGGATCTGTCACGGACATGTTGAGCTGGGTCGTGTCTATCGCTATACTCCCCAAACCATCGGCTGCTGTGGGGAAAAACAAACCATGATTTAGAGTCCATAGGCAAGGGTGTTTGTTTTAAAGAAAATCACATTTCTAGATATGTGAGGCTTCATTTAGCACATTCCCAAACTACAAAAAAAAAATAAAGAACTATAATCTGCAGCAATGTTTTCTCTAGACATAAACACAAAGTGTTTCCAAATACTTTCTGGGAGAAAACTTAATGACATGTAG
The DNA here is from genome assembly GCF_000001405.40 of Homo sapiens. Lineage (NCBI taxonomy): Eukaryota > Metazoa > Chordata > Mammalia > Primates > Hominidae > Homo > Homo sapiens. The sequence continues at coordinate 43,412,265 of NC_000013.11, forward strand.
TTTATATTATACACAGCATGCTATTAAGGAGGTACCCCTGGAAAAAAATCGAAGAATTGTTTCCTTCTCCCAGTGAAACAACGTTAGTTAAGTCACAAGGCTGAGAGGCAAAGCAGTAATACTCTCTTGGTAAAACAAGTTAATTGGCTTACTGTTTCTAGGTGTAATTCTTGAGCAGGCAGGCCTTCTATCTAATAAGAAAATAGTTGTCAAGCAGTAGAACTGGTCCTGACTGAATTTATTAAGTGTTACCTCGTAATCTATTCCTTCCTTTACAAACTTTTACATTATTACACTAAGAAAATACAGGTGTCTACCTAACGTGACTTTTCTGAAGGATTTCTAAATAAATAAATCAAATTTAAAAACAGGTAGCACAAAGCTTAAGAAAACACAAAACAAAACAGAAGAATGTGTCAAATTTGACTTAGTGCTCTTTCATTTTCACTAGTTCTACAGACTGATTTCTTTATGGGCCCAGGCTCCTGGTTCAATGCATATTTTTCAAGGTGGGGCAAGCTTTTCCACTAAGAACTCAAAAAATCCTTGTTTGTGTCCTGTGCTGGCCACTGGCATTTACCTGCAGCCATCATCTGAGGAAGCTCCTGGGGAAGCTGGGTGATGTTCTCAACTCCACCTGCATCTACCATTGAATTATGAGTGTCCAGAGGGGCAGGAACACTTTGATGGCTGAGTGCAGGGTCCCCTCGGAGGTCATCAGATTCTGCAAAACGGGACAGAAGTGTGGTGAGAAACCTTAATAGTTAACTGAGATAAAACGTCAAGGAACAAACTGTTATCTATTCAAAATCAAAAACAAAGACCGATTTCCAGTCTCAGGCACAGAAGAAATGCTGCTTCCCATCGCTCAGCGGCTGTCTTGTGGCTCAGTTAAAACCTTAGAGCCCTGTGAGATGTGTGGGTCAACTCATCGACTCACCAGGAGCCTGGGCTGGCTGAATAAACAGCCCCATTTGTGAGTACCTCAAAGGCCTTGCTTCCTACTGAAGCACCTTCACAAATGGGGGCTTATCAGTCCCTGCACAGCCTTTTCCACACACACTACACATCAATGGAGAGGGCAGAGTCAGGGCTAAAGAAGATTTTTTTAAGTTAAAAAATTAATTGATGCTGTTACTTTGGAAGATGGTCGTCTGTGGAATGTATTCAGAGAGGGAAAAAAGTTGGGAGGAGGAAGGAAAAAGGAAGAACCCATTCACCATGCAGCTGGAAAAGGAGGGTACCTAAATTACAATAGTCAGGAAAGGCAGAAGAGAAGAATGGCATGCTGTCCATAAAGGAAGATCTAGAGGGTGTTAGGGAGGCAAAGGAAGAGCATTTGGTTTTTTCAGCTCATTGGAAAGATAATTTAACTGGCCACAACTTTTTGGTTTGAATTTTCCTTAGAATTGCCCAGCTTATATATATATATATTTTTATATATTTATATATATTTATATATATATATTTATATATAGTCTTTTAATGCACTTATCTAATAAATATAACAATTAAACATTAAAGTTACAAAGTTCTTCTCAATCTCACACTATTTATAAAATGCTATGCCTTCTCTCCACCCTTAGAAATGCAAAAACAGAGCTTTCACATGTATTTTAAGTGCACTTTCACCATTTCAAAACTCAGATGAGTGGCATGACAAGTTTGATCTTAAGTAGATTAGATATAACAACTAAGTCTAAATATTTATTTTTATTTTAGTATAAATTTAGAAGTTTTTCTAAACCATGTTCCTGTTAATGATGATTTTAGAATTAGATCTTATGGTTTGACAGTGTATCTAATGTGAAGTTCGAACCTTTTATGGCATGTCTTTTTGTTTCTTTCATTCTTAGGTATAAGAATCAGTAATTCCTTGAGCACTGCACTGTCAAAAAGAACTTCTGATCAGTTGAGCAGAAGTTTAATTCAAATGGAAGCTAAGGGTTCAATTCTCAACAACAGGTGAATAATGAGCAAATAGTTTTTATGGTCTCAACAAATCCCTAGCCCTCAACTAGAGGGGTATGTAAGATAGTGTGGAATTTTTTTCCAATTGTCTGTCAGGAAGATGAATCATCATCATCATCCAACAGTGAATGATTCTAACTTTGGAAGCAAATTGTACTGAGAATAAATATTTTATTCCTTCCCACTATACTATCCAAATGAACTCAGAACCTGCATGTGTATTGTGCATCAATTATCTTAGGCTATGGGTGCCATCAGACAAAGAGATTCTCACCATAGAAAATAAATTCAACAGCATAAGAAATGCATAGCTAACCTAAATGTCTGGTCTATTCACCAACGATCTTTCTACGATGAAATCTCAAAGCACTTCTCTCTCCACTTCCAACCATTTCAGAGTAGCAAGGCAGAGTCAGGCTAGAATGTGTTCATTCTTTTGTTCAAATGGCCCTGTAGCAGAGCTGTTTCAGATCTTTGCAACGTCACTATTTGTCTTACTTATCTCCCCAAATGAAGTTTAGTGGCTAGCCTCCTTCTACCTCAGATTCTTCCCAAATGGGCATTAATCACACATTTTTTTCTCGAGTCTGCAGTTCTGGAACACTATATCAGAGAACATCCCTCTACTTTGTAGGCTCATGACTTGTGCCTGACCCACCACATTTCACCTTGACTTTTTGCTACACTGTTTTAGGGATGGCTTTAGTTTTCCTTGGCTCTGTAACAGTCTGCTCCAATGGCAGTTCTCACTTTAGTGGTTACAGTCGTATAAAGGGGCATCAAGTGTCCTGGAGACCCATCGTTTCTACCTAATACTTTCATGGCCATCTTAACAGACTGCAAGTGTTTCATTGAAAACAGTAAGCAACTGCTACTGTTCCACTGAAAAAAAGCATTGTTCTGTTGGCAAGATGTGGTGTATAAACCTAGATTTATCCCCCAATGAAACTCTTGTGACATTCAATGTATTACATCTCTTCAGTCTCCCAATCCAATGTTTTTTTTTTTTTTTTTTTTTTTTTTTAGTATTTATTGATCATTCTTGGGTGTTTCTCGGAGAGGGGGATGTGGCAGGGTCACAGGATAATAGTGGAGAGAAGGTCAGCAGATAAACACATGAACAAAGGTCTCTGGTTTTCCTAGGCAGAGGTCCCTGCGGCCTTCCGCAGTGTTTGTGTCCCTGGGTACTTGAGATTAGGGAGTGGTGATGACTCTTAACGAACATGCTGCCTTCAAGCATCTGTTTAACAAAGCACATCTTGCACCACCCTTAATCCATTTAACCCTGAGTTGACACAGCACATGTTTCAGAGAGCACAGGGTTGGGGGTAAGGTTATAGATTAACAGCATCCCAAGGCAGAAGAATTTTTCTTAGTTCAGAACAAAATGGAGCCTCCTATGTCTAATTCTTTCTACACAGACATAGTAACAATCTGATCTCTCTTTCTTTTCCTCACATTTCCCCCTTTTCTTTTTGACAAAACCGCCATTGTCATCATGGCCCATTCTCGATGGTCGCTATCTCTTCGGAGCTGTTGGGTACACCTCCCAGATGGGGCGGCCGGGCAGAAGCGCTCCTCACTTCCCAGACGGGGTGGCCGGGCAGAGACGCTCCCCACTTCCCAGACGGGGCGGCCGGGCAGAGATGCTCCCCACTTCCCAGACGGGGCGGCCGGGCAGAGGCGCTCCTCAGTTCCCAGATGGGGTGGCCGGACAGAAGCGCTCCTCACACCCCAGACAGGGCGGCCAGGCAGAGGCGCTCCCCATCTCCCAGACGGGGCAGCCGGGCAGAGGCGCTCCTCACTTCCCAGATGATGGGTGGCCGGGCAGAGGCGCTCCCCATCTCCCAGACGGGGCGGATGGGCAGAGATGCTCCCCACTTCCCAGACGGGGTGGCCAGGCAGAGGCGCTCCTCAGTTCCCAGATGGGGCAGCCGGACAGAAGCGCTCCTCACATCCCAGACGGGGCGGCTGGGCAGAGGCGCTCCTCACTTCCCAGATGATGGGTGGCCGGGCAGAGGTGCTCCCCATCTCCCAGACGGGGCGGCCGGGCAGAGATGCTCCCCACTTCCCAGACGGGGCGGCCGGGCAGAGGCGCTCCTCAGTTCCCAGATGGGGCGGCCGGACAGAAGCGCTCCTCACATCCCAGACGGGGCGGCCGGACAGAAGCGCTCCTCACATCCCAGACGGGGCGGCCGGGCAGAGGCGCTCCTCACATCCCAGATGGGGTGGCCGGGCAGAGGCGCTCCTCACTTCCCAGATGATGGGTGGCCGGGCAGAGGCGCTCCTCACTTCCCAGACAGGGCGGCCAGGTAGCAGCGATCCTCACTTCCCAGACAGGGCAGCCGGGCAGAGGCGCTCCTCACTTCCTAGACGGGGTGGCCAGGCAGAGACGCTCCTCACATCCCAGACCGGGTGGTGGCGGGGCAGAGGCACTCCTCACTTCCCAGATGGGGTGGCGGCCAGGCAGAGGCGCTCCTCACTTCCCAGACAGGGCGGCCGGGCAGAGGGGCTCCTCACATCCCAGACAATGGGCAGCCAGGCAGAGACGCTCCCCACTTCCTAGATGGGGTGGCGGCCGGGCAGAGGCTGTAATCTTAGCACTTTTGGAGGCCAAGGCAGGCCGCTGGGAGGTGGAGGTTGTAGCAAGCCGAGATCACGCCACTGCACTCCAGCCTGGGCAACATTGAGCATTGAGTGAGTGAGACTCCGTCTTCAATCCCAGCACCTCGGGAGGCCGGGGCGGGCAGATCACTCGAGGTCAAGAGCTGGAGACCAGCCCGGTCAACAGGGTGAAACCCTGTCTCCACCAAAAATACAAAAACCAGTCAGGCGTGGTGGCGTGCGCCTGCAATCCCAGGCACTCGGCAGGCCGAGGCAGGAGAATCAGGGGAGCCCGAGGCAGGGAGGTTGCAGCGAGCTGAGATCACAGCAGTACAGTCCAGCCTCAGCAACAGAGGGAGACGGGAGACGGGAGACGGGAGACGGGAGACGGGAGACGGGAGACGGGAGAGGGAGAGGGAGAGGGAGAGGGCCAATCTAATGGTTTTAATGACATACAACTTACTGTGGCTACCATGTGCCTGGGATGGTGATTCTAAAGTAAGCTCTGTCACATCTTAGGAATTTCCAATAGTCTCAAGGCTGCCGTGACATTGTTCACAAAATTTAAGTTGATTCGGTCACTCATTTTGGAAGAAAGGTAATACTTTTAATTAATTACCAACTAGTAATTTATGAATAGTTGCAAGAATGATTTTGGTACTTTGTTAGCATCTATTGTTCCTATTGAATACCTGCCTCTTTAAATGATTCAAGACCATAATGCCTAATTTATCATTCACATCAATTTCTCTGCCTTAGTTTTATTATTTCTAAACTATAGAAAAGATTAATCTTCTTAGCGATGTTTATTTACACACAGAGATGTGGGGAGTTAAAAATTATAGCTAATAAAGCACTCTGAATACAGTAGGTGATAATTATTACTATTTTATTTGGAAATGTAGTGTTTCCATTAAGATACCCTGGGATCTTTGTGTTCTGGTAGATAATTATGTAATTAATTCTAAAACAGTGAGTAACACTTGATATTTCTAAAAGTAAGTGTTGCCCTAGTTTTCTGTGCCACACCTCAGTTGGAGCACAATATTTCATTTTCCACCATTCCTTTATAAAATTATATGAGGTAGGCCAGGTGCGGTGACTCACACCTGTAATCCCAGCACTTTGGGAGGCCGAGGCGGGTGGATCATCTGAGGTCAGGAATTTGAGACCAGCCTGACCAAAATGGTGAAACCCTGTCTCTACTAAAAATACAAAAATTAGCCAGCAATGGTGGCGCATGCCTGTAGTCCCAGCTACTCAGGAGGCTACGACAGGAGAATTGCTTGAACCCGGGAGGCAGAGGTTGTAGAGCCGAGATCACACCACTGCACTCCAGCCTAGTTGCCAGAGTGAGACTCCATCTCTAAAAAAGTAAATACATAAAATAATATAATGTAATTTAAGGCTGGGCGCAGTGGCTCAAGCCTGTAATCCCAGCACTTTGGGAGGTGGAGGCGGGCCAATCACCTGAGGTCAGGTGTTCGAGACTGGCCTGGCCAACGTGGTGAAACCCTATCTCTACTAAAAATATAAAAATTAGCTGGGTGTGGTGGTGCATGCTTGTAATCCCAGCTACTTGGGAAGCTGAGGCAGGAGAATCGCTTGAACCCAGAAGGCAGAGGTTGCAGTGAGCTGAGATTGTGCCACTGCACTCCAGCCTGGGCAACAGCAAGACTCTGTCTCAAAAAAATAAAAATAAATAAAAATAAATAATACGATGTAACTTAAAAGATGTATAAATATTTTCTCTCTAGGTTTTTTCTGCCTATGCAACTACAAAAACTTTCAAGAGATTCATGACCAATTATGAAATTGGCAGTTTCTACTTACAGCTTTAATGAAGTATGAGCACCACAAAACAATCTGATACACAAAATGCCAAGGATAAAAGTACAGCTTTGTTTGGCCTTAACAGATATCTAACTTGTTTCCTGTTAAGATATATTCAAGTATAAAATCTCATACCAATTTCATAACTGTTCAACAAAATATATTTATGTTCAGTATTTCATTGGGCTAGATAATGGGGCAAATATTTTTTGAAACTTATCAAGTCTATGAAAATACTATTTGGCTTAAAAAATGGCACAGGTTTGGGAGGCTGAGGTGGCAGGATCACAAGATCAGGAATTTGAGACCAGCCTGGCCAATATAGTGAAACCCCGTCTCTACTAAAAATACAAAACTTAGCTGGGTATGGTGGCGGGTGCCTGTAGTCCCAGCTACACGGGAGGCTGAGGCAGGAGAATCGCTTGAACAATTTCTATAGGTATCAGCGATGCACACATCATGAATAATAAAACCTACCTGTAATTGTCCACAAAACACAGATTCCTGTTAAAGGAGGGTAGAGATCAGCTAGGTATTGAAAAATCCTTCTTATTGAAAAAAAGAAAAAGGCTGGGTGTGGTGGCTCATATCTACAACCCCAGATAGGAGCTAATATCTATAATCCACTTTGGGAGACCAAGGTGGGAGGATTGGTTGAACCCAGGAGTTTGAGACCAGGCTGGGCAACATAGGGCGATTTCATCTCTACAATAACCTTAAACAGTTAGTCAAGCATGGTAGTGCCCTCCTGTCGTCCCAGCTGCTCAGGACGCTGGGGTGGGAGGATTGCTTGAGCTGGGGAGTGAGGGGTGCAGAGGTTCCAGTGAGCTGAGATTGTGCCACTGCACTCTAGCCTGGGCAACAGATTGAGTCCCTGTCTTAAAAAAAGACAAAACAAAACCAAAAAAAAGCATGATTTTGTTTGGTCTAAGTCCTTAGGTTTATACCTACTTCAATAACAAAATAATTGTGGTGAAAGAATCAGATTTCTTAATGTCTTGTAAACAGTTGATACCAGGCCAGGCACGGTGGCTCATGCCTGTAATGCCAGCACTTTGGGAGGCCGAGGTGGGTGGATCACTTGAGGCCAGGATTTGAGACCAACCTGGCCAACATGGTAAAACCTCATCTCTACTGAAAATACAAGAATTAGCCGGGCGTGGTGACGTGCACCTGTAGTCCCAGCTACCTGGGAGGCTGAGGCAGGAGAATGGCTTGAACCTGGGAGGCAAAGGTTGCAGTGAGCCAAGACCAAGCCACTGCACTACAGCCTAGGCAACAGAGTGAAACTCCATCTCAAAAAGAAAAGAGCTGATACCAAAGGAAGCTTATTTCATATGGTATCAGCAAATTTCTTATTTTATAAGAACTCTCCATTAGCATTATCATGGTATATATTTACAGTAAAAAGAAAGATACATTTCCTTCCAAAGTTCACTCTCCTTTTCCATCACTAAGGAAATACCTAACTTCGATCTTCACATAGTCAGTGCCATACTCTCGAGGTTATGGAAATGTTCCACGGTTTAAAACAATATAGATAATTGTGAAGTAGGTATGCTTATGTATTAACTCTTTGATTCTTTAAGCAATTATGAATAGTAGGGGAGATACTTCTGCTTCCTGTAATGATAAACTATGTAACTGTAGATCAATCTTCCCACTGAGGAACAACTAAAAATCTTAATATCTTCCATCAGTTTTGTAAAATTCTCACTATCATCTTTTCATATACAAAAGCAGTTCAAAGGACATTCTCTGATTATTGTAGTGGGTTACTAATCTGGCTTCTAAGGAGAATGGGTCCTGTTAACTACTGGGTGTTTCATCTTATTGTTAAGGGAGGTGAGTGGAATCTGCAAGTTTAGGGGCAGAGTAGGAATTGCTCTGTAAAGTGTGGTAAAAGAAAACATAAAAGCTGAATGTTCTGAGGGGAAAGAAAGGAGGGATCTTTGGTGCCCACCCATGAAGAAAAGATGACTACAGAGAAGATCAATGACTTAAGCAGAATTTCAGGTGGTTTCACTGGGAAGCATACAGTGTAAATCTCTCCTCAGCCCCTCCCCAGAAATGTCAGCTAAATCTGTTACTCCTTATTTCTTAGATAGGAGTAAGTTTTGGGGTATTGGGGAGCACTTAGAGGAGAGTTTCAAGAAAAGAATGAAAAGGTAGCTAATGGGATTATATAACATCCTACATGATAACGCATGATAAAGACTCAAATCTGTTAAATATAGAGGATGGTGATTATTTGTTAATGATCAATGTCAGCTGATTAATGGGAAATAATAGGATTAAGGTTTTGAGGAATAGATTTAGATTAGGCATATCATGGGGAATTTCTGATGAGATGACTGTAAAGTAGGAGTATTATATCAAATAACACTTAAAAGCTCTTTCTCAGTGATGGAGAGAAAAGCCATTTCTTGGAAACAGTATGGGCAGAAAATGGAGTTGGACAAAGATCAATTCAGATAGGGGAGAACCCTATAGCACTTAGTGTCAAACCCATGAAATCAAAAGGTCTTCTTTAGTATCTAACTAGTTATTCATATACAGATGCTCCTCAATTTATGATAAGGTTACATTCTGATAAATCCATTAAGTTGAAAAAATAGTAAGATGAAAATGTATTTAATGCTGGCAATACAACAGACAGTCCTCAAATGACGATGGTTTAATTTACAATTTTTTAACTTTACGATGGTGAGAAAGCACTGTGCATTCAGTAGAAACCATAACCCCATCACAAGTTGTAAGGAGCTTCTTGACTTGGAGTTACATCCCAATGGAGTTATGTCCCAAAAGCATAAGTTGAACCATCCTAAATCAGGGACCATCTGTGTTTATAAAATCACTGAACTTTTTCCTGAAGTGTCACATCACACTACATTGCACCTAAGGAGAGATGCCACTCCTACTCTTTTTCCAGTTTTCTGTTAAGGCAGAAAGATAAAGGAGATATATACTCTTTCTCCCATGCTCTCATAGCACTCTGTACCTTGCTCTATCCCAGCACTTTCACTCATATTCTAGTTAGTTTATCTCTATCATGTCTCTAATAAACTATAAGCTTAGGATGATCAAGGAAACTAGTCATCTGTGCATACCCTGCAGCTAGCAAGCAAAGTACCTGAAATGTGGTAGGTGTTAAATATATATATAATATAGTTATAAATTTATAAAATATATTTTACGTTTTATATAAAATATAAATATTTTACATGTAATTTCAAATGAATTCATGCAAGGAGGAAAGAAGAGAGGAAAGTAAAAAATGAAGAAAAAAAAGGAAAAGAAGGAAATAATAAAGGAACCAAGAAAAAAAAAAATCTCAGTTCCAGAATTTAGTCCCAAAGCTTGGAAGTTTAAAGCTAAAGAACACAATGAGGGTGGAGGGATTTTTCTTGTATACTAGAATACAGATGAATTCAAAGTGTCAAAGAATGACAATTAAAAAAAAATCTGTCAGATCTTTCAAGATAAGCTTTAGATGCACTTAACAAGTCACCCTCTAAGCTTTAAGATTCCACACCTCCCTGGCAACCAATGTAGGATCACAAGCAGGTTACAGTGATGTTCTCCTTTTGTGAGACTTCTTGCAGCTGCTCTTTGAATGAGCTGAAATCTATAAATAACTGCATCTCCAGACCCATTAAGCAGTACATTAGTGTAACAAAGGCATATATGTACAGTACTAAAGAAGTGAAATTGTTGGAAGAAAGGAAAAGTTTCCATTTGGCATGCACCACAGAGGATGAAAAGCAGACCCAACCATTTCTCAAACATGAAATTCCATTATTGGTTTGTGATTACATCCTCCACTTTTCTACTTTGTATAGCAGCCAATTTTAAACTACAAATCATCATCTTTCCATCTTAGAGAGGACATGGTTTCTAAATGGGTAAGGTTTTACCCACAGCATGTCTATCTTTGAAGAACTCTATATTGAGAGAAAGAGACAGAAAGAGAGATGACCTGAAGGCCCCCCTCTAAAAACATGCAATCAAACAAAATGACCAAATTTGCCAAGGAGACAACTCAACTAGCATGTGCAGGACAGCAGAGAAGAACAATTTTCTTTTGGCACAAAGAAAAATATCACTCGGCATTACAAATATAAGTGTAGAGACATGACAAGTAAAATTATTTTTCTCAGGAAAACTTTGCTTTTGGAAAAAAATATGCTTTATATATCTAAATTGAACAAATAACAAAAAAAATCTTGAGACCTTATGTATAAAGTGCCCCTCTTTCCATTAAAAACAGAAAAGAAAAGAAAACAGGCCTTGATGCTACTATGGTAATATGTAGGGATTGGTACCATCGGAGGTTTCCAGAAGCCACTGGAGATCTTGCCACATATCCTCTGTGGGGAAGGGAGGCTACTGTATGCAGTTTTAAAGTCTTTGTATAGGCAGGTTTTAAAGTGTAGGACCTTTCACATTTAGACTTCTAGAGATTTTCTGAAAAGGGCAACATTAGACTTGAAGACAGTTTATGAAATACGTAATGGCTCAACTCCTTCCCCTCATTCATGGATATCAATCAACCACATACACAACCTGCTGTCATATGTTGTTGTTTTCTACTTTCCAAAATACACAGACCATAAAAAAAAAAGTGATCACCGCTAGACTTTGCTGGTGAGTAAATTATTCAAGAAAGCAATATTATCAGTAAACATAAGCCTGGATCCATTAAAGCTAGAAGAGTCCCATTTTACGCAAAGCTTTTCTAAGCCCCTGGGATTCAGGGCAAACACATACAGGTTCATAGAGTAATTCATCAAGGTTTGAAGAATCAGGTAAAACCTGAGTTTATCAATTCCTACTTCTCCCAGATAAACATGTCTCCAAAATGTTTCTGACAGGCAACTATCCAGCCTCAGCTAGTGATGGGTGTGGCAGCTCACTGTGCCAGATAGTCCTAAGAGTTCACCGTTCTCTCTCCTGAGCACCTATCTGAAGAACAGGAGATCTAAATCTAAATTCTGTCCTCAAACCCTACCTCTGCAGTGATATGTGGTCTTGGAAAGTGACTCTTCTATCCCTGGAATAGGGATACTGAGGCTTAACTACCATCTTACCTAGCCACAGATAAATTTATGAAAGTAACTAAGGACATATCAGATAATTCTTGCCTCCCCCTGGTCAAATTTTTTCTGTGTTTGCACTCTTGTGTTCTTTTCACATTCACATTCTAAAAGTTCTAAAGAGTAGACAATGTAAACAGAATGTTGTAACTAAATAAAAGCCTCAATTAAAATGGCAAAGCTATGGACTCCTGAGACAGAGCAAGAGAGACAGGAAAGAGTCGTCTTGAGGAAGGGATAAGGCCTCTGGGACAAGATTTCAGGTGGATGTCAGGCTTCAAAGATATAGCCATCAAAAGAGGTGAATTCTATAAACCATACACATGGCAACAAATCAAAGCATAATTTTGTATGCATACACAGTACAGAAAGGCAATGTTGGTCACATCCCGGCCTCTTCAGCTGCACTGATACACAGAAAGCAATTTCTGTAAACATTATTGTCTTCTTACATAAAGGAAATCAGACAATATATAATTCTATAATTTGTGCTGTTTTGTGCTCAGCTTTTTCATTATGTACTCATTTTACACCTTGACCCAACCGTGGAAAACATATTAAGCTAGAAAGTGGAACATTTTAATTGTAGTGGATAAATAACTGACCCTTAAATGGTGGCAAACTGGCAAATTAGTTATCTATTTTCCAAAAAGCCCTGGTTAGAGCCCTTTAATTTATGGAAATCTACCTGCAATAAAACCCAGATCAGACCAAGACCAGCCTGAGCCAGTTGCTCATCCTGTTTAACATTTCTCCCAGTAGGGTGACAAATAACATATTAGTTACTCTTTAAACAAATGTGCTCTTAATGATGCCACTGCCGCATGATGAATAAAGCATTAGCCCTGCAGTCATGATCGCCCTGGGACAGGGAGCGTTAGCAGAACACACCCACCTTGCATGGATTGCCCTGGGTGAGAGACTTTGCTTTATCTTTCTCTAAATGACCACCCATAGCCCTTGCTCATGCTCTGTAACCAGTGAGCAAGAACAGTGGAGCCTTGGGTCCCCTGTGATGGTCCTTTTTGCTTCTCAGGGCCTCATAAATGGTATGGCTATATCACTGGGAGTAACCCAGAAGGCATGATGGGGTAGTTAGGGGAGGGCTATGGGGGCACAGGAGCCTGATGCAAATGACTGCACAGCAGCACATCCAGTTGGAAAGTTCCAGTTCAGCAGTGAGCATTCTGAGGAAATGGGTCAAACCTTTAGTGCTGCTGGTTATATCCAGCAAGATTTAAATGAAGGTGCTCAGAAGAGAAAAAGGCCTGAGTGTCCAAAAGGTATTCAGGCTCCTGAGGCTAGAGGCAGATTAGGGGGCACAGAAAGGTGGTTCCAACCTCCAGGAACATACATGATTCAGAAGCTGAATCCTGGTTATTTCTTGGTAAAAGGTCTTTATGTTCTAGCTGCTTTTGGAGGTCAGGCATCATCAAAAGCAGGAATTGGCTACACCTGGTTATCTCAGCAGGCCCTCATAACCCAGAAAACCTCCATGGAGGCTCCCACCCCCATCAAAAGAGATGAGAGAATAAATGCTGATGGAAAGGCTCCAGCTCTGAAGGCAAAGTTGAAGGGCACTACAAAACACTGTTGCTACAGACCCAAGGCCTTTACCCTCTGTCTGTCTTGGTCACAGATTTGCATTAAAATGTCCTCCACCCCTACCGTCCCCCATTAACACATTCTCCTTTTCAATAGGAGGAGATATTTGCCTCTTAAGAATGCCACATAAAAATCCTTCCTTACAAGGAGATGGCATTTGGAGGACTATGTTCCTCAAATAGTCTCTTTTTCTACTACAGTCTTACAGACCAAAGGACCCATCTGCCTCTGAGCAACTAGTCTATTTTTTTAACTAGGGCTGTGTTCTCAACTAGGCACTAGAGGCATAAGGTCTACAATAATGATGAAGACCTGAAAATATTTTGTGTCAACATGCAATGAAAAGCACACTATCTAAAACAAATATTTAACTAAATGTTTATAAATTCCATATTATGACAATTCTAATTATCAAATTTAGTATTCACATGAAAGTCATTATAGTTGAAAACCATTTGTAACTGGGCTATCTCACTTTGCAGAAATTACTGAGTGTGCACCATTATGGAGAAATTAGAGCTGGTTTTAAATGAAAGAAATAACTTGCAGGCAAATAATTTCAAAAGCAAAATGATTTAAAAAATCATCTCCAAAGTTCCTATAAACAAACTTATACTAAACATCAGATGTGAACACACTTGTTATGTTTGATCTGATATGGAGTAAGTAAATCTGCTGCTGCCTAGAAAGGTTTTAAATGGTTGTGTTCTGAGGCACTGTCTCCTTCCTGCCTACTGTGTGTAAGATAAAGCTATACTTCCTCTCAAATTTGCCAAACTCAGTTCAGGATCGAATGCCATTCCGTTATTTATTCATGGATTACATAAATAATTGTGGAAAAGAAGAAGGAGGCATGAGCAAAAATTGACCTTAAAGAATACAGATGAGAGAGAAAAATATCTGGCTCATGGTACCGAATGCAATTTCATGTTAGCTTAGAGTCATCGTATGTATTTAGGTTTTATTATTTATAAAAAAGAAATCGTGCTGAATGTTCTTTGTGGGAACTGCAATATATTGCTATTGCTACGATGGTTTACTATTTTCACAGCTAGATGGCTTAAACCCAAACTAAACAAATATTTTAAAAGAATTCCCACCAGCATTATTACTTTTTTTTCGTTTCTAGTGTTAATGAAAAAGATCTTCTGCTTTTCAAGTCCTCTGATATCTTTACTCTTGAGCAATTCTCAATTTTATGGCTTATGATGAGATAATGTTTATTGAAAAATAACAACTTAAGAAAATAACCAGCAACTAGTGGTGGTTAAGCAGTGCAGTGTCTGAAGTGAGGGCATTTGAGAACTGCAGTGGCTGTCAACTCCAAATATTCACCAGGTCTTGACTATTACGGCAATTAGGATGATGATTTTATTACTTGCACACTGAAGTAGACATATTTTTGTGTACTCATCCAAGATATCAACTTGACAGTGTCTACTACACACAGAATTTTGCTAATAAGATAAAAATAAGGTAGATGTGACAGTGAGACACATAATCAACATAAAACAAAATGCACCATCATGTCCAGACTTCTCACTGTATGACCAAACCCTTACTTTAATAGGGGTCACCACCTTCATTCAAATGCACTCCCCAAACTCTTGCTATCATTCTTAACTACTGGCTAATTCACCATCCTTTTCTCTAGGGATAAAATTTGCACAGAAATGCAATGACACAGTTCTCTTCAATCTGAGAGTAAATATCAATATACACTAGAGAGGTGGGGATTTTTTTGTTTTAAAAATATTATTGCTGATACATGTAATGAGTTCAAACAAAGCTAAAGTCTATAAAGTAAAAGGGGAATGCCATTCCGTTACTCCTTATCTGCCAGCCAACACACTCCCCAGATGGAACCGCTGGGAAAATAGCTCCCTATACAGCAGTCACTGTGGCAAGAAACTCACATCCTCGATCTCATGAAAAAGACTCACAACAACCTATGAGATAGATGTTATTCCAACTTTTTACAAAAGAAAATAAACTAAGGTCCAGAAGGCTATTCCTTTGGATTTTTACCCAAGGTCAGAAAGCCAATGAATGGCAGAGCCCAGGACTCAATGTACCCTAGCCTGGATGTCTGTTGTTACAGATTTGGGGAACTCCAACTTTCTCCCACAAAGAGTCAGACTAGAAGGTTCCTCTGGGTTTAACTGGCTCTAAAGAGAGAAAGAAGTCTAGGGTAAAGGTTAGTTCCATCCCTGGGGGTAGATTTATTTATGCAACATATCTTTATAAGATGTTGACTGTATGTAGCACTGTGCTTGATACCAAGAACGTAATAGTGAACAAGACATAGACCCTGTCTTCAAAAAGTTTGCAATAATACAGTCAGGTAACTAAACAAACTAAAAAGTACCAGCAGACATGAACTTGCTATAGCATGGCAAATTAGATATTCTTAGGAACATGCCTCTTATAAGAAAACAACAACTAGATTCTGGATAAGACCACTTATTTATGTATTACTAGGCTTTCTACTAGGCTTGGTAAAGGAAACCCTGCTAGACATCTGCTTCTAAAAAGAAAGAAAACAAAAAAAGTTGGCTGAAACCAGAAGGATGAGCCAGGAGTAGTAAGTTGCTTGGAGGGAAAGTGCCAACATCAGCAATGCACCAGGAGATAGCCTGTCATGGCAAGGTCAAGCCCTGGTCTGAGGTTTCCATGGCAATCAGGACCTGAAGATTTGTTGCACCTTTACATGGCCCTTACCCCAGTCAGCCTTCTCAAACTCTCGACTTCAGTTTTAGAAGTAGGCAAGTGAAAGAATCTGGGCAAACCAGCAGAAATCACTGCTGAAAGACAACTCAAGACCCATGCTTTATTGAGAGGCACATTTTTCTTAAATAAGTCAGAATAATAATTGTGTACTTAGAGAAAGAGAGAGAGAGAACAAACATATAAAGTTTCTACCTAGGGTTGATCTGTAATCCAAATTGGGCTTAACTCAGTCCAAATATATATATTGAGGGCAAACTGATGGTTTAAGCTGAGAGCTTGGGATAAAGAAGGTATAAACATCATCATTATCAAGGACTGTCCAGGTCCATTCTCCCCATGTCAACAGCTTCTATTTGCAATCTCTAAATCATCCACACCCTCACCACAACTGTACTGCCTGATAGAATGCACTAGTGAGTGAGGCGGATGGCAAAGTAGAAAGGCTGGTCCCAGCTTTATATATAGAAAGGCTGGGAGGTGGAGTCAGGTTACTATTACTTTTTCTTACCTCATCCCCTTTCTGCCAGAACCTTCTTCTGTTCTACTTCTCTTACTTGTACCAAATACACTCTCTCTAACACGAGCTATCTCATCATGTTGGCAGCTAGCTACAAGGAAGAGGCCTGGAATGCAGTTCTCCTTTCTACCTGTCATTGGGAATAGGAGCTACAGAAACTAGGGTTGGTGAGGCGGGTGGGGGGTACTGTGGAGGTGGGTAAAGCCACAAGCTGGATAAACCAGAAAACCCAACTTCTAACTCCTATTCCAAGGGATAGCTGACATTCTAGAGGTGCTGAAAGAGTGAGGATCTATGTCAGTTATCATGTGGGACACTGAAATCAAAGTCCCTCTGCATGCTGATTAGAATCATCACCCATTGTGGCGGCTATTTTTTCATTCTCAGTAGAGACAAACTGAAACCCTGAGAACTGATCTGGGCAAGTCGCTTTCTCTGACTCTCCTAAGAAACGTGCACAGCAGTTTGGCAGCACAATTTGCATACCAGAGGAGAGCTCCTGTCACAAGTACCCTGTGGGCCAGTTTCCTGAGCTTTTCCACTTGATGCTTTCAAGCCTCATCTCACGAGTCATTGGAGAGGCTAACGTATAATGCCTTTTGGAGGAGCTGAAAGGAATAAAACATTACTAGCAAAACGGTCATATATTTTGAGAGTTAAAATCTAGATCCCTTTAGATAGGCCCTCTGAAAGAAATGCTTTCGACTACGATGGCAGCAGCAAAAACTCTGTTAAGGACAGCTTCATGAGCACAACTTCCCAGCCACTATTCCCACCTGAAAAGTACATATTCTGGTCTGCATTTTTTTTTCTACAAGTATTTTGCTTTGATTCATTGTTGATACACATGACAGCAGAATAATAAACTAGGTAGTTTGAGCCTGTGTGTGACTGGGATTCGGCATAAGCATCACAATTTTGGTTTGTAAATTCCTTTGGTTCAGTAGATCAAATGGGGAAAGACTTGTGTAATGTGAAATTCAATGACCAGCAATGGCAGGGATCTTTTGGATATGTAATCTGCTGTTGGAGCCATGCTTGGGGACCAAATAGATGAGCAGGCCATGTTAGGAAGGGCAGCAAGGAAAAGAGAAAACATGAATTAATATTAAAAATGTGATGCAAAATAAAATGGAGGTTATAGTCATATCCTTCCAATTGTATTGAGCTGAAATTGTTTCTGGATTTGGAAGCTCCTTGCTAAGCTAAATTGCAAAAATAAGATTATATGAGGAGAAAAGGTAATTTCCAAAATATAATAAACATAATACAATTACTGCACACTTATATATGAAATCCAGAAAGGTATATTTCTTTCACGCCATGTGATCACAGTTTTGTTACAGTTTTATGTTCTTATTTTATGCTTTCCACTAGTTTTCTTGACTTTGCATATTCTTGATGCAAATCAGTGAATGCATATAAAGTGTAAACAATAGGCTCTCAACATGGAGCCTACCCAAATGATTTAACTGTGTAGCATTGATTATCTTGTCCACTGTGTGAGCAACGTGCACAAAATATGCATTTTGTATGTTACGGAGGTCTTGCTGATGTGGATGAAGAAGTGTGAGAACTAGGATGGAGAAGAAGCTAACTTCAACAGTCTACTCTTTAGTGTCCTCCCTTTACATAAAACAAAACAAACAACTGATCAGCTACTAGTAATCAACAAACTTAAATTTGCTGAGAGGAAGTAGTTAAATAGCAATACCAAGATGTAGAGGTTAGGGAAGGTTGTTTTGCCCCTGCCTATTGACCTACATATACTGAAGCAAAATTGGAAAACTGCAGCATATTTGGTCACAAGGTCTTTCTATTTCCATTCATAATTTCTTTTCTTTATTCCCTCTTTTTTTTTGTTCTTCAGAGAACACCTTTCTTGATATGGGTGTTTTAAAATTCTGATCAGAACTGGCAGTGGGAAAAGAGCTGAGGAAATAACGGAGACTCATACTTATGTGACACATTCACAAACCCTATGAATTTTTAATGAAGGCACAATGTCCACAATTAGATTTGAAATGAGGTTTTCTTTGTAGGCGCTCTTACAGTAAGTGGAGTGCAAGCGAATTTTACTTTATATTCAGTAAATGATACCAAGTGCAAAAAACACTACAATTTAATAGAAAATAAAAACAAATTGTTGATTGTTCATAGCTCCTTTTTCATCTCTTAGATTTACAAAAGTGTAGCAGTTAAAAAAATTGCATTTCGTTTTATTTAAATACCACATGGATGCCAAGGCAACTCAAAGGTATAGAAAGTCATTTTCAGTCATGACCTGAAGCTGTCCTTTTGCATTGTGTGGAGAAGTTTTTGTTTGTTTTAAACTGTAAAAATGACTTCTAAATGTAGATCTTTGGGGAGAAAGATATTAAGCTTCCCTATTTGCAAACTAAGCCATTTCAAATGAACATAAAAAAAAAATCTAATAGTGTAGAAAATAAGGAAATAGAGTGGGCTGATGGCTACTTCGTTTGCATTTTGATTTTAAAGCTTAACTCTTGTCTTCATAGGGCTTAGGTTTTCAGCTTCGCAGAAACAGACACAGTTTCCCATCCTTCTTAGGTGGTTTCCAAAGTCCTTCAGTTTCTGGCTCCTGGTCACCTTGGCAACATCATTTCCTAAAGCTGCTTCTTCTCTTGGAGCTCCCGCAACACAGATGCTTTTACTCTTCCTTGAGCCTAGCAAGTGTGATCTTCTCTTAGTGACTCTGCACTTGTGGTTCCTCCAGGTAACTGCGCAACCACCCTGCTCCCTCACCTGGGCCCTTCTCTGACGAAATGTCATCCCTGACCTCTACCTAAAATAGCAACTGCGTCACCTTCTGTCCTTCTACTAGCCTTATTTTCTTTCTCTCTAGGATTTCTTGGCATCTGAGGTTATATTACATAGTTATTTCTTTGATAAATTAGTCATCCATGAGGGCACACTTATTTTTAACCTTTTAAAAATGTTTTTCTTGGTAAATTGCCATCAGCCAAAACAGTGCCTAGTACTTAGTAGACACACACCCTTCCCTCCCACATACGCAAATTCATTGATTAAATATTATGAGTGGGTGTATATATACATACACACATAAATATGTATAAACACACCGTATTAATCATTACTGTTTGATTTTCTATATTCCTGATGCTTTGACATATGGGTCCTTGCTGACATTGGAGGGATCTCCCCTCCCAGGGCTAGCCAATCCAAGAGAGCAAACGCCTCACCTGGGAGCACACACGTCATAGGCAAACCAACCAATCCAGATCCCAGACCCTCGAACACCTCCTTTACTGGCTCTCAGATGCTGAACCACTATTCCTCTGGCCTAATCACCCCGGAGCCAAGTATAGGCCTTATACCCCAGAGCTTAAATTATTCAAACTAGCCCATCCTACGCCTGTTTATTCCACCTTGCCTTGCCTCCTGTTTTGCAGAAATCACAATAAAGGCGCTCTCACTTCCTCTCCCTTCTGACTGACCCTGGCGCCTCCCTGTGTGGCTCCTCGTTGTGTGGTGTGGCAAGCTTCCTTCTCTTTGGAACTGTGAATAACAAACTATCTTTTCTATGGCAGTCGTCTCCTGATCTGTTGGCCTTACCACACCCTATAATAATAAAAACTGCATTTTCAAATGCAAACAAATAAACACTCAAATAAAATTCACTGTATTTTCAAGGACAATGAAATATAGTAATCGCCAGAAGTTATGATTTTTCTGGACTCATAAGAAATAAAATCAGGCAGGGTACAGTGGCTAACACCTGTAATCCCAGCACTTTGGGAGGCCGAGGCAGGTGGATCAATTTGACGCCAGTTCGAGACCAGCCTGGCCAACATGGTGAAACCCCATCTCTACTAAAAATAGAAAAAAAAATGAGGTGGGCGTGGTGGCGCATGTTTGTAATCCCAGCTCCTTGGGAGGCTGAGGCACGAGAATTGCTTGAGCCTGGGAGGCAGAGGTTGCAGTGAGCTGAGATTGTACCACTGCACTCCAGCCTGGGCAACAGAGTGAGACTCTGTCTCAAAAAATGAATAAATACATAAATAAAAATAGAAAGAAAGAAAATGACTTTGACATTTTAAAGATCTGTGTACAGTTTCAACTCCGTCTCAGCCCTGAGATTCATTTATGAATTGCTTTTGTGGTTATTATTGTTGCTTTCTACTTTCGCCCTTTAAGTTTTTTTGTTTATTTATTTCTTTTTTTTAAGGGGGATTCAGACACTATTACCTCAAAGGAGCAGCGCTGCCTTATTCTTTTTGCTAGATACAAATCGTTAACCCTATTCACCAAACAGCAATTAATTGTCAATAAAACACATCCACACTGTGAACTCTGGTGTCAACGTAGGCTTATCAATTGTAACAACTCTGAGGGGGATGTTGATATGGGGGAGACCATGCATGTCTGAGGTCTGGGGCTATCTCTTAGTCTGTTTAGGGTTGCTATAACAGAATACCCGAGGCCAAGTACTTTATAAAGATTTAGCTCATGGTTCTGCAGGCTGTACAAAAGGCATGGTGCCAACATCTGCTTGGCTTCTGGTGAGGCCGTTTCATGCTGCATCATAGCATGGCAGAGAAAATCAAGGGGGAAGTGAACATGTGTGAAGAGGCAAAACCTCAGGGGCATCCTTTTTATAATAACCCACTCTCATGAGAACATTCCTCAGTGAACTAATCCAGTCTTCCTTGAGCGAGAACTCACTCGCTACTTCAAGAACAACACCAAGCCATTCATGAGGGATCTAATCCCATGACCCAAACACCTCCTATTAGACCCACCTCCCAACACTGTCACACTGGGGATCAAGTTTCAACATGAGTGTTGGTGGGGACAAACTCAAACCATAGCAGATATATGGGAAATTTCTGTACCTTCTGCTCAAAATTGCTGTGAATCTAATAGTGCTCTAAAAGAATTGTCTTAAAAAAATACATACACATATATGTTTATTCTCTTTAAATATAAGAAAATAATAAATCCTATCCATAATTTCCTAAATTATAGTTAGCTCTAAATGTAATAAGAACACATTTCTATGACGTGATGCACTCTGAGTTTTTTCAACACATTTGTTCCTTTTTTATTCCAAAAACTATGGTTCATGTTGTTCCATGGCCAATTTGCCAGATGCTTCAACATTCCCTGCTGGAACGCACCTCAGACAGGGCTAAGTCAGGGCCTTCCAGGGGCATGGCAACCATGAAAACTGATCCTGGGAAACTGACCTTTAATATATTTTCATAGTAAGCTCAGAGGAATGTGCTGGGTGATTACCCATTACTTGTACCTGGTAAGGACACAGGCCTGAAGCTAGAGTCTTTGCACAGTAGAGATGGGCCAGCAAGATATAAAGATGTCCACAGAAGTGGCCAAGGAAACCACTAGAATGCACTGGAGGGAGCCTCAATCCAGTCAGTTGCTAACACTGGCAGTAGGGCCTTCCCTGGGATTTGATAGCCTATGCAGCTGTCTTCATGCAGTTCAGATTCATGCCTCCTTTACTTACCTTACAGAGCTCTTGCCAACATGGTCACCCTGGTGACAACCATGTGCTCTCTAACAGAAATACCTGACCCTGCTCAAGGTATTAGAAACAATAAGAGAATAATTTTTAGGAGACTTGAGAGAGGTCTTAAAACTGTGCTCATATGCTTTTTTTGAAAACATGGTTTTCAAATAAAAGCAAGGGTTGAGACATCCAAGGAGCTAGTCGCTCTCCCTCTAGTCCTTCGGCCTTCCTTTCTGCCTGGTGTTGCACATTGCCTCCCACACGCCAGTGCTCACAGCTGCTCCACTGTGGGTGTGGCTGTTCCTTCTCTTCTCTATGCTTCTCTCTTTTTAGGCTCATATAAAGGCCCACCTCCTCCAAGACACCATGTAAGATCAATTTTCTACAACCACTTGCTCCTCTGAACCCCAGAGTTCCCCAAGGGTGGTATGTCAGAGGATTTAATGTGGGACCCAACACCATTATTTTAATTTTTAATAGCTATATTTGCTTTGAGTCATGTGAAATTGATGTTTCTGTGGATTTAAAAAATGGTCAAATATTGGCAGTTTCATGTAGTTCAACCTAATATGTGTCAGGGAAAAAATATTAAAAGAAAACCAGACATCATTGTTTAGGATGAGGCTAAAATGAGTACTTTATTGAACTGTGTAAAAATGAATAAGTAAATAAACGTTTTGATGGTACAGATACAGCAAAAATTATTAAGCTTGTATCCACTACTGAACCACTGACCAAATGTATTTTGACAATCACTGTTCTACGTGTCCTTTTAACGTGTCTTATTATTGTGTGTGTGTGGTTTTTTTTTTTTTTTTTTTTTTTTTGTATATCTATGTATTTGTGTTTTCTCTTCCATTAGTTTCCTGGATATTTGTACACAAGAGGCAAGGAGAGATTACAAACCTCTTAGCATAATACCCGGCACGCAGAAGACGGACTTGACATAGGGATTTGTCTGGTCACTTATGATGAGATCTTACCAGGAAACACCATTTGTTTTCCTTATGGTCATTCTAAAACTGGAAACTGATGGGCCACGCAATGGAGTATGCCATTCCAGCCAGGAAACCTACAACCTGGAGCAAATGAAAACACAGGACTCCTATGGAGCACTCCACGCTGGGAGCTAACCTCACCACTGGGAAGCATTAAGGGGTAGTGTGGCCTGTTGGTCAGAACATGACCATCTGGACTCATTCTCAGCAGTGTGATTGTACATTACATCCTCCACTTCTCCATTCCAACTGACAATGCCACCAATAGCTGAGAAAGTGGAGGCCATGGGAAGCTGGTACCTACTAGGATATCCTATTGGCTCCTGTCCTCTCTGCCCAGTTACTGACCACGGCACCAAGCTTCAGATTCTGTTTAATACTGTCCTTTACACAATGGTGCCTGGGTCTTTTGAAATGGATAGGGATAATTATGATTCATATGCTTCAAGAAATAAACCACGGTACTCACACAACCTACATATTTCATTTCTATTTTAAAAACACAAAATACTTACATGCTGTTGGTGTTTTGAAAGCTTTTGCCACTTATGCTTTTTTAAATATAATGGTTCAGAAACAAAATTCTGCCTGCTAATCAGTCTTTATTTCCATTCATAAAAAATTATGTCTCCATAATACCTAAGAGGTCAATAACTAGATGTTGAAACAAATAATATTAAAGAAAAATATTTATTGTAGAAGTCTGTGGTTGAGGCAGAAGAAAGGTGTTATTTTCATCTGGGGTATCAAGAAAACACCATGAATGGAGAAGAATATGGTCTGAGTCTCAAAGGATTAAAAAAAAAAAAAAACCAACCTATGTGGGAAGAGAGACAGAGAGAAAGTGCGCAGGCAGCTCAGGCAGGAAATGGTAAACTCAAATGTGTGAAATCGGGAGCGTTGGAGGCTGCTGAAAGGACATAGCTGCCTCTTTACTATTTTACATTTAAGTCAAGTTATTCAGATTATATTGGTCTCTGTATGTATATAATGACAATAGTAGTTTTATTCTCTAAAAAGTTGCTTTGAGAAAAATGTCAAGGGATTTAAATGCATGCTTCCAAAGTACAATGTTTTCCTACATAAAGATGCTGGTTTATCAACTAGAAAACTAAAGTGGGCTTCTTTATAAAAGATAGACTGAAAAGATTAGGAAAGTCTTGACAATATAAACATACATTTACTCACCAACTCATGAAATACTAAAACTAGGTTTTACTGCTCAAAGAAAGCATAAAATAGATCATTTCAGTAGAAAGAAAATAAAGCACATTTTTTACAACATAGAAAGTAATCTCAGAATTCATTAACCAAGAGACCAAAAACAATACCTAAAATATTATATATGTTAAGGGAGCTTTAAATAAAGTCATGGAGAGCAGATTTACAATGCTTTAATTGAACCAGGATAGGAATGGCAGGAGTCTGTTCACAACCTTTCATGGCAGAGAAGAGTTATATAACAGCCTTGATATTGGCCAGCTGCAAAAAAAGTCAATAACAATATGAAGATGACAGGACTTTTGGAAGAAAGTTACTATACAGCTTGGAGTTCATAATATTATGTGAGGATAGAGAACATTAATTCTAATCAGATCCACATCATTATTTACAGAAAACTTTTTTTTTTAAGGTTCAGAGAAAATACAAGTGTGATATAAACACACAGGTATCAGGGCTAATAAGTGTAAGAGAGATTTAGAAAAATAAAATTTTGATTCTATAACTGGATAGTCATAATCCTAGTGAAACAAAAAGAGATGCCACTGTAGAAATCACTATGGCTTACAATAATTTCTCTGATGAATTTTGATTCTAAAATGACAAGTAATAAATGGAACCAAGGACACGAGGGTAAAGACAAACACCAGTGTGTGGGAATAATTCCTAGAAGAATGCTGAAGAGGCCTAAATACAGGACTGGGATCGAACATTTTGAAAAAACATACCAAAGGGATGTTTATAGAACATATTTTTTAAAGTCTTCAAAAGAAGAACAAGGAAAAATAGCAATACTTTTGGGGAAGGCCATTAACAATAAATAGCAAAGATGACAGAACTGTTCAACTCCCATTTTGTGAATCCACCCCTGCAAGCAAAATAATCCGCACATTGGGAAGGGTAGAATAAACAAAATACGCATGGAATTTCAGCCTGACGTGGTGATGGGGGGATTTACTCACCAACCCAGAGCTAGCATCAGACATTCACAGAACAAGCCAGTAAGACCCAATCCTGCAACCAACATAATATGACACTAGGTTAAATGCTTCCACTTTCCTTTCCCGAAAATCTGAGCTTGTGGCAACTTTATCGGGAT
Organism: Homo sapiens; assembly: GCF_000001405.40. Classification (NCBI taxonomy): domain Eukaryota; kingdom Metazoa; phylum Chordata; class Mammalia; order Primates; family Hominidae; genus Homo; species Homo sapiens. The sequence goes on from NC_000013.11 coordinate 43,437,454, forward strand.
TCAATCATTTGACCTTGAGAACTTAGTGCAACTATGGAAATGACCCATAATGACTACCGGAATTCCAAAGAGTTGGTGCCAGTTTTAGAATGACAACTTACTAGGTTTGTGACCTGGGGCAAAAGATACAGGATGAGACTGATTTTCACATATTAGAAGTAAAGCGGATATAGAAGGTGAACTAGATTAGTTAAGCAATACGCCAAAGAATGGACTTAGTGCCAATGGTTAGGGTTTATGGCGGACCGATTTCAGGGTCATCCATTCTTTTTCCCATTCATTCAGTGAATATTTAGTAACTTCCACTGTGTGCAGCACCATTTTAAATTCTAGGTGAACAAGAAACTCACTCCAAAGAAGGGAGACCTGGAAAAATAGGTCAGTATAAAGCAGATAAATGGGTAAATGCATTAAAACGCAGGTTAACAGAAACAACACAGAAGAAAAAACAATTAACTTTGAAGGTAATTTTAGATTTTCTCCAAGGTTAAATAGAGGAAAAAATTGGTGGGGAGGGATAATAAAACACCTTAAAATGTGTTTCAGGCATGACAACACTATGATCAAAAATACTTCTGTGTGAAAAGTATGTGGCATGATACAGAAAATGAGTATTTTTGTTTGGCTGTAGTTTAAAGGGAACATGGTGAAAAAGTGGAGAACGATGCTAACAATGTAGGCAGGGGTCATGCTAAGGAGTTTAATTCCTACAGGCAATGGAGACCAAATGGAATATTTTAAATGGGGAGTGACAGGGTCAAATTTGTAATTTAGAGCAATAATTCTTAGAGAAGTACAGAGTAAGCTCTACAGGAAGACAAGCCTGAGGAGGGTAAATCTATTTGGAGGTAATTATGGGAGACCAGACAAGATGAGGCAGTGGCAGCGGAGATGAAGAGAGGGAACAGATTTAAGAGGTACTTCTGGAGACAGAAGAGATAGCAATTGGAATGTGGAAGTGAGAGGGAGTGAGTGACATGTGTGAGGGCCCAAGAAGGTAACATTCAAAAATGAATCCCAGGTTTCCACCTCAAAGGAATTGTTGGATAAAAATAGGGATTTCCATGGCACAAGAACACTTAAAGGATTAGTTTAGTTCAGGAGGAAAATGTAAGTTTTCCACAGAGCAATCAAATGCTTCAATATTAAACTTACAAACCATACAAAAATGTATCTGTCCCCTGGATGGCTATTTGCTTCCCTCAGTAGCCACAAAGCTATGTTGTATGCCTGGCACACAGTGGCTCTCAACCTCTGATGGGCATTGGACTTGAATCAAATTGCCTGAGGAGACTTTTCCAAATGCATATGCTTGGTCTTCACCCCCAGGAGATTCTGATTTAGTGGATCTGATGTGAGGTGCAGGCATTTTTTAAAACAGCTCCAAAGGAGATTCTGATATGCATCCAAATCTGACAGCCACTGTAGTATACAGTCGATCCATAGCTCTTTGAGTGATTAGTTAAAAGGAGGAAGGGAAGGAGAGGGCTTCTTGAAATTTTTGAAGAAGCAGCTGGTTGACTTTCTATGCTCAACAGTGTATTATTGTGTGAGAAATTTACTAAATGAACTTTCCTGTCTTTTAATCTTTTTTTTTTTTTTTTTTTGAGCGGAGTTTCATGCTTATTGCCCAAGCTGGAGTGCAGTGGTGCAATCTCGGCTCATTGCAACCTCTGCCTCCCACCTCCCGGGTTCAAGCAATTCTCCTGCCTCAGCCTCCCGAGTAGCTGGGATTACAGGCACCCGTGGGTCACACCTGGCTAATTTTTTTGTATTTTTTTTTTCACTTTTTTTTTTGAGACGGAGTCTCACTCTGTCACCCAGGCTGGAGTGCAATGGTGAGATCTTGGCTCACTGCAACCTCTGCCTCCCAGGTTCAAGTGATTCTCTGACCTCAGCCACCACGCCTGGCTAATTTTTGTATTTTTAATAGAGACAGGGTTTCACCATGCTCGTCAGGCTGGTCTCGAGCTCCTGACCTCGTGATCTGCCCACCTCAGCCTCGCAAAGTGCTGGGATTACAGGCGTGAGCCACCGTCCCTGGCCTTCCTATCTTCTAATCTTAAGGGTCCACAAATGTGATGTTATAGTGTTCCTGGCTTCAACTTGCAGACAGAACACTGGCTGAGAGATTACTGGACTCACTCAAATTCAATCTTTTCTTATATTTTTTTACATTATTGATGAACATCCCTTCTTATAGCAACTCGTTCTTTAACATTTTTTGTGTGCTTTTACATATTTTTCATTTACTTTTTTCTCAATGTCTATTCCTCCTACTAGACTGATGTTCTATGAAAGCAAGCATTCTGTTTCTTTTGTTCACTATCGTGTATGTAAGCACTGACCTAGCAAAACACACACGTTCAGTCAATAAATGAGCAACGAGCCAGATTTTTCTGGTGAAACATTTGAAGCCACAATGCATTATTTTCAATATGCCTATAGGTACATCCATGAGTGTATTATAGATTCAGAAAATGGTTTCAGAAATAATCAAAAGCATACAGCTATAGGCAAAACATGTTTATATATATGTATATTTTTTACCTCGAGGAAACCTTTGACTCCCAAAATTTTTATGTTATGTAAGACAGCCCCTTACATCAGCAAATAAAATTAAAAATAGGGAATAAATATCTAAAAGGGTGAATTAGGCACAGAGGTGTAGCCTGAGAAATAGAAGCTAAACCTCGTTCCTGTTCCTTATCTATTAATAGATCTCAGAAGCCTGAACCTTGAAGTCTGATAAATCTAGAGCTTTCCTGTCATTTATATCTAATGATCAATTCTAACAGTTAGACAAAAAACCACTAAATGAATGAAAAGATGAATTATTGAGAAACTTAGAGGGTCTTTTAGCATGGCAATTAAAGAAGTAGAAACAAGTGGCTAACTTGAAGAGCCAGAAATGTTAAAAATCTCTGTATTAATAGTGATTACTGAAGTGTTTTTAGGTTCCAAGTTAAACATTTGCTGACACTGCTTACTACAATATGTAGGTAACTCACGACATTTTTAAAGACATTTTACTGCCCTGAGATTGAATGTGAGTTTTTTTAACAAAAAAATTATCAAAATCAGAATTCTACTTTACCTAAAATTTGCCAAGCAACTACTATCTGCTACTACTTTCGCATGTATCATCTCATGTAGTTTCCATAAAAACTGTACTTTACCAATCAGAAAACTAAAAATAAGAGCAACCTTAGATGAATGCCTAAAACTAGAATGCTATAAAAAGTGTTAATTATAATACAAATCACTGAAGTATCATTTTATCCAGGTAAATTTATACATATGTATAAAAGTGTATTTTTAAAAATACTAAATATGAACCTCAATCATAAGAATGATACAAGAATACTATGTTTTGATTAATGATAAATTTGGCTAACTGGAGAAAACATTGTTTCAACTGATGTTATCAAACAGGTTTTGAAAGCAGTAATAAGACACATTGACATGATATGCTTGATACACTTGAGAAGGTTACACCACCTCTGTGGTATTCTTGCCAAAATTTTATAACCTCAATTTAATCATGAAAGAACATCACACAAACCCAAATCAAGGATATTCTATAAGATAACCAGTACGCTTCAAAAATTTCACAGCCATGAAAGACAAAAAAAGACTGAAGATCTGTCCTACTGATTTCTGATATTTCTAATGTAAGATCAGTAGTCATTACATACTATTGGTTGTATAAATATAGGCCTAAGAAATTGGAATGATTCCATGTTGCATCCAGCGTATTAACTAAGTGTTATGATGCAAAGTTGTTTGTATATTAGCTGCAATTTCCCCCATGACTTATAAGAAAAAAAATTCCTTATTAACTAATGACTCCAGTTAACTGATTGAAATTACATTCTACTAAGCTAAATATACATGTCATTTCTTACAAGGGCTGTATGTTTTTATAAATCAGTATCTCAGCTCGAATTGTTGGAATTATCATGGTTACTTCCATTGTTCAGACAGGAAAAAAGACAGGAGTAGTAAAACAAAGGGAGAGGGGCCATTTGCAGCAAGGAGAAAGGAAACACGATTCTAAAACACATTCATTAACCCAGGGCTACTACTAGATGCTCTAGGCTAGAAATGACCAGGCTGCTTCTAAACAGATTTTAATTTTTAATTCAGTAGAATAGGTCAGATACAGCTCTCCCACCTGGAGGTCCTGCCCTAGAACCTACCTGCCCGAAGGCGGCACTGCGGGTCTGCTGGTAATCATCATCTTTGGGCAAATGAAATCTCCAGTCAGCTACACCCGCTCTGTATGTTGTGATCCCAAGAACCAGTAATAAAAGTTGGACAAGATCTCACAATGAAGTGGAGGTTTTCTCCTTCGATTTTTTTTTTTTAGGAGCAAGAAAGAACACTTTTTTTTTTAAGCCATTAGAAATGTTTTTAAAGGTAGAGGTAGAAGGAGGGATGTTGGTGTTTGAAATAAAATTCTAATAAATAAAGATCAGTTTTACTACTTAATTAAAATTGGGTAGAGGCATATATGTGGGTCCAAATTTGATGCTCACCATACAAATGCCCAGACACGAGAGAGATCTCCTGGGAAATTAAAACGCCTACACGTAGGGAGAATTGAACAGACCAGGGCCCCAGAGCCTCCGCACATGGAGCTAAAACAAGCATAGAGGAGCCGAGTCGGACTGATTCCCCAGCTCTTCACAGCCCCCAGATTAGCTGGGTATTAGTGCAGGCTGGTCTCAGCTGCCCATGAAAATGAGAACACATTTTAAAACCTGCATTTGAATTTTAAAGGTACTCAACATTTCTAGTATTGTTTACTGAAAAAGGTCAACACTCAAGTGTTTTATTTATGCACGGCAGAACCTCAGTCTAAAAGCACTAGGCTTTCCATATGGCATAGCCTGAGAATGTGTTAAATATGTAGTTCCAGAGCCAAGAATATTATTTTTCAACTTAGCGAATGCATTATTAAAAGACCTCTGCTGTGCCCACCACTGGGAGATAGGGCAAGAGGCAGCAGTGACCCTGCATTCTGAATGCACAGAGACACTGACAGTCACTCACTCTAAATACCAATGACAATATCCCCAAACCCACACCACCCTAACCCATGCCTTGCTCTGAATTTGGGCAGTCTGGAAAAAATGAAAATGGAAACCTTTAAATAAAACTCATAAAACTTCAGTTCCAAGCACAATATTTTTGGTTCTTTGGACAATAAGTGTTTCACTGAGATTTATGCCTAGGGTCCTTTTCCATATCCCGGCTCTGTGTCAGCGTTCACATCAGCCCTCAGTTCTTCTTGCAAATCAAGGGTATAATATACTGATTCCTTCAAATAATATTTGTGTTAAAATCATTAAATGCCCATGCAAGTAATTTTTTATTAATGGGATGAGAAATAATACATAATACATACCAATTTTATGACAGCGAGAGGAGTTATTAACTTTAGAATATCTGTTGTATAAATTAAAAATCTTAAGAATAAGTCCAGTGTTTTAAATATACTATGGAAAAACAAAATTAATGCCAGGAGAATTTTGACTGGAATATAGAAATGCCTTTATCATTCTGGGAAAAATACTACCCTATAAAAGCCACATCCTCTGATAAGTTCAGAAATTATCCTTTTTATATAAATATTATTCACTTGGAAAAATGTTTTCTATAAACAGCTCCCTTAGTGCATTTTAACACATACTTTTATTTACAGACATTAGATTTACACATGTTTCCAGTATAAATCTTTCGTATATAGCAAAGAGAATCTGTGACCAAAAATTCTGTTCAATTCGGATGTGGGGAGCAAATAAATGACCAATGTTCCCATATACATAGTAATATATGGCTAATTTTATATAACATGTTCACATTAAAAATAAGAACATAAAAATTTTTAAATCTTCAGGAACTGTCTTCAGGAAATTTCAGAAGACTATGACTTTTAAATTACGCTTTTACTTGATCCACCTTCCAAAAGCTCAGAATCCTTATATTAAAAGAGCTGGCACTGACATAATTTGATTTAATCCTGTAAATATGCATGGAAGTCCCGATGTACATCATCTACTATGCTCTGCCTGCGTGATGCAAGGTGAATCAGGCACCATCCACTGTCCCTCTTGTTAAGGAGTCCACAACTGTGCTGGCAGGACAGACACGTATATAACTGATTATAATGTACTTGAGATAACTGGTATATCCCGGTGGTGGGAATAAGAGGCTTTGGCAGCACACGGAGTAAAGAGCGAGGATCCTGGAAGGCAACCTGCATGTAGGGAGAGTGGAAGCTCACCCGAGGAGGTGACATTTGAGCTGGTTGTAAAGGAAGAATAGGATCAGACCAGGCGAAGGAGAGGCATTCCAAGTGAAGAAAAAACAATTATCCACACATGCCAAGTTTTTCAGATTTGACTTTTAGAAGCGTTTTACTTCAAAAAGGTTTAAGTGTGCAATGTCTAACAAGAAGCAAAAATTACAATCTAGATTGTTTCTTTATGACTAGCCTGCTCTTCTCCCACGGATCCTAGCTGTTTAGGAAGTACAGGTAGTAAGAAGAGGATGTGAAGTACTTTGGTAGCCACAGAGAAAGTGAGAACGCTGCAGTAACTGAACTAAAGATTAGAATTAGCACTGTAGGCCTGTGAGTGGGGTCGGGGGAGCTACCAGTGAATTGAGGAAAAGCAAAAGTGTTTTAAGCAGACTGCAATAGCACCCCTTTTCAGTCTGCTTAAAACATAAGCCTTAACCTTCTTAAGAAAGAGTCTGCTAAAACACAGTCTGCCAGGCCTATCAACTACAGGGTCTGCGAGGAATTTGCTCTGAGCTGGGACCTGTTAGTCATCAGCAAGGAGAGCAAGGAGAGCGGATCATTTTCTTTCAATAATTTAATCACACTGGTGTGAGTGGAGGTGAAGGCTGAGCTGCAGGCTTCATATTCTACTTCTTTCACAGACGGCAAAGGAAGAGTAGAAAAGCAAGGTCCCCTGGGTGGACCTGGAGAGAGAAAAAAGTTCTGGGACATCCCTTGTCTTCAGCTGGGTTCTAGGAAAAGGCCAGGGGTGACAATAGCTCAAATGAAGATGGCCGGTAAATGGCTGAGAAGACCAAGAAGACAGACTGTGACCCGTTTCACAGTGCCTAACTAAACCAGAATTTCAAATTCTTAAGTTAGCTAGAAACATATTTCATTTATTCACATTTTAAAAAAATCAAGTTAATTCATTCATATTGGCATTTAAAAAACGTGTATAAGAGAGGTACAAAAACTGAATTGTGTTCATTGTTCACCTTTCTTTGAGTTCTACATACAGAGTCAAGTTGTAGGAGGGATGTATTCAGGAGGACAAGCCTTGGGGATTTCACTCTTTTATTATTCTCTGTATAAAAGAAGATGGTTTGTTGGATCCACGTGCCACCCGTACCTCTTCCCTGGGCATGTGGCCACGAGGCAGGGGGCAGAAGCTGCCCTGGGCTAGGGAGACCTGGGTTCTGGCTTCCAGTTCTGGGTCTGCCACTGACCCACTATGTGAACTCGGGCTGGTCACAGTTTTCTCAAGTAAGAATGAGAAGCAAGGACTGGACTGGACTCTTTTCCTGGCTGTTTTCTGCTCCAGTGCTTTCTGATTCTATAGAACAATACTATGTTCTAGAGAAATGTTTCCTTCTTTCTGGGTTTTTTTTTTTTTTTTGATACGGAGTCTTGCTTTGTTGCCCAGGCTGGGGCACAGTGGCACGATCTCGGCTCACTGCAAGCTCCACCTCCTGGGTTCACACCATTCTCCTGCCTCAGCCTCCCAAGTAGCTGGGACTACAGGCACCCACCACCACGCCTGGCTAATTTTTTGTATTTTTAGTAGAGATGGGGTTTCACCGTGTTAGCCAGGATGGTCTTGATCTCCTGACCTCGTGATCTGCCCGCCTTGGCCTCCCAAAGTGCTGGGATTACAGGTGTGAGCCACTGCCCCCGGCCCACTTTCTGGGTCTTATACATTTCTTTTTTTTAAAAAAGCCACTGCAATAACAACAATGTCCCATCTAGTGTTAAAACAGGGAACATGGTCCAGGACTGCAGAATGAGGAATGGCGCTCAGGTCTTTCCTGGCTTGGGGGTTCTGAATGGCGATTGAAGGGCATGGATCCTGCTCAGGTGGTTTTTGTTGGATCTCAATGACCCAACTTTTTCAAAGAGGGCATTTTTTAAAAGACTGTGTTTTACAACTTTTATGTGTGATGTACAACACCAGCATAATAGGACCATTACCAAGGGCACATGGAACAATCTTTCCTATTATTTTTACTGGCAGCTATCACCAAAAGCAAAAGAGCCTCCTGGGATGCAGGTCATCAGGCAGCCCCTTCCTGGGAGATAAGAAGAGATTCTGGGTGTGACGCAAGCAATTCAGCTAAGCTCTGGCTCCTCACTGAAATCTTCACAGACATAAACCTGGGAGTTCTGCAGGGTTTAATCAGTTCAGCCTTCCCTTTTCATTGCTTTCTTTCTGAAAGCTCCCACGAGGAAAACATCTCCAATCTGGGTAATAGCTAACCACACACTCAGAACTTTCCAGGTTCCACAGTAGTCTGTCTCCCTTCTTCCTAAATGCCAACCCACAAGAAAAGAAATCAAGGGAGGGAACAAATGTAAATACTGAGACAATGCAGGTATCTTTGAAACAAATGATCATCTTCCTTCTTGTGGGTTTGTCCTGTGCCTTGTTTTTTTTTTTTCATTAAGTGCCAAGACAATTTAATTTGTAAACTGCCATATAAAAATGGCCTCATTTTGGAATCTGCCTCCCTTTTGGAACCCAGGTCAGTTCCGTGGAATATTTGTGGAGTGACTACAGCATGCCAGACACTGTCTTAATGATGTCTGGGCTGAGAGAACAAAATGAGCCTGGACTCAGAAATTCTCCATCTCACTGCCTATTGCTCAGAGCTTTGTGGCCCAGATTACCAGAATTTTCAGTGGCAAGGATTTCCTTTTTTTTTTTCTTCTTAAACCTGAGTTTCTTGATGGTTGAATACATCCCAGTGGCTCCTTATCTTCTAGAATGCTTAAATGCCTACTGGGCTGATGGCTCTAACTCACCCGCTTGTTAACCTGCGTTGATCTCTCCTAACTGGCTACCTCTCTATGCCCTCCATGGCTATTCTGCCTTCTGGGCTTACCTTCTAGTCAAATACTTGGAATTCTCCTGTTTATAAGCCCCATCTAACTTCTGCCCAACCTTCAGCCTTGGCTTGCCAGTTTAATCTGTCTCTACTGTGATCCACATCCCCAAATCAGCTTGGTTCTCATGTGCCCCAAATTGTCCTTAACTCCCTCATCCAACAATCCCATATTCCTATTCCACAGTCTCCATGCCCATCCTGGGGGCACAGTACTCTTTGACTAAAGTTTAGAATGATAGTCTCTGGTCAGTCCTGTCCTACCAGTCAAACCCTAATCTCAATCCAGGTCTGGAAGCTGCGATAATCTTGAGTACAATACGAACTGGTAATCAGCAAGTGGGGTAGCTCAAACAGAATACTGGCAAATGAAATTTGCCTTAGAGGGCCATGAGAACATAGTGGCCTCTGATTAATACCAAAGAAAGAAAACATCTAGAATATTTCTTGAACACCTAGAGTAATGCCTGGTACAAAATAGGAGCTCAAAAAATTGGCAAATTATAGAAAGATGTCTTTTAAATAACACATTGCAAATGTTGAGGATATGACTGTCTATTGTAAGATTCTTCTGGATAAACTGTCTGATTCGTGTGTATATCCCAAGGGCCCAGCACAGTGCCTGACATATAGTAGGCTTGATAAATATTTGCTGAACTGAAATGACTTTGTTGAGAAAAGTATGTCGATGTCACTTGGTGGAGGATATCTACTTTTCCAGCAGTGTGGATGAGCAGGACATCTTAGGATGTCTAAACTAAAGGATCAGCTTGGTTGGGCCCCTAAATTTACATGCCAAGGTGTTCTTAAGGCACTAGAGTATGGAAGTCTATCAGATGGACAGGGACCACAATAGGAGAGGGGTAGGAACCCTGCAAGATAGTCTGTGCCCTGACTTACATTCCCTGTCTACTGGAATTCTCTGGACCTTTGGGTTTTATCCAGAATGCAGGAGATCTTTTTGACACCTTTTTCACTCATTCATATGCAAAAGCAGAAATCTGGGTCTGGCCAAGCATCTCTGATGCATACATGAAATGTACATGAGCATAAAACAGCCAGCTATAGCCCTTCTAATGGAGACCTTCATAGCTGCCATAACAGCTGATGGATTGGTGTAAGGCTAGTAGTTTTGAAGTTATATTTTGTATTTATTGTTGAAGCTATCAGAAATGTAGAGAACACTGAGGTCAATCAAGAGTATATGATTTTCCAAGTATATTAAAATGTGTTTGTGTTCCTTTCATACAAAACATAAAGCATCCATCTTTAAAATGTTCACAGCAATCAATGCCTTTAATTGAGCAGAAAAGCATATACAGATATAGAAATGTTTAGTCCTAGCCGTGGTTCCTGACAATCATCTTCAGAGATAAATTTCCACAATGGATGTTTCAATTAAGACAGTAATATTTATTGAAAGGTAAACCATAAATGTATAGCCACTGGAAACATTATTGAACAGAAGTAATTTATGCTGCAGCTGGTGCACTGCATTTTTGCACTGCTTTGATTTTATCAGCATTTGTCAATTAATCAACATGAACCTTGTAAAACATGTTCTCTTATTAGTTGGAACAGGCAATTGCTTGCAAACTTTGCAGGAGAGGTCATTTAATAATTTGCTAATTGTGCAAAGACAGATTTAAAATAAAAATAAAAAAGGTTAACTCTCATTACCATTGTACCTAAATAGGACTTTGTTTAAGCTTAGGCTTGCCAATTTAAATATTGTCAATGGTTTAATTTTTAAAAAAACTTCAAACGGCAAATAAAGATTAAGATGAAGATCAACTTAGCTCTAGGTTTTTAAAATTTAAGAGCATTTTTTGTTTGCATCTTTGCCATTTCAAAGAGTTACTAGCCTTGAGGCTATAGTTATAAGACAAATTGACTATATTTTATTGGGAGAAAAGTGAAGAGAAAAAAGAAAAAGCAAAAGAAACAGGAAATGCAGCAGCACAAAGAGCAATCCAGTAGTACAGTTCTTTTTTTTCTCCCCCTTTTTTGCCTCAACTCATTCTTCATTGATCTAGATGAGATGTCACCTCCCTACTTTTGACTGCTGGTTCATTTTCAGTTCAGTAAGTGAGAAAGAAGCTGAGTCAAGCCCTCTCTTTGGGTAATTCATGCATCAGCACACTCGCCAACTCTCCTGGCAACCAAGAAAGCACTTTAACTCAGAGCGGCATCGCCACCAACAAGCATTCTGCAGCCATCTAAAAGGACGCAACTGAGTTTAAAACGGGTAACATACCTTGGAGAGCAATTTCTACACTGGGGTCTGCAGGGCTGAATCGAGAAATCCGCACCATCTTAGAAGTGTAAGTGAAACTTAAAATGAAATGGCATGCCTTAAGGCATTTATAAGAGTAAGAATTTTGCACAGAGTTCACAGAGACAATGTTTGTTGAATGAAGATGGGCCTTGCCAGATACAGTCTAGGCAAAGTGCTTTGCTGCAGAGCTCCTTTTATAAGAGTTTAGAGGCCCAAGTTGCTCTCTGCCTGTTCAAACTGGCTTATCAATCCATTCCATTCCATTCTGTTCTCAGTTCTAAATAAGTCATTATTTCACGCACATTTCCCTAAGCAGACGCAAACACTGTTTTCCAGTGTGAGACTCCCTTGGGCAAATTAGGTTTCTTGGAAAAGGGTCAAGGAGCGATCAAACAAAATACCTCCTAGAAACAAGTGGTTTCAGGGGACATTGTGATTTATGCAGGCTACAAGTCAAATTTTAGACACTGGTTGGGCAGTAATGTTGAATCTGATAGGGCTAGTTATGGGGAGCAAAATCCTGCTACCTGCAGTTTCTTTTTAAGGTAATAATAAATGGGCGTATTTCTTATGGAAACAAAACTGATGATCATAAAACAATCAATAGAAAGTTTCCTTTTCTAATATTTTGAATTAAAAGGTGTTAAACAAATTTTAATTTCTTAATAAAATTGTAGTAAAGTAACTTTCATAAGGCAAAAGTTCATATCTTCTATTCTCACAGTCTTACCTAACAAACATGAAATACTTCTAAAATAGATACTTCTTATTGTTTTTTTTTTGTTTGTTTGAGTCACAGGGAGAAAAGTCCCTTTTATGTTCTTTTAATACTTGCTTTTATTAACCTCAGCTTCAGTTAGCTCACTTCCATATATCAAGATTCTTTCTACAACCGAAGAGACAAGAGGTAAATGCAAATGTGGGAAGGGAAGCTGCTTGGTAACACACTAGCTGCTCCCTGGCAGCAGTTATTTCTATCTAAAGCATATATACCATATTAAGAGGCCATAGTGAAAAATGAAAGGATGGAACGGCAGGTTTTCATTTGTTTTTAACATTTTAGAATGCTGTAAATAAGTTTGTGTGTTTCAATTCAAATGGTTCCATTACCTCGGAGGCCTTAATCATTTGTAATAGCAATTTCGGAAGCGTCCAAAGCTTGTGCTTAAGGAGTATTATTGGCATTCAATATAGTCATATGATATTAAGCAGATTTACAACGTTCTATGTGGTTATCCCTGATCATCTTTATTTAAAAGTAAGTTCTGGCTGATGAGGTGGCTTAGTATCCTCATGGATTTTGGCTTGTTAGCCGTCCCCTGCCAGAAAATCTGGCTCTGCTGGACACCCTCACACCTCTCCAAATAAACCTTAAATTTGCAAGGTGAAGTGGGGGGCAGCAGATGGCAGGAAGAGTTCAACTAAGAAAGAAGTTTACAAAGGCAGCTTTTTAAGAAAATGTACCTGGGGTTTTGGTTTTATTCAAGTACGACGAGGCCAACAGATCAGGAGGTGACTGTCATTGAGAGGATAGTTTGTCACAGTTCCAAGAAGAGCAGGCATGCCAGACCACACTGGGCTACCTGGGGAGGCACCAGGGTCAGTAGGAGGCAGAGGAAATACGGGGAAAATGTGGGGAAGGGCCTTTATTATGGTTTCCATGGAAAGAACAGGCAAGACAGAGTAAGCAGCTTTAGGATAGCTAATTTAAATAATTTCAGCAGGCTCTGTGGTATAGGGACGGTTCCTAGTTATGCAGTACCTGGCCCTGGAGTGATTCAGGGCAGGTAAATAGTGTTCTGGATTGCAGGAGCCTGATAAAAGGAAGCAGGTAGTGGCGTGGACTCAGGATTGGTTGGTTTGAATATCAAAGGCGAGCTCATGGGCAAGATGTTTGCTATCTCTAGGTATCAGCTGACCCAGGAAGGTTTAGCATCCCAAGTCCACAAGGCCCCAAGATGTCAAAGCACTGTAAAATACAGAAAATTTTTAAAAACAACAACATAATTAATAGAAGCCTGTCTGAAACACTGCTATAAGAAACATGAAAACAGAGCTTCTGAAACTTCACTGTCCACAGGGATCACCCGGGTATTTTGTTAAACTGCAGATTTTGATTCATTAAATCAGGTAAACGTTGAGACCTTGCATTTCTCATAAACTTCTTGGTGATGTTGGGACCACATTTTGAGTAGTTAGAAGTAAAAATATCATGAAGGGTCTTCTCTCTGGCTCATCTTCGGTCAGGAAAGGGGAAGGACCTTACATACCGAGTCTTACCTTGGACCAGACGCTGCAAGGCACTGAATATATATACTTGGTCTTATTTTGCTTTAAGAGCAAACTTTGCTAGTGGGAAAATTATCCCAATTTTATAGGTAAGGGAACTCAGGCTGGTTAAGTAACCTGCTCTAGGTCATTTAGTTAAAAGGTAGTAGATATAAATGTATCTGGCCTAAAAATCCATTTTTCTCCCACCACAATGTAAGTACACAGGGCACTCCTCTGATGGAAAATGAAAAGTCTGTTGGTAAAGGCTTCATAAAATATAAAGCCCATGAACTTCAATAGTGGCCCATTTACAACTTGACTTATGGAAAGAAGAGAAATCAGAATGGTACTTATTGTCTCACAATTAGAAATAAATGGTGTTTATTAATAAGTGATTATTTTATCATAGCCTTCACAAAACACTTTAAATGGGAGTCCCTATAAAACTAGTGTTTTTATTAAAAAAGATACGTACATGTACATGGTAAGATATATACAATAAAAAGTTAGTCTTGCTCCTAGTCTCCTACTTCTACTGCTCACAGGTAACTACTGTGAAGTTTGTATAGCCTTGCAGTACTGTTTCTATGCAAATAATAAACCTTTCTCATATAAATTCATTCATTTGGTTATTCTAGGTACTTGGGGAAAAGCAGTAAATAAAACAGACAAAATCCCTTATGTAGGTTATATTCCAGTATGAAGATAGATCACAAATAAACAAATAAGTTATAGATTATATCAGATGGGGATAAATGCTAACAGAGAAAAAGGGGAGAGCAGACAAAACGTTTTCAAGTACGAATTCAGTGGTTAAGGAAGGCCTCATTGGAAAGGTGACAGTTGAGTAGAGACCTGAAGGAGGTAATCTTATTCCACACTTACTTTTTCCTTTAACAGTACGTATTAAATGCTTCACCACAGCAGGGCTTACAGATCTACCTCTTTCTTTCTTTTTTTTATTATACTTTAAGTTCTGGGGTACATGTGCAGAATGTGCAGGTTTGTTACACAGGTATACACGTGCCACGGTGGTTTGCTGCATCCATCATCCCATCATCTACATTAGGTATTTCTCCTAATGCTATCCCTCCTCCTGCCCCACACCCCTTGACGGGCCCTGGTGTGTGATATTCCCCTCCCTGTGTCCATGTGTTCTCATTGTTCAACTCCCACTTATGAGTAAAAACATGCAGTGTTTGGTTTTCTGTTCTTGTGTTAGTTCACTGAGAATGATACTTTCCAGCTTCATCCATGTCCCTGCAAAGAACATGAACTCATCCTTTTTATGGCTGCATTGTATTCCATGGTGTATATGTGCCACATTTTCTTTATCCTGTCCATCATTGTATCTAACTATTTATTTTGAGACGGAGTCTCTCTCTGTCACCCAGGATGGTGTGCAGTGGCATGATCTCAGCTCACTGCAACCTCTGTCTCCTGGGTTCAAGCCATTTTTCTGCCTCAGCCTCCCAAGTAGCTGGGATTACAGGTGCCCGCCACCACACCTGGCTAATTTTTGTATTCTTAGTAGAGATTGGGTTTCCCTATGTTGACCAGGCTGGTCTCAAACTCCTGACCTCAAGTGATCCGCCTGCCTAATTCTCCCAAAGTGCTGGGATTACAGGCATGAGCCACCAACCTGGCCTACCTTATTCTTTTTAAAGACTCCATTGTACCCCATTGTTTGCATGTATCATAATATTGCTGGGCTTTTGTTATTGCCACAGGTGGATGTTTTAGATTAATCCTGTTATAGTCTGTTAGATGATCATTTGAATGGTTATAAAAGAGACTTGGGGCTTGTGGTATAAAGCCTGATTAAATAGAAAGAAACCTGAACTAAGCATGGGAAGCTATGAATGCAAGTCCAAGCTGTGCTATGCTTGCTATATCATTATTTGTGGACTTCCTTTTTTATTTTCCTGTTCTGGCCTCATGACAGGGTTTCCATTTTCCTGGCATGTCTTGGGCTGTTCACCAGCCCCAGGGTCATGTCTAGGTGATTCTTCAGTTGGAGACCTAACTGACATCCTTCCCACAGCAACATCAGTGCCAGGCTACCTGTAACCCTGCAGAGTCAAATTAAAACTTACAAGCTTTCCACATTCCCCACGAAGGAAGTACTAGCAAACTTTTAGGGAGCAGTACCTCTGGGCTCTGTGCACACTCTCCGTGCTTAGGAGGAAAGCACATGAGCTTCCTTAAAACAAAAACAAAAACAAAAAGCCATACATTCTAGTGATGTTTATTTTTGCAGATAGAGATGTTTAGCACTGGGTCATGACAGAGTGGATTTCACCTTTAATGGAAGATTAATTTGCCCATTTGATTAATATCTGCGGCAATCCCTGGAATATGCCAGCACTCTGCCTGGCACTATAGGAGGAACAAATACCAGTGTAATATGGTTCCTGTCCTCTGGTGTTAAAGGCAATACAGCAGGAATGAAAAGAAAGGGGAGAACACTATTATCCGGGGTCCCTCAAAGATCCCTCAGAGAGCTTTTTGAGCTAATATGTAAACAGGTAGGGAAGTGTTCAAGGGATGGAGGTGCTGCAAGGGGACCTTGGTAAGGGATAAGTGTATGTGAGTGTGTGTGTTAGGAATATGTGTGAATGGAAGGTGAACAATAATTGCACTACAAGCAAAGGAACAGATAAAGGAAAATATAGGTGTTGTACAGGAAACATGAAGTAGCTCTGTTTAGTTTAAAGAAAGAATGTGGGGAGTAGGTGTAGATGATGGGAAATGTTGGTTAGAGTAAGACTGGCAGAGGGTCCTGAGTTCTACTTTGCTATTAGACATGAGATAGATAAATGAGTTTTGAAAGATTAAAAAATCACCATCAGCTTCTTCCTCTCTTGTTTTTGCTTTATTTGGGGTGTGGGAGCATTGTCCATGTTGGTTTTATAATTTCTACTTCTTATTCCAGTAATTTTTAAAAATCAGCTTAGTATTTATTAAAGTAATATATGCCTATAGTTTAAAAAGGTGAATAGTATTATAAGGCCTATAATTAAAAAGAGTACTCCCTTCCCCCACTTTGCCTACCACTCCTCCTTCCTGCTTCTCAGGGGAAACTATTTTTTTTTTTTGCTTTTATTATGAAAGATGTTTATTTTCCAGAGTGTGTAACCTCATATATAGGTAAGACTTTTGCTGCAATCAATTGTTCTTGGTTTGGTTAATCTATAGTCTTGTCCAGCGCAGGAAAACTAGCACTGTCCAGCAACTGTAACCAGGGAGATTGAATTTCACCATGGGAGAGGAAACCACTTTTAACTATGCTATTTACATCCCTATACTTAAGTACTGTGTATATACTGATATTTATTAACTTATTCTTAGAGATTATCTGCCTTACTACTATGCAAAATAAGGAAAATTTAGCACTCTGATACTATCACACGCTCCCAAGTTTTCTTTCCTGATCTTTCCAGTGGGTTAAATGGCAACTTGGGGTTAAATTGATATTCCAGTTTACCTTACTATGACCATGTAATATTGTTTACTACCAAGACAAGTAGTAAAAGAGTATGCGTTCGATGTTGTTCAACATCTTATTTTTCCTGGTGTTGTCTTTTATTTTGCTCACCTCTTTTGTGTATCTATCATTAACCATTCATGAACTACCCAAAAGAACTATAGAACTTATATTGAAACCATTTTTTTTTTTTTTTTTACACAATTAGCCCACTGGTTAGTCTACTGGATCTCTTTTTCCCTGGAGGAGCCTCCCGTCCAGCCCCTCTGGTCTAGGGGTTTTCCAGGCCAGCTGCCCACCTGTTGTCCTGGGGCTTCTTTTTAACACCATTTTGTGAAATCCCTATGCCTCTTTCCTGTGTTGGAGCCCCCATTTCCTGGATCCCATGATTTCCTCTTTGTTGGTTTACATCCTCATTTTTGTAGAGCACATTCTCTAGTAGCTTCCTGAGAAAAGGTACATGGGAGGTGAATTTGTTGAGACCTCATGTGTCTGAAAATGTCTTAATTCTACTCTCATACTGAGTTAAACTTGTAATTGAATTTTAAGTAAAATGTAATTTTCCCTCATAATGTTTAGGCTGTACTTCATTGTCTTCTAGCTTCCAGTATTGCAGTCTCAGGCCACTACTATTCCTTTTACCAGGTATGATCTTTTACATGTGACCTGTGTTACTCCTCTGGAAGGTTTTGGAATCTTCTTTTTAATCCTGGTATTCTGAAGTCTTAGAGTAAAGAACCCTAATGAGCTAATGAGAATCTTTTCTTACCCATCATTTTGGGCACTTTATGGTCTCTGAAAATCTGGAAAATAGCATTGTTCCATTTTGACAATTCTTCTTCTATTATTCTTTAGTACTTGTCTCTGAATCATTTTTTTCTTGTTTTCTCCTTCTGGCATGCTTATGGTAAAATATGGAACCTCATGGATTAATCCACTATATTTCTCACCTCCACCTCACCCCACGTCCGTCTGATATGGTTGGCTGTGTTCCCATCCAAAACTCATCTTAAATTGTAGCTCCCATAATTCCCATTGTTGTGGGAGGGACCCAGTGGGAGACACTTGAATCATGGGGGGTGGTTTCCTCCATACTGTTCTCATGGGAATGGATAAGTCTCATGAGATCTGACGGTTTTATAAGGGGAAACCCCGTTTGCTTGCTTCTCATTCTGTCTTTGCCTGCCACCCTGTAAGATGTGACTTTGTTCTTTCCTTGCCTTCTGCCATGATTGTGAGGTCTCCCCAGCCATGTGAAACTGTGAGTCCATTAAACTTCTTTTTTTAAGTAAATTACTCAATCTTGGGTGTGTCTTTATCAGCAGTGTGAAAACGTTTGGACTATCTACTTTCTAGAAAGTTTGACTTCTATACCTCTGAATCATTTTATATTCTTCTATAAGTTTAATTTCCAATACCTCCTTCTTATTTTCTAATTGTTCCTGTTCTATAGAATGCTTTTTATTTTATAGATATAACAGTATCTCTCATCTTTCTGAAGTTACTATAGGTTTTTAAAGGCTTTCATTTGCTTCCTGAAATATCTATATCTTCTCTGAGCTCCTTTAGCCCCTTTCTCTGTTTTGATCTCTATATTTTATTCTATATTTTATGTCAGTGGATATCCTCAAATATCTGATGGCCCTTCATTACTCATTTATATTTAAGAAATATATATGTTTATTTCATATATATACATTATATATGAAACAAACGATTCATTTATATTTAAAAACAGTGGGTCTAGTTTCCAAGGGAAACCCTGAGTGTAGACAGGGTGTGCTTTTTCCTTGACTGGCATCCCTCCGAGGTAACAGAGTGGGGAATCTAACCATTTCAACAGGGACTCTGCCAATCAGTCATTTTTTGGACTGAGTTTCTGCAGATAAGAATCTCCAAACCCCTGCCTAAGGAGCCAGTCCCTAGCTGTAGGTTCCCTGGGAGCTATGTCAGGGAATAGTCCAGGAGGGTTTCACCTGTTCTCTCTGTGGAGTTTCATCCTCTCTCCTGGGCCCAATCCCTGAGTCTAGAGTATCTCTGATTCAATGTAGCCTAAGACTATCCCTGATACCTCACATAGGGTTGGGGAATTGGTAGAGTCAGTGTGAGCTAGGGAGGGCAGGGCCTAACTACTCCATATACTCTGTTGGTCTGAAGCTCCTGGCAATCAATTCTCCTTTTTCCAGTCTCATGACTCCTAAGCCTCCACAGCATCCCGTGCATGAATCTGAAGGCTTTGCTCAGTGCACCTCAGCTATTCCTCCTCCATCACTCTGCTGTCTTCCACAAATTGCCTGATATCTCACATTCAGTAGCCTCTCCTCTGTTCTCTCATTTGCTTTGTGTCCCTGCTTTGTGGTTTTTAAAATTCTTTACTAATTTCAGTGAGATTTATTTTTTGTTCTTTACTAATTTTAATGAGATTTATTTTTTATTCTTTACTAATTTTAGTGAGATTTCTGGAACAGGAAGATATGAAAGCATGTGTTCAATCTAATAAAACCAGAAGTTTCTAGTGTTATACATTTTACTTTGTAGTTATATGTACTTATGTATTTTGTTTTGGTCTAGTTTGTTTGTCCAGAGAACTTTATGAGTTACTTGGACAAACTAGTAACCACCTCACAACTACTGTTAAGGAGGGTATTGACAAAATCATTTTACTTCTTTGTTATTTTTTAGGGATTATCAGGCAAGGTCAAGTTGACTTTCCATAAATGTTATCTTTATCCAGATAACAGCATTTTGTTATCTTGGCTCCAGAAGTTTGGACAAATAATCAATTTGAGGTAGACGCATATCAATTTATCAATAAGAAGGAAGGAAGACTATAAGGAGGAGGGAAGAAAGAAAGCAGAAAGGGAGGGAGGGGGAAGGAGAAAAAGGAAACAGACATAAAAGATTTTAAAACAGAACAGCAGGAAGACTGGCCCAACTAAATAACTATACTAAGAAAAGCTATGTATGTTCACTAAATAAGAAGATAAATTTCGGAAAATCATCTGGCTTTAAGATAATTCCAAACAATGATCACTGACTTGGAAGGCAGTTAAGCAATTTATGTCACTGAATGTTAATGGTCAAACTACGTTTTATCAGTCAACAAAATGTACCCAAAATGCATATGAAAAGCAGTATAGCCTGCAACAGAACCTATCACATAATGATTTTTCACAATTACATGTCCAGACCAACTTCTAACTATATACTGACTCTTACCACTCTGAAATATATCTATTTTTTGGCTCAAGAATATATGTGTATATGTATGTACCAAGGTATATATGTGTGTATTCCTCCCCTCATCTCCCAAAGAAATTTATGTTAGCTTGCAGGTAATCCTTTTACTTGAATATATGTTTATTTTCCTGCTTATATTTCTTATAAATTTGTCTAGCTCAAATTATGTAGTCCTCTATCCTCTGTCATACTCAATTATGGACCAATAACTTTTTTAAAAAAGTTAACTATGTTGTCAACAACATCACTTCCAATGTAGCCATCATCATATCTTTGAGCTTAACAAAAAGCTTGACTTTACAGTCAGATTGACCTTATTTTAAATCCCCTGTCTTCCATTTACTAAATAAACTCCCCGATAGGAAAATGGACATATTCTCTATTTTGCAGGATTTTATGAGAATTAAATCATACAATGCATATAAAGCACCTGGCATACTGTAGGTACCCAATTAAAAAAAGCTATTCAAGTCAGAATATGAGATGATATTGAAACCTTAAGCTGTCTAAAAGTACATCTTTTCCAACTGACTAATTTTTCATTTCCATTTTTTAGGCATCGCATCACTGGTAAGCTGGTCACCTGGAAGCAACGCATCAGTTAGCCACTGAAAAGGGGTGTGCAGAGCTCTTACAGAAAATTGAGAAAATCATTATATTGATATATTGATTATATTAAGAAAATCATTATATTGCTATCTACTTTTATATAAGTAGGGGAAAGGGAGGACTGGACAAAAACAATAAAGGAAAATATTTGGCCCAGCATCAGTTTCTTGACCCCTTTAGAATTCTATTTAACTACAAAATTAGGAGGTTATATGAAGTCCCTCCAAGTGTTCAGGACAAAGAGTTCTGTGGTTAGATGATTTTGAAACACACCTCGATCGTCTCACACCTCCCCCTCCCCATTCTTGAAGCTTTGAAACACATATGAGTTTATTCAAGGTATCTGTCCCATTTTGTTTTACCTTCCGTTATACAAACTTACTTGACTACAGACTCTCCCCCTTTTTTCTTTTCTTTCAGGTAATATTTATTGACATACTTTGGAAAAGACTGGATGAGTTGCTCTGCGACTTCCCACTCTAACATATGTTTCTCTGAGTTTCTACAACTTCAGCTAAATGTTTTAAGGAAGAAAAGAACAACAGAATATGTGCTAATTTTGATTGATTGATGCTCCCTCCTATAGCAGCATACAAATTTTAGAGTGGGAGAAAAATCTATTACGATTTCAATGAAATGAGCTATTTTATCTTGTCCCTATGTGGTACCATCAACATTTTAGACAGATGAACACCAAACCATTGACTGAATTGCTGCATAGTGGATTTGCCTTGATTATAAAGACAGTTGAATGACCAGGGTACCTCTGGCAATTTTGGCAATCAATAAGTAACATGAATCAACTATGTAGTGGTCAGACTGGCTACCCAGTGCTCAATCAAAACAGAAAATAACAGAGATAAGTTAATCCTTAGGTTGCAGGACTATACCATGATACCAGCATAAAACTCAAATGGACATTCATGATGAAAAAATGTTAATGCTATCATTATACAATAAACTGCTAAAAGTATTTTTATTAGTAAAATACTTTCATTTTTCTATCAATCTAACAACACTTATTTTTATCTGAAAGGAGGGTACTATGCTAAACGTCACTGGGACTAAAAGGATGTAGAGTAGGAAAAGGGCCAAAGATCCTACCAGAAAATGATCTAGGAGCCATATGTTAGTTCTGTCAGTAATTTTCTATGTAGCTGTCAATAATCCTTTGTTTTCTCTTTGTAAAAATAACTATCCTCTGCTGGGTGCGGTGGCTCCCACCTGTAATCCCAGCACTTTGGGAGGCTGAGACGGGTGGATCACGAGGTCAGGAGTCTGAGGCCAGCCTGACCAACATCGTGAAACCCCATCTCTACTAACACTACAAAAAAATTAGCTGGGTGTGGTGGCACGCGCCTGTAGTCCCAGCTACTCAGGATGCTGAGGCAGGAGAATTGCTTGAATCTGGGAGGCAGAGGTTGCAGTGAGCCGAGATTGCACCATCGCACTCCAGCCTGGGTGACAAAGCGAGACTCTGTCTCAAAAAACAAACAACGACAACAACAACAAAAAACCAAAACCAAAAAATAACAACAAGAAAAAACTATCCTCAAGGGGCTTATTGTTTAGTTAATTATATTTACAAGTTTGGGATTTTTGCTCCATGCCTTCTTTTGTTACAAAATTATCCTTAATTTACCTACATAACAGAGACAAAAGTGAGTGAATATTTTGATGTTCTTTAATTAATTACATGCCATAATACCCCTCCTTCATCTTAACTGCAGAAATTCTGTGAGAACCTATTGCAATGTTTTCCCTTTTTCTCTTGATATGTCTCTTTCCCCTCAAGGCTGCTAAGGTTTTAAAGTGTTCTGTTTCTATTTTTTTCATTAAAAATTCTATCAGAAACCCCACTTCCTCTCAAGAGGAAATTTATCCAAAACCACCTCTGTGGTATCCAAGTCATAAGTGTGTTGGTAGTAGGATGGCCAACTGTCCTGGTTTGCCCAGTAATAAGGAGTTTCCTACTATGTGGAACTTTCTGTGTTAAAAAGTGGGATAGCTGCCGGGCTCAGTGGCTCACGCCTGTAATCCTAGCACTTTGGGAGGCTGAGGGATCACGAGGTCAGGAGATCGACACCATCCCGGCTAACACGGTAAAACCCTGTCTCTACTAAAAATACAAAAAATTAGCTGGGCATGGTGGCGGGCACCTGTAGTTCCAGCTACTCGGGAGGCTGAGGCAGGAGAATGGCGTGAACCCGGGAAGCGGAGCTTGCAGTGGGCAGAGATCGCACCACTGCACTCCAGCCCGGGCGACAGAGCGAGACTCCATCTCAAAAAAAAAAAAAAAAAAAAAAAAAAAAAAAAAAAAATAGGGATAGCTCTCTACAAACCAAGGGAGTAGGTCGCCTTGGGTGTTAGCTTGAGAGAAGGATTGGATATGGCACGGAAACCTGCACCAGAGAGCTGCAATTTTGATCCTATTAGAAACACTCTTCTTTCACTGCTAAGCAGCTATGTACAACAATCAAACACCAGATGGATATATGAATTTAATGACCTTTAAGTTTCCTTTACACTGGTGGTTCTCAATTCTGGTTTCTTACTAAAATCATCTGGTTAGCTTTTTAAAAAGTGCTCCCTGATTTAACTGATTTGAAGGTGAGTCTTTGCCATGGGCATACATGTTTGAAGTTCCCCAGCCAATTCTCATGTAAGTCAGAGTTAAGAAACACTACTTTATACACATTCTGAGATTCAAACTATAGGCCTAGCAAGAGCTGTTTAAAGCAAGGAGAAATCTACTTTGTGATCTCTGACTTGTTAATTATTACATGCAAGTTTCTACTTCAACTTTAAAACAAATGAGAACCTGCAAACTGACTTTATGTATTCATCTACATTCATTTATTCACCTAGGGTTCATGATCTATAAGCATCTCCCTTGTCATGTTTGTATTCTGAACATCAATCACCACCATCTATTGATATATATATTTTTTTCTTACAAGAAACTGTATTAGGCACCGTGGGGTATAATGATTTAAATTGCAAGGTCTCTGTCCTCACGGACTCTATAAGTAGAATATATGAAAGGTGACTACATGATCAAGGCAAATGACCCCACCGCCAACCAAGGAGGACGTGGTCATGGCCTGGGATGGTTAGGAAATCTTCATAGAGCAGGTATGATTTTTAAGGGGCTTTGAGGACTGGGTGGAATTTTAATTAGAGAGCCATAAATAAAAACTACAAAAAGGGAGAAAAGCAGTTTGAGAATGAGTAGGGAGGAATCAGTTTACCAAAGTTAAGTATGTATACAAATAATACAGTTCACCTTTTGAGCCATGCAAACTGTATCTAAGGAGGCACAGAACCTTGTATGAGACCAACTGCTGAGCAAGGAAATGTAATTAGCGCAATCACTTTTTTGGTGCTAATTACTTAAGACATTGAAAAAGAGGATTAGACTGACCAATGAAACAATTGGTTCTGGATAAACATACAAAGCTTGGTCTGTAATGTGGAGAACAAGCCACTGAATAGCAATAGCCAAGCCCCTTCCCTCTGGTGCTGGGCCCACTCAAGAGACCTGATCACACAGACAGTGAGGCAGGTGCTGCATAGATCACTGCAAGAACCCCGAGGGACCCACTCTATCTGATCCAGTGAGATGATTTAGGGTTGAAGAAATAAATTTAGAACACAAGTCATGTAAAAAGTACATGTTACTTTATATGTGATGTTATGTGATTATCAGTCATTGATTTTCAATTACTTTTATAATGCAAGAGCTTTTCTTCTGGATTTCAGAATTTAAGAATTTCTGCGCCATTTGTCTTTGCCTACGAAAATAGTTAATTCTCATATTTATTCCAATAGCTGGTCTTCATGTAAGATATTAACTAAATGCCCATTAATAGTCTGGGTATGCAACTCAGGAAGTCAGTTGGCAAAATTAACATTTAGAAGTAGGCACCACTGGTTATTTCACACATTATTAACTTATATTACAATTCAAATAAGCTTACAGCTGGCAAAAAAATCTCTTCTGTAAAGCGATCTCAAACATAATAGGCTTAATCAGAGATAAATTAAATTAGGCAGCCATGCATACTACAGCATATTAATTCTGAGTAGTTATTACTACATTTTCTGTTATCACTGGTGTGAACAACATTATGTGCAAACAAATTCTTCGAGAGGGTAGCAAATAAAGTTTATGTTTGGGATGCCATGTGCCTAGCATTTTCCCATGTTTTCTTAAAATGTTAAATAATCTTTTCTGCTAATAATGGCACTAGGTTAAGTCCCCATAAACGAGTCAACCTCACTCCCAGGAAATTAAACAAATGAACATCAGACGAAACTGCTAAGTGTGGTTTGGATTTTTCCAAAGGGAACTTCTCAACTTTCTCTGGCAATTAAAAAAAAATTTGTTAATGAGTCATAGCTAGAGCAAAATTGTCCAAAATGTAAGGTAGTGCATAGTCGTTACGTTAAAAATCGGTGCCTCTCATTCTCTGTTTTGGATGAACTATGTTGCCTTAGAATACTCAAAGAAGAAAATTATTCAGGTAGAATGCTATTTTCTAAATAAGATCCTGCCATTATCTCTCTCTTTCTTTAAACGGTAGTAATCTAAGCCAGCAAACTAGCACTCAGATCCCACACGCTAGCAAATGATGCTTTTGTGAAAGAAAATGAAAAGATGCATCTAACCTTTATACACACACACACTCATGTTGCCTTTTTTGATGCACTTTTGTCAGATTATCTGATTCTTTGTTAATGAACCAGGCCCTTTAATTTCTGTATCCAGGAGTAATTCAAGTTACTAGGCATGACAGCCACTACCGCCCCCAAGTCTGAGAAACATGTTTCACATTCTTTGCGCTTTGCACATTTAAAACTCAATGTAAGGTGACAAGAACATTAAGCTGCCCAGTGAGTAAAATGTGAAACTAATCACTATCTGTTCTACAGATAGTGGGTACAATAATTGGCAAATTAAAGTGCCTGGGAAGAGCTGGGCCACCTGCATCAAAAAGCATCACCTTGGAATGGCTAATGAAGATAAATGTATGCAGCTAGCTTTACTGACAACTACTTCAAACACCAGCAGACTGAAAAAGCAACACTACAGTACTTATTTCATTTACTGTAAAGTACGCACCATGTGAAATTTTTGTTATTTAAAGGAAAAAATACCCAACCCCTCTCAATATGTTGTACACATGCCGGCTGAATCGAGGCTAGTACTTACTCCTAAAAAGCCAATGCTTTTCTTTTAAACTGGCAAACTGGGATCAATTTGCTTATTAAAACGTTGAATTTGTATTTTCATGACAACTAGATTCAAATAAATTAGAAGACTACAAAAAAGAAAATAATCCAATTTCAATAAAATTGCTACTCTTATTCATCCATTCATTTATTTGACAGTTATTGAATACCTACTATGTGCAGGTACTGTGCTTGACATTTGGCAGAGAGAGACGAATGACATCTCCTTAAGGAGGTTGTGGACTATTTGCAGGCAAGAGGCATGCTTACAGGCACACACACAGGCAACTAGAACCATGTGCTATTGTAGAAACATTTCAGAAAGGTGTCCCTTTCCCTTAGAGTCTTTCAAGAGAAGGCTCACTCTTAAGCTGAATTCTAAGATGATTTCTGAAGAGTTTTTGAGGGTGAGTAAGCTTGAGAATGGTCTTCCAAGCTGAAAAAAGTAGCATGTTCAAAATCAACAAGAAGGTCAGGATCTGCTTGAGGAAAAAAAGTGCCTTCAAAATATATGAAGGAAATAAATACAGAAATAAATATAGGAGGCAAGAGGTCAACAGATGATGAAGATGAAAGCTAGACAAGGGTAAGAATATGAAGGGCCCCAGAAGATATGTTGAGGAGCTTGCATTTAGTTCTGCAGGGCAGTACTTTTCAGAATATGTGACAGAGAACCCTGGGGACCTGGGGAAGGAGGGAGGCAGCCTGGAAGGGAGTGAGGAGTGAGAAGAGGCTGAGCAGTCAGGACTCAGGCCCTGTACCTCTACTCATACCACAAGAGCTTTGCCAATATCTGTTTCACCTTTTGGGCCTTCTTATTATTAGTGTTTTTGACAATTTTTTATACTGGAATAATCTTAAATTTGCAGAAAAAATTGCAAAGATAATAGAAAGAGTTCCTACATACTCCTCCCCCACTTTCCCCCACTGTTAACATCTCACATTACCATGGCCTGGTACGTTTGTGACAACTAAGAAGCCAACATTGGTGCATCACTACTAACTCAACTCCAGACTTCATTTGGATTTTACCAGTCTTTCTATTAATGTCCTTTCTCTGTTCCAGGATCCAGTCCAGTCTAGGATATCACATTGCATTGTGTCATCATGTCTCTTCAGTCTTTTTTGGTCTGTGACAGTTTCTCAGTTTTTTCTTGCTTCCCATGACATTGACGGTCTTGATGTGTATTAGCCAAGTATTTTTAAAGCATGCCCTCACTTTTGGCTGATTAGGGTTATTGGGAAGAATATCACCGAGGTAAGGTAAACTTCTCATCACATCACATCAGGGGGCAGGCAAATGACATCAGCCTGATTTATCATGGTGATGTTAACCTTGATCACCTGGTTAAGATAATGTTTACCAGGCTTTTTCACTGTGAAGTTACTATTTCCCCTCTTTGGAAGCCAGTCATAAATCCAGCCCACATTTAAGGGGGAGGGTAAGCTTCACTATCTGAAGGTGGATATATCTACCTGTACTATTTGGAATTCTTTTAGAAGAAAGACTCTATTTATTTATTTGTTCGATTGTTTATTTATATTAGGATGAACTCAGACATTTATTTTATACTTTCGGTTATAATCAAATACCATGTTATTTATTTTGTGGCTCAAATTGTTCCAGCTTTGGTCTCTGGGAGCTCTATTAAATTGGTTCCTGTATGCCTTTCACATGCCTACATCTTTTTGTTTTTTGAGCACTTATTTTTTTAGGGCATACCATGTGCTCCAAGATCTTGTATTTTTACTGTCCCAGCCACAAACTCAGTCATTTCTCTGAGGATCCCTAGTTCCTATTATTGGAGGATAATATTTAGAAACCACGGTCTGGGCACTGCATGTGCTTGATGCTACTGAGGTATCACTGCTCCCAGGCCCCCTCAGCAGAAAGAGCCAAGAAGTATAAATACATATTCAAACCCAGTTATATGCACATGTCTATAATTGTTTCTGTGTCTGTCCGTATGCATATTTATCAAATTAAATAGTAGTTAAGCTAACATGAAGTTAGCTGATATGTCCAACTCTAATCCAGCATTACAGGGTTTGTTGCAGCCCCCTCTCCTAGCTTATGGAAATTGTCCTGACAATGAGAAACCTGGCTTGCACCACCTACCATCCATTCATTTATTTGTTCAGCCTCAGTATTTGGGTCTTCTTTTGAAGAGATTTCTGTTACTTTAAAATAATAATATATAAAAGGGCTTTATTTTTATTCATTACCATCACTCCAATTGCTCTGTTTTCATCAAATCATTTCATGTTTCTCCTAGGCACCCAGGAAGACTATAATTCTCATGATCCCTTGTATTTAGGTCCAGTTCCAGTTAAAGGAATGTGGGTAGAAGTGATACTGACCACTTGTAGCCCTAGGCTCTATAATCTGTTGTGGGATTCTCTACATATATTGTCTATTTTTTTGATACCAGGTATAAGACACAGTGGAAAATTCCAATAATAAAAGAGAAAAACTATATGACGATTCAATGGAAACAGAAAAAAATCTTGAAAAAAGTAAAAATCCACTAAGGATTTAAAAACAAACACTCATCAATTAGAAATGAAAGAGAACTTCCCTAATACAATAAAATGCATCTCTGAAAATTCTACAGTGAAAATTATACTTGATTGTTAATATAATAAAAAATTCCTCATAAAATCAGGATCAAGACAAAGATGTCCACTCTCACCACTTGTACTCAGCATTTACTCCTCAAATGGGAAGTCTGAGTCATTATAATAAAGAAAAAGAACAACTACAAAAAATAGAAAGGAACAAAACTTTCTGAATGGTATATTTTGTATAAAAAATCCCATTAAACCTACCAAACAACTATCAGAACTAGTAAGTAGATTTACAAAAATTATAGAGTACAACTTTATTTTTTTATTGGAGATATAATTTATATAATGTATAGTTCACTCTTTTAAGGTGTACAGTTCAATGCTTTCTAGTACATTCACAAAGTTGTGTGACCATTCTTCTTATCTAATTCCGGAAACTTTCATCACACAAAATGAAGTCTTGTACCCATTAACAGTCACTCCCCATTCCCCCCAGCCCAGTCCCTTATAACCACTACTCAACTTTCTGTCCCTGTGAAGTTGCCCATTCTGGACTTTTCATATAAATGGAATCAGACAATATGTAGTCTGTGTGTCTGGCTTAATGTGCTCAAGGTTTATCCATTTTGTAGCATGTAAATGTATTCCATTCTGATTTTAGGTTGAATAATATTCTGCTGCATGCGTATATCACATTTTGTTCATCCATTCATCAGCTGATGGCTATTTGGGTTGTCTATTATTTTGGTTATTAGGAATAAAATTGCTATGAACACTCACATACAATTTTTGTGTGAATGTATGTTTTCAGTTCTCTTAGGTCTATACCTAGGAGCGAGATAACTCTATGATTAACTTTTTAAGAAAATGTCAAGGTGTTTTATCAAAGTGGTTACAGCACTTTACAATCCCATCAAAATGCATGAAGGCTCCAAATTTACCACATCTCTGTCAACACTGTTATTGTCTGTCAATTTTAGACAATTACTACATTACTATATACTATATTACTATATTTACTGTCTAAAAATGATAGACTATAGTAATTCGACAGACAGTTAAAATAGTAACCCAAGTGGGTATGAAGTGGTACCACGTTGTGGTTTTGATTTACATGTCTTAAGGGCTAATAATGTTGGGCATTTCTTCATGTGCTTATTGGCCATTTATAGTATCTTCTTTGGACAAATGTTATTTTAAAATTTTAAAATTTTAAATTTTAAAATTTCTTTATATATCTGGTATACTCTTTATCAAATATAAAATTTGCAAATATTTTCTTCCATCTTTGAGTTCTCTTTTCACTTTCTTGCTAGTGTCCTTTGAAGCACAAAAGTTTAAAATTTTGATAAAGTCTGATTTATCTATATTTTTCTTTTGCTGTACATGCTTTTGGTGTTTCACTCAAGAAACTATTGCCTAATCCAAGGTCATAAAGATTTATACCTATGTTTCCTTATAAGAATTTCATAGTTTTAGCTTTTACATTTAAATCTTGGATCATTTTTAATTTTTGTATATGGTGTGACACAAGCATCCAAATTCATAATTTTGTATTATTAATACATGTGGAAATCCAGTTGTCCCAGAACCATTTGTTGAAAAGACTATTCTTTCTTCCATTGAATTGCTCTGGAACCCTTTTGAAAATCAACTGGCCACAGATATAAGGTTTATTCATGGATTCTCTATTCCATTCCATTTATCTATCTGTCTATCCTTCTGCCAGTACCAAAGACTCTTGATTACTCTAGCTTTGTAATAAGTTTTGAAATTGGGAGCTGTGAGTCCTCTAACATTGTTCTTTTTCAAGATTGTTTTGGCTATTTTGGGTCTTTATATTTCCATATGAAGTTCAGGATCATAAATTCCTTTTTTTTTCTTTTTTTGAGACAGAGTTTCACTCTGTCGCCAGCTGGAGTGCAGTGGTGTGATCTCGGCTCACTGCAACCTCCGCCTCCTGGGTTCAAGCAATTCTCCTGCCTCAGTCTCCTAAATAGCTGGGACTACAGGCGCATGCCACCACACCCAGCTAATTTTTTATATTTTTAGTAGAGATGGGGTTTCACCATGCTGGCCAGCATGGTCTCGACCTCTTGACCTCGTGATCTGCCCGCCTCGGCCTCCCAAAGTGCTGGGATTACAGGTGTGGGTCACCATGGCTGCCCTATAAATTTCTTTTAAAAAGCCAGTCAAAGCAGGCGCAGTGGCTCACATCTGTAATCCTAGCTCTTAGGGAGGCAGAATCAGGAGGATAGCTTGAGCCCAGGAGTTCAAGATCTGCCTGGGCAATATAGTGAGACCCCATTCTCCACAAAAAAGAAAAAAAAAAAAAAACAAAGCCAGATAAGATTTTCATAGGGATGGCACTGAATCTGTAGATATATTTGGGGAGTACTGACATTTTGCTAACTTAAGCTTTCTATGATTATGGTGTGTTTCACCATTATTTAGGTCATGATTAATCTCTTTCAATGATGCTTTGCAGTTTTCAGCGTGCATGTCTTACACTGCTTTTGTTAAGTTTATTCCTAAGCATTTTTTATTGATGCTATTATGAATAAAATTGTTTTCTTAATTTCATTTTAAATTGCTCCTTGCTAGTGTATACAAATATAACTGGTCTTTGTATATTGATTTTATACGTTGCAACCTCACAGAACTCATTTATTAGCTCATAGTCAATAGTACATTATTGACTAGAAGTGGGTAGAGTAGAAATGTTTGTCTTGTTCCTAATCTTAGGTGGAAAACTTTCAGTCTTTCACTAATAACTGTAATGTTAGTTGTGGGTTTTCCATAGATGTTCTTTAGCTGGTTAAAAAGTTTCCTTATATTCCTAGTTTGTTGAGCATATTTATCATGAAACGGATTTTGTCAAATATTATTTCTAAGTTTACTAAGATGATTGTATGTTTTTCTTTTATTCTATTAATATGGAGTTTATACCGATTAATTTTCAAATGTTTAAGTAACCTTTTATTAGTGGGATAAATTATATTTGGTTCTGGTGTATAGTCTTTTTTATATGTTGCTGTATACAATTTGCTAGTATCTTGCTGAGAATTTTTCTACCTGTATTAATAAAGAATAGTGGTCTACAGTTTCCTTTCCTCTTATGTATTTGTCAGGTTTTGCTATCAGGGTAATATTACAATTGTAGTTTCATCTATTAACAGGAAACTTTGAAAAATAAAAATTTTAAATTCTATCTGAAATATTTAAAAATAAAATTCTGAGTAATAAATATAATAGTAGGTATTTAAGATGTTTATATAAAATATTACTGAGAGGTTTTAAAGAAGATCTATATAAATGCAGAGATAGTGTATGTTCATATATTGGAAGGCTTGATATTGGTGAGAAGTCAATTCTTCCCAAACTGATCCCTAGAATAAATATATTCCCAATCATAATCCCATTTGGCTAATTTCTTAGAAACCAGGAACATAATTCTAAGATAAATCTAAAATTTTACAGGAACTAGGATATACAAACCAATTTTGTAAAAAACAAAAAAAGAACAAAGATGGAAGGCTTATACCATCTGACTTGAAGACTTACTATAAAGCTACAGAAATCAGTGTAGTCTGGTACACTGATATATAAAGAGCTACAAAACCAATGGAACAGAGCAGAGAGCTCAGAAATAGATGCATATTTATGTGGTCATTTGATCTTTAAGAATAACATTAAGAAATTCCAGTGGGGGAAAGGAACGTCTTCAAGTAGTGCTGGAAGAATTAAATATCCATACAGAAAATAAAAAACTCTACACTGACCTCACACAACAAATAAAAATTAATTTAATATGGATAATAAATCTAAACATAAAAAGCTACAACTGTACTATAAAGTTTTCAAACTATATGTGTGTGTGTATATATATATGTGTATATATATATGTGTGTGTATGTGTGTGTGTGTATATATATACATATATATATACATATATATACACATATATATACATATATATATACACATATATATACATATATATACACATATATATATGTATATATATACGTATATATATATGTATATATATACGTATATATATACATATATATACGTATATATATGTGTATATATATATATATATAACAGAGATAACCTTGTTTTAGACAGGATACAGAAAATAATTAACCATGAAAGAAAAAGAAAGCCCTGATAAATTAGACCTCAAAATTTAAACTTCTGCTCATCAAAAGACATCACTAAGAGAATAAATTAGCAAGGCTCAGATTGGAAGGAAATACTTGCAAAATATACCTAATAAAATACTTGTTTATATATTTACATACATATATATTTTTATATATGGCTCATACATATAAAGAACTTCTATACTTCAATAAGAAAAACACAAATAATCCAATTTAAAAATGGGAAAATAACTGCAATGAACACTTTACAGAGAAAATTATATAAATGACCGGTGAGCATATGAAAATGATTTCGACATATTAGTCATCAAGGAAAAGGCATATTAGATTACTATTAAACATCACCACAAACCCACCAAAATGGCTAAACCTAAAAAGTCAGACTGCACCAAATATGGGTGAGGATGTAGAACACTAAAACTCTCACATTTTGTTGGTGGGAATATAAACAATTACTTTGGAAAAGATCTGGCAATTTCTTCAAAAATTAAGAGTACACCTATCTATGACCAGAATCCTACTTTTAGATGTTGACCTACTATAAATGAAGACCTATGCCCTCAAAAACATCTGCACAAGAATGTTTATAGAAGCTCATTCATACTAGTCGAAATGTGGAAGAATGGATAAACAAATTGGTAAAATGGAATACAACTCAGCAATAGAGAACTACCAATGAACTCAAGAACAGACTGATCTCAAAAACATTATGCTATATGAAAGGAGCCTGACACGAAAGAGTATATAGAGTATGGTTCCATTTATATAAAGCCCTGAAAGAAGTGATTTACTCTTGGTGGGGTAGGGATACTGGGAGGGGCCTGCAGGAACTTTCTGGGGTAATATAGATTCGGGTGCAACAGGCAGATACATTTGTCAGAACTCACGGAAATTCACTCATAAAAGTTGTGTGTCTTATCATATGTAAATTTTACCTCAAAAGAAAAAACAAAGAATCGTAAAATTTAAATTCTGGTAATAATGCACACGTTCAAGTATTTAGGAGGATATGTACTAATGTCTATAACTTGCTTTGAAATGTGTCCAAGCCAGAAGTGGTGGCTCACACCTGTAATCCCAGCGCTTTGGGAGGTCAAGGTGGGAGGATCACAGGGTCAGGAGATCGAGACCATTCTGGCTAACATGGTGAAAGCCCATCTCTATTAAAAATACAAAAAATTAGCCTGGCGTGGTGGCAGGCGCCTGTAGTCCCAGCTACTCAGGAAGCTGAGGCAGGAGAATGGTGTAAGCCCAGGAGGCGGAGGTTGCAGTGAGCAGAGATTGTGCCACTGTGCTCCAGCCTGGGTGACAGAGCGAGACTCCGTCTCAAAAAAAAAAAAAAAAAAAAGAAAGAAAGAAATGTGTCCAAAAATAAGATTCATGAATGATGAATGGACAGAGGGATAGAATGATGCACAGTGGTGGGTATATGAGTATTTACTGTAAACTTCTTTAAACTATTTGGAATAGTTAAACATTTGAATATAAAATGTTTAAATAAAAAAATTCTTTAAAACTAAGACTTTCACAAAAAAAAAGAAAAGAAAAATTAAAAGAAAAAAAGAGAAAGCAATCCCAGCTTTGTAAGTTACTAGCCATGCTTCATAAATAGTCTAAGCATAATTTCCTCATTTATAAAATATAAAAAATAATATCTACTATACAGGACTGTTAAAGGACTATACTTGCCAATATATGTAAAAAACAGTTCCTGGTATAAATAAGCACTGAATAAATGTTTTAGCTACTATTTTTAGTAAGCATAGAACGTCTGTAGCCATAAACCCACAAAAATAAAACTTCCTGAGAAAGAAGACAATGTTTGCACACTTTGTTAAAACAATTGTTATGTTTGTTGCATAGAAAAAAATCAGATTCACCGTGATTTTTTTCTACATGTGAATACCATTTATTAGGCTCCCTAAGTGAATGAGCTAGTAGAAAGGAAATATTATATTTAAAAAACCCCATAAGGCATATTTTTAGAAACGGTATTTCCTTGACTTTCATTCCAGGAAAATTCTAACACACGGCACGGTGCATGTGGAGCCCAGAAAAGAAAGCCTGCCAGATGCCACAGCAATAAATAGAGTAGGGCCTTGGAGACGAAGCATAAAAGGAAAATGTGGAGCATCATATCTGCAGCACCCTTCTCCATCTGGTATTTAGCCCACTGAGGTTATGGGATTTTTGGAAATTCACCTTTGTAGGCTACCTTTAATTATTTTTCTTGTTTATTTGTCCAGTAAACATTTAAATTGTAGCCTAATATGAGCCAAGTTCTATGAAGGTCTTCCAGGACCTTTGGAAAATGAAGCTGGGTACGGAAATTTCAGGAAAAAAATGTTCTAAGTACAGAGTAATGAAAGGTTAATACTATTTACGTCTTGCCATCTCTTTTTACAATATTAATTTCACAAATACAATTTTAGCATTTCCAACCAATAAATTAAGCAACAGCATATTTTCTCAAATGGCAGGAATTCTCAGACAGGAATAAAAGGGAGTAGAATTTCTTAAGTGGGTTATGTCTCACTTTGCTAAGAAGGGCAGAAATGAAAATAGGTTTTCATAAATTATATTTTCTATGGGTCTTGTATTATCATTTTTATAAACAGATATTTTCCAAGCAAGTGGAATTTCTTCACATCGTCTCTCAATTTAGTAATCTTTCTGATGAGCAAACTGAGCTGTAGAATGTTGAACATTGTTTCATCCTACTATGACTGTCATCCTTTGGCTTGTTGAATATATATTCTTGTGATAATTCTAAGAAACTATGACTAATGGATTTTTATCCAGAATTTTAAAACAACAAAAAGTTATTTTAAATTAAATGAAAAATACATTCTATTCCCTTAACTTTTCTTTTTTGGGGGGATTACACATTCTCTGCTAAAATTTAGGATGGAATTTCTAACAGTGATGGCATTGTT
This sequence comes from Homo sapiens, assembly GCF_000001405.40. Classification (NCBI taxonomy): domain Eukaryota; kingdom Metazoa; phylum Chordata; class Mammalia; order Primates; family Hominidae; genus Homo; species Homo sapiens. The sequence continues at coordinate 43,473,418 of NC_000013.11, forward strand.
CGGTAACTAACAGTCTTTTGTGTGTGTGAAAAATTCTAAATGAGTGGAAATGATCTCAGAAATTTTATCTTGAAAATGTTTGCCTATAGTATTTATTCAAGTGTTGTCCACATTTTAGGAAAGAACTTCAAAAATGTCCTTTTCATAAAAATATGCAGTTCTCTTGTGTCTATTTAAAAGGGAAGTCCCTCTCCTAACTCCAGCATACGCACTCATCTCTGGGCTATCAATAGAAGCTAAAGAAAAAATTAAAGAAACACTGGCTGCATGCCAAATTTTGGGTTAATAGGGAAGAGAAAGCTGGTTGGCAATCTCCCTTCCTAGTCCTTATCTTTTCCTCCCCTTATCTCTCCTGTGCTAGGGGTGCTGGGATGTCTGTACTCTGTAACCTCTTTCTCTGAATGGAGACAGAAGCAGGAAGTCAGGTGCCCTGCACTTTAATGTCTTATTATTCTTCTCCTTGAGTAAATCCTAACTGTTAACGGGAAATAAAATGCTATATGTAAATGAACATCGTCACTTGGAAATCATCATTCTGGGCTACAGCACCAATACACCTGTAATCTTAAAACATCCTTTTAATAGTAATGAATTTGTCAAAAAAGTATATTAGGACATCTATATTCAAATTAAGTTTACCACTGGCTTAGGTTTTTAAAATTAATACAAGTTGCTTAAGATGGTGAAAGGCCAAACTGTTGTGATTCCTTCCACTATGTATCATCCTGGAGCAAAACTCATAGGGGAAAATTAGATATTCGTGAAGCAAGATAGCGAGGGTTTTTGTTGTTGTTGAGGTTCCCATCAGGAACAAGCTTATATTATTGGATTTACTTGAGAGTGTACAACTGCCCTTGAAATGAAACATCACCTACTTCCAACAAGTGTGCTCTCTCCCTAGTTCACCCTAATTAAGGAGGCTTCCCTATATTAATTTTGTCTCTTATACAAGCATCCTTGAGACTCTTTGTGCTTAATTATTTATGTCTATGTCTCAAGTATTAAGAGCACACTTGAAATTTAAGATTTTTCTAAGTTTCTAACACTTACTAGCTTTGTTTTTTGCTTAGACCTGTTAATCTAATTTTGTCTTCTCAACACTTTTGGGAATAATGCATTGCTTATCCTTAAATTTTGCTTTGCAGTTTCTGTATGAAAGATTCCAAATTCAGGTTTCAATGTATTTGAAACGAAGTTGCTGATTCCTCTCACTGGAATTAAGACCTACACTTACTTTTCTCACTCTTCTTTATTCTATTTCAAAGTTTGATGAATATTTTCTCAAACTGTATTTGAAAAATTTAGAATCCAATACCATGACCAATCTTCCTCCTGCTAAGCCATTGGTGGTCTAACTATTACTTTTTAAGAAAAATTAATATGGACCCTGATGTAAAAAGAAAAGAAAAACAAATATAGAGTGATTTCAGCAGGTCTATTACTAGACATGTTTTCTCATGTTTCTCGGTAGCTTGACCCTCTTGTCTGGTATTCCTGAGAGAATGGGCCTACCCACAGAGAAAGGGAGAAGGAGGTAAAGAAGTTGCAGGTTTGCTGGTGATTTGAGATGAATCCTCATGCAACAACTTGAAGGCAGACAGATTGGAAGAGCAGTGAGTTGATTTTCTAAAGTAAAATCCACCAGAAAGAGTTTACACGGTGTTGGAATTCTACCACATTTACAAATTAATGTGCCAGATGCCATCAGCAGATCTATCATTATGATGGCTATTGATAAATATCAAAATTTGACCATTAAGAAAATAGTACTACTAATCTCATACTGGGGATATCAGTACCACTACAGAAAAATTCTACTTAAAAACATATGTGAGCTAAAAGTGAAAAGCATTTCCCTGCTGATTCCACATGTCCACAACAGCCTAAGCAGTGTGGAGATGGCCAGCGGAGCAGCAATAGGGAACGTGTGCCAACATTTCTGATAGGAACTCTATTTTCTGAGGATTTAGGCTCAATTATGAAAGTCTGCTGAAAATGAAACTTGGCATAAATACTGTAGCTTAGTAGAATTCCATCAAATACAACAAAAATGAAGATTAAGGAGAGGGAAATCCTATAAACTCAACTTTCAGAAAAGACCAGAGCATTGCTAAGGAAAATCAAAGGAAGTTCTCAATACTTATTAATTAATCTTTTCATAAACGAAATCATATTTGAGAAGTGGTGAGATCATTTACAGCCTAATAATTTCCAGATATGGAAGGGAATAAATAATTTAAAGGGGTAATGATTGAACCTAGGAAGGGCTGTGTCAGTTCTAGAAATAGTGGCTTTTACTCTTGAATTTTTAAAAGTTCCATTTTCTTAGTGGTGGCATTGGCCCAGGCCACAATCATATACAAAAACATAACTGACCAAAAAAAAAAAAAAAAAAAAAGAAAGGCTTTAATCTCTTAGAATAGCAAAACAGAATTTGAGAAGAGCCTAAACTCTAAGATATACAGCTCTTAAAATTTTACCATAAAGGACACTTTTTTAGAGCCCTAAATAAGGTGGGAACCTTAAACACAGACCTTAATTTTAATAACTCTTGGGAATGGATGGTCTCAGTTAACTCTAATCTTATATTTGTTTATAGACCTCAGTTTTCAATTACAGGAGGTCTAAGCATTGAAGTGTTAGAGTGTTTCAATAGATGAAAGATGATTAATAGAAACTTTAATATCTCTCCAAGTCAAATGACCATGTAACCTCTACAAATATTACTGTAATCGCTACAAATATTTGTTACTTTGTTTATTCATTCAGTAATTCAAAAAAAGATTTATTGAGCACATGCTAGGTATAACGCTCCATAAAACAAGCCTAAAATCTACCAAAAATACAAATATGTATTCACTTGAGAATTTCTGATAGCTCTCATTTAGTGAAGGTACCAGACACTAAACAACATTTAACTTGAGATACATCTGGAACCTTTAACAACATACTAAACTTTAAAAAAAAGTGCATATTTTTCTAATGTGGTTCTGAAACAAAGAGACAAAAAGAAATTTTTTATTTGTCTAATGGAAGAGAAAAGGCCTCAAAAACTAGCTGACCTCCCAGATAATGAAGTGTAAAAGAATGTGCAAATGTACTTCAAAAAGTAACTCTCCTGGACACCAACTGAACCCTTAGAAGCTAAAGGCGGGAAATAACCCCTTCTTCCTTCTTTTACTCTCTCTAGTTTGTCTTTGTTCTGTTTCCCTTGTCATTTCCCACTCTTCAGACACAATTATAGTTGATTGAGATATAACGAGTAAAGCTACATTAGAAACTACTCATGGAAAAATCAATAGAAAAGGATAGAGGCACATTCAACAGAAACAACAAAACAGAAGCACTGTTAGGAAGAAGGAAGTGAGAGGTTTTTGTAGCAGAATGTACGGAACAGATATTTCCCAAGTGCCTCTTCTATGGTAGGTGGGACATAGCAGCATCATACAGTCACCTCATATATCCACTGTAAAAGAGGAGATGGGTGGGTGCAGGCAGGTAATTGTCCAGAAAAAGCAACAGACTGGTTCTATTATGAGAAAGTGAACATACTTCATTTGTGGAAAACTATACAACAATTAACCACTATGAATGAAACAGATCTCCATATATTAAGAGAGAGATTCTAAAAAAATAAAAAAAAAATTGAGAAAAAACAAGTTCCAAAGGTATATATTCAGTATGATCCCATCTATGTAAACTTAAAAAATATTGCACATATATATGTGTGTATACATATATATACACATACATATATATATATAGTATACACACATATATATAGAGAGATTAATTATAACTATATATGTGATAAATGGTATAATATACAACAACCTTATTATCATGATAGTACCTCTGGGAAAGGAGAAGTAGATATCTGAAGAACATTTTAAAATTTTTAAATATGGGGGTGAATACATACGCTTTGCTCTTTTCTGTAGGTTTAAGCTACTTGACAATAAAAATTAACATTTTTTTGAAATTTGTTGTCTAAAAAAAGAAAGCTGTAGAAATTGAGACAATTAGAAGGAGCTGTTCTAGTAAGTCTAACTTTCTTATTTCTGAGCTGAGCTGAGAATATACAAGGCTGATTATTTTCCATCTTCAGAAAGAGAAACAATGGAGACTTACTGTAGAAGAAAAGACTATCCTTGCAATGAGAAGTCAGTGGCACTTTTGGCAAATGAATGGTCATTTTCAGGTGGAAGTGAATTATCTGAATGTAGTTATATTGAGTCCTCCAGCTTTAAAAGAATGTTTCAACTCATACACTATTTATTTGAGTTACTCTTTTTTTTCTTTATGGGGTGTGAATATGAGGTTTAAGGGACACAGTTAATAGATGCCAAGTTTTCATTGTTTCTACAAATGTTTATAGAGTCTGGATTTTGGAATAACAATTTGCACACTTACAAGTGTTGATTAGCTGGGCAACATTGCAATTAATATTACTTTTTTAAGCTCCTCGCAAAGACTTCCTTTTCTTTCAAAATTGCCAATAAACATTTTCAAACATAATCCCCAAGGAGCTCATTCACTGGGTGCTGGGGGACTCCAGCAGGAAGGAAACCTACTAACATTTTATTAATTTTGGATCATGTGTAATTCTTAGGATTAATGGCAAGGAGCCAGAGAGGTTTTTTTTTTTTTTTTTTTTTTTTTTCATTTTTTAAATCACAGTGGAAAATAAGCCTGAAACATTTCACTAGTAAGGCAAGAGTCACTTAAGATATATTATTAAATATGAGGGGTAGAAATAAATCACAGACACAAGTGGTATTATACAGTGGGCATTTTTCTGAAAAAACAGACTCCGTGCATGAGGATTAGATATACGCCCACAATAAGAGGGCATATTGATCTATAATTTTCAGTATTACATCCTTGTATTTTTTATTATATGCTATTTTTCAACTAGTAGAGGAACGTGTTCTCATAAAGCTAATATTTATTCTTCCATGTTTATACAGCTAGTAGTGCATTTCAGGAAATGAGAAATTCTGAGAAGCCAAATATAACTTGATGTCGTATGCAAAAAAGAAGACAAGACAGAAAAATCCCCATATTTTAAAAACCTGACTCAGGAACTCACTCATAAAGCTTTAAATAATTAAATAACACAACATAATGAAAGTCTTTTGATATTATTTTTTCTATTCCCATAAATGTAGCCTTTTCATAGATGATACATCTTATCATGTAGTATTCCTCATTTTACTAGAAATCAAAGAAAAGGACCCTTTAGTCCAGTTCTCATTTTCAACACTGTACTCACTGTGTGTATTTTGTGGAAGCTGAGGCAGATACTCACTGTAATCCCACTATAAAAATTGAGATACCCCTACTGGAAACTGTATTGTTAATTCATGAATTCTTCTCATTTTATTATTAAGTAACCTGTGTACTGGGGAATTCAATGATTTCTTAAACCCAAAGAAAATAGTAGTGAATGATAATTTGGTTTTTCATGGAGAGGCTGTATTCATATTATATTACGGTAAAAGCCTCAAGAGGTCAGAGCCATTTCGGGGGAGAAATTCCCCAAGCCTTTGGAGGAGAAACTCCCCAAAGGTCAATTGTTTCTATGTCCTCTCCTTTTAGTTTATAACTTTACTTGAGCCCTTGGAGAAATCAGGAGAAACAGAAGTTGTCAAGTCATTTCCCCATACTCCGCATGCATAAAGATGGAACTGGGTGTTGGCAACAGTAAGTAAGTGAGGCAGAAGGCAGAAGTGTTGAGGGGGATGGCAGGAGGTGAGGCCAAGGATGTTGGGACTAAAGGGAGAGAGCAGTTAGGCTGTAATCAAGGGTTCTTTGAGCTCCCCACAAACCGATCCTTGATTTTCTGAGGAAGCTTGTGGCCTAGAGCAGACAGCTGAAACTATGGTGCTTGGTGAAAAGCAAGTGAAAAAAACAACTACTACTTTATTACTTACCTTTTCCCAGTCATCTTGCAGATTTCAGATTTTCTACCCTTTCCGTTCTCAGTAACTGACCGGCCACCTTTGTGGCATCAGCCCCACCACTTCTCCTGAGGTCCAAGCCTGTCTCCATCTCCATATCCAACAGCTGTCCTCTCTCTGCCATTTTCCTGTACTGAGTTCTAATATTATCTTTCCCTCATCCATGTTCCTATATCAAGAAAAATGATCTCCTTTAAACACCAAACCAGAATTTCTCGTTCTTCGAAAGAGTCTATCCATCCATTTATGTATGTTAGTGTATTTCTAGGCAGCTAAAAAATAAATGTAATCTCAGAGTAGAAGTGCAATAGAATGGAAAGAGAATGGTACCCGGAGTTAGAAAAAGGGGGCTACACCCAGCTCCATCTTTCTGCCCATTTGGGCACTGTCAGCTCTAAGTGAAGTTTCTGTAGTCTGGGCAGTTGCAGACCTCCACTGCTGGACAAGGGAAAGAAGGTTTGAGTCTGGTTATTACAATAACTGGGGTTGGGGGAGATGTTGGCTTTTGGTTCCTGAGAACCGTGGTTACTAAACATTCTTTTATTTATTTTTATTTTTATTTTTTTTTTTTTGAGACAGAGCTGTTCTCTTGCTGCCCAGGCTGGAGTGCAATGGCGTGATCTTGGCTCACTGCAACCTCCACCTCCCGGGTTCAAGCCATTTTCCTGCCATAGCCTCCTGAAGTAGCTGGGATTACAGGCACCCACGACCATGCCCAGCTAATTTTTTTGTATTTTTAGTTGAGATGGGATTTCACCATGTTGGCCAGGCTGGCCTTGAACTCCTGACCTCAGGTGATCCACCCGCCTCGGCCTCCCAAAGTGCTTCAATTCTAGGCATGAGCCACTGCACCTGGCTGGTTACTAAACATTCTAAACATGCATGGGACAACCTTGCATCACAAAGAACTGTCCCACTTAAAATGCCAATACTGCCCTGATGAAGAAACATCAATAGATGATTTTCAATGTTCCTTCAACCTATTTGGCCTCTAAAACTTAAGTGAAATGTAGGGAACTTAAGAGACTCAGGAAAGAACTGTGAGGATAATTAAAATTTTGGATTATGCAGATTTATAGGAAAAGTTTTAAAAATGGGCTTATCTCTCCCAAAGAGAAAAAGGATGATTTAAAAACTGAGACTAGGATGATACAGGGGAAGTCTGACCAATAAATTTTCTTTTTCAATGGAAGCAGAAATAAATTAACATGATATGAGCTCAGAAATTACATTGGCTTTCTTGAGAAAGACTTGAAATCATAAATGAAAGAGGAGACATTACAACTGATATCACTGATATCACAGAAATAAAAAGGATTATGAGAGACTACAAGGAACAATGATATGCCAACCAGTTAGATAACCTAGATGAAACAGATACATTTCTAGAAACACACAACCTACCAAGACTAAATAGAGAAAAAATAGAAAGCCTAAACAGACCCATAACTAGTAAGGAGATTGAGTCAGTAGTTAGCAATCTTCCAACAAAGAAAAGTCCTATATCAGATAGCTTCACCAGATCATTCTACCAAACATTTAAAGAACTAATGCTAATCCTTCTCAAACTCTTCTAAAAAATTGAAAAGGATGGAACATTTCCTAACTCATTTTATAAAGCCAGCATAAGCCTGATACCAAAGTCAACCATGCCACAAGAAAACTACAGGCCAATATCCCTGATGAATGTAAGTGCAAAAATTCTCAACAAAATACTAGCAACTTTTTGCTAGCAACAAATACTAGCAAACCAAATTCAACAGCAGTATGCAGTATGCTGTTGAATTTGGAAGCCTCATACTTCCCGATGTCGAAATGTAACAACAAACTCTCTATATATTATATACAGAGTTTCAGTCATGCAAGATGAAAAAATTGTAATATATAAAGCTACAATAGTCAGAATGGCATGGTACTGACATAAAGGCAGATATATGGACCAATGGAAGAGGATAGAGAGTCCAGAAATAAACCCATATATATATGGGATCAAATTATATTCAACAAGGGTTCCAAGACTCCACAAAAGTGTAAGAACTTATTCTTCAATAAATTGTGCTGGGAAAACTGTATATCCACATGCCACAGAATAAAACTGGATCCTTATTTTATACCAGACACCAAAACCAACCCAAAATGAATTAAAGAATTAAATATAAGATTTGAAACTACACAACTAGTAGAAGAAAACCCAGGGAAAAAGCTCCATATTTGGTCTTGGCTGTGATTTCTTAGATATCACAAGAAAAGAACAGGTAACAAAACAAACACAGACAAGTAGAATTATATCAAATTAAAAGGCTTCCATGCAGCAAAGGAAGCAATCAATAGAGTGAAAAGGCAACTTACAGAATGGGAAAAAATTTGCAAACCATATATCTGATAAGGGGTTAATATATTAAATATGTAATAAACTCCTACAACTCAACTGCAAAATATCCAAATAATATAATTTAAAAATGGGCAAAGGACTTGAATAGACATTTCTCCCAAGAAGACATACAAATGGTCAACAGATACATGAAAGATATTCAAAATCACTAATTATCAGGGAAATACAAATCAAAACCACAACGAAGTATCACCTCAAGATGGTTATTATTTAAAATAATAGACAAGGGTTAGCAAAGTTGTGGAGAAATTGGAACCCTTGTACACTGAGGGTGAGAATGCAAACTGGTACTTCTGCTGTGCAGTATGAAGATTCCTCCACAAATTAAAAATAGAACTACCATATGATCCAGCAATTTCACTTCTGGGTACATATCAAAAAAACTGAAAACAGGATCTTGTAGAGATATTTACACACTCATGTTCACTGCAGCATTATTCGCAATAGCTAGGATGTGGAAAGAACCTAAATGCCCACTGACAAATGAATGAGTAAATATGGTCTATATGTAGAACAGAAGATTATTAAGCCTAACAAGGAAAATCCTGTCATATGTGACAACATGGATAAACTAAGGTCATTATGCTAAGTGAAACAAGCCAGTCACCGAAGGACAAGTACTGCATGATTTCATTCATATGAGGTACCTAAAGTAGTCAAACTCATAGAATAAGGTAAAATTGTAGTTGCCAGAGCTGAAGGGAGGAGAAACAGGGAGTTGCTTTACAACAGGTATAGCACTTTAGTTAAGCAAGATGAAAAAATTGTAAGGATTTGCTGTACAACATGCAGAGAGTTAACAACACTAAAGTATGGACTTAAAAATTTGTTAAAGGGTAGATTTCATATTTTGTGTGTGTGTGTTTTAACCACAATAAATGAAAAAAAAAACTAAGAAAAAAAGGAAATTGGATCCCTGGGTATGAAGGTTTGAAAACAAATGGATTTTTATTGGTTTCAGACAGTTCACGCAGAATCTTGCTTGTAGACTAGGGAGGAGCATTTAGGTAACTTCTCACGTCCTTCCCAGCACTTCTGTTTCTATGGATACAGTTATTAGGTTCCAGCACACTGTGATATCCTACTGAATTGACAGGCTAGAGAGCTGAGGATGGAGGCACAACTTCTCATCTACCCCATACCCTAGTAAATACCCCCTGCCTCACTGTTCAATGGGGGTTAATCATGAGGCCCAACAGCGAAGGGTACAGTGGGAAAACTGGAGTCTAGCCCAGCACTACAGTAACATCTACTTTGATTCTTAGTAGAAATAAAAGAAATAAAAAAAGTAGAACCACAGTAAAGGGCTACTAAGAGAGAAAGCATTTGTCACCGTGGACAGAATAAAAGTACCACCAAATGAAATAAATGCCTATGGGAAAAGATGTGTCATGCTAGAAAGTACTGTGTTCCTTCTCCTTTGCTCTTCATTTAGTTTTCATCCACTCAATGTACCAAGCCTTATCCTATATCCTGTTTCCTTTTCCAGCTTTGAAAGATGCATGGACTGAATTTAGCCTTTGGTTAGGTCTTTGTCAGAAAGTACCTTCAAAATAAAAGTGTTTTACTTGGTACTATCTCAATAGCAAACATGTATTTCCAAAATGAAATGCTTGCTCTACTAGCAAGCTTTTTCCTTGAGTAAGCAACAATATTGTTAGTAATTTTTCAAACTGTTAATACACATACACACACACACACACAAAACCCCAAACAAGCCCTATTCTATCATTTATAAATCATAGGGTGAATATCCTCTGGTAGAACTAAATGAAAACATTCAGGGCACTGAGTTTTTATAATTTGAAAAATGATAATACTAGTTGATATTGACAAATTCAGTTTTGATTTTCAACGTTTCAAAATATAATTTATCCACAAGGTCTTAAACAATTGAAAGTACTTAACTAAATCTGATATATGTAGATGCTTGGCATAAATTTATTGAATCTATTCAGTTAGAATTTATAAACACAAAAATAAAATTTGTTTTAAGTCAATGTGGGGTATATTTTATTTCTAATATCCTTGTTACATTCCACAGGGTATACATAAATAAGTATGACAAGATATTTATTTTCATTTAAATCTAACTTTCAATGAAATTAAGAAATGAAAATCTGTTTAAAATCTACCCCCAGAGTTCTAATTGAAATAGAGTACAAATATTTTCCATTAAAAAATATCCCTCAAACTTAGTATCTTCAGTAAGAAAAATGAAAAAATTAACACAAACCTCAAAACTGCCAGCAGCTCAGAAGACAAATGTGTTCTCTGGGGACTTGATTGAAACCATGTATTCATAAAAGTCTTTTAAATGGATGCTCTTCACAAAGGAAGTCTCATGGAAGACAGCATGGTTCTGACATATCAGAGGCTTCTGGAAGCAAAGAAAAGCACACCGTTAGGATATGTCTAAAGTACCATTACTGCCTGTAATGGTATTATTATCACTTATATGTGTTATCAGCATGATGTTATTAATTTCTATTATCAATTTTGTACCCTAAATCATCTTATTCATCAATGGCAGAGTGGGACACTAACCTTTCAATATCGTATTTAGAAATTTCTAAAAGTCAGGAGTATTTATAACTAAGCAAACCTCTGCTTTTCCTCTTATCTAGGCTGGGATTGAATAACTGTGGGCAGGGTATGAGCACAAGAACAGTGACAGTATTTACTGAGTGTCTACCAGATATAAGGCACTGTGCAAGTGGCTTTTAAATCTGGGATCTTTAATACAAACAACACTGCAATTGAAAAGTATTGGCTCCATTTTACAGATGAGAAAAAAATGCACAGATTGCTGACCTCAGGCTTAGAACCTGTAACCATCAAAGTTCAAAGGCCTTAGGGCAGGTACTTTCCCTCATCTCACTCTGTAGCCTTGGTGATTTAGAAAAATATTTCCCAAACAGAACTGACAAGAGAACAGATAATGCTGCAACATACTAAATTAATTCAAATATTACTAATTAATTAAGAACTTGTCTTGCCTAATTTACTTTAGTTTTATATTAAATATCATCTTATTCAGTCAGGCCCACATAAATACAAATGCCCAGCTTTAAGCAGTATATTTTTTTCTACCAACTTTTCTTCCTTAGACAAAGAGAGAACTTGCTGGAAACTGAGAAGCTCCTTTGTGTTTGGTGTGGGATTACATGCAGCGCTACATCAAGGCTGGCACTGCAAACTTCTCATCTTCCTCTGGCCCATCCATGTGACCCACAGTTCCTCCACTGTCCTGATGAATGAGAACACTTAGTTTTCCTGATTGCATCAGGAACTGAGCCCACATCCTCTATGGCTATTACTGAGTGATATTACTGTATCTCTTTGTGGCTACATTCACCTTAATGGCTGAGGGTGACAAAGCGAGGGCTCTAGTTGGATTTCCATTCTCATTTTTAGTCAGCTATCTCTATATTTGTTTCTGATGGTTCCAGTGCAACACAGAGACCCCCTGCAACTTACCCACCACCAGCTGTCCCAGTACCCACTCTCACACTGTGTTGCAGGGCTACTGCTCACCAAATAAATGCTTCAACACATCCCTTGAAATGATAGCTTTGGATGCCATAGACTTTTGTCTGTCCTGAACCTTTTAGCTCATGGCCCCACTGCAGGACCAAAAGTCCCTTAGAGAGACTAGAAAATGATGGAGCCAGGAAGGTCATGCATAACTTTTGAAATTTTTAGTTTATTGGATTTTTGGCCACAAAAGCTTCAGTCATGAATAAAGAAACAAGGGAAAACGATTGATGGTATTTTCAAATTCTACAGAACCAGAGCCTAGGATTATTACACAAAGAAAAAGGAAAAAGAACAGAGGAAAACAGAGCTAGTTTATCTTTGCATGACAGAAGAAAGGTGAGCTTGACAAAGAATGAAGAAAAAAGACTTGAACCAATGGATCTAAACTAAGTGAGAGGAATGTGAAATGAATAGCAACTCTTCTTAAAACCTCATACACTAGCATTCTGTTTACTTCATACCACTCAGAAACACATTTTCAGGCAGGGCACGGTGGCCCACGCCTATAATCCCAGCACTTTGGGAGGCCAAGGCGGGCAGATCACTTCAGTCCAGAAGTTCAAGACCAGCCTGGCCAATGTGGTGAAACCCTGTCTTTACAAAAAATACAAAAATTGGCCAGGTGCGGTGGCTCATGCCTGTAATCCCAGCACTTTGGGAGGCCGAGGTGGGTGGATCATGAGGTCAGGAGATGGAGGCCATCCTGGCTAACACTGTGAAAGCCCGTCTCTACTAAAAACACAAAAAATTAGCCGGGCATGGTGGCGGGTGCCTGTAGTCCCAGCTCCTTGGGAGGCTGAGGCAGGAGAATGGTGTGAACCCGGGAGGCAGAGCTTGCAGTGATCCAAGATCGTACCACTGCATTCCAGCCTGGGTGACAGAGCGAGACTTCGTCTCAAAAACAAAAACAAAAAACAAAAATTAGCCAGGTGTGGTGGTGCACACCTATTAATCCTGGCTACTCGGGAGGCTGAGGCATAAGAATCACTTGAACCCAGGAGGTGGAGGCTGCAGTGAGCCAAGATTGCACCACTGCACTCGGGCCTGGGCAAGTAAGTGAGACTCTCTCAAAAAAAAAACAAAGACAAAAACAAACAAACAAAAAAACCAACAACCAAATTTTCAGATTAAATGCCTAAACTAGTAGGCCCAGTTTTTATAAAATCCTAATGACAATTTTTAAACATTCATTCAGCCACTATTCATTATATACTTATGAGCCAAACAATAAGTTGGAAAATTCCAGGAACACTGCAATAATCAAGATAGCCTTTTAGTCAAGCATCTTAACTGTCTTGTAAAGAGATACAACTAGGATGTCAAAAACCATAAGAAGGTGGTACCAGTAGGTGTTTGTAATAATGGGGTCTGAAACCAAACTGGCGGGGGTGTTCCTGCTTCATTACTTCCTGGCTGTATGACCTTGGGCAAGGTACTAAAACTGTATAACTTAGCCTCCTTATCTGCAGGATGTATTTCCCGCAAAGGCTGTTCGAGGATTAAGTAAGAGAAGCCACATAAAGTGCTTTGTGCACTGAGTAACATACAATAAGAACTCATCAAAAGTTAGGAAATGTTGGCGGGATGCAGTGGCTCACGCCTATAATCCCAGCACTTTGGGAGGCCAAGGCAGGCAGATCACCTGAGGTCAGGAGTTCGAGACCAGCCTGGCCAACATGATGAAACCCCGTCTCTACTAAATACAAAAATTAGCCAGGTATGGTGGTGCATGCCTGTAATCCCAGCTACTCAGGAGGCTGAGGCAGGGAGAATTGCTTGAACCTGGGAGGTGGAAGTTGCAGTGGGCTGAGATCGTGCCACTGCACTCCAGCCTGGGTGACAAAGTGAGACTCTGTCTCAAAAAAAAAAAAAAAAGTTAGGAAATATTAGTAGTATTGTTGTATAACAGATCATGGGTGGTATCAGTGATGGAAAACGTGCTATGAAGCTCAGAGGAATTGGAGATCCTTTCTGTTGGGGATGAATGGAATCAAGAAGGCTTCAGTGAAGAAAGTAGCATTTAAGATCAACTATAAGTAAACAGAGAGACATGATTAGGCATTTACAGAAATTCTATTATAATTGAAAAGCCAGAATATGATATACTTTAGAAAAACATAGGTTCATGAAATTAGACATTATTTTCCAGGATTTGGTGTGAAAGTAGACACCTAACCTAACAACACAGCCAGGTCATAGTACAAAGAAAATCAACGTACTGCTACCAAGAGAGGTACACGATCCCATGGGGTCCTGTTCTATTTAACTGTAATCCAAAATGACACCATGGCTTTTAATGGAGCTTGGCAAGCTCTAGACGTGCCAATTATAAACTTAGCCTTAAATTTAAATCATAGGGCTTGAGACTCAAATCTCCAATGTGACCTTTCCTGGGTGTTGTTCAAGAAAACATGTCTGTCACTGTGGACAGAAACCACACACCCTTTTACTCTGGAAAGTATAATATAAAGATGTACTGTATTTTACAAGCACAGAGCCACAAAATGATGGTGGCTATAATTCCCTAGAAGCAATAAAAGCAAAGGCTGTTTGATTTGTAACATTCATTTAGAAATGTCTTATTGCATTAATGAACATTCTTATTTCCCGCATATTCGGGACTTTAATTCAAAAAAAGCTTGGCAGGAATCTCATCATTTATAGATTTAACATATAGTTCCTCTGGATACATTCATTTTGCAAGGGCTCACTAAGCCACACTACTTTGTCCTTGCCAGACCCATACAATATTGTACTGAACAGAGGAGCTAAAAGCCCACAGTGGCTTGAATTCTCCTATACCCTCCCTGTTTCCTAGCCATGGAAGGTCTAATCAAGGAGAGTTCTATGGTTGAAATGTGTTCAGGTGTTGCCAATGTGATAGTGTGAAGAGGTATAGCCTTTAAGAGATGATTAGGCCATGAGGACTCCTCCCTCATGAATGTGATCAAGGCCCTTATAAAAGAGTCTTCACACAGCATTCAGGTAGCTGGCCCTTCTGCCTTCCACCACGTGCAAACACAGCAATATTCCCCTCCAGAGAAACCATCTTGGAAGTGGAGAGCAGCCAGCACCACAGACAACAGAATCTTCTGGTGCTTTAATCTTGAACTTTCTAGCCTCCAGGACTGTGAGAAAATAAATTTCTATTCTTTATAAATTACCTAATCAATGGTATTTGTTATAGGAACAACAAAGGCAGAAATTGGTGCCAGAAGAATGGGATGATGCTGTAATAAATACCTAAAAATGTAGAAACAGCTTTGGAATTGGGTAATGGGTAGAAGCTGGAATGGTAATGGGTAAATGCTGGAAAAAGCCTGTACCGTCATGAACAGAACATTAAGGGCAATTGTGGTGAGGGCTAAGAAGAAGCAGAAGACTAGAGAAAGCCTGACTTCCTTATGGATTACTTAAGTGTTTGTGAACAGAATGTTGGTATAAGCATGAACAGTAAAGATTATTCTGTTGAGATCTCAGATGGACATAAGGAACAGGGTACTGGAAGCTAGAGGAAGGGCCGTCTTTGTTATAAAATGGCAAAGAATTATGCTGAATTCTGTCCTGTCCTAGGACTCTGTGAAATGCAGAACTTAAGAGCAATTAACTAGACTATTTGGTGGAGTAAATTCTGAATTTTCCATTAATTCAAATTGTGAGCATTTGGGAAATTTTCAGCTTGGACATGTGGAGAATAAAAATTAAGTGCGTTTAGAAGAGAAAACCAAGTGCATGACCAAGTGACTGTTTGGTAAGGAGATTAGTATGGATAGAAGAAAGCCAGGTGCTTTAGAAGAAAGCCAGGAGCCATTGACAATGCACCAATGGCTCTAAACACATTTTGAAGATCTTTGAGGCTGCCCCTCCCATCATGGGCCCAGAGTGCTAGGGCTTTGAGGGCAGAATGGTTTTGAGGAAGGGGCCCAGGGTGCCTGGGGGATCTGGGGACTCACTGCCCAGGGCAATCTCAAGTCTCTGCTCCCCACATTCTGTTACGGCATTCCTCAGCCTCCCCAGCTGTGGCTTGAGTGGACCCAGCTGCAGCTGTAAACCCTGGCAGCCTCCATATGGTCGTAATTCTGAGGCTTACAGAGTGCAAGAGCTGTGAGACACAGCTGCTTCCGCCTAGATTTCAAAGGATGTCTCAGGCAGCCTTGGGACCTAGGCATGAACTTGCTTGCCACAGAGGTAGGACCATGGCAGAGACCCTTCACTAGTGCAATGACTAGTGGAACTGTGGGGTCAGAGCCACTGCAGAGAGTCCCCAGTAGGGCAATCCTTAGTGCAGCCATGGGGGCAGGTTCACTCATAAAATCCCATTATTGTAGAGCCACAGCATGCAACTCCAGCCTGAGAGAGCTACAAGGGCTGAACTCCAGCCCGCGAGAGCTGCTTCATGGGCTATGCTCAACAATATTGTCATAGAAGGGTCTCCTGGAGGCTTGGAGACCCAACCCAGCTGAGTATGTCTTGAAGAAGATATGAAGTAAAAGATTACTTTCAAGTCTTAAGATTTAATGTTTGCCTTGTTGGGTTTTAGACTTACTTGGGACCTGTTACCCCTTTCTTCTTTGCTATTTCTCCCTTTTGGAATGGAAATGTCTATCCTATGTCTGTCCCATCATTGTATTTTACTTTATTTTTGAGACAGAATGTCGCTCTGTCACGCAGGCTGGAATGCAGTGGCATGACGTCGGCTCACCACAACCTCCACCTCCTGGGTTCAAGCGATTCTCCTGCCTCATCCTCCTGAGTAGCTGAGATTACAAGTGCCTGCCCCCACGCCCAGCCAGATTTTTTTCTATTTTTGGTAGAGACAGGGTTTTGTCATGTTGGCCAGGCTGGTCTCGAACTCCTGGCCTCAAGTGATACACCTGCCTCGGCCTCCCAAAGTGCTGGGATTGCAGGCATAAGCCATTGCGCCCAGTCCCATCATCGTATTAATATTTTAGAAGCGCATAACTTGTTTAACTTCACAGGTTCATAGCAGGAGAGCAATTTGCCTTGACATGAATTATGCCTTGAGTCTCACCCATAGAGGATTTAGATGAGACTCTGGATTTTAGACTTTGAGTTGATGCTAGAACAAGTTTAGACTGGGCTACTGGGATGGAATCAATGTATTTTGCATGTGAGAGGACATAAATTTGGGAGAGGGGCCAGGGTAGAATATTATGGTTAAAATGTGTCCCCTTCAAAATTCAGGTGTTGGCAATGTGATATTATTAAGAAATTGGGCTTTTAAGAGGTGATTAGGCCATAAGGACTCCTCCCAGGTAAATGAGATTAAGGACCTTATTAAAAAATGTTTCACACAGCATTTGGATAATTGCTCTTCTGCCTTCTGCCATGTGAGGGCAAAGGGTTCCTCCCCTCCGGAATAACCATCTTGGAAGAAAGCTTCCCTTTCCAGAAAACTGAACCTGCCAGTGCATTCATCTTGAACTTTTCAGCCTCCAGAACTGTAAGCAAACAAATTTTTATGCTTTATAAATTACCCCATCTATTGTATTTTGGTATAGCAGCACAAATAGACTAAGAGAGTGAGCCTGCAATAAATACAGTATCCTTCTTTATCCCTTTCACTGAAAACCTGTTAACACTATTTTCCATTCATTCCAACTCATAACATCACAATTTATGCACTACCATTGTGTCAATTCATTCTTAGATTGCTATAAAGAAACATCTGAGGCTGGGTAATTCATAAGCAAAAATTTATTTTGGCTTATGGTTCTTCAGCCTATACAGGAAGCATGGCGCTGGTGTCTGCTTCTGGCGCATCCTCAAGAAGCTTACTATCATGGTGGAAGGCAAATGGGAGCAGGTCCATCACATGATGACAGCAGGGGCAAGAGAGAAAAGGGAGAGGTCCCAGACTCTTTTAAACAACCAGATCTTGCATGGACTTAGTGAGAACTCACCTATCACAAAGGACATGGTGCCAAACCATTCATGAGGGATCCACCCGCATGATCCCATCACCTCCTACCAGGCCCCACCTTCAGCATTGGGAATCACATTTCAACATGAGATTTGGAGGGGACAAACATCCAAATCATATCAACCATAACTTCTAGCTAGTATTTATTCTTGTAGTTCATCCTGAAAAGAGCCCAAAATGGGTCATCCTCAGGCTATAGTGGTGATAAACATTTGAACTAAAGTAAATAAGGCAGGGCACTGTGGCTCATGCCTGTAATCCCAGCACTCTGGGAGGCTGAGGAGGCAGATCATTTGAGGTCAGGAGTTTGAGACCAGCCTGGCCAACATGGTGAAACCCTGTCTCTACTAAAAGTACAAAAATAGCCAGGTATGGTGATGTGTGCCTGTAGTCCCAGCTACTTGAGAGGCGGAGGCAGGAGAATGGCTTGAACCCAGGAGGTGGAGGTTGCAGTGAGCTAACACCACTGCACTGCAGCCCGGGCAACAGAGTGAGACTCCATCTCAAAAATAAATAAAATAAGTGAATAAATGCATAGATGAGATAATTCTTAAAATGTAACTCTAATTATGTACATCCACTACTAAAGAACTTACAAGGGCTCCCTATTTTCCAAAGATCAGACCTAAGTTATTCACCAGAAATATCTGTTCCCACCATCCTCTGTAATCTCAAAACAGACTATTTCTGACCAAAACCCTTGGATCCAGTAGAAATGGTCTGCTCACTATGTTATATAGTGAATCTCAACTAGAGGTGCATCACAGGTGCATGGGGTGTCGCCTATGACAAAAGTGATAAATGACATCTCTCTTGCCCTGTTTCTCTGATCAGCTACTACTTTGTGAACCACCCTATGGCGAGGCCCATTTGGAAAGAAACTGAAGGATCTTTCCAAGACAACAGCCAGTAAGAAACTTGGGCCCTTTATCTATTAGCCTATGAGAAACTAAATCCTACCAACAACCAATGAGCTTGGAAATATATTCTGCCCCAGTTGAGCAGAGATGCTGTAGATGTTGCTCTAGTTGAGATGACTACAGGCCTGGCCATTGCTTTGACTGAAGCCTTGTGAGAGACCCAGAGTTGGAGGACCCAGCTAAGGCATGCTCAGATTCCTGACTGTTGTTTAAGCAATTAAAATAGGGGGTCAGGCCTGAAAAATTCCTGAGCAAATACAACCAGAGGTCTTAAAAATAGCCTTAATCTTGCTTAAATTGCCAACATAAGCAAAACTTAACTCAGGTCACTTCTGATAAATGCTTACATTAGAACTAAAACTTAACCCCAGTGCATCGTAAGCAGCTAATGAACATAATTATGTGACTGGACTTTCCAAGAAAGTACCAAAGAAAAGGCCATTTTGTCATTGCAAACCGGTCAAATAATTTTATTTTACCTTAGCATTTTCCCAATAAATACTTGCCTCATTCTGTCATTGAGACACTAAACCTCTTGCAATCTGGTGTTCTCCATCCATAAATTGTTTCTTACTCAAACTCTTTAAAATTTTATGCCTTAAATTTTAATGCAGTGATAGTTAATTTTATGTTGTTAACTTGGCTAGGCCATGGTACCTAGATATTTGCAAACACAAGTCTAGATGTTACTGTGAAGATGTTAAAATTAACATTTAATTAGTAGACACTGAGTAAAGCAGATTACTTTCCATAATGTGGGTGGGCCTTATCTAATCAGTTGAAGCACATAAGGCAAAACAGACTGAGGTCCCCCAAGAAAGGGAATTCTGCCTCCAGACTGTCTTTGGATTTGAGCTTCTTCCCTAGATCTCCAGCCTGCTGGCCTACCCTGCAGATTTTAGACTTGCCAGTGTCTATAACTACATGAGCTAATTCCTTAAAATATCTTAAGATTCTCTCTCTCTCTCTCTCTCCCCCCTCCCACTCCCTCTCCTGTTGGTTCTGTTTATCTGGAGAACCTTGACTGTTGAGATAGAACTGATAGGACCTATAGAGAGAGAGATGTATAATAAGGGATTTATTAGGGGAATTGGCTCACTTGATTATGGAGGCTGAGAAGTTCCATGATAGGCCAGCCATCTGGAAGTTGGAGAACAAGAGAAGCTGATAGCAAGGCTCAATTCAAGTCTGAAGGCCTTAGAACCAAGAAAGTAGTAACTCTCACACCAAGCCCAAAGGCCCAGGAGCCTAGGGGCATTGCTGGTGTAAGTCTTGGAGTCCAAGGACAACAGAGTCTGGACTTCTGATATCCAACAGCAGAAGGAAAAGGCCATCCTGGCTCCCAGAAAGAGCGAGAATTCACCATTCCTTTGCCTTCTTTTTCCATCTGGGAACCCCAGCTGATTGGATAGTAACCACCCACATTGAAGGCAGATCTTCCCCATTCAGTCCACTGACTCAAGTGCTAATCTCTTCTGGAAACACCTTCACAGATTCCCCTGGGGGCAGGCCTATCATTCTAATCAAATGCCAAAACAGTCCATCTGGGTTTCCCTTTCATCAGGAGAAGGACAAGCTCAGTGCCTACTGAAGCACTGAGAATAATTAATGCTTTACCAGCTATCTGGGTATCCCTTTGTTTTAGTCTATTCTCACGCTGCTACAAAGAACTGCTCGAGGCTGGGTAATTTAGAAAGGAAACAGGTTTAACTGACTCACAGTTCTGCATGGCTGGGGAGGCATCAGGAAACTTACAATCATGACAGAAGGTAAAGGGGAAGCAAGGCATCTTCTTCACAAGGTGCAGGAGGGAAAATAAATGGAGGAACTACCAAATACTTATAAAACCATCAGATCTCGTGAGAACTCACTATCATGAGAATGGCATGGGAAAAACTGCCCTTATGATTCAATTCCCTCCATCTGGTCTCTCCCTTGACATGTGGGGATTATGGGGATTACAATTCAAGATGAGATTTTGGGTGGGGACACAACCAAACCATATCATCCTTAGACCAGTCACACTGACACCCAATCAACCATCACAATAATCACAATTAACTAATACGAAGACCCACAGATACTGTGAGACTAATATGACAGCCCTCCCATCACATTTATCACAATGAATTATAATTTTTGGATTCCTCTCTAATATGGTAAGCTTCATGTTCTGTCAAGCAGAGACCACGTACATCATGTTTGCAAACAAATATTGTACTGTGTCCAGCACAGTGACTACATTCTTGTTAAACAAATGAGTCAAAACTAAAGCTTCTCCAGCAGTGTCTTCATATAACCTAAGAAAATGACGGAACAGTCCCCCAACTAACTTATTGTTTACGATTTATTTGTACCTTTACTGAAGGTACCTTTAATATTGTAAGAAGGCACATATATTCATTCTTTCACAATAATAAACAAAATAGTAGAGATGAGACAAATCATGACACACGGGAGTGACACACAGAGTGGAGTTTTATGGAGTTGGAGAATAAGATGATTGTGAAATTGAGAATAACAAATTTGAAATTTTATAGGCTGCTTTAGAGCAGAAGTATCAGATTTCAATTAAAAGTGTTTTTGAAGATGAACGTGGCATCAAAGTTTAGAATAGGAAAAAAGGCTATTGCTATTTGAATAGGTCAGTTAGACAGCAGTGGAAATATAAAAGTAGGGTTGGATGGAAGAAAAATGCAGAGAAAAAATTCCATCAATTAGATGAAATGGATAATGAGAAAAAAGATGCAGTCAACAATTATAGGAATATTTTGAGCCTAGGTGTGGGGGAGACTGTAAGAACACTGACAGAATGTGGAGATTCAAGAGGGGAGCTGGTATATGTCTGCATGCTTAGGGAGTATAAAATGATAGTGACTTTACTTTGAGATATGCCAAGTTTGAGAAATGCCACATTCCTTCCTATGTTTTATGAATACAGAAAATCTAAGTTTGATAAATGTTTCACCAAAGATCAATAGAGACTATCAAAGACTATCTCTAATTTATTGTTCAGCGAGTATAATATATGGTAAAATGCACTGATTTTAGGTGTACAGTTCACTAGGCTTTGATAAATATACCTTCCCAAGTAACCTACACACAAGTCAAGATACAAAACATTTCCATCACCCCTGAAAGTTTCCTTCTAGTCAAGCCCCACTCAAATGTGAAATTTCAATGTCTATCACCATAAATGGCTTTGCCTATACTTGAACTCTGTATATAATCATACGGTATACCAGATAGCATATGTTCTTTTATGCCTGGTTCCTTTTGTTCAATGTAATGATTATAATTCTTGTTAAATCTTCCAGTAGTTAATTCATAAGTATTCAATTGTATAAACGACTAATAACCTACTACATATAATATTACATTATATGAATTTACCATAACTTATCCATTCTCCTGTCTATGGTCATTTGGCTTGATCCAGTATTTGGCTATTAATAAACAAAGCTATTACAAACATTCTTCTCAGGGCTTTATGTTCTTATACAAAGCCATATATCCTTTCATTCTTAAGTAAATAGGTGTGAGGTTGCCAGGGCATTAAGTTTATAAGGAACCACTAGTTTTCAAAAAAATCCTGTAATATGTTATACCCTCAGGAGCACGGTACAAGAATTTCAGTATTACCACATCCTCACCAATGTTTGGTGAGCTCAGTCCTTTTATTTTTATCTTTTTCTTGTGGATGTGAAGTGGTACTTAAATTTACATTTCCATCATGGCTAATGATGTCATTATTATGGCTTCAAATGTTTATTAAACATTCTTATCTTCTTTTGTGAAGGTTCTGTTTAAGTAATTTGCCAATTGGAAGAAAAATATTTTCTTTGTATTTTTTGAGTTGTAAAGCTTTGTTAAATATTCTAGATTCAATTCCTTTTCATACATATGTATTGCAAACTATTAATATTTGCCCTTTCTGTGGCTTGCCTATTAAAAATGTTTTTTTATAGGGAGCCTTTAATGTTTGTGGAGTATAGTTAACTGATTTTTTTCTATAATGTGAGTGCTTTTAGTATCCTAAGAAATAGTTATCATCTTTTGACTTTTTCTAGAAATCTTATAAATTTTACTTTCATGTAAAGATCTAATTCAAAGTATATACTTTGAATCAATTTTTGTGTATGGTCTGAAGAAGGTGTTAAGGTTCATTCTGTTTCAATAATTGCTCTAGCAATTGGCTCTTTTTCTTTTTCTATTTTTTTTTTTAAGAGACTGTGTCTTACTCTGGTTGCCCAGGCTGGAGTGCAGTGGAACAATCATAGCTGACTGTAACCGAGTACCCCTGGGTTCAAGCAATCCTGCCTCAGCTTCCCAAGTAGCTGGAACTACTGATGTGCACCACCATGCTCAGCTACTTTGACTATTTATTTAGAGATAGGGTCTCGCTATGTTGCCCAGGCTGGTCTTAGACTCCTAGGCTCAAGCAGTTCTCCCACCTCGGCCTCCCACAGTGTTGGGATTATAGGCATGAGTCACCACACCCAGCCTCCATTTCTTAATGAGCCTTTCTCCTATATGTAACAAAATTGCTTTGTTATTAAATCAATTTACTGTATAAGTCTGTGTCTATTTCATGATAACATATTCTGTTCCATTGATCTATTTGTCTATCTTTGTCTAGTATCATATTTTCTTAACACTTTTATAGAAGTCTTGAAATCAGAAAGCTAGTCCCCCAACACTGTCATCTTTTTCTAAAATAATTTGACACTAATAAGTCCTTATAATTCTGTATAAATTTTAGAACCAATTTATTAATTTCCACCAAAAA
The DNA here is from genome assembly GCF_000001405.40 of Homo sapiens. Lineage (NCBI taxonomy): Eukaryota > Metazoa > Chordata > Mammalia > Primates > Hominidae > Homo > Homo sapiens. The sequence goes on from NC_000013.11 coordinate 43,496,966, forward strand.
AACATAAACTTTTGGGACTGTGTTAAATATACACATATTTTGAAATAAAAATCTTAATATAGAGTCTTCCATTTGCAATTTCATTTACCAAATGTTTCTTACTGTATAGAAATAGCACTGATACTTTACATTTATCTTGCATCCTGAAACCTTGTAAATTCAAGAGATTTTTGCTAAGTTCAAATAGATCTTTTTTAGACTCCATAGGATTTTCTATACAATTTTTTAAGTAAATTTTTGACTTGCTGTCTCCAAATATTTTTATTATTCTTTTCCAATCTATATACTTTTTATTTATTTTACTGGCCTGACTGCATTGGTTAGGACCTCCAGTACAATGTTGAACTGGTGAGAGTGAACACCCACATCTCTTTTCCTGATTTGGAGGGAAAGTATTCACTGTTAACATCCTTAGTTGAAGGTTTTTCACAGATTCCCTTTAACAGATTAGGAAAGATACCTTTTATTCCTAGTCTGAGTTTTTATCATGATTAGAGGTTGAATTTTATTAAATGCTGTCTCTCTAACTAGTAAGATAACCTTTTTTTCTATTAATGTGGATTGATTTTGAATATTAAAGAATGCATACATACTTGAAATTCATTTTTGTCAGGATATATTACTGTATGTTAATACATAATAACACATCACTGCAGTGATTATGTGTTATTTCCTAATTGTATGTTAAACATTTTTGTGTCTATGATCATAAGGCATATCGATGTGTGACTTTTTTAATAATGTCCTTATCAGGACTTGGTATTAGAATTACAAAGCTCTCAAACAATGACTAGAAGTGTTCTCCCCACCTCTATTTCCCGTCTTTGTTTAAGACTGGTATTTCTTCTTAAATGTTTGAAGGAATTCATTAGTGAAAGCATCTGGATCTGGAGTGTTCTTTGTGGGAAGCCTCTGAATTATAAATTCAATTTAGTTAACAAATACAGAGCTATTCCCATTTTCTGTTTCTTCTAATATAAGATTTAGTAAATTTTATCTTATAAAAAAAACTTGTCCATTTCATCTAAGATAAGTTTGTTTCTTATGGCTTCTCATACCCTATAATAATAATTCCTTCACTTGACTAAACCATATATATTTCACTGGACCTCCTTTCTTGGTACATTAAACTCGCTGGTACTTTTTCCTCTTCTGAGAGCTTCTCCAGCCCTTACTGACATAATTTTGCACTGCCATGTGTTTTCAGTCATCTTTATTAGTTTGTTTTACCTTTGAAAAACAGATTATAGTGTCCTCAGAGGCGGAAATATCTTAAACTTTCATTGTTCTCCATGGAATTTAGCATAGTCTGTTAACATTTTATATGTGTTTCTGAGATTATGGATTTGTTCACTGTTGGTTAGCTTGATATCTATTACAGATGTGCTTGGAGCATCTTATAGTAATAACAGGAAGCATGAAAATGTTAGAAAATAATGATAATAATAACTAAGATTGGACACATCAAAGTAACAGAAGCCAACCTTAAAGCGCTTCCAATGGCCAAACTGCAACAATTTGAGAAACAATAAATAATAATACTGGACTATATACCTCAAAGAATAAAATAATGATCCATGAGTTCATAATATTGTCAATAGTCAACTGAATGACTGAATCAATAAATGGGTGAGAAAAGTATCTTTCTTGCAGAATTCTAAATTTAAAAAAAAAGATGGAATGAGAGAAACAATAATTAGAACATCTAGTTAGAACTGCTACAGGCAAAACTCAATGATGAATACAAAAAAATGAGTGGCCAAAAGCCACTCATTTAACAAGGAGCAGGACAGTTAAAATGACTCAAAGTAGTATCCCTAACATATTAATTACTATGGTGGCTTTTAACATGTGTCTACAATTCTTTTATATTCTTCCATCAGGAGATGGAACTTAATTTTTTTCCCCTTGACTGGATGATAGAATTAGTGACTTGCTTGAAACTAATATGGAAGAGGAAAGTAGTAATTGTGGAGAAACCTGGCAAGCACCACCTTAATCAAGTAATCAAGGTTCACACATCACCATTTAAAGTCATGTTGATATCATGTACCTTTGATATTATGATAAATGTACTTTACCACTGTGGTATTTTTCCCTAATATCCCTAATGCTCTTCTAACTGTGATAACATATTAGGAAACTAATTAATATTCTATGAAATATCAGACCTTTACTCTTAAATATTGTCAAGGTCATGAAAATCAAGGAAAACCTAAAACTGTCACAGATTGGTGGATACTAAAGAAATATGATCTCTGTGGTATCCTAGACTGGATCCTGGAACAAAAAAGGGACACAGTTGAAAAACTACTTAAAAAAAGAGTAAAGTATAGACTATAGTTAATTGTATTGTGTAAATGTTAATTTCTTAGTTTGATAAATATACTATATTTAGGGGCAAGCAAGAGTAATTTGGAAACATCTTTGGTAACAGCTATAACCACTACTTCCAAAAAAGACACAGGTTGCCAATAGAAAAATTAATAATAAAGGTCAATATCCACAATACAAAGACCCTGGACACAAATCCACTTACTCACAGACACTGACACCCGGCCCACCCACAGCCCTCATCAACAGGGCCACCTGCAGACCCTGTCAAATGTCCTGCCCAGAATCTCTTTCCAGGATGACTTGTGGAGGGCTTTCCCTACCAAAACCAGTCTATAAAGATGGAGAGAGGTGACTGCTTCTTCAAGTGCACAGACACCAACACAAAGATACAAGGATCACAAAGAATCAGGAAAATGACACCACCAAAAAGACAAAATAAAGCTCCAGTAACCAACCCTAAAGAAATGGAGACCTATAACTGCCAGAAAAAGAATTCAAACAATTATCTTAAAGAAGCTCAGTGAGCTACAAGAGAACAAATCAGGAAAATAAATGAACAAAATTAGAAGTTCAACAAAGAGATAGAAACCATAAAAAAGAACCAAATAGAAATTCTGGAGCTGCAGTTATTATGACTGAACTAAAAAATTAAACGGTTTCAACAGCAGATTCAATCAAGCAGAAGAAAGAATAAACTCAAGGATATGTCATTTCGAATTATTAAAGAAGAAAGAAAAGTGTGAGGAAATTCCACTAGACTTAAGAGCAAGCAGACTAATCAGCAAGTAAGCTAATATATGGACTAGCAAGCAACATCAGCAAGCAAACTAATATATGCATTATGGGACACTCAGAAGAAGAGAAAAAGGAACAGAAAGCTTATTTAAAGAAATAATGGCTGAACTTTTTAAAACCTGAAGACGGAAATGGACATTCAAATTCATGAGAGAACTCAAATAGGTGGAACCTAAAGAGTTCTAGGAGAAATTACTATTAAATTGTCAAAAGTCAAAGGCAATTTTGAAAGCAAGAGAAAAAGGACTCCTCACATATATAAATCTCCATACAACTATTAGCAGATTTTTCAGCAGAAATGTTGCAGGCAAGATGAGAGTGGGATGTTATATTCAAAGTGCTGAAAGAGAAAAAAAGTTGCCATCTAGAAATACTATATCTGGTAAAAATGTCCTTTAAAAATGCATGAGAGACAAAGATGTTCCAAGACAAATGAAAACTAAGGAAGTATGTCAACACTGGGTCCTCCTTATAAGAAGTGTGAAAGGGAGTTCTTCAAGTTGTTACAAAAGGATACTAAACAGCAACATGAAAGTATATGAAAATATAAATCTTGGCTGGTAAAGGTAAATACACAGACTAATACATAACAATGTATATTGTAATGAAGATGTATAAATTACTTATAATCCTAATATAAAGTAAAAAGATTAGTTTTAAGAATAACTATTACCAAAAATATTAATGCACAATATAAAAAGTAAACTATCACATCAATAACTGTGTAATAAACATAGTTTTTGTGTGTTATTGAAGATATGTTATCTTAAAATAGACTGTTATAAGAAGTTTTATGTACACCTCATGGTAATTACAAAAGTATAGTAGATACAAAAGATAGAATAAAAGCTTATTACTACAAAAGCTCACATAATAAAACAGCAAAAAGGAAGAGGAACAAAAGAACTATAAAACAAGACAACTAACAATATAACAATAGTATTTTACTTATCAATAATTTAAGTGGATCAAACTCACCAAATAAATATAAAAATAAGATTCAACTATGTGTTGTCTACAAGAGAAGAACTTTAAATTTAAGGACACACAGACTGAAAGTAAAAGAATGAAAAAAAAATACTCAAAGCAAACAGTAAACAAAATAAAGCAGGGGTAGCTATTTTTGAAATATACAAAATGCTTTTAAGTCAACTGTCACAAGAGACAAAGATCATTATATAGGGGAAAAAAGAGTCAGTTTAACAGGAAGATAACAGTAGTAGACTTCAATAACTCATCTTCAATATGGATTGATCACACAGAAAGTTATTAAGGAAAACAGCAGTCTTGAATAACACTATATACCAAATGGACCTAACAGAAATGTACAGAACATTCTACCCAGCAGCAGTAGAGCAAACATTGTTCTCAAGTGCATATAGAACATTCTCTAGGGTAGATCACATGCTTGGTCACAAAACAAATCTTTATTTTAAAAAGATTAAAATCATACCAAGTATCTTTCTGACCACAGTGAAATCAAACACAATATCAATAACAAAAAAAGAGAAAATTCACAAATACATGGAAATTTGAAAACACACTCCTAAACAACTATTGGCTCACAAAAAGAAATGAAAAGGAAATTTAAAAAGTATGTTGAGAAAAATAAAAATGAAAAATATACTAAAACTTATTGGATGCATCAAAAGAAATAATAAGAGGGAATTTTATAGTATAAACACCTACCTTAACAAAAAAAAAAAAGCTAAATGAATGACCTAATTGTATGCTTTAAAGAACTAGAAAAAGAACAAACCAGGCCAAAAGCTAACAGAAGAAAGAAAATATTAAACGTTAGAACAGAAATAAATGAACTAGAAAACAGAAAAACATTAGAAAATAATATAACAAAGAGTTGGTTTTTTGAAAAGATAAAATACACAAATTCTTGCCCAGACTAAGAAAAAAAGATTCAAATAAGTCAAATAAAAGAGGGGCCATTATAACTGATGCCACAAAAATAAAAAATATCATAATAAACTATTATATGTGACAATATATACGAACACATTGGATAACCTAGGAGAAATGAATACATTATTAGAAACACAGGACCTACCACACTGAATCATGAAGAAATAGAAAGCCTAATCGGATCAATGACAAATAAGGAGAGCTAATAAGTAATCAAAAACCACCTACTAAGTAAAAGCCCAGTATCAGATGGTTCCACAGGTGAATTCTATCAAACATTTAAAGAATGAATGCCAATATTCTTAAACTCTCAAAAACTAGAAGAGGAAACACTTTCAAACTCATTTTATGAGTCCAGACACCCCAATACAAACCAAGACAAAGATTCCATGAGAAAAGAAAATAGGCCAATATCTCTGTTGAACATTAATGTAAAAATTTTCAACAAAATAGCAGCAAACCAAATTCAATAGTGCATTAAAAGGGTCATACACCACGAGCAAATGGGATTTATTCCTGGGATGCAAGGATGGCTCAACATATGAAAATCAATCAATGTGATACATCATAGTAACAGAATAAAGGATAAAAATCACATGATAATATTAATAGATGCAGAAAAGCACTTTATAAAATTAAACACGCTTTCATAATAAAAACTTAACAAATTAGGTAAAGAAGAAACTTACCTTAACAAAATAAAGGCCTTACATGAAAAGCCCATATGTATCATCACACTCAACGGTGAAAAACTGAAAGATCTTATTGAATCCAGAACAAGTAAGGATATCCACTCTTACCATTTCTATTCAAATGAGTACTGAAATTCTAGCCAGAGCAATCAGGCAATAAAAAGAAATATATATATATTTTTTACTTTGTAAAGGAAATAATTGGGAAGAAAAAATAAAATAATCTGTTTGCTGATGACATGATTTTATATACAGAAAACTCTAAGAAGTCCATACACACAGAAAGTGTTATAAATAATAAATTTAGTAAAGTTACAGGTTGTAAAAATCAACATATAAAAATTAGTTCTGTTTCTATACATAAACAATTAGCTATCTGAAAAGGAAATTAAAACAATCCCATGTACAACTGCATCAAAAAGAACGAAGTACTCAGGAATAATCTTTACCAAGGAGGTGAAAGACTTGTACACAAAAACTGTAAAACACCGATGAAAGAAATTAAATCACACACAAATAAATAAAAATCCCATGTTCATGGAAAGACTTGAGATATCAAACAAAAATATTTTGATTTGAAGAATATCAAAATGTTCACACTATCCAAAGCAATCTACAGATTCAATGAAACCTCTATCAGAATCCCAGTGGCATTTTTTTACAGAAACAAAAAATACAATCCTAAAACGTATATGAAACCATAAAAGACCCTGAATAGCCAAAGCAATTTTGATCAAAGGAAAATCTGGAAGTATCACATTTCCTGACTTCAAAATATAGTACAAAGCTATAGTAATCAAAAGAGGATAACCTGGCATAAAAACAGGCATATGGAACAATGGAGCAAAGTAGAGAATCCAGAATAAACCCAGGCATGTAAGATCCAATGATCTGCAACAAGGGTGCCAAGACTAAACAAATGATGGTGGAAAAAGTGGACATCCATATACAACAGAATGAAATTTTACCCTTACTGTTACACTGTATACAATAAAAACTCAAAATGGAATAAAGACTTAAATGGAAGACCCGAAACCACAAATTTTCTAGAAGAAAAGCTCCATAATGTTGACTTCAGCAATGATTTATTGGATATGATACCAAAGGACAGGCAACAAGAGCAAGCAATAGATATGTGGGATCACATCAATCTAGAAAACTACACCACAAAGGAAATAATCAACAAAATGAAAAGGTAACTTACAAAATGGGAGAAAACCTTTGCAAAATGGGGGAAAATAATTTATCTAATAAAGGGTTAATGTCAAAAATATATCAGGAATTCCTGCAACTCAATAGCAAAAAAATCCAATAAAAATGGGTAAAGAAACTGAGTAGACATTTCTCTGAAGAAGACATACAGGTATATGAAAACATACTCAACAGTACCAATCATCAGGGAAATTCAAATCAAAACTGAGATACCACCTCACACCTGTTAGGCTATTATAAAAAATAAAAAGATAACAAATGTTGGTGAGGACACAGAGAAAAAGGAACCTTTATAAGCTGTTGGTGGGAATGTAAATTGGTGCAACCACTGTGGAAAACTGTATGGGGATTCCTTAAAGAATCAGAACTACCACTGGATAGTAGAAATCCCACTTCTGAGTATATAACCAAAGGAATCAAAGTCTGGGTCACAAAGAGATTTCTGCACTATCATGCTCACTGAAGCATTATTCACAATAGGCAAGATATAGAAACAACCTAAATACCTGTTGACAGATGGACAAATAAAGAAAATGTGGTATATACATACAATGGGATATTATTCAGCCTTGAAAAAGAAAATCCTGTCATTTGCAACAACATGGATGAATCTGGAAGACATTATGCTCAGTAAACTAGGCCAGGCACAGAAGGAAAAATGCTACATGATACTACTAATATGAGGAATCTAAAATAATCAAACTCATAAAAGCAGATAGAATGGTGGTTGCCAAGGGCCAGAGGAAGGGCAAAATGTGGAGGTATTAGTCAAAGGGTAAAAATGTTCAGTTATAAAAGACAAGTCCTAGGGCTCTACTGTACAGTAGAGTGCCTATAGTTAATATTTTGTAAGACTTAAAATTTGCAGTGACATTATTTGCTCGATCTTATGTTAAATGTTCTTACTGCAAAATAATATGAAACTTTTGGAGGTGATTAATATGTTTATGGCATAGATTATGGTGATGGTTTCATGGTTATATACTTATCTCTAACTCACCAAGTTACATACATTAAATATGTAAAAATTTTACATTATTCTTACCTCAAAGTGATTTCTCTTTAAAAAGATCAATATCCAAAACCACTCTGACTTCAAAAGTCAGGTAGATAGTACTGACTTTTTTAGGAAATAAAAGAAACACCTATCTTTTGGTGAGGTAATATCCAATTATTTTACATTTTAACTTTCAAACAACTGTAAAGAGACATGAGATTTATACTTGTTCTAGATGCTTCCAGTTCAACATGGTAATCGGATCACATCAACTTATTCCATGCCTTCTCAGGTTCCCAAATAGCCATAAATCTACAAAGCCAAAGAAAATTGGAGTGAATGAGGAAATGCTAGAAAAATTCTAGATGATAGAATTGAACAGGACTGAGAAAGCTACAGCCTAAGTACATGTGAGAAGAAAGGATGATCAAAAGAAGGCAGAAATTTGAGAGAATTCTGTAGGGAAACAACCAGATTTCTAGACTATACCCTAAAAAGCAAGATATCAGGCTATAATCTCTGATACAAAGTTTGCAGTCAAATTTTCTTTCTTAAATATAATTGTATAACACTTACTGACAGACATTTGAAGAAAGTTGGAAAGATAAAGAAGTCTGCAATCAACAAACAAAAATAACCCTTGAGAAGTGTCTGTTTATATCCTTCGCCCACTTTTTGATGGGGTTGTTTTTTTCTTGTAAATTTGTTTGAGTTCGTTGTAGATTCTGGATATTAGCCCTTTGTCAGATGAGTATGTTGCAAAAATTTTCTCCCATTCTGTAGGTTGCCTGTTCACTCTGATGGTGGTTTATTTTGCTGTGCAGAAGCTCTTTAGTTTAATTAGATCCCATTTGTCAATTGTGGCTTTTGTTGCCGTTGCTTTTGGTGTTTTAGACATGAAGTCCTTGCCCATGCCTATGTCCTGAATGGTATTGCCTAGGTTTTCTTCTAGGGTTTTTATGGTTTTAGGTCTAACATGTAAGTCTTTAATCCATCTTGGATTAATTTTTGTATAAGGTGTAAGGAAGGGATCCAGTTTCAGCTTTCTACATATGGCTAGCCAGTTTTCCCAGCACCATTTATTAAACAGGGAATCTTTTCCCCATTTTTTGTTTTTGTGAGGTTTGTCAAAGATCAGATAGTTGTAGATATGCGGCATTATTTCTGACGGCTCTGTTCTCTTCCATTGGTCTATATCTCTGTTTTGGTACCAGTACCATGCTGTTTTGGTTACTGTAGTCTTGTAGTATAGTTTGAAGTCAGGTAGCATGATGCCTCCAGCTTTGTTCTTCTTATGCAGCCAAAAAACACCTGAAAAAATGCTCATCATTACTGGCCATCAGAGAAATGCAAATCAAAACCACAATGAGATACCATCTCACACCAGTTAGAATGGCGATCATTAAAAAGTCAGGAAACAACAGGTGCTGGAGAGGATGTGGAGAAATAGGAACACTTTTACACTGTTAGTGGGACTGTAAACTAGTTCAACCATTGTGGAAGTCGGTGTGGCGATTCCTCAGGGATCTAGAACTAGAAATACCATTTGACCCAGCCATCCCATTACTGGGTATATACCCAAAGGATTATAAATCATGCTGCTATAAAGACACATGCACACATATGTTTATTGTGGCACTATTCACAATAGCAAAGACTTGGAACCAACCCAAATGTCCAACAACGATAGACTGGATTAAGAAAATGTGGCACATATACACCATGGAATACTATGCAGCCATAAAAAATGATGAGTTCATGTCCTTTGTAGGGACATGGATGAAGCTGGAAACCATCATTCTCAGCAAACTATCGCAAGGACAAAAAACCCAACACCGCATGTTCTCACTCATAGGTGGGAATTGAACAATGAGAACACATGGACACAGGAAGGGGAACATCACACAACGGGGAATGTTGTGGGGTGGGGGGACGGGGGAGGGATAGCATTAGGTGATATACCTAATGCTAAATGACGAGTTAATGGGTGCAGCACATCAACATGGCACATGTATACATATGTAACAAACCTGCACATTGTGCACATGTACCCTAAAACTTAAAGTATAATAAAAAAAAACCCTTGAGGGAATTTGAGTGATTGACAGAATAGAACTTTTAAAACTCTAAAAACATAAAGAAGATTTTATTAAAGAAATAATCAGACAATTATCAATTTTACAAAAATCAATATAAAGAAAATTGTGTTTAATAATTCTTCCAGAAAGCTTTTAAAAACTGAAAGAGAAATGAAAAACAGAAGACAAAAGACAAAGGATATAGAGAATCCAACCAGAAGACCCAACTACTAAGAATGCCAAGGAGAATTCCCAGTAAGAAAAGCAAAGGAGAGGAATTCAAAAGAAATTTCCACAAGTGAAGGTCAGGTGTTTTCAAAATTAAAGGGCTCATCAAGAGGTAAACATAATCAATGAAGAAAAGAATCATAACCAGATATGTTTTTGTAAGAGTTCCTACAGATAAGTTTCTAAAAACTGAGGAGGAAAAAATTAGTAACTTACAAAGGGGCAGGAATCGAATTTCTTGTCAGCAATACTGGATACTAAAAAATAGAGCAATGCCTTCAAATTTCCAAGGGAAAATTGTTTTTAACTTATATGTCTTAATCTAGCCAAATCTAGCCAAAATAATAAGTCACTTTCAGATATACAAAGATTCGGAGTATTTACTTCCCACATGTCCTTTCTGGAAAAATTCTTGAGGATGTGCTTCAGCAGTAAATAAAATTAAAGTAAGAAAAGGCATGAATCCAAGCAAGAGCAAGGCAAGATGCCTGTGTACCAGTTACCCCAACCTGGGACAGAGGGAGGTATCTAGGAAAAAGGGGATTTCTAAATATTTTATTCTATTTCCTGAGGTGAAAGTACTTAAAAATGCAATAAAGGCAGATTACACAAAGAAAAGTAAAAGCAATTAGAAACTCTAGGAAAAACAAATACAATCATAGTATACAACTTAGATCAGTAGTTATAACTACATATTCATACCTATATATTGATTTTTAACCATTAGAATCAACCTAACAATATTACAACTAGAGTTGTAATATATTTGAAAAACATTATATCAACCTTAATAATTTAAAATTAAAAGCACATATGAGAGAAACTGGAAGGCATTAAAGGGAGGAGTTATAGAAAGAATGATTGTTATGGTCTGAACTTGTCCAAAATTTGAAACTCAATCCTCATTGTGCTGTTATTAAGAGGTGGATGGAAGCTTTGGGGAAGTGACAAAGTCACGAGAGCTCCATCCTCATGAATGGATCAGTGCCTTATAGATGGGCTGGAGGGAACTGGCGTAGGTCCTTTTAGCTCTTCTGCTATGTGAGGATATGGCATTTTCTTCTTTTGCTCTTCCTCCTCTTCTATGTGAGGATGCTTCCATGAAAACACACTATGGATAGAACAGGCCTACACTAGACACAGAAACTGCCAGCACCATGATCTTGTGCTTTCCAACCTCTAAACTTAGAAGAAACAAATTTCTGTTCTTTATATATCACCTAGTGTCAGGTATTTTTGTTACAGCAACACAGACTAAGTAATAGTCTCATCTTAAAAAGGAATCATTTGGTACTGTATATGATTGAGATAGAAATGAAAGAATAAGTATATTATTCAAAGGTATACAGGTAACGAGAACTTCTGGGTTTTCCTCTCTAAAATATTTAGAGGTTTTACTCTCTAAAATAGGAGGGTATTTTAGCAATGGGGAGCTGCTAGATCATTATGTATCACAGTGATTAAGTCAACAGATAATATTGAAATTTTATAAATCAAGAAATTGTGATCACATACACATGCAATACTTGATTCAGCCAATATTACACAGTTAGAACTAAAAAGGAACTAACAAAAATATAAACATAGAAACAGCTAAAAAAAATTATTAGTTTTTCTTTGGGCAGTAAGTCTAGAGGTGGGATCCAGGACTATAGTTTTTCATTATAAGCCCTCCTATACTCTTTAATTTTTAAAAGCATATATATGCATTTATTGATCAAATAAATGTGAAACATTTATTAATGTTTAAAAATCCATCTGGAAATCATCCAGCTAGACTAATGCTTCATCATAATGCAGCTCTCAGCATTTAAATAAGGTCTTGTTGGTAATTCAGAAATTACTACATTTTAAAGCTCAAATAGCAATGTCTTCTACACATTCTACTCTGTGGTAGGAAATATCACAGCAATATTTTAGAACAGATGACAAAATAGCCTATATCAGGGATATTAGGTGTTAAAGAAATAAAACTGGTTAAAATATTTGTTAAAAATATGAGGTGAATAAATGCCTGTCCTAATGAGTCTCCCCACTAGTATCTAACACATGTTAGAGAAAGAGGAACACTGGTCTCTCTGCTCACTAGTACAACAATGGATGACTGCTTAAATTGCAGCCATCCTGAAATACCTTGAGTCTGTCATTTATTCCCTCTGATTTCCTATGAGAAAGATTACAAATTGCCCACTAGAATCAGGGTCTGTGAGCCACATCCTCCACTTTCATTTCTAGGACATAATACCTCTGCCGTCAATCACAGCACAGCTCAAATTTTTTGAAGCATAGTGGGATACAACAGAATTGTCACTTAAAATTTGGAATACATCTGATGTAGCACGAACTGGACTTTCTAAGTGTGTTAACTACTCTGCAATATAGATTTGGAAAATGTGAAAATGAAGTGGAAAACCTTAAAAAGACAAATGTCCAAATAAGAAAGATTACAGTCTGTGGATGGTATTCTCATTCATCTTCAAATTTCCTTTGCTTTGTGTTTAAACCAAATGAAGAGGTTTTCCAATGTCATTTGACACAGGCAAACATCTGAAATTCAACAGCAAAGTCCCCTTCTTGCAGAAGCCTTAAAAATGAAAGCTGGTTTGCTTTTCCTAAAGAAAGAAAAAAAAAATGTCTCCCCAACCCCCAACACCCACCCTTTCCTGAAAGAGAATTTTCCAGCAGCTGGAAGTTTCCAGACCTATGTTCTCAGTGTTGGACAGCCTTATATTTACCCATTTTTAGCAAAATTAGGGCTCAGAAAGTTTCATGAGTAGTGGTACACATCAGACGTCTGTTGGAAGTCATTGTGGAAAGGGTTTCTCTGTACATATGTATAGATCTAAGTAGGAGATGGAAGTCACCAAAATAATTTTGTAACAGAACAGCAACAACAAAAAGAATAATCTATAAATATTATAGGACTTTCTTGGTGTGGATAAAATCAGAGCTCAAAAAGAGCCTCCAGATCAATCCATGTGAGATTTTACAGGCCTTCTAGAATTGGTAACAGACAAGGTTTTGCTCTCCTGCCAGCCGGCACTCCTATTTCTGATGCATTCATACAGAGTGATGGTTGTTACTAACATTGTAATTACTTATACAATCCTTTTAAGAATGTAAGTTCCATGAGAGCAAGAATGTTATATCATCCACTACTGTATTCAATCATTTAGAAGAGTGTCTGACATATAATAGGTATTCTGTAAAATTTTTAAATGAATAAACACCTTGTAAATTTACTGTAAAGAGCAAAGGAATAAGTACAGGTGAAAGTGCTTTGCAAATTAAATTCTAAAAGGTGAGCAGTTGTTACTCTGCATAATCCAATTCCTGTTGGGGCCCGCTCCTAAAGGCTCTGACAAAGCCATTGCCCGCATTTTGATTCCTTCTACTGGGCCATAATTAGACTCATCTACGTGGGAGAGGCAGGATAATGCAGTTGTTCAAAGTGTAAACCCTGAAACTGGACTTCCTGAGTTCAAATCCCACCTCTATGACTGACTGACTAGCTATATGATCTTGAGAAAGTTATTTAACCTCTCTATGCTTAATTTCCTTATATGTAATTTGGGAGATGATAATGATGCCTAACTTATAGGGTTGTGATAATTAAATAGATTACTATCTGTAACTCATTGAAAACGGGCTGGTACAAAGTAAGCATTAAGTACGGCTGCTAGTGTTGTTGCTACCACTCCTATTACTATAGGGATGCAGAAAAAATATAAGGAAATTCAGCAATGTCCATACTGCGAACTTTTTCTACTAATGCCACGTGCAAGTTTAAGGCTATATTTTACATTGCTGAATTCCTCTGAAGTTTCAACTTCATGAACTATTCTTCTACATATTTAGTTCCTTAAAGAGCTCAATGGAGCTACAGCTCAGTAAGTTATGTGTTTTGGATAAAATAAGGATATGAGCTGAGGCATTTAATCATAGAAGCAGCCTCAGGCTCTCTATCCATTCTTGGCTTGTTTTTCAAAGCACATTGCTAAATGTGTTTTCTCTTTCATAAAGTTTTTTAAAAGTTACTTGGACATGACAAGCTTCTTTAAATATAAAACAGTTTCAATTTTTATTGAGATTTGCTTCAGGAACATTCTTAGTGTTGGTAATATTTTTAGACAATAATTTTATTCAGAAGACCTTATTTTATAGATTAACTGCACAATAGAGTTCATGCAGTTACATTTACATGGACTTTGTGCTCCATAGTACTGAAATCCAAATATCAGTTTACTTCAGTATAAGCATATCAGATTGACCTGAAATGCTCTAGAACTTTTAAAAGGCAAACGCCAAAATGAAACAACACACCACCTCTCAAGCATGTATTCTGTGCTATGAGCAAGATCTTTCAGTTAGAACTTACTAAATTAGGTCAAGAGGTTCTCCTGGGATAAAGGAGTTTGCCAAAGTAATTCTAAAATTCCCAAAATAAGGCACACAGCACTATAACATTTCACTGATTCTTACTCGTTCTTTTATAGTGCTTTGGGAAATGTTAGACCATTGGTCTGCATCATTTCACCTCCTTGTAGGGGAAAAACTGTCACCAGCAACTGCTGCTTCAAACTGTAATAATCTTCCAGGTTCATTCTAGGGAATCCAAAAGGCGAGCACCACATATTTCCTTTCCTTTCCACAGGCGATCATGCAAATTCCCTAGCTTAAGGCTGAGAAGTGCGTATGTGTGTATACTTATGTATATTATGTATATACAGCCTATGGATATTATATATATATACACTATGGACAATATATATAGTATCTATGGATATTATACATATGCCATCCATGGATATTATATGTGCATAATCTACGAATACTGTATGTAGATGCATATCTAATATACATACATATACATGTATTCATTATTTTATAGAATCAAGTTGAGCTTTTCAATTACTGGCAGATCTACAAAGGCTGTTGAGATTTAAACCATTACAAACAATTACATGAGAGTTGTCCCGGAGTCACAGAGCCCAGAAAGCTAATTCTAACCTGCTTTCCTTCTTATGTACTATATACTTCTAATTACCCAGCACGGTTAGGTTCTCATACCATTTTGCATATTTTCATCCAAAAATTCAAACCTACTCCATCCTGAGAACAAAAGCTGGCAAGAAGCACTCAAGTGATGGGTGAACAAATGTATTAAAAAAAGCAACATTCTGACATGGAAATGTCATGTGAGCTGCCGAATGGCACACAGCTCCAAAGTCTACCATAATATTTTGAAACACTTTGCCAATGAGCATATAATTGACTGAAAAACTTGCCAGCACTATTCCAGAGATGTTTAAATACTACATAATAAAACAATTTACAGAAAAGAATTAAATGTTAGAAGTACATTTTTAGAAAGCTTCCAAAACCAATGTGTGTGGGTTTTTTTTTTTTTTTTTTCCCATTTTGGAGCCAAAGAAATAACTCTGATATTCTCAGTTCTCACACTTTGCCTTCCATATTTGACCTGCTGCCTATCACTTGCATTTTTGCATAGCAGTCACATCAGTCAGTAATAAACCTGTATTTATTGAGAACTTTAGAAGTACAGATATCTTGGCGCAAATTGCTATAAGATCCTGCCTCATGAGGTCAGCATCTGTGCTTTTTTATGAGCATTTTTCCATCCATCTATCTTTCTAACAAGTATTTATTAAGCACCTAAGATATGTCAAGTATTGGGTTAGATGCCAGAGAGATAATGATGGGCAATATAATGTGACTGCCACCATGGAGTTTATAGCCTATCTGGGAAGGGTCACAGTTAAAGGAATAATAATCATAATTTGTGGCTGGGCGCAGTGGCTCACGCCTGCAATCTCAGCACTTTGGGAGGCCAAGGCAAGCAGATCACATAAGGCCAGGAGTTCAAGAGCAGCATGGTCAACATGGCGAAACCCTGTCTCTATTAAAAATACAAAAATTAGCTGGGTGTGCTGGTGCAAGTTTCTAATCCCAGCTACTAGGGAGGCTGAGGAAGTAGAATGGCTCGAACCCATGGGGCAGAGGTTGTAGTGAGCTGAGATCACGCCACTGCACTCCAGCCTGGGTGATAGAGCAGGGGAAGAAAGGGTGTAAAACATTAAAAAAATTGTTTTCAGAAAAACAATGGCTGGTATGTAGAGAAAACAAGGGGCAAAGCGGTAAGAAAAAAGACCGGAGAGGTGAGCACAGGCTGGGACTATTACTGTTTTTCTAAGATCCATTCTTTGCCCTTGGTCACTCTTCTATGATCATTTATAGTTTTAATAAATACTGGACTGGGTAACTAACAACACATCCTGAAGTAATAATACACAATAAAACTATTATTCCATTATTCTTAACACAGACTTCTCCTTGTAACCCAGTGAATCATCTGTAACAAAACCCAAAGCAACTATATATCTATTCCACAAGGAAATTTTTAGTTTTTTTATTAATAGATGATAGGTCAGGCTTTATGACCATATCTGCATTTGTGACTGACATTTCCTTTATGAGATTTATTATAATGAGGACAAATAATACAAAAGCAATACATTTAAAATCAATAAAAAAGGAGAAAAATCATAAGTACTCCTTTACCTTTCAGGAAAAGTTAACCCTTAGCTATTAATCACATAGTTTAAAAAACAATATAGGTTTCAAAGAAATATAAGGATCTCAAAACTATGATTCTGCATTAATTTATTGTATAAATGTTTTCATAGAAAACATCAATATTTAACAGTGAAATGTATATATTAATGCAATGTTTGTTTATGTTCAGGTACATTTATATACATATTTGCATGTGCATTTATTTCTGTCAATAGGCAGTTACAGGAGCAGTAATAATTAGCTTTTATTCTTGTGGGTTAAGTAGAACAATAATATCTATCTACTTCATGTTCACTTCTTGAGACAAAGAGGCAATTTTTTATTTCAGCTCTTTTCTTTTTGTTGGATTCTATTAAAGTTGAGGTAGAATAAAATACAATTCAAACCAGTTTTACATATCTTTAATGTGTAATTGAGAGTTTTTTGTTTTTAGTCCTAAATACTTTGGCTCCATCACAGTAAGTCCCTATGGGTAGCTGCTAAATTCTTAAACCAGAAGCAATTATATTTCAGGAAAGAGTCATTTAAATGTTTGTATCTAGCACCAAATGTATTTTTGTCTTAATAAATTATAAAATGTCTTTCCTCTCCCTTATTTTTTCTAAGTCCACCCTTTCTTCTCTCTTGACTTTGGCATATGAACTTGTACTTGTAGCCAAACACATCAGTTGAGCTGGGAGTATTATCTTAAACAGCTGGAAGGGAATGATGAAGATGCTTGGCCAGCCCATCACCCAGCCAGCCTTCCTCTGTTTCCTCCCCACCCAAGTTCTAGATTTTGGCTTCACCCAATCCAACCAGCCTCTTCTAATTAACTCTTCCATACTCAGTTGTCTAAAGCGATATGGCAAAACTTACTGCCAGTCCTATTTTGGATTAGTTTGTAGAATATTTGTGTCTTTACAAGTCATACCTTTACAACAGCTCTTGTTATATGAATATTCTACAAATTAACTCCCATCACCTATGTCTGCTGAGCATTGGAATATTAGTTGGACTGTCAAGATGCCATAGAGGAGACAGGTGGTTTCTATGGAGAAAAGCAGCTAGCTGCCAGAGGTCCAGCTCCAACTGTAGCCCCCCCTTCCTAAAATAACCTTGTCACCAGGATTGAGGCTTTCTATATGCCAGATTGTAGGTTGAGGCACCCACAGTTTCAACAAGACTACTTAGCTATGGTAGCTTCATCAGTAACTTTCAGATACACATTTTGTTTCATTTTCATGGGAATGCAACAATATTAACCCCACAGAAAGAAATGGATGCTCAGAGCATTAACTGATTTGTTCAAGTCACGCAACCAGTACACGGCAGAGGTGGGACCAAAACACAGGACTTCTGAGTGCCTGTGTGTCATGTACTCCAAAACAGCAAAGTCTTTGGCAATGTCTCTCAAAAATTCTCAGACTGTATCTGCATAAAATCGCTGTGGGTGATTTTTAAAATGCACGTTCCTGGATGCAGTCAAGACCTAAGAATTACATTCTCTGAGAGTGGGGCCAAGAATCTGCATTTTAATGAGGTCCCTAGGTAATTTTCATTCATAGTAGAGTTACAGAAAGGCTAAGTCTTTTCTTCTATTCCTAAACTTTGGAGTATCCGTTTTTCATCAGAAATGCTTCTGGGATCTTTAAATTAATTGCCTGGGTTGTCTTAGGAACAAGTCAAATACTTATATAATATTTTCTACATCCTAGGTCTTGTTAATTGATTAAATTCTCACAACAACCTTACAAGGTAGATAATAGTATTACAATACTCATGTTATAGATAAGGAGACTTAGGCACAGAAAAGCTAAAGGGACTTCCCTCAAATTACACACAAGATGTGATCCTGGGCCATCTGGCTCCAGAGTCCATTTGTCAACCACTACACTATGCTAGTGCTACAGCTTCAAACAAAGAATCACAGTCACTGAAAAGTGCTGGAGAGCAACTGCTCGTGGAAATCTTTGCTCTGAGCTTCATGGAACAGATCAGAGTTCCTCCAGGATGTCCTGCTCCATACTCCAATGCCTTCACAGCTGTTCTCCCTGCTAACATGCCATGTATGCCCTCCTAATCTGACAAAACCTGGACACTTCCTGGATGTCCAGAGTGAGCCTGATGTCCCTCATTTTTGTTCCCAGGGCCTAGTGCACACAAGCCTCCTGGCACTAATTATACTAACCTATACCTGCAAATCTAAGCCTATTTTCCACAGGAAACTAGAACTTCCTAAGGGTAGATATTGAGCCTTATTTATTTTCTGCCCTAAGTATCTAGCAGTCAGCGGGAACTCCATAGATGCTTGTGGAATAAGTGAATGGTGGAATATACAGTAAAGAATGGTTATTCCCTTTATAACAGAATTTACCAAAAGTTTCTGAATCCCTGTGTTCATTGACATATCATTAATGTCTTGACAGAAAGCCTAAAGGACTGAAAGGTAAAGCCACTGCCAACTGGAGATCAATCCAGTATCAGATAAAACATCTTTGAAGTCATGATGTAAGTCAGTGGGAAAGCTTCTACGGGATCTAAAAATGTGAATTAGACACAGCTTTTCAAGGACACTCCTGTTGCACAAAAGGGAGTGTACACGTTAGAGAAGGTTTGCCTCAGTGCTATCAACATGTAAGCAGATGGGGACATGAAACAGCTTGTGAATTCAGTCCTTTTCTCTCCAGCTGGCAGAAGCAAGGATTTTGAGAACTCTGCTCTCCTGTCTACTGAAGGATCATGTTTCCCTGCTCTGCAATGACCATCAAAGCCATCTGGGAAAAACAAAATTCTTTTGCACAAGAACATAGGGAGCAACAGGGAAGAACAAAGCTGCAGTACTTTGGTTCTTTGGCTCCCGCTTCTGGAAAACTCTAGTTGGTATTTTATCTAGCTTGTTCTCTCAGTGGTGTAGTAAATCAAACAGGATAGTTGCAAAATGTTCTACAGTGTTGGGGAAGAAGAATTTCTTACATGCCTAGAAAGCCACCAGGGTTGTAAATTAAATTCCTCAAACAAAGCAGCCCCAAACACACAGAATATTAGCTTCCCCATTTTGTGTAGTTTTCTAAGCTCTTGAGATTGTGTACATGTTAAACACATTCACTGCCATTTTCTTCCTTGAAAAAGATTTTGAGTTTTCTGTCACATCAAAGAATGTATATCAAAGAAATACAAAATGGAATTTGTGATTAGTAGAAACAGAGCATATTAATTTTTCCTTCTAAACAATACCCTAAGATGAAAACAGGCTAAAGCCATTATGCTAATCCAGTGATGGAAGGCACAGATTACCACACAAATAAACAATGTGTGTTACAGAATACAGACTAGAGTGTGCCTCACAATTATATTTTATGGTGGAATATATGTTTACGGAGCTTTTGGCCTGGTCATTTAAGAAAAATGTCCTTAGGCTGGGTGTGGTGGCTGAAGCCTGTAATCCCAGCACTTTGGGAGGCCGAGGCGGGTGGATCACCTTGAGGTCAGGAGTTCAAGACCAGCCTGGCCAACATGGTGAAACCCGGTCTCTACTAAAAATACAAAAATTAGCTGGGCGTGGTGGTAGGTGCCTGTAACCCCAGCTATTTGGGAAGCTGAGGCAGAAGAATCACTTGAACCTAGCAGTTGGAGGTTGCAATGAGCCCAGATCGCGCCATTGCACTCCAGCCTGGGCAACAAGAGTGAAACCCTGTCTCATAAAAAATGCCCTTAAGTTTGTAGGTCTCTACAAGTTTCATGTGAAATATGGAGTTCTGTGAAAGCCATATCTCATGGAATAAATCCCAATCAATGTCTTTGACCAGAAGTTCAGGAGTGAGTGCCCTCTGCCTATGGTCACAGGTTTAATCAACTCCAGTATGGGCCAGTTATCTCTGCTACTATGGTCTGAATGTGTGTGTCTCCCCAAAATTCATATGTTGAAATCCTAACCTCCAAGGTGATGTTATTCAGTGGTGCGGGCCTTTGGGAGGTGACTACATCACTAGAATGGGATTAGTGCTCTTATGAAAGAAGCCCAAAAGAGAACCCTCATTCCTTCCACCATGCAAGGACACAACTAGAAGCTGCCATCTATGAACAACAAAGTTGGCCTTATCTAGACATTAAATCTGCTGGCACCTTGATCTTGAACTGTGGAAAATTCAGTTGTTCATAAGCCACATGGTTTATGGTATTTTGTTATAGCAGCCTGAACAGACTAAGATGTCTGCTCTGCCCAACAGTCAAAGAATGTACTATTATTTCCTTTTAACATGGATCCTATGGGACAATTAGGCAGGAAACATAGATGCTTGTTCAAAGAAACAGCATCCCCAAAACAAAACCAATCTAAGAAGTGCATTCCTCATGAAGAAGAATTTATCAACCATATTAACATGTTGTTCTCTCTTTTAAACTCCTATTTTTTGCTTCTTTTTATTCAGTTCATTCTCAGGAAGTGTGTTGTGAGAACAGATCTAAGCCAATGTAATCATCAATATTATCAATATTAGGTTCCTTCTGGTAGGTGAGATACGTGGGTCTCCTCTCCCATACCTTACTACCAAATTTGTCATACGTTCAAATGTCTATTAGCAAGCAGACACAGCACAGGTAATCAGTTCCATGATAATTCACTGTCTCTGTTCTTTTCAGTGCCCCCCAGCAGTTTGCATCAAGAGCTCAGGGGAGGCAGATGCGTTGATGTTCTAGTGCAATACTCAGCATTATTTTAGTTACTATAGAACAATCCTGCAAGCAGAATGGTCTAGGCTATAAACCTACAGTGATATTAGAAAGGTGACCAGATTTCCAGACTTGTATCACTAGATTCCCAAATTTTGTTCATGCAATAGTACAGAATCCACAAATCTTAAACTCCATTTAACCATTGTAAAAAAAAATACATTTCTAAGTCTTCTTTGTTGATCAGATATGTTGATAATTGAAATGTTTATGGTAACTACCTCATGCATCTTTGAAATACTAAACACTCTGAATTGAATATCCTCAATTAGGTGCTTCAGATATTGGTTTACCATCTCTGAGAGATAGAATAATTCATGTGTAATACACACACTCCACAGTGTCCACATGGAAGAATTTAAAAGTAAATTACAGAAAGTAAAAACAAGTGGAACCTCTATTTTTAACATTCTTTCATTAAATTCAGCATCAAAATGAGTGATTCCAGGAAGTACATGACAAAACTCTCCCCACCCATGTCAAGAGTCCTTAGCAAATCTTGTTTCCTTTCTACAGTATGTGAAAGCCTGGGGATCCAGAGAGCATGGATAGAGAACAACAACAACAACCCTGAGCATTAGTTCCAGGTAGGCAAATAACCATACAAGTCCATTTAGTTTGGAATTTTTGTGCTAAAGTTTCCCTAAGAGGTATTGTCAGACCAACTGAGATACATATTAGTTCTTCCTCAGACAAGTGCAACAGGTTCAATTCGGTTGAGTTAAATAACATTATGGAATACATGCTTGTGTTTCTCCCAATCTCACCATCAACCTTATATGCCAGCTTTGAACTATTGGCTTACAGGACTGCATTAATCACATGCCTGCTTAAAAAAAGTATTTGCCTACTAATAAGAAACAAATTCTTTAGCCTAAAAACAAAACTTCAACCTACCTCTATAGCCTGGTTGGCGACTGCTTTGACCATTTCTTCCCATTCCATTGAGAATGTCAGTGTGAGCTAGTCTCAATAACCAAAATGACTTTTCACACCTCTCCAAGGATCCACCCTTAGCTAGCTCTGAGGATGTGGTAAATTAATCTGTCTCACCACAGCACGTGGCAGAAAGCTTATACTGGATGTTGGTCTGGCAGCCAGACAAACTGGGCCACCCAAAGACCAGGAGACCCCAGACCCCAGGAGTAGGCCTGAGGTAGACAAAGTAGCTAGTCAGCAAGAGAAGGCAGCACCAAGCAAAGAAAGTCCAAGGAACTCTGAATCCCCTGCGATCCTCTCTGACTTACCCCGTGAAGCCTGAAATGTCTTGTGCCATAAGCAACCTTCTTGGCAGTCCCAGACTCATATTCAAAGCCCTCGTCAAGTTTCCTCTGCTCTCTATGCCCTTGATTTAGACTGCAGAATTGGTCTGGACTTGCAGTGGGTTTAGTGTCCCTCCCAGGTCCCCAGTGACATGTATTACATCTCCCTCCTTGAATGCTTTACCTTGCTTTTTAAGTATTTACTAACGTAACTGACTCCTCACTGGGCTATACATTTCCTAAATGAGCCTGGGCCCCATTCATCTTAGTGTTCCCAGAACCTAGCAAAGTGCTTAGCTCATAGTAAATGCTTTTAAAAATGTTCATCAAATAAGTGAATAAATAAGTGCACTCTAGTTTAGAAATGTAACAGCACTTCCTCATTACTGCATAGCTTGTTGATCTAGATTCTCATTATCATGACCCTGGATAGTACCCATTCTCAAACTCTTCCATAGTGGATCAGAAGCAAGCCCTTGAGCCCCTTCCCCAACAAACTTTACTGGAATGTACTTCATTATCCCTGGTTTTCATTATCCTTGGTAAGTACAACAGTCAATCTGCACACACACACGGTATCTTGATGTTTTAATTATCTTACTAATAAATTCCCTGAAGTAAAAGGCATGTTTGTTTGTTTTTCAATTTTATGACAATGTTTTATTTAAATTCTTAAAAACTCTCCGGTATCACTAATAAATACCATATGCAAGAAACTAGGCTAGCTGGGTGGGGCCCAAAAATGATATGATATCATCTTTCTTTTCACAGATCTTTTTATCTACATGGGGAACAGGATATAGACCCATGAACTGAATCACCATCACACGAACCATGCAGACAGAGGATTAGGGAGGCTTTGCCGGGGGGCGGCCACTGGTCAGGTAGAGATGGCATGTGAGGATTTGAAAAGAAAGTGGTACTGAGACAGAAGACATAATTTAAGCACTTAAGGTCAGGAAAGTGGCAGCAAGCAAGTCTAGGCTCTAAAATGCTTTGCAGCAACCCCAGCAGTGAGCAAGAAGAGGCCGGGATCAGGCCCAGTGGAAAGGCTGGGTCGAAACAGGCTCTATTTAAGATCAGTGGTGGTCACCCACCATATCCAAACAATATGATTCTTCCAACTTAGCTAAGGGAAGGGAGTAAGGGAAGCAGGGAGGGAATGAGGGAAGCTCTTAGTGTAATTACTTGTAGAAATTTGGTAATATATGTACACTATGCAGGAAACAATGGTTTTTCCTTAATATAGCAATGCATGAGGACATATCACTATTTTTCAAACAAAACCCAGAACAGCATACTCAACCCTACTCTCTTATTTGGAGCTGTGTGAAAAAGTAAACTTAACTTTTGTCCAGACCTTCTGAATAAGGTAAACTGACTCATGTCTAGAAACAGGTTTTTTTCTATAGTAAGAGAATAATTAAATTTTATATTTTATGAATATATTATTAAAAACACCAATCAATAAACTCCAAAGGATGAGTTCAAGTTTAGACCAATGAGATAGCCACCATAAGATGTATCTGGGTACAACCCGATGTGATGACACATATTGTGCAGGGTACTATAGGCCCCTAGAGAGCAGCAGCCAGTATTATCCAAAGACTGATATCAGAGGCTCATGTCAGGCTGCTTAACAACCACTGAGCTGGGCTGGGTATTCCCGCTCTCATCAAGGGGGACTGTGTCCAAATCCCACATAAGGAGGGCTGCAAAGTCTCCCCTATACCTTAGACAGACTGCACACAAGTCAAGTCCTTTGATGCCAAAGTAATTTTGTTACTGAGCCCTATAAGACCACTCTCATGTCCTTCCCCCTAAAAAGTAAGAGATATAAAATATACTTTGCCCTGGAAGGTCCTTGCTTGGAGTGAATGTAAATAGAAGGCTTTGAGTGCAAAGACCTACTGAAAATATAAATGTTCTAATAATGATTTATTTGTAAGCCTAACTCTTCTACTGGACTGGGAGCTCCCTGAGGTCTGGTCTGAATGGTGTCTCCAAGGCTTCATTCAGTGCTCAGTGGACGGTGTAGGCTCAGTACATGCTTTTTTGAGTATACAAAAAATAAATGCTACAAGGCAGGAGAGTGGCCCTAAATGAAAATTTGAGTTTTAAAGTTGCTATGGCATATAAGTACTTAAGAGACACTGCAGAAACTGTATAGAATCATGTATAGAATCATGAATAGAATCAATCCTACATGTATAACAATTTATTTGTAGACAAGATCATAGGAGCAGCATTGTGGATATCAAGGTGGGCTCACTTTCTAATGTCAGAGGCTGGTGCTCATTGGAGTGTGCCTCTCAGTCACATCTAGTTCTTGAAATCTGAGGAAAAACTCTATTTAAAAGTAGAGAGACTGAAAAAAATGAGTCTTGGATTAGCTAGATTCAGATAATTCAATATTTTTACTACTAAACCACAGAGATCTAGATTACTAGGGAACAGAAATTGCCTTGAATTAAATACCACTCTGGGTAAGCTAGTATTGGCTTAATGAGCTTTTTGTGTACTGGGCTTAATAAAAAATTGTATTAGTCATTTTATACAAATATAGTGGAGCTGATGAATTACTCATAATAAAGAAAAATAACCCCTAATCCATTTTAATAATTCCCATATTTCAAAATACAGAAATTTGTCCTCAAGCACACAGAATCCTAGATGATAATACAGGCCCAGAGAAATGAAGTGAGTTGCTAAAGTCACATAACTAATTAATGAAGGAGATAAGATTGGAACCAAGGTCTCGCAACGCCTTGTCTGGCACACTTCTACCACATCAGTGATTTCCAAACAGTGCCCTGTAGAAGCCCTTCGAGGATCCTGGGACAGCAGGTGAGGGGGCCTGGCAGGCACAGTTCCCCTCTTTGCATCATGCTGTCTTTTCATGCAGACCCTTGTGCTTTAGTGCACTGGTACCCAGATTTGTGGATTTCATGCTACTGTAAAAAAATAAAGAATGACTACATACAATTACTATCATGTCATAAAAGAAGGGATATTTTAAAACTCAAAACATTTGGAGGAGAGAATCTTGGAATAAATAGAAATTATTTATAAAACACAGCATGGTTCCACATTTTTCTCATTTCACTAAGAATAACAGGAAAAAATCCTCAATGTGGAAAGTCACTGTTCTGTAGACCTTCATTTGGGAAGCAGTGGTTTTGTGGCAAGAACATAGAATTTGGATTTCAACCACATCACAGTAGCAGTGCATCTTGAATGACTCATTTTAATTTCTAAGTTTTGTTTCTTATGTATAAAGTTCAATAGTAATTCCTGACACACACCACAGTCCCTCACTCCCATCCTCTGCAAGAGTTGCTCCTTTCAAAGATATCTACTTCTGTTATTCTCAAAAGGTGGGCTCAGGACTACTTGCATCAGAATAATCTGAGGTGCATATTAAAAACCCAAGTTCCTTGAACCTAACCCAGATGAGGTTTCCAAGAAATGGGGTTGGTTTTAAGTGGTTTAGTTTAGAAGGCACAAAGCCTGAGTTGTTATTTTTTAATGATAGTTTACAACATCTGCTCTAATTACCAGAGGCTGATGGTAAGATTATGCAGATAAAATTCCTTTGGAAAACTGCAGCAACTATAAAAATAGAAAACAGAGAATAAGGGAAAGGAAGACAAGAATAAGGACTAAAGAGAAGATGCGAGGAGGGCAAACCATTTATTCTTAAATTAGTTTTCTTACCTGATGAACAAGGACTGTGAACGGGATCAATGACTTTTTAACCACCCCATTAGCAGCTAAACTATTTTCAAAGAAAATCTTTTAAGGAAATAAATCTTTTAAGAAAGCAATGTCTTCTGACAAAGGCAGAGTTGCTCTAGTAGAAGTGGCCCAGAGTTCTGTCCCGTCAATGCCCTATCTCATTCCCTCCATCCTCCTGGTAGCCTCTGAGGCCCCCTATGCTAGAAGATAATAGAATGACCTGCTTGCTCTCTGAGGTATTGTTCTGATTCCAGAGAAGGTAGGTCTAACCATTAACTAATGCTATGTATTTTAATATAATCAACACAGAAAATGTAGCCACCCAATCACCAGATTCTCCCTGAAAAGTGATTCACGTGCAGGACATCTTAAGCAGCATGGCACACCACAAACATGATCAATAAGAAGGTACCACACTTAATTTTTTAGTCCATTACTGTTCTTCACCTAACACAGAGGTTCTCACCAAGTAATCTGCTCCCTTTCTTTCCTCACCGGACCCATGGAATCTGTTGCTTCCTTTCCATCCTCCATGGCTACAGCCATCGTACAAGTTTCAGGAAGGCCACCCAACCACCTTCTTCACATCATCCTAGCCTTCAGACCCCTTTAGTCCATCTAATATCTTCTTGCCAACTCATTGTCTTGATAGTGACATCTGAAAACAAGTTCTCACCCCATGGTCTTCATAGAGACAATTCCAACTCATTAACCCCAGACACTCACATTTCTTAGCTCCTCTCATTAAAAAGCACACTGGTCTAGGGGTCTTTTTGAGTCATCAGGGTCCAAGCTCCTGCTCCACACCTCACACACGTGTTCCTCTCCAGGCTCCTATCTCAGGAGATGACAGATTCCACCACTCACCAAGGTGTTGAGATCAAATCCTTATAGTCACTCTTGACATGTTTACTTCTCTCAAATCCCCATCCTACCCACATGTATGAAACAAGGCCCCTCCTCACGCCCTCCACCCTGGCCACCATCATGCCTCCCTGGCTTGCTCTCTGCTCCCATCTTCTTCTACTTTTCTTCTTGCTCAGCTCACTCTGCTCCAGCTCCCTAGCCTTCTTGCTGTCCTCCAATACACCAAGCACATTCCAGTTTCTGGGCCTTTGTACATGCCTGTTCCTCTGCCTGGAATGCTCTTCCCCAAGATGTCTGCATGGATATAGCCCTCTTTTCATTGAGGTTCTGCTTCAATATCACTGCTTCAGAGAGGTCTTCCCTAAGCACCTTATTTCAAAGAGTGCTTCTACAACTCTATCTTTACCCTGCTTAATTTTTCTTCATAACATCACCACCTGAAATTCAATTATATATGCATCAGTTGACACATTTATTATCTGATTCCACTCTCATTTGTTGTGGAGCAGCATGAAGTCTGAGTGGTAACTTTGTTTCTGACCCAGTGTCACCGATGTCTAGAATGATATAGGGCACTCTGAAGGTTTTCAATAAGTCAATCACTCAATTAAACAAAAATCTAACTCATCTTTAAATCCCTCATTTTATCAACTACTCCTTCACATTTAATATTAAATAATGTATATTTTTAAATTTTTTAAATTGTGGTAAAACACACTTAACAAAATTTACCATCTTAACCATTTTTAAATGTACCGTGCAGTAGCAGTCATTGCATTCACATTGTGCAAGCATCATCACCATCCATCCACGGAACTCTCTTCATCTTGCAAAATGGAAACTCCACATCCATGAGACAATAACTCCCCATTCTTCCTTCTCTAGCCCCTGGCAACCACCATTCTACTTTCTGTCTCTATGAATGTGACTACTCTAGGTACTTCATATAAATGGAATCCTATAAACTACAAATCATTATATGCAAAACTTGAATAATTCTCTTTAAACCTTGCATCAACTCAATTCAATTTTTGACTGGCTTATTTCACTTAACATAATATTCTCAAGGTTCATCCATGTTGGTTCTTTGGCCTATATTCCCAAAAGTAGAACTGCTGGATCATATGGCAATTCTATTTTTGTTTTTTTGAGGAACTGTCCTACCGTTTCCCACAGCAGCTGCATCATTTTGCATTCCTATTAACAATGCACAAGGGTTCCAATTTCTGTACATCCTAACCAACACTTATTTGGTTTTTTTTGATAGTAGTCATCCTAACAGGTGTGAAATGGTATCTCCATGTGGTTTTGATTTGCATTTCCCTAGTCATTAGTGATGCTGAGTATCTTTCCTTGTGCTTATTAGCCATTTGTATATCTTCTTTGGAGAAATGTCTTTTCCAGTCCTTTGCCCATTTTTTAATCAGGCTGCTTGGGTTTTTGTTGTTGTTGGGTTGTAGAGGTTTTTAGATATTCTGGGTATTAACCCCTTATCAAATATATGATTTGCAAATATTTTCTCCCATCCAGTGGGGTTACTAAATAATTTATATTCTTCATTTTTTAAGTTGGTTGGTTCTCTTAATCTATCCATAACGGTTTCTACTTTGGACAGTGTACTCACAGAGAACAGAGATGGTGCCTGTTGATTTGATCCATGCAATGCTTAACAAACAATGCTCTATGCAGGCTGGATGGTTAAAGTTTTTTGAAGATTATACAACAATATAGTGTACTATTTGGTATCACTTTTCTTTCAATAGTGGCAGACAAATGGAAGTACAACTGTTAATTAAAAGCACATAATGTTGCCTGATTATGAGTAAAATGTCCCAGCTCACTACAGCACAATTCCTACAGCATTAGTGGAGAATTAACTAGCTTTATTAAAGATTTGGAGGACTAGTCACTTTTTCATCATCCTTTAATTAAAACCTCCACATCTTCCACTTAAAAGCCTTTGTTTCGTACCCATTATTTTCATTCTTTATTCTGGCCTTGAAAAACCAGGATGAAAAACAGTAAAAGCAAAAACGTTTCTAAATGAGCTTTTCATGCTGTAATAATAAAAAGGCATAGCTTTCTAAAATACTGAAAAAAAATAAAATTTTAATGTTCTTTGAACTAGAAGGCCAGGAAAAGAAACAGAGAAAAGCAGTGTTTAGCAGAACATTTTGGAGTTCAATGTTCTTTTATATTCTAAAATGAATTAATGCTACTATATAATTTCTCTCTACCTTCCCACTCACACTAACTGAAAGATACCACAGTTGAGGGGTACCAGTTCAAGGTCCTAAAGTGGAAAGCTATTGTTATACTCTAGCCTACTTTACTTTTTTCTTAACTTGGAATCATTATTTATTTTGAAGTAAATGGCATGATGCAGTGGTTTGAATGTGCCCCCTCCAAAATTCAGGTATTGAAACTTAATGGCCAATGTGATAGGATTAAGAGGTGACATGGTCATACGGGCTTGTTCCTCATGAATGGGATTACGGCCCATATGAAACAGGCATTACACAGCATTCGGCCCTCTTGCCCTTCTGCCGTGTGAAGACACAGCATTCCTCCCCTCTGGAGGATGCAGAAACAATGCACTCTATTGGAAGCAGAGTGCAGCCCTACAGACATCAAACTTGCCAGAGCCTTGTTCTTGAAATTCCCAACCTCCAGAACTGTGAGAAATGAATTTATGTTCTTCATAAATTACCCAGTTTCAGGTATTTTGTTACAGCAACACTAATGAACTAAGACACACGGCAAGACAGAACCTCCCTCAACCTCAGCTCCCTCCTCCCGAAGATCCACGCATAAGGGTGCCCAGCACAGACCCTCACAAATATCAGACACTTAATAATAAATTAATAATTTAAAAACCATTAGCTAGAATTTGGTGGATGTTCTGGGCCAAACCTCATACTGTGTGCTTCATATTCACAATGTCACAACAACTACATAGGCAGCTGTGGTCACTTGATGACCACTATACAATGTTACACTTAACTGCATATTTCTCCCCATAACTTGCCCAACCCAAGTTACAGACTTTCTCTCCCCTAAAAATACTAGAATATGCTACTTAGGGAAAGGAGAACTTGATTTTTTAAAAAATATATTGATTTTGGAGCCTACATTTCTAAATCTTTGTATACAGTTTATAGAGTTCATTACATAGCTAATTTCAGCTCAGCTGAGAAGAAATCTAAAAATAATATGCTTTTTGGTTTCGTCACTGAAACATTCATTCTGTCATTGAATTTAGCCTGATGCATCTTACAAGAAGAAAAATCTGATATAATGTGTGTGGAAAAGAATTTGACTGATGGAAAGGAATAAAAGTGAGCCAGTGCAATGTCTATACCAGAATTATTATTTGTATGATTAAAACATAAAGACACCTGAATTTATCTTTTCTGCTTCTGCTGTTTCAGTCTCATTAAGACTATGTTTCTGCTTTCTTCTAAATATTGTTTTCCATATTTCAAACATCTAATTAAGTAAACACAATACAAAGTGAGATGATATACTGTTTGGAAAACCATAAAATTATAGAGTAGATAGACTTCCATTATAATCCAATTTTCATTCTGTCATAATTTTCCAAGAGAGTTTCCTTTGGGGTTAAAATTTTCTAAGCTTGATTTCAGTTCAAAATTGAATGTTTTCATTCACTTGTATGTAGAAAAGACTCAATTCAGTCTTTTCTGTTGATCATATGAGTGTGTTTCCTTTAAAAGTAGACAAGGCTTAATTTTGTTGATGAAACCTATGACAGACTTCTAGACCCACCTTACTTTCAACTTCTTGGGCACTTAAAATAATTACTTAAGTAATATAAAGGGTACAGAAGCCAACAGAGAATATGTTTCTTTGCCTTAGTCCTCCAGTCCTACCCTATGTACAACGTGCCCCCAGCATATACCCTTTGTATACATAGGACTGTTGTCTTACCACAGAAACTAAGAACTAGAATTGTTGGATCAAAAGGAATGCACTTTTTAAATAGTAATATATGCTGCCCAACTATCTTCCAAAAAGCCTTCACTACATTATTATAATCTCACCAAAAGCACATAGATGAGAATACCTATTGCCTATATTTATTAACACTGAATGTTATTGATCTATTGAATAAAAAGTTATCTTAATATAAAATTTCAAAATTATGAGTATTTTATTGTCCATTTAAAAAATTGTATCTCTTATCTTGCCTTTGAATATTTATTTTTCATTTTGCTGCAGTAGAGCTGTAAGTTATTCTTTCATAGAAGGTTTTGTACCTCTAAAAGTATTTTGCCTTTATGTTTGAGAATCCTAGGTTCAAAAAGTTTTCCACGAGAATTTTAAAGTCTTGTGCTTCACTGTATTACAGAATCCAGGGCGGCCAAAAAGAAGTCCACTAACAGAATCCTCTTTCTTTCTTAGGTAGATTTTTTAATATATAGGTTATTTGTCTTTCATCATGCTGGGAAAGTGATTGACCCACTTAATCTGAAGGCACAAATCTGTCTTCGATTTAGAGAAATTATCTTATTTATTTGATAATTGCCTTGTATTTTGAGAGGACTGCTTCAATTTCTCAAGTAATAATATTAATAATGATAACAGAAGCTAATATACGTTAAACGTTTCTGCTTGTTTTAAATATTTTACATGTATTAGGTCATTTAATCCTCATAGAAACCGTGTTACAGTAGCCCCTCCATCCTTAGTTTCACTTTTTTGCGCTTTAGTTACCCACAGTCAACCACAGTCTGAAAGTATTATTGCATGCTGTTCTGAGTAGCATGATGAAATCTTGCACCGTTCCACCCAATATGTGAATCCTCCTTTCGTCCAGAGGATCCTTGCTGTAGGCACTCATTCCCAGTTAGTCACTTAGTAGCCCTCTCAGTTGCTAAATCAACTGTCCTTGTATCTCAGTGCTACTGTTAAAGTAACCCTTATTTGACTTACTAATGGGCCCAAAGCACAAGGTAGTGATGCTGGCAATTTGGAGATGCCAAAGAGAAACTAGACAGTGCTTCCTTTAAGTGAAAAAGTGAAAGTTCTTAATATGGAAAGAAAAATCATATGCTGAGGTTGCTAAGATCTATGCTAAGAATCTGTTTGTCAAATTATAAAGAAGGAAAAAGAAATTTGTGCTAGTTTTGCTGTCACATCTCTTCAAACTGCAAAAGTTATGGCCTCAGTGTGTGATAAGTGCTTACTTAAGATACAAAAGGCATTAAATTTGTGTGTGGACGACATGTACAGAAATGAGTTCCAATTGACAGCAATTGGGTTTGGTACTGTCCGTGGCTTTAGGCATCCACTGGGAGTCTCAGAACACATCCCCTTGGTTAAGGGGGCACTACTGTATTCCCATTTTACAGATGAAGACATCGACAGAAGCTAAGTAACTTTCCTAAATGATACTATTAGAAGCAGAAGTGCCAAGTTTACTCCTAGGCCAACTGTCTCTAGGCCCCAATTATATAAGCCAATAACTAAAAATTGTTTGCACAGCTATTAAAACAACAAACTATGAATGCAGCTGTCACACTAACCTGTCCAATCCAGGTAGTCTGAGTTTAAATGCCAAGAATGCCTCTGACTCAAGATCCTTCTGAATCAGTGACTAAAGTCAGATGACTCTCCTGTGTACATATGCTGTTTCAATACTCATCTAATATTTTATGTTGCCTGTGAGTGAAGGTTACCTTGGAGAGAAGGGGAAGCAACTAAACAAAGCATCCAATGTTCATAGTATTTCAAACAATACCTATCAACTTTCATAAATGGTCTTATTCAATGGAGATAGCAAGTTTGACATTGATATTGTTAAGAACTAAAGTATATGATCAGAGCAGACAATGTATTTACAGGATTTATTTCCTGATAGAAGGAGTAGAATTTTTCCAAAAGAATCAGAGCTGTACAAAGGAAAGGTGCTTCCATCCAATTATTTCCTACTTGTCATCTCTGATAGGAACCCACCTGGGGGTGATCTGCAGAGTCTACCTGTGTTAAATTTCTTCACATAGAGCTAGCTCATCATGCAAGTGGTACTAAGAAATGAAAATTATATGGCTTAGAAAATGGTTTAGCAGAATGCCAACAAGCAGAACTATCTCATGTGCAGATATTATGCAACCCCAGGATTTGAAAATAGTTACCTTTACCCACTAGTCCCATGCTGTGTGTAGAATAAACCAGGTTGAGAATGATCAAAAGTTAACAGATTATAGCAACAATATAGTTATAGCAACAATTGTATAAAACAAAACTGTGTCTAAATTGAAAGTACCTCTGGCTACTTTTAAATCTTCAAGAACAGGAATTTGCCAAATCATTAAAATCAAATTAGCATAATTAAGGATCTAAAATTGTTAGAGTATTAATGTGATTACATTTATTTAAACCCAGTTAATGAAAAATTACTGTTACACCCTTTTAAGAAAAAAATTACATTAAATTATATCATTGGGTACCATTTAGATTAGCCAGTTAATCTCAATATAACCAAAATCTGTATCAGTAATAGGAGTGTTAGTAATTTATATATAATTAGAATGAAAGCTTTTTGGCCATAAACAATCTGGGGAAGTCCTTATAAAATAATAAGTGGGAAAACAAATTGTCCTACTCTATAAAAGACATTATGCAAAATATAATACAAAAAAACTAAAATAATATAATACTTTTTTTTACAAGAAGTAAATAATACTTTTTTTTTACAAGAAGTAAAAATAGTATTATTAGGGTAACAGTACTGTAGGAGGTTTTATACTTTCCTTAAATTTTTAATTTAAAAAGTTTTAATCTACAATGAACTCAAACAAATTTACAAGAAAAAAACAAACAACCCCATTGAAAAGTGGGTGAAGGATATGAATAGACACTTCTCAAAAGAAGACATTTATGCAGCCAAAAACACATGAAAAAATGCTCATCATCACTGGCCATCAGAGAAATGCAAATCAAAACCACAATGAGACACCATCTCACACCAGTTAGAATGGTGATCATTAAAAAGTCAGGAAACAACAGGTGCTGGAGAGCATGTGGAGAAATAGGAACACTTTTACACTGTTGGTGGGACTGTAAACTAGTTCAACCATTGTGGAAGTCAGTGTGGCAATTCCTCAGGGATCTAGAACTAGAAATACCATTTGACCCAGCCATCCCATTACTGGGTATATACCCAAAGGATTATAAATCATGCTGCTATAAAGACACATGCACACATATGTTTATTGTGGCACTATTCACAATAGCAAAGACTTGGAACCAACCCAAATGTCCAACAACGATAGACTGGATTAAGAAAATGTGGCACATATACACCATGGAATACTATGCAGCCATAAAAAATGATGAGTTCATGTCCTTTGTAGGGACATGGATGAAGCTGGAAACCATCATTCTCAGCAAACTATCGCAAGGACAAAAAACCCAACACCGCATGTTCTCACTCATAGGTGGGAATTGAACAATGAGAACACACAGACACAAGAAGGGGAACATCACACACTGGGGCCTGTTGTGGGGTGAGGGGAGGGGGGAGGGATAGCATTAGGAGATATACCTAATGCTAAATGACGAGTTAATGGGTGCAGCACACCAACATTGCACATGTATACATATGTAGCAAACCTGCACGTTGTGCACATGTACCCTAAAACTTAAAGTATAATAAAATAAAATTTAAAAAAAGAAAGTTAAAAAAGTTTTAATTTTTAACATGTTAAAGACTGAATAAATAGCTCTGTTAAAATAAAGAAAAAGAAGAAAATAAAATGGTATTATTTTCTATCCAGTTTAACATTTTGGTATATACTTTTCCAGTTTTTCTCTTTATTATTCATATTTTTAATTTAAAATCTGTAACTCTTAAACTATAATGTTAATAACAATTCTGTTCCTTTGTCACTTAACAATGCACTGTGGACTTTTTTTACATTTTAAAATGTTCTTCTATGACAGTGGTTCTCAAAGTATGGTCCACAGAACCCTAGATGTCCCTGATAGATCCTTTTTTATGGTCTGGGAGGCTAAGTCTATTTTCATAATACTAAAATGTTTTTTGCCTTTTTTACTGTGTTGACATTTGCACCGATGGGGCAAAAGCAATGGTTGGTAAAACTGCTATAAGATTCAAAAGAAACAAGGCAGATTTTGATTGTTGATGTAGTATCAAAGAACAATATCCAAAGTTATCTGAAGAAATTATTAAAACACTCCTCTATTTACAACTACTTATATTTCTGAGGCTGGATTTTCTCCATTTTCCTCACTGAAGCATCGTAACAGGTTGAATAGTAATGCAGCTACGAGGATCCAAATGTCTTCCATCAAGCCAGAGTAAGACACTAAAAAGATCTGCAAAAATGTGAAAGGATACTAACCTTCTTGTTATATGTTTTGTTTTCAAAAATATATTTTTAAAGAGTATCTTATGTTAAACAATGTGTTTTATTTTTAAATGTGTAAATATATATACAAATATATTAAATATATATATTAAAATTTTCTATTTTCATTTCTAATACAGTATTGATGGATATAACCACATGAACAAAAGCTTTTTGAAGCCCCAAATAATTTTTACGAGTATTAAGAAGTACTGAGAAAAAGTCTGAGACGTGCAGTTTATAACAGCACTTTTACAGAAAGCACAGTGATCTTTTTCATGGACATGCCTTAATTTATTTAGCCCTGGAATATACATACATTTCTTGAAAACGAGGACTACTACGTAAATCCTAAAGGGCCTGGTGAGAAATGTGCACCCGGTGAGTAATGACCTGATTTTGGAGCCACAGTTCATGGTCATCATATCTTCCCCCAGGAGGAGGGCTGATTGAAGAAGAGGATCTAGGACTAGATAAAGCCCCCTCAGCTATGGGTGCCTACATTCATTCTCCTGCTGAGTTTTTTTCTCCCTTCTCAATATTTTGTGTCATTTTTCTAGGATTTCCACAGAAAAACACTGAAAGAAGTTGGAATACAATTTATTTCAATAAATCGAGTATTTTCCTTTAGCTCTCATGAAGTCTCTGATATATTTTTTCCATTTCTGATTGGCATTCTATCAGGTAGAGTCCTGGGTACATGAGTTTTGTCACCCAACTACCTTCCTGTCCTCACTACCTCTGAGTCCATCACTGGTGATGCACACGGCCCTTAATGACATGGCCCAGTTTATACGTTTTCTAACTCTAGACTTCTTAAATCAGATTACTTACACTAATTAATTTTTAAAATTAGTTTAGAAATTAAAAAACATCTGCCCAGAGTTTGAAAGCATACAAATTCTATAAAATGCCATTCTCTCATGCCTTATATTACTTAACAAATTAAATATATACAGAGTTAGCCTCATTAAACTCGAATGGTCTCTGGGAGACCTACCTAAGTAACTCTGAAGCAGACTATATTCCCTAAAATGTATTCTGAAGTACTGAGGAATTTTCATTGTTATGGAGGCGTTTGAGCACCCATTTTTTAGTAGGCCAGGATATCCTTGCCAGAATGCTAAAGAGAGTAGAACTAAATGACAGTACAGCCATGTAAGGTTCTCAAACTGTGAACATTGATGCTGTTTATTCCGTAATTTAGTGTAAAATGAGTGTGGGAATCTTTATTAGTGATTTTCAAGTGCAAAAGTTGAATTTGTCCTCCAAAAATTTGCACTGGCTTTTACTGTTGTAAACCAAGCCACAGCCTCCTTAATCCAACATACCCTTTCCGTTGTATGAGTCCAACCACAAACACACTTTAGATCCTCAAGAAATAATTTCTCAAGAAAACATAGTGGAGTAAGTAGCAACCCACTTGGGTCCTTAACCAGGCTCCTCTGGGCCTAGGATAACTGCACCTGGGCTACAGGCTTGTGTTCTGAAGAACAGGCTCAGTGTTGCTGGCAACTGCTGAGTTAAAATTTCCAACCACCACACTCCTCGTCCACAGCCCTGATGTCTACCCCTTTCCTCTCCCAGAATAGTTCAGTGATTTCCACACCAGGTACAGAGTCTGATCAGTTTCCAGGGATAATATTTTACCTTCTCTCACTCCTATGAAAAAAGGAAAAAAAACAACTGTTCGCTACCCCATCCCTTAACTCCTAGAGGGTAAAGACAATAATGCTATCACAGACTGAAGACGGTAGGTGTACCTAGGCTAGGTCTTCTAGGGATTGTGGAAAATGATGCTTTTAGTCTCTTTGCAAATTACAATATTCCAAGATGACCACAGTAGGAATGGGTGCTCCTAAAGCGCAGATGCCTAAGGTGGTCTCTTCAGTCCAGTATTTGTCAACTGGCAACAATTTTGCTCTCCAGGAGACATGTGGCAATTTCTGGAGACATTTTTGGCTATCACAATGGGGCTGGGGGGTGTTGCCACTAGCAACTAGTAAGCAGAAGTTAGGGGTGCTGCTAAATACCCACAATGCTCAGGACAGACCCCAAAACAAGGTATTATTTAGCCCAAAATGACAACAGGTTAAGAAATCCTGTCCCAGTCTGATGTCAAATGCATGCTTCTGGATCCATGGATTTAAATGAAAATATTGCTTACATTACTTGATAGTTCATTCAATTATTTGCATTCATGTACAGTTTTCATTATCAGAGATCTGAGCCTGGCTCTAACATCTACTAGTTGTGTGACCTTTAGCAAGGAGCTTAAACACTCCACACCTGATCTATGAATAGGGAAAATAACTCCTCCACACAATTGTCATAGAGATTACACTACAGAGTACATATAAAGTGCTTAGTGAGTAGAGGTTAGCTGCTGCTGCTATCATTATCATCATCATTATCATGAAAGACTTAATAACTACTAGGTGCCTGACACTATGTTTAGAAATACAAACACATTTTCTTATATTCTGAAAATACAAGAAAGAATAAAGACTTAGAACCTATCACTAAAGAACTCACAGAAACACCTAGCTGAGCAAAAACATATGAGAAGACCTATCTGACTATGTAGCAAGATCCATCTTTTCATTTGCCTCTAGCATCCCAGGAAGCAATGCTTGGCCCTCTTGGGTCTTCTTATACCCTGCCTTCCAGTACCTCTCCCCCCATCGTTAACTCAATACACTGTAGTACTTCAGGCACTTTGTAGCAAAGAGTTACTCTCACAAAAAGAGAAAATAGCAAGCTAGTGAATGACTTCTCGTGGACCTCAGAAAGGACCTCAGAAATCTTCACCAAGTTCACGATTCAGGTGTTAAAAGTTTCAGCCCATGAGCAGCACACGGTCAGCACATATCATCAGGCTACTTGCTCCCCATGGTATTTTTGGGATTTGTCAGGTAGAAACTCTTAATTTAGAAGAACTAAGCATCTTTCAAGGAAAAAAAAATCCCTGCTAAAATATTATTCATAATTTATTTTCCTTATTGTATCAAGTGACTTTTACTTATCCTTCTTATATCACCTGATACAGTTCCACTCCTTGTTCTGTGCAGGAAAGTTTTAATTTGCACATACACATTATAATTTGTAACTGTAAGAATGACTGCAGCGTCACATTCACTAGAATAATGGCCTGTAGCATAAATAAATAGGGGTCATAAGGGAAGTATATGCCTTAGGAGAATATCCTTTAAGCTGTGCAGTTCAGAAATGAGGTTCTGTCTTGCACCGTTCTACACATTCAGCGGCAGGAAAAATTACTTGGAAGGTAAAAGCCCTATTAAATGCCATCTTTTTTTGTTGATTTGGATTAAACCCAAATGATTATTTTTAAGTTAATGTAAAAACACTGTGGAAAAATGAATCATGTTTTAATTGCTATAATGCTGCATCATTTACTTAAACTAGAAATGATTGGTGAATCTGGTTTGGTGGTATGTCCCAAACAAGCCAATTAGTACAGAGATTAACCTCTATAATCACTCTCTAGCCGATTGCTTTCCATAATTTTTTCATAAAATTTGTTTGCATTCATGTTTTTGAATGAAGCAGGTAACTAGCCTTGCATTTTAGAATTTTAGTCCTGTTTCATAGAAAAGTTTACAATATTTGCTTTGGAGAAATTTATTGCTGATTTACTTGCATGTAATACAAAAATCCCATACTTTGCTGAGAGGCTTCAAACCATAAAAGGACACAAGATAATTACTTTTTGGACTATTTAGGAAGCAGGGAGTTTCACTTAAAAAAAAAAACTCCATGGTTTCTCAACTCTATAAATGCTTCTTTAAGAAAAATATACATTCCAAACCAGAATGATAAAGGAGGCACAGAAGTGTCTGCATGACAGCCTTCTTCCTTCAAAATACATCACCACCTTCCATAACATCTGCTCTATCATTTTGGTCACTCACAACCTTATATGCTCAGAAAGAAATATTTGTAAGATCTAATGTAAAAAGTGCCCAGCTGTTCACCCTTATGCTGGGGCAGTCCTAGTGGTATATTTGTCCTGTATCTAAATGGATGCTCTATTTGTATCTGTCTCTATCAAATGTATCAGATACATATGGAGGATATAAGGTGGATTATCTTTAGACCAATTTACATAAAAAACCAAGGAGCTTCCTCAGATGGAATGGAAGAAAATGGAGTGCCAAGGAAACAATCTGCTTCTAGGACAAGACACAATGATGTCAGAAAAATGAAGTAATGGTGAAAAAACCACACATAGGTAAAGTCTTTGAATACTGAGAGACTGGTTCAGTGGGCACTCATGAATCCTGGGCAGAGAAACTGCAATAAATGCAGAGCTAATAATTCAGAATGGTTTATCTGAAATCTCAGTGGGGCACTAGAAAGGCATGACGTTGGCACTCATCCACTGATGGGAGATAATACTCATTACTGAGCTACACATAACTGCCACTAGATATGGGGCTCTGTCACCATGGACGGGTTATCAGTTGAAGTCACAACTCCCAGCTACCAATGACAAGTGAAGGCACAGCAACTGGAAACCTTCCCAGGGTAGAAGGGGAATAACTTGCTGGTGATTAGTGGTAAATAAGAGGCCTCATTCACAGAATGTATGTGAGACACTCACTGGAGTCTCCAGAGCTATTTGGGAGGAATCTGAGTGAGCAAGCTGAAGCCAAAGAAATGCTGTTTTGTAACTGTTACTGTGATTTGTTTTTATCCCCAGGATGAAGTGGCTTGGGAAATACAGGAAACTTGCAGAAGTAATGATGACTGCGATAATAGCTACTTTATTTTCTATGTAGTTCTCTGCATTGTTTCTGTGAAGTAAGACAACTATATCAAAATATTTCACTGAAAATTAATAAGCTCTCAAGTGAAATTATAAAAGATCTTGTGATGTGAGACACACTATCCAAAAGTACTGAACCAGGTGGAGGAAACTGCTGAAAATCAATGTCTCCTCTATTTTCTCACGATATACCACAGACAGAGAACATTACCTAGCTTATTACTGATTGGAACTAAGGAGTAGAAAAAGCACTATCTGATTTCCCTGGAGTCTCAGGGTTGTATGGGGCACCCCCTGCATCTGCCCAGCCTTCTACCCGGGAGGAACACTCCTCAAACATACCTGGAGGCAGAAGACATCCTACAGGGTACTTAGCCTCTGTCCTGCAACCACACAATAGTCCTGCCTCTCAGTGAACTGGCCTTTCCTGGGCTAAGGACCCAGCCTCTCCAGATCTATGACTGTCACAGTGCTCTTAGCGCTAGCTGATCTCCCTCAGCCTGTACCAGGGTTCAACCCATCTGATCAGGCTGCCTCTGAGCCTAGCCCTCCTGCCAGGTGTGTGCACGCTGATATAGCCACTCTCTCAGGTAATGCCTAACTTAACATCATGATATATTTAATCCTCCCATAAAATATTTCCTTCATTTCTCTTTTATTTCATCATTTTTTAAAAAACCATAGAGAAGA
The DNA here is from genome assembly GCF_000001405.40 of Homo sapiens. Lineage (NCBI taxonomy): Eukaryota > Metazoa > Chordata > Mammalia > Primates > Hominidae > Homo > Homo sapiens. The sequence goes on from NC_000013.11 coordinate 43,538,271, forward strand.
TGAGAAACTAAATGTGGAATGGTATGTCACAGGTCTGAATAAGGCTAGAATGACCCTAACGTGACACATTTTAGATTGTAGACTTGGGGTACACATATATAAATTATTGTAGACTTTGGGGTGGGTTAAATAACATTCAGATTAGGAAAACTTCCTTTCATTGCTTTTATACTAAAAATTACTGTATGAATTAATGTTGAATTTTAATAAATACTTTATCATCATATAATGAGGTAATCATGTGCTTTTTCTTCTTTATAAAATTAGTATGAAAAATTACATTGAGTCAATCTTGTGCCCCTGGTTTAATTCCAATTTGCTCATGTATTAACTATTTAATATATTACTTGCTAATGTTTTCATCAGGATTTTGTACTTATTTGACATAAAGTTGTTAATATCCTCTTATTATATTTCTAATGTCTGCAAGGAACTATAATGATGTCCTCCTCTTTTTTCATTCTTACCACCTGGCTATAGTTTTAGTCTCTTCTTTTTCCTTGTTTGAGGTTGAAAATGTTAATAGACTTCTCAAGAAAACATTTGCCTTTCCTCCCCGCCCCTGCCCTTTTGGAGACGGGGTCTCACTCTCATTCACACTGGAGTGCAGTGGTGTGATCACAGCTCACTGCAGCCTCAAACTCCTGGGCTCAAGCAATCCTCTCACATCAGACTCTCAAGCAGCTGGGACTATAGGTGTATGTCATCATGCCCAGCTAATTTTTTCATTTTTCAAGGATGGTGGTCTCGCTATGATGCCCAGGGTGGTCTTGAACTCCTGGCCTCAAGTGATCTTCCTGCCTCGGCCTCCATAGTCACTGGGATTACAGGCATGAACCACAACACCTGGCTCTTGGCTTTGATGATGATTTCTGCTGTACATTTATTTCTTGTTTTTGTTTCTAAATTTTCATTATTTTCTGCTCTCCTCGTTACTTTCCTTCTTCCTACTTTGCTTTAGTTTATTTTCCCTTTTTCTAAGTTTTTGAGATGAATGTTGTTTAATTTTTAGTCTTCCTTTGAACATATGCACTTAAGGCTATACATTTTCCTCAAAGATGGCATTAGTTGCATTTTATATATTTTGATATGTCGACATTTCAATATCATTCAGGTCAAAATATTTTCTAATTTCCACTGTGATTTCTCCTTTAACCCAGTATTTATACAGAACTATGTTTCCTAATTTTTAAACATAGAAATATTCAAGATTTTGCTGTTGTTTTCAGGATTATTGTTACTGTCTTGTAGCTTAAATAAATTATGATCAACTTTTAATTATTTATAAGTTTTCAATCCTTTGAAATAATTTTAGATTTGCTTTTTGGCTCACAAGTTTTTTTATATGTTCTATGTATACTAGAAAAAAATGATTTTCTGCACTTGTGTATTCAATATCTTTATGTGCCCATAAAGTTTGTCATATTATTTAAACTTTCTAAATGCTTACTAATGTTTTGTGTGTACTCTCAATTCCTGAAAGAGATATATTGCAATGTCTTACTCTCTGAATTTTCCTGTTTCTCCTCTTAGTTCTGTCAATCTTTGATCTAAATAGTTTATATTATTAACTAAAACTTTGAGATTATTTTAACTTCCAGGTGTATTAAAGCTTTCACACTTGTAAAATATCCTCTTTGTATCTAGTAATTTTTTTTTATTTAAGGTCTTATTAGTGTTAGTGTAGCTACCATCACCCTTTGCTAGGTGGAGAGCATTAGTATTTACAACTTATCCATTCTTGTATATTTTGACTTTCAACCTTTTTACACACTCATATTTTAGATATATCTCTTGAATGTAGCATTAAGTTGGACCTTATCCAGTCTTACAGTCTTGTCCTTTAATTGAAACATTACATCTATTGACAATGAATACAATTACAAACATATTCGAGTTTAAGTCTACCATCTTAGCATCTACTCAGCTATTCTGAACCAAGTATCAGATCTGGTTCAGAAAAACATAATTTGTTTTTTTCCCTAACACTATTCAGCATCAACTTCAAACATGTATTATGAGGATTAAACACATTTATATGAGATTTGTACAAGTGCTTTGAAAATCACAATGTCCTAAAGCCAACTTCGTGTTACTAAATATGCTTCTATTAAAGATTTTCCAAAGATCTCTGATGCAGGCTCTCGAATGCAGTTTCAGACAAGTTGAAAAAAAGAAAAAAAACTAAAAACAAGTATTGGCAGCATGATAAGACTCCCAAGATGACCCTTTTAAAAGAAAGAGGGCTCATGACCTTTGGCATAGAAAAGTATGTTGGAAGGCTCTCAGGAGGCAAGGGCTTGGTGAGTTTAAGGAATGGTAAAGATGCCAGTGTGGTGAGAAGTGGTGAGACTGGTGAGATGGCTATGAGCTAGGTCCTGCAGAGCTTTGTGGGGTTGTTGACTTTGTTAGAAATGCACTTCCCAGTATGTAGTGCAATATCATGGTCAGGTTTACATTTTCAATTGTTTATTCAGTCAGCTGTGGCCAAAACTAATTAGAGGAGGCAAGAATGTAGGGGAGTGGACAAGGTAACCATTCAGTCTTCTAAAGGACCCCCCCTCAAAAAAGGTGGTGCCTTTAACTTGAGAAACAGAAGCAGATAGCTTTGAGATGCCTCTGAGGGTGGAATCAACAGCACATAAGAATCTCATGTGGGGAATAAGAGACAGGGTGATGTCAAGGATGATGTTGGTAATTCTAAATCAATCAACAGGCTGATGAGAGGTGTTTGCAGTAAATTTATATCTACAGTAAATAAAGTCTAATACTTATAGACCATTTATCAAATCTACTGCATATCACTGTTGTCTTATTTCTGTTCTTTAATATTTACAAATATCACAAGCTTATGAAAACCTCTCATAGTTCCACACTCTCCAACCTTACACTTCTTCCCTCTGTTTTTTTTTTTTTTTTTTTTTTTTTGCTAAAAATGATTTCAGGGACCAGATGCTGTGGCTCACACCTGTAATCCTAGCATTTTGGGAGGCCAGGGCAGGGGGATTGGTTGAGGTCAGGAGTTTGAGGCCAGCCTGGGCAAGACAGTGAGACCTCATCTCTACAAAAACAATTTAAAAACTAGCCAGGCATGGTGACATGCACCTGTAGTCCCAGCTACTCAGAAGACTAAGGTGGGAAGATCACTTAGGGCCAGCAATTCGAGGCTGCAGTGAGCTATGACTGCACCACTGTACTCCAGCCTGGGCAAAAGTGCGAGAGCTGTTTCTAAAAAATAAGAAACAAAAACGATTTCCAATAAAACTGAACAGTGCACCACATACTATATTATTCTTTTCACAAAAGGCACAATGAACCTCAGAGGTTCAGACCAGGTTGACACTGTCTCTAAAAAAATTAAAACATGAAAGTTTCATCGTATTGCATTTTCACAAGAAAATAAATTGAAATAGGCAGTCCTTGCAAAACACAATTTGTTTCTTCCCTAACACAATACTCGAGTACCGCTGCTTTCAAAAGAAGCATTTCTATTATACAACCATCATGTTTGTAATTGAAATAATAATGTCAAATCATTATTGGGCCTGCATTCCATTTAGGTTTTCAAGTTCTGAGCTCTCTCCAAAATAAAAAGATAAAGTTTCTAATGGAATCATAAGACTGTTGAGTAACTGAACATTTTTCTTCTTTTTCTAGTTATAAAAGTTATGTCAAAAGAATCCCTCCGAAAAAAAGAGAACGGTTTCTGAACACTAGAAAAGCTTCACTCACTGTCGGGGGTTCCAGAAAATCCCCTCAGCAATCAATCTGCAGAACGTCAATAACAAATGATACACTTCCCTCAACTGCAAAAACAAACAGTAGAGATGCCAGAGGTCCCTGGAATTTAAAGCATAAGTGTCTTCTTCTTTTTTTTCTTTTTTTCCGAGATGAAATCTTGCTCTGTCGTTCTGGCTGGAGTGCAGTGGCGTGATCTCGGCTCACTGCAACCTCTGTCTCTCAGGTTCAAGCTATTCTCAGGCCTCAGCCTCCCAAGAAGCTGGGGCTACAGGCACGTGCCACCACAGCCCCGGCTAATTTTTTGTAGAGACAGGGTTTCACCGTGTTAGCCAGGATGTTCTCCATCTCCTGACCTTGTGATCCACCCACCTCAGACTCCCAAAGTGCTGGGATTATAGGCTTAAGCCACTGTGCCCGGCCTTTTTTTTTTTTTTTTTTTCTAATGAGACAGTCTCACTCTGTCGCCCAGGCTGGAGTGCAGTGCCACGATCTTGGCTCACTGCAACCTCTGCCTCCCAGGCTCAAGCAATTCTCAGGCCTCAGCCTCCGGAGTAGCTGGGATTACAGGCACCTGCCACCACACCTGCCTAATTTTTTGTATTTTAGTAGAGATGGGGTTTCACCGTGTTGCCCAGGGTAGTCTCAAACTATTGAGCTCAGGCAATCTGCCTGCCTCAGCCTCCCAAAGTGATGGGATTACAGGCGTGAGCCACGGTGCCAGCCATAAGTGTCATCATTCATTCAGACTGCTGTAATACAATACTGTACACTGGGTGGCTTATAAACAACAGAAATCAATTTCTCACAGTTCCAGAGGCTGGGAAGTCCAAGATTCAATTCCTAGTGAGGGCTCGCTTCCTGGTTCATAGACGGCTGTCTCCTTGCTGAGTTCTCACATGGTGGAAGGGAGCTCTCTAGGGCCTCTTTTATAAAGGTACTTGTCTCCTTGATGAGGGCTCCGGCTACGTGACCCAATCACCTCCCAAAGGCCCTACCACCTAATACCATCATCTTAGGGGTGAAGATATCAACTTATGAATTTGCAGGGGACAAACTTTCAGTCTGTAAGAACGAGTATGCATGAGGGCTGAGAGGAGGGGAGTATGTATGTTACACATGGGGACATGGAATGGGGAAGGGTGTGAAGGAAGGTGAAGGTTGTTCTTTCTTCTACTGTTTGTTATAGTGATGCTTCTCCTGGGGTTGAGTGGTAAAAAGAGGAAGGAATAAAGAGAGGAGGGGAAAAATTGGGGGATCAGATAGAGCCCTGTTTTCCAAACATCATGTTTTGAGCTATTAGTGAATGGATCAGAAACATAAATTGTTTTGGTAAGCTAGAACAGAAGCTATCGGAATATACTGTATGTAATAGAGGTAACATTTCATGAAATATTTTGTTTCACATATAGATGAGTGTTATTGTGTGGGTATATGTAAATTTTTGTGTGTTGATTTATCATATAAAATGCTTTTCATATTACGGTTTGTAGTAAAAAATGAGTCACTGAACTAGAGTATTTAAGGTTCCCTGCCCCTGCTTCCCACAGTACAGGACTGTTATGTTAAAGACCTGATGTTCATTTTTTACTTGTGTTTTATGCCTTTAGAACAAAATAGTAAGTTTTTTCTTTATTTCTGTTACCCATAATGATGCAAAGAAAAAAAAACCCTTGCTTCTGACTTTTCAGAAATCCTGTCTTATTGTTCTCATTTCATGCCATGCATTGATTTCCTGTTAAATAGTTTTCAAATCTCAAGCCATACTAGATCACTGAGCTTTTAAAGATTATGAAAATCATCTTTCTCTTTTATCTCTTTTGTAGATGGTTTTTAAAACTGGCATGTGATGTGGCTTTATTTAAAAATACATTCCCATCTACATTATTGTCTTTTTTCTTTTTCTTTTTTTTTTTTTTTTTTTTGGATATGTAGTCTCACTCTGTCTCCCAGGCTGGAGTGCAGCAGCACGATCTTGGCTCATGGCAACCTCCGCCTCCAGGGTTCAAGCAATTCTCCTGCCTCAGCCTCCTAAGTAGCTGGGATTACAGGCATGAGTCACCACACCTGGCTAATGTTGGCCAGGCTAGTCTCAAACTGACCTCAAGTGATCTGCCTGCATTGGCCTCCCAAAGTGTTGGGATTACAGGCATGAGCCATCGCGCCCAGCCTAAGCTACTGTCTACCAGAAAAAAAAGTACACAGTGAATCAGAATCACTTTCTTGCTGTATAAACTTGGAAAGTTATTCATTCTCTCTGAGTGCCAGTTTCTTGGGCTGTAAATTAAAGCTAATATTATCTCCTTATCTAGATTGTTGTAAGGAGTGGAGATGATTCATGTTAAGTGCCTGACCAAAGTTAGGCACTCACTAAATGATATTTTGAATTATAATAAAATGAGAACCCAAGCACACAACTATTTCTTAGTAACCTCATATATAAGCAGGCCTCTTGTTGTCTACTGCCTTGAAGAGCCCATTTAATCTCCTCTCACCCCACCAAGGGCCAAAACATGGCCCGACACACAGTTGATGCTTGATAAAAGTTGACAGAATTGAATTAAGGGGCGGTGCTGTTGTGTTTTCCTGATAGAGTACACTTATTGCCAAAATAATTATAGAAATCAAGTTTTATGCCCAAATTAGCTCATTAATTTTAGGCTGGGAGCATAATCACAAGAGAACCGCCTATCTCCCAAATGATCCAACTACAAAGAGAACAAAAGTCAAGCTTCATCCAGTAAGCGTCACCTTACCTGGCAGAGGTTTAGCGCATCTCTCTGCTCTGGGAAGAAGCCAATAATTGAAAGCATCTGCTGGTCAAGACAAGCAGAACATTTAGGCTGAAGAGGGAGTGATATTTTTGCTTATCTTTAAAAGGAAAGAACGAGTTGATAAGAGAGAACAGTGGTTTTGCTCTGAAACCAGCCTGACAAACTATATTGAACACAGAGGTCCGTACTTATTTTCTTTCAAAAACTTCCTTTCTTCTGCTCCCATTTATACATAAACAACACATATCCCTAAACTCCATCCATTGTTTTATCCTCGAAATTCTTAGCCCCAATTGGCCTCACTGGCAGCACATGCTCTCCTGACCACACAGCTGCGTCCAAGGGAGGTAGGGGCACAACCTTCAATGGTATCTCTGCTATCTCAAAGGAATTTCAGATATCATTAAAACAATGTGTCTGCGCCTCTAAATAAAACAGGCCAGTCATGTTTCAGTAAACTGACAGTCTTCTCTAAAGGACCCCGAGGTGTACGAAGTTACTGAGTTTTCCCATCCTACCATCTTCAAAGTGATAAAGAAAATGCAATTGTTATGCAACTAGCCTTTCCAGCTGACCCTAGGGTGGCATTTGCTGTCTACTCTTAAACTACCTCACAAAAATCATCTTTTTGTAAAGATTCTTTGTTTCCTCTCTCATACATGCATAAGAGACCCCGGGGTGGAGGCAGTGTTAGGATGGGGAGGGATGGACCGGGCTCCTGGGAATGGCCTCCATCAGAGGCCTGGTCTGTGGGCCCCAGTCACCGTGAGGGGTCGGTGGGGAGTGTGGAGCTTCCCAGGATCCTGCCTCTCTCCCTGTTTTCTGCCAAGCAGCAGGAACACACAATTCATTAAAGCAAAGCCAAAGGTCATGGACTGAGAAATAGCAAGAAACTTCCAGGGACTTGTTGATTTTGGAAACTTAATGTCCACATTGTGTAACAGTGTGCATGTTCCCCAGGGGGAAGTAGATTGCTATTTATGTCAGAAAGATGTTTCAGAAGAAGATGTCTCCTCCAAGCAAATAGTATATGTCTAGTTGTTGGCATCTACTATCCTCTCTCCTCTTTTATTCAATAAAGTGATCCACCTTATCTGAGCTACACAGACCTCTGATAGGTGCAGGGGAGGATGTTGGAGGGGGTGCCATTTCGATAGGTTGGCATTTTCTCTGTAATGGCAGGAGGCAATAGAACTATTTGTTTATGTTTCAAACATAAAATAATGAATCAGCACTCGAACAAGTCTTGAAAGATAAAACGTTCAGTGTTAATTGAATCTCTATATTGTGCCAGATAATATTTAAGTGCTAGGAATACGGTGCTGAATAAGGTCCCTGCCCTCATAGACAGGTGTTCTAGTAGGAAGAGACAAAACAGACAAGCTAAAACAAATTTTCAAAGAGTGATAAGTGCTATGAAGATGGTTAAACATGGATAGAGACTGAATGGCTGTGGAGGGGGCAGATTTCAGCAGATTTAGGGAAGGCCTCTCAGATGAGTTGGCATTAAACCAAAAAGTAAAGGAAGAGAAAGAGCTGCCAAGCCCTATCAAGAGCATCCCAGGCAGCAGGAGCAAATGCCATGCAGTGATGTGGAGGACAGTTTGGCTGTGTGCCTGGAGCCTGGTCAACTACAGGCACGTGCATGAGAAGAGGTCACAGGGCAGAGCAGTAGGGCCAGACCCCACAGGAGCCTGGGGATGGTGGGAGGAGTTCCTATGTCACTCTAACTGTAAAGGGAAACACTGAGACTGCAATCAAATAAATCTCCTTTGCCGCCTCACTGTCGGAGCCCTGCTTACCACATCTGAAGGATCCATATCTTCCAGAGCTCTGCAGATTTTGACAGCAGAGATATGCTCCTCACACCCCCAGCTTCTGCTTTTTCATTATTTGTGACTATCAAAACAGAATTTTGATGACAAATTATTTATAAATAAACCAATCATTAAAATATGTAAGATCTCTCACCTATCACCATACATCTCACTTAACCATTCTCATGCATCCCAATGACTTGAACAAAAAGAAACAGAACCAGAAAATAGTCAAAACAGTACAATTTAATCTAAATTATCCTTCTCACAACATCACTGAGATTGACTTGCCAAGTCCTGTTCATTGTCAGATTGGATTCTCTGGAAGTGAGTGCCTTCTGCAAAGTATCTCAGACATGGATAACGCAGGCAGGACTAAACTGCTTTTCTTCCCATTTGAGTTGCCAATACCTCCCTCTGGGCCAATCGAGGATTATTGTTTCAACAATACATGCAAGCTAATTGTTTGTTAAGCCGGCCCAGCCAACCATAAAATCACAGGAGAGTCAGGCCTGGCCCATCCTCTTGCCTCTGAACTGGATCACAGTTAATATCTCTGAGAGTTCCACCCCAGGTTCACAGACCAACTGGGGAAGATGGCTCTTGAGCAAACTCTGAATTTTGTTTCCATGAAGAAAGGTTTCTCCAACATAATCAACTACAATCACAATTTTTGAAACATTCACATTCTTAAGTCTGTATCTGCTTTGGTTTCCTTAAATAAAAACAAGCCAGAGATAAAAGTATGGAAATAAAATAGTTTCAAACAGAGAGCCCTGTGGAAGAATGCACTAACTTAATATGTACTTCCAGATAAATGACAAGATACATGTATAAGAGAAGCAAACTTCTACAAACATTCATTAACAATGTGTGAAGATAAAAGTTATCTTTGATAGAAAAAGGTAACTGATAAAGACATCAAAGAGAAAGATCTGAAAGTGAACTTTCTACATACTCACCAGATAAAACATATAAAGGGGCAATTTTGGTTTGTTTTATTGTTGTAGGTCTAAAGGAATACTTTCATTTTCAGTAGTTTGTCAGCAAACAGCACAGGAAACTTTACTATTTGAAATGAGTAGTCTGAGTTAACAATAGTGACCAGATATTATAAAACCGTGTTCTGCCTAAATATATCCACAAATCTTCAGATGGCCTACAAACCCAATATTGAGGCTAAAAAAGACATGACCTCTTGAGAGGCTCTTCTAGAAAGTGGGACTCTCTGGTACTAGGGATATAGCACTGTGAACCCCAAAAGGGAGACAGCTCTGACCCCCAGTGCAATCAGGAAAGACAGATGCAAGCCCTAACTTAGTTTACAGGTTTGATGTCCCCACTGCTGTGGGCATTCCTGTCCAGAAACCCAAGTCCTCCCCAAGAGAGTGGCTAGAGAGTATATGCAAACACAATAAACCTTTCACAGAAAAACAATGACTTTCTATGACTAGAATTTGGCCAAAGGCTCTTCTTTTGAGTGTTAGTGATATAAAATTCTGCTCTAAAATAATAGTTTTAGAACTAAGCTTAAATTCCTGATTATTTGAACACATTAGAAAAAGAAAAGGAGTTTCTATTTCAGAAGGCATAGTTATTTGGAAACTGCCACAGTTTCTTTTTAAGTCAAAAATAACAAAATTTCATAAAAGCAAAACAACTAACATCCCTCTCCCTGACCCTCCAAAGAAACCTTTCTTAGAAGTATTCTAGTTCCACACAATAGAAACCAAATTCAATGTGGCTGAAGTAAAAACAGGGATGTACTGGCACACTTAATGGAAAGTTCAAGGGATAAAGCATTCAGGTATGGGTAGAACTAGGTGCTTAGACTATGAGGACCTTTCTCCATCTCTTAATTCTGCTGCCCTCTGCATTGGCTTCATTTTTAAGTAGGTTATCTTTAACTGGAGGCAAAATGACTATCAGGACTTCCAGATTTACGTTACATCATGCAGCAACCTCAGTTTTATAAAACACAACGAAACTTCTTCTGGGAGTTCAACAAATGTCTCAGGATTGGGTCTCCTTAATCTGGCTGGGTCCACATGCCATCCCTGTGGTCTGCTATTCCTGTGGTCTGAATGGCCAGCCCTGGTGGCCTATTCCTACAGATGTACCACTTGGATTCCATAAGCTAAGACGGGACGACCCAAGGTGCGGCTGGCAGGAAAGGAATACAGGCTGACAGATATCACTAATGGAATGTCCATGTCTCTCCCTCCACTTACCTGTTTCCTCCTCTTTCAATCAAAAGCCTATCAAAACTGGGTTCAGATATTACCTTCTGCAAAAGCGCTTCCCAAATTCCATGGAATTGTTTACTTGAAAATGGTTAATTTAAAAAAAACAACCAAAAAAAACCCTCTTCCTAGAGTCTCTCCTTTTGGTGTAAAGCCCTTTCTGATCCTCCCACAAACTCTGTTTCCCTCTAACACTGAATTTATTATACTTTTTGAAACTTTCTGTCCATATGTTTGTCTTAAGCATAATTTCCCAAAAGACATTTTATCCTTGCCATGTAGGAAAGTCTTTGGCACAAAATAGTAAAAATTTATGGAATTAGACTGTTGTTGTTGACAGAGACAGTTCTTCTCTCTCAGAGTGTATCAATCAGTCCACTGTAATATCAGTCACATTGAATTTATTCTGAAATATCAATGAAACAGTCTCTAGCAAAACTCCCACCTTTAATGTCTCTATCTTGTAAACAGAAATCTGAAAACTCAGCAACTGAGAAATGCATTTTTACCTAGTCAATAGAATTCAAACTCAGACAAGAATAGCAAAATAACAACTGCTAAAAGTACTTTAAAATAACTCATTAGGAAGCACAAGTCCCTCTATTCAACAAAAAAACGAGTAAAATAACTAATTCATCTCTAACTTCATTTATATTTTCAGTTCATCTTCTGACTTCACAAGAATGGAAGTTTTGTATTCTACTATGATCAATACCTCATGTAAAAATAGTTACGGCACAAAAATGCATGACTTTTCAGATGATGTTATTTTTAACATTGCTGAAATTTACCATTACTTAAAATATACTAACTGCATCAGTAGATTCTAGAGGATACTCCTCTGTATCTTGCAAATGTATATATGCTCTGAGCCTAATGCTCTTATGGCTCCTCCTCAGTGTCCAATGAAAATGAGGTAGATCCTAAAAGAACCCAGTTCCAACATGTCTGGTTTCAGAATTATCCACTTCAAGTTGAACTCCTGTGATCAAGGCCTTAAAAGCTGTACTGAATTCCACATTCAGGTCCCACTGGTTCAGGAGACACTAGTATCAAGGCTCTAAGACAGCGGCTGCCAATCTTTTTGGCACCAGGGACCAGTTTTGTGGATGACAATTTTTCCACAGATGGCAGCAGGGGGATGGTTTTGGGATGAAACTGTTCTACCTCAGATCATAAGGCATCAGAATCTCATAAGGAGTGTGCAACCTAGATCCCTCACAAGCACACTTCACAATAGGGCTCTCGCTTCTATGAGAATCTAATGCCTTCGGTGATCTGATAGGAGGTGGAGCTCAGGTGATAATGCTCACTCGCCTGCCTCTCACCTCCTGCTGTGCAGCCTTGTTCCTAACAGGCCACAAACTGGTATTGGTTTATGACCTGGGTGTTGGGGACCCCTGCTCTAGGGTGCAGGAAAAGGTGAACTAATATTAATAAAGGGAAGGTAAACTAATATGAGCTGTGTGAGGCATGGTGCTGGGTATCCTACACACAGTTGGAGCCCCACAATATGCTATTGCTCATTCAACACGGTGTCTTCCTCCAGTGTCCATCAGCAGTTGGGTGTCATACTGGAGGGACAATGGGCTGTGAGGACTTCCCAAGAGATGGTATAAGTAGGGAGAGAACCACATTTGCTGTTCTTTATGAGAAATTAGGCACATGTCAAGAATAGTTTTGCCTACACATCTTTCTCATCTTCTACTTGACTGCAGATAAGGTATATCCAATCCTTGCTTGAGATAAGATGTGACTGCACTGCTCAGTGCCTCAGCTATCACAAAAACTCTGAGAGGGTTAAATTATTACTGGCCCAATTTATAGGTGAGAAAACAGTGCCTCAAAGGGGTTAAGTAATTTTCCCATGATAATGTGCTCAAAAACTACAAAAACTCTCCTCCTTACAAAGTTTCTAAGACTTATCTTCAGGGTATGTGGACATAGCAAAGAAGTTGTACTTTGTATTGAGTTAAAGAATCAATCATCTCTAGCCAATGAGCCTTTTGTGACATTACGATAGCAATTTAGATCAGCAGTTTACGTTATTAAGGAAAGGAGTTCGTATTACAAAACATGCTGCTTCTTAACTGTTTAAGAGTTTAGACCATAAGTAACCCATATTTAGAGAGCAAAACCCTGGTGTCATTGTGCTTTTTCCCAGTAACATCTTTCAAATATTATCATATCCAAGAGACAAGTATTTTTTTTAAGTAATTTTGCATAACTCTTAAAAAGATACACAATCCTAAACTTAACTTCACTGGGATTTTTAAAATAAAATAAAAATTACAGATGCTGTTTCAAGATATGCTTTCTCAAATACTTTTCCAAGTATAGCATACCTAACACAGAACATAGTTTACATTTGTCCATGGTGAGGCTTCAAAATGGAGCAATTAGATCAAGTTCAGGGGATAATTTATTTTCTAAAAATTATGTGGCCTTTCTTTTTAATTCTATTTATGTGATGTATCACATCTATTGACTTGTATATGTTAAATGATCCCTGCATCCCTGGGATGAAACCAATTTGATCACGATGTATTATCTTTTTGAGGTGCTGTTGACTCAAAAGTTGTTGGAAGAAAAAATAATAATAAAGAGAGAAAAAAATGAAAATTATGCAGAATATTTCTGCTTCAGGAAACTACTGACCCATTTTTTATCTTTTAAGATAAAAACATTTTTATACACCAAAAACTTTTATCTTAAAAGGTACATTATAATTTAGTCAAATCTGATAGTCATGGGCTTCATAAGCTGCAACAACTGATTATTACATTTGATAATACGATGACTGAAAAGCAAAAGAACATTTGGTATCTTAATATCAATTTAAATTTCACCCGATCATGATGGCAAAATTGCCCACAAAGCTGTTCTAGCTGTTCCTTACACCTTTCCTCTTCTACAGCACACTCAGCCAGTGCAGGAGAGGATGGGCCCAGCACAATTGTGTCCACACACCACCTCAGACAAGATGAGGTTATTTTGACTTAAAGGGTATGTGGTAAGCTTAATGAAATGATTTAAATAATCTTTACGCAGGCCTTAATTTTTTTCCATTTGCTTCTTTAGTTTAGAAAACACTGGTTTTATGAGGAGCTGGGTTTCGTTCTCAGCTTCTCTGTATTTTAATGTCCTGCTGGCCTGACCTGGTCTCTACCTGATACCCTGATGTCTGAGTCATCTCCAACCTCTCCAGGAAGAAGCAGGGACCTTTCGCCCTGTCACTCTGAGAGGTTTCTGATCTCTTACCAACCCTCTTTGAGAGCCCTGACTTAAGAAAAAAAATGCTTGAAAATAAAACACCGAAGTATTCATTGACAGTTTCAACTTCATTGTGGGAGACATTCTCTGATGTCATGAAAGGAGCATGCCAGGGAGGCCACCCATCAATTGATTTTTGAAATTCCTAGAAGCCATAGAAAAGGGCTCACCTCTGCTCTAGGAGATAAACAGTACTTCATAAGATATTTATTAACCTAGAGGCTCTTAACTAAAAAAAAAAAAAAAAAGAAAACAATGCAGCCTTTTAGTATATTCCTAGAACCCTCCTCATTCCCCTTTCATTCCTTAGCTTATTCCCTCCCTTCTTCTTTCTCATTTACACAGAATCTTAGGGTCAGAAGAAACCTTGCTGGTTAAATAATTTAGCTCTTCTGGCTATACATTCTCCTCCCTTTTTATTTCTCTGCATCTCCATGTCCCAGCTTGCTTCTCCTCTCCTCTCTGCAACTGTTCTTCCCCCTCTCATTTGTTCTGAAATTGCTGCTGCCTACATGGTAGGCACTCCTGGGTATACACAGTAGGACCAAAATAAGCCTGACATGAATGGTTTTGCCTGGGTCATTAACTGAGGTCCAGGACTGACTACCCAAAAAGAACTACCTAACCTTGTAGTCCTCTGCCTGTCTTAATACATGAAGGTAAGACTAGGCAATCAGTTATTTGTTGAGCTAATGAATGAACAAATGATTGCTTATCCAAGCAAATAGCATATCATTTTCTGTTAAAGTGAAAATACAGCCCTAGGAGAATTAGGGAGGAGCTTCACTGGTCACAGATATCTTATTACCAATTAATTTAAGGATATTGCTCCTTCCTAATAGAAGTAGTCATGATAAAAAATGGGAGTTTGTAATAATATTGAAGAGGAAGAGGAGGTAATTTTGGAACCTGGGATATTCTGTATGGGGAAATATGGGGAGTGGAGATGGGGGTTGGGAAATCTGAGCAGTCAGAGGCAACCTAGAGACACCACCGGTACCTAAAGACAGGTGTTAGGAGGCACCAGAAGTTGGGAATGGCACACAAAAACGAAATACAGCAGCAAAATTCAACATGAATACTATTATTTAATGTAGGTTTAGGTAGCTATTGTCATAACACCAATTCATATGTGCTGAATTGGGAAATCTTGCATTGAGCAGTCAATAAATAATAACTAAAGTTAATAGTGAATGTAGGACCATCACCATTTTGCTACTTTACTTCTCAAAACAAAACAAACGAGAAAAAAAATGCTATCCCATAAGACAGACTGGGCTTGACACTTGGTTGCTCTGACAACGAAGGCCCAAAGAAAAAGTTCCTGTTTTACTGGTGTCAAAGTACTCACCGCTTCTTTAAAACTGGCTCACTTAAATATATCTGCCTTATCCCTTTTTGATGTCATTTGTACGATTCACTTTTGCTTTGGTTTCTGGTTTTGCAAATTGTTAGTTCCTGCAGATAATGACAAGTAGAGGGATTAAAGGAAGTGCAGGATAATGAACAAACAAAAAGCATGATATAAATCAGGCACACAGTGATGTTTACTTAAGGCTGATATGTTGGAGAACTGACTGTTGTTGTTCTCCATTCTAGTCCTAGAGTATTGTGAGAATAAAGTATCTTTCTTTCTTTCTTTCTCTTTAAAGAGGGAGTTTCACTTTTGTTGCCCAGGCTGGAGTGCAGCTGCGCGATCTCCGCTTACTGCAGCCTCTGCCTCCCAGGTTCAAGCGATTCTCCTGCTTCAGCCTCCCGAGCAGCTGGGGTTACAGGTGTGTTGTCACCACGCCCAGCTAATTTTTGTATTTTTAGTAGAGACGGGATTTTGCCATGTTAGTCAGGCTGGTCTCGAACACCTGAGTTCAAGTGATCCACACACCTTGGTCTCCCAAAGTGCTGGGATTACAGGCATGAGCCACTGCGCCTGGCTGAGAAATCACAAAGTATCTTTCTAAGTGCACTAATGCTACTTGGGGAAAACATAAATAATTACAGGTGGATCCTAGATAAGGAGACATTCCTTGTTACTTCCAAAAAAATTCCATAATCTTTGGAGATTCCAAAGAGATTTTCCATCCCTCCCGAATCATATGGAATGCGAAAGGCAGGTATACATGAGAATCCATGTACACATTGAATCAGAAGGAAAGACTATGGCAAAAATAGGGAGCCACATTAGGCACTTAACAGCAGTCTGGGCTAAAATCCTATTTCTGCCTACAGTTACCTTGAAAGGAATCCTTTGCTGCCCTTTATGTAAATGCAAGTGATTTAAAAACATAGTTAGATCTGTATAGTGCTATACAATTTACAAAGTACTTGGGCATTCATTATCTCCTTTGATTTTTGTAATTGTTTTGTATCTCCAGTTCCAAAATGAGAAAAGTGGTACCCAGAAGACTTGTGTAGCCAGTACAAAAACATGCAGTAACTGGTTTCAAAGCTAGGACTCCAATCAGGTTTTGTTTTTATTTTTGAGACAGGGTCTCACTCTGTCACCCAGGCTAGAGTGCAGTGGCACCATCTTGGTTCACTGCAGCCTTGACCTCCTGGGCACAAGCGATCCTCCCACCTCTGCCTTCTGAGTAGCTGGGACCACAGGTGCACACCACCACACTCAGCTAATTTTTGTATTGTTTGTAGAGACGGAGTTTCACCATGTTGCTCAGGAGTCTGGTCTCAAACTCCTGGGCTCAAGCAATCCATCTGCTTCAGCCTCTCAAAGTGCTGGGATTAAAAGTGTGAGCCACGGTGCCTGGCCCTAACCAGGTTTTTTGACCCCTAGCCCAATATTCTCTTAAACTCTTAAGCAATGTTTTCTTATTTTCAAAACTGAACTAATTATATCTTGGATGAGAATACTTTAAAGACATTCTAAAAATACAAAGTAGCTTTAAAAATAACAAAGTGATTCTTGCATTCTTATCCTGTCTATCTAAGAGCTCAAGTGTCAAATGATATCTTCCTTTCTATTGGTATCCCAAAATAGTAAATTATAAAAAAAATTGGGAACAACTTGCAAACCCGCTAATATCCCAAAGCTTTCATGAGTAAAAAGATGTTAGGATTAAGGAGAAGCTACAGAGGAAAAGTGCTATCAGAAAACATCACCTTAGCTGTGTCTTAACAATCACACAAAGACAACTAGCATCAGCCGTATATGTGTCCTCAACCATCTGTGTTCTCAACCCTTGCTTTTTTGCCTTGTAGCAAACTTTGCTAATTTCACAGTACTGTACGATACTTCTTGGTATTATGTGAAGTACTCTATTTAGACATGTTGACTTCACTAATTAGTCTATAAATACTTGACTTTTAGCCACTGCTTTGGTAAGTGAGATAATTGCTGAGGAAAGGCCAAAGCATTTACGGTCAATCAGATGAGGAAAAGGGGAATATGGTCTTTGAGCTGAGTAAAATGTAAAACATTATGTGGCAAGGCAGAAGCTATTAGCAGGATCAATATCTCTCCTAGTACCTTAATAAATCATCACATCAAAGCCCCGACAGAGGATGGAGAAAACCTCAGTCTACCTACATGGAAGCTTCCAAATTGGAAAATAAAATTCCATTTAAATTACAAAGACCCAATTCATGTACAATGGAAATGGCAAGCTACAAAACTAGTCTCCAAATCCTGGATGTGCTAAGAGTTTAGAATCATTAGTGAAGGGAGAAAAGCAGAAAGACAAAGAACACTGCTACTCTCTGGGTTGCACATTCATAATTCGCAAGTTGTAAATATGTATGAATCTGCCCACTGCAGCTAGGGATGACATACTGCTTTTTAGAGATAGCACAGAGCAGAGAAATCAAAGTAGAGGAAGGTTTGGCCATTATAACTTACCTCCTCCCACATTTAACAGTTCTCAATCTTCTCAAATCTCCCCTTACTTAAATTGCTGTCTTTTGGGGATGGCTTCCTAAAATGAAAAGAACTTCGATACCAATGAATGTTCAATGTATAGCAAAAAGCATCCCATGGTGAGCTCTCACTGTAACATGGGACGTAAATAATTGTATTTTTTCTAAATCTTTAATCGCTCCCATTCTCTTTGATGCTTCCAGGAAAACAAGCAAGCAACTAAAAGAAGTTACTAGGCTAACTTGCCCAGTTTTTTTTTTTTTAACTCTAGAACTAATTATTTCTCTTTTCTAATATGTAGTAAAAGACAAAAGAAACATTTTGCAGAGATTCATATTATAGAACATTAGGCTTTCCCTTAAGGATACGTATTTCCTCACTTACAGAGATGATAGTGAATACTGACACTATTTTGACTCCACCACAGCTTTTGCTTTGCAGTCATACTGTTTAATTAAAAATAGGTTTTTTTCTTATAAGCTCAAATTACTCTACTGTAGATCTCTCAAACTTCGTAGTAAGTTGAAGCTGAGAACTAAGAGGTCACATCAGGAAATTTATTTAGATAGGTCATAACTGGCAAATCAGCAACAAAAGAAAGCAGGGCTTCTCAACATCTTGAAACATTCATTCATGATTAATTATTTCTTTCATTCCACAATTATCTATTAGACACTTGAGTATCATGCTTGGGCTTGATGATAATTATATCAAAGAAAGTTCCCAGAAGGTTCTATTCTCAAAAAAAAAAAAAAAGTCTGACCATCTAAGTGGGTACATAAGTCACCCAATACTTAAAATGTTAGCTAACATTAGAAGATGTAAATTATATAAAAGCTGATTGTCACAAGTGCCATATATGGCTACGTGCCAAAGAAGGGCTACAGTAAACTTTTATAAAGAAACCTCTATTGGCAGGGATTACCAGGGAAGGGACTAGGGGAGAGGGTAAAAGACCTGAGCTACATAGAATTTGAATAAGTGAAAAAGAAAAGGACACATGCTTCAATCAGTAGGAAAAGCCTGGGCAAGCCAGTGCAGG
The DNA here is from genome assembly GCF_000001405.40 of Homo sapiens. Lineage (NCBI taxonomy): Eukaryota > Metazoa > Chordata > Mammalia > Primates > Hominidae > Homo > Homo sapiens. Next base: position 43,557,026 of record NC_000013.11, read on the forward strand.
CACACAGTGCAGTGCGAAGCAGGAGAGAGTTCACAGTGCAGATCAGTGGTAGGTCAGGACATTAGAGTCCCACCCCAACACGCAGGAAAGACAGTGGCTGGACTGCATATCTTAAGGTAGGAAAGTTTTTACTTCAGATGGGAGAAAAATAGAGAGTCAGGAGAATTCTGATACCATGTCCAAGTCCAAGACCATTTGGGGAGTCAAAACTGTACAGAAAGAAATATCTTCTCTAGAAGCAGCAGATTTCATGTATGGCCAGAAGGTGGTAGGGGTTTCCATAAAGCGGTCTGAGGCTATCAGGAAGCCTGTTTCTTATAGAAAAGGGGTTTCAGAAGACCCAGGGACAAGACACAATTTCAGGAAAGGGGCACTGGGAGGATGGTTCTTTTAGCAGAAACCTCCTCACAGGAACAGGGATGAGTGCCTAAGGGAGGAGCTCCTGCCTGGGAGAGGCAAGAAAGGCAGAAATGAGAAGCAGGGTGGCTCTGACTTATCTTCCTGGTCTAAATGGAACCTAGTGTCTTGCTGGTTCAGGAGCCTCATTCTGGCCTAGAAATAGCACCCCACTTCCACCTCACCAGCCAGGTTCCAACCGTATAAGTAGTTGAGCTGAAAACAGGAGATTCATTTTGTGTGGTGCATACCCATAGTTCCAGCTACTCAGGAGGCTGAGGCAGGAGGATCATTTGAGCCCAGGCATTCGAGGTTGCAGTGAGCTATGATCATGCCACTGCCCTTCAGACTGGGTGACACAGTGAGATCTTGTCTCTAACAGAAGTTTTAAATTTTTAAAAAATTCATTTTGTGGTTGTAAGTACAAAAAAAACCTCAATAATGATGAGAAAAAAGATATACGAAGATTTGTTGGTTAGGAGATCATAGCTGATAGGGTGTGTACTACTTACTACAACTGCTATTCTCCCACACTCACACTATCTCCTGTCTTAAGAAGTTTAAGCAAATCTAGGCCCAGTGTCCCACTGAGGGAAATCACAAGAGGACTTAGAGGGGTCCCATCCATGAGAGCTGCACCATGAGTACATGCTACTTGGAAGGCTGCTTCTGTGGTCATTCTGAGAGCTGGGAAACCAACCTGGTGCTGAGCTGTCCAGAAGGCAGCATCTGCTGATTCTGGTACCACTGGGAAGAACAGGACACATCTTTACTAGGGAACCAGCTGCTAGTCAACAGCTGCCCCTTCTGCTCCCCAATAAGCACCTTTCTGATTACTGTCAGTTTTTCAGCAGAAAGGCCATCAGCTGTTGTGTTAATGATGGGGCTTCACTGGTTGGAAGAATTTTGCAGTCTCCAGTCTGAACTATTCCTCTGGGTGTCCTTATTCAAGCAGCAGTTAATTTGAAAACAATTAGCTGGTTGTTCACTTCCTTAAGGCAAAGCAATACTGGATGGGCTACCAGGTTGGACTAAGATTCCAGCAGAACACTCTGAAGGAGCCAGGATATTTCTAGGATGGGTCTGCTTTGTGTTGGCTTCAGGAAAAGTCTAGCATTTCTAACCCTGATCATTGGGAATTAGTCACTATTTCCCTTAGTTGCTCTGGCAGGCTTTCATTTATTTTTGCCTGGGTGACAAGGAGACACTTCTACATTTCAACATTAAACAGACTGGACGATTCATTTGTTTTCTTCTTTTTTTCACTCTTCCAGGTAAAGGGAAAATGGATCCTTATGGTGAATTATAGATGAGAAATCAATGAAAGATACAGAGACTAAAGAGAAGTAGAGTTTTATAAAAAGCAACTGGATTTGTTTTATAAAGTAGCAGATTTCCTTTTACAGGCTGGCCAACATAATCTTTGGGACTGAAATATCTTTCTGATAAGAGTATGTATTTTCTGTCACTGAATCCTCTACTTATATCCCCTGCCACACTTCATCCTGTTAATGAGGACAAAACAATATGAGGAAAGTTTTTCTGTTTTCCTCAGTCTCCCAATTCCTCACCTCTCTTCTCTGCAAACCACTCGGCTTCCATAACAAAAAGGATGACACAAACAGAGTAAAAATATGTTACCAGAGACTTTCTCAGTTCATGGCAATATTCAGTCAGCTAAATCTGGCAAACTCATACACATCTGGCCTGCTGGCAAGTCTGACTAGAATTCAGCTGTGCCTGTACAAGGAAGCAGGGGAACAGCATTTAGAGTTAGACAGCCCTATGGCCTGCTGAATCCTCAAATATGCAAGGGGCTTATTCACAAAATGCTTCACAAAAAATGGCTCCTCCAAACACATGCATACTTATTTGATGTTTTTATACTTTTTTCTTTTCAGTGCTAAGCCATCTTCTTTAGTTAGAACTATTTTTATCCTTTGTCACTTTATAAACTGCAATGGAATTCAGTATTCCATGTACAACCTTAATTTTCTGTATGACATGGAAAACAATATGGGAATCAGAGGGACTTAAAACTAAGTCTATGGAGCCCAATTCCCAAATTGCAGATTTAGGTCTTACTGTCTCTCAGGCAGATTAGATGACTTCTGAAAAGAAATACTTATTTAAATATGCTTATTTTATTGTTATTGAGGTATGCATAAATTATCCCGTTATAGCTATCCAAAACTGTGAACAACAGAACAAGACCCCAAACTGCAGAGAATATATCAACTCAGTTGCAAAAGATAAGACAGTAGGAAAGGTGCCATACAGAACAATATTGGGAGTTAGCATCATGAAGAAGGTTAGCAAGATGTGTTTATAATACAACTTTCATTCCAACAGAAATTATAACATGCTAAGAGCATGGACCTCGAGGAAAAAATATCTATTTTGGTGGGCTAAGTAACTTTTGGAAAAGACTAAAACACAAACTCCTTTAGTAAAATGCTTTAATATACTCTAGGCCTTTTCTTTAAAAGTAAGGTATGATTAAACTAAAACTTTCAAGTAGTTCAATGAACTAAGCAAGAACTGTTGGCTTCCCTCCAACCATAGTCCCACTTGCTAGAGATAATAACCATAAAAGTTTCATGTGCAGCCCACACATAAACAAGCATATACAGCTGCATATTTACACACGTGTGTATTTGCTGGTACAGGCCTAAAATATGGAAACATTTGCTATTTTATTAAAAAGTGCTCATACCATATATAATATTCATGCAACATTGTTCTGTATCATTGACATAGATGGGTTTGTTCTTTTTAATGGCTATTTTATGTACTATTGAACAGGTATGCTATAATACCTATATTCCTATTGGTATGCTTTTAGGTTACTTCTGAGTTTTAACAATTAAAAAATACGCAATATGTCTTCTTACAATTATAACTTTCTAACTTGTATAGATAGAACTAAAACTTCTCCAAAAATTATTATTCCAAGCTACACTCCTTCCAACAGAGTAACAATTTCTCACCACCACTAGATAGCATCAACTGTTTAAATTGTGTCCAATGGACAACTGAAAAATACTCTCTTATTTTAATTTTTGCCATCATTAATGAGGCCATCTTTGCTTGGCTGTTATATTTTTCTTTGAATAGCCCATTCATATTCTCTATTTGTTTTCTTCCACTGAGTTGTTACTTTTTACTAATTGAGTCCCTTGTTTCACAGAGAAATTAGCCCATCATCTGTCATGTGTACTGCAAATATAATTCCTAATTTTTCATTTGTCTATTGGCTTTGGTTTTGTTTTGGAATGAGGAGACAGTCTTCTAGAAAATAAGACATATTAAATAATATATTGGTAATTGTAAAGCACAGATTGTATGGCGCCAGCCATCATGTGCTTTGTTCAGGTGTCATGCTTATCTTAGGTAACAAGGTCACCAGGATTAATTAGTGAAAATCCTGCTGAGTTTCAGATCATCTCAGTGGCCCTCTATAAAGTGTTCTCACTCACCTGGCAGCCTCCTTTCTTAATCTCAGTTGGAATCTCAACCACAAAGTGGTTGCTCCTTGTATCTAGAAGTCATTTAAAAGACAGTAATCAAAATTTCTGTTCTCTTTTATTTGTTCCTCTGCTTCCCTATCAATAATTCTGGGAGGAGTGGGAGAGAGAACAGTGCGTAATCAAAAGGCAGACCTAGCAAATTATTATTTTATTGATAAAATAATTCAGCAAATTCTCAATATTCCTGCTTCACAGTGATTACCCTAGATTTTATATTTTAGGGTTTTGCACCTACCTCTTATCATCACCCCACTAACTAGAGTGTAGTCTGTGTAGGACACCGATTAGACTCACCCCTGGTTTGGCAGGCAAAGAATGCCAAGGCAAAAGCACAGCCGACAAAGCTCCCTGTACTTGTGCAGATAGAGAGGCAGAGTATACCCCGGAGCTGAGCTGCAAGGTACAAATCCTGACCCTCCTACTTGATAACTGTGTTACTCGGAGTCAGTTAACCTCTCAGAGCCTCAGATTCCTAATACATATGATGCATATAGGAACAGTGCCATCAGAATAAGAAGAGCAGCTACATCACAGGACTGCTATAGGGTGAATGGAGTTATGATGTAAAGTAGTGCCTGGGATACACATAGCACATTTTAAGTAAATGTGGCATATCAATATAGTAATTACATATAGCACAATAGAAAAGTTAGAGTGTGATGAAATCCAATAGGCTTTACAAAAATCAAGTAAGTATTAGTACTACATAACCACAGAAAAGGGAGGCCCAAAGGAACAGTCAAGAAATGCAGCAAGGGCCAGGCACAGTGGCTCATGCCTGTAATTCCAACACTTTGAGAGGCTGAGGCGTGTGAGCCCAGGAGTTCAAGACCAGCTTGGGCTACATGGTGAAATCCCGTCTCTACAAAAATACAAAAATTAGCCAGGCGTGATGGTGTACATCTATAGTACCAGGTACTTGGGACACTGAGGTGAAAGGATCACTGGCTGAGGCTGCAGTAAGCCATAATAACACCGCTGCACTCCATCCTGGACAACAGAATGAGACCCTGTCAAAAAAAAGGAAGGAAGGAAGAGAGAGAGGGAGGGAGGGAGGGAGGGAGGGAAGGATGGAGAGAGGGAAATGCAGCAAGGAGAAGAGATGGGGAGCAACATGGCCAAATAGAAGCCTCCACCACTCATCTTCCTCATAGGAACACCATATCTTGAGTAGAAAGATGAAAAAATGAACCAATGCAAAATAATAGTTATAACAACTTTTCAAGATATAGACAGTACAATAACATATAAATAGAAACAATAAAAAGTTAAAAAGTTGGGGAATGAAGTTTAAAGTGTAGAGTTTTTTAATACTCTTCTCTTTATTAGTTTGTTTATGCAATTAGTGTAAGTTGTCATCAATTTAAAATAATGGGTTATAAGATATTTACAAGCCACATGGTAACCTCAAATAAAAAAATACAATAGATACATAAAAATTAAAAAGCAAGAAATCAAAATATACCACCAGAAAAAAATCGCCTTCATTAAAAGGAAGACAGGAAAGAAGGAAGAGAAGACCACAGAACAACCAGAAAACAAATAACAAAATGGCAGCAGTAAGTCCTTACTTACCAATAATAACACTGAATGTAAATGAACTAACCTCTACAACCAAAAGGCACAGAGTGGCTGAACAGATAAAACAAAACTAAACTAAACAAAAAACAAGCCCCAATGATCCACTGCCTGCAAGAAACATGCTCCACCTATAAAGACACACATAGATTGAAAATAAAGAACTGGAAAGATACTCCATGCCCATGGAATCCAAAAAAAGAACAGGAGTGGCTATGCTGGTACCAGACAAAACAGATTTCAAGACAAAACCTATAAATGGAGACAAAGAACTTCATTATATAATAATCTATGGGTCAATTCAGCAAGAGGATATAACAATTTTAAATATAACAGTGGAGCACCCAAATATAGAAAGCAAATGTTACTAGAGCTAAAGAGAGAGACAGACCACAATACAATAATCACTGGAGACTTCAACACCCCACTTTCAGCATTAGACAGATCATCAAGACAGAAAATCAACAAAGAAACATCAGATTTAATCTGCACTATAGACTAAATGGACCTCATAGATAATTCCAGAACGTTTTGTCCAATGGCTGCAAAATATACACTCTTCTCCTCAGCACATGGATCATTCTCAAAGACAGACCATATGGTAAGCCACAAAACAAGTCTGGAAATTTTTTAAAAAAAATAAAATCACATCAAGTATCTTATCTGACCACAGTGGAACAAAACTAGAAACCAAACAACAAGAGGAATTTTGGAAAGTATACAAACACATGGAAATTAAATTATATGCTTCTGAATAACTAGTGGGTCAATGAAATGATTAAGAAGGAAATTGAACAATTTCTTGAAACAAATGATAATAGAAACACAACATTCCAAAACCTATGGGTTACAGAGAAAACAGTTAGAAAAGGGAAGTTTATAGCTACACTATAAAAGAAGAAAAACTTCAAAGAAACAACCTAGCAATGCATCTTAGTTAACTAGAAAAGGAAGAACAAACCTAACACAAAATTAGTAGAAGAGAATAAATAATAGAGACCAGAGCAGAAGTAAATGAAATTAAAATGAAGACAATACAAATGACTGATGAAATGAAAAGTTGGTTTTTCGAAAAGTTAAACAAAATTGACAAACCTTTACCTAGATTAATTGAGAAAAACAGGGAAAGACCCAGATAAATAAAAACAGATGAAAAAGGAGGCAAAGGACTGTTAGAGGCTACTATGAGCCACTGTATGCCAATACATTGGGAAACTTAAAAGAAATGGATAAAGACACATACAGTCTACCAATATTGAACCATGAAGAAATCCAAAACCTCAAAAGACAATCAGCAAGTAATGAGAATGGAGCCATAATAAAAGGTCTCGCAGTAAAGAAAAGCCCAGGACCTGAGGGCTTCACCGCTGAATTCTCCCAAACATTTAAAGAAGCATATCACTTCTATTTAAATTATTCTGGAAAAAAAAAGGAGGAAGGAATACTTCCAAACTGAGGAAGGAATACTTCCAAACTCATTCTACAATGCCAGTATTACCCTAATACCAAAACCAGACAAAGACTCATTAAAAAATAAAATAAAAAACTACAGACCAATATCCCTGATGAATATTGATGCAAAAACCCTTAACAAAATGCCAGCAAAATGAATTCAGAAGTGAAAGATCTCTACAATGAAAACTATAAATCATTAATGAAATTGAAGAGGTCTCAAAAAATGAAAAGATATTCCATGTTTATGGATTAGAAGAATTAATATTGTTAAAATATCCATACTACGCAAAGCATTCTACAGAGTCAATACAATCCCTTTCAAAATGCCAATTACATTCTTCACAGAAATAGAAAAAAAATCCTAAAATTTATATGTATCAAAATATCTCATGTGCCCCATAAATATATACACTATGTACATACAAAAATTCAAAATAAAAAACTATAATAAACAGAAAAGAAAAAAGAAATGCAATGAGGAATAGACGGAATTTGAGGAGGAGGCCTAAAATAAACAAAATCAAGTATTGTGTGTATTCTAAAAGAGGAGAAGAGCCTTACAAAAACACTTACCTCAGGGACAATGAATAAACTAGTGGGAGTGCAGTGAAAGGCTGTGACTGGATAGTAGGAGAGGATTACTTTAAAAATGCAGATTGCCAACATCTCAAACTCTGTTTATTTAAATGAAAATGTTTACTTATTCTTTGCTCTCAATTAATAAACTGAATCAGCTATTATCAGAGTAGTATTTCAAATGTGAATCTTTAGAGCAAATAATTTTAAAAAAGAAACACCTTTCCCACAGAAATACTGATGTCCAGGATGGAGGGCTTTCCAGGCTGGTCCCTGCAGCCCCTGACTACAAATGGGAAGGCAGAGTAATGATATTGTACTATCATCAGTCCCATTCATTCCTTCACTCAGTAAGCATCTGCTGAATGCCTACCACCAGTCCATCACTCTCTTAAAAAAGAAGTGGTAGTGGTGAACAAAGAGAAACAAGGTCTCTACTCTCGTGAGGCTTCTACTTTAGGGTGGGGAAGGGGAGAAGCAATGGATACAGAGCATAAAAATAAACAGATGAGTAAGATTAAGATTACTTGAGACAGTGGAAAGAGCAATAAAGCAAATCAAAGCAGGTGCTGTCATGGGGTGGAAGGCCCCTCTGAGGAAGTGATATCTGAGTTGACAGCTGAATGATGAAGCAGAAGATAAGTACCAGGAAGTCCCTGGCAGAGGGAACAGCAAGAACAAAGACATTATGGCTGGAAAGAGCTTGATGTGTTCACAGAACAAAAGAAAGGGCAGTGAGGCTGGAGTCAAGTGCCAGAGTCCTAAGCAAAAAGTAATTGTGAAGTCCAACTTTGAACGTCAAGCACACATTTCTCCCTTCGTTCTGTTGACTGCCAGAGCTTTAGCAGCTCCTCAGCTCTGGACACAAAATGCATGGTGTTGAGCTCCTCAGAAGCTCCAGTGGCCTGGGGTTCTCTCTCATGGATCCAGGAGGAAGCCTTGGGATCAAGAGCCTGATGTGAGGAAAGGGAAAGGACTAGGGGAGGGAAGGATAACCAGGGTGGTCACAGCTCCAGTACCCACAAAGACGCTCTTTAGAAAGTAGGGGATTTCAATCCATTTGGGAGAATTTCAGTTAAGTTTAGTTAATTTTTTAGATAAGGAAAGATTCTTGCCTTTTGTTTCCTTAGTTTGTCTGTGAGCTTCCAAATTAGCAGTTTGGACAAAATCAGGAACAGCAGGAAATCCAAGGGTGAGCTATGTATAAATCAAGACCAGGAAAACTAGGACAGTTGCTGGTGCATCACTAACCTTTTAAGATTTATGTTAAAAAACAAGCAAGCAAAAACCCCACCATGCCATCCTAGTAAACATCCCTTAGGATCATTCTGAAAAACAAAACAGATCCACTGATGGATAGAAAATGAATCTCACTGGTTATGGCAGTTTTTAACGAGATTTTTCTATTTGTTTGGCCTAATTTTTAAATTCTTGATCCTCGTAATCACCATGTGGGTTGCAGTAGCAAAATAACTTGTGACTGATGATAATTAAGAAAAGGAAATTTAAGAAATGCATGTTTTCCTGAGCCAAGTTTCAACTAAATGTTTTTGCTACTAAAATTATGCTTTCTTACACAAATGTTGAATATAAGTAAGTTGCTCTGGGGATGTTAGTGTTTACATTTTTTCCCATTTGTTATTTATTAGCATGAATTAATATGCCAGTTTGTATTTGACACAAGATTTTTTTTAATTCTTGCAATAATAAGACTACATTTCTCTATGCAGTCATATTGCTTTCTTGAAAAGGATGATTATCTCACAGTCAATGAACTTGGTGACAAATTATAGGTATTTTGATATTGCAGGTATAGTAATTTTAATGCAACCCATCAATGCATAGATCAATGAATTTTATATTTATTATATGATATATATTCTACTGTACTAGTATTTCTAAGGAAGATGAACACCCAGGACAAATAAATATATTTTATTTCTGAGTTTGGAATATACAAATTGTTATTTTCAGTGGCAATAGCATGTCTATCTTCTGTTGGAATGTTATTTTAAAAAATACTTCTATCTGCAGCAATACAGAAGGAACACTGGTTATTTGGGAGATAATTATTTCTGAAAAAAATAGAGCAAAGACTAAAAGCTAAGAACTTTGAGTTATTTGTACTAAATGTTATCTAGTATCATTTGAGAGATGAATGATTGTAAGATATTGTCTCCACGCTCAGAAGAGAAGGTATAGATCTTCGAAAAATTTAATAATTTACTGAATTATATTCTAAATAAGTTTAAATGTTCACACATGTGAAAATGCTTTGTGAATTAAAAGCTACCACAAAATTTAAGGGCATGCCATTATTATTTTCGGAGTTAGTTTATCATGGCAATTCTTATAGCTAAAGCCCCATCAATTCTTCTTTTTTCAGTGACCAGGTCCAGATCATCAAAATAAGAATGAGCAGAACAATGAGCCCTCCCAGAGGAAGAGACAGCCAACAGAAAATGTTATTCCATCCAAGAAATCAATTTGTTTATTCATAATTTGAACAAAGTATTTCCATGCCAATTACTGATTGGTCTCTCCAAGGTCTTTTTGTTTTTTAACTCACCATAACAGATGGAGGAAAATATATATACAACTAAAACCTGATAGCATAATTAGTGGACTGGAAGTTGGGGTAAAAACCACATAACCAAATCCTTAACAGGAAGGTCAATATCAAGACATATTCATTATACTTTGAATGGTTATCAAAATACATGTGTTAGTGCAAATCAGTACCATGTGCTTTTTCCCTGTCAGTATTTGTTTTTTATCTAATTTACCTATATTATTATTTTTAAAATGTGATCTTCAGCCCAGTGAGTTCTATCACTCTCCTCTTTATCTAGTCCTCTTATAATAATTTTCAATGTTTAATATGCTTTAAAATGGGACAAATCATATCCAGGAAATAAACTGTTTACCAAGAGGAACTTTGTTAAAAAAAGATAAACTGGCTGAAATGATTAACTGTAAAAGTTCATTTCATCCCTGTCTACATGTGGCTTGATAATTAATTAATCTTATATTTATGAAAAATAGGGGAAAGAGAATCATAAATGTTCATAATTTAGAGGAAAGGAACCGAGACACAGAGAGGTGAGTACCTTGCAGATGAGGGATCAGTGCTTAATCTACATGTCTACTCTGTTCCCACAGTCTGCAAGGAAGAGAAACAGAATTTATAAAGTAGATTTGTAAATCCTGATAACATGAGTCAGGATATGATTATGTAACTTCAAATATCTTTGCATTTAACAAGCTAGAAACCCAGAGCTTGATATTTGTTGAATTGCATACATGCCTTTTCCTGGTTTCTTGTTTACAATAAATTTTGTGGCAGGATATTTAGATTTGTGAATTCTAGCCAGACTGCTCTCTAATGAGACTACAGCTTGTTTGGGTTTTAAAGCTTTATGACATTTATAGATGTTTACTTTGCATCTCTAAAAAACACAGAAATGCTCCCATACTATAAAAATACTGATCTCTAAACTTTCAAAGCATAATGCAAAAAATCCCTAGGTGACGAACCTTTGTGATAGAGTAATACTTTTTTCAATTCTTTGACAAGTGGCACTATTATTTATAAACTTGAGTTACACAGGATAGTATATAACTACAGCAACAATATTTTGATAAAAGGTGTCAGATAAATGCTTTGCCTGAAAAGGCTAATCCAGAAAACTTTTTTCCCCTTCCTCTTGCATGAAACCTCTTAAGCAGTTGACAGGCACGAGACACATTGCCCACAGAGAGTGGCACACACTGAGAACACACAGTATCTGACTTAAAATTCCAGCTTTTGCCAAAGAAGAGTTGTCTTCAGCAGCCGTGTCAGGGTGCCCCGGGAAAAAAGACAGAGACTCCTCTGGTCTTTTCTGTCATTAAGTGTGAGAAAATAATACTTTAACCAACTAGTGTGGAGGTGATTACCTCCTCCAAGAAACATTTTGATAAACTGGCCCACTCCACTTGAGCTTCTAGGGGTTAAGCCAGATCACAAGCTGAGAGGAGGGAGAGCAATGCAAATAAGAAATAACCCAAAATGAGGCATCCCTAGCACAGTTACCAATTCTAGCTTCAGCCTTTCTTTTATCTAGAGCGGGTCCTACAACTCCAGAGTTTTTTTTTTTTTCTGGGTCTGCCAAAATTCAAGTTCCTACACTAATTTGTTGATTTGGGTCTATTAGTATAATTATTATTTTCATCCCCACATTTGAAACTCATTCTATGAGACTAAACAGAAGAAGGCAAATGGATTTCATTTCAAAAGCCAATTTTTATCTATTACTAGTGGCTGTCTTTGGGGTCTGATTTGAGCAGAATTCTGAGGCTGAGCATGGTGAGAAAGTACAACTTAATGATTTCATGATATCTGCTAGCTACGGGGATAGGGTCAGATCCCCAGGGCTTGCAGCATGTGTAGGTAATCAAAAAAATGTTTGTTGAATCTTTGGTTTTATGCAAAATGGCTGAGGTCTCTTTGGAAAAGAAGCTTTAAAAACAAAAGTAATAGAAAATCAATGGCTGTATACCCTTAGATAGAAATGCAGCCATCCGCTCACTTACCTTTTATCTGAAATACTTCAATAGCCCTTCCTCACCTCTTTCCAAGCTATACTGATATAAAAATGACCTTTCTAAATTGGATCATGGTTGCTTTTTCCATCCCTGGTTCCTTATTCTCATAAGGCTCTCTTAGGAAGCATATCACATAAGCATATAAAGATCACCTAGGGCAGACAGATAGATAGATAAATTAGACAGAGAGGTGAATGGATGGTAGGTAGGTAGGTAAGTAGAGATAGATAGATAGAACTAGGGCACTTTCATTAATCAATTTGCTGGTTATTCTCTGCATTCTGTTCCCTTGCATCAATACCTCAGACTCTTTGCTATGGCTCAGAGACCTATGTTCTCTTCTTGAAACCTTTGACTTCATTGTAGCTCACAGATTAAGATAAAAGAGACTCCCAGTGACACTCTCAGAAGAGGAAGGGTCCCCTGGCATTACTGCATGAAGAGGCAGATTGAGACGACAACTCATCCTTTATTAGAATCTTTTCCTTAGAATATAAAGGGCAAGCTCCTTAGTGGTTTAAAAAAAAAACTGTATTTCTCCATCTGGTCCCTGCTGTTTTGCTCAGCTTCATACAACCAATCATCATTCTCCAACAATGAGCCTTTTAAAGCTCCTTAACTACACCACGATGTTTCTAAAGTTCTGCTTCTCTTCACTGGTGTTTTTGCTTTTTTGTCTGCTTGACAAACTCTGACTTGGTTTTGAAAACCCAGTTCATAATCATCCCACACCACACCCTGGAAAAAGTTAATCATTCCCTTCTCTGGGTTAGCTCTGCACTGTTCCCATAAATATTTCTATAGTTGCACGAATCAGGTGCTTTGTTAGTTTAAATTAGTATCTGTGAACTGGTTGAGAGCAGGAACTTTGTCTTAATTTTCTGTTTTCTTAGCACCCAGCATAGTTTAGGACACATTCAATATAACTGAGGATACCTTTAAGATTTTCCATTAGGGAGAAAAAGGGAATAGTGATAATATTATCCAAGAAAGGAAAATGAAAAACAGGAGCAGACTGCATTGTGAGATGCCATTTGTTTCATTTGGAGATAGTCACGTTTCAAAGTCCCAGTTAGATGTACCACAGAAGAAATTAGAGGGTTTGGGAAATCTGGGCTTAGAGTTAGGAAAGGGGTTTGGAGCTGAAGATGGTCATCTGAGAGTCAGCAACACATAGGCAGTAGCGGAAGCCATAGATGCACATAGAAATGAAAAACTAGAAAAAGTGGCAAGAACCCTGTAGTTCACTAAAAATTTGGCCCCAAATTTAGGAGCCAATGAAGAACATGTGGATAGATGAAGACTGGGAAGAATGATAAGGAAGAACCTGGAGGACCTCAGAGGCCAAGGACATTAAAATTTCAAATAAGAAGGGGTATCGATCATGTTAGCATCTCATAATGGTTAAGTGGGATGAAAGCTAAACAGATGAGATGAATTTTCTAATATGAAGAAAGGGGTGTGCAGGGCAAAGCACGACATCGAGAGCAATTTCAGTGGAGGCAAAAGCCCGGGATAGAACAAACTGCAGTCAGTCAGAGTGAATGAGTGCCTTTCATCCAGACTCATTACAGAAACTGTGGCTTAAGCAAGAAGCCCTCAGTGGCCATCTGGGTGAGAAGTGGAGGGGAAGAGGGATGGAAAGGTGTGGTGAGAAGGAATCAGCTAATGGGCAAAGCAGGAAGGATTCTACTGTTTGCACGACAACATTTTACATATTGTATATTTTAGGCAAGATGTCCCTAGGCAAATGGTTCCATAATCCCTTTTGTTGATAAATGCCTATTCCCTCATTTCTCATGTTTCTATAAAGGGGAAAGAACATCAACTCCACCAGAAGATACAGTCTCTGGCTTCTCATTCACTTCTTCTTGGGAAGGAATAATTTATCTGATTTTTGAGTTTGGGAGAAGAAATTGAACATGACTAGCTCATTATCTTCCTCCCTTAAATTCATAAAAGGCACAGAATCTCCTATTCTGTTATGCTTTAAGCAGCCTGCCACAGCAGAGGAGGATGACGGCTGTCTACCAATGCCTGTAACTGGGGGCTCAGTTTACATAGAAGGGAGTTGTATTAAGTCCAAGTGGTCACAGATGTAAGTCACATTCTCCAATTCGGTCATGCTGGTAATAAAGCTTATGGTATACACTCCATCTGTCTCACTCTCATGTTTGCTTCTCAACTAGATGTGAACTCAAGGTGGGAATCGGGTGCTTAATTATTATTGCCTTAAAACCTTAAAAGTAGGCCGGGCGCGGTGGCTTACGCCTGTAATCCCAGCACTTTGGGAGGCCGAGGTGGGTGGATCACCTGAGGTCAGGAGTTTGAGACCAGCCTGCCAACATGGAGAAACCCCACCTCTACTAAAAAAGAAAAAAAAAAATACAAAATTAGCCGGGCGTGGTAGTGCATGCCTGTAATCCCAGCTACTTGGGAGGCTGAGGCAGGAGAATCGCTTGAACCCTGGAGGCAGAGGTTGAAGTGAGCTGAGATTGTGCCAGTGCACTCCAGCCTGGGCAACAAGAATGAAACTCTGTCTCAAAAAACAAACAAACAAACAAACAAAAATCAAACCTTAAAATTACACTTCAAGGAGGTTGTTTAAAAATAGAGAAATATAAGACCTCCAATTCCTCATCTGTGAGGTGAAGGGGCTGAAGTGGATAATCTTTAAGTCCTTCCCAGCAATCTCTACACGTCTGTTTGCTATTGTGTGTGTGTATATATCAGACAAGCGGTGGGGCGGTGGGGGTGGTGCATGCGCAAGGAGTCAGACAATCTTAGGTAAAAGGAAGGGAGGATTCAAAGCAGGAGCAGGCAGTCACCGGGGTAGTGAGCAGAAAGGTCTCCTAGGCTGAAGAAAAATTAAGAGATTAGAGGGCAACTTACTTATGAAGAGCATTTTCTGAGACAAAAATGAAGGTTGCTATATATAAACAAAAATATATATATACACATACATATACATTATAATACATAGAGATAAACAAAAAGCAAAATACTGAATCAGGCTGGAAAAAAATTCTCCCCAATTCACCAGCCCTTCCATGCTCACATAAACCCCTTCCCTCATTAGATTATAAGATTTTGTACCTTTGCACCTAAATTTTCCAAGAGAAAAAATGAATAGGCCACAAAATGCCTAAAAGCAAATGCTAGGAATTGTTTGGCTCAAATAACAAAACAGAGACCCTTAACTAAGCTGAGGACAGTGGAATATTATTTTGCCTTCTTGCCTGTTGGAAGCACTAAGAAGACATTTCCAATTCCAACGTTCCATAGACCAAAAGGCTTAGGTGAAGAGGGTTTCCAGGCTCACAGCTCAATGAAAACAATGATGATCCAGGGGAGTCATGGCACTCATGTCTTCAACACTAATGGATTTCAGCTGATTCATCAGTGAACATTTCTCAGACCAAAGTGGAAAAAGCAATTTTTGTCTTCTGTTAAACAGAAATCTCAGTCAGTCTTGCACTGAATTCTTTCACAGAAAATCTCTGCTCTTCTGCCTTTTCAGACACACAAGGTCTCCAGCGGGTGCTCTCCAGAGATGGAAGGAAGGTGTGTTCTGTGCAGTGCATCAGTTGCTATGTGTTCCATTGTGGCAATTGTGATTCACAAGGGCATAGCTGAGCCACCACAGCTTTCAGCTGTAATCCTCCTGGCATCTATCCCTGCTGTTAGAGGGATAATTATCTGGTTATCCCTGAGGCCAGTTCTTGCCATTTTCACATAAAAATCACCTCTTGCATAAGACATGGAATTTAAAATCATCTCCTCATACATATCATTGAGTCACTTCATTACCTCTGGGACATATATAAATTATGCATTCTTCGATTCTCTTTAAATTTTTAGAGGCTCATAGGGACAGTGAAGGATCTCATTGGTACTGAAAATATAAGGCATTCCAGAAAGAAACAATAACTTGTGTGACATTAACTGCTACTAGTGTTCCAAAGGCTCCCTGCTTGGTCAAGGAAATCACATAAAGCATGGAGAACTAATAGCAGGCTTGCATGCTAATGACTGCCGGTCTGCTAGTGACTGAATGTCACTGCCTCACATCCTCATGCTATTCATTTTTCTTATCTCAGTGACTTCTCCCTTCACAGGACTGATTTACTTCTTTAAATTGGCACCATTCTGAGTGTCTGCAACCAAGAAGGCACTGAAAAATTAGAACCCACATGCCCTTATTCCCATTTATTTCTCCAATCCCATGCCTCAATATTAAGAGAGTTATTTGTCTGTACCATGGAAATAGTGTTTTATGAATTCTCTGGAGCTTGTTTGATTTTACCTTTAGATGCGTCCAAGACTCACTACCATACGTGCATTCTTTAAATTCTTTAAAGAGAGGGCGTGACATTAGCATGAATAAAATGCAGTGGCTGTCACGGCAAGAATGAAGAAATGTGTGTGTTCTCATGCCCTGCCATTAAGATGAATTCACAGATGTAAGCTGGCAACACAACACAGCACAACACAACACTGGCAACACAGACATCCATGGAGGGCTACACATTTCATTCCATAGTTCCCATTCAATATAAATATGGCTAACATTCCTTAAAGATTCAAACCCATAGTATATTGTTCACCTCCAAACTGGAAAAAAACCTAGTCCTGTCACAGAAGTGAATTCAGTTGCTTGATCTTTACAGCTGCTGATAAAAGTTTGAGGAGTTCACAGACTTATGGGAAAAGTGAGATAAACTTCAGTATCCAGCATTAAAGGCTTTCCAAGGCAAAATACATTGTGCAATATTAATTTTTCAAGTTAAAAATTGGAGGTATTTGAAAACCATTGCTTCCCCAAACAGGAAGGAAAACCACTGTTTGGGTGGTAAAATGTGCTAATTCTGTACAAAATGCCTTTAAGCCCTTGACCTAATGAGGTTAGTGACAGGGATATGGATGACTAGAACAGAAAATGAAACTCAGAAAGAATTTTGTTCATGAACTGCCATATTTCTCCTGTCATTTAGCCAATTTTCCCTCTCAAAATTACAACATGGACTGCAAATCTTCAAGGCTAATGCTGCATATGACAGACTAAGTGCTATTTAAAATGTAATAATATATCTGTCAATCTGATAGGAAAAAACAAGAGGCCACGCGAAGGACTTTTCAGGTAGACATGGGTCCTAAAAGGTTATAAAGACGGTAATCAGGAAAGCAAGCCACCACACAGCTTTTCCCGTCCAATTAGTAAAAGTGCAGTATTGTCAGCGAGTTCTACAAATGAAAGAATCCTTTCAGCCTGAGCACTCAATGGCGTATACCCACTCTATTAAGTGACCTTCATTGTACAATACATTAATTTCTACTAAAATTAATGTTTTGGGTTAAAATCAATGCTTAGAGGACATTAATGGAAATGATTTAATATGTGTGTCATGCATACTGTTTCAAAAGTTTTTAATCTTTGTAATTTGCTACAAACCAAAATTATATGAGAGGTGGAAGAACACTCAGAATTCTAAAACTCCCACTGCTGACTAAAACATACCACTTTTGTTTTCCACTTTCATCTCAGTCAGGGCATCTGTGCTATTTTAATCTGCCATGCCTGAATTATCAGGAAAGAGAAACCACTGGTTTCCTACAAACATACTTTATCTTAGTAGGACACTTTCCCTCTAGACTCTCTGTGTGGATATTTTCAAGGATTCACAGCGAGACACTGGGTGTGTACGATTGAGGTTATTTAAGATTTTCCCACAATGACTGGCATCCATGTGGAGAGACACCAAATGTCATGCCTCTTCTTAACCAGTTCTGAGGCGGGGAAGGTAGGGAAGGAAAAGCAGTGCGCCTGGGGAGATGGCATGACAAAAGAGAGAGCCACATTCTGCTTAGGAGCTTATTGCTTTAAAAGTTCACCTAAGATTGAATTTAAAATTTGCTTTAAGCACCTATAATGAAAGAACATTTTAGATCTTGGGAGAAAAGGTACAAGTGTCCAGCATGGAGTGAATCGCTTGGCCCTTTAATATTTAACTTCACTGAAAAAGAAACCTCGTGAAGTCCTCTTAAAAGAACGCAGGGGACTGCACAGGACTTTCTCAATTGATGGCATAATGAGAACCATTAGGAAGCTTGACTCCATTTTACATCTTAAATCTCCAAGTCCTCCTTGCAAAAGGAAGCAAACAGTACCTGCTTCCCAAGTGAGACTTGAGTGGAAAGTCGGCCAAAATGAGACAGTTTTCAGAAAACAAATTTCAGTTAAGTCTCAGGAAGCTACACTACTACTACTTTCTCTATTCTCCATGCCCTGCTCCTGACAGATGGGAAATACATCAACTACACTCTGGGCAGAGGTAAGTGACACAGAAGATTTCCATAGGTAGTGTTCAGGTCACACCTTCCTGAACAACTTGTTTTATTAAACTGTTCCTAAGAAGAACCTCTGCCTTCCTGTTGACCTTAAAATCTTCTCAAGAGGATTATAACACAAGATGCTTTTATATTGTGGTTATTAACAGCTACCATTTATCCCAGAGGCTCAAAACAATAGGATGAGGATTGTTACCAGAAGAATAAGACATAGATTCCTCGGTAATTTAGCAAATTTCCAGCTGTAGTACTCCTTGCCCAGTAAAATGCTTGGCTAGCCCTTTGGTATTTTACTCCAGGTTCCTCTTCTGTAAAGTCAACCAACACAAGTGGCCTGACAGTCATGATGGTGACAAGGGATGATGTTCACTTTGATTGTATTTTGGAGGTAAATGCCTGGGCAAAGAATATAAGAAACCACATCCTAGCAATATGTTGTAATACATAAGTTTCTAAAAACTAAAAAACAACTAAAAGAATGTACATTCCATTGAAATGTACTGGCCCTTGTAGTCTAATGAGAAACGTAATAGAAGACAATGAAACAAAAAGTATTTTCTTCAATTAATAACACAACTCAGGAAGAAATGTTAAGAATTAAGGAAAAGGACTCATAAAAAGCAACCAGAGTTAATTGTTTAAGAAGTGCATATCTAACCCCATCACTTGCCTACTTAGATTGGCACCAAATCCTTAACACAGACTGTTGTAATAGGACAACAGAAGCTATTAAAGGGTTTCAAACTGGGAGGGGAGGGAAGCATGCAATCTTCCTACTTCTGTCTTCCTACTTCTAAGACTCAATCCACTTGCCGCTATTTTCTGCTTTCTCTAGGAAAGCTTCCCACAGCTGACGAGGAAATTAGATTCCCTATAGTATAATCTTGTAGGACTGTATACTTTTTCTTGACACTTATCACACTTAGAATTACTTTTTCAATGTTTCTCTTTCTCCTCAGACCTGTGATGAGCAATATGGCAGCCACATGTAGCTATTGAGCATTTAAAATGTGCCTAGTTCACATTAAGATGTGCTGTAGTGTAAAACACATGCCAGATTTGACAAACTTAGTACATACTGCTACTGAAAAAAAAAATGTGGCCCTGCAGAAACCTTGATTTTAGCCCATGAGACCAATTTTAGTCTTCTTAGCTTTAGTAACAGAAGAGAATAAATTTAGGTTGTCTTAAGACACTAGTCTATCGTAATTGTAACAGTAGCAATAGAAAACTAATAAATGTGGCTTCCAGAAAGATTAAATTACATATATAGATCACATAGTATTTCTATGGAACAGCACTAGGTTAGATTATAAACTCCATGAGGGCAGGAAAATGTCTGTTTTCTCAGCTGCTCCATGTTCTGCACCCAGCATGCTTCCTGACACATATAGTCAGTCCAAAATACTGTGGATTAAAGAAAGAAATTTAAAGAAGGTTTTACCCCCTTTATAATTCGTAATTCAATCACTATTCCAATAAAAAATTATTAAGCGTTTACTATGAACCACACATTGTGTAAGGCACTGAAGATACAAGTATAATAAGAAGTGGTTGCCAGAGAATGGGAGAGAAGGGAATAAGTAGTAACTGCTTAATGGGTATGGATGTTCCTTTTAGAGTGATAAAAATATTTTTTTTTTTCTTTTTTTTTGAGACAGAGTCTCGCTCAGTCGCCCAGGCTGGAGTGCAATGGTGCGATGTCGGCTCACTGCAACCTCTGCCTCCTGGGTTCAAGTGATTCTCCTGCCTCACTCTCCTGAGTAGCTGGGATCACAGGCATGCTCCACCACACCCGACTAATTTTTGTATTTTTAGTAGAGATGGAGTTTCGCCATGTTGGCCAGGCTGATCTCAAACTCCTGACCTCAGGTGATCTGCCTGCCTTAGCCTCCCAAAGTGCTAGGATTACAGGCATGAGCCACCATGCCCGGCCTCAATATTTTCAAACTAGATAGCAGGACCAGTGTCTGGAGAGGGCTGTCTCCACTTCCAAGATGGCACCTTATGGCTGTATTCCCCTAAGGGGAAGAACACTGTGTCCTCATGTGGCGGAAAAGACAAAAGGGCAAAAGAAAGAAAAGAGGAATTCCCTCCATCAAGCCATTTTATAACAGCACTAACCCATTCATGAGAATGAAGCCCTCACAACCCAAAATCCTCCCAAAGGACCCCACTTCACAATACTACTGCTCTGGGGACTCGGTTTCCAACACATGAATTTTGGAGGAGTCCTCCAGACCACAGCATTAACCATGCAGATTGTAGAAGGAGGAATATTGCAGACAGAAAGCTCATTTATAGCATCCCTAGATGGCTCTTCAAACTCTTGGCCTTCTCTATTAACTGACAACTTTCTGCTTCCTTGCCCCTATCCTGATTGACAGTTCTTAGAGAGTAAAGCCTGAATCTTTGAAGTCATAGTCACCATAATTACCCAGAGTCACAGAGCCCAAGGAGCAAAAAGCTGTTCAAAATGGGAAACTATATAAAAAAAAGGAGAATGGGATCCAGAGGCTTGATCAACTCTATGGGCAATCCCACAAAATATGCATGTAATATATAATCAGAGAGAAGAAAGGAAGAAAAAAACTAGGTTTGCTTAGACTTTACCTGACGACACACGACAGCCATTTGAAACGATCTGGCTTCTAATAAAAATAAGACATAGAGCCCTAAACACAATTTGGGAAGAAAACCAAGAGGTCATCAAAATCACAGGATATACATGACAGTGGATAGGGCCACTTGGCTTCTCCTGTGGCTGAGAAAGATTTAAAAACAACCTGGGAATATCAGTGAAATTTATTTCAACTAAGAATTGATGCAAACAACTGTACACTAGATAAAAAAGAAGTGGTAATTTGAGGAAAATGTATTATATTTGTGCTCTAGAATAATTTTGTTTATAAAATTTTTTGACACATTTGAAAACTTTTATCTCTAATTCTTAATAATGAAATGCTAATAATTCATACTTAATATACTTAATGACAAAATTTACCTAATACTTAATATAATGAAATTTATCCTCAGTTCATGTGTTATCTTCTCAGAAAGGCCTTCCCTTCATAAGTAGCGTCACTCAAGAGGTACAATCAAATCCCCTTGCTTTATTTCCTGCAGATTATTATCTGACACTTTTTTGTTCACAATGCATCCACTTTTCTGCTTACATTTGCCTCCTCTCTCTAGAATGTAAGCTCTGTTAGAGCACAGCTGATATGGTCTTATTCACTGCTTTGTCTGCAACCACCCTTAGCAGAGTGCCAACCCTTAGTAGGTATCTTTGTAGAATGAATCAATGAACACAAAATCAAAATATTATTGCTTGACTTAATTCCACCTTTGATCTCCTCCCCCAATGATATATAAAACTTTATAACTGGAAAATTTGTTAATTTTATTTCTATTCTAGAAGTCTTACTAGATTTAATAGGTATTATAGAGTTAATTAAGCAAGTGGGACCAGAAATCATATTCCTAGATAGGAATTCTTGTTCCTTCATTTTTTTTTTCCTTCTGCTTGTGTGGCCTTGGGTAAGCTACTTAACCTTCTTATGACTTAGTCTCATCATTAAAATCAAGGGATTAATATTAATATTAGCTATGTCATAGGGTTGCTTGAAGACTCAAAGTGTAGAGAATAGTGTCTGGGACCTACTAAGCACACATTAAATGTAAATTCCATAATGGGTTGAAGTAGTAAATGAGGAAGAATGGTGGCTTAACAAAATGTGGGATTTTCTATCCTCTCAAAGAAACAGATGGTTTTAGGAGTAAGTTATCTGTACCCAGAGGTGTTCAAACAGAAATAATTATCCACTTGATGGAGATATTAGAAAGAAGATTTATGTATCAGAAATCCAATTACATTAGATAACTTTTAACAGCTCCCTTTCTACTCTTGCAGTGCTAAGCTCCCATTGTGAACTGAAGCTGAGAAGTACACAGTACACTTCCCAGATGCAAAGACAATGAGCATTTCAGTCTCCAATATCCAGCAGATGCATTTCTACTATTTTCACAAGGGATTCAGTGTCTT
Organism: Homo sapiens; assembly: GCF_000001405.40. Taxonomy (NCBI): domain Eukaryota; kingdom Metazoa; phylum Chordata; class Mammalia; order Primates; family Hominidae; genus Homo; species Homo sapiens. Next base: position 43,579,541 of record NC_000013.11, read on the forward strand.
CTCCATACTTGCAGAACTTCCTGTTTATCTTTCACTATCCATGTCTATGTTATTGATCTCCCCATGAGACCACAAGGAATCAGGGTGGAGGAACATGGGAAATGGAGCACAGGCATTCTGGGAGACAGAACACTGAGAGCTATGCTTGCTCAGAAGGCTCATGGTAAAGAAAATTGAAGGCAAACCTGAAGGGGAGGAATTGCAAAGACTTTGAGATCTTCAAATAAGTCAAAAACAAAACAAAACAAAAACACTACAATTCTTAATTAGAAAGGAAGAACTTAAATTTATCCAAACTCAAAGCAGCCCATATTCTACTGTAAGTGGAGGGATATGACACTGGAAACCAACTGACATTTCCCAAAGTGGTCCTACAGTAGGAAAGAGTTCAAGGTGTTCTTCCAGATGCCCACCAATACAGCCAGCAAGGAGGGTAGGGGTAGGGTGGTGAGGGCTGTGGAAAGGGGTGCACCCACATGCAAGCAGATAGTAATCATGCCTTTTTAAAAAAGAAGAGAGACCTGAAAAATCTAAATCCAGGTGCAGACTTGAGAATGAGAATGAGTCAATGGGCTTCTACATGTACATCATCAGAACATTATCTGGGATATTCATGTCCTTGACCTGTACAAAAAATTCCAAAACACCTGCTATACCAGAAAAGATCAGTTAAATGACATTCTACTTTAATATTTATGTTAACTGGGTTTTATCATATTCACATTGTCTAAAAATTAGCAATTTATGTGTACAAAGTTAGTTGACACTCAGCCATTTGGGGTTTTTTTGTAAACAGTGGACACTTTTGTCGCCAACAAGTAATGTTACGTAGCATTCACAGACATAGTATGACTTAATTCTCACCAGTCGTAAATTTGGAGCAGCTTCTCTGTGAGGTATTTTCAAGTGCCGACCAGAATAGCTGCACTAAGAACAGTTCTTGTATGCTCAGGTGAATACCTAAAAATACACACTTATTCTTCTTTCTACAGCAGTGAAAGCCATTTTCACCTCCCCTACAAAAGACTTTGATGTCAGTGTGTGTCAGCCTCAGTTAAGCTGTTGCAAATCCTATATACACATTTGGGGCAGTTCTTTCAAATTCTGATGAGCTAGCCAAAAATTGCTTCAAAAATGTTACAGTCCTTCCTCACTGTTTGCACGCAATTATTGGTAAGCTCATTCTGAGTTCAAAGAACTTCAAAGTTTATTTTTATAGGTAAGGTTACAGCCTCTCTTAATAGAATTCTCATTTTGTACTGTATGTACAGAAATTTGCTTGAGTCTTTAGAAGTTTATTTTAGAAACTTGAGAAGTTTTAAATTTACACATATGTTATTTAGTAAGTCATATTTAAATTCAAGAACTTGTCAATTTAATATAGTTTGTCCTTTAGGAGATTAATTGAAGCAGGTGGTAATGAAAGTTAGGACCTTGTGTTGAAATATGATAGATGAATTTATTTTAAGGCTATTGGAAGAGCTAGTTTATTTGCTATACCTTGTATTCTCTTATACCTAAACATAGAGCAAAATGGAGAGATACTCAGGTATCTGACCTAAGTTATTTTAGCACTACCTGATTCTTTTTTTTTTTTTTTTTTTTTTTTTGAGACGGAGTCTCACTCTGTCGCCCAGGCTGGAGTGCAGTGGCGGGATCTCGGCTCACTGCAAGCTCCGCCTCCCGGGTTCACGCCATTCTCCTGCCTCAGCCTCCCAAGTAGCTGGGACTACAGGCGCCCGCCACTACGCCCGGCTAATTTTTTGTATTTTTAGTAGAGACGGGGTTTCACCGTTTTAGCCGGGATGGTCTCGATCTCCTGACCTCGTGATCCGCCCGCCTCAGCCTCCCAAAGTGCTGGGATTACAGGCGTGAGCCACCGCGCCCGGCCCACTACCTGATTCTTAATGGCTTCCTCTGGCATCAATATTTCATCAGTTTTATTCCATCCCCAAGGAGGAAAAGTCCATTTCTTACATATACAATTAAAAATCATTTTCTAAAAAGCTTAAGTCTTAGCACAAGACAAAGAATTATCATACAAGTGACACAAAAAAGTTTTAAAAACATTTTCCAAACATCAGCGGTTATTGATTACGAGTGATACTTTCCCTACTCTCCTAGTGGGTATTTTTGATTGTCAAAATGAGCTGGAAGACTCTGTTGGCCTTTACTGTGCAGAGGAGCCAGGGATGCAAAACCTCCTGTAATGCACATGGCAGCCATGAACAATAAAGGACTGTGCCAACCAAAATGTCAACATGGGGATACAAGAGAAAAATACAGAAACCAATTAATAGCAGGAATTATTTACCTCTTTCCATTTGTGATCAATCAAGTAGATTTAAAAAAAGGAACTATACAGAGTATCCAAATAACCTAACTAAAATGGTAAATCATATATAGTATGTTCTACATGCATGTATATATCATATCTGCACCCTGGAAACACAGAACACACCTTCTTTTCCAATATCTACAAAACAGGCACAAAATTTGAAAATCTATTATGCCACAAATAAAACATCAATAAATTCCCCAAAAAAGAAAAGTATAGAAAACATTCTTGTATCATGATACAATAAAACTATCAATATCTAACAAAACTAGAAAAAATATGTCTTATCTTCTGAAAATTTTAAACTTCCCTCATAATTTTGAGGTCAAGGAAGAAAAAAATTAATAACATGCAGAAAATAACTTTTAAAAAAAATCCACAGGATAGCTAAAGTCATGCTGAAAGGAAAATTCATAGATTTAAACAGTTGATTAATAAACATGAAATAATAAAAACTAAATTAAACATTCCATCCAGGGAGTTAAAGGAAACAAAACTACAGAAAGCAGAAAAAGTAATAAATATACAGAAATATAAATTAACTGAAAGTGTCTTATTTATTTTCAATAAATAAATTGAGAAGCTGGTACCTAATTAGTTCACCAAATCAAGGGGGATAATGAAGGAGGCTAAAACAATTACACAAAATAAAAATAATAAGAGCCAGATAATACCAACATGGAAGACATTTTATTTCTTTTTCTTTTTTTTTGGAGACAGGGTCTCACTCTGTCACCCAGGCTGGAGTGCAGTGGTGCCATCATGGCTCACTGCACACTCAACCTCCCAGGCTCATGGGTTGCTCCCACCTCAGCCTCCTAAGCAGCTGGAACTACAGGCGCACACCACCACACCCAGCTAATTTTTAAATTTTCTTGGAAGAGACGGGGTCTTGCTATGTTGCCTAGGCTAAAGACCTTTTTAAAAATTATAATTGATTCCTTTGCTCAACTCTGTGCAAATAATTTCAAAACATGGATAAAGGAGATAATTTTCTAGAAATTATTGTATGTCAACCTACTTCCAGAAGAGAGAGAAATATTACACTAATTATCACACAAATAAAGAAGATTGTTAGAGTTATCCCCCAAACTGGACACACATGCACAGACAGACAGACAGACAGACACACACACACGCACGCACACACACAGCCTAGATGGTTTCATAGCACAACTTGCCAAACCTTTCAAATAACAAAAAATTCCAATGCCATTTAAACTCCTTCAAAGCATAAGGGAAGAAAAGACTAGGACAGTTTCCAAGTTCTTTTTACAAAGCAATAGTAACATTGATACCAAAACTTGACAGATTGTACCAAAAAGAAAATTATGGAGCAAACTCATCTTGGAATAGCAATGCTAAAATTCTAAATTAAATATTGACAAATAGAATCCAACAGCAATTAAAGTAATACATCATGACTGAGTGAAATTTATTTTATTCAGGAATGTAAAATAAATTTTTTAAAAAGACCAAAAACTTAGAAATAAATCTATCAACACCAAATTACTCATTATGGCATTCAAAGCCTTTTATAGATGACACAGTTTTCTCTTCCACATTAATCCCACTATTTCAATGACAGTCAAACACTATTACTCACTTTTTCTTGTACTTATGCTATTTCCTATCCCTTAACCTCCGCTAATTTTGTATCTATGTTTGGAATGCCATCTGTCTAAACTTCCTCCCAGTTCTAAATATCCTATCTACCCATAAAACCCAATCTAAATATTAACTCAAAAAAGCTTATTTGATTCTCCCTACAGACACCTTTCTTCTGCTGAACAACCAAAATGCTATCTTTCTTGCAGCACTCATTATATATTTTTTAAAAACATCAGGTCTTCTATTGTCATCAAGTAAACACTTGTTATTTTCAGCCATGTATTACAGATATTTGTGTAAAGGCTCTACATCTCCTATCAGATATAAACTTTTCTTTTTTTTTTTTTTAGGGTAAGGGCCATGTCTTATGTACCTTTGTATTCTAATCACTCCAAGCACAAATCTTTCCATACTTAAACATTTTGACGCACGAGCACAAAAAAACCCAGATTGTAAAAGCAAACTGAAGACTTGCGAAGAATAGTTTCCCCTTAAAATGTAACTGCATGTGCACAGGATGAAGAGTTAGAATCTGAAAATCAGCTGGGCACTAGCCATGCCTGCCCTGCTACCTTTCCATAGCCAGAATCACAGCAGCATGAACTGCACTCAAGCTCCAGACCAAGAAACTCTAATTACCTTCAGCGAGCAAGTAAACTGACAGTAACAGCTATTGCAGGAGGCAAAAGCAGCTACAACCTTCAATTCCAGGCACGGAGGTGGGAATAAGGAAAGAAGTCGGGATGGAACTGTTGGTTTCATTAGGTTGTTGGTTTGGAAGCAAGTATTTCACAAACACACCCATCCCCCCACTATACACATCCATCCGCTTCATATTTTCATTTCTCATAATGCCAAAATATTAACTTGTGTTCTAATATTTCAGGGAAGATGTATAAGCTAGTGAGAGTCATAATGTCGAGTTTCAAAATGCATGTATAATTTGTTATGCGTGGCAGGGTGAACAGTCCTATCAGAAATGCACCTGAAGGTTTGCTAGGAACAGAATATTAAACAGAGCAGAGACTATGGGATCTAACGTGATAAACTGACATTAGGTTAGAACAGTACAAAAATGCCACATTCCAACCACTGTTGATACACTTCTGGAGAAGTGGACTTTCAATATAAAGCAGTTATTCTAGGTGCAATTTTAATAGCAATGAAATACAATGAAATGACAAATCTCTGGTTCATTCTGAATACAAGAGTTCCTGCTTATTTTGAGACCATGTGAATCAAAGAAGTCGACATCACCAGCACTTTGCTTGTAGGCTAATCTAGTAGTGACTTTTGATTTCCTGCTCCCCCTGTTGATCCATCCATCCACAGCTTTAAGACCAGCCTGACTACAATCATTCTTCATGTCACCAAAATCTCCATCCGCAGGCAAGAAGGAGATACCCAGCTGTCCCAGTTTGTTACCCCATCGCAAGCACAAACTGGGATCACTTTCTCCACCCCAACTGTGGTAGGCTGAATAAAGGCCTCCCAAAGATGTGAACGTCCTAATCCCCATAATCTTTGAATATGCTATCTCATAAGGCAAAAAGGATTATGCAGATGTGATTAGGTTACAGATCTTGAGATGGGGAGATTATCCTGGATGATCCTATGGACTCTATGTAATCACAAGGGTCCTATAAAGAGGGAGGCAGAAAAATCAGTGTTACAGTGGCTTAATGTGAGAAAGACTTGACTGGCAATTGCAAGTTTTGAAGATGGAAGGGGGCCATGAAGCAAAGAATGTGAACAGCCTTTAGGAGCTAGAAGAGGAAAGAAAAGGTTCTGCCCTAGAAGATTGGGAGGCAGGGCAGCCCTGCTGACACCTTAATTCAGCCCATTGAAACCGGTTTCAGACTTCTGACTTCCAGAATTGTAAGATAACATATTTATATTGCTTTAAGGCACTATATTGGTGGCAATTTGTTACAGCAGTAATAGGAAATTTAGACAGACAATTCTGTTCTTGGTCTATAGCACCACCTCAAAGCATCCTTATTCATTGATCGCTCACAGTTAACCACCCTGCCACTTGACTTGCCAAGACCTATTGATTCTGTCTCCTAAATTCTTTTAAGTTTTGTTTTTCTGTTTTTGTTTTTTGAGACGGAGTCTCACACTGTGGCCTGGGCTGGAGTGCAATGGCGCGATCTCAGCTCACTGCAACCTCCGTCTCCTGGGTTCAAGTGATTCTCCTGCCTCAGCCTCCCAAGTAGCTGGGATTACAGGCTCCTGCCACCACGCCCCATTAATTTTTTGTATTTTTAGTAGAGACAGGGTTTCACTATGTTGGCCAGGCTGGTCTCGAACTCCTGACCTCATGATCCGCCCACGTTGGCCTCCCAAAGTGCTGGGATTACAGGCGTGAGCCACTGCACCTGGCCAAGTTTTGTTTTATTTTTATTAACAAACTAATAACAATTGTTTATATTTATGGGTTACAATGTGATGTTTTGATACATGTATACATTGTGAAATGATCAAATCAGGCTAATTAGAATATGTATCATCTGAAATATTTATCATTTCTTTACGGTGAGAATGTGTAAAAGCCTATCTTTTCCTAAAGCGTCTATGTTCCATCCATCTTTCCTTGTCTCCACAGCTACTCTCTGAGAGAAAACTTCAGCCTGTGGCTCCTTACTGTTCTCCCTACGTCTGCTCAGGCCACTCCCTTCGCCAACCCCAAGCTGGGCAGGCCATTCACCAAACTGCCCCAGAGGGTCTTTCTAAGACATAAATCTGAAATATCTCAAGACAAATGGCTTGCCATTGACAGCAGAATGAAAATCACCTTTCTTTACCTGATAAAATATCTTTCACAGTTTGACACCTACCTAGGCATCCAACTGTAATGTCTGCTTCCTGGTCAAACTTGCTGCTTGACCAGCATGACATTCATACCTGGTGCTTCAACATGACTCTGTGCCTTTGTCTGCTGTTCTCTCACTGCTCCTCTAACTGACAAACCCCTAAATATCTTTCAGTACTAAACCAACTGTGTTGGCGGGCTCTTGACAGTGAGCTCCTTGAGGGCTGGGACCTCTCTTCATCTCTTTGTCTGCAGTGGCTAGCTGAGGCCTCCCTCTGAATGAAGAGGAGGGGGCAAGACTTCCTTTCTCATAACCGCTAGCCTACCTTCTTTCCTGCCACATTAGCTTACTTTTACTTTCAGCTCATATTTGGCTTTGGAATTACTTTCAGAATTAGCAGTTGATACCCGCCCAGTCAGACACCATGTCCTCACACTCCTGTGTTTTCAGTGAGCAGGTGCAAGATTTAAGAAATAGTAAAAGAGGCGGTGGCTCACGCCTGTAATCCCAGCACTTTGGGAGGCTGAGGCAGGTGGATCACGAGATCAGGAGATCGAGACCCTCCTGGACAACATGGTGAAACCCTGTCTCTACTAAAAATACAAAAAAAAAAAAAAATTTAGCTGGGCGTGGTGGCACGTGCCTGTAATTCCAGCTACTCAGGAGGCTGAGGCAGGAGAATCACTTGAACCAGGGAGTTGGAGGTTGCAGCAAGCCAAGATTGTGCCACTGCACTCCAGTCTGGCGACAGAGCGAGACTATCTCAGAAAAAAAAAAAAAAAAGAAATAGTAAAAGAACAATCAGCTCTGATATCCTGGCCACTTCATCTAATGCTAAGACCTTCATTTTAAAAGATAGATTTAGGGTAAGAAGCACTTGTCAGTCTCAATTTTGCTCCAGATGAGGACCCACGCAAAACTACTTCTATGCTTTCCTTTCTTGGTTATAAAGAATTCCACTTTCTTTCAATTTTCAGCATAGATAAGTTTTTTACTTTCAAATCATCCATTACTTTTCTCTGGCCCATCTCCAATTTCCTAATATTGTGTTTAAAATATGGAGCTCAAAATTAGGCTCTAACATAGACCTTATCAATGGTGAACACAGTGAGTAAATTTCATGGTTCTTGTGTACTACATACATTCTGGTTAATGCAATCCCAGATCATGTTCACCTTCTTGATAACAGCCCTATATTGCTGACACATATCCCTGACAGGTGAGAATGGCTTTTTACCTATAGAGTACTTACATGTCAATTCCAATCTTTATGATGGCTAGGATAGTCTATCAGTATATTTTTTCTGGAATAATAAAAACATCACCTATTGCAAAGAGCTGTCTAATGCACTGACAGTATAGCTCATCTTGACTTGATGTTCCACTTCATAATTGGAACCATTAGACTGAAATCAGAGCTTCTGAAAATTCTCTGAGTTTTATTTTTAAACATGTTATATATTTATGTGGGTACATAACAATTTCATTCAAAGTAAAAATAAATACAGTTATTCTTCAACTATTAGTTGATACAACTTCACTTTAGAAGCCATAAATATCAGAAACAATGATTTAGATAAACCATGTGGAAATAGTTTTAGGAGGTATCCTCCAATTCCATTTATGGAATTCTCTTTGCATTTTCCAAAAAAAAAAATCTATAACAGGAAAGACAGTTGAAGGCAGAGACTGCATTTTAAGTTATCTGCCTTTCTAACAAAGCAATGGAAAGGGAGACCCAAATTATGCTTCTGAAGTGAAACGGGATAAGCTTAGCAAAAAATTTCATCTCTAATTAACTCCTTAAAAAATTTCAGTCCAGATTAAGTATATTTCTGTTAATTAACATATATAGTTAATTTCATTTTCTCATATTGACCTAGTAAAATTAAAGCATACAAATACATCTAAAATTTTTTGACATACTTTCATGACAGATTGAACATTATCTTATTAAAGCAAAATGTATAGATAAGTGCTTTGGAGTGAAAACATCTGGATCATAGTCTTAGTGCATTCAATCACTATAAGATCAAAAAAGTCACATTACTCTTTAAGATCTCCATTTCTTTTACATGATAATGACAATCAGTAATCGTCATAACGCTTACAACAATCTACTTTTTCCCTCTGATGTGAGTGTGGCTGAGAAATCCATATAACCCTTAAAAAAATAATGAATAAGATTAAAATACAACCCTGTAATGTGGACCAGTATGATCTCTAAAATACAATCTGACACTTCAATATAGGGAAGTTGAGGTTGGAATTTGAAGTTGAAAGTCCTACTGGAGCCTCATTCCCATACCTCCTAGACATATGGCCTCTGAGCCGTGGTTTCCTCATTACTGTGTCAGATAGACTACACTAGTTTCAAGTTTTTGTTCTTGGAGGTGAAATTCTGCTCAGATCCTCAATAAACAAATGATGAAAACAGGGCTGCTCTGGTGATGCCAATGTGGCAGATGTGGGGCACTTCGCATCCTAACCCTTCATTCTATGGCCCCAGCAAAAGTTGCATGGAACAAAATTTTAAAACCAATGGAAGCGATTTAGATATGATTGTTTTCAATTATCAAGTCTTGGTGTCTCTTAACCATATGCACTTGCCAGAGGTGGGGTGAGGGAGAAGTGGTATTTTAATGGCAAAGAGCACTGGTACAGATTTGGACTTCTAATCCTTGGTAGGCTAAATATTCAGGAAAGCTCTCCTTTCATAAAACATTTGCATGATGGATAAACAGCTAACTTACAGATAAACACATTGCTGAGCTCTCCAGAAAACAAGGGAAGCTAACAAAAGATGAAACCTACAAACTAAAACAAGAATGCTAAGCAAACCCTGAAGTTGGGCCTTCCATGCAGGAAAAAAATGACCAAACCAGGAACCCAGAGCTTTGGACATTAATGGAAAAAAAAAAAAAAAAAAAAAAAGCAAAGGGTCTGCAGAAAGTAGTGCTGTTAAGTCTGAGACCCTAAATTCAACGGGTACTAGAAACAACCTCACCCTCAGTGAAAGAGAGCACCAAAAGCCAATAGCCTGTTGCAGAGGAAACAGATAGGAAGCCTACCTGTCCCTGCCTACTCTCAGGATAAATATAGCAAGAAAATAATTGTCTCCCCTCAGAATCTACAACAGAAGACCAGATCTCAGATGGTGTGAAGTTTATATTACTTGGGGTGTCAGGAAAACTCTAGGCCAAATAATAACTATTATCAAGATAGGGTGTCACTCTGTCACCCAGGCTAAATTGCAATGACACAATCATAGCTCACTCAGCCTTGAAACCCTGGGCTCAAGCAATTCTCCCACCTCGACCTCCAAGTAGCCAGACTATAGGCGAATGCCACTATGCCCAACTAATTTTTTATTTTTCATTTTTTTGGAGAGATGCAGTCTCACTATGTTGCCCAGTTTAGTCTTGAACTCCAGGCCTCAAGCAATCATCCCATCTTGTCCCCAGTGCACTGGGATCACAGGCATGAGCCACCATGCCTGGCCCAGGCCAAATAATTAAATAAAAGCTGCCCTTAGTTGGCTACTTATTGAAGCCCTGGTACCCCAATGAAGCACAGGCAAGTCTATTCTGCAAAAAAAAAAAAAAAAAAAATCCTTAATATACATCCCTCATAATTCCCACAGATTAAGTTCAGCCAAGTATGAGCTCACAAGCAAACATTAATATATGTAGGTGAGGAACTAAGCCAACAGCAAGCTACAAATTTGCTTGATGGCCTCAGGTATTAGCATTAATTGACATAGAACAGAAAATCGTTATGCTCTAAGTGGCTGAATAAATGAGAGGAAAAATTTTTTAATGATCAGAAAATATCCAATCAGACAAAAAAATAACAAAACAGATGATTTTATAAATAAAAAAGAAAGCTTTTGAAACAAAAAACTGAATGATGGGTTACACCACAAATTAGAACTCACTTGAAAAAAAGATTCAGTGAACTAGAACAAAGACTTGAAGGAGCAACCCCAGATTGCAGCATAGAGTGACAAAGAAAACAGAAAATGTAAATTAGAGGTTATGAGGCATGAATGATCGAAAATGAGAAGGAACACATTACAATTAAAATTGTCTTTATCCAAAGACACCATAAAGAAAATGAAGAGTTAATCCACAAACATGGTGAACATAAAACCCAAAAGGATGTTACATAGAATACATTGAAAAATGGGCCGGGTGTGGTGGCTCACGCCTGTAACCTCAGCACTTTGGGAGGCCAAGGTGGGCAGATCAGGAGGTCAGGAGATCGAGACCATTGTGGCTAACATGGTGAAACCTTGTTTCTACTAAAAAAACAAAAAAAATTAGCTGGGCACAGTGGCACGCGCCTGTAGTCCCAACTACTCGGAAGGCTGAGGCAGGAGAATCACTTGAACCTGGGAGGTGGAGGTTGCAGTGAGCCGGGATCACACCACTGTGCTCTAGCCTGGGCGAAAAAGTGAAACTTCATCTCAAAAAAAAAAAAAAACATTGAAAATGCCTATGTATCAAAAGATAAAGACAACCCAACAGAGAAATGCGCAAATGTCAGAAATAGGTATTTCAAAGAAGAGGAAACATAAGTGGTCAAAAAAAAGTATGAGAAAATGTTCCAATAGTAACCAGGAAAACATAAATTTAAACCAGGAGGTATCATTTGATACTCAAGATTGGGGGAAATTAGAAAAGTTGTGGTTTCCAAATGTTGACAAGAGCACAGAGTATTGAATACAGGTGGGAATTTAAACTTAACAACCACTTTACACAGTAATTTAGCACTGTATTTGAAGATACACATACCCATTGGCTAATTATTTCAATGACTAGATGTATTATTTCCCAGAAAACCATCTGCACCTATGTCTTACAGATATATAAGGTCTTAGCAGCATTATTTGTAGTAGCAAAATAAAAATAAAAAACCCAACTATGAACAATTCAAATGAATCAAGAGATCATTAAAAACTTCTGAATAGTCATACAATGGAATATTTCACAGCAGTGAAAATTAATTAAGTGTAGCTACACAAATTAATACAGATAAATCTCAGGGATAAAATGTTGAATAAAAGAAAAGCCAAACAGAGTATGAGTCCCTCTATATAAACTCAAAAACACATAAAACAATATATTGTCTACAGATCACACATGTAGAATACAACCATAAGACAACATAAAAGGCACAGAAAGGAGGTTTGGTGGGAGAGAGATGAGGGGCAGCAAACTGGAGAAAAGTACGTAGGAGACACTCCATTTATTGGCAATGGTCTTTAGCTGGGCAGTGCACACACAGGTGTTTTGTCTTTCTAGTCTTATAATGTAAGTACCTGTTACATGCTTTCTTTTATATGTATGTAATGTTTTGTTAAAAGTATTAAAATTCTAAAAAGAGCATTGGAGTTGGGAACGAGCAGCAAACCCCAGGGAAAACTGGAGCTTTGGCCAGATTTGTCTCAGACCCCTCCCACCTGCATTTTGTCTCAGCCAATTACAGCTCCCATCCACGAATACTGCCAAAGGAGTATGTGATAATCCTGGTGTTGGCAAATAGAAGTTGGAGGTAACTTTTCCCATGGAAACTTTGAAGGCAAAAGACCAGCCTGGCTTTGACACCCTCCCCAAAACAGCCCTGTGCCAGGGGACACCTTCTCACAGCAGCCCACACACGACTCAGCTCCACAATGGGGGTGACTGGAGGGCCAGCCTGTGGACCACTTACAAGAGCATCCCAGAGCCCCTCTAGAGGGCCAGTTACCCCTAATGATCACAATGCTTTCTCTATATTTTTCACCGTGTGTGCTCAACAAGCTCCTAGTCATTCACCTTAGTTGAAAAGACAAATAATTTGACCAACTTTTTGACTAGATATAAAATGTGAAAGGAGTCCAACAATGCATACAAGTCACACTTCTTATATTACTATTTAAATGTTAGTGACTTCTGAATTTAAGAATTGTGTTACTATTTGTCAACTAATCAATATGTTTACTGAAACACTCAGTCCTTATAAGCATAACTTAGTGCATACTGCAATAAAAAATTTAAAATCTTGAGCATCTGGGACATGTAAAATATGTGATTAAGTAATTTATGGGAACATTCATGCAGCTTTATTTATAGATAATTTAAAATACCATCATTGCATTTTTTTTAAGTAAAAACAAGTACACAAAGAATAGAACAAAGAACAGCTTGATTTATTCTTGTCAGTAATAGAATATCAGTATCTATTAGAATGTGATTTAAGTTAATTCCTCAAAATTAGTTTGGTTGGATTTTCAATGTTTTTACATCAGAATGCAAAACTTATTGGTATAGATTTTTCTATGCTGTAAATGCTATCTTAATGAAATATAGAAGGAAGGGAAGGAAGGAAGAAGAAATTAAGCTTTTTCTAAAGACAGGCTATATGATTCAACTAAGCCAATTTAACTTAACTGCATTGATATTTGCCAGATTGCTATCCTCCTCTGCAGAGGAAGGCCCTGAAAACACTAATGTTCATCACAAATTCTCCTAAAGTCACATTAGGATCTGATAAAATCAATAATTCTTTGGCACATTAAAAATTGATCTCAAGGAGATATTGCCTTATAATTATTCCTTTGCCAGATACCCATACAAAAACACTTTCATAAATTGTTAAGGTTTTACTTAATATTCTGCATCCTTGAAGTTCTCAAAAATATCAGTAACTATCACGTTAGTTATTCAGCAGCAACGCTGTGCTAGTATTTCATATAGTAACAGAATACATGCCAACTAATTCCAAGAACTGCTTGTATAACTGGATTAAAAATTTCACTAATAATTATTGTAGAGAAGACCAGCAGCCTAGAGTCTGACAAAGATTGTTGTCTGGAGTGACTTCTCATCTGTTTACCTTCCTACAGGCTTTGGAGACCATTTCACTGGCAATGAAGGAATTCTACTGATTTTGCCCAAAATGCATCCTCAGGCCTACCTCCTTTCAGGGAGAAGGAACCAAACGAATAAATGATCCCATAGCCTACATCAGAGATCAGAAATAAAATGGTTTGGAATTGAGGGTGAGTGGGGAGAGAGTGACCTTGAGAAGCCACTGCAGGAGGGCCCTTCTAGGTCTCTGAGGCAACCACAACTCCTCCAGCTTTGTTTTCTTGGTTATTCTGTCTGCAGCGAAACCCTTAAAACAAAACAAAACAAAACAAAGAAGCCCTTCGAAGCTCACCTGAGAAGTGACTAGAATTAAGGAGAGGTTATGGAGTGTTCGTACTCAGCAGGAATTCGAAACCATGGAGGTAGCCAACAAGGGCGCCCTCACCCCTGAGGGTCCATTTGGATTTGCAATTCTATTCCCCCACCCCCACCCTGCCACCCAATCTCTGTACACACACACACACACACACACACACACACACACACACACACACACACACACACAGGCACTCCCTTTGAAGCAATTTATCAGGCTTTCTTCTGGGGAAAGTCTTGGAGTAAATATTAGTTTTCTTAACTTATCCTTCTTCTATTGACAATGACCTGTTTTGTACCAAAGAAGCTACTGAGTAATGGAGTTATGAAGCACGCTAAAACTGGGAGTTCATCCAGGTAAAGCTATCTGGGATTTTGTGCCAGAGTCTAATCCTCTTGCCCTCTAGGTCTGGAGGTATCTCTACAAGGTCAGGGAGATGTGCTCCTACCTAAGTGATTGTCTCTTACTGCGCCCAACAACGCCAGGCCCCATTGTGCTCGGAGGAGTGAAGGGATTACAAGAGGGCAAAATAAACTCTTCCAAGATGCACAGATACTTCCCTTCTAATATCTCTGCACCATCCAGAGATACTAGCAAGGAAGGAGAAGTTCCCTTTACAATTTGGAATGCAGTATCCAGGAATGTGGTATAATTCTTTGATTTGGGTGATAGGTATAAATAGCAGTGGTAAAAACAGCAAGTTACTTCTGTCTACAAACCGAGGTCAAGTCATCCCTTCTTAAAAAACTGTTAGCTGGACTGTTCCTGTCTGGTGTAATAGTGTGAATAAAGATTAGTCTGTACACATACATACAATTCCTCAAAATAGTATCTTCATATAAGGAGAGTTATATTTGTATAAAAGAACGTGTTTGAAAATTACAGGCAATGTAGCAACAATTCCTGAATTATTCTTTTGTTTACTTAGCACTTCAGTTCAAAAGGCTAATTAGTTATTTTGTTTAAGCTGAGGAAGAGGGGCTGAGGCTGACATGGAACCCAAAGTAACTATCTTTGGTTTATATATAGGTGGTTAGGATATATCAGGCGCTGTGTAGCCCTCCCTTTATTATCTCACTGAATTTTCACAACAACCCTGGGAAAGAGGTATTATTATCTCCATTTTGTAAGTGAAAGAAACAAAGAGGGAGAGAACTTACTTAATGTCTCATGGGCTCATAGCTAACTATTAGCAAAGCCAACATTCAAACCCAGGCCTAACTCCAAACCTCACGACCGAAGTTGAACCAATACTTATTGGGAGATGGTGCATGAGGCAGCAGGGAGATTCCTGGCTCCCATTTTCCTTCAAGAGACTCTGCTGCAAGGAGCATGGGTGATGAACAGCCTCCAGTTGCCATACCTTTGCATCACCACAGCTTTCACTCCAAGACCAAGATTTTCCAGGGCTTCTCTCAGCCCATGTCTAAGCATGCGCTAAGAAGGTTGTCAGAAGTGAAAGGCTCAGGCAGTTTATCAGAGAGGCGGGTGGAGATCTGGAAGGACAGTGCTGTGGATCTCAGATGCCTCAGAGACACCAGGGCTCCCTTGGGGTGAACCCACAGCTAGGGAGAGATGGTGCCTTAGGGAGGGAAAGCGGCATACCTAGATCAGAAGGAGCTTAATGTACCAGATTTTAAGAGGCTGTTAAGTGAGAAGGGAAACCGGGACCCAAATGAGGTATAGATATTGAATGAATAGAAGTTTGTAGAGTAATAGCAGGTAGAACGAATTATTTACATTTTCTTTTTCTTTGGTGTCTCCTGTTTTCTTCTTCCTCCTTGATTATCTAACTCTAATCTCCTTATAAAAAACATACTCTTGTCCTTTTTCTTTCATCCTCCAGTCAGCAGAAAAACATACCAATGAACATTTTATTTCTTTTTTTTATTATACTTTAAGTTCTAGGGTACATGTGCACAACGTGCAGGTCTCTTATGTATTAGACTTTATGTTCGTTGTTCTCCATACAGATTAATTGAACATTAAAATTTTTCTTTCTCAAGAAGAGTTAACTGCTCTTTTAACATGTATCATGGCCCTCAATTAACATTCTTTCATAGGGTCATAGGGTCAATGGTAAGAAGAGGGTACACTTTTCACTTTCATCAGAGGTATTTTCATAGGAAAATACTGGCTAACAAGATTTATCCTATAAAATTAAAACACTAGTGAAAATCAAATTCACTTAGAAAATATCTATATACAATTTCACTTACTAAAAGAGCTAAAATAAAGGCTAAGGTTTTTCTTAAAGCAATCAACTTCAGGAGCTACTTGCAAATTAGTGTCTGTTCTTTTCTTTACCAGTCATTAGCCTGAATTGGTACCCAAGTCATGTTACGAGAAAATAAAGACTTACACAGACCATTTTAAATTCTGTAGTCTCAATTACCATATATGCTCTTATTAATTGTTTCTAAGAATTCCTCTTCAAAATGTGTGCAAGTAACGCATCATATGGAAAGGCAACTGAGTTTTCATATACGGCTTAAAAATACAAACTTCAGAAACACAGATGTTATACCAAATTCTCACTTGCTTACTCCCAGCTAAACTCAATCTCTGAGCTTTAAAAAGATTTTCTAAACTGCTAAAGATTAAAAAAATGACATTATACATTCACATCTGGCTCTGTCACCATTTAGGGCATGTTAACATAGATTTTAAACATCTGGGGACAGGGGAAAAGATCTATCGGGAGCTTTTCACTACCATGACAACTGAAGTGTACTGTTGCTCAAATAGTTCAGTCTCTGCTCATCTACATTTAACACCACCACAGGCCTTCCATTTTTCACCACTTAAAAACAACAATTATCATAGGAAATAATACTCATATGTAGAAAGTTCCTAGGGAGAGTGTTTCTTTCATTTCCATCCTGCTTTAATCCTGTGGGTAGGACAGATCCTTCCTCTTTGCAGCAATGCAGTTAAACCAGTTTATATTTTCTGGCTTTTAGACATGGAAGTCCTTCCTATATTTTTGAGTCACTCAAGAGATGGCTCTTAATGACAAAGTCTTAATGGAAATGGTGAAAATAACCTAGCATTATTTTTTTCTATAAAGCAGCATCCTTTCTGTGTGTTCAAAATTTAACCAACATTCTAAAGAGCATAGAATATGGGCAATAAAAATTATAGGTTTCATGTGTTAATGTTTTCTGAATGGCAGATGTACAACATACTTTAGACATACTATTTTTCATTTATTCTTCAAAACTACCTGTAGTTAGTATTATTACTTTGGAAAATTAAACTATGGAGAGAGGTACAACATTCACACAACCATGTATTAAGTGCCTATGCTTGGGCAAGTGCTGTGCTAGGCAACAGGAATGTAATGGTAAAAATTACAGCATGCCCCACCCTCATGGAGTGTATCAGTCTGTTCTCACACGGCTCTAAAGAACTACCTGAGACTGAGTAATTTATGAAGAAAAGAAGTTTAATTGCCTCACAGTTCCACACGCTTAACAGGAAGCATGGCTGGGAGACCTCAGGAAACTTACAATCACGTCAGAAGGCGAAGGGGAAGAAAGCATGTCTTACCATGGCAGAACAGGAGACAGAGAGAGAGAGTGGGGGAAGAGCTATACACTTATCAGATAACCAGATCTTGTGAGAACTCACTCACTATTATGAGAAGAGCAAAGGGGAAGTCTGCCCCCATGAGCCAATCACCTCCCACCAGGGCCCTCCTCCGATACGTGGGGATTACAATTCAAGATGGGATTTGGGTGGGGACGCAGAGCCAAATGATATCATGGAGCCTACCATCCATGGCCAAGAAAGGGAAACAAAGGGCCACTGACAGGTGGGAATGGAATCTAAATCTGACTTCAAAGCAAAAACCAAAACATCAGGTCTGACTGACTTCTAAACCAAAAGCCTTGAAGTCACCTTTGACTCACCTCTTCCTGTCACACACAATACATCCAATCCATCAGCAAATCAGGCTAGCTCTGGCACAAAATCAATCCAGATTACAACCACATCTAACCACCCAGGTCAAAATCACAACCATCTCTCACCTGGATTATTACCTCCATTCCTAACTAATCTCTCCATCTCTAGCCCTTTCTCTATTTATTCTGTTCTCAAGAGACAGCCATCTGGGTCTTGCTAAAATGTTTTGTCAGACATGTCACTCTTCTGCTCAAAACCCTGCAAAGTCTCCCATCTCACTCAGAGAAAAAGCTGAGTCCTTACATCAGCCTGCAGGGCCCTATACAATGTACTGGGTCACTGTATCTCCCACTGCTCACTTTCTTGCTCACTCTTTTCTGGCCCACAGTCTTCTCTATTGTTCCTCAAACATATCTGGCCTCTTCTCATATCAGGAGTCTGTACTTGCTGTTCCCTCTGCCTAGAACTCTCATCCCTTCCGAATGGTACCAGCTTAGCAAGGCCTATCCTGCCCATATTTATGACAGCAAGCCTCCTCCAGCATGCCCTATTCTCCCTTCCCTGCCTCATCACTCTCTGCAGTACAAATCACCATCTGACATACACTTTACATGTTGAAATTGTTCACTGGCTGCCTCTTGTGTCTCCCGGCTCTACAGAGCTGACTGTGCTCATCTCTTCCCAGCTCCCATCCATTGATACCATATTGCTAGCCTGAAATCAGCTGTGATCAGCAAACACTACAAAATAGGCCTTTAAAGAAAAAAAAAAAAGACAGCCAAATTAGTGTATAGCACTCTCCTCCTAAGAACACATAGCCCCCTCCAACAAGAAAATATGCTGCATGAAGCAGAGTTTTTGTCCATTTTGCTCCATGCTTTCTCCACAGAACCTTAGTGCTTGGCACATCATAGGAACAAGATAAATGTTTGTTAAATGAGTGAACATTTCTCCTATCCTCAAGCAGATTGAAAGTACTAGTATCAGAACTCCAAACCTTCATTTTCAGAACTGCTCTAAGCATGTTCTGTGGTTTAGAAAGCGTGGCCATTTTCCTGAACCTACTCCATCTGTTCCTAACGGGGGCTCCTCTCCACTTGCATGGTCTATGGGCAGAAGACACAAGGATTGCCAGTGCCCTCCAGTCTCTGCACATGCCTCTAACTCACAGACGGCAAAGCAGTAAATTGGGAAAAGCCTGACAAAACTGTTTTTTCATTTTTATTGTAACTTGTTAAAACAAATATTAAACTACAGATGATACAGTGTGCTATGTTCAAAACTGTAGAAAAATGTGTGTTAAAACTATGGGTCATGTTTAAGAAGACCCCTTTAAAAACACGTTGTTTAGAAAGTAAAAATTTTTTTTAGGATCCAAGGAGCAGTTTAACAGAGGCTCTAAAGGAAAGAGCAAACTGATAAGGATCTGCAGAGGAAACATGTTATTCTGTCACATACATGGAGGATAACTCTTTGGTAAGTAAAAGAGAAAGAATGTCACTGACCCACGTAAATGTGTTAACAGTGCCTTAATTCAATTGAAGTGGGAATTCTAGAATGTTCGTGAGCTTGGTGAACATGATGGAGGGAAGAGGTCTGAATTCTGTGGTGCAGGTGGGAGAGTCTGTGATTAAGATAACAATCAAAGTATTGAACTAGGAGAAAAGAGGGAAGAGGTTTAATAGAACCCTCCACCAATCATGCTTCCTTCAGGAACACAAAATTGGACAACTATTCACACCCAAAAAGCACCTTTAAAAGAACCAAAAATCACAGTACCTGGTTTTAAATTTATATCACTGAAAGAGGCACTGAAGAGGATATAAAAGACAATATTGAATTCCTGATGCCACCCCTTCCTCATTCCATGGCAGTACATCCCACCATCGCTGCACTCTCCCTCCCCTAAACACACTTGGGAAAGGGAGAGTGCAGTGATAGTGGGACTTTGCATTGAAACTCAGTGCTGCCCTGTCACAGAGGAAAGCAACACTAGGCAGAACTCAACTGGCACCTACAGAGGGAGCATTTAGACCAGCCCTAACCAGAGAAAAATCATTCACCCCAGTGGTCAGAACTTGAGTTCCAGCAAGCCTCATCACTGCAGACTAAAGTGCTCTACAGATCTCAATAAACTTGAAGGCAGTCTAGGCTAAAAGGACTACAATTCCTGGGCAAGTTCTGGTGCTTTGTTGGGCCAAAAGTCAGTGGACTTGAGATGCATATGACCTAGTAAGACACCAGCCAGGGCAGCCAAAGGAGTGCGAGTACCGCCCCTCCACCAACCCCAGGCAGCACAGCTCACAGCTCTGGGAAAGACTCCTTACTTCTGCTTGAGATGAGAATAAGGAAGAGTAAAGACTTTGCAAGTCCAAGTTCAGGACTTGCAACTTGGATACTAGCTCAGCCACAGTAGACAAGGGCACCAGGCAAAGTCCTGAGGCCCCCATTCCAGGCCCTAGCACCTGAATGACATTTCTAGACACATTCTGGGCCAGAAGAAAAGGACCCAATCTTGGGTAATTCATCACATGCTGACTAAAGAGCACTTTGACCCTGAATAATCAGCAGTAGGACCCAGGCACTACTCACTGTGAGCTTTGGGTAAGACTCAGAGACATGCTGGCTTCAGGTGTGACCCAGCATATTGCCAGCTGAAGTGGCTATGGGGAAGGACCCCTTACGCTTGAGAAAAGGAAAGGGAAGAGTAAAGGAGACTTTGTCTTACAGTTTAGGAACCAGCTCCGTCACAGTGGCACAGTGGGATAGAGCATCATGCTGGCTCTTGTGGTTCTCAATTCCAGGTGTTGACTCTTGCACGGCATTTCTGGACCAGCACTGGCCAGAGAGAAGTTCACTGCCCTGAAGGGAGAGTTCTAGGCTGGCTGTATCCACCACAAGTTGAACGAAGAGCCCTTGGGTCTTGAAGGAACAATGGTGGTAGCCAGGCAGTACTCACTGCAGACTTGGGGCAGTGGTAACCATGAGGAGAGACTCCTCTGCTGGTGGAAAGGAGAGGGAAGATTCAGGAGGACTTTCCCTTGTGGCTTGGGTGCCAGCTTAGCTACAGTAGAATAGAGAATCAGGTAGATTATTAAGGTTTCCAACTCTAGGCCCTGGCTCCAGGACAGCATCTCTAACCTGGGGGGGATCTTTCTGCCCTAACAGGAAGAACACAAACTTGGCTGGCTTTACCACCTGCTGATTGTAGAGCCCTAAGGCCTTGAGTGAACACAAGTGGTATCCAGGCACTGGTTACCGCAGGCCTTCGGCAAGACCCAGTGCTGTGCTGGCTTCAGGTCTCACACAGCACAATCCCAATAATGGTGGCCACAGGGATGCTTATGTCACCCCTCTTCCAGCTCCAGGCAGCTCAGCATTGAGAGAGAGACTCTGTTTGTCTGGGAGAAAGTAAGGGAAGAGAAGAAGAGTCTCTGCCTGGTAATCCAGAGAATTCTTCCAGATCTTATCCAAGACCAACAAGGTGATAGCTCTCTGAGTCTGCAAGCGTCACAGCTTGGGCTTGGGTTACCCTCTAATGCAGATATGGCTGCAAGGACCAAAAACTTATAACACTAACATCTTTTCAAATACCTGGAAAACCTTCCCAAGAAAGACGGGTACAAACAAGCCCAGACTATGAGGACTACAATAAACACCTAACTCTTCAATGACAAGACTGGACGAATACCCACAAGCATTAAGACCATCCAGAAAAACATGACCTCACCAAATGAATTAAATAAGGCACCAGGGTTATATCCAGGGGAGAGAGAGCTATGTGACTATTCAGACAAAGAATTCAAAACATCTGATTTAAGGAAAGTCAATGAAATTCAAGATAGCACAGAGAAGGAATTTAGAATACTGTCTAATTAATTTAACAAAGAGACTGAAATAATTAAAAAGAATCAAGAAGAAATTCTGGAGCTGAAAAATGCAGTTGACACACTGAAGAATACATTATAGTCTCTTAACAGCAGCATTGATCAAGCAGAAGAAAGAATTAGTGACCTTGGAGACAGACTTATTGGGAAATACACAAAGGAGACAAAAGAAAAAAGAATCGAAAAGAATGAAGCATGCCTACAAGGTCTGGAAAATAGCCTCAAAAGCCAAAAGCACAAACCTAAGAGTCATTGGCCTTAAAGAAGAGGTAGAGAGAAAGAGAGATAGGGGTAGCAAGTTTATCCAAAGGGATAATAACACAGAACTTTCCAAACCTAAAGAAAGATATCAATATTCAAGTACAAGAAGGTTACAGAACACCAAGCAGATGTAACCAAGATAAGGTGACCAAGACATTTACTAATCAAACTCCCAAACGTCAGGGATAAGGAAAGGATTCTAAAAGCATCAAGAGGAAAGAAATAACATATAATGGAGCTCCAATACGTCTGCTGGCAAACTTCTCAGTGGAAACTTTATAGGCCAGAAGAGTGTGAAATGACATATTTAAAGTGCTTACAGAAAAAAACTTCTTATCCTAGAATAGTATATCCAGTGAAAATATCCTTCAAATAGGAAGGAGAAATAAAGGAGAAATAAACTATACAAACACATGGAAATTAGACAATAAGCTCCTAAATGACTAGTGGGCCAATGAAGAATTATGAAGGAAATTTAAAAATTTATTGAAACAAATAATATTTTTAGAGGAATAATTTTATTGTAGAAGAGTCTTATGTAAGCATAAGAGCAAAGAAAGATCCCACCAAATAAATAAGCATTATATATGATTACATAAAACATAACATTTCAAAATACATGCACACACACACATCACAATATACATGACAGAGAAAAGACTAATATCTTTACTATATGAGGATATTTTATAAATAATAAAAAAGGTAAATACATCAATAGATCAATAGAAAACCTGGCAAAAGATATAAACAGGCAACTCACTGAAGAAGAGCTAGAAATAATATATGGTAAAATGGATGGCAAATATATGAAATAATTTTAAAACCTTATTTGTGATCAAATGAAAATTTCAATAATTCCAACACATTTATCATATGATATATATACACACAATTTCCACATTTATCTTATAAAACTGGCCAACATTTTTATTTTTAATGAATATGCCCAGCACTTAATAAAAATGTAGGAAAATGAACATTCATGCCAGCTCATGGAAATATAAATTGGACTAACCATTCTAATCCACAATTTGACAATAAATATAAAAGCCTTAAAATGTATTCTGTATGAAGTAGGATATACGTTAGGATATCAGATTCTCCTAGGGATAATACCAAGGGTTTGAGGAGATGATATTCACTACAGCATCATATGTAACTGAAAAAAAAGGATAGGGCAATCTAAGTATCCAGTAGCCAAAATGTCCAAACCAATCATGAAATATGTGCACAGGATTGGAATAATATGAAGATGACACAAATTAAGTAGTAGACAAACACAGTGAACTATGGAAACAATTGACAGTGTATTTCTAAGGGAAAAAGTATCAAAAAGTACATGCTATCATTCATTTAGCCAACACATCGAGTGCTGAACTTAATTATATAAATAATAACAGCTTATGTGTATATGTAAAGAAAATACAGAACAGACATAAGGATAATAATATTACCTTTAAGTGTTGAATATTATAATGAAGATGATGGA
Organism: Homo sapiens; assembly: GCF_000001405.40. Lineage (NCBI taxonomy): Eukaryota > Metazoa > Chordata > Mammalia > Primates > Hominidae > Homo > Homo sapiens. The sequence goes on from NC_000013.11 coordinate 43,603,085, forward strand.
AATCATCCATCATCTCACTATTGTTCACTGTAATAAACGTGTAAGACTTTGGAAATCAGAAAGTAACAAGTTATAAGGAAGTTATAAGGTGTCATGCTTTACCATATCTTACTTTTTTAAACATGCCATGCTCTTTCAATATGTCATGCTATATTGTCATGCTTTTCCCCATAAGTTATAATATGTCATGCTTTTTATTTTGCAAAATCCCTTCTCCTAAGAGTTTAATAATAATGATACCAATGGGATGGCAAAATGGTTCCAGCTGCTTTTTTTTCCTTTTATTTATTTTATTTATTTATTTATTTTATTATTATTATACTTTAAGTTTTAGGATACATGTACACAATGTGCAGGTTAGTTACATATGTATAGATGTGCCATGCTGGTGTGCTGCACCCATTAACTCGTCATTCAGCATTAGGTATATCTCCTAATGCTATCCCTCCCCCCTCCCCCCACCCCACAACAGGCCCTGGTGTGTGATGTTCCCCTTCTTGTGTCCATGTGTTCTCATTGTTCAATTCCCACCTATGAGTGAGAATATGCGGTGTTTGGTTTTTTGTTCTTGCAATAGTTTACTGAGAATGATGATTTCCAATTTCATCCATGTCCCTACAAAGGACATGAACTCATCATTTTTTATGGCTGCATAGTATTCCATGGTGTATATGTGCCACATTTTCTTAATCCAGTCTATCATTGTTGGACATTTGGGTTGGTTCCAAGTCTTTGCTATTGTGAATAATGCTGCAATAAACATTCGTGTGCATGTGTCTTTATAGCAGCATGATTTATAGTCCTTTGGGTATATACCCAGTAATGGGATGGCTGGGTCAAATGGTATTTCTAGTTCTAGATCCCTGAGGAATTGCCACACTGACTTCCACAATGGTTGAACTAGTTTACAGTCCCACCAATAGTGTAAAAGTGTTCCTATTTCTCCACATCCTCTCCAGCACCTGTTGTTTCCTGACTTCTTAATGATCGCCATTCTAACTGGTGTGAGATGGTATCTCATTGTGGTTTTGATTTGCACTTCTCTGATGGCCAGTGATGGCGAGCATTTTTTCATGTGTTTTTTGGCTGCATAAATGTCTTCTTTTGAGAAGTGTCTGTTCACGTCCTTTGCCCACCTTTTGATGGGGTTGTTTTTTTCTTGTAAATTTGTTTGAGTTCATTGTAGATTCTGGATATTAGCCCTTTGTCAGATGAGTAGGTTGCGAAAATTTTCTCCCATTTTGTGGGTTGCCTGTTCACTCTGATGGTAGTATTGAAACAAATAATAAAAGAAAAACAATACACCAAAACCTCTTGGATACAGCAAAAGCAGTACTAAAAAATTTTTCCCCATTCAGTGCAATACTAGCTGTTGGTTGGTTATGACTTTTATTGTATTGAGGTATATTCCTTAATACCTAGATTTTTGAGGGTTTTTAACATGAAGTGATGTTGAACTTTATCAAATGCTTATTCAGCATCAATTGAAATGATCATATAGTTTTTATCCTTCATTCTGTTCATACGATGTGTCACATTGATTCATTTGCCTATGTTGAACTATCTTTACATCCTGGGGATAAATCCCACTTGGTCATGATGAATGATCAAGTTTATAAGATCTGGAACATGACATCAATGCCCACTTTCACCACTGTTATTCAACACAACTGGAAGTCCTAGCCAAAGCAATCAGACAAGAAAAAGAAATAAAGGGAATCCAAATTAGGGGGGAATAAGTCAAATTTTTTGGTTGCAGATGATCTGATATTTGGAAAAACCTCAAGACTTTACCAAAACACTATTAGAAATGATAAATTTCAGTAAAGTTGAAGAATACAAAATTAACATTCAATGATCAGTAGTGTTTCTATATGCCAACAGCAAACAATCTGAAAAAGAAATCTAGAAAGTAATCCCATTTACAACAGCTACAGATAAAATGAAATCCACAGAAATTGTGTATTTCACAAAAATGTGAAAGATATCTACAATGAAATAAAATACATAAAAATATGTATTTTACAAAAATATCTACAATGAAAATAATAAAATACTGATGGAAGAAATTGAAGAGAACACAAAAAATGGAAAGATATTTCATGTGCATGGGCTGGAAGAATCAATATGGTTAAAATGTCCATACTACACAAAGCAATCTACAGATTCAATGTAATCCCTGTCAAAATACCAATGACATTCTTCACAAAAATAGGAAAAACAATCCTAAAATTTATATGGAACCACAAAAGATCCAAAATAGCCAAAGCTATACCAAGCAAAAAGAACAAAAGTAAAAGAATCACATTATCTGACTTCAAATTATACTATAGAGTTATAATAACCAAACAGCATGGTACTGGTATAAAAACAGACACATACACCAACAGAACAGAATAGAGAACCCAGAAACAAATCCATACATCTACAGTAAACTTTTGACAAAGATGTCAAGAACATACCTTAGGGGAAAGTACAGTCTCTTCAATAAATGGTGCTGGAACAACTGGATATCCATATACAGAAGAATGAAACTAGACCCCTATTGCTCATCATATACAAAAATCAAATAACAATGGATTAAAGACTAAAATCTAAGAGCTCAAACTGTGAAACTACTACAAGAAAACACTGGGGAAATTCTTCAGGACATTGGACTGGGCAAAGACTTCTTGAGTAATACCCTATAAGCACAGGCAACCAAAGCAAAAATGAAGAAATAGGATCACATCAAGTTAAAAAGCTTCTGCACAGCAAAGGAAACAATCAACAAAGTGAAGAGATAACCCAAAGAATGGGAGAAAATATTTGCAAACTATCTATCTGACAAGGGATTAATAACCAGAATACAGAAGGAGCTCAAACAACTCTCTAGGAAGAAATCTAATAATCCAATTAAAAAATGGGCAAAAGATCTGAATAGACACTTCTCAAAAGAAGACATGCCAATGGCAAACATGTATATGAAAAAGATTCTCAATATCATTGACCATCAGAGAAATGCAAATCAAAAGTACTATGAGATATCATGTCACCCCAGTTAAAATGTCTTTTAGCCAAAAGTCAGGCAATAGTAGATGTTTGCAAGGATGTGAAAAAAAGGGAACACTTGCACACTGTTTTTAGGAATGTAAATTAGTATAACCACTAGGGAGAACAATTTGGGGGCTCCTCAAAAAACTAAAAATAGAACTACCATACGATTTAGCAATGCCACTGTGAGTTATATACCCAAAAGAAAGGAAATCAGTATTTCAAAGAGATATCTGCACTCTCATGTTTATTGCAGCACTATTCGCAATAGCCATGGTTTGGAAGCCCTCAACAGACAAATGGATAAAGAAAATGGGGTACATCTACACAAGGAGATACTATTCAGCCATAAGAAATGAGATCCTGTCATCTGCAACAAAAATGGATGCAAAGGAGGTCGTTATATTAGGTGAAATAAGCCAGGAATGGAAAGACAAACTTCTCATGTTCTTACTTATTTGTGGGAGCTAAAAATTAAAACAATTGTACTAATTGATATAGAGAGTAGAACAATGATCACCAGAGACTGGGAAGAATAGTAGGAGCAGGGGGAAGGGGAGTAGTTAATGGGTACAAAAATATAATTAGATAGAATGAATAAGATCTAGTATTTGATGGCAGGGCATGGTGGCTCAGGCCTGTAGTCCCAGAACTTTGGGAGGCTGAAGTGGGCGAATCATTGAGCACAGGAGTTCGAGACCAGCCTGGGCCACATGGGAAAACCCCATCTCTACTAAAAAAAATAGAAAAATTAGCCGGGTATGGTGGCATGTGCCTGTAGTCCCAGCTACTTAGGGGGAGTACCGCTTGAGCCCAGGAGGCAGAGGTTGCAGTGAGCTGAGATAGTGCCACTGTGCTCCAGCCTGGGTGACAGAGCGAGACCCTGTCTCAAAAAATACATATATATCCAGTATTTGACAGCACAATAGAGTGACTACAGTCAACAATAATTTATTATACATTAAAAAATAACTAAGAGGATAATTGGATTGTTCGTAACAAAGAAATGATAAATGCTTGAAGAGATGGATACCCCATTTACCCTGATGTGATTATTATGCATTGTATGCATGTATCAAAATATTTCATGTACCCCTTAAATGTGTACACTTGCTACGTAACCACAAAAATTAAAAATTAAAAAAAAAATCACAGAGTATTGGATTAGGCCAAAAGTGTGCATACAGAGTTTGTGCTTATTGTGCATAGAGTTTCCTTCTTTATTAATGAAGCTTTCTGTTTTTCCTTTCTTTAGAGTTATCAATATACCCTAAGTAATTTATTTGTAACCGCATAGTTTGTTGGTAAAAAGTTCCCTACAATTTTCCTTATTTTCAAATATTACCAATGGCAGTAAGTTAACACATTCATGGGAGCAAAGCTACAAAAATGTTAAGTCTGGCCATATAGAAAACCCTGGCTTGATGTGTGTTTAGTGCTTAAAAATCCCCAAATATATGAGATACATTATTACATATCATCTGACCAACAATTTTGTAGAGCAAATATTGCAAATCCTGAATATTATAATACTCATTATATGCATGTAGATAAGTATAAAAACTGAAGCTCACAGAGGTTACTGCTCACCAATTAGGGCAAGTACAGTTGCTGAAGTCCCAGCCTGCAGACTCAAGACCCTACTGCTCTTTCTAATGCATGATGCTGATTCTCTTGAAGGTAAGTTTGGAATCTTCAGAGGTATGTGTTAGGCATGGGTAGATATAAGGATTCTCTGATAAAACCTCTGGTAGAGACATCCTGTGAAATGTCTGTGGTCTTTGTCTCTGGGTAATATCTGTCTAATCCTCTCTTGAGCTCAGGGAGTTGCAATGGCTTAAGGCTGGAAGCACCAAGTCACTGAGCAGAGAAACATCCAGGAACAGGCATGCATGTATGATGCAGAATGGCTGGGAATCATTCCATCATGTGACACCACTTTACGATATCTTCCTTTGTTATGTGTTCCTGAAAAATACTTTAGAAACATATCCTCTTCACTAAAGACATTTCAGTAATTGACTCCTTAATTCAATAAATGAAAGCATCATTATTTTGAGGTCTAAGAATGGGTACGAGCATGGGGAGGGCAAAGTGTCATTTCTGGTTGAATTTCCTGAGAATAAGAACACCGGACTTTAAACAATATGATATGACTTTTTCCCCGAAACTGAAGTTATTTCTATCCTATTTAATGTCACATATATTTTAACTATTATGTAAAAAACATTGTGTTAGATGTCAAAGGATATAAAGATGACTGAGATCATTTCTTCCCTCAAGGAATCGCCAATCCAATGAAAAGATGAAACTCATCTTTCTAGAATACATTTTCCCGTGTTTATCTTTGAAAGAGTACACTGAATATTATACAACTTCTTCTTGATGACTGAGGGACATCATTCCAAGCCAGCTGATGTTCTGGGCCACAACAATAAGCACAGCTGCAGCTAGAAATGAGTGTGACAGGAGCTCAGGGCTACTGGTCATAGGAGTTAACCAAGAACTGCCTTCTGCCATCTCAAATTGGGTGGATGAGGGGCTGGATAGATAACAGATATAAATACCCTGATGTCATGATTGCTTTTTGGTCTTTTCCCTTTTTCCTCCCATCCTATATATGAACCAAAGACCTGCTTCATGACTAATGTGCTTTGAACCAGCACAAAACCGCCATTAGCCATCAGTGAGGTATACAGGTAGCAACAGCTGAAGACCTTTCCTGTCGGGCACCCTGCAGAGTGTCCAGGTCTGACCTAAATGTTACTCCTTATTGCTGGGCCTCCTCTAACGTCAGTGTCAGCTACCCACCTCCTTTCATCACTTGAATTTCTAAACCAACTGGCATCACCCCTTCTAAGCTCTGCCAGTTATTCTGCTATTCAGAACTCTCCGTTCTCAAATTACAATGTGTATAAAATGTCCAGCACAGTGCCTGACACAGAGCAGGCACTCAGTAAGTGCTAGAGCCCCTTTCCTTGTATTTTATAGTCTAATCTTTGATCTGACATTTTTCCTGTCTCTGTGTCTTTTTACGATCAGGTGGATATACATAGGTACTTCTTTATGGTTAGCAAACCAAAAAATCACAATCCATTACTTTCTATTTGTATGTATCTGTGAATGAAGCTTTTTTTCCTTTTACCCCTGCATAAGATACTTCTTAGGTTATCTACACCTTAATAACTCATTTGCAACTGTATAGATAGCTTAAAGGTTCTTTTTTATTTTCATAAATTTTCTCCACCCAGTGGTTATAATTTAATAAAGTAGTCACTGTGGCTGTATTTATATTTTGTAAGTAATTTATGTTTTGGTACAATGAATAATTCTGGATGTGAGTTATGTGACTGTGAATATACAGTTTGAGCTTTCTAGAATCTCTTCACTACCATTCTGATGCTGCCTCCTCTCATCTAATGACAACAACCTCATAGAAGAGATAAAAGTCTAAGATTCAAATCTAAAAGGCAAAGCAATTATAAAGTATAGCACATGTAGCATCTAATTATTTTTCCACATATAATGTCACACATGCAATTGGAAAAATGTTCTTTTGTTATTTGTAACATAAACCATGTCATTTTATTTTATTTTCACTTCCTTGCAGACTCTCATTAAAGCTTGCACACATATTATTATTCCATTGAAAAGTAATAACTTCATTATTATGGCATAACAATTAATGTAAGGTGTATCAACACAAATATTTAAAAGGACCATTACAAAAGTAAGAAAAACATTAATCTACTACTAGGGACTTACTTCATTCATGTAAGAAATTTTTCCATCTTCTGTCCATCTGGAGAAGAGCAAGATAAATTAATCTTTGGTTCCAAACATTTTTAGAGTTGTTTTATCAGGAAATAACTTCCTATTTTCCCAAGTTTTGAAATTTTGCACCTTCTCATAAGTATAAAAGAATCTCAGCATTTCACTTTGACCCATTTCAAATTTATATGGCAGATTTCCAAATGCTGGGAATTGCAAAGTGCCTGTTCTTAGCACATGATATCTACCATCTGCCCTGGCCATCAGGATAGGGTCCAGATAGTTCTCCAACATAATATTGTAAAGTCAAAGTGCTCTTGGCATTTATGTAATATTTTTGCAACATTTTGCAGGTGATAAATAAATTGTAACTTTTTCAAACTGGGACTCATCTAATTACATGCATGGGAGCACTTTTCTTGTGCTGTGTATTCAACTGTGTATGCTTGTACCTGCTCATTCATCCTCCACACCCACCCCACACAATCTGTCCAACTGAGATTTGATCATGTGAATGCTGAGAAAGGCTAAAGGTTTGGTACCCATTCAAAATGATATTTTTAAAGTACTTATTCAACATTTATTAGATGGAGTTGGGGAAAACTTATTTTCCATTAAGAAAAGTATGTCTCTCTTTATGCTTAGTTAACGAACAGGATTAGTTCACGCACTAAATGAACATATCACTTTTATTTGGGTCAGTCTTTCATTTCACAATTTTGTGGTTTCTCATTAAGGGACAGCATTAGTTATTCATATTCAGGAGGGCAGAGGTAACTCTCACAGATATGGTTACAAAGTTACAAAATAGATTTCAAAGTTCTTTTATTTACTTTCATGTTGTTAAAACATTTCCCATAGTTTTTTTTTTTTTTCAGTTCAGTTTTATGACTTACCGATCCAGGAAAATGCTTGGAAAGCACAGTAACAACTTTTAAACTTAATATTAAAAACAAATAAAATTGCTCATTGCCAATAAATATACCTATGTAAAATACTACTCAGTGTAAGAATTTCAACTGACAGTGACCTGTCAAATTCAGGCAATTCTAAAATAGGATGGTGGTGGTTACACTGTGCAAAATATTCAATAGAGAGAGTTCAGGAATGCCAATAATTTTTTGTTATTATTATCAAAACATTCAATAAAGATAGTTCAATAATGGCAGCAACTCTTACTGTTATCTCCCTCCTATCCCACCTTGGGGGCCTTGTAATAAATTTTGCTTGCAAATTGCCTAAGTGTTATATGTGGAAAGCTAAGTTAACAGGTGTCATGTTTCCCATTTATACCACTGATGTTCCAATGCAAGGTGCCCGGGGAAACTGCCATCCCTTAATCCAGCTCTGCTCACCCAGACATACACATATACCCATCAATCCATCTGTTAGGCATTAAGAATTACAATAGTATAAAGAACAATCCTTTGGTGTACATATTTAAATGTTAAATATATACTGAAGGGTTTGAAGCAAGGATCTGGCAAACACGACTGCATCACACATTTGGTTCAGCCCTGTCTGGATGTCAGAATGCATCCGTCATTTTGGATTTATGTATAATGACAGAAATCAAGTCACGACCCATGTAGTCTCAAAAGGCTACTTAGATGATGATGAAGATCCACAATACTCCCTGAAGTACTGCTGATTCTTCAACTCCATTAAGAATATACATCTCTGACATTTTAAATATCTTAAGTCAGTGATTTTGGCCATCTAGGAAAAACAATGTTGCAGCATGTAATTTAGGTAATTTCAACAGAGCCAGTTCAATCTTAAATCATTATTTCTAATGCATTCTGGCAATACTTTTTTTGTAAAGTGAAATTATACAACACTTCCAGAAACCACAGAATGTGACTTAACAACCAATTACTTGTACAGTTTGCAAAACAAGTAAACCTCCCAGCAGCTGGGAGCTTGGCTGAGAGGCCTAGGCTTGCCCTTGGCATGGTACCTTGCTCTTTTCTATGAGTTCACATTGCTTTCTAGCCTGCTAATGCACTGGCCTTATGAACACAGATTCCCTAAATGCTCTCCAAGAGTCTGATATCACATTCAGGGTTAACACATTTTTTCCCTTGTTGCAATTCAGCAGTTTTTTACAGTCATTCATATCCAACCAATTGCTGTCAACAGGCATCTTCACATATGAATGTTAATAGCATATTATTAAAGAGTTCCTGGTAATTTGTTTTGTGGGTAGAGTTGATGAGGGGTGACTATAGGAAGGGAAGCCAAAGGAAAAACATTTCAACTACTCTGGAAGCTGACCTCTGGAAAGCAGTCAGAGAGAACAGATGAAGGAGCCAGGCAAGCTCTTTTTGAATAAGATGGTGTGTATTACAGCTAGGAAGAGCCAACAGAGTAGATCTCACAGTGACCAGCCCAGCTAACAGCAGTTGAAATTGTTAGTCATGAAAATACAGATGCCCCCTGTATGGATTACCCTCATATTTTCTCAGTCACTAGTTTGAGAGTATCATATTTGAGAGACAGAGTTTTTCTTGATAATTGAGAAAGATCAAAAAGGGAACTGAATTTTCATTGGCAAAAAGACTACATAAATAGAAGCAACATCTTTGTTGGTGCCTACTTGTCATCAGCTAGAAAGGTCCGATTTTTTTTGCAAAAACCTTAGGAACAGGATTCAGGGTACCTTCCAAAAGCGAAAAGTAAAGGCAGACTTCAGGGCTCCTAGAAAGTTTACATCCAAGAATTCCCTATAATGTAAACTTGAAAATTAATGCTTTTTCCTCCACAAGAACTTGTTTCAAAAAGTTAGTCTGGTAACTCATTCTCATAAATTGTTCTTAGTATTTTTCTTGCAGATTTTCATGATATGGTTCCCAAAATAAATCAGTAGCAAGCATTATGATCTGTGCCTTCCACTTCAGCATAGTACTTTGCTCCATAAACATAATATAATGAACATTTATGTATCACTACCTTTCTTACTTTTCTTTACTCACTTCATCATATCAACAAAATGTATTTGATACACAGTTGCAAATAAATATTAAGCTTTACATTTTGTAATAAATATTTCTGAGTAATAAAAATGTTCCAACTGATCAAAAAATTTGATATTTGATGATGGCATTTGAAGAGATGCATGTTTATTAGCTCAATTTAGCCATTTCACATTGTATACATTTTTTTAAAACGTTGTACATGATAAACACATACAATTTTTATCAATTATAAAAAATTTTGAGTGTTATATTTGAGTGATAACAAATTTAGATGAGTTAACAGAATACATACATACCTCCTTAATAAATTTTATTGTTTACTAGTCCATCTTCAAAAGTTCATCATATTAACTACAGTCAGAAATTGGTTCCCAAAGTTCATTATATTTATTACAGTCAAAAACAGTTTCTAGGAAGTCTATTGTATTTATACAATTAAAAATGACTCAACTATTGGGTACAAGGTTTCTTTTAGGATGGTGAAAATGTTCTAAAATGATGGTTGTACAACCTGAACGTAAATGAAAAAATTATGTACTGCTGAACTGTACACTTTAAATGAGTGAATTTTATGGTATGTAAATTATATCCCAATAAAGCTATTTTTAAAATGGGTCAATCAAGGACACTAAGAGTTGTTTATTTGAAAAGTTCAAAAAAATTGACAAACCATTAGCTAGATCAAGAAAAAACTCAAATCAAATCAGAAATGAAAGAGGAGGGATTATAACTGATGCCACAGAAATTAAAAGGATAAGAGGCTACTATGAAAAATTATATGCCAACAAATTAGATAATCCAAAAGAAATGGATTAATTCCTAGAAACATACAACCTACCAAGACTGAACCATAAATAGAAGGTCTTAACAGACCTATAAGTAGTAAGAAGATTAAATCTACTAAAATACCAAAAATTAGCCGGGCATGGTGGTAGGTGCCTGTAGTCCCAGCTACTCGGGAGGCTGAGGCACAATAATCGCTTGAGCCCCGGAGGCGGAGGTTGCAGTGAGCCGCCGAGATCATGCCACTGCATTCCAGCTTGGGCTACAAAATAAGACTCTCTCAAAAAAAAAATAAATAAATAAATAAAGGAGGTATATCTCATTTTACCCATTTCATTCCACAATAATGAAAAATAAAAGTGTCAGCTGTCCTAGGAATGCAGAATATAAAAGGTGGGGCAACAGGGCATGTGGTGCTTTCCTTAGTTTACTTTGACAATAAAAACTCCTATCTCTGTTGCTGCTGGAATAGCATTTATTGGAAATCAGCCTCTCAACAGTCCTCACCCATCAGGAACAGGAATCTGCCATTAGCTTGACAGCATACAGAGCACCATATCAGGGTTACTATGGGAAGACTCTATTGTGGCATCAGAAACACAAAAAACACTGGATACAGTTAGTTTCTGTTGACAGTTTCAGAAGAAAATCCCACAGATTGGACAGGCTGCCTGCTGAAAGGGTTGTCACTACACACAGCATGCCCTGAACCCTGGAATGAAGTTACCCCTATCTGTGTGATCAGGAACTGAACAACTCTGAGGCTCTTTTTCTAAGCTCTTAGATTCCTGCAAGAACCTCACACTTACCTCCTCACCTGGCTTTGGACCTCAAGCTAAAAGTGCAAACAGTCTGCCTACTTTCCCCATAAACATTTCCCCAAAATAAAGGGCTTTTTTTTTTTTTTTTAGCACTTGCTTACTTGTGTTCTCACTTTCTCTGTCTTCCTCTCCCTCCCTCCTTCTCTCCCTGCTCACTGTCATCAGCTGGGTCCCAATCCAGTTTCTACACCTACATTCATGACTAATGACCCACCAGCAGCCCCTAAGAGCCACTAGGCTGTAATGAACATTTTCCTACCAGTTACATGTGGTAGGTCTGGGAGGAGCCCCCCATTTCCAATGAGGGTATGTTAAATACAGTTAGAATGATGCGGGATGTGGACTCTGGAGCCTTGCTACATACAAAATGTGGTCTGAGGACCAGCAACAAGGCATCATGTGAGAACTTGCTAAGTATGCAGAACCTTAGACCCCACCCCAGAACTACTGAATCAGAACATGCATTTTAACAAGATCTCTTGGTGATCTGAATGTACATTAAAGTTTGAGGAGCCTTGGTATAAAATTTGAATATATTTTGAGAGAAGACTGTGGAATTTGGTGGGGGATGGGGAAGTGGTAGGATTCTTATGTACAGGGCTATTTACAGAGAAAACAAATAACATTCATTAAATACTGAATAATTTACTTTCTTTAAAATAAGAGGAATAAATAAATCCAATTACTATATGTATAGGGCCTTGAGACATCAGTGAGCTTAAGGAATCTTCAGCAGTAAGGCTTAAATACCTATTCTTATTCTTTGTATTTTAATAAATCTGTTTGCATAAGAGCTTTAAATTGTATCAGTGACAAGTAGGTATGTTTTCATAATGGAATAATAGTGAGCAATAACGCCCCCCAAAAGAGGCGGAGCAAGGCATAAGTAAACAAAATGTATGTGTGTCGCATACATTTCAACAGGTGAATCCAGCATGGCATGATGGAAACTTAAGTTCCGGGGCCCACACAGGCCCCTTCCAAGGACCAGGAACTAACTTTGCATTCAAAATTTTGTTCTCTCTTCTTACAGACAGCCTCAAAAATTACATAATCTTAAAACTTCACAAAACCTGGAACCATGCCTGATCTAATTAATCATGAAAACTCTTCTTAAGTTTATTATTATTATTATAATACTTTAAGTTCTGGGATACATGTGCATAGAACGTGCAGTTTTGTTACATAGGTATACACGTGCTATGGTGGTTTGCTGCACCCATCAATCCGTCATATGCATCAGGCATTTCTCCTAATGCTATCCCTCCCCTAGCCCCTCACCCCCCGACAGGCCCTGGTGTGTGATGTTCCCCTCCCTGTGTCCATGTGTTCTCTTTGTTCAACTCCCACTTATGAGTGAGGACATGCGGTGTTCAGTTTTCTGTTCCTGTGTTAGTTTGCTGAGAATGATGGTTTCCAGCTACATCCATGTCCCTGCAAAGTACATGAACTCGTCCTTTTTTTGTGGCTGCATAGTATTCCAGGGTGTATATGTGCCACATTTTCTTTATCCAGTCTATCACTGATAGGCATTTGGGTTGGTTCCAAGCCTTTGCTATTGTGAACAGTGCTGCAATAAACATACGTGTGCTTGTGTCTTTAAGTTTGACATTATATATATATATCTATATAGATAGATATCTATAGATCTATAGATATCTATCTATCTAGATATCTATATAGATAGATATCTATCTATCTATCTATCTATCTATCTATATATATATATATATATTTTTTTTTTTTTTTTAGGACGGAGTCTTACTCTGTTGCCCAGGCTGGAGTGCAGTGGTGTGATCTCGGCTCACTGGAACCTCTAACTCCTGGGTTCAAGCAATCCTCCCACCTCAGCCTCCCAAGTAGCTGGGAGTACAGGTGCCGCCACCACACCTGGTTAATTTTTGTATTTTTAGTAGAGATGGGGTTTCGCCATGTTGGCCAGGCTGGTCTAAAACTCCTGATCTCAGGTGATCCTCCCGCCTCAGCCTCCCAAAGTGCTGGGGTTACAGACACGAGCCACCATACCCAGCCGACATATAATATTTTTAAATCCTTTCAATACACTGGGAAACATTTAGAATTATATCACTATCATTCAAACTACAAATGAAAATAACAATTTAATTGACACATGACCTAGGAATAATTCTGCTCATGTGTAAGAAAAACTGTTTGTAATGATATGGTTCATATCTTACTCTTCTTTCCATGTTATCATTTAACATGATTAAATTTAACAAATATATCGTTTGTTGACATTTCTCTCTCTTCCCTTCTTCTTTTCCTCCTATTTTAACTTAAAAACCTAACTACTGCAGAGGTGGGGAGGTACTAGAGGAAATATCCAAAAATGTTCCTCAGGAATTTTTGTTTAATTTTGTTTTATTATTTTCCTCAGGTTTGAAACTCATATCTACTTACATTTTTTAAAGAATGCAAAAGGTAAAACAAGTAAACACACACACACACATATACATACATACACATATTAAAAAGATAAATTCTGGTGACATTTTAGTGACTAGTATTTCAAACTATTTAGGTAAGATGTTAACAGTGTGGTTTTGAGAGTTACATGTGAGTGTATGTATGAACATATACATAACTGTATGAGAGAGAGATCTAGAAATTGCTGTCCTGCCCACCAAACCACTGATACACCTTTTTCATACAGTTAAAGTAGCTGTGCCTCATCATGAGCTAGAATGTATTCCGTATGTATGGTTATCAATATAAACAATCTGCCAATGCTGGGCATTCCGTGTGTTTCTGATTTTCATTTTATAAATGAAGCTGCTATGGATATCCTTATGCACGCTCCCTCTTGCTCTTTCCTTATTTTGTCCTGAGGACAAATCCCTGTTATGAAAATTGCGGGATAAAACTTTGGAACACAATACCAGTGTGCCTTCTGAAGAGTTTCATCAATTTACAGTACAATCAAAAGACAATTTCACTTTTAAAACATCATTTGCTAATTTGAGAGACAAAAAAGTCTGTTTTTGTTTATATGCTTACTTTTTAAACTTTTAAAGTAAAATACACATACAGAATAGCACACAGCTTGATGAGTTGCTGTTAATTTATTCCTTTTTATGGCTGCATAGTATTCCATGGTTTATATATACCACGGTTTCTTTATCCACTTGTTGACTGACAGGTATTTGGGCTGGTTCCACAATTTCGCAATTGTGAATTGTGCCACTATAAACATGCATGTGCAAGTGTCTTTTTCAAATAATGACTTCTTTTCCTCTGGGTAGATACCCAGTAGTGGGATTGCTGGATCAAATGGTAGTTCTACTTCTAGTTCTTTAAGGAATCTCCACACTGTTTTCCATAGCAGCTATGCTAGTTTACATTCCCACAAGAAGTGTAGAAGTGTTCCCTGTTCACTGCATCCACGTCAACATCTACTGGTTTGTTGTTGTTGTTGTTGTTGTTGTTATGGCCATTCTTGCAGGAATGAGCTGGTATCCCATTGTGGTTTTGATTTACATTCCCCTGCTCATTAGTGATGTTAGGCATTTTTTCATGTTTCTTGGCCATTTGTATATCTTCTTTTGAGAATTGTCTATTCATGTCCTTAGCCCACTTTTTGATGGGACTGATTTTTTCTTATTGTTGAGTTCGTTGTAGATTCTGGACATTTGTCAGAATGTATAGACTGTGAAGTCCTTTGTCAGATGTATAGACTGTGAAGATTTTCTCCCACTCTGTGGTTTGTGTGTTTACTTTGCTAACTGTTCCTTTTGTCATGCAAAAGCTCTTCAGTTTAATTAGGTCCCAGCTATTTATCTTTGTTTTTATTGATTTGCTTTTGAGTTTTGGTCATGAAATCCTTGCCTAAACCAATGTCTAGAAGGGTTTTTCCAATGTTATCTTGTAGAATTTTTATAGTTTCAGGTATCAGGTTTAAGTCCTTAGTCCATCTTGAGTTTTGTATAAGGTGAGAGATGAGGAACCAGTTTCATTCTCCTACATGTGGCTAGCCAATTATCCCAGCACCATTTGTTGAAAAGGGTGTCCTTTCCCCACTTTATGTTTTTGTTTGCCTTGTCAAAGATCAGTTGGCTGTTAAGTATTTGGGTTTATTTCTGGGTTCTCTATTCTGTTTCATTGGTCTATGTGCCTATTTTTGTACCAGTACAACACTGTTTTGGTGACTATGGCCTTATAGTTTGAAATCAGATAGTGTGATGCCTCCAGATTTGTTCTTTTTGCTTAGTCTTGATTTGGTTATGAGGGCTCTTTTTTTGGTTCCATATGAATTCTAGAATTGTTTTTTCTAATTCTGTGAAGAATGATGGTGGTATTTTGATGGGAATTGCATTGAATTTGTAGATTGCTTTTGGCAGTATGGTCATTATTCACAACATTGATTCTACTCATCCATGAACATGGAATGTGTTTCCATTTGTTCGTGTCATCTATTATTTCTTTCAGCCATGTTTTGTAGTTTTCCTTGTAGAAGTCTTTCAACTCCTTGGTTAGGTATAGTCCTAAATTTTTTTTTTTTTTTTTTTTGCAGCTATTGTAAAAGTGGTTGAGTTCTTGATTTGATTTTCTAGCCACTGTTGGTGTATGGAAGAACTACTGATTTGTGTATATTAATCTTGTATCTGGAAACTTCGCTGGATTCTTTTATCAGTTCTAGAACCTTTCTGGAGGAGTCCTTAGGGTTTTCAAGGTAAACAATCATATCATCAGCAAACAGTGACAGTTTGACTTCTTCTTTACTGATTTGGATGCCCTTTATTTCTTTCTCTTGTCTGATTGCTCTGGCTAGGACTTCCAGTACTATGTTGAAGAGTGGTGGTGAGAGTGGGCATCCTTGTCTTGTTCTCATCTTGTCAGATTCTCAGAGAGAATGCTTTCAAGTTTTCCCCATTCAGTGTTATGTTGGCTGTGGGTACGTCTTAGATGGCTTTTATTACATTAAGGTATGCCCCTTGTATGCTGATTTTGCTGAGAATTCTAATCATAAAGGGGTGCTGGATTTTTTTCAAATGCTTTTTTTTGCATCTATTTAAATGATCATGTAATTTTTGTCTTAAATTATGTTTATGTGGTGTATCACATTTATTGACTTGTGTATGTTAAACCATCCCTGCATCCCTGGTATGAAACCCACTTGATGATGGTGGATTATCTTTTCGATATGTTGTTGGATTCAGTTAGCTGGTATTTTGTTAAGGATTTTGGCATCTATGTTCATCAAGGATATCGGTCTGTAGTTTTCTTTTTTGGCTATATTCTTTCTTGGTTTTGGTATTAGGGTGATGCTGGCTTCACAGAATGAATTAGGGAGGGTTCCTTCTTTCTCTATCTTGTGAAATAGTGTCAAAAGGATTGGGTATCAATTCTTCTTTGAATGCCTGGTAGAATTCTGCTGTGAATCGCTCTGGTCCTGGGCTTTTTTGTTGTTGGTAATCTTTTAATTACAATTTGAATCTCACTGCTTGCTATTGGTCTGTTCAGGGTATCTAACTCTTCCTGATTTAAGCTAGGAGGGTTGTATTTTTCCAGGAATTTATCCATCTCTTCTAATTTTCTAGTTTATGTGTGTAAAGGTGTTCACAGTAGCCTTGAATGATCTTTTGTATTTCTGTGGTGTCAGTTGTAATATCTCCTGTTTCCTTTCTTAGTGAGGTTATTTGGATTTTCTCTCTTTTCTTGATTAATCTTGCCAATGGTCTATCAACTTTATTTATCTTTTCAAAGAACCGGCTTTTTTTTCCTTTATCTTTTATATTTTTTTGGTTTCTATTTCATTTAATTCTGCTCTGATCTTGGTTATTTCCTTTCTTCTGCTGGGTTTGAGCTTGGTTTGTTCTTGTTTCTCTAGTTCCTTAAAGTATGACCTTAGAATGTCAGTTTGTGCTCTTTCAGTCTTTTTGATGTAGGGGTTTTGGGTTATGCTTTCCTTTTAGCACTGCTTTTGCTGTATCCCAAAGGTTTTGATAGGTTGTGTCATTACTGTCGTTCAGTTTGAAGAATTTTTAAATTTCCATCTTGATTTTGTTTCTGACCCAATGCTCATTCAGGAGCTGGTTATTTAATTTCCATGTATTTGCATGGTTTTGAAGGTTCCTTTTGGAGTTGATTTCCAGTTTTATTCCACTGTGGTCTGACAGAGTGCTTGATATAATTTCGATTTTCTTAAATTTATTAAGGCTCATTTTATGGCCTATCATATGGTTTACCTTGAAGAAAGTTCCATGCACTGTTGAATAGAATGTGTATTCTGCGGTTGTCGGATGAACTTTTCTGTATATATCTGTTAAGTCCATTTATTCCAAGGTATAGTTTAAATCCATTGTTTCTTTGTTGACTTTCTGTCTTGATGACCTGCCTAGTGCTGTCAGTGGAGTATTGAAGTCCCACACTATTATTGTGTTGTTGTCTATCTCATTTCTTAGGTCTATTAGTCATAGTTTTATAAACTTGGGAGCTCCAGTGTTAGGTGCATGTATGTTTAGGATTGTGATATTTTCCTGTTGAACAAGGACTTTTACCATTATATAACATCTCTGTCTCTTTTAACTGTTGTTGCTTTAAAGTTTGTTTTGTCTTATGTAAGAATTGCTACCCCAGCTCGTTTTTGGTGTCCATTTGCATGAAATGCCTTTTTCCACTCCTTTACTTAAGTTTATGTGAGTCCTTATGTGCGAGGTGAGTCTCCTGAAGGCAGCAGATGGTTGGTGAGTTCTTATCCATTCTGTGGTTCTTTCAAGTGGAGCATTTAGGCCATTTATATTCAATGTTAGTATTGAGATGTGAGGTACCATTGAATTCATCATGCTATCTGTTGCCTGTGTACTTTGTTTCGTTTTGTTTTTTTGCTTTTTAACTTGTATTTTTGTTTTATAGGTCCTGTGTGATTTATGCTTTAAAGAGGTCCTGTTTTGATGTGTTTCCAGAATTTGTTTCAAGATTTAGAGGTCCTTTTAGCAGTTCCTGTAGTGGTGGTTTGGTAATGGCAAATTATTTCAGCATTTGTTTGTCTGAAAAAGACTGTATCTTTCCTTCATATATAATGCTTAGTTTCACTGGATATAAAATTCTTGGCTGATAATTGTTTTGTTTGAGAAGGCTGAAGATAGGGTCCCAATCCCGTCTAGCTTGTAAGGTTTCTGCTGAGAAATCTGCTGTTAATCTGATAGGTTTTCCTTTATAGGTTACCTGGTGCTCCTGTCTCACAGCTCTTAAGATTCGTTCCTTCATCTTAACTTTGGATAACCTGATGACAATGTGCCTAGATGAATATCTGTTTGCAATAAATTTCCTGGGTGTTCTTTGTGCTTCTTGTTTTTGGATGTGTAGGTCTCTAGCAAGGCCAGGGAAGTCTTCTTCAATTATTCCCCCGAATATGTTTTCCAAGATCTTAGAATTCTCTTCTTCCTCAGGAAGACCAATTATTCTCAGGTTTGGTCATTTAACATAACCCCAGACTTCTTGGATGCTCTGTTCCTATTTTCTTATTCTTTTTTCTTTGTCTTTGTTGGATTGGGTTAATTCGAAGACCCTGTCTTCGAGCTGTGAGTTTCTTTCTTCTACTTGTTCAATTCTATTGCTGAGACTTTCCAGAGCAAAAATGTGTCCAAAGCTTCCTGAATCTTTGATTTTGTTTTCCTTTAAGCTATCTAGTTCCTTGAATATTCCTCCCTTCACTTCTTCTATCATGTTTTGGATTTCCTTGCATTGGGCTTCACCTTTCTCTGGTCCCTCCCTAATTAGCTTTATAACTAACCTCCTGAATTCTTTTTCAGGTAAGTCAGGGATTTCTTTTTGGTTTGGATCCATTGCTGGTGAACTGGTGTGATATTTTTGGGGGGTGTCGAAGAGCCTTGTTTTGTCATATTACCAGGGTTGTTTTTCTGGTTCCTTCTCATTTGGGTAGGCTCTGTCAGAGGGAAGGTCTAGGGCTGAAGGCCATTGTTCAGATTCTTTTGTCTCATGTGGTGTTCCCTTGATGTAGTACTCTCCCCCTTTTCCTATGGATGTGGCTTCCTGTGAGCCAAACTGCAGTAACTGTTGTCTGTCTTCTGAGTCTAGCCACCCAGCAAGTCTACCTGGCTCCAGGCTGGTAATGGGGGTTGTCTGCACAGAGTCCTGTGATGTGAACCATCTATGGGTCTCTCAGCTGGGATACCAGTGCCTGTTCTGGTGGAGGTGGCAGGGATGGGGATCAGGGATGCAATGGACTCCATGAGGGTCCTTAGCTTTGGTGGTTTAATGGTCTATTTTTGTGCTGGTTAGCCTCCTGCCAGGAGGTAGCACTTTCCAGAGAGCGTCAGCTGTGGTAGTATGGGAAGGAATGGGTGGTGGGGTGGGGTCCTAGAATTCCTAAGATTATATGCCCTTTATCTTCCGCTACTAGGGTGGGTAGGGAAGGACCATTAGGTCGGGGCAGGGCTAGGCATGTCTGAGCTCAGACTTTCCTTGGGAGGGTCTTGCTGAGGCTACTTTCAGGGATGGGGGTGAGACTCCCAGGTCACTGGAGTTGTCTACCTAGAAGGATTATGGCTGCCTCTGCTGAGTCATTGCAGGTTGTCACGGAAGTGGGGAAAGTCAGTAGTCACAGGCCTTACCCAGCTCCCACACAAACCGAAGGGCCAGTCTCACTGCCACCATGCCCCCCTCAACAGCCCCACGTCTGTTTCCAGGCAGAGAGCAATACGAGTCTGAAAACCTGCCCCAGGATACCTGCCTCCAACTACGAAAGAAAAGGGTTTGGTTTTTTGCCTGCCTGTGGAGTCTGCACACCGGATTTGCGCCCTCCTTTGAATTCTGGCCAGGAGGCTTCTCATCCCGTTCAAATTGTTACAAAGTTCAGCTAGAGATGTCCTTCTCCCTGTGTGGTTTTACCCCCTGCTCCTCTCCTGTTGGATCCCCATGGTGCCAGGCAGGAATGGCCTGCTAGGGGACCCAGTGAGTTCCCAGGGCCCTTCTCACTGTTTCCTCTACTCCTGTATTTTGCTCAGCTCTCCAAACTGACTCAGCTCCAGGTAAACTCGGAAACTTCTTCCACGAACAGACCTTCAGCTTCTCCAGTGGGAGTGTGTGTTCGGGAGAGGATGGTCTCACTTTCACGGTTGGGGCACTCAACAGTTTTGCGGGGTGGTATCCCGGGTCCACTTCCTTCAGAGGGTGTGTGGGTCCTCTTGGGATGGCTGGTTTGCTCTTGCGGTCGATCTGGAGCTAAAATTCACAGTGTGAGTCCCCGCACACTGCTCTGTCCAGAGATGCAATCTAGTCCTGCCTCCCATCTGCCATGATGATCCCGCTCCTCCTTTTCATTG
This sequence comes from Homo sapiens, assembly GCF_000001405.40. Taxonomy (NCBI): domain Eukaryota; kingdom Metazoa; phylum Chordata; class Mammalia; order Primates; family Hominidae; genus Homo; species Homo sapiens. The sequence goes on from NC_000013.11 coordinate 43,623,776, forward strand.
TTGAACACTATTCTATGATATGTGTATATCATAATTTGTTTAACCATTTGCCCATTGAAAGACATCAGGGTTTTTTCCAATTTTTGAGTATTGTAAATAAAGCTGCTATGAATATTTGTGTACAAATTTTTGTGTAAATGTAAGTATTCATTTCTCCAAGATAAATGCCCAGGAATGCCATTATTGGTCTGTATGATAGTTGCGTGTTTAGTTCTTTATGAAACTGTCAAATCATTTTTCAGGGTGGCTGTACCATTTTACATTCCCACCAGCAATGTAGGGATTTAGTTCCTCTGCATCTTGCTAGCATTTGATGTTGTCAGTAGTTTTTATTTTACTTATTCTGATTCATATATAGTGATACTCATTGTGATTTTAACTTGCATTCTTGTAATGACTAATGATGTTCAGCATCTCTTAATAGGCTTATTGGCCATCTCTATATACTCTTCAGTAAAATATTTCTTTGTGTCTTTTTCCTATTTTTTAACTGAATTGTTTTTTACTGTTGACTTTTGAGAGTTCTTTATATATTCTAGGGTACTAGTCCTTTCTCAGATATCTGCTTTGCAAATATTTTCTCCGAATCCATAGCTTATATTTTCATCTACTCACCAAGGTCTTTTGCAGAGCAAAATTTTTAATTTTAATGAAGTGAAATTTTTCCTTGCTTTGATATGAAGTCTAAGAACTTTTTCTATTTTTAGATACCAAAGATTTTTTCGTATTTTTCCAATAGTTTTATAGTTTTGTGATTCACATTAAGTCCATAATCCATTTCGAATTTTTACATAAGGTGTGCTACTGAGAATGAAGTTCATTTTTTTGCCCATGGATATCAAATTGCTCCAGAACCATTTATTTAAAGAGCATCTTGTCTCTAGTGAATTGAATTTGCACCTCTGTCAAAAATCATGCAAATATGCACTTCTGTTCATATTTGTGTGGGTCTTTACCTGTGTTCTCTATTTTCTTACAGTGATATATCTCTATCCATCACCAACCACAGTCTTGATTACTGTATCTACATAATCTCATAAAATTGCCTAGACTAAGTCCTTCCACTTTTTAAAAATTGTTCAAAATATTCCAGTTCCTTTGCCAATCCACAAAGGACTTAGAATAATTTTGTTGACATCCTCAAAAAATATTCTTGGGATTTTGATAGGAATTGCTACCAATATCTACATATCAGCTTGGGGAGAAGTGACATCTTCCACTCCATAAACATGGTATGTCTCTTTGTTTACTTAAATCCTTTTTATTTCTTTCATCAGTATTGTATAGTATTCAGCATGCATTTCTTATACATGTTTTGTTATATTTATGCCTAAGTAACTCTTTTTAGAGCAATTGTAAATGGTATCATATTTTTCAATTTCTGTGTCAATGTGTTCATTGCCAGTATATCAAAATACAACTGGCTTTTATATGTTCAGCTTGTATCTTGCAACCTTGCTGAGCTAACTCCAGGATTTTTTTATAGATTCTTTGATATATTCTATATACACAATCATGCCATCTGCAGATAAAAACTTTTTTTCTTCTTTCTCAGTCTATTGCTTTTTGCTCCTTTTCTTGCCTTTTGGCACTCTGTTGAATAAGAGTAGTGAGATTGAATATCCTTGCCTTGTTCTCAATCTTGAAGAGAAAGCATTCAGCCTTTCACCTTTAACTAAAATGTTATTTCTAGGATTTTTGTTTTTGTAGACTGTCATATATCGAGTTTAAGAAATCCCACTATTCCTTCTTTTTTTCCAAGAATTTTCATCATAAATAAGTGTTGAATTTAATCAAATGATTTTTCTGCATCAATCGATATGATCACGTGGCTTCTTTCCTCTAACCTGTTAATGTGGTGGATTGCATAGATTGATTTTCAAATATTGAACCAGCATTGCATCTACAAAATAAATACCACTAGGTTATGGTAAACAATTCTTTTATATACTGCTGAATTCTATTTGCTAATATTTGCTAAGTATTTTTACTTCTCTATTTATGATTGATACTGGTAGACAGTTTTCTTTTTTGTACTGTTTTTGTCTGGTTCTAGTATCAAGGAAATACTAGCTTAATAAAATAAATTGGAAAGCGTTGCTTCCTTTCCTATTTTCTGGAAGAGACTCTGTAGAATTAGTATTAATTATTCTTCAAACATGTGATAGAATTCTCCAGTAAAACAAATAGGGCCTGGATATTTCTTTGGGGGGAGTTTTAAAATTATAAATCATATTTCCTTAGTAATTACAGTACTATTCAAATTACAAACATAATATTGGGTGAGTTGTGGTAGCCTGTGTTTTTCAAGGAATTGGCCCATTTCTTCTAAGTTGTCAAATTCATGTCAGTGAATTGCTCACAGTATTATCTTAATTTCCTTTTGATGTCTGCAGGGTCTTCAGTGACATATACAATATATTTGGTGATACAGTAATTTATGTATCCTCCCTTTTTTGTCAGTCTTGCTAGAAGCTAATTGATCTTTCAAATAAAGAGCACTTTATTCCACTGATTTTCTCTACTATTTTTCTGTTTTCAATTTCTTTGACTTCTGCTCTTATCTTTATCTCCCTTTTTCTGCTTCAAGTTTAACTTGTTTTGTTTTAGTTTTTTGGGGTGATAAATTATTAATTCAAGATTATTTCCTCATTTTTAATGTATGAATTTAGTCCTATAAATTTCCCTCTCATCACTGCTTTATCTACCTACAAATTTTATGTTGTGTTTCCATTTTCATTTAGTTCAATATATTTTTATGTCCCCGATACTCTGACCCACGCATTGACTAAAAGTATATTATTTAGTTTCAAAGTGTTGGAAATTGTCCTCTTATATTTCTGTTATCTCTAGCTTGATTTATTTGGATCAGAGAACATACTCTATACGGTTTCAATGGCCTTATATTAAGGGTTTTTAAAATCACTCAAGCTATTATCTTTTTTGGGATATAGTCCACAGGCATTTGAAAAAATATATATATTCTGCTGTTATTGGGTGGACTGTTTTATAAATGTAAATTTGATCCTATTAGTTGATGGTTTTGTGAGATATTCTATATCCTTACTGATTTTCTGTATAACTGTCCTATCAACTTTTGAGAAAGGGGTGTTGAACTCTCCACATATAATTGTAGATTTGCCTGTTTCTCCTTTCTATTCTATCAGTTTTCACTTCACGTATTTTGTAGCTGTTGTCTCGTGCATTAACATTTAGAATTGCAATATCTTCCTAGTAGATTGACCTTTGCATCATTATATTATGTCCAGCTCTGTCTCTGACAATTTTCTTTGTTCTAAAGTCTACTTTATCTGATATTAACATAGCCACTCTTGAATTCCATTGATTAATGTTTGTATATCTTTTCTGCCCTTTTATTTTCAATGTGCATATGTCATTATATCTGATGTTTCTTGTAGATAGCATACAGTTGGTTCATGTTTTTAATCACCCTGACAGCCTCCGTCTTGATCGTTTTAGACTATCTGCATTTAATGCAATTATTGATATGTTAGGGCTTCAGTCTGTTATCTTTTGTTTTTTTGTTCTGCTTTTCATCTCTGTTTTTTCTTGTGTTCCAAGTAAGTTAATCATTTTAGAATTCCATTTTGATTCACCTATAGTGTTTTAAATGTATTTCTTATATTTTAATGGTTGCTCTGGTTATTACATATATATGTATAATTCAGACAGTCTATTAGTATCATTTTATCAGTTTGAGTGAACTATAGAAACCCTATCTACTTTGAAGTCTCTTTGCCTTCCCCCACTTAAAATATAGTTGTCTTAAATATTTCCTCTGCATTTATTTACAACCTACATCAGACAGGGTTATAATTTTTACTTCAACTACCAAATATATTTATTAAATTCAAAAGGAGAAGGAAAGCTTAATGTTTACCCATGTTTACACATGCTTTTGTTTACTGTGTTCTTTCTTCCTTTCTAATTTCCCAGAGTCCCTTCTTTTATTGTTTCTTTTCTATTTAGAGAACTTTTTCAAATCGCATTTCTAGGGCAGGTTTAAGGTGACTAAATCCCTTCGTCTTCCTTATCCTGAGATGGTCTTTATTTCTCCTTCATTCCTGAAGGATAATTCCACTGGGTTTAGAATTATGAGTTGATAATTTTTCTTTCAGCACTTGAAAAATATTGTGCCACTTTATTCTGGGTTTCATTGTTTCTCAGGAGAAACACGCTGTCCTTCTAATTGATTTTTCCTGTGTCATTTTTTTTCTCACTTTCAAGAATTTTTCTTGAATATAGTTTTCAGAAGTTTAATTATAATGCATCTTAGTGTAAACTTTTTTGTGTTTATTCTGTTTGGGGTTTCCTCAGCTTCTTGAATCTGTAGGTTTATATCTTTTCCAAATTTGAGAAATTTTCAGCCATTATATCTTCAGGTACTTTTCCAGCACTGCTCTCTTTCTCCTTCCTTCTGGGACTTCGATGCCGTGAATGTTAGATGTTTTGTTATAATCCCACAGGTCTGTGAGGTGCTGTTCATTATTTGCTTATCATTATTCTCTTTACTCTCATCATTGAGATTGGAATTTCTATTGTTATGTCTTCCAGTTATTGATGCCTTCCTTTCTCCCCTTCACTATGCTGTTGAGTCTATCTGCTGAGCATCTTATTTCAGTTTCTGTATTCTCAGTTGTAAAATGTTCATTTAGTTCCTCTTCATATTTCCTTGGTGAGACTTTCTATTTCTTTGCTGAGCTTTCTATTTTTGCATTTATTTCAAGTGTAATTGCTAGTTTAAGCATTTCTACCATAGCTGCTTTCAAATCCTTTTCAGATAATTCTGACAGTCATCCCAATGTTGGCAGCTATTGACTGTCTCTTTTCATACAATTTGAGGTCCTCCTGGTTCTTTGTATAAAGAGAGATTTTCAATTGAAAGCTGAACATTTTTATATTATGCTCTGAGACCTTGAACCTTATTTAAACCTTCTGTTTTCACTGGCTTTTCCTGACCTTGCTCCCATAGGGGAAGGAAGAATGCCATCTCATATTGCCAGGTATAAAGGTCCAGGTTCCCCACTTGGCCTTCGCTGACACCCAAGTGGGAATTTATTTTAACTGCTGGATATGGTTGGGGTTTCTAGATCTCTCTGTGGCCTCCTCAGACACTGATGTGAGGGTAGCACCATGACCACTAGGCAATGGTAAAAGTCCCAAGTCTCCATTAGGTCTCCAATATCACAGCCCCAGCAAGAAGGGGCAGGGGTACATAATTTTTGTTAGGTAGAAGTGGAAATCTACCATCTGATACTGCAGCATGAATGAGGAGAGGGGACAAGTCGTTACCAACCAGCAGGGATGAAAGTCCTCGCTCCCTACTTTGTCTCTGATATTACCCCACAGGAGAATAGTTATAGCCTCTGGAAAGTGAAAGAAAGTCTAGCTTCTGCACTCAGGCTTCCCTGGCACGGGTAAGAGTGGGGCCACAATTATTTCTGTTGTTTGGCAAAGAGATTAGTGTCTAAAAGTGTTCTGTCTTGCTGCAATGTCCCTTTTTCTACATTTCTGGCTAGAGAGAGTAGGCTTCACTGGGGGCTTTTTGTCTGTGCCCATTGGTATTCCCAGCTTGCTAGCTTCTTCAGTGTCAAGTCTTGGATATGTAAGATAAGAAGACAACACAGGGAACTTACCACCAGGTTATTCCTCTGGGTCTCATGTCCTTAACCAGTCTACTTCCTCCTCTCTGCCTTTCAGAATCTTGTGTTTGTTCTATATGGAATGTCCAGGAGTTTTCATTGTATTTAGTGGGAGGAATAGGAAAATCACATCCACTCCAATTACTCGAAAGTGGAATTCTGTATTTTTAATTCACATAGCTGTTACCTAATTGCCTTCCATACATGTATCAATTTACATTTACATTTCAGTTGAACCAATTACATTTCTGCAGAGTTAACACTGGTTTACACCACTGGTTTTCATTCCAGAAATTGCTCTTGGCCATCTGTTTTTGCCCTCACATCTGCCATTTTAGAGTCAACTTAAGAACTTTTTTTATAGAAAATTCTTCTTACAGGGTAGAAAAGAAGTAATGGTATTCAGGAGTGAGCTTCTAGTAGATGCCTTCCTTTCACTTGCCTGCCTCCCACCTAGCCCTAGTTCATCTAATTTGAAGGTGATTAGTGGAGCTTTTCTAAGCCTCCTCCACTTAACAAAAGTGAACACTACGCAGAGTTCTGAGAAGGGAATTTTTATTCCAGTTCCTGGTGTCTTCTATTTTATTCTAAATCAGATTATATTAAACAAAACTTCCCTGAAGTTTGAGGTATTTTATTGGGACTATTCCCTAATCCCACCATTCTCACCATGTATGCTTATTTTTGTATGTTTTAGTCAGTATTTTGGGAGAATGTGGTGGACTGCTATCATTCAAATAAGCATTAAGTGGACACCCTTTATAGGCAGCTTCTTTTCAGGGGCGGAAATAAGCCATTGCATGTGTAAGAACTAAGGTTGAGCAACAGCAATTTTGCCAGATGAGTATCCACTTTCGCTGTTTAGTCCCTCACACTTGATTACACCACATCTTTATTTTCTGGGCTTGTTTGTATGGTAGTCCTTAAACCCTACTTTCAACACTGGTGTGAAAAGAGTATTCCAAGAATAAGACAGCAGTAACTAGGAATCCCTATCATTTAAGATAGAAATACAATTAAAACACTCTCCCCTCAATTAAAGCTTATTGCCATTAATACACAGTCCCCAGAAGGGTTTTTGTTGGTTTTACTTCAAAAGCTGAAGCTCCTGCCCTTTACTACAAAGAAACATATACACATGAAGTAAAAGGATTACCTTGTGAGCCTCAATGTAGAATAGAGGGTGTGTGTACAGATATACTGCAACTTCTCAAACTAAAAAAAAAAAAGATATGTAAATACTTCTGATAAAATATTTACTTATACTAGAATATTTCATACAAAAAATACATAAAAATGGAACTCCACATAATACTATCTAGCTATAAATTACTGTAAAATGTTTTTTGGAATATTTTATTCTAGTCTCTTCCTAGGCATTTATATATACATACAACCACACACACACATATATATATATATACACACACACACACATATATATACACATATATATACACGCATACATACGTGTGCGTATATGTGTGTGTGTGTTTGTGTGTGTGTGTGTGTATGTAATACATATAATTAGATGGGCTCATACCGTAAATACCACTTTGAACTCTGCTTTATTCACTTAACATAATGTATTTTCCCATTTGGTTAAGTGGTCTTTAAAAACATGAGTCTTTAATGACTGCAATAATAATATTCTGCCTTCTGAAGGTGCCATAACTTAAACATTCTTCTATTTGTGGGTATTTAAGTTTTTACATTTTTGCCACTTTTAATAACACTGCAATGCATGTCCTTTTCCATAAATCTTTGAGTTTATTTTCCTCAGGGTAGACTGCTAGAATTTGGATTACTGAATTGCAGCTACTAGCTGCACTAGGCTCCCTCCCACAGCAGGAAACCTGGTTCTGGGTTAGGGCCAAATTCACTCTTGGCCTCAGCACTGAAAAGAGATTGCAGATTCTGCACCCCTCTGGCAAGACACTGTTGAGGTTCTCTTTAGAATTCTTATTTCCTGTCAGTGGTGCGGCCAGGTAAGCCTGGGGCTCTTTCAGCTTGCACAAAGTGTATTTGCTGCTTCTGCTCCGAGAAGAACTGCTAGGAATCGGGAAACTGAGTCAGATTTGTATGTTTCCTCTGGTTTGTACTCTGCCAGTTTGAGTCAGTAGAAAGGTAAGAAATTTTTTTTTGCAAGAACCCCTGTCTGCTAATTAATTTTAGAACAAATATAATAGTTTCCATACCACGAGGAAACAGTATCTTTAAAACAAAATCGGGAACACAATATCTACACGCAAGTAGGCTTTTATTATTTTTTCTTTTATTCTTTTTTCTTTGGCTAAAATTTAGGCACTATATTGTTTTACCACATTATCTGATCGTGATGCTTCATCTCTGATCACATGTTGCTGTCATTAAGGCATTTCTGAGGCTTTTCTTTCTTAATCTGGAAAGTTATTAAATTGTAAAAACGTGGCTTGTTGTATACTACCTTCTAAAATTATTAAAGAACACTTTTCTTTAAAACAAGAGTGTTCTCCATTGCCGTCAAGACAAACAGCAGTAACTTTACACAAAAGAAGCATTCATCTGTCACCCTACTTTAAAACACCCAATATTCATCAGCTGTTTGCCCTTCTTGGAGCAGCCTGAGCAGGAAAGGATTAATGTTTTATCCATTCATGCCCTTTGATCAATTTTCTATTGAGATGTTAGGTTTTTTTCTTCTGAATTTGAGAAAGCCCTTTAAGTACTGATTATATTAACCCTATGTCTATGTCTGTCATATTTGTTTAAAATAATTTTTCCCACTTTTCATTGCCATCTGATCTCATAGATGGTGAATTTTTTTTTACCATTCAGAAATATTTAAATTTAGTACATTATATAATGTTGTCTACTTTAGCATTTGTTTTAATTTCAAAATTAGGACATCATCTCAACCTGAAAATCATATATATTCATCAATTATATTTTCTTTTTTTAATGTATTTCTTTTTCTAGTGTATTATATATATAGCCTTATAAGATTATAATAATGTATTTCTATTATAATCTTAATTTTTTTTTTAAATGGAGTTTTGCTCTTGTTGCCCAGGCTGGAGTGCAGTGGTGTGATCTCAGCTCACTGCAACCTCTGCCTTCCGTGTTCAAGCGATTCTCCTGCCTCAGCCTCCCAATTAGCTGGGATTACAGGCGCCTGCCACCATGTCCAGCTAATTTTTTGTATTTTTAGTAGAGATGGAGTTTCACCATGTTGGGTAGGTTGGTCTCGAACTCTTGACCTCAGGTGATCCACCTGCCTCGGCTTCCCAAAGTGCTGGGATTACAGGCGTGAACCACAGTGCCCGGCCTGATTTTTATAATTTTAATTGTTTTATTATAATTTTAAACAGTAATAAAATACCATTTTTGAGAGATTTGAGTTTTCATTGGTTTTGATTCAACTTTTATCATATACTAAATTATTTCATACATTAGGTTTTTATACCCTGCTAGCTGTACCACTGTGATGTCTGTTGCTTCTTAGACTGTTCACTGGAGGTGTATCATATATTTAATATCTTGTAAAACAAGTATTTTCTTCTGCTATCATTTACTTTTTCTTTTCCTCAAAATTTTAAGTAGCTCACCCTATTTGTTCTTCTAAATGACTTTCGATTTGACAATTCAAGTTTCAAAATTTCTAAATGAACTTCAGAGTCAACAATTTGAGCTAGATTCCAATTTCATGACAAATATAATGTTTATAGCAGTAAAGATGTAAAAAGGCATTCAAACTCACTACTAACCATGGAATTATAAATTATTTGCCATCAAATAAGTAAAACATTTTAAAGGTTGATAATGTTCAATGTTGATATAAATATGGGTAAAATAGGCATTTTCATAGACCATTGATGAGAAAATAAATTGGTAGAGTTATTTTAGAGGAAATTTGCCAGTATCTATCATAATGCAAAATATGAGTATCATTTGATCCAATAATTCCCCATCTAGGAATCTGTCTCATAGATATTCTTACACATGTACACAAAGATACAAGGTAGTTCACCACAGCACTGTTTGTAAAAATCCCGCATTGGGATCCACAAATAAGTCCACGTGTAGGGGAATGATAAAAGTAAATTATTAAGTATCCATACCAAGGAATGTTGTAGAGCTATTAAAAATAATGAAGTAGATATATGTATAATAATATGGGGAAAATCTTTTAAGATATATTATTATATAAAAAAACAAGTTTCAGAGTAATGTGACCAACATAATGCTATTTACATTTTAAAATGTGTGTATGTGTGTGTGTGTGTGTGTGTGTGTGGATAGGTGGGTTGATAGTGTATATATGTATACATATATTTAGAAGGATAAGAACAAAAAGGATAGTAGTATTTACTTTTGGGGAGGTGAGGTTAGAGAGTAAAAAGAGCTTATAACTTTTAAATCTAAGTATTTCTATAGTATTGAGTACTATGTAGGTATTTCTCTTAAAAGTTTTAATTTCAAATATACAAATTGCACATAAATGTAATCTTATAATGAGTAAGTGAAAATTTAAAATATATTTGTATATTTTAAATTTAAAAACTTAAAAGCAACACCTACTTACTATTAATATCACCTTTACCTGGATCACCACTTTGTGTGTCTGTATGTTTATTTACTGTTGAACTGGCAGAAAGTTATTCATATTTGAACCGGCCAACAGATAATATGTGTACTCTCCTGCTGGCAAAACCCCTTGGGTGGTAGCTTCTGAATCTCTTTCTGGGTTCCATCCTATAGTGCAAGTTGGTCTGCACACTTTTAATGTTTAGCAAGTTTTCATCCTGGACTAACCTAAGCAACTGGGCTGAGGTGTATTATTTCCTATTGTTGCATATTTATTTACTCCAAACTCCCATCAAAGAGTACAAGGAAAGCCACAATACATGCACCCAGTGCTAGACAAGCTCTTCCTGCTTCCAGTTACATACTTGGATGGTGTGTTACAGAGGAGAGGGAGATTTACCACCTACGATGGATTTCATTCTTCTTCTCCAGCACGACCTACTAAACAAGGATAGTAAATTTCTGGGAGATGCTGTCTATGTAGATATTTTAAAAGGGTGTTGTAGAGAAGGAGCTCTGCAACAATATATGGAACAGGTCAAAAAGCAGTACCCACAGGAGACGGCTGCCCAGGCTTTCTAACTGCTACAGAAATCCAGTGTTGGCTAATGATAGTTATTCTCAATTCAGCTCCATCCATCTTGTAATCAGCAGAAATTCCTCTAGAAATCCTGCAAAAGGCCATCAGTCTTATTTTCTACCAATATGTTTTTATCTTTTTATGTCATCATGGGTATGTAAGTGGAAAGGTGGGAGAGGCTGCCTCAGGGTCTATCAGCCAGGTGATATTATAAACATGTTCTTTTGTAATTAAAAGTTCAAACATAAAATAACAATGTTAATGGGCAAAAGAGGTCATAAACACAGAAGTTGTAGGTGGGCACACACCACTCTTAGAACATGTTTCTACATCATGGTGGCTGTATCTGCTGCTTACTAATCAGGCATGGTGGCTCTCCAGGGTATTAATTCCCCCAAGGACCAAGAACCCATTTATTGTGTATGTGTGCAGGGAACAGGGGAACGTTTCTATGGCAGCTGCCTGGAAGATCAGAAGCAAGGGGAGAGAAAGGAATGAAGGAAAGCATTAACGAACACAGAAAGCCTGAAATCTGGGTAGAAATAAAGGTAGACAGTAGGGGATAAAAAGGGGATTAATACCTGTGAAGTGATAAAAGAGAACAGACTCCAAAAGGGGGTATAAGAGAAAAACTCTGTAAGTAATCAGTGGGAAATGGAAGCTCCACTGGAAAAGTCATTCAGCTTAGTTTTATTCAGACTTAAAACCGGGATTTGGTGCCACCAGAAGAGAGTAGGTAAGCATGAAAGCTGAAGCAATTTATCAAAATTATCCTTTCTACTGATGAGCATTTCTTTCAACAAATGTCCGTTACAAAAAGCAAAGCCACAATTGTATTAATTACTCAGCACCCGGTGCTGTTTCCTATGAAGAAACTAAGGAAAAAAATATAATATAAAAAGAATAAATGTATGACTTTTTTGGTCTTTGACAGAGATAAACGTGCTAGAAGGAAATCTTCCACTCTATTTGAAATGTAAAAATACATGTTCAGCTCATATATTTCCTGTAATTTCCACATGTGAGAAGTGAGAATGTCTAAAATTATCCAATATAAAATATGATGTATATCAGGATTTTGTTGGATCTTGTCAGCTACTCATAGGCAGATAAGGCAGGAAAGGAAGGGCCACAACTTGCATTAGACTTGCAGTTAAAGAGACAGAGAGATAAAGGAGAGGGAGAGAGAGAGAGCGAGCGAGCACACACATGCACTGAAATGGGCAAAACATAATGCTCACTCTGACCTCAATCCAGGGGCAAAAGAACAGCTAGTTTCAGGAACTAGGGCAAGATGCAGAAAGGGGGCCAGCAGTTCTCATAAGCCCTCTCGCACCAGTCAGCACACAACTATCAATCAATGGGGAAGAAGCAGGGCCCTATCATGGGACTGACCTTCTGGGGAAACGCAGCCCCAACACAGCCAGAATTGCTGTCAGCACAGCTAGGTAGGGCTTCATTCCTAGAGTGGGGACCAAATAACTAAGAGAGTTCTGTCCTACACCACCTCAGGCTGCCTGAGGTTGGAGAACTCGGGCACAGAAGTTTTGCTGTAACTAAGAGACAACAAGTGGGCAGAGCTGATGATGGGTCAAGAGCACTGGGTCCCATGCTCATGGTCACGCAAATAATAGTGACATACAGCAAATACTATAAAAGGGCCTCCTGTTATTGGTAGTAGCAGGACATCACATCCAATTTCAAACGATAACATCTTCTTGAAGGTGAAGTTTTTGCATTTAAAGTCTGGTTAATAACTGTTTCATGGAACCATGGGAAGATAACTCTGGAAGAGCCAGCAGATTATCTAGTGTCTGCCCAGGTTCCAGTGTAACTTGCTGTTTGTCTTTGAGCATTATCATTAAACCTTACAGGGTCTTGATTTTCTCATCCCAATAGTCTCCCTGGCCTCCCTGGAAAACTCTGTGGCCCACGAACTTTTGTCAGGAAGCTCTTCTTACAAATATTCTCTTAGCAAAAATTATCCTATATTTGACACTTTCAATTATTCAACAAATCTAGAGGAAATAATCACATTACAAAATAGATGTCCAGAACATTCCACCTTGTTTCACAGAAATCCTGTGGAAAGTAGACATGGCAACAGCATAACCAACGGCACGGGTGGCAGAGATCCAGGAAGACAAGTCAGGAAGGAACAGTGCTAAGGAGAGGAGGAAATCAGCCACTGAAGAAATTCTGGGACACAGCAATCAATCACTAGCAAAGAAGGTGCAGCTTTGAGAATACACTAAGGAAAAGGGAGGGAGGGAAGAAGAGACGGTAGGCAGGCAAGCGCATATTCTATGTTCCATAGTGCACTAGGGAAAACAGGACCATGAATGAAAGGTTTGGAACATAAGTCCTGTCATAGCTCACCTTGAGATTTCAATCAAGTTACAACTCTTTGGGCTTTGGGTTCTTTTCTGTAAAATGAGAAATCAGGATTGGTGAGATGACAGTTAAGGATAAGTGGACTTCGTACACAATGAGACAAATGGAGTAGAACCACATTCTATGTGGACCTAATTTTATGGAGAAAACTGTACCTTTCAAATGGTTCTGACTGGGAGTGCTGCTATGAAAAGCCCAGCGTGTTCAGCCCAGAGCTCCCTACTTTTTATGGAATTCCAACTCTGACACAACACTCATAGCTTAGATTTAGTCAGAATCAACTTACCAAGCCTCAAAATGTTCCACAGAAGCTTTTGTTTTTATTAATCTATTAAGACTTTACAAAGTTTCCTTCTCTTTGGTTAGAAATGAAAAAAGTGGGTTAATCTCATGTCTTGTTTCAACCGGGAAGCCATGACTTAAGGAGAGCAGCCTATCTGCCACAGATGATACCAAAAATTAAGGATACTCAAAAACACTGGTCCCAAATCAATGGCATGTCCACAGCCTTTGTTCCCTGAAGATCTGCAGCTCATAAACATCCAGGGGAGGCCAGGTCTCCTCTCTGTCCTTCCTAGTTGCAGATACTGATACAGCAGAAGGCAAAGTTAGAACATGTATGGATTAGATTGTTCTGATCTCAGGACAATCTAGTTGCCAGAAAGAATTCAAGACTTAAAGAATAGCACTCTAACAAATTCTGATTATCTCTGCTTTATCCACTGAGATTTTCAAACTACCTTTTCATTGCCCATGCCTCCCCCACTATTAAAAACAGCTGTCCCAAAATTTTACAGTATAAGTCTCTAATTGTTCCCTAACAAATAATTTGAAAATGACAGACACATTTCACCTTCACCCTGCCAGGATTTCACAAAGTTGAGAATATGGGTTTAATTTGAAATCCATCATTACAAAACCATCCTCATCCGGCAATAGGAAAGACTCCCATTATAATTTTCTGCTGGGAGTCATTAGAAAAAGCCAAAGCAATAGAAGGGAAAAGGGTCCGAGAGCACCTCTAACTTACAAAAGTACAACCCACTTTGTTCAACAAATAAAAGCAGAGCCTGCTTTGTTCAACTCGTCCTCTAAGAGGATATGGACTAGAAAATCTTTATTGCTGCAGCCTCATTCTATAAAATAGGACTGTATTTACCCATCTTTCTGGATGGCCAAGAAATAATGATACATCTTGTAAATATAGGTTGGTTACTTCAGGAAGGGATAGGAATTAATTTCAAATCTATCACATAGTATCAAGCTATTTCCCATGAGATTTCATACCAGGCCACAGCACTGGAAGCCATAATTTCCATATTTATTGAAAACAGCATCTCAGCCAAAGTGGTACATTGTGTCCTCATAGTGAAACCTCACCCAAGGAAATGGAATTAACTTGCACTATCATCATAAGTGTCTAGGGTTTTTTTTTTTCCGAAAACTGTAATATTTGACCCCCTAATTCAGAGAAAGTTTCCTTAACTGCACTGAGCTCTAGCAAAGACTGTAATTTAAGAAACTGATTCCTAACCTAGTAAACTTTCTTGCCAGCAAACCAAAAAGTTTAAATCTGTGCAGTGCATAGTAAAAGGTAACAGAACCAAACAGCTGGATTTTTAAAATATCCATGTGTCTCCCAGCAGCATTGCAGGGTCTTCATTTATTTATGGTTACGTATTTTATTCTCCAAGGCTGTTTCACAATCTGTTTATATAAATTGTGTGTGTTAATGCATGTGTTTGAGTGGTGGGGGGCAGTGCACAGATTCATCTAACTTTAGACTGTGATGAAATAACTGATGATAAAGGATGCTATGCATGTGTAATATATCTAAATATTGGATTTTAAAACCACTTTTGATGGATGGCATTACATGATTAATTTTTGAGACTTCTGGCTCAGATTAAAACTTCCTACAAATCTAAATATTTTGTTTTTGTTTTCCTTTCTTCTAGGAATATTAATACAATTTTGGGAATGACAGCACAGAATTGGCATGAATATTAGTACTTTCACCACAAAACAAATGTGACATATACAGGCCGGGCGTGGTGGCTCACACCTGTAATCTCAGCACTTTGGGAAGCCAAGGCGGGCAGATCACCTGAGGTCAGGAGTTCGAGACCAGCCTGGCCAACAGGGCAAAACCCTGTCTCTACTAAAAACACAAAAAATTAGCTGGCCATGGTGGGCGCCTGTAATCCCAGCTACTCAGGAGGCTGAGGCAGGAGAATTGCTTGAACCCGGGAGGCGGAGGTTGCAGTGAGCTGAGACGGCGCCACTGCACTCCAACCTGGGCGGCAGAGTGAGAATCCACCTCAAAAATAAAAAATAAAAACTGTGACATATACAAACCTTTTCACTAAGAGAAAAAAATTGGGAAATTAGGCAAAATTGATTAATGAGAACAAACTGTTTATTGTACAAAACTCTTAAGAACCTAGTATTTTCTTAAAAAGTTTTGCCCTGAAGATACATTGACGGTCTAAGATCACCAGTACCTGATTCAATTCCTATTTATCAATAGACCTGGATTGAAATAAAAGGCACTGATGCAGATAGCCTCAGTTAGGAGCAGGCACTTAATTATTGGAGTTGACAATTATGCCCTCCCATAATGCATTTTTGGTGTCACTGAAGAGACCACCAGCATTCATGACTCTAAGCCAACATGGTTTTTATGTTTTAAAAAACACATACTTCACATGTATATGTGATTCACTTAGAATTTTTTTCAATGCTATTTTAACAATAAATAAAAATCTTGGCCGGGCACAGTGGCTCATGCCTGTAATCCAGCAGTTTGGGAGGCCGAGGCTGGTGGATCACTTGAGGCCAGGAGTTCGAGATTATCCTGGCCAACATGGCAAAACGCTGTCTCTACTAAAAATATGAACATTAGCCAGGCATGGTGGTGTGTGCCTGTAGTCCCAACTCCTCAGAAGGCTGAGGCATGAGAATCACTTGAACCCAGGAGGTAGATGTTGCAATGAGCTGAGATCGCATCACTGCACTCCAGCCTGGGCAACAGAGCAAGACTCTGTCTCAAAACTAAAAATAAAAATATTTACCTATTGTTCTCTTGATATTATTATATAAGAAATACATATTCTGGCCAACTTACAAAATTAGTCTTACAATATTTTCCCTAAATTATTATGGTAAAAGTAGATTATATACTCCCTAACAAGGGCATCTGTTTTTAATCTTTGAGTAGTTGAAACCATGTAATAAGTTTATGCCTATTGAAAAATGTAATCTTTCTAAGGAAAAAATTAAATTTCAGGGTGTTCATTATCATCTCTAATTCCACTGCTCCTCAATTCCAGGATGCATGCTTTTTTCACATTTGAACATTTTTGAAAACAAGATACATCTTAAAATAGTATCTACATTAAATGTGGCTCTGTTCTTTTTTATCTTCTAAAATGCTGTTATTGCATCCAGCAATCCATGGTGTATCAGACATGAGAAAATATGCTATTTTCTGCATGCCTACAACTCACCAGGTTCTTCTAGATGCTCGGTACACAGAAACCTATAAGGAGCAGGCTCACAACAATAGGCCAATGTATTTTACAGCACTAAAGTAGTTACTTGAGTAATATGCACCAATCAACTCAAATTTTGTTATATAATCCTTTATAACTCTCATTCTCAATAGGAAAAGACTGTGTCCCCTCCACCTCCACCCACCTACACAAAGAGTACCTACCCAGCATCACCTGTCTATCTCTGAATAACTCACTAATACTGTGTATTAAAACTGTAAAATCAAATAAGCATGGCTGGTGCTCACTGACTGAAGAAAGTGAGATATTTTAATTGTTAAGATTTAAATTATTTAATATGCCTCCCAATTACTTGTTTTAGAACACATACACACATGCACACACACACGCGCACACACACACGTACACACACACGCACGCACACATACACACACACACACACACGTAACCTACAGCAAAATCAACCTTAAGTAAAACATAGAACAATCTTTCACTATTTTTCCTCCAGAACATTGATCCTGCCTTGGAAAGAGAAAGCAAATGATTTAGTGCATCTATTACTATACTACATTTTTATTAACTAAAAATTGTTTCCCCCACGCCTCCATTAAATAAATATACATCAAATATTTAAGTAATATAGATTTGGAGGGGCATCAAGGTATATCTGATCAGGAAACCCCACATAACTTGGAACAGCCCTCAGCAAAGCTGGAACCCAAACATCAGGCTTTTTGGTTTCCAAACCTGGCTTTAGGACCTCAAAATCCTGGGTTCAGAGAGGTGACCCAAGAAAGCCCAAAGCAGGTAAGAAACAAGAACCAAATCCAGGCCTCTCAATTCCATGCCCCAGAGTTTTGTCCACATTTGTTAAGAACCTAATCTGAAACAGTGCTATCCCTATCTTGAGATACATACAAGAGTAAGGTATGATCCTGCCCCCAAGGCCCTTGAGTCTCTATAAGGAATTGTGTGATTTAAATCAATACAACTGAAATCAGAGACACAAAAGTAACAGAGTAACATTAATTTTTAATTTTTTTTTTTTTTTTTTTTTTTTGAGACAGAGTCTCACTCTGTCGCCCAGGCTGGAGTGCAGTGGCGCCATCTTGGCTAACTGCAAGCTCCGCCTCCCAGTTTGACACCATTCTCCTTCAGCCTCCCGAGTAGCTGGGACTACAGGCACCCGCCACCATGTCCGGCTAATTTTTTGTGTTTTTTAGTAGAGATGGGGTTTCACCGTGTTAGCCAGGATGGTTTGCATCTCCTGACCTCGTGATCCAACTGCCTCAGCCTCCCAAAGTGCTGGGATTACAGGCATGAGCCACCAAGCTGGGCCACTTTTTAAATTTTTTTAAAAGAAGTCTCATGCGTCTATCAAGATATTTCAAAACAAAAGGAAGTTTTCAGTTTGACAAAGCTATAAAATACAAATAATCAAGATAGAAACAACATGATGATAATAGTCATGTTAACATTTATTGACTACTTACTACGTAACACTCACTTTGTAAGGTGCTTTTCATCATTTAATCTACAACAAGATCATTAGATATTATTATCATCCTAATTTTACAGAAGAGAAAACAAAAACACTTTGAAAGTTGCTTAATAACTTACCCAAATTTACATATGCTAATAATCAATTCAGCCTGCAATTTCAAAGGTCCTGCCACCATCCTATAAGTAGTTCTTTAAAAAGGGATAATAACCCTCCAACACACAATCACACATACACATATGAACACCCAGGTCCAGTTTTATCTGTCTCTCTTTATGGTCTGCTTGCTTTGAGTATCTCAAAATTCAGCCATATCAAGAAAGAAAGCTGGGAGCTGGAAGCTGAGAAAAATACTACCCACACTGAGTTGGTCATTGGTAATAAATAAATTAACCAATAAGGTGAAGAATAGGAAGAGTTTAAACAAGAAAGTTTCCAACATGTTATGCTTTAACTAACTGTGAGTTGAAGTAATTATTGGGAAAAAAGGACAGTATTTTTAGAAAAGCAATTAAATTTAGCTGATAGGTGTCACTGACACTAAGGTCATTTCAACAAAAAGGATTTTCAAAGTAACAGAAGCAGAACTTAGGGCAGAAGCACCCAAGAGATGGCTTCAACAGAATCAAAGACCAATTTGCCCCAATGTTCAAGGAGAGGAAAGTATAGACTTCATTTCCCTCAAGATCCCACTGGGATTGGATTCCTTTACTTAATTAACTACTCATCCATGATACTATCTAAAAAATGCTGATCCTACAGCTTTGTGTAGACAACGTGCTATAGCCTCAACTACTCTATTTAATGGAATATCAATTTTCCTGCCTAATAGAGCTCAGAATTTGAACTTCCTTCACGTAAGCTGATATTCTCTTTCCTCATTTATACTACAGCTATGTTTGTACTGAAAGGCATGAAATATTAATATTTGTGTCCATGATCATACAGTCCAATGTAAGGAAAAATACAAGTGGAAAACTAAGAGGAAGAAACAGTCATTTCACTGTCTTTCAAAGTAAAACAATTACAATTATGTAGGAAAAATATTACTTGTAAAAATTAACTCAAAACATTTTTTATTTATAAAGAAAAATTGTTATTGATTTACATGTTTACAACTGTCCTGTCGCACAAATGTGCAAGCTCCCCTACTGTATCATAAGGTTCTTGAGGGCAGGGGTTAGATTCAGAAACTTCACCTCTTACATTGGATGCCAAGGACCGAGGGTAGGTACATAGTGTTTGTGTTCCCCCACCGTCTACCTCCTGGCTGTGAATGAACTAAGAAGACAGACTAATGATCGTGATCAGTTTAGTCATGACAGATCCAGCACAGCACCCTGGCCATTCATGACAGATGCCTATTTAGTATGAGCTGGACAACAGGGAAGTAACATCAGTGTTATCCAGTTATCTCTATGAACCACCAATTGAAACTAGATTTGATATATCTTCCCAATTGTTTAGTTTGATTTCTTCCTTTGGAATAGCTACTATTTTAAAAGTTTAGGCATATGGCAATACTTAGCAAGAAGTAAATATTTAACCCAATCTCCACTAAGTAAAGCCCTTAACATTTTATATATAATCTGAAGACATCCTGTATGTATGTGCATGTATATGTATGTATGTGTGTGTGTATATATATATATATACACACACATATATATATACATGCACATACATATAAATATCCATATATACATAAATATATATCAATATAAGCTGGCACTGTGATATAGTGCTATTTTCTACATAGTAGCAGCAAATCAAGATTACATACCAAGAGAAGGCATTTATCTTCCATCATGTGTTAATGCTGAAACACATTAACTTTCCTCTCCTCATCTCCCTACCTCTTCAGTCATGTCTACCTTTACATGCAAAATACAGTAGCTGCTTATTTTAAGGAGTACATAATTTCACTAAATATTATTCTGCTCATTGTGCTTTCTCATTCCATTCCTATCGCAAAGCTTTTAAGTTGTTTGTCAAGTCTAAAATCTCTCCTACTTTTCACTGGAGAGATTAATTTGGTAAAAATAGAATCCCAAACTGCCATTGCTCTTTTAGTCATCTTAATTAATTGTAATTAGTTTTAAAATATTCAGTTCCCGATTTCCCATAAAACTGAGGGCATCACACACACATGTGAGTTATCATTATTTCTTAGTACCAGCACTTGTGATAGAAAGGTAACCATCCATTCTTTCCTGTGGTCTTTCATACTTTCAACCCTGATTAGTATGTGAGTGGCTGGTAAATAATTAATTTTATAGTGAGTGACATATTTTGAAATCTGCAAAGTATTTTATTCTGGGAATTTAAGGCAACCCTTGCATTTCCCTAGATAGCTCTGTGTACGCCTACAATTATAAGTTGAAGCAGATTCTTGACTTTCCCATTAGCATCTAACAATTTATGAGCTTTTGATATCCATGGGATGATTTTTAAATGACGACTTTAATTCCCCAATGCATCTAGATAACTAGAAAAATAATAGACAATAAGTGAATGCTTTAGCGAAGGAATTTAACTAAGAATTTAAAGCTTCACCCAAGCTGAAAGTAATCAAATAAACTTTATAATGGTCCTGCACTGACTTCAATATTCTCTTTACATTTTTAAAGGAAGGTAGCAGCTTCAAATAACTTATTTCATGTGGACTGCATAACTATCCTATTATGTAGTAATCATTATATACAATTTACAGATAAGAAAGCTGAGGCTCATCTATTTTAGTTAAATTGCAGAATTAGGAATTGGCAGAGTTGGAGTTCAATCCAGATCCAGCTGCCTTTAAAGCCATATTCACAGTACTACACCAACCCAGGCAGAACATGGATCCTTGCTCTTCCAACATTTACAGTACCTTTCAGGTCTTATACCAAGTTTAAGCCTAAAAAACATATCTGGGTTTTGGTTATCTCATAGATTATACGAGTTACTTGGGTTCAATTTGTCACTGACCACACACTGGGTAGGCAGTGATAGGTCTGTAATATTAACCATAACTAAAGATAACATATTTTGGAAATTAATTAATTTAAAAATCAAATATAAAGAAACATGTATCAAATAATAGTTTTCCCATTAAGAATTTGGCTAAAAAATCATGATGGAAATCAAAGAAAAATGTGTGTTTTTCTTAGCCAAAATATTTATTTATTTATATCTTTAGAGAAGGGTTTCACTCTGTGCCCAGGCTAGACTAGCACGGTGGCATAATCATCGCTCATGGCAGTCTCTAATACCTGAGGCTCAAGTGATCCTCCCATCTCAAACTCCTTCTGAGTAGCTAGAACTACAGGTGCATGCCACGATGTCCAGTTAATTTTTTTTTTAAGAGAGGTAAGTTCTCACTATATTGCCCAGCACAGCCTAGAATTCTTGGCCTCAACTGATCCTGCCACCAGAGCCTACCAAAGTGCTGGGATTACAGGCATGAGCCACTGTGCTCGGCCACAGAAGTCTTTAATAAGATTCAATTGGCATCATCCATTGTCAAAGTACAAAATGTATACTTTCATTTACTACTGTAACTAAAGGTGATTAAAGAGACAACCAATCATATGCCCTTTGCACATTCTATGTAAACAATCTTTCATTACAATATCAATTAATCACCAATTCATTGGAAGTTCTGAACTCCATGGAAATTGAGTATTTAAGCAACAAGTTTGGTTGAATCCCTATTCCAAATTATTTAGTAGAACTCAGTAAGTGAAAAGAATTAGAAAATAGTTCTTCTCAGAATTCAGATTATATAAATTCACTTGTAAAATTTTACATATTTAAAAAACACCTTTTATGGTCATTATTTTAGCTAATTATGCACTAGTTTCTATTGGGTGACAATTCTCTACCCTGTGGTACCTTTTGTCTCAGACTACTATTCAAGGATGTCTGTAAAGCAAACAGCCTGGGAGGATAAAGATTATGTCTTCCTCCTCCAGGACAGAGGATAATTTTGTTTCCTGGCAAGAGTCAAAGATAATGCCTTCCTCCAGGGCAAAGGCTGGGCAAGTGTGCCAGAAACAGTTTATAAGACTGGTTATTTCCTAAACTCTGTGTTCCTCAGTTGTGACACAGATCCAACAGGTATGAAGTAACCACCTGGCCCCCTCTGCATTGCCCTCAAGGGAGGTTCCCCTCAAGCTCTACAAGATGAGAGCTTGTAGCCCATGCTGCCTGCTGTGCATTGAGCAGTAACATCCTTTATGTCTGATCCAGGAGTTTCGTGTCTTCTGCGAGCATGTATGAATCAGGCAGGCTAACTTGTTACTTCACAGGCAGGTTAAAATCTCAGACTCCTCACTGCTCTTGACAGCTCTATATGATTGATTAAATAAGTGTTTGCAGATGTTGGCTAACTCCAAGGTAAATTTTTACTCCTCCCTCTAAAGCCCAGAACTCACAGCTGTCACTTGTGCTCACGCAGTTAGGGCAAAACTAAGGAATACCATCTTCATACATGAAATTCTTGGGACTGCCTGACGACTCTGCAGCTACTGAAATGAAGGAAGTGAAGACAAGCGCAGGAGTCTTTTCCTTCTGGTGGCCACTGTTGGGTTATTAGAATCGTCATCTGTACACCAAAGACAAGCTATCCTTCTCATGCGCTGATTGATTACATGCTGTCACAGGCTAACCTGTAAATCCCTGTCATCAATCACCCTCTCTCACAGAGGATATGGGAAGATTTCATGTCTCAATCATGCTCTCCAGTTTACCCCAGGGTGACAAAAGCCAGATAGAGTCTTGGGGCACTGAGGTGATCATACTCACTTTCCCTTCTCGCCTCATCATTTAGATGGATACAACACTAGATAGTAACGGGCAACGTTTACAGAGCACGTCTCAATAATCGTTTTATCCTTCTCCCACACTAGAGATGCAGACAAGCAAAATTTCTATTTTCTCTTCACAGAGGCTCAATGAATTGAAGTGGCTTGATCCAGGCCCAGATCTGGTAACCAAGGAAGCAGAAGCTTCTTACCATTCCATGTTCTCTCTACTTCACAAAACCAAGGAGGCCAATAGATGGTCTCAGCACCCATTCTGGCCCTCTCAGAGGCGTCTTTGGCTACTCTCTAATGGACCTTGTAAGGGGCAGGGAAGTGCAGTGGTTAGGGAACACAGTCAAGAGCTAGATTGCCTGAGATTTTAAATCCTGTCTCATTCACTCATTAGCCAGTCACTCCTGGCTCAGTCACTTAGGCAATTTATTTAACCTTTGTGTGCCTTAGTGTCATCATGTGTAAAATGGGGATAATAATAGTGCTTCTATTGTAGGATTATTATAAAGATTGAATAAAATAAATAAACTACTGTATCTGACACCACCATTGCTACCACTACAACTGCTTTGAGTCCCTTTTAGACACACTGATCCCTTTCTGGTTAGAAGCCCAATTTCTGATTGTCAGGCTTGGTTAGGAATTCAGGTGAACTTCCCCAGGGTCTCCATATCCAACCCTGCAAAACAGCAATCTAGGCTCACTCTGCCATCAGGAACCAAATTATCAAGAAGAATGTGACAAGTTCCACAAATATTTCTTGTGGAATGAATAAATGACTTAGGAAGACTCTCTGTTCTGCAATATACATTCTGGAAGAGAAATGAGGCTTTGGGCTTGACTATCCCTATACCCCCTTTGTGAATAAATCCATGTGACAGGCAGAATGATGACTACCACCAAACCCCCAAAGATGTCCAGCGTCTATTTCCTGGAACCCATGAATATGTTACCTTATATGGCAAAATAGATTTTGCAGATGTGATTATGATTAATGGCCTGGAGATGGGAGATTATCCTGTATTTTCCAAGTAAACTCAATCTAATCACATCAGTCCTTAAAAACGAAGAACCTTTTTCAGCTGTAGAGAACCAGACAGATGGCAGAATGAGAAGGTCTCGACCCACCATTGCTGGCTTTGAAGACAGAAAGGCATCACAACCAAGGAATGTGTGTGACCTGTAGAAAATGGAAAAGGCAAGAGCATGGATCTCCCCCAAAGTCTTCAGCCATGCTGACACTTTGATTTGAGCCCAGTGAGAACTGTGTTGGACTTCCGACCTGCAGAACTGTTAAGACTATACATCTGTGTTGTTCAAGCCACTGGGTTTGTGGTAATTTATTAGGGCAACAATAGAATCTCTGGATTCTTCCACTAGGGAAAGATCATAACCCAGTACTGGGACTATTCTGTAGGGTTAAGCAACAGGAAAGCATGTATTTACTCACCAATTCATTCATTGATTCATCTTTTTTATTCATATTGAGCACCTACCACAGCCCAGACACTGTTCTTTGGGCTACAGAAAACAACAGTGAACCAGAGAGCCATGGTCAGCTTCTGCAACCACGCAGCTTACAACTCAAAGCTGACAGATAGAGATTAAGCAGCCAATTAATAAATTAGATAACTGCAAACAGTAGAAAGTGCTGTGAAGAAAATAAAATAAGATGATGAGATAGAGAACACAGAGGGCAGAGCTGGGGAAACAGAAACCCCAGATTTGGGTGGATGGAAGGCTAAGAAATGACATTTGCCAGCTAAGCAAAGGTCCAAGAGAGTTCATAAGCCACTAACTCGTGGCTGACCTAGCCTTCTTATGGATGCTGTAAGAGGTGAAATACCTGTTTTTGAGAAATTGATATGACTTCTCACTCCAAGGAAAAGTGTGCTGTGTGAATTGCTACTCTAATTTTCCTGTCTCCACTCTTCACAAGCATGACTTTTAAGGCTTTATTTTTACCATATTTTATGAACAGTGTAAAGGCAGCATTATCCCAGAGTCCCTGCATATCATTTTCAGTGAGAGTACTCAGCGTTCTCCTTATCTGAATATGGATGTGGTTAGACTCCCTGTGACGGCTACATTGCTGTTACTGTGATAGATTTCCCTGTGCTGGCTGCAACCTGTATCAGCGACACTGGCTCTGAAACCAAATGCATTGCTCAGGGTTAGACCCAGACACAGTGCTAGAGCCTACGCAGACCACAGCTGTCTCTACTGCACATTTAGTTATGACAAAAATGTCAAAGCGTGAAGGTGGCAAATAAAGTGTCATATCATGTAGGAATGATGGTCTCTGATATCCAAATCATACACACACAAAACAGGCCACTCAATTCATTTATTGTAATGTCTTGCTCTAATATCTATGGGAAAATAGTACAAACAACTTCAATTTTTATTCAGGTTGTCATAGTGTCAATAATTACATCTCATAATTACCCCTTTCATAGGTTGTCTATAAAAGTAAAACTAGAACATCCAAGTAATCTGTCTCAACCCAGAGTTCCCAGACACACGCAAACAATGCAGGGCAACGCAAATTACCTTCACACCCTGGTTAGTTTGTTCTACAGATGCCTTACTGTGTGAGAAGGGGCTAAGCTGAGGCATAAAATGAATCCAATTCTGAAGCTACTCTAACCATTTCTAGTGTTGTATATGTTAATATAATGAACTTACAAATAAACAATATCTAGTAAGATGGCTTTTGTGTTGGGGGTGAGAGGTGCAGAGTTCACACTTTGATAATTCACTGATTCCAAGAATGGTGCTCAGGTTTTAGAGCCAGAGTATCTAGATTTGATTTCCAACTTCATCATATAATAACTCTATGACCTTGAAGAAGACATTTCCCTGACATAGCATCAATCCATTTTTTCTCTATGAATTGAGGTCAAAAGTAGCACACACACTGCCTGGTTCAGAGGGTTCTCACAAAATGAGAAAGACTTTGTAAACTATAGAACACAAGTGCAAACCAAAAGTCCCTTGGCCTCCTAGCGCTACAGATATGTTGTATTTAAGGCAACAGCCTAAGTCCCAATCCTCTGAGCTCCAAGCATGGACTAACAAGTCTGAGCTTTTCCTGGGATCCCCTCCTCAGTTACTCCCTCCAGGATTCCCTGACAGTCAGACTTATGGCCTGCTACCTGACAACCCTCCTCTCCTACTCTCTTGAACTTTTCCTCTGCTCCACATGCCTTCATCACTCTGCCATCCACCAGTCACCATCAACACCTCTGACAACGTTCTCACGGAAGACAACTTCTTCTACAGCACAAAGAATGGGGTGAAGAGGGAAGGGAAGGAACCTCAAGGCCTCACCATCAGGGAAGCCATTTCCACTCTTGAGCCTTGCTTTTTCAAAACAGGGCTGCCAAAGTAACACCGTTAGGTATCACTGACCAGTTCTTGGCAGGGGCTGGCAAATTTTACCAATAAAGGGCCAGATAGTAAATATTTTAGCTTTTGAAGACCACATCTGTCTCTGTAGCATATTCTTCTTTGCTTTTTTTTCTTTTTATGACCCTTTAAAAATGCATAAACAATCCAGCAGGCCACAGGCTGGATTTTCCTCAAGGGCCATAGTTCACTGATCCCTGCGTTATGACACAGCTATCGTTCATGCCATAGTATACTTGTTTTTTGTGTGAGCAGGAGTCTGTTGCCAGTAGGGGGAATTGAGGGGAGGCTCATTAGGTCAGGGGAGGTACCTAGAACCACTGCCCCTGGGACTTTCAAACCCAGGAGCTTGGCCGCGCATGGTGGCCTCACTCCTGTAATCCCAGCACTTTGGGAGGCCAAGGCGGGTGGATCATCTGAGGTCAGGAGTTCGAGACCATCCTGGGCAACATGGTGAAACCCGTCTCTACTAAAAACACAAAAATCAACCAGGCACGGTGGTGGGCACCTGTAATTCCAGTTAATTGGGAGGCTGAGGCAGGAGAATTGCTTGAACGTGGGAGGCAGAGGTTGCAGTGAGCTGAGATCACACCACTGTACTCCAGCCTGGGCGACAAGCGCAAGACTCCGTCTCAAAAGCAAAACAAAACCAAACTCCTATAGGTCGGTCTGGTCCACGTTAACAGACTTCTTCACTCATGGCTTTTGTTCAGGAACCTCATCACGTCCCTCAATCCAACCTTTTTTGGGGAATCCTAAGCTATAAGAGAGATCAGTGCACGTCTGAATGCCAAAAATGAGTCAAGCTCCAGTTCTTACACTCAGAGCCCCTAAGCTCTATGTAAATCTAGCATGTGGCTTCCGTGTTTCTATGACAGTTAGAAGGCTGCTCCACCCACAGCACATGGGACCTCTGTGGTTAGAGTTTCCAATGATACAATCAAGCCTAGGAAAAATGCATCTCAGCCAGTCAGAATATGTTATACATTTATTAGCTACTATGATTATTATCTAAAAAGGAAGAAGAGGAGGAAGAAGAGGAAGAAAAAGGAAGAGGGGGAGGGAAGGAGGAGAAGAGGAACAGGGATGAAGAGGGAAGGGAAGGAGAAGAAACTACTGCAGAAAATTTTGCCAGGATGCAATAATGGTTACAAAATTAAATTATCCTTACCTAGTACTTTCTCCTTGTGATAAAAGACTTCACTTTGAGGCCGGGCATGTTGGCTCTTGCCTGTAATCCCAGCACTTTGGGAGGCCAAGGCAGGCAGATCACTTGAGGTCAGGAGTTCAAGATCAGCCTGGCCGACATGGAAAAACCCTGTCTCTACTGAAAAATACAAAAATTAGCTGAGTGTGGTGGCAGGAACCTGTAATCCCAGCTACTCAGGAGGCTATGGCAGGAGAATCGCTTGGACCCAGGATGCGGAGGTTGCAGTGAGCTGAGAGCACACCACGACACTCCAGCCTGGGCGACATAGCGAGACTCTGTCTAAAAAAAAAAATCACACCTATAATCCCAGCACTTTGGGAGGCCACGGTGGGCAGATCTCTTGAGAGGTCAGGAGATCGAGACCAGCCTGACCAACATAGTAAAACCCCATCTCTACTAAAAATACAAAAATTAGCCGGGGGTAGTGGCACATGCCTGTAATCCCAGTTACCTGGGAGGCTGAGGCAGGAGAATCACTTGAACCCAGGAGTCGGAGGTTGCGGTGAGATGAGATCGTGCCATCGCAGCCTGGGCAACAAGAGTGAAACTTCGTCTCAAAAAAAAAAAAAAAAAAAAAAAACTTCACTTTGAATCTTTTTGATTGTTATATCTATTCTGTAAGTGAAGGCCTCTATAAGCCTATAAAGTACCCAGCTGCAAATTAGTATATAATGCCTACTTGGCCCAAAAGTGAATCAGAAAATGATGCCTCTTCAGGTCTATACCTTAGCACCATTTGACTATCTACAGGTCACTTTTTTGGAGGGAACAGGAGTCAGGGGTGGAGGGGTGGAAGTCACCGGTTAATCCTGGCAGATCCAGCCATCTCCAAGGACATAAATGAAGAGCAGAACCAAGATGGATTCTCATCCCTACTTGAGCCCTTGACCAGGCTTCACAATAACACAGAGGCCCTAACTTAAGTTTTGAGTCAATGTCCACAGGCCCATTTTCTGTAGCTACTTGTAGTATGCTAACATGCTGGCACAGAAGTTAGTGATAATATTTACTGTCATGGTGGTGGTGATGGTGCCACCAATAAAACTTGTCAGCTGAGGGCCCTTGCTCTGGACCACTTAAAGAGGGCTGATTTTTCACAAGACGAAATAACTTAGAAACATAGAGGATAAAGTGGTCCATAGGGTTAGTAAGGTGGAGGAGGGTGACTAAGTCATGAAAGATGTACAGCACAGACAGAAGAGTTTTTAAAATGATTCCAAATAGTGTGTGAGAGCAGACTACTGAAGTTGAGGATGGATGTTTGCACCCTGCAGAGAATGCTGCACTCTAGAGTTTCACAGTGCAAGATGACCTGACTTTCATAGTGGGCAGGAAGGTCTGGGAGGCCTTGCTTTGGACTCAGGAAGAAGTAAGCAAGCTGAGTAGCCGGAATGCCGGTGATGAGCATTCATTGGTCCAAAGGAGAAAGACAAAACCAGGAGGTGGCCTGGAGATTTCCAAGGGAGAGAAAATTCAAAGCTGCCTGGGAGATGCATGGCAGAACCCTAAACAGATTGTAAAGGGGAGGAGAAAAGGTCATGGCAAAGTCAAGGATGACTGGAGCTCCCTGCCTGGGGAAAGGATGGATGGCTGTGTTTTAGTTGCCAAGGCAACAAGCCTCAATGGCAGGCAGAGAGGCTACAGAGTCCCTCTCTGGGAGTATCCTGCCCTCAGTTGCGCAGCACAGGCAGGTCTTCTTCCACCTGGAAGTACAATATGCTGCTCTGCTACTGGAGGTGTGTTTATCACTGAAAAGACTCACCCCCAAGTATACTGGACTGCAGTAGGCTGCAATCATGCTACAGAAACATGTATTTCTCAGCATTGTTAATGGAAACAAACATCTGCAACACCTAATTGAAACCCATTCATAGGAAAGATACATAAAAACATTCTAACCTTTAGCATTATGCACAACTTTTTAAATCCAGAGAATGTTACAGCAGAGATCTACCTTCCTGGTTGAGAGTGTACTACATATTTTCCTTTGGAAACTAAAGATACTACAAACAAACTTGAAAACATATATTTCTTCAAAGTATTAATTTTTAAAGCGGCCAAAATTGCTAACAACCAGGGAAAGTACCAATTTATAATTTATGTTCTTGGCACATAGTATATATTGTGAATTTGCATGCATATTACATGCAAATAACCAAAAGAGCATAACATTAAGGCTTCAAATTTGTATGTGCAAAAGACAGTAAATTCTAACATTAAAATTCTTTCCAGAAAATATTAACTCCCCATATCCCCTGTGACTGTCACATAGTCAGCTGAGCAAACTCACTACAGAACTTGAGTAGTCAATAACCTTGTTCAATGAAAATTTGCATTTCCCATACCTACTCTTCTTAGCAAGCAAAGAAGACAAGACCATTTGGCACCATGTGGGACAGGGATAAGGTGCTAACATGGCCCAGCTTTTCAAACAAATTATCTAACAATTTGACAGAAAAAAAAAGTGCCAGTAAAAATGCCACCATTGAACCACTAACAGAATCTTTACTCCCTTATAAAGATTACAACACTGGGGAAATGAAGCAAAATGCAGCTGACTCTGCTCTTTCCACTATAGTAAAAATATGAGATTTGTGATGGCAAAATCATCTGAGTCAACCTGGCTGGGCTAGAGTGCTCAGTTCTTAAGTCCAACACTAGTTTAGATGTTACTGTAAAAGTATTTGATAGATGGGATTAACATCTATAATCAGTTGACTTTAGCTACAGGAGGTTACCCTTGATCATGTGGATGGGCCTCATCTAATCAGGTGAAGGCCTTAAGAGCAAAAACTGAGTTTCCAAGAGAAGGAGCTCTCCCTCAAGACTGTAACATAGACATCCTGCCTAAGTTTCTAGCCTGCTAACTTGCCCTACGTATTTCATACTCAAGGCTATAACATCAACTCTTGCCTGAGTTTTCAGACTGCTGCCCTGCCCTGTGATTTTTGGACTTACCAGCACCGCATTTGCATTAGCCAATTCCTTAAAATAAATCTCTTCATAAATACATATTTATGTATCTAATGTATAGATAGACAGATTCTGTCTAGTGAACACTGATACAGGATTCAAAGGGATTTTCAGTGTAGAACTAAAAAAGTGCTCAGTATTATAATGCATTCTGGTGGATGGGTAAGTGCTGGTTGATCTTGATTGCAATGTAAAAATTAATGTATTCTTTGTTTAAATAATGCTACTGCTTTGCAGTGCAGAATTTACTGGAAGATTTCCTTCTTGATATCCATTTAAAGAATTTCCATAGTCAACCCTAAGACAAATAAGGGTGAATTTTATTTGTAAAAGAAAAGGGGCTCATGATAATCTTTCTGGTGGCTGAGCCCAGAAGGTTTTGGGGCTCAGCTTGCTGCATTTATATTCTGAATTCTCTGTGGTTCCTAAGTCTTGAGAGATGGAACTATCCCTTCATTTATGTATAGTCTGAAAACACTAATCAGACTGTTTACCCCAATGAAGCAAGTATCCACTTAAATTTAGATCAAACAATTCCATGAGTTTAATGCCACTCCAACCACTCTGTTTCTTTTTGTTCCTTGGCCTTTTCATGAAGTATCTCACAGTATTTGCTGCCACACCTCTGCTCCTCCCTTTCTTCACTCTGTGACACAGAATGCTCATCCATACACTCAGACCCCACTGCTGTGTTCACTGATGATCCCCAGACCTATGCCTCCTTCCTTGACCTCTAATTCCTACCGCGCTCCTTATTTATTGGTGTCTGGATGATCTTCTGGGAATGGGTGGGGCAAGGACTACAGTCATAGCACATCCAAAAGAGAAATGATTGGTTTAGCAAAGTTCTATGTTTCGCAAACTGTTCCATGTCCACCATTCCATGATTTTTAAGCTGGGAAGAGAACCGACCTGTTCCACAAGGCATTTGGACATTTGCTGGATAATCTTCTGGTCACTTTGCTTTTTGTTTTTTTTGGACTGTTAAATATGGAAGTTGTTCTCCAAGGCAGCAATCCAGCCTTGACTTACACTGTCTATAACTTACCTTTATCTTCTGTCTTCTCTATCAGTCCTGTCATCAAGTCAAATTCCTTCTCCTTCTCACTCTTCTGCAGTCATTCTTAGCATGCACCAACTGTCTTCCTCCTGTCTGAGCTATTTTATAACACAGCAACAATCATCTACCCGAATGTCATGTTGATCATGTCACTTGTTGCCAAATGTTCCAAATGTTTCTTCTTGAATTAAATTTCAACCCCAGTTCTACAAGTCCACAGCTGACTCCTTTGATTCTCCTCTTCCTGGCTGTGGTCTGCAACCTGCCCCACCGCTCCCCACACTCCCTTGCTCTCCAAGGCTCACTGTACCCTCTCTGTTCTCCAGATAGCAGGACAAACTCTTTGCTCTCATTACCTCTCCTCTTAATATGTTCCCGTTCTGGAAAAGTTCAAGAGCTGGTGGGTTTCCTTGATTCCACCTTCCAAATAACTAGTTCACCATGGTTTTCCACCATTCCTGATTCGGGGATCTTAAGGTTTGGGTTCATATCCAGAATATCCTGGGGCAAAACGGTAGTAACAATGTGAGTAATCACTGTCTTGACCTCATCCAAAAGACCCCTATTTTTGCCTTTTCTCATAATGATGTCTCAAGTAAGAAACCTCTCAAAAATTTAAATTTCTTCTTGGCAAATTAGACATATAAACTTATCCAGCAAGTTTTATTATGCATGTGTATCAGAATACATTTCCCATTGTGATTTATGCCCATGTTACATATAGTTATGGATATATTTTTAGAAAATTGTTTTTTAAATATTTAATAGCCATTAAAAGGGTAAAATAATTCTCTGCTCCTTATGGAACAGTTAGATGCCATTCTAGTACTTTTGCAAGTATTTGCAATTGTAATCAGTAATGCAGGCAGAAAGAATGCCAGTGTTTTTCAATCATCACTGGCAAAAATGTAAATTTTTTAAAATTAAGACTTTAAAGATCACCTGCATTAATCTTCTGCTAATGCAAGCTGGGACTATTTCCTAGGATTCTGAGTGGTTTAACATCATCAAGACATGTCACAGGCTTCATCCAAATTATTCAATTCCTACCATACATTACGCTGAGCCTCTCAGAAGATGAATCGGGAAGAGGCAACCTAAGTGTTTAGAGAACAAAAGGGAAAATGAAGCACAGAGACCTCTGGCTAAAAGTATAAACCTTTGAGAGGGTTTTAAGGACATACTATAGGACTAAAAAATGAGAACAAATCAGCAGGCCCATTAGCTGTGCAGCAAATTAAAGCACCATTGTTTCCAGTTTCAGCCTTGAATCTGGAGGGCACCAAATAGACCACGCTGTCAGTACCCTCTGTGAAAGAAGTGTGTTCTCTGCTATGTATTCTCAAGCGCCTTTCTATTTTTTTTCAGCTAATTTATCAGTTTCCCACCTCTTCTCCTAAATCATTATTATAAACTTCCCCAGGAACATGTTAAAGGGACAACAGGAAAATAATCAAAGTTTCAAAACACAATCTATATTTATCATGAATTTCAACTTATCTTTTTCCTTGTATTAAAAAATGAAGCTTGCTATCTTCAGATTTATATTCCTTTTATCTTAATCCTTGGGGTAAAATATGGCATGTGGATAATCCACAAACTAAATAGCCTCTGCATTTAAGAAGTAGACCATAGTCCACAGTTGTATAGTCCACATTTTGTCATCTCATCTCATAAAAACAAAGTTGAAAGCGGCTCTGTCCAATCTTTTGAGAGGGCAAAAGGTCTGGAAGATCCAATAAGACTACACAAGAGATTTTTAAACATTAGTATGTATTTAAACCAATTTATTCATAATATAGTCTCAACTGTTACATAGGACTAGGCCCAGAGATAACTGCTTTCAATTCTTTAAGTAATTATTTTAGATTTGTTTCCACATGTGGAAATCAGTAGGTGTTGGCTCACTATTGTGCAAAGAATTGATTCCAGGTATGCAATGAGGTATGGATGTCTCTCAGCCTCAGGGAATCAGGTGGGGTTCTGAGGTAGCAGGTGCCTCTGGGCAGATAACACCTGGCCATCAGCTTCCTCAAGGTATAAAGGCATGGTCCTCATGGCTCTGCTGAGAGGCACTAGAAACATCCATGGACACCCATGTCAACAGGCTGCTGCAGAAAGCACCCCTTCACTTTGTGCAGAAGCAGTCCATGTAGCTGCTGGAGGAGGTTTCATTCCAGGTATAGAAGGCACAGCTGGTTGAAAGTGGAGCTCTAGAAAGGTGTGGGCAGAAGCGCCTGGTAGGCAAAGCTACAAGGGACAGCCCCAAAAATTCTGTCTATACATACCAGACATTTCTTTCCAGTTGAGTCAAATATCGTCTTTTACTGGCATCCAGGCTACCTATGGAGTGACTGCTCTAACAATAAACACACAGTTTATAAATTCGGGCCTCATTATTATTTTAATTACTTGATAGGAAAAAAATTAGTTGAATTTGAAATCTGTTGGAATTATCAGAGGATTGCATTTGTCTAGCAAAGAAAAAAGCTAAAACTATTAATGTTTTTAAAGATAACTTTAACTTTTATAGAATATGAAACGGTGGTGAAATGGCTTGTTTTTTTAAAAATCACTACTTGTGTAGTATCTCACTGACAATGACTAAAAAGAATTTGAAGAGAGAATCATTAAGATATTGATCAAGAATTGTGTTCAGCCATTTCAGGCATATAAGAAATATAAAAAGTTATGTTTATGAAAGCAAGCTCAGGTTTTTCATTGAAAAAATCTGAAAATATGTTATTTGAAGTTTTATATCTACTTAATATTCTACAAATGAATGTCTCCAGCTTCCTACATTATTTAGTATCAGTTTCTATGCTTGTCATACTAAAGACAAAAATTTATATGCACTGATTTAAATAACATGTTTCTCTTACTACTTCTTAGTTTTTTGATTTCAGGTATTATTGATTGACCTCCCAATGAGGAAGATGAGGGTTAGGTTTTTTATCACACACACGCATGCCTCATGTTCCCATCCTCTCAGAATAATTCTGGTTGTGTTAAATATCCATATTTACATCCTTAGAATCATGTAGTGTTCTATGATTATATCTCATTTTCTGCCTTTTTGTCTTCCTTGGAATTAATCATTGTTATATTTAATTTGCGTTAGTTTCCTATGTACTTATCATGATGCTATCCCCAAAGCCTCCCCAAGATCTGTAAATCTCCTCTCAGAGCAAACACATTAGGTGTTTAATCAATTTTACCATCTTGAAGAACTCTCTCCTGAATCCCTCTACCTACTGCAATTTAGATCAGTTGATCACTAGTCCAGTGCACAGCTGTTGAGATCTCTTTTACCATCACCTGTGAATTCTTTTCGCCTCGCTCTTGTGTTGGTCCTATCTCTGGGATACCAGGTCTTTCTTTTTATTAGTTTACCATATCATTTATTGGACCACATTCTAGTGTTGTAAAGTTTCATGATCATCTGTTGTTATTCCCTTTTAATCAGGAAACTTCTGTTTTTGAGAAATTTTGGTGAATTATTCCTTTGATGGTTTTCTGTCCTCCATTTTTTATGTTCTCTGAATCTGGTGTACTATTTTTGGATGTAAGAACCAATCCTCTAAGCTTCTTATTTTTTCTACGTTATTTTCTATTCTTTCTCTTTTTACTACACTTTCTTGAAAATTTCCTTAATTTCACCTCCTAACCCTTATAAATTCTGTTGTGTTTCATGGTTATAATATCATGCCTTATCTGTCTGGAGATACTGATGATTTCTTTTTTCAGATTTATTCTTCTGGCCGGGCACTGTGGCTCACACCTATAATCCCAGCATTTTGGGGGGCAGAGGCAGGTGGATCATTTGAGGCAAGGAGTTCAAGACCAGCCTGGCCAACATGGTGAAACCCCATCTCCACTAAAAATATAAAAATTAGCCAGGTGGTAGTGGCACGCGCCTGTAATCCCAGCTACTAGGGAGGCTGAGGTGGGAGAATCGCTTGAGCCTGGGAGGCAGAGGTTGTGGTGAGCCGAGATCACGCCACTGTACTCCAGCCTGGACGACAGAGTGAAACCCTGTGTAAAAAAAAAAAAAATTTTCTTCTTCCTATTAAGGTTGTTTCCTCCAAGTTGCTTTTTTTGTTTGCATGCTTTAGTTTTTTTCTCTCATGATATTAGACATTTCCTTAAATGTCTCACGATCCTTGGCTGTCTGAGATATTTAAGGGCCGAGCACTAGAAGGTCCACAGAAAGGTTGGGAGTGTGGTTGTTGATATAGGATTTATTTTAGAATTGTTCTGGCTAGGCCCTTCCTTGAGGGAATCCCTGATATCAGTATCCTTGAGTTCTATTTTTAGGTTAGAGTCCCAGGGATGTTTCCTGGAGTTTCCTGCAGGAAAGGTATCCTTAGCTGCCTGTAGGCTAAGGAGCAGAGAACAGAAGGTATTGTCATTCTTGGGATTTGGTAAATCAGTGTAATCCACAATCTACCACATTTCAGGACCATATTATACCACTTTTAACCTTTCCTGATACTTCTCAATCCAGAAACCTTCTGTTTTACCAACTCTATAGAAAACATAATCTTCATCCCTCTGTTGGAGTGGAGGAGCAGTTTCCTTCTTGTATAAAGTTAGGAAGCAGATCTGAACTTTCAACCAATACTTCTCAACTGTATCTCCACTCTCCCTTCCAGGGGTTCTTGTTCCTGAGTTTTTGCAGTGTTCATCAGTATAATTTGGCTTACCTTTTTCCTTTCTCCTCTGCTAGATTAAAATTTCACTTTCTCAGGTCTGCTAAGTAAGTTAGCAGTCATCCATCTATATCCCAAATCCCAAAGTGCTGTAACTGTTGCCCTATTTCTTTGCTCTCATCGGTGTGTGCCTTTTAAAATAAAAATCCCTTAAACATCATTTTAATGAAGTTTCAAGAAGGGTCAGGAACTAACACATGTATTTATCCTTAATCTGAAAATGATCAGTCAGTCTTTATCCTTTTGCATTGACATTGAAATGGGGATTACTCTTTTTTGTTCCCTCAAAAACATTAAGCCAAGGCCCAACATTCAAGAGGAACAGGAAATAGAGAAAATAGCAATTTTTGGATTTAGATGAAACTAAATTTAATAATCGCATGCTCTTATAAACTAGTATATCATTGCCCTAACGATATATTGGACATTGTGGGAAATAAAAATATGTCTCTATTTCAAAACAGTCTCTAAAACTTCTGAAAAAGATGAACAATTAAAGAGGTCCTTAAATTGATAATTAACCTAAAAGAGAGTATTCAGAGAGAAAAATCACCAGGCAAGGAAGAATGGTAAAAGGCAAACTCACTGGAGCAAAAAGGACCTTAAACTCCATTTTGAAAAATAAGTGTTACAGACATTTCTTCTGCAGAGTTTGCATAATGTGTATTAGGTATAAAGTGATCAATTGATTGGGGAATACAATTTATTTTATGCAGACTAGGGCTCCTGGCATAAGGGAAAAAAAAGCTCTTCTGCTTACAACACAGCTGTTTTAAGGTCTTTATTCTCCATTTCTCACAATAGTGGATCATTAAGATGTTGAAACAATTTTTTAAAATACCAGCTTAGTTCACTACCATCTTATAAAAAGAGATACAATAAAATGCATTTTTTCGTGATGTTCAGGTTTTAAAGTTATACTTTTACAGAGATAGAAAATACCATTATTACTTAAATAACTTCAGGTAAAACAACTTTGTTTATTGTGCCCCTGCAACTCTCAAGTCTCCAACACTATTTATGCCACTGAAATAATTGTCTTTATAGCACAGGTTTTGATAATGTGCAGTTTTAAGGACTATATTGCCTGGAGCAGAACTGACTTTAATTGGATGGATATAGATATGAGAGGATTTGATGCAGAATACTGTGCGCGTTGCAAAATGGGATGACAGAATGAAGAGACGAATCTGTCTTCCCCATAGGGTCTGGGTAGGAGGCCGGTGGAAGTTAAGTATAGACGGGTGTCTGGACAAGTCTGAACACAGATGCTTTCAAACCCAAGTAGTAGGGAATGAACTCTAAAGTACAATGAGCCCACAATTTTGTAGACAACAAAGAGACATTGATGTTTTCTGAATAAAGAGTAATGTTGTTAAAATGATATTTCAAAAAATGTAATCTGCCAATACTGTATAGGGCAGGAAGTCTGGTCACAGAAAACAGTTAAGACACTAAATAATACAGAGATCCAAAGTCATGTGAAGCTGGCCTGGATTCCTTGGCAGTAAAAATGTGAGAGAACTCACTTCAGAGCAAGAATCAATAAAAATGAGGGATCTACATTTACAGTACTATAGATACAGGCAGCCCAGTAAAAGAAACGGGACTGAATTAGGACTGATAAAAGGACTTACAGTGAAGTAGTTTTTAAACTAAATCTGTGATATCATTTGGTTTTCAATTCAAGAAACATTTACCGAGTATCTACTATATGCAAGGCATGCAGTCTTTTCTCATCATTTGTCTCATTATCTTAGAAGCCAAATGTAAAAAAATCCAGTTAATTAATTTCACAGACTGATTGATGTTCTTCTGCAAGAACAACAGATTGATTTTTTTTTATAGACAGCAATACTAATTCTTCCATCATGTCCTTCTCTTTCTGTGCACATAGTCCTATCGACTTTGGGGCCAACTCAATACAAAAGCAGAAGAAAGGCATTAAGAGAACAAGGTCCATTAGGCCCGATATTGCCTCAATTACTTTAATTCCATTATTCCTGTTCATATTACTTCTTTAATCAATAACTCTTTTCAGTTTTTCATGTTTACCCTTTTCAAAATCACAAGTAATAGGATTACGGTCTTTTGAGCTCAGTGGCAACAGAGTTTCATAAATATATTTCTGAATTTGTGATTGTCTCCAGATCTGCAACTGAGAAGTCTTAAATTGAATCAAGTTTTCCAGAGGCCATTTTATTTAATAATGCAGAGCATCTCCATGCAATATAGGTGCTTTTCCCTGTTATTCCATTTGTCACTCACTGTCAAAGACAATCACACATGCTGAATGGCTTTCTAAGTATCTTCTTCCCATGTCTAAACCTTTGGGCAGTTTAACTGATTTTCAAACTGCATCTCTTTTCTGTACATATTTCTGACTTTTGTTTAATGTAATCCTTCTACCTTCACTGACAATTATTCTTCCCTCTAAGAGTTTCATCTGGACATTATGTTAACTACTACCCCTTCCAGATGACAATTAATCAATCCCTCAGTTCTACCTCTGTAGCAGCCTTTCAAATTAAAGGAACTCTGTTTTCCTCTACCGTTTTAACAAACATCCATGCAATGTCTACTATTAATAAATGCAAGAAGCTGCACTTCCAGCATAAATAGGATACAAGATAGGTATATGGCCCTTCCCTTCAACATGTGGATAGTCTAAGAATGTTATAAAAATAACTTGTGATATATGAGAAGCATGCGAAAATTGCAATATGCAGCATCTATTCAAAGTTCTGGAATTCACAAGGGATAAAATCATTCATGAGTAGAGAAAAGTTTTCATAAAGGATATGAATTTCAGTGAGGTCTTAAAGGAGGGAAGGATTTTGAAAATGGAATCTAAGAGAGCAAAGTAACCAATTCTGTGTGAAAAGCAAAGCAGGCAAATCTAGTAGAGTAAATGATTCAATGGAGTAAATTAAAGAGAGCTTGACTTCCCTTTGGAAGCAGTGAGACCAGGACAAGGGTGAAGCAGTGAGACCAGGACAAAGGTCATAAAGGAAGAGTTTGGCAGGATATAAGCACTCTTTCACACAGCCATTCTCCCTGCAAGGAGCAGGATGAACTGAAGACATACAAAAGAAGCTTCAACAATGTGTCAAAGGACCTTCAAGATTTGATTTCTGCCTTCCTATAGAGTCTCATCCAGCCCTATATCCCTCTTCACACTTTATGCTCCAGCAGTACCTAAACAGCATGGAATACAGAAACATGCCCTGCCCCCTCATACCACTCTGCTAATCTCCCCTCTGTTTCATTTAGAATGTTCTCTCTCTACCACTCATCTCCTACCAATTTCCATTCAAATACAATCTTCTCTATAAAGTATTTCCTAATTGTCCCAAGCCAGTTTAGTTGCTCTGTTTCCTATATAAAAGGTATACTTAGTTTTATAGCTCCATCATAGTCATGCAAAAATCATTGCTTTCTCCCACATAAATTATAATATACTTGATACTATGCCCAGAACAATTTTTGGCACACGTCCAAAGGGTACTACATGAATGAATGAATGAACAAACGAATGAACAAACAAAACAGAGTGGTCATATGAACAAGCAAGAAAAAGGTAAGAAATGCTTGGAAAGGATAATCGTAGATTTAAAAAAAGGAAAGTAAAAATATGAAAGAATTACAGAAATTTGACAGAGTTTAGTGGTAACTAAATGTAGATGAAAGAGAATTCCAAGCTTCTGAGTTCCCTGCCAAAAGCCACTGCTCTTCTTCCTCATTTTTATATTACCAGCTCATAAGCACTTAACATAAACTCATGATTTAAATGAAGCAAAGATGGACCCATCAGAGGGAGAGGCAGAAGATCCTACAGAAAGCAGACATTAAGATTCCTATTTTAACTGATTTGTGTACAAAA
The DNA here is from genome assembly GCF_000001405.40 of Homo sapiens. NCBI lineage: Eukaryota > Metazoa > Chordata > Mammalia > Primates > Hominidae > Homo > Homo sapiens. The sequence goes on from NC_000013.11 coordinate 43,664,043, forward strand.
ATTTTCTGAAAAATGTTGATAGAATTTTGAAGTATAATTTGTTTAATTAATATACTTTCCATAATATAATAATTACATTCTAATGTCAGAGATCTAAGAAAAACTTACCATGTTAATTATTAACTAAAAAGACATAAGAATCATTTTTCTCATTTGCCTTTTTTTAAAATCAGAGTTTAACAAGTTAGCAAATTATTATCAAGTCCATGAGAATCTTATAGCTGAGTTTTCAGAAATGTGAAATTAGAGAATGCAAAATGGAGTAAAGACAAAGCAACAACAATAAAACTTGTTTTCCATGTTCAAGGCACCTGAGGTTTTATTTCTGGGTTATTTTCTCCTTAATAATAGAGAAGTGTTAGATACACATAAGTTAATTATTAAAATAAGACTTATTGGGATGTTATAATTGTTGTAGCACACACTGTAGAGTACTTCACTGGCTATTTTGGGACAGCTGAATTACTAGAATATAATTGCTCACCAGGCCCTACCTGCAGCCAGCAAGGGCTGGCCCACCATCACTCTGTTTGATCACTGTATAACCAAAACAAATTAACTGTTTCAATTTTAATGAAACCTATAGACATGCCCACAAGCCACACTAGGAGAGTTCATGTGAAAAGTTATGGGAGACCTCTAATCAAGGGTAGTAAGCTCTTGCATAAAATGGAAAAGAAAAGTAAGCAATGGAGACACAGGATGAAGTTATACATCTATATTTGGTATTTGGTGGAACTCTGCCTGCATGCATCACACATGCCATAAATATTTGCTGTTTGATTTACCAATTTTCTTAGGACTAATGTCAGAAAAATGCTAAAATGAATTTCTACTTTCATTTTCATTTTCTACTGCCTGTCATCATCTTATAAATCCACTGCTGTCTAAGCCAATGCTATCAGTTGGCCATAGGACAGCCTGCAGCCCCACCCCCAGGAACACAAAATCTCCTGCGGGGCTGGAAAAGCTTGTAAGTAAATGATTCCACCTTCCTGGAGGCCTGGGCCTGACCCACACAGTCAATCTCTAGACACTGGTCTGCCTGCTTACAGCAGCTCCACACAGCACTAATCCAGGGGCTTAAGTGAATTTGCAGGGCTCCTAAAGATGCCTACCTCACTCCTAGGAGGAGATCTGACCCTGGACTTTCACTCTTCTCAGCAGGAGGCTCCCTTTTGCTATTAAAAAGGTAATCCTTTCCTGGAAGTAACAGTAGACATGGCTAGAAAGCACTACCCCAAGAGGAAATAAAGGGTTTCCCAAATAAGCAACTCTAAAGAACAGATCATTTAAGTGCTACCTTGAGACCAGTATCCTAATAATTTATCAACACCCAAATCTGAACACTCAAAAGATAACTTGTAATAATGTTGAGTTAAGGATGCATAAAGAAGGAAGAAGACGCGATTAGGGCAGATCTATTTCAGGATAGCATTTAGAGATTAAAGCCAGAGAAGAGAATGTTAAATTTAATAAGTGCAAAGAGATGCAGCTGGAAAGAAAGAATAGCCTGGCTAAGTATGATTTAAACGGTATTGAATTAGCTGGAAAGATATCTTGATATACTGATAGAGGCGGCATGTAAATTGGCAGTTCAACCTGCGATGCCAACACAGACAGCAGTACCGGCTCACACAAAGGGCTATATTTTATAAAAACCCCATCTGCTACTAATTTTAAAGGAAAACTCTTATCTCATTTATGAGGTTGTTTAGCCTGGACTAAACTGAAGGCAAGAGCTCCCTGAGGACAAATGCCAGCGTAATACCTGCCCACCTCTGGTCACTGCACTTTGCTTTGTCAAATTAAATTTGGCCATGGCCTTTATAGTCCTTGCCATTCGCTAATTCAACAAATATTAAGCAGCAGGCACCATACTAGATGCTTTAGGGTTATCTAGAGGAATTCACTTCAGGCATGCCTTGAATATATTACAGGCTCGGTTCCACACAAACTTTTTGGTTTGCCAGTGCGTATAAAGTTATGTTTACACTATACTATACTCTATTAATTGTGCAATAGCATTATATCTAAAAATGAACACACCTTAATTTAGAAATCCTTTATTGCTAAAACAATGTTGATACAGGAACACAGTGTAAGCATGTGCTGTTGGAAAAATGATGCTGATAGACTTGCTGGATGCAGGGTTGCCACAAACCTTCAATTTGTAAAAAAACATAGTATCTGCAAAGCTCAATAAAACCAAGTGAAATAAATTGAGGTATGCCTGTACCCCTATAGTGCTATTGGCTGAATTGTGTACCCCAAAAAGATGCTGCAATCCAAATCTCTCATACATATGAATGTGACATTTTTAGAAATAGAGTCCTTGCAGATGATCGAGTTAAGATAAGGTCATTAGGGTGAACCCTAATCCAATATGACTGGTGTCCTTACAAAAAGGAAACCTGGACATAGACACAGACACACATGTAGGGAAGACAGTGTAAAGACACAGGGAGAATGCCATCTATAAGTCAAGGAATGCCTGAGGCTGCCAGAAGGTAGAAGAAAGGCCTGCGACAGATTCTCCCTCACGGCCTAGAAGGAAGCAACCCTGCTGACACCTGGACTTTGGACTTCTAGAATCCAGAACTGTGAAACAATAAATTTCTATTGTATAAACCAGCCAGTTTGTGGTGCTTTGTTAAGGCAGTCAGATGAGACTAATACAGACTGGGTCACAAAATAAGCAAGTCCAATAACAAAATTACCATGGTCATCAGAACTCCTAATGTGGGTCTATCTATGGAAGCTTTGGCTCAGTTAATGGGTCCAGGTTTGGTCACTGGATGATATAGATCACTGTCATCCACGTCAGTTCTATAAAGGGCATCAAAGAAAAAGATAGCTCATATCCTAAGGAGAGACTAACCCAATGGGGACTGTTTAATCCTCTAAGAAGGTGATTAGAAAGAAACAGAAGCAATAAAGGTTAATGGAAAATTAATCTCAAGTGACCTGTTTGGGCAAATCAAAGTTGTGAGACATGTACTTATTTCTAAAGAAAATGCAAAGGAAATTTAGAAGGATAACTTTAGATAAGGGGACAGAGATAAGACTTTAATTAGAAGTCTTCAATATTCATGTATTTACATAAGTGTTGAAAAGATAAAGGCTTCATGATAAGGTGATAAAGATGAACAATGGTAGTACCTTTATGAAAACTCTATAGAAGTTGGAAAGAGATTTCAAGTGACCAGTCCTATTTCCTTGCTGGCTGTTTACAGAGGCCCTGTCACAGGTACTTTGTAAATGCTCCCCAAATGCATGTTAGTTCAGAGATCTTCTGCCACAGGCCCTCTGAACCCCAGATATAACTAAGACACACATTAGAGAATGATGCCAGAGGTATAATTAAACTACATCCCTTCCCATATGGTGACAACCAACCTGCTTGTTATTTGTGGTGCACATACCATCCCTTTACCTGAGCATGGTGAGCTCTCTCTCCTCCACATATTATAAATACGACATCATGCTGGCAGCAAAGGACCTGTAAAATAAAGGCCATCTTGTTAGAAAAAACTTCAAACATCAATTTCAGAGAGCTGACTGAACATATATATGTAAGCAGATGCAAGGTTTCGCCTGCAAAGTTCGAGCTGAACATAGCCCTTTCCATTTCTGGCCACTGCAATTGAATGCCCTTGGAGAAGGTCTCCGCATGGTGCTAACTTGGTAACAATCAATAAATGTGAAGGTCTCATCATAAACAAAGCCTCCGAACTGTCAATCTTTCAAAGAGTATTTCTGCTTTAAAAGTAGTCTTTGTTGCTAAAGTAGCTACACTAAAGCCAGTGCTAGGGCCAGGGCCTCCCAAATCTAAGAAAGCCTAAATAAATAAAGCTGTGTGTTAATTAATGGCAGTACAATCTAAAAATGTCATTCAGAAGCAGTTTTAGGGGTTGACTGGTATCAGACGTACTGTTTTTAAGTATGAGAAATTCTTGCAAGTTTCCAAATTGAAATAAGAGTTACACACTTATAAGCTTTCTCTCAGGAAATTTGTTGTTCTGCAAACTATAAAGTGCACCTAGATATTTTCATAGGATAAATCCCAACTTTATTTTCTAGAAAGTATTTTAAAGCCTTGTTACTCAGAGTGTGGTCCACAGGCAGCAAAATCAGCCTCACCAGTGAGCTTGAAGTGCTGAATCTGAGAACCCACCTGAGACCTACTGCAACAGAATCTGCATTTTAACAAGATCCTCAGATAATCCCTTTGCACATTAAAGTCTGAGAAGCATGGTTTTAAAGTGCCTTATACATCAGGCCTGTGAGTGCTAGAATCATAAGAAATAGGTTGCCCCGAACTTCAAGACCATCCTCTGGTATCTAAAACTTAATGGAATCACAATTCCTCTATTATAATTGCACGAATCTGGAAACAAATATTCTACTAAACTCTCCAGAAACACCTTACATCTGGCTAAATCTCTTTTCTTTCCAGAACATGTAGACTAATTGTAAACAGATAACTAAAAGCATAGCCAAATTTGGAAGTATTTTACACTCTAAAGACCAGCATCTGTAGACATTGAAGATAGACATTATTTGTTCCATAACTAGGTGCTCAGTAATAACTAATACTGTGTAAAGAGCCCCAAAGTGGAAGGATAAAAATTACCACATGGCATGATAGATCTAATAGGGAAAGGTCAGCACAAGAAGCCAGGGGCAGGGGAAGGTACTGGTACACACTTAGAAAGTACCTGACCCAGGTGGGAAACACTGGGAAGGCTTCCTGAGCTGAGTATTGAAAAAGGATGAGGAAAGATCTTTTAAGAAGCAGTCCGCCTACAGGTATAGTGAATGAGGGCAGGTCACTAGACCAGCAAGGAGCCAACTACCTTATTTCAAAAAAATATCCAAATGTGATTTTATCAAGTTTTTTCAGCTTCTTTAATATTTGTATGCATGAGCTATAAATGTGACAGCCCTTAGGAACACGTCTCTTCCCTTTCAACTATCCTACAAGACAAGGAGGAATGGCAAACATCAAACACAAGATGCACTACTCAGAAGTCGGCTGCAAACTGCAAGGGGGCAGGAATAGCAGAACTGTACCTCCACATTTGCTATTTGATCACACAGAGTGTCAATGAAACTGCAACCAGCAATACGGGGACCATAAAGAGAATCACATTAAAGTTAATACAAAAGTCAGGAAAATGTCTTCAGCAAGGGACACTGGCTATTTGGCAGATGCCCTGCTGGGAGTAATTGAAGGCTCTCAGTGTGACCAAAGTATGCACTCCCCTCTCTGAGCCCTTCTCTTCCTCCTGAATTTAAACAGTTCTTATCCCATCTCCTTCCCCCTCACTTATTCTTGTGATTTCTCTGACTCATTTTCCTTCTCCCTCACTACCTCCAAGTGCCCTCCTATCTCTAATTCAACTCCCTTCTTTTCCCTTTCAATCTGCCCATTTTTTCACCCCTTCCTTTTGTGAGAAGAAGGAGCTAAGGCCCTTCCTTTTGTGAGAAGAAGGAGCTAAGGGAGAGAAGGAAGGACAACCAAACATCTTTTTTTCCCTTTTTTCTTTGCTCCTTTCCCTTTTCTTCACTAACGTCCCCACATTTTTATTTCCCTCTTCTATCCTCTCTTTTCTTTCCTGGAATCAAATCCCTGTTATCAGTACATAACCTGTCTTCCCAAGCATAGAGCTTAGAAATGATAGGAAAATTGCTCGACTCCTAGACTGTTCCGTTGTAATTCTTGGGAGTTCTCGGATTCTCCTAACCCACTGCCAGGTCAATGATTGAGAGAGGAAAGAAAAACTTTCAAAACCTAGCATTTTCTTAGCATTTCCTAAAATGTAGAACAATTCTGGAGTACTTGGCTGTTGTACTGAAAGGGGATAAAGATGTAAAACATACTAGACCAAAGGTTTCATTCTACCCCTGGTTCTCCCTAAGTGTATTTCCTCCAACCCACCATGAAACCAACTCTTCTGTTACTCTTATTCCTCTTTCTGCATATCCCCCAAACCCTCCTGGAATGACTGAAACACGCTTCATTACCAGTAAGAGCCAGATAAATGACAAGGCAGGAATTAACAGAGTGCTTCTTTACAACGACACAGAGTAGCACACAAAGAGCCTCATTTAATGCCCCATTAGGAAGCCTTACAAGTTACAGCTTAATAAATATATGAAGATTATCGTAATATAGAAAACATCTGGTACCACTTCCCACATGAAATGCACTTATGGAGAACTCTACAGAGTAGGCTGTGATATGGCAATCTTGCATATAGTCTTTGAACTGCAGAAAAGCAATTTGGCTTCCTTTAGGTATTTCACTCTTTATTTTCAACATATGAACTATGAACGAAACTTTGTAGGCAAATCTGATTTCCCAATCTTTTTATTCCAGCCCCTAGATACCATATATGCCCCTGAAATAGAGTACATATTCCCAAAATATTTGCTGAATGAATGAGTTAACTAGTCAAACAATCACTGGCCAATCAACATAAGCCTTAAGACACAACTGAATTAAGTATTTGAAGGAAAATAGGGCTGGGAGCGGTGGCTCATGCCTGTAATCCCAGCACTTTGGGAGGCTGAGGCAGGTGGATCACTTGAGGTCAGGAGTTCGAGACCAACCTAGCCAACATGATGAAACCCCACTTCCACTAAAAATACAAAAATTAGCTGGCATGCCTGTAATCCCAGCTACTCAGGAGGCTGAGGCAGGAGAATTGCTTGAGCCCAGGAAGTGGAGGTTGCAGTGAGCCAAGATCGCGACACTGCACTCCAGCCTGGGCAACAGAGTGAGAGTCTATCTCAAACAACAAAACAACAACAACAACAACAACAACAACAACAAAACACCAGTATTTGAAGGAAAATATCACACAATAATGCATTTTGAAAATTTCCCCTAGATTTTTGGTATTGACATCTGATATGATCTGGCTCTGTGTCCCTACCCAAATCTCATCTCAAATTGTAATCCCCACATGTTGAGGGAGGGAAGTGACTGGATTAAGGGGGTGGTTTCCCCCATACTCTTCTAGTGATAGTAAGATCTCATGAGATCTGATGGTTTTATAAGGCAGTTTTCCCTGCTCTTGCATGCTCTCTCTCTCGCCTGCTGCCATGTAAGATATGTCTGCTTCCCCTTCCACCATGATTCTAAGTTTCCTAAGGCTTCCCCAGCCATGCAGAACTGTCAGTCAATTAAACCTCCTTTGTTTATAAATTAGCCAGTCTCAGTTAGTATCTTTATAGCAGTGTGAGAACGGACTAACACATCATCTAATCATAAGGTCAATATAGGGTGTTGGATGTAACTCAACTCTCAGAACTAGAATGAAAAGAGGTGCTGCTTTGGGCAGAGACCCTGAGCAGTCAGATGTGTCAACATTCTAACAGCAAATGAATAAATGGAAAACTCTAGAAAGCAAACAAAAGTTCTCAAAAACTACAGCAGCCTAGAATAAATTAGTCAATCCCTCTATTTGTTCCCATGATACTCTCTACACATACCCCATTATTACTGAAGGTCTCATTACACCATTACATTTCTTCAAAGGTTTCTGACTCACCCTGGGAAGTGACGACCTGATCACAGCCCACTACGATTTCCGAGGCAAGCCAAAAAGAAACCCCTAGAATAGATCTGCTCTACAGATCAGGAAAGGGACTGGAATCCTATTTTGTGGAAGGGGAAGAGGAGACATGACAAGTTGAGCTGTGTCTGGATAGAGCTCAAGGATCCCTATCTCTCTGGATTCACCTCTGAATTCAGGGACTAGGCTAGCAGTTCCCCAAGAGCGAGATAGCAAGTCACTCCATTTCAATCAACCAAGAGTTTAGTGGAAAAGCCAGTAGTGGAAATTTGTTGTAACTTGCTCTAAATGTCTTAATAATTTAAAAAATATGTTTTATTAAATATCATCAATAGTGTTCCAGATATTGGAATCTACTTTGTATTCAAAAACTATGAGAGGTGCTTTTTACCATTCATACCATTGACATCATTGGACTGAGATCATCACCCCTTCAGAAAAGAACTCTTTAGAAACCTACCCAATCTATCATAGAGAGAGCGAGCTTCCTGTTAACCTTCAACTCCATTGCCCCCTCAGACTTGAGCCAGTTTTAACAAACGCCCTGCACTTACATCTGAAAAGGAGTTGACCCTTTGAAGGAAAAAAATGTAGACACTTCTAGGATATATGTATTTTAGTGTAACTCTAACCCAAAGTAAAGTATTTTGTAAAAACTTTAGTTAAGTACTTACTAAAGTAAATTTACTAAAGTAAAGTAAAGCCTTGGTAAATCTCTCCTACTTTATTACCGTTAGATAATATTCCCTTTAACCAATCCTATTTCTCCACAACTATCCACTTTTTCATCACCTAGCATAAAAATAAACAAGTTTAACCATTTCTTCAGGTCTTTATGTCCATACGAAGGCTTCTTTGTCATGTACAATTTATATGAAATAAATTTGTATGCTTTTCTCTTTTTAATGTCTTCTTTAAGAGGGGCATCAGCCACGAACTTAGGTTGAATGAGGAAAAGATATTTTCTCCTTCTACACCATTTTAAAGCAATCCCTAGATACTGCTCATATTATATCTGCATATCGTGAGACCTAGATTTGTTACCATTCAACAAACAGGGGTTCTAATAATAAGGAATTAGAGAAAAGGTAAAATGTTCTAACCTTTTCCTCTTAAGTTTCACTTTGAGATCTCCAATATAAATTTCCTAATTATATAAAAACCACCGCTCTATGATTTCAGTGCTATAAGTCTGATTTCATCCTTATTTCCAGAAAGAAAAAAATAGTTGCATTTGCCATCTGAATTCACTACCTACAGTTCTACAGCTATGTTTTTGTACTGGGGCATTGAAGGACAGCAAAAAGTAGGGACAAAAAAGTCTCTTACCTCCCAAAGCCATCTGAGTGCCCTCTCACCCTGCAAATCACATGCCATACCTTTTCTAGATCAATTCTTTGTTTAGTTTCACCAGTACATCAGCATCTTCAATTTCTTCTATTCCCATCTCAATAAGCAATGGCTTACAGAAAAGATAAACCTATTTTTTTAAAAAAAGCAGGTTTTTAAAAACCTGCTTCCTTCCATAAAATTTGTTTGCATGTGTGTATATATATATATATATACATGTTCGATTCTCATATGATTTCCAAATTAGAACTCAAGTTCAAATGATCAAATCATGCTTACAAAACAAGATCTATAAAATTAAAACAGATTGATGGAGGACCCCTTACCACCACTTCTACCATATCCCTGACACATACGACTCACCCAGAGGATCCACTTTTCAGTCCCTAGGTGCAGCCAAGCCCTCCACTAAACAAAGCTCTTCCTGACAGGGACTGGGTGAATGCCTCTATAAGAGATCACCACATATTTTCATAGTTTACAAGGATAAAGCAATTACAGCTTCAGTCGTTCATGAATAAAGCCTCTTTAACATTTTAATGAGAACATTAACTCAGCTTCACTTGGTTTGGCCTCTCTAGAAAGTCTGTTAGCCTAAGAGAAAGTTTCTTTAAAACCCAGTAATGAAATTGAGGCCTCTCTGTGCCCCACAGGGCATAACTGGGCTACAAACACTGGCTGGACTATTTCTCTCCTGAAGTAGCCTATATTTTTTGATAAGACTACAGTTTGGTAAATGAAAGAAGGCATCTGAAGAAATACCTTTCTCTCTGCAGTATTTGTGTGCTTGTGTGTGCTCACTCATTTTATATCTGACTTGTCTCCTAATTTGCTTTTTATGTTATACACAGCTTTGAGTACAATGTGTGACTCAAAAAATGTTAAATCATACTTTTCTGCAATTTTCCCTTAATCATTTTCTACTGCCTCTGTTCTCTCTTGCCGCGTGACTGATTCCCACCAAGGCTACCAAACTGCCATTCGCCTGGAGACCCATTAAATTCAGCAGAAAACCAGCAGAGCTTCAGAAGTCAAAGGTGAACAAGAAATAATTCCCAGACTCAGTGACTTAACATGAATTTCTGCCTCTTCTCTGGACCAAACCAGGAGCAGAGTGAATGAAAGAGTTTGTCACCTTAAGAGTAAAGCTAAAAAGAACGAATGTCCAAGACACACATGCATTTAACTCTTCAAACATCTGCTGAGTATGTATTATGCAGCAGGAATTGTTCTAGGTACTGGGAGTACAAGCCAGGAACAAGACAAGACTCTCACTCCCACAGAGCTAAAGTTCTAATGGGAAAGACAGGTGATAAACCAAAAAGAGAATGTCAGAGTGCAATAGGTGCTATGAAGAAAATGCAACAGGGTGATGAGAGGCTAGAAAAATAAGGTGAAAATTTAAAGCCAAACAGAGCAAAAGGCTACAGCAAAATCCTCAAGGTCATAAAAAGACATGGAATAACCTTAAAAGCACATTGCTAAGTGAAAGAAGTCAGTCTGAAAAGGCCGCATACTATACCATTCCAACTACATGACATTGAGGGAAAACTCAAACTATGGAGACAGTGAAAATATCCATGGCTGCCAGGGGTTGTGGGGGAGGGAAGGGAGGGAGGAATAGGCAGAGGGCAGAAGATTTTAAGGCCAGTGAAACTATTCTGTATGATACTACGAGTGGATACATGTCATTATACGTTTATCCAAACCCATAGAATATACAACACCAGAAACAAACCCTAATGCAAATGATGAACTTTGGATGACAATGATGTGTCATCACAGGTTCACGGATTATAACAAATGTAGCAGTCTGTTGGGGGATGCTGATAATACAGCAAGCTATGCATGTGGGTTGTGGGGAGCTATATGGGAAATCTCTGTACATTCCACTGAATTTTACTGCCAACCTAAAACTGCCCCTCAAAATAAAGTCTTTAAAATCCTTAAAGTATAAAAGAATGTGGTGAGCTGAAGAACCGAAAGGCCCAGCTTGGCTAAAGCACAGTGAACAAGGTAACCAGCAGAGTGGCTAGAGTAAGCCTGGCAGGTCACGTTTAGAAGCCTGAATTTCATTCTAAAAGCACCAAGAAGCCACTGAATAGTTTCAAGCAGGGCTTGTCATTATGTGTTCTACATTTTTGAAAGGTCACTCTGGCTGCTGTATGGAAAATGGATCACAGAGAGGCAATCAACAGAGGCTGATGATGGTGGTCTAGTCTACAGTAGTAGCAACAGAGCAGCAGAAGTAGATGGATTTAAAGAGGAGCTGACAGGACTGGTGATGGACAGATTGGATGTAGGGGATAAAGAAGAAAGAGGAATCAAAGATGATTTCTGAATGAGAGGAGAGACCATGCACTGAGATGGGGAAAACCCTAGCTACAAAGACCACACAAAGTGCCATGTGCCATGGTACAGATCTCTGGAAGCAGTGGGAATGTTCAGTCCTCCAAGGGAAATCAAGTTCAGCTTGCTTGATCTCTGCCTTAGCATGAATAGCAAATGTGTGTGTGTACACATATACACACACATATATGCATATATACATGGATATATGTAAACATATATGTTTTAATACTGTTTCTGAAATTCAAAGCAAGTTTTAAATCATGTCAGCAATCTTTCGAAGAACAGAGAGGCAGGGTTGTTATTGTTGTCCCAATTAACATGCAAGGAAGCTGATGGCAAATGAGGTGAAAGGTCTTTTGAAGGTCACACAGCAAGCAGTCAGCAGCACTGAAAGGAGGGGCCCGGCTTCCTTTCAGGAGTCCCTGCCGTACATCACACCCTCTGCCTATCATCTGGAGCATGTGGGGCACCCTGCAAGCACTGCGAGAGAACATTCTCGGATGAGGTAAGGGTGGAGGTGCTGCTCCCTCACCCATGCCATTTTCTTTTTGCTCATCCCATCACAGGTGCTATTTTAATAACCCATAAAATGTGGCTGATAAAACCAAAAGATCGTTAACACCAAAGCAAACTTTACAGAGAGCAAATCAAGTATTAAGGTATATTGTGGCATAGATTTTTAGACAGACATTTAAATTATGAACCACAAGGCATCTACTGCACAAGCTCTCCAAATCCTTCTGAGGGCTGCACAGGTGGAGATTCCTCATGAATGGAAGAAACACTCATGCCCAGGAATCACAGGCCTATCAGTAGCCTCATCTGGAATTCTTCATCCAGTCTTTAGGTTTCTCAAAGAACATCAAAAGCACTGCACACATTTTAGGAAAAAAAGACAAAAACACTAGAACCAAAGAGTTCACAGGTCTGGTCTTTGTAACATTATTTAAAGGAATACAATTTATCTAGATGAAATTACCACTAAAATAAGTCAGATCATATTTAAAGACACATGCTAGGGGCAGGACTGGGAAGCCTGGACACTTTGTTTAGTCTGTATACTACCTGTACAAGTTTTAAAAATACACTTTCATTTTTCATCTACCAGGCTCTCCCTCAGAGCTGTGAGGACTCCCACCTCAAATTTAGAAGTCTGAAAGAGAAACAGTGAAGGGGTGTCCGCCTCTATGTTTGTCCCTGTGAGTCATACATTTTCTGTTCCTACTAAATGTGGGTTGGTTGTTTTCTAGTTGATTTGCAGACTTCCTCTCTGCTGCTTTTCTCTAATAATATTTTTCCAAAGGACCCCTACCTTGCAAGCACAGTCCCACTAAGGAACAACAGGCAATTATGCATGATCACAGTGATCACAGTTACTGGGGCCTGAAATAACTGGACTGAGAACACCCACAGAAAGGGGTTCAGGGAAAAGAAGTTTGAGATAGCTGGTCCGTTGCACCCTGACCTCCAGTCTACAGATTTAGAAAATCACTTGTCAGGGCTAAAATCATGGTGGTCATATGTGTTGCCTTCTTATGAAGATGGAGTCATTTCCATTTATTACTGGTTGTCTTGCCAATACTTTCACAAAGATACACAGTAATATGCTCTCAGCACACACAAAGTAGAGTTGAAACTTGCCCTGCCATTAAACACTCAAGTGGGTCACCCTCTGAAACTGCCCACCGAGTCTCCCACCAAGACCCTTCAACAAGGCCTTATCTCTCTGTCCAATCTGCCCTACAGAACCCTTTTTACTTCTGGACACATCACTTTCCCATTTTCTCATATCATTAAAATTTTCTTTCCTTTCTGGGAGTGTAGTCAATGAGATTGGCAGAGAATACAGGAAAGGCAGATGGCAAGCATGAAGGCAAACTGGGAGTAATTTGGAGGGGCCTGGGTTCAGAGAGCCTGCTCCCAGGAAAAGCCCGAGTCAGTCAGCCATGGAGATGGACTGCCAATGGGAGGCAGGGAGAGCAAAGAGCACATGAGTGAGAGTGGCCAAAAGGAAGCAATGGGTCAGGAACAAGCAAAGATTCAAGATGAGGGCTTTTGGTGCCACTATGAGACATCGTACAGGTGGCTCTGAGGCTGGAAGCAGGAGGCTGTAGAGTGCCAATGCCACCTAAACTGGAAAGGGCAAGAAACTGAGCCCTCAAAAATAGGACAAATACTGACAATTTTCTCCCTTCATACTCAAAACAACCTCTCTCTAGAGCGCTCTTTCTCTTCTTTCCTTCAAATCTTGAGCCCAATGTTTGACACTTGATACCTTGAGGTGCCAATTATCATAGTGATGATTCTATAAAGTACACAATTTCACACTATAACTTTCTTTGCAAAGCATTTTTTTACATGTATGGTATCTTTTAGTTCTCACAATGTTGTGACATAAGCATTATTAAATGCACACATCCTGACTCAAAGAGATTTAGAATCATGCACAATGCTACACAAGTGAAAGAATCTGTATCCAAATCCAGGTCTTCTGACTTGCGATCCTGTGGTTTCTAGAATATACTATTAGTCTATTTCTTGTTATTTTTATTTATTTTTAGGTTTCATTTTATTTTAAATTGACAAACAATAATTACATATTTATGTTAGTCTGTCTTGTCCTCTAATTCTCTATTCTCTACATTTCACTAATTTAGACTTCACTAATTCGGAATTGGTGAGGCAATAAAACATCATTTGATACCCTATTTACTTGGAAATCTGGGAGGTGCTATACAAATGTGCATACAATATATCCAGGAGGCTGAATGGGGAAGCTACCATCCTGAAAGTGGAGAAAAAAAGAAAGCTTGCCTTCTTTTAGTCACCAGGGCCAACATCAGCAATTTAACATCAATATGAAATTTTTAAAATGGATTTGCTAACTATAAATGACTTAATTTTGAATTCATGTCTAGTTAATATTCTATAAAACTCAAAAAAATTCCTCAAATATAAAAAATATGATCTTAAACTAATGGTACTTAGTCTACAGGCTAATTTTTAAAAACTATCACATCCTTATGATTTTTGTCACGTCTTTATTATGTAACATAGTATCCTGTAGTTCAATTTTTCTGTGAATTCAGATCTGCCTGTCCTTGTAGAGTCTGGCATAAAGTTGGTTTTCAAATATTTGTTGACTAGATGATGGATACATACATGAATGAATGCATGTGTCTGTCAAGTTACACTCCATGTCAGCTGGAGAGTTAAATGCCACTTCCATCAGGCACAATGGACCAGTCCTGGACTTTAGAATTCCACAGATACAGATTCCAATCTAGCTGTTTGTCAGCTACATCATCTTAAGCAAGTTATCTCACCTCTGGACTCCAAGTTTCCTCATCAGCAAAATGGTAACAACACTGAGTAGCACTCAGAACTGCTGTGAGGCTAAAGTGAAGTCACACACTCGATACACTGCCTAGGTTGCCGCCATTAATATAGCTTATTTATCCTCTCTCCTCTCTCTGTCTCACATTTAGCATGACCCCTTTCATAAGACCAACCTTGATAATGGTGTTTCAGTATATAAAACCCTGTTGTAAAGTTAATGGCCAAACATCAACTTTATTTACAATGACTCAATTTCCCCTCTACTAACATTAAACTTATTTATTCATGGTCTAGAGATAGGTTGTTATGCATAGCAGGTGTTCAATAAATTTTGATAATTTTAGAAAAAAAATTTCCAGGGAATTGAAGCTCACTCTTTTAGGCACTAATACTCTCTTCATTTGAAAGCTTTCAAAAATATACTATACCCTCAACCACTATGCTGAGCAGCAGGTTGAAAGAACTCTAACCTCTTCTTGACTCAGTTATCAACATGAACTTAGACTTAACACCGTAATGAAAAATAATAATTCCTTGAGGGTTTTTTAAGTCAGTAGATCTGCTCGTACCAAATGTTCCCAGATTTCTATGCCATGATCATTTCTTCCATTTCTTCCTGTGGTCAGCAGCATGAGACACTGGGGAATGAACAAGATCAAGTCCCTGTCATCTTTGAGGGTTTACCAGGAACAATTCCCAGCTATTTCTTATCTGTGGCCTCATGACACACACACACGTTTTGGTAAAAGCTTCAAGGAGGGACCCTAGTCAAAGGAGGACTGCTCCATCCCTCATGTTTTACACATAATACCTACTCAACAATATTTAGGAAGTGAACTGAGTAAACAGTATGTAACTTTTGTAATTAGTATTTGGAGATAAAAACTATTTGTAGTTTCTATTTGGAGATGTTTTTCTAACCCATGGCTAGGCCCTTTACTCATTTGTGGCTACATTTCTTCATCTTTAAGATAAGACAATTGGGTTAAATTATCCCTAAGATCCTTTTCAACACTTATATTCTATGATCTAATACTCCAAAGCTCCAGATGATAGAACTGCTGGAAATATGACCACTGGATAAGTGAGGTATTAGAGGACATAATGAATAAACAATGCATCCTTTGCCTTCAAATGCAAAATCCTATCAAAAAGATATTATCTGCATATCATGGAAACAAATGCCCAAAAGATTAGCTTTCTTACTTCTTTCTCTCACCTGAATACCATATACAAGAGTAGACATATTGACCTTGGAGTGTAAACATACTGACCTTTTTATTTTCCTTGTGTCAAATGTTCATAATAAATGAAAAACCTAACATATCTCAAAAGAAGTCAACTGCATTCAGGCAAATACAACCCTAAAGGGGTTTTTCTCATAACTAAATGCAGTAATGCAATGCTTCACTACCTTTTGTTCATAGTTATTTCCTCAAACACCACTTGGTTCATATACTAATTTATTCACATATTTGTTTAGTGTTCCAGTTTTACTCTTTATACAGAAATGAAATCCAACTTTCTTAAAGTATGGTTTAACTGTATTAAAACTAAAACTTCTAAATTAAAAGAAGTTTCATAAGTGTACACAGAAAAGAAGTAGATGCTTTCAAATAACAAGTCAAATATTTTTCAACAAGTACCTTGGGAAGGCATTCTGAGAACAGCTTTGCCCCTAGAGGCCCAGGGCAAGAGAAGTCATGGACAACTCTCTATTCCAGATAGGATGGTGTTCCTTCAGTTCAATTCAAAGTATACCTTCCTCAAGCACTATACCAATTCTAAAGGGGATAAAAAATGAAAAAATACATCATCTCTGCCTTGGAGAAGATGCAGCAAGACTGAGTGCATAGGGTAATGACATTGGAAAATGATGTCCCAGGATCAGATCCCAACTTCACCATAATTAACTGTAAAACTTCGGCAAGTTATTTAACCTCTCTGATTCAGTGTCCTTATCTGCATAATGGTGATGATAACAGTACCCACCTCATTGAGTTGTTATGAGGATTAAACGGAGAATTACTCCTAAAGCATTAAGAATGATTCCCAGCACACAGCAAGTACTCAAGGTTAGTATCATCCCTGTGAACATACAACCCATGAACTATTTTTTTATAAGTAAAACTGAAGCTATAACAGATGTCAGGAAATGAAAAGACAAAAACAATCTGGAAAATTATTTTTCCAACCTTCATCATTATTCTTGTGTCTTCCTGATGAATCCTAACTACAACTATTCCTCAGAGAGATATAGAGATAGCAGAGAATGGAGGTGTGAAGAAAGAAAAAACAGAGAAACATGAAAGGAGAGAAAGAGAGAGCAAACAGGAGGTGCATTTCTGTATTATCCAAAGCCATTAGAAAGGCAGACACTGAACTAAAGTTGGAGAGAAGGCCACACTTGCTGCAGCCCTGCCCTGCCCCTTTCCCTTCTCCTCTCAGAAACTCCTTCCTCAAGCATTGAGCTACCACACTTTTGTCCTAACCATTTCTTTGCTTTTCTTTCCCATTTATACTTTTGTTTTATAGAATATGAGGAGAGACTTTATATGTTTTATAGAATGGAAAAGGCTTTAGAAGTCACCACCTAACACAATCCTCTCAATTTATACATGAGAAAAACTAAGGGCCTGTAAGACAAAGACATTTGTCCTGGGTTGTATAGCTCTATAATGGCACAAACAAAATCAAAACTGGACTCCCTAAGTCCACACCATTTCCCTTAGGACAACAAAATGTATACATTTACCCAAAAGCAATATGGCTAGCCTTTATCCCATATGGCAGATATTTAAATTTTTCTCTTGGGAAGAAAATCTTGAGAATTTTTTTTAAATGAGTTAACAAGAATCTTACTGTTTTTAATTTAATAAATGTGTTTTATTATTGACTTTATTGCTTGCTAAGCCTGAAATTAGATTTCTCTATGTTTGGGTATGTCTTGTCTAACCAATAACAGGACAACCAGACTGCAATTAAACAGATATTCCCACTTGGGCCATAATGCATAAACACACACACACACACACACACACACACACACACACACACACACACTATCAGGAGGCACTTAAAGTTTCAGCACATTCTCGTTGTCACTTTTCTGGCCTGTTTAGGAGAAGGAGATATTAAATATTAAAAGGCTCTTCTAATATACAGACTTCAAATCATTTATCTTCCAAAGGAGGAACAAGTTTCTTGTCATTTCCTCATATGCTATTTCTAACCCCACTGCCTGCCCATTGTACTCCATAAGTTTTCATATCTGTGCTCAGAATGTCCTTACTATGCTTTGCCCAGATCAGGTATACGGCCTCCTAAACGTTCACTGCTCCTTACTCCCAGCCTTCAACTCCATAATGAACGACTGAGGCTCTGAAATCAGAGCCTTATAATAATATATTTTTTAAATGGAGCCAATAACTATACTTTTCTGTTGTTGTTATATGTCAGATCTTTAAGTATAAGGATCTGGATAAAGCAAACATTTTAAAACAAACAAAGCCTCCTGGTTTGCTTATACTCTCCCCATTTCTCTAGTATTCAAGGTAGCTATCTTCTCTTCCATTCACTATGTGGGGCTTCATAAAAGGTATGAACTCACTGTGACTAAAGGAAAGGTTTTGGCAGTCTTCTCACACTTGTTTAGATAATAGGAACATCTGAATCTGGGCCACTAAAACCAACTCAGTTCCACGGTCTAAATAGGTGTTTACTTTTAGTAGGCTAGACCTGCAGAAGGCCACTTTACTAGAACCATGCTTGGTAAGTATTATTTACATGGATCTATACTACTACTACTATGTGTTTTGTTTTCCTTTTTCTGTTAATTTTTCTTTCACAGCAAATGCAGGCTGGCCACCATGGGTGGTGGCAGTTGTAGTTACCATTCTCATTCATAAGAAATTCAATAATAGAAAAAGTAGAATTCAACATTACAAAAAAAATTGCAAAAATTAAACACTCAAAGCTCAGAAAGAGTTGAGCCAAGATTTGAAAGTTTCTAAGGAAGGGGAAAAAAAACCACATTGCTGCATCCTCCTACCCTGCATGCCAGCTAGCAGTGGCAGTTCAGTCTCTCCAGATGCCTCTCAGAAAAAGAAATGCCACAAATATAACAGGAGTTGAGATCCTGGGGGAGCCAATTAGATTTAAGGTGCTTTCAAAATTCTGTAAAAGAAAAAAAGGCATTAGAAAAAACCTGGCACTTGAAATGACATTTTATGTGTTCCGCTTAGGGCCTTTGGAATACTACTCATATAAGGGCTGGTTGCCATGCTTATAAAATAAACTTTGGGTTTTTAATATAACAGAACAAAATCATTAGCTAGTAAAACAAACTTAGCTTCAGAGGGAGAATGTGGCACGTCAAATCTAAGGTATCTCATCCTTTATCTTTGGAATTGTCAGCCAAAATAAGACAAATCAGGCCAAGGTCAATGGCAGACACTCTACTGAGAAACTCTCCTCCTAAGACTGACTGTTGTGTAGTACTTTGAGGTTCTGGCACTTGTCAAGCAATTATTTGGGGGTGAGCTGCAAGGCAACAGAAATTTTCAGGCCCCCCACCCAACACCATACCAGTTCCTCAATTGCCTTTCGATATCCCATGACAAGAGAGGTAGGGGTTGGGAAGGAAATGGGGAGCTCAGAAGGGACTGCAGTGTCTCCACAGTTACAGAAGCAGGTCTGGGGTCCAGCTGGTGATGGGGAGAGATGCACTACACTAATGTAATGGCTATTTGTCAGTCCATTATCATCTTTCCCAATGAGATGCAGGGCAGATGCATCAAAGACAAGAGAATCAGACAAAAGACAGTGAGATTTAAAAATACACCAACTTCAGTTGGGTTTTTGGGATGATTTCTTTTCATCCCAAGATGAAACAGCCACAGATCCACCTCCAAACTGGAGGCTCAACCAGGCTGTCTCCTCAGAGCCCCACTCACTCATTCACCTTCTCTTTAATATGGTATGAAAGCAGTCAGGTCCAAGAAGCCAGCACAGGGGTATGTGCCCTCCTGAAAAACATTCCAGGGCTACAGGACAAAGACAACTTTTTGTTCTACCGTGTAGTTGAATGTCTTGGCGACACCACCTTGACCTCCTCCTCCTGGTAGAGGGGTGGTTATTTCACTGCCTCTGGCCAGAATTCAAGTCTATAAATATGTATTTAGACATGGTTCTGTGTCAGCCACTGAACCATGTGTCGCAAAGGACACTATGGGAAGAGAACTCATATTCTGCCTCCATAGATTACCCTCTAAGCTAATGAAGATGTACATGTCTGTAAAGGAAGCAACTTTACTTGCTGAAACCCTGTTATTTCCAAGGCCTACCTTAAAATGTAACCTACTCTGCAGTGAGCAGAGATCGCGCCACTGTACTCCAGCCTGGGCGAAAGAGCGAGACTCTGTCTCAAAAAAAAAAAAAAAAAATGTAACCTACTCCATAAGGTTGTCCTAACCAGAAACAACATCTCCCTCACTTGAGCTCCTATGTCCTTGTCTATCTTCTATTTTAGCCGTTTATGAAATTGTCTTATTGCCCCTTTAAATTCTTTAAGCAGTGATATTTTAATAACTGGTAAGAGCAATATGTCAGAAGATGTCAAGTTCTTGACTGTGTGGTAGACATAGGTATCTCAATTATTGAGGAAACAAAGTGGTCAGAAAGGATTTCACTCAGCTATATTTGATGGGACACTAAAATTGAATTGTCTAGAGGAAGGTTTTAAATTAAGTAAGAAGATGAGCAAAAGTCAGATGTCCCAGGATGTCTCCTAGCACAGATATTTAAAATGTAGGAAGTTCTGACAACCTTCTGAGTGGCCATGAAGGGTGATCCAAAGTCCTTTTATAGCAGATTCATCAGTCCCATGATAGCACCTCTAATCCACACTAGTGACAGTAACAACTGGAGAATAATAATATATTTGTTTTTGAGGCCCTGGAACATCTCTGAGGACTATCGCCCTACAGAGAACAGGTAATCTTCAGAAGCACTTGAATTCCCATGTTTACATTTACCACAGAGACTGATATGACCTCTTTGGAGGGAAGGAACAAGTAAGAGCTAAACTAAGCCAATGCTTCTTTCTGCATAGTAGCCATAGTCAACCATAGACAGCGAAAGTTGTGTCTCTTTACAGATTTTTTGGAGCAATATTTTCCCTAATTACAAAATAGGAATGCATATGTTATACTCAGTCAAATCAAAAAAAATAATGATCATAGCTAAATAATACCACTATAAATATTTGAACTTTGTAATGGTTTTCAAAGAAGTAGTATTTAGAATGTCTCTTTAGAACTGCTAGTTTTTAGAAATTACTGTCCCTTAAGCATTTACTTTCTTTTTGGCCTTACTGTGTAAATCATGCTGCTCTTCCTCGATTTCCCAGGATCCCCAAGGCTGTGCTCTACAATGCTTGCTTTAAATAAAACTTGGTGCCAAAGAGTCTGCCGCAGCTTTCAAGTTCACCCGGACGACACTTTCCTACAATGGGTCTCTTCATACTTCACTATATCCGGATCTAGTTGATCCGCATTTTCTGCACAAAGTCTCACTTCCCAGCAATTGCAATCTGCATCTTGCATAGTTTCCTTCTATTCCCCTGGGTAGCTTGCTGCCAGGAAGGCAGAGGAGAAGAGGAGCTTTTTGATGCTAACAAGGCCTCTGTGTAGGACTCATAGCTAATGGTAAGGAGTTGAGTATGGCATTTCTCAGGGGAGCCCAGGTGAGTGAAAGTGTAAGGGCACAGCTGACAGCCATGTGCGTACCTCGCTGCTGGCCTAAAGTAGGTCCTCCAGCCTCTGAGCAGTAACCTGTTCATGGCTTACATCATGAAAAAATGAGTCAGTGCACTTGGCAACTCATGCCCTAAAATAGGTAAGGCCTGAACTCAAAAGGAAATTCTGAAAGAAAGGCATTATATGGTGACAGGTTTTTTTTTAAGTTGCCGGTGGTAGGATAAAAGCTAATGAATTATGAACATCTGTATTATTCTGCTGTCTTCCTCCTTCTGGACTTTTAGATGACTGTAAGCTCAACTTTGAGCTCAGCTAGTATTTTCTCCTGGGCATTCTGAGAAATGAGAACACATTTGCCTGCTGGGAGGCATACCCATTACTTATCAAATTAGCCCTCCTCAAGAATCTAACAGACTTGTCACTGCCTTTAGAAATCCCAGAAGGAAACACACACACACACACACACACACACACACACACACACACTACATGGTTGAAACACTCAGAAATCTCTTAATATATGTGAAGTCTTGGCCAACATACAGCAACCAAGGAGTCAAAAGTCATGTATGAGTCCTTAGGGATAATCTTTAAGCAGGCTCTTGCCACTGTCATGATTGGAATAGCAAAGGAAAAGCACCTGACCTTCTAAACAAAGAAGAAACAAATCAGTAAAGCTTAGATATTGGGACTTAATAACAAAAGATAACCTTAAGTAGCTCTCGGGATATACCAGGACTTTATTTGTGTTATCTCATTTAATCCTCATGATAATATCTTGAGGTAGACTGGTAGTATTAATATTCTCATTTTTTAAGATGAGAAAATCAAAGTGTAGGAAGCTTTAGTAACTCATTCAAGTCTCCCCTGTTAATCAGAGATGGGATGTGAATGCATGCTATCAATTACTTCTGCTTATCAGTGGTCAATGATATTTTCTATCAGGATTAGCCTACATCCAATAAATTTTGAAAGATGAAGGAAAAGATGAGCAGAAAAAAAATGCAGGAGTTCCTTATTTTTTAACAAAGTGAAGATAATACAGGGAAAGAACACAATGTCAGTCCATTTCTGTGTTATCTGGCTTACTGAGGCAAAAGGAGGTTCTGAACTCGAACCATATGAATGTTGACCCACAAAGACCAGGGTTTGTTCTTAGCTAAGTGAGTCTTTGGTTAAAGATTCTCACATAGACTCTGAGACCTTACACACATGGTATCACACTCATTCAAATGCAATTTTCCCCATTTGGCTATTTCAAGTAGTCAACACACAGAAACTGCGTTTTCCTCCTGTGTCTCCTTGGGGAGGTCAGGGAGGGGTGGTGACATCATGGGAACAGTGTCTGTCTTCTCTCCTATGACTCATCCGAGTATGTCAAAGAAATGCTGCTAATGCTAGTCCTGCAGCATGAATTATCCTATCTGCCAAGCAAACTCGTGGAAAACAGCATACTCTCTCCATCACAGCCCCAAAGAAAGGTAGAAAAGGCAGCAATGAAAAACTACTCATGCAAAACCAAAGCACAAGAGAAGTGAACTTTACTCACTTCCTCCGCTCCTCACAAAAAAGTATATATACATTTCCATTTTCATGTTGCCAGAAATAGGTAACGACGGAATTTGATTCCTCCTCTGTGCTCTCACACCACTTTGTACAAATTGCTAAATTACAATGCTTACCATATTGTCCTATAATTAGATTTTAGGTGTCTGCCTTCTCACTAGTGTAATAACTCCTTTTTTCCCTTACCATTTGTATTCCAAGCATCTGGTATCACATTTAACAAATATTTGCTAAACAAACAAATGAAAGGTTGAATAAATGGCATTTGCTCAAGGGCTCTCTCTAACTAGGACAAAAGTAATGTTCTTTTTCCTCTATTCTTTGTGACTGAAAATGGCTGACACAGTCATATTGGACGGGGGAATGGATCATGTCAATCTGGAGTATTGGGTGTCTCAGATGTTCTGGCAGTTACTGAATGAGTGTCGTATGTGTGGTTACACATGTATCTCATAGTTTCCTCTGCTTTTGTATTCTACAGAGTTTGTCTCTTCCCCACTTGTACCCACCAAGCCAGCCTATTTCATGATTGGCTCCCTTAATCACTTATTTTCTTTGAACTTAATTAGGTCAATTAAAATCCTTACTCTAAGAAGGCACTCTTCTTATTTTAAGTTGCAGGAGAGAGAGGAGGGCGGGAAACATCACTTGATATTACCCTACAGTGCATGCTATGTTCCAAGCATGATGGAGGCTGGATATTCAGCAAGACTCAGTACATCCGTGGCCCTTCCTCTTGCAGAATTTACAGTCAGTGGGAGAAAGAGAGATAAATCATAAGGCCAATCAAATGTAGTAACTATAATGACAGATGAAGCACAGGGTGCTATGGGCCACACAGGAAGGAAACCAAAGCCAATCTGGAGATCAGGAAGAGCCTCTAGACAACATACCTTTTACATTTTGACCTGAGAGATAAGTGAGACTTATCCAGGTGAAAGGAGAATGTAGGAAGGGGGAGGAGGAGACCCAGAAACTAGAGAGAACACAATATAAACAAAATACTCAAAGCTACTGAGGAGGGCTAGTGTTTAAGTGAGAAGGCAAACTCAGGCTCCAGCTATTTTCCCATTGCCCTTATCCTAAGGGCAATGGGAAGCCTTTGGAGGATTTTAACCAAGGTAGTGACATTTGGATCCGAGTTTTGGGAGAGAGACCTGGGTTGTAGGTAAAGTCACATAGATTTGGGAGTGGTATCATTAACGGGAGGTTAACTGCAACAAGTAGACCTTCAACATTTCCTTTTAGCAAGATTACTGTGGTGCCATATGGAGAATGGATTATAAAACTGTGAGACTAGATGTGTAGAAACCACTTAGGATGCTATTTCAGTAGTCCAGATGAAGATGGTAATGGTGACATTTGAAATGGAAAGAAGTGGATGGGTTCAAAAGAATACTAGACAGAATTAGCAGGCCTTGGCAATTGACCAGATGAGAGGTTGGCAAAATTTATCTGCAAAGGACTAGATAAGAAATGCTTAGCCTTTGCCAGCCATATGGTTCCTGTCACCACTACTCAACTCTGCTGTTTAGTGAGAAAGTGGACATAGACAATATATAAATGAATGAGCATGCCTGTGTCCCCATAAAAACCTATTTACAAAAAAACAGGCCATAGGCCAAATTCGACCCAAGGCTAGGGCATGCCAACTCCTGGATTAAATGAGGAGTGTGGCAATCAGAATAGTAAAAATGGCTCCCAAGTATGTGAACTCAGCGTCTGGTTGTCCGGGGCTACTATTTGCAGAGAAAGGGGCACAGGAGAAGGAGCAGGGTCAGAGGGAAGGAGGCAGTGACCAGTTTTAGACAAGCTGAGTTCAATATACCTGAAATATATCACCCAAGATGTGTCTAATAAGCAGTTAGACAGTTGGATCTCAGTTTCAGGAAAAAAGATCTGGGCTCTAGGTAAGTTGTTTTAGTTAGGGTCATCTAAAATATACTAACAGGCCACAAAAATCAGTGGCTTCAGTAATAAGTATTTCTTTCTCATATGATGACAGAACTCAGGCCAGGGCTGGGGGAGGACAGTTGTTCCAGGAGCCCATCTGATGGCAGCATCCATCCTACTCAGCCAAAAGGAGGAAAGTTCAGAGACAAGCATTTGTAGGAGGTTTCTATGGAGGGATCCGAACTTCCAGAGAGGTGACAAATGCAGTCTAGCTGTGTTTGTTTCTAGGATCAGGAGTAGACTGAATTTTGGTGAACAGCTACCAGGATCTACCACCAGAGTCAAAAATACATAGAGAGGTCAAGAAGGCATGAAAATGAATAAAAGTGATTCAGGCAACTATAAAGCATGAGACCAAGGTCAGAGCTCCAAAGAACACCAATGTTAGAAGATACACTGAAGAGGTAAAAGGAAGATCCAGCAAAGTAGAAGAATGACAAAACAAAAATAAAACGAGACTGTGTTAGATACTTAATCAATGTATGTAGAAATGTGAGTACAAATTTCATCATTAAGCACTGAGCACATCTCTGACAAGCTGACATTATTTGGTGCCTCTGATATTTAGATGAAAAATAAGCCAAATTGGATTTAAGAGAAAATGGCAAAATCAGCTTCTCGAAAAAGCCAGATTTTCATTACCATGCAGATGGACTGCTTTAGGGCTATGTGTCATAATATTCATTTTTTCCATTTACTTTTGTGTCCATAAATCAAGCTCTCTCTATAGGAGAAATGTATATTCTGCATCAAACATTTTATGTGATCTTATACACATATGAACTTAATATAAATATGAATATACATCTGTCGTTGTATACACACACTCAACACTCAAAGGATTCATTATCAAATGCATTTCTTTTTCACTTCCATTTTTTGCAATTTTCCATGCTCTCTGCTTTGCCCAAGGCTTCTTCTCCACCACCCAAACCATCCCACTTTGCATGTCTGTTCTTGGCTCTCAGTGGAAAGACCAAGGAAAAGAAGCTAGACTTCACCCTGATAACATTTTAAGTCCTTCTCCATTATTAGAGAATACAACAGAGTCTGTAGCCTGAATGAAAAATCCAGGCCAGAACATCCATCCCCTGTTCCTTGGCTCTTCCTCCAAGAGATCTCAGCTAGGAAAAGGGAGATCTGAAATCTTGCTGGCATGTTACCAACTAACAGAGTGGTATCCATCAATCTAGCCTCTTCTCTCTCTCTTTAGAATGTAAGGTATTCAGGACAACCATGGGAGTTCTGAGATTTTTGTATTTAGAACACTCTTTTTAGCAAAAGAACATCCAGCCTTGCTTATAAATAAGTTAAAAAAAAAAAAAAAAAGACAAGCAGATTAAAAAAAGCTGCCCAGGAGGCACTCATAGAAAAAACAAAATTAGTAACCTCTTCTACTTGCCCAGCATAAATTATTAGTGTACTCAGCTTGACCAAGTGACTATTTATAAGTCTGAACACCATGGTGTTCAATAAATATAATTGAGGATGGTGACAATGCTACCCATATTTCCTTACTTAATGACACCCAGTTGGCAGTTCAGTAGCACAAATCATATGCATTTTACTCTTCCTTTACTCGTCTTCACATTGTAACTCATATCAGGAATGAATTTAACCATTGGAAATAGCCTTCCAATTAGCAAAATTAATTTTTCGTTTGATTTGAAAGAGACCAGCCAGTGGATATAAGCAAGGAAAAACTCCGCAAGCAGCATTTCTGGCTTCTGTGAGGAGATTTTCTGTCAGCTCCAACAAGTCTTTCTTATTGCTACTTTTATAGGGTCATCATTATTCAACGTCTCCTAGCTTCAAATATCATCTGCAAAGCACATCTAGAAATTTAGCTGGTGATGCAGATAATGTATGAAACTGAGAAACCACTACTTGTTTCCCACTGGCTAAGTTAAATATATAGTTTAGAAGATTTTAGAACCTCTCAGCTAGTCTGAGGTGGGAGAAGGGCAAGAGTTCGCCAACACCATGTGTACATAGCCTGTGAAACTTCTTAGGCATTTGTTCAAAAGAGTATGTGAATGCAAAATTCACAATTTGGACATTTTATCTAGCCTTCAATTGGCAACTAGGCTGGAACTCCATCAACTTTGTTTAGTCAGATCCTTCTCTCATCTCTGCCATTCTTCTAAAGCCACAAAGTCAACCCTGCCATCTCCTTCTCTTCACAAGACAATCTTGTCTCCTCTATGTCTAGAAAATCAAAACCATTTACCAATACTGTGAAACTTAGGACCACCTTTCACTCTCCCATCAGCATCATTTTTCATAAGTAAGTACCAAAACAAGTCTTTCATCTGCCTCTGTTCTCTCCCCCACCACCCCTATCTTAGTCCGGGTGCCCATCACTCCTTACTTAGACTAGTACCTCTCGTCATCTTCTTGCCTACTGCCTAATTTCTCTGGAATCCATCCTACTCGTCTTCCATGAAAAGAAAAAAAAAAACTATCTAAAACACCAATCAGATAGTATCATGCCTTTGTATAAACCCTCACAACAATTACACCATCTGAGAATAAATCTACATTTATTCCCTGGTTACAACCTCATTTCTCATGACTTCTGTCACACATTTCACACCATACACACACAGCTGCTAGTCCTCACCTAAGAGACTTTCACACTCAAGTCTCTGCCTAGTATGTACCTCCTCATTAATCACCCCACCCTCCCTTGGTTCATTCCTACTATATGTTTAATGTTCATTCAGGGATAATCTCCTGGAAGCCCACAGACTTTTTTTTTTTTTTTTTTCCGAGACAGAGTCTCTTTCTGTCACCCAGGCTGGAGGGCAGTGGCGCGATCTTGGCTCACTGCAATCTCCGCCTCCCAGGTTCAAGCGATTCTCCTGCCACAGCCTCCTAACTAGCTGGGACTATAGGCACGTGCCACCACGCCTGGCTAATTTTTTGTATTTTTAGTAGAGATGGGGTTTCACCGTGTTAGGCAGGATGGTCTCAATCTCCTGACCTTGTGATCCACCCACCTCAGCCTCCCAAAGTGCTGGGATTATAGGCATGAGCCACCGTGCCTGGCCATCTGGACTCATTCTTAATCCTCTCCAAACACTCTCTACCTAACTCTGTGAGTGAACTCTAATACTTCTATATGTGAATCTACTTTTTTATCTCTGAATTAGTGGATGGTAATTGACATATGGAACAGAATGGAGGAAAGAGAACTTGACCTAAGGATCCAGGGGAACTTAGTGTATGATGACTGGAAAAGCCACGGATTCTGAAATAATGGTGTTGGGATAACAAGTTAACATACAGAAAAAATAATTTTGGATTCTTACTAAGTATCTTCCCCCAAAATTAATTCCAGAAAGATTAAATCTTTAAATGTTTTTTAAAATCACAGAATTAGAAGAAAATTTAATGGACAATTTCTATAATCCAAGGGGAGAAAGTTTTTCCAAGTATAATTGTAAAAGCCAGAAACTATAAGGATTGATACATTTGATTGCACAAATAAGTAGCTTTTCAATTGGGAAAAAAAAATGCTATAAATCCAAGTAAGAAGACAATCAACAAATAGAGAAAACTGCATATTTAGCACATTGCCTGACATCTAATTTACTTTGTATAAACTGATTTATATGTAGAGGGCTAATCTCCCTAATATATAAAGAACTCTTTTGAACCAACACAAAAAAGACAAACCTCCTATTAGAAAAAGCAAAACAAATGACATGAACAGGCATACAAATTGCCTCTAAATTTATGTAAAATTTTCAAATTCCCAAAGAAGTTCAAATTTTACATGTTTTGTATAACAGAATAACAAAGATTTTAAAAAATACTCTGAGTTATTGAAGACGTGGGAAAATGGGCACTGTTAAATACTGCTGAGAGTAAACTGATAAAAATTTGCAGGAAGTAGTTTAAGAGTACATATTAAAAATTATGACCCAGAATTTTCACCAGAATGTATCCTAAATAACAACCTAAACATCTATCAATGAGGTGTTCTTAAATTATAGTAGCTCTTTATATTACAGTATCATGTACCATCAAAATCAATAACACGCATATTTACAAAAAAAGCTACACCTATGTTATAAATTTATTTTAAAAACTATATTTGAAAACAATTTATAACACAGTTGTGTTTTTAAATAGGTGTGCTTACATGTACAACAAGAAAAAAACTTAGAAGGATATTTCTCAAAATGTAAATCATCATCTCTAAGAGGTGGAACTATGAATTCCTTCTTTATACCTTCTTTCCTATACATAGATTTTTGAATTATCTGATTTTTTTTCAAAGAGCATGTATACTTTTATAATTAAAATTATTATGAACAATATAATTATTTCTACTGTTTAATAAGAATGGAGAAAGACAAAAACCAATGTTTGTGTGAATGGATAGAGAAGAGTCACATGTCTAAAAAAGCTGCCATTTTAACTAAATTATACCAACCACAACCAAGGAACACTCATAAAGTCCAGCTTGTACAAAGTTTGACAAATCCAATTAACAAAATACCATAGACTGCCTGGACAGTTAACACTATAGTTTTCCTTTTCTGAATCTTTCTCATACACAAAACAGTCAGCTACTATTCTAATTCCAGTGGCCGTGAAACAAGAATGAACTGTTTCATATCCATTCAACTCTGATCATTCTTATAATAGAAAAGGTGAAGCTAATTTCCTTTCTCTGTCTCTGAAAGTTTGCCCATCTTTTGTCACAAAAAATGTTGGATGGCCTTTCAGCTCTAAGGATAAACGCATGCACAGGTTACCAGGACATGTTGCAAGTTTATATGCATGTTCTCATATGAACAATAATCATGTCTATGATTAGCCAATAATTCTCACAAAACAGAAGGGTATCAGTAACATAGGCAGAAAAATCCAACAAACAAAAATGTCGACTAAGCTTTAAATTCATTTTATTACCCAATATTATAAATTTTATTACCCAATATTAGTTCAAGTCCATCATTTTAAAATAGGGTTTATCAACCATAGGGAGTATGGGGAAGCTAGGACTTGGTGACTGGTCTTCCTGAGAACAAAAGAAGTAAAAGTTATTTATAGTGACCTTTTAATGTTTACCTTAGAGCTGCTAATCCGATGTAAATTGTCACCCCATGGATATGCATAATCAACTTTATTCCCTTTGCTAATTGAGAAATAGAGCTGTTAATGTCAAGAAACATTTGAAAAATGCACCAAGCCTGCTCAATGGAGCAAGTTCATTTTAAAAGTCAGAGTTTCCATATGGTAAAATCATGGAAATTAAACTTAGGGGAAAAAAAAAAAAACAGAGAGAGAGACTAATTTGTTATTGAGCTAGTCTGTGCTAGAACAAAATCAGTCTTAACAACCCCAAGCCTGGAAATTTTGACCACTTCTTATGTTCAAAAGTAACTCCCTCAGCTCTTATGAAAAATAATTCCATCACATCTCTCCAAAGTTCCTCTCCTGCTGAGTTTATGCTTTCCCACCTGCACTGGGTCTGGCTTAGCAGTCACTTTGCCAGGACACTCACACAATGCAATTCACACAAGTCAGTCCTTCTCTTTCTTTTACTCTCTGGTAGGTTGTCTTTTGAGTTTCCTTTAAAACTGATCACTGAGAAGTAAATGAGTGAGTCGTATGCCAATTGTGTAAAAAGGGGATGATAATATATTCCCTTGAGTGATACTTGAAGATTGCTGTCACTTTTATAATGCCACATATGGTAGAAGTAGGCAAAATTTTAATTTATGGTTAATCTTAGAAGAGATGTGGTTAAAGCAGTCACTGGCTGCAAGGGACCACTTTGCCCTCTCCTATTCCAAGACAAGACTCACTTCTACCCTTCCTCAGTGACTTCCTTGTTTTATAAAACCCAAGTTTTCTCCCGTTTCTTTGAGACAATCCTCATTATTGAACATTCTCCCCCTTGAAAGAGCTTAACTAAAATCTTCCCCTTAATTGTCTGCTGCATTTTGTCTAAGAAATTAAGGCCAGCCCTAAGCATGTGCCCCAAACATTCTCTTCTCAAAGGCAAGGCCAGCAACCATTCTGTTTCTTGCGACGATAGAAAACACAAGTCACAGTGAGAAGAGCACAAGCACTAACCACACACATCGATGGCACACTTCAAGATCCTGCAAGGCAGACTTAGTCCTGAGTGAGTGGGGCTTAGTCCTGAGCACATCTAGACTTCAATCTCCTGCAGTCACCAGGCCCCGCAGAGTGATATGTTCACAAAGACACACCTGATGTGAACTGCATGCTCTTCTGAGAAGGTAACCCATGATTAGCAGAATAAGCTCATATTTAAAAAAAAAAAAATGGTTCTTTACTCCATTCCCACCACACACTGCAGGGATCTAAGTAGGGGTTACCTAACCTCTCTGAGCCTTGATCTCCTCATCCATCAAAGTGCTTTAACTGACCTAATCACAGCCAGAGGGCTCACCTTGGTTCAACAAAACATATTCAGACCCATTCTCCTTTTACTTTTAAAAAAATCTAATTTTTTTTTTTTTTTTTTTTTTGGAGACAGAGTCTTGTTCTGTCACCCAGGCTGAAGTGCAGTGGCGTGATCTCAGCTTATTGCAACCTCCATCTCCCGAGTTGAAGCAATTCTCCAGCCTCAGCCTCCTGAGTAGCTGGGACTACAGGCATGCACCACCGTGCCCAGCTAATTTGTGTATTTTCAGTAGAGACGGGGTTTCGCCATGTTGGCCAGGCTAGTCTCGAACTCCTGACCTCAGATGATCGGCCCGCCTCAGCCTTCCAAAGTGCTGGGATTACAGGCGTGAGCCACCGCACCCGGCCTCATTTTTTTCTTCACTTTTTACAAAATAACAGTTTTACTGAAATATGATCCTCATACCCTAAATATTCCCCGTTTTTAAGTGTACGGTTCAGTGATTTTTAATATATTCACAGAGTTCGGCAATTATCACCATTATTTAATTCCAGAACATTTTAATCATCCTCAAAAGAAACCCCATATCCATCAGTAGTCACTCCCCATCCCCCCACTACAACCCATGATAACTACTACTCTACTTTCTGTTTCTATGAATTTGGCTATTCTAGACATTTCATATGAATGAAATTATATAATATGTAGCCTTTTGTGACTAGCTTCTTTCACTCAGCATAATGTCTTCAAAGTTCATCTATGTTGCAACATGTGTTGGTATTTCATTCCTTTTGATGCCAGAATAATATTTCATGGTATAGATATATTAATACCAGATTTTGTTTATCTATTCATCAGTTGATGGACATGTGGGTTCTTCCCACTGTTTAGCTATTATGACTGATGTTGTTATGAACATTCATGTACAGGTACTTGTATGGAAATATGTTTTCAGTTCTCTTGGATACATAGCTAAGAGATATACTGGGCCATGTGGTAACTCTACGTTTAACCTTTTCAGGAACTGCCAAATTGTTTTCCAAAGTGGTTGTGCCATTTTCTTTGCTATTTGATATATTTTGGTTCCTTCTGTGTCTGCTTTCTGGTTTTTGGGGGCTCAGCTGGGAAAGTAATTGGGATACTTCAAAAGATATTTTACACATAGTGGACAATTTTTAGCCATTATAGGTAGACACAAATACACAGTGGCTGAGCTTGGGAGCCACAGAATGTGGTGCTATAGGGCACACCGAAAGGATATCCATGCTAGTTAGCAATGATACCTGGAGTTCAGAGAACAATTTAGGAAGATCTGGGTGGGTTTTGATATGATATAGCAATAAACAACACATGGATGCACGCACTTAGACCTTTATCTCAGGTGCTTAAACTATAACCAGGACAATTCAAGACGTACGTAAATAATGACAGGACACATTTTTGAGATTCCTTTGCTTTTTTTTTTTTTTTAAGAATATATAAGAATATTTCCAGCTGGCCATATCAGAGAAGATGGTTTTGGAACAGAAACCATCTTCACTGGCTCTTGAAGGATAAAAATGTCTTAAACAAGCAGAAATGAGGAGTTGCATCTCAGGCAGAGGCAACTGTATAAAGAAAGGCACAGAGTGAAACATACAAATGAGGAGCTGGAAAAAGATACAAAAGAAATGAAACAATTAACATTGAATATGAAAGGTGATTTAGAAGGTGGAATACAAGATGACTCTACGTTTTTGGCATGGAAGATGGGATAGACCACTGTGCCATTAACAGAAAGGATGGTCAAATCTGAAGGAAGAACTAGTAGGAGCGGGAAGGAAATGAGTTCAATTTTAGACATAGATTGGGTTTAAGCTATCAGGGGAACATATGTAGGTAGGGTCCATTAAGCAAATAAAATATAGAATTGGAGCTTAAGAAATATATTTCCTAATAGAGGTCATTGCTGAAGCCTTCAGTGGGAACACAGGGAGAAGAAAAGTGGCCTGTTATAACTTACCCTCAAAGAGGAAACTCAGTCCACTGCAGAACAAAGAAGACCAGGACAAGGCCATGCAAGGGCTTGGGAAACTGACCAAATTTTAGGGCTCAACCTTGAGGAAGGGAGCTGGCTGTTCAACTACAATGTTCTGAAGGACAGTGCAAACACAGGCTTAATCAGGCCAGAGCTGATAACTAGGAAGTTTAATCTAGAAAGTCAGGCACAGCAGCAGGAATTTCCAGTCACAGGCTAGCCATATCAGGACAGATCACCTGCCACGGGATCAGGAGATGAAGGACAGAACTCAGCCTCTCCAGAACTAGCAGGACCTGGGCAAAATAGACAAGTTCCATCCAAAGGGACGGGATTCCAGAAAGACTCTAGTTCACACAAATTGGACAGATCTGATAGGCTTTGCTGGAAGGATACAGGATGGTCTGAATACGAGTAACCAGAAGTAACTCTACCTCCCCTCTGTCAACACCTGGTTTACAGGAGCAAGACTGGTTTGGGTCCCCATATGCTACTTACTGTAGATGAAGCTTCTATTGTTCCTTCTGCCCTGTTCAGGAAAGGCTCACAAACTGACTGAAGCTAAGCTTCCAGATGCTCCATCACACCAGAATCAGCATTGAGGAAGGAAAGGATAGGGCCTTGCAGTACATTCACATTTGGCAGGGCAAAGAAGGAAGAGAGAAAAAGAAGATACGGTGGTGGATACATTCAAACACTCTGTATATCAGCAGAGAGTAATGATGAAGCAGGAGAGAAGGAGATCAGAGAAAATGAAGGAGTGGACTCAAAAAAAATGGGTGAGTCATCAGGGAATCCCTTTGTGTCACTGGTTTTCACCTAAAATTTTACTTTACCATATCCAACAGTGATGCTCTATTACAAATAATGCTTTGCTTGTCATCCTGCCTTCAAAAGCCCCTTTAGTTTTCAGCAACCAATACGTAAGAATCACAACTCCTACATAAGTACCTTTTGGTAAACACATTCAATCTTGACCTGGAAGCTACAGTAAAAACAAAGAAAAGATCAATTATATAAAGTTGGAAATACAGACCTCCAAAGACCCTAACTGTTAGAGTAGCCAGCACATATCAGAAACTTTACAGAATGCCAAATCACAGCATAAATAATAAAATGTAAAACTCAGTGGTTATAAAAATAGACTGTGAGCTAAAACTTAAACAATTAAACCATATTATAGAAAGGCATCTTTTGAAAATTTAAAATACTACAATTTTAACACATATAAAAATTCACAAAAATGAAGTTTTTTTTTACCTCATATTTTATTGAGGCAAGAAGTAAAACAAACAATGATCTTAACACCATGATCAAAAATAGAAACTTTCAATCAACACTGCACTTTTCACAAAATTATAAGAGGCTGAAAACTGCAAATAGCACATGTCAAGTCTCTGCACACTTCACTAGAGATATATTTATTCAAAACTAAATGTCTCCCAACGATCTTACTCTAGAAAGAACATGAGTCATATATGCTGAGAAACTCTTCTTACAGTTTTAACCTTTTGCGGAAAAAAAGGCATAGCTTCCAGCCCATACACTAGTAAAGAGCCTGTGAAAAACAATTTCACAGTTTAAAAAGCAAGACTCTCTTTGGCACTGATATCCAACATTTCAGACAGAGAAGCAAAGAGCTCATCCCAGCTGATGACTGCCTCATAACTTGGGAAGCAATTGCATAATGACTAATTCTGGAGCTTGTGCAGATACTGGGACAAACACTGCAAACCTTGTAAAGGACAAAAAATCCCAGTGGGTGATAAATCAGCATGGTTGCTCAGGCCCTCCAAGTAGTATCATGGAAAAGTGCAGTGGCCCCTCATATCGCACTGAGGCATCAGCTAAGAAATGACTTGAGGGAAGAATGCCTCCTATGGAATCATCAACAAGTCAAACAGATCACTTCGTTTTTATACACTTCTGGTTCAGGAGTCTGATTTGGTGCTCTACAGAGGAACACACAACCCATGCTAGCAAAAAGAAGTAGAAAGAATTCTTTTCTCCTTCTAGAATGGTACCCCAGCACAATCGGGATTGCTAGAGGGCAGATATGCAACAGAGCGTTCTTAAAGTTACTCCTTTTCTGAATACTAAAGAACTTTTCTCAGGCTTTTTGAATGAGCTGAAAACCAGTTTCGAAAGATAAGATATTAAACCATTTCTATAGGGAATAAGAACACTGGAGATTATTTACTTTGCTGTAATTACTTTGGCACATAGGGAGATTAGCTTTCAAATGCTACTAGGTTTGCATACAGAGATTTCAATAATGAAGAAAAATTAGTTCATGTTTTGAATATTTAGGGCTTGAAGTATATATTACTGCTAAAGAGTGAAAACTGGTTAATACTTGTGCAGAGAAGAATAGTTACCAAAACCATTAATTGTTTTAAAGTCTGCACTTCCTTCCCCACGAACAATCACTTATTTGGCTTATTTTCTCTCTTTTTTAAAACAATACATAATAGTTGTACATATTTTTGGGGAATATGTGATATTTTGAAACATATGTACAATGTGTATGCATGTATAACACATCAGGATAACTGAGATATCCATCACCTCAAACATTTATCTTTGCTTTATGTTGGCAACATTCCAATTCTTCTATTTTGAACTATATATTAATTGTTCATTATAGTCACCCTACTGTACTACAAAACCCTTGATATTATTCCTTCTATCCAAATGTATTTTTGTACCTGTTAACAATTGTTTGTTTTTAAAAAGCATCTTGACTTTTATTAGAGCCACTACTAAATGAAAACTCACTTGTACATTCATAAACGAGTTTGAGTTTCATAAGAATTGGGTTTTTAAACCAAGAAGCAAGACAGCCAATAATTCCATCTAGTAAGGGGGAAAATAAAACTTCTTTTGAGTTAAATGAACAAGCTTCAAGAAGAGATAAATGGAATTTTAGAAATTCATTATTTAGTGGGATATTTTCTTGGGTTTTCGAGATTGTTTACATCATGACTTTAAGCTGGGACCAAATTTATTTCTGAAAAGAGTCTGGTAGCATGTCTCGCTTTATACATTATAGTTCATCTCCCTGCTTGCTATCTGTTAGGTGAGAAGTGGTTGAGATTAAGTGACAATGTTTGCACAGTTATTTTTGACTTTTTATTCTGAAACAATTATCAATTTACAGGAAGTTGCAAATGTTCCATGTTCTTTTAGCCAGCTTCCCCAGATGGTAACATCTCAACATAATTATCAAATCCAGGAAACTTGGTTTGGATCATAATCCTGAAAGATACAATCCCAAATGTTGAAATCCCAAAGGATCAAAATCCCTAAATATCAAACGCCCTTTAAATCAAAATCTTAAAGTCCAAAATTCTGAAAATTATAGTCACATGATAGTTGTATCATGTTAGATGAAACTATTACCTTCTTACTGTCTTTATTTGGAAATTGAATATGATTTAAGGAGAGCTGTGTCTTGAAAGAAAAACCTCAGCTATTCATCATGATACAAGACTTTAAGATATAATGATTGTGAAAGTCACCCAACTCTTATAAACTATCTCCAGGCAACTGTCCACAATCTATTCTTGCAATACACTTTTTCACACATGGAATTTTAAAAGATTTTTTCTTATTATTTTAGTTTTTCACTCTTTAAAATTATCAGCATTATTTTCTACAATTCACTTGCTATGTATTTCATCTTCACATCATTTCAATACTGGAGGTACAAAACTGTAGAGACCTTTAGAGGGTTCCAATTAGTTTTACGCATTTTTTTGCAAGAGACTCCACGAAAGTGCATTATCACAATGTTAATTTTTGTTTGTAAGCATTTGTGCATGTACATAAAAACACTGAAATTTCCTCAATAAAGAGATGTACTTTTTGTACACGTGCATTTGTAAAAAATAACATTTCTCAAGATCTCAGCAATTTGTGTGACTGTATATGTTGTGGTGACCCATCTTAGTTTTTTAACTAATCTCCTCAAAAGACTTAGATTGTTCATCACAGTATTTCAGATGACCACAGGTACAAAGCTGGGTGCACACGGTTACAAACCACAATGATATGCACTCATTATTTCCCTTTTTACCTATTTCTTTATGAATAGGGTTTATCTGCTCATAACTGTTATACCCATGCAATTATTGTGTGTATACCTTAGTGCTTACACAAAATATCTATGTTAGTATTGTGTATTTTATTGTGTAAGGTAACCTATGAAGTGTTCTGTCATGTTTTTATATGTTTCATAAATAAATCCCCTTTTAAAATGCAAATACATATCTTTTAAAGAATTTTTAAATTATTTTTTCCAGAACTATATTTTTGGGATTTTTATCTTTCAGGATTGTGATTTTGGGGATTTTAGACTGAAGGAATTTTATCTTTTGGGATTATGGCATTTGGAATTGTGTCTTTTGGAATTATAATAATCTTCCCAAGAAACTACAATAGTATGATACCCTTATACAGACTACAGACCTTATTCAGATTTTGCCAGCTTTTGTATGCACTCATTTGTACATGTGTATGTATGTATGTATATATATAGTTTTACATAGGTGTAGTCCCTGTGTAGATTCTGATAACCATCACTGTAATCAAGAAACAGCATTCTTCTAACCCCACCAGGGAACACCCTTATGCTACTCCCTCCATCCTATCCCTATCCCCTGGCCACCACTAATGTGTTCTCCATCTCTATAATTCTGTCCTTTCAAGAATGTTATATAAATGGAATTATACACTATGAAATTTTTTGAAACTAGCTTTTTTCACTCAGAATAATGCCCTTTAGACCCAGCCAAGTTGCTGCACGTATCAATGGTTCATTTGTACTCTTTTTAGTGCTCTGAAATATTACTCTCATTTTGATCATCATACAAATTGACTGAATGCAGAAATATCTTGTTGAGGTTTAAATAGATAGATAAATAGCACTTCTCACAAGTTCCAAAACAAATTAAAAGGCAAATGAAGCAGGCAGATAGGGGATAAAAAGATATCAATGCTTTACTGTTCAGTCTGATTGAAGAATATAGCTTTATATCTGATGCCAGAGGGGTTGGCTAATACTCTACTGCAGGATTAAACTTATCCATTGGCATAGATGGAAAACTACTGGCAGGCAAATCTGGAAGAACGGGGCATGCTGAATTCCTACTCTGTAACTCACCTTTCAGGTAATGCTATAGTCAAAATGTGTCCCCCCAAAACTCATATGTAGAAACTTGGTATTAATAGATGGGGCCTCTAGGAAGTGATTAAGTGATGAGGACAGAGCTCTCACAAATGGGATTAGAGTTCTTATAAAAGAAGTCTGGGCTGGGCGCAGTGGTTCATGCCTGTAATACCAACATTTTGGGAGGCCGAGGTGGGTGGATCACTTGAGGTCAGAAGTTCGAGGCCAGCCTGGCCAACATGGTGAAACCCCATCTCTACTAAAAATACAAAAAAATTAGCTGAGCGTGGTGGCAGGTGCCTGTAATCCCAGCTACTCGGGAGGCTGAGGCAGAAGTATGGCTTGAAGCCGGGAGGCAGAGGCTGCAGTGAGCTGAGTTTGCACCATTGCACTCCAGCCTGGGCAACAAGAGTGAGACTCTGTCTCAAAAAAAAAAAAAAAAAAAAAAAAAAAAAAGTTTGAGGAAGCCCTTTTGCCCCTTCTGTCAAGAGAGGACACACAGAAGGCACCATCTATGAAAAACAGGCCTCTACCAGACAGCAGATCTGCTGGCATCTTGATCTTGGACTTCATAGGCTCCAAAACAGAAAGCAATAAACTTCTACTGTTTATAAACTACCTATTCTATGGTATTTTGTTATAGTACCAGGCACAGACTAAGATAGGTAACTTTAAATCCAGGAGAGGAATGACTTGGGAGGCATAGAAAAATGGGTAGTGTTCTTTCCATATTTTTCCTTCCTCAGGTGCAGTGTGTACATTCTGTCCTCTGTAGAAACATAAAGAGTATGGAATAGACATTGTAGCCAACAATCTAGATTTTCTCCCCCTTATCCCTTTCACTGTCTTTTAGTTTTTCCCTTCCATTTATGGGCAACCAGAAATGTTGCTATTCCCCTGAGTGAAGACTGCTTTTCGGGGCCATAAATCCAGGCAGCTTTAGATAGTATTCTTAGATACCTCTCTGAAGCGTCTCTGGGAATGTTATACGCTTATCTTCCTTTCTACTTCAGAAGTCCTATTCATAGTCCTATTCCTTTGTTCTATAGAATATCTCAATAACATTTCTTGAGAGTAGATTTTATTCAGTAGATGACAAATTTAAAGCAAAATATATAACAAACAGGCAATATGCTAGGAGTTAAGAGAATTTACCTTAATTTCCAAATGAAGACTTTACCTGTTTTGTTTCCCCTAATGTTTGCCCAAAAAGGAATAACTGACTACTAAAAATACCCTATGCTTACCAGTTCTATAGTAACCTTCCTTTAGAAGCTATTTCTTTATTAGCTTTTCCTATTTTAAAAAATGACATATATGTACATTATATATATATTTTTTTAAAAAACAGCTTTTTGCAATTTATAGCAAAATGGTAAACTAGAACAGGTTATTGTATCCCTTCCTCATGCTCAAACCTGAAAAAAATGACCTTAGTAGCAAAGAACTAAAAATAACAGGGATGGTGAAAGACACCAAGAATAGGTATGCCATTGTATTCTTCTTGATAGAATTATGGATAACAAATTAAGACACCGATAGAGAAAAATAAAAAAGAAGAGTGCACTTTAATAAGTTAGGGAGAATCACATAATGTTGAACTAGTGTCTTTTAAACAAAAGAAAATGTGATGTGTACAAAGGAAATCAGAAAAGAAGAAGAAAAAGTAAAACAAAAAGAAAACATAATAAACAGAAAATATATATGACTAAGATAACAGGAATAAGTCCTGATGTAACAGTATTTAAAGTCATTATAAATGGTATAAGCCCACCAATCAAGACCCTCAGAGAAGTTCTGACTTCTAATAATGGTGGAGTAGCTTATAACAGACTAACACTTTGCTGAAAATAGGTACAAGCTCCACACAAAACATAAAAACAACTTTTTGAAGGCACTGAAGGGAAACCAAATGAAGAAGGAAACTGACCTTTGAAAGAAAAAAAAACAACACACTGGGTAAGATCTACTTTTATACATCTTTTCCCTTAGGACAAGATAGGTGGAATTCAAGCAGAAATCCAGTCTGGTTAGTATGAAGAGTCAGAGGACAGAGTCTGAGGCTGCCAGAGCACTGCAAAAAGCAACAGGGGGTGGGACTGGTGATCCACAACGAAGAAATGCGTAGAAATAAGACCTGAATCCCGCATTTAAATCCTTGGCTGATCACTTAAATTGTACGTACATGCATGCATGGGGCAAGACTCCAAAGAGCACAGGATAAAACGAACCAATGGAAGGCGGAAAGAACCAAATAGAGATTTCAGCAGCTGTATATTTCAGCTGCTAATAATTATTATCTTGAATTTGCAATTTAAGTCCTGCCAGATAGTGGGGGCTTGGCAAATAACTTGGGCTTTCTAGTGACATCACAGAAGGGCCATGAGTTAAGAATAAATACTTATTTGAAGAACTATTTTCCTTACAACTAAAGGCAAAACAAAAACAGTTCTACCCTAACAAAGCCTAATATTGACCAGTAACATAATTGGATATTGGATATTATCCAATAATATGAAAGATATAGGTAAAAGACTACAGAGGATATAAAACATAATACTAAAATTATTTAACCTAAAAAATTCAGGAAAGGAGGAACAGAGAAACAAAATAGAGGAGACAAATGGAAACCAAATAGCAAAATTGCACACTTAAAAACAAATATCAAAAATTAAATTAAATATATGTAACACCCCTGCAGTGAGCCAAGATTGCACCACTGCACTCCAGCCTGAGTGACAGAGTGGGACTCCATCTCAAAAAACAAACAAACAACAACTCTCTCTCTCTCTCTCTCTCTCTCTATATATATATATATTTGTAATATATATATATGTAACACTCCAATTACAAGGCAAAGATTTTTAAACTAGATAAGAAAGCAAACAAATACATGCTCTATTAAAAAAGATGCACTTTAAATGTAAAGATATATGCAAGTTTAAAAAAAAGAATGAAAAAAATACATCAAATATTCCACATATAAGAAAGCCTGTATGGCTATATAAATATCAAACAAAGTAGACTTCAAGCCAATGTATATTACCAGAGAAAATGAGGGTAATTTCATAATGACAAGGGGGTGTTACTATAGAGGGCCGTTTCATTAATAAAGCTCAAGAATTTTAACATATATGAAACAAAGACTTAGTAGAAATAAGGGGAAAAAATAGAAACCATTCACATAGTTGGAGATTTTTAACACCCCTCTCTTAGGAAATTATAAAACAACAGACCAAGGGGATAGTATGAATGCAGAAGATTTGAACATTATCAGTGAACTTCAACTTAAAATATATTTTGAATAGTAAACTCAACAAAGCAAAATTCATATAGTACACATTCTTGTCCAGTACATTGAAAAATATTTAATGAGACAGACTATATATTGGAATAAAAAACATCTTAATAAATTTTTAAAAATCAGATAGAATATGTTTCCTGTCTACAAAGTATTTAATAAGATATCAATATTAAGAGGTCTAGAAATTACCAGGCCTCTC
This sequence comes from Homo sapiens, assembly GCF_000001405.40. Lineage (NCBI taxonomy): Eukaryota > Metazoa > Chordata > Mammalia > Primates > Hominidae > Homo > Homo sapiens. The sequence continues at coordinate 43,706,031 of NC_000013.11, forward strand.
AGAATATTCCTTCTAAACAATCCATGGGTACAAAGAAATCATAAGTGAAATTAGAAAATATTTAGAACTAAATAATAATAACATATAAAAATGTGTGAGATTTACTAAGGCAATGCTTAGAAAAAAATCTGTAGATTTAAAAAGCTTATATTTAAAAAAGTAAGAAAGGTTTAAAGTGAATGATCTATGCTACCAAGTTAAGAAGCTACAGATAGAATAAATTAATACAAAGTAATTAGAAAGGAGGAAGCAATAAAATAAAGCAGAAAACAATGAAATAGAAAAGAGACAGTAATGAATATCAGCAGGGCCAATTTGGGTTCTTGGAAAAAAAAAGAAAGAAAGAGGCGGAAGGAGCATACCACAACACAATTTACAATTATCACCCTAATAACAAAATGTGATAGCAATATTACAAAAAAGAAAAATCACAAACCAATATCACTCAGAAAGATGTAAAAGCTGTAACAAAATATTAAGCAAATCAAGCCCAGTAATACATAAACAGATAATACAGCTTGACCATATGGTATTTTTCCCAAAAATACAAGATTAGTTCAACATTCAAAACTGTATCTGATTAACAAAAATATTAACAATATATGGGTAAAAATAAAAACTATGATCATTGTAAGAGATATAGAAAGGACATTTTACAAAATTGAGCACATGATCAAGAAAGAAAAAAAAAAAACAAGCTCCTAGTAATAGAAGGGAACCTGATAAAACTATCTAAAAAAAATCTCACTCTAATATCACAATTAATGTTGAAATATTGAATGCTTTTCTCCTAAAGTCAGGAAAATATCCACTCCTACCACTTCTACTCAACATTGAACTACCAGTCCTGGATAGTGCAGTAAGGCAAGAAAGATATATATATATATATGGCATAAACATTAGAACAGAAGAAGTAAAACTGTTTTTTGCCCCCACCCTCACTCCCGACCCAGACAACATGGTTGCTTACAGTGAAAATTTTAAGGAATGTACATACACATAAAATTACTGGAACTGAAAAATTCCTTTAGTAAGGCCCAATGACAGAAAGTGAATATATGAAAATCAACTCTATTTCTATATACCGGCAGTGAATAACTGAAAATGAAATTTAAAACGATACTATTAAAAATTGCATAATAAAACATTAAATAGAGAAAAAACATAATAACAAATATGCAAGACCTCTATACGGAAAACCAAAAAATATTGAAGAAAAAGAATAAAGACCTATGTAAATGAATAGATGTTTCATGTTTCAGGGAAGTCTCAACATTAAACCGTGACCTGCCCCAAAGTTGATTTGTAGATTCAATGCCATCCCAATGAAAATCACAGCAGGATTTTTACAGAAATTGACAGGTGAGTCTAAAACTTGTATGGAAATGTAAAGAACCTATAGTTATTAAAACAATAAGAACAGGGTGGGGCGCAGTGGCTCACGCCTGTAATCCCAGCACTTTGGGAGGCCAAGGCGGGCGGATCATGAGGTCAAGAGATCGAGACCATCTGGCCAACGTGGTGAAACCCTGTCTCTACTAAAAGTACAAAAATTAGCTGGGCGTGGTGGTGCTCGCCTGTAGTCCCAGCTACTCGGGAGGCTGAGGCAGGAGAATGGCGTGAACCCGGGAGGTGGAGGTTACAGTGAGCCGAGATCACGCCACTGAACTCCAGCCTGGTGACAGAGAAAGACTCTGTCTCAAAAAAAAAAAAAAAAAAAAAAAAACCAAGAACAAAGTAGAAAGATTTACAGGACCTGATTCCAAAATTTACAAAAATGCTATCAGAAAATGTGGTTCTGATATAACGACAGAAAAAAAGATCAATTAAATGGAATAAGGAATTAAGATATGTATGTGGACATATATTGTTAGACTAGGTAGTTAGGCAGACATGAGCAGAGTGGGAGAGGGGTCCCCCTTATACTAGGAATGTCAGGACACCATCAGGTGATGGCTAGACAGTTCTTAAACTGCCTCTCTAAAATAATTGGTTGTAGCTGGTGCCAGGAAAGGCAGTTTCCCAGTAGATAGAGAACACCTGAAGCTGATGATCAGCGGCTTCCTAATAAGATCTCAGGAGTTGGGTGAGTGGGCTCAAGCATGAGCACTAAAAGGCAAACTGGCACGTTTAACTGGTATATGACCTTGCTCTAGGAACATTTGTCTGGTGAGGGAAGAATGCCTCAAGTGAGCATGCGTACAACTTCAATAAGCACATTGGGCATGCAGCCCCTCCCAAGTGCGGACAGGCCATTGCGCATGTCGACAGCCCACCCTAAGGGAAGAATCAAGGTAGAAGTAACACAGACCCTGGAATCATGCCAATGTATAAAGCCCCAAGGCAAAGGTCAAACAGTGCACTTGAATCTCTCAAGTCACCTGCTTGGCCCTCTTCCAGTGTACTTTACTTCCTTTTGTTCCTGCTCTAAAACTTTTTAATAAACTTTGACTCCTATTCTAAAACTTGCCTTAGTCTCTTGCATTGCCTTATGGCCCCTCAGTCAAATTCTTTCTTCTGAGGAGGCAAGAATTAAGGTGGCTGCAGACCCATATGGATTTGGTGCAGCTAACAATAGGACAAATTAATTTTCAACAGAAGCACCAAGGTAATTCAATACAGACAGAAAGTGTGATCTTTTCAACAAATGATGCTGAAACAAATGTAAATCTGTAATGAATAAATAGGCCTCACAATATATAGGTAAAGTAACCCAGGACGATTCATAGAGCTACATATAAAAACTAAAAATATAAAGCTGATAGAAGAAAAAACCTTTATGACATTAGGATGGTAAAGATCTTTCCATACACAAAACCCACTAAGGGTTAGGCAAAACAAAACATAAAAAAATTCTGCTCTTCAAAGGACATCATTAAGAAAATGAAACGGCAAGCCATAGATTCCCAGAGTGGCTTTAAAAAGCAAATAGCCTGTCTATGAGAATTATAGTTTTTAAAATAAGGATATAAAATTACTGGGGTAAAAAGGAAGAAAATATTTAAAATACACATATCTGACAAATGATGTATATACAAAATATAATTTTTAATTCTACAGTTTAATAAAGAGACAACACAATAAGTAATGGACAAAAGAAATAGAACCTTGAGAAATGAAGATGCAAAAGGCGAATTAGTATAAGAAACGGCTTCAGCTTGACATCATTAGTTACCTGAGAAATGCAATTAAAACCACAAATATTGATGAGGTAATAGGCCACAATATTGAAAAACACAATACATTCCAAAGGCTCAACATCATATGGAAAATTTTTTATGACCATACTATGTAGTAAAATCAGAAATTAATAACAAAGGAACAAAAAAAGTAAAAAATAAGTTTGCAAAATAAATATTAAATAACCATTACAGAAGAAATCTTAAGAGAAATTATAATTTTAAGTACATTTTTAACGAAACAAGAAAGACTGAAAACAAGCAAGTTAAACAGTCAACACAAGAATCTGCAAAGAGCAAGTAACAAATTGAAACACAAAAAAGGGAAACAATGATGAGGGCAGGGATCAATGTGAAAAACATTCATGAAGGAGGAGGAAAAGAAGGAAGAAGATGAGGAGGAGAGAAGGAGGGAGAAGGAAGATTAACAAGCTAGTTCTTGGGAAAGATTCCTAAATTATACATAGTTCAAGAAAATCTGAAAAAGATAAAAAGGTAGAAGTTGCAAGTTAAATTAAAAAACAGAAATAACTACAAACTGATTTTTAAATGAGAAAAGAATATCAAATCTTCTTGAAAATATTAAGCATCAAAATTGTTTGAGATAAAATAGAAATCTTGGATAAAACAATAATCATAAAAAACAGAACCGGAAATAATAATTTTTAAATCTCTTCCAAAAACGGAAAATATTAGGCCCAGATCATTTTGCCAGTGAGTTTTACTTTCAACAAACAGATCATTCCTATTTTATATGTTATTAAAGCACACAGAACAAGAGGATAAGCTGCCCAGCATATGTGATAAGAACACTGGTACCTTAACTCCAAAACCTAATAAGGACAATGAAAGAAAATCTCACTTATCAACATAGATGCGAATATGTTAATATAAACATAGTCAATCACATCCAACAGAGTATTAAAATAGGAGGGGAGAGGAAAAAGAGGGCAGGAGGAGGGAAAGACAGTGGCAGGGCAAGGAGACTATGGCAAAGATAACAAAGACATCAGGATCAGATAAAGTTTATCCCGATGTTCAGATATATCCTATGTCTGGATAACATATTTCCTAATAATTCAATGATGGTTTGACATTAGAAAACATATGAAAGTAATCCATCACATTAATAGATTAAATGAAAAAAATCACTTGGTTATCTCAATAAATGTAGAAATAACATTTGAAAAGTATACAATGATTCATGTTAAAAATTATCAGACTACTAAGAATGAGGGTAACTTCCTTAATAAGGTAAAGGTTATATAGCAAAATGTACAGCAAGCACTCAATTAATTGAAAAACTTTAGACACATAATACTACCTGCTATCACTACTTCAGGCCAACACTATGAGAAAACAAAAAGAAATCAGAAGGATAATAATTGAAGGAGGAGAGAAAAAAGTGATGAACATAAAATGTGTCTATCAACATAGAAAAATTAACACAATCAATGAAGAGAAATGTGACCAACATAAAAAAGTAAGCTGAACCAATAGATAAGAATTAACAGAATCAATACAAAAGTAGAAAAATAATAACAAATTTGAACAAGGTGGTCGAATTCAAGATCAACTTAACATCTACAAAATTGCTCTACAGAAACAATAATCAAGTAGAAAAATAGAAAATAAGATAGCATCCACAATAAAAGAAATACCTTTTTTTTTTGGTTTGGCTATCTAGGATTAAGAAAGTTGGTTTTTTAAATTATTATTATTATACTTTAAGTTTTAGGTTACATGTGCACAATGTGCAGGTTTGTTACATATGTATACATGTGCCATGTTGGTGTGCTGCTGCACCCACTAACTCATTATTTAGTATTAGGTATATCTCCAAATGCTATCCCTCCCCCCTCCCCCCACCCCACAACAGTCCCCAGAGTGTGATGTTCCCCTTCCTGTGTCCATGTGTTCTCATTGTTCAATTCCCACCTAGGAGTGAGAACATGCGGTGTTTGGTTTTTTGTCCTTGCGATAGTTTGCTTAGAATGATGGTTTCCAGTTTCATCCATGTCCCTACAAAGGACATGAACTCATCATTTTTTATGGCTGCATAGTATTCCATGGTGTATATGTGCCACATTTTCATAATCCAGTCTTACCGTTGTTCGACATTTGGGTTGGTTCCAAGTCTTTGCTATTGTGAATAGTGCCACAATAAACATACGTGGGCATGTGTCTTTATAGCAGCAAGATGTATAATCCTTTGGGTATATACCCAGTAATGGGATGGCTGGGTCAAATGGTATTTCTAGTTCTAGATCCCTGAGGAATCACCATACTGACTTCCACAATGGTTGAACTAGTTTATAGTCCCACCAACAGTGTGAAAGTGTTCCTATTTCTCCACATCCTCTCCAGCACCTGTTGTTTCCTGACTTTTTAATGATTGCCATTCTAACTGGTGTGAGATGGTATCTCATTGTGGTTTTGATTTGCATTTCTCTGATGGCCAGTGATGATGAGCATTTTTTCATGTGCTTTTTGGCTGCATAAATGTCTTCTTTTGAGAAGTGTCTGTTCATATCCTTCACCCACTTTTTGATGGGGTTGTTTGTTTTTTTCTTGTAAATTTGTTGGAGTTCATTGTAGATTCTGGATATTAGCCCTTTGTCAGATGAGTAGGTTGTGAAAATTTTTTCCCATTTTGTAGGTTGCCTATTCACTCTGATGGTAGTTTCTTTTGCTGTGCAGAAGCTCTTTAGTTTAATTAGATCCCATTTGTCAATTTTGGCTTTTGTTGCCATTGCTTTTGGTGTTTTAGACACGAAGTCCTTGCCCATGCCTATGTCCTGAATGGTAATGCCTAGGTTTTCTTCTAGGTTTTTTATGGTTTTAGATCTAACATTTAAGTCTTTAATCCATCTGGAATTAATTTTTGTATAAGGTGTAAGGAAGGGATCCAGTTTCAGCTTTCTACATACGGCTAGCCAGTTTTCCCAGCACCATTTATTAAATAGGGAATCCTTTCCCCATTGCTTGTTTTTCTCAGGTTTGTCAAAGATCAGATAGTTGTAGATATGCGGCATTATTTCTGAGGGCTCTGTTCTGTTCCATTGATCTATATCTCTGTTTTGGTACCAGTACCATGCTGTTTTGGTTACTGTAGCCTTGTAGTATAGTTTGAAGTCAGGTAGCATGATGCCTCCAGCTTTGTTCTTTTGGCTTAGGATTGACTTGGCGATGTGGGCTCTTTTTTGGTTCCATATGAACTTTAGTTTTTTCCAATTCTGTGAAGAAAGTCATTGGTAGCTTGATGGAGATGGCATTGAATCTATAAATTACCTTGGACAGTATGGCCATTTTCATGATATTGATTCTTCCTACCCATGAGCATGGAATGTTCTTCCATTTGTTTGTATCCTCTTTTATTTCATTGAGCGGTGGTTTGTAGTTCTCCTTGAAGAGGTCCTTCACATCCCTTGTAAGTTGGATTCCTAGGTATTTTATTCTCTTTGAAGCAATTGTGAATGGGAGTTCACTCATGATTTGGCTCTCTGTTTGTTACTGGTGTATAAGAATGCTTATGATTTTTGTACATTGATTTTGTATCCTGAGATTTGCTGAAGTTGCTTATCAGCTTAAGGAGATTTTGGGCTGAGACAATGGGGTTTTCTAGATAAACAATCATGTCATCTGCAAACAGGGACAATTTGACTTCCTCTTTTCCTAATTGAATACCCTTTATTTCCTTCTCCTGCCTAACTGCCCTGGCCAGAACTTCCAACACTATGTTGAATAAGAGTGGTGAGAGAGGGCATCCCTGTCTTGTGCCAGTTTTCAAAGGGAATGCTTCCAGTTTTTGCCCATTCAGTATGATATTGGCTGTGGGTTTGTCATAGATAGCTCTTATTATTTTGAGATTCGTCCCATCAGTACCTAATTTATTGAGAGTTTTTAGCATGAAGGGTTGTTGAATTTTGTCAAAGGCCTTTTCTGCATCTATTGAGATAATTATGTGGTTTTTGTCTTTGGTTCTGTTTATATGCTGGATTACATTTATTGATTTGTGTATATTGAACCAGCCTTGCATCCCATGGATGAAGCCCACTTGATCATGGTGGATGAACTTTTTGATGTGCTGCTGGATTCAGTTTGCCAGTATTTTATTGAGGATTTTTGCATCAATGTTCATCAAGGATATTCGTCTAAAATTCTCTTTTTTGGTTGTGTCTCTGCCCGGCTTTGGTACCAAGATGATGCTGGCCTCATAAAATGAGTTAGGGAGGATTCCCTTTTTTTCTATTGATTGGAATAGTTTCAGAAGGAATGGTACCAGTTCCTCCTTGTACCTCTGGTAGAATTCGGCTGTGAATCCATCTGGTCCTGGACTCTTTTTGGTTGGCAAGCTATTGATTATTGCCACAATTTCAGAGTCTGTTATTGGTCTATTAAGAGAGTCAACTTCTTCCTGGTTTAGTCTTGGGAGGGTGTATTTGTCGAGTAATTTATCCATTTCTTCTAGATTTTCTAGTTTATTTGCATAGAGGTGTTTGTAGTATTCTCTGATGGTAGTTTGTATTTCTGTGGGATTGGTGGTGATATCCCCTTTATCATTTTTTATTGCATCTATTTGATTCTTCTCTCTTTTCTTCTTTATTAGTCTTGCTAGCGGTCTATCAATTTTGTTGATCCTTTCAAAAAACCAGCTCCTGGATTCATTAATTTTTTGAAAGGTTTTTTGTGTCTCTATTTCCTCCAGTTCTGCTCTGATTTTAGTTATTTCTTGCCTTCTGCTAGCTTTTGAATGTGTTTGCTCTTACTTTTCTAGTTCTTTTAATTGTGATGTTAGGGTGTCAATTTTGGATCTTTCCTGCTTTCTCTTGTGGGCATTTAGTGCTATAAATTTCCCTCTACACACTGCTTTGAATGCGTCCCAGAGATTCTGGTATGTTGTGTCTTTGTTCTCGTTGGTTTCAAAGAACATCTTTATTTCTGCCTTCATTTCGTTATATACCCAGTAGTCATTCAGGAGCAGGTTGTTCAGTTTCCATGTAGTTGAGTGGTTTTGAGTGAGTTTCTTAATCCCGAGTTCTAGTTTGATTGCACTGTGGTCTGAGAGATAGTTTGTTATAATTTCTGTTCTTTTACATTTGCTGAGGAGTGCTTTACTTCCAACTATGTGGTCAATTTTGGAATAGATGTGGTGTGGTGCTGAAAAAAATGTATATTCTGTTGATTTGGGGTGGAGAGTTCTGTAGATGTCTATTAGGTCCGCTTGCTGCAGAGCTGAGTTCAATTCCTGGGTATCTTTGTTAACTTTCTGTCTCGTTGATCTGTCTAATGTTGACAGTGGGGTGTTAAAGTCTCCCGTTATTATTGTGTGGGAGTCTAAGTCTCTTTGTAGGTCAATAAGGACTTGCTTCATGAATCTGGGTGCTCCTGTGTTGGGTGCATATATATTTAGGACAGTTAGCTCTTCTTGTTGAATTGATCCCTTTACCATTATGTAATGGCCTTCTTTGTCTCTTTTGATCTTTGTTGGTTTAAAGTCTGTTTTATCCGAGACTAGGATTGCAACCCCTGCCTTTTTTTGTTTTCCATTGGCTTGGTAGATCTTCCTCCATCCCTTTATTTTGAGCCTATGTGTGTCTCTGCAAGTGAGATGCGTTTCCTGAATAGCACACTGATGGGTCTTGACTCTATCCAATTTGCCAGTCTGTGTCTTTTAATTGGAGCATTTAGCCCATTTACATTTAAAGTTAATATTGTTATATGTTAATTTGGTCCTGTCATTATGATGTTAGCTGGTGATTTTGCTCGTTAGTTGATGCAGTTTCTTCCTAGCCTTGATGGTCGTTACATTTTGGCATGTTTTTGCAGTGGCTGGTACCGGTTGTTCCTTTCCATGTTTAGTGCTTCCTTCAGGAGCTCTTTTAGGGCAGGCCTGGTGGTGACAAAATCTCTCAGCATTTGCTTGTCTGTAAAGTATTTTATTTCTCCTTCACTTATGAAGCTTAGTTTGGCTGGATATGAAATTCTGGATTGAAAGTTCTTTTCTTTAAGAATGTTGAATATTGGCCCCCACTGTCTTCTGGCTTGTAGAGTTTCTGCCGAGAGATCCGCTGTTAGTCTGATGGGCTTCCCTTTGTGGGTAACCCGACCTTTCTCTCTGGCTGCCCTTAACATTTTTTCCTTCATTTCAACTTTGGTGAATCTGACAATTATGTGTCTTGGAGTTGCTCTTCTCGGAGTGTCTTGGAGTATCTTTGTGGCTCTTCTCGGAGTATCTTGGAGTTGCTCTTCTTGGAGTATCTTTGTGGCGTTCTCTGTATTTCCTGAATTGGAATGTTGGCCTGCCTTGTTAGATTGGGGAAGTTCTCCTGGATAATATCCTGCAGAGTGTTTTCCAACTTGGTTCCATTCTCCCCGTCACTTTCAGGTACACCAATCAGACGTAGATTTGGTCTTTTCACATAGTCCCATATTTCTTGGAGGCTTTGTTCGTTTCTTTTTATTCTTTTTTCTCTAAACTTCCTTTCTGGCTTCATTTCATTCATTTCGTCTTCCATCACTGATACCCTTTCTTCCAGTTGATCGCATCGGCTCCTGAGGCTTCTGCATTCTTCACGTAGTTCTCGAGCCTTGGCTTTCAGCTCCATCAGCTCCTTTAAGGACTTCTCTGCATTGGTTTTTCTAGGTAACCATTCGCATTCTTCACGTAGTTCTCGAGCCTTGGCTTTCAGCTCCATCAGCTCCTTTAAGGACTTCTCTGCATTGGTTTTTCTAGGTAACCATTCGTCTAATTTTTTCTCAAAGTTTTTAACTTCTTTGCCATTGGTTTGAATTTCCTCCTGTAGCTCGGAATAGTTTGATCATCTCTGAAGCCTTCTTCTCTCAACTCATCAAAGTCATTCTCCGTCCAGCTTTGTTCCGTTGCTGGTGAGGAGCTGCGTTCCTTTGAAGGAGGAGAGGCGCTCTGCTTTTTAGAGTTTCCAGTTTTTCTGCTCTGTTTTTTCCCCATCTTTGTGGTTTTATCTACTTTTGGTCTTCGATGATGGTGACGTACAGATGGGTTTTTGGTGTGGATGTCCTTTCTGTTTGTTAGTTTTCCTTCTAACAGACAGGACCCTCAGCTGCAGGTCTGTTGGAGTTTGCTAGAGATCCACTCCAGACCCTGTTTGCCTGGGTATCAGCAGCGGTGGCTGCAGAACAGCGGTGGCTCAGATGGAAATGCAGAAATCGCCCATCTTCTGCGTCGCTCATGCTGGGAGCTGTAGACCGGAGATCTTCCTATTTGGCCATCTTCGCTCCGCCAAGCAGAAATATCTTGAAATTAACTTGAAAGTAAGAATGCTCAAGGAAGTCCTGGACAGAGCATTCAGGCAAGAGAAAGATTTAATAAAAGGTATCCAAATAGGAAAAGAAGTCAAATGATCTCTCTTTGCTGACAATATAATTCTACACATAGAAAAGCCTAAAGACTCCACCAAAGGCTCCTGGAACTGACAAACTAATTCAGTTAAATTTCAGGATATAAAGTCAATGTACAAAAATCAGTAGCAGTCCTATACAGCTATAACATTCTAGCTGAGAACCAAATTAAGAACACAATCCCATTTACAATACCCACAAAAAAAAAAAATGAATTACCTAGGAATTCATCTAACCAAATAGGTCAAAGATCTCTGCAGAGAGAACTACAAAACACTGCTGAAAGAAATCAGAGATGAAACAAATAAATGGAAAAACATATTAAGACCATGCTCATGGATTGGAAGAATCAATATTGTTAAAATGATGATACTGCCCAAAGCAACATACAGATTCAGTGCTATCCCTATCAAAATACTAACGCTGTTTTTCACAGAATTAGAAAAATCTATTCTAAAATTCATGTGGAACCAAAAAAAAGCCTGAATAGCCAAAGCAATCCTAATCGAAAAGAACAAAGCCAGAGGCATCACATTACCTGACTTCGAACTATACTTTAAGGCTACAGTTACCCAAACAGCACGGTACTGGTACAAAAAAAGATACACAGACCAACAGAATAGCATACAGAACCCAGAAATAAACCTGCATATCTACAACCATCTGATCTTCAACAAAATCAAAAAAAATATGCAATGGGGAAAGGACTTCCTGTTCAATAAATGGTGCTGGGATAACTGGCTAGCCATATGCAGAAGAATGAAACTGGACTCCTACCTCTCAGCATAACCAAACATTAACCCAACATGGATTAAAGATTTAAATTTAAGACCTCAAATTATAAAATTCCTAGAAGAAAACCTAGGAAATCCCTTCTCAACATTGGCTTTGGCAAAGAATTTATGGCTAAGTTCCTAAAAGCAGTTGCAACAAAAACAAAAATTGACATGTGGGACCTAATTAAAACTAAAGAGCTTCTGCAGAGCAAAAGAAACTATCAACAGGGTAAACAGACAGCCTACAGAATGGGAGAAAATATTCACAAACTGTGCATCTGACCAAGGTCTAATACCCAGAATCTACAAGCAAAAACAAATCAACAAGCAAAAAATAAATAAAGCAATTTAAAAATGAGCAAAGGACAGGAACAGACACTTCTCAAAATAAGATGTACAAGTGGCCAACAAACATGAAAAAAAGCTCATCACTAATCATCAGAGAAATGCAAATCAAAACTACAGTGAGATACCATCCCATACCAGTCAGAATGGCGATTATTAAAAAGTCAAAAAATATGATGCTGGTGAGGCTGCAGAGAAAAGGAATCACATATACACAATGGTGGGAATACAAACTAGTTCAGTCACTGTGGAAAGAAGCCTGGAGATTTCTCAAAAAAGTTATAATAGAACTTCCATTTGAGCTAGCAACTCACTACTGGGTATATACCCAAAAGAAAATAATCCATTCTATCAAAAAGACACATGTACTTATTAGTTCATTGCAACACTATTCACAATAGCAGAGATGTGGACTCAATTTAGTTGCCCTTCGACAGTGGTTTGGATAAAGACAAGGTAGTACATATGCACTATGGAATACACTGCAGCCATACAAAAGTGAAATAATGTCCTTTGTAGCAATATAGACTGAGCTGAAGATCATTATCCTAAGCTAATTAATGCAACAGAAAACCAAATACAATATGATCTCACTTATAAATGGGAGCTAAACATTGAATACACATAGACATAAATATGGGAACAACAGACACTGGGAACTACCAGATGGGAGAGGGAGGGAGGGAAGAGGGGATGGGTTGAAAAAGCCACCTACTGGGTACTATGCTCACTACCTGGAGGACAATATCATTTGTCTCCCAAACCTCAGCATCACACAATATACCTATGTAACAAACCTGCACATGTACCCTTTCATCTATAATAAAAATTGAAATTATTTAAAAATTGGAATCATCTCGGGAGGCTGAGGCAGGAGAATGTTGTGAACCCAGGAGGCGGAGCTTGCAGTGAGCCAAGATAGTGCCACTGCACTCCAGCCTGGGAGACAAAGCAAGACTCCGTCTCAAAAAAAAAAAAAAAAAAAAAAAAAAAAAAAAATTAGAATCATAATAAAGCTGTTAAAATAGCTTAGGAATAACGATATAATGTTGCTGTTGGACCCTTCAAACAAGACTTTGTTATATATTCCCCCTTGTGCAGGTATTCTACTGTGTCCTTTAGTAGTATTTTTAAATTTTCTTCATAAAGGTTTTACACATTTATAGTTTTAAAAAAGAATGCACAAGATCTCTATGGAGAAACTTTAAAAACTACATTAAGATCAGATACAATGGACGAGATGAATTAACCAAGAAATATTCCATACATAGGAAAAAATTATCGTCATCCTGTAATTTATTTTTCCTACCACTATTCTTCTCCATCTCTCAAGGAGGCAACTGATTTATCCCCTGAAGGCTCAGGGCCTGATTCCAAGCTGATCTAGATGTAAGACAATCAGCATTTTAATTCCCACTGGCAACCATTCCCTGAAGGTCTGGAGCTAGTTACTCTTCTAAGTATTTGTTTCCACAAAGCTTCTTAAGCCTCTTCTATTACTGCCTATTAGAAGTCAGGTGTCCTTCAGCAGTGTTAACTGTGTTTTTATACCTACCACTGAGTTGTAGTACTCCATATATATTCATTCAAATACACACACACACACACACACACACACACACACACACACACACACACCAGCAATCGCACATTCAAGGTTAGGTGTGGGCTTTGGTTTCTGTGACTCTGTCTTGCTCTAGCCTGCCCTTCTGCCTGGTTGCTGGAGCTGCTCAATGCAGCGCCTGGGCATTCAGGCTCCCCCTGAATCATCTACATCCCAGTGGTCATAATCAATGCTGTGGCTGGAAAGATGAGAGATAAGAAGATCACACGCGAAATTCTAGAAACCAGAAATGCACCAAGTCTTATGGCACTCATAGACAAAACACCTGATTAATCCCTCATTTCAACACAAGATATCCAAAGGAACTAACCACCAGAGAACCCTAACGTAGCGCACCAAGTGTGGACAGTCTCGGAACATGCAATGGAGCACCAGAACCCTAAAAAGACTGGCCAAAATCCTGAAAAAGCTTGCCACACCTTTTGGCTATGGAGCTTTTTGCCTAAGGGGCCATGCCTGCACCCAAGCTCTAGCCTGTCCAAATGAATGAGTCTCTTGCCCAATTCTGACCTTCTGTTTAAGACTTCTAGAGAAGGTATCAGACCTCATATCCTATTTCTGAGACACGATAACAGCAACATTTGTAAATCTGCTGGAATTCTCACATGTAAAGAAAATAACCTACAGCAGGTTCACCTAATCCTCTCTTCAAGCAGATATATTTTTAAAAATTCAAGATGTATATCTTTAACTGTAATCATTCTAAAAATAAGACAGAGAACAGTGTTTCATTTTGAAGGGAAATTGTCTAAAATTAATATAAATTACATGTTATTATTGAAAAATCACATATGTAAGTCTGACGTTTCTCTCAGGACTGTGCTTGCAGACTTATAGATCCCATGCAATATAAATAAGAAAGCAATGATCTTATTCAATTTTCTTGTGCCACACAAGTAAATGTTCTATAAACACACTACATTCTCTTTGATAAGGCAGCCCTGGACTAGGGCTGCTCCCTGAACCTACCAGTTTCTGTACTTCCATCTCTCAGTGACTTCGCACAAGTTTTCCTTCATACGGAAGCCCGTTCAATGCCTCTCTCTATCATTTCCTTCCTCAATGGCTACTCAAAATCACCTCCTTGAAAGTTTGCCCACTCTTCCCAGGTGCCCAAGCCCTTTGAGCTGTCTCAATTATAGCTCAGCTTCCATTTGCTTTGAATTGGACTTACCTTTTTCTCTACTACTCAGTGCTGGTGTTATGGGCATGTGACTTGTGCAGCCACAAAGAGCTTCACTCTTAGAAACTCCATCTGAGTTTAATGCTCTGCTGTCATCATCTTGACATTTTCAAGAACTTTATTTTTGAACTTGTGTTTTGTAAGTGAAGCCTGATGGGACACTAGAGCATGGGCACGAGCAGAGGGGTATGCACATGTGTGTCCCCATTCCTTTCTACCTTATTTGTATACAGCTTTTTTGATGCTCCATGAAGACAGAATTCCAGTGGATCCACAATGGGTGGGAGGAAGTCTAACAAGACTCAAAGCCAAGTACAAGGTAAACATATTACATTTATGACTAAGTAGTGAGTAAAGAGGGACACTGACAACCCTGAGAGGGCATGCTCTCCACTTGAACCAGAACTTGATTCACAGGCAGAAAGAAGGCAATGTTGTTCTAAATAGTAGTCAACCACTTGCTGGAAATAATGACATAGAAGAAAAGGGAAACACAGGGCAACCCATTATTTATTTTCTTTTCAGTCCTTCCTTATTTACCGGTAGTCCAAAAGGAGAGAGTGGTGGGTAGAATGTGCACATACCAAGAAGTGAAATAAAAACAACTGAGTTTTGTGCAGTGTTTCCACTGGTTTGGTAAGGACGGAGTTGTGTAATTTCAATGATTCCACATACAAATTTAGTACCCTTATACTTACATTTAAAACCAGTATTGCACAATATACAGATGAATGGTAAAATTCATGCTAATAATTTAAATTTTTAATTATTATTTTCTTAGGATATTAAATAGCAAATTTAAAACACCATAAATCCAGAGACTACATAAATAAGAAAAAGCTTTTATATATTTTATATCTTTTTTTTTTTTTTTTTTTTGAGACGGAGTCTTGCTCTGTCGCCCAGGCTGGAGTGCAGTGGCGGGATCTCGGCTCACTGCAAGCTCCGCCTCCCGGGTTCACGCCATTCTCCTGCCTCAGCCTCCCAAGTAGCTGGGACTACAGGCGCCCGCCACTACGCCCGGCTAATTTTTTGTGTTTTTAGTAGAGACGGGGTTTCACCGTTTTAGCCGGGATGGTCTCGATCTCCTGACCTCGTGATCCGCCCGCCTCAGCCTCCCAAAGTGCTGGGATTACAGGCATGAGCCACCACGCCCGGCCTATATTTTATATCTTTACTGGCACTTTTTCCCCTGCTTTTTGCACAAGGGGCCCCACATTTTCATTTTGCACTGGACCTTACAAATTAGATAGACAGCCTGCCACTGAGACATCAGTCCCTGGAGCACAGGGACTCTGCTTCATGCATGGCTCTCTAACTGCAGCACCTAGGCTATTGCTTTATGTTCATTCAGTGCTCAGTAAACACTTGTTAAACATAGAATGTGGTGTATAAGGACGAAAGATCTTAGGGTCCCAAGCTAGGAAGACAATAACCCTGCTCTCGACTCTGTTAAACAGACCACACCTGGGGTACAATGTCCAGTTCTCAGGGCCACCTTTGAACAGGAATGTAGAGAAGAACTCATCAAAAGATACTGGGTTCAAATTATTTCATCAGCTTATTAGCTATATAACCAAACAGAAATTGGATTAGTCTTTGTGATCCTCAGTGTTCTTTTTTGCAAAATAGGGATAAAAGGGTATTTAAAAAGACAATGTAAGTGAAAGCATTTTGCAAATTCCATTGCTTTATACACATGTTAGTTATTATGATCCTAACTGGAAGGTGTCTGTAGGAAATTAACTGGAATGATGAGATGGCATAACAGCAGGGCCTTAGGCAACAGAGAGGATCTAAGAGGAATACAGCCACTGACTTCTAACAGTTAAATGTTCACAGAGGGATGTAGGTTTAAGAGTGACCAGTGAGAGCACAGTAAAAACCTCTGGGAAGAAATGTATAATAAGGCAGGAAAGGAGCATGAGGAAAAATTTCCAAAGAAGTAAATGTGGGCCTGCCTGAGGATACAGTAAGTTCCCTGTCCTTTGAGAGTACAGGACTACCTAAGATTTTAAGAAACATGTAACATCAGATAACAACTGGACATAAAATAATAACCATAATGATGGTGGTAGATATTGTTTATTGGTGCATCCTAAATACCAGACATGATGACAGGGACTTTACATACATTATTTTTTAAAATCATAACAAATCCATAAAGTGGGTAAAATTACTCTTATCACTGTTATTATTACTCTAAAGGTAAAAAAAAAATAGGTTAAGTAATTTATCCAAGATCACAAAGCCAACCACCTTCCACTGAATTCAAAGTCAATATTGAACATTTATCTGGCTGCTAAAAGAAATAATAATGATTACAAATCCCAGGTCTATTTGTTAAAGACTCCCAAAATGGCATCCTCAATTTCACACAAACATGACAATAATCATCTGAATCATGAAGAAATCTAAAAGATATACCAAGAAAATTACATCATCATAAAACAGAACTTTAAAAATATCAAGGAGACAAAAGGTTTTCCTCCTAGGGCACCAACACAGTTTGTGAGTTCCTAGCCCTTCCCAAACTGTCCCCACACCTTAAGAAACACTAGGGGCTCTAGAGCTCTCTCTCTACACAAAGGATTCCTGAACACAGATCTTAGGCCCCGCCTTGGCAGAGCAAGTGGGAGCCTGGGCCTGCAGACAGCACTTTTGTCCCATTTGAAGATATACTATATAGCTTTTTATATTTAAGCATCTTGAAAATCACTCTAGGAAAGCCATATTTGGGCACTTAGAAGTATAGCAGGTGTGAAATTATCTCTTGGTGGGACACTGCTCACTTCCCCACCACTTAAGCCCAGAACGTGATTAAAACCAAAATCTGTAAAAGCAAAGCTGTGACATTCATTTAACATTTCCATTGTCAAAAAAATTACTCAGGAGCCTTGTAAGTACTCTGTATTCTACCTGTTAGGATTGTTTTGAAATGACATCACCACAAATTTCAACTGAAAATTAAGAATTGGAAGACAGCCGACTCTATCCGCTATTCCTAAAAGCACTTCAAACTCTTAATCTTCTTATATTCATTTCAAGTAGGTAACAAAGCACTCCATGAGTACAAATGCATTTTAACAGACTTTTGCCAATGCCAAGACAATGTGAGAGTCACTGAAGATACTCAAAATTTAAAAGTGGGTTTATATCACACTATAAATGGGACCCAAGACACTTTCTGTCCAGGTGTTGCTATACTTCAAATTGGTGGTGGCATTTTAACCATCTATACAAATGCCTGAATCTACACACACACACACACACACATACACATGACAGGAAGAATTGCACCAAACCTTTAAGCTGTAGAAAAAAAAGAAAATGAGACTCCAGAATATTTCATTAAGATAAAAATGTTAGGATAAAAATGTCCAAACACAAGCTTTGCTACTGAAAACAGTTATTCTGGGATATCTGATCAGCCGTACAACACCTTATCTCTTCACATCACTAGGGTAGTTTTTATATTTGAAACCACATCATAAATTATACTGTAATACCTATCTGCCTCAAACACAGTAGAAAAACACCTACACAGCATAAATCATACATGACATCACATTAGGTCTTTTAAATAATGTTGTGAACACCAGGAAAATATTCCAGAAATCCATTTTTCATGCTCTTTCTTTTAACTACTACCCAAATAGAAGTGTCTACTTTGCCTCTCCACCAGTCCTTTTCAGTTAAATAAATCAAATATATACAAAGGACTTCTCATGCATGAAAGGTACCACATGTTTCTACACAAATAGGAGTGGCATATCTATCCTCCCTAGGACACAGAATGCTGAGTTCAAGCAGGCCTGGTCTGTCTTCTATGTGCTCTACCTCTTAGAGGTCTGACACTGCTTCTCTTTGTGTCTACATTTTGTTTGAACAGTACCTCCAACACATGGAATGAAAGGACGGGGAGGGAATTCTCCTAGCACCTATGCATCCCTCACTCCTTGGCAACACTATCTTACCACATTGATAAAATAATCTATTTGCCTGTACCTATGCACAAGGACCATTTTACTCATTTGCGTATCTTCCCTGATTAGCAGGATAGTAGAAACAATTAACACCGAATCCATAAGTGTAGATTAAACAAAAACCAGTCAAGTTTGCCTTTGTATTG
Source organism: Homo sapiens (assembly GCF_000001405.40). Classification (NCBI taxonomy): domain Eukaryota; kingdom Metazoa; phylum Chordata; class Mammalia; order Primates; family Hominidae; genus Homo; species Homo sapiens. The sequence continues at coordinate 43,724,650 of NC_000013.11, forward strand.
TAACTCTGGTAATAGGTTTTAGAGGAAATTCAACTAAAAAGGAAAATGAACTTAAAGAGTCTGGATTTTTTTCCTAATCCATAGTTATCTAATTCACCCTTTCTCAAAAGAAGGCTCTCTCTTTCTTCCTCTTTATCGGCTCTTGCCTGTCTTTCCCTTTCTCCAGTTCTCTCTCACACACAGCTTGTATCTAAAGCTATGCAAGAAATACATTTTATACTAGTGATTTGGTCAGTGTTACCCTGCTTCTTCTTGCTATGAATGCAGTATATATGAGATAAGTACAAAAGAAAGAGTATCTAACTCTCTTATTTTCATCATGACCCACTGGGACAAGGGGAGAGAGAGGGCACAGCTGCCTCCACGGAATACCCTGTTATTGGGCATGACAAAGCCAAGGTAAAGTTCTCTGGCATACCTGGAATTCAGACATGATTACATGGATATATGTCTCACTTTCCTTGATTATTAAGTTGTAACTCTAGAGTATTTGACCAGCAGGAAAGGATAAGCTTTTTCTGATGAGTATTTAAAAAGAAGGGTAGAATCATTTTACTTTTAAATCCTGCTTTTAAGAGGAAACCAAATAGGGTCTCCCTTCCCACTGGTTGAGCAACTACCAGCCAATCACTCTGAGCCAAATGCAATGACTACAAAAGACCTTGGTTCCCTGAAATGCTTGAAGGTTAAGGGATTACAATATGACTAACTGGACCTTTATAATCGTAGCCAAGCTGAAGAATACAGGCCTCAGAGCTCACCAAGTAGTAGTGTTATTCTTTTGTTGTAAAGGGACTTAAACAGAGGGACCTAAAGAGTTAAAACAGTATCAGCCAAAGTCTGCTCCTCTCCGAGACAAGGACAAGAGCTGGATGCATGAATTTTATAAATAAGAGCATATCTTCGACTCCTGTGTCAAATTTAACTGCCACAAGTATGAAATTTCTGCAAGAAAAGTGACTGCTACTCTTTGCTGTTTTCATTTCTAAAGCCACTTTCTTCCCTGACCAGCTAGAAGCCACTTAGATAGTTTTCGCCTGGCACGGTGACTCACTCCTGTAATCCTAGCACTTTGGGAGGCAGAGGCCAGCAGATCACTTGAGCTCAGGAGTTCGAGACCAACCTGGGCAACATGGCAAAACCTCGTCTCTACAAAAAAAAAAAAAAAGAAGCTAGGCATGGTGGTACATACCTGTGGTCCCAGCTACTCAGGAGGCTGAGACAGGAGGGTTGCTTGAGCCCAGGAGGTGGAGGCTGCAGTGAGCTGAGATTATGCCACTGCACTCCAGCCTGGACAACAGAATAAGACCCTGTCTCAAAAAAAAAAAAGGTTCTGATTATCTTACTTTCTTTGGTAACCAGATACAGTCTCAGGAGCATAAGATAACAATACCATTTTTGTTTTGTTTCATTTTGTTTTCTTAACAAGCCATATACTTATACAACAAAGGAACAAAAAATAAAGTGTGACCATAAAATTAAAACATAAATCCACAATAAAGAATACACCAAAAAAACAAAACTTTAAAGTTTTAAACTCTGACTTTTGTTATGAAATTTTTCATCTTTTTTTTTTTTTTTTTGAGATGGAGTTTCGCTCTGTTGCCCAGGCTTGAGTGTGCAGTGGTGTGATCTTGGCTCACTGCAACCTCCGCCTCCCAGATTCAAGTGATTCTCCTGTCTCAGCCTCCTGAGTAGCTGGTATTATAGGCGTGCATCACTACACCTAGCTAATTTTTGTATTTTTAGTAGAGACAGGGTTTCACCATGTTGACCAGGCTGGTCTCAAACTCCTGACCTCAAGTGATCTGCCTGCTTAGTCCTCCCAAAGTGCTGGGATTATAGGCATAAGCCACCACGCCCAGCCTCATGTTTCAACTTTAATCATTCATTGACCACTCTATCATCTGCATGAGCTTTAAAAAATGAACTGTTGGAGAACACCTAACTCACTCAACAAATACACACATGCCTGAAGGAGAAGAATTGGCCTCGATGGGCAACGTAGAAATTCTCCTAGGATTAGAGTTCAGCTCTAAAGGAGGAAACTGAAGAAACGCATTGACTTTTGTGTGTGTGTGTGTGTGTGTGTGTGTGTGTGTGTGAGAGAGAGACAGGGTCTCACTGTGTCACCCAGGCTGGAGTTCAGTGGTGTGATCTCAGCTCACTGCAACCTCTGCCTCCCAGGTTCAAGCAATTCTCGTGCCTCAGCCTCCCGAGGAGCTGGGATTACAGGCACACGTCCCCACACCTGGCTAATTTTTGTATTTTTAACGGAGATGGGGTTTCACCATGTTGGTTAGGCTGGTCTCGAATTCCTGACCTCAAGTGATCCACCCACCTTGGCCTCCCAAACTGCTGGGATTACAGGCGTGTGCATGGATTTTTGTCTCAAATCCAAAGTGATGCACCGAAGAACACCCTGCACTTCTTAGTGTTTGTTCTCTCCTTCATGGGTGCTGGTACTGAATTTCCAGCTCTTTCACGGGGCACTTCTCACCATCTCAGACTCCAGAGCAAAGGCAGATGTCCCCCAAATGAGGTTAACAGACTCCAGTTACATTCTTTTTTAAAACCATCCTGCAGCTAATTCCTTAACACATGTTAAACCAGGTGGGAATAAGAGACCAACATCTTCCTCTAGACTCAGCAATAATGGGTCCCCTCCACCCCCAGCTGAAGTTCTGCTTTGCAAGGATACCCCAAGTTGTACTGTTCATCACTCTTAGCAGACAACTTAGACATAGATAAAAATGAACGGAATCCATGTTCTTCTCTATTTGGCTGGCAGACAACAGAACTAGGCCATCCTTACAATGTTGTTCCAGAAAGTTTGTTTTAGGCATGGGGTTCCTGCTGTCAGTTGGCTTTCTATGAGGAAAACTGGGATGGATAAAGATGGTGCTGAAGTCCATGTATGGTTGCTGTTGGGGCCGCGGGTAGACAGAAAGGGCCAGGCAGGATGGAGAGGGAGCTTATAAATTAGATCTTACATTAAATGGCTAAGTAAAAGAGATAATTAGGCAACTCCTCTCTATTCTCCCCTCTACCCCACTTTTCCCTACTGCCCCCACCTCTAAATAAATGTATAGAACCATTTGAAAAATATTAACAACTTTGAGTGGTTTTTAAAATACCTTTGGCTACTAATATTATTGCCATTAACATTATGCATTTGCTTATTGATACTTTCATTTTAAAGAAGTCAAAGTTTTAAAAAGGCTAATTTTAGATCCAAAACAACCATATTAACACATCTGGTATAAACAATACTGAGAATTCATAACAAGAAATTATTTTAAGTTAACAAAAGCTTCCCCAACGCTATTTTCTACTATAGAAAATATGCAATAGTTTAATGTACTAAAGGCCATGGCAGCAGCTGCCAGAATTTAATACCCCTTGGGCTTTTATAAATCCAATTTCCCTTCCTCTTATTCTCCTTTGCTCTTTTCTTTTTATCTTTCTTTTCCTTCTTCTCTGGAGAGAGGTGAAAAAACAGAAATGAGGTGGGGTTAGGGCAAGTGACCTGTGAATCAAACCAGGTCACATTCCCACAAGTCAGAGAACCTTCTTTTTCTTGAACAGTCCTTGGAGTAAAAGAAAAAGTGAAAACCTCAAAATCGTTAAGTCTTAGTTCCATTCTCTTGCCTAATGTGAGATCAAAGTTAATCTAAACAAAATAGCAGCACTTGTCAGTTAAAGATTTTGAGGGGAGAAAAAACCATTTATTTCTTTCCATATCATACCCATTTTCCAGGCCCTTTTACACTGCAAGAATTCATGGGGTGTTAATGCACATCTAAGTCCACCACAGTACTACTCATCTCTCTGGCATTTAATACCCTATCCCCTCAGTGAACATTTAGAGAGCTTGGGCAAATAGATCATTGTTTCCCAAAATGTGCACTGAGACCGAGGGCTCTCTGGGATGGTAATAGATTCTGAAGAAAATAAGCATCTCATAAATTCACTTGGGAACTGCTGTGTCTAAAAAAAACAAAACCATATTTGTTTACAGCAGAACTTCTTGGAGACTGGGAGATGCACTGGGAATTTCTAAGAGGGGGATATAGTAAGTAGTATTTCCCAAGACTTAGCTGACAACTAACTCCTTTGGGGTGAGATGTCACTAACCTTTGTTCTATAAAACACAAGCTGGAGAAAAAATTGACCACATATCTACAATTCAACCATGCGTATTTGTGAAATATTTTCTCTGAATTACGTTAAATGGCAAATCAAAATATGGAAAGTATCATTAAGAATCTGACTGACTGGGAAAGAAAGACTGGGAGAAAATTTCTGCCCTTTCTTTGGCTAGCTAAGCTTCTGATGTGTTCTTTCTCAGCTGTATTCATTTGATCAATAATAATAACCACCACAAAAACCACTTAGTTCCGTACCTTTGTTTTGCACATGAGAAAACTGAGGCCCAAAAAAGTTATCTGCTTTGCCTGAGGTCATTCAGTGAGAAAGTGGCAGAATATGGAACAGAAAATTCAATGTTCCACAATCCAACATTCCCTGAAATTATGTTTACCCAATATGTACTCTGGATGTAATTATATATGTCAAGATAATGTATAAGAGCTAAATAAGTATCTATTTAACTCAGATTACACCATTCTTCTGATTAAGTTATAGTAAAGCCTATTAATTTCTACTCTGCAAAATTGGCATTTGTGATAATTCAGCTAGGTCTAGGTAAACGTGTCTCTTGTATTATTTATGAAGAAGGAATATGTCTAATATAAACACAAGTAGCACAGGAAACACTTAATTCATATACGACAGACAAAAAAAATGATTTGGAAACATCTTAACAGTAACCCACCAAGAACTGAGTTTTTAATCTACTTTTCATCTATTTATTAAAACATTTTTGTAATGTTTTGTTGTGGTACTTAAATCTTGAAAAATAAATTGGCACTAGAAATAGTAACAGCAGCCTTGGGTTAACATGTGCATTCTCTACCATCTCTCCCCATCAACCCCTAGAAGTCAATGTTTTGTTCCAAGTGGAATTAAGTTTTAAAAGTTAATATATTAAAGGAAACTACAAAAGGAAGCAGATGACAGAACAATAGGCTGAAAACAATAATGCCTCTCTGATGGAGGAGTATACCTTTGTCTTTATTGACAGAAAGTCAACTTTGTAAGCTAAAGCTGGGTGTGTAAACGGCCTTCTCCCCTGCACTGGATCTCTGTACCATTCCAATTTTAGTATATGTGCTGCCAAAGTGAGCACTGCACTGGATCTCTTCTTGAGTTACCACCCACTCTGTGGGGGACATCTCCTCTGCTCCTACTCTGGGAGAACTTCCCATTCATTTCTGGGAGAGATCCCTCCCCTCTCTCCAGAGGATCCCCACTCTATCTGCGGAAGATCTCCTCCACCCTGTGGGGGATCCTCATCACTCTCAGGGGCATTCCCTCTCACCCATGGGGGATAGGAGCAATCTCTTCTACTCTCACAATTTTTCTACCATCCATATGTTAATGACTCCTAAATCCTTTGCTGTAGTTGGCTACCTTAAATACTTCTGTAGGGGAGGAGCAAAGAAAATAAAGGAGAGGAAGAAAGGTGGTATCTCTAGGGCTGACCTCACACCAGAGCACTATTTATGCCCTACCAGCATATCTAATTAACCTTCTTCTCATCTTTGTCCATAAACCTTATTCTCCACTTCTATTCTCAATCTGTTGTTAGCACCAGCCATCCACCAGATAGCCAAACAAGGACTTGGGGGTTCATTCTATATTTCTCAATTGCCCTGAGAACCTACATCCGATCACTCTCCAAAGTCTGCTTCTTTTACCAACAAGATTTTAATAATTCTTCTGTTTTGCCTGGAGAAATCAATAAGTCTCCTACCTGGTCTGCATGGCTCTGGCTTTGTTCCACCCTCAAAACCATGCTCAAATCAAGAAATCCCCAGAAGTCCCTGTAAAACATCATACTGGCTCCATCACATTCTTGCCTAACACCCTTCAGTAGTACCATGTCACATACAGGACAAAGCCCAAACTCCCTAGCACAGGTTCCCATCTAGTGTCTGCCCACAGCCCAGCCTCACTGTCATGACGCACACTCTGTGTGATCCAGGAACTACTTGCAGCTCCCTGCAATGTCTGTGCAGCTTCTGACCTGTGTGTTTTTGCTCCAGCTGTTCCTTCATCCTCACCCTCATTCCGCAGGACTCAGCTCAGGCCTCAGCTCCTCCAGGAAGCATTTCCTGTCATCTGGGATAGTCTAGCTATTCATTCTCAGCACTCCTATGATACCCTGCAGCAGCTGCTGCTCTTTAACATTGCTCCCCAACTCTTTCTTCATGATGTGTCTCATCCTTGGGGGCAGAGGCAGTTTCTTACTCATCTGCGTATACCCAGTTCCTATTACATAATGTATGCCAAATAAATGTCTACTGAATGAATAAAACGAGAAACCAGTAATGACAAGCACAGACCCACTAAGGCCACCTTCTTTCTGAGTTCCTCCTCAGTCCCAAGAACCCCTGCCAAATTCTAGGTAATGACCCCGGGTAATTACATCAATTTGCCATACACTAAAAATTACTCTAATTTAAACTTCACTAATTTGGCTGGCCTTTCCAAGTCAGTTTTAATTAATGATGTTCTCTCTGTTGAGATATTTCACATAGAGTATTTTCTGGACTGAATTATTCTGTGTGCCTCAGTTCTCTGCCACTTTCCATGGGAAGAGCTTTGTATAGTAAATGACAAAGTTTATAATATTTTTAAAAGTTCCTGTTGAAGATATTTCTCAGCAGAATAGTATAGCCACCTGTTTTCACTCAATCATAACTCCTTTCCTCAGCCAAGCTTTTTTAAGCTTGGTCCCAGTCCTGTTTTTGTTTTTTTTTTTCTTTAGGAAGAATTTGAGAAAAAAATTAAATTGCCATTCTGGAGTAAGAGAAGATTGAAAATTATTAAAACATACTTCACATTGAAGGTGTAACTGCTTTTGGCTCAGAATAACCAACATATTTCAAAAATGTATTCAAACTACATTTAATTTAGTATCTAGCTTAGTCTCCCTCACGAAATCACTGTCTAACTGGCTTAAAGCAAAATAAAATATTTTTAAGCGAAAAAGAACTAAAGCTATCACTTCTGAGTAAATGCAATCAGCACAATATTTTAGCAAAACATCACGATTTATAATACATAATGATAATAAACATTTCTGCCATTGAGGTCCTTAGCACTGCAGAGAAAAGAAAGGAGCTTGCCCCTGGGCTTGTAATCTAAATTAAACAAGCAATATAAGTCGCACAAGTTTCACAGGTGAGAGTTAATTAACATTTTATCCCAAGCAGTGAAGGAAAGGGGAAAGAAAATTAAAATCAATATTAACAGCATCAGAATTTACTTCAACCTTATAGGAGTCATCTGAAACGTGAATATAATTTGAGAAGCTTGTAACACTACCAAGCCTGCCTGATAGCCCCTTACTCCTCCTCCTACTTGGCTATCACCTAAACAGCATATTTATGGGGTTGATTCTTGTGCAGCTTCACACAGCCAATGGGCAGAACTGCCTAAAGATACAGGATGGATAAGACGAACTCCAAGGACCTGTTCCTGTTTTATGACACAAAAATTTTCTCCTAGCTTTTTGTCTTCCTCACTCCTTATGACAAAGCATGCAATGACAGAAAATACACTGAACCTGTATTCATTTCACACTGTTTGTTCATGAGAATATACTCTCAAATCCTCATTACCAAAGACTATTTGAAATTGATTTATAAACAATGTGAGCACCTAGAATGTGTTTCCATTCTCATACAATTCACTTCATTTTCTACCAAGTCATTGAAAAATATGTACCAAGTAATGGTGAGCGCCCAATCAGCCACCTACTATTTTTAAAAAATTTAGAAGTGAACTAGCTTCCCACTGCTAAACACTGAAAAACCAATACCAAAAACAGTACCCTAAAGAAAAAGACAATGCACAATTACGTCAAAGAATAGTAAGATATGTTGCCTCTTAAATCTTGCTCCAAGGTTTTCTTAAATGAGAATCCACACAAGAATTAGTTGGTAGATTTAAAAAGTTCAGAGGGCAGAGCATGGGTTCAACAATGCTGCCTATTGATGTTTTTGGTTTACTGGCCCCCAACACTCACTGCATTTTCTCTGGCCTTTCATTCAGCCCCAGTAATGCAAGACAAAGCAAGTTCTCCACTTGCCCATTAGACTGCTCTGAATATGGCAATGTCAGTGCCCATGTTGCAGACAGTGACAGTTCACATCACTGACACAAATTACATCTAATTGCACGGAGGCACACATGCTGAGTAAAAGACGGCCCACACCTAACTGGCTGGGTCAGTTGCAAGACAGATCTCGCTATTATCTAGTCCCTTCCTGGAAACCTCCCTCCATACCTGGTGAAGGATTAAACTCCCTTCATACATGAAGAATATACCTTCATACCTGGATAACCAGACCCATCTCCCACAACACCGTGAGCATTATGAGGCTGGAATACAAAAATATAAGGATTTCATAAATTCTAAATAATTTTATACCATACACATAAGGAAACAGTAATAACAAGAACAACCCCTGCCCCACCACCTCCCAAATACAACAAATGGTAGGTAAAATACCTTCTGTGCAACAGAAGAGCGAAGACCAGATAGCAATTCCCATATGGAAGGCACAGTAACTGTGCTATTGAAAAACACCATCAGTTCAGTTATTTTCCACACAAAGAACTGAAAGATAATAACCTCTATGCACAAATGAATCTTGGGCTTTACAAACATGTCAGAAGCATCAAAAGGCATTAGAGTAAGCCACATCGTATGAGGCGATTTATCCTCAACTTTGTCTGAATGCTCCATAGAAAAAGACCTAGTTTTTCAATACACCAAAAGCACTGCCCTTTAAAAAGCCTTCTCATCTTGCCTTGTACCAGACACTTGTTTTCCAAATATACCCTGTTCAGATTGCTGATCTTCAGGTTCAATCCTTCACTAAAAGACTTTCTGCATCATTGACATAAAAAAAAGCTTGAGTTATTAAAGGTTGAATTGTGTCCCCCTAAAAGGAATATTAAAGTCCTAACATCCAGTACCTGTGAATCTGACTTTATTTGGGAATAGGGTCTTTCAAGATCTAATCAAGTTAAGATAAGGTCCTTAGGGTCAGCCCTAATCTAATATGACTGGTAAACCTATAAGAGAGAACAGAGCTCAGGAGTTCAAGGTTACAGTGAGCTATGACTGTGCCACTGCAATACAGCCTGGGTGCCAGAGTGAGACCCTGCTCCTGCCCCCCAACCAAAAAAAGAAAAGAAAAGAAAGAAGAAGAGATACAGGCAGAACACCTTGTGACAGTGGAAGCAAAGATTGAAGTGCTGCTGTGTAAGCCAAGGAAAGCCTCAAGGACTTCGGACAAAACACCAGAAACAAGAAAAGATTCTCCCCTACAGATGTCAAAGGAGCATGGCCCTCTCAACACCTTGATTTTAGACTTCTAGCCTCTGGAACTAAGAGACAATTTTGTTGTTGGTTGTTGTTGTTGTTGTTGTTGTTGTTGTTGTTGTTGTTGTTGTTTTAATCCACCTAGTTTCCACTTAATGGCAACCCTAGAGAACTAGTACAAGGGTTGTGTGTTCCATTCTTTTACCTGCAAGCAGGGCTGCAGGTAAAAATTAATCCTGATAGGCAGACTGTGTTAGATGCTATAGAACCTTCTGTAATCTATCCTAATGGAGAAGACCTCCCAAATTAGAAATTCTTATCTGTAACCAAAACAGAAACAAAAAAGTGTTACTCCAATTCACTACTTTTCCACCTGAAAGTATCTTTGAAAACTGCTGAGGTCATCCTGCCTTCCTTTCCTAAGGAAATCCTCCTGGAGGAGGCAACAAGGCAAATCCAAAAGGACCAGCAAGCAACTTTTCACTCTCGTCATGTGTTTTTCAGAATACCCAGATCTCAAAAACTTCATGCTTCAACATCCGTGGGTATGAGCACATAGGCAATGACAACTCTCTATCATTTAATGAAATCACAGCATGCACCACTAGCAACTGGGAAAACAGAGCATTCCTATTGAAGGCGCTATAATAAAATGTGCTCTAAAGGAGTTTCTGGTTTGCTCGGTTTGGAACAAAGACATATGAGATACAGTCACAAAAATAGAGGACAGCTCTGGAAGACAGAATCAGAGAACTTGTTGTTAGCTAGTTATGTTTTTAGAGATCCCATACCATAATTTTACAGATGAGAAAAATCATGCTCAAGATACATCTTTGAGGCACCATTGAGGGCTCTGGCTTAGGCAGGCTTTCTACCAGACTGTGATCCCAATGCTTCCCACCTCCAAAGGCAGGATGATAATATTTATTATGTGCTTCAGATATCCCAACTAAAACTTGTTTTGTTTGAAAGAAAAACCAGTTTTGTAAGAAAGAAAAAAGAATGTCTATCATTTTAAAGTGGAAAATGAGGAACATATTACCATGTTATAAAATCCCCAAATACTCAATGTTTAAATGTATCAGAAAGCATGACATTTAGGACAACATGCTAGTAACTGGGCCTTTAAAGACCACAATTACAACCTGGCTTTTCTAAACAGACATAAAAAATTCCTTTCTGCTGTATTTAACAAAACAATCATATAATAAAACATATTACAGTATTTACCAAACTGAGACAAACAATAAAATTTATTACCACCCATTTTAATTAATACGACTACTTGTGGAATCAAGGAGGGTAAAAGGAAAAAGGGAAATGTGGGCCAGGCATGGTGGCTCATGCCTGTAATCCCAGCACTTTGGGAGGCCGAGGCGGGTGGATTGCCTGAGCTCAGGAGTTCAAGACCAGCCTGGGTAACACAGTGAAACCCCGTCTCTACTAAAAATACAAAAAATTAGCTGGGCCTGGCAGCGTGCGCCTGTAGTCCCAGCTACTTGGGAGGCTGAGGCAGGAGAACTGCTTGAATCCAGGAGGTGGAGATTGCAGTGAGCTGAGATCACACCACTGCACTCCAGCCTGGGTGACAGAGCAAGACTCAGTCTCCAAAAAAAAAAGGCAAATGTGGAGCAAAAATAAAATGTGAGAGATAAAAGACCAGGGATAAAAATAATTCAAAATCTCTACAGTGGTAGGACAGTTGAAACACATATATATAATCACACCAGAAGATCACTCAAGGTTAAAGCTTAAAATATCTATCCTTCCATTTAGGGGTGACCATAGCACAGACAATGACAGGAAGAATCCTTGCTTCTGGAAACTTCCCGTAAAAGTGCAACATTACAGAAGGTAAAGTGAGCAACAGACAATGATGATCAAAACCCATTTTCAGGACTAACTCCTTCCATTTCCCTTCTTTCATTGATTTTTTTTTAAACCCACTTTGCACTCAGTCAGCTTGGTTGCAGGGAACATCGTTTAATGTACCTTATTGATTCAATCATACACATTTATACTTGTGTAGAAACTTCTGCTACAGTGCATTTATTGATCTTTTAATTATTAATGTAAGCCACAAAACCTGAAGAGCTTTATTGTAAATATTTTTTATTCTCTCAAATTATGACAAGAAAATTATCAAAAATTGTCAACAAATGAAACATGGTAGTTTGCTTATTTCCTCTGAAAAGGCTAATCAACCGGTTATGTATCAAATGTACTGTCAATGAGAATTTTTTTCTAAAGTCAGAATTATATAAGCCTGAACAGTTCTCTGATGAAAACTTTAATTTCTAGAATTATTATTACTGTGATGCCTTTAATTTGGCTCTGGAGATGGCAAGCAAGTGTTCCATTCCAGTGTGGCCATTTTCAAATTGCACAGAGCCATCAGGTGAGCAAGCTGTCTGTCAAAATGGTCATAAGATAGGATCCTGTGCTAACGGTTGTGGACAAACTGTGAAGTGGCATGCATTGTCTGGTGAATTACTTTATCCCGCTTGTCTCCGCAGTATGGCCCTCTAGACCTAGAGTAAGATACATTCTCACCCAGATACTCTGTACTATATTCAAAATGAGAATTAAGGGGACTGTCTAGGTGGGAAGCTCTGCAGAACCAGCCACCAGGCTGTAGCAAAAGGCAGGTTCTGCAGGCTTTAGAAGAAGTGGAAGGGGTGGGGCTGAGTTCTTACTGAAGAAAAGGGAGGCAGAAAACACATTTAGGTTCAAGGTGGAAAGAGATGAAACTTTGATGGTCATCCTTTCCCATGCAAACTTCTCCCCCATCTCTCCCTCTAAATACTACTTCAGCTAGCCTTAAATAGTCAATGTAAACTTGGATGAACCAACTGAACCGGAAGATACTGTCTTAACACAGGCTTAATTCTACCCTGCCATAGATGATTTCCAGTGGAAGCCAGCTTCATGCTTACATTTCTTTTAGAATACTGACCAGCAAATATGTTTGCCATTGCACCTTATACTTTCCAATACCAAGGCAATGATGTGTGTAATAAAATCAAGTATAACCTCTAAAAAACACCCCAGAATTTGAAATAATAATTTAAATTTGTGTTGCTACCTTCTAGAGTCTGTTAGGTTTTTCCATTTCTAGACAATAACAAGAAGACCTGCCACTTCCGGACTGAATGGTCCTGAATATGAATAGAGGTGTCACATATCTAACATGGAGCACTAACAGTAAATACCAGAAAGCCTGGGCACTTGACTAGTGACAGAAGCAGATATCCTCAAGCAAATGTTGCTCTGGATCTCTGAAGAATCTCTGCATTGCTCAGCAGTGGCAACAAATGCTTGAATAGTCTGTCAGGTTCAACTCTCTTCCAAGCTTCACTGTTCCGGAGGCCACAGAATGCTGCTTCTGTTTGGTTCAGACCTTCAGTGAACTATACCAAATAGATGGGAACCCTTCCTCAGAACTGATCTCACTAGCCAAGGACACCGCCCATTTACATGAGTTATATACATTACCCAAATGCATATTCAACATATTTATAAACCATGAGTGAAAAGCTGAATAATATATTCACAACTAGGAAGGAGACTAGGATTGGCCTTCTAAAAGGGACCACGTGGTTAAAGATCTGGTATCCACAAATACACATGTCATCAAACAAGTCATAATTTGTGACCATCATGCATTTACCTTGACTTTTATTATTTAAAATACACATACAGCTAATTTGCCAATTACATAGAACACACAATGGGCCCTTACACAGCAAACATACCTACTAATGTGGTGTCTAATTCTTACTTTGTTCTATATCCCCCACAGCAGATCAAAAAATCAGCCTTACTGAAATAATTTCTGATAGGAAAATTTGAGCTATGATTTTAAACCATTTTTGTGTCCTTCTGAAGAATTCCTACTTTAATTTAGACCCAAATCACCATAATCAGTTTTCTTGAAAAATGATACGTAAGTAAAATGTGTATGAAAATGTTATTAATTAAATGGTATTTTCCAAATATCTTAAAGTATTAGAAATGCCAAATTCTTTAGAGTATGAATACCTTCACAAAAGCCCTTTTACCCAAGCTTAAAGAGTACATAGTACATGATACCACCTAGAGGAAAATAATTTTATAAATTAGGCCATAGTATTTTAAACATGTCTTTAAACAGTTTTTCAACATAACAATATGTAGTTATAGAGCCAAGCATATAATCAAACAATGCAGTAATTTAAAGTTCTCTGACGTTAAATGAATAAAGAAAATAACATATTATATTGAAAACATCTAGTCTATGGCTAACATTCTCTCAGGCCATGTATAGAATTACAAAGGAACTAGTTCTTAAATTACCCATTTTAAAAATTAGTCAATATTAACAGTCTCTATTTAGATAATCCACCACTCACCCACATTTAAATAGAAACAATGTTTTCATTTACTACTTTTCAAAGAGAGGTGTCTTCCAAACAATAATTCTTTAGTTGCATATCATTAGAAAGGTTTTGAAAAAATATATAAAGCAAGTAAATGTCCCACAAGCATACCAAGATGGCAACTGATTCTTCCTGGGTAATGTTTGCTCAGTTATTTACAGTGATATTTGATTATAGTAATATATATAGATTTTTTTGTTCCCAAACTCTGAAACCATTTTGCCTATTCATGCTAGTTTTGCCAATCAGTAACTCAATTATTAAGGAGGTCCAGCACTCATCCCAATTAAAACTGCAAAGCAAGAGGTATTGCCTTTTACCTGGCCCATTTCTGCTTTCATAGTCCTTCCAGTCCATTTCCTCTCTGAACTTTTTTTCTCAATTAGCACCCAGGTCCCTTACCCTCCATACTCATGGCTTAGCGGGGTTGCCCTTTATGGACAGTGCCCATCCTTCCAAAAATGGACAAATCTGCAAGGCCACACTAAAATAAAAAAACTATCCTATCTCCCATTTCCTCTATCTCCAACTGTTTCCTAGGTTCCAACTAGCTAATCAGATTAATTGACACCATTTGTTCACTAACAATCTTACACTAAGTCATTTCTTCAACAAATATCTACTATGTACCGGCATTTTTCTAAGTACTGGGGACATACTGGTGAACAATACCAGGCCAAAATTCTTTCCTTCATCGAAGGTTAACACAATGTTATCAATTAATGATAAATATATTGGTGGGTGTGGTGGCTCACACCTGTAATCCCAGCAATTTGGGAGGCCAAGTCGGGCAGATTGCTTGAGTCCAGGAGTTCAAGACCAGCCTTGGCAATATGGCAAAACCCCATCTCTACTAAAAACGCAAAGAACTAGCCGGGCATGGTGGCATGCGCCTGTAGTCCCAGCTACTTGGGAGGCTGAGGTGGGAAAATCGCCTGAGCTCAGGAGGTGGAGGCTGCAGTGAGCTGAGATAGCACCACTGCACTCCAGCCTGGGCAACCAGAGTGAGAGCCTGTCTCAAATAATAATAATTATTATTATTATATAATAAATGTATTTATTTAAATATATATAAACGTGTGTGGGAGTTAGATGATTCTAAGACCAAGAGAGAAAAATAACATAAGAAAAGAGCTGTTGTGATGAGGTTGTATTTTATTAATAAATAAGATGGTTAAATAAAGTGATGGATAAAGTCTAAAGAAGGTGAGGGAGGAAGCTGTGTGATATACGGTTAACCCTTAACAGCATGGGTCTGAACTGCACGGGTCCACTTAAACTCAAATTTTCTTCTGCCTCTGCCACCCGAAACAGCAAGACCCACCCCTTCTCTTCCTCAACCTCTCCTCAGCCTACTCAACTTGAACACAACAAGGATGAAGACCTTATAATGATGCACTTCCACTTAATGAATAGTAAAAATATATTTTCTCTTCCTTATGATTTTCTTAGTAACGTTTTCTTTTCTCAAGTTTACTTTGTTGTAAATTTTGGGGGAGTCAAAAGTTATGTGCAGCTTTTCAACTGTGCAAGTGGTCGGTGCCCCTAACTCCCACATTGTTGGAAGGTCAACTGAATATGGGGAATGTGTTCCCAGCAGAGGGAACAACAGATTCATAAGTCGTGAGTTAGAAGAGCGACATTTCTGAGGCACAGAAATGAGGCCATGTGCCTGCAGTGGGGTAAATGAGACAAAAGGTAGTAGGTGTTCAAGGTAGGGAAACACCAGGAACCACTGGAAGGACTTTGCATTTACTCTGAAAGAGAAGGGAAACCATTGGAGGGTTTTTAGCAAAGAAGTGACCTCAACCAATTTACCTTTTTTTTTTAACACCTTTACTGAGATATAATTGGCATATGATATCCATTTTAGATGTGCAGTTGAAGGAGTTTTAGTATATTCACAGAGTTGTACAATCATGATCACAGACAACTTTAAAACATTTTTTATTTTTTTTTAACTTTTTAAGTTCAGGGGTACAAGTGCAGGTTTGTCACATAGGTAAACATGTCTCGTGGGGTTTTTTGTACAGATTATGTCATTACCCAGGTATTAAGCCTAGTACCAATTACTTATTTTTTCCTGATCCTCTCCCTCCTCTACCCTCCATCCTTGTTACTCCAAAAAGAAACCCCATATCCATCAGCAGTCACTTCAACCTCCACCCCAAACTCTTGGTCCCAGGCATTTCTTATAAATGGAGTCATACAATATGTGGTCTTTTATGTCTGGATTCTTACACTTCACATGTTTTTAAGGTTCATCCTTGTTGTAGCACGTGCCAGTACTTCATTTCTTTTTATCGATGAATAATATTCCATTGTCTAGCTATATCACATTTTGTTTATTCAACAGTTGAAGGACATTGGCGTTGTTCCCTCTTTTTAGCTATTATGAATAGTGCTGCTATAAACATTTGTGTACTAGTTTTGTGCAGACACATTTTCAGTTCTCTCGGGTAAATATCTAGGAGAAGAATTGCTAGGTCATATGGTAACTCTGTGTTGAACCTTTTGAAAAAGTGCCAAACTGTTCTCCAAAATGGCTGAAACTTTTTTTTTTTTTTTTTTTGAGACAGAGTCTTGCTTTGTGATCCAGGCTGGAGTGCAATGGCGTGATCTCAGCTCACTGCAACCTCCGCCTCCCAGGTTCAAGAGATTCTTCTGCCTCAGCCTCCCAAGTAGCTGGGATCACAGGCACATGCCACCACGCCTGGCTAAATTTTGTATTTTCAGTAGAGACGGGGTTTCACCATGTTGGCCAGGCTGGTCTAGAACTCCTGACCTTGTGATCTGCCCACCTCGGCCTCCCAAAGTGCTGGGATTACAGGTGTGAGTCACTGCGCCCGCCTGAACCTTTTTATATTCTACCAGCAGTGTATGAGGGCTTCAAATTCTCCATAGCCTCAACAACACCTGTTATTATTGGTCTTTTTGAATATAGCCATCTAAGCTGGTGTGGTATCTCATAGTGGTTTTGATTTACATTTCAGAGACTGAGTACCTTTTCATGTGCTTTTTGATCTCTTCAGATCTTTGCCCATTTTCGAATTGTGTTATGTACCTTTTTTATTAAGTTGCATGAGTTCTTTACATATCCAATATACAAGTCCCTTATCAGATACATGATTTGCAACTTTTTCTCCCATTTCGTAGATTGCTTTTTCACTTTTTTATGGTGTGCTTTAAAACACAGAATTATAAAATGTTGACGAAGTCCAATTTATCTGTTTTTTGTTGCTGTTGCTCGTGCTTTTAGTGTCATATTTAAGAAACTGTTGCCTAATCCAAGATCATGAAGATTTACATCTGTTTTCTTCTAATAGTTTTATAGCTTTAGGTCTTATTTTAGGCCTTTAAAATATTTTTGAATTAATTTTTGCATATGGTATAAGAGAAAGAGTCTAAGTTCATTCTTTTGCATGTAGAGATTCAGTTGTCCTGGCACCATTTGTTGAAAAGATTATTCTTTCTCACATTGAATTACCTTGCACTCTTATAAAACTAAATTACATTTTAACAGAATTTCTATAGTCATATTAAGAATAGACAAAATGGGCAAGGGTAGAAGCAGAGAAGCCAGTTAGAAAGCTATTATCATAAATCATGTATATTAGGGCTTGCCAGAGAAAAGGAACCAATAGATATATAGAGACATATAGAAAGAAATTATGAAGTATTGGCACACATATTATTGAGGCTGAGAAGTCCCATGATCGACATGCTGGTCAGGAAAACCAGTGACATAGTAACAATCCAAATCTGAAGGGCTGAGGAGCCAGTAGTGTTAGTCCTGGTCCAAGTCCAAAGGCCTAGGAACTAGAAGCATCAATGTCCAGTCAAAGACAGGAGAAAATGGATACTCAAGCAAAGAGAGACAGAGAGAGACAGAGACAGAGAGAGACAGTGTGTGTGTGTGAGTGTGAGAGTGTGTTAGTTCACCCTTCCTCCATCTTATTTGTCTATTTGGGCCCTTGACAGATTAGATGATGCCCACTCACATTGGTGAGAGCCATCTTCTTTACTCAGTCTACCAATTCAAATGTTAATCTCTTTCAGAAACACTCTCACAAACATACCCAGAAACAATGTTTTACCAGTTATCTGGGCATTCTTTGGCCTTGTCAAGTTGACACATAAAATTAACCACACACCAAATAAGAGATAATGGTGGCTCAACCAAGAGAGTAGCACTGGAAGTGGAGAGAAGTGGTTGAATTCTGGATGTTTTGGAAGTTGAGCTGATAGGATCTGCTAAGAGACTGGATGTAGGTGTGAGATAAAGAAAGGACTCAGTTGACTCTAATATTTTTGATTTTTCAGTTAGACAAACTGCAATTTTGGGGAATAGGGACATGATCGCTCAAACTACCGTGTGTAAAATAGACTGGGAACAGGGAATTGGGGGATAGGATGAAAGCCTTCTATCCTAGAAACAATTTCTGTTTCATTGAAAATCTACTGAGTCCATAGGGCACATAGATGGCACTAGTTAATGTTCCTTTACAGTGAAAGAGGCTGTTTATTCACTGAAAAGAGAATGCCTTGAGGGCTTTATTAGGGTCTTGAACTGAACTCTTTCTGTCTGTTTGTATAAGAGGTTCTCAGAACAAGTTCAGGGTTGCCCAGAAGTTGTTTTTAGAGAAGCCCTGAAGCCTCATACTTTCACAGAAGGAGACCTTGATAATCTCTCATCAGGAATTTATTTGAAATGTCATTAGAACTTCTTAGAGACATCATGACTAACCTAAAAAAAATAATTAACTGTGAGAACTACAAATTTTACCACAAGACAGTGGAGAAAACATTACAGGATAGATAGAAATTCAGGAACCCCTCAAATCACACTCCTCCAGAACATTTTCACTGGAAGACAAAGGAGCCTCATTTCCTATTAACTCAGAAACTCTTTCAAGCATCTGTTGTGGTAGATTTTCTAATAGGTCCAGCCCAGGGGGTTCTCAGGTATAAATCCTCAAGTTCTAGTAAAGCCTCTTGAGAAGATGGTCAAGGCACAACTTGAATAGCTCATACCACTGAACTGGAAAAATGCTCCTAAAGCTCTAGTGTCCTTTGAAGAGACTTGATCTTCCTCCCCTGGCCTTAAGAGAGGCAGGTAAAGCAGGATAAGTACTGCAACACACAGGGAAGAAATGAAATCACGAAGATCTCTCTTTCTGCGTAAAAATGGATGAATTTCTTCGGATTTAGCAGCTGTCTTAGTCTGTTTTGTAATGCTATAACAGAATACTTAAGATTGTGTAATTTATGAACTACAGAGATTTATTTCTTACAGTTCTGGAGGCTAGGAAGTCTAAGATTGAGGGGCCAACATCTGGTCAGGGACTTCTTGCTACATCAAAACATGGTAGAGAGAGAGCCAGAGAGAGGGGAGCAAACTTGCTTTTATAACAAACCCAGTCTCACAATAGCAAACTCACTCTCATGACAATGACATTAATCCATCCATGAGGGCAAAGCCCTCATGATCTAATCACCTCTTAAAGATCCCATCTCTCAAAACTGTTGCGTTGGTGATGGGGCTTCCAACACATGATCTTTGGGAGGACACATTTAAAACCACAGCAGCAGCTTTTCACTCTCTCTATCCTAGAAACAACTTCCATTTCAGTGAAAATCTACTGCCTCCACAGAGAACAGGAATGGCATTAGTTAATGTTCCTTTACAGTGAAAGTATGAGGCTTTCTCATACTTTTCAGGGCTTCTCTGAAAACAAGTTCTGGGCAACCCACTTTAGGTTCTGAGAACCTGTTACAAAAACAGACAGAAAGAGTTCAGTTCAAGACCCTAATAAACCCCTCAGGTCATTCTTTTTTCAGTGTACCAACAGCTAATGAGGAAGCTGTGCCTCTTAACGAGGAAAGGAGGCTAGGATACCATGCCAAGGATCTCCAAGACACACAAAGGAAGATGTAAATCTTTCCTCAGGCCTGGTGACAAGACAAAGACCAAATGGAATCCTAAAATGGGCTCTTTGGCAGTCACGTCTAGAGGAATGGAAGACGTGATGAACTACTCTAGGAACTGGTATTAAAACAAGCAACCCAAATGTAAATAAAAGACTACTTGCTTCAATTAAGTCTTAGCTACAGGAGTGTGAACTTTAATATTTCCTCAGTGTACATCTCCGCTAGTGCTTTCACCATTATTAAAGTATGTTTATACAGGGTTTGGCTTTCCAGCTATTATGGAAAAATTACATCTTGCCAACAGTACTATAGGGGTCTAAACACAGCAAATCCTCCACTGACCTTGAACCCAAGCTAAAGCAAATAGTCACTCTCCTTGGTGCTGAACTGCCTAAATAATGCACTGCATAAATGGCTGTGAATCTAAATTACATCTACAATGCATCTTAGCATTACGGATTACTAACAATTTTTCCAGAAGGCAGTGTTTGTAGAGGCATTGCAATGTGAAGGAAATTCTTAGGGAGAAAACTGGAAAACATTCACTTGCAAATGATGATCATTTATTTATTGAACACTAGGAGTATGCTGGGCCTTGAGCTCCACAGAGGAGGTAGCAGGGTGATGACAGTCTCTGGCCAGAAGGCTTCACAAGAGTGGAGGAAGAAGATGATGGTTAACAGACAATATGCTAGAGGAAAAGTAACTGCAATAGAAAGTTTGAAGTGGTGAAGCATCATGAGACGGAACAGAAAACAAAAGAGGGAGAAGACAACAAAAATGCCAACTGAAATATCTACTTAATATAAAATTACACTTCCATTTGAACCAAAATAAAATTTATCCACATGTAAAAGTGCTCAGAAAATAACATTAAATGAAAAAAGCAAAATATAAAATGATTAAAACATAAAATCATACATATATACAAAGGCCAAAAACTGGAAGGGAATACAGAGAAATCAAAACCACTTAAGGAAAACGTTAGAATTGTGGACATATCAGTTTTCTTTTGAAACTTCCTTTAATCATATTGTAAGAACACATACACTATATTTTTAAAAGGCAATTAGAGTATATGTGAATATTCACTACAGCTCTGTTTGTGATGGTAAAAGAAATAGAAACAACTAAAATATCCATCTATAGATAACATATTAAATGAATTCTGGCATATACATAAAATGAGCTGCTATACCACTGATATGGTTTGGCTGTGTCCCTACCCCAATCTTATCTTGAATTGTGGTTCCCATAATCCCCAGATGTCGTGGGAGGGACCCAGTAGGGGGTGATTTAATCATGGGGGCAGTCACCCTCATGCCATTCTTGTGATAGTGAGTTCTCATGAGATCCTATGGTTTTATAAGGGGCTTTTCCCCCTTTTGGTCAGCACTTCTCCTTGCTGCTGCCATGTGAAGAAGGACATGTTTGCTTCCCCTTCCGCCATGATTGTAAGTTTCCTGAGGCCTCCCAAGTCACACTGAACTGTGAGTCTTTCCTTTATAAATTATTCAGCCTTGGGTATGTCTTTATTAGCAGCATGAGAATGGACTAATATAACCACTTTAAAAATTGAGGTATATCTATTTGAATTGACTTGAAGATATGTCTATGATACATGGCTAAGCAAAATTTTTAAAAGGCAAGTGAGAAAAATACATATGGTATAATCATATTTATATGAATATAAACAACTATATTAATATATGTCAGTGTGTACACCAGAAAGAAAAAGTTTAAAGCAATATACACTAAATAGAAAAGAAATTATGGAATGGGAGATTTATATTTTTTATATTAATGTATTTCTGTAGGTTTGAGTTTTGTAACCTTGGATTACATATGTCATTAGAAAAAAACTTTAAAGAATAAAAACTGAATTAAAATTTTAAAAAATAACTGTCATGTTAGGAAAAATTCTTTGGACATTTATTTTATGGTAACGAGGGTTAAAATTTAAGAGGAGCTTTGAAGGGCAGATGGAGGTTAGGGCAGGAGACAGGCAGTGTAATTAAGGAAATTAAAATAAGTGGTCGATAAGCTGGACTCTTACTTGGCCAGTAGTAAACCAATCAACACTAAGTTGAGGGGTAACAGGAATGAGAAAATCACCTGAACATAAACATAAGAGAAGGTATTTCATAGAGTACAACAGATCACTGTTCATCCATATAGTTCTAAGAAAAAGTAACAGGGAATTTTTGAAAGAGAGAAGAAAGTAAGTAGAAAAAAAAAAGTGAGGTTGAAAACTAGTGGGTAACGGTGAATAAAACAGCACAAAGAAAAACTGGAGGAAAGTACACAGAATTTATGAGGGGACTCATAACATATGGCCGATTTACCAAAAGCTAGTCAAGCTCAAAGTCATCTGACTCCAAATCCATTAACCTGAAATCCACTTTCTTGTTTTGAAATGCAATCTGAACTTCAAACGGCAGTTTGTCTCCTCTTAACCAGTTCAGCAAACTTCACTTGAAAATCACCATTGTTCATGCTAGTCTGCATCACCATGCCTCAGATACTTGCAGGAATCGGGGCAGCCAAAAGTGTTTCAGCTATTGGGACCTCCCCTCCAGTTTAGCAAGCTGGGAATGGTGACAAGTATAAGTGGCATGCCTCAGTATAAAAAGTAAAATGATTGGCTCTACCATTTACAGTCACATCACAACCCGTACCACTTCAGATTCCTAGTCTGAAAAACGGGTATAATCTCCAAGAATTGTGAGATTCAAGTAACAAACAACTGAGAGCTCCATGCCTGGGACATAGTAGACTCTCAATAAATATTTCTGAATGAACAAATGAACCAATGTGTTATGATACTATATGGTATTATTATTGTGCACAAAAAGAAGGTATGGAAAAGGGTAGTATTCTAGTGAATTCTATCACTGTAGTAAGGTCAAGTAACTTCCTTTTATCATCAAAGTCTTGCATGTATTGCTTCCACTGCCATAACTGCCCTTCATAAACAAGTTTCCCAGGCATCTGTAATCCCACCTCCAACTTTGCAAGTTTATGTCTGGACCTGTTGCCTTCTCTCTTTAGAACTATACATTCTGCGATGGTGAGGGTTGTGTCTTCACACTTCATGGACAGGCTTATAACCAACAAACCATGCAGAGGAGAAAACATGTCTAAGCCTTCCTCAGGCCCAGGCAGAATCCTCTGGTGCCAACACCTATGTGGTGGCAATGAAGGCGATTCCAGATTCTTTGGTAATGTTGAGGCAAAAACATTTTGAGGACCTAGATGTGAACAGGCCCTCAAATTGGATACCTTTTTATTTGAAGGATATAAGATTCAGCAATACCCTCTGGACTACAGTTTGTTAATTCAGGTCCTCAGATCCCAAAGGGATCCATGGATAGAATTCATGGAAGTTCTTGAATTCAGATGGAAAAAAATCAGATCTTTTGTCACCAGTATCTAACTGAAATTTAGCGTTTGCTTCAAGTAGGAATTTAGACAACAAATCATGGTAGCATTAGTAGTACTTACATATGTGTCACCAACAGAAATCACAGATATTTTCATATCTCACTGCAATTCTTGTTATCTCAAAATATTATCTGTTTATCACCACTTTAAAATTAGTGGTCATTATGTGCTCTGCTAAATCCAATACAATGTGTTAATGAAGAAGCATGTATATTACCATAACACGAGTTTGTTTTAATAACTTGATAACTATTTCAATATAATCGGCTCCTTGTCATTCTATGTGTTTTATTTCATTCATTTACATATTTTACTCTGAGAAACAGTCCATGGACTTCAACAGACTACCAAAGATGTCCCTAGCACTAAAAAGGCTAAGAAGCCCTGCTCCAAACTATAATGCCCAACAATTAAAAGTATTATGCAAGTACAAATCCCATTACTTGAAGCACTTTTAACTATAAAGATGAAAACATTACTTGAGAATCTGCAATCATTCTGATATGTAGGAATTATTTACATTGACTAAAAAGTTCTAAACTAATGGCCTGATTTACGTAATAGAGCAGCCTATGTATGAAACAGTCTGATTTGAGTTGTTATTACATTTTAGCACAGAGTTAAAAACATAAGTATTTCTATCAAGGACTTGGCTTTGAAGTTTGTCTTGAATTTACTACCTGACCTTGGGCAAGTCGGTAAACCCAGCTAAGCCTTAGTTTTCTCATCTACAAAATGTTGAAAATACCTCCTCCTTCAAAGCATTATTAAGAGAATTAAATAATACATGCAAAATACTAAATAATGGATACAAAGTACTTAGCACAGTACCAGACATAATAAGTACTAAATAACTTACAGCAATGTTATTGTCCTATTTTACTTATTAATCTAAGTAAAACTTTATATTGAGTCTTTAAGATGATTTCTTTAAAGTATTCTATAATTAAAAGATAAGAGAGCATGTTGCTTCAGAATACAGACTCTAATGACAGACTGCCTGGGTTTAAATTTTTTTGTACCACTTACAAGCTGTGTGCCTCTGGATAAGTTACTTAATTTCTCTGAGGTTTAGTTTTAGATCTGTAAAATAGGGAAAATAGTATCTATGCCATAGGGTTGTTATGAAGGTCAAATTAGTAACCACAGGTGAAGCACATTAAAACATGCCTAGAACATGATACTTTGTAATTACTAGCTATTATTACCAACAGTAATTATGTAATAGTTTCACGTCAAGTTACACAGGAGTCTTTCTTCCTCTTTAATCTGAATTTTAGTGAAAATTTCTTATAAATGGAGTCAGCCACATTAATCATACTATTTGCATGAATGTATTTGACATCAATAAGAACAAGGCAGGGAATAAATTCAGCTACAATTATTTACAAGGAGGAATTAGGAAGACCCCATTTCCTTTGGCTTTGTAACCAAGTTAAAGCCCATACAAGAAAGATTCTCTGTAGTTTGAAATGCTTATTTTATGGCAACAGATCTATGAATTACAGGAATAAACATAATTTTGCTTTTTTACCTTTGAACAGGTACAGAGAGGCACCTCTGTGCCCAAGGCTGGAGCTCACCTTGGAGAAGAGAGCCATGGAAATGCTGGGCTTGGTGACAACAGCAAGGACAACATCAGCATCAAGTAGCAAAGATGCACCTGTTTCCCAGCAGGGAACCAGCTTTGCTCCTCACGGGCAATTAGCAAGGTTTGACTTAATTTAAAGCCT
The DNA here is from genome assembly GCF_000001405.40 of Homo sapiens. Lineage (NCBI taxonomy): Eukaryota > Metazoa > Chordata > Mammalia > Primates > Hominidae > Homo > Homo sapiens. The sequence goes on from NC_000013.11 coordinate 43,749,639, forward strand.
ACACAACCACTGATCTCTGAGAATATGACTGATGTTATTTTCTGTACTGAGAGTAACAGTAAAACAACAATAATGACAATAACAAGCACTTCACTCCTCTCCATCTTTTAAGGTAGTTGAGTAATTAGTAACTCAACAATTAGTCATCACAGCAAAACTATGAAGCATGTAAAAGTATTCTCACCATCATCTTATTTCAGTTTTTTACTTATGAGCTTTAAGAATTCAGGATCCTTTGTTGAATTTATTAGTCCTCCCAACATATAAGACAATGAATATTAGAGTCAAATTATGATACATACCCCAATAATTCGACTATACTCTAAAATTAATACACATCACCATCTCCAGGACTACCAAAAATGCAAATGCTGGCTGGATCTCATTTTTTTAAATTATAACAATTAAAAGGTTATTAAATCACCAGTGTTAAAAAGTCAGCAGCAATAAACCTTTAGGTTTTCACAAGATGCACACAGAGGTCTCCCTTGGAGATTTAGTTTTCCAACTCATAAGGCTGAAGGTCCACTCCCAGGAGGAAGAAAAAACAGGAAGCTTCTCCCCAGAGTAGGAAAATAAAATTTGGCATACTCTGGGTTTTAGTGACCAAAGATTATCAGGAAGTGGAAACATCTACAGTAGAATCAGTGCAGATGTGATCATTAGAAGGCTCCATGCTTTGTGCCAGTATTATTATTTCCAGCATCCCTTAATAGTGTCAAAAGCATAACATTCCAGCTGAGGGATTAATAGCTGCCCTAACAACAGAGCACACAGCAGGCTTTCAACACAGCAGGGGGCTTTTCAAAACACCCTAGGGTAGATAGGCCTGGTCTTTAGTGCTTGTACCATGGCTCAACTACACTGAGATACCTTCCAAGTCTCCAAGTATGAAGCTTGGTTCTCAACTCCACTCTGATGTGATTCTGCAGTGTAGCACCTTTACAATTCAGATTAAGGCAAGATCTCTGATCTGGAACCTTTTGTCAAACGAGTCTTGGAACAAGACTGACAGATGTCCCCTCTACATCAACAGGTAGGGTAAGGCAAAGACAGGAGAGAAACCCAGAAATGTATATACATGTGTATGCAGCTACACAGTTGACACGTGGTGCATAATGTTCCATGCGATCAAATTTCTTTCAGGCCCATTCAAAACAAAATAGTTGCATGGGAAGTAATAACAGAGAACCTTTACTGGTTGGAAATTCTCCTCTTATTTAACTAAAATCCTACATATCCTTAATCACTGTAGTTTAGCATTCATTCTAGTGAGAATAATCTTCCTGGAACACAAACGTGGCCTGTTACTCCTCAGATTAGACACCTTCAGTGGCTCCCCTGGGCCTACAGGCTAAAATCCTAACACTTTGGGATGACAAACAAGACCTCTGGTTTGGACCTTACCTACCTCTCTAGCTTCATTTACCTCTCTGGCTGCCAGGACCCCACATTCCTCGTAAGTCCCCAAATTATCTGTCATGCTCCTTCTTATCTCTCAATGCTTACTGGCAATATCTCTGCACCTAGAATGTTTTGTCTTTGTAGCATTTCAACAAATGCCTATTCATCTTTCCCAGCTCAGCTAAGGTCAGCCACCCTTGTAAAGCCTTTACCAACTTTCCTTTCCCAGGAGAGACCCACTGCTTTTCTTGGACTAACAGAATCTCCTGCATCACTGCTCTTCTGGTTGCCACAGCACTTTACTGCACTGGGTTTTTAAAAATAGGTTTATGGAATAATAGTTTAAACACAATAAACTCCACACTTTAAAGTGTACAATTTCGTAAGTTTGAACATATATCCATACCTGTGAAACCATCATCACAATCAAGATAATGAACACATTCACTATTTCTAAAACTTTTCCATGCCCTTTTGTCAACTCTCTCTGTCACTCCTCTCTGTCCCTCATCCCCAGGGAACGACTGATCTGCTTTCTAGAGAGTCATTAGCATTTTCTGGAGTTTGAAATATAGGGAATCATGCAATATGTAGTCTTTATTTTTGCCTTGCTTCTTTCACACAACGTAATTATACTGAGATTCATACACAGTGTATGAATCAACAGTTCGTTACATTTTACTGCTGAGTAGTTTCAGCATGGATAGGCTATACTATAATGAGTTTGTCTTTTTACCTGTTGATGGACATGTGGGTTATTTCAAGTTTTTGTTCATTACAAAGAACACTGCTATGAACATTCACATACAAGTCTTTGTACAGACACGTGTTCTTTCCTCTTGGGGAAAAACTGAGGAGTGGAAATAAATGAGTCATGTGGTAGGTATATGTTTGATTTTTTAAGAAACTGCCAAACTATTTTCCAACAGGCTGTGCCATTTTACATTCCCACTAACAGTGTGTGAAAATTCCATTTCCTCCATATCTTCATGAACATTTGATATGGTTTGTTGCTTTAATTACAACCATTCTACTATGTCTATTGTTGTATTATCTCACTGGGGTTTTAATTTGCATTTCCCTAATGATTAATCATGTTGAGCATCTTCTCATGTGCTTATTTACCACCCATATTTCTTATCCGGCAGAATATCTGTTCAATTCATTTCCCCATTTTTCAGTAGGTTGTTTTCTTATTATTACATTTTGAGAGTAATTTATATATTTTGAGTATTTTATATATGATTTGTCATATATATTTGAAATATTTTCTCCCAATCTGTGGTTTATCTTTGCATTCTCTTAGTACTATCTTTTGATGAGCAGAAATTTTTGATTTTGATGATGTCTAATTTATCAATTTGTTCTTCTATGAATTGCACTTTCAGTGTCATATCTAAGAAATCTTTGTCTAACCCAATCTCACAAAGATTATTTCTTAGGTTTTCTTCCACAAGATTTATAGTTTTAGGTGTTACATATATGTCCATGTGGTGTTCATTTTTGTATATATTATAAAATATGGTTTGATGTTCATTTTTTGCTTATGGATATCTTGTTTTGACACTATTTGTTGAAAAATTAATCCTTTCTCCACTGAATTGCCCCCATGCCTTGGTCTAAAATCCACGGTCTATACACATGTGGATCTACTTCTGCCTCTTTCTTCTGTTCCAAGGATCTATTTTTCTGTTGGGACACCAGTCCCACACTCTTTTGATTACTGTAGCATTACAAGTCTTGAAATCAGTCAAATTTAGTCCTCCAACCTTCTTCTTTTTTAAAATTGTTTTGGCTATTCCAGGTTCATTGCATTTCTTTTTTTTTTTTCTTTTGAGACAGAGTCTCACTCTCTCACCCAGAATGGAGTGCAGTGGTGCTATCTCGGCTCACTGCGACCTCTGCCTCCCAGGCTCAAGCGATTCTCCTGCCTCAGCCTTCTGAGTAGCTGGGATTACAGGCACGCGCCACTACATCCAGCTAATTTTTGTATTTTTAGTAGAGACAGGGTTTCACCATGTTGGCCAGGCTGGTCTCGAACTCCTGACCTCAAATGATCCACCCACCTCAACCTCTCAAACTGCTGGGATTACAGGCATGAGCCACCACGCCCGGCCTCATTGCACTTCTATATAACTTTTAAGATTCATCTTTTCAATTTAAAAACTGCTGGCATTTTGATTGGGTTTTTGTTGAATCTATAGATCAATTTGGGAAAAAATGACATCATAACAATATTGAGACTTTTTATCAAATACAAGCTTTAACTCTCTAACAATTTAGGTCTTTTAAAATTTCTCTCAACAAGATTGGGAGAAATATTGTACGGCTTCTGCACATTCTTGTCAGATGTATCCCTAAGTATTTCGTATTTTTGATACTATTGTAAATGGCATTTTTGTTTCAGTTCCTGACTGTTCATTGCTGGTATATAGTAACACAATTGATTTTTATTTATGGATATTGCACCCCAGAACCTTGCCAGAGGACACTGGAATTAAGAATTAAGATCAACATTTTGATGCCTAAGGGGACAAAAGAAGTTGTTCACAACTACCCATAGGGAAAGACACGCTGTGGAAACACATTTGCTCAGGAGAGAGGAGAAATAGAGCTATATCCTCAGCATTTATATTTCTATGCCTTTGGCCTAGATAGTTTGAGCCTTTAAGCCCATCAGTCAAGTGATATGGGAAAAATTCAAATATGTAGTATCTATGGTTTTTCCTAAAACAGTTTCTGAAATGTGAAACAGTATAATCACTAACCACATAAGAGAAACTCAGGGGCCTATTAAGAGTAATACGTCACCTTTCTTTTGGTCTTGATTCTTTTCAGTTGGTTTCTGCTTTTTTCCTTATCCAATTACGACCAGATTTCCTTAATAGGAATCTAGTCCTGACATTTCAGAGACATAAACTGATGTATTTCTTCTACGTATCTACGTGTGTGTGTATATATACATATGTATACACATATATATACATATATATGTATATAAATACACATATATATACATATATACGTATATAAATACACATATATACGTATATATGTATACGTATATGTATACATAAGTATACGTATATACGTATATACACATATATACATATGTATATATGTATACATTACACGTATGTATGTATATATACATATGTATATGTATATATGTGTGTACATACATGTGTATACATATGTATATATACACATATATACATATATACACACACACATATATACATATATACACATATATGCGTGTATGTATGTGTGTGTGTGTGTATATATATATATATTATTATTATTATTTATTTTTTTTTTTTACTGTCACCCAGGCTGGAGTGTGGTGGTGTGATCTCGGCTCACTGCAACCCCCACCTCCTGGGTTCAAGCAATTCTCCTGTCACAGCTTCCCAAGCAGCTGGGATTACAGGTGTGTGCCACTACGCCTGGCTAGTTTTTGTATTTTTAGCAGAGACGGGGTTTCACCATGTTGACTAGGTTGGTCTCGAACTCCTCTACTTGTATCTTTTAATTTTAGCAGCTTGTTTTTTTTTTTAGAGACAGGTTCTTCCTCTGCCACCCAGGCTAGAGTGCAGTGGCACAATCATAGCCCACTGCAGCCTCAAACTCCTGGGCTCAATAGATCTTCTTGCCTCAGTCTCCTGAGTAGCTGGGGTGACAGGTGCATGCCACCACACCCAGCTAATTTTTTAATTTTTTGTCACTATGTTGCCGAGTCTAGTTTCAAACTCCTGGTCTCAAGTGACCCTCCCACCATGGTCTTCCAAAGTGCTGGGATTCCATTCATATTTTGAGTGACTGGTCTTAGACTCCTGACTCTAAAATCTGCATATTAATGTATGCCTGTATAACTAAATCTGCTTCTGTTCTTATTGATCCTGCATCTGTAAATAAAATGCTGGCTTAACAATGCAGCATTTCCTGCTTGCTGCATTGATTCTCCACAATAGAAAACTCAGAGGTCACATGTTTCTCCATCCTTCAATTCACCAGAATTCTATCTGCTCAGGAGATTAAAAAAAAAAAAAAGATACCATTGTTATAAACTCCAGAACACAAAACACTTCTCCATTCCACACAGAAAAAAATCAATGCATGTTCCTCATTTCCTAATTGAAAGGATTTTTGGTTAAACATGAGCTTTTACAGCTTCCTCCACATCTCCATATGACCATCACTGTCAGAACCATCATCTTTGAGTATGAATGACATGCTATATGAAGGGCAGAGAGAAATAGACACCAGGAGAAAAACATACAGAAATAACATCAAAGAGTGAAATCTGGTCAAAATTCCCTAACCTGCTTCTTGTCTCTCCAGGTTGTGTCACAGTCATTCAGGAGGCCTCGGGCACTGCTTTGTTCAGGGGCTCATGTACCCGTGAAGCTCTAACACCTCTCACTCCTGCATGCTCTCTCTCTCTCACTCACTCTAAATAACCACTTGTGGGCCTTACATTTCTTTCCTATAAAAAATCTTTAATGTTTTTACAATTATAATACATGTTGACGGTATAAAATTAGAAAGCCCAATTAAGCCTAGATAAGCAAACTAAAATCATCATTAAATCTAGTACTCAGAGACTACCACTCCTAACATCTGGTACATATCCTCCCACACTTTTCTCCTCTGTTAAAACATTTTCAACAAAAATAAAATTATAAAATCATCCACAATTGTTTTCTAAGTTCTAAAATAGGTAAAATGGCAAGAATACATGTTGATTACTTTCTGGTATGATCTTAGCAAAACCAGTAAAGCATTAGAGATAATTGGACCTTAAGCCAAAGCCATAAAATAATTATGATGTGAGACCTGAACTATCTCCAGCCAGCCCATGGTTCATTACCAAGATGAGCAGAATTAACTAGCAAATAAAGAAATACCTTACTAACTAAAAATCAGAACACCATCCCTCAGCCAGGTCATATGAGACAGTCCAGTCCACAGACAAAGCTTTAAGCAGGCTATAAATATATGTGGTTGACACATTCGGGGTGACATAGTGGAAAAGAGTTGAGGCTGAATTGTTCCTGGTGAGAAGAACAAAAACTTAAGTGCCAGAGGTCCAAAGAAAAAGGCTGGGCATGGTGGCTCATGCCTGTAATCCCAGCACTTGGGAGGCCAAGGCAGGTGGATCACTTGAGCCCAGGAGTGTGAGACCAGCCTGGACACTATGGCAAAACCCCATCTCTACATGATATATAGAAATTAGCTACCTGTGGTGGCTCATGCCTGCAGTTCCAGCTACTCCTCAGGAGGCTGAGGTGGGAGAATCACCTGAGTCTTGCAGAGGGTCAAGGCCGCAGTGAACCGGGATCGTACCACTGCACTCCGGCCTGGGCGACAGAGCGAGACCCTGTCACAAGGAGAGAAGAGGGTTGAGGAGGGGTGAGGAGGGGAGGGGAGGGGAGGGGAAGGGGAGGGGAAGGGAGAGAGGGAAAGGAGAGGGGAGGGAAAGGAGAGGGGAGGGGAGGGGAGGCAGAGAGAGAGATGTGCATGAAGTGGAGATGCAACACACCACTGGCCATTTTTATGTGCATCCGTGTGTCTCATTGGACTGGGAGCTCTCAGCAGGTATCTTATTCCTCTCTTTTATCTCCAGTGCCTAGTACTTAGTAAGGATTTGCTCATTAGGGGCTATCCCAGAAGCAGTTGAGCTGAAATTGGACAGGCAGGAACAAGTCTGCATTATGCATGTTACAAAAAAGATGAAAATTACCTTCTCTAGTTATAACTGTCCCACTGTGATTTAGGCAAAAGCCATCCTGGATATGTCACAGGTAAATGTTTGTAAATAAGCAGGATATACTTGGGAGGCTGAGGTAAGAGGATCCTTTAAGCCCAGGGTTCCAACCCTGGACAACATAGTGAGACTGTGTCTCAACAACAACAAAAACAACAACAAAAAAAAAAAAAAAAAAAAAAGCTGGATAATTTTAGGGTTGTAAGCATCGTTAATCCAATTTCTTAACATAGACATATAATATTGATTTTCAAACTCCCAGCTGAATATTTTTCCCCTAAAACATACTGTTTCCAAGGTTAATGTGTGTTATGAAAGATAAAAATGTATGGGAGATAATTATACGAGAGACCTGATATGGTGGATTAATTGCAAAATGGCCCTCAATTCTCTGCTCCTCTTTGTATCCATTCCCTCTGATATCTGACTTTGCAACTCCTCCCATCAAGAGGTAGGGTCAATTTCCCCATCCCTTGAACCTGGATTGGCTTTGTGACTTGCTTTGAAAACAGGATACAGGGGGAGTGAAAGTGTGCCAGTTCTGAGACTAGGTCTCCAAAGGTCTTGTGAGCTTCTCCTCTCTCAGAATTCTGCCTACCACCAAGCTGGCCAGCTGGATGATGAGACACATGTGGTTGTGTGGCTTGGCCATCTCATCACTCCAGCTTTCAGTCAGCCAACCACCAGACATGTGAGTGAGGACACCCTCAACCAGCCGGCTCTGAGCCACTCTGTCATGTTAGCACAGATGCATGGCATTTCAGCAAAGAATTAGGGAAATGCAAATTAAAGCCATAGAGAGGTATCAATACACACCTATCAGAGTGGCTAAAATAAAAAATGACAACACCAAATGTTGGTCAGGATGCAGAGAAACAAAGCCATTTTACACTACAAGTGAGAATGTAAAATGGTACAACTGCGGAAAGCATTTTAAAAGTTTCTTATAACACTAAACACGCAATTACCTACTAGTACACTCTTGGTCATTTATCCCAAAAATGTATGACTTTTTTTTTCATCCAGCCAAATAAAAACCTATGTTCAAACAAAAACCTGTACAGGAATGTCCATCACAACTTTATTCACAGTAGTCAAAAACTGGAAACTGGAAACAACACAGAAGTCTCTCAACAGATTGGCCGGGTGCGGTGGGTCACGCCTGTAATCCCAGCACTTTGGGAGACCAAGGCAAGCAGATTACTTCAGGTCAGGAGTTCCAGACCAGCCTGGCCAACATGGTTGAAACCCAATCTCTACTAAAAATACAAAAATTACCCAGGTGTGGTGGTGTGTGCCTATAATCCCAGCTACTCAAGAGGCTGAGGCAGAAGAATTGCTTGAAGCTAGGAGGCAGAGGTTGCAGTGAGCCAAGATCACATCACTGCACTCCAGCCTGGGTGACAGAGTGAGACTCCTCTCAAAAAAAAACAAAAAAACAAAAAACAGATAAATGTTTAAAAACCTGGATTACTCCTCAGCAATAAAATGGAACAAATTATAAATACACACAATAACTTAGATAAATCTCCAGGTAGTTATGCTGAGAGGAAAAAAAAAGACAATCTCGAAAGGCTGAACACTGTGTTTATATAACATTCTTGACATGACAAAATTATAGAAATGGTGAACAGATCTGTTGCCAGTTCACAGACAGAGGAGGGACAAGAAGAGAGGAAGGTGGATGTGCATAGAAGGCCAGCATGAGGATCCCTGTTGGATGAAAGTGTCCTGTATCTATGTCAGTATCCTGACTGTGATATTGCACTACAGTTTTGTAAGATATGACTATTTGGAGAAATTAAGTACAAGGAATCTCTTTGCATTATTTCTTATAGCTGTGTAGGAATCTATATCTCAAAATAAGTTTAATTTAAACTAATTACCTGAATGGCTTTGGGCAGGTTACTAATCCTAAGCCCTGGTTTCCTTATCTGTAAAATGGGGGAAAATAGGACTTAATGAGGCTTAAATTAGACGATTAAATGATGTTTACAGTATTCTTAGTGCATGATTAGTATTCAATAAATGTTACTGTTGATATTTGTAGTAATAGTAACAACAGTCAATAAACATAGTCATAAATTCAAAATTTTATTTGTTAAAGTTCTACCAGATTTGGCAGGGATGGCAGCAAGGCAGACAGCAGTCTGAGCAAAGGAAAGGACGCTCTGTTTGCTCAAGGTCTAGAAAACCAAGAAAAACAGCTCTACCTTACAAACAGCTAGAGAATGAAACAGAAAGTTAAGTAAGTGAAAACCTGGCCCCTGGAACTGATAAGTTTCTTTTTTTTTTTTTTTTTTTGAGACTGAGTCTCTCTGTGTCACACAGGCTAGAGTGCAGTGGTGCCATCTTGGCTCACTGCAACCTCTGCCTCCTGGGTTCAAGCTGTTCCTGCCTGAGCCTCCTAAATAGCTGGGATTACAGGCGCCTGCCACCACGCCCGGCTAATTTTTTGTATTTTTAGTAGAGACACGGTTTCACCATGTTGGCCATGCTGATCTCAAACTCCTGACCTCAAGTGATCCACCTGCCTCAGCCTCCCAAAGTTCTGGGATTACAGATGTGAGCCACTGCTCCCAGCTGCTTGAACTGATCAGTTTCTATAAAGCTATGTAAGTAAACATATATCCAAAGAGTCATAGAACCTCGGAGTTAAATTAGAACTTAACTCACTGAACTTTTTCAACCCCTCATGCTATACTGAAACAGTCTCCACAATATCTGATAAAGTTGTTTTCTTAACTTCTAGTGATGAAGCCACTATCTTGCAGAGTAAAATATAATTGTTTAACTCTAAATCAGAGGATGACACTCTAAACTGCACATCAGAATCATTTGATAAACATTTTAAAAATAAGAGTTTAATGATTTTCAAAGGTATGACTTTTTTTCATCACCTTGGAAGATGTCTCTTCAGTGTGTAGATACAGGCAACAGTTAAAGATACTGTATTTACTTCTTGGATGATGTCTTAATCCAGCCAGACTACAGCATAATCAAGCTGCATCATATTAGGGCATATCCACCCACCCATCCATTCATTTAACAAGTAATTACTGAGCATCTTCTATGTGTTAAGACACCATGTTAGATGCTGGAGCTACAACTGTAAGCAAGAGTGGCATAGTCTCTGCCTTCATAAAATGTCTATCAAGAGAAGAAAATAACTGCTTCATTATCACAAAATTATGCACAATGGTGGAGATTAAAGAGGGGCTTTGGGAATACCTCATAGGATGCAGAAGCATCTACTTGTCTGAAAGGTTATCAACAATAAGACTCTCTTCCCTATAGGAATACACTGAGAAAATATAGACCAACTCTTTTTTCATTAGATAATGAAAAGAAACTCCTCATTTGTCTGCCATCATGAAAGAATATCCTGGTCTAAGTGCACTTTGTAGAAGGCTAGAATGTATCACCTTGTACTAAAGGTTTATTTAACATTTCTAAAACCAAGTCCTTCTAAAATGCAACATTAGGTACTGCCCTGAATCACTAAAATAGACAAATGATTGTAATTTATACTATTTTCAGTGCTCCTGGTAATCCTCATGAATGTTAGTACTATGTATTTATACCAGGAAGACACAGAACTCTCTGAGGGATGTAGAGGAACAGAACTCCCACTGCATGCTGTCCCCTGCCATCTGTCCATGCCCTCCCCCGAATGCCTGGAACCCAACGTGTGCATGTTTGCCCCACACTAAACATCCCTGGATCAGTGATGCATTCTGTTTTCTTTAGGGCCCGTTGACTCCATTAGCACTTGTCCACACTGCCCACCTCTGCCATCATCCCTCCCTTCTATCCTGCTCTCTTCAGCTAAATTGTTCTTCTCCTTGCATTTTATAAGCTGGAACATAAATAAAAATTTCCAAGGGAATCCAAACAACTGTCATCATATATAAAGTAAAAAGACTCTTTGCCCAAAACAAAGTTCACATGCACAGAATTTGTGGAAAATATTTTCAGTGGGACAAGAGGCACTGCACTTTCCTGACTTTATTCCAGGATCACAGATATTCCAAAAGCATTAAAGTGGAAAAAAAAAAAAAAAACAAGCAAACAAGCAAGCAGATGCCACCTGCCTGGCAATGAGCATTATGTCAATTATGATTAGGATTATACAGAATTTTCCCTAGAAGAAGCTCAAACATTTGTACTATTATCTCCCTTATTTTCCCTAAATTCCTGGGATATGAAAAAGGCAAGTACAATTATTATTATTTTGAGAGGGAAGCTGAGACCACCAAGATTCTAAGTGAGCTGCCCAAAGTCACAGAAAGAGGCCCAAAGGTCTTCCTGCCTTCCTGTCCTCATTCTCCTTCCAGGAAACAATGCTCCCGGAGCAGAGATGCCCACAAGATACCTAATTTTCCCCTCAGGTATAGAAAAATTGAGGCAAGAGAATGCAAATTCCTCAGCACTAAAACCAGTGAAAATTTTTAATAGACATTTTCAATCTGAAGGAAACCACCTTTATTTCATACAAAAACACATGGAACTACCTCAGACGATAAAGAAAATACCCTCATGTTTCTAAATTTGCCACATGGACTCATCACATTTCCAAACACCTTGAAATTACTTCAGATAAATGCAGTAACTCTCAGAGCACTTTTTATACAGAGAAAAAACACACTGTTCTGTGAGAGTATAAAAAACTACCTACACACTTCCACAGAAATGACTCTGCATTAGCATGTTACAAATATCAACTCCCTGCCCACTATCTCTGGATGTCTGCTCACTTTTCAGCATGAGACTAGATTGTTTTCAGAAGAATTTCATTTTGTTGGGAGAGCCTTTCCTTGCTCTTCAACTTGAGGGACTGTAGGTCCTCCTTCTTCGCCTCTGCATCTGCTGAATTTACTCAGGATTCTTGGAATATAACATTTTAAAGTGCTCACCATGTTCTTGCAGCTTTAAGCCAAATCTGTGTCTCCTTCCAGCTCCAATTAGTAAAATATTACAAACTTTTACAGGAAAGGAATTGGAAAGATCATTCCAAGTAGTCAGCTGTAGAACAGGAAGAGAAAGAGCAATAAAAAACAATAAAATAAAATAAAAGTGTGTCTCTGCTCTTCTCTAGGGTCATGCTGCCTCCTCCTACAAATATAATTAATGCATATTCTCCTTGTCTGCTTTTTCTAAACCATATGTCCTATAAAACTGGACTTACTGGTACAAGGAGAAGGGTAATGTTTAATGTGCATGGGTGTATCTGAGATGGATAGGGCTGCTGAGATATGTCTTGAGGGATAGCTCAGTGTTGGCAAAAGTCTGAAGAATTCATCTGGCAACATCTCGATTAAGCGGGAAACTCATAAATTAAAGCAGCTCAGGGGCAATTTAAACTTCATTACCCAGGTCGGTCTGGAGCTCTAGGATGAATGTAAACTACAGATGTAGCCACTTCCATTTCCTCTAAGCAAACATCTCCCTCCAGTTTTCCCATTGCTCCCTGTGCTGTCAACAGCCTACTATTGAGAAGAGGGAAAGGTGTGCAAGTTGGGAGCTATTATTCGTTCCACAGGACAGCCACGTTTCAGTCTTCTCAGATAATTAGGGGTAGATAAATTAAGCTTCACAATCAGATTTGAGTTTCTTATCAATTTTCTCACATATATAGTTAACTATGAGATAAAATTTGAATTTAACTCCCTACGATTGTCCCTCTATGTCTTTTAAGTGGTAGTACTAGTAAGCATTGCACTAATCAAAACACAATATAGAAAGAAATGGAGAAGCACAACCTAAGTCTCTAGCCTCCAGTAAATGTAAGCCAGTGGCATCCATTTTCACCAGATGAAAGTTAATAATCTGGGACAAGCACTCACTCGGAATCCTAGAGTATTGAAAATGCACTCATGGTAGCCAGCTGTGGGAATTAGGCAAGATATTTACTTCTTACTATTGACAATGCAAAACAATGCTTAGTCTACCTAAAGTCAGAATATACTTTTTAAAAAGAAAGTGTCACATATGAAGCCTCTGAAGCATTACAAGAAATATTTATGGGAAATTTCTATATTTGTTAATGTAATTAGAAAGGTGTCTAAGTGATTCAATCCGTTCTCAATTAGCCCTACTAATGGAAGTTAATCAATGCAATGGATAGCTGAAAAAGGCAAACTGTGTAAATATGGCTAATAAATTAACTCTCTTTATTAATGGTATATGATGCATTGAATCTTCTTCATATTTAACTGAAATCGTCATTTTTGGAGAAGTTGAAAATCTTAGAAAATAATTTTATTCAACCTTCTTACTTTTCATCCGAGGGAAGTTAGGCTTAAAATGTTTCAGGCAATTACAGTTTGCTAAGTGGAAGAGTTAGGCCTTGTCTATGTCTGGGCTGCAATAACAGGATATCATAGATTAGGTGGCTTATAAACAATAGAAATCTATTTCTCACAGTTCTGGAGGCTGGGAAGCCCAAGATCAAGGTGTCAGCAGATCCGGTGTCTGGTGAGGGCCCACACCGTGGCTCATAGATGGCTGTGTTCGTACCGCATTTTCACAGAGTGTAAAGGGGGCAAGGGAGTGCTCCTGGCTCTTTTACAAGTCACTAAGCCTATTCATGAGACCCCTGCCTTCATGATCTAATTACCGGTGGATTAGGATTTAAACACATAAATTTCTGGAGGACACACACATTCAGTCTATAGCAGATCTTAATCTAAACATCCCAAATGACATCATGAAGTGGAGCTACGAGGACTCTATTCAAAACAAGTCTGAAAATCAACTAGTTGCTTCAGTGTCTTCTCACTACAACCCCAACCTCAGTTCAACCCTCAAGCCTCATTCACTTCCCAAAATACCAGAAATGAATACCTCTGAGAACTTCCTAAGTACAATGTCAGATTGATTTAATACTCCAACTTGAATAGAACTTCATGTCCTATTATCTTTCCATAGCAGTTGATTGACATCTTCCCTGAGAAAGTAAGCAATTAGCAATTTTGAGCTAAAGAAAACATTACTGAAAATGTTGCTAGCGTAGAATAAGCAAAAAACTTTTAGATCAATAATGCCTGTGGAACAACATAAAATGTGAACACTATCTAGAAAAAGAGTTACATGTATTATCACAGATATATAAGATTCATAGAGAATTTGTATCCTAGACCTATGAGAATTTATCTGATTCCTGAAGAATCCCAAAGGAGATTCCATGGCTTTTCACAACATTCCCAGGTAGCCCAGTTTAATGTTTACCTCTCTTACCGCTGACATAAAACACCTATTTAAAACCTGCCTACTGCAGCTTAATAGGCATCCTGTTTATTCTAATTTTGCCAAAACGAGGTCAGTGAAGATTTAAACAGGGGATACAGTGCCTCTTAAGTGTCACCCAGTATAGCTGAGTGACACTTCAGAGGCAAAGTCTACCTTGTCTTAATTGCAGTCACAACCCTGAAACATCTACAAAAACATATTCTAACAAAAAGTTAAAATGATTGGAGAGTTAGATAAATCCTTAAGATGTTTGTGAAAGAAAACTCTGCTTGAATAGAGGGCCTTATATTCCACAATGAAACATCCTCACAAAGGCAGCTAAGAAATGAGCCCACTTGTAACAGCACAACCAGGAGCCAGGATAATTATGATGGAAACACTTTATTTCAAATCATGAAAAGAGTTACACTTGATCTTCTTGTTAGCAGGGGCTGTGCAGACAGCAACATTTACTGTGAAATGTAAAGGCAGATAACAGCTGATTTGAAAGGGGATTGTGTAAATCTAGTTAAAGAGCAACTTTAGAAGATTATTTTCAATTACTAAGATAACATCATGGCTCTCAGAAAAAAAAAACGGAAAGGTTTGTTCTTTACACCACATACAGTGTACAAAATCTAACAAAAACGCCTGCTTTCAAGCAATAATATCAGCTAAGAGCTAATATGCCTTACCTTCACTTTATCCTCCTTCTTCAAGTTGTTTTCAATTATTTCTAACATTTCCTCATGTCTGTGAACAAAAAAGTTACTTTTCAATCAGAAGAAACAGCTTAAAAAACACTGTCTCCTTCAAAATAATTACTAAAGCTTTTACATTTGCAAGTGCCAAATATACATAATCTGTGAGCCCTCTAAACTAGGGCTAAGGTCATGAGGTAAGAGTGCTTGCAACTTGGGGTTGATTAAAATGACATTTGCTTCACGGGCAGAACACTTAAATGAGAATGTCTGGGCCTTAGCCCCCACTCACGTCACCTTAACTGATCCATAGGAACACGCCCTGACCTGTACATGGACCAAATGCAAGCTACACCTCTAGCTTAAATGGATAACCTTGTCAAGTGAAACTCCTAGTTGTCATATTCCTCAACATGGCATATATAGAGGGTGCTAATGATGTATTTAGGGAGAAAAAAACTAAATAACAAAGAACCTAGTCTAAAGGAAAAACATCAAACTGGGAAGCAGAAAACCCTGTACTTTCCCAACTCTGTCATTTACAACCGACGTGACCTTTCCAAGCCTCATCTTCCTGTACTCTCCACATGTTCTCAACATCCCACCCACTTAATACTATGCTCCCTGGACATACTGTGTTCTTCTGTGTCTCTGCTTTGAATGACCTCCACCTGGAGAGCCCCTTGGAGCCTAGCTTAGTTCCCTTGTCTATGAAAGGCACCCCAACTCCCTTGTCAGAATTAATCTGACACCCTGCTGTGCACCCCTCTAATGCTTGGTAATTATTTGCTTCCTAATGCTGATCACACACTGTTAGTTATCTATAGCTATCCATTCCTCGAGTAGCTTAAGTGCTCCTCCAGGGCAGGGACATGTCATCTTTGTATATTCAGAGCTGCAGTAACATTAGGAAGCACTCAGTAAACACTTACGAAATAAACAATGAATCAATGAAGGAATGAATGACAAACTGACTTCACCAACTTTCAATTTCATCACCTTTATAACTCGGAAAATAATCATTACCCAGTTCGTTCAGAAATCATAGTGATCCAAAGATGCAATGATGCTTTTCACATCGTTAGGTAATGATTATAATAAAGATAGTAATGTTAAAAAGTCATAACATACAAATAGAGTATGATGTCTTCACATACAGTCTGCCTATACTCAATTTCAGTATCTTTCTTCTCATAAAAAGAAATTTAAATTTTAGCAAAAGGAGAGACTTCATTGTCCAAAAAGTGTTCTTATGACACTAAAACTAAATCTCTAAAAGACAAAAGAATCATTAGTCATTTTATATGTGCTTCTCCTTCCATTGATTAGCTGCATTTTTCCGCTTGGACATGTGGCTAGACACAGATTCTACTCTGTGATATGCACTGGACACTGCATATTCCACTCCCGTGTTGCCACCTCAAAACATTCTAAAAGCAAAATTGCATTTATCTGGAAAAACAGGTCCCTGATGCACTAAAGGACTGAGGCAACCCTTTGAAGAAAGGGACTGAGGGATCCTGAAGGTGCACAGGAGCAGTGATAATGGTCTCATATTTCAACTGTAGGTAACTGCGGACTGTATGTTAAACATTTTCCTCTAAAGACCTACGTTCTTTCTAACCAAAACACTTTCTTGTCACAGAGAGAGAAAGAATTATCTTATTTGATTAAGGCTACTGCTGTAACAATAAATCCCAACACAGTTCATTCACTTGAGGAAGCATAGTATCCTAGCCACGCACTCAAGCCAAAGCACCACAATCGTCCCAGCCTCCGGGACAATGGGGTAGCACACTGCTATAGCTCAACTGTAGAAAGGTAAACTTTGGAGCACTGAAGTCTAAAAATGTATTCAGGGAACGGTTATGAGCTTGTATTTCATGATTATTTTAAGGTGACAAATAATTAAAATTATATTCAAGTCCCAATGTTCCCATTGCTCAGAAGAGTAAAATAGACTTGGTTTCTAAATTTGTAGACACAGACAAGGTCAAGCTACGGACAGTCAAAAACCATCCAAAAAAATTAAACTAATTTCATCATGGAACAGAAGAATGGGAATTGAGAATTCTCACTAAAAGGATGAAAAGGATATCCCAGCTGCAAGTTATCATAAGCTAGTTGGCCCATCATCTGCCCGGCTGCAGCTGTATCCAACTCTCAGCTCACCCAAAGAGATTCACGCTCTCATGGTGCCAAAATGAATGTCTCTCTTAAAAAAAAAAAAATTGCCCAATTGAAAATAACTCTCTAATCTGCATCCTTTCAATAGAACTGAAGTGCACTTCACCAACACAGAGCACAGGCATCTTGAATTAGCAGAGAACTATTTTTAACACATGAAGGATACGATATGAAATTAGTTTCACGGGGAATGAGAACCTTGGAGATTATTTACTTTGCCTTAATTACTCTGACTCACCATTAATTTAGCTTTCCTAGGGCACTAAATATTTCACGCTAAGATTTTCAGTATAAAGAGACAGGAGCAAAAATTTGGAGCACTGGAAGTTTGCAGTGGCATCTTCAACAATGAAACACAGATGTCCCCATTGGGCACTGAAGGCCATTCAAGTATGCACTGTTCAATGACATTTTTAGTTACTGTTTCTGTGTTGTTTTTAACCTTGGGATCAGAACCTGTGCCCTGAAGTATGCAGGGAGCCAAACTTTATGCAGCTTCTGTTTTACTCCTCAGCCAACAATATCACCAGTGTTCACAGCTACTCCCAGCAACTGCCAAATAGGGCAGGCAGCAATTGCCTCACGCCAAGGAGGGAAAAGTTTAGACTGTGCTTTAAAAGGAAGTTTCTAACAATCAGTGCAATTGGGCAATGAAGTCAATTCCCAATAAAGGTGACTAAGGAGACAGTACAGCAGATATGCTGTAATGGGTTCATTAGAGCATCAGTGGGAAATAATGCACTCAGCTTCCACCAAAGCACTTACAGTGAGCAGGGTCTGTCATACACAGCTGGGCACTTGCCAAAGCCCTCTACTCTCCCCCATGGCTCTTAATCAGTTGTCCACTGGCAGACACCACAAACATGGGCAGTGCATAGCAGCCGGCAGGAGCCTGAGGGGAGCAATACACTGGATGCCAGATGCAATACCAGACTCACTAGGACCACTCAATCTGTCAGTGCCCTCCAGCTCCACCTGGCACTCAGCAATTAGAGATGAGGAGGAGGGAGAGAGACTAAGAGAGTCGGGGGGGAGCGGAGGGGGGCTTCTTTTAGTGGATGCCCACAAAGAACTGTTCCATATTCTAAATGTCAAATGAACTGGTTCTGTATTACATAACTCCATTCCAGTGAGCTTAAGCCATATTTTTCCCCACTAAGTACTCTACAACCTAACATTTTCCTTCTTACATACATACATTTTTACTCTGATAAAGTTGTGCTTTCATTTATGTTGTGCTTTTCCTCCTTTTTGATTACTGTTTAATTGTTCTATATCCTTCTAGCATTCTGAACCCAAAAAACCATAGCAGACAAGTTCAGACATCTCCAAATCTTCACCAATCAAATTTTCTGTAATGAACATATGCTTCCATAGTAAACATTTCTAGGCTGAGTGTGTTGGCTCATGTCTATAATCCCAGCATTTTGAGAGGCTGAGTCAGGAGGATCACTTGAGGCCAGGAGTTTAAGACCAGCCTGGGCAACATAGTGAGATCCTGTCTCTGCAACAAAACACAACAAAACAAAACAAATTTTAAAACTACCCAGGCATGGTGGCACATGCCTTGCAGTCTTAGCTACTTGGGTAGCTGAGATGGAGATCACTTGAGCCCAGGAGTTCGAGGTTACAGTGAGCTATGATCATGCCACTGCACTCCAGACTGGGCAACAAAGCAAGATACTGTCTCTTAAAACATAAATAAATATTTAATTTGACAATAATAAGTACTAACATTTCTTTAGCATATTTACAGCTTTAAAACATACATACACCATATTACTTTATCTCATCTATTTTTACCACTTGGCCTCTTTCCATGTTTCTCATGCTCATGAATACTCCCAACTAGCAGTCACTTTTCACAAGTAAGCCTGTTCACTTTGTCATTGTCAATCCGATTTCCTCGTTGTCTGCCTAGGTCACAAACCTTACTTGGGCCATTTACACTTTCAGTCACTTATCATTTACAATTATTAGGTGAATCTCTCCAATGCCATATCTCAATTTCAATACTTAACACTGTGTTGCTTATTTTCTAGTATCAGTGAAAATAAAATAAACAAATTGCTATTAGTTAATTTCTATTTGAGGAGAGAAGAAGCAACATGGTGAACAATGTGGTAAAGGAAGGTGTTCAGAACTCTTGCTGCTTCTATTTACCAGCTATCACAGTGGGCAAGTTGCTTAATCTATGTTTTGGCTTCCTCTTATTGTCATTAGAAAGGCTGCCATGAGGATTGAATAGGATGACATATGCAACTGTGCCTGAAGATACTCAAAAGACATTACCCATAACACTGAATCTTCTGCTAGGTTTCTAAATGCCCTCTCCTTCACATTAATAAAGGCTACTATAGCGAATAGCACCCCTCTGCCACTGGGTCCCCACAAGTGTGCCACCCTAATGAGCTTCCCCATTCACTTCCTCAAAAGGATGACCAAGGCACACTAAGTGTTGCCACCCAGAAATCACTGATTTCTAAGTTAATTTTTTTTTTTACTAAATTCAACTGCAAGAATTTCAGAAAAACTACAGTTGAGAGCAGAGAGTAAGTGCATAGATGGCCATTAGCTCCAAGCACTTTCAATTATGCTTCACTGGTCTTTACATCCTATACTGGAATGGAGAAGGAGATAGTAACAGACTGACTGCAGAGCAAGCATGTATTGACAGCAAGATACAGGTGGCCACTCAGGGGCTCCCAAATAGTCTATCTCTAGGCCATCACCCACCAAGCACTAGGCTTATGGCTGGTAGAATACATTCCTCTCCATCCCTTTCTCTTTGCCTTCCTCGTGAAACACTTAAAAACCACAGGAGCTTTGATTAACCTCAAATGATGTCAGTTCCAATTTGTCATGCTCAGAGAAATTGTGACACCTGAAATTCTGCTTTAATTCTGAAGCCTCCACTTAAAGGTTCAGAGACTTAAAAACAAAAGCTCACAACAGGCAGTTGAGGGATATCAACGCCTAACTGGCAATAGTGTAGTTTCATGGCTTAGATGGCTTATGTAAAATGCAAAAGGAGCGTATCTTTTGATCCAGCAATTTCTCTAATAAGAATTTACCCAAATGAGATAATTGCCCAAGTGTAGAATGGTATACATGCAAGTATGCTTAGAGCAGCAATGAATTTTAGAATGAAAAATTGGAAACAAATGTCTATCAGTAAATCTAGAGTAAACTCTAACAAACACCATTAGCTGCCTAGTCAGTGAGGCATTTCCGCTTCTTCTTTAACAAAACTCTTAGTTTCCAATTCATGAAGTTTGGACGAAGTTAGCATATGCTTCTACCCAGATCTGAGACAATGAGAAAATGGCATTCCCCCTGGTCACATGACCTACAATGGTGTAAGTAGAAGGAGTAAAAGAAGAGAAGCTCTTTTTCTCTGGAAAGTTAATGTGCTCCTAGAGATGCAGAAATTTTGCTACCATTAGGAGCATGAAAAAGAGTAAGAAATAGACAATTATAAAGAAAGAAATCCTATATCCTGATTAAATCATGCCTGAATCCCCTACCCACTGGATTTTTCAGTATGTTCTATTTATGCTAGTTTGCCCTGGGAAATGTATTACAATGAAAGGCATCCAATAAAAGTATTCAAGTCATTAAAAATTTTATTTATTGACATGGAGAGAGGCCCATTACATGTTATTATGAGTTATTATGAAAAAATGGATTATATAATAGTACATACAACAAAAATCTCATTTATTTACTTTATCTGCATATAGTATACGTATGTGTACACACACACACACACACACACACACACACACACACAGACTCAAGAGATATGCCTGGATATATCAACAATGGTTATCTCTAGTAGGAATTCTGAGTAATTTTACTTTCTTTTTGTATTCTTCTACAGTGTTTACCCGGGTGCAACAACAGCATTTTTGTGGGAGAAAAATAAGCTTCTAAAAACTAGCTATTTACTGATTCTGTCTGTCTCTAGTGTGAAATAAATGGATGGCTTTGCTTCATATCCCTCTCCAAACTTGTGTTCCAGGAGAAAAAAAAAATCAAGAAAACTAGCCAGGCACTCAAATTATTATTTCATTATAAAATTCCATGATGAAGCAATGAAACCCCTTTCAGATCTGAATTTATACATGCTGAAAAAGAAACACAGCCAGCGGTACCTAAGTGTCTTTCCAGAAGAGTGGAAATAACATTAATCAAAATGAAACATCCTACAGAAGCTGAACACTTCTTATCCCAAAAAGAGAGAATCCAAGGCGGGAGGGCAGAGGCATAGACAGAGCAATGACACAGCTGCCTCCAGAAAGAGCAGGAACCTTTGAGGCCACGTAAAAGCTGCAAAGGGGTTCTCAGCACTATCATATTAGACAGATGGTACCTCCCTGACTGTCGCTAGGTATCCACATCTTTTTTTGTGTGGGATAAACCCCCGAGGACCTAACCCACCCATCAGTAAAGGAGCCTTATTCTAGTCACTCCAGGCTCTCCAAAGGTAATAATTTCAAGGAAATTAGAAGACTAGATGTTCTCTGTGACCTCTTTCAGTTCTACAATTATAACTTAATTAATTAAGTACATTATATACATTTTGTGAAGAGAGATTCTTTGAAAGACTTTTGAAAAACATGGGTTAGAGACATCTGAGTGCTGTAGATTCAGGCTGGAAGTGACAGGTCTAAGAGGTAACAGTGGGTTTAGAAATATCTACCAAAGGCAAACAGAAGTCAAAGATAAAAATCTCTATTTGTTTACTGGTGATTTTTTACCAGAGTTTGTAGAATCTTCCCAAAAAGTTCTCAAAAACTCTGGCTTCTAAAATCAGTTCATTGGTGTGATATCTCTTTTTTTTTTCTTTGAGATGGAGTCTCGCTCTGTCGCCCAGGTTGGAGTGCAGTGGCGCCATCTTGGCTCACTGCAAGCTCCACCTTCCGGGTTCACGCCATTCTCCTACCTCAGCCTCCCGAGTAGCTGGGAATACAGGCGCGTCTGCCACCACGCCCGGCTAATTTTTTTTTTTTTTTTTTTTTTTTGTATTTTTAGTAGAGATGGGGTTTCACCGTGTTAGCCAGGATGGTCTCAATCTCCTGACCTCATGATCCGCCCGCCTGGGCCTCCCAAAGTGCTGGGATTACAGCATTGGTGTGATATCTCTTTAAAGTAAAAGGAATCTTATAAAGTAACTGCAAAGATAGTAGGATAATTTCCATCAGTTCCAAAGTTAATTTCTAGCAGTTATTTGTTGCTTTTACAATAAATTACTACACTACTTACATGGTATTTCATGATACTGGCATTATTCACAGTCAGACACTATTTTGTTCTGAGAAAGTCACGGTACTCAAAGAAGATAATCTAAAATAAACACCAAGTATCAAATTGTCTATACTACATGTTGGCTTTGGGATCAAGTTAAAGATGCTTCCCCAAAAAGCATTCCTCCCACTCAAAATTACAAGCATGCACTAGGTTATCCATTTGTCTATTCTGTGTCTGATTGTAATTCCCTCCCACCTAGATGGACTGTTGGCAGCCTTCAATCCTACAGAGCATAAAAATGGGAAAGAAGATCCCAGCACTTTGGGAGGCCAAGGCAGGTGGATCACCTGAGGTCAGGAGTTTGAGACCAGCCTGGCCAACATGGTGAAACCCTGTCTCTACTAAAATACAAAGAATTAGCTTGGCGTGGTGGTACACACCTGTAATCCCAGCTACTCGGGAGGCTGAGGCAAGAGAATCACATGAACCCAGAAGGCAGAGGTTGCAGTGAGCTGAGACTGTGCTACCGCACCCCAGCCTGGGCGACAGAGCAAGACTCTGTCTTTAAAAAAAAAAAAAAAAAAAAAAGAAGGAAAGAGAAGAGAAGACAATACTGAGTGGTTCTCAAACTTCAGTTCCAACAAGAATCCTTTATGGACTATCTTCAGCGTTCTGCATCAGTAGCTTGAGATGGGCTGCTAGCTATAATTTTAAAAACAACCTAGATAGATCTGAATAGTGTATGGATCACCCTTTGTGAAACAATGATGTAGATCATTACAAGAGGATTTTGTCCCCCTTACAGATAATCAAACCTGATCCTATGACTCTATCCTGGATGATTCTACTCTTCTCTACATTTATGGTCACTATTCTTGTCCCTTGTCCAGGAACCCACCACCATCTATTCCTGCACTTGAAAATAATTTCCAAATTAGTTCTCTTGTTTCTAGTCTTGCCCTCTCCAATCTCTCCTCCAGAAACCTGCCAGAAGGGTTTTATGTATTACAAATCAGACCACATCACTTCCCTTAAAACCCTTCAATGACTGCTTAAGGAGTATAGGATTTCCTTTTGGTGGCTGCACAATATTGTGAATATACTAAATGCCACTGAATTGTTCACTTTAAAATGGTTCATTTTGTGTCATGTGAATTTCACCTCATTTTTTTTACATGGCAGACAAAAGCAAAAGCAAAAACACTTCAGTGGCTCTCCACTGCACATAGGAGAAAATCCAAAGTCCCCAGCATGGTTTACTAGGTCCAGCATAATTGGGTCCTAACCTCCACCTCAGCAGCCTTGTTCCTGCCACTGTTCACCCTTTCTCTCTATACTCTCCAGCCACACTGGCCTCCTTCTGGTTTCTAAAAGCCAAGCTTTCACACATCTGGACTTCATACTTGGGACTCTCACCTGGATAACCCCAACCACCCTTCAGGTATGAATTTATAAATTACTCTTCCATATAAGCCTCCTCTGTCACTTCACCCTCATTATGCCCTTTCAGAGAAACCCAGTTTTTTCAAAGTACTTATCATAAGATCCAATTACATAATTACTGTTCTGTTTATCTGTTTGATGTATTTTCCAGTAAACTGTAGACTCCCAAGACAGGAATGCTGCTTATTTTGTTCACCACTATGTTCCCAGCATCTCATGTGAACTTGGCACAACAAATACCTATTCATTAGGCACGCACAATGAATATCTAGCATGCTTTTCTCCAAAAACATTAAATCTCTACAAAATGATTAAAGGCCTATAATCGCAATATGATATGAAAAATAAAATGTTAGTTATTCTAAAATTCATAATAACTAGATGAGGAAACTCAGAAACTTCTTAGAATCAGCTCAATATAGAGTACATCCACCAAGCACAGAAAACAGCTTCTCTAACTTCTACAGCACCTACTTTGTGATGCTTGATAGAATCAAGTCTCTAATGCCCAAGAAAATTCCACTTAAAAACTCTCTCTTCATGCCACAGCACATTACTAAGTAATAAGGAAAGAAACATTGTGTACATCTCTGCAGAAAGATACAACTGAAATGGATCAAAGACTAGAATTCAGAAGGATGTCAGGAGAAACTGTTAGCTACTTTCACATAGGCATGACTTTCTTGAAAAAGGGTGTATAGAGTACTACCAGAAAATAAGGGCTCTGGACTTAGTCGGTTCTGAGAGATAAAGAAAACGGAAAATGGAGAAGAAACTCACATAAAGGCAGGCATAATTGGTGTTTTGTTACTAAACAAACTGCTCTTCAGTGATTATAGGTGTGCACGTGATTGATTTTTTCCAATCTTGCACTTGTATTAACTAGAACCCTAATTTGTCCATGAGGCTGAAGTGTGTCTTAATTACTTGCCTTCAAAGCTTATGCCCATTTAAAATAAGCTGATTTCTTTTCCATTGTCAGTTCACTCAGAGCCACCTAATCCACAATCCTCCCGCCCAGCACTCACCACTTCTGATCATTATGGAGAGCAGAGGCAAGGGATGGCCTTACAGACAGGTTCCAAAAAGATCCACCTATTCATAACTGTGTGCACCAGCCCACAACACATCCCCCAGCCCTGCTCTCACTGCAAGGGCAACAAAACATCAAAACCTGAACACATTTACCATCCATGCCACAAGCCACAAGCAATCTTTCTTTTCTTTTTTCTTTTTTTTTGAGATGGAGTTTCGCTCTTGGCACCCAGACTGGAGTGCAATGGCGTGATCTCGGCTCCCTGCAACCTCTGCTCCACAGGTTCAAGCAATCTCCTGTTCAGCCTCCAAAGTACCTGGGACTACAGGTGCCTGCCATCATGCCCAGCTAATTTTTGTATTTTTAGTAGAGACGGGGTTTCACTATGTTGGCCAGGCTTGTCTTAAACTCCTGACCTCAAGTGATCCGCCAACCTCGGCCTCCCAAAGTGCTAGGATTACAGGCCTGAGCCACCGTGCCCAACCTTTTTTCTTTTTTTAGAGACAAAGCCTCCCATGATCTTTCACCCAGGCTGGAGTATAATGGCATGATCATAGCACACTATAATCTCAAACTCCTCTGTGTTCAAGCAATCCTCCCACCTCAGCCTCCTGAGTAGCTTATGACTACAGGTGTGCATCCCTAATATTTTTATTTTTTGTAGAGACAGGGTCTCACTTTGTTGCCCAGGCTGCTCTCGAACTCTTAGTCTCAAGTGACCCTCCCACCTTGGTCTCACCAAGTGCTGGAATTACAGGTGTGAGTCACCTCACCTAGCCCAAAGGTGATTTTTCAGTACTTGAGTTTTCTTCTGCTAAAGCTTTGAGTTTTCCCAGGCCTCAGGTCAGTAGACCTGGTGGTGATCTGCATGGCTACTAATTTTAAGATTATTCCCATGTGTGCTACAATGCCTAAACTGCTCCTGGCATCTGAGGATGGAGTGCCCACGATTGGGTGGTTGATGTGCCCTTTTGAACATCTTAGAGATAGCGCTAAAGCTTGTTCTTAATTGAGGCTCCAGCTTCCTGCTCTCTCTGCTTGACTTGGGGCCCCCGGAGAAAGAATGAAGCTGCTAGGGGGGCCTACACGGTTGCAACCAATAAAACCTCTTTCCAACAGAGACAGGGAGCCTGAAGAGTCACCACAATGCCCCACTGCCACCCCTAAGGAATTCAAGTTGCTCTTTTGTGCCTCCTTCCTTAAGGCAGTGTGTGTGACCACTATGGTGGCCCCCAGCTTTGCTCCATTGACAGACCTTCTTAATTTGCCTTGTTTGAAGATGCTACTTGAGGCCTGTTTTTTCTTAACCAAGCATTCTTATTAATGTTCTTGACATTGTTTTTATGATATAACCACATATACTTCCGGAGGCAATAAGGTGGAGGAGGCTGATAATACTATAAAAAGTATTTTCATGCAGTAAAGTGCCAGCCAAACCAAACCCTATGGAGCAGAGGTATGAACTGAAAGCCAACATACATTTAGGAGTGAATCATAAGACCAATATGTTAGTATGTTAATGGTATAATACATAAGAGATGAGTAAGAACTGCTGGTAGAAAATAAGATAGGGAGTGTTAGCAAATGAGGGTTTGAAGGACAGAATAACAAAGACATTGGAGGGAGATTGCCAAGTTGACAAACATGTATGAAAAAGAGGTGCTTGGAAACCACAGTCGAGGAGGGAATGAAGAATCAGCAAAGGGACAGAGATTCCTAGTGGCAGGGGTGAAGTTATAAATGCAGGTAACGTCTACCCCACCTGGAACTAGTAAGATTTTTTTGGAGTGGAAGAAGCTACAATGTCAGAAGACAAAAAATCTCACCAGATTTATAACATTCCCATGCTTTGAGGAACTGGGGAATGTCTAATTAGGAAAACAGAAATACCTTCAAGATTTTCCACTGAGGAAATTAAATGCAGAGAATTGACTACTCAGGTGATGGAGGTGCAGACAGCCTACCACCAGATAGTGAGGTAATCTAGAGATTAGCATGAACAGGAAGCACTACCTCCCCTGGACTATAGCAGGAAGTAGTATTGCTGGAATCTGTGGGACAAAGTCACTAGTAAGCAGCTAGAACCAGAGAAGGTCTGTTGAGCACAAGCTGTGCTACAGACGTGAATTCCCATTGCCAGGGATGCTACCCACAGCTAGGGAAAAAAAAAAAAAATCCTGCATCACCCTTTTCCCTGCGGTCTCCCACCAGTGCCTCCCAAGGGTAAAACACAGCAAGCCAGCTGACTCAGAAATCTGAGAAAGCAGCCTGCAGGGGTGAGCCCTTCATATACAGAGAGGAGGAAGGAAGAGCAAGGAATGCTGTACCCAACACCAGAGAGGAGGATAGAAATGCTGGTGAAAGGAAGAGGAGTTCCAGTGAGCTTGAATAAGAAGCTCCTTTTACAATAGGCATACTTTAAAAAGGTTCGCTTGTTGCCATACAATGGTCACCAGGGGATAAATAAACTAGAAGTTCTACCTTCTGGAATAGCTGACTGACCTTCCTGCCACATTCAAGCGGCCCCTGATGCTGCTATGCAGAATCCACATTGGAAGGGGTTGGGGAATTTATTCTCTGTTACGCTTTCTTCAGTTACAATTAAGTCAGGACTAGTCCAAACACGTGAAAAAAATTCTTAAGAAAAATTCTACACTAAAAAAGGCTGACTTTTAAAATGAGAAATATAATAGTCCATAAAAGTAAATACATATGTGCGCACACACGTACACACACATAGTTGTACAAGTAAAACTGAGGAAATCTGAATAAGATTGATGGATTGTATCAATATCAATATCCTGCTAATAAAACTGTACACTATAGTTTTATAAGATGTTATCTTTGTGCAAAGATATCACAGGATCTCTCTGTATTATTTCTTTTTTTTTTTTTTCTGAGACGGAGTCTCACTCTGTTGCCCAGGCTGGAGTGCAATGGCATGATCTCGACTCACTGCAACCTCCACCTCCCGGGTTCAAGTGATTCTCTTGCCTCAGCCCCCCAGGTAGCTGGGATTACAGGCGCCCACCACTATGCCTGGCTAATTTTTTTTTTTTGTATTTTTAGTAGAGACGGGGTTTCACCACGTTGGTCTGGCTGGTCTCGAACTCCTGACCTCAAGTGATCCACCCCCTTGGCCTCCCAAAGTCTGTATTATTTCTCAAAATTGCATGTGAATCTACAATTATCCCGAAATAAAATGTTTAATAAAAAATAGCATAAGTATGTACATAATATCCACAATTAACAAGGCTTCTTCTTTTCTACTGTGTATCCGGGGCCCCTTACACTCACATGCTCAGTATTTCTACTGTCAGCACTCTTTTGTTCTCGCTGATAAGCAAAGCCCAGTAAGCTCTTTGCTGACCCACTCCACCACTTCTTATAATTTGGTCTTTTCTTTGTCATTGACTCAAAACTACTTTTGCAAAAATATGGGGATGATGTTGGGTTACTATTGTTTGATTATTCAGCCTTTGCATTTCTAACTATAGAGAGAGCCAGAATATTAGTATTCCTACATGGGACAATTAGAAGCCTGCCTTATCTTATTTCATATCTTCTAACAAGCTTCAACCTCTTCATTTCATAATTAAGCATTCAATTCAAAACAGCTCTCTTTACAGATTTATGTTTTCTTTCTCTCACTCTCTTTACCCCTTTATCCCCTTTGGGAGCTAGTGGCCTAAGAACTGGCAGGAAAAATTGCAGTCAAAAGCTTGGCATTATGACAGAACAAGAGGAAAAAAAGCAACCCCACCCCCAGCTACCACTCATTCACTTAGCTAAAATATAGGCTATCAAAGCATCAGGGAAAACAACAGATACAAATGCACAGAGTCATACTAGGTCTTCCAGAAACTGATGGTGGATGAAAATCACCTCTTCGCCAAGAGCAAGGGGGGAAAAATCACTATTCATCACAAAATGATGCACCACAGATCTCTCTTCAGCTCTCCTTCTCTACAACTCCACAAATCCTTCCCGTAAAATATAACTTTCTTCCTTTAATGATCTGATAGTGAATTATTCATACTCTTCAATTTATCTTTCCTTCTTTTATTTATGCTCAGACATGTACTACTTGACTGTAAAAAGCCTAAGATTATAGATTATAGGCAAGACAGAGGATTCCCAGCCCTTTCAGGGGTGCCAAGTCCAATGGGCAGGGCAGGGCAGGGCAACAGGACGAGGTGGAGGGCTAACACTCATCTGGGGAATGGCAGGTAAGTGACCACATGGCACAGGCCTCTATGTCATGCTGACTGTTTTAGAGAATCCATCTCAAATCCTTTCCGTACCTCCATCCCCACAGTTATACCTTAGCTTAGGTACTCATGATTGTCTGAGCAGTGCCACTTCCTAGCTGGTCTCCATGTCCCCAACTCCTCCTCCATCAATCCATTTCCCACACATCTGCCAGAATCATCTTTCTAAGCTGCAAATCTAAGGAGCAATGCCCTCATCAGTAGGTCTCTATCACCTGAGGCCAGGTCTCCCAAACTTGCCTCGTTATTTAAAAAAAAAAAAAAAAAAAAAGCAGATTCTTCCATATCTTACGTTGAAGAAGCCAACCTTGTGACAGAATTTAAGTACAAGTTATTTATTTGGGGAGGGGATCCTAGGAAGTACTGGTAGAGGAATGGAGAAGGGAGACAGCCACTTTTAAAGCACAGGTTGTCTAGCTGGCTATGACTGTGGGTAACTGAGGATGCTAGCATGTTACCCAACTCTCTCATGTCACTGGCTGAGGTCTATTCCTGAGGCCATTAACTGTGCTGCACTACTAAGCTTCCCCACACACGGGAGAGAAACCCCAGGTGGGGAATAGGAGGTACTTGCAGAATTGCATCCTGAAGCAGGGAGTGTCAGGGCATGAGTAGCAAACTGACTATGTCTGCTGCACCAGGCCACATCCCTGAAGATGTCCATTCAGTGGGTCTTGGGTGGGATCTGGAAATCAGTATTGTGACAAACACATCATGGGATTCCTATGAACAGACAGATTTGAAAAACACTGACAACATTATTAAGTCCAAAATCTTTGGTGGACTCTACCAGGTCCTCCATGGTCTGTGTCTTCTGCCCTGCTCTCCATACCAACCTCCATGCACAGTCCACTTGCCAGAACACATTGAATCTGTGCACTTCCCTGCAAGCAGCATGTTCTCTTCCATGAGCAGCAACTGTGCCTTAGGAATCTGCATGAGGCCGGGCGTGGTGGCTCACACCTGTAATCCCAGCATTTTGGGAGGCCAAGGCGGGCAGATCACGAAGTCAGGAGATCGAGACCATCCTGGCCAACACAGTGAAACCCCATCTCTACTAAAAAGCAAATACAAAAAATTAGCTGGGCATGGTGGCGAGCACCTGTAGTCCCAGCTACTCGGGAGACTGAGGCAGGAGAATGGCGTGAACCCGGGAGGCAGAGCTTGCAGTGAGCCGAGATGGTGCCACTGCACTCCAGCCTGGGCGACAGAGCGAGACTCTGTCTCAAAAAAAAAAAGAAAAAAAAAAAATCTGTATGATCCCCAAAGCCAAATACAGTACCATTTATATGGTAAATGCCCAACAAATGTTTATTAAAGAAATAATCCCCAAAGAAATACATAGTATGATATTATTTAAGTGGTATTGAAAGGTTCCCTGGACAAAAAAAAAAAATCTTCCCTATGTATTAAAATAGTAGGTACAATTCCACTATTAAAACTAAGCAAATACATATTGAGCACCTAATATATGCAAGACACTCAGGAATCCCTCCAGAAAAGAACTTTAACCTTTTATCAGCTTTTACACTTTGACAAAGATGTGCTGATACACAGATGTGAATAAAACCCTACAAAGGAGATAAACACCTGGGCAGTGGTAGAAAGGTAAAGGGCACTCACTGTAAAAGGAACTGGAGGTATGAAAGACTACCTATCCTGTGATTCTGTCAGGGTTGTCTTCAGGGACACTACCTCCTCCCTCACAAAGATTCAACAGGATAAAGAAGAAAGTTTTATTTCAATGGCACAAACACCTGGAATTATGACTTCTTCCAGTGACTAGAAATGTGGTACTTGGGATCCAGATGGTAACTCTGGGCTCTATCCCTTACATCCACAATGGCTTCTGGGGCTTTTGAGATGCTCAAGGTACTCTCTTGCAAATGAGACCAGAGCAAAGGCTTTGGCTACTGAAGTCATTACAGACCTCACCTGTGGCTTTTCTCCCACTGTTAGAGATGTTAACACAGCACCTTGGTCACATTCCAGTCTGGATAATTACATTGGGGCCAGCAAACTTTACCCTCCAGCACCAACTAAACAAAGTATTCCTTTGGACTTGCTGCCATAACCTTTGTTATGCTGCTGTGGGCTATTAAAGGGCTATTCCATACTTAGGATGGCTGTATTTGTGGAAAATAAATAGCCCTGGCATTACTTTCTATACTGACAAATATATTCCAAAATATCATTGGCTAAGTTGGCTATTTTGGCTTAAAATATGCAGTGCCAGAAACAATTAGAAATTACAGTAATTTCTTCTCCATTCTCTAAACTTTTACTATCCACACAAATGAAGCTTGAAATACTTGCAGCATTACACAAAGAGGGAGAGATGATGCATTAATTCCACAAAATATATACTTAGTGTCTGCCATATGCCAGGCTATATGTCGTAGGTACCGGGCACTGTTCTCAGTGCTGGGGGTTATGTTGACAGTGTAAATATGAAAATTTTCCAGAGGGAGTAATTCAAATGAATTCTTCCTATGCTGCTACATTTCTAAAAATCTGAATACATTATTTTTACTTGAAAAACTACCATACACAGTTCTCCCAATCAAATACTACTTTTGTCCACTATTTTTTTTTTTTAGATGGAGTTTCGCCCTTGTTGCCCAGGCTGGAGTGCAATGGCGCAATCTTGGCTCACTGCAACCTCTGCCTCCCGGGTTCAAGCGATTCTCCTGCCTCAGCCCCCCGAGTAGCTGGGATTACAGGCATGCACCACCATCCCGGCTAATTTTGTATTTTTGTAGAGACGGGGTTTCTCCATGTTGGTCAGGCTGGTCTTGAACTCCCGACATCAGGTGAACTGCCCGCCTCGACCTCTCAAAGTGCTGGGATTACAGGCGTGAGCCACCGCGCCCGGCCTTGTCCACTATTTAAATAAGAGTCTGTAGGACCTTAAACTCTATGTGTATGTGGAAGTATATGTGTACCTAAGAGTGAGAAAATATGCCTTCCTGGCTATCCTGGAGGGTGGCAAACAGAATGCTGCTTATATATTTATTTGTTTGCTTATTTTTAGCAATCATCCCATTTGGGTGGGTAAGAGTTTACAGGTTATAATAGCAGAAGCTGACATAAGAAAATTGAAAACATAAATATCTCTTGTTTAAAGCTCTTTAGTGTATGAAAGAAACACAAATCAGGCCCTCTGATATTCTATCATAGGAATGAAAAGTGACAAAAAGAAAAAAATGTAAGTATTGTGTGTGTTTGCACATACACACAAATTATCTTGCACATGAAAATAGGAGAGGGAAGTTAATTAAATCTCAAGATTCCAGTTGGTTAAATTAAATGTATGAACTAAAGAATATTTAACATCACACTATGCAAGTGGATGCAGAAATAGTTCAGAAAATTTTAAGAAACATAACCTTTAAATTCAGATTAATCCTAGTGGATCTGAAACAAGTACTTCTCCTAGACAAATTATATCCAGACAGTGGAAAATAGATTTTTTTTAAAGTGAAGTTCACTTGAAATATGCCAAATTATTATTCTTTTGGAAAATCCTTCTAGCTAGAATAAGTTAATAGCAGGCTTCTAAAACTAGGTTTAACATGCTGTAAATCCATTTATTCCCCTCTACAAATCTACTAAAGTACGTCTTTTCTGGTGAAAAGGCCTCTTTAATGGTACTTAATACTGTCACTACATTGTTTCTCCAATCAGTCAATGTCAAGGTTTTCTACTTAAGGAGTTATATTAAAGTTAAATGCTTACTTTTGTCATAAATAATAAACAATGGAATACAGATTATTTAAAATAGCACACGGAACCTCAAAATGTATTACACACAATATATATTTCCTAAGTTTAGAAGAAATGACTAATAATGCATATATGATCCAAGTTTTCCATCCTATAATCCATTCATTATCATTTTAGCATTAAGAAACAATCTGCACTATCACCTCTCTCAGAGATAGATGACTCATCTTCCACTAACAGGCATTAGGTAACACCTTTGGCAAGATGGCTTTGATAAAAGACTGAAACAAATATTATGCAGGGACACAGGCACCCCACAAACCTTAAAGAGCCCAGATCACTACACCAACAGTATGTCCATTGCTTTGTAGGATAGGAGATTGTAATGAGTGATTGATTAATTAGCTATAATGTACAGGTATACAAACTGACCAATACAATCTTGAGTCTCATTCCTGTTGAAAATTCACACAGAATAAGAGATTATTAAAGACTGCCCAAAGCTATAGACAACTACCAAAGCAAGGGACTGGGCTTCCCAGTTTAGGGAAAGGCAGGAATCATAGGACTTTTAGAGATTGAAGGCACAATATATTATACACAATGCATCTAAGACCACAATCTAGCCTAGCATGTCAATGTTGATTTTTTACTCTCAAATGCTAATGTATTTTCTAAGTACAATATTAGAAATTACATTATAAGGTTTTTATTAAGATAAAAATCTTGGTTGCAAATGTTATGTAAATAAAAAACAAAGAAAGAATAATCAAGGAGAGAAATGAGGGGGAAATGGTCAAGTGTGACCCAGGGGAAGACATCCTGAGACTGGGTCTGTCACCAGGGTTGTGTCACATAATCTCACTATGCCTCAGTGTTCCTTAATATTAAAGGGTCAGGCTAGAGCCTCAGTCTCTACTTCATTCCTAGCAGGAAAATCCTGCCATCTATTTAGGTATTATAGAAAACTCAGCTTTTTGTAATATCCTAAGAGCACCTGGCAGCAGCAGAAAATTTGCTTACGATGTTTAATGAGTGAAAAGGGAAGAATGAGAAGGGTCTAAACAATCCTCCCAATCTTGCATTTTTCAGTTTATACTAGGCTTAAGAGGGCAATTGAAGTTAGATGCTTCATTTCATCCCACAATAATTCTTATTATAATAAAACATTTAATATTCCTTAAAAAACATCCAAAAAAAAAGAAACAGCTTCACCTTACTCAAATGAAACTTAGTGGATCTGTCTCATTTGGAGGGTTGCAATGCCTGAGCTACAGTGTGAGTATCAGGATGTGGAAGCAGCTGTCACTGCTTTGTTTTTCATTCACAGTAGGTGGTTGCCAGGCAACAAAATACTATTGTCTGTTTCCATGATCTATTGGCCAATTCTACTGGTGATAATGCTTTCTACAGTTTAAAACAGGGCCACCTTTTGGACAAAAAGAAATGAGAAAAAATTCTAAGGATGACAATAACATATATACGAATAAATACACTGAATGTACCCTAAAATTACGTGTATAAATATACAACTGTGTGCTGATAGACATACAAATATTTTGCATGTATGCATATGTGATTATATACATTCTCCTACATACAAACCCATCTAAATTTAATAGGCCCACAACTTGAAACTAAATCCCTTAGGGAAATCAAGGTATGAACTAGAGAAATAAAAACACAGAATTATTTTCTTAACAATAGCAATAATTTCCAATTTGTCACATATATCAAATCCTGTTTCTTGAATAGGAGGTCCTCCAGTCAGAAAAGCAATCCTGTCTACTTATATAAAAATGATAATAATGGAAAGCCTTTACCATCTACTTTAGAATCATGTAATACGTTTAATATGTTGATTTACTATCATATGCTACCAATGTGTACAAAGATAATTCAAAGAGTGTTGCTGTTTACAACCAAGAATCTTAAATTTTATTCATCTTAAAAATAATTGAATTGTTCTCCATGGAATAGCCTCATGTGATTCCCCACTTTGTTTTGATATGGGTCCCTGGGGAACAACAGTCATGCTATGTTACTCTTGCATATTTCACTAGCTTACAAATAAAATAACACACAGTGTACTCAATATAAAGTTGTCAACATTAACTTGCATCAGTTGCTGTTTGTTTCACATTGACAAGGCTTCTAAAGATAAGAATTACAATATTCTTAGATGTACAGACACAACATCAAAACAGCCTGAAGGAATTAAAGCTGGAAAATGCTAGAGGCAATCACGCTTTGAAATGAAGAGAAATCAGTATCATTTATACGTACACATATATTTCTTCAAAGGCTCTAAATAATGCCAGAACAATATGCATTTTATGCAATGCTCATCCGTCTTCCCTCACAATATTCCGAAAGCACTTTAACTGTTTAACGCATCTCCTCCAAGAGGGCTTTCACTTTTTCAAACTCATTATCACTTTCAAATCTGTATATTACAAGAAACTGGAATGAGCAATATCCATTACATGAATAGACATTATTAATATAAAGTCTCTATCAAAGTGGCAACGCTAGTAAAACAAAAGCAGAGTGTGTTAACCATAAACTAAGTACCAGCCAATATTACCACTTTGCTTGACAGAGCCGTCTCCAACAGCACGCACCCACCTCTCGAGCGGGCCCACCAGCTCAGCTTTCCAAGCTCGCTCACCTGCGTCTCTCCTCCAGGAATCAATTTCCTTCCCACTTTCTCCACCCTCTTCAGATCCCTTAAGCACGCTTCATTGCTTTCTCCAAACTACCAGACTCAAATCTGCAGCCCAGTTGGCCAGGAACCTTTCCATACGCACGTATTTCCTGCATTCTCCTGGGTCTGCTTTTAAAAATTGCTACCACCAAACAAATGCAATCTTAACAAAATTGGGATTACAAAGCCAGTTTTTTTCATGTAATGTTACAGCAGTGAAAGATTGAGGGAGAGAAAAGGAGAGAAGCAGGAGTGTATCTGGGTGAAGAAGCGTGGCTCAGTGGCTATACAGTGAGACGCAGAGATTCCACAGAGCTGGGCTTGCCCACCTGTCGACCCCACTTTCCCCATGTGCTCGCCGCGGGATGACAACCACAACACTCCAGAACCACCCCCCTTCCGAAAGAGGGCGGGGTTACGCCTTCAGCCAATCAGGACCCGCGAGCCCCGGGTGTCCAACCTATGGGGTGGCTGTGGCCGTGCAGGGGGAGGACGTGGGGTGGTCTGGGAGGGGCCGCGTCCGTGGGAGGCTCGCACGTGTCGGGTCCGGAGAGGCGGGGAGGCGGCCGGCGTCCAGCGGCCGAGGCGCGGGCTCTGCACCCTGGCAGCGGCCGAGTCCGGCTGCCCCAGTGCCTCCTTTACCTCGCGTTGGGCCAGGCAGGGCGCGCTCCCGCCGACGAAGACCTGTCCAAGGTGTCCGAGCTCCCCGCGAGAGGGGACAGTCACGAATAACAACAGTACCCAGCGCAGACTAGGCGGGGAGGAAAGTTTCCGGCCCGCAGCAGAGCGGAGTCCGCCAAGGCTGGAGGAAAAGGGATGCAGAGCGGGAGGGTGAAAACCTGAAAGAAGAGGGCAGCGGGAACACTGTGTGGGCAGGAACGGGTCCCGGGGGCGACGCCCGCAGGGGGAGACGGGTGCGGGGTGCGCTGTCCAAGGTGCAGGGGAGGTGACTGGCGCGCGGCGGGCGCGGAGCCCGGAGCTGACACTGGCTGGCGGGCGGAGGGGAGAGCGGGGAACAGCTGTCTGGGGCGCTGGGCACCCCCGGGCGCGTAAAAGTGAGGGAGCTTGAGACGGGGCACGGCGGGGAAGGGCGTGGGGGCTGCACCGAAGCCCCCACGCGTCCACGCACCCCTCCTCACCAGCCTCACCTCTAGCTCCACTCCCCTCCCCCCTCGCCCACTCCCCTCTCAGTCTAGATCCAGGTGCCGTGGCGGGGGTGAGACCAGAGGACCCCGGCTCGGAGCCCGGACGCCCCAGGGAGGCTGCGGGCCCCGGAGCTGCTTACCTGGGGCCGCCGTATGGGGAGCGGAGGCAACCCGCTGCGCGGAGTGGGGCGCCGGGCGCGGCGCGGCTCCTCCTAGCCTCGGCGTCCTCCTCCTCCTTTGCTTCTCCCGGACTCTGTCCCGGGCACGGAGCTGGGAGACGCGGCCGGGCTGCAGTCGCCGTTCCCTCTGCTGCCGCCGCCGCTGCAGCAGACAGAGGACGCCCCGTGGCGGCTGGAAGCCTGTGTGAGTAGCGGCGCCCGGGAGAGCGGGGATCTGCTGAGGGGCGCTGGAGACTCCGCGGCTGGAGGCGCGCGGGCGTGCGCACGCGCGCCTGCGAGTGTGAGTGTATGGGTGCGCGCGCGCCCACGGGGTGGGGGAGTCGCGAGGGGAGGGGGAGAGAGGCCGAGAGATGCTCGTAGGGACCGAGGCAAAATTCTACGACCCCGGAAATCCGTAAACGCGGGGAAGGAGGATCGAACGCGTGTCTCGCTTGGAGAAGCTGCCCACGGGGCGGCAGCAGAGGAGGAGGGGAAGTCAGCGAGGCGCGCTAGGGCTCCGGATCCCAGCCCGGCAGAGCCGAGCGGAGCGCGCAGCCACCGATGCAGCAGAGGCGGCGCCCGCAGCCCACGGTCGCGCTGCCCCCTCTCGGGAGGGGCCGAGGCCGCTCGCTCCCGCCACCGCCGCCGCGGTCGGGACTGCTCTACTGGGAGCGGGGGAACCGAGAGAGGGACCGCACGGTTGCTACGGCGACCTTGGAGGGGCCGGGCCCGCTGAAGGGCCAAGAGAAGAACCCGGGCGCACGTGGCCGACTCCAGGCTGGAGCGGGCGTGTTACAGGATTGTGGGCTTGGGGTAGACGGTGGAATTGGGCCGCGTGGCCTGGGCAGATGATGCGGGGTGTGCGGCCCAGAGTGGCTCGGCCGGGGTGCGGTCAGCATTCAGGTTGGTAAGGGTGAGGGGATCCTAACCCCAGGTGACATGTTGCCTTTTTTTCCTCCTTGGAGGCTACTTTTTCTCAAAGTTACCCACTTCCCAGGTAAGAATGCCGGCCTCCTCTTTGTTAGGATTCAACTTAGCTGTGCAGGCATCTAAGCAGTGCCTCCTTAGAGTCAGGCTCGTCCAAGAACCGCTCCCACCACCTCCCCACACACACCCACATCCCCCGATCCTCCATCCCAACTACATTGTAATACTTCAGAAATAAATGTTTAAAGCACATTTACATTCTCTGCCTCTTAACAGATATATTGTCTTAGTAGTATACTTTTCCTTGCTTATTTTAAATTCTGAGTGGGATTTTATTCACACAAGCATTTCTTCAAGGGTCGTAAGGTCTGGGTAATACTTGAAATACCCTTTCTGGCAGGAATCCTCAATGCAGGGATTGTGTTTTGCACACTTTTGCATGCCTTCCAGTGCTTAGCATAGTACTCTGTACTTTGTGAGTTCCCTGTAAATGTTGAATGAATGACATTGTTTTCTAGCTTCACGTAACCTGAAGGCAAAGACTTGGATGCTGGGAAAGTCATTACCACCCCACTAGGCTTGCCTGATTTTAACTTATGCCATTTCCTTGTGTGTGGCTATTTTTCCCCCTGGCGGTCAGAACCCCAATGCAAAGAAAGAAAATAATACTTATCCATTGTGCACCCTTAACAAAGGATGCATGTAGAAGCACTCTGCAGGGACCCCAGTGGGATGCCCTGGGTGTGAGGGGGCCAAAGCTCAGAACCTAACCTCTCAAAATGTGAAAGTCAGTGTTCACCAGCAGTTTATACTGTCCCTTCTAGAGCAGAAGGATGGGGAAAACAGTTTTAAGAGAAATACACTTTTGTTTTTTGTTTTTTGAGACGGAACCTCGCTCTGTCACCCAGGCTGGAGTGCAGTGGCGCGATCTCGGCTCACTGCAACCTCTGCCTCCCGGGTTCAAGCGAATTCTCCTGCCTCAGCCTCCTAGTAGCTAGGATTACAGGCGCCGGCCACCACGCTCGGCTAATTTTTTTTTTTTTTTTTTTTTTTTTTTTTTTTTAGTTTTTAGTTTTTAGTAGAGACACAGTTTCACCATGTTTTCCAGACTGGTCTCCAACTCCTGACCTCAAGTGATCCGCCTGCCTCGGCCTCCCAAAGTGCTGGGATTACAGGCATGAGCCACCGCTCCAGGCCAGAAATACACATTTCTAATAGCTTATCAGGTACGCATTTTTCTCCTGTAAAGAGTAGTGTTCATGGACACTGACCAATACATGCAGGGTCACCCCAGACTGCTAATTCTGCTGTCTGGTGTAGCACCAAGTCCACATCCTTCGACCTCGGTATTTCTACAATCATCGTCTTAGAAGCAGAAGTCTTCAATTTTGCATTTCATGCTAAATTTCAATTCCTTTGAACTCAGGCCCGCCTATGAGCTGCTTCTCTCTCCACTCATGATACCACAGCTGTGAAATATAACTGAAATAAAGTGAAAATTAAAATGGATTTATTTGGGTACCGTGTGTTCTTTAGTGGGGGTCCCTTTAACTGATTTATCTACCTTCACTCAATTGACAATCTTCTTAGAAGACATTTGTTGTGATATTGGAGCTTTTTTATTAGGTTGAAAGCTTACTTAAATTTCTCACTTGAAAGGAAGCTCTAAAACTTGCAAAAGAAGCAGAAAAACTCTGATACCGAAAATGGACCCTTGACAGCCAACCTATAGAATGGGTATGAGTCAGAATTTTCCAAAACAATTTTAAAGCTTCATTTTCCTTAGAAAGTTGCTTTTAGGGTTTTGTTGGGCTCAGAAACTAATACCGGAAAATATGGCACTTTGACATGCTGGACTGAAGAAGCAGCCTCAAAGTCTCTCTGACCCTCTCTCTGCCTCCTGTCTCTCAGTCGTCTGTCTCACCCAAAGCACAGGATGAAATTGTTCTCTGAAGGTCTTTCATCTGCCTAGAAACCAGATCTGCCAAAGAAGAACGCACTTGCCTTCCCTGAGTTTTTATTAATCTAACTCACGTCGTAGGAAGAAAGATTGAAGCCTGTCAACACAACTGGACATACTTTTGTCACACTCCTCTGCGGGCCCAACAGACTTTATCCCAGGCCATTTTATGTTCACCAAGCTCATTGAATTCCACTAAAAATTCTTTACTATCCCCCTTAAAATCATCCACATTTCCCTTTCTATTCTTCCCCTATGAAGAAGGGTATATGAGCATCTGTGTACCCCACTGGGTTATTGGGCAATCATTCTCCTGCAATTCCCTTGGATTATGCACATGAAAATAAGTTTTGTATGTCTTTTCTCCTATTAATCTGCTTTTTGCGAGGTGATTTTCAGTGAACCTTCAGAAGGTTGAAATCCCTAGTTTCAACAGCTTCCCAAGTGCTTGTCTTACTTGGTGGGTGGGAGGAATGTTAATAAAGCTGTAACTTCTCTGATGACCACCAAAGGGGACAGTCTTGTCTTCGTAAAAACAAATATAAGAAGCCAGCACCTAAGAATGTAGGCATATCACAAGCTTAATGTATGTTAACTTAAAAATAATGTATGTTAACTTAAATAAGTTAATGTATGTTAAAAGGTAATAGAAGGAAAGAATAACAACATAGATATATAGGTTTCTGACCAACTTAAACATAAAAGTTTGGAGGAGCAAATAGGGTTATATGCTATCATCCCCATAGCTCCTTCTGCTACTTAAGTACTAGGTAATAATAAAATGTACAGCTGAGAGGTTCATTTTTATTTGTTATTATCAGCCGGATTTAAAATCAATAGCATATTTGTAAAAGTTCTATTTTTCTTCCTAAAGGGAATGTTCCTTAACATAACTGCTTTTTTCAGTTTGCAGCAGTGCAGTAAACTAGTCAATCATTAACTTAAAAACACAGGATGGTGAAGGTGTGGGGCCTGTGGAGAAACACTCTAAACTTATTTGATCACAACTGTTTTGTCAGTCTAAACTAAAAAAAAAAAAAAAAAAAAAAAAAAAAAAAAAAAAAAAAAAAAAAAAGGCTTTCTACCTTTAAAGACTGATGCATTTAGACTGTGAGATGTACCGTGAATTCCAAAGTCAACTCCTCATTCTAGGAGCCCATTGCCCCAAATCCTCTGAAGTGAGAAGGCAGGGACCGTTAGCTGAAATGCTGTTGATTTTAGTGGCTGTGAGCACACATAAGGATACAGGTCATTTCCCTTATAATTAGGTCCCAGATCACTTAGTCCATTAGAGTTTTAAATGATAAAAAAAAAAAAACACCTTGACCTGCACCTGGAAAGAAAGTACCAACACAGTCCAGAGTATAGTACAGGAACAAGAAGCAGCCTCAAGTCATCCTATTTGTATCCATGTCTTTAAACATTGCCTTATTCCACATACTATTTAGGAAAACTTAATTCTGACTGGAGATCAGACATCTTTAGGAAGGTAAAAAAAATCAGAGAAAAAAATGTTATAGTTTATACTAAGCAAAACAAGACCGGTTTTCTTTCTTAGTCATCATTGCTGACATTTGGGGTGCAGGTAGATATACTTGGTGTCAGTGGTTCTAACAGTTTATGGAGCTGTGTATTTCCAAGAAACTGAAGAAAGCTATGGATCCTTTCTTCAGGAAAATGAACCTATTAATGTATAAAAAATGTTTAAATAAAATTTCAGGGAGTTAAAGGAACTTCCTCTGAAGCTCACATTAAGAGCTACTGCCTAATATAGATTAATTGCACCATGACATTTTATGGCTAAAGGGAAAAGAATT
The DNA here is from genome assembly GCF_000001405.40 of Homo sapiens. Classification (NCBI taxonomy): domain Eukaryota; kingdom Metazoa; phylum Chordata; class Mammalia; order Primates; family Hominidae; genus Homo; species Homo sapiens. Next base: position 43,791,374 of record NC_000013.11, read on the forward strand.
GGTAGATTTACTAATCTCACTTCTATTTTTAATCTAATAATTTATTTGATTGTCAACACCAAGAAGATGCATAAGCAAATCAGTAAACTGAACAAGTATTTATTGAGTACCTACTTCATAATCAGTTCTGTTCTTCAAGCTGTGTTTGTTACCAATAAAGTATAAAATACGATCTATCTATTCCTTTAGGGAGCCTATAGTGTAGTAATCATTATTCTTGAGGACAAAAAAAGTGAACATAAGCGTAATTTATCACTTGACCAGGTGCAACAAACTTCAATTTGAATTACCAGTAGGACTTAATAAAGCTATTTGTTAAATAAATAAACCACTTGGGTAATAATTGATTATCAGTGGCCAATGTATATATGCATATTTTCATATTCATATTCCCTAGTAGCAATCATTTAGATGATCACACCATATATAATGTAAAAAGCTAGTCTATTGCTGTAGCATGAATTTTAGATTGAGGATATGAAGAAGTTGACAAGGAGAGATAGACCATGTGGGCAATGGCAGCTGTGGATTACCTTTCCCTGGGATCACTGGGCAGACTGGAATAAGTTAGAATATGCTAGAGCTTATATTTAACCCATCCAAGAATTTATAGGGCAACCCATGAACAGTATTTTGAAATTTCTATGTCTACAAAAACCCAGAAGTCTCTTCTTGTATAATTTTAACATTTTATTATTACTCTCCTTACAATTTTTAAAATTTTCACTTTCTCAATTTCTTTCCACTTATTAACACAGAATTATTTTTAATGTAGTTTTTAAAAACACAACTTCTTCACTCAATTCCTGACACAATTATGAAGAGTTAAAAAGCTCTTATAGAGTGAATTGACATAAAGCCATTTACTTAATTAGAGCTGTTTGAAGCCCAACCATCCATGTATTGAATGCTTTATATAACCTGCCTCCCGATGGGCCCCAGAGGCTTCATGTGGGGAAGCTAGGACTGTTAGTGCTATCTTTTGATTTTTCAAGAGGTGGTCTTAGCACAGCATTAAAATAACACAGGATACTGAATCATAAGATCTGAGTTCAAATCCCAGCCCAGGCAACAACTTGCTGTGTGAGATTGTGCACCACACTTTCCGAGCTTCACTTGCCCCCGTCTGGGAAATGTGGATAATAACACCTACCTCATCAGTTTCTTAAGAAGCTTACATCAAGTAACATTAAGTTACATTAAGTAACATGAGAAAGAGTCCCTTTGTTGTGTTGTAGGAATTCAGTAAATCTTTGTAGACCTTGGATCTAAATCAAAAGTGTGTGGCAGAAAATTGGAACACAGTCATGAATAGGAAGCTCCTGTAGAAATTTTAAATCTTTATTATAATGTTGAACTGAGCTGATTTCCTGGGAGTCCCTTCCAAGGATATTTTAAGAAAACCACAGACAACCAAAAGTTGGCAGAAACTGACACATGCAGGAAATTGTGGATTCCATAATTCTAGAGGTGCTGTAATTCTATAAATTCTGCTGCTGTTACAAAACCCAAGCTTTGTGTTCATTTGTTTTTAATTAGTCTCTGTTTTGTTTCTGTCACACATATTCTGCCTCCCCAATGGTGCTTTGCCCTGCTAATTTAACTATGCGAACATTCATTTTATAGATTAATACCAACTGTGAAAATGTCTCTCTTTTAAACAAAAATAGTTCACTGTCCTCTCTTCCCCACCACATCCCAATTGTAAAAGTAGTGTGTGTGCTTACGGAGAAAAAATAGGCAATACAAAAATGTATAAAGAAAAAGATTGGCCAGGCGCGGTGGCTCACGCCTGTAATCCTAGCACTTTGGGAGGCTATGGAGAGTGGATTGCCTGAGCTCAGGAGTTCGAGACCAGCGTGGGCAATATGGCAAAACCCTGTCTCTACTAAAAACATAAAAAATTAGCCAGGTGTGATGGTGGGCGCCTGCAATCTCAGCTACCTGGGAGGCTGGGGCAGGAGAATCGCTTGCACCTGGGAGGCGGAGGTTGCAATGAGCTGAGATCGTGCCACTGCACTCCAGCCTAAGCAACACAGCGAAACTCTGTTTCCAAAAAAAAAAAAAAAAATGCAGTAAGTAGTATTGCCTCTCAGGGACCAAGTACGATTACTATTTTGGTGTATACCCTTCCAGACATTTTCTTTGCATATATTTGTTCTACTTAAAAGTCATTCAGGTTGGCCAGGCACGGTGGCTCACGTCTGTAATCCCAGCACTTTGGGAGGCCGAGGCAGGCGGATCACTTGAGGTCAGGAGTTCGAGAACAGCCTGACCAACATGGTGAAACCCCTGTCTCTACGAAAAATACAAAAAATTAGCTGGGCATGGTGGCATGTGCCTGTAATCCCAGCTACTGGGGAGGCTGAGGCAGGAGAATCGCTTGAACCCGAGAGGCAGAGGTTGCAGTGAGCCAAGATCAAGCCATTACACTTCAGCCTGGGGGACAGCAAGACTCTATCTCAAAAAAAAAAAAAAAAAAAAGTCATCCAAGTCAAGATTCAGCCATTTTTAATGTTACCATTTTAGAAACAAACAGTTAAAACACTTTCACAAAAAGGCTCAAATGTGTTTCTTTTCCTTTCCTACACCTTCTTTCCAAGATAGGCTCTTTGCTCAGCAAGTCCTTTTTTTTTTTTTTTTTTTTTTGAGACGGAGTCTCGCTCTGTCGCCCAGGCCGGACTGCGGACTGCAGTGGCGCAATCTCGGCTCACTGCAAGCTCCGCTTCCCGGGTTCACGCCACTCTCCTGCCTCAGCCTCCCGAGTAGCTGGGACTACAGGCGCCCGCCACCGCGCCCGGCTAATTTTTTGTATTTTTAGTAGAGACGGGGTTTCACCTTGTTAGCCAGGATGGTCTCGATCTCCTGACCTCATGATCCACCCGCCTCCGCCTCCCAAAGTGCTGGGATTACAGGCGTGAGCCACCGCGCCCGGCCTCAGCAAGTCCTTTAAAACAGGATTTTCACTGGTCATCATTGAAACTTCTTTTTATATTTCCCCACTTTTAACACTTCTAATAATTAATACTTTTAATGGCCCTTTAAAAACTTAATCTCACCTTGTGCTGATGCTGATGTGTTCTGGAGTCACAAGCCCTGCCCTTGGCCTCTGGCCATTCTGTGGGTGCTTTGCATTACTTAACCTCTACCCCCAAAATGAGGTCCAGTGCTAACCTTGGATTTGGTACTGCATTCCCTCAGAGCAGAAAAGATTCTTGATTTCAATAAGTAACCAGAGTGTTCATTGGAGTGACCATCTACATACTGCCTCTGCAGAAGCTTGGCCCAGAGGTGGTGAATTATTTGAATTCATGTTTTATGTCCATTGCTGCAGGCAAATTTTGGAAAGTTTGTTTTATTTTGCTTTGAAGAATCTATAAACATTCCTTAACAATTAATGCAAATGATAGCTAAAATTCCAATAGAATTTCCTACTTCTGCAGTTCAGTATGCACACTAGTTTACCCAGGAAGGTATCACTATTAATAAAAAGTCTAACAGTGTTTATAATTTTGCCAATTTGCTAGTTGTATAGAGGGATATGGGTTCCCAAAGTAAAAGAGCTTCAATCCCAGCCCATCCCATTCTGCAAATCTGAGACAGAATTCTAGTGCCACTCTTAAAATGAAAGCTAGAGAACTGGTGGAAGAAGAAAGGAAGGAAGGGGAGGGAGAGAACACGAGGTGGGATTAATTATCTATAGGAGTTCTCTGTAGAATATACACACTATATTGTAAATTATGAAAGTTCTAAGTACAATTCATGTGCAAGTCTTTTCTCAGAACACAATGAGATAATAAAATGGGACATTCATAAGACAAGCTGTATCTTGGAAACTCTATACATGGTATAACAATATACCCTGAAAAGTTTTGGTAAGTGCTAAATTGCAAAAGAAGAATCAAAGAATGGGTATATTGTCTCTAGCATTAATCAGTGAAGAGAGAGTCATCATGTTTAAGAAATTAGAGAATTTTAGCACTGGAAAGGTGAACTAATTGCACAGGGGCACTTATCTTGATTCTTTTGTGTGCTAGGTGCTGTAGATGTATTTGCATAGGTCCACCTTGGGCTGAAAAGTGACCTTGGGCAGGAGGAGGTACTGAAGTCTTTATTCAGAGATGTCAAGTTTATAGCATTAAATCTGAAAAATGAGGTGAGAGCAGAAACAGAAACTCTGGAACTGAGAGGATGAGGCCAGGGGTCCAGAACCAAGTTTGTGAGAGTTGAGTGGACGCAGAATGCGCCTCATATGTGATACCTGGCTTAGATAAAGTCCAAAGAGATGGAGGCTCTCCACTTTTATTTCCTTTGACTGCATCATCAGAAACCAGTCTTGAATATTATACAACCATATTTGACCAGAAGGATTAAAAATGAAAATAAGTATCAAAACATTTTTAAATGTAACTACTTTGGTGGCAGTTCTACTAAAATAAAGTATGTTGTTCCTTTAACTTAATATTCACAAATCAGAATCATCAGAATAAATATTAATATTTAATGGAAAGATAGGCAAGCATGGAAAAGTAAAAGTATTATGAGATTTACCATCAGATTGAGCTGGATTTGAATCATGGGTCTATCAGAAGTGAACTTGGGTAAACTTCATAACCTTGATATCCTCATCTGAAAATAGAGATTATTTAATACCTATCTCTTAGGACTTTTTATGAAGATGAAATGAGACAATGTGAAGCATTCCCTTCTTCCCTAACATTGACATACCTACCTTATTAAGTGATTTTGGATATAACCACTGTCACTGACCCCCAAGGGATACCAGGTGTATGTAGAGTTTACCTTCCTTCTCTACCAAACAGACCACGGAGGTCACCTGTGTGGTTCCTCTGTGCTTCTTCAAGATGTCAGCTGGCTCTTCTTGTTTCTCTCAGTGTGACTGACTGTAGATTCTTATCGGCTCAAAAGAGAACCTATTACATAGACTCTGGAACATCTATGTTTCATTATGAATTCTCTCTTTACTAGCTTCCCATATCTAAGCTGCATTCTAAATGAATAAAGTACTACTGGAACCTTGTTTTTCAGACACATTGATATCTGTACAAGAACAGCCCAGCAGAAAATATATACATCTGCCCTTCCTCCTTCCAGCTCAACTCCCCAGCCCTCATGTCACACCATACTCTCATGCTGTAAATCAGTTTCCTATGATTTTAGTTAAAATGATTCCATCGCTCAGGGCTAGACCACTCCTCAACTTTTATTTATTTATTTATTTATTTATTTATTTATTTATTTATTTGAGACGGAGTCTCACTCTGTCGCCCAGGCTGGAGTGCAGTGGCACAATTTCAGCTCACTGCAACCTCCACTGCCTGGGTTCAAGCGATTCTCCTGCCTCAGCCTCCCCAGTAGCTGGGATTACAGGTGCATGCCACCATGCCTGGCTAATTTTTTTATTTTTAATAGAGACAGGGTTTCACCATATTGGCCAGGCTGGTCTCGAACTCCTGACCTCAGGTGATCCTCCCACCTCAGCCTCCCAAAGTGCTGGGATTACAGGTGTGAGCCACTGTGCCTGGCCTGCTCCTCAACTTTTAAAACTGCAAAACTGTGGATCCAGCCCCAGACCATAAAGGTCCTCTCATTAAGGAGATGCCTCTTTCGTATGACCCAGCCAGAAACATTTGGTGAGTTTCTTTCATATTATAAAAATCACAAGTGTTTGAAATAAATGAATTCAAGTTCTTCCCATATCTAAAACATTCTATGAGTCAAATTTTCACATTTAGAGATTCAGTCTGTATATTTATGTTTCTTAATCTGTGGCATGAGGGATTTAATCAAAGTATAAAGAGTTTCCTGGCAATGAAAGTGATTGTACCCAACATGAGTTAATAAGAAAGAAGATGGAATTGTCTTCTCTGAAGATCTTTATAGTTTTTTTCAAAGTATTTATGCACAGTCCTTCCTAAAGCCAGACACTGAAGATCAATCAAGTACTCTTCTCGTCAAAAGATTCTCTGATGCTATAGAAACTCTAGATTGTGGTTTTATTCTGACACATTTTGGTAGTTTTGTTCTGTGACAATTATAGGAGAAAAAAATGAAAGGGTAAAGAAATGACAATTGGCTTTTAGCAGCTGTTTTAGTGAGACAATCTACATTTTAGATTCCAGAATGGAGTTACTAGTCCATCAGAGGAGAAACAAGATTTTGTTCTTATTGTAGCAAAAGATCTTGTGTTAATGTTAAAGATATTGTTCTTATTGTGGAGAAAGAGAGAGAGAGAGAGAGAGTTATCTTTTACCCTGACTTCGGTGAAGGGGTCATGAAGTAATCTGTTCTTGGACCAGAAGACTGTTGGATTTCAAGGAAATCATTAAAGTTTTGCTAACAACCATGCTTAATTATTTGAATGTGTATGTGTTTTGTTTGTCTAGTCTTGTCATTAATACAATTAACTAGAATCCTGTTTGATTCTTGAAATTGAAATGTCAATTGTGACTTTGTCTTACTTTTCTCTAAAACCATTTTCACTCTCTTTTTAGAGATCATTTTTGCACATGCTTACCTATTACTATATAAAAATAAAATAACTGCTTTAAACATTTTAGTGAATATCCTATCGAGGCTCTCTTTTGAGCATCCTAACAAATATGAAAGAAATACGTGCTATGCATACACAGAACCACACTCCACAATTAAACCCTCACAGTGACATTCCTTAAGGAGGCAGTGTTAGCCTGGAAGAACCGTTTTATAAAATCCTTCTAAAGATTGCATCACTTTGAAAGCCAATGAAATTGATTTGTAAACTCTAGAACTAGATTAAGATGAGGAGTATGAGGGAAAATGTTTCCAAATTCAACTTTTGCTTTGAATTTTCTTTTAAATTTATTTTCCAGAGTTTCTTTTTTCCCCAGCCATAATAAAGCAGTCTTTATTCCATAAGAAAGCAGTATTATGATACTGCTTTATTTTAGACCATTGATTTACTTTTGTGAATTGAAGATAAATAATGCACATATCTTCATGTCAGAAAACTTAGGTTGACGCCATGGGTCTCCTTCTTACTGTCTTGCTTTGAGTAAATTATTTTGCCAACTTCTGTCCCAACTTTTTCATCTCTAAATTAGAGATAATGATTATGCTCATCCCCAAAGTTATTATGAGAATTAAATTAAAATGTTTGCATAAAAATTTTGAAAAATCTGAGGCATTGTACAAATGCTAACATATTTTGGGGTATTGCTATAGTTGTTACTATTTTAAATATTAATATTTTCAAAGCTAAATAATAGTATCATAGTGGAACTACTTGGCATAGTTTACTGAGCACAGCAAACAGTCCACTTGCAAATTGGGTTGTTCTTCATCTCATGCCTATATCAATGTTTCCCCCATCTAGGACGCAGTGTAATTTAAAGCATGTAACAAGATGTTCAGTACATTTTTTGGTCTCACCTGCCCCATGCCTCTTTCTTTCCTTCTTTCCAATTTCATTTTTTTTCAATCCTCTTGTATCTTTCTTTTCTTCTTTTTTTAAATCATTTAGGTTATCATTTTTCACAATAAGCAAATATCTTAAGAACTATGAAAAATGCCCATAGCACTTTCCATCTAAAAAATACATAAGCCTTTTATAAATACATTAGTGATCATCACAAAATATTGTCTACCTTGAATGTTTTCTCATCTTTTTATCATGCATGTCTGCCTGGTTTAAAATCACAGGGCAGGAACTCTGTCTAATTCTATTTGTAAATCAGAGAGAGAGTGTTGTTGTTCAATAAATGCCAAGAAGCAACAACATCCATATGAGGTGAATAGGTGGAAATTATTATTTCTGTCTATAGCAAGGTGAAAATAAAATGAGTGCTTTACAATTTTCAAAGCATTCTCATATCGATTATCTCATTTGTACATCACACCGACAATGGGAGAAAGCCAGATGGAGCAGTTTTACTGTTATCCTCTTTCTGTCCTTGTATGATAGTGGAAAGTGAGACTAAGAGGTTAAGTGCCTTGTCCACGTCATCAGGGAAATCCCAGCCTACAGGATCTCTACCCTGCTCTTCTGGTTTTAAGTTGGTACAAATATTTGCGCATTCTTATGGAGTGCATGTGATATTTTGTTACATGTAATGATTAAGTCAGGGTATTCCAGGTATCCATTACCTTGAGTATTTGTCATTTCTATGTGTTGGGGACAGTTCAAGTCCCCTTTCTAGCTATTTTGAAATATAAAATACATTGTTGTTAACTATAGTCACCCCATTCTGCTAGTGAATATTAAAACTTAGCCCTTCTACCTAACTATATGTTCGTACACATTAACCTGCCTCTTGTTATCCCTCTCCCACCCACTCAGCCTTCCCAGATTCTGCTATCTGTCATTCTATTCTCTACGTCCTTATAAGTAACTTTTTTAGTTCCCGCATATGAGTGAGAACATGAAGCATCTGTCTTTCCATGCCTGTTCTTATTTCACTTACCATAATGACCTCTAATTCCATCCATGTTGCTGTATATGACAGGATTTCATTCTTACATTTTCTTTATCCATTTGTCTGCTGATGGACACTTAGGTTGATTCCATACCTTTGCTATTGTAAGTAGTACTGCAATAAACATGGGAGTGCAGATATCGAACTTTTTATCCTTTGAGTAAATACCCAAGAGTGGGATTGCTGAATCATATGGTAATTTCCCTGCCTTTCTCAACTAATGCTGCGGGAACTTCATAGTGATATGGGTCTTGACAGGTCTTGAACATGACAAGAAGTATATCTATTTTGTTACCTTTGTGAGAGAGCACTTAACTCTGACTCTGGCCCACAGCCAGTGCTTAGTAAATAGTTGTTTAATTAAAATAAATAAATAAATAAATAATATTATAGACATCAAGTCAGCAGAACTCATGAACTAATTATTGAATCCATAGCAAGGCCTGACATCCTCGCCATCTTGGCTGCTGCTCAACCCACAAAATCCATTACATATTGTTAGTTTTCTGTTTCATTTAGTGAAACTTGTAATGCCAATTGTCAATACTACTTTCCAGTCATATCATTCTCCCAACTGCTGCTACTTCTATTCAGTAGCTCAGGTACATAGGCACTTCTTTAATAAACTTAATTATATCATGCAAAATGCAATCAATGGACGAGCACGAGCCTTAAAAAGTTTAAGCTTAACCTTTCATTTCATTAAGAAAATGTGTGATATGTTTATTTAAACCTTGTGAGTTGTCAAGCCCCAGAAGCCAGACACTGATATCAGGACGCATGTGACTTACAATTGAGAGTCTGCTATTCATGTCCTCTGTTTGTGTGAATGGCATATAAGAGTTCCAAGACATTTGTGTGTTATGTTGAGCTTTGAAGAATGTTGAGCACACAATCTGAATTTTATAATAAGAGAGTTGAAGAATCATAGAAAATAAAAGAAAGGTAAGAGAATGGCTGTGCATTTCTTAGTGGCTATTTTCTTTAAATGCGGCTGAAGACAGTCAGTAACATTAGCCATGCTAGATTTGGGCTGAAGGAAATGCTCAGATGTTAGTTGCTAGGAATGCCCTACAACTCTTGATTGTGCCAAATCAAATGACAATGCACATATATGATATATACACTAGCTTAGAGACCATATCAGCCTCCTTAACATCCTTTCTATATATACTGTAAGTTAGCAGATGCATTTTGGTCTTTCGGTAGCATTTTAGCTAAGTAACTTTTCAAAATGGTTCATCAAGGAAGCTGGTGGTTGAACTTAGTATATCTTATTTCTCAGAATCATAATCAACTCAAGAGACCACCAATCCTTTTTCACCCACACAGTCTTTCTTAAACACGCATATTGTTCTATTACAGCTAACTTCCTATCTTTAGTTCAGTTGTTCATTTTTCAGAAAAACTGACAAAACATCAATTAAATTATTTCTGTTAGAAGAAAAGCTTAAAGTGAAGACCTTATGATAATATATTCTAATAACATTTTGAATAATTATAGAATATACAATCCTGGATTCATTAGTGCATTCAGTGTCAACATGTGGTCATCCAGTTTTATTATCCCTTTAATAAAGCCATCTAAGATTTGTAAGTACTTTGCCAACTTCTCATATTAAGTCAAAGGCCTGAGGGACATGCAGAGAAAGTTCACAGGAGAAAGTGAGTCCCAGCTCTTTATTACACGCATATTGACACTAGTTAAATTTAAAAATGAAATTACCTAAATATCTGAGTAATATGTTTTACTTGTGTAAAGTACAATAGAATTTAAGAGGCCAAGGTGGCAGACCACTTCAGGTCAGGAGTTTGAGATTAGCCTGGCCAACATGGCGAAACCCCATCTCTACTAGAAATATAAACGTTAGCCAGGCATGGTAGCACATGCCTGTAATCCCAGCTACTAGGGAGTCTGAGGCAGGAGAATTGCTTGAACTCAGGGGGCGGAGGTTTCAGTGAACCAAGATCACACCACTGCACCTCTGCCTGGGTGACAGAGCAAGACTCCATCTCAAAAAAAATTTTTTAAGTAAATAAATAAATAAAATACTTATTGGGTGTTATTCAAGTGTGTGTATGTGGTGGTAGTGGGGGGTCATTTTTATTAATAGGAGTGAGAAAATGAATGGCTTAGAAATAATACAATGTCTTGTCCTTTGGTGTTCTGTTAATTCTACCAGTATATTTCACCATACTTAATATTCTGTACCATGTTGTTTTTGTTAAATTTTAAATGTGCTAATAGATGCTCATTAAAGTAATTCTGTTGTTATTTCTCTTAAAATAATCTTTTAAAATAATTATCCACAACTACTTTTTTGTTGTTGCAAGTCTAGATTTTCATATGTGAAGTCGCTTAAGGACTCACCTATGCTCTACGTCAATTTTTAATCAAGTATCGAACATCTACATTTCAGGTGTTGTGATAAAATACACCAATCACTTCCTGTAGGGCATGGATTATTATTCTCATTTTTTATAGATGAGAAAACTCTGCTTCAAAAAGGTTAAATAAGTTCCTAAGGTAAGAAAACTAATAAATGCTAGAACCTGTCTAGGAATCCAAATCTGTCTTTCTCCAAGGCCTATGCTCTTTTCAGTATAGCATGTAGCCTCTCAAAATTTAAAACTATCAAGGTTTATACAAATATATGCACTTTCACACACATATACACCCAGGCAGAGTAGGATTCTTTTCTTTTGAAAAATAGCCTTGACAACCAAAACATAATTGCATTGGAAAGACATGAGTTTTGATGGTGAACTTATGACATTTTGGTATATACCTGCCTTGGTTTTAACCTTTACAAAATCTCAATTAGCACTGGGCCAACCTTGATGAATCATCCTTGCTCTTAGTAAAGTAAATATGATTTGTGAAAGAGACAGTTTCCCATTTTCTGCACCTCTAAAGAGTTGTGTCATCAGGTATGAAAGCTAACAATAGATTTAATAAGCTGTTTATTTTTATAATGAGAGAAACCCTTATTATTCACTAGGAATAGACTGAATTGAGGGATACTATAATAGATGTCAGAAATAACAATTGAAATTCTGAATACATTAGAACCACAGCATGTTGCAGACCAATTAAAATTGACAACCAAGTGAAGCAAATACACATGGATAAATATAGAAAATTCAAGTTGCTGTTAGGGTGGGTTTTTTTCCTCTTTTCTCTTTACCACTTGATATTTTTCTTTCTTCTTGATATTTCAGTTCATTTTGTTAATCTTTTCCTGCTTGGCTTCTGAATTTTAATTAAATTGAAAGCTGACAGATAATCAAACTTTAATGCATTGTAGAATACCTTAGAACTTTGATGTATTTAGTGCCCTGATGTTGGGAAACTATCACTAACTAGAAATACCAGCATTTGTAGACAACATGTAATTTTCATAATCTTAAACAAAGATGGGAAAAATAGATGCTGTGCTAAACATTTCAGCCATGTGTTCACCTTTCTGTATTAAATTTAGTATTGGCAGCTGAGTAGGAGATTATAGGGTACAGCTGCTTTAACCTTCAACAGTAAATGATGCTTGTTGGATGTCTCCATGTGCCTCTAAAACCCAGGAAGCTTAAAAATGTAGGCTTGATGCTAATGATGAGAAAACACAGTAAATTAACATCACTTAGGTTGGAGGAGAGTTGGGATGAAATATATTGCTAATGAAGATTATGGAATTAATTTTTCTGAAGTTCTTGAAGAATGTTTTGTATAGGGCATGCAAAAAATTGATTAAGTTTGATAAAACAACATAAAAAATAAATACCTGGCAGGGTGGTACAGGGCATGGTGGTGCACGCTTGTAATCCCAGCACTTTGGGAGGCTGAGGTGGGTGGATTGCTTGAGCAGCCTGGGCAACATGGCAAAAACCCACCTCTACAAAAAAATACAAAAAAATTAGCTGAGTGTGGTGGCAGGCACCTGTAGTCCCAGCTACCTGGGAGGCTAAAGTGGGAGAATCCCCTGAGCTGGGAAGTCAAGATGTGATTGCACCACCGCACTCCAGCCCAGGTGACAGAGTGAAAGCCTGTCTCAAAACAAAACAAACAAAACCCAAACCAGATACCATTTATTGAGTACCACCTAGTATCTATCATGCGTTGTACTGGATGCTATACATTATCTAATTTTATTTTTGTAATACCCTATGGAGTAGGCATTATTATCACAAGTATACACATTATAAAATTGATGCTCAGAAAAGTTAATTACCATACCCAGGGTTACATGATTAGAGCTGAGACTGGAACGCCAAAGCCCATATCTGTGTCCCTTCTAATTTCAGTGACCTACCAACATCTATTATATATTAGTTCTCATGTCAAAAGATACAATAAAGTATTTGTTCATAAATGTATTATAATGTTTAAAAAATAATATTAGTGAACAGCTAGGTGTAATCCCAATACAGTTTCATTTAAACACAAATGTATTTCTGGCCTGAAGTTGATTTTTAACTTCCATCTTTTTTGAGGAAATGGCATCTGCAATGTATATGGGGGTTAGTGGGGGAGGAGAAAAACAGCAGTTCCAGGAACACTGAAAGAAAAGGATCAAGTTAAATGCTTTCTACTCTCAGACAAGATTAATAACCCTTAAAATACTTTTCTTATTTAATAAATTGTGACAGAATCACTCAATGTGGGCTCAGAAAAGGACAAAATGACTGGGCTCCTTACAAGTAATGTTTTTTTAAAAATTGAAACAAGATTTATACTAATCTGAAAACAAATATATTTCGGGGTAAGGGGAATCATTCCTCACTGAATTAATTTGTAAAAAGTAGCAAACACTGCCATCTGCTGGGCTTTAATTTTCTCTTTGTTATAGGTCTTGCGGATGATCATAGCTATTATGTATATTGAATACGTAAATAAGAAAGGACATCTGTTACTTGTTATGAAGATTTCAAGCTACCTAAAAATAATTGAGTGGCTATGTTTATTTCTTTATGAATACATTCTAAATCACTTTATTATTGGTGTTAACAGAAATATTCAGGAAAAACAAAATAATTACCTTCAAATAAATGTTATCTCAATATTTTGCAAAACCTTTTGAAGAAGAAAGTTAAACTCCCCTGCAGAGACGCATCACCCAGTAAAACTTGAGAGAAACTGTCACAGGTTTGTGAAATGATGCACTTTCTCTGCTCAGCTGACAACTCTTCTTCCCAAGCTGTCTGATCCGTCCCAGAGGCTAACATATTTCCCTCTTTACAAAAAAGAGGAGGAAAAGAGAACCACTTTTCCTAGCGAGGAGGCTGTGCCCTATGTAGTGTGTACAAATGATCATTCTATCCTTCCAGCATGGTGGAAAAGAGGGGGCTGAGTGTGCTGTACCCAATCCTCTCCAAAGGAGAACTCAGTGCCCTGGCTCATCTGACTCAGTCTTTGTCAATTCACTCAGGAAGATGGTTTGTGATTCACCCTCTGGTAACGCCTCAGTACAGTGTTTGTGTTCCTTGGATGATCTGCATCGGTTTCACCTGGGGAGTTTGTTGAAGCTGCATGTTCCTGGCCTGAACCCAAGAGATGCTGAATCATAAACCTCTGGTCTGGCATCCAGGAATCTGCATCAAACAGTCTATTCTTTTTTATTATTATTACTTTAAGTTCTGGGATACATGTGCAGAATGTGCAGGTTTGTTACATAGGTATACATATGCCATGGTGGTTTGCTTCATCCATCAACCCATCATCTAGGTTTTAAGCCTTCCATGCATTAGATATTTGTCCTAATGCTCTCCCGCCCCCCACCCCCCACCAAACACCCCCCACCCCCCACCCCCCACCGGTATGCGATGTTCCCCTCCCTGTGTCCATGTATTCTCATTCGAACAAGCTATTCTTATGCATTTTGGAGGCTGATAACCACTGACCAGAATCTTAGGATTCTTACTTTTGTAGCCTCCATGGGACCGAAGATCAAACTGCCAGTGGGAAGACTTACGATGCTTTATCCCAGGCCTTTCCAGCAAGGACTAGTTCTAGAGCCATGTAGCCCTGCACATCAGCGCCAGTTGTGGCACTTTGAAAAGTTCTGCTTCCTGGGTCCCATCTCAGTGATTGCGATTCACTGAGTACCTCCTCAGGCTGCACCAATGTACAGCCAGGCTTGGTAAGCCGCAGCTCTAGGGAAACTCCAGGATTACCCCTGCAAAGACAGTCCCCAGAAGACTGTGAAGCAGGCAGAACATGTTTGCTGTCTCCTACTGTCTTCTGCATATACCCTCCCCTTCCTCTTGATACTCCACCTCCTGCTGTGGGCACCTCCTCTCTCTTTCACTACCAATTCTCTGATTCCTTTCATTTATCCCATTTTTTTTTTTTTTTTTTTTTTTTTTTTTTTTTTTTTTTTTTTTTTTTTTTTTGAGACGGAGTCTCGCTCTGTCGCCCAGGCTGGAGTGCAGTGGCGGGATCTCGGCTCACTGCAAGCTCCGCCTCCCGGGTTCACGCCATTCTCCTGCCTCAGCCTCCCAAGTAGCTGGGACTACAGGCGCCCGCCACTACGCCCGGCTAATTTTTTTGTATTTTTAGTAGAGACGGGGTTTCACCGTTTTAGCCGGGATGGTCTCGATCTCTTGACCTCGTGATCCGCCCGCCTCGGCCTCCCAAAGTGCTGGGATTACAGGCGTGAGCCACCGCGCCCGGCCATTTATCCCATTTTTGATAAGGGTGGTTGATGGCAGCTAACCTCTCCCAAAACATTAGCTTTTAATGAACTTAGATGCCCACAGGTGGTCTATAAAATCTGGAAATATGAAATGTTGTTTGTCATATATTGTAATGTAGCATCCAAACCAACTATGTCTTCAGACTTAGTGCTTCTTCTTTATTTATTTATTTATTTATTTTTTTTTGAGACGGAGTCTCACTCTGTCATCCAGGCTGGAGTGCAGTGGTGCAATCTCAGCTCACTGCAACCTCCGCTCCCCAGGTTCAAGCAATTCTCCTACCTCAGCCTCCCAAGTAGTTGGGACTACCAGCATGCACCACCATGCCCAGCTTTTTTTTTTTTTTTTTTGTATTTTTAGTAGAGATGGGATTTCCCCATGTTGGCCAGGCTGGTCTCAAATTCCTGACCTCAAGTGATCTGCCTGCCTTGGCCTCCCAAAGTGCTGGGATTACAGGCGTGAGCCACCGCGCCTGGCCAAGTGCTCCTTCTTTAGATAGAATGTCATTGTGTTAGCCTGGTAAAGGCTGCCAGGTTGTCATGAGGGGGAGTGTGTGTGGTTTGACCAGAGCGTACTGTGAACAGTGTGGCAGTATGAATAGAGCCTTGCTTCTGGAGACCTTTGTGAAAATTGACTCATGTGAGGTATCACCTATTTTGGAGATGGTGGACACCACAAAGGCAGTGAGGTGTCAGCAAACCAGAGCTGTCTCTGACTTCCCTACCTGACAACAGTGACACCAAGTAAAGACATTCATCTCCAGGACCAAGAATACCCTTCTGTCACTTATCTCTAGCCAATCTGGCCATCAAACCCAGCTCACATCTAAGCCCCCTATGGAGCCCTCCTAGGCCAGTCCTGTTCATAGTGATCTCTTCTTTTCCAAAACCACAGCAGGGTTACTTTGATCCACCAAATGACAACTAGTTACAGACTGTTTTGAAATATTCCTGAAGTTATGCTAAAGAAGAAGGTGTAAAGAAGGATGGTTTGAAAGTCAAAATTCGGGATGACATGTAACATAAGTATTATTCACTTTACCATTATCCTTCCAACTCACTGGAAAGATGCTCATTGGAGGCAGGGACTATGTCTTGTCTTTTTTATATCTTGCATGGGGTCTCACACAGAGCAAGTGCTCGATAAATATTAGTTCATTTGATACAGCTTTTTCTCTTGCATCTCTCCTCAGGAACGAGGCATGAACAGCAATTTACTGGAGTGCTCAAAAGTGCTTTTAATGTAGGACTTGTTGAATATTCTCCAGATTGACAACTACAAAGCCACCGAGTAGGAAATGTCTCAGGTAAGAGACCCTCTGGAGTCTCAGATTCAGACCCTTCCCAGATGAAGTCCTTCTTTGTTTGGTGATCTTAGATGCCTACCTCTTCTGCTTAGTTCTATCAAACTCTTATTGGTTCACTATGCTTTTTTCCTGTATATAGATCTTCCCCTTAGGCAATTGTGCTATTCTCTAAGAATAATGTTTGTCCTGTTCCCCAGTCTCCCACAGCCATAGACATATCCTCTTCTAACTTACTGATGGTTTCTCTGTTCCAGTTACATTAGAAATATAACTTTGTAAAATGCTGCTATGCAAGCTTCTAAGCAAGTTTGATTTAATTGGTTTAGAGAGGGGGCCAAGAATTTGATGTTTTTAAAATTCTCTTGGGTAATTCTAACATGCAGTCAGAATTGAGAACACTCCATTTTCTGTTTTTTTTTTTTCTGTTTTATATTGTGCTCAGCTAAGAAGTTCCTATTTTTTCTTTCTCCTCAAATTTAGGCCAGAACCCTAGCTTACAGTTTAACTGTTAAAAATTAATATTTGCAAGTATAGACATTTACCTAAAAAGCCAACAGTGATATAGACTATGTAAAATAAAACCAAATAAAATTATATAAACATAATGTATAATAGAAGAGTGTTATACTCTGCTCTACTTCTGCTACCTTGTGGAGATAACTAGAATCCTCAGATGTTTTAAAGATTTTAAGGCTAGAGATTCCCCAAATGGGTTTAAGAACTGCTTAGTTAATATATGAATTATAAATTGGTATGAAACTGAAAGATCTGGTGAAACAAGATCTTGAGAATCTCTACCAATGTTCGCTCTCCCCAAGCATTTCTGCCAATTTCCCCAAGCATTTCTGCCAATTTCCCCAAGCATTTCTGCCAATTTCCCCAAGCATTTCTGCCAATTTCCCCAAGCATTTCTGCCAATTTCAAATGCTGGAGAAATCAAGGAGTCAAGAATGTGATTTTCTTCAAGGAAAGGATTGCCTTGAATAGAATTTAGAACACATGACTCCCACTCAAATGTGCTGCCCAAAAGAAGATGCTGCCAATGATTAAATCAAACTGGGTTTGCTGCCCACTCTGTACCATTTCCAGGATTTTTGATGTTAATTACTATTGAGTACAATGGCATGGGATTTTTCTCAGCCCATCACTATGTTTTGTATAACACATAAAGTGTCTGGGGTGTATGTGAATGGCTAATAAATATATGTGTGTAATAGGTTTAGCTAAAATAAAATGATTCACATTAGGACAGAATGCCCTCCTCCATCCATTTGAAATTGTTTTATTTAATTGTATTCTACACTATTGAATCCCTAATATTTCTGTCAGCAATCAATGGAAATGATGATGGCATAAAATCTACACGCCTAACATCTAATTTATCAGGAAAAATTAGTGGGTTTAAATACATAATTAGTTTATAAAATGTGGTTTTGAACACATTTACAGAATGAGAGTTTTTATCTGCCAGTTCACTGAAAAGGCCTTTATGAGTGTTTAGGGAACTTTGAGGACAATTGTAAAAGAACTTGTAACCAATTGGAGGATGAGCCTTGGAAGAGGAGCATAAACTGTTGGCCCAAAATTGTTATGAAACCGTTTCATCTTCCCAAAAACATATTCTGTTTGAGTTCTGAACAGCCATTTCTCTATTTCTGTTCCTCCTCCCTTGCTTTTTGTTTCTCACTGGAGAATGTTAACAGAGTTTGCTAGGTCTAGGTTTTGTTACTTTTGTAAAGATACATAGATGAGTAATTGAAAAATCAAAAAGATTTGACAAATCAGAAAGCCAGAGTGAGAGACAGAATACACAAATGTGTGATTCTTGAGAGACCCCCAACCATGCTGCCTTCTCTTTAATTTGCAGACCTGTTATGTAGGTGTATTTTCTTTGTTCTCTTTTACCCTGTCAACTAAGCAGGTTAAAGTTGACCCAGCAGCATTTAATAGCTCTTTAGAGATGAAGCAGAATACAATGACACAGCAGAATCACTACTTTTAAGCATGAAGTTTTGTTCTTTTAGAACAGTTATTAAGATTGGGAAAATGCCCAGGTAAGATTTTTTTCCCAGAACAGAATAAAGGACTTTTTTTTTTTTTTTTTTTTTTTTTGAGACGGAGTCTCGCTCTGTCACCCAGGCTGGAGTGCAGTGGTGCGATCTCTGCTCACTGCAAGCTCCGCCTCCCAGGTTCACGCCATTCTCCTGCCTCAGCCTCCCCAGTAGCTGGGACTACAGGCGCCCGCCACCACGCCCGGCTAATTTTTTGTATTTTTAGTAGAGACGGGGTTTCACCGTGTTAGCCAGGATGGCCTTGATCTCCTGACCTCGTGATGCACCCGCCTCGGCCTCCTAAAGTGCTGGGATTACAGGCGTGAGCCACCGCGCCCGGCCCAGAATAAAGGACTTTCTTTCCTATCTTCAAAATTAACGGAGAATATCAATAAAATAGAACATTGTCAAAACATGATGGTCCCCTGCTGCCACAGCAAGGACAAGGTAAAACTAGAAAGTAGATGGCAAGCAGAAGCCTGCTTTGTAACAGTGAGTGATTAGCAGTGACTCAAGGGTTTTGAGCAACTGATCAATTGACGAGAGAAGGAAGGCGACACTGCAAGGGGTGGGAGGGAAATAAATCTGTCTCTATTTTGCTCTACTAAAGAAAATTCTGTTTTTTAACCCTTGAATAAAAACCAGAAGATACTTTTGGGTTTTTTGTTTTGTTTTGTTTTGTTTTTTGAGATGGAGTCTCACGCTGTCACCCAGGCTGGAGTACAGTGGAGCGATCTCGGCTCATGGCAACCTCCGCCTCCTGGGTTCAAGCGATCCTCCCACCTCAGCCTCCCCAGTAGCTGGGATTAAAGGTGCCCACCACCACCCCCGGCTAATTTTTGTATTTTTAGTAGAGATGGGGTTTCACCATGTTGGTCAGGCTGGTCTCCAACTCCTGATCCCAAGTGATCCACCCGCCTCAGCCTCTCAAAGTACTGGGATTATAGACGTGAGCCACCATGCCCAGCCTAGATAATCTTTATTGAATATCATAATTTATAAGGTTACAAGCTGGTTAGATATCCTGCCATCATCCTCTTGTAGGATAATGGCAATTGACTTCTTCTCTGCAACTATTTCAAAGAAGTCCAGGGAAATGTATTGCAATGGACAAAACCTTATTGGCCTACATTAATAGATGCTTAGGGCCATGTGTTATACGATTCCAGGGGACAACATTCATGCAGGTGACTTCCTATTTTTGCATAGCAGGTAGGACTCTCAAACCATGAACATAACTGTGCAAGACATACCCATTTCTTTTCTATAACCGAACTTAATTTCTGACTCTAGGATTCCCATCATCCATTTTTTGGAGGAGAATTTATCCTCTGCCTTTCTTGGAAGCCTCCTCCAGCCCCAAATGTGCCATTGCTCTGGGATTTTGCACACCACCAAGTGGATACTGGGAGGAGCCAGGTTTGAGCCATCTCCAGAGGCTGCCTGTTAAAGTGAATGGCCCCCAGCAAGCAGAAGGAGACTGTGGGTCATCACTAGAGGACAGAACCTGAGGAGGCTGGTAAGAGGTCATTTGGAAAGTGTCTCATAGAGAATGGTGCAGATTAGCATTCCTTGGTGGGGAGGCATTTAAATAATCTGCAAATACAACCCAACAGAGACTACATTTTAATGACCATTGAGACAGAACCACAAACAGCAAAAGCTAAGTAAAAAGGCCTTTTCTCTTGCTTTCAGCCCTCCTCTTCCCCACTGGAGGGGAGGAGGGGATGTGGTATTGGGACCTGGAGTTTAGAAGAAGACAGCAGTAGAAACAGCCTGCACTTCCTACTCCTGGTACCCAAACAAAGCCAGAAGTCAGGCTTCAGTTAAGAGGAGAGAAGCTTTAGTTTAAATTAAAAAATTAAAGTAAGACTTATGTGTACCTAAAGATAAGACTGTAGCTGTAGTTGAAAATTACCAGAAATGCTATGGAATCTCCCTGAGATGTTGCCAAGTGGTAGGGAGGATACACCTAGCAGGGCATGGGTGAAGACAGTGGTTTGCTGATTGTATCCTAAAGAGAATGTGCTTATGTGCTTTGTCCCTTCCAGTCTGGCTGCCCTCTGAAGCCTCCCTGTCCTCCTTCCTCCCCAGTCACAACTATTACCTGAAGCCATTCTGCACTAGGCTCCCACTGCCTCCCTGGAGGCTGCATTTGACTCCTCCCTGCTCCCAGGCCTCCCTTTCTTGGGAAACCTCTCTCTCTCTCCTACTTTTTTCAAATTCCACTTGTTCCTGCAAATATTTTTTCCCTTATGTATCCTCTATAAACAGTGTAAGTTCTTCTATGGGCTTACATTTTATTTTTAGAAACAAAAGCCAGAAGGGGCAAAGGCTACTTTACTTTCTACACCTGAAGTAGTGGCTATTGACATGAATATGGAAAGGGCAAAGGACAAATAAAATGGTGAGGAAAAAATATAAATTATATATCAAAGCCATATGCTGTTCTGCTTTGATTTCTAATGGAACTTAGTCAATCTTGAGCTGATTGGGTTTTGCTGTTGGACACAGAACATGAATGTAACTTAAATGAATCACAGCATATTTTATACAGCATATGCTTGCCTTCTTCCCTGTGCTTTATGTGGGCTGTGTAAGAGGGGAAGCAGAGAACTCACCATATTTATAATTAAATAATTAGCCTAATAGCTCTTACATATCTGCCTTCCATGCTCAACTGGAAGCTCCATGACTGCCGAAACTATGTCTGTCTTTTCACTGTGGATCTGAATTTCTTCTCCACAGGTACGTTCTTGTTATATGAATGAGTGAATCTGTCAAAGTGTTAGGTATGTTGGGAGGTGTAGGTCAGGAGTGTGGCAGCCAGGACCAGGCTACTATTCAGCCTCTTTGTGTGAAGAGCAGGGGATTTGGGAGGGGTGAGTAGATCTGGACTAAGTCGTCTCCTGAGATCCCTTACAACCCACCCAACTGTCCGGGGGCTTTCTGATTCAGGGTCAGTCTGGTCTTACATATGACCTGCCATAGCTTTGAGGGTTATAAGATATATTATGATAGGTTTTGTTCAAGCACTTGTCAAAACAAAAAATTACCAGGCCATTTCTTTTCACTTTCAAGAGGCATGTTAAAATGGCATCAACCCATTAGTAGCATTTATACCTATAAACAATAGAAACATCTCAACTTAGTGTCTGCCTTTAAGAGAAAAATTTTAAAAATTAAATTGCCACTTCTTCATATTTATTTAGCATATTCACAGGCTAAAAAAGAAATAATTGCAGGTCTCTTAAAGGCCTTATGGCTTACTCCAGAGTCAGTAGTTTCCAGTTTAACTTGGACTAATGGGTTGGTCAGCTAAGGATTGCTTTGGAGAGGGACTTACTTTAATGATTACAGACAACACTGATTCTTAAAGACTTCATGTTCTGAAAAGCATTATAATGATGGAATGATTATAAATAATAATATTCATAGGACACTTTATAAAGAATCCTGCCATAGTTATGATTTCATGTCTAAACCAACGCAGGGAGTAGCACATGAACCAATGGTGTAGATCCTCAGAGACATGTTTCCCTGCTTCCCGACTCCCACCCAGCCTCTGAGTCTCCATACAGCTTGGACTCAAAGATTCTCTTTTATTCCTTCTCCATGATAGTTAGACCCCCGTGCTCAGTTTCGTGGTTGTTCCAGCACGCAAAGGCTATGGTTTGAAATATCCCAGCCTTTCCTTTCTATTTCATCCATATCCTGCCCATCGTCTCAAAGATAGCTCATCTTGTTCACTCCTTGAAAATTTGTGAAACATATTTGGTATTTCATTATATTAACTCTTTCAGTGCTGCTGAACTGTTTCATCTGCTTCAGGTATTAGTGGCAGGAAGGAGAGGACCATGCCTTGCACATTATGTTGCAGAGATTCCCTTAGTAGATGTACACTTGTTGAATAAATGGTCCAGAATCATACCAATTGGAATACTTTCTTAAATCAAGTTACATGTTTGTATGGTGCCCTAGAAAATGTCTAGCACTTCTTAGGTGTTCAATAAATATTAATACTGCACTTGTAACCTGAGATGTTGAATTTGGTTTTAAAATAAGCCAACAAAGTAAGCAAGCTACTTCCCAGGTATGTTACCTTTTATAACTTCTATGTTTACAACTCTACTACCATATTGAGAGAATAACTGTTTAACATGATGACCCTGTGGTAAAAATCCAAACTCATTAAAAAAGAAAAGTTTGAGTTTCAAGTCAGTTACAAGTAAAATCAAATAAAGGAAGAAAGGAAGGAAAGCATGAGGGAGGGAAGGAGAGAGGGAGGGAGGAAAGAAGAAAAAAAGAAAAATTAAAATGCATTTGACATATTGAATGTATTAATTCAATTGCCAACCATTCTTTTGCAGTGCCTCCTAATCCTGGACAACAGAACATTGCTGGACAACCATGGCAAAGCTGAGCTCAGTGGGCTCACCATGGATTTACTCTGATCTGCATTACTTAGATCATTAATGTCAATCCCTTTTTTCCCAGTAGCTTTATGTCTGTTCACATCATTTCATTCTCAATTGCACTAGCTCTGTGCTTTTACCCTTAGCTGTTATCCTCACCCTCTATCTAAACAAGAGCTCCTTTGATTTCCTTCCTCCTCACTTTAAAATTTTCTTTTGCCTTTGATCGTTCTCTTATTTTTCTCATCCTGTCTCAGGAATGCTCTTTCTTCCCAAGGCTATGCCTTCCTCTCTGTATGGATCCTGTCCCCTCCTGGCTTTCCAGGACTACTGCATGAATTACCTTCTATTTTCTTGCATCTTCAGTGTCACCCTTTTCATGAGCTCTGCAACAGTCCTATTGCCCAAGCTCTAGAAAATCCCCCTCTTAAATTATTGTATTTCTAGCCTTTCATTTACTATCTCATTTCTCAAAAGTGCAATAAACATGTAATTTCCCTTTTTCTACTCTTTTGGTTTGAGGCATATTATCCTTCTATTTCTCACACCTAAGGCCTCAAATTCCACCTGTAAGGGGGTGAGCTTGCACTTAGGTTCTAGGCTAAATCTAGTCACAAGAAAGCAACTAGTGCAGTTAGATTCACAGTTTAGAGTGTCTGTGGAAATGCTTCACCTTGGGATGGGATTCTGCCTGCATTACTGTTACTTAAGCATACTGATGCCACCTGGATATTCACCTGCTTCAGCTTCTGCCTGTTGACCCCTTGCACACTACTTTCTCCCCCTCTCATGTTTGGAAGAATCAACCTCAAAATGTTAACTTCATTATTGATAAAGCCAACTGGGGAACATGTCTTTAGATGTTTGGTCAAAAGCCTTGCTGAGTTGAATTTTCTCCTACAACAGCAGCCCAGAATGCACTCTCTCTGCACTTGGTTTGCAGGCTGGCTTATGGAGAGTCAGGGGTTAAGTGTTCTTCCAACTTTGCAAAAGATAAATCAGTCATCTACTAGGAAAAGAGGAAAATCAGAGATAAGCTGAAAGCATTCCTCTCATAATTTTCCATTCCTGGGGAGTAGATTTGACATTTTCTTCCCTTAATGGAAACATGAGTCATGAGGAATAAATGCTCCCTGCTATCAGTCCTCTCTCTCCCTTCTAGGGCTTCTCCTGGTTCCTGTTCGGCCCCCAGAAAGCTTGTCTAATCTTGGCTAGCCTGATCCAGCCTCCACCAGCCCCGATGCTGCTGGTATACACTTGCTCCTTAACCACACATACTGTGGTTTCTGCTTTAACAATCAGCCATAGGATTTTAATTACCCAATCTAGCCACACGTTCTCAGTCCTTTTCTTCTCTAACTTCTCAGCTCAAAAATTTTGAATACATCCCATTTGATTGTGGACAAAGAGGCAATGATCATGGGGTAATGCACTATGTTTTTGTACACTAAGTTTCTTTTGTAAATACCATTGTTTCTGGCCAGGCGTGGTGGCTCACACCTGTAATCCCAGCACTTTGGAAGGCCGAGGCAGGCGGATTGCCTGAGGTCAGGAGTTCGAGATCAGCCTGACAAACATGGTGAAACCCCCTCTCTACTAAAAATACAAAAATTAACTGGGTGTGGTGGCACATGCCGGTAATCCCAGCTACTGAGGAGTCTAAGGAAGGAGAATTGCTTGAACCCAGCAGGAGGAGGTTGCAGTGAGCCAAGACTGCGCCACTGCACTCCAGCCTGGGTGAGAGAGCAAGACTCTGTCTCAGAAAAATTAAATAAATAAATAAATAAATAAAGCCATTGTTTCTAATTTTTTTTTTTAAAAAAAGCTGTTTCCTTAACATTCCAGTATGCTCTATTCTAAGGCTTTTCTAAAAATCAGTATTCATATAAAAAATACTTTCTACTGATGTAGAAGAGGGGTAAGAACTTTGGAGTGAAAACAGATTAAAGCTTGGGTTTGAATTCCAGTTCTGACACTTACTAATTAAATGACTTTATTTAATTTCTCATCACTTTAGTAATTTCATTTCTAAACTGGTGATTAACAGTGGCTAATGTGTATTAAATACATAATGCTAATCACTGAGGGCTTTATATGCATTATCTTATTTAATCTTACAACTCCATGAAGTAATCCTATTATTATTTCCATTTTACAGATTTTTAAAATGAGATTTAATGAACAAAAGAAACTCGCCCAAAGTCACACAACCAGTAAGTGAGAGAGTTTGGAATAAAATCTAATAAAACACATATTTGAACTCAAGTTTATGTAAATCCGAAGTTAAAGCTCTTAAAAGCTGTGCTTTTCTTTTTCTGTACTTAGTATATGCAAAGATCTCCTACAGTGCCTTGTGCTGATTATGAAGTCACCAGACAATAGCTGTCATTATCATCACTGCCATCATTATTATAAACAAAACATTACGTTCGAGCTTGGCCATCAGTCTTTTTGCAGTGTTTTTCAATTTGGTTTCTTATTATGGATTCACTAAAAGGAGTCAATTTCTCTTTTTATATGGACACTTTGTAGTAGAATTGAAGATAACAATTATTAGATAAATTGACATGGTGTTATTCATGTACTAGAAGGAAACATTGACATATTTCTTAATAAGCTGAGTATGAGAAAAACTTTCCTAACTATGACACAAAATACAAAAACAGTAAAACAATTGATCAGTTCAACTACATAAAAATAAAACAACTTTTGCATGGCAAAAGTAATATAAAAAAGTAAAAAGACAAATGACAAGCTGGGGAAAATAATTGCTACTTCTGTCACAAACGAAAGATTATTCTGGCATGAAGACAGCCACATTGACCTACAGGATAGAATAGAATGCCAAGAAACAAGCTCTCACATAGATGGTCAAAACATTTTTGACAAGGGGACCAAGACCATACAATGAGGAAGAAACAGCCTTCCACAGATGGTGCTGGGAAAACTGGGTATCTACTTGCAAAAGAATGAAGTTGGCCCCTGCTTTTATACCACATACAAAAATCAACTCAAAATGTATCAAATATTGGGCTGGGCATGGTGGCTCACACCTGTAACTCTAGTACTTTGGGAGGCCAAGGTGGGTGGATCACCTGAAGTCAGGAGTTCGAGACCAGCCTGGCCAACATGGTGAAACCCTGTCTCCACTAAAAATACAAAAATTAGCCAGGCATGGTGGCACATGCCTGTAATCCCAGCTACTTGGGAGGCTGAGGCAGGAGAATCACTTGAACCCAGGAGGCAGAAGTTGCAGTGAGCCGAGATTGTGCCACTGCACTCCAGCCTGGGTGATAGAGCCAGACTCTGACTGAAAAAAAAAGTATCAAAAATCTAAACATAAGAGCTAAAACAATAAAATTACTAGAAGAAAAAACATGGTGGAAAGCTTCATGACATTGGATTTAGCAAAGATTTCTTAGATATGATGTAAAATCACAGGCAATGAAAAATAGATAAATAGTTGAACTACATCAAAATGTCAAAATTCCGTGCACCAAAGGACATAGTAAATGATGTAAAAAGGCAACTAACTTTTTTTCCTTCATTTCAACTTTGGTGAAACTGACAATTATGTGTCTTGGAGTTGCTCTTCTCGAGGAGTATCTTTGTGGCGTTCTCTGTATTTTCTGAATTTGAATGTTGGCCTGCCTTGCTTGATTGGGGAAGTTCTCCTGGATAATATCCTGCAGAGTGTTTTCCAACTTGGTTCCATTCTCCCCGTCACTTTCAGGTACACCAATCAGACGTAGATTTGGTCTTTTCACATAGTCCCATATTTCTTGGAGGCTTTGTTTGTTTCTTTTTATTCTTTTTTCTCTAAACTTCTCTTCTCGCTTCATTTCATTCATTTGATCTTCCATCACTGATACCCTTTCTTCCAGTTGATTGAATTGGCTCCTGAGGCTTGTGCATTCGTCACGTAGTTCTCGTGCCGTGGTTTTCAGCTCCATCAGGTCTTTTAAGGACTTCTCTGCATTGGTTATTTTAGTTAGCCATTCATCTAATTGTGATCGGTGTGCTGCACCCACTGTCCTGCACCCACTGTCCGACACTCCCCAGTGAGATGAACAGGTGCTGGAGAGGATGTGGAGAAATAGGAACACTTTTACACAGTTAATGGGACTGTAAACTAGTTCAACCATTGTGGAAGTCAGTGTGGCGATTCCTCAGGGATCTAGAACTAGAAATACCATCTGACCCAGCCATCCCATTACTGGGTATATGCCCAAAGGATTAAAAAACATGCTGCTATGAAGGCACATGCACACGTATGTTTATCGCGGCACTATTCACAATAGCAAAGACTTGGAACCAAGCCAAATGTCCAACAATCATAGACTGGATTAAGAAAATGTGGCACATATACACCATGGAATACTATGCAGCCATAAAAAATGATGAGTTCATGTCCTTTGTAGGGACATGGATGAAGCTGGAAACCATCATTCTCAGCAAACTATCACAAGGACAAAAAAACCAAATACCACATGTTCTCACTCCTAGGTGGGAATTGAACAATGAGAACACATGGACACAGGAAGGGGAACATCACACACTGGGGCCTGTTGTGGGGTGGGGGAAGGGGGGAGGGATAGCATTAGGAGAAATACCTAATGTAAATGACGAGTTAATGGGTGCAGCACACCTTCATGGCACGTGTATACATGTGTAACAAACTTGCATGTTGTGCACATGTACCCTAAAACTTAAAGTATAATTAAAAAAATATTTAGCAGAAAAAGAAATGCTTATGGCCTTTAAACATATGAACGATGTTGAACCTCACTTATTAGATAAAAGCATATTAAAATATATTTGTATAATAGTTCTCTGACCTGTTATGTAGGAAAAATCCAAAAGCTTTACAATGTACAGCGATGGTAAGGCTTTGGAGAAGCAAACAGTCTCATACATTGTTGGTGTGATTATAAAAATGGTAGGTAAAACACCAGGGGACAGAATTCAGTAATATCTAGCAAAATTATGTGTGTATGTATGTTTTCAGCAAGCAATTCCACTTCTAGGAGTCTATTCCAAAGATATACTAGCTAAAATAGAAAATGACGTTTTCATGAGGGAGCATCCATTGCAGTACTATTTGTAACAACAAAAGATTACAAACAACCCAAATATTCATTAAAAGTTGAATAATCCATGGACATCCATTAGAATGAAAAGTGATGTAATTATGAAAAAGAAATTAGGAAGACCTCTATGTATCACTGTGGAGATATGTCCAGTATATTTAGTAAAAATAAGCAACAAAGCCAACAAAGTTTAAACAGCCTATACTACGCTACTTTTTGTCTCATAAAGGGATAAATACAGTACTTCTTATATTTAAAATGAAACAATGAAATAATGAATCAAAAAAATAAAAATTGTATGCCATAGAGGGATAAGGAAAATAAGAAGAGAGCAGAAATGGAATCCAGACCTCCCTAAAGTTACCTTATTTTATAATTTTAATTTGTAAACATGTAAATATCTCACATAATTAAAAAATAAGATGAAATAAAGATTTTAAAATGTGATTTCTAAAAATATAAAAATGTGATTTCTAAAAATATGAAAAAGAGAAACAAAATACATATTTTGTCTGTTCGTTGCCAGTAGAATATCATAAGGACAAAAAGACCCAAAAACCTGAAGTTTTTTTTATTGTCAATAAAATTGTTATTATTATTTTGAAACAATAAATATTTGTATTAATGTGATTTAGGATCTAAAATTTTCAGCACAGGAGAAAAAAGTGCATCTATAAAAGTGAAGGTGTTAAGGAAAACTCTATGTAATCTTTGACTTGAAAAACATAGTATAAACTGATGGGTTTTTAAAAATCAGTCCAAACTATTGTCAAAAATACAGTAGAAACTGATGATTTACTTATAAGTCCAAAAATATTGTTGTTTTCTACCTCTACCCACAGAAAAGCCTGAGGGATAGTGACAACCTAGTTTTGATGAACACCCTTAATGCTGAGCTTGTGGTTTCTAAATACTATTTCCTAATTTAAAAAAACACAGGAGCTCCACGGTAAAGTAGCAGGTTTCAGGTCTAAGGCGGGGAATATAGATGGTAAGTATGAGACAACTTGACACTCCTTAAGCAAGTAAGTTACAAAAACTTGGGGTTTTGCCGAAAGGACATTAAAGGTAACTTGAGAAGCTCTCACTGGTCAAAGATAGGGCTATTTGAACATCAATAATAATACTGTCACTGATTACAACATCAAATATATAAAAATCTACGAGTTAATTATAATGCTTTGAAAAGGGAATCTGGCTTATTACCTTTGAATATGGCTAGAACACTGGCTTCTTATTCTAAAAATTGAAAACTAAAATGAAAGAATCGAGTATCAATCCTGCCTCTCTTCTATGAACCATGTTTCCAGTTAATCAAAGAGCTGATGAAGCAGAATTTTTCTTCATATAAGAATCACGGGAAATAAATCAGTTTCTCATCTCTAAAATGAGAATATTTGTGATCCACTTTATAGTGTTGCTGTGGCTCACAGTAAAGGTCCAGTACACGTTAGCTTTTATAATTACACATTTTGAAGGGTATGCGTTCTTTTAAAAATTGCTGTAGAGAAAACACACATGCTATTGAGAATATTCTTGAAAAGTATTTTTCTATTTAGAACAATGTTTGATATCAACTTATAATAGTGCTATCCTAAACCAAATTTTATTCTCAAATGTCTTATTCCATATGCTATTCCATAAGGTCCAGGATAAGCCAGTAAGAAAAATGTGTTTTAGGATTTTTTTCTTTATCCTTGACCTTTGGGAGTTTCGGAGTTTGATTATTAAATTCCTTGAGATAGTCTTCTTTGGGTTAAATCTACTCGCTGCTCAATATCCTTCTTGGACTTGAGTATTGATATCTTTATGTAGGGGTTTTTAAAACATTTTTATTTTCTGAGACAGAGTTTTGTTCTTGTAGTGCAGACTGGAGTGCAGTGGCACAATCTTGGCTCACTGCAACCTCCACCTCCCAAGTTTAAGCTGTTCTCCTGCCTCAGCCTCCCGAGTAGCTGGGATTACAGGCGTCTGCCACAATGTCTAGGTAATTTTTGTATTTTTAGTAAAGATGGGGTTTCAACATGTTGGCCAGGCTGGTCTTGAACTCCTGACCTCAAGTGATCTGCCTGGCTCAGCCTTCCAAAGTGCTGGAATTATAGGCGTAAGCCACTAGGCCTGGCCCTTTCTCTAGATTTGATAAGTTCTCTGCTCTTATCCCTTTGAATAAACTCTCTACCCCATCTCTTTACCTTCTTTTTAAGGCCAATAACTCTTAGATTTGCCCTTTTGAGGCTATTTTGTAGATCTTTTAAGTGTTCTTCATTCTTTCTTATTCTTTTTTCTTTTGTCTCCTCTGACTGTGTATTTTCAAATACCTCATCTTCAAGCTCACGAATTATTTCTTCTGCCTAAATTCTGATATTAAGAGGCTCTGATGCATTCTTCAGTGTGTCACTTGCATTTTTCAACTCTAGAATTTCTTCTTGATTCTTTTAAATAATTTCAATCTCCTTGTTAAATTCATCTGATAGAATTCTGAATTCCCTCTCTGTGTTATCTTGAATTTCTCATAAGTTTCCTCAACACAGCTATTTTGAGTTTTCTGTCTGAAAGGACACATATCTCTGTTTCTCCAGGATTGGTCCCTGGTGCCTTATTTAGTTTCTTTGGTGAGCTCAAGTTTTCCTGGATGGTCTTGATGCTCGTAGATGTTCGTCAGTGTCTGGTCACTGAAGAGTTAGGCATTTATTGTTGTCTTTGCAGTCTGGGCTGGTTTGTGCCCCTCCTTCTTGGGAAGGCTTTCCAGGTGTTAGAAGGAACTTGAGCCCCAAGCCCAATAATGCTGTGGTTCTTGCAGACTCATAGAGATACTGCCTTGGCAGTCTTGCATACGATCTGGAAGAATTCTCTGGATTACCAAGCAGAGACTCGTGTTCTTTTCCCTCACTTTCCCGCAAATGGAGTCTGTCTCTGTCTGCTGAGTTCCCTGAAACTGGGGGTGGGGAACACAGGCTACCACCACTGGGACTGCACCAATTCAGACTTGAAAACAGCACAGCACTGGGTTTCACCCAAGGCCCCCTGTAATCACTACCTGGCTACCGCCTATGATCACTCAAGGCCCTAGGGCTCTATGATTAGCAGGTGGCGAAGCCAGCCAAGTTTGTGTCCCTTCTTTAAGGGTGGTAAGTTCCCCCAGGCCCCAGTTGGGTCCAAAGATGCTGTCTGGGAGCCAGGGATTAGAGTCAAAAACCTTAGAAATTTACCTGATGTTCTATTCTACTGTGGCTAAGCTGGCACTCAAACCACAATACAAAGCCTTTCCCACTCTTCTCCCTCCTTTTCACAGAGAGAGGAGCCTCTCCCTGTGGCTGCCACCACCACCAGCCCATGGTGGGGTTCTGCCAGGGCACTGCTGATGTTCACTTAGAGCCTAAGGGCTCTTCAGTCAGCTTGTGATGAATGCTTCCAGGCCTGAGACTCACCCTTCAGAGTGGTGGGCTCCCCTTCTTTTATAAGGCAGGTCCAGAAATGGCCATCCAAGAGCCTAGGCCTGGAACCGGGGACCCCAAGGGTCTGCTGGTGCTCTACTCCCCAGTGGCCAAGCCGGTGCCTAAGGTGCAAGACAAAGTCCCCTTTACTTCTCTCTCTGCTTTTCTCAAACAGAAGGAGTCTTTTGCTGTAGTCACCACAGCTGAGAATGTCCTAAATCACACCTAAAGCCAACACATCTCAGAGCCCAAGGCCCATGGTGTACTACCTGGGTACTGCTGTTTGTTATCCAGGGCCTAAGGACTCCTTAGTCAGCAGGTGATGAATCCTACCAGGACTGGGTCCTTCCCTTCAAGGCAGCAGGTTTCATTCTGGCCCAGGGTGTGTCTAGAAATGTAATCCACTAGCTAGGGCTTGGAAAGAGGGGCCTCATGACTCTGCCTGATGTCCTGTCTCACTGTGGCTGGGCTGGTATCCAAGATTCAAGACAACGTCCTCTTTACTCTTTGCTCTCCTTTCCTCAAGCAGAAGGAAGAAGTCACTTTCATCTCTGTGAGCTGCACTGCCTGGGGTTGAGGCAGGAGTTGTGCGAGCACTCCCTTGGCCTCGCTGTCTGGTATTGCTCTAGGCCATTTACCTGACAAGTTCCCAGGATCTAAGGCCAGCCCAGCACTAGGCGTTGCCTAGGAATTGCAATCCTTGTGCCCTAGATTACTCTTCAAGTTTACCTAGGACATCAGAGCACTTATGGCCC
This sequence comes from Homo sapiens, assembly GCF_000001405.40. Classification (NCBI taxonomy): domain Eukaryota; kingdom Metazoa; phylum Chordata; class Mammalia; order Primates; family Hominidae; genus Homo; species Homo sapiens. The sequence continues at coordinate 43,823,589 of NC_000013.11, forward strand.
ACAGTGGCAAGGCCTTCAGAGAAACTCAAGTTTCCATCACTGGGATGGGTGAATCCCCTCTGGCTAGGTCTGCTCTGAAAGCCTCCTCCATGCGTGGGCGCTAGGTGAGCCCAGCACAGCTTTATTCTCTACTCCCAGGGCAGCACTGAGTTCAGTGTAAAGTCCCCCAGTTGTCCCTCCCTCAAGTGCACAGATTCTCTCTCTGAGCCCCCAGTCACTGCTGGGGTATGGAGGAGTGGTAGTTTGGCTCTTCAAGACTATCTCTTCTAGCCTCTTTCAGAAATATGGAGTTGAAACTAGGTACTGTGATTGCTCACCTGATTTGGGTTCTTGTGATGATGGTGCTCTTGAGTATAGTTAGAATTTGATGCTCCTGCTTGGGGAATGAGTGGTGCAGGCTTCTATTGGGTCATCTCGCTTTGCCTTCCAAAAAATGTATTAAATGACAATAAATAATGATTTCATGTTTTAGCAAGGAGTTTAACCCTTTTTCATGCCAACGGAATCTCTCAGATTGGAGGAGTCAGTTCAATATGAGTGAACAATATGCTATGACTACCATGAAAAGCACATGTAAACTGAGGTTGCATTAGTAGAAACCTGAGTCCCAAATATGGGATGAAATAGACCTCTTCTATAAGCAACTAATAAGACTATATCTTTAGTATCTTTTTGTTTTCTTCAACTTTCATAGGACAATGTGAAGGAAGAGTATATGCAAAGGGATGTAACTAGCATGGTGAAAGGACTCGCACTTATGCCACATAAGTTGTGATAGAAACGGAACTCCTACCTTTCACTACATACAGAAATTAACTCAAGATGGATTAAAAACTTAAATGTAAGACCTCAAACTATAAAATCCTAGAACAAAACCTAAAAAATACTTTTGTGGACATCAGCCTAGGCAAAGAGTTTATGACTAAGTCTTCAAAAGCAATTGTAACAAAAACAAAAATTGATAATTTGGCCTTAATTAAACTAAAGACCTTCTGCACAGCAAAAGAACTATCAACAGAGTAAACAATCTACAGAATGGGAGAAAATATTTGCAAACTATGCAGCTGACAAAGGTCTAATATTCAGAATCTTTAAGGAACTTAAACAAATCAACAAGAAAAAATCAACCCCATTAAAAAGTGGGCAAAGGACATGAACAGATGCTTCTGGAAAGAAGATATACAAGTGGCCAACAAACATATGAAAAAATGGTCAGCATTACTAATCATCAGAGAAATGCAAATCAAACCCACAATGAGATACCATCTCATACTAGTCAGAATGGCTATTGTTAAAAAGTCGAAAACAACAGATGCTGGTGAGGCTGCAGAGAAAAGACAATGCTTATACATTGTTGGTGGGCATGTAAATTAGTTCAGCCACTGTGGAAAGCAATTTGAAGGTTTCTCAAAAAACCAAAAATAGAACTACCATTCAACCCAGCAGTCCCATTACTGGGTATATACTCAAAGGAAAATAAATTGTTCTACCAAAAAGACCCTTGCACGGGTATGTACTTTAATTAAAGCACTATTCGCAATAGCAAAGACATGCAATCAACCTAGGTACCTATAAATGGTGGACTGGATAAATAAAATGTGGTACATATACACCATGGAATACTATGCATCCATGAGAAAGAATGAAATCATGTCCTTTTCAGCAATATGGATGCATCTGGAGGCCACCATTCTAAGTGAATTAACACAGAAAAAGAAAACCAAAATTTGCATGCTGTCACTTATAACTGGGAGCTAAATGCTGGATACACACAGACCTAAAGATAGTACAGGGGACTCTAAAAGGAGGGGGTAGGGCAAGGGCTGAAAAATGGGGAGCTAAATGCTGGGTACACACAGACATAAAGATAGAGATTGGGGACTCTAAAAGGAGGGTGTAGGCCAGGGATGGTGGCTCACGCCTATAATCCCAGTATTTTGGGAGGCCAACTTGGGTGGATCACCTGAGATCAGGAGTTCGAGACCAGCCTGGCCAACATGGCAAAACCTTGTCTCTACTAAAAATGTAAATATTAGCTGGGCGTGGTGGTGTGCGCTTGTAGTCCCAGCTACTTGGGAGGCTGAGGCAGGAGAATCACTTGAACTCGGGAGGCGGAGGTTGCAGTGAGTTGAGATCACACCATTGCACTACAGCCTGGGCGACGGAGTGAGACTCCGTCTCAAAAAAAAAAAAAAAAAAAAGGGAGGGAGTAGGGCAAGGGCTGAAAAACTTCCTGTTGGGTATGTCTTCACTATCTGGGTCATGGAATCACTAGAAGTGGAACCTCAGCATCATGCAATATACCCTGTAACAAACATGCACATGTACCTCTTGAATCTAAAATGAAAATAAACATTTTTAGAAAAGAAGAACTGGAAGTATTTAACCCAGAGAAAACAGTACTTGGTCTGGACATGGGCTAAATATTCCCAGCAATTTGAAACACAACTTACAGTCACTCTTTAAAAAACGCAAGTAGAATATATTGTCTGTAATGCTTTGTAATCTACTTTTTGTCTTAACTCTTTCGATGAATTTATACTCTTGGAAATATGCACATTATTAAGTTATTTTTCCCCCATTATTTGGTAAGGTACATTTAGCCTTTCATTTTTTTCTTCACTCTACTCTAGTGCTCACCATATTAAATAGTGCTATATTGTTAATTCAGATTCAAAGAATGCATACAATTTCAGGGACACTGTATTTTTGAACTTACTTACCTAAATTGTGATGTATTCACAATTAAAATAGTTAATATCATAAAACACACACTATCTCTTTGATATATGGGATATTAAATCATGTTACTGTGGTCGTTTATTTATTAGCTACCCAGTGCTTTTCCATTTTGCTATGTACATTATTTCTCAAATATCCCTGGTTAAAGCAGCCATAATTGTGCTAAACTGTATTTGATAATTAAAGCATCTGGGAAACATCTTAATGAAAGCTCAAAACTCCCTTTGTACTAGAAAATTTGCACTCTCTAAGGCCTAATAAGCGTGGTTAAGAATACCTGTGATGCCAAAACTCTGAAAAGTACTCAAAACCCCTGTGCCATCAACTAATAGGATATTGTAACTTTAGAGAAAAAAAGTAAAGACTACTTGAAAGTGATCAAAATAGAGGTTATTTTCAGCAGTGCAAAAAATAATTTAATAGACACAGAAAGCTGGTTTTCTGAAAATGACTTTGCTTTAGGTGTAATAGGAAAGCTATAAAGCATATCATTGGAAAAAACTATACTAGAATTATAGTTAAATTTCATAATCATGCATAGTCATATAGAAACAATAAAACAAAGTTAAATTGCCCAAAGTCATCTTAAATATTTATTACATTTATGACTAATTTATAATACTGTATTCAGAGAACTGTTATGATTTCCATTTTTAATAAGAATTTTCCTTTCTCTTCCCAGACAGTCCCACTTGGTTAGCTATATTTTCATGAAGCTTATTACAGCGTTTTCTTTTAAAGATGGAACACTTTACATAATTTTTCAACATATCAAACTCTTTTAAAGCATGGTTCAAAGTATTTATAATGAAAGGACACAAAAGCATATTTCTTGTGGTTTGTTAAGCACATTTACTTTCATTAGAGCTACCTAAAAGTATCATTACATTTTCCAGAAAAGCATTTTCAAAAAAAGCTTTGATATTTATAAATGTTCATACATTTTGGTGTAAAATTATACAAGTAGATTTTGGAAATAGTCCAGGAAAAACTAATTTTCATGTTCTTTTATAAATCATAAGTGAATTATCTTTTATTTGGTATCATCTTATGTCAATCAAATGCTAGACTGTCCATAATGAAGCCCAAGACTCAAAAGCTTAAAATGATTTTAACCTATTCTAAACAAAAGGCTTACATAAGTTCTCTAAGTTGTAAACCTCTGTCTCTATAAATTTGATTCAGAAATCATGATACAGATTTTTTGGTACAGTTGACCCTCGAATAACACAGGTTTGGACTGCATGGCTTGCGTGGGTCCACTTATACGGGATTCCTTTTCATCCAAATGCAGATGAAAAATACAGTATTCTAGGGATGTACACCCACATATATGGACGGTTGACTTTTGCTATACAGAAGTTCTGCAGGGCTGACTGTGGGCTTGAGCGTGCTCAGATTTTGTTACACATAGGGGTCCTGGAACCCATCCCTCGTTTATATGGAGGGATGGCTCTACTTCTAAACTGTGGCATTGCAGAGAAATTCAGACATGTTAAATGAAGTTCAGCTTTATTGTGGCTGTAACCATTGAAATTTGTCCTAAAGGTGGAGTTGGAGTTGACTCCTGGATGTAGGAGAGAGAACACCTAGGCAGAGGGAATAGTATGTCAAAGCACATGCTTAGAGAAGAGTTAGAATTTTGTTTTAGCTGAATTGCAGATTTTATCTGTTAGGTAGAATGGGATAAAATGAGGTTGGATAAGCAGGTTGGGGACAGATTTTAAAGTGTTTACTGTTTACTCATGGCAAGGATTCTGTGCCCATGGAAAGGCTTTTTTTCTTCTGACTTTTTAGAAGAGGCATTACATGCTCAATTTTTACTCAAAGAAGGTAACTCAAGCAATGGTACTGACAGTGAAGATTAGAGGTAGGAAAGACTGAAGATAGGATATTGGGAGATTTTGATGAGACTGATTATCTTACTCATTAATTTATTCAACATACATCAGAGCACGCATTATGTGTCAGGTGTCTGCTAGCTGGTGGAGATTACAACGGAGAATAAAATAGGAATGTTTCGAGCCTAATGAATGAGAATATCCATGAGAACTTATACTTGCTTTGCAGCCACATCAAATGCCAAGTCTTCCTTTAAGCAACATCCTTCCCCAGTTGGGATTAATTGCTCCTTATTTTGTGTTTCCAAAATAAAATAAGGGCTTGGTTTATGCTTCTGTTACAGGATGTTTTACATCATATTTGAGCCTATTTTATAGACAGATACACACACACACACACACACACACACACACACACACACACACACGTGTCTTTCTTGTCAACTAAATTGATCTCCTGGGTAACAAGAATTACATCATATTTATTCTTGCAGTTACCTAACACAGAGGAGGTATAACATGAAAATTGGTTAGAATTCTTTGCCATCAGTTTCCTGTTTGGGGCTCTCACACTGATCAGTGTGAGACAAATTTAATTTAAAGAACTAAATAAATAAATTTAGTTCTTTAAAAGTTGATATTCAAGTTTTGTTTCTATTACTATGTCCCACTTCCATAAGTGTATGACATTTTGCAGCAGTTTTAAATTATTTGTATATAAGCTACAAATTTTGAGGACTAGCATCATTAATTTACAAGTTTACAAGTGTTTTGAAGTCCAGGGCAAAAAAGGTTATATTGACTTTAGCCTAAGCTAAAATCATTTTTACAACACTAACAATTACTTTTGATAAATTGTTACTAATCTTATATTTTAAGTTTTGATATGGTAAAAATATTACAAATATATCATGTTATTATTGACAAAAATACTGTTAAAGTTACTATAAATTTTCTCTAAATATGATGACAAATGCTGTGGCTGATATTTTGCAATGTTATGTCCTATAGATCCATACTCCTTTCTAATTTTCGGAGTTAATTGCTCTTCGTCTGCATCACACTATTATGCTAGTGTTTTTTGAGCTGTAGATGTGATAATGAATGGCTAAAAGGGAGAATTGCTCATTTTATTTTTATTTTTATTTTTTTGAGACGGAGTCTTGCTCTATCACCCAGGCTGGAGTACAGTGGTGCGATCTCGGCTCACTGCAACCTCCGCCTCCCGGGCTCATGTGATTCTCCTGCCTCAGCCTCCTGAGTAGCTGAGACTACAGGCGTGTGCCACTACACCTGGCTAATTTTTGTATTTTTAGTAGAGATGGGGTTTTGACATGCTGGCCAGGCTGTTCTCGAACTTCTGACCTCAAGTGATCTGCCTGCCTTGACCTCCCAAAGTGCTGGGATTACAGGTGTGAGCCAACATGCCCGGCCAGCTCATTTTAAAAGCTGAGAAAGAATGGTTTGAGAGAACCAAGATGATTATAGAAGGACATAGAATCTGTACAGACATAAGTTGCTCCTGTCCATGTCCCTGTCTTTGTCATCCAGTCGGAATGAGAACAACCAAAATATTTTCCCCAAATATCACTCTTTTGGTCTGGTTGCATGAGACTTCTAATAAATCTGCCTAAAAAATTGTGTGACCTCAACATAGTTGAAAAATGTTCTAAACTTTTAAATTGGGGTTTCAGAATCTAGATTTATTTATTAATTTTTTTAAAGATGGAGTCTCACTCTGTTGCCCAGGCTGGAATGCAGTGGCGTGATCTCAGCTCACTGCAGCCTCCGCCTCCTGGCTGCAAGTGATTCTTCTGCGTCAGCCTCCCGAGTAGCTGGGATTACAGGGACGCATCACCACGCCCAGCTAATTTTTGTATTTTTAGTAGAGACAGGGTTTCACCACGTTGGCCAGGCTGGTCTTGAACTCCTGACCTCAGGTGATCCACCTGCCTCAGCCTCCCAAAGTGCTGGGATTACAGGAGTGAGCCACCGCGCCCAACCTGGCTTGCTTTTCTATTTAAAGCAAATAAATCATGTCAAAATTACATTGAATGGGACAGTGATTAGATTTCTTCCCTTTGGCTGCTGCTGGAAGTGGAACCGATCTTGGGTAAGGGAGGAGGGAGGAACAGGGAGTGGAATAGTCATCTCTTGAAAATAGAGATTTCAATGTGCGATTAATCTTGTAAGGCGACTTAGTTTGGGATTCCCAGAAGCAGATTCTGAGATGAAGATTCTTGAGCGAGTGATTTATTATTGAAGTCTTCCCCAGAGAAATTAGTAAGGGAAGCAAGACTGGTAAGGAGAAAAGAAGCCGAGCAAGGCTGCAATATCAAGGAAAGTCCCTTTAAGGGTAGCAAACATCCCGGAGAAAGTCTTAGGTAAGAGTTTTGGAGGCGAAAGCATGACTCAATTGGGAGAGGGCTGCTCAAAAAGGATTTTTTAAAAATCTGAGAGGATTTAGGCAAAGCAGTGACTGTGTCTGTTACACAACGTTTCAGAAAGTTTTTCTTTGCGAGGCATGTCAAAGTAAAGAGATGATAGATTCTTGCATAAACCGGTTCTAAATGAAGAGATTATTTTCAATGACTAAGATCTAAGTTGAGGCCACTGGACTAAGCTTTGGAGTTACCACAAAAAATGAGAATTGGAGCTTGAAGATGATGCAACTTATGGCTGTGTAGGGACTGAAAAAGCTAAGGTCTGAATGAGGAAGCTGCATTTTTTATTAAAAGAGATGAAAGAAACATGAGAGAATTACACTGATTATTAGGAAACTGTGCATGAGTAAATTACAGTGACAGATTAATTGAGACTGAAAGGCTTAGAAGATAAATAATCTAAATTAGTGGAAGGTTAGAATAAGGATGGATCTTTTTCTGAATTGAATGTTTTATATGTTTTATTTGTATGAAACACAAATTAAAATTAAAATACTATCAACATTATTTAACTGCCCAGCAAAGTCAATATTACATCTAAGTGAAGAAAGTGTTCTCAGAGAGGTTTCATTTTAAAGAACGACACTTGAGAGTGGCTAGACAGTCTCTGTGGAAAAGGTGGAAGAGAAAATCATGTGCTGTTTTTTGCCAAGTATGTGTGTAGGTCATGCACAGGGATGCAGACATCTGGCTGAGATCCCTGTGCATGAGTCAGTTAATACTAGGTCGCTGAAGACAAAATAACTAATGCAAATTGTAGGCTTGCTATATATTTTTTTCAGTGTCATATACACAAAGAAGCACCATGGATTCTGGGAGAAACAGTCTCAAAAGCATCTCAAGGAAGCCTCTCCAATACAAGCATTGGGATTACATATGTCTATTTCATGTAAAATAATGTTAGGGAGATAGCAATAGCAGATGGAGTAGATAATGTGTCTTGGCTTATTGATTTTGGACAAAAAATGTTTAAAAATTCATCTTAGACTGGCAGTATATTGTCAATGCCTCTAAACTACTTTGTGCTATGTGAGTGAGTAATGCTGGCAAATATCTGTAATTTAAGTGTTTTATTCCAATTTCGACATGATTTTTATGCCAGAGAGCTTTATGGGTAAGAAGCCTTTTAAAACTATTTCCCTCATGAACTCTAATTTTCTTTTGGAATACATCATCTCATTAATTAAGAGGTTGAAGTCTCATTACTTCATGTCTGTCTTCACGGGATTATGTAAACAGCAACCCTGTCATTACCAAATCATATGCTATTTTTATTTTTCTAAAGATCTAGAGCTCACAGTCATTATTTAAATAGAACATTACAGAAAAGAAAAAGGAATTTGAAGCGGCCTATTCTTAGCTATGTATTGAATAGATCTATTTTTCTATTAGTGTCTGTTTCAATTTATCTTTCTTGGTTTTGGTCATAGTTCAGTAATATTCAAGAGAGAGTATTATATGGTAGCTAATGTGATATAGAAGACCCATTCCTTACATTGCCATATTTATCAGCCAAAAAAAAAAAAAAAAACTACTTCCCTTAGAAATACATTATAAATTAAAATAACAGATAACATGGGCTGTTTTTGACAGGAATATATTTTAGCTTCTGATAATTAGCTTTAGTAATCATTAGCTTAGTTAATGAAAAATAAAATACTTATAATATTAAAAATATGAGAAGCTAAACTATGAGCAACTAACAAATCAAAACCACGTTCTTCTGAATTCCTGACTCCCCCGCAAATAGTTCCAAATCACTATAGTATTCACATAGCCCTATAATAACCTTTGTGGATAAACAGTGAATTCCATGTTCAATGTAAAATAACACAGAAATTTAGAGTTTTAATTGCAATGTCCTATGTAAACTTTAAAAGTTTCCAAAGCAATTTTCATAAATGGGATTCCATTTTCCACAGCCAAAATACTATACTGACACTGACCCTCATGAACTGTTACCTATGCATTTGTGTGCCATTTACTTTTAATTACAAAATTTCTCCCCTTGATTAAATTTATTGTATGCCTTGCAATATATCAAAATGATAGATTAAATGTATAAATAAATTATTATTTATAACAAAATTGAAGCTTGTCCTTGGAATCATTTTCTTGTAGTTCCATGTAGCTAAAATGGGGCTTTGATTTCAACCTTGCCCCTGATGAGCTGTGTGATGAAATCTTAGGCAAGTTACTCAACCTAAGCCTCAGTTTCCTCATCTGCAAATCAGGGAAAATAATACATGCTTTAGACTATTATTTTGAGAATTAAATGAAATCATGTATACAAATTGTCAAACAGGGCACAGCATACTCAGTACCTTATCATTGTTTAGTGTTGTTATTTTGTATCTACAGTGTTTTTGGAAAATAGCATGATTAATCAATTGACTGGAAGACACACAGTCTAACAGACAATATATAGACCATTTATATTGGCCATGAAAGTGTCCATAATGGCTGACTTAACTGGCTTTAATGTGTAAAATATGGTGACTCCCATGGTTTTTAAGATATGGCTTAAAGTAGATATCAATTTCTTTACATTGGTCAACTATAATTTGTCCATAGGTTGCACATGTAGTAAGTAATATTTTGAGATATTAACTGTGGGGTTTTTTTCCCTCCCTCCGCTTCCTTGCATTTGTTACCTTTTACTGACCATTTAGGTAACAGTGCCTAGCAGGCCCGGATCAGGACAGATACTACTGAGAATTCAGAAGTAATTTGTTTGCTTTGAGTTTCATATGAGGCCTTTTAAAAAGTCCACAGTAGAAACAGTATTCTTGAAATTATAGCTTTCCTTTGCAGAAGACTCAGTATTTTGAGAGTTGACATTTTGCTGAGCCATTAAAAGCACTGAGAACCTTGGAAGAATCCATTTATACTGAAATCAAGGAGTGGGGAAGAATGCATGGATAGAATAACAGGTCCCAAAGAGATAAAATTTGACCAGCATTCAGACAGATAATGAACTAGGGCTAGAAGAGGTCTTGTGATTGGACAATGAAGCTGACCGCATTGACTAAACAATTGCAGGTATAGCACAGACTCACGATGATCCTAAGCACCAGGAAGAATGGATTATTAGATCTCTGCAGAGGCCAGTGAGATCAGAAAATGACATTTGGTGCAGAGCAGTGTCCCTGATGACACAACAAGTCCACCAGGTACTTAGAACACTTCCATGCAGAAAAAAAACGAAGAAGAGGAGAATTTTGAACTGAATATTTACCTCAAAGAGACTGAGCTTTAAAACAGAAGCATGTGTGTGAAACGCCACTAAGCAAAAGAGCTCATATTCTAAGCTAGGTTCAATTATACAGAACTAAAATTAAAAATAACTTCAATTTTCTAATATTAGAGTTTATGATTGTGTTGAAATATCATATCCACTAAATCATCAGGCTTTGGATACCTCAAATTTTAGTTCTTAATTAATCTGAAATTCTCTATTATCTGAAATAGTTTCCAAGATAAGAAAGAACAGAGATATAGACCAATGGAACAGAACAGAGCCCTCAGAAATAATGCCGCATATCTACAACTATCTGATCTTTGACAAACCTGGCAAAAACAAGAAATGAGGAAAGGATTCCCTATTTAATAAATGGTGCTGGGAAAACTGCCTAGCCATATGTAGAAAGCTGAAACTGGATCCCATCCTTACACCTTATACAAAAACTAATTCAAGATGGATTAAAGACTTAAACATTAGATCTAAAACCATAAAAACCCTAGAAGAAAACCTGGGCAATACCATTCAGGACATAGGCATGGGCAAGGACTTCATGTCTAAAACACCAAAAGCAATGGCAACAAAAGCCAAAATTGACAAATGGGATCTAATTAAACTAAAGAGCTTCTGCACAGCAAAATAAACCACCATCAGAGTGAACAGGCAACCTACAGAATGGGAGAAAATTTTTGCAATCTACTCATCTGACAAAGGGCTAATATCCAGAATCTACAATGAACCCCAACAAATTTATAAGAAAAAAACAAACAACCCCATTGAAAAGTGGGCAAAGGATATGAACAGACACTTCTCAAAAGAAGACATTTATGCAGCCAAAAGATACATGAAAAAATGCTCATCATCACTGGCCATCAGAGAAATGCAAATCAAAACCACAATGAGATACCATCTCACACCAGTTAGAATGGCAATCATTAAAAAGTCAGGAAGCAACAGGTGCTGGAGAGGATGTGGAGAAATAGGAACACTTTTACACTGTTGGTGGGACTGTAAACTAGTTCAACCATTGTGGAAGTCAGTGTGGCGATTCCTCAGGGATCTAGAACTAGAAATATCATTTGACCCAGCCATCCCATTACTGGGTATATACCCAAAGGATTATAAAACATGCTGCTATAAAGACACATGCACACGTATGTTTATTGCGGCACTATTCACAATAGCAAAGACTTGGAACCAACCCAAATGTCCAACAATGATAGACTGGATTAAGAAAATGTGGCACATATACACCATGGAATACTATGCAGCCATAAAAAATGATGAGTTCATGTCCTTTGTAGGGACATGGATGAAGCTGGAAGCCATCATTCTCAGCAAACTATTGCAAGGACAAAAAACCAAACACCGCGTGTTCTCACTCCTAGGTGGGAATTGAACAATGAGAACACATGGACACAGGAAGGGGAACATCACACACTGGGGCCTGTTGTGGGGTGGGGAGAGTGGGGAGGGATAGTATTAGGAGATATACCTAATACTAAATGATGAGTTAATGGGTGCAGCACACCAACATGGCACATGTATACATGTGTAACAAACCTGCACATTGTGCACATGTACCCTAAAAATTAAAGTATAATAAAAAAAGAAAGAACAAGGAGAAAAAGTTTCTTTTTCAAAGAATTTTTGACTGTCATAAAATGTAAAATAGGTATATGTATTAAGGATATTTTAGAAAACTACATTAAAACTTACTTTTAAAAATAGAGCACATTATCTTAAGCAGATTACAGCTATTTTCTTCATATCTGAATTTAAAAACAAGTTTTTGAATCTATAACTCAAGGTGTTATCATTTACAAATATTTTGAATCTCAATATAAACTTTAAAACACTTTAGAAAACTATAATTTTTTATAAGCGATAACTACACTTAGAAAATATAATAACTTTTTAATATGCAAGTTACATTAAAATATACTTATATAATCAGCATTTGGTTCTGGCTTATCTCCAGCCGAGTATAGTGTGTACTCCCCACAATCTGTAGGTTTCACCATTTTCACTGTAGCTTTGTTTCTGAGTCATGGACCAAAGCTGATTGTGTTACAGGATAAGCTGTTTGAAGTGTAAGCCACATTAAGCCATGCTAAGCCACAATAAAACTATTACTGTTAGACATAATAAGATTATTAATATCAGGTTTTATATCAGCTCCACTTACTGAATTTTAGCACATAGAAAGGTAAGGAGAAAATGGATTTTAAATATTTTTTGATGCTGTTTGAAATTATTTAATCCTACAAATGAATATTTTAAAACCATATCTTCCTATTTGTTTTTGTTTCTAAGTATTTGACTCAATGGAACCATGAAAAGGAGGAGCACGTTTATCTTGAAAGGGACAAGTTAACATTTGATTTATTGACATTTTGCCTTTCAGTGAGAAAAAATATGTTAGTCTATAGTGAGTAATACTCTTAAGAGTTACATGATGTTATAACTTTAATTTAGTCACAGAATACGAATAATTTATAGAAAGTGAACAAAATATTTTATTCATCGTATCACTCAAAATATGTTATTTTATAACAAAGAAAAATGATTGTTACCTTCTGGATAAAAGAGAAAATGGAGTAAAATATTTGAAGCATTGAACATACAAAAACATTATTATAAATATCAATATTTATGGGCTACTGTGAAGGCAGCTGTAAAAAAACAAGTTCCAATAAAAAGTTCGAAACAGGCCGGGCGCGGTGGCTCACGCCTGTAATCCCAGCACTTTGGGAGGCCGAGGCGGGTGGATCATGAGGTCAGGAGATCGAGACCATCCTGGCTAACAAGGTGAAACCCCGTCTCTACTAAAAATACAAAAAATTAGCCGGGCGCGGTGGCGGGCGCCTGTGGTCCCAGCTACTCGGGAGGCTGAGGCAGGAGAATGGCGTGAACCCAGGAAGCGGAGCTTGCAGTGAGCCGAGACTGCGCCACTGCAGTCCGCAGTCCGGCCTGGGCGACAGAGCGAGACTCCGTCTCAAAAAAAAAAAAAAAAAAAAAGTTCGAAACAGACAAACATTTTAAAAATCTTAACAATTTAAATCAGTGAAAATTCGAGTGTTTTTTCCCTTCTAAATTTTTACTTCATAGGGTAGTGAATGCAACATAAACAGGTATTCATGAGTATAATACATTTTACACACTCCAAATAGTCACAGAGACTCTTGCATTATTTTCCCGTAGACATTCCTATTGTCTGTCTACTGCTATCAAGTGTAGGGTTAGAAGGCATTTTAACAAATCGATGACTGATTTAAAAAAAACAACAACCGAAGACATCTGTCATTAAGACAGGTCTCTAATAGTGGATGCTTGTTATTAAGAATCCAAAAGATTTTCTTAATGTTCTGTCCAGTAATTTTTGTTGTCATGGTCTGTGTTCCACATTGCCCTATGGCAATGTTACTCTTGCATTCCAATGCATTTTCTTAATTCGGCTGCAGTTTTTTCCAATTGTTGAATGTTCCATTGCCACTGTCGTCTATTTGACTGAAGCTTGTTCACCTGACAATGCAAACGCTTAAGAATTGCATCATACCTCTTATGTTGTACCTATCAAAAGAAGAGCACACATCAACAGGGCTTGTGAAGTATAAATAGTAAACAGCCATAAATAATATTTTGACTACTCTAAAGAGGGAAGCACTTAATTAGAAACTATCCACTATAAATAATTATGATAAAAATAAACAGTAATTGTAAAACTGTTTATTCAACACTTATTACATGTTAGATACTGTGCTGAGAGCTTTCTGCATATAATTAAATTCTTATAACACCTTATGATATGGGTATTATTATCCTCATTTTTGTGTGAAGAAACCAAAGATAAAAGAGTTCAAGTAATTTGACCAAAGTTTCATAGCTAGCAAGTGATGGAGTTTGGGAGGTTAGCAGAAGTGAAATATCCATAATGGAATACCTTCTTGTTAAGAGAGTTACCGGTGTTAAACTAAATTTGCCCTGGGGGACTCTACTTTGAGTCCCTATGTAAGGAACTACAATCTAACAGTATTTAAACTAACTAAAAGCCTAACTAGGAGTATATTTTTGTAACAATAGCTGAGACTCAGTCGACCACAGCAGCCAGCTTTGGTCAATCACAGGTGGTCCGCTGACTATACCATATTCAAATAAAACAGACATTGAGCCATTGAGAGCAATCAAGCCCTTTCTGCTCCTCATTTCCATTTTCTGTCCATAAATGTTGCCTGCCCACTTTGTGAAGTGGAGCTCTCTGAACCTCTGCTGGTTCTGAGGGCTGCTGCTTCTCTAATCATTCTTCTATTAAGCTCTGTTAAATTTAATTTTATTAAATTTAAATTTGTCTAAAGTTTTATATTTATCAAATTTAATTTGTCTAAAGTTTTTCTTTTAACATCAGTTAAGAAAAATGGTTCCATTTCCCATTTCCTGTATACAGTGATTCACTGAAACACAGATCATTTGGTCTAAAAGATCCAGGAGATCATGTAGTCCATTTCCCCGCTATTAAATAAACCATCATTTATGCTGAGCCAGACGAGGATACACTGGAAGGCAATGAAGCATAGTGGAAAGTGCTTCATTGGTCTTCGTGTCGGGCCACAAGAACACCCAATCTTCTTAAAAAACAGCTTTACAGAAATATAATTCACATACCATATAATCCATCCTTTAAAGTGTACAACTCAAGGGCCTTTAGTATATTCATAGAGTTGTACCAACTCTATGAAGTTACCAACCACAGGTTCTTAGGCTCTCATTTAATAGAAATTGACACAAGGCTGAGCAAGTTTCCCAAACAAGGCTTTTATTGGGGGCTTATGTTTGAACACAATGGAGACAGTGCAGGAGCAAGAGTTAGCTGGCTGGCTTTCTGAGGGCAGGTCTTTGTGGTGTTTCTAGGAAAGGTGACAGGAATGTGCATGAGGTATGGAAGTGTCATTACATGTGCCGGGTGGAGCACAGGGTGTGCAGGCACAATGAGAAATCATGCTAGCGCATACATTGCATGATCAAAATATGATGGATAAGCTCTTCCCTGGGTGAGAATTTCAGTATTATAATGAGGGATAGGGTAAAGATCAGTCATTCTTCTGGTCTTGTGCACATGCCTGCAATAAGGTTAACTCCCTTGAGTAAGATTTACAGTGGGATGCTGCTTATCTCCGTTTCAAGAGATATCTTGTGGTCAGCAAGGATGACTCCAGTGGATGGGTGGTGCAAGGTCTGGTAATGGGCGGGTATGGAAAAAATGTATTAGTAGGGGTGGAGGCCAAATCATGGTGAGGGCTAAATTCCATTCCTACTCTGTTTCACGAATATCACCACAATCAATTTTAAAACATTTTCACCACCTGGTACCCATTAGCAGTCATTCCCCATTCCCCTGTCCCCACACTTAACCCTCGGCAACCATGAATCTAGTTTCTCCTTGTATACATTTGCCTATTCTGGACATTTTATATAAATGGAATTGTACAATAGGTGGTCTTTTGTGACTGGCTTCTTTCACTTAGCATAATGGCTTTTAAAGGGTCTATGGCATACCATGTAACAGAACTTAATTACTTTGTATTGCCAAATAATAGCACATTATATGATATACCACATTTTATTTATCCAGTTCATGAGTTGATGAACATTTGAGTTGGTTCCACTTTCTAGCTATTATAAATAATACTGCCATGAACATTTGTGTGCAAGATTTTGTGTGAATATATGTTTTCACTTCTCAGGTATACAGTGAGGAGTAGAATTACTGGGTCATGTGGTAACTCCATGTTTAACCATTTCAGGAACTGCTAAGCTGTTTTTCAAAACGACTGTATAATTTTACATTCCAGTGTAATTTTACACACCAGTAATGTGTGAGGGTTCCAATTTCTTCACATCCTTGAAAATACTTATTATCTATGTTTTTGGTCATGGCCACTGTTAAAAGAA
Source organism: Homo sapiens (assembly GCF_000001405.40). NCBI lineage: Eukaryota > Metazoa > Chordata > Mammalia > Primates > Hominidae > Homo > Homo sapiens. The sequence continues at coordinate 43,839,806 of NC_000013.11, forward strand.
AAACTTCAGCCAAATTAAATTTAAAGAGTTTAATTGAGCAATGAATGATTCGCAAACTGGACAGACCCCAGAATCAGAGCAGATTCAGAGACTCCAGGGGTGCCTCGTGGTCAGAAGAAATTTATAGACAAAAAAAGTAAATTTGAGGTACAGGAATTGGAAGTGAGGTCAGAAACAATGGGATTGGTTACATCTCTGTGTTTGCCTTATTTGAACACAGTTTGAACACTCAGCAGTCTATGAGTGGTTGAAGTATGGCCGCTGGGATTGTCCAACACTCAGCTGTTGTTACAGACACATACTCCTAAGTTAGGTTTTCCATCTTGTCTACCTATTGAGTTAGGTTGCAGTTCATCCACTAGGACTCAAATATAGATGTACAGAGTTCTTCCCAGGCCATATTTTGTTCGCTTTAACACCATGCTTGTGGAAGTGAAGTGGCCTCTCATTACAGTAAAACACCTACTTTTAAATGGACTGATAAAATGATAGAATAATAGGGCTGGACAAGTTATCTATTCACAGGTAGTATGTGTAGTATTCCATTATGTAAATATACCACAATTTATTTTTATTTTTATTTTTTACTATACTTTAAGTTTTAGGGTACATGTGCACAACATGCAGGTTTGTTACATATGTATACATGTGCCATGTTGGTTTGCTGCACCCATTAACTCTTCATTTAACATTAGGTATATCTCCTAATGCTATCCCTCCCCACTACCCCCACCCCACAACAGGCCCCGGTGCGTGATGTGATGTTCCCCTTCCTGTGTCCATGTGTTCTCATTGTTCAATTCCCACCTAGGAGTGAGAACATGCGGTGTTTGGTTTTTTGTCTTGCAACAGTTTGCTGAGAATGATGGTTTCCAGCTTCATCCATGTCCCTACAAAGGACATGAACTCATCATTTTTTATGGCTGCATAGTATTCCATGGTGTATATGTGCCACATTTTCTTAATCCAGTTTACAATTGTTGGACATTTGGGTGGGTTCCAAGTCTTTGCTATTGTGAATAGTGCTGCAATAAACATACATGTGCATGTGTCTTTATAGCAGCATGTTTTATAATCCTTTGGGTATATACCTAGTAATGGGATGGCTGGGTCAAATGGTATTTATAGTTCTAGATCCCTGAGGAATCACCACAATGACTTCCACAATGGTTTAACTAGTCTACAGTCCCACTAACAGTGTAAAAGTGTTCCTATTTCTCCACATCCTCTCCAGCACCTGTTCATCTCACTGGGGAGTGTCGGACAGTGGGTGCAGGACAGTGGGTGCAGTGCACCCATCACAATTTATTTTTCCATTCTCCTTTCTAGGGATATTTGTGATGTTTCTATTTAGGGGTTTTTGTCAATAAAGCTACTGTAAGAATTCATATACAAGCTTTACAACTTTTTTAAGGCATATTTTTTTCATTTTTCTTGAGTAAACACCTAGGTGGAGAATTGTTTGGACATACAGCAGGTATATGCTAACTTTTTAGGAAACTCTCAAACTGTTTTTCCAAAGCAGTTGCACTATTTTATAATCTCCCCAGTAGTGCATGATCTTAACAGTTGTTTCATGTCCTTAGCAACATTTGGTATTAATATTCATTGAAACTTTCATCATTCTAGGGGTAAAAAGGTGTGAATAGTATCTCATTGTGGTTTTGATTCACGTTTCCTTGGTGTTAAGGGTGTTATACATCTTTTCACGTGTTTATTGGTCATACTATGTCTTCTTTTGTTAAGTTCTGTTCAAATCTTTAGCCCATTTTTAAAAAAATGACTGTATGACTTTATTATAGGCTGATAGGATTTCTTTCTTTACGCATCCTGGATACAAGTCCTTTGTGCACATACATGTGTTGCAAATATTTTTACTTTTGTGATTCTGTCTTTTCATTTTCTTTTGTTGTTGTTGTTGAAGTGGGGAGGTCTCACTTTGTTGCCCAGGCTGTACTGCAGTGGCATGATCACAGATCACTACAGCCTCGACCTCCTGGACTCAAGTGATCCTCCCACCTCAGCCTCCTGAGTAGCTGGGACCACAGGTGTGCGCCATCACACTGACTAATTTTTTTATTTGTACAGACAAGATCTTACTGTATTACCCAGGCTGGTCTTCAACTCCTGGGCTCAAGACATCCTCCTGCCTTGGCCTCCCAAAGTGCTGGGATTATGGGCATGAGCCACTGTGCCCAGCCCTTTTCATTTTCTTAATGGTGTCTTTCAAAGAGTAGAAGTTTCAAAGTTTGAGGTCTAACATATCAATATTTTTCACTATGGTTAGCAAAGTTTGTGTACCAAGAAATCTTTGCTAACCCAACATAATGAAGATATCCTCCTATAGTTTCTTCTGGAAGCTTTAGAGTTTTAACTTTCACATTTAGATCTATGATCCATTTCAGATGAATTTTTGTGTTTGTTGTGAGGTGGAGATACAGGTTCATTGTTTCCTCACCGATATCCAGTTGTTTCAGTACCATTTGTTGATAAGACTTTCCTTTTTTTCATTGAATTGCCTTGAAAACTTTGTCAAATTGACAAAATATGATTAATTTCTGAACTCTATTCTGTTCCATTGGTCTATTTATTCTTTTACCAATACTACAGTTACTTCATAATTATAGCTTTATAATAAATCTTAATATTAGGTAGATTAGGTCCTACAAATTTATTCTTCTTTTATAAGGTTGTTTTGGCTACTAGATCCTTTGCGTTTTCACGTAAATTTTAAAATTAGCTTATCAATTCCTGGAAAAAATACTTAGTGGGAATTTTATGGAACAATGTTGAACCTATACATCATTTGAGGGGAAATTTGACACTAATAATATCGTGTTTTCTAAACTATGAACATAGGATATCATTCCATTTATTTAGTATCTTTAATTTCTCAGCAATTTTTATTGTAGTTTTGCACATTTTTTCACAAAATTCATTAGCAAGTATTTTATGTCATTTAGTGTTAATGAATAAAGTTTTGTTTTATTCATTTTACTTCCTCATTGTTTATTGCTACTACATAGAAACTACATAAACATGTAAGTGATTTTTGTATTTTGACCTTTTATCCTATGAGCTTTCTAAATTCACTTACTGGTTCTGTTAGTCTTTTCTATTTCTTAAGATTTTCTACATAAACAATTATGCTATCTGTGAATAATGACAGTTTTACTTTTTTCTTTCCAATCTTTATGCCTTATATTTACTTTTTTCTTATAACATTGATTAGGACCTCCAGAATAATGATGCATAAAGAAGGTGATATCAGACATCTCTGCCTTGTTCCCAGTCTTAGGGGAGAAAGCATTCAACATTTCACCAGTAAGTATGATATGTTGTTGGCTATAAGATTGTTTTTTTATAATAAATTCCCTTTATCAAGTTGATGAAGTTTCCTTCTATTCTTAATTTGCTGATATTACTCTCAGAAAATATGCTATTCTCATAAAATTTGTTGAGAGTGTTGAATTCTGTCTAATGCTGTTTCTGAAACTATGAAGTTGGTTATATCTTTTTTACTTCTGTCATTTTGTCACTATAGTAAATTACATCATTTGATGTTTGAAAGTTGAATCAGCCTTGTATTCTTAGGATAATCCCACTTGGTTATAATGTATTAGACTTTTGGTATATTGCTAAATTTAATTTGCAAGTATTTTGTTAGAGACTTGCATCTATACTCATGAGGGACATTGGTCTGTAATTTCTTCTCTGATAGGATTCCTATCAATTTTGTTTCTTTTTGTATCAGGGTTATGTTCACCTCCTAAAATGAGTTGGGAGGAGTTTCATCTTCTATTTTCTGAAACAGTCTGTTTACATTGGGCATTATTTTTTCCTTAAATATATGATTAGAATTCACTAATGAAAATGTGTCAGTTGGAGCCTTATATATGGGAAGAGTTTTTAAATATGAATTCAATTTCATTGATTCCTACCTCACACCATTCATAAAGCTTAATTTGAAATGGATCATAAGGCTAAACATGAATGCATTTTCTTCTTGTGTTATAGTATTTTTTTTTTTCAAGGAATTTGTCTGTTTGTCAAATTGGCATAAAGTTATTCATAATAGGCCTTCATCACCCTTTTAAGCCTACAGAACCTGGAGTAATGTCCCTACTAATCTCTCTCTTTTCTTGATCAGTATTGCTATGGGTTTCTCGATTTTATTACTCTTTTAAACTTTTGACTTTGTTGATTGTTTTCTCGTTTTTCTGTTTTCTATTTCATTGATTTCTGTTATCTATCATTTAATTCCTTCTATTTACTTTTTGCTGAATTTATTTTTCTAGTCTGTGATGGTGGAAGCTTAGATAGTTGATTTCAAATCTTTTTCTCTTTTCTATTATAGGCATTAAAAACTTAATTTTCCTGTAAACACTGCTTTAGCTTCACCCCATAATTTTCCATACGTTGTGTTTTCATTATCCTTCAATTTCAAATATATTCTAATTTTTCTCCTGATTTCTTCTTTGACTCATGGGTTATTTAGAAGTATGGTCAATTTCCAAAAGCTTATGTATTTTCTAGCTATCTCATTGTTATTGATTTCTAATGGAATTCTGCTGTGATAATAGAATTTCAACTTTGAAATATGTAATCTAGTATATGGTGTGTCTTGGTGAATATTTCATGTACACTTAAAGTGTAATCAGTAGTTGTTATGTGGAGTGCTTTATAAATGTTAATTAGGTTAAGTTGATGGATAAGTTCTTCAAATCTTCTATATGTTTACTGATATTCTGTATTGTTCTATCAATTACTCAAAAAAGTTAAGATATCTGATATGACTATAGATCTGTCTCTTTTTTTCTTTGGTTCTGTTTGTTTTTGCTCATGTATTTTGAAACTCTGTTATTATGTAAATGTACATGTAGAATTGTTATTCCTTCTTGGTGAATTGACTGACCCTGTTTAACTTGGTTAGTAGTTCTTACCTTGAAATCTACTTGATATTAACACAGCTACACCAGCTTTTTAAAGATTGGTGTATTCATCGTGTATCTTTTTCCTTTTTTTAACTTTCAAACTATGTGTGGCTTTATATTAAAAGTGCATCTCTTGTGAAGAGGTTATGCTTGCCACTTGATTTATTTTATTCAGTCTAATAATTTTTTCCCTTTTAATTGGAATGCTTAGCTCATTTACATTTAATGTAACTAATGATATTTTGGGGTTAAAGTCTACCATCATAATGTTTGTCTTCTATTAGTCCCTTTTGTCCTTTTACTTTCTTCTTCATTTTCTGTCTTCTTTTGGATTGAGTATTTTTTGTTGTTCCATTTCATTTCTTCCTTTGTCTTTCTAGCTATGCTTATATCTTTATGTATTTTTTAAGCTGCTCTAGGAATTTTAATATATTCTCTTAACTTATCACAATCTGTCTTCAATTAACATATCAGTACATGTAAAAATATAAGAACCTTACAACAAAAGGCTATTCTTGATATATATCTTACTCTACATGCTATAAAACCCAAAATCCATTATTGCTTTGATTTTAAAGTGTCAAATGACTTTTGAATTACTCAAAAAAAGACCCATCTCTTTATCTACATATTTTCCATTTCTAGTCCTTTCCAGTATCATTTCCTTTCAGCTTTAAAAACTTCCTTTAGGCTGGACATAGTGGCTCATGCCTGTAATCCCAGCACTTTGGGAGGCTGAGGCAGGTAGACCACCTGAAGTCAGGAGTACAAGACCAGCCTGGCCAGCATGGCAAAACCCCATCTCTACTAAAAATACAAAAAATTAGCAGGGCATGGTAATGCATGCCTATAGTCCCAGATACTGGGGAGGCTGAGGCAGGAGAATTGCTGGAGCCCGGGAGGCAGAGGCTGCAGTGAGCTGAGATCTTGCCACTGCACTCCAGTCTGGGCAAGAGCAAGACTCCATCTCTAAAAACAAAACAAAACAAAACAAAAGTTTCTTTTGCATTTTTTGTAGTGCAAGTCTACTGGGAACAAAGTCCACCAACTGTTGTTTATCAATACATTTTAAAAATTCAACTTATTTTTTTAGTTCTAAGATTTCCATTTGGTTGGTTTATGTGATTAAAATCCTCTCTCTTTACCCACAATATCAATCATTATACGCTTCTTTTAATTATAAAATGAAAAGGATGTTTGTATATCCACTATAAACATCCTGTAGAACGTTTAACATACTTATTATAGTTTTCCAGTCCTTGTCTAACAACTTCTGAGTCAACTGTTGCTATTTTTATTGGTTGATTCTACTCTTAGCTATGGATCATATTTTTCTTTTTTCTTTTTTTTTTGAGACGGAGTTTCACTATTGTCGCCCAGGCTGGAGTGCAACGGCACGATCTCAGCTCACTGCAACCTCCGCCTCCCAGGTTCAAGCAATTTTCCAGCCTCAGCCTCCTGAGTAGCTGGGATTACAGGTGCCCGCCACCACGCCCGGCTAATTTTTGTATTTTTAGTAAGACAGGGTTTCAACACGTTGGCCAGGCTGGTCTCAAACTCCTGACCTCCAGTGATCCGCCCACCTTGGACTCTCAAAGTGTTGGGATTACAGGCATGAGCCACTGCGCCCGGCCAATATATTTCTTTTTCCTCACATCGAGTAATGTTTTATTACTAACCATTGTGCACATGTTGAAAACTCTGAATTGTGTTACTTTCCTCTGAAAAGTGTTTTCTTCTAATAGTCAGTTAAATTACTGGTGGATCATCTTGAACTTGTGAGACTTTGTTTTATACTTTAAGTTAGAGTACATCTATTTCAATTTTGTCCTTAGATCTAGGTCTTGCCCTTAGTCCAGCTTTGTTTTAGTTCTTAGTTACAGATGTCTTTACTCCTAAAGTTTGGCAGTTGTGGGAATTGGGCAGTTGCTGTAGTGGGCAGATGCTGAAATCTCTACTCAGCTTATAAGCATTCTAATTGTTTCCCAACTGTGCTCCTTGGAATTTTATCCCTCGTGTGTGCAGTTTAAGTTACAGCCAAGTTTTTGAGGGCAGCTAATATGCAAATTTGGGGCTTCCAATAAGGAAAAATTCAACATTTACTCAACCAACCTCATGAAGGAGTAAGAATCCACAAGACAGTATAAAATTATTTCAACTATAAGATATTACTACTATTAGTTGTGTTCATAGTTACTGAGAGAAAGTATTACGTAACAGAAAGAGCACAGATTTTATCTCATGACCCAGTAATTCTACTTCTTGGTGCAAAGGGTTTGTTTATTATGTTTGCTACAACATTACTTTTAATAATGAAAAAACTGGAAAACACTTAAATGTTCACCAGTTGTAGCATGGCTAAATAAATTAAGGTATGGCCAAATTGTGAGATATTTTGCAGCAGTTAAAAATAATTACGTAGGCCAATTTGCACCAATATGAAAAATCTATGAGACAGATTGTTGAATAAGTAAATTAGTTGCAAAATGATACATATACTACATTTACATAATATTCTTCCACCCACAGGGGTTTGTGTTTGTGTGTACCATTAATAAGAGGTTTGTGTGTACCATTAATAAGAGGTGAGAGTAATGATAGAGAACAACATGTTAGAAGGTGGTATAAAAGGAACTACAGCCTTTCTTCTAACATTTTAATCTTTTTTAAGGAGAATGTATTCCTAAAAACAAAAACCATATTTAAAAAAAGAAGTGGGAAAATAGAGTCCAACAGGTTTGGATTCATATCCTACTCTGTCATTTATCATTAGCTATATAGCCTTGTGCAAGTTATTTAAATTTTCTAAAACTTTGTAAGACATGTTATTATGGGGAATTTAAATAGGATAGCCTATAAAAAGTGCCACAAAAATACCAGGCATTCAATAAATAATAATAGATTTAATAACATTGGACATTTCTTCTTATACTTTCTACAAAAGAGAATAATTAGTTACTATATTATCTTTGCATCTACCTGAATAATTCTTACTTTGCCTTCAGATCAGCTTTTTTCCCTTTGCTTCTCTGGGTTTTTCTTTTCCCTTTGTTGAGACAGGGTCTTGCTCTGTTGCCTAGGCTGGAGTGTAGTGACACAATCTCAGCTCATTGCAACCTCTTCCTCCCAGTCTCAAGCAATCCTTCCACCTCAGCCTCCTGAGTAGCTGAAAATACAGGCACACACCACCATGCACAGCTAATTTTTGTATTTTTAGTAGAGACAGTGTTTTGCCATGCTGTCCAGGCTGGTCTCAAACTCTTGGGCTCAAGTGATCCACCCACCTTGGCCTCCCAAAGTGCTGGGATTACAGGTATGAGCCACCGTGCCCAGGCTCTGGGTTTTTCTCATAGGACTGGCTTTCTAGTTGTGTAATCATTTCTGTTGCTGACCTCAATAAATGAATGCATTTGTTAATTATATAGCTGTGTATTACATCATACTAAATTAAATATGCTTTGTTCATCACTCTTAGCAGCTCTTAAAGTGTACACAATTTTCCCATATTCTTTTACATTTTAAACTCATGCTGTACAAAATTTAGGCAAGAGTAAGCCATCAATGCTTTACACAATGTCTGTTATGCCAAAGCATTGCTTGCAGCATTCATCATTTGCTAAAAACTTCTCAACTGCTCCAGTGTCCTTTGTCTGAAAACTCTTGGATTTGGAAATAACACTTTTTTTTTTTTTACCTTGAACTAGAAACCACTGATTGTTGCTCAATGTGTTATATTTGAAGCTTTGTGTTTGCCTGCCTTGTATTTTGCTTCCCCAGTTTTTTGTCAATGACTCATAGCTTATCTTTTTTCTCCACTCTATCTTTAGTTCCTTTCTTCCAAAATATAAGAAGACAGACAATAGATACTGGGGGGAAGGACATTTAGGGAATAAATATTTGAAAAGGCTCTTTTCATTCAGATATGGCCTAAAAATACTGAAAGCATTTACTTGACAGGAAAACACTGATATTCAAAAAAACATTTTTTATTTTTATGAACCAAAAAATGTAAAAGCAAGATTAATATGAGAACCAAAATATGTAAAACACAATATTTAAAATAATTAGAACAAAATAATGCTGTAGTCCAGGCAAAAGATGATTCTTGAACTGTAACAAGGCCATGGCTAAAGATATTCAGAAGAGATAGAAAAAAGACTCCAAAAAGAAGTAATAAAAATCTTTTGGTATTGGAATTCACCTTCTCTAAAAACTGGTTGTTTTGAGAAGAAGGTTACTCATATTAATGATCGATTCTCATCATGGAATAAATAAAATTATTCACAAAAATGTAACGTTTTAAGAAAATGGTCTGACTATATTGGTCCTTCAGCTTCATAATTTGTTGTGAAGAATCTTTAAGTTCTTAACTTTTCATTTTTTAACTGAATTGAGGACAACTTTTAAATGAATTAGAAGTAATAGAATTGAAATGAAAAAGTTCAAAAGAATCTTAACAGAGGGGTCCCTATTATGAAAACTTAAAAAGTTTATTAAATTTCATGACAAGAAGTTTTATGATGGAAACATCAAAAAACAGAAGTCTTAATCTCAGTAACATTTCCTCTAAATCTAACATTAGTGACCACTTACATCATCCTTTACCAATTTATACTACTGCTGGCAAGATGAAGTAGATATACTACAGTTACCTATTCTTCCTGATAAGTAGAACTAAAAGCTCTGGACATTTTATACAAAACAAACATTAGAAGCTCATGAAAGTTGGAGAGAAGAAGGCAAACTGTTTAGGGAACCTCAAGACCCAAGTAATGTCCTGGGTTTTCTTTTTTCCTCATATATCCCAGAGAGGATTCTGGAGAAGACAGCAATCTGGAAATGCCAAGAAATACAGACAAAAAGCCCTAAGAAAAATTTGTTCTATCTAGCCAAAAGATAAGGAAAATAGCAGCTTAGTGAGACAGAAAACTTGTAGGCAGTAACTGTTTTACTAAAGTCAAACACTACAGAAAAAACTATGGCCCCTCCAACACTCATGCCAGCAAGGGCTGGGTGGAAAGCCTAAATTTCTACCATTGCAAGGCTGTAATGAAGTGCCTAATCCCTCTGCTGGTGCACTCTCAGGGAAAGCTAACTAAGGAGCCAGGAGTTTTAACTGTGGAGCCAGGAGTTTTAATCCTCTCTAAGCAGCAAGAAACCATACACTGTGGTGTCGCTGGAGCCCATTTGAGGATCCTGGACTTCTCCGCCCATCAAGGTGTAATATTCCTCTCCTCCCTGATGTAACATCAAAGGAGCTCTGGTAGAGAGTCAGGACTTTCACCAGGACTCAGTAGTAACCAGGCTATGTCCTCGCAGTGTCACTGGAGGCCATGTTAGGAGTAGTAGCAAGGATTCCTTTTCCCTCCAACCCAGAATGATATTTGCAGAGGCCTACAGACTAGTCTTTCCCCCTTCCATGGGAAACAATGGAGTCAGTGGAGACTGGTAGGAGAATCTAGACCCCAATGGCCACCTGGAAATAGTGAAGATCTAGAATCTTAAAGCATAATACCCAACATGTCCACATTTCAATAAAAAATGGCTCATAACACCAAAAAATAAGATCTCAAACTGAGCAAGAAATCACAATCAACATGCACCACACGAACATAACACAGAAGTTAAAATTATCTGACAAGCATTTTAAAGCCTCTGTCATAAAAATGCTTCAATAAACAATTACAAACATGCCTGGAAAAAATGTAAAAAATAGAAAGTCTGAGCAAAGGAATATAAGATATAAGAAAGACTCAAATGGCAATTTAAGAACTAAAAGGTACAATAACCAAAGTGAAGAGTTCAGTGGAATTCAAGAGTGGATGGGAGAACAGATAAACTAATCAGTTAACTGAAAAATAGAAAGCTAAAGTTACTCAATCTGAACAAAAGGGAGAAAATAGATTGAAAATAGAAATAAATAGAACTTCAGGGGCTTATGAAACTATAACAAAAGATGTCATATCTTTCGTTATGGAAGGAGAGGAGAAAGAAGGCACAGATTTTTTAAAAAAGTATTCAAGTAACTGATGGCTGAAAAATCCTAAATTTGGCAAAAGATACAAAACTACAGAATTGAGAAGCTGAGAGAACTCCAAAAAGGATATATGCAAAGAAATCCATGCAAAAGCATGTCATAGTAAAACTTCTGAAAACAGAAGAATGTTTTTTCCCCAATCTCGCTCACTCTGCAGACAGAAAATCTTGAAGACACCAAGAAAGAAATACCTTACATATATAGGAAAACCAATTTGAATTACAGCAGATTTTGCACTAGAAATCACAGAGACCAAAATGAAGTGGCATAACATTTTTCAACTGTGGAAAGAACTGTCAACCCAGAATTCTATATCCAGCAAAAATAGCCTTTAGGAATGAAGGAGAAATCAAGACATTCTCACATGAAAAAAATAAAAGAATGTGTTACCAGCAGACCTACCCTAAAAGAATGATTTTAGAAGTTGTATATAAAAAAGGAAATGATATAAGAAGAAATCATAGAATGTCAGGAAGAAAGAACATAATAAAGCAAAACTATGAGTAAATAGACAGATAAAGAGGTCATAGCTAAAAAGTACAAAATTCTTTGTGAGGTGATGAAAATTTCTAAATTTAACTTTGGTGAAGGTTGCACATATATGACTATATAAGAAGTCTCTGAAGTATATGCCTTAAATGGTAAATTGGACACAGATCTGTGCCTGCCAGCACCCTGCTCCTGAGCCAACACCACCACCAGCGAGACCAAACACACAGCCATCAGCAGGGACCCCCTGTCTCCCCCTAACTACACTGTCTCTGCCACTGTAGTGAATGCCCGCAGGGAGGCAAGCACCCCAGGACTCATGAGCACTCTGCCACAGCTGATGAGTGTGCACCCCACTGCACTGCCACTACTGCTGCTGCTGGCATGCACAAACAAGAATGGATCCTGCTATCACTGCACTACTGAACACTTTGGCTGACACAACCCATCTGAGTATAGTGACCAGCAGTCTGGGAGCACCTTGGCACCCCCAGCACAGTGGATTCCTAACCTTGAGGGGCCAGAGAACAAAACTGGGGCCTGATACAAGTCCCCCAGAGTTACAGCACACAGTCCAGGAGTTGGGAACAGAGCGTTGGCCCTTAAAATCTTCCAGAAATGAAGCTAGTCAGATGAATCCACCTAATATAACAATCAAACCCTCAAGATCATCAAATAGGATAAAAGAAAAAAAAAACATCCAAAGGTCAGCAGCTCAGATTGAAGCATAAGCCCATAAAGATGAGGAGCATAAGCCCATAAAGATGAGGAAGAACCAGCACAAAAACCCTGATAACCCCAAAACCCAAAGTGCCTTCTTTCTTCCAAATGACCACATCACCTCTCCAGCAATGATTCTGAACTGGGCTGAAATGGCTTAAATGACAGAAATAGAATTCAGAATATGGGAAGGAAGGTCATTAAGCTATAGAAGTATGTTAAAACCCAGTCCAAGGAAGCCAAGAATCATGACAAAACAATGCAGGAGCTGACAGACAAAATAGCCAGTATAGAAAAGAACCTAAGTGACCTGATAGAGCTGAAAAACACACTACAAGAATTTCATAATGCTATCACAAATATTAATAGCAGAATAGACCAAGCAGAGGAAAGAATCTCAGAGATCGAAGACTGGCTTTCTAAAATAAGACAGTCAGACAAGAATAAAGAAAAAAAGAATGAAAAGGAATGAACAAAACCTCTGAGAAATATTGAATTATGTAAAGAGATCAAGTCTATGACTCATTGGAGTCCCTAAAAGAGATGGGGAGAATGGAACCAACTTGGAAAACATATTTCAGTATATCATCTATGAGAACTTCCCCAACCTAGCTAGAGAGGCCAACATTCAAATTCAGGAAGTGCAGAGAACCCCAGTAAGATGCTTCACAAGAATAGCATCCCCAAGATGCATAATTTTCAGATTCTCCAAGGTTGAAATGAAAGGAAAAAATGTTAAAGGCAGCTAGAGAGAAAGGTCAGATCACCTACAAAGGGATACCCATCAGACTAACAGTGGACCTCTCAGCAGAAACCCTACAAGCAGAAGAGACTGGGAACCAATATTCAAAATTTTTACAGAAAAGAAATTCCAACCCAGAATTTCATATCCAGCCAAACTAAGCTTTATAAGCGAAGGAGAAATAAGATCCTTTTCAGATAAGCAAATGCTGAGGGAGTTCGTTACCACAAGACCTGCCTTATAAGAGCTCCTGAAGAAAGCACTAAATATGGAAAGGAAACACCAGAGTCAGTCACCACAAAAACACACTGAAGTACACAGACTAGTTACACTATAAGGCAACCACATAAACAAGTCTGCAAAATAACCAGTTACCATCATGATGACAGGATCAAATCTACACATATCAATACTAACCTTGAATGTAAATGGGCTAAATGCCCCAGTTAAAAGGGACAGAGTGGCAAGCTGGATAAAGAACTAAGACCCATTGGTATGCTGTCTTCAAGAGACCCATCTCACATGCAATGACACACATAGGCTCAAAGTAAAGGGATAGAGGAAAATCCACCAAGCAAATGGAAAAACAGAAAAAAAATCAGGAGTTGCAATCCTGGTTTCACACAAAACAGACTTTAAACCAGCAAAGATTTAAAAAGAAAAAGAAGGGCATTACATAATGGTAAAGGATTCAATTTAACAATAAGACCTAACTATCCTAAATATATATGCACCCAACACAGGAGCACCCAGATTCATTAAGTAAGTTCTTAGAGACCTTCAAACAGACTTAGACCCCCACACAATAATGGTGGGAGATTCTAACACCCCACTAACAATATTAGACAGATCATCAAGAGAGAAAATTAATAAAGATATTCAGGACCTGAACTCAACACTGGATCAAAAGAATCTGACAGACATCGACAGAACTCTCCATTCCAAAACAGCAGAATATACATTATTCTCATCGCCACATGGCACATATTCTAAAATTAATCACATAATCAGAAATAAAACACTCCTCAGCAAATGTGAAATAACTGAACTCATAACAATCTCTTGGACCACAGCACAATAAAATTAGAAATCAAGACTAAGAAATTCACCCAAAACCACACAATTGCATGGAAATTGAAAATTGAATAACCTGCTCCTGAATGATTTTTGAGTAAATTATGAAATTAAGGCAGAAATCAAGAAGTTATTTGAAACTAATGAGAACAAAGATACCAGAATCTCTGGGACACAGCTAAGGGCAGTGTTAAGAGGGAAATTTATAGCACTAAATGCCCACATCAAATAGTTAGAAAGATCTCAATTTAACAACCTAACATCACGACTAAAAGAACTAGAGAACCAAAAGCAAACCAAGCCCAAAGCTAGTAGAAGACAATAACCAAAATCAGAGCTGAAGGAGACTGAGACCAAAAAAAAAACCCTTCAAAAAGATCAGTGAATCTAGGAGCTGGTTTTTTGAAAAAATTAATAAAACAGATAAACTGCTAGCTAGACTAACACAGAATAGAGAAGATCAAAATAAACCTAATCAGAAATGAGGAGGATATCACCACTGACCCCACAGAAATACAAATAACCATCAGAGAATATTATGAACACCCCTACACACATAAGCTAGGAAATCTAGAAGAAATGGATAAATTCCTGGAGACATACACCCTCCCAAGACTGAACCGGGAAGAAATCGAATCTCTGAACAGACCAGTAACAAGCTCTGGAATTAATTCAGTAATAAATAGCCTACCAACTGAAAAAAGCCCAGTACCAGATGGGTTCACAGCTGAATTCTATCAGATATACAAAGAAGAGCTGGTACCATTCCTGCCAAAACTATTCCAAAAAATTGAGGAGGATGGACTCCTCCCTAACTCATTCTATGAGGCCAGAATCATCCTGATACCAAAACCCGAAAGAGACATAACAAAAAGGAAACTTCAGGTCAATATCCTTGATGAACATCGATGCAAAAATCCCCAACAAAATACTGTTAAATTGAATCCAGAAGCACATCAAAAAGCTTATCCATCACCATCAAGTAAGCTTTATATCTGGGATGCAAGTTTGGTTCAACATATGCAAATCAATAAATATGATTCATCATATAAACAGAACTGAAGACAAACACAACATGAATTATCTCAATAGATGCAGAAAAGACTGTCGATACAATTTAACAACGATTCATGTTAAAAACTCTCAATAAACTAAGTACTGAAGGAACATACCTGAAAATAATAAGAGCCATCTATGACAAACCCACAGCCAACATCATACTCAATGGGCAAAAACCAGAGGCATTCCTCTTGAAAACCAGCAAAAGACAAGGATCCCCTCTCTCACTACTCTTACTTGACATAGTATTCGAAGTCCTAGCCAGAGCAATCAGGCAAGAGAAAGAAATAAAACATATACAAATAAGAAGAGAGGAAGCCAAACTAGCCCTGTTTGCAGACGACATGATGCTATATCTAGAAAACCCAACAGTCCTGGCCCAAAAGCTTCTTAAGCTGATAAACAACTTCAGCAAAGTCTTAGGATACAAAATCAATATGCAAAAATCACTAGCACTCCTATATAACACCAATCAAACTGAGTCAAATCCCATTCACAGTTGCCACACACACACACACACACACACACACACACCCCTAAGAACACAGCCAACCAGGAAGGTAAAAGATCTCTACAAGTAGAACTATAAAATACTGCTCAAATAAATTAGAGATGACATAAACAAATGGAAAAACATTCCATGCTCATGGATAGGAAGAATCAGTATCATTAAAATGGCCATACTATCCAAAGCAATGTATAGATTTGATGCTATTCCTTTTAAACTACCAAAAAAAAGTTCAGCATCATAAATCATTAGGGAAATGTAAATCAAAACCACAAGGAGATACCATCATCACTAGTATCAAAAAGTAAAAAAATAAAACAAAACAAACAAACAAACAAAAAACATGCTGACAAGGTTGCAGAGAAAAAGAACACTTATTATACACTGTTGGTGGGAGTGTAAATTAGTTCAACCATTGTGGAAGACAGTGTGGCAATTCCTCAGACTTAAAAACAGAATCCCATTCAACCCAGCAATCCCATTACTGATTATATACCCAAAGGAATATAAATCATTCTATCATAAAGACACATACACGTGTAAGTGCATTGCAGCAATATTCACAATAGCAAAGACATGGAATCAACCTAAATGCCCATCAGTGGTAGTCTGGATAAAGAAAATATGGTACATATACACCATGAAATACTATGCAGCCATAAAAAGAATGAGATTA
Organism: Homo sapiens; assembly: GCF_000001405.40. Taxonomy (NCBI): domain Eukaryota; kingdom Metazoa; phylum Chordata; class Mammalia; order Primates; family Hominidae; genus Homo; species Homo sapiens. The sequence goes on from NC_000013.11 coordinate 43,856,045, forward strand.
TGTCCTTTGCAGGAACATGAATGGAGCTGGAGGCCACTATCCTAAGTGAATTAATGCAGAAACAGAAAACCAAATACTGGATGTTCTCACTTATAAGTGGGAGCTAAATGATGAGAACTTATGGACACATAGAGGGAAACAACACACACTGGAGGGTGAGAGGAGGGAAAGGATCAGGAAAAATAACTAATGGGTACTAGGCTTAATACCTGGCTATTGAAATAATCTGTACAACAAACTATGACAGAAATTTACCTATATAACAAACCTGCATACATACCCCTGAACTTAAAAGTTAAATTAAGGCTGGGCGCGGTGGCTCACGCCTGTAATCCCAACACTTTGGGAGGCCGAGGCGGGTGGATCATGAGGTCAGGAGATCAAGACCATCCTGGCTAACATGGTGAAACCCCGTCTCTACTAAAAATGCAAAAAATTAGCTGGGTGTGGTGGCAGGCGCCTGTAGTCCCAGCTACTCCGGAGGCTGAGGCAGGAGAATGGCGTGAACCTGGGAGGCAGAGCTTGCAGTGAGCCGAGATTGCACTACTGCACTCTAGCCTGGGCGATGGGGCGAGACTCTGTCTCAAAAAAAAAAAAAAGAAAAGAAAAAATCTCTCAATAATTTGTTTTCATGTATAAAACTTTGTTGCAGGATATCTGACAAAAATCGGTGAACTGTATGGTATGTGAATTTTATCTTAGTAAAGCTGTTTATAAAAATCAGAATAGTGGCTATTTGATAAAAAGGGTAGAAGAGAACTTTCTGGACATGCTGGGAAAGTTCTATATCTTGATCTAGGTAATGCCAACATAAATATATGTACATGTTAGTCTAAATAAATCAAGCCATCCATTTATAATTTGTGTACTTACTCTTATGACAATTATACCTCAATAAAATATGTTACTGTAAAAAAATTAAAAGGTAATTTCACATTTCTTTCCAAAGTGCTTTTAGCAATTTACATTCACAAGAATACTGTATTAAAATTCCCACGCTCAACATCTCCCAACTGTAATACCGATAATCAGATGGGCTAAACATGGAACTTTGCTGTGGTTTTAATTATCAGTCTCTTATTGCTAATGAGGATGGTCATATTTTTCTTTATTTCTGATATTCATGGTTCAGAAAAATGGTCTTTTTATACCATTTGCCCAATGTTTCACTGATTTGACATTTTCTTATCTCTTTCTTATCACATACATGTGTTATAATAATCTAGAATGGAGTCTTGTTCTTTCTCTTGTGATGGTATATTCCCATAATCTGGAAATTTATGGCATAGTCAAAACTAAAGATATTTAACCACAGAATTTATGGAGTGTTTTTCTCTTTTAAAATAAATGCTTTTCTGACACAAATTTTTAAGTTTTTATCCTATGTTGTATTCAATACTTAGAAGTGTGTGTGTGTGTGTGTGTGTGTGTGTGTGTGCACGTGTGTATTATGAGGTAGGAATCCAGTTTTATTTCAACATTTTTCTTTATTTTTCCATAGAGGTAATCTATTTTGTTTTTACCACTCAAGGATGCATAATTTCTGGATTCTTTTTTTCATTAATAATTTTTTTCTGGCCGGGTGTGGTGGCTCACGCCTGTAATCCCAGCACTTTGGGAGGCCGAGGCAGGCGGATCACCTGAGGTCAGGAGTTTGAGACCAGCCTGGCCAACATGGTGAAACCCCATCTCTACTAAAAATACAAAAATTAGCTGGGCATTGTGGTACGTGCCTGTAATCCCAGTTATCTGGGAGGCTGAGATGGGAAAATCGCTGGAACCCGGGAGGCCGAGGCGGCAGTGAGCTGAGATCGCACCACTGTACTCCAGTCTGGGTGACAGAGCAAGACTCCGTCTCAAAAATAAAGAAAAAATAATAATAATAATATTTTTTTCTACTCTTTTACCACTGATACACTGTCTTACTATTTATTGTTTTATAATGAACCTTAATGTCTACAAGGGCAAAAAGAATCGTTATTTAGATTCCTAGTAAACTAAAAGGTAAAATCGTGATATTTTTTAATAGCGAATATGTAAAGATGAGGATTTTTATCTTTAATTTCCTCAGATGCTTTGTATTGTGTCAAATTAGTCAAAAACAAGTTGAAACATGCATATTTTTATTTTCCAAATTAATGTATTCAGGCAAAAATTATTTGCCCTTAATAGCATATTATTTTACATTTCTGTTCACCATTCATCCAAACAATAATGACAATAGAAGTCCACAGGCAGCACCACAACACATTATGAATTTACTCTGACTTTCAATTTTGCATATTTTCAGTTTGTTTTTTTAACTTGACTCTTGATAATTGCGAATATGAAGTCAGAGAGGTTTGGAAAGACGATGCTTTCCATTGTGTTTTATTCTATTTTGAGGAGTCTTTGATATCTAAGAATGGGCATCCTCTTTGACTACATAGCTGCTTTCTAGCCATTAATTGGGTATCATGTTCTTAGTGGAATGAGAAAAACCTGGAAGAACCCTCGCCCAGATTTAAATAGGAGTGAATGCTTGCATTGTTTGAACACATTCACATATTTGAACATCTTTGAATGAGGGGGTTATCTCTAGTTATCTATTAATGATTTGTATTTACTAAATTTTATAGTTCTTTCTTGTTCTTCAACTGTTTTGAGTATTGAGAGTAAACTATGGAAATATGAATATAGTGTTAAGTTTTAAAAATGGTCCCATAAAACATTGAAATCTAGATAATTAAGACTTACCTCTATTTCTTTTCTTAATTTTTCATGTGTCTTTTTTTCTTCCTCAAGAAAACAAGTTTTTTCAATGATAGATTCTTTTACAGTTATAATTTTATCCTTTAAGTTTGTAATGTCTTCCTGTATGTTGACAACATTTGAAATATAGAAGTCAAAAAAGGATGATCAATATAAATCCAATTTTTCAGTGTTTCTATAATTTAAGAAAACTAGCCAAATCAAAATTTAGTTTTGATAAATAGCATTAGAATATTACTTCTATACGTATACAAAAATAAAGAACTGTTACTCAAAGAAACCTTACATTTGACACAGAACTAAAAACCAAATGAAAATAAGACAAAAAGGAAAGTGGTAGTTATGGTGGCAACTGCCGAACAACAGTGTAAAAGACACTTTTTAATTCTCTAGCAAGAAATGATCAATATTTTAAGTTTGTGTCTTCTATCGTCTTCAAAGAACAGTAAGAGAAATAGTAAGATGCTTAAGGTTCAGTTATTAATTTATATTGCTTGCATAACACCATTAAGTGTACTAAATTGATTTGAATTGGTCTGGATCCATTGGCATAGAAGCTAAGTCTTTAACATTTTTGTGAATTACATTTTCTACAACAAATGGATTAATTGTTCACTGTGATTTTATTTGACCATGTAGTTTTATAAATCTACAGGGGATTTGTGGATGTTTCCTTTATGCATTTGAGCATCTAGGGTCGTTGTTATATAACACATGTACTTATTCCAAGTTTTTTTCAATTATGAAAATAGTTTCTGAAGGTAATAGGACAGCTATGGGCATTTTATTAACTTCACAATAAATTTATCATTTAATGTATGTACTTGCAAAAAAGGAGTAATAGAAAAAATAGTTTTACTAAGTAATTTTGCACACCTGTACTTGTGTTATTCGGTTCCCTCCTGGATTTTGAAGATCTTGCATAAGTTCTTCTTTCATTGTCTTTAATTTTTTAACAAAATCTCGCTTTTCATGGAGTTCAGTCATAAATGACCATTTGCTCTCTACTTCCCCCAAACTATTTTTATGTGCTTTTATTTTTGCATAATATGCATTATATTTTATCATGTGTTCCTCAAAATCTTCTTGGGCTGTTTCTATGTCAAATTTAAGCTTTACATTTTCTGAATGTAAGGATTTGATTTGAGTTTCCAGGCTATCACAATGAAGTTTGGTATTCTCTATGGCAGAATCTTGTTGATAAATTTGTCTTTCTGTTTCTTTAGTTTCTGCAGAGATAGCTGCTATTTCTTTTTCAAGCTCATGAAGTTCATTCTGTAATACATTTTAACATTATCATTATTAATTCAAAATATTAAACATGAGAGGAAAATCAATGTTTTAATCCATAATGAATATAGGAAAAATCACTTATAAGAATATATTTATCAGATATTTAAAAATTAATGAATACAAGGAAACATGCAATAAACACAATTATTTTATAATTTCAGAAGGACCTCAGTTATATATTTTTTAATGTTCATCTAATTCTAAATATTAAAATCTCATTGTTTTATCTTGACATTTTATATATGTAAGATACTTTATAATAATTTTACTAATTTATTTATAGGCATCAGAAGTATACACTCAGGGAAGACAATATGATAAAAAATGATAAAGCCCTGAGTTAAGAATCAAAAGATCTAGGTCCAGCACACTTATTGCTATTTACTACTTCGTATGATCATGCATAACAAACTTAATTACCCCATTCAAACTACACTTTCTCCATTTGTAAAATGAGTATAAAGATATTTACTTTGCCTCCCTGGGGCATTTTGCATTGCTAACTGCTGCCTTCTTTTTAAAGCCTAGTTTTCACACCACCAGTCTTCTGGTTCTCCTTAGAAATTTCTGAGAATTCCTTCTCAATCTCAACAGTTCCTTCAAATATAGGTCTTCTGCAGATTTCAGTCATCATAATTTCCTCTTCTCACTCTCTATATATGCTCCTTGGGTAATTTCACCCAAATTTACATCTTCAGCTACATATCTGCCGATGATTCACAGAATATAAGTGGCTGCTGAGTTCTACACCCAGCTGCCAATGGCCACCTCTAATTCACTATATCCAAAAATTGAATGAATCCTTTCTACAACCTCAGCCTATTACTCCTTGTATCAATTATCTGTTGCCAGAATCACAAAACCTCAGTAGCATACAACAATACATAAGTATATATTGCTGACATGACTAGGAGCAGCTGAGGTTGGCTAGGTAGTTCATAAGCCTGGGAGAAGCAAGGGTTGGCTAGGTGGTTCTGCTGATCTTGATTGAATCTGCCCAAGTGTCTGGGGATTGGCTGATTGTAAGATGATTTAAATTGGCTTTAACTGGGCTGACAGGGGTGTCTTGGCTTTGCTTTATGTGTATCTTCTCCTCCAATGGGCCAACCCAGGCATGTCTTATGATAATAATAGATGCAGAAGAGTGAAATTCAGTTATGGAAGAGTTTTTTAAAGCTTTTGTTTCAGTCACAACTGATAACACCCCAGCTAGTTACATAATCAAACCCAGAGTCAAGGGGTGGAAGTGTGTCCATCCATTATGGGAAAGCATTGTAATGTATGGCAAAGGGTACGGATAGACTAACGGATGAAAAACTGGGACCAAAAATGCAAATGATCACACTCCTATGTTCCCCAACTTAGTTAATGTTACCACCTTAGCTCTTCCCTTCTTTTAAATAACTGTCTAAATGTTTCTCAAATTCTGTAGATCTTCCCACCAAAATAACTCTGTAGGCCATCCTCCATAGTCCTCTTCTTATCTACTATGGTCATTCTTTTTAAGTAAATTTGTAATGTTAGAGGGCATTGTTTTAAAAAATGCAAACTTCCTTGTATCCTTTTCCTGGCAGAGAAAAAGGAGGTAAGTTCACTGAAAAATACAATATGGCAATGAACCTCAATTTTTATCATCAGCTCTGATGTTTCAAATGCTCACTTGACATTTTTATATGTATGTTTACCAGACATCTCAACTATACATATTCAGAAAAAAAGTTTAATTTACACACCAAACATATTCCTCCCCCAGACTTTCTGATTTCAATAAACTGTACCACTTTCCACCTGGATACTCAAAAGCCTAGAAATCATTCTTGATTCTTCCCTTTCCCTTACCCCCACAACCTATTTCTCATCAAATCCTGATGGTTGGGCCTCCAAAATAAAATCCCCAATGCACTTCTGACCAGTCTTTGTAGTGTGACCTAATGTCTAACTCATCTCCCTATTTCCGTTCCTCCCCACTCCCCCAACTAGTCTGTGTATATCAGGCAGAAGAATCTTTTCAAAACATAAATCATATCATGTTATTTCCCTGCTCAACATCCTCCAGTGGTTTCCCATTGCATTAATAAAAAATTTCAAATTCCTGAAAGTGTTTTATAAGCCATATATGCCCTAGTGCCTATCTACTTTGCTATGCTTCTCATCTACTACTCTCCCTTTTTCCAGTCTCCTTTGTGTTGATTAAATATGTATAGTTCCTTCCGACCTAACGGCTTTTTAAATTATTGTTTGGTCTACTTTAAAATTCTCTACCCCTGGCTATTATCTGTTGGGTCTTTGTCTTTCACAATTCAGTATTATTATTATGTCTCAGAAGAGTCTTCCCTAAATCAAAATATAAATGAACCAACCACTATTCCACTCCTCCTCTAGTTACTCTCTACACATTACCCCATTGTATTTCCTTTGTAATACATCAATCTTTGAATTATCTTTATTTTGTTAATTTATTGCTTGCTTCCCCTGACTAGAAAGTAAGCTCTGTGGCTACAGGAACCATGTCTGTCTTCATTACCACCATCTTCCCACTGCTTAAAACAGTAACTGACACAAAGTAGGTGCTCAATAAATAAATAAATTCATTCAATAAATGAGTGAATGACTGATGCACAACCAATGGTCAGGAAAGGGACATATGCCCTGCTGGTTACATCAGGCTATCTATCAACTCTATTGGTCAATAGAAGAAGTATATTGACCCATACAATTTGGTTATCATCTCTTCTCTTTCTTGGACTAATGTAATTGACTATTAATTTTTCTTATTGGCTTTAGTTTCTTTTGCCTTTAATCCATTTCTGCCCTTACATGAGAATTACGTTATTTTTTTCTTCTCCCTCTCTTCTTTAATCTCCTCTGCCTCTTTTCCTCCCTCTTCCTCTTCATCCTTTTCCCCTTCTTCTCTCTCCTTTTTAAACTTACAGCTTTATCGAAGCAAAATTAATATAAATACATATTCGAACTTTACAATTTGATGAATTTTGACCTTCTTGTGCTCATAAGACCATCACCACAACTAAGATAATAAACGTAGTCATTATTCAAAAAAGTTTTCTCCTGATACTCTGTAAATTCATTCCTCCCTTTCCATCTCTCCATTCCTAGGAAACCACTGATCTGCCTTCCTTCTCTAAAGATTAGTTTGCTTTTCACTAATTTTATATAAATAGAATCATTTAATACATAATTTTAAGTCTTATTTCAATAAGCATAATTATTTCAAGATTCATCCATGTTGTTGTATATATCAATAATTCTTCATTTTTATTGCTAAGTAGTATTCCGTTGTATGGATATACCATATTAGTTTATTAGTTCATCTAACTGATGGGCATTTGGGTTGTTTCCAGTTTTCCAGTGGGCATACACATTTATTTCTCTTGGGTAAATACCTAAAAGTTAAATGGCTAGATTATACAGTAGGGATAGGTTTAACTTTTCAAGAAAGTATAAACTGTTTTCCTAAGTGGTTGTGTCATTTTACAGTCCATCTAACAGGTCTGAGAGTTCCAGGCCTTCCATATCTGCAACAACATTTGTTATGGTCAGTCTTTTTAAACTTAGCCATTCTAGTGGGTTGTGTGTGTGTGTGTGTGTGTGTGTGTGCCTGTGTGTGTGGATATTATAGTGGAAATTTAAGTATACTGTTAGATGTGTTTTCAAATATTCTCTCCTAGTCTGTGACAACCCAAATGGCCAAAGGGCCCCACCAAGAATACCTTAGTTTGTTTTCATAATAGTGTATATTGAAGAGCAAGTTTAAAAATTTTTTTGGATGAAATTCATCAAAATTTTTATGTCATATTAAAGAAATCATTGCCAAGCCCAACATCAATAAGTTTTTCTATGTTTTCTTCCAGATATTTTTTGTTTTAACTCTTAACATTCAGGCCTTTGATTCATTTTGAGTTAATTTTTGTATATGGTTTGAGGTGAAATTTGAGGTTCAGAATTTTTTTTGCATGAAAATATCCAATTGTTCTTCTACCATTTCATGAAAAGATTATCCTTCTCTACTGAATTGCTTTGGTACGTCTTCAAAAATCAATTGATATGTGTGGGGCTATTTCTGGGCACTTTAGTTTGTTCCATGGATCTATATGTCTAGCTATATCATATTATCCTGATTACTATGCCCTATAATAAATATTAAAATCAGGTAGTGTGGTAACATGGAAAGATATTTGGTCTTTGTTCCCAGTTATTGGTACAGAGCTCCTAAAACTCTTGTGTATTAGTCCATTCTGTGTTGCTAAAATAAATTCCTGAGTCTGGGTAATTTATTCAAAAAAGGTTTATTTGGCCCATGATTCTGATGGCTGGAAAGTTCAAGACTGGGCATCTACATCTAGTGAGGGCCTCAGGCTGCTTCTACTCATGGTAGAAGGTGAAGAGGAGCTGGCCTTTGCAGCAGTCACATGGTGGGAAAGAAAGCAAGAGAGGGAGCCGGGAGGCGCCAGGCTCTTTTTAACAACAAGCTCTCAGGGGAACTAATAGAATGAGAACTCCTTTGCTCCCAAAGGAGGGCATTAATCTATTCATGACAGGATCTGCCTCCATGACCCAAACACCTCCCACTGGGCCCCATCTCCAACACTAGGGATTAACTTCCAACATGAGGGTTGGAGGGGACAAACATCCAAACCATAGGACCTTGGGATTTCCTAAGTGACAAGGGTGATAGGATGATCTTTTGTTCGAATGAATTAATTCTTGGTGGGTCTCTACATAGTTTAGGATGGGGGCTGGCTGTCAAAAAGCCCAAGCCTTGATTAGAAGACTGAAACTTTTAGCCCCATTTCCCCAGTCTTCTGGGAGGAAAGAGGGGCTGGAGATTGAGTTAATAATGTGATGAAACCTCCATAGGAAACCTTAAACTATGCGGGGTTGAGAGAGCTTCTGGGTTGGTATAAACATATTGAGGTGCTGGAAGAGTGGAGCGCCCAGAGACAGCATAGAAGCTCCTTGCAGGCCCCCTCCCACATACCTATCCCCACGCATCATCTCTTCCATTTGGCTATTCCTGAGTTGTGTCCTTTATAATAAATGGGTAATAGGTGCTTTCCTGAGTTCTGTGAGTCATTCTAAAAATGCTCAAACCTGGTGAGGGGTGCGGGGAAAGTATGGGAGTAGGTTGTGAGAACCTCTGATTTTATAGCCAGTTGATCAGAAGTATGGGTGGCCTGGGACTTGTGATTGGCACATGAAGCAGGGGCAGTCTTATGGGACTGAGCCCTTTAACTTGTGGGATCTGATGCTAATTCCAGGTAGATACAGTACTCCCTCCTTATCCAAGGGGAATATGTTCCAAGACCTCCGTGGACGTCTGAAACCATGGACAGTACTGAACTCTATATACACTATGTTTTTTTTTCCTATACATATATACCTATGATAAAGTTTAATATATAAATTAGGCACAATAAGAGAATAACAATAACAACAAAATAATTATAACGATATACTATAATAAAAGTTATGTGAATGTGGTCTCTCTCTCCTATCTTATTGTACTGTACTCAACATGCCCAGCTGTTTTGTATTTTTAGTAGAGACAGGGTTTCACCATGTTGGCCAGGCTGGTCTCGAACTCCCGACCTCAAGTTATCCATCTGCCTCGGCCTCCCAAAGTGCTGGGATTAGACGTGAGCCACCACGCCCAGCCAGGAATTTATTTTTTCTTCTTTACAACTTCACAGATGGATGATTTGTCCTTACCATAGATCTTAGCAACTTCAGTGTATGATTTTTTTCTTTCCTTTAAGTTAAGAACTTTCACCTTCTCACTTAAAGTAAGTACTTTACAGCTTCTCTGTGGCATATGTGAATTGCCAGCATCACTACGCTGATACTTTGGGGCCATTAAGTAAAATAAGGTTTAGTTGAACATAAGCACTGTGATACTGCCACAATCAATCTGATAACTGAGACGACTACTAAGTGACTAATGAATGGGTAGCTCATATGGCATAGATGTGCTGGACAAAAGGACGACTCACATCCCAGGCAGGATGGAGCAGGACAATGCGAGATTTCATCATGCTACTCAGAATGACTTGCAATTTTAAATTTACAAATTGTTTATTTCTGTAATCTTCCATTTAATACTTTTAGAATGCAGCTCACTGTGGGTAACTGAAACTGCAAAAACAAAACTGCAAATAAGGGAAAACTGTTGTAGTGTCAGAACTGAATCAAATCATTGGACACCAAGTTGGCATCCAGAGAATCAGAAAATTGGTTGTTAGTGTTAGAAAATGTCCCAGGTAGTATAAGATTTCCAACACTTTTCTTCTTCAAAATTGTTTTGGATATTCTAGGTCCTTTAAATTTCCATATGACTTTTAGAATTAGCCTATGTATTTCTCTCCCAAAAGCCTGCTGAAATTTTGACTGGGACTGCATTTCATGTATAAATAAAATTGAGAGAACTAACATATTAGCAATACTGAGTCTTCTGTTTCATAAAAATGATATACCTCTATATTTAAGTCTTCTTTAATTTTTCTCACCAATGTTTTACAGTGTTCAGCATACTGGTCTTGTAAACCTTTTGTCAAATTTGCCCCTAAGTATTGAATGGTTTCGATGGCATTGTAAGTAGTATTGCTTTTGAAGTTTTAATTTCTGATTTTCTCTTGCCAATGTGCAGAAATACAATATATTTTTGTATATTAATCTTATGCCCTGCAATCTTTCTAAACTCACTTATTAGTTCTAATAGCTTTTTATAGCTTCCTTGGGATTTTCTTTAAAAAAAAATGCCATCTGTGAATAAAAACAGATTTACTTCTTTCTTTCTAAACTGGATGAGTTTTATTTCTTTTTCTTGCATAGCTGTACTGGCCTGAACTACCAGTACCATCCTGAATAGAAGTAAGAGGAGACATCTTTTTCTTTTTCCTGATCTTAGGAGAAAAACATTCATTATTTCACCATTAAGTATGTGGCTGGTTGTAGAATTTATGTAGATGTTCTTCCTTAGACCAAGGAAGTTCCCTTTTATTTCCAGTTAGCTGAGAGTTATCATGAATGGATACTGGATTATAATAAGTGCTTTTTATGTATCTAGAATTCTTTCTAAAATATAAATTTAATATTTGTTTCTTGCTTAAAATCTGTCAAATGCTCATCAACTTTAGAATAAAGTTGAAGTTTCTTATCGTGGTATAAATCTTCCATGATTTTTCAAAACATACTGTAATTTACATTACCATCAAACTATTTATGGTTCTAGGAATGTACCAATGCTATTTCAGGCCTCTGCAAATGTCCTCTGTGAATATCCTCAGGTTCTTTTTATTTTGAATATTATCTTCCTTACTCCCTAACCTTTAAACCTGTCCTAGACACCTAATCATTCAGATGAACTCCAGCTGCCATTTAAAACTCAACTGAAACATCATTTCTTTTGTGATCACTCTTTCTCTAGTGTTAAATCTGTGTTGTGTTCATGCCTCTACCATTGACACTACTACTCTACATGTAATTATTTGTTTACTTCTTTCTCTTCCCAATAGATGGTAAGTAACATAAGAGTGAGGACAATGTTCAGCAAAATGCTTAACACAAAGTAGGCTCTCAATATAAATGGAATAAAGTCTATGAAACTCTTTGAAGACTGAAAAGTTTTACAAAAAATTTCTTTACAAAAATATGACATTATTTTTTGAATTATATTCTACTGTATAGATGTATTCTTTTCTAGAAGTGACTAACATAATACAAGTATTTATAAGAAATCCATATCACCATGATAATACAATTATTGTCATCATATATCTACTGATGCACTTAAAACCAGTGATACTTAAAGCCAATGTCAAATAGGGCCCTACCAGTACCATGTCCACCTGGTCCCCACCAAACACATTAACTCATTTAATCCTCATGAAAAGCTTATGGGCACGTCCTATTGTTATCTCTGTTTTACAACTAAGGAAACAGGAGCACAACAAATTCACGGAACAAAAAGTAGTAAATTTGGCCTTTTGAACTAGGCAGTTCAGCTCCTGAGCCTACTCTTCTCATTTCTATGATATATTTAATAACAATCGTTACAGAGCACAAGATACTGTTTTCATTTTCATTTCTTTAGTCATATTCACATAGTATAGTTATATCTAATTACGTTGCATGCGAAGACCAAGTATGGCTCCCAAATTCCCTGCAGTAGGATTATCAATATATTTAAAAAGGAAAGGAACATAGAGGGAGGCTACTTGAAATGTTCACTGACAGCAAGTAACTCACAATCCATAGCTTTACAAACACTGGCTTAAAACTTAACCTTCCTTCAATTCAGCATTTTAGGAAACACTATCAAATAAGGGAATGTAAAATAATTCTATCTAACATGTTAGGTTTTATATGCTTATCCTACAGTTGCAATGACATTGTTGAATCTTTATATGTTGGGAGTGTAAAATTTTCCATAAAACTGGAATAGCCATGTAAACCTTACTTAGGGAGAACAGAATAATTGACAGAGAATAACTTTAAAAGTGACTCCCAATAATAAGTATTTTTAATAATCTCCTGGTCATTTACTTTTGAAGAAAGTAAAGACATTTAAAAGACTATATAAAGAAGTTACCTTCAAATTGAACAGAACCTTTTTGTTTTTTTCTATCTCTGATGCTTGTGATTGTTGTTGCTTTGCAACTTTCTCTACAGCATCAGCTAATGAACTTGTGTCTTGGTTATCTACAATTAGACAAAAGAATAAAGTATATAATAAAAATTAAAATACAGCCATTTTAAGAAAGTTATGTTTCTTTACTCAAAATCATGAAATATTTGATACTTTTTCCTTCTAAACTAAATTTAGAATTAGTAATTTTCCCTTGCTGATATAAACAAAACCAAAAGTAAAGGCAACAATAATAGGCAATTCAAAGTTGCCTACTGCAATGTCATACCCGTTCCTCTACGGAACAGTATAAATATTTTGATTGTCCTAATTTTTTTTATCCAGACCACTTGCACATATACTATAATTATAGTGCTACCATAACAACTCTATAGCAATTAGAGTTGATGCATTTTCATTGTAGGTCTGTATTTTCAGGTTGATATGCCTTTGCTAAACACTGTATATGTTTGTCCCAGCTAAATGTAACTGCTTCCATCTATTCTAATTTGCTATCAATTTTAACACAATTATCCTGCCAGACTACTTTTTTGTTGTTGCTGATCTTTTAATTATTTATTTCTTAAGACTGTTTCATTACCTTCTTTAGGAAATCCTTGACTCTTCCTTTCTTTGTTGTCTGACATTTTCTGTGTCTGTAATCTCTTTTCCCCTTTTTGATTTACCTTCTTTACTCCTACTCAATAATCTATATTGATAATCTTTCACTTTTGTTTTTTCCTGTTGTATATTGGTGATCCTGAAAGGTAAATTAATTGTCAAACATGTCACAGGGATGTCAATGACATTTTATCATTAGTGCCAAGAATTAGAATACAATGGTTAAGTGATTTTGGAATGAAAGTAGAACTGCATTTGTATTTTGCTTCTCCTGCTTTTCTGCTGTGGTGACCTTGAGTAAGTTTCTTAACTTCTTTGATCTTCAGCCCCTCATCTTCAAAACTTCATAAGGCTGTTCTAATAATTAAAGTAATATATGTAGCATGCATAGAACAGTACCTGATATACACTGCATAATTATTTTGGGTTAGTATTAATAGTATGTAACTCCAGTACTATGATGAAATAGATTCTGAGACTATAACCAGAATCTGTGAGAAACAATATCAATAATGATTAACAATTTCTGCTATGGGTGTGGAATCCAGGAAATATAGCACTCCTGTCCAGTGCTATTCTGGAGAGGGCAGGCCCTAAGCAAATTTTGATCTACTCTTTATTTAGGAGTAATGATAGGAGGAATAAGTATTTTTCTCCTTAAATCACTAAATATCTTTTCTAAAGATCAATTAACTACAAAGCATTCATGTACTAGTTACATGTGTTTAAAAAAATTTAAAGGATTGAAACCTGATATATATGCAACAAAAAAGAAAAGCAAAGTTAAATCAATTCCTGTGTAGAGATCAAATCTATCTAGAAATATACAACTAAGCTAAAGAAATCCTGAGAGCTTACCTAGCAGATTATCATAACCATTCCTTGAAATTTATAATTCTTTCCTGTCGCTTCATGTCACTTCCTTCAAATCTCACTTCAAACTTACTCCTTCATGAAGTCTTCCCTGATGCTGAGCTATTCACTCCGTTCATGTTACATCCTTTCTGCTCAACACACAGAACTGTCCCAGATTAGTGCTAATGAATCCAAATCTGATTTTCTCTCTAGCTCTTTCATCTGGGTTTCATGGTCACAGACTTCATCCTTTAATATATCTACCTTGAAAAATGCATGCCCTCTACATTTATACTTTCAGTATATACTGTCAGTTCTCTCAATTAATTACAATGGTAAATACTTACATCATACTTACTTTGTGCTAGTCACTGTTGTTCCAAGTGCTTTAGATTAAAAAAAAATTATATAGTGTTTATTCTGTGCCAGATGGTGTTCTAAGAACTTTACAAATAGTAACTCATTTAACCCTATAAGGTAGATATTATTACAATGTTCATTTTACAAAAAAAAGTACAGGGAGGTACACAAATGGATATAAGAATTTACCCAAAGAGAGCCATTCAATGTAAGATATGTGATTTGAATTCAAGTATTTTGGCTCCAAAGTTCATGCTCTTAATGCTAGACTATGATAGACTACCAAGATTATGATTTTTTATGGGAAGAATTATGTCTTCCATATATCACTCCAGAATCAAACTAGAGTCATCCCACAGTATATGCAGGGGATTTGTACCAAGTTACCCCCTTCCCCACTTCATATCAAAATCTGTGCAAATTCAAGTCCCAAAGTCAGTGCTTCGGAGCTGACTTACACGAAAACTTCGTCCTCCTTACACGTGGGTTTCAAGTCCCGCGTATACTGTATATTTGATACTAGTTTGGTTGAAAATACTCATGGATAAGTGGACCTGCACAGTTCAAACCTGTGTTGTTCAAGGGTCCACTATATTTTGTATTCCTATGATGCTAAAACGTCACTTTAATCAACTTACTCTTTCTATTCCCACTACTACCATCTATATTTCTTCTTCGAGAAACTATTCTGGTAAAGTGCATTTATAGAGCTGCTGCAGTTCCAACAGACCTCCAATGGCCTAATGACACAATTTGCATGCCTGAAGAGGTAATCCAATGAGTTCTTCATGCTCTTACCTAGCAGTAAATTCCTGCTAGGTAACTTACTTTCCTGGCGAGTCCCCATTTCTCTCTCCCCCAAATCACAGTGCAATTTCCATAAGCTGCCTAAAATATTGTGGGCATAATTCCCATTAAATTCTACATCCCTATTAACTTCAGTCTTCAGAAGAAACCAGGTCATTCTTCATCATAAGAACCCATCCTTATTCAGCTTGGTAAGTCCTTTAGTGTGATGCTGTATTACCCACTCCCCAACCCTTTTCTATCCTTTCACTTTGACTTCTCAAATTCATGGGCCATCTTCAGCAAAGTCCTTTCTATTGTCAACCTTTTCAGTGAACTTCCCTTTTACCTTTTGGCTTTAACTGAAGTCCAAAGATACAGCTTCCTCATCCTCAAGCCACTAAGTCTGGAGATGAAACATTTTTTTCTGTTCTCCATTCCACTGCCACCATATTTCCTTTTCTTCTCTCTAAAACCCTCTCTAGTTTCTTTGAAATTCAGGCCATAGACTATATAGGCTTTAACTTTCCTTGCTGTTATCAGCTGTCTTACAGGTCTTGGAAGGCTCATTCCTAGATTACAGCATCTGACTTACTGTTCCTCTATCACTACTCTCTTGTATTTCTTTGGAAATTTCAATATCCACAAAAATAGTATATCTAAATCCCTGAACGTTCAGTTGCTTGATGTCTTCTTTCATCTATTCTCCCCAGCAACCCATAGAGTATAACTCTACCTTATCCATAATCTCAGATGCAAACTACTGTTTATTCTTCTAGCTCATCCCATCTAGTATTTTGACAGTATGTGCTGTTTAACCCCGCAAGACTTCCAATCCATCGACTCTTGTATCTTTACACATTCCCTTAGCCCTTCATGTATTCTTCCCTCCTTACTTGGCTTAGATTCCTTTGCATTCACCCTCATTTCCCTTACAGCTCACTCCCTGTCCTAATTCCCTGGAAGAATCTCAACCAGCTGCTTTGCTTATACTCAAGTAGCTGAATATGCTTAAAGAAAGACATGCAACTATGCTGTTGACTCACTTTAAATTCAAGACCATTTATGTCAAGTGGGCCCTTGATCCTAGGCTCTTAACATGCACCAAGTTATGTAGATGATTGTTTCACTCTTTATCCTGTCTTCAAACCTCTCACACCTCTTTTCCCTTCCTTTGAGTTGGTAATTTACCTTCTAATCTAACTGAGATAGAAGAAAAAAATCAGAGAAGATGGTAAATTACCCATCTACCAGATTTTGTACCTGCACCTGTATATCAGCATACTGTTTTCTTGCAATAAATAGTGTTCTTGCTCCTATCTAAGGCCAATCCTCTACTTTTGTACTCCTTTCTCACAGACATTACTTCTTTGAATGGTCCCTCAACAGAATTTCCCCATTTACTTGGTCAAACGTATTATTCTGAACAGCCCATCATAAATCAACAACCACTACCACCACCAACCTTGCTTGACACCATAACCTCCTTCAGTACTGACCCATTTCTTTGCTCCCCTTTAAAGCCAAGATCTTTGGTCTCCACTTCCTCTCCTCTTTCTTCTTGAACCCACTAGAACCAGTCATTTATCACTGTACTTTTAAAACTTTTATCACGGTATCTATGAGCTCCACATTGCCACATTCAATGAACAAGTTCCGTCTTCATTTTACTTGACCTATTGGCATCATTTAACACATTTGATAATTACTGCCTTCTTGAAATACCATACTTCTTGGTTTCCTTTGCTGGTCCCTTCTCATCTTTTTCACTTATGTCACACCTCCTAGTGCTCGGTCCTCAGGCTTCCTTCTTTTCTCATACTTATTCTACATGTGATGCCATCTAGTTCTATGGCTTTAAAATCCACCTATAGGCTGACAATTCCCAAATTATATCTCTACCCTGAACATCCCTTTTGAGCTGTAGACTCATACTCATTGCCTACCTGATAACTCCATTTGGATTTTTAATAGGCATTTCAACTCAATATATCACAAACTGAACTTTTGATTCCTCTGTCCACTCTATTACCACCATTAAACCTGCACCTTCATAGTCTTCTCTATCTCAGTAAATTATAAGTTCATTTTTCTTGTTGTTCAGGCCAAAAACCCTGAGTTCATTAGCAGGGAGGTCTCTACAAGGATATAGAGCCCAAGGCAATTCAACTAGACTTGCCCAAGGCAATAATAAAGGAGATCTTATTGTTGATGTTTCATAGGCCCTTTGAGAAATCCTTAACACTCCAAGGCTGCTGCCCCGATTGACCTACCCAAAGGATGAGCCAGAACCTTCACTCTTTTTCCATTACAAGCTGCATGCAGTTCTTTTGGCAAAGCCCATTGGCTCTACCTTTAAATTATACTGGAATCCAATCACTCCTTACCAATTCCAAATACTATCTTAGTAGAGAAGCCTTCCCTGATAACTCTCTTTCACCCTTGCCCTGCCTCATTTTTCTTGACAGCATCTATTACCACCGACATCTCATACACGTCTTTTCCATATCCTTCTACTAATGTAAGCTCCATGATGGCAGATGTCTAGAAGTGCCTGGCATATAACAGGTGTCTAATTATAGTCTATCTCCACTCCAGTTTGCCCTTTTCTAACAGAATAATGCTCCAAAAGCACTATTCTGATCACGTCAACATCACAGCCAATCTTTCAATTCCATTTAGATGGCATTTTCTTTAGGAGGTCTTTCTCGATCTTTCTGGGAAGATATGGTCTTTCTCTTTTTAGAAGAATTGTTTCAGTATTTCTATTATACCATTTTAGATAAAGGTATAGGTCTAGAGTAAGACAGAGCTAGTTTTAAATCTAGATTGCACTACTTATTAGCTTATTAGGAAAATTATTTCCAACCTGGGCCACAGATTCCTTACTTATAAAATGGGAACAATATTAGTGCCTGCTTCATTAGGGTTATTGTGAAGACTAAATGAAATAATGCATGTAAAGCATTTAGCAAATTCCTGTCACACAATGAATAATCAACATATTTTTATTTTTATTATTTTCATTATTTTATAGTATCTTTCCCCATTAGAGTGTAAGCACCGGGAAGACAAATACAGTGTTTTATTTATTTTTGTATTCCTTAAAGTATTTGATAAAGTAACCTAAAGAATAAAGAAAATTGGATTTATACAATAAAAATAAAGTAACTAGTACTTCTTGATCTCTATTTCTATAGCAACATAAATTGAAGAACTCTTGGATAATATTTATTTAAACCAAATATTCATAAAATTCATGCTGTAAAATTGGAAAAGTTTTAGTTTTTTTTCCCCAGACTTCTGTTGTGCAATGAAAAGAAAAATGAAAACAAACTACTGCCATCTACCGATAATTCATTAGAATTGCATAAATTAAGGAAACAGGCTTTAGAGACAACTCTTTTCAAACATGTTTTTAAGAGAAGTTAGAACATCATCAGAGACATCCAAAAAGAATTAATTGAATAATTAAAAATAAACTGTATACCTATTATACACCAGTACCGCTGAATCTGCTGACACTAGGGATTACTTCCTTTTCTGGCCAGGCAATGAGATTAGAGTTTCAGGGCACTGAAAAAGAAAGAAAACAGAGGGTTTGTACTGTTCCTTACCTCCTTATCCAAGATAATAATAGGCAACATTCATACATTATCCACACTGCTTCTAGGTTTCTACCAAAGGAGGGGCTTTGCTGAATGTATAGACAGTACTGGACTACCAAAACATCTCTTGTTTTGGAGTGTAGACATTAAGGGGTTGGTCTGCAGCTCAAATCCAAGCTTTAAAGGATGTCCAGGCAACTGTTTCGAAAAGATTTCTACCTCTGGGACAGAAGTTATATAGACCTTTGGTGAAATCCAGTTATAACCTACCTGCTTGTCTCATTCAGAGAGGCAAGGGGCAAGGTCTTTTATTTCCTCCCCCTCTAAACAAGTAAACATGATTTCCAAACCAAGAGGAACTTTATAGTGGGTTAAATAGTGCCCTCCCGCACATCCAAAGATATATCCACGTCCTAACTCCCAGAACATGTAAATGTGACCTTATTTTGAAAAAGGAGTTTTGCAGATTTAACTGGGTTAAAGATCTTGAGATGAGATCATCCTGGATTTAGGGTAGGTGACTGAATATGCAAATGGACAATGGCCAGACCATATGTAAAAACAGAACTCTGACCCACAACCTGCAGCAAGCAACCCAGGAGACTAACCCATTATCTACAGTAACCAGTCCAGGAAGTCTATAAATTAGACTTGTAGAAAGTTAAATCATTATCTCTAATAACAATCCTAGGAGACAAACTATAACAATTGTCCCAAATGACCAGTACTGGATTAATAACTGGCATCTTCCCTAACTTTTGTCCCCATTTCCAAGTTGAGACTAACAAAAAGAAGCCATAGAATGCTCCACTTCTAGTTAGCCTGCCTGCAGCTTCCTCATGCTGAGAGCCTCTAATCAGGGCATGCCCACTCCTCTGCCTGCCTTCAACTTTGCTAAAATGCAGGAGATTGTGGCTCCCTCCCTTACAAGGCCTGAATAAATAGCTTTTGCTTGTTCTCATTTGATTGATCTTCATTTATTTCTACACAAGAATCCTTATAAGAGAAAGGTAGAGGGCTACTTGAGACTCAGACCCACATGGAATAAGACCATTTGACGATGGAGGCATGGAGCTTGAAGTCACTTAGCCCCTAGGCAAAGAACACCTGAAGTCACCAGACAACAGAAGAGGTAAGTGAACCACCAAAATGTGCAAGGTGCTGTCAACACCTCAGTTTCATCATCTGGCCTCCGTAACTGTGAGAGAACAAGTTTTTGTTGTTTTTAGTCACCCAGTTAGTGCCAATTTGTTATGCTAGCCCTAGGAAACTAACAGAAGCTTTTAGCAAGGAAATTTGCATCTGCTACATGGCTTTTTCTGGAAAGATCCATAAACCTTAGTGTAAATGGCTTAAAAACAACTGTTTTGTTCTTTAAAATTATACTTGTTCTCATGAGAAGATTTACATAGCATTATAAAAATGTCTGGTGAGTTCTTCAATAGTTCCCTTAATAGCCAGGCACTATCTCTGCCCTCAAAACACTCTAGGCAGAAAGACACACAGTCAATTAAAATGGAGAGGCGCAGCAGCTTATGTCTAAGCCTATCTACACATAACCTCTAACCACTTAACTCACTCTATTACCTTTGTAAGTCATAAGTGACTAATTCCCATATCATGCTAGGAAACTGTTAACTAGTAAATCTGCCTATTTCTGCTCCTATCAATTGACTAGTTCAATCTTATGACTTACTTGTGTTTGTTTGCAAACCTGTTTTTGCCAGTTGTGCTTGATATTGTGCTTTCGTAACTTAATATTGTATAAACCAATGAAATAGTGTGGAAATTGTTGTTTCTTTAAAAATCTATGTTTAATATTTTGGAAAGACCCAACAAAAGTATGTGAGATTAACTGTAAAAGATTATAAAATATAGCGGTGGCTCATGCCTGTAATCCCAGCACTTTGGGAGGCTGAGGCAGGCAGATCAAGAGAGGTCAGGAGTTCGAGACCATCCTGGCCAACATGGTGAAACCCCGTCTCTACTAAAAATACAAAAATTAGCCGGGCGTGGTGGTGCACGCCTGTAATCCTAGCTACTTGGGAGGCTAAGGCAGGAGAATCACTTGAACCCTGTGGAGGCTGCAGTGAGCCGAGATCGCACCACTGTACTACAGCCTGGCGACAGAGCGAGACTTCATCTCAAAAAAGAAAAAAATTACAAAGTATAAATCTGCCCTCAGATTGCTTCACAGGTGCCTTTAAGTTATTTTCCCCTTAAAAGAACAAAATCTTGGGAAATCTTAGCTGATGGTTTATGGGTACGGTTTATGCAAGAGATAGTATGCAGAATTCCAATCAGTAGACTACATGCAAAGAAAAGGTCTTGGATCTTCTCAATAGATGGGCAAATGAACACACAGTTGTTTTAGGTTAGAATACAGTTTAAGGTATTTGTTATATTTTTTCATGATTCTGTGGTTTAACTGACCTTTTTTCTTATAAAAAAAGCCTTTTTTAGATATAATTTACATACCACAAAGTACATCCTTATAAAGTGTACAATTCAATATTTAACCATTTTTTCCACTTATTTCTTGGCTAGGGGCCCAGACTACATCTATGAGAGGGCTTCTTCATATGAACAAAATGTAAAGAAGCTATTAATTTTGCTTGATGAGGGATGGGGATTCAGGGAAGATTATGTTTGAGCTTGAAGAGCCTTGAACAAAAAGTAGCAGTTAGGCATATAAAAAGGAGGGTATTTTGCTAAGTAGAGGAACTGCAAATGTAAAGAATGAAATCATGTGGCCTCCAAAGAACAGCTTTTATTTGAGTGGCTTGGGAATAGGGTGTTTTTATTTTTTCAAACTTAATTATGCATCTAACTCATACATAGAGGTTAAAACAAAACAAAAAAGCAAAGCAAAACATGCTCAGGCCTAACTCCTAGAGATTCTGATTCAATGTATATTTGGGATAGAGTCTCTACATTAATTATTTTTTTTTTCAGTTGCACTTGCAGTTCTGATTTGCAGCCAAGACTGAGAACCACTGGAGTAGGATAGAGTGAAAATGGGATGAGGAAGTGTTAGGACATGACACTAGGACCAGATGGTGAAAGGAAATGGTATGCAAATACAATATAACAAACTCTCTTCCCTGACAACTTCATTCTTTTGAAATATTTTCTTTTTCATTTTTTTTTTACTGCCACTACTTTTGCATGAAAGAATACGAATCCCACCATTGTAAAAACAGAGATAAATGTTTAAAACCTTTGTAACTAAAAGACCTCTGTTTTGCTTGAGGTATTAAGCTGGTGCAAAAGTAATTGTGGTCTTTGTCAATGGCAAAAACCGCAATTACCTTTGCACCAATCTAATGATATTTAACATAAACAAACTCAGGGCAGAGTGCACCTTCTGATTGGGTGTACCATCTACCGCTCGGGGCTCTTTAACAAATGACCAAAGAAAACATGAATTTTGACATAACTGGTGCTAGGGTTATTGAAGGGTGGGTTTCCATTCTGGGTTAGTGCTCCCAGTCTCTAGTCAAGCACAAGAACATGCCTACCCCAGAGGGCTCTTCCAAATTCCCAGCTATCTGAGATTATGAGACAAAGGTTCTTTAGCGCCTACCAAATGAGCAACAATGAAGATAAAAGGGACCTCTCCTTCCATCATAACCAGTTCCCCAGGAAGCACCATTTCTCTTACTCTTGGAAGGTCGGATATTTTTTCCCTTTACCATACACTGGCCTTCCATGTCCTAACTGCTATTTTCAAATAAATGAACGTTATATTCTTGGAGGACAGATCAGGGATGCTAAACTGCACCTTTATCATGATTTTAGGGATGAGCGCCTTTTACTTAAGTCCTGCTAGTGGCACATATTTTAAAAGGCCATAGAGGACATCCGTGTTGTCAACACAAGTGAAGGCGCTCGGAAGAGTGTTGGTCAGCAAGAATCAGCACAAAGACATTGGAGGAGAGACAACAGCTTGTTTCTGGAAACAAATGAACAACAAAAAAACACTAAAACATCTCGAGGGGGCCCCTGACTTGAGCCCTGCATGGGAAAAGCTGCCAAGAGCTAGCATGACAAGGGACTGGCCCTGGGCTGCGGTGAGGAAACCCAGCGTCCTGACCACACTGCTGGGTCAGCGAGGCGTCCCTCAGAGACCGGAAACGCGGACTTCAGCTCGCTTGGGAAACGGCTTCCATTAGCAGAAGGGAGACTGCGGTTTAGTCCCGAGGTCGCTCCAGCAGCCCGGCCTCACGCGACCCACCATTCCCGCCGCCCCCTCACGGTGCCCGCCGTTCCCGCCGCCCGGCTTTCTAACCGGGCCCCTAGTTCCCCGCCCCGTGCCCTCTGGAGACCTGCAGCTCCTGCCGCCCTGCGCCCGCTCCCAGGGCCCGTCGTTCCGCCGCCCTATCCCTCCTCAAGGGGCCCCTAGCTGCCTCCTCGCGACCCTTTCCGGACTCGGCCTGCCCACTCCTGCCCGCTAACCCGCCTGGCTCCCGGGCGAGAGCCCTCGCGCGGCTCTGGTTCCTGTTCCTCTAACGCCGCCGGGGCTGCGGGATGCCGACTCCGCGGACCGCCCAGACCCGGAACTGCTGAGGCAGCAGCGGGCTCGCGGCGCTTGGCTCATCCCGGGATTCCCCAGCTCTCGCGCTGGGCCCGCCGCGTTCGCACCAAGCACGCCAGGCGGCCCTGGCCTACCTCCCTCCCGCCTCCCGGCAGCTGGCACGAGGGAACCTGGCCGTCAGGTTTCCCCTGGGATCCTGGGACGGTATCAGGCGGGGAATCTGTGCGGCCGCGGCGAGGTAGGTGAGGTGAGGCGGGGCGAGGTGGGCGAGGGGGGCGAGGTGAGGCGGGGCGAGGCGGGGCGAGGCGAGGCGGGGCGAGGTGGGCGAGGTGGGCGAGGTGAGGCGGGGCGGGTGTCGTCGCGCTGGGCCGAGCTTACGACTCCAGCTGACCCGCTCGCGGCTGCCCAATTTCGTTGAGGCTCAGGACGAGGGACGGGGCGGCAAATTGTCACAGAGGTCGCCGTAGACCGGTGTGCAACCGAAGGTGAAGAGCGGGAAGGCGAGGACCGAATCGCCTCTGGTGTGCGTTGTCCGACAGGAAGTCCCGAATGGGCTGTGAGCCGCCGGTGGAGGTGCCCGGGCAGGTGCAGAGCCACAGCCTGCGCCCCGTGAGCCGAGGCGGGTAGGAGGAACAGGGACCTGGCGGCGACACACGTTGGGCGGAAATTCACAATGAACAGGGAAGGGGGGACGGTCACCCACTCAAAACTGGCTAAATGAACCTCAGAGGGAGCCCCGAGAGATGGGGAGCAAAGGTTAGGGGAAGCGGCAGGAGAAAACCTTCTTGGGGCAAAGGGCGTCACCAAAGGGGGTCACCGGAGCCCCGCAGGTTGGGGTGGGAGGGCTGGGCTGGAGGTGAGCAAAGCTGCACGGGGAGAATGAATTAAGAAAGTTGAGAGGAAGCCTGTCTCATCCAAATCACTATAGCTTTTGTGGTCATTGCTAAGTGTGGAGTACTGCGCAAATCCTGAAGGGAACTCTATTAGCCATCTCAGCTTTTATCATCTTAAAACGCGAATTTCGCGTGCAGCTCCATTTAGCTTCGTAAACTTAAGCCCCCGCATATGAAAGGATGAGACCTAATATGACAATCATGTCAGGACTAATGATATATCACACAGGTTGACACTCTGCAATTTAAAAACAGGACTTTGTCTAAACTCCACAAGTAATTCCTTACTCAAAAGTTCTGTGTAAACAAAACAGAGGAACTGTCGTGCTGCTGGAAAGATGTACCAGCATTTTCACAAAACGAATTAAAAGATGGCTTTGCTTTCACTGTCATGGTTCTGTTGTGACAGAGTAGACTGGCTTTTCTGGGAGGGGCCTAGATTTACTATTTTAGTTACATTTTAAAATCAGTGTAATTACTTCGTTTTTAATCTACCACAAATTTCTGTTGTAACTATAAGATTTATATAATCTTATATTCTTACACTAATTTTTATTTGCAGGTGATTTATTTGGCATAAAAGTATTCTTTCAAGGATGGCAGAAGCTGTTTTGATTGATCTTTTTGGTTTGAAATTGAACTCTCAAAAAAACTGCCATCAGACATTACTGAAGACTTTGAATGCTGTCCAATACCACCATGCTGCCAAGGCCAAGTTTCTCTGTATAATGTGTTGCAGTAACATCAGCTATGAAAGGGATGGAGAACAAGATAATTGTGAAATAGAAACAAGCAATGGATTATCAGCTCTCTTGGAAGAATTTGAGATTGTTAGCTGTCCCAGCATGGCTGCCACTTTGTATACCATTAAACAGAAAATTGATGAAAAAAATCTGAGCAGCATTAAGGTAATTGTACCCAGGCACAGGAAGACATTAATGAAAGCTTTTATTGATCAACTCTTCACTGATGTTTACAATTTTGAATTTGAAGATTTGCAAGTGACTTTTAGGGGAGGGCTTTTTAAACAGTCCATTGAAATAAACGTAATCACAGCTCAAGAACTAAGAGGAATTCAGAATGAAATAGAAACATTTTTGAGAAGTCTGCCAGCACTGAGAGGAAAATTAACTATTATCACTTCTTCTTTGATCCCAGGTATATTAACCACTAACTGTTGTTTTTACTTTGTACATGGAAAACTAGTCTTTCTTCAGAGGTAGTTCACCTCTTTTTTTCCTCCTTTCTTTTGTTGACTGTTGTGGGCTGATTACTCATTAGCATCAGTGGCAACACAGAGGTGTCATGTTTGGCCCTGTAGTATCAGGGGTGTCAAGGGATAAAGCCTTCAAAGCCACCCCAAATAAATAAATTTGCTTTACAAAAATTTGATGATGAGACAAATAATCTAGCCCTCCTTTGCAATGAGATTTATGACACTGAAAATCTTCTATTTAGAAATTCTGAAATTTCAAATCATTGGCACCTTCATAGAAGAGTAAAATTTAAAACAATCAATCTTACTTCTTGGTTAAACAGTATTTTCTGTGAGCTATATGCTATTAGATATAACAAAGCCAGATGAGACACAATATACCTTTTGAAGAGCAACAATCTCATAGGGAGTGTAAAACAAACACAAAGCAGAATGCCATAAGAACATATGGAGGTACAAAATGCCATAGAAATTAGAAGCCAAATAACAAGGGCAGGTAGCAGTGATCAGGGAAGGTCTAATTGAGAGACTGGTATTTTGAATAGCATCTTTTAAATCTTCACTGCTTATCTTCAACAGATATTTTCATACATGGATTTACTACAAGAACAGGTGGGATATCTTATATACCAACTCTTAGCTCATTCAATCTCTTCAGTAGTTCCAAACGGAGAGATCCCAAGGTAGTGGTTCAAGAAAATCTGCGTAGGTTGGCGAATGCTGCAGGATTTAATGTGGAGAAATTTTACCGAATAAAGGTAAAATTTTGCTTTATATTTTGAAAGATCTAAAGTATATTTTTTACTTTGCTAGTAACTACATGGACTTTAAGCTATTTAACTTTTGTATCTGCTTTTTTATCTAAAGTTTTAGAATAATGCTGTGGTTGTCTTTCTTAGATTTATACACCATAGCCTAAAGATAAGTTCTATTTTATACACACACACACACACGTGCAGATATATATATATATATATATATGCACACACACATATAGTAAGTCATCCTTTAATGTTGATAGGTTCTTAGAAATTGTGACTTTAAGTGAAACGACATAATAAAACCAATTTTACCATAGGCTAATTGATATAAATAAGAATAAAGTTTCTAAGGCATATTTCTTGTCACAAAAACATCACCAAACTTCTAAATAAAGACCAACACATTCCTAGTATTAAACATTGAAATAAATGTGAGCTAGACATATATTTACAAAACAGTAAGAAAGACAAATAAGATAACTACCAAATTATTTCGGTTCAGGGCTTTAGGTAGCTGGAGTCTATTCTGGCAGATCAGGATGCAAGGCCACAACCCACCCTCGACAGGACACCATTCCATTGCAGGGTGCCCTTACACACACACACACGTACTCATGCTGGGACCATGTAGACACCCCAATTCATCTAACATGCACTTCTTTGGGATGTGGGAGGAAGCTGGAGTACCCAGAGAAAACCCATGTGGACGTGAGGAGAAGGTGCAAACCTCACACAGTCAGTGACCGGGTGGGTAATCAATTTTTTTCATTAACATTATAATGAAATGATGTGGAATAAAATGACATTATTCAAGAGCCTACTGTATATTTCATCTGGAGTCCTCAATTCTAAAAGTACAGTTAATTCTCAGAGAGTATACTACCACTGCTCTTTTTGATTTAGAAGAAAGGGAACTGAATGGTGGTAGAGAAAGGCCATTATTTTATAAATCTACTCCAGGAGGAACTAGGGTCATAGTTGATGAGATAATGTCTTGTTCCTTACAGAATTCTAGCTTTACTTGAGTCTTGGAAAAGTAAAAGTATCATTGATTTGTTAATTAACTTTCCTTTACAAGAAAAATTTTCATTTTGTAGAAAGTGCTATAAGAAATGATATACCTATCTTTATGGAAAGATGTTCATTATTCACTATATTGAATTTTATAATGTTAAACTCTGCTTTTCTTTGCATAAACTATCAGAGATTATAATCTAAAATCTTAAATAGTTAAATTATAAGTAAATTTTGTGTTTTCCCATATATAAAAGTGATATATTTAATGAATGCTAGTAATCTTAAACTGGTTATATAATTTTATACTACAATGAGTACCTTCGAGAAAGCTTATGGTATAAGAAATACTATTTCCAAAACATTTTTGTTGCACATTTTTGGTATTAGACTCATCATTCCAATGACATCTGGATTATGGGAAGAAAGGAGCCTGACTCTTATGATGGAATAACCACAAATCAGAGAGGAGTCACAATAGCAGCTCTTGGTGCAGACTGTATACCGATAGTTTTTGCAGATCCAGTCAAAAAAGCATGTGGGGTTGCTCACGCTGGTAAGTATACTTAATTAAACATTTAGAATTTTACTCATTTTGTTGTGCAGGAAAAATTGTAATTTCTTTCTGATGGACATGGCAAACAGTTAATTACATTACACTGTGGTAAGTGTAATGATGGGAGAGGCGGCATAGTTTTATTATAGGGACAGCTAAGAGGAGTATCTGCATCAAATTATATGAATTATAGTAGAATTCCCAAAGGAGGTGGCACCTAGGTTGATTCCTGAGGAATTTGTTGGTTTTGGCTGGGTAACAGTGTTCCTTAGCAAGGGTGCTATTAACATTTTGGGCAGGATAATCCCACATTGCAGATTAAGTGTCTTTAGCCCCTGAAATCCTTAATGACAGTAGCACCTCTAGTTACTGTAATAACCAAGACCAACCAACCAACCAATCAAACAACAACGAAACCCTCCAAGCTTTTCAAAACACTCCCTAGGGGAGTGGTACTGCCTCTGGTTGAGAATCCTTGAAATCCAGGCCATAGGAAATAGGAATGTTAGGCATGTTGCAGAGAAGTGTTCACCCAGATGGAGCTGCATGTGTAAAGCTAGGGAGGTAGGAAAAAGCAAGATGTTTTGAAAACTGTTTTTAGTTTACATCACTTAATGTATTTAACTGTAACTATTCTCTGAGAGCAAAGAAGTATTTTTAGAAGGTATATTGTGTTAAGGATATGGAATTTTGTTTTCTGAAGGTATTTTAAAATAGTATTTTAGATTACCCCATAGCTGTGATTTTGTGTGAAATGAGGGATGATCTTTAAAATTTCCTTCTACTTGTAAATCTATGGCTACTTTGCTTTTTAGCTCATAGGTAAAAAAGAAAGTAGCATATTTTTATTTTGACCTAGCTGAAATAATGGGATTGAATGAGTAGAAGTCAGGTTTACTACATGACATTGTCAAAAAGTTATTTAAAATTTGAGTCTTGGCTCCTGGATATAAAAAGAGGATATTATTTTTTTACTTCTTAGGTTCGAAAACATTTAGTTTAAACATATCCAAGATCAAGCAGTCAAAATGAAGTTATAAATGTGAATTTCAAGTCATTAATAAGTTAATTTTGAAAGAATAAAATACCTAGGAATACAGTTACCTTAACCAAGGAGATTAAAGGTCTCTACAATGAGAAGTACAAAACACTGCTGAAAGAAAGCAGAGATAATATAAACAAATGGAAAAACATTCCATGCTCATGGATAGGAAGAATCAATATTGTTAAAATGGCCACACTGCCCAAAGCAATTTATAGATTCAATGCTACTCCTATCAAACTACCAATGTCATTTTTCACAGATTTAGAAAAAACTATTTTAAAATTCACATGGAACCAAAAAAGAGCCCAAATAGCCAAAGCTATCCTAAGCAAAAAGAATAAAGCTGGAGGAGTCATATTGCCTCCCTTCAAGCTGTACTCCAAAGTTACAGTTACCAAAACAGCATGGTACTGGTACCAAAACTGACACATAGGCCAATAGAACAGGATAGAGAACCTAGAAATAAAGCCACACACCTACAACCATCTGATCTTTGACAAAGTCGACAATAACAAGCAATGAGGAAAGGAATCCCTGTTCCATAAATGGTGCTGGCATAACTGGCTAGCCATATGTAGGAAATTGATACTAGATCCCTTCCTTTCACCATATACAAAAACTAACTCAACATGGGTTAAAGACTTAAACATATAGCCTAAAACTATTAAAACCCTAGGAGGAAACCTAGGAAATGCCATTCTGGACATAGGCATAGGCCTTGGCAAAGATTTCATGGTGAAGACTTCAAGAGCAAACAAAAACAAAAATAGTCAAGTGGGACCCAATTAAACTAAGGAGCTTCTGCACAGCAAAAGAAACTATCAACAGAGTAAACAGAAAACCTACAGAATTGGAGAAAATATTTGCAAACTATGCAGCTGAAAAGGTCTAACACCGAGACTCTATAAGGAACTTAAATCAACAAACAAATAACAATCAATCCCATTAAAAAATGGGCAAAGGACATGAACAAACGCTTCTCAAAAGAAGACTTACACGTGGTCAACAAGCATATGAAAAAACGCTTGATATTACTAATCATTAGAGAAATGCAAATCACAACTACAATGAGATACCATTTCATACCAGTCAGAATGGCTGTTATAAAAAAAGTCAAAAAACAACAGATGTTGGTGAGATTGTGGAGAAAAGGAAATGCTTACACACTGCTAGTGGGAATGTAAATTAGTTCAGCCACTGTGGAAAGCAGTTTGTATATTTCTCAAAGAACTTAAAATTAGAACTACCATTCAACCCAGCAATCCCATTACTGGGTATATACCCAAAGGAATATAAATTATTCTGCCATAAAGACACATGCACACGTATGTTCATCACAGCACTTTTCACAATAATGAAGACATGGAATCAACTTAGATGCCCATCAGTGGTGGACTGGATAAAGAAAATATGGTACATATACATAATGGAATACTATAAAGCCATAAAAAAGAATGAAATCATATCCTTACAGCAACATAGATGCAGCTGGAAGCCATCCTAAATGAATTAATGCAGGAACAGAAAATCAGATACCATATGTATCCTTTAAGTGGGAGCTACACATTGAGTACACATGGACACAAAAAAAGGGACAATGGACATGGGGGCTTACTTAAGGGTGGTGGGTGGGAGGAGGGTGACGACTGAAGAACTGTCTGTTCGGTACTATGTCCACTACTTGGGTGATGAAATCGTTTGTACACGAAACCCCAGTGACATGCAATTTACCCATGTAACAAACCTGCATATATGTACCCCGAACCTAAAAAGTTGGAAGAATAAAAATAAATTAACTTTAAAATATAATAT
Organism: Homo sapiens; assembly: GCF_000001405.40. Taxonomy (NCBI): domain Eukaryota; kingdom Metazoa; phylum Chordata; class Mammalia; order Primates; family Hominidae; genus Homo; species Homo sapiens. The sequence goes on from NC_000013.11 coordinate 43,886,794, forward strand.
AATTAGCTACATTGTATACTACTTTTATCAGATATCAAAAAGAATAAAATTCTTCTATGGGACTAATTTAATAAAGATCTTTTAACTAGATATGTATATATAGATAGGCATAGAAAAATCAAATAGAAAGGAGGTGGATGAACTACAAGTGAGAGGATAACTAAGGAGGCTCACTGAGGAAGAGAGCTACTCTCATCTGTAGAAAAGCCCTGACAGTTTCTCTCTTTAACTCAAAATGCCTATATCTAGTTGCTTCCCTTTGAACATCACTGTCTGCATCTTCCTAGGTGCCTGAAAATCATTATGTCAAAAACTCAACATTTTTTTCCTAAAGTCTTCTCTGCCAGTTAGGTTTCCTGTTTTAATTATTGATATCCTACCCACTTACAGATAGAAACTTGATGTCTTCATTCTGTACTTCCCATAACCACATATTCAGTGGGTTACCTGTAGAGGCTGAACCTGTCACCTAAGTCCTTCTTGCTTTCATCATCTCCTTTTATCTGTAAAAATTGATCCCTTCACCTGAGTGCCTACCTTTTGAAGGGTATGAGTATGGAGTGCTTAAGGAAGGTGTAAGGGTACTCATTATTGGCCAACCATATCAGCTGAATCAAACCCAGATATAGGGAATAAAGGAAAAATGCAATATTCTTAGCTTTCTGTCTTTGGCAACAAGAAGGTAGCATAAGTAAAGAAGATGGTTTTATCTTAGAACACTGTAAGATGCAAGGCAGATAAGACAAAGATGGCAAGGGAACGATAGTCTGGGCAAGTGGGAAGGGAGTAAAAAGAGGCTGTTAATTGAAATATAATAGATATATTTTTGTAAAAAGGGAGAGATGAAAACTGCAAAACATTGCTGAAGGACATTAAAGAAGACACAAATAAATGCAGAGAAATTCTGTGTTCATGGATTAGAAGTTAGAGAAACGCAAATCAAAACCACAGTGAAATATCACCCCACATCCATTAGGATGGCTAATATTTTAAAACCTCAGAAAATAAGTGTTGTTGAGGATATGGAGAAGTTGAAATCCTGGTGCACTGGTGGTGGGAATGTGAAATTGTGTAGCCACTATAGAAAACAGTATGGCAATTTCTCAAAAAATTATAAATAGATTACCATATAATCCAGAAATTCCTCTTCTGGAAGTATATCCAAAATAACTGAAATCAGGAACTCAAAGAGATATTTGCACACCAATGTTGATAACACGATTATTCGCAATAGCCAAAAGGTGAAAGCAATCTAAGGTACATTGGTAGATGAATGGATAAGCAAAATGTGTGTGCATACAATGGAATATTATTTAGCTTTAAAAAGGCAGGATATTCTGACACATACTACAATATAGATGAACCTTAAGGACATTATGCTAAGTGAAATCAGTCAGTCACAAAAAGATAAATACTGTATTGATTTCACTTATATGATATACCTACAGTAATCAAATGTACAGGAACTGGAAGAAGAATGGTGATTGCCAGGGGCTGGTAAAAGGAAGAAACAAGGAGTTATTGTTAATAGTTGTAGAGTTTCCATTTTATCAAATGAAAAAATTCTGGAGATTGGTTATACAACAATGTGAGTTCAACACTACTGAACTGTATACTTAGAATAGTATTTTTTTGTGGTTATAATAGTAAATTTTGTGGGTTTTTAACCACAATCTTTTAAAATGTGAAAAATAGAAGACTAAGAAGCTATGATCTCAGTGGAAACTAAAAGTATAGAGCATCTTTAAATGGAAGATGAAGAAAACTCCCATTACATGTCTCTTCTGTGTCAGGTGCTTTGTGTAGTATGGCTCATTTAAAAACCACATGATAATGTAATTTATTATTTCTGGACTTTGAAAAATATACAAACTAAATCTGCTCACTTTTAACTTAGACATAAATTCAGGTGAAATTTTTTATGTTTTGACTTCTCTTATCTCTTTTTATTCCTATTTACCAGGTTGGAAAGGTACTTTGTTGGGTGTTGCTATGGCTACAGTGAATGCTATGATAGCAGAATATGGCTGCAGTTTGGAAGACATTGTTGTTGTACTTGGACCTTCAGTAGGACCTTGCTGTTTTACTCTTCCAAGGGAATCAGCAGAGGCATTTCATAATCTTCATCCTGCATGTGTACAACTATTTGATTCACCAAATCCCTGTATCGACATCCGTAAAGCCACAAGGTATGTCTGATTTCATTCAACTGCAAGTTTGATTATTTCTGATTGTTCTAAAATGAAATTTATTTTGGAGAACAATTAATAACTCTAAGAAGAATTTAGGTGGTGGTTATTTAAGCAGCTGACATGCACATGTACACAAACACTCATTTTAAATATGAAATCTGTTTTCATTTGAGTTTGAATAACAGAAATTTTCCTGTCTGGTATCTTTCATTGATTTAAAAGTGAAGGAAGAAATATTTGGCATTTAATTTTAAGAGATCTACTTAAACTTCATATAGAAAAGTTGGCGTGTACTTTACTTCACAGCCATTCCTCAGCTAAATTCTCCTAAATGTAATGAACTATCAGGAAGCTGATATTTTAAAATTATTCTTATTATCTAATTAACTAGAGGAATATGTTTTTTAGAAAAAATATTAGATAATATAAATACACGGTTTTTTACTTTTAAGTTTTTTACAGTTCTTCGCATCTTTTAATTTACAAGGTTTTGTTATTAATAACTGGTGAAAATTATTTGTCATTACTACAAAGGCAAATTAATGTATGTTTTAAATCATGTTTCTATTCCAGTCGCCAAAACTTTACCCAGAGTCTGCCTCATTTAGTACAGATGTGGAAAAGTTTGAAATTGATTCTTAAATGTGACTTTTAAAATCAAGTATCACTAACTTGTAGTCATATTTCATATCATAAAGTGTTCATGGAGAAGCAAGTTTTCTGAGAAAAATCTGGCTAATAGAAGGAAAGGAGATGAAGGGCCAGATGACTAAAAAGCATACTCTGGCTGAGCCAGGTGAATTTTGCCTGATATCCTGGTAACTTTTGTAGACATTTCTTCTTAAATAAGCACTTGATTTTGATTATAAAATTCTGTACCTAGATTATGTCTATAAGACAATATGGAAGGTTGTACTGTGCATATATGAACTTAGGTGATAAATGCTGATAAAGTGTAGCATTTTTTTCCCTGACTAGTCCATGTTCTGTAAGTGAATAACAATATACATTGTTCTAGGTACATCTTTCCTGGAACTTTTTCATGCCAACATCCATACTTTTTTTCATATTGCTTTGGCTATTGGGAAAATAAACTCTTGCTCTCTTTTGAAAAATATTTTTCCTAAGGATTCTTCTAGAACAGGGAGGAATTCTTCCACAGAATATTCAGGACCAGAACCAAGATCTCAACCTCTGTACATCTTGCCATCCTGACAAGTTTTTCTCCCATGTCCGAGATGGCCTTAATTTTGGTACACAGATTGGCTTCATATCAATTAAAGAATGAGGTACAGTAGGTTTTCTCTCCTCTCTCCGTTTTTCCTCTCTTTCATCCCTCTCTCCACTTCTCCCTCCCTTTCTCTTTCTTCCTCTTTTAGCCTATTCCTCCCCTTATTTAAAAAAAAAAAGTTAATTATGTTAAACTTTACTCCTTTATTCCTACAGGGAGAATGATGTTTCTACTTTTTTAGTGATGTAATAGTGGTAGCAACGTTCATTTCCAATAACACTCTATTATGAAGAGCAGCCACTCCTTTTCCTAGTTAATGAAGAATAATTAGGCAGGCTTATGTTAAAAGTATAAAAATAAAACAATTTAATCTTTAAAAAGGTATGTAAGTATTTCCTTTCTCTCTACTATGTACTTGATATCTGTACATTCCCTATCCTCACATCCTTATAACTTTCATGTTATTTTTGAAAACAAATCTTTGCATAAACATTCTGAATTCTAGAATCATAAGAAATTCTCACAAAGAAACTAGCTTGATTTTCAACTAGATTTCCAAATGATTATCTGCAGTTGGAGTTGCCCAAATTTTTATTTTAAAATGACAGTAAGTAGTTTAGACTTTGTGGGACATACAGTATATCTCAGCTACTCAGCTTCGCCATTGTAGAGGTAGAGCAACAAGAGATACTGACAACATAGAGATGAATGAATATGTCCGTGTTCCAATAAAACTTTGTTTACAAAAATCAGGCGAGGGAGCCAGGCACAGTGGCCCTGCTCCTGTAGTCCCAGCTCCTCGGGAGGCTGAGGTGGGAGGACTGCTTTAGGCCAGGAGTTTGAGTACAGCATGGATAACATAAACCCTGTCTGTAAACAGTAAAATAAACAGGTAAGGGGCCAGATTTGGCCTATAGGCTATAGTACACTGACACATGATCTAAAGTCATACAGCAAGACTGAGTGTAATTTTCTTAAAATAGTATTTATTAGAGATGGTTTTGTTGGAATTATACAAAAATATTTCATGGCACTGATTTAGCACTGCCCCTATAAGATATGTGTAATTTTCCCTAAGGTTACTTCTAGCTGAATTAATATTATTTTTTACTCTTTACAATGTTTTTAGCTCTTTAACTTACAGAAAAACTTTAATAGACTTCATGACTCTTACCTTGATATTCTAATAACACCAGTAAGCGTCTCATATTTGATTTCTATGTATTTTACAGATACTTGACTGGATTTTTGTATAACTGCTTCCTGCCTCCTTCCAAACTGACTGCAAGAGAGAAATTTAGCTGTTTGATTTACTTAAAACCAAATGGATTACAATGGATAATTCATCTTTTGGGTATATTTTTACTATTATTCAAAGCCAAATGATTTTCATTTAATTGTAATAATAACTGACAAAAATCAGTATGTTGTAGCTAATATGTTTTATGCATGAGAATTATTCTTAAAGTTTGTTCTCCCTGTTTATTACACAGATCAGGAATAGATTTGTTCAGTTCAGTATTTATTGGATACCCTCTATTGGTCAGGCATTGTGTTAAGCATATGTGAATCAAAATGAACACAACTTTTTCCTTTGAGTCTGATACAGTGAAGGAGATAAACACTTCTACAACTTAAATTTAATTTTAATAGCAGTAGAAGAGAACATAAGGAATAGAGGTTAATTTTACCCAGAAGCAGGATAGAGAAAATATTACAGAGAAAATCACATATCACATGGGCTCGAAAGATGTAGAGGTTTTTGACAAATGAAGAACAACCATAACAGGTAGAGGGAACACCATGAACCAGGGCATGAAACTGAAAGTGCATAACATATTCTAGAGAGAGAAGGGTGTGGGCATGAGTTAGGGCTGGAAAAACAGGTTGGAAACAGATAAGTAAGGGTCTCAAATGCAATGTCAAAGAGCTTGCAGTTTATTTTCCAGGCAATGAGTAGGCAGCCAAAAAAAAAAAAGTAAGGATGTTTTTTTTTTTTTTCCCATGGCATCATATTTAAGAGGATGGATTTAAATTGTGTGAGACCAAAGCATAGAGACTAGATAAGAGGCGATCAAAATATTTCAAAAAGAAATAATGAAGATCCAATGAAGGAAGTGGAAATTAAAATAGGGAAGAGAGTAGATGGATTAGAGAGACATTTAAGAGATGGAATCAATAGATCCTGTTACTAGATAATGGAAGTAAGAGGTGAGGAAGAGTGGAAAAGTCATTAATGACTCTAAGATTTCTGCTTGGCTGCTTACCAAGATTGGCAACAAAGGGAGGGAGAAGGTTTGGAAAAAGAGAGAAGGATAATGAGTTTGACTTTACATAGAATGAAGGGCATCCAGATAGAAATCTTTGGTTAATAATTAGAAATATAGACCTAGAAATTAGGAGGAAACCTGAGACAGAGACAAATATTTCAAAGCTTACAATACAGAGATGATACCTGATTCTATTGGAGCAGGTTTGATCATCTAGGCAGAAATTAGGATGAGAAAAAAGGAGATCCAATAATACAACCTTATAGTCACAGAAGTAAGAAAAAAAGGGTAGTTGTTTTGAAGAAGCCAGGATAGGTGTGGAAAGTACTCAAAAAGAAATCTTCAGGGATAAAATAAAGTGATAATTTAAAAGAAATCAATGGATTAAACATATTGAAACTGTTCTATAGGCAGTGGTCATTGAGTCAGCTTTCAGTGCATTAGGAAGAAGATGCATAGGTGTCAACTCTTTTCTGACAGCATTTACTAGAGAAGAGAAAAAGCTGGGGACTACATCTTCAAGGAAGGGACTTTTTTTGGATGAGCAGTTTTGAGTGTGTTTGTCAGTTAAAGAGAGGAATTAGGTTAGTTTTCATTTGGGAAAAATTGTATATATATTTAATGTAAGTTATCACATTGCATCTTAAAAATATTCTTATTTAATACATATATTTCCTACATGTATATGTGGTAGCATGATAGCAAATAACATTTGTTTGGTATTTCCAAAGGACTTTCATGTACATTGCCTCATTTTACCTTTACAGCTACTCTGAAATACACAGGCATTATCCCTTTTATTCAGCTGAGAAAACTGAGCTTCATTGAGGTGGAGGTCAAAAATCACAAAATTTGTGATGAATTAAGATTTGAACATATGTTTTGTGACTCCAGTTTTCCTTTCAGATTTTAAAATTAATTAAAGGGATCTTCATTATACTTTTATTGTTAACTTTTTGTTAACATAATTTATTCATACATTCAGTGAAAATTTTGTTGAGGTACTGGGACAGGTTAAAAAATACAGTTGTAGCCCTCAGGATATTTAATATCCAGTGAAAAGTGACAGTCAGTAAACCAACAATCTCAATACTTTGATATATGTTGTGAGGTTGTGATAACCGATTCTTGTTTAGTTTAATTCTATATCTCCCTTAGACCAGTGTTAAATTTAAATAAAACACCTCATTTTTTCCAATTCAGGGAAGGCACTAAACATAAAGCATAGGATAGAAATGTTGAACTCATCCAAAATATTATTTTGTTTAATGAAAATGATGAAGATTAAGGAATACTTCCATGTATTGAGTAAGGTTGATAATTTTCTAATTCTTCACTGTGCATTATTTTGTTTGAAGTTGGTAAATTTGGAGTATCCTGCAGACACATTTTGCTTTATGTACTACAACATTCTACAACCAAATAAAAATTATTTTGATTATCTGATTTTGGATTATCTCTGCCAAAGTATATAATGAAAGGTTGTCTCCTTGCTGCTTTACTGAATGAAAAGTGTTGATTTAGTAACTCCAAACTATCAGGTTATTAAATAATCATCTTATTGTGTCTACAAGATAGCTGTCACTCTCACATATTTGTATGTAGGTTTCTAGGACTTTTGGGGTACAACAACAAAGATTTCTAGTAAGTTTTGTTTTTGTTTTTAATTTTATTTTAAATTTATAAATAACAATGGTACCTATTCATGAGATACATAATAATGTTTCCATTCATATAATGTACAGTGATCTGACCAAGGTAATTAGCATATCTATCATTTCGAACATTTTTCTTTGTGTTACGAACATTTAATATGTTCCTTCCAGCTATTTCAAACTATATAATATACTATTGTTAACTATAGTTATCCTACAGTGGTATAGAACACTAGAACTTATTCCTCTTAAAGTTTTGTTTTTAATCTAAGCACTGCTACTAACTGCACATAGGAAATATTGATTGCTATTTTATTAATAAGGGGAATTAAGTTTGTAAGTCAAATAAACATTAATGAAATACCTTTTTGAAAATACTATCAAACTAAAACTTACTGGGCCATTTATCCAACTGTAATTTTAAATTGTGAAAAATAGCACAGTGGCCAAATATGCTATACCCCAGTGCTTTATAAAACAAATAAGATGACCTTACCACTAGGAGGTGGTATTTCAACAAGTAGCTCTACTATTATTTCTTGGTATAAAGTTGAACTAATCTTTTTTTTTTTTGAAAAAAATCAACTTTATTTTTTCTAGGTTTAAAAAAATAGAACCAGCTATTAATTTTTGTTGAGAAAATGCATCTTTTGGTGTTCACATCTAAATTTCTGAAAAGGTGATCTGGTTACTAAAATCATCCCAAATACATTCATAAACCAGATCCACGTGTGACCAGCCCTTTACAAAAATTAATTACAGTTGCCACAGCCTTTACATTCATTCTTATCACACGTTACAACATGCAGATAACACAAAGAAAGGTCAACAAGCTGAAGTAAACATTACAGCATCAGGAAAATGAAAACCCATCTGTATAAAATAAATACAATTTTGTAATAACTGTAAAGAAAATGAAAGCACTTAATAAAAATAATGGCAGTTGAATGTATAACTGTCTCATCTCCCAATCATAAAATAAGTTACTGTAAAATGCATAGACTCCTTACACTTAAAGAATTTGTGCATCACAGTCATGTGAAGTTGAACTAATCTTAAACTCTGTATTTTCTTGTGGAATAAAAAGGGAGGGGAGGACGCATTTAAAGTTAGTGAATGTATTGCTCTTACTTTAGGTATAACGTGGTAGTTCAAGTAGATAAAAGCATTTAGGAACCCTCACCCACTTCTATCTCACTCCTACAGAATCTCTAGTAATTGCTTTTCTGTAAGTAGATTTTTGGGAGAAACTCAGAGAAGCTTATTCTATGTAACATGACAAAACAGAAATAATATCTATATATTCAGCAGCTGGAAGGAAAGATAACAGTGACATACGAGTTATATGCTTTTATATCTCAAAGTGGGATTTGATATTTATTTTTACTTGATTGTCCTAGAGTTATACTTCCAATGTATCCATCTTACTTTTTGTGTGAACTCTTAGAGAATGCTACCAATCTATGAAAGTTCAGCACTTTAAAGAAAGCATTACTCAGTTATTGTGTGTTATCGTGTTTGTATGCATGAGTCTTTGTGTATGTGCTAAATGGCAAATAAGAAATATGTGTGTTAAATATGACACATAGCCTTTTTGCCCTAGCTAATATAAATTAACACACACATAACACATTGGATGCAGTAGAATAATAGATTTCTCTCTATAGATTTTTTAATAAATTATGCAGTAAAGAATGGAAAGCATGGTCCATATGCTTACTGGATGTGTTTGTGTGAACCCTGATCTAGGGCACGTGCATTTCCATTGTAGGCAGTGTTTTTAAAGTTTACTTGTGATTTCAAAGATTGCCATAAGCAATGCATTGTTCTGTGCTAGGTCATTGCTTAATGAAGAAAAAAGAAATCTGCCAGTACTGCTTTTTCCAGATTAACACGTTTGGTTTGAAGTCACAGTGATTACATGTCAACTGTGTTGAGACAAACTTTTCATACTCTCCTTAGATGCATTTTTGTAGAGAAAGAAATGCTTACATCACATTCCCCATGTCCTTTTGCCAAGCGCCTGAGGTGAGCTATGTCTCTGCTGTATTTGGAGCAGACTTTTTGTTTTATTTAATTCTCAGAAGGTTGAGGTGTCCAGTTACTACATTTTGTTAAACAAAATTTCCAGCAGACACTATAGCTCAAAATACCACATTCCTTTCTAACCAAAAACAAAACAAAAGACAAAAAAGGGGAGTAAAGGGAGTACTCTCATTTCATGAGAAACATTTGTAGAAAAGAGATTTGTTCATGGTAACAATTGGGTTTTTAATACCCTTCATTTTCAGAATTCTGCATCACACGCTGCTTCAGTTTACATCTCACCATGCTTTCCTGTTCCTTACGTTTTTAAAGCTCATGTTTTAAGGTTGTATTTTCTTTCTTTTGTTGTTGTTTTGTTTTGTTTTGTTTTGTTTTTGAGACGGAGTCTCGCTCTGTTGTCCAGGCTGGAGTGCAGTGGCGCGGGCTCTCGGCTCACTGCAAGCTCCGCCTCCCGGGGTTCACGCCATTCTCCTGCCTCAGCCTCGCCAGTAGCTGGGACTACAGGCGCCCGCTACCACGCCCAGCTAATTTTTTGTATTTTTAGTAGAGACGGGGTTTCACTTGTAAGCCAGGATGGTCTCGATCTCCTGACCTCATGATACACCCCCCTCGGCCTCCCAAAGTGCTGGGATTACAGGCGTGAGCCACCGCTCCCGGCCAAGATTGTATTTTCTTATCCCTCCCATCAGCCTCGTTTTCATACTTGATATTTCATATTTACAAGGTACCTTCATTCCTTTGGTTTTCTACTTTTCAATACATATCCAGATTTGGCTAATAGAGTTATCTGTTTGACATATCCTGTGTCCCCTCAAATATATCCTCCAAACTTAACTCATCATCTTCTCTCCAAAACCTGCTCCCATCCTGTCTTCTGTCTCAGAGAATGAAATCATTATTCATGCAGTTGCCCAGCCAGAAACCCTGGAGTGTTTCTGAATGCCTCCCTTTCCGTCTCCCCTTCCCTTCCCACACTACTGACTGTATGTCTACCATGTGTTCCCATGTCTCTCAACTTTCACAGACATTCAGGTCATCATCTCTCACCTGTATCATTAGAGCAGCCTTCTGACTAGTCTTTCCTTATTGAATCCCTTCTTACAGTATCATTATTGATTGTTTTAAAATGCAAATCTGGTCATATTACATCTCTCAAAAAATTTTTATGGCTTTCCCACTGCCTCCAAGGTAAAGACCTACTCACTAAAATGTATAAGTGCTGTCATCCTCTTGCCCCTGCATACTTCTTTAATTTCTACCACTCCCCATGCTGTAGCCATTCTGTACTTTTTTCATTTCCTAGAGTATGCCATTAAGCTAGGCCAGACCAAATAGGTTGGTTGGCATTCAAAGACTGACTAGAACTCAGATTTTTGTTTAGGATTATCTTCACTTAGGCTTTCTACTAAATTAGCAAATAGGAAGTAGCAAGGACATCTACAATATAAACATTTACGTAAATAATTACAACACTCTAGTGTCTCCCTAGTTTCTCATGGAGATATGGCCAAAATTCAGTTGTCAATGTCATATATATATATATGTGTGTGTGTATATATATATATGTATATATATGTGTATATATGTATATATATGTATGTGTATATGTGTGTGTGTGTGTATATATATATATGTATATATATATACACACACACACATATATATAGCGAGTACCATGCCAGATTGTACATGGAAGCTCAGTAGCTTTTGTTCCATGGGCAGTGTGAGGGGCCATACTAATGCTCAAAGGTCTACCTTCTACTGTATAAAGAAAGTTTTACTATATTGAAAAGCGTGCACAATATTTTTTTCTGTGTTATTGGGTCAACAGCAGTTCTCACCATGATCACCATCATCTTCCACAGCTATGTTTTCTCTTGCTTCTTGGCTTTGTACACATTGCTGGCTCTTCGTACACATTGCATACACACGGCATTTGTCAATGTCGCCTCTCTTGAATAACTCTTAACTATCCTTTAAGACTCAGATCTGGGGTCTTCTCTTCCAGAATATTTTCTTCGTTGTTTGCCTCATTAGCAACCATCCTGAGCATCATTTTTTATGGTCCTCAGTGAACTTATTTTTAAATGTTGGTCTGTTTAATTGTCTACTACTAAATATAGGCTCCATCAGAATAAGGAGCATATCTTACTTATCTTCATATTTTTAGTACCTAGCAAAGATATTATCACATTATAATAATCTAATATCTATAGGAGAAAAAAGGGAAAGAGGGAAGTGTATTATTCCTTTCTCACACTGCAATAAAGAACTACCTGAGGCTGGGCACGGTGGCTCACACCTGTAATCCCAGCACTTTGGGAGGCCGAGGCAGGCAGATCATGAGGTAAAGAGATCAAGAGCATCCTGGCCAACATGGTGAAACCCTGTCTTTACTAAAAATACAAAAATTAGCTGGGCATGGTGGTGCGCACGTGTAGTCCCAGCTACTTGGGAGGCTGAGGCAGGAGAATCCCTTGAACCCGGGAGGCGGAGGTTGCAGTGAGCCAAGATGGTGCCACTGCACTCCAGCCTGGGCAGCAGAGCAAGACTCCATTTCAAAAAAAAAAAAAAAAGAACTACCTGAGCAATTTATGAACTACTGGGTAATTTATGAAGAAAAGAAGTTCAATTGCCTCACAGTTCAATAGGCTTAACAAGAAGCATGACTGGGAGGTCTCAGGAAACTTACAATCATGGTGGAAGGTGAAGGGGAAGCAAGCACCTGTTTTCACATGGCAGCAGGAAAGAGAGAATGGGAAGGGGGAAGTGCCCACACTTTTAAACCATCAGATATCATGAGAACTCAATCACCAGAACAGCAAGGGGGAAATCCACTCCCATGATCTAATCACCTCTCACCAAGCCCCTTCTCTGACATGTGGGGATTACGATTCAATATGGGATTTGGGTGGGGACACAGCCAAACCATATCAGAGGGGAAAGAATCCTTAAATAATCTAATACAAGGTCTGGAAGGATAAATAAATCATATTTTGGAGTGTTTGTGTTTTATTGATTTTCACAAGGTTCATTTCTATTTCCAGTGTTTAGTTGAATTTATTTAAATAATAATGACATATCAAAATCACTAAAGAAAGAATGCATATAATAGAAATCTGTTTTAAGACATTTGGCCATATTTCCTTATCCATCATTAGAATTTCCTGTTTCCAACTTGTATAGCAACATAAACTTTAAAATACTGCTTTAGGACAAAAAATGCTGGTGAGGATGTGGAGAAAGGGGCACTGTTATACACTGGTGGCGGGAATGTAAATTAATACAGCCATTATGGAAAACAGTATTGAAGTTCCTCAAAAACCTAAAATAGAACTACCATATGATCCAGCAATCCTACTATTGGGTATATATTTAAAGGAAAGTAAATAAGTATGTTGAAAGGCACTCCCACGTTTTTTGCAACACTATTCACAATAGGCAAGATATAGAATCAACCTAAGTGTCCATCAACAGATGAATGGATAAGGAAAATGTAGCATATATACATAATAGAATACTACTCAGCTGCAAAAAAGAATGAAATCCTGTCATTTATGGCAACATGGACGAGCTTAGAGGACATTATGTTAGGTAAAATAAGCCAGGCACAGAAAGATAAATACTACACATTCTCACTCACGTGTGAAAGCTAAAAAAAAAAGAAAAAATAATGATCTCATAGAAGTAGAGAGTAGAGTGGAGGTTACTAAAGGCAGGGAAGGGTAGAAGTTTTGGAGGGATAATAAGAGGTTGGATAACATAAAATTACAGCTAGATAGGAGGTATATAAGCTAGTTTTCTACAGTGCTGTAGGGTGACTATAACAATTTATTGTATATTTTCAAATAGCTTGACAAGCAGATTTTAAACGTTTCCAACACGAAGACCTTATAAATGTTTGAGGTATTGAATATGCTAATTACCCTGATTTGGTCATTACACATTGTACACATGTATCAAAATATCATACTGTGCCCCATACAAAGGTATTATGTGTCAATTAAAAATAATAAAAGCAAAAAAATTTTAAAAAGAAAAAATACTGCTTGAAGATACATGTCTCCTGTGGGAATCATGTATGTTAAAAGCTAATATTTATTTTTAAAAGCTAATTCTTTCCACTCCTGTAATAATATATGTTTAGTATTTATCTTATAGCATACCCTATCCATGCCTTTAGTGAAACAAATGCAAACTATTTAATCAATGCTCTATGACAGTTACCCAGAGAGTGAAGACCAAACGTAGATCTTTTCCACAAAAATTCCAACTTTTCTATAGTTTTGTTGATATTTGATAGTAAAATAGTCAAATGGTTTTTTGTGTTTTTTTTTTCTCTCAGTAGTCTCTATTTTTAGAGTAGTTCTCAACCTTGGCTATATAATAGAATCACCTGTTAAGCTTTAGGAACCCTGATGTCTAAGCCACATGCCAGACCAATTAAATCAGAATCTGGGGTAGGACAACATCAAGGCTTTTAAAGCTTCCTGAAGGATTCTAATGTATAACCAATTTTGAGGACCCCTTCTCACTAGGTACTTTTATATCTTCAATGTTTAGTTGCATTTATTAAAATAATATATATTTAAAGTGCTGCAGGCTGGGTGCAGTGGCTTACACCTGTAATCCCAGCACTTTGGGAGGACGAGATGGACGGATCACCTGAGGTCTAGAGTTCGACACCAGTCTGGCCAACATGGCGATACCCCATCTCTACTAAAAATACAAAAATTAGCCCAGCACGGTGGCGTGCCTGTAGCCCCAGTTATTCGGGAGGCTGAGGCACGAGAATCACTTGAACGCAGGAGGCGGAGGTTGCTGTGAGCCCAGATCGCGCCACTGCACTCCAGCCTGGACGACAGAGTGAGACCCTGTCTCCAAATAATAAAATAGTAATAATAAAAGTACTACAAATAAAGAATGCTTGCAGTGGAGATCTGTTTTAAAGCATTCAGCCATGTTTCTTTACCCATCTTTAGACATTTGTTTCACCTGTGGTAAACTTTAGACTATTATTAAGTCTAACCTGATTTAAATTTAGAGCTTCTCACCTCCCCAGCTTAGACCAGACAAGCACTGGGGCATAAAGCATGATTTGTTCTCTATTTTCCCAACTGTGATCATCTTTTTCACCTACTAATGCCAGGGTGTTGATAGCGAGGGAGGATGAGAAATAGGTTGTGTTAGGGGGCCACCTCTGCAACTCGCCTCCTCGCCACTACCACACACCCATTCAAACAAAGTGCTCTCCAGCGGACCATTTACCGCACCCATCCAGCTTTGATGGTACACTCTACATAGCCTCTTCCTATTTTACAAAGACCGTTGTAGCCTACCTATGCTCCCTTAAACCCACAGGAAACTTGACATTTTTGCCCCATCAAATTCTAGATGTCCAAACGATTCCCAATATAGCCTTGTTTCTTTGCTATCCAGGCAGCTCCAGGCACTGACCAGCCTCCTTTTTTTCAGACTGAAGCAGAGGAGAGTGAGGCAAAGGTCACAGTGTATTCAACTCCCAAACTTAGGGGACCATAGGTCGAATTTAACTTAAACGATCTGCTTTGGTTCCCTGCAGCACCTGGCTCTGATGTAGGGAGATGGGGCTTTTTTTTTTTTTTTCAGGAGTAAAGGGAAATGCACAAGACTATGATAATGCTCTTTAAAAAATTCTCAGCTGGGCGCGATGGCTCAAGCCTGTATTCCCAGCACTTTGGGAGGCCAAGGCAGGTGGATTGCCTGAGCTCAGGAGTTCGAGACCAGCCTGAGCAACATGGTGAAACCCTGTCTCTACTAAAATACAAACTAGCTGGGCGTGGTGACAGGCACCTGTAGTTCCAGCTATTCTGGAGGCTGGGGCAGGAGAATCACTTGAACCTGAGAGGCAGAGGTTGCAGTGAGCCGAGATCACGCCACTGCACTCCAGCCTGGGCGACAGAGCGAGACTTGTCTCAAAAAAAAAAAAAAATTGATCAATTTCCCTTCTGAAGCTTTAGTCTCTGCAAGAATATGGGGTTACCGCTCTTAGCTTTGGCCTCTTTTTAATTTTATTTTATTTTTATTTTTTATTTTTTATTTATTTATTTGAGACAGAGTCTCTCTCTGTCACCCAGGCTGGAGTGCAGTGGCGCGATCTCCACACACTGCAAGCTCCGCCTCCCGGGTTCGCGCCATTCTCCTGCCTTAGTCTCCCGAGTAGCTGGGACCACAGGCACCCGCCACCACGCCCGGCTAATTTTTTGTATTTTTAGTAGAGACGGGGTTTCACCGTGTTAGCCAGGATGTTCTCGATCTCCTGACCTCGTGATCCGCCCACCTCGGCCTATCAAAGTGCTGGGATTACAGGCGTGAGCCACCGCGCCCGGCCAGCTTTGGCCTCTTAACAAAGACTGCACAACAGGAAAAATCTCATGTTATGTTTTGTTACAGCTTTATGGGAAATCACATTTCTAGGAAGGAAGGAAAATTCAATAAAATGAGAGTCAATGAATAATTCCTTGACATGATTTCATCAGTGTAGCAACCATTGTTGCTTCTCAATCTGCTGGAATAGGAAGCACACAGAAACACCTTGAAATATTCCTTCCACAAATGTTGAGTCTGAATCTAATCAAGCTCTAGAGCTAACCACATGTTTATAAAAAATTTGGAGGAGGAAGGAGTAAGTTAAAGGATACCACAATTCAAAGTGTGGGACAATTGGTCTAATTTTTGCAAATGGTCAATGGTAAAAATTGAAAGAAAGAATGAGAGGGGGACTATTAGATTAAAAGAGATTTATGAGACATGGCAATCACAAGCAATGAGTGGACCTAGTTTGGAGTTTCATTAGAATAAGCCAACTCTAAAGACAGGTGTTTTTAGATAATTGTGGAAATTTAAATAAAGGATAAGTATTAAATGATACTAAAGAATTATTGTTAATCTTGTTAGATGTTAATGACATTGAAGTTATGTTAGAAATATCCATGTCAATACATATTGAACTATGTAGGGATAAACTAATGTGTTATCTGAGAGAGGCCACTAAATTCTTTAATAATAATAAAAAAGGCATGGATGACACAAATGTGGCGAAAGTCTTTAATTGTTGAATCTGAGTGATGAGCATCTGGAGCTTCATTATACTGTTTTCCATACTTTTCTGTATGTTTGTAACTTGGTCATAATTTTTAAAAAATTAAACATAATAATATCTAAAGTAATATCTCTGTTTTTGAAAAAGTAAATATACATGTCAGTTTTCTTTGTTAAAGCAGAAGACAAACATTGTCAATCCCCTACTCTTCTATGTGCATGAGTTGGAGGAGAAAACAAAAGCCTGTGACTGTTGGATTCTTATTTGAACAAAGAATATGAAGCCTAGGCAATATAGCGAGACCCCAACTTTACCACAAAAAAAAAAAAAAAAAGCCTAGCATGGTGGCACATGCCTGTAGTCCCAGCTACTTGAGAGGCTGAGCTGGGAGGATTGCTTCAGTTCAGGAGGTCGAGGCTGTAGTGAGCCATGATTGCACCACTGCACTCCAGCCTGGGAACAGAGTGAGATGCTGCACCCCTCCCCTGCCCCCCAAAAAGGAATATGGGAGTCATATGCCATATATATTAACATGGAAAACAAACAGTTCATATACAGGAGGTCCATAATTTGCAAAATACAGACAGTAATGACTTAACACTTTTCTACTAGAACTGCTAAACAACAACTATTTAAAAGAAGGAGTTTACTCTTAGATTTTCCGTTATATTAAATGGAATCTGGTTGGCATGATGATTCCTTTAATGAAAAACTACATAGTTTCCATCCACTGGCATAAGAGTGGAATAGAAATGTATAGCTAAATAACAGTTTATGGTCCATACTTGCAATATCATAGTCCATTTTGGGAAGTAACACCTAAACAAGTTCAGAGGAAAGCAATACTAATGGTGAGAGATCCCAAAGCCATATATGATCATGGAGGAATGGTCTCAAAGGGATTAGAAATGATTAGCATGGAGAAAATAAATCTCAGTGGCATAACATAGCACACTGCAGGTGTCTGACATACAAAATACCAAAGAGATTGGAAAACACAGAACCAATTAGTGGAAATTATAGGAAGGCTGATTTTGGCTTTGTATGAATGTTAGGAAAAACAATTGCCAATAGGCCTTAAACCTCCCAGAGCATTTTTTCCTGGGCATACCAAGAATGCAAAGCTTTGACCTTTTTTTAATGCCACCATTTTTCAAGATTGTGTTTGCAGAAAGCAACCTTAAGGGATAAGTTTAGGTCCCACTTTGGGAAAAAGAGCCACCTTACTTTCTGCTTATTATAAAAGCAGTGGATTCCCCAAGCTCAGTATTCCTAAGACACAAATCCACTATATGCACGAGATATACCTGGACCCTTCTATGGTGCCTCCATGGGACATAAGGAGAACTTACTCAAATATGATGTTCATGCTGCTTGCTAAGCATGAATAATGAAGTCTTCTATCTCATGTCTTCCGCCAACATTTAAGAAACAGTGATAGGCTAATTTATTAACTTGTAAGTATGGTGAGGTCAAGAAATCTCATACCCAACAATGGAGAACACATTAGTTAGCAGATTTCCTATCCAGAAGTGTTCACATGTGGATGTGTAAACTTCTTGGAGAAGATGATGTATAAACGTAGCAAAAAATAAAGTTTCAGACAAGTAGTTTTTCTTAGACTTTCAATGTTATTTCAGTTCCGTAAATTGTATTATTCCTTTTTAGGAAACACAAATATAATTGGACTTATCTACAGAATACCAGGACTCCCTAGGAAGTCTCTACATAAATATGGTCTCAATATTCATTTAAATGACCCAAATTCCATCCATTGTCTGCGTGTATTTCCACTCTAGTAAACCTTTAGTAGCTTTCAGATAAAGGGAAATCCAAGATTATTATGCCAAAAGTGTAATTCTCTTAGACTTCATGCCAGAGTTCTTAGCATCCAAGGCAGTCAAGATTACCATATCCAAGGTATATACTACCAATATGACTTAGTATTGTTGATCATATGACTGAGGCAGTGTTTGCCAAATTTTTCCACTGTCTAGTCTCTGCTATGACATCCCTCTTCCTTCCTTACTAGAAGTTGAGTATCTCTGATTCATCTTATTGGAAATTCACTGACATTAGTTTTATTAATATTAATAAGAAGTTAGTATCTATAGTGTTGGTAAGCACACATAATATTTTTCTCCCATTGCCAAAAGCCTCTGGTAATATTTATCAGAATACTTTGAAAATGTGTATTAAAGTCTAGTCTAGAATTTTGAATGAGTGGTGTAATTCAGTTTGGGATTACATAGGATCTATGGCCTTCACTGAATGCAAGCAAAGCTTTAACACTAGCATCATAGTCAAAACCTCTTTGTCCTCTTCGTTCGCAAATGCTTTGTGCATCACACAGATATATCCACTGGGTGGCAGTATGTACTCAAGAATATTTACTGTTTCTAGTTGCCTCAATCTAACGGAATTTAAAGATGTCAAACTTTTTTTATCTGGAAAATAGCCATTGTAGTGAATCTTAAGAAACAGTATTGTCTGAATGCAAGCTCCTCCCTAGAGATGATTATGGAGATTATAATAATGTTAATATTATATACTTCCTACCATTTACTCTCAATCATATTCTTTCTTCTGCCAACAATACTCTTAGCATGAGAACTGGTAAATACCTATTATCCTACCTCTTATTTCTGTAACCTATCTCTTAGTTCTAAGGAACTTGCCTGGTGATAGACTTTTCCCTTTCTCCATTTTGTTTCTTAAATATCATACCCTCTCCACAGTGAAATCAAGAGATAGACCTTTAAGCTTCTGTATAGTACCATATGTACCCCTTTAGTTCTGCACTACCTCCTAGACAAATAGAGCAGATTCTAGATATTCACATAGTCTTGCAAAGTCATATGGTTCTCTTTCACTTAAATTAATTCTGTCTGAAATGCAGAATGGCACCAATTAACTTGCTCTACGTAAGATTGTCTTCAATGAAGAGAGGGAAAACCTTCCAAGAAATTAAATTGTGTAATCAGGTAGGACTACAACTATGAGAAGAAATCACAAAAATAAACATATTTTAAAAACTGAAAATAAAATACTAACTTAGTTGTGTTAGATGGTGAAATTATGAAAGCTTTTGTTTCCTTTTTCTGCATTTGTGTAGTTTTTCCTATATTTTCTTTAATGAACTATACTTTTTTCAAATAAAAAATATATAACTGCTCTTAAGCCATCTTTTATCTTCCTCCTGCCTCAAAGGAAAGATTCTTGCTTTTAAAATATCCTATCTAGTTTTCTGCTATCTAATTTTCCAAAAGATATTTAGTAATAGTTTGACGTTTCCTTGCATCTCCGAACATGGCACTAGTTTCTGATGAGTGTGATGGGAGATTTGACCCATTTTTTAAAATAAACTTTTTACAGAGAGTTGCACAGATAGTGCAGAGTTCCCATACACCCAACACTCAGTTTCATTTATTAGAAACATCTTACATTAGTTTGGTACATTTGTTGTGATTAATGACCCAATATTGATACATTATTATTAACTAAATTCCATACTTTATTCAGATTTCCTTTGTTTTCACCTAGTGTTCTTTTTCTGTTCTAGGATCCCATCCAGGATAATTTATTACAATTTATTTGTCATATCTCCTTAGATTCTTCTTGGCTATCACAGTTTCTCAGACTTTATTTTTCATGACCTTGGCAGCTTTGAGGAGCACTGGCCAGGTATTTTGTATTAACAGAATGTCCTTCAATTGGGATTTGTCTGATGTTTCTCTCATGATTAGGGTGAAGATATGGATTTGGGGGAGGAAGACCACAGAGGTAACGTGCTATTCTCATTACCTCACATGGAGGGTATGTGCTACCAACCTGACTTAGCATTTGTTGATAGTCTGACTGAGGCAGTGTTTGCCAGGTTTTTCTATCACAAGGTTACTCTTTCATTGGCCTTCCCATACTACACTCTATAGCAGTGTGTGCAGAGCCCACACTTAAAGAGTGGAGGGTTGTGTTTCACACTGTGACGGTGGAGTATCTACATCAATTATTACAAATTCTTCTATACCTGAGATTTGTCTACTCTCTCCCATTATTCAATCATTTATTTAAGTTAGTATGAACTCATGGATATTTATTATATACTTTAGATTATAATCTAATATTATTTTATTTGTTTTTCTTAAATTGGCCATTGGTGCTTTTTCAGTTGGGTTCCTGTGTCCCTTTGACGTACTCCCACTATTGTGGGGTGTGATTTTAGCACGCTGCTACTTGCTGGCACTACTAGTACTTCCGAATCATCTTATATAGCCCCTCCCTGGTCCCTAAATTGGATAATGCTTTTTAACTCTCATCATAAAGATCAGTATTGAAAAGGACACACTGAGTGTCTATTGCATAAAGACCTTGTATTAGGAATACGACTTTTTAAAAAGCCTCCTTTTGGATAGATCTTTTGCTTTAGCTGAGAAAATTAGACAAATACATACAATAGCATAATCCCATTTATTAAACATAATATTAGCCTAAAAAGAAAAAAATCCACATAGCAGTGTGTACTCACCCTTCAAACCCCACCTGTGAGTATGGCCTGGATACTCATAGGAAGGGGTCAAATGTGCTGTGTAGGAGGGGATTCGGAGGCTGGACAAAATAGGAGGAATGTCATCTAGAAAGCTATCATTAGAAACATCTGGCTAAAGAGAAACAATGATGACATAATCAGAAGAGAACTTAGAACCAGCAAGTTTCCTCCAGCTGTGAGTTCAAATTCAACTGCCAGAAGTGTACATATCACTCCTGACAGACCCTCTGATGTTGTGACTCTTCAAGGACTTTTGAACTCAGCTAATAATTTTTCAAATAAAAATCCCAATATACATATATAACAAAAAAGATATGTAAAAATTTCTTACAGTTATATTTGAGTTTTTGTTGAGTTTGTGCTATATATAACATATTGTTATATATATATAATTTATATATAAAAAACTCAAATACTATAACTGTAAGAAATTTTTACATATCATTTTTTTTAGATAAATAAACTAAAACCCCAATATAAAGTCAGGAATGGTAGAGCTGGGAGAGAGGTCTGTGACCTCCTGGGAATCACTCGACAGTTAGTGTGAAACTAGATGCCAACTGTCTTGACCTTTGGATCAGAGCTTTTTTCATCACAGAGCTTTGCTTCATTGAATAATTTATTTACACATTCCACTCATCCATTTATTCTACAAAAAAAATTTAATAGCTCCTTCATGCCTGACACAGTGCTCAAGTTTGTAAGTACAAATTTTGAGAGTTTGCACTATTGTAAAGAATTGAATAACAAAATTAGATAAACTGCCACCAGGTGGCATAAATCCTCATACTGGCAAGGACGTTTGTAGGTAATTTGTAGTAACTATTCAGTTTTTCCTCTTAGACTTTTTTTTTCTTTTTCAAATTCAGATGGTGAGAACTGGTCTGAATGTACAATTCAGTCTTACTGTTTTCCATCAAGGTGTCACCAATCTTCCAGTCTCCCAGGCAGAAGTTTTTGAGGTATGTTTTGGTTTCATCTTCTACTTATTGAGTCACAGCTTATTCAGATTGGCTACTTTCCTCATCTTTAGCTCCTTTATAAAAACCTTCAATTTAGCAGTGTCAGGGAAAAAAAAAACTACCTTGGGTTGTTCTTAGCCTACTGCAAGTTCACTGCTGCCTCTGCTCCTGCTGTTCCATTTCCCTGAAATTCCTTCTTCTAAACTCTTTCATCATTGACTCACCAATGTTCAACAAATATTTGAGTGGTTGTTATGGTGATGCTGATATATGAAATGCCAAACTATATACTTTCCTCACATGCCAGCATCTGCTATGTCCCTCCCTGCCCTTCTGACAGTAGAGAAGTTCTAGTAGGTTAAATGCGTATACGATCAAATAATTGCTATATTAGGGGCATTTACCAGCCATCGTGGTGACCAAAGTATCAGCTTTGCAGAGGTGATCAAGAAATAAATTGGTCCTTGGTTTAGATATAGAGGTAAGTCAACTAGTTTAAATGGATACAGGGTCAAATATTGTCCTACACAGTGAGATAAAATGCATTGGCACTTCAAGTCTGACAATTTTAGACTCTGAAATTTTAGATGGGAAGAAGGTATGATGCATATAGGCAAGTGGCCAAAGTTGATTTTAAAAAGAAAGGCTGAAACCAGATTAAAAGGGCCCTTGAAGGACATGCAAAGAAGTTAGGACTTTATCTTTTAGGCATTAGAACCATTACAAGATACAGAAAGGGGATGATGTGAACAGATTTGCATTTTAGATCCTCTCTGGCTGGATGTGGCATGGATTGGAGAGAGGTGAGACCAGATATGTGCAACCAGCTGGGAAATAACCCTAGAGTCTGGGTGGGTGGGGATGTTAAGGCCTGAACCAAGTAAAATCTGTGCTGAAGGAGAGGCAGGGATGGATCTGAGACAGTCAACAGAATTTGGTGAGGAATCAAATATGGGAATAAGGAGAAAGTACTTTGTGACTGCCAGGTTCCTGGCTTAGGTCACTGAGTGAGGAGTGATGCCTTTAACTAGGCATAAAAGGATACAGGAGGCTGAGCAGCTTTTAGGGGGTGGTGGTGGTAGTGGTGGTGGTGGTGAATGTTTTGAGTTTACTTTGAGATGACTGTATGATTATTTGCACTAATCAATTTCATACATTAATATGTAGGTTAGAATGAAAGGTCTCAGTAAAGAAAACTTTCTTACTACCATTCATTCATCAATCGATTTGTCAGCCAAAAGTGCCTCCTTTATGTCTTATAAGGAGTTAGGTGCAATGGGTATTATGAACCTTACATCCCAAATTTTCCAAAGTGGTTTTATTTTTCTACAGTTTTTATTTTTGACAAATGCCATTCATTCAATATTTACTTAATATGACTAAATTTTTATGTCTTGTAAGACTTTTCTTACAAGTTAATAAATCACTAAAATGTTTACAGTATGAATTCTGCAAGTAAGGTATTTGTAGCCTAATCCAGAAGAACTCCATACTCACTAGAGAACCATTTAGTGGTAAACTGCAATGTTGTAAGGTTTCCGGGGCATCCAGAAAGTGGCTCTCATTTTGGGTAGGAGGAATTAGGAAGGGCTGCACCAAGAAGCTAGAACTGCAGCAAGGATCTGAAGATAGAACAATAGCTGCAAAGTCAGACAGTGGGTGAAGAAAGCAGCATCAGGAAAAACATCTGGTTCGAATGACTTTGGTGCGTTCAAGGGAGATTGAAGACCTTGGCCTCTCTTGATTAGCCTTTTGGCTCAGTCACAGAGGGTGACTAAATTCATCTGAGGGGGGTTGTATAATTCCTATTACTACTTTCTTTTTTTTTTTTTTTTTTGAGACGGAGTCTCGCTGTCGCCCAGGTTGGAGTGCAGTGGCGCGATCTCGGCTCACTGCAGGCTCCGCCCCTCGGGGTTCACGCCATTCTCCTGCCTCAGCCGCCCTAGTAGCTGGGACTACAGGCACCCGCCACCTTGCCCGGCTAATTTTTTGTATTTTTTTTTAGTAGAGACGGGGTTTCACCGTGTTAGCCAGGATGGTCTCGATCTCCTGACCTTGTGATCCGCCCGCCTCGGCCTCCCACTACTTTCTTATATGTATCTTCAATTTGGGATCAACTTTGTGATGATTTGTCTAAGGTATAATGAAAATTTTTACTTCTGTGGTTTCCAGATTCTGTTTTTTCATTCCCTTCCTGGCATTTTTCAATTTGCATCTCATTTTGATTTTCAGCTTTTCTGACCTTAGTCATAAAAGCTTTTGATAAATTTTAGTATTACATAATCACCCTTGTTTCTCCTTTTAGTAACATCCCCATTTGCCTGTGAGGTCCACATGTAGCCTTTTGAGGTAATACAATTGAAACTTTTATTACAATTAACTGTGAATAATAAGATAAAATATATCCTCAAGAGCTGTAAATGAAATAAACACTTGGTACTGAAAATCTATAATGTAATAAGGATATATAATAGTGCCTCCTGCACATTCGATAAATGTAGTAGACATTCAAGAAACATTTTCAATGGATGAATTTTACACAATAACCTAAAGAAGACTGCATCTTCTTTGTTAAAAAAGTTTGTTCTGCCAAAGCAAGAAATACAGCAGGAGGCTCAGGGCATAATCTGCCAGGCCCGGTGCTTCTGCAAATGATTTCCTCTGGTTTTGTCCTCAGTCAAGGCAAGCTCTGGCTTCCTGGTGCTCTGAGGTGAGATGAGGGTCAGGGACCTGGTGTGTCAACTCCCTTCTCTCCAAGCGGCCCTAGTTCAGGGATCTGTATGAAATGCATCAAAACATCAGTCCAAGTGGCTGACATCCACTTCAGCTATTTGTTTGCAAATAGGAGTTCTAAATGCTTTGAAAACAGTTTGTTCTTTAAAGTTGGTAAGCATTCCTTTTATAATTTGTCTACACTCTTTTTGAACAAGCTACTAATATTACTGATAAAATAAAATGAAAATTCAACTAGCCTTACTTTGATGGTTGGTCATAAGTTCAAAATAATCAAAGTCCAAATTAATGAGATTTTATTATCTATGTATACAAGTTTACCTATATAGGCTTACATGTATGTGAATTAAGAATCATAGCAATTTAGCACTGGAAGGAAACATAAAAAAGAATTCTTTCTAAACCCTACATTTTGCAAATGAAGAGATATGTAACTAGTAAATTGTTCTTTTTCTTGCACCCAAGAGACTAGTTCTATATTTAAACACAATCCATAAATAGCCTCCTTTACAGATATAATTTGCTGTGATTTCACGGCTCTGCTGAGCACATTACATGTTACGTAATGCTTTTACTTCTATTAGCTGTGTCTTAGCATCTCCTATAAATCTGCAGCCTCTTTGAAGGTAGAGATTATA
The DNA here is from genome assembly GCF_000001405.40 of Homo sapiens. Taxonomy (NCBI): domain Eukaryota; kingdom Metazoa; phylum Chordata; class Mammalia; order Primates; family Hominidae; genus Homo; species Homo sapiens. The sequence goes on from NC_000013.11 coordinate 43,912,148, forward strand.
TTTATTTTTGCATTCCCCAGAGAACCTGCCCCAGCCCTATCCCCACAGCTGATTCTGGATTGAGCATCCAGCATCTGCAGGTGGCCATGAGCCTATGCGGAAATCAAGGAACCAGGCTCTGGGTTCCTGTGGGTCGCCTGTGGGCTAGGCAAATTTTCTTCTGCTTCAGAACATCTGATAGTTTCTCTGGATTGCCTTGTTTGTATTTGGAGTCCTGTTGTCTCTATTCTTCACCTGATAGTTATGAAGCTGTGCCCCTATGCTGAGGCCCACCCATCCCATTGTTTTCCCCATCCCAACCTCAACTGTCTTAAACTAGACTGGATTTGCCATTCCCTTATTTGGGCACAAATTAGAATTGCTGCCACTTCTCCACCCTCTCACCATTGTGCCCTTCACCTCCGCGTGCTGTGTGGTAAATAACCCAGGCAGCCTGCAGTGATCCCACTCTTAGAGCTAAAGCTATTGCTTGCTTTGCACTGTTACATAACATAAATGAGTGCTCAATGATTTGAAAGAATAAATTTGGACATTAATGATTCACTTAACAAATACTTATTGAATACCTAATATATACCATACCACCATCACCTTATTCTCTGTGCTGGGATATAGCAGAGAATAAAACCAAGTCCCCGCCCTCATGGGATTACATTCTAGTCAGGGAGGTACACAATAAGCAAATAAACAAATAGACATATAATATAAAGTCACTGCTAAAAAGTAAGTGCTGTCACAAAATGTAAGGGAAGGGAATAGAAAATGACAGGAGGGAGTGCTATTTTAGACAGGATAATCAGGAAAGGCCTGGACATACTGACATATTGGAATCATCTGAACATAGATGGTATTTAAAGGATAGAGTAAGTGAGATCATCTGAAGAATAACGTGGTTAGTGAAGAGATGTGTGAGGACTCAGCCTGGGGCACTCCAACAGTTAGAGGTAGGGAAGACAGGGAGGGTTCAGGAAGGAAGGAAGGTTGAGGAGGAACAGCCAGAGAGGGAGAAGGGCAAGCAGGATAGAGCAGTGCTTTGGAAGCTGAATTGAGAAAGTATTTCAAAAAGGAGGACAATTGGCTACAACCAAGATTGACATTTGGATTGGCAATGTGGAAGTTAATGGAGTTACCGCCATTATAGTAGTAGCTTCACTGAAATGTGGGGGGACTCTGATAGGAATCTTCAAGACAGAACAGGAGACGAAGAAATGGAGAGATGAATGTGCACTGTGTCTTTGAGGTCCACTGCTACAAAAGGAACAAGAAAAGAGGCAGTATCTACAAAGAGCTGTGAAACCAAAAGAGGCTTTCGTTGTTATTGTTGTTGTTCTTTTTTAAGATGGGAGAAATCACAGTATTTTTATGTGCAAAAACAAAGATGCAGGAAATAGGGAAAACTGGTGATACAAAACAGAGAGGGGTTATTGTACAGGCAAGACGCAGTGAGATTCAAAGATAGGACATTTCGAAAGAGGGCAAACTGATAGTCAATGGTAAATTAACCATTTTGGCAAGCATACATTTCATTTTTGGTCTATTTTGCTTTCTCATCAAGTTGTGGTTAATGACATGTATGAAATTTTTATAATAAGAAGAATATGATTGTGCAGAATTTTAGACAGTGGCCCTTCAGTGAAGTCATTGGTATTTTAATCAAAATGATTTGCAGGTTCTAATCCCAAAACAACTTGAAATTTCCAGCCCTTAGTGTATGGTAAATTATCCATCACATTACCGTAATTAGACCCATATAATTAAAACAATAGCAGCTTCTTTTATGTCTCTGTGGCACTTCTGCTAACGGGGCTTTAGTTCTCTCCAGTAAAGCCTCAGAGAAACCCAAATGGGAAAAGTATGACCCTATAAACAGAAAAGACAACCTTTACTATTTGGGTTTTTCTTTTTATAGTACCTCAATTCTGAGTTCCCAGGCATAAATATAGGTAGAAACTGACCTAAAGTCCAATCTACTTTTTAGAAAAATATGTATTCCACAAGATGCAAAATTTAGATAAAATAAATAAGAAACAAGATTTTCAGAACATCAGAGCTATAAAGAAAGATCACCCTCAGTGAGTATAAAACCTTAATTAAGACAGCTATGATAGATTCCTTTTAATGTAAAACCAGTGATTTTTACAGACATTAAAGATCACCTATTTCAACCACTTTATTTTATAGATGAATAAACTCAGTGCCCAAATGGTTAAATAACTAATACAAAGATGCTTAGGTGATTAGTGGCTATATTGGGTGGATTTTAAAATTAATTTTAAAAAACTGAAATAATAATATTTATTGAGTGTTTCCATATACCAGGCACTGTGCTGATCACATTACAGTCATACCCTCATTTAAAATTTACAGCAACTATATGAGGTGGATAATAGGAGATCTCTTCACCAGCTGCCACTGAATTGACTTACTAACTTCACCACTCGTCTCCACTTTCTTCTTCGTCAAACACACGGACTGATGCTGGTACTATGTTAAATGCTTGAGGCTGGTAAATTTATTTGAAAATTTCTTTTCACTTACCCAATCTGCAGTCTGTAGTCATAATCTACGTTGGCATCAGTATCACCTGGGTACTTGTTAAAAATGCAGATTCTCAAACCCCAACCAGACTTACTGGATCAAAAACTGGGGGTGGGGTTTAACAATTTATGTTCTCCATTCAAGAGATTCTGATGCATGCCAAAATAGAACACTACTTGAAAGGCTAATACAGGGGCCAAGCAGAAGCTCCTGGAGCTCCTTCCTCATGCTACCAAAAGAGTAAACCAAAAGCAATACTGCATCCTTGAAGCACCATAGAGATCATTGCCACCACTGAAAACTTAGAAGCTATGTACCTAGAAGCTATGTTTGTTTGGAGAAGTGATTCCTTTCATATTCAGATTTAACATACAAATTTGACTGGATTTTCATGAATGGCAATGGATTATTAAAACTCAACCAATGGTTACTTCAGTTAAGCTGCTGTTTCAGCTGTGGCCTTTTTTATTGAAACAAACTGACACCTCTCTTGGCATCTAACATGTAGTCATTAAATTAGCCCATTTTCCCACTATTCCAAAGAACAATCTTGTCTAAGGCTTATGTCAGCTCTTTGGCTCTGTGTCAAAATTAGGCCCACAAGGACCTTAACTGTCCTAACACCTCACAGAGCATCACATTAGTACACTACATCTGTGACATTTTACTGTTAAGATCTGCATAGCAGGGAGTAACAGATACCCTAGAAACCTTTAAGGCACATGCGTGGCAGTAGCTGGAGGAGAAAATCCATGAACATTTAGGTGCCTACCATGTCAGCGAAGTTTCTAGAGTCAGGTTGTTTTCATCATATTGGATTATTCTGTCCAGAGGCAAACACTGTGCGCCTTTGTGCCCCTACCACTGAGAAAGAGGCACAATGTTTAACAGGTGTCTTTGGATTTTTGAGGCAACATATACTACATTTGGTTGTTCTGCTCTGACTCATTTAGTCACTGACCAAAAATATTTCCAGCCTTGAATGGAGTCCAGAGCAAAAAGAAATCCATGGTTGTACAGACTTTAGTTATAAGAGGCTCTGGCTCTGCAATTTCAGCTTTTCTAAACCAGTGGATCATAGGTTCTTTTTTTTTTTTTTTTTTTTTTGAGACAAGAGTCTTACTCTGTTGCCCAGGCTGGAGTGCAGTCGCGCGATCTCGGCTCACTGCAAGCTCCGCCTCCCAGGTTCACGCCATTCTCCTGCCTCGGCCTCCTGAGTAACCACCACGCCCGGCTAACATTTTGTATTTTTAGCAGAGACGGGGTTTCGCCGTGTTAGCCAGGAAGGTCTCGATCTCCTGACCTCATGATCCGCCCGCCTCGGCCTCCCAAAGTGCTGGGATTACAGGCGTGAGCCACCGCACCCAGCTGGATCATAGGTTCTTTAAGTGTCTGTGGCAGATAAGGAATCTAAATGGAGCCTGCTCCTGCACCAAGTTCAACTAAGAGAATCACGGTGTGAGCCCGTAGGATCTTGGAGCAAGTCTATGACCTCTTTATCAAGTCACTGTTTTCCTTCTGAAAACAGTTTGTGGCTTGCTGCCAGGTCCTGATAGGAGTGAATACCTGACCATAGGTCTACAAATGACCTAAGCTTTCCAATATCAATTGATTGTTTGGATCTAGCTGATCATAAAGTTAAATGTGTCTAGAGATTCTCCATCAGCAAATAAAAATGCTGTATATGACATTGGGCCTGAGCAAAACCCAAAGGCAGTGTTAAGACGTTAATAGGACTTGTTTCCACTCCCATGAATAGAAGGCTGCTCATCACCATTTCTCCCTCAATTTGTACATATGGCCCCATGGGAGTTCCCTATATCATACTGCCTGCAGAGAAAAAAATTTGGTTCTGCCCAAAATGGCACCAGACATTCATAGGTGACATGAGAGGCAGTGGAGAAGGAAAATATTTCCACTAGATTAAACTTCAAATGAACTTGAACTTCTCATGGTGAACTTCACCTAGAAAAAAATACTTTGCTTGAGGAAGTTGCTCTCAGATTATCAATTTTAACCACTATACCATTGGAATCATAAGACATAAATAATAACACATTTATATTAGTAGGTAATCTACTAAGTTCAATGGAAAAATTGACCCAGCTTGAAAGTATAGTCCACTCTGAGAACTTATAGCATAGCAAATGGTGTACATTCTTTAATCAAACACCATCTGTTTTAATAAGCTACACCACAATTATGTTGTCTAGCAAACCACCCAAAACTGTGGTGTAGAGTAATGAGTATTTCTGGCTGACACATCTAAAAGTCAATTGAGGTTTGGCTGACCCAGCTTGGCTTTGGGAGGGCTTGGCACCAAATGTCTCTCATCCTCCTTGGACTACTTGCTGCACAAGACATGCTCTTCTCGTGGTGAAAGGCAGGAGTTCAAGAGAGCAAGCCCGGTTATGCAAGCTCAGTTCAAGCCTCTGCTCAGGTCATGGTCACTAGCATCCTATTAGCCAAAGCAAGGCATATGGGCAAGACTAAATTCCAGGGGTTAGGGAATATACTTTTCTCATCAAAGAGGAGGATAAAGGTGAATATTTGCAGAACAATTCTAATCTACCATACTACCTGAATTTAAAAATGGAATTTTTGTTTTTACAAAAATATTATTCAGTATGTTGTCAAAGGGCTGCACTAGTACAAATAGTTGATTCAACACAATTTCACAAATATTCATTGAATGTTTTTTATTTGTTGGGCACTATGTTAATTATCCAAAATTTAGGAATGGATAAGACATAGTCTCTGCCTTCAAGAATCTCACAGAAGGAACTGTAAACAAAATTTGATGTGATGAATGCAACAAAAGCCTTTACAATTCTCTGAGGTTGGTGTTGTGGCCATTTTACACAGAAGAAACTGATACTCAGAAAGATTAAATGATTTGTCCAATATTATACAACAGATAAAACTGAAATTCAAATTTCAGTTCAAATTTGGGAGTGGGAACTAAAACCTTAAACTCTTCCTATCATTCCACATAACCTTCCCCTGAAAGTGAGCACAGAGGTGATCCAGTCTAATACCTCACTTGATACTGGGCTCTTGGTATCTGTAAGGTGACATAATGCCAACATCTTGGTCAATTGACCCCAGGATAACAGATTTAGAATGAATTACATATGCTTTCCCCTGCTCCATAATTCTACTCTTCTTACTTTGGTTAGATTTACTTAGAGTGCCCATCAAACTAATCTTGATAATAATATTAAGCAGTAAGTCAGATTTGCATACCTCTTTTGGGCTAAGAGAGATCTTAGATGCTGGAGGATGCTTTAGTCAGGCTGCATATTTTTAAAATATGTGAGTCACAGGCAATAACTCTTTAGTGGATAGAACTTTTGTTAATATAAACGATTCTGATGACAAAGGTATAAACTGAACAGACCATTTTGTCCTTCATTTCTGAGAAGTAAAATGTCTGTGGTCAGTAATCAGGTATCCTGAGGGCTAGTGTGTAAGTATAATTATGACTTTCAGCTCTATTAGCCACTGTGAAGCTATTACTGTAATGTTTTATTTTAATATTTTCTTAATGTGTATCATAACAGTTTCAATATAAAATGGCTCTTCATATTTGTGCAGAAGAATTTTCATGAGTTTGAAGAATATTCGCCATAACCCTATTGAGGCAAATTATAGGTACCATATTATTGTTTCCATGTTAAGAAAGAGAAACTGGAGAGAGAAAGAAAATATGCGCTTAACTTTGGTAAAGTACCAAGTCACTGGAAAAGTCAAAGATAGGACTGGAGTCTAGTTATTACTAGCCTGGATAGTAGACTTTTGATTCTTGAAACAAAACTTTTAGGGAAGTATTAAGGGCACAAAAATAAACTCAACCTCTAAGGCTTAATTTTGTGTGGCTTGTCAGAAAAAGATTGAATCATCACATTTAATGCTGGGGCAAGAAACCAGGATAATTATGAATATTAGAAAGGGCTCAGAAGCTTGTTGAATCACAATATTTCTGTGCCATCATTTTATACTGAAGGATATTTATGTTCCGTTTATTTTTTGCAGTGAGTTTCACGTTGGTTGTTTGGGGTTGATTTCAGTACGCTCCAGTTATGGTTAGGGCAATACTAAATGACAGTGTTTTGTTACTTGAGTTCTCCCTCTTCTTTCACAACTCCCAAGCTTGTCAGTACTTGAAGGATTGCTTCCATGGACGCTCAGTATTGAAAGTGTGTCTCAGTATTGAGAGTTTCTTTCTCAAATAATCCCAGTCAAAGCTGCATACCTTGCTTCCCTTTCCTGAGGCCTGAGCACTGGAACGGGGCTGGACTGGGCCCATTCTTCAGGTAGCTTGCAATATTAAATGTGTTAGAAAATACTTTCAATAGACCTCCACAGAATCAGGAAAATAATGACAAGAAAAATACATACATCATTCCTAATTTTAGGTCTAGATACTCAGAGAATAACTGCCTTATTTAAAGTGGGCAAATACCCTTAGAGAGCTTTAGGGGCTGTTTCCACCTGTGTGCTTCTGAGGCAGAAACAGATTCTCAGATGTTTATCTTCTGAAAGGAAATTTGTTTACACAAAAGGGAGGTGAGGAGATGGCATGATATTTTAGAATGACTTGTCTATGAACCTATATGAGCAGACCACGGGCATAAGAAACTAGATCTATTGGAAATTAATATACTTTCTTTTTAATTTTTTTGTCTTATTTCTAAAGAGACAAATGGATGGAAAAACTTTTTGGCCCTCTTCCTTAGGATCAGAAGGTAAGCATCTTCTCATCATGGGATGGATTATTTGGAAACAAGTCCATTAAAGAGAGCAATTTGAGATGGGAATACTCAACCTATTTTCATGCCAATAATGGATCCTTCCTCATTGCTGTGTTTAAAAATTTCCTCAGCCTGCTTGGAAGGGCTGGAATTTATCAATTTAAGCATTTCCGTGACATCAGTTTTGTATTTCTCCATCTGAATTTCACAAATGCTTTTAGCTAGAAGGTATTTTTTCAGAATATTTAAAAAAGGTCAGAATAGCAAAAGTTTACAAGATCATTTTCTGTTTTTTTTTTCCTTTTGGTAAAATGAAACTGCTTCAATAGTCAATTGCCAAATGATCTATTCTAATTAAATAATTGTTTTCTTAATTATTTCCATGGCTTGCAGGGTTATGGTTTTTTAAAAAATTAAGTCCTATAGAAAACTCATGTAACTTGCACTGAAATTTTTTGCAAATCATTCCTTTCTCCTTTAAAAATCCTTTCATGTTTCTCTCCTGTAGAGATTGAATTACTTGTGTATCCTTTTTGTTTTAAGGCAGACTGTTCAATTTCTTTCAGTTTGTTGATTCAGTCATCACTTCTATTATAAGTATAATTCAACTAAACTTATTATTACGGGTTTTTTTTTTTATTCTTTCCTCTCTTTATTTTGGGAAATTGAATCAATATGCTAATGAATTTCTTTTCTGTGAGGGAGCCTTATTGTTCCTGTAATGAAGGTTCCTATTTATTTGGACATCTCTAGATACAATTTAATTGTTTTTTTGGTGGTTGAACTTTTTTCCTTTGGATAAACACCTATTCTGTGCCTTTCCCTTTCTGTACTTTTCTTTTTTCATGGTTCAGATGGTATTGTTCAACTATCTTAAGGAGAATTCAAACATTGCTCAGGTGAGATTCAGGTTTTTTGGTCCCATAATAGGGAAAGCAAAAATGATTATTAGATGAAGTGCATGCAAATGAAAACCAGAAGTTGAGATGGATGGAGCTGATTTTATTTCTAAGCGACTTCAGAATGCCAGTATCAGGGCTAGAACCCAAATGTATTCCCTCTGATTTCAGATCCTAGATTTGTTTATTGGCTGTGTTGTCTCACTGGTCCATTGGCCAGGTTTGTTTTCTTCTGAGGGAGAACAGTAGCTGGAAACAAATAGAAACTAGTTTACATCTTCCAGGAAAGATTTTGCCCTGCTAACTTTAGCTCCTTCCGCAAAGTTGTTAAAAGTCTATTGGCATGCTGAAGAAAAGGCATTCAAGTTCTTCGTCATTAATGAATTAATTAATCAACACACATTACTATCCACTATGCCCTGTGGGTATACAAAGATAAATACAAATAACACCCTCTGTTTATTAAGCAAACCCATTTCTAGGAACTTTTTTCGTATCTTCTTTCTAATTTTCACAACCATCTTTCAAGGGAAGTATTGTTATCCCCATCCCCATTTTACAATGAGTAAACTGGTATTGAGAGAGTTGAAGTGACTTGCTCAAAGTCACACAACTAGTAAATAGCTGAATTGAGATTTTTAACTCAGGTCTGATTCCAAACTCACTTTCATAGATCCTGCTCTTTTACTTTTCCATTAATGAATAGAACTTGATCTCTGCCCTTAGAAGATTACATGTACACAAAAAAATCACATATTGGATGATTCCATTTATATGAAATGCCCAGAATATGCAAATCTATAAAGACAGAAAGTAGTGTAAGAGTTGCCTAGGGCTGGGAGTAGGGGAGTAAGGAGTGACTGCTAATGCATATAGGATTTCCTTTTGAGGTAGAAAAAATGTTCTAAAATTGTTTGTAATGATGGTTTCACAGTTTTGTGAATATACTAAAAATCATTCAATTGTGTAGTTTAAATGACTGAATTCTATGGGATTATAGCAGAATAAAGCTGTGCATGTATTTTTTCCCCCCAAGGTTAACAGTATAATGAGGAAGATAGATCTATGACCAGCTAACATTTCCAGGCAACATATAAACAAATATGAGCAATGCACTCTGGAAACTCAGGGGAAGGTGTAGTTGTTAATTGAGACCAGGAAACTGGGAGGTGGCTTTATGGAGCAGATGGCTTTGGAGCTGAATCTAAGAGCAAAATTAGAATGTTGGTAGGCAGAGAAGAGTGGAGGCTGAGAAGTCAGCATGGGCACAGTCACAGGTCCATGAGAGGACTGGGTTTTTCTGTAAGAATGGCAAGTCATCCAGCTGGAAGGCGATGAAAGGTGAGTGAGGAACGCAGAGGGAAATGAGGTTGGAAAGCATCTGACTGGAGTGTCTTGAGTGCCATGCTAAGGAGCTAAACTTCATTCTATATAATATGGGGGATCTTTTTCACAGGTGGGAGATACTGTTTTTTTACATTTTTATTTATTTATTTATTTTTAATTGAGACAGGGTCTTGCTTTGTCACCCAGGCTGGAGTGCAGTGGTGTGATCATAGCTCACTGTAGCCTTGAACTTCTGGGCTCAAAGGATTCTCCCATTTCAGCCTCCCAACTACCTGGGACTACAGGGACATGCCACCCAGCCCAGCTAATTTTTTTGTTTTTTGTAGAGACCGGATCTCACTTTGTTGCCCAGGCTGGTCTCAAACTCCTAAGCACAAGTGATCCTCCCACCTCAGCCTCTCAAATTGCAGGAATACAGGCCTGAGCCACTGCCACTGGCTGAGAAAGAGTACATTTTAAAACCAGATCCGAGTTTCTGTTTTTCTACATCAGAGATCAGAGATCTATTTTCAGCAAACCAACACCACCCATTAAATGAATGTTGCAAATTTGAGTTTTCCTAATTTTGTTTTAGTGTGTTTATAGTATGTATTTGTAAATTTCTTTGGGTTTCATAATTGTGTGTTTAAAAGGTAAGGAGTTTTATATATAGCTTATGCTTTTACCAAAGTAAAATAGTATGAATACAGATTTTTTTAAAAAAACTTCTCTTTAAAGTGAGTTCAAAATTTGCTTAAATGGGAAATATTTGTCTAGGAGATAGGATATTAATCAAAGTCTCTTCCAAACTTGACCTGGTGAGCCCCAGTCTACAGTAGGGGCACTCTAGGTATCTTATTCTGCAGATCTGAGAATCTGCACCAAAAAATCTCAGCACTAATGCACATTACAGTAGAGGTTTTATATAACAATTAAATAAGGATTTTATAGTTTGTTAATATAGACATAGAAGTAGGAAAATAGGACCTATTAAGAAATGAAAGTTTAAATAGTTGAACCTTGTGAAGCAATCACTGGGCATGATCTTCATGTTCATGTAGGATAGAATCTTTGCTGTGGGTTTCATTTGATAAATTAAAACGTTTTTTACGTTACATAATGTTGCTCTGGTTACTGCTATAGGTAGTATAGGGAATAATGGCCACAACAACCAGCAGCTTTTCTTCCATGTGCACTCACTTGATTTAACTTTTTTTTTTTTTTAGACGGAGTCTTGCTTTGTCGCCCAGGCTGGAGTGCAGTGGCGTGATCTTGGCGCACTGCCACCTCCGTCTCTCGGGTTCAAGCGATTTTCCTGTTTCGGTATCCTGAGTAGCTGGGACTACAGGCGCATGCCACCATACTCGGCTAGTTTTTGTGTTTTTAGTAGAGACGGGGTTTCATCATATTGGTCAGGCTGGTCTGGAACTCCTGACCTCAGGTGATCCACCAGCCTCAGCCTCCCAAAGTGCTGGGATTATAGGCGTGAGCCACCACACCCAGCTGATTTAAGATTTTAACAGACTTATTTGACAGAAACAAATTGGAGCTGTTGGCTGACCGTTTAACCCTCTGCTCTCCCCGCTGCAAAAAATCCACAAGAGCTTCATTATATTTTAGCTAACAGGTATTGGGCAGTAGTACTTCTTTTTTTTTTTTTTCATTCCTTTGTTTCAAAGAGATAACAGTTGACATACCCTTGAATACAAGCTCAGAGTTCATTTTCTGGTGAAAAAGGAATTTTGAAAGAGAAAATTTAAAAAACTCATACAAGTTGGTTTTTTTTTTCCATTTCCTTCTATATTTTAACTCTACAAACTGTAGTATCACAACAAGGGTGCAAAAAGCAGAGTTGGCATATTTGGTCAAATAAGACTTCATTTGAATTTTTAATATCTAGAAAATGATATTTTTTAAATTTCTTAAAATTTAAATTAAAATAGTTTTTAAAATTCAAGTGTTATATGTCCCCTATTATTAACATTTAAATTAAAAGATTATTACAAATTCAATAAAGAAGGAGGCAAAAAAAAGTGAGGGAGAGACATTTTATAATTACTTCAGTTTTTTTAAAAAATCAAGTTTGTACTCGTTCCAATTGTTTTGATATATTTGACTTTCTTTTTGTTATTCTTCACCTCCCTCATTATCTTTCCCCCTTTCTCTCCTTTATTTCTCTTCTCTATTTACCATTTTCTTTTTTATTGCCTACTCTCCACTCCCTTTTCTCCCTTCTTCTCTAACTGGACCATACTTGGGACTAAAGAAAAATTTATAGAATTATGTTTATTGAGGATGATTTAATGTAATTTATTATTCATTTAAATTGTGAGCAATTAAACTTTTAATATTTTTTTCTTTTTATGAGGATGATGGAGCTGAGTATGAGGGGTGGTAGATTCAGGTGTGAATAGTATATGCATACACTTACTCTAATCTGCTTTATCTAAGAAAATAAAGTTTGAAGTTATTAATACTGTACCTGTACCTGCATCTTTTCTTTTTTTTTTTTTTTTTTTTGTCGCCTCCTTCCCTATTTTGGTCCTGGCATGTGGTGCTGATCTGTAGTTGAGATTATATGAACCTAGTATAAATTCTACTTGAATATTTATACTGATCAATGTCTCTAACTCCAATTTTAAAAGCAAAATTAGCATGCATGATTTGGCCTAAATTCTCCTGCCATTGGTGAAATAATCAGGAATTGAGAGAAATGTGTGTGAGCACTCCTTCCTAAGATTTCAGCAATACTGTTGAGAAGCAGAAGCTCTTCAATCTCCTAGAATGATAAGAACCTTCTCTCTTAGTCCCTTTTGCATTGCTATAAAGGAGTACCTCAGGTTGGGTAATATATAAAGAAAAGAGATTTATTCGGCTCACAGTTCTGCAGGCTGTATAAGAAGGTTGCCACCAGCATCTGCTTCTGGCAAGGAACCTCAGGAAGCTTCCACTTAAGGCAGAAAGTGAAGGGGAGCAGGTATCACATGGCGAGAGGAGGGAAGCAAGAGAAAAGAAGAGGTGCTAGGCTCTTTTTAACAATCAGTTCTCGCATGAACTAATAGAGCGAGAACTCACTCATTACCAAGAGGATGGCAGCAAGTCATTCATAAGGGATCTGCCCCGAGGACCCAAATGCCTCCTACCAGGCACCACCTCCACCACTGGGGATCAAACTTTGACATGAGATTTGGAGGGAACAAATATTCAGGGTATATCACCTTACTTTTCCTTCCAGTACTCACAGTTTGACTCTTCCTCTCTTTTTGATCATTTGAAACATCAAATTGTTTTACCAACACATTCATGTTAATACTCTTGCCCATAAAGGAAGTGGAATTATTATTTCTGCTTGTTGAGACTAAAGAACAGGTAGTGAAACTATTCTTGTGGTCACTGAGCAAATCAAGCCAGGAATGGCCCTAAGCTGCACTCTAGAACTTTTGACCACTAGCTGTTCAAAGGAGGAAAAAGGAGTATATGTGATTCGTCTTCTAGTGAATTCTCTGAGTGAAACATTCTAATGCTTTTGCCCATGCTAGTCACATACTTATAAGTATGAGGCTATAACTGAGACTTTTCCAGGGGCATTTATTCTGGAAGAGGGAGCTAGATTTTGTTATAAAAATATAACAAAGGCCGGGTGCAGTGGCTCACACCTGTAATCACAACACTTTGGGAGGCCGAGGAAGGCGGATCACCTGAGGTCAGGAGTTTGAGACCAGCCTGACCAACATGGAGAAACCCTGTCTCTACCAAAAATACAAAATTAGCTGGGCATGGTGGTGCGTGCCTGTAGTCCCAGCTCCTCGGGAGGCTGAGTCAGGAGAGTCACTTGAACCCAGTAGGTAGAGGTTGCAGTGAGCCGAGATCGTGCCACTGCACTCCAGGCTGGGCAACAAGAGCAAGATGCCATCTCAAAAAATATATATATATGTATATATATAATGAAAAGCATTATAGATAGAGAACTGATTCAAAATAATCATTTTACTAATGGGTGAGTTAAAGTGATTAAAGACATTGTGAGATTGTGTATAGGTTTGGAGGAATGTTCTTGAAATCTGTGAAGCTAGAAATTTTTTGTTAAGAAATTTATTTTAGAAAAGCTTATTTATGACAGTGGAAAAGTCAGAGTTCAGATAATCAGACAGCATTATTGATAGCTTTGCTTTATAAAAGTGAATGGAAGAAAGGATGTCAAGACAGTCATAGACTATCTATAGACTTCTATATGTCAAGATAGAAGAAAGAATGTCAAGGTAGCAGTCTCTCATTGAGCCATCCTCCACTTTCTGCTACAACATTGATAGAACAGAATTGATTTTTAAAAAATACCAGCCACTAATAAGACAGTTTGCTAATGACATCTTGTGAGAAATTCCTCTGAAACAAGATCAGGCCAGGCGCGGTGGCTCATGCCTGTAATCCCAGCACTTTGGGAGGCTGAGACGAGTGGATCACTTGATGTCAGGAGTTTGAGATCAGCCTGGCCAACATGGTGAAACCCCATCTCTACTAAAATACAAAAATGAGCCCAGTGTAGTGGCGTGCACTTGGAGTCCCAGCTACTTGGGAGGCTGAGGCAGGAGAATCGCTTGAACCTGGGAGGTGGAGGTTGCAGTGAGCCGAGATCACACCACTGCACTCCAGCATGGGTGACAAAGTGAGACTCCATCTCAAACAAAACAAAACAAAAACAAAAAACCAATATCTATGGCATCGAATATAGAACTCTAATTGGTAATTGACACAACTGTGCCACATAAAATATGGTGTATTAGTCAGGGTTTCCTAGAGAGACAGAACTAATAGGATAGAGCTGGGTGTAATGGCTTATGCCTGTAATCCCAACACTTTGGGAGGCCAAGGCAGGTGGATGACCTGAGGTCAGGAGTTTGAGACCAGCCAGGCCAACATGGTGAAACCCTGTCTCTAATAAATGTACAAAAATTAGCTGAGTGTGGTGGTGCACACCTGTAATCCCAGCTACCTGGGAGGCTGAGGCAGGAGAATAGCTTGAATTCAGGAGGCGGAGGTTGCCATGAGCCAAGATAGTGCCACTGCACTCCAGCCTGGGCAACTGAGAGAGACTCTGTCCCCCCCCCAAAAAAAAAACAAAAAACAAACAAACAAAAAAAACAACTAATAGACTAATAGGATATATATATATATATATATATATATATATATATAGTAGTTTATTAAGCATGAATGCACATGATCACAAGATCTCACAATAGGCTGTCTGCAAACTTGAGGAACAAGGAGAGCCAGTCCAAGTCTCAAAACTGAAGAACTTGGAATCTGATGTTTGGGGGCAGGAAGCATTCAGCACGGAAGAAAGATGTAGGCTGGGAGGCTAGGCCAGTCTTACCTTTCCATGTTTTTCTTCCTACTTTATATTCGCTGGCAGCTGATTAGATTGTGCCCACCAGATTAAGGGTGGGTCTGTCTTCCCCAGCCTGCTGATCTCCTTTGGCAACACCCTCACAGACACACCCAGGACCAATACTTTGCATCCTTCAATCTAATCAAGTTGGCCCTCAGTATTAACCATCACAAATGGTTAATTGTAAAATGGTTAATTATAAAAGAAAGTAAAAATTTATTTATCTCCCAAGATCAGACTCAAAGATTCAGGGCCTATGACTAGAAAATTAAACTAGACTAGATTCAGGGCCTATGACTAGAAAATTAAAATGCTCTGATTTTCTGGTTCAACCAGAATATCCCCACACCAACTATCTTACTTAAGTAAACTGGGTGGTTTTTTGGGGATTAAAATCCTGTGGAATCTAATTTTTTAGGAAGAGTGTGTCAGTTCTCAGGACAATACTAATTATGAGTTTCTGATCCTCATCCTACTGACCCTCCTTCAAAAGGCCTTGGTTACATTTTTTTTCCTCTTCCTACCTTCTATAAACTGACTTACTCTCGTGTATGCTCAGCCTAAAACTCTAAAAAAGGGAACTCAATTTGAGCTAGGTGCCCACCTTTGTTTCGTTTAATTAAGAGAGAAGAGGTACTGTGATGGTTAATACTGTCAACTTGATTGGATTGAAGGATGCAAAATATTGTTCCTGGGTGTGTCTGTGAGGGTATTGCCAAAAGAGATTAACATTTGAGTCAGTGAACTAGGAGAGGTAGACCCACCCTCAATCTGGGTGGGCACCACCTAATCAGCTGCCAGCGAGGCCAGGATAAAAGCAGCAGAGGAACGTGGAAAGACTAGATTGATTTAGTCTTCTGGCCTACATCTTTCTCCTGTGCTGGATGCTGCCTGCCCTCAAACATCAGATTCCAAGTTCTTCAGCTTTGAGACTCTTGGGCCTTCCACCACAGACTGAAGGCTACGCTGTTGGCTTCCCTATTTTTGAGATTTTGGGACTCAGACTAGCTTCCTTGCTCCTCAGCTTGCACATGGCCTATTGTGGGACTTCACCTTGTGATCATGTGCATCAATACTCCTTGATAAACTCATATATATATATATATATATATATATATATATATATATATATATATATATATATATATCCTATTAGTTCTATCTCTCTAGAGAACCCTGACTAATAAAGGTACTATGATACAATAGAGCTACAGGGGTTGAGAATGAGAGATCAAATATGAAGAAGGGGTATGGACCCTGCAGATACTCCAAAATGTGTCTACTTCAGGATTGTATTTTTTCAATATTCTACTAATTAAAGTTAGAGACAGGGTACCAGTCGTTTATAAAAAGAATCTATCTAAATTTAGAAGAGTTATAATAATTTAGGGCCTATGGGAACTGGAATTCGAGCTAGGTAAAAGCTGTGTGCTCAAGTATGTTCTGCAGCTGTAGACATAAAAGGGAACCTTAAACTGCTGATGTAGAGTGAATAGTCCTACTTCTGACTGCATGACTGAGAAATTTCCAGAATTGATGAAAGCCATGAATCCTCAGACTGGGGAAACACAATGGATCCCATGCTAAAAAATATACCAGATAACATTATAGTGAGACTACAGAACACGAAAGATAAAGATTTTTAAAACCAACTAGAGAAAAAAGTTGAAATATATAAATCAACATTAAAAAATAACTTAAAGATGTATGTGTTTGGAAATTTAACTGTAAATTCAATTTTTTAAAAAGATATGGGGAGTTTGAGACAAGCCTAGGGAACATGGTGAAACCCTGTCTCTACAAAAAAATGCAAAAATTAGCTGGGTGTGGTGGTATGTGCCTATAGTCCCAGCTATTCTGGAGGCTGAGGCGGGAGGATGTCTTGAGCCCTGGAGGTTGAGGATGCAATGAGCTGAGATCGTACTGCTGCACTCCAGCCTGAGAAACAGAGTAAGATTGTCTCAAAAAAAAAAAAAAAAAAAAAGATATGGGGCAATCTAGGTTAGCTAATTCTTCTTAGGGGTGAGCTTTGGTTATTCGTGTCCTCTAAAGAATTTGTTCATTTTATCTAAGTTGAAGAATTTATTGGCATAAAGTTGCTCCTAATTTTCCTTTTAATGACTATAGAATCTGTAGTGATATTTCCTCTCTCATTCCTGATATTGGCAACTTATTTGTTTTGCCTTCTTTAGCTGAGTAGCTAGAGTTTATTAATTTTATTGACTTTTTTCCCCAAAGAACTGGGGTTTTTATTTTGTTTCATTGGTTTTTCTTTACTGCTTTTTTGTGTTCTCTTTCATTGATTTCTATTTTTATTTTAATTGTTTTTTGTGCTTATTTTGGGCTTTTCTCTTCTTTCTCTATTAATAGTTTCTTAAGGTGCAAACTTAAATCATTAATTTCCTTCTGCTTTCCAAATACAAGCATCTTATTCTATAAGCTCTTAAACCACTGATGTCCCTAAAACTCCTTAGCTGGATCCAACAGGTTTTAATATATTGTGTTGTTAAATCAAGTTTAGCCTAAAGCTGCCTCTTTACATATTTTAAGTTCGTTCTAAAGGTTTCTCTGTTCACTGTGTACTGTAACAAGTGGAAGTGTAAACAGACCATAGCCTACACTTATGCTAATTACTGAGTTTTAGCCATTCAAACATAGCCAACTGTTTGAACCATGTTCAAATAAGGCAAACACCACGCTGTAGCCAATCAGAAGTGTTTATTTTCATTCCGCTCAATTTCTAATTTCACTCATGGTTTGTTCTTTGACCCATGGGATATTTAGAAGTGTTGTCTAGTTTCCAAATATTTGGAGATTTTCTAAATGCATTTTTGTTATTGATTTTTAAATTTAATTTCACTGTGGTCAGAGAATATGTGTTATTTCAATCCTCTTAAATGTATGGTCTTGCAGGTTAAATTGTGTTCCCTCAAAATATATGTTTAAGTCCTAACCCCTTGTACCTATCAATGTGACCTTACTTGGAAATAAGGTCTTTGCAAATGCAGATGTAGTCAAGTTAAGATGAGGTCATACTGGATTAGGGTGGACCCTAATCCAGTGACTGTTGTTCTTATGAGAAGAGAGAAATTTGGACACAGACACATACAGCAAGAATGCCATGTGATGGCAGAGGCAGAGATTGTAGTGACACACCTACAAAGCAAGGAACACCAAGGATTGCTGGTAACCACCAAAAGCTAGGAGAGAGGGCGTGAAGCAGATTTTCCCTCAGGGCCTCCAGAAGAAACCAACCTTGCCAATACCTTGATTTTAGACTCCTAGCCTTTAGAACTAGAAGATAACACATTTATGTTGTTTTAAAGTCACCTAGTTTATGGTATTTTGTTATGGTGTCCCTAAGAAATGAATATACCTGGTAAATGTTCCGTGTGCATTTGTTAAAAAAAAAAAAATGTGTGCAGATGTTCCTCCTTAACTTATGATGGGGTTACGTCCCGATAGACCTATTGTGAGTTAAAAATATATTAAGTTGAAAATGCATTTAATTCACCTAACCTACCTTGAACGTGCTCAGGACACTTACTTATGACCACAGTTGGGAAAATCATCTGGTAACAGAGTATGCTGTAGAGTATTGATTGTTTATTCTTGTGATCTTGTGACTGACTGGGAGCTTTGGCTGGCTGCTGCTGCCCAGTATTGAGAGAGTATAGTACCACATATCACTAGCCTGAGAAAAGATAAAAATTCAAAATTCGAAGTAGAGTTTCTACTGAATGTATATGGCTTTTGCACCATCTTAAAGTTGAAAAACTGTAACTCAAACCATTGTTAAGTCAGGGACCACCTGTATTCTGTGAATGTTGGATGTAGTCTTCTAAAAGATTAGTTAGGTCAGGTTTGTTGATAGTGCTGTTTGAGTCTTCTATGTATTTCATGAATTTTCATCCACTTTCAATTATTGAGAGAAGGGTGTTGAAATCTTCAATTTTCACAGTGGATTTATTTATTTCTTTTTCCAGTATTATCAGTTTTTGCTTCATGTATTTTGAAGCTCTCTGATAATAGGTGCCAAAACATTTAGAATTGTCATGTCCTCTTAATGGATTGCTTCCTTTATCATTAAAAATGACCCTCTTTATTCCAGCTAATTCTTTCCTTTGAAATGCATTTTATCTGATATTAATAAAACTATTCCAGATTTCTTTTAATGAGTGTTAGTATGGAAGATCTTTTTTCATTCTTTCACTTTTAACCCATCTGCTTTTTAAATTTAAAGTGGGTTTCTTACAGACAGCATGTAGTTATTTTTCGATGTTATCCAATCTGACAAATCTCTGCTTTTTATTTGGTGTGTTTAGATCAATTACATTTAATATAATTAGTGATTGTTGAGTTTAAATCTATGCTTTTTGCCAGGTGCAGTGGCTCATGCCTATAATCCCAGCACTTTGGGAAGCTGAGGCAGGGAGATAACTTGAGGCCAGGAGTTTGAGACCAGCCTGGGCAACATAGCAAGACACCTTCTCTACAAAAATAATACAATAAATAAACAAATACCTCTATGCTTTTTCTATTTATTTTTTATTAATGATCATACTAAATTACACATTTTGGAAACTTGACAATTACTACAAGAAATTTGGAAAAAAGACATGTCTTTAAGTTAATTTCTTTTTTCCTTTTTTTCTTTGTTTTTTGAGACAGGGTCTCACTCTGTTGCCCAGACTGGAGTACAGTGGTGTGATCTCGGCTCACTGCAACCTCTGCCTCCCAGGCTCAAGCAATTCTCCTGCCTCAGCCTTCTGAGTAGCTGGGATTACAGGCATGCACCACTACTGCCTGGCAAATTTTTGTATTTTTAGTAGCAACAGGATTTCACCATGTTGTCCAGGCTTTTGAACTCCTGACTTCAAATGATCCATCTGCCTCGGCCTCCCAAAATGCTGGGATTACAGGTGTGAGCCACTGTGCTCAACCTTAAATTAATTTCTTTAATATAATTTTGATGTGTATTCTTTTACCCTTTGATTCTTCAAAGGATAAACTTTTTCACAACTCATTATAGGAATAGTTAGATACATTTTTAGGATTTTTGTCAAATTTGGGAAAACCTTGACCAAATTAGTTTCATATATGATTTGTAAGATTTGGAAGAATTTTCTAAAGGACTAGCCTCTAGTTCCAAGCATTTCATATTGTTTTTCTTTGCTACTTGTGTATTTCCAGTGGCAAGTGCAATGTTCATATCACTGTATGTCCTCTGGCCATGCATTATTTTGTCACAATTCTGAGTGATTGGTGTGGTGAGCGTTTTACGAACATTTCTCCTATACCAGTGCAGCTAGCAGTAACTTAACTATACATTGGAAGTGACTATGAATTACATAAAATACCCCACTAAACCCAAACTAAATGAGTCCCCAACTCAATATCCTCTTAGAAGAACTCAAAAACCTGTTATACCTAATGTTTCTAGGAAAGTGTGATGGAGAGAAGTTGGAATAGACTTAATGGTTGTATTTAAAGCATTTTACTTTTTCAAACTTTATAACAACATATGACTTGTAAATATATTATTGAGACAGTAGAAACAGCCTGTGCAAGTGAGAGACCCTAAAGGTTAAGTTTCATTAGCTTCATGGTAAATCTACTCAAGGGATGACTATTGTAGGGGCAAGTCTGAAATTCTTAGTAAGTCCTAGAAGGAACATTTAGCACAGATTATTGATACTTATGTTTATAATGTTAGGCACTTACAACCAGTAGTTGTCAGCTACAGGCTTAAGTACCAATTCTGGGTCAACAGAAAAAGTCACCGACTTCCTCTGTTCTTTATTTAGTGTTTTAATCTAGACCACGGTCCCTTCTTACCCTGCACATTCTCCCAGGAACCTCATCTTCTCTCATCTATTTAATTGCCACCTTTAAGGTAATAATTCCCAAATCTAGCCCAATCTCTCTCCTGAACTTTAGACATGTATGTTCCACTGTTCATTGATATTCCTGCATCAACTAGAACCTCTTGTCTTTCTTTTCAACCTGCCCTTACCTCCTGTATTGACCAAAGAAAAATCCTAAGAATTATCCATGGCTTCTTACTCTCTGACCTCACCCTACCAACTGCTGAGCACAGTGCCAGGCACATAGTAGATGTGTACTAGACTTGAGGTATTATGTTATAATGTTATAATCATATCAATAACTAAGTCCTGTTGGAGTTCATTCTAAGTATTTCTAATCCACCACTCTCCAGTCCTACTATTCTTATCCAGGCTACCATGTTGTCTCATGTGGATGGATTATTGCAATACTCTTATCTCTACCTCCTATCTTACCCCCTTCCCTAAAATTCATTGTCCACACTGAAACCTGAATGGTTTTTGAAAATGGAACTCTTACTTAGGACACTCTTCTGATGACTATTCTTCGAAGCCTTCATATTGTCCTGGGTATGAAGTTCTAACTCCTTTACCCCTCTTTCAAGGGCCTATACCAGGCCCAATCATACCTCTACTCTCATTTCTTACCACTTTTCTGAAATGAACTCTGTTCTGGCCACATTGAGTATTTCAGTTCCTCAAATTGCCATGCACTCAGTTCCCAGACCCTTTCACTTCTAAATTTCGATTGAACACCAATCATAATGACTCTATCACCTAAATATTTTTTCCATGCCTCTCTCCCACTCCCACATTGCTGCCAGTCTGTTTTTCATCACTTCTTTCTCTGCAATAACCTCTTAATTGATCTCTTCTTGATCCTAGCTTGCTCCTTTCAATTCTTTCTTCACTCTGCCAGCAGAATGGCCTTTCAGAAACAAACATTTTATCTTATCTCTCCTTTCCTTAAACACATTAATGGCATGTATCCCTACAACTTTTAGGAGAAAAATAAAACGTCTTAACACATAGAGTCCTTTGTGATTTGGTTTCTGCCCATCTAGATCTCTAGTTTCATCTTTTACCCCTCTCTCATACAGATCATTTCCCAGAATGAGGTCCTCCAGTTTTCTAAATATCATGCACTTTCGTACCTCTGGGCTATGCCACGTACAGTTTTCTTTGTGCTTTTATAGCATCCTTATCACACATTTATCTTTCCAACTAGATCACACACTTGTAGGGTTGTTTCTTTATATTTTTTGTGTTTTCTACAATAGTCACTTATTATTTTTACATTTTAACAAAATAAAATAATTGTGAAGGGCGCTATCCATTGAGGAAATTGGATATCCATTGAGGGAATTTAGTTGTAGAAGAGAAAAATGTGGTGGGATGAGACAGGCAACAGGATGGGTGGTGGGTCACAATACCTGTTTTCAAACATCCAAGGGCTTTCTTGGAAGGGTTTAGATGTCCATCTGGTGTAGATTTTAGGGAAACAGATTTCCTCTTAGTGTAAGAAAGTTGAACAGAGTTGTCTGAAGAGGGAATGAGCTGCTGAGTCAATAAGAGGTGAATGAATCACTTTTGGGTTTGTTTAGTGGAAGGGCTCTCACTGATACAGGGAGATTTCTGTTGAAAGAGGGAATTCAGCCTCTTCTGGAAGGTTGGCTCAAGTGGTCTGTGAGGTCTCTTCTATTCTTTGAATTTCACCATTACAAAAATAATTTAATAGCTTTCCACCCTTATACCCTGAAAACAGATTGATTTAACACTATTTAGAGGGTTCTGGTGTGGCTAGAGGAGCACAGGCCCCTCTCAGAATTCAATGTTAGTCATATCTTTGGTAAGAACTATCTATCTATCTATCTAACTATCTATCTATCTTTGATAGAGCCCTTTTCCTTCTTTGTGTTGTTCATCTTTTTTTCTCATAAGTATCCCATTCCTGATGGCCAACACATGACAGAATAGTAGTAAATGAATAACTTTCTATGTGTTAGGACACAACACCTTACTCTGTCCTATATTATGTTTCTCTTTGTGCTTGAATTATCTACCCAATTAGAATGTAAACTGTGCCTTAAATTTGTATGTTCCCCCCTGCATCTTTAAATATGGAATTATGGAATTCTTACTAAAGATTATATTTATCTGTAGTAATAATTCCATATATAAATTAAACTAAATTGAATTTAGGCAACAGGAAAACAGACCCAACAAATCCACCCTGAAATATTTTAGTAATCTATCAATCAAAGGGATTAAAAGAGATTTTAAAAACCCCATGAACATGGAACCTCAGTATAATCTGGCATACACAAAAGTAGTTTCTGAAATGTGGCAAATCGCCAGTCCTGGCAAATTGGGAAGGTAGTATGCCAATTACAGAGTGAGAAGTTGAATAGCACCATGGAGAATTAGGAGCAATAACACAGGATGAATGCCTTCGTCCTGATTTAGCCTCAGGTGGTCCTCACCAGAATCTGACAGGCAGATACCCTGGGATTCAGGGAATATTATAATCCCAGGGAATTCAGTCCATTGTTAATGTTGGTCAGGAATCATATACAGTATGAGTTAAGAAATACCAGAATTCATAAAGTAAGAATGTTTCTGCCTCTTTGTGGGCACCTGAAAATTGAATTGTCTGCCAACAGGAAGGGAAGCAGCAAGCAGATTCCTCAAGAGAAGGGGAGAGGCTTTGGTTCTCTTTACTTGCACACTTTTCTATAGGTAGTAAAACTATCAGCATCAGTCCCTTAGTCTTAACTGCAAAGTATCCCAGAGTATCAACTAGGGAGCTGTTGATCTGCAAATCCTCCATCTTCTCCCAGACTTTCTGCATTTGAAGGCCCCCCAAGGGTCAGCATCTTGTTTGAAGCTTAAAATAATTGCTTATCTTTATAGAGGCAGAGAGGGGTCTGAGGGAGAGAATAATGAAATAAAGACTAGTGGAAGCAGAAAAAGAAGGAAGTGTTTTGGATGGGGAAGGGAGAGAGAGCTTGAAGCTTAGGAACAAATTGACCAGTTTGGAGGGTAACCTTTTTCTCAAAAATCCAATTGAAAGTGTTCACAAGTCTGTACATCTAACCGTGTTGGCTGGTTTGCAGCAGCAGAGATGATGACAAGACTGTGTGACTCCTGGATGGAGGAAAGACATTCTTGTGGTGTGTCCCAAGAGACCTTCTGCCTTCCAGCTGACAAATCATCTGTGCTTCAAAAAAATTTCTGCTTCCAATCAAGACTGAAACTGAGAAATTTTCCTGACAAGAGTGGAAGTTGTAGCATGCACAGCCTGTTAGATTTGCTTCCTTTGTTTGGTGAGAAATAAAATCACACTCCACCAACAAATTGGAATGCCTAGGATATTCTCTGTCTCTTTCTCACTCCCTCACACATACACCTGCCTCCCCTTTGCCCCACGTGCATGCATACATGTGCACACATCTACCTTACTACTTTAGAGCCAGGTCTAATAGTGATAGACATAATCTCTGTCTGTCTATCATCTATCTATCTATCTATCTATCTATCTATCTATCTATCTATCAATCATCTATCTATCTATCTATCTATCTATCATCTATCTATCCATTCCTGTCACTGTCTCTGTCTCTGTCTCTTTCCAATAGTTCCTAGATTATGGCTAAATTTCCCCCCACATTTGGTAGGACAAAGACTTTTTACCATTAAGGATTTTTTTTTTTAATGTCCCTGCTACCAGTCATAAAGGAAATACCAAAAGGTCATTCCAAACAATTTTTTGGACAGAGGTTTACTGCTGAAATAGATGAAATAACTGATAATTTATCACAATAGCTAATTTGAAGGGGATAACTGGCACCTGGAAGTACAGAGCTGCTGTGTTGGTAAAAACAAAAGCAGCCGCCTTACTTTGTAATTATAGCTGATGTTAGAGGTTTTCTTTTTCTATTGTGGAGTTGTTGCCAAGGCAATAGCTTGGCACTCTTCTACACAAATGCTTTTCACATTAATCTACACAGGCTTCACAGATGTTAATTTTTGTAACACACCTATGCATTCCAGAAGAGCAAAATATATTTTTTAAAATCTGTTTTATATGGTAGGAAAAGAGCATTAGAAAACGTTTTTCTGGCCTCCTCTCTCGCTTCCAGGACACACTCACAGTGACCGTCATGGATTTTGAAATGGCCTCCAGACCTTAGCCCAGGACTGTGGGGAAAAGAGGGCAGGAAACCCAAAGAGAATCCACACGACAAACCAGATCAAGGACATGGCTAACGGTCAGAGTTGGAAGTTCTGCTGCTGAGACAAGGTGGAAGCCAGGAGGCAGAAACTCAAGAGGAACTAAAGCCAAATGTCACAGTTAGCAAAAATCAGGGCTAAAGCACAAGACAAGAACCAAAGGAGCGATCACTGTTGAGCAAAACAGTCTAGTGTCAGCATTCAGACACTGCCCTCGATGCAATTTCTGAACACTCTTGGGGCAGCAATGCTTCTTTAACCCCAACTTGAGGCAGCTCATGTAGAAAGCATCCACTATTGCTGGGCTTTGGGAGTGTGATTAATCTTGGAGGCAAGGTGAACTGTTAAAATTTTCACCCATCTTACACTGTGAAGAGACAGAATAAAGAAAGCCCTTCATACTTGTTGGTTCTGGAGTCATAAAGCTTACCAAAGTAGTAACATTGAGGCAGGGACTGGACCAGGGTGGGTGAGTGAGGTGCCTCAAGTACAAAACTTCAGGAGGCATTTACTCTTCAGGTCATATGAATGTGGGGCCACTGAGGCTCAGAGAGGGGAGGGGCCCCTTCACACCCCAGGCAGGGCAGCTCTGGACCTGACATCTGGTGCTCGGTGTCTCATTGATGTTAGGCCATGAGTTCATTTTGAATCAGAGTCTGTGGCGCTCATGGTGTTTCTTGAAAAAGAAAAACAACATTATTAATATTTAGCTACTCCCTGGCATTTTCTAATGTAGGATGGATACAAATAAACGCCCAAACTGGTGAAATAAAAAAATTTTGGTTAACACTATAGTAAAGACTTTTTTTTTCATATTCTTTTGCTGGCCAGGAAGTTCTAAATACCTTCCCAAGAGTATTTGCTGCAAAAAGAACAGAGAGGAAATAAATTATTGTGTGACTCCAGCAAACACTTGCCAAATGAATAGACAATGAATTAGAATTGGCAAAAGGGAGAATGGAACTCACATGAACTCAGTATCCTTTATTTTAGTTTCATTTAGTGGTTAAAGTCATACATTTGTTTTATTTTATGTACAATTTTTACATCTTTTTACAAAGGCTTTAAAAGGTATCTATATTAAGTGCCCACAAACTTTTCCTCTGAAACATCATTTAAATCACTCTGGCTGATTCTGCTCTCAACCAGATAAGGTATTAAGGAAAGACAAGAACAACAACAATAACAAAATGGTATGAAACTTTATCCAACCATGGCTTAAAAGGACTTATTGGTTAATTTGGATTTGGGTTGATGGTCAGGATGGCCTTGAAATTCATATTCTAAATTTAAATAGGAATTTCTTCAATTTTCCATTCAAGAAGTGATTCTCTTTCTTTTGTTCCACTAGGCTGTACAGATTGTATTCTCTGTTTCTGAGGCTGTCATCCGTTAGCAGGATTTACAGTTGCTGACAACTTGCTTTAATAATTCACAAGGAATAGAATCTATTTTGTGCTCTCTGTTTTCTCAGTCAGTTCAGTGATGCAGACAGATTAAAAACATGCTTTTTGTCAGTGAAATAAATTGAGAGGGCACAGAGACACCCTAGGAGGAGTAATACTGAACAAGATACCACTGTGAAATGTTTTCCCACCAGTACACAGCTAGATAAAACCAGAAACAGACCAGGCTCTGTCTTGAACCCTTGAATCTGGCAAGCCTGGTACTGAAGTTAGGCCTGCTCTCCAGGCATACCCCAAACTGTTGAGTTAATTTATATAGGCAACTGAATGTACTGGCTTTCAAGTTTTAGGGAAAGGAAATCATTTTAAGGACAAAATGAAATTCGAAATTCACACACAATTTATAAGCTGTGGCATTTTCTTTTTGTGAATTATGGTAGTAAAATGTGTAACTAGCACCTGTTATGTATTGTTTATATAGTTATCTGAAAAAGAAGATGCCTTTATTTCTGAGTAGCATCAGACAGCAGGGCAGGAAAGAGAAGGCTGCCTGGCCATAACTTCTACGCCTCCCTGGGTCATGCTATTGCTTCATGCTTCTTTAATATTAAATGTAACAAGTTCTGCATCAGGCTCAAATCCCATCTGGCCTCAGCCCAGAAGAGGCCCAGGGCCTGTCAGGCCTTACACTGCCCTGACTTTGTTGATAGATTCTGCTCATTGAAATTCAGCAGTGGAGGAAGAAGGTGCCTCCTCCTTGCAGCCTGTTCCTCTCCCTAAGCAAACAAGACTGTGGCTCAAAGGCAATGTAGACCATGGTGTCCACAGCCAATTTCAATACTTAGTTCCTTCCTGAAGCCAATCACCAGACCCACACCACAGGGTGGACACACCCTTCTGGGTAAAGAATGTATTTATTTAGGTTCATGCAGAAGCCAAAGAAGAAAGAACAGGGCAGATGAGAAAATCCTATAATGGACCTTGCAAGTGAACTGAGAGCTGTTTGGTGAATCTGGCTGACCACTTCAGCTCACTAGTGTGCACACATAACGCCCTTTCAGACTTTGGCATTCCTTGAATTTTCAATTTGATTTTGGCACTAGCTGTTTTCATAGGTAATTTTTCTTATTCTTCACATATTTCATGCCATTATGAAAAGTAAGTGTGTTTTGGCTAGACATCCTAGCAAAAAAAAAAAAAAGATGGTTATGAAGGTATTATCTTCAAAAGAATATTACAAATCACTATCTGGAAGTCAGCTGGCATCTGATATATCTTTATTTGTCTACATATGTAAATGTACATAGATATATAGTTATAGATATAAAATATTAACCAAATTTATGCGTGGTTTTCTTTAGGTAACTACAGATAAAAACTGCAGTTCCACTTGGCTTTTGTAACAAGTTGGCATCTAGGTTTTCATCTAATTGGTAAATGTATATAATTTAAAAACAGCTTAATTTTTTTTCTTAGTTTTCTTTAAAATGTGAATTGAAGTTGTGATTTGAAGTTGGAGTAAAATATCACTGGAGGCCCAGACATTTCCTGAAGTTTAATAGGGTAACCCTTTGGTGCTTGGAGCCATAACTTTACCATCTGAACTGCTCCAGAAATTCCAGTCACCAAACTCTGATATTTTTTTCACTCCTCCATCACATTTTAAACTTGTAATGGACCTTAAAGTGTTTCCAGTTCACCCTTGCAACTTTGCCCCAAGCTGGAGAAAGAATCTACCCCAAAATGTGCTCTTTATAACAACAGCATTTTTCCAGCCCTTGCCTCACAAAGGTGACATCTCTTGAAACTATTACGGCTTCAATATGCAAGGGATGTGGTCTCGGCTTCACCATAGCAGCTGCTGGGAGCAACCAGCTCTCCCAGGTTTATGCCACATAAACGCACACCCAAATACTCCAGTTCAATTTATTTTTCCTCATGCCGTTACTCCTAAATACGAATTCTTCCAGGGGTGGGCAAACTAATTTCTAAGGCTGTTTTCTTTTATTTTCTTCTTACTTTCTTTCTTTTCTTTCTTTTCTTTCTTTCTTTCTTTTTTTCTTTCTTTCTTTCTTTCTTTCTTTCTTTCTTTCTTTCTTTCTTTCTTTCTTCTTTCTCTTTCTTTCTTTGTCTTTCTTTCCTTCCTTCCTTCCTTTCTCTCTCTCTCTCTTTCTTTCTCTCTCTTTCTCTTTCTCTCTCTCTCCCCTCCCTCCCTTCCTTCCTTCCTTCCTCCAAATATCTACAATTCTTTTGATGGCATCCAAAAAATGAATGATTTTGAGGTATCTGGTTATGACTTCTATAGACCTTTATATTCTGGCTTTGAACTACAAAAAGACAAACAGGAAGGAAGGAAGAAAGGAAGAAGAGAGCAACAAAAAACACACAAAAATCCTTCCAATCTATCAGTGAAATTGTACCCTCAAATAACATTCTATAAATTATATTTGGTTATTTTGATAGGAGTTATAATCAGTTTTAATTTACTCATTCAAAATTCAACAATATTTGTTGAGAATCTACCTACTACATGCCAAGTAGATAAGTTATTAGCCCTCATAGTGTCTAGTTTTACTTAGCGTAGATATTTAATAAATGAGAGAAAAAATTAAGTAAAATAATTTCACATAATGACACATACTTGTAATGAGCTCTACCATAGCCTTCCCAGACACCCCTTCAGGTATGGTGTTCTTATTTCCCTAGTCACTAGGAATGCTGTCTGTAGATAGCCTTCACCTCTCAGTCCCTGTGATGGTTAACTTGATGGGTCAACTTGACCAGATTAAAGAATACCTAGACAGCTGGTAAAGCTTTATTTCTGGGTATGTCTGTAGAGTTGTTTCAGGAAGAGATTGGCATTTGAATCAATAGACTGAGTAGGAAGATCTATCCTCACCCAATGTGTGTGGCACCATCCATTCCACTGAAGGCCTGGATAGAACAGAAAGGCAAAGGAAAGCTGAATTTGCTCTTTCTTCTGGAGCAGGGAAACTTGTCTTCTCCTACCCTTGGACATTAGAACTTCAGGTTCTCTGGTCTTTGTTTCTCAGCCCTTTGGACTTAGACTGAAGCAAGTTACCAGCTTCCCTGGTTCTCCAGCTTGCAAATGACCTATCATGAAACTTCTCAGCTTCAATAATCATGTGAGCCAATTTTCATAATAAATCCTCTATCTATCTATCTCTCTATCTATCTATCTATCCATCCCATTGACTCTGTTTCACTGGAGAACCCTGAGTAACATAGTTTTCTTTGGGAATTGCCTTATCTGAAGAGAGTTACCCTGCCAAAGGTCATGTTTCCTACCTATAGGGTAGTCATTTCCAATAACT
Source organism: Homo sapiens (assembly GCF_000001405.40). Taxonomy (NCBI): domain Eukaryota; kingdom Metazoa; phylum Chordata; class Mammalia; order Primates; family Hominidae; genus Homo; species Homo sapiens. The sequence goes on from NC_000013.11 coordinate 43,941,874, forward strand.
GGACCCCCTTAACCCAGCTCAGGACAACTCTGAAGGTCGATTCCATCTTTTGGTAGGATTAGCTCTGGTCCTTGTTGGGACCACATCACAACCCTACTTCTTCCTCTGCCTAATCCTATTTCTATCCTTTCCATCAGTGAGGACCAAGAGGACTCCCTAACAAACTTTCTACTTATTAATCTTTATCTCAGTCTACTTCTTGGGAGTCCTGACCTGCAGCAGTTAGTACTAGCAGAATATCAAGGAAACAGACACTGATTTAGCATTTAGGGGCTGGATGACCTGCTGCCTAGCTAGGAGTAAAGACACCATCACTGGTGGTAGAGATTAGTACTATGCCTGAGCCCAACAGAAATCAGCATGGCCAGCAGCAGAGATCAATGCCGAGTCCCCAGTACAGCACCAACCCTCCAGAATGCCAACCAGCCACTTGGTGGCAAGTTAAACACATTAGACATTTTCCACCCTGGAAAGAGTAGTGGCTTATTTTGATAGAAATAGAAATATATTTGGGGAATGTATGTAAAAGTTTGTCTTTCCTTTCCACAGAGCTTCAACCAGCACTACTACTTGAGGACCTATGCAGTGTTTGTCCATGAGCATGGAATGACTCATACTGGCCTCAGAGTTAGGGACTCACTTTAAAGGAAAGGGGATGCAGTAGTGGGCACATGACTAAGAAATCCACCGATCCTCTCATATACTGCACCACCAGAAGCTGCTGGATTAGCAGAGCAAAGGTATGTTCAAAGAACAGCTGAAGCAGGAACTTTGAGATTATACTTTGTGGGGATGGGTGTCATTATCTAGGGTGCAGTGCTTACCAGTAATCAATGAATTTTATGTAGTGCTACATCCCCACTAGATAGAATACATGGGTCCTGGAATTAAGGGGTAGAGGCATGAATGGTCCTTCATCTCTCCCAGTTATCTGCTTGCGGGATGTATCTTCCTTTCCTGGCATCTCTGGGTTCTGTGGGTTTAGTGGTCCTGGTTCCCAGAGAGGAAATGCTTTCACCAGAGGACACAGCAGGAATCTTACTAAACTATAAGCTGAAGCTGACTCTTGGGCACTTTGAGATCTTCGTGCTAAGGGACCGACAGGCAAGAAGGGGATGCTTCCTGGCATCATTAGGACATTGGGCTACTGTTATACAATGGAGACAGGGAAGAATATATATGGCACCCACATTATTTATTTAGGTGCCTCTTGTTATTCCTTTGCCCAAGTTTGACAATAGTAGACAAGTGCAAAAGCCATAATCAGAGAAGGACATGGTGATTGAGAGCTCAGACCCCACAGGATAAGGGTCTGGTTCATGTTACCAGGCAAGACAAATAAACCTGTGGAGTTTCTAGGTGAGTTTAGGGAGCATATAGAATGGAGAGTAGAGGAGGGAGAATGTGATCCCAAGACTGGCTGCAGTGGCTAGAGATGTATTTTATTCCACTAAACCTCAATAAGTTTCACTGAGAATCAGATGCCCCAGCATCCTAACTAAGCTGCCTCCAGAATTTATACAAAGCAGTGGATTCAAAGGGTGGACTCTGGTGAAATGTTGCCCATATTCCTATTCAATACTTAAAATCTTACTCCTCAAGAGGTTGAGAATGTTGCAAACAGACAGTTTTAGCTTTCAGGTGTCTTTGGAAATTGTCTCAACTTAAGAGCTGCTGTGACTTCTTGGGGCAGCTAGCATCCAATGTTGGGGGTATAAAGACTTGTCTCCTCGTTTTGAAACTTGGTATATTCTAAAAAGCCATTCTAGCTTCAGAACTCCCTGTGGGGCTGGCTGAGGTCTTTGTTGAGACTGCAGTTATAGCCTAATTTCTCCCTTTTCCCAGCATTCTTATTTTCCTTCCCTTCTTCAGGTGTTGATCAAGAGTACCTCTAATAACTTCTTCCATGCAAAACCACTACTCACTCTCTGGTTCCCTGGGCATCCACCTGCAACAGTACTATAAAAATATATAAAACAGCAAAATGAAATAGAAGATCAGATACAAGGCGAGGCTACTCTAGTTATGATGATCAGATAAGTCTCTAAGGAGCTGAGATGTGAATGATGAGAAAGATCACAGAAAGATCTGGGGGAGTAGCATGTACCATTCCAGACAGAAAGAAATATGAAGGCCCTGAGGTGACAATGAGCTTAACATGTTCCAGAAAAAGAAAGAAGGTCAGTGTAACTCAGGCATGACAAATGAGAATGAGGCTGATGGAAACAGTGGCCAGATCATGGAATTTGAACTTTATTCTAAATGCAATAAGGAGTTACTAGAAGTAATTAAATATACCACTTTGACTTACAGGAGTACTAAATGACTTACAGGAGTTTGAAGAGTAGAATAAGAGACAATCATTATAGTTATTATATATATTGTTATGGGACTATATAATAGTCTCACCCCAAGAAAGAGATGGGTGGTGATGGCGACAGGTGGTTGACTTTTGATATTTATTTTGGAGGTGAATCCAAAAGGATTTGTGATGCATTACAATGTAGGACAATGAAAAGAGAATAATTAAAGATGACCCCTAGGTTAGGCCTGAGCAAGGAGCAGTACCACTAGTAGGGAAGGAAAAGAGGAGCATAGTTGGAAGCAGAGGATATAAAGCTACCTAAGGACAGGGTACAAAGTTTCCAGAGAAAAAGAACAGATTAGAGAGCTAGATTACCTTTTTAATTAAGTAGTGACTTCAACTTTGTTAACCCCTTCAGTCTCTCTTTGTCTCAGTTTCTCTGCTTTCCATTCTTTCCTAGGCCACAATGAGATCTGATAGACCTCAATATCTATAATTATAAGCTGCTTTACATTTCTCAGAGATTCTGCATTTTCAGCAGTCTCTCAGGTGACAATGAGGTTGTGGTCTGAGGACATTTTGTGTAGCAAGGTTCCAGTGAAAATAACATCGTTGGGTCAGACAGACCTGACTTTGAATTGTTTCCTGGCCAATTATTAGTTGTGTAATATTGGAGAAGTTTAAATCTTCTCTGAGTTTAATTTCTTGTAAAAGTAAGAATAATATACCTGCCTCATAAAGTTACCAGGAGAATTAAATGATGTCATGTCTCTAAAGCATAAAGCAAATAACCCAGCTTCTTACTCACAATGGGGCTAACTAATTTAGTCTCCCTCCCTACCGCTGTCAAACAGACTATATGTTTACAGATTATATTAGAATCTTAAAAAATCATTGCAAGACCTTAGGCATCCAGATAATTAACATGTACAGTTTTGACTATTACCAAGTAATTCCAATGGTCCACATAATGTAACAATTTGAATTTTGCCAAGGTGCACATTGAAATCCTACATACTGAGAAGAGGCTGGTTTGCAGGAGTGAGTAATTTATCTGGGGTATAGCCTATCCAATGGCAAGCATCCTCATCTCAGCCTGACTTCATGGTTCTTAGCTCATCTTCCCATCTGCATGCCTTTTGTGAAACAAGAAAACCTCTGTATCTTATGGAAAATGTCTCTGCTAAACAAAGGAACAAACAGAAAAACAAAAACTAAACTAAAACCAATTAGCAAATTGTGCTGGCATAGAAGTGAAGAAAAAGTTAAAAAACCAAAGAAACAGATGATATACAGAAAAACAGGAGTTTTGGATAAATTATGGAGTGGGAATGCCACATTGGCAGTGGCTTGGATCCATGCTATGAATGCTTTTACCATGTGCTCTATAAGGAAATAAAGAAAGCTAATTCACAAACAGTTTCAATAAGTTTTCCAGACAGAATTTGTATTATTAGCCTTATAAATGAGTCTAGCCCTCTATTTATAGAATTCTAAAGGTCTTAAGGGGTTAATTAAAAGTTTTTAGTAATACTTGACTGAACTTTATGGGAGAAATTCTGTGCTATAATGGTATCTGTGATTTGGGGAATTTGTACAAGTCTCAGGGTGTATCTCTTAAGAATTTCAGGGTCTCTTGTAATTATTTTTAATACTAACACATTGTTCTTGTTGTATAGCAAATTGCAAAATGCAAATTATTAAACCATCATGGCAGTAATCACATTGTAAAGAAATAACTTGCATATTTAATTTCCGGTTTTACAATGAGGCTATAGCATTTGCCAGTAAATATTCAATACCATTGTACACAAGCACCATGCTACAAAGTACTTGGACAAATAAGACTCATCTGAGGAATGGAAAATACTGGCTCCATGATGGAAATGTAACCTTGAGACTTGGGAGGGTAAATTATCTCGGGGCAATAACAATGTTACCTATGACTGGCAGAAGGTCATAATACTGGTGCATTTAAACAGCTGTTAGTCCCCCAGTAGTCATCTAGAGAGACAAGAGAGAGAAATCACTTATTTTGATACTAAAAACACAGAGCTAGCTCTAAAGTATCTGACATATCCTAGTCCTGATCAGCAAATCTCAGCACTTTTGCTTGGTGTGAAGTCATTTAATTTTGACTGGATACTCCCTGTAGTAGGTAAGGCTAACACATCCAACGATAGATCTATTTCCACAAAAAATGATTTTTATACTCTCATTCATTAAACATGCAGTCTCATTTTCCCAAGGCTCTAAGCAGTGCCAACACGGTATTCCTTTCATTTGAACTCTGAAGTCCTTGTAGGAATAATGATCTCACATTCCTTTGTTGTTTAAAGAGTATGAATTCCGTGAACAATCCTAAGACAAATTAGTTAGATGAAATCTGGTATTTTGTGGGGCAGGTTAAGGAGAGTGAACCACAGGATTGATAAAATTCAACTGGATGCCAATTCTTTTGTATTATTTTCTGGCACCCTTATTTAAAATGCAAATACCCAGAGAGAGTAATACATTAAAGAGCATTAAGGAATAAATACATGGGTGGTGAGGAAGAGAACCCAATGTCTTCAACAAAATTCCATAGGAAGAGTCCCTATCTTTTACTTGGTTTAATGAGATTTGAAATGAGATAAGTACAAATTTGAGATCTGCTACTCTTTAGCTCCTTGCAGCAATTACTTAACCTCCCATAGTCTCAGTTTCCCATGAAAGTAAAACAGTGATAATAGTAACAGTATAGTAGCACTGAAGGGAGGAATTGATTAGATGACATATGCAAAAGACACAGAGGAGAGCTGGGCAGATGGGAAAAATTTAACAAAAGTTTATTTTTCTCTTTTGATTAAAAGTACTTGAATATCACATTACATTTTCCCTCCCCACTTCACTAGGGCAACACCAGTGGATAGGCACCCCCACTCAGGAGACCAGGAAATCTCCCCTAATAGGACTTCCAAGTGAATTATTAAACAGTGAAGTTATTTAAACGTTATTGAATTACTGAAAATAATTTCAAGAATCAGTGGTATTCTGTGGAAGTTATTAGGTGTAAGATAGGGACTCTTCCTATGGAATTTTGTTGAAGACATTGGGTTCTCTTCCTCACCATCCATATATTATTATTATTATTGAGATGGAGACTTGCTCTGTAGTCACCCAGGCTGGATTGCAGTGGCACGATCTCAGCTCACTACAACCTCTGCCTGCTGGGTTCAAGTGATTCTCCAGCCTCAGCCTCCCAGATAGCTGGAGTTACGGGTGCGCACCACCATGCCCAGCTAATTTTTGTATATTTTTAGCAGACATGGGGTTTCACCATGTTGGCTAGGCTGGTCTTGAACTCCTGACCTCAGGTGATCCACCCACCTTGGCCTCCTAAAGTGTTGGGATTACAGGCGTGAGCCACCTTGCCCAGCCATATTATTTACTTGGTTCAGATTTGTTATACCAAGTAATTCAGAGGTTTTTTCAAGAGAAGAAATGTAGAGGATAAAATGTTAATACCTTAACAATTATCAGACTCATTATTGAGCAAGACTGGAGTAGCAACAGAAGGAAGTCTATTTCTAATATCCTATTCTGAAGAAGTATCTCATTTCTTTATTTTTAGAATGCTTAAAAAGTTATTCTATCACAAAGGAAAACATAGTCCTACCATATGATTTACCAATTGTATTTCCAGGTATTTGCTAAAATGAGTAGAAAACTTATTTTCACACAAAAACCTGCACACAAATGTTTATAGTAGCCAAAGGGGATCAGACTATGTCAGCCCAAAATATGCCACTTCGGCATAAGTATTATTTTGGGCTCAAGGCAATTATACGAGGAATTCTCTGACATCTCTCTTTCTGCCTAAAGCATGACATAAATTTCCCTTTGTGAAGGCATCCTCCCTCTGCTCTCCCATGCCAGGAGGCGGTAAACAACTCTCATCACAGGAGACAGAAAGCTGGCATGAGATGTGTCTGCATAAGCAAACCTTACTAAAATAACACTTATCTTCCATTAGTTTCCCCCATATATTTACCTTTCTGTAATTGAATGTCCCTAGAAACTCAAACTGCTTTCCTTTGTTTTGTCACTTCTCCACACTTTATCACCCTTTGTTAAAGTGGTATATAAGTCCTGGGTTTTCACTTATTTATTTGGGATTTCATTTATTTTAGGTGAAGCTCCTTTGTGCATGTAAAGTGAACCATATCTCCTATTAATCAGTCCTTTGTTCCTTTAATTTGCAAGCCTCTTTCATTGAACCTAAGAAGGCAAAGAAAACTTTTTTCTCCTACTCTACATAGCTTTATTCATAATTACCCAAACTAAAGGCAACCAATGTGTTGTTCAATGGGGAAATGGATAAACAAATGATGGCATATTCATATAATAAACTATCATTCAATGATAAAAATAAATCAGCTATCAAGCCTCAAAAAGACATGAAGGAAACTAGATCATATTGCAAGTAAAATAAACCAATCTAAAAGGCTATATACTATATGATTCCAACTATATGACATTCTGGAAAAGACAAAATTGTAGAGAGTAAAAAGATCAGAGGTTGTCGTGTGTTTGATGGGGGATGGAGAAGGGGAGAGGAGAGATTTTTAGGGGATTTTTAGGGCAGGGACACTATTTTGTATAAAATTATAATGGTAGATAGATGATATTATGCATTTGTCAAAACTCATAGAACTGTACAACACAAAGAGTGAATCTTAATGTAAACTATAGACTTTAGTTGACAATAAAGTATCAATATTGCTTCATTAATTGTACCACACAAATGCAAGATGTTAATAATCAGAAAACTGGGAATAAGGGAGGGTAGGTTGGAGAGGGTATATGGAAACTCTCTGTACTTTCTGCTTAATTTTTTTGTAAATCTAAACTGCTCTGAAAAAATCTATTAATTAAAAAGTCATTTAAGGATATCTCATTCTTTATATGTCTTATTAAAATACAACAGATATAGGTAGAGAGAAAAGAGGGAACAAGAAGAGTGTAAAGCAAAGGGAGAGGCAGAAACATATAAGAATTATAAGACAAAGAAAATGAATTTGTGCCACCAGAAAAAAAATATTAGAAATTTAGAGAACCATCTTTTCTTTGTTTCTTTTTTTTTTCTCTTTTCTTCCTTTGCTCCTTTTTAGGGAATTGGAGTAGGAATTGGGGATTTTAGCAAACTTAGAATGTGGAATAAGTTGATGGCATTGGAATTTTTAAAATAGTTTGTGCACTTTTCCTGAGAGCGTGCATTTTACTTATTGCTGATGGAAGGCTAGAGTGTCTGGCATGGTATATACTTATGAGATGATTAAGCAAAAGATGGCTTCTGGCGGGAGGTGTGTGAAGAGGTATAATGTGACACTAGAAAAATCATGGGGCTGAACAATTGGGAACCTGCTCTCAGTTTGAACAAGAATAAACAGGCCTTACTAGGAGTACTGGAAATCAAAGGCAATGGTGATATGAGGCCTAGAGTAAGGCGAAGGGGTATGAAGTAGATGACAGTATGTCCCCCCAAATGAACTTTTCTTTTATATCGAGGTATAACATATATATAGGAGAGTGCATGAATCTTAAATGTACAGCTTGTTGAATTTTTATTTATGCACAGATACATGGATCCACAAACCAGTTCAAGATACAAAATATTTCCAGTACCTTAGAAGGCTTCCTTTTGCTCCTTCCCAGTCAATATCCCTGTCCTTAGAGGCAATCATTCTGATTTGTCACTAAATGTAAGTTTTGCCTGTAAATCTCATATAAATGGAATTGCACTATATTCACAACATTTGCATCCAGCTTTTTTTACCCAACATATGTCCGTGAGAGTCTATATTGTTTCATGTAATAACAGTGGCTTTTTAAAATTGGTATTCATATATTTTATTGTATGAAATACCATAGTTTATCCATTTTATTGCTGATGATCATTTGGGTTGTTTCCAGTGTTTTTGCTTTAATGAATAAATTTGCTATGAACATTCTTTTATATGTCTTTTGGTGGATATACACATCTATTTCTCTTGTGTCTTTACCAAGAAGTGGACATGCTGTGTCACACGATAGGCACATAGATATTGCCAAACATTTTTCCAAAGCAGTTTTACAATTTAAATTTTATAGCAACATATGAGGATTCCAGTTGCTCCATATCTTCAGCAACTTTTGCTAGTACTTGTCTTTTAAATTTAGTCATTACAGTGAGTGTAGAGTAGTAACCATTCTGGTTTTAGTTTGTATTTGCCCAATGGGTAATAAAATTGAGCATTTTTCCTGTATAATTATTGTTCGTTTGGATATCCACTTTTGCAACGTTCTTACTCAAGTCTTTTGCCAATTATTCAACTTGGATTTACTTCTTATTATTAATTTATGGGAGTTCTTCATATATTCTAAATATAAGCCCTTTGTCAGATATTGCAACTTTCTTTCTTTTCAGTCTGTGGCTTGCCTTTTCACCCTCTTAATGTATCTTTTCATTAATAGAAGTTCTTAATTTTGATGAAATCTAATTTATCAATTTTTTGTTTTAAAAATAGTGCTTTCCTTACACGGCTTGGATCTTTTCTTATTCCAAGTTTTTAAACATATTATTCTCTTTTCTGTTTCTCAGCAACATTTATTGAAAATTCCAGTCTTTTCTCCCTAAATGAAGTGGTGTTTTTGTTGTATATCAGATGACTGCATATAACTGGGTCTTTTTCTCCATTCTTCTTCGTCTTATTGCCATATTTGTCTATCTTAATGCCAGTATCACACTGACTCAATTACAAAGCTTTATAAAAGCATTTGTAGCTTATCTTGGTGATTCTAGATAGTTTGCATTATCATATACATTTTACAGTCGGTTCTAAGTAAACTCTTCTTTACAATTTTGTACCACTAAGTTGTAGCTAGCACACTCTCTAATTTTTTAGTCAAAGTTACATATGTACATAATTTAAATAGTCAAATAGCACTATAAACCTTTAAATGAAAAAAGTAGTCCTTTACTCCTAAACCTCATTTCAAGAAGCAACCTTTTCAAGTCTTTTAGCATTCTTCTGGTATTTAATTTAGTATTTCTCAATAATATAATTTTATTTCTTGATTTTCAGCTTTAGATGTTGTCTACTATGGAGCATAATTCAGCTCTCTTACATTTTCTCAACATAGATCACTTTTGTTAGGTCAATATTTGTTAGTTATATTATTATTATTATTTCCATGTAAATATTCTTCGCAGCATTCTTCTTCTTCTTCTTTTTTTCTTCTTCTTTTTTTGAGATGCAGTTTTGCTCTTGTTGCCCAAGCTGGAGTGCAATGGCTCGATCTCAGCTCACTGCAACCTCCACCTCCCGGGTTCAAGCAATTCTCCTGGCTCAGCCTCCCAAGTAGCTGGGATTGCAGGTGTGTGCCACCATGCCCGGCTAATTTTGTATTTTTAGTAGAGACGGGGTTTCACCATATTGGTCAGGCTGGTCTCAAACTCCTGACCTCAAGTGATCCACCTACCTCGGCCTCCAAAAGTGCTGGGATTACAGGCATGAGCCACTGCACTCGGCCTTCACAGCATTCTTCTATACCTTTTTGTTTTCCCTAGAGATAATAATCACCTCCTTGCCCGCATTCATTTTGTTTTATATAATTTACTACCATTAATTCATTCTTGAACTCTCCCAAAAATGTTTCCTTTGAATATATTTAATTACATCAGGAAACCTATCACATTTTTTTTTCTTAAAAATATCTCTCTCATAGCCCTCTATTCCCCCTCAAGTCTGGACTGACTGATCTCTAGGTCTACAATGAGAGTTAGATGTTGCCAAAGAATCTGCCTTCATTTGTTAATTTATGTGTGCTGCTATAACAGAATACCACAGACTCGGTAATTTATAAGCGATAGAAATTTATTTCTCACAGTTATGGAGGCTAGGAAGTCCAAGATCAAGGCATCGGCAGGTTTTGTGTCTGGTGAGAGCTTCTCTCTGCTTCCAAGATGGTGCCTGTTGCTGCATTCTCTGGAGGGGAGGAATGTTGTGTCCTTACCTGATGGAAGGGCGAAAGAGGGAACTCACTCTCTCCAGCCCTTTCATACAGGCCCTAATCCCATCCACAAAGGCTCTGCCTTCATGACATAATCACCTCATAAAGGCCACACCTCTTAATACTATCACATTGGCAATTAAGTTTCAATATACAAATCTGGGGGGACATATTCAGACCATAGCATTTTATTACCAGTTTTGGGATTCCCTTCTCCTCTTGTGTGGGACTCCTTAATTCCAGCGTCCCACATCTTCCTCTTTTTCGATTTCACCCTTTGTTTTGATAGAGCACATTTTGTAGTAGTTTCCGAGGAAAGAGTTCATAGGACATAAGTGTTTTGAGAACTTGCTCCCTTTGTTTTAGTATTGTAATTAATTGATCAGTTGACTAGGTGGTGAGATGGAAAGTTATTTCTCTTTCTGGATTTTGAAGGCATTTCTCCATTATCTTCTAGCTTCTGATAATAGACTTGTTATTTTGCAGTTGTAATAACATAATGCAATCAATGTTAGTTTGATTCCTGATCCTTGTCTGTTTTTTACTCCCAAGAAGGTTTTAGAAATTCTTTGTCCTTCAGCTTCTAAAATGTCCTGACTATAGGAACTAATATGGATCTTTGCTCATGCATTGTTCTGAGCATTTTGTGGATCCTTCAATGTTTTTTAGTCCTGATACACTTTCAAATTTTTTTTTAATAATTTCTATCTCTCTGGGTTTTTTTTTAATCTCTCTTAGGATTCCATTAAAATGATGTTGGACCTCTAAATCAATTAAATTTTTAAATCTTTCTATTTTCTATCTCTTGAACTATCAGACTTTCTACTTGATTTACTAAACTTTATCTTCCATTCCTTCTATTAAAATGTTCATTTCTGCTTTTGTTCCCTTGATTTCCAAGAGTTTGTTTTTGTTCACAAAATATTGCTTTTCTTAGTCTCCTGTTCTTGTTTTATGGGTGCTAATTCTTTTTTATTTCCCTGAGAATTATGAGGATTAGTTATGTTTTGATTGATGGTTTCTTAGTGTTTTACTCAATGCCTTTTTCCTTAAATTTCTTTTTTTCTCTTTTTTGTTTGTTTTGGTGTGGTTTTTGTCTTCTATACCATAGGTCTTTCTCATATTGTTATTATTGGCTGTGTGCTTATTTATGGTTAAGGTACAAAAGCAGGCTGCTTATAACCTCTGAATGAGTATGGATGGGACTTGTTGAGAAGTGAGTTTCACTCTAACATAATATCTAGCTGAGGTATTTTCTTAGAGGAAACCCAGCTTTAATACCTGCAGACCTTTTTGCTGGGCCAGTTTCCCTGGATATGAATCCTCCTGTTTCATGCCTGAGGGTTATGACTTCCTGCCAGCATTTCTAGGGCTGAGTGGCAAAGAGGGTTGTGGTGGGGGTGGGGAGGGCTCACCTTTCAGAAGTTTCACATTTGGCATGTTCTCCCTGTTTTCACTATAGTTCTTCTGTACTACGTGTAGTGAGATGAAGCTAGAGTTTCTCTGGTTCAGTCTTTCCTGGAAATGAATATACCTTTTGTTTTCTTTCAAGCGGGGAAAGTAGGTAGTCCTTTGCTTGAGCAGGCTGCTGGAAGAGATCTTTGGGGATAATTGTTTCTTATACGAATTTTCAATGAAATTTCTGGCTTCTAGCCTCACTTGAGACCCACACTTTCAGAGGTAGTTGATCCCCCAAATACTAAGGCTTTTTGTGGTTTTGTAATATGCATCTACTTATTTCTGGACTTACCTTGGAGGTTTCCCCACCCCATAGCTCTTCCAGGATTTTTCTAGTTTCCCAAGTTAGCAATCATTCACACATCTGATTTCTGATTTTCAACTTTTTATAGTCATTTATTTTCCTCTTTTCTTTGTACTTGTGGATTTATATATTTGAATATCTTTACTGCTTTCCCTATGAGGTTTCTGGAGAAAAAATAGTAAATACTTGTGTTCAATCTGCATTTTAACTGGAAGCTAGTTTTTCAATATTTAAGAATTTAAAATCAGCTCTTGCCCGAAAATAGAGTGACCAGCTCTTGATAAAATGTCTTTGAAACAGAAATAAGAATTGCCACTTTTTCTGTTGTTGTTCTAATGGCTGATTGATAAGAAAAGTGCCCCTTGTTAGCATGTTCTTTTCAGGAATGCAATAGAACAAAATGGGAGCCAAGAAGTGAATCATGGCCAAGGAGACGTTTTGGGATTGGCTTTCTGGTCATATTTAGAACCAAAGCTGGGCACTGTGGCTCATGCCTGTAGTCCCAGCTACTTGGGAGGCTGAGGCAGAAGGATTGTGTGAACCTGGGAGTTTGAGGCTGCAGAGAGCTATGATCATGCCACTGCACTCCAATCTGGATGACAGAATGAGCTCCTGTCTAAAAAAGTTAATTTTTTAAAGAAATAGAATAAAATCCCCACAAAGAGATGACAATATTATAATATGAAACTGCTATTCTAGATTTGTTGGCGTGATTATTACAGGACAAGTACAAAAGAAATAATAAGATATAATCATTATTGAATACATGCTTTTTATTTATAAATTATTTTATTCATTTGATGCAAATATTAGAGATCTAATTTGGGATATCAATGGGACATTCAGATTTTATTTACCAGATCTCTTTAAAATATATGAGCATATTTCAATATTCTCTACTTGCACTTTTAGTCTTCATAGAATCATTTCCATATTTTACAAAAAATGTTGTTTGTGTTATAACCAGTCATAAAAAGGGTAACTCTGGGTATTCAAAATAATACACATTTGTTAAGAAACCTCATATCAGTTTGTTTTAATGATTTCTTTTTCCATGTTGCTTTGTGGAGCTAGAAAACTAGACTGTATTTTTGTTTTTTTAAGGATAAAATAAATCCTGGACGGGAATAGTTTAGTGATACACTGCTCACATGTCATTCTTAGTGAATTGTGCAGCCTTATTTGAAATAACTACTTCATTAACCTCCATTATTATGAATAAAGATGTATTTAGCATTGATAGTGGATAGTCTGCTAAAGCTAGATGTAGATGCTGTTATAATCAATATTACATAGCCAGAAAAAGTGCCAGATAGGAAGAAAATGTGGGAAAGTATGTTTCAGAGTAACAAATGAATAGGGGCAGATATAAAATTCTCTAAGGAGACTTCAGAAATTTTGAGATTTTTTTCAGAGTATCCAAATACATGGAGCATTTAAAGGTGAAGAATGTGGACAGTAGCTGAATGAAAAATATTTCAGACATGTGAGGCTGTATGCAGGAGTTTTGAGGGAGAATAGAGAATAAAGAATTTATGCTTAATTGGAAGCAATTTTGAAGACATATGAAGAGTGTTGAGTGAGATGGGGAAGACTACACACCCAAAAATGTCTTCAGTGTTGTATATATAGTGAGCTTTTTAGTGAATGGCAGCTGAAGTTGTGGCAGAAAAACTGAAAAGGTGTTATAGAATTTAGAGTTTGGAACTGATGTGATGCTTATAAAGCCATGACCCATGTGGTCCAGTCCTGAAGTAGTGTCACATTTACAAAAACACAGCACAAATAATCAACTCAAGCTTTAACATGGTTCCCAAAAATGTTTGAGGAGGTTTAAGTATGTGACCCACTGCATTTGTTACTTAAGTCATTTTCCTTTCTAATCTACAGCACCCAGCTCCCAGATTGTTATATGTCCAGATCTATAGACTAGTCTTTATGAAGCAAGTTGTCTAATAAATGAGAATAGAACCTGTTTTCAGGGATATTATTAGTATCTTTTGTGAGAGAGGCATTGGTATCATATGTTCAAGTAGATTCTACATTATAGAAGACTTTCTGCTAGATATCATTTTCTTTGCATTAACCAATTATAAGGGAAAGGTAAGTCACTTATACCTTTTATCCATCATGTAAATACTGGAGAATTCTATCAGTTGCCATGGTGTATCTTTTGTCTTTGTGATAGAACCTTTACTGGCATGATTAAAGATGTTACAGAAAAAGCTATGATCTTTGAATTATTATCTTCCTGGAGAAGAGACTAACTAGAGGCTTAAAGAAGAAAAGTGCTTTTTTTTTTTTTTTTTTGAGACGGAGTCTTGCTCTGTCACTCAGGCTGGAGGTGCAGTGGCACAATCTCGGCTTACTGCAAGCTCCACCTCCCGGGTTCACACCATTCTCCTGCCTCAGCCTCCCGAGTAGCTGGGACTACAGGTGCCCGCCACCATGCACAGCTAATTTTTTGTATTTTTAGTAGAAACAGGGTTTCACTGTGCTAGCCTGGATAGTCTCGATCTCCTGACTCTGTGATCCGCCCGCCTCGGATTAGCAGTCCCAAAGTGCTGGGATTAGAAGCGTGAGAAAAAGTGCTTTTTAAAGGAGCAACAGGTCCTTGTTGTGTATGCCCATGTGAACACCAATCCTATGGGAGAAAATTAGCATGTTGTACTTTTTAGCAATAAGGTGCCTACTATTGCTAATGAAATGATCAAGATCTGTACTAAAAGCGTATGATTGGAAAAAGCCTGCAAAAAATAGTACATTTGAAACAAACCAATTAATTGAATTTAGCCTAAGCTAATTTTATCATTAATGAATGACAATTTTGAGAAATATTCAAATTTGTTCATCACAACAGACTAAAGGACAGATTCATTTCTTTTTTTAAAAATTTTTTTATACTTTAAATTCTGGGATATATATGCAGAACGTGCAGGTTTGTTACATAGGCATACACGTGCCTTGGTGGGTTTGCTGCATCCATCAACCCCTCATCTACATTAGGTATTTCTCCTAATGCTATCCCTCCCCTAGCCTCCTACCCCCTGAAAGGCCCCAGTGTGTGATGTTCCCCTCCCTGTGTCCATGTGTTCTCATTGTTCAACTCCCACTTATGAGTGAGAACATATGGTGTTTGGTTTTCTGTTCCTGTGTTAGTCTGCTGAGAATAATGGTTTGCAGCTTCATCCAAGTCCCTGCAAAGGACATGAACTCATCTTTTTTATGGTTGCATAGTATTCCACGGTGTATATGTGCCACATTTTCTTTATGCAGTCTATCATTGATGGACATTTGGGTTGGTTCCAAGTCTTTGCTATTGTGAATAGTGCCACAATAAACATATGTGTGCATGTGTCTTTATAGCAGCATGATTTATAATCCTTTGTGTATATACCCAGTAATGGGATTGCTGGGTCAAATGGTATTTCTGGTTCTAGATCCTTGAGAAATCACCACACTATCTTCCACAACAGATGCTGGAGAGGATGTGGAGAAATAGGAATGCTTTTTTACACTGCTGGTGGGAGTGTAAATTAGTTCATTTCATTTTATATTAAAAATATTTTCTCAGGCCAGGCGCGGTGGCTTACACCTGTAATCCCAGCACTTTGGGAGGCCAAGGTGGGTGGATCACGAGGTCAGGAGATCAAGACCATCCTGGCTAACACGGTGAAACCCCCTCTCTACTAAAAATACAAAAACTTAGCCAGGCATGGCGGCACACACCTGTAGTCCCAGCTACTCAGGAGGCTGAGGCAGGAGAATCACTTGAACCTGGGAGGCAGAAGTTGCAGTGAGCTAAGATTGCGCCATTGCACTCCAGCCTGGGTGACAGAGCTAGACTCCATCTAAAAAAAAAAAAAAAAAAAAAAAACCTCAAACCCAATTCCATAAAGTCATTCATGATTAAAGCATAACATTTTGCTGAAAAATTAACATCAAAAATTATCCTTTGTTTTAATTTCTTACCCTTGAGAAATCCCGGAGTAGGTTTATGATGCTTTATCAAATCAGAAGAATGAATATTCATTAAGCACATACGATGTGCCAGGTTTTGCCTTAAGTCCTACAGAGTGAACAAAGAAGATTCCTGGTTTCTTAAAATCTAGTAGAGAAAAAATTTTAAGAACTGAAAGTTAAAATAATATCCTGAGATAAAAGTAATACCTTAAGAAAACAGTGGAAAAGGACATACAAGTCCAATTATTAATACAAGTCAGACATTAAAATTCCTTTGGGAATCAGTAGATCAGCTATTTGGCTAAAGAACAAGGTATGAGAAAATGGTAGGGGGGAAAGTCTGGAAAGATAAATTGGGTTAAAATTATGGGCTTTAGATGCCAGGCTTTAGAACTTGATTTTGTAGGGAACCCTTTGACATTTTTAATTTTAAACTTAAGTGAAGAAGTAGCAAAATCAGAGCAGCACATTGTGGAAATGACACTTTCAGCTGTGTGCAGACTGGACAGAGAAACTACCGAGATGGATGAAAAGGCTACTTTCATTTTTCAGATGGCTTAGGTCACTTTATGGACACCGGATAGACTCCCCCTCCTCCAAAAAATTTAGTTCCTATGTCTAGACTGATGATGTCACACACACACACACAGACACGCACGCATGTGCACACTATTCTCATGATTAGGCTTTCTAGGGAAATCACAGCAAACTCCCAAGAAGTTCCAAAAATGGATTGAGAGAGCAGGGAGAGGTTACTGGCTTGGAGTTTTATGACAATTAGGGCACAGGGCTGGGGTGAGGGGTTCCCTCACATGTGTTGATTTGAACTTCCCATGGGTGCCAAGGGAGGGAGCACCCAGGCTTTTTTATCAGCTTACTAATATATGAGACAAAAGGAGAAGGGGAATTATGTATATTGAAAGCTATCAGCAATCAAACATCAAAAAGGGGGCCAGGCACTTTATTACACAAATGCAGGGTGGTAAGAGTGCTTTCGTGCTAACTCAGGGTGCTACATTAATATTATCAATAAGTTATAAGCCTCTACCTGATAGAACCTGCTCTGTGGGAGGAAGCTCTCTAGCAGAAGGGATTTTCATGAACATGGGGACATATACATTTAATTTACAGGCCCATTGAGGACCTTTGAAATGTCAAAGAGGTAGTCTCTAAGGCTTTGAAATAAATATCCCAGCAACTCTTGACCTTTTGTTCACTGCATTTCCTTTCATAAAAATTCTAATATATTACTTATGTTTGGAAGAAAGCATTTTTTAAAAGATGCAAAGCTAGACGGAGGTTGTTTGCATCTGGGACCAGAGTTGTAATTTTTTTTTTTTTTTTTTTTTTTTTGCTCAATCAACCCATCAGTTTTGTTTTGAGACTCAGCTACATATTCTCAATTTATATGTGTATAGAGAATCATCTAGAGGATTTGTTTAAAATGTCTATCCTTGTCCTCAACCCCAGGGACTCTGGCTAAGAATTCTTAGGCAGTGCTCAGGAATGCGCATTATGACAGGTGTTTCTGATGCAGGAGATTATATGCTTCACTTGAGTAACCTTGCCTCACCATGTACTCAGCACTGCACCAGGTATTGTAAAGGCTGCAGGCAAAGTCTAGCACAATCACAACCAACAAGAAGTTGACGCTTTGCTGTCTCCTTCCCTACTTAACCAATCTTTTAGCTTCTGCACCTACAAAGAGTATGCAAGCAAATATAAAAGCCAAGACTACAGTTCTGTTTAGTTACCACTCAGAATTTAGCAGTGCCTAAATGCTTGCTTCAAGAAAGGGCTTTATATACTTTTTTCTAATTTAAATTTCACAAAGTCAAATTATTAACACATTATAAAGTGCAGAAAATTGAGGCTTGGAAAAATTAAGTGACTTGCTTAAGGAATACAGCCACGAAGTGGGAAAGTCAGGTTTCAAACCCAGTTTCGTCTACATCAAACTTTTGTTTTGTTGTTGTTTTGTTTTGTTTCGTTTTTGAGACGGTGTCTCGCTCTGTCGCCCAGGCTTGAGTGCAGTGGCGTGATATTGGCTCACTGCAAGCTCCACCTCCTGGGTTCACGCCTCCCGAGTAGCTGGGACTACAGGCGACTGCCACCACGCCCAGCTAATTTTTTTGTATTTTTAGTGCAGACGGGGTTTCACCGTGTTAGCCCAGATGGTCTCGATCTCCTGACTTTGTGATTCGCCTGCCTTGGCCTCCCAAAGTGCTGGGATTACAGGCGTGAGCCACTGTGCCCGGCCTAACTTCTGTTATTAACCATGACACTCTGTTTACTGCCAGGAGCCTGGTGTTAGTTTTCTAGTTTCACTCGAGCGATGAATGAGATCCCATGGCACTCAGAACAGGGGGAAAATTAGGCAGTTGCTCACTCAGTTTTGCCGTATATTGACAGTTGAATAACAGATATGCATCTGCTGCCATAAAAGTCTTTGTCTCCCAGGATAGAACTTTCCTTATTGACTGGAATTGCAGTCTTTTCCACAGGCTTCGCTAAGACCTGAGTTTTGTCAGATGCTTCCCTGTAAGCACAATTTGTCTGGTTTAGAATAATAATTTTTGGACCAGGTGCTTTCCAGGGGCTGAGAGAAGCTAGGGTGGCTGGAAGAGACTAAGTGAGGAAAAGGATGACATCCGTTGGGACTAGGGACATATACAGACTCAGATCATACTGGGCTCTGGGAATCATGGTTAGAAATTTGGTTTTGATTCTAAATATGGTGGGAAACAAATGCAATATTTTACAGAAGGGACTTAGTGTTCTGATTTTATATCTTAAAAATAGCCTTTTGGTTGCTATGTGAAGAATGGGTGAAGGGAACATGAGTTGAAATGGGAAGTTGAGTAAGAAGGTTGTTTTACCTTCTGAATACCTTAAGTGCGTAAAAGTTCCTCTTGAAGGAAAAGCTAACAAAAGAAATTTTATGGACTGAATGTTCATGTTCCCCTAAAAGTCATATGTTGAAATCCCAACCTCCAATGTGATGGTATTATTAGATGAGGTCTTTGGGAGGTAAGTAGGTCATGAGGGTAGAAACTTCATGAATGGGGTTAGTGACTTATAAAAGGGACCCCAGAGAGCTCTCTTTCTGTTCTTTGCCGTGTGAAGGTACAATAAAAAGATGATCCTCTGCAGATCAGGAAGTGAGCCCCCAACAAACACTGGATGTGCGGACACCCTGATCTCAAACTTCCTAGTCTCCAGAACTGTGAGAAATAAATGTTTGTCATTTAAGTCACCCAGTCTATGATATATTTATTACAGCAGTCTAAACTGATTAAGACAGCAGGAAAACTGATATTTCTGTCTAGATAAAGTAGGAACTCAGAAAAAAAATTCTAGATGTCCCTCTACCTCCTCTCCAAAGTAAGTCTAGAGAGAAGGCAAGAAGTAGTGGGAGAGACTATCAACACTTGAGCATTTCCTGATTTCCCTTTTTCTTCTTTTTTTATCCTCTAAAATTCTTCCAAATATTTTAAATATTTTAAATTGTTAAATATTTAAATATTTCAAAGTTAATTTCAGCAGTGTTGACTCTGAAAGCCTACATATCAGGCAGGTGTTTAAGATGATGAGACCTCTGTAGGAGATGATATATGGAAATGTCTTCCTAGGAGAGTTGAAGAAAACTCTTTTTTTTTTTGAGACAGAGTCTCACTGTGTCGCCCAGGCTGGAGTGCAGTGGCATGATCTTGGCTCACTGCAACCTCTGCCTTTGCCTCCTGGGTTCAAGCGATTCTCCTGCCTCAGCCTCCTGAGTAGCTGGGACTACAGGTGCCTGCCACCATCACACCCGGCTAATTTTTTGTATTTTTAGTAGAGATGGGGTTTTGCCATGTTGGCCAAGCTGGTCTTGAACTCCTGACCTCAGGTGATTTGCCCGCCTCGGCAAATCTCGCATTCGGTAATCCCAAAATGCTGGGATTACAGGCGTGAGCCACTGCGCCCAGCCAAAAATCTTTTTCTTGATGGTGGATAAGAAGCCAGCTTTGCATCCCTCCCCACCCCCACCATGGCCCCCTTTCCCACTCAGCCCCAGAATGCTGGCAAGAACCCATAACCCTCTGGAGGACTCCATCACACAAAGCACCTGTGGAGTGGCTTGAAGGTGGCACCCCCTTGGGCCGAGGGCAGGTTTCTACTTGTCTGAGATAACGTGACTCAAGCTGCTTTGAGACCAGGACAGAATGCTGGTTTCACGGATGCCGTTCTTTTCCACACATATTGCTTAGCACTCCTTTGATTGCAAATGACAGAAACCCAACTTGGATTACCATAATGAAGCAGGGTATTTATTGTGAGGATAGAAACATGCCTCATGGAAACTAAGGTCAGAAAGATGGCTGGGCCTCCAGAACAATGGGAATTAGGTTCTTGAAAATCCTCTCTAACTCCCTGCATTCAGTTTTGATCAGCTTTATCCCATGACAGGAAATGTGGCTGCTGAAATCTCTCAGAGCTTTAGCCACGTAGAAGGGGACAGAATGTCATTCTCTTATTCCAAGTCCAGAACTGCAAGATAAGAAGCTTGTTGGTCTGCTGGAGTTAGGGTCTTCCTCCTGGGAGTCATTTGTGCTGAGGAGGTGGCACTGGGCTCATAGGGTGAACCCTACAGTACCATGGAAGTGGATAAGAGGGGGTAGCTCTCTTAGGAGAGTTGAAGAGAAAATTTTCTTCAGGGGTCTCCAATGACTGATAGAAGGGTACTAGGCAAAAAGTCCCACAGGTGTCAACTACATGAGAGATTTTGTGAAAATTGGTGAAAAGCAGGTTGATTAATTAATGCCCAACCTAAACAACCAAAAAATAAGAAAACATTTAATCCAAGGGGATATCTGAAAATTAAGAGAATCCAGTGAATAATGAACAAAGATTAGTATTATATTTTTCTGTTAACTCTTATTTGGGTAAGCAACTATTTCAGAAGGGATTGGTTCCTTTGCTTTATCTCATTAAATGGGATGCTATTGCCTGCAGACCGCATCTTCCCACAGTGAATAAAATACTTGTTTACATTCATGTAGCAAAGGTCCTCTTAGCCCCTTCCCCACCCTCTGCCCAATGCCTAAGCTGCTGTGTGTGAAGTTTGAGGTAAGCCTGTTGAAGAGTCTTGGGGGCAATGGGGTACAAGTGCCACATGTTAATGAGGACACTCCTGGTTTACTCTGCACAAAGGGTGCATGAGTCAAAATTCTCCACAGAAACAGCCAACAAGATGTGTGTACATTCAGAGACAGAGACAGAGACAGAGATTTATTTTAGGGAGTTAGGTCATGTGATTGCGCAGGCCTGGTAAATCCAAAATATTCAGGATAGGCCAGCTGACTGGAAACTCAGGTAAGAGCTGCAGTTACAGTCTGAAGGCCATCTGCTGGCAGAATCCTATCTCCCTGAAGGATGTCCACCTTTGATCTATTAAGGCCTTCAACTATGAGGCCCACTCACATTATGGAGGGCACTCTGCTTTACTCAAAGTCTACTGACTTAAATGTTCATCTCATCCCAAACACCTTCTCAGGAATATTCAGAAGAACGTTTGAGTATCTGGGCATCGTGGCCCAGCCATATTTACACATAAAAGTAACAACCATCACAAAGGGGAAGTGGCAGAATACCAGGCAAGGCATAGAATGGAACTGGAAAGTAGAAATTCATCAACAGTATCATGCCAGCCTGAGAAGCAGGGCAAGTGGTTCTTCAGACTTCTGGAGTCTGGAAATATTTATAGTTACACTGGAAGAAGGAAAGAAACTGTGAGAGGGAGACAGATGGGGAAGGAAGAACCTCCTAATGGCCGTAGTAGGAACATTTCCCAACATGACGATGGGTTCCCATGGTGGGAAGAGTGACCATGTGGGTATATGTGGAGAAATGACAAAAGCCTGAGAGGCAGGAGTGGCAGTGGTAGGGGAGGTGTCCTCTTCCTGCCTGTGGCACACAGTGGTGTGCATCTCTTACAGCTCCTCCCTGTGGTCTGTTGCAGTCTGCATGTGAAATAGAAGCATGCAGGCTGACTGTGGCCTTTCTGGGCTGTGCGGCATTGGGCCAGGAAAACCTTTGCAATGATTCTCTGAGGCCATGTAACAACATAAACAATGTCAGATAACCTAGGAACGCTCTATTCTCAGGCCCAGATGGACACTTTCAGGGAGGCCAACAATTTAGTACTCTCTCAAACCAATATTTGAATGAGACAATTGTCCAATCTTTTTTGTTATTGTTGTTGGCATGGGAAGGAACTGAATTTCCATGAAAAATTAGATAGGCTGGTTTATTATGTTTGCTATCTTCTTCTCAAAAACAACCATTTGCATAAGGCCAATAGTAAACAATTTGGTGTTAGTTGAGGATTTTTGATAGGGGAATAGATGAGGGATTAAAAAAAGGTGATTTCACATGCATACCTAGAAGACAGTTTCTTATTAAATCTTATGAATAAATGTGTTTCTTCCCTTATGTCTCTCTCGGGAATCTTGGTTGCGTCTCTTTTTTTCTCTCTGGTGCTTGGTCTTTTTGCCTCCTGCCTGCTCTTTCCTGAATATTCACCTCCCTTCCTCCATGTCTGTCTTTCTGCCTTTCTGACAAAGAGCAGTTTCACACCCGTCCAGCTCTATCTCCGTCCGAGTTACAACTGGGGGAATTGGTTTAGTGAATGGGCTGGACTCTAGTGTATAATCCAGAAACAACTTTTTCTTTCCTCACCACTATCTTCAAATGTTGTGGAATCTCCCTTCCCTTCCCCTTTGGTGACACCACAGATTCCCAACAAAGAAGTAAGAAGACTATATTCCAACAGAATGGTGCAAATCTGTCACAATTGAAAAATTACACTGTGAACAGAGAAGCTGTGGGGAGTAATCTGCTAAAAGCCACTCAAAAGTGAGAGAGAAGCGAGGTATGCAAAAGACAAAATTCCTTTTGCAAACTGTGCTGATCTGTAACTCACCAGATGACATACCTGCAAAATTAGGCACTAGCTGCACAGCTCCAGTTTCCACAGCTAGAATTCCAGAGGCATGGGCTTCATTGTTAATGAGGTTGACCTTTACCCAATAAATGAAGGTATTGATCTATGAATGATTTTTGATTTGGGAAAAATAGCTTTAATCATTCATTTGCTTAGATGTATGTTCCCTTCTCTTTATGTAACATCTTACTTCCCCATATCCATAGGTTTCAGGCCTCTTTCTTGGGATTAATGAATAAAGAGCTTGGTGGTGAACACTGATGCCTGCAGCTCTCTGAGCACAGCCCCCTCTCTCTCACTGATGTAGATTTGGAAAGCAGACCAGGCCCTAATCATGACTGCAAGCTGACTGCCTGCATCAGTGGTTCAGGGTGAGAAGTTACAAGAGCCAGCTTTAAAAAGTAGCTAGTTGGCTGAGTGCAGAGGCTCCTGCCTATAATCTCAACACTTTGGGATGCTGAGGCAGGAGGATCGCTTGAGACCAGCCTGGGCAACATAGTGAGACCCCATCTCCACAAAAGCTTTAAAAAATTAACTGGGTGTGGCAGTACGCACCTTGGTCTCAGCTACTTGGGCGGCTAAGGCAGGAGGATTGTTTGAGCCCAGGAGTTCAAGGCTGCAGTGAGCTGTGATCGCACCACCGCACTCTAGCCTAGGCGGCAGAGCAGGACGCTGTCTCAAAGAAACAGTGTCTCATTACATTCCCGCTGTTCCCACTTTTGTTTTGTTTGATTGCTCCTATACTCTCATGACCCACATCAAAGAGAAAAGGCCTTTGCTGGCTCCTGTTTCATGATGCAGAGAGGTCTGGGCTGGGGCACAAATGGATTTTTGTGTAATAATAATACAAGATTCTGAAGATTTAATGAAATAATCTTATTAACTGTAAAGTATTATGTAAATGTCACTCGACTTAATTTTAATTTTCTGAGCTGCTGGCTTACAAGACTTAGGACTATTAATGTAATTGAGTACTTATAATTAGGTAATTGAGGGCATTTAATGACAACTTTAGGTCACTGCTTAGAACTTATCAAAATGTATACTTTAGAAAAAGTGATGATTTTACATCTATGTGTCTGTGTCTTTCCTAAGTATGAGTTGCTTATATGCATGCGTTTATTTGTAGGCATACTGTAATTTCACTCCTGCCATTTGTGAAAACAAAGAGATTTGAAAAGCTTTGCAAAGAAGAAGTTGTAATTGTGAAGTTTTTAAAAGATTGACTGCAAAATGGAAATATATTTTATTTTCCTTTGATTAGGAAAATTTTTAAAAGCTCATAAAAATCTCTAGTAATTGAAGAAGTAAAAAGAAAATGTTAATAATTACCTATAATTCTCTGGCCATTAGTTCTTTTAACATATAAATATATGGAATACTCTACATAATTAAATCACGGACATATTTCTATTTCAATAAACATAAACCTTATACATCATTTTTTATAATTCAGTTTGAAATAATTTCAAATTTAAAGAACACCATATCCCTTTCACGCAGATTTCCCTATATTAATATTTTACCACATTTACTTCTTCATCCTCTCCATTTCTCTCTCTCTCTCTCTCTCTCTGTGTGTGTGTGTACAATCTCCATCACCATTAGTATTTTTCTGAATCATTTTTGACAAAAAGGTACAAACATAGTGCCCCATCATCTTTACATCCTCCTTTGTGTACTTCCCCCCCACCCCCACACAAGGACACTTCCTACATTTCTACCAGTCAACCTTCCCAATTGAGAAATTAACATTGATCTTACACTACCCTCCAATCTACAGACCCCATATAAGTTTCCTCAGCAGTCTCTGTAATGTCTCTTTTCCCTTTCTTTCTTTTTTTTTTTTTTTTTACTGGTCAAGTCTTATTCTTTTTTTTTTTTTTTTTAATACTTTAAGTTTTAGGGTACATGTGCACATTGTGCAGGTTAGTTACATATGTATACATGTGCCATGCTGGTGTGCTGCACCCACTAACACGTCATCTAGCATTAGGTATATCTCCCAATGCTATCCCTCCCCCCTCCCCCCACCCCACCACAGTCCCCAGAGTGTGATATTCCCCTTCCTGTGTCCATGTGATCTCATTGTTCAATTCCCACCTATGAGTGAGAATATGCGGTGTTTGGTTTTTTGTTCTTGTGATAGTTTACTGAGAATGATGGTTTCCAATTTCATCCATGTCCCTACAAAGGACATGAACTCATCATTTTTTATGGCTGCATAGTATTCCATGGTGTATATGTGCCACATTTTCTTAATCCAGTCTATCATTGTTGGACATTTGGGTTGGTTCCAAGTCTTTGCTATTGTGAATAATGCCACAATAAACATATGTGTGCATGTGTCTTTATAGCAGCATGATTTATAGTCATTTGGGTACATACCCAGTAATGGGATGGCTGGGTCAAATGGTATTTCTAGTTCTAGATCCCTGAGGAATCGCCACACTGACTTCCACAATGGTTGAACTAGTTTACAGTCCCACCAACAGTGTAAAAGTGTTCCTATTTCTCCACATCCTCTCCAGCACCTGTTGTTTCCTGACTTTTTAATGATTGCCATTCTAACTGGTGTGAGATGATATCTCATAGTGGTTTTGATTTGCATTTCTCTGACGGCCAGTGATGATGAGCATTTTTTCATGTGTTTTTTGGCTGCATAAATGTCGTCTTTTGAGAAGTGTCTGTTCATGTCCTTCGCCCACTTTTTGATGGGGTTGTTTGTTTTTTTCTTGTAAATTTGTTTGAGTTCATTGTAGATTCTGGATATTAGCCCTTTGTCAGATGAGTAGGTTGCGAAAATTTTCTCCCATGTTGTAGGTTGCCTGTTCACTCTGATGGTAGTTTCTTTTGCTATGCAGAAGCTCTTGAGTTTAATTAGATCCCATTTGTCAATTTTGGCTTTTGTTGCCATTGCTTTTGGTGTTTTGGACATGAAGTCCTTGCCCACGCCTATGTCCTGAATGGTAATGCCTAGGTTTTCTTCTAGGGTTTTTATGGTTTTAGGTCTAACGTTTAAATCTTTAATCCATCTTGAATGGATTTTTGTATAAGGTGTAAGGAAGGGATCCAGTTTCAGCTTTCTACATATGGCTAGCCAGTTTTCCCAGCACCATTTATTAAATAGGGAATCCTTTCCCCATTGCTTGTTTTTCTCAGGTTTGTCAAAGATCAGATAGTTGTAGGTATGCGGCATTATTTGAGGGCTCTGTTCTGTTCCATTGATCTATATCTCTGTTTTGGTACCAGTATCATGCTGTTTTGGTTACTGTAGCCTTGTAGTATAGTTTGAAGTCAGGTAGTGTGATGCCTCCAGCTTTGTTCTTTTGGCTTAGGATTGACTTGGCGATGCGGGCTCTTTTTTGGTTCCATATGAACTTTAAAGTAGTTTTTCCAGATGGAGGTGGCGGGCGGCACGGAGCGGGCGTGCTGAGCCCCGGCCGCCGGCCCGGCATGGGCGTCTCCCGCGGGCCCTCCGCTGGCCGGGGCTAGGGCCGGATGGAGCCGCGGGACGGTAGCCCGGAGGCCCGGAGCAGCGACTGCGAGTCGGCTTCCGCCTCGTCCAGCGGCTCCGAGCGCGACGCCGGTCCCGAGCCGGACAAGGCGCCGCGGCGACTCAACAAGCGGCGCTTCCCGGGGCTGCGGCTCTTCGGGCACAGGAAAGCCATCACCAAGTCTGGCCTCCAGCACCTGGCCCCCCCTCCGCCCACCCCTGGGGCCCGGTGCAGCGAGTCAGAGCGGCAGATCCGGAGTACAGTGGACTGGAGCGAGTCGGCGACATATGGGGAGCACATCTGGTTCGAGACCAACGTGTCCGGGGACTTCTGCTACGTTGGGGAGCAGTACTGTGTAGCCAGGATGCTGCAGAAGTCAGTGTCTCGAAGAAAGTGCGCAGCCTGCAAGATTGTGGTGCACACGCCCTGCATCGAGCAGCTGGAGAAGATAAATTTCCGCTGTAAGCCATCCTTCCGTGAATCAGGCTCCAGGAATGTCCTCGAGCCAACCTTTGTATGGCACCACTGGGTACACAGACGACGCCAGGACGGCAAGTGTCGGCACTGTGGGAAGGGATTCCAGCAGAAGTTCACCTTCCACAGCAAGGAGATTGTGGCCATCAGCTGCTCGTGGTGCAAGCAGGCATACCACAGCAAGGTGTCCTGCTTCGTGCTGCAGCAGATCGAGGAGCCGTGCTCGCTGGGGGTCCACGCAGCCGTGGTCATCCCGCCCACCTGGATCCTCCGCGCCCGGAGGCCCCAGAATACTCTGAAAGCAAGCAAGAAGAAGAAGAGGGCATCCTTCAAGAGGAAGTCCAGCAAGAAAGGGCCTGAGGAGGGCCGCTGGAGACCCTTCATCATCAGGCCCACCCCCTCCCCCCTCATGAAGCCCCTGCTGGTGTTTGTGAACCCCAAGAGTGGGGGCAACCAGGGTGCAAAGATCATCCAGTCTTTCCTCTGGTATCTCAATCCCCGACAAGTCTTCGACCTGAGCCAGGGAGGGCCCAAGGAGGCGCTGGAGATGTACCGCAAAGTGCACAACCTGCGGATCCTGGCGTGCGGGGGCGACGGCACGGTGGGCTGGATCCTCTCCACCCTGGACCAGCTACGCCTGAAGCCGCCACCCCCTGTTGCCATCCTGCCCCTGGGTACTGGCAACGACTTGGCCCGAACCCTCAACTGGGGTGGGGGCTACACAGATGAGCCTGTGTCCAAGATCCTCTCCCACGTGGAGGAGGGGAACGTGGTACAGCTGGACCGCTGGGACCTCCACGCTGAGCCCAACCCCGAGGCAGGGCCTGAGGACCGAGATGAAGGCGCCACCGACCGGTTGCCCCTGGATGTCTTCAACAACTACTTCAGCCTGGGCTTTGACGCCCACGTCACCCTGGAGTTCCACGAGTCTCGAGAGGCCAACCCAGAGAAATTCAACAGCCGCTTTCGGAATAAGATGTTCTACGCCGGGACAGCTTTCTCTGACTTCCTGATGGGCAGCTCCAAGGACCTGGCCAAGCACATCCGAGTGGTGTGTGATGGAATGGACTTGACTCCCAAGATCCAGGACCTGAAACCCCAGTGTGTTGTTTTCCTGAACATCCCCAGGTACTGTGCGGGCACCATGCCCTGCGGCCACCCTGGGGAGCACCACGACTTTGAGCCCCAGCGGCATGACGACGGCTACCTCGAGGTCATTGGCTTCACCATGACGTCATTGGCCGCGCTGCAGGTGGGCGGACACGGCGAGCGGCTGACGCAGTGTCGCGAGGTGGTGCTCACCACATCCAAGGCCATCCCGGTGCAGGTGGATGGCGAGCCCTGCAAGCTTGCAGCCTCACGCATCCGCATTGCCCTGCGCAACCAGGCCACCATGGTGCAGAAGGCCAAGCGGCGGAGCGCCGCCCCCCTGCACAGCGACCAGCAGCCGGTGCCAGAGCAGTTGCGCATCCAGGTGAGACGCGTCAGCATGCACGACTATGAGGCCCTGCACTACGACAAGGAGCAGCTCAAGGAGGCCTCCGTGCCGCTGGGCACTGTGGTGGTCCCAGGAGACAGTGACCTAGAGCTCTGCCGTGCCCACATTGAGAGACTCCAGCAGGAGCCCGATGGTGCTGGAGCCAAGTCCCCGACATGCCAGAAACTGTCCCCCAAGTGGTGCTTCCTGGACGCCACCACTGCCAGCCGCTTCTACAGGATCAACCGAGCCCAGGAGCACCTCAACTATGTGACTGAGATCGCACAGGATGAGATTTATATCCTGGACCCTGAGCTGCTGGGGGCATCGGCCCGGCCTGACCTCCCAACCCCCACTTCCCCTCTCCCCACCTCACCCTGCTCACCCACGCCCCGGTCACTGCAAGGGGATGCTGCACCCCCTCAAGGTGAAGAGCTGATTGAGGCTGCCAAGAGGAACGACTTCTGTAAGCTCCAGGAGCTGCACCGAGCTGGGGGCGACATCATGCACCGAGACAAGCAGAGTCGCACGCTCCTGCACCACGCAGTCAGCACTGGCAGCAAGGATGTGGTCCGCTACCTGCTGGACCACGCTCCCCCAGAGATCCTTGATGCGGTGGAGGAAAACGGGGAGACCTGTTTGCACCAAGCAGCGGCCCTGGGCCAGCGCACCATCTGCCACTACATCGTGGAGGCCGGGGCCAGACCAGCAGGGCGACACTCCCCGGCAGCAGGCTGAGAAGGCTCAGGACACCGAGCTGGCGGCCTACCTGGAGAACCGGCAGCACTACCAGATGATCCAGCGGGAGGACCAGGAGACGGCTGTGTAGCGGGCCGCCCACGGGCAGCAGGAGGGACAATGCGGCCAGGGGATGAGCGCCTTCCTTGCCCACCTCACTGCCACATTCCAGTGGGACGGCCACGGGGGGACCTAGGCCCCAGGGAAAGAGCCCCATGCCGCCCCCTAAGGAGCCGCACAGACCTAGGGCTGGACTCAGGAGCTGGGGGGCCTCACCTGTTCCCCTGAGGACCCCGCCGGACCCGGAGGCTCACAGGGAACAAGACACGGCTGGGTTGGATATGCCTTTGCCGGGGTTCTGGGGCAGGGCGCTCCCTGGCCGCAGCAGATGCCCTCCCAGGAGTGGAGGGGCTGGAGAGGGGAAGGCCTTCGGGAAGAGGCTTCCTGGGCCCCCTGGTCTTCGGCCGGGTCCCCAGCCCCCGCTCCTGCCCCACCCCACCTCCCCCGGGCTTCCTCCCGGAAACTCAGTGCCTGCTGCACTTGCCTGCCCTGCCTTGCTTGGCACCCGCTCCGGCGACCCTCCCCGCTCCTCTGTCATTCCAATTCTGTGAAGAAAGTCATTGGTAGCTTGATGGGGATGGCATTGAATCTGTAAATTACCTTGGGCAGTATGGCCATTTTCACGATATTGATTCTTCCTACCCATGAGCATGGAATGTTCTTCCATTTGTTTGTGTCCTCTTTTATTTCCTTGAGCAGTGGTTTGTAGTTCTCCTTGAAGAGGTCCTTCACATCCCTTGTAAGTTGGATTCCTAGGTATTTTATTCTCTTTGAAGCAATTGTGAATGGGAGTTCACTCATGATTTGGCTCTCTGTTTGTCTGTTGTTGGTGTATAAGAATGCTTGTGATTTTTGTACATTGATTTTGTATCCTGAGACTTTGCTGAAGTTGCTTATCAGCTTAAGGAGATTTTGGGCTGAGACGATGGGGTTTTCTAGATAAACAATCATGTCGTCTGCAAACAGGGACAATTTGACTTCCTCTTTTCCTAATTGAATACCCTTTATTTCCTTCTCCTGCCTGATTGCCCTGGCCAGAACTTCCAACACTATGTTGAACAGGAGCGGTGAGAGAGGGCATCCCTGTCTTGTGCCAGTTTTCAAAGGGAATGCTTCCAGTTTTTGCCCATTCAGTATGATATTGGCTGTGGGTTTGTCACAGATAGCTCTTATTATTTTGAAATACGTCCCATCAATACCTAATTTATTGAGAGTTTTTAGCATGAAGGGTTGTTGAATTTTGTCAAAGGCTTTTTCTGCATCTATTGAGATAATCATGTGGTTTTTGTCTTTGGCTCTGTTTATATGCTGGATTACATTTATTGATTTGTGTATATTGAACCAGCCTTGCATCCCAGGGATGAAGCCCACTTGATCATGGTGGATAAGCTTTTTGATGTGCTGCTGGATTCGGTTTGCCAGTATTTTATTGAGGATTTTTGCATCAATGTTCATCAAGGATATTGGTCTAAAATTCTCTTTTTTGGTTGTGTCTCTGCCCGGCTTTGGTATCAGAATGATGCTGGCCTCATAAAATGAGTTAGGGAGGATTCCCTCTTTTTCTATTGATTGGAATAGTTTCAGAAGGAATGGTACCAGTTCCTCCTCATACCTCTGGTAGAATTCGGCTGTGAATCCATCTGGTCCTGGACTCTTTTTGGTTGGTAAACTATTGATTATTGCCACAATTTCAGAGCCTGTTATTGGTCTATTCAGAGATTCAACTTCTTCCTGGTTTAGTCTTGGGAGAGTGTATGTGTCGAGGAATGTATCCATTTCTTCTAGATTTTCTACTTTATTTGCGTAGAGGTGTTTGTAGTATTCTCTGATGGTAGTTTGTATTTCTGTGGGATCGGTGGTGATATCCCCTTTATCATTTTTTATTGTGTCTATTTGATTCTTCTCTCTTTTTTTCTTTATTAGTCTTGCTAGCGTTCTATCAATTTTGTTGATCCTTTCAAAAAACCAGCTCCTGGATTCATTAATTTTTTGAAAGGTTTTTTGTGTCTCTATTTCCTTCAGTTCTGCTCTGATTTTAGTTATTTCTTGCCTTCTGCTAGCTTTTGAATGTGTTTGCTCTTGCTTTTCTAGTTCTTTTAATTGTGATGTTAGGGTGTCAATTTTGGATCTTTCCTGCTTTCTCTTGTGGGCATTTAGTGCTATAAATTTCCCTCTACACACTGCTGTGAATGCATCCCAGAGATTCTGGTATGTTGTGTGTTTGTTCTCGTTGGTTTCAAAGAACATCTTTATTTCTGCCTTCATTTCGTTATGTACCCAGTAGTCATTCAGGAGCAGGTTGTTCAGTTTCCATGTAGTTGAGCGTCTTTGAGTGAGATTCTTAATCCTGAGTTCTAGTTTGATTGCACTGTGGTCTGAGAGATAGTTTGTTATAATTTCTGTTCTTTTACATTTCCTGAGGAGAGCTTTACTTCCAACTATGTGGTCAATTTTGGAATAGGTGTGGTGTGGTGCTGAAAAAAATGTATATTCTGTTGATTTGGGGTGGAGAGTTCTGTAGATGTCTATTAGGTCCGCTTGGTGCAGAGCTGAGTTCAATTCCTGGGTATCCTTGTTGACTTTCTGTCTCGTTGATCTGTCTAATGTTGACAGTGGGGTGTTAAAGTCTCCCATTATTAATGTGTGGGAGTCTAAGTCTCTTTGTAGGTCACTCAGGACTTGCTTTATGAATCTGGGTGCTCCTGTATTGGGTGCATAAATATTTAGGATAGTTAGCTCCTCTTGTTGAATTGATCCCTTTACCATTATGTAATGGCCTTCTTTGTCTCTTTTGATCTTTGTTGGTTTAAAGTCTGTTTTATCAGAGACTAGGATTGCAACCCCTGCCTTTTTTTGTTTTCCATTGGCTTGGTAGATCTTCCTCCATCCTTTTATTTTGAGCCTATGTGTGTCTCTGCACGTGAGATGGGTTTCCTGAATACAGCACACTGATGGGTCTTGACTCTTTATCCAACTTGCCAGTCTGTGTCTTTTAATTGGAGAATTTAGTCCATTTATATTTAAAGTTAATATTGTTATGTGTGAATTTGATCCTGTCATTATGATGTTAGCTGGTGATTTTGCTCGTTAGTTGATGCAGTTTCTTCCTAGTCTCGATGGTCTTTACATTTTGGCATGATTTTGCAGCGGCTGGTACTGGTTGTTCCTTTCCATGTTTAGCGCTTCCTTCAGGAGCTCTTTTAGGGCAGGCCTGGTGGTGACAAAATCTCTCAGCATTTGCTTGTCTACAAAGTATTTTATTTCTCCTTCACTTATGAAGCTTAGTTTGGCTGGATATGAAATTCTGGGTTGAAAATTCTTTTATTTAAGAATGTTGAATATTGGCCCCCACTCTCTTCTGGCTTGTAGGGTTTCTGCCGAGAGATCCGCTGTTAGTCTGATGGGCTTCCCTTTGAGGGTAACCCGACCTTTCTCTCTGGCTGCCCTTAACATTTTTTCCTTCATTTCAACTTTGGTGAATCTGACAATTATGTGTCTTGGAGTTGCTCTTCTCGAGGAGTATCTTTGTGGCATTCTCTGTATTTCCTGAATCTGAACGTTGGCCTGCCTTGCTAGATTGGGGAAGTTCTCCTGGATAATATCCTGCAGAGTGTTTTCCAACTTGGTTCCATTCTCCACATCACTTTCAGGTACACCAATCAGACGTAGATTTGGTCTTTTCACATAGTCCCATATTTCTTGGAGGCTTTGCTCATTTCTTTTTATTCTTTTTTCTCTAAACTTCCCTTCTCGCTTCATTTCATTCATTTCATCTTCCATTGCTGATACCCTTTCTTCCAGTTGATCGCATCAGCTCCTGAGGCTTCTGCATTCTTCACATAGTTCTCGAGCCTTGGTTTTCAGCTCCATCAGCTCCTTTAAGCACTTCTCTGTATTGGTTATTCTAGTTATACATTCTTCTAAATTTTTTTCAAAGTTTTCAACTTCTTTGCCTTTGGTTTGAATGTCCTCCCGTAGCTCAGAGTAATTTGATCGTCTGAAGCCTTCTTCTCTCAGCTCATCAAAATCATTCTCCATCCAGCTTTGTTCCGTTGCTGGTGAGGAACTGCATTCCTTTGGAGGAGGAGAGGCACTCTGCGTTTTAGAGTTTCCAGTTTTTCTGTTCTGTTTTTTCCCCATCTTTGTGGTTTTATCTACTTTTGGTCTTTGATGATAGTGATGTACAGATGGGTTTTCGGTGTGGATGTCCTTTCTGGTTGTTAGTTTTCCTTCTAACAGACAGGACCCTCAGCTGCAGGTCTGTTGGAATACCCTGCCGTGTGAGGTGTCAGTGTGCCCCTGCTGGGGGGTGCCTCCCAGTTAGGCTGCTCGGGGGTCAGGGGTCAGGGACCCACTTGAGGAGGCAGTCTGCCAGTTCTCAGATCTCCAGCTGCGTGCTGGGAGAACCACTGCTCCCTTCAAAGCTGTCAGACAGGGACATTTAAGTCTGCAGAGGTTACTGCTGTCTTTTTGTTTGTCTGTGCCCTGCCCCCAGAGGTGGAGCCTACAGAGGCAGGCAGGCCTCCTTGAGCTGTGGTGGGCTCCACCCAGTTCGAGCTTCCCGGCTGCTTTGTTTACCTAAGCAAGCCTGGGCAATGGCGGGCCCCCCTCCCCCAGCCTCGCTGCCGCCTTGCAGTTTGATCTCAGACTGCTGTGCTAGCAATCAGCGAGATTCCGTGGGCGTTAGGACCCTCCGAGCCAGGTGTGGGATATAGTCTCGTGGTGCGCCGTTTTTTAAGCCGGTCTGAAAAGCGCAATATTCGGGTGGGAGTGACCCGATTTTCCAGGTGCGTCCGTCACCCCTTTCTTTGACTCGGAAAGGGAACTCCCTGACCCCTTGCGCTTCCCAGGTGAGGCAATGCCTCGCCCTGCTTTGGCTCGCACACGGTGCGCGCACACACTGGCCTGCGCCCACTGTCTGGCACTCCCTAGTAAGATGAACCCGGTACCTCAGATGGAAATGCAGAAATCACCCATCTTCTGCGTCGCTCACGCTGGGAGCTGTAGACCAGAGCTGTTCCTATTCGGCCATCTTGGCTCCTCCCCTCTTTTCCCTTTCTGAACCCAGGCCACACTCCAGAATCAGGTACTGCATCTAGTTGTCATCCCTTCAGTTACTTTCTATCCAAAAGAGCTCCTCATTCTTTCCCCATCTTCCATGGCCTTGATGTGTTAACTTCTGTACTTTGTCTTTAATTCTGTATAATTTCCCTCTAGGCCTGGGTCTGTCCAGACCCCCATGCCCAGACCCAGGCCATGCATCCTCGGCCGCAATGCTGAAGACACGATGCTCTGCTCTTCTCAGGGCATCACATCAGTGGACAGCATGATTCAGAGTCGTCCTACGTCACCATCCTACAATCATGATGCAAAGCTCGATCACCTCATGTAGTGGACGATCTGGCTTCCAAAGATGTCCTAGACTTAAACCTAGAAATCTGCAAATATATTACCTTAAATTGCTAAAAGGGCTTTGCAGATGTATCTAAGACCTTGAGAGGAGGAAATGATCCTGGATTTTCCAGGTGGGTATAATCTGGAATCTTTATAATTTGCATAAAGAGCAAAACCTTTATTAAAACTACAGAGAACTAGAGAGGCAGCAGGATGAGAAGGACTCAGCCCACCAATGCTGGCTTTGAAGATAGAGGAAGGGGGCCATGAGCTGGGGAACAACGGCAGCCTCTAGAAGCTGGAAAAGGCAGAGAAATGGATTCTCCCCCTCCAGTCTCCTGAAAAAAACAGTCCTGCCAACACCTTGATATTAGCCCGAAAAGACCTGTGTTGGATGTCCAACCTTCAGAACTGTGAAGATAAGTATTGTTAAAGCTGCCAAGCATGTGGCATAATTTGTTATGGCAGCAATTTAAAATTAATACACGTGGTCAAATGGTCAAAATGACTGGAAGTCACTGAAATGGACTGGGTTTATCTGTCCATAAAAGGTTATTAGTAGAACATCATGCTTCTCATGTGTCTGATCATAGGCTTGAGAACAAGGGCTTGGCAATTGTCAGAAACCAAGAGAGCTCTAAAATGCCAAGAAATTGGAACTAGAAAATATAGTACAGTAACAGTTTCATTCTTGGACTTTACCCCACCAAACCTATACACAATGGGGAATGGCAACTTTTCAAAAAGTTAGGGAGGAGGAGAATAAGCTAGAACAGCAAAACAACAAACAACCCCAAATAAATTGAAGGCAAACCAAACCAAAAACAGATACACACCTCACCAAAGGAGTTTAGATTTTATCCTGAAGACCTCAGAGAGATTCTGGAGAGCCTTAAGCATTTGTAACTTCACTTTGTAAAAGTGAAGTTTTCCATCCAGCTTCTCCCAAAATCTGCACACTAGCTTTCCATTTTAAAATATAGCTTCTGATTGTCTCTTGGATCCTAATTCCACACTCAAACTCCAGACCAGTAGCAACCCTGATTCCTTTTGTATCCTTTCCTTCCTTTTTTTCCCTCCTTCCTCCTTCTCTCCCATTTCTCTTTCTCTTTTTCCCTCCCTCCCTCCCTTCCTTCCTTCCTCACTCCCTCCCTCTCTCTCTCTCTTCCGTCCTTTCTTTCTCTCTTTCTTTCTCTTTTCTTCCTTTCTTTCTCTCCTTCCTTCCTTCCTCCCTCTCTCCCCTCTCCCCTCCCTTCCCTCCCTCCCCCTCCCCCCTCCCTCCCTCTTTTCTTCCTTCCTTTCTTCCTTCCTCCCTCCGTCCCTACCTCTCCCTCCCTCCCTCTCTTTCTTTCTCTCCCTCTCCTTGTCTCTTTCTCCCTCCCTCTCCCTCTCTTTCCTCCGTCCTTCCCTTCCCTTCCTTTTTTTTTCTCTTCTCAGTCATTATGAAAAATAGTGCATGTTCCTAGAAAGTTCTCCAAACATGTGTTTCTGATTTTCCTGACATGTCTTTGTGCTTACTGCCCTCTCTGCCTGAGTTGTCCCCACTCCACCACCACCATGCCCATGCCTGGCAAACTACCACTTATCCTTCACCACCAAGGTTCATTCTCTGACCTTTCTCTAAGTCCCTAGGGTGGATCACTTTCTTCTCTGAGACAGCACTGTATCTTTCCTATTCCTCAACTGTAACACTGTGTTGACATTATTTCTCCCTCTCCTTTTCCATTTTCTTCTATCAGACCCTAAGCTCCCTTTCAAAATGTATGCTGGGTGGCTTAGCATTGTGTCCAGCACATAATAGATATTGATTGAGTGAAAGAAAGAGACTGCCAAGGACCCTTTCTGGAAATTACTGAGGTTGGTATATCCTACACATACAGTTCATCCTATGAAATATAAGATGCAAGTCATCTTCTTAATGCACAGTGATGCTGCCAGCCTAGGGTGGGATTAGCCACCACCACATCCTGGCCCAGACACACTAGTTCTACTCAGACCCTTCCTGTGCCCAGGCTTTAGCAGGGGCCAGAGGGCAGCAGCCATGTCTGGGAAGGGTCAGGAAGGGGAGGCTGGGCATGGCCTTAGGCACCAGGGAGTGGAAGAGCGGGTGGCTGAGAATCCTCCCCAGGGAAGTGGCAGGAGATAGGCCCTCCTGTGGACTAAGGCTCCAAGAAACCAGCACGTGCTCCATTGCCTAATTAGACTTCATTTTAAAAACACAAATTCCAAGATAAAATGGAGAATTTCAAAACGACAACCACAGAGCGTTACGGGGCCCTTGTGAGCATGAGGCCCTGTGAGACTGCACAGGTGGCATGTTCATGAAGCTGGCCCTGGCTGGGAATGTTGTGTGAAAGGTTATCCAGCCCAGCCTTTATCTGTTGCTTGGGTCTGTTTCTTGTTCTGAGTTCTTTCCTGCTTCAGTCTTTGGTTTTTGATGCATTATACTTCATCTTAAAACATTGCTTTCTTTTCCGTGTCAGTAATTACTTTAATAATTCCCTATGTCTGAAATCTTCCAGAGAAAAAGTAGAATAAATGTACTGCTAATTTTCAGGGATAGTGCATTGATATTCTTAATTTAAACAACAAAAAATATTGTTTCATTGACTTTAACTGGGTTGGATTAAATTTTGTCTCCACAATTCCCCACCCTTTGTTTTTATCCTCGAAGGCATGATTTAATTCTCCAAGGGATCTCTTTTGACTTACTAGTTTTCACGGTTTATTTTGAGTGTAAAATTAGAATATCACACTCGTTTGCAAGTCTGAGTCTGAGGAATGAGAATATTATAGGTTGATGCCCTACTTGGAAAAACACATTTCGAACCCCAAAGAGGTGGATATGAGTTTTTTTGTTGGTTGTTTGTATTTTTCAAGATTTGTGATAAATGGCAGAGCTCAAACCCAAATAATCCTACTGAAAACATTTTGGGCTCATATGGACTAATTCTTGTAAAGTCTGTCTTCTAGAAACTTATACTATATGATTTCTCAAAACAGGATCTTGAAATGATAACTTCTCATGGCATAGCTGGTACACTTTGTTCCTGACTTCAAAGAAAAATATAATCTTAAGATGTGTCCAATACCTCTTAAAATACACTCTGACTCATCTGTCAGACTCCAGGCCATGTATTCCACTGTAAATCTGATATCTAAATACACAGGTTGAAGTCTCAGGGGATGTGAACTTGGTTAGAGTCGAACTCTACTTACAATATGCAATCGCCACTGGCTTTCTTTGTCTTTCTGAGAGATTTCTGGCTCATTCAACAAAACTGGGTTGGAAGTATTGGTGAAGAACTCATCAGCTCAAGCCATGTAAAAGGGAAAAGAGGGGGGAATGGACACCTTGAGGGCCAGTAAGACAGACATAAAGCGTATGCCCCTGGAGAGGGCTGTTTTCCATAAGCTGAATCAGGTCTAGAAGTAATTCTCTACTGCTCCCAGTCTCCATTCACCCAGACATCCCAAAGAACACCTTGTTTCACTTACAGAGTGCATGGGAGGGGAAATGATGCAGTAGCTGAAATGATATGGCACTGGAAGGTCATGGTGACAGAAGGAGAAAGGGGGTTTCCAAAATGCTGGCTGGCATCCCCTCATTCAATGGTGTGCTGGAGAAGGCTTGTATTGGCTTAAGAGAACAGATTCTTAACTATATCGATTACCTGAAATTGGCCATGAAAATCACTGTGTACTACTAATCAAGTCTTGTCTGTACCCCCACCTCAAAGTTGACTGGCAGGTCACTGATACTAAGCTTACATTGCCCTCTAGAAATGTTCTCTGGCTACCTCTGATTGCCTGTGGGAATTCCTTTTTGATGTTCTTGTGGCCCTTACCTCTATTTGTCATCATTATGTATCTACCTGCCCCCATTCATGGCCATAGAGGCCATAATGTCTACCATTCAGCAGATGCTTGACAAATGTCCCCTGTATCAATGGGCACATAAAATGCATATTTTTCAGGTGCACATTAAAACTAAGAAAAGATCGATCTTTACTAACGGAATGTTTTTCTTTCCTTTTTTTGTTTATATAACATTTAATGAGCTCCTATACTGTAATTTTAATAGGCCCTGGGGATTTACCAAGTAGCAAGGCATGCTTCTTTTATTAAAGAAGCACATAGTTTACTAAGGAAGACATATATTGCTTTCTCTTTGTATTAATATGTCCTTTCATCTGTTTCTATGTGTTTTTTACATGTTTACATTAGTTGGTTTGCCAAGTTATGATGAAACTCCAATACATACAAGTTTATATACAGAAGAAGATCTGAAGGGCCACATACCAAAACATTAACAGTTTACCTCCGATGTGGAGATAAAATAGGGGAACATAATATTTTTTCTTTGTACTGTTTATACTGTTTGAATTTTTGAGTACATATTATTTTATACTTAAAATATCTAAGAAGAAATTTTAAAAACTTGTGCAGTTAATACAAATTCAAGGATGTATGAAGCAGGGGTCGGGGCATGATGGAGTAGGGGGGATGTTTCAGGATGAAACTGTTCCACCTCAGATCATCAGGCATTAGTTAGATTCCCACAAGGACCATGCAACCTAGATCCCTCACATGCACAGTTCACAATAGGGCTCATGCTCCTATGAGAATCTAATGCCGCCACTGCTCTGACAGGAGGGAAAGCACAGGTGGTGATGCTCAGCGGCCCGCCATTTACCTCCTGCTGTGAGGCCTGTTTCCTAATAGGCCAGGGACTGGTATGAGTCAACCATCCGGGGGTTGGGGACCCCTGCTGTAGGTAATGAGAATTACCTGGAGAATTTTAACCGAAGGGTGATGAGATTCAATCTATATTTTTGGATGATAACAGATAAAATTGAGAACTAGGTTACACTGGTGAGAGGCAGACTGAGCTTAATGATATATTATCATTTGGTCTTTATATAACAAGACTGCTTCTCTACCTAGTTTTGGGTGGGAATAACTTGCACTGGAAGTTCCTAGGTTGTGGTACACAAGTCCTTAAGTGGCTATAAAAACAGACAGTCCAGACACTCAGTCTCTCCTTCTTTCAGCTCTAATGTCATTGCCCTCTTGTATCCTGGCATCAATTAAGTGTTGGCAAGGGATAAATTCAGTCTTGCTTTGAGTCATGTGGGTGGACAATGGTGGTGAATGGAAAAAAGCTCCTAGCAGAGGTTGGGCTTGCTGGAAATACAGAGATGGGAGTTCTCGGTTCCAAGAATAGTTAATGGTGTCAGGATATAGGCTACAAATTGTCATTTGAGGGTGGCCTGGCTTATACTTGGTGGCACTGGCTTCAAACCAACTGACCTTTGAGTTATAAAGACGTCAATTCCTTCATGTGGTGACTTTCATAGGTGCTATCTCCTGTAGGGTAGGTTCAGGTGAAAATGAATGGAAGGTAGGTGAGAGTCCA
This sequence comes from Homo sapiens, assembly GCF_000001405.40. Lineage (NCBI taxonomy): Eukaryota > Metazoa > Chordata > Mammalia > Primates > Hominidae > Homo > Homo sapiens. Next base: position 43,981,982 of record NC_000013.11, read on the forward strand.
TGGGGTACCACCCACTGGATGTGAAGCACCCCACATGGAGTAAGGTGACTTGTTAGATCCCTCCAGCAGAAGAGGCAGGCAGGGAGGTGAAGCATGATTTGTGTATTGATTTGACTCTGCCTGCTTTTGTTGCTAAACACTGCATGCTGTCCAGGAACATGGAAGTGGGGCTGGGTGAAACCTTCTGCTTTGACAGTCTTTTCCTGACCGGAGCAATCCTTAAAGGGAAGGTCACTTCCTGTCCATTGCTCAGTTAAGATCACTTTAGACCATAATAAAGTGAGGCCCTTGTTATCATCCATAGACATGGGTTTTGTTTTGTTTTTTCATTATATACCCAGCCAGGTGCTAGCACAGGCCTTCCCAGAAACAATGGGTCAGGACCAGTTCTAGTGTCTTCCACATCATAGAAATTAAACAACCACCTCATTTTCTGTTTCTAACTCAAATCTAGGGCCTGTCTACTGGCTTTAGGTCTTTCTACCTTGGTGATACCTGTAATTTGAACATTAATGCTCTCTGTCCCTGGGAGCTTGATTGGTATTATTCTAAAAAAATCTTCTCAACTCATGCATTTATTCATTCAACAGGTACTGGATTTTTTGAGTGCTAATGTGAGTCAGACATTCTGTGAGACATTAGGAATATAATAGTAAACAAAGAGAACCTTAGGCCTGCTGTAATGTTGCTTAAAGCCCAGGGTAGGATTGAAATACTAAATGAAGAATAACAATGTAAATGCAAAGCCAAACTGTGATAAGGCAATGATGGAGTTCTACAAGGTAAAATTACATAAAAGAAGAATCGTCTAGTGAGGGAAGTCTGAGGAGGCTTCCCTCAGGAGGTGATAACCCCACCAAGCTCTTCCTTCAGGAGTAGAAGGGCCTAGGTTTCTGGGCAGGTTGATCTACTTCCTACTAGAAAGTGAAGCAATATTTCCCAGGTCACACTAAAAAATGGGAGGTAAAGGGGTCCCATCAGATTATAGTTCTAGTTCAATGGGGCTTACTCGCCCTTATTCACATTACTAAGGGATACTCAAGTGACTCTTTGAAGGACAAAAAGATAAGCTTCTCCAGAATAAAAAGAAAGCCAATAGCTATAGCCTGCTAAATGTATTAAAATGTCACTTAATATTTATAGAATATCACTGAAGTGTAGAGTCCCTTCCTGACACCTACATCTTGTGGGGCCAAATAGCCATTTTCCACTTACTTTGGGTACTTTCCCCACTCTGAAGGTTCTGTTCTATAGCCAGCCTGCTAAAACCTGATTCCAATCACTTTTTCCAATTTTTCAGGGTCTCTTAGGATTTTTGAACAGCGGTTATTTCTTCTTTTCTTCTCACAAAGACACTTGCAATAAGTTGTCCATGACTAGAACTGATTCAGGTATTTAGTTATAATGTTGAAGAAATGTTGAAGTGTAAATATAGTAGTTAAGGGAAAAATTCTGCTTTCTGAAACTCCCAGGATGGAATTTCCAGCCATGAGCAGGGTACCATTTGGGATTTCTGGGTGGGGAGTCTGACAAGCTCACTTCTCAGGAACAAAGAGCACTCGCCGCCTGGTAGTCGTTATTAACAGCTGTGTGACTGGGCCCCACGGCGACGTGTTGCAAACTTCTTTTCAGAATTTCCCCAGCTAAGAGGAGATTCATGAGTCAGAATGTTGGGAACTGCACAGGCAAGTACCTTGATTTTGAGGAAAATTTGTCTGGCTCGTGAATTATAAAAATAAATAAGTGCCATATATTTAGAAAGAGGTACTGGATGTGTGGATTTGGAGAAATTGAAATGTATACAAATATACATACACCAACTCCTTCTTCTCCAAAGAGACCCCCTCAAAATGATGGCTTCCAGAGCACATGAATAAAAATGATTGCAATGAGTTTAAAATACTTAACATTATTTTACAAATCATTAAATGCTGTACAAGTCATAACCCAGTGGACTCACAAATTAAACAGGGCTGACTGATAATAAAACAACAAATTAAGCAACACAGGGGAGTATCTGACTGTTGTTCAGAAATTAACCAACTCTAACATGTAGGAGTAATTAAAATAATTCCAAAATAATGGAGCTTATTAATGTTGGAAACTGGAAGAGACAGTCCAATCGTATTTATTTAAAATGCTTATACTTTGTACTTAAATTGTGTATTTTTTCATGTCTATTGTTTCTTGTGAGCATCATTACAACCTCTTTTTTTACATGTTGACATGAGTTTATTTCGTGGTTTTGATCACAAACAAAACATGTTCATCATGAGTTACTCAAAGAGGTATAAGGAGAGATATAAAATTAAAAGCAAAGTTCACAGGGAAATCCCAACTGAGATAATTATTCTTAAGAATTTTGTCAACATCCTTGCAGACACTTCTAGGCATATATGCAGTAGATATCACTTAAATAATTTTGCGCTTGCTACAAGGTTAAGACATTGTAGTATATGCATAGTCAATCTCTTTTTCTCCTACTCTCTGGAAAGGAAATTTTGTCCACTTAGCATTTTCTTCTTTCTCCACCTTATTTTTCGGAGTATGGTAATCAGTGAAGAAAAAAAACAAAGGAAGAAGGAAGAGGGACAAAAGAGAAGTGGCTGATCTGTTTGAGTATCATTGTGATGTCTTTGGTTGAGAGTAGAAAAGCATATTGGGGAGGAGAAAGCCTTCAGGAGCTATTACAGTGTGAGAATTAGAGAACAAGATGAAAAAGGTGGGATACAGAGACTATTTTAAGATGTGGTGCTGTGGGTTAGGAATTGTAGGTTCTTTAATGTTTTCTGAAAATGGAGAGCCAAGGCTGAAATTACTCTGTAATGCCTTTTTGTTGCTGGGTTGTTTCTGTGAATGTGACACTGGGCTGAATTGAACCACAGTGAAATCTGGAATTTATTTGATTTGCACATAAATGGGATTATATCAACCATACTGCTTTGTAATTCCTTTTGTCTTGAAAATATGTGATGGAGCTTCTATTTGAGTCAACCAATATGAATTACATGATTCTTTTCAGTGGATGCATAAAGTCTCTTGTATGAATACCTCGTATCTTTTTGAACTAGTCTCATGTTGGTGGACATTTTGGTTGTTTCTAATTGTGATGAACATCTTGTGTATACTTGCATATTTATGTAACTACCTCATTGGGATAGATTCTTGGATATAAATTTTCTGCATGAAATGGTATGTACGTTTTACATTTTATTACATAACACCAGCAAAAAGTCATGCTGATTTATATTCCTCTCACTGTATATTAAAGTCCCATATCCACAAAATCTCATTCTTATCATTTCTTATTAGTTGGTGAAGATTAGCACAATTTTGACAACATATCTACAGTATACACATGAAGAAGCTGAAACCCAGAGAGATTGAGGGATTCTTGCCTAAGGTGTTAGAACTGATAGTTCTAGTTCATCGGCCTCTTTAGAGGTGTCATTGCCTGGAAGATCCAGATGATAATATGTCCATCAGGCCTTACAGAAACCACCCACAGGGAAAAGGAAGATACTTAAAACTGGCAAATGAAACAATTTCCAGTTCAATCCATCTGTGTAACAAGGGCATACACACCACTGTGACGAGATGATGTGTGTAAAAGTGCTTTGTAAATCACTGGAGATTGAGGCACTGTTTGGGAAAACAATTACCCCTTTCACCTGGATAATTAGGACTGTGTATTTAGCTAATAGACAGGAATTATAAATGTTTGCTGTTTGACCTTGCATTTGAGTGTCATTTTTATCATCTGCAACTCGATAGCTAAATTCCTAGTAAATGAAGCATTTATTATAAAAAGTGCTGACACAGTACTAAATCTGGACCACTTTTCCTTGTGATAGCCTGATGATTAAAGGCCAGAATGTCCAATTCTGTGCTGTCTCATAGCAAATGTACTATAGGCAGTGTTCTTCCGCTGTTAATCCGTGTCCCCAGGTTGCCTCTGACCTTGACCCAGGAGGCCTGTTGACTCCATGCTCATTTATACTCATTTTGTCTCTAGAAACACTGATCCAGACAGCTCTTTCTGAGTTTATTTTACTTGCTCCGGTCCTGCTAGACTCTTAAGGATTTCAGGCACCAGAACAGCTGTGTTTAACCTTGTCCATTAAGTCCTTACCCAAGAAACCCGTCTGAATTGGTGATGTTTCTGAAAACACAAATGAGGCCAAATTACAAGTGGAGGAAGCATCTGGGTTAAAATAAACTGTCACCAGACAAAAGCTATCTCCTTCCATTTTCTTTTTTTGTAAGAAAAACAGGTTACTAGCTATAATCTTATTCTTAGGTAAAATGTGCTGTTCTAGTCTTTTTAAAAGCACTTGCCTCAGAATTTCTACTCAGCAATAAGAAGAGGGGGCAGACCCCGTTATCTGCTTGTAGTAATAAAGATCCACATTTATCTTCTGCAGTTCTGGCTTTGGTATTCTTACTTTGAACTGGAATAGCACAGGAAAAGTGGATTGAGGACCGCACAATTGGAGCATGACTTGTGTTGCCTGGTTACTGAGACTCTCCAGAGATTAGATTGTCAGGGTACTTAGATGCACAGAAAAGCAAACAAACAAACCTCCTACCTTCCTGGTAATTCTTTTATGAGGACAGGGCAGCTTCTAAAATTGGAAACCTAGATTAGGGGAGAAAATAGTTTCTATTAGCAGAAGAGGATGAATAGTAATTATCTTCAACGCTGTCAGGTGGCCTCACCATTTGTGAGTCATGGTCAGTGGGAAGTGGCCACACTCAGTATGAAGGGTTTCATGTTGCTTTAATTCTGGGGACCCTCAGATGATGCTGCACAGGCCTGCTGATCTTCAGAAGCTGCTCTACGCATCTGCAATAAAAGAGAAGACCTTCTAAGTCACTCACTGGTTTTGAAAGAAGTAACATAGAAGCAGGCTTTTAAGTATCCCTAAGGAGGGCACTATAGGATTTGTATTGGAAATGGATCTGAAGACTTAGGAGAGACTAGAAGATTAGAAATGCAGAGAGGTCAATTTGCTTCCACCAGCTAGTTTATAACTAAGTGTTGGCCACATTATCTGCTTTTAGCTCTGTGTCTTCATTGCCCTTCTCAGTGTTCTTTTTCCCTAGGTCACAGAACGTTTTCCTGAATCGGATTCTGGGTTAAAGCTGCCAGTAGGAAGAATTCACATGAGATTTCAAAGGTGGAAGAGAAGGAGAAGGTGTTTTTTTCTTGCAACAGTTTGGCTGGGGAGCTGAGATCTTCACTGAGGGCTTCCTTTGGCTCCGGGTTCCCGTGGACAGGCAGCCGATGTCATCAGTGGTGGCTTCTCTGTGATCACTATACCACCAGGTCTCCTAAAGTGGCCTTCTTGACCTTTGCCTCCCCAGCTCTTTCAATGGTTATGTGAAACTCTAATTATGTACATTAAATATCTTTCAGCTCATAATACATAGAGTCATTTCCCTCCCCACATATGGAGTAATTCTGAATGACATAAAGGCTTAAGCACGAAGGCCCAAAACCTTGGTCACCTATGTTGATAAATCTGAATTTTGATTAGCGCCAAATTATAGACCAATATATGTCTTACAGACGTTAAAAAACATATGGTATAATTTCATTTTTATAAAGTTCAAAAGCAAACTAATTTGTGATTTTAGAAGTAATGATGAGTGTTTATGTTTGGAAAAGGCTGAGCAGGGTGGGGACTTGATGGGCCATGAGAGAGGCTTGAGATGCTAGTAATACTTGATTTCTTCATCAAGGTTGTGCTTAGATGGTTGAGTTCTTTTTGTGATAATTCATTAAGCGAGATCATCATAATATGCCATTTTTCTTTCTTTTTTTTTTTTTTGAGATGGAGTTTCACTCTTGTTGCCCAGGCTGGAGTGTAATGGCACGATCTCGGCTCACTGCAACCTTCACCTCCCAGATTCAAGCAATTCTCCTGCCTCAGCCTCCCAAGTAGCTGGGATTACAGGAATGTGCCACCACACTAGGCTAATTTTGTATTTTTAGTAGAGACAGTGTTTTTCCATGTTGGTCAGGCTGGTCTCAAACTCCCGACTTCAGGTGATCTGCCCACCTCAGCCTCCCGAAGTGCTTGGATTACAGGTGTGAGCCACCGTGCCTGGCCAATATGCCACTTTTCTTTATATATATGTTAAAATTTAATAGAAAATTAATTTTAAAAAATTTAAGGCTGCTAGGAAATTTCATTTTCCTTGTGCCAATCCTAAAATGACAATTTAATTATTGAATCCAATCTTACTCTTTGACAGATGATACAACTGAGACAGCAAGAGACTAAGTAACCTGCTCAATGTCAACCTTCAAGCCCAGTTTTCCATCCATTTATAACCTGGTTTAATGTGAGAATTTTAAAAATCAATTTTCCTAGTTATCTTTTTTCCCCATTTTTTTTTCTATTTATAGTCAAATGGAAACAAACTTTGCATAAAAATAGATGGGAAGATTGACTCCAAGCTAATTTGTCATCTCAGGCATTACTTAAGAAATGTCAAAGTCTCTAGTGAAAAGATTTATGAGTAATATCGGTAAAGAATGTGCCAAACTTGCCAAGGTATTTAGCATTTAGGAGTAGGAAGCAGAAGAGCTGCTTCAGCAGTGATTTGGATGTGACTGTAAATCAAGCAAAAAAAGCCACATGTTGTAAAATGTCACCAAGAAAGGTAAGTTGGGTATTGCTTAAAAACTCACACCAGTTTTGTCCATTTGTCCATTTCCCACAGCTTCTGCTGCCATTGAGCCACCTAGGTAGTCATCCCTGAATTCCTCAGGCCTAAGAGGCCCATCAGCTTAGCATTACTTTGCCTGCTGTTCTTCCCCAGAGAATATGGGCTGACTGGTAAATGCCCCTCAAGTGAACCCTATGTTCCAGGGAGTTCCACCAAAGGAGGGCTACTTCCCCGGAGAGCTGAGGATTTTATAGTTAACAAAGGACAAGAAGGTTCTTTCTGCAGAGTGCTTCTCCCGGCTCCCCCCGGCCCCACCACCAGGGCCCAAATCTTAATATATTTTACGACATTCTAGGTCCATTACAACACACACATGCTTGTAGTCTTTTAACCCATTACTTTCTTTTTTTTTCTTTTTGTTTTTGAGATGGAGTCTTGCTCTGTCGCCCAGGCTGGAGTGCAGTGGCGCGATCTCGGCTCACTGCAACTTCCACCTCCTGGGCTCAAGTGATTCTCCTGTCTCAGCCTCCCAAGTAGTTGGGATTACAGGCGCCCACCACCATGCCCAGCTAATTTTTTTTTGTATTTTAGTAGAGATGGGGTTTCACCATATTGCCCAGGCTGGTCTCAAACTCCTGAGCTCAGGCAATCCACCCGCCTTGGCCTCCCAAAGTGCTAGGATTACAGGTGTGAGCCACCCCACCTGGCCAACCCATTACTTTCAAAAGTCAGCAATAGTGTGTGCTTTTGGCTTTTGCCTTTGCTTTCTCTGAACTTGCATCCAGCACAATTCAGAAAAGACAACTTTTCGCAATCTATTTTTTCGGTATACATGTGTTAAAATTTCACTATATGCCTGTCAGTGGGCTAAGTGCTGAGGACACATAATGAATAACAAACAGTCTCTGTCCCCAAGAAGTTCATGACTGGTTGCAGAACAGTCACACAAAATAATAGTTTAGCTTCAGGAATAAATTTTGGTGCCGCTAAAGCATATCATGTAGGTCCTAACTAAGAATTTTAAAATTCTGTTTTTTTGATAGTCTTTGCTGGTGACCTTCCAATATGAGACTTACTGCTATTTTGGATAAAATGATTTTTTTGAGAATTCCTCCTGCTTGACTTCATTTAACTGTACCAAATTTGGGCATCGTTTGGGAGCATCTCAAGTTCAGATGAAGAATAGAATATACATATAAGAAATAGGCTGAGACTTCTTATATGAAATTGATACTGACTAGAAGTCCTAGGAGTAGGGAATTTTATTGCAAGAAGCTAGAACTAAAACTGAGATTTGAAAAGAAATTTATAAAAACACTTCTATTTCTGAGCTGACCTTAAAATATATTTCATTGTGGGGTGTCCTAGAGTCCATCTCTGCTACCCGGCTCCATCCAGATGCTGCCCACAACCATCCTGGGACAGTCCAGGGTCTGGCAGAGGAAATCACATGGACTTCAACCCAAAAAGCCATAGCCAGAAGGGCTGGGAGCCTCTTTTATTATGGGTAACACTGAGGAAATGGCCCAGATCACCCTTGAATTGTCACTGTGATGAAAGCAAGACTCTGTCCTGGACTTGTAGATACTACGAGGGCGGGGGCATGGATATGTTTTCCCTACCGGCATACAGTAAACTAGACTCCTTCCTTTGAGATACCTATGAACTCTCAGAGAACCTAGAAAGTGGGACAAAGAAGAAATGGAGATTTGAAGTAGAATAGGCTGGATTTCTGAACATTTTGTGATGACGGGACTGTGAAATCCTGACCATTGCACTTGGGGGATAAAGGGATAGCCTAGTTTTATCACAAACTTAGGAAGTTAAAAATAGTTACTAAAATTAGAAGGATAGCATATGTTCTTCAAAACTAGAACCTTAAGTGGTGGCTCAGTAATACTCTCAAGTTCCACTGCCACCTAAGCTTCATGTAAATATAGCTGCCTTAAAGGTATACCATCCTGTATTTCTTTGCCTGACAGCTTTGCTATTTTTCCACGATAAAATTGATACAGCACAGAATTGTCCATACTGTTGGTCTAAAAGTCAAAAAACCTGGATCTAGCCCCAGTTTGACTTCTAGCCAGCAATGTGATACTAAGCAAGTTACTTAGCTTCATCTAAAGAGCTTGTTAAAAATTTAGGTGCCTGGGGCTCTAGATACACACTATTTGAATGGGAAATGTCATTGAAGAACACTGTTAATCTGTATATTTAACAAACACCTGGGTGATTCTTACTATCAAAGGACCACTAGATTTAATACCTACGTTCTGCTAGTAGATATGTTCACCTTCCTAAAGAAAGGCACCAGAAATCTTTGTTAAATAACAGGACACCCAGAGGTCAAATAGTGGACTTTGCTTCCGTTGGTTGACATCGGAGTAGAGCAAATGTCATTTTCTTGCATCAGCTTCTTTAATAAATGGCCAATGACTTTCTGACAATAAACAATGGGGATTATTTTTTAAATCTCACTTGGATTTGAAGTGAAAAAAACTTGAAGTCCTCCACAAATACATGTTTACCAAGTATCAATGTTTCAACAAACCATTGAGATTTAATTTGCACCTTAATATTATTCTTCCATGTCACAAACAGTTTAACCTGCAGATTTTTGTGGAAATGAGAATCTGAAACCCAGGAATAGGGAGTGGGTGGGAGGCAATTTCACAGGGTCTAGCAGATAAATACTGGCATGTTAACCCACATTTGCAGTGTGAAGAAACATTATTCACTGAGGTTGAACTAAAAAACAGTATTATTTCCCCACACATTTCTCCTGATCACTTTTCTGGAATGGTCATTTGTGCATCTTGTGCTGAGAGTGTGAATCCAAAGAATAGACTTTCTCTGCGGGTGACTGAAAAAGGAAAGCGTGGCAATTGTCATAGGCACTTCCATCTAAGGAGACTGATAGCATTCTTTTCTGCTAAAGAAATAAGAAAAAAACAAGAGAAATATGTAAAATTTATTGTTTTTAAGCTCACTTTGTCACATGCACACCTGTGCATGCCTATGTATGTGCTCACCCATGTGTGTATGAATGTGTTTGTGCACACTGCAAATGTGAACTAAGCTGAGGTTGGCCTCCTCCAGATTACAACAGGAGGCCTTGAGCATTCCCCACTTACCCTGGCAAGTGAGTGCATGAGGATGCAGGGCAATGCCTGGCAAATTGCCGCGTGCTCTTTTCCCTGATATTAGCCTGGCTGGTGTGCCAGGCCCTGGGGAAGTGCTGTTACAGGCACTGAAGGCTACCCCTGTGAAGCCTCTCAGGCTGATGGATGGGAGTGAGTCTCAAAGATCTGTCAATCCCGCCTGTCAGAAGCCTGCCAAATGAAAGATATGCCAGGCTGACTCAACAAAAAGCTCAGCATCACCCAGCAGAAATGGCTGCTGAAGGAAGTGAAGAAAGATAGAATGGTGGGGGGTTGGGGGTGGGGAGAGGACACCAATAGCTCTGGTTTTACATAGGAGGAACCTGTTTGACTTGTTAGGTCTGATTTCTGTGAACCCGCAGTTTTTCTTGGTGTCATCTTAATTATCTTCTGTGCAAAGAAAAAAAGGCAGTGAGTGGCAATAATTAATTTGCATTGTCAATTGATTTTTTTTTCTTTCTAGGAATTCTTCTCACTCAAAAGCCATATTATATAACCATCTGTTTTTCCCCAAAGATGAATTCTGTTAGGTTTATTCATTTCTGTCTCTTCAGAAGATATATTAACATTGCCAATATTGAGCATCTGTGTGTGTGAGAGCAGAGAGAGAGATTGAGGGAGAGATTTGGTGGTTTTTCCCTTTTTAAACAGTTTTGTGTCCCTTGACACCATTTCTCTTGCTTTCTGGTTTCCAAACTCCAGTGGCCATTCTCACTTAGGAACAGATGCTATGCAAAAATCAGAGCCCAAACGTATCTTACTCTGAGGCTTAGATGGGAAAGAGAACCTTTCTCAAGGTGAAGATGAGGAATTCATGCAAATCAAAATTTCAGAGAAAGAGGTCTGCGTTCTATTCTTGCTGGCACTATCCTTAGAAGGCACATGAGTTATCCGCTCAGTTTTTACTTCTTTTCTTAGAAAATGGAGAGAGTGGTGCATCCTCCCTTTTTGGGGGGAAAAAAGAGGCAAGAACAAAGGAACACAGTCATTTTCTGCTTTTCTACTTTTCTGATTTTGTCTTTTTGCTTATTTCATTCTCTGATAAAGGACCAGTATTCTCACCTCCTTTATCCCTTTATTCAACAGTTTCTGCTAATTTCTGAATAGGCAAAGAAAGTATTTGCACATGTACAATCGAGGGCAGTGGGCATGCTCGGCAAGTACTTGGTCCATGGTGTTCTACTCCAAGACTGTCTTCTGGAGTAAGCTCTGTCCAAAGTTAGGAGGAGGGTGGCTGTTTGGAAAATGATATAAAAATTGGCTTACAAAAGCAATTGCAACAAAAGCAAAAATTGACAAATGGGATCTAATTAAACTAAAGAGCTCCTGCACAGCAAAACAAACTATCAACAGAGTGAACAGACAACCTATAGAATAGGAGAAAGTTTTTGCAAACTATGCATCCAACAAAGGATCTAATATCCAACATCTATAAGGAACTTAAACAAATTTACAAGAAAAAAAGCCAAACAACTCCATTAAAAAGTGGGCAAGGATATAAACACACTTTTCAAAAGAAGACATACATATGGTCAACAATCATTTTTTTAAAAAAGCTTAACATCACTAATCATTGGAGAAATGCAAATAAAAACCACAATGATATATTATCTCATACCAAGCAGAATGGCTATTATTAAAAAATCAAAAAATATCATGCTGGTGAGGATGTGCAGGAAAAGGAACACTTATACACTGTTGGTGGAAGTGTAAACTAGTTCAACCATCGTGGAAGACAGTGTAGCGATTCCCCAAAGACCTAAAGAAAGAAATGACATTCCACCTAGCAATCCCATTACTGGGTATATACCCAAAGGAATATAAATTGTTCTGTGATAAAGACTCATGCATATGCTCACTTCAGCACTATTCACAATAACAAAGACATGGAGTCAACCTAAATGCCCATTAGTGATAGTCTGGACAAAGAAGATGAGGTGCATATACACCATGGAATACTATGCAGCCATAAAAAGAATGAGATCGTGTCATTTGCAAAGACATGGATGGAACTGGAGGCCATTATCCGTAGCAAGCTAACACAGGAACAGAAAACCAAGTACAGCATGTTCTCACTTATAGGTTGGAGCTAAATGATGAGAACACATGAACACATAGAGGGGAAATGTGTTCACCCAGCAGAAATGGCTGGGGAACAATACACACTGGGGTCTACTGGAGGGTGGAGAGTGAGAGGACGGAGAGGATCAGGAAAAATAATTAATGGTACTAGGCTTAACACCTGGATGATGAAATAATCTGTACAACAAACCCCCATGACACAAGTTTACCTGTGTAACAAACCTGCACATGTACCCCTGAATATCAAATTACTAAGGAAGAGAAAAAAGTACCTGAATAAAAGGAGCAATACAAAAAGTAAAATAAAAAGTGGCTTAAAACTGACTTCTCCAAGCCTCCCTCACAGTCCCTTCATCCTGTAGTATTTGCCCCCAAAGACACTGGATCCTCCTACCTTCTTCACACTCTTGCCCCAGTGAACTCCTAGAGCAGGGTGGGAGGCAGAGTTCCATGGCAGCCACCACATGTCAGCCTCTGAATGCCCTCCCTTCCACATTCCCAGAGATCCCTGTCTCCATGCCCCACCCTTCATAAAACCTAACAGAGCATCCTGTGCAGAGTAAGACTGAAAAGTGTCTGTTGAGTTAATGAAAAAGTGAATTAACTAGTTGATGTTACTTTTCTAGGTTTACTCTGGGTGAAAATGAGCCAGGAGAACACACTCTACAAGTAAATTAAAATCAGCAGGTTTTTTTTTATGCTCTAGAGAATGAGCGAGGTGATCTGAGAGGAAGCCCTCAGGCGAGCCCCTGAGCTCCTTGGGCCTCGGTAATGAGATGAGGTCTAGAGAAGTTCAGTGGCCCAGACACTGAGAAAGGAGGCTTCTTGGGATTCTGGGGCTTTCTGCTCCGCTAGCTCAGAAATCCTTGAACAGCAGGATCAGTGGTGATTAGAAAAGCTGTCGAAGGAGAAAAAATTCTCAGTTTCACCGGGTCTGGCTGCTCTCATCCTCACTGTTATCTCCAGAGCTTGTGGGTTAGAAGAGATTCCTTTAGCAAATGGTGAAGAAGGGTTGTAACTGTGCGTTTGACTGGAGAATTCTATAGGCTTACCCCGAGGAGTGGATTTGTGCTCTGGCTATAGAGATAGCAATGCCAGGGCTGAATGCAGGTATCATCTCTAGAAACATGGGCTTAAGTTTTGTAATAGCATACAGTGTTCTTATCATGTCTAACCTTGGAATACTGGAGCTGGAATCTTCTCTGACCTGCTATGCTCATGTTTAAGGCATTACCTTTGGGCATCATCTTTGTTGTAGCTCCTTGCTTGCAAACTTCTATGAAGTCCTTTTTTTAGCGGCAGAATGCATCCGAGTCATGTGGCACCAAAGTATGTTACCAGCAGTGAATCTCTGTGGATCTGCAGCAACCTTAATTCTTTCCTCCTCAGAAGAAAGAATTTGATCAAGAGGCATAAGGCAGAGTGCTGAGGCAAGTTTTAGAGCAGGAGTGAAAATTTATTAAAAAGCTTTAGAACAGGAATAAAAGGAAGTAAAGTACACTTGGAAGAGGGCCAAGCAGGTGACTTGAGAGATCAAGTGTGCAGTCTGACCTTTGGACTTGGGGTTTTATATGTTGGCATGCTTCCAGGGTCTTGTGTCCCTTCTTCCCTGATTATTCCCTTGGGGTGTGCTGTCTGTATGCGCAGCAGCCTGCCAGCACTTGAGAGGGGATCATGCGCAGTGTGTTTACTAAAGTTGTATGCATGCTCACTTGAGGCGTACTTGCCTTACCAACTGAATGTTCCTCGAAGGTCATATACCAGTTAAACTCCACCATTTTACCTCTTAATGCGCATGTGTGAGCCTGCTCTCCCAACTCCTGAGATCCTATCAGGAAGCTGCTGATCACCTGCTTCTGGTTTTTTCTATCTCCTGGGAGACTGCCTTTCCCTGGTGCCAACTGCAACAAATTATTATTTTAGAGAGATAGTTAACAACCACCTGACATCACCTGATGGTTGCCTGACATTCCTGGTTGGCAGGGGCCCTCTCCTGATCTGCTCATGTCTGACTAGCTACCTACTGTAACAGTTTCTGTGTTATCTTTAATATGTGAGCAAAATGACAATGAGCAACTCATTGTCCTTTAGAGATTAGCAATACGGAAATATTATCTATTGTTTTATCATTTGAGTCAGAAGAGGCATCTGAGGATCTGTAATATGCTACACTAAATATAACAACAGAAAAGCAGCTTTTCTTTCAAGGGTATATTTGCTTATCAACTTTCTGGAGAGGCTTTGGGTAAAACATAGCTGTTTTGGACTTTTATCTCCTTCAGCCAAGCACACTGATGCATGCTGATAGCTCACCTCCTTGTGCTTATGACATTCGGAAAATGTTTTCTAGCCCTTAGCATACTCTTTTCTCATGGAGCCAGTCTCTTGATTCCTTGAAATTTTAACATTTAAAACATATCCTAAAGCTTCTGGCCTCCTTGAAGACTTTTCAGAAAACCCTTCTCTAGAGCTCTTCAGATTTGGTTGGCTCAGTCAGAGCTTATTTGAAGCCAAAGCAAGCTACATATGTGACTTCTGTGTCTTATTTGCACATTGTCAAGTCTTTTCATTTAACCTGGGCCTTGGATCTGTCCCACATGGGCAAGGAAGTCCTTTGATAGTGGCATGATCTTGAGAAGCATATTCTGCAGATGGTGGATGATGTTAATAGAGTCTAACTAATCAACAGGTTTAACTTGGCATAGAGGAAATGAGACATGAAGGCCCAAAGGGTGGCTGATAAAAAGGCACAGAGTTACCTGAATGGGCTGTGTTCCATTTTAAGGTTCCTGGTCCAAATGTAATTGAGAACTGTCGTGGCTCAAAGCCCTAGTATCACAACTGACGGCTATTTGGCCATTTCCTGCTTTGGGCTCTTAGTTCAGTTACTAGAGGACATATGCCCTGCAGACTTCAACTCACAAGTATAAAGAAATCATATCTTTAAAAAAATACGGTTTCCAAAAATATAACATAACTAAATAAAACCCAGTACTGAAGGCAGGAAGAAAGAGCAGTCTCTTAATGCTTAGTTGAAGTAGCTGCTACAGCACATGGGACATTTTGTTCATTTCTTTTATTGAAGACAGATTGGAGAAATGAGAAGCAGTTGAGTTCGGGAAATTAATTATTGTATCATGTTGTCAAATCTTGTAATATTTTAAATGTAGGATTACATGGACATCATCTGAGAACTAGCAGCTATAAGGCAGCAGGGGATTGATGAGGAAAAGCAAAATGTTCTTGAGTCAGTCATTAAATCAGTTTTCCTGAAGAAAGGATAACCTTGTGTTATATGCATTCGGGGTTACAGAGTGAAAAATGTATTCTGCATTCTCATGTACACCAGGGGCATAATCTGACCCAGGTGTAACCCAATCTATGAATCAAAAGGTGCTTTATAACAGGATTTAATTGTACTTGTCTGGAATTTTGCCCCTCATTCTAGTTGTGGGATTTAATTAATCCTTACCCAGAGGTCAGTCACTTTGAGACAAATGCCATAAAAGGACAGAGAATTATCTCACTGTGAATTACAGTTAAGCACAGCCAGTTTTCATTTTATTACTATTATCAATTGTTTAAAAAACTTTGCTGAATGATTTCATTGTACATGTGCCTTCAGGCTTTCTACAGCAATTTGGAAAATACATTATAGAATAAACCACAAGATTATTAAAATGACATTAAACAGTATAAGGCCTAATTTCAAAGAAGGTTGTAATATCCATATTTACTCATATTTCATCTCCTTATATAATTATTCACACTCTGTATTTTGGGGATAGAACTTATAAGCGTGTGTTCCTACCTAATTATCTCACCACTTCCCCCTTAATTTTTTTCTTTTCTTCTTTTCTGTTGAAGGAACTCTGACTTCTAGCAAGAGCTCTTAGGAGAATTTCAGAACTAGAGGCTGAGTGATCTGGATAAAAACACCAGAATCCCTTTTTAATGTTCTTTCCTTTCAACATATCTAATTTTTTTTTCCTTCCAAAGAATACCTTTTGAACAAAACAGAGTGGGTTTGTCCTCACCACAGTTGGCAAAGGCTTAGATTAAAGCTTTCTTCCTATTGCCCTTTTATTGCCAGTTTCTTACCTGTTTCTGCCCCCTTCTTTCCTGAAGTGATAGAGATTGGTCTGTGACTGCTGCTACTGCCACCGAGCGAAATTAAGAAGGGGAAATTAAGAAGGGGAGGATGTGAGTAATAGCTCCCTCCAGACATCTGCTTGTGCTTCGGACCCCCACAACCCTGGGGGAATGGAGAGCAGATCTGAGGTGATTTGCCTGAAGCCGTTGCTTGGTAACCTGTTTTGAAGCAAACACACTGAAGTATTAAATATAAAACTTGAAAGAAAAGGAAATTTAAAATAAAGCCCACCTTTTAATCACTGCATATTTTCCCTCCCCCTTTTCTAATTCATCTTCCCTTTTTATCTCTTCAAATAAGGGGTCAGAGGTATATTTCAATCAAGATCTTTACCACAATCCCTTCTTTACACCCAGATAAAGGGTTGGATGTGGGAGGATGGTTTGTCATAAAAATATAAAATAACTTGCCTGGGTGAGTTGCCGTAGTAGAAAGAGTGCTGCATTTACAGCCAGACCACCAGTGTTCAAGTTCTAGCTTAGCTATTAACAATTGCAACTACTTAACCACACAGTGCTTCAGTTTATTAAGTTGCAACATGGGTGATATGGTTTGGTTCTGTGTCCCCACCCAAATCTCATCTCAAATTGTAATCCCCACATGTGGAGGGAGGGACCTGCAATCCCCACATGTAAAGAAAGGGAGGTGATTGTTTCATGGGACAGTATTTTCCCCATGCTGTTCTCATGACAGTGAGTGAGTTCTCACAAGATCTGATGGTTTTTATAAGTGTTTGGGAGTTCCTCCTTTGCCCATCTCTCTCCTTCCACCATGTGAAGAAGGTGGTTTCCTCCCCTTCTGCCATGATCGTAAGTGTCCTGAGGCTTCCCTAGCCAGACAGAACACTGAGTCAATTAAACCTCCTTTATTTATAAATTACCCAGTCTCTGGTAGTATCTTTTTTTTTTTGAAACAGAATCTCGCCCTGTTGTCCAGGCTGGAGTGCAGTGGCATGATCTTGGCTCACTGCAACCTCCGCCTCCTGGGTTTAAGCGATTCTTGTGCCTCGGCCTCCTGAGTAGCTGGAACTACAGGCACACACCACCACACCTGGCTAATTTTTGTATTTTTAGTAGAGATGGAGGTTTGCCATGTTGGCCAAGCTGGTCGTGAGCTCCTGGCCTCAAGTGATCCACCTGCCTCAGCCTCCCAAAGTGCTGGGATTACAGGTGTGCACCACCACGCTTGGCTCTGGTAGTATCTTTATAGCAGTGTGATAACAGACTAATACAATGGGCCATAATATTATTCTTAAAATGTTTTTCTATTTCACAAGTATTTGGTAATTCAGAAATGATATAAATATTGTATAAAACTTAAAATGAAAAATACATACTATAGAAATGTATAGTGCATGTTAAAGGAGCAGTGTCATATTGATCTTGGTTTTTTCTTTGCTTGTGTGTTTCTTCCATTATACCAAGCAAATAGGAATAACCTAATATTTATGTTTCAAGTACTGTGCTAAGTGGCTTGCATGTATTATTTATTTATATAACTATTGGGTACTAGCACCATATCTATTTTACAGACAAGGAAACAAAGGCACAGAAAGGTAAAGTAAGTGCCCAAGGTCACACAGCTGGTAGTAGGGCCTGGAGTGGGTTGAATTTTGCTGCACCCCCAACCCAACAAAAAGATATGTCCAAATCCTAATTCCTGGTACTTGTGAATATGGCCTTATTTGGAAAAGGATCTTTGTATGCGATTAAATTGAGGCTCTAGAAATGAGGTCATGCTAGATGAGAGTGGGCCCTAAATCCACTGTGAGTGTCCTTCTAAGAGACTGACAGATGCACAGACACACAAAGGGAAGATGGAGACAGAGACTGGAGTAACAGTGTCACAAGCCTAGAAATGTCTGGGGCCACCAGGAGCTCAGACGAAGTAAGAAGGGATTCTTCCCTAGAGCCTTCAGAGCGAGCATGGCTCTACCAACACCTTCCTTTAGGACTTCTAGCCTCCAGAACTGCCAAAGAATAAACGTGTGTTATTGTAAACCACCCAGTTTGTGGTAATTTGTTGTGCAGCTTTAGGAAATGAACACAGGGCCCACGGATTGAAATTGAGGGACTCTGACTCCAGAACATTAACATTTGATCACTTTGTTTTACTTTCCCTTTTTATTTGAAATATAAGTAAATTTGGGAGAAAAGAAAATTATCGAAGTGAATGTGGTTATAATTGTTTTTGGTGAAGTGGAATGGTTAAATGGGGAAATGTTTTGTCACACAAGCTAAGTTGTTATGTAGGGGTGGGATTGTTGGAACCCTTAGTTTTTTAAATGTCCAGTCCAGAAGTTGCCTAGAATAAATTTTTAAAAATTAAAGACATCTTTTCGAAGGATGAAATAGTGAATTAATACCCAGCAAAGATAAATAAAGTTACTGACAAGTAAATATAATTAAAGCAAAATACAAAAAGATTCTACTTGATGAGGTGAGATTTGTATTACTATTATTATTAATTATTATGATTAGTCATTTAAAAATTAATAATGACAATACCAATTTTTGATTAATATTGTCTTATGTTCTAAGAGGGAAAAGAACTATTTGATAGTTTGATAGTTTTATACTGAGCTTTTTGGATTAGACTAAAACTTCTCTGAACAATCTAGCATTTCCTAGTCATATGTTAAGTATTTTCTTTATGTAAAAATTTTTGTTTTGTAAAATATTTTCTCCATTTTTACTGATTTACAAATCTACTTTAAAAAACTTTTAAAAATGTACTTCTCTGGTGGTTGAGAAAAGCTCTAGTTGAAGCTTGCCTCTTCTCTTGACCTCTTCTCCTGCCTTGCCTCTTTACCAAACCACTTTGCACAATGCAGCCCAGCTAGAAGGCTCAGAAGCCACACTTCCCATGCGCCCCACTCACCTTTCTCTGAGGAACAAGAAGGACCAAAAAGCCTCAGCAAATAAGCAAGTGGGTGCCAGCACCAGTGTCCCAATCCACCTATGGAAGTATCCAGAGCAGCTACTAAGCTATGTCTTTTTATGATCAGTAAAAACTTAAGTCTGTGTGAGCTAATTCTCTATCTCCATGTTTCATTTTTCTCTTCATGTTGGATCCCACATTTGCAACTCTCTGTTGCAGTCCTCCCCTTGGTTTCCCCCCTAGTCCATTGAATCAAATGCCATTGTTGGAGTCCTTCCTTCTCTTTCCCCTTCCAACCTGACCCTAACCTGGACCTTTTCTAAATTACTCATTTCTGTTAAAGGCACCACATTCGCCCTGGAATGGAGGCTCACGGCTTTGCCAACATCTTTGATTCTGACCCCTTATTGCACGTGCTTCCAGTCAGTTACCAAGAGCTGTTAAGTATATGCCATAATGTCCTTCACATTGAGAGGTGAAGCCAGCTGGACTTCCTGGGTCGAGTGGGGACTTGGAGAACTTTTCTGTCTAGCTAAAGGATTGTAAATGCACCAATCAGCACTCTGTAAAAACACACCGATCAGTGCTCTGGGTCTAGCTAAAGGATTGTAAACATACCAATCAGCACTCTGTAAAAACGTACCAATCAGAACTCTGTGTCTAGGTAAAGGATAGTAAATGCACCAATCAGCACTCTATAAAATGGACCAATCAGCACTCTGTAAAATGGACCAATCAGCAGGATGTGGATGGAGCCAAATAAGGGAATAAAAAAGCTGGCCACCTGAGCCAGCAGCCGCAATCTGTTCAGGTCCCCTTCCACGCTGTGGAAGCTTTGTTCTTTCGCTCTTCACAGTAAATCTTGCTGCTGCTCACTCTTTGGGTCTGCACTACCTTTATGAGCTGTAACACTCACGGTGAGGGTCTGCGGATTCATTTCTGAAGTTAGCGAGACCATGAACCCACCAGAAGGAAGAAACTCCTGACACATCTGAACATCTGAAGGAACAAACTCTGGACACACCATCTTTAAGAACCGTAACACTCACCACGAGGGTCCGTGGCTTCATTCTTGAAGTCAGTGAGCCCAAGAACCTACCAGAAGGAATAAATTCTGGACACAACATCCAAACCACCCTCTCTATTCCCACTGTCATTACCTAGTTTGGCCTCTTAGTGCTTCCTGCCCAGGCTATTGAAACAACACTCTGCCCACATGCTTAGACAATTTCCCACATCCATTTTGATTGGCCCAGACCTTGCCATTCTATTTATTAAATATTTTAAATATCCCTCCTTCCTGTTTCACTAACAACAGACAAAAGTTTGGTATTAACAGAGATGGTAAGGGAAAATGTTAAACCCCACTTGAGCAGGACTCCACCCTATTCTTCCCGACTTGGGTTGGCCTTTCAGGATTGGTGCTGTTATCTGGAGTTGGTGCTCTGTGATCACAGAAAACTCACATTGATGTCATTTTCCCTTAAAGTGTACCTCATGCTGAACCACACTATTTCCCATTATTCTGCTGTTTAAAATGCTGCTGCAGTCCTTGTTTCTTAGACATTCAGGACCCTGCGTAGGCTTCAAATATTTGAATGAAAAATTAACAAAGGTAGTGAAGTAACTGGTTCCTACAGATTTATTCTATGATTTAATTATATATTCGGCAGGAAGTTACTCACCCAGAGATACTTCTTTTCTTCCAGAAAGGACAATTTCTTTCCGATAATATGTCTTGCTCGAATTGTTGCCATTCTTCCTCAGTACCCCTCCACCATGCCTGAACTCTTGACATCCAAGTAAATCCAGAGATCTCTCTGGAATCACTAAAAGAGTTACTGTTTTCGTTGACAGTCTCACTATTGTCTGCTAAAATTTTACCAGTCAGTTCAAGTGACAGTTGGAGGACACAGTAGAGAAAATGTTTCCATAATCAGAAGTCTTACTGATGTGTAGTCATCAAGCTTCAGAGGGGCTGGAAACTCAAATAGGTTGAGAGTTGGTGAGGTCAAACATGAACTCTCAGCACATTGTCAACACCGTGGGTCTTGCCAATTTCTTATACAAAATACCACTGTTTTTCTCTAAAGTGGTTTATATGCTCAGCAGTAAAGCTGAGGTATGCTCACAGTTTGTTTCTGTGCTGTATTTTGGGACAGGGGCTTGTCCTGTGCAATCCAGAGGCCTGGGCTGGGTGGGCACAGTCTTTTCACAGGCTAATGCTTTAGGTGATTGGCAGGTCCGACCAGTTCCCATGGCCCCTCAGCTGACTTTTGGGCTCCAGAGTCCAAGCTGCTTTGTTCATTATTTCCCACTGTCTTGTCCCCCTTCCTTGCTCTTCTCTGGAGTGAGACTGAGAGGCTAGTGCTGCTGTCCCCCAGCCCGTTGGTACCCTGTCACTTCTCAGAGCATTTTCTGTTTAACCAAAATCAAATAAAACAATTGCAACACCAAAACTCAAAGAAACAGAGGATCAAAGGATGCATATGTGTAGCCAGAAAAGCAGTCCCTGGGTCTTAAAGGTGTTGTGCAAATCGAGCTCCTACCCTATTTTCATCTTGTGTTTGAACTTTTGTATTCCCATTGGAATTAACCTTGTTCTGCTCCCTCCTGAGGTTGGAGCTTAAGTTCCCAGCTGTGGCTGGTAGCTGTTCCAAGATGTTTCTTTTACATAACCTATATTTTTCAGTTCTGAACAGAGTGGTTCTGAAGTAAGTGCTTCACACCTGCGTGGGTGTCTGCTATTGTTTGAATGTGTCACCTAAAATATATGTGTTGGAAATTTAATCTCCAATGCAGCAGTATTGGGAAGCAGGGCCTTTTGGGAGGTGTTTAGGTCATGAAGGTTCTGCCCTGATGAATGCATGAATGCTGCTATAAAAAGGGCTTTTGGGAGTGGTTTTGCTCTTTCTTTTCCTTCCTCCTTCCACTATGTGAGGACGCAGCAAGCCGACTCTCATCAGATGCCAGCACCTTGATCATGGGTTTCCCAGACTCCAGAACTGTGAGACAATACACTTCTGACCTTTATAAATTACCCAGTCTCAGGTGTTCTGTTGTAGAAGCACAAGCAGACTAAGAGAGAATCTCTCTTCTTCTTTGACCTAAGGGTTATCCTGTATTTTCCATCTTGGCTAATTGTTTCCATCTAGAGTGTGCCAAAACTAGAAACTTCAGAGTTATTCTCAATGATTCCTCCTTTCTTTAAGTCACCACATCCCATATGTGTTCAGCCTTGAAGATTTTGTTTTTCATTTATTTTTTATTTTTATTTCTTTTTTGAGACAGAGTCTTGCTGTGTCTCCCAGGCTGGAGTGTAGTGGCATGATCTCAACTCACTGCAACCTCTGCCTCTCAGCTTCAAGTGATTCTCCTGCCTCAGCCTCCTGAGGTAGTAGCTGGTAGTAGCTGGGATTACAGGGGTGCACCACCACACCCGGCTAATTTTTGTATTTTTAGTAGAGACAGGATTTCGCCATGTTGGCCAGGATGGTCTCAAATGCCTGGCCTCAAGTGATCTGCCCACCTTAGCCTTCCAAAGTGCTGGGATTACAGGCGTGAGCCACTGTGCCCAGCCCAGCTGGGTGATATCACCTCCTAACAGTGTCAATGCCACAAGTCTTACTGCCCCACTCTGCCCCTTTTGACTTACTATTCTGGCTATATTCATTTATCATGACTTTATGCCTTAGTTTCTGCTGTTTTCTCTGCCCTTGATGCACTTCCACTTGGAAGATCCCAACTCAAAATTGCTTCAAATCCTTATTGGAACATAGTAAAACATGGTAAAATACAAAAACAAAATGAAACAACACAAACAATCCAGCAACTAAAGTCTACTCATTCTCAGAATCAGGTTCATTCTCAGAGACTTTCCTGATCCCTGGTGGTAGGGCAGGTGGCTTCTTCCTGGCGCCCCCACAGGACTGTGATCACACCCTGGCCACTTCCCACATAGGCTGAAAAGTTTGTTGACTGTGGGAGGACAGGGACCATATCCTACTCATCCTTCTGTCCCCCTTTCTAAACAGTCCATTATCCAGAGGGCCTGCTGTGTCCAGCTGATCTGCAGTTGACTACATATCCCCTGCACTGCTCTCCGGAGGCTGACGCTGATGACTCAGTGCCCAGAAGAGAAGGGCTTTTCCTGTATGAGCCACAGATTCTCTTTAAATTGCCTTCAGGTCATGCACATTTGTTGCCATCTTCTTTCTTTACTGTAAATTACCAGGATTCCTGGCTACTTTACCTTTATTTTCTCCAGGGTCTAGACTGCGTCTGATAGGATCATAGGTTCTTGCTCTCTGTGTGGTGTAGTAATTATAAATTTTCTTGGTGAGCAGATTAAACATGTAGATTCACGTTCAACTCTGGGGTTTTCCCCCAAGGATTATAATTAATACCCTAGCAAACAGGGATATACGCATCCCTGTTCACATCTGGGGTACAGAAAGAGCACCCCTTGCCTCAACAGGTAACCCGAACCATTAGCTTTGCTCTGATTGGCCTCATTCACCCCAAACCAATCTGGATGGCTGGGTTCAAGCATGGAAATGTAGCCATCCAAGCTGTTGATTCATCTGCATGACTTAAAGGACTTGAAATCTTTAACCAAATTTGGCATAATTTAATTTGGCTGTGTGTAAGCATAATGATGAAATAACACTTTGACCCCAGACGTTTAAGGAGAAAGAAATATAATCAGGAAGAATTGTGGTCCAACAAGAGTAACACCATATTTCCATAGTAGTTGCAAACACAGCCAAGAGCAGCCTGTCAGGCAGCAGGACTTTAGAGGCCTTGTGGGATCATATTTAACCTGGTGAAGCTCAGCTAGAACTTAGAACAGTGTTTGTCAAATTGATCACAGGAGTCAACAGAAGTACTTATAAAAAGTGCAGATTCCTAGACTCTCCCTTAGAGATTTTAATTCAGTTAGAGCTAGTTGGGACTGTATATATAAAATATAAGAATCTGTATTTTTAATAAATTCTCCAGCTGAGTTTTTATGATCGGGCAAGCCTGGGGAATAGTGTTGCCAAAAAAGAAATCAAATCACTCTGTGGTAGGAAGAATAAGAAAGCATCAAGGACTCGGTAGGCATTTAGTACAGACACTGGTCAATGGGATACAAAATCCTCAGGAGGCTCCAGCTTACTGAGTGGTAACTCTCCCCACTTCCCACATACACACTAATTTCAGTCCAATTTGGTTCTATCATTTAAACTGTCTCCTTAGAGTTAAATCAATGCTTTGGGATAATTGCTTAGGCTTTTGAATGTCTCCCCTTTTCTTGGAACTCTGCGTAAGGCGATGTCTGGGTAATGGGAGTGCAGCTCATATACCCTTAATGCATGGGGAGAAGGGGACCCTTGGCCTGGTGCTGGACTTTGAGTGGGCCCTGGCTGTCACCTGCTTTGGAGTGTTAGGCTCATTTTGTTGTTGGTATCTTATAGCTGATGGTCCCTTAATCTTTCTTTCTTGACTTGTACTGGTCGAGATCCTCTCTCTGCCCACCCTCCTGTTCTTGGCTATCTGTGACATGTAAATCTCCATGAGTCTCCCCACATCTGCCATGTGGGGTGCCCTTGGCCAAGGTTCTATCTGCCATAGCTTCTACAAGATTATCTGTCCTGCCTCCTCATCTATACTAAATCTTTGGATTGCAAAAATACCTTGTGGCAAGTTGACTGTATCTGTTATATATTGCTTCACAATAATCTGCCCTAAAATTTAAACACTTCAACAACAAGAAATAATTTATTTTGCTCATGAAAATACAATTTTTTTAGTGCTCAGCAAAGACAACTCATCTACTCAACATGGGGGTCAGCTTGGGCAGATTGACTTAAGGCTGGCAGATTCACTTTCATGATGGCTCACTCATATGCCTGGCAAATTGTTACTGTTATCTGGGAAGTCAGTGAGAGTGTGGGCTAGGGACATTGCTTCTCTTCATGTAGGTCTCTTCAGATGCTGCTTGAGCTTCCTTCCAACATGGTGGTTGGATCTCAAAAATAAGCATCCCAAGGGATAGATAATGAAAACCCAGTATCTTGAAACCTGGGTACGAAAACTACCATAATGTTTCTTTCTCTGAATTCAGTTCCTCGAGCAGTCATAAAGGCCAGACTTATGAGAAGGGGACATAGACCTGTCTCTCAATAGAAGGACAGTCAACTAATTTAGGGGTCATCTTTTTAAAATGCCAGTGATCTTAATCTTGAATGTTGCCTATCTAAATTAGGTTTCACTGACACATTGTATTGAAATAATATCAATTTTGTGAGACTATCAGAGCTAGTTTGACTTTTTAGAATATTAGATATTTCCCTTTGATTCAAGTAATATGGCTCCAATTCATCAATGAAAATATTCCCAAGATGTATAAATTCCAGTTGGGACCTGTGTTGATGAGTCCTCATAGACCGAGATGACCCTTACCACAGTACCTACCTGGAATTTGGCTCATGGAGATAATACCCTTCACTGCAGCTAAAGAAGTGAAAGCTGAGCTTGTTGGGAGACTTGTCAACCAAGTAATGCCTGCTTTTCTTGTGTAAGAAATAGCCCTAACTTGGAACACTTCTATTCTTGCCGGAAAACTGTCCAAAACAGTTCAGATGTGAACTCTTTACAGTACCTCTTTGCTTGAATTATCTGGGCCTGTGGTTGATTAAGCACAAAGTGGACACATAAGTATCTTCCTGAGAAAACAGTGAGGCTATTCAGTGCCTCCTCAGGAAACACAACTCTTTTTGTAAGGTTTGGTCTCCTCCTGGGACAAGACTTCAGAGATTATACAAACTATGTCTCCCCTGCCAGGGAAATATGCCAAAGTCAGGAGTACCAAACAGACATAAGAATGGGGTTAGAGGTGGAAGAGAATGGGGGTGTCTTTCTTTGCAACAACCAGGAAAGTGTAACACATCTCCCTGGTATGAGTGTATTTGTCTACAATGCAATCCTTTGCAATGGATTTAGGAAATCCTTTTGGGGGAACATTATCTAGGATAAACAAAAAGAAAAGCACCTTTCTGTTTTACTTTTCTTGCCGTTTCATACTGCTAGAATTACTTTTGGGGGCTTCCTCGTGAATTGACAGAAAGCAGTGATGGTCACTGTGTTTGGTTAACAACTGATATCCAGTCCCTGGAAATTCTGTAGTCCTAGCAAGGGGGTGAAAAGGGGGATGAAGAACGGTGTGGATATTGTCACTGGCCTTTGTTTACCCCAAGATACCAAGATTTAGTGATCTGAGGAGAGTAAAATCCTGAGGCTCCTGTTTTCTCAAGTGGAAACTTTCATTTGTCAAAGATGTATACATTTATTCTGACTTGGAGTAGGAAAAGTTTTCTAGTGTAAACACAGGGTTGCACTATCCGTATGTGCAAAACACCATCCTCCAAACGTAGCCAAGACCAGATGATGCAGATTTTAATATCTTACCTTTCCTTTTCTCATGGTTTGACACTCCCCTGGGATATTCTATTCTCTGAGCACAAAGTACACCAACACCAGTAGAAAAAAACCTGTTTGCTTCCTGTGTGTTGGTGGCAGAATGTCAGAGCCTGTAAAAAATTCGAATGGAACTTGGTTATATTTCTCTTTCAAGAGACACCCACAGCCAATTTATCAAGGGAACTGGGGAGAAATCCAGGTTGGGACTATTGTTAATTGGTTTTGAATTTATGATTCTGAAAAACTTATAATTATGAATAACTGTTTCTTGGAGTCATCCCAAATTTATTCCAAAACAAGAAGCAAATGTTCTTAATGTATTTGAAATGCATTGTCCCTATATCTTCAGACTCGAATATACTTTGACTCCACCTCCAAGTAATTCTCATATGAATTAATGTATTAAGTGTTCCCTTTTTAACCTTTTACATTTCTTGTGCTAATGTATTTCTATTTTAATCTAATTATTATTCTTTTAAATATCAGATCTCAAAATGCAGCATATTAAAAAAATGAACTGCAAAGCTATTCTTTACAAGTTATGAAGGTCATCTGCCCACATTGTTGTCTTGGTGATTGGATTTTCTTCTTCACTGTTTTCCCATATGGACCCCAAAGGCCCAAAAGTTGTATCTTCAGTTTAGTTGGCCTTTCTTCACAGAAGAAGATAATGTTTCTCTTGCTATATACTTGTATATGTTCTTTATTTTGCTTCTTGTTTCAAGTATCTGTCCTATGCTTAAAGGCTTTAGATTTATTTTTCAATTTTCTCTAGAAGACCATTCACAACTTGGTTTTCCAGATCTTCTTTTTTATTTTCTCTAGAACGTTGGATGAGAATTCTGCCTTCTTCATGGCTAGTTTTTCCCATGGGCTCTTCTTTTATTTATACTGACTATATTGTGTTTACTTTTATTGACTTCTCAATTGGGTTATCCAGGCCTTTTCCTTGATTCATAAATCCTGGGTTCATTTCTGTGTTCTCTCTCTCTCTCTCTTTCTCATAGAAAGCAGGTGCATAGTGGATAAGTGGACTGTAGACATAGGTTTGGGGATATCAGTTTTATATTTATTTAGAAGTTGACTGACAGGATCAGAATATGGAGGATAAGCAGATTGAACCAGAGGAGCTATATTTCAGAAAAATGTGAATTATTTTTGGAAAATTTGCTTGTAATAACTATAGAGAGAGGGGATGCCAAGGTAAAGGATCTGATGATAAAGATGCCAGATGAATACCTACAAAGGATAAAAGAATAGGACTGCATTTCCATGGTTATGAAAACCTAAATGTTAGGGAAAGACTAGTCATCAAAGAAATAAAGAACTTGAATGAGGGTGGAGGTCAAGGTTGCAGTGAGGTCATAGGGTTCTGATTATAAAACCCAGAGGAAGGGGCAAATTAAGTAGCCATGACTCCAGAATTAAGACTCAATGACTTAAGAAAGGAATCAATATTAGACTCAACCTAAGGCAAGTGTATCTGGAATCCCATGTAAAGATTTTCCCCAGAAGACCAGCAAGAGACAGATTGAAATTTGAAAAAGCTAGACTTTGGGTGTGTACTCTGCAGACTGAGCAACTAGCTGGATAGCTATAATTTAGCCCTCTGGGTAGAGTTTGTCACCTGAAATAGCAAGGCCTTAAGGCAAAGCAAAGTCATAAAGCAAAGGAGTTGATGTTTGAAAATGAGACATTAGGCCCTGACTCTTCTCCTAACTGCTGGGCAGTCTCTGCAGATAATGGAATTTCAGGAGCCCACTGTTTCAAGGGGTGCTTGGCAGATATTTTCCATCATTGTTCTTGAATTTCTTTTTTACTTTGTTGCACACTATACTATGAGTCACCTATGATAGACGTTCCTACTTTTCTTCTTTATTCTGTCTCTAAATTATTAGGAGCTGGGGATATGGTAAAGATTAAATGAGACCCAGTAGGAGGAAGCACTATATGAGCAGAGGAGCATATAAACTGAAGGCAATTTCTCTGAATTGGGATTGGATTTTGAGGGTGTACTAATGCTGTTATTCTCTGATTTCATTAAGATCAAGTGAACTCTAAGTGTGACATCATAATATTTTAGATAAATATTTATAATATTTAATATTTAAAATATTAATCTAAATATCATAATATTTAGATAAATATTTTTCAGCAAACATTTTTTGAGCATGCAGTGGGCATTTGGGCCTGGTCTAAGCAATGGAGCTACAAGGTGAAGAATTGAGGCTGCTATGGGGTCTGTAGGGGAGGCCAGGGGCACTCAGTTTTGTGCAACCTCAAGTTAGTGTGATTTGCAGGACTCTCTTTAAGAAAAAAATTTTGAAATTACAAATATAAATTTAAGTATAGAAGGGATTTTATTTAAAGTGAGAAAAGAGATGCCAACAAATTTCAAATAAAAAAAAAAAATCTAACAAATACCACAAACATCACAAAATCCAAGGGAAAAAACCCTACATGGTATTTTTCTTAATAAACTGTCTAACAAACCTCTGTTAGATTTTTCCTCATATATATTGGCTGTGTACTCTTTGATAATGTCTTCATGTAACAGTGACTTTTAAATATGATTTTCTATAGAGAGACCAGAAACATAATTTGGTCTCTCCTCTTGCATGGTTCATTAAATTTTGTTTTTTTAATAATTGATTTTTTGACTAGATCTGATTGAAAGCCAAATCATTCTCTTACAATTTTGTATACTTAAAGATTGGAAAGAAGTTCAATAGATTTAAAACCTTGTTCCACCTAAGTACCTTCACAAAGTGCCGGGCACATCAGACCGTTCTTACTGTGATGTAGCCTCTGGCCTTGCCTGCCCCTGAGTGTCACAGCACAGGGTGAATCAGCCCCATGGGCAGTAGGAGGTATTTCTAGAAGCCAATGCTACACCAGACAGCTAGTGTCACTTCACTAGACATTGAAGTGATTATAAACCACATAAATATAGCTTATTAAAGCCAAATAAGTGATTCTCTAACTCAACTCTCCCTAAGCTGAATCCCCAAAATGCTCTCAGCCATTCCAAGCTACCCAACTTGAGGAGACTTGTACAAAGGGAATTAGGGACTGATCAGAGTAGAAAGAAACCCTAGACTTAACCTGTCACAATTAAAATAGATTAGAGCTGCAAATTTTACAAAGTTCTTGGACCTCAGGAACATATGAGACCCAGTGTCTTTGAAAATAAAAGGCCCTGATGCTGATGTTTAGTTAACCCGTACCTCAGTCTGCCTCTGGGGAGGCCAGTAGGTAACCTGAGTGGGTGAACGAAGACTCCACAGTGGTATTAAACTTTTAGCTAAGTCTTGAAAGATAAGGAGATATTTTTTAGGAGGTCAGTGGAAATGGCCAGGCCTAGTAGGAGGTGCCAGCAAAGGAGAAAAAGAAGAAATGGTAAGAGAGAAAGAGAAGGGCAACCAGGTGAGAATGACCTCTTTGGAGAGTGTTAGAGAAAATTTCAACAAGAAATGGTTAAATGCTATTAAAAATGGAAGTGAGTCCAAGTAGTTGACAACGTGAAAGAGTCTATTGTCAATCAGGAAGCCACATGGGGATCTTTGTCAATGCAATCTCAAAGACGTAGTGGAAGTCAAAGCCCAGTTTTAATGAGCTGAAAAGTGAATAGATTACAAGCAAGTTGACTTTGATAGTTCAAGAAGTGCACCTGGGAAGGAAAGAAGATGCATAGTGCTGTGGTTATAAGAAAGCTTGGAGATGAAGGACTCTTCATTGGTATTTATTTTTAATTAAAGAAGAGTTTAACCAAACATGTCAGGAATGCCCCGTAAGTGGAGTGACTTCCTGGTCTGAGCAGAGGGCATGTGGTCTCCATTTGCTTATAATTTCACTTACCCTTGCTTCTTAGTACTCTAAAATTTTCAGGAATAGCTTACCAACACCAACCAACAGAGCAGTAGACAAGTCCTCTAGAGAGTGTATGTGCTCATCTTGACATTCC
This sequence comes from Homo sapiens, assembly GCF_000001405.40. Lineage (NCBI taxonomy): Eukaryota > Metazoa > Chordata > Mammalia > Primates > Hominidae > Homo > Homo sapiens. Next base: position 44,012,364 of record NC_000013.11, read on the forward strand.
AAGGAATAGCCCACACCTTGCCCCTGCCCTGTGGTCCCACATATCAGAAGTACAGCTGTTCACATTCTATTCTTCTCTTTTCTCCCAGCTTCCAATCTCATTCCCCCCACCCCCCCACATCAACCCTTCAACCCCTCTCTCTTTCTCTCTCTCCATCATTTTTTTGTGTGTGATATGGAATATTCTCCATGCAATTAGCTATTCTTCACAGATACAGGTTTTAAATGGCTGCATTGTATTCTGTGACATGAATTAATCATTACTTATCTCGTTGGACATTTGGTCTGTTTCAAGATGATTGTTCAGTCATCTAAATTTTTGTGTACAGTGGTGATTTCCTGAGGATATATTTCAAAAAATGTCAAGAAATGGAATCACGTGCACAAAAAAGTCATGTTTTTATGGCTTTTGACATATATTACCAAATTGTTTTCCCGGTAACTCAAATGCTTGATGATAACGAAGCTCTGAGAGAATGTAAGCCTTTGCCTTTGGTTGAACACATTTACATAACATGGTAAAATGGAAAGCCAGAAGAAATCATCTGACACACTTAGGGAAAAACCAGATTTGATTGTTTTTGCCCATATTTTGAATTTACTAAGTTATACAGTGCTGGCCTCCACATTTTCCACTTGTGAAAATGTATTAAGATAAATTAAATTGCTTCAGACATGCAGCTGAATTTCTCTGGTTCCCAGACTGTGGTTATTCCCTTGACTGGTCAGCCTGGGGTGAAAAGCACTTCCTGGCAGTCAGCAGGTGTGTTGTGCTGGAATCTAGAAACATGACAACCAACAAGAGGAAGGCTTTATCTACCAGATTAAACAAAAGGCATGGTGGATGCATAAGGGGTAGCAGTAAACATAACCTCAAGGAGAGGGGCTGAAGGACCTACCTCCTGCCTAGTACCCCACAGGGCTCTGAGCCTGGTCCCTTCCGGGTTGTAGTCTCTGATCCCCAGATTCTAGGATCTTGCTGAATGGCCTGAGGACAAAAGACATTTTCCAGAGGCTTCCCCTAAGAAGGTTTGCCAAATTTCTGGGAATACGTACAAAGCTTGAGCCACAGAAAGCCTGAGTGATCCGTGAATATAAACACATCAGTAGTGAAGTCCAGCTTTACGTTTTTGAAAAAAGCCCCTTTTAAAAATGTCTTGGTTTTCAAAATAGTACGTTTCCCAAATTATATTTATAGAGTAGCATCAAACAAGAAAGCTCTTTGATAAAACCCTGCCTATTTCTGGAAGGGTGGAGATGGGAAGATGTGGATGGGAGTAATGTTTGTTCACAGGCCGTTAGCTGCTGAGCTTTGATCATTCTGCAGAAAAGAGGTAAGATCGTTATGCCACCAATCCGTACCCTCAAACTGAACCTTGTTAATAAGTCTTGTCTCATCCACTCCATTAATGATCAGCAAATGACTAGAACTCTGGCCAAAAGGCCTAGACATCAGGATGAATGTCAAATAACAGCTGACACTGCCAACTAAAAATAGCACTTTGGATTTAAATGGGTGACTCAGACTTGATTTCCTATGCTTGCCTGGGATAATACGGTACAGAGCAGGGTTGTTTTATGTTTTTCTTTTTTCCTTTCATGTGAAAGGAGGGTTTTATTGCAATCGTCTGGGCAGTGAGCTCAGAGTCAGCTCTGTGGGAGTTGAGTGCACCCAAACTTCTACCTCCGAGGCCCTGGGGGCACCTGGCACTGTCGGCTTCCTAAGCACATCTGTGCACTTGACCTTGCAGTCCAGGTCAGCAAAGAATGAGAGATGGCTTAGGAAGTTATGTCAAAATTTAACACCATTTCCAGAAACTTCTCCCTTTGTGTTCTTCCCATCATTCTCCTTCACACAATGGAACCAATTAAAAGGCTAACCAGTTAATTGCAAATGACACAAGCTACATAACCCAGGACACCTCTTGAAAGAGATGGCAAACTGGAAAACCAAATGTATCTTTCCAGAATATGCCCATATATATAATGAATATTAAAATGTTGACCAAATTGACCAGATAAATATTTAAATAAGGTCTATAATGGAACATTACATCTGTCGCTCATTTGAGTTAAATACATTTTCACTGAGTTAGTTAATTAATATTTGCTAATCAGATTGGTCAATGAGGTTTTCCTAGTTTCAAACAGTGACAGAATATGTCAGGCCAACCAAAGATGTTTCAACTATGCATTCCCAAGGTTTTTGCCCCATCAAATGCATACCCCTGGAATCTAGATAAGTCTCTATTTACATACAAGCGTCTCCTCCCCTTGTACATTTTCCCACCCTACAGCCCGTTGCCAGATCCCGTTATACTCAGGGAATATCCTGTCTGCCTAGGCTCCCTTCCTGGCTATTAGAAGTCAAAGCCCTTCGCGTGACAGTAAGAACGGAGCCTGAAAACGATTCTGCAAGTCTGGTTTCTACAGGGATCACGGGCCAATAATACCTGTCCAGAACTCACTTACCAGTTCCAAGTGGGTCAGCACAGCAAGAGGACATCAAATTGTGAAACCTACTAGTTATGGAGCTAGGCAGAACTGAGGTTATGATGAGGTTCAGAGTTTAGACAATGAAGCTTTGAGGAAAATTCCCATAGCTGGGAATTCATAGCAGCTTTACTGTACTTCTTAAACCTCAGACTTAGATGTGGGAGGAGCACCTGGAGTTGATACAAAGTAGATGCAGCAGCCAGTGGCACTCAAATTCAGAGTCAGAGCTCCCAACAAAATTCAGTTAAGAAATCACAACCTAGTCAATTCTCAGCCTGTAGGCTAAAATCAAGTGTGAGAAAATCGCAGCCCATAGACCCTAGCCCAAATAAACTGGACTCTTTCCACAACTATGCTGGCCTTTTGCAGTAAGCCTAAGTGCTTTAAGGATGTATCTGTTCTGGATCTCACTGTTAGGCTGTGGTCAGACAGGCTGGTGAGCTGGGAAAAGCCTTTGTGAGGCCCGGAAACTCTTTGGTGGCTGGGAGCAACTTGGGAAGGGGGAAATCCCCTCTGGCCTTATCTGTCCAAGCCCTGCTTTCTTCTCTCCTCTATCTTCCACTCCTTTCTTCTCTCCACGAGTGCCTCAGAACCATCAAACCCTCTAGTGCCTTAGCCCTGATGTTAGGACGCTGTTGGGGCCTTGGGCGTGGCTGCTGAGTGCCCAGTCTCTGGAAGTGAGTCGTCCATTTGTTGGGATGGACAGGGACCCTGCACAGGGACCCTGTGGTTGATACTGTCTTGTTCCAGTGCTGGTTTTGAATCTTGGCCAACAGAACACAGAGCTCGTGCCACATGCAGTGAGCATAGCCCCTCCTTGGAGCCTGCCTACCTTTTCCCAAAGGAAGAAGAGTGGACAGTTTTGCAAACAGGAAAGGAGAATTTATGTGCTTCAGGAAGGGCAGTGCCTCTAAGAGGGAGAAATAACACTTGTTAAGAGGGAGAAGCTGTGTCTAACTGTGTCTTTCTTGGTTTGCCTAAATGTAGGCCATTCAGTGGCTTCTCAGGAGAGAGATAGGAGCGAGGGAGGGAGAGAACGGGAGAGATATGCAGGGAAGGAGATTAACCTGGCATCTTGTTATTGCAAAAGAAGTGCCACAGGAAATAACAATGTCTGGAGAAAGAGTAAATAAAGTGCCCTTGTGGCGCAAGAAGGAATGGGATGAGGGATGGACTTCCTATTGAAAACTGGACTTTGGCAGTGGAAGCTGGTTGTGAGTTACTCAGACTTGTAACTAATGAAATCTTTCATTAGGTTGGAGGGTGGATGGGTTACTTTCGATAAATTATTTCCAGGGATTTTGCTCGTTCCTCGAATTCCTTCCTGAATGGATCTGGGATAAAATGCTGAATCAAAGTGTCAGGCAGGAGCTGCAGCACGGCAATCCAAATGATAAACAAGGGTAAGGGAAGGCCCAGCAAACGGCAGGATCTGAAGTTTCTGGCACCAAAAGAAAAGCTTACAACCCAGGTCCTACCTTGGAATTGCCCTTTATTATAAACTTTTGAATGATGCGAGCATAAAGCAAAGTTAGTTTCTGATTTGTTAGACTCATTATGAAAATATTATTGGTAATACAGAACTCACGTAAGCAAATACAACAATATCATAAAGGTCTAAAAGTGACCTGGTGAACTCTACCTAATGCTATTGGATATATAATCCCCACGTGAAGTTTCCTTTTTTGCAGATTCATTTAAGAGCCCTTCAACACTGATTAGATAACGAGGAAAATGGCAACTACAAGATTTGAAACCCAAGTGGCCAAGGAAATAGAGTTGCCATTAATGGAAATAGAAAAGACCCCAGGAATGACTGGCTTGAGAGAAAGCTGATGTCACATGCTGAGTGTGAGATGTTGGAGAGATACCGAGTTAGAAACAGTACCTTGGAGGCAGGAGTGACTTGGAAAAAGTTCTAGGAATTAGTCATAGTAGAAGCCAAGGAAGTAGATATGATCAAAAAGTGAGAGATGGTGAGGGAGCAGAGAAGGATGCGAAAAAGACACCTGGAAAATGCAACTGTGTGGGGATTGGCCAAGGACAGGAATCCCTGGAGATGGAAACGAGGAAATGGAAATAAACTAAGGAGAGAACCAGCACAGAGCATTTGTATGGAGGCCAAGGGAGAGTGTAATCAACAGTGGCCTACAAGGCCTTACTTAGATGGCCTGGGTTCTGTAGCTCTCTGACGCCTTCCTATGAGCTTTCCCTCAACTTTTTCCTCTCTAGTGCCCTGGCCTCCTTGCTGCTCCCTGAACACACAGACATGTCCTGTTAGGGCCTTAGCACTGGCTATAGCCTCTACCTGGAGCACCCTCTCTCTGAGGTCCACATGGCTCTCTCTCTCTCTCCTCCTGCAAGTCTCTGTTGTCACCTTCTCAGTGAAATGTACCCAACGGCCCTTGCAACACCAAGACTTCCTCCTACATGCACCTCTGTGACTCCCTACCCTGCCCTATTTTCCTTTTTTCTCTAGCTTTTGTTTATTAATACTAGATCATTTACTTACTAATTTGTCTATGTGGTTAATTCATAACCACTACTAATAATTTACATATTATGTATGTTATATAGTGTCTGCCTCCCTACACCAATAAAATATAACCTTTATGAAGGCAGAGATCTCTGTTTTATTAACCTATCCTAAGTGCCTAGAACAGTGCTTGATACAGAGAAACACTCGATGACTATTTATTGAAGGAAGAATGAACAGTGTTGAATGCTGCTGAGAAGGAAAGGAGAATGGTACCGAGGCAAGGTCATTGGATGGATGTTTTAGGAAGTGCTTGGCAATGCTAAGGAGAGCAGTTGCAGGAGAGTAATTGGAGAGTGGAGTGGATAAGTGGGGCAGGGTAGGGGAAGTGAAAGCAGCAAAGATCATAGTGCCTAAATCACAGAGCAAATTAATGTTTGGGCATAATATTTAAAATTCTGGAACTGTAAGTAACTGCATCAGGTCTTTCTGAGTCTGGTATTGGAAGACATAAGGCACATCACTGGTAGGCAATCACAACAGGCTGGCCTGTGAGGAGTTGCAATTTAGAGGTCAGGATGTGACTTGCAGTGTATCCAGATTCATGTAATAATGCGCTGTTCTGTAAGGGAGGTACACAGCGTGTTCAAGTACAACCTATTTTAAGACAGGCAATTTTTGCAAAATTGAAAGCTACAAATCACATGAGTCAAGGGTGATGGATTTAGATGAAGATAAGAGAGGAAGGGGAAGTGGGAAACTGAGAGAACAGCTAGGGCTAAACAAAAAGCACAGGAAGAAAACAGCAGGGAGAAGACACCTCCCTGCTGAGGAAAGGCGACAATCTGGGCCTGCCCCGGAGAAAACAGCCCCATCCCAGGGCCACAAGGGAGGAAAGGGCAAGCCAAGGAGGAGGCCATTCTTGGAAGTTAAGACGGCCAGAGGAAAACAACAAGCACAATTATAGAAAGATCTGCAGAAAGGGGATCTGCTGGAGGAGGGAGAAATTGGAACTTGAGACAGTGAATAAGCCAGAAATCAAAGGCTCAAGGAGGAGAGAGAAAGAGAAAACCTTGAGGGCAGTCAAAGGAGGAATAAACCCACTTCAAGAACATGCTCCAAGAATAGGAGAGAACATGCAAGGGCACACAGAGAGCTAAAGGAGAAACTTGAGAAACAAAAACTAAGAAGAGGGAAATGAAAATCTGAATGCACCTTTTGTATGAGACACTGGGAAGTGTTCGAGTGTGGAATTTGTTTGATGATGGGTCATTAGTTCATTCTGTTGTAGCATGCACTTGCACACATAACATAAACACCTGGTGAGGGTGAGATGCAGAGAGCTGGGGCCCAGGAGGGGAAAGGGATGTTTAATTCAGACCTACACGCGTTCGTCTAAGGCTTTGGTAGTGTTTAACTCTAGAGAACCTGGAATGGGCTCACTAGGAGCCCATTAACTGGTGAAATGTGGAACCTCTTAGGAAAAATTTACAACACTTTTCTTATGTGGGATGCGAGGCTTCATTGATGAGCTAGACCCGCCTACTGTTTGTCCTGGAGAACACAGTATCTCCTTTGGTGAGAGGTGACTTTCCTGTGTCTTAGGACTTGGCAGGGGGCTTTTCTTAAGTAACAAAAACCACACAAGAACAACAGTGAACATCGATTAGACAGTTTCATGACCATGAACTGTGCTAAGCTCTTTATATACGGTAGCTCCTTACTATTCACAAATTCTGCATTCATCTACTTGCTAAAATTTATTTATGACCCCAAAATCAATACTTGCAATGCTTTCATGGTCATTCATGGACAAGTACAGAGCAGAGGATAATTTAAGTCCCCCAGTGAGCATGCACCTTCCTCATGACGCTTTGCCTTTTAGTTTCAGCTCTCATACCATAAACTGGGGTCCTTGTGGTGGTCTATTCAGTGCCACATTTTTTTGCACTTTTGTAGATATTTCACTGTTTCAAATAGCCTCCAAGCTAGTGCTGAAGTGCTGTCTGGCGTTCCCATGTGCAAGGAGGCTGTGGTCTGCCTTACAGAGAATACATGGTTACATAAATCTCCACTAGGCATGAGTTATAGTTCTGTTGGTTGGGAGTTTAATGTTAAATAATCAGTCAAATATATTGAATAAAGTGCCTTTAAACAGAAACACATATAAAACAAGGGAATGTATTGATTGGTTGACAAAAGTATTGTGACCAGTAACTCACAAGAACCTAACTCTGTATTTCTGTAAGGAGCATTGTTTCAGTATTTGCTAATTCAGTACTTGGAGTGACTTTATGGAATAGAACTGCCACAAACAATGAGAATCAACTGTACGTTATTTCCTTTAATAGTTACAGGTCGATAAAGTAATTCTATAAAGGGCCAATTTTATAGAAATATAGGCCTAGAGGAATGTTAGGCCTTAAATGTTATGTTCAAGGTCATAATACTGGTAAGGGACTCGAGCCCAGCTCTGACTCCAGACCAGCACATGGTGTTTATGCTGCCCTAGGGTGAGGGTGTGGAGGGGAAAGATGGATTCCACATAGTGGAGGGAGGATTTTATTCATGAACAAACATGAGCTGACTCCAGGAGACTCCTAGGAATTGTTTAATAGGAATTTAAAGTAAAACTGGAATTTTTGAAATCACAAGTAGAGAAGGAACCAGGAAAATACTGTTTGTTATTGTTACGACCTTAGTTTATATTCCTGAATGCTGTGGCCTACAGAAACTTGGGGCTACGTGAGGTTGTGATCATGCTTTGAAAAGAATAAAAACACTATGCAAATATGTGGTACAATAGAAAAACACTGAGCTGGGAGCAGAAAATTCCAGTTCTAGTCCCAATTCTGCCAGTAACTTGCCATCGGCCTTTGAGAAAGTCCCCTTCACAGCCCACACCTTAACCACCTGACCTGTAAATGAAAATGCTGGTAAATGATTTTCTCTGCTCGAAGTTTTTCTGATGTGGAAACTGTATAGCTCTGTCTGGATCCTACCTGGGTGACTGGAAGTCCGACATTGCCTGAAGTAGGCTTGGTGTATACCTTGTGTCTTAGCATCAATACTAATGGCATCTTCTTTCAGAACCAAAGGTGTGCGCATTTGGGCAATAAATCATATGAGTATCCTGTGCTTCACCAATATTTGTTTGTTGGGTCTTCTTGGCTGAGTCAGACTCAAGAAAAACCTTACCCTTGTCTCAGTAGTGGGTACCAGCTGGAGTGACCTCTTCCAGACACAGGAGGTTCTTGCTGTCTTGTTGCTGAGCTGCTTGGCTCTTACCTGCTGCCACATTTCTGGCCCATCTCACCTGGTTCTCTCCTCACATCTTACACCTTGAATATGAAATGTCCTGCTGCTTAAATTGAGAAACAATTCTGCTTCGCCTTTTGGCTTCCCAAAAAGGAAATTATTTCAGCTGGACTGTGAAAAGAAGACAGTAATTAATGTAAAGAAAAAGTAGTTTGATATAGTACTGCTGATTCAAAGACATAATATGCTGTAATGTAGTCATTCCTAGTCCTATTAGATTTGATGCTATTTTTCATCAAATTACCTACAATCATAATATAATTATATCAATACTGACTGAATATAACAAAAATTAATTTTAAAATATGGAGCTAGATCAAGAAGTGAGATGTTGAAACAAAATCTTCTGCCACTCAATTTCGAGTATCTCTAAACATACTCTTTCATTCTCTTGCTATCATATAAAAAAGTTACACGAATCACTATGTGAAATAAAATTGTTTTCACTATAAAACAAAGCAATGATCTATAGAAATAAAACATAAAAAGAAGATAGTTTTACCTTATTCTTTTTAATAGGTTAAAATGGACTATATAATTTTATTATACTCTTAATTTGCTTAGCAAAACGTTTCCTCCCAGATACTGAAAGAAAAACTTTAGCTCAGGCCAGATTTAATAATCCTAAACTTTCTGAATGTCATCTGAAAAATTAAACAATCAGTCAAATTCTCTAATCTGTGTTTCTGGTTCAAAATCCTCTTCCCCGTCTTTCTAGGTAAACTTCAGCTATTCAATCCAGAAAACGTAGTATGTTAATGATTGAACAAACATCAGAAGACTGGCATCCTATTCAAAATACTGTTTCTGCACTCTGCTCATGGGTTTGAAACAAATAATTTCTCAGTAGTAATTGCTTGCTTTCCAGAAAGAGCTACGGTTCAAGAAGAAGGGTTGGTGGGAAACTTGTACTAGTTACAAACCTGATTGGCTAACATCTATTTTAGAATCCTTTGGGACAACATTGAGGTTGGTTATATTGGCTAAAAGATCATATTTCTGGGAACTTGCCAACCAGAAACTCAAATGAAAGCTTGTGCCCTGGAAGCTCTGAAACAAAGATATCAAAGTAATACTGTGTCCCTTCATAGTGCCTGCTCCGTGGTCAGGAAATGACGCTAGGTGACACTGGGAAGACCCAAGGCCTGGCAGGGCCTTGGCTGGTCTACACCCTAAAGAGGAAGAAACCACCAGCATCTTTTATTTGATTCAGTTCAGTTTAAAATATCATCCCATCTGTGCCAAAAAGGGGCAATTTGATCTTACGAGCAAACAACAAAAGGAATTTTGCATTAGAGGATTAAAAAAAAAAACTGTTTGTTAGTTTCTTACACTTCCTGCAAATATCTTAGTTTGAAATGCTAAATGTTTTTAGGACACTTTAACTTTATTTTAGATGTGTATTAAGTACAAATCTTTTTTATGATATTGGGCATTTATGCTCAATCTCTTTTCTGTTAATAATTTTTCTTATTTGATTATTTTTAAAAAGAAAAAGAAAACAAATGTCTCTTTGTCCAGTGTCTGGTTCCAGATATTTTACTTTTAAATGTTTACCTAAGGAAAAAAGAATGAGATTGCTATTTGCCAAGCCTGGAAGGATGGAATTTGCTATTTGTTTACGGAAGTCATTGGTGCTACTGCCTTACCTGCTACCCACTGCCCTACGCAACCACTTTCTCATTCTTCAAAAGTTTCACTGACATGAACCTCACTTGTGGGTGCCAGGTTATGACCACATGCATAGTTTCATCTTCATCTTATGCAACATTTGGGGTAAAAGGAAGGTTATGTGGTAACCAGTTTATGACTTGAACTATAGGCAAAGATTGACCAGACCAAGCCCTGAGACACAGTGTTGAGAGCCAAGACATAAAGTTGTGAAGATTCAGACCCAGAGCCCAGCAGGGCACAGGCTGGAGGGGTGATGTGAGTGATCAGTAACACCATGAAGACTCTGCTCCTGGGTCAGGAATGCTTTTTTGTCCCTGTTTTTGGATTTTCCACCATGATCAGGTATGTTTGCTCACCTCAGCTGGGAGCCTGAGTGGGAGTTGGGGGACTATGGATGTTCTCTGCCACTGACTGGAGGGGAGCACAGCCAAGAATCATGAGCACTTTTGCCTTCATGACTGTATTTTCTTATGGTTAGAAACAAAACTAAACAATTTAAATAACTCTGCTTAATGGAAGTCAGGAAAGAGAAAAGGCAGCTATGAAGTGTTGTTGTTACAGACTGTGCATGGACCCTAATGGTCACCTAAATGTGAGAGGAGGCTAGGCACTGAGAATGCCATGTGCAAGGAAATAATAAAAGCAAGTCCTCCAAGACATTTCCCACAGACTCAAATATTTTCGAAGTAACAAAAATAAGAAGAGTGCCCTTTTTGAGTCACAAAATTGGCATGAAGTGAACTGGTTCTATGCTTGCTGTAATTGTTGTTCAAGGAGGAAGGGGGGAAGCCATTGAATGTGTTCAGTGAGCTAGAAAGGTAACTTTCTTAACTGGAAGAAAATGATCAAGGGTGAGAAGTCAGGAGGAAAGAGATGTTTTTGACCAGGTCTCATTCTTCTCCCTCTGTGTCTGACCTTGAAAAGGAGAGATTGCAGAATAGGAAAAAAAAAAAAAAGTTTGAACCTTCCCAAGAGATGGGTAAACAGCTCTCCTTCAGAAGAGGATGAGCTGTCAAGGATACTGGCTGTGTGACATCTCACAAAGGTAGAAACACTATTAGGCCATCACTGGGATTTTAGTTTACAGGACTCTATTCTCCTTCCCTCAAAACTTTGACAAGATGCAACTTCTTTCCTGAGCTAAACTGTTGTGTTGGTTGTAGTATCTTGTCTTATGCCTCATTACTCACTATCAGAGCTCAGTGATGAAATGATAGAAAACTTGAGTCAGTGATGGGGACTACTTGAGACTGAACGGGCAACAAAATGAAACCTTCAGAAGCCTTCTGGAAAGAGGGACAGGAGAGGAAGCAGTGGAGGAAATTTCATGCAGGGCTCCTGGAGGTGCCATAAACAGGATAAAGATCTGGGACTTGTCTGTAATCAAAAAGCACAGGGGATAACTCAAAAGTGCTCAAGGAGGGGAAAGAAAGCAGACTTGGTCTTCTTGCAGTAGCACTGGCTGGTAATGGTTGAAATGTGAATGATCACATTCTAGTTAGGCACATTTCTTCAACTTTCATTCCATATTGTGTTGTACCTTATATATCTGAAAAATTTAATATGAAAATGAAATTGCTTTTTGATTTTTTTTATTTTAAAGAGCATAATCAACTGTGTTCCTGCTTCCTCCAGTTTCTCCTAATGAAGGAAAGCCTGTCTGCAGACCTCTGTACTTGTAGCTGATACCTGTGTATACACAGTGGGGTACATTATAATTTCAGAGTTAGTGCACTTTCATAAATTATTTAACAAATAATCAGCCTCCATAAGATTGGTCTTGAATATCCATACCTGTTAAGTGATGGCAACTCTCAAACCCTAGGAATAACAAATACCCACTCAGTTCATCAAGAAATAATTAATGTAAGTTTGGGAGCAGAGAGATGTGTGGGCTCAAATCCCAGTTGCAGAGAAACCACCGTGTCACCTGTAACCTCTGAGAGCTTAGTTTTCCCATTCATATTAACTATAATTTCTAAGAAGCTATACTGTTGTAGGAATTACATATGATGTATGCTAAGTGCTAGCACAGTGACATACAGAGCTTTGGAGCCTCAGTTAATGCTCATTACTGTCATTACAGCATACCATGAGACCATTCCTATTTTTAGAAATATAGGTACTAGATACATGGGGGATCTTAAATCTAGTTGTTTTAAAGTCCCATTGGTCATCTAAATATAAAGTCATAGCATTCTTGAAAGTGGTTTTCAGAAATACCAAGAACTACAAGATTTCTACTTAAACTAGAAATAGTTTTGGTCTCACATAAGGTGACCAACTGGGGCTCCCAAGGTGAGGTCCCCGGACCAGAAGCATTAGCTTTACCTGGAAGTTTAGGAATGCAAATCCGTGTCTCCCAGCCCAGACCTAATGAGTCACAAACTCTGGCTGGAGCACGAAGTATGTGTTTGAATAAATTCTCCAGGTGATTTTGATGCACGCAGCATGCTAACATTTAAGAAATCCTGGTCTATAATGTTTCACTTATGCCAAACTAAGACATTTTACAGAGGGGAAAAGAAAAAAAAAAGCAATAAGCCTGTTTCAATTTCTCTAGGACACATGCGTCAGTACTTTTATAGCTGATAGTCTGTCCCCATCACTAAAATGACTCAAGTTTTCTATCATTTCATCACTGAGCTCTGACAGTGAGTAATAAGGCATAAGATAAAATGCTACAACCAACACAACAGATTAGCTCAGCAAGGAAGTTCCATCTTGTCAAAGTTTTGAGGAAACGAGTTTTGAGGAAAGGAGAATAGAGTCCTGTAAACCAAAACGCCTAATAGTGATGGCCTAATAGCGTTCCTACCTTTGTGAGATGGCTCACAGTCAGTATCCCCAATAGGGACTAGAGTAGGAAGTATATGGGTAGGGTCAGATAATATTTCTGAAAGGAAACACCCAGGAGTATCCCAAGTTAATGACATTTTAGACCCTCCAACAACCACACAAGTCAGCTCCTTGGAAAGACTCTGGTTACTTTTACAAAGCAAACCAGGAGAATTTTCATAATACCTGATAACTATGTAAGACTTGGAATATTTGAATTTCTAGGACATGGGATTGTGCAACCATTCATTTTATCCCATAATATTGAAATCTCCCTCAGATAAGCCTCTCGGCACCTAATAGAGTTTTCTTAGTGAAGGGCTACCTTTCTGTGGGTAACAGGGAAGGGCAAAATAAACAACCAAATAATATCATAATCACGAGTGTCAATGATTGCTGGAACAGGTGGGGGTTGGTCATTAAATTCTAGTTGTTTCCACTATTCCAGTAGGAGTTGTGTGAATGTTAGCAAAAGACCAGGGTGTTACGATCTGACTGTGTTTCATCAATTGCCTTGACTTTTGGATGAAATGCGATTTGAGGACATATCATTATTAGATTTGCCACAGATTCCAATTTTTTTCTCTAATATGAGGCTAACCATGATGTCCTTTCCCAGGAAGGACAATCTCTCCTTTATCAGGGAAAAATCAGTAGGGGCTTCCTCAATTTTCTCCTTCATCCCCACCACAGAGTCATAGAGGTCAAGTCCTTTTCTTGTGAAACCTAAAAAATGCAAATTCCAAGGTTGCTGCTATGGTGTACTAATTTTGTCACAGTGACATGCCCTGTCACAGGGCGTATGTGTTCTGTTATACAGTTGAAATATTGGTTATACTATTGAAATGTTTTTGTACTATTGAAATCCCAAATAAACTTAATTCTAAAAGAAGCATGACCTCAACAGCCTCACACCTACTTATATCTTGTAGTTCTTTCTGTCTAATGCTGGCAATCTAAGCATGTTCCAGGCAAGCAACATTCAATAGCGTTTTACTGCTCCAATAAGTTGGTTCAATTAGCAATGTCAAAGGCAGTCACTAAATAGATAGTGTATAACCTTCATACAATCTCGTATTATTTTCCACTAATTACTATAGAAAAATCGATGAAGTTTCATTACAATGGAATAACTTCAATCACACTTCAAAAACTACATACGGAAGATAGCCACAACTTGCTGCTCTCAAAAAACACAGAGATGGCATCTTTACTTTGTTTCAAATCCCCAACCCTGGTGGCGGTCCAAAGTTATGGCAGTTATAACCCCTTATGTCATTATAAGGAGGAAGGGTAAATATTAAGTCAACATCCTTTAAAGCTAAGAGTATGACTACAGTGGGGTGGAATTTGGGACTTCATGCCCACTCCCTGTTTCTGTTCTATTTTACCTTTCCTGACCTCTAAGCCAACAGGAGAGGGGGAAGGGCCACACTTTTGTGACCCTTGTTAAAGAATTGTGAGTTTAGGAAACAAAGATGGACTTCTGAGGGGGTAGTTGAGGATGGGCTGAAGGCACAGAAGAAACCAGCTGGTGTGCCCCTCTCCCCACTAGCAGACCCTTCTTCCTCATTGGTTCAGGGCAAACAATCCCCCAAAAATTCAAGAAAACTAACTTAGAGTTATTTTCTGTTATTTCTCTTTTCCTTGATCTGGAGCCAATGCAGAAAGAAATCTAAAGGTGAAGGAAAGGCAGCGTTCAGCACTGAGCAAGTCCATGTTGGAGAAAGGTAATATCATCATTGCCTATACCCAAGAGAAGGGACCAAGATGCCCTGGATGATGCTCAGCATCACCTGGGACTATGACTGTCCCCTGTCATCATTAGCATTGCTGAGCTCAAGCTTTGAGCCAGGAATTAGGCCAAAATCTCCATGGATCTGTCTAACTTAGCCTTTGCCTCCATGACAGCTTGTTACATCCCGAGGTAGAATCTTTGTAAACCCTGTGTTCAAAGGGCCCTGTTAAGGCACATCTTCTGCCTTGGACCAGAAAATTGCTTAAGCACAGAGCCTAAAGGCAGAGCTGCCATGATCTGCTCATGGGGATTGACTACTTATTGAAGGCAATGTCACACACCTGTTTGTCATTTTCACTTCCAAATGAAGAGTCATGCTGCACATCAGTGAGAAATGTTCAGCTCTCACCTGTCAGCTGTTTGTTTGTTTTTGCTCTCTTTCTATGTGAGAAGACATTTAATCATGGACCTATTGGGCAAGCAACATTGTGTGGCCTCTGAAGGCTGAGCTTTTAGTTCTCATCAGAACAAATGTAAAATAATTGAATAACGAAATCTGAAAGATTGTTGTTTCAAGTCTAAAAATATTTTATCCCTTTCTTACCTTCTCTAAATAGTATTGTACATTGAAGGCAAAATAATAACTTCAGATACTAAAAAGTTTAACATTGTTTACATGTTCAAATTTCTATTTTGTAGTTCCTTTAAAGGGCCTAATTACTACAACCAAATCATACAATTAAAAAGTTTTTATGCTGCTGAAATAATCACATCAGATGTATTGCTTCCAATAGGATAAATATTCTCAAAGATTCAAGCTATGAAGACCAAATCTACAGAAGATAGCAACTCAGTAAGACTTATTTATACAAGTTTAGTTTTATTGCCAATATCCATGAGATATTTTAAAATCAACTTAAATATTTGTAATAAAGGATTACAGACTAGGAAATATATTTCTTTAATAAAAATAACTCACGAAAGTTGAATTGTGACTAAGAGGAAGAGAAAAGAAGGAAATAAACTAACAATTGTTAAATACTTATTAGGTGCAGAGATTTATATACTTTACATCATTTAACTGTTAAAAGAGTCCTGTGAAGTGGGTGTTATGACTATTGCTTTGAAGTTGAGGGAATTGAAGCTCAGAGAATTTGAGTAACTGAACCAAAGTCATATAGCTAGTAAGTGAAGAACTAGGATTCAAATCTAGATCTGTATGCTTCCAAAATTCACTCTCACTCTTTGTATGAGAGGCCAATTAAAAACCCCCTACGTCCCTCTGAATTTGAACTCAATTGAGAAATAAAACAGAGAGATGCAGATCAAAGCACTCATTTTCTCACTAATAAAAATGACTGGAAAATGTGGCTTTCGATGTGTGACTAATTTGCTTGCTGTAGTTCACAGGGAATTGGAAATCCTTGTCTTCGTGGTTCCTGGCTCAGCAGGACCCCTGTGGGGCCTCTCCCTCTCTTGGGAAAGAGATTGCTCTAGAAGGTTTACTACACCAGTGAGGAGAAGATGAGCGCAAGGGGGATTGGCCGGCTGAGGGCGAAATCAAGACTGGAGCCAAGTGCGCTGAGCTCTCACATGAGGTCCTTTGCTCCTGTTCCCTGGAGGCATAAGTGGCTGGGGTAGAGAGAAGCAGGGGTATTTCTTCTGTCCTTTCTTGCTTAGGGATTGGGGGTGGAAATCTCCCCGCATCTAAGGAAATTTGAAAAGACAAACTATGGCTGCTTCTTCAAGCAAACCACCTCACCACACTATCCAGGGGATAAAACCCGCTTGCTGCTGCTAAATTATGCCAAGAGAGAACATTCTGATATTTCTCCTCAATTCTAGGCATGACAGCGTGACTTGGTGCTTAAAGGCATGGAGTTTTGAGTTGCAGACCTAGGTTTGAGTGCTGAATCTACTAGCTTCAGGGTGTTAAAAAAGTTTCTTAATCTCTCTAAACCTTATTTTTCTCAAAGATAAAAAACTGGGTGTAGTTGTGAGTATAGTGAATGCACATAGTATGTGCCTTTGGCATGTTAATTCACTATTATTCTGGACATAATTTCTCCTAAGAAAAAGGATGAACTAATTGCAGGGCCTAGCCTAAGCTCTGAGAAGTCATTCGTTATAGCATTTCAGTCCATAGTAAACAAGAAGAAATGAGGTAAAGAGTTTAAACCAGGGAAGGCATAGCTGTGGTCACCAAACAACCTGTTAAAGGCGAGCTGTAGGCACCAAAAAACCTATTATGGACTGAATTGTGTTCCTCAAATTCATATGTTGAAGTGCTAACCCCAAGTACCAAATGTGACTGTATTTGGGGATAGGGTCCCTGAAGAAGTCACTCAGCTGGAAGGAGTCATATTGGATTAGGTGTTGGGAATTGGCTGGCCAAGGGAGAAATCAAGGCTGGAACCAAGTGCTGAACTCTCACATCAGGTCCTTTGCTCCTGTTCCCTGGACCCTAATCCAATATGACTGGCATCTTTATATGAAGAGGAAGAGGCACCAGAGGGTACACACGCAGAGAAAAGGCCATGTGTGGACACAGTAAGATGACGGACATCTGTAAGCCAAGGAGGGAAACCTCAGAAGAAACCAGCCTTGCCTGCACCTTGATCTTGGAGGTCCAGTCTCCAGAACTGTGAAAAAAATGAACTGGTGTTGTTTAAATCCCCCAGTCGTGGTATTTTGTCATGGTGGCCCTAGAAGACAATATACAACCCAAAGGAATATTCTTTCCACTTTCTCCCTCTTCCACTTTATAGTTTTTTCTCCTTCGTTTCTTTCTTTTTCTCTTTTACTTTCCTTTTCTTCTCTTCTCTTTCCTCTGGTTTTTAATTTTAATTTTAATTTTTGGCCTTCCTATACCTCCATTTGCCTCTCCAGGAAGCTGAATTCCAGACAATTAATCATTCATCTCATCAGTTCAGCAAAGCAAATGCCCTCAATGGTTTCTTTTGTGATTCGATTATTATGGGATCAGAATGTATCTTATTCCTCTGGGAAAAATGAAACATAAAAATTTCAGAAATAAGGTTTTGGGCCAGCTTCATTGGTTTTAAGAGAAGGAAGGGAGGAGACTCATGCAGGTTTGACGCTGAGCAGCACCATGTGGTTGGGCCTGGCAGGCACTCGAGGCTTTAGGTCTTGGTTTGAATCCAGACTAGAAAATCATTACTTATTAAAAGCCTTGAGGATATGGGTCTAGGAAAGTCTATGTGAAGAGATAATAGTTTGGAAAAAGTTTTGCAGAACTAAAGAAAAGTTTCCACAGTTACCTTTTCTGTCCTAATGTAGAGCATCTTTGTTAACTAGGTCTTGGATCAATCCAAGCTGTGTCTGAGAATAACCATTTATAATTTCTCACTGGCCAGCACTAACACCCTTTAGAAAAGGAACTCAAAGCAGCCCTAGCAGCCAGAGTCATGCGATCATGGTGGGAGTACAGCTCCTCACCAAGGTCAGCTCCTCAGTGAAATCCATGCCTTCTGGAGGACTGCTTGTAAATAAATATTAAGCACAACCATTAAAAAATAATTTGGCTGTGACCATCAAATAGTGAAAGAGTGTATCAATTTCATTATTATATAAGCATACATGACCAAATTCAGCTAGAGTGGAGTCTTGGCTCAAGTACCAAGCTTGGATTTCCCCAAGGAACACTTTCCCATAATTCATAATGAAAATCTTTCCATTTACTGTGGTTCAACTATTTGCAGAATTTTCAGGCTGGGCTCAGTGGCCCTAAATTTATGCATGCTGGTATACTGAGAAGATCACCATGTTACAGAGGCTCTTCTCTCCCAGTTTACTCCTGGAGTCTATTTAATTTGCAGCTCTAACTCTGCGTTCCCAGGATTGCATCAGTTGGACTTTCCTCACATCTCAGCAGCCGCAGTTGGGTTGAAATGAGATACTCCCATCTCTGGTCACTGTGCTCTGGCCCTCCAGGACATTCCTCTCACCCGCTGCCCACAGCATAGCTGCTGAGAGTCCTCTGCCCAGGAGTCCCAAGTGAGAGGACAGTCTTGACTCTGCCTGCCCCCCTTTAGTGACATCCTTCAGGGATTCCTCAGTTCATTCATTTCCTAGGGCTGCTGAAACAAGTTACCCCAAACTGCGCAGCTTAAAACAATACAAATATTATGCTTTCAAAGTCTGAGAGTCAAGAAGTTGAAACTCATGGTGTTGCCAGGACCATGCTCCCTCTGAAGGAAGGAGAAGAGTCCTTCCTTGCCTCTTCCTAGATTCTGGTGGCTCCTGGCATTGTGGCTGTATCTCTCCAGTCCCTGCCTCTGTCATCACACGGCCATCTTTCTTCTTTTTTTTGAGATGGAGTCTTGCTCTGTGGCCCAGGCTGGAGTGCAGTGGCGCGATCTCAGCTCACTGCAACTTTCGCCTCCCGGGCTCAAGCGATTCTCCTGCCTCAGCCTCCTGAGTAGCTGGGATTACAGGCGCGCGCCACCAGGACCTGCTAAATTTTTGTATTTTTAGTAGAGACGGGGTTTCACCATGTTGGTCAGGCTGGTCTCGAACACCTGACCTCGTGATCCATCTGCCTCAGCCTCCCAAAGTGCTGGGATTACAGGCGTGAGCCACTGCGCCCAGCCGTCTCTTTCTTCTTATAAGAACACCAGTCATTGGGTTTAGGGTCCATCCTAATCCAGTATGACCTCATCCTAACCTAACTAATTATATCTACAAAGACCCTATTTTCAAATAAGGTAGCAATCTGAGGGTTCCAGGTGGACATGAATTGAGTGAGGAGGGGAGGGGCACTTTTTAACCCAGTATACTCAGGGACCTTGCTGACCCTGCCTCTCTGCTCACACACACCATACAGGGTCACCTGGTGGTGACTGCTAAAAGTAACAAGCTACCATTTGTCTTGGATTCCAAACCAATTCAGAAGAACCCTGGGAGCCGCATGACTATGAAGAACTATTTCTCACCATGGAAATTACAGCAGAACATTCACTGGGATCGTTGTTTGTTATGAAACAGGTACTAGACTTAACTGGCTTTGAAGGGTAGAACATATTTTAGAATATCTGTTATATGGTTCATTAGACTTTGTTTTTATTTTTATTTATTTATTTATTGAGACAGAGTCTCACTTTGTCACCCAGGCTGGAGTGCAGTGGTGTAATCTCGGCTCACTGCACCCTCTCCTCACAGGTTCAAGCAATTCTCTTGTCTCAGCCTCCCAAGTAGCTGGGACTACAGGTGCCTGCCACACCTGGCTAATTTTTGTATTTTTAGTAGAGACAGTGTTTGGCCATGTTAGCCAGCCTGGTCTTGAACTCCTGACCTCAGGTGATCCACCTACCTAGCTAGGCCTCCCGAAGTGCTGGGATTACAGGTGTGAGCCACCATGCCTGGCCTCATTAGGCTTTAAAGCAATAATTAAAAAAATAAATACCCTGAAGATGTTGAAAATAAGGCATAAAGTTGGTGTGGCAGTCAAAGAAGAACACATCAGCTTAAAAAATGATAGAAATAGCTCTTTGAAAATTGCCCTTACAGGCCGGGTGTGGTGGCTCACACCTGTAATCCCAGCACTTTGGAAGGCTGAGGCAGGCGGATCACCTGAGGTCAGGAGTTTGAGACCATCCTGGCCAACATGGTGAAACCCCGTCTCTACTAAAAATATAAAAATTAGCCAGGCACAGTGGCGGGCACCTGTAATCCCAACTACTGGGGAGGCTGAGGCAGGAGAATCGCTTGAACCCAGGAGGCAGAGGTCGCAGTGAGACTCCGTCTCAAAAAAATAAAAAAATAAAAATTAAAAAAAATTAAAAAATAAAAATTGCCTTTACAGAAAAAGATACTGAATTGTACATTGTGCTTACCAAAATCCAGCTCTAAGAGTCCATCGTGTACCTGATATTTTTTCCAAGTTGAAAATGAATCAGGGGGTTGAAGTCACTTGAAAGAAAAAATTTTTTGAAAAAAACTCTGTTACGTCTAAATTGTAGCAACTCCTCCTACCCTCATATACAATGCCAGCTGAGCTTCTGACAAGCTGCTCAATATATATCTAAAGTCAGAATCGAGATTTTGTACTATGATATATGGCTGAGTTATAGTGAAGAGAGAGCAGGGAGACTTTGCTCATTATCCTGCATTAGTCAGACTAGATTTACAGCTCAAAAGAACAGTCACGGTAACTGAAGTGCAGACCAGGAACTTGAACTGATGAAAATCACTTCTATTTAAATGAACACTAAGAAGCTTGCTGCATATAGTTGTTATAATAGCCTTAAGAAGATCACTTTGCCAAATGTTTCCATCCAAAAAGAAATAAGCCAGACTAGAAACAATCTGGAAAACTCTACTTTTTCTGTATTTCCTTTTCCCATGAGGATGGGAGAGCTCAGGATGTGGAGAGGAGCTGACAGAACTCATCTGTGTCTGAATCTAGAGAATTGCAAAGAGGTGGAAGAGGCAGGTATTGCTAACAAGGCAGAGGGCATGAAAAATTTCAAGGCAATTTTTAAATTGTATGGGCGCTTGGATTATTTGAGCATGCCTAGCAGGTTATGTTAATGCCTTAAACAATGTTTGTCAGGAAGCACCATAGCAGTTAAGTTACCAGCATGGACCTGAGAACCAGACAGACTTGTGAATGAGTCTCTCTTTTGGCTCCATGAGTAAAGAAGTTAATTTTCCTACATTTCATCACGTCTAAGTCGGTGCTTATAAGAGTACCTATTACATAGACTTGTTAAAAGGCTTCAATCAGATAACACATGCAAAATGAATGGCAAATAATAAGTGTTCAATAAAACTTAGCAATTAACTAGAAACCTTTTACTGATTTATTTGATTTTTGCCTTTGGAACATATAAAGACTACTTTCTAATGACTTAGCTAATGCAAAGACAATATAAAAATCTACCTCTTCAGAGATGCACTGTAAGAAGGACTTGACCTGTTGTTCCTGACATTGAAGATGGATGGAGACACCAGGAACCAAGGAATGAGGATGGCTTCTGGAAGGTGGAAAAAGCAAGGAAACATTCTCCCCCAGACCCTCCAGAAAGGAACTCAGCCCTGCTGACATCTTTGTTTTTCTTTTCTCTTTTGAGTAGAGATGAGGTCTCCCTATGTTGTGGAGGCTGGTCTCGAACTCCTGGGCTCAAGTGATCATCCTGCTTCGACCTCCCAAAGTGCTGGGATTACAGGTGTGAGCCACAGCACCTGGCCTCCTATGGACATCTTAATTTTAGTCCAGTGAGATTCATATTTGAATTTCTGACCTACAGAACCACAAGGCAATAACTTTGTGTTGTTTTAAGATGCTGAATTTTTGGTTTTTTGTTACGGCAGCCCAAGAAAAGAAATATAGCATTGTATTACATCAAAAAAAATGTCTACCTTTTCAGTGGAATTTGCACTGTACAATGTTTAGGCACAATGCTCAGGGGTTTGTGTCCCTGGCTTTGAGGATGGAGGCAGATGGTGAAGTTTAAGGGAAAAGGGAAGAGGGTAAAAGAGGAAGAGAACCAAGTGGTCATAAGGGAGAGAGGTGAGGAAGACAAATGAGGACAAGAGAGGGAGAAGGAGGAAGAAGGAAGGAGAGTGGGGAGAAAGAAGGAAAAAGAGGGCAATGTGAGAATCTTTGTTCTGGCTGGCTGTGTAAGCAATGAGCAAAGCTGCATCCCTGTGACCTGAGTTAGGGCCCAGGGTTGTGGCTGACAATGGCTGACTGGCATGTATGAGCAGCCCTATGAAGCCAGCATTGCTGTGTCCGTCCTTTCCAGGAATTAGGATTTGAAGATACCAAGTTTTTCTTAAGGGGTCAGTGCGGAATCAGACGGAAAACCAAACTGTTTGAAGTGTTCTTAGAAAAGGGATTAGAAAACAGAGGGGAGGAAATTACCATGTAAATAATGCAGGAAATTTTCCCTGAAGTGAAGTGCATAAGAATTCTGATAAAAGGGCCTTTCAAGTGTACAGCAGCACAACAAAATGAAAAGACAACAAAGCTGCCAAGGTCCTGAAATTTTATCACATTCATGAACAATGAAACATAACACATTTCCAGAGAGGAAAAAATAGGTCACACAGTATAGTTTAGGAATTAGAATGGCATCAGTCTTCTCAGGAATAACACTGAAAGCTTGCAGACAATAGAACAATGTCTTTGAAGAGAGAAAAACATACCTCACTTCACATTATTTCTCCAAGAAAATAATTTCTGACTTTTATTTTTATACCCAACTCAGCTCTCAATTAAGAATGAGGCACTTTCAAATCTCAAAAATTTACCTTTCACACATAATTTCTTAGGAAGCAACAAGATAATGTACTCTACCTAAATTAAGAAAAAACAAACAAGAAAGAAATTTAGGAAATAGGGGCTCTAATCACAGGAGAAAAATGCAATCACCTGGTTGTTGGGGAGGCTACATCCTTAGGAGTTCATAGAAACAGTAACGATTCCAGCCCAGGTGACATGGCGAAACCCTGTTTCTGCAAAAATTAGCCAGGCATGGTAGCATGCAACTGTAGTCCCAGCTACTCAGGAGGCTAGGGTGGGAGGATTGCTTGAGCCCAGAAGGTTGACCTGCAGTGAACCATGATCATGCCACTGTACTCCAGCCTTGGTGATAGAACAAGACTCTCTCTCAAGGAAAGAAGGAAAGAAAGAGAGAAGAAAAGGAGGGAAGGAGGGAGGGAGAGAGGAAGGAAGGAAGAGCGGAAGGAAGGAAGAAAGAAAGAGTAATGATTACAGCAGCAAGACAAAGGACTGCAAGAAGGTTATAGGAGAAAGAAATTGAACCTGATGCATTTCATCACTTTGAGAGGGTATTTGTAGTTCAGGGGGAGATTTGGAAGAGGAATTAATGAAAACTAAACTAGAAAAGGCATATATACAAACAAATAACATGAGAAAAAGTTGTCTAAGAAAAAAATGGCATCATAGTAGATTACATGGCTCAGCTCTAAACATTTTTATTGCCATGATAATGTAAGCCCTGAATACTATTTAAACACAAATTGTGATAACTGTTTTTGTGAGGATGGGTGAGAGGAAAGTGTGTGTGTATTGAGGCTGTTGTAGAAGAAGCAATTTCACATCATCCAATTTACAAATTTAATATACCATATCTAAATGTGAGGAAACATCCAGAAATTATAAGCATATTATGAAAATGGAGATAGGCTGGGCGTGGTGGCTCACGCCTGTAATCCCAGCACTTTGGGAGGCCGAGGCAGGTGAATCTCGAGGTCAGGAGTTCGAGACCAGCCTGACAAGATGGTGAAACTGTGTCTCTACTAAAAATACAAAAATTAGCCAGGTATGGTGGAGTGTGCCTGTATACCAAGCTACCCGGGAGGCTGAGGCAGGAGAATCTCTTGAACCCGGGAGGCAGAGGTTGCAGTGAGCCGAGCTCGCGCCACTGTACTCCAGCCTGGGCAACAAGAGCAAAACTCCGTCTTAAAAAAAAAAATTAAAAATGGAGATAAAAGACAAAATAAAAGAATTGATTGAAAATCATTGTCCCTGGAAAGCAGGAATTGGAAAGGAAACTTCTGGTTTTTTATTTATTTATTTATTTATTTATTTATTTATTTTATTTATTATTATTATACTTTAAGTTTTAGGGTACATGTGCACAATGTGCAGGTTAGTTACATATGTATACATGTGCCATGCTGGTGCGCTGCACCCACTAACTCGTCATCTAACATTAGGTATATCTCCCAATGCTATCCCTCCCCCACTTCCCCCACCCCACAACAGTCCCCAGAGTGTGATGTTCCCCTTCCTGTGTCCATGTGTTCTCATTGTTCAATTCCCACCTATGAGTGAGAATATGCGGTGTTTGGTTTTTTGTTCTTGCGATAGTTTACTGAGAATGATGATTTCCAATTTCATCCATGTCCCTACAAAGGACATGAACTCATCATTTTTTATGGCTGCATAGTATTCCATGGTGTATATGTGCCACATTTTCTTAATCCAGTCTATCATTGTTGGACATTTGGGTTGGTTCCAAGTCTTTGCTATTGTGAATAGTGCCGCAATAAACATACGTGTGCATGTGTCTTTATAGCAGCATGATTTATAGTCCTTTGGGTATATACCCAGTAATGGGATGGCTTGGTCAAACGGTATTTCTAGTTCTAGATCCCTGAGGAATCGCCACACTGACTTCCACAATGGTTGAACTAGTTTACAGTCCCACCAACAGTGTAAAAGTGTTCCTATTTCTCCACATCCTCTCCAGCACCTGTTGTTTCCTGACTTTTTAATGATTGCCATTCTAACTGGTGTGAGATGGTATCTCATTGTGGTTTTGATTTGCATTTCTCTGATGGCCAGTGATGGTGAGCACTTTTTCATGTGTTTTTTGGCTGCATAAATGTCTTCTTTTGAGAAGTGTCTGTTCATGTCCTTTGCCCACTTTTTGATGGGGTTGTTTGTTTTTTCCTTGTAAATTTGTTTGAGTTCATTGTAGATTCTGGATATTAGCCCTTTGTCAGATGAGTAGGTTGTAAAAATTTTCTCCCATTTTGTAGGTTGCCTATTCACTCTGATGGTAGTTTCTTTTGCTGTGCAGAAGCTCTTTAGTTTAATTAGATCCCATTTGTCAATTTTGGCTTTTGTTGCCATTGCTTATCTAGAAAACCCCATTGTCTCAGCCCAAAATCTCCTTAAGCTGATAAGCAACTTCAGCGAAGTCTCAGGATACAAAATCAATGTACAAAAATCACAAGCATTTTTATACACCAACAACAGGCAAACAGAGAGCCAAATCATGAGTGAACTCCCATTCACAATTGCTTCAAAGAGAATAAAATACCTAGGAATCCAACTTACAGGGGATGTGAAGGACCTCTTCAAGAAGAACTACAAACCACTGCTCAAGGAGTTAAAAGAGGATACAAACAAATGGAAGAACATTCCATGCTCATGGGTAGGAAGAATCAATATCGTGAAAATGGCCATACTGCCCAAGGTAATTTACAGATTCAATGCCATCCCCATCAAGCTACCAATGACTTTCTTCATAGAATTGGGAAAAACTACTTTAAAGTTCATATGGAACCAAAAAAGAGCCCGCATCACCAAGTCAATCCTGAGCTGAAAGAACAAAGCTGGAGGCATCACACTACCTGACTTCAAACTATACTACAAGGCTACAGTAACCAAAACAGCATGGTACTGGTACTAAAACAGAGATATAGATCAATGGAACAGAACAGAGCCCTCAGAAATCATGCCGCATATCTACAACTATCTGATCTTTGACAAACCTGAGAAAAACAAGCAATGGGGAAAGGATTCCCTATTTAATAAATGGTGCTGGGAAAACTGGCTAGCCATATGTAGAAAGCTGAAACTGGATCCCTTCCTTACACCTTATACAAAAATCAATTCAAGATGGATTAAAGACTTAAACGTTAGACCTAAAACCATAAAAACCCTAGAAGAAAACCTAGGCATTACCATTCAGGACATAGGCATGGGCAAGGACTTCATGTCTAAAACGCCAAAACTTCTGGTTTTTAAAAATTGTTGTTGTTTTGGGTCTTGTGGTAATATTCACGTTTTTAAATTGTATACATTGATACTACAAAGAATTAAAAAAGTAAACGTAAAGTACATTTGGAATGTTGAGAAAAACATACTTCCCTATAATGGCTGGTGTGACAACTCGGAAAAATCCCTAACAGATAAGCATTCTATCTTCAATTTATATGTGAGGAAATTAAAGCCCACAGAGACTGTGCAGGTTGACAAAGTTATTCAGTGACAGAGCCAGGCAACAAACCCAGTCTTTCTGCTTTCCTGTTTCAGGGATCCTCATAATACCTCCCAAATTCTCATTATCTAGCTTGTATTTGTCATGTTGCTTTAAATAATATCATCCACACAGAAACAACTTTAAAAAACTGAAAATAGAAAATGACGTCCTTCATTAGGCATGGCCGAGCTAGATGAACAGATTCTAACGATATCTTAGATCTCTGTTGCACCCCTGTTTTGAAGACACTGAGGAATGGAGATGAACATTCAGGTAAGTAGCACATATAGCTTTGGAGTCTAAAGCCTTTTCTAATGGATAAATGCTTCTCATTAGATCATCCCAAGACAAAGAATTGATCTCATCATTGAACAAATGTTTTCAATTTGATTCAGTGCACCTGGGAAATAACATTTCTATTTGCTGCCAAAATATGATTGCATTAAACCTTAATAATGTACCTGTCATGGGGGTTAGACAAGAATATTTTAATTGAGTGTCAACGACACCACTGGAATACCCTTATAGATTTACTTTTTCAAAAAGCTAGAAACATTGATGAACTCTTAGTTGTCTGCTATTAGTTTTGTATAGCCACTGATTAGTATTGCCCCCCCTTCTACAGATACAAGGCATCACTAGACTTCTCCTTGGTAACCAGATTTTTTTTTGTCCTTCAGCACTAGTTCCTGGAAGTGTCATTATGATGTCTGCAATTTGCAGAATTCAGTGGCAGCTCCAGTTAAATAAACAAAATCTAATTATGTCAAAACTGGGCTATGCTCAAATTACTATGATTGATTTTCTTTCTGTAAAATCTGTGAACACCTGCAAAAATGGTAAATGTCAAGGTGTTTCTTAGAAAACTTTAAAAAATTTTAAAAGAATTGGTGAGGGAAATGTAGATTGAGTTGCTGTATAGTCTATACATTTGATCTTTTTAATCTAGGTCCTTGTGTTTTGGATGTATGAACCCCTGCAATTTTATGCAAAATGACACGAGTGTGCGTTTTGCAAAAAGATTGTCTTTAACTATCATTAGATTTTAAAAGAGGTTTATAACCCACCAAAACACAAATAACCATTGCTTTATAGAAAGAAATGGAGTCCCTGTAGAATCCTTTAATTAGGTACTTCTTAGTGGAAATAAAAATATTTTTGTAATAGGTGCTAGTAAATATCTGAGAGATAGAAAGTATTAAATTTGCCTTCCACTATTACTATTCAATTCCTTTTCTATTTCTGGAACCATGAATATCAAAGTTCATCTAAGACAAATTTCATCTCCCCTCCTACTCTACCCCCAATTTTTTATTCTAGTTTTGGAGGATTCATATGAGATTATCAACAGACAATACTTTTTGTCATGGCTTCCTAATTGAATGTTTTACTTCTCTTTCTGGATTACATACTGAAAATATTTATTAGAATAGTGAAAATCTCAAGCATTTATATTACTTAGTGATGACAGTGGAGTGACCCATTCACATTTGTCTTGGTTTCTTTCATTGATCAGAAGCAGACTTTGTGCCATCTTTGCTGGAGCTCTCACAAGACATTTCCGTGAAGCAATTATAGAGCAAGTAGAGCCTCAACTCAATGATAGGTGTGTGGCCTGGCTTTATGGACTTTCTTCAAAAGAATTTTATTAACTTAGATTTATAGCCAAGATATTTTATTGCTGCTAAATTTAATCTCTAGCAACCTAGACACATCCCATAAAACCTCTAGGAAGAAAATTTAATGGATTATTACAGTTAATTAACATTTTTCTTTCATATTTTAAAGTTCAACTATGCTATATTTTATATTAATAAGAAACACAACACATACTCTCAGAAGCTTAATAATCTACTGAGAAAAATCTACAGAGTTTAAAGAGAAATAATACATAGGGTCAAGTCAAGTTTTCAGAGTCAGTAAAGGAGATGAGTCACCACATTGTGAAACTTTCTCAGTTTTCTACATCCAGAAATTAAATTTTGAAGTGCATTTAGCCTTATTTGTTTCTTAGATATCAACTCATGCTAACCAAATTAATGAAACACTAAGGAATAGATCAGACACAAATGTATGTGTTTCCAGGAAGCTGAATATATTAATGTTGGTTATATTTGTGTCTTCTACTTTTAATACTTCCTGGAATCTAGATACTTGGAAACAAAAACCATTAATAGTTAGTTGATAGCTAACATAGAGTTGTAACAGAAAACTGGCTATGGGGAAATTCCTAATGAATGATCTCAACTTTACCATAGTACAGCTCTCCAGAGATGAAGATTTTATGACTGCATGGTGGCTTAGCCCAGATTGCCTACATGTGTGAATTGGCTCTGCCACTTTCCAGCAGTGAAACTTTGGATAGATATTTACCTTTTCCAAGTCTCCTTTGCCTCAACTATCAGTAGGGGAAATAATAGTATCTACCTCATAGGTTGTTAATATGTTTGAAATAAGAGAATGAGTGTAGCATACTTTGTGTTGTGTTGGTACGTAGTTAATGAATTGTATCCATCGACCACTCCATTTCCCCTTCTCTTACATTTATTCTTTGTCTTTCTTCTCTTCATTCTTAATCAAGTACATCCATTTTTTCCTTGAAAAACAAGAAATAATCATGTATCTTGAGAAATATTTAGCCTTGTTTTATGTGTATGGCTTGAAAGTTTTACATAAATGACATTGTGTTCTAGATCTCATTCTGTTTCATGTATTTTTCATGCTACTATATGAGAATTTAATTCCTTACCTCCAAATGCTACATAGTATTCTGCCATGTGTATAAGCCATAATTTATGCATCTCTTCACTTGGTGATGGACACATGTGGCTTCCAACTTTTTACTGTTCTCCAAACAACTCTGTGAAAAAGAAACATGTGCACAGTTCCTTGTGAATCTGTACTAGCTTTTCCCTGGGGTCTGCTTCCAGGGACAAAATTGCTGGATCATAATGCACACACTTACATATGGTGGACCTGGAAGGACAGGACATACTTTTACATACTTTCCCAGTATAATAGTGAAAGGAATAGGATGAGAAATGGAAGATGAATAGAAAAGTATTATAACAAATCAAGGACTGTCCTCAGATTGATGCTAATAGCATGACTTTGACTAATGAGTATGATCAACCTGTGTTATGTACTTAAAATCCTTAAAAATGAAATTAAAAAGAGCATGGCTTAATGCATTACCAACATAAATCCCATACCCACTACAATGGCTTAGTAGCCCCATCTGCGCTCCATAGCCAGTATGCCAGCCTCCTACTATCCTACCAAGATGCTGCAGAAAATCATTAGGTGGCGTTTGTGAAGCCCTTAAAACTCCTGAGACTCAGACATAGACAGTGAAAAGCTATTATTCTGCTTTGCTAGTCTATGAAATTTTAACTACAGATCTCTTTGTTAATCAGCCCTGGAGATTGCTGTGACTTAAAAGGTCTCCAGGCCTGACCATTGCTGACTTCCAATTAGCCAGTAAAGTTATCTTATAAGGGGACTGTTTTGACATCTTTGACCATTTCATCCAATCAAAGAACAAAAGGTGTTACACTGAGGAAGTGTAATGTCACTATGTTAATACACTATATGATCACATATGTTAGCAAGAGGTATGGAATCGGGAGTGTTGACGTCAGCAGTGCAGAAAGAAGTGTCAAGCCAGGAGTCAGTATTAGTTTAAATTTCCTGTCATAAATAGATACGACTTTTCTTTTTTGAATAAAGAAGAGAAAAATCATTCAAGTAACAGTTTTGCCTAGACAAAGTATTGAAATAACTAAACCTTTCATTTTCAACACCACTTTTTGGTTTTTCATAGGCCCAACACTAAATGACGAGGTAACGATTTCTTCAGGAACTGAGGAGAGACAGGCCTGGAAAAGTTGCAATGATTTTCTTCCCAACTATTAAGAAGAGAAATAATGTGAAAGAGGAATCTTTTCTGAGACATGTTCACAAGCAGGTCGGACCTTTCATTCAGAACAAGATTATTTTAATTTTTAATGGTTTAAGATATAATTGATTCATTCCTTAAATTAGTTCATCTTGCTCAAGCCATTATAATATTAATTCACTGTTATTTTTGGTAATACAGATCATTTATTTAGAAGCCAGGAATATACAAGGGAAGGGCATATTCAGAAGTAACTAACACCACTACAAGTTTAGGACCTTTCCATTTTATTGAATTGGGTTTTATTTAAATTTGTATCTCTTTTTTTGTCATTCTTGTGTCTAATATGTTTTCATTCCTTAAATCTGCTCTGTATGTGTTCTTTTCACAATATTTAAACATACAAATTTTATCTTAAATTTTACACCAAACAGAAATTATCTCAATGTATTATAGAGGAAATTTAAAACATAGGTTGCAAAGGATTAATTTTATGTACAAATACCATTCCTATTCAGTTATCTTTATACAAGAAAAACAGTTCTTCATTTGTAAATGCCTTATGAGAGTTGACTATAAACATATCAGAGCTGAAGGAGGGGGTTTAGCACAATAATTTATGATTAAATGCCATCTTTTAATCCAGCTGTGGGGAGTTGCCTGTAAAACTGCCCTTTTCACTCTAAAATTCTCTCTAATCATTTGTATACTCACTGATTTACATAGCTGGAAGATTTGCCTCCTGAAATAGGAGCCTTTTTTTTTTTTTTTTTTTTTTTTGGAGACGGAGTCAGGCTGGAGTGCAATGGCGTGATCTCAGCTCACTGCAACCTCCACTTTCTAGATTCAAGTGATTCTCCTGCCTCAGCCTCCCTAGTAGCTGGGAAGACAGGCACACACCACCACACCCAGCTAATTTTTTTGTATTTTTAGTAGAGACAGGGTTTCACCATGTTGGCCAGGATGGCCTCGATCTCTTGATTTCGCGATCTGCCCGCCTCGGCCTTGGACTTCTTAAATTGCAATCATTTTAAAGGGATGTTTGACACATCATGTAGCGGCAATCCTTTTAGCTAGAGGTAACTGCTGATATAAAACTATCAAAACTCATATGCACCTCTGTTCTGTTAAGTGTTGACATACTGGACACTGTGTATCTATAGTATAGCCTCATTTTCCAAATCTAATCTAGCCTAAACAGTTTGGTGGGGCAAGAAAAGCAAGTTGTAAAATAATCTCTTTGTCATAACCCTCAAGTCATATCTTCTGGACTTGAAAGGTATGCTGGATGTCCTATGTGTTGGTGCCTCATGCTGCTCAGCAGGAAATCTGAACTGTTCTCACCTCTCTGGTCCTTCTGTCTCACCAGGAGATACACCCAAGAACATTCTCCACATTGTCTTAATTCCCCTGCCTTCTGCCTTGGGTCACTCAACCCAAATAGAAGAGACTGCACTGTTCATATTAGGGATGCCTTAATCCTATAGTTCAAAGATTGAAATTTGACACAAAAATCTACTTTTTCTAGCTCTAACAGTTCTGGTGAATATTAAAAGGAGGAAGTCTTTTGTTAAAAAAAAAATAGCCTTCAATTCAGTAGCATCGTCTTTATAAGCAGAGGATGCACAATCACCCACTTGCTGGTCACAGCTCTGCTTTAGGTCATCTGAAGTCGATTACTGCATCCTTGGAGGATGGTGTGAAATGCCAGTGAAATCGTGAGCTAATTCAATGACATGCCCATTGTTCCACTCATTTAGGCAAACGCTTTTTCTGAACAGGGAAGATTCTCGCATATTCCTTACATACTAAATTAACTCAAAAAACTTAAGAATGATACCCCACTGCTGCTTGTCTCTAGTTTTCAGCTTTCATCCTGGCGGGCAAGACCCTCAGCATCTTCTCAGTCATAAAGTACTTGTGAGCATTCAGAAAGGCCTAAGTTAACTATCGTCGGGTTACACAGGTTTGGAAGCTTGAGCACATTCTACGGCATTTGTGGTATGGCCTCTGTAGATTTGATATCCTTAATCATAGATAGCAGATGGAGCTGTGAGACAATGACCTTCCAGGGTCCCTTCCCCAAATAGACTTAATGCTACTACACTTCAAAAGCAATCACTGTCCATCCGCTCCAGGTCACCGTGCAGTACTGGCCAGGGGCCCGGGCTACCAGAAAGACACTAGCTAGAGTTGAATGCTTAATCTCCCTGCTCCCAAGTACAGACAAGAGGAGAGAGAGAGGCTCATGGCTTTCTAGAGTTTTATGTGCTTAAGCGCTGATAGGAGCTACCTTTTGCTGCATGTTGGTCACTCTGGAATATAAGACACCTGGGACAGCAGCTAATGTGGCTAAGGAACAGTCAGGCCAGATTTGTTGTTATTTATTTAGCAGAACACAGAATCCAAGAATCCTCATGAATGCCACTCAAAAGCATGACTCAGGCAAAGGGAACAGACAATAAAAGGAATGACTTCACATTTCACAGCAAGAATTCTCTGGCCTCGGAGAACACTAGATACCTCTGGACCACACATCCCTTTGGCAAAATACTTTTCTCATCTACAGATCACTGCATGGCTTGGTTTACCTGAAGCCTCTTATGGTTTCTCCACCTAATAACCCTCATGATATTTTTCTAGAAAAGCAGCATAGATGGAGATGGAATGTAACACCTGAAATAAAAGGATTTTGCAGGAAATAATGTAAATCAAGCCTTTTGCCCTTAATGACCCATAATAAAATGCTCTTGCTACCAAGCTCTGCAGGCAACCCAGTGCAGGTTGCCATGGAAATGCCCAGCTGCTCCTCTGCGCAGTTGCTTAATGATCAGTGTGATGCCAGGCTCTTGAGAGAAGCACAGGCTCAGACAACTCTTTACAGCCACAGGGACAGTCCACTCAGGACTGCAGTTACGTCTGAGTCGGAGCCCCTGTGTCCAGGTATAATTAAAATGCACTCAGACCTATGACTGGAAATGCTTTCAGCAGAAAATTAGGTCACCTTTTTAATTTCTCCATTCATTTTCATTTCTCCACATGACTGCCCAGTCAGAAGCAAGACAGAAACAGGGCGGCCATGGCACGTTGCTGCAGATGCCGCTTCACCAACCTGTGACCTGGCTCCCGCTCTACACAGGTGGGATATGCAGGTGCTCTGCCTTGACCCATGCCATAAAACGTCACCTTTTGGTCCCCTCTTCCCATGTTCCCTGCACCTACCTTTCACAGTGACTGGACCCGAAATTCTCACTATTACTCATTGCTTGATTTAGATAACAAAGGCAAGAGCTTTTGCCCAGAATATTATTTTCAAAATGTATTTATTTTCTGGGAAGAAAAGACAAGCCTTGGGGAATCTCTTCCTGTCTTTCCCCCCTTTTATTCTTTTCTCCCTTCCTCTCTTTCATTCTCTCTCAAAAGGGTTTATTAGGTGCCTATTATCTGCAGGTAATTACCAGAAACACAAGAATGAATGAAGCTTGATCACTGTCCTCTAGGAGCTGACAGGTTATTAGATGGGGATAGGCATGTAAACAAATGCATGAGCTAAAGAGACAAAGGTGTGTACAGGGCACACGTGGAAAAATCCTACCCGAGGGAGAGCTGGAAAGGCTTTTTCGGGGGTGGGGGATGGGAGGTGAGGTAGAGATGCTTCTTGGGCAAACTCTTGGGAAGAAATTAATGGGATTGTGGGACTAGTGAAAGGAAGGGAAGAGGGACACTGTGAGTAAAGACTGAAGGCACAAAATAATCTTGTATGCTTGATAAATTGCAAGTAGTTGAGAATGGCTGGAGCTTTGGCCAGGAGAGCAGTCTAGGGAGAAATACATCAGAGGTAGGCAGGAGTGAGAATCGAATGAAGAAGTTTGACTTTATTTTACAGGCCAGTAGGAGCCACTTAAGGGTTTTCAGGAGGGAAGACAGAGAATTAGAATTGCCATTTAGGAAGATTTTTTTTTTTTTTTTTTTTTTTTTTTGGCAACGAAGAGCATGTACTGAGGAAGTAGGAGACACGGAGTAATTAGAAGTTAGTGAGAGAGCGTGACTGTACAGAATAGCTATTGTTTTTTTGTCTAGCATCTGTTCCTTTGGAAGAGAGTCACCTGTCTCTCATTGCCTGGCCCACTCACACAAGGGTGGACAAATGACCCAAACTCAACCCATTACAGTACCCATCCCTGGTTCAGGTGGGCACATAATCCAAGCAGTATTCATCAAGCTTCTTTACTGAAAATTCACATACGCACGCCCAGACATAGAATTTCTTCTTCTTCTTCTTCCTCTTCTTCTTCTTCTTCCTCCTCTTCCTCTTCCTCCCCTTCCCCTTCCCTTTCCCCTTCCCCTTCTCCTTCCCCTTCCCCTTCCCCTTCTCCTTCTCCTTCTCCTTCTCCTTCTCCTTCTCCTTCTCCTTCTTCTTCTCCTTCTCCTCCTTCTCCTCCTTCTTCTTCTTCTTCATAAAAGGATGTAGCTTTGCGGCTTCCAGAGGCCATCTTTCCTGGTACATGGAGAACACCTGATCAATTAAGCCAATACTTACAGGAAAATGAACAAGAAGAAGGGGAAACAGAGCTGTATTAATATTGCTTGAGCCTCTAACAGTCTAGAGCCTACATCCCCCTGTGTCTGAAACCAGTTTACCGATGGACTTTAGAGTTATACATGCCAATAAGTTTATTTTTGCTTGAGCAAGCTTGAGTTAGTTTTTAGTCACTTGGGACTGAATGATTCCTGATTATGAAACCAGGTAAAAATGACGGCAACCTGAGCCAAGGTTGTAGGGGACGGAGAGGATGGTTTAGGCAAAGTTAAGGAAACCACCCAGGAATTGGAGAGAGAGAGGCTATGGAGTGGAAGGGGAAAAAAATCAACCAAAATGATGCCCAGATCCTTTGTTTCAGTGAATAACAATGCCACCTTATAAGATGTTGAATATAAGAAGAGAAACAATTATTTTGGGAAAGAGATACACGTTTTAATTTATTGGGTTTTATATATTTGAGGGATGTCCAGTTGAAATTTTCAAGTAAACAATTAAGATTTTCTATAACCCACTCCCTGAAATACGTGCAACTTATAAAACCACATGATGGTAAGCATCTTAAAAGTCTTCCCATCATATTACTCACTTGATACTTTAATTCCTTCTGTTGAACATTTATTAAGTGCCTGCTGGGATCATGTACAGCGCTAGGAGGAAAGTCACAATATGTTTTCACAGCTTGAGTTCTCCTGAGGTTCACAGTCTAGCTGGGGAGACAGACATGACACCTCCATAGGCTGAGTGAGAAGAGCTACTAGTGGCACCTACAAAGTACTGAAGACACACAGAGGTTGAACCTTCCAGCTGTGGGCCAACAACTCCTGATCAAAAAGGTTGTGCAGTTTCTGGTTTGGTAAGTAGATTGGACAATATATCTTCTTCTGGAGTAGCCTTGATTTCCTTTGGGATAACTAGATTTATAGGCAGTTTTATTGTATGTTGAGTCAATTCTGTCTCCCACTGGCTTCACATGACATGGTTTTTGGTGGTTTTTAAAGTAGGTTTTATCAGTATATAAAGTTATCTTATCAACTTTGTATTTGTCTTTTGTTTAGCCATTAAGTAGTCATCCTCATGTGAACAGGGACCTTGTCTGTTGTAGCCATCATTTATCCCCAGCACCAAAATTAGTGACTGAAACAAAGTAGGCACTCAATAAACATTTGCTGGTGAGTAGCTTCTAGTGTCTAGTCCATCATCATCTTAGTAGATCTTTTGGGAAGGCATTAGTTTGTCTGTGACCCGACTAATGTGCAGTGTCCACTGGAGAATACGACACTCTGAGATCACTAGAAACATCACAAAATATAAAGGAGTGGTTGCCAATTTGCTCTGGTTTCATATATCTATATTATGCAGTCCAAGATTGCACTGGTCTTTTGGGGAGCTATGTCACATTGTCACCCTCTATCGGTCATCTCAAACCATTAAGTTTTTTTTCATGAAACAGTTGCTAACACCATAGCTTCCTATTCTGGAAGAGGATTCTTCTTCTGTTGCTGGATTCTTACATTTTTTGATCTTGAATTTAGAATACCACATACATCTCTGAGAAATTTAGCCTAAAAAATGCCTGCCTGGCTTTTGCTTGTGATTCTGTTGTCCAATCTTTAGTTCTTCCTGCTTTCTAGCATTGGCATAATTAAAGAGCCTGTAGCCTCCCAAAGGTCAGGCTTTCTGCGTTGCCTGTGCTCCCAGCACATGGACTGTCATCAAGAGCATCCTCAGTTGAATGTTTATTGGGCAAATTTCTAAAGGCATGCCTTTTATATTTCTTTCAAGTTATTAATTAAAATGTGAAAAAAGAACAGAATGGTTTAGCTTTCTACTGGAAATGTCCCTCTTTTGGTATCTATCTATCTATCCCAAATCCAGCACATTTGGGTTCAGTTCATTTTTTTCTCCTTCATCTTTCAGGAAATTTTGCTATCATCTAGATACACTGCATTTATACTACAGTACCAATTTCAATGAAAGAAATGAGTTTAGACTGACATAACCTAATATTAAGAAACCCATACAGGCTCCAGGTGATCACCAGTTACTCTTCCATGGCCCCCAAACCCACCACTTACGGGCAGATGTTACATGATCTCCCTGGTGGACACTCTGGTAGGGAAAGAATTTGTAGGAATCAATTGTGAAATTGCATTGACCTTTCTTTCACATTGCCACAGCAGTCAAGGATGTGTGTGGGGAAGTTGAAATAAAGAAGCAGCTACAGAAAAAAAAAAGAAAGAAAACAAAAACCTTAGAGGATGTATTTTTAAAGGATGTAATTTATGTGTCTATTTTGGGGGTACATAAATTCTCATCTTGTTTAGAAAAGCATCACATATCCAGTGCATATCCAAAATATGCACATTGATTATTTATAATGGGCAATGTTCAAGATGGAGCCTTCCTCCCCTCTTTAAGCCAAAGGGTTATTTGGGCCAAGAGGGTGCTGAGTGGAGGAAGCAGGAAGTCAGGGTGGGAGTTCACTATGCTCCATAACCCCTTTGAGAGCCCCATCGAGTTAAGAAAGCATTGGTTACATCAGCACTGCTTTTTTCTCTATTTATGTCACGGGTAGTGATTCTGGAACACTGTGAAGGGCCTTCCTTAGATTTCAATGCCCTTTTAAAACCAAAGAGCAGGTGGCAATGGACCAAGCCAATAGCCACTTTCAATACAAAACAGCATGGTCCTTTGGTCTTGAGTGCCTTCAGCCAGAATCCATCAGCATAAAGAGCCACATTTCCATGAAATATACAGGATATTTAATAGCAATCAATGTATTTCCTACATGATTTATGGCTGCCCCTTTTCTATGGATTTTGGCAAGAAGATGGGAATTCAGATGTGGCTATGTATGGGGCAATTCAACAGGCTTGGAACATCATTTTGTTGAAGTTAATTTGAGGAGGCTGTCACTTGCCTCAAATCTGTGGCAGTTAGGATGTTTGTTATTACATCTCTTCTCTCCATACTCTGTAAACTATAATAAATTTGATTAAAGTGCAGATACCTCATGGAGATGTTATTTTTGCTCATAAAGAGTCTTTCTGACACTCTTAAATGGCCTTAAAAATGAACCTAAAATGTCATTTTGGGGATTTGTAAGGCATTAGAGAGTTGCATCCATCTCTTTCTCCTTCCCTTCTTTCTTTCTCTTTAGAAGTGCTTAGAAAAGCATAGCATCTTGGGGTCAGAATATCATTATAAAGCAAATTACTGCTAAAATGACCTAAATGCCAACCTCATAGTCTTAAGGAGTCCTTTCCTTACACTGTGTGTTGAACTGATTGCTTGAAAATAACTAAATCGTCCGGGAGCTTTCAATCATGTAATGCCTCATAGTTCTTCTGGGGACAGAGACTGAATGTGGCTACTTTGCAGAGCATGACGTTTAATGATGCCAAGTGTCTTGATGAGTACTGTTTGATGAATAATAATAATAAATAATAATAATACCCCACAAGCATTCGCTGACTGATGCATTTAAGGACTCTGAAGAAACTCCTGATGCATCAATTTCACTGCTTCTCTATTTCTCCACCAGATGGCAGAAGAAGGGCCAGGATATTGACCCTGAAATTTTTTTTGATTCTTAGATATTAAATATGAGATGGTATCAAAGGTTGGAAGTGAACATTTAAATATATTCCCATAAATTTATGTTTATTATAAAATCATAAAGCCATTTATGATTTATTATTTATTATTTCATTATAAAATATATTTCCTACAGAGAAATATCTTGAAATAAATAAAGGGTGTGGAAAACTTTGATACTGTGTCAAAGGTTAAAAGTTAAGCCAGGCATTTTAGACCAGGGGATGTATTAATACTTTCTCTGATATCCTTACGAAATGGGCAGTGGGACAGAGAACCACTTAGTGAAAGTTTTTTTACCCATCCTCCTTTTGCACCTGGAAATGTAAATAAGAAAGATGTATGGATATAAAAGATGGTGTTTTATCCAATGCTGCAATGGCTCTGGGCCTTATAAGAATTGCATTCCCTGCCAGACACAGTGGCTCACGCCTGTAATCCCAGCACTTTGGGAGGCCAAGGCAGGCGGATCACGAGGTCAGGAGTTCAAGACCAACTTGGCCAATGTGGTGAAACCTCATCTCCACTAAAAATACAAAAATTAGCTGGGCATGGTGGCCAGTGCCTGTAATCCTGGCTACCTGGGAGGCTGAGGCAGGAGAATCATTTGAACCTGGGAGGCAGAGGTTGCAGTGAGCTGAGATCGCGCCACTGCACACCAACCTAGGTGACAGGGTGAGCCTCTGTCTCAGAAAACAAACAAACAAAAAAAACAGAATTGCATTCTGTACTCCTATCCAGTGTTATTTTGAGGATAAACTCTTAAAATTTATCTCACAGGGTAAAGTGTGTAAGAAAATTAAAAGGGGTAGTCAGGGACCTGAGGGCCATCAGCCAACACAAAGAAGAGTCTGAATTCTTAGAGCTGGTGAATGTTTAACATCTTGGCATTGTTCAGGGTTGCCCAAGTTTATTTAGTAAGTTCTTAAATAAATGGAGAAGAATGTTTTATTACTCTCATATAAATGGATTTAAAAGAGAGATCTAAAAAAGACAGTTTGTTTCAGCCAGAAAACAACTTCATTCATATTCTCATTGGTATTTCTCTCATCCATATCTAAAAACCAAAGCACTTCTCATGGATTTACATAGTCTGTCTTTTGAGATAAATGGTCATTAGATGACAATTTAGAGAGAAAAGGAGTGAGGTGAAAGAGATTGTTTTGAGAGTATCCTTTTTAGGCAATAACATGCATACTAGGAATGAAAAATTAATTTTAAGACAGTGGTTTTAAGATTTCTTAATCCATATTTGAGTAGTATATTTTAGGAAGTATATACACACATATGATATTTTACTGCACAGCCTCTGGGTTTTCTGAGGCCCTGGCTTAACCCTTTTCTAGTTGCCATGGCTACGAGGACACAAATACAACATCCATACCATGAGCTGGATCTATGAGGAAGAATTTCCAACTGTATACATAGTATGTGTATTTGACCCAAGCTTTTCAGAAAGAATTTGACACAATTTTAAATGTAGTAAATTGTCTGTGTGAGTCATACAATGGAAATAGCGTATGCAGCTAGGAAAATGTAGTCTCATAAATGAACCAAGGGGAAAATAACATTGGAACCCCGTTCTCTCTAAAACCTCCATCTTGCCTTCCCTCATCTCTTCCTGATGTAAAGAATGTCATAGAAAACTTGAAGAAAATCATTCTAAGCTTTTATTTTTTTCTTTTTAAAGTTCAAGCCTAAAATAAATGATTATTTTCAAGCAAATCATAAATCTGTAATCTGAGATACTGGTCTTGCAAAAACACTTCAACGCTTCCAATTACTGGCTGTAAACTGCTTTTCTAAAAACCCTCTTAAATGTTCACTCTGCATTCTGAAAGAAGAACACAGACTGAAATTTCATCGCCATTTGCTCTGATTCCTAACTAAGGTGCTCCTCACACAGAATCTCCAGGAAGCAGAGATGGATGGGTAGATTTTACAATGGAGAGAGGACCGGTCCACTCTCAAAGTTCCATCCTGGACATTGAATAGCATCTTGGGAGGAACCAAAATGGGATCCCACTCTGGGTAAGACATGATAACACCAGCAGTGAGATTCCTGTGGATAGGGGAGTTTTCTTGGGCAGGGGTGAAGAGATACAGAAGAAAAGCAGGGAAGTGTGAATGCTAGGGATACAAAGAGAAGCCCCGGCAGGGAGCCTCACACAGATGCTTAATAAATGCTTTTTGATTTGACTGAATGATCAAAGTGTGGTGTTAGCGTCAAGCAGTCTTAGCACCATCGCATATAAATGCCTTTGGCAATCCACATGTCGGTTTATCTGGGGGCGGGGGTCAGGCTGTCGGAAGGGATGCTGTGCCCTTGCTTGATGTGAGTGGGCAGCCAGGGCCAGCCGTGGGAAGGGATTGAATCGTGGCGTCCTGTTCTTGCAACAGCCACATTCCTCATCGGAAGCTTGTACTGAGTGTTTGTCCTGCAAGCAGGAGCAGTCTGGGTGCATTTTTGAGATTCTGTGGGAGTTGCTGCAACTCAGACCCTCGGTTTTCTGATGTCCAAAAGAAGGGCGATAGTAAACAAGTAATAAGTAATAGTATTTGTTTATGTACATAACTTAACTCATAAAATCGTGCGATGATTTTAAAAAAAAGCTTTAAACAGCAGATATAAAAAGATAAGGTCCTTTTCATCAGAGGGTCCTGCTAGAATCTTTTCAGGAGGTAGGAGGCGGCATAGCTGAGTGGAAAGAATGTTGACCTGATGGGCCAGAGAAACAAATTCATTTCCCAGTTGAGCATAAACAGTTGTGAGACCTTGAGCCTCTCAGCCTTTCTGGGTTCCAACTTTCTCATCTGCAAATTTAAGGTGCTGGTCTAGAAGATCTTCCACTTCATGTTTTATTATCCTACAGAGAATTAAGAAAGGAATTGAGAGCCTAGTTTCCCTGGGGAGGTCAGTTTTACTTCTGAGGCCCTCAGATAGCCCTCTAGACGTCTGGCTAAAGGACAGAGGCATTTACATTCACATTTTCAGGTTGTATTTGGGAAATCGGACTAAGGAACAATACATTTCACATGCTCAGAAGCACAACCCCAGGTTAAGAAGGAGAGGAAGGCACTGCCTTACAGCAAACATCCACCTTATCTCGACCCCTAACCTCTCCTGGCCACATACCCCTGTCTAGATGAGCCACTCGGGATGGCCAGTGACCAAATAGCATGTGCAAAAGGAGTGGGGACTGGTGGGTAGTGGGGAGGAGAAAGAGAGAAAAGACTTTTCTGGACCCGTGGTAAATATGATTTCCTTGGTACTGAATGGAAAAGAATAAGCACTGCTTTTGATTACTCAAGTCCAACTTTCAAGAGTTTCAACAACTTCAGTGGGAAAAAGTATGCATATGTGTGTATGTATGTAATGTATGTATATATGTGTGTATATGCATATACATGCACAGACATATGTATACACAACACATAAATACATATGTGTGCAAAGCATATATATATACACATACACCTGTATGTTTATAAATTTATATTAAAAATCTTAGGAATGGCCTCATCTTCTCACCAGTGGTCTCTTCTCTCTGTTTCTACATCTTAGTCTCTCCCCATAAGACATATACCCAGTGAAATTCAGACTGAAATGTACAGAACTCTCTTCTAGATATTCTTCTTGGTGCAAACACTCCCTCGGTCCATATCCCTGTCCTTGTGCCCCCATCATCATAAAAAACAGGGACAGAATTTGAGAATTCTAACAGTTTGGGAAACTGTAAATGCCCACCCTTTTTGCATTTGCCACTGTTTCCATGACAAATTTTTTTCTCAGGAGAAAAGAACATTTCTAAAAGATCAAAATTAAATCACTTTGCAGACTCAAAAAAGGATGGTGGCTCTGGGGAAGTATTAACATGAAATAACACTATTTGTATCTAAAATCATTTATACCATGCATAAAATTCTCCCAGCATTTCAAATTTGCTAAGTTTAAAGTTCAGTCTTCTTCTTGTGTGTTTCTTTCTATTGGCACAGAATACAAAAGGGAGAATAGCTTTTGAACTCTCCGGTGATGTAACAAAATCTGATTTCATTGATGAGGATCATTGCTGAGTGAGGTATTTTGTGCTGAAAAAGTAATTGCTAGTTTGACATAGAGAAGCCATATCTATATCTACACAAATGCATATATAGAATGAGTAATATACAGATGTGTGTATTTATGTATATCTGTGTGGATAGATAGATTGATAGATGGATAGACTAATCCCCATTCAGACAAAAGTCCTCTTTGCCTTCCCTATATTATTCTTCAGTTATGTACACAAGGATTTCACTATCATCAATCTACTTGCCAATTATTTCTATGTTTTATCATCAGTTTTGGTTTTCCTCCTAGAAACTGTTGTTAAATGATATGTGATGGATGCTATATAAGCAGATATTACTTATCAGCCTGGAGAGACAGGATTGGATATTTTTAGGAGATCTCATTAAGAATACATAGGCCACCACCACCACCATCAAACACACACACACACACACACACACACACACACACAATATATATATATATATCACTTTAACAGCAACAACAAAAATAACTCCCCTTTCCCAAGTCCTCGTCTTGTATTTCTCTGCCTGACCTTCCACTGAAACAATAAGATAATATTCTTATGGAATGGGATTCCCACTTGTGGCAATACCTTTATAGAGGGCATCAACAACTGTGAATGAGTTCATCACAGTTTCTGGGCTCTGACAGAGAGGGACCAATAACGTGCTACTGTCAACCAAAAAGTATCTGAGACAGGTCTAAATCAATTCAGAAGTTTACTTTGCCAAGGTTAAGGACAGGACCAGGAGAAAAGAACATGGAACCACAGAAACAGTCTATGATCTGTGCCTTTTTCCAGAGATGATTTTGAGGGTTTCAATATTTAAAGGAGGAAAGTGGGCACGAGTGGAAAGAGGAAGGGGATGGATGGTCACATTGCTGAATCCACATGTTGCAAGAGATAAAAAGCAGGTAGGAGAATAGGCAATTAATATTTGTTTCACATTCAGTAAATTGAGATAAGGTGAACATGGAGTAGCTACCCGTGGAGATGTTTAACCTTTTATCTGTAGCTGTCTGCTTAGGAACAAAAGGAAAGGCAGTTTCTTGCATGACTCAGCTTTCAGCTTAATTTTTTTCTTTTTGGCATAGTGAAAGTGTTAACTTTCCTTTCACACTATGAACCACTAAGTATCTGAAAGGAACGGGGCAGGGATCCCAGCTACTCGAGAGGCTGAGGCACGAGAATCACTTGAACCTGGGAGGCAGAGATTGCAGTGACCCGAGATCGCACCATTGCACTCCAGCCTGGGTGACAGAGTAAGACTTGGTCTCAAAAAGAAAAACAAAAAGAAAGGGACGGGGATAGGTGAGGAGAAAAAAAAATGCTTGTGTGGGGAAAGCAGTGAAGTAAGAAAAGAGAAAGAGTTAAAGAAAAACTTCATATTATCTAATGGAGTCTAACAGAAATTGAATTCAAACCTTGGCTCTTTCGTTTAGTGTTTGTTTTGTATACTTGAACCAGTTAGTTGCCTAATCTCTATGATCCTTAGGTATTTACCTGTAAAAATAAAAATAAATTACAGGCTCATGCCTGTAATCCCAGCACTTTGGGAGGTCAAGGTGGGCGGATCACCTGAGGTCAGGAATTCAAGACCAGCCTGGCCAACATAGTGAAACCCTATCTTTACTGAAAATACAAAAATTAGCTGGGCATGGTGGCACATGCCTGTCATCCCAGCTACTCATGAGGCTGAGGCAGGAGAATCGCTTGAACCCGGGAGGTGGAGGTTACAGTGAGCCAAGATTGTGCCACTGCACTCCAGCCTGGGTGACAGAGAGAGACTCCGTCTCAAAAAACAAT
Source organism: Homo sapiens (assembly GCF_000001405.40). NCBI lineage: Eukaryota > Metazoa > Chordata > Mammalia > Primates > Hominidae > Homo > Homo sapiens. The sequence continues at coordinate 44,056,588 of NC_000013.11, forward strand.
TATAAAAATAATAAAAATATCTATATTACCGGATGGTTTTAAGGATTATGTGAAACTATATAATAAATATAAAACATATAGTACAACTCCTTTCAAAATAATTATAACTTTCGTCAATTTATAATTTCCCAAGGATAATCACTATGCCCATATAACTATGGAAAAATTTTTGAAATATTTCTGGTTTGAGGGATGATAATTAAATGAATTTTATTCTAAGAAAATAATTGAACATCTGAAGGGAAACTATCTACAAAACAATTCTTAACATAAATAACCAACAATGAAGAAACAAAAAGTAAATTACAGCAGATTTGTGTTACAATGGACACACTTCAGAGAGCTACACTATGCAAACAGTAACTAGAAGAAAGCTGAAATTATTGCCTTAATATCAGACAAAATAGATTTTCAGACAAAAAGTATTACTAGAGACAAAGAGACATTTAATAACAATAAAGGGATCAATACATCAAGAAGATGAAACAATTATAAATGTATAATTTATAATACATAATTTATACAAAGCCCCAAAGTGCATGAAACAAAAACTGACAGAATTGGTAGTAGAAACAGTTGGAGTTATAGTTGGCATTATAGTTTGGAATTATAGTTGGAGATTCACATACTCCTCTCTCATTAACTGATATAACAACTAGAAAGATTTAAACAACAGTATCAATCAACCTGACCTAATTGACATATACAAGGTGCTCCACCACCAACAGCAGAATGCATATTCTTTTCAAGTACACATGGAAAAATTTCCAATATAGATTTTATGCTAGGCCATAAAGCAAGTAATAATAAACTCAAGAGATCATTAAAATTTTAAAATTAAAAGATAATTAACTATGATTAAGTAGGATTCATTCCAGAGACGCAAGAATAGTTTAATATATGAGAAATCAATAAATGCAATGCATCACATTAACAGAAAGAAAGACAAAAACCGTATAATCATTTTAACGGAAACACAAAAACATTTGACAGAATTCAACATTCCTTCATGATAAAAACTCTCAACAAATTGAGTATAGAAGATATGTACCCCAACACCATAAAGACCTATTCAGGATGAGCCTGGAGTATCTTATAGTGCAAGAAAGTAAGGAAGTGTCCAAAATACAAAAGCAAACATAAAAAGCAAACAAAACTCCACAATAAGGAAGATATTATAAAGGAATACAGGAGCTAACTGAAGGCTCCCAATGGCCAAAGCTGGAAAATTTTGAGCAAAAAATTAAATAAAGTAGCATGGGATTATAACTCAACATATAAAATAAATGTCCATGAGTCCATAATGATATAAATAAAGAAATAAATGTGGTAAAAGGGACAAATCTCCCATGCAGAACAATTCCAAGTAATTCATGTGGATACGCCACCTTCAAAGAGATGAGATGGTGTGGTCTGCACACAGTCACTTCCTTCAGAAGAGCACAGTGTGAAAACAGGGAATAAAAGAATATCTTTCCATTGGAGAGAACTGCTGGACACCACCTCAGCCAGGTGATCAAAAACAACAGTGGTAAGTCATGTTCATCGAATGTATCCTTGACATGAGGAAAATGGTACTTTACCTCTGTGTTCTTCCTCTCCCAAACCTGTAACTCCGGATTAATCATGAGGAAGACAATTCCCAATGAAGAGACATGCAAAAAAATGCCTCAAAATTGTCAAGGTCATCAGAAATGAAAGACGTGAGAAACTGTCGCAGCCTAAGAAGACACAACTACTAAATATCATGTGGCATCCTGGATGAGATCCTGGAACAGAAAAAGGATGTTAGGTGAAATCTAAGGAAATCTGAATAAAGTATGAACTGAAATTAATAATAATGTGTCAACATTGGTGAATTAATTGCAGCAAATGTGCCGTGATGTAAGATGCTAATAACAAAGGAGACAGAGCATGGAGCATAAGAACTGTCTTTGCAAGTTTTCTGTAAATCTAAGACTATACTAAAAAGTCAAGTTTATTTTTTAAAAAGTACTTCTCTTTCCTGTAATAATGTAAGACAGATTAGGGGAGAGCCATATAACAAAGTCTAGAATCAATTGAAGTGGCATCATAAAGCTAAATTCCAGAAAAATGTGTACCATCTGGCTTCGTGGAACCCAAATGTGCTGGCTTAGTGCTAAAGTGGCAGCCAGGAAGGGTTTAAATGGTGTTATCATTAATACATATTTGGCAGCAGGAATTTCCATTATTAGCAGCTGAAAAAACATGCCATGGAACACTTGAACAGAACTGTACAGGAAAATACAAACTCTCCCACTTTGCTCTCTTTATGCAGCAGACATCTCCTGAGAAACAAAGAGCTGAGTTTTTCTTTTCAGAGCCTGCAAGATTTATTTCTTTTAGAAAAATCTACCTTTAATTACTGTAGAATGCTCCCTAATGCTCAAAGACTCCTGAGCTCATTGGATGCCTCAGGACTAAGAACTGGGCTTTGTTATTATTATTTAGAAAACAAACAGGTTCAGAGAGGGTCAGTAATTTGCTCTGAATCCACATCTGGTAAGTTGTGGAATTGGAACTTGAACCTAGGTCTTTCAAATAAAAACTGAATGTCCTTTATACAACTAAAAATGATTTGAGACATTTTTTGTCCTGTTGTTTGGGCACATGTTAGCGGACATCAGACATCCAAAACAAAAACGTCACCTTCTGATGAGTGAAGGCAGCAAGGTGGGCTTTGGCCTTCCCAATGGGTGTCGACACTAACCAGAAAATTCTTCTGAGCAACACTGAGCCTCAGTTCTATCATTTATCTTCTTCTTTCAGTTTGTCCCTCAAATGCTTTCACCATCTCTGTTTCTTGTATTAATCTGATCATTTTTGTCTTTGATTTCTGCACAGCTGGTGAAGTCACTCTTCACCTTATTTGGTTCTCCTTCCACACTGCATTTCAGCTTTAATCACCTCTCTCATCTGCCTGATGCTGAGACCCTAGTCCTTGTTCCTGTTTGCCGTGGTCTTGACCACATGACAAAGAGTATTAGACTATCGGAGAAGACCCAAATGCTATTTTGATTTGAAAATCTGCACTATTTTCAAAGGTTCACTGGGAAACTGGAGTACTTGATAATTCAGAGTTATTAAGATTATCTAATTCTGCCTAATCTCTCTTATGTGGGAGATAAGGTTTAATATGTATCACTTCTAATGAAAGGAGATGAGGAATTGGGTCATTCCTTTCAATTTCACAGTAATATTTCACTGACCTCTAAAAATACCTCCTATTAAAATGTATAGAAACCAATTCTTGGGCAGAACTCAGACTTGAATAGAAGCAGAGAATAATACTGCACATTAGAAGAAGAAATGTCTCTTCCGAATAGGACCTTAGGTTTTAAAAATCCAACCAACTCAGAAACAACGGGACACTTTGAGATGTACTTAGATCTCTGTCAGCGAGTTTTCCAAAAGAAGTCAGGGCCACCCTTACTGGGGATGTTGTCAAAGAGATTCATATTTTACACATTGGGGTGAAGGGCCTGGGGAAATGTTGTTGATCACTTCATGCAAATTCGCAAAGCGTTCCATATTTAAAAAAAAAAAAAGAAAGAAATTACTTTTTTAAACCTACATATAAAATGAGATTTTATATTGAGTCACTGTAGCCTATTAAAACTCATCTCAATTTTTGTTACCAGAGTGCTATTTTCATTGTGCAACGCTTTGCAAATTCTCATTGCCCTCTGCTAATAATTCTGAATTTGAATCTATATCCTCTTAGAGAGAGTGAGATCTTTGCACTTCTAAAGGTTGCAGAGCCAGTGGCTTTGTCTCCATGTGACTGTGCACTGAAGGGTAATGTTCTCATGCCTCAAGGGGCAGCCAGATAGCCTGGGGAAGAGCAATGGAATGGAGCACGCTGGGAGAGCCAAGGCCTGGAATTAGGGAGTAGGGAGAAATGTTGGCTACAGGCTCTGGGAAGTGTAGTCTAGCAGATAGAATGCTATATCCAAGGGTAGGGAAATAGATACGGGGGAAGGGGGTTGGAGGTGGAGAGAATGTGTTGGAAGCAAAGATCTCAAAGCAACGTAGTAGGAAAATTATGAAAGACAACCAGAGAAAAGCAATGAAGACTGAAGGATAGAATAATACTCAGTCGTTTCGTGAAAGGGCTGTATATGTAAATCAACCCCCAAAATGCAGAAGGAATTTGATAACCAAAGGAGGCACACAAGTCCTGCTTGCATTATAGAGAGATTTTATTGGAGAACTTACAGACAGAAGCATGGTCTTAGGTAGACATAAGCCAGGTAAACCTCCTTACCATCACCCCCAGACCCAGGGATTATATACCATAGGAAAAGGGTACACATACTTCAGAGGGAATGGGAAGGACTTTAATCTAAGGGTAGGATTTATGGGAAGTATGAGTTTATGAAGGTTGATTTGATCTAAGGACAGGATTTATGGTAACTATATGCTCTTACACAAGAAGCAAAGATAAACTGGAAATCTGAGAGTCAATCCTGGAAAGGGGGTTAATCAGAAGTCAATATGGCGGATTCGCTTCCAAGATGGAGTCACTTTAACCTTCACATCAGGAGTCTGGGAAGACAGAAAATAAGCACGTAGAAGAGTTTCACCGTCTATGTTGGGCTTAAAAAAATAAGACTCTGGTCCCAGATTAGTCCTTGTGGCCAAAGAACAAAGAAGTGGGCAGGCAAGAATGAGGCAAAAGTCAATACAAGAGACAATGCCAAGGCCAGGCGCAGTGGCTCACACCTGTAATCCCAGCACTTTGGAAGGCCGAGGCAGGCAGATCACCTGAAGTCAGGAGTTCGAGACCAGCTTGGCCAATGCAGTGAAACCCCTTCTCTACTAAAAATACAAAAATTAGCTGGGCATGGTGGCGCATGCCTGTAATCCCAGCTACTCAGGAGCTGAGGCAGGAGAATTGCTTGAACCCAGGAGGCAGAGGTTGCAGTGAGCCAAGATCGTGCCAGTGCATTCCTGCCTGGGCGACAGAGCAAGACTGTGTCAAAAAAAAAAAAAAAGAGAGAGAGAGAGAGAGACAATGCCCATGGCCAGAGAGCAAAACAGGGGTTATCAGGGACTAGGGGTAAGGAGTGGGAAAATGAGGAGTTGTTTAATGGGTTCAGAGCTCAAGTATGGGATGATGAATAGCTTCTAGGGATGGATGGGAGTGATGATTGCACAGCAGTGTAAATGTACTTAGTGCCACTCTACTACACACTTAAAAATGGTCAAAATGGTAAATTTTAGCTTATGTATATTTAATACAAAAAAATTTTAATGAATTTTTTTAAAAAGAGAGACAGTGGCAGCATCAGATTTCCATCACAGGAACTCAGGTACTAGCAACAATGGAGAAGCCCAATTCTCAGAACTGGCATGTGAGGTGGATACTAGATCTTGGGTGACAGAAGGGCCTGTGTGCAATGCGGAGCTCAAGGTCAGAACAGACCAGAGGTACATCTGACTGTGTGCAGTGATTTAGGGCATGTGCTGGAACACTTGACTGCTGCTTAAACCCGGGAAATGGCTGAGTCTGAAAGTGGGCTTAAGTAGCCTCAGCTATGGACGTCAAGGAAGTCTAAAAAGGCTGGGTATTGGGCAAGACTAATACATGCTGGTTCTTTGTAATCTCATTTTCCTCACCCAGGACTCATGTTGAGGAGGACAACAAAAGAAATCAGCCCTGAGACAAACCAGCTCCCACTGAAGGAAATAATTTGACCATGAACAGAGTGGAAACAGGATATAGAGCTCCCAATATTTTAGGCCAACTCACTAACTAGTAGACAATTCTTCCTTTTAAAGAATTCTATGCCTTTTCACTAATGAATTAATGTCCCTATGGAGCCACAAAGGATGAGAATTTAGCCCAAATGTATACTTAAATTGGATCGCCTTGTAAGAATGCTTTAAAAAATAAAATGCAGCCACCTGTGACATATTAAGACTGTTAATGTACTCATTGACATAAATACCTGAAGGGTTTTTATAACAGCTGGAACATGGCTCAAAGATCTTTTGTATTTGATTTTTAATGTACTTCCAAAGTGACTTCATAAAATTGCAACCACTACCACCAGTGGGGTTTCGTTTAACTCCTTGAGTCCTCATCTTCCAGTGCTATTGATGCCAGTGATTACCATTACTGCTCACTCTAAATGTCTTGAAGATAAAAATCAAACTCCAAATACATTAGCAATTGAGAGACAAGACTTAAAAGACAGGCAATCAAGACCTACATGTCCCTGGCCACCACAACTCTCACAAAATGACATTTTCTTGGCTCCACCCTCACTTCCTCTGTAGAGTCCACAGTCCCTTCAAATTCTTCCCATATGGGTCTTAGCAAGGCCTAAATTCCTCCCATATGGCACCACTGAAGGGTTCGGGCAATAAACCTCCTCAACTGTGACTGGACCCCAGACTGTCCAGCCTACTGTGGGGCTGCATCCATCTCATCTCTGCCAGAGGTGACAGCTTGGCCTCTACTTCCCACTAGACAAATTGTTAACTGTTGATGTCCACGCCAAAGCTGATGGTGACTGAGGCAGAAGGAACTGGTGTCTGAGCCACAACAGCCGGTTATGACAGACCCTGTACCACTCCTAGGGCCACCCTTCCATTTCATCTCCACCCCATCGTCCTTGAGTTTGGTTCAATCATTTGTCTGTTCGTTCAGTCAACAAATGTTTATTAAACATCTATTATGTGCTGAGCACCAAAATAGGCTGATGATGTAGAGGCTATGTGCAAAAGAAGCATGATGGAGCTTACATTCCCGTGTGCAGACCAACAGTAACAGGTGAACAAATTAATAAATGCATAACTACTTATGTGAAATGCTAAGAAAGTAATAGTCAAGGTGCTGTGATCAGGAATAAGAGCTGATGGAGTGGTCAAGAGCGGGCCTCCTTCAGGAAATGACATTTAAATTAAGACCCAAAGGGTGAGAAGGAAACAACCATTTAAAGAGCCGGGGAAAGAGTTTCACAGGCAAAGGGAGTATAAGGAAGAAAAACACATGGGCCATTCAAAGACCTAAAATAAATCTGCAGTGGGTGTAGCTAGAGTCAAGTGAGAGAGAGGCAGAATGGTAGGAGGCTGGGTTGAGCAGCAAGGTGGGGCAGGCTATGTTTGACTTCTGTAGGTTGAACCTGAGAAGCCATTAAATAGAAGGGGAATGGATAGTTTTCTTCACATTTTGTAAAAAAATGTAAAGCTCATCTTGACTGCTATGTGGAGAGTAGATTGGAAGATACCAAGAAGGGAAATAGGAAAGTTATTTGTAATCATTCAGGTGAGAAATGATGATGGCTTAAAGTAGGACAGCAGCAGTGAAGATGAACATAAGTAAATGGGAGATGCATTTTGAAATAGGAAGGATTTGCTGATAGATTCAATATATAGGTGCAGTAAGGGAGAAGAATCAGATGACTACCAAGTTTCTGGCTTGAGCAATTGGATGGATGATGATGCATTTACTGAGATCAGGAAGATAAAAAACAGACTGCGGTGAGGAAATCAAAAGTCTGCAACATATTAGGTTTGTTATGCTTATGAGACACTGCAGTGAAGCACTGAGTAGGCATTTGCATATACTCATTCGTTAACATATATTTTTGAGTCTCTACTATGTGTAGGAACTGAGCCTAATTCTAGGGGTATAGCAGTAAACATAACAAAGATGACCTTTGACCTTAGGAAGTTTACAAACGAGCAGGTAGGGCAAACACTGGACAAGTAACTAAGCATGATATAGGTACCAGTGCAGAAATTGGAGCCAGGGGGTGGGCAAGGGGGGAAGAACAAGGAGGCTGACAATCTGGGTGGCTAGCAGAGGTTTCCTAAGGAAGTTTCCTAAGACACTTAGCTCTGATATATGAACAAAATTAGCTCAGTAAAGAGGTGGAGGCAGAGTTTCAGGCAGAACATGTGCAGAGCATGTGTAGAGGCCTGGAGGCAGGAGAGATTAGGTTTTTCCAGGAACGAGTCTTATAGAACTAATTCTTTCCCAGAATGTTCTCAGTCCTCATGAAATTCCAGTTAGCAGGCTAGTTCCACTCATCCTCCAGACATGCTGGAGTGGCCAGAGGGTCAACGCAGCCTGCACTCCAGCCAGGACTCCTGCTATACTGTGTCTAAAAGATCAAAGTTCATTCTTTCAATTAACAATTCCTTGAGCACCTGACTATGGATCACCGAGGTCTAGATCAGCAATCCCCAACCTTTTTGACAGCAGGGATCTGTTTCATGGAAGACAATTTTTCCATGGATTGGGAGGGGGAGGGAGAGATGGTTTGGGGATGAAACTGTTTCACCTCAGATCATCAGTCACTAGATTCTCATAAGGAGCAGGCAACCTAGATCCCTCTCATGCATGGTTCACGATAGGGTTTGTGCTCCTATGAGAATCTAAGGCTGCTGCTGGTCTGACAGGAGGCAGAACTCTGGCAGTGATGCTCGCTTGCCCACTGCTCACCTCCTGCTGTGCAGCCTGGTTCCTAACAGGCCACGGGCTGGTACCAGTCTGCAGGCTTGGGGGTTGGGGACCCCTGCTCTAGATAAACTTCTTGCCTCTCAGAAAGAACTTGTCACTTAGTGGAGAATGAAGAGTGTTATACTAAAGGTATGTCTAAAGAACCATGGGGAGATTGAAGAAGGAGTGACCGGCTCTCCCTGGAGCCACAGAGGAGACATCACAGAAAAGGAGGGAGAAAGAAAGAAATGGCAACACTGACATTGGTTGAGCACTTGGGATTGATATGTGCATTTGGGAAATGGCAAGCCATTTGGGAGAACGAACCATTCTTAGAACTCAGTTTGCCCAATGAATATAATTTCCTCTCTTAGATACATGATCTTCTTCCTTAGCATTGAGAAGATTTCTCTGCATTTGGTAATAGCTATGATTTTGCAACTGGCAGGTTTTTTCAAGGAAAGACCCTAGTATGGAAGGCTTATGAAATAATCCAATGCTTGTGGTCCTATGAGTAAAGGAGGGAGAAACCCCCAGGAGTCAATCTGAAGGCCACAAACTTTTATTTCCACCTGCCAAGTTTCCATCACTTTTGCAGGTAGTCCTGAGATAACTAGGATGGAAACCCTCTCCTTACCAGTAAAGACAAGCCATCCACTTAGCGGTCCTTCTGTTCCATCCTCCAGAAAGACACGAGGCCTTTGGTAGCTCTCCATACTCCCTACTCCCCCACTCCCAATACCAATATTGGAGAATCTGCCATTTGGAAACTCTCAAGCACAGCCTTCCTTCAGGACTGGCTCAAAAAAATCATTTTGCTTTTGGCATTTTTAATTAAAGTGGCATTGCATAAAAACAGATGAAAACATGTCAGTAACTCAAAGTTATTAGAAAATGGAGATGAGAAGAGAGAGAAAAAAGGTGAGAGTGGGAAGAATCCTAGAAAGGAAATGAATCTATGTGAGAAACTATTTCCCAATGAACTCCCATGCTAATCACAGCCTTCAGACGTCAGTAGCAGAGGCTACAGCCGAGTGATAATTAGAAACCAAGCAACCTTTCTGAAAGAAGTACAAGATGGAACATTATTAGGTAAAGTGGTTTTTTCTTTCTTTCTTTTTTTTTTTACACCCAAGAAGTGTGCCGTTGTTCCTTAATAGCTTTGAAAAGCAAGAACATTAAACACAAAGGCAGTGTGTCAGGAGTAGCAGAAAACTCCAGGATGGGCTTTTTCTTGTCGCTCCTGGGAAGAGTTAAGTCATTTAGTCTGTACAATTAAAACACCCCAGTGTTGCCAGGGGTGGGGGACGAAGGGAGAGGGAAGAACAGGGAAAGCACAGGGACTATTAGGGCAGTGAAACTATCATATATGAAACTATAATGGTGGATGCACGACACTGTGCATTTTTCAAAATCCCCAGGATGTAAACTCAATGTGTGAACTCTAATATTAACTATGAACTTTATTTAATAATAATGTTATTTAATAATATTAGTTCATCACTTAAAACAAATATACCAGACTACTGCAACATGTTAATAACAGGGGACACTAGGGGAAGGAGTGGGAGTATACGGGAGTTCTCTGCGCTTTCTATTCAATTTTTCTGCAAATCTAAACCTCCTGTAAGAAATCAAGTCTATTAATTAAGAACAATTTAAAACACTTTAAAGTGAATTGCTCCACTTGATCTCTTCCTTCATTTCATATTAGACTTGATAAAATATGTAGATATCATTTAAAACCATTGTCTGAATGAGATCATCAAGGGAGTGAATCTGTATAAAGAGGAGTTTGAGGACTTGCCCCAGTGCACTCCCATATTCAGAAATCAGAAAAAAAGAGGATCCTCAGAGGAGACTGAGTAGAAGCAGCCTGTGAAATCTGAGACAATGTGGGTAATTTTGTGTCCCCGTCGTCAACTAAAGGCTTGTCAGAGTGGGGAATCTGTATCAAATACTACTGAATGAGTTAAGGATGTAGAGTTGACTGCTGGATTTGATACCTTTGATATGAACAATTTTAGAGGAGTAGTGGGCACAGTATCCCAACTGGAGAAGATTTAAGAGAAATTAGTGGAGACAGAGTAGGGAAAACAAGCCTAGAAATCTCAAGTTTCTTTATAAAGGGAAATGGAGGGATAGTGAGAAAGTTGCTGTTTCGGCAGCCTTCATAATTAGAAAAGGAAGGGGCAAGGAAGTTAAGAGGGAGACTGAGGCCGGGTGCAGTGGCTCGCGCCTGTAATCCCAGCACTTTGGGAGGCCGAGGTGGGAGGATCACGAGGCCAGGAGATCGAGACCATCCTGACTAATACGGTGAAACCCCATCTCTACTAAAAACAAAAAATTAGCCGGGTGTGGTGGCGGGCGCCTGTAGTCCCAGCTACTCGGGAGGCTGAGGCAGGAGAATGGCGTGAACCCGGGAGGCGGCGCTTGCAGTGAGTCAAGATCGCGCCACTGCACTCCAGGCCTGGGCGACAGAGCGAGATTCCGTCTCAAAAAAAAAAAAAAAAAAAAAAAAGAGGGAGACTGAATGATTTTAATTGTGGGCTGTGGATTCTAAACCAGTAAGGAGCTAAGTTGAGGACATGAAGAAGAGGATGAGGTAGGCTCAATAAAGTAAAAGGCTCTTATTTCTGAATAACCATTAAAATTGTGGTACAAGAAATAGCATGCTGATCAGTGTCAAGGTCATTGTGCCACAATTAATTTTTGTGCTTCTAAGCACTGATGACAAAGGACCAAGGCTACAATGAAGTCTCGTTGTATTCAAATGATAAATGGAATACAAATCATAATTACAAAGACTACCCAGTTTGATTTCCTTCTTTCTCAACCTCGTAGTTTTTAATTGTTTCATTTCCTCATGAGAAATTTCTAACAGCTCTTGGTATAATTATTATGAGTTATTTTAATGAAATCATTATCGCACTCTTTTCTGGTTTCACATGACTCTTCTAATATAAAAATTGAAAGTTCATTCTGAAAAAAATGACGCCAATTGTCCTCCACGTAAATTATTACACATCAATAAATAACCAAATATGTATTATTATTCTGGAGGTTTTGAGGAGGAAGTGACAGAAATACCAATTACTTATTAAGAATTTATTCATGCCTGCCATTTTGCTAGGAAATTGCTCATCTGTGCAACAGCTTCACAAGGTAGGTATTATTATTATTCTTATTTTACAAGTGAAGAAGGAAAGACTTAGGCTGTATGACTAAGAACACATAGCTAAGAAGTGACAAAATCTGGGAAACAGAACTCCAGACACAACGATGCCAAGATTCCTTCTCATTCCTTGACTGTCTCGCAGGATTTCTTCCATGCACTTTCTGGTATCACCTGCTTTGTGAACTGCAGCACCACTCCCTGGTGGTTTTACATTTTTGTTGTGGGAGCACAAGTTAATAGTTTGCTGTAGGTTGACAACCCAATTAAGACCCCAGAGGTTGTGTTTGTTAATTTCTTCCGTCATTCACTCATTTACATAACTACCCTTAGTATAAATTTGGCACAGATTATCACTTTTCTGTGAATGCTACCATGCGGTACTGATTCTCACCATGACTGATCCACCGCTGATTTTTCAATAGTTGAGGAAAAGGGGCTACTCAGTTCTGCCACTTTATTTTCAAAACCTCAGCAGACACAGAATGATTATTATCACCTGATTTTCAATCAACATCTCATTTTACAAAATTACACTGATCGTAGTGCTACTTGATAAACAGTCATATTTTTAGAAAGAAAAAGATATTTTCTAAAAATAGATGAGTTGTTAATGGTTCTCTTTCTCCTACAGACACCCACGCCAACATGGAAGAGCTTTTTTTTCCAGTACCTTTCCCTTTGGTTTCAACTAACAACTTCCTGGTAATATGATCTCTTGGTTTGTTTCTTTCCTCCTACCGCTTGGTTTCTAGAGTGACTACGTTGTAGTCATCTATTAAAAATGTGGTTGCCAAGTAATAGGCATCCTAACTTCAGATTGTTATTTGACATGGAAGAAATATAAAATCTTTTGATGTTTAAATAAAATTTTAATCAAAATTATATGTAGAATTAAAAGAAATTTAAAAGCACAGTTAATCCACATTTTTAAGAATGAGAGAGTAGCTTATATCAAATCAGCTCTTCCTTTATTAACATCGATGAAACCTGGACAAATAGTAAAATGCAGCGGTTTGAAGGCATTAGACAATAATCAAGGGAGAAAGGAGTTAGGAGATAAATATCCTGGAAAGAAAGGAAATGCAATGAAACAAATTAATGTTATCTGTTGCTCCTCCTCTTGAGACGTTGCGCTATTGCTAAACTGTGCAGGGTTAGAAGGCAAACAGAAAGATGCACAGAAAGATTAAAAAGCCTAGCAAAGTTTTGTTCATGTCACGGTGCTAGGAGATAAAAATTGGAGTTCAAAGCCCAACCAAAGATGAGAGGCAGTGGTAAACATTCTGCTATTGAGTTGAGACCCATAAAGAACTGCACACTGAGAGTAAAGGCAGACTGGAAGTAGACAAGTCCTCACAAAACCAGAAACTCAGCCTCAATTTCTCCCAATTCCCCTTTGAACCAAGGTTACATACTTCTACTCTAATTACTTCCAAGAAGAAAAATAAATCTTTTGTGCAAGAAGATATATCACCAGAGCCACTAGAGTTTTTCGTAGGTAATAGGAATTATTCAATTGAAAATAACTGAGCATGCCTGGACATAGGACCAAACAATTGAATATCAAGAGATAAAGAGCAAATAGTAGAAATGGATCCACAGGTATCTCAGATATTGGAGTTATCAGAAAGAGATTTCAACTCTACTGTCATCAGTATTTTTGAGACAATTGATGACAAGAGTGTAAGGGTATATAAAATAAGAAAGAGCTAACATTTGTGATTGGATTTCTAGAAGTAAAGGAGCAAGAAAATGGGACAGGAGCAATATTTGAAGAGATAACAACTGAGAATTTCCAAAGTCCAATGAAACATATCAGCCCACACATTCAAAAAGCTCTAAGAAACTCAACAAAGGTTAAATACAAAGAAAACTACTCCAGTCACAAGGTATTCAAACTGCTGGAAGCTAAAAGCAAAGCAATTTATTTATTTATTTTTTATTATTATTATTTTTGAGACAAAGTTTTGCTCTTGTCACCCAGGCTGGAGTGCAATGGTGTGATCTCGGCTAACTGCACCCTCCATCTCCCGGGTTCAGGTGATTCTCCTGCCTCAGCCTCCCAAGTAGCTGGGATTACAGGCACCCACCACCATGCCCAGCTAATTTTTGTATTTTTAGTAGAGATGGGATTTCACCATGTTGCCCAGGTTGGTCTCAAACTCCTGATGTCAGGAGATCCACCCACCTCAGCCTCCCAAAGTGCTGGGATTACAGGCATGAGCCACCACACCCAGCCAAACAAAGCAATTTAAAAGCAGCTAAAAGAAAAAGACTTATTACTTTAAAAGTAACAATGATAAATTGACTGATGCTCAACATTAATAATGGCAGTCAGAAGACAATGGGATAGGATCTGTAAACTACTGAAATAACTGCCAACATAGAATTCTATACTGAGTGAAAATATTCTTCAAAAATCAAGGGGGAAAAAATGTTTGCATATTAACAAAAAATTAGCACAAATATACAATAATAAATATTTAAAATAATTATTCAGGAAGTTGAAGAATTATTTTAAATGGACTCACAGAAATGCACAAAGGTGGAAAGAGCACAAGAAAGGGTAAACATGTCAGTAAATATATTGACTGCATGAACAATAAGGTAACAATATAAATATATTTATATTATTATAAATAAACATTATATTTATATGTTATAGGGTTTAAAATATATGGCAAAAATAGCACAAAAGGCAGTAAGTAAAAAATTGTGTTAAAATATCCAAAGTCCTTTCATTGTCTGGGAGGTGTTAAAAATATTAATTTATTATGGGCCATAATAAGTCTAGTGTGTATACTATAATATCTAAATTAATCACTAAAATTATAATTAATATGCTAATAAAAGAAAATAATAGAAAATACTTGATTACTCCAAAAAAATGTAAGAAATGAGAAGAAAAGGAATGATGGTTAATAAAAACGGTATGATAATAGAAGAAGCAGAATAAACATTTTAAGAACGCCACACAAAGGCACATCATAATTAAATTTCAGAACATCAATGATAAAAAGAAAATCTTAAAAACAGCAAGAGGGAAAAGATAAATATACAGAGTATCAAATATAAGAGTTATGAAAGACTTCTTTTCAGAAGCTATGCAAGCCAGTAGACCATGAAGTGAAGCGCCAAAAGAAGGAAAAAAATCTAACTAGAATTCCATATCCAGTAAAAGTATATTTGAAAAACTAAGTAAAAAATAAGGACTTTTTTAAAAGAAAAAAAGTTGACAGAATTCACTGCCAACAGAACTGCAATGCAAGAAATAAAATCAGAAAGAAAGAGTATTATTTGAAAATTTGGGTCTACACTAAAGAATGAAGAGTATCAGCAATGGTTGATATGTGGGTAAATATACAACTCTTGTCACCGGGTGCAGTGGCTCACGCCTGTAATCCCAGCACTTTGGGAGGCCGAGACAGGTGGATCACCTGAGATCGGGAGCTCGAGACCAGCCTGACCAACATGGCGAAACCCCATCTCTACCAAAAATACAAAATTAGCTGGGCATGGTGGCACGCGCCTGTAATCCCAGCTACTCGGGAGGCTGAGGCAGGAGAATTGCTTGAACCCAGGAGGTGGAAGTTGCAGTGAGCCAAGATAGTGACACTGCACTCCAGCCTGGGCAACAAGAGCAAAACTCTGTCTCAAAAAAAAACAAAAAACAAAACAAAACAAAAGAACTTTTTTCATGTGTAGTCTGCTTAAAAGATAATTAACTTTTTAAAACAAAAATAATATTAATGTATTGTGGCGTTTATAACATGTAGAAGAAAAATCCATCACAGCAATAACACAAAAGACAGAATGGGGAAGTACACTGTCGTAAGGTTTTTATACTGCATGTCAGGTAGTATTTGATTATTCAAAGGTAGAAAGTGATAATTCAGAAATGAGTATTACAACTTCTAGAAAAACTGCTAAAACAATTAAAAAGAGGCATAGTTAATAAGACCATAGTGGAGATGACATGGAATCATAAAAAGTATTCACTCCAAAAGATGTCAGGAAAAGAATAAAAGAAAAAAAAAGTATTAAAAATAAAACTTTTAGCTATCAAGATGGTAGATTTCAACCCAATTATATAAAAATTATATTAAATTTAAGTTGTTTAAACGCTCCAATTAAAATGTAGAAATTTTTAGATTGAACAAAAAAGCAAAGTCCAATTATATTAACATCAGACAAAATATATTTGAAGAATATTACTATAATGATTAACAAATTGCTTGACAGGACATAATTATATATGTTTATGCCTCTATAATAGAGCTTCAAAACGCATAAAGATAAAGCTGGTATAACTCAAAAGAGAAATACACATATCCACAATTAGAGTTGGAGATTTCAACATATTTCTATCACTAATTGATAGAAAAAAAATAGAAAGCAGCAGGGGGGAAAAGATATATATATACACACACATACATATATACAGAGTAGCAAATATAAGAGTTACAGAAGACTTATTTTCAGAAGTTATGCAAGCCAGTAGACAGTGGATATTTGGAGATCTTCCACCCAACAACAGCAGAATATACATTCTTTTCAAATGCACACAGGATAATCATTAAGACCACATTGAATGCCATAAAACAAATCTCAATTTTGTAAAACTGTTGAAATCATACAAAGTATTTTCTCTGGCCACAACAGAATTAAAGTAGAAATCAATAACAGAAAGGTATGTGGAAGTTCCCCTAAAAAATGGAAGATTATACTAATAATTGGTTGAAATCATGAACAAAGTCTTATAGCATTGGCCAGAGAATCTTTAATCTTTTCTTAAAAATGAATAAATCAAGTTAGAAAATATTGAAGCAACCTACCTGTGGACACATGTAAACTTCTGGTGTATATAATATGTTAAAAGAATTGTGAAGTTTGAGGTAGATGAGGAAAATATGAAAAGAGAACTTTATTTAAAGTGTTATCTCCCAGAGCTAAACACAGGCCTTCCGCTGTTGGATAAAGAGCTTCTCTGGGCAAGAAGATGACAGTTCTGGAATATAAAGACGCTCTCTACTTTTGAGGTACCCACTGTCTTCTAATATTAACTATTAAGTATACATTGGTCTTCTTTTTAGGGTTAAACTCTAGCCACATTTGCCTCCTTGCTGTTACTCAAACAAGCTACAAATATTCTTGCCTAAGGCCTTTGCACCAGCTGTTCTCTCTGTTGCCTTGTCTTCCCCCATAAATTGGCATGGCTCACTCCCTTGCTGTCTACAGGTACTTGCACAAACTTCACCTTCTCAATGAAGTCTTCCCTGACTATAATCTATCATCTTCATGGATTAATTTTTCTCCATAAACACCTCCCTGTTGAGTTTTTCCACTTAGTTCTTATTATTTTTCCTACCCCACTAAAATACAAAGTTGACCAGGTGCAATAGCTCACACCTGGAACCTCAACACTTTGGGGGCTCAAAGTGGGAGGAGTTTGAGACCACCCTGGGCAGCATAGTGAGACTCTATCTCTAAAAAAAAAAAAAAAAAAAAATCAGCCAGGCATGGTGTTGAGTGCCTGCAGTGCTACTCAGAAGGTTGAGTCCAGGAGTTTGAGGCTGAGCGAGCTGTGATTGTGCCACTGCATTTCAGCCTGAATAACATAGGGATACCTGGTCTCAAAAAAAAAAAAAAAAAAAAGAAGAAGAAGAAGAAGAAGCAGGAGCAGCACACTCTATGAGGGTAAAACTTTTGACTAATTTGTTCACCCAATATCCCCACTACCTAGAATGGTGCCTGACACATAGTAGTCCAATATACTATTTCATATAGTACTCCTGACACTGGAAGGGTCCTTCTCAGCATTCCAGTTTCAGGTTAAATGTCACCTCAGAGACACCTTTCTTGACCACATTATTTAAAGTACCATCATCTCATTCTAGTTATACTCTCTCCTAATACTCTTACACTTTCTTCACATGCTTATACACATCTGAAATTATTTTACTATTTGTTCACTTCTTTACTGTCAACTTCTTGCTGTCATAGAGTACAGAGTCCTTCTCTACCTTGCTCACAGCTGATCCCAGACCCTAGAACTGAACATTGCCAGATACATAGTAGGTGCTCCATAAAATATCTAATGAATGAATGAATGGATCTGAGTCCTTTGTGCTTTTCATTACTTTACTGTAATGCTCATACAAACCTATCTTTAAATCTCACTTATGCCTTTTTGCTCTGAATATTCTGACTGTAGTTTCCATGTAAAATATAACTTTAGTTGTCTGGTGACCCACTGTCTTCCAATCTTATAAAACACTCCAGTCTTCACATAAACAACTATAATAACAACAAAATCCTAAGCAGAGGAATTTACTATCCTTGGGCTAATAAAGGTAAGTTCCTCCTGTTGGGTCTTGTTTTATCCACAGCCATTTTACTTCTATATCTTTTACTTTTCTGAGCTGAATTTACTGAGCAGCAAAAGTAAAATCCTTTAATCTTCCATTTTGGGGCCTATGTTTGAAAAGGATTAAAGAGTCAAACAAAATTAGTTTCCAAACCTTCAATTTTCCAGGCCCACAGGCACTCTCCCTCTCCTCAGAAATGAAGGTGGCTTTGAGCCATCTGTTACTTCCCATGAAACATTTCTCTCGGCTGTCACAGCTGATTGCTGTACTTCTTTTCATATATAAGAGAAAATGAAAGAAAGACAGGAAAGAAAGACAGAAAAGAAAGGACCCAAAAAAAAAAAAATAGGGCTATTCTATCCACCTTCATGCACAGTTTGTTTACTGGTCCTCTAGTTTCCTTGGGAGA
Source organism: Homo sapiens (assembly GCF_000001405.40). NCBI lineage: Eukaryota > Metazoa > Chordata > Mammalia > Primates > Hominidae > Homo > Homo sapiens. Next base: position 44,075,019 of record NC_000013.11, read on the forward strand.
CCCTGCCAAAAAGAGGTGTCATTTAACTAACAACAGCAATTTCTCATTAAACCCCTAATTTAAACAAGACTCAGAGTGGAAAATTGCAAAACAAGAAGCTTGCAAATTGCATCAAAGCAGTGTTATTAGACATGGGAGTAAAGGACCCTGTATGATGCAGGCTCTTGAGATGAATCCTATAAGATAAATTTAGGGCTTTGTGCATAGGCTGCTGTGGGAACTGGCACCTCTTACTTGGAGTTACATGTATCCTGGAGATACATGTGACTACTGGCAGTAACCCAAGTTCTTTTGAGAGATGGAAACATTGACTAAAGGTAGGGTAACCGTATGTCCTGATTTGCCAGCAGGAACAGTCTCATATTATGCCTGTTGTCCCAGGACCATTATTAATAGTGCCTTCTTTCTCTCTCAAAAGTGTGCCGGTTTGGACAAAAAATTCTATGGTCATCCTAACTGAAGATCAGGATGGCTGATTAAATAATAAAAAGCATATATGTTCTCATCTGGTGTGGACTGCAAACGTGTTTGGATGGCAAAGATAAATCTTGCCAAGTTTCACCCATGTGCAACTAAGCTCATCGACTGATTGACTCTTGGCTGGCTAGAATCTTGGGCAGCCCAACTCAGACTGTTTGCAACCAGACTTCTCAGCTTTGGTGTTGTAAAAACTGAAGGCAGCTAATCCCAGAGAAGCATTTACAATTTGCCCAATGAGCCAAAAGAACTTAATTTGACTCTCTCTTGTTTGGTTACTTTCTCCTCTCGCCTTATTATCAAGTCCTGTACTGCTCAATTCAGTGACCACTAGCCATATGTGGCTACTGAGCACTTGAAATGTGGCTAGTTTGAACTGAGATGTGCTCTAAGTACACTGGATTTTGAAGACTTTGTACAAAAAAAAAGTAAACTATCCCATTAATAATTTTTGTATTGATTACATATTAAAATGGTAATATTTCAAATGTACTGATTTAAATAAAATGTATTAAAATTAATACCTAAAATTAATTTTATCTGTTTCATTTTTACTTTTTTAACGTAGTTATTAGAAACTAAGAATTATTGGCCAGGTGCAATGGCTCATGCCTGTAATCCCAGCACTTTGGGAGGCTGAGGCAGGTGGATCGTAAGGTCAGGAGTTCAAGACCAGCCTGACCAACATGGTGAAACCCCATCTCTACTAAAAATACAAAAATTAGCCAGGCATGGAGGCACTCACCTGTACTCAGCTACTCAGGAGGCTTAGGCGGGAGAATCGCTTGAACCCAGGAGGCGGAGGTTGCAGTGGACAGAGATTGCACCATTGCACTCCAGTCTGGGTGACAGAGCAAGACTCTGTCTCAAAAAAAAAGAAAAACAAAAAAAAAGAATTATTTATTTGGCTTGCATTATTTGCTATTAAACAGCAGTAATCTAGCCCCACCCCCCCCCCCTTTTTTTTTTTTTTTGAGAGGGAGTATCGCTCTGTTACCCAGGCTGGAGTGGAGTTGCACGATCTTGGCTCACTGCAACCTCTGCCTCCCGGGTTCAAGCGATTCTCCTGCCTCAGCTACCTGAGTAGCTGAGATTACAGGCGCCCACCACCACGTCCTAAGTTTTGTATTTTTAGTGACAGGGTTTCACCACGTTGGCCAGGCTGGTCTCGAACTCCTGGCCTCAGCTGATCCGCCCGCCTCGGCCGGCCTCCCAAAGTGCTGAGATTATAGGCGTGAGCCACCGCGCCCGGCCTAATCCAGCACTCTCAATTTTTATCCAGGGAGACCCACTGAACTAGAACTAAGAAAAAGATTCCGCCTTATTTTAAACTGCTGTTTGGAAATCTTTGTTTGTTTTCCTCATGTCAGGTATCTATTAACACTTCTAGACTTAGGTGAGATAACAAACATGAACTAGCTACCACTAGAGATTGGAACTCAATGTAATTCTCCCCTAGAGCAATAGTTTTCATCTCTCTCAAATAAATAGGGTTTTTGACACTGAAGCATACTCCTCTTATATAAATAAAAAAGGAAAAAACTGCTTAACATGAATTCATCTTGTCAATCATTCATTCATATTCCCTTACCTCAGTGGATATTACTAGCAGCATTTTCAGATGATTTGTTTTGGTTGCACTATATTTCTGTGGGTAGAATGTGAAATACACACAGGTTCTATTAGTAAAAGTTGTTGAAATGATTAAGTTGAGTAAGTGGTGAGTGTGAAATATAATTTATAGTCAACAATTTTGGTGAAATTTAGTGAACTGAAAAGCATAAATAGATTTAAAATTTTTCAAGAAGACATAATAAATTTCAAGAGAAATGGGAAATGTCTTTAAATGTGTACCTGATAACTATACGATATAGATAGTAGGTCAGATCAAGCAAATTATTTTCAACCAGTTAAGGATTTTTGGATTTCTGTTTGTAATAGAAGGCCAACCTATTAAGAAGGATCCAACTTATTTAAGAAGATCACTGTAGCTACTATTGAGATTGAAAAAAACCATACAATACTCAAAGTGGGGAGACTGGTTAGTAGGCATGAGATGATGGCAGTTTGGAATATAAACTATATTAAAAAGAATTCAGGGTAAAAAAATGTTGAAAAGAAGAAAATCCTTAATTGTAGCACCCACGCACAACCATAGATAACATCAAGTTATATTTCTGTCAAGCAATTTTTCTGCACATAGTTTTGGCCTGTTTGCATTTATATTGTATACGTAATTTAAAATCGTGCTTTTAAAACTTAGTATGGTAGAACTTTTTATGTTATAAAATACTTTATAAATACAGCCTTTAAGGTCTGCATCACATTTTGTCAATAGCTGCCGCTGGCTGCTTAACTATCTTCTACTGCTGGTCATTTTAGGTTACATAAAATAGTCCGCTATTTTAAATCACATTAAGTTTTTATTACTACATTCTCAGGGTTGAATGCCACAAGTGTAATTACTGGGTTAGAGGTTATGAACATCTTAGTTTATAACCTCTAACATTTGAATGTTGACAAATAGTGTTGGATTCAGGGGTTATTTTTTAAAGACAAGCATTTTTATTACTTTCAGATTTAGGCAGTGTAAGACTAGGTCAACAAACTGTTTTCGAGTAAAATGCTCTTTGGGGACCTTCCTTATTAAATAAATATTTTTAATGTATGAATTATTTCATTCACTCAACTATAACCTATTATACATCCATTCTGTACCAGGAGCACCCTAGATGTGAGAATACAAAGAGAAATACATTCTCTCCTTGCCCCAGGTGGAGATTTAAATCAATAATTTCAAAGGAGTACAAGATTTGTAAAAATGACACGTTTCCACAAATATTTTAACTATTTACTTGCATTCCTACTTACATTTTAAGTTAGTAAATTATTTCTTTATAAATAATTATTAGGCAAATTTTAGCCCCTGGTAGAATTATCAAATATTACAAATTAGTAAAGTCAAAGTTAACAGATTTTATTTTTGCTGTAAGTAAAAGTGCGTAAGTTTGCAGTCTAGTCTAAGAAGAAGCCAGTGTCATTTAGTGTGCTACCTAGATGGAAAATTGAGCTTCTTTGGCCTTTGTGTATCTAAAATCTGAGTTAAGAGCCAGTAGGCAGCACTTGACAGATGTTTTAAGACATTGATTGACAACTATACTGGAGGCACTAGATTCAAATATGAGTAACTGAAAACACAAAGAGGGAGAAGTTTTCTTTCCTTACGTTTTCTACCTTTTGCTTCTTTTCTTCACCTCTTTCACTTTGATTCTTCTAAAGAAAAAACACAGTTTTAGTAGAAATCATTAATAGAATCTAAACAAATCACAAAACCGAAGTGTCTTTGCAGTTGTAATTTACACCTTGAATTCAGCCAAAATCTAATTTACAAAGGAAGTTTTCAAATATATTGTTTGGGTAGGGGGAGGGGGTATGCAATGAGACTCCTCACTCCCTAAATCCTTCCAGCTCCAAGAGAAGTCCAGTAGCGAGCCTTTGTCATGTAAACTGGAGTAGAGAAAGGATAAATGCTTTCCAATGTTTGCCTCTTTTATGCAAGAGATAAGATTAAAATTATGCTAGTAGGGAGAAAATGAGTCTGAGGTACAGACCAGATAAGGGCTTTCAAGAGGAAATGAATCCTCTGAATGGACATTGTGTTAGGCACTATGCAACAAAGCCTTATCTGGCCCGAACTGTCAATAATGCCATGATCTTGGGATTGTAAGAGAGGTCGACCCTCTCCATTCTCCGTCCCATTTCCAACAAGACCAGAATTTAATCTTCACTCACTCACTCATTTAATAACTATCTATCAAATGCCTACTATGTACCATATGCCATTCTAGACACTGAATACATTGGCAAACAAAAACAGACAAAGGCAAAAAATAGTAAATACATAAGACGTCTTATTACATAACAAGTATATGTGTATTAGTAAATGCTACGAGAAAGAAAAGGAGAGCAGGTAAGGTGGTTGGGAAAGCTGTGGCAGGGAATGGGAAGTGTTTTGTTCATCAGGATAAGCAGAATGGGCCTCACGGAGAAGCTAACATTTGAGCAGAGACCCGAGGGAGGTGAGGGAGGTGGCCGTTTAGATGGCTGTCTGAGGGAAGCGCAGTCCAGGAAGAGGCAGGGCACAAGATCTAAGCAGCACACAGACTGTGTCAAGGAACCACAGGGAGTTCTGTGTGGCTGAAGCAGAGCGAGCAAGGAGGGCACAGCAATAGCAGCTGAGGTATTGCAGAAGCAAACGTAAGGGCCAGATCATACAGGGACTTATGGCCATTGTAAGAATGTTGGATTTAATTCTGAGTAAAAGGAGGAGTCTTCGCAGGCTTTTGAGCAGAGGAGTGGCATGATCTGATTCATGTTTAGGAAGGGTCAGCGCTAGCTTCTGGGCTGATGACAGATGGTGGACAGCAAGGGTAGAAGCAGAGAGACTGATGGGCATTTAGGGCAGTGATCCAGGCAAGAGATAAAGCTGGCGCTGACCTGCTTGGTTACAGTGGAGGTTGTGAGAAGTGGTTGGATCCCTTCCCCTGTCCTCATCCCACTCTTGAGGCCATAAACACTGAGAAATGCACTCGATCATCACACAGCAGAGCTAGCAGAACAGGAGAAAGGAGAAAAGTCTTGATGTTCTTGTGCAAATGGAGGCTGTAAAATTGACAAGATAAGACTGGACTTTGGACTTGATGCTGAAACAAGTTGGGACATTGAGGAACTATTAGGATGCAATGATTGTATTTTACAATGTGAGAAGAACATGAGATTTGGGGGGCCAGAGGTGAAATGGTAGTTTTGGATGTTTTCTCCCCTCCAAATCTCATGTTGAAATGTGACCTGCAATGTTAGAAGTGGGGTCTAGTGGGAGGTATTGGATCATGGAGGCAGATTCCTCATGAACAGCTTAGCACCATCCCCTTGACTAGTAAGTGAGTTCTCACTCTGGGTTCATGCAAGATCTTGTTGTTTAAAAGAGTCTCTCTCTTGCTCACTCTCTCACCATGTGATGTGTCTGCTCCTGCTTCACCTTCTGCCATGAGTGGAAGCTCCTTGAGGTCTCACCAGAAGTGGAGTAGATGCCAGTGCCATGCTTTCTGCACAGCCTGCAGAACTGTGTGCCAATTAAGCCAGTTTTTAAAAATAAATTGCTCAGTCTCTGCTATTCCTTTACGGCAACACAAAAACAGACTAATGCACCCAGTATACTTCCAGGCACACTGTGTCAAACAAATAGTAACTGATGGAAATATAGAGCTGTAAACACAGTGTACAATAAACTATATGGCTTGACACACTTTCATGAAGTCAAGATCTTAGTCCTTCTAATCCAAATGTGTTCTCTTGACCCTTTTGAGATAGTGTAACATTTGGGCCTTTACTCAAAGACGTGAAATCACTTAATGTAGACGATTATATTGTCAGAGGATAGGTTGACATATATCTGCTACAGTTATGTCTCTTCAAATAATTGTAATATTCCTGTACATTTTAATTGGAAATTTCTGTTAAGGGTATAAGTTTTATTACTCAATTCAATTAAATCAAGTACATGCAAGAAGTCATTGAGGAGTAGCAAGTATAGGTCTTACATGTTCAAACCCAGAAAATAGAACACAAGTGTGTTTTAAAATAGAAACTTTTTCAATTAAGCCAACCCCTTCCTGCTCAATAAAATTCATCTCAATCAAAATTGATGACAGTACTTTCTAACTGTAATAAATGGCTGTAAATAAGCAATTCAATTTGCAATGCCTGCAACATGAAATATAATTAACCTAGCATAACCTTCATTATAATATTTGTCACACCTTGAATCAAGGTTATCAAAATGGCCATTATTTGCAAGGGACAGAAGCCATTCATTGCTGAATTTGTTATGCCTGCATTCTGAGGCAATAGTTTATCTATCTTCTATTTGGAAATTAAAATTTTAAAGTAATTACATAAAATAATATATTACAATTATTTGTTGCTATAATACAGGATATGAAAAGCATTATACACAGGGAAATCTAAATAGCATCGCAACCCAGGTTCCATTTGTGAAATTTACTGTCCATTTATTGTGAGATTTTGATAAGCCCTTTATTACTAGAATGCTTCTGTATGTATTTTCATCAGTAAAATAAGAATAGGAGAAGTAGATGCCCCCTCATCTGAATGAAGCACATTAGGATTAAAATAGCAATATTCCAGTAGTCTTGCTTACAGCAAAATAAGCATTTTTGCTTGAAAAGACTAGATCAATTGAGAACTGATGTTGGAAGATGATGCTTGAAGTTTATTTAGAATCAACACTGGCTTTGCTTATGCAGAGATTGATTGTTTTTAATTCAATGTATTCCTGTATTTATAGTGATGTTAATTGAATATAAAAATGGATATCATTTGAGTTAAGCATCTTGCCACCTTTTTTTTAAAATGGGAACTATTATTATAATAATAATTATTATTATTATTATACTCTAAGTTCTGGGTTACATGTGCAGAACGTGCAGTTTTGTTACATAGGTATACACATGCCCTGGTGGTTTGCTGCACCCATCAACTCATCACCTACGTTAGGTATTTAGGTATTTCTCCTAATGTTATCCCTCTCCTAGCCCCCCACCCCACGACGGGCCCAGGTGTGTGATGTTCCCCTCCCTATGTCCATGCGTTCTCATTGTTCAACTCCCACTTATGAGTGAGAAGATGTGGTGTTTGGTTTTCTGATCTTGTGATAGTTTGCTGAGAATGATGGTTTCCAGCTTCACCCATGTCCCTGCAAAGGACATGAACTCATCCTTTTTTATGGCTCTTTAGTATTCCATGGTGCATATGTGCCACATTTTCTTTATCCAGTCTATCATTGATGGACGTTTGGGTTGGTTCCAAGTCTTTGCTATTGTGAATAGTGCTGCAATAAATATATATGTGCATGTGTCTTTATCATAGAATGATTTATAATCCTTTGGGTATATGCCTAGTAATGGGATTGCTGGGTCAAATGGTATTTCCAGTTCTAGATCCTTGAGGAATTGCCACACTGTCTTCCACAATGGTTGAACTAATTTACACTCCCACCAACAGCATAAAAGCATTCCTATTTTTCCACAACCTCTCCAGCATCTGTTGTTTCCTGACTTTTTAATGATTGCCATTCTAACTGGTGTGGGGTGGTATCTCATTGTGGTTTTGATTTGCATTTCTCTGATGGCCAGTGATGATGAGCATTTTTTCATGTGTCTGTTGGCTGCATAAATGTCTTCTTTTGAGAAGTGTCTGTTCATATCTTTTGCCCATTTTTTTGATGGGGTTGTTTTTTTCTTGTAAATTTGTTTAAGTTCTCTGTAGATTCTGGTTATTAGCCCTTTGTCAGATGGATAGATTGCAAAAATTTTCTCCCATTCTGTAGGTTGCCTCTTCACTCTGATGATAGTTTCTTTTGCTGTGCAGAAGCTCTTTGGTTTAATTAGATCCCATTTGTCAATTTTGGCTTTTGTTGCCATTGCTTTTGGTGTTTTAGACATGAAGTCCTTGCCCATGCCTATGTCCTGAATAGTATTGCCCAGCTTTTCTTCTAGGATTTTTATGGTCCTAGGTCTTACTTTTAAGTCTTTGATCCATCTTGAGTTGATTTTTGTAAAAGGTGTAAGGAAGGGGTCCAGTTTCAGTTTTCTGCATATGTTTTCCCAACACCGTTTATTAAATAGGGAGTCTTTTCCCCATTGCTTGTGTGTGTCAGGCTTGTCAAAGATCAGATGGCTGTAGATGTGTGGTGTTATTTCTGAGGGCTCCATTCTGTTCCATTGGTCTATATATCTGTTTTGGTACGAGTACCATGCTGTTTTGGTTACTATAGCCTTGCAGTAGAGTTTGAAGTCAGGTAGTGTGATGCCTCCAGCTTTGTTCTTCTTGTCCAGGATTGTCTTGGCTATGTGGACTCTTTTTTTGTTCCATATGAAATTTAAAGTACTTTTTTCCAATTCTGTGAGGAAAGTCAGTGGTAGCTTGATGGGGATAGCATTGAATGTATAAATTACTTTGGGCAGTATGGCCATTTTCACAACATTGATTCTTCCTATTGAAACTGAGTTTGAAAGAATTGCAGTTACATCAAGGACTCATACTAATTCTCACATCAGGTTAGAATCAGTAACAGGTTTACAACTATAAAAACAACGACAGCTCGAGGATTTTGTTCTTTAAAAATGAAAAATTAAGTAGACATTTGTAGATTTTACCTTTATTTGTTGGCTGAAGTTCTGTTTGGCATAAAATAATTACGGGCCACTCTGAATTATACTTACCTGTCCTATTATCTCATATTTAAGAAATGGCTGAACCACTGGGAAGATTAGGAGGGAGGAGGGGCACTCCTAGGACCTGAAGACTGCAAAGAATTTTCTGGGTCTCCAGAGTCCTTTATCCCCAGCATGGGATGTTCTTTCAAATATTTTGATTATTCACTTTTATCATTGAAAGTTATATGTATATTAATTTATTATTATATATTAAGAATGTATATAATGTGCATCTATTATGTTCAAGTACAATAATTTTAAAAGATGAAATATAGGTGAAATAAACAATACTTTAATAAATGCATATTTTCTTAATAAAATAGAACCCATGTGCTCTCACTATAAACATTATTATTGAATATACTTCTGTATCAGTTAGCCTTTACTATATAACAAAACACTCAAAAACGTAGTGACTGAAAACAACTTTCATTCACTTCCTCACAATTCTGTGAGGTGGCAGCTTGAGCTTTGCTTCTCTGGATGGTTCAAAGGCTGCTCACTTCCAGGCTCAGTCATGCGACTGCAGTCAGCTGGCATCTCAGCTGGAGTTGGATGGTCCAGGATGTTCTAAGTTGGAAATTGGCAGCCTGGATGTCTTGGTTTTCCTCCATGTGGCCTCTCTAGTGGGATAACTTGGGCTTTTTCACATGGTCACAGGGCTCCCAGCAGCAACAGAGGCAGGTCCAAATGTGTGTTTTTTTTTTTTTTTTTTTTTTTTTTTGAATTGTAGTCTCACTCTGCGGCCAGGTTGGACTACAGTGGGCAAACTTGGCTCACTGCAATCTCCACCTCCCAGGTTCAAGTAATTCCCCTGCCTCAGCCTCCCGAGTAGCTGGGATTACAGGCACACACCACCACACCAGGCTAATTTTTTGTATTTTAGTAGAGACAGGGTTTCACCATGTTGGCGAGGATGGTCTCTATCTCCTGACCTTGTGATCTGTCTGCATTAGCCTATAGATTTTATTTTTAGAGCATTTTTAGGTTTACAGAAAAAATTTAGCAGAAAAGCAAACTTCCCAAAATACCCCTTCTCTACCCACTTGCATCCTCCCCCAACAGTTTCCCCTATTAACATCTTGCACCAATACAGTACTTTTGCTACAGTTGGTGAACAAATATCAATACATTATTATTAACTAAAGTCCACAGTTTACATTAGGATTCACGCTGTGCTGTGCAGTTCTATAGGTTTTGCCAAATGCATGATGTCATGTATTCACCATTACAGTTTTATATACAATAGTTCCACTAAAATACCTTAAGTTCCACCTATCCATCCCTCTCTCTCTCCCCCCATATTCTTGGTAACCACTGATTTTTTTTTTTTTAACTATCTCTGGAAACTTGCCTTTTCCAGAATGTCTTATATTTGGAATCTTACAGTATATCACATTTTCAGGCCAGTATTTTTCATTTAGCAAAATGTTATTAAAGTTCTTTCTTGTTTTATCATGACTGATAAGGTTTTTTCTTTTTGTAACTAAATAATATTCCATTGCATAATGTACCATACTTTGTTTATTCATTCACCCACTGAAATAAAGTTGCTGTAAACATTCATGGGCAGATTTTTGTGTGAACCTAAGTTTTCAATTAATGTGGGTAAGTAGCAAGAATTGTGATTGCTGGATCATTTGGTAAGGTTATGTTTAGTTTGCAAGAAACTGCCAAACTGCCTTCCAAAATGGCTATACTGGTTTGCATTTGCACCAGCAATGAATGAGAGTTCCTGTTGCTCTACAACCTCACTCAGCATTTTATATGTCAGTGTTTTGGATTTTAGTTACTCTAATAGATATGTAGTAAAATTCAAGCTTATTATTGCTTGAATTTATCTAAGTATGTTTTCAAGCCTGTTTGCATCATACTTGCTAGTGATCTCTTCAGCAAAGCAAGTCATATAGACGAAGCCCCATGTCTGTGTGGGAAGCGAATACCCAAAAGGCATGGTTTTCAAGAGAGAATTGTGAAGTCCTTCAATAAACAATCTACCACGACTTTGTCATTGTTTTTTATCTTGGTTTTGTAGTTTGTGATATAGTGATTCCAAGTTCTGGGCTATAACAACAGTCGACTTCATTACTTGGTTTTAATAACCATTAAGCTAAAAAGATATCTTACAAAGATCTCATTGAAAGTTGTTGATTGAGTTTACAATATAATATTCTGATTTTTTAGTCTCATTCATAATTATATAAAAAAATCTTTTTGTTAAAATTTATTAATTTTCATCTTCTCTGGCATCAATTCATTTTTCTCACAATTTTGAAGGTGGGTATTTTTTTTATTTTCTAAAACATTGATTTAAAAATTCAATGAAACTCTCTGAAAGATTTTTGACATAATAAAAAATTGTCTTGAATTTTATAATGGTACAGACAAGAGATTTCTAAATAGGTTGTCTACATTGTTTTCAGCATCAAGATCACATAACCAAGGAGCATTTTCAAACATCTTTTTTCAAATTCTCTTTCTATAGCACCCATTTCTTTCAAAAGCAATTTCTTTCTTACTTATCATTAAAATTGATGTGTTAATATTTTAAAAATATCAACTAGCTTAACTATTAGCCACTTGTCATGGTAGAAGTGGTAAGCAATTTTGGAACACTAGTATCTTTACAGAAGAAAGTAACTCATTTTAAAATTTAACAGCTCTTCTAAGTAACTTACTATGAGATAACTAAGGAAACTCTGTGTAGTATAAAAGTATTTTGTGGTCATGGTCACAGGCATATGTAAACTGCAAAATATCGGAATATGCTGAAAATTAAAAAGTGCTGGAAGGTGCTGCCATTAACACCTCTGTCTTGTGAAACCCCTGCCAACTGTGGGTTACACAAACCTCTAACACTTGGACCAACTGAGGAAACCTGTATCAGTCCTCATGTTAATGGTGAATTTTACTCCTTTATTTATTATTTAAGATAAGTAAATAGAAATCTGTTATGCTTAGCTCTGGGATGCCTGCACCCTACTTTGGAGACCCTTGTAACAAACAGCCATTGATTTCAAGGTACATGTGAAATGGGTCTTCGAAGGGAATTTCTGGCACGGTGTCAAGGAGGGTTTCTTCAGTGTCAAGTTGTATGGTACTTGTGTCATATTTGACTCAGAATACATTTTTCCATAGGATCCATGTTGTGATGCTTAGGGTCTTGAGTTATTTCTCAGATTTTAAAAAACCTATACCATAACTATTAATCTATAATCTAAACTAATTAAAATACTATTTTGGTCACATAATAAATTAAGTCAATTTTATGAGCCAGCTTTCAAAATTAACCAATATCAGGATAATTCTGAGTGTCAGGAAAGTGTAACCTCCACTTGTTTTACTTTAATTCTTTTGTACCACCATGAATATATCCACCCACTTAGCCCCCTCGATGCTGAATAGAGCAGTGGGACACAGAGAGAGGTTGTCAGGACAATCAAACATCTTCCAAATGGGTTGTACCGTTAACTGTGGAGGAGAGTCATGGGCCCTTTCTTTTCCGAAACCATTCACCTGCCTTTCCTTGCAATGATAATAAATATATTACATGTTGAGAATGACAAAACCAGTTCTTTACTCAAAGGTTCAGTTATAAGTGTAAAGCAGGACTTCTCAGCCACAGCACTGCCGGCATCTTGGGCCACATAATTCTTCGCCGTGAAGCTCCGTCCTGTCGATGTAGGATGTTTAGTAGTATCCCTGGCCTCTACTGCTTCTAGATGCCAGTAGCACTCCTTTCCAGCAGTTACAATGACCAAATGTCCCCTGAGGGGTAAAGCCATCGTTAAGAACCATTGGTCAAAAGGTAAAAGGATCACGGGAGGGGTTGGATGTCCTGCTACTTCTTTCTTCCTTTGCACTAAACAATGAAGGCTGTTTCCCAAGTGAATTTCTTTTCCTTCCCTTCCTAGATCGCAATCCTCTCTTCCTGAAGTCTTATTTTTGTTCCTTTCCTTTCTTGGTATCTTTACTTTCCCTATTTCCCTGGACATACCACTTAACCCTACAAAAATTATCAACCCCCAAATACACTCTTTATCTTGTCAATTTTACAGCCTCCATCTGCACAAGAATATCAAGACTTTTCTCCTTTATCCTGTTTCTGCACCTCTGCTGAGTGGAGGAGTGAGTGCATTTCTCAGTGTTTATGGACTCGAGGGTGGGATGAGGACAGAGGAAGGGATCCAGCCATTTCTCACAACCTCCACTCTTACCGAGCAGGTCAGCACCAGCTTTATGTCTTGCCTGAATCACTTGCTCTAAATGCCCATCAGTCTCTCTGCTTCTACCCTTGCTGTCCACCATCTGTCATCAGCCCAGAAGCTAGCGCTGACCCTTCCTAAACATGAATCAGATCATGCCACTCCTCTGCTCAAAAGCCTGCAAAGGCTCCTCCTTTTACTCAGAATCAAATCCAACATTCTTACAATGGCCATAAGGCCCTGTATGATCTGGCCCTTACGTTTGCTTCTGCAATACCTCAGCTGCTATAGCTGTGCCCTCCTTGCTCGCTCTGCTTCAGCCACACAGAACTCCCTGTGGTTCCTTGACACAGTCTGTGTGCTGCTTAGATCCTGTGCCCTGGTTCTTCCCTCTTCCTGGACTACCCTTGCCTCAGACAGCCATCCAAATAGCCACCTCCCTCACCTCCCTCGGGTCTCTGCTCATGGGGGCAGATCCCTCATGAATGTCTTGGTGCTGTCCTTGCGTTTATGAGTGAGTTCTCACTCTTAGTTTACATGAGAGCTGGTTGTTTGAAAGAATGTGGCACCCCTTCCTCTCTCTCTTGCTTCCCTCTCTGGCCATGTGACATGTCTCTTCCCCCTTCTCCTTCTGCGATGAGTAAAAGCTTCCTGAGTCGTCACTGGAAGCTGAGCAGATGCTGGTCCCATGCTTGCACAGCCTGCAGAACCATGAGCCAAATAAACATCTTTTCTTTATAAATTACCCAGTCTTAGGTATTCCTTTACAGCAATGCAAAATGTACTAACACCCTGGGTATTGTGCAAAATTCACCAGAGAATGGAGGGGGCAAATTTCCACTGAGCATCAGTTTTAACTGATTAGGAAGGCTCATTTAAATGTCATCATAGAAATAAAAAACAGACTTGGGTCCTATGGAAAATTAGTCACAAAGACTGTTCTACTTCATATTTCTTTTTCAAAGAGACACTTTTTTTGTGGCATCAAAGGTCCTTCTTAATCTGGCTACTTTATTACTGCAGTTTCCTCTCTCATGACATTCTACCGCAAAACTTACGTTCCTGCTGTAGTGCTTTCTCAGGTCATGCCGCAGGATAGAGACTGAATGTCATGTGTTGAAATCTGTTGCCTTATGTGCTGGTATTTGGAGGCATCCTAATGTGATGACTTTAGAAGGTTTTTAGGTCATAAGCGCTCCTCACAGGATTAGTAGCTTTAACAAGAGATCCCAGAAATCCCTGTTTCTTCTGCCATGTGAAGACACAGTGAAAAAAGGACTATCTATGAAACAGGAAGTGGACCCTCACCACTGAAACTGTTGGTGGCTTGATCTGGGACTTCCCAGTTTCTAGAACTATAAGAAATAAATTTCTGCTGTTTATAAGCCACACTGTCTGTGGCATTTTGTTATGGAAACCCAAAAGGACTAAGAAACCATGCTTTATCTCACTTCTAAATCTCTACTCATAACATCCTTTTGGACTGAAATTCCTATTGCCCTTTCTTCTCTAACTCTGCTTGGGGAATGTCTGCTCATTCTGGAACCCAACCTTCAGATAATCCATGAGGGCTTTCCTAAAACATTTTCACTCTTCATGCCTCAAGGAGAATTTACCACTGTCTCTGTATTAATTTGCTAGGGTTGCCATAACAAAGTACCACAAACCGCATGGCTTATGTAACAGAAATGGATTGTCTCATAGTTCTGGAGGCTCGAGCTCTAAAATCAAGGTGTCAGCAAGGTCAGTTCTTTCTGAGGGCTGTAAAAGAATGATTTGATTCAAGGTTCTCTCTTTGGTTTGCAAATGGCCTTCTTCCTATGTCTCTTCACATCTCCTCTCTCTGTGTGTGTCTATGTCCAAATTTCTCCTGGTTATGAGGGCACCAGTCCTATTAGATTAGGGCCCACCCCAGTGACTTCGTTTTAACTCTGTAAGATTATCTCTCTAAAGATCCTATCTCCAAATAAGGTCACATTCTGTTGTACTGGGGGTTAGGACTTCAACTCATGGATTTTGGGGGAAATAATTCCACCCATAGCATAAAATAAATATTTTATTTATTTTCCTCTATTTGTACTGTAATAATTTTTTGAACTAGAGTATTTGTTTCTGCCTGACATCTTCCACTAGTGCGAACCACATTTGATTTTTCTTTATTCCTGACCCAGTATAATTCCTAGCACAAGAGGCTGATTGCTAAACTCAGTTGGTCAGTTTTCTTTGTTTTGTTTTTTATTTTTGAGGCAGAGTCTGATTCTCTGTCACCCAGGCTGGAGTGCAGTGGCACCATCTCGACTCACTGCAACCTCCATCTCCCGATTCAAGTGATTCCCGTGCCGCAGCCTCCTGAGTAGCTGGGACTATAGGTGCACGCCATTATGTCCAGCTAATTTTTGTATTTTGAATAGAGACAGGTTTTTGCCATGTTGGCCAGGCTAGTCTCAAACTCCTGACCTCAAGTGATCTACCTACCTTAGCCTCCCAAAATGCTGGGATTACAGGCGTGAGCCACCACACCCTCAATGGTTGGTTTTCTGATTGAATGATCAACCAACAAAAATCCAAAATGATGGTAGTCAACCTTCCCCATTTAATGTTTAAGAAGGACGATGGAAATACCTGTGTGGAATTCTATATTTACCTTTTCTTATAGGTCCATCTCCCCCATTAGACTATGATTTCTTTGAGGATAGAACCATGTTTTATTCTTGATATAATAGAAATCATTAATTAGTAGCTTATCTGCTGTCTACCATACTCTTCCTTTTTACAAACAAAAGCTACATTTTGTTGGGGAAGGCAACATGTCTCAGACTCCTCTGCAGATAAATGAGGCTATCGGATGGCATTTTGGCCAATAAGAAGTAAATGGAAATGTGGACAGGACTTCCAGGAAAAGAGGAGAGGGCCCAGCTGGCATGTTTTCTTGCCCTTTGTCATTTCCCATTTTCCTATCTGGAATGCAGAGGCAGTGCTCAGAAGTGAAGCAACCAGTCTGTAACAGGTAAATAGAACACAGTAAAAATGGCTAAGCAGAAGGATAGAAAATATCTTTACTTCAACCTCATTCTTGAAAGATGGTTTCCTAGTACAAGATTCTAAGTTGACATTTATATCCTCTCAGCATGAAGAAATTTTTGCTGTCATTATTGCTGTTGAGAAGTTAGCCACCACTCTAATTGCCTTTTCTTTGTAGGTGGATGTGTCTTCTACTTGCTGTTTTAAAAATCATTTCCTTCCTCTCTTTTGGTGTTTTGCTTCACTATAATATGTTTAAGTATGAATTTCTCTTGTTTATCAGACTTGTGACTCATTGGCCTTCTTGAACATGAGGATTGGAGTCTTTTGACAGCTAAAAGCAATTATCAGTCATTATCTCTCCAAATATTGTATTTTTCTCATTATCTGAATTATATCTCTCTAAAGCTTTCACTAATATATGTCAAATATTCCTACTGTATTCTCCATCTCTCTTTACTCTCTTTCATACTTTCTATCTTTTAATGTCTCTGGACTGTATTCTGTATAGTTTCTTTAGCTACATCTCCCAATTGACTAATTCGCTCTCTAGCTGCATCTGTCTTATCTGCTGTTTACATTGCCTTATTAATTTCAAGTTGTATGTTTATTACTTCTAGAAGCTCTAAAACTTCTCTAGTGACTCCTTTACAAATATATTTGGTTCTTCTTAGAAAATTTCTTATTGTTGATATTCTTCCTTTCCTTTATTTCTCAAAACATTAAATATATTTTATCTTTAGTATCTCATAATTCCAGTATATGAAGTCTTTGCAAGTTTGATTCTTCTGTTTATTTTTTCTGCTGGTTTTTACTTATGGCTTCTTTGTTCATTAAGTGTTTTGTGAATTTTGACTGTAGACTGCTTATTTTTCTTATAACATTTTCAGTGGGAATTCTTTGAGGCCTGACTTCAAATTCCTCTAAGAGTATTTGGATTTGTTTGGCTTAATAATATGATGAAAGACACCACTAACATGGGGCCACTTTATATTCTTAATTTTTCTTTGAAACACAAAGACATTGTGAATTAGACAGCAAACCCACCGTGAAGTCAGGTTTAATGGTTTGAATTCTCAGGAGAGATTCCCCTCATCCTCTACCCAGCACCCAGGTTGATCCAGGCAAATTTCTTTGTTGTCCCTTCTAATGGTGGTTTTACTCCTTGTTTACTATTACACTGAAGGTGTGGCCCTTTGGATACCAGCTTTATGTTGGGCGTTCTCTATAGGCTTCATTTCCTTATATGGACCTTAAGTTTCACTTCCTGACTCCTCTGATTTCACTAGACTAGCTCAAATTTTCCAGAGTTCAGCAGAAAATCTCAGAAAGAAAGATAACTTTGGCAATCTCTTTCTCCATGGGGTCTCTGCTTTCACTTTGTTTTTGACCTCTGTGGATTCCTTCCTTATGCACCAGTCATTAGATTCTTTCTTCTCCAGCATTATGGTTGTTTCAGTTACCACATCCTTCAAGGCTATCTACAAGCCATACCACAAGAAACAGAAACAAAAATTGTTTGTTTACATTGGTGAAAAATTTGCAAATAATCTGAATATTTACCCATAAAAAATTTATGGTACGTATACATGTATGAGATGTACATATAAAATGTCATGAAATCATGAAAAGGAATGTGGTCGATGTACAGGTACTGGCATAAAAATATGTTTAACATATACTTTTAAATGCAAAGAGCTAGTTGCACAACAATATACATAACATGACTCTGTTTATGGTTTATGTTTTAAAAAATGAGAAACATATGTTCTTTTGCAAAGACACGTTTTTATTTAAATGCACAGAAAAAGATCCAGATGCTTACAGACTAAATGTAAAGAAATTTTATTTATACCTTTTTTTAACTTTTTAAAATGAAAATGTATTCCTGTACTACTTGAGTTTATTTAAAAATAAACAAGTTTAAGAGATTATAAGTTATAAGGCATATGAAGCACTTAGTATAGTGCCTGACACATCATAAGAACGAACTTAACAAATTTTTGCTTGTATTGTTATTTTCATTTAAAAGAAAGAATTATTGATACATAGTGGAGTATTGTATGATATGATGGTGGATTGTGCTGCTCTACTAATCAGTAGCAGACCTCAGATTGGAAACTTCATTTTTTTTTTTTTTTTTTTTGAGACGGAGTTTCGCTCTTGTTGCCCAGGCTGGAGTGCAATGGTGCAATCTCGGCTCACTGCAACCTCTGCCTCCCAGGTTCAAGCAATTCTCCTGCCTCAGCCTCCCTAGTAGCTGGGACTACAGGCATGTGCCACCACGCCCGGCTGATTTTTGTATTTGTAGTAGAGATGGGGTTTCTCCATGTTGGTCAGGCTGGTCTTGAACTCCCGACCTCAGGTGATCTGCCCACCTCGGCCTCCCAAAGTGCTGGGATTATAGGCATGAGCCACCGCGCTGGGCCTGGAAACTTCATCTTTTGATTAAAAATACCTATCTATTTCCAAACTATAATTTATAGATCACTTGTTTCACTTGCTGCTTTCAGATGTTAATAGGTATTATTCAAAAAAATCCAGGATAATGTATTTTTAAATGCTGGGTTACACAACTATAACAATTTTTGTTTGTTTTGTTTTTTAACAGTCAGAGTTATAAAATTCTAATATACATTATGAGTCTCAAAGAGGGAGATCTAGTATAAAACACTCCTCAACTTACTGAAACCTAGAATCCTTTCTCTCAAGCATCCCCAGGGACTTCTCTTCTATGAAACACCCTTTTGGAAATACTTCACTAGACCATAATACACATAACAGATATCACAATATCCATTTACTGACTCTGAACAAATTGTGAGTTTTTATAGTCAAGTTGTCATGATGTTTAATGGATAGTGCATTCTCTTTTGTCCTTTAATTCGTCTAGAACAGATTCCAAGTATAAACAATGACTTGTTTTGTAACTGAAGGCAAGAGACCTTCCCTGTCCATGTCTCAGTATACGAAACACTTCTTTGGATTAGCATTGACTAATGGATGGAAAATATGATGCATCTAGAGCTGTTTCTTGGCATCAGATAACCTAAAGCTAAACAACAGGGCAGGCATGAAAAATAAGAGGAGACAAAAACAAACCCCTGATGTCCTTGTTCCTGCTGACTGTTACTACACAATTAAGATCCCTGCTGATTGGGAAAAAAAAAAATACACTACCATCTGTAATTGGATGAAAAAATATTTTTTGCACATGTTTGGACTGTATAAAGGAAAACTCAATGAAGTCAGAAGATATCAAAACAAAATATGCAATTCATTATCTCTAAGCTATATAAATAAGCTATGTAAATAATGAATGAATGTATACATCTTGCTAAGTATCTCCTTCCTCCACCTTTTACATCTGCTAATTGTAACATGTTTGCAGAGAGCTGTTATCTTGGCATTCTTCATCCTTTTGAAAATAAACCATTCAAACTTGTTAATTTGTTCTTACAGCATCAGTTAACCAAAGGGCAGCATGGAGAAGAAGAGATTGTTACTGGCGGCAGGTATATGAGTTACTGGTGGCAAATCCATACGGGTCTGCAACAACCTCAATTCTTGCCTCCTCAGAAGAAAGAATTTGACTGAGGGGCATAAAGCAGAAAAAGAGACCAAGGCAAGTTTCAGAGCAGGAGTGGAAGTTTATTAACAAGGCTTTAGGGCCGGGTGTGGTGGCTTACGCCTGTAATCTCAGCACTGTGGGAGGCCGAGGTGGGTGGATCACAAGGTCAGGAGTTTGAGACCAGCCTGGCCAACATGGTGAAACACCATCTCTGCTAAAAATACAAAAATTAGCCAGGAGTGTGGCAGGCCTCTGTAATCCCAGCTACTCGGGAGGCTGAGGCAGGAGAATTGCTTGAACCTGGGAGGCGGAGGTTGCAGTGAGCTGAGATTGAGTCACTGGACTCCAGCCTGGGCAAAAGAGTGAAACTCTTGTCAAAAAAAAAAAAACCCACAAAAAAGCAACAAACAAACAAACAAACAAACAAACAAAAAACAAGGCTTTAGAAAAGGAAAGAACACTTGGAAGAACGTGAAGTGGGTGATGTGAAGAACAAGACTTAGATTATTCCAGATTGTGGGTGAACAACAAGTGTGGTGTTTAACCATGATCCTAGGACTTTATAGGCTGCCATCTTGCATCCCTTTCCCGTGATTTTTCTCTTGAGGTGAGCTGCCCACATGTGTAGTACCCTCCTTACCCTTGGGAAGTGAGCACACACAGGGTGTTTAGGAAGTTGTATGCATGGCCATCTGAGGCTTTCTTCCCTTTTCTAGTGGAGTGCCCCCAGAAGGTCATATTCTACCATTTTGTCTCTTAATGCGTATGCCCAGGAAGTTGCTTCTCCCTGACATCGGCATTCAATGAACACTTTAATGTTAACAGCTGTGGATCAGCTGGAGACTGTCTCTCCCCGGCTCTGGCCACATTTTTTAGAGAGGCAGTATGATAATTGTTGAACCATCACCTGACATTCCTAGTGGGTGGCAGAGAAAAGCCCTGTCTTGCCTCCCTCATGTCTATGTCTAACTACCTGCAACAAGAAGATAAAACGAGACCCCCAATGTCTTTGTTTCTGCTGACTGATAGCATCTTCAGACAGAACCATCCTTAGGCACATGCATTTTTACTATGAATGGTATATTAGGAATCGGGAGAGAATACAAGCTGAAGATGTAGAATGGGGACTTGTGACTTCAATAGAAAAGAATTGCTTCCATTTTTTAACATTGGGGGTTAGGATAGTTTTGCTTCTGTAGTATGTGCAACTGGGCTGTCAAGCCCAGTTGATTATTCCAGATTGTGGGGGAGAAGGAGGTCTTTACTTCCAAGAATTGTCTGAAAAACAGAGAACTCTCCCTGGAACATGATTTTTTAAAAGCCTTCTAGAAGGAAAAGACCTCTTTGGTGACATCAAAGGGCTTCCTCATTCTAATCCATAAAGAAGTTCAGTTGAAGTGAATAGAAGTTCCTCCATGGTCTGAGATTGTAACATTACTTTTTTTTCTCAACTATGTAGAAAGCAAAAAGTGATAATTTGGATTCTTTAATTTTTTAAGCACAAAAGTACTAAGTGCAGTGTTTCCTGACCCTTGCCTCTGAGTGGGTTAACGAGGTGAGGGCACTGGTGAGAAGGAGGTATATAGATTACTGTCTGTGACCAGGAAGTTCTCCATTCTGATAAGGCTGAATTTGATCATTCTATTAATAAATGCTGAAGTCTGGAATATGTCTTCTATTGTCCTATATTTGTTAAAATTGTTCATCTGTGCTCTCTTTCTACTCATGAAAATGACAGTGAAAAATAGCTGTCCATTAACACAAAAGCAAAATGTAATGCAGTAATGATGCTTGAAGCTTCCTGCAATGTTAGAGTTTTTAGAAATCATTAATAATAAATTACCAGCAATGCAACGGGCAGCTGATAACTCCTTTCTTTGGTAGGTAAAACTCTCCATTATAAAATAATAATACACTAAGTCATACGCCATAGCCTTCAGCAATTTTCTTAAAGTTATTTTACTTTAAGACCAGTGTTGCCAACATTGAATTCATTTTACAGATAAGGAAACTGAGGCTATTTTACCCAATGATAATGTCGGAATGAGTCAGACTATTGTAATTGAAATCACTAGCTTAGTTCCAGATTTAAATTAAGGCCTCTCACATATTTGTAAATGTGACAGGCACCAGTAGAGATCATTGGTTAATGAGTGGAGGTTGGAGTGGAGATAGGGTTCCATTAATCACAAACTCTAGGCCATAGTTCTCAATGTGTGGTTTGGGGCCATATGAGGAGTAAGAAAATGTACTCTTGGAGGAAAGGAAACAAACACAAAGCTTGCAAACAGGATGGCAAAACACTCTCGAGTCAAAGACCCTTGTTTATCAGCTCAAGGGCTCAATATTCAGTTATCAGTGTGTAGCAGGGTCCAAGGCATGCAGCAAGTCCAAACATGCTCTGAGATGCTTCTCTCCTCTCATTTCCCTTAGTTCCATTCAGCAATTATCCAAGAACCTGATGGCTTCCTCTTTATGACAGAGTCTGCAAGAATACAAAAAGGAAATAAAAATGGCCATCCAATTCACAGAGCCCACATCCAATTTCCAGAGCCCACAAAGAGGAACTTCATGAAGGATAGTTCTGTCTGGTGCTATCATCCAAGACTTTATCTTTGTAATATGTGAAATCAGTCTGTTAGATAAAGATTAGCTCACACACTCAGTTTTTTTTCTGAAGAAGAACTTGTAGGAAGGTGAATTCTAAAATACAAATTGTGTGACTTTTGGCAGGACACTTCCCTCTGTGCCTTTGCTTCCTTATAGATAATGGGAGGTGGAAGGATTAAAATAAGTCAGGATCCTAAATCACTGGCCCACCAGAGAGCAGTGGCTTAAGCACAATAGCTTAAGTTCCTCCCTGCTTCAAAATTTGTTGGTGCTTTTATGTTAAGCAGCATTGATATTAAGCAGTCATGGTTCATTGTTCCACCCAGTTCTAGGCTAGATATATATAGCCTGATACTTTATAGACTTCTAAGGGATGATCCTCAAACACATCAGAAATATAAGAAACCATAGAAATAAGTTCCTGAACATCTACCACTGCTTACGAAATAGTTGTAAATCATTTGTCTCCAACTATATTCTTCATATAGTTATAAAATTCAGGACTCTATTCCAAGTGAGGAAGCAGATCTTCTCTTCAGTTCTGCAACTGTTGAAACTTTAGGTAGACTCAATAATAATGACTTAGGGCAAAACCTTAAAATTCAAGCTCTTTTAAGGAAGAACACATAATTTTAACCACATAAACAATCTTACAATCCTCATTCAGATCAGATACCATAACACTTTCTTATCAGACCTTAATGAATAGAAATGCAATTTCTTATAACTTAAATTCTGAAAGAATTACGTGACATGAGACAGAAGAAGGAAAAATGTATTGAACAAAAAAAGCCTGATACATCCTCATAAAGTTATTGGTCAATATTCCAAAAAATAGAGAAATAATCATTAATATATGCCTTTTTTTTCTGGATATAAATAGACTTCACTTCAGGCTGTCATCTTCACTGTGTTCTTTTTTTTTTTTTTTGAGATGGAGTCTTGCTCTGCTGCCCAGGCTGGAGTGCAGTGGTGCAATCTCAGCTCACTGCAACCTCCACCTCCGAGATTCAAGCAATTCTCCTGCCCCAGCCTCCCGAGTAGCTGGGATTACAGGCATGCACCACATGCCTGGCTAATTTTTGTATTTTTAGTAGAGATGGGGCTTCACCATGTTGGTCAGGCTGGTCGCGAACTCCTGACCTCGTGATACACCCGCCTCAGCCTCCCAAAGTGCTGGGATTACAGGCATGAACCACTGTGCCCGGCCGACTGTGTTCTTTCTTATGTAAAGAATTTCAAAATGACCTGCCAACAGGGTCCCAACCAGCCGGAACAAAAGAAATGGCATCACCCACCCTGGTGTTCTAACAAGAAATTGCTTTGGAAGAGCTGATTGGCCTCTGTTTTCATATGACACCTGATTCATATCCTTGACAGAATTAATTTTCAATGAAAGGAGAGCTCATTACTAATTCATTGAAATGGCCCTGTGCATTGAGAGCCAATTCTCCTAAACTTGACTTGAACATCCTTGTGTGGCATCGTCCAGGAAAACAATCTTGCCTCCTTGAATGGCCTTTAACACCTAGAGCCAGGAAAATTCCCTGACACATTTAGACTCTGACTGGGGTCAATGTTCAGCACCCCACAAGCACTCCTAGGGATAGTGACACATTTTCCATCTTCTCTCTTGTTTCCATTACTCCCTGGGAAGGTTCACATTAGGCAAGCATCAATATTTTGATGCAGTGACATGATAAATATCCACGGTCAAGGCTTGCAATTGCATTTTTGAAATGTCAGACAGAAGGGAGTAAAACAAGCAAATAAAACCAACCAAAAACACCACAAAGAGAAAATATATTAAGTGTCTTGAGAGATGTCCTATAGAACAATCCCTTACAGAAAAAAAAAAGAAAAACCTCAATCTCAACATGTCTAAAACTGAATTTATTATTTTCCCTCCAAAACCCGGTCTGTGTTTCTTAGAGAATGGCATCACTGTTAAACCCACTTGTACAACCAAAGAACTAAAAAGACATCCTTGATGACTCCCTTGCCCTCAGCCACCATGTAGAATTCTTCACCAACGCCTGTTGATTTTACCCCTTAAATATCTCTTGACTCTGACTCCTCTCCATCTCCACTGTCATCACTATCATCCTTCATCTCTAGTCACTGGTTGTGTTAGGTCATTCTTACACTGCTATAAAGAAGTATCTGAGACTGGGTAATTCATAAGAAAAGAAGTTTAATTAGCTCACAGTTCTGCAGGCTCTACAGGAAACATAGCAGCATCTGCTTCTGGGGAGGCCTCAGGAACAATCCAATCATGGCAGAAGGCAAAAGGGGAGCAGGCACATCAAATGGTGAGAACAGGAGAGAGAGAGAGGTACGGGGGAGGTGACACACTTTTAAATGACCAGATCTCACAAAAACTCACTACTACAAAGACAGTACCAAGACATGGGGGATCTGCCCCCATGATCCATCTGCCCCCATGATCTCCCACCAGGTCCCCACCTCCAGTGCTGGGGATTACAATTCAACATGAGATTTGGGTGGGGACAAATATCCAAACTATATCACTGGTAAAAACTGCTGGATTGTCTAGCCTCCTCTGTTAACTCTGATCTTCTACAATTTATTCTTATGCCACAGCTAGAATAATCTTTTTCAAACATAAATCCAATAGTAATATTGCTTTCTGGATAAAGTCCAAGATCTGTACATGACTGACAAAATTCTGAATGTTCTGGCCTGACCCACGTCTTCAGCTTGACTTTGAGCTACTTCTCTTCATACACTGTGATCCACTGTGCTTTAGTCACTTGGACCTCCTTCCAGTTCTTCAAACTCATATGTTTACTTCCAACCACAGCATCTTTGAGGATGACATGTGCCCAATGTCTAATGCTCTTTGGTTCACACTTCTTCTTCCATTCACCTAATTAGCCATTATTCATCCTTCAGAGCTGAGATCAAGTGTCACCCTCTCAGAAAGGCCTTTCTTGATTCCCTCAGTCCAGCCATGTTCATTGTCATAAAACTGTCTTCCTTTACTTCAGAGCAAACAGCTAATGTGCAATTTTACATTCATTCATCCTTTAATCTATTGTAAGTTCAATATAGGTGGGGACTATGTCTGACTTTTTTTTTTAATCATTGTTTGTTTATTCTACCAGTTTCAGTGAGAAATATGTTTAAAAGCTTCCATTGTGATTGTGAATTTTCCTATTTCTGCTTTAATTGTATCTTTTTTTATACATTCTGAAGCTACACGATAAAACACACAAATTTAAGCCTATTTGATCATCCTAGTGGATTTTCACTTTTACAGAGGGTCCTTCTTGACTTGCAATTTACTTTGTTTTAATATTAGTATAACTATGGCAGCTTTCTTTTAGTTAGGGTTTGTATGGTGTATCTCTCTCCATTATTTCACTTTTTTTTCTGTATCTTGTATTCAAGATGCTTCTCTTGTAAGCATTGCATTATTGGGTCTTGTTACATTTTAATACAGTCTGACAATATAAATGTTAAGAATTATTTACATTTAATATAATTGCTGAAACCCTTGGGGTTTTTTATGTTATTTTTTCCAATTTGTTTCATCTGTTCTACATTTTTTCCTTTACTTTCTTTTGAGTTAATCAAATTTGTTTTGCTATGCCATTTTTTCACATCTTGGCAGTTATAAATAATCTTTTTACATACTTTCAAAGGTTATGTTAGAGATTCAACATGCATTCTGCTTTGGTTAAAGTATAATACAAATTTGTACTTTTATCAATTTCTGTACAATTGAAGCATATTTGAACATTTTGACTTTATCTTCTTTCTGCCTTTTAGGCTATCATTGTCATGTATTTTAAATCTACATATTAAAAATTTAAAACCTTTATTATTAGTAGTATTGGCTTATACAGTCAATATTTATTTAGATTTACTTACATATTTATCTTTCTTTTACTATTCATTTTTTGCTACAATTTTTTGCTGTCATTTAGCATCACTTTTCTTCTGCCTGAAAAACTCCCTTGTGTATTTCCTTTAGAGCAGGCATTAGTGACAAATTCTTCCGGAAAATACAGTGTTCAAGGCTGTGGGTCCAGCTACAATTTTGCTGGAAACACAGAGAACAGAGGACTTGTTGGGCTATATTCTATGATTATGAGATTAATGAAATCTAGACTTCAGGAAATTCTATAGGTCAAACAGCCTTAGATTTTCAACAGATAAAGTCTGAGGAGAAGAAAGGAATAGAAGGAGGTGCAGTGGATTAAAAGAGATTTATATATCAAACATTTTTTAATGGGCAATTCTAGACTATAGTGTCTAGGGATGCATATGTGGGTAATAAAGCTATAAACACAAGAAAGAGATTACAATAAAAGTGTAAAGGTTGCTTCTAGGGAAGGTGGTGCATTGTGATCAGGATAGCACACAAGGAACATTTCCAAGTGGCTGGAAAAGTTCTATTTCTTTATGGCAGTTACAAGAGTGTCTGCCTTAAAATAATTTATTAAGCTATACATTTGTTTTGAGTGGTTTCTGTCTTTGTGTTTTTTTATTTTACAATAAAAATATACAAAGTAAAAAATGAATTAGAAATTAGTAAAATTTCAGCTTCAGTATTTTTATTATCTTACTTTGGCAGGGATATTTTACAGTTTAGGATGACCTACCATTGTCTTTTGCATCCATAATTTTGGTTAAGAATTCAGCTGTCAGCCTTACTGTTCTTAAAGATAATGTGTCCTTTTTCCTCTAGCTATTAACATTTTATCTTTGTCTTTGGTTTTCAACAATTTTATTACTGTGCACGCTGCTGAAGTTTATTTGTATTTGTCTATCATTGGATTCATAGTGTTTCTTATAACTGTGAATTCAAATATTGCTTCTACCCATTCTTTCTTTTTTCCTCTTTCTGACATTACGATGTCCTAAATATCTCTTACTGTCTTTTTATCTTGTTTGACTCTCTTTTCCTCTCTGTGGTTCAGTCTAGATATTTTCTACTGACCTATATTCTAGTTCATTATTTCTTTCTTCAGCTATGTTCAGTCTGCTCCTAATTAATTTCTTGAATTTAAATTTTATTTATTGTGTTTCAGTTCTAGAATTTCCTTCTTATTCTTTTTTATAGATTTTAGTTTTCCGTTGAAATTCTCCATCTCATCAACAACTTTCATTCATATATTTAATAAAGTATTTAAACTCTGTGTCTGATAACTCCAGGATCGATATAGTATCTAGATCCCCTGTGGATCTCTTTCTATTGTCTCCAAATGATTTTTGGTCACTTGGCTTATCTCCTTGTATTCTAGAATATTTTTAAAAAGAATGCTGGGCTTTATTCTTTGAAAAATTATAGAGATTATTTGAAGTTCTGGATGATGTTATCTTTCTTCCTAGAGGTTAATGCCAGGCAGTTAAGTGAACCAAGTCACCTTAGTCCAACTGGGCTGAGCTGCTTTTACTTTTTGTGAGAGCTGGTCTATACCTAGTTTGCCTTTATGCTTAGATTGCTGTCTTTGAGGGATCCCAGCTGAAAGCCTAGGGTGTTTCTCAGTGCCTCTCCTCATTGAGCCATGACCTCCAATTTTGTTCATGAGATTGTGAAAACTATCTTCAGCCACTTATGAGCAGGCTAATGCTTCAAGGACAAAGTAGAACTGCATTTTGATCTTAACTTCTTTGTATTTATCTTCTCTCTGGAATTTTGTCTACTGATGCCCTTGCTGCCTTGATAGCTCTCATAATCCTTCAAGTAGTTTTTAAAATATATTATCCATTTTTTCCCAGTTCTTTGTGAAGTGTTGGTCTAATAGAAGGTAGTCTGTCATAGTTACAAAAAAAAGTCTCTTTAACTACTATTTATTGATCATTTACTCAGAGGTCCTGTTATTTCCTCACATCACTCTGAGTTTTTTCTTTATTGAACTCTCCACAGTTTATAATTATTTTTATGTTTCTTTATTTGACATCTGTTTCCCCCTTAGACTGAAAACTCAGTGGGCCATCAGGAATCATGTGTTTTGCTTGTCACTGAATCCTTGATATCTAGCCCAGAATAGGCACTCAATAAATATTTTTAAAAAATGAATATAGGCTCTTGGTCTAAGCATTTTACATACTTTATCTCATTTAATCCTTTCCACAACCATATGAAGCAGGTATTGTTAGCTCTGTTTTAGTGAAGAGATAACAGAAAATTAGAGAGATAAGTAACTTCATAAGGTCATTATATGTAAAATGTTCTGTATAACTCCTTTTCCTGGACGCCTCATCATTATGCTTCTACAACCTGTTATGTGCAGCCAGCTTTTTATTTTTCAATATACGGGTTATAAAATGTGTTCCAGTTCCTTCTCTTCATTTTCTTCTTCCTCCTTTTGTTAATATTTCATGCCTTGTTTTTTTAGGCCTTCAGTGCTCGTAAGCATTTCGTTACCCAGTGAGCTGGAAAAATAAAAGACGATGAAGCTCACATAGCTGAGCAAGGAGTCTATGCTCCAAAACACTAAGAGGAGGGTGCGTCCTCCCCTCCCCTCCGGCCACAATTGGTAGCTTTGGTAATTAGACTCATTCATTTAAAATTTTTAAACATTTAATTTAATTTTCTTTTAAAATACACTTTATTTTTTAGAGCAGTTTTAGGTTCACAGCAAAAATGAGCAGAAAGTACAGAGAGTTCCCACATACCCCCTCACACACATACAGAGTGATGCATTTGTTACCATCGATGAACCCACATTGGCTCATTCATTTTTATGCTGTATAAAACCATCTGGGATCGTGTGTTTGCCCAGTTTCAGCTACCTTGTGTTAAGAGTCCTCTTTTGACCTGCAGTTAAAATTAAAAAGTCTCTGCTTCTTTGTCAGCATTCATTCTGTTCTCAACATGCTGCAGTAAAGTTCACTTACCCCTGAACTTTGACCATTCTAGCACATTTCAGCGTTTGCATGCTCAAAACCAAGCAATTAACTTTAATATGCATTCTTAAAGGAAATCAGGTACAATCTCTGGAAGCCGTAAAGGATCACATTGTCACATTGAGTCTGAAATCTTTGTGATGCTGCTCACACTCATGGTGCTCTCTCCTCCTGCCCAACAGACCAAGGCCTGGCTCAGGTCCCACCACAGCTGTGAAGCCTGTTCTAACAAGCTCCATCCCACAACAATTTTTTTTTCATCTTTGGCATCATATCTGGTATCAAACGCTCCCAGAGAAAGTCATTAACCCTCTCTGAGCTTCAGTTCTCTTTTCTGAAAATGTGGATCAAAACACCTCCTGACAGGCTTGTAGGTCAATTTACATGCGCTCAAATGTGTCCAGGACAGGCAGGAAACATCGGTACTCCCCCTCTCCTTGCCTGCCCAGGGAAGTTTTCCTGGAGGACAGGTTCACAATGTGGGAGACAAAATTGTAAAACTATATGCAAATGCGCTTGGACACAGATTATAGCAGAGAAACAACACCTCTGTGCTATCAAGTTCCTTCTGGATTTGTAAAGAAAGGGGACTAAGAAGTCGCCGGAGCAGAGCAGGGGAAAGATAGTAGAGCTGCCAGTGAAAGTCAAAGAAAAAGTGGGGAACAGGACACCATGCGGCCCAGGAATATCCATCCATTTGTGGGCAAAGGGAAATGGAGCACAAAATGGCTACTCATCAAGACAGGTAGCCCTTTGCAGTCTCCATCTATGTGGAGACTGAGCTTCCAGTCACAGTACACAAAGGACATGGGTGAGATTTGGACAGATAAGGAAGAGGAAAATGATTTCTGAAGGGGGAAAACAGAGAGATCCGTAACTCTAGGGCACAAAATAAAGGTATTTAAGCACTCTCACAGCACACCGAGACAATGAGCAAACCCACTTGACGGGGGTCAAGTGCCTGGAAAGTCAGAAGGAAGCTGATAGTAAAGGATTTTGAATGTCTGGTTCAGGACAATGGGTTTTATCCTGCTATCAGTGGGGAGCTATTGGGGAACTTTGAGCTGGCGTATCACGTGATGACTGAGATACTTGAGCAGCACACACTGCAGGGGAAAGAGGCCAGAGAGCAAGTGCAAGGTTCTTAAACAGTCCTGGTAGGAGCTGAGAAGGCCTCACCTTAAATGGTTACAATGCAAATGGAGCAGAAGGAATTTGTGTTCAAGCCCTGCCTTTTAAAATATTCCCGTGGCCTCAATTTCTTCTGGATTCTTTCCCAATACCACTATATGGCAGACTCCAGGTGTTTAAATATGTTTTTTTAAAGTTGGTGAGCATTTTATGTATATGTGTGTGTGTGTGTGTGTGTGTGTGTGTGTATTTAAAAGTAAAAGAAGATAATAAAATGGCCTTAATTCTGAGGATTTATTTAAAAAGAATTGTAAAAGAAAGAATTGGCAAACCTTCTCCATAACCCACCATCAAAGAGAGATCCAGAATATAGTATAATGTAACATAAAAACCGGTGCTATTCCACTCAGGAAGCAAAGAGCATAACTATGACAACCATTGTGATTTTTCTTTTATAGTAGACAGGCTCAGCACAGGCAGAAAGAAACAAAAGCTTCTTAGCATTCATGAGTATATTGTTCCAAAATGCAGAAGGTGAAAGTCATGGTCATGGAGAAGTCAAGTGACCTGGGAAGAGAATTGGCCATGGCTCCCCAGGTGAGGAGGAGACAGAAATGAAGCTGGGAGACTTACACCCTTCAACCTCGTTCATGGAACCAAGCTCAAGCCTCCCTCCCCTGCTCGCAGTATAAATTGAACAGAGAAGTATCAATGAGTATCCAACTGCAGGGCTTAAGGAGGAATATTTTGGGACATTTCAAGATGCAGAAAAGGATCCAAACATCAGTTCTCAAATGAACGATGAAACACAGCTACCATTTGTTGAGATCCCTTCTGTGCCAAACTCTAAATGCCCTTCTGCTGTCATGTCACCTAATTCTCACCATCGAAGTGGATTTGGGGATGGTCTTCATCCTATTTTATACATAAAACTATGAAGCTCAGAGACCTGCAGTAAGTAGTCCAAGACCTTAGTGTAGAGCCAGGATTAAAATCCAGCTATCCCTCCCTCCAAGGACCTATTTGCTTGCCTTGCTGTGGCATTGAATATTATCACACATAAGGCTTATAAAGTGGGGAGAAGACACCTTTATGCAGTGCCTGTGTTTTTTTGGCCTCATTTGCGTCTTATTTTCTAGTCCAAAACATCACAGTCCTCCCACTGCACAGCTGCCTCTACCTGGCCTGTGCCTTCTTGCGAAAAGCTCTTTGGTGTGGCTGGCCAGACTTCAGAACTGCATGTTTCTGTTGAAGAAAAAAAAGTCTGAGTTAGGAATTTAGTCTCACTTAGACTCAGCCCTTTGGCCTGAATGCAGAGAAAGAAGTCCAAGTCCCTGAAGTCCAGAGAAGGAAGAGTTTCTGGAGCTAAGCCAAGGTGACCTTTCAACAAGGAGCACCCTTTATTGAGGCAAAGAACAGAATCTTTGCTCTTTTGCTGAAGGTGCCCCCTCCACTTAGAAAACTGTTTCCCCCACTCTCCCCTTGGCCGACTCCTGCTAGGCATTCATAAGTCCCAAGTCAGGAATTGCCCCTCTAGGACACCCACCCTCCTACCTCCTGTGTTCCCACCACACCCGTGCTTTCCTCTGACATCACACTTGCCCTTTAGGTGACTTCTCTCCTGCTAAACTGTGAGCTACTTAAGGTCAGCATTCGGTTTTACTCTGCTAAGAATCCCTAGTGCTATAAACTTCATAAATGTTGAGTGAATAAATGAACAAAAGTGGCCAATCCAAGCCTTTGTGGGGAGTATTAGAGTAGGGTTTAGATCTGGAGTACAGAGAGGGCCAGACACCTCCTACCTGACTACAGAAACTTCCCCTCTCCTCTGCCACCCCTCAGACTTTGATGCTCTTTCAGTCATTGGTAGCAACGATACCAGAAATGCCTTAGGAGATTCATCTTTGTCTGTGAAGCTGGAGGTGTCAAAGGAGTTCTGCTCTTTGCTTTGGGTTCATGGTTCATTCCGGGAGGCTGAGAGCTGAGGCTCTGCCCTGGTGGGTTCCTAGCAGAGGAGAAGGAAGATGCAGTTTCAGAATCCCACCTGATTATATTTACTTCGGCAGTTATGGCTAAAGGTGCTCTAGGTTGGGGAAACAAGAATCAGAGGATGCTTCCTTCCCATTCGACAGTATATATCAATCAACACGACTTTCTTGAGTTAACCCCAACATCTTCAAGTACGATTTAGAGGCAGCCCAGAGAACCTGGTGCAAGCCCTGAGCTGACACAGTGCAGGATGAGAAGGCAGACACTAGGGAAGGAAGTTCATCTCTCTGCAGATACTGTAGGTAACTGAGTGTGCATGGGGCTACTGCCCTAGCCGGGCCATGACCCGTTCAACTTTCCACCAAATATCTCTCCTCTGCGCCAGCTTCTGAGGATTGGACAGAAGCCAGGTGGTGCTGCAACCATGAAGACCCATTATTTGCTAACTTGGGCTACTCTCCTTTTGGAACCCTCACCTGCAGGTGACCCCCATGCTGCACAGCAGGCTCAGGGTGGTGGTGGAGCCTCCTGTGCACGAAGCTCCTGTGGGGTGCTGCTGCCCTGGGCTCCCTTTTCCTCATCTGTGTGCTCTGTCTGTTTACTCTTTACCTACGGATTCATGAAACACACGTGAAGCAAATTGGCAGCAGGGATTGGTGGCCAGACAGATCCAAGGTTGAAGTCCCTGATCTTGTACTTGCACAAGTTGTCTGTTGTCCCTGGGCCCTATTTTCTTTATCTATCCAATGAAGCTAAAAATCCCTACCTTGCAGGTTGTTGTGATGATGAAAGCTGTTTCTCGACCTTAAGTACACATTAGAATTCCCTGGCGAGCCTTAACATGCCAATGCCCTGGTCCTACCCAATCAGTCTTTGGAGAGTAGACCCAGGCACCAGTATTTTGAAGATTCCTGGGAGATTCCTAAGCGAACCCTAGGTTGTGAACCCTGGGTTACAGACAATGTGTATAACCTGAGTGACATACTGCTTTCAGAATAGACTATCCCATTAATAAATGATACCAATATTACTATAATATTATTGCTGCTCCTAATCTTCCTTCTGCCAAGAAAGGAAGTACGGTTGTGGGCCTAAAATATCCAAACTGTAAATAACAGAGCACATATAAGTGACATCACTAGGCTCCAAGCTGCTCAGTGAGATAATAACAAGAGTGACTTGAAATAGCCAGTCAGCTGTGAGGACCCCAGTTCTTTAAAATACGTGCATGCCATCTCTCACGTCCCTGCCTCATCCAGCCTGGGTCTATGCCAGTAGAAACTTTTCCAGTTAAAGCCCAGTGCCTTTATTTCCAGTACTGATTGTCACCTGGGAGACAGCTGTCAACTTGTGCAACCCAAGTTACCTTTGCTCTGCAGTAAATAGATGAGTCACAGTTGGTCCTAGCAGGTCAAGGAACAAGCAGCCCTGGGCCATCCTGTCTGGTGGCTGAGGCTGCTGAGACAATGCCCTTGGTGCCTATGAAGGAGTCATAAAGTTGGGCTTGACACTCTTTAAAGTTATCTTAGTTTGCTGATTGTTTGGCTAGAGGGACTGGTGTTGAGCCCTTCCTGGCTGTATTAGGGCTTTGCATGATAAGTGTAATTAGGGTGAGAGGAGGCTGAGCAGGCTTCAGTGTCTGAGGTGGCAATGGGTCAGGCAGAGCAGTGCAGGTCATTGACCTCAGTAGAAAACCCCCAAGCTGCACTTTAGATACCAGGTCCCTTCTTTTTCCAAACTAAAAACGTCCTGGGTGTTGGTAGCAGAAGGGCCGACTATAGGTTAATGTTGCTACTTATCCTGATTTGTGGGGCAGGGAGGGCTAGCTTTAGTTTTAAGCCAAATGTTTAAATGTTTCTCAAATCTATCTACCTCTTTACCTCCAAACCACCCAAGTCTGGGCCAGAATCATTAAAAGATGGTGCACTTGTGCCGACTTGACAGCCACAGCCTCCCACCAGGATCCCCACATTCTCTCCTGCCTCACAGAGCAGCCAAGATGATCCAGCCTCACCTCAGGTCAGACCATTTCACTCCCAGTGTGAAACCCTTCCGTGATTCCTTGATACTTTTGGGATCAAGCCTGACCCTTTGATGTGGTCTCCAAGCCTAGGTCAGCCTGACCATCATCCTCTTACCGCCTGACATTGCTGCAGGTGGGTGGAAGGCCTCGGCTCCTCTCAACTCCAAGCTTCTTTTCCTTTTAGGTATTGGAACCACATTCTTCCACCCACCTGGGGCACTTTCTCAAGCAAAACTCTCAGCCGCCTTCAATTTTGAGCTTAAACTTTACTTCTTTTCTTCCTCCCCCTAGAGTTCCTCACACATGAGCCCCTTGAACTCTGAGTTTGGGATCCTAAAACTTCTTAAGCTTTATTGTTACCCCTTACCTAACCAGAATCTAAGTTCCATGAAGGAGGGACCTCATCCATACTCCCCATGCCAGTGAATACATTTCGAGTAAACCCCAAAAGTATTTGCCAATGATAAGGTAAAAGCAGTGGGTTTCACAAAGGACAATACCATTTGCAGAAGAAGCACCACATAGCAATAAAAACCCAAATGGTTATCCAGATTATGTAAGGGCCACAATCATGGGCAAGGTCCCTATCATGTGTAAGAGACAATGTGAGTTATTTTGTCTATATGAAATATGCCTTTTGTTTGGTAGTTGTCATTTTTTCAAAGAACTTTTTGCTAGGCTATCGAAAAGGTGAACGACTCAGGAGAATGGGCATTATAGTTGACGGTTATTTAGCAACTACAGTGTGCCAGGTCCAACAACCTTATGAAGTAGGTGCAATTATTACTGCCATTTGGTGAATAAGGAAACTGAGATGCCTAGGAAATTAAGTAATTTGCCCAGTGCTATACAGCTGATCGGTTGAAATCGTATCTGAAGCCAGGCACTGCCATTCCCAGGCAGGCACCCATTGTACTGTCTCCCTGTGGAACTGCAGATCACCTTCCAATATTGAGGGTCTTCCACATTTGCCGGAAAATACCATGGGCTGAAGATGTGCAACAGGCTTTACCTCCCTCTCTCAAGAGGTGGAGCTGGTTCATGCCTCAGAACATAAAAGGGTGGGGTTTGATTTCTCATCTTTGTGAATTATTTCTGAAGAGTTTATTGTATAATCAGTGACTAAGTAATTGTGGCCACGAGGAGATACAAAGATGTTTCATTATGGATGGTGTAATATTTAACTTCACGGAAAGGACCCGGGGCTCTGTGGCTTCCCATCCGTCTTGTGACCCGGAATCATGGTGATCTAAAAGAGCCCTGTGACTCTGGGAAATTTGTTATCAAAGGATGTTAGCCACAAGTCCTGTTGGCAAATGGACCCCAGGTGGCCTGCAGTGCCAAGCTGTTTCCCTGCCAGCCTCCCAGTCTGGCCCTGACTCTCCAATGTAAGTGAGGGGCACAATGGAAATGTTATTTTAGGCCTTTCCACTTTAATTGCATTTCCTACAAGAGCGTCTGCGGGTTTTTCTTCATTTTGCTGGTGCCTCCCATATGAGTGGAGATCCACTGAGCAAGGTCATTGACCTACTAATTGTTAAAGGCATGTAGAAGCTCGGAGGGCTCGGTTCTCAACAATATCCTAATTATTATGCATTGGTTAGATGTTCTCTTCCCCATACTGTGTTATTGGGTTCATACTGGCTTCTAGTAGTAAAATCACTTGCTCTCTCTCTTAGCATGGTGACAATTCTGTTGTGATTAACTCTTTCCCAACTTCTTGAACCTGAGAAATATATTATTCTATTACAAGGAGTTCAAAAATCGTATATATATTTTTCTCTTTTATAACACACTTCTATGAAGTATCAGACATTTCATTTGCACTTTCTCATCTAACCTTCGCAACATCCTTATGCATACTTATTATTATTGTGTCCACTTTATAGAGGGGAATATTGAACAGAGGATTTGTTTGTTTTGTTTTATTTTGTTTTTAAGTGACTGACCTATCAAATGTCACACAACTAGTAATTAGCAGACTGGGTTATAAACTCAGGCAACTGGCTTCAAGCTTAACTACTTCATGCTTAACTACTGTACTGTGCTATTCTACTTTACTTCCTTGTATTGTTTTTAACTTGAGAGATTTTTATCCATTATAGTTGAATCCATGACTCTTGTTTGCTTGTTTATAAAAAACATATGGTCCTGAGTAATTAGGATGTATTTCCCAGCATCGTTCAGTTTCCATGACACTTACTCTTCCAACCCCAACACACACACAACTGTGCACAACATACAGTTGAATGCAAACATATAAATGTTGGTGCATTTTCCTTTTTGTGATATAAAATTGTCCTCTTTCTTATACACAATCACCTGACCAATTTTTTCAAGATGATCTAGAACCTATTATTTGTAAGCCACTTTGGAAATTAGGGGGACTTTTCTGAGACAGAAATAGCATCACCAATAAATATGGAATTCCAGGGAAGGTACACATAGGGTCTTAACCCTGGATGGACAGCGCTGATCTCTTCAAACCTTTTTGGAACTGATTTCACTTCACCTTAGAAATCAACCACATAACACATTGGGTTAGATCAATGCATCCTCTGTATCTCTTGGAGCAGCACCAGTGCAGAATTTTCCTTCTAAGATCAATGGCAGGCTGGGAAAATACCCAGACATCGGTACACAATGTGACAAGCAATAAGGAGTGGAGGTAAGAGATCCAGGCCAAGCCTTGGCCTCACCCACGCTTACTGGTCTTATGATCCTAGGCACCTTACAGCTTCTTTGAGTCTTGCTTTTAATTTCTTCACAATGGGCCTGACAATAC
This sequence comes from Homo sapiens, assembly GCF_000001405.40. Lineage (NCBI taxonomy): Eukaryota > Metazoa > Chordata > Mammalia > Primates > Hominidae > Homo > Homo sapiens. The sequence continues at coordinate 44,112,010 of NC_000013.11, forward strand.
CTGCTCTCCTTCTAGACTTTTCAAAGGGTGAAACGAGATGACAGCAGAAGCTGCCAGGCATGGTGGTGAGCACACAGCAGGCCCTCACTAAAAGTGGAGTCCAAACCCCACACCTCAGCAAAGCTGGTTTAGGAACACTCCAGGGAATTTCTCAACATTTTTCCTGTAAGGTAATTTCTTAAAATGAGTACATTGCTAGATCTCAGATCCCCAAATTTCCAGAATATAATAGAAATGAAGTTTCAGTCACTTCACAGTGAAACTGCAAAGAAACTAAATGGAAAGTAAGTGATTTGAAGACTGTCAGAGACACAAGGAAGTAGTCTCTTAAGAATCATTTTCTTTCTTCTAGATTTGGATTTGGGAGTAGATTATTTAGATTCTTTTTTAAAGTAATTTAGATAAATTTTGAACAGTTGAACTATTTAAGGTTAAAAAGAGTAAAGATAGATAAAGGTTAACAATAATTTGATAACCGGACAAAAAAGTATAAATCATAGTAACTGTAACAGAACAAAATCCATTTTCCCCACTTAGAAACAGTAACTATTAGGTGGACAGAGCCCAGAGAAAACACTTTAACAGTATTGTTTGCTGAAGAGAATTCCTGTAACTAAATCAAAAATATTATTTTCGTGGGCCCTCTACCAAGGCATAGAAATAATTTTGTTATTACAGGCTCAACTTTCTAGAGATGATTTTGTGAGAGGATTTCACAAATGGTCGTGCTTGCCTTTTAAAGATAAATGGTGATGAATACACTGAGAAATCAACTACAATCTTCAGGGTATGTGTGAGTCTCAGACTCAACACCTTCATGACCTGTTTCCTTTTCCTGTGAGAGTTAGGAATCCCTCCTACGTGTCTGCTATTGCGTAGAGATGAAAATTTACTTTCTGTCATGCTGGGTCGTGGAAGTGGCAGAGGTAGATCTCATCCCTCTTGGTATTCCAGCCATTTGCCTTCTTCCTCTCTCTGCAGAAACGCATTAGTAGACGACTGCTTTCAATATTTGGGCTTCTCAAGAGGCTATTTTTGTTGTTTGTGACTTACAACTCATTAGAAGATGGTGAAAGATAATTCTGTACCTCTGTGGCTATTCAACTCCTTGAGAACTGTTTGCTTATGAAATCAAGCAAGACTGGAGAGGGTGCTCTGTGACAGTGAAAGAAGCCCAGGACAAATAATTTTAATTGGCAGAAGCAGTGCTGACTGGGACCCCAGACAGCCATCTGAGACCACTATAACTTTCCTCACTATTGCCTGTCTCTGTTCTGGTAGATGCTGGGTTGTGTGTTAGATGTTATTTTGCTTTTAGAAAAAAAGAAAAGAGAAAAGCACCTGAAATTATCTCTTCTTGCATTCATTCATTCATTCATGAAATACTGATTGAGTGCATATTGACAGGCAAAGATCTGTGCTAGTAGCCGTAGTGATCAGAGCCAGGCCCAGGGTAAGGCAAGTGGGGCACTCATCCCAGGGGCATCATTTAAGGGGACACACACAAAAAAACAGGAATCAAGGTAAATAATACCTTAATGCAATATTTCAAGAAGTCAAAAGTAATGCCAAAAAAAAATTTGTAATAAAGACAGAATCAGTAACAGTGCTATCCCAGGCCATATTAGTGCCTGAGGCAAAAGGAGAAAATTGAAAGGAAAAGAGAAAGTAGAAGGAAAAATATTGATCCTGTCTTTATTCACAATGTTGACATATAGTTCATCACAGATTTTGCACTCATTTTTTAGAGTGTCCCATTAAAATATTATTTATTTTGACTTTGGGGGACCCTTTTAAATTTTGTGTCTGAGGTAAACACCTCAGTGGCCTCACACTACTCCCAGTCCTGATGGAGATACAGAGCTCCTGCCCTTCAAGAGTTTATAGTAATAATGGGAGTGCTACATGCACTAAACAAATTACTGTATTTTTTTTGTAATTACTTTCTTTTTTTTTATTATTATACTTTAAGTTTTAGGGTACATGTGCACATTGTGCAGGTTAGTTACATAGATATACATGTGCCATGCTGGTGCACTGCACCCACTAACTCGTCATCTAGCATTAGGTATATCTCCCAATGCTATCCCTCCCCCCTACCCCCACCCCACCACAGTCCCCAGAGTGTAATATTCCCCTTCCTGTGTCCATGTGATCTCATTGTTCAGTTCCCACCTATGAGTGAGAATATGCGGTGTTTGGTTTTTTGTTCTTGCGATAGTTTACTGAGAATGATGATTTCCAATTTCATCCATGTCCCTACAAAGGACATGAACTCATCATTTTTTATGGCTGCATAGTATTCCATGGTGTATATGTGCCACATTTTCTTAATCCAGTCTATCATTGTTGGACATTTGGTTTGGTTCCAAGTCTTTGCTATTGTGAATAATGCCACAATAAACATACGTGTGCATGTGTCTTTATAGCAGCATGATTTATAGTCCTTTGGGTATATACCCAGTAATGGGATGGCTGGGTCAAATGGTATTTCTAGTTCTAGATCCCTGAGGAATCGCCACACTGACTTCCACAATGGTTGAACTAGTTTACAGTCCCACCAACAGTGTAAAAGTGTTCCTATTTCTCCACATCCTCTCCAGCACCTGTTGTTTCCTGACTTTTTAATGATTGCCATTCTAACTGGTGTGAGATGGTATCTCATTGTGGTTTTGATTTTCATTTCTCTGATGGCCAGTGATGATGAGCATTTTTTCACGTGTTTTTTGGCTGCATAAATGTCTTCTTTTGAGAAGTGTCTGTTCATGTCCTTCGTCCACTTTTTGATGGGGTTGTTTGTTTTTTTCTTGTAAATTTGTTTGAGTTCATTGTAGATTCTGGATATTAGCCCTTTGTCAGATGAGTAGGTTGCGAAAATTTTCTCCCATTTCAAATTACTGTATTTTAGGGTAAAAAATGATACATGCAAGGAGAGAGGATATGGATAAATAGCATAGGCACTAACAAGAAGGAGAGTGTATTTCTACCTAGGGGTCAGTGAAGGTTTTGGAAGAGATTGTGTTTAAATAGAACCTTACCATGTTCTGGCTGGAGATTAAGAGAGAACGGACTCCAGAAACCACATCAAGTTTTCAAATGAAGAAAGAAGCATTACCAGGTCAGAATAGAGTAAGGGAGCTCACCGCCTATAAATGGAGAAAGTGTGCCAAGTGTGGATGAAAGGGAGTGCTTATAGGGTGCAAAGTATGTCTGGGAGTCCTTCCTGTGGCACAGGAGAAGGCCTTGTAGGGGTGGATTCATTTTAAACCACCTTATATAAACAAGACCCTTCTTTCCAGTTCTCCAGATGGAGACAGAAGCCAGTGTGTGGAAACGAGTGAATAAATCATGCTTGTGAATGATGAAGGAGGAGCCTTGTACCTAAAAGTTATCTTCATTCATCAAGTTAAATCTTGCCTCAAAGACTAATCTCTGACCCAGCAAGCAACATTCTGCAGCGGTCAAGATGCATGCCAATGACAAAAATCTTAATGTACAATATCAAATTGGTATAAGCCACAGTTACACAAAACAGAGGGTAAAGCATGAATTCAGAATCTTCTACAAATTAATATCCAAGATTGAATCAGGGCTGAGCTAGAGGGTTTGATTCTGAATCTTGTAATTCATTCAGGGCCCACCCTCCTTTATTTACTACTAACCACCTTAAGGTTCAGAAACAGAGATTCTGGGAGGTTGTTTTGACCTAGTTCTCTGTTTTGAATAAGAGGAATCATTTGTGAATCTCTACTAACCCAGCTGGAGGAGGAGCAGAGAGGAGATTCCCACTATGCAGAGTGAAAGGGAGTCAGTAGCAAGAGTCAGTAGAGATCACCTGACCCACAACAAGTCAAACCTAGACTGCTGGGCAAGCAGTGAATGGTCACCATTAGCAATTATTTGTTGGGTTAAGAAATGAACAGCACAAATCCTGCAGATTGTATTTTTCTAAAATTAGCTCACAATCACATAATATTTAACAGGGAGGGGGAGAAACAAGCCACCTGAAGATAAAATTGATGGCATTCTATGCTCCCAAAAGACACTTACAATCTTCCAGGAGGAGTGAAGGTATTCACTGTCCACTGGGTGACTTTACACCCACATCGTTAAAGTCTTTACCTCACCTAGAGGCTTTACTTTCTCAGAAAACCAAATGATCAAGTTACCAGATTAGAAAAACAATCTGTTTTAAGAATGAAAAAGTTTTGGCCTAAAGTGCACTGATGCACTTACTTTTAACAGAGTGACAGGAGATAATTTTTCACAGACTCAGAGGAGGTGAGCATTGAAAGGGGGCATGGATGTCACTAGCCCAGTGGCAGTACAGCTGTGGAATCCCTTCTCCAGGGGAGGCCCCTCAGCTATCCCAGTATGTAAAAGAAACCGAAGGGAGCTGCTCTGGCCAAAGTCAGAAAGGGCCTGGAAACCTCAAATCACAGCTTTTGCATAATCCTAAATAAGCCAGTGTAAAACCAAATAAAACAAAACAAAAAAGGAGACAAAGAAGAAAAATCCCCAAGGAAGCAGAAGCAGTGAAAGTTTGGATGATTTGCTCAAAGACACACAGGTGTAACGGATGGGTTTGGGATACAGCTCCTGACTCCAGGTTCTGTTTTCCTGCTATGCCCACAGATAGGATGTCAAATCCAAATGATGCCATTTCCCCTGGCAGTGTGTGCGCTCACAGGACCCACATGGTGTATCTGTAAGGCACACTGGAGTAATGGATGGAGGCCATTGGCCCTTGGGGACTGGGTGGTTACAAGCCTGGCCCAGCCACCCTGAGGGGTGAGAGACATTTTTCTCTCCATACACCTGTAACTCATCCCTGTGGGGAACACGAGCTGGGAAGCTCTAGGCTATGTAGTCTGGCTCCCTACTCTTCCAGAGAAAAACAAGAGAGGAAAAGATTTTGGCCTGATCATGTTCTAACTGTGCCTTCAGTGTTAATCATGTACTGTTTTCTACACTTGCTCAGCAGCAAGATCTCCTATGCACCTGGAACAGGGCTCTGTGCTAAACCACGTCAGCAGAAGTTGGCTGTGGGGATTGGGAAAGAGGATGGATGCCAAATGTCTAGCACGGTGGTGACAACAGGAGGTACTCAGTGAAGAGCATTCTCTCCCACCTCCCCACCCACCCGTAGAATTGTTACCAACAGCAGCCTGTAAACCACAAGGGGGACATCGAAGCTGACTTCCAGTAAACCAGGCTTGCTCAAAGTGGTTAAGAAAAAAAAAGGAACTTTTGCTTTAAACATAGCTTTAAGAAGAAAAGTTGTTTCTCTTTCAACTAATACAAATATATTTAATATTTGAGATGTTGGCTACATCCACCCTTAATATTATTTTGAAAAGTTCAAGCAGTAACAGACCACAAATTGAGAGATATGCAGGCTTCCTCAGATGTGTCAGCTCGATTACACTACTTACTCTGTGGACTTTCTGCTCAGAGATTAACTGTAACCGTTTCATTTCATTTCACACTTGCCCATTTAAAATGGTATGTCGCTGAGCTAATGCACTTAGCATAGCCATTTCCTGTTTGGTTTTCCTTTTCTATTTAAATACTGTAAAAGACATTGCACTATTCCCTGTGTGGGCTTTAATCAGTAAGTCTAATTTTATTGTGTAAATTACATAACCAGTGGCCTACAAAGGCATCTGCTTCTAGCCAGTTGTGTGACCTTAGGCAAGTTACTTATTTTCCTTGGTCTCAGGTCTTAGTTAAAAAAAACAGGATTAATAACGCCCCCACTGTTAAGAAAATTAATTGTTGGGAGGATTGAGATAATGTGCTTACATTTCTTAGCATACAGGCCCCTTCCCAGATTCTTGTAGGAAGGTAAGAGAGTAATAATTCAGATTCTGAATGTGCTAGAACTATTCTAAATGCTTTTTGCACATTTACTTAATCTTCTCAAGGACCTTGTGAGCTAGAAACTATGATTATTCTCATTTTACAGAAGAAGAAACTGGGACATAGAGAGATTAAGGAACTTGACCCCACACACAAGTAAGTGGGGTCAAGTTCATGCAGTTGGTTCCAGAGGCTGAATTCGTAGCTCTACGACCCTTGCCAAATGTAGGTTCCTAACATTAACATTTTTGGGTGATTCCATATGTCTGTGATTCATAAATTTTTGTGAGAGAAAGCCAACTTCTCTTTTAATATAGTCAAAGTGCTGGACAGAAGTTTAATAATTCTATTAGTATAGCCTCTTTTCCCAAGAATAATACTAGATTCAAACCAAGTCAGATAAATGGCTGCCCAGGCACCTTCCCCTTCTCTGCTAAATGTCCTCTTAATTTAACCAAAGTCTCAGAGAAAACCAAAATCTGTCCTTTGAGTTTCAAATGAATTGCCTCATATTCCCATCTGAGGGATGCTTGCACCCCTTTCTCCTCCTGGATTCTAGATGGAGAGGGAAGGTGTAGCTTTATATGCTGCCGGTCAAGTTCCAATTCTTTCCACAGAAATATTAAATCTATGTATAAATATGTGTATCCCCACGTTGTCCACTGTGGGCTTTCTCTAACATGTGGATCTGGATGTCAAAAATCCAATCCCTTCCCTTAATTTACACACACACACACACACACACACACACACACACGTCTTTATCTGTTCTGTTTTGTAATTTATATATACTTTAGATCCTTTGCTGAAGACTTGGATAAATAAAGGAGTTTATATGATACCAATTCCAACAAATTAAAACAATTTAAAATTGATGTTATATAATTTTTTTCCATCAACTGGGGCCTGTACCACGTGGTTCAACAATCTCCCCACTCTTCTACCCAGATTCTCACGAGTAAAAAAATAGTACACTTTCCTTTTTTTATGCACAGCAAGTCAACCCTGTCTTTGTCCTATCTTTTCCTTCCATAACTTTCCTTAGGCTTTTTTGCTCAACTCTTTGCATCAGGCTGGCTCATCAAGGTAGGAGAAATTCTGAAGCCAGCTGCTGAGATAGTCTGTTTTCTTAGATGGCATAAAGATTGTCCACAACTGGAATAAGTAATGCATCTCTGAGATTAACCAACCTTGACAGTTACATAGCAAGTTTCAACATCCCATTTTAATTCTCTCTCTTACAACTCAAGGCAACTGCCTCTTGTCCTTTGTTCAGAAACCCAGGGTGCAGGATTCATTAACCCTTAACTAATATTCCATTGTAGAGATTGTGGGCTTCTTGGTGTGAAAGCTGTTTTTAATTTTCTCCAACCCTTGAGGCCACTGACTGGAGGTGAGGAGACAGAAAGTGAGGCAAGAGAAGAGGTTACCTGGGAAGGCTCTCAGCACTATGGGGGTGGGAAAGAAAGAGCACTGATCAAAGGACAAAGGGGCAGACTTTAGGTGGCACCACTGGAGACGACTCAGAGAAGGGACCATGGCAGAGACAGGCTCAAAGCTTGACTTGTCTGGGAGCCCTGCGAGAATAATTTTCAATTTTCAGTAACTGAAAATTAGGTCCAAGTCTGCCCTGTTTTACGTTTTGCTAATGTGCAGCAAGCTGCCATTTTCTTTCCTCTATTCCTTTGATCTCATGATCAGCATTTCCAATTAATATTTGTTTAACACCAGGCCTGGGGTAGATATTTGGAGAATAGACTGAGAAGAAAATGCCCGCACCCTGCCCTGGAAACTTTCGGAGATGCCTGCTGATTGTTCTGGTACTGCTGTGCTCGTAACTTCAAAGCAAGTGCGACAGCCATTCTGCCCAGATTCAGTCCCAACCAGCTTCCTACTGGGGGAAGAAAGAACACAATAGGAATTAGTTAAATTTCCAGTTTTGCCAAATACATGGACTTTGGCACGCAATCAAAATGTTTTTATAAAAGTTAAAAATGCTTTATGAAAGTGTACACTTACAAAGTAGAAAGCTGTTCAGCCCTAGTCCTACCAGCCCTGGGAATGCAGACAGCCTGGTCCTGAAGGATGGTGGCCGGGGGCAGTAAGATCTTCCAGCAACACTTCAGAGTGGATGCCATCAGATGACGGCTTCTCCTCAGGGAAGCCATTTGCCATCAAACAAAAATATTTCCTTTCATTTAATTATGTGGATTTTTGCTAAATTAAATGCACTAAGAGGCTGGGATCCAACATTTACAAAGGAGAAATCTCAGACTCCTCTGGTTTCTGCTGGCCTGTGCTTTCTTGAAAACAGACACCGGGCAATGGAAAATGTGGTAAAAGTTTTAATGCTCATGCTAAAAGGAAAAACACCTTTCCTTTCCTTTCCTTTCCTTTACATTGGCCAGCCACGCCTGGCAAGGCAAAGACCAGCTGAGTGAAAAGTCATTTGTGCAAAATCCAGCCAAGCTGTCAGTTGAGCTTAGCAAGTAGTGACTTGGAAACAAAAAAATTAAGGGAAAGAAACTCATCTTCAGATATATTTTATTTTGGTGTTATATGACAAGGAGTAGATTGAATTCACCTTCAAACAAATGTTTTCGAGAAAATATCCCAAAACATACCATTTTAATTTATATTATATTAATGCTTGAAATGAAATGGGAGAAAATGAAAAGTAGTGAAAACCATTTTCCATAAAGTAGGATATATTTGCTCTAAAATTTCCTATGTGATGCTAGTCTTTTATGGAGCTGAAAAAAGGAGGAGGTAGAAAACAGGGACTCCTAACAATATCTATTAGTGTTTTCTCTAATTCAGCCACAGAGGGCTTTACATGTTGTTCTTTGCTTGATTCCAAAACATGTGTCCCCAGGTGGGAAAAGAAATCTGGTTGTAGGGAGAGGAGAAAATTCTACTGTTAGCTTTTCCACATGGCTTTATTAAAAAATCATTTTACTTTTTTTGGGAACAATTTTTATATATGAAAAATAGAAACATAGATGCTTCCTGACAGATCCCGATGGTCCCATGCCTTGAGACTGTACTCAGAAAGGTGAAGAGATAGAGATGTTTCTCTCTGCTCTCTGGCAAGTGGGGCAGTGCCACACAGTCACTGCCTCAGCACCACCACCTCCCTGTCCTAGCGCCCAGGGCAACTTAGGATGCTTCTGAATCTGTACATAACGCTGAAGTCTGCAAAAGCCTTCTCTAACATTAAATTCCCTTGTCAACTCTTAGGCCCCTTTAAACCGTGAACAAGACGACCCTTGTTCTGGAAAATCTATCTATCTTGCCAACACACACACATATACAAAAACACAACTGTTGGGCAAATAAATCTTTCCAGAGAAAATAGATTCTTTTCCAATTCAGTCAACTGTACTGAGCTGGAAAGCGAGAAATGTTATTTTTCCAGGATGAAGGAAAAACAAGATCTCTCCTTGTTTGCCCTGTCTAGCCCATTTCAAAAGAAGGTCAGTTTAATGCCTTCATTTAAAAAAAAAAAAAAAAATCTCAAGTGTTGTGTATCAGAAGACACTTAGTTCCTTTCAGGCTGGGAATCGCACATTGAGGCTCTGTGTTTTTTTCCCTTTGACCTAAGATACACATGGCAGGGCTGAATTGCCTACCGCTCTGGAGATGTCAAAAGTATCAGGAGTGGGAAGGACGGAGTCTGGTGATGTGGAATTCTTTGCTATTGGCCAGCCTCCTGATTGCCAGCCTGTGTCCCACTCCAGTCACTGAGCATGAAAGATGCAGCTTATGAATTGATCCCCATTTCATTCAAGGCCACACACATTCTCCATGCTTACTTCTCCATATTCCCCATAATTTGAGGGCCTGGATCATCCCCTTGGAGAGTGAGAAAACATGGAGTTATAATGTTCCTGGCTGAAGAGCATGGAATAGAATATAAATTAGACACAATGCTTGTCTATTCCCTGGGACGCTCTTTAGGACTTAAAATTCTAAGTCTCAAGGAAGTCCTAACTATAGCGACAGTAACTGGAGTCTGAGGATTCCAGCTTCCTTGTTCCTCGACGCAAATATAGGCTTCACATGTATAGCATGTAGCATATAGTTGATGCCCAGTAAAAATTTGTTTCTATTTTTTCACCAAAAAATTTCTATTTGCCATTAGATATGGCAGAAAAAAGGTAATAATTTCATATATTTTCATTTCTTCCAAGCATCATTAGTTCTTGTCTTACCCAATTTGTGGTTGCCATAAGGGTATGCAATTATGCATATTTATTCTCTGCCTCATCCCAAACCTATTCCAAACAGAATAGCCTAATATATGGCTGCTGGGTCACAGTGGCACATGAGCCAGAGCCAAATGGAAAAAAATGCAAAATATCTTATTAGTAACTATATTGATTACATGTTAACAAGATAATATTTTGTATATACTGGATTAAATTCAATATATCATTAAAATCAATTCGACCTATTTCTTTTTACTTTTTTAATATGGCTACTAGAAATTTAAAATTACGTATGTGGCCTGCACTATATTCCTATTAGATAGTGCTGGTGTAGACTACTCTATGAAATATAGAATTAATAAGGTAATAATTGAAGGTAAGGGCCTATGGTAATAACTAGCCTTTATGGCACATTTACTATGTCTGGCATTTTATATGATTTTATTTCATTCTAATTACATTTATGAAAGGTAATTATTATTAGCCCATTTGTTGAAAGTATTCTGCCCAAAATTTTATAGCATGCTAACAGAGCTGGTATTTAAAATCTGGGTTTCTGGCAGTAAAAAACATGAGCTTTACAATCTGAAATGATATCTCTTAAGTATTCTTTAAAAAAAAAATTCCCAAGAATGTTGACATCAGGTGACCTGGAAAAAATAGGAGTATCTGTTCCATTAGTTCCTAATTACGGCTTTAAAATTTTGATAATCTGAAAATCAGTGTTATATATTTTTTATTACTGAGAGGAATAGTAATAGAAACATTGGTCTCTAACCTATGAATTTAAACTGGAGAAAATTACAAATTAAGCTTCTGTCTTTCCTAAACACAGAAGAAAAGGGAAACTTATTTGATGGGAAAGAAGTTAATATTCATTGAGCACCTACTATTTCCATTCGTGTCCCATAAATGCATTATTCTTAACAGGTCCAAAATGGAAAACATCATCTTTTTTTTTTTTCTACAGTTTTTTTTTGTTTGTTTTTCTTTTTTTTTATTATATTTTAAGTTTTAGGGTACATGGCACAAGGTGCAGGTTTGTTACATATGTATAAATGTGCCATGTTGGTGTGCTGCACCCATTAACTCGTCATTTAACATTATGTATATCTCCTAATGCTATCCCTCCGCCCTCCCCAACCCCACAACAGGCCCTGGTGTGTGATGCTCCCCTTCCTGTGTCCAAGTGTTCTCATTGTTCAGTTCCCACCTATAAGTGAGAACATGCAGTGTTTGGGAAAACATCATCTTTATCCCCAAACCAGCTCCTCCTCATCCTCCATTCTCTATCTTAGGTACAGTCACCTGAATCTACCTTCTCACTTATGCCAGAAACCTCATTCTTTTCTCAGCTCCTCTCGTTTCTTTACCCTCCTTTCAATCTTGCCAGTTTATAGAACACAGGTATTCTTACTTTGCCTGAGCAGTACAGATTGTGCTTCCCTGTGGCTGTGCCAAGTTCTTATTCTTATCAGCAGAACATTTTCCCACATCCCCCAGCACATGGAGTTATTCAGCTTGCTAATGTTCTCCAAATAGGCATAAAATTATATCTCATTATTATATTAATTTGCTGAGGTACTTATGATTTGTTCGTTTTTTGGGGTTTATTGCTTTGTAAATTGCCTGTTCATATACTTTGCCCATTTCTGTAAATGAAGTTACTCTCTTTACCTTGTTTGATTTGACTTCTTCTTTGATCTGGTCTCTTCGTGTATATTCTAGATAGGAATCCCTCATCTGTTTGAACATTATAAGTCTCTGTCCCTATTTTTAAATGTCTTTCTAATGTTATCCATGTCATGCGTCTTTCTGTATAATAAAAAAACTTAATTTTGATATATATCAAGAATCAATGTTATACCACATGGCTTTTTTGAAGTTTTTGTTTAAGTTTTGAAATGCTCTACTGACCCAACATTACATACATTTTTAGAACAAACTTATGATGAATTTCAGACTAGAATTTTGATGGAATTACACTGTGCCTACTAGATATATGTGGAGAGGGTTAACATCTTTATGATATTAAATCTTCCCATGTAGCAATAAGAAATATTTCTCATTCATTCAGGTTTTTTTCTGTGTTATTAGGATATTTAAGTTTTTTCAAGGGGGCTGTATGTATTCTTGTTTAATTACCAGATATTTTTAGTTGTTGTTGCTATTGTAAATGGTATCTTGCTTTTTAAAAAATTACATTTTATATTTGCTTGCTGTTGGAAATGCTCTTATAGTTTGATCAAATGTCCACCAAGTTTTTATTGTTTAGCTGTTGATCCTATTGTTTATTCTGAGTAGATGTATATAAAATCTGCAAACACTGACAGTTAATTTCTTCCTTTCGATCACCATTTTTATCTTTCTTTCCTTCAATGTGGGCTAGGATTACCAACAGTATAGTATTGGTTGTGTTATATAGTGGCTTATCACAGTGAGAATGTTTGTCTTAACAGGAATGCACTTAAACTTTCTCCATTAACTATAATGTTTGTGGAGGTTTTGGAATATAACCAAAATCCACTTAGGGGAATTAAAGAAATCCTTTTCTACTCTTTGCTAAGAGTTTTTATCATAAATAAGCAAGGAAATTATCAAGTACTTTTTCTGCATCAATTGAAATTATTGTGAGATTTTAAAAAATTTAATTTACTAATGTTCTTAATTTTGTTGGCAGAATCCCTAATAAGGAATCATTCATTAATCAAGCTGTATTATTTTAAAACATACCATTGGGTTCAATTAGCTAATATTTTAAAAGATATTTTTCATCTACTTGAGTATGAGAAATTGAGCTATAATTTTCTTTCTTTCTTTGTAAAACACCATCATTGTAAAATGTCCATCTGATTGCGCCAATATCATAAAATGAACTCAGTAGCTTTTGCTCTATCTCTTTTGGAATAATTTAGAATACAGATTAGAATTTGTTGTTCCTCAAGAGTTTGATAGAACGCACCTGTAAAACCATTTGGGCTTACAATTTTTTGAAAGGAGAGATCATTGATTGCATTTAATCTCTAAAATCTGTTGGTTTAGTCAAGTGTCCTATTCTTTATGTCAGTTTTGGCATTTAATATTTTTTCATTTTGATTAGGTTTTCAAAATTTTTATATTTTAATAAGTTCACATCCCTCTTCTAGTATTTCAGTGTTTTTTTGAAAATGATACCTGTTGATAGAGAATTCAAACAATATAGAAAATATTAAAAAAAATAACAAAAATCCACCCCAAATCCTATGCTCCAGAAATAATCATAATATGAACATCTATATATTTAGGTATTTTTGTAGCAGTCACCGTTCTATGTACAGAATTATAACAATATTAATAATAACAATAGACACACATATAGTACTTATTATTATTATATACTTATACTGTATTAGTCTGTTCTCGCATTGCTGTAAAGAATTATCTGAGGCTGGGCAATTTATAAAGAAAAGAGGTTTAATTGGCTCATGGTTCTTCAAGCTGTACGGGAAGCACAGTATTTCTGCTTTTGGAGAGGCCTCAGGAAACTTACAATCATGGTGGAAGGCAAAGAGGGAATGAGGCGTCTCACATGGTGGAAGCAGAAGCAAGACAGAGAGAGGGGAGGTGATACACACTTTGAAACAACCAGCTCATGCAAGAACTCACTCACTCACTCACTCATTACCACAAAAACAGCACCAAGACGATAGTACTAAATTATTCACGAGAAACCACCCCCACGATCCAAACACCTCTCACCAGGCCTCACCTCCAACACTGGGGATAACAACTGAACATGAGATTTGGGTGGGGACAGAGATCTAAACCATATGAGATACTGATAGAAGAATTACGTACATGTATAGATAGAAGAATGGATGCTTAGAAAGCTAAATGATGGATAGACAGATATATAACCCTGCACGTATTTCTATTATAAGACCCACAAGAACTTTTTATTTGCATTTAATGATCACAAATATATCCCACACAGGATTCTGCACTCAATGAGAGTGGGAACCCTGTTCTATGCATCACTGCAGCCAGGCTGGTTTCTGGCATTGATTCCAACTTTATAGGATGTTTATTGAATGAGTGAGTAAATGAAGAACATGCAGTGCAATGTGCAAACATTGTTCAAGGAACGACATATGTTTTGCTTTTGTAAGCCTTCCCAGCCCCTTGCAAAGAAGATGTATCATCCCCATTTTTCAGATGAGGAACTGAGACAGGAAGAAAGTAATTTGTCCAGGGCCTAAAGAGCAACCTGCTGGATTCTGGCATGGGCTCTGATTCTGATATCCCCCCTTTCCACTATACCGCACTGATACTCAGAACAAATACCCCAAGAGGCCAAAAAAGGTATGAAGAATCTGCAGTTCCTTCATTGAAAAAATATTTATTAAGCTCCTTCTAAACACCACGCACTGGGATAGGAACCGAGTTTCAATGACTCCTAAACAGGGCTCCTGCATTGTATCCCAACAATGCACAAAAACAACCTATGGTTATGCTGTGGCTGTGCTCTGGTGTGTGTTGTGTGAGTGAAGGGAGAAGTACAAGAAAGAAGGTGGTTCCCAGAGGCCTCCTATGTACAAGCAGGAAAATAGAAGGCAGGCAATCAGAGGAGTCAGGGACACTGCTCCAGGCCAACACGAGCCCAGCAGTGGAAGTGATGAAAAAAAGAGGGCTCTGTAGGAGACACAAGCAGACCTGCTTAGAAAACAGCACCCACTTTGGGCCTACCAATTAGCGAAAAAAGGCCCTCTCTGCTGACCAATTAGAACAAGGTTCCCTTTCATCTCGCTGACCCAGCCCCATGCTGCACACATCACAGGGGCCGAAAAAGAGCGGGTCTCAGCCCTGACTGCCCTGGCTTAGCTGAGTGCCCTTGTCAGAGCAAAACCCACATCATCACCCAGCCCCCTGGGCGAAGCGCTTAGTAGGGCAGCCCTCATCATAGCTCCCTTTATTTAAGGCCACTTTAACAAGTCATTAGAACAGATCCTGGTTGGTTTTATGACATCTGCCCACTAAGGTTAACAAATATGTCAATCAAGAGGATTATAATCCAAGGAGGGAAAGAAGGCAGGGTAGGTTATTTTCTGGTGACTTTCATATTACCAGAAATCCGAATTAAGAATTTCAGATTTTTCTTTTTTTTGAGACAGTCTTACTCTGTCATCCAGGCTGGAGTGCAGCAGCACAATCTCAGCTGACTGCAACCTCTGCCTCCCAGATTCAAGTGATTCTCCTGCCTCAGCCTCCCTAGTAGTTGAGATTACAGGCACCTGCCACCATGTCCAGCTAATTTTTGTAGAGAAGGGGTTTCACCATATTGGCCAGGCTGATCTTGAACTCCTGACCTCAAGTGATCCGCCTGCCTCAGACTCCCAAAGTGCTGGTAGTAGAGGCATGAGCCATTGCACTGCCCAAGAATTTCAGATTTCTTAACATTGTTTTCAAACATCACCAGTTCTCCAAGAAGCTATATACACTGGAGAAGAGCGTTTGAAAACAATTTTTTGTACCCTGTTCTTTTCTCTTTGTTAAAAATTTTAAATCTTTGTTTTGAAGTTTAACATACACACAGAAAAGTAAGTGCACAAATTTTAAGTGTACAGCTCAATGAAGTTTTACAGAATGACTACATCCAAGTAACCAGCACCCAAGTCAAAAAACAGAATTATTGCTAACATCCAGAAACCCTCTCATATCTTCTTCCAGCCACTGTTCCCTCTCCACAGGTAACCTCCGCTTCTAACTGCTAACACCCCAGGCTCACTTTGCCTGTTTGTGAACTCTACATAAATGGAATAATTTAATGGGTTCTCTTTACTGTCTGGCTTCTTTTCCTTAACTTTATATTTGTGAGACTGATACATGGCCTTGCCAATAGCCAATAGTCCATTTATTCTCATTGCTGTATAGTATGCCTTTGTGGGGATGTATCATAAATTATTTCATTCATTCTACTGTTGATGGACATTTGGATCATCTTCGGTTTAGGGCTAATGTGAACAGTTACCAGCCTGTTTTTAATGTTTGATTGTTATTTACATACCCCTGCCAAAAGCCGCACCAAATGTGAATGTGAAATTCAAGGGCTGATAAATTGCTGTGGCCGTAGGAAGCAAAAATAACTGTAAAGGATCTTTTATCTTGATTAGAAAACTTAAAGATATGTTACCGTATAAGGCAATTATATACTGTATAAGCAATTATATGCAGTTCATTGCATAATGCCAGTAGTCATTAGACAGTGAGAAGCAAACAAGATTGATGAATTTTCAGGTAAAGAATAGGGATCTATGTGATTCTGGCAACAGCTGGTCAGTTTTACCCTCTGCATTTAGCAGAGCTTGGTAAATTTTTTATGATATGACAATGTGATATTCCTAAGATTGCGCGTATAAACTGTACTGATTAACTTCAAATTCTGTGAGGTAGGTGGCAAGTAGCATCATTTTCATTTTCCAGAAAAGGGAGTTTAGACAAATTGCTTTCCCTCCCTCTCCCCACGCGCAGGACGGCAAGTCAGTGTCATGGCTACAGAACGCATAGGCTTCTGCCTGTGAGCTGAGCTTCTCCAACTGTCCTCCCCACATGTGCCCAATATGCAGCGGGAAGGCAGTGGGAGGAACTGCAGCCTTGAGGTGGGAGGAATTCTATTAATACCTTGGATATTTATAGTACTCTGGAGTACTTGGAGCATCTTTTCAGAAGAGCTGGCCAAAGTCTGTGACTCATATGCCAACACAAGGAGCAATGTCATTTTGGAGACAGGCTGTCACATGGCGCTTGCAACTTCCGAACTCCTTATAGGGGCCAATTTCTCACCCCTGGTTATTATGTTCAAGAAATTGATGAATTAATCAAGGAACAATCCTTGAAGATGTTTTCTGGGCATCTCCACACAGGCTGGCTCCATCCCAGGGGTTCTTTGCCTTTTGTGCTGTGAATTTCCTTGGCCATCTGGTAAAGGCTTACGGACTCCTTTTCAGAATATTGTTTTAAAATGCGTAAAATAAAATACATGGAATTACAAAGGAAACAAAGCATACTGAAATACAGTTATCCGAATTGTAGAAACAAAAACAAGTTTGTGATCTAATAATATGTGTGTTTCTTTGCTGACATGTTCCACAACCAGATCTAGAGGTGAGAAAAGAATTAACAAAATTTCAAAGTAATAAGTATTCACAATATTTGACAATACCTGCAATAATGTGATGTGATATTAAAATAATTTTCTTTCTATTGGTGACAGTCACAGATACTGCAACTACTTCTGCAGTTTGCTGCCTATCATCATAGTTGAAAGAGATTTAAAATTTCCATTAGAGGTTAGTAAAAACTTCAGAGGTATCTTTTTTTCCCATCTAAATTCACAGACACCTGAATTCTATCCCTCATCCCTGAAATCTATTCGTACCTTAATAACCCCAAAGATGGCTCCTAGGTTAGGTGCACACACACACACACACCCCTCTAAACACCATCAGCTATCTGAAACCTGGCAGCCTCTCTCCAGAAAGCTGGACTCCAGGCCAGTCCTGCGGCCAGGCCAGAGAGTAGGAAGTTAAGGGCTTGTGATTATGAATCTCAGATTCTGCTACTACTACCAAGTAAGAATTGGCCTCAGGTGTAATCAAGGTCAGTTCCCAGCATGGCTCCTTGTGACAGGGCTGAGTAACAGGACTTCTTTTCAGTGATGTTCTGGACAATTGACAAGTTCAGATGATACCCAGGAACTACTGTTAATATTAAGTTGATGCTCATTAAGTGGATGAAAGCATTATGGTTATTAAAGAAAATGTCCACATTTTTAAAAGATGCATGCTGAAGTATACAGGGGTAAATAACATATCTGGGTTTTATAATTAGAGTTTTTTTTAAATGCCTCTGGGTTAAAAAGGGGATGAATGAAGCAAAAGTGGTGAAAAATTCAATTAAAATTTCTGGACTCTAGATAATGCTTATATAGGGGCTAGTTATACTGTTCCCTCTGCTTTAGCTTATGTTTAAAACTTTTTCCTATAAAAACCTTAAAAATAATTTTGGACCAAAAAATTAGGTGGAGAATAGTTTTTTATAGCGCCAATTTGCTTTTTATGATAACTATTACTCAATTTAGTTCAACTTACAACGCAATGGCTAAATTGTATCATTTCTCATATAGTAAGCATATGAGTTTTAAAAACTGGTTTTCTCCATACCTTTTGCCAGTTGTCACGCATGCTCTCACCCTCCAAGAGTTCATAGTTAAGCTATGAAGACATAATGGATACACATGAGACCAGAGTTGGGAAACAATGTCAGATAGGGTATGATGTAAATGCCAAGACAAGTGATAAAGATGGAAAATGTGATACATGTTCAGGAAAAGGGGAGATCAGGGAGGGCTGGAAGGCAAGGCTGGTGGCTTTGAGTTGCAAGTTGTTTGCTGCCTATTGGTCTCAGCTTTGGATTCATTGCCTCTTTTCGTTTAGGCGTCTTTCTTTGCATTCATTTCTCCATGGTAGAATTCCCTCTGGATTCTTAAAGCTTGTAAGTGACAACCTTCTTGCTTTCGGTGTCTGCCTGTGCCCTTTCCTTACGAGGCTGTATTTGACACATACTGAGTCTCCATGGATGTGCACCCTCCATCTGCTCATGGCTGCTCCATCTCACTGTTCTGTCCCAGATGGTGAACTGCAGCCCAGGTGCTACCACCACCAGCATTCTTGCCCACTCAACCCAGTGTCCCCCTGGCCCTGTGTGGCAGTAATGTCTGCCAGGCAGGCAGCCAGGGAGCTAACATGCCCAGACCTGACAGTGGCCTCAGAGGAGAGCCCCTTCCTGCCGTGTGCTGGGGAAGGGGACAACTGTCAGCCATAAAGGAAAGAGTGGACACCTAACCAAGATAGGGAACCCAGCTGGTGCTGAAATCACAGCCCTTCAAATGGGCTAGAATGATCTCCCAAAACAGGAGAAAAAAAAAAATCCCTAGAAGCGATTCAAAAAGACCCAAGTCCAAATTCTGGATGATCTAAGTTGAAAAAAAAAATCCCGACATTGCCTAGGTCATTGACACAAAAGAAAGTTTTTCTTTGCTTTTTTTCCCCTTTGGCTTATTCTCATTCTGAATTATCTGAAGCACTGTGAACAGGTTACTTGGCCATGCTGAGTTGGCAAACAGATGAAGCCATGTGGGCGAGGAGGTGGGATGTACATAAGCATCTGCCATCCACATCACACTGGGAGACTGCCGTGTTGCGGTAGCCCTTGGATCCTTTCATGGCTTAGAACCACAGGTTTGAAGTAAAAAAGAAAACATCAAATCCATGTTACTTAAGAGTGGTAGGATTCAAGAAGACTGTCAGAACACATTCCCTGACTCACAGGCAAAACTTTAACCCAAGCAGTCATCCGTCTCTGGACCCTGCCTTCCCTGGGCTCTGCATCATTCCCCACACCTCCTTGGTTATGGGGGACTCCATAGGAGACTCTGGTCTACAGACTAATTTCATTCTACCTCTCATGTGTACAACAATGAAAACAAAATGCTTTAACATCATCAACAACAAAAGGACAGCTGCTGTTCTGCATCTAGGGGAGAAGCTTCTCAAAGGAAAAGACATCAAGGTGTGGCCATGATTTATGCACACGAGGTCTGAGTCTGACCCGGAGAGGCTGGGACACAGAATTATTGAACTTTTGCTGAATGAAGTAATGGGAATTTTGAGTTTTCTTCAGGGAAACAAAGAGACACCACAGGGACTGCATCGCTGGGAACAAACAGTGGTCTCTGGTGAGAGACACGAGGGTCATGTGCATGTGGCAGGTGAGGGGCTCAAGAAGGACTGTGAGATATTTATTGAGGTGAGGATAGCTATGGCATTTTAAAGAACGGTGGCATTTGATTTTTTATTCTAAATAGTTTTCCTTCTGCATCATCTTGTGACCCCTTCCATAACCTCAGCCCTCCCATAAGTCTTTACATATGGCAGCTTTGTGTGGGGGGATATTTGGGGAAGAAAAGACATGAGATGCTGTCTGGTGAGGGGAAGGAGGGATAGGACAGTAACTGCAGGAGCTGTGAGTGGTCACTAAGAAGAGGCGGTCATGGAGGAAAGGCTGGAGCACAGGCCACTTCACCTCAGGAGTGGGTGTAAGATGACCCCCTTTCATTCAAAATGCACTAGAAGAAGGTGGCCCTGATGGCAAGGTGGGAGGGGAAAGCTGGTTCTTACCGGGAAAGGGGCTGTACTGGCAGGAGACACTGAGGTCCTTAAGAAACAAAAAATCACATTTCCCTGGTTTGAATGAGAACCCACACACACATACAGATACACATAATTAATCTTTGCTATTTTTTGGCTTACTTAAAGTTTTATTTATCTTTCATTACAGAATTTATCACATTATACTGTATTATTTCTGATATATTCATATGTTTTATAAATGAACATGTGAACTTTATATCTTTTGCACCAGCAAAGTGCCTGGCATATGTTGAGTTGTTTATTGAATGAATACTTGAATAAATGGCTGCTACATATATTTGTTAACAAGATGAAACTCTGAGTCACTCAGCAGAATCGGGTCTCATTTGCCATCATGGGGCTGATGTCAGTTTTGTTCCTACCTTTCTGCACCTCCCTGATCCATTTAGATGAACCCTGGCTTCAGGAAGCACTAGTTCTATGATGTCCTACACTGGAATCTACAACACTCTTCTACGCACCACAGTTTCTGGCTGAGGAGGAAGTGTGAACAGGCTGGCGTGGGCATGTCACTCTCACTGGGCCTGGCAGAGCTGGCCAGCTGCACCGCCCAATACAGGGGTCAGCTTGTTGCCAAAAGCAGTAGTGGCCTTGTGAGTAAGCTGAGTGGGCAGGCATAGCCTGAGTCATTTGATAAGTGCCCGGAAGCTGACCATCCCACGGCCCCCGACATTGAACTTCCCATTTCCTGTTACAGTAGCCAAAACTCTACCACCCTTAGCTATTCATGCTTTTGGATCTTTCAGAGATCTCAATTAGTGAGTATTTGTGTAGGCTTCCAGTATAGGGAGAGAAGGACAAGTGAGGAAGACAGTGAGAAAAAGAAATGGGAGGAAGATACAGATAGGCTTTGCACCCTTCCCTGTCCTTGAGCAGGACAATGCTTTCTCAAAAGAATAGCTTTAGCTCTTCCAAACTGCCCAGAAGACCATGAGAAGCCCACAGGGTCAGGACTCTCCACATGTCTTCTTACACACATACTTTCTCTGTCAGCCATACAACATCTGAAAACTCACACACATGAGAGAGATGGGAGAGAAGGAGAAGAAGATCAAAACAAAGTGTGCTGTACAGTAAAGGCACTGTAATCTTGACCTGATATCCCAGGCCCACATTTCCAGGCTCCCTTCCCCAACCAGGTAAGACCCAGGATCTGAAGAAGAATCCTTTTCTAGATGAAGGTTATGATTAACAGGAAACACACAACTGTATTTTCCTGATCCCAAATTAGAATGTAGGATCAGACATATCTGTAAATATTTATATCTATGAAGTCTTAAAAAAAGGAAAACAAACGAAATTGCTGCAGTTTACATGTAACAAATCTCCTTTATTGATGAATGGATTTAACTTTATTGACTTTGGTCTGGGAGAGACGTGTGAATCAGGTCCTCCACCTCATCAAGACCACTCTGAAGCTGCTGCTCTTAACCACCTACACCATGGACGTATGCACAGGCCAGCCCCTGGAATCTCCATTTCATTTGCCTTTCATGACCTTTTGCCTTTCAAATCATTGAACAAGTGATTTGTTATGCTTTCACTTCTCATTCTAAGTAAATGTTCACTTTTTTTGTTTGTCTTTAAGAGATGAGGTCTTGTTATGTTGCCCAGGCTGAACTTGAACTCCGGGGCTCAAGTAATCCTCCTGTTTCAGCCTCCTGAGCAGCTGAGACTACAGCCCTGAGCCACTGTGCCCAGCTAATATTCACTTTTCTATCTAATTTTGCTTTTGTGATTTTGTATTCCTTTTCATCAAGAGGGCCCCCATATTATATAAGTTTCAGTCCCTACAAAGTTGTATCCGCCCTTTCATATATCTACCCATGTAGTGCACGCTCTTAGTGTGCATAATCACACAGGAAATCTCAACTAATGGATATTTCATAACCATGATTTTTTTTTCTTTTTTTTTGAGACAGAGTCTTGCTCTGTGGCCCAGGCTGGAGTGCACCTTGGCTAATTGCAACCTCTGTCTCCTGGGTTCAAGTGATTCTCCCGCCTCAGCCTCCTGAGTAGGTGAGATTATAGGTGCCCGCCACCATGCCTGGCTAATTTTTGTGATTTTAGTAGAGATTGGGTTTCACCATGTTGGCCAGGCTGGTCTCGAACTCCTGACCTCCTTGCCCACCTCAGTCTCCCAAAGTGCTGGGATTATAGGCATGGGCCACTGCTCCCAGCCACCATGATTCTTAATTAAGCAGAATGTTGTCTACATAATGCTCTTAGAAGCAATTAATGAAATTAAAGGAATGGAAGCAGATAGTGGAGATTTCTATTGCAGAAATGTAGCAAGTATTTAACCTGGTCCCCAGACTTTTGTCCACCTGTATGCACAGAAAAGTATGATAGCAGCTAACACTCACATAGTGTTTACTGTGAACTAGGCCCCATTTAGTCCTCGTAGCCACCCATTGAGATAGGTGCTAACTCATTTTACAGATAAAGAAACTGAGGCGTAGAGAAATCAAGCATTTCCAAAGTTACACCTAATACAAGGCACACCTGGTTTGTTGACCCAGGCCACCTAGGTCCAGAATCCAAGGTCTCCACCTCTATGCTATTATCACCTATGTAGGGTCATTGCTGATGTTTGAGATGATGATCCAGTAGCACAGAAACAAATCACTACTTTGTTTTCTACTGACAAATATTGTCTTTTACTCTTAGCATTCTGGTTAAATAAAATCATGGTTGCTTTCCTTTCAGTTTCCTCCCTTCCTCAGCTAGGAATGAGAGATATCCCTGGACATGCCTGACACATAGTCTGACACATTGGCAAGGGTTGAAGTGGGCTGAGTGGTGCCCCCAAAGATATCAGGCCCTAATCCTCAGAATCCGTGAATATTCTTTTATATGGTAAAGTTTTCACAGATACATCTAAATTAAGAATCTTGAGATGAGAAGATAATCTTGAATTATCTGGGTGGCCCCTAAATACCATCAAAAGTGTCCTTATGAAAGAATGGCAGAGGGGAGTTAAACACACAAAGGAGACAGCAATGTGAAGGCAGAAACAGAGACTGGAGTGATGCAGCCTCAAGCCAAAGAACAGGAAGGAACGCTTCCAGCAGAAGCTAGGAGAGGCAAGGGACTGATTCTTCCCTAGAGCCTCTGCAAGTAGTGTGGCTCTATTGACACTTTGATTTCACATTTCTGGCCTCCATAACTGTGAGAGAATACATTTCTGTTGTTCTAAGGCATCAAGGTTGTGGCAATTTGTTACACCAGCAATAGGAAACTGATACAGGGGTCAATACATAGTAGCCAAAACAGTTTAAATGCAATAATAGTCATAACTGCCATGCCTTGCACCCTTGCAATGTACTGGGTATGTACTGTGTGACATACAGTCCTCCATTTCATTCTCATAAGGTGAATGAAGAAACTGAGGTCACACAGCTACTAAATGGCAGAGGAATGATTCAAACTAAGGTCTGTCTAACTCCAAAAACCACGAACAGAAAGATTACACTATACTGTAAATTCCAGCATCCTACATAGACATTCATTCCACTAAAATGATATCCAAATCCTAACAGTTCTTAATGATCACTATGGGTAGATTTATTTCTTAAATTTTCCCTCTTTGTCCATACACCCTCTCCCATTTTGTTATCTGTTGGTTGCTCTTATTGCCACTTAAAAAAAATGGTGTCCAAATTACTATTAGCCTGTTTTCCAAATGAAGAAACTGAGGCACAGAGAGGTTAACTCACTTGCTGGAATCCTGCAGAGCCTGGTCCTGGAAACTGTGCTCTCACTACTCTGATACATGCCCCTACAGAATCTTAGTCTGGGTCGGTAAGAAATATCTGGCAACTTTCTACTTTTTTCTCATGTGGCTTTTAGTTTGTAGAGTAGGTGTACCAGCTCTCTGTGCACACTTAAAGGTTAATTAAACCACTACAAAATGCAAAAGCAGCCAGGTCTTTGTTTCTGAGGTAATAAAATCACAAATGATTCCTATTCAAAAATGAAGGCTATAATATTCTGTTGCCAGTGGATTTTGTGCATTTTTCCTGTTTTAACAACGTGTACTTCTCTCTTCACCAGAAACATTAGGTCACAAAAGCCAATCTCATCTACATCTTTACAATGTTATTTATCATCTTTTTGCATGCGGGAGATAGAACTGGTAATGAAACAGCCAAATTGGATTCTAGCGAGGATTTGTCCTGACTTAGAATACTTTCAGAATCCATTCATAATGCCTCTGATTTATCATTAAGCCCCCTGGAGCCATTTATTTTGGGCCAGCTTTTCAGGGATAGGACATCAGTTGTGTGCTAGTTATTGGAAATTATAACACAGCTGATGAAGTGTGACAACACAGAGTCCATTGGATTTGCAAAAGATTACAGAAGGGTGTTACAGAAGTCAACAGCTATTATGCTGAAAATGTCTCTGAGCAGAGAGAGACATAAGGAAATAGATTCTATCCTGCTCCCTGTCATCTCTCCTAGGGTCTTTGGGTTCAGCGTACGTGAATTCCCCTCCCACAGTTCCTTTTCCTACCCCTGCAGTTTTTTTAGCATCTACTCCCGCCCACTCCCTCTCTCCCTCAAGCAGGTTATCATACAAAACTAGAAATAGGGAAGAAGGGTGGCTTGATACTTATGGCTGTGAAATGGTAGGTGGTTAATTCAGCCACATCATGGATACAGTTATGTTAAGCAAAGGGCAGACAGCATGTTATTAAATGAGGTTTTAGCTGACCCATAAAATCCAAAACACTTCAGAAACCATGAATCATAGTCTTGTCATACTCACTGTAGCATCCACTTGAAGGTGTTCTAGGTCAGCCTTTCCCCTTCCCACAGTGTATGTGGCATGCCCAGGAGAAGCTGGAGGAGGGGCAGTGGTGAATTATTTCAATCTCTCTGGCAATATTTTCGAAAATTGCCAACGTGCACATCTAGTGACCTAATGATTATACTTTTTGGTGATTCCATCCTAAGGGAAAAGAAAAGCATGACTTAGTACACAGGAAAATATGTTCAAGCATGTTTATTACAACATGATACCCCATGGTTAAAAAAATCTGGTAGGAAACAATCTGCATTTCTAGCAATAAGAAGTGTTTGAAGAAAGCATGGGAAATATCTACTATGGAATATCATGCAGCTATAAAAAAGAATGAGTTAGATCTATATGCATGAACCTAGAAAGATATCCACATAGATTATTAAGTGGGAAAAAAAGTCAGTTACAGAGTAACACACACAATAGCATATTATCAAACTTTAAATTACTAGGGCTTTCCCCAGAGAGTGCCATCATGATAATATCATCTCTAAGTTTGAGATGATATTATCTCATCAGCATATCCATAATGCAAAAGGAAACTGGAATCACAAGTTGAGGTGGTTTCAATACAGCTCTTCTTAGACAGGCAGATGGACTTTACAACATATGCGTGTCCTGCCCAAGCTTATACTACACTGGTAATCCTCATAAAGTAAAAATACCTCTTAGTCTCCAGAGAAATCTCTTCAAGTTGGGATTCTGGTGGGATATTAGGTTTAGGGGTAAGATGAAAGAAAGCGTTTCAGATTTGCCTTTTCTTTCTCTTTTCTTTTTTTTTTTTTTTTTTTTGAGACAGAGTCTTGCTTTGTCACCAGGCTGGAGTGCAATATTGCGATCTTGGCTCACTGCAACCTCTAACTCCCAGGTTCAAGCGATTCTCCTGTCTCAGCCTCCCGAGTAGCTGGGATTACAGGCACATGCCACCACGCCCAGCTAATTTTTGTATTACTAGTAGAGATGGAGTTTCACCATGATGGCCAGGAGGGTCTCGATCTCCTGACCTTGTGATCTGCCCACCCAGGCCTTCCAAAGTGCTAGGATTACAGGCGTGAGCCACCACACCCGGCCCATATTTGCCTTTTCTAAATACACATGCCCATGCCCCATCACAGACCTATCATCTTTTTTTTTTTTTTTTTAGAGTTAGGGTCTGATTCCGTTGCCCAGGCTGGAGTGCGGAGGCATGCTCACGGCTCACTGCAATCTTTAACTCCTGGGTTCAAGCAATCCTCTACCTCTGCCTCCTGAATAGCTGGGATTGTGGGATTGCAGGCATGTGTCACTACTCTTGGTTAACTTTAAAAAAAAATTTTTTTTTGAGAGATGGGTGTCTCTTTATGTTGCCTAGGCTGGTCTCAAACTCCTGTCTTCAAGTGATCCTCTCAGAGCCTCAGCCTCCCAAGTCGCTGGAATTACACATGTGAGCCACCAGACCCAGCTCACAGACCTAAACAATCTTAATTTCCAGGAGGGTAGAAATGGAAAATGGGGGAGGAAAGCCAGAATGTGTAAAAGCACCTCAGATGATCTGGCCAATCTTTCCCTCTTTTTAAAAACCCCGTTGAAAATAACTATCTTAAAAGTATATGCTCTGTTTCAATTACCAAGAGGCAGCTGTAATGAAGATAGTGACAATACCATTAACAATGTGCTAGACACTGATCTAAGGGAATTCATATCAATGAATTCATTTAATTCTCACAACATCCAACAAGGGAGGTATTAATTATTATTATCCCCATTTTATGAGATGGGAATAGGCAAAGTTAAGGTTAAGAATCATTACAAAGCTAGCTTGTGGTAGAGCCAGGGTTCAAAACCTAGGAAGTGTAGCTTCAGTCTATAGGAACAGATGTGAATCACAGCAAGCAAAAAAGGTGAGGCGTATGAGCTCACATCAACATTTTCATGCCCAAAGTTTCTCATTTATCTTGTCCCTTGGAGACCTAAAGAGTGGTTCTATTTTTTAGAGCTCATTCACTGCTGCACTTCTGATCACTGAATTGCCCTTGCCCTTTGAATTATTCAGTGTTTCTGGAGAAATAGTTCTGAAAAAATATGCTGTATTATTTCTCTCTTTCTTTCCTCCTTCAGTTCCTCCCCTGCCATGAAACCAGACTCTGTTGATACACAGAGAACTGTGCAGAAGTCTTCCACTAGAAGAGTGCACAAAAGTGGGCTGAAATTTCATGAGGTCCAGTTCTTCTTGAGTATGTTCCTAACAGGTGCTACTTTCCATTTAGACTTGTCTGTAAAATTAGCCTGTGAATACTGGCTTGCCTCTGCAATCACTTGCCTAGGTGGGGAGGTGCTGAAGGAGACAGGTGTGTATACATTCCTTTCTTTAAAGAAGGCTTGTTTTCAGTTGAAAATGTGGAAATTAAGACTTTCTTGCCTTCAAGAATTATGATGTTGTGGGAGTAAAAAAAAATCCTAAGGGTTAAGGGCCAGTTCTGCCACTTTGTTAAGTGTCTTCAACTAAGTCACTTAACTTTCTGAACCTCAGTCTCCTCACTTGTAAAATGGCACCATAAATTTTTGCCCCACTTATTTCACAAGGTTGTTGTGCTGATCCAAGAAAGAACTCAGATCTTCTGGTTTCATGCCCATGGTGTCCATTTCATCCATCTATCAGTTTTTCATTTCTTTATTCATTCATGCAACATGTATTATATCTCCCAAGGGTTAGCTAAGTGAAAAATGTATGCATGTTGGGAGGTTGGGGGAAGAAAGGGAGAGAAGCACCCCAGATTGGGAAAGGGCACTGAAGGTAGAGAAAATGAGGTGTTTAAGACAGTGGTGTGAGCAAGGACCTACAGCAGCCCATGACTCCACATTCTAATATTTTTCATGGTATTCCAATTCCTCTGTGGCCATTAATTCTTAAAGTTTCAAGTCAAAACCATCTTAACCTCATCCAAGCTGGGTTCCTTAGCTAATACCTTCTTCTACATCTTCTCTCCAGGCCCCCATGGCTCCTTCTATTTAAAGTACAGGTGGTGAGCAGAAGTAGTCAAGGCTTATAAGCCAGGCTGCTCCTCAAATGCAGCCGTAAGAAAAGAAATCTGTGGGGTGTTTTAAATGCATGCCTGATATAAAGATAAACCTCGGGTATCATATATCAGGGGATCCCAACCCTCAGGCCACCTATTGGTACCAGTCCATGGCCTATTAGGAACTGAGCCGCACAGCAGGTGAGCAGCAGGCAAGCAAGCGAAGCTTCATCTGTATTTACAGCCACTCCCCATTGTTTGCATTGCCGCCTGAGCTCTGCCTCCCATCAGATCAGCAGCAGCGTTAGATGCTCATAGGAGTGCAAACCCTATTGTGAACTGCACCTGCCAGGGATCTAGGTTGGACGCTCCTTAGGAGAATATAATGCCTGATGATCTCTCACTGCTTCCCATCACCCCCAGTTGGGACCGTGTAGCTGCAGGAAAACAAGCTCAGGGCTCCCACTGATTCTTCATTATGGTGCGCTGTATATTTCACTATATATTGCAATGTAATAATAATAAGGCACAATAAATCTAATGTGCTTGAATCATCCCAAAAGCGTTCTCCCCACCTCCACCCTGGTCTGTGGAAAAACTGTCTTCCATAAAACCAGTCCCTGGTGCCAAAAAGGTTGGGGACCACTGTCTTACATGATATATAAAGTGCAAGTTCTATGTGTCCCAGAAAAGGATTTTAAAGGTAATTCATGGTGTGTATCATGGCGTCTATCTTGTTACACATTAGTAATACTTTGAATGTGTAAAGTGCTTCTCCCTGTTCTGTTGGATTTATCTTTGAAGTAGCTCATAAAGATAAAGATATGAGTATAGAAAACATTCCTTCACTGGCCCTATTTTATAAATTAAGGAACAAAGACTGGATGCAACATGTGGCAGATTATGCGAAAAATCTAGTAGCTGAGCAAACATAAGAATTCAGGTTCCCTGGATTCCAGGACAGAGTTGACTTCCCCATCTGAAGTGATACATGAGCACAATAGGTTTTCATCGTCATTCAGATTATAATGGTTCCTTTTACTCTGATAATATTGCTGATATTTCTAGAAATAGCTTGTTCATCCATTTATTAATCTCATAAACCCCTGACTGGGGGAAACAGAGTGGAAAGTGGTCAGAAATGGGGCTGGAACAGTAATCAGGAAGCCGGAACCTCCATTGCCTCAAGAGCTAAGTTCAGTGTCAGGCCTTTGTCTCGAGGGCAACGGGGAACTCTGTAAAGGTATTTAAGTTGGGGAATGTAGTGATCAGCAGCATTTGGCAGCAATCACCCTGGGCTGGAGTGGGCCTGACAGGAATGGGCAAATCTTGGGGCAGGAAATCCAGTCAGAAGATTATGACGATAAAGCAGGTGAGAGATGTTGGTGTCCCAAGGGCAAAGGGGGATCCCATCAAGACATGAGAACCGCCACGTCGTTCTTTCCCCAATCCCACTGTTTCTAGATTTTTCCTTCTAGGAGGCCTGCAAATGTGTTTCCGGGAGGAAAATCCGTCCCTGCTATTTCTCCAGCCTTCCCTTGTTACCGGTCCGGCCCTGCCCCTTTAACATTCAGGAATGAGAGTGGAAGCAGAAGGCCCAGGTCCCCGGAGGTCCCGACGCCCGGATTCCACAGCCTGTGAGGGTCCCTTGAGCAGAGCGGGACGAGGCCACTGGCACTACGTCGTGACTTCACCAACAGCCTGCAGTACTCGTTAACGAGATTTCGCCAGGCCCCTTGGACTAACGCCAGGATTCTCGGTGCCCGCAGTCAGCGCTCTGGGATTAGACAACGCCCCACAGGCCGCGGCTCTCTGCTGACCCTCAGCAGCGATGAGACCGGCGCGCACAAGCCAGCAGCCACTAGCTCTCCCACAAGGCCGAGCGCGGCCAAAGGGCAGCCCCGCCCGCTCCGCCTCCCCCAGCTCTATTGGCTAGTGCACCTGCCACTCAGCCGCGCGCCGGACTCCGGCTTCGGGCCTGGAGGAGGGATCCCAAGCCTCCTCGGCTCGGCTCGGCTCGGCTCGGCTCGGCTCGGCTCGGCTCGGCTCGGCTCGGCTCGGCTCGGCTCGGCTCGGCTCGGCTCGGCTCGGCTCGGCTCGGCTCGGCTCGGCTCGGCTCGGCTCGGCTCGGCTCGGCTCGGCTCGGCTCGGCTCGGCTCGGCTCGGCTCGGCTCGGCTCGCTTGTCCTTGAGGTTTACTGTGTTTGGCATCGCAGTTCCGACGGCAGCCGCCGTTTCGCGACCCACGGCGGACTTGCATAAACACTTTCTAGTTGGAATCTCACCCTGTGAGGTGGGCAAGGTAGTGATATTCCTGTTTGACGCCGACAGAAATAAGAGAGATTGACTCTCAGAACCATGTGGCGGGATTTTAAAGGAGGATCTTAACAGTGGCTCGGACAGACCCGTGTTTTCTGCTCCTAGCATTAACTACGTCGTTAAACCCTTCTGAATTTATTTCGTCTGTGAAATGGGGAAAAGATAGCCACCTTGCATAACTGGTGAAGAATTCGTAAACTGACAGCAGAATCTAGTAAGAGGACTGGCCCGTGGTCGGCTCTTAATGGTGTGTATGGGGCTATGAACATTCCCAGGTCTTCTGACCTCTAGTCTGGGACTCTTTCTGCTAAACTAGGGATTCTTAGAGGTCCAGAGACTTCGGGAGATCCAGGGGCATCTTCAAGGGGGTCCCTGAGTTCTAAACTGCAGAGGAACACTCTTAAGAGAGATAATAAATATTTCCACCACATCTGTTATGGATAATATATATTTTGTCATCTATTTGCCAGAGACTGTTGTAAGTGCTTGTATACATTAAGTCACTTAATCTTTACAGTGAACACTAAGGTACATCCTATTATAATTCCCATTTTACAGAGACGTTAAATACCTATCTAGCTAAAAAATGTGGGAGCTGTTTTACATTCACGCAATCTAGCTGATAAAGCCACACACCTTAATGTTTGTACTATATATTATTGTGCAAGAGGTGTATTTGATAATGATTCTTGTGTCACCATTTACAAGATGCTTCTGGCTTTTATTAAACTCTCAAAGGGCAGGAAAAGAAAAAAAAATACAGAGGAACCTAAACCCTAAATCAGAGACAGACTACATGCAGATATACAAATGGATGATAAGAAACCAAAGTTGTGGGTACCATGTTTGCAATTCCGTTTTAGCTGAGTGCTTTGGACTATCACGTCCCTCAGTGGCTCCCTGGAGGAAGAATGATTGAATGACAGGATAGGAATGGAATGTAGCCATCATCTTATCTGACCACACAGACACCTCCCAGCAGATGAATGCATCACCTCCTCATGATAATTTTGAAGACTTTCTGAGAAAGTGATAATATTAGCCTATTACCTCACAACCACAAGGAACACTACAGTGACTACAAACCCTATGTGCCTCATTCAACAGGTGTCACAGAATAAAGAAAAAGACTGGGAGAGAGATGGGAGCTGATAGACCAGAGGAGACCAAAGACTGAAACTGAAGACTAAACCATGGAAATTGGGAACAAGCACTTACTCGCTTAGAGGGTGAAAAAAGTGAATTTGCCTACAGGGCCAATTTGGAAGCACCTCTCCCTGGAAGCCAGGTTAGAATTCCTACTAAGGTGTCCTTGGCCTCTTCAGTGGTGGTGGCCTTGAACTACACAGCACACTTGCACACTCAGCTTCTGAATGTCCAGAGCAGTCCTGAGTCTTGCCTGAGAAAAATACTCAGGTTCTTGGGCTTCATCTCTCCCTTCTGCCTTCTTTTCCTCCACCTTTCCAGGTCAGCCTGGGGAATATGAGATGTGAGGAGAGGGGTGAGTGGAGGCTGAGTTTTGACCAATGTTATATGACATTTGAACCTGACCTATGGCAAAAGGAAGATCCTTTGGGAGGCAGGCCTATGTTCTCATCCCTTTTTCTGCCCCTTTGGATCAATTAGCTCTCAATCATTTTCTCTGGGACTGGTAAAGAACAGAGAGGGGCACTGGACAACATCAGCCAAGTAAAAGTAGTGCGGGGGTTGGGTCCCAAGTGATCTGTCAACATCCTGAAATGATATTTTGAGTGACCAGAGAAAATGCAGTCTCCATGAAGGAGGGAAGTCTAGGGTGATTCCTGTAGAGAAATATTGGTTGTGAGATTTAAGGGGTGAACGTGAGATAGACAGGAAATGAGGCAAGAGGCTGAGAGTCAGTGGCACCACTTGCTTTGGAAATGGAGCAAAGTCTCCAGCAAAGGCTGTGAAGCTCACAAAAGCTTGGTCCTGGGGTGAGGTGTGGGGAGGGTTGGCCATATAGGACAAGAGCAGGGCTGCAGACTTAAAGGCCCAAGGACAAGCAATGTGACTCCCTTTCCAGCAAGATTGGGACCTCACCAAACTACCATTTCCCAAGCCCCTCCATCCAACAACTGGATATTCTCTCTATGGCATGAATAATAGCTATTGTGCCACATGGTATGCAAAGACAATTATTATAGATTTGCTTTGTACTGGGCTTTTGCTAATTGGCTATAAGTGCTAACCTTTCATAAGTGACTCTAAAAAGGATGATTTCTGCACAGCTCTCTAAGCATTTGTGGACCCAGTCAGGAAAGCTGAAAGAAGCAGCAGGCTTAGCAGACCATTCTGAATAGCTTTGGAGACATAAGCCAGGGAGACCCAGAATGAGATAAGGAAACCAGTCTTCTCATTTGGAACCTAGAACATTTGAATATGGACACTTTGATGTTCACCTTGGCACCATTAGTATTGAGCAGATTTGTTAAGTATTAGTTTGAACTGTATGATGTGCTGATGTTCAGCTGTTTTTGATGCACAAAACATAGCAATTTCCTATGGCTGAATCTAATAAAATCCTGAGGTAATAAGATATTCTAAGAGATGTTAACTTAGTTGACTGGGGGAGAATGAGGAACTTTGGGGGCCTAGGTCTCTAGGAGTGAGTGTTCCCAATTATAAACAATTCATTAAAAAGAGGCTTGCAGGATCTCCAGTTAAAAATTCTAGTTTCATTTATTTATTCATTCATTGTAACAATATCAGAAATCATTGAGCATCTCCCATGTGTCAGTCACTGTGCTAGAAAGACAGAATAAAATGATGGTCACTGCCCTGAAGGAACACACAGAATAGTGGGAAAGGAGTGAGGATGGTGCAGTGGACAAGGCTATAGGGAGGGCCCTGGGGAAACAGAAGAGGAACAGAGAGAATGATTCTGGGGAAGGAAAGGAGGAAGAGAAGGAGAGGTGTGGTCTTAGCCAGAGAAGGTTTTGATGTGGGAAAGACAAGTAATAATTAACCAAATAGGAAAGGCAGGAAGGAAAGTTCCAGACAAAACCAGGCAGAGATAACCATATGATTTAAAGAAACAAGTTATATTTAGAGTGAATATAGGTATATTAAGTCTACAGAAAGGCATTTATCAAAGGGCTTTAGGCGTCTCCAAGTCAGGAACCATGTCGTATTTACATTCATATAGCCAGTGTTGTGTCCAGGACCATACCTAGCACATGGTAGGTGCTTGGTAGATGTCAAAATAAACTGGCCTGGGGAAAAAAGCCTGAAATTGAAATATACCACAAATTTAAAAGAAACTTTTTCTTTCCTGCTCCCATTAGTCTGAATTGATGAGGTTTCAATGTATTACTTGAAATGTTATGGATGAAAACATTCATTTGCAACCTATCTCTAGAAAGAGATGTGGTTATGTAACCTTTTAATCTGTGTGTCTAAGTAGATGTCAAAAGTATGTGTTGCCTTGAGGACTTTTCTAAGTCTGTTCAATGTTGCTATAATAGAATACCTAAGCCTAGGTAATTTATAAAGAAAAGAGGTTTATTTAGCTCACAGCTGTGCAGTCTGGGAAGTATGAGAAGGATGGTGCCAACATCTGCTCAGCATCTGGTGAGAACCACGTGCTGGGTTAAAAAACATGGCAGAGAAGGTCGCAGGGGAAGCGAACATTTGTGAAGAGAGGCAAAACCTAAGGGGCTCCTGGTTTTATACCAACCCATTCTTGTGGAAACTAATCCATTCTCACAAGAACTAGTCTAGCCTCCCCAGAGCAGGAACTCAGTCACTTGGTGAGACCCATGACAAGCCATTCACGAAGGATCTGCCCCCATGACCCAAACACCTCCCATTAGGACCCACCTCCCAACACCACCACACTGGGGATCCAATTTCAACATGTGTTTGGTGGGAACAAATAAACCATATCCAAACCATAATAGAGACTTTTTCAGTTCCTTATTTTGAATATTTAGTGTGTACTCTCCATAGGCCAGATGATATAACAGGCTTGTGACCACAGTGGTAAATAAGACAAATATAGACCCTGCCTTGAGAGAGTTTAATATTTAGTAGCTAAAACAGTTATTATCTGTTAATTTGCCTGGATGAATCAGAGAAGGCTCTCAAATGAAGCAGCCTCTGGAAGACGAGGGCATTCCAGGGAGGAAGGGCGGCATATGCACCAGCATGGAGGCGGGAGGAGACAGCACGATGTACCTGAAGAAGAACAAATAATGAGTGCTACTTGGGGCTATTGGAAACGAGAAGGAAATGTGGAAGAAGAAGTTAAAAAGGTGGACAAGGGTTAGCTCTTGAAGTGTCTTGAAAAGGAGTTTGTATTTTATTTTGCAGTCAATGAAGAGCCATTGGAGGATTTTAAATAAGGAACCGAAAAATGGAGTCTGAAAATAGAGGCGCAGAGACCGGTAAGTTGGTGGTTGCCAATCAGTGGTCCAAGGAAAAGATAAATGAGCAGAGCCGTGATCAGGACCAGAGAGGAGGCAACAGAAAAGAGATGCTCAGGATACAATCGATGCGCTTCGAGAGTGACTGGAGGTGGGGCACTGTAGAATAAGTGACATGGAGAGATCTAGATTGACCTCTGGGCCTACAGCTCAGGAAAATGGGTGGGAGGTGGCATTCAGAGAGACCAGGAGCACTCCTTATCTTTCAGAGCCCAACACATAATCACCAACAGCTGACTTATGAATAAGATCTTGGGGTCCTTGAAACACCGAAACACTGGAATTTTTAGAATTTTACATTCTTACTGCCCAAGAAAACCCCTTGCAAAGAAAAAAAACAACTTAAGAAAAGTAAAAGTATTTAAAAGGCTCCAACTTCTCCCAAACACCTCCTCTTTTCTGACTCTCCCAATTGTATAGTCACAGCAATAATAGCAGCCACATATTAAGTCATTACCATCTATAGCCAAATAACTGCAAAACCACAAGAGGGCAATGAAAATGGCCATAAAGGCACAGAGTAGTAATTATTTTCCCATTAGCACCAGCTACACTAATATCAACATAGAACAATTAACATTCCTAACCTCATAATTAGGCTATAACCTCTGCATGTCTTGCCAGAGTAGATTGATGAATGGCACAGGAGGAATAAGCAACAATAAGGCAGCCGTGCAGTGAGACCACTGCATCCTCACCTTGTCTGCGGGTGATCCACAGTGCTGTTGGATAGAAAGGCAGTGGGAGAACTTGGTTGTGATTTCCACTGATCTAGCCAGTCCCCAGCTAAAAGCCATCGAATTCAGCTGCACTTTCTTTGAGTCCCAGGAAGTGAGTGTTTGAGTGGGAGAAAAGCTACAGCAGTAATAACACAGAAGGCAGAGTCCTTTTGCATTTATATCTCTTTATTCTGTCCATCACTAGGCAACCATTCTTTGTGCTTAAAACTACACATCTTTGTACATGTGACACCTTCTACTCTGAAGTAACCACTTTGGTTTGCAGTGTGCTAGGGGATATCTATTCTGTTTATTTCTGTTTAGGTCAACCACAATGAAGAACAAGCCATTTTGACCTCCATCCTGGCTCATCTCCTCTGTGTTCTCATAGCATCATATTATAGAATGGATCACAAACGCCTTTGCAGTTGCCTATTTATTTGTCCATTTCTCCCTCCAGACTGTGAGTTCCCAGAGGGCATGTCTTATCTATGTTAGTAGCCACATCCCCGGTATCTGGCTCTGTGGACAACACTCCGTAACTGTTGGAGGAATGAATGAATGAGTGAGTGAGTGAGTGAATGTTTTCCCTGAAATTCAAACCTTGATGGTTGAACTTGTCATTATTTGGTTTACGGAACAAGCTAGGCTGATTGAATTGACTTGGCCAGGCACAATTAGGCAAAATGTAACACAAAGAAGATGAGTACACCAGCCTTGCTGATTGAGGAGATCAGCTGTGGATGAGCCAAGTGCCAGCTGCCAGCTGCAGTTGCAAGGCCATGTTCTTCTTCTAGCTAGGAACATTCTGTGGCAGAGACTCACTCAGGGGTCTGAATATCAGAATCACAACCAGAAAATGGCTCATTATTGCACAGACAAATAATTGGCGGCTCTCTCCAAGTAACAGTGTCTTAAGTTAGGTTCCCTAGAAGCAGATTATAAAACGAAGACTCTTGGTCAAGTGATTTACTGAGCTCATGCTCTCAGGAGAAAAGGAGTGAGAGGAGCATAATAGGCAGGGAGAAAAGCTAGAGGAGAGCTCAGCTGGCGACTGGCTGCAGCCTGATCACCTTGAGCTATGGAGCTGGCCAACCCTTTGTCTCTCTGTGTGGATTAGTCATTGGCTGTGGGCTATCCCTGGGGGCAGGAACCATAACCTCCTAGTGAACACAGCTCTTATTTCAGTAGAGAGCAATTCTCTGGAAAAGTGGGCAGCTGTGAGCTATTGAAAGTCAGTACCCAGAGCTGGAGGATGGGTGCACGGCTGGTAAAGGTGCTCTGGGCATGGCACCTCCAGCATCTACCAGAGTTGGATTGTGGGAAATATTGTTATAGTCACTTTTCAAAAGAATATATTTATGCAGCCAACAGACATATGAAAAAATGCTCATGATCACTGGTCATTAAAGAAATGCAAATCAAAACCACAGTAAGATGCCATCTCACGCCAGTTAGAATGGCGATCATCAAAAAGTCAGTAAACAACAGATGCTGGAGAGGATGTGGAGAAATAGGAATGCTTTTACACTGTTGGTGGGAGTGTAAATTAGTTCAGCCATTGAGGAAGACAGTGTGGCGATTCCTCAAGGATCTAGAACTGGAAATACCATTTGACCCAGCAATCCCATTACTGGGCTTATACCCAAGGGATTATAAATCATTCTACTATAAAGACACATGCACAGGTATATTTATTGCGGCACTATTCACAATAGCAAAGACTTGGAACCAACCCAAATGTCCATCAATAATAGACTGGATAAAGAAAATGTGGCACATATACACCATGGAATACTATGCAGCCATAAAAAAGGATGAGTTAATGTCCTTTGTGGGGACACGGATGAAGCTGGAAACCATCATTCTCAGCAAACGATCACAAGAACAGAAAACCAAACACTGCATGTTCTCACTCATAAGTGGGAGTTGAACAATGAGAACACATGGACATAGGGAGGGGAACATTACACAATGGGGCCTATTGTGGGGTGGGAGGGTAGGGGAGGAATAACATTAGGAGAAATACCTAATGTAGGTGATGGGTTGATGGGTGCAGCAAACCATCATGACACATGTAGACCTACGTAACAAAACTGCACGTTCTGCACATGTACCCCAGAACTTAAAGTATAATGAAAAAAACGAGTTAAAAAAAAAAGAAATATTGTCATAGTAATCACTACCGATTATTGAGCACCTACTATATGCCTAGTGCTGTGCTAAATATATGTATTTGCCCAGATACTCCTTTGGATACACCTGTTAGAAAGGTAATATACTAGCATTTCCATCCGGCAGATGAAACTCAGATTAGTGCTTAGAATATTTCCTTTCTGTGTCTACATTCCTATGATAGAATCAGGATATTGCACCTCCAACTGGCCTGAATTCCATGCATTCATTCTACTCATGAATTCCACCAATGCTTTTGAGCACCTATTACGTACCAAGACTACGCTAGGCCCTAGGGATATATCAGTGAAATGATAGTCTTGGATCCTTTCCTCAAAGGATAAGACTAAGCCTCAGGCCTAGATCCAATGTGATCTAATTAAAAAATATTATTTGGACATCTGCTATGTACATTCTGATTCACCACGCTTAATCAAGAAATAATCCAGACCCCATGCCTCTGTAAAAGTCCACTTGAATCCCTCATATAAAACATGCTACTAGATTGGGAAAGCCTGTTTTCAATACTTCATACAAACCAAGCACGGCAGGCACCTTCCCTGTGCATGAAGATTAAACTTGGTGATCTCTAAATTCCCTTCCAGCTATCACATCGTCAGATTCCCACCTCTGACCATCCACAGTGCTCATGTCTACACTTTTACTGGGGACTGTGATGGTCTGTTTTGTGTGTCAACTTGGCTAGGCTATAGCCAGTTACTCAATCAAACACTTATCTAGGTGTTGCTATGGCAATATTTTGTAGATGTGATTAACATCTACAATCACTTGCCTTTAAGTAAAGGAGATTATTGTCACTAGTATGGGTGGACCTCATTCAATCAGTGAAATGCCTTAGGAACAAAACTGAGGTTTCTCTGAGGAAGAAGAAATCCTGCCTCTGGAGTGTACCTTCACCTCTTCCTGAGTTTCCAGCCTGCCAGCCTGCACTACAAATTTTAGACTTTCAAGCCACCCCCACAATCACTTAAGTCAATTCGTTGAAATAAAACTCTCTCTCCCTCTTTCTCAACACACACACACACACACACACACACACACACACCTCTCCTGTTGGTTCTGTTTCTCTGGAGAACCCTGAATGACACAGGGACCCACCATGTACTTTTCTTATTGTAATATCGTCTGGTATATACAGTTTTACAGCTTCCGATGTGCATAGTTTTGGCCCATCCGGGTTACTAGTAGGCAGATGAAGCCCATGCTTAGAACACCAACAAAACAAGGGTACTAGAACATGAGAAAAGCTCATCTTCAATTCAATTAGCTTAACCAGAGTTTTGCAATAAGAACATGCAGAAATTTTGCTTACTCATAAATTCTGGTTTTTTTTAAAAAAATTATCTGTATGTGGGTGAGAAGGACTATAATCATTTCAGGTTGGAGCCCCTAAATGTATTAATCCAGCTCTGTACATCTCCAAGTAGAATATAAGGTCCATGAGGTCAGAGGCCAAGCCTTGGTTTTTTTATGAGCCTATAGTACCCAGTATGATGTTTTACAGATAATCACATACATAGAAGGTGCTGCATCAACCTATTATTTTCCTTTTGTTTTATTATCCAGAATATATTAACTTTGGGAAATGGGAAAAACAGGCTCAGAGAAATGCAGATTTGTTTGTTTTTAGGGAAATTGATTTACCATCTCCAAAGGAGAGGCTGCTTCCTCCATATGGCTAGATTTATTATCTGGAAAACAGTCCAGAGACCAGCCTTTCTCTTGTTTCTGTGTCCATTGGCAGGTGCTGGCAGTCCAACTGACTGACATGTGTCAGGCTTTGTGAGTGTTTTAAGAGAGATTCATTTTGCAACAGCACGTAGGCAGGCTGTCCCAAGCCAGCAGCAAGCATTGTTGGCAGTGGAAGGGATTAAAAGGACTTTCGCAGAGACTCAGAGTCTAGACTCTTTCTGGAACACAACCTGGAATAGCAGTGTGATGTGTAAACAGCAGATGTCCAATAAATTTGTGTTTATAGGCTAGCTGACCTTTGACCCCTAAATGATTAGCATCTCTGATGGAGTATGTAGAAAGGGGTCCAGATCCTTAAGCAAATAACTTCCACTTCGAGTGAGAATCTATCAACTTGAAAAGAGTTGTTTCAGCCATAAAAAGGGACTTCAGGTTGAGTCCAGCCTGTGGTGGGAAACTTCCACTAACTTGAGTGTGCACCCTGGTCTCTCTTACCCAACCAAAAACAAAACTGGTCATACAGCCTGACATTACAGAAATAGAGGATAGAACTCGGAGCCCAAGAGAAATATATGGAAAGTCTTCCAGAATAAGAAAATTAGGAGAATTATAAGACAACTGTGTGTAGGGGTACCCCAAAGGCACTGAAGAGAGAAAAGCAACACAAGAGCCGAATGAACTCCATCTCCCATGCATCTCTGAAAGGTTTTCCTGCAACTCCAGTAATGTTGACCACTTTCCTGCAGGCCTTGCTGGCCCTGTCCTTCCCTCCCTTCATCCAGTCCCCTCCACACCGGCCAGAGTGAGGCTCTCTATGCCCTCTGTCTACCTAAAGCCGGTTATGTAAAGCCCACAGCCTTCACAGGACACTCAGAAGCTTTCAGAACTAGCTATTCTCAGCCTCTCTCCAGCTGCATCCCCTCACGATGCCTTGCCCTGGATGTTCTTTGGTCACACAGAACTATTTCACATTACTTTAACTACTCCATGCCCTTCCAGCTTCCAGGCCAAAAATGCCTTCAGCCAACCTTTCAAAAGTTCACCAACCCTTCGAGGCCCAGTTCAAAGCTAGCTCCCATCTCCTCTGGCTGAATCAATCAGCCTTTCTTTGATGCTTTCCTAATACTCCCTACTCTCCATGGATATTGTATTCCAATCATTTATATAGTATATTCACACTTCAATTCTCAGCAGAATGTGAGCTCTTCAAAATGTCTGGGCAATGGTTATTTTTAAAATTCTTGGTGCCTTGTTCCATACTTCTCACTTAGTAGGTCCTCAATAAATAGAGGTAGATAAATGAAGTAATCAACTAAGTGACGTATATTGTCAAGCCTGCCATTCAGCTCACACTCAGGCATTCTCTCAAGCTCTTCCTCCATTTTACCCCATCTGAAAATTGATGCTTGTTAGTGTGTCCAATACTACTGCCGCAGATTTCCATATATGCCCCGTGCCTTCCACACAGACTCTGTGCTCATGTTGCAGGAAATAAGCTTCTCAGGCTGTACCGCATCCAGCACCAAGCAATGTGAATATGGGGTGTCCAATAAACACTAATTACGTTAATGATTTGTGATATTTTTCTGCCATTCAGTTATGTGCTTTGAAGAAAGACATAATGGCACAGAGTCAAAGGCCAATCTGAATTGCAGAGAAATCCACTTGTTGGTGGGGGGCACTGGGTGCACTCTCTGCCTTCCTTCAGTCATTCTCTATCCACTGCGGGTGGGTGGCCCTCAGACACAAAGGGATCCATCCCACTGCAGGGCCCTGTTTGTGGAGGGGCTGATAAGTAACCTCTCTCAAGTCAGGTGTAGCTCTGTAGCTCTTAGGCCAGGAGAGAAGCTAGAAACATGCTGTGGCACCCAGTTCCAGGTCTCCAAAGACCTTGCCTCATTTGACTGGGGGTTGCTCTTCAGATCGAACTGAGGTGTAATTCAGCTTAAATCAACATTCAGGATGAGCCCTAACAAACAACAGCTTTTCATTGCTGCTGTAGCTCCATAAGCAAGATTATCTTAGCAATTAGAGGGTAATTATTGTCTACAATCAGAAGGGGAGAAGTGTCAGAACGAGGCCAGCAGAAGCGGTGACATAATGGATAATTTATTAGATGGTGACTGGATGTTTTTCTCTCTCCAGGCCTTTGTGAGAAAAACACCCAAATGCCACAAGTGCATCCCCAGGGAGGTGCAGGGTGGCAGGAGCTGAGGATGCAAAAACATAATTGCTTTCTATCTACTCTGATTTGAGCTTCATCAAATCCTTTGGCTCCCAAGGCATTCTGCAGCAGATGTGTGCACAATATTCCAGCACTAGGACTTGTGTCTGCGGGTACTGCTCGAGGCCCAAGAGTCTGAGGGTCTGCAAAGCCTCCAAGCCCTTCCCCTTCCTCCCAGGCCTCAGGGCCTGTGCTGGCCACCCTCCTATACAGCCCTTACTTGGCATTCTTGCTAAGTCCTGTGGGGGCTCCATCCTTGACTCTTTTCATTCCACGCTGATGTCTTCTGGGCTCTGCGCCTCAGGGGAGAACTTGCAATGCTAGTAATAAACAAAGAGTACTCATGATAAAAAATGAATTTTGCTGCCTTAAGAGAGAACAGCAGAGCTTAAGGGCTTTCGTAGGTTTCTGAACAGCCACCTATCTTTTCCGGCCGTTGTCCACCCATGCACCCATCCATTCTGTAAAACTGTTTTGTGCTCACTGTGCTCAAAAAGCAGGAAGGTTTTTCCCCAAGGTAGTTCACAGCAGAGTGAAATACAGACTAGAAACCAGATAAGCACCATGAAGCGATTTGAAGATAAAAGATCATTGTCCTCTACCATAAACCATGAGGCCTTAGGGAGACATGAGTATACTCACACCCTCCGCCATGACAAGGCAATAGCTTATACATGGGATTTCAGCTCCCCCAGAAGAGCTAAAGAAGGGAAACCTACTAATGCCAGTGTTTGGTCACATAGAAGGCGCTGAAAAACCCATGGTGACCAAAAAGGCCAGTGGTTGCCCCACCCTCCAACGCGCACACACACACACACACACACACACACACACTCCAATTTGACCCAGCCATACTATTGCACCTCTCTGACACAATAGGCTGTTTCATATACCTTTGCTATCTTTATGTTTGTCTTCCAGGGCCTGGTCTGCTTGGTGAGACCTCAGCAGCTTTGGAACCTGCTTTTCTAGAGACCTCTCCAGAATCTCCTGGCCAGGTTCAACCTCCACCATTACTGTGCATTGTCCAAATCTTCCTTGCACTTAGCACCCTGGCGCATGTGTGTGTGATCACAGGCCAGCCAGTGAGTGTGCACTTGGAAAGTTCACTCATCCTTAAAACCGTGAGGCCCAGAACAAAAACAATCAGATGTTCTGAAAAGTATCAGTGTTAAATACTGAAGTATCTTCTTGTTAAAATATTCTTCTTGATCTGTCTCTCATATTCAATCATTCACTAACTCAATTTCAGACATTTATTGAGCACCTACTATGTGCCAGACATTATGCTCAGCCTACCTGTCATGGTCTCTTGAAAAGAATCTTCTAAACCTGCATCTTAAAATTACCTTTGGGGATTGTGCTGATAATGTGTATTCAAGTCTTGTGGTGAACAGGAGGAAAAATATATCATCTTACATTTGCACAGGTTATTTATTTGTTATAAAGCAGCTTCAAACCGTTTGGTTAAGACCTCTCACAGTTGAGCAAGTAGAGTTGTGCTGAATTCTAATATAGGGAACCATGGGGGGCAACATGGTTTGAAAATCTGAGCTGTGTGTCTTCTCTGGAGAGAGCACATGCATCCACTAGCTCCTGACCCCACTTTGAAACAGGGATGGATAACAAATGGCATCAGTGCCACTCAAAGAGTTGTAAGTGGCAGCCAGC
Source organism: Homo sapiens (assembly GCF_000001405.40). Lineage (NCBI taxonomy): Eukaryota > Metazoa > Chordata > Mammalia > Primates > Hominidae > Homo > Homo sapiens. Next base: position 44,155,397 of record NC_000013.11, read on the forward strand.
TACTCCTCTGCCTACTGATCACTTTGTGTATTCATTTTCCTCTTTTCTCATTTTGCTCTCTCCCATTTCCTATCTTCCCTTGCTTTCTGCTTTCTCTCTTTCTGATGACTTTATCCTCCCATACATTCATGCCCTTGAAGGGCATCGCTTAGCACCCGCCACTAGGCACTCCTCAAGAGGTTTGCTTCCCCTTTGCTTCTAGGCTGGATTAAACCCACGTTCCAGGATGTGGTATGGGAGGCAGGGAGGGCCAGAACTGGCACAGCCTCTGTGTTCTCGGGCTGCTGATCATTCCATTCCACACCAGACCTTCTGAGGTGAATGAGCTAAAGCAGCGGCACAGGTCTGAGCCATAAACAAGGCAGCACCCAGGAGCAGGCCATTGTTGCTTTGTCTGGTTTGAGCACTCAGCTTTGTACAAGTCAGACAAGACGCCTGGACATGGAGCTTGGGCTCCTGCCCAGGGTTTCATTCTCACTGTCGCAAAGCCACAGATTGGAAGCAGAAAGGCAATGCTTGCTTTCAACCCCCGTGCACACAGAAAAGCCTCCTCAGCCCAGTATCAGCTTCCCTAAACACCACCCAGGGGGCAGTGAATGTTGACTGGTCCTGATTTATTGGAGCAGAAGAGGAAAAGAAATGACAAGCCCTAAATGTCAAGACGAGGAGGTGTGTGGCCTGGCCGTAAAGAGAGCCGAGAGCGTGCACTGGGATGGGTCACGTGACTAGGATTCTCAAGCCAGGAGAGACCAGGAGCCAATTCAAGTGGGAGGTGTCAGAAATGCAAAGTCGGCTGTAAAAATGTCAAGAGCAAGGCTGGGAATAAGGCAAAGGGAAGACTGCCTTCTGTTTTGTGGGAGGCAGGTTACAAAATGTTAGGAGTGCACATTTACTTTCATGTGTCTGCTTGGTTGCAAGTCGAATCTGCTGTCTGCTGGAACTCCGGAGAACTGATAGGAATGCAGCATCCAGGAACCTGATCCTACCCCAGGGAGTTCTGATGCTACCTTCCTATGCTGCAGAGGACTCTCCTGCTGCAGCTCTAAGAGAAATTTAGACAGTAAGTCAATCCAGACATGCCCTGTGAAAGTGAGATCTTATTGGCATGGCTTGCCCGGTGAAAGGTAATGAGGAGTAGCTGAGGCTGCACCTGCTCAGGAGCCCATGTGCTCAACAAGAAAACTCCAAGCTTGCTTCAATTTGGCATTGTTTTTAGTGAACGTTCACTGTTTTAATTCCATTCACTGTTTCTTATTTATTTGAGATGGGGTCTCTGTCACCCAAGCTGGAGAGCAGTGGTGTCATCTTAGCTCGCTGCAGCCTCAAACTCCCTGGCTCAAGTGATCCTCCCACCTCAGCCTCCCCAGTTGAGACCACAAGCATGCACCCATCTTCATTCTTTGTTTCTTATCCTTGCTGGACTACTGCAGGGGTCCTCCTGGAGATGAGATTCTTCCAACCTGAAAAACTCTATAATTATTTCTGCCAGAGCCAAAATCTTCCTGGTCAATGGCTGAAAGGGGGCAATGCTCAACATGGAAATGCATACCTGCCACGCTTAGCAGGAATCTGGCGGGGCTGAAAACCCACCACATACAAGGCACTCTCAGGAGGCAGGAACTGGGCCACTGTCTTAGTTTCAATTCCTGAAACAGGAATCTAGATGCACATGTTTACTGGGGATATGATCCCCAGAAACACAGTGAGGGATTGGAGAAGCAAGATAGAGAGAGGTGGGTTAGCCAATAAAGGGGGTGTACATGAGCAGGATGCTGCACAGAGCACTTGGGTTTTACTTCCTCTGGAGTCCCTCTCAAAGGCTCAGTGGAAAACACCTCGATTTTCCTGTTGGCAGGGGGTATAAAAAAACGGAGACTTTTTTTTTTTAACAAGCTCCATCCTTCATTGGTTAAGGGTTGCTCCAGGCCCCTTTAACTCTGATGCTCTTCTGGGCTTCCCCATGCATGGGGCTTAACAAATTTCTGTGGCCAGAGAGAGCCATCAGGCAGAGATGTGGAAGCTTTAGGTAAGAAGCTACAGTGTGTCCATGAAGCTGCAGATGACCTGCAAGGGAACATGCTCCATCCACTTGCAACAGCCATCATGACAGTAATGTCTTCTCATCTGTGTGCCCAAACATGTGCACATGTGCATACACACACACACACACACACAAATGCAAATTGTTGTACCTTTTTCTCATTTGCACTCCCCCTCACCATGACCATGTAAAAATCGAGTCTCCAAATAGTTTCAGCCCTGCTGAGCCATATAGCCTTGCCTTGCAATACGAGCAAGTAGAAGCAGTTATCTGTAGCCTCCCAGGCCCCAGCTACTCCATTGTAAATCCATGCCAGTTTCTAACTTCAGCCCAGCTGGAAAGGCTAGGACTTGCGTTGGCTGTTTTGCTTAAGCCCTGCTGAAGGGCAACATGGGGTGATGGGAAAAACTGGAACAGATGTCAGGAATTTGAGGTTTCTTGTGTCCTGTCCGCCAGTAAGTTACATAACTTCCTTAGTTGACTTCTAGAACTTAGTTTCTCCCTTGGTAGAACTAGAGTAATAATACCCGCCCTATTTGCCTCCAAGAGTTGTAGGAAGACTCAAAAGGAGCCAATTCACGTACCTGGGATCACCTTGACGTGGCAGGGATGTTCCTTGCAAAGCCTTATCCTGCTCAATCTTCACCTAATTACGTTGGTTTTAGGCTTGAAGCAGGGGCCTTGCTGGCTGACCTCTCAAAGCCTCCCTTTCCCTTGTTCCCATGTGTAGCATTCTGTTTTGGGAGCACAGAATGTCCTCTGGTCTAGAGGAAGCTAAGCCACTGTTTGCAATCAGTCCAAGCAGATCAAGTTAAGGACCAGGCCATTTTGGAGGCACACAAGGACTCCTCTTGGCAGATGGGCACGACAGGCTTGCTTGCAGACTGAGTGGTGAACAGCCCCTTCCATCTCTTCGTTTGCTTGTATCAAATAGCAAATTCCAGAATCACTATACAGAGTGGTGGATGGGGCAATACAACTTACCCAAAATATTAATAGGCACTCATGAGGGCACCAGCTGTTGTGACTAGTCTGTGTCATTAAGGCCTGTGTGATGTCAACAGAGAAGCCATTGTTGGCTGGACCTGCCCCCACCAGCTCAACCAGGGAGTGTTTGTCAGTCACTTAGGAAGAGCTGCCTTAAAGGGTGAGTGTGGTTCTCAAAGGTGGGAAAAACTAACAATTCTTGAAGAGGACTCAAGGTTTATTGGACCACCAAATACTGGAGTTGATGCTGAAGTCTATAACAATGGTAACAATACTCAGGGTGTATCCATTGTGGGCCCAGCCAATGGATACTCTGGGGAGTATTGAGGGGAGGGGTGTTGAGTCCTTCTACACAGGCTCAGAAAGAAAGGTTCTTATCATCCACTTAGAAACAATGGAAGCAAAGTAACTCTCTGGGACAGAAACTTTGTCGGTCAGGGAGAGGCTTGAAGGAGACTCTAAATGGTTCCCAGAATGAATTCCCACGTAAACCTAAAGAATGCTGATGGAGAGAAGCCACTGCTCATTCTTCTTTTTAAGCCAAATAATATCCTTCTGCCGGAACAAAGTTGTTCTTGGCACTTGGAAGTAAATGTGAGGAGGGAATCAAAACACAACGCCTGAGAGACAAATCCATAAGAAATCTGAAGGCCAGGACGTGGTGAAAAGTAATAAAGATAGAAGGGTCAGTGGCAGGAACAAAGATTAACTGTACCAGAGGAGATGGCGCTTTGGCTCTGAAAATAGGATTGAGCGAAAGCCGGAAGTGCTGCAGAGACGCACGTGTCCTTCGTTTCCACCCTGAAGGCTCAAAGGAAGGCCGCTGCCCAGCCACGCGGAGGCTGCAGGACAGGGTTCTGGAAGCTGGGGCCTCCTTGCCCTAATCCTGGAAGGATATTCCACATCTAAATCACCGAAGCTTCATCCTGTGATGCAGAAGCTCTCCCCTTGTGAACAACCAACACAGGAAGTAGTGAAACCTGGTAGAGAGAATATTATCTTTCTCCACCTTCAATTATACCAGAACTGCCTCCAGGGACTTTGGCAGGTTTGACAAATGGCAGAAGAATTTAGAAGATTTTCTTTGCTGGCAAAGGGAGCCAATGGTTGGGCACAAATGTGCTGCTGCGGTTGTTTGTACAATGAAACTCTAGATTGTAGGCAGAAATGTCAGGTTCCTTTCAACTCTCTTCAGAGCTAATCTAGTTCCCATGTGCAAACTCAATCTATAGCATTTGGGTAAAGAATACTCAGTCCTCTGCTGTGACAAGAACAAATTCATCACCCACACCATACATTGTAGCTAAGGGCATCATCGTGCCCACATGAATCACCAGGCAGAGACGGCTGCCAACTCTGAAATTCTTTACTCATGGAAGACTCACGTATACTAATGCCGACTATTTACGCAAGCACATTTCTCCAGGTGGCCTGGAGCAGTTTACAAGATGCTGGCTCATTCCTCATCATGCCACTTGGAAGGAGAGCAAAAGGTGGGGAAAGAGGAAGGGCCAACATCATCATCTGCATTTTATGTGGGGAAACTGAGGCTCACATAAGCCGTAAAGTGAAATGTATAGACATTTATGAGTCAGAAATCGACCATGGAAGAGGCAAAATGAGCTTATCTGAATCATGAGTGGACTATTTCTTGCCCAACAATTTCATGCAGCTCTTCCAACACAACTGTTTTGATACAGCAGCCTCAAAACAAGCCAAAATTCAGACTCGCTGTATTTGGTTTATAACCAGTTTCCCATCTTTCATTCCTTCTCTGACTTCTACCTGACTTCTGAATTTGGTTGACCCTGTTTTTTTGTTTGTTTGTTTGTTTTGTTTTACTTTAAAAGACCCTCAACCCTCCTGGAGTCCTGACCTGCTATTTCTTTCATTTTGAACCTCTACCAGTCCTTTCCTTCATCTGTTACCAATCCATACACCCTTGATGCCTGGAGGTAAGATTGACAATGGAGGGGGGGAGGTGAAGATCAAGGTTGAGGTGAAGCTCACAGATGGCCTGCAAGATGCCTATTTTACTCATCATTTATTTTTTAAAAAGCTGAACATTTATCGGCTGAATCTTTGAGCCATACCAAAATATCCTCATGTCAAAATAGCTGCAGTAAAGTGGTTCTATTAAAATAGCTGCCTCCAAAGAACTGAGAGTGGAGATGTCACCTGCTTCTGGCACCTGACTTTGGTCCTCTTCTGCGTGGCATTGCCTTCTGCTCTGCTGGATTCTGGCGTATGGCTCATCAGAGGAGGCACTAACATCAGGGCTGCCTTTTATCTTGCTGATCCAAGCGAGGACTATGTAGGTGTCACAGATGAAACTCGTCCAGAAGCCGAACAGGATGCTAATGGCATGGCCACGTGTTTCCAGCACCCTGTGAGGCAGCTGGCTGGCATCAATCCTCTCCCCAGCTTCCATCCCACCCCCATCCACCCATAAGCTCTTCTTGGGTCAGAAATGCAATTCTTTGATGGTGCCAGACAGCCAGATGATGCTGGAAAGAAGAAAGAAAAAGAAAAAGCAGGTTTCTAAATTAAGCACAAGGCTCGTTTATAAAAATAAATAGCCACAGCCTAGCAACGTGCTCACAGCTCAGCTTTCCTCCGTAATAAAACCTCTGTGGCTGAAGCCTGGGATGACACAGCCTTCAGAGGGCCCCACGCCCTGGCCCTCCTCATGCCCTGGCCTCTCCCAGGATAATACTCACCTGGAGAGTGCTGACAGTGGTACTTTTGGGGCCCCACTCTTCATTCAAGGCCAACCAAAGGCCAGGCTCCAAAAAGCAGAAGGAAGGCAGAGCTTAATGAGGCCCATGAACACTTACAGACTCTTGGCAGTAACTAATACACCTGTAGCAAAAGTGGTTGAAGTTCCTTGGGCTACTCTGTTGAAATAGGAACTTCTAGTTAAGACCATGTCTTCTTTGTTCACCATTGAACAGTACTCAGCTAAGCACAGGGCACGTATTGAGTACTCAACCAGTATGTGAGGAAAGACTGGTTAGAGGTATAAATGAATGAATGAATGTTGCCATCCCATTATTGATGCTCTCCAAACTCTTCACTACAAATGGAGTCAGTTCCAGAATCCAAAGCCAGCATTCTTCTCCTGATTATGACATGCACCAAAGAGGCATCCCCTGAGCTGGATGTTTAAATCAGAGCCCACAGCTGAAGTGAGCACCAAGATGTACTGAGCAAGTGTGGACTCTTACTGATCCAAGTGGTGAGGCTCTTACAATGGGCAAGGGCAGAGGGCATGCGATATGTAGGTAACTATTGTTAGCATTCCTGAATCTTCTCCTGTTCTTTAGGCAGCAGCAGCTTCAAGGGTGAACTGTTGCTCAGCAGAGAAATGGCAGGAAAAAATAGGACATTCGCTTCTGGCCTTAGTCCTGTTGGAACACAAAAAGTGGAGTCTGCAATGCTGTTGGAGGCTCAACAGGTCAAATACATCAGTAATGGGCATGGTATGGCTGGGGTCATACGGAGACAGTCCTTAGAGCACTGAAAATGTGATCATCCTGAATCCCATAAGGATCCTTATGAGGTTAGAAGGGACAATGTGGCTCCACTTTGATGACTGACAGCAGTTGCTTTGGTGAGTTTCTACGTATTCCCTTGTGATCAGAGAGTGGTACAGGACAGCATGTCAAAATCGTAAACCACCATCTCAGAGCAAGGCCCCTTAGTTACAATATTAAAAAGATCAGAGAAATTGGCACATAGCATCATTTAGAAATCTGTCTTCAGGCATCTTTGTCTGGCCTGGCTGGAAATAGTAAAACCATATTTATGTCATTGAGAAAAAGGTTCTTAATTAAATTCAAATGTATAAGAATATATCGTAGGTCTATTTTTGGAACAATAATCTGGGAACAAAAAAAAATCTAAACAGCAACAAAACTTGTACAATAGCATTTAGCTTCAGACAGCAGCATACAATAGAGAAGAAGGAGTCCTCATAGACTCTGGACTCTTAGATTGATTCAATCCCACAAGCTAGAGCACCAAAGTCATGGCACTGGGACATTTAGGAAGAGGAACTCTAGCAGTGACCTGATTAGGAGACAGCTCCAGCAGAGAGTCAGCACATAGACTGGCCAAGCTGCCCCCAGATCTTTGGTGATATCTCTTTGGTGGAGATAAAGGAAGCCCTTTCCAAAGCAGACCAATTATGGCATCCACAACCATAGTCCCTGCTCCAGCCTAGTGAGGACACAGTATGTTCCATAAGTCCCTAAGGCTCTATGCCCAGGGCTCCCACTTCTGACACGGCTGCTCAAGGATAAGACCCCACTGACCCCATTCTCTATGGAGGGTACAGAAATCCATAAGAACAGAGCCCAATACTCAGCTCTGTGACCTTAACTACTTGGAAACTGATTTTCTTTGTTCATAAAATAGAGAGAGTAAAAATAATGCTTTCTATCTCCCAAGAGTGTACGAGGATCAAATGAAACACTATTATGTTCAAGTGCTTCCCAGTCTGCAAGCTATTGTTCCATGTGACCATGTTTTATAAAATGTAAAGGTATACAGTGAGAAGTTTGCTTCTGATGTGAGGATTGAGACTTCCTTTGTCACAAACTTTTAGGGTGCTGTCTGGTTCCATCTTATTCATAATACTATTTTTTTTTCAGAGACCCCTAGCCATTTCCTTGGCTTCAAATACCAAAGACCTAGCATTTCAAAATTGTGTTTCTGTAACTGCTTCTTTCCTCTTACAATCCCTCAGAAAGTGCTGCAATTCTAGAATGCATGAGGAACCTTGGGGCTCACAAAGTCCACCACTTCACTTTGCAGATGTACACACAGAGGCACAGAAAGTTTAGGCACTTGTCCAAGGTCACGTGTGGAGTTTCACTCACCCTATCCTCAGCTTCTCCCACAGCCTGCCAGTGTCTGCCCTCCAGTGGGTCTTTGAGGGCCACAATTCAGATTCCACTCTTCCGCAGCTGGGACATCCATCTTCTGCCCTCGGACATCAGAGCTCCTTGTCCTCAGGCCTTCAGACTCCAGGGTTTACACCAGCAGCATTCCCCCGCTGGTTCTCAGGCCTTTGGTCTTGGACTGAATTACACTATCAGCTTTCTTGGGTCTCCAGCTTGCAGGTGGCATATTGTCACTCCATAATTGCATGAGCCAATTTCTATAATAAATCCCTTCTTAGATAGATAGATAGATAGATAGATAGATAGATAGATAGATAGACAGATGGTAGATAGTAGATGCATACATACATACATACATACATACATATCCTATTGGTTCACTTTCTCTGGAGAACCTTGACTGATACAGATTTTGGTGCTACACTCCCTCAATACTGACCATATTTTCCCACTTTTAAGTGAGTAATTGTTACTTAAGCTAGGTGTGTTATTTAGGATGTGAGGGATGGGGAGCCGGAGGATGGTAGACAGTTGAGGGCAAGTGGATTAAAGCATGGCAGTAATGGGAACAGGCACCTCTGTGATCATGATGCCTCATCTTAGATTATACCTTTGGAATTTGCCTTTTGTTTTTGAAAAAATAAATATATAACCATTTCATTTTTGTAGTTATTCGTAATAATTTGCTTCCTCACAGAAATGGCAGAATACATTCATGCAAAGCATATAAATGCACCCAAGTTGTTGTTGAGTTGTTTTAAAAGAATGTATTAAGAAGTAGGATTTGTTAAGTGACAATTCTTCTACCATCGGCCCACCTTCCTCTCTGCAGATGACCTTGTATCTACCCAGTAAAGAAAATATGAGGTTATTTTGTGTGAAACACCCCCATCACCCCTACACCTACCTATCCATATGAAGCCAAATTCTCCTCCTCCTTCCCTCCTCCCCAAACCACCTACTCATACAAAGAAGGGTCTTTCTTTCTGTCTGTAATTACAAATCTACATGTGTGTTAGACCTACGGTGACCAATGATCCTGGCTTACTCAGGACTGAGGAGATTTCTGGGACACAAGACTTTCAGTGTTAAAATCAGGAATATTCCTGGCAGACTGAGACAAGCTGGTCACCCTGGTAGGCCCCATACCTCACCCAGGGACCTTTCTAAACAAACCACGATTGAATGAATTGATACTAAATAGCAGCAAATTGCTATGTGAGATTGGTGGTCAGGAAGATAACTAGAAGGGATGAATGAATGAAATGTAGTGATTTTTTTTTAATTAAAACCTTCATGAATATGTTGGGAAAAACCCGGAGGAGGATATCCTATTATCTAGACGAGCAGAAGAACAGAAAAGTTACACTAAAGAATTTATATAGAGATGTAGATCCCATTCACTTGATGGTTAAGTCAGGGCAATCCATATTACATAGGAAACAGACCATAGTATTGCTTCACAACTTTCTAACTTCCTGTCATACATTTGTTAAAAATTATAACATCTGCTACATAGGTTAAGTTGAAAGGAGAATCTTCTTATGGCCACACGTGACCACCTGAGTGGCCTCATGACCACTGAAACTACCTAGACTCCTGAGGACTGAGAGGGTCAGTATTTCAGCTCACATGTGACCCACTGACTACATACCACTATGTGGCTGGTTGGGAATCTTTGAACTATAGGATTATAGCACTGTGGCCTAAACAGGCAGGTCTAGACTCTACTCCATCACAAATCTGAAATCTTGACCCACATTCTCCACACTCTCTTCAAAGAATGTTAAACTAATAGTATTAATTTTTGTACACAAAAAATGCTTAAAACTATCACATATTAATCATTCAATAAATGCCAATGGTTTTCCCCCAACACATACACTTACACAGGTAGCTTTACTGTTTTTCTTACCTTCATGGTCCCATGAGCATAACTGCTAGTCTAGATAATTAAACTAAATGAGTGTGGCAACTGTGATACTTCAAGTCACTAGGAATAGCTTAAGTCCACATCCTTTCCTGGGTTGACTGATCGCCATCCCAGCATGACACATGTCCCTTCTCTGTCTCTGAGTTCCTTCCTCATCTTGGTGGAGCCCATAATGAGGCCTGACAGCAGGGCAAAGGACACACAGCCAAACAGGGCCTCAGATTTCCTAATTAGAGGTTTCTGGACAGAAGAAACATGGTCCCTTAATTGCTTAAGAGTGCCTCATCCACTTTCTAACATTGATTCTTTCTCTACCGCTTTGCCTTCCCAGTACTCCCATAGGTATAAGGGGAAAATCTTTTGCAGAATTCACTCAGCAAGTCAATCAACAAGAAGACACACATCCTTGGGGAACAAGGGGTGCTTTCCTCACAGAAAGTTGTTTCCAATAAACCAATTTCTGCTGCTTAGCAACCTTGATGATGCCTTTTCCACAATTACAGCTAAATAGAATCCTCTATTGTCTACAGGAGATTAAGTGTATGCTTTCATGAGTCAGAAGAAAGTATCAGAAAAAGTTGTACTCAAGCTTTAGATGAATGTAAAAATACTGCACAAGGAGCAAAAACAGGAGGCATGCCCTGGTTGTGTTGTATGATGAATATAGCTATTTTATTCATGCTTTGGGGTTTGATGTTTGTTTTGGGAGTTAGTCGTAAAGAGCTGGGTTGTTCATTCATAGCTGAGTAGATGGAGTCGTGATACCGCCTCCCTGTTTCTCTCAAACTAATAATTAAAGCTGTGATTACATCTTACACCAAACTAAGGGAGGGACAGTGGAACTCCCTGGAAGTGAGGAAGAGATTTTGAGGCAGGTTAGATGTTGCAACTGTCAAATCCCACAGTGTAGTCATTATGGTAAGATGAGGTGAACTGTGAGCCAGCCAATAAGAACAGCTGCTGAGTGGTACCATTTCCAATCACGGTCATCTCTTGGTTCTGTCTAGGGAGGCAGGGCAGGGGCGAAACCAGTCCCGCAATTCCTTTTTACAAAGTTTAACACACTGGTTGACTACGCCTCCTATTGCTGAAAGCATGGAAAATCCTTTGTCACAATTTCCTAAGCTTCTAACCATATATTTCCCTAATAACCAAATGTGCCTGTTTCAACAAAGTCAATCAGTTAAAGAACAATGTTTGGAGAGAGGAACATTTGGAGTGAGGAAGGAGGGCTTCCCAGAAAATTCAGCATCTTCTTTATAACTTTTTCTTTTTTTTTTTCACTTGATCCAGCAAATTTTTATTGCATGGGTACTGTGTACCACATGTGAAAACAAAAATTAACACTTACCAAGCTAAGACATACTATGTGCCATGCTTACTGGCTGGCTCATAGTTCACCTCATCTCCTTACCATCATGACTACACTGTGGGATTTGATAGTTGCAACATCTAACCTGCCTCATCCATGCACTATTGCTAAACCCTTTTCATCCATCACGTCATTTACTCATTTATATAACCCTATGAGAGAATTATCCTTATTCCCCCATTTTACAGATGAGGAAGCTATGGTTCACAGAGATTTAGCTATTTACCCAAGGTTAATGGCAAAGCCATGATTCAAATACAGATAGCCTGGCTCCAGAGCCTGGGTGCAGTAAACTTGTTCCCCACAAAGTTTGTTTCTAGATTCTCTATTCTGTTCCATTGGTCTATGTGTCTGTTTTTATGCTAGTACCTGCTGTTTTGGTTACTATAGCTCTGTAGAATAATTTGAAGTCAGACAATGTGATTCCTCCAATTTTGTTCTTTTTGCTCAGGATAGCTTTGGCTATTCTGGGTCTTCCATGGTTCCATATAATTTTAGAATTATTTTTTCTATATCTGTGAAGAATGTCATTGGTATTTTGATAGGGATTGCATTAAATCTGTAGATTGCTTTGGATAGTATGGACATTTTAATAATATTGATTCTTCTAGTCCATGAACTGGAATATCTTTCCATTTTTTGGTGTCCTCTATAATTTCTTCCATCAATGTTGTATGGTTTTCATTGTAGAGATCTTTCATTTCTTTGGTTAATGTAATTATTATATATTTTATTTTATTTTTAGTTATTGTACATGGGATTACTTTCTTGATTTCTTGTGAAGATTAGTTGCTGTTGGCATATAGAAATGCTACTGATTTTTGTATGTTGATTTTGTATCCTTCAGTGTTACTGAATTTGTTTATCAATTCTATTAATAATAGCTTTTTGGTAGAGTCTTTAGGTTTTTCCAAATGTAAGATCATATCATCTGCAATGAGGATAATTTGACTTCTTCCTTCCAATTTGAATGTCCTTTATTTCTTTCTTTTGTCTGATTGCTCTAGCTAGGACTTTGAGTACTATTTTGAATAAAATTGGTGAAAGTGGGCATTCTTGTCATATACCAGATCTTAAAGGAAAGGCTTTCAGTTTTTCCCCATTCAGTATGATATTACTTGTGCATCTGTCATACTATATGGCTTTTATTATGTTGAGGTATATTTCTTCTATGCCCAGTTTTTTGAGGGTTTTAAAATGAAGGCATGTTGAATTTTATCAAATGTTTTTTCCACATCAACTGAAATGATTATATGGCTTTTGTCCTTCATTCTGTTGATATATCAAATTGATTGATTTGTCTATATTGAACATCCTTGCTTCTCTGGGATAAATCCCACTTGGTCACAATGAGTGATTTTTTAATATGCTGTTGAATTTAGTTTGTTAGTATTTTGTTGAGGATTTTGGCATCAATGTTCATCAAGGATATTGGCCCGTAGTTTTCCTTATTTGATGTCTTTGGCTTTGATAGCAGAGTAATATTGGCCTGATATAATGCATTTCGAAGTATTCCCTCCTCCTCTATTTTTTGGAATAGTTTGAGTAGGATTGGTATTAGTTCTTCTTTAAATATCTGGTAAAACTCACCAGTGAAGCCATTGGGTCCCCGGCTTTTCTTTACTGAGAGACTTTTTATTATGACTTAGATTTTGGTACCTGTTAGTCTGTTCAGGTTTTGGATTTCTTCATGGTTCAATCTTGGTAGGTTGTATGTGTCTAGGAATTTATCCATTTTTTCTAGGTCTTCCAATTTATTGGCATTCAGTTACTTATAGAAGCCTCTAATGATTCTTTGAATTTCTGCAGTTTGGTTGTAATGTCTCCTTTTTCATCTCTGATTTTGTTGGAGTCTTCTTTCTTTTTTTCTTGGTCAGGCTAAAGAATTTGTCCATTTTATTTATCTTTTCAAAAAACCAACTTTTCATTTCATTAATCTTTTGTATTTTTTTATTTCAATTTCATTTATTTCTGCTCTGATTTTTTTCTTCTTCTACTAATTTTGGGTTTCTTTTGCTCTGCTTTTCTAGTTCGCTAAGATGCATGTTTAGGTTGTTTATTTGAAGTTTTTCTACTTTTTTGATGTAGGCACTTATTGCTATAAACTTCCCTCTTAGTACTTATTTTGCTGTTTCCCATAGGTTTTGGTATATTGTGCTTCAATTTTCATTTAAGAAATTTAGGCCGGGTGTGGTGGCTCACACCTGTAATTCCAGAACTCTTGGAGGCCAAGGCAGGTGGATTGCTTGAGCCCTGGAGTTTGAGACCAGCCTGGGCAACATGACAAAACCCCATCTCTACAAAAAAATACAAAAATTAGCTGGGTGTGGTGGTGCATGCCCATGGGTCCCACCTACTTGGGGGGATGAGGTGGCAGGATCACTTGAGCCCCAGGAGGTGAAGATTGCAGTGAGCCAAGATCACGCCACTGCACTCTGGCCTGGGTGATACAGTGAAACCCTGTCTCAAAAAAGAAAGGAAAGAGAAAGAAGGAAAGAGAGAGAGAGAGAGGGAGGGAGGGAGGAAGGAAGGAAGGAGGAAAGAAGGAAAGAAGGAAAGAAAGAAAGAAAGGGAGGGAAGGAGGAAGGAAGGAAGGAAAGAAAGAAGAAAGAGAGAGAAAGAGAGAAAGAAAGAGAGAGAAAGAGAGAAAGAAGAAAGAAAGAAAGAAAGAAAAAAAGAAAGAAAGAAAGAAAGAAAAAGAAAGAAAGAAAGAAAATTTTAAATTGACTCTGTCTCAAAAAAAAAAAAAACAGAAAACTTTACACAGACTCACTGGTGATTCAGGAACATATTGTTTAATTTCCATGTGTTTGTAAAGTTTCCAAAATTCCTCTTCTTACTAGTTTCTAGTTTTATTTCTTTGTGGTCAGAGAAGATAGTTAACATTATTTCAGTTGTTTTGAACTTTTTAAGACTTGCTTTGGGGCCTAACATATGGTCTATCCTTGAGAATGATCCACGTGCTGAGGAGAAGAATGTGTATTCTGCTGCTGTTGGATGAAATGTTCTGTAAATATCTATGAGGTCCATTTGGTCTATAGTGCAGATTCATTCTGATGTTTCTGTGTTGATTTTCTGTTTGATGATCTGTCCAGTGCTGAAAGTGGGGTGTTGAACTCTCCAGCCATTATTGTATTGGGGCCTATCTCTCTCTTCAGCTCTAATAATATTTGCTTTATATATCTGGGTGCTCCAAGATTGGGTGCATATATATTTAAAATTCCTCTTACTAAACTGACCCCTTTATTATTATATAGTGAGTTTTTTTGTCTCTTCTTATAATTTCTTTCTTGAAATCTATTTTGTCTGATAGAAGTATAGCGTCTCCTGCTTTTTTTCATTTCTGTTGGCATGGAATATCTTTTTTCCAACCCTTTATTTTCAGTCTATGTGTGTTTTTATAGGTAAAGTGTGTTTCTTGTAGTGAATAGATCAGTAGGTCTTATTTGTTTGTTTGTTTATTTTTTATCCATTCAGCTACTGTATATCTTTTGATTGGAGAGTTTAGTCCATTTACATTCAATGTTATTACTGGCAAGTAAGGACTTAGTTCTGCCATTTTGTTATTTGTTTTCTAGTTGTTTTGTGGTCTTCTTTCTTTCCTTCCTGTCTTCCTTTAGTGAAGGTGATTTTCTCTGATACTATTATTTAGTTTCTTGCTTTTTATTTTTTGTGTATTCATTTCTTTTGGTTTGAGGTTAACATGAGGCTTGCAAATGCTATCTTATAACTCATTACTTTAAGCTGATAACAACACTTTGAATAAACAGACAAACAAGCAAAAAGAAAGCTAATAAAAACTCTATGCCTTAACTTTGTTCCCTGGCATTTTAACTTTTTGTTGTTTCTATTTTATATCCTATTCTATTGTTTATGTCTTGAAAAGTTGTTGTAGTTATTCCTTTTGGTTGGTTCATCATTTAGTCTTTCTACTTAGGATAAGAGTAGTTTACACAACAGATTCAGTGTTATAATGTTCTGTGTTTTCCTGTGTACTTACTCGTGGGTTTTGTACCTTCAGATGATTACTTATTGCAATTCTTTCTTCTCCTTGATCAATTCTGCTATTAAAAGGCTGATGCATTCTTCAGTATACCAATTGCATTTTTCAGATGCAGAATTTCTGCTTGATTCTTTTTAGTTATTTCAATCTCTTTGTTAAATCTATCTGGTAGAATTCTGAATTCCTTCTCTGTGTTATCTTGAATTTCTTTGAGTTTCCTCAAAAAAGCTATTTTGAATTCTCTGTCTGTGAGATCACATATCTCTGTTTCTCCAGAATTGAACCCTAGTGCCTTGTTTAGTTCATTTGGTGAGGTCATGTTTTCCCGGATTGTCTTGATACTTGGAGATGTTCATCTGTTTCAGGTCACTGAAGTTAGGTATTTATTGTAGTCCTCATGGGCTGGGCTTGTTTGTATCCTTTTTTGGCAAATTTTTCCAGATATTCAAAAAGACTTGGGTGTTGTGATCTAAACTATATCTGCTTTAGGGGGCACCTAAGGCTAAAGCACTGTGGTTCTTGCAGACTTGTAGAGGTACCACTTTGATGGTCTTGGACAAGATCCAAGAGAATTCTCTGGATTGCCAGGCAGAGACTCTTGTTCTCCCTTACTTTCTCCCCAAAAAATGGAATCTCACTCTGTTCTGAGCCATCTGAAGCTGGGGATATTGTGACACAAGCAACCCTGTGGCCACCAGCACGATGACTGCATTGAGTCAGACCTGAAGACAGCACAGCACTGGGTCTTGCCCAAGGCCTGCTATAACCACTCCCTGGCTACTGCCTATGTTCACTCAAGATCCTAGGGCTTTACAATCATCAGGTGGCAAATCTAGCCAAGCCTGTGTCCTTCTCTTCAGGGCAGTGATATTACCCATGTGCCAGATAGGTCCAGAAGTGCTTTCCAGGAGCCAGGGACTAAAGTCAAAAGCCTTAGAAATCTAGATAGTGTTCTGTTACACTGTGGCTGGCATGGCACTGAAACCACAAGACATAGTCCTTCCCACTCTTCCCTCCTCTTTCCAAAAGCAGAGGAGCCTCATTCATGGCCACCGCCACCACAGGCCCATGGGAAGTACTACCAGACTATCACTAATGTTTCCTTAAGGCTCAAGGCTCTTTAGTCAGCTTGTGGTGAATGCTGCCTGCCCTGGGACTCACCCTTCAGGGCTGTGGGCTCCCCTGGGGTCCAGGGCAGGTCCAGAAATGCCATCCAAGAACCAAGTCCTGGAATCAGGCATCCCAAGAGCCCACTTGGTGTTCTACCCACTGTGGCCAACCTAGTACCTAAGGGACAAGACAAGGTCCCCTTTACTTTTCCCTCTGCTTTTCTCAAGCAGAAATATTCTTGCCCCATAGCCACCACAGCTGGGAATGTGCTGAATCTGACCTGAACTCACCAAGTCTCAGAGTCTCACCCAAGGCCCTTGACATAGCACCTGGGTGTTGCTGCTGGTTATTCAGGGCCTAAGTGCTCTTCAGTTAGCAGATGATGAATGCAGTCAGGACTGGGTCCTTCCCTTCAAGGCAGCAAGTTCCCTTCTGGCCCAGGGCATGTCTAGAAATGTCATCTGGGAACTAGGGCCTGGAAAATAGGCCTTGCAACTGTGACCAGTGCCCTATCCTGCTGTAACTGAGCTGGGATCCAAGATGCAAGACAAAGTCTTCCCCACTCTTCCCTATCCTCTTCTCATGCAGAAGGAAGGTGTCCCTTTTAGAGCCATGATCTGTGCAGCCTGAGGTTAGGGTAAGGGCGAGGCCAGCACTCTTTTAGCTGCCCCAGCTGGTGTGTCAGAGGTAACATACTCCCACCCCACAGTCGATTGATTCTGGGCCCAGTTCATCCCTAGGATTCATCTATATGTTGCAATCCTTGTGGCCTAGGATGCCTTTAAAGGTTATTTAGAGCCCAAGAGCACTTTAGCCCACAGTGGTGAGGTCTGGGAAAATTCAACTTTCCACCACTGGGATCAGGAATTGCCCTCTGGCTAGAGCTAGTTTAAATGCTCCCTCTATGTGTGGGCAACAGCTGAGTTTGGTTTTCTTTCTGCTCTAACAGGACAGCACTGAGTTCAATGTCTCACAATTGCTGTACTCTCCTCTCCCCGTGACCAGAGACACTCTCTGAACCGTGCTGCAGCTGCCAGAAGGATGGGAGTGGGATGGTGTCAGGATTCAAGGCTATGTTTTCTACCTCTTCAGTGCCTCTTTCAGTGATACGAAGTTAAAACCAGGTACTGTGAGTGGTCACCTGATTTTTGGTTCTTATGAAGGTGCTTTTTTGTGTGTGTAGATAGTTGTTAAATTGGTGGGCTTGCCAGAGGGACCACTGATGAAGTTCTACTCCACCATTTTGCTTGACCTCTCTAGAATACAAGTTTTTTTTTTTTCCTTCAGCATATTAAATATATCATGTCACTCTATCCTGGCTTGTAATACACAGTCTGATGCTGTGTATTGGAGCTCCTTTGTATGCTATTTGTTTCCTTTATCTTGCTGCTTTCTTTATCCTTGATCTTTATCCTTTCTTTATCCTTAATCTTTGGGAGTTTGATTATTAAATGCCTTGGGGTACTTCTTTGCATTCAACTTGCTTGGTGTTCTATAACCTTCTTGCATATTGTATCCTCTACATTTGGGAGGTTCTCTGTTATTATCCCTTTGAATAAATTTTCTACCCCTATCTGTTTCTCTACCTCCTCTTTAAGGCCAATAACTCTTACATTTGCCCTTTTGAGGCTATTTTCTAGATCCTGTAGGCATCCTTTGTTTTTTATTCTTTTTTCTTCTGTCTCCTCTGACCATGTAATTTCAAATAGCCTGTCTTCAAGCTTACTAATTCTTTGTTCTCATTAATCAATTCTGCTGTTAAGGGACTCTGATGCATTCTTTAGTATGCCATTTGTACTTTTCACCTCCAGAAATTTTGATTATTTTTAATTATTTCAATCTCTTAACTAAATTTATCTGATAGAATTCTGAATTCCTTCTCTGTGTTATCTTGGATTTCATCAAGCTTCCTCAAAATAGATATTTTGAATTCTGTCTGGAAGGTCACATCTCTCTCTCTCTCTTGGATTGGTCAGTGGTGCCTTATTTATTTCATTTGGTGAGCTCATGTTCTCCTGGATCGTTTTCATGCTTTTGGATATTTATCAGTGTCTGAGCATTGAAGAGTTAGGTATTTATTTTGGTCTTCACAATCTGGGCTTTTTTTGTACTTGTCCTTCTTGGAAAGGCTTCCCAGGTATTCAAAGAGACTTGGGTGTTGTGATCTAAGGCTTTGGTCACTGCAGCTGTATCTGCTTTAGGGTATATCTTCAGCCCAGTTATACCGTGGCTCTTGCAGGCTCATAGAGATACCTCCTTGATTGTCTTGAGTAAGATCTGGGAGAATTCTCTGGATTACCAGGCAGAGACTCTTTTCTCTTCCCTTATTTTTCTTTAACAAATGGAGTCTCTTTCTCTATGTTGAGCTTCCTGGAACTGGGGTAGGGGTGGCACAAGCACCCCTGAGGCCAGCATCACTGGGACTGCTCTGGGTCAGATCTGAAGCCAGCATAGCCCTGGGTCTCACCCAAGACCTGCAGTGACCACTGTCTGGCTGCCACCTATGTTCACTCAAGACCCAAGGGCTCTACAATCCAGCCAGGCTTGTGTCCTTCAGGAAGTTCAGGCAAGTTCCCCCTGCCCCTGAGGGCATGTCCAGAGATGTCATCCAGGAGCCAGAGCCTGGAGTCGGGAACTTTGAGAATCTACCTGGTTCTCTATTTACTGTGGGCTGAGCTAGCATCCAAGCCAAAAGACAAAGTTCTCCCCATTCTTCCCTCCCCTTTCCTCAAGCAGAGGAGTCTCTCCCTATGGCCACCACTGCCTCAGGCCTAGGGCAAATATTACCTGGCTATCACTGATGTTCACGCAAGGACCACTGGCTCTTCAGTCAGCTTTGTTGAATGCTGCCAGTCCTGAGTCTCTCCCTTCAGGGCAGTGGGCTCCTCTCTGGCCCAGGGCAGGTCTAGAAATGCTGTCCAGGAGCCAAGGCTTAGAATAAGAGATCCCAGGAGCCTGCTTGGTGATCTGTCCCAAGCTGCAAGCTTGGTGAGCTGGTACCCAAGTTGCAAGACAAAGTCTCCTTTACTGTTTCCTCTCCTTTCTTCAAGCAGAAGGGATGTCTTCTCATAGCCTCCACAGCTAGAAATGTGCTGAGTCACTCCTGAAGCCAGTGCAGCTCTGAGTCTCACCCAATGCCTATAGCAAGTACTGCCTGGCTATCACTGCTGATTATTCAGGGCCCAAGGGCTTTTCAGTTAGCACGTGATAAATCCTTCCAGGACTGGGTCCTTCCTTTCAAGGCAGAGAGGTCCTCCCTGGACCAGGGTGTGCTTAGAAATGTTATCAAGCAGCTAGGGCCTGGAATGCGGCCTCAGGACTCTGCCTGGTAGTCTGTCCTACTGTGGCTGAGCCAGTATCCTAGTTGCAAGATAAAATCCTCTTTATTCTTCCCCTCGTCTCCTCAAGTGGAGAGAAACAGTCTCTCTTGGAGCTGTGAGCCATGCTGCCTGGGGATGGGGGAGGAGTGACTCAAACACTCCCTTGACTGCCTCAAGCTGGTGTTTTCCTAGGTTGTATGCACCCCAAGTCCACTGCTTCCCTGCCCAGTACAGTAACAGGACTGGCCTAGGAATTGCACTCTTTGTGGCCTAGACTGCCTTTCAAGTTTATTTAGGACACTGGAGCACTTTAGCTCACAGTGTCAGGGCTTGCTGGAACTCAGGGTTCAACTGCTGAGATAGACAATTTGCCTCTCCCTAGGGCTAGTCTATATGCTCCTTCCATGGGCCCCAGCTGAGTTCTGCCCCATGTTGCTTTCCACTATGACTGGGCAGCACTGAGTTCCAACGCAAAATCCCACAATCACTGCACTCTCCCTCCCCTGCGCAAACAGATTCTCCCTCTGCATTTCCCTGGCTGCTGCTGGGGGATGGTGGGGGGTGGTGGTGTGGGTAATTCAAGGCTATCTTTCCTACCTTTTTCAGTGCCTCTTTCCTTAATATGTTAAAACCAGATACTCTGATCACTGACTTGATTTTTGGTTCTTATGAAGGTGCTTTATTGTGAGGACGGTTGTTCAATTTGGTGTTCCTGCAGGGTGGCTGATCACTGAGGGCTTCTATTTTTCCATCTTGCTCCGCCTCTCTCAATTTGTTATAACTTTTTCATGATCACTTTTTTGATCCTGAAAGTCGAATTTAAAAATGTTAACCTATATTTAAATTAAACTCTCAAGTTGCTGAAGATAAACTTGCAAGAAATGTGAAGAGAAAATGTAAGAAGTATGAAGAACAGTTGTTTTGACTTTTTTTGGTCCATTTTTGACCCTTTGCTCTCTCTTCCTTGTTCCTAATTCCTAAAAATATCACCAAGACCTCAGGCTGCTCACATCAAATTTCTCTATGTCTTTTCCCACTTGCTGTGTCCTACTCTCAGCCTTTGCTTCCTCACACCTGGCCTGCGGAGTGGCCCCTCAAGTAGGGGTGAGAAAAATCAAGAGGCTTAAAAACATAAGATAACTGCCTCCCCAACTCTACCATATTCTCTCTCCAGCTGGAGGAAAAAAACTGAAACCAATGGCACATACTGGGTCATATAATTCTGTGTTGGTGTCAGACTCATTAGCCAGGAAACTGTTTAACTTCACTTTGCTTCAAGGTTTCCATCCACAAAAGCAAAGCTTATTCTTTGCTCCCTACTCATCACCCAGGATTTTGCTGGCAAGATGTATAAACAAAGGTTTATGGAGCACTTCTGGCAGGAGTGGAGAAGTCTGACTACCTTCGGTGTTCATTGTGAGGAAAGATCATTTGAAACTAGTAAACCAACAACAAACTACTGAGAAGGAAAAGATTGAAACAGCCCCTGCCTGGGGAAATGAAAGAAATTGCCTCTAATCTGGCAAAAACTGTATGGTGAGGATCAGCAGATTAAACATGCAATAAACAGCGCTGGAAGTCGCAGGAAACAATAGTGATGAGAAGGTAGGTGGAGGGGCATCAGGATTCACCTGCCAACAAGCCCTATCAGGGAGCTGAGCACACTGTCCAGGAAAGTCAGAAATCCAAAAGATCTTTCCCACATAATCCCTGCTTTGGAGATGTTCCATATCTTGAATAGTATGTTGGATACATGGCTATATACTCTTTACAATATAAATCAGATTATTTACACCTAATATACAGTATATGTGAATTCTATCTTAATTTAAACTTTTTTTAATCTGTCTAATCCAATTTTAATTAATGAGTTTACTGATGTACCCATAAGCAGCTCTATTCCCAATTACCAATATTTATAACAGTCTTTATATTTATATTCAATAAGATCCATACAACATCATCATAGATACAGTCAAATTAAAACTGGCTTTATCCGTCATTCTCTAATAACTGTTATCACTGCATGTTTATAACACATGGATAATTACTCATATGCCAAATGTCTTTGGAATTACCAAAAATAAAATTAAACTATGTGCGTCAGACTTTTGGTATTAAATATATCTTACTATTTTAAAATTCATTAAAAATTGATAAAGCATTATGGAAATGTGACAACTCTATTTATCAGGATATTAGTTTTCCTAAAAGGTCCTATATTCTTACTAAGCCTAATAATAGAGTTTATGATATATTTAGACTTTGGGAAGAAATAGGTAACAACAGTTATTAGTGAATTATTAATCAGCTGTTCAGTTTACAGTTCTAACATAAAAGATAATATTTCTCGACCCAGATTCCATGCCTTACTGAGAATAATCAATGTCTGAAAGCAACCTAAAAATGTATTCTTGCTAAAAATCTATCACACTTTTGTAATTCACACATACTTGTGAAATTCAAGTTCGTGTATTCTCTTCCTAATGGGAACTTCAAATAAAGAAATAACATATTTTAAAATAGGCAGTAAATATAAGCCAATTAATTCACTTGCCACCACTTGAATATTCTTGTCAATATCAGCTCAGGCTCAATTTTTAGAGACAGTGAGGTATAATCACCATCCCATCTTCCTCATCATTAGGGTTTGGGTAATGTGAGTCTGAGATTTGCATGCAGGAAATTTATTGGGGTCTGCTCTAGGGAACAATCTCTCGGAAGGAGAAATTGAGCCCCTTGTAGTGACGACAAAGATCCAAGCCCATGGGAAAGGGGGCCAGACTTTGTATTCCCACCTCGACCCATCACTGAATGTAAGCGTCCCTGGCAAAGGGAGCCATCAGCAGCAGAGAAAACCCTAGACATAGAGTCACAAGACCAGCCAGGGTCCTGTCCCACTGATCAGCTGTGCAGACTTCACCAAGACACACAGCTCTGAATCTCTTCTTAAACTGGAAAGGGTAGATATGTTCCTGGAGCAATCAGGGACTCCTTAAGGCATCAGAAAGTGGGGAGGAAGGACAGCTGGGCCAGGGCTAAAGAAGTAACTCTCCTGTGGATCTGCTTTTCACAGCTGATAGTATCCAATCATCAAATTGAAGGTGTCCCCAGGAGGCTGTGAACTTGGGCACCAATCAGGCCAGTGTCAGTATCCAAGGAGCTTTTGGGAAGTGGTAGTGCTTGCAGTCAGATGGGTGGTCAGGCAGTAGTTCTGGGTTGTCCATCCAACTGGAATCAGGACTCCACACACTAGAAAAGGGACAGAGAATTCAGCAAGAGCCGAAAGATGCTAAGGGTCATGCTGACAGGCACTAATATGGAGGGCTCCAGTTCAGCTGGACTAGTAAACTTTCAGCATGGCTTATAAGGTCATGATGATCTTGTCCCTGCAGGCATACTCTTTTTTTTTGAGGTGGGAGTCTCGCTCTGTCTCCCAGGCTGGAGTGCAGTGGCGCGATCTCAGCTCACTGCAAGTTCCGCCTCCCGGGTTTGTGCCATTCTCCTGCCTCAGCCTCCCGAGTAGCTGGGACTACAGGTGCCCACCACCACACCCAACTAATTTTTTTTTTGGTATTTTTAGTAGAGACGGGGTTTCACCGTGTTAGCCAGGATGGTCTCAATCTCCTGACCTTGTTATCCACCCACCTTGGCCTCCCAAAGTGCTGGGATTACAAATGTGAGACACTGCACCTGGCCCAGACATACTCTTTTGCCACAACCATTGCTACTCCCACCTCCTGTCCTGCTCCCCCACTACACTGAACTCTTTTCCCTCTCTATGCTGTGTGCTCTTTCAACTTGACTCTTCTACCTGAAGACCGTTCTCCTTGGCACTCTTTCTTTACTTGAATAATGCCTACTCATCCCTCAGATGTCCACCAGGACCTTCCAAGAAGCCTTTCTTGACCTCCCTAGACTGGGTTAGGTGACCCTTCTGTGTTCTCCCAGAGCAGCATATGTGCAAGCATGATATAATGACTGGCACATCATAAACACTCTAAAGACAGTGGCCACTATTGATATTATTCTTCCTTGATAGTACATATCATTCTGAATTGTATGCCTGGGCCTCCTGGGCCTTCACTGTATCTCCAGCTTTCGGTACATTGAAGAGCATGCAATACATACCTGATAAATGTTTGTTAAAATAATGAAATTCTCAGTTACACAACTGGGCAAACATGGATGTGACAGCATGGGGAAGGGGTTGGCCAGGGCTCCTTTGCAATATCCCAGAGACTTGCCCTCAGAACCAATGCCCACCTCTGCCAGGGGCTGGGTCTAAGCCCCTATCTGTGTTGGCTGTTGTACTTAAGATTGTGTAAGGAACAGGGAGGAATCAACCTGTTGGCTGAAGACTCTCAGAGCCTGCAACCAAGAAGGACCAGGACAGTCATGGACAGTCACATGGGCAGGACTGCTGCTCACAGTGCAATTCCATCATTTGTTTATTTAAGAGGCAGTGCAGTTCATGGAATGAACATAGGATTTGGGGTCAGATACACCTGAATTCAAATCCCTATTCTTTACCCTAGAGCTATGGGGTAGAGGTTAAGGGCAGAATCTTTGGGGCAAGACTTCTTAGAATTGAATCTCAGCTTCTCCACTTCCTGGCTGTGTAACATTAGACACATTATGTAACCTGTCTGTGCCTCAGTTTTCTCATCTGTAAAGCAGAGAATAATAATTCCTGCTTCATAGGGCTATTATGAGGGTTAAGGAGTTAATAATTATAAAGTTCTTAGAACTGCATTTGGCAAATAGTAAGTACTATACTAGATTTACCTAACCATTCTAAGCCTCAATTTTCTCATTAGAAAAAATGGACATATGTAGAACATTTGGTACAATGTCTCACATATGGGTCATTCTCAGTAATTATATTATTTCCATTACTGTTACTTCTCTTGTAAGTAGAATATCCTTTCTAGGGTGAACTAAATTGATTAATAGAAACCTTCCTGTGGATACTTCTGGTCTCAACTGACAATTTTGGGAGAAAAGAAGCTGTTTCTTCATGGTTCTGGGCCAGTCACACCCCTTCTGGCTTGCCTTTTTTGTCTAATGTTCTGAGAACCTTCTTCATAGACCCAAACACTCCAGTACATACCCATTTCTCTGGCAGATAAACAAAGGAGAGGTGCATTAGTTTCCAAGGGCTGTCATGAGAAAGTACCACAAATTTGTTGGCTTAAAGGAACAGAAATCTATTCTCTCACAGTTCTGGATCCAAAAATCTGAAATCAAGGTGTCAGCAGGGCTATGCTCCTCTTAAGGGCTCTAGAGAATTTACTTGCCGCTTCTGGCTTCTGGTGGCTCCAGGCATTCCTTGGCTTTAGGCAGCAGAATGCCAATCTCTGTTTGTCTTCACTTGGCCCTCTCCCTCTGTCTGTTTCTGTCCCAAATCTCCTGCCTTTTTCTTATTACTTGTCTTTGAATTTAGGGTTCACCCTAAATTCTGGATAATCTCAAGATCCTTAACTTAATTACATCTGCAAAGACACGTTTCCAAATAGGTTCACATTTACAGGAACTAAGGGTTAGAATGTGGCCATATCTTTGGGGGTCAACTATTGAACTCACTATAAGAGGGGTAACTGAGCCCTAATTGGGGCTGAATAGAAAGCACCCATTAACCTTGTTTGGACCTACCTGTACTTCCTTTTCCTTTTTTCTTTTCCCTGAACACTTGTTCCAGTTTTGTCTATTTCCCGTAGATGGAATGGTCACAGCCAGAGGAACAAGCAAGAAATCACAACCAACAAATCTGCTTATTCCTGGGCTTCAACCTGGCCCACACCTGCAACTGCTTCTTGCTTCAGGGTTTGCTGTGGGCAGTACATAAGCTACTTGACCCAATACTCATGTGAAAGTTTATTCTGCTTGGCCCTCCCAGTTGCCTTGCAGACATCCAGGAGAGTTGGGTATCACTTGGGACCTGGCAGTGTGGGCTTGCCCTGCCAGGCTCTTCAACAGGGTTGCCTTGGTCACGTATTAGATTTCATGCATGGGGCCAAACCAGGAGACCTTGGTGAGCTGGAACAAGAAGGGGCAGTGGATCTGGGTCAGAGCAGGAATTATACTTGTAGTTGGACTGGGCAAATAGGCTCAGAGAAGGAATCTGTGTCAAAAGCTTGGCAGATTGGCAGGAAACCTGAGGCCTGATGCACAAATTAGAATGGATACTAGCTTTCCATCTACACAGGCCAGTTCTTAGTTCTCGTAAGTCTGACTGGGGAGTTCTGTGACATGTGGCATATCATGGATTGCAAGGGCCAACTAAATTCTTTTTTGCTTTCTCTCTGATACAGAGCCTCGCTCTGTCACCCAGGCTGGAATGCAGTGGCACAATCTTGGCTCACTGCAACCTCCGCCTCCGGGATTCAAGCAATTCTCCTACCTCAGCCTCCCGAGTAGCTGGGATTACAGGCACGTGCCACCACACCCGGCTAATGTTTTTGTATTTTTGATAGAGACGGGGTTTCACCATGTTGGCCAGGCTGGTCTTGAACTTCTGGCCTCAAGTGATCTGCCTGCCTTGGCCCCCCAAAGTGCTGGCATTAAAGGCGTGAG
Source organism: Homo sapiens (assembly GCF_000001405.40). Classification (NCBI taxonomy): domain Eukaryota; kingdom Metazoa; phylum Chordata; class Mammalia; order Primates; family Hominidae; genus Homo; species Homo sapiens. The sequence goes on from NC_000013.11 coordinate 44,181,646, forward strand.
CCACCGTGCCTGGCAAGGCTCAACTAAATTTAGCATATATTTATTAAGGATTTGCCATATGCCAGGATCTATAATACAGAGGTCAGACAATCCTTGTCTTCAAGCAGATGAAAGTGTAGCAGCAGATACACACATATAAGAATTAATTGCCATAAAATGTGATAACTATATGTGCACAGTGTTATGAGAGGCCAAAAGTAAGAAATCATTCTGCCTTGGGCTAGGGAATGGGTCATGATGGGAGCACAGAAGAGGCAATATTTGATCTAGATCTTAAAGAATTCAGTAAGGAATGGCTGAGAAGAGCAGCCCAGGAAGCTTGTCCAGCTGACCAAGTGGGTGCCTCTTCTTTTTTGTGTTTATCTCATCCATAACCTAGACCTTCAGTGGAAAGAACAACCTTCATACAATAACTTTTTAAAAAAATAAACATTACAGAGACAGGTATTAAACATATCCGACAAATGAGTCATGCCCATGGAAACAACCAACCACAAAAGACTCCATTTGTAAGGAACTGGCTTAGTGGTTACCAACTTAACATCAGGGGCCCACGGCCATTACTACTATTATTCCTACTGTTATGTACTAGTTTTAGACTTTAGGGTATGATGATGTTTCAATGACTCATTACTATTGAGCATTTCATGTGGCCTATTTGGATGTATTTCTTATTAAAAATGTTTTTCATTTATTTCACATATAATATTGGTGTAAGACACTTATAATTTCAATCTCTAGTAAAGGTAAGAAGGCTACTGCTCATTATTGCCTGCTCCATATATTTGTAATATTTAATGAATCTCTCTTTGAACTTTCTTGGGGGTGTCTTCTAACACAACACCTTTATTTATTTATTTATTTTTAATTATACTTTAAGTTTTAGGGTACAGGTGCACAACGTGCAGGTTTGTTACATATGTATACATGTGCCATGTTGGTGTGCTGCAACCATTAACTCGTCATTTACATTAGGTATATCTCCTAATGCTATCCCTCCCCGCCACCATCCCACAACAGGCCCCGGTGTGTGATGTTCCCTTTCCTGTGTCCATGTGTTCTCATTGTTCAATTCCCACCTATGAGTGAGAACATGTGGAACACAACACCTTTATAATTAGTAGAGATGTTGTTAAATTTGAAAATGATGCATCTTCACAGAGTATTAGTTTTGTTTAATTATTATTCAGTTGCATTTAAGTAATTTAATTGTTTAAGTTTCAAATATAAGGTTTAAATATATTCCAATACTAGAACAAACATAGATACATTACTCAACTTTTGATATACATAGCATATATGTCAGCATTGAATATAAAATTCAAATAGTTTCTAGAATCATACAACAGATCTCTTTTAGATAAGAGAAAAAAAAATAAAGAACATCCAAACTGGAAAGAAGTCAGATTATCCTTGTTTACAGGTAAAATGATCTTAGATTTAGAAAAGAACTAAAGACTCCACCAAAAAACTGTTAGAACTGATAAACAAATTAAGTAAATTTGCGGGATAAAAAACCAAATACAAAAATCAGCAGCAATTCCCATAAGCCAACAGCGAACAATCTGAAAAAAAAAAGAAATCAAGAAAGCAATCCCATTTATAGTAACTACCAGGAAATAAAATACTTAGGAATAAAATGAAGCAAAGGAGAGAAAGAATTTTTTTTTTTTTTTTGAGACAAGAGTTTCACTCTGTCATCCACCTCCTGGTTTCAAGCTATTCTCCTGCTTCAGCCTCCCAAGTAGCCAGGATTACAGGTGCCGGCCACCACACCCAGCTATATTTTGTATTTCTAGTAGAGACAGGGTTTCACCATGTGGCCAGGCTGGTCTTGGACTCTTGACCTCAAGTGATCCACCTGCCTCAGCCTCCCAAAATGCTTGGGATTACAGGTGTGGGCCACCATGCCTGTCCCAAAGAAGAGAAAGATTTCTACAAGGAAAAAGATAAAGCACTGGTGAAAAAAATTGAAGATGACACACCCCCAAAAATGGAAAGACAGCCCATGTTCATAGATTGGAAGAATTAATACTGTTAAAATGTCCAGACTACCCAAAGTAATCTACAGATGCAATGAAAACCCTATCCAAATACCAATTACATTGTTCATAGAAATAGAAAAAACCATCTTAAAATTCGTATCAATTCTGAATAGCTAAAGCAATCCTAAGCAAAAAGAACAAAGCTGGAGGCATCATACCATCTGATTTCAAAATATACTATAAAGTTACAGTAACCAAAGCAGCATGGTACTGGCATAAAAACAGACACATAAACCAATGGAACAGAATAGAAAGTCCAGAAATAAACTCATGCATTTACAGCCAACAAATTTTCAACAAAGGTGCCAAGAACATACATTGGGGAAATTATTGTCTTATTGATAAATGGTGCTAGGAAAACAGGATATCCATATAGAGAAGAATAAAACTAGACTCCTATCTCTAATCATATACAAAAATCAAAATTAATTAAAAATCTTAAATGTAAGGCCTGAAACTATAAAACTCCTAGCAGGAAACTTTGGGAAAATGTTTCAGAACATTTGTCTGGACAAAGTTTTTTTTTTAGTAAGATCCCAAAAGCATAGGCAGCAAAAGCAAAAATTGATAAATGGGATTACATCAAGCTAAAAGGCTTCTGCATACCAAAAGAAACAATTAACAAAGTGAAAAGACAACCTACAGAATGGTAGAAAACAAATTATCCATCTGACAAGAAATTAATAACCATAATACATAAGGAACACAAACAACTCAATAGCAATAAAACAAATAATCTGATTTTATAATGAGCAAAAGATGTGAATAGACATATCTGACAAGAAGACAACCAAGTGGTCCACAGGTATATGAAAAAATATTCAAAATCACTAGTTGTCAGAGAAAAGCAAATCAAAACCATAATGAGATATCACCTTATCCCAATTGAAATGGTTATAATCAAAAGACAAAAAATAACAAGTGCTGGTGAGAATGCAGAGGAACAGGAACACTTTTACACTATTGGTGGGAATGTAAACTAGTACAACTACAAAAAACAGTAGGGAGATTCCTCAAAAAACTAAAAACAGAATTACCATATGATCCAGCAATCCCACTGCTGAGTATATACCCAAAAGAAAGACAGTCAGTATGTGAAGGAGATATCTGCATTCCCATGTTTATTGCAGCACTATTCACAATAGTCAAGACATGGAATCAGCCTAAGTGTCCATCAACAGATGAATGGATAAAGAAAATGTGCTATATATATGTAATGGAATATTATTTGGCCATGAAAAAGGATGAAATCCTGTCATTTGCAGCAACGTGGATGAAACTGGAAGTTATTAAGTGAAATAAGCCAGGCACATAAATACAAATACTGCATTTTTTCACTCATATATGGTGAAAAATATATGGAGGTAGTAAACAGAATGGTAGTGACCAGAGGCTGGAAAGGGGAGAGGAAAGGGGGATGAAGAGAGGTTGGTTAATAGGTACAATAACACAGTTAAATAAAAGGAGTAACTTCTAGTGTTTTATAGTACAGTAGGGCAACTACAGTTAACAATAACTTATCATAAATTTCAAAATACCTAGAAGATTGGGAATGTTCTGAATGCAAAGAAAAGATAAATATTCGAGGTGACGGATATCCCAATTACCCTGATTTGAGCATTACACATTGTATGATTGTATGAAAATATCCATGTACCCCACAAATATGTGCAACTATTATGTACCAATAAAAAGGGGGAAAACAGGTCTTAAACAATACAAAAGAAGCCAGATACAAAAGGCTTCATACTGTCTGAATCCATTTATATTTTGAAAAAGGCAAAATTACAGGGGTACAAATTAGCTCGGTGGTTGCCAGGGGCTGGGAGTAGAGGAAGGAAATTGACTGCAAAGGAGCATAAGGAAATTTGGGAATGATAAAAAATACCCTTTACCTTCATTGTGATGGTGGTTACATGATTGAATGTATTTGTAAAAATTCAACCAACTATACAATAAAAATTTTACTTATGTAAATTATATCTTAAACCTAACTTTAAGGAAAGTCAGGTTACTCCAGGCTCCCTTTCCAGGCAAATTCACTGCTGCATCCATTTTTTCTGATCTGCTTTTAAGAATACCTAGAAGGAAGAGTTTGAGAATTATTCATTTAATAGCTCTTTAAAAGAGGGGTCTTGGAGTATGATTCTGCATGAGTTAAACCCCAAGATCTTGAACAATTTAAACTTGAACAATAATTTTAGGTGTAGAAGGTATAGGGCACTTTCAAATTGTATAAAATACCAACATGCCTACCCACAATATTTTATAGATACATAATCATTTATTCTAGCACTGTGTAGCTTCTTTACTTGTGAAATATTCACTTGTGACTACATACCAGCAAGGGATGTGCATTAGTTTCCTAGGGCTTCTGTGACAAGGTACCATAGACTAGATGGCTTAAACAACAGAAATTTATTTTCTCACAATTCAGGAGGCTGGAAGTCCAAGATCAAGGTGTCAGCAGGGTTAGTCTCTTTTGAGATCTCTTTCCTAGACTTATAGATGGCCACCTTTTTGCTGTGTCTTCACATGGTCTTCCCTCTGTGTTCTAATCACCTTTTCTTATAAGGACACCGTTCATACTGGATTACAGTCCACCTTAATGAGTTCATTTTAACTTAATTACCTCTTTAAAGGCCCTATCTCCAAATGCAGTCACATTCTGAGATATCGGGGGTTAGGACTTCAATATATGAAATTTGAGGAGGCACAATTCAGCGTGCTTCCCACCCCTTCCCTCTTCCACCATGGACATTTTTCCTATTCCAGCCACCCTCCAACCACGCTGCCTCTCCCAAGATGTAACTTTCTTCTTCTTGGTTTGCTTTGGTTACTTCCACATGTTGATCAAACATCTGTAAAAGGAAATCAAAGCACTAAGACACTGTAAAGATGCCAAGACACTGTATGCAGGCCCAGGTGGAAAAAAATGTGTCGTTTAATATTTGTATGTATTTGTTTGCTTTGGTGTATTTCTACAGATCCTTTTCTTGAAAGGCTATATATAGCAGCTTTGAATATCCAAACTATATTGGGAACATATCAAATATGTGGAACAGAAGCTTAAGTGCTGCCCATACCACACAGCCTTGTACTCACTGCTCCTACACATATAAATGAGTGAAGAATGGTTGAATAGAAAATCTGCAGCAAGGCAACAATAGTCCAGTTTTTAACCCCAGCTTCTCTGTAGCTAACATGAATAATCCATGGTAAGCTGGATCCTTACAGTAATTTATCGATGAGTAGTATAATCATTTATTTCAAGCTGAACACATTTCTCTGGCTCTGCTTCATCCACCACAAGATACTTCCAGGCAGCTCTGGGAGAATTGGAAGCATGTTTTTCTTCCAGTATTTGCCTGGTCTCATAGAGCAGCAAATAGTAATATAAAGAGCTCAATCTGTATGCACAAAAGCAGTTGATGTAGACTACTTTTAGGTTCAAGTTTTGAGCAAACAGTATACAGAAAACCCTTTGCAATTAATACTAAGACTAGGAAGTGATGAGCCCATCAAGGTTGGGTGTGAGGCATGGATGAGGATCAGTGAAGGACACAAAGTCAGGATGATAACAAGCAAACGGGAGCTAGACAAGAAGGAAGGCAGAAACATTTCAGGTTACACCATAACATCATCAAGAAGGGACTGGACGAATAATTGCAGCACTGGCTACTTTCTGTTGAGTGTTTCTTACTCTGTAAGGCCTGCACTAGGTGCTCTACATATCATGGGCTTAAGCTGAGCACAGCACTGCCATTTGACTTGTAGGATCCCTCGTTTGCAGATAAGGATAGTGACGCTCTATAAGATGCACTACGTGGTGGAGTTAGAACCCAACCACCAAGTTTTCCATGATGCCCAAGCCCATTCTCTTTTGATATCCGTTATAATGGTCCCACACTGTGGCTATAGCATTATGTTGTTTATGTGTTATTCATAGTTCATCATATTGAGTAAACAGGATGGACTTTTAGCAAACTGGGCAGAGTTTGTCTCTAAGTGTGGTTTCAATTCATCTCAAGTTTGTTTGTTTTTAATTGCCTATATAAAGTTCAAAGAAACCCTATCATGCACATTCTGCTAAGAAGAAGATGCTTCAAGCAGAGAAATGCAGTTGATTTTTTCATTCAGGGTTCTAATGTCCAGAGTGGGCTAACCTTATTAAGGAGTGTAGGCCCTTTATTGAAAGGGGTGGGAGAGGTTCTATTTTGCAGCAGTTGGGAAGGCATGGTCTCTCCACAGGTGAGGTGGTTGTCTAACGGGAGATAGAACAGGCTGGGTTTCTGAATAAGTACATGAATACATTTGATTTCAGTATTCCCTGAGTGATTGAGGGGGTTGCTATAATGCTTGGTGCAAATAGGAAAGGTCAGTAGGGACAAGTGGGAAGAGTCCAAAAGAAGAAACCTAATGAAGGAAAGTGAATGGAAGAGAAGAAGGAGCACCAGGGGATGGCCACGGTGGCCATTGTAGGTGCCTTTGACCCAGACACTCAACAGAGCACCTAAGCCTAGATGGGTAGAGCCAAGATTGTTTTTGATGCCTGGGTTGGATCCAAAACTTCCATCCAGGTCTGCCTTTACCTGGGTGTCTTGGCTTTTGCATTCCCACAGCTGTGACTCAGACCTGTGTTTTCTGGGATGGGAAAGGAATACAGCAAATTATGAGATAAGAAGTGAAAAAAGAATAACTGGCAACCATTATTCCTGCACCCTGGGAAAGAGGGTCCTGCCTGCCTGGCCCTGCCTCTCTTGCTGACTCATGCTGTAGTCGTGACAGTGCCTTTGACTCATCCAGCCTAAGAACCCAAGAATCAACTCTGACACTTCATTCCCATGCATGGCATACCTGGTCATCAACACGGAGGAATTTTAACCCAAACTATATTTTGAGCCTGTTCCTTGCTCCATCCCACTACCAATGTGTTGAGTCAGGCCTTCCTCCTTTCTTATTTGGAGCAGTAAGAGCCTCCCAACTTGTCCTCCTGCTTCCAGTCTACCCAGACAGTCCATCCTCTGACCTTCCACCTGAGTGATCTTTCTGGAAAACAAACCAATCCTGTCACTCCTCTGCTTCTTAATGCCAGAGTAGGATTCTCAACTGAAGACTCCCCTGAACTCCAAGAATCCAGGGGCAAAATTGTACATTTATGCCATGTAGCAGAGGTAGTTAGTGATTAACAAATATTCCTTGTGTATCCCCATATATTCCAGCCTCCCTTGCAGTCAGGTTGGAGCATGGGACTAATTTGATCAACTCAATGTGGTAACATGCTGTATTTCATGGTTATCTGTGGCTCTGATTGGAAGTCATGAAGGTTGGATGGCTTTTTTGAATGGGGAAACAAAATAGTTACTTCTTACTAATTCCAATATTTGGGGGGATTAAAAACAAATTTATGAAGACACGTGAGCCATAGGAAAAAAATATTTAAAGAGAGTCCTTAAGAATGAATATTGTGGACCTCTGGCCTACAGAAAAAAGTCCAAACATGACACTCACATCAAAACAGATGAGACACAAAAGCCATTCTGGTTTTGTTGACAATAAAGTCTTGTTGCCCTGTGCTTTGCCAATCTGGACTTTGACTAATTATTTCCCAGTTATGCTTTACACTTCCATGTGGGCCTGCCCTTGCAACCTCCAGTCCCTCATCTCCAGCCTGTCCAGTTCTCCCCTTATCCTGCAAGACCCAACTAAAATGTTGAACTCAACCTTCTCTGCTGAATTCCCATTGCCCTCAGCCATAATTTTAGTCACAATGCTTCTTTCATCATATTGGCATCCCTGACTGTTCGTTAAAATGTGAACTTCTCCCACACATGTAGTGTCTCCTTCCCATCTCTGTGCCCCCAATGCCTAGGATAGTGCCTGGCACAGAGGGGGCATTCACCAACTACAGTCTCCTTGGAGGTACTCTTCTAGGCTCCTCAGATGGGTGGGTTGCATGTGGCGATGAGTAAACTATTTATCTAAGTGCCCCCTTGCTGTTCCTCAAGCGTGCCAAGCCTGCTTTCCCCCACAGCCCTCACGTTTGCACCTATCTCGGCCCAGAACTCTCTCCAGACCTCACATAGCTCTCTCCCCCACATCAGTCAGAGCGGCTTTCTCTGGTCCTTCTCCCTTTATCTCCTTATTCTGCCTTGTGTCTTCACGGCACATCTGGTACATTTTATTTTGCATTTACTATTAAGTCTGTTCATTGTCTCCCCCAAGTAGACTGTAGGCTCTGTGAGGTCAAGGGCTTTGTCTTGTTCATTGCACATTAGTGGGCACTCAAAAATATTTTTGAATGAAGAAATAATAAAGTTATCATATTTTAACACATCAAATCTGAAACCAAGCCTCATTTTTCAAGCGTTCTTTTCATAAAGCCGTAAAGCTTTAGATTAAGAAAGGAATTTGGAGGGTTTACTTGAGCTCTGTATTCTCATTTAACTGAAGTGGAAGCAGAGATCTCTGACAGCAAAATAACTTGCCCCATGCAGGGCTGAAGCTAGAACCCTTGTCTGACTCCTGGGTCTTGACTCCTAGCACAGTGTTTTGCATGTGGTAAGCATTCAGTTAATCAATGAGTGTTAAGTTGAATTAAAACTAGAAAAGGCTGAGCAGTTTGATGCCTGTGTGTGCAGCTTTCTGCCCTGTTTATAAACTGAGCTCAAAAGACATGGGCCTCTAGGGAGTTACTTGAGAAAACAAAAGTATAGCAGATGGGGATCCAGGTTCTTACCCTGACACATGGACTCCGTTGGGCAGACCTAGACCAGTTAACCACACAACTACCTGACCCTCCACACTGCATGTCCCCGAGATCTGTAGACATAGCTGGCACTGTTTCCTGGTCACCAGTGGATGTTAAGGGTCAAAAGAGAAAAGGATCTCTCTTTTAGCCAGGAGCACTGACTAGGTGACTGCTAGGGAAAAGCAAGAAATGCAGCGTCAGCCCACCATGGTAGGTAGTGGTTGAGGAGCCTGAGAACTAAAGCTCCTTCCGTTCTCAACCTCACACTCTGGGCCAGTTACTGAAATTGTCTAGACCTTCACTTGAAAAATAAATCCTATAGTTAGGAATAACCAGGGTTTCATTACAAAGTTCTTGGCACATACTCCAGGACTAAATTATATATGGTAGTGGTGCAAATTGCCAATCAAACAGTGCCTTCCACAATGAGGGGCAAACATAATGAAACCTTAGTTTGGTAGATCATAACAAAATTGCTCATTATTTCTTCGTCTCTCCTTTAGATGGAAAAGTGTCACCTTTTCTATATGTTCTTTGCCCATTTCAGCTTCTGCCCTCAGACTCTCAGGAATATGGAGAACTGTTTCTCTAAACACTCACGATTAAACAAATTAGGAGATTTCCTAATTGTTTAAGGATGTACGGTTGTTCAACAAGGACCCATGTTCCACCACTCTCCTCTTCTGCAGTATGGCAGACAACCATCAATAACCACAGGGTCCCAACCCAAGCCTTGGAGCTCACCTCATAATTCCTCATGGTCCAGAGAGCCTTCACAATCAACTGGAGCTGTTAGATGTAATGAAATTATTTGCCATCCTCAGTTTCAGTTGTATAAAGCCAGGACCAGAATGTACAAACTGTCCTCAAGCTTTTCTCTAACTCTAGGTCATGCATTTCTAAATCAAAGGCAGTTGCCTGTCTTGCAGGATTTGTTTTCTTTCCTTTTTGTTTTTCTATTTTCCTCTAAGCATACAAGGAAGAACAGAGATTTCAACCATTATTTCTCAGTGAACTAAACATCAAACTATAAGTTTTCAAGTCAGCCATGACCTGGCATCTCTCCGTCTTTTGAAAACGAAGCCAAACAATCTATGGTGCGGTCTCCTTAAGCTGTGTCCGAAATATGCAGGGTTGTGCAATATGCAATGTTTTGGTCAGTCACTAGGTGGCATCTAATTGAGGCACCGGGTGAACTCTCCCAGAAGGAGCGTGTTTTAGAGCACACCACAGTTCTCCATTTTGGCTGCCATTGTTTGGTGGGCGTGTTGGAGTTAATCCATTGCCATCTGTCTTTATTTTGCTAACTTACTCAGTCGGACGCCACACAATTGAGTTCTGCAAATGTCGGCTCTCCAGTACAGCAATTACCGAGTCTCTCTCTAAACAATATCACCGCACGGCATTCTTCCTGCCTTGCCTAGAGCTTGAAACATTCAGGCTCATTTTGACTTTCTTTGCTTATAGCGCTTGTCATCTTCAAAGATGAAAGAAAAATGGTCTGAACTCAAAGCCACAACAAGGCATGGCTTCTCTTTCCAAACTGAGTACATACCAATCAACATGTTCCTATTACATAAAAACCCCAGGCAACACAGCCAAGGATGTGGGCTTGTGCTTGTGCAGTCCAGGAAGACACCACCGCCTCCTCCAGGATGCAGACAGAGTGCATTTTGTTGTTGATGATGATGTTGTTCTTTTAATATTTGAGGGACTGGTGGGAGAGGTGGCAAGTGAGGCACATGGAAGTAATAGGAGAAGGAAGTTAGGAAGGAAGGAAGGAGAAAGAGAAAGAAAGAAAGAGAAAGAAAGAAAGAAAGAGAGAGAGAGAGAGAGAGAGAGAAAGAAAGAAAGAAAGAAAGAAAGAAAGAAAGAAAGAAAGAAAGAAAGAAAGAAAGAAAGAAAGAAAGGATATAGAGGAGGAGTGGGGAGTGAGCTGATATTTGAAGGACCTAACTTCCATTGCTGTTCCAGAAGAGGGATGAATTAATAATCTCAGTAACCTAGAAATGGTGTTTATTTTCCATTGTTTGCTCATTTCATTCATTCACGCATTGTGTATTGAAGACCTACTCTGTGTGTCAGGCAGTGTATGAGATGTTCCAGATACAAGTGGGATCGATTCATCAAGATTCATTGTCTTCTTTGAGCTTACATTTTGTGGGGAGACAGACATTGATCAAGTAAACACAAGCATGATAGCTGTTGTGAAATAGACACAAAAACACACAGGGTGTTGCACAAGCACACAATGGGTGCCCTCACCTAGTCTGGGGGCCAGGAAAGGATCTCTGAGATAGGTGAAGATGAAGGGGGTTTTTAGAGTATCATTCTTCTTTGTTGAACTCTCACGTGCCAAATACTCTGCTTTGCAATTAGCAGATGCTAGATTCATATTTGGTGACCAACTAGCAAGTGAGGAAGATCTAGCAGGATGAGAACCAGTGAAAATACAGCCCAGTCCCTGATGGGACTAATTCCTCCTTAATCCTTTGCTTTTGCCTTTTTTTCCTGCCAAAATTATATAAAGATTTGCATCCATCTTTTATCTTTATTTAAGTCCATTTTGTTCAAAGTTTTCAATGCCTGGTAAACCAAAAGTGAATTAAACATTAACATATTAGTTTACATTGCTATCTACTGTAGTTCTTCAGAATCGATTCACTGTTTAAATTTTAGAAAATAGGAGGCAATTTGGGGAGCAAAGAAGAGGAAGCCAGAAAAAAAGGGAACATACTGTGTTTGTCTTCTCCGCTGTATTACCATATTTTCAAATGTAATTTCTGTCTTCAGGGTTTCCACTATGAAGCAGAGGGAGTCCATATCCTATGTATTGACATAAGATTCGAGCAAAGGCAAACCCACGAATATGCAGTTTTTGGGAACTGTAAACTCCCTGAGTTTCATTACAGGTGCTGGAATAGGTGGATATTGAAAGGATTTAATGTGGTCTCACTACTTACCAGTGCATTTGTGAATGACCCATTCTTGTAGGACTTTATCTTGTCAACCAAGTCTATTTGTCATTAAATATTTGTGGTCTGAGTCCTTTAAAGTCATCTCCTGGGAGAACTGCATTGCCAGGTAGTTTGAAGACCAACGCCAGCTACATAGTAACATAAGGAGCCTTTGCCTTGCTTTATTTTGGTCTTAACTCATTGCTCCCCTAAGCTGAATAGGGAATGTCAGGCAGCTGTCCTTCATGCCACTGAGATTCTCCTGCCTGAGGCCCCAACCTTCCAGAAGGTTCAGGTGGCTGGGGCCTTCCAGGGGGAGTGGCTGGGTCTGTGAGGTGGCCCATGGATAGAGCTGGGGTACCCTCTTCCTCCCACCTCTCTGGGATCTGCCTGCACTGTGGACCTGGTCATGTCCTGGGGTGGGGGTGCAGAGGGCAAGTGGGGATACCAGGGGAAGAAGAAATGTCACTTGAGCTGTGGCAGACACTGGAGGGCCAGGCCCTGCACAACAACCACTGTTACCATGGAAACTCCCAAGGAGACCGCCGAAGGCCACTAGAAGCAGCCTTGGTAACATTCTTCCATTTCTGACCTCTCATTACATTTGACATAATTGACCAATCTCATTCTGGAGACTTCTCCTTCCTCGGTTTATGTGACATGAACCCTCTTGGTTCTGCTCCTCTCACCCTGAGTGACCTCTGTCAGCCTCTTTTGCAGACACTTACTTCACTCTCTCTTCATTCACTCATTAATCACGGTTACAAAAATCTGGTCTTAGGATCCCTGCTTTCTTTTTTTTTTTTCTTTTTTCTTTTATTTTGTTATTATTATACTTTAAGTTTTAGGGTACATGTGCACAACGTGCAGGTTTGTTACATATGTATACATGTGCCATGTTGGTGTGCTGCACCCATTAACTCATCATTTAGCATTAGGTATATCTCCTAATGCTATCCCTCCCCCCTACCCCCACCCCACAACCATCCCTGGTGTGTGATGTTCCCCTTCCTGTGTCCATGTGTTCTCATTGTTCAATTCCCACCTATGACTGAGAACATGCGGTGTTTGGTTTTTTGCCCTTGTGATAGTTTGCTGAGAATGATGGTTTCCAGCTTCATCCATGTCCCTACAAAGGACATGAACTCATCATTTTTTATGGCTGCATAGTATACCATGGTGTATATCTGCCACATTTTCTTAATCCAGTCTATTGTTGTTGGACATTTGGGTTGGTTCCAAGTCTTTGCTATTGTGAATAGTGCCGCAATAAATATATGTGTGCATGTGTCCTTATAGCAGCATAATTTATAATCCTTTGGGTATATACCCAGTAATGGGATGGCTGGGTCAAATGGTATTTCTAGTTCTACATCCCTGAGGAATCGCCACACCGACTTCCACAATGGTTGAACTAGCTTACAGTCCCACCAACAGTGTAAAAGTGTTCCTATTTTTCCACATCCTCTCCAGCACCCGTTGTTTCCTGACTTTTTAATGATCGCCATTCTAACTGGTGTGAGATGGTATCTCACTGCGATTTTGATTTGCATTTCTCTGATGGCCAGTGATGATGAACATTTTTTCATGTGCTTTTTGGCTGCATGAATATCTTCTTTTGAGAAGTGTCTGTTCATATAGGCATGGGCAAGGACTTCATGTCTAAAACACCAAAAGCAATGGCAACAAAAGCCAAAATTGACAAATGGGATCTGATTAAACTAAAGAGCTTCTGCACAGCAAAAGAAACTACCATCAGAGTGAACAGGCAACCTACAGAATGGGAGAAAATTTTTGCAACCTACTCATCTGACAAAGGGCTAATATCCAGAATCTACAATGAACTCAAACAAATTTACAAGAAAAAAACAAACAACCCCACCATCAAAAAGTGGGCGAAGGATATGAACAGGATCCCTGCTTTCTTTCTCCTCTTTTTTGAGATGTTTCTTCATTTTCTGGGTTTGAGCTATAAGCTTTCTAAAGATGACATAGGTGGAGTTCAGCAAAGAGAGGGAGGAAATGAGTGTTCACTGGTTGGTTGCTGCTTCCTCTGTACCTGTGGCCCGGCCGCCTGCATGTGGTGCCTCTTCTCATCCCCAAGAAAACCCTGCAAGAGTGGTGGGCCCTTAGCCTTTGCTGTTTTGTACATGATGTCCCTTTTGTCTGTGATGTTCCTTTTGTCCATGATGTTCCTTTTATCTGAAATTCTTTTTGATTTCTCCCTCCACTCACCTTCCAAATTTCTACTCCTTTTCAAAGCCCAGTTCAATTACTATTTCTTTTGTGGCATCTGCCTGAATTCCCCAAGCCCCATTAATCCCTTTGTCTGAATTTCATGGCACGAATGTCATCCTTCTATTAGATTATTTACCACATTACAGTACACAGTGTAGTTTGCTAATTTCCCTCCCTGTCCCCTAAGGTTGTCTTTGGGGTGCTAGAGGACAAGATGAGGTCTTATCTCTCTCGGCATCCTGACATCTATCACAGTGCCTAACCCATAGCAGGTGTTTCACAAACATTCCTTTATCGTGTAATAGCTAGCGTTTGTTAGCTCAGCGCATTATCTCAGGCAGTCCTCCATATAACCCTATGGAGTTGGTCATTATCTGATGAGGAGAGTGAGCTTTGAAGAAGTTAAATAAATTGCCCAGGACCACACAGGCAGAATCAGGACGTTAACCAGCACAGACTGAATCTCGAGTCCACACTGTGCTGCATGGCCACCCTCTGGAGGCCTGTGATGTCCCCTCTGACTGCTGCCCTACAGCCAGCAGAGACGATCACTGAACCCAGGCACTTGCACAGCCCAATGCTGAAGAAGGCAGGTGTGGATGCATGAATGAAAGGTGAAGGAGCAAGTGAGTAAACCCACTCTCTGAGTCTTTCATACAATCCAGCTTTCATTCCTGCTCATTCACCCTACCCTCTGCTCCTCCCTTTTAGTCCCCTAAGTACCCCTCCAGCCCTGACCTCCCTTGTCTCACACTGACTTCCTGCAGCACCTCATTGGTGGGTTCCTCAACCCACAGCCTCTTTTTTCCTGTCTCCCTCCCTGTGCCCCACAACACATACAACACCTAAAAATTAATTCTCAAGCCCTGTTGTCAGATCCACACTCCAGGATTGATTTTGGCTTCTGACTCATTGTTGAGTAAAATCTCAGCACTCAAGGCTAACTGTCATTTCCCTACATGTATCTATCACTCTAAACCAAGCAGCGTTGTTGACTGCCCCTGGCCTGTGATTTGCCTGTGTTGCCTCCAGATCTTTTCCTGAGCTATTCTTCTGTGTTTTGAACACCTGTCCCATATCAGGAAATGAGCTGGGTTCTGGGAATACAGAGATTAAAACTTCAGTCTCTGATGCTCCTAGATTAGTGCAAGACAGCTGAAAGAGCAATAACAAAGTCCCATCACTATGGCAGGTGATTCAGAGGAAAGCCCAGGTTGCTATGGAAGCACCTAGGTCATCTACCTTCCCCATCTCCAATAACATCAGCCCTCAGAGCCTTCTCCGTCTGACCCGACTTACCTCTCCTGGGGGGCTTTCTGTGCCTGACGCTTCATCTGCTCCTCTCATTTATGCCAAATTTTCAGAATATATCTGTATTTGTTGATTTATTCATCTGCAACAATATATTTGCTGAACGTGCCTCCTCAACTGGTGAACTGTAATGGGGGAGGAGAAGACAAAAGAAGGCCAACTGGAAGAAATGAAAATGGTGTGTCTCCTTAAGGAGGTTGGATCCCAGAGAAGGAAGATAATGGGAGAGAGAGAGGTGTGGCTTTTGTTGGGCTTCCTCCTAACTATCCATTTTGGTGATGGCTGAGTGTGTCCTGAAGAGAAAGGATTACATGTAACTCAAACCTGATCCACAAAACTTCTGTAGTCCAAGCAACTTCGTGTGAGACCCTTTAAAAGAGCAGACCACAAAGTTAGGATGCAGTGGCTATACAGCCGAGCTGACCACTGAGCACAGGAGACAGAGCCTTGGAACTCTCAGAGATACTGGGGCGGGGAGGGGCTCGTATTGTGAAGGGAGGACCAAAGTCCCACAGGGGCATGCAGCTGGGCAAGCAAAATCTGGTCTGCAGTCGTCCGTCTCACTTGGGTCTAAGGCTAATGAGGCCTGGGGAACACTCACAAGGAGTCTAGTTATGGCTCTGTAGTAGTTTACCCATTGACTGAAGCAAAACAGTCTCCACAAGAGATCCCAGGAGAAACAGAACAGCTGGCCAGGCTCACCTAGCTGGTCCCATAACTTTTCCCACCATCCTGCCAGGCAAACCTTGTCATCTCAGCACCTGGATCCAAGACACTTTGCTGCCATGTTTCCTCACATCTCATCCTCTCTCCCTTCCTAGTCAGAATTCCACATTTGTCACTTTCTGACCTGCATTTGACAACACTCAATGTTGTCTTATCCAAACAACATCTATGATTCAGCCTTCTTGCCCTCAAGTCCAGCATGTTCCCCTCTGGCTCCAAGCCCCTTTCCCTCCAGCCTTTTACAACCACATCACTCCATGTAAGTCACTTGTCCTTTGAACCAGCTGATCTGTGGGCTGAGGAAAGGGTGCTGGGAGCTGAGCTGTAGATGTTCTCTTTGCTGTCTGTCATTCTAGGGGCTTGCCAACATTGGGCAGAGTCTCCTGCTGGCTGAAACTCTCTCACCACAAAGGATTTCATTTTATGTCAGCAGTTTCATAGGCTGAGGGAGTGATAGAGATAAGAGAAACATGAAGAGAATATGCCACAATGACTAAACTCAAGATAGATTTGGGGCAGAGATGTAGAGATTTGGTAAAAGTCCAGAAATCTAAATGCTGGGTGTGCTTACTAAGTGTACCTGTGCATTAAGCTAAGCAAATGGATTCCCTGTCTCCTTGACAACCAGAATACAAACATGTCTTACCTGAATTATCCATTCTCTTTGCCAAAGCCAGTGCATAATTAGTTGGGGAAAAATATACATGCAAGATGAAAGAGTCCACAGCTCTTAAACAATATCCCTCATTGCTCTCTGGTGGAGAGTTCACCTACTCAACCTCACTAACATCTCCCTTGCCTCATTTATCAGCCATGCCTTTCACTTACTGGTGAAAAGCTAATATAGCCTTGCTTCTCCCTCTCAGTCAACACTATTTAAGGGACTGATAAGAAAATTCACTAGGAAGGTTTTTCTGGAAAGCTCTCTATTTATAGAGACACACTGAAGTAGCCATAGACACCAACTGTTAAATTGCCTCCTCTGTGTGTGAAGGCCATGTTGTCACCATCTTAGACAAGGAGGAGATACCTTTCCTCCTCCTCATGGAGACCATGCTTCTATTTGCTCTCTCGGCATGCAACACCAGCCATCTCAGGGATTTGCCTAACAAGCTGGACTATTTCCAGGATATGGGAGGCAGCAGCCTCTAAATGCTTAGGGGTTTTAGGGGCACGGTCTCCTAAGACAAGCAGCAACCAGAGTAAAGAAGTCAGCCCTGAGAAGATAGAATCTCAGCCCTCAAGTCTGGAATGTTCCTTCCCCTATACCTATCCTCACCATCACAGCCCAGGGCTAATGGGTGGACTGTCAGCATGGGAGGACCATGCCCTGACACCCTCCTGGTGGGACACAAAGGGCCTGAAGGCTGCATTTAGAGCGAGTCATCACACTGAGCACACACACACACACCCCAGCCTTGTACCGCAGGGCAGAACCTCCCCAGGGGTGGAGGAGGAAAGGATGGGAGCCAAGTGGGTGACAGGAAGAGAATAAACATCAGGGTAGGGGCCCTGGGTCTTCAAAACAGTGTGAAGCAACAGGATGAATGAATTAAAGTGGATTGCGCTCCAAGGCCCCACACCTTGGTCGCTATGTCAGGTCTTTTCAGGATAAGTCTGAACACTGTGTGAAGAAGAGAAGGGGTGTGAACGTGTGTACGTGCAATAGGGTATGTACACCACTCCATGTGGATCCTGTGTGCATGTGCTGGTGCTTCTGGACGTGTACAAACCCATATGATGCTGCAAACTATACAAGCACACCACATGTTAGCCTAACCACAGAAGCATTGCCAAACCCAGTTCTAATGTGAAAAGCCTCTTCCAAGAGTTGACAGAAACCAAATTCAGGTTCACATTCTGGGCATCACTTAGCATAGCTGGGGAAGGAGGAGAGTTAAGTAATGAGATGCAATGGAGCAAAGAAGAATGTCTACCCATTGTCATCACCAACATCCTGGTGGGGAGGTCACTTGGTGAGGAAAAAATAGGACCCATTATGAATGAGTTGGGATTGGATTCCTGGTGGCCTTCCCAGAAAGCATTCTGCTGTCTTGTGAGAAGCAGGAACCAGAGACAGAGAGGCTGGCTGTGCAGATTCCTTCCAACCCTGCCAGCGGTGGCTTAGTGTGAGGTGCAGGTGGATTTCTTGACAGGGATACATATCTTGGAAGTGGTAACAGATTTATGGCAACTAATTGCACAATAATAGCTGGCCCGAACAGAGCTCTTGAGCAATTGCCAGAACTCTATATTACTACTATTCATTTACATAACAAACATTTTACACCTACTTATTGAGAATAACTAACCTTTATTGAAGGTCACATGCTGTTCTGAGCTCTACATATCTATTAATATCCACAATGACTCTATGAAGTGGGTACTGTTGTTACCACTCACATTCTACAGAGGAGGAAACTGAGGCATAGTGAGCTTAAGTAAGTTCCCCAAAGTCTCTCACTGTATGCAAAAGCCAGGGTTAGAACATAGGAAATTTTATTCCAAATCCCACACTTTTAGTCAGTAAACATATCTGCTTCCTATATTTACTTTTGTACAAAGCTAGTACAAATACTAGGCATTTGAAAGAAGCTAAAATATCATGATCCCTACCTTTAAAGGAGTTTATAGTCTTGGGGGAGAAACAGACAGTGCTGCTTTCTGACTTAAGCAAATTCAGCCTTTCAGAAAATTTCAGGTTCTTTTTACAACTACTATTAACCTCTTGAGGTTAGAGACTTCTGGGGAACTATAAATCCCTTCCCTATGACCTCAAAAATGTCTAATTGAACTCCATATGACATATAGATGCATATTGGCAAGGAAGCACAAATACACTCATTCAACTTGTTCGGCAGTTTGGGGAAGACCCACTCTGGCCTAGCCACTCCAGCAAGCACCATGCATTGAAGACTCCAGCTGGGGCAGATGTCGTGATAGTTCTAGGACAGCACTGGACAGTTCTGGGTGGGATCAGGCAAGAGGGTCCTCTGTGAAGGAAGGGACAGAGGGTCATGGGCTGACTGTGGTTCTAGGTTTACCACCTTATTGTGCCTTGTTCATAAAGGAGAGCAAAGCAATATTTCTAACTACTCCCAGTCTTGACAATATTCATATTACCAAAGAAGTGATTTCACTGAAGATGTGGGGAATGCTAAATAACGCCCCTGCAGATTCTGGTTCATGATCAGGCTCCTCATGGGCTGGCTCACCACCCTGGAGTGTTGCTTCTGATTTGGTGCTTAGGCCTCCTGTTTTACAGGTCCCACCTGATTACCTCCATGTGTCCAAAATCAGCACCATTGAGTCATTTTGTTCTCGTATGCCTTCCCCAAATGGTACTTTGTTGTTCCAAATTAAAATAATTGGCTGGGCGCAGTGGCTCACACCTATAATCCCAGCAATTTGGGAGGCCAAAGTGAGAGGATCACTTGAGCCCAGGAGTTCGAGATCAGCCTGGCTAATACAGTGAGAACTCGTCTCTACAAAAAATTTAAAAATCAGCTGGGCGTGGTGGTGTGCACCTGCAGTCCCAGCTACCCTGAAGTCTGAAGCAGGAGGATCGCTTGAGCCCAGAAGGCCAAAGTTGCAGGGAGCCATGAACACACCACTGCACTCCAACCTGGGCAACAGAGCAAGACCCTGTCTCAAATAAAACTGAAAAATATAAAATAGAATAACAGAGAACATCCCATAATATAAGAAACATTGTAAGGACCTGAGTGTAAGGCAAAGCTGTCTATATCAAAGGATACTTTGGGGGAAAATATGCCTTATATTTGTTTGCTTACTGTCATAGAAGAGCACCTAGTTTGTGCCTGACACAAAGCAGGTACTCAATAAATGTGAGTTTTCTTCTCTCCCTCACTATCTCACTTGGTTTTCATGGAAGACACTATGAGGAAGCTGTTATATTTATTTTACAGACAAGAAAACAAAAGTTTAGAGTTTAAGTAACTTATCTAGTTCATGTGACTACAAAGCGGCCACTCTGGCTTCTAACTGGAGCACCCATGCTCTTCCTACTATGGATACTGCCTCTCTGATAATCATAGCTGAGCTTTGCAGATGTGCACTGACAAAGCCCTTCCACATGCCCTGTGTCACTGGATCCTCAGAACACTCCTGTAACATGAGAATCATTATTTTCTTCAATTTTAAGTGAATGAAGCACCATGGGGAATTATAGCAATCTGCCCAGGTTTTCTAAGGTAGCAAATGGGTCCATCAGAATTTGAGCCCATGTTTTAAACATTGCCCAAATCTTTGCTTCTGGTACCACACTACGTGGCATCTCAGCGTGACACCCAAGGACGGCCAAAGGGTGAGCATAAACTGAGGGCTGGGGATCTGGTTCACAATCCAACTTGCTCATCAGTTTCAGAGCAGCCCTTAAATCCTACCTCAGCTCCATGGAGAGGCCACTTTTAATAATTATACCAACATTTTCATTACATGTTATTGTTTACAAAATACCTATCTCATGTTCTCATTTTGAATGCAGAGTCACTGCATTCAAACACAGAACAGTAAGGTGACGATATTTTTCAAGCTGGCTAGGCCCATCCCTAACAATATTCTTAGATGCCGAATCAATTTCCACATCCTCAAGGCCACTTTCCTAAGTGACACTGAGTTTTCTTGCTTCACTTCATCTCCTTGAAGTTACCTTGATCCTCTAGGTATAATTTTCTTGATCCTTTAAAAACAGATTTGCTGTATCATGATTATACAAACAGTATATGCCTTTTGAAAATAATTTGGGAAATATCATTTGACCCAGTCATCCCATTACTGGGTATATGCCCAAAGGAATATAAATCATGCTGCTATAAAGACACATGCACACGTATGTTTATTGCAGCACTACTCACAATAGCAAAGACTTGGAACCAACCCAAATGTCCAACAACCATACACTGGATTAAGAAAATGTGGCACATATACACCATGAAATACTATGCAGCCATAAAAAATGATGAGTTCATGTTCTTTGTAGGGACATGGATGAAGCTGGAAACCATCATTCTCAGCAAATTATCGCAAGGACAAAAAAACCAAACACCGCATGTTCTCAGTCATAGGTGGGAATTGAACAATGAGAACACTTGGACACAGGAAGGGGAACATCACACACCGGGGCCTGTTGTGGGGTGGGGGTAGGGGGGAGGGATAGCATTAGGAGATATACCTAATGCTAAATGACGAGTTGATGGGTGCAGCACACCAACATGGCACATGTATACATACGTAACAAGCCTGCACGTTGTGCACATGTACCCTAGAACTTAAAGTATAATAAAAATATATATATATAAAAAGAAAAAAGAAAATAATTTAGAAAATATAGGATAGAATAAAGAAGCAAGTAAGCATTTAACAAGTATCCCACTTACCAAGATATGGCAACATTAATGTCTGGTATATGCTTCCTGTGTGTGTGTGTGTGTGTGTGTGTGTGTGTGTGTGTGTGTGTGTGTATGATGGCTTCATAATATTTCATCAAATATACATGTATGTGTGTGCCATTATTTATATAAGCATTCTGTCCATAATCCCTAATTAACGAACATTTGCTGCTTGGTTTCTTTTCAATGCATATATAGCATTTCAATGAAAATCTTTGAACGTTCATCTTTGTATACTTGTCTCATTTTCTAGAAATGGAATTGCTGTTCATGGGAATACACTTTTTAAAGGTTTTTAAAAACATGTTGAAAATCACCCTCCCAAAAAGCTGAGTCTATTTATAGGCTCATCAGGACAGCATAAGCATATACCTTTCCTACACTGCTGCAACAGTGAGAATTAGCAAACCTTTATTCTTCAACAGCTGATAGGGAAAAACAATAACTGTTCACGTTTCTTTCACTACTTACAAAGGTAAACATCTTTTTATTGGTATATTAGTAAGACGATCATATCATTTATTGTCCAATCTGGAGTATTTTAAGAGTAGAAGTGAGTGCTGACTGGAGGGTCAGTGAGGGCTTATGGTCACGCTATGGCTGACCACTTGCATTTCTTAGTTTCAGAATTCCTTGTTTGTAGCGTTTTCTTACTTTTCTATTGAGTTGTCTGCTCTTTTCTTAATCACATAAAGGTCGCGTTATAATAATAATAATAATAATAATATTAATCCTTTGTAATTTGTGTTAAATATATATTCCCCGTAGGTCACTTATTTTCTTTTTAGTTTTGAAAGCAATACAAAAACATAGTCTTTAAAGTTTGCTTCAGATTTCTTAATTCAACTCTTTTGAGACAATTGTAGATTCTCATGCAATTACAGGAAATAATATAGACAATCCTCTTTACTCGTTACCAAGTTCTCTTCAGTGGTAACATCTTGCAAAGCTATGGCACAACATCACAACCAGCTTTTGGCATCAATGCCTTAGACATCAATGCCTTAGATCGCTCTTTCAGAGTCACATCCACTAATTAACCCCGGCACCCTCTCCTTAACCCCTGGCAGCCACGAATCTGTTCTCCATTTCTAGAATTTTGTCATTTCTAGACTGTTATATAAATGGAACCATGCTGTATATAACCTTTTGGGATCTTTTTTTTTTTTTTTTTCACTCAGCATAATTCCCTGGAGATTCATCCGGTTTGTTGCACGTGTCAGTAGTGTGTTCCTTTCTATTACTAAGTAGTATTCCATGGTAGAGATGTATCCCAGTTTGCTTAACCATTCACTCTTTGAGTAACATCTGCGTTGTTTCCAGTTTTTGCTACTACAAAAAAGCTACAATCAACATTCATGTGCAGATTTTTGTATGAACATAAATCTTCATTTATCTAGGATGAACATTTAGGGGTATGATTGCTGCCTTATACAGTAGTTGCATCTTTAGTTTTTTTTAAGAAATTGCCAAGCTGTTTTCAGAGTGTCTGAACTATTCTATATTCCCCCCAGCAATGTATAAATCACCCAGTTTTTCTGCATCCTCACCAGCATTTGGTGCTGTCACTATTTTTTATTTTAGCTCAGCTAGCTGGATAGTGATATCTTACTGTGGTCTTCATTTGCATTTCCCTAATGGCCATTGATATTGAATATCTTTTCATGTGCTTATTGCCATTTATCTCTCCTCTTTGGTGAAATATCTCTTCATATCTTTTGCCCGTTTTCTGACTGCGTTGTTTGATTTTTGCACTGTTCAATTGTGAGAGTTCTTTGTATATTCAGATATTAGTCCTTTGTCAGATACGTGGTCTGCAAATATTTTCTCCCACTATGTATCTTGTCTTTTCTTCCACTTAATAGGGTCTGTCATGGAGCAAAATTTTGACATTTCTAATTAATTAATTTTTCCTCTTATGGATTGTACTTTTGGTATCAAGTCTAATGACTCTTTGCCCTGTATCCTAAAAACATTCTCCTATTTTTTTCTAACAGTTTTATAGTTGTACATTTAACATTTAAGTTTGTAATTCATTTTGTATTAATTCTGTGTAAAGTGTGAAAGTTAGATTGAGGTTCAATTTTTGCCTATGGATATGGCTCCAGAGCCATCTTTCTTGCTTTTTTTTTTTTAACCTTTTGTTAAAAACCAGTAGAGAATATTTGTGTGGGTCTATTTCTAGGTTCTGTGCTCTGTTGCATTGATCCATGTGTCTATCTCTCCACCACTATCATATAGTCTTTTTTTTTTTTTTTTTTTTTTTTTTCTGAGATGGAGTCACACTCTTGCCCAGGCTGGAGTGCAGTGGCGCGATCTCGGCTCACTACAACCTCTGCCTCCTGGGTTCAAGTGATTCTCCTGCCTCAGCCTCCTGAGTAGCTAGGATTACAGGTGTGCAACACCACGCCTGGCTAATTTTTGTATTTTTAGTAGAGATGGGGTTTCACCACATTGGCCAGTCTGGTCTTGAACTCCTGACCTCAAGTGATCTGCCCACCTCAGCCTTCCAAACTGCTGGGATTACAGGTGTGAGCCACTGCACCTGGCCATATAGTCTTGATAACTGCAACTGTTTAATAAGTCTTGAAATCTGATAGATTGATTCCTCTTATTCTTCCTTTTCAAAATTCTTTTAGCCATTCTAAAGTTTTTGCCTTCCCATATAAATTCTAGAATAATCTTGTCTATGTCTACAAAACTCCTGCCAAGGTTTTGATAGAATTGGGCTAAGCCTTATAGTGGGTGGAATGGTGGTAGCTCCAAAAATATATACATGTCATAATCTCTGAAACCAGTGAATGTGACCTCATTTGGAGAAGGGATCTTTGCCAGTGTAACTAACTTATGGACTTTGAGATGAGATCGTCCTGGATTATCCAAGTGAGACCTAAATCCAGCAAAAAGTGTCCTTATAAGAGACACACAGAAGCAGACAACAGAGGAGGAGGCCATGTGATCATCATGGAGGCAGAGATTGGAGTGGTGAGGCCACAAGCCAAGGAATGCTGACAGCCACCAGAAGCTGGAAAATGCAAGAAAGGATTCTCCCCTGGGGCCTTTGAAGAAAGGGCTTGAGTGCCAATACCTTGACTTAAACTTCTGGCCTTCAGAACTGGGACAGAATAAATTTCTGTTATTTTAAGCCACTTGGTTAACAGTAATTTGTTCCAGCAGTTATAGGAAACCAGTAAAAAGCTGTATATCAAAATACGTTACAAGACTTTGGATCTTATCTAAACCTGTTTTTATCTGGCTTCTTCTGACCCTGCTTTGGACAGATGGTGGGTGGGGGATGGAAGTCACCTCCTTGTTACTGCCAAATGGAGCTAGAAATCCAGGTCCATCACTCAGCCTGTATAAGCACCAGAGATGGGTGCTCCTTGTTACTGCTGGGTGAAGATGGGAGTTGGGCTCCCCATATAATCTCCACTGACACTGTTGGTGGGGAGTGGGAGACTTTTGTACAGGCCAGAGATGCAAGTCCTAGTTCCCTACATGGTCTTCTCTGACAGTACTGCACTGGGGGATGGGGGTTCCTCAATACAGCCTCACAGAAGGGGAAGTGTAGGTTCTCCATCGGGCCTTCGCTGGCATGGGTAGGGGTGGGACCACAGTTTTTTCTAAGGTGTTTGGCTAAAATACAGCAGAGCAGTTATTGGCTAAAAGTCTGTCTTTCTAGACTGCCCCTTCCGTCTTCATTTGGCTAGAGAGAGCAGGCTTTCCTTGGGGCTTTTTTCAGGGGTCAGGGGTCTGCTCCTGTTAGCCTTTCTGGGTTCTCAGAAAGGCTTTCTCAGGCTTGGAGCTGAGCTGGCTTCCTCAGCTCCAAGCCTGGGATAAATGAAGCAAAAGGAAAACTCAGGGAACTCACCACCATGTCATTTCACAGGTCCTGAGATCCCTAGCTGCTAACGCCTCCTTCTCCCCACCTTTCAGAAACATCTCATGTTTGTTTTAGATCGAATATCCAGGGATTTTAGTTGTATTTAGTGAAGAAATAGGGAAAAGTACATTTACTCCATCTTCCTAGAAGCAAACGTTTATTTTATTTTTTAAAAATAACTAACACAACCTAAAGAAAACATCACAGCTCCTCGTTGCTCCTGCCTTACCCTCACTGCAGTCTCCGTAAGTAACTGCTGCTTCTCCAAGTGTCTGCAGGCAGCATAATTCAAAACAGAAGGCTCATGTCTTCCACTTCACGGTTCAATTTAAAGTAAGCATTTTTAAGTAGGTACTATATTTACCTGGATGGTTCAAAAAGGCATATAGAGAAAAATCTCCTTCCCATCCTTATTTCATAGATACTAAGTTCTCTTCCAATATTAGTATCCTCCTGTGTATGTTTCCGGAGATATTTTATGCATAGATTTGCAAATAAATCATGCCTCTTGGGATAAAATGTATTACAGTTTCCAGTTATTGATACCCCTTTTCCCAGTAAAGAGGAATGCCTCTTTCCTCATTGTTGGCTGGGCAGTGCCTTCTGGAAGGATGCACTTCTGGAAGAAGTGGAAGGAATATACCTGCCACTCCATAAACAGACACACCCCTGTGACTCACTCTGACCAGTGAAATGTGAGCAGAAGTCATGTATGCCAGTTCTAAGCAGAAAGCCTAAAGCCATTGTGGGCTTCCACTCCCTTCCGACTCTTTTCCTCTGCCATGAGAACAGATGTCCGAGGAGCTGCTCTTCCAGCCTGGGTTTCATATGTTTTGTGGAGCAGTCTCAGCAAACTCACAGCCATGTATTAGTTAGCTATTGCTGCAAAACAAATCACCCTAAAATTGAACAGCAGCTTACATAAAGCTATTTACTCTCTCACAAAATTTCTGAAGGTCAAGAATCTGGAAGCAACTTAGTAGGGTGATTCTGGCTCAGGATCTCATAAGGTTGCAGTCAAGCCGCCAATGGGTCTTCAGCCATTTGAAGGCTTGACTGGGGCTCAGGCATCTGCTGCCAATATGACTCCCTTGTGTGGACATCTGCAGGAGGCCTCAATTTCTTGCTAGTTGTTATCAGGAGGTCTCAGTTCTCACCACATGGGGCTCTCCATAGAGCTGCTCAACATGGCAACTGATTTCCTCCAAAATAAGTGATCCAAGAAAGAGAGAGATAGCATGTGCTCAAGATGGAAGCCACAGTGTCTTTTATTACCTAATCTGAGAAATGGTATCTCATCACTTCTGTAGTATTGTGTTGTATTCTGTTGGTTGTAGAATACCAACTCTAGTGCCATGTGGGAGGGGACAACAGAAGGGTGTGCATGCCAAGAGGCAAGGATCACTAGGGCCATCTTGAAGCCTGGCTGTCACAGCCACAGACAGGAGGACTAAGGGGGGGGAAAAAGTATGCTTTTAATATGTGGGAATCAGTTGTTGCCTCAATATAACCTATCAAAAGCTAACTGGTACACTACATATCTTTATGTATAAACTCTTTTATAGTTTTTTTTTTCTCCCTATTCTAAAAGATGAAGAATGAATCTCCCTTACACTCTCTTTGGGCTTTCATACAGCCCATTTCTTGAGTTTGATTAGTTTTCTTATTCTTTTTAGGTTTTCCTATTGGCTATGCACATCACTGTAAATTATGTATTTGGATCTTGTTCCATCTACTTTAGACAGCATTGGTTTACCATCCACTGTGTAAGATTAAAATTTTGCACTTCTCCTAATATCACCTCCCTCCACACTTCTGTCAGTGATACCATTATTTGTGTACTTTCAAGGTTCTCTTTTCCCCTTTATATCTTTCTCTTCAAGCCATGCTGTTGTGGGAAGAATTCACAAAGCTCCATCTCCACAGAGCAAAGGACCAATGAAAGGTCCCCATGTGTAGGCTGAGTATCCATCAGGGAGACATAAAGATGGTGGCACTGAAGGGGGCAGTGGATTTGATGCTGTAAGGCTTGACTCTGAGGCGGTGAACCACTGGGAACCTAGACAAACTCCTGACCTACGGTCACATGTGACTGCATTTAGATCCTTAGCCAGGGCAGGAAGCAGTCTCCCTCTGAGGCTGAAGTCCCGAGGCTACCACAGTCCAGGGCCATCAGTCCTGCTGTTTGTTCAAGGAGAGTCCCTGATCCAAAGAGAAGAGCTAAGGAGAGTGCAGGTGACAGAACTTTCTTGACAACAGAAATTTCTTTGTGTCACTCGGCACCACACTCACTGTTTTTCCTGAAAAACGGCCACCCGGAGCATAGGTAAGTCCTCTTCCCCCAAGACATCAGTGTGGAGTATCCTGTTGAGCTCTGTTCTTGTCCCCTTAGACCTTGAGATGACAAGAGAATCATTGCCAAATACAAGAGGACACCTGGTTACATTTCCATTTCAGATCAAAAAATGGATTTTTTTAGGATAAGTATATCTCAAGTACTGAATAGGATATACTTATACTAAACAATTATTTATTGTTTATTTAACTGAGCATCTTGTATTTTTACTTGCTAAATCTTGCAACCCTAGACAGGTAGAGCTGGTCCTCTCTTAACAGGAACAGAAGCAGAGCCAAGAGCCCCACATGAAAGTGCTGACCAAACCCAAACCCTCATGAAGAACCCACCAAGCCTGGCTATTGCTGTCCTAAAAGATTTGCCCTACAGAGGTTCATCCACATATAATTTTTCCAGAACTGACCTGGTTAGCTTTATCTACTGCCCCCAAATTAGTTCATATCCAAACAATTCCATACCTGTCTCTCAGTCTGTATATAAACAGTTTGCATTCAATGTATTTGTACCTGCTGATACCTTTGTACATGCTGTCTCTTTCTCTAACAGATCCAGATTCAATACTTACTAAATGCCAACAATGAGACGGAGAATAGTATGAGGTGCTGTCCTTATCTTCACAACAACCCTGTGAGGGAAGCCTCACTTATTATTATTGCTGTTCCTATTCTCCAGATGAGAAAACTGAGCTTCAAAGATTCCCTGTAGCTGGGCTCAGTGTGTGAGTCTGTAATTCCAGCTTCTTTGGAAGTTGAGGCAGGAGGATCCCTTGAGCCCAGAAGTTGGAGGGTGCAGTGAGCTATGATTGCACCACTTAACTCCAGCCTGGGTGACAGAGCAAGATATCATCTCTTTTTTAAAAAAAAAAAAAAAAAGAAGAAGAAGAAGAAGAAAGAAAGAAAATAAAAAGTCTCACCAAGAAGGTGTTACCTGAGGCCCCATAACTAATAAGTGCCATGGCTAAGATTTAAATTTCTTCCTAAAGATGAGCCACTCCCTGAATGCCTCCCTGATTTCCCATTCCCACCTAAGCCACCTACTGCTCAATACTCCCACCAATGGCCAAGTATCATCTTCTCATTCCCACTGAAACCCTTAAGAAAACAGAATTCATGCAAAAGAAACAAGGGGGAGACACTCCCTCCTGCAGGACGGTGACTTGGTGGCTCTGGATTTTGCTATGAACACCATGGGAATCAATCAATACCTTTGTCCACAGAGACAAAGTTATAAAAGGTGGACAAATCCTACACTTGTTTGAAGAAGCAGATTGGCTGTGGTTTGCCGGCCTAAGAACCTACTTAACCCTTATAGTACAATTTATATTGGCAGATGCAATGTGAGTTCAAACCATTGACTTAGAAATAAACTTGTGCAATGCACGTATTTGGAGACTTGCCTCTACCATCTGTGTGTGCATGCATGCTACTGTGTGCACCTTGTTCTTGCACTATACTAGAAGTTCAGTAGGGGCAGGGATCACATGTTTTGTTGACTTGTTTTTTTCCCTGCAGCACTAGAGCATCACTTTGGCCAGAGTTGAGGTTAATCTATGCTTTCCACTGATGAAGAAAGTAAAGGAACTGTCACTTGCTTCTGTCTGTAGAAATGTTTGCAGAACAGGAGATTTGCAATCACTTGCGATTATTATAAACTGCTAGCTAACTGCACCAATTATTTTTCTTAGTGGCATAAATGCCTACAAGCTTTCAGTTTTCACTGTTGAGAATGCACTGAGGCTTACTTTACATCCTCCCAGTTCCCTGAAAGAATCCAGAAAAGGTAAAGAAAAGAAAACCACACAGAAATAACACAGGTATTGTGCTCCCTGGACCAAGGTAATATTCAGTTTCAATCTGGTGGTTAGGAAAGGGGAAGGAACATCTTAGTCTGAAATCCTACCCATGAAAAGAGTCCAAAATAAAATAAAATAAAACATGTATTGTTTAGGCAAGTGTTATTGCCGGATGACATTTCAATTCCAGTCTGCTCTGCCTAATGCCTTCGTTTCCTACTCTGTAGGACGAAAGCAGCCCTCTCATCCCACAGGTTCAGAAGAAAGCTCCCCTTTGCAGGCAGAGATGCCATTTTCGGCTTTGGAAGAGAAACAAATCATGTTATTGTCAAGGCTGTTACTGAGAACATCATGCTCTCAGCCCTACTGGCTTGGCCATAGTCAAAAGAATCAAACAAAGCTGTTTGCCATGAATTTCATCATTCTGGCTTGCCCAGCTGGGATCTCCCCCCACCCCTACCCTAATTCCACTCTCAATTCGAATGCCCTAGAATTTGTTTCAGGAACAAGTTAAAATTCCTGCTAGTTTCAGACTTACTAATAATGCAAGTCTTTTCTTTTTTTGTTAAGAAAAGAAATGTTGATTGCGGGAAGATCCTGGGCAGAGGGCTCTAGAGTCTAAAGCCCCTGAGTAAAAGAGGGAGATGGAATGATCAGTTTGCACGACTAGAGCATATACATGAAGTGTAGGCCACTGAGCAAATATCTAATTGCCTTTCAGGACACAGAGGCCCTAAGGCCCCACGCCTGGCTCTGACACCTGTCACCACTCTTGAGTGGACCCAAGGGAGTTTGTCTGCTCAATAAAGGCATTAGGGTCCTACCTGTTAATCTGTCGCCTCAGGGCCTGTACGAAGGTCCCTTATTCATTATACTGTCAACTCCTTCACCTTTGAGGCGGAATAAAAATGCAATAATTGTCCCGTGGGATTGGGAAAACACAAAGGATAATGTATTCCCCGAAACAGTGTTATTTAACAGTCCATCAGATAGGGGAAAATGTACTGGCAGCTTTTCTTATGCTTGCTTTGAGCACGCATGTGTGTACGCGTGCATATGTGTGTATGTGGGTGGCTGGGTGTGTGCGCGCACGTGTGCATGCACACTTCAGTATGTGGGGCGGGGAGGAGCCCTTTTTTTCTTTTTGGAGTTTGCTTTGTTATTAAAATTTTCTTTGAAAAATACCATTTGTTAGAACATTCTTTCTAGAAACCTCCAGTAGGAAATACTAGAGGCAATACAGGGTAAGAGATACTGTTTAGAAAGCAACACCTTCGGAGACAGAAATAACAAGATTTGAATTCTTGCTCACACATAGAGAATGATATGAAGCAAGTGAGGTTATTGTCTATACCCCTCATTTCTAACCCACCTCTGGGAAATAGGTATTCTATAATAAAGCCTTTGGGACAGGGCGACTGTGAGCATAAAATAAAGTGGAATATATAAAGTGCACACGTGAGGAACTGGGCATGCAGTAAATGGGTAAGAACAGTGACAGCCAACATTTATTTAACTTCTGTATGAAGATGTTGGCTTCAGTGCTTTACCTAGAAGATGCCATTGAACCCTCACCACTACCCTGAGAGGTAGATACTGCAATTATTCCCATTCTACAGAAAAATGAGGCTTAGAAAGCCTCTGCCTGAGGACTACAGCTAGTTAAGAGGTGGAGGCAGGATTGGAACTCGGCCCCAGCTCTATTCACAGAATCCTGTACCAAGATTGTAACCTGAGTCCCACGAGCCAGATCTGGCTTACGGATATGTTTGCTGTGGCTTACTGTATTTATTTTAAAAAATCTAACTTACTTGCCAACAGTTAAAAATTGGGAGAGGTTTCATAGTTCTTAATCTTTGGCTTCGCTTTAAAAATCTGAAGCTCTGGATACCCTGCCCCTGTGTTCTCATGTAACCATGACAGGCTGGAGCTGTCCAGTGGCTGTCACTTTTGGACAGCCAGGATTGTGTCACAGTCCACCTGCTCCTCATCCTCACACATTCAGGCAACCACCGGGCCCCTGGGAGCATCTGAGGATTTGACTTCTCTCCCACTGCCTTTTACATCCATATTCCTCTCTAAAGCCATAAAGTTGTTAGGCAACAATCTGGTATCTGTACGTGATTCCTTTGTGGAGTAAAATGCCTGCAGTAACTCTCATCTCTGCTGAATTCTAGTCATTCCTGCCTGATGCAACTCCCAGTACGATGTCAGTAACACACGAATAGTCTCCTGGATTCCTCGGGGGGCCCTCCTGATGCCTCCCTCTGCTCTAAGCCTGGAAAGACCCAGAAGCATCCCCCCGGCTCTGAGCATGTATCATCCCTTAGGTTCGTCTTTTTCCTCCCTTTGATCTCCCAAAAAGCTATCTTAGCCAAGAGACTCCTCACCTCTGCCTTCCTGGATTATTGCAGTAGCCTTCCACCTGACCCCCTAACATACCCCCACCCATTCAAAACCTTCATATTCATCTTCAGCAAATCTTTCTTTTCTTATTTTTTTTATTTCTGTAAGTTTTAGGGGGACAAGTGGTATCTGGTTACATGAGTAAGTTCTTCAGTGATGATTTGTGAGATTTGGGTGCATCCAACACCCAAACAGTATACACTGAACCCGAATTGTAATCTTTTATCCCTCACTCCCTTCCCGCCCTTTTCCCCTGAGTCCCCAAACTCTATTGTGTTATTCTTATGCCTTTGCATCCTCATAGTTTAGCTCCCACTTATGAGTGAGAACATATGATGCTTGGTTTTCCATTCTTGAGTTACTTCACTTAGAATAATAGTTTCCAATCCCATCCAGGTTGCTGCAAATACCATTAATTCATTCCTTTTTATGGCTGAGTAGTATTCCATCATATACATATATATATATATGTGCCACAGTTTCTTTAGCCACTCGTTGATTGATGGGTATACAGTTTGCTTCTACATTTTTGCAATTGTGAATTGTGCTGCTATAAACATGCATGTGCAAGTATCTTTTTTGTATAATGAATGACTTCTTTTCCTCTGGGTAAACACTCAGTAGTGAGGATTGCTGGATCAAATGGTAGTTCTACCTTTGGTTCTTTAAGGAATCTCCACACTGTTTTCCATAGTGGTTGTACTAGTTTACATTCCCCCCAGCAGTGTAGAAGTGTTCCCTGTTCACCGCATCCACACCAACATCTATTATTTTTTTATTTTTTGATTATGGCCCATTCTTGCAGGAGTAAGATGGTATCACACTATGGTTTTGATTTGCAAGCAAATCCTTCTTTCATGGCCAGAGTCAGCCTCATGGGTGTGAAGTTACATAAGACCCCTGCTTAGAAGGACCCCTCAGCTGGTTTATGCCTTGCTATTGCATTTTGAAATGTCTAATGATTTCTGAACAAAGGCCTGCATTTTTATTTTGCACTGGGGCTGGCAAGTAATATAGCTGGTCCTGTTCATGTTTCAATTCAAGAAGCTTTGATGACTTCTAACCTTAGTAGTATTTCCATCTTTTCTGAACAATGACAAAGAACGTGATAACATTTGTACACTGCAGTGGGCTGCTCTGGAAACCCAGAGCCTGGCCAGCCATGCAGGAGAAAACAGATGTGATGGCAAATTGTGACTCTTTAGCTTCAACCAAAAATGCTGAGTACACCTGTGAGGGAAGTTCCGGCCTGCAAGAGAGAGCCCGTGAGTTCACTATAGTTCTCATCAGCTTTATCTCAGGAAGCTTATCCTGCAGTCAGGCTGATCTCTGTGAGTTCACATATTAGTCACACGGTCATCTCCAGGCCCTCATTCATACAAATCCAGTTTCTAGGAGTAATCACTCCCCTTCTCAGTGTTACCCAAATCCTGCACACATTCTCAGAGCAGCTCAAGTCCACAAAGTGTGCCCTGTGTATTAATATCAGCCAACAGTGCTTCATTCACACATTGCATGACTATTGATGTCTTAATCTGTGGAGGTACTGAGCCAGTGTGGGGCATATGATTGTAATAGCATGTGCAAGCCCCTGCCTGATGAAGTTAGGGATGCAAACAAGTAAAGGGGTCACTTCAGTGCAGTGTGACCAGAGATGTCGCAGAAGAAGTAAGGGGAGGATGCACGCATTTCCCAGGGCTGCTCTAACAAATTACCACCCACCGCGTGGCTTACAGCAACACAAATGTGTTCTCTCACCATCCTGGAGGAGACAAGTCGAAATCAAGGTGTCAGCAGGGCCATGCCCCCTCTGAAGGCTCCAGGGAAGCATCCTTCCTTGCCAATCTCAGCTTCTGGTGCTTCTTGGTTTGGGGCTTGCACAGCTCCAGTCTTTGTCTCCTTCTCCACGTGCCATTTCCCTCTTCTCTCTGTGTCTCTCCTCTGCATGCCTCTCATAAAGACACTCATCATTGTATTAAGGGCCCACCTGGATAATCCAGGATTATCTCCCGTCAAGATCCTTACTTCGTTATGTCTGCAAACAGCCCTTTTTAAACTAAGGTAACATTCCCAAGTTCTGGGAATCAGGTTGTAGATGTATCTTTGGTGGTGAGGGGTGGGGATCACCACTCAATTCACTTCAGAGGGTTTATGACAGGGCAGCTAACCCCACACTGGGGAGTTGGGGGAGGTCTCCTTGAATAAGTTAACATTTAAACTGAATAAGTCAGGCAAGGGGGGAAAGAAGGGTGTGGAGGAGTGAAAGTGTTTCTGGAAATAATATGTGCAAAGATCCCAATACAAAGTTAAGCATCCTGGATACCTGGAACTGAAAGAAGCTACGTGTGTCTGCAGAATACTTAGCAGTACAAGGAAGAAAGGGTAAAAGAAGCAGCTGGAGAAGTAATCAGGGCCAAATCTAGATGGGCCTTGTAACCACAAAGTCAATCTGGCCGATGTAATGGGGAGGCATTGAAGGGTTTTCAGCAACACAAGGACATTAGCAGATTTGGGAAGATTGCTATGGCTGGAGAGTGAAGAACGGTTTGGAGCAGGCCAAGACTAGAAACAAGGAGACTGGTTAGGATATGGTAACACTATCCAGGCAGTGCATGACAAGTTAGGATGATGCTGAAGGGAAGGGAGAAAAGTCAATACATTCGAGAGGTTACTTGGAAGGTAAAATCAACAGGACTTAGTAACTGATGGGGTTTCAGTATGAAGTTAAGGATGAGGCACAGTCTTCTGGCTTCTGGTGTGGACGGAGTTGCCATTGTTGAGGTAGGAACTGAGAAGGAAGTGCAGTTTAGGTGGGCACTATATGGGGTAAGTTTGAAGTGTCCGTAGGACAGCTGATTGGAGTCTCTTATTGGGCATTTGAATTTGGATTTCTGAAGCAGAGCAGTCTGGGGCTAGAAATACAGACTTGGGAACAATCAGCACGTGGATGACATGTTAAGTCATGGAATGAATGACCTTGCTCAGGAATAGATGGCATGAAAAAAGAACAGGGCCCAGGATAGAATGCCCAGGAGCACTGGTGCTTATGTGATGGACAGAGGACAAGGAACTGTGGTAAATGGCAAAAGACACAGAGGGCAACCACTTCCAATATTCAGGTATGTGTGACTTTTTACCATACAATTGGAAACTTACTGTCAATTATCCTATTCTATGTCCCTCATTTTATATTTCATTGGACAATTCAAGCACAATATTGTTCTATGTTATGTTGTCTTGATCACTATTTTGTATACCTGGGAACCAAAGCAAGGGTTGAGAACAGGGGCCCCATCCATTAATAAGCACTGCACAATTGGCTAGGTATGAACTGTCCAGAGCCTGAGTTAGAAAACAGGAAAAGGAGACATTCCCAATATCCTCTGATCCTTCCCCAAAACCCCATCATCCAATGTCACCATCAATGAACATTCTGAAGAATTATCTTAAGTTATAGTTAAGTTTCTCTAAATTAAGTAGTATCTTTTTTGCTTAAGGTGTTTCCTTCCTCTTCCCCTGTGCTCCTTTTCAGCTAGTTTTTTGTTTATTTGTTTTTTGCTTTTAAGACAAAGTCTCCCTCTATCGCCCAGGCTGGAGTGCAGTGGCATGATCTTGGAGCACTGCAACCTCTGCCTACCAGGTTCAAGTGATTCTCCCACTTCAGCCTCCCCAGTAGCTGGGATTACAGGCACCTGGCCCCATGCCCAGCTAATTTTTGTATTTTTAGTAGATACAGACATGGTTTCTCCATGTTGGCCAGGCTGGTCTTGAACTCCTGACCTCAAGTGATCTACCCGCCTCAGCCTCCCAAAGTGCTGGTATTACAGGCGTGAGCCACCGTGCCTGGCCTTTTCATCTAGTTAAATCCTACGTAACAACACCATCCAATAGAATTTTCTGCAATGACGGAAACATTCATTATCTGTGTTATGTAATACGGTAGCCACTTGCTGCAGGTGGCTAGTGAGCACTCGAATATGGCTAGCGCAACTGAGAAATGGAACTTTTAATTTTATTTACATTTAATTTATTTAAACTGAAATGCCAACATGGGGCTAGTGGCTACCATATTGGACAACATAGCTATATAACTTTCCATGAACTCAAAATTCACTTCCTCAAGGAAAATTCCCTTCATCCTCCTTCCAAAATTAGGCCTCATCTGCCCACTCTATGCTGTCTAGAACCTTCTTCTTTCATAAAGTCAATGAGGATTATAATTTTGAATAAGTTTGTGTGTATTACAAGTTTAATGTCCATTTCCCCTGGTAGAACAAGCTCTAGGAGAGTAGAGACGATGTCTCAGTTACTACAATGTGTGATACTTACTCAGTGCTCAATAAATATTTATTGCAATAATGAATGAGGCCAGATGTGGTGGCTCACGCCTGTAATCCCAGCACTTTGGGAGGCGAAGGCGGGCAGATTCCCTGAGCTGAGGAGTTCGAGACCAGCCTTGGCAACATGGCAAAACCCCATCTCAACTAAAAATACAGAAATTAGCCAGGTGTGGTGGCACATGCCTGTAGTCCCAGCTACTCGGGAGGTGGAGGCAAGAGAATCACTTGAACCCAGGAGTCAGAGGTTGCAGTGAGCTGAGATTGTGCCACTGCGCTCCAGTCTGTGTGACAGAGTGAGACTCCATCTCAAAAAAAAAAAATGAATGAATGAATGATCAAATGATCGTTAAAATATTCTATAGGATTATATACCGTATATATGCTTATTAAATAGTTGATCACAGAATGCAATCATATAATAAATAATCCTGGGAGGCTAACTGCTGTAATCAACAGAAACTGGGACTGACAGGGAAGGTAAGAATTTGACATGTTCAGTTTTGGGTATGTGAAATTTGAGATGCCAGATCAAGTGCATTAGGCCCTTTACCTTATTGTCAACTAAAATCGTAAAGGCTCTTCTAATTCATGAGAACATCCCACATCTCCTCTCTCTTGCACTTTGTAGCTAAGAGAAAAACCATTCACCCTTCTCATTAACATTTCTCATTCTTCCCTGAATGTTATGTTCATTGTTCAGCCTCTTGAAGTTGCTCTAAATCCTGAGTTTATGAGTGTACTTATCTCCACTCCCAGCTTTGCATTGTGTCAGTATTTATTTAACGTATTCCCAAAGCTGTTAATCCAGTTAATTGGTAAACATTGGCTATGTCAGAACCTGTAGCACAGTACCGAAGGAAGGCCTCCAGATAGATACCAAAATGCACGAATCAGCAGCACCCTTTGGATATGTCCTTTCACTCATTAAGTAAGCCCTGCCTGGAATGGAACTTGAGCCATGTCTGTTACTCTGGCCTCATGGAGCACCTGGGAGCTCACTAGCAAGCTCCTTAACTCTCTCCTGCTCCAGCTCCTTCTCAGCACTGTTGTTTCCTTCTTCTCCTAACAGATAAGTGGAAATTGGAGGGCCCCGTGGGCCTGCCTGAATCCAACTGCCACACCCCGGGCAAGCAGAGGGCCAGGGCCCTTTGCCCAAGTTTCCTTACAAACCCATGAAGGACAGTTTCAGAAAGCAGCACTCTAAAGGCACTCAGTGTCAGAGCCAAGGTAAACAGCCTGGGACACAGCTGCCGGTCCAACCGGGGTTAGGCAACGTGGACAGCCAGCGTGGGAAGCCAAGAGAAGCCGAGGAAAGAAAGAGAAGGGAGGTTTGAAGGGGGCAGTTGAGAGGGAGGCTTTGGCAGTTCTTGACTTCTGCTGCCATTGCAGTGGGCTTTGGAAGCCTTGAAAGGGACCGTAAAGATGAGAGCCAAGGAGGTGGCCACCAGAGGATGCATTTGATTGGGAATAGACAAAAGAGGCATCATCCTCACTTCAAAGCCATTTATCAAACACAGCAAGTGTGCTCTGCATAAGGATAAAGACCACCAGCTCTAGCATACATCTCAGGGTCCCAGAGAGGACAGGCAGACACCTCCCTGCGAACCCTAAGGCCTTACTGGGCAGCTCCCGACCTGGACAGGAGAGTTGGCACCACTAGCATACCGCCCTCCCTATTCTGCCTCCCTGAATTCCTTCTCAGCTTCTAG
This sequence comes from Homo sapiens, assembly GCF_000001405.40. Classification (NCBI taxonomy): domain Eukaryota; kingdom Metazoa; phylum Chordata; class Mammalia; order Primates; family Hominidae; genus Homo; species Homo sapiens. Next base: position 44,219,571 of record NC_000013.11, read on the forward strand.
AAAGGGCAAACGGTCCTTCCATTACCAAAAGGCCCCCAACCACCACCCCTCCACTTCACAGAAAAACCATCACATGTTAACAGTCCTCACTGTTCTCTGCATGTTACATCACTGCTGACTTCTTTTAGTTTTTTCAAAAGCCCTAAAAACTGCTACCAGGAAATGAATAAGTCTACGTTGGATAATCCATAGCAATCTCATTTACTGTGAACAAGAGCCACAAACAGGACAGTGTGGTCATCTCTCAAGGGTGTTGGTGACCGGTCGGGTGATTCCCAGAAGAGATCAAAGCCAGGCAGAAAAGATGGCAAATGTAGCAGCTAGTGTAGTCAGTGGGTTGTGATTTGGCTGGAGCTGAGGCAAGGGAACGTCTGAAGCGAATGAATAAAACCCTGCACAGCTCTGAGAATGCCCGTGGCCTGGCCTGTGCTGTTGTTACATTTATATCTAATTCATGGAGTTGGTAACTGAGTGGTCGGGGCCCAGCCAGACTGCAGCAGCCTGTGCAGTTCCCCCAGGAGCCCGTTGGCCAGGTTTACCTTGCCTAGTTTCATCTCAAAGAAAAACATCGATTTAACAAATATCAAACCTTGGACCCCTGAGACATTGAAGCAATCAGGTTCTGTGGCCTGTAGGAAGCTTCTGCAATGCCAACCTGCTAAATGGTACCAAATGCCCAAACATTAGTCATAGGCACTATTATCAATGACCTACTGCATGCCAAGTGCTTGTATATAAACTGTTTCACTTGATCCTATTCCAAAATCTCTCTCCTGTCATCCTCACAGGCAACCGCTCTCATTGAAGTCATGATTTCTGCCTTTATCTCTGACTGGATTTCCCTGACTCATCCACACATAGCCTGAATAAACTTGGAAATGTATAAATATGAGCAAGTCATTCCCCTTCTTAAGACTTTATGCATTGCCGGTTTCCTTTGGGTCACATCTGCTCTCCTGGGCTCAGCATTCGAGGCCCTCTGTTGCTGCCGCTGCCCTCCTCCTGTCCCTCGGCCTCTCTTCTTATGCCTACCCTGAGTAGGTGCACCCCTGTGCCTTTCCAAGAGAACTTCCCCTGCTTGTGGCCACCGGAGAGTTCAGGTTCCTCCTTTGGGATCGCTGGCATCCTACTTTTCTCCCTGAGACCTTTCCTGACTTCACCCATTGCAGTGAGTCTCCCATACCCACGGTGAGGCAAACTTGGCAGCTTGTCCTTCAACCAATTGCACTCACTACACCCCTCCTTAATCATTCATTTCTTTCATTCTCAAAGGAGTTGATATCCTCAAGGGAGCCAGAAGTGGTTCTTGGTCAAGGGAGGCTGGAAAAATTTTGTTCTTTTTATTATAAATCACAGATATGCATATAGTACACAAATACAGTATATCTGTGATATTAAAATTTCACAGGATAGAGAAGGGAAGATTATGAAAAAATGTCTACCAAGGCTCCTTAGAGGCCAATAATGAAAAAAAGATTGAGAAATACTAAACCGGTTTGTTTGTATGTCTTCCTCACCAACTGGACCGTGAGTCCTCTGTGAATCCCCAGAGCCAGTGGAGTGCCTGACACATGGAGTGCTTTTGAAGAAATGTTGGCTGTTGAAAGCTGAATGCATGCATGCATGCATGAATGAATCCTCCCAATACTCCCGAGGGGTGGCATTGCTGCCCCATTGGGAAAGATAAGAGAACAGATGCTAAATGCCCTCCTCCAACACCATCAAAGTCCCAGAGTTAGTAAGTGCTGCAGTAGAAACTTTAAATTCAGAACTTCTAGACTCTAAACCCAATACTTTCACACCTTACTTTGGTGTAATTGATAGAATTTACACAAAAATAGGATAATACATTTACCAACTTGCCTTTAACCTTCAAGAATGCTCTGGTTGGAATATCCTAAGCCAATTTGCATATCCAAGAAGAACCTTAGGAAATCATGCCTATGGTCATATAGACTCCAGCAAAAATGCCTCAGCACCACAATGAGTTTTGGTGGGAATGGTGGCCTAATGAGGTGAAGCTGTAGCCACCCACCTAACTTGTAACTGAGCCTTACAGTTAATCCAACTAAATTAAATTTTATAAAACTTCAGGCTTGAGCCTCTTCTATGTAGACAACTGAGCAGCAGAGGGCCACTTTGCCCTCAGGAGGTGGGGGTGGTAGAATAAGAAAAGAATATACGCAATTATAATGCAGGATTCAACAAGATCACAGTCATGAGACATGAAATTCTAAGCCAGGAGATGAGCCACAGTCGGGAGATAATGAGGACGGGAATGTTCTAATAAAGATACTCTCCCTGTTGAAAGCCAACAAAGTGACATCTATAAAATGGTTTTATGAGTAAATTTGTTGAAGCAGGAGGAGTTGAGTAGCTCAAACCAGTGTTTTATCCTTTCCAGGGTCATGACGAGGTTTAAAAACTGATTTATGAGTCTGTTTGTTTAATCAAACTTTCCTTATTTCCCACTCCTGAGCTTATGAGCAGAAGCGAAGCAGTGAGAAGAATCCCTGCTGAGCAGGAGTTCATCCTCCTAGGACACAGCCTTTTGCTTTTAAGCATAAACACTTCATATAAAGAAAAAGTGCACTAATCATAAGTGACCAATTCAATGCATTTTCACTAAAAGAACAAACCCTGTAACCACCACCCAGATGCAGAAATAAAATAGTACCATATCCACAAACTCTCCTGGTTATTCAATCTCTACCTCCCCTCACAGGTTACCTTAGACTTTTTGTGTTTCTTTTCTAACTTTAAAGAAATGGAACGATACACTAGATACTCTGACTCTAACCTCTTTTGCTCAGTAAATGTCTGTGAGATCCATCAAGGCTTACATGTAGCCATATTTTGTTCATTTTTGTTGCTGAAAGAAGTTCACTGTATGGACATACCACACTTATTTGTCCATTCTGCCGTCGAAATTTGGGTTGTTTCTGCTTTTTTATTATTATGCATAGTGCTGCTATGAATGTTCTTCCTCCGTGTCTTTTGATATGCATACGTACTCATGTATATCTAGGAGTGAAAGTGCTAGGTCATGTGGCACATGTATGTTCAGCCCTAAAGCTGAAGATCCTGCTGCGTAGATTTGAAAAGTGGTTGTAACAACTATATACTAACACCATATACTAACTGTGTGTAAGTGTTTAAGAGTTCCAAATACTACAAATCCTTGCCAACACTTGGTATTGAGTGTCTTTTTCTTTTTAGCCATTCTGGTGGGTGTGTTTTTGAAGTTCATGATTTTAATTGGCATTTTTCTGATGAGTAATGAAGTCAGAGGCAGCTTTTTATGCATTTATTGACCATTTAGAGTTCATCTTTTGTAAACTCTACAAGTCTTTTGTACATTTTTTCTGTTGGGATATCTTTCTTTTTCTTATTAATTTGTAGGAGAGCTTTATATATTTGGATACAAGGTTTTGTTTTTTTTCAGATATGTGATTCACAAATATCTTCTCCCAATCCATGGCCTTGTTTTCACTCTCTTAATGGTGTCTTCTGATAAACAAAGATTCTTATTTTTAATGCAGTCTAATTTATTTTATGTCTAATCAACTTTATGTTTAGTACATTTTATGTGCTACTTACGAAAGCTTTGTCTTTCCCACTATTGCGAAGATGTTCTTCTGCATCGTAACACTGAGTCCCATCCAAGAGCCCAATTTATACTTTTATTAACTTAAGCTTTTTTTTTTCTTTAGGAGGTATAATTGACAAATAAAAGTTGTACATATTCAAGGTGTACAATGTGATGTTTTGACATGTGTATACATTGTAAAATAATTGCCACAATCAAGCTAATTAACATATCCACTGCCTCACACAGTTACCTTTTTTGTGGGTGTGATGAAAATGCTTAAGATCTGCTCAGGCCTTCTTCAATTTATCTCAGTAACGTTCTCTAGATTTTAGTATAAAGATTTTGCACATCTTTTGTTGGATGTACATGAAACTTCGAGCAAATACCTATCTTTCAAAATTGCAAGAGATATAAAAAGAAATTTTGAAATACGTGCCCTGACTTCAAGATGCTTTGGTCCAATAGTAGAACTCAGTTGCAGAAAAATAGAAGCCTGAATATTAATGAAGCCATCATTGTGTGATAGTAGGCAATGAGAAAAGAAAGAAGCAAGCAATTGAAATGAGCTGAAATTGTTGACAGGGATGCCTCACAGAGGATCTTGAAGATTTGAGATGAGCTTGAGGGAGGAATAGAAGTTAGACAGTGGAATGGAGGGAAGCATTCCAAGAGGGGAAACTGGAATGAGTAAAATTTTGAGATTAGAATGAACTCAGCATGTTAAGGGATTAAGAAGACACTGGTTGACTAAAATGTACACTCTGATTCATGAGTTGGGGGAGATAAGCTAACATCTTGTGCTTAGAGGCACATAAACAAAAGAAGGAAGAGTTTCAAGTCCAGCTTGCTGGTGAAGGTTGGTATTCTGGCCCCTGGAAGGTAACTCAGCAGGTATTTACGTATCCTTGCTTGACACTAACTGGCAATCATATGGCTGCTTTTAACAACTTCCAGATAGGAGCTGATAAGGACTCTTACACTCACACTTGAACGAGAGTACCTATCCAAGAAGGCCTCTAATCTGAAAATGAAATATGTCTTATAGACTGTATAATCCAGAGAGCCTTTCATAGTAAGCCAGCATTCAAGGACCAGCCAAAAGGCTTAGATCCAGCAGCTACCACCAAGTGCTTCTGAGAGGGCTACAGTTGTAAAACCAAGTGGTGATAAATACTCAATGTCCCATCAGCAACAACTGGACTTCCTAGAAGCAATGGAGCTGGAGGATGGCCTTCAAATCTTAGATCACTTAATAGGTTTTTGTTGCCCTATTTCCATCCCAACTGGGACATAGTCTTGCCAATAGCAAAAAAGAAATCAGCAGTCCTGGGGCAGATCTGAAACACATGGAGGCAGGTCCTCAGGCCTCCTAGGAGCTACTGGAATGAGTAAGGAGTGGAATAGTCAGAACTGAGTTCAAATGATAAGATTCCTAATGGGACATGAGCATGCATTTTGCCAAGATTTTGTCTAATTTTGGAACTCAACTGGAAACTTCTGAACGTCATGTTCCATTTGGCTCTGGCAAAACACAGTTCTGCATTGCTTTGTGTTTATTTTATCCCTCAAGATCAGAGCATAATTTACTTGTAGCTAGAATTTTGTATTGAGTACAAACCTCCATTTAGAAAAACAAGCTGATATATATTTTTTCCTTGTGGGTCCCTAGGGGGGAAAATGATGTACACAATGGAGAAAGGTTCCACTAGAAAAAAACATGCATACCCAATATAGAAATTTTACGCAAACAGAAGCACCCAGAGGAGAAATATTTTATAAAGCCTAAAGTATGATGAGTCCTCAAACTTGGCATAAAGTAGTAGAGATTAGATCCAGAAAATCCTCAGGACTCTCCTACATTTAGCCAGAACAACATCTTCTCTAGCACCTCCTCCTTGTGAAAATTTCTTACCATATTTAAACAAATACTTTGAGAAGATATATTATAACTTCCCTTGGAACTATGTCCTCCAACACTTACAATAAGGATGCTTCCGTATAGGTACCATTCCCATTTTTATCTCATGTTTGGTTGACTCTCAAATGAACATCTTGGTCTTTATTGGTACAAAACCAAATTCTCCTATAGCTAAAGTACACTGGGGCCTACAATAAGACAAAACCTGAAAAGAACTGGGGATAAAATTGTATTTATCGGGACTCTTTCAGAACTCCAGATTAAAATAAGCAAAACAAAACCAAAAAAAGATGGTTTATTGACTCATGTAGCTAAACAGTCTTCTCTACCGCCTCCAGTTGGAAAGACCTCAGGGAATGACTCTGATTGGCCCAGCTGAACCATGTGCTAAAGTGTGGCCCAACCACTGTGGCTGGGCCCAGGTCACATGCCCACATGGCATGTGATCAGGCAAGTGGATATATTTCCAGAAGAAAATGGGATTGTAGATGGCCACCTAGGGAAACTTGAAAGAAGCAAAAAGAAATGCTCTTACAAAGCCTTGAAGCTAACATGTTAGGATTTCAGAGAAAGCATTATTTCTTTGAAAAAGACAAGGTGTCAACAAAAGAGGATACCATCATCATCAGTGGTGCACTAGCACTGACTATCCATGATATCTGTTCTAGAATGCCACAGCTACTTCCACTGTGGACATCTTAGGGGAACGAAAAAGGCAGCATACCATAATGACTAAGGGCACAAACTCGGATTCTAGCAGACTCAAGTTCATATCCTAGCAGTGTCACTTGTTGGCTTTGGTATATGGGCAAGTTACTAACCCTGTGTAAGCATCAGTATTCTTACTTCATCATCACCATCATTATCATCATCATCATCAAGAGTGCCTAGGAAATTCAAGGCGAGACAGTTTTGTGATGAATGATAGTGATGATGTTCCATTCTACCATCTTTATGGAATAAGAAACATTTCATTATATATCCTCTCCACTGATATGCAACCCTATCCCTTGAGTTAAATATGTTTCAAACCTCCCTCTTCCACTTTCCATAATTTCTCTTCTTATCCACTGAGGCATAAAATACTAATATATCTAGGTAGGAAAAGGAAGATAATGGTACCCTTGATACTTGATGTAGCCTTTCCAAAAGCGATTTCACAGGCAATTGAGGTCCAGGAAATTGCAGTCTTAGGAGGTGTCTATGCTATGAGCAACAAAGGATAACTCCTCAGAGGGTTATTAAAACAGTTGACCAACTTCTGGAACCAATTGGCAAAGTAATGTATAACCCCACCAGACTATGTTGCAAAGGATGCAACTGCAAGGACATATAGGAAAAGTTGGAGTCTTCAAAAAATGTGCTTCTACCTCATTAACTCTATTATATCTTACTTTTCATGAAACTTTCCAGTGAAGCCTCCAGAAAGGGGAACGTCTCAACCAAGACTGATTCCTTCACTTCCACTGTAGCTGTCAGGAATCCTGTAGCCTGTAGATTTCAGATGTAGAATTTTTTCAATTAAGAAAAAGAGTTGGGGACAGGAAAATAGGTTACTCTTTGAGTTTGTCCTCCATGCTGTAATCAATGTCTATGATACCAATGACTCAGGGTTCAAAGTCTTATGTTTTAAAAGAAAAATTTTCCTATTTTTTTTCTTTTAATTGTGAAAGGCAGATAGAATAACATCTTGTATCTATATAGAATAGGTCCTTGGAAAGTGCTACAAATAATGCCACTCTCTCCCCCCCCTCAAGAATTCCTAATGGAAGCAACATATTTTCCTCACACCACTTTTATAGATTATATAGTCTGTCAGAAGTGTTGTAGAAGCCAGAATCTGGGTTTTCTTTGGATTCAAAATGTAGTGTTAGGTTTCCTTTCTATTAGAAAAACAACATTTCTAAGCAAAAATGGGCTTTCATGCATGGTGTTCAACGTAATTGCCATGAGAAGGAACTCAGTTAAGACGTCTTGCTTTTCAAAACTGTAAAATCAACATTTTCCCATTTTCTTAAGCACTCTTTACACCCATAACTGTAATGGTGGTTTAGTATTCTGTCCATATCAAAGTTATGTGCTCACAGTAAGCATTGCTCTGTGAAACTCATGTGTATCTTCAGTCACAATCCATTTCTTCCTGTGTGTTGCAGTCTTTAATGCATGGAAGCCACATATTGAGTCCAACATTATCTTATCTTCAGATGAGAAATAAGCTAAGGCTCAGAGAAGCTAATGAAGTCAGTGATTTATATAGAGTTACACAGGTAATTAGTGGCATTTAAGTGACAAGAAGGTTCTAGTTTCTAGGTTTTTTTTTTTTTTGTCTTTGTTTATGGCATTATTACAGTGCTGGACTTCTCAGAGTAAAATAGCTGCTGTAACAAATGAGGCCCTTGATGCTTAATTGCTTAACACAATAAATGTTTATTTATCACGGATGTGACAATACAATGTGGGTTTTCAGCAGGTGATGGCTCTCCTCCATACAGTGTCTCAGGGACCCAAGTCCTTCCAGTTTGTGGCATCACCATCTGAGGGTAGTGGTTCCCAGCCAGGGGTGACTTTGCCCCCTGGGGCACATTTGGCAATGTCTGGAGGTATTTTGATTGTCGCTACTCAGCGAGATTCTCTTGGCATCTAATGGGTAGGGAGCAGGGATGCTGCTAAACATCCTATAGTACACAGGATGGCCCCTACGACAAAGTATTTTTTTGGTCCAAAATGTCATTGGTGCTAAGGTTGAGAAACGCTGCCCAAGGGATGTGTCATCTTCTGTACGTAGCCAGCTAAACTATAAGAGAGGGAATTGATAAGACTGAGCCACTTTGTAAATGTCTTGACCTGGATCAATATAGTCATGAAACTCCTGCCCAAATGCAAGAGGGGTTGAGAAATTAGTCTGAGGGGGCAGCTGTTTCCAGCAACAACTCTTCTTTAGGGAGCAAGAACTTCTGGTGAACATCTAGTCAGTCATCCTGTCATGGTGGCACTGGTAAAATTTGAACCATATATTTGCCTGCTTGCTCACGACATTGCTGAAGCATCAATGGGGCTAATAAAACTGAGAAAAAATAAACACAGCCCTAACCTCCTCCTTAGGCTCCAGATTCTTCTGTCCAGTGTCCTATTAAATACACCGTTAAGTGTCAAAAACAACACAGCCAAATAGAACTTTTTATCTTCCCACCAAAATTCTATTCCTCTCATCTTTCCTCTCTCAGCAAATGACAACATTAGTCTAATCTATTCCCTACTTTCCTACACCCTCATTCAGTTGTTTAGCAAGACTTCCTAGCTCTACCTGCAACATATGTCCCTGCAAGTATGACCATAGACCACCATCTCTGGCCTGAACTATTGCCATAACCTTCTAATTGGCCTCACTGCTACCTCTCTTATCCTACTTGTCTATTCATCCACAGGAACCAGGGAAGTCTTTATAACTGTAAAGAAGATTATTTCTTCATAGTTGGTGCCAGCCCACTGTCTTGGGTGGCTTGGCACATGCCCGAATAAGATTATGTGAGACCCATTCACTTCATCCATTCTTTCTTTAGGGATGGCAGACTCCCTCCATCATGCTTATAAGTCCCTAGACCTGCTTCTGGAACTGTTTTGGTGGTCTTTACATTCACCATGGTCACTTTCTGCGTACCTTTCTGGGTATGTGGAATGCATTGTGAAAGCAGAGAGTTAATTTGGCTAAACAGATAGGCTAATTTGTACAAATCTATCATCCTCACTATAATCTATGAAGCCCATCTCCTTCCAGCCTCTTTTACTTCACGGCAGACACACTGGCATGCTCTCTGTCCCTCTGCCGTGCCAGCTCCTCTTGGTCTCTGGCCTCCATGTCTGGTGTTGCTTTTCCTTTTGGAAAGGGACACTCCTGCCCAGATGCCCACACAGCTGCCTCCTTCTCACCACTCCAGCCCCAAGTGGCAGCTCCTTGAAAGGGAGGACACTCCTGAAGATGCACCTCCACAAACCCCCATCCCAGCCCTGTTTCATTGTCTCCATGGCATTTAACACCCTCTGGAACTGGAGTGCATTATTTGTTTGTTAATGCACTATTTCTTCCCTGACTAATAGAAGCTCCATGAGGGCAGGGCTTTGCTGGTCCTGTCCCCTGCTGTATCTCTGGCTCCAAAGGAGTGCCTGGCATGTAGTCGCTAACAATACACAGTCAATACACAGTTGTTGAATCAATGAATGAACAAGAGAATATCAGTGCCCTAGCGGACAAGGATATGGAGAATATGAGGTTTTGCCCTAGCTCTGCAACAGATCTCCTGAAGTTCACAAATCAGTCACACAGAACACACTCCATTCCTGCCCCCTACCAACGTGTTTTCTCATTCAGAAAAAGAGCTAACCATAGAAACGTCCTAGGAACACATAGACGAATCCTCAGATTATGCAATGAATTCTCCCTAGAGCCAGCAGATGGCTGTCACTGGTGGGTCACTTCAGAAACCTTTTGTGTTTTACGTGCCCACAAGTGACCTGTGACATGCTCTCCTAGGACCTGTGCATGGAATTGCCATTGCTTGGGGGAGAACTGATGGCTTCATTTGGAAGAAAAGTTGTTTTGATCCTTCCTGCCCCACTCCCTACCTAACCTCTCATTCTCTTTTTCTCTATCATATTCGGGCTGCCCTCTCATCTTCACTATCAGCCAAGATAATCTGTACTTCTAAAAACTGTCATAATCTGAAAAACAGGTCTCCCTGGAGGGCTTTGTGGCTGGCCAACCGGCTTCGTCCCTGGGGCCCCACTGGGGTGGAGATGCCGTCGGCACACACGCATGGCCGGCAGCAGCCTTGCCTTTGATGTGTCCATCCATCCATCTGCATTGTCTTTTACAGATTAATTTCTCCATTCCTTCAATTAACAATTATTGATTGAGAGCCAAACTAGGTTTGCAAATGGATACAAGCAGAGGAAAATTCACCTTGAAGTTAATGAAGTCTAAGCTCCAGAGCCCATGGTCACATGAGTTTTATGAACTTTGCAAAAGTTCGTAATATTTTAACTGTAATCAGCTAAGGCTGAAATATTTTAACTGTAATCAGCTAAGGCTATCTCTTCCACTGTGACGTCCTCTCCACACACTGGCAAGTCCCTTGCGTAGGGTTGCTTTGGAGTCGCCACTACAGCATTTTTGGAATTCTGCTGAGGCCAAGTTGAGATGGAGATATGTTTAGTTTGGGCTTAGAGGATAAACAGTGTTTACACGGTTCACAGTCACCTCTGTATATAGTTAAGTTATTGCTAACATGGTGGTGTAGGAATTGCTTCTAAAAATACTCCTATAACTCGTGTCAACTTAACCAGCATCACGATTTGGAGGCACATGGACAGAAGTCATATCATGATATAAATGTGTTGCTGTGCAGAATCTGGCCCTGAAAATATGTGGGAAATGGAGGATCAAGGTTCAAGATTTTGGAGGCAGGTACTGGTCTGTGGGAATTTCTCCAGTCATCAAAATTACAAGCAGAGATTTGAATTTTCAGGAACATGTATTCAAAAGGATAATTCTCTCTGTCTCTTCAGGGCACAAAAATATAGTGGCACTAGCGATAGCAGATTGGCCTTATGTCAGTCACATGTTTATGTATTGAATTTAAAATGTAAAAGAATTTCTTTGGATCAGCCATGTTAGACGGGCTGATCAGAGAAGACTGCATTATCTTTCTATCATTTCTTCTTTAAAATTGTCGTCCTATGAAGAGGCCATTAAAGAGTGTGTAGCCAAAACGGTGTGAAGAGAACAATGGAAGCATGTCATACAGAGGTATGTCAGGAAGTTAATAAAAACAGTATGCTATGTTTCCAGATTTTTGTGATGTTTGTGGTATTTGTCAGCATTTTAAAATCTGTAATTTATTTTGGTTTCTTTCCTTATTCTGAATAAATATTTACTTTTCTTAAGCGAGGTCCCCACAGTTGATCAGCCGCATGCCCCAGGAGACCGGGCTGGCTCCTGAATATAGATACAAATGATGTGCTTCTGGTCATTAAAGAGCTTGCAATAAACATTCAACAAGTCCCACATAGAAAAAGCATAGAAAAAAGCAAGAAAAGATTAGAGCGCATTTGACTTCCTATCTTCCAATCCCCCATTCCCTTCATCCCTCCTAAAAAATTCTCCAACAAATTGGACTTTTTGTTTGTTTGTTTGTTTGAGACAGAGTCTCGCTCTGCAGCCCAGGCTGGAGTGCCGTGACAAGATCTTGGCTCACTGCAAGCTCTGCCTCCCTGGTTCATGCCATTCTCCTGCCTCAGCCTCCCAAGTAGCTGGAACTACAGGCGCCCACCACCACGCCCGGCTAATTTTTTATATTTTTAGTAGAGACTGGGTTTCACTGTGTTAGCCAGGATGGTCTCGATCTCTGGATCTCATGAACCGCTCGCCTTGGCCTCCCATAAATTGGACTTTTAACATTTATCCTCAAGAGGAAAATGAATGGGCTAAATTATAATGTCGAAGTATAGGTCAAATTTGGCAACTCTCCTCTTCCCTCTTAGCCATGACCATAATGAAAAAAGCCAGCAAGTGTGACCAGGCTGAGAGACGCTTGACCAAGGTGTCTTCTCGGGGCGCATGCTGACAGGTCGTAAGGGGGCTCCCAGCTGATCTCCCCGGGTCAGTCACTCTGAAGGCTGACAACAAGTTGGAAGCTGGAAGACACTGAATGCAGTTGCGGCATGGCGCACGTGGATCTCTCTAGAAGCCGAGTGTCCAGGACCTTTCTTCCTTCCCTGCTCAGACCACAGTAATTTTTCTCCTGGTTTCCAATCACTCTGTGAGCCTTCAACTTGGGAAACTCGAACTGCACATTGAGGGCCACACTGCCTACCCCACCCTTTAAGCTGCCACCGAGTTGTTTGCATACCATCGAATGTAGCCAGCTCGCCAACTGACCGCCGACTGTGGCTACCACCCTGGGAAACAAAATGAAGCATGTCATAGTTTTCCGATGAAAGACAATCAAAGATGCAAAAGGATCACAATTGCAACAGTGTGAGAAGCAGCCAGCAAATAACCATTCACTATGGAGTGGGTGACCTTTTCATTGAAAGCAACAGCTATGACTAAACAGCCTCTTACAAGAGGGTGTTGCAACTGAAATTCTCTAGGCCTGACTCATGGCTTTTCAACCTTGGTCCAGGCTCCTCTCCACCTGGTGGGAGAGCAGGTTGTCTCTCACAACAAACTCTGGGAAAGCCCCGCCCCAGGCCTGCCTCAGAACACAGGAACATGCTGCCAGTGTTTTCCTTTATCATTTAAAGTTTGTTTGTGTGCTGGGCAAGGAGACGCTTGCAAGCAGGTTCTTGAACTGGGTGTAATGAAAGCTGTAGGGATCGCATGGCGCCCTAGACCCACTGCCAAGGCCAAGGGGAGGGACAAAGGCTTAATGGAAGAAAGTGGCTGCAGCTGCTCTCCAAAGCTGTCATTACTTTCTTGCTGGAAACTTTGAAATATTATTTGTTTCCTGTTTCAAACTTCTGGAGATATACCATCCCAGTACCATGATTAAGGGCAATAGTGTCACAGGGAGGTGGGCTGGCCTCTGCGTTTTTCATGTGGGCTTTTCCATCTTTAATACTATATTGCTTTATAAATGTCTTTTTGTCTGTAGATATCTTCTGATCCCTGCCCCCGCCACTCCCAACTCCTGGCTTCTGATGTGAAATGAGAGACTTAAAGTTGATCAAGTTCATGCCGATGTTTAATTCAGACTCAATGTTTTTCTGAAGTCTAAAATCCTTTGAATCCGATGGGAGAGAAGAAGGAAGTGAAACTGGATAGTGTAAATAATTTGTAGTTAGAGCTGAGATTTATGAGGGGAATTGCCGCACAGAGCTTGGTGTTGAATGTCTCTTTGGGCCCTGGGAGACAAATTCTCCACTTGACTGCACGTAGGTCTCCCACCCTTCTGCTGGCACCAGGAGGCGGAGGGGTCTCTACCCTTCCAGGGTGTGGGAACATGTATGAGGGCCCCAAGAGCCTGGACCCTGGAGAGCTAGAGGAGGATGGGGTGTTGCTGTATAAAGTAATTGGCATGTGGCTCTTCACGATGAAAAAAAGAGATTTTGTGGCAGGAAGAAAGCAAAAGAGGAGGGAGGAGAGAAGGAACCATAGATTCTGAGAAACACACCAGGATGACTAGGCCTGGAGGAGTCCAGGGTGGGCCTCAGACCCTCACTTCTTGTCTGGCACCTCCCATTGCCAAAAATGCAGACTTCAGAGTAGGACCATTTTTGGAGCCATGTATAAGAAACAGATTTCTATATAGGTCAGGCCTTGCTAAAATTCATTTTGAGAAGTTCAGAGATGGAATGGAGCAAGACAAAATTGAAATTCTAGCATCCTTTTCCTCATACAATTCACCCCTTGTTTTATGAAGATGTGGGACAAACTGAATGAATGTAACTTGCTTAAAAGAGCACCTGACACACATGGATGCTATGGAAGCACCATTCGATTCCATGCTTTAACTATAAATGATTATTGTTATTATTACTATTATTGTATCTTGACTCTGCTTTCAAAGAGCTGATTTGAACATAACAAGTAGGTAAGGAAATTGCAACCCATCTTCTTGCTTTTCACAGTTATTGCACATAAATAGCCAAAACAATAAGCTAAATGAGACTGTGTTGCTGAGATTAGACCTTTCAGGGAAGTAGGAGGCCCACTGAAAACAAGGACAAACCTTGTTGGGTGCTTGCGGGTGAGAGTTGCTGTTTGCCTAGACTCCCTGCCACACACACTGTAGGGGTCTGAACCCCAGATCTGAACTCTGCACCCATGAATTATCTAGCTGTAGAAATTACTGAGGACCTCTGAGCCACCATTTCCCCTTTTACAAATGGATATGATTAAACCACCACCTCCCAGGAAAGAGGAGAAGACTGAGTGACCAGCTAACTCCCACCTCTCACAGGATCGTATGAGGTTCTAGCAACCCGAGTTTATAATGGAACAAAAAAGAATAGGAAAGGCAAAATACACACCAAGGAATGACATACAACCAATTTACTCACAGTTAACTTCAGCATAAATGTATACACATAATCAGTTACAATTAATATCCACATCGAACTAGGGAGTACATGATTCTGGTGTTCTTTCCAATTCCTTCTCAGTGAGGGATCTCAGGAGAGCTTGGTCTATGTGTGCCTAATCCTACAGGAACACCTCTGCCCTGGCCCTTTTAAAACCCTCTTTCTTCTACATTCATCACGTGGTTCTCTGTGGCCTCTGGTCCTCCCTATATCCCCCACTAGTATCTGGCTCATGATGGGCCACTTGGGACCATCTAGGACCAGTTTTCTATTGCAGCCAATTCTTAATGCTTGAAGTTCAGAGTTTAAGAATCATCACCATTTTCTCTCACCATTGCTGGCCCCAAATCCGTTTTCTCTCAGTACAATGAGAATAGTCTCATAGGGTTGTTAAAAAATAATATTTAATCCAGTTAGCACAATGCCTGCCACCTATATAGTAAGCATTTTTTATGTCAGCGATCATCATCCTCCTCTTCCTTATTCAGCTACTTGTTAAGGTGGTTCCCAAAGATGCCCTTCAAAACAACCTCCAGCAATTTCTCTTCACATTAAGAGAAGATGGTTTTATGAATCACCCTGAATTTGGCAGGAAAAAGACAACTTTCAAGTGGAGAGTTACAAACAAAGCAAAAAATCAATTCCCTGATGATGCAAAAGTCATCTACTTTTTGTCTACTTTTTCAGTCCCACTTTAAACCCATCCAAGTGTAGTTTTGTTGTTTGATTACTTAATGCCACACAAGCAGGTGCTTCTGAGGAGTTAATTTACCTTCAAAGGGCCAGCCTAGCATCTTTATCCTAAATTTGTAAGGGAACGAACATAATCTCATTTTAACACATTAACATTCTGCTCATCAGAGCTACTTAAATGCTAAGTTTAGGGAGCACATGGTGGCCCAGATTCAGTTCACACTTTGAAGTGGAAACCAGAAGAAAACGACAGGTTTTCTATGGATGTGGCATCCTCAGAGTTGGTTTGTAAACCAGCTACTGCTGGGATCATGATGTTTGGGATCACACCCCAGACCAGAGCACAGCAACATTAAGAAGGGGGCAGCATATTCAGTTGTGCTGTAACTGACTTGACATGAGGTGGTGGGGATGACTCCTGCAAAGGAGAACTAAACACCATGCATGAATTAAGACCCTGTATTTAGCAGACAAGAGTACTTCATCCACCAGGAAGAAAAGTATTAAGCACAGGGATGATTTCTCAGACTCTATCTGTTTGGTCAGCATCTCCCCTGAGATTTTGCAATTCGCTTTGTTTTGATTCTGTGATCACTGAGCAAGCTTCTGACTGTTACTTCAGTCACCCCAGGCACCTTAATACTCAAAAGGGGTATCTTGGGTCATAGAAATAAATATCTCAGTTACTGGGACGGTAGTGCCTCTCATTTTATAGGAATAAATTTGTTTTGTTGCATATACATCAATTTTCTGTGAGTTTAGCATGATTCAGTCCCTCATGGTCTAGTAAGCTCCAAGTTCACTTCAACAATAGAGGGTTTCTATTAGAAAGTTGAGAACCAAACTTTAAATCAGCATTTCATTTAACTCTATTGTGCCTCGGTTTCCTTACCTATAAAAGCATAGAAAAACAACAGCACCCACTTTAAATGGTTGTTGTGAGGATTCACGATTTAATAGATACACATTATTCATGTGTATGTATGTATATGAAATGATTTAACATATGGAAAGTACTTTGGATGGCGCCTGTTTTTCATAGTGACCCACAGGTGCTACCCACTTACAAAGAATGTCCTGCTAAAAGCAGCCAGCTGTCATCTCTCCTTCCTAAACTTTCTTGCACAACCCTCAAAGAACTTACCTCTTTTAGCCACTCCACTGTGAAAACTAGAGGCTTCAAATAAAAGCTATGCTGAGAATGGCTTTGGCTTCATAAGCACATGACTTGTATGATTGTATAGGGCCTGAGTTTGGTTTGATGCTCACCTGTTGCCATTTAGAAATTATTAATAATTTTTCAACAGAGGCCTGACATTTTTATTTTGCACTGCACCCTACATATTACGCAGCCAATCCTAGCTACACAGGACCAAAAGACTAGCCTAGTGACCTTGGATAAACTACAGTACCCATGCTTCCTTCTGGGTGACTCTGTCCTAGTTCCACGGTATGAGGACAATGATGAGAAAGGTGGATTGATATAGCCATAGATGTAGCCTTGCCAATGAGCAGAGTGGCAGCTTCTTGGATACACAGCAACATTTCCAAGCTACAGGCAGTAAGTTTTCTTTCAGGGGTCTCAGTAGACTCAGGGAAAACTAAAAGAAACTCTGAAAGTGCTTCCCATCCCTCCTCCTCCGCACTGCAATAACAAACTCACTTGCTAATTCATTGTAAAATGATCTGAATTACTCAGAGATGTGGAGAAATCAGCTTGGCTTTCAGCACAGGGAGTGACACCAGAACATCAGCCATTGAAGGGAAATAGAGCACAAGGTCACTCTGGCTGAGGTCTCACAATGGAGACTACTGCAGGGGAATGGGGAGGGTGCAGTGGCTTCAGAAAAGCAGCTGGTACCAGCAACCCTTACAGGTGACAGCCATGGAAGCAAGAGCTTTGGCTCTGGAAAATCTTTCACCAGTGAATGAGGAGGCTGTCCTGTCTAAGTGTCCCTCTGAGACACTCACAAGGAACTGTCTGTTTGGGTGGGAGGAACTGTGGTTGGACTTCCACTAAATTCAGTACTGGGAGTTAGAGGTAGAGTGTGTGGAACACTACTGTAAAGTGTTCCTCCTTTGAGTTTCCAAGATGGAGTGGCCCAAGGAGGAACGGACTTTACCAATGTTCAGTCCCATGGTTCTCATATGTGTGAATGTCTGTGTTTATACAGTGGGTCTGACTTTGACACTGGCAGCCATAACATCACTTCTCCATTCCCAAGTGAGTTCCTGTCATCTTCTGATTCTCCTCTCTGTGGCCCTAAAGTCACCATGTAATTTCCCAATGGTTACTCGCCGTCAGGATGTGTGGATGAAACTTTGGAAAGACTGCTGCAAAGCCGCTTGTCGAGAAACCCATCTATGTGTCCTGGCTCTCAAAATTTCAGTTCCTTTGAACATGCTGGTTCACTTTGTTCTGATTTTAGAATCTGGAAATGCAGAGCAAGACATTTCTAAGCTGGGAATTTGCCATCCTGTTGCAGGAGCACAGCAGCAGCCCCAGAAAAATATTTTTCAAGGCTGCAGAGAAAACAAGGGCTGGAAAAATGTTTGTTTATTGCCAGCTCTCCCCACAGCCGCTTATATAACAGCCTGTGCTGAGACAGGCTGTCCTGCCCAGGCTCAGAATCAAGAGTCACACTCCTTGGGATGATGACAGAGACAATGTGGGAACTACAGGGCTATGGCCTATGACGTCCAGGAAGGAAAACCAAGTGGTGTGTGGTGATTAGTCATTTCACAATGAGGGGATGGCTTCCTGGGGTGTTTTCAAGCTTTTGGGTGGCGGCACAGTCTGCAAGAGGGGGAAAGGCTCTGAGAACAAGATATGACTAAAGAATAGTTTCTCATTTACCATTTTTAAAAATAAAACAATGCACAGCCAATCACGTGTGAGCTGAAGGGTAGAGTCAAATGTTTAGGTATTTTCTGACCTTTCAGATCCATTCAGACTTTCTAAAAGCCACAGACATAAACACCATATCCAAATCTGGAAGCTTAAAAAGTTTGGACAAAATAGTATACATTTTGTTCAACACTTTATTGCAAAGGAAAAAAAAGGAAAGAAGTATACAAAGTTTTTCTTCACAAAACAAACACGAAAAACTAACTCTGCCAGGAAAAAATGTGAAACCCATAGACAGATCATGCTAAGGGTCTAAGGGGACAGCTTGCCTCCCCTACGGCATTACTGAAAAGCAGATGTGATGGGCAGCGTCACAGAGGCCTGTAATCCAGTTAGGTGCAGCAGCCACAGGCAGCCTACACTCTTCCTAAAAGCCTCCCTCTCAGGGAAACCCAGGGCCTCTTGGACTGTTCCAGGCTTTAAGTGCATATCAGAAAAACATTTGCCATATGTTTTAACTTAATTTCTAAGTCAGCGTGGGCCCATTCATTCTCATTCCTTCCATAACAGCCTTCCTGAGTAATTGCCTATTGACTTTGCTGCTTGCTGGTCATACCTGGGTGTGCATCTGTCTTACACCAGACACACCTAACTCTCAGCCTCTGTAGTCACAAATAAGGGTTCTATTTGTTGATTTAGAATGGCAAGTTGAAACTAGCACAGTCTTACACGTAGAAGATACTCAATCAGTATTTTGTTGATGGAGTCACATCTCTATCTCTCTCCTTATTCTTCTAGCTTACTTCCCCCACCCCTACTTTTATTTCTTTCTTCCCCCTCTTTTGTCAAAAGGTTGGGCTTACCAGCAAATCCACTGAATACTTGCTAACCCTCTGATTTACACCACACAAGTAGCACCAGTTTCACAAGACAGAAAAAAACTCACCTTGGGGCCCCAAGGTTGGCCTGGATCTTTGAAAGTGTAGGGTCATGATTTATTTTAGGCAAGTGGAGATCTAAAAAGGAGCAAAGATAACAGGACCCTGCAATTCACCAACTGGATCCTGTATATAAGAACCTTTGTGATTTCTCACCTTGCTAATTTCCTGCCCTCTCTTTCTGCAGGTTCTTCCCCAAACCATCATGGACCAGTTGGACTCTGAGAAGAAAAGTTTCTGATCTTTAGTTCATTCTTCCAACTCTCTAGAAAGCAGGAAAACTGAGAATGAAAAATTCTAAATTACTCAGGACTCATGGGTTGCCAATAGAAGAAATACATCTTAAACTAGCTTAAGCCTGAAAGGGAAATGTATTTGTTCATGTAACTGAACCATAACGAAGGATGGTGGACTGAGGGACCTGAAAACACCCTCAGGACTCCCTCCCTCTCCTTTGTGCTCCTGTCTGATGCCGTCTTCCCAGACCTGCTCACTCTCCATAAGGTGGGGATGTGGCCATCAGCAACGTGTACTTCCCCGAAGCTTGTGACCTGAGTAGATAGGCATCTCCCAACCCACAAGGATTGAAAAGTTCCTCTAGGAATTATGTGGATTGGCCCATTCACTATGACATGTTCCCCCTAAGCAGCTAAAGGAACTGGGTCTGTTACCAGAAGAGGTGGGAGAGGGGTGCTAGGCAGATTGAACAACAGCCACTACAACATCTGAGGAGGAGACCTCCGTGAAGGCCACCAAGTCTGCTAGCAGATATTTCCTCCCTCGGATCTCTCTCCCTGTCCTCACAGTCTCATAAGTGAGGATTAAATACTACATGTGGCCTAGGAGATCTTAGACCCTCCACACGAAGATATAGTAACAATCAACATCCTAGTGTTCTGGCAGAGAAAAAATCAGAAAGAATCGTTTGCCTGATTTTTCCATCAATACCAATAATTAATTAGAGATGAAATTTGTGATGGACTCAGAGAATTAGAGAAGATCTAAGGGAATCTAGATGATTTCCTACCCCTAACCAGAGCCTCACAAAAAAGGGTGAAGATCTATGGCCGTCTTGCGTTTGGTGTGAGGCTGGACAAGGAAGTTCCTAAGGTCCTTTAGACTCTGTGAGATCATGAGTCCGTAAAACCCTTCCAACTTGAAATTAGTTGATTCCTTCCTTAAATTTTCTGGGACATTCCCCCACTCCCTCCACTCTTATTAGCTGATTTTACTGACCAATAGGCCTTGAAGTTGGGCGTTCCATCTAGATGTCTCACATCAACTCACCTTTTGCAAATTAAGCCCATACCCTTAAAGAGGGGAATTCTCAAGCCATTAGAAACTAGAGAGTCAGCTGGGCATGGTGGCTCACGCCTGTAATCCCAGAACTTTGGGAGGCCAAGGTGGGTGGATCACTTGAGGTCAGGAGTTCGAGTCCAGCCTGACCAACATGGCGAAACCCCGTCTCTACTAAAAATACAAAAATTAGCCAGGGGTGATGGCATGCACCTGTAATCCCAGCTACTCAGGAGGCTGAGGCAGGAGAATTGCTTGAACCTGGGAGGCGGAGGTTGCAGTGAGCCAAGTTTGCACCACAGCACTCCAGCCTGGGCAACAGAGTGAGACTCAGTTTCAAAAAACAAAAGAACAAACAAACAAAAACTAGAGGGTCTCCTCTTAGTTCTTAAACCCTCTTAGTCAACATTTGTGAGCCTCTTTTCTGTATGTTTTGGCATCTTTATTCCTTTCCTTCGTGTCTTGACCAAATTCACCAGATCATGACTCAGAACAAAATCCTGAGGTTGAATATAGAGGTCTAGAACATCTTCAAATTAACTGTTTCTCCTCATAGAGAATTAAAGAAATTGAGAAAGCAAGAGAGAGTGTGTGGAGTTTTTGTCCTCATTTTCCTCTTTCCTGTAGTAGGTAGAATAATGGCTGCCCAGAGATACTCACATCCTAATCCCTGGAACCCATGAATATGTAATGTTGTATGGCCAAAGGGGAATTGAGATTGCTATTACAATGACTTAAAATGGGAGATTATCCTGGATTATCCAGATGGGCCCAATGTAATCACAAGGGTCTTTAAAAATAGAAGGAGGAGGCAGAAGATTAGGTCAGTCCATGAGACAATGTGAGAAAAGCTCAGCCTGACATTGCTGGCCTGGGAGATGGAAGAAGGAGCCACAAGGGGTACCAGCAGCCTGTAGAAAGTAGAGAAGGTAGAAACACAGATTCTTCCCTGGGGCCCCCAGAAAGGAACACAGCACTGTCAACACTTTGAATTCAGCCTGGTAAGACCCATGTTAGACTTCTGACCTACAGACTGCAAGATAATAAATCTGTCTTGTGTAAGCCACTAAATCTATGGTTATCTGTCACAAGCACAATAGGAAATTAATACACTTTCTATTTGTTTTACGTGTGTCCTGAAATGTTAGGTTCCTTAGGATTCCAACTGCTGAACTATATGGAGACAGGATAGTTTAGTTAAAAGAAAAATCTTAGACAAATTAAATTTAACAGAGTTTACTTGAGCAAAGAATAATTCATGACTTGGTAGCCCCAGAACCAGAATAGGTTCAGAGGGACTCTGTTGCTGCCACGGTGACAAAGAAGATTTATGGACAGAAAAAGGAAAGTGATGCACAGAAAACAGAATTGAGGTACAGAAACAGCCAGATTGATCACAGCTCAGTGTTTACCTTATTGAACACCATTTAAACAGTTGGACGGCCTTGACTGGCCAAAACTTGATGATTGGCACAACAGCAAGTTACAGTCTGTTCACACATCCATTAGGTTACAGCTCACTATGTATGAAGAAACCTTTAGGATGAACTTAAAATATATAAGGAGGGAGCTTTAGGCTAAACTTAACAGTGGACAAGATTTGACTCTGCTACTACGTCACCTTGTGGTTTTGGGTAAATCAGTTTCTCTGGTTCTCAGTTTCCATATCTGCAAAACAAGGTCGTTTTATTAAATGATCCCCAAAGCCTCTCCCCCTTTAAGTTTAGACATTCAGTATACTCTCCGTCTTCTTAATGGTGTCAAATGCTCTGGAAGCCCCAGCAAACACCTGAGCTGCCCCTGTCATCATCCACAGCAGAGCACGGACAGGGAAAGAATGTCCACAGGTTCCAGCTCTCTCAGGACTTGTCCACGGCGAGTGAGGCCACAGGAGGTCAGGGCAGGCACAGCAGCTGCCAGTTCTCTCCACTCAGGAAGAACATACCCAGTGCTAAGGAAGAAACACTGTGGGGACAGAGGTGCTAGAGAATTCTAAAACCCAAGCGGCCATGGAAATCCTCCTAAAGGCAAGGAGACTTGTGTTAGCTTCACAGGAGAGATGGGCTCCGAATAAGGATAGTCTATCCAGAAGTTGGGGTGACAAGAAAGACACCAGGTGGGTTATCATGGTGAATGGGCTAGGCTGGAAGAAAAGGTTTTGTGTGGGCAAAAGGTCAGAAAGATCTGTTAAAAGCAGATGATGAGGCCTTAAAAGGTTCCAGGACAAGGACAGGAAGGCTGAGTGAATGCCTTGATGAGGCCCTACTACACTTTGTGCCATGTTGTATGCCCGGGAGTAAGCAGCAGGCACATAATCGGTGCTCAAGACAATAGGTGCTCAGTATTTGTTGGATGAATAAATAAATAGGCATCAACATATTTTTAGCAGGACATTGCCATTATCCAAGATGAATTTAAGGAAGATAAGTGGGACCTCCATAGGCAGAGTGGACTGAAGGAGGCAGAGATGGAACATCTGTATACTAGTCAAGAGGCTGCTAAACTGATTCAGACATAAGGGTCAAGCTGGGATGTTGGGCAGTGCAAACTGAAGGGAAGAAACATATGTGTCGTGAAGACTTTCCCTAAACCATTCCATCTGGGAGGATGTCATTTCCATTCATGCAAATCTCCAAGGAAGGAGACCCACCACCTCATGAATAAGAATAATGCAATAACCCAGACAGGCCAGCACACTGGAGCAAAATCCTCGGGCAGCCATGGAAGCAAGAATCCAACCCACACCATATTTTCAGTAGAAATGACCACTAATTTATGCACAGTTTTTCTGCCTATAATCAAAGCTAATTCTTAGTTCACTCTTGCCTCCTCTAGACTCAACAACTCAAATTCTCCTAACTGCTTTCAGAGATCCATTCACTGAGTCTTCTCATTATTTCCGTTTTTCTTCCCTGATCCCGCTCCAAGTCCCCTCTGCCTTATGTCATTTAGCTGAATCGGAAGACCAGGTTTGCTCCAGTCACACTCATCTGACAGGCCTGCTCTTTTCCTCTAAGTAGCTGGCAGGAGCATAGCTCTGTTCCAGGAGGGGGACCTGTCCTCATGGGAACATGGCAGTTATGGTCCAAGTCCAGCTGGCCAAGAACTCAGACTGTCCTCTCCTGAAGGTTCCCCCACAGAAATCAATAAGAGCCCACCTCCAGACAGTGGCTGGCCTCAGATCTCAGAGGAACTCACCATCCTCTTCCTCTCCATCATCCTCTCTAAGCTTCCCTGTCTTTGCCTCAGCCAAAGTCCAACCCATCAGGGACAGAAGAGTAATTGATGAAGGCCTTAAGGGATATCAAAGCGCTATTGAGCAAAACCACAACTCAACAGCCGTGCAGGTGCTTCCTGCGGCAGGGAGGGAAAGAAGTGTCTTTAGAAAGCCCTAAATAACTCTAGGCAGGGATGTCAGCTTGACAAATGACTGGTGAGAAATAGCCCTGTTGTTCTCTGGTGTGTGATTCATCCAAGGCTGTGCTGGGGTGGGGGGACAAGGCCCAGCCGTGAGTCCCACCGTTGGTCACTTGGGGCCGCTCTTCAGCTTGGCTCCAAGATGGATAAGAAGGCACTTTTGTTGGTGCTCTTGGCCTCTGTCACTTTGACCTTGTTTTCCAGTGGTTTTATTTAGCGGATTTGTGCTGATTTGGTTTGAGCCGCATTCAGAGGAGGATAGCAACTGTGGGGAGACTCTTTCTAAGCATCCGAAGGCCTCTCTCCCTTTGATGTTAGCTCCCAGTGCTTCTTGCCATCATAACATCAAAGACCAGGGGCTGCTCAGGGCAGAGGCCCATTTCATCTCCCTGTTCCCAGCTCCTCAAAGAGCTGGCTTATTGAAATGCTTGTCACGTGTTGAATGGATAAGTGAAAATATCCCGAGACCAAGGGATATGACATGACAGCTAGTTTCTAGACTTAGCGCTGGGACCTTGACAAGGTGCACAGAGTCTCTGGGCCTCTGTATCCCCATCTGTAAAATAAGAAGGCAAGCTCTTGGGTCCCCTCAAACTCAGACCATGAGGTTCAGAGAGGCCTGCAGAGGCTGATTGGGGCCTACACCCAACTCGCAAGGAGGGGAACAAAGGTAAGGAGAACATGAGGGATCAGCAGTTGTTTTGAATGCCCAGCAGCAGGAGTAAACACCAGCACGTTGAACACTTGCGTGAAAGGTCTATGATGTTTTCAGTTAGGAGGTCGGCCTGGAGGCCCCCTGAAGTAACACTAGATGAATGTATTGTGAACAGCCAGTGGGCTGGTGTGGGCCACATGAGACACAAACAGCACCACTAGCCTCCCTGAGTTTACTGGGTCCTCTTCACCAAGGTGTCCCAGCCACCAGCTGGACATTAAGTCTTTGGTTTATGGTGTGTTTTTTGTTGTTGTTGTTGTTGTTTTCCATGAAACAGCACAGCAAATCCATCGTTAGAGGCCGGCCATCCCACCAGCAGGGATGATTTTGTGAGTGAGTCATGCTGAGGAGGCGCTGTGTGAGGTGGGGCTGCGGTTTATAATGAAGTCCTGCCTGGGACTGTACTGAGGAGACAGCCCAGTGTGTCCCAGCACAGAGCCCATTTCTCAAAGCGGTCATCGTCTGATTCATTTTCTCATGCTGGGGGATGTGCTCTGGGTTTTAATGCCTTTAGTTTCCATCAATGGTAGCTTTGTTAGTGTTAACTGAAAGGAAGACAAATTTGTTTGAAATCAAGGTCTTGTGGATGCCTCAGTGTGTACCCTTCTCTGTGCAGAAAATGGCTGTAATCTTGAGATTGAAGAGTTGAATGAAGTTGTCTTCTTTATGGAAAGGCATTTCAGCAACTGTAATTAATGGTCACAAAAGTCATCAAAAGTTTTAACAATCCCAACAATCCCAGTTTCCCCTTTGCGAATCATTTTAGGTTTTTATATAAAGATCGCTGATGCCCCTATTAAGGCTCTTACTGCTGTAAAAGTCAGGTAGGTGAGACTCCAGCTTGGCCTTCATTTGTCCTTTTGTTTACGTAAAGCATCCAGTTACTCTTACACCTTGACATGGCTTAAGCAGGTCTGACGGGAAACAGCCTTGTTTCAGCTGATAATCTCCATGGAATGGACAGACTTCCCACTGCAGAATTGAGGCAGATAAAAGGAAAAAGAAGTGCTCTCACAGCAAGACAGCAATACCTTCATATACCTGCACACACACACACACACACACACACACACACACACACACACACGCCATTTGGGTGCAGAGTAAATACCTATTTGACATATCTTTTCTGAAATACAGATTTTGAAACCACACAAACCTGGTTTTGATCCCTCTCTACCACTTGTTAGCATGTGAGCCTGGATAAGTTGATTAACCTTTCTGACCTTTGGTTTACTTGTTTATAAAATGAGGAAAATTAAAGTACCAAACCACAGTATTGTTGAAACATCAAAGGAAATAATATACATAAAGCATTTAGCACAGTGCCTGGAATATTCCAAGTTGTCCAATAAATGATTGATAATCATAACAATAACAATAATAGAATTTTCCTCTTTCCTGACAGAGAGACCTCTCAGCTCCTTGGCGCTCTATAGGAAGTCAGGGTTGATTCTGTTTGTGGTTTACCATTTAGGATTCACTATGAGGCAGAAGTACAATGTAAGTTACAAGCTATTATTATTACAAATAAGAATTCCTGGAGCAGAGACAATATGCAGTGGTCTGAGTTTGAAGGGACCTGCGATTTTACTTTCTCATCTCAAAAACAAGGATATGGAGGCCCAGAAACCCTGAGTGCTGACCAAGTTTCCAGCTACTTATTCTTAGAGTTAAGACCAGAAACTAGTTATCATGAGTCTTGGTCTTGGGATGTTTTCACTTATCCATTCTACATTTGGCAAGCCTTTAAGTAAGCCAGTTATTTCAGAAGTTGGGCATAAGAAAAGGTGCCCATGGACCGGGTGCGGTGGCTCACGCCTGTAATCCCAGCACTTTGGGAGGCCAAGGCAGCAGATCACTTAAAGTCGGGAGTTTGAGACCAGCCTGGCCAACATGGTGAAACCCCATCTCTACTAAACACACAAAAATTAGCTAGATGTGGTAGTGGGCACGTGTAATTCTAGCTACTTGGGAGGCTGAGGCAGGAGAATCGCTTGAACCCAGGAGACAGAGGTTGTGGTGAGCCGAGATCGTGCCACGGCACTCCATCCAGGCAA
Source organism: Homo sapiens (assembly GCF_000001405.40). NCBI lineage: Eukaryota > Metazoa > Chordata > Mammalia > Primates > Hominidae > Homo > Homo sapiens. The sequence continues at coordinate 44,246,129 of NC_000013.11, forward strand.
CAGAGGGAGACTCCGCCTCAAAAAAAAAAAAAAGAAAGAAAGAAAGAAAAGAAAAGGAGCCCATGGTCTTTGCTGCTATGATGGCAAGAAGTGCTGGGAGCTAACATCAAAGGGGGAGAGGTGTTTGGATGCTTAGAGAGCCAGCCTCCGCACGTTTCTCATCCTCCATTGAATGCAGCTCATACCTAAGCAGCACAAATCCAAGAGAAGCAAAGCAGCCTGCAGTGTGGACAGAAGGACTGAACCAAAAAGTCCACACTGAGAGCTCAGCTTCCGGCTTTCTTCCTTGCTGAGACCCTCCCCTGCCCCAAATGAAATACAGTTTTTGCCCCATTAGGCAAAACGTCTTAATTAGCAAGGGACCGATCGTTTCATAATCTTTAAAAAGAACCCACAGTTCTCAAACACCCCCTCACATGGATGCACGTGAGGTATAAGACAGCAACCCAATGTCTGTTACTATGGAACTCAATGGTGTAAAATTAACTCACTAAAGCACACACCCACTGCAAAAAAAAAAAAAAAAAAACAACAAAAAACAGCCTTTGCCAGCTAGGTGCTTCAGAAGGTGATATAGTTTAGATGTGTGTCTCCCTCCAAGTTTCATACTGAAATGTAATTCCAAATGTTGGAGGTGGGGCCTAGTAGGAGGTGTTCGGGTCATGGGGGCAGATCCATCATGAATGGCTTGGTGCCATCCCCTTGGTGATAAGTGAGTTCTCTATTAGTTCATGTCAGAGTTGGTTGTTTAAAGTGCTTGACATCTCCTCCTCTTCTCTCTTGCTCCCTCCTTCGCCATGTGACATGCCCGCTCCCCCTTCACCTTCTGCCATGAGTAAAAGCTCCCTGAGACCTCACCAGAAGCCAAGCAGATTGGGGTGCCATGCTTGTACAGCCTGCAGAACCATAAGCCAAATAAGCCTCTTTTCTTTATAAATTGCCCAGTCTCAGGTATTTCTTTATAGTAATGCAAAAGGGACTGATAGAGAAGGCATTGATGTCACGCTACATATAAAATTTGCATTCTGAGAGTCGCCTCCCACTCAAACGTAAGCTCCATGTGTTCAGGGATTTGCCATAGGTCTGTTCACTGCTGCACAGCCAGTGCCTAGAACAGCACCTAGACAGAGCAGCCAATAAATATTTATTGAACCAATAAATGAATCATACATGAACCAAGTATGAACAGTGGAGGCTGTGAACTGTCTCATGTGTGAGTTATTTACCATCTCTTTGCTGAGTTTCCTCATCCTGAAAAGGCTATATTAATAGGATTGTCGTAAGAATTGTTGGTTTGTGTAAATGTCTTTAAAGCAGTGCTAGTTAATGTTACCTATTTTGGGCTCCATAGAGATTGTGCTTTTTCTATGTCCTCACAGAGGATTGGCAGATAGATATTCAGCGATGTAACATATATACCTGAAAATTATTTCACTCAAATAATCATGTTAGAAAAGTCCTGAAAGAGGCCAGGCACGGTGGCTCATGCCTGTAATCCCAGCACTTTGGGAGGCCAAGGTGGGTGGATTGCCTGAGGTCAGGAGTTCGAGGCCAGCCTTGGCAACATGGTGAAACCCCATCTCTACTAAAATACAAAAAATTAGCCATGCATGGCAGCATGCGCCTATAGTCCCAGCTACTTGGGAGGCTGAGGCAGGAGAATTCCTTGAACCTGGGAGGCAGAGGTTGCAGTGAGCCGAGATCACGCCACTGCTCTCCAGCCAGAGCGTGATTCCATCTCCAAAAAAAAAAAAAAAAAAAGTCCTGAAAGGATTTTTGGTGGTTGGTTGTTGCTTGGTTTGACTTGTTTTCTTAAAAGGCCAGATGTGTATAAGGTGCTTGGTTTTATTATCACGGTTTTATATGAAGTGTTCAGACTCATCCGTGATACCAAAAGAGCCACATTATATTTGGACACTTTCCCTGGTTGATCTCCTTCCTACAAGAATGGAACATGTAACGTCCTAGACACCCTGATGATTCTGTAGTATCAAGCCCCTTCTTGGAAGAAGGCCTCCAAGAGGTTTCCAGGTGGTGAGCCAGGCCAACCTCTTCAGGCGGTGAATCACACCATCCCTAAAGCTCATACCGGCTCACAGATAAGGCCTCTCACCTAGACCCCTCCAAAAGCTTCAGCTCAATGAAAAACAAAGTACATATGGTCTAGCTTTAATCAAAAACTGAGCAAACAATCAAAACAACAACTAGCAAAATGTGTGAATACCTGTTTCTAAGGTATCAGAAACAACTTACAGACATGGATTCACCAAGTCTTATAAAATAGGATGTAAGGGCACATAGCCTCATATTTATTTTACCAAAGAGAACAGAAAAAGTCATTAAGAACCAGCAATGGAATCCATTCTCTCTCTCCTGGATGCACTGTTTAAGTAACTGCACACCCACCTAAAGTTCTCTATTAAAAACCAATACATTGAGAAAACAGTCATTCTCATATTCTACTGCTGAATCTGGCTTGGGACATTGCATTTGTAATAAAAAATATTTGCATATAGAGAAGAGCTGCAGAAATAGCATGGATTTTGGAATCTGAAAGATGAAGTCAAATTCCAGCCGCATGACCTTCAACAAGTTACTTATGTAATCTGAACACAACTTTGTTCTGTAAAATGTGGGCAAGGATAGCAACCCAGCAATGCTGGTATAAAAATTATGGATACTATCTGTAAGCTTCCAGTAGATTGCCTCATTTATAAATGATACTTAGTAAAGGATGATGATGATAATGCTGGCCTTCCCTATTCAAAAAGCACATTCTCAGCTGGCCACAGTGGCTCACACCTGTAATCCCAGAACTTTGAGAGGCCTAGGTAGAAGAATTGCTTGAGCCCAGCAGTTCAAGACCAGCCTGGGTAACACAGTGAGATCCCTTCTCTACAAAAAGAAATTATTTTTAAATTAGCTGGACGTGGTGATGCAAGCCTGCAGTCCCAGCTACTCAGGAGGCTGAGACAGAAGGATCACTTGAGCCCAGGAGGTCGAGACTGCAGTGGGCCATGATCATGCCACTGCACTCCAGCCTGGGTGACAGAGCAAGAACTTGTTTCAATAAATAAATAAATGTAAACAAAACAAAACAAAACAAAAATTCTCAGGATGAACGAACACTTTGTCTTTCCCCCCAGTAATGTTATACTTACGAAAACATCAGGTGCTAAGATTTAATAGCTTATTAGGTCAATTTTTTCGGGGGATCCATTTGCAGAAATTAGATTTGCTGTATTGATTTGACAACTTTGCATAATCCCAACTGAACATTCCCAGCTAAAACAGGGTTTTTCTTTCCGGTTAACTTTAAGACTCTCTCTCTTTCTTACTCCAGAAATTCATTTCTCATTTGGTTTGGGACAGAGCCAGCTGGTAAAAGGTTTCAGCATGTGTTTATTGCCTCTTTGTTCTCAAGCATTTTCTGGGGCCTCCTGGCAGCTCTGGTCTGGAGAAAGCAGCAAAACCCTCTGGGGTTGCAAAGCCCAGACAAATCCCAGGCTCTGACCATGGCCTAGGGGTGGTGAAGAACAGCTAGAAGCCTCCCCTCCCACCCCAAACTCCTGCTCAGAACTCTCAGTAAACACAGGGCAGGAGCCCAGCATTTGGCCCCAGGGGCTTCCTCCTACTGGTGTTGTTTTGGAGTCAGCTGTGCTGCCTCTTGTCAGGCCCTACCCAGGACCTTTCCCCTTGATACTTGCCTGGTCTCCAACAAGCAATTGTTTGGGGAAATGTGTGTGTGTGTGTATGTGTGTGTGTGTGTGTGTGTAGCCCATCAAAACTGTCTTCAACAATGACACTGCTGCTTGTAGACATTACAGATACCCTTGTCCTGGGAGGTCCTTGGGTGTCTTTCCAAATAGATTGCCTGAACACTCAACCCCGGTCCATGCCTCCAAGCCTGAACCCATTTAGGAGTCTTACTCTAAGCCTGGAGGTGAAAACAAGGCTTAGCCCCAGCAGAGTCACCACTGCCCAGCCTTCTCCACCTGCCATCTCCATACCACTTATGGTGTGCCATGGTGGATGCATTAAAGGGCAGTACAACTCAACAGTCAATAGCACCACTGTAGCCTTCAGTTGACCAAGAGCCATATCTAGCTTTGCCATTTTGGGGAGCCTGTGTACAAATATTTATTACTATAAATATGGCCGGGCGCGGTGGCTCATGCCTGTAATCCCAGCACTTTGGGAGGCCGAGGTGGGTGGATCAGAAGGTCAGGAGATCGAGACCATCCTGGCTAACACGGTGAAACCCCATCTCCACTAAAAAATACAAAAAATAAATAAATAAATACGATGTCCCAGGCCAGATCCATATTCAGCAGTAGGATTCAGGAGCTCTATGACATACCTGAGCCAAGTTCATTATCTCACTTTCCCTCAGTTCCTCAAATGTAAAGGAAGGAGAGTAGCACCTATTTCACAGTGCTGTTGTGACAGTTCAATGAGATGGTGGCTGGGAAGGGCTGGTACATGTTGATAGTCAATACAGTACAATCTGAACATAAAATTCCAGCCACCTGAGCTCTCCTCAAGCACACTCAGCAGCTTCGGGTTTGCTTGAGTGAACTCCTTGCAACCCTCTCAAGAGGCTAAGCATGAGAGTGAATTGATCCAGGTTTCTCTGGGAGTTGTTATGCCACTGGTGCTTTTTCCCAGCTTTGGGAATGGCGGGATTGAGTGATGGAATAATGAATCCAACAAACATTTTTGGTGTCAGGCACTTTTGAGGCACAAGTCTACAGAGAGGAAAAGGCCCAGGTCACTATCCTCAGGCTGTGCACATAGGACAGGGAGAGATGGAGACACCCGATCAGATATTGGCAATTCTCAGGGTGGTGAACTCTGTGGGGCTATGATGAAGACATTGGGAAGTGGCTAAGGCATCAACAAAGGCTCCCTACATGGGGTGTCCTCTGACAAGGGTCTCGAATAGGGGCTTACCCAGAGGAGAAAATGAGGAAGGGAATTGCAGGCAGAGAGAATAAGCAAAGGCACAAAAACAGCAAAGAAAATGCCCTATTTGGAGAATGATATAATAAATAGTTCATGTGGTTGGAATGGGAAGAAATTCATCTGGAAAAATTGGACTGTTAGGGACATCTATTCTGCTACAGTGACAGTTTGGCCTAGGCCACTCACTGAGACACCAAAATGAGACAATCAGCCTGGCTCTGTCACCCACCCTCAAGGTCCCCCCACCCCCAGCCACTGAGGGAGGAGAACAATAATTGTCTTAACATGATTTAAGTGGTTCTCTCAGCTCTTGTTCTGTTGTATAAACAAATGTCTTCTTTTTTATATTTTTTATTTTTTCAAGATGGAGTCTCGCCCTGTCATGGAGGCTGGAGCACAGTAGTGAGATCATAGCTGACTGCAACCTCTGCTTCCTGGGTTCAAGTGATCCTTCCACCTCAGCCTCTCAAGTAGCTGGGACTACAGGTGCATACCACCATGCCCAGCATGTGTGTGTGTATCTGTGTGTGTGTGTGTGTATGTGTGTGTGTGTGTAGAGAGAGAGATGGAGTCTCACCATGTTGCCAAGGCCGGTCTTGAGCTCCAGTCCTCAAGCAATCCTCTGCCTTGGCCTCCCAAACTGCTGGGATTACTTGTGTGAGCCACCATGCTCAACACAAATGTCTTCTTAAACTTCAGTTTCTTCATCAGAAAATAGGTTTGGGGTAGGTTCTTTCTTTAGAGGAAGAATGTCATGCAAAGCTCAGTTTCTCATCACCCACTGATGGAAATTATTTGGGGGCATTATTTGAATAAAGCAGTTGTTTAACATACCCTTCAAGAAGATCATGCAAAGCAACTTTCTGGAAATCAGTTCCACACATGGTAATAAACATCTTGAATAAATCTCTTCTCATCTCCTCATGGCCCAACTTGATTTCTCCCTGTCGCCTCTGCTCCCACCTGCAGAGTGATGAGCTATCAAACCTAACTATTGCTTCCACTTCTGATTCCTCCAAGGAGGGGGTCTTACATTTCAGCACAGAAGGAGGAAACATTAACACAGGTGAAAGTACTTAAGCTCCTCCCAGCCATCCTCCCTCATCCTTTGCCCTGACAAAGAAATACAGCTAAAATCTATGAGGGCCTTCAGTGATGAGCTGATAGATCTATTAAATAATCTGACCCATCACCTAGAGTGGTCTGACACAAGTTCCTTTCCCATTCTGGTCCTAGAAAGATATTTTCTCTATTCCATCAGCAGTGAAATTATCTCCGTGTTCGATCTGATCACAGCATCTTTGGAAATCACAGCCAGGCTTCCTGAGGCCATTGCCAGGCCATGTTTCCTACACAAACTGCCTGAAAATTGACCATCAGAGAGTCTTCAGGGCATTAAGCCATCGGAATATTGACAATTCCACTCTTCACCGAAGGAAACTGAGCCACAGTAAGGATATGGGGACGCTCTGGACCCAGAGAAATTCCTCACTGGAAAAGAAAAAAACATTCAATGTCCTTACTTATGGCCTAAGATCCTGGAACTGCTTTCTCCAAGGCAAACTCAGGAATGCAGCACAAAGAGCCTGCGAAGAATACTGGTAGGTGGCTGGGGTGGTAGGAAGAGATAAGTTACAGGCAAACGTTTAAATACATATATATATGTATATATATGCACACAGAGAGCAAAATCCCACTGACCCATGGGAGGTGACTAGAGTTCCACAGTGAAAACTATTCCCTTCACCAAGATAACAATAAGAAACATTTTCACATGAGAAAGTGAAAGCTTCAAGAAGAAAATGCCATTTTAAACCCTGGTTTACCAAAAGAGGTTGTTCTTCGTATTCCCCAAACTTTCTCAAAAGGTCTCAAATATTTGAGTGGTTGCTTCCAGACTGAAGAGCGTCCTCCTTGTTCTTACCTAATTTATTAAACACCCACTCTGCTCTGAGAACTCAGCATCACACAATGACACAGAGTCTTTGTAAAATGGAGTCAGCCTGCCCAGAAAGGGAAAATACAATTAAAAGATCTAACTACACTATCGAAAGAACAATGGTGCATCCGGTTTGCTTTCCTCCATTGAATTTACCTTGACTTTGATGTCAGCTGGCCCAGCCCTAGACTCATTTCTTAGTAAAATGCACATACCCAGAACTTGGAGAGAGGTTGGTGGAAATTTAAAAAAAACAACCCTGAGATCCATGTCTGGGCCAACTGGGGGAAAACAGGGACTGAACTCACAGGCAGCCCAAATGGAACTGCATGCTGGAGTGGCTATGAGAACACAAACCTCCTTCTTCTATGAAGACATTCTGGAGACAGCTTTAAGAGCACCAAGAAATAAAGACTTGAGCTCATTTTATCTGGTTCTTAAGGAGTAGGAAACCCCCGGGGTGATATTTGGGTGGTAGTAGAAAATTTTGTATTTCAGGAAAGTTTTTATATTTCAATAACCATGACCTCATTTTCTCTTCCCCAAAGCCTTAACTTGCTCCCAGAGAAAGACTATTACTGTTATTCCACAGGTGGTCCTGGGAAATGAAGACAGAATGGTCAGGTGGAAGGAAGAATCCCGTCAGGCTTTTAGGAACTCAATCCTGCGCCTCTCACTACCATCCCGCCTCTCTGGATTACCTTTTCCAACATATAGGGCTAAGCTATGGACTACAGCCCATCCTCCTACTTCCTGAAGTTCAGAGCGTGATCTGAGGCAGACACTTGGCTGACCCCTATACGATGGGTTCCAACTCCTTCTACTCCATTGCTGCCTACTACAGAGGCCTGAGTTTAATGGTGCATTTTCCCTTGCAGCTAAGCAAGGTGTAGTCACCTAACAGCAATAATTTAAGCACATTCTTGGAATGACCCCATTTGGCAGATGCATCTGAATGTGTGTTTTGTGCTAGGGAATCTGGGAGTGGCCAACCCAGAGATTCATTCCTTGTCTATGATAAACTTCTGAGCCCTCGGCCTGTCCCGTGGAACATGGGCCATGCAGGTGATTGAGGTCCTGCATTTTGGGCTAAGTGAAGGTTACCAGGTGGAGGTCATTGGTGGGAGGGTGTTAACTGAAAATGCCATGTGAACCATATGCTGTTTGCAAGTGGTTGCAGTTTTCCTGCCCAGACTGCCACCACTGGGCTGTGCAGTTATGCTGTCCAGTCCACTGCCACTGGACTCTTCCAATACGGAAGGTGGTTCTCCCCTCCAGCCTGCTGCCACTGGATTCCCTCCCCTGTATGTGAGCCCTTAATCAAACCCTATGTCTCGTCTGCTGGCTCTAGGTCTCTTCTTCGGCCTTCTTGAAACTGGTGCCTTCCCTATTGAGGTTAACAGGGGTTCAGCACAACGCAAGGGCAGTGTACCCCATTCTGGAATATAAGCAGAAGACTCCTGTGTGCAGCTTCCAGAATGAATTTTCCCTTCTTGAGGAAAAAGGACAGTGTTGGCTGGCCTGACTCTACCACTCCCGCTTCTTCCTGCCTTCAACATGCCACTTGGTCCACAGCGATTGTACAACTGAGACAGAATGCAAATTTGGGTCTTGCCTACTCCAAAGGCCATGCTCCTAACCACCATGTCCTATTGCCTCCTTTCAATCATTTCATTGGCCCACAAATGACAGCCAGCAGAAAGAAACCAATACATGAGGCAGTGAGGAATAGAGAAAAGTGCCCTGGACCAGGCACCTGAAGATTTATCTGAGCTCAGCTCAGGTGCTCGCTCTATACTAGCTGTGTGGCCTTGGGTCAGTCAATTAACCTCTGAGTCTCATTTCCTGCCTTTGTGATAGCTAGCCTGGGAAACGTCTGAAGTTCCTTCCAGTTTTCAAATTCTATGGCTATGATTCTAGAATATGAACCTACTCCAACCCTCCTAATAAGCTACCATATTCCCAAACCCCAGTGAATCTAAGGGCAACCCGGACCCTATGGAGGCAGCAAGTTTGTGACTCAAACCATTCACGTCTCCATCCTTGTTCCTGCTGGACAACACCTTCCTGATACATTGGGAATGCACACGTCCCTACATCTTTGACAGGCTGAAGGAGAGTTTCCAATCATGAATAGAAATGCACTGTGGTCTGGTAGGATTTGCATTCCAGAGACAGGAGGCAGAATCCTACCCCTACCACAAGTCATTTAGTTGTTCTGAGCCCAGGTTTTTCCTGTAAAATTGGGATAACAATGAAGTCTTCCTTACCCTAGTTCCATCCAAAGTTATTGTGAAGTCATGCAAGATAAATCACTTTTAAAATGGAAAACTTGCCATTAACTAGAGTTCAGCAATGCTCAGATAGGCCTAAGTAAGCACCTGATTCAATGCCTGGCATATAAAAATTCCACATGCCGTTCATATATGCAATGCAGAGCCTATATTTCGAGGCAGGCCGATGGCCACTGAGCTGTCTAAACTTTCTGGTCTGTTTTTGCGGGTGCGCATCTTTAACTCAATGAGGGAGAAAGTCTTCTTGTAGTACCCAATTTTATGTTATTGACAAAATCCAGAGGCAGCAAAACAACAAAAGGGGTGAGGGAGTGTGCCGAGGAGTTTCTCCCTTCCAAGTACCGTTGTTAAATTACCTGCACCATCCCACCATCCCCCATCCTACCTCATGGGTTCTGGCGTAATCCCATTAAAGAATTTAAAAATTTAAAGAATGTTAAATGCTCATACAATACCTTTCCAGCCTGGTTGTGATTGATTTGTCTCTTTTCACAGCATGTATATTAATGTAGGCGCTGGTGTTCGGAATGCATGGTTTCTTTAGGAAAGAAATAGCACCATCCAAAATCCAAACTGAAATTCCTGAAACTTAGGACAGCCAGCAAAGCAGGGAATTCATTTTCCATCCTGTTACTTCCTCTCACTGGCTTTCTGGGATGTCAGAGCAAAAGGTGCTTCAGCCTACGAGCTCCATGGGGCACCACAGTTTTGAAACTGCTGCCTGTGTCCTTTGGTTGGAATCAGTGAATATGCCCTGTGTAGGCTTTTCAGAAGCAAGAGGAAGAGTGGCCTAAGCTCCATGAAATACCATTTTGTCTCATATCCATCAGAAAAACTGTACTCCAGGGAGAATATCAAATGATGTCATGCTGCTGCAGTCTAACACTGATGATTTTGATATGTCAGTGGTTCCCACTGGAAAATAATGTACTTCTCAGGATCTTTGTTGGGAGCCGGAGGCTTCTGATTGCTGATTCTCTGAAGCCAGCAGCCTCCTTGCATAAGGAGCCCGATACTCTAAGGCACCATGAGAGTGGCCAACCTCACAGTGGGTGGTTAGCCCTGCAGTGGGGCTAACTAGCCCCACAGAAGGAAGTCCTGCCATGGGGTAAAGACTGGGGTGCTGAGCACTGCTGCCCCTTATTCCCCGCGGGACCCTGTTCTCCTGCTGGGTCCCCTTCTCAGACAGGACACAGCCCTCACCCCCTTGAGGAGCTTACCCTTCTCCACGTCCACACAGCTTGTGGTTCATTCAGGCTGCCTGCTGTCTAATGTCTACTGCCCAATGGGAAGCTTTGTCCTAGCTGGGCATGTGCCCATTTCCAGGGGGGGAAATATCACGTGTGGGAGGAAGTATCACACCGTGGTTAAGTGCCAGGCTTTGAACCACCAGCCTGGATTCTATCTTAATTCTGCTTCTGACACTCTCTGGAATCTTGGAGAAATTTACTTTTCATTCCTTCAGCTGTGAAGGGCCTCACTGAGTTGTTTTGAAGATTAAATGAGTTACTTTGTATGAAACACCTAGTGTTGTGCCAGGCATATAATAAGTGCTCAACAAATATCAGCTACAAGAGAAAACTGCCATTCATTGAGCACCCCTCTGGGTCAGGCACAGTGCTAAGCAGTTTACATTCATTATTTAATCCTCACAATAACTCAATGAGATCCAAACTATTATGTGCATTTTTACTGCCTGAGCAGGTAAGTAGCTTGCCCAAGGCCACAGTGCTAATGAGTGGTAAGTCTGGGGCAAGACTGGAACCCAGGTCTGTCTAATCTGAAATCTTACGTGGAGGCTTGTGTGGAGGAAGCAATACTGTGTCAAGGGACCTGCCGTTGAAGGATTCTCGTGGTGACCCACTGCAAAGCCAGTGGCTGTGAAGGGCACTTATGAGAGGAGCATCTGCTGGGGGTGGGGGTGGAGAGTGTAGACCAGCAGCTGATGGGAGACAAATACCCGCTTTCTCAAACATGCTCGTGGAAGTGTGACAGGCGCCATTGGTTGGCCAACTCAACTGCCATTCCCAGTCTCCTTCCCCCTTTCTCACAGAATCTCAATTTTTTTTTACTTTTGTTCGTTTATTTGTCCCACCACCCATCTCTAGAACTCAATTTGAGTCTCACAAAACTGAAACCTTGTGTTCATTAAACAATAACTCCTCATTTCCCCTATATCTCCAGCCCCTGGAATGCACCATTTTACTTTCTGTCTCTATGAGTGTGACTATGTACCTCATGTAAGCGGAATCGTACAGCATTTTTCTTTTTGTAACAGACTGATTTCACTTAGTATAATGTCCTTAAAATTTATTCATGTTGTAGCATGTGTCAGAATTCCCTCCCTTTCTAAGGTTTAATAATGTTTCATTGTATGTATAGACCATATTTTGCTTATCTGCTCCTTCCTTTATGGGCACCTGGCTTGCTTCCACTTTTTGGCTATTGTGAATAATGCTTCTATGAGCATGGGTATACAGTAGTCTCCCTTTATTCTTGCATGTTAGTTACCCATGGTCAACTATGGTCCAAATATATTAAATGAAAAATTCCAGAAATAAATAACTCATAAGTTTTAAATCGCATGACACTCTGAGTGTCGTGATGAAATCTCACACCATCCTGCTCCATCCCCCCAGGAACGTGAATCACTATTTTGTCCAGGGTGTATCCACACTATGTATGCTGCCCACCCATTAGTCACTCAGTTATCAGATCCAATGTCACATCACCGTGCTTGTATTCAAGTAACTTTTATTTTACTTAATAATGGCCCCAAAGTACAAGAATAGTGAGGCTGGCATATTGTTGTAACTGTTCTATTTTATTATTAGTTGTTGTTAATCTCTTCCTGTGTCTAATTTATAAACTAAACTATATTCTAGGTATATATGTATGTATAGGACAAAACATGATATATATGGGAGAATCTTAATTTTAATAGGGTGACAATGCAACCATCCCTAAGAAAGGAATCATGGCTCTCTTTCATTCCCCTTTGCTAGATACTTACTGCTATGAACTGAAAGTTTTTGTCCAAACCAAAATTCATATGTTGAAATCTTATCACCAAGGTGGTGGTATTAGAAGGTGAGGCCTTTGGGAGGTGATTAGGTCATAAGCGTGGAACCCTCATGAATGAGATTAGTGTCCTTACAAAAGAGGCCCCAGAGAGCCACCTTGCCCCTTCCACCATGTAACGGCACAGCAAGATGGCGCCATCTATGAACCTGGAAACGCACCCTCACCACACACCAAATCTGCTGGTTCCTTGATCTTAGATTTCCCAGCCTCCCTTCTTACCAATACATTTCTGTTGTTTATAAATTACCCACTCTACAGTATTTTGTTATAGTAGACCAAATGGACTGAGAAGGAAATATAAAAAAAAAGTATTGAGGGCTTTAGAAAAGACTTTTGTTTCTTAAAAAATAAAAATCTAGAGCCTAATAAAGAGAAGATTTGCCCTTATGATGCTCATGCAAGGACGGAAACCACCAATAAGCACCCTAAAACCAAGAAGCATGAGGACAAAAGCCAGCAGCATGGAGCATGGCAATGGAGAGGCTGGGAAAGCCTGGAAAGATAACCAAGTCAGCCAACAAACTCCGGGGCCACTTACATCCAGACTTTTTAAGGAAATAAAAAGTGCATTTACGAGTTTATTTACTTATAGTCCTTAGTCAAGTGTTCTGTTCCTAAGTGAAACAGAAAGCGGCCTTGAAGGAAAGGAGCTTAATGACGCTAGATCCAGATCTTGTAGTCAACATTAAAACCCCTCTCTCTGCAGTCTCATGGCGACTGTACCTCATTCTGCCTGATGTTTCCAAGACAGCTGTTTACATAACTTTCTTCTTCCCCTTTTCATAACCACTGCCCCCGCCCCCATGTCACCAATGATAAGAAGGCAGAGAGTTTGTCTGAATCATTTTTGTACCCACCACTTTCCCCCACCCCTGCCTGCTATAGATGACTCATTATACCATTTCTATCTTGAATTGTCATTCCCATTACAGGCAGAGAGGACAAAACACAACCACATGCACACACTTTTACACACACAGAACCATATATGTTTATCGACCTGATACAGGGAAATCAGTGGGCTACGGGTGCTGTCCCCCCATTTGAAATCTAAGCATGCCAAGAAGAAGGCAGAGAGGTGAAAGAAAGTGGAGAGAGATTGAATGAAAGAAACTGAGGAGCAAAGGAAGAGAGAGAGAGAAAGAGAGAAAATAACACCACACAGCAGCAGCTCCAGGGCTTGACATCAGCGAGATTTACTGCACTAATATGCCTAGCTGCCTGCCATAATTAGTTTCTGTAAAAACCCTATCTTCTCGCTCAGATTCAATTAAATCATACGGTGTTTATTCGCAAGATTTCTTATTCCACGATGGGAGGGCTGGCAGGACCCCAAGCTCAGCTCACCCACCTGTTCCTTGCCTGGCACTATTTCTGTATCAGTCACGTTTTCAGGTGGTCAGGCAGCCAGGGGATGAATGGGTGAGTGTTTGTGCTCGGAGATACAGGAAGACACCACACACAGCAGCCAGGGCCCTGAATGATGTCATTTTCTTCATGGCTTAAAAGGAAAACATGCACCAGAAATGGGTACCAGAGTGATAGTGAACCTGGTGTCTGATCCTAACACTGGTTATTTTTAAACCCCCTTGTGTCAAGGAGGCAAAACCAGAGTGATGGTTATTAAAAGTCATTTTAAGAACAGGCTCTAGGCTTGTTAGAGAAAATCCTAACAAACCTAGGCTATAAGATAGCAAAACATCTGATTCAGGGAATTGCTCTGTGTGGGATTTCCTGGTCACTCTCCAGGGGTGACTTGGACGGAATGCACTATATGTGCTGCCCTCCATTGCCCTTGGGGTGAAAAAACAGCCCCTCAAAATGCCACCAGTGTAAGAGATATGCATGTGGGGAGGCTATGGGGAGGAGAAGAGAGTCCTGCTCCTAATGAAAAAACAGATTTCTGCATGACACCACGCTCAGCTGCAAGAGCAGTTTTTTCCTCCTGAAGCTGAAATCAATATTAAATTAAATCTGTGTGCTTTGTCTCCATGAATAACTTTCTAACATTCTACATTGGCCAATCAGAATCCCTTCACCCTTGTCAATTCCACTTGGGTAACTTTTTTTTTTTTTTTACTCTGTTTCTTTGCCACCAAACTGCGTGTTCCCATAGGAAAGACACAGCATAACGCATCAGTTGCTCCTTGCTACTAAACAGTTGGTGGGAAAACTAAAATCTGCAGGGAAGAAGAGTAAGATAATTTTTTAACTCTTCAAGGGCACATTTCCTGTTAACCAGCTCTGTCCCCTGGGACAAGTGTGTTAAATGAATATTGACTTGGGGAAGAATCTGGGATCAAATAGGATTCTGAGCCTGTGAAGATGCTTCTCTCTCCTCATCCCCATGCTGGTGGGTGATTTTTTTAAGGTCTTCATCTTCTAATTCCCCTATTTCAACTGTTTGAATCTTTCTGGGAGACTGATTCTTCATTGAGGCTGCACTTGAGAACATGACATAAAACCATAATTTTAAAAGCACTCTAAGACTTGATACAATGAAATCAACTTAAATGTAATTATTTCTTTCCAGGATATTCTTTTTTTTTTTTTTTTTTTGCCTTTTTAAATCATTGCAGTTCTTTTCTGCTAATCTCTAACATCCCTATTCCATGACCCCCCACCAATAAATCCTAGTTTTGCTTCCTCCTTGGCCTGACTTTTGCTTGTTACCCGGAAGCATAAAAGCATCTCAAGTTTAAAAGACGTGTGGTCAGAAGCAAAGAAAAGACCCACCAAAGATGATGTCAATTAAGTCTAGCAGAAGCATTTCTTTCCATGAAAGCACACAGCCCCTAGCATCTGGGGGGAGAAGCTAACATGGTTGAGTCCCTACTGTATGGCAAGCATCTTCAATTAATCGAGACAACAACTTGCAATGCAGTGGTTATACTTGGTAAGTGAGGAAGCTGATGTTTGGAAAGGTGAAGCAACTTTTAGCCCGGTGACAAGCAAAGACTCAACCCTTGCCAGTAGAATTCCCAAATCTGATATACTGCTTGTATATTGGCAGTGAAACATATTCCCTACTCTCCCTACACATCTCCACTATTCACAACCCTCAATCCCTTCCTGAGGTGCTGAGCACAGTGAGTGCACCATCCAACCAGAAGCAACAGCTGTGGAAAGAGCCTTTGGAGGGGCTGGCATCAATCAAAGTCCAGGCATAAACCTCAACAACACAGGACAGCATATCTAGGCTGTAGGACACCCAGATTGCTGAATCTCCTTGGTGACTATTGAATAAATGTCCATCAAGAAGAGGAAGGGGAGATTATCACCCCCTAGAGGATAGACCAGCAGTCACTGTTTAATACCAAAATGACCCCCTGCTCCATGTGGTCCTGGCCAATGGCACCAAAAGGTCTTAACAGGCCTTGCATTATCCCTTGGTCCTGTGATTCTAAACCAAGAGACCCTTGATCTCTGTCCAACTAGAAAACAAGAAATTCATAATATGCCAAGAATACGACTGTCTACTTCATTATTTGACATTAGGAGAGACAGAAGATTCAATTCTATGCCTGTCTTCAACTTGGCAAACACCCATTATTTGCTTATGCTTACAACTTTTCACAAAATCAGCCCCATGTGCTGGCCTGAGCCCTGACCAGGGGATGGTAGGTGTATTCCAGTGCACCCAGCTCAGGGGAGGGCTGACCCTCACCCACCTCCTGATTGTGTTGTTGACCATCCCATCCCTAAGGTGGTACTGATTAAGAGCATAAACTCGGGAGCCAGACAGCCCGGGTGAGTCCCCAGCTGTGCCACTTATAGCTGTGTGACCTTGCATGATGCCTCTGTACTCGCTCTGTAAAGTAGAAAAGAGAGAATACGTTTCCCTAGAATCATTGTGAGGGGCAAATGAAATATTATATGTGAACTTAGAACGGCACTGACTTGAGTCAGGGGTCTATAAATGAGGGCTGTGTCTAATATAATTATTAATATTGCTCCTGATAATGTTTGGGAAAGGCAGCCTCCTTTTCCAATACTTTCTTAAACCCACCCAGCTCTCACAAGGACAAAAGAGACTAAGGAGGCAGGACCCAGGGTGGTTCTGGAGGTCAAAGCTGTGCATTAGAAGGCAAGGAGCCCTGGATTAGATGCTATCAGACCTAGGAACAAGTCCCCCTCTGCTTAGATGAGCCACAGGATCTCCGTAGATCTCAGCTTCCACATCTGCTGTGCACTGAATTATGTTCCCCCAAAATTCATATGTTGAAGCCCCAACCCCCAATGGGATGGTATTTGGAGACAGGGCCTTTGGAAGTTCCTTTGGTTTAGATAAGGTCCTTGTGATGAAGTTCGTGCCCTTATAAGAAGAGACGCGAGAGAGCTTGCTGTCTCTCTCTCTCTACCTGACATGTGAGGATGCAGACAGGAGGCCATCTATGAGCCAGGAAGTGGGCCCTCACCAGAAACCATGCTGGCACCTTGATCTTGGAATTCTAGCCTCCAGAACTATGAGAAATAAATTTCTATTGTTTAAGCTATCCACTCTGTGGCACTTAGTTACAGCAGCCTGAGCTAACGAATACAACACTCGAACCTGGAACCACCATTCTTACAGCTCCTTCCCCACAAGAGAGAGAAGGGTTTTCACATATAGATGGGGTTCCTGCACAAGATCCTATTGTAAAAAGGGTTCTAAGGCTGATAATTATTTTTAAACCGCCATAACAGAGGATTGAAAAATCCCTCCCACTCTAGCAGTGTTTCTGTGAAATCCATGCATAAGAACTCTTAATTCTTATGACATTGTACTAGAAAGTCATAGTTCACAGAACTTCATTTTCCACAAAATTGATGTTTTCCCCTGTTTTATGTTATCAAGTCAGTAGGAAATCTTCCTGAAATATTACTATACACTCATCACCTTAGAATCTATATATATGTGTGTGCATGCATGTATATATGCATACATATCTAGCTTTTCTTGGTGACGTATTGGTATTGTTTTGATCACCAATATTTGTACCTCTGGAAACAGAACAAGGCCTTCGGTGGCTATTGAGATATGCAATACTCTTTGCCTCCAGAATCATTTTGGGGGTGCTAAATGATCCCAGAATACCCTCTGAGTAGATGTTGCTCTCTGTGTTAAATGTGATCAGTTGCCTCCAAATCTGCATGATGCTTTATTTCACATACTGTTCATGGTGAGGCCCTGAGAATGGCTTCACATGGCATACATGCTGTAAAATGCACGTGCCCTGTGGGCTATTTTCCCCAGTGGCTTGTACACTAGTGCCATAAGCATGCACCTGTTTACACCCACTACATGACTTGGGGTGCTGGCCATTCAACTGCTAGGCTTGGCGCTGTGGACACTCCTGCAGATGGCACTGCCCAGAGGGCTCAAGGCAATTGGAGAGCTCACGATGGATGCCATCAGCAGTAAGGAGAAGCTCACATCTTCCACATTCTAAACATGAAATGCTGGAAACAGAAACAACCACTGTGGTCTGTTGTGGGAATGTACTGACCAAGCGTGGGGAGCCTGGACACTGCAAGAGGATCCTGAGAGTCCAGGAAGTCAGAGACATCGCTGTTGAAGTCGCACATCATGGGCACACATATGAAGCAATGCACACTGTATTCTGAGTAGATGGAGAGAAAAAAGAATGAATGGATAAGGCCGGACTCAGGAAGCCTTGTGACAACCCACCATGGCTACCGCCCACGCACACAGTGACAGCTTTCCCACCCCGGAGGCGCTTGCAAGCCGAAGTGGATACTTCTCTCAGTCCTCTTCTGCCCACTTAACGAGGCCCTGTGCAGACAAATTGTCTAAATGTTGTCCCCATGACAACGAACTAATTTGCAGAATGCCGGAACCAGGAGGGAATCAACCCCACTGAAAAACAGACTTGAAACTTTTTCCTGATGGAGATGACGTGAGAACACTCCAGGCCAGAGAACGATAGCAAGAGGTGAGGGGCAGTCCTCCCGGCCAGCCTTTTTCAGGGAAATCCCCTAATCATATTCCTTCATACACCACGTGGGGCTGGTTGTGTTTCCCACTTGGCCTTGGGAGGTGGTTCACACTTACAGTTCCTTCTGACTTGCAATTTCTTCCTTGCTGTCAGCATCACAAGATCTGCATTGCTGTGCCTCGACAAAGCTGATGCTCATAAAATTTCCATTGTTTCGCCATCTTAGCCTCCACCACAGAAGATTTTGTATCGGGAATCTGCCTCATTTCCTTTTATTTGGGTTTTGATACCTACCCTTGTGGTTTTGGAACATTTGTTTTGTTCTGTTTTGTTCTTTAAATGACTTTTGGTTGGAACACTGAATTTGCGTTGTGAGACTCTTGTCTTAATTTCTCCCCTTCTCTCCATAAAATTATTCACTCTGTTGCCCCGGAGATGAGATAAAATTCACAGCTCTCTCATAGCAACACTTTTGTTTTCCCTCTGTGAGTCAAATAGCATCAGATTTTTAAAATTTTAAACATGGAGACAATTACATTTCTTAAATCCAATATTTTGTCTCTCATCTTTTGTTTACTCAGCCTAGAGCCTCAAGGTCAGGTTACAATGAAAATCATACTAAACCAGCTCTTGCTTGTTTTCCCAGTCCCAAAAATATCTTCTTAGCCAATTCTTCACCAGGATTTTGTATTTTGTATTTGTAAAATACATAAAAATGATCATGCATTTATTCATTCATTTAGTGCATTTTATTGAACAGTTAGTATGTGTGGATAGTATTGTAGGTGCTGAATGCAAAGATGAACCAGAGGCTATCTTTGCCCTCTCAAGAATTGTAAGGTCACACTTTGGGAGGCCGATGCGAGTGGATCACTTGAGGTCAGGAATTCGAGACCAGCCTGGCCAACGTGGCAAAACCTCACCTCTACTAAAAATACAAAAATTAGCCAGGCATGGTGGCACGTGCCTATAATCTCAGCTACTCAGGAGGCTGAGGCAGGAGAATTGCTTGAACTCAGGAGGCGGAGGTTGCAGTGAGCCGAGATCACACCACTGCACTCCAGCCTGGGCAGTACAGCGAGACTCTGTCTCAAAAAATAAATAGATAAATAAATAAATAAATAAATAAATAATAATAAATCATAAGGTCGGAAAGGAAACTGGTCCAGGAAGCAACTGCAATACCTGGGGTAACTGCTGTGAGAAGAATTTGCAACAGGTTCTAAGCCATCAGAGGAGGAGCCTCTAATTCAGGGTTGGGAGAAAAAGGAAAAGGATGGAAAAGGGAGAGAAAAGTAATCAAAGTAGATGGAATTAAATGATGGGCAAGGCCCAAAGGACAAATGGGACCTAAACCAGGTTTGGTGCCCAGAGAAGTGCCAAGCTAGTTGGGTGAATGTGTGTTGAATCAAAGACTACAAGTAGAAAGTGTTCTAAGAGGGAATAAATATATACAAAGACAGAGGCAAGACAGTACGGAATGGCTGAATTCTGAGGCCATAAAGATGAGAAACTTAGGAAGTGCTCCCTCAGTATGGCTGGGAGGAGTGCCACTATGTCAGACAGATGGTTGTAGCCACAATCCAGGGCCAAATGTTGAAGCTCTTCAGGTAGCCTTGTTGTCTACACCCTTAGGAAACAAGCATCAAGCTGTCTAAGTTTAAGAGAGTGCCTGCACTTGACAAAAGAGTCTAAATTTAGGGAGGGTCCCCCTCCCAGAGGATTCCCTAGTCTGCCAGCCTCACAGATGGTCATACCCCAGGGCTGCTGCTTCAGGACAGACCTGAGGCCAAATTTCCTAGGGGCAGTGGGAGAGAGATGATGCAGTGTGATGGCCAAGCCCAGCACAGAGCTTCCCATGCACTCAGGTCTAGGGCTGTGGGCAGGGATTCCCAGATCAAGAACTTCCATTCAAGTTTTGATGTCAGAATCTGAATGCAATATAAAAAGAAAGCAGCTTCCCATGTCCCATGAAAAAGAGCACCACTGCAGGACAGTCTGTGGAAGATAAATCCACATGCAGGTGGGCTCACACACAGTCAGGGGTGCTTTGAACTCTCACCTGCTGTGTCTTCCCAGAGGCCCTTTGTTGACCCTACTCATCTGCCAGCAACACTGGAGGGTGCTGCTGAGACTCGCAGCCCCAGGAAGGGGACGTGCTAACTGGAGGAAAGACACCATTGTTATGCTGTGAATTTCAAATTGTTCTTCACCCTAAAGGCGATAGACTTTGTAAGTCTACTCAAAAGGTTGAGGTGGGAGGATGCTTGGGCCCAGAAGTTTGAGACCAGCCCAGGCAACATAGCAAGACCCCATCTCAAAAAAAAAAGAAAGAAGTAAGAACAACTGGTAAGAGAAAGGATTTTATCAGGGTTTCTAAAGCTTTAAAAACAAAACAAAACAATGTATAAAGACTCAAAGCTTTTCCAGCTGACCATGCATAGCAGGGCATAAAAGAAGGTATGCAAGGGAGCTCACACCACACAGAAAGAAGTGGAGCCTTCTGTCCCCCAAACTTCCCCTCCTCCCACTCCAGCATGTGGGCTTAGACCCAATCACAGAGGGGTGTGCTGGATGGGAACTGCCAACCAGCCACCCCAGCACAACAGTGGACTCAGACTGGCCAGGAGGGGGCTCCTGGAAGGTGAGCCTGAGGATGGCCTCACAGTGCCCTGCATACCCCTGTGTGATGAGAGAAGGAGCCACTGGAAGTCCACAGGCCCCGCAAGGACAGCCAATGCAGGAGGGTCTGGGGCACTGAAGAAGGACTAGTGTGGAGAAGGCAGGGAATAGATAATACCTGAGGAGGAGAATGAATGGGCACATGGATAGATGGCTGGCTGGGTAGCTGGCTGGCTGGCTGGCTGGATGAATGGATGAATGGATGACTGGATGGATGGATGGCTGGATGGATGGATGGCTGGCTGGCTGGATGGATGGATGGTTGGCTGGCTGGATGAATGAATGGGTGGGTGGGTGGATGGATGCATGGATGCATGGACGCATGGATGGATGGATGGGAGCCTGGCTGGATGGATGGATGAATAGATGGTTGGATGGATGGATGGATGGTTGGCTGGATGGATGGCTGGCTGGATGGATGGATAGATGGATGGATGGACAGATGGATGGATGGATGGATGGACAGATGGCTTTGGAGCAGAGAGTCAGAAATCTCAGTCCAAGGGGAAAGCTGGATCAGAAATGAAAAGTAGTATAAGGGCACTAAGGACAAAATGGCTGGGAGGGGCCTCCCAGATGACTTGCATTCAATGATTTGCTCTTTGCTGAGCCTTATTTTGATTGCAGCAAAAAGCCCTGTGGTAGATTCCCTGGGCAGGGAGAAAGAGGGGAGGAATGGAGCAGTTTCAAGGCTTCTAACAAGGGAAGCTTCTAGTCACTTGGATGTTACTCTCTCTTAGTATTAAGGATAAAATTAAAACCTACATAGAGCACAAATATACCTGTCTTTATATGAATCCTCTGCTATATAACTATGAGTTGAAAGTACCATAAGAAATGTCATCTTCATATCCAGAAATTAGTGCTATGTGCGAAGTACCCACATATAAAATAAAGCCCTGATTTAAAAGCTACTCTTGCTGTATCTTTTAAACCCTCACCTGTGATGATCTTTTGGGTATTTACCTATAAACAAATACTAAGCTCTATTTACATCCACACAGGAATTCCCCAAGGTAGTCATAATACTCTTCAAATCCCTAGTCAAATTTCATTTTAATGGAACGGTTCAGATAAAACCAACCACTCTGTGTTTGCCACATCCGCTCAGTAAGAATTCAACATTCTTGCCAGAAAGCAAAGAGAATGTTGTGATTTCACCCTGCCACTCCCTATATCTCAGCATTTCCAAAGACAAGCCCCACAGACCAGACCAGATTTGGTTTAGTTATGGAGTAGCACAGGAGGAATTTGCTCTAATCCGCTTCAAGATTGCCTCAGTTACTGAAAGTTATTTGTTGACGCAAAATCTAGATTAAGCAAAATGTGCTAGGAGGAGAATTGCTTTGTACTGCTGACATGAAACAACCAAGAGTTATCCAGAGATCCCCTTTTGTTTTAGGACTTCTACAGATTTGTCCTAAAAAAAATAAGTACTCTACCTCTTAATTACCACAAAAGAATATGCAAATGACACCTAACAACCCAGCTTAGATGAGTCAAGATGGACGGGCAGAAGAATGCAGTTTCTAAGGGCATGAACTCTGAAGATGGGCTACCTGGTTCACTCCTGGCTCAATCTCTGACTAGCTCTGTGATCTTGCACATCTCTGTACCTCTGTACAGTTTCTTTATCTCTACAATGGGAAGCTCCCAAAGTTGCTATGGGTATTGACATCAACAATGAGTTGATGTGTGTTACGTTCTTAGCATGGTACCTGGTTAGTGGTTTGCCATTGTCACAACTTCCACGGCTTTGAAAGATTCTCAATGGGAAGAGAAGTGAAAGACACCTGAACTCCCAGCTCAGGTGAATGGCAGTCTCCACTACACCCCGCCAGTCTGACTTCTGAAACCTGGCTGTCAGCTTTTCCTCTTGCTCCACTGCCAACACTTCGAACCCCTACATTCCTGAAGATGTAGATGCTAGAAACTGGACTGGATATCAACTGACCCCATAGAGCCCCATGGGAGTCAAATTTCTAAAATAAATAGTGCCAACAAAGTGAGAGTAAGTTTGCTCATATTCAGCCACCCAAGAAATGTCACATTTATTTATTTTAATCAAATCCAACTCTGAGCAATGGTTTCAAGATCCTGTCTCAGTACCTACTGGGGTTTTCTGACCTACCAGGGTCAAACAAAGAGCTGACATGATCTCTTGAAGTCTGAGTGCCTGGTACTTCCCAGCCTGTGTAAGGGGCAGAGGAATCCAATTGGTGCTGGAGCCAGTAGCCTCATTCCCTGGGGTTCAGTCCTTCTGGGAACTCTACACAACCATTTCTGCCCATGTCTTATTGCTAACCTGGGGTGTGGACAGAGAAGGGTGAAAATGCTGTCACTTGGTGGGTTCACCAATCTCTAACAGCCCCCCAGGCTTGGGATATCGTCTGCTCCCTCTCAGCTTCCACTTGACACCCCAAGATCCCTCATGTCTCTCTTCTCTGGGAGTTCACAATCTAAAAGACCTGTTGGAAAGAGAAACTTGGGATAAAATGAATAAAGTACAACAGAGTCTCACCCAACTGTATTCCTCTACCAGAGGACAGACCACAGATTACTGTCTTAACATATACCCTGACACACCAGCTGTGTGCCTTGGCTTGCTAATGTTTCTTGTAAATACTAATGTAGCAACATAATTTTGGTGAATCTAGGGTCCTGGTTATCTACTTAATCAGGCTTCAAAGTGCTTTATTTTCAGTGCACAGGGAAGAACCCTAACTGCTTACATTGTCTTGCTGACAGAAAAAGCTGATCTTATTTAAGAGTGGCAAGCATTACCTGGGCCCAGTTGGATACAGATATATCAGAAATGTATGTGTCTGTTTGTACACCTGAAAGCATCTCCCCAAAAGGGGGCTTTCAGCACAGGTGGCTTCCACTGCCCTCCTCCATCCCATCCTCATAGCAGACTGCCAAGAACCCTCTGGGTTACATGCACGTACATAGGCCCAGAATTGGTGGTGTGGAGGCAGGGACAGACAAGAGGACAGCAAAGAAAATAGACAAAAGGAAGACCCTGGACAAACTCATCCCCCCTTTATCAAATAATCTTAAACTATATTCACGTGTGTTATCTCTTTTGATCCTCACGACGACCCTGGGAAATAGAACTGACAATTTCCTTAGAGATGAAGAATCCACAACAGGCAAGAAGTAATTTACGTGCCCAAGATCATCCAAAGAGCATGTGAGGAAACTACACAGCAGTGTGATTGTCCCAATCCCTGGCTACAGTTGCTTCTTTTCATTAATGATGATGCTTCTCCTCCATAAAACTCAGCCCAGTCGCAAAGTCATTTTCATATCTATTGCATCATTTAATTCTCTCCCAAAAATCTAGAAGGAAAGCACTATTATCACTGCATGGGAGACAAAAGGTCAAACTGATGGTTGGCCCATAGTGACAGGAACATCTAATAAATAAAAAAGGAATTCTGGTCTCCAAATTCTCTGCTCCTTCCTCTACCTCCGAACTGTCTTTCCATGGGGCTCTATTCCATTGTCATTTGACTACCAAAAACATCATCCTCCAGAATCAGGATGACCGCACAGCATCAAATATGTGCCTACTGTGTCCCAGGCACTGTCCTCACATTGAGAATACAAAAGGCAATGAAAGAACCCCTTATGGGGGTCAAAGATCAGTGGGGGAGGCAGACTCGTGAACAGATAATTTGCTGTAAGCAACTAGTGCTGTAATCGAGGCATGCACGAGTACTCTGGAAATTCAAAGTCAGGGAGATTCACTCCACCTGCCCGGGAAGAGGGTGGAGGTGATGGGGCTCCAGGAGGCTTCAGTGGTGGTACTGACGCTTTCCACAATATTACCCAAACTTGGGAATCAGCTTACACACGACGCAAAAGCCCAGAGAACAAAAATAGTTTTACCTCCCGCAGTTTAGTGAGAGTCATGGAAATTACAAGTGCAAAAAAGCACAAAAGAGAGTGATCAGCTATACTGCTGACTTTTTCCTACTTTTGACAACTTAAATGAAATTGTCCTGAGTCATACTTACTACAACCTTTGACATTTCTTAGACTTTTAACAGGTACAAATCCTCAGCAGCCATGTTGTTTATCTAAATTCAGCCCAGAGTCTGTGTCATGGTTGCCATTATATCCTGTGCAAGGAACATGAAAGGGCCAAATTTAGTAGCAGATGATGAGTGTCAGGTCCAGGAGTTTCCGAGAAGCTTATGAAATCCTCTGTCTTGTTTACACTACATTAAAATCTCCCTTCCCCAAGCCCGTCCTTCTCCGAAGGCTGAGGTGCTTATCCTGGAGCCACTACTTCCTGCAGCTTGAAGATGAGTAAACCATACCCGCCTGCCCCAGGGGTACCCTCTGGGATTCTGGGCAGCTCAGGGAATCTGCCCTGCTGGCATCATCATTTCCCTGAACCAAGTTCCCAAAACAACACAGTAATGACAGAAGAAAACCAAAGTGGCATAGATGGTACAGGTATACATAGCACCTGGCCCTGGGTTATCTTAAGCAGGTGGTCTTCCACGTAAATCCAGGGGACAGACAGACACAAGAGAGTTACAGACTAGCCCTTGTCTAAGGTTGGGTGCATTTTCCTAATGGGATACCACATGCCTGGTTACAGCAACCTAAGGAGAATGACTGAATTGTTCTGAGCTCAGGAAGAAACATTAAAAAGCTGGCTGCAGTTTGTTACATCCCTAACTTGTCCAGATATTAATATTTTAAACAGCAGGACTGACAATCCTCTTGATCTCTTGATACTCATCTATTAACAAAGTAATTTTTCCCCTGTGGCACTCAAAAAAATCTTTGCGTTTGAATTTTTTTAAAAGTCATGGCTCACAAATATTTTGTAACATTTGCACCCCGTTCTCTAGAAGGGATCACTCCCTTGTTCTCACTGTTTTACTGGCCTCCTGAGTGCTATGCCCACATACAGCAGTAATCTAATTTCCATCTGGTCAACCTCCAGGAGCTATTTTGAGTCTGGCCTGAATTTAGTCCACTTTTCCTGCCAGTGCAGACTCAGGCCCTCTACTCTCCTGGGGCTCTTTTCTCTAAAGAAGCTTTTGAAAAATACAGGCTTCCTACAGGGCCAGGGTCACTGCCCATCTCAGCTTGGAGTGGTGCCAGGAGATGCTAAGTACTACCCTACTTGCCACTGGGGAAAGACAGGAAAGGCAGGAGCTGGCCTTCCCATCCTCAGCTCTCACGGTTCTTGTCTCTCTCCCTGGCTCTGCCCCCAGCCATTTGCTCAATCCTGCAGGATGCTGAGTGCACCCTGCTAAGTGTCTGATCCTTTGCTCCCATTTGACCCTGTGCCTGGAGTGTACTTGCAGTTGTCTAGCTAACTCCTGCTGGCCTCTTCCTCATCCCCAAGATGGCTCAGGTACTCCTCATTGGTTTTTCTTTAGCCTCTGCCACATCAGGGCATCCACCTCACCATCTAGAACCAGCCCTTTTACTTGTCTGTCTCCCACCCCTTCATGCTAGACTGTGATCTCCCTGAAAGTGACACTGTGCTCTGTTATCCCTCGCATCCTAAGTACCAGACACATAGAAGACGTCCCATATACTTTTGCTGAATTGAATTCAATTGCCCTAGAAAAGAAAAGTGCCTAGAGGAAATGATTAAAAAAAAAAAAAAAAAAAAAGGAGGATTGGAAGAAGTGAAAAGAAAAAAAAAAGCATTTGGTGGAAAGTCAGAGGGCACCTCCAAACACTGCCTCAACTGTCATGCTTGACTTTGTAAGTGGACTAACACCAAGCTGATGATGAATCAGTCGGAAACGATGATGCTATCTCCAACCCCTACTGCCTAGAGAAAGGGTTTCCAAGTCCAGTACCTCCAGGGGCAAGTAGGCAACCTCACTGTGAGGAAGTCAGCCAGATATGAAACAGCAGGGAGTGATGGAATCATGGAAACCCTGTGCAGAGAGCCTCCTAGACCAAAACATTCAAATTCAAATCCAAATGCAGGCAAAGCCAGCCTGAGGTCCCGATTCATGCTCTGCTGGCCAGATCTAGAAGGATAGTGCTCTGCATTGCAAAAAGTACCTCTAGCCTGGAACAGGACCTGTCCTCTTTGATTTTTCTACATTTCACAGGTTTAAATTAAGTACACTCAAAGGTGTTATTTGTAGCAATATCCTAACTACATTGAACTACCATTTAACATGCTGTTTCTACGGGAAACATGTATTGCAAGTTCTAACTCTAAGTGCTAGGAGTGTCCCAGCATCCATCCCATCTTTGGTGATGACAGCATCCATGGAATCAACATCTGAGGTACAGAACGTCACTGGGGAGGCCAGGAGAAAGCTCCTGGGTGCAGATAGCTTGTGATGGCTCCATATCTCTGTATATATCTCAACACGACCCTCACACTCGATACTCCAGGCATGTCCACCTATCTACAGAGGGCCCGCCATCCTCATTTCTTCACCACTGCTGTGTGCCATGCTACATCCTCTGCCTCACCTTCACCCAGCTGCTTGTTTTTATCCTGTGGGCCACTTCTTTTCCTAACCTCTTCCCCGCTCTGTTGTCTGACACTCCAAAGCCACCAGAGCATGTTGTACTTTCCCCAGTGTGGTGCTTCTCCACACTGGATTGTGACTGTCATTTGTGGTCAGCATCTCCCCCAGACTGGTAGGAGGAGGAGAGGGTCGGACTCTTCACAGCAGTATCCCCAACACCTGACTGGTGTCACATGCTTCGTGGCCAGCATTGAATGAATGAGCAAATGTATTAACAAAAAATTGAAGGAATGAAGAGATAAAGCAACTTTTTGCGCTAAATCACTGGTATTCTCAAATGGGTCACATGACACACTGTCCTCTCAAGGGACAGAGACAAAGCTTGCATCTGAAACTCCCCATACCTGCACATTCATTGCTCAGTTAACCTTCACAATAACCAACATGAGGTATTTCTTTTACAACAATAAAAAAGTAAATTGATGACTAGAGATATTGAATAAATTGCCCAGCACCATAAAGCTAGTAAATGGCTGAACCCTGAACTCCAACCCAGCTCCCCTGACTGCAAAACCTGTGCTTTCCCACCACACCGGGCTGGCCAGGGGTTAGGAGCTCACTGATGCCTGATGGCAAACATACTCCTGCTGTCGCTGCTGCTGCTCCCACTCCTGACTTCAGTATTCCAGGCTCACACAGCCAAATCAGCTCTCAGAAGAAGTCAACCCCAGAGTAGATTCTGGGTCACAGCTGTTACAATCAGGAAGTTGGTCTTTAACCCCAGGTAGAAGCTTCACTTCACTAGGGTGGGATCTTTGAACACAGAGCATCCCTTCCATCTGCTGTCCCACACCTGCCTCCCTATGCCTATTCTCATCAACACATATTTAAAACCTTTGAAGGACAACCTCAAGCCACATGCAAAAAACTTCCTAATTATTAGGGAGCGAATTTGCAATATTTTAGTATATATAAGTAAGAGTGAATGAAAGAGACATAGAGGCCGAGGGAGAGGCAGAGAGAGAGGGAAACAGAAAGTGAAAGCAGAGGCAGAGTTATGCATAACAGGTTCTAAAATACACTATTTGGTAGGGGTGTAATGATGACGCACATTGCTAGAGAAAAGAACAAAATGGAGGAA
Source organism: Homo sapiens (assembly GCF_000001405.40). Taxonomy (NCBI): domain Eukaryota; kingdom Metazoa; phylum Chordata; class Mammalia; order Primates; family Hominidae; genus Homo; species Homo sapiens. The sequence continues at coordinate 44,274,646 of NC_000013.11, forward strand.
GCTCTCTGGCGTCTATGTGCCTTATAAAATTATTAATTTAACCAATCCCTAAAGTCATGAAGTATTAAGTGACAAGTTGTCTAGCTACAATAGTATGAGTCAACTACTGCATATTCCACTCTATTTTAACATTGAAGCCTAAGATGATTTAGGCTAACAAAGTCATTTTCCAAACAAATCTAAAAATCAAATCTTCATACAAGAAAAGAGGGAGAAGCACCAGACTTTAACCCCAAATGGCAGCCAGTCTTTATGAGATTCTGTTACAGGGTCTGTAAAACTCTGAGCCAGCTGCATGGAAAGGACCCAGGACCACTCACACTGACTGATGTGGTCTTTGAAAATGTGCCAGCAAGGCTTACAGAGAAGGAAACCAGAGCTTTTCAGAACTCAGCTCCTCTGCACAGCGACACAGTGAGATGGACAAGGGCTGCTCTACTGAATTTGCAAATGTGAATTTAACCCACTTATGAAAACAGTACCGGGCATGGCTATATCACTTATCAGCTCATCAAGTTTGTTCTGGAGGGGAAGCAGTTTTGTGTGGCCCCACTATCAGGCACCAGCCTCATAAAGAAGCAAGCAGCACAAATCCTAAATTCTGTGGTGTTTAATGGAGGCCATGTCAACACAACAGCGGGAAAGAGAGGGACTCTCTACCAACCGGTATACTAAGACATAATCTAGAGGCCAAAGGACTCCAGATAAATTACCCATTGCCCAAAACAAAAGGAAGTCTTTTGATAAGAGAAATATTTACACCTGGGGAGTAAGCCATGGTCCCAGGAAGAAAATGTCTTAAAATGAACTTTGCATCTATTTAGTTTTGCATTTTCAGTCCCCAAATACCCCATCACTGTTTTCCTGTTTTCTTTTTCTCTCCCATGAGCTCACTATCCCTTTGCAAATTTAGGGGAAATAGGACTGCTGTTGACTCTGCAGCTGCAAAAAAAAAAAAAAAAAAACTTGCTAAGTGGAAGAAACCATTTAAAAAGGGCCACATACTGTATGATTCCATCTACATGTTACATATTTATAGCTGTCCCTCAGTTCTTGGATTTTCTGGTCTAATTTTTTCCATCTTTTTCTTTCCAGTTTGGAAGTTTCTGTTGAGATATCCTCAAGCAATTCTTTCCTCAGCCTTATCTAGTCTACCAATGAGCCCATCAAAGACATTTGTTATTTCTGTTGAAGTGTTTTTGAAGCATTTTCTCTTGTTTCTTGGAATTCCCATCTCCTGGGTTACATTGCCTTATCTGTTCTTGCTCTCTGTCTACTTATCCAGTAGAGTCAAATATTAATCATATTTGTTTTAAATTCCTGATCTAATAATTCCAACATCTCTGCCACATGTGAGTCTGGTTCTGAGGCTTGCTCTGGCTCTTCAAACTGTGTTTTTTTCAGTTTTAGTATGCCTGGTAATATTTTTTTTTTAACTTAATTTTCTTGATAGCTGGGTATGATATACTGGGTAAAAGGAACTGCTGTAAACAGGCCTTTAATAATGTGGTGGCGAGGTGTGGGGAGGGGAAGTAATCTGTAGTCCTATAATTAGGTCTTAATTTAGTGAGCCTCTGCCTGCGAACTGTGAACTTCACAGGTGTTCTCAGCCCAGCCCCCTTTAGGCGGGACAAGATGGCTACAGTGGGCTGGAGTTGGGTGTTTCCCATCCTCTAAGTCAGTTAGGGTCTGATAAACCCCAATAGTTTATGCTCTGGTAAAACAGTTTCTCCTGAGTGCAGACCTTGTTAAGAACAGAATGTTCTGTTGTATTTTAAAATGGTTCCTTTTCCCAATCTCCTGCTGAATGAATGAGAAGATTTTTCTCTGATAGTCACTGTGAGAACCTGGTTGAGCCCCAGAAGTTAAAACTCACAGAAGTATGCAGAACCCCTATGACCCAGTCGTCCTGGAGTTTTTCACTCTGAGACTTGTCCATACTGAGCCGCCAGCAATTTGTTGGTTATAGTTCCAGTTTTAACTACTTCAGCGCTGTTCCCTGTGGAGGGTTCTTCTCCTGGTTTCAGCTTCTGTAAGTTGTGATTCTCCGTGTCTACCTGTCTGCCTCTACAATTTAGAGGACAGCAGTTTGCCCTGTGATCTCAATTCTCTGATGGATCTAAAGAGTTGTGGATGTTTCCGTTTGTTCAGCTTTTTATTCCTTAGGATGGAGTGGTGACTTCCAAACTCCTTACATGCCTAACCAGAAACTGTAAGTCCCAATTCCATCTCTAAGAAATGTCCAGAATAGGTAAATCCACAGAGACAAAAAAAAATTTGGTTGTTTAGGGCTGGAAGGATAGGAGGTTGAGGGATAATAGCTAAAGGGTACAAGGTTTCTTCTGGAAGTGATAAAAATATAATAAAATTTATTATGATGATGGTTGCCCAACTTTGTGAATATAAATCCATCAAATTGTACACTTTAAATGGGTAAAATGTATGGTATGTGAATTATAATGCTGAACAAAGGAAGGAAGAAAGAAAGGAAAAGACGGAGGGAAAGGAAGAAAGAGAGATGGAAGGGAAGGAAAGAAGGGGAAGGGAAAGAGGGAGGGAAAGGAAGAAAGAGAGAAGGAAGGGAAGGGAAGAAGGGGTAGGGAAGGGGAAGGAAAAGGAAGGGAAGAGGAGGAGAGGCGAGAGGAGGGAAAGGGGAGGGAGGGGAAGGGAGGGTAACGGAAGGGAAGGGGAGAGGAGGGGAAAGGGAGGGGAAGGGAAGGGAGGGGAAGGGATGGAAAGGGAGGAAAGGGAGGAAAGGGGAAGGAAGTGAAGGGGAGAGGAGGGGAAAGGGAGGGGAAGGGAAGGGAGGGGAAGGGAAGGGAGGGGAAGGGAGGGGAAGGGAGGGAAGGGGAGGAAAGGGGAAGGAAGTGAAGGGGAGGGAAGGGGAGGGAAGTGAAGGGGAGGGAAGGGAAAGGGAAGGGAGGGAAGAGGAAAGAAGGGGAGAGGAGGGGAGGGGAGGGGAAAGGAAATGGGGAAGCAAAGCACCATAGCCCAAAGATAGAAGGAGTGGTATACAGTTGTGTCTGCATGGCCTGAAGTCTCTGAGCCTCTTCAGGATCTTCAGCCTCCTTCCCTCTAGTGTGAGATTCCACCACCCTCCCCCTCCCATAACATACACATACACGCACCAAAACCTTTGTTCCAGGCATCTCAAACAATTTGTATTTCCACCCAAACTCTATGCAGTTCCATTCCTCTGAGCTTTTACACAAACTCTTCTCTCTACCTTGAATGCCTACCCTACCCCATTTCCTACCAAGAGAATTCTCACTCAACTTTCAAGACCCAGTTTAAATGTCACACCCTTCAGGATGTCTATCCCTACCTCCTCAGATAGTTAGGGGGCTCCTCCTCGTCACCTGCAGAAGGCTTTACTGTACAGTATGTCACCATATGAGAAGGTAGAACATCTGTCACAATGCACTTAGGCCTATTTAGATGCATATCATCCCCAACAATACCACAGGCTCATGAAGGACAAATGCTGTATTTTATTCATCTTGGTGTTGAAAAAACTTGGAACTGTGGCTGTCGTATAAAAGATATCTAGTAAATATTTGCCAAATGAACAAATAGCAGACAGGCATCATGCCTCTGTGACACAGGTCATGGAAAGTTAACAGAAATTGTTCCTGTTTGCAGAAATATTTGCAAGTAGAAACATCAATGGTTTCACAAAATGTCTGTGTACCCAAGTTTCTGCCCCAAATCGGAAGCCATTTCAACTTGGCTCCTGCACAGGATGTGACTTCCTGCCCAGAGAGCTCCAAAGGCCCCTCGTGCTGCTTGGGCAGGATCCAAATCTCAACAGAGAATGCAACACGAAAGGCAGAGTATATATGTTACAGAGAGACAAACAGCAGATGTGCAGAGCAAGCCTTGGGGTCATGAGCAAAATAGGAAGACAGCAGTTTGCAGCATGTTTTCTAGGGATGCCAAACTCCGTAGAAACTACTGATCAGAATTGTGTTTGAAGTTAAATATGAGCATTTCCTGATGTCAAGTCTAGAAGTTTCTGTACACAAAACAAGCATCCTGCATGAAAGAGTCTGTCAACCCTAGCTCTGACCAGAAGGGACAAGGAGAGTATGAAGCACAGAAGATGATCCACCAAGCCTGGGAGAAGAGGCTAAGAAGTTGAGGAGTGCCAGTTTCTCCATGAACAGGAACAGGAGCTATTATTTATTTTTGCATATTTTTATGAATTTATGTTGAAGACAATGGGTAGAATTCCTGAATGTAGTTCCTGTCATTTGCAATAAGTCATTTTTTTGGGCCTTGTAAAGTCCAAAAGTAAAGATCTCCTCCAGGTCAGATCAAATATAGATAGAGCCTGTTGACCCCCCTGTGATGGTTAGGGCTTCTCACACTGAAAGCTGTGGGAGCTATAAAGAGAAAAAAGGCATCCCTGACCTTCAGTGTTAATGTGAATTAACCTTACTATACTGCTACTTAAAAATATACCAACATAAATCTGGGTATAAACTCTTCATGCTGACAGCTCTGATATAACTTGAAAAGTAACACAAACTCACAAATTAAATGAAAAACAAACCTTCAAAGGTCAATAAAATTCAAATCAACCACATTAAGCTAATAACACCAGTAATGTTATTTTGTTGAAACTAATTTGCAACACACATACCATGCTGACATTGTTAAGATGTTGGCATTTTTGAGTGTGGCATGCCTATGCTACCCCGTGCTGTGGGATGACTCAATTCTCCCACCACTTTCCTCAGTTTAATTTGGTGCTACACCTCCCTCCATTCATGCCAAGCTTCAAGATGTCACTTGCCCTTCATTGGAGGGAATACAACCATACATGTGAGCACTGAAATTGTACCTGCATACTAGCGATAACTTGGTCACCCCGTTGCTTCAATTATTGCATTAAATATATAATTTTAAGTCATATTTATAAGGTTAAGCTAAAATAAGATTATAAAATTTGCATCGAGATTCTGTGGATCCCAGTTTGAGAAACATGCTGTTAGACCAGCCATCACCCCTGAGAGCATTCCCCTATCTCTTTAACCAGTTTAATCAACGTTTGTGCCAAAGGAAAGAAAAACTCACCCCAGGACAATGCCAGTATTTAAAACACAGAGATAGATACTTTCACAACGGGTTGTCCTCTGTAAGTCATAGATGGAGGGAAGAATTCCCAGGAAGGCGAAGGTCAGAAGAAGACCCAACTCCCTCCTCAATAAGCCCTCCCCAGGGCAACTGATCTTCCTGGCTTGAAACCCCCTCACCTGATCCCGCTCTGGCTGGCCATGTGTGGCTGTGTCTCCAGGAAGTCCAAGCTACCAGTTAACAAAGCTCTGTCAATCCGTGAATTGTTTTACCAAGGGCTTGTTTTGCCTTATTTTGTGTTTTTGTTTTTTAATAGTGGTAAAATACACATAACATAAAATTGACCATCTTAATCATTTTTCACTCTTCATTTCCCCCTCCATCGTGGCAACCACCATACTTATTTTTGTCTCGATGAATTTGACTACTCTAGGTGCCTCATATACGTGAAATCATGTGGTATTTGTCCTTTTATGACTGGCTTATTTCCTTTAGCATAGTGTCCTCATGGTTAATCCAAATAATAGCATGTCAGACTTCCTTCTTTTTGAAAACTGAATAATATTACGTTGTATGTATACAACTTATTTTGCTTATCCATTCATTGATTGATGAACATGTGGGCTGCTTCTACCTTTTGGTTATTGTGTATAAAGCTGCTATGAACATGAATGTACCTTATTTTGTTTTTCACTGAATTGGCTGGTTCTTTTGGTTCTACCATATTAACACCTGCATTTTCCAGATTTCCCATCTCCATTTAAGCCTGGAAAGATGTGCCTTTAGGATCTGGTGCTTTTTTCTCCAGTGTATAACTTTATATGCCCTCTGACTACAGACATGGGCGCAAAGCTGCATGGGTGATGAACTGTAACGGGCTGGACTCCAGCACATCCCGCAGGAATGTGTAACATGACTTAGACAACAATGTTTGATTCTACTTCCCAGCAGAGGAAAACTAAGTGGGGCGGGTTCTATAGGATCATTCTTAGCCACCAAGTCAGGGTTTCACCTCAGTGTGAACCATCCTGTTGTGCTCTCAGGAGGAGACTGCCATGAAGCTACTGGAAGCACCTTCCCTTACCAGCTCCCCTTCCAGGGATCTCAAAAATGCTGCCGTGGAAGCTGCCTCTCTTACAAGTGAGGAAGGCACCCCAAAATTAGCTGTCATTCCCTTGTGGTACCTTTACTGTGAGTGACGCACTGACGTGTGCTATACCTTTTATGGAGGCTCATGCAGAGTACTGCCACCTAATAGCAGGTGCACACACACCAACATGCACACACACACACCCCAACATGCACACACACACACACACATGCCCCACAGAAATCTAGCAGCCTGCTGACCTGAAACCCATCCTCCGAGACTCAGGGCCATGCAAAAGCTCCCTTAACACGACTCTATTTTCTATCAGTCAAAGAAAATAAACTCTCCTGGGGCATATTTCTTCCTCCCAGGTGGTTTCATGAAAAGAGAGGGTGAATCTCTCCCAAACCACACAAGAACTTGTGTTTTCACAAGAAGGGGAAACCGCAGGGGGGTCTTCTCTCTGGGTCCCTAGCGGCCCCGGGAGACCCAGGTTTTCCCAAGAGCCAACAGCTCTTCCCTGCATGCAGAGCTGGTCCTGGGCAGATGAAGAACTCAAAGGAGGCAGACGGGCGAAAGTCAGCTCTCATAGCAAGCATCTTAGGGAGTGCCCATGTGCTGCAAGGAGAAGCCGGGGAGCAGAGGAAGGGACACTGGACTGAGAGCCCTGATGGGGATCCTGGATCCCAGGGTGGCTGGCCTCCTCTTTTACCTACCTTATGAGGTGAATGTGAAGGCCAAACATGAGTTGTGAGCATGTTTTTTGTAAATGGTAAAATGTCCTACAAGTGGGAGGCATCATTGTTTTATTTTTTTAAAAAATGAATAAAAATAAGTTTCTGCTTTGAAACATTCTGTTCACTATGTCATGCCTGCAAGGTAGGATTTGGTCTTTGGCATGAGCAAATGATTAAACCAAACCACCAGTGACATTCCTCCTGGCCTGAATCAAGTCCAGGATCAAAGCGCTGCCTCAAGATCAAAAGGCTCTGCAATCCAGATGCCAAGCCTGGATCTGCCTCACTGAGTGCTCCTGAAGGCGACCAGTCCCACAAAACAGTAGAAATCCCCTCTTTGTTCCAAAGAGAGTAGCACTTTGAGAAACTTCCTTCCATTCCTGGGAAGCAATGAGTGCTCACAGTGTTAGTGGGCAAAGTCAGGAGAGAAGCGGGCACACACTCCCACATACTACTCAAAATGACCAACGGAAATTTCAGAAACAAGAACTCTCTCCTTTAGAAGGAAATACAAGTGCTTGCCTTTTCTGTTTTATCATGGACCTCTAATGATAAAAATTCAAAAAGTAAGTTTACATAAGATCCCTGACTATAGTAGCTTTTCAATTCCTCTCTTCCAGTTTGAGAGAATTCCAAACTGCCCATTTTCATCTTCCCCTCCTTCCACCCCAATGGCTTCTACTTCAATCAAGGAAAGAAAAATCAGTATTTTCTTTCAATTATTCATTCATTTCCCACCTGCTAAGCAGTACCTTCTCCTCCTCTCCAGATCGTAAGCCCTGATATTCATCTAACTATTGGAATTCTACCCCACTGTCAGGGTTTAATCAGGCAAAGATTATCAACAATACAGGAACCTTCATCTTAGAGAATACCAGCACCCTCATGTCTGCCCCAAAACACACACATACACATGGGTGGTGACAGGTGAGATTTCCTTGGCTCTGTGGCACCTACAGGGATAACTGAAGGAACCTTTCCATTCCTACCCAGCAAGTCCCTCCCAAGTATTTCTGGAACCCATAGACGAGCCCTACACATCCACAGGCACATCCCCTTTGAGGATATTGCTGCTCTGGCCAAGCCCCCACCACTCTTCTGTGCCTCTTGCCGGGTTCCTATGAGTCCCTGACAGCTGCTCCAGGCCTCTGTCTCCAAGTCTTCTCTGTGCCGCTGACCTGATCATCTCTCCACTGCAATGCCCTGGAATTGGCACAGCACACTGACCCCACATAGTCCTTCACATGCCGGAGCCAGGCTGAGATGTGCTGTCCACAGAGGCTCCCCTGTCCAGGGCAGGGTCCCCATTCCGCAGCTCTTCCAGTTCTGCCTTGAACCCTCACTCTGAAGGCTCAAAATCTAGTCTCACCCAATGTCTAATCTGAATCTAACCCCAAGGAAACAACCAGAAAAATCCAAACTGAGGATTTGTGAAATAACTGTCCCAGACTCTTCAAAAATCTTAATGTTATAGAAAGACCACAACAAATCTGAGGATTGTTCTCTAGACTAAAGGGGACTCCCCAAAACTCCCCACTCCCCAACAGGCCCCAGTGTGTAATGTTCCCCTCCCTGCGTCCATGTGTTCTCATTGTTCATCTCCCACTTATGAGTGAGAACATGCGGTGTTTGGTTTTCTGTTCCTTTGTTAGTTTGCTGAGAATGATAGTTTCCAGCTTCATCCATGTCCCTGCAAAGGATGACACCAGAGAAATGACAACTAAATACAGTGAATGGTCCCGCATTAGATCCTAAAATTTTCTTAAATGCCATAAAAGATATTAGTGGGAACATTGAGGAAATTTGAATAGGATGCATATTAGATAATATTGTTGTATAAACACTCAACTTTGAATGTAAAAATTATATTGTAGTTACATAGAATAATGCCCCTTTTGCTAGGATAGAAATGATGAAGTATTTTGGGATAAAGGCTCATGATGCTTGCAACTAACTCTCAAGTGGTTCAGCAAGAAATAAACGCCTATGTACACATGTGTACATGGAGGAAAAGGAAGCAAATACTACGAAGTGTTAATATTGGTGAATCCAGGTGAAGGGTATTCAATGCACTATTCTTGCAACCTTTTGAAGATTTCAAATTTTTCCAAATAAAAAGTTGAGATTCACAACACAAAGCAGAGGAGATATACACTGTTGGAATTCTTACCATTCCTATTTCTCTCATGACTCTCCAAGATCCCTACTCACTAAACTACCTCCACCACCCTTCAGGAAAGAAAAAAACTCATGCAGAACAATTCAAGAAACAGATGTGAGGGGGACGGGGAAGCTAGCTAGTCAATAGCTCATTTACTTGCAGATAAACATACTCTGAATTCCAGTTTAGATATAACTGAGACCCCATTACACTTGTAAACACTGGAGTTCATTCATCGTATACATTTAGGTATATGCCCATTGGTTGACACAGGGTAGGAAAAGATGACACTAGTACAAATTACTAGGTCTCAGAAGTCCAAAAGAGGACCTGGGGCCCCAAGACACATCCCCTCTAAAATCCTTTAGCCAGGGTGAGATTATTGCAGGACTCACAATTTTTTCACCAGTGCCAACCCTATTCTTGGCTGCAGGTTGACACAATATACAACAAAGATAGTATTAAGTACAGGTAGAGTTGAAGCTTTCTAAGCCCACTTTCAGGAATCAACTCAAATTCCTCTCTCTCCACAAATTTCTTCTTATTCATTGCTTTAAAAACACTTTACTTGTACCTCTATTAGAACTCAGCCAAATGGATTTCTGATACAATTCTCCTTCAACAATTTTGTCTGTGACCAAACCTTGGTGAGACCACATGATCCAATATTTGACCAGAAAAATGCAGTTGCTATAATTATAGAGATTATTGTATGGTTCCTTTATTACAGTTATTTGGGTACATATCTCTCTCCTGCATAGAGTATATATTCCCTCAAGGGAGGGAGGATTGTTATTCTTCTTTCTGTCTCCTGTTTTGCCCTTCATGAGTAAGTGACTCCAGCCCCTGTCTCAGTTCTGTTGTCACCCATATGCTGATGATGCTCACGGTCACTCCTGCTTCTCTTAGCAACTTCAGGTTAGATATCCAACTCCCTGCTGAACAAGTCCTCTTTTTTTTTTTTTATTTTACTTCAAGTTCTGGGATACATGTGCAGAATGTGCAGGTTTGTTACATAGGTATACATGTGATATGGTGGTTTGCTGCACCCATCAACCCATCATCTAGGTTTTAAGCCCTGCGTGCATTAGGTATTTGTCCTAATGCTCTCCCTCCCCTTGCCCCCAACTCCCCAACAGGCCCCAGTGTGTGATGTTCCTCTCCCTGTGTCCACGGGTTCTCATTGTTCATCTCCCACTTATGAGTGAGAACATGTGGTGTTTTGTTTTCTGTTCCTTTGTTAGTTTGCTGAGAATTATGGTTTCCAGCTTCATCCATGTCCCTGCAAAGGACATGAACTCATTCTTTTTTATGGCTGCATAGTATTCCATGGTGTATATGTGCCACATTTTCTTTATCCAGTCTATCACTACAAGGAACTTAAACAAATTTACAAGAAAAAACCCAACAACCCCATCAAAAAGTGGGCGAAGGATATGAATAAGTCCTCTTTCCGCCCTCCAGGTACTTCATATTCATCCAAACAAAGCTGAACTCATAAACTTTCCCCACATCCTCAAAATTCTGCTCTCTCTCTCATATTCCCTATCTCAGCTGCCCCATTCAGCCAAGCTGCAACCTGATTCATCCTTCTCTTTTATCTCATCTCCCTCAGCCAGCCCATCATTAAAGCCAATTTCTTCTTTTACCTCCTAAACAGTCCTTAGACCCATCCCCTCCTCCCTGCCTACCCTGCCTTTTCCTAGCTGAGGAGCTCACTGTCTCTTGCCTGAACTGTTGAATAAGACTCCTGACTCCCTGCTTCCACTGTTGACCCTTTTGAGCCATCTTCTTTTTTTCTTTTCTAAGTATTATTTATTAAAGAAATATAAAACACATTAAGCACTAAGAATGATAATTTATTTTAATGTTCTGGGGTCCATGTGCAGGATGTGCAGGTCTGTCGCCTAGGTGAACGTGTGCCATGGTGGTTTGCTGCACCTATCAACCCATCACCAAGGTATTAAGCCCAGCATACATTAGTTCTTTTCCCCAGTGCTCTCTCCCCATCTGCTCTCCCCTGAGCCATCTTCTATTCTGCAGTTAGATGACATCTAAGCCTGTCCCTCTCAACATAAAACATTCTATGGCTCCCCAATACAAGAGAATAAAGGTCCACACTTTGCCCAGCCCCTCAGGTCCTGCATGAACTGAACTCTATGCTTCTTATTTCCTTGTTGGCCTTTCCCTGACTTACACTTTATTCTCCAGCTGTGCTAAAGCACTTGTAGTTGCCAATATGTAGCCTGTTGTTTGGCGTTTCTGCACCATCACTCATGTTCCTTCCTCCGTCTGGAGTTTCTGTCTATCTTTTTGACGTAGGTACCCCTTACCCACCTTTCAACACTCAGCTCAGCTTCCATCACCTCTTGAAGCCTTCCCAGAAGCTCCAGGCTGGGCTGAGTGCTGCTTCTCTGTACCCCTGAGGAATCCTCTGTATACCTCCCCCTTGGCCATGACTCTGTTACATGGAGATCCACACATAAATCTGGCTTCCCAATAAAAATTGCAAATTTTTAATGGCAGAAACTGTCAATTTTCATTTGCCTCTAAAGCAGCTAGCATGGTGCTAGGAAAATAATAGATGTTCAAAAATACTTGTCAAAAAGCATACTAATTACCTCCCACTATAACTAGCACAGAGCCATGTTGCGAGAGATGCCCAATGGATATCTTTGGAATAAAACATCCACTGTTTTGTTTCCTGGGCCAGAAGGTAGGGAGGAACACAGCAGACCTGTCATCAGAATCCCAGCCGAGGGATTCTGATGACAGGAGCACAGGGCCCTGTTGCTTCCCCCAAGCACTTTCTCCAAATGCAGCATGAAACAAAGGTAGTTAAAGCAAGAACCCTTTTTCTTGTGCTGTCTCCCAAACCAATTCTTTTACCACCATCCTGGGCCCCTCTCTTTCTCCTGGTCCCCTGAGGTTAGAACCTGCTATCCATCTGTATTTTCAGACTTCAACGTATTGCTTGCCTCCTCTCTATTCTGTCATAGTGCCTGCAATTCCCTTTTTCTCACATTCTAAATTTATATTCCCTAAACAATCCGTTTAGAAGGGTCTGTGAAACTCTTTCTCATCACATCTTTGTAGAATGGCTACTCCCTCTTTGGGCTATATCATCCTAGAATCCAAGATTTCATACACACAGTGTTCACCTGTCTCTCCTGCTGAGACTGTAAGCTCCTTGAGGCCACAGTCTATGGCCCATGTATCTTTGTGTCAGGAGGCCTAGCCCAGTGTCTAGTGTAGGACCTGGTTTATATAGCTGAGTAGCTGAATATTTTCATATAGAGAAAGAGAGTAGGGTCCTGAGAGAGTAGGGAGGATAAACTTTGATGGTGGACAACAGGAATGATTGAGAACCAAATGGATGGGTTAAGCCTCCTGTAGTTTGACGTGATGATGCCCCGCAACACCTCAGGGTATTGAGGGTGGATGGAAGGGATGTGAAGACGGAATGGAGAAATCATTCCCAACAGATTCTGAGAAGTTTTCAGTGGTATTTCCTATGCCTCAGGCTCTGCATCAGGAGTCTTCCTGGAAGTTCTGGAAAATCCTGTAATAGTAGAGCTTAGAGGAATCACATGTGCAGATATTCTATTTAAGTTCAGGCCCATCAGTTTGGTCTCCTTAGTATACTCAAAATCCCACATGGGCTAAGATCAAAGTTTTCATTTGCCTTTAATTCTGGCAGCCCCTCCTGAATGCTTTCTTACCTACAGCAGGTGGCTAGAGAATGTTTGGTGGCTGACAGATTACGTTTTTGACATTGAAAAAGTCTTTAAACATGGAAGTGGCTTCAAATGAGTTTTGACTAATTCTCAGGCAAACAGTCCCAGCCAGATTATATTTGTTTAATTTTTAATGCACATTTCACCACCCCCAGGGATGTCAATAGCCTCTTATTGATTGTGCTTCTAAAAGTCAGGAGTGCGTCCATATAGAAAAGATTGCTGAGTGAACAATGGTGAGCACCATGCTATCAAAGACATCCCGGTGGCACTCCCCAATGAGGGTCTTGTTTTTCATCTTTGATTTATTGTTCAGTTTAAAGCCAACTCCTTTCACACTCATAACTATCATGTCCTCATTCTTAAGTTGCTTGGGGTCATGCTAATTAATACAATAGAACTTCAGTCTTCTTATCTAAAACAAATACCCTAAATGAACCAAGGAAGCTGAAATAAGAAAGTCCAGGTGTGCCCAGAGGAGTTTATAAGCCCAAGAGTGAAAAGCAGAGGAACCTATAAGAGATACAAAATGCAAAGATTTGTTTCTGATACATAATGACAGCCAACATCTTTCAAATATTTGTTAGGTGCCAGATGCTTTTTAGACATTATCTCATCCAACTATATGTATTCCTACAAGATAAACATGATTAATCCCACTTCACAAATAAGAAAATTGGACTCTCAAACAAGCCAAGTATTTTGGCCAAGATTTCTCAGCTAGAAAGTGGGAGCCAAGGAACAAACTTACATCTTTCTGGTTTTAATTCAGCGCTTATTCGGCTGTACCAACCATTTCTCGTACACACAGGAAAGCAAGCAACCTACATAGAGTGTAGTATCTGCCAAGGTACAGTCAGAAAGCAAAACGTCACTAGCGATTTTAACAAAGATGATTTATTATAGGAAATTGGTTAAACGGGGGTAGGGGTATATGAGAGGCAAATGGGGAACCCTGAGTAAAAAAAGCTTATTAGGAAGTAGCAAACACCTCTAGTGCTGGATATAAGAAGTAGCTACCCTCTCTAAGGGGCAGGGAAACTTAGGAAGCAGCCTGGGGTCGTCAGCTCCTAGCAGCTTGAAGGAGGAGCCCCTCAGAAGCTGGAACTCAGACTCCTGTGGAGGGGGCACTGCCTGGTTCGTGCTGGTACCTCAAAGCAGCTGTGATGGGGCTGGTTCCAGGAGTACTGCAAGAAACTGGAAACCACAACGCACTGGAACCAATGCTGCTTCCAGGGTGAAAGGTCAATGCTGGGATGCTGCTGACAGCACAGGCAGGCAAACAGAAGGGCCAAGTCTCTCCTCCCATCCTGTGCCAACCGGCTTCCCCCTAGGGTCCCTGATTGGCAAAGGAGATGTGTAGTCAGCAGAGTCCCAGCCCAGCAGAGCAGAATATAGAAAGGTGGATCTGGAACTGAGACAGAACCCCTTCCCAGACAGCACACGGGGGTGATGTGTGCCCACCAGGGCACATGGATTAAAGTAGGGGAGACAATTGTCTGTATAATGACATCAGCCACCGTTACTGTGCACCTATTCACTGTGTTCCATTCTTTCCACATGCTGACTCCTTTGCTCCTCACACCTATGAGGCAGGTGCCAGTATCTTAGCACTTTTACAGATGCCAAAGCTGATATTTAGATATGCTAAATAACTTGCAAAAGGCTAGGAAAAGGAGGAGTCAGGATTCACAGCCAGGTCTGCCTGGGTGCTACGATCCTGCTACAACCACCTGTATTCGTTTGCTAGGGCTGCTGTAGCAAACTACAACAAACTAGTGGCTTACAACAGGAAAACTTTTTTGTATCACAGTTCTAGAGGCCAGAAGCCCAAAATCAAAGTGCTGGCAGCACCAGGCTCCCTCTGAAATTGCTTAGCAGAGAAACTTCCCTTGCCTCTCCCGGTGTCTGGTGGCTCCAGGCATTTCTTGGCTCGTAGCTGTGTAACTTCAGTCTCTGCCACCTTCTTCACAAGGCCTTCTCCTCTGTGTCTCTGTGCATTCTCTTTTGTGGCTATGGAACACTTATCAATGGGGTTAGGACCCACCTGGGGTATCCAGGATGATCTCGTCTACAGATTCTTAACTTTAAGTTAGAAAAAAGGGGGTGGGGTAAGCACAGGCACAGAAATAATTAACTAATTCATTAATTAAAAGAAAAAACAAAGAACTCTTTCCAAATAAAGTTGCATTCACAGGTCTAGGGGGTAGAATGGGGACATATGTTTTTGGCAGCCACGATTCAACCACTGCACCATCATATCATGTAAAACAACTACTGGGCTTTTGAAAATCATTTTCAGCAAAACCACTTAAAATTAAATCTGTATTCTTATAACATTTTCAGATTCTAAAACAATCTTTTGTGCCATATGTAGAACTTTTAATATTTGATGTTCCTGTCCCTTTAAGCTGTAAGCAGTGACACCTTCTGCAGCTCCTGTCTTCTAAACAGCCAGCCTGCATGTCTTCACCTCATCAACTCATGATCTCATTTCAAATCGCATCTGGAAATATCTTCCTTCCGCTCTGGTCCCTCCTTGGCTGCTTTCTTTGGCTTGACTTTCATCAGCACTTGTGTCATGCAGTCCAAGGATTCAGTGAGCACACCTGGTGCAGCAAGTATTATTTAAGATGAGAGTTTCCTCATCGATAGAGTGGAAGGTTCCCAAACCCTCTATCATTTGTCCCAGTAAAAGTCCACCCTCCTCCCCCAAGTCTCCACTCCACACTCCAGCCTTGGGAAGGAAACCTTCAAATGATGGTTTCTCTCTTTGGTTGAAAGAACTGAATGACCCATTTTGCAACTCACCTAGTTGAGGATATAGTTTGGAAATTTACATACCTTGAAGATACGCATCTGGTGTGTGTGTCTGTGTGTGAAGGGTAAAAAGATTTCTCAAAGCAAGCAGACATTAGAGAGAAATGTACATAGTGCTCTTTTGCAAAATAAAATATGTGAGCTGAGGGTCTCTAATGCATCAGGGTTAATGAAATACATTTCATATGCCTGATCTGAAAGAATTAAAAAGATGTCTTTTCTCTCTCGTGTAAATATGTCAGACCCATCGTTATTAGGGTCTGACATATTTGCTAGTGAATACTTCCAGAATACCAAGTACTACATCCCTTAGATTTAATTCTGAAGTTCTTATATTTGGCATCCTGTAAAGAAAGGAGAAGAATATTAGAAAGTGAAATTTTAAAACCCATCCGAGGTTTCCTCTGTCTAAGTGTCTCAATATTGAAATCATCAATATCTGTTTGAAGTTTAATTTTGAGAAAATATTTCCTGCCTCCACAGACATAGACATTGATGTTACTGCATTGTTCTTTGCTCTTTTCCTACAAAATTCTCAGAAACATATTTTTCTTCAGGCAAGGTATGTATTTGGCAATCATTAAGAAATTTCCTCAGCATTTCATTTCTTTTTCTCAAGCTCTTCCTCATAAAATGTGGGTTCACATTTTACTTTTTTTTTTTTTTTTAGGGAGTAGATGAAAACACCAAATGGATTATTTCAGACGTACCTTCTCTCCCCTTCCCTATGACCAGAAAAAGACAAAACACTGCCTCTTCTTTCATTTTTCTTCTTGGTATATTGATGGAGCCGTCATTATGCCCTCAACACCTCATCCGAAGTAATATGGGACAATAAGAGGTATTATTCTATGCCAGATATTATTCTGCCCAGTGGCGTTACTCTGTAACAGTGCATATTTGGGGCTTGAAAGGGGAAAGATGAAGGTGTGCAAGGGACTCGCAAAGAGGAGAGCTTTTCTGGGACGGGGAATCCTAGCCCAACAGGTAACCATGGCTCCAAAGGTGACCCGCTTCAATGCTCAAAGACAGGGCACCTCCCATGCTCCACCAATATATTTACCTGAGATGTACATTCATAAGGGAAGCCATAAATTCTATAGTTTATTGAAAGTAGGGCAGGACATTTTTCTAGTTCAATTTTCTAGATTAGCTCTTTGGCTCTCATCTTACCCCCGGAGGAAGTGAATTATCATGCAGAACCAAAACTCTCTACGAGCAAGTTTACATTCAGCCTTACTTCTTTCAGGGGCAGCCGCTACCCAAGACTTCACAGTCATCATGTAGTTCATCCAAGAGGTGAGTTTCCAGGGGGAAGGTGGAATTCCTAGTTCTGATTTTGTTAACTGCCTGGGTTTTTCTGCTCACAACCTAGCAACCTCTTTTACAGCAGCTCTCCTGTCTATAGTTGCAGCCACACCAATCTGGCCCTGCTGTGGCTAAGGACAAGGTGTGTGAATGGGTAATTTGGGAATTCTGTGGCTTGCAGGCACGAGGAAGCAGGGAAAGAGAAAGAAAGAGATTAACTATTCTCTGTTTCTCAACCAGACCAAGGTTTGCTCCTTATGTTTTCACCACCAGAAATGCCTTTGTCTTCTCCATCTGGGGAAATCTTATTACCCTTCAGGGAAGACCAACAAATGTCTGTTGAGAGACTTAATGAGAGTGAGAGGAGTAAGCCTCCAGTTTTTAGAGAACCTTGGATGTCCACAAAAAAAGATAGAAGGATGTGGGTGGATAATTGCTGGTGGGAAAGGACATGGTGTTGCGGCAGAAGGTTTCATGTAAACATTTGTTACACGTGAGAGATTCGGAGTTTTTCTATGGGCATCTCTGAGGAGACACACAGAGAGGAGAAGAAGACCAAGGCAGAGACTGAAGTGATATGTCTACATGCCAAGGAACACCAAGGATTCCCAGGAGCCTCCAGAAGCCGAGGGAGGCCTGGAACAGAGCGTCCCTCAGAGCCTTCGGAAGCAATCAACCTCCACACCCCAATTTCAGGCTTCTGGCTTCTGAAACTATGACAGAGTCAGTTTCTGTTGTTTTAAGCCACTAAGTTTGTAGAAATCTGTTACAGTAGCCCTAGCAAACTCATACAGATTTTTGCCTAGAGGGTGAAGAAGTGTCTGGTTTAATGAGTCCCAAGGGATGTGGATTTTTTATGACCCCTAATGGATTTAATAAAAAATTTTGACACATATTTACTGAAGACCTATTAAGGATTAGTCTGTATTCTCTTGCTGCTTTTAGTCAAATGAAAGCCATAAACCAATAACCATGATAGTGGATCACTAATTCCAATGGAGATGAGTGCTCTGAAGGAAAGGAACAGGTTCTCAGAGAGTATACAGTGAAGAAGGCCAACGCTGAGTGAGGAGTCAGCAGGAGTTCTCTGAGGAAGTCACTGAGAATGATCAGGCTTCTGGGAGGGCCAGCCTGTAGTCCTTTTCTTTTTGCTAAGCATTGCATGTGACAGGGGAGCTTTTCTGGTCAAAGTGAATGCACTTTTATGTGCTTTGAATATTATTATGTCAGCTTCCTGCTACCATGGTGATTTACTAAACAGAGTCTGGGATTTACTAATCTGAGTAACAGGCAATGGAAGTGGGTTCACTCTTTCAGCCAGTAGATCCAGTCTTCTGCATCTGCCTCTTCCCTCAGTGGTCAGTATTTTCCTGGGATATTCAGAGATGTGATGGGGGAGGGGGAGTAGAGTTCCACATTCAAGAAAATTTTAGAAAAACTATCTATCTTAGTCCTTTTGCATTGCTCTAAAGGAATATCTCAGCCTGGGTGATTTATAGAGAAAAGAGGTGTATTTGGCTCACAGTGCTTCAGGCTGTACAAGAAGCATAGTGTCAGCATCTGCTTTTGGTGAGGGCTGCAGGAAGTTTCCACTCGTGACAGAAGGCAAGCGGAGCTGCCATGCAGAGATCACATAGTGGAAAGAGAGGCAGAGGAAGGAGGTGCCAGACTGTTTAACAAATAAAGCTCATGAGAACTAAGAGCAAGGACATACTCAGTCCCACAAGATGGGTACCAAGCCGTTCATGAAGGATCCATCCCCATGACCCAAAAGGCCCCACCTCCAACGCCGCAGACCAAATTTCAGCATGAGATTAGGAGGAGACAAACATCCAAAAGATATCAGTATCTTAAACGAAAAGAGATGGGTTTCTTTTCTACAGGGCCTCCTGTCATTTCCAATATGCTGATTTACACTGTGGGTCTCTGCATGGGTGACATCACCCACAACTTTCCCCAGATCTTTGGACCTGGAATCTGTTTATCACAGAGCGGTTCATGGAACTGACATCTTGTGAAACACATTTTGAGGAACTCGGTATCAGAGCCACTGTGGAGTTGTACACATGATTGACTTAATTTTTTTTTCTTCTCTTACGTCCAGGCTGCCTTCCAGCAACTTCGAGAACAGAGTTGGGCATTCCAAGCCTGGGAGACCCTGTCTCAGAACATCTAGGCTCCCAGGTTGGTCCTCATTGGAACATGAGGGGACGTGGTTACATCTGCAATTGAAAGACCTCATCTAGGGGGTAAATGTGAAAGGAAAGGTCCAGGAAGGACCAGGGCAGAGGGCTCCCCTACAATTCTCTGATGTTCATTCCTTCAAACATCCTTAGCCATGCAGACACACTTGCAAGTTGAGAGTTTGCAAAGCCATTAATAGAAACAAAAGTAGTAAGTAAGATCTGATGTGACTCAACATGCTGTTCGCATAAGAGAAACTAATCTCCAGGCAGAACGGCCTGTAACTGATGCCTGTGTTCTGTCATTGAAAGCCTCTTGGCATTGCTTTGTTGCATTCTGGAATATACAATTGCAAGCACTGAAGTTAAAGAAGCAAAAAATATTAAACAATTCCATAACTACAACAATAGATACATAATATTATACATCCTAGATTCATGTCAGTTCTCAAAATAGTCTTAACAGTCCTCATTTCTGTACACACTTCACCAATGACTCACTTTTACACTCTGACAAGTCACATGACTTCCTTGCACTGTATTTTCTGCATTTACAGATGGGATAAAAAACAACTTTAATGCTGTTGCATGTTCAAGGAACCTAATCACAAAGTGCTGTGAATTCCTTGTATAAATGGTGCTGTGCAGAAACAAGCCAGTTTAAAACAAAAACTAAACCAAAAGAAGCATTAGTCAAGTCAAGAGTCCCCCTAAAATTCAGAGATTACTGCAACTTATTGCATTAAAGCTTGGGCAACATGTCCTCAGAGAGAACATGCTACCTGTTTAGGGGTCATTTGGCATAGGCAGGAAGGTATGGATTTAAGGTTTAAATATTGGATCTGCAACTGATGGTTGCACAAGAATATGTGACTTTGGGCAATTCACACTTACGTAATGGAGATAAAGACAGTTACCTTGCAGGATATTTGTAAGAAATACACAGAAACATGCAGAATACTTAGAACATAGCAGATGCCCAAGAAATACATCCTTTGTATTTTCTGCATCCTATTTGCAGGTTAATCCTGCTCCACTCCCTTGCCCCATTAACTCAAGACTTTATATTGATGGAGAAGTCAGCAGAGCAGCCAAGGTCATCAGAAGTTGCCCATTGCCCATTAGTCTTTACCCTCTGCATGGTTCATTCATTCATTTAACAAGTATTTCTTCAGCTTCTACCACATGCCAGGCACTAGAGCTGATCCCCTGCAGCTTTTCAGCATTACCAATATCCACTGCTAACCAGATCCGCTTGACCCCTCCAGTTCTCCTTTCTTCACTGGTTCCAGTGAAGAAACCCTGAACCTCCCCCAGTCTACCTTGGACAGTTGTGCAAACTGGGCATTACCCAACTCATGGAGCAGCATCCACATCACAGTTCTTCCTTCTTGCTCATCCTCCCTGCCTACATGAACCTAGGGAATCTTTCTGAGGTTATGCTAAGCAAAGTTAATACAGTAAAATCCAAGAATTAGATTGAAGACCAAGTGAGAGGAGTAAAGGCTTCTTCCCCTCATTCAGGACAGCATCTGGCTAGGAAGTCATGGGCCTTGTTAACATTATTAATCACTATAATGCCAACACGATTGTATTTTTATTTGATTCTCAAGGGAATCTTGTAGAAAAATGTTATCTCCTTTTTACCAATGAAGAAACAAGATCCAGAGGAATTAAACCATTTGACTGTGTCACAAAGCCAGTGGGTACCTGGACTAAGACCAAAATTCAGTTCTCCGGATCCCCAGGCCTGTTTCCTCATGGGCTGGTGGCCCAGCCGTGCTGTCCAATAGAATTATCTGTGTGATGGAATGTCCCAGATCTGCACCAGCTAATGCAGTAGCCACCCAGCTCAATGTGCCTATTGAGTACTTGAAATGTGGCTAGTGTAACCGAGGACCAACATTTTTTTAAATTTTATGTAATTTTAATGAATTTAAATTTAAATAGCCTCATGTGACTAGTGGCTACTATATTGGGCAATGCAGATAGGGCCTTAATGCTAAACCTAAGCTACACAGAGAAGGCTTCTGGGCCAGTCACTCCTGCATTTCTGCAGTTGCCTTCCCCCAGAGCCAACCCTTCTCCATCCCAAGCCCCAGGCCCACGTGCAGCCATTTGTAAATAATCACTGAGTTCCCCCAGAAAACTTGAAGAGGGAACTAACTCTAGATAGGGTCAGAGCTCATGGGCTGCCCATAGGGTCTGTTGAGGGCTAGGACCAAAAGGGCCAGCCCACCCTGAGATCACTCCCACCTCCTATGGGGCCTCAGTTTTCCCTATCAGCCCCAGTACCTCCAGGTCATAGCTTGGAAGGCAATGGCAAATTTGTCACCATGAAGCCATTATGAAGCTCAGAACTTAATTATCTGATCAGCCACCTCCCTGGGTCCTGAGGGAGCAGACCCTAGGAGTGAGAGACAGTCTTTGAGAGAGAAAGAAAAAGAAACATGACATTGCCTAAAACAGAAGCGCAGATGAGAGGCCCCCAGTGGAGGCCAGCCCAAAGTCTTATTTTATTTAGCCAATACTAACTGTGGGGAAAAAAATGTTTAAATTCACTGGATCTCCAAAATTTAAACACAGTGAAAATCTCATATAAACTCATTTCCCCACTCCTGGAACCTTGGGCTATCTAGTAATGCCCAGTTCCATTCACATCAACAGTATTCCTCTGGCAGAGCAGTAGCAGCTCCTCCTTTGAGATGGTGAGGAGCTATCTATTTCCGCACAGCCCCCACCACTGGTCCCCTGTAACACCCCTCTTTACTCACTCATCTGACCTGACTGGCATCTGCAGGCATTTGGGGCTGTCATCCTAGCATAGGGGGGCAGACTTGGGCAAGGTGTCTCTGTGAGGGGCCGGGATAGCAGCACAGAGCTACCTGTGAGTCTGGAGGCCCAGGACATGCTGTTGGGGAGACGGTAGAGAAAGGGGGTGCTGAAATGGAGTGAGGGATGGAGGGAGAGAGCTGAAACACACTAAAATGTGACGGGACCACCTCCATACTCCACCTCCTACCTTACTTGCATTGATTACTGCCAGATGTTTCTTGGAACATCTTGATCTCCAGCCCCCAAACCCTTTTCTTCTACTTTCTTCCAGTACTTAGAACAATGCCAACCACACAGAAAGAACTCAAGAAATGTGAGTTGTTCACAATAAAATGCACTCGATTCAGAATGCCTCCATCAGACTCCCCCGGCTATTGCTTCAACTTGTCACTCTCCCCGCTGAACGCTTCTGTATTCTCCCTCCTTCTTAAGCTCACACTGAATCTCTGCTGTCATGTCCCACTGAGATAGGTTTTTTAATTCCAGGCCTTCACCCAAGTGGCTGGCTGACCCAGCCAAATGCTGGCACAACATGGGATGCAATTTGCTCGCTATTCTCAGCATGGTCCTGGAAGCTGAGTCAAAATTATTATCCAAGCCATAGCCTGGCATATGGCTTTAACACTTTTTCTTTCCTTCCTTTTGTCATTCAGTCTGTTCACTTGAGATTTTCTCCATGCCAGTGAGGCAGAGAGGAGGGAAATGGGGAAGGTCCCTAGACCATAAGGTCCTCGAAAAAAAGAACTGCATTTTCTTCTTTTGTAGTCCTCGGATCTAGCAGGGTCCGTGGCACAGAGGACGGGTTCTCATGTAGATCCAAGTGTGACTAGAAGAAACAATTTGATTAACAGAGGCAAGCAGGAGAGAAAGGACCACTAGACTAAGGATGGGTCCAGGACACAGTTCCAAAGCACAGCTGTGTATTTTCCTACCTGTGTTAGCTAATTCACTAATCTGAGCTTCTCTTTTCTGATCTATGAAAAATAATTAATAATATAAATGCTGTTATTGATTGGTACAATCTTTAGGCAGTCAGACAACACTTGGCTCCAAAAAAGCATAAAAATTTTAAGAACAATGACTCAGTGATCTCAATCCTAGAAACTCATTTTAAGGAAGCAATTCAGCAGAAACAAACCCATTCTGTGCATGAAGACGTTTATTCAGAATACTATTCAATAGCAAAATACCTAACATTACCTAACTATCCACAATAAGGAAATAATTAGTCACAAATAATATTTAAACACGATGGGCTATGTTTCAACAATCAAAATGAATGCTTCTGAAGACTAAACACAGAATCTATCATCTTCAGTGCTGCCAGAGTGTTCCTTTAAGAACCAAATCTGTTCCTGTTGCTACCCTTATCAAAGTTATTCTATGGTTAAAAATTTAGTAGGCAGAGCATGGTGGCTCATGCCTGTAATCCTAGCATTTTAGGAGGTTAAGGTGGGAGCTTTGTTTGAGGACAAAACTTCAAGACCAGCCTGGGCAACACAGCAAGACCCTGTCTCTATAAAAAACAAGATCAATTATATTAGCCAGGTATGGTGGTGCTCACCTGCAGTCCTAGCTATTTAGGAGGCTGAGGTAGGAGGATTGCTTGAGCCCAGGAGTTTGAGGCTGCAGTGAGCTATGATTGTGCCACTGCAATCCAGCCTAGGTGATAGAGCAACACTATGTCTCAAAAAAAAAAGTTAGAAGTGGGATTTCTGGGTCATATGGTGAGTATATGAATATATATAGGAAACTGCCAAACTGTTTTCCAAAGTGGGTGTACTATTTTGTTTTCCCAGTAGCAGTATATGATAGCCCAAGTTCCTCCCCGCCCTTACCAGCATTTGTTATGGTCTGTCTTTGTAATTTTAGCCATGCTAATAGGAATGTACTAGTCTCCCATTGTAGTTTCAATTTGCATTTCTTGATGACTAATGATGTTGGACATCTTTTCATGTGCTTATTGGATATTTGTATAGTTATTTACTCAAGATAAATAATAACTCATGGCAAAAAGATTTCACATCCACATACCAAAAATAATTTGTACATGAATGATCAGAGTAACTTTAGAATAGTCCAAAACTGGAACCTCCAATAGCCATCAATAGATGAATGGATAAACCAGTTGTGATATACAACAGAATACTACTCAGCAATAAAAAGGAATGAACCTCTGACACAGCCAACAGTATGGATGGATTTCCAAAACATTATACTGAGTAAAAGCAGCCAGATATAAAAGAGAACATACTGTATGATTCTATTGATATGAAACTCTAGCATAAGCAGAAATAATCTATTGTGACTGGAAGCAGGTAAGTGGTTGTCTGGATTTGGGAGTTAGGCAAAGTGTTACCCAGAAAGGGGCTCAAGAAATTTTGGAGGAGATAAGAATGTTCTATTTACCACACAGGTAAATGTGTCCATCAAAACTCATCAAGCTGCACACTTAAAATAAGTGCATTTTATTGCATGTAAAAATAACTCAATGAAGTTGATTTAAAACAAATATTCAATTGTTTCTCACTACTTTAGAAAAAAGTTTTAAAAAGTTAGTATGATATACAACGTCTTCAATGATATGACCCCTTCTATCTCTCTGACTTTTTCTTTCTAGGCCTCCGCCTGGTTTGCTCCAGTCATACTCTAATGCCTACTCCCTCCGCATCATCACACTTTCTCGTGTCTCTATATCTTTATAAATGCAATTCCCACTTCCTGGAATCTGAACCCTACCCCCTGCCTCCTTGTAATTTGACTCACTCCTACTCATCCTTCAAGGTCAACTCAAGACTGCCTGGACTTTTCTCCAAGGCTGGATCCAGCACCTCTCTTGTGTGTCCTCAGACCATCCTGTATAGCTCTCTAGTCTGATGTTTTCACACTCTGGTACCAAAGTTAATATTCTTTCTTAGGCTCTGAGCATCTTGAAACCAAGGTCTGTCTATGTTCTTAATTCCTAGCACAAAGTTTGGTACATGTTGCTTAGTATGTGTAGAATGGATAGATGAATGACTGAATGAATCAACTAATGCCCTGTCTACTCAGAAGGATATAATGAGAATCAAGTGACATAAGGGTGTGACTCCCTGCACTCTATTATTTGGGTGTTTGATTTGGCCCCATAATATGGTGGTGTGGCCAAGACTATGCCCTCTGAACCTCCACCTCCATCCCTGGGTACAGCCAGTAAACAGAACTTTGCAAATTCCTATCTTGGAATCACAATGACAAACGCTCCAAGATGGCAGGAGCCTCTGAGCACCTTGAGAGGCAATCAAGAGAAGCCTGTCTCAGCAGACTCACCTCACTGCCAGGTGGTGGCTGCACACTCTCTGTGGGGTATCGCACCTCAAACCACAGCTCTGCAATCCTACAATATCTTTCACCATCCCACATAGTATTTGTTAATTGAATCCTGTAATTTAATTGCATTCGCATTTCTAAGCACACTTGTTTTCATAGAACGTATACTCTTTAGCACCTGAAGATTCTGACAAGTAAATGTCATCCATGCCTGTCCAGGTAGATACGAGGTAGCGTTGCCCTCACTCCCAGACACTCCCCTGTCCATTACTTAACCACGTGGAGTTGGAGTAGCCGTTTTCTATGATTATGATCCATTTTCTTCACCCTTGTTGGAGCTTTCATAAGAATCAGCAGGAACTCTGCAAACCCTCCTCCCTGTCACTACCTCACCACTTCACCAACATGTCCCCAGCCTCCAGTTCCATCCCATCAATGCCATTTCTGGCACATATGCCCACTGGATCCACCCAGTGACAACCACCTGCATGCCATTTTCTTGAATGAAAGGAATGAAGGCATTTTCTACTCTATCATCATTCCTTGACCTTCACCTGTTTTGGTTTTTAAAGTGTTTTCTCTTCTGCATTAGCCGGAGTTCATTAGAGAGCCGTCCAGCCTCCATACCTGGAGTTGGTCACTGATGGCCTTTTTTACTGTCTGCCACTGAAGGTTAGTCTGGTCAAATGATCTTCAGTGAAGAGCATTCAACAAGTCAGTGCTCAAAAGCAAGGGGGTGAATCTTTGGAGGAGAGACTGGGGAAGACCGATGAGAGGGGAGAATTAATGGTTAAATCTACAGTAGGGTTTCAAATTCTTTTTTCAAGTTTAGGGGAAGGATTCCTCTGTTAATTCATTTATTCATTCTTACAATCTGGTTAGACCTATGGCCTCCCAGAAAACAGCTAAATTAGCCTCTTCTCTAATGTAGGCCCAGGGCTCTGGCTCTATCGGGGATTCCAAAGCCCCTCAACACCACCCCTGAGCTTACCCTGGAGAGTAATGTTTTCCGGGCATTCACATCAACTGAGAGCTTAAATATGGTTCTTCTGGGAGAGGGCCAGGAGACGGGATGGCCATTATCAGCAATCTGCTCTCTGCGGAGTCTGAGCCATGTGAACAAACAACCTCACACACTACGAGTGGGGAGAGAAGCGATTGGAATGTTCACTCCTATTTTCCTAAAATATCCAGTGAACCATGAACCTAAACTCTACACCTGAGGCAAACCGGGAGTTGCTATTTTAACACAGCACAGCTTAGAAAACAATCCACACATGTTCTGTGACTTGGGCCAGCCCCAGAGGGATTCCTGGCAGCATTGCATGGGTGACTAATATTCACAGCCTCTCTGAGGGTGAAGGGTATGCTATTCACCTGTCTGCCACCACTCACTTCAATATGCTTTGCCATGTGGGATCTGAGAGGAGTCTTTTTCTGGGAGTTTTAAATATCTTTTCAATGGGGCTTTTAAGATACTTATAAGTACTGTTTTCTGATCTAGGATCGCTCCACCTAGTCTATTGGCATATCTCTTATACAGGAGGACAAGAGAGTGATGAAAAATGAGACAGGAAATGCACCCATTTATTTCGCAAACATCTGCGTTGGGCCATTGGGGAATACCAAGATGACTCAGCCACAGTTGAAGGAGGGCAGATATGAAAACAAATCATTAAAATAATGTAGTCAAATGCTAAATAAGGTTTGTACCAAAGGCTGTGGGAACACAAAGAAGGGATCATTAATTTTGTCAGAGGCAGTCAAGGAAGACTTTGTAGAGAGTGACCTCTGAGTTGTACTTTAACAGCTGTGTTGGAAAGTTCAGGTGAGAGAGGAAAGGAACGGTGTTCAAGACAGAGGGAACAGCAGCCGCAAAGATGTGGAAGCTTGAAGACCCCTGAAAACTTTGCTGAGTTTGGGCCACAGGTTACACGGGAGCAAATGGGGCAGGTATGAGGCTGACACCGTGGGTTGGGGTGAGATATGAAGGCATGTGGTCAGGTTAAAGGGTCCAGACTTAATTCATTGGGCAATTGAGAAAAAACAGAGGACTTGGAGCATAGGTGTGAAACATCAGATTTTAGAAAGACATATCAGTAGACAATCACTGTATTTCAGGCTTTAGTGATTCCTCACTTGGTCCATGATACAAGCCTCCATGTCACACTTTGCTTGCTGCTTTGTATATCTGCTCAGCTGAGGCATTTTTACATAACCGTATGTTAAAAGGGTCATTATTCCCACTGTACAGTTGGCGAAAGAGAATCTCAGGGAGCTTAAAAAGAATACCCTTTGGCAAAGCCAAGATTCACACCGAAGTCTGTTGGATCACCAAGTCTGTGTTTCATTATACTGAATTAGAAGATAATAACAACGAGAAAGAAAAAAATGGTGATTGGCAGCCCTGGCTGCACATTAGTTTCTCCTTGGGAGCTTTTTTAAATCATGATGTCCAGGCTGCACCCTAGACTGATTAAACCAGAATACGTAGGAGTGGAACCCAGACATCAGGATTTGCTTAAAGCTCCTCAGGTGACTTTAGTGTGCAGCCAAGTTTGAGAATGACTAAGAGATGTTTCAAAGGAAGACTTGGTAATAGTTGGCTAGCAAGCGGGAAGACCGAGAGAGAAGGAGGAAAGAGGTGACTTTAAGATTTTTAACTTGGATGAAGGCAGAAAGGGATGTGAGTGGGGAAATGAGGAGTTTATTCTCACAGTCATTTACTTTGCCATCATAGTGTGACATCCAGGTGGAAATACCCAATAGATGCCTTGGCAAAGTGAACCACGGGCTTCAGAGGAGTCAAGGCTATATCAAGGTCAACACCTCATCCAGTGCTGTGCTGGGGGCAGCTCACACCAGCTCCAGGGAAGCAACTATTAAATATTCTGAAATTTTGCAAGCCAGTTGTTAACACAGCCATTAATAAAAATTAAATCAAAAGAATTAAATAAATTATATTTTTGAAAATGTAATAAACTCTCAAAACTCATTACTTCTCATTACTACACTTTAGTATTGCCTGTGCTCTTGAAGTTGTTTATGTATACTTTATCTGTGTGGTGGGAAAGCCATATAATGGTAGCTTACTGTAGGGGATCTTTGCCAACTCTGCAATCACTCATGTTGATAGCTTGAAACTGGCCATGGTAAGGAGCATTTACATCATGAAAACTGGCAAATACTACAAAATAAGGCCCCCGTCATCCCCCACAAAGAGCGAGTTGTTAAAACATTTACCAGCACACCATTGCCTCAAACCACATTAGGGACTATGCAGAGATGCCAGCGTATGAGTATGCATGGGGAACCTCATCAAGATAAAACAAAGACAGTAAGAGACAAGTTAAACTTCACAGATGGGGGTGGCCGGTGGTGTAAGGAAAAAAAAAAAAGACTTCACAGATGGGGGAAAAAAACTGATGCTAGAAACAGTTTTCCCCTTGACTAATATTTCCCAAAACACAAGCTTTTTGCAATACTCAGGTCCTTTGGGATTGCTACTATTCCAAATAAACCTGTTTTATTTAGCTCCGTGAATAAGGCCCTTCTAGCCAGAGAAGATATATTTTATATGCACACATAAAAATACTCTGTGTTTATGTAACACTTTCCTTATAAGGAGCTCACAGCAATTCCACATACTCTCTTTATTCCTATGAACACCCTGGGGAGGTAGCTAGGTGGTAGAGGAAATAGGAAGGAATGAACAAAAAAAAGAGTTGAATTAGAAATCATGGCATTGCCTTGCCTCAGTACCATAAACAAGCATAGGAAAGCCTAACTTCAGGACTATAAAGTGTCTTGCTCAAGAAGTTTCTAGAATTGGACTCCCATCACTGGCATTTTTCCATAGGCATGGCCTAGAAGCAGGGAAAACCTCCCATTAGCTACCTTTTTTTTGCATTCCCTTGCTATTTTGGCTTTAGCCCCTAACTTGGGCCGGAGCTGGAGTTTGCAGTCCAAGCCTGTCTGACTCCACAGCCTCTGGGAGGTCACCAAATGGCCAGCGGCAGGAAAGGAGATGGGCCTGCCAAGAAGCAGCAGGGACCTATGTTAGGGCTCATTCCCATGTGACTCCAGTGGTCCCTGATGATCATTCCTGGGCTCCTCGCCAGTGACACCACTGTCCCCTCTGCACCTGCTGCATCATCCCCCTGGGGATCCAAATGGCCTCTCTGAATGTCCTTGGCAATTCCTCCTGAGGCTCTGGACAATTTCAAATCAGTCCTTTGGAATACAAGTCAGCTTAACTTTAATGCTTGGTATCCTCCCCATTTACCCAAGATTTGTCTGTGCTGCAGAGCAGAAGGTACACGGCTGCTGATAATGAAAGTTGGGGGAAAGAATTAACTGCGTTGTGTGTGTGTGTGTGTGTACATGTGCATGCATGTGCATATATGTGTGTCAAAAACAGTCAAACAGAAAGGCAAAGTGGCAGAAACAAAGAAACAGAGGCAGAAAAACAGAGAGGCCAAGAGTTACAGAGGCTGTGGGAATTCCTGAACCAAGACAATCTCTTGTTCACAGTGGTTTTGTTTCTAAGAATTTCATTGTTTGTTTTTAACTGCTAGAAGGGTAGACTTTCAAGTGAAAAATACCCTGGGCTCCACCGAAGCCAGCCCTGCACATTTGTGTGGTTGTGTGCCCCCTTAACAACTTCTCTGAAGACAACCCTCAGGGGGATGCTATCGCAAACAGCATTGCCTTCAGGAGCACTTGTCTCTGGCCAAATATTGATGTAGGATTTTTCTTCTTGGTCACTTTGCCAGCCCCGGGCCTCACTCAGCCATGCTGGCGTTCCCCAGCTCACCTGGGTTATACCTTGTACCCACATTCGGTGATTCCCAAGCTCTTGTACCACACCCAGGAGGAATGAAGATACACTGGACATTGAAGGGTGAGGAGGGCAGAGAATAATTTTATTGAGTGATGAAAACGGCTTTCAGCAGAGAGAGGACACGGGGTTGTTCCCCCTACCCAAAGGCAGGAACATTCCCCATGTGGCTGGGCTGGTGTCTTTTATGTCCATAGGGTTTTATGGACTCAGAATGGGGAGTGTGTGCTGATTGGTTTGTGAGTATGCAAAAAAGATTAAAGCAAAGACATCACTCAAAGGTGGGCCCAACAGTATAGAAAACCAATTAGGAAAGAGTAGGTATATGTAAAATAGGTGAAGTGCGAGGACCAATCAGAGGAAAGCACGCCAAATATAAATTCTCAATCCAGCCCAAGGATTTAACTTGCAACTTGACTTTCAGGCTTTAAACTCTTCAGCTTGGAGGTGAGGTTTCACCAGGGACCTGCCCCTATCTACCTAGGCATTTGGCTGCCTCCTGTCGCTATCAATATCACGGCATACTCGGATTGTCAGACCCAGCCAAGCCTGAGGGAGACTCACCCCCACTCGCACCTCCAATCTCAACAAGTCTTCTTAATTGCCACAAAGATGGCCTCAGGTGTCCTGCTGGTGCCCACCTGGGCTTTCCTCAGCAAGTGGGGGAGTTCTGAGATGCTTCCTAAAGGCCCTCAGACTGAGCTTGAGTGCCTTTGAAGCAGTCAGGGATCCACACTAGACAACCAAAACAAACAAGTCAATTAAGTGGAAAGTCACTCCCTTCGGAGGCAGGAGACAGGCTGTAATCTTCCTAATCCCATCTAACTTCAGTAGATCTGTGCTCCTCTGTGAGATGCCAGGGTGTGAGTAGTCACAGTTATTCACTCAACAATCAATTCTGAGCCCCTGCTGAATGGCAAGGACTGCCCTGGGCACTGAGGACTCAATGGCTATAAAAACAAAGAGCAAAATGGCCAACATGGACCCAGGAATAGTGGGCTTATAGGAGATGCTCTCTGATGTCCCTTCTCATCTAATATTCTCTAAATAATTCCTAAGTGGCAGGAGGGCTTCCCTACATCTCCCCAGCTAATGAATTCGGCCGCTACTGAGTAAGAGATCGGTTTGTTTTCTTTACATTTGAGTTCTCAAACTTAACTACTTTGCACTTGCAGTGTGGGTGTCTGAAATGTTAATTGAGCCTCACCACAGCCCCTGGAAAGAGGTAAGTGTTGCAACATCTGCCACAATTTAAAACACTTACTCAGGTGCCTGCTCAGTGCCTATGCACTAAGTCAAAGAGGCACAGGCCAGCTGTCCAGAAGCGGCCAGAAACGCTGGAACTCACCCACACAAAGGATAAACAAGCAGCTGAGCAAATTCTGATAGAATGGTAATGTCAAGCAAATAAAGAGAATGTAAATGAGGAACTGGTGAGGAGGCCACCCTTTGAGAAGATGGAGGTGAGAGGGGAAAGAGAGGAGTTAGCACACGCCAGGCAACGGAGTGGGGGTAATCACTCACTCTGTCTCTCTCCATCAGTCTGGGGTTGCCAGGGTCTTTGAATGGCAGAGAAAAGAGAGTGGAGAGAACTGGGATGGGGGGACACAGGGCCCTGGCCCTCAGTGACTGCTCCCCAAAGGCATTAATTAGATATCACTGCAAAATAGCAAAACCAGAGTAAAACCTCCCCCAGGACTTCACTCACACAATGACCAGGCTCTTTCACCAAGCCCTCCCAGGTCCCTCCCTCCCTGCTTTTACATCTTACATAAGGAGGCTTCTATTGTGCTAATATCCAAGGAAAAAAGTGACTAAGGGTGAGTGTGCGACTAAGGAAAATAAAGAAGGAAGAGAGCCTCCAAGGCTTGCCCCCACCCCCAGTTTCTTGGCTCACTCCACGATTCCGTCAGTTCGCAGGCTCTGACATAAAAGGCAGGAAGCTACACACGCTAAACAAAGCTCCTTAGATGTCAGGAAATTAACCTGGGAAATCGGAGCCAAGAGAGATTAAAGGCATTGCAGGCCGAGTTCAAAAACCTCTATGGCGTTACATCAAAAGCTGTTTTCTGGGCACCCCAGGCTCGGCTCTGCCAAACCGTACATCCCGAAAAACCTGGCCACAGGGCTGGCACGCCTGTGTGGTGTGCCTTTTCCCTGCCACAGACTGAAGCCTCACTCAGATCTACAGCTTTTGACTCTTCCTGTCATAGGAGTCTAAGCCCTGCCTGCCGTAGGCAAGTCTGCCCTGAGAAGAGCAGCTTGCTGCCCTGGATTCCTTATAAAGGAGGAAGATCGCACACCTAACCTCAGAGGGGGTCCAATGAGTGGCCCCAGGGAAAGGAAGAAAGTCCTTAAAAGGAGGAAGAGACCTGCTAGCTTCAGCTGCACTCATACACACACAAAAAAAAAGAGAAAGAAAGGAAGAAAGGAAGAGAAAGAAAGAAAGAAAGGAAGAGAAAGAAAGACAGAAAGAAAGAAAGAAAGAAAGAAAGAAAGAAAGAAAGAAAGAAGGAAAGAAGGAAGGAAGGAAGGAAAAAAGAAAAGAGAAAAGAAAAAGAAAAGAGAAGAAAAGAAAAGAAAAAAAAGAGAAAAAGAGAAAAGAAAAGAAGTGAGGCAGCCTGGGATCCCTGACCCTCCCAGCTAAGAAAACAAACCGCCTTGTGGAAGGTGAAAGGGTCAGAGCAGAACAAACCAGAGAATTGTGAGAATCATTGTTTATGTCCGCATCAATAATACTGTCTCTTTGAGTCTCAGTTTCATTATCTTTACAATGAACGTAGCTTCTAGCTAAGATATCCTGGAATTCTTGAACAATCTTAACATTTAAATGGAATGAAATTGTCAGCAGGCTTTGTACAACACTCGTTGTATCTCCAGCAGTGAGTGCTAACCCCCTCTTACAGAGGAGAAAACTGAGGCCCCATGTCACATATCTGGTAGAGAGAAGAGCCCATAATGAACTAGTGGTTCCTGGCCCCGGTGATTCCGGGCCCAGTGCTCTAGGAGGGCAATGGTGGAACAATAGTATTGTTCCTAAACTGCATCAAAGGACATTTGCAAGAATAAGCTCAAAGTGTTGCTATTCCTGTTTTTTTTTTTTTTTAATTGGAAAGCAAGTGAAGGTCAGAAGGGAGCCATTTATTGTACCAGCCTTTTGGGAAATGAAACACTCAGATATATAAGCCCCATGGTGGCCTCATAAAGAGTGCAAAAATCTCTTCTCAAGTCTATAAAAGTGAAGTTAGTTCTATTAACTGGAAAGGAAATCTGTGAGAGAATGTGACTCATTTGTTCTCCACCCATAATACCTTCAAGAACCTGCCCTGTCCCTAATCTGAGTGGGGTGGCTCCCAGAGGCCACATGATGCCCCTCCAGGGCTGATGGGGCCACAGTCACCCGGCTGAGAGAAAATCAGAGTCACTCTTCCACAGGAATTCTACTGAGACTTAGAGAGTACAGCCAAGGAATCTGTGAGCCTGAATCCATGCAACGGCTGTATTAGTAAAAGCTCCTCCGAGGAACACAGTCAATAGGATGTAGTTCATTGTGTATATATATATATGATATAAATATGCATCATGTGTGTGTGGGAGGGGGAGAGAGAGAGAGAGAGAGAAATTTTTTATTAAGAATTGATTCACATGCTTATGGAGGTTGGCTACCAAGTCCCAAGATCTGCAGGTGGCAAGCTGGAGACCCAGGAGAGACCTACCCGAAATCCAAAGGCAGGAAAAAAGGCAATGGCTGACAGGCTAGGGGAAGTCTCTCTTCCTCAGGGGAGGGTCAGCCTGTTTGTTCTATGCAGAGCTTCAACTGATGGGATGAGGCCCACCCGCGTTAGGAAGGACCATCTTCTTCACCCAGCCTGCACATTCACATGTTCCTCTCTTCCAGAAACACCCTCACAGACACCTACAGAATAATGTTGACCAACTCTCTGGGTACCCCATGGCTCAGTCAAGTTGACACATAAAATTAACCATCATCATCACATAGACAGGGGCCAGGTCAGCACAGCCACAGCAGCAAGGCAGAAGGAGGCAAGACTGAGTGAGGAGGCTGCAGGGTTGCTGGGAAAGCTAGCTTCAAGAGAGGAACATGGGACATTCTCAGTGAGAAATGGAGATGAGAGACAGACAGGGGTACCAGAGACTGGGAGCCTTTCCAGTGCACAAGATTCCCCTTTATCCTTCCACTCCCCAGTTCTAAACTGAACTGCTTTGAGTGGGTTTCTCTTTTGGATAACTGAACAACCTCTGATTAGAACAAGAACATCGTGGATCTCCTTGAATTTTATTCTCTAACTTTAGCCCAATTCTCTAATTTTAGACCAGCCATTTATCAAGCAATAAACTATACTGCATGTCATGTACTGCCAGGTTAAATACCACATACTCTTCGTTCTTAGATCATTTACATTTATGGTTTTGACTTCTTGCAAGCAACCACGTGCTTAAAATATTTCCATGAGGGTTTGATAAAGTATTTTGATCTGTAAGGCTTAGGTTTAATGAGTGAGCTACTCAATTCCTGAGGGGTCCCATCCATCTGCCCAGCATCCACATCATCATGCCTTTTTTGTTTTCTACTCACTGTTCTTTCAGCATTTTCTGGGGGATGTCAAATGTTAAGAGGTTTTCCTTAATTTGAGAATGTGTGACGGCCCAGTCTGAATGCCTTGCAAAAAGCATAGGTCTACTATACAATGTTACTGACATAACTTTTAGAAATCTCTGTCTCTTCTCCTATGAGCTCTTTGAAGGACATGACCCATGCCTTACACAATTTTGTGGCCCTTATACCTTGAATACAGTACCTGGGACCTCATAGGCAAGCAATGCATTTTTTGGTTAATTCTCTCAAATAGTTCTCATAAAAAGCCCACCAAGTAGATCACATTATTCCCTGTTGCATTAATGTGTTTAAACTAAGCGATGCTACAACAATGTACAACCCCAAAAATCTAAGCATTTGCCTCAACAAAGGTTTGTTTCTCACTCATGTCACACATGTATGATGGGTCAGCTACAGCCCTTGTCCATGCCTTCTTTGCTCCAGGACTCAGTAACAGAGAGAAATGGAGATAGCAGAACCACAATGTCTCTTAAAGCATCTATACAATAGTGGCACAATTCCTCATACTCACTTTTGCCAGCCAAAGTAAATCTCACAGCCAAGCCTGACGTCAATAGGGCAGGGATATATAGTCCTTCGCCAGCAGGAGGGAGGGGTGCCAGAAATCACATGGCCACACCTAGTACAATGCGACAAGGATGCATAATCTTCCCCCAGAGACAGCAAAATGAGAGTGCTAGTACTACACAGCACACCGTCTCCTAAAGAAACTGAGGGGAAGCAATCCGCCTGATCAAGTAGCTCATTAGTGGCAGAATCAGCCTTTAAACATCGTCAGACTCCAGGTTTGAGGATTCCTTCCAGCACACCACAGCTGTTTCTAGGTCTCACTCTGGGACAGAGGCACCTGCCCTGATCCACGCTTTCTGCCACTCTCCAGGAATATTCACGTCAAGATGTCCCACTCAAACATTTGGCCCTTGAATGTTTTATTCATAAGGATCATATGTCCAAAGGAATCTAAGCAAGCCAAGTCAGACAAAATTAACAAGCGTAAATTAAGGAATGTAATAGAGCCAACATTGAAATTCTCAGTAGATGGAGTCATTTAAAACATTTTTTTAGTTTAACCAGACTGAAGATCAAAAGGGGGTTGGTGGCACCTGAGAAGAACAAGAAGCTGTCACCACCCCTTGCCCCGGGAGCAGAAGAGAGATGAATGACAGCGCTGTCTGCTTTCAGCACTTCAGCGTGGCGTCAGCTGTGTCTCTCTGGCCATTGGTCAATTGCATCCTGCAGTAGCTGGAGTGAGGGATCTGGGGAGGACAGGGACTAATGCCCAGGAAAAGCCTGGCACCAATCATTTCAAAAGGGTCTTAACCATGACCTGTTCAGCATTTCCAGAGTTAATTAGTCCCATCACGACGAACATCACCCAGTCCCAAATGGGCACCCTGGTTGCCTGTGGTAAGTGACTTATTTATTTGCCTCTCTCTGGCCAGCAAGTAGCTTTGTTCAAGAAAAAAAAAAAAAAAAAAAAAAAACCTGACCACATACAGATCCTCAATCTAGAAAAGAAATCAGAATTCACTGTTTTTTCTGAATCACTTAATTTCCCTTAAGTTGAATAGATGACATGTTTGGCCTTCAGACGGTGTGGATTATGAAAAGTCAAGCACTCTAACACTTGGCAGCAGAGGCTTCATGGAATACCTACTCCCCACCTCTGCCAATAACATTTTTAAGGAGATTCGGTTTGATTAAACTATACAAGGTAAATAATGAATCCAGCCTGCCCAGGATATATCAGGTTGCATAGTGTGATGAAACACATACCATCCTGAATGTTCTTCCAAAAGAACATGTACAGAAAATGCTGTCCTTCTGCCAGAATACAGGCTCCTTGCCAACCCCCACCACTCTCCACCTTGAGACCAAACACTCAGCAAGCTGAAGCTTGCAGGCCACGGTGACTGGCTCCATGCTGCCTTGGGAAGCCCTACATGACCTCTACATGGTCCTTCTTCAGTATGTGAAGTACAGAGGCAACACCAGGACATTTTGAAGGGCAAAAGAAGGTTCAATGGGGCAATTTCCAAGGCATCTTGCTCCACTGCTGGTAAGCAATTAGCAGGCTTTCTACAGGGACTTCTCAAAAGAGGATCCAGAAGGCAGGCTCAGCATTGCAGCCTGGCTGCAGGCCACAGTGTGGCAGACGCATGTATTCATGGGCATGTCAAATACATCACTTCAATACGAAATTCATAGGCCCAACATTCATCTGCGAGATTGAACACTGGGTAGCTCAAAAGCTAGTCTTCTGAAAGCATCCTACAAAACACCCGAAGTTGCCGTTCCAGAATTGCTATAATTTCACGACTGTGCAAGCTGTACTAGTAGTACACAGGCAAAGGGATAGAAAAAAGATTATATTAATGCTCAAGGGGGAAAAGCAAGATTATAAAGGACTTAGCAGAGCTATGTTCTGATAATAAACCAAGAGCATTTAGGACCCAACCTAGAAAAAAATGGATTTACAGCCGAAGTCTTTCCTGTTTGGGGCTACAGCATCATTCTGTCATTCTAACCACATTTATCCTGAACCTCCCCCCACCACCCGCTGCCCATGTGCTGGCCACCGTGCTGGGATCAACAAAACTGAATGAGACACAGGACCTGATACTGGGGAGCTGACCATCTAGCAGGTGACGTATGGATGGATGAAGCATCTTAGGACATCTAAAGAAAGAGATCACTCCTCCATACTGGTAAGTCCACAGACAGCTTTACGGAGACATTTGAGTAAAGTCCTAAAAAGGGGCAGGGATGCAGCCATGTGCAATGGGAAGAAAATAATTCATCAGCTGTGACCATGAATGTAGATAGAGATGTTTGGGCCTCATCCAGATCCCCTCTCTGCCCTGTGGGGCTCCCATCTCCTGGCTGCTGAGAATTTGGTTGTTCTCTACCCACAGCTGCTCCCCTTTTCTGGAGGTTTGCCCTTGGCTGACCAGAGCACCTCAGCGGGGAGGTTAACCGCACTCTGCCTCTGAGGATGGCCAACAGCCAGTGATGGCACAAAGGGCCAGCCCCCTGGCCTCAAGACAGGCACAATTCTGAAGTGGGCTCATGAAGAGACTACCCAATCCCCCCAGTGGACAGAGCTGAGGTTAATCTCCACCTGAGACCTGATCTTCGCTGAGTTCCTTCCCCTCTTCTATCTTGCTCCTCTCACTCCCTAGTCGATATTTCCTGAGAACACCTCTTCAGTAAAGCACACACATCCAAATCCTATCCAAGGCTTTGCTTCTAGGAGCCCATCCTAGAAGGCAGTAGGCCCCTGGCTTTCCCTCATTCAGCTGCACAGTTGCACTAACAAGGAATTCCTGAGGTGGCCTTCTAGCACCTCTGTAAGCCCCCTATCCTACTCCACCCTTACCCCTCTGCTTCACCCGAAACTGACCCCTCACTCTTTCCCCACCTCATGTCTTATTTTTGTTAGAAAAGCTTACTCCCCACTTACCCATTTCTTTCAAGATCTAACTCTAGTTTTGCTTATTCCAAGGTTTCCCATGCTAGACTCTACCCATGCCCCTTACGTGTGTATTTTTTAACCACTTAAGAGATGTGCCAAAGCATGTATCAATTTTTATTTTTCAGACAATTGAATCAGAACTTAGTCATCCAAATAGATGTTGCCACTTTGAAAATATTCATCTTGGGGGATTAATCACTTCCTTCAATGCAACCACTGCCCATCATAATTTAGGGATTCCTCTTTGTGGTTTGCCCTCAGTGTATGCATCACCCACTGTTGAACACGGTAGCCTACAGCAATGTCTCAGAGGTTTTAGAACATCATTCAGAACCATGACTGGTGATTGCAGGTTACTAAGAGCACATACATAGATATTTTGTAGTTCCACAATTTACACATCTCCAGCTGTCCCTTGTTGAGTGAAACCCTTTCTCTCATTATGCTGCTCTAAATCCAACCAATTCCAGTGATGGCAAATGGTTGCTCTGTGAAAGTGACTTTTCTTTCCTCTTTGAGACATTTGGATCCATGCCTGATGAGTAATGTAGGTACTGATTCATTCATTCAACAAATATTTATTGAACACTTTCCACATGGCAAGCCCTGTGCTACAAGTGAGGCTGTAAAATCAAATAAAACATGGTTTTTACTCACATGAGGTTTAGAGTCTATCTGAGGAAAATAACAAGTCAATTGACAATGTAGTATAGTTCAGTAAATGCTATAGAGAGATACACATGGGTCTACGGAAGAGAGAGGAGTAAAGGGAGGCTGGAGGAGCAGGGAAGCTTCTGGAGGCTATGTTTTAAAGGGTGATTCAGAGTTTTCTAGATAAAGAAGTTTGGTGGGGTCAATGAGTAGAGGGACTGCTGGTAGGAAGGCATAGATAGAATTCTGAAGCAGAGAAATATTTGAGACACTTCCCGTGAAGGGTGGATTTGGCAGAATGAGCATAGACAAGAGAGGTGGTCAGGCTACTGAGAGGCCAAGAAGGGTTTATCTCCAGAGGCACAGGAAAGCCACTGAGGGATCAGACTGGGGTAAAAACCAACCAACAAACCAAACCCATGTAGCGTGACTAACAACTAATGAGTCATTTTAATGTGTGTGCTCAGTACTTCTGCACATGTGCCATCCTGATGAATCCTTCAACAACTCTATGAGAGACACATGACTATCCTCACTTTCCAGAGGAGGAAACAGAGACTGGGAAAGTTTACTAACTTGCTTAAGATCACACAGGTAGTAAATAGCAGAGTTGGGATTCAAATCCTCGACTCCAAAGCTCAGGATGAGCCTCTAAAAGAAGTCCAGCAAAGGATACGAACAAATACGTCATGTTAAAGGAAAAACTTCAACCGCATTAAATTTAAAGGAGTTTAATTGAGCAATGAATGATTCATGAATCTGGTAGCCCCCAGAATCACAACCAATTCAGAGAGACTCCAGGGGTGCCTCGTAGTCAGAACACAAATTTATAGACCAAAAAAAGGGAAGTGACATACAGAAATCAAAGGTGACATACAGAAACAGTTGGATTGGTTACAACTCTGCATTTGCCTTACTTGAACACAGTTTGAACACTCAGCAGTGTATGAGTGGTTGAAGTATGGCTGCTAGGATTGGCCAAGACTCAGCTATTGTTACAGGTGCATACTCCTAAGTTAGGTTTTCAATCTTGTCTACCTATTAAATTGGTTGCAGTCTGTCCACAAGGACTCAAATATGGAATATATTCTCAGTCTATATTTAGTTTGCTTTAACAATCATTTAAAAGAGAACTTTAAATTCTACATAAATTTACAATGTTCAACTTAGGCACAAGTCAAAGCATTGGAAAGTAAAGCAATAATACTGAATCATTATATACCCATTTAACTAACAGAAAACCTTAGTCATTATGTGCAATGCTGTCTACTTTGCATCACTCGACTGGTATTAATATATTGATGGTCATATTGTAAATGGTCATACATCTTTTGGAAAACAATATAATAATATATACCAAAAGTCAACCCTCTTTTAAAATGTCCATCCTCTTTTACCCACCTCTAGGAATGTATCCCTAGAAAATATTTCAAAAGGAGACAAAAAGTTTATCATTGTAACATTATCTTGAGTAGTGCTAAACTGAAAACAATTTAAATGTAGAGTGGTAGTACAATGGTTTGGTAAATGATCATACAACAAATCAATGGAATATTGTGTAGCCATTTAATATGATCTTTATGGGGATTATGTAACACCATGGGAAAATATTTATAAGAAGTAAACTGTCACGTGAAAAGATAGAATACAGTACACTATTGATATTCACAAGGTGTATAGCCTAATATCTCTGCAAATTCCCAAATAAGTGGAAACCATTGTAGCATACAATTTTCCCTTTAAAATGCAATAGCTAAAAATGTTAAGTAACCCCTCAAGACTCTTAAGGAGTCTATAAACTCAGGATTTGCTTATAAAGCTATAAAAATAAATTCTGCCAATAAAATAAATTCTAGAATGCATTATATTACATCATTAGGCTACTTAACTAAATTTACCTAAATCTGCAAAGAAACAACGTCTTTATCACGTCATGAGAGTTCTTTGCAAGCTTCATATGAAAGCACAAAAGCTGTGTTGAAATGCTGGTCCCACCAATGGTGGGCTGGGCTTGTTTACTGACTGTGTGATTCTTACTTTCTTGCACACCAGCTTTTTGTGTGTGTGTGTTTTGAGACGGAGGCTCGCACGTTCGCTCAGGCTGGAGTGCAATGGTGCGATCTCAGTTAACTGCAACCTCCGCCTCCCGGGTTCAAGCGATTTTCCTGCCTCAGCCTCCCAAGTAGCTGTGATTACAGGTGCCCACCACCATGCCCAGCTAATTTTTTGTATTTTCACTATGTTGGCCAGGCTGGTCTTGAACTCCTGACCTCGTGATCTGCCCCCCTCAGCCTCCCAAAGTGTTGGGATTACAAGTGTGAGCCACCACACCCAGCCCATCAGCTTTAAAATCTAGCCATTTCCAAATCAAAGCCCTCAACATTACAAACCACTGTGATCTTTGAAGTCCTAGGCAAATAATTGAAATTGAGAATGTCAAGTTCAAGAATGCTTCCAATCTACTTCTATTCAGAAGTACATATGCGTTATGATTACAACAATTTGAAAATTTAGACATACAGCCATAGCTGTCCAGAAACATAAAAAACAAAGACAATTGTACTTGGGTGAAAGAAATCTAGGTAGTAGTTTTCTTTTAAAACATTTCTAAGTATTATGTATTTTTTTCACAATAAAATGCACACAAACAATTTATTACCCTGTTGTCATATTCTTGTAGGTTGAACCCCGTTGCCTTTAATCCATTGATATTTTATAGTTTGTAATGTATTTGCAGGGCTTTGGGGTTGCAACAAACGGGTAAAGCCTGGAGAATTAAGCAAGAACTGGCTATAGAAGTAACCACATTATACTTCCTATCCGTATCCCTTGACATTCAACCAGGGATGCCAAAATCAGTGGTGTCTTTGTACCCACATACACTGGTAAGATGCACTAGTACTTTGTTTTCAATGTGGGACCAAGGCTCATTCACTCAAATGACAAAACATGCCTATGATTTCTGTGACCTCACTGATTGATTCGACAGGAACTACAAGTTACATTCAGTGGTTTGATCCATGTGACACTAGGAGGTAGGAAAGAAGGGAGAGGCAGAAAGGACAGAAGGAGGGAAGGAATCATGTATTCATGCTAACATGCACTGCAAACCAGTTTTCTTTTTCTTGTTTTTCACAGATCCTAAAGTTGACCTCCAGATAACATTCTGTCACATGCATGTGCACCAGAGATGGGGAGAACACACAGAATGGGTAAGAGTAGCTCAGCCCACACATTAGTATGCAAAATAGTCAGAGGCAGTGTCTGATACTGTTCCAGGGGAGACTCAGTCATACAGGAACACTTAACTGAGAAAATGAATTATATTATTCAGCTTGGGCTGCCATTACAAAATACCATTGACTGGGTGGCTTAAACAACAGAAATGTATTTTCTCACAATTCAGGAGGCTACAAGTCCAAGATCAAGGTGCTAGCATGGTCAGGTCCTGGTGAGGGCTCCCTTCTTGGCTTGCAGACTGCTGCCTTCTCACTGTGTCCTCACATGGGGAAAAGAGAGAGAGCAAGCTCTCTGGTGTCTCTTCCTCTAAGCACACACATCCAACCGGATCAGGGTGCCACCCCTAGAACTTCATTTAACCTTAATTAATTTCTTAGAGGCCCTGTGTCCAAATATAGCCACACTGGGAATTAAAGCTTCAACATGAATTTGGCAGGGACACAAACGTTCAGTCCATAACATGTATGCTTTCTGTTTTTACAGGAAGAACCACAACTGTTTAGGTGCATGAATTCTACAATTTGTAAAAACTCATTGTTTTTCACCTAGTATATGTAAGAATTGAATAATAACACAGAGAAATAAATTCTAGCATTAAAGAATAAACCAGAAATCTCCTTAAAGGAACACAAGTAACAAAGCCTGGCAGGGGTGGGAAACAGCAGAAATTACCACATTTTGCTTGGATCTTGAAAATTGTGAATTCTCAGTGAAGTCCAATTTTCACTTTTTAATAATGGAGCTCTATAACATCTTAAAACTCTGGGTTTATGTATTTTTATTATCAACTCTATAAATTCAATAAAGAAGTGGAGTAAAGGTTCAGGACAAGAAGAAGGAGAAAAGAACAGTTAAAAATTTGGGAAATACTAGCACTTCATTCTTTACCAAGTTGTCACTCTATCACTGCAAGCGTGAGGATTGGTGAAAAGTATTAAGCAGACTAAGATTGCACCCCAGAGAGCCCAGGCTTATACAACCAGCACACTTCCCCCACTAACTGACATACTCAACTAATAACTACTGAATGTTGCCCATTGGCCAGCCGCATCCAACCCTTATCCCACTGCATCCTCAAATCTGCCACCTTACAGATGAAGAAATGGAAATGTAAACAAGTTAGGTGACTAAGAACAGAGTGTAATGAGCATCGTGGTTGACTCCCTGCCATTCATGCACATCATGCTAATATAAAGTAATCAGGCTACATGATCCCCAGCCAAGAATGAGTTCAAGAATATTCCTGGGACATATTTCTGCTGGAAGTCTCCCAGGGAAAGTTTCCCTTTCCTGAGAGCGGGCTCCCCAGTCAGAGATCTCTCTCTTCTGGTCTAGCAACAATGTGAATGCATTCTGCTCCCGAGGAGAATAACACCGAGGATGGCAAACAGGCAAGGGGGAAAGATGGCAAGCGTCCTTGATGACACCACTTAGCTGCCAACCCCACCAACCCACAGCTAGCCCAACTTCTGGACTTCGTGTTATGAGATAATAAATTTCCTAAGCATCTGTGCTGGGATGAGTCAGGTTCTCTTTCATTTTCATCAAAAGCATCTTGGCTGATACAAAAAGCCAGGATCCAAACCCAGGTCTGTGTGATTACCAAGAACCTACTCATTCCAAGAGTTTTCTAGTCTGTCTCTGGTATGCATAAAGTCCCGAAGGGTTTCCAAGTCAACAGCTGCAGTGGTCCTGGAGTCAGACAGACTTGGACTAAATCCCAGATCTGCCACTAATTAGCTGGGTGATTGTGGGCAAATTACCTCTCCTTTTTATGCCTGTTACCTCATCTGAAAAATGGGGATAATCATTGCACCTGCCACAAAGAGCTGTTTGAAGACCAAAGGAAATTTCCACACAGTCGGTGCTCAGTGATCATTAGTTTTCATGAGCAGGGGAACT
The DNA here is from genome assembly GCF_000001405.40 of Homo sapiens. Lineage (NCBI taxonomy): Eukaryota > Metazoa > Chordata > Mammalia > Primates > Hominidae > Homo > Homo sapiens. The sequence continues at coordinate 44,318,652 of NC_000013.11, forward strand.
GAATGATTTTTGGTGGCTAGATTCTTTTGATCAGAATCTTTGTAATGTTTTGAATAGAGTAACATTTACTTTCTCCTGACATATCACATCTATGCCAAAATAAAAATACAATGTGGCCAGGCGCGGTGGCTCACACCTGTAATCCCAGCACTTTGGGAGGCCGAGGTGGGTGGATCACCTGAGGTCAGGAGTTCGAGACCAGCCTGGCCAACATGGTGAAACCCCGTCTCCATTAAAAATACAAAAATTTGTTGGGCATGGTGGCAATCTGTAATCCCAGCTACTCAGGAGGCTGAGGCAGGAGAATCGCTTGAACCTGGGAGGCGGAGGTTGCAGTGAGCCGAGATTGTGCTATTGCACTCCAGCTGGGCAACAGAGCGAGGCTCCATCTCAAAAAAAAAAAAAATGTTTTCTTAATGTTTGGCCTTGTCTGAGCTTTTGGCTTTTTAATTAGAAAATGCCTCATTCCTTATTGAAAGAACACATCATTCAAAAAAATATTTGAAATGTCACCCATAGTATCATGCTACCTAATTAAACAATTTTTGTTTTTTGATATTACCTCTGGCATGTAAAATGCACATACCTACAATTATAGTGAACATACTGTTTTGCTTCCTATTATTTTCACTTAAATTATAGCATATATTGACATGTTCTTTATAATTATTTGCCTTAATAGCTTTATAAGATTGATATAATTTACTATATATTCCCCCAGGATTAATATTTTTGACATAAATTGCTTTCTTATTTTTTGTCTTAGAGATGACGCAGCAGTGATCATTTTGGCTTATATATTTTGTTTTCTGTGCATTATTTCCTAAAGAGAAAATTCCTAGGCATGGAATTCTGGGTCTAGGGCTATGAATTGTCTTAGTGCCTCCTGCTACATAATTCTCTCCAAAAGGAATGTTCCAGTTTGTCATGTGAACTTAATCTTAACTACTCAAGACTGAAATTGAGTTCCTCTAAGCAGTTACTTGGTTTGAAATATCACATGAGCCTTTATACTTTGGGGAAATCAGTATTTTGATTGCCTTGCCATGGGTTTCAAGCTTTATAAGTGAAATTCTGCTTTCTTCACTTGAGGGACTAAAAGTTCCCTCTTGAACCAATCAGTCTTATTTTTCAAAGGCTGTGAACTTTTAAAAGTCTGTCTGGTTTTATCTCCCTATTTTTCTTCATGACTCTGACTTAATTATCATAGACCCCCAAGGATGCCTAAATGCCTCAAGGACACCATTTTAAATGGATGATCAAACCCAACTTCCTACTTCTCTGTGAGAGGCACATTTCTAATCTGGGAGTGAGTAGTACAATCACTCTGTCCAGACGGAGTAACACCGGTTTCCTATAGCAAAAGCCTAGGTCCTTGGAAAACCACTGACTGCTTCATGAATTCCTTGGACATTAATTGGTGAAGTAACTAAGAAAAATGCACCCCACACAAAGTTTATTGTGGACCCCTCCTCATTCTCCCATGCAGCAAAAACAACTAAGCTTCTTTTCCCTTTGAGCAGGACAGTGGGTTTGGCTGTGCCAGGATGAGTCTCCCGGGGGTAGAGAAAGCCTGAGTATTTTTCTCTGGTGCTAAATTTACCTGACTCCAGGGCAGATGCCTCCAAGTCATAGGCAAGGGGGTTAACACACTTGGATGCTCCTAAAGGGACTTTGTCCAGCCTGCTGTGAGGTCTTTCCACCTTCTCATGTTTCTAACATGACCATAAAATCAAATCTAAATGCAAACATTAAAATGCAAGGCACTATGACTAGGTCTAGGGTAGTCATTCAAGTGATGTGGAGCAGGCTTATGTTTTTTTCTCCCTCCAGATTATCATAGACATGGGAACACAACATTTAAACGCCCTGGTAGAATTTCAAAAGTATGTCTAGAGATCCTAATGGAGTCACAAACCCCAGATTATGACACACATCAAGTTCAAGGGTCTAGAAACTTTTTCTGGAAAAGGTCAGATAGTAAATAATTTAGACTTTGGGGGCCATATGGTCTTTGTTCTAACCAATTCTACCAGCATGCAAGCAGCCATAGGCATTTGGTAAGCAAATGGGGCACAGAATTTTTTATTTCTTGTAGAGACAGGGTCTTGCTATGTTGCCCAGCCATGTTCCAATAAAACTTTATTAACAAACACAAGCACTGGATTTGGCCTGAAGGCCATAGTTTGCCAATCCCTACTCTACTTACTGTGTGAATAATAAGATGGGAAGACCTCCTGACTATCAGCTCTGTATTCTTCCAATTTTCAGTTTGTGTTTGGTTCACATCTTCAATGTATGTCTTTATCATGGGATTTAGAAAGTGGATGTTCATTCAACCAGGCATATAAGATTTTTCGTTGCCTACAGTTCTGCTCTTAATTAGCCCTATCTCCATTAAGTATGACTCAAGACTACATTTCTTGATAACGTAGATGAAATTGGTTAAGAAAATTAAAAACTGGAAAGAGACAGGCAATACAAATCAGTTTTCAAGAATTTGTGATGAGCAATTGAATCCAGCCTTTTCTTTGAGATGTGAGCAGACTCTGTTTTGAATGGCTTCTCTGCGGATAAGTAGACTTGAAAGCAGGGAAGCTGTCTGATGCAGCAGAGAGGTTGTGATGTTGAGGTAATTATTGATGCCACCAATATCTGCCTGTGTGACCTTTCCTTGCACAAGTTATTTAATTTCCCTGGGATTTGGTTTCCCCTTATATAAAGTAAGGGATTTGGATTAGATGAATTGGATTAGATGAGTCCTAAATCTGCTCAAGCTTTGAACATTTAAAATTTTGTATCAAGCAATCTATGCTGAGAGCTTTACAACATATCAGAAAGCAAGCGATTTAGAGAGAGTTCTGCCTCTTGTGAAGCTCAAATGCACATCCTACGAAGGCTTCTCACTTTGGTTTTCCCTAAAACCAGGACATTTTAGTCATCTTAGGAATCTCAATTATTATGAAAAGTTTCCCAACTTAACAGGGACAGATTTTCATAAACATAGAAGGGTGGGGGTGTCAGAAAACTTTACTAACAGAAGGTACTTCAAATGGAGAAATATAGTGGGTGTTTTAGTCAAGGTTATCCAGGAAAACAGAACCAATAGAATATATAGAGAGAGACATATATAAGAAGAGATGTAGAAATTGGTTCATGCAATTATGGAGACCAAGAAGCTCCGTGATCTACCACTGCAAGCTGAAGACCAGGAAAGCTGGTGGCATAACTCAGTCAGAAGGCCTGAGAGTAGGGGGCGAGGAGGTGAGAAAGAGGATGGTAATAGTGTAAGTCCCTGTCTGAGTCCAAAAGACGGATGTCTCAGCTCAAGCAGAGAGAGCAAATTGGCCCCTTCTTCACCTTTTTGTTCTATTCAGGCCCTCAAATAATTGGAAAATGCCCAGGCATGGTGGAGGGCCATCTGCTTTATTTTGTTCACCAAGTCAAATGCTAATTTCTTCCCAAAATACCCTCACCGACTCACCAGGAATAATGTTTTACCAGCTATCTGGGCATCCCTTAGCCCAGTCAAGTTAACACACAAAATTAACCATCATGGTGGAAGGATGGAGGCATCACCCTACAGCCATAGTTCTGAATCCTGTTTTGGTTTGTACCAGTCTCCAATGGTTCATTAACAGTAAATACTATGGCAAATATGCAATGAAGATTTTTTCATTAAATATTTAAATTTTAGCATGGCATTTGATTTATACTTTTCAATTGATTGGTCCTTCACAACCATGGATTCATAGTTTAAAATGAGGTCATGTCAAAATGGAAGAATAGTGACTATGGTAAACACAATGACTCAGACTAATCCAAGGATTCATATTGACAAGTGGGCTATAAAAATGTAGATACATCAGCCTACCATTTAGCCCAATATTAGCAATTTAGTTTCAGCAAAACATCACCTAACACATGAAATCAGTGTTGTTAACTTGAATGTTATTGTTGGTGTTGTCTTGTTTGTATTTAATTAGTGCATTTTTAATGGTTCTATAATAAACATAACCATAAGAAATGTATGGCTACTTTCATATTTGTGCATTTTTATGTAATGCTATAATAAAAATAATTTAAATCAAAAGTTGGGATCTCCAAGAATTTTTTTCAAAGATATTCATCCTCAGGTTCTCCAAACATCACAGTAAATGAATGTGAAGTTTATTTCTTCATATATCAGATGGAGATGATAATTGTTTAGTTCACAAGGCTATTAAGAAGATGAAATGTGATAACAGTTGAAAGAGGTCTGGAAAGTATAATTTGTTACATAAAATCAAGGAAGTAAAACAGTATTTACTATAAAACAAGCACAAGTAAAAAAACAAAACAGCTAGCCAGTATCTACCTCCCAGCCTGTGTGTTCAGGCCTCTTGGCAGAAATGTACTTACAGGTAAAGAGTAATGACTTATAACCTAGATGTGTTCCTTGGGGATTCCCATACATGCGGCAGAATTTAACCTGCCTCATTGCATCACTGTCTCTGTAAACACATAGAAACAAGTTTACTCAGGGCTCCGCTCAGCTATTTGGGAAAAAACCAGGTCCAGGTAAATGCAGCTGCCCACTCATGAAACTGAAGCTTCCCAGAACTGTTTACAAGCACCTGATTACAGAAGAAGGCTTGAAATCTAAGCTGAAAAGCCTTTTGACAAAGGCAGGTAGGCAAGATTTTCTACAGCATGGTCTTTAGCACCAAGGGATCCAAATGCTCTGCCTTTCCTAAAGCACTGCAAGCCGGTCGGGACTCAGGGAGGTGAATGCATGCGGGGCCTGCAAGGCAGGCTTCTAGACAGCTCAAAGCATGAAGGACAGTGAGGGGGAGCAAGGGAATACCAAGACGTATCAGGATTTCTGCATGAAGCTACTCACTAATGCCCAGGTATTGGTATTTACTAAAGAGAGGGTGGGTCACTTCCACCAATTAAAATAAAATTTGGGTAAGCCAAACATTACCTAGTAATTGCAGAAATTTAAAATGTGATATCTAGCACGAGATTTGCCACTCTTTACTCAAGGTGAGTCAATTCTTATTTCTTGGGTATCCAGAGAATGCCTAGGTACTTATTCCTGGCCAATAAAAGTTCTTAAAGCCCCCAAGAATTCTTTTGAATTTTACAATGAGGTTGAATTATGATCTTTAATTTAAGACAGATATCTGAATTATACTAAGGGCTTTTCTAAAAATCACTGAGTAAAACTAGTATTTACAATTACTGGTTCCTTCAATCTTCTCAAATGCATGACAAATTGCTCTAAGCAAGTGGATTGCCACATTGTGTCAGGAGCTACCTGCACTCCCTCTTCCCTCTTTGCAAGCTGGGTGGTGAGTGATCCAGCTTCACAACCCCACCTTATTGCCTGCTTTCCTGAACCACTCCTGGTACCAACTCCTGCAGTTCAGTGGTGATTCTGGATTCTCCAGAAGCAACCTCTGAGATAGAATTTGATGTACAGAGTATTTATTGGAGATCGACAGCTGTGGAAGAGACGGGGAGGAGGATTTTCCAGAGGGGAAAACAAACCAATGCTGGCACAGCAAAATCTTGGCCAGCCCCACAAGCAGCTCACTGTGGAGGGCAAATAACCTATCAAGGTTGTCTCACATGGGGCTGAAATGGATAGGCTTGCATACTCACCTCAATCAGTCACTGGATGTGGGCTGCCCTCGGAGGAAGCAGCTTTCTGCAGCTCAGGCAAACCCTAAAGGAGCCAACAGCTTGAAGATACATGCTGATGAGAAGGGCAACAAGCCATTCCTTGAAGGGAGGCTCTGAGCAATGCAATTTTGTATCCACCACAGTCCACCTCTTGCACTGCTCTGATCCACTATAGCGTATCCATTTGGGGGACAACCACAACCCCTTTAGGATCCATTCTAGTGGAATGAACTGTAGCCCCCAATGCTGCACCTGTTATCAAGAACACAGCAATAAGCAGCATTTCCCTTTACTGCTCCCCTTTCTTGATTCCTCTTATCTTCAGCCACCACATCTGCTGACCCCCGTGACTTCCCTGGTGTCATGAACCCAACTCTCTTTCCTGAAGAATTTGAGTCTCTGGCCACCATGACCTTCTCAGGCCAGAGTTGTAGCACTTTTTTATTTACCATCACAGTGGAGCAAGGGAATATCAAGATGTACCCAAGTATATCATCTGCAGGCCACTCATCTCCCTCCTGGCTCCACTGGGTAATGGGATCCCTACTTTCCCTGCCGAGATGGTGACTCTTGTTCTGCTGGTACCTAGATACCCGGAGTCCAAAATTCCCAGTTAGCAGCCATAGCTTTATATTTAATGGGATTCTTATGTGTCCAGTTTTGGAGACCATAACCTCTAACCCTGAAGAACTCAGATTTGTGGGAGTGGGAAGGAAAAATTTCCGTCCCCCAACAGTGGGCTATTGGGAGTGATGGTAAATGTCACTATTATGTTTCTACCTCTTTGTTCCCAGACCCATGTATTCTTCCCATTGTGGACATAGCATTACATAAAAATCTTTGATTCAATATGTATCCTGGAGGATGGAGCCTCATCTTTGTAGATTATCATCTTGGAGCTGGCTCTATAACTCTGCCTGCAACAGACCATCCAAAAGATCTGTCAGGCTAGCAGCTTCTGAGTGGCATTGTATACAGTATAACCAGTGGGTCCTATATTCACAGGGCCCTCTCTCACATGTCCTTGCTAAGAAAAGGATTTCTGGTCAGTTGCCATATTGTATGGGATTCGATGTTGGTGGTTCAAAAACTCTGTTAAGTCCTCAGATAGTAGTGCTGGCTGAGGACCTGTGGTCAAGAAAAAGAAAACCTATACTTAGAATATGTAACTCCTATTAGAACAAAGATTTGACTCTTCCAGGAGCCCAGTGTAAGCAAGTTGCCACCAAGTGGCTGGCTCCATATTGAGGGGCCAGAGTTCATCTCTGTAGCTGGCAAGCTAATATTTGGAAGCAGCAGTAACTAAATCAGCCTTAGTAAGTGGAAGCCCATTCTGCTGAGCCAATATGAACCCTCCATCTTTTCTACCACGGCTACTCCATTCACATCCATCAGGCCACCACTGGGATCACCAATGATCAAATTGGGCTGATGATGACTGGCTGTGCCATTCTGCCCACTTGGTTTCTTAGTGCCTCTTCTGTGGTTCTCAGGAGGGCTTTCAAACATGATACAAACATCATACTTTGATCTCACACAGATATGTCTTCCATAAAAGGGTCTCTACTCCAGACATTATTCTAATCTTTCTCTTTCCAAGCTTGACCACCCATCCAATCTATTCATCACTGCCCAGAAGTTTATATATATATATATATTCTAACACCTGGCCACTTCTCTTTCCACATCAAGTGGATGGCCAGTGCACCACCTGAAGCCCCACACATTGGGAGGATTTTTCCCTAGTAGCCATCTTTCAAGACCACTTCCAAGTAAGGCCGAAATCCCGGTGTCATCCATTTTCAGTTGACAAGCACCCACTTAGTTGACCTAGCTGTAAACCAATGTCGAATTTTTCCTGCTCTGACAACCGATGGTAAAGGATTCCCCATAAGGTTTTTGCTAACACATGTAAAGGACCTGATCATATATGATCAACTTAGGGGTTAGATATGTAGTCATGATAAAGTCACTTTTCCATCTTGTGCCTTTATTTTGGATCTGTATTTAAAAGGTGCTGGGAGAGTCCTCTCTGCTTCATATTCTTCAAGAAGGCATGAGGATTAAGATCATATATGTGAAGTGTTTGTGACCTTGGAAGGAAGAACCTCGCAGAGAGTCATCATCATTGTTAAAGTTGGGTTTGGCAAGGCCTGCTGAGATTTCATTTTAGTGTTTAAACAAGCGATGGGTGAGGTTCTCAAAAAGAGAAAGAGAGAGAGAAGCCAAGTCAGGATACAAGGATGTGTCCAGACAGTGCCTGGTTTGCATCAGTAAACAAATGCCAAGGTGGTGACTAGATGTCCTGGTGCTGGTGGGCAGCACTTCAGTGATGTCTGCTGGTGGGGTCGCTGCTGACTGACTCTGTTCATCCTTGAAGTCAGTAGGATTCCCATGGAGATCTATATAGGCTTTGTGTGTGTGTGTGTGTGTGTGTGTGTGTGTGTGTGTGTGTGTGTGCATGTGCATGCGCATGTCTTTGGGGGACAGAGAAAGGACAAAGGAGAACCCATTTTCACTACTTCTCTTTCATGCATTTGACGGTCTATCTCACTCCAGTTGGTAAAAGTGTAATAACCACCCATTACGAGAACTGTTTTAACTTCTACCCATTGTTTTAAGACTTTGTGCTGAGTGCTCTCAGGCAGCAAAAGGCTACACTACATGGGCCTGGCTTTGAGGGGACTTCAAACAAGCCAGTGCAGAAAAGCAAAATGCCTCCCACTAGGTCGCACTTCTCCAACACTCATTGCAAAGGAATCACCTGGGATCCTGTGAAAATGCAGACTCTGACTCAGGAGGCCTGAGTGGGGCCTGAGCCCTGTGTTTCTAACAGAACCCCAGGACTACAGGATGCTGTAGTCCACAGACCCCACTGTGAGCAGTGATGAGCCCAGGCTGAGAGGAGGAAGGGTCTTGGAAGTCAGGAGCCTAGGAGGCTGCTCTGGAGTGGCAAGGGTGGGGTGCACAGTAAGGTAGGTCAAGGGCTTAACCCTCATATGGGGCGGACATGCTTGTAAAAGGGCACACATTGAGCAAAGGCTTAGAGAAGGGGATGCCAAGAGATTCAGGGTGTAGCTCCTGGGTCCTGGCTCCCTTGGCAAGTCCTGCAGCAGGAGAAAGGGGGGATGTTGAGAAAGGGCTGTCAGGCCTAGAAAGGGGGTGGTCTGGAGCACTGAGGTGGTGACTCAGTCCTTTTGCTAAGCGGAAGCCATGGAGGATTCTTCTCTTTAGTGTTGCTGTTATTGGTGCTGGTAAAAGTAGAGTTAGCTGGTCATGTTGAGCAGGCACTTTCAAGCAGGAAAAATGGAAAAGAAGACCTGTTAAGTATCGTGAAGAAAGTGGCTGACAGAGAAGATGAAGGGCCCTTTGACAGAAATAATGAAATCATGAGTTATTTAGGGTAGGAGCAGTCGGCAATAAAAGGGGCTGAATCCATGTGAAATTTAAAGTAGTTTTTTCTAGTTCTGTGAAGAAAGTCAATGGTAGCTTGATGGGAATGGCACTGAATCTATAAATTACTTTGGGCAATATGGCCATTTTCATGATATTGATTCTTCCTATCCATTAGCATGGAATGTTTTTCCATTTGTTTGTGTCCTCTCTTATTTCCTTGAGCAGTGATTTGTAGTTCTCCTTGAAGAGGTCCTTCACGTCCTTTGTAAGTTGTATTCCTAGGTATTTTATTTTCTTTGTAGCAATTGTGATGGGAGTTCACTCATGATTTGGCTTGCTGTTTGTCTATTATTGCTGTAAAGGAATGCTTGGAATTTTTGCACATTGATGTATAGCCAAGACAATCCTAAGCAAAAAGAACAAAGCTGGAGGCATCATGCTACCTGACTTCAAACTATACTACAAGGCTACAGTAACTAAAACAGCATGGTACTGGTACCAAAACAGATATATAGACCAAGGGAACAGAACAGAGGCCTCAGAAATAACACCGCACATCTACAACCATCTGATCTTTGACAAAACTAACAAAAACAAGCAATGGGGAAAGGATTCCCTATTTAATAAATGGTGCTGAGAAAACTGGCTAGCCATATGCAGAAAACTGAAACTAGACCCCTTCCTTACACCTTATACAAAAATTAACTCAGGATGGATTAAAGACTTAAACATAAAACCTAGAACCATAAAAACCCTAGAGGAAAACCTAGGCAAAACCATTCAGGACATAGGCATGGGCAAAGACTTCATGACTAAACACCAAAAGCTATGGCAACAAAAGCCAAAATTGACAAATGGGATCTAATTAAACTAACGAGCTTCTGCACAACAAAAGAAACTATCATCAGAGTGAAGAGGCAACCTACAGAATGGGAGAAAATTTTTGCAATCTACCCATCTGACAAAGGGCTAATATCCAGAATCTAACAAATTTACAAGAAAAAAACAAACAGCCCCATCAAAAAGTGGGCAAAGGATATGAACAGACACTTCTCAAAAGAAGACATTTATGTGGCCAACACACATGTGAAAAGAAGCTCATCATCACTGGTCATTAGAGAAATGCAAATCAAAACCACAATGAGATACCATCTCACGCCAGTTAGAATGGTGATCATTAAAAAGTCAGGAAACAACAGATGCTAGAGAGGATGTGGAGAAATAGGAATGCTTTTATATTGTTGGTGGGAGTGTAAATTAGCTCAACTATTGTGGAAGACAGTGTGGTGATTCCTCAAGGAGCTAGAACCAGAAATACTATTTGACCCAGCAATCCCATTACTGGGTATATACCCAGAGGATTATAAATCATTCTACTATAAAGATACATGCACATGTATGTTTATTGCAGCACTATTCACAATAGCAAAGTCTTGGAACCAAACCAAATGCCCATCAATGATAGACTGGATAAAGAAAATCTGGCATATATACACTGTGGAATACTATACAGCCATAAAAAAGAATGAGTTTGTGTCCTTTGCAGGGACATGGATGAAGCTGCAAATCATCATTCTCAGCAAACTAACACAGGAATAGAAAACCAAACACTGCATGTTCACTCATAAGTGGGAGCTGAACAGTGAGAACACATGGACACAGGGAGGGGAACATCACATACTAGGGCCTGTCAAGGGGTGGGGGGCTAGGGGAGGAAGAGCATTAGGACAAATACCTAATGCATGTGGGGCTTAAAACCCAGATGATGGGTTGATGGGTGCAGTAAACCACCATGGTGCATCTACACCTATGTAACAAACCTACACGTTCTGCACATGTATCCCAGAACTTAAAGTATAATTAAAAAAAAAGAAAGAAAAAGCAGGGGGGCGGGGCTGAAAACTGTGCTATAAAGTACTTTTCCTCCTCAGTTGAGAATACATATTTTTAAATCCAGAACTCACATATTCCATAATAGTGAAAGGAAACAGGTCTGCCCCGCACCCTCCGCCTGAGTTGGGGCATCATGGAGTAAGAGAATGTTAAAGCTGAGGGCACTGCCACCAGGGATGAGCCAACCCACATCTTCAGTTCATGGATGGAGAGCAGGGGCCCCAGGAAGAAGAAGAGACTTTGCTCAGGCCATAGCACACGGTGACAGTGAGGTGAGGATGAGCTTTGGGGTCTTTCAACGTTCAGTCCAGGAGTCTAACTCTTCTTTTTCCCCTGTCGATATTTTCAAGTCACCAATCATTCAGAGATTGTTTGTGTTTTCTCTGAAGACCTCCTCTTGGCAGACCACCTGCCTGCCCATCTCCGTCCAGGAGGCTGTGGGGCTGCGGCCCTCGGAGAAAGCTCCTGGTGTTCTGCTGGCTTCTGCCCCCAAGGCCTCCAGTGCAGTGGCCCACTCCTGCCACAAGCAGCACGCTTGCCCTGGTTTCCCTGCAGATCGGGGGCAGACTAGCAAGGCTGGTGCACAGCCCAGATCCACCCTTGCTGGCTGGACCTGCGTTCCCTAGAGCTGCTGGTAGAACTGTCCCCCTGCAGCCTGCTGTGTGGGCTGCTCCAGCTGTGTTCTTCCACCATGGAAGGGTCCCAGCCTCATGAGAGGCTGCCACCAATTTTCCCTCACTGTGGGCTACTGGGGGATTTCCCCAAACAGGTGCCTTGGGTCAGTGTCTGCTGTAAGAAGCAAGGCTCCTTCTCATATTTCCATCCCTGTGGCCATGGCCCATGACTTTATCACTACCGCATATTTAGCACTTACATATAGGATAACCAACTTGTCCCACGTTGCCTGGACTGCCCTGGTTTTACAACTGCAAATTCCCACATTCTGGGAGCTCCTCAGACCCAGCCAAACCAGATTTGTTGGTCACCCTACTTACATGCTTTATAGACAATTTCAGGTCCTTTACATGCATATTCACAAATTCTCACAACCTGTGAGGCAGGTACTAATATTGTTCTTATTTAACAGATGAGAAAAATGATGCTTGTGGTGGTTAAGTAACATTCAATTTCATACAACTTGTGTCAAGGTCATTGTTCAAACCTCAAATCCATCCTCTTAATCACTGCTCCAAAAGGTGCGCAGGCTGGGCCTTCTGGCTTCTTGAGGCTTGTAGCCACGAGAACACCCTCCCCGATTTAGGATCCAATGCCAGGATCCTCCATGTCCCCTTGATCGGAATCACAAGCCCTCCCAGGGAGGTGAGAGTGCAGAGCTTTCCAATGACTGTGGGCAAAGCCTGACCCTTCTACTATGAAACAGAGCTTACACCCCACTGTAGAGACGCTCTCCCCTCGGGCTTCTACTCCAAAAACTTAAACCTAACCATTATGTCATCCTTTTCTTCAGTGAAATTCTAGTTCTGAAAACCCAGTTTCCCGCACTCTCCTCTAAGCGTCCATTCCCAGGGCAGACCCGCCCCTTTCTTCTCACCCTTGGGTCAAAGAGAGTAAAAGGAGACTAAGTGGGGTTTGAGAAGTTCTATTTTCCCTGCGGGTAACAGGAAAAAAAACAAAAAGCCACCGACACAGAGTCTCAGAAGTGACCATATAGAAGAAGCTGTCTTTATTAGGAAGGATGTCTCATTCAGTTTAGCATTAAAATAATCTGGCATCAGAATCTACATTTGAATAGTTCTCTACCATCTTCTAAATGCCTTTCTGGAGCTTTATTATCTCACTGAGTCCTCCCGATAGCCTTTTGGGGTAAATGTCATTATTTTGCCTATTTTTCAGAAAAAGAAACTGAGGTTTCCGTTGTGTTGAGGTTTTCAGAGTGGTTGAGTCACTTTTCCACAGCCCGTGTGTAGAGGGAGTCTGGATACAGAGATTTTGAAATCTTCTGGTAATAGATAGTACCCTAGAGAGAAATCTCCTTTCCCGTCACCCATCACCACCCCCTTAGAGGGCTGGTGTCTCATTGGTGGCCTCCCCATGGGAGGAGATGATGTGGTACCTCTGTCACCCTATCAATCAGTGCCTGGATGATGTGGTACCTCTGTCACCCTATCAGTGCCTGGAAGAGTACTCCAGTGAATGGAAAATAGTACTCATGCTACAGAAACTCGGCTTCACCCATAGTTTACCTCTACATCTCTCCTGTATATTTTCAGAAACTTACTTGGGGTTTCACAGACAGGATTTACAGTCAAGACCACCTGGGGTAGTCCCTGAAGGAGGAAAGGCTTGTCTGGATTAAAAGTGAGAATGCTCTCAAATCCCACCCTAGTGGCACACCTCATGGCAGGTGGAAGTGAGACAAGCTCTTCTCACCATGGCTTCCCTCCACCACCTCCTTTGTCAGAAGCTAAACAAGCCCTTCCAGCAAACGTTCTGGCTCTCAGAGGTTCTCTGCAGTTCCACAGATATCCTGGGCTGGGATCCAACAGGGGCCTGCTTAGTCATAGCCACAGGAGTCTTGGAACATAGCCCCCTTTTCAAAAAAGAAACCTCCTAAGTCTCCGGGGGGGTCTCAGTTTCCACAGATGCAGCTCAGCCCTTTGCCTTTAGGGTTTCTTTACTGTCCTGTTAAATTGCAAATTCCCCTAGGAGTCTATTTAAAGCTCTTATCAGCCTTTTCACTTTAAGATAAATACAATACATTTCAGTCTTTCCTGAGGGTCTGATGGGAAAATGAGAGGAGTCTGGACTGTGTACCTTCCCTACCAAAAGACAAATGAGTCTGGGAAGGGAGAGTGGAGAGGAGTAAAAGGCAACTGCACCTCCCACATGTTGAGGTTGCATCCTGGCTGCTGTGTGCGGCAGGTCTGCAGAGATATCCAGGAGGATGGCCCAGTCAGGGTTTTTGGTTTGCAAACAACCGAAAACTCACTGAGCTAAACTAAGCAGAAATGGGGCTTGTTAGAAGGCTACTGGCAAGAAGACTAGAGAACAGTTAGTCTGGGAAGCTGGGCACACAGCCAAGAACCCACCAAGGGGATGATCCAATTAGGAGCCAGTTCTGCAGTCACAGGAGGCCCCACGCCTCTGAAAACAGCCCTCCCTGCTGCTGCTGCTGCCTCCAGCCAGGACATAGTGCAGCAGAGAATTACCCCAAAAGAGGAAGGCCCGCGAGTGACAGGCAGCTCCCACCCATCTCACTCCCCACCTACTCCCTGCAAATGTCCCCTGCAGACAAGATACAGAGAGGAATGGCTGCCCTTAGCTCTGTCTAACAGAAGAAGCTTCACTGAATAAACGTTTTGCTCTCCTACCAGATCAGATGGATTCTATTATACAATATCCCAATTCCACTGTAAGACCATAGAGATGGTAGAGATTTTGTATCAGGCCGATTTGAGCTGAAATCCTGTCTAAGCCACTTACTGGCTGTTTGATCTTGGATAAATGATTTAACTAATCAAGCCCTCAGTTTTCTCACCCATTACGTAGGCCGTCCATAAGTAGGTATGTCAAATCTCACAAAGTAGTTTGGAGGTGTTTTTAAGGAAATAGAAATATCAAACAGCTGGCCCAGAGCAGGATTTTAATAAATGTGCTTGGCTTTCTCCTCCTTCTACCAAGTTTCCAAGTCATCATTGGCCCATTATCTCCAACTTGGGGCACAGTGAGCACTGGGCTTGGCAGTGGCAGGCGTGTCTTTGTTGAATGGAGGAAGATATACTGAGCCCACATCTGCATTTCTACAGCAGCAGGAGACTGGTATGTTAGATGTGGACCCAAATAGCACACAGGTAGGCCATATAACAACCTGATACACACATTGCCCGGGAGCCTGTGTGCTCCTGACTAACTCTGCCCATCCCCGCTAGCAGCCCCAACAGCTGAGGCACCCTGGTCCAAGTTCATGGCTCTGCAGAGCTGCCCATATAAAGCTGACCACGGAAAGGAAAAAAAGCAGAAACAAAGAAGAACAATGGACTTTTCCAGTCCAGTATTCATAACCATTTAGACCAAAGATGACATTTATATATTTTTAATTCAGAAAATATATTCTCTTCCCAAAGGAAAGAAATAGGGGGGTGCCTAGAGAAGACAGGAGGTGCCCTTTCACAGTCTCTTTACAGAATTAGAATCTGAGCACAGCACAAGCAAATACAACCTCAAATAAGGCCCCTCAAAGTCCTTCCTAGCTGGAACAAGTTTGGAGGGCAAGCTGTCCAAAACCGTCATCTTATACTTGTCTTAGAGTTGAAAATGTGGTCATTGAACTCCAGTACCAAGTTAGGTGACATATTTACACATCTGCAGTTTTTAACAACCATTCTGGCTTCAAATATTCTGTGTAGTTGCTTCCAAAAACAAATATTTACCCTGGTTATAAATTTGGATTTGGAAAATGCAACCTGGTAAACATGGATCCACTGTGTCTGCCATGGAAGGGGGATCATCAGTCCTGGCTTGAACAGTTGGGCTTGAAAATGACTCTTGTGAAGACTCACAGTGTGTCCTTCAGGAGCTAACAGGATGTGGGCATGAACCACTCACCTTTGAGGACATTGCTTTCTTTGCGGACTCTAAGCTTAGGGCTTTTTTAAAAATACACACTTCATTTATGGAGACATTGGCAGTTATTGGGTCCCTGTAAAAATTTTCCAGCAAAGGAATAAGCTTCTTGAAGCATCTGGTGGCAGTTTTCCTTTTGGTTTTGACTTTTTTCTTTCTCTTCTTGTTTTTTAAATTTCCACATGTAGCTTGCTGTGTCCTGTCATTGGGAATAAAGCCAGGGCGGTGAGGGTGTTGAGGAGCAAGTAGCAGCATGGAAACCCCTCCACACTGCAAAACCAAAGTTCAAATGTTCTGATCCCAGCAGGGCTGACAGCCATTCAGCTCCGACGGCATGGATAAGAGGAACTTGGACAAGGATTTGCTGTTTGGGCATCTACTGACTAAAGCTCTTTTGCAAGATTCTGTTATCTTCATGGACAATATTGTTACCCATTTCTTTAAGAAAATGTTCGTTTAGCAAAACTTCACATACAAGTGCAAATTAGTTTACCCAATTACCCTTCATCAAGAACTATTTACTTAAGTCTTCTGTTTGCACCTTCTGCATAATTTATGCAGCTTTCATTTGAAATACAATTTAGAATTTAAGTATTTGATGAGGATGGCATCTTAAGGCGTGTTTACCAGGAATAATCATAGAAGCAAAATAAAGTGAATGGCAATTCTTTAAGTGGAGGCTAGAGCTTTGGATCCCCAGGCCAAGCGGTTTCACATGTGAGGCACTTTAATCCTGCTAGCCAGCATGTGGTTGCTTAGTAACTGTCCTTATCAGTGGTTCAGGGTTTCTTCTGATTGCCTTGTAAGAAGATAGCACCTTTGGTACCTTCTATCTCTTCCCTTAGAGATGCAATAAGAAATAATTTTGTAAAAGGTCACCCTCAAGAAATATACTTTCTAGCTGGGAATGGTGGTATGCACCTGTAGTCCCAACTACTAAGGAGGCTGAGGAGGGAAGATCACTTGAGCCCAGGAGTTCGAGGCTGCAGTGAGATATGATCACGCCACAGCACTCCTGCCTGGGCAATAGAGCTAGACCCTGTCACTAAAATATATATATATACTTTCATGTATAAGTACAACATCTAGCTAGCCAGCCAACAAAGTTAAAACATTTATAATAATTAGTGTTGAACTTAGAACAGTGATTCTCAAACAATGGTATGCAACAGAATCTCCCGGAGAATTCATAAAATACAAAGGCGCAGGTCCTATCCTATTTCAAAGAGTCTCAGCATTGTATTCTTTCCAACACACCCATGCTGGAGAACCACTACTCGAGCCCACAAGCACTTGTTACAGGGCCCAATAGCTCTGTAGCCCAATAGCCCAATAGCTCCAAAATGTCCACCTGCTGAGGCCAATCAAAATCAGATCAGTGCCTGACCATTCATGAGCAGTCCTAAGGAGACTGCTGCAGTGCTCCATTGCAACCATGGTCCCAGCCACCAAGAGGCTCCCAGAGAGGCTGAGTCAACTCACTTATCTGTGTGTGTACACAGATGGGCTCTGGCACTGATGTTTGGGTCGTCACTCTCAGAAGATAATTCTACGAGAAGATGAACATTAGAGACAGCAACCCAGGCCATACGAAAGGGAGAACAGTCTGAAGATGTCCTTCCTCTCAAGCTAGGATTTCAGTTAGCTAATAAAACTGACTGCATTCACTGGGCTGTGAGACACTGAAGTTCATTTCCATAAAAGCTGTTGTGCCATTTTCTTCTCTGGAGATCTTAGGAGTTCAGAAAGCCCTGTTTATGGAGTAAAGGGTGGGTCTGGCTGCACATATGTGACTTGAATTCTCTCAAGAGAGGACTGAGCCTGTTTCATGGAATGATTTAGAGCATTCCTCCACCCTGTCACACTGGGTCAAACAGGGACAATACTGGCCGGGCGTGGTGGCTCACGCCTGTAATCCCAGCACTTTGGGAGGCCGAGGCGGGTGGATCATGAGGTCAGGAGATCGAGACCATCCTGGCTAACACAGTGAAACCCCGTCTCTACTAAAAATACAAAAAATTAGCCGGGAGCGGTGGCGGGCTCCTGTAGTCCCAGCTACTTGAGAGGCTGAGGCAGGAGAATGGCGTGAACCCAGGAGGCGGAGCTTGCAGTGAGCCGAGATAGGGCCACTGCACTCCAGCCTGGGCGACAGAGCCAGACGCTGTCTCAAAAAAAAAAAAAAAAAAAAAAAAAAAACAGGGACAATACCATTGAGATGCAATTTCTCTAGACACACACACAAAGAAATGGAAAATGTGGAGAAAGACAGCAGAGGCAGAAAATACTCTGGACCTTGACAGAATTTCTGCTCCCAAATTCATCTGCCCTCTGACATGAAAAGCAAGTTGACAAATATTTTGCTTTTTTTTTTAAAAAAAAAGAGGTTTACTAAACTATGAGTTTAAGTAAAGTGCTTAGAAGACACAACGTATTCTTCCTTCTGTTGGAAAGACTCATGGAGCAGACACTTGCCCCAAAGTTCAATGTCCCAGGTAGAAGCATCTCTCAGCCTCCTTGACATCTTCACAAACCACAGGAAACTGAGTTCTGCAGAGTAGATGACAAAGAAGGCGGAGTTCCCATCAATTCTTTTCAGAGATCTATTCTAGATTTCATTTGCACACATCCAGAAGCATCCTTGGCCACAGACTCACACTGAAATCAGAGCAAGAACCAGAACTCTGGAGGTTTAACTTTTACACAACAAAAATAAAGCTTTACAACAAAGTCTAAATGTGGCCATCTTGTGCAAGTAAATGATAAACATTATCATTTGCTGTTTCACCCCAGAACAGAAAGGAAGACTGACAAACGGGAAGCTGCCCATCAAAATGCAGAAGGAATGGACTTCGGTTTATACAGAGCTGAGTGTGAGATCTGGTTCCACCACTTGCCAGCCATGTGCCCTCAGGAAAAGTTGCTCAGCCTGTCCAGACCTTAGTTTCCTCATCCGTAAAATGAGAAGAGTAAACCGATCTCCTTCATCAGGTTACTGGGAGGATTAAATTTAATGAGGTGTTTCTTGTAGCACAGCACTGCACAAAGAAAGTGCTCAGTAAGGCCAGCCATCATTTTGGATCTATATAGAAACAAGAGCAATCTACACTTTAAGTCATTGGGAATTTGGTGACTATAATGAGGAAAATGGTGGTGTGGGAGGTAGTGGATTATCCTACCTGTTATCTTTTTTAAAAAAATTGCATGGAGAACTGAATCGCATCTGAACTACATGCCCAGGATTGTCCTTGGCATTACTGGGGATATCAGTATGGCCGCTGTCCTAGAAGAAACTGCAATCTAATTGTACAGACAAAGTATACAATTGCCTGACTATATAGACAAAGAAACATCAAGTATAAATCCAAATAATATATTCAGGGAAGAAAGCATGAGAGAAATGAGATCAGTGCAAGCTTGAAAAAAGCTTTTTGAAGGAGGTGGGGCCAGGGAGGGCCTTGAGTGATGGCAATTAAGATGCCTTGCGTCTCTGCTTACATCAGTCATTGTGGGAAACCCAAACTCCCAGCCCAGGCCAACCCCATCCTCTTTCCAGCACTGTCTACCCTTATGCTGACCCATTCTCACCCTCTTCCTAATCTACCAAGCCCTTCCCCTATGCCCGTGATCTCATGGTCTGAAACTGAAACCTAAACTCTGCTCTGTGAGTCCTTGTCACCTTCTCACTACAGCTACACCTAGCTCGGCCCTAGGTACCCTAGGACGGATTCTCCTCAGTCCTCTGAAGCAGTAGCCCTTTCTCCCACACATCCCCTAGTCACCCCAGGGCCAGCCTCCTCCTTGTCTCCTCCAGCCTCTCCACACAAACCTCCAGTGATTCTAACGTGCCTAGCGTCAGTCCAGAACTCCCCGTTGCAGTCGGGTGCAGACATGTCGCCATGCCGTAACTCCTTGAAGATTTTAGCACTGAGATGATTGTTACACTCTTCAACATTACTCATGTGATAGACAGAAAAATGGCTCCCCAAAATGCCCACATCCTAATTCCTGGAACCTGTGAATATGTTATATGGTGCTATCGACTGAATTGTGTCCCCAGAAAATTCATATGTTGGGATCCTAAACCCCCAGTACCTCAGAATGGGAATGTATTTGGAGATAGGGCCCTTAAAGAGGTGATTACGTTAAAATGGAGCCGTGAATCCAATCTCACTGGAGTCTTTATGAGAAGAGGAAATTTGGACACAAGAGACACCAGCGATGTGCACATGCAGGGAAAGGCCTTGTGAGGACACAGCAAGAAGGTGATCATCTGCAAGCCAAGGAGAGAGGCCTCAGAAGACATGAAACCTGACAACACCTTGATCTTGAACTTCCAGCCTCCAGAACGGTGGAAAATGAATTTCTGTTGTTTAAGTTACCCAGTCTGTGGCATTTTGTGATGATAGTCCTAGAAAACTCATACACATGCAAAGGGAAACGGAAGTTGCAGATGGAATGAAGGTTGCTAAAGCCCTGGCTTTAAATAGGGAAAGGAGCCTGGCTTATGCCAGTGGGCCTGATGTCATCACAAAGGTCCTTCAAAGTTGGGGGGGAGATGCAGAAATGTCAGAGCGATACAAAGAGAGGGCTGAGCAGGTGGCACTGGCCTTGAAGAGGAAGGAAGAGACCATCAGCCAAGGGATGCAGGTGGCCTCTAACAGCTGGAAAAGGCAAGGAAACAGATTCTCCCCTGAAGTCTCCTAGGGCCTCCAGAAAGGAGCCCAACCCCGCCAATACCTAGATTTCAATCCAGTGAAACCTGCATTGGTCCTCTGTCCTAAAGAGGAGAAAGATCATGCATTTGCATAGTTTAACCTGCTAGGTTTGTGGTAATTTGTTAAAGCAGTCATAGGAAATGAATATCACTTTGTTCATAAACCCTGGAGATTTTAACATCCATGTAGAGTTAACAATCCATCCAATATCTTTAATTCTTTCAGGTCCCTGAGTCTCTCTCCTCCCAGGCCCTGCCACACTTATCTCAGACCCCACTCCCAGGATCTAGTCACTGCGTCTAATTGTAACTCATCCACTTGTGGGATCACTCTCCAATCTCCACTTCTCTGATCTTTCTACCCACTCTCTGGGCTCCAATATCCAGACTCCAAAAGTCCTTCAGCTATACCTTCCTCTTGTGCATCCTCTCCCCACTTGAGCTGTCACTGGTTAGAAATACGATCATCTCTTACATGTGCTCTCCTCAGCTTTGCTCCTCTCTCCTCCTTGCACTCACATGGAAAAGCCAAACCCTGGAAAAAGCCCACTTCCCCACCTACTCTGTACTCTGTACCTTCACCCAAGCATCTGGCATGACTGGAGGAAAACACTTTATCAGGCTCATCTGTCTCCATTTAAATTCACCAGTAAATCCTACCATATTCCCCTTCATTCATGCACTTCTTCTCCTGGATGAGTATTTCCCACCTGAACGATGAACCTGAGACATCACCTCTTACAGGAAGCCTTCCTTGACCCCTTCCTTGACCACACCAAGGCTGGATGAAATGACTCCTCGGGGCTTTTAAAATATTCTGTGCATATTTTGCACTCACCGCCTTGGATTGTAATTATCCACAGGCCTTATTACCACAGGATGGTAAGATCTCAAAGAGACCAGGCGCCTCTCCATGTTCTGCAGTCAACTCGGTGCCCAGCACAGAGTACGTACTCGGTAAATGCTTAATGAATGAATGAAGAAATGAATAAATGAGCCAACAAAGAAAGTGGAAGAAAAACACATCTAATAATCCAGATGACTTGTAAATTTATACGGGGTTTTACTTTTTAACCTCTGATCCACTTTTTCCCAAAAGAAGAAACCAGGGTGGCTGACTGTCTACCCAAGACCATTTAGTATCCTGGGGTAAACATCCTGAGGCAGACAGATATCTCCAATCTGAAACACAAAAACAAACAAACAAAAAAACAGATTCCAGTATAGATTTCCTTTGGAGATACCCTCAAATGTGGAATCATGAAATCTTAGAATCAGATGGGTCCTGCAGAGTCATTTAATTTCATGCTCTGAGCTTGTCCAGCCCAATCTGAGGACTAACCTGGGCTTCAGAGCAATATTGTTTGCTATTTTGGTTGATTTGTCATTATAATTATTTAGTTATTATAATTATTTTGAACCCAAATTGTTTAGAACATCAAAAAGACACAGGGAAAAAAATATTCACCTTAAAAGAAGCCAATGAAAATATTCACTTTTTTTTATTTGAAAAGTTAAGACAGAGCCAGAGGGCATGTAGAAAGGTATGAACCGAAGTCAGGAAATCAAGGCCTGTGGGGCTCCTGGGTGTGCTTGTGCAGAGAACTGACCCTTACTGAGTTTTTATCCCAGATGGTGGAGGTTATTATACCTCCCTTCCCCACTCCCAGCAGCGACTGCATCAGGTAATGCCTGTAACCACACTGAGCTCCCTGGGGAGTGGGTATGAGCAGAAATCATACTGTTACAAATACTCCAACAACAGTGAGAAACCAATGATTTTCTGTAGTTTTTTTTTTTTAAAAAAAACCTTAAACCACATGATTTGACTTGGCCAAGTTGAGACAAATGTCCCTCATGATTTGACCTGGCCAAGTTGTGAAAACTACAGCTGATCAACCTAATGCTTATGGGATAACAAATGGAAACCTCCAAATTTTGGCTGCTTCTTACTAGAACGAAAGTAAAATACAAAAATACAGAAGACACAGCTTCTCTGAGCCACATATTTGTGCTTTCCATGGTGAATATTTGTTGGTTTCATAAACATTTACACCACACCTACTAAGTGCCAGGCACAGTGCAGTACTGGGCCAAGATAGATCAAGATAACAAGTGGTAGTATCTGCTCTAGAGACCCTCACAGTTTGATGAGGGTGGGGAGACAGACATATAAACAAATCACTATAGTAAGCACAGCAAGCACTCCTAAAGAGGCACTATAGTAACATGAGTGCCATCTACCCATATGCCAGTTCCTCTTCCAGACAGAGACAAGTTGCCTTAGTCAATAAATATTACAGAAAATTATGGAGGCAGGAGCACTTAATTGCCAGTGTGAGATGCCACAGAGTCTTCATGTGACAATCTGGTGATTGTGGAAATATGAATTAAAACTAAGGTGCAATACTGAGCCAACATGAGGATCAGCTACTCAAGAGGGACCCTCAAACCCACAGCAAACTTTGCATCAATGAGGAATACATCTTTGTTGTTCTAAAATTGTAAGACTTAAGGCATGTTTGTTACCCAGCTACCCTGACTAATACAAGTATACAGTAAGAGCTTTGAGAATAAAGAGGAGGGAACTTGATGAAGTCAAATAAATATTCACAGTGAAGGTGACATTTGAGCTGAATGAAAGGGTGTGATGATGAGCAGTCTGGTGTGGCTGGAATGCATCTGTATAAAATGTGAGTTTTAATATTTAAAAACATTGAGGCTGAAGAGCAACGGAGGCCATGCTAAAAAGCCTGGGCTGGTTCCTATGAAAAAGAGTGGCTGAGGACCAGTGTGCATACGCAGGGAGACTTTGGGTAGTTCTCCAACAGAGCAAACTAATGTCTAGTCATTTAGTGAAAAAACAATTCTCTTAAAATTTTTCTTTTAAAACCTGTAATTTTATCAAGAAGGAAGTCTCAGTGTGATGCTCTGTGATGGTTAATTTTTTCTGTCAACTTGACTGGGTTAAGGGATGCCCAGATAGCCAGTAAAACATTATTTCTGGGTGTGTCTGTGAAGGTGTTTCTGGCAGAGATTAGCATCTGACTTGATGCACTGAATAAGAAGATTTTGCCCTATGAATGTGGGTGGGCCTCATCCACTCTGTCAAAAGCCCAGAGAGAACAAAAAGCAGGAGGAAGGGCAAATTTGCTCTCTCTACCTAAGCTGAGACATCCACCTTCTCCGTTCTTGGACATTGGTGCTCCTGGTTCCTGGACCTTCAGAATCTAGGACTGATACCAGCAGTCCCCTGACCCCTCAGTTCTCAGGACTTCCAACTTGACTGAGAGTGACAACATCTACCCTGGTTCTCAGGCCTTCAGACTCAGACTGAATTACACCACTGGCTTTTCTGGTTCTCCAGCTTACAAACAGAAGATTGTGAGACTTCTTGGCTCCTCTATTTTTATATATATCCTATCGGTTCTGTTTCTCTGCAGAGCCCTAATACATGCTCCTCAACTCACTTGGAATAACAACTGAAGTCCTTTCAATGACCTACAAGGCCTTGCAACAACTTGACTTCCAATGACATCTCTGAGCTCATTTTGTCTCCTTCCCTCATGCATTCTACTAGAGTCACATTAGCCTCCTTCCTAGTCTTTGAACCCAACAAGCGCATTCCTACTCAGGACCTTTGCGCTTTCCATTCTCTCTGCCTGGAACGCCCTTCCCAGGATACCTGTGGTTCACACCCCTATTTTCTTCAAGTCTTGGTTCACATGTCGTCTTCCCGGGGATGCCCTCCCTGACACCAGTTACATAAAATTGAATCCCCTTCATAACTCCATCCTTGACTTATTTTTCCCAATAGCATTTATCATCAATTAGTATACTACATAATTTTCAATTTTATTTTGTTTAGTATGTATCTATCCCTACCAGAATATACGCTCATTAAGGCCAGGAATTTTTAACATTTTTTTCACACCTGAATAATTCCCAACTGTTAAAGTGAACAATGTTCAGGACACAGCAGATGTTCAAAAGATATTTGCTGAATGAATAAGTACCTATGAAAAATGTGCTCATCTCCATCTTTATCAGACAAAGATTGGCCTCAGGCTTAGAATTGTTGGAAGGCATCAGTATCTAGCTACAGTTGAAAATTATGTTTGTCAAAGGATAATTTTTAAAAGATAAAATCATAACTTTCATACAAATATAAAATGAACATGTGTTAATGATTTTATTTAACTTATTAATGAGTGAACAAGTAAGATGTTACAACCAGTTCAAAGGAGAATTCAAGTAACACACACATAAAGAGGCAGATAAGGAATGCTGAGATGAATTTACCAATAGAGGCAAAACTGATCAATATCAACAGAGCAGTAAGCAATTCCATTCCATCAGCTAAAACTCATTGGCTCTCCTATTGGTAAGATGTGTATTGTGTAAGTCTATTTACACATAAGTTTTCTATAACTTAAAGTCTTATAAATAGCTCAAGAACAATTAAAAGAACAAATAACCCAGAAGGGTGCAATAGACAAGATACCCAGTAACCTTATTTTTTGCCCATTTTAATGTCTTTCATAATTTTTCCTGGCACGTTGTTTTATGTTTATTGTATTTACTTTTATAGATAATATGCTATTTATAGAAAATGGCACTGGCTTTTCACTTGTATTAGTGATATAGTTGTCTTTAAAGAGATTTGTTTGCATTTTTAGAAGAATGCCAATTAAAAAATATATATCTAGAAAGTGTAGGACTGTGTCCTTCAACCTTTAATATGCATACACACCATCTGAGTATCTTGTTTAAATGCAGATTCTGTTGAGGGGAGGTCGGGGTGGAGCCTGAGACTCCGCATTTGTGGTAAGCTCCCAGATGCTGCCCATGAGGGTGGTCCAAAGAGCACGCTTTAAGTAGAAAGTGTATAAATGGCACTGGGATAAGGCAAAAATATATATATTTTGACTAAAGTTTGAGGAAATTGCAATAGATTATTGAGTAGGATTGTCTGAAAGGTTTAAGCAGAGGAGTGACAGGATCAAATTTGTTCTTTGGGATCATTTTTTTGCCCTCAGAGGGAGGGCTGCAAAGAAAGGCGGTTGAGGGACACCTCTTTTATCCTCTGGAACAAAAACTATGGGGCCAGAACCCAGACAGAAGTACCACCTCAGCAACTGGTGATGTCTTATTACTGTTATTGTTGTTATTGTTGTTCAAGAATCTACTAGTTTCTTCATAAGCTTCCCAGAGCATGGACATTGAATTTTCTGTTGCATAAGTTTCTTCTGTAACAGTTGGTGGAAAACAGGTCTTCACTCCCTGAATCAGAGGTGCAAAGAACAGCCTTCTCTACTGTGTCAATAGACCCTATAAGTGCAAAAGGCATTGACTCAATTCTTGGCAAATGTGAACCTAATAGCACTCTTTTCCATTATAAAAATACGAACATTGAAGAGTTTAGTTGCTTACTTGAGTGATTTCTCCTCCAATTATCCAAATGTGTCTCTTAAGAAATCATCTTTTGTAGAACTCTGCAGTATCTATGTACATCCTTTTCCTTCCATAGTTTAGAACATTCCTAAGGGAAGCAATTGGAAGGCAACAACAAGTAGCAACACACTTGCAAATATGTTCCTACACGACTACTAATCCAAAATGTCGTAAGTGCCTGACATGTCAAGTATTGGAGGGAAAGCTATATCAGACAGAATAAGATGGCTGGTTAAATGCAATGCATTTTATAAGTGCTTTATTGAGGTATAATTTAGATACCATAAAATTCGCCTATTTCAGGTGTGGAGTTTGATTAATTTTAGTAAACTAAGCCATCTGTATAAGCATCACCCCTATCCAGGTTGAGCACATTTTCTACACCCCAGAAAACTTCCTCATACCTGTTTGCAGTTAATCCCCATACTCAACCTCAAGCTACAGGTTTGCCTTTTCATTTTTTTTTTTTTCTGAGACAGAGTCTCACTCTGTCACCCAGGCTGGAGTGCATTGGCGTGATCTCGGCTCGTTGCAATCTCCACCTCCCGGGTTCAAGCGATTCTCCCGCCTCAGCCTCCCAAGTAGCTGGGATTACAGGCACCTGCCACCACACCTGGCTAATTTTTGTATTTTTAGTAGAGACGGGGTTTCACCATCTTGGCCAGGCTGATCTTGAACTCCTGACCTCGTAATCGACCTTGGCCTCCCAAAGTGCTCGGATTACAGGCATGAGCCACCACACCCAGCCAACAGGTTTGCCTTTTCTAGAAACTTCATGTAAATTGAATCACACGATGTGCAGTCATTTGTATCTGACTTCTTTCACTTTGTATAATGTTTCTGAGTTTTATCTATGTTTTTGCATGTTTTAATATTTCATTCCTTTTCCTTGCTGGGTAGTATTCCACAGTATGAATATGCCACATTTTGTTTGTCATCAGTTGACACTTTGGGGTTATTATTGAATAAAGCTGCTATAAGCATTTATATACAAGTCTTTGTGTGGCTATGTACTTTCATGTCTTTTTACTAGATTCCTAGAAGTAGGACTGCCGGGTTCTACAGTAAATTTAAGTTTTTTAAAACTACAAAACTGCTTTCCAAAGAAACTACCATCTTTACATTCTTACCAACAACATATGAGAGCTCCAGTGTCTCCATATTCTCTCCAACACTTGGTATTGACCATCTTTTTGATTATAGACATTCTAGTGGATATGTACTGGTATCTCACTGTGGCTTTGTATGCATTTCCCTAATGATTAATGACAAGCATCTATTCATGTGTTTTTGTTTTTCCATTCATGTATCTTCTTTGGTAAATATGTTTAAATTGTTTACACATTTTGCTTATTATTGACTTGTCATATTATTGAGTCATAAGCATTCTTTATGTATTTTAGATACAAGTCCGTTATCAAAGATAAATGATTTGCAAATCTTTTCTCCCAGTCTGTGGCTTGTCTTTCCATTCTCCTAACAATGTCATTAAAAGAGCAGAAGTTCATAATTTTGATAAAGGCTAACATCTATTTTTTCTTTTATGCAACTCACATCTTAGAAACTTTGGCCCAACCTAAGCTCACAAAGATTTTTCTACTGATTTTGTTGAGTAGATTCATAGCTTTTGTTCTTACATGCAGATCTATGGTATATTTTGAGTTATATTTTACATATGGTGTGAGGTAAAAATCTAAACACTTTATTATTGTTGCTGTTGTTTGTTTGTGTATACAGACATCCAATTGTTCCTGCACCATTTTTGAAAAGTCTCTTCTTTCCCCCATTGTTAAAAAGGCTACCCTTTTGTTCTTTGCACCCTTTTCAAAATTCGATTAACCACAAATGTGAGAATTTATTTCCGGACTCTAGTCTTTACCATTGACCTATATGTCTATCCTTTTGTATCTAATTATTGTGGCTTTAAAACAACTTTTGAAATCAGATAGTGTAAGTCCTCCAACTTTGTTCTTCTTTTTCCAAAATTATTTTGGCAATTTTAGGTCCTTTGCATTTCCATACAAGTTTTAGAAAGAACTAGTCCTCCTTCTTCTTGTTTGAGCACTATAGTTTTATCTTATGGAAACAATTTTGTATTTCTTTCATTTTTGCTTTTCTGAGAGGTCACAATTTAATCTAATTTGAAGAAAGTTTGTCAATAAAGTATATCAGGTTGTGCCTGGGGCATAATAGGTACTAAAGAAATATTAGCTCTCCCCTCCTTCCACAACACAGCCTACATTTTTACTAGAAGTTGGAAGTCAGAACAACATAGGTTTAAATTCTTCCTCTGTCACTTACCAAGTGGGTGTTCTCATGCAAATTATGTAACCTCACTGAGCTTCATTTCTACATCTGTAAAATGGAGATAATAATATTGACTCCATGGGGTTTTATAACTAGTAGGTGTAATATAAATGTGTCAGGTACATAAAAAGGCCTAATAAACATTTTATGAATGAATGAATAAATAAATAGAGTTAGCAACTATTCAAGCTATATGGCAGAATGAACCAATGACACTCCATGGCTTGATGATTAAACAAATATTTGGGAAAGAATAGCCCATTTTCTAGTTTCCTATAGACATTCCTGGTAAGAAACTAGCCTCCCAGACTCTACCTACTTCTGGTGATGGGTAGAAAGAAAATTCAACATTCCTCTCACAGGAGTCTTTGTGAGGATTTCCAGAATTCAGGGACCCACCTTTCCGTTTTTTTGTGTGCTAAGTAATACACACAAAGTGCATTATTTCTATCTATCACCAGAAGTAGGTACAGTAGGCCAGGCATGGTGGCTCACCCCTGTAATCCCAGCACTTTGGGAGGCCAAGGTTGGAAGATCACTTGAGGTCAGGAGTTTGAGAGCAGCCTGGCCAACATGGCAAAGCTCCGTCTCTACTAAAAATACAAAAATTAGCTGGGCGTGGTGGCAGGCACCTCTAATCCCAGCTACTTGGGGGACGGAGGCACCAGAATCACCTGAACCTGGGAGGTAGAGGTTGCAGTGAGCTGAGATCGTGCCACTGCACTCCAGCCTGGGTGACAGAGTCAGACTATATCTAAAAAAAAAAAAAAGGAGGTAGAGCCTGGAAGGTGAGTTTCTTACCAGGAATGTAGGAATGTCTGTAGGAAATTAGGAAATGGGCTCTTCTCTTCCAGCTATTTCTTTAATCATCAAGCCATGATTAGTATTGTATTTGTTTTTGTTTTTTTCAGAAAGGGTGGTCTCCTTATGTCACCCAGGCTAGCCTCAAACTCCTGGGCTCAAGTGATGGTCTCACCCCAGCCTCCTGAGTAGCTGGGACTATTAGTGCTTTCTCTAGGTCTGGGCAAAAGAGAGTGTGCTTGTTGCTCCTAAGTTTGCCAGATTTAGCAAATAAACCACAGTTAATAATTAAGAAAAATTAATTCTTAATTTCAGATAATGAACAATATTTTAGTATAAGTATGTCCCATGCATTATTTGGGATATACTTATATTTTAAAAGTTTCATCATTTATCTGAAATTCACATTTAACTGCATATCCTGTACTTTATTTGTTCCATGCTTTAGAGGGCCTTACATAATATAAATGCACTTAAGACAAGAAAAAAATAAATGTAGTAAAAAAAAAAAATACAGGGGACTCTGGTATTTGTCATGCACATCTGGTGTTCATCAGTGGCACAGCATAACTTGTAACCCTAAACATTCTCTTTTATAACTAAAACATTCCCATGGCTAACACTGTTCAGGCTCCACAGAATCACCTGTCCACCCCTCTTGCACTTTTGTCCTTGAACTAAAAGAGAATTTCATCCAAATGCCATGACGGCTTATGGGTTGGGCCACTGCCAAGGTCCGAGGCAGATATTGCTTCAAAGTATTAGGAATTTTTGAGTGATCTTCCTTTCAGATAACATGGATGACATAGACTCTTACAAAGTTAAATATAGGTTCACTGTAGTGCTGAGTGACCTATTTGTGCTCAAGTGCGTGGTTCTGGAGGTAGAGTCAGTACCCATGGATCCCATATTCATGTATTCAACTGACCATGCATAGAAAGTAGGGAAAAAAAATAAAAATAACATTACAACAGTACAAAATAATACCAATAGAAAAATAATACAGTATAACAACTGTTTACATAGCATTTATATTGTATTAGGTATTATAAATAATCTAGAGATGATTTAAAGTATACGGGAGGATGTACCTAGGTTAGATGCAAATACTATATCATTTTATATCAGGAACTTGAGCATCCACTAATTTTGATATCTGTCATAGTACTGGGCCCAATCCCCTGCAATTACTGAGGAATGAATGTACTTGTAAATCAGTGGAGCATTTGTGACATGATGACAGGAAAACATTTTGCAATATTAAACAAATTTGTATATTTATAAATATATCTATGACTGCATAAAACATGATAGCAATTCTTTAGTTGGCAACTAGATAGATGTTTAATGCTAGAAATGCAGATAGATTTATTTTTATGAAATATTTAATAGGATTTAAATATTTGCAAAACTAAATCATTTTAAATCATCAGCTGTATTTAGATAATTTTGATCTAAAAGTTTGGTATTCATTAACTATTGTTGGTAACTTGCCTTTTAACTTTAAAAAGTAATTTCAACTATTTTAGGAGAAAAATAAGTGGCTTAAAATGTATATAAAATAATTCAAATTTTTCACATTTACATTAATTCACCTTTTAAATATAGTTTAAATAAAAATATATTTGTATTTTTAATCTTTTATACCACTATTATGAAGTGAGCATAAATGATGTGAAAATCTTGATTAGAACAAAATAGCGACCAAGCTAAAATAGGTGATAAAAATAAAATGTATGTAGTGATTATATAAGAATCATTATTTAAGCCTCTATTTATTATTTATGTAAACATTGCCAGCTCATCAAAAGATGACCTAGACACGTACAATGATAATTAAATTCAGTAGTCTGTAATATTTTGCCAATTACTAGTCAAGTAAAAACAACAGCTTAACACGTATTTTTAAATTTTGTTGCTATTTTGCACGCTAGGCAGACAGTACATTTTATTCACCAGTTTAAGTTTTCCATTAATTTCCATTAATTTTCCATTAATAAGTTTTCCATGCTTAGACCAGAGTGCTATGCTTCTTCGTTGGAACTCTTGCTCTGGAACAGTCTAGATTGCCCAGGTGAGGAAGGGAGCCGGCCCAATACTTTTATCTTCCCTAAAGGGAGAAAAAAAAAAGACATACCAGCGGGCTCCTGCACTTTGTCGTCGAGGAAGTCTAACTCTTGCTCCCTTATAAGACCAAAGACTCCTCTAGACTCTGCTGAAGAGGCAAGGTCAAGGTGGCGAGTGTGGGATTGGAAGGAAACACAGAAGGGCAGGGAGAGAGCCTGCTGAGTCCTGGGATGCTCAGAGAGGCAGCGCTTTCTTCACAGGGGCCTGGAATCTCTCCTAGGAATAGAGTTAGAGGGACATGTGTCCGGAGCACGCTGCAAATGAGGCTGATGAGGCCCTGCACGGCAGAAATCCTGGCTGAGGATGAGCCCAAGGCTGGGTGAGGAAATGTGATTGGAAGAGCAAGTGGAAGGCTGTGAGAAATCACCTACACTAGGTCTAGGATGGCATAAAAAAGCACTTTGCAGTGAAAAAGGTCCAAATATCCCTTCCTTGGGTGGCGGCCCTTCACCTCCAGCAGCAGGCCCAAGTGCCTCACCCCACAGCCCTGCCCTAGACGCCAGCCTCCCAGCTTCTCTGCCTGGGGCCCACTGAACCCTGCAACTACATTCGGTAGTGGGCAGGGGGTGCTGCCAGGGTTTCCCCCATGCTGTTTCACAAGCACATGCTCTTCCCTCTGCCCACACCCACTCCTTGACACCCCCTTTCTGTTTCTGGTGGACCCCCATGCACCTTCAAGACCTAGCACAGTGTCACCTCTTACCGACTGCCAACCCAGAGCAGGATGATGGCCTTCCCTGGGCTCCCCTGGGGTCACACAGAACGGATTCTACCCCAGTGTTCGGTCATCCTTTAATATGGAACACATCACACATTGAAGTTTCTGTCTCCAGGAAACTGCGAGTGTTTGAGGCTCAAGGACCCTTTCATCCCCTGTTCCCAGTATCTGTCGTATGTTCCTGGCATGTAATCGACAATAAATGTCTGTTGCCTGAATTGATCATAGTCTTCCTTGATCCTCATTATACAAAGTAGAAATTGGCATATTATAATATCATCTCATTTGTGTAGGTGAAAACGAAGAAGTTAAGTTCACTGACCAAGGATCTCAGTGCTGTCTTCTGGCTTCTAAGGCCACAGTACAGGACTTTCTACTAAATTGTGGGTATTAAATTAAATGGTGCTTTTTTTTTTTTAATTTAAGGAGGTTCTGTTAGCTGTTAATTCTGTTTGAAGAACAAAGGGAACAAGTGGTTCTCACCTTGAAGCTATGGAGCAATAGACATACACTTTGAAGCATTCCTTCACCAGTGAGAATTGGTTTTGAGCCTTCCTTTTGCCTAAGGTCGAGTTGGTATCATTAGTTGGGAAATAATTACACAGTGCGGAACATTCACCCCACGAGAGTCTTTGTTTTGTTTTTTTAATCAACCCTTTACAGGAAGTTGGTTTTCACCCAGGTAACTGCTGCAAAATATTTATCCAGGTAAGAGAAACATTCCTCAGCCAATCAGAGACATTTCTTCTGTGTGACTTCACCCACCTCATTACCATTTACTACGCAGGCCTTGTAATTACCTTCAGAAGGGAACACATCCTGTTTCTGCTTGCTCAAACTCTCTGACTGACATTTTCTCTGACTTTCCAGAACTGTGCTGAGAAGTCTCCGTCAGACAGGTAATGAGGAGGCCTGGCTCTTTCGGTCAAAATGTGCCTCAAAACATGTGGGGGCACAGGGAAATTTAAAGCCATCCCTGAAGAGTCAGACCTACTCCTCAGTTGGGAATGACCCTCAGTCCTTAGGGGAATAAACACAGGGATGGGCAAGGAGACGACTACCCGGGGAGAGGCTCCAACCAGACATGGTAAATAATGCCCTGAGGCTCACACATGTGCACCCTTCTCTCCCCAGGAGCAGACCTGAAAATCAGTAACACTGACGCAACATTTACATGGAGCCTCAGCTGGGATGGCCATTCAAATCTCTGATAAGCTGATTTTCTATCCATTGGTACAATGTAATGAGTGAAAAATCGGTTAGGAGTTCTAAAGGGCCAGCCTCAAATACCAGCTCTGCGTCTTTGTAGCAGTGACCTTGGGCAAGTTACTCAACTCGCCAAACATGTTTCACCGTCTGTAAAATGGGAATGACAGCATTTGTCTCACAGCTAGTGTGAAGAAGATTCAATAACACAGGGTATAAAATCTGCAGAGCACAACTGTCTAGCACTGGAGCTGGCTGCCACCAAATATTAGCATTCTTTCCTCTTTTGCCCTCTGTCCCTGGAGGAGGACATTGTAAGGACCTACCTGCTCAGGGAATGCTATTAATAGTTAATCATCATGGAGGAACCGGCAGTCACAAAAAGCAGGAGCTGCAAATTCAGCTTCCTATGAGGGCCAGGAAGGGGGCCCAGTGTGTGTGCAGGGGGCCATGACAAGTAGGAGAGAACATAACCTTTAAAGAGGCTTCTCAGGATTATTTTAAATACATAGACATCTGGACTGATGTTAGCTGAGCTTCGATTTTTTAAGAGAAGCAAAACTTCAAGATATTTACTTGCGAGTTCCCAGTTTTTAAAAGTTGAATCAAATTAAAATGAAAATGAATATTTTGTAAGCCAAATAAAACACTTTCCCACAGGCTGCCTGTTTGCAATCTCTATACAAGGTAACAATGCAAATGGTACAATACATTACATAGGGGACTGAACTTGAAAACCAGTGCAAATCTTGTTGTACTTGCATCATTTACTGTGATCTGCAATACCATACACAAATGAGATATGTGTTACACAGATAGCTGACATCTAATGAGCTCTTCCTGTGTGTCTGCATTACCTTATTTAATCCTAGCAATTCTATAGGGTAGCTGTTATTATGCTCACCATTTTACAGATGTGGTTTAGAGATAACTCTCCCAAGATCATCTATTTGTTAAGAGGTGGAGCTGAGATCAGCTATCTTGTGTACTCCAAATCCCAGGTTCCTCAACACCACCCAATGCCTAATGCTTACGTGACCTTGAAGAGTAAGGGAGCGAGGCCCAGGGAGAATCTCGGTCAACAAGTTATTACCACCATGTCTCCTTGGCATAAATTTTTAAAGTGAGATGTTGCTGCTATCTTGGAGCAGAACATTTTCTGCCAAGGGTTGTTGCCTGGAGGTGTTGGCTATACTGCATGCTTACCGAGAAGACTGGCTTTAAATATGTCCAACCAATAAACAGAGAGAAGCCTACACTTAAGAAAATTGGAGTCAATATTTGTTACAGCCCTGAAGTCCTGCAGACTAACAGGATGTGGGCACAGAGCAGTCATTGGTCATGGAGCATGACACAGTTCCCACACACACTGCCAGCACCCTGGCCCACCCACCACCCCTGTCTGCTTCAGACACTTCAAGCGAGGATTACAGAGTGGATTGTAGATGCAGCTCCTAGGAGGCTGAGACCTGTGGTGTGTGGGCACAGTCCACATTCCCACAAGCTTTAACACATGTCAAAAATAAAATATCACCAGTCAATGAAAACAACAGAGCTACCATTTCCCACCCAACCAATTGGCAAAATTTGAAAATACCAGTTCTTCATATCGTCAAACATGTGGGGGAAATGAGAATTCTTGCACATGGCTGATGGTATAAATTAGTTCAGAAAACATTTGGTATATTGAAAATGCATGTGGCCTATCACCCAGCTATACCATTTCCAGCTATATATTTCTGGAGGAAACGTCCCATATGTGCACAAGGAGATGTGTGTAAGAAGTTTCACTGTAACAGTCTATGTGATGTCCAAAGATAGAGGGATTAATAGATTTTGTGGCCCATTCACACTGGGGAACACTGTGCAGAAGTTGAAATGAATGAATTAGATTATCATAAATCCACATGGTTACATCCTGGCAACATAATGTTAAGTGAAAAAAAGAAAGTCACAGGATGATAAATATATCATGTCACCATCTCTGTGGGTGTTTTTAAAATACACTATTATGATATGTTATATGAGGAAAGAAAAAATGGCATAAATTGAAAGATGCACAATACATTTGTGATAGCAGTGACCCCTGGGGAAGGAAGAAGTGGAATGGGACTGGGAAGGAGAACAAAAGGGACTTGGACTTTCTCTGAAGCAAATACAATGAAACATGCACATCTGCTCCTTCTGGCTAGTGGGCACGGGGCATTTGTTACATTCTCTATTGTTTCTATACTTACATACTTGTTGTCCAAAATAAAAAGGAGAATGGTATCCTGAAAAAGCACTGATCTGGAAAGCAGTTTGCTCACCACCTTGGCTGCGCCATCTTAGCTCCTCGTAACTCTGGTGCAGGCAGCTTCCTTCCCAATCAGGGTGTACATCGCCTGTCTTCTGGTAAGGACCTGAGCAAGTATTGGGTCCAGCCCAATTCTGGGGTCAGTTATTCTGTGAAAGTCAAATGTAACTTGAGGTTTTGAAAGGAGGGAAGTAGGCTGGGCGCGGTGGCTCACGCCTGTAATCCCAGCACTTTGATCACGAGGTCAGGAGATCGAGACCATCCTGGCAAACACAGTGAAACCCGGTCTCTACTAAAAATACAAAAAAATTAGCCGGACATGGTGGCGGACACCTGTAGTCCCAGCTACTCGGGAGGCTGAGGCAGGAGAATGGCATGAACCCAGGAGGCAGAACTTACAGTGAGCCGAGATTGCGTCACTGCACTCCAGCCTGGGCGACAGAGCGATACTCTGTCTCAAAAAAAAAGGGAGGAAAGTCTAGCTAGCATGTAGAACATTGCCAGCTGTATTTTAAGAAAGTTTTCTAAGTTCTCTAATCTTAAAATACAGTCAGAGAAAGAGTAAAACTTCCTGATAAGTCAATATACAATAAATCCCAACATGGTGTGATAGAGTTAGGAATCAGACAGACCTGGACTTAAATTCCAGGATCATTATTTCCTTGTTTTGAATCATTTGGCAGAGAAACATATTTGCATCTCAGTCTCCTTCACCATAAAATACGGAAAGGAATCTCTTCCTCATGGCTCTGTTGTGGGAACTTCACAAATGAATAAGGTCTGTCCTTATTCATTCCTCAGGCAAAATAGACACCTATAATCCTGACCATATTTCATTACTTCTAAGTCACACAGTTTCTTCCATTTAAGAATCTCTGAAATCAGGGTCTACTTATAATCTATAGTATCTTAAAATTATAATTGGTGGAATTTTTTCTTATTTCTTACCACGAACAACACAAAAATATGTCTTATAATTAGTGAGGTTTCAATTCTGCTAAATATAGTAGTTCTGACTTTCCTCTTTCATATAGTAGGTATGTGTAAATCTAGATTAATCAGTAATGTTATTAGGCTGTTATCTAATCTGTATCGCCAACCCTGAGAAAAGCGCTCATAAGAACTTACCTCATTTTAATCAGTCATACCAGCCTTCCTAGAGAAAAAAAAATAAACGGGGTTCCCTCCACAGTGGAAGCTTTGGCCCTAGACAGGATGTATCCTTAAAATCAATCATCATAACTTCAACATGTTTTATGGTTCTCCTGAAAGACTGAAGGTAGGCAAGATAGGCATATCTGAAGAAAGCATTAAGTACACAATAAAGCTGTAAACAAGCCCCAAGCTCATCTTCAGATCTAGTCTGTTAATAAGCAACAGAAGTATTAGCTAAGCATTTTTGGGAAATGAGGAACAATTTGGATAACTTTTGAAACATAAAAAATGTAACAGGAAAATAAAAGTTCCAGAAAATGTATATAATAAGAACACATTATGCTTTATATTTTTCAAAGATTTTTTCATCTGTTTTATTTGATAGATTATCACAAAAATTTCATGAATTAAAAGAATAAATATTATTCTCTTTTTACACATCAGACAAATTAGGCATGGAAGTAAGTGGTTTATTAAGATCACATAGCTAGTAGAAATAGGAGTAGAACCCAGATGTTCAAATTCTCATTCTTTTTTTGTTTGTTTGTTTTGTTTTGTTTTGTTTTGCTCTAACAGCAACCAAGGAAAAAAAACACAAAGATTTTATCTGTGTCCTCTTATGGGCTTGCATGCCAAATATTTTATTTATCTTGCTTTTCTGATCACGCTTTCAACCTATCTCATAAGCAACAGCCCTGAATTTCTCTTTTTCTTTCCTTCCAATGTATAGACCCATAAAATCATTCCTTTAAAAAAATCTGACAATCTGCTGTGACAGTAAAAGCCAATGTATTCACTTTTGTCATATCCCAGCCTGGCAATTTGCCTGTATCTTCTGGCATATTCTAATGAAATTACTGCTCAACTTACAGTGTACTTCCTTACAGCCCTGAGTGAATTCCCCTGCCCCATTAATCTGTATTTTCATCTATCCAAGATGTCAACTTGATATCTTATTTTCCATTTTGCCTAACTCGCTAGTAACACAATCTGTGAAACAACACATCCAATGGAAATTGCTCTGAGAAAATGTGATCATAAACGTGTCAAGTTAAGCATGTGCTAGGGTTTTTTTTTTTAATACAGTTCAGATAGTATTAGGATATATGTAATCAAAAACACAAATGTGTTTTTATTTTCAAACCAAGAGAGATTCCCAGAACTCTTTAAAGTAGTGGTTTATATCTTTAGCAAACTAGTTGTGGCCCATTGCTAGTCATTTATCCATTATTTTCTTATGCAGAAATGACATGAGAGGATTAATTTGTATCCTGTGGAACCTCCAGCCAAAACAGTTGGTCAATAATAATTGCTACTTTCACCAAGTGTTATGCATTACTTGAGGAGATTAAGTATTATTAAACTGGTGTTACAAGTGATGAAGTTGAGATTTAGAGAAGTCAAGTAATTGTCTTAAGTCACCTAGCTAATAAGTAGAAAGTCAGGATTTGAACTCAAAACCTACACCCTTAACCACTCTGATATGAGTTTAATTTGATCTGAACTTCTATCTTTAAAACAGGGATTGAAGGCCGGGTGCCGTGGCTCACTCTTGTAATCCCAGCACTTTGGGAGGCCAAGGCAGGTGGATCACGAGGTCAGGAGATGGAGACCATCCTGGCTAGCACAGTGAAACCCCGTCTCTACTAAAAACACAAAAAATTAGCCAGGCGTGGTGGCGGGCGCCTATAGTCCCAGCTGCTCAGAAGGCTGAGGCAGGAGAATGGTGTGAACCCGGGAGGTGGAGCTTGCAGTGAGCCAAGATCACACCACTGCACTCCAGCCTGGGCAACAGAGCAAGACTCCATCTCAAAAAAAAAAAAAAGGGCAGGGGGTGGGGGCACTGAAGATTTAGAAGTCTGGAATTCTGACTAAACGTTGAGTAGCTCTTTAATCTTATTAATATTAGTGTGTTTTGGTTTTTATATATTCAGTCAACTGATACCATTTTTCTTTATTCTGCTTGGTCCTGGGGATAACATGGTGAGTAAAAGCTGGTAAGGTATCCATCCTTATGGAGTTTACAGCCCAAAGGAGACGCCAACACTGATCAAATCACACAAAAAAAGGTAAAATTACACTTTGGCTGGGAGCAGTGGCTCATACCTGTGATCCCAGCACTTTGGGAAGCTGAGGCGGGTGGATCACTTGAACTTAGGAGTTCAAGACCACCCTGGGCAACATAGTGAGAACTTGTCTACAAAAAATACAAAAATCAGCCAGTCATAGTGGTACGTGCCAGTAGTCCCAGCTACTCGAGAGGCTGAGGTGAGAAGACCACTTGTTCCTGGGAGGTGGAGGTTGCAGTGAGCTGAGATCATGCCACTGCACTCCAGCCTGTGTGACAGAGTGAGAACCTGTCAAAAAAAAAAATATATATATATACATTTTAACATCCTATACCACATTTAATCCTATGAAGGAGACATCTGGTACCTGTTCAGGGACCCTGACTGAGACCTGGAGGTCAAGACAAAGCTTTCAGAGTAGGAAATGTTGTGATCCACAATCCATGGAGCAAAGCCTTGGTTGCTGTTTCTAAAGCTGAGGAAACAACAAGAATAAGGATCTCCAACTGAGTCTGTGGTCAGTGCTTTTGAACTGAATCCAGTGTGTCCCCCACTGACTTGGTCTCATAGTAATTTTCTTATCACAAAAGACACTGTCTCCATCCCTTTTGGCTAAGCATAAGTATGTTTGCAATAGCACACACCCCATTGATGGCTTGGACATGAAGGATGGTAGGAAGAAGAGAGTCAAGGATAACTGTGGGCATAAATACGTGGGGATAAACATGGGCAACTAAGAACTGAGGACCATCCCTCACTGGCAGTAGTAGAGCTGAGCAGCAGAAAAGGTTTGGGGGAAACTTGGATTGCAATAATATGATCCATTTTAGACATAGAGATTTAAATGATGGTAAAATATCAGTAGAAACACTTTGCAAGCCTGGGCAACATAGGGAGACCCTGTCTCTACACAAAGTAAAAATCAATTAGCTGGGCATGGTAGAACATGCCTACAGTCTCAGCTACTACTACGGAGGCAGAAGCAGGAGGATCACTTGAGCCCTGGAGTTCAAGGCTGTAATGAGCTGTGATTGCAGCACTGCACCCCAGCCTGAGTAACAGAACAAGACCCTGGAAAGAAAGAGAGAGAAAGAAAGGAAAGGAAAAGAGAAGAGGAGAGGAGAGGAGAGAAAAAGGAAGGAAGGAAGGAAGGAAGGAAGGAAGGAAGGAAGGAAGGAAGGAAGGAAGGAGAAGAGGAAGGGGAAGAGAAGAAGAAAAGAAGAAAAGGACCTTGCAGACTGAGGGGAAAAAAGATGATAAAATATAAAAACGGGGATACAATTGGAATTTATCTGCAGCCTGTAATAATAACCCTTTATAATTGCATCATCATCGTCATTTCACATGGTGCTTACTGTAAGTCTACACACATGTTAACTGTTGAAATCTCAGAACAAGCCTGTGAGGTGAGTATTGTTAACATCCCCATTGAATGGATCAGGAATCTGAGACCCAGAGTGTCTGTGGCACAGCCACAGCAATAATGCTGAGTTGGATCCAAACCCAGGCAAGCTGGTGCCCAAGGCCACATCCCTAACCACCCTAGTGCCTCCCTACATATCATGACAGAGTACAACTCACTTTGACATCTTATTCCACACTTCATCCTCACAGCAGCACCATGGAGGGAAAACTGTTAACTCATCTCTATAGATAGAACAACAAGGCCTTCCCAAGTCACAGAGTTCCAGATCCCAAACCCATGACTTCTGGTTCCAAATTCAGCGTTTTTTCTGCTCTACCTCAGCTGCCCCTAAAAGCTAAAGAGCTCCTGCTTTAGGTAGCATGGAGGGAAAAGAAGGAATTTGCACAAGTGTTGAGGGGAAAAGAGGTGATAGTAACGAATGAAAACTCAGAAGAAAAAAAAAATCCCAGAGAGCTTAAAACAGATATTTTCCTTGCTAGTAACAATCTGGTCAAATGATAACTGACCACCTGCTGTGGGCAGAACTAAGTTCGGTTTGGTGTTTGATGTTTGCTGAAGGGCAGGTGCAAAGATAATGCTGATTAGACCTGATTCTTGCTCTAGATGAATTTATAATCTTATTGAGGCGTAAGTTAGACCTTAAACAAAGATAAGCATTTTCCAGGGCAATGTGTGTCTCAGCCGGAGAACTCAAAAAGAGAGCAGCAGGATGTCAGCAGAGGCAGAAGTCCCAGCTGAACTGTCAGAAGAGCCTTCGGGAGGGCAGGTGCGGCCTGAGTATTCTATTAAGAGAAGCATTTTGTGCTCTTGCTCTTCTGTTTATTTATACATAATATTTATAAGGCTCCTGAAGCCTTTTCTGACAATTCAGCCTGGGACTTCTGCCTCTGCACATTTACCTTGATCCTTTCTAGACCAAGATGGGAGAAAACGAATTCAAATCCTTCCCTCCCTCCTACTTTTCACCCTCCAACATATGAAAGATAATGACAAGGCCATGTGCTCATGTCTGTGATCCCAACACTTTGGGAGGCTGAGGCGGGAGGATCTCTTGAGCCCAGGAATTTGAGACCAGCCTGGGCAACACAGGGAGACCATGTTTCTACAAAAAATTTAAAAATTAGCCAGGCGTGGTGGCACACATCTGTAGTCCCAGCTACTCCAGAGGCTAAGGCGGGAGGATAGCTTGGGCCCAGGAAGTCAAGGCTTCAGTGAGCTATGATTGCACCGCTGCACTTCAGCCTGGGTGACAGAGCTAGACTCTGTCTCAAAAAAATAAAAAAGAGAGATAACAACAAATTATCTAACCACAACACTGAGACGGTTACTTGAGTGGCCTGCCCCAGAGTCTGAAAGCCCTTTGAATGAGTCCAGGGGCCCACACTCCAACTGTTAAACTAAGTCATAGAGTCCCTCAAGGAAATAACCTCCCTTTTAGGACTCAGCATGCCTTGGCTGCAGTTAAAGAAACATTAGCCCATCCATGTGATTCCTGTTTCCCAAGAAGAAACTAACCCAACATGGACAACATTTGTAAAAGTGGTTTCCTTATCATGTTACAGGAATCACCAAAAGCTCATCTGCAATCAGGAACCTTGGGTTTTATTTATTTTTATTTTTAAATTTTTGTTGTTGTTGTTTTTGTTTTTTAGAGACGGTGTGGCTCTGTCACCCAGGCTGGAGTGCAGTGACTCACCCATAGCTCACTGCAACCTTGACCACCTGGGCTCCAGTCATCCTCCCACCTCAGCCTCCCAGGTAGCTGGGATTACAGGTGCATGCCACTGCACCCAGCTAATTTTTTATTTTTATTTGGTAAAGACAGGGTCTCACTATACTGACAGGTTGGTCTTGAACTCCTGACCTCAAGTGATCCTCCCACCTTGGTCTTCCAAAGTTCTGGGATTACAGACGAGAGTCATCACGCCCAGCCTGAACCTTGGGGTTTTAAAATTCTGCCTGCAAGTCCAGCTGTGTCAAAATATATGCCTGAAGTAAAGGCCATAATAAGTTTAACCAGTTCCTTTTCCCTGGATGTGGAATCTTATTTCTGCTATTGAATGGGATTTGTATACATTGAGTTCATTAAAGGGAATTATATAAGGGACCTAGAATAGGCAAATTCATAGAGACACCAAGTAGAATAGGGGTTGCCAGGGATGGGAGCAGGGGAATATTGGGAGTTAGTGCTCATTGAGTATGGAGGTTCAGTTTGGGATGATGGGAAAGTTCTGGAGATGAATGTTGGTGATGGTTGTATAACAATGTGAATATACTTAATGCCACAGAACAGTATGCCTAAAACTGGTTAAAATCGTAAATTTTACATTGTGTATATTCACACAATTTCTTTTAAAGAGTGGAATGAAGAGAATTTGTTTCTAAACCAGTTACTAAAATCATCTCCTAAGGGCCATAACAAGACACCTTTTTATGACAGACAAATTTTTAGTAAACTTTTAGAAAATTCCCATGAAGAAGGGAAGGAAGAAATGATGGCTTTGTGCATAACATGAAAAAAAGTCAAACTGTTTGCTAGGAGCCATAGTATGAGTAATTCAGGTGAATCATGGCTG
This sequence comes from Homo sapiens, assembly GCF_000001405.40. Classification (NCBI taxonomy): domain Eukaryota; kingdom Metazoa; phylum Chordata; class Mammalia; order Primates; family Hominidae; genus Homo; species Homo sapiens. Next base: position 44,361,044 of record NC_000013.11, read on the forward strand.
TTTCCTGGATTACTTAGGGAAAAACTCAGTTCCCAGAATGGTCACTCAGCAGTCTAACAGAAGTGCCTTGAGGCTTCCAGCCAATTGCTATGAGTTTAAGAAACCCAAGTCTTCAAAAGTATTAGGTTGGTGCCAACGTAATCACGGTTTTTGCCATTACTTTTTTTTTTTTTTTTTTTTTTTTTTGAGACAGAGTTTCACTCTTGTTACCCGGACTGGAGTACAATGGCCTGATGTCACTCACTCTCACTCACTGCAGTCTCCGTCTCCCAAATTCAAGCCATTCTCCTGCCTCAGCCTCCCGAGTAGCTGAGATTACAGGTGCTCGCCTCCACACCCCGCTAACCTTTTGTATTTTTAGTAGAGATGGGATTTTGCCATTTTGGCCAGGCTCGTCTCAAACTCCTGGCCTCAGATGATCCACCCGCCTCGGCCTCCCAAAGTACTGGGATTATAGGCGTGAACCACCATGCTCAGCCTTTGCCATTACTTTTAGTGGCAAAAATCACTAATGGCAAAAACTGCGATTACTTTTGCACCAACCAAATACATTTCGGTACCTAGAACAGGCAACTTCATAGAGACAGAAGTAGAATAGAGGTTACCAAGGGATAGGGGGATATTGTTTACTGGGTACAGAGTTTCCCTTTGGGATAATGAGAAAGTTCTGGAAATAGTGGTGATGGTCGCATAGCACTGTGAATGTACTTAATGCCACTGAATTGTATACTTTAAAATGGTTACATTTTATGTTATGTATATTTTACCATAGCTTTTTAAAAAAGGTAGACCACTTCAGCTATTTGCAACAATAAAATAAAGATCCCTTCTGGAAAAAAGAAAAAGTGAATCCTAAGGAAAAAGACCAATAAAGAATTGGCAGATGGCCAGGCATGGTGGCTCAAGCCTGTAATCCCAGCACTTTGGGAGGCCAAAGCGGGTGGATCACGAGGTCAGGAATTCGAGACCAGCCTGACCAACATGGTAAAACTCCGTCTCTACTAAAAATACAAAAATTAGCTGGGTGTGGTAGCGCACGCCTGTAATCCCAGCTACTCAGGAGGCTGAGGCAGGAGAATCACTTGAACCCGGGAGGTAGAGGTTGCAGTGAGCCAAGATGGCACCATTGCACTCCAGCCTGGGAGACAGAGCGAGACACCGTCTCAAAAAAAAAAAAAAAAAAAAAAAAAAAAGAATTGGCAGACATTGGTGGGGCAGGGGAGGGAGGGCATTATATTTCACAAAACAGGTTATTATGGACATGAGGCAGCATTTAGTCAGTCAACTCTGCAGACATGTGTCCCAGGCAAAGCGACTGGCCCTTGTCAGCCAGAAGTTTTCCAAGTGGCCCAGTCTCTCTCTCGTTGGCCTCCTGTCCCCTTCCTCTTCCTCCTCCTGAACTCTTTAGAGTCCTAACTGATCATTTTCTGCCTTTTATATTGGCAACCACCCACGTTGAATAAACAAAATACACAGGATGGAGGGGGATGGTGAGGAGGAGACACATTTCAGAGTTAAGAAAACAAATAGCCAGCGAAGCACAGAAGACCACAACTTGATTTAGACAGGTTTAGCTATGGAAATAAGTGTCAGACGAGTTGATTGTTTCCAGACCTCAACAGGCCAGAGATGGAGAGAGCAAACCGTACCATTTATCACAGCAAGTTCACATGGGGTGGAGTCGAGGTTAAGGAAATGGATGGGAAGAAACGAGAAGGGGAGTTAAGGTCCCTTTTTATTAAGTTGTCACTGAGAAAGCCAAGTGTGTAATAAAGCTCTGCTGGGTACTGATTAGACTCTGTGGGTTTGGGCAGGGAAGGAAAAAGGAAAACCCAGAGTGCCCAGAGAACAGGAGGAACTGTGAAAGGATGACGTAATACCAATCATGACGATTCTTGATGGAGCAGAGCGGAAAGGGTTGACCCAAACCAAACCCAGAGGCCCACAGAGCCACACAGCCACTCACGGAGATGTTCCCATGGGCTGCCCAGATGGTAGCATCTCTGGAGGGATGAAGAAGCAAGAGGAAATGTGGACCTTGGGGAAGGTAAACAGGCTCTTGCTCTTTGGCCCTCTTGGCCATCAAAAGGTGAAGAAAGACCCAGATGGACCTTGTCTTTCCATGAGCTCTTCACAGTGGCACGAGCACAAAGACAACCAGAGACTTAAAAAAAAAAAAAAAAAAAAAAAAAAAACCAGCTGTGGCTGGCCGTATGTAGAAGGAATTGATGAAGGCTTTGTTTTCCATGTCAGATTATTATAACAGAGCTGCAGAATGAGCTACATGCATTGTAAGTCAAGTCTTCCCTTTTGAGAGCTATCCATATAAACATCAAGCTCTTTCTTATTGCATGGGGTCAAAATGCTAGATGTGCGTTCAGGCAACACCATTCTTAATCTAGGACAACTTTGCCAATCAAAAGGCCACATGCCTAAGCGTCCTGGCCTTTGAAAGTTCTGTTAAACACTGTGAAAAGTGCAGTAGGGACCATGGCCAGAGAAAGAGAGGGCAGACCAAGCAAATACAAACCAAGTGAACACACTCATGGAGTACCAATTAGGACAAAGGAATAAAGCCCAAAAGGAGCCCCAAATTGCTAAAGCAAAACAAAGTTTAAAGGGAATCAAAAATGGGAGCTTCCTGGAGCACCAGGTTTGCAAGGAAAATTGTGAACATTTGTTATTAAACCAGTAACACTAACATCATTAACCACCATCAAGCTGAAGGAAACACATTTTTGCTACTTCAGAGAAAAGGAACAAAATACCTTCAGCCGAACCAGTCAGTTTTTTTCCTTCTAGACTTTGTTCCTTTAACTGCCAAACTCTGTGTACGATTTTTACTGGAGGATTATAATTAACTGTGTTAAAATGAAGACATTTTATTTTAACTTTTTGTGTCCTACATATTATCAAAATGATCGAGAAAGCAGCAGAAAATGAGTCCCCCTTCCTTACATACACACACACACACACAACACACACACACGCGCTCACACTTCTCAAGTTCATTGAGTACAGTTTTTGCATATGGAAATCATCACTCTCAGTTACCAAGCAACTGCCATGATTTGTGTTTCTATCTTCTGATGGTTCCTTTGTGTCGCCTTTAATGGAGAATTGGACTGGTTAGTGTCCAAGGTCCTTGTCAACACCGAGATGCCGTGAGTCTATGAAGGAGGTGGGGTCATACACTGCCAAACAAAGAGCAGAGAGGCCAGACAACTCTCACCCTCACCCAATGCTAACACTGGTACGGCCCTCAGGCAATCGTGGTGCCAATACGGCAGTGACAGGAAGGGACTGGGCATAGTTGAGGTTTTCTTAATTTTATTTAAAAAAAAAATGCTCTGCAAACACAACTTCAAGACATATTCCAGCCACTGTCCACCCTGCCCCACTTCTTAGCAGATTGTTGTCCCTAAGGTCCTCCTATATAGATACTCTGTAGCGGTCACCATCTGTGCTAGTTTCTCAGCTGTAAACTTGGAATAATAGTAACACCGACCTCTCTCTCCCAGTAGTAGTGGTGTGGGGATTGACTAATTAAGCCCTGTGAAATGCCTTGAAAAGTAGACAATAGGATTCTCTCCCTGTCAGAAAGAATTCACACTATTCCCCCAACGCCTGACCCGAGGGTGGCGGCTGTAGCTCATGTCACCCTTTGCTGATATTTTGTCACACTTGGACAAAGGGCTCTGGAGTCAAAGGGCAGCTTAAACCACACACCCAATATCATGCTTAGAGGAATTCCTGGGAACTGGTTTGGTGTTGACAATTGCCCACTGCTCTGAATCACTTCCTTTCTTCCTGCAGATTGACTCTTTTCCTGATTTTTGCTCCCAGACAAACTGGGTGTGCATGTCTGTTGCGGGAGAGGGACCATGGCTCTGGCCCCAGGCTTGTATTTCCAGATGACATGAGGCCTGCAATGCTTCTTTCTAATGTGCACCAGGTAGAGATACCTTCAGAGCTTCCTCTTCCTGCCCCTCACCTATTTCCTAATCTTGGCTCAGGTTTCATTGTGATATTGATCAACCTTAAGGAAATCCTTGACTAGTAAGCAGTTCCACCAAGATGAAGCTGGAGAAACCAGAGTGGCTCAGTGCTCACCACCTACATAATTACCCAGGAATGTTGTGTGATTAATAAGTTGCTGTGGTCTTGGTGCAAACAGGTCCCTGAAAACATCTGGGCTTTCCGCAGATGGTTTACTAATCCACATACATCACTGACAATAAGCTCTTTACAAAACCCTCTTAAAGTATATTGGATGTGACAGGTTTCCAGAATTTTTAGAAGCAGAGATCCTAGGTTTAACGTGCTGATGTTCAGAAAGGCTGGTGGCACTCCGAGCATCTGCATAGCTTCTTCTGAGTAACCTGGTGATGAAGTTATTGCAAAGGTGTGGACTTTTCTTTAAATTTGATGTGACAGAGATCAAAAAAAAACTATGATGAGGAATAAGTTAATGGAGTATATTAAACATGTATGTTCGTGTATTTAAAATGGTAATCTAACTTTTCATTTCGATCAAAGGAAAATAACATAGTCATTTAAATGAGGGCTTAAATTATCTATTTTAGATGGCTATGTCACAGCTTGGAGTATGAACCTGCTTTGTGTATCTAACACAAGTTGCCATGTTCTCTAAATGAATGAAATGCAAATTATATAAACCACTGAATAGCTATTTAGTGTAATCAATACCTGAATCCCCCTAATCCTTTCAGTCTTTACGTCATGATGCTAACCTCTGGGGATACCATGATGAACACACATGGTCTAGGAAGAAGCTACCAGTGCAATGCCTATCTGTCCATTTTCTCCTCTGGTTCCTATTGTGACTCACAGACTGTGGAAAGAAGTGACCTTGATTAAGGATATGGCAAATGAATTGACTACTTAGTACACAAATTCATGACCTTGGCCTCATAAACGTAGCACTCAATCAAACTAGTAAAGTCTATAAACAGAAAGAAGTAATGCTACTTACCCAGAATTGCTTGTCCAATGTCACATAACTATAAAAAAAAAACTAGCCTGAACATACTCATATACATTATGGAGGGAATATAAAGTGATAAACCTCTCAACTGGAGAAAGTGAGGATAAACTGGCAACGTCCGTCACTTCTATGCACATAACTTTTGACCCAGTGAATTACACTTCTAAGAAGTCCTCCAGTAGGACTTTCCATACACATGTGTGTTTGCAAAAACACATATACAAGGCTATCTGTCAATTTATAGCAGCAAAAAACTACAACAATCCAAATATTCATCCATAGGGAACTGGTTGAATCAATTACAGTATCATCACACAATGCAACACCATGTGGTCATTTTTAAAGAATGAAATAGATATAAATGTAATGATATGGATCATCTTTTTTGTTTTTTCCGAGACGGAGTCTTGCTCTGTAGCCCAGGCTGGAGTGCAGTGGCGCAATCTCGGCTTACTGCAACCTCCACCTCCCAGGTTCAAGCAATTCCCCTGCCTCAGCCTCCTGAGTAGCTGGGACTACAGGCGCTCTCCACCACACCCGGCTAATTTTTGTATTTTTAGTAGAGATGGGGTTTCACCATGTTGGACAGGCTGGTCTCGAACTCCTGACCTCATGAACTGTCTGCCTTGGCCTCTCAAAGTGCTGGGATTACAGGCATGAGCCACCGTGCCCGCCCTGGATCAATCTTTCTGAACTATTATTAATTGAAAAAAAAGCAAAAATATGGTGCAGGTTATAATGAATAACATGATACCATTGAGATTCTTAAAGGGATTAAAAGAATTTTTTAAAATATACACAAATGAGCTTTTAAAAAATAAAAGTTTTTAAAAATATATGATACACAAACGAGCATATAATATATGCACATACATCACAAATACATTATGCATGCATGCTTGAATATACATAGACACCTGCAGAAGTAGTAACAGAGGTTGCTTTGAATTTAGTGTCAGGGATAACGAGAATCTACTTTTCTCTATATTCCTTTGGTATGGTAATGCTTGAATTTTTTTTTTCCCCAGAATTTTAGAATAATTAACAAGATAAAAATGACCTGAAAACCTTTGTCCCCATGTCCTGTCTGCCACTTCAGTGGCTCCTGGTGCTCATCTGTGCCTACAACACCCAGTATGTTTGAGTGCCTCAAATGGACTCCAAACTACTTGAGGGCAGGGACTATGGCTCATTTGTTTGGACCTTCCTTGGGCAAGCTCTGTAACTTCTGTAAACCTGTTTTCTCAATGGTAAAATGGAAATGACCCTAATAGTGGTCGCTGATATTTATTAAGTAACTAGCATGGGTCCAGGCTGTGTGCTTAGTGCTTTTAATATGGATTATTTTATCCAATCTCAAAACAACCCTGATTAGTTTTGCTATCATCCCCATTTTATAGATGAGAAAAGAGACTTTTTATTTTTATCTTTGGAGAGAAAGTCTTGCTGTATTACCCAGGCTGGAGTGCAATGGTGCAATCATAGCTCGCTGCAGCTTGAAACTCCTAGATTCAAGTGATCCTCTCACCTCAGCCTCCCTCCCACCCCCCTCTTCCCAAGTAGCTGGGACTAGAGGCATGTACCACCATGCCTGGCTAATTTTTTGTGTACAGACAGGGTCTCATTATATTGTGCAGGCTGCTCTCGAACTCTGGCCTCAAAGATCCTCCTGCTTCAGCCTCCCAAATCACTGGGGTTACAGGTGAGCCACCACACCTGGACAGGAAGAAAACCTGTATCATCAAACTAACAAGTGGAAGAGTCAGGAAGATGTGTCTGTTTTCAGGATGCATGTACATTTATAAGGCTGTGGTAAGGAGTGAGAAAGTGCAGGTGAAGTGTCTGGCCCTCAGTAGGTGTTTAGGAAATGCTAGATATGATTACCGATGTTATTCCTGCCCTACCAGGAAACTCTTCCAGCTATTAAAAACATGCACCTGATTGAACAGAAACAAAGTGGCTTTATCCTGAAATAACTGATGAAATTATAGCAGACACATGGCTACAGCTTGGGCTCAAACATGTGGAAGCATCTCTCCTTTCTTCAGTTGTGAGTGAATTGCCATGGGAGGTCATTAGGGAAAGTACTGTAGCAGGGTGTGTTTTTTTTTCCTTCGGGATATGACGGTTTTACTGCTATTAATAACAGATGTGGCCAGGCAATTACAGACTTAAGATGGTTGATCACATCTTGCATTTTAAAGCTTAATCTGATCACCTCCAGGGTCAAGGAATTACATAGCTATCATAATGGATAAAGTCTGTCTTGTGCCACCACTTGTGGACCAAAGTTCAAGCCTTTGAGGTCTGAAATAGTTTATCTTTGTTCTGCAGCGTGGGGGGTTGAGGGGGGGTGGCGGGGCGGGGTGAGGGAGAAAGAGAAAGAGACAGAGAGAGAGGAGATTTATTTTCCGTGCATGTATAAGCTGCTCCAAAGCTCAGCCATGAGGGTGCCCTGTTACCCTGGCTCCCATTCAAGTTTAGCTAGTAAAGCTACTTTTGGGAAAAATGAGAAGTCAGGAGGCCACAATTCTGCTTTCAGGTCTGCTACAATTCCCTTTGCAATTCTGAGGCTTTTACTCATTTGTGAAATTTGGACAATCTCACGACATTTACTTGTCCTCTCCACAAAACTTAGAGCTCTCTAAAGCAGACATTCTTCTAGCAACCATTGAATTCTCAGTGTCTAAAATAGTGTCTGGTATATAGCAGACACTCAATAAACACTAAACGAATGAATAAATGACTGTCTGGGTTTCCTTCCAGTTACAACATAACATGATTCCATAAAATCATAATCTAGTGCATTGAGTTGACTCCAATGCATGTGGCAGATAACATTTGCTATCAGCTTTCTTGATTTTCTCTGCCCACTATTGAGACAACTTCATGAACATTTCCACCAGAATGTAAGTAACATGTATAAAAGGAGATGACCTGAGATTTGCCAAATTTTCCTCTTTTCTAGCCGTACTGAAAATGGTTTGGAAAAAGAAGAAAGTATTCATTTGAAGTGTCGGTTATCTGCTGGTTTTATTTACACAGGGTGTGCCTGTCAACCACTCCCATCCATAATTGAGACCAGCCACCCACAGCACCTGTCGTCAAGGCCTCTATACTCAGTTCCCCTTAGTGAGATAAGGTGAAGAGAGACCACTAGCTAACAATGTGTGAAAGCTTCAAGTGACATGACAGTCACTCCAGATCTGGAAGGGGAAATGACAAAGGAAGACATTCTGGTTTTTTGTTTGTTTTCATGTACATGAGTCAGGGTTCTTGGTTGTAAATAAGACAAACTCACTCTGGCTGATTGAAGCGGAAGAATTTATTGTAAGGATTTCAGGTACCACGGAATAAAAAGGATACTGTCACTGGTTCCACCATGATTGCTAGGTACTACCAGTCTCTAGAAACTCGACCACCAAGATGAATTTTAACGTGTCTCTGTCTTTGCACCACTTGATCAAGATTCACAGTTCCCAAAAGGAGAATCTCATTGGCCAGATCACACGCCACCCTAGCTGTGAGGGGTTGGGAGACCAAGTATGTGGCCCCCTTATGCTCCACGGTGGGAAAGAAGGTCCTAAGACTCTCACAGTGATGGAGTGCCCCAAATATAAAGAATGTTTGCATGCTGGTCAGCCACAGAAAAATGAGAGATGTCCAATGCATCACAGTTTAGTAGTGTAGCATCATTTATAAAGATGGGTAAAACTCAGTCTGTACAGCCACACATCCAGTGCCCTAAGTGGGGCAGATTTATGATTAATGGGCATAGGCTTGTTAGGATTTCTTGCTCTAAAGGCTGAAAATTGGCTGGGCATGGTGGCTCACACCTGTAATCCCTGCATTTTGGGAGGCTGAGGTGGGCAGATCACTTGAGGACAGGAATTCAAGACCACCCTGGCCAATATGGTGAAACCCCGTCTCTGCTAAAAATATAAAAAGCCAGGCGTGGTGGTGCATGCCTGTAATCCCAGCTACTCAGGAGGCTAAGGCAGGAGGATCACTTGAACCCGGGAGGCAGAGGTTGCAGTGAGCCAAGATTGCGCCACTGCACCCCTACCTGGGCGACAGAGTGAGACTCTGTCTCAAAAATAAAAATAAAGGCTGAAAATTTTACCAGCCAAAATTAAATTTTAACCAGTTAGCAGTTTCCTGGCACTTTGCCCATAACAATTTTAAAAGTTGTGGTTGAGCACTGCATGCTAGTGGTATATTACAAAACTCCATGCTGCCACCATAGATGAACCCAGGAGAAGTTCTCCTTAATCAAGTTTCCATTTTCCCCTCCTAAGTCCTCGAAAGAGCAAGACGACTCCATGCTTTGCTCCTTCGTAGTCTAGTAGTGACTCTGGAACTCCAGGAACACAGCTTATAGACTTTAGCCCCAGCTCCCCACATAAGGGTCTGGAGGCTGAGTATAAGAAGGGCCAGGATCCATGCTGGGAAACTGCTTGGTCCATGATGGTGATCCTCAAGGCAATAAACAGGACTGAGACCTGCAGAGGAGCTGGCCTGACTGCAGAGGACAAAAGCAGGGGTGTGAGCAGGTAAAGTGGAGGTCACAGCACGAGGTTTCTTCATCCAACCAAGGACATAAAAAGTTGCAGCAATTTCACTTCCAGGAATCTAATTCCAGTGTTGTGATATAGGAGAAACCAAAGTGTTGTCTCCCACTCTCACACAGCCAGCACACTTTTAACACTAGATGTGTGGGGGATGTTTCCCCTCATACCAAGCAATTCTGCAACAGACACCGGCTGGGTGTCCTTTAATTCAATTCAATTCTGGCACTATGTACCTGGAAATAGCAGGGGCTCAGGGTTTGATCCTATGAGACCGCCCCCCATTTCAGATGCCAATCCCAGGTAGTAGGTTGTCTCCTGTACCTCTGCCTGCCCAGCTATAAACTGGAGTTCCCCCAACCCACTCCTTGTTTGGACTAATCTGCTAGAGTGGATCACAGAACTCAGTGAAACACTTTACTTCTGTTTGCTCATTTATGAGGAAGGATATTACAAAGCATATAGATGAACAGTGAGATGGAAGAGATGCACAGGGCAAGAAATGTGGGAAGGGCTGTGGCGCTTCCATATCCTCTCTGAGCACGCCACCCTCTAGGAACCTGATGTTCTGCTCTCCAGAACTCAACAAACCCTATCCTTTGGGCTTTTATACAGGCTTCATTGCATATGTCTGATTGATTACATCATTGGTCACTGGTGATCAACTTAACTTTCAGCCCCTCTCCTCTCTGTGGAGGTCTGGGGGGACAGGGTGGGACTAAAAGTCCCAACCCTCTAATCCTGCCTTGATCTTTCTGGTGACCAGTCCCCATCCTGAAGCTATCTAGGGTCTCCAAGTCACCAACCATCTCATTAGCATACAAAAGGTAAGATATTTTCATCACTCTGGAGAGTCCAAGGAATTTAAGAGTTTTAGGTCAGGAAACAGGGACTACAATCAAATATATATTTCACAATATCACACGCAGATATACCTGCACAAGTACACACTGATCTATGTACAGGGATATTCACTGAAGCATTGTTGGCAACCACAAAAAAAGAAAAACTGGAAATAATCATCCATGGTTACATCAGTTCAATATATTACTGTATAATCATACTATGAGACATAACACAACTACAAGAAAGAGGTCATATATAAGTGATATGATAATGTTGATATATTAAGTTAGAAGAGCACGTGGCAGAACAGTTTGCATACTACTATTCCGTTTTTTTTTAGAAGGGAATATACAAATAGTCTTGTATATACTGGAAGGGCAACCCAGGAACCGTGGGAACTTTTTGGGGAGGGTGGCAAGGAAAGAGAGACCTTTACTTTTCATTTTCTATCCTATTTCTGTTTGACTATTTACTGTGTAGATGTAGTCTACTCATAATTAAAACAAACTAATTTAAAATGCCGGAAAAGTGAAGCATAGCAGGAAAAAGGAGTCAACAGTAAAGAAAAATTTTCCCCAAAAGGGGCTTCTCTCAGTTAAGAACACTTCTGAACTGTACTCACTGAATGTGAAGACCCAAAGAGAAAACAGTCTCTGTCTGTGTCTTTTCCTTAATGTCGCTCAGAGCCAGACCTCTACTCACCTGGTGAGGACCTGGGTCAGTCTCCTGGTATTTGGACATGATCTGAGAGGAGTGAGTCAGGTAAAGGAACCTTCTGGACCACAGACAACAGCCAGGCTCAGCAGGGATCACTGAGGTAGGAATCCCCCCACCCAAACCCCTAAAAAAGAGCCAACAGTTATTAAAAACATGGGACTAGAGTGGGGCAGACTGGGTTTATGGTCCTGTTACAACAGTGGTGATGCTAACAGTTAAAAGACCATAGAAGCTTGTTTCAAATTAATTGGCCTGTAGAGTAGGAAAAAAAAAAAATGACTCTACTAATGATCCTAGGCAATTCTGTCTTCTAGGTTACAGCAAGCAGCCCCCAGAATGGCCTTTATTGAAGCCTGAGTGACAAGAAGCCTGTAGCGGGGTGAGGGGGACCCGCTTGGAAAAAGGCCCCAAAAGAGGAGCTCTTCCTAACTCTCCAATGACATGGGAAAATTTTACTCACACAAAATTCCCTGGAAACCCAGCCACCTCCCGCTCCAAGAGAAGGCCTAGAGATGCAGTGGCCAGAGACAGCCTCAGGCCTTCTTCCCCATGCTGGGGGTGCTGCTGCTTGCCTTCACCCCGACCCGGTATCCCCACTTCCCGCTGCCCCAGATCTCCCAGGCTGAATGTCCCCTCTTCGCCTCCACTCTTCTGAGCTTCTAAGAGCTAACTCCAAGTGAGGAACTGAACCCCTTCCACCCCTACCTCCCCAGGCAATCTGTAGAGCTCTTGAGCCCTAATACCAGTGTCTGGGAGGCGCGTAAACGCTTCCATTTTTATCCTTCCACTGCAGAAAATGCCCAGTTTAGTCTGGGAGACACTCAGACCCCTCGGGACAAGGGTGGCTAGAGAGAGGTCCAAGCTGCCCTGGGTGGGTGGGGAGTCAAGGCAGGCCAAAGCTTCAGATTTAGACAGTAACCACCAAATCCGACCTGGGCTGCAGGTCCAAGGCCTCTTCCTCTTTCCTGCATGCTCCGCTCTGCCGCTGGCCCATCTTCCAATGCAACCCCTACAACTACCAAAGCAAAAAGGCCTGTCCCAACTCCATCCTCACGGCCCGATCCCCAACCCTCAGGGGATGCCGCTTCGTGTCTCCTCTTTATTTTACAACGCGGCCCTCCTTGCAGCCCTCACGAAAAGTTCTGCAGTGGGGTCCCCCAGCGTGGGGCCCTTCTCGAGACCCTTAAAGAGAAGGCTCGTTTGGTGGACCATACCCGGGCAGCGCGGGCCCGGGCCTGGACTGGTTCTACTTGTGTTCTGAGGTCCCTGACCACCGCCTTGGGTCCAGCCCTCGTCCAGGGGGCGGCGGTGCAGGGGAGACCGCGCGGCCCGGCCTGAAGCGCGGCCGCCCTCATCCCTTCCCCGGGGCTGGGGTGGGTCACCGGCCGACAAACACAGGAGGGGCCGCGTCCCCGTCCCCGACGCGCTCACAAACGCCGTGGTCGCCCGAACCTTCGGCCCCGCAGCATTCGGCTACAGGACCGCGACACTGCAGGGCCCCGGCTCTGCGCGCTGCGCTCCGGCCGCTCGGCGCGGGAGGACGTGCGGTCGCGCCTGCCTCGGTGGCCGCGCGGGGTAGGTGGCTGCGGGGACCGGAAGGATGGCGAGGAAGTCGGAAAGGGTTTCCTGAGATGAGAGATTACTTCCGTCCGGGCTGCGGCCTCTCTCTGGAGTCGGCTAGCCGGGGCTCGGGGAGCGGGGTGCGCAGGGCTCGGGGCCACGCCTTGCCACCTGCAGCGCCCGGGTGGGCCGCGGGGGCCTCGGCGGGACGCGCTCGGCCCTGTCGCAGGAGCTAACGCAGGGGGAATCCTTGCAGGTGGGAGCATTTCAGAGCGCACAAGCCATGGTGGCCAAACAGCGGATCCGGATGGCTAACGAGAAGCACAGCAAAAACATCACCCAGAGGGGGAACGTAGCCAAAACCCTGGTAAGGCGGGGTCGGCGCCGGCCAGGCAGAGCCCTGCAGCCCGGCGGGGTGGGGCGGAAGGTGGGGGCGGGGCCGGGCGGGTAGCGGCGCAGGGTCCGGCCTCCCGGCTCCCGGCCCGCCCCTTCTGCGGGGTCCTGCAGAGTGGGGGCTGAGAGCTGGGTTCAGGGCGGCGCGGTCTGCTTGGCGTCCTCGTGGGCGGAGAGGGCCCTGGTTGGTCGTGGCCCCTCTGGGAGTGGCTACCTGGGCTACCAGGGAGGCGCAGAGGAGCCCTCCTCCCCGACCCGCACCCCCTGTCCCCCTGCCCGGGAGACAGCTGGGCCTTGTCCCGGAGAAAGACGGAAAGCCTCATCCTTAGGGGCCAGTTAAGTCAACTGCATGACACAGAGCCTGGAACCTAGTATGTTCTAGAACGTTGCATGACACAGAGCCTGGAACCTAGTATGTTCTAGAACGTTTGTTGAATGAATGAATGAATCAATGGCTAAATGGAGGCCACTTGTCATCTCCTCCCGGACTCCACCTGTCTTCCCTCCCCAACAGACTTGCACCAGGATCAAGTTTTCTTTCCAGCCCCTTTGTGACGGTTTCACTGGAGGTGTGGAAAGAGCTCAAAATGGGGAGTGAGATTTGGACCCACATTCCCTCCAGCCTCTTTTTTCTCTTTTACCTCTCTTCCAGCGAGACCTCCCTCAGCCCCTAGGCTAAAGTCTAAGGGCAGCATTCCTATTCTTTCCACTTGGTGAATTCAGACTCATTCTCATGGTATAACTTTAGAGACCAGTTTATTGTCAGGCATTCGGTGTCCCTAGAACTGTAAATTCAAGCTTTGCAACTGGACTTTTAAGTAAAACCTGTGCCTTACACTCAGGAGTTTCTTTTAGCAAAGCAGATTATCATCAACAGAAAATGCGAGGCCTGTGACTTTGGACATTCAGAGGCATGAGTCGCATGGGTAGTTTGGCGAAGTTGGTCTCCAAGTATATGAGCAAAGGCGCCTGGGATCTGTTACCCCGTACAGTTAAGTGGAAATCCAGCTGAAGCCTGGAGTTTGGCTGGGAAAGCTTGCAGATTTGATGAATCAATTCCTTTTAGCCAAAGAAACTATATTGGTTTGATTAACTAAGCAAAAAGCTAGATCTGTAATCATCACACCAGAATTCTTGCAAAACCAAGCAGTATTACGGCAGAGAAACTCTAGGACCAAACTCAACTCTACTCAGAGCTTTATACACAAGTCTAAGCATAACTCAACTCTACTCAGAGCTTTATACACAAGACCTAAGTAATCCTTAAAATTCTCTCATTTAGGAATTATATCACTCAGTTGTGATTAGGCAGCAAAATGCCAAGATGCCATCAAATTGGAACCATTTTGTCACATTGATTTATGTTTTCCCTATTTTTACTGAGGAAAAAAAAATGGCTGCCCGGGTTGACATTGAGAAGCAACTTATAATTGATGTTAAGGCATGCAGGGTTTTATATCCCTAAGAGATCAATTCTTCCTTCTCAAGGGATCAGACCTGCTAACTGACACAGTGAAAAATAACTAGTCATGTGGCTCTTTTTCATGAACTAAAAAACCGGAGTTCAGTTGTCAGATCTCAGTTGACAGCTTATCTGATTACAAAAGTAAGAAGAAAACAAGAACTAATTTCTAAGGCTGTTGTATCTATTAGGTTCTGTAGACTCAGTGTCTGCCACCTCAAGTTCTTCAAGAAAACTAGAAAATGTTTGGGACCCAAAACAAAAATTATTAGCTCCAAAATAAAAGAAGAAAATGGAAAAATTGGGAAAACATTGTTTAAATACCTAGAAAAGGTACCAGTCACCTGCCATTCAACTCAATGTTCAGAGCTACATTTAAATTATATTTAATGTACAGTATGAGTTCATTTTAATATGCTCTGATATGTCATGGGGTGGCCCCCAAGAAACTCTCATAGTGCCTTGCACCTATAAGAGTTTTTAAATGGCCCAGCTAAATTTGTAATGAAAGGTTTCCAGACCAAGCCACAATCAATGTTTGCTTTGCATTGGTTGGGGGGATTTTGGTTAATGTTATTGTAAATAGATTACTATCCAATAGAAAAATGAAATTTTCTTTCAAAGAGAAACTTGATAAATCCTAAATCTCATGTTCTCAATTACAAGTCAAATATGATTATACTTTGTTAAAAGTAACTTGCAAAAGATCACTATTCAGGATGAAATTCATTAAATGGGAACAAGTATAGATTCCAACTGAAAATTCAGACTAATTGTTCAGAAATAAACTTCTTTAATTGTATGCAGATGCTTCAGTATTTTATTATTAGCTAATAGCTTACGGATAAATTAATATTATTCTCCCAGATAGCAGACTAATCCAAGAAACAAGGCCGGGCGTGGTGGCTCAGCACTTTCTGTAATCTCAGCACTTTCGGAGGCCAAGGCGGATGGATCACCTGAGGTCAGGAGTTCGAAACCAGCCTGGCCAACATGGCACAACCCCGTATCTACTAAAAATACAAAAATTAGCCAGGCATGGTGGTGGGCGCCTGTAATCCCAGCTACTCAGGAGGCTGAGGCATGAGAATGGCTTGAACCCGGGAGGCAGAGGTTGCAGTCAGCCGAGATCACGCCACCGCACTCCAGTCTGGGTGACAGAGCAAGACTCCGTCTAAAAAAAAAAAGGAAACAGAGAAATGGAATAATCATTTTGTGATTATACAGTAGTAACTTCTCCAGAATGAAGGGGGAATTTAAATTTCAGAGTTCTGAGTTACCCTACGGGTATCTTAATCACAGGGAAAGCCATTCCCTGACATTTTTGGAGCCTCAAGAAGTAGCAAACTCATGTTTGGAGTAAACCATGTCATTTGCAGAATCACTACTAGTTTTCCCCACCTTTTCCAGCCATAGAGTAAGGTTTATGTGAATTGTCCCAATGGGATTGTGCTGGGCACCCCTTCTAAAAAGTAGTCACCCAAAGCTGTCAAAAAAAAGATATATGGGTACTATGATCAGCCAAAGTCCCCAAATCATGTTGATTCCATGGAGAATGTCATCCAAAAGGTTTTTGTGTTATATGGTCCAAGCTCTACATGCTGATCATCTGTTTTTTCTGCATATGAAAAATAAAGGACTCTATTTGGTATCTGTCCTGGGCAAGTAATTCATTACAGGCTTCTGAATTCACTTATTAGCTTTGCTGGAAATAGAGATAAAATGAATTTTTTTATATAGCATCAGTGGCACAACAGCAACAGAACTGGTTTCTGGGCAACTGTGACAAGTTCCTGGGAAGGTGGTGGAAGAGGGTGGGAAGGGCGAATGTCACACTTTGTTCAGGTAGCTTTATGAATGTTGTTTACCGGATCTGAACTTGGCCTGGCCTTAAGGGCCAAAAAATGGCACAGTTATCTTATGCAATTATTTAAGACTGATCTTGTCCTCGTCTGATTAAGAGCAGCCACCGATTCCTTTGCAGTGTGACTTGCCGGCATGTAAGTGGTGGTAGATACAGGCTTAGTCAAGGACAGAGAAGTGAATGTCTTAATCCTTAGTCAAAGTCTACCTGCCGTTGACACTTTAATCCATATTTCTCATGTAGGAGAGATACAGGGATAATCCTACACCAATTAGGAATTATTACTAAAAAGACAATATCCTTCCTAGAACCTGTGTTTACTCTGCCTAACCTAAGAAATCTTATTTAATGAAACTTGTATGTTTATTTGTTCTTTGATGAACGTTTATTATCTCCTATGTTTAAGTTCTGTGGCAGGCATTTCTATATATTACTACATGAACAAGACATAGTCCCTGCCCTTGTGGGGTCTGTAGTCTCATAGAGAGACAGATATTAAACACATTAATTATCACAAGAATAAATATAGACCTACAAACTGTGACACATGCTATCAAGAAAAAGTATGTGGCCATACAAGTGACGAGTGGACCCAAGTGAGGTAAAAGAGAAGGGCTCTTTGGTAAGCTGAAAACTAAAGAACTGTTGCCTTATCTATGATAAAATAAATTCCTTTTTTAGATGAGAAGCCAGTTTACATTTACATTAGCCTAGAACTTAATTTTACATATAAATACAACACATCATAGATTTTACAGTTTTAATATATGATAAATTTTCTAGGAAAGCAACTACAGTGAAAATCAAAGGAAGATTATCCTTTTTTAAAGAAGTTTTTGTTAGAAACATTACTAAAACTTGTTCAACATTTCAAAAACTTACATCCTTGATGATAGCACCACTCGTTTTTTTTGAAACACTATTACATACCTTCAGTCTGAATGTCAAGCTGTGGTATTTGTATGGATATGAACATACCTTTTAGCCCATATTTTACAATGTTGAATACAATGTTTAAATGTCAACAACATTTAATTGAAATCTGGAATTGGGTTTTATGAGATCAACCACAAATCAATACTTGTGAACATTCCACTCTACCAACACGTTTTTCTTTGTGTGTTTTGCATGTGAATTCTTTAACGTGTGTTGAATGCAGCCTATTTTTCAAGCTAATCAGAAAATAATTAGTGAGTTCTTTGTTGTTGTTTTTTTTTTCACTCTCCCATTCTATTTGAGAAATTCACTTCTTTTCTGATGCATCTCTCAGAAAATATTTGTTGTTCTGACTGATTTGGGTTTAAGGACCAAGCCCTACCTGCACATAGACCTGGAGGTGTTGTGGAGGGAAGATCTTATTATGTCTGTGCTTTTGGTTTGAAAAAGCAGGAGGTCTGTAGGGCTTCATTCATGCAGTTTTGACAGTCCCCTTCTGCTTCCCAGAGAATTCAGAGACTTCTCCCAAGTGCAAGCTTTATTAAGGCTTAGGAGCTTTATTACAAAATGCTGCTTCACTCATAACCATTCACAATTGCTGTGGTGCTTCTGTTGTTGCAAGGATTTCCACTGTACTGACTTCCTAATTTGGGGTTATGTAAAAGGTTTTCAGAAAATGTCTGTGCTCTCTGATCCTGCTTGGAATTCACAGATGCAAAAACTAAATATTGAATCTGTTAATGGAAAATACTCAGGCTTTATAATGAGGCAGACCTAAATTTGAATCCCAGCTCTTGCTCAAGTTAACAAACTTTGAGCCTCAGTTTCTCAACTCCAAAATGGAAATAATAATACTTGCCAGAAATAATGAATGCAGACTGCCTAGTGTAGTGCCTGGCACAGAGCATTACTCAGCAGATGGAAAGTTATTATTAATATCATTTTGGTTCCTAAATCGCCATATTGGTTTATGTATTCATACCATATCTGTCCCCAGAATATTTAAGACCACCAAGTTCACTGAGTTACAGGGATGTTAATAAGGTTATGGATGAATTTTTACAAACCTGTCTCAATCCTTTTAATGGACTTCATTCATCTATATCTGTCCACTGAGGGATTGAAACCAAGTCTGTCTCATTCGCAGTAGAATCCCCAGCACCTAGCACAATGCCTAGTGATACTCAAATAATTGTTTATTGAGTCAATGAACCTAATCTTACTTTTTCCCATTCCCTTTTAGAGGCCGCAAGAGGAGAAATATCCTGTGGGACCATGGCTGTTGGCACTGTTTGTTTTTGTTGTCTGTGGCTCAGGTATGGGTGTTTCACTGAACTTATATCCCATGTTCTCCACTGGCCTTTGAAAAACACACGTTTTCTTCACAAAGCAAATAGATGAAAAACATACTGGTATGGGATTCAAGTTTATCACTGCCTTAAGCCTTAATCTTAATGGGTTTTGATTTAGTTTCTATTCCAAATATAGGTAGAGACACAATTAATACACTATCAAATCCTAATCATAAAATGATTACACTGAGTAGTTAAAGTGGCTGTATACACTGTAGAGTTCAGTAAAGTCTTTTTGTGCAGACATAGCCTTAAAAGGGCATTAGAACAGAAGGTGAAACACCTGTGTGCCTGTGATAAATCCACATTCCGAGAAAGGGAGAGGCCTTATGCCTTATGAGAAAGTTCTGCAGAGCTCCTAGATACAACTTCCTAGATACAACTGAGCCTTTGACCCAAGCCTTAAGGTATGGGTCACCTGATACTGTAAGGTGGCAAGTTGAGAGCTTTACTTACACACATGCAGATACACACATACACACAAATGCAGGGAAGATGAGCAGAAGCATCGTGCCATTGTTTCTAGTTACATGCTGAACTAGCCTTGACATGGTTCCTGATCCCCATATGTTGGGTCTCAGAAATCCTTGTGAGTGGAGGTCACTTCTTCTAACTACACAGCATGCCTTGAGGGATTCCCACCCTCCAGCATCTCACTGTTACTGAGGGCAGGGAGGCAGAAGGTCCACATCTTCCTGCTCAGGCTTAGGCCTCCCAGCAAGACAGCCTCTGCCCCAATGACAAGAGAAGCCCATGACTAAAGATGAATCATGCATTCAAACCTAAAATCATGAAAATTAAAAAAAAAATTTAAGATGGATCAGTTCCTTTTATCTTCAAGAGACCACTCTTCCAAAGAAGCAAAAACTCTTAGGAGGAAGGAAGGATCCAAAGTACTTGGCATTATTGTTGCTTGTGGCTCAAATATTTTAAAGATGATTTGGCATTCCAAGATGAGAAAATCTTACACTCAAAGAAAGACAGTTCTACTCTATTCCCAAAGAAGTATCTTTAAGGACATCTTTTAAACAGCTGTTTACCCAATCCCTATTTGAATACTTCTTCAAAAAGCCTATTCCATGTCTGCTGGAATTCTATTAGAAATGTCTCTCCTGTTTTGAATTACACTATGCTGTCTTCTCAGTTGTTCAGATTTGAACTCCTAGGGTAACACAGAATGGACTCGTTCTCCTCTAAGCACCTTGAATCATCAGATATTTTAAAGATGACTGCCTGGTGGCTCCTTCTGCAAACTAAGCTTCCCTAAATCTCTCGACCTTGCCTCATAAGATGTGGTTTCTAGACTCCTCTTCTGGATCTGCTCAATGACTTTCTTAAAGGGTAGCATTTGGCAGCGCATGCCTGTAATCCCAGCTACTTGGGAGACTGAGGCAGGAGAATCACTTGAACCCAGAAGGCAGAGGTTGCCATGAGCCAGAGATCGCGCCATTGCACTCCAGCCTGGGCAACAAGAGTGAAACTCCGTCTCAAAAAAAAAAAAAAAAAAAAAAGCCAGGCGCAGTGGCTCACGCCTGTAATCCCAGCACTTTGGGAGGCCGAGGTGGGGAGGATCACAAGGTCTGGAGTTCGAGACCATCCTGGCCAACATGGTGAAACCCTGTCTCTACTAAAAATACAAAAAATGAGCTGGACATGGTGGCACGCGCCTGTAGTCCCAGCTACTCAGGAGGCTGAGGCAGGAGAATCACTTGAACTGCAGAGGTGGAGCTTGCAGTGAGCCGAGATCGTGCCACTGTACTCCTTCCTGGGCAACTGAGCGAGACTGCGTCTCAAAAAAAAAGTATAGCATTTGCAACTGCAGAAGGTGGTCTAGAAGCAGTGTGACCACCACAGAGGCAGTAGGATTGTCACTGCCCTTGATTTTGCTCACCACTCTGCCTCTATTAATGTGACCCAGGCTTGCAGTTACTTTTTAACAGTTGCAGCACATCCTTGACTCAC
Organism: Homo sapiens; assembly: GCF_000001405.40. NCBI lineage: Eukaryota > Metazoa > Chordata > Mammalia > Primates > Hominidae > Homo > Homo sapiens. The sequence goes on from NC_000013.11 coordinate 44,381,712, forward strand.
GTCTAGCTGATGGCCAGCCAGATGCCACCCAGCTCTTCCTCAGATAAACTTCCTGCAACCCCGGAAACACATCTACATACCCCTTTATCCCAAGTCTCTCCTGTCTCCATCACATATTATTTTATTTTACTCATGACCCTCATCAGCAGTTGCAGTTATTTAGTTTACTTACTTAGGTTCATTTCCCTCCAGTAGGATATAAGCTCAGGGGAGACAGTGTTTATTTTTCATTAAATTTGTAGATCCTAGTTTAGTATTTAGCACATAGTTAGTGCTTAGGATGGATGGATGGATGGATGGATGGATGGATGGATGGATGGATGGATAAAGCCAGATATTCCTCATACTGTAGATATCTAGTTGACCTTTTTTGAGACCTAATATAAAACTTTATGACTTTTTTTTTTATTCTCAAAGAAGAACGATTACTTCTATTAAAATTTTAGGCTGGGCGCGGTGGCTCACGCCTGTAATCCCAGCATTTGGGAGGCCGAGGCGGGCGGATCATGAGGTCAGGAGATAAGACCATCCTGGCTAACACGATGAAGCCCCGTCTCTACTAAAAATACAAAAAAATTAGCCGGACCTGGTGGCAGGTGCCTGTAGTCCCAGCTACTTAGGAGGCTGAGGCAGGAGAATGGCGTGAACCAGGGAGGTGGAGCTTGCAGTGAGCCGAGATTGTGCCACTGCACTCCAGCCTGGGCGACAGAGCGAGACTCCGTCTCAAAAAAAAAAAAAAAAAAAAAAGAACAAAATAAAAACAAACAAAACTATGCCTTTATCATACCACAGGAAAATCAAGAAAATAAACCTGTACAAAAAAGTTAGCTATGTTTTCAGGCTGTATGACCAGTCTGTAGATTGTCAGACCTTGAACTTTAAGCCTCTGATCTACTTACCCTTTTTTCCCAGTGTTATGGTCCCTGAAAATATATTATTCTTCCAAGTCACTGATAAAAGTCTAGACTTGGAGAAACCCACAGAACACAATCAGAGACAACCTCTTTCAGGTTGACTTTGAGCCTCTAAGCAAAACTCATTCAAGCAATCATCATGTCTTGAGGGTCCCCTCTGTGCCTGGCACTGTGCCGGGCTTTGGAAATACAATCCTGTTTGGGTACTTGCAGGCATTGGGAGAGGCAGATAAGGAAGCTGTCAGTTGCAGCCCAGGGAAAGCGCACTGCGATAGTGACAGCAGAGTTTACAGGGTGCTTGGCTGGCATGGATAAGGAACTTCTAAATCATACTCAGCAGAAGAGAAAGTTTCCAAGGGGAGGTGCTGTTTGAGCGGAGTCTTGAAGAACAAACAGCCAGACAAAGGGTGTGAGGAAGGTGATTCTGCATGGGAACACTATGTGGCGGTGGCATGGTGGCTTCAGAGAATGTGCTGGGCTCAAGAATATAAGGTGCTCAGAATGGCCAAAGCCTACTCTCAGGCATCCCTGAGCCCCGTGACCATGCCACCTGTATTGTCAAGGGTCTAAGTAGATAAAGATATATATAGGCTTCAAGATACACAGTAACTGTGGCCTTCTCCAGTCTGCCCCCTTAGGCAGCCTATAAGGGAAAAAGCCAGTAGAGTCATTTGGCGTGGCTTATTTTTCTCAAACCCATGCCAACTCTCAAAACCCATCTCTTCCTTTTTGGAGGGTTTAAAAAACTATTATATGGCCTAAACTTTTGCCTGGCTTACCAGCCCATGCAGCAGGACCTGTATCTTTCCCTCTTGGGTAAATTGGGACATTTGCTAACAAGCATCTTTTAGAACTCTCCTGGTCTCCAGCAGTTTCCTAGGGATTGAGTATGTTAGCTCCACCTCTCTGGAGGTTTGCGTTTTTTTTGTTTTTTTTTTTTTGAGACAGAGTCTCGTTCTATTGACAGGCTGGAGTGCAGTGGCGCAATCTCGGCCCACGGCAACCTCCACCTCCCAGGTTCAAGCGATTCTCCTGCCTCAGCCTCCTGAGTAGCTGGAACTGCAAGCACGCACCACCATGCCCAGCTAATTTTTTTTTTTTTTTTTTAGTAGTGACGGGGTTTCACCATGTTGGCCAGAATGGTCTTGATCTCTTGACCTCATGATCCGCCCACCTTGGCCTCCCAAAGTGCTGGGATTACAGGCATGAGCCAATGCGCTCGGCCACCCAGGGCTCTTTCAATGATGCTGACTTAAAGCTTTCTAGTTATAAAGCCATTTTGCTTTTATGGAGAGGTTAGACATGAAATGAGAGTTGAGCCATCTTACTTTCTCTGTCTTCTATTAACATGCTATCGTGATCCCTAAGCAATGGGCCTCATCTCTTTTTTAATCATAACTAAAAATAATTCACCACCACCTTTTTTTTTTCTTGCCAACTTTAGCAATTTTTTTGCAAGCCTCAGCTCAAGTCGGGCACTGTTCTCACAGAAATGTGTCACTCTTCTCAGCTTGTCCTTGGTACTGTGCCCTTCCTTCTATCTTTGTACTTGTCCTTTTCTAAACAGAACATGTCATGGGAAACACAATAGCTCCTTTAGATCCGTCCCTGTTGCCACCTCTCTGGAATTAGTCACGATTCATTTCTTCTTGCAGAACCGACTATTCCCTCTAGAGTTTATCCTGTTTTAGGGTCACAGGCCATAAGTGCCTACCCTTCTTTTCTCTACATTTAAACGAATGTGCGGTCCTCAAGTCTAGCCCATTTGTCAGCTGCTTTGCTTTAGGTAATTAGCTTTCTGGTAGGTGCTGGGATTGTTGAAGCTCTCATCGGTGGTCTGTCTCACCTCTGTTCCAGCTTTGTAATCTGAAATAGGAAAATCCCCTACATCTCACATCTGCCTGTTTGCAGCACGCACACCTGCACCTGCACACCTGCCCTGGCCTGCAACACTCAGGCCAAATGCACTGGAGTGTCTTGTAGGATCTCCACATCTCTGCAGACAGATAGACCCTTTTCCTATTCCCTTCTATTAGCTCTCCTTTGAACAAGATACACCCCTATGCCAGGCTCAAGTTCCATTTCACCAAGTTCCAGTGGGACCTTGGAGGTCATATGGCCTTTCTTTGCATTCATGTGGTTGGTTACTCTTATTTTGTATGTTTTTATATAGATGCTAAGGAAAAAGGCGAAATCTTCTAATATTAATAAAGATGTTGATCATTGATGTGAGTCTCTTGAAAGTCTCACTTGCTTTCATTACCTTACTCTATTAACCCACTTTTCTCATTGGTGATTGGTTGGGCAAAGTGCTCTTTTTAGAAATAGTGCCAGTGTACCTAGGGTAAATAAATATTCAGGTCAGGCAGACAGTAATGAATGCACATTTTATCTGTTTTTCTGGCTGTCTTCTGGGAAAGAGTTAGGACTGGTAAGAAGCTGGCATTTAAGTATGTGCTCACTTATTGGTCACCCTTTCTCTGTTTTATGTGGAAAAACAGGTTAACAAGCCTGTAAAAAGTCTACAGGACCCCTTTCTTATAGACAGTTGTGGGTCACTGCCATCACTTGCCTCCTGCTTCTCAGCTTCTCTCCTGTGGCTTCCTCCTCCTCTGCATGTGCCTTTCATGCCTGCCATCCTAGTAAGAGCAAGATAATGAAAAGGAAGGAATGAGGACTGGGAGAGTAGTGAGGGGACACAGTCCAGGCACCCAGAGACCCCTGGCATAAACACGCACTCAGGGAATGCCACCCCTCACTGCAAAGCCAGATGGGAGCAACAGACCTCCCGGGGCTGCCCCACGCCCCCCAGATCTGAGCGCACCCAAGCCCTGTTCTGTCTTAGGCACTTGGTGGAAACCTCTAATACATTGTCCTGGTGAGAGGGAGTTTGGGGAGGTTATCTAAATACATCCTTTTCAGAATAAGCAAATTTCTACTTTCCATGATTGCAAAAGTTGTCTTAGGCAAGGGACTGCTTTGAAAACTGACCAACTGGCACTCAGAATAGGAGGCCTCTGAAGGGAGGATAGTTTCAGGATCTGCCAGATGTCAGTTTTGAGCCTAGATTCACTTTTGTCAGCTGAATGACCTTGGACAAGGTATTTACTCTTGGTATTGATTCCCTTATCAAGAAAATGGGGATAATGAGCAGCCCTCCCAAGGTGTCCTGGCATTGAGCAGCTCTGGGGATCTAAGTACAGGCCCATAGCAAGCCCAAAGCCTGCAGCTACAGTCACCACCACCTCTGTCCTTGTAGCCCTCATGGGAAACAGGGGCACCACGGGACCATCGGTTGTGCTGTGGGGTGCTTCAACTCCCACATGCCTTTCATCCTTCCCGGCTGCATGTTCAGTTGCAGACTCGACCTCTCACACTGGTCTCAATCTATCAGCAAGCCATGAGCCCTGCCTCTTCACTCCACGGATGAGTGGGAGCAGTGTAAGTGATAACACTTTGGATGCATGAGGCTGTTTTCCCATGTGATAAAGCGTCAAGTCTTCCCCACAGAGGGAGAAGGAACACCAATATGCAGACCACAATCAATGAACAGCAGTTTGTCCTTTAATTTGAATGTCAGGAAAAAAAAAATGTGAGTTTCATTTCCTTAAAGCAACCCCAATCCACCACTCTTTTGCTGTAAAAGTTATCTTTATGAGATACAAAAGCTTTGGGAATAGTATATTCTTCTGAGACACGGTATTATCCAATTAGAACATCTCAGGGCTGTATCTTGTTTCATTTTGTTTAATTTGATAACCAGTGTTTTTTTTCTTTTTTGAGACAGTCTCACTGTTGCCCAGGCTGGAGTGCATTGGCACCATCTTAGCTCACTGCAGCCTCCACCTCCTGGGTTCAAGTGATTCTCCTGTCTCAGCTTCCCAAGTAGCTGGGATTACAGGCATGCGCCACCATGCCCAGCTAATTTTTGTATTTTTAGTAGAGACAGGGTTTCACCCTGTTGTTGAGGCTGGTCTCAAACTCCTGGCCTCAAGTGATCGGCCCTCCTCAGCCTCCCAAAGTGCTGGATTACAGGCGTGAGCCACCACACCCAGACGGCTTTGTTAATATATAGATTATTTAAGAAATCAAAAATCCATTTCTTAATCAATACCTGTTATGGGTCTGCTCAGATTATTAACCCAAATAGGCCAGAAACTTCTTGTCAAACCTTAGCCTGGGATTTTGTTTTGCTTGAGTCTGTTTAACTGGCTGGATTTGCCTCTACTTGATCTACTAGGACCCAGATCCACATCGAAGGCCAAGGGATTTCAGTGCCCTCATAAGAGACTTTGCCCTTTTTTTCTCTCCCCTTTTAATACAAGTATTATCTTCCATTTCTGCAGGCAGTGGGGCCTCTTTCCAGATAAGCAGCTCATCCTGGCTCTGCCAGTCCCGGGTTTTGAAACCTGCCTCTTTGGAGAGCTGTTTGAAAGCTTCTGAAGAATGCTTGCTTTTATCTCAAGACTCAGAGGCAAGCATTAGCTGGAATGTCTGTCTGAGACCGTTCCCCACAAAGATACTGTCACACAGATAGGTCAACTGCTATCTTCTCAAGGCACTTGCAGACTTGACATGCTTCCCCAGCCCATTCATGGACCTAGTCACTGCTGTTTGTGCCCAGAGCCCTCTCCTCTGGGCGTTTTCTTTTCCTTTTGTCCCCAGCTCTTGTATGAGCCTTACTGAGAAGGACTCCCGGGCTATACCAATGCTTAGTGGGAAAGTGGGCTGCAGTTGATTGGTAATGTCTGTCCTGAACACAATATGGCTGGCAGGGCCACGTTCTCATCTTTGCTGTCCTTAGCCTAAACTTTTTATAAGGTTATTGCCACGGTATTCACAAGACAGCTGTCTTCGGCATTTCCAGCTTTCCTCTTTGACCAGAATGCCTCCTGGACTTGGTGAAATGAGGTCTTTTCCTTAATATGCTACCTGTTTGGATAATTTTATTTAGAGTCAGCCTATACATGTTTCTTGTGGTCTCACAGTATTATTTACCTTTTCTGAGCTCTGGGTGTGATACCCTACATTGACAGGATGCAGCAATCTGAGATGCCACTCTTTGCAATACGGTTGTATTTCTCTCTGTCCTGATGTCTCAGTGATAATTTCAGGCAGCATCAATGGAGTCACCATCTAATTCCCATCATCCTTTGACTCTCAGAGGGAAACTCTTAAATACCAGCCATGCCCCAGTTCCATCCCTCAGACTATTTCTCCCTCATGTATTCCTAATTTCAATTTTATTTCTCTACTCTTTCTCTGGCCAACCCTGATATTCATTTCCTAATTAGAGATTATGAGAATTTTAATGGTGACCAAAGCCTGGCTATTCTTGAAACTGACAAACGTTTATTCCCATCAAAGGGAAACCTCTGGGGTAACAGGATTAACTAGTGACTGTTATTTTCTTCACTGTTTCCTATAGTTTCCAAATTTGTCAATCAGCATATATTACTTTTATAAGCAGAAAAAAATGTGTTTAAAAAAAATCTAGACTAGTGGTTTTTGGTCTTTTTTTTTTTTTAAGCTGCAGAACTTTGTTCAAATCTTAGAGGGAAATAAATGAAACAGCAGCTGTTCTGGTTGAAGTGAAGTCTGTGTATGTTTCTGTTTGCATTTGTGTGTGTGTGTTTGTATATGTGGGTTTTTTTGTGTGTGTGTTTGTTTCCATGTATGTGTATTTGTGAATGTGTATGTGTTAGTGTGTTCATGAATGTGTATGTATATGCATGCATATGCATGCTTGCATGTCTGTGTGTATGTACAGTATATCTCCCTATGTTGCTGGATATTATGACTTTCTCATCGCCAGAGGGGAGCACACATCTAGACTCTCTTTGCCCATCAAATAGGAAATTGTGCCTGGCTCCAGGGCTGGCCTCTGTTATTGCAGAGTTAATGCCTTTCAACAAAGAGCCTGTGAGGTTTATCAGGCACCATCCGTTGGGAGTCGCTCTGCCATTTCTGTGCAGGGACATTCCTTTCGTCTGTCAGTTAACAGGCGGCACTTTCCCCCTGTATTCTCCAGGGCCTCTGCCTGCTGCGGGTTGCGGGAGGGGAGTGAGATCATGTCACAGACAGGTCCTTTTTCAGGACAGCCTTTTCAGAACAGATGTGAAGAAGTGATTCTCTGAGATGTCCTTGGCAGGGCCTGAATCCTCCCATTCTCCCAGCCTTGTGTTTTGGATGGTCCAGGTCTCTCCCTGTATGAATGTGCTGGAGGCCTCTCCATTTCTGGAAGGGCCACACCCAAACTTTCCCCAGGACTGGCTGTTCTGTTAAGGATGGTGAGGAAGAAGAAAAGTACAAGTCATACACATGCCAGGGACATATGGGAGGCCAAAGAGACACTCTTTTCAGTGCTCTCTCCTCCCACTCCCTGTGTGGCCACAAGTTTTGTGGCAAAATGTCTTTGAGCCCAAAGGTTGAGGAGCCAGAATGAAGCCTTTTGCAACAACTAAGAAACGTTTCTTTGTGAAATGTTAGGTGCTCTCTGAAATCTTTTGGGGACACAAAATTTGAGGAAGGTCTGTATTTTGTGGCGTATTGGGTGAAAGCCACCACATTAGCATGTGCACATGCCATAGGGAGGAAGTTAACATGGTTGCTAAGAGCTACAACTTCAGGGCCAGACTTTGTGTATTTGAAACCACCTACTAGCTATGTAGCCTTGTCTAAGATACTTACACCGACTCTAAGACTCAGTTCTTCTCTTCTTAAAAGAGGATGGTACTGGTTCCTAACTCCTGAGACTCTCAGGACTATTAATCCTGAGGATTAACTGAGACAATGCATGTGGAATGTTTAGTGGAGTGACAGTATTGGCTTTATAAGTGTTTGCTGTTCTTGTAATTATGTTTATGGTCTTGCTCACCCTGCCTTCCCAACTCTCCACCTCCCTGGGAAGGTCCTTACTAAAGCTCTGAATGCTTAAGAGGGAAGAAATAAAATTTTGCCCATTTTCGTAGCTTTGCTTTTTGATGGTGAGAAAATTTGTAGTGGGTGAGCATAGCACTGAGATATTGAGGAACCTCCATGAGCCGAGACCAGCAGCCCCCCTGGATAGATAAAGGATAGGGTTTGTAAACCAGAGAGTCAGTGGTGTCACCTCTGCAGGGATAGCTAGAACCTCTCTAAGTCTAGAAAGAATTCTTTATAAACTAGCCCATGAGGGTGAGAAAGATCTGTTCATACAACTGTTTTGGCTACCATTTATTGAGGACTGACTACTTGTAATGCCAGGCTCTACACATACATCTCCTCCTCTGGTCACACAGTCCCTGCAAAGATGCCATTACACTCATTTTTCCAAATCACGAAACTGAGGCTCATAGAGGAATTTGGCCAATGTCCCATAGCTAAAAAGTGAGAGAGATAGTCCCCTAACCTACTTCTTTCAGACTCTAAAACCCATCTGTTTTCCATTACCCTGCATTCCCTCTTACTGTTTCCCTAGAAGTTGTATGGAGCAAAAGTTTTCCACCAATTTAGGCCTTTAGCATATGACTGTGTATTGAAAAAAGCTCCTGCTAAAACATCCCCTATTTTTCCTGCCAGAAAAAGTGTGTTTTCCAGAGGTTCCTGATGTGCAGCCATCCTGGGTCTTGCTCCCAGATGGAGAAAGACTTGACCCAGCCACAGGCTGCCTCTTGGTTGGGCCACCGGTGTCCCCACCCACCCGCCCTGGACACTTGCTCCAGGACAGACTTGAATTCGCCATATTTGCAGGTCAACCACATAAATTGGCCTCTCCTGGAGACTGCCAGAACTTTCTCAAAGTTGTAACATCCAGAGGGAGTCACCCCACCCCCAAGACCGGCAACTGAGATGTTTAAAGGAACTGGCTGGCCCTGAAGGAAAGACTGAGGCCATTCATCTGCTCTGGAGTTCATCCTCGGGATCTGAGATGCACAGCCTGAAGACATCTCATCAGCCATCAGCTCCCTTAAGGTGACCTGCAGCCTCCTTTGTGCCCTGGGGGCATTTGGGATTGTGTAGAGGCTCTCTCTCAGAAGCATCTTTCTGTTATTTTAATGCGGATAGAAAGCTTTACATTCTTTGCTAATAACATCTGGGTTTTAATAGCGCCTCCTTGCCCTGCCTGTCTCCGGCATCTCTCTTTTTTCCCTCTTCTCCATCTCTAGAGAAGCCACCAGAAAATGGCATCTTGCTTTTGACTTTCTTTGTGCTGATTCTTTTAGAGAACTTAGTGATCCACTTTGCAATGTCTCGTCTCCTAACATTTCAGCTTGTTTCTCAGAGGGCCTGTACTTTGCTTTCTACCAGCTCTTTCATCATTTTCATTTTCTTTAATGAAAAATAAGCAAAACTGTATGATTTCTAGGTTGTCTTCTTCTCCTAAAGGATATTCTTCTTCCGGCCTCTCTTAATCTCTCTTCTCAGCAACTCCCTTGATCTCTTTTATCATCAATTTATTGTCAATAAAAGTGGCTTTAGGAAGCCTCCTGTTACCTGGCAGGGTTCCAGCTTTCTGACACTTTCCTATGGGACCCACTTGTTATGTCATCCCTGTGTCCTTCTGGCACTCCCTCTTAGCTGGGGAGGGTCAGTCCCCAGGGTGAGAGTCGGTTGGGATGGCCCATTATCAGGCCTTTAGGAGTTTATAGTCTTGTACTTCCCCTTCGAAGACTGAGCTTTAGAGACATTTGGATCTAAAGGCAGCCATTTGATGCTGACTCTTTGGGTTTGCAAAGTAGTCATTTGAGGTTTTTAAAATGTAATTTCCTCTGTGCTCTTTGCAATCGTTCACTTTTCAGTAATTCAATAATATTTACAGAGGACCTACTTTGTGCCATACCTGGTCGCTGTTATCCTGGAGCTTATAGTCTAATGGCAAAGAAAGATGAGTTAATCAAGTAATCACACCAAAACACTTTCAATTCAGCCATGAAACTGTACAATTTCAGCCATGAAACAATGTAAAGGAGAGGCACATGGGGCTATGAAATCATACAATGCAAAGGACTGGTGTACTCTCAGGTAAGTGGTTCTCAAAGTGTGGTCCCTGGACCGGCATCTCAACATCTCCTGTGAACTTGTTAGAAACACAGATTCTCCATCCCTTAACTCCAGGGTTTGGGGGGAAGGTGTCCAGCATTTGTGTTTTAACCTGTCCCCAAGAGACTGTGATGCATGCTCAAGTCTGAGAACCTCTGCTCCAGGTGATCAAAGAAGGCTTCTCTGAAGACATTAAATTTTGGTTGATGAAGGAAACTAGGGAATAGGGTGGGGTAGAAGTATTTCAGACAGAAAGAATGGCATGTGTAAAAGCCCTGTGGTCTCACTCCTGTAAATCCCAGCACTTTGGGAGGCCGAGGCGGGTGGATCGTGAGATCAAGAGATTGACACCATCCTGGCCAACATAGTGAAACCCCGTCTCTATTAAAAATACAAAAAAAATTAGCTGGGCATGGTGGTGCGCTCCTGTAGTCCCAGCTACTCAGGAGGCTAAGGCTGGAGAATCGCTTGAACCCGGAAGACAGAGGTTGCAGTAAGCCGAGATCGTGCCACTGCTCTCTAGGCTGGTGACAGAGTGAGACTCTGTCTCAAAAAAAAAAAAAAAAAGCCCTGTGGTGAGAGCAGGAGAGCAGGGAGCTTTTGAAAACATGAGGGAGTACCCCAAGCAAGGAGAAGAGTGATACAAGGTGAGTCTGACAGGTCTGGACAGGGACCATGATGTGCAGGTCATGAAGGCCTCATCAGGGATTGGGCAACGGGAAGCTTTTGATGTGCAGTAAACACGGGAGTGACAATATATTATTTGCTTTTATTGAAAGGATAATTCTAGCTACAGTATGGAGAAAGGATGGAAGAAGAGCAAGAGTCGAGCACTGGGAGGGCCTCACTGGGGTCTTGGGGAGGATGATGGTAACTTGGACTAGGGTGGCTTCTGAGGAATGGAAAGAAGGGTGCATAATCACAAGATTCCCAGGTAAAATCCACAGGTCTTGGTTATCAATTGGAGGTGTCAGGAAGGACTGTGGTGTTTTGAGTCTACATCCAAGATGGAAGATAATGATGCCAGTTTTAGCAGTGGGACGAGATCATGAGAAGGTCCTGTTGAGTCCGAGGTACCTCTGAGCCACCCAGCTGTAGATATCAACTAGATAGTGGAAGGTGTGCTGGAGCTCAGAGAAGTCAGGGCTGGAGATACACATTTGTGCATCATCAACAGCTAGGTGGCAATTCAAACTGTGGGCTGGGAGGCATTGCCTAAGAAGAAAGAACGTAAGGAGAAGAAAGCCAGTGACGTTCATTGCAGAATGTCAGCGCTTATGTTTAATGGTCAAGTGGATTGTTTCCTCTAAAACAAGTTTAGAGGAAAGATCCAAGAGAAGGAGGAAAATTAGAACCTAGAAGACCATGGTTTCACAGAGGCCAAGGGAAGAGAGTTTCAAGCAGGAAGTGCCCAGCGGGGGTGAGCAGGGGGTAAGGCAAAAGAAGGTGGAAGAATGCCTGTTACACTAAGCGACTCAAAAGTCATTTGTGACTTTAGCAAAAGATATTCAATGGAGGGAAGAGAGCAGAAGATAAAATGAGGTGGACTGACATGAGAATAGCAGGTAAGAGAGTGCAGAAAGTGAGCATAGACAGCTCTTTAGAAATGGTTGTGAAGAGGAAGAGAGGGCCCTGTGGATGGAGATGTGGAGTCAGGCAGATAGCTCTGGTGTATTTGATTTTTCAGTGGGAGTGCTCCTAGCATGTTAAAGCCTAAAGACTTTGTTGAAAGGGGTGCTGAAAAAAGAGAAATGGTATCATCTAAGGTTACCAAGGGCCAGGATCCTTGACACAGGTAGGAGGATGCAGAGGCTTCGTGGGTCTGGTAGCTCCTGCTCTCCCCTGGACTTTTCTGAACCTCTGGGACCTGCCCACGCCCTGATCGCCTGCCCTGGAACGCCTGCTGTCCCTCCCTTTCTTGGCATCTCTCCTCCCCGCTGTCTCGCCTGCCCACAGTTCCTCTCCTGCAGCCTGTTCTGCTGTTTTCTCAGCTTTGTTCACCCACTGTTAAGTTATTAACTTGTCAGGGTCTAGACTCCCCGCTTCCTTTCCCTCTTTTGAACTCACTGCTGGCTCCCTTCCCATTTGCCGCCTCAGAAAGTCAGCATTTGGAAGGCTGAGGTTACTCTGCAGGTCAGTATTGGCAGGTACACAGAATTACAGTTAATATAATTAGAATGTGTAAGTTTTCTTAAAGACAATGATACAACTGAAAAAGAAATAATAAACACAGTCATCTCTCTGTTATCTTGTGGAGGTAAATGGTGAACTTAAAAAAATAGACTTTATTCAAAGTAGTGTCTCCAAGAAGGTTCATCTGTGAACATGTTAAGGATCGCTGGACTCTTATATGTTAATTCATGGATTCAATTATGATCAGGAATGATCCTCAGTTTTTAAAGCAAACTCAAAGAACTAGGTAAGTTGTTTTAATATCAGTGTCGCTGTTCTGAGACGTGCAAACTTTATCTTAGATTCTTTCTATTATTTTTATTTATTTATTTTTTTTGAGACGGAGTCTTGCTCTGTCACCCAGGCTGGAGTGCAGTGGCGCAATCTCGGCTCACTGCAACCTCCACCTCCCAGGTTCAAGCGATTCTCCTGCCTCAGCCTCCCAAGTAGCTGGCACTACCACACCCAGCTAATTTTTGTATTTTTAGTGGAGACGGGATTTCACCATGTTGGCCAGGATGGTCTCAATCTCTTGACCTCATGATCTGCCCACCTTGGCCTCCCAAAGTGCTGAGATTACAGGCATGAGCCACCGCACCTGGACTGTCTTAGATTCTTTAAAGAGATTTGTAACAGTTCCTTCAAAAAGAATTGCATGGTTTCTTATTATTACCTCGAACTTTTGAAGTTATGAATTAACTTAATATGGGGGCTACATGGACTAAGACACAGATGGTTTCCTATTTGTTGACTTACATCCTGCTGATAAGTTTTTGTCTAAGGGCAAGAGTAAGCGAGAAGTAATATTTTTGAGCATCTACTTATGTCATCGTATTTATTCCTTGCCATCCTTTGAGGTACCTATTATCCACAGTTTTATAGGTAGAGAAAGCAGGGCTCAGAACTGTGTAGTAATTTCCCAAAGTTCACAGCTTTGTAGGCTGGCAGATAGTGCTAAGCACTGGTCTGCATGCTGGGACAGGGAGAAGCAGCAGTTGTTGTAGTCATAGTAACAGTGATGATAGCAGTAGCTACCAGGCAGTGAGTCCTCCATGTGTGAGGACCCTTCCTATATGTCATATGGTTTAATCCCTGTGACAGCCCTGCAAAGGCCATGATCCTCATTTTACAGAACAGGAAGCAGCCTCTAAGAGATTAATTATTTGTCCAGTCACACAGCTTTTCAGCAAAGAGCTGATATTCAACCCAATTCCATCTGATCCTAACTTTCTGCTCTAAAGTCAACTTGTTCGTCAGGATTAGCGATAGTTCCCTGATCACAAGAACAAAGTCTGAGGCATGGTAGAAGTAATCTTTTTTTTCCTAATGTTGAATATACAGCTGCCTCCTGACATTCCTATTGAGCCAGAATACAGAATGTTTATTTAATTTTTACTCCTTGTGAGCCTTGGTGGGGAGGAAAGAAACATCAGATATTTCTGCAAGCTTATAAATTGTTGTAGGGTACTTTCTCTTCCAACTGCTCCTGTTAAGACCCACCCAAGGCCGGGCACGGTGGCTCACGCCTATAATCCCAGGACTTTGGGAGGCTGAGGTGGGTGGATCACGAGGTCAGGAGATCGAGACCATTCTGGCTAACACGGTGAAATCCCGTCTCTACTAAAAATACAAAAAATTAGCCGGGCATGGTAGCGGGCACCTGTAGTCCCAGCTACTCGGGAGCCTGAGGCAGGAGAATGGCGTGAACCGGGGAGGCGGAGCTTGCAGTGAGCCGAGATCGCACCACTGCACTCCAACCTGGGCGACAGAGGAAGACTCCGTCTCAAAAAAAAAAAAAAAAAAAAAGACCCACCCAAGAACCCAAACTTAGCTAAGAAAATATCTGAGCACATCCAGAATTAAATATCACAAGTTGTTGGACCAACACCTTCACCATATCTACAGATGAGTCCCTGACACTCACATGGAGCTGATTGACTCTGATTTGACTCGTAATTCTAACAGTTTCTGTTTTCAGCTTAGTCTACGGCAACAAAATAATAGTACAGGACCCACTGCAGATTGGTGTAGTAATACAAGAGATGTGACCAGAGATGAGAAGAAAGAGACCCAAAAAATGATCAGAAGCAGAAATGGGAGCCCAGAAGTGCAGCTGACCAGAAGCATTTCAGTGTCAGATCACACGCAGCCTCCTCTGTAATGAGATCACAGCACGTCTCATCAGTTACTGGTTTTCATTATGGTGACACTGAACACTCATGAAAAGTTAGCATTGAAATATGTTGGTATCTCCAATTTAGAAAGGTAGTGATGATGGGTACAGTGTTTTTACGGGGAAAAAAAGCCAAAAAATGCATTCATGTTTGTCTACTCTTAAAACCCAGCTGTCCAAGAACGATTCCCCAAGGCCCTGTCCATCATTTCTCTTTCTATCCTTGAAGCGCAGTGTCTGACACATAGGATGTGCTCATTGATGCCAGATGATGAAACTTGAATGGCTGGTTTCCTAGGGTTCTGGATAACTCTGTTTTACCGTGGATCCTGGATGTATTCCAGGATGACTTTAAGAAGGCGAGAAGGGGTAAGACCCCTGAGAGCTCAGTGTTTATTCTGTTTTTACACATGGTTAGATGAGATGATACCCACCCTCCTTCAAAAAAAAAAAAAAAAAGCCATTCAATACATGGTAGTTACTCTTATCATTACCATCATCTTTGTCAACACTGACCACGGTTGCTCACTGGGGAAGATGTGAAAAAGAAGTTGGGATCTTCCGCTCCTGGGACACATTTGAAACCCAATAGCTGGAAGCAGGCTGAAGCTATGTAACCAGCTCTCATCCACATGGGCAAGGGTCCCAGGAGTTCTCTGTGGGCTTACAAGCTACCCACCCCCTTGACAACTCCAGTTATTAAAGGTTGAGCCCTGAATAAATAAGTGCCGCTCTCCATAAGAGACAGCCGCCTTTCAGAGAGTTCCAAGCAGCTGGAAGATACTCACGCATGGAGGGTTCTAGGCAGACAGAGGCCGGGCCCCGTGGGCTGCTCCGAGCACCTGGTCGGCCTTCCCAGCACAGGGCTCATTGTTTTACAGGTCACAGCCATTTTGAAAAGGCAGACTCACTGACCTGTTTAATGAGTGCAGTTTCTGCACGAAAGCCCATATCCCTCTCCCAGGCAGCCCCAGAACTTTGCTGGGGAAGGGGGCCAAATCTCTTCTCAGTGCCTGAGGGATTTCTGGCCTTAACTGCTGGTGGAATTAGCAGGAGTTATCTATAAATCCCTGAGGCATCCATCAGCCGACTGAGCGAGGCTGCCTTTTTAAAGAAGTTCACTGACCTCTTGTTAACTTAACTCCTTGTTAGGAAATATCTAATCAGCTGTGAGCTAACACGTCAGGGCCCAGGGGTCTGCAGAAGCCGGGCTCACTGTGGGCTGGGTTTCCAGCTGTGTGCAGTCTGGTGTCTGAGCTGTGGTGTTTTCCTCTTTTCAGCTATCTTTCAGATCATTCAGAGCATAAGGATGGGCATGTGAGAAAGCCAGGGATTTGACACCACCTCCCTCCCACTGGAGGCGGGAGGACAACGGAAGCGGTCAGCCAGTTTCTGCGGGAAACAAGCAGGCCACACGGAATAGAAAAAAACGCTCCCCCACTTGTTCCCTGATCACTTCATCGTGGATGTCAGACCAAATTGCCTTCTCACAGGACATCTTGGTGCATCCGCGTTCTCAAGCGGAAAGGACATTTTGCTTTTCTGTTGGCAGGATTAGTAGCCACGCGGGTCGTCCGCAGCAGTGCTGTTTTTTTGGTTTTTCCCTTGGTTTCACTAATGCGTGCATGTGGCCCTCTGAACGATCACTGGTTTACTTTCTATGGATACAATCTCTCCTCCATTGAGAATTGATTTTACAAATAAATGTCTTCGTTCAACCTTATACCATGTGTGGGTTACAGTGAGAAAACTAAAGTGAAGAAAACAGCAGAATAGCTCAAGGAAAGTTGGGAGGTGGGGAGATTTGGTTATGCAGTTGGAGGAGGCGCAGGGAATCTGTGGGAGGGGAACCAGAGCTAGATTTACTCAGCAGGTCCCTGGCCAGACCCTCAAGATCTTTGCCTGAATGAAGCCCTGGGCAGTTCTAATGACCTTGCATTTTCTACACATTTGATTCTTCTTTTTTTTCAATATTTTTATCTTGTTTGTTCTTCTCTTTTTCAGTTCAGAAAAGGCATGTACAATGTATGTGAAGGTCCGATTAGTCATTATCTCCTCTGTGGTCTGCCTCGGAGCTTAGCACAGAGCAGATGTCCCAGGCCTCTTGGTGAGAACCATCCAACCCCAGAGCCCAGCCTCAGCCACTCCAGAGGTCTGGGTAAATCAGGAGCCTTGCAGCCCTCTGGGGGATCAGCTGGCAGAATTGGGGGGTGAGGCTCTCTCCCTGGCCAGCCTTCCCCACAGCTTCTCAAAGCATGGTGTTGCCAAAGGAAGTTACAGGGACAGCCACAGGATCACTGGTAGGATTAGAGGTGGTCACCCTGCAATATGAAGCACGCTTTTGTTTTTATTAATTTCCATCTTTGCATTAGCAATTTTTTCATTCATTAACTTCACGAGAGCTTTAAAAAGGAAAGTTACAGACATGACCAGGGTCTCTCTGGACCACTTTACAGGTTTTGGTGTTAGTGGCACTGTTTGAATTAGGGGCTTCTTGTTCATTGGAGTCTTTAACTTCAGACCCTTTAGTGATGTTCTTTCAGGCTTTCTTTTCTCCCACCCTTAGAGCTCCCCTCCAAAAGCATCCCTTCCCCCTTCTTCCTCCTTTCTTTCCCACTAAGAAGAGAGGGTAGTCAGACTGCTCCAAAACCAGCAGCCCTGGGAACAATCTACCACCCCGTGTTCCCTTGCCACTCCCACTCCCCAGCCCCCAGCCCCTTGCAAAGTGGCAGAAGACATTTCCAGCCACTCAAGGGTGGCATACAATAGATGCTCTCCAAGCTGGTCCCCTCATCCTGTTGGCTCTGACTGTCCTCTTCCAGGTCACCAAGTCAGACCAGTGTGTGGTAAGAGATCAGCCCTAAGGGATCCTGCTTGGGGCCCGGGAGCCCACGCTGCCTGCCAAGAGGAGGAAAAAGAAAGGCTCTTGCCTTCAGGTGACTGGGTCTGTGTTCCCATGTGTCTCTTTCCAACTCCCACATTGCCTAGACTTGATTAGAGTGCAGACCTTCTCTTTCTCCCTTAATGCCCATACAAGCATACCTCCCAAACCACCAATAGAGGCCATTACTGGCCTGAGCTTTGTGGTTCATCCCTTATTGGACAGAATTTTTTTCCCCTAATTTGGCCTTTCCCATAACAGCAATAGTCAAGAGGGTGATTATCCCCATTTCGAGGAAAGAGAAACTGAATCCTGGCCAGAGTCCGTTCCAGATAGACCCTGCTTGTCCCCAGGTGACAGGTGCGATGGGCTGAGCATGGTAGGCTGTTGGCTGCCATCCATAAAACTGTCCAAGATTGATTTCTCTCCCCAGGCTCTGCAATCATCCATAAACTGGTTTTCTATTAGTTTCCAGGTAGCCTCCCTGAAGTACTTGTATATGGCAATCTACCCTCCCTGGTGACTTTTTCCATCTGTTCTCTGCAAGCAGACATGAGAGCTGTCTTAGGGAAGTTAGGGCCATTGTTGATCTATATTGTACTGCAGAGATGACAGCAGTTTCCCTGTGAAACGTAGTAAGAAATACACAGAAGCCCAATGCACAACATACCCTCCAAAACAAGTTTTACAGAAAGAATTACACTTATCCCTACCATACATGATGCACTCTGATTTTTTTCTAGTCTATTTTTTGAATTAAAATTAAAAATTTCTAGTCTAATTTTTTGAATTAAAAATTAATTCAAAATGGTTACATCCTCAACAACTGATTTTATAGCCCATGAATAGATTTCAACCACAGTTTAAAAATACTGCGCTTCAGAAGAAAATCAAGCCTTGGTTGGGGACAGATCAGCAGGGTTCAGAAAGCAGTAAAGTTGGAACCCCACTTTGCATCCTGGTGAGAACTTAAAGTCCCATCTCAGTCACCGCCAATCAAAAGCTCCAGCAGCACATGAAAAGCGACTTCTTTTGGGATTGAAGGCACACTGGCAGATTCTGCAGAGAAAGCTAGGGGGCCAGGTGAGCCTGTGGATCCAGCACCACCTCGAATCCATAGAAAGACTGTGAAATTAATGTCCATTTATTTCATAAATAAATGTCCATGCTGGAAGGTTCAATTTGTCAGCATTCACTTACTGGGAATCACAATCACTTAGGACGGGCGTGGGGAGTTCTTAAAAGTAGGAATCCACCCCAAGCCTGCTGAAAATCAAACTCTCAGAGGAAGACATGCATAGGTTTTGCGTACGTGTTTTTTAAAAGATGTAGACAATTCTGATGCCGCCCATCCACCAATGAACATTTGGGAACCAATTCACCACCAGACTTAGTTTAATTAAACCAAAGCAGGGACCCAGAGGCAATGCCGCACACCTAACCCACCACATTCAACCTGATCTCTGACAGCTTCTTTCTCCTTTCACGTTCAAAAGCATCTGGGGGCTCCTGGGGGTTCAGCGGTGATGATACACTATGTTTGGTTTTGCTCCAGTCCTTGTGTGTGTCTGTGGCCACAGACTGGAGCACAGTGTGCTTGCTACTTGACTTGACTTTTGAGGCTCTATAGAGGAGAATAATCGTGCCTTATGGAAAGGCTAAGGTCTTTTCCTAGGTCCCCTCCCCCAGGACATCATCACAGGTCAAACACTGTTTCTGGGAAGGCCAGTGCCCCTTGAAGGTGCTCCCTGCTTCGGAAGTGCCTAAACACAGGAAACATGCCCTCAGACATGGGGGCTGCACTTTGTTATAAGACAGTTCTCATCCTATCCAGACACAAGAACATTCTAACATAATATCCCTGCAGTTCTTCCACAATTGGTCCCCAGAGCTTTGGAGGCAAAATGTCATCTGGGTGATGTCCTTTCTCCTACAGCCATCATCAGGCTTCAGCTGCAAGCTGTGAACATATATTAATTGCTGTCAGCAGCAGGTCCCTTTCTTTGAGAAATCTTCAGGTCCTGAGGCTTCCATCTGCCAGCCATGGGCCATGACTTCCTCTCTAGGGGTCAGCAAACTTTATCTGTAAAGGGCCAGTAAATATTTTAGGCTTTGCAGGCCATATGGTCTTGAGACTGTTAAATTCTGCTGTTGTAGCTTGAAAGCAGCCTTTGACAATATGTAAATGAATGACCATGGCTGTTACCCAGTAAAACTCAATTTAAAATACAGGTGAGGCCAGGTGTGGTGGCTCAGGCCTGTAATCCCAGCACTTTGGGAGGCCAAGGTGGGTGGATCGCCTGAGGTCAGGAGTTTGAGACTAGCCTGGCCAACATAGAGAAACCCTATCTCTACTAAAAATACTGAAATTAAGCTGGGCACGGCAGTGGGCACCTGTAATCCCAGCACTTTGGGAGGCTGAGGTGGGTGGATCACCTGAGGTCAGGAGTGCAAGACCAGCCTGGCCAACACGGTGAGACCCCATCTCTACTAAAAATACAAAATTAGCTGGGCGTGGTGGCACATGCCTGTAATCCTAGCTACTCAGGAGGCAAGGCTGGAGAATCACTTGAACCCAGGAGGCAGAGATTGCAGTGAGCTGAGATTGCACCATTGCACTCCAGCCTGGGCAACAAGAATGAAACTCCATCTCAAAAAAAAAAAAAAAAAAATTAGCCGGGCTTGGTGGCACATGCCTGAAATCCCAGTTACTGGGGAGGCTGAGGTGGGAGGATCCCTTGAACCGGGGAGTTCGAGGTTGCAGTGAGCTATGATAGTGCCACTGCACTCCAGCCTGGGTAACAGAGCAAGACTCTGTCTAAAAAAAAAAAGATCCCCAGGTATAATCCAGATCTAGTGAATCAGAAACTCTGGGGGTGGGGCCAATAGTATAGGTTTTAGAAGCCTTCCAGGTGATTCTTCTGCAAGCTCAAATTGGAGAACCCTGCTCTCAGTCTGCTGCCAAAGCTGTCTGCTCCAGAGAGTTTTTGGTAGTTAGCCATACCTCTGGACAGTCCTCTTCCCCTTCCTCCCTCACAAATTTAAGTACACCCTTAGTACTTAATTAACTCTTAGGTACCTAGAGATTTGCTCTCTGCTTGTTTCATGTTTCTATATTTTGTCTCCCAGTTAGATTGAAACCCGTTGAAGGTACAGTATGTGTGTGACTCCTTCCATCTCTACCCCACCACTGATCCATTTTAAGCATTTAATAAAGGCAAGGAAGGCCTTCACCTTTATTAACTTTTTTGAAAAATCAGAATTTTCAGCCCACAATTCACTTTCAAAAATACACATTAAGTGCCTACTCTGTGCCAGGCCCTGTTTTAAGGCACAAGTCCTGGCCTTCATGAAACTTACATTCCAGTCAGGGAGACATAATAAGCACATAAATTATCAATAAATACTATGAAGAAAAATAAAGCAAGATAATACAGTGGCGACTGGCGGGGTGACAGATTTTAAACAGCCTGGTCACAGCAAGGCCAAGAAGAGAGCACTGCATTTTTAGGACCTAAAAGAGAATATGCAGGCCTTTTATGTTCTCCTCTTCACAGATCAAGCCTAACAGTACTCGTTTCAGTATTAGGCAGGTTAGAATGCCCTGTGCTGCAGGAACAACAACAAAAGCTCAGTGGCTTTGCACGTAAACGTTCACTTCTCTCTCACACAAGTCGAATGCAGGCTAGTGAGGGCTTCCCTCCACGTGTTGGCTCAGTTGTCTGGGTTCTGCTGCCATCCCAACACTAGGTCGCCTGTGCACAGAGAAATGCCAGGGGATGACAGCTCCCCCTTTTAGTGATTCACTTTTTCATTTACAGGAAATCTTCAGGTGTGTTTTCCCTCAGCCAGTCCTAGGGTACGGCAGGTGACACCTCCAACCCTCTCGGAAGCACACCCAAGGCGGAGGGAATGATGTTGGGAGAATAGTAGAAATTTCTCCGGTTCCAAAATCCGTATTGCTTCCTTATGGGAAAGGGCTTATTTTTCCTTGTTTTCCATCTGGCTATTACCATTTTGATAGCCTCTCTTCAGGCTAGATAAGCTGGGGGTGTCAGGGACAGATGAGAGAAGAAAAAAGGTACATTTCTGGTGACAAGGCACAAATAGGCTTGTCAGGGAGCGAGACGCACATGCAGGATAAGGGCTCTCCGTGATGTGGAACAAGCCTGTGTTTGGAGCTCAGTAAGGCGGAAAGCCAGGTGGGTTGGAGCCCCACCCTTTCCTGAGCTCTCAGGCTGAGGCTCCTGAAGGCTTCAGGAGCACAGCAGCACCTTGTTGACCTGCAGCACCCTGCCTGCTTGGCCCGGTCTCTTCACGCTGTCGCTCAGTGCACAATTGAATTTTCCTCCTGAGGAAGTTGATGGCTGCTGGAACACGCAACGACGTTCAATACGATGATGAACAAAAAGTATCTGCAATTAGACATACCTCCGCAGCACTGCTGTTTGCTGTGTCTTAAAGGAGGTTGTTTGGAAAAAAACGAAGAGGAGTTGATGACATTGTTCCAAGCTCTGCATATATGGGAACACTTGAACTTTTTACACAGTAGGAAAACATTTCATTTGTCCCCTGCCTATACAGCCCAAGCTCCTGTCTCGGTGTTTCTTTCTATCTTTCAGCAAGTGCTGCAAATAGGCAAAGGATGGCAAAGGAACAGCAACCCTCCCCTGTGAATCGGGGCCATTCACGGTTAGAGTCACCAAACCTGTATTTCAGGGGACATCTTTCCAGCTCCCAATCTCCCAGCTTGGCTGGCTGCCCTGAAAAGGGACTGGGACTTGGCTCTGGGAAAGACATGGCTCCCTTTCAGGCTGAGTGAAACCCCTAAGGGTCCCTCCCGTTTTCTAATATCAGGGCTTGCTACCTGAGCTCATTGTTTGTTAGTGTTGGAAAAGTTTCCTGCTGCTTTCCAACCTGGCCCATCTACCCTGGGGCTGAGAAGGGGAAAAGTCGCTGATGTCATAACCCAGCTTGGTTTTGCTGCCAGTGGCAAGGGGATGGGAGTAAGCCAGCGAGCAGCCTTCCCTGGGGCAGCAATGACGGCAGGAGCCCCAGGCCGGCCAGCCGTGCAAAATAGGCTGCAATCTTCATAACAAAAAAGCCACCCTTGACAACATATCCCTAGGGTGCGGGGGGCCTCTTTACGCCTTTGTCTCTCTGTATGTCTCTCTCTCTGTCTCTCCATTTCTCTGTGTATTTTTCTGTCTCCGTCTCTGTCTCTCTGTGTCTGTTTCTCTCTGTCTCTGTTTCTCTTTCTCTTGCTAAGGAACAGCTCTTGCCACTTTATAGTGGCAAGACTACTTATTCTCTGTTTTGAAATGCAGAATATGCCAGGGATTGGGGTATCTAGCACATCACCTCTTCAGACTTCATGCACTGTGCCCACAGTGCCCCTCCGCAGGCTTGTGCTGGGCTGGACAAGCCTTCCCTTCGTCCCTCCCCAAGCCTAGATTCCAGCGTGCCCTCCCTGCAGAAGCTGGTCTCCCTTCCCCTCTCCCTGCATGCTCCCTACTGACCTCTTCCCGCAGCCAGGGAGCATCTGGGGCAAATGCAAACAGTTCTGTGGTCTGCTTATTTGCTTTTCTTAGTGCAAAGGTGGAGGCAGAATGTGGTTAGTGCAGCCACCATGGCTGCCAGGAACAAAGTCAGTTCTGGGGAAGGGGAGCGCCAGAGCCTGCCAGCCCAGCAGCCAGCCCTGCCGGAAGGCCCCCAAGCCAGGATCCTGTCAGTCTCCATCTAGAAACCAGACAGAAAGCACTTTTGTAAATGTTAACCAAAAAGGTCCCCCTGTGATGGCTGTGCTGTAAATCAAAGTAGACAATGTGGGGTGGGGGCAGGGCACACGTCTTGTCTCTGGAGCCATCGCAAAGCAGGGAGGGGATGCTCCTTCAACTCTCAGGTGGGGACTGGAGCTCCCCGCTAGTCCACGCTGGAGAAAGGTTTTTAGGGCCTGGAGTCACCCAGGACCCATCTCTGTCCAGGGGGTGCTGTGTAATATTCACCATTAATCCTACACATCTGGGAAGCATTCTCCTGCTAAAGATAAGATAAAGCCCAAATGATTTGTGTTGGGGGCTGGCTGGGGGGCTGGGGGGAGGCCAGACCTGGAAGGCTGGGCACACAGGAGCACCCTAACCAGCAAGCGGGGGACGCAGCCTCCGCGGCATACTCCCACAGTCTGTCTGTGTTGCCGGGCAGATTCCCTAAGCATGGTGCACTGAGGTACACAGGGAATCTGGAAAATTATTTTGCTTTACACAATGGAGACTGTGTTATTTAAGTTTAAAATACCATGGGGGAGGAAGGTAAGCATAATCAGCTTTATAAGAGAACAAGCAGGCAGGGGAGCTTTTCCCAGATTCCACCCTTTTGTTAAATCTCTGAGGTTTCCAGAATGTAGTTCTTCCTCGCTCCTGCCGCCTCCCACCTTCCTTCCCCACTCTCCCCTCTCCCTCTCTGCCTTTCTCTGTGTCTGTGCCTCTATAACAATAAAAATCATCAACGCAGCCATTGCTGTGAGCAAGGTACTGTTTCAAGTGCTTTTCAGATCACGTAACCCCCAAAACTCTATGAGGAAGGTTCTGCTTTCTTCTCTGCATTGCGCTCTCTTTCTCTCCCGCTGCCTCTGCCTCTCTCATACACACACTCACCCCCTGACACACACACACACACACACACACACACACACACACACCCCTTAGGCCTCTCTATATCACCTCCACACACTCAGACACATACCCACAGTCTTGTCCACATCAATAAGAAGCAGTTCACCTCCACCGGAAGGGACAGCCTCAGAGCCTGAAGAATGCCAGCCTTTGCACTCCTGCGCTCGGAGGTTCTCCTGAGCTACCTGGGGTGCAGTGGCTATGAAGGCCTCAGTATTCAGACCTCCCTGAACTTGGCTGAAGATCGTGAACAGGAAAGCAAGCTCTATCCCTGCTGACTCTACCTGCCAGGCTGCCCAGCCTAGCAGGGCCAAGGCTGGATCTACTCTCTCTTCTGTCCTTGGCACTGCTCTGACCTTTGAGGGGAGAGAGAGGCAGCCAGAGGTGAGAGGGAAAACAAAAGAAGACTCTGGTTTCCAGCAGCAGCACTGACTAGAGAACAGGGAAGCAGGGATTCTGGTCCCGGCCACGCCCCTCACTGCACCTGGACAGCGGGCAGGACATTTAGTCTTCGTGGGTTTTCATTTCTCTCACAGGAAAATGGATTATCCCCATTTTTATTTTAGGGGCAGTCAGAGAAGCCCAATGTAAAAATACAAAGAAGGTGCAGGCTCTGTGCAGCCCAGCCTTCACCCTCCTTCTGGAGCAGCCCTTTCCAGACTTGCTCACTGAATAAATCCTGCTGGGGCACAGACTGTGCGCCTTCCATGGCATCAGGGGGTGCAGTGCCAAGCACCACTCCCTATTCCCCAGGAACTTACAGCTGAGAGGAGGGAAACAGGTGAGCCGATCAACACGCTCTCCCTAACAGTGACATAAACTAACAAGGGGCAGCGTGCAAAGCACAGTGGATCAACTCAAGGAAAAGGGAGCTAAAACTGTCTATCTACTTCTAGGAATGTCCCCAAAAGAACTGAAAGAGGGACTTGGAGAGATTCTTGTACAGCCATGTTCATAGAGGCATTATCCACTATAGCCAAGGGGCAGAAGCAACCCAGGTGTCCACCAACCGTAGAGGATGAACGGGTAAACTAAACGTGGCACATCCACACCATGGAACACTATTCGTCAATGAAAAAGAAGGACATTCTGACACATGCCCCCACATGGATGAACCTGGAGAACATTATGCTTAAGCGAAATAAGCCACTCACAAAAAGACAGATACTGTGTGATTCCACTTGTGTGAGGTACCTGGAGTGGTCCCATTTATAGAGACAGAAAGGAAACAGTGGCTGCCAGCAGCTCAGGGGAGGAAGGAACGGGGAGCTGGTGTTTCCTGGGCACAGAGTTCTGGTTTGGGATTATAAGAACATTCCGGAAATGATGACGGTTGCACAATAATAAATATATTTAATGCCGCCAAATTGTACACTTAAACATGGCTAAGATGTTAAATTTATGTGCATTTCACCACAATTAAAAATAATAATTTAAAAAATTGTTGGGTATGTGTCCAAAAAGTGGCCAGGGTTTGGCAAGCGTTGAGGGGGAGAGAAATGACGCTGCCCAGACCTCTATGATAAGGCCCGAAGCCTGCCTCCACCCCCCGGCGTGAGACCAAAGGGCCTTTGCACATGCTCTTCCTTTCACCCGATGCTTTTCCCCTCAATATTTCCATGACTCAAATTCACTCAGCTCTTTCTTCAAATGTCACTCCTCAAAAAGCCCTCACTGACACCACTAACTATAGTAAAGCATGTACATGCACGTGCGCACGCTCACACACACACACATTCTGCCCACCACGTGCCGTAGCAGATTTCTGCACAGCACTAACCACCATCTCCTATGCTGGTATATATATCTTTATTTATTTATTTTCTGTTTCCCCAACTAGAATATAAGCTTCAGGAGCACAGGGGCTCTGTTTTGTTCACTGTTCTCTCCCCTATGCTTGAAAGATTGTAGGTGCTCATATGAATTTGAAGGATGATGAGGAAACAAGGAAATGGGAGTGTCTGCCCAGCTTGCCAGGGCTCCCCTTGGAAATTTGAGCCCAGTGCCCCCACCTGGCCACAAGCCCACCTACTGAGCCTTACCTTTTTTGCATTTTTCTCTCTCAAGAACCTTGCAGGGAGGTGATGACAGGGTTTGGGAATTTGACTCAGAATCACAGCTATATATCTATGATCATCTTCTACCCTTTTAACTTGACCTTACGGTTTAGATATCAGAAGAATGACAGGGAATGAATTAAGAGGGGAGATTCCATTTTAGCGAACATACGTAACTCAGTTTTTAAAATAGAATCATACGATTTTTGAGGTGGACAAGATCACAGACTTCGGCTGAGTTTGAAGCATTGAGAGAATATCCAACCGCAAGTGGGTCACAGAGACCTGGCGATGCGGATGGGCCTGTGTTGTGCATTCAGTCTAACCCTGCACATAACCAGGGCACTAAGAAATGTGTTTGCTAAAGAGAAGCTGCTGGTGCCAGCAAGGACACAGGGAAGTGCTCCAGGAGGCCTGAGGCAAGCTCACCTGATTAGCCTCCACTTCAGGCTCATCCTGAACCCTTATGGGCGCGGCTGGCTCTCAGGGTCTGTGGTTCCTAGACACTAATGCTTATGAACCTGATGCTTAAAATTGCTCATGGACATTGGCATGCATTATGAACTCCAGGGCCGGGCGTGGTGGCTCATGCCTGTAATCCCAGCACTTTGGGAAGTCAATGCGGGTGGATCACTTGAGACCAGGAGTTCGAGACTAGCCTGGCCAACATGGTGAAACCCATTCTCTACTAAAAATACAAAAAATTAGCAGGGCGTGGTGGTGGGTACCTGTAATCCCAGCTACTTGGGAGACTGAGGCAGGAGAATTGCTTAAACCCGGGAGGTGGAGATTGCAGTGAGCTGAAATCTCACCACTGTACTCCAGCCTAGGCAACAGAGTGAGACCCTGTCTTAGAAAAAAAAAAGAAGGACTCCAATCTCCCCACCTCCTCGCTCCCAAATTAGGTTTACCTAAAACAAAGACAACTTTGAGTAAGAGTTCTATGAAAAACTGAAGATAGAATGGCAAGTTCCTTTGCTTCTTTTTTTTTTTTTTTTTTTTTTTAGATGGAGTCTTGCTCTGTTGCCCAGGCTGGAGTGCAGTGGCGCAATTTTGGTTCACTGCAACCTCCGCCTCCCAAGTTCAAGTGATTTTCCTGCCTCAGCTTCCTGAATAGCTGGGGCTACAGGCGCGTGCCACCACACTTGGCTAATTTTTTTGTATTTTTGGCAGTGATGGGGTTTTGCCATGTTGGCCAGACTGGTCTTGAACTCCTGACCTCAAGTGATCTGCCTGCCTCAGCCTCTCAAAGTGCTGAGACTACAGGCATGAGCCCCCTCGCCTGCCCTCCTTTGCTTTTTCAAGGCAATAAAGTCAACTCCCACTAAATGCATCGTCACTGCGACATTACTGCATCCTCATTCATTGTGCCTGCGAATTCTACTTCAGCAATCACAGATTCTCCAACCTAGAGGGAAAGCTAAACATCACTAGGCTCGTGCTTCCTAACCTGTGGGTTGCTATCATTTCACATGCTGTGAAAACAATGCAGCGGACCATAATAAGAATTTCATTTGAAAATTGAAATAGAGCAGAATGAAATAGAAAAGACCACAGGGCATTGCACATAGAAAACTCAGTCTTCCTTCATGAAATTTCTTGTTCAGTTATATATGATTATGATGTGTTTACTGCATTGCATTATGAAATATTTCTTACTATGAGACCTGGTCAAAAAAATTTTGAAGGCGGCTACTCTGATCCATTTTCTATATAGGTCTCAATACTGCCATATCGAGCTGATGTTTAATCATTCCATAATCCATGAGCTTATTCAGTACCTGTGGTGTGGAAGGCACTGAGCTGGATCCTGGGGCAATGAAGATGAACAGGACACTGTGTGCCACAGTCCAGGCAGGAACCAGGGTGGTGGAGGGCACACCCCGATTGGGTCGTAGGAGAAGAGTTTAATAAAGGACATATTGATTCAGTGTGGGCAGAGTATAGGGAACCCTAAGGAGATAGTGCAGACTCCAGGGCCACGAACAGCAGAACAAGGTGGGCAAGGCTGAGGGAAGGGAGCTGCTTCCAGAACCTGAAGCTATGTGGGGGACTTCCTGACAGAGAGGCTGTCGCCTTTAGTCAGGAGGCCACCAGCTCACAGGAACCCTGTAGGGAAGCTGCCAGAGAGACCAAGAGCTCAGCTCTCATCTCCTGCTGATGGTGAGCCGCATTGGCCAAATGCCCCCAGAAGCCAGAGGGCACAGGACACCAGGGTGCCATCCACATGGGAGAGCAGTGGGGAAAGGGTGGAGGGTGGATATGGAGGGCAGACAGACAAAATCACTGCCTGCTGGGAACTTGAATTGGATGGATGAGAAGGCACATCATCAGAAAAACCACAGTGGTGCCATAACTCATGCTGGAAGAGAGGTATTAATGACGACTTCCGGAAGCACCCAGGAGGAAGCGCTTGACTCCTGGGGAGGTTGGGGAAGGCTCGCAAGAAAGAAGTCCAGTGTTCTGTCTCCAAGCATCCTTTCCTTTGAAGAGCTGCCTTCCCTGCTTCCCTCCCTCCACGTGGTCCTAGTAGGATCTCAGAACAGTGCCGTCCTTCTCTGGTACAGGGTAGCAAATCAGAATATGCTCCTATTCCCTGGCCACAGCCCCTCAGAGTCTTCCCTGGGGATCTTCCACTAGTGACAAAAACTGTCTCTTGCCTCTGAATTCAGGAGACTGAGAGGCTGCAGAGTTGAAACTATTCTGCCATCTCCTCCCTATCCCAATAAGCATACATATTCAACTTAGGAAAAAATTGGGGTGGGGCAGAAATTTTACTGGGACATGTTTTTCACTGAGGGTTACCTTCTAGTTGGGCATATACTACTGTATTCATGTTGATCGTTTCTCTTTTTGTTTGAGTGTGAGTTTCTGTCCTTGCAGTCTTGAAGCTGAATTTCTGTCCTAGCGCACCCTGCAGGTGCAGAAGCATGGAGAGGAGAAGGCACTTGGCCTGGTGAGGAACCTGCTGGGCGTATGGCCTGGCCAGAACCCAGGGTGCCTGTGAATGGGGACCTAGGAGGAGGCTGTCACAGTGAGTGTGGGTCAGATCATGAAAGGCTTGGGTCAGATGGGGAACGCATGAGTATTCATTAAGGATTTTAACAGAGGGGACACACACAGAAGTGCATCTTAGAAAGCTCCCTCTGAGAGCTGTGTGGAAGATGGGTGGAGGTGAGCCATCCCAGAGGAAGCCACGGGAGACACAGCAGGCACCAGAACTCAGCTGGGAACCCTAGGGAATGGAGAGCGGTTCTTGGATCCCAGAGGGACTGAGTAAAGTACAAGAGTCTACAATTAGTAGCAAGTTTCCGGTTTGGGTGGGAAGGTGGATGGTGGCATGAATGGAATCTTGCTTCCGTTTTTTCCCACATCTCATAACTTTGAGGGTCTTCTCCTTCCTGAAAGCATGATCGCTTTCCCCCGAAAGCATTCTGAGTTTATCCATGTCCTATAGAAGACACAGGGCCCACAACAGAACAATACTCCAATGGAGGAAGGCACCATCACACACTTTTATGAACACAGCCCATGGGGCCTGAGGATTTTCCTGGAAGTCATCTCACTGTGATGGCTCACATGGAAAACAGTATTGTCTTAAAGCCCTAAGGTTTTTTTTCAGATCCTAAGGCTCTGGATCATTTTTTAATTGGCAAGTAAATATTTTTACAAGTGGTAATTTTTGTGTGCGTGGGTAATTTTTTTTTTGAGACGGAGTCTTGCTCTGTTGCCCAGGCTAGAGTGTAGTGGCATGATCATGGATCACTGCAACCTCCGCCTCCAGGGTTCAAGCAATTCTCCTGCTTCTGCCTTCAGAATAGCTGGGATTACAAGCACGTGTCACCAAGCCCAGCTAATTTCTTATATTTTTAGTAGAGATAGGGTTTCACCGTGTTGGCCAGGCTGGTCTCAAACTCCTGGCCTCAAGTGATCCACCCTCCTCAGCCTCCCAAAGTGCTGAGATTACAGGTGTGAGCCACTGCGGCCGGCCAATAATTCTTTTTAAACCACCTGAAATGCTGACCTATGTCATTAAACTTAGCATGTCTTCCCTACATCTGAAAACTACACATCTCCAATCCTTTGAATCCAATGTAATTCAGCAAGCAGTATGGTGTGAAGATTCTGGAATCGTTACTGTGGAAGATGTCTGAAAAGGACATGTTCTACTGTTTTGAAGCAGCTCTCTCCAGTGTGGCAGAGTAACAGTGAGGGGGAGAGAGAGACAGAGAGAGAGAGAGAGAGAGAGAGAGAGAGAGAGGGAGGGGGGAGGGAAGGGAAGGGGAGGGAAGGGGGGAGAGAGAGAGAGGGAGGGGGGAGGGGAGGGAGGGAGAGAGAGAGGAAATAAAAATCTTTGGAGCACTGTCTAGTTGTGAAATGCTGTGTGGAGTGGTTGCTATGACTTTTCAAGGTTCTGGCGATATTTTACCTTGAGGTTTACCATATATACCATCCTCCCAGCTCAACATGTCTGAAAAGCTTTTACCATGTGAACTTCTGATTTCCTGTTACCTGTCTACACTGTGGATAATTCATGACTAGTTACTGGCCCTTCACCTTTGTGATCTTTGCCTTAAAATGTGTCCCCTGACTCTATGGGTTTGTACTGTCCTCGGCTTTCTTTTCTGGGGCTGACCTTTTGTTTACTTCCAAAAACCTCACTAACTTTTACAGATGTACCTTACAGGCGGTGGTCATAGAAAGCAGGCTTCCTAATGCGTCCTTTGCAAGTTTTGTGTAAACTACCTTAAAACTCACTGTTTCCCCCTTCTCCTTTCCCTCCCTGCTTTCAGTAAACTCCCACTTCAGGTCTCATCATCTCAAATTGTTTCTCCACCAGCCTCCTTCGGTCCTCTTAGATCACCATTTTTGCAATCTGAGCAGACAGGCCCTGGGCCAAGCGGTGTGTCCACAACGTCACGTGGCTCTCTGTTTCTGAAGATGCGGGGGGATCCTGACACGGAGATCTCAGGATGGGGAAAACTGTGTACTCTCAGCAGATCCGCTCACTCTACTGACATTTCCCGAACACCTACTCGGTGTTAAGCACCCTGAGAGGGATGGGGTGGTGACTAGACAGAAGACAGGCCCACATTTACAGGCAGGCAAGGGGAGCGCGCGAGGAAGCCTCCGGCGACTGACCCAGGGCGGAGAAGAGTCACAGAGGAAGGGGTTGGTGAGCAGAGCTGGGAATGAAGAATGAGACAGCACACAGCTGGCCCCAGAAAGGGAGAAATTTGGTTTCTCCGTGCTGTGGAACTGAAGAGCTGGCAAGAGGAGAGGAGGGTGTGAGACAGAGGAAGGGGCTGGGATTTTATCTAAGAGCCACAGGAAGCTGTTGAAAAATTCAAAGCCAGAAGCAATGCCATCAGACTGATCATCTTTCCTTCTTTCTTTGATAGCTTGGAATCAGGAACTGAATTTGCAGCCCACTGCTTGCAACTCTTGGGGGCCACCATTCTGCTGTTTGAAGATTCATTCACCCTGCCTTCATGTTCTTATAACTTGACCACTCTGTCCTCATTTATTAACTCTCCTGGTACTGAATGCATCTCCACAAGCCCCGCCAAATGCGAATAAACCACGTTAGCACATTTACTCTCATAACAGCCCTTGAGTTAAACATTTTATATCTCATCTTACAGGGAAGGAAATTGAAGCCCAGAGAAATTCAGTGACTCACCCATGGCCTTAGAATTTTTTCATTCATTTCTGGAACTTGTTCACTATCTCGCTTCCTCAACTGACTGGAAACACAACAAGGGCAGCGACTGTGTTTGCAGTGGTCATGGTGAGAGGTGACAGCGTGCTGGCAGTCGTCACAGCCCTCGCTCGCTCTCGGCGCCGCCTCTGCCTGGGCTCCCACTTTGGCGGCACTTGAGGAGCCCTTCAGCCCACCGCTGCACTGTGGGAGCCCCTTTCTGGGCTGGCCAAGGCCGGAGCCGGCTCCCTCAGCTTGCGGGTAGGTATGGAGGGAGAGGCGCGGGCGGGAACCGGGGCTGCGCGCGGTGCTTGCGGGCCAGCGTGAGTTCCGGGTGGGCGTGGGCTCGGCGGACCCCGCACTCGGAGCAGCCGGCCGGCCCTGCCGCCCCGGGCAATGAGGGGCTTAGCACCCGGGCCAGAGGCTGCGGAGGGTGTACTGGGTCCCCCAGCAGTGCCAGCCCACCGACGCTGCGCTCGATTTCTCGCCGGGCCTCAGCTGCCTTGGCGCAGGGCAGGCCTCGGGACCTGCAGCCCGCCATGCCTGAGCCTCCCACCCCCTCCGTGGGCTCCTGTGCAGCCCGAGCCTCCCCGAGGAGCACTGCCCCCTGCTCCACGGCGCCCAGTCCCATCGACCACCCAAGGGCTGAGGAGTGAGGGCACACGGCGCGGGACTGGCAGGCAGCTCCACCTGCAGCCTCGGTGCGGGATCCACTGGGTGAAGCCAGCTGGGCTCCTGAGTCTGGTGGGGACGTGGAGAACCTTTGTGTCTAGCTCAGGGATTGTAAATACACCAATTGGCACTCCGTATCTAGCTCAAAGTTTGTAAACACACCAATCAGCACCCTGTGTCTAGCTCAGGGTTTGTGAATGCACCAATGGACACTCTGTATCTAGCTCCTGTGGTGGGGCCTTGGAGCACCTTTATGTCTAGCTCAGGGATTGTAAACGCACCAATCAGTGCCCTGACAAAACAGACCACTGGGCTCTACCAATCAGCAGGATGTGGGTAGGGTCAGATAACAGAATAAAGGCAGGCTGCCCTGAGCCCGCAGTGGCAACTGGCTCACGTCCCCTTCCATACTTTGGAGCTTTGTTCTTTCGCTCTTTGCAAATGAGCCACTGCTCACTCTTTGGGTCCACACTGCTTTTATGAGCTGTAACACTCGCTGCGAAGGTCTGCAGCTTCACTCTTGAAGCCAGCGAGCCCACCCGGAGAAATGAACAACTCCAGACAGGCTGCCTTAAGAGCTGTAACACTCACCGCGAAGGTCTGCAGCTTCACTTCTCAGCCAGCGAGACCACGAACCCACCAGAAGGAACAAACTCCAAACACATCCGAACAGCAGAAGGAACAAACTCCAGGCGCCCCACATTAATTTAAGAGCTGTAAAACTCACCGTGAGGGTCCGCGGCTTCATTCTTGAAGTTAGTGAGACCAAGAACCCACCAATTCCGGACACAGTGGGCGTGTGCGCGCTTCCAGCACAGCAGCTCTCACGTCTGGGAGGCTGGGCTGCTGACCGACTGACCCACCGACCCTCCCTTCTGGTAACACTGGGAACCAGCCAGGGTCAGGGTCAGAGTCGGAGTGGCCTCAGCCTAGCGGCTGCCCGATTCCTAGATTTGCGCGCCAGCCGCTCCACTGTCTCCTTCCGCCTGCCTTCCGTATCCGTGCTCTTAAAGAAGACCCGACATTTAACTTTCAAGTATATCGGGTAACTAAAACCAGCTTCACGTTTCGTTGCCCTTAATGCTAGATCCGGCCAGGCGTGGTAGCGCTCACGCCCGTAATCCCAGTACTTTGGGAAGTCGAGGCGGGCGGATCACCTGAGGTCAGGAGTGCGAGACCAGCCTGGCCAACATAGTGAAACCGTGTCTCTACTAAAAATTAGAAAAATTAGCTGGGCATGGTGGCAGGATTTGTAATACCAGCTATGCTGGAGGCTGAGCCAGGAGAATCACTTGAGTCTGGGAGGCGGAGGTTGCAGTGAGCCGAGATCGTGCCATTGCATTCCAGCCTGGGCAACAGGACGACTCCATTTGGAAGAAGAAAAAAAAGCTAGACCCAAAGCTGAAAGGAAACCAAGCAATGATTCTAATCCAACCGATTCATTTTACGGTGAATAAACTCAGGCTTAGAGAGTGCGGTTGACTCCCCAATGTCATGCAACTCCTTACCAGCGAGGCATGAATTCAGCAGTGTCCCTGGGTGCCTCCAAATGTCCTATACAGTGTTTACTGTGTCGCTTTGTTCGTTCAGAAACATCACGAGTAAATGTTTAATTCAGATTGCTTATAAAACTCAGTTATTTATATGCTTAGATATAGGTCTGGTGAGAATTTATTTTAAAGAGATTTTAAGCCACAACCTCTCTGCATCATTTTGCCTCAGATACTCAGAATCGGAGTGAGAAAACATTCTTGCCCACCGAGGCTCGTCGCTGTCCTGGGGCCTCTCCCCGCTCACTCACAATTCTGTCCCTGGGCTGTCGCATCCACCCAAGGTTTCAGCCACCACTTAACAACCTGCAGAATCCCAAACAATCATAACAATAGCTAACACGCACCGAGCATGGCTCATTCAATCCTCACCAACCTAATGCACTCCACGCTACAGAGGAGGAAGCTGGGGCACAGAGAGAGGAAAGGAATTGCCCACAGTTGTAGGCGGTGCACTGGGATGCGGCAGGGCCCCTTCCCCGGGATGGTGTTATGCGTAAAGCTCAGCGGCAGCCGCTCCTCCCCATCCCAGCTCCAAATCCCAATGACCAACTGCCTGCTGGTTTCCCCACAGGGCTGCCCCGTAACCAACTCAAAACTGAACTCAGCTTCTTGACCCGGAACACGCGGGTTGCCCACACAGCACCAGTCGTTGTTGGCCCTCCCTTTCTTTCCTAACGCATCACATTCCATCCACCCTTTCATTCCTAAATATTTCTCAGACCTGCTCCCTCCTGCCAGTGTCCATGGCTACAGCTGCCCAAGTGGCCTCTGTGCTGCAGTATCAGCCGTGGCCCCTGCCCAGGCCCTGGCCCCCAACCCACACTGCCTCACGAATGTCAACATAGGATTCCCAAGGAGTCTGGGCACAGGCCCGCCTGCCTGCCTCAGCTCTCTCGGTGGCCCCGGAGCCTGCCGCCTGCCATGTTGCCAGCCTCTTCTACGGTGAGCAGCCTCGGCTTTGGCTGCAAGACCCAGTTCCCTGAGAGGCTGTCCCAATTCACGTGGCTCTGCTTTCATACCGCTCTTCCTTCCTTCCCCTTGTATCCCCTCCCTCCCCTCATCTCCAGCAGAGCTAGTCACTTCCTCTTTAGCTCCAGCAGGCTACCCCTTAAACTCACACTCACCCAGGACTTTCTCTAGATGACAATTGTTTACTTGCTTTTCTCTGCTCCCAGGCAGTAGGAACTATGTTATGGCATCCAGAGCTATATAGTATATAGAGTAGTTCCATAGATATCTCATCACATTCAGATGCATGGGTGGAGTGAAAGAATGAGAGGCATTGTGATCCTTAATTTGATGGGTCAACTTGACTGGGCTAAAGGATGTCAAGATGGATGGTAAAGCATGATTTCCGGGAGTGTCTCTGAGGGTTTCTGGAAACAATCAGCATTTGAATTGGTGAGCTGCGTAAAGCAGGTGGCCCTCCCCAGTGTCAGTGGGTCTCATCCAATCCACTGAGGGCCGGAGTAGAACAAAGAGTAGAACAAAGACAGAGGAAGGAAGAGTTCGCTCTCTCTGCTTGAGATGATTTATCCATCTTCTCCTGACTTTGGATGTCAGAGCGCTGGGTTTTCAGGCCTTCAGACTCGTGCTGAATTACCCCACCAGCTTCTGTGGTCCTCCAGCTTGCAGACAGCAGATCGTGGGACTTCTCAGCCTCTATAATCACATGAGCCAACTCCCATAATAGATCCCCTCTTATATTCCCCTCTTACATATGCATATGTATATGTATTTGTATATGTATAGTATAGTATATGTATATGTGTAAGTATTTGTATATAGTATATGTATATGTATTTGTATATGTATTTGTATAGTATATGTATATATGTGTATATGTGTATACGTGCATATGTATATGTATATGTACAGTATATGTATATGTATCCCATTGGTTCTGTTTCTCTGGAGAACCCTGACTAGCACAGGCATAAAGCCCTACCGATCAGCTCTGCACACACTGGGCCGGCCCATTTCTGCAGGGCTCTCAGCCTGCATGGGCTACTCATTGCTGTGCCCGTGACAAGCATTCCTGACCAACTCCTCCCTCATCAAAGCCCCCTTCTGCCTCCAGCATCACCCGAATGGGGCCTCCACAGAGCCCAGGACATCAGTCCCTCCCCTCATCCTCACCCGAAGGGCGTCCCTCAGCCACAGTGGGAAGAATGATTGGAATCTGCCTGTTGATGGTGGGGCAGAGGGGCCCAACGGTCCAGGAGGGAGCTACACATGGTTTGCTCTGTCTGATGAAAACAATCACTGGAGATTTGTGTAGTGAAGGCACAAAGGTACGCTAAATATTATTTACAACTGAGATGTGATCAGCCTCTGAAAGGAAAGGTTTGTAAGGCCGAAGAAGAGCATCAGGAATTTCAAACATGTACAGTTAGCGAATTCCAGAAGGCTACAGTTTTAGCGAGATGAGCCTGTGTTCCCTGCAGGAGTCACCTGGGTCCTCCTGCTGCCACCTCTGCTTCCTCCACGTGAGAAGGAGGAAGTGAGAGCTCTGGAGTGTGGAGGGGCCCAATGAGCCCAGTAGTCCTTAAGCCCCAGGAGACACTCACCACTCTCATGTCCACGTCTCAGTGCAGATGGCAGCCCAGAAGCCTTGCTCGCTTATAACAACAGTAAATAGGAGAGCTGGGTAGGACCTGCTTCACCACTGAGCTTGCTGCCCTTATTTAGTGGGAGGAGGAACCTCAAGAGGGGAGCTACCAGGCCAACTCCCGTCCAGACCTTTCCAAGTTATTTCACTGAGGAGCAAGGATGGTGCCACTGCACTCCAACCCTGGTGACAGAGGGAGAGTCTGTCTCAAAAAACAAACCAGGTTGTCTTATTGAATTCACACTGTTAGGAGATAGATGACAGATTTGAATTGAGCTCTAATTTTGTGAAGAAATTATTTTTTGGAGCAAATGCACTGGTCCTTCTTTCAAACACAAACTTAGCATTCATTTTCTCAAAAATAAATACATCTAGCTGAGCTACATAATATATGCACCCTGCAAGAACTTTAGAAAACCTAGAAGAGCACATGGAGAAAATAGTACTCATCAGGAATCCCACCAGGCAAAGATGACCACTGTTAACATTTCATGTAAGTGCTTCTAGCATTTTTGATGTATATTTGTTTTAGCTTTCCAAATTGCCGTTGTACGGTAATACTCTTTTGAATCTTGGTAGCATTTGGTTTTGCACTTTTTGCAATATGTTGCAAATGGTTTCTTCTTTTTTTCTTCTTTTGCTTGGTTTGTTTGTGTTTTAATTATTCTATTTTGTATTATTGTTTAAAACACCAATAAACATTTTGTATACATATCTTTATGAAAAATAATTATTTTCTTAAGAAAAAATTTTAGCAGCAGGATTACTATACCGAAGTATGTGCACAGACTTAAGGTTTGGGGTACATGTTGCCAAACTGCCGTGAGGAAATGTGAAGCCAAATGCAGAAATGCTGTGTGTTTCCACACACTCTCAATCAACTCGAGGTTTTATTGTTCTTTTCTCCTCATCTCTAAGTTCATACACAGCCCAGAAGACAAATGAGGAGACAAACAAAATTCTTCAGCCGATTGCTGGTAACGCAAGGTATTTATACAAGGATTTCATTGAGTTCTTGTCCACTGAGGTGAAAGGAGAAAATTCAGAGTTGAGGCCTGCTTAAATGCCACCAAGCCAGGAACCTACTCAATCCATTAGAGCTTCTGAACCCAGTCATTTTTTTTCTGGAGGCAAATCCTGCATGGTCTTAGGCAAAGCAAATGACTTGTCTCTACCATTTCCTTCTGCAACCAAAGAACCAAAATTATTCTAAACTCCAGTAACTTGGTTTCCCCACCTGACCTTCCTGCAATGGTTTCAGTCACAGGCTCAGGAGGGCCTGGTCTCAGGTATGCCTCTTCCTCAGCGACCATGGCCTTTGCAAGAATACCTGGTAAGGAGGCTGAGGAAGTTCATAACCAGGGATGGAATTCAGTGGCTGCATGAATTTGGATGGGGAAAAAAAAGGCATATTTGTTTCACTAATCTTTGTCACTTAGACGATAAATGCAGCAGGCAACAGTCCATACTAGTGTTAGCAGTTTTGTGACTTTGTCAACAGAAGAAAATCATAGATGTTTTTAGATCTATTACAGTTGTTGCAGAGATTTTTAAATGTCATTAAGCTCATCACGGCTTTGAAATTACAGTAATTAATGAGACCTGATAGTAGATCTTATTATTTAATGTGTTAATGAACAAATATATCTATGCATTTCTTAAAATATTCAGATAACTGAATATTTATATTTTAATATAAATGTTTTCTTTGTGATCCCATATATTCATATTTTAACATTTAAAACTTTATTCTAAGGGGTTCTATAGGTTTCACCAGACACCAAAGCAGTTTGTGACACACAAAAAAATTAAGAACCTCAGAGAAGGAAGCTAAATGTTGGGCCCTGTGGGTAAACCAACTCTTCTGTTTTATAATCTCAAAGTTATAAAAGATTTCCCTAATAGTGGAAGAATAGAG
The DNA here is from genome assembly GCF_000001405.40 of Homo sapiens. Lineage (NCBI taxonomy): Eukaryota > Metazoa > Chordata > Mammalia > Primates > Hominidae > Homo > Homo sapiens. The sequence continues at coordinate 44,420,056 of NC_000013.11, forward strand.
AGATTTTTGCATATCCCTTTTCCATTCATTCATTCATTCATTCATTCATTCTACAAACACTTATTTAGCGTCAACAAAGTGGTAGGGCTGGGCAAAGTGGCTCATGTCGGTAATTTCAACACTTTTGGGAGGCTGAAGCAGGAGTATCACTTGAGCTCAGGAGTTCGAGACCAGCCTGGGCAACATAGAGAGACCCCTGTCTCTACAAAAAAAAAAAAATCAAAAAATTAGCCAGATGTGGTGGTGCATGCCTGTATGCCCAGCTACTCAGCATTGATTGAGCCCAGAAGGTCAAGGCTGCAGTGAGCCAAGATCGCACCACTGTACTCCAGCCTGGGTGACAGGGTAACACCCTGTCTCAAAAAAAAAAAAAAAAAAAAAATTTTAAGTGCCAAACAAAGAGAAAAAACAATACCCAGACGCCCTCCTGAGAGAATCACTGACTCTGGCAGGTTAGAGAATGAGGGCTGGGCCCACCAGCGGAGCCACAGCTGGAGGAAATGCAGATTTCAGCTGCTCATTGCTTTGAAATCCATGGATGTTCCCTCCCTAAGGAAGAAATTCCATCAGAATAATTAAAAGTGTCCCCAGTAGAGAGCTCTTGGCACTCTGCGACTCCCAATCCTCTCTGTCTGTCAAAGTCCTCCGCGGCCTTCAAGATCCTACCTTGGATGCCCCTTCCCAGCTGGAGTGAATCATTCCTCCCTCAGCAGGCTCCCTCCCAGATGTTAGCACTGTAGCTTCTCATTTGCGTTATTTATGAGCCTGACTTGCCTGGGATCCAGAGCCCTCAGTGTTATTGTGTGGTGGCATGGGCTGCCCCGGTCCTGGAGCCCAGTGGGCCTGTTCCGAGCTCTGCCTCCCCCACTTCGAGGCTGAGTGACTTGGGTAGCTGACTCCCCTCTCCACTGGCCGATGGGCATCTGCCAGGTCCACCAGGGGCAAAACTGTGGCACCCGCTGCACCCGGAGCTCTCTAAGAGTTGTCTCCTACATTCTCCACCCAATCCAAATGTGATGTCCAAGAAGCACTCACCTGCTCACCCGCTCAATGGAGGGCCACTTTCCTTCTCAAAGTGCTCAGACACAATCCTCCTAGCCCACCCGCTAGGCCTGGCGTCCCCACTCTCTCTGCTGAGATGGCCTCTTCCACTCAGTCCCCCACATCTTTCCACACTCAGTTCAGGTGGCTTGTTTTTGTTTTTGAGACAGGGTCTCACTTCGTCATCCAGGCTGGAGTGCAGTGGCACGATCTCAGCTCACAGCAACCTCCGTCTCCCAGGTTCAAGTGATCCTCCCACCTCAGCCTCCCCAGTAGCTGAGACTACAGGTATGCACCACCACACTCAGCTAATTTTTACAGTTTTAGTAGAGGCGGGGTTTCACCATGTTTGCCAGGCTGGTCTCAAACTCCTGACCTCAAGTGATTCACCCACCTCAGCCTCCCTAAGTGCTGGGAATACAGGCGTGAGCCACGGCGCCTGGCCCAAGTGGCTTCTTTCTGGAAACTTTTCCTGGTATTCATCTTCCAGCTCCTCAGGCAGAAACGACCGTTTCCTCCTTCACATCCCACTGTGCGCTGCACACTTGATGTCCCCTCCCTGGCTAGAAGTTCCTTCAAGGCAGATACCAGGTCCTATTTATATTCATGTTTGTGGCCCCAGTGGCTAAAAGGCTATACTTACTTGCTGAATGAAAAGTGAGTGGAGGAATGAATGGATGAGTGAATGAATGCCCCTGCTCTCTTCTTCTTCCCCTTCTCATGGACTCTTTTCTATTTCTCCTACAATCACTTGTGGTTCCAGTGCTGGCTTAGCCGTTAACTCTGTGGTATGGATAAGTGACTTTATGCCCCTGGGGTTCAGTGTCCCTGTAATGGAAGGGAGTAGGTAGAACTAGAGGTGGTTTAGAGACTGCTCTTTTGCTCCTATGTAATGTGATTCTGTTGTGTAATGGTGTGGGTGTCAGCATCTGCTGGGATGGAAGAGTCTCCCAAGGCCACACTCTCTGTCCCAGGTACCCACCAAGACCAAGGTCCTAACCCTCATATCTAGCTGGCCACTTAGCCTTACTAACAGCTTTCATGTTTTTAAGTCCCACCCCTGCCTGCCCTTAGACATTGGCTGGAATTCAGGCCCCCATTCTCTCTCTGCAAACTACCCTGGTCAGCAACTCCGTGATCTCTCATCTCATCCAAGTCCATCTTGCCTTCTGCACAGCCCAGATGGCCAGCCCTAGAGTCTGGTCTCCAGGTCACCTTATTTGGGGGCAAAGGCTTCTGCAGAGACTGCAAGGATTCTTCAAGGTCTGAATTTCCTGTTGGAGTGAAAATTCCTTGACTTCAACACTCCTTTCCCCAAATCTTGGGTGTGATTCTAGCTTGATTGCTTTCCTGAAACTCCTTTGCAGCCTTTGCCATCAAACTTTCTGGGCAGATCCCCACTTCCTTGTTCACAGAGGACAAATTTGGTTGGGAGGAGGAACATTAAGTTTTCCAACACCTGCAGACTGATTTATCTTTGCACTGACCTTCATTCTCTTGCCCTTTCTCTGAGAAGACCCTGATTCCCCTCGTGTGTGTGATTCCAATTTCCTCTTGCCTCCTCGGGGACAGTCAGCCTTAGCTCTGTGATTGATAGGCTTGTGCCAATGTCTCCTATCTTCCTGTGTTTCTCCTTGATCCTCCATCTAGTTGTTTCTCAATTTCTTTGTCTTGTAGCCGAGTTCCTTCAAATGCCGACTTCCACTGACTCCCCCTCACCTCCTACCCATTGCTCAGGCCTCTAAAACTAGGTTCTGCTCCAGCCCATGGAAGCTCCTCACATCCTGCTACTCGCTGACCTGCGTGGACACTTTCCTGTTTCGAGTCTGCCTGGCATCTCTCCAGCGCGTGATGACGTGCACCTCTGCTTCCACCTGGACCTCCCAGGCTTTCAGGGCCCTCCTCCCTCGCCTCTGGCTACTCTTCCCAGTCCCTTCTGCTGGCTCAGCCTTCAGCGAGCCCTGCCTGGGCTTCCAGCCTGGGCCCTCTGCTCCTGGGCTACACTTGTCCTGAGCAGCTCCACCACCCTTTGTGTGGAAATGGCTCTCCGTCACCCTCTGCAGCTGTGTCAGTCAAGGCTGGCGGACCACAGTAACCAGCCCTGAGTTTCTGTGGCTCAGCACATTTCAACTTTGTTTTTCACTCACTTCGGTGTTCATTATGAGTTGGAGGGAGTAAAGGGAGGAGGTGGCCCCCTTCAGAGTCACTAAGAGAGCTGGCTCCTTCAGTCCTGTGGCATTGTCCTCCCCCACATCCTCCAAGTCCTCCCAGGCAGCTGGTGGATGCAGAGAGAGAATGTGGGAAGTTTCCCCAGGGCCACACCTGCAAGTAGCACAGATCTGTTCTGCTCACATCCCGTGGGCAGACGTGGCTGTACACAGCTGCCAGGGAGGTTGGAGATTAAGAGAAAGGCACAGAAGGGATGTTGGTCAGTGTCAGAGCCTCTGTCAACCTAGCCCAGATCTCTCCCCTAGCCCCAGAGCCTTAGGAGAGATCTCCACTTAGTTATCTTACAGGCTCCTCACTCTACATAGTCAGACTTATTGCCCCTCTATCTTCCTGTCCTGGCAGTGGTACTATCACCCACCCAATTACCTGAGCCGGAAGCCGGAGAAGGGCCCCACGCTCCTCCCCTGGCCCCACCCTGACAAGCCTCTCTGACCTGGTGAGTCTCTGGTTCACCCCTTCCTTGCCCTTACCCCACTGCTGGATTCAGGCCCTCGGTTAGCTAGCCTCTGATCTATTTCAATAGCTCAATGGCAGATTGCTCTGCAGACTCTCATCCTCTTTCATTCTTCCTAAAACAGAGTCTACTGTGGTCCTCCCCTGCAACTTGGTAGCATGATTGCAGGCCGTGCCAGCCCTGAGCCCTCCCTCTCCCCACTCCTACCTCGCTGGCCCTCTCTTTCCAGCTTATGGGCCCCAGTCACAGGAAACCAGCTGTATTTTCTACTCCTTTCTGCATGTTCACCAGAAGATAGATGTCTCCGACATTCCTCTCCTCTTCCTGTTGGCTGTCCGCATTTTATTGTAGAAGGAGCCGCTCAATCATCACTTGCTCAGGGATCCTTCTAGACTTTCCCTGATAGAGTTGACCACTACCTCCAGGTAGATTCCTGTCAGTCATTCACAGAATGGTCTCAACCACGAAGACCAGTTAAATATGTCAGAGAACGTGTCCTTCATCTATGGTATCAGGTGAATGACAATGAATTCAACTGGAAACTCCGGTAGGGCAGCTCTAGTTCTTTCTTCATCTCATAACTAGATAATTATAATTTCCATAAAACTGTGGGAATTCAAAGTAGTATGCAACAATAATTATTTCTTCTAAAATCCAAAGCATGCAACCATAATTATTTCTGTGTAAAAAAAAAACGGAATCCCAATTTGTTGACAAGTAAACAGAGAAAGGACCTGTATTCATTAGGGATCCTCTAGTTTGCAAGCCACAGCAAACCTAACTTAAACCAGTTCAGAGAAAATAGCGATGTGCCCGCAGACGCACAGCTCAGCTCAGCTTTCCTTCAGCTGCCTCTGTCTTCTGGATCAAGTAATGGCCCCTGCAGGGTCCTCAAGCTTTCTGCTCACAACTGCATCCCTTCCTTCCTTCCTTTTCCCTCCCTCACTTCTTTCCTTCCTTCCTTCTTTTTTCTGATGGGGTCTCACTCTGTCACCCAGGCTGGAGTGTAGTGGCATGATGATAGCTCACTGCAGCCTCAACCTCCTGGGCTCAAGCGATCCTCCTGCCTCAGCCTCCCAAGTAGCTGGACTACAGGCATGTGCCAACACACTCAGCTAGTTTTTGTATTTTTTGTAGAGATGGTGTTTCATCATGTTGCCCAGGCTGGTCTCTATCTCCTGGGCTCAAATGATCTGCTGCCTTGGCCTCCCAGAGTACTGGGATTACAGGCGTGAGACACCACGCTTGACACTTTCAAGTGTTTCATTTTCAAATTGCCAATCCCGAGAGAGAGAGAGAGGAGAGACAGAGAGAGAGAGAAAGAGAGAGAGAGAGAGAGAAATTGGGACAAGAGACTGGGACAAGATTCGGAGTAACACACGTAAAGTTCACTCTGACTGGACCAGTTCACTCTGACAGGGCTGTGGCCAGGTGAGTGACATATGCCAATCAGGGCCATTTCTGTAGCCATATGGGGTTTCCCAAAGGAAGGAAGGAGAATGCATGCTGGGCAGCCAACAGCAGATGGTATTATAATACTCTTCCCAAAACAAGTTAGTAATGAGACCAAAACTTCCTCTCTGAAGCTATGTCTTTTCTTCCTTCAGTTACCCACTTCACAGACAAATAAATCTTCTCCCTCTTTGTTCCCAGGACACTTCAGTGTATAGTGATATTGAGGGAGTGTCATGTAGGCTTATAATAATTCTTAATATATCTTTCTTGGCCACTAGACTGGGGTATCTCAAAAGCAGAAGTAAAGTGTTTTCATTTTGTACCCATGGCACCTAGGGGACTCCCTAAGCTTGGCACGTTGTGGGTGCTTAATAACTATGGAGGGTTTTATGGATGAATAAATAGTAGCATTGTCTATGGAAACATTTAGTCCTCCAGCACTGGCTTTTCGGGGTCAAGTGGCCGTGATATCAGCGTGGGAAATGTCGTTGTCTTATCTATGCTGTGGATCTGTCTGCAGCTGTGCTGGGCAGGGAGAGGGCGGCACCATTTGCCTTTGTGTGTGTGTATTCCCTGGGGATCTTCTGACTTGATCTGCACCTACTCTGCCCTTTGTAGTTTCTGGAAAGACATAGAATTCCACCAGATCCCACTAACCAAGCAACTTGATACACTAGAAGGATTTGGCGGAATCCTGTCTGTTGCTTTTTTCTGAAGGAGATGGGATTCGCATCCCTCTTTGGGGCACACACTAAGGGGATGGGCTGAATGCTAGCTCTGGGGAAGCCACAGATGCCAGACAGGCACCACATGTCAGGAAGGAGCTGCCTGTCTTTGGGAAGCAGCTAAAATAGCGCTAAGAGCATGGACCTTGATGCTGGGCAAACCTGGTTTGCATCACACTTATCAGCTCTTTCAACTTGACTTGGCAAGTTACTTATTCTCCTTTCTGTAGTATGGGTTAATAATGTCTTCTTCACAGGGCTGGTATGAAGAATAAATGAGACACTGTCTTCAAAGTTCATAACACACAGTAAATGCTCGATAACATGTGACGGTAGTAAATGGATTCCATTTTCCTTTCTCCAGAAGGGGATCGCAGGTCTTCATGCATCTGTGAAGGATAATGCAGAACGGCTCATTTCCAACTGCTTGCATCTATGAAGCAAAATAAAATCCAACAGATACTAGAACAAGATCTAGTTGTTGTCTTCTTTAAGAAATCATTTGAATTTTAAGAGCAGGATTAAAATGAATTAAGCTACAACATTTTAAAAACCAGATATTGTAGTCTGGCTTTGAAACACAACCTCAAATGCCTACCTGAGCCAGGTATGTAGCCAGATGAGTGGGGCACGTCAGCCACTGACAGCATGGGGCCATCACAGGTGTGGTGGGGCCATGGCAGCCGGAGGACCAAATCGATTCTAAAGTGAGCAGCTTCTGTGACTCAGCACAGCTGATGACTGTCACATGGGAATACAGACTCAAAGCTGCTAGAACTTGGAACAATATCCCAGTTTCAGAAGAGATATCACTAATTCACATTATTTTCTTAAACACTGCATAAAATCATGTCTGAGCAGCAGCTCTGGTTAGTGGGCTTTATGTGGTCTGAGGACCCTGGATTGTGAACTCCAATCTCAGCTGACTCCTTGCCAGTGGTGTTTCTCAAAGTGAGTTACACTTTACAGGTTCAGCAGGCCAATTCTCACTGCATAGAAGAATGTTTCTAAACTCTTATATTCCTACCACATGGGAAGGTAATTGCTTTTTATAATTATGCCAAACATTATTCTTCCCATGTGTTATTTTACAGTTCGAAGTCAACCTCAACATTTACCTTTTTGACATATATTCTACTCATCTAACTATTTACTGCCCCTTGGCTCTGACATGCTCAACTTGCATTATGTTAATCGGCAGTTATATTTCTTTGTAATATTGTTTCAGGTTTTATGCATGTATGTATACCAATGAAGGTAGTGAACTCAAAAATTATGTCTAAAACCTAATAGGAATTTGTTCCTTTCTTTCTTATAACAGTCCTAAGCAGTTTCAGGTTGGGGACGTGGCCAAGAACTCTGGTCCTACTCGGTCACTCAGGGGCCCAGCCCAAGATGAGGCTCTGCCATCTTCCAACACGTGGTTTTCAAAGTGGTTGTAGTTGTCTCCAATCAGTTGGCTGGAGGGTAAAGAGCATGGAGGATTGCCCATGGGAAGTTTTTATGAATCAGGCCTGGAAATGACAAAATGACATTTATGCCCACATTTATTTCACTAGAATTAATCACGTGGGTTCACCTAGCTGCAAGAGAACCTGGGAAATGCAGTCTGTGTAACCAGGAAGAGAGGAGGCTTTTTGGAAAACACCTACCAATTTTTGCCAATGGATTCTAACGTATGTTTCATCTTCTTGCCCTCACAGAACACACTCACCCTCTCCAGGGGCAATAACCCAAAGTCCCATTGAGCTACTATATCCAGCTCAAAACTCCAAATCTGTAGATGAGGCACAGGTCTGAATGTGGTGGCTCCTTAAGGTCTGGTGATCTGTAATCTAAGACAAATTATCTTCCCTTCCACTGACAATGCACAATGGTGGAGTGCAGCATAATAATTGCAATAAACCTCCCATTGGAAGCATAGGAAACACACAGTAGGCTCCAGCCCTCAGCTATTAGGAAATCCTGTTGGGCAGGCATTGAGAAGATCCCTTTGCCCTGGCAATAGGGGAAGCTCTCCCATTAGACCATGATTCTATTCTCTGGGAAGAAACCCTTGGTGCATTGTTCTCTAAAACTGCAGGCCTCTTACCTCTGGGAGGCTTTTCTTGTCCAGTATCCCCCAGGGCCATGTATGAAATGGATGTTGGAGATAATGCTCTTCCTGGGAGCTAGACAGCTTTAGGCTCCCACTTCACCCACTTCCATCTCCTGCCAGTGTTGGGGGGGCCTGAGGGTTGTTTGAAGGTTTCAACAAAGTTTTCTTGCTGTTATTAAGTCTGGGTTGGCTGGTGATTTACTTGGTAGTAAATGTTCTTCAAAAACTTAGTAAGCTTCTCCCTTCTCTGTTTCCAGTCATTTTAATGTTATCAGTAGCAAGACCTAAAACATTCTTCTGCACATGCCTGTACTTCTGCTCCCCTACCTCTATCCACTGGACAGTGACCATGCAGAAGTCATCTGAAACAAAAGGCATATATGGGGAATTAATACCCTTTGTCTACTCTTTGCTGAAGGGATAAAGCACCTTAACTGAAAAGGCTTAATGGGCCCTACTGATTTCCAGCTCCTTGGGGTGTAGAAGCAATAGGCTTTTCCAGTATCAAATAGCCCCAAATTTCTGCATTTCTTTTTCCCTTTCCTTTGTACTTACAAACTAATTCTTTTGTGAGCTCACCTTTTCCCTGAAAAACATCAGAGGAGTAACACAGTGAAGAGTGAAAGGTCCTAACATTCTTGTACCAGCTACGTGCACACCAGGCACATGGCCAGCCTTCTAAGTTATTGCTGGCCACAGTTTTAGAAAACATTTTGTCACTTCACAATATGGGTCTTGATCTCTCTAGCCTCCACTAGTTTCATCACCACCCACCACCAGCCAACCATAGTCAATGCCCCATATTTAAGGTTTTTTTGACATCACTCCACTTCAGGTACTGATAACCATATTAGCAAAGGTTAGCCACTGAAGCTAATTTTAAAATGCCTAATGGCGGCAACACTCTTGCTCATCCAAATATGCTGCCTGGTTCGTGGGGGAGGGCACTATACTTCGGTCATTCAGGGATCCAGCTGACAAAGGCTCTGTCACTCCCAAGGTTGCCGGGTCTTCTCCATCCCATCAGTGGAAGGAGAAGGAGCCTGGCAGATCACTGAGAATGGTTTTCTCATGGGCCAAGCCTGGGGGGCTTCAGTTACTTCATCACTCATCCACTGACTAAACCTGAGTCCCACGGTCACTCCTAACTCCAAGGGGGCGGGGAGATGTAATTCAGGCGTGTGCCCAAGTGGAATAGAAAATGGAATCTTAGGCAACCAGCTTGTCGCAGTTTGCCTGGGACTTTCATGGATGTGACATTGAAAGTTCCACTACTCAGAACACCCTCAGTCCTGGGAAAACCAGTTTAAGTAGAGACACTAAGTCTCACTGTTTAAGTAGAGACACTACCTCTTCTGTTTTCTTGGTCTCTGAATCTACAGTGACTACAAACCACTTATCAGGGCATGAATTGGATGCACTTATGAGACAACAGGGCAGATTATTGTAACTGAAATATATGTGTCCCTGAAAATTTGGGTCATGTGTTATATAACCTTGGTGATACACATCTACAAACATGGTCTTTGTTCCTAAATGAATCAGCTATAAAATGTAGTGGTAGGGGATATACCGCATTGAAAAACACTACTCATTTAACAAGAGTTCCTAGAAGAATTCCCAGAAATATTTCTGCCAAAGGGTTCGTCTGAGAAGGAACAACAAATGAATAATTCAGATATTATATTGCATAAGGCAAATTTTGCCAGAAAACAAACTACCTCATTTATCTTAAAGACAGCTTATGTGAACTGTCCTTGGGGACAGGGACTGTGGCTCATTCACTACACTATCTCTGGCTTCTAGCAGGTACTCAGTAAATGTTCTCTGAGTAAGTTAACACATGGTTTTCAACACAAAGTACCAGTTTACTGTGCACCATAGTCACACAAATAGCCTGTGCCCCCTTTCTCTCATCAAAAAGAAGAGATTTTCCTGATTTATTTTGAGCTGAAGGGTGGTGAGCTGCCATTTAGGGCAGATTCTAGTTCTTGAGACAGTCAGACGACAGAAGGCGGAGGGGACACATGTGGCCTGTGGGCCAAACCAGCTTAGTAGGTGTGCTCTCTTATTTGGTCTGTGCAGTGTCCAAAAGTCAGGCATTTCCAGACAGAATCCTGGATTTATGGAACTTGGAAGAAATTGGAAGATCAAGCAACACAGTGCTTGAATTCCCATATGGCAACTGGATGGAGCTACATAGCACTGTCCCTGTTAGCTGAGCACACTCCCCAACTGCCACAGTCACTACCATGTCCTACTGCTTACCCTACTCACTCAAGAAGCTTCTCCACCATATCCGACAGACACTGGGGTCCTGAACACCTGGTCTAAAGCACAGACCTCTGTTGTAATACTGCACATTTTTAAATGGCTACTGAACCTTCCAAGTAGCTGTTGCCAGAACCTGATCTCCAAGCCTAGCGACTTCAGGCCTGCCTGGCATTCCATAGCACTGGTTTACATAGAACCTTTTTCTGTAATGAAATTAATAATTTAAGATATATATATACTCCACCTGTAATCATTTCCTTCCACCAATATTATTTCTGTAGTACCGAAAATATTGGACACTGAAACATGGACAATTCCCAACGAATCCCTTCTCTAATTCACAGAAATGAAATGCAGCCTTTTGCTATTATTTCTTTGATACAGAAAAAAACGGTGTGTTTCTATCTGTATTCTAAAGGACATTATTCCCATGTGTGTTTTCACAGTAAAGTTTAAACAGTCACTACTATTACCAAATACTAAATCAAAAGCTATTAGAAAATAAAGCTGCCACACCTTTATCCCTATGAAAAATACAAAATTAAATATATAAACAAACATAAACAAGCAGATGAATGACTCAGAAATAATAGTAATGGTTAACACTCCTTGAACCCACCTCACTCTGAACTGTCTCTGTGCTGACAGCTTCCCAGCATCAGCCTCCCAAAACCCCTATGGAGATAGCATGTCCCCATTTTAAGCATGAGGAAACAGAGAACAACAAGGAACTTGCCTGAGGTCACTTAGCTAGTAACTAGCAGAGGAGCTAGGATTAAAACCAAATTAATTTTAGCCATTAAGTTAAATGAATAAACAAAAACAGTGCACGCACACACACACACACACACCCTCCCACCAAAAGTTCGAAGAATAAAATAAAGTCATTATCAGATGCAGAGGACTGTAGCATCTGTGGCAAGACAGGATCTTTGTGACCTGATCCAATCCTTATTTCACAGGTGAGAACTCAGGTCTGAAGGATTCCATTCCTGGTCCAAAGGTCAAACAGCTGATGACTGCAGGGCCAGGCCTAGCAGCCAGAAGCCTGCCTCTCAGCTCAGGGTCCTCCCACACACCAGTGCAGGAACCTATGGCACTGTCTGCTTCCAAGTTCTATCGGTGGGCACAGATCTCCACTTGCAGGCAATGTTACCTAAGAGGGAGAGGAAACTTGATTTTCTCTGCCTCCATTTCTAAAAATCGTAATGCCACAATTGCTGCCTGAATGGATTTGAAGTTGACATCTAAAAGCAGTCATGTTGTCAGCCCCTGGTAGTTTCAACTACTTATTTTACACAAAGCAAGAGCAGAGTAGTGTCTATATAGATTAATTTTCATTCCTAATTTTAGTTATAATTAACTTTTATACATTTCTTGTATAAATTTAAAGCTGTTCTGGCATTGCATATTTATTCCATAATGAAAAATAAAAGTTCTCTTTTAAAGTATGCAAAAAATGCACACAATTACTGAAATATGAACACTGTTCATTTGAAATACAAAGTAGACGTTCATTCAAATCCATGTAAAATTCCTACTTCTCCTTCATTGAACGGGGGTTTCTCCTGCTGCAACTGATGTCATGAACACTCAGTGCTGGTACAGCATGCCATTCCCCTTAAAAATCTTTCCTTCTCCACAGAACATAAGTGCAACATAATCAGTTATATAATAACCCACAGGCCAATAAGACCTACACTCAGGTCTATAAGCAAGTAGCAAAATGCCTTTTTAAATTACCTTAAATATGTTTAAATATAAGTCAATCATCTCAAGTATGTTTAGTAATTACTAAAATGAGGAACATGTATGGAAAGACATCTTTTAATAATTCATTCTTATTTCACAAATATTCAGCTGCCAAAATTTCATGAGTCTCACATTTTTAATAAAAAGACCCAAAGTTCCATTAAATAATGGAGAAAAAAACTTCTCCACCATCTTAATACACTGACATGAGATTTTTCAAATTTTCCACGATTACCACCTATGGTATTTTAAAGATCTTCATTAAAAACATAAAAAATGAAATGGCTAGGGATTTCTATTCACTATAGTTTTTTCAAGGAAATGTAATTACTACGTAAGTATTCCTTTATTAAATTTGAAGTTATATAACCAACAAGCCAATATGAAAGATTTTTCTTTACGTCCTTTTCAAATTCCCCCAAAATATCTTTATGACAACTGCTATCAGCCTATGGCAGTGAGCCATCCATCATTTCAACAGGATGCCCGTGTCACCACTTTATAACACATGCACGCTATCGAACAATTCTTTTTAGGGATCTTGGATGTCCCATTCACCTCTCAATCTCCCACCAGCTCTAGATGAGAGAAATGAATGATTCAGAAAGTTTGTCCTTGTTCTGCAAGGACTTAAGACAAGCCTTAGAACTTGGGATTGGTCCAATTCCTACTGGGCAGGGGGCCACTGCTGAGGCCCTAGGTTGATAGATTACAGAGCCGGTAAACCCACCCCATTCACTTGCTCGCTCACGTTACTCCTACTGCAGAGTGGGATCCCTCAGGCTCACTCCTCAGGTGCCAGGGGCCAATCTGCCTCAGGATTCCTTCGTGGTTTTAATTTTGGCCTGTTTTATAGTCATGCAGAATCAACTGCAAGGACATCCTTGCTCATCTGGTCCCACCTCAAATCATCTTTTGCTTAGACAAAACGAATTATCCCAGGAGCTAGAAACTCATCCTACACTAGGAGAAACATCCCAACCCAGGGTGACAGGGTTCTTAAAGTGGAAATCAGCTTCTCCAACTTCCGTCTTTTGATCCTAGATCTGCTTATTCCAATTATACACAGAATAAGGCTCCTTCTTCCTCTCAGTTCAGTAAAAAATTAAGATTTTCAAGGACTCCTAGAATTTTAAAGCCAAAGGGGAATGTAAGAGATCATCTCTTTCAAACCCCTACATCCGTCCAGGAGTGAAGCAACCTGTCCAAGTCACACAGTAGTTAGAATTGAGCTGGACTCCTCCACTGTCTCTTCTCTTACCTGCTGAACAACTCAATGTGTCAATTTCCTTTTACTTCATGCAGTCAAATCACGCCCCTACTTTTCCAATCATTCCACTGCCCTTCAGGATTTTACTAGTCAAATTGTTAACTTTACCTGGAAACAGTTGTGGAAATGACTGCCATTATGTTAACAGGGTCATATGAAAAACACTTGTTTATCAACATTTATATGCTTTATTGAAAGTTGACAAGTGCAACAGTTAAATACAGTGACACCTTACAATTGTGTAGAGAACATGCACAGAAACATATGCATATAACTACTATACAGGTGATATGCAGAAACCCCTACTGGGAAATCCATTTCATTAGTTAGAACTGAGCATTTTTCAAAGTATTCAACCAGCTCAATTGAAAGACTTCAGTGAACAAGGATTTACTTCAGCGTATTCAGCAGCTAGATTTCAGATTACACAAAGTGAGTAACTGTGCCAAATTCTTAAAATTTCTTTAGGTGTGGTTTTTGTCATGTAGCAGTTTTTATGTAGATCTATATATAAAAGTCCACACCTCCTCAGACAGCCAATGAAACAACTAAATTTCAATCTGTACAACCTAAATAGTAGTTACAGTCCTCTATTGTACAAAATAGTTACACTACATACACAAATATACAATAAGCAAAACAACCTTCATGGTAAGATAGCCTAGGTCCCAGCTACCTGTCACCATTTTGTCACTCTCATAGTTTTGTGTCATCCATTGTTTGAGAAGAAAGAGGCACAGTACTATTGTTTTTTATGAATTTTGGTGACAGTTGTCAAATTTGTACAGTGAACTCTGTTCCCCCTCATTTTAGTCTTTTTACCCTCCTTTCAAGTTCCTCCTGGGGGGAGGAGAGGAGAGAGGCGAGTCCAGTGAGGAGCTCCATCGCTTCACAACCCCATGTAGGACACTAAGCGCAAGCAGGAGAGAGAACCCTTGGAAGTGAGGGGTAGGGAGCCGGAAGGGATGGAAAGGCACACAGCTCCTGAGCATGAATTAAACCATTTCTCAGATATCTGCCAAGCTGCATGAGGTCCCGGTATATCCATGCTAATTCTCGGATTAACCTTTAATTCACCCAACTAAGAAATTTCTCCAAGCCATAAGCATATGAGTGTTTAATACTGGAAAAGAGATAATGGCATATGTCAGTCTCACGTCTCTTTCGCAGCGAGCAATGAAATGGGTGACTGTGGAGGCAGATTCTCCCTAGCACATCTTCTCCGTCTGTTCAGTTCACACGCAGCAGCCAGTTCTGCGGGGGCATAGGCAGCTATGCGGTTGGTCCTGAGCCCTGCGATGCTGGCTGGGCGGGGGGCTGTGTGGTGCCCTGTGGCTGGGTGGTGGCAGGGGGGGAGCCAGTCTGCAGCTGGGCCTGAAACTGGGCAAGCTGCTCAGGACTGGCCAGTGTCTTCAGCAGATTGTTCTCCTGCTCCAGCTGGGAATTTTTCTCTATTAGTTCTTTGATTTGCTCTTTGAGGACCTCCACTTCTTCTCTGACCGCATACATCAAATGGCTTTTCACTAGATCCTGGAAAGAAGACAGAAAAGGTTTAACTCATTATTTGGTATTTTCTGGACTCTTTTGAGTTTCCAAGACATTATTTTACATGGATCTCCCTAACTATTTACATATTCCACCTTTAAAGTTGGTTCAATGACACTTGGGGAAATCTGAATACAAACATGACTGTACAATACTTGAGTTTAACGTATAAATGATCAAGCTTTGTAAAAGTCTGTGCTTCTCTGCAGACGTTGGCCAGAAACGCCCAAGTAAGGCTTCCTGAGACTGGGCCAGAGCCGGGCGCTGGGTCCCCGACTGAGACCAGCAGCGGGGACGTCCAAGCCACAGCGCGCCCACCGCGTCCCCGCCCCCAGGCCCCGCCCCGCGCTCGCCCGGAGCCGCCTCCTTCAGCACCGGCTGCAGCCAGTTCCTACCGAACATGTTGCCGCATTTTCTTCCCTCCACCCCGCCCCCCTCTTTTCGTGATTAAGCTGACATCACAGAAACCTGGGCAGACGTCGCAGCCAATGGGAGCCCGAGTTATTTATAGCTCCGAATTAAAGGTTCAGAGTTTGCCTAGCAACAGTGGGCAGAGAATCCCGTGAGAAGAGCCACAGGCGCTGCTCCAATAACAAAGAACGGCCAAGGCGGAAATAAAAAATAGGAGAAATCCAGGCGCAGGCTAAGAAAACAAAACTTTTTCTCTGATTCTTCTTCATTGTGAAGGAGCCCGCGCCACCGGGGACCCGTTTGTGCACCGTCTAGAAGACCCTTATCCAGGATCCCGACTTCTGGGGCCCTCCCCACCTCCCGGCTCCCTAGTAAAATATTAGGATTCCTAGTAAAGCCACATCGCTAAAGGTGTGCTCACGACCAGCCGAAGGAGATAGTTGGCCAGCGCTTCCCTAATAAATCCCCAGCAAAAAGGGTCACCGTGAGAAAATCCCGTCGTGTGAAACCAGTCCGGGGAAGAAGACCATTTAATACCCGCAGGGCCCCTTTCTCCCTCCACGGCTGCCGTGGTAGGTGGCTCCACGCTGGCCGAATGGAGACAGCGCCGGCATTTCTACGCGCATCAAGAGCAATCATCATCATCTGAACTTAGGGATGCACTGGTTCCACAAAACATCTTATTTTTGTGCTGTGCCCACATTTAGTATAAATGATTTTTCATCAGTACATACCATAGCTTGCTCGATTTTGTTGTCAATAGCTACCACACTTGCACCAGAGGAGCTGAAAAAGAGGAGGGAAAAAGGTCATCGATAAATGGAATTTATCTTAAGCTTCCAAGATAAAAAGGATCTCCCAATTTTGTGATATTGCTAGCATCATATTTTGAATGTTATTTAACACTATGTAATGTATCACCCTCCAGAAAATGCCAGCCCCTCTCTTACTAACGAATATCCAGGCATCTCCCTATTTTAGTAAGCCACAAAGGACTAAATTACATAATGTGGGGAAAGCCTGTTCTCTGGCCAGACTTGCAAAAATAAGGTTTTTTAACATTTCGAAAAACAACATCCATGTCACCATAATCTCTCAGCAATGGACAAAGGAATTCGCCTGGCTATCTTTCACCTGTATTATTATAAGTATCCCACGAATAAATTTAAAGAAACTATCTTAGCCGACATTTACCTATTATCAAGTCTCACAGAAGCGTTTTCAGTCCCCAGCAAGGATGACAAGAAAGAAATTGAAAAATGTCTCAGTTGGTAAACTCCTAGATCCATCGCCACTGGTCTACACCATTGGGATTTCATGCAATTGCAGCCAAAAACACCCTCGTGGAAAAAAAGAGGGAACACCAGCAGCCTTGTATAAGCTAGATAAAATCTTCTGGCTTTCCGCAGCCCAGGGAGAAACAGAAAACGGCAGCCCTAATTTAAAGAAACCCAGCTTCTAGGGCTTGATGATCCCAGGCAGATGCGGATCCCAGTGCCGTGAAGAGGCGCTTCCCAGATCCGCAGCCGGGCTCCACTCAGCTCTAGACCAGGACTCCCAGTCTTAGTGCAAAATATATGCAGGAAAGAGCTGCGCCGATTGGCCGGCACGCCACTGGGACCGCCCCCTACTCCCTTCCAGGTCCTCCCGCTTCCCTGCTTCCCCGCCTCCCCCCACCCCCACCTCCGCCCCCATTCTCCAGATCCCGCTCGTGGGGTGGGCTGGCCTGGCGCGGGCCGTGCTCAGAGGGAGTGGGGTGCTGGGTTCGGAGGTTTCCACGGCGGCCTCAAAACACTGGGCCATTGCTTCGGCAGAAAATGTGAAGGGTCCCTGAAAAATACTATGGGGGCCCCCACACGTGCTTACGTTTAAGGGAGTCAGACCCCGGTCCCCGGAGCTGTGTCCCGCGGCTGCTTAACGGCGAAAGCTTCCTATTTGTAACCCGAACCGTCTGAGCTACTGGGCATGCCCAGTCCCACCACTGTAAGACTTCGAGTGTCTTGATTTCAATTATCTAGTTCTTACCGGCAGCGGTACTGGGAGGATTTTATAGACGGTTTTATTTTTAAAGATAATAATCACCCTGCAATCATGTATTTTTTTAATTTTAGAGGAAAAAAAATCACATTTGCTCTTTGAGAGATACTACCTTTTGTTTTATAGAAACAAAACAAAAAACATTATATATTCTTTGCTAGGCATGAGGGAAAGACTCCAGATAAAATCCAGGATCTTCCCAAAAAGCCCGTAGAGCCACAAACCTTAAAATCACATCTCCCTATTAGCATCTTCTCCCTAGTAACTAAATATGCCTTCTTCTATTTAGACCCAAAAAAGTCAATCCACAGGTTGAATTCCACATAAATCTATTTTTAGTTAAGTCCCTAAGGCACGTTTTTGCAAGCTGAGTGACAATTCCTCTAAGACTCAATCCCTCAATCCTATGAGCCTTCTTACATCAGAGGGATTGAAATATTATAAAGTATGTATTCAAAGCATACAAATCCTTGAAGTTAGTCTCTGCCCATTTGCAGTGTCCAGAACCAGAAAAGGGAGGATATAATGGTGGTTAAAAATAGTTAAGCAGCCAATAGATGCTGTAGGCTCACCTCTGTTTCACCCTCTTGGCCACACTGACCAAATAATTCCCTTCTCCAAACCAAAATCGAGAGATGTGGGTATAAAATAGCTTAACCCTTTCAAAATTTCCTATATTAATTTAAAATACTTGCAGGGATGCATCAATTAAGGCTACAATTTAATATACTAGAAATCTAAGCCCTGAAGTTTGCTAAATTATAATACAACATAAACAGTTTCCAAGTCAATACATGCGAGAAAGAAAACTTAACCTCTACAATACTGCCCTCTAATGGCATAATATAAAAACCAAAAAATCTACAAAGTACTTGGGGAGACCTCTCTAATCTGTAGATAAAATTGTGTCATCACAAATAATTCCAACATAAAATCTGACCGTAGAACATATATATGTAATACACGCACATGCACAAACACACACAGTCTTCTCTCCAAAATAAGCATCTTTCCTCAAGCAGCATCCTTTTCTAAAATTGCCATCAGATCCATTTAGACAGTTTTTAAGTTGACTCAATGCTGGTAGTGGGGGTAGGTAGATTTGGTTTTCAGAAACTGTCCAAAGTTATTAGGAACCAGACCAGATCGGTAAGCACAGTAAATGATGAAGACCACAATTCTCTTTTGGGTTAAAAACCAAAGTGTGACCAACTATAAAGTGATGAGATTCCCTTTTTACTGAAAGGTTCATATTCTCCAAATTTTAAGGCTTGGCTTTTGAATAACAATAATTGTTAACATATTTATAATTTATAAAAATTACATATATTAACTCATATGATGCTTTAAAAAAAAAGATACCCATTTCCAACAAAAGGAGACTAAGTAGAAGCTTAGAAATCGTAATTATTTGGGAAGCTGGCATGTGGTCCCTATGTCTATGAATGCTAACCAGAATATTATTTACTACATGATAGTCTCTATATTTTGAAAGTTAAAGTTATACCTAAAACTATTTGTATGCTAAATTCCATTTACATGTTTTAACTGAATGCCAACTTCATGAAAAAAGGGTATTAAAGCACCATTTAAGCTATAAAAAGAGCTTTAAAAAACAAAACTCTAAGGTCATATAAAAAAATTTTTAAATTCCAAGCTGCAGTTTTAAAAAATTACTAAATTAACTGAATTTATTCATGCCGTTCTTCAACATAAACAGAAAGCTGTTTTTATTTCAATCATTTTAACTGATCATCCATTGTATCAAGCAAGAGAAGCAAATATAAGCAACCATAGTCTATTTAACCCATTTTCCTATTGAAGGACATTACAGTTATTGTTAATACTTGGATATTTTAAATAAAATTGCAAGGAACATCCTTCTACATACATCCTTGAACATGTATGTGTGTGTGCACACTTCTGGAGAATTTGTTGAGCCAAAGGATAGGCAACTAAAAAAATGATTAGAAATCTAATTTTCTCATATATTTCACATAAATATGCTAGATTCCTTTAAAACTAGACTTTTGTATGAAAACTGAGAAGACATAATTTGAAAAAGAAGGCAAAGGAAATGGAAAGCTCCATGGAGGGAAAACCCTTGGATCAGAAATGTCCGTGGCACAAATGGCTAGAATTACATTCAAAGGCTCTTCTAATTGCAAGACAAACGATCCATATGTCTGGTGCCTCATCAGAGCTCACTGAGACTTGCTGACAGGGCAGAGAAAAATACTACAAGGCTTCCAGGAGAGATCCTTAAAGCCATGGACCATATAAGTCTATTTCAGGCACTGAGCAAAGATCAGGAGGTATCACCTCAGTGGGAACTCATACACATTAAACAGCCTGGACAATTGAGATTGAGGTATTTTCTAGTGTTGTCTGCCTAAAAGCCTTTTTACACAGATTCCAATTCAACTGCTACTGCATATTGGTAGCAAGCATGACAGGATAGGAAAAGAGGAACAGGCCTGAGTGTTTCTGTTTCCTGTAACATGTGCTTTTCTTCCAAACTTAATCTGACTTGGCCAACACCGGTACAGTTGGAGATTCAGCACTGAAATAGAGTAACCTCTTTCTCCCCCTATCCAAACTCCTTGCAAATCTAAAACAACTGCCAGGAAAGAAGCGAAGGCACATTACCCTGTACCTGACCAAATCACTGCTGTCTAAGGACTCCCACGTCACCTCCATTTTTCTAGTTTACTCTCACTAGGCATGGGAATATACTTACCAGGTTTAACAAATGAAACTACAGGACTATCAGTTAAATGTGAATGGCAGAAAAACAACAAATAGTGTTTTAGTGTTGGGTCCCACACACTGTCAAAACAAGAAGAAATGCCAAAGAAATGGCTGTTAAATTCAACCACAATTTACATTTCCTTATCTCCACAGAAAGGCTGGTTGGAAAAAGCTTCCAAAAGAGTAGAACAGTGGCCGGGCGCGAGCGCGATGGCTCATGCCTGTAATCCCAGCACTTTGAGAGGGTGAGATGGGCGGATCACTTGAGGTCAGGAGTTCAAGACCAGCCTTGCCAACATGGTAAAACCCCGTCTCCACTTTAAAAAAAAACAAAAACAAATAAATTAGCTGGGCGTGGTGGCACATGTCTATAATCCCAGCTACTGGGGAGGCTGACGAAGAATTGCTTGAACCCAGGAGGCAGAGGTTGCAGTGAGCTGAGATCGCATCATTGCACTCCAGCCTAGGCAACAGGGCAAGGCTCTGTCTCAAAAAAAAAAAAAAAAAAAAAAAGAATCGGAAAAGAAAAAGGATAAATCTAGGAGGTCCAACATCAAAATAGGATGCATTTCTATTTTGGAGAGAGAACAGAAGGAAGAGAATTATCAAATAATTTAAGAATTGTTCCAGAACTGAAGGACACAAGTCTCCAGTTAAATGAGATGACCAAATGCCCACCACAAGAAATGAAAAAGCCCTCCACCAAAGCACACCACCCTGAAACCTTAATCACTAGGCATAGAGAGAAAATACTAAAAGCTTCCAAATGGAAGAAACAAGTTACAAACACAGGGACTAGGAACAGAACCACTTTGCTGGCAGTCAGAAAAAGATGAAGAAAATGTCTTTAAAATTCTGAGAGAAAAGAGTTTTTTTATCCAGAATTCTTTACTTGGCCAAATCATCATTTGAGTGTAAAGGTAGAATTAAAACATTTTTAGATATTTCAGACACCAAAATGGAGGAGCAAATCAAGAAAAAAGGCAGGCATGGGAAATAGGAACCAGGAACTCAGATACTGGAGGAAAGGAAGGGAATCAGCAGGCTGGAGTGCAGGGAGATCTCAGGGGGACTGCTGCTGGACAAGCCCAAGCTGCAGCTGGTCTGTACCTGGTCTGCAATGGTAAGGGAAGATGGAGAACTCCAGGAGGGAGAGCTTCCGTGCTAATGAACACACAGATTATCTAACACATCTAAGCATTTGCAGGGCACAGGTGAGCTACTGATAGGTGTATGATAGATCTAATGGAACAATTAGATAAGCTCAAAGGCAGTTTTACTGAAAACAGAGCAAGGAAGAAAACACGGAATGCTCATAAAATATACATGACCCATATTATTTTTTCATTTTTTTGTGGATTTACCTTTTAAAAGTTAACTTTATTGAGAAGGTAACAGGAAGAAAAATTGCATGGCAGGAATGGTTTAAAACTGCTAAATCCTAATCTACTACAGCTTGATTACCTAACATCTAAAATGGAAAAAGCAAGAAATAGTGTAAGTATAAATATATTACATAGAAATGTGGAGGTAAAAATGAGAAAAAACAACTAAAACTTAAAAGTGGCTGCGTCTAAGGCACCGAGTGGATAAGTGAAAAAAGAGAACTGCTATTTTTTTCTATTCATTCTATTTGCTTTTTGGGTATGTACATGTATTTTGATTAAAAAATTTAAATAAAATAAATTTTAAACACTTCAAAATAAAAGAAAGGTTTATAGGGATCTGCAGCAGTTCTTCCTGCTTCCAGGCTTCAGCAGAGCCCTTAGCACACCTGCATGTGAGGAAACTACCCGAGGCTGGGGAAAGAACCACCCAAAAGAAGCAAGCAGAACAATTTTCAGAAATCACATAGGGTAGGCACCAGTTGGTATTACCACCCACCAGCCTAAATGAAAAAAAAACTCTGTAAAAAGGGATATCAGATATTCAGAAGTATACTGCCTAAGTCTCCTTCTGAATGCTTAGAAGAATTCTAATTCCCTTCAGTCTAGGACTAATTTAAGGGAAAAATGAGTCCTAGACTGAAGAGTGTTTTGGTCCTACATAAAGCAGTTTAAAAGGAAGCCCTGAAAGGTCAAACTGTTTCCAAGTAACTTAATTTTCTCTCAAAACAAAGCTCAAGAATATTTAATAAAGTCTCTAGCATCCAATAATTCACAATGTCTGGCATCCAATAAAAAGTACTAGGCATAAAAACAAGCAGGGAAATATCACTCATGAGGAGAAAAATTAATCAAAATGACCCAGATATGACAAAGATGATTTATAGACAGGAACATTAAAAACAGTTATAACTATATTTCATATGTTCAAGAAAGTAGAGGAAAACATTAGCATATTAAGGACAGGTGTGAGAAATGTAAGAAAACCTAAATTAAATTATCAAGGTGAAAAATACAATATTTGAGAAGAAAAATACACTAGATGAGATTAACAGTAGATTAGATAGGACAGAAGTAGTATTAGTGATATATGAGCAATAGAAACTATCCAAAATAAAACACAGAAGAAACGTTGAATAAAAAGAACAAATCGGCCAGGTGTGGTGGCTCATGCCTGTAATCCCAGCACTTTGGGAGGCCGAGGCAGGTGGATCTCTTTAGGTCAGGAGTTTGAGACAAGCCTGGCCAATATGGTGAAACCCCATCTCTACTAAAAATATAAAATAGCTGGGCGTTGTGGCACACACCTGTAATTCCAGCTACCTGGGAGGCTGGAGAACTGCATGAACCCAGGAGGCAGAGGTTGGAGTGAGCCGAGATTGCGCCACTGCACTCCAGCCTGGGCCACAGAGCCACAGAGCGAGACTCTGTCAAAAAAAAAAAAAAAAAGAATGAAAAAGAACAAATCAAAAAAAGAACAAAGTGTCAATAAGCTATGGGACAGTTTCAAGCAACCAAATATATCTGTAGTGAAGTCCCTGAAAAAAAAAAAAAAGGAGAGAAAACATTTTAAGAAATAACGGTAATTTTCCTCACATTTTACTAAAACAATAACCTACAGATCCAAGAAGCTAAACAAACCCCAAACAAGAGAATTGTGAAGAAGTCGACAAGGTGTATCATAATCAAATTGCTTACTATCAGTGATAAAATCTTAGAAGCAGCTGGAAAAAATTGCTATGTACAGAGCAACAAAGAATGATAGCCGACTTCTGGTTGGAAACAATGCTAGCCAGAAGACAGTGCAGCAACATCTTTAACTGAAAGAAAAAAAAAAACCTGTCAATCTGTAATTCTATGCCCAGTGAAAACATCTTTCAGAAATTTAAGGTGAAATTAAGACTTTTTCAGACATACAAAAGCTGGAAGGATTCATCACTGTAACTCCTTCAGACAGAAGGAAAATGATACCAGATGAAAAAACTAGATCTACGCAAGAGTGTGAAGAGCACCAGAAATGATAACTAATGGTTAAATACAAAAACTTTTCCCCCTTAGTATTTAAATCTAAGATAACTGACTGTTGCCAGGTGCAGTGCCACATACCTGTAGTCCCAGCTTCTCAAAAGGCTGAGGTGGGAGAACCACTTGAGCCTAGCTAGGAGTTTGAGGCCAGCCTGGGCAACATACTGAGGCTCTGTCTATAATAATCATTGACTGTTTAAAGCAAAAATAACAATGTACTGGAATGTACTACAATATGTAGATGTAAAATGTATGACAAAGATAGAACAACGGCTAAGAAGGGAGAAGGGAAATATACTGCTGAGTACACTATGATAAGTTAAAGATGTATGCTATAAACTCTAAATCTAATAAAGCTAACACAGGAGGATAAAATGGAATCATAGGAAAATGTATAATCTAAAAGAAAGAATAAGAGGAAAAGGGGAATAAAGAATAGAATAAAAAATGAATACCAAGATAGCAGATTTAAACCAACTGTATCAATAATCACATTAGGCTGGGCGTGGTGGCTCACGCCTGTAATCCCAGCACTTTGGGAGGCCCAGGTGGGTGGGTCACTTGAGTTCAAGACCAGCCTGGCCAATATGGTAAAAACCCATCTCTACTAAAAATACAAAAATTAGCTGTGCATAGTGGCATACGCCTGTAATCCCAGCTACTTGGGAGGCTGAGGCAGGAGAATCGCTTGAACCTGGGAGGCAGAGGCTGCAGTGACTCAAGATTGCACCACTGTACTCCAGCCTGGGGAACAGAGCAAGACTCTGTCTCAAAAAAAAAAAAAAAAAAAAAAAAAAAAAAGAAAAGAAAAGAAAAAGAAAAAAAAACAATAATGACATTAAATATAAATGGTCTCAAGCACCTCAATTAAAAAGCAGATACTGCTAGTTTGGATGAAAAAGCAAGATACAACTATATACTGCCTATAAGAAATAGACTTTAAATATAAAAACACAAATAGGTACAATAAGAATATGGAAGAAGATATTCCATGTTAACAATAAAAGAAAGCTGAGGTGGCTATATTACTCAAAGTAGACTGCAGTGCAAAGAATATTATAAAGAATAAAGGTCATTATAATGATAAAAGGTCGATTTTATCATTATGTTCTCTGACTACAATGTAATTAAATTAGAAATCAATAACATGAGATTATCTGAAAAATACTTGGGGAAAAAATACACACGTCTAAGTAACCCATGGGTCAAATAAGCAATCAAAAGGAAGATTAGGAAATATTCTGAACTGAATGAAAATAAAAACAAGGCATATCAAAATTTATTTCAATAAATTTAACAATTTAAACAAAAATGGACAAATTCTTATAAAGACACAACCTACCAAAACTCACATGAGAAGAAACAGATAACTTGAATAGTCCTGTATCTATTTACAAAATTGAATTTATAGTTTAAACTCTTTCTATAAAGAAAACCTCAAGCTCAAATGGTTTCACTGGTAAATTCCACTAAATATTTAAAGAAAGAAATAATATCAATTCTATACAAACTCTTCCAGAGAGACAGAAAATTTTAAAAAACTACTTTACAACTCATTCTATGAGGCCAGCATTCCCTAAACACTAAAGCCAGATAAAGACATTATAAAAAAGAAAAACTACAGACTAATAACTACTTGCATTACCACAGTGTGGTACTAGTAAAATGACAGACATAGAGTAATGGAACAAAACAGAGAGGTCAAAGATACACACACACACACACACACACACACACACACACACAGAGCAAATCGATTTTCCACAAATATGTAAAGCAATTCAGAAAAGAGTCTTCAGCAAATGGTACTGGAACAACTGCAAAAAAAAAAAATACAACTGATCCATTCTTTACGCCATATGAAATATTAACTTAAAATGGATCATAGGACTAAATGTAAAATCCCAACCTATAAAACTTCTATAAGAAAACATAAATCTTTTGAACCTTGAACCAGTAAAGATTTCTTAGGTAAGACACCAAAAGCACAATCCATGGAAGAAAAAAAATTGATAAAATGGACTTTTACCATAATGAAAAACTTGTTTTTTGAAAGATAATGTTACAAGAATGAAAAAACAAACTATAGACCAGAATTAAGTACCGCAAGTCACATATCTGATAAAGGACTTATATCCAGAATATATAAAGAACTCAAAACTCAATAGCAAGAAAACAAACAACCCATTAAAAGAAAAGGGCAAAAGACATGAACAGTCACTTTATCAAAGATATATGGATGGTAAATAAGCGCCTGGAAAAAATGCTGAATGCTATTAATTGTTAGAGAAATGCAAATTAAAACCATAATGATATACCACTACACACCTATCAGAATAGCTAAAATATAGTTTAAATTTTAAACCTGAAAATACAAAATGCTGAAAAGGCAGAAAAATTGGAACACATATATTGATGGTGGGAATGAAAAATGGTACAACCACTTTGCAGAACAGTTTTGCAGTTATTTATAAAGTTAGACACAGAGTTTCCATAAAAACCAGTAATCCCAATTCAAGTTATTTATCCAAGAAAATTGAAAACATGTTACCACAAAAATTTGGACATGAACGCTTAAGAGATCCAAACTGGAAACAAACCAAATGTCACTCAACTGGAGAAAAGATAAACAAACCATGGTACATCTAGACAATGCAATAATACTCAGCAATACAAAGAAACAAACTACTGATACACATAACAACCTGAATGAATCTCAAATATATTATGGTAAGAGAAACAAGCCACACTTAAAGACTGCAAACCATATGATTCCATTTATGAGACATTCTAGAGTAGGTAAAACTATAGAGACAAAAACCAGATCAGAAGTTCCCAGAAACTTGGGGTAGGGGAGGGAGGGGAGATTGTTATGGGTGATGGAACTATCTCATATCTAAACTGTAGTGGTGTTATGCCCACTGTTTTTCAAAACATGTAGAACTCAAAGATGGGAGCAATAAACACTGGAGACTCCAGAAGTGGGGAGGGAGGGGAGCCAGGGCTGAAAGGCTACCTATGAGGTACCTCGTTCACCACTTGGGCAACGGGATTATTAGAACCCCAAGACTCAGCATCACATAACATACCCATATTACAAACCTGTGCCTGTATGCCCTGAATCAAAACAAACAACACTATTGCTGTACACTAAAAAGGCAAACTTTACTATATGTAATTTACATCTTAAAAAATGAAAAGATGACTGCCCCTAAATAGCAGACTGGGAAGAATGAAAAAAAAAAAAGAAGAAGAAGAAGAGGAAGAAGAGGAAGAAGAGGAGGAGGAGGAGGAAAAGGAGGAGGAAGAGGAGGAGGAAGAAGAGGAGGAGGAAGAAGAAGAAGAGGAAAAGAAGAAGAAAAAGAAACATATTTTTAAATTTCTATCTAATCTTTATATTTTCATTATCATTTTTTATTGTAGTAAAAAACACATAAAATTTACATTAACCATTTTTAAATGTATAGCTCAGTAGTGTTAAGCATATGGTTACTATTGTGAAAAAGATCTTCAGAACTTTTTCATGTGCAGATCTGAAACTATCCATTAAATAACTTCCCATTTCCCCCTTCTCCTGCCCCTAGTAACTGCCACTCTAATTTCTATTTCTATGAATTCGGCTACTTTAGATACCTATACTTTTTTTTTTTTTTTAAATTAGAGACAGTGTCTCGCCATGTTGCCCAGGCTGATCTCGAACTCCTGGGCTCAGGCAGTCCTCCCACCTTAGCCTTCCAAAGTGTTGAGATTATAGGCGTGAGCCACCATGCCCAGCCTACATGTAGTATTTTGATTTAAAACATTTTAAACTAAAAGAAAAAAGGGAACAAAAACTATTTTAAAAGATATAATGCAAGGACTTAAATATATTCATTGAGGAGACCTAAAAATGCCTATTTTATAACTAATTGTTCTATCATTATATAAAATGCATTACTAGGCTTGAATTTTTTAACTATAATTTTGCTCTGTTCTTAGAACTGTTGAGTTTGTTGGTGATTAATCATTCCTAAATCTCATATTAGCGTTAAAAGATTTGTAAAAATTAAATACTTGCTTTAAGTGTGAGAATTTTAAAAGTCTTAAAATGCTAATAGATTTAAATATAATCTTTTATTTATATACACCTATATATAACACATGTATTTACCCTCTGTAAATACATTTTTTCTGTATTTTTCTCTCTCTAAACATTTATAATTACTTTTAAATTGTTACAATTCTAGAAACAATTTTAAGTTTTCCCATGGCTGTCTTCACCTTATTTAGCATAACTACTAATTCCAAAAGAATATCTATAATGCTAAGAAGACCCAATGCCTTTTCTTTTTTTTTTTTTTTTTTTTAAGATGGTAAGGGAGACTTTAAGAGGAACTACTGCAATGGGAGAGAGAGATGGGGCTCAACTCCTCTCAATGCCCTTCAGCAACAGGACTCAAATGGTTAACATTCTTATTTTACTTTTTATCTTCATGAAAATAATAAGCATTTCAAACCCAAATTTCTTCATAAATTACCACTTCTGCTTAATAGTGGTAGATTATGAAAATCTGGAGCCACAGACAAAAAAGGAATCACAGATTTAGAAGCCAAATGATATTCTATATAAAACATCTGAAGAAGTGACAAGTTGTCCTGATTATGATTTTCTATTTCGAGAACCTCATGCAAGTGAGGTTCTTGCATGAAGTGAAAAATGAATATTATTTCTTTTACTTTTGCACAGCTATGAAAAATAGATGCTTTGAGCACTTTTTAAAAATAACTAGTTACTTTAAGCTAATTTTCCTGTTAAATTCCAGAAGAAAACAACGATAAGCAGTCCTAAAAGACCTGGTAGGAACTAGACTAACCAACTAACCATTTTTCTATGCATACAGAGCCACTTAGGGTCATTAGAGGCAGTCTCTTGGTGACTCTAAAACAATCAGATGAAGCTCAATTACACAGTTGTATTTACAACGGTAAAGATAAATTTAAGGATATTACCTAGCTCCAGAATGTCTAATGTAGTACAGGCCTAGGTAAGCATTAACACATTGGCAAAGTTGACTCTGTGTGCTGGGGACACAGTGTGTTTACATAATAAATACCTCTGCTTCGATCAAGGGACACATTTCTACATTATGGCCTCCATGGGCAGCAGCTCTGTGACATAAATGAGGTCTGAGGGTTTCTTTAACCCTCTGATCTATTCAGAATTATAAAGCAAAATGGACCTTGGAGATCATTTAATTTTCTTATTCTCTAGGTTTAGAAATGGAGGCTCAAAGGCATTAGGTGCTTTGTCCAGGGTCTACCTCATCAACTGTTGGATGGAGCATAGAACCAAATGCTGATTCAATATAGTGTGCCCTAGAAGTGCACACCAGAAATTCTAGATCCGTGTGTGTGTGTGTGTGTGTGTGTAAGATGTTAGACCTGGAAGAATAAAGGGACCATAAAGTGAAATGCCCTTCTGCTGATCTCAACGGAGCCACAGTATTCATTGAAAGCCACCCATTTTACAGATTAAGAAACAAGCTGGGAGGCTGTGTGGAAACCACAGCCAGAGACCCATGCTGCATGTGAGTCAGGCAGCCTGGCTGCAGGGTTTCTGGGCCTAGTCTAGAGTGGAGCTGGTGAGCTCTTGGTGAGAACTGGCCCTCCACAGCTTCCTTTCTGAGGCTGGGCAGGCTGACAGGGGCACTCAGATCAGTCCCAGTGCCAGTGAGGTCTACAGTTTGAGAAGGTGCTCTCCAGGCACTGGGACAAGGTCCCGACAGAGAAAGGGGCTCACCACAGACACAGAGCCACACTTGCTGACGGACACATTACTTAGTGAATGTGCCTAAAGAAGATTTTCAAATTGTCCTTTCATTAGCCCTGACAGTTCCTTGCAAAGCCCTCAAGAGCTGTGAGAAGACGAGTTAGAGGAAGTCCAAGGGGATCAAAGAAAATGATGCTCACTTGTAAAGAAGGCAGGCAGGCTGCGTCCCCAAGGCTTGTGGCCAGGAATAGGAGAAATGGCTTTAGCGGCAATCACTTTAAGAACTTCTGTGGTGTCCCAATATACCCCAAGGATTTTTACTCTAGGTGGTCATCAGCTTGGATCTCCTTCCATATCATCTTAGTGTGATTCTGACATTGCCACATTCTCCTATCCATGATTAAATAAGGGTAAGAAGACAATGCGATGAAAATAATAAAGTGCTGAGTGGGGCCAATGAAGTGGGAAATAAAAATTTACAATGAGAATGAGGGTCACTTTTTAGCATTTAAACCTGCTGCCAACTACTGTAAAAGAAATGGTCAACATAATACATCTTAGCTAGAAAGATATAAACTAGAATTTAAAAACTTTCTATACATTAGCTCTTCAGCCATTTGATTTACTCGCATTTATTTAACAGTGAGCACCCATGAAAGGCCAGGAACTTTAGGCTTGGCACCACAGTTATCAAGATGAGTAAGACACAATCCTTGCTTTTAGTGACTTGGGGGCAGTTGCAGGGGGCAAGGGGAGAAAGACGTATGATATTTTGTATAATTTGAGTGTATATAAAAAATGATGGTTAGCAGAAAGCAGCCTGGGAGTGTTTCTGAGGGCAGAAGACTTACCCTCTGGGTGTTGAAAAACAAATAAGAGTTGTCCAGTTAGACTACAAGGTACAAAGAGAATGAGAACACTCCATGAAAAAGGAAGGGCCAGGCAAAAGCCAGGGTCATGAAGCAGCATGCTGAGTTTGGACACCTCTCAGTAGTTGAGTGTGGCTATGGAATAGGAGGTTGGAGTTTAGCAGTGGGAGTGAAGAGAAAGGCAGTAGAAGGAAAAAAGTTTAAGACAGGCTGGGGCCTCACAGGCCATGTGATGGGAGACTGGACTTTAGTCTGAGGGCAATGAAGGTCCACATAATAGGGTTTAAAGGGGGCAAATGATGCAATGGGATTTGTGTTTTGGCAAGGTCACTCTGACCACAATGTATAAGACTACAAGAGATGGAACTGGGGGTAAAAGGAAGGAAATAATGAGGGCCAAAACCAAGGAGCAAAGGGGAGACAGAGAGAAAAGTGGGATGGATTCAAAGACATTGCAACATAGAACTGACCGAACTGGCTTGTGTGAGGTAAGGGAGGCAGGATGACTCACAGGTTTCTGGATTATGTGAACAGGTGGAAGGTGATGCCATTAGCCAGAATAAGGCTGTAGGCTAAGGGGAGTAAACTGGTTCTGGGGTATAACATTGATAGGCCTTACTAGGCAGTGGGAAATACGGTTTTGGAACTCAGGTGGGGTTGGGCATAAGAAAATACTGGCATAAGAAAAGTTGTTAGGTTAGCAGTAAGTCTCCTTGGGAGTGGATGAGATTACCTCAGAAATCCATATAGGCAAGAGATGGTGGAGCTGGGCGGCCACACACACTGGGGCAGCCGTTTGGCATAGCAAAGACACCTGAGTTTTCTGTGGATCTAGTGGACACTACAGAAGGTGGCTAGGCTTGAGGCACTTGCAAGAACCTTGAATGGGAGAGTAGCCTCTACCCAACAAGGAGACCAAGACAGAGAAAGTGATTTAACTGTGGAGGGAGCGGGGAAATGAAGAGATCAGGTCAGCTCTCCAATGCCAGGCACCCTAAGGTGCCAGCAAAGAGCCAGCAACTGCGTCCTTTGAGAAAGCTCATGTGGATGGCAGCCTCACGAAATGAGCCAATGGACAGTCCGTTAGACAGAAACAGACAGACGGCAGCTGCAACCGTGACAGAAGCGGGACACTGCAACAGTCAGCACAGAGACTCTGCCCCTCGGTTCTTCCTTCCCACCTCCATGCTAGCGCACTGCTACTGCCAAGAGGGAGGGACGCGTGTGAGAGCCAAAAACAGCCTCCACTCCAAGGCGCCAGTAACAGACTGGGTTCTTTTTTTCCTTTTCAGGGAAAGAGTGGGCAGAGAAGAGAGAGCTTTGATTCTGACATGAGAGTCAAATTTCAAAATGCAAAGAACGAAGTGTTTAAAAAATGGTAAGTGACTGTTTAAATGACCAAAATTAACTGGAAAGCGATGGAAATGGGTCGACATGCTAGTAAGGAAGCCTGCTACCAGAGTGAAAGGGTGATTCAACTGAGCACAATTAATAGCAGTTATTAGGAGAAATAAAAACAAACCATGACATGCATATTTCTCACCAATGAATTGAGACTTTAAGCAAATGGCTCTGGAGGGGATCCAGAAGAATGCGGCATGAAGCCACACGCTGAGGATCAACTGTGAGATGAGGCCATATCATGTCAGGGGCTGAGCAGACCCCAGTGAGCTATAGGGGGCACAGCCCCTTACCTGTGGGGCTGTTGGGGCCACTGCATGCCCGTATCTATCCCACCGATCACCAATAGGACATCCGCCATGGCTGACCGAGGAGAGGACTGCAAACTCACCAAGGGCTCCCTGGCAAGGACACCCCTGTCCTTTCCCACTTTTGCGCTCCCAGCCCCACATCAGGGACTTGTTCAGTCAGGAAAGCAGGCAGGGGACAGATATAGATGGAAACAATCCAGGTCCTCTCATGTCAATTCCAAATTGCTAGAGACACAAGCTTAGTCCGACTTGACAGAAGAGGAGAACTTTGAACAAAACACGATATAAAGCTATCAAATAACAGAACTAAGCCTTAAGAACCCAAATGAGGTTAAGTAACGAGAAGTAACTAACAAGTCATGGAACTAAATAAAGTGAGATGTTGTAAGGCAACCCCAATGTATAGCAAAAAGGAGTGGCAGAGTTGGTGGCAACTACTCGAAAAAGGAAACTGCCGCACACTCATACCCCAGTTAATCTTTACTACTCTGAGGCGGTAGGTACCATTCTTTTCTTCATTTTAAAGTTAAAAAGTCTGCTTGAAGTTTATGGCCTCCTCTGTGCCCGCCCACCTGCCTAATGTGTGGATGACACCCTACAGTGGGCACGAGGGTGAGGGCAATCATATTTGCCAGTGCTCCCAGAGCCCGAGCACAGGGAGCCTGGGCCTCTGCGCCTCACAGGGCCCCATGCCACCACTGTCCTCATGGCCTGGCTGGGCTACTCATGGGGAAGGGTGAGTATGTCTTACAAAGTAACTTGGCTACACTCTAGGGACGTCTGCTTGCCTTCTGACAGCCTGGTGATGCCCCCCCAGTACCGCCAGCTGCTGAGTGACCATGGGCCACTATCCATAGGCTACACCCAGGGAGCTGGGAACAGCCAGGAGCCCCAGTGAAGAGTTGGGGAGAGATCAACCCTGCCTACGTGGAGTAAGAACAGAATAAAGAGACTAAATCGAGGCATTATTCACTCTAGAAAGCTGGTAAGGTAAGTGCTTGGCTAAAACCGAACAGAGTGCCATATCCTTGCTGCTTTTGGCTTTAAAGGTTTTCCATCTTTTTACAAGATGAGAAGTTACAGTTCACCTCCCCTGTTTCGATGAAACTCTTGTTTTCAAAATGCTAACAGGTTGGTTTTTCCTCCCATGTTTCACCTGGCTCTGAACTACAGTCTCACAGATTGAAAAAAGATTTTGCAGTTAATTAGAATTTACATTTTCAGTAGTTAGGAATTACCCAAGTTATTTTTTAAGCATTGATTTAAAAGGTGCATGTAAAGTTATCTCAGCAAACTAGTTTGCCTCTAAGATACCAGTGTCTCCCTTTAACCTTCTCCTTTGAATATGTTTCTGTGCCCCAAACTGTTCTGTTAAGCTAATACAACCATAAGGATTTTGTTTCAATGCATACTAACAGCGCACTTAGTAGCCACTCCTCGTTTCTGCTTAATATAACTTTTTTGCATAAACATATGCATGACTATTAGTGCACTGAAGTCAATTTTTAAAATGCACAAGTTATAAATACAGCAGAATAACCTACCAAACTTAACAAGGAACACCCAAAATTTTCAAACTATCAGTAGATTTCGGTTATGCATACTTTAAGTTGATCAAAACTGGAAGAAAATAACTGTTTATATCTTTATATGTATTTATTACTTGATGCAATAAAGCTTATTTTCATTAACACAAACAAATCTGATAGTGGTCAGACAACTTACCCAAGGAGACATATGTTTAACAAATGGCAGAGCCAAGATCCAAACTCAAGTCAGTCGGCTTTGGTACAGGGCATGACTCAATAATCTAGCAGAACCAAAAAGTGGGCTATTTCTAGACACCCCAGAAATACGCAGTTCAATTAATTTAGTAAAAAACTGACACCTGTCCTTAAAATAGTAAATGTTACTTCTAGTCATCATGGCTAGACACCTTCAGACAATTTATATCTAAAATATACAGATTTATCAGAGTATTACACGTATGTTTCTAATAAGAAATGCTCCTAATTGAAGATGCTTCAATTTTACTTAATGATTTTGCATTGGTTTGAAGGTAAAGTTAAAACATAAAGGATTAATTTAGTCTGGTGTAGAGGGAATGAATTCCTTTGTTTCATTACCCAAATTAAATACTACATATATTTAAAAATTCAGTTGCATTATTTTGAATAAAACAAGATGTTTTACAAAGGCCATTAAAATGATGTTGGTGACAAAGCATAAGTTCCATCACCTATTACGTAACCCAAGTTAGGGTAATGCTGCACAAACACATAAAACTGAATACCTCAAATACATATTGCTAGTAAAAACAGAGTTAATTCTAAAAAAACTTTGGCTTTAATACATTAGATTGGGGGAGGGGGACAGCAGGGGAAGACCAGTTATGTTATATGAAGAGATTTTCTTTAAAACCAAGTTTCTTACCTAATCAGGATAACTAAATTAAATGAGTGATTAACCTGTTTTAACACTGAGGTATGCTTGGAACAGAAAGTATTTTTTTAATGAAGTATTTACATTATGTAAACATATATAACAACATCTATGTAAGTTAGGAAGTATAACGGTAGAACAAACACCCACAAACTGCCCCCCGCTAAACTAAGAACGTTATCAACACCACTGAAACTCTTATGCTCCTCCTCATCCTCTACTCCCACACCAGGGGCAATTCTTCTCCAGCCTGAAATCATTCCCATTTAATTAGTTACTATATTTACTATGTTTAGTTACTATGTTTATTGGCTTCCTTCCTCCACTAAAACATACTAGACAAAGGCAGAAGTTTTGTTTACTAATACTTGATTAGACTTACTACTTGTCAGTCCCTATTCTACACGTTATGTATATTACCTCATTTAATCCTTTAAATAACCACCTCATCTAGGTACCATTATTATTCCCATTCATATAGAGGAGGAAACCAAGGCGCAAAGGAGTTATGTGACTTGATAAGGTCATACTCATCACCACTATGAAAAGCAAAAAATACTTCTGCACTCTTATCATAACAGATGCTGTCATGTTTTAGTAATCTTCAGTCCCTTGAAAGACTGGTTATCACTGGAAATAGTTTTTTTTTAAAATAATAAAAATTCAACAAATATATATTGAGCACCCATTTTGTGTCAGGAACTGTTCTAGGCACAGGGGATTCAGTATGAACAAAATGGACAAAAGTCTCTGTCTTCCTGAAACTTACATTCAACTGGGGCTGAAAAAGTAAACAAGACAAATAAGTACATATACAGTATGTGAGATAAGGACAAGTACCCAGGAGACAAATTAAAGAACAGAAGCAGGGATATGAAAGATCAGAGAGGATGAAATTTTAGCTAGCTTTCAAAGAAGGACTCCCTGAGAAAATGAGTTTTGAGTAAAGACCTAAGAGAGATGATGGGATTAGTCATGGAAGAACTCTTCCAGCAGGGAGAACAGCAAGGGGAAATGCTGTATTCAAGAGACCCAACAAAGTCAAGACAGCATGATGCATCATAGGACTGCGCAGTAACCAATGTATGATACAAGAGATCTCTCTCACTTTTGCTATCTTGGTTTTCTGAAAGACTCTTTTTTAAAGAAACATGCTTACTGAGACCATCATTATGGTACACGGTGCATTTAAGAAACACTGTTCTGCACTTAATAGCAATAGGTATTACATGCCACTTTATATTCTAAACTAGTTTCTTCAAGAATTATTTTGGGATGCTTTTCACTTTCCAATAAAAACTTTCCCTGTCTGGAAGTACAAATAAGTCAGGTCCTCCTGTAGAATCATCTGTCTACAAAATTTAAGCACTAGATATGCAATGATAGCTCTTTTTTGAGTCTTGCTTTGGATAGTTTCAAGAAGCCATGAGAATTAATCGCATAGGGAATCTATTACAGAGCCTTTTAAAGCTACTTCTGACTAAGCATGGTGCACCGAACACACTCATTTATCTTTATTTCTACCTCACACCACTAAAGAGATGAGAACCCAGTTTTAAATGCATAAGGATAGAGTAAATATAAAAGAGACGTCAATTTCAATAGTTTTTCAAAGCTGGAAAAAAGACGGTAATTCATCAAGTTGAAACCTGAGCAAGCCGTAAAGAAAGTCCAAAGACCATTGATATGCAGTAAAGAACTCAATACTCAAAAAGTACAAGGTGCAGACAACATAAGTCTGTATAAGACAGACCCAATCTTACTCAACTGAATAACTGAGCAATTGTATCTGGAATTGGTTCCTTCCCGTGGGTTGTTGGTCTCGCTGACTTAAAGAATAAAGCCGTGGACCCTCGCAGTGAGTGTTACAGCTCAGCTCATAAAGGTAGTGCAGACCCAAAAAGTGAGCAGCAGCAAGATTTATCGCTAACAGTAAAACAACAAAGCTTCCACGGCGGAGAAGAAGACCCGAGCGGGTTGCTGCTGCTGGCTGGAGTAGCCAGCTTTTATTCCCTTATTTGGCCCTGCCCACATCCTGCTGATTGGTCCATTTTACAGAGCACTGATTGGTCCATTTTACAGAGTACCGATTGGTCTGTTTTTACAGAGTGCTGATTGGTGCGTTTACAAACCTTTAGCTAGACACAGAGCGCTGATTGGTCCATTTTTACAGAGTGCTGATTGGTGCGTTTACAAACCTTTAGCTAGACACAGAGCACTGATTGGTGCGTTTCCAATCCTTTACCTAGACAGAAAAGTTCTCCAAGTCCCCACCCGACCCAGAAGCCCAGCCGGCTTCACCTTTCACAATGACTAACAATTCTCTAGTATAGCCAACACTCAGTCAAAAGGAACCTAGAGGAAACAGAGACAGTGTAGGGAACTGAAGAAACTTGTAAAATCCTAAAAGATTACATGGATAAAATAAGAGGAGGACAACATTCAGAACACTAGAAAGAGCTCTTGGAAACTGAAAAATTGATATGAGAGCATAAGTGAAAATGTGCTAGAATAGAAAGTAAAGTTGAAGAACTATCTCAGAAACTAGAACAAAATACCAAAAAGGTTAATACAGGAAAGAAAATAAATAACAGCTATTAATATTTAGAAGGGCTAACACCCTAACAAAAGAAGTTTCAGAAATGTGCAATATGGACAGGAGAAAAGTGTCATAAAATAATTCAAGAAAACTTCCTAGAACTACAGATCAGGCTTTTTAAAATTAACAGAGCCTATCAAGTACAATCTGTTCCATTATAAAACTTGTTTGGAAAACACCAATTTGTTCCAACACAATTCATATGTTAGAGAACAATTTGAGCGTAATGCACATTTCACATTTGCTTATGTGTGATTTTGTTTGTGAGAAACATCAGGTGAACGCAGGAAACTGCACCCAGCTGAACCAAAACTGCACCTAGGAAAACGCAAACAGCACATATCTCAAACATGTAACAGCTACCTCAGTTCGGCACGTTTGTTACTCTGCAAAATTATGTTTTGCTATTCTTTCGCAAAGGATAACTTTTCTATATAAAAACACGCATTCAACATCTCAAATATGTCTAATCACACTGGATCAAAAACATCAAGCAGCATGCACAAAAGAAAAGCTTTTAAATATTGAGAAGCCAGAAATAAGGCATTTTGAAAGAAATGAGAGAATATGTGATGAGAACATGTGGTATCTCCCAAGCAACAGAAATAAAATTCATGTTGTGGGCCTTCACAAACAACGCATGGAAATAAAAGAAACGCCTATTGGTAAAGCAATTTCAAGGGCTGCAAAAAGAGCAACCCCTAAAGAAACAGAAGAAAAAGAAAGCTTGTTGAATATATGTACTGAAAAGCAAATAGCAAAAAAAAAAAAAAAAAAAAAGGAATACTTTTTCTCAGAATCAAAGAGAAAGCACTATTTATATAAAAAGGAAATCGCTAAATCCTGCAGAATTTGCTCCTTTTGTGCTAGCAGTGGCTGGTTTAGTAGTTTCAAAAATCTCTATGATTTCCAAAGCCTTCGGTTGTAGGGTGAAGCAGAGAGCTCACCTAAGAAAACTGCAAAAAGAATTTCCAGCAGTGATACAGAAGCTAACTGAAGAAGGTGGCTATATATTGGGTCAAACTTTCAATTCTGATGAAATAGTTATCTATTACACATACATCAGATCTGTCAACTGACACTGTTTCATATTCTTGGACAGAATTAGAAAACTAAGTTTCCAAGGATTTCAAAGTCTGCTCATATAAAAGTAGAACAAGTTCTAGGATCTACTTTCACTTTTGAAACAGATAGGTGAAATCTTTGAAGCCTTTCCAGTCACTATATTCTATCAAATCTGATCCTCCTAATTTCTCACTGTGATTCTATCAGCAAAAATTCTTAATGTTCTCTTAATAGTATGATCCTTTTCCTTTTTAATTCCAACTAAAGCATCATTTCCAAACAACCTTTGAAAGCATCTATGATGTTGTTTTAGCCATTTAAGTCCATAAATGCAATTATAAAACATCTTCATCAGTACTGACTTTAGTGCAGCTTTTTAAAGAGTCAGATTTTGAGCACTGGAGTTAGAGCCTAATTCAAATTTCCAAAAATCACTTATTCATAGTAAAATGGAAGTGATAATACATATTTCATAATGATGGCAACAGCAGCCCATCTAGAGCAGCCACTGCAAAGACGCTGGCTGCAGCTGGGGAGGCGCGGCGGGCATTGCAGGCTCCAGAGAGACAGCAAGGGCCAGGAACAGGCGGGAGCCCCACCCCCTACCAAGTTAGCAGGACAGAAGCCTGCACTCCCAGGCACAGCTGCAGCTGCCCAGCCGTACCTCCAGACCTGGGCATCCCTGTGCTCTCGGGGACCCAGGAAGCCCCACTTCCCCCACAGGCTTGGAAGGGCCCGATCCTGCTCTCTGGTCTCTCCCCACTCCCAGTGCCCGCTCTGATTTTGCAGCAAAGTTATGGCCAAGCCTGGGCGCTGTCCGACCAGGTGTGTGTGTGCGCTCGGGGCAGCAGCTGACATGCCAGCCACCCCTACTCTGCCTCGGCCCCCTCTGGACCTTGGGCACCGACAAGTGCAGGAAGAAGGCCAGGGTGGGGCTGAGGGCAGCTCCATGCAAACCTGCAGGCACCCCTCAGTACGAACAGCCTGGGCACTGTGGATGGCATGTTGATGGCGGGAGGCAGACAGGTTCTTGGAGAGAAAGGGGAGGATCCCTAGTGAAACCCCACTTTCAAGTGGTAGATGGCCTAAAGCCTGGGGGCTGGGCTGCCAGTTCCGGGTGGAGTCCGTGGGATGGCAGTGAGAACTTGTGCTTTTTCCAGGCCCACTCATGGCCGTCCATGGACCAATCAGCACACACTTCTTCCCTTCTAAGCCCATAAAACACCCCCGGACTCAGTCAGACTTGCACAGATGTGGGGACTACCGGTTGCAGGAAGGAGCGACCCACTTGGGGTCTGCTCGACTTGTGGGGAATGACCTGCCTGTGGAAAGGAGCTATCCACTATGGGTCTCCTCTCCACTGAGAGCTGGACACTTGCCAGGATGACCTGCCTGTGGAAAGGAGCTACCCACTATGGATATCCTCTCTGCTGACACCTGGACACTTATTGGCACGACCTGCCTGCAGAAAGCAGCCACCCACTTTGGGTCTCCTGAGAGCTGTTCTGTCACTCAATGAAGCTCCTCTCTGCCTTGCTCTCCCTCCAGTTGTCCACATACCTCATTCTTCC
Source organism: Homo sapiens (assembly GCF_000001405.40). Taxonomy (NCBI): domain Eukaryota; kingdom Metazoa; phylum Chordata; class Mammalia; order Primates; family Hominidae; genus Homo; species Homo sapiens. The sequence goes on from NC_000013.11 coordinate 44,459,515, forward strand.
TGGACACGAGACAAGAACCCAGGACCTGCCGAGTGGTGGGACTGAAAGAGCTGTAACAGAAACAGGGCTTGCCACATTGCAGGTGACAAGAAAGAGAGAAGAGCTGCAGCCCTTCAGGAAGCCCAGACCTAGGGGCTCCCCAACCCAGGGCTGTGACACCCTCTTTGGGGCTCTGCAGTTCCTGGCATCTCCAAGCTTCCAGGCGCCACTGCACTCCCCGGTGCCCACAGTGGAAGCCACTTACAGTATGCCTGGTCTAGCCGCAGCCTTGCACAGAGCCGGCGCCTAGAGCTGCCTACCCCGCTGCAGCCAGCACACCTGGCTGTGCACAGTGGTGAGACCCCAGGCTCGTTTCACACACCCCTTGCCACTGACCCTTGGCAGGCATGGGTGCCTGTCTCATCCTTGGCAGGCATGGGATCCAGGACAGTAGCACAAGCGGAGAGCAGCCAGCGGAAAGCAGCCAGCCAGGCCAAGTGGGTGGAATTATTAGCTCAGAGGGCCTGAGAAAACTCCAGCAAAGGTACCCCCAGCCACAGAGGTTTCTGGCTGAAAAAGCGACACCCCAAGGATCCTGTGACAATAATATTGTTATGACATTTAAAAGAGATAACACAAGAAAAGAACCTGGCTCTTTCCACAGTAATTAAGGTGACCAATTAAGGTGAAGCCCTTGTGTTCTGAACTACTTGGTTTTAGCCATAATTGGGGTTAATCAAAAGAGATCCTCACATTTCTCAAATTACTCCTTAAAGTAGAGAGTTGCTTGAGAATGGCCTAATATAAAAAGTATTATTATAGATTACTTCCAAAGGAAATTTTTTTCAAATACGAAAACCACCTTTATACAGCTTGATGCCCTTTTCCATGACACAGAATAATTATCTGGAGAAGCAATTTATAAGTGACTTCATTGTTTTTGGTAAAAGGGCAACTCAAATTTTGCCTTAATCCCTATGACATGATGAATTAGTTCAGAGGGTGATTCCTAATATTTTTTTACTTTATGTCTTTAAAGAGAACCACCTCTTACTTCCTCACCCATTTATTTGATGTCCTAAACTGTGTTAGAGTCCTTGCAGCCTCTTTCACAGAGGCCATCTCTGCCCTCCTAGACTGTCCTCTAGGAAAAGCTATGGAGGGAGGCCCCATCCGCTTCTAGTGTTCTCTTCCCTTGATTTTGTCATATTTGTTGCTCCAGCAGGAAATCAAGTGACCTTCTCCCCAGAACAAGGAAGAGGAGATAGTCTTTCTTTCCCACCACAGCTCCTTTCCACAAATACTTAATTCACAAACATCTTGTGCCTGGCATTATAGTAGTTACTGGGCTTCTTTCGAGGAGTGAAGAAGCCCTCCTTCTAAAAAGCTTTCAAACCAAAAAATGCTAGTAGAAATGTGAAAACAATGGTTTTTCTTAGCAGTAGGAATGATATAATTTATCATCTAGCTTTATCACAGACCAGTAGAACAGAGATGTTTTCAGATAAAAACAGCTTTCTTGTTATAAATTAAAGTTCAAAGAGAAAAGGAAATGCAAAACAATACTTTTAAACCAAATTTAACTAGGACAGTGGAATGTTTATTGAACAGCTAAATCCTAGGTAATATAATAAGCATGGTACACAGTATCTTGCTTAATATTCAACTCACGTCTATTATCATTGCATATACAAATTAGTAGTTAACTGAGACTATGCAAAATTAATTTGTTCACTCTCATACTGCTAGTAAGTATAATAGCTGACCTGGAATATGAACTCAGGTTTTTCTGACTCAAAAATCTAACTTCTTTCCATACACTTAAATATTTATTTAGTGCCTACCTGTGGTAAGCATTGTGACTGGCCCATAGTCCAGAAGGGGTGGTAGATGTGTAAGCAATAATTATAGGGCAAAGTAATAAGTGTGATATCTTAGGTATATGGCAGGTACCAGGAAAGCATAAGAGAAGGTAACCGAGTAAAGTACTAGATGGTGAGTAGTCAGTAAAGATTTCACCAAGGAATTTTCTCCTAAATTAAATCATCAAGAATAATCTTAAAATCATTAATTAGACCAGAGAATGACTGTATTAAGGGAAAAGCAGAAAATGTCCAAAACAGAGGCAGTAAGTCAAAGCATCGTTATGGAAGGTGCCCAAACAGTAGGGTCCTCTGAAATAATTACAGTATGGTGGGAAATTAAGGCAGATAAATACTCATTCAGAGATCTTCTAATCCCCCAAAACACTGAAAACACTGCTAAGGAATCCGAAATTCACCCCACAGCACATGAGCCCCAGCCAATCAGAACAGATACCAGTTGTAAATGGCCAGTTCAACCTAACTAGTGCAAACCAGCGAAATATCAACCCTGCCTTTAGGAAATAGGAGCACCAGTGGGGTGTTTACCGCAGGGGAGTAGCCTGACCAGCTCTGTATTTTAGGAAGGCAATTCCTAAATATATAGCATGAAGATATAATATGAAGTATGAACAGAAGGAAGGCAAAAGCAGAGACCAGGAATAAATTCTGTTAAAGGGTTTCTGCTGGAGGGAGAGGGGAGATAAATGATTTTAAAAGACGCCAGGTAATCAAAATGTAAACATCATTTCAAATGAGTCTATTACAATAACAAATAGGACTATGTATTATACAGAAACCATTACACAATAAGAATAATTCAGACTGGTGACTCTGCGATTACCCCCACAAATATATTTGAATGTTATTTCAGCAGAGTAACAAGAAAATTACTATCATTTAACTAAGCACCTTGTTTTGTTCAAGTTACATAACATCAAACATCTATTTTACAAACATTTTTGGAAAGGTGCTGGACCATAGAAAATATGGTTCTATAAACTCTACATCACAATGGCCTCATTTAATCTATTTTATGGAAAAAGAAAGCAGACTTGTTCAACAAAAGAAAGAAGTACTGATATATTTCTAATAAGCCTCTGAGTCCTACTCTGTGATCATTTTATTATAGCAAATGTTCAAGCTATATATTCTGGCCCACACTACTTTCAGTTATATGGATCACTACTCCAGTAAACCATTTACAAGCCTACAAATGGCAATGTGTACAATTACAGCACAAAAATCTAAATAAAAACAAATCTTATACAATATCAAGATCTGTAAAGTGTCCATATTATGAGATACAAGATATTAGAGGTTCCTCTACTTATAGTATTTGTCTGGGTGCTTTAAGTAGTTGATATAGGCTCTATTTCCAAATCAATAAGATAATATAAAAATTCAGAAAGACCCTCAAAGGAACACAAAATAAGTCATAAAACTAGAGTACAGGAGAATAAGGAACAAAAAGAATCAAGCATGGTATGTCTCAGATCCATTAGGACGATTAATGTGTTTGGGAATTTTTAAAAACTGTTCACTTATTTGTGAAAAGTAAAGAGTTACAGCTAACATATAATTACAAACTATAAATTATAAAGATTTTAGATGCATATTGCACTTACAAAGAGTTTGAGGAACTTAAACAGTTTAAATCCTGCCAGTCATCAATGAAAGAGATCACTTAATACTTTCTTTCTTTCCCCTACTAATCCTAGTTCTAAAATAAAAACTAAAGCTGATCATACAAGAAAATATTGCCTATGAGTTTCTCATGTGTTTGATTAAAGGGATCAGTTTTACTTGACAAAGTAACAAAAACAGACATCACCATCTCTGTATAAGCATAGAGAACAAAAGTAATAAATAGACATAAAAGCTACATGGTATTTCCTAAAATTATGAATTTTCAGCAAACAGTCCATGGAAATTTCTTTTAAGTGTGGTAATGACCTAACATCCATACATCAAATTCAACTTATTTGACAAATCTGCAAGCTTCTCACATATCTGTATTACTCTTCAGTCTATCCAGAATTATAGAAATAGCAGTTCTAGCTAAACTGCAGTTTAATTACTGGTTGACTTTGAATTAGAAGTTAAGGTGGCTAAACAGCCCATATGTTAAACATAAAAAACTTAAACTCAGAGGTGGGTCAATGCAAATAAAATCAGATTCACTGTTGAATTTCATTAGGAGGTTTGCATAAAGAGAACAGTTCTCTCTTTCAAAATGGCCTTTTTAAACAAATAGCTAACTCCTTAAATGTGTGGCATTTGATTAGAGGATTTCATGAAAAAAATGTATTTGCAAATTAATGGCCATTTGCTCTAAAGATATAATAAAGAAGAAAAGGTTTTAAAGAATCCTTACCTATAATCCAATCATGGTAATTGTCAAAGAATGCCAGAGTAGAAGATTAAATCATAAGAGAAAAATTAGTCATTTCCCATACTGTTTACTGTACCTGTTTTTGAGTTATCTTACATGTATGTACCTAGCTTAAATTTTCATATTCAAGCATGAAACCCTCATGCTGGCCTATGGAGAGTTCCACAGTGCTAAGAACTGAGGTGCTTCCTGCCAACAGACAGCATCAGCTTGCCAGCCATGTGAGTGAGCTGTCTTAGGATGGATCTTCCGGCCCCAGTGTCAAGTCTTGGGATGATGGAAGCCCTAGCTGACATCTTGACCTCATGAGAGACCCTGAGCCAGAACCACCTAGCTAAACCACTTCCAAATTCCTGGCCCTCAGAAACTAAGATGATCCTCATTGTTTTAAGCCACTGAATTTTAGGGTAACTTGTAATGTAGCAATAGAGACCTAATAAAAGGACATGTAAAAATAATAATAGTATTTTAGTGTGACTGTAATAGAAGAAGACTGGGAGTAATTTTGTCTTCTACTTCCTAAACTTTCTTTAAGGTTATGTCACTTTCATTGTTCCATTTTTTTAAAAGCGTAATGTTCATATTACTCCCACCATTTTCTTTGGAGAAGTTTTACCGAAGTCATTCACTCATTGAACAAATGCCTGCGAGGATGACAAGTCAGAATAGTCACCATCACTGACCTTACGGAGTTTACAGACTTTAATCAAATTTGTCTAGGATTACAGATAGTGACATAGTGATATAGTCTTTTTTTTTTCCCTATGTTTCTGGAAGGCAAATTAATTCCTTCTAGAAGGCAAATCAATTAAGTGATTAGTAAATGGGATAATGATGTCAGCATAACACAAAAATTGTATTGGTTCACAGGGTTTTTTCCTTCACAAGAGCACTCAGTACAGCTGGTGAATTACAGCCTTTATCAAGAATGGAAAGAGCTCTCAGCTCTGCTGTATAGCAGCAGGAAGAATCTTTTCATTTGTATTTAACAAGACCTAAAAGCAAGCACTTCCACCAGGAGCCCCTACCAGCTTTGTGCTCCTTTCAGCTTATGCCAGGTTACCCTGACTCTTGTACCCAACCTTACTGCAGCGCCCCTGGTTTGGAGCTCCACTTCCTTCTGTGTTATATCAGCACCTGCCACCTCTGCTCTAATTAAAATGTTGGTAGCATTTCACTCTTCTTTGTGTATTTTTTAATACCTACCATTAGAGCTTGCTGTTTTACTAAACTGGTACCAACTTTTTGTTTTCTCACTGCTCTGGTTACAATGCTGCACAAGTTTTGAGTGGTTGACCCCCACCGTGTTTTCTTCATAGGCTGTCTTATTTTTAACACATAATGCTGCAGAATGAGGTATTTAGGAACATATATATCGTGGCATAGAAGAAATGTCTGAAGGAAACTTTCACGGTACTAGGACAGTATGTAACACAGGACCTTGACCTAATATGGAAATAGCATGTGTGAAGGTTTAAAGCACAGAGACAGGAATACAAGGAGAGCCTCCCAGGAAAAAAAAATGCAGGCTTAAACTTTGTCTTTACCCCCGAAGACTTTGCCAGGCTAAGAAAGCTATATTCACGTCATATGGCTGAAGCATTCCTTTTTCTAATAGGACTCTGTGGGGGGACACGAGCATGACAATGATGAGACTAATTCAGTGGTTCTCAACCTTGGATGAACTTCAGAATCATGTAGGAAGCTTTTAAAAAATACAGATGTTCAGGCTCATGCCTCAGAGATTCAGACTGTACTCATCTTGTGTGAGTCAGCTGCCACAGGTGATTTCAATGTGAAGCCAGGGCTACAAACCACTAGACCAGAGGGGGCACTGGCAGCAATCAGAGCATTGGAGAATAGCTCTTAGGAAGAAATTTTCTAAACAACAACAAAGCCCACGACTGATATTACTTATGTATTAAAAAGTTGGCAATTTGGGCCAGGCACAGTGGCTCACGCCTGTAATCCTAGCACTTTAGGAGGCCGAGGCGAGTGGATCACCTGAGGTCAAAAGTTCAAGACCAGCCTGGCCAACGTGGTGAAACCCTGTCTCTACTAAAAATACAAAAATTAGCCAGGTGTGGTGGCAGGCACCTGTAACCCCAGCCACTTGGGAGCCTGAAGCAGGAGAATCGCTTGAACCCAGGAGGCAGAGGTTGCAGTGAGCTGAGATTGTGCCATTGCACTCCAGCCTGGGCAACAAGAGCGAAACTCTGCCTCAAGAAAAAACAAACAAACAAACAAACAAACAAAACTTTGCAATTTTTAATTAGCAAATAAGACTGTTTGTTCATTTTTCCCAACAAAATTTACAAGGATATTCCTAGGACACAAGCAGGGCTGGAAATAAGCAGAGCTGCAGTGTGAGGGCCAATCCCCCAGGAGCACTCATCTAGACTTCTCAAGAAGGCAGCACATAGGGCTGGCATCCAAGGGCTAGGATTTACGATCCTCAAGAAGCTAGGGAAGGGGTATAGGGAGAGGGTGGAAGCTTAGAACTAGTACCAGAGGGATTTGGGTAAACTATTCAGTGCGACTTAGCACATACAAATAATAGCACGTACCATTTTAAAACATGGCCATCTTTGGAATGTCAAAATAAAGGACAAAAATGTACAGAGTGGTTTAAATACCATCCTATTATATGGAGGTAGATAAGTGGGTGGCAACAAAAGTTTTCAAACTTGGTAATCAGAGTCACAGGAGGGGATATTTTAAAAATACAGATTCCTTGGCCGGGCATAGTGGCTCATGCCTGTAATCCCAGCCCTTTGGGAGGCCATGGCAGGCGAATCGCTTGAGCTCAGGAGTTTAAGACCAGCCTGGACAACATAGTGAAATCTTGTCTCTACTAAAAATACAAAAAATCAACCTGGTGTTGTGATGCATACCTGTAGCCCCAGCTACTTGGGAGGCTGAGATAGGAGAATCACCTGAGCCCAGGACGTCAAGGCTGCAATGAGCTGAGATCATACCACTGCACTCCAGCCTGGGTGACAGAATGAGACCGTGTCTCAAAAAGAAAAAAAAAAGAAAACAATATATAGATTCCTGAGCCCAATGTCAAACCTTATGAATTAGAATCTCCAGAGATATAAAATAATAAATTAGCAACAATAACTGCTATGGCCGGGCATGGTGGCTCAAGCCTGTAATCCCAGCACTTTGGGAGGCCGAGGTGGGCAGATCACTTGAGGTCAGGAGTTTGAGACCAGCCTGGCCAACAAAGCGAAACCCCATTTCTACTAAAAATACAAAAATTAGCCAGGCATGGTGGTGCACACCTGTAGTCCCAGCTACCCGGAGACTGAGGCAGGAGAATTGCTTGAACACGGGAGGTGGAGGTTGCAGTCAGCCAAGATCACGCCACTGTACTCCAGCCTGGGCAACAGAGCAAGACTCCTTCTCAAAATAAACAAAAAAACAAAAAAAAATAGCTGCTATGAAGAATGAAACTGGATCCCTCCCTGTCTCTCACCATATATAAAAATTAACTTGAGATAGATTAAGGACATGGATACCTGACGTGAAACCATAAATATTCTAGAAGAAAACCCAGGACACACTTTCTGGACACTAGCCTTAGCAAATAATTTATCACTAAGATCCCAAAAGCAAGTGTAACAAAAACAAAAATAAATAAATGGGACTTACTTAAACTAAAAGCTTCTGCACAGCAAAAGAAATAACAGAGTAAACAGACAAACTACAGAATGGGAGAAAATATTTGCAAACTATACACCTGACAGAGGAATAATCTCCATAATCTACAAGGAACTCAAACAAATCAGCAAGAAAAAAAAATAACTCCGTTAAAAAGTGAGCAAAGGATATGAATAGATATTTCTCAAAAGAAGATATACAAATGGCCAAGAAACATATGGAAAAAATGCTCAACATCACTAATCATCAGGGAAATGCAAATCAAAACCACCACAATGAGATACCACCTTGCCCCAGGGAGAATGGCCATTGTTTAAAGTCAAAAAACAATGGATGCTGGCACAGATACAGTGAAAAGGGAACATTTATACACTGTTGGTGGGAAATTGGTACAACCTCTGTAGAAAACAGTATGGAGATTTCTCAGAAAACTAAAAGAAGATCTATCATTCAATCCAGCAATCCCACTACTGGGTATTTACCAAAAGGAAAAGAGTCATTATATAAAAAAGACACTAGCACTCATATGTTATCACAGCATAATTCACAATTGCAAAAATATGGGATCAACCTATACACACACGCGCACACACACACACACACACAATGGAATAAAAAGAACAGCCATATAAGAACAAAATAATATCTTTTGCAGCAACTTGGACAGAACTGGAGGCCATCATTCAAAGCAAACTCAACTCAGGAATGGAAAACCAAATACCAAATGTTCTCACCTATAAACATGAGCTAAGCCATGGGTATGCAAAGGCATACAGAGTTGTATAACGGACACTGGAGACTCAGAAGTGGGGTAGGTAGAAAGGGGGTGAGGGATAGAAAATCACCTGTTGGGTACAATGTACACTATTCGGGTGATGGGTACACTAAAAGCCCAGACTTCACCACTGTACAATTCATCTATGTAACCAAAAACCACTTGTACCCCTAAAGCTATTGAATTTTTTTTTTAAAAAAGCTGCTACCATTTATTCAGCATTTACAATATGCTAGGCAATTTTCTAAGCACTTTGTATGTATCATCTTATTTCGTTCCTGTAACAACCCTAACAGTCACCTGGGACACAGAGAAGTAACTTGCCCATAGTAGATGGATCCAGGTTTCAAAACAGTCTGTGCTCCTAACCATGACATTCTGCATTATTTAAGATACCTTCCACCTGCAACAAACCAAGTAATTTTTTGAGGTAGCTGGTATTTAATCCAGCATTTGGGAACCGCTATACTATGGGAATGTTCAAGTCGCTTTAGCCATTTCACTCTTTGAAATCAGACACAAAATCAACAGTATCTCCTATTACTGGTCTTTATATCAAGAAATATTATCATCTTTATTATGAAGAATTTATAATATGCTAAATGCACAGAAATAGTTTTCCTGTAGAAGACTGGCTTATGTCTAAGTTTGCTGTTTCTAACAAAAATAGAAATTTTATATAACATAGTTTTTTCTTAACCTCACCTAGCAAGTTGCTATGTTTTATCAATTCTGCCCTAATAATATCTTAAAGGCTTTTAAATTCTTTCTGTATTCCTACTGACATCACACTAATTCAGATTTATATCATAAAACTTCCAGATTATTGATTGCCATATCATCTCAACTGGTCCATCTGGCTCCAATCTCTCTCCAGCTGGATCCAAGCAAATGCACCCTGCGCTTTCAGGCTAATTTTCTTAAAACATTTCCTGCCTGTCACCCATGCAATTACAAGTCTGTTAATGATTACAGGGTACCTACAGGGTAAGCCCCCAATCTTTATAACCAGGCATTCAAGATCTATAAGTACCCACCGCCTACCCATCTCCGGCTTCCCTTTCCTAAATTCAACTACAGTACAGTTTTTAATCCAAAATTCCTTCATAAAGACAAATACATCTTAAGCCACATTTAAAATGAGAAAAGTATTTAAATTGTGGGCTAATTCTTTAAATCCGTTTTAATAAAATTCTAGCTATCTTGGAGTTAAATGTTCAAATCTCATACTACTTCAAATGAGCTGCTTTTACTAATAGCTCTTAAACTTTTGGCAGAATATGTAGGAGGATGTTCTTAACACAAATTAAGCTCTTGCATCTGATCTTTCTGGTAATCTTGAAGTTCAGAGTTAGTTTTAGATGTCCAATTACTCAAAAACTCTGCCCCAAAGCAACAGGGAGGGTGTAGACTGTGTTTTAAAGCACGAATCTTGTATAATTCACTGAGCCAGTTTGTCAGACTTGAATTGTATTATTTTTACTTGAAAACACATAGTACCATGCCAAGAGGAAAATGTACCCAATCCTAGAAGTACAAGCTAGTGAAATTTATCTATCTATTTAAGTCATGAAAGTTCCACTTACTCGTCTACTATGAAGTTTAAAAAAAAGTTCTACTACCAAGCAGAACTGAGAAGAGTCAATTGACGATGCCCTAATATCCATTTCAGGTGGAGCTAATTTATCAGTTATTTCCTGTGGCTTCTCTGGAGCTCTTATAAAAGTTCTCCATTACCCCTTGAGGACTGAATTTAAGATGAGGGGGGAAATATGATGATTTATGCAGCCATCATGCAAAATCCATATGAGTAAGAAAGTGACAGGTAGATAAACATTTTAGAGAGCCAGAGAAAGGATTGCTGCTGGAAACCATGCCCTCTCCTCTCCCCTTAAGGTAGGGCTCAACTGTTGCTTTCTTAGTGCTTATGTGATGTTAAACTGATTCATCTTTTAAAAGATTAGAAAAATATGCAAGTAATTAATGAAGGGAACAAATATGAAAGAAAACTTCCCCCTAGTCAAATCTTTTATAACAGGTTCGCAGAACAACTCCAGACCTGGAAGCCTGTGGAAAGGGAAACACAGTATCCACTAATGAGCAAACCAAGAAGTCCAAAGGATGAAGATTTTACCCACTGCTTGTTGTATCACCAATAAAGGCATAAACTGCCTTGAAACAGCTCTCCAATTACCAGAGCAGGTAATTGGATTCGAAAGGAAAATAGATTCGCGTCTGGCCACATCCTTTATAATTATTATTATCTCATTCATACAAATGATGTACAACTCAGAGTCTAAAATATTTTTATAGGAAAGATTCCTTAAAGTTGCTCCATGAGCAGTTAGATTTGTTTCTAATATTTCTCATAACTACAGAACTCATTCCTCATGGTCTGGTGCTACCTTTACGATACTGGTGTTTGAAGAAGAAATTTTAAGGCCTCATAGTTTATTTTCCTTCCCCCAAATACCCTGTGTCACAAAAGCCGCTGGGAGAAGGCAATGTCTGCCTTCATTTGCTATTTAATTTTGCAGGAAAGCAGCCATGTTGTACCACACCAGAGGCTGGCACTTCACATGATTCACTTCACCTCCAATAGGAAAAAAATGCAGATAAAGCAAAAAGCAAGTTGACGTCAGACCCAGCTTTTAAGAGTCACGGTCCAGAGTCTCTGCTGGGACCAGTCCTTATTCCCTCCACACTACTGTTACTGACCACTCCATCTTAATCACATCCAATAATACATTCAAATGGCTCACTGACAACAGATAAGTTATATTCTACTGCTTAAGAAATCAGGAAATGTGAAATATAGTTTAGTTTTCCATCAAAAAAGTTAAAATTTAAAAGTTCTGGCATATAAAGTGTGTAATAGCCAACTATCTGGAAAACTTAGATTTTAGATAACCAATGGTTTGCTGTTCATCAAAGCAAAAAGAATCTACAAAATACAATCCTGCCACCTTGTGGTACCTGTTCAAAAGTACTTCATACTTTACCATAAATTTTCTAATTTTAAAAAATGTGCTTATTTGAAAAAATATTAATCAAGATAAAGTTATTTTAAAATATTAAATACTCATGCTGACATTAGCTAAAATGCACTGAAATTTGTTTGAAATGAAATTATTTCTCAGGTCAAAACTAAATTATCTCTTCCAACATAAGATGTGGAAATGCAATTGTGTAGCACTTGGATCTCTTGATAAACTCTTACCATCACACTTTCCTTTCTGACAGTTAAATAGCCGGAATGTTAAATAAATAGAACTGCAAAACTTACTAGATAGCATTGCTTGATCAATTTTTAACTACAAGTAGAGATTAAGTATGGTAAATTTCTATATCTTTACTAAACTTATAATTTTTAGATTGTTCAGACTCTTCAATGAACCTAAATAGACTTAAGTTTCTTAACATCATATTGACGTATAAGAGAATAGTTCTAAAACAGTGAATTAAAATACAGAACCACTGGCAGTTTCAGAGCATCATCTACAATAATTACTTTTAGAAAATTGTTAAGTGATGACTAAGTCTCCTTTGACAAATAAAATATTGAAAGCTTATCCTGTGAAAATATAAACTACCAATTACAGGAGTCCTCCCTTATCTGTGGTTTCACTTTCCATAATTTTAGTTACCTATACTCCAAAAATATTAAGTGGAAAATTCCAGAAATAAGTCATAAATGTTAAATTATGTGCTGAAATCCTCCCTTTGTCCAGCAGATCCACATTGTATACACTACTTGCCCATTAGTCACCCAGTAACTGTCTCAGTTATCAGATCCACTGTCAGCGTGTCAAAGTGATTGGAGGATTCAAGTAACCCTTATTTTACTTCATAGCCCCAAAGTGCAAGAGTAGTAATGCTGGCATATTGTTATAATTGTTCTATTACTGTTGTTGTTAATCTCTTACTGTGCCTAATTTATAAATTAAGCTTTATCAGAGGTATGTATGTATAGGGAAAAAACATACTGAATATTGGTTTTGATCCTATCCTCAGTTGCAGGCATCCATGGGGAGTCTTAGAATGTGACCCCTGGAATAAAGAGGGGTCACAAATGCAAAGATAAACTGTGGCATTTTTCTGTTATACAGCATCCTTTGAATTCTTCTATTTAACAAATACTGGTCATCTCTTTTGTCTCACAACTTGAGAACTGTTCCTTTTTTTTCATATGAGACAGCATGTTTTACTTTGCACACTGGTATCAATCCTTCAGACACTCTCAACCATTGACATATCTGATTTCTGTCTCCCCTCTCACCCACTCACTCACTCAACAAACATATGAGGACCTGCTATGTGTACCAGGTCCCTAAAACGGAAACATGAAAAAGCATAGTCCTCGCCTGTAACCCCAATATTGTGGGAGGCTGAGGTGGGCAGATCACTTGAGTCCGGGAATTTGAGACCACCCTGGACAAAATGGTGAAACCCTGGCTATACAATTAACCGGTTGTGGTGGCATGTGCCTGTAGACCCAGCTACCCTGGAGGCTGAGGTGGGAGGACTGCCTTTGCCTGAGCCTGGGAGGTTGAGACTGCAGTGAGCCATGACCTAATCTTCAAGGAAAGGCAATTTTCTTTGTTTTGAGGTATATATTTTTGAACATTCCTTCTATCCCTCAAATTCTTCTCAAAATAAGCTCCACATCTAATTGTACAACTGCAGTAGTCCATTTTCATGCTGTGGATAAAGACCTGAGATTGGGCAATTTAAAAAAGAAAGAGATTTACTTGGACTTGCAGTTCCACGTGGCCAGGGAAGCCCAATTATGACGGAAGGCAAGGAAGAGCAAGTCACGTCTTACATAGATGGCAGTAGGCAAAGAGAGAGAGCTTGTGCAGGGGAATTCCTCTTTTTAAAACGGAATTGCAGACCCAATGTACATCTTTTATTCAAACTGATTAATGCATTTTTAGATTTAAAATATTAAATTTATTAAATAATATTAAATCTACCAATCACTCAAGTATTTTACATTCATTTAAAACTATACAACTGGAGGCCAGGCACAACGGCACAGGCCTGTAATCCCAGCACGTTGGGAGGCCAACGCAGGTGGATCACTTGAGGTCAGGAGTTTGAGACCAGCCTGAGCAACATGGTGAAAACCCATCTCTACAAAAAATACAAAAATTAGCTGGGCATGGTGGCACACACCTGTAGTCCCAGCTACTTGGAAGGCTGAGGCAGGAGGATCTCTTGAGCCCAGGAGGTCGAGGTTGCAGTGAACCAAGATCATGCCACTGGACTCCAGCCTGGGCGACAGAGCAAGACCCCTGACTCTAAAAATAAAAAATAAATAAATAAATAAAAATAAAACTGTACAATTGGATGAGTACTTTTGTCAGCATGCAAATCAGTTTAAGTTATACAAACAGTAGAAGCAGTATATATGTGTGTGTGTGTGTGTGTGTATATATTTAGCATAGATGTATATATTTTTAAATTAAGCTAGTCAGGCCAGCTTTATTAAGCATTCACAAAAATCCACATTTCAAAAGAACCATGCAACTGATGGTTTACATATAATTTGAGGACCTCTATTCCTAAGACAAACTAAAGTACAGCTAACATCATCTTTAATTATAGACTAATTAAGCTAATGTTTTCTGATAGAAAGGCTCAATATAATACTCAATCTTTTACAATTTTAAGCCAATTTGTAATGGCTTCAACTGAGGAGTCCAACAAATTAAAAAGCTGTTATGCAACTAAATGTTTAAAGATCTTAAGCTAAAAAAGGACTATACAATTCATCTCAGTTAACCAGTAAAAAATTTCTATCATGATCTCCAAATAATCCTCCAAGTGATTTTTAAAATAGCTTTAAAATTTTTCCAGCTGGGAAAAACAAAGCAAAGAACTAAAATGGCTGAACTGAACCTTATTTCACCCTCCAAGCTGAGTATTTAGAAACCAACTGCTTTTCAAGGTACTAGGCAGGACTTAGGACAACTGAGAGACAATTCCTTCCACAATTATTTGAATTACAGTGAGGTACTCACAGCAGGATTATCACTAGACTATAGGAAAAGCTTCACGCTACAGACTATGGTGGCTTTCTTGGGCCTCTCTTCCCACCCAGGCCCAACTGACACTCCTGGTGGACAAACAAGTGCTTCAGGAAGTAGTCCCAAAATTCCATCTGTCCCCTAAGGCAGTTTCTACTTAAAGGGGCAGTGGTCCAATTTATTTATGATGACTCATTACTTCAAAGAGAACAAAAATACTATGAATATAGTGATTTGTTATGTTTCAAGCATTTTAAAAGGCATGGGTGATTTTCTTTAGGTTTTCTTAGAGTGCAACAAGTTAATAACATAAGACCTCTACAGATCATTTCGTCTTGATCCCAAAATCAGGAAAATCTAGTGAGGGTTTTCCCCACTTTTGACACACTTATGTCAGAGGTGAAAAAACAATAAGGATGCAAGAATGGAAGGAAGGAGAAGAGGAAGAGAAAGGATGAAGGAAGGGTTAAAAATAAGAATGGAGGGAAGAAGGAGGGAGAGGAGATGAAGAAAGGGAGGTAGGGGAAGGAGGACGGGAGGAGAGTAAAAGGAGGGAGGGAGAGGAAAGGGAAGAAAAACTAACCAGACAAGTAAACCAAAACCCAGGCAAGCAGGTATCAAGAAGCCTCAGAAATGTAGAAACGAGATATCTGACAACTTTTTCATTCCCAGTACAATAAGGCCTCATTGTACTTCCTGCAATTTATATCTTAGATATTCTACTCTAGCCCTAGAAATATACTATCTTATTGGAGCAGAGGTGGGGAAGGGGCGGGAAACAAAAAGAAATCTACAATTCTTTGTTTTTCTATTATTTAAACAGTCTGCAATGTTGTTCCAGAAGGTAGACAAGAGACTGATAAAACCAACCAAAAAAACAAGTGAAAGGAATAAAAGCAGAATGGTATTAATTATGAGACGGAAAATGTATGTAATTAGTAAGTAAATATACAAGTTGGATCTCCTTAAAAAAATAAACTTGAGAAAATTAAAAAAATTTTGTAGTAGAAAAAAGATAATCCAAAGGGTCCAACATCACAAAAGTAGTTTTAAATTATAAGAATGAAATGAACAATGACAAATGTAGCATATATTAAAACTGCAGGATGCATCTAAAGTAGCACTTAGGGGAAATGTATAGTCTTGAACATTAGAATAAAGCCTAAAGATTATTGGGATAAGGATTTCAAGGAAACTGGCAGGGTGGGAGGGTCAGGAGAGGGAGGTAAAACAAACAAAAGCAAAAAAAAAAAAAAATTCAAGAAAGGAGATAAAGACAACAGCAAAAACTGTTAAAATAGAAAACAAGCATATATTAGAAGATCAACAAAACCAAAAATTGGCTGTATGAAAAAGACCATAAACCAGCAAGCCGCCAGTATAATTTAATCAAGAAAAAAAGAGAAGGCAGAAATAAGCAGTATCAGGAACGAAAAAAATATGTAACCATAATTTAAGAGATATAGATTAAATGGTCAAATAGAAAAAATATAACTTACTGAAACAAAGAGATATAAAGTCTGAATAGTCCTATATTGCCATCATATAAAATTAAATCAATATAATAGTGAAAAATATTTCCTCAAATAAAACTCCCAGACTAGATAGCTCCACCAAAAAGTCCTACAAAGCACTAAGTGACCCAGCTCAGCCAGTCCCTGCAATGGCCAAAGGAAAGATCAACAACAAAGCCCAACAAAAGTGGCAGTCTCCAGTGAAAATGACAAAACCTTAGTACATGGCCAGAAGAAAAAAATTAAAATTAATGCCATGTGGTTGACACCCAGAGCTCTGCATGAACCATATAATATACTCTGGGGACTCCAAAAAATATTTGGAAGAGGCACTGGTATCCCACATTAGGTGGGGGCTACATGGATTATAATTAATAAAAACTAATATTCTAATGAAAACTGTTTACATCTTAAGGGATATGGAGTTTTCAAATATTAGCTGAGATGTGATTATTGACATATACATAAATTAAGTATTACTCCCAGTCTATCCAACTTTCTACTTTAATAGTTATATAAGCTATATACAAACTGTAGGGAAACTTGTGTTGTGTCCAGGAATTTAAATATAAAAATACATTATGTTTATTATAAAACAGAATCATTAATACTGTATCAGTCAACAATTATATAAATTATTTGTAACTTGAAATAAACAGAATAATGAAGTGATTTTTTTCTTTTTGTTGATTATTATCTAATAAAAAATATCAATATACAAAAACAGGGATGATGTGCTCTATTTTAAAAAAAGAAAGTTATCAAGAGTGCCCATAAACTGCATGATCTGACACTTGAATTATGAAAAATAAATCTTATACTTGAAGTCAACCTTTAATTTAAAAATCATAGACAATTATGAGTCAAAGGGAAATTTTATGATGGCTGTTTTCTATAGTTAGTAATTACAATCTACATTAAAAATCAAATTTCTTTTTATATTTTCTTTTTCTTTTAGAGACAGGGTCTTGCTGTGTCACTCAGGCTGGAGTGCAGTGGCATGATCATGGCTCACTGCAGCCTCAACCTCCTGGGCTCATGTGATCCTCCTGCCTCAGCAGCCCAAGTAGCTGGGACTACAGGTGCATGCCACCAATTTTTTAATTTTTTGTAGAGATGGGGGTCTTGATATGTTGCCCAGGCTGGTCTCAAAACCCCTGGTCTCAAGCAATCCTCCTGCCTCAGCCTCCCAAAGTGCTGGGATTACAGGCACGAGTTGCCACACCTGGCCTGTTTTTTGTTTGTTTGTTTGTTTTATTTTGAGCAGAGTTTTGCTCTGTCGCCCAGGCTGGAGGTCCAGTGGCACGATCTTGGCTAACTGCAACCTCCACCTCCCAGGTTCAAATGATTTTCGTGCCTCAGCCTGCCAAGTAGCTGGCTAATTTTTGTATTTTTAGTAGAGACGGGGTTTCACCATGTTGGCCAGGCTGGTCTCCAACTCCTGGCCTCAAGTGATCCACCCGCCTTGGCCTCCCAAAGTGCTGGGACTGCAGGCGTGAGCCACCATGCCTGGCCAACCTGACCTATATTTTCTCAAACACAAACATTTTACTAAGACTATATTAGACTATCCTAGTCACTGATTGATTTTAAAAATTTAAAGATTGTTGCATGGATCTTCCCAGATGGAATATATTTAACAATAAAATACAATCACTGCAAAAATAAGAATCCATTATTTTTCCTGAAACAATATATATTATTTATATATAATAATGGCTCCCTTTCATTTCTGGGCATTTAAACGTCTAATTCTGCCTGAAAGGCATGTCCTTCCATGGTACACCTTTTCTAGTTTATAACTCTGATCACTCTTTGGATCTCAGGAAGTTCCTTCCTGAAGTGAGCCTTGCATGAACCCTTAGATCAAGTGAGGTCTCCCTATCAAATGTGCTCATAGATTTTTTTTTTTTTTTTTTTTTGAGACGGAGTCTTGCTCTGTCGCCCAGGCTGGAGTGCAGTGGGCATGATCTCGGCTCACTGCAACCTCCGCCTCCTGGGCTCAAGTGATTCTCCTGCCTCGGCCTCCTGAGTAGTTGGGCTTACAGGCGGGTGCCACCACGCCTGGCTAATTTTTGTATTTTTAGTAGAGACAGGATTTCACCTTGGTGGCCAGGCTGGTCTCAAACTCCTGACCTAGTGATCTGCCCGCCTCAGCCTCCCAAAGTGCTGGGATTACAGGCGTGAGCCACTGCGCCCAGCCTGCTAATAGATTTAAATACCATTCCTTAAGAGACAGAAGAAGAGACCATGAAGAACACAGAAGTATTAACACTATTTTAAAGTAAAGTCCTTATATAAAAAGCAAATAGTAAAATAATAAGTATAATAATAATAATAAGTAAAATAATGTCTATAGATTCCTTGGGAAAACTAGGAGAAAATTTAAAAGCAGAACTATTTTTAAATTACTTAAACAGTTAAATCACAACATTCTCTTAGAGATGCCAGAAAATTCTGCAAGCCTTAAGTTACAAGAAATATTAAAATTTACTCACATTTAAAATTTACTTACATTTCTGTATGTTTTATACAGAAAAAATACATGTAGAATAATATTACTAATATTGAACTCCACACACTAAGTACTTTATACGTATATTACCTCATGTAATCCTCATGATAACTCTAACTTTGTTTTACCATTTTATAGGCAGAAAAACTGAGACACAGAAAGACTAAATAACATGCCCAAGTTCATAGGCATAAATTAATAATTTTTTGTCAGGCTTGGAACCTGGCAGTCTGATGCCAGAGTGTATATGCTTTATTGTCTCTACAAAGAATAAAATAAATAGGAAGCTCAAAATCTGGGGGGGAAGGGTAAAATAATGGGGTATTTGAATTTTTTCACATTTTTCATGCATAGCAATTCTTTACATAATTAAAATGAGCCAATGATAGTAAATTTACACCACATTCCAAAACATAAGCCACCATCAAACTATTTATGGAAAACTCATGATTAGTTTGTTTACCACACTCTACCACGGTATCTAGTTTTCCTACTATGGACGCCACCCAGCAAGAGAGCCCAGTATGCAGACATGGACACTAATTGTCAAACAGCACTAGGTAGGGATTTCTGGCAGTGAACCAAAAGAAACGAGATTAATGAATTTTTGCTATGTCTGATATATAAACAAACACACAGGTAGTGTGTGTGTGTGTGTGTGTATTTATGTATGTGTGTATGTTTACGTGTGTGTTTGTGTATGTGTGTAGCTTTTCAGTCAGGCTCTCTATCCTGTATCATCAAAGATTATAGGTCTCTGAATATTACTGAATAAAAAATATTAAGCCCTCTTACTTGGTCCTAGATGGCCCTAGGAGCAGATCCAATGAAATAAACTACACAAGAGTGACTGATACTAAAAAACACCAGAACTAGGTTATCTATGAATGGAAAATGCATCTGTGTATCTAGAATCAGCAACCCTAACCTTTAGCACACAGTCTAGAAACTTGAAGAATGAAAACCAACCTCTACACCAAGCTTGCCCAACCCACGGGCATGGCCCAGGACAGCTTTGAATGCGGCCTAACTCGTGAACTTTCTTAAAACAGTATGAGATCTTTCTGTGATTTTTTTTTTTTTTTTTTTAGCTCACCAGCTATCATTAGTGTTAGTGTATTTTACGTGCGGCCCAAGACAATTCTTCTTCCAGCGTGGCCCAGGGAAACCAAAAGATTGGACACCCCTACTCTAAACAGTTCAAAAAGCTCTCATAAAGCCACTGTACCAAAGCAATATACTGTGCTTTTAAGATCTTGTTAGAAAATTATTGACTTGTATATCGTATAATCCTTAAAACTTAATTATCTGGCTTCCTGGGTTTCAGGAAAGTAAAAGCAACTAAACAAAAATGGCAAGCTGTTACCAGCCACATACACCAGCATTCTCAAGAAGAGATAGCTTTCAACCTAATAAGACAAAAAGTAAGTACTGGCCACCAAATGAGACAACTCATCACCTGTATGCTAAATCTGAGTCACTAAGGACACACAGTCTTCTCAGAAGGTTAAAACAAGATTAGATAAAAGTTTAAGCTTCAATTTCTGTGTATCAAATACTCAAACCAATGAAAAATCAGGTAAATAAGTTGTTACTATTCAGAATCTACAGCATGCCATCCTATTATTTATTTAGGACTAAAATGGAAAAAGTCTATGATTCTAGGCTGGCCCTATCAAGGACTGCTGTATGAAAATTTTATTTCAAAAATAGCAGATGGAAGACACAGCTCTGTATTTAACAAACATGAAACTATTAAGCCACCATTTGAGAGCATTCAATGAATAAATACTGAGAAATATTAAATTTGAAAAATAGTGTTAATAACAAGACTGATAAGTTTGGATCTTTTTTTTAAATTGAATGTATAAGATGTGTACAAGTTCCAAAATGTTATCAACAGCACCTGAAAAAACTTTCCTTTAAATTGAGCAACTGTAAAAGACAAAGATCTTAAAAGTATTTCATTTTAATATAGCATGAATTTAACATTCATTAACATTAAAAAATTAAGATTGGAAAATCAATTTTCTTATGGTTTTGGCATTTTTTTAAGACAACAGGGTAATGCTATTAATTCCTTGGGAATTAGTGATTGCTGATAAATTCATTTTTACATATAAAAGTATTAGTTGAACACTTAATACTATAAAAATTGTAGGTGCCTGGGACATAAAGATTCTAATGAAAGAAATAGACATGAATCAAATAATTATAATATAGGAAATTCTCTCACAGATGAGAGATGAAGGCAGCAGCGATCCCAGGACCAGCTGTTGAGAATAAAGTAGAATTTAGGATGATGCAGGGTTTGGGCTTAAGGTAGAGTACATGTTGGTACTAGTAGCTGTGAGAGAATACAGGAGGGGTGGATTATGTGAAAACAGGAATAAATAAGAGGCTGTTTGGAGGAGACATCCAAGTAGATATGTTCACAGGGAAATTGAAGACACTCCAGACAACTCTAGAATTTCTACAAAGGAGTCCAGGGACAGGGGTTAGGAGACACTTCTTGAGGCCAAGTTTCCATACTAACCACACTCCTTTTACATAAATGTTTGTTTTTTGGTTGTTTTACATAGATTGTATGCTTACTCAGTGAAGCTTTCATGTGTAACAGGTCATAGAGATTATGGGGGGCTGCTGCCTACACCCTCTTCCCCTTGTGTTATGAGCGGCTGAATTGGGTTCCACAGATAAATTGGGTCGCTGGAGTACAAAGAAAACCTACTATAAAAAGAAGGGAGGCCAAGCAACAGAACCTAGGGAAACACCAACGTTTAAGAGAGCTGGGGAGAGAAGCCAAACAAATAGTAAATGAGACTGAAAAGGAGAAGGCCAAGAGACAGAAGGAGAACCAGAAGAGACTGGTGCACTGGAGCCAACAGAGGAGAACTTCAGGAAGTAACAGGCAGCAATGCCAAAGATACAGAGAGATCAAATGAGACAAGAAGGATGGAAATGGGATCCTCGGGGCTTGAGACTTCGCAGTTAGGAAGTCATTGGTGACATCTGCAGAAAAAGCTTGGGGTGGGAGGTGGTAAGGAAAAAGGAACAGCCACACCACAGCAGTGTAGATGAATGGGTAAAATGAGGAAGACAGGTAACTGGTGAGGGGTGGGTGGTTCTGGTTCACTTAGGTTGTCAATAAAGTGGAAAAGATTAAACAAGAGATGATATATCCTGATAAAGCAAAGTCCCAGAGAACACAGGAAGGAATGAGCTATTTACCATTTGACATAGAAATTTAAATTAGCGTGTGATGAGAACACTAGCCTCAGTCAGTGTAATAACTGTGATACAGACACTTTCATTTGTTCATTCAAATATTTACAAGCATCTACTATGCTCAGGAACAATACTCGGTGCTGATCATTTACCAACAGAGCCCACCTAACTCCACCCACCCTGAAGGCTGGATATATCTACAGTCGTGGTCCATGATGCTGGCAGATAACATGAAATCAACAAATACTTCTAATAATCCACAAGTGGATTTCATCCTCTTTATGTCCTCCTAGAATGTGCAATGGGCCATACTACCAAAAAATTATAGCAATAATAACAAAGTCGGTGGGGGACATGCAATCTAGGTCCAATGTAGAAAGTATTCCTCCTTTGAATTAAAAAAAATTCTGTATATTTAGCAATCACATACAAATATTACTGACTGAACCATTATTCCCAGTTAAAACTCTTCACGTTTCTATTCCATCCTCAATTATACTTCTTAAGATGTCACAATTTCTTTGTTCCTTCTCAAACTCCATCAGCTTTTCAAATATAAAGGGTGCTTAATATATTTTTATTTTCATATAAGTAATATAAAGCAAAATTATGGAAACACGTGCATGTTAGTAAATTTGCAGTATGTTATAAAAGAATTGACATCTATGCTGTTAGTCTACTAAGTGCCAAGAATGACTTTATACATACATTATATAATTTAATCCTCAAAACAACTCATTTTCAGGTGAAGAGATTGAGCTTTAGAGAGGTTAGCCAGGTGCAGTGGCTCACGCCTGTAATCCAGGCACTTCGGGAGGCTGAGGCAAGTGGATCACCTGAGGTCAGGAGTTCGAGACCAGTCTGGCCCACATGGCAAAACCCCATCTCTACTAAAAATACAAAAAAAAATTAGCCAGGCATGGTGGCACACACCTGTAATCCCAGTACCTCAGGAAGCTGAGGCCAGAGGATCGCTTGAACCTGGGAGGCAGGGGCTGCAGTGAGCCGAGATCACGCCACTGCACTCCAGCCTGGGCAACAGAGTGAGACTCCATCTCAAAACAAAACAAAACAAAAAACTCAGTAGAGAGGTTAAATAACCTCAAGTTACACTGCTAGTAACTGACAGAGCTGAGACTGAAGACTCAACTTTGTTGTTTCTGCTCTACCATACTACCCTTTACTCTAAATGATATGCAGAAACAAACAGTAAACATTTTGAACATTTATATTCTTAAGTTACATATTTTATGTCAAATATTATAGGTTTCATTACCAAAAAAGTTATTAGTTACTAAGATAAAAATATAGTTATTGAAACATTATGTTTACTTTGGATATGTAAACATTGATTAAAATATTAATGATAGCAACTAACATTTATTGAGTGCTTACTAATATGCCAGATGTTATTCCAAGTGCTTTAGAAAGATATTTATGCTTCACAATTATCCCAAGATCATAAATGCAACAAGTGCTAAAGCCGGTATTTAAACTCAGAGAATCTAACTTTAAAGCTTATATTCCTAATCAGTACATTATATAAAGCTATTTTTGTAATATTCTTTACATTAAGAAATTTTAAAAAAGTAACTACATTATTTAGATATAGGTTTTCCCCTAAATTACGAATACACTTAATAATGTACGATGCAGAGTTAGACATTCAGTGAATTAACAAGCAACATATTGAGATACAGCTTTCTCTAGACAGTCTTTCAGCTACAAATTGGATGTTCAATTTTAATATCCCAGTCTTTATAACAATTATCAATTAGCAAATTTTAAAACAAGGATGCTTTGTAGAAAGCTAGCACAATCAGCTAGCTTTATTTTAAAATCATGAACTATCAAGAAAATTGTAGGAAATTTGCCATTGCTACTTTAACAAGAATTATGGGCCGGGTGCGGTGGCTCAAGCCTGTAATCCCAGCATGTTGGGAGGCCGAGGCAGACGGATCATGAGGTCAGGAGATCGAGACCATCCTGGCTAACACAGTGAAACGCCGTCTCTACTACAAATACAAAAAATAAATAAAAAAATTAGCCGGGCGTGGTAGCAGGCGCCTGTAGTCCCAGCAATAGGCTGAGGCAGGAGAATGGCGTGAACCCGGGAGGCGGAGCTTGCAGTGAGCGGAGATCGCGCCACTGCACTCCAGCCTGGGCGACAGAGCGAGACTCCGTCTCAAAAAAAAAAAAAAAAAGAATTATGAAACAAGATCTACAAAAATTGGCTGACCCTGAACATAGACAGGATATTATTTGAATAGCTTAAAACGCCCACATTCTACAGACTGGTCAATTAAGTTAAAGGACATGCAGAAAGATGCTGGACTTGGAATATGCCATTGGGAAAAATCCAAACGTACACCAAGAAGTAATTATTCTGACCTAACAGTAGATGGCGCTAATACAACGTATCCTTTTCATTAAAAAATGGTCCATTTAGCCTTCTAGATTATTTTTATGAATGCAACCAGGGCTCTTAAATTAGGTACAATTTGATTCATATAATTTCATTTCTAACCTAATTTTGCTTAAGCTGAACACATAGGTATCTTATACACGAATCTTGGCCCTTTTTAAAAGCATTACTTAAACATAGATTAAAAAGCTACAAAATTTGCTAACAAATAAAACAGACATACATACTATCACAAAGTTTGAAACTGAAAAAAGTAGGAACAGGTTTTAAAAAACCCTCAAAACAAATAGTATCTGAACGTTTTGAGGTTTGAGTAGCCTAAGAGTTTGAAATTATGCCTACAGTTCAACTATGGGAATGCTAAAAAAAATCCCTCAAAAATCTCTAGTCTCTACAGTAACAAGATTTCCATTTCTTACTGTAAAACCCTTTAAGGCTATGAAGAATATACTAATTTCTTGTTGACAAGCAAGGGAACACAGTCCTTCCTCCCTTCCCATACTAGCCCATCCTATATACTTTATAAATAATAGTGCTTCTCAATTCAGAGGTAAATAATGTCTCTGAATGTGA
This sequence comes from Homo sapiens, assembly GCF_000001405.40. Lineage (NCBI taxonomy): Eukaryota > Metazoa > Chordata > Mammalia > Primates > Hominidae > Homo > Homo sapiens. Next base: position 44,484,479 of record NC_000013.11, read on the forward strand.
GCACAGAAACATACGTTACTTTAATTAGTCTGGAAGCGGAAAAATGCATAGCTGTGTATTATTATCATGTTAGTCTAGAATGGGAGATGCGGTTGGAGAAGGCAGGAAATGATGGAAATTGTTAAAGGTACAACTAATATTCATGATAAACATATTTAACAATTTATGGCCCAACGCAAACCCTAGAAGTAAATCTAAGTATAGGCCACACCACAGAATAATAGTACATATGCAGCACCACAGAATAATAGTACAGCAGTATCATTAGCTGATGGGCTCTTTCCCACATCGAACCTCAAGCCACACAGGTGGGTATCCCTTCTGCTTACTGGGCTGCATATAAAGGACTGATTACCAGAAGATATTTTAACTGATAACACTGGAATTGTAGAAAATACATGAGCATCTGTGTTTTGACTCCTAGTCCCAACACTTGTATACTATAACTCAGGAAGTCACTTAACTTTCAAATTCGATTTCCTCATTTACAAAATGAAAGTAAAGTGGGATTATATGTAGTGAGAACTGAAAAAGAATAGATATGTAGAGTATGTAAGATGAGTAGTACATAAAGAGTCAATAAATATTGGAGTCCATCCTCTTTCTTTTACCATATTATAGAAGCAATAAGGAGCAGGCAGCAATAATAGTACATATCCACTTAAGCTGACTCCAATCAAGACAATAGTTAGAAAATAAGAGTTTTAAAGAATAGAATGCATGCTGCCCCCCATCACCAAGAACTAATAAAGTACAAGTTTTCTGAAAAATGAGTGCTTAGTATAAGTAAATGAAACTCAAAGCCATAAGCAATAGGCCCTATAAATAGTGACTCCAGCTATGAATCTAAAAGCAATCACCAAGATATATATATGGAAAGTTCTTTTAGTCATATTTCAGTCTTTAATTGTATAGCAATTCTTTCAGTATAACACAAACTTTGTACAAGGTTATTAAAAGTGTTTTTAGTAAGATTTTTAAATTAATCCCATACATAACAAATATTAGACCTCTAGATTACCTTTCTAATTAGAAAGACATTTCAAAAATGTCCTACTAGTTCAGAGAGAACAGATGCCTAGAATAACCTGGAAATGGGTACTCAGATATTTGTAGAACTAGAATAAAATAAAGGCATTTTTCAGATAAGCATAAAAGTTTACCACCATTTGACATTCACTAAAGGAATTCACAAAAAATATTATTTAGGAAGAAGAAAAATACTCCATTAGAAAGGTCTGAGTTACAAGAAAGAACAGTAGGCAAAGAAACTGGTAAACCTGTGGGCCAATCTAAACAAACATTACCTATATAAAATACTGTCAAATTTGTAGAATTATTTAAAGTTAAAATTATGGATAAGAGTATCAAATAAATTGTAGGTAGTAGGGGAAGGTTAGGGTAATTAGTGTTAAACTGTTGTAAGGCTTCTGTATTTTTTCAAGGGGGATGGGTTTTTAAATATGGAATAATTTTAGATTTTGTTAGATGGATTAGACAAAAGTATAAACTAAAGGAACATTAATACATAGCTCCCCAACCAGAAAAGGCGAAAAAGAAAATGTAAATAATCCAAAGCAAAAATCTTAATCTAAAAAAATAAGGCAAGAATGGAGGGCAAAGCATAGAAAAAGCAGGACAAACAGAAGAACAGGGATGGAATAAAGAAATTCAGATCCATAATCACAATAAATATAAACAGACAAGACTCACCAAAGATTTTAAATGTCACCCCCACAAAAAAACAATCCACTATATGATATTTACAAGAAACACACTAAAATATAAGGGCATGCAAATGCTAAAAGATGAAAAGTGGAAGTAGAAAAAGATACCACTGGCAATATTAACCAAAGAAAGGTGGAATAACCTTGTTAAATAAGACAAAATAAATCTAAGCAAAATGCATCATTAGGGTTAAAGAGAATCGTGACATAACAGGCTTCAATGCACCAGGAAGATATAAGAATTCTAAACTTACATGCACTGAATATAGATAAACAGACAAAGAAAAATTTGCTAGAACTCTAAGGAAGTATCAAATAATCTCTATATTACTGTTAGGTCTAGCAGATAAAATTAGTTAAGATACTAAAGATCTAATTAAAGCAATTTAAAAACTTGACTGAATGGACACATAGAGAATCCTCAGCCTCAAAATTAAAGAATTACAGGCATACATGGACAATCTATATAAACTGTTGATGTGCTAAACCATACAGCAAGACCAAATACATTTAAAAGAATCAGTTCATACAACCACGTTTGCTGAACACTATGCAATTAATTAATGTGTAATTCACTAACAAAATGACAAAGCATAAAAGCACCCACACTGGATAATTTCAAAACACTTTAAATAATATGTGGATCAAAAAATAAATCTTAATAGAAACTTAAGACACTTAGAATGAAAAAGAAATGCAGATTTCTAAAATATGCTATGAAGTAGTCAGAAGGAATTGTATAGCTTAAATGCTTATATTATTGTAAATGCTTACAATAAGGTAGAGGATTATAAACTTAGGAAATGTAAAAAAAAAATACCTATAAGGTTTTAAATGCAAAGTTTCTACCATCTACCAAACTGCCAAGTAACAGAAGATGAAACTCTTGTATAAAAACTTTTCTAGAGATTTTACATATATATAAAATTATTTACTCTCCAGCTTATTTTAAGAGGCTAGTAAAACCTTTAAACCAAAATCAGAAAAGCATAGTTAAAAAAAGAAATTACTGGCCAGGTGTGGTGGCTCACGCCTGTAATCCCAGCACTTTGGGAGGCCAAGGCAGGTGGATCACCTGAGGTCAGGAGTTCAAGACCAGCCTGTCCAACATGGCAAAACCCTGTCTCTACTAAAAATACAAAAATTAGCTGGGCGTGGTGATGCACACCTGTAACCCCAGCTACTGGGGAGGCTAAGGCAGGAGAATCACTTGAACCTGGGAGGTGGAGGTTGCAGTGAGCCGCGATCGTGCCACTGCACTCCAGCCTGGGCAACAGAGCAAGACTCCATCTCAAAAAAAAAAAAAAAAAAAAAAAAAAAAAGAAAAGAAAAAGAAATTACCAGCCATTCCTTTTATGAACAATGTAAAAATTCTTAAAAACAAAATTAAAACAAATCTAGTAGTGAATAAAGAGGTATCAGGACCAAACTGAGTTTATCCCAGCAATACAAGAGTAGCTTACCATTAGAAAATCAAGAAAGATCACTTCAAGAGGTTAAAAAAAAAAGATAAATAAATTTCTTGTTAAGAAGAAAACACAGTACACTAAAAGTACAAAAACACTTCTTGGCTAGTCGCATTAGCTCACACCTGTAATCCCAGCACTTTGGGAGGCCAAGGCAGGCGGATCACTTCAGGCCAGGAGTTTGAGACCAGCCCTGGCCAACGTGGCAATACCCCCACTCTACTAAAAATACAAAAATTAGCTGGGCGTGGTGGTGCACGCCTGTAATCCCAGTTATTTGGGAGGCTAAGGCATGAGAGTTGCTTGAGCTTGGGAGGTGGAGGTTGCAGTGAGTTGAGATCATACCACTGCACTCCAGCCTGGGCAACAGATCAAGACTCTGTCTCAAAAGAAAAAAAAAGAAACTTCTTTAATAACATAAAAGATATCTACCAAAATCTACAGAACACATCCTTCTTAATGGTCAAATGTCAGAAGTATTTGTTTCAAAATGAGTAACAAGTACGTGCAGTATCAGCACTCTACTGGTAACTGAAGTCCTGCATTGTCTAATACAATAGCTACTAGCCATACACACACAGCTATGAGGCCTGGAAATACAGCTAGTCCAAACTGAGATGTGCTGTAAGTGCAAAATACACACCAGCTTTTTAAGATTTAGTACCCCCCCAAAAGTAAAATATCTCATTAATTTTATAATGATTACATATTGAAATGACAATTTTGAGTTAAATAAAATAAAGCAAATTATTAAAACTAACTTCACCTGTTTTTTGCTTTTTTTCCACTGTGACTACCAGCCATTTTTAAATTACGCATAAGGCTAACGTTGCATTTCCATTGGATAGTGCTATCCTAATCAGTTAGTAAAACAAGAAAAAAGAACAGAACGAACCAATATTGGAAAAGAAAAAACAAAGCTGTCATTATTCTCAGATGCTATGGTTATCTACACAGAAAAACAAAATAATATATAAAGAATCTGTTAGAATCAATAAGAAGGTTTAGCAAAATGGCTAATTGCATTCTGCATATATCAACACTTAGAAAATGTAATTTTCAAAAAGATACCATTGACAAAAGAAACAAAAATATAAAACACCTAGAATTTAACAAAGGATACACAGAATTTTATTGAACTATATTAAAGAGACTGAAATAAACAGAGAAATTCAATATCGAAAATCCCCAAATTCATCTGTAGATTCAGCAGTATTCTTAAATCCAATGGTATTCACCAAAATCCCAAAAGAGTTTTATGAGGAACCATAAAATTTGTATGGAAGACCCCACAATAGCCATGGCATCTTAAAGAAGAAGAAAGTGAAGAGACCTTCCCAGATACCAAAACTTTTCAGCAAAGCAATATTCCATTAAAAGAATAGATTGCAGAAATGAAATTAACCCTAAATATATGGATTTATGACAAAAGCAGCACTGCAAAAAAAGAGAAAGTCTTTTCAAATATTGGTGCTGAGTCAATTAGGTATCCACATGGGGAAAAAATTACTTTTGAGCCTTACCTCATTTCATGCAAAAAAAAAAAAAAAAATCAGAAGAATTATAGCTCTAACTGTGAAAGGTAAAACTGTTCCTAGAAGATAAATAGGAGAATATTTTGGGAATAGGCAAAGATTTTTTAAACAGGATACAAAAACATTAACTATAAAGGAAAAGCTGAACAAAGTAAACTACATCAAAATTAGGAATTTATGATTATTAAAAGACATCAATAAGAGAACAAAAATTTAAGTCACATGGAGAGAAGAGATATTTGTTAAACATCAAAGAGCTCATTTTATAAATATTAAGACAAGTCCTAAAATCAATAATAAAAAAAAAAGACAAATAAACCACTAGAAAAATAGGCAAGGCTGAGAACACTGGCTCATGCCTATAATTCCAGCACTTTGGGAGGCCGAGGTGGGAGGATTGTTTCAGGCCAGGAATTCCAGACCAGCCTGGGCAACATAGCAAGACCTCATCTCTATAAAGAATTTTAAAAAATAAAAATAAATTACATAAATAAAAAAGAAAAATAGGCAAGAGACTTTAACAGGCATTTTATAAAATAATATATCCAAATAGTCTGTCTGCCTATTGATAGATCTATGCTCAATCTCAACAGCAATAAGGGAAATGCAATTTAAAACCACAATGAGGTACCACTACACACCACCAAGATGGCCAAAATTTCAAAGACTGACAGGGGTTAAACCTAAGAGATGGATGGAATGTGGAACAGCTGGAACATTCACAGACACAGCTAGGAGTGAAAACAGGTACAACCACTTTGGAAATGTGGCAGTATCTACTCAAGACGAACATACACAAACCTACCAGCAGTTCCATTCCTACAAATATCCCCAACAGAGATGCAAAGGTGTACTAGCCCCCAGATGGAAAAAACCCAAATATCTATCAACAGAATAGAGAAATAAAATGTGGCATACTTGTACAAATAGTATATATCTATGAAAATGAACAAACTTCTATTAAGCTCAACATGAATGAATCTCACATAGTATTGAACACGGAAGATAAGAAACAAAAGAATATATAGTATATAATTTCATTTATATAAATTTCAAAATGGCCAAAACTAACTGATAGTGTTAGAGGTCTGTAGAGGAGGTATCGCTAGGGAGAAGAATAGTACTTAGCAGGTCATTTGAGAGAATGCTAAGTTTTTTTTTTTTTTTTCATGTAGATGGAGGTTACATACCCATTACTTTGTAATAATTCATCAAGTGATATGATTTGTACATTTTCCTCTCTGTATGCTATATTTCAATTTTTAAAAATAATTCTGAATAATTAAAGATATAAATGTTCAACCAAAAAAATCAATATTTTAGAAGAAATTATAGGAAACTCTCTTGATGACATTGAGGTAATAAAAGATGTCTTAAACCCAAGAATTGCTAACTATAAAGAATATATAGGCTGGGCATAGTAGTTCACGCCTGTAATCCCAGCACTCTGAGAGACCGAGGCGGGCAGATCATCTGAGGTCGGGAGTTCGAGACCAGCCTGACCAATATGGAGAAACCCCGTCTCTACTAAAAATACAAAATTAGCCAGGCATGGTGGTGCATGCCTGTAATCCCAGCTACTCGGGAGGCTGAGGCAGGAGAATCACTTGAACCTGGGAGGTGGAGGTTGCGGTGAGCCAAGATTACGCCACTGCACTCCAGCCTGGGCAACAAGGCTGGAGTGAAACTCCGTCTCATTAAAAAAAATGAAACTCCGTCTCATTAAAAAAAATATATATACATATATATGTATATATTCATAAATTTGACTACATTAAAGTTAAGAACTTCTGTTCAAAGGATATCACAATTAGCCAGGCCTGGTGGCACATGCCTGTGGTCCCAGCCACTTGGGAGGCTGAGGCACGAAGAATCATTTGAACTCAGGAGGCAGAGGTTGCAGTGAGCCAAGATGGTGCCACTGCACTCCAGCCTGGGCGACAGAGCAAGACTCCGTCTCAAAAAAACAAAACTAACAAAGGACATCACAGAGAATGTGAAAAGGCATACCACAAATGAGGCAATAATGTCGACAATATATGTAACCTGAAGATTAGTATCCAGAGGCCGGGCGCAGTGGCTCACGCCTGTAATCCCAGCACTTTGGGAGGCCAAGGCGGGTGGATCACAAGGTCAGGAGATCGAGACCATCCTGGCTAACATGGTGAAACCCTGTCTCTATTAAAAATACAAAAAAATTAGCTGGACGTAGTGGTAGGCACCTGTAGTCCCAGCTACTCGGGAAGCTGAGGCAGGAGAACGGCATGAACCCGGCAGGCGGCGCTTGCAGTGAGCCGAGATCGCGCCACTGCACTCCAGCCTGGGAGGCAAAGCGAGACTCCGTCTCAAAAAAAAAAAAAAAAGAAAAAAGAAAAGATTAGTATCCAGAATACATAAAGAGCTTCCGTAAATAAGTACAATCCAAAAAAATCCAATAGAAAATTGAGAAAATGAATTTACGGAAAAGGAAATATGAACAGTTTAACAGATATAAATAACATGCTTAGCTTGAAATTAAAACCACAATGAACTAATATTTACAAGCATTATATCAGCAAAATTGAAGCAGCCCGACAATATCAAATGTTAGGAAAACAATAATCAGTGGGGTTTTTTATGTATTGATGGTAGGAAAGCAAAGTGGAACAATCATTGTAGAAAACAATGCGATATCATCTTGTAAAGCTGAACATGTATATCTTCCGTGATTCAGTTATTTCATTTCAGTGGAAACACTATACATATCTTCTTAAGCACACACATAAAAATGTTCATACTAGCATTGTTCATCTTCACAAAACATAAAAACTGGAAACAACCCTAAATGCCCATCAAGTAGAGAGCAGATCAATTGTGGTACATTCACGTCTAAGTTTCATTCATTCATGAAATGAACAACATACAGATGCTCCTTAATCTACAATGGGGTTACATTCTTATAAACCCATCATATGTTAAAAATACTGTCAGTCAAAAATACAGTTAAATAGCTAGCTTACTGAACATCATAGCTTAGCCTAGCCTACCTTAAATGTGCTCAGAACATTTACATTAGCCTACAATTGGGCAAAATCATCTAACACAAAACCTATTTTATAACAGTGTTGAATATCTCATGTAATTTATTGAATACTCAAAGTGAAAAAACAGAATGGCTGTACAGTTTTTACTGAATGTGTATCGCTTTTGCACCATTGTAAAGTTGGAAAATCTTGAATTGAACCATAGTAAGTTAGAGACCATCTGTACAGCTATACACGACATTGACACTCTTAGATCAATACTGAGTGAAAAATGTAAAACAGACAAGACTCTGTACAGGATTCCATATAAAGCATAAGACAAAACTAAGCAACACATTGTTTAGGGATATGTACATATCTAGGTAAGCTGCTTTGGAGTCTGCTTTGTTTTAAAACGCAGAAATATAAGCTCCCCCCTCCAAACAAAAAAAAATCACTCTAGTACTTATCTCTGGAGGAATGGTGGAGGATGGGGCTGGGAGGAATACAATATCGTTTCAAAGTTACTATGATGTGTTAGCTTTAAGTTTGGTATTAGATTCACAGGGGTTTTTTTTCCTAATAATTTACTTAAAAGTTATGTATTTCTTTTACATGAATCCCATAACAAATGACAAAAAAAACTTCTTAAAATACATAAATATGAGTTCTAATATTTCCCTTGAAAACTGCTCAAGAGATATACCTCCCTTGTAGCTCTTGGCATCTGCTAACTCAAATCCCTCTCTCTCTAGCTCAGAAACTCTTCTATCAAATTTATTCTTCAAAAAAATCACCCACGGGAGTAATGTCAGCAAAGACAGCAGAGTACCAATGGCCCTTCCCTCCAGAAAAACACACAAACAAAAAAATGAGAAGAAACTATCAGAATTAACTTCATCTGAACGCTGGAAAATAGTCAAAGGTTTACAGCAACTAAGTAAATAGTGGCTCAAGACAGAGGAAACATGAAATTTTGGTGGCATTTTTACTTGCCCTTGCCCCAATGCCCTCCCTGATTTAGTGACAATCTTGACAATGGCAGCCCACATTTCCAGCGTGGGACTCCAGTTCTACAGAAGGCAGAGCAGATCTTATTTTCAAAGAACTGTGTTTGTCTGTTTTGACTTATCTGGGGACAACCTTCAGGCCTGACAAAAGACACTTGCCTTACTTTCACCTAACTCAAGACTTTCTCAAGGCAGAAAAGTGGCTATACAGAGGGCATTCTTTGAAAACATTGAAAGGCAAATGAACAAACCACCGTCACCTGAAGCAAAAGATTACTGTTAAGGCACACAAAAGATATGCTGCAGCCTGGGAAGAAAGATTCTTTGGAGATTTAGTGCATTGAAAAGCTGCCATGTGTTACTGGGGAATTTAGAAAGCCATATGCATGCCCGTGGTAGGATGCATATTCAGAAAAGACCTGAGAAGACCCCAAACTTTCACATCTTGCTGATCTTTAGGCTCAGTTCAAGCAGGCTATGAGAGGACTGTAAATAACCTGTCTAAGCTTTGAAAAAGTGCCCCAGTGCAGAGCCAATCAGCAAATTTTAGAAGAATACATTTTGTTGTTTATTTATTTTTATTTTGGAAGTAGTGGTGAGGTGGGTGGTGAGGCTCCAGGTATTCAAGGCCATCTGTCAAAACAATTGCTAACCACAAGCTAACAAACAGACACTTCAGACATCATACATGACAAAGGTACAGTCTTTACAAAAATAGCTTACAAAAGTTGGCCAGGTGCAGTGGCTCATGCCTGTAATCCCAGCACTTTGGGAGGGTGAGGAGGGAAGATTGCTTACGTCCAGGAGTTCAAGACCAGCCTGGGCAACACAGCACGACATCATCTCTACAAACAATTTAAAAATTAGCCAAGCATGGTCAGGCATGGTGGCTCACACCTCTAATCCCAGCACTTTGGGAAGCCAAGGCAGGCGGATCACTTGAGGTCAGGAGTTTGAGACTAGCCTGGCCAACATGTTGAAACCCTGTCTCTACTAAAAATACAAAAATTAGCCAGGCGTAGTGGTGTGCACGTGTAATCCCAGGTACTTGGGAGGCTGAGGCAGGAGAATCGCTTGAACCCAAGAGGTGGAGGTTGCAGTGAGCCGAGATCACACCACGGCACTCCAGCCTGGGTGACAGACCAAGACTCCGTATCAAAAAAAAAAAAAAAAAAAAAAAAAAAAAAAGATTAGCCAAGCATGGTAGCACATACCTGTGGTCCCAGATACTTAAGAGGCTGAAGCAGGAGTACTGCTTGAGCCTGGGAGGTCAAGGCTGCACTGAGCCATAATTGTGCCACTGCATTTCGGCCTGGGCAACACAGCGAGACCCCATCTCAAAAAAAATAAAAAATAAAAAGAAAGTCACCAAACAATTACAACCCACACAAGCAACAAAAACAAACTCTGAGGATCTGAGGAAGGGGAAGAATCTGAATTCCAGCATTATCACACATTACAATAATAAAATGTCCAGTTTTCAAAAACTTACAAAGCATGCAAAGAAAAAAGAAAATATGACCCATCATGGAAGAAATTAACAGAAACTGTTCCTGACATTGGACTTACTAGACAAAGACTTTAAATCAGATTTCTTAAGTATGCTCAAAGAGCTTAAAGGAAACATGGACAAGGAACTAAAGGAAACCAGGAGAATTATGTCTCAACAAATACAGAATATCAGTAACAAGACAGAAAGTATAAAAAGGAACCAAAGAGAAATTCTAGAATTGATAAATACAATAACTGAAATGAAAATTGCACTAGGGAGGTTTAAGAGCAGATCTGAGTAGGCAGAAGAAAGAAACAGTGAAACTGAAAATAGGCCAATTGAAATTATCAAACTAGAGGAGCAGAAAGAATGAAGAAAAATGAATGGAGGCCAAAAGACCTGTGAGGTAACATCAAGCACTCTCAACACATAATGAGAGTTCCAGAAGGAAAGAATAGACAGAAAAGGAAAGAATTATTTGAAGAAATAATGGCCAAAAACTTCCCAAATTTGATAAGCCAATTTCTCAGCAGAAACTGTATGTAAGCCAGAAAGCAGCAGGGTGACATATTTAAAATGCTAAGGAAAAAAAAAAAAAAAACAGTCTAACGGTAATTCTATATCTGACAAAACTATCTTTTAAAAATGAGAGAGAAATTAAGACATTCTCCCTAGTAGACCTGCCCTACAAGTGATGCTAAAGAAGTCCTTCAGGTGGAAATGAAAGGATGCTAGATAATAACACAAAGCCATACAAAGAAATAAAGAATACTGGTAAAGGTAACTGTATAGATAAATATGAAAGTCAGTACTATTTTACTTCTTAATTTGCAACTCTTCTTTTTTTACCCTTATGAACTAAAAGACATCTACATAAAACAATAATCATAAATCTGTTGACAGTGACACCACGTAAAAGAAGTAATTTGTAGCAACAACATAAAAAAAAACAGGCCAGTGGAATAAAACTGAGAATCTAGATATAAACACCTACATCTACAACCAACTGATTTCAGAAAAGGGTGTCAAGACCATCCAAAGGAGAAAGAATAATCTGTTTTAATAAATGGTGCTGGCACAACTGGATATCCATATGCAAAAAAATTAAGTTGGACACCTTAACATATACAACTCAAAATATACCAATGAACTAAATGTAACAGTTAAAACTATAAAATTCTTAGAGCAAAACATAGAGTGTATATTCATAACCTTGGACTTGACAATAGACAGATATAATACCAAACATATAAGCAAAAAAGAATAGATAAATTGAACTTCATCAAAATTAAACCTTTTGTACATCAAAATGAAAGATAACCTACAGAATGGGAGAAAATATTTGTGAATTGTATAAGAGACTTGTATCTAGAATACATAAAGAACTCTTACAACTCAACAAAAACACAACTCAATTAAAAAATGTGCAAAGAATTTGAAAAGACCTTTTGGGTATACACCTGGGAGTGGAATTAAGAAGATATACAAATGGCTGACAAGCACATGAAAGATGCTCATCACTAGCCATTAGGGAAATGGAAATCAAAGCCACAAGAGGCCAGTGTAGTGGCTCACGCCCATAATCCCAGCACTTTGGGAGGCTATTGCTTAGGCCAGGAGTTTGAGACTAGCCTGGACAACATAGGGAGACCCTGTCTCCACAAAACTTTTTTAAAAAAATCAGTGGGGTGGCCGGGTGTGGTGGCTCACACCTGTAATCCCAGCACTTTGGGAGGCCGAGGCGGGTGGATCACCTGAGGGCAGGAGTTCGAGACCAGCCTGGCCAACATTGCGAAACCCCATCTCTACTAAAAATACAAAAAAATTAGCCAGGCGTGGTGGCAAGCGCCTGTAGTCCCAGCTACTCAGGAGGTTGAGACAGGAGAATCACTGGAACCCGAGAGGTGGAGGTTGCAGTGAGCCAAGATCACGCCATTGCATTCCAGCCTGGGCAACAAAAGCGAGACTCTGTCTCAAAAAAATAGTAATAATAATAAAAAATAAATTAGTGGGGCATAGTGGTATACACCTGCAGTCTCAGCTATTCAGGAGACAAAGATAGGGGGATCGCTTGAGCCCAGGAGTGTGAGGCTACTACTGCACTCCAGCCTGGACAACAAAGTGAGACTCTGTCTCAAAAAACAAAGCCACAAGATACCACTTCACACCCACTAGGATAGCTACAATCAAAAATATGGAAAATAACAAGTGTTGGTGAGGATGAGAAGAAACTGGATCCCTCATACAATGGTGAGAGTGTAAAGTGGTATAGCTGCTGTGCTATATATATATATAGCAGTTTCTCAAAAAATTAAACATGGAATTATGAGTCACTCTTCCACTCTTAGATATTACCAAAATAATTGAAAATGGGTAGTAAGACACTACCTGTTCTAATGTTCACAGGAGCTTTCACAATAGCCAAAAGGTGAAAACACCTCAAATGTCCATCAGTAGATAAACAAACAAAATGTGGTAAATATATACATGAAATATCATTCAGCCATATAAATAAAGTACTGATTTGTATTATAATATGGATGATCTTAAAAATCGTGCTAAGTGAAAGAGGCCACATACAAGGTCACATAGTATATGATTTCATTCATATGAAATATTCAGAATAGGTAAATTCATAGAAACAGAAAGCATATTGGTGGGTGCCAAGGGCTGGGGCAGAGGCAAACTGGGAATTGCCACTTTCTTTTGGGGTGATGAAAATGTTTTGAGACTTGATAAAGGTGACAGTTACACAACACTGTGGATGTACCAAATACTATTGAATTATATAGTTCAAATGGTTAATCTTATGTTGTTTATAAATTAAATGTCACCTCAATTTAAAAAGGAAACAAGAACAACAACAACAACAAAACACCTGTGGCCTTAATCAGAAAGCCACAAATTATCTTCAATTTCTTTTTTCCATCATCACTTACACCCCACCTGTCACTGAGCTAAGGCAGATTCTACTTCCACTTTAGAAGGTGATTTTCCCCCTTTTTCCTTTGCAACTGTCCCTGCCTTCATTCAGAACCATCACTTCTCACCTACTAATTACAACAGTTTCATAGATTGTCTAGTTGTCAACAGCACTGTTCCCACATTTAATCCCTTCTGAAGTTGCTGCCAGATTCACCTTTCTAAAAATGCAAATCTAATCATATAAGTTTCCTACTCAAAATCTTTCCTTGTTCCCTGATAGCTTTCAGGATAATATGAAGCTCCTTATCCTAGCACAAAAGGCCATTCCTATTCTAGCCCCTTCCTATCCCTCTGGGCTCACTTCCTGTCACTCCTCCCCTTCCTCCACTATACAGAGGGTGTAGTCTTCCTACTTCCAAGATCTATGCTCAGCCTGGGCAACATGATAAAACCAAAAAAAAAACCAAAAAAAAAAATGTCTCCACAAAAATGTCTCTACAAAAAAATACAAAATTAGCTGGGCAAGGTGGCATGCACCTGTGGTCTCAGCTACTCTGGAGGCTGAGGTGGGAAGATCACCTGAGACTGGGAGGTTGAGGCTACAATGAGCTGTGATGGTGCCACTGCCCTTCAGCCTGGGCAACAAAGTGAGATTCTGCCTCAAAAACAAACAAACAAACAAACAAAACCAAAAACAAAAACAACAAAAACCATGCTGTTTAATTAAGTTCTCTACTTCTGCCTGGGATACTCTTTCCCAAGTGAGCAACTTCCCTAAAAATTCAACTAAACGTCTCATTCAGTTTCCAATTCTCTATTTTCACAGCATACCAACCATTTCACAGCATACCAACCATTTATGCCATGCTTGGATAATGGTTGGTATACAGTTATACCACACTGTAGTATAACTGGCTTATTTTCTAATCAACTAGATAATCCCCCAGTAGACTCTCAGAGCAGGGGCCATGACTTTATCATACTTCTGTCTCAAGAACCTAGCTCAGCAAATGTTCATCCATTCAGTCATTCAGTCAAGCATAAAATAATTCAGGGATCCACTCATCCTTCACTACCTGATCCTCAGTAGTGAGGATCACTATTCGTCATTCCCCACTCACCGTTGCCCTCATCCTTCATGACTAGCCAGTATCTGAGAATAACTGGCAACTTGTTTGTGTAATGTTTCTGTTTAGTACTCCATCCTCAAACTAAGTAAAACAAGAGCTTTTGACATGATTAACACATTTGATACACGAAAGAATACTTTTTAATCCTTCTTATTAAAAAAACTGAAAACTAGTCTAAGTCAATCTAAGGAAATGTAAAAAAAAATGCAAAGTTTCATTAAATAAGACTGCAGTCAAGGCAAAATCCTTTAATTAGTTTAGAAAATTTTTAAAAACCTTAAATACAAAAATTTAACTAACTGTTCTCTCCCTCACTGGAAATACAATTCAATTTCAGTCTTTAGAGTTTGACATAGTTATACTCACTCCTGTACCACTATCTACCAATCCCCTAAGGCATATTGCCAAGTTCTCAGGCTTGCCAAATCATTTGGTTGGCATTAGATAATATGCTGGAAACTAGATTCTTTTGGAATATTTTTCAAAGAAAGTATTCTCTACTCTTTCCTTTTGTTTGTGCTGACACACTTGATATCTGAGAATGTTTTGACAATCTGAATGTACCCAGGTGAGCCCAAGAAAAGCCAGAATATATCTCAGGATTTCCTTGATGACTAGAGATAAATTAATATTTTAAAATATCTAAAATATATAAATATTTCCTATAAAATTACATTTGTGTGACACATTAAAGTGTTTTGTTAATGAGGTTAGTTTTACTCTAGTTGTTCAAATCCAATCTAATTCTGCCCACTTTACAACATCTATAGATTTCAAACCCTGGAAGGCATGAAGCACAACTATAAACTTTCTTAGAATCAAGACTGATTCTTCCTAGGGCTATTTCTGCTGGACCCAAAGCATTTCCCCCAAGTTAATATTTGATAAATTCCCAGAAAAGACCTCGGGCAAACATTTTCTCAATGCCACCAATTCTTGTGCTTTGCCTAAGTAATTCATTTGTTTTATATTTTACAGGTTTGGGATCACTTTATTATTATTTCCATCTTTGCAATTGGCTACTAAAAAGCTCACAGCTAGCCGGGTGCAGTGGCTCACATGTGTAATCACAGCACTTTGGGAGGCTGAGGCAGGCGGGTCACCTGAAGTCAGGAGTTGAAGACCAGCCTGGCCTACATGGTGAAACCCCATCTCTACTAAAAATACAAAAATTAGCCAGGCGTGGTGGCAGGTGCTTGTAATCCCAGCTACTTGGGAGGCTGAGGCAGGAGAATCACTTGAACCCAGGAGGCGGAGGTTGCAGTGAGCTGAGATGGCGCCCACTGCACTCCAGCCTGGGTGACAAGAGCGAAAGCCCGTCTCAAAAAAGAAAAAAAAAAAAAAAAGAAAAGAAAAAGAAAAAAGCTCACGGCTAACTTACGGCCCATTTTTAAACTTCCTCATATGCAATCTGGTTATTATCCTCATTCTGAGCTCCATCTTATTAAACTTTTTTTCTCCTTTGCCATTATATATATTTAATTTTGTCATGCTGGATATATTTTTGTAAACTGCCTTTAATCCCTTCTGGAAGAAATCCTTTAAAAAAACCTCATATACACACTTGGCTAATTATTAGCCAGTCTGTTTCTGGGCCTCCAAATGTTACAGGAGCCAGACATAAAATTATTTCACAGCTGTTCAACAATCCTTGTGTTCATTCTTAGTTGACTATATATCTATTCCCCCATATAAACCATTATAGGGATTTTTCATTCTCTTTGAGCCATCACAATTTATCTCACTCTAAATAAATAATGTCACTGCCTAAATTTCAGAGATGAAAGAACCAAGCAGTTAAGCTTCCTCACTTTCCTCACCACACCCCATCTCAAAATTTCTAAATTATAATCTTGACCAAAAGAAAGGTCTCCATCTGGGTTCTTAATGCTAACATTTTTCAGTTTCTTTCTATGGACATGCTTCGTTTTTGTTTAGAGACAGGGTCTCACTCTGCCACCCAGGCTGGAGTGCAGTGGCGCAATCATAGCTCACTGCAGCCTCAAATTCCTGGGTTCAAGCAATCCTCCTGCCTCAGCCTCCTGAATAGCTGGGACTACAGATGCACACCACCATGCCTGGCTAATTTTTTTATTTTTTGTGAAGATGAGTGTCTCACTTTATTGCCCAGGCTAGTTTCAAACTCCTGGCCTCCAGCGATCCTCCTGCCTTCGCCTCCCAAAGTGCTGGGATTACAGGCATGAGCAACTATGTGTGGTCCAACTGGTATATTTAATGGCATTGATTCTGCTGGCTCCTTCATGTGCCAGAGGAATTTTATAAAGAACACTACATTCTCTGCTGTTGTCATTTTCCAGGTAGTACCAGAGGTTCCTGCCATGGACCGAAAAGAATAGTGATTTGGGACTAGAAACTGCGAGGTGGTGAACCAATAGCAAGCAGTGAGGGACAATTTAGAAGGTATAATAGAAAACAGATAAAACCCTGAAAGGCAACAGTTAATAATCAGGCAAGTGGCTGGTTTGAGGGAAGTTCAGCATGCATTAACAGATATCCCAACGATAGGAAATCACAAATGTCACACATCAGAGAGACCCCTCTCCAAAGGCTTAGGGTTATCAAACCAAGGACTCTTCAAAGAGAAATGTAAGTAGCCCAGGTACCTGAATTGGAGTGCAAGGTGGGGAACAAATCACTGGAATAAGGTAGTATACTAATTATAAATACTGAATAAAGCATCAAACTAGCAACAACTACCCTTACTGCTGAATCCCCTGGCATTGAAATGGAACTCTAAATCCTTCCTAAGGGCACACTTGGTCCCAGAGGCTAGGCCGGGTGGAGGGGGTAGCGTATTAGTAGGAATCAAGTGGAACAGATGAAAGAAAATGATCACGGCAGTGACATGCAGAATAAACTGCCAGGAAGAGAAACCCTAAAAGAAGGATAATGAGCTAAGAGTCTACTGTAATAAACACATGAAAAGCTAAACTTAAGAAGCATATTACCTGTATCAAAGCCTCATAAATTTACTAATATCATATTGAAACTAATGTATGTGTGTGAGAGAGAAAACATAAGCGCTAACACATGTGCTGTGGGCTGATCGTCCATTAAAATGGCTCTTTCCCAAAGTCGCCAAATGATCTTTATACTTAACAGCCAGTTCTTCACACTTAACCTACCTAAAATTGTACTCACATGGCACTGAAGACCAAGTGAAATAATTTGTCTTTATATATAGCAACAAAAGGTGTATCAGTTTACACATCTTATCCTACATGGTTCATTTCCATTCACCATCTCTTTCTCATTAGAAGTTTTTAAGGCTTACTCTTATGTGCACTCTCTCTCCTATCGTTTCAATATATTTGTAAATTTTGATGATTCTGATACAGGTAATATGCTTATTAAGAATCTTTTTTCTATGTGTGAGCCTCCTTCCAAATGTTGGATGCCTTCCTGATTGGTGAGTACGTTGTTGATTTTCCCAGTCCCATTTGGTTCCAGAGACACAAAGTAATTGGATACTTGCTTAAGATGAAAAACATTTTCATATAAACCTTTGATTTCTCTCAGGCTGAAAACTCTCACCTCTGATTAATTAAATTGTCTTCATTTTTCAGAGTCCAACAATACTAGTTTTAAAACTTCCAGGCCTTGTTTTCTGTTATTTATTATATGTTAACTCATTTAATCCTTAACTAAGATTCCTTCATTGGAACCACCACACACAGAAAATGATCTGAGTGCCTGTTTTCTCAAATATCCCAAGGATGGTTGATGACCAATGCTATTCCAGAACCACAAAACTGTTGTATTCATTCATACAACAAATGCTTAGCTCATTAGGGCTCAATTTTCTCAAGAAATACCAGTAAAGAAAGGCCACAAGTCACAACTATACAGTGGGTAGGTTATATTATCGTCACCATTTGACAGATGAGGAAACTGTTGACAGATGAGGAAACTGTGCCCCTACAGTGGCAGGGGTTGAGTTGCTTGACTAAGCTTACATAGCTAGTCAGTGGTGGATCCAAGATTCAAATCCAGGCTAGCTTCAAAATCTAACCATGTTATTCTGAATCAACTTAGCTCTTCCTCCATGTACAGACTACACCTTATGACCTAATCTTTAATGATCTGCTTTTTTAAAATCTGTATATTTCACATGCATACATTTGTATACACAATAAAACTGCAAACTATTTAAAGTAAGAACCACAATAAACTTCCCTCATATTTCCACAGTGCTAGCTCACAAAAGGTATTCAAAATTTGTTTGATTGTTGCAATAATAGCCATAAGAAATCAAGAAACAAAGAAAAGTGAATTCAAATAGGTGTGACTAGCTTACATGATATAAGCCTCTCGAGCCAAACTATAGTCATCAGTTGTTAGAGACATGCTAATATGTGTATATTAAACATTCTGAAATTTGAAGATAAAAATACAAACAAGATTTACATAACATAAACATATCACCAATAATTTTCAAGTTATCATATAATACTAATATAAAGGCTGCTATTTCAGCAATTTTACTTCCTAGTTCCCTCTGATAGTTTCTTAGGTTCCCACACAGATATCCTAAAGTACACAGAAAAAAAACAGAGAAGAGAGAGACAACATAGTTAAAGACGAAAGTCTCCAGAAATCTGTTGGGATTCTATTTTGGAATCTACACATTGAGACTAAAGTTGACATGGCAGAAGTGAAAGGAAAAAAAAAATGATTTCCACCCAAACTACAGGATGCCATACATAAATACCTTCAAATTTTCATATTGTTGCCATTGCTAATAGATTTGTAAATCATCCAGTTGTCCCAATAGTTTTCTTCAATTTGGGTTGGGGCTGGGGGGAAAAGATACAATCTAGAATAGAAAAGTCTTTCAGTATTTCCAACTCTAAAGCAGAGAAAAAAGAAGTTTACAAAATAAACTTCTTAAAAGGTTGTAAAGACAAATGAAACAGAAACAGAGGTTAGACCTGGCAAGTTGATGAGTAGGTCATTTTACATTTGATGAATATTTCATCATGACTACTTGATAGCTTTCCTCCTTTTACTTGAATACCGATCAATTACAAAACCTAATTTTATAATTTCTTGAATATATCTACATTTTTATTACAACTAGAAATACTTAAAATACTTTAATATTAAAAAATATTTTAAATAAACTCATGACAAAATAATACAGTAAATAAACCTTAGAGAATATTAACAATAAAAGATAAAGATTACATTCTTAACTCTGAAATATGCAAGACTATATAGCTGGACTCTATTTTAAGTCATGATTACTTAATGGGAATTTGAGCTATGTGTTAATTTCATAACAGAAACCCCAAAACATTGCAAGTGCTTCTTTGTCAGACCCATCAAAGCCCCTGTAAAATGTACAAATGAAAAAAAAAAAAAAAACTACTTGACTTGACTTGAAGCCAGAAAAAGCAAGCCTGTATTTAATGAATATTTCTTCCTTCCCCACCCGCCCCTCCCCGGAAACCAAATATCACTCTACATTTCACCTGTAGTCTAGTTTTAGAGCATTCTTAAGTCTCTCTTAAAAGTCTCAAGTGACTCTCTTAAAAGTCACTGGGTGGGCCCAGTAGCTCATGCCTGTAATCCCAGCACTTTGAGAGGCCAAGGCAAGAGAATCACAGGAGTTCAAGAACAGCCTGGGAAACATGATGAAACCCTGTCTCTACAAGAAATAGAAAAATTAGGTGGACGTGGTGGCTTGCGCCTGTGTTCCCAGCTATTTGAGAGGCTGAGGTGGGAGGATCACCTGAGCCTGGGAGGTGGAGGTTGCAGTGAGCAGTGATCGTACCACTGCACTCCAGCCTGGGTGACAGAGGGAGACTGTCTCAAAAAAAAAAAAAAAAAAAAAATTTTCAAGCAAACTGATAGAAGTAATTTGAATGAAATGTCTGCCCCAATGATAATGTTTTTCATTTCTTGAAAATCATAAAACTAACACCCCAAATGATGTCAAATACTTAAAGTTGAAACATCGGATTACCACAATCTACAATGCATTAAAGTTTCACATATCAACATCAACAGCAAATTTTAATCCTGGACATCTCTTATTTAATTCTAAGAGGTACTAAAAAGCTCTATCAAATATATGTTAAAGGCCAAATGCATACATAAGCTAAAAATCCCAGAATGGTGCTTTTAAAACTAGTGCTCTTGAAAGAAAATTATACATCATGACTGGATCTACTCTGGGATCTTTCTACTCTGGGATGCTTTCATTTAGAAGGTTATCTCCATTGCAGGCAAATTTTTGCCTAATGTGAATCGTAGTGCTCTTTTCCTTTAATGTCAAAGCCTGTGTCTTATATTTTAGTACTCACAGGTTTGCCATTTCATCATCCTTGTATGATTTGGTCAAAATATATATTTTTGGGTCAAGCACAGTGGCTCATGCCTGCAATCCCAGAACTTTGGGAGGCCAAGGCAGGAGGATCACTTGAAGCCAGGCGCTTGAGTCAGCCTGAGCAACAAAGCAAGACCTCATCTCCAAAAAAAATTAAAATAAGGGTGGGTGCAGCAGCTCCTGCCTGTAACCTTGGGAGGCTGAGGCAGGCAGATCACTTGAGCTCAGGAGTTCGAGACCAGACTTAGCAATATGGCAAGACCCTGTATCTACAAAAATACAAAAAATTAGCCAGGCGTGGTGGTGCGTGTCTATGATCCCTGCTACTTGGGAGGTTGAGGTGGGAGGATTGCTTGATCCCTGGAGGTTGAGGCTGCAGTAAGCCAACACTGCACCACTGCACTCCAGCCTGGGGCAGAATGAGACTCCGTCTCAAAAAATAAAATACATACTATATATATTTAAACTATACAGTTTTTTAAAATCCAAATTGTGCAATTAAACAAGGAAACAACATATTCTGCTATTAAATTATCCCAGAAAAAACTCTGTGATTTCACTTTAGGATCAAAACCAAAAATCATTGTTATTGAACTACTAGACTTTTCAATAAATTTCCATTTCATTAAGTACTTATTTATTGAATGCTTACTATGTATAAGGCACCATGCTACATTCTGTGAGGGCATCCAAAGAAGAATAAGACATTTCTTAACCTAAAGGGGCTTATGGAACAGAAGAAATCTTTTTTAACATGTAATGATAACAGCAGAAATCTCTCTAGTACTGGGCAGTGTTTTCAGTATTTTAAACATACATTAACTCATTTTATTCCTCCTAACAGCTCTGTGAAATAGGTAGGAAAATGAGACTCAGAGAGGTTAAGTAACCAGAGCAAGGTGGGGAATAATAAGAGGTGAACTGGGATGCGAATGCAGGCAGTGTGGCTCCAGAGTCCATGCTTCTAACCACTCTGCCCCACTTACTCTCAAGCACTGATGAAGGTATAACGAAGTAATAATGATGGCAGTTTCTTAAAGCTACAGAAAAAATGTATGGAGTTTCCAAAATTAGATTACATTCCATCAAGTAGAAATTTAAATATGGTCCCAGAAGGGCAGGTGAGTTTCAGGGGAACAGTTGAGTAGGAATTCTGGGAAAGAGAGATGCCTAAGAAAAAGCAAGACATTGTGTGAAAGCAGTCTACCTTTGCAGGGTCATGGATAGAGCTGGAAGCCATTATCCTCACCAAACTAATGCAGGAACAGAAAACCAAATGCCGCATGTTCTCGCTTATAAGTGGGAGCTGAACGATGATGTCATATGAACACTTCAGGGGTTATAACACACACTGGGACCTGTTGAGGGGGCAGGGGAGGGACAGCATCAGGAAGAATAGCTAATGGATGCTGGACCTAATACCTATGGTTGATCTGTGCAGCAAATCACCATGGCACATGTTTACCTATGTAACAAACCTACACATCCTGCACATGTATCCCAGAACTTAAAAGTGGATGGGAAAAAATAAATAAAAAGTATATGTAAGAAGATAGCTAGAAGGGAACAGGGAAAAGTGTTCTACCACTAAAGATTTCTGAGCTGGGTATCGAGAGAGTATGGAAAAGATGGAAGTGGGCTTGGACACTGGGTGACCAGTAAGGTGTCTCCACAGATAATTTAAAGAGGTCATACAGCCTGGACTACAGTGGTGATAATGGGGATAGAGAGGAGAAGAACAAAAAGGCAAGACACTACAGAATCTGAGATTTCACAATGGGATGAATGTGTACACAGTGCCTGCTGTGTATCTGGGGACTCAGGAACAAGCATGTCAGAGGCATGAGAAAATGGAGTCAAAGGTCCTAGGCTTTTAGCCTGGAGTACTGGAAAATTGGGACAATCATCAATAGAAGCTATAAACTGAGGAGAGGGAGCACATATAAATATAAGGCAGCTATCTCAGCACAGGGCAATGGGAAAGAGGCCCAGGTTGAAGATAAAGATTTGGAGTCAATTGCAGAGTTTAGACTTTAAGAACTACAGCAAATGCTTCAGGAGTAAGTAGACAGAAAGGAACAGAACTAAGGAGATAACCTTTTATACCTACAGGTACCTTATGGGAGGAAGGGTTAACAGCCAAGAAAGGAGATAAAAGCAGCAGAGGTAAGAATAACGTTGCTACAGTAGCGCAAGGTTCAAAATGAGGAAGGCTCAAAAAGGAGCGAAAGGCCAAGATTAGGGAGGTCTGAGAAGGCGTCAGAGTAATACATTATACTGAAGGACTAAGGAAGATGTTTTCAAACTAAGGAGATGTTTTCAAAGTTTTGCAAAGCAAATATCTTACTTTACTTTTTTTTTTTAATGTGCAAAGACTAATATGTATGTATTGATGCTAGCCCCCTATAGCTAACACAGGAGATGGATTTAAAGTACACAAAATACTATAGAATTGCAACCCCTCAGACTGAAGAAGATACTGAAAATAGATGAAGCTGCAATATAAACAAAATTTACAGCTTGCTGTAATGTCAATTTTATTCATTAGGTAAAGTATTTCATATGAAAACAAAACCGCATTAAGAAATGAAGTAGAAGATTCCCAAGACTTCAAAGAATTTTCACTCTTGCCTCAATCCCTTCAGTTTTGCTTCCCCAACTCCCCATGTTTGCATTCATTCTCCCGAATCTTTGGCTCTGTCCTCAGAGTGCCATATAATTCAGCATGATAAATGCCTACCACAGGGGAAGATATAAGGCACTACGACAGCACAAAGAGGGATCCTTCCTGAGCCCTGGGGAATCACAGGCAGCTTCCTAGAGGAATTATACAAATTCTAACTTGCGACAGCAGTTAAGTGTGGGAATAATTTAACTGGTGTCCCAAGAATAATATATCCCAGAACTCTCAAGTCTCATCCATACACTGAAGTTATAATAGATTTGGAGGGAATTAAACTTAAAACATGTTGTTAATAAAATGGTGCTTGCAGCTAGGAGAAACTGACAAGTGTTTTGCTTTTTATTTCAGTACTATAAATGACCAGACTTCCCATTCTTCCTATGTAAAATAGCAATATTAGTATCTTCTGAATTCACTCAATCATTTATAATTAAAGTTCAGTTAACTTCACAGGGATGTTCAAAGACAGCTGACAGTAAATGTTTGAGATTCACATACATAGAAACTATATTTAGCCAGGGGTTGGTGAGCTTGGTTAAAGTATGATACTAATGAACACATGGTTCCGATGTTCATACGTTCTATAAGCTTAACTTTTCCATGGAGTAAACTTGGCCAGTTATCTTCAGTTGTGCTGCAGATGGTCACAATATGAATTGTTTTTTTAAAAAAAGGAAACGAATCAGTTTAACACTGCCACCTGGATAACATAAATCATGTCCCAACACACCTCCCAGCTTCCACTCTTATTCCTCTATAATCCGTTTCTCCATCCAACAGCCAGGATGATTTTTTTAAAGGCACATTAGACTATGTTGCCCACCACCCAGTTCCAGTTAAAAATCTTTCAACAAAGCTCTATTCACAGTATAATAGGAACCTAACTCTTACAGGGCCCTACAGCATCTGGCCCCTGCTTACCTCTGCAGCTTCATCTCACACCACTGTCCCCTTGCTCCCCATGCTCCAGCCACCCAAGTCTCCCTGCTGTTCCTCGAGCAAATCAAGGCTCCTTTCCACAGCAGAGCCTTTGTACCTCCTGTGTCCTCAGCCAATACACACAGTCAGACACAGCCCCCGTGCTCATGGGTAAGAACTGAGGAAGGAAATGTCCAAGCAAAAACAAACTATATAAAAAGCACATGAGGCCCCATGTGATAAGCATGAAGTGGCAGATAAGCAACAATCTTGACAGGACAAAATAACAAGTTTAGGGAAAATTAAAATTAATGTTAATAAGCCATACTCATTGAATGAAGAACTCTGAATTATTATCAAACAACCCAAGACCCAATATAAAGTGAAAATCTCAACTTTACCCAGTGCGCTTCCACACTCAGACAGGCCAATAAAATTATTAGAAACAAAACAGTACCCCCCCCAAAATGGTGCACTAACACTAACAATGCTACAGTCAATACCAGTGAATTCTGAAGCCAAGATTATTACGCTGGAGGAGTAATCAAAATGATGAAGAGGGTAGGACGCTGGTGATGGTTGCACAACAATGTGAATATACTTAATGCCACTGAACTGTACATTTAAGAAGTGTATAAGGCAGGGCGTGGTGGCTCACGCCTGTAATCCCAGCACTTTGGGAGGCCAAGGCAGGCAGATCACTTGAGGTCAGGAGTTTGAGACCAGTCTGGTCAACATGGTGAAACCCCGTCTCTATTAAAAATACAAAAAATGAGCCGGACGTGGTGGCGGGCGCCTGTAGTCCCAGCTACTCAGGAGGCTGAGGCAGGAGAATCGCTTGAACCCAGGAGGCGGAGGTTGCAGTGAGCCAAGATCGTGCCACTGCACTCCAGCCTGGGCGACAGAGCGAGACTCCATCCATTATTTTATACACTTAAAAATGGTTAAGATGGTGAATTTTATATTATGTGTATTTTACCAGGTTTTTTTTCAAGGAATAGGAAAGTTTCAACAGATCTGTAAGACAATTTTTCACCATGAAAAAACATAAAAGCTAAGAAAGATACCTTCTAAATCTATTAAATTGAAGATGCAGTAAGAATATGTAATGGTTCACTAACAGAAAAAAGAGACAGTTGAAAGAAATATATTTTTAACATGTTTAGCTTCACTAATAAACTTACATTATTAAAACAAGATATTATTTTCACCTGTCAAACTAGAAAATAAGCAAAAAAAAAAAAAAAAAAAAAGCTAAAAAAAAAAAATAACCTGGGCAAGGAAAATGAGTTCTCATGTACTTTGCTAGTGAAGCTATAGTCAAGGCCCTTTGGAAAAGGAACTTGTCAGCATATATTAGGAGTCTTAAAAATGTTTATACTCCGCTAGGCACGGTGGCTCACACCTGTAATCCTAGCACTCTGGGAGGCTGAGGCGGGTGGATCACCTGAGGTCGGGAGATCGAGACCAGCCTGACCAACATGGAGAAACCCTGTCTACTAAAAAAAAAAAAAAAATACAAAATTAGCCGGGCGTGGTGGCGCATGCCTATAATCCCAGCTACTCAGGAGGCTGAGGCAGGAGAATCACTTGAACCTGCGAGGCGGGGGTTGCAGTGAACCAAGATTGCGCCAGTGCACTCCAGCAGGAGCAACAAGAGTGAAACTCCGTCTCAAAAAAAAAACAAAAAATGTTCATACTCTTCGGCCCTGCAATTGCACTTCTGTGAATTAACTCTAACGAAATAATCCTAAGTGTCTAAAAAGATTAATGCACAAATATGAATGTTCTTCACAGCACTATTTATAAATATAGTAGAAAATGAAATGAACATCAGGCAATAAGAATAAAGCTCTGGTACAGCCATATGTTTTGTTTTGTTTTGTTTTGTTTGGAGACAAGTTCTCTCTGTTGCCCAGGCTGGAGTGAAGTGGCATGATCTCGGCTCACTACAACCTCCACCTCCCAGGTTCAAGGGATTCTCCTGCCTCAGCCTCCTGAGTAGCTGGAACTACAGGAATGCACCACCACACCCAGCTAATTTTTGTATATTTTTTGGTACAGACAGGGTTTCCCCATGTTGACCAGGCTGGTCTCAAACTCCTGACCTCAGGTGATCTGCCCAATTCAGCCTCCCAAGTGCTGGAATTACAGGCACGAGCCATCATGTCCAGCCCAGCCATATGTTTTTTATAAGAAACTCACAATGTTTCTGAAGAACTCGTGGTAATTTGTGAAAAAATTATGAAAAATTGTATATACCAAGTATAATTTCAAACATTTTCAGGCCAATGTGGTGGTTTACACCTGCAATCCCAGCGTTCTGGGAGGCAGAGGTGGGAGGATCACTTAAGCCCAGGGAGACCATCCTGGGCAACACGGCAAAACCCTATCTCTACAAAAAAATACAAAATATTAGCCGGGCATGGTGGTGCGCACCTGTAATCCCAGCTACTCAGGAGGCTGAGAGGCTGGAGGATTGCTTGAGCCCGGGAGGTTGCAGCTGCAGTGACCATGATCACACCACTACACTTCAGACTGGGCAACAGAGTGAGAACCTGTTTCAAAAAAAAACCAAAAAAAATTTTCAAACAACATAAACAAAAACCTTTGCCTGTAATTCTTCTGCTTTTCTATAGCTGAGCTCATGTCACAGTAATAGTGGGAAAGGAAGAAGTTTACTTCTAACTTATATTTGGGAAAAGAAAGCTATGAACGTCATAAAACATCCACCCAGCTGTCTATCATCTCAATTAAGTTGTTGGTACTCTAAGATCAGGAGCCAAGTTTTATTTATCGCTAACATCTGGCATATAACTAATTGACATATAGTAATTGTTCAATATGACAATCCAAAAACACCTATCCATCTAAATGACAGCTTTCTGAATAAAAAGAAATACACACACACACACACACACACACACACACACTTTTTTGTTGTTGTTAAACAATCAGGAATCAGACAACCAAGCCAAAAAACCTGGGAATCTCTGAAGTAGAATTTATGATTTTTTTTAAATGCTGCCACCAATGAATGCTTTTTAAAACAATCTTTAGAGGAAGTAGTAGAAATGGATTCATGAAGGTAAGTTTTAATTC
This sequence comes from Homo sapiens, assembly GCF_000001405.40. Taxonomy (NCBI): domain Eukaryota; kingdom Metazoa; phylum Chordata; class Mammalia; order Primates; family Hominidae; genus Homo; species Homo sapiens. Next base: position 44,511,821 of record NC_000013.11, read on the forward strand.
AGACACTGAAGGAGGGCCTGATTATATTTGGTTAAGTGAAGAGCTTGGAGAGCAATTTAGATAAACAGGAGCTACCCAAGCAAAGGGCAGAATTAGGATCTTCCATCCCCTTTAAATGCCAATGCTCCCAAAAGTTGTACCTTCAACCTTCTGCTTTTCTCATTCTCATTCTACACACATTTTCAGGGCAATCGCATTTATTCTCACAGCTTTAATTATCACTTAAGATGACAGCTCCCACCATCAACATCTTCATTTCAGAATTGTATCCCAATCTTCAAACTCAAATTTGAACGCCCACTGGCCATCTCTACTTGGATATTTATTTCTTTTTTTGTTTGTTTGTTTTCTTTTTTTGTTTGTTTTTGAGACGGAGTCTTGCTCTTTCGCCCAGGCCGGAGTGCAATGGCGCTATCTTGGCTCACTGCAAGCTCCGCCTCCCAGGTTCACGCCATTCTCCTGCCTCAGCCTCCCGAGTAGCTGGGACTACAGGCGCCCATCACCGCGCCCGGCTAATTTTTTGTATTTTTAGTAGAGACGGGGTTTCACCGTGTTAGCCAGGATGGTCTCGATCTCCTGACCTCGTGATCCGCCCGCCTCGGCCTCCCAAAGTGCTGGGATTACAGGTGTGAGCCACCGCGCCCAGCCTTGGATATTTATTTCAAACTCAACATGCCTTAAGCTTAGTGTTTCCTCTGTAAACCTGTTTCTCCTATATTCCCTATTACTGTGAAACAGAACCACTTCCCACCTGGAAAATCAGATTATCTTCATCCCTTTCTCTACATCTACATCTATAAATTAACAAGACTTAGGAATTCCTTAGTAAAAGCAATCTTTTTTGTTTTGTTTTTTGAGATGGAGTCTTGCTCTGTCACCAGTGCAGCGACGCGATCTCAACTCACTGCAACCTCTGCCTCCCAGGTTCAAGCAATTCTCCTGCCTCAGCCTCCCAAGTAGCTGGGACTACAGGCGTGCGCCATCACGCCCAGCTAATTATTGTATTTTTAGTAGAGACAGGGTTTCACCATGTTGGCCAGGATGGTCTCGATCTCTTGACCTTGTGATCTGCCTGCCTCGGCCTCCCAAAGTGCTGGGATTACAGGCGTGAGCCACTGCGCCTGGCCTCTTCATTCTTATCTCTAAAGCCTGTGTCCTAATTCAGGATCAGGTTAGCTCCTTCCTAAATCCTGAAATTGCTTCCTAGTTGACTTTCTCACCTCCAGTCCTAACTTTCACCAATTCTTTTCAGAAATCAGCTTAAATGTCACATCCTCAGGAAGGTCTTGCCCATTCTCTAGGTCAGGTTGGATTTAACTGCAATTGATCTCACAGTACTCCTCTACTTCCCCTAACACTAAAAAATGTCCTTGTAATGGTTGTCTTTATCCTATTAAGTGAGCTTCTGCATGAGAGAAGGGATTGTCTCTCTGATACCATTTTGCTTTACTGCATCTAGGAGTTCATTAAAATCACTTATATGTGATCTAACATGTGACTAATAATTGCCTCATGCTTTATATCTCAAACATGAACATACTTTTCCAAACATATATAAATGTTTTTGGTGATCAATACTATACCAATTTAAATCACTGCTAGAAATGATAGGTTTTTGTCATGTATTTTCAAAAGTCACAATACACAAAACACATAACCTGTGACTTTTTTTGATAACAGAAATAGGTCTTCATACTTGAAAATGTGGAGATAACTAGATTGGGAAGAAAATGGCCTAACAAAATAGAGTGAAATATTTAGCAATAGAAAACACTCCAGAAATAAAGTGAATTGGCTAGGACAGAGATCCACTTATAAACCCTGGCTATGTTTTTTCATTCAGATTCAGAGTTTGTGTAAACCACTGGAAACCCTAACAACAGGAGACATATCCAACTACAGTCACCATAAGCAGTATCAACCAGGGCAATGCTGAACCGCAGTAGAGAATCTTTTCTCTTCTAACTTCTTTTAACTTTGTTCTCAGCTAATTAAGGCCTTCGGGAAAAGAGAATTCAGATGACAAGTTACTTCAGTAAGCACAAATAACCTCAGACACCAATTAAAAACAGTTTTAATAGATAAACCTTGAGGATAACCCACACCAAACTCAAACCATGTAGTAGAAAAGTTGCTAAAAGTTCCTTTCAACTTGCAGGTATAGACAACTAAAGTTTTGGCAACTCAACTAACAAGGAAACTGAGAATAGAAAATGTTACCTTTTCTATTACTCATTTATTCTATCACCCTTATATGCAAATTTGAAGGACATTCCAATTAAAACTCATTCTGAATATGATCTGATGATCTGGAGAAAATATGAATTATTCATTAAGTGTTATTAGAACAACTAGAAGCCATCTGCAAAAAAATACAATTGAATCCACTCAGTGCACCAAAATCAATTTCAAAGGAGTTAAGATTTATGTAGGAAAAAAAAAGAATCAATAAAGTAAATGTAAAATAATTCCTTTATCGCCTTGAAGTAAACAAGATCTTCCCTACTCAAAATTCTAGTCATAAAAGGAAACTTTGATGAATTTGACTACATAAAAAAAACCTATGCATGCCCCCCACATCACACACACACAAAAAAACCACCATGAACAAGATCAAAAGATAAATATCAAACTGGGAAAAACGTTTACTACTCATATCACTGACAAAGGGCTAATCCAAAACACACACATACACACACACACGATGATACAAACTGACAGTATACGGAAACACAAATATTTATAAAAAGAAGTTTAGGCCAGGTACCGTGACTCACACCTGTAATCCCAACACTTTGGGAGGCCAAAGGGGGCAGAACACTTGAGGTCAGGAGTTCAAGACTCGCCTGGCCAACAAGGTGAAACCACGTCTCTACAAAAAATATAAAAATTAGCTGGACATGGTGGTATGCACCTGTAATTCCAGCTACTCAGGAGGCTGACGCAGGAGAATTGCTTGTACCCAGGAGACGGAGGTTGCAGTGAGCCGAGATCGCACCAATGCACTCCAGCCTAGGTGACAGAACAAGATCCTGTCTCAAAGAAAAAAATAAATAAATAAAAGAAGTTTAAAGTCATTTATTAAAAACATGCAAATTAAAATTACTCTGAGATACAGTATTAACCTAATAGATAAGCAAAAATCCAGATGTTTAATGGCATACTCTAATGATAAGGCAGCAGGAAAAGAGGCATTCTCATCCATTGCTAGTGGGAGGGTAATCTGGTGCAACTCCTATAGAGGGCAATTTGACAATAGTCATCAAAATTATAAAATCATACCCTTTGTCCCAGCAATTCTACTTCTGGGAATTTAACTTATGAATATATATATGCAGATAGACAGGAACGACACCTGTACAAAGTTACTCACTACAGTATTATATTTAGTAGCAAAAGATAATAAACTATCTAAAATAAGCATTGATTAGAGATTGGTTAAGTAAAATGTGGTATATCCATGAGACACAATCCTCTACAACTATTTTTTTTTTAAAAAGAATAAGGTAGTCATCTATTTACTATATGGAAAGATGGCCAAGAAATATTAAGTGAAAAAAAAGCAAAGAGCAGAACAGCATATATAGTGTACAAGTTTTGTGTAAAATTTTAAGTGAAAAAAATCTTTTTTTTTTTTTGAGACAGTTCTTTCTTTCACCCAGGCTGGAGTGCAGTGGCACAATCTCGGTTCTCTGCAGCCTCCACCTTCTGGGTTCAAGTGATTCTCCTACCTCAGACTCCCAAGTAGCTGGAATTACAGACATGTGCCACCATACCCGGCTAATTTTGGTATTTTTAATAGAGACAGGGTTTTGCCATGTTGGCCAGGCTGGCCTCGAACTCCTGGCCTCAAGTGATCACCCACCTTGGCCTCCCAAAGTGCTGGGATTGCAGGTGTGAGCTACCATGCCTGGCCTAAGTGAAAAAAATTCTTAATTGCATGAATATGTATATATCTGAAATAACATATAAAAAACTTAATAGTGGCTGCCTAGGGCTAGGAAGGTGAGAAGTATTTGGTGAATTTAAAACAGGTATAAGAGCAAAACTTTGCAATATGTACCATTTTACACCTATTACAAATTTTCAAAAGAAAAACCACCTCACTTCAAATAAGCAGTAGAACTTCACAGAGGGAGAAATAAGGATATTAATATAAACAAAATCCACACTTCTAGTATACTATTTTCAAGAGTAGGCAAACTTTTCATGTTTTCTAATACTTTTTGAAATGAACAGCTGAAATAGAAAGTGGGGTTGATTTTAATAAAAACATATCCAATTCCCAAAAAGTGGTTTCAAGTGTTTTAGCTATTAGTAGTATGCAGTATCCCCGGAATAATACATTACTTGACCTGCAGAACTTTAGCACCTATGCTACTAAAAAAAAAGTTCTCTTGTTGAACATCATTAGTTTACTTGAGACTTTGGGGGCACTAGAAATTGACGCTGAATGGTGAGAAAGCACCTCCCTTTACCAGCTCCCCTCTACCACAGGTTACCTCCCTCTAATTCTGAAGAACCTGCTTTTTAAAAACAAATTCTCTTAATAGTCTTTTTAAAATCTCTTAATAAATAAAAGTTCCTGAAGACTTGAAATCAAGCTCCCAAAGGGGACTTCGGCATAAAGGCTTATGGAAACTAGCCACATGGTGGCCATCAGACAGAAAAGAAACCCAGGACACCCCAACACATCAAAGACACCCAGGCCATTTTCAAAGCACACCAGTGACTGCATTATACCAGTAAAGAAATATTCTTTTTATGGGGGGAAAAAAAAGCAAACTAATATTACAAGTGAATACTCACTTGATCTACCTTTGTTAAAATTAGCAAAATGTATAAAGAGACATTTTTTAAAGTACCCCATCAAGAATCCATTAAGCAGAAGAAATGAGGCTGAGGCACTTAGTTTTCTTCCCTCAAAGGCAGGATTTTTAAAAGTTAAATTTTCCCTCTGTAATTCCCTTCATTTCTCCTCCTATTTCTGGAAACAGCAACACTACTAACAACAGAAGCTTATCAAAGCAGAAAACATTTCAGCAAAAGCAGATCAATTACCTATAAGATGGAGGAAGAAAGGGATAGCAGTCTCTTCCTAAGTCCTGCCCAGTTAGTCACCCCGCCTTCTTCCTGCCACCTGCTGATCTCAGCTCTACACCAGGGCAACAATCCTAAAAAAGCAACCTGGAAGTACAGCTGCCTGATCCATCATGTTCCCTTCCTGGTCTGAGATCAATGAAAGGTTTACACAGAGATATACACGTGTGTGTTTGTGTGTATACACATGTATACCTGTATATAAAAATTTGATCTAGATTATATGTGTGTATATGCATTTTAAAGGAAATAATGGAAACGGACCTATTTTTCAAACCTCTCTATTCATCCTGTACTACAACCTATTTTACAAACTAATATTTATTTTTGTACACAATGTGCTCTTATGTATGACCATTACTTCTAAAACAGAGAGCAATAGTAACCATCGTTACCGTAAAAACAAAAACAAAACACACACACACACACACACACACACAAATGTACTCCTTCCTCACAAAAATTGGGTAAAGATTAGAAAAAATAAACAGTAAGCATAAATTAGAAAATTTCCCACAAGAAATTATCTACAATTGGCAAGACATATCAATAACAACAGAATTGTTAAATTTTCAAACTGAAAATGTGCAGGATTACTATCCATTGATCAATCAAAACCTGAGCATTTTGAAGTATTTTCCGGGCCAGGTGCGGTGGCTTGCGCCTATAATCCCAGCACTTTGGGAGACTGAGGTGGGTGGATCACTGGAGGTCAGGAGTTCAAGACCAGCCTGGCCAACATGGTGAAACCCTGTTTCTATCAAAAGAAAAAAAAAAAAAGTTTAAGTATTTTCCAGCTTAATACTATATATATATACATATATACGTATATATGTGTGTGTGTATATATATATATACACATATATATACATATATATACACACATATATATGTGTGTGTGTGTGTGTGTATATATATATATATATATATATATATATTTTTTTTTTTTTTTTTTTTTTAACAAGGTCTCACTGAGCCGAGGCTGAGTGCATTGGCAGGATCACAGCTCACTGCAGACACGGACCTCCCAGGCTCAAGCAATCCTCTCACCTTAGCCTCCAGAGTAGCTGGGGCTATAGACGTGCACCACCACGCCCAGCTAACTTTTTTTTTTTTTGTAGAGACAGGTCTCTATGTTGTCCAGGCTGGTCTCAAACTCCTGGACTCAAGTGATCCTCCAGCGTTGGCCTCCAAGTGTTGGGATTACAGAAGTGAGCCACCACCCCTAGCCCCTTATTTTCTTTAAATGACTAGGAATTAAATCTCAAAGATATGTCAGCATGTTCAAAATAATTTTGATGAAAAAAGAAGTTAAACATCTCAGAAGTGCTATGCTGCTGCAAAATAGAGGTAAACAAACGACAGTCACAAAAGGTATTTCTAATTAGGCAAACTGTGTCATCCCTCAAAAAAGGGAAAAATTAAAAACAGGTTGTTTATTTCATTCAGTTCTAATTATAGTATCTAGCTAGCAAAGTATCATGAATGCAGTATTACTTTCATCAAATTTTGGTTTAATATTTATCTAAGATTGTACAATTATTTTATTCAATAAAAGTTCAAAGATGTTGGAAATGAAAAACAAATGTGGGAATTAAGGTGATGGAAAACCCTATTAAGGCTGGAATTTAATTAACATGCAAATTATTTTAATTTTAAAGGCCTATGAGAGAAAAAAATTTTAAACCATACTCTAAACCAGTAACTTCCAACACAGGTGTGAGAAACAATCTACTTGGTGCTGAATTAAAATATTATCCAAATTACTGGTTTTTTATCTTAAAAGGAAAGACATTGCGCTTTGATTGTATTTAATAGGCAAACTGACACTGGTACACTTACTTAGTCCATCCCTTAATCAGATGGTCTCCCATCAACTCCCAGTGTTCAAGTTGAGGTTTTTAAAATTCAGGCTATCACTAAATATCCCTTCCCAGAGATGATCACAAGTCAAAATCACCTGAGAGTTCTGAAAGTGGTCAAACCTTCTATACTTATATCCAAATTAATTAAAACTATCTTGAAACTTTATTTTCAATGTTAGAAACACAATGTAATTTTTCAGTTTTGAAAGGCCTGAAACAGTGGATTTAGTGCCAATTATTTTCTTAAGGTGTTAGAATCTAGAACCGGTCTAAATTTTTTTTCTTCAATAGCATTTATTTTACCATTATAGAAAAGCAAGGGGCTGGGAGAGGATGTTATAGTTTAAGTTAGTTCAGCTTTTACAGAAAATGATTTCAACAATATCATTGTGATCTTATCTTTCATTGATTCAAAGCAGTATGTTTTACATCTATCATGTTAGGTTTCTTCTTTCACTGATTACTTTCCTTCCCTTTTTTTCATAGTAAATGAAAAATAAGGCTGACATCTTAAAATTCAATGTATGAAGGGTATAAGCCAATTAGCTATGCTAATAAGCAATGGCAAATGGTAAGCAAAAGTAAACAAGATCCTGGTCTCTCACAGGATTTTAGCTACAGGGAGAAATGGCACGCAAAAATGTAAAACCAGGAGTATACAAAATGGAGTATACATGGCACAATGACAGCAAACAGAATGATCTCACCTATTCAAGAACATCACAAGAGACGTCCCTGAAGTAAGTAAATGGGCAAAAGAGACAGCCAAAAAGTGGTCAAAGGTAAGACTGGAAAGGTAAATGGCGACTCTCAGGTTTTCAAAAATTATAGCAAGAATTTTTGTCTCTACCCTACCCATGAATCCCAAAATTAATTGGAAGCCAATATAATGTTTTAATTAAAGGAATAACATCACTCCAGCCAAATTCTGGAGAATGAATTTCATTAGCATAAGGTTATATACAAGGAGACCAATTAGAACTCTTGCATCCAAGTTAGGAAATCATGGATTGAGACAAGGTAATGACAACAGGATATATGGCTGAGATATTTCAGCCCTCCAGCCCGTAAAAAAACCAACAGGACTAGATGATGGATTATGGTGTAAGGACTACAGATATACTGAAATACGACACCCAGGTTTCCAGCATACATAACTGAACACATGTGGGTGACAGTCACTAAGATGAGATCTCCCAAAAGAAAACCAGATTTGAAGGCGAAGATCATAAATTCATAAAGCATGTTTGAAGTGCTCCTGGGACACCCAAAAAGAGAAGTCAAATAGGTAGATCTATGAAGTTGATCAGTGTTATAAACACGAGTCATCTGTGTGAAGGTATTCAATCTGTGGTATTGGTAGAAATGCCCAGAGAATTGACACATGATAACCAAGGACCCTGCCTAAGAAACTCCCATATATAAAGTCCAGGTAGAGTGAGAATGAGTCTGCGAATCAGACTAAAAACTGGCCAGAAAGACAGGAAATCAGAGGACTAAAGATTAATAGCACCCAAAGTGTGAAGAGAGAATGTAGTCTACTGTTTCAAATGCTGCTGAGGGTACACATATGACTAGATACAAAGCTGTCCACTTGATCTACTAATAACCTCAATAGTATTATTTCAGTGAGGTTATCAGAGGTGGAAGCAAGATTCAAGTGGGCTGAGTAGGGGAGGAATGGAGAGATTACAGAGTTTTTAAGTTTGGGTATGCAGAGGAAGCATGGGGAAGTAGCTAGATATAAATCAATGAAAGTTTTAGACAAACTTTAACATGCTTCTATGCATAAGAGAAGGATCTAGTTGAAAGGAAAAAGTTAAATATGAGAAAGAAGTAATTTTTTAAAAATCTTAAGATCTCAGATAGCAGAGGTGATAAGATATAGAGCATAGGTGAAGCTGAAGGAAGGGGTGTTGAACATGTCAGATTTATGTTTGGTATCAGAATGAAGGATATCCCATCTGATGGTTTCTAATTTCTCTGTAAGGTTGAAATGAAGTATCCACTGAAAAAGCTGCATATTACTCAACGTAAGTGTACTAGAATGTAATAAAATTTTGGCTAAATGAGAAGCCCTTTATGTAGTAACAGAGACTACTTTCACATTTATTGCAGGGTCTGGCACATAGTAAATGCTTTACATATATTAGCCAATGTATTCCTCAAAACCATCCCAGGAGGTAGGTGTGTTTATTAGTCCCTTTGCAGATGAGGAAACTGAGACATGCAGTTTAAATGACTTGCCCAAGGTGAGTGGCAGTGCTGGATATTCAAATCCAAACACTGACCCTAGAGAGCAAAAGCTCAGTGCGCTAAAAGACCTCTTATTGGGCTTAAGACTGCCCCTAGAGCACCCATATTGTCAATACAGATGGATGGTTTCTTAAGACAATTGAGAACCTAAGTCTGGGACTTCTAGGACGCTAACCCCCCACTATCAAATAATAAAAGATACAAACTTACTTTTAGCTAAGAAACCTAGGCAATTCCATTGTGATGATGTCAAACACAGTGAAAGCTTTCAGTCATGCTATGGGATTTAATTGTGTATCCTCATTACTGTATCATTTGTGGGGTACACCCCTTCCCCCTTTTTTTTAAATTAAATACAGCTCATTCTTACTGTGGCTTGTAGCATTCCCCTCTTCTGGCCTCCTGGACTCCTCCCCTTCATCTCTCTTACCCTTGCCCCCTCCACCCGGTCTTGATAGTGGTATATTAAAAAAAGAAAGAATGAAAGCACATAAAATGAGTCAGTTTGGGGTCAGTGGTATAAAGGGGGTATATGTTGTGAACAAATGTTTTAATAACAGTTGGCTGTAATCACTCCTCGCCATGTCTGGCACTGAAAATAAGGGAAAAAAAACCTACTGAATAAAAGTGACAAAGAATGGAAAAAAAAAAAAAAAGAAACCTAGGCAATAAGACTTCATAAATTGACAGCTATAAAGTTCACACACTTGAGGAAGAATCCGAAAGATTTTTCTTTCTTAACCTTTCATTACTTGTTTTCCAAAACTACAACTTTCTAACAGCACTAAAATGGCACTATAATTTACCTACATACATATGGATCTTCCTCACTAAATTTGGGCATCTCAAAGGCTGCCTATGTCTTCTTCCTTAAAATATTTGTTTGGCGCCTACTGTGTAGCAGCTGCTAAAAAAAACAATAGCAAACAAGACAGACGTGATCCCTGGTCTCAGGAAGTCAGACAATAAATAGACCAACAATATATGCTTTTAAATTGGGCAAAATAGTAGTAAAGAATTGATGTAATGTTAGAGAGTAAAAGTCAAGGAAGAGAACTAAATGTTTAGATATAATGACTAGAAAAGGCATCCCTGAAGAGGAAACATTTAAGCTGAGACTTAAAAGGGGCATTCCAGTCATTAGGAATCCCCTAAGGTAGTAGACAGTAACACATTCAGAGACTAAATGAGCCAAAGGTGGCTGGAGAGGAAGAATGAGGGTAAAGTTGGAAGAAAAGGTAGGGCCTGATCATTTAGGGTCTCACAGGCCATGATAAAGAATTTGGATTTTGTTGTTTGTATAAAGGAAAGCAATTAGATATTAAACAGAAAAGGCATTTTATTTATGCCTTTAAAATCACAAATCATATTCTGTGAATAAAACAGGGATCAACAGATAAGGCAAGACCAGTAAGGACTACTGCAATAATTAGGCAAGAGAGGATGGTGGCTTGAAGAGATTGAAAATGGAGATGGTGAGAAGTGGACAGGTTTGACAAAGATTTAAGAGGTAAATCTGATCTTTGGCAAAAGTACAAAGACAATTCAGTGGAGAAGGAAGAGTCTTCATGGTGCTGGACAACCACATGCAAAAGGAAAAATAATCTATCCAACACTGACCTTTTATCTTTCACAAAAGTTAACTCAGAAAGTATCACAGACCTATACATACAATTCAAAACTGTAAAACTTGTAGATAATGAGGAAGAAAATCTTGTTTGGCAATATATTTGTAAACACAGCACGAAAATCATGACCCATAAAGAAAAAATTGATAAGGTAGACTTCATTAAAATTGAAAATTTTTCTTCTCTGTAAAACACTGTTTAAAAAAAATGAAAAGACAAGCCACAGACTAGGAGAAAATATTTGTCAAACACATCTTATAAAGGACTGGTATCTAAAATATACCAAGAACTCTTAACACACAATAAAGAAAAAATCTTAAAAAAGAGCAAAAAATCTGAGCAGATGTATCACCAAAGATAATAGAGAAAAAAAAAAAACATGAAATGGAGCTCAACACCCTATATCACTAGAGAAATGCTAATTAAAACAATGGATACTACCACACCCCTATTAGACAGGCTACAATCACTGACAACACCAAATGCTGCTAAGAATGCAGAGCAAATGAATTCATATTCATTGCTGGTGGAAATGCAAAAACAGTACAGTCGAGTTGAGACAGTCTGCAGTCTCTTACAGAGCTAAGCACAGGCTTACTACATGACTCAGCAATTGCACACACAGGTATTTTCCCAAATGAGTTGAAAACAAGTCCACATAAAAACCTGCACAGGAATGTTTGCGGCAGCTTTATTCAGAACTGCCAAAAACATCAAGCAACCAAGCTGTCCTTCATTAGATGATGGATAAACAAACTGTGGTAGATATATACAATAATAAGAAATGAGCTCCCAAGTCACAAAAAGACATGAAAAAAACTTTCATATTGCTAAGTGAAAGCCAGTCTGAAAAAGCTACACACTGCATGACTCCAACACTATGACATTCCAGGAAAGGCAAAACTAGACAGATAGTAAGATCTGTGGCTGCCAGAGCCTGAGGTGGGGAGGTAGGAGTATGTGGCACGCAGAGAAGAAGGATTTTGCAACAGGGAGGACCCTGATGACAGAGCATTCACAGTGGTATCAGAAGCGACAACCAGAATGGAATAGATTGAAAAGTAAACTAAATTTGAGAGATTGTAACAATATAAGTAGACAACTCTTGATAATGAAAGTGAACAGAGATTGCAGAAGTTAGGGGGTGTGGAAAGACCCAAGGTGGCTTCCTTAAGATGATGTATGAAAGCATAATTAGATACTCATGAGAATGAGCTAATAGAGAAAAACATTTGCTAATAGAAGGAAAGATAAAATACAAAAGGCAACAAATCTTTAGCAAAATATAAGAGATAGACCCATCCTCTAGAGAACAATGAGAAAAAGCCTTTGAAAAAAGAAGTATGGGGATAGAAGCATCTTAATATTTCCAGTGCATGAAATACTATACATAATAAAAGATGCATGAAACTTAGTAGATCCTCAATAGAGATTAAATGAATCAAATTAAATAACTGTAATGGTTTAAAAAGCTCCTAGTAGAACAGCCTACTTCTAAGTCGTGGGACTCAAACTAAATTGAAGGCAAATTCAGACACTGAAAAATTCATACTACTTCCAGTTTTGAGTTCAACTAGTGAAGCTGTCACTCCTGTCCACACAACAGAAAAAAAAAAAAACTGAACTGGAAATCAGTAGCTTCTCTTAGATCCATCAGAGAACCGAGATCACAGGACAATCTGCTGCCTCCTCCAAAACTAAAGAAACAAGCAAATACAGAAAATCACAGCTTACCAGAAGCAGCAACTATTGCTGAAGCCAACAACTGGAAGAAAAACTTAAATAGATTAATTAAGACAGTCTAAATATGGACTAGTTTGACAGATGGAAACTCCTGGCAAACCAGCCTTAAGGGGCTCCCCACACTTCCATGATTTTTTTTGTTTGTTTGTTTGAGATGGAGTTTCACTCTTGTCACCCAGGCTAGAGTGCAATGGCGCGATCTTGGCTCACTGCAACCTCCGCTTCCCGGATTCAAGCAATTCTCCTGCCTCAGCCTCCTGAGTATTAACAGCACCCGCCATGCCCAGCTAATTTTTGTATTATTTTAGAAGAGATGAGGTTTCACCATGTTGGCTAGGCTGGTCTCAAACCCCTGACTTCAAGTAATCCATCTGCCTAGGCCTCCCAAGTGCTGGGATTACAGGCGTGAGCCACCGTGCCCAGCTACTTCCATGATTTTTAACTCCAAAAGCCCCATCAGGTTGTCAGGGTAAAGAAAAGAGAAAAAAATCCCTGTGCTTCTGGAAGGAGAAAGGAAAAAAGGAAAAAGTAACCATATTCAAATATTCCCAGAACATTCTGTTATCCTTAACAAAGGACTGACCTTAAGGAAAATTATTTTACCAGAGGCTAACCAACAGCGGGTATATCAAAGCCTGACCAAGTGGAATAAGGAAAATATCCAACTAGGGTTCTCTCTCTAGCTTTCTTGTTCCACCTAAGGGGGGTAAAAAAGCTGAGAAGCATTTGTAAAGGTGAAAGCCCAGGGGCACTGTCCCACAAAAAACCTGAGCCTAATCACAGGACTACATACAGACTATTCTCCCCGCTCCACAACACTCATCTTACTACAATCAACAGAGCTCCTGTAAAACAGGAAATCACAACTGAAAGAATGGTAAGGCTCAGGCTCTATTTAAAAAGGAGTCTCATGCCTGTAATCACAGCACTTTGGGAAACCGAGGCAGGAGGATCACTTGAGCCCAGGAATTCAAGACCAGCCTAGCAACACAGTGAGCCCCCACCTCTACAAAAATCAAAAGATAAATTAGCCAAGCATGGAGGCGCATGCCTGTAGTACCATCTTCTCAAGAGCCTGAGGCAGGAGGATCCCTTGAACCCAGGAGTTGAAGGCTGCAGTAAGCCATGATCGTGCCACTGCACTCTAGCCTGGGTAACACAGCAAGACCCTGTCTCTAAAAAAGTAAAAATAAAAGGGAGTCTCTAGGGAAACCCAAATACCACAGAGTAGACAAGATCAAGGACACTATAGGAAATTCTAGCCTCTGACATCAACAGCAAATAAACACAGATTAACCCCTAGCCAGATAAACATGAAACTTCATACTCAAGTCCTACTGATCTTAGTTCCTTTTACCCAATACATCATATCTAGCTTTTAACAAAAAAAAAAAAAAAAAAAAAATAGCCAGGCTCAGTGGTTCACACCTGTAATCCCAGCATTTTGGGAGGCTAAGGTGAGCGGACTGCCTTGATCTCAGGAGTTTGAACCTAGTCTGGACAACATGGCAAAAACCCATCTCTACAAAAATAGAAAAATTAGCCAGGTGTTGGTGGCTTGCGCCTGCAGTCCCAGCTCCTCACGAGGCTGAGGCTGGAGAATCTCTTGAGACCGGGAAGTGGAGGTTGCAGTTAGCCAAGACTGTGCCACTGTACTCCAGCCTGGATAACAGAGTGAGACCCTGTCTCAAAAACAAACAAACAAACAAACAAAAAACACCATTAGACATGCTAAAAGGTTAGGAAAAATAAAACAGTCTGAGGATCCAAAGCAAGTGTCAGAATCAGATTCAGATATGGCAGATATTTTGCAATTATTAGGCCAACAATTGCAAATAACTACTAACATGCTAAGGGCTCTAGTGGAAAAAGTAGAGAACATGTTAAGAATTGATGGGTAATATAAGCAAAGAGATGAAAATTCTGAGAATCAAAAGGAAATGCCAGAAATAAAAAAAAACAGCAACAGAAAAAAAGAATGCATATTACCAGATCATCTGCACATGGCCTAAGAATCAGTGAGCTCAAAGATACGTCAATAAAAACTTCCAAAACTGAAAAGCAAAGAAAAAAAAAAGGAATAGAATATCCTAAGACTGTAGGACAATTTAAAAAGGTAAAATGTATGCATAATAGGAATCCAAGACAGAAAAGAAAGAGAGAAGGAAACAGAATACAGATGCTCCTCCACTTAAGTCCCAGTAAGTCCATCCTGAGTGAAAATACTGTCAGTCAAAAAGGCATAGCTGACTGGAAGCTGAGGCTTGCTGCTGCCCAGCATAGCAAGAGAAGTATGGTTTCTACTGAATGCATATTGCTTTTGCACCATTGTAAAGCTGAAAAATCATTAAAATAGTAATCGAAGAAAAAATGGCTGAAAACTTTCCAACATTTATGACAGACACCAAATCACAGAGGCAGAAAGTTTGGAGAACATGACATAAGATAAATACCAAAAATCTACACTTAGGCATGTCATATTCAATCTGCAGAAAATCAAAGACAACAAAAAGATACTTAAAGAAGCCACAGATGGTAGTTAAGAGAAACCTTACCTATTGAGGAACAAGGATAAGAATTACATCAGACATTTCTTCAGGAACCATGCAAGCAAGAAGATTGAAGTTAAATATTTAGTGCTGAAAGAAAAAACTAGCAACCTACAATTCTGCATACAGCAAAATTCTTGAAAAGTATAAGAGAAAAAAAGACTTTCTCAGATAAAAATAGAGAATTTGTCACTACTAGACCTGTCTTGAAAAAAATGTTAAAAGTTCTTCTGAAAGAAGGAAAATATAGGTTACCGATCTGCACAAAGGAAAAGCATTAAAGAATAAAAGATAAAAACAAAACGTTTATTTTAAAAATTCTTAACTGATCTAACACATAAATTTGTTCAAAATAATGACATCAACAATATATTGAATAATTATAATTTATGGAAAAGCAAAATAAAAAACAGCAGTGTTATAAAAAATGGGAGAAATAATTGGTAATGCTATGTTATAAGGTACCAGCACTGCCCATAAAACAGTTTTAATGTTAATTGAAGGTGGATTCGTTGTAAATGTACACTGCCAACTCTAGGGCAACTAAAACAAAAATTTTTTAAGTATAATTGATATGCTATGAACAGACAGAAAATGGAATTATTTAAAATGTTCAACTAATAACAGAGAAGGCAGAAAAAGAGTGGAAGGCAAAATAAATTTTTTAAAAAAGAACAAGAGCAATGAACAGAAAAGCTGCAAACCTAGACCAGATAACTAATCCAACTAAATCAATAATCATTTTAAATGTGAACAGCTTAAATACACCAATTAAAACACAGAGACTTTCAAAGTGGATTTAAAACAACAAGATCCGACTGTACACTATATGTTGGCTACAAGAAACCCATTTTAAATATAAAAACACATAGAGGTTAAAAGTAAAAGGATAGGGACAGATATGCTATGCTAACACTAATCAAAACAAAGTGGGAATAACTGCATTAATCTCAAAGCAGACCTCAGAACAGGGAAAGTTATCAAAGACAAAGGGCATTTCATTATGATAAAGGGGCCAATACTCCAAGAAGACATAACCATTCTTAATATGTATGTGCCTAGCAATAGAGCATCAAAATATGAGACAAAAACTGATAGAAATGTAAGGAGGACTAGTCAAATCCACTATCATAGTTAAAGACTTAAACACCCCTCAATCAGGAATTGACAGATCCAGAAGGCAGAAAATCGGTAAGGACATAATTGAACTAAACAGCACCATCAATCAACAGGATCTAATTGACATCTATAGGCTACTTCATCCAACAACAAACAGAATACACATTCTTCTCAAGCTCACATAAATGTTCACCAAAACAGACCACATTCTGGGCAATAAAAACATAAAACAAATGTAAAAGAATACAAACCAAGCTTTCAGCCCACAATGGAATTAAACTAAAAATCAATAACACATACCAAATATTTACAGATAGTTGCAAACCCACAAAATACTTAGAAATTTAAAAATACACTTCTAAATATAACATCGGTCAAAGAAGCCTCAATTTTTTTAATTGTTTCAAACTAAATGAAAATAAAAATAGTTTATCAAAATTTTTGGAATGCAGCAGAAACAGTGCTAGAGGGAAATTTATAACACTGAAAGCATATAAAAGAAGACTGAAAACCAATAATCTAGGAAAACTGAAACAGAAGAGCAATATAAATCTAAAGCAAACAGAAAAAGAAATCAGATCAGAAATCAATGAAACTGAAAACATGTTAATACAGAAAAATCAACAAAACCAAAATCTAGTTCTTTGATCAATAAAACTGATAAACTTAGGGCCAGGCTAGCCAATAAAAGACACCAAAAAATAATACCACAAATCAAAAAGCATGACTACTGATCCCATGGGTATTAAAAGAATAACAAGTGTTATGAGCAGTTCTGTCTCCACAAATTTGTTAAGTTAGATGAAATGGGCAAATTCCTTGAATAATCTATCAAAATTCACATGGGAAAAAACAGATAAACTGAATAGGCCCATATCTATTAAAGAAATTGAATCAATCATTAATAACCTTCCCATGTAGAGTTCTACCAGGTATCTCATGATATGATACCAATTCTCTATAATCTCTTTAGAAAGCAGAAACAGTAAACAATTCCTAGCTCATTCTGTGAGGCCTTTGTAACAGAACTAGAAAAAGATAATACTAGAAAGGCAAATTACAGACTAATCTCTCATTAATATTGATGCAAAAATCCTTGACAAAATACAAATCAAATCCAACAATGTATAAAAAAAATTCTACACCATGACCAAGTGAGATTTTTCCATATATACGAGGCTGGTTTGACATTCAAAAGTCAATCTATAAAATCTACTACATCAATAGGCTAAAGAAAAATCATGTGATCCTATCAATAAATGCAGAAAAAGCACATGACAAAAATCCAACATCCATTCATAAAAACTCTGGGCAAACTAGGAAGAGAGGGAAACTCCCTCAACCTGATAAAGAGTATCAACAAAAAAAAACCTACAGTGAACATCTCACTTACTGTTGAGAAATGTCTTTCTTGTTGGTGAAGAAGGATGCTTTCCCCTAATATTGGGAACAAGACAAGGATGTCTCCTCTCACCACCCCAATTCAACATTATACTGGGAAGTCCTAGCTAGTGCAATAAGCAAACAGAATGAAAGGTATGCAGATTGAAAAGGAACAAATAAAACTTGTTTGCAGATGATATGATTGTGTATGTTGAAAACCGCAAGGAATCAAGGAAAAGATTCCTGCAACTAACACCTATAGCAAGGTTGAAGAATATAAGGTTAGTACACAAGTCAATTGCTTTCCCATACACCAGCAATGAACAATTGGAATTGGAAATTAAAACACCATTTACATTAACACCAAGAAATTAAACACTTTGGTATAAATCTAACAAAATAGGATCTCATATAAGGTCTATATAAGGAAAAAGCTAAAAAATGCTAATCAAAAATCAAAGATCTGAAAAAATGGAGAGATATTCCATGTTTATAGATAGGAATACTCAATAATGCTAAGATGTCAATTCTTCCCAACTTGATCTTTAGATTCAGTGCAATCCCAGTCAAAATCCTGGCATGGTGGATACAGGCAAACTGATTTGAAAGTCTATGTGGAAAAGCAAAAGGTCCAAAATGGCCAACACGATACCGAAGAACCAAGTCAGAGGATTTACACTCTCCAGACTTCAAGACTTAGTAAAAAGCTTCAGTATTCAACACAGTATGATATTGGCAAAGAAAAGATCAGTGGAATGGAATAAAGAGCCCAGATGTAGAACCACATATAGTCAACAGACCTTTGAAAAGAGAGCAAAGGCAATTCATGGAGAAAGAACAGTCTTCAACAAATGGTGCTGGAACAACTGGACATCATATGTCCCTCATCCCCCCAAAAATCAATGTAAACACAAACCTTACCCCTTTCACAAAAACTGAGACCAAGTCATAGATCTAAATGTAAATCACAAAACTTAAAAAAAAATCTGTAGGATATAAAACAGGGGAAAATCTAGGTGGCCTTAAATTTTTAGATACACCACCAAAATCATGACCCAGTAAAGGCAGACTTTATTAAAATTTCTTTGCAAAAGACAATATTAAGAGAACGAGAAGACAAGCCACAGATTGGGATAAAACATTTACCAAACACCCGATAAAAAGCTGGTATCCAAAATATATCAAGAACTCTTAAAACTCAAAAAAAAAAAACAAACCTGATTTTTAAAATGGGTAAATAATTTAAGCAGACACTCAGCAGATTGAGTGGAAAGTGTATGAGAAGATGTTCAACATCATATATCATTAGGGAATTGCAAATTAAAACAATGAGATACCACTACACACCTATTAGAGTAGCTACAACCAAATGATAACATCAAATGCTGGTGAGAATGTGGAGCAACAGAAATCACATTCATTGCTGATGGGAATGCAAAATGGTAAAGTCACTTTAGAAGACAGTTTGGCAGTTTCTGTACTGCAAAGCTAAGCACTGACTTACCATATGATCCAGCCATCACACAAATAAGGGAACAAAGGACATTTCTAGGTCAAACTATTCTGTATGATACTAATGGTGAATACGTGACATGTATTTGACAGAACCTATAGAACTGCACGACAGAAAGCATGAACCCCAATGTAAACTATAGACTTTAATTAATAATTGATCAATACTGGTTCATCAATTATAACAAATATAACACACTAACACAAGATGGTAACAGGAAACTGTGGGAGGGAGGAGGAGGTAAATGGGAACTCTCTACACTTACTGGTCAACTATTCCATAAATGTAAAACTGCTCTTTTTTAAAAGTCTATTAAAAATACTAAAATAACCCTTTAATTCAGACACTGAGGTTCTATATGAAATTCTGAGAATATGCAAATGCATTATCAATGGTGTAATAGATCAACAGATCTGCCTTGGAATGCCATCTTCATTGCTTACAGATTATATGTCCTTGGCCAGGTCTTGTAAACTCTGAGCTTCAACATTTTTATGTGTAAAATGAAAAAATTATCACCTTTCTCACAGGTTAACTCAATTAAATTAGGTAAATATACCTGAAGCATCTAGCAAAGGTACACTTAGTAGGTATGTAAATGTTTGTTCTTATTTTCCCCCAAATTCTTTCTAAATCAGGCAAGACAGGATATATCCTAACTCAACCAGTGTTTCTCAAATTGGGGTATCTATACCCTTAGATGTACATGCAACCATTAAATAAATAAAACACCTCATGTCTTCCAGGAGTTCAAGATTTGGGGGAGGAATGATAAATATTTTAAATGGTAATTAAAAGCACTATTATACTAAAATAATGTTGCTATAGCAGAATGTTTGCACTGTATTTCAATATGCAACACAAGACTGTGCCTGAATTAGAACTTAGGCCATATTCTCAAACTTTCAGGACTACTTCTTCACCATCTTCTGCTATTTGATATATGTCCTACACTTTTCCACTAATTTTAATTATGTTACTAAACTCAAGTTTATTTTCTTCTCAATACCAGTCACATAACAAGTGTCTCCAACAAGCCTGGTTACCCTTAAATTAGTAAATACAACCCGAAAAATAACATTTTATGTTTACACAATTTAATATACAATTTAAAGTCAGAATTAAAGCAAACTGAAAATAACTTAAATGGGGACTGTACTTTTGTATTTATGATTTCTCAAGGTTGTGGCTGTAACACTGAGTCAATTTCTTTTATAAGCTGTGCAAAATACAAATACTTTGCAGATACGGACTACTAGCCTAATTTTTAGAAACAAAATACTTTTTCATATCACTATAATTTCTTTGCCTAGGAGAATCTCAACATGCATAAAATCAAGCACTTTACTGGATAAATATTTAAGGAGAAAGCGGTATGAGTATTCCAGGCCAAAGGTAACATAAGGTCACGTGTTATAAGCCCAGGCAGAGCACATCTGTAATGTGCTGGTTTGGTGTCACACACTAACAGAAGCTGCAGTGCGCTCACAGAAGATCTACAAAATCTTTTTTTTTGAGACGGAGTCTTGCTCTGTCGCCCAGGCTGGAGTGCAGTGGCACCACCTCGGCTCACTGCAAGCTCCGCCTCCCAGGTCCTCGCCATTCTCCTGCCTCAGCCTCCCGAGTAGCTGGGACTATAGGCGCACGCCACCATGCCCGGCTATTTTTTTAATATTTTTAGTACAGACGGGGTTTCACCGTGTTAGCCAGGATGGTCTCGATCTCCTGACCTGTGATCCGCCTGCCTCAGCCTCCCGAAGTGCTGGGATTACAGGCGTGAGCCACCACACCCAGTCGATCTACAAAATCTTTAAGGATCTCAAAAGCATGCTACATGAATAAGAGGTAAGAATATGGGGATACTTAATATGTAGAAGACTTGGGCTTGGAATTGATGGGAAATTAATAGCTATCTTGAAGGCTGTCACATTTGAAAGGGATCAGACTTGCTCTGTCGTCTCAAACTAGGATCAACAAGCAGCAGTAAGTAGTAAAGTGGTACATCTGGTAGTGAAGAGACTTGAGTACTACAGACAATTTGTTTAAAAGAGTGTGGTATTAGAAACGTATGTGGTATTTTTGGATACCAATTATCTTGCATGTAAAATAAGGGTGCTAAACTAGAGAATTCTAAAGTAATTTTCAAGTAAAAATGGCATGGGAGCGGGGGCCAGGCATGGTGGTTCACTTGAGGGCATGATTAGCCAGGCATGATGGCCGCTGCCTGTAATCCCAATACTTTGGGAGGCTGAGGTGGATGGATCACTTGAGGTCAGGAGTTCGAGACCAGCCTGGCCAACATGGTGAAACCTCATCTCTACTAGAAGTACAAAAAATTAGCTGGGCATGGTGGTCCGTGCCTGTAATCCCAGCTACTCACGAGGCTGAGGCGAGAACCACTTGAACCCAGGAGGCAGATGTTGCAGTGAGCTGAGATCTTGCCACTGCACTCCAGCTTAGGTAAGAGTAAGACTCTGTATCAAATAAAATTAAAAAAAAAAAAAAAGGCATGGAAGCAAATTCTGAATCAACTTCTTAGCAAAGAGTATCCTTTCCCAGCACTCTGGGAGGCTGAGGCGGGTGGATCACCTGAGGTCAGGAGTTCAAGACCTGCCTGGCCACCATGGTGAAGCCCCATCTCTACAAAAATACATAAATTAGCTGAGCATGATGGCAGGTGCCTGTAATCCCAGGTACTCGGGAGGCTGAGGTGGGAGAATCACTTGAACCCAGGAGGTGGTGGTTGCAGTGAGCTGAGGTTGCCCCATGGCACTCCAGCCTGGGCAATAGAGCGAGACTCTTGTCTCCAGAACAAACAAACAAACAAACAAAAATAGTATCCTGAATGTACATGGAATCAGCTATGAAATGCCAAGTTCTATCACAAAGGACTTAGCAAAGGTAATGATGGCATGTTGATTCACATTATCACTTTTTCTACATCAAAAGGTAAGGTGGAATAAATAGCAAATTATTTTAAGAAAAGCCAGGCCAGGAGCAGTAGCCCATGCCCGTAATCTCAACATTTTAGGAGACTGAGGAGGGAGGATCACTTCTCAGCCTGGGCGACATAAACTCCATCTCTGCAAAAACATACAAAAATTAGCTGGGTATGGTGGTGCATACCTATAGTCCCAGCTTGAGAGGCTGAGGTAGGAGGATCACCTGAACCTGGGGAGTTCGAGGCTGCAGTAAGCCAGGATTGAGCCACTGCACTGCAGCCTGAGCGACAGAGTAAGACCCTGTCTCAAGGAGAAAAAAAAAAAAAAAAGCAGACATGGCAGTGCACGCCTGTAGCAGAAAAAACTGAGGCGAGAGGATCACTTGGTGAACTATAATGGTGCTACTGCACTCCAGCCTAGGTGACACTGTGAGACCCCGTCTTAAAAAAAAAAAAAAAAAAAAGCCAAAAATGTCCACTAGCAGTTCTTTTTAAAGAACTCAAAAACATGATGCAGGATTACTGCATTTTTCGATGTTATCCTTTATTGAGTAAATTACACTAGTAATTTAATTCTAGGGGGAAAAGTCCTAATCTATTTTCCTATCTTGTCCATATTCAATATTGCATTTTTCTTTGTTTCTAGATATGCTATTATCCTAACACAACCCTTTGAACCTACTTAATATTCCCTAGAGAATAATAGTATATCACTTTCTCCTGTCAATTATTTTATATACCAGGCAACAATATTATTTCTTGATCCTCAGTACAAGACTTCCGAGTTACAGTGCTAAGTAAACATTTACAGAATTCCTTAATTTCTCAAACCAAAATAAAAGTTCTAAGTCAAGCAATTGTTTTCTAAGTTCTAGATTTTAATACAAACAGCCAAAAGGAGATTGTACTTTCCTTTTGCTTTGCCAAAATCTGCAAAAATTTTGCCAAAAATATTCCAGGCAATAATCTCATGAAATATATACTCAACTTACCAAAGTACAGTATTTTTACAGTGCTCAGGCTTGAGAAATTAAATATGAATCATAAATGCTGAGAGCAGGGGTAGGAAATGCCTTGGAATATTGGAGGCTACATATACACAGAGTACAATGTCTGTGGACATGTTTCTAAATGCACTCCAAAGCCACACAAAAACAAATTTGTGGTTTATCAATTTCACTTCTCTGAGAGTTTTAAGAAAAATTATTTTCCTAATTCTCCATCTATCTGAAAACCCAAGGATACCTGTTGTAGTTTACATTATAATCCAAACATTAAACATATTTTGAATATTTTTCTACCTATGCCATACCTTACCTCTTCAGCAGAGATCCCTTTGATCATAATTCCTGAAAACTCCGATGAATACTTCAAAGTTCACTAACATTTTTAATGCAGTAATCTAATTACCTTAGATGTACATATTAGTGGAAAAAACACTCCAGAGTACCTAAGTGCTGAATTTTGAAACAAGTCTTTCACATTTTAGGACTAAATTACTATGAAATATTTTTAAAGGGAAACAAAAATACCTGGATAAAAATAAAGTAAAAAAATTGCTTAGGACATCTAAGCACTGACATTTGTCAGAGTATTTCAATATGGCAAAGAAAATAAGATCTGTGTACATATTTACAATAACCTATAAAGTCAGGACTTTGCAGTCACACTGCTTGTCATGTTTTTTTAAACAGAAGCTACAAAAAACAAACAAACAAACAAACAAAAAAAACCATTTGTTTCCTTACTAAAGAACAATCAAAACAGATTTTTATACTATAGTTAACCTCGTCAGTGATGGTGAAACCATAAGCCTATGTTCCTATACCTCAAAAATACAATGGTAAGCCAAATTCAACATTCTGTAGTATTTTTATTTTGAAGGTTACTGATGATGTAGAGGAGAGTCTATGTTTTAAAAATTACTTTTTAAAAACTCATGTCACCATTATCTTTGCAATATTTTTCAGGTTTCCAATGCAGGGTGTATTTTAACTTCCATGCCCAACCTACCCTTTCATACACATATAGGAAAAGCTTATAGATTTTTTTTATATTCAAATAAAATACAGCCTTTCATTGAAATATACTGTGTCTGTAAACCTTTTAATAGCTTTAATTCTAAAAACAAAATTTTGTGCACAGAATCTTTACTTTTTTTCCAAACTTACCAGGTTAATAAAGCCAAGAATGTTAGCTTCCTTTCCCCCACCCCCAATACAACAGCTATTCTAAATCATAACTGCCTTTTAGAAATTTGATTTCTTTCAGAGTATTAATTTCTTTGGGGAGCCAAATTATTACATTTTAATCCACCAATTGTCATTAATTCAATTTTTACTTCTTGCCTAGGACCCCATCTTAATGTTATTTTTAATTTTGGGGGTCCATTTCTTCAATAACTTTTCTTCAAATCTGAAAGGAAATCCTCTTGCTTCTAAGCAAATCCTGCATAGAAAAGGTAAATTGTTCCTGTGGCTTCAATTAAGTAAAATTATGTAGCTATAAAAACAAGAATCAATAAAACTAAATATTACCCTTCTCCATGCTGTCTTGATAAGATTTAAAAACAAGAGACTATGAGGCCAAGATTTCTCCCACTACAATTATTTGCGCAAGTAGAACACTAAAATACAAAACATTTTTCATTTCAACAGTTCTTATGAATTGCATAGTTCTCTAATCAGCCATTATTTTCAAATGTTCTTCTGGGTAAAGGAACTGTTTTTGGATGCTATTCTGTAAGAGTTATATTTTGATCAATCTAGCATTAAAAGACTTGGTCAAATTACTCTTGATATTTACAGTATTAACTCAAGAGAGTTTTAATGGTTTGCAAAATTGAGGTACAAAAATTGCATCTAAAAAAGTCCAATTCTGGAAACTAATCAGGAAAGATGATGCTAATCAGGAAAATGCAAAAACATACAAAACAGATCACCTATTTCATACATTCACTGGTGACCCCCACGAAGAATCACCTTAACAGTTCAAAAAAGTATTTTTCTGAAAAAAAAAAAAAAAAAAAAAAAAAAAAAAAAACAAAAAAAACTAACACACAGAAAGAATACATATTCAGAAATATTTAGAGAAAGACACAGAAAATTAAAATACATTTAAAAATACTGTTGCAGTTTTCACTTTCTACTCCTGAAACAGAAATAAGCCATTATCAGTAAGTGCATTTTTTTCATGGAGAAAATATTTATTAGATTTCAAATTATCACATAATACAGATATTACACAATTAGTCATTCTAGAAAAAAATAGTTTATATTAATATTCATAAACACTGAAAAATATAGGACTTCATTTTGTGACATAAAATATAAAAAAACTCAAAGGTAAATTCACCAAAATAAAAGTTTAAATAAACAAATCAGTTCACAATAATATACAAAAAGTTTCACTTTTAAATAAATAGCTTGTAGTGGCATGAGGTGACTAGAAATGCACTTACATTTCCTTTTGCATATTTTAAGGAACAGAGCTAAAATTCAATCAAAGCATGAGATTAAGAGATTAAATCACTTTTCATCTTCAAAGCTGAAACAAAAAGCTTATAATCTCACAGGCCACACAAAGCGGTTTCTACTGTGGTTCAAAGAGTTCAACTAACTTAATTTCCAAGCAAATATCATTTTTAGTTCCTTCAGTTCTTCCTAAAACGATGGACAGTTGTTTTTTTTAATTTATATGTGTTTGTAAACCAATTGTCTTATTAACATTTACTAAAAACAAGTCGGGAGTAAAAGCTGTAATCACTTATGGGAATTCAAAGCTCTCTGGGGAAATTTCAGTTCAAATTGAACCTTTAAACTTACTTTTAAATACTATACTTAACAAAAATTTATTTATAATTAATGAGAAAAAAATACAGATAGCCAAGAAAGACTAAGTGCAGGTTATGCTTTAGCAAATGTGGCTTCTAAAACTTTTGAGATTTCCTAAAACATTTTAGCTGCTTCCATATTAATAACTCTAGAATGTCTATTCTTAAAATGTATACCAAATTTAACAAACTGGCAGCATTAGGTGACTTTAAAAACATTCTTTAATAGCTTTTGACTGACCAGTTAATAGATACCAAAGAAAGAAACAGAAACATTTTGATAACTACTTCAATCAATTAATTGACAGCTTGGATAAATAACTATTTTGCAACACTTATTCCTTCACACCTACAGGCTTATTCTAATACTAAGTGCTTCTGCTCTGTAAACTACTGTTTTGTGACAGTACCAAACTTTAGAATGCCTTCAGTATGAAAAAAATACCTCAAGTTTAACAGGTATGTATTACTTTAGAAGACAGACCAAGCTACTTACATCTCAAAAGATATTTCTTCTACTTCTCTATTAGAAACTTTGTTGATTTGACAATTATAATAAGCCTCAAGACCAGCGAAGATGAGCTAAAAGAGTATATCCTAATATTAAAAGCAGTTTTCGAATAATTAAGAAGTTCACCCTTTATTTACTAGTTACTTTCAGTGTCAGGCAACAAAAAAAACCATTTCATTAAGTTTTCTGGACTTCCTCTACTACTTAAAAAAATGTTTGCCTACTTCATTAAGGTGATTTTCAATCCCACAAATGTTTTAAATGAAACAGATACAGAGAGCCGCTTTTAAAAGAAAGGAGTCTCTCAAGCTTCCTCTATTTCAGTCTTCTGAATAGAAAGAAATATTTTCATGGCCATGTAAAATTCCAATCTGAAAAGATTATTTCATTATTTGGGCCTTTCCATTTTCAGACCAAAAGTAAACCAGAGTAATTCTTAAAAGTTTATAAATGACAAGATCAGGTGGCTGGCTCATCCTTGTGTCTTCTAGACATATTGCATGGATCCATTCACCACTGCCTTCCAAACTGCAGGTGCTGGCATGTGTGACAGATATCATCCATGAAGGCTCTGCTAGAAGAATTCCTTTTGCTGAAGAAGTATGATGTTTTACCAGTTGAAAGAAATCTGGGCAATTAAAGAACAAATAAACCAGTCTCCCATTATCAAGATACCTGGAGTCACAGAAGGAATCCACCAAGGAAAAATGAAAACTTGCCAAAGGTAACAAGTTCACATTCTACCCATTGTAGGTGATAAGAACTTCCTGGAATCAAATCCTACCCTTGGCATCAAAGAAACTAAGAGAAAACCATCTTAATGCCATGGGGGAAATCTAGGAAAGGGTTCTTTTACCATAAATATTTATTCCTAGGGACTAGAAAATGACTTTTGAGTATATTAAACATAGCTTTCAGGGATACTGTATCCTGAAACTTACATTCATTCATACTTATGTTTTATTAAAGAATGGAGCCTAGAATTGACAGTAAAACCATAATAGTACTATCATTGCATCTTTTAAAAGATCTAATATGAAGTCCTAACATTTGAGGTAGGAAGAAGACCAAAAGGTTCTCACTAACAGTGTAGGATAACACTTGGACATGTGACTGTATAAATTAGACTTCAAATGTCCAGTTTGCCCAAAGATGAAATACAGAACCTTTTAAATTACTTGAATATAAAAGAGCACTTAGAAGTCCACTAATACCACAAAGGCCAAAATGGGTAGATATTCCCGTTTTAAAATTCCTGTGGACTACATAGGCATTCGTCAAATCATGTGCCCCAAATCATCCACTGCTTTAATTATCTGGAGAGAAAATTAAATTTTAGGTCTCATTTTTGAATGAGTACTAGTTAGCATTCTCAGAAAAACAAAACAGATTGCAGTCCCACCTGGTTCTTAAATGAACCCAAGGAGTTTACCACAGAATTAAATGGGCAATGGAAGGACACTCCAATCTATAAATTAACCCAAGTAAATAATGGAAAGCACCCACTTGTTTATTATCCTTTCCCACTCTCTCCAGAAGCTGGATATTCTGTCTCCAAGGGTTCAGTGGAGAAAGTGGACCCCTGACGTCAAAAGCTCTCCGTGGTCTTGGCTGTATCTGTGGTTCTAGGATCACTCCTTGCACCTCTGGTAGGAGAGAAGCACTGAAATAGAGAGCTGAATATAGATTTAAGGAAAAATTCTTATTAAGAAATTACATTCTCTGGTCATTTGAGTTTGTAATGGCTTAATCCTCAGGATAAAAAGGAGCTACCTTTGGGCATACTTTCTTTAGTGCCTTCTTAATTTGAATTTTAGAAGTCTGTCACCACAAATGATTAATTCCTCAGTAACTATTAAGAAGGGACCTGTATTGGTCTAAGCCATAACACACTCTGTGATAAACCACTCAACTCTGAGTGGAAGACCAAATCAAAAATGATAAATTATGACTGGAAACAAGATCATAGTTGTCTTTAAGGGACAGGGAAAAGGCACACAACCTCAGATATATCAAAGGAGGAGTCCCAGTTAATTCTTCTGTCAAAGAAAAGAAGATGGACTGAAAAGTAGAAACAGAAAAAACCAAGTATATTAACAGGAATACTACTAAACTTTGGGAAAGTCTAAGAAGCTGAATTTCTTCTCTGAGTTCAAGTCTTCATTAACTTAAAGAATTAATCACACTATAGGCCCATATTATAGCAATACAAAGCTAAGCCTATATTTTATGAAAGCTTATGACTACTGTCACTGAAAAGATTTATTCTTCAAGCACTCAGCTTTAAAACTGGGAAGGCAGAATAGTGGATATAGGCAATACAGACTCAAAATCCTTTTTAAAATGCATAATCATTTTCTTTTGGGTCAAGAAGAACCAGGAATAATCATTAATGGCTATAACATAGAAATTAAAGCAGTAAGATATACCCAAATTATAGATGATGGCAAAGATACTAGAAAATAGTTAGCTTTATTATAGGAATAAATAAGAGAAGGAAGTTCAAAGCACATAGCATCTGATCAAGGAAAAGCTGAAAGGAGAATAAGATAGGCAGATACATATTTAAAGTTACAGGGACTGCAGGATAAATTTTAACAGTGTTGCCTTTGGAAAACAGATCAATTATGCTTTGTGGTACAGAGTAATACATCCCTATTAAATTTCAGATCTTATTCTAAATATAAAGGTGCTGCGTATCCTTGTTCTACGGAGTACAGTCAGTCACAGTATCCTATTTCTAGGACATGTTATATTTTGGGATAAAGTTTTTATGAAATGCTATCAAGTAATCTCCCTCTCATACCAACTAGTTATCACAAGGGTTCCTTACCTGTTAGTGGAACGAGGATTGTGTTCTCTTGTTCTCTATCAATCAACCAACAAAGGTTATAGTCTCAGCACTAAGACGGTAGCAACCAACCAAAGTTAGTGTTTCTAATGCCTTCACTTCCTCCTGGCTCTGCCAGCCAGTTTGGAAATGTACCAAAAGCTGAAAAGGAATGGTTATTCCATTACCTAACAACATTTAGACTAAGTAATTTTAAAAGCTTAAAGATGAAAAGAATGAGCTAACCCTTCTGCACAGGGACATATCCAATTCTGTACAAATGAGAAATGACAGTTTGGCCTAAGTAAAGAAAACCTATGAATTTAACCATCAAATCTGCAATTACCAAATATTAAAGAAAAGAAAAAAGAAACTGGAAAGAAGAAGGTGAAACTGCCATCTAACAAGAGGTATCAAATAATTATGAAAGTACTTTATGCACCTAAAGTGGCAGCTATTTTTTCAATTTAAGCTTCCAACAGATTTTAAGTCCAAAAGCCTTTTAGTATTTAAAAGACTGTATCTTTAGATCAGTAGGCTTTAAAAAGTATTTTACAGTATAATCACAATGAGGAGGTATATGATGGATGATAAGAAGAAAGGAGCACAGATTAGAAAAAGGATCTGAATGCTGAATCTTAACAAATGCAATCTAATTAAGTAGTTTCAAGAGTCTAAAACACCCTAGTAGATTAACAAAGCATTCCACAGCTGGAGTTGTTAAGGAGTGGCTCTTTAACAGAGGAAAAAGGCTTAAAATCAGTACGTTGGAGCTATCTACATACATTTTCACAGTACCTATATGGTGCAAATAGGTGCTATAAAAGTGCTTTAAAAATTATTTATTAAACAATCATCCTCTAGCCTTTTCTAATCAATTTCCTTGACAAATTATTCTTTTTCATATAGTAATAGCTCAATATCAACCATGAAAATTATCTAAGATTTCTAAATTAATGAAATCTAAGTAAAACTTAACTACTTTAAAATAGTTTAAAACCTATTCAGAAATTATAATTAAGATACGATTTTCCAAATTTCCTTTAGTTTCCTTTCCAGTCGTTTTCAATAGTTAACTTTCCAATAGTTTTCCTTCAGTTCTTGAATACTAATCCATAATAATATATAGGTGAGTGAAAATACAGGCAAAAAGAAAGAGGTACATTTTGATATAGGAAATACACCTCGTAATTTTCATTTTTAAGTTTACAGGCCTACTTCACTTTGAAAATGAAAAACAACTCACAAAAAACCAGATCTTGCTCAGATTAATATTGGTCTAAATTTAGAATTTCTCCTACAACAGGAACTTTACGTTAAATGCATCCAAATCTTTATTTATCACACACCACAGTATAATATAGATAAAAAGTACAACAAACTTAGATTTAAAAAACCAAATGTCCGAAGGTTAAGTTACACAACAAGTTAAATATGAGAGCTCACTGGAGAAAATGAATCTTTACAAACTTCCCCTAAGTCAGAACGCTTTCAGAATATAACTTCTTTATTTTGCCTGAAGTACCAAAACATAATAATTCAACACTCATACTCAGAAATGAATAAGCAGATTTCTCTAAGTAGAAATTATTTTGAAATCACTGAGGAGAGCTGGTAAAGAGAGCTTGCTTTAAGAGTTAATAATTTATGAAGACTCTGAATTTGATAATGTATCATTTATATAAAAAATGTAAAGATGCTTTCAAAATGGGGTCATTATTTGAAAAAGAAAGTGCAGCCTTTGTGAGAATATTATTGATGGAAGCTCCTAAAAATGATACAGGAAGCCCTTACCTAATTCTATTTTAGTGGACAACATTCTTCTATGTGATATTTTAAGAGGGAGAAATATTTATTACACTGCAAGACTTACATTTCAACCACTAGAGAAAAAATTTCAAACCAAAGCTAACAAAATCAGCAATGCTAAGCTGCTACCTCAAATGGCTGTTATAGATCTATTAACCTACCAGTACATCAATGAAATCATTTTAACATTTTCTGTAAATAATGAAATTTTTAAAGATTCTTACTGAAAATCCATGTATATTCAAATCAGAAGCAGTATTTTATATATAAATACCACTGAGAAAATTTTATGAGAAGTACATCAAATTAGGCTGTTTGCAATATTTGTTCTCAATATTAAATTATGAAATGAGCATACACAGCTTATTAGTTTTAAGCATTTCTAATATCTAAGCATAAGGGAAGGCTACACCTATTTAAGCTATGAAATAGAAGGCACTATGTTTCTACAAAGACTGATTTCTACTCAAATGTGCTACAACTGACTGATCTAAAGTTGAACTTAATGGTTTATAAATTTACCGATTATTCATTAACCTGGACATTCTACATACATTGGAAGTATCTTTTTATTCTTTACCTATTATCACCCATTCATACTGGTTCTAAGGCACTTCTACAAAGAAAACAAATTCTTCACAAATTCCTCTAAGTATCCAAAACAGTCCTAGCTGGCAGTAAGAAGAAAAGGAAAGAACATGCTTAACAGAAGCAGTGTGTCTTTTATCTCTAGACCCTAGAA
The DNA here is from genome assembly GCF_000001405.40 of Homo sapiens. NCBI lineage: Eukaryota > Metazoa > Chordata > Mammalia > Primates > Hominidae > Homo > Homo sapiens. The sequence goes on from NC_000013.11 coordinate 44,543,642, forward strand.
AAGTGCTTGGCACACGGAATAGGTAACTCAGTAAATGCTTTACAAATAAGTTACTGATCAAAAAACAAAGGAGAATTTTGTCAAGTGGCCGATATCTAAAGTAGACACTAAAAAGTTCAACTTTCTAATCCTAAAGAAAACAAAAAATTTATCAAAAGTATAACTTTCGGCCAGGCACCATGGCTCACGCCTGTAATCCCAGCACTTTGTGAAGCTGAGGTGGGCCGATCACCTGGGGTCAGGAGTTCAAGACCAGACTGGCCAACATGGTGAAACCTTGTCTCTACTAAAAATACAAAAAATTAGCTGGGCATGGTGGCGCTCACCTGTAGTCCCACCTACTCGGGAGGCTGAAGGAGGAGAACCGCCTGAGCCTGGGAGGCAGAGGTTGCAGTGAGCTGAGACTGTGCCATTGCACTCCAGCATGGGTGACACAGCAAGACTCCGTCTCAAAAAATAAAAAATAAAAAATAAACTTTCATGTATCCATCTCTTTTTGGGGTCGTCAACTTCTAAGGATTAATTTTTTAGTATAGTTAGCAGAAATTTCAAAGGTATTATCCTGAGAGATGATACAAATGTTAGCCAAATTGCAACAATTACAGATTTCTAATATTCTTTTTCAGAGATTTAAAAGTAGTACAAAAACCAGATACTGCCAGAATATCCAATTTCAAAAAGGGAGAGATCTTACCCGATAACAAAACAAAAAGGCAAAAAAAAAAAACCCACCCAAGTTCTTCGGAATTAGTTAACTAAGGTATTGTACTGACACTGGAGGTAAAGATTATTTCTAAACCATAAATCTTGTGTGTATTATCAAATGGAATACACATTTTTTGAAAAAAAATAGGGAAGACTCTGAGCAAAGTTGTGTGTTAAAAAGAATTTTTTTTTTAATTAAAAAAAAAAAAAACCAACGGGAAGGAAGTCTGAACTTAAGGGGCTGAATACCATCAAGAGGATATGTGCTTAATCATGGACAGTAATTTCCTAAAAGAGAAGAAAGCTGTAATGAAAACAGAAAAACCTAACTATTAAAGCATTTTTAGAGCTCAACATCTAGCCAAATTCCATTATCTGTATATTTTCTCTTCAACCTTTTGGAAAATATACCATCTGAAAATGTTACCGGTATTCAAGTTAGTCCACTAGATATAAATATCAAGTATTTGTTAAAAGACAACCAACAGATAACCCAAATGTGTTCATGCTCCACTGAGGTAGAAGATGAAGTAAAACAGATGAAAAAGAAACAATCTACAATATATATATTTTAGAGTAGTTAATTCACTATAGAATAAAAGATAAAAGGCAATCATAGAAACACAGTTGCATAAACTATATTGACTATAAAAAAGGATAAGGCAACCTAAGGGTCAAGAAAACTAAATATAAAAATGATTAAATTTGGCAGGGCACAGTGGCTCACGCCTGAAATCTCAGCACTTGGGAGGCCAAGGTAGGCGGATCACCTGAAGTCAGGAGTTCAAGACCAGCCTGGCCAACATGGTAAAACCCATCTCTAATAAAAAATACAAAAATCAGCCGGGTGTGGTGGCACACGCCTGTAGTCCCAGCTACGTGGGAGGCTGAGGCAAGAGAATCGCTTGAACCCGGGAGGTGGAGGTTGCAATGAGCCGAGATCACACCACTGCACTCTAGCCTGGGCAACAAGCGAGATTCTGTCTCAAAAAATAAATAAATAAATAAAGCTTAAATTTGCCACTGACTCCTTAAAGTGAAAAAGGCTAGTATATGTCATTAAAAAAACCTTAGTAATTTTAAGAAGATCTCTAAATTGCTCTAACAAATACTTTTTTCATAATTAACCTATCCATTACTTTTACCTCGCTAGTGTCTTCTTCGTCTTGCTAGCATGAAATATTTAGCTTTATTCTTATAATGGCCAGCAGCACATTTTGGACCTATAAGGTACTGAAAAAAAAAAAAAAAAGGATAATCTTCCTACTGTATTTTTTCATTCTAGGATCTTGGGTTGCGTTACGTTCATAAGAGTGCACTTAGAAAACTCAGAAAACATGAAAGACCAGGCCAGGCGTGCTGGCTCACACCTGTAATCTCAGCATTCTGGGAGGCCAAGGCGGGTGGATCACTTGAGGCCAGGAGTTCAAGACCAGCCTGGCCAACATGGTGAAACCCCGTCTCTACTAAAAATACAAAAATTAGCCAGGTGTGATGGTGCATGCCTGTAATCCCAGCTACTTGGGAGGCTGAAGCACAAGAATCACTTGAATCCAGCAGGCAAAGGTTGCAGTGAGCCAAGATCGCGCCACTGCACTACAGCCTGGGTGACAGAGCGAGACTCCGTCTCAAAAAAAAAAATAAATAAATAAAAATACAAATACAAATAGATAAAAAAGAAAAGAAAGACCATAGCAACAAAACCACTTACGTTTTGCGAATTAGGCTGCCTTTACATTAATTCCTTTGGGTCTTTATCCATTTATGACAAGGAAAATAATGTATCAGTCAATGAAACAAAAAAAGATGTTAAATAATTAAATGTAAAAGATTCTGATCAAGCAAGAATCATCAATGGATACTAAAATTAATGGAAGTATGATGAGAAATAAGATTATTTACACAGTCTCAAAATATTCCCAAGACATGTGTTAATTACAAAGTGAAAAACAGTAACTTGATAGTTTAGAAACCTGGCAGGCACCTCCTTAACCAAATGATCAAGATGACATCACCAATAATGGGATGGATCACAATCATGTACCTCCTTATCTACTAATAAGAATATACCATCACTTCTGTCATATCCTTGCCAAAAACGCACAGATTAAGGACCAATGAAACTACCTAGTATTCTTCAAAAGTGTCAAAGTCATGAAAGGAAAGAAAGAATGAAGAGCAGGCCTAGATTAAAGGAGATTAAGGAGATATGACAACCAAGTACAATATGAATTCCTAAACTGGATCCTGGACCAGAAAAAGATCATTTAGTAGACAAGGTCAAAATTCAAAAATGCCTAGAGTAGTTGGTATTAATTTCCTGACTTCTGTACTATGGTTATACATGATACAAACATTAAGGAAAGCTGGGTGACAGGTATATGGGAATTCTGTGTGAAATACGTGTGTGTGTGTGTGTGTGTGTGTGTAGGTATGTATGTATGTACTTAGGGTGTGGCTCTGTCGCCCAGGCTAGGATGCGCTGAAACAATCGTGGCTCACTGCAATGTCCACTTCCCTGACGAGCGAACCTCCCACCTCAGCCTCACTAGTACCTGGGACTACAGGGACACACCACCATGCTTGGCTAATTTTTGTAGAGACAGAGTTTCATCATGTTGCCCAGGCTGGTCTTGAACTCCTGGGCTTAAGTAATGTGCCTGCCTCAGTCTCCCAAAATGGTGAGATTACAGGCATGAGCCACCACACCAAGCCTGTGTACTAAATTTTTGCAACTTTTGGTAAGTCTAAAATTATTTCAATAGAAAATTAAAAATATAGAACAAAACATCCTGAATATGGTTCCATACTCGACACGCCTATGGAATATCCACTGAGAAATTAAGAAACATAAATCTCCGATTTTTCATTCAGATGAAAAATTTAGTCCAATCTTTCTTTAAAAGCTAATCCTAATGGAAATGATAGCATTATGTCATGTTCTGTACTAATATCAGAAAAGTAACCAGATGTTAATAGTCTTTTTCTTTCCCTTTGGTAAACAGTTCTCTAGAGAACTTTAATTCAGAAGATAATATGTGAGAGATCAAAAGGGAAAATCTTTCCTACAAATAGAAAAACAATGTTTACATTAAATAGCAAGTGTGGAAATTAACTCCAGACTACAGCAAGCATATCATAGAACAGGTGAACAAAAAAGCAAAAGTTCTTTCCAATTTACATTATCATGTATGTTTATTCCTGCATTATTAAAACTGAAGACCTTCTCCTCATTTGTTTCTTCAAAAATTTTCGCAGGAAATAGAGTTTAGTGCCATAAATATCCTCCTTCCTTTTTTTAAATTAAAATTCAAGAGATAAACTCCAATGTATTAATACCTTCACTTACAAAGTTGGTTACAGGTAAATATTCATAACTTTTTGTTTTAATTTTTAACTTACTGAGAGCTTAGTATATGGTAGGTAATGTATTATGCTTTTAAAAAAAGAGAAACAAGGTCTTCCTATGATGCCCAGGCTGGAATGCAGTGGCTAGTTACGGGTACAATCACGGCACACTACAGCCTCGAACTCCTGGGCTCAAGCAATCCTCCTGTCTCAGCTACCCAAGTAGCTGGAACTACAGGAACTTGCCACTGTGTGCATTATTATTATGCACTGTATTATGCATTTTATATATATTGCCTCATTCAATCTTTAGCATAACCCTATCATATATGGAATATTATTATCACAACTTTACTTGATAAGGAAACTAAAGCACAAAGTGGTGAACTAACTCACCTAAGATCACATGTCTAGTAAAGAACAGGAAATTCAAAACCAGTTTGACTCTAGGACTCTGAGGTTTAATTTACATTTTTCCAAATCATATTATTTTGATTAACAACTGAGTACTTCTTTTTAAATACTTAGTATATAGACTGGGGCTGGGCGCGGTGGCGCATGCCTGTAATCCCAGCACTTTGGGAGGCTGAGGCAGGCCGATCACTTGAGGTCAGGAGTTAGAGACCAGCCTGGCCAACATGGCGAAACCCCGTCTCTACTAAAATAGAGACACGTCACTGCACTCCAGCCTGGGTGACAGAGTGAGACTCCATCTCAAATAAATAAATACTTAGTGTATGATAAAAGCTAGAATAAACATACTGTTTTAAGTAGAATTCTGAAACAACTTCAAATTCATTTAAACATACATCAATTGACAGTTAAGCAAGCTAAGCTTAAGCAAGTTAACTTGTTTTGCCATTTCTATCAACCTAAGAAATAGGGAATTTTACAAGACAGTAAAACTATGTAAAAATATGGAGTTTTACAAGACAGTAAAACTTCAAAATAAAGCGTAGCAAAATTTAACAACTTAATACCAGCAAGATAATCTAGGAAAAGATGTTTCTATTGAAACTAAAAAGCCCATATCTAAACATGTTAAAATGGTAATCAGAAATTCCTTTCACCTTTTAAGTATCTTCAAAAACCAAGACACAAAAAGGATTTTTTCTAACTAGAATTTCTAGTTTACCTGATACATATCTATTGATTTGCATAACAAATATATAAGATAGACTTTTAAATGTACAAGAACTTCATAATTTAATAAGTTTTATTATCCTAACATAATGTAAACATTATAGCAACAGTTTAAGTCACCATTTGTTATAAGCATGATTAAAATAATAATCTGACAATAATAAACTAGATTCAGAGCTCAATTCTGCTTAAAGACCCAGAGAAACAGTCTTTAGTTTATTACAGAATAGATAATAATCTGTATGAATGCTGTGGCTGACCTGAATTTTAATATATTTTAAGTATTACTTATGATAGCTTACAATATATCTATTCAAGTTCCTCCGTATATAATAAGATGAAAAGGTCATTGCCTTATCTCAACTTGAATTTAATAAAAAATATAAATATGATATTAGACATCTGCAGAAGCAATCAACATTTTAGTTAAAACAGGGCGCTTTCCAATTCTTTATCAATAAAGTGGGGTAGGTTTTGTAAAAGACAGAACACATCTACTTACAAATAAATCCTTTAATCTACTCTATCTTATTATAACTTATACAGCAATTGAGCCTAAAGTGACAAGGAAATATCAGTAGCTTCCACCAATCTCAGAAGGCATCCTCAGCCTTAGGGCCCATTTCAGCAAACTCAGAAATTAAGAAAGCCTGGGCTGGGCACAGTGGATCAGGCCTGTAATCCCAACACATTAGGAGGCTGAGGAGAGAGGATCTCTTGAGCTCAGGAGTTCAAGACCAGCCTAAGCAACATGGTGAAATCCTATCTCTACAAAAAATTAGCCAGGCATGGTTGCGCACACCTGTAGTCCCAGCTACTTGGAGAGGCTGAGGTGGGAGGGTGGCTTGAGCCCAAGGAGGCAGAGGTTGCAGTGAGCTGAGATCACACCATTGCATTCCAGCCTGGGGAACAGGGCCAAACCCTGCCTCAAAAAAAAAGAAAAAAAAAAAAAAAAAGAAGAAGGCGGCGGCGGCAAGAACAGCAAGCAAGCAACCAAGCTAGCTGTGTCTGTCAACTACTCATCTGGTAGTTGATTTCTATACAGTAATGAGGCTACAAACCAGAAAAATTTTAAATGTCCAACATGACATTCTAAATGTCAATACTGGAAAAAATAATTTGAATCCTGCTACCTTACTGACTATTCACAGTTTCCACAGCTATTTCCACTTTCCAAACATTTTAGGAATAAAATTTTGATAGCGACTAATCCACGTCTGGAAAGTAAAATGTTGCCAAAAAGAAAATGAAAAGGTATTAAGAAAGAACATCAACCCACCATTAAATTAACAATTTTAAAAATATGCTTTGATTTAAAAAGTATGTGGAGTCTAGTTAACATTGTAATAACTATCAGTAAAACTTCACAAAAGCCACAACGGATCTTAGTTTATGTCTTTGAAAGTGCTAATATTACTAGAACTCAAGTTCTTTATTTGGCAAGCTCCATTAAGAAATAAAGCAGCCGGGCACGGTGGCTCATGTCTGTAATCCCAGCACTTTGGGAGGCCGGGTGGGTGGATCACCTGAGGTCAGGAGTTCGAGACCAGCCTGACTAACATGGTGAAATCCCATCTCTACTAAAAATACAAAAATTAGCCAGGTGTGGTGGCGCATGCCTGTAATCCCAGCTACTTGAGGGGCTGAGGAAGGAGAATTGCCTGAACCTGGGAGACAGAGGCTGCAGTGAGCCGAGATTGCACCATTGCACTCCAGCCTGGGCAACAAGAGTGAAACTCTGTCTCGGGGAAAAAAAAAAAAAAGAAAAAAAGAAAAGAAGTGAAGCTAGTGTACATTCCCTTCAGTTTTTAATAAGCCACTTCTTAAAATATTATTCAGAATACCAGATTATAGTATTTCTAAATAGAAGAAAAGTTTATTTCCCTACTTCCTTCAAAACCAATCAGCCCAGCCTGGGCAACATAGTGAGACTCCATCTCTACAAAAATTTAATATTAGCCAAGTGTGGTGGCACACATCTGTGGTCCCAGCTATTCGGGAGGCCAACGTGGGAGAATCACTTGAGCCCTGGAGGTTGAGGCTGCAATGAGCTATGACTGCCACTGTACTCCAGCCTGGGTGACAAAGTGAGATCCAGTCTCAAAAAAAAAAAATAAAAATAAACCGGGCATGGTGGCGCCCACCTGTAGTCTCAGCTACTCAAGAGGCTGAGGTGGGAGGATCACCTGAGCTTGGGGAAATTGAGGCTGCAGTGAGCTGTGATTGCACCACTGTACTCCAGCCTGGGCAACAGAATGGAATCCCATCTCAAAAAACAAAAGCAAGAATTAGGCATGGTGACATGTACCTGCAGTCCTGGTTACTCAGGGAAACTGAGGTGGGAGAATCGCTTGAGCCTGGGGGCAGAAGTGGCAGTGATCCAAGATCTCACCACTACACTCCAGCCTGGGTGACAGAGCAAGACCCTGTCTCAAAAACTAAAACAAAAACCCAAAACCCCAATCAGCTGGGGGTGTGTGTGTGTGTGTGTGTGTGTGTGTGTGACCCTGTCTCAAAAACTAAAACAAAAACCCAAAACCCCAATCAGATGGGTGTGTGTGTGTGTGTGTGTGTGTGTGTGTGTGTGTGTGTGTGTCTGAGACAGAGTCTCACTCTGTTGTTGCCCAGGCTGGAATGCAGTGGCACAATCTTAGCTCACTGCAAACTCTGCCTCCCAGGTTCAAGCAATTCTCGTGCCTCAGCCTCCCAAGTAGCTGGGATTACATAAGCGTGCCACCACGCCTGGCTAATTTTTGTGTTCTTAGTAGAGACGAGGTTTCACCATGTTGGGCAGGCTGGTCTTGAACTCCTAGGCTCAAGCGATCCACCTGCCTTGGCCTCCCAAAGTGGTGGGATTACAGGTGTGAGCCATCGTGCCCGGCCGCCATCAGCTGGTATTTTAAAGATTTTGACATAGGCTGGGTACAGTGGTTCAGACCTGTAATCCCAACACTTTGGGAGACTGAGTTGGGAGGAATGCTTGAGGTCAGGTGTTCGAGGCTGCAGTGAGCTATGATTGTGCCACTACACTCTAGCCTGGGCAACAGGGCAAGGCCCTGTGTCTAAAAATTAAAAGTAAAAAAACAAAAAAAAGACCAACACTTTCAATCACTCTTATTTGGCACAGTAGTAAGAGCAGACACCATTTACGAACGACCAAGAACTTCACTAGGTGCATTATACACCTCTCTCCTTTACAAGGGTAGCTGTTATCCCCACATGAAGTTTATGCTGGCCATCGTAAAGGAATTCCCAAAAGAACCATGAATTCATTCCCTAATTTACCTGTATATCTTCAGAAATGTCTCCCAATAACCATCTTTTAGCCCCAAATCTTTTAGCAAATCTTATTCTCAAAATGACTTCAAGGTTTCTCCATTTTTGACAACCCTTTCTGTACTTCATATTTCATTTTTCTGATAAGCATAACCTAGGAAATGGATAAATAATAGACAAGAATGTTCAATTGGCTCCTTTACTTCACGAACACCATCAAGGGTTAACTCTCCAACATGAGGAACAGAGAACATAAAGCTAGTAAAATATCCCATACTGATGGCAATTGAAGCACGTAACAAACTGATCATTTCCCTACATTTATGAAGTTAACTAGTTCTTTCTAACTTATGTACAAGATTTCCGTCAGGAATATGCTACCACATAGAAAGTCTATTCCCCCACTAAGGTCTGCAAACCATTTACAAAGACAGGGCCAATTAAAAGAGCCTGCAAATATGTCAGTGCCGCACTTCTCAAAATGTGTTCTTTAACATCTGCCAGATCTCTACTTGTTACAAACACTCTCACATGACAATAATTATACTTTTATTTCTAATATGAATTGAATACTAATAGAAAATAAGGTGGTAGGCCGGGCGTGGTGGCTCACGCCTGTAATCCCAGCACTTTGGGAGGCCGAGGCAGGCGGATCACAAGGTTAGGAGATCGAGACCATCCTGGCTAACATGGTGAAACCCTGTCTCTACTAAAAATGCAAAAAATTAGCCGGGTGTGGTGGCAGGCGCCTTTAGTCCCATCTACTCCGGAGGCTGAGGCAGGAGAATGGCGTGAACCCGGAAGGCGAAGCTTGCAGTGAGCCGCGATCGTGCCACTGCACTCCAGCCTGGGCGACATAGCGCGACTCCATCTCAAAACAAACAAACAAACAAACAAAACGAAAATAAGGTGGTAAACAGAAAGGGAACTGTTACAGCAGAATAATAAATGTAGAGATGGGCTGCAGTTGAGGCCTGCCGTCACTTGACTATACATGACCAACGACATTTCTCATATATAAAATGAAGCAAACGAACATTTCTCAATCTGTGTTTCAAGGAACACTGGTTCTCCAGGTCAGTAACAGGTATTATATGATGAAAGAGTTGGATTTCAATAAAACCGTCTTTCTTCTTCAAAATGTATCGGTCTTCAATAAACTAAAATGTAATGTCAACTTCCAAAATATACAGACAAAAAGCATTCCCCCAAATTTCTGGGCTCTAATACTATTTTTTTTTTTCACTTTTAGAATCAGTATTAGAAAAAAACTAGTTTTGAAACTTTATAGATTTCAAAATCCAGTTCAATGAATGTTTGAAACTTAAAAAACCAGATATTGACTTATAATCTTACTTAAAACAAACAGCTTAATCCCATTCATTCTAAGGAGATAGTTTTCGGGCCCATATGGGACTGAGCATGGAAGAGATGGTCTTCAGGGCATAATGCCCATCTAAAACAATCTTTCAGAATGAAAAAGTTGAGAATCACTTAATTGGGGTAATGGTTCTATTTTAGAGTATTAACAAACTGCTACATGACGCTGTATTTCTTCCAAGTATTCCCCACCCCCATTTAAAAAAAGGGAAAGGTTGCTTTTACAACAACTTATGTTTTTGTGAATTTAGGAATTTCAAAGAACTGCTCAATAATCACATATAATACTGTCCTGGCAGCATGAGAGTCAGCGAAAGAATTAATCCCTGATCGCTCCACTGTATGTAATGAATTCGCTATTTTCTTATGCATTTAGAATGATGGTGCTAGATATATGCCATTCTTAGAACTAAGAGAGTAGGCACTCTTTTCCTGTAGGGATTGTCTTATGGACCCCAGGTGAGAAAGACTGCACCAAAAATGTCACAAAGGTACAGAACCGCTGCTTTAGAAAATTATGTATAACGCCTCTGAACAAGTAAACAAGCTTTCCATTTTAACTTACAGTGCTTAAGAAAGGAATCACTCTTACTTAGCACAGTAATAAAAACAGCCATCGATTTACAGAACTATCAAGAACTGAGCCAGGTGCATTATATGCCTTTCTCCTTTTATCCTCACAACAACAGCACGGGTAGCTATTACCTGCACATAACAGCTATGGAAATCAGGCTTAAAAAAGTTAACTCATTTACAAAGGTCATACAATGAAGAGGTAGCAGAAATAAGATGAGATGCCAGGGCTGATGCCAAGACTAACGTTCATTAAACTCTACCTCATTATGCTTATTCATCGATAGTCCAGATGCATCAATTCATTTGAATAGAAAAACTGTCATGTATACCATATACAGAATAACAATTGAGCACAATATAAACTTATTTGGATAATTGAGAAGATAAATCAAGATCTTATGATGCTTGAGTGTACTAGACGAAACTGTTGCAGACCAAAACCATGTCTTTTTTTTTCTTCATACCCTTAGTATCTTTGTTCAGTGCTAGGTATGTAACAAGCATTCAATAAATATTGAATGAGTATTTTTGAAGTAAATAAATCATCCCAATACCAGGAACAAAAAAAAAAAAAAAAAAAAAAAAGAGGTACTGTTAAAAACCTTCTAGGCTAAAAGACAATTGCTTAAACTACCTTAGGTAATTTTTCTAAAATAATTTTTATATAGATAAATTCGCTGATGCAGGCAATGAGGACACAGTGACCCTGACCGCAAACTGCACCAAATGTTTACCAAATTATTATCACCAAATCCCCTCCTTCTCTTCCACTCCTTCTAATGGTCTTCAACTCCCTATTTCTCTTGTCTCCTCTCCCCTTCTCATGTGTTAAGCCTAATTCAGATTACTGAATGAATGGTACTAATGGCATTTAAGTCAGACATTCATGAACTCAAATATAGTATAACTTGGTTTTTGTTAGGCCAATGTGTCCACTTGTTAGAAGCTTTTGTTTCTACATATTGGATCAATTTCCTAATAAGCCACTTGTAGATCCCTAAGGGCTAAGAGTCTGAATACAACTGGAAAGATAACTAGACCTCTAAATTAAAAAAAAAAAAAAAATCCAAAGTTGATCTTAGCCTGTCCATTTTATAAAAGGTAATCCAGTTTTAAAATATTATCTCTTAAGAAGATTCAATAATCACAAGTGTCTTGCAAAAATGCCAGAATGTTATTCTTAGGCCCTTGTGAATTTTTTTTTTTCCAGAAAACGTAAGCAAACAACAACAACAAAAGACTAATAAGAAATACGTAGGTCGGGCGTGGTGCGTCATGCCTGTAATCTCAGCACTTTGGGAGGCCAAGGAGGATGGATCACCTGACCTCAGGAATTTGAGACCAGACTGGCCAACAGTGAACTCTGTCTCTACTAAAAATACAAAAATAAGCTGGGTGTCGTGGCGCGAGCCTGTCATCCCAGCTACTCAGGAGGCTGAGGCGGGAGAACCACTTGAACCCACGAGGTGGAGGTTGCAGTGATCCGAGATTGTGCCACTGCACTCCAACTTGGGCGACAGCAAAAGACCCTGTCTAAAAATAAATAAATAAATAAATAAATAAACAAATATGTACAGCCATCCTTGTCTTCAAGCACTTTGAGAACATTTTAGCCATTGATGTTTACATGTGGCACCCACCCATGCAAGATAGGTTTCTGTATTTATACATTAAAATACCAAAAAAAAAAAAGTATGAAATGCCTTCAAAAATGTTCAAAGCTTGAGAGAAAAGCTTTTTTCATTAGTCAAGGTGTTTTGATATGGTATTAAAATAATATCTAACAAAATGAAAAAAAATTCTCTTTTCTCCATGAATGCTGACACTGGGGAGAATGGCAATTTTAGGCTGTCAAGAGCATACTAAATAAGTAAAATATCTAGAAATGCAATCGACTTGCACGGGATGTGAAAATTACTGGCTTTCAGTCACTTTTGGCTATTTCATACTGGCAGAAAGTAAAAATTATGGAACACACAAGTAAGGCTTATATTACATTACTATTAAATGATAAATAAAGCTACTATATCTTTTAAGATACATCTTTACTATTGTTAACTATAATTCAAAAAAATTCCAATTGCTTCAATAGCTCCAACATTTATAAGTGAATCAGGAAATAAATAATGGAAACGAAAAAAACAGTTCTACTGTTAAAAAAAAAAAACAAACCACCACCACCACCATCTCTTGGGGCCGTGCACGGTGACTCAACACCTGTAATCCTTGTACTTTGGGAGGCCAAGGCAGATGGATCACAAGGTCAGGAGTTCAAGACCAGCCTGACCAACATGGTGAAACCCCGTCTCTTAAAAAAAATACAAAAATTAGCTGGGCGCAGTGGTGCACGCCTGTACTTCCAGCTACTAGGGAGGCTGATGCAGGAGAATCACTTGAACCCAGGAAGCGGAGGTTGCAGTGAACCGAGATCGTGCAAATGCACTCCAGTCTGGGTGAGAATGAGACGCCATCTCAAAAAAAAAAAAAAATCTGAATACTTTAAAAAATTTTTGTAGCCAGGTGCAGTGGCTCATGCCTGTAATCCCAGCATTTTGGGAGGCCAAGACGAGCAGATCACTTAGGGTCAGGAGTTCATGACCAGTCTAGCCAACATGGCAAAACCCCGTCTCTACTAAAAATACAAAAACTAGTTGGACGTGGTGACGCACACCTGTAATCCCAGCTACTCAGGAGGCTGAGGCAGGAGAATCCTTTAAACCCACAAGGCGGAGGTTGCAGTGAGCCGAGATCATGCCACCTCTGAAGACCTAATGCAGATGTCTAAGATTCAAGGCCGAGCATGGTGTCTCACACCTGTAATCCCAGCACTTTGGGAGGCCGAGGCGGGCGGATCACCTGAGGTCGGGAGTTCGAGACCAGCTTGACCAACATGGAGAAACCCCATCTGTACTAAAAATACAAAATTAGCCAGGCATGGTGGTGCATGCCTGTAATCCCAGCTACTTGGGAGGCTGAGGCAGGAGAATGGCTTGAACCCGGGAGTCAGAGGTTGTGGTGAGCCGAGATCGCACCATTGCACTCCAGCCTGGGCAACAAGGTAGAAACTCAGTCTCAAAGGAAAAAAAAAAAAATTACAAAAAAAGAAAAAGTGGCCGGGCGCAGTGGCACACACCTGTAATCCCAGCACTTTGGGAGGCCAAGGTGGGCGGATCACAAGGTCAAGAGATAGAGACCATCCTGGCCAATGTGGTAAAACCCTGTCTCTACTAAAAATACAAAAATTAGCTGGGCATGGTGGTGCACACCTGTAATCCCAGCTACTTGGGAGGCTGAGGCAGGAGAATTGCTTGAACCTGCGAGGTGGAGGTTGCGGTGAGCTGAGATCACGTCACTGCACTCCAGTCTGGCGACAGAGCGAGACTCCGTCTCAAAACAAAACAAAACAAAAAGTTAATTCTACCTTCTAGAATAAGCAAAAGGACAAGCTAAATCCTATTTTTCAAATGAATATTAAAGCATTCATATAAACTATCATTTTTTTTATACTTCCCCAAGTGAGTTCACAGGAAAATTATCACTTTCTTGTTCCAATAATAAATATGATGTGAAGATAAGTTGTAACCACTCAAAATTAAAAATCTGATTCATAAAATGTGCTATTATTCAACTGATTAAAATTAGGTTTCTACTTTAAAAGTATTTTAATAGAATTTTAATTTGATTGCATTAAGCTTATAAAAAATATCCTAAGTATCAACAGCTTATAGAATCTGAGACCACTAGAAGGCCAGTAATCTAATAATTTATTGAAATATTTATGTCATGAAACTGGGTGTCTCCATATTCACTTATTTTTCTGAAATTGCAATTTACTTCAGCAAATTTTCCAAATTTAAAGTTTACTTTTTAGCAATAAATTTGGAGAATTTAACCACTGGGGTAGAAACTATACTTTTTAAATGTACTAAGAGAAAATAATAATAAAGATTGAAGGAATTATTAGGTACACTCATTACTGGACAACTCCATAAAATAGTGACCGAAATAACCAGGAAAGTCTATAGTGTCAAATGCCTCTATACTCAATAGGCTAACGACTGCTTTTTATAGTTGTCAGCTGTCACCTTTTGTTCTTCTCAATGGACAAAAGAAACCTCCAGAATGTGGTTGAGTGCAAGTTTTGGAATGAAATCACCTAATGGAATACTGACTAGCTCCATCACTTAGTAGTTAATGTGACCAAGGTCCTTAACTTCACAATATTTTATTTGTAGTAACATATCAACCAATAATACAGTAAAAAAAATTTTTGAATCATTTCCCTGTCATATAATCCTCAGGTCTCCCATGAATTTATTATCAATCTTATACAAGCTTACAAAAAAGAGGAGCTAAACAGTTGCCAATTTAAATGTTATGTACCTTCAGGCTGGGCGTGGTGGCTCATGCCTGTAATCCCAGCACTTTGGGAGGCTGAGGCGGATGGACAGTCTGAGCTCAGAAGTTCAAGACCAGCCTGGCCAAGATGACGAAACCCCATCTCTACTAAAAATACAAAAATTAGCCGGGCATGGTGCCACATGCCTGTAATCCCAGCTACTTAGGAGGCTGAGGCAGAAGAATCACTTGAACCCAGGAGGCAGAGGCTGCAGTGAGCCGAGATTGTGCCACTGCACTCCAGCCTGGGTGACAGAGCAAGACTCCATCTCAAAAAAATAAAATAAAATAAACATTATGTACCTTCACCAAGTATTAAATATACTTGTTCCTAAAAGGATTAGGGTGTGATATCATGATCGTTATTATGGGATTCAGAGATGGAGGTAGGAAACCGCTAAGTTATCTAGGGTGAAATTCTCATTTCCATCTCCTCTTTCTGTACCACCCTTCCTGCCTGGAACCTCAAAATAGGTAAAATTCCTAATAATAAAACATAACCAATTGTACAAATGTATAAATCCTGCTATCCATTATTTCAGAGAATAACTGATGAATGTTTGGTGGATCTCCATAGAGGAAAATAACACATTGAAAATGAAGAACAGTTTAAAACTCTTATTCCAAATTCTACAGTAAAATGAACCATCAACCAAAGACAAGACTTGGCTCCATGTTTGACTCTCAAAGAAAAGTTTAGGTGAACTACAGCAATAAAAACCTTTTAAAAGAGGAAGAAAAGGAAAGACTCAGATATCTGAGCACCTAAGCAGTGGACAGTCTATAGCCCAAACCAGGGATTTTCTCAATTCACACATCTCACACCACACCTTGTACCCAAAGGAACAACCTTAACCAAAAATAAAGCAAAAAACATAACTTATAAAGCAGCATTTTTTCCTAAATTAAATTCACTAAGACAAATTTCACTAAGTACCACCTTTTTTAAAAAGTAATTTTTAAAACATGGGAGTGTATTTCCTCAACAGGAAGATGTACTGGTCATTGTCAAAAGTACCACAACAAATTTGTTTAGAGGACACAACCAAGAAAAAAAATTAACTTTTTTTTTCTTGAGACAGGGTCTCACTTGGTCACCCAGTCTAGAGTACAGTTGTGCCATCACAGCTCACTGCAGCCTCGAACTCCTGGGCCCAAGCAATTGTCCAGCCTCCCTAAATGCTGGGATTACTGGTGTAAGCCACTGTGCCCAGCCCAAAAATTTCTTTTTTTTTTTTTTTGAGACACAGTCTTGCTCTGCTGCCCAGGCTGGAGTACAGTGGCGTGATCTCAGCTCACTGCAACCTCTGCCTTCCAGGTCCAAACGATTCTCATACCTCAGCCTCCTCAAGAAGCTGGGACTGCAGGTGTGTGCCACCATGACTGCCTCATTTTTGTATTTTTAGTAGAGATGTGGTTTCACCATGTTGGCCAGGCTGGTCTTGAACTCCTGACCTCAAGTGATCCGCCCGCCTTGGCCTCCCAAAGTGCTGGGATTACAGGTGTGAGCCACCACACCCAGTCTCTAAAAATTAGTTTAATATTAGGCACAAACAAAAGCTTCCTTATGAAAGAAACCAAGTTGGCTTGGTTGTCAATTTCTAAAAAAGGAAATAAAAACATATACAATGAGAAAAGTCAGTTTTCCTTGATATAGTATTTGATTTACTGTGGTAATCAGGCCAGGCACAGTGGCTCACGCCTGTAATCCCAGCACTTTGAGAGGCTGAGGTGGGAAGATCACTTGAGCTCAGGAGTTTGAGCCCACCCTGGGCAACATGGTGAAACCTCGTCTCTTTTTAAAAAAATAAAAAGGTAATTAATAAAAATATTTCAAAGAGAAAAATTGGGGGGGGATCTTCATTATACCTAAACATCTAAATCATTAAATGTCTACAAAATACCTTATGCAGACTTAGTACCTAATATGTCATTCACTAATTTAACTAAAAATAAAAATTATCACTACCAATTACTTAAATCTTAGCACCTATTAGGAACTTTTAATTTTACTTCTGAATATTACTACAAATATTCTTCGTAATTTCTGTATGTAAAGGTCTAGCTTTTATTTTTGTAACATATTTAGAACATATGTTAAGAATGTCTTAGAGAATAACCTTGCTGCCCTAAAAGGTAAAAAAGTATGAAACAACTTGTCTTATTTTAGAACAGGAAAAAAGCAATATAGAGGAGTAAAAGGATTTGTCTATGCTTAAATGATACAGTGGAGGCAATACGACTAAAACATGGTTTATACTTGTCCATAGCTCAGTCATTAACATCATTTGGAATTTATTCTTACACCCATGATTCCTTAAAACAATATAACGAACATAATCTAACTTTCAACTAGCAAATATTCAATATCCTATCACAGTTCTTTGGGGTTTTCTTAAAATTTCTAACTCCTACCTTCATGTCAGGCTATAAATTGCTAACTTTCCTGACGTCAACTTACATGCCTCAGAATCCCATTTCTTTTCCCTCCCTAGTCTCATCTGCTTTAAGATAACAAAGCTAGTAAACATAAGGAGACTTAATGGAAGTCCAAAAAAGGATCAGAAATGCTATGCAAAAATACCCCCCGGGGCGTCGGGGGACCAGGGAGAGGAGGGGACATGGCTTTGATAGCAATTTCAAGCAGTTTTTGGGCTCCTTACATTCCACAGCTGGTTTAACCTCTGGATTAAGTGGAGTGTTACCATATGTGGACTGGGTCCTAACCTCCTTACTTTTCCTAATTAGGCCAAAGGGACTGATTCAAACCATTATCTCAGACAATGACAGAGAATATGCCTCCATTTCTACCACTGAGGAAAAAGGAATTATTGAGTTTCTCATACTCAATTAAGGAAGGAAGCAACTAGACATCCCAAGTAAAGCCAGTACCCTCCTAAAACATAGTACTGATCAGGCCACTGCATGGTACAAAAACAAAAAAGAGCCCTCCATTCCATGTCCAATCAAATCCAGACTTCTCAATCTTACATTTAAGGCTTTTCAAAGTTAGCCTTATGTATACAAAGCCCATCTGATACCAACTTGGACTATGTCTTATATTCTTTTCTATAAACATCGGTGTACTTTGAACCTCTTTGCTTAATGTTTTCTCTACTAAAATGACTTACTAAACCCAGTAGCTATCAAACTCCTCCTCAAGCATGTGATCTTAACTTCTCTGACTCCCAATACTCCTTTATTAGTACCTCTCCTAAACATAATTTTCTACCTTGTTATACTTTTCCCAAATGCGATTAGATTTCCATCCCAAGCCATTCCTTAAAATATTTAAAGCAGCTTACAAAGACAGAAATGTTTTGAAACAAAATAAATTTAAAATAGGTGAAAAAAAGTTGAAGTAAAGGACCAAAAATTACAGGAGTAATAGAAGGAATCTTTTGTCATTTTTCTTAAATACAAACACACGTTTATTCTTGAATTCAACTGCTGGCTCTCCTTAAGGAGAGAGAGCGAGCTATGCACATACTTATTAAATAAATTACATTCTTTCAGATACCTAAGAGATTTTATAATCATCTAAGGACAATTTCAAAATGACCTTTAAAAAATTATATATATATATTTTTGAGACAAGGTCTCACTCTGTCACTCAGGCTGGAGTGCAGTGGCGCCATCTCACCTCACTGCAACCTCCACCTCCCAGGCTCAATCGATCCTCCCACCTCAACCTCCCAGGGAGCTGGGACAACAGGCGTGCACGCCACCATGCCCAGCTAATTTCTGTATTTTTTTTGTAGAGATAGGGTACCATGTTGCCCAGACTGGTCTCAAACTCCTGGACTCCAGCAATCAACCTGCCTCAGCCTCCCAAACTGCTGGGACTACAGGCATGAGCCACCAAGTCCAGACCAAAAAATTATATTTCTTTATATATGTATCTACAAACATGTATATATCCTTATACTTTGAAAATGACAACGTGCAAAAGGGCACCAACAAAGAACCGAATAAACATTAGTATTGTGGCTCTTTAAATATCAGCAAAATAACCAAAATGCTCACATTTAGTATCAACAGTAGCATTAATGTTTTTCACATTTTAAATAATTTAAGATGTACACCACTTCCTTTTTGGTAGAGACCTAGGAGTCCCCAGTAGACAGGAAAAAAATAATTCCTCCTCTCTACTGCCTGGAAGAGACTGACAATGGAAATCTGTTTAGTATGAAAAGGAAGCTGGCAAACGTCTCTACAATCACTAATATAAGGAACCAATCCTAAAATATTCATATTAGTTCGCATTTACCTGGACTTCTTTTCACTACCAAACATATTTGGGACACATCTGCTTTGAATTTCAGATATGGATAAACTCTATAAAAACGCTAAATTGAGCCGGGAGCCGTGGCTCATGCCCGTAATCCCAACACTTTGGGGGCCCAGGTGGGTGGATCACCTGAGGTCAGGAGTTCGAGACCAGCCTGACCAACATGGTGAAACCCCAACTCTACTAAATACAAAAAATTAGCCGATCATGGTGGTGCATTCCTGTAATCCCAGCTACTTGGGAGGCTAAGGCAGGAGAATCGATGAACCCGCGAGGGGAAGGTTGCAATGAGCCAAGATTGCATCATTGCACTCCAGCCTGGGCAACGAGAACAAAACTCCATCTCAAAAAAAAAAAAAAATTAAATTGCCAAAAACCCTGTCTTAAGGTTATAACTGCTTATCCTTCAAACCTTTAAAACTGAGGCTGGGTCATGAATTTTTGGGGAAATTGGGTTTTGGGGTTGTTACCCCCTTTTTCAAAATGAGAAGAATTAACATATTGCTTTGAGAGAGAAGACAGGAAAGTGAATACAGTGCTTTGTCAAATTGTGGAATCTGCTCAGCAAAGAAACCCTGTACTGAACATTTTACAATGAAAATCCCTATCCCCATCATTTATTTCCTTCATTCATTAACAAATTATAGAAATGCATAACATCCAACATGGTTCTTCCTGCTTCCCACTTCAATCCAAACTACAGATTCCTTTTACACTAATCTTCCCTGAACACCATTTAGTCAACAAGTGTTGAGGGCCAATCATTAACTCCCCAATTCAACCTTCAGTCATTTCCTATCACTTAATCCAACTGTTGCCTTACTGCTGCCCAGGTGTTTTTCTTATTTCCCCCCATTTTTATTAATATTCTCCCACCTGACACATTTTCCTTCACCCTAAAACTTGTGAAAAGTCACTTCAAGTAACACTGCTTTTCTGACCTACCAAAGGTCAAATCTACACCATCTGTGAACTTTGCTTATGTCATTTTGAAAACCCAAGTTCCAGGTACAGTCTAAGAAACAATTTGTAAAACTGTCTCGGCGAATTCACTTAACCAAAACTTGTTCCTTCATAGGTTGAATGAGATCAAGATTTCCAACTCTTAAGTTTCTGATTATTTTATTTAATATTTCATGTTGCTTAAAACTATTACTTAGCCCTTATATTGCCAAATAACTGCCACATGCATACATATCTTCTTATAATATTATACACTCCTTGGGGACAAGAACCATATTTGATTATACCTAAGCATTGGTTTTTTTGGCTCACAAACACAGCAAAAAGTAAATCAGTTAATTCTCTCTTAAAGGAGAAAATAGTGTTATCACATGATCATAAAGAACTTTATCTTTCTGTTTTTAAAAATAGAAGTTCTCCTTGGTTTTTCTTATGACAATATTAATAGTATATTTTCTTGATTAAGCAGATTTCTTATGACAATATTAACAGTATATTTTCTTGATTAAGCAGATTTTATCTAATAGGCATTGAAATAGGCTTTGAATATATGCAGCACATCAAACATCCCCATTCCTATTCAAGAAGCTTAAAATCATCAGATAATCATGAAAACAAAATCTAATTACGAACTGTAATAAGCATTATAAAAGAAAAGAACAAGGTGCTATTAAACAGTTATTAACAAACAACCTAAGTTTAGATTGGTACGTCAGAGGCAGCCTCTCAAAAAGTGAGTTTAGCTTTAAAGTGGAATGAAAGTGAGATGGCATAGGGGATATTCAGGCTAAAATAACAGCATGTGCAAAGGCCTAGAAGAAGAATGGATGAAAACTGAAAAACTTTCTGAAAGGTCAAGTACAACTGGAATGAAGAAAGTTGGGAGAAAGAAGCATGATGAAGCCATCAGTAAGCAAAGACAGAAAGAAATTACCTTAAAATAAATGGAAAGGCTTAAAAGGGGTTCTGGCCAAGTAAGTTACCTGAACAGATTTCCATTTTAAGAATATGATTCTGACTGTAAGATACAATATTAGAAAAAGACAAGACATATGCAGGAGGCTCTGTGAGGAAGCTACTACATGCAGTGCATTAAATGAGAGCTGATGTTATGTTAGAGCAATGGCAATAAGGATGGAAAAAAAAGATGAAGATATATTTTAAAGTAATGATCAAGATGTAGAGAGCAAGGAAAAGAAACTATCAAGAATGACTCTCAGGTTTCTAAAGTGAAGAACTGCATTAAGAAATTATATTTATCAAAATAAAGACAACTAAAGAAGGAAATTTGAGGGGCTAGGTAATCAAGAGTTACATTTATGACCTGTTGAGACTGATAAGCCTATGAGAATGCAAGCGGAAATGTTATGAAAGCAGATGACTTTACCCGTCTAAGGCTAAGAAGAGAAGTCTGGACTAGTGATAGGCTTTCAGAAGCCAATAGCATACAAACTGTCTTTACAGCCATGGGAACCAATGATTACCTAGGGAAAAGGTAGTAAGTATAAAGAAGACTCAGAAAACCTAGGAAACAGAGTCTGACAGAAGAGAGAAACCTGAAAGACAGACTGAAAAGGAATGGCCAGAAGAGTGGGAAGAAAATGGAAGATTATCACAAAACGCAAAATAGAGTGTTTCAAGGAGGGCAAACAAAGGTCAACTAGGCCTAATCGTGCTGAAAGGTCAAGATTTCCTGGTCAAATTGACTGGTAAAGAAGAAATGGAGTGGTGGAGGGCAGCTTTTGAATATATGTGAGACTAGGAAAAAAGTTAACCTAGAATCTAAAAAGTTGTTATAATTTTTTAAAAATCAGTATAAAGATACTTTAAAATTTTTCAACCTTGTGTAGTTTCTCTTAATGAGCCAATAAAGCATGTTCTTACCATGACATTTTCAACCTTAACAAAAGTGAGACGGCAAAAACCAACCACCAAAGTTCTAATACTGCAGCATCAGAACAGGTCATGCTTAACAGCTTCATATTTTTAAATTAAACTTTCTCTTTTATCGAATTTTTTAAATCGAGATGGGGACTATGTTGCCTAGGTTGGTCTTGAACTCCTGAGCTCAAGTGATCCTCCTATCTTGGCCTCCCAAAGTGATGCGATTACAGGTGTGAAATTAAACTTTCTAAACAAGAAATAAAATTTACATGTTTTGTATTTCTGAAGCTAATGCTGCAAAAGCTGATCTAAATTATTAAAAAATTAAAATGGTTTTCCTAAAATTTCCACATAAGTTTCAAAAGAAAAAATAAATAAATAAAACATGTCCACCTTAACATTTAACATTTGAATGTCTAATGCATTCCAGGCACACCACTGTGATGACTTTACCCACTTTTTTCTCACCAAGGACTTGCAGGGAAATGTTATGTTCTATGGCAATTCCATCAGTTATACGAATACACAAAGCAATGAAGCCTGCCTATTTTTTAGGTTTTCAGACACTCTTAAAAATTCCTTATGGGCACTGGCCTTACCTCTTATTAGCTTTATAAGAAGTAAAAACGGCACTAGATTTCGAATTGGAAAAACAGCCTTGAATCCTAGCTCTGCTTTACTGCTATGTATGTAACCTTAGACAACTTGCCCTCTCTAAATACTCAGCAAGTTTCAGTTTATTCACCAATAAAATAGAAAAAAACTTAATTCACAAGATTACTGAGTGGTTAAATATGGTAGACATTAACTGAATCTAATACTAACATTTTTCATCACTTCTATGAACTGAAATTCTGAATTACATACTATTCTTATTTCTAACAAATATAAACTAAGTAATTCCACTCTTAAAATTTATGTATTCATTAGAGAACTAACTTGGAGCTATGACTTAATTAAAATTAGCATCATTCATTACATTTAATAGTACAGTATTCTACCATTGAAATAGATGTGTAATGATACTAAACACACACATCTATTTTTTCACTCCTTCCCTAAAACCCCACTAAAATGACAGAAAAGCAATTTGTTAAGATACAAAGACATAAGCCCACAAAAACTGAGGCAGATGAAAAGACAATAGCAAAAAAATTTGAAAGCTGGAAAGCAGACAGTTGAGTGACAAATGACTTAGCAAACACTAGAAAATCAAAGCTTTAGCAAACAATGGAGAATGCCAAAAACAAACCCAATTTAAACTGCAAAATCCCCAAAAGACTCAGGAATTGGCAGTACCACATCTATATAAGTGGGATGTGGGGGGAGAAGGTGCTAAAATTAAAAAGATTGTTTAGAAGTCAGTTTAAGAAGCAACCAGTCCTACAGATTCCCAACTGTCCCTCCCTAATCCCAAGAAAAAAAAAGGAATATTGTCTGAAGAAGGTAAAACATAGGATCACAGGACTAAGGAAATCAGGCACAGCAAAATGCAGAACATACTGAAAACAGGGTTGAGTGAAGAAACGTATCTGGGGATCCCCCAAAACCTTTCATTCCACATCCCCCTCACTGCCCACCCCACAGAATGCTTGTAGAAAGGCCTTCAATTCCAAGCAAGAAATCAGAAGAGCCTTCTTATAGGGATCTAACCAGCTAGGAGGATATACAAGAAGAAACCGACACTAGAAGTCCTCCAACCAAACACCACAGCCAGGTTACCATACAGGAAAGCTAACAATTGACAAGCCACGCTCAGAATTTCTAATTAGCATTTTAATTCCTTACTCTTACACATGACTACCAACTATCTGAGGAAAGGCTATAAGATGAAAGATAAAGACCAAAGCAAATAAAAAGTAAGAAAATAAAACCTAGAGGAAACACCACATAGAAAGAAAAAAAAAACTTTTTAAAAAAGCTAACATTTTATATATTCAGATAGCTAAGAAAAAATACTATCATTATTAAAATAGAATAGTATACTATTAAAAAGGAGCAAAAAAAAAGTTCTTGGAATTTAAATATGTGATAAGGGAAATGGAAACTCAATAGAGCAAAAAGAAAAACAGATGAAAAGTAGTTGAGAAAACACAAGAAAATTAGAAGACCAGTCAAGAAGGTCCGTTATCCAAATAAGAGGAGTTTAAGAGAGAAAAAATAGAAAGACATAATCAACAACCTGACTCAAGAAAAAGTCCCAGAATGAAAAGATGTTTCCAAACTGAAAGGGTTCACCAAGTACTCAGCACAGTGAATGAAAACAGACCCACACAAAAATCCATCATGGCAAAACTTCAGAACACTGGAAACATAAAATCTTATAAAGGTTTTAGAGGTTTTAAAAATGAGAGGAAGAAAAGGAAGAAGGAAAAGGAAGGGAAGGAAAAACAAAATACACAGGTCACATACAATATATAAGATATCAGAATGGCTTCAGATTTCTCAAAAGCAATATGGATGTTAGAAGGCAATGGCACAAAATATAAGAGAACATAACTTCCCCACCTGGTATTCTTTACCTAAGAAAGTGTCAGAGTAAACTAAAGCCATTTTAAAACAAGCAAACTAAGAATAAAGACACTAGTCTCTGGAAAATAAAGATCCAACACAAGACAAAGTGAAAGGAATCCCAGAATAATAGTTGTGTACCAAGCCAAGAAGGCAACCAGTCAAGAATGGAGGTCAGTGGGATATAACACTTCCTGAGAAAGATAAAATTGTTAACAATATCTGATATTGGAACATCCTAAGAGGCATCTGATGAAAAGTGGATTTAGTGATAAATATAGAGAAAACTAGGCAAAGAGGTAAAAAAAGACAATGAACTCCAGCCAGATTACTCTGCGGTAAAGTTAACAGTCAACAAGCCACACGGAAAAAGAATTTTTAAAAATAATTATATATATATAGTAGAGACAGGATCTTGCTATATTGCCCAAATTAATCTCAAACTCCTGGCCTCAAGCAATCCTCTCACCTTGGCCTCCCAAAGTGCTGGAATTATAGGCGTGAGCCACCATGGCCAGCCCCACACTGCAAATCTCTAATCAGCTCTTTAATCCTTTAACACTTATTTGCAAGCAGACAATCAAGACTTACCAGACATCTAAGGAAAGGTTCTACAGGAAAGGTAGAGCCCAAAACATACAAAAATGGGAAGAGGGTGGGGAAAGGAGGGGCAACTTGGAGAAAACAGACAGCGCTGACAGATGAAAACCTGGGAGTGGAGGAAAACCCATTTCTATAATAGACAGGTGGGGATGGAGCAGGGAAGCAGCCACAAAACACTGTACAGGATAGGAAAAGTAATATTTGACAAGAATACTGAATAATCAATATTGATAACTACTGGGAGGAAGGGTACTGGGAAAAAAGGAGACCAGGTAGGTATATGGTAACAACAAAATTAAATCTTCATTTTCTATCCAGGAAGTTAATACAGACAAAAAGAAATGAAAGGTGTATTTTATTTAACAAATACCTACATAGGGCATGTGAGTTAGACAAAGTTCTAGGGAATTTCCAAATTCATTTAATTCTTATATCAACCCAATGAGGTAACTACTATTGTCATCATTTTTTTAATGAGAAGATTGAACCATAAAGAGGATAAATAGCCCGATGTTACATAAAACTAGTAAATGACAAGAAAGATCAAATCTAGGCAATCTAACTCCACAGTCCATGCTCCTAACGAGCAGGCTATATTACATATCTAGTGGTAAGACAAGCAAGTTATTTAGAGACTGGGAGGTAAATACCACAATAATCATCTAAAAGAGGTGAAAGTGATTGTTTCTAGGAAAGGAAAACTGGAAAGTAAGGGTGCAGGAAGCTCTTCCATTTATTTCTTGGAAAACCATTTAAACTATCTTTAAACTGTGCATGTACATCTTGAAAAAAAAACTTTAAAAATTATAATTTCGTATTTTAGTTAACAAAGTATTTTAACTGATACTACTGCTATCCTGAGAAGCAGGCAAAATGAGTATTACTCCTATTTTATAGGTAACACACATGCGTCTTAAATATTTGAGGACCTACTATAAAACAGGCAATGTACTTTGCAGACATACATCAATTCACCTAAAAATGTTGATGAGAGATACAAAAAAGCAAGTCTTTTTATTCAGTTCTTTTCCATTTGTTGCATAAATTATATGATCCTGCATCTCTCACAATTGTGCTTAAGATGAGGGACAATATAAACTTTAAATCATGACAAAAAAAAAATCAGGAGAAATGCCTGCTAATTAATTCAAAAAAATAATTCATCCCTGCCCTTGAGGAACATCTAGTCTTGTGGGAAAGATTGGTAAACATAATTATAATTGAATGTGTACAGTGCTTAAATAGAGGAATATTAAAAAGTGCTAAGGAAACAATGTCCCCTGAGTGAAAAGAATGCTTTAAAGAGAACATCTGAGCTGAGTCTTGAAGGATGAATAGAAGTTTGACCCATTTCACGTTAAGAGGCTGTGCTAATAACAATCACAAAACATAAAAGATGCAATACCTGTATTTTCCCATTCTTGTAAAGGTGAATTCACAGTTCATGTTACAGTCTAAGACATTAAGACTTTTTTTTTTTTTTTTTTTAGAGACAGGGTCCTGGTCTGCCACCCAGGCTGGAGTGCAGTGGCATGATCCCAGCTCACTGCAGCCTTGACCTCCAGGGCTCAGGGGATCCTACCACCTCAGCCTTCCAGGTAGCTGGAACTACAGGCATGCGCCACCATGCCTGGCTAATTTTTGTATTTTTTTGTAGAGACAGGGTTTTGCCATGTTGCCCAGGCTGGTCTCAAATTTCTGGGCTCAAGCAATCTGCCCACCTCAGCCTCCCAAAGTGCTGGGATTACAGGTGTGAGCCACCGCACACGGCCTGACATTAAGACCTTTTAAATAAGAATGATTTTTTTTAAAACAAGATACATAATCTTAGCATCCTGATCCATGTTTATAGTCTCTCCCAGTGATCAACTGAAGGCACTTTCCACATGTCTAAACATTTTATAATCTAAAGTGTTAAGAGTATTATTTCAAAAGATGATTAAAAGATAACCATCCTCATCTGTCCTACTGCCCAAATTATATTGTTAACACATTTCCTGATTCATAATATTGAAATTATATATGTATTCCCTCTCTCCTGAGACTAATGGTGACCAAGCCCAGAAGATGCAAGTGACAACAGAAGCTACCATGGGAAGAAAGGTTTTAAAAGTTTGTTTTTTAATCATATCACTGTTTTCTCTTGTAGTTATTCTTAAATTATCTTCCAAGGGCAAATTTAAATGAAAATTAACTTTTTTCCAAACTGTAGTGATAAATAATCTTCAGTAAAACACAATAAAGAATATAATATATATCTTTTCTGATCTTACAAGGTGTTTTAGGGCTACATTCCGATTTCACAGAATTTAAGATACCGCTAAAACAAAAATTTTCTGGTTTTTAATCACGAAACTTTGATGTTAACTAACCAAGGCCCAAATAGGTAGTAAATTCAAAACAGTCCCTGCTCTTGAGGAACTCCTGGTCTTGTGGGAGAGACTGCTAAACATAATTATAATTGAATGTGTACAGTGTCTGAAGACAACTTGTATTAGAGCTATATTTCCTTATTTCTCAGTATGTCTTTTTGTCCCTTTCTAGAATTCCATAATTTCCACCTTATTATTCCTTTTCTCAATTATTATCTGGAAAAATTAATTTTATATTAATATCTTAAACTGGGACCCTATTCCTATAGTTAAAACTCTAGTTGAAAGTAGCATCATCTGACTTTAATTGCCTGGAAGGGCAAGCTGTGGAAAATCCTATCATGTCCTACCAATAGGAGGAAAAAGAGGTGAAAGTCAAGCCAGGAGACCACAAATGGCAATTACAAAATCATGGCAAGTTTGAATTCAAAATGAGTGTTTTTGTTTGTGTATTTTACCCGTCTTTTGTTTCTCTAAACTTAGCATCCACATAATATAGCTGTTTTTATAGAGGCTTCACTCAAATCATAACCTTTTGACTTAAAAAACATTAATATTTGTGGTAATTCTTTTAAAATTAGTTGAGTATTAGCATGATAAAATTAAAGGTTTAACAATAATAATGGAACAATTAAGGAAACTACCTCCTAAAAGTTTATCTTTTAGAGTACAGTTTTGTACAAATAATACAGAATACATTTGGTTAGGTAACAAGGTTTTAATTACCTGACTATTAGAAAAATAATAAAAATCTTGAAAGATAAGATTTTATCAATTTAACCATGTCTTTATCTTACCTTTTAAACAACTAAATAACACAAACCTCACTGAAACATTTGACCTGTTTTCTTTTTCTAAAATTACAACTATTTTGCAATATGCTCAATTTTTCCAAAGCAAAACCCACAAACATACATATAGAATATAAATGCTTAAATTCGCTTGATGAAAGTTCAATCACAAAACCCTCCAACTAATACTAAAATAATTAAATATCTTGCACGCTTACTCCAAATTCCACCGTGAAAATGATGTCTTTTCATAACTCCTATAATAGCATTTTAATCAAGGTTAGTAACAGACTGGAAAATTTGTGAAAAGAACATTACTTTAAAAATCAACATGAAAGATTTCACAACTTTTTTAGCCAGTCAGCTTCAAAGACACAATTTGATTCAATAAGCGTTACTGGCATATTATTTCCAATCTACGTGAAAAAACGCTTGGTTTAATAATGTACTTTAGGCTTTCTGTATCTTTTTGGTAAGGAAAGAAAGGAACAGGTGGAGTAGATTAGCCAGAGACCAAGGTCTTATTTTCACGCCTCTATAAATTCAATCCTCCAAGACTTACTTTCTCTGTTCTTTAAAATGGCTACCACCTTGATCTACCATGCAAAAGAAAAAATGTTCAGCATACTATCAAGATAAGTCTGGTTATTTTGATAGTTTATGTCCTCCTTTCCCACAAAATAAGATTCCCATTCCTTTACTGTTCAGATAAAATGACCATTAAATAAGTACGCAAAAGTTGGTCAGTTGGAGTATGAGGGCAACCTATATAACCCAGATTAAGTCATCTTTCCTACCATATCTGACTAGGAAAAGTAGGCAACAATATCTTTCACAGACTAAGATCAAACACAGTAGAAATGAAAAAGGGATGTCTAGTAAAGGAGAACAAACGT
Source organism: Homo sapiens (assembly GCF_000001405.40). Taxonomy (NCBI): domain Eukaryota; kingdom Metazoa; phylum Chordata; class Mammalia; order Primates; family Hominidae; genus Homo; species Homo sapiens. The sequence continues at coordinate 44,572,779 of NC_000013.11, forward strand.
GGGAACCACAACCCCCCAAGAGATTATTTTAGCAGCTCAAAATAGATTAACTATTATGTGGGTTAGCAAAAATTAAGCTTTCCATAATATTTCTAAAAAGCATTTTAGAGATAATAAAACCACTTGGCGCCCCCAAACCTGTTTTTAATGTGAACACATGCTCAACAACTATTCTGAAAATATTGTTTACATATTACTATTATTTCCTACTCCCTCTGAAACCATTCCATAACTCTTGCTCTATAAAACTTCCCATAAAAATGCATTTTTCACATACAAAACACAATATACAATGTTTTAGAGTCATTTTGTGCATACATATAGCTACTAAATAGATTAACTTCAAATCTGTTGAATGTCTCCAGAAATATGACATGATCTTACCTCTCATCCTCGCCATCCACCAGGGGTGTCGTCAGCGGTAGCACCTTCAACGGGAAAAGAGAAGCAGAGGCTGCTAGGCTGCTGCTACTCCCATCTGAAACTGCTGACATTCCCCCACTGTCACCACTGATAGTCTGAGGTAAGCCAACTAAGGAGGGCTCCGCTGCACGCCTGGCATCTTCAATTTGGCTTCCAATTGCCTGAGCTAATGATTGTGCGGAGAACTGGGTAGAACTTAGTGGTATCTGTTGTGCCAAAGGCAAATTTGTATTAGTTGCTATCAAGGGAGGTTGACTAACACTTTGAACCAAATTACCATTTTGGGTAGCAGGGGTTTGTGCTATATTTTGTGGTGGAACCAAGTTTGTTGGGGCAGAAGGCATTCCAGAAGGACCAGTTGAACTAACCTGACTTGTAACAGAAATACTACTAGCAGAGGGCAAAGAACTAACTGCAGGCAACTGCTGTGAAACAATTCCTTGAGCTACTGGTTCTACTCCTTGTGGCTGGGGAGGCACAGTTAACAAGGAACTTTGGGATGCAATAACCAATTGTTGAGGAAGGCTTGGAGCACTAGTTTGAACTCCCTGATGAATAATCCCAGTTTGAGCAGGTGGAACCACTTGCGAAGATGGAGGAGCACCCTGCTGAATAACTGAAGGTGGAACCTGGGTAGAGGGCTGCTGCACTGCAGTAGGTATGTTTGCTTGCTGACCAATATTTGCAATCTGACTGCCAGTAGGTACAGCAGACACTGCTGCCGGAGCCTGGCCAACAGGCTGGACAGATGCCCCTGCAGGTTGTGCTGGGACTGCTGTGGGCTGCACTGGCAGCTGGATACCCTGTGGCTGAGCCACAGGAATCACTGTTGTTCCTGCTCCTACTCCTGCAGAACTGGGCTGTCCGGAGGACATTGCTGTTTGAAGAATTGGCTGCTGTTGTACATACTCTGAAGCAGGATTTTGAGTCACTGATTTGACATGGCCTGGGGCCATCTGTGTAGAAACCATTGGTTGCTGTTGTCCATACTGTAACTGTTGGGGTGGTGGTGCCCCTGGAAGGGGAGTTTGCACTGGAGGAGCCGCCTGAGAATATGGTAGCTGGGGTTGAGCCAAACTGGAAATGGAAGGCTGCTGACCTAAAGCTGAAGTTACACCAACCACATTTACAGGCGATGGCTGGATACCAGTTGCAGCACTCATAGTGGCTTGCAGAGGTACTGGCTGAAGACCTTGCTTTTGCTGATAGCTCAGTTCTTGAGACTGTAATTGTACTTGTGAGATCTGTGACTGAGAAATACTCTGTGGTATACTAACTGCTGGAATACTCTGTGGACCAGTGCTACCAAAATCCATCTGTTGGAGGGTCACACCTTGGAGAGCTGGTTGTTGCTGTTGTTGTTGTTGTTGCTGCTGCTGCTGCTGCACCACCACAGTAGGGGCTCCCATCTCTCCACTTCCCACACTCTCTGTATAGTGACTCAGTGTGCTGACACTACTGCTCACTGAACTCCCACTAGTGCTCTCCCTTTCAGAAGTCACTTCTATCGGATTTTGCTTTACAGTCTCCACCACTTTATTTATCAGCACACCTTCTGTAGCAGGTACAGCATTTTCTTTTTCATAGAACTCAGTGCAAGTCCATCTACCTTTTTTAAAGGGCTCAGAACTAGAATCTAACTTCACAACTCTGAACCTCGAAGTGTTAACTGTTGGTTGTTGCTGCTGACTTGAAACCGATCCCCCAGTCATCCCTGCAGCTGCATTAGGAACACTGCTAACAGCAGCAGAGGAAGAAATAGTACCATTGCCCATGCCACTCAAGATATTCACATTAACACCACTGGTAACTCCAGGCCCAACACTCACACCAGCAGCACTAGGAATATTGCTTGTACTTATATTAACATTACCAAGCATGCTGCTTGTCACATTAGGATTAAAACTACCCACAGCAGTAATGTTAACATTATTTACTGTACTAGTGCCAGTAACAGAATTTATACCTATTCCACCTGTAGTACTTGGAGCACGCATATTAGTCATTACAGATGCAGGTGAACCACTGGATGATACAGCAGAAGTTGGTGCAACTGGTGTGATACTGTCAGAGCTTCCAGTTGTAGAGAGTTTTCTAGATACTGGGCTTGAGGGTGGCCCACCAGTAATGGATGCACTGGCCACAGCAACATGAGATGGATGGTGGTGACCATGTTGGAGGTGGTGCCCATGATGAATCTGATGGTGGTGATGGAGGTGGTGTGGATGAGCATTCCCATTGATCACAACATTCTGTTGTGGAAGGTGAGGCAAATGAGGCTGAGGAAGGTGGGGCTGGTTGGGAGAGACTGCCCCAGGTGTCTCGGCTTCCTGGAAGTTATTTAGGGTCTCTTCTGAGGAGCTGCGTTCGGGCTCCCCTAAGTCAGTAGCCCTGGAAAGTGACACATCAAGGATCTCCGAAGAAGAGAGATCTTCCGTGTGAGATTCATCCAGATCATCATAGCTCTCAGTGTCCTCTGCTATACTGTTGTTAGAGCTGATACTAGCGGAGATCTGAGCAGGAGTAACGCTAGTTATCTGGAAGCCACTTTTCTTTTTCATTTGAGTTCCGCCTGGCGCAAGAGGCTGTGCCTGCAGCTGAGCCTGCGAAAGGAGGTTCAGGCTTTGTGGAGGCGGAGGCTGTGGTCCCGACGTAGAAGATGCTGCAGGGGGCGGCGGCTGAAGCAGCGACGGAGGCGGAAAATCCTCGGAAGATGTGGCATTACTACCGACGCCGGTACCTGCTGCATTGAGAGCAGAGGCGCTGCCACTACCGCTGCCCCTTCGAGGGAACATTGCCGGGTGCGCCATCTTCCTAGCGCTAATGTCTGCAGCGGCGGCGGCCGCGGCGGTGGACTCAGGCGGCTGGTGCATTGTGTTGGGTACCGGGGGCGCGGAGGAGACGAGTGCAATTTCCTTCTGCACCGTAATCTTTGTATTGGAGACGCCGGAGAGGAAAACGGGACCTGACGCTCCGCCTGGCGCGATTCCTCCTTCTCCTCCTCCTCAGCCAAAGGCGCCGGTCGCTCCTGCCTTCGAGAGCGAGCTTCGGAAAGGAGGATGAACGAGGGTGAACAGGGCGGCCGGGGACCCGAAGGGGGGATCCCTTCAGTCCTTCGCCATTCACTTTCCCCTCTAGCCTCACACCCCCCTTTATATTCTGCTTCACGTGGGGTGCGGGGCAGGAGGGAGGGGGAGAGCGCAGGAAGGGGAGGAAAAGCGAGAAATGCCCACCTTCTCCGGCCAACTCCGAAGCCGCCTCAGCCCCCTCCTCCCGCCGCGTCGGCGGCCGCTGCAAAGCCCTCCCGGCCGCTCTGCACGGAGGCAGCGCCAAGCAAATGTCGCCTTCCCCTCGCCACCCCCGGGGCCGCCGCCGCCGCCAGCGAGCCCCGAGCTCAGTGTCGCTCAAACCTCCCCTCCCGGCCCCGCTCGGCCCTCCCCCCGCGCCCCGCAGACCCTTTCAAACCCCCTGGGCTCGCGGCGGCTGCTCGGTGAGGAAACGCTGGCCGCGGCTGGGGCCGGGGCGACGCGGCTGCGAGCGGGGCGGCGGCGAGGCGCCCGGTACGGTGAGCCCAGCAACGAGGCGCGGGCGGGCGCGCAGAGACGCCGGGTCCTCGCGGAGCACGGCCGGGGCGCGGCGGCGGCGGTGGCAGCGGGAGCCCAGGGACCGCTCCATCACTGGCAGCCATGGAGCCCGAGCATTTTCCTCCCTCAGGGCAGGCGCCTCGACTCGGCACACGTCCTCGGGGAGGAAGGGGCCGGCACCCGAGCCTCTCCGGAGGGCGGCGGGACGTGCGCTAGGGCGGAGGGTGCGACCCTCTCTTATCCTCTTCCTCCGCAGCCGGCTCTTCCTCACCCCGCTGCTCCCGCGACCGGGCGGGAGAGGGCCGCAGGCGGCGGCGGCTCCTTTCTCCGCGGCGTTGGTGGCCAGACGGGCTGGTGCAGCGACTGCAGCCGACGCCGTTCAAAGGAACGAGGTGGGGTTGGTCGGTGTCGGCAAACGGGGCGGGGGAGTGAGTGGGTGCCGAGGGAGGGTGTCGGGCGGGGAGGGGGCTGTGGTGGTTGTTACTAGTGCTCTTCTTCGGCTCCCCCGGCTCCACCGTATCCCCCAGTCTCTCGCGGCATCGGGAGGGGAGGGACCAGCGCGGAGCGCAGGAGGAGGAGGGGCGACCGCCGGCGAGAGGAGGCGGTGGTGGCTGGGGGGAGGGGGCAGGCGGAGGAGGAGGAGGGAAGATGGCGTCTGCGCATGCGCCTCGGCGCCGCAGACATAAAGCCGGGTCTGGCGGGGCAGGAGGCGGCGGGTCTTCGGGCCTAGGCGAGCGCCAGGTCTCCCGACGGAAATTACCGAAGGCTGGCAGAGGCGCCGAAGCCGGGAGTGGTGGAGCCGGAGGGGATAGTGGGGGTGGGGAATTCCGGCCGAAGGAGCGAATCCGGGTCGGACTGCGTGATTCGGCCCGGTGGGGGCGGGCAGGGTGCGCGCCTGCCGCGCGCCCAGGTTAGGTGTGTCCGCTCTTTTCACACTCGCGGCCGGCGCGCGCGGGCACGCGGCAGAGGAGGGGGCGCGGCGCGGAAGGGCCGGCGGAGGCGGCGGGAGCGCCGGCGCTTGGTGTGCGCGCCTTGGGTGGTGTCCCCCGCCTGCGGAATGGGTAATGAGGCTTTTCTCCGCAGCAACAGCATCACGAGTTTCAGTTCCCAGGAGCCCGCCGCCGCGGCTGCTGCCGCTGCCACGACATGAGTCAGGCTTTCTTCCCTGGCGCGTGGCGGAAACCTCCTCCCCCTCGCCGCACCTGGGCTCGCCCCCGGCCCTTGCCTCCTCGGGGGATGCCCTAGGGCCGGGAGCTGTGGGGTCTATGGAAGGCCGGTGGCTCCCGGTGATAGGTGTTGTCTTTTGTGCAGTGCAGTTGCTGCCATGCGGTCCCCTCGCCCTTCCACGGGCAGGGGCGAGGCGGCCGGGCAGATGTTGCAGCTGTTTCCAGTTAACTGCCTGAGCTCCTCTGGGCTAGGCTCTTCTCTAACGAGGAGTGGTTGCAATCCATCCTTAACTGGAGGACAGAAGCAGGCCGGCCCTGTAATCGACTGACCTCAACAGGTGTCTCCAAGCAGCGACGCCTTTTTCGTTCATCGTCCTGGCTATATCCCCCATTGGTTTGACTCAGGAGGCAAGGTGGTCCGGACATGTGAGCAACACAAATGATAAGAATGCCTTTTAGGGCTAGAAAAGAAAAAGCCATCCGAAATTCCAGTTTTAAAATACACACACACACACACGTTACATTTCATGGGTCCAAATGTAGTTCTACAGAAGCAATGTTAGGTTTGATTGGGGGCAATTTACTGGCGGTTACTTTCTTGGTATTTCATGTCAAAACCTAGTTCTAAGCGTTTCTTACCAATAATCGAGAATGTAAGTCTTTCCCAGGAATTTAAAAATGATAAAGCAAGCCGAAAAACTGTAGGGAGGAATTTTCATTTTGTTAAATTTAGGTTGTTAGGGGAATCAACGCTTATGGTTAGACCTCTGATTCAGGAAGTCTCAAGGATTTACATTCCTATTTCAGAAGATTGTTAAAGCAAAAACGATTGTCATTTGCAGTTTTGATACACCTCTAGTTGTCAGTTCAACTTTTTACCTTTAGTTTTCTCTGAACTCTTCCCCTTGTTCCAAGGGGAAGCTTTCAAAAAGTGAATTATGTCACCATTTGCATGTTATTGAATAGAAGTGCACTCTTAACATCCCATTTATCCAGTGTCAAAGCTATGATACATTGTTGCTTTATGTGGGGTCTCCCACACTGAAAAGAAAAACCCGGACTTCATTTATTTATTTATTTATTTATTTATTTATTTATTACTTTATATTGCTAATGTAAACCTCTGCTAGAAGTAAATAGGCTCTCGCAAATATTCAAAGTGATACAGTAATAAACATCAAATATGTTTGAGAAGACTACTTGTTCTATGATATTAATATGTGATTGGTTGTTTTTATAGAACTATGGCTATTTGTGTTTTCACAAAAATAATTTCTTTTTTACTTTTTGAGCTTTTGTTGCAAGTAATATGCCTGGTTAATCGCTGCCATCCATTGTTGAAATGCAAATTTGACATTCTTTTTCAATAGTTTTTGAATGGAAAATAGAAACTACCCTAACCGATTGAAACTGCAATGGAATGTAGATGGGTGGAATGTCCTTTCTTTGGACTGCAGTATGAAAGAAAATGCTCTTGATCTCTCAAAATGTAGCCTTAAGTCAAAGGTTTTTTGTTTTGTTTTGTTTTGTTTTTTAAGTCAAAGTTTTAAATTACCCCAAACAGCAGCTGTATACCCTTTGGGCCACCTAAATAACTCACCATGATTGTGCTGATATGCTTTGACGCTTAATAAACACATATATTAAAGTCTTACCCAAAGCTGATAGAGTAAAAGAGCTGTTGAGATAGCCCCTCTGGAAGCAGATACTTGTTCTAATGACCAGTAGCAAAGGGTACTGTTTGAGCTGTTTTGATGGGGGAGGAAGGGTTGGGGTGTTATTCCCTTTAAAATAAAGGTTTAAAAAAAAATCCAGAATTTAAGACGTAAGAAAATAAGATCTTTTGAAGTGTATTAATTTTTGCCTGCCATATCACTTTCAAACTCCTGCTTAGGCTGCATCAAGTCCCACTAAGATATAAAGAGCAAGTCAGCCGGGCGCGGTGGCTCGTGCCTATAATCCCAGCACTTTAGGAGGCTGAGGCGGGCGGATCACGAGGTGAGGAGATCAAGACCATTCTGGCTAACGCAGTGAAACCCCATCTCTACTAAAAATACGAAAAATTAGCTGGGCGTGGTGGCAGGTGCCTGTAGTCCCAGCTACGTGAGAAGCTGAGGCAGGGGAATGTCGTGAACCTGGGAGGCGGAGCTTGCAGTGAGCCGAGATCAGGCCACTACACTCCAGCCTGGGCGACAGAGCGAGACTCCGTCTCAAAAAAATAAAAATAAAAAATAAAAAATAAAAAGGGCAACTCTACAGTTAGGGAAATCTGAGTTTCAAAAATCTGGGTCTCTCCCCCTCCAAAATTCTTACGACAGCAATATATGAACACAAATACGTTGAAACAAGGAGAAGGCACCTCAAGAGCCAGATTTTGTTATACTATCATCTTTTAATTAAAAAGGTCTGGATTTTTATTATATAAACATTAAATGCCGACTGCTATGTATAATAAAGTCATTAAATCCTTTAAACCAAGTACTTAGAGCTATCCTTTGCCTTTTGAAAGATCGAATTTTAGCTGTTTTCATTCTGAAGCTGTACCTCTGAATTACTTTTTTGTTGTTGATGTTTTTTGAGACACAGTCATGCTCTGTCTCCCAGGCTGTAAAATGGCACAATCTCAGCTCACTGCAACCTCCGCCTCCCGGGTTCCAGCGATTCTCCTGCCTCAGCCTCCCGAGTAGCTGGGATTACAGGCATGTGCTACCACACCCGGCTAATTTTTGTATTTTTAGTAGAGACGGGGTTTTACCATGTTGGCCAGGCTGGTCTCGAACTCCTGACCTCAGGTGATACATGCACCTCAGCCTCCCAAAGTGCTGGGATTACAGGTGTGAGCCACCGCGCCCAGCCTCTGAATTACTTTTCTGCTTACTCAAAGATTAGCCTGTATTGCGGTGCTCACTTAAATCCAGTTGCAACATTACAAACCAGCCTTATATATTTGGACATGTTTACTGTTTAATGTACCGTAAAAATAGGAAATTTGGGTTGGGTGCAGTGGCTCACGCCTGTAACCCCAGCACTTTGGGAGGCTTAGGCAGGCGGATCACCTGAGGTCAGGAGTTCGAGACCAGCCTGGCCAACATGGTGAAATACCCTCTCCACTAAAAATACAAAAATTAGCCGGTCACTGTGGGGCACACCTATAATCCCAGCCACTTGGGAGGCTGAGGCAGGGTGAATCGCTTGTACCCGGGAGGCTGAGGTTGCTGTGAGCCGAGATCGCGCTATTGCACTCCAGCCTGGGCCACAGAGTGAGACTCTGTCTCAAAAATAAAGAAAAAAAAATTTGCGGCCGGGCGCAGTGGCTCATGCCTGTAATCCCAGCACTTTGGGAGGCCAAGGCGGGCGGATCACGAGGTCAGGAGATCGAGACCATCCTGGCTAACACGGTGAAACCCGGTCTCTACTAAAAATACAAAAAATTAGCCGGGCGTGGTGGCGGGCGCCTGTAGTCCCAGCTACTCGGGAGGCTGAGGCAGGAGAATGGGGTGAACCCGTGAGGCAGAGCTTGCAGTGAGCCGAGATCGCGCCACTGCACTCCAGCCTGGGCGACTGAGTGAGACTCCGTCTCAAAAAAAAAAAAAAAAAAAAAAAAAACTTGCTGAACATTGTAACACAATTATCTATTTGTGAGTACTGCGAAATAGATCAGTTAAAATCAAGTAATTCTTGCCGGGCGCGGTGGCTCACGCCTGCAATCCCAGCACTTTGGGAGGCCGAGGAGGGTGGATCACCTGAGGTCGGGAGTTCAACGCTAGCCTGACCAACATGGAGAAACGCCATCTCTACTAAAAATACAAAAAAATCAGCCGGATGTGGTGGTGCATGCCTGTAATCCCAGCTACTCGGGAGGCTGAGGCAGGAGAATCGCTTGAACCCAGGAGGCAGAGGTTGTGGTGAGCCGAGATCATGCCATTGCACTCCAGCCTAGGCAACAAGAGTGAAACTCCGTCTCAAAAAAATAAAAAAATAAATAAATAAAGTAATTCTCCAAAAGCAATGCCTTTGAAAAGCAGAAAGGGAATACCTGTACTCCAAATGGCTGAGCTACAACAATAGATACTATTAAAGAGAAATGTGTACAGAAAATATGCCACTGTTCCACTCCAGTAATTATTCTGGCTAACCAGTGCTTTAGTCATGTAATATTATTAATACTTATTTATAGCTTTTAGATGTCATCTGGGAAAAAAAAAGTCAGATGTTTAAATATGACTTATAAACTTAAATAATCACACATTTTTACATATGAAGAACCTAATGCAAGGGGATATTGCAGTATGTTTATTAATCAATTTGCTCTCTGTAAAATTTTTAATGAGACCAGGAGTGTGCCATCTCTATCAATATCGCAAAATGCTTATTTCAAAACTTTAATTTCGATTTTAATGAGTACAGTTTAGCTTATAACTGATTAATTTTGGCAGCATTTGTTAAGTTTTTCAATAGTATATTTCAGTTCAGCTAAACAATTTTGTATCCTCAAAGGAGATAATGCTTATAAAACAGAAAAGTATAGTTATTTGAATTTGTGGTTCAGAAGGCACACTGATACACATTAGCTCATTTAATTCTACCCTTTGAGGGAGAAGACATTATCATTCTCGTTTTAGAAGTGAGTAATCACAGGGAAGTTAAATAACTTTTCCAAGATTCATGCCTAAATCTGAATACTCATGTCCTCTTAGTATCAGATTCTATGCCTCTGTATTTAAGGATTTTTCTGAAAAAGTCTGAGCATTAGAGACAAGTATTTTTCAAAAATCTCTTGAAATTAATAAATGTTCCTTCAGTGCTTTTGAGTGCCAAAGAAGATGTGCCATATACACAATTTGAAACAGCATTTCTTCTGTACGAAGAGGATAAAAGACTTTTTCCCTGTTTGAACCAATGTAAATGTTATAGATTCTTCTACACTCCTTTCTGATTTATAAACGTGTTAATTTGGAGAATGTTCTCACAACCTAAAAAAATCATTTCTAATGTCTGCTACAGTACTGTGAAGTGACATTGAAAAAAGAATTTATTAATTTATATTTTTAAAGACTATGATCAAATAGCCCTCCAAATCTTTCCAGTGTTAGCTAATTTTATTTAATGCCTACTATATACTGCACATTGTTTTCAATGCTGTAAGTGTTCTATCCCACTCAGTCCTCACAGTTATACAAAGTAAGAGCTGAAATTGCCCCATGTTACAAGTGAGGAAAGTGAGGTGCCGGGAGGTTTCAGTCTTACAACTTAACTAGAGTGGTAGGGCTAAAATGAAAATCCTGGCAGTCTAACCACCCCTTCACGGCTGCTTCCAAGGCATATTGTTAATTCAGGCTACTGCCAACTCATGCTCCCAAGTTGTTTCTACAGAATACTCATGTTTTAATTTTTCTAATTAGACATCTCCAAAGAATCTATAAGCACATTTTCTCCTATGCAGAGACATTCTAAGAATGTACATTTTAGAGACTACTGTGGCCATGTAGGAATTAGCCATAAAGGAACAGAACAATGATTTAAGTGGGAGGATTCTTCACTGATCGAAACAGATGCCAAATGCTTGAAAAAAGGCATCAATCACACATAAGTGAGAAATGCTATCTATATAGGACAAAATAAATGTTTTCCTGTTTTAGCAGTTAGTCTTTATTGAACATAAGAGCCCGTAGAATAGAGAGAGTAATAAGAGTAATAACCTAGTCTTTTCAACATGTTCTAAGGGCCCATTTGTATTTATATATTTTTTGAATATAAAATTATAGAAATAAACACATTTATCACATTTGTTTATATCATGATTCTAATAAGACCTTTGTCCATTCACTGTCAACAAAAATAAGGTCAAGTTGTACAAACAAAAGCGGCTGGGTGCCGTGGCTCACACCTGTAACCCCAGCACTTTGGGAGGCTGAGGCAGACCAATCGCTTGAGCCCAGGAGTTCGAGACCAGACTGGGCAACATGGCAAGACCTCATCTCTACAAAAAATACAAAAATTAGCTGGGTGTGGTGGTGTGCACCTGTGGTCCCAGCTACTTGGGAGGCTGAGGTGGGAGGATTGGTTGAGCCTTGGAGGTCAAGGCTGCAGTGAGCCCAGTGAGCCCATAAGCATCATGCCTCTGCACTCCAGCCTAGGCAGCAGAGAAAGACCCTGCCTCAAAAGAAATTAATGAAATTTAAAAATGAAAGCAACCAATATTCCTTTGTATTTAAAGATTACATTCACAAATATTTAGGTATATCTCAAGTCTTCAAGCTCAAAGAAAAAAGAATGGCTACTGGGGTCATTCCTTAGTCTGGAAATTTCCTTTGATCATTTATTTTCTCCCTCTGCTCTAACATATCTTTTAAGATAAGAAAATTGATAAAATAGTTTTAAAATAATTTTTAGTAACACATTCAAATTGACATTTCCAGTTATTTTCATTGTAGAAAACAGGAAATCAGTAGTCTTAAAGGCCAACATCTTTTCTGATTTTAATACCATTAATAAAAGAAGAAAAGAAAATCCTAAATGTGTGCACTCTAAATTGGAGTCAGAGACACAAAATCAATTCCCAAAAATATTATGACCACAAAAATTTAAATGCAACAGCACAATTTACATATGGTAGATGTTTACAAAACCTTTCTAATGAATGATAAATTAGAATGATTAAAGAGGAAATGTTAGATTTTTAGACAAAATTGTGAGATGGGATTTAGGAGAAAAAGCCCAGCAAAATGATTTGTTTTATATGCAATATATACACACTTATCACATTCAAGAAAATTAAAAATATGACTGACTCAGCCCCTTCACTGAGTTAAACATAAAGTTAATTGCAAAGATACCAACAAAGTTTTCCATCAAAAACTGGAAAGGTCCAGGTATTTTCTTGCCACAGTTATTTATAGACAGGAATGATAATGCCAACTTAGTGGTTTAATTTCAGTGTTTCAAAAGAATTTATTCAAGAGACATACTGATATAACTGACATACAAAATGGTTAGTAGATGTACAACTGTATTACAACTCAAGGTATATTTCGAGTAAAATGGGAGTAATACTGTTTTACCCCAATGTTGATCCCAAATTATTTGATAATAAAAACAAGAGCTTTGAAAGGAATACTTCCAATTAAAAGCATCTTGAGAAAGGTGCTAAGTTTTCTTTGTTATTTCAAGTATATAGCAGAAACTTAAAAGTTCTTATAAAAAATGTTCTAAATCCTATACTATGTAGTAACATTGTCAACATAAGTGATCACATGAACTTTACTACTGAACGTTTCACAAGGTGTTTCTGAAGAACATAAAGTTCAGACATTACGGCATTAAAAACAAGCTCATTATTAAAATTTTGGTCAAGGGCATGCAATGGTATTAAATTTCCTTCTCTGTTCTTTCACTTGATCCCTGTAAAATTCTCCTTGCCCAACCTAAGCCAATAACAACTTGCTGACTACTCTTTTTCATTAAGCATCATGCCCAAAGCACTTTTTTTTTTGTAAGAAGCAAAGTTCGGTGAAAATGGTAATAGGATAGGAGTTGAATCTGTATCTCCTTTTCTGATAGCTTTGGGAAGGAGGGGGTCCTGGAGGAGAATGTAACAATCATAGCATTGGAGGATGACAATAAGATCCATTAAATTGCTGTGAACATTTATATAATCATGGTGGGCTGAATAACAGCCTCCGAAAGATATCTACATCCTGATCCCCAAAGCTTGTGATGTTACCTTATATGGCCAAAAGACTGCAGATGCTACTAAATGAAGAATCTTTTTTTTTTTTTTTTTTTTTTTGAGACGGAGTCTTGCTCTGTCAGCCAGGCTGGAGTACAATAGCCTGATCTCAGCTCACTGCAACCTCTGCCTCCGAGGTTCTAGCGATTCTCCTGCCTCAGTCTCCTGAGTAGCTGGGACTGCAGGCATGTGCCACCATGCCTGGCTAATTTTTGTATTTTTAGTACAGACAGGGTTTCACTGTGTTGGCCAGGCTGGTCTCAAACTCCTGACCTTGTGATCTGCCTGCCTCAGCCTCTCAAAGTGCTGCCAAAAGTGCGGCCACCTCCACATTATTAAAATGTCCAAAGAGAATGCCTTTGGCACTGTTTTCAGTAATTCTGTTCTAATAAAACATTAATTTAGCATTCATCTTATTACTAGTTGTGCCAGATGAGTCACTCGTTTAAGACTCAGTTGCTAACATACATTCAAAATGGCTTTGATATACAAGTCAAGTCTTTTGAATGCCAAATACATTGGATATTGGACACCAGTCCCCAACCCTTCTTCCCTTCCCTTCCCATTCACTGCTCCACTGTACTCTTCCCTCTGCTCCCATTTTCCTTACCGTAACTCAGAAATTGAAATTACAGCGATCTTCATGTTGACAAAACCCCCAAATAGTAATATTTTATTTTCTTCTTTGTGGTAATTGTGCAGCAGCAGTCAACTAATAACACCATTCACCATTCTGCTCGTCCTAAGTGCATAATAAGTGTATTTCATGAATAATACTGCTACAGAAACTGGATAAAAATAAGTAGAGGGGGCCAGGTGCGATGGCTCACGCCTGTAATCCCAACACTGTGGGAGGCCGAGGCGGGCGGATCACCTGAGATCAGGAGTTCAAGACCAGCCTGGCCAATATGGTGAAACCACGTCTCTACTAAAAATACAAAAATTAGCTGGGCATGGTGGTGTGCGCCTGTAATCCCAGCTACTTAGGAGGGTGAGGCAAGAGGATTGCTTGAATCTGGGAGGCAGAGGTTGCAGTAAACCATGATTAGGCCACTGCACTCCAGCCTGGGCAACAGAGTGAAACTGTGTCTCAGGAAAAAAAGTATATGATAATTTAAGGGCTGCTACATTGTTAAGGACTACAAGATGGGAAATATGGGATTCTGTTCTCCTTAGAAAAAAAAGGAACAGGGACCAGGTGCAGTGGCTCACACCTGTAAACTCAGCACTTTAGGAGGCAGAGAGGGGAAGATGGTTTGAGCCCAGGAGTTCACGACAAGCTGAGGCAACTTAGTGAGACCCCATCACTATTGTGAAACCAAAACATCTGAGACAGGTCTCAGTCAATTTAGAAAGGTTATTTGGCCAAGGTTAGGGATGCACCTGTGACACAGCTGCAGGAGGTCCTGATGACATGTGCTCACGGTTGTTGGGGTGGAGCTTGCTTTTATACATTTTAGGGAGACATAATACATCAATCAATACATGTAAGGTTTACACTGGTTTGATCTGGAAGGGCAGGACAACTCAAAGGTCTGAGGGAGGGGGTGGGGCTTCCAGGTCATAGGTAGATTTAAAAATTTCCTGATTGGCAATTGATTAAAAGAGTTATCAGTAGAAAGGAATGTCTGGGTTATGATAAGGGTTTGTGGATAAGGGGTTGCAGAGATCTATGTTTCATCATGCAGATGAAGCCTCCAATTAACAGGCTTTGGAGAGAATAGACTACCATATAAAGGTCTGTGTTGACGTTAATTCTAGAGAGGTATAATGAGGCATGTCCAACCCCTTCTTCTTTCATGGCCTGAACTAGATTTTTAGATGACTCTGGCATGTCCTTGACTGAGAGGAGGGGTCCATTCAGATGTTTAGGGTCCTTCAAATTTTATTTTTGGTTTACAATATCAATGTTTTTTTCTTTTTTCTTTTTTCTTTTCTGAGACAAGTTCTCGCTCTGCTGACCATACTGGAGTGCAGTGGCATGATCTTGGCTCACTGCGGCCTCCGCCTCCTGGGTTCAAGTGATTCTTGTGCCTCAGCCTCCCTAATAGCTGGGATTACAGGTGTGTGCCACTATGCCTGGCTAATTTTTGTATTTTTTTGTAGAGAGAAGATTTTGCCATGTTGGCCAGGTTGGTCTCGAACCTCTGGCCTCAAGTGATGCACCTCAGCTTCCCAAAGTGCTGGGATTACAGGTGTAAGCCACTGCGCATGGCCTACACTATTAATTTTAAATATATATATGTATGTATATATGTATTTATGTATATAATGAAAAGAAAAACTACAAACATTTAAAGTTGGTCCAACTTTGGTGTCATTAATTAAATATCTACTTCCAGTTCTTTAGGAGACAAAAATGCCATTTTTTGTTTTTTTTACATATCAATGAGGGCACAAACTGAGGCAACTTCCCCAAACCTCATCCCCAGCTCAAAGGTGTATTTACATAACCTTATTCTAAACAAAGGACAAATAGGAAGTAGGAGAACAATTTGGTTCATATTTCACCAAAGATATATTTCCTTCAGGTTAAAGGCAATCAGAGACTTCCAAATCATTGTGAGACAGCCAAGTATAAAGGGGGTCCTGGGAGAAATTCCAACTGGCCTGCACACTGGGAGAATAGGATGAGCCATGGAAGTCTGCGCCCTTTGCATGGGAGAGGAGTCTGGGATTCCAGCCTGGCTTCTTCTGTTCTGGGGTGGAACCTGGGATTCAATCTGTGAGGCAGGAAACCAGCTAGCAAGCAAGAGCCCCCATTTCCCTTTTTTTCCTTTTCACCCAATAAATTCCATTCTTCTTACCTTTCAAAGTGTCTGCGAGCCTAATTTCTCATGGCCATGTGACAAGAACCTGGCTTTTAGCTGAACTAAGAAGCCCTACAACAATTGTAAATACCTATTAATCCACCAATTACATATAGGCACAATATGGATCTTTGGAAATTAGATAAGAATGATTTTAATGTGAAATAATGACAGCAATATAGTTTAGAAACCATGATGGTGAGGCCTCGTTGATGCATACATCTGCTGGGGACTGAGCATATGGTTAGTGCTTGGTACATATGTAAAAACTGCAATTACAGCTTCTTAGTAAGATAATTGATTCTGAGTAAACGTTTGAGTTTTCCTGGTTGTCTTAATTTTTTTTTTTTTTTTTTTTTTGGTAATTGAGCTTTTGCTGTTTGTTTGGCTGGTTGGTTGGTTGGCTGGTTTTTCATGGCAGACATTTAGGAAGAGCAAAGCCTACCAAAAGGAAGATTGTGTTTGCAATATAACTAAATATAGTAATATTACTAGTAAGACCAGGAAAATCCACAAAACTTAATGGAAAACAGGGACAATAACAACACACTAAAGGACTATTTGAGGCTACCTGTTCCCTGATAAATGTGATTATAGCAAATAAGCATGCATAATAAAATTGTGTTTCTATCTCATATATTTAGCATTCACCAATTTTATTCCACAGCAGGCCATTGTCTACATAGTGACAGATAGAATATTCCATAAAGAGAAGGACTAGAAAGTGGGTTTTATTTTTTTAAATAATTATAATAAATTATCAACTTTACCTTTAAAGCACTGAACCGAAGATTTAAAATGTAACTTTAAATTCCATTCTCAAGAAGGAACATGGGGATCATTTTAAAAGCATTAACTTGCTTGTCCTATGCAGGAAAGGCCCCAGAAGAGCAGAGACTGAAGTCTCTACACAGATTGAATTGCATTTTGTTCACTATTTCAGGTACAACCACCACTTCATTATCTGCATGTGAATTTCCCATGGGCCGTTTCCATTCCCAGACCACCTTGAACCTCTTACCCAACACCAATCAGGTCTCCCATGGCCACACCGCAATATGTGCACAGGGGATATGAAATCATTTAAAATTCAGACCAAAAGAGTTTAGGCAGTCAAATCCATTGAGTGGGAAGAAATCCATTAAATTTAATTCAAAGTATATTATAGTTTATCCACTATTTTGGGAGAATTTTATTATTGCTTGCTTCTAATAGCAAAGTTAATGAAGAATTGATTGCTGTTTCAATGAGATCTCTCTGCACACATTTACTAAGAACTCACCTAAATTGTAGCTCATTTTTAATGTGGAACAGAAAACTCAGCTTGTGCCTACATTTCTCATAACAGGTCATTCTAGAATGATTCTAACAGTACATTTCAGTAAATTGTATTATACTTAGACCACCAGCAGAAATCTGGAATAATTGGGTCGTTGAAGAATAAACACTAAAGGCAGGACAAGGGGGTCAATCGTGGAGCAAGAACTTCATTCAGGAAACTGAGGTAATGTCCAGAATTCTTCAAAGACTGCACGGGGGATACTGTTTAACATTAACACAGAACTCTCCAGTTGGTTGGAGAGCGGCTGGGAGAGGTCTCTGTAAGAGTAAGAAGCCTGCTTTCTATTTATTTATTTTTCGGGGCAGGCATGCCTTCTTCAAACAAAAAGAAAGCCCAGGCATACAGAAACTGGATCTCATACAGACAGGGTCTCATTCTGTTGGCCAGGCTGGAGTGCAGTGGTGCGATCACGGCTCACTGGAGCCTGGACCTCCGGGCTCAATGGATCCTCCCATCTCAACCTCCTGAGTAGTTGGGACTGCAGGCGCGAGCCACCAAGCCCGGCAAAATTGTAGACAGGATTTCGCCATGTTGGCCAGGCTGATCTCAAACTCCTGGACTCAGGTGATCCACCCACCTCGGCCTCCCAAAGTGCTGGGATTACAGGCTTGAGCCACTATGCCTGGCCTGAACAGCTTTCTCTCTCTCTTTTTTTTTTTTTTTCCGAGACGGTGTTTCGCTCTGTCGCCCAGCCAGGAGTGCAGTGGCGCGATCTCGGCTCACTGCAAGCTCCGCCTCCCAGGTTCACGCCATTCTCCTGCCTCAGCCACCGGAGTAGCTGGGAGTACAGGCGCCTGCCACCACGCCCGGCTAATTTTTTGTGTTTTTAGTAGAGATGGGGTTTCACCGTATTAGTCAGGATGGTCTCGATCTCCTGACCTCGTGATCCACCCGCCTGGGCCTCCCAAAGTGCTGGGATTACAGGCGTGAGCCACCGCGCCTGGCGAACATCATCTTATATTGTTTATTATTATTATTATTACTATTATTATTGAGACAGAGTCTCGCTTTGTTGCCCAGGCTGGAGTGCAGTGGTGTTAGCTCACTGCAACCTCCACCTCCCAGGTTCAAGCGATTCTCCTGCCTCAGCCTCCTGAATAGCTGGGATTACAGGTGCATGCCACCATGTCAAGCTAATTTTTGTATTTTTGGTTGAGATGGGGTTTCTCCATGTTGGCCAGGCTGGTCTCCAACTCCTGGCCTCAAGTGTTCTGCCCGCCTTGGCCTCCCAAAGTGCTGGGATTACAGGCGTGAGGCACCGCACCCGGCCCTATATTGTTATTATACATGATGATGGCAGCAGTGGGCCATCTGGTGTGTCGCTGCCATCACGCCGGCCACTGCAAGAAGGGTACAGGGAGGAGGCAGACTGCCCCCACCCCTCTACCCCCAATTCCTCCACCCTTCCACCCCACCGCAACCCCCAGCCCCAGCCCGCCACCCTGGGGGCCGCCACAATGGGGCCTGGCCAAGTCGCCCGCCTGGCGAGGGGGAGCTCCAGGCCACCCCTAAGAGCCAGGACCACAGCAGGAGCTTTCAGCAATATCGCCCCTACCCGAGATGCCGGTCCAGACCCAGTGAGGACCTGGAGCCCCTGCCCCAGGCTTCGAGGGGGCGCTGCCGGTTGCCGGTGCGAGGCGCTGGGAGCCAGGGACAAGCGGGAACTCTGCTCCTTACAAGTTAGTGGGGCGGGACCTCCCCAGGTACAACTGCAGCTGCCTAAGCTACAGCAGCAACTCCAGCACCTCTGTGCTCTTGGGAGCCGGGAGTAGGCAGGAGCTCCGCCCTCCTGGGCGGGGCTACAGCCTCCCAAGTCTTGGCTGTGGATCAGGGCCTCCAGCTCCCTGCAACAGGCAGGAGCCCCACCCCACCCCACTGAAAACCGGGGCTGCAGCGCCAGGTATCCTGCAGGCCTGGGGGGCCTGGGAAGGCCCCCCCATGCCCTTGCAGACTCAGAGGTGCCTACTCCCACTGTCTAGCATCTCCCCACTCCCAGGGCCTACTCTGATCTTAAAGTGGGATTTGGGTGGAGCCCAAGCACTGTCACAGCCAGACCAGGTATGCGTAGGCTTGGGCCAGTGCTGACATGCTATCCCTCTGCCACCTCGGCCCCCTCTGGATTTTGGGCACTGAGGAGCACAGGAGGGGAAGCTGAGGGTGGCTGGGTAGTGGCCTGCAGGTGCCCTTTGATGCCAGCACCCTGCCATGGATGGCCGCAGGAGGCAGACAGGCTCCTGGGCAGAAGGGCGCTGGTTCCTAGCAAGGCCCACCTTCAGGCCAGGGAGGGCCTAAAGGCTGAGCACTGGGCTACCAGTTCATGAATTGGAATGAGGACTTGTGGTGCCTTCTCTGGGCTGCCCATGGCCGCCCATGGACCAATCGGCTGGCACTTCTTCCCCTCTAAGGTCCATAAAAGGCTCGGGCTCAGCCAGAGCAGGGCAGAGGGCAGAAGATGGAGAGATAACAGGAGGACCAGCTGCAAAGAGGAGCTACCCTCTCTGCTGAGCACTTCAGAGGCCTGCAGAGATGTCTGCACAGCCTGTGGAGAGGAGCCACCCTTTCCAGGGCCTCCTCTCCGCCACCCTCTCCAGGGCCGCCTCTCTGCTGAGAGCTGAACACTCAATGGGAGGACTTGCCTACAGAAAGGAGTTATCCACTGCGGGGCTCTTCTGAACTGTTCTAACACTAAATAAAACTCCTCTTCGTCTCCTTCACCCTTCACTTGTCTGTGTACCTCATTCTTCCTGGATGCAGGACAAGAACTCAGGCAAAAGTGCCACCAGCCACAGAGGTTTCCAGGAAGAAAACTGACACCCCAGAGATCCCGTAACATTGCTATTTTCTTCCACTGAGGCCTAAGCTGATTTTCAATGACAATGACCCTGATATACTGTTGAGTGGTTTGAATGACAGCTGTAATCAGAACTATGCTATGAAGATTTTGCCATCAAATGTGCATTAGGGACTTATTTCCTATCAGATTATGCACATATTTTGTATAAAATTCATGCTATCTGAATGATCCAAGTGAGTAATGCAAATATTATTGGCACAACATTGTACTTATTTACTATCAAGTATTACATATTGCGTATATCAAATACCCCATATATCTTAGCCTGAGTTCCTCAAAATAAGAGATAAAACTCACATGCAGAGTGTACTTGAAAAAATGGAGCCAGTGGGCATGAATGTCAGCAGGGGCAGTGAAATAGGGAAGGAAGGAAGACACTAAGATGAGTACTGAGTTGGCTATCACTGCGGCACCTTTAAAAATGTTTTCCAGGGCCGGCACAGTGGGTCATGCCTGTAATCCCAGCACTTTGGAAGGCCGAGACAAGTGGCTCACCTGAGGTCAGGAGTTCAAGACCAGCCTGGCCAACAGGGTGAAACCCTGTCTCTACTGGAAATACAAAAATTACCTGGGCGTGATGGTAGGCACCTGTAATCCCAGATACTTGGGAGCCTGAGGCAGGAGAATCACTTGAACCTGGGAGTTGGAGGTTGCAGTGAGCCGAGATTGTGCCATTGCACTCCAGCCTGGATGACAAGAGCACCACTCCGTTTCAAAAATAAATAAAAAAATAAAAATAAAAATGTTTTCCAGGAGGCCAGGTGTGAAGGTTCATACCTGTAATCCCAGAACTTTGAAAGCCAAGGTGGGCAGAGCAGTGAGCCAAGATTGCACCACTGTACTTCAGCCTGGGTGACACAGGGAAACTTTGTCTCAAAAAAAAAAAAAAAAAAAAAAAAGTGTCGTGCTATCACTATGCTTTAGAATTGATTGCCACAATTTGAATAATATTAATCTAATTCTGATTAAATACCTTTCAATTAATATCTTAGAGAGTTGTTTAGATTTACTGAGCACAACCTCATTAATACATGTGAAAATGTGTCTGAAATTCATTCCTTCCGGTGGGTTCTTGGTCTTGCTGACTTTCAAGAATGAAGCCACCGACCCTCCCAGTGAGCGTTACAGTTCTGAAAGATGGTGCGTCCACATTTTGATCCTTCAGATGTGTCCGGAGTTTCTTCCTTCTGGTGGGTTCGTGGTCTTGCGGACTGCAAGAGTAAAGCCGCAGACCTTTGCAGTGAATGTTACAGCTCTTAAAGGTGGTGCGTCCAGAGTTGTTTGTTCCTCCTGGTGGGTTCGTGGTCTCACTGACTTCAAGAGTGAAGCCGCAGACCTTCGCAGTGAGTGTTACAGCTCTTAAAGGCAGCACGTGTGGAGTTCTTTGTTCCTTGCGGTGGGTTCGTGGTCTCGCTGACTTCAGGAGTAAAGCTGCAGACCTTCACAGTTATTGTTACAGCTCATAAATGTAGCAGGGACCCAAAGAGTGAGCAGCAGCAAGATTTATTGTGAAGAGCGAAAAAACAAAGTTTCCACAGCGTGGAAGGGCACCTGAGTGGGTTGCAACAGCTGGCTAGGGTGGACAGCTTTTATTCTCTTATTTGGCCCCGCCCACATCCTGCTCATTGGTCCATTTTACAGAGCGCTGATTGGTCCATTTTACAGAGTGCTGATTCGTCCGTTTTTACAGAGTGCTGATTGGTGCATTTACAAACCTTTAGCTAGACACAGAGTGCTGATTGGTGCTTTTTTACAGAGTGCTGATTGGTGCGTTTACAAACCTTTAGCTGGACACAGAGCGCTGATTGGTGTGTTTTTACAAAGTGCTAATTGGTGCATTTACAAACCTTTAGCTAGACACAGAGCGCTGATTGGTGTGTTTACAATCCTGTAGCTAGACAGAAAAGTTCTCCAAGTCCCCACCCGACCCAGAAGCCCAGCGGGCTTCACCTTTCAAAAACACAGTAAGATCTCACAAATTCAGACTGCATTAATCACCAGGATTCATGGACTGAGAGTAAATTTGAATTTGTATTACCTTTTTTTTTTTTAAAAAGGGTCTGCTTAGAAATTAAGCACGTAAAGGGAAGTGAAGCTGGAGCTGCAGGCGCTTTTTCTGCCCATGGTGTCTCAGATTCGTTCTTAAGGAACTGAGAACTTAATCTTCCAAAATGTCAAAAAGACCATCTTATGCCCCACCTCCCACCCCAGCTCCTGCAACACAAATGCCCAGCACACCAGGGTTTGTGGGATACAATCCATACAGTCAGCTCACCGACAGCAACTACAGGCTGGGAGGAAACCCGCCCACCAACAGCTGGGTCAGGGCATCCTCCGCTATTACCATTCCAAAACCCTGAAAGCCACCAGATAAGCTGCTGATGCCCTACATGAGGTACAGCAGAAAGGTCTGAGACCAAATAAAGGCTTCCAACCCTGACCTAAAGTTGTGGGAGATTGGCTAGATTATTGGTGGCATGTGGCAAGATCTCACTGATGAAAAACAAGAATATTTAAACGAATACAAAGCAGAAAAGATAGAGTACAATGAATCTATGAAGGCCTATCATAATTCCCCCGTGTACTTTGCTTACATAAATGCAAAAAGTCGTGCAGAAGCTGTTTTAGAGGGAGAAAGTGGACAGAGACAGTCTCGCTTGGAGAAAGGAGAACCGTACATGAGCATTCAGCCTGCTGAAGATCCAGATGATTATGATGATGGCTTTTCAATGAAGCATACAGTCACTACCCATTTCCAGAGAAACTACCTCCTCATCAGTGAAATCCTTAGTGGGAGTGTGGTGGCAGACGTTCGGTCAGTTGTCACAACAGCTAGAATGCAGGTCCTCGAAGGACAGGTCCAGTCCTTAATGGTTCATCAGCGAAAACTAGAAGCTGAACTTCAAATAGAGGAACGACACCAGGAGAAGAAGAGGAAATTCCTGGAAAGCACAGATTCACTTAACAATGAACTTAAAAGGTTGTGCCCTCTGAAAGTAGAAGTGGATATGGAGAAAATGGCAGCTGAGATTGCACAGGCAGAGGAACAGGCCCGCAAAGGGCAGGAGGAAAGGGAGAAGGAGGCAGCAGAGCAAGCTGAGCGCAGTCAGAGCAGCATCCTTCCTGAGGAAGAACAAGCAGCCAACAAAGGCGAGGAGAAGAAAGAAGACGACAACATTCCAATGGAGACAGAGGAGACACACCTTGAAGAAATGACAGAGAGCCAACAGAATGGTGAAGAAGGCACGTCTACTCCTGAGGACAAGGAGAGTGGCAGGAGGGGGTGGACAGTATGGCAGAGGAAGGAACCAGGGATAGTAACACTGGCTCAGAGAGCAACAGCCCAACAGTGGAGGAGCCACCAACAGATCCCATACCAGAAGATGGGAAAAAAGAATAAATGTTGCCTTGTTTTATGTGTTCTAAATACTTTTTTAAATGAAAAAATGTTTTTTGGTTTAAAAAAAAAAAGAAATTAAGCATGTAGGCAAGGCGCAGTGGCTCACGCCTGTAAACCCAACACTTTGGGAGGCAGAGGTGGGTGGACCACTTGAGGTCAGGAATTCGAGACCAGCCTGGCCAACATGGTGAAACCCTGTCTCTACTAAAAATACAAAAATTATCTGGGCATGGTGGCCCACGCCTGTAGCCCCAGCTACTCGGGAGGTTAAGCAGGAAAATTGCTTGAACCCGGGCAGTGGAAGTTGCAGTGACTCGAGATTATGCCACTGCACTCCAGCCTGGGTGACAGAGCAAGATCTATCAAAAAAAAAAAAAAAAAAAAGAAAAGAAAAAAAGAAAAAAAAAATTGAGAAATTAAGCATGTAAAACCTGGCTCCAAATAGCATTTTAAAATATTTATATCTATCATTAGCTATATACAATTATATCTTGGCAGTTGTCTCTAAAACTGGCCATAATATGAGCTGGCTACAGTAACTGGTAATCCCAGTTACTCAGGAGGCTGGCTGAGTGCGGGAGGATTGCTTGAGCCCAAGAGTGGGAGACCAGCCTGGGAAAAATAGTGAGACCCCGTCTTTAAAAAAACAAAAGTAAAACTGGCCATAATAAACTTCAATAGTCATTTGCTGAAGGAATTAAAATTTTAAATTGTAGTTGCAGAGCAACTTAATAATTAAGGAATGGGTCTTCTCTGATCCTCTAATAGCTTGATTCTAGTCATTGTGTATAGTTTAAATTTATTAAAGTATGTTTTAGAGAATCATTCTATAAATCAGATGTTCGTCTACATCTAAATGCCTCCAGGCAGTCTGAATTTATGATGCTTCTTTTGGTAAAAATAGGGAAAATCTAAGGATAGAACAATAAGATTCTATTGAATATTTCACAAGTAGTTACAATAGACTTCTTATACCTTTAAGTCCCTTCAAATTGAGATTGTATGTTTCAGCTGGCTAACGTCTTTTAATCTACATACCTTCTTTTAACATCCGAGATACTTATATACTATAAAACGCACCCATTCTGAAGCAGGATATATTCCTGACCCTTTCACTAGCAGGAACTGGAGTGCACGGATGCTAGAACTAGCTGGCTGCTTCGGTGCTGGCAGGGGTGGACTCTACTCACTCGGTACCACTGCATTCCACCCCTCACAGGAGGGGGAGCTGAAAAGGGGACAGAGTGGGAAGGTGATCTTCCCCTGGAGTCTGGCCGTCCCTGGCCTGACTCCTTTCCAAAGCTATGCTATCAAACTCTCCCTCTGAAGTCAGGAACTGCTTCTCTCCAACGTCCAACTGTAGTCTCTGACATCCAGCTGCTTCTCTTTTCTGCTGGCTGAGTTCTGGGGTTTTTATAGGTATAGGATGGGTGGGCAGGGTGGGCCATGGGTGCTTTTGGAAAAGGCAACATTTGAGCAGGAAAACAGGAATGTAAGTTCTCACTTTGGGCCATGGCATTAGGCTTTTTGGCTTGAGGGTGGGGCCATTGCCAGGGACCTGCCCTCTTCTTCCCAGAATTTCCCTGCCTCCTGTCTCTATCAATTCTAAGTATACAATTCAATGAATTTTACTATATTTACAGAGTTGTGTACCATAATCCCAATCTAATTTTAGGACATTTCCATTATCCTAAAAAGAAACCTCATGTCCTTTTACAGTTATCCCCATTGCCTGCCCTAGGCACCACCAAACTTTCTGTCTTTATATATTTGCCTTTCTTAGACATTTAATATAATAAACATAATGCTTTAAAGGATCATCCATGTTGTTAACTCGTGTCTTTTAAAACCAACATACATGGTGGTTCTGACTGGTATCTCCTAATGATCTCATTTGAATGTCAAGGCAAAATTTCTGCCATGTACAAAGTTAAATAAAGCCAATTTAAAGAATTTATAGAATCAGGTACACAAAACTAAAATGGATGTTCCTAACAAAGAAGAATCTGTCATTTTTTCCTTATTTTATTTTATTTTTTTGAGACGGAGTTTCACTCTTTCATCTAGGCTGGAGTGCAATGGCGCTATCTCAGCTCACTGCGACCTCCACCCCCAGGGTTCAAGCCATCCTCCTGCCTCAGCCTCCTGAGTAGCTGGGATAATAGGCACCCACCACCATGTCCAGCTAATTTTTTGTATTTCTGGTGGAGACGGGGTTCTGCCATGTTTGCCAGGCTGGTCTCGAACTCCTGACCTCAGGTGATCCACCCACCTTAGCCTCCCAAACTGCTGGGATTACAGGCGTGCGCCACCGCACCCAGCCTTTTTTCCATCTTTAATTATTTGCCAATAAGAAAAACAGGCTCAGCATGTTAAAATATTGAAAATACAGAACTACAGAAAAGTGTAGTTCAAGTGATTATCCTGCCTCAGCCTCCCAAGCAGCTGGGACTGCAGGTGCGGGCCACCACACCCAGCTGATTTTCTATCTTTAGGCAGAGACAGAGTTTCACCATGTTGGCAGGCTGGTCTCAAACTGCTGACCTCGGTGATCCAGCCACCTCAGCCTCCCAAAGTGATTACAGGTGTGAGTCTTTGCGCCTGGCCAAAAAGCGCAAAAATGTATCTTAATTTTACAATAACATAAAGCTATGCTTAATACCTCAATGCCTTCTAATCTTGCATTTACTGTTAAAAGATTATTTTCTCAACTTTCAAATCACTTGAAAAGTTGTAATACTAGGATAAACAGCTTATACTCTTCACCTAGATTCACCAATTATTAATATATTACATTTCTTTTTTCTCTGTGTAGCCCTCTCTTTCTCTCTGACACCCACACGCGCACACACGCACACACACACACACACACTCTTGAGAGTTGGTCTCATTTTAATCCTAAAGCTTTCAATATGTATTTCCTAAGAATGATAGCATTCTTTCCCATAATCACAATACTCTGATCACACTTGAGAAATTTAACATTGATACAATCCTATTATCTAATATAAAGTCCACATTCAAATTTTCCCAATTATTGTTCTCTTTTAAAAAAACTTTTTCTTTAATTTCTTCTTAATATAAATTTTTTTTGAAAAAAGGGTCTTGTTATGTTGCCCAGCCACCACACCTGGCCTTGTTTGCTAGTCTTGAACCCCTGGCCCCAAGAGATCCTCCCACCCCAGCCTCCCAAAACTGGGAAATGTAGGTGTGAGCCACCACACCTGGGCTCCAATTCTGTTCTAGTCATGTCTTTTATAACTTGAAAAAATAAAAATCCCAGAGTCAATGGAAGAAAATCCATTGCATTTCATTTACATGTCCCTTTACCCTTCTTTAATCTGGAACAATCTCTAGTCTCTTTAGTTCTTTCCTGACACTGACAATTTAAAGATTGCAGGCCAGTTGTTTTGTAGTATGTCCCACAAGCTAGATTTTTTTTTTTTTTTTTGAGACAGCCTCACTCTGTTGTGCAGGCTAGAGTGCAGTGGTACGATCTTGGCTCACAGCAATCTCCACCTCCCGGTTCAAGTGATTCTTCTGCCTCAGCCTCCCGAGTAGCTGGGACTACAGGCATGTGCCACCACACCTGGCTAATTTTTGTATTTTTAGTAGAGACAGGGTTTCACCATGTTGGCCAGGCTGGTCTCGAACTCCTGACCTCGTGATCTGCCCACCTCGGCCTCCCAAAGTGCTGGGATTACAGGCGTGAGTCACTACACCTAGCCTTGTTTGTTTTTTATAATTAGATGCAGGTTAAACTTTTTTTGAGGAGGAGACTACAGACAGGAATACTAGATACGTGCTGTTTTATCTTCTCAATGCTTAACCTCAGGGTGCACCGAGTCTTTTTTTAACGTAATTATATATGCATTTTAATTTTTACATGATTGGTATATTATATATAAATGTTTATGCCCTACCTGTAAAAATAATCATTATAAAATTAGCCTGGCATGCTGGCATGCACCTGTAGTCTCAGCTACTCAGGAGGCTGAAGCAGGAGGATTTCTTGAGCTCAGGAGTTTGAGGCTGTAGTGAGCTATGATCGCACCCGCTTGGGCTGACAGATATTGGGATAAACCTTATTTGATTACAATGTTGTTGTTGTTGTTTGAGACGGGGTCTCACTCTGTCACCAAGGCTGGAATGCAGTGGTACAATCATGGCTCACTGCAGCCTCAACCTCCCTGGGATCAGGTGATCCTCCCGCCTCAGCCTCTAGAGTAGCTGGGATTACAAGTATATGCCACCATGCCTGACTAATTTGTGTATTTTTTGTAGAGATGGGGTTTCACCATGTTGCCCAGGCTGGCCTCGAACTCCTAGGCTCAAGGGATCCTCCCACCTCGACCTCCCAAAATGCTGGAACTACAGGCATGAACCACTGCTCATAGTCCTTGCAATGTATTTTTAATGCATTATTGAATATGATTTGTTAGTAAATTAGAGATTTTGCCTCTAAATTCATAAGTGAAATTAGCCTATAATTTTCTTTCCACAAATTACCTTGTCTGGATTATTTCCCAAAAATAGCTTTTGGTTTTGTTGGTTATATCTATATTTTTTATTATTTTTTTCTATTTCGTTAATTTCCATTGCTAATTTTATTTTCTTCTTCTACTTTGTTTCTTACTAGCTTTTGAATTGCACATGTAGTTCAATTATTCTCAATCTGTCCTATATCTTAAATAAATTCATTTCTATTTATGCATTTCATTCTAAATTGACACTAATTCCCATTATCTTTCTAGTTGCCCACAAGTCTTGGTATGTTGTACATACAAAAATAGTTCATAATTTCCATTTTGATGTTCTCTTGAACCCATGGGTTTTTTAGAAGAGTATTTTTTCAGTTTGTTACCCCTAAATTCTGTTTTACAGATAAAGTGACTAAAGTCCAGGAAAATTAAATGTCTTGCTCAAAATTTTATAGCAAATTCATGGCCGGAAGATCAAGTCTCCTAATTGCTATTTCACTCTGACTTTCCAATTTCTTAATTCATATCCTTTCCCTATCAGAAAACTTCTTGAAATTAAATCAAAATTGTCTTTAACTCATGACATACCTAGAATTCCACCTTTTGTTAGCCCTATTTGTTACACATTTAAAAAATATTTGCCCAAGCTTTTTCCTAAGTGTATCCAGAGAGTTTTCTCCAGCCAGGATTTATAAATTTCTAGATATATCATTTGGCATAGTCCTTAGGACATAATGCTTAGCACATAGACTCTCAATAAAAAAATTACTGAGGAAATATTTTGTTTAATGAATGTTTAAAGAATATTATCAGTGCTACCTAAGAGTTTTATTAAACATCAAATGGCAAGTCCGAGGCTAGAAGGAAACTGTCTGGGTTGTCATAGAACTAGTCCGGTAGGTTAATGATAAGGATGAAATGAACAAATGCAAGCAACGAGAACTGCTGTTGAAATGGGCTGCAATTCCATGGTCAAAAAAGTAAAGGGCAAGTAGAAATACATGAAATAATATAAATGAATTATAAATGACAATAGTCAAACTTTCAAGAAACATCTACTACTATCAAAAGTAGGTTTTATTGTCCCTACTGTATAAATGGGGAAAGGAAACCCCAGACAGTGCACGTCATTTACCCAGGTGATGCAGAAGGAACAACCCTTGGGTTGGAATGCAGCTAATCACAGCCCATAATCACCTTTGCAACCAGCCACAGTCTTCTCTTAGTGCCCTTACTTTAGCTCTTTCCTCCTAGCTCTAGCCCAGGTCTAGCCCTCCCCTCTGGCTGTAATTGGGAAATTGGAGATAGCTCTGAAGCAAAGGGAGATGCTGGTGCTATCAGGATCAGTAGCCTAACAAAATTATTTGCTAGAGGTTAAACCTCGTTGTTTTTTCTTGTCCTTGAGAATCCTTTTTTTTCTTTTTGAGACAGAGTCTCCCTCCGTCACCCAGGCTGGAATGCAATGGCATGATCTCGGCTCACTGCAACCTCTGCCTCCCGGGTTCAAGAGATTCTCCTGCCTCAGCGTCCCTACTAGCTGGGATTACAGGCGCCCGCCACCACGCACAGCTAATTTTGTTGTATTTTTTTTAGTAGAGACGGGGTTTCACCATGTTGGTCTTGAACTCCTGGCCTTAAGTGATCCACCCACCTCGACCTCCCAAAATGCTGTGATTTATAGGCGTAAGCCACCGCGCCCAGCCAAGAATATTTTTTGTTTTGGTGGAGAACAGAATTGTCTAAGCAATGGACAGAATTGCCATCATCATAGTGCTTACCTCATTTTCTAAGTCTTCAGTAAAGCTGTTAACAAAAAGAGTCTAATGTCAGAAACTGCAATGTCATATTCAGAAAATTACACTTAGTGGCCATATGCAGTGGATCACACTTGTAATCCCAGCATTTTGGGAGGCCAAGGCAAGAGAATCACTTGAGCCCACGAGTTCGAGAACAGCCTGGGCAACAAAGGCAGACCCTGTCTCTATTAAAAAAAAAAAGATATTATACTTAATTACAGTATGAGTATGAACTGCTTTGTGCATATTTTCTCTAGGCATCTTTTTTTTAAAAAAAAAATATTTTTTAAGATGGAGTCTTGCTCTATTGCCCAGGCTGGAGTGCGGTGGCATGATCTCAGCTCACCACAACCTCCACCTCCCGGGTTCAAGTTATTCTCCTGCCTCAGCCTCCCAAGTAGCTGGGATTATAGGCACACACCACCACACCCAGCTAGTTTTTGTATTTTCAGTAGAGTTGGGGTTTTACTATGTTGGCCAGGCTGGTCTCGAACTCCTGACCTCAAGTGATCTGCCCGCCTTGGCCTCCCAAAGGACTGGGATTACAGGTGGGAGCCACTGCTCCCCACCTCTCTAGGCATCTTTTAAAAATGTATAGGTTTCCGGCTGGGCACCGTGGCTCACACCTGTAATCCCAGCACTTTGGGAGGCTGGTGGATCACAAGATCAGGGGTTGAAGACCAGCCTGGCCAACATGGTGAAACCCCATCTCTACTAAAAATACAAAAAATTAGCCAGGCATGGTGGCGGGCACCTGTAATCCCAGCTACTGGGGAGGCTGAGGCAGAGAATTGCTTGGACCCGGGAGGCAGAGGTTGCAGTGAGCCGAGATTGCACCACTGCACTCCAGCCTGGGTGACGGGGTGAGACTCTGTCTCAAAAAAAAAAAAAATAAATAAAATAAAAAAAAAAAAATATATATATATATAGAGAGAGAGAGACAGAGAGAGAGAGAGATTTCTTTTATTATTTAATAAACAACATTAATTAACCTTACCAATATAATTTGGTGTTGCAGCTGACATGGTGGCTCATGTCTGTAATCCCAAGCATTTTGGGAGGCTAAGGCAAGGGGGTTGCTTGAAGAGTTTGAGACCAGCCTAGGCTACATAGCAAGACCCTATCTCTATAAAAATAAATTGAGGCCGGGTGTGGTGGCTCACTCCTGTAATCCCAGCACTTTGGAGGCCTAGGCGGGTGGATCACGAGGTCAGGAATTCGAGACCAGCTTGGCCAACATGGTGAAACCCCATCTCTACTAAAAATACAAAAGTTAGCTGGGTGTGGTGGCGCACTCCAGCCTGGGCGACAGAGACTCTGTCTCAAAAAAAAAAAAAAGTGTCTCCTGTTCACTTTACCACTTAGAATATGACTCTTTGCCACTAAAGTATGTGGTATCTCTAGGTTAGAAAGACTCATGTACATATCTGCGTATGTGCCTGTGTGTGCATGTGTGTTTATGTGTATGTGTGTGTGTCTGTGTACACACCCTTTTCTTTTCCTTTTAACTCTGAAGACTTTATGCCTTATTTTTCTTCCTGGGAAATGAGACAGAAGAACTGAACTCCTGTCATCTTGAAAGTTTTAATGGCCATCCCATGTGAACATATGCAGTCTTAGCTGGTGACTGATGTAACCGCGTAGGCCCATAAGACTGAATCATTCATCAAATATTAAAGAGTTATTTCATAGAATGACCTTTCCAGTCACTTTTCAGTAGGTTTGAAGCTTGAGCAGTTATAAGAAAAGCAGAGTACTCTTAGGTTTTTTTTTTTTTTTTTGAAATGGAGTCTCACTCTGTCGCCCAGGCTGGAGTGCAGTGGCAAAATCTCGGCTCACTGCAAGCTCCGCCTCACGGGTTCACGCCATTCTCCTGCCTCAGACTCCCGAGTAGCTGAGACTACAGGCACCCGCCACCACGCCCGGCTAATTTTTTATATTTTTAGTAAAGATGGGGTTTCACCGTGTTAGCCAGGATGGTCTCGATCTCCTGACCTCGTGATCCACCCGCCTCGGCCTCCCAAAGTGCTGGGATTACAGGCGGGAGCCACCTCGCCCAGCCTAGGTTTCTTAATTAAAGGGTCATCTAACCTTTTGGGAGACCTGACATGATAACCTAAGTGATTTTACCCCAAGCTAAATTTTCTCACACAGAACAAAACTGATGTCATTTCCCATGCAAATAAGCATAAAGAAAAGACATTTTCAAGGGGCTATTCTATAAGCGCTAATATTTAGAGCTCAATTCTTGTTCATTGAATCAGGTTTCCCCAAATCCAGTCTCAGGCTCCTCACAGTTTTTGGATTAATACACTGAATGGCCAACGACAATTGAGGTGGTACAGTTCTGATAATACATCACTCTTCTATGATCCTCCTTATCATCATGTCTAAATCAATTTAGTTTGGCACAACTTATGACTCCACCCACCCGTGTCAGTATGTAAAATTATTGTAAGATATTTCATGTATGAGGGTGGAGAGATTAAGGACTGATAAAAGAACAATAATGAAGAATTTCACTGTATACTGTGGGTCCTTTTTGTTTGTACTCATCACATTTGATGTTTGCATATCACTAGTGACATGATGCCTTTCATGTGTGTGACTTGATGGGCGGATATTGGATCTGTAAAACTGTGGGGCTGTGGGGTCATTTTCTGACTACCAAGATATGACCCAGTAAAACCAGCACTTGCAGCAGGATTAGGATTGAATTCTAATTCAGCATTCTACCTTGAATTACTCAACTGCCAACACAGAACTGGTGTCACTGGACTGTTCTGAAGGGCGGGCATGCTTGCAACTAGCTTCACATGTGGAGAAAGATCATTCTGTCCAAAGATTGCTCTCTTGCTCTTAGCCCATGTAAAGAAAAAGAATCACTCCATTACCACACTATAACTTAGTTAAATCACAGGTGGTTTGCCTTTCTAAAACATTTAGACATTTGGTTAAATTATGTTTATTACCAATATTCAAAGAATCTGATATGTGATGATGTGCATTAGGTACAAGATCAGTTTGCATTCCCGGACACACCAGATATTGGCAGCAAGTCATTTTCTGTGGAAATGTTTGGTATTTAAAACATACAAAATTTTGCAATCTTTGGCAAAGGAAAATAATAACAAGCTAAGTGCAGTGGTGGCTCATGCCAGCACTTTGAGAGGCTGAGGCAGGGGGATTGTTTGAGACCAGGAGTGAGACTAGCCTGGGAAACATAGGGAGACTCGATCTCTACAAAAAATAGAAAAAAAAAGTTAGCCAGGCATGATGGCCCAGCTATTTGGGAGGCTGAGGTGGGAGGATCACTTGAGCCTGAAAAGTTGAGGCTGTAGTGAGCCATGATCACACCACTGCACTCCAGCCTTGGCAACAAAGCGAGATTCTGTCTCAAAAAATAAATAAAGTTTCAATTTAACATCAATTATAATTCTTTTTATGACAAAAAAAAACTCGGTTTGAAACCAGACATTTCCCCAATATGCATAAGCATTCAATTATTTTCTCACATAAGCTTTGAGGTTGCTTCGTTCTTTCTGGATAGTTTTGTATCTCATTTCTAGTACAGATGTTTATTGCCTTCAAGGCTTTCACAGATAATTTAATCCGTGGCAATGAAAAGAAAGAATCCCACAGGGGAAGTCAGTGGGGGGAGGGGAGGGACTAGCCAAGTTGAAGGAGTTTAATTTGAATCGAAAATTCTTTAGTCATGCCAAAGATGTAAAATTATTAAAGAAACGAAGATTTAACATTGTAAAAACAGAGGCAAACCTCTGCCTTGCATTCTCTTTTCAATACTAAAAATTATTACATCAATCCTATAGTAGGTTAGCCTTGAAAAAGATTATTACCCTCATCTTTTTTTTTTTTAACTTTTATTTTAGGTTTGGGGTTACACATGAAGGTTTGTTACATAGGTAAATGTGTGTCAGTAATATGTTGTACATATTATTTCATCACCCAGGTGTTAAGCCCAGTTCCCAATAGTTACCTTTTCTGCTCCTCTCCCTCCTCTCACCCCCCTGCTTCAAGTCTACCCCAGTGTTTTCTTCTTTGTGTTCCTAAGTTCTTATCATTTAGCTCCCACTTGTAAGTGAGAACATGCAGTATTTGGTTTTCTGTTCCTTTGTTAGTTTACTAAGGATAATAGCCTCCAGCTCCATCCATGTTCCCACAAAAGTCATGATCTCATTCTTTTTTATGGCTGCATAGTATTCTGTGGTGTATATGTACCACATTTTCTTTATCCAATCTGTCATTGATGGGCATTTAGGTTGATTCCCTGTCTTTGCTATTGTGAATAGTGCTGCAATGAACATTTGTGTGTCTGTGTCTTTATGGTAGAATGATTTATATTCCTCTGGGTATATACCTAGTAATGCGATTGCTGGGTTGAATGGTAGTTCTGCTTTTAGCTCTTTGTACTCACATCTTTCAAAAGCTCTTTGCTACTTTATGGTGTAATTACATTTGCTCCTAGAGATGTACTAAGATGATTGAACACTAATTTGCACTTTGATTCAGGTTTAAACTAGAATTGTTTGTCTCCAATAGCTACTATTGTAGGAAGTGAAAATATGTTTTCAATGGGTCTCATTCCAGGCCTTGATTTCAGCATTTATTTCCACTTATTTTCTTCTTCCTTGGCTGTATCAGAGTTCTTTGGTTGCCAGCAATAGTAGTTGCTGCTGGTCAACTTAAGTAATAAGGGAATTTACTGGGCAAATTGGGGGAACATCAAAGGATTGAGAAGACAGCCCTGGCAGCTCACATGAGTCTCCAAAGCATGCACATCTAAACAACCCCATCCAGCACGAATGATGCCAATTCCAGGAATAGAGTATTTGGTTTAATAGGGTCCTAGAGTCAGTTCCTCTTTCCTTCACTGGGAGAAGGCAGCGTATGTGAACAACAGTCCCACAAGATTTATCCAGGTAGTAATTAGTAATTCTCAAATAGTAAGTGGGGATGCTACTGCTGCAAGAAGATGGACTGAAAGCTAGAAAGGCAAAATAACCAAAAAAAGAATGGGTACCATCCCCATCCCTTTTCCACTTCACTGTGCTTTCTCCTTTTTTATGTTTTCTCTCTTCCTTTGTCTATCTCTCTGTTTTTAAATCTTCCTTTTTCTTGCCTTTTAAAATTTATCTCAGCTGGGCTCTGTGGCTCACGCCTGTAACCTCAGCACTTTGGGAGGCCAAAGAATGAGGATTGTTTGAGGACAGGAGTTCAAGACCAGCCTGGGTAACGTAGTGAAATTCTGTCTCAATTAAAAAAAAATTAAATAGATAAAAATAGAATGTAAATCTGTTGTCTTGGCTGGAATTTTTGTCACTGCTCCCACTTCTTTACTAGTAACACTAATATCAAAATTGTATCACCTAAACAACTGATCCTTACGGGCAATTGGTGTTGGCTAAGTAGGCAAATGTCTACATAGCATAATATTTGAAGAAATATTCCTGAATTTATCCCTTCCAAACTACCAACTCATTCAATTGCCTGCCATTATGCCTACAATTTAATTGTTACAAATTCATTCCTTTGGTTAAAGCAACGAGACCTGAGGAATTTACCACTGAAAGATATTAATTCATTATTTATTTTTTTCCATCCTATAAAATCAGTCAACGTATGTTATCATAGGAAGCCAGGTATCAACCCACCCACCCAACATAAATGTGGCAGAGTGAAATTAGCATTTACTATGGAGGCAGAGCTCATAGGACTGACCTCAGATCTACTTCTTTCTGGTTGTGTGGGCTTGGTGAAATTATTCATCTTCCTTAAGCTCCATTTACCTCAGCTGTGAAATGGGGATAAAATTCTTATAACATTTGGTTGTGAAAAGTCAATAAAATTAGCAGGGCACTGTGGCTCATGCCTTTAGTCCCAGCTCTTTGGGAGACTGAGGTGGGCAGATGGCTTGAGGCAAGGAATTTGAGGCCAACCTGGGCAACATGGCAAAACCCAGTCTCTACAAAAAGTACAAAAATTAGCCAGGCATGGTGGTGCACTCCTGTAGATCCAGCCACCCGGGAGGCTGAGGTGAGAGGATCACCTGAGCCTTGGAAGTCAACGCTGCAGTGAGCCAAGAACACACCACTGCATTGCAGCCTGTGCAACAGACTGGGAACTTGTCTCCAAAAAAAAGTCAATAAAATAGTATTTACAAAGTACTCACCATATTGTCTGGCACATAGAGGGTATTCAGTAAGTGTTAAAATTCCTTTTTTTTAACAAATATTTATTGAGCGCTTGTGGTTTCCCTCTACACTATGCTACACAGTAGGAATAAAATGGGAACAGACGGACTTCCTACCTTCTTGGAGGTTACATTCTCAGGGAAAAGACACACATTAGTCAAATCTAATGTAGACAATATTGGTATCAAAAGACATTAATTAGAGGTTCACAAATGGTCACACTCACACTACATAAGTTAAATATAGATATGAGTTAAGTAAGGGAAATATTCACATTCTGCAGATGCCAGGTGAACTCACTGGAGAAATACAATTGGTAACTCCGGGTGTTCAAGGGAAATTGTCCCGTCTCTCACTCAGTCAAAGAGGATTTCACTAAAGAGATAATATTTCTATATTTGTGTAAGGAAGAGAAGAGAGATTGGTTTCCTTAGTAGAGAAGTTTCAATTGTAGGATTTTGCATGGAGAATCTTTGGGAAATTGAAATAGTGCATTTGAATGAGGTGAGTAGTGAATGAATGAGTCTATGAGCAGTAGTTGAGGAGATCAAGATCAAGGAAAAAGACACTAAGAAACTCCAATTTCAGAAAGCCATGCTTAGGGTTTGTGGAACAGACTGCCAGTTGCATACCAGTATCTGATTTCTCCTTTAATAAAAGTACTCCAATTTTTTAGCTAGGCACACTGCAGCTCCTCTAAAAGACTACATTTCCCAGCTGCCCTTGCAGCTAGATGAATCCATGTGATTAAGTTTTAGGTAAAGAGAATGAAAGCAGAGGTAGCATGTAGTACTTGTGGAAGGTCTCCTAAAATGTGGGGGCACCCTTTTACTTCCATCTTTCTTCTTACTGCTACCTAGCGGGAGCTTTAGCAGCCATCTTACACCACAGATGGCCTGCCATGTACAGTAAAGCAGTGAGATAGAAAGAGCTTGGATTCCCAATACGTGCTGCTTTCATATCAGCCTTGAATTGCCAATCTCCGGATTTCTTCCCTTTAAGCAAAAAGTACGTTTTCTAGTTGAAGCCACTATTTGGGGGATCTTTATTGTTTAAAGTAGTCAAATTTAATCATATTGATTATATTGCTTTGATAGTAATCTAAATGCTTTAAACATATCACATGATCTCTTTAGGAGTTTATATTGTGTTGATCCTTAGATTTACAGAAAGCCACTCTAGAGTCTTAAGAGGGGAGACCATGTCATATTTATTGTTATATCCTTCCACCAAGGCATAGAGTAGGCTACCAACAATATTTATTGGTGAAGAACTGCTCTATGTTCACACAAACTGACTTGCTAAATATAAATGAAAAGGAGTAGAATTCCCTTTAATTTGCGGAAGACATTAAGAGAATTTTTGCATCCTAAGACACTTGGAGATCCCTTAACCAACTACTAGTTGCCAAAATTCAGGTACTTCTACAAGGCAGTATTGATTACTACATTTTTGTTTATTCATTCAACACTTACTGAGTGTTTGCAAGAATCAAAGCACTGTTCTAGGTATCAGATACAGCACTGAACAAATAAAAGTTGTCATCTTTATG
Source organism: Homo sapiens (assembly GCF_000001405.40). Lineage (NCBI taxonomy): Eukaryota > Metazoa > Chordata > Mammalia > Primates > Hominidae > Homo > Homo sapiens. Next base: position 44,610,128 of record NC_000013.11, read on the forward strand.
AGGAAGCATATATTCAAATAGAGTGAGGCAAATCAAAACGAATTTATACATATAAAAATAATTTTTTTTTTATATTATAAGAGCTGGAGCTGGAACACAGAGGCTCTTCTGGACCATTGTAATATGTGTATGTGTGTGTCTATATATATATTCATATATATATAAATCTGTATGTATATGGATATGTATATGTGTGTATGAGAGAGAGGGAAGAGGAAGGCCTTAATGAAAAAATGAAGTAGAATGAGAATGGAAAGTAATGGAATGAGTGGCTACTATCTGATATAAGATGACTGGAGGCCAGGCACGGTGGTTCATGCCTGTAATCCCAGCACTTTGGGAAGAAAAGGTGGATGGATCACTTGAGCTCAGGAGTTCAAAATCAGCCTGGGCAACATGGTGAAACCCCATCTGTACTAAAAATACAAAAATTAGCCAGGCATGGTGGCAGGTGCCTGTAATTCCAGCTACTCAGGAGGCTGAGGCAGGAGAATGGCTTGAACCCAGGAGGCAGATGTTGCAGTGAGCTGAGATCATGCCACTGCACTCCAGATTGGGCAACAGAGCAAGACTCTGTCTCTAAAAAGAAATTATATAGCTGAAAAATACAAAACTAAAGTTAAAAATTCAAGAGATGAGATTAACAGAAAATTAGACAAAGATAAAAAGGGAATTAGTGAACTGGAAGATGGAGCACAAGAAAATATCCAGAATGGGGAGGAAAAAAGGATGGAAAGTACAGAGCAGAGTATAAGAGACATAGAGCATACAGTGAAAATGTACAAGATACTCATACAAAGATCCCCAACAAGAAAGAGAGAGAGAAAATGAGGCAGAAACCATATTTGAAGAGAATGGCTAAGGATTTTCCAGAATTAAATAATATAGATAAAAGACACCAAGCTGGCCAGGCACAGTGGCTTACACCTGTAATCCCAGCACTTTGGGAGGCTGAGGTGGGTGGATCACTTGAGCTCAGGAGTTCAAGATGAGCCTGGGCAACATGGCAAAACTCCATCTCTACCAAAAATATAAAAATTAGCTAGTCATGGTGGCATGCACCTACAGTCCCAGCTACTCAGGAGGCTAAGGCAGGAGAATCACTTGAGCCTGGGAGGTGAAGGTTGCAGTGAGCTGAGATCATGCCACTGTACTCCAGCCTGATCAATGGGAGTAAAACACTGTCTCAAAAAAAAAAAAAAAAAAAAAAAAGAAGACGCCAAGCTACAGATTCAAGGATTACTATGAACCAAAGCAGGATAAATAAAAAAATACTATACCTAGATTTATCATAGTAAAACCACAGACAAAAAAAAAGATTAACTTCAGAGCAACAAAACTAGGTTTACAGCTAACTTCTTCATAAAATTATAGAAACCAGAAAAGAATGGAATGACAAATTGAAAATGCTAAAAGAAGGCTGGGTGTGGTGGCTCACGCCTGTAATCCCAGCATTTTGGGAGGCCAAGGCAGGGGGATGACTTGAGGCCAGGAGTTCGAGACCAGCCTGGCCAACATGGCGAAACCCCATCTCTACTAAAAATATAAAAATTACCTGGGTGTAGTGGCACTCACCTGTAATCCCAGCTCCTCAGGAAGCTGGGGCAGAAGAATTACTTGAACCCAAGAAGTGGAGGTTGTGGCAAACCGAGATCACGCCACTGCACTCCAGCCTGGATGACAGAGAGAGATTCTGTCTCAAAAAAAAAAAAAAAAAAAGCAAAAAAAAATAGCTGTCGGCCAAGTGCAGTGGCTCATGTCTGTAATCCCAGCACTTTGGGAGGCTGAGGCAGGTGGATCACCTGAGATCAGGAGTTCGAGACCAGCCTGGCCAACATGGCGAAACCCTGTCTCTACTAAAAATACAAAAATTAGCTGGGCATGGTGGTTAGCGTCTGTAATCCCAGCTACTTGGGAGGCTGAGGCAGGAGAATTGCTTGAACTCCATCCTGGGTGACAGAGCAAGACTTCATCTTAAAAAGAAAAGAAAAGAAAAATCATCAAGCTAGAATTATTTACCCAGTGAAAATATCCTTCAAGAATGAAGCTGAAATAAATATACAGGCAAATGAAAATTGGTAAAATACATTATTAGCAGATTCACAATAAAGAAAACACTAAGCGTGTTCTTTAGGCAGAAAGAAAATGACCCTACGTGGAAGCCCAGAGATACCAGAAAGAATAAAGAGCAATGAGAAAGGCAAATATGTGAATAAATATAAATAAATATGGACCGTATAACATAATAATAATGTAGAATCCTTTATAAATGTAAAATTAAAATATAACAACAATGGCATCCAAGTCAGAAAGAGTATAAATGGCGTTAAAGTTTCTAAGGCGCTTTCATTACAGACTTGGGTAATAGCATGAAAATACCAATTAATATTAGACTTTGGGGTCAGGCACATAGGCTCATGCCTATAATCCCAGCACATTGGAGGGCTGAGGTAGGCAGATCACTTGAGACCAGGAGTTCAAGACCAGTCTAGGCAACATAGAGAGACTCCGTCTCTACAAAAAATGAAAAATAAATTAGCCGGGTCTGGAGGCATGCACCTGTTGTCTCAGCTACTTATGAAGCTGAGGTGGGAGGATCATTTGAGCCCAGCAGTTTGAGGCTGCAGTGATTTATGATTGTGCCACTGAACTCTAGCCTAGGTGACAGAGTGAGACCCTGTCTCTTAAAAAAATAAATAGACTTTGTTTTTTTTTTTTTTTTTTTTGAGACAGGATCTTGCTTGTTGCCCAGGCTAGAGTGTAGTGGTACAAATGCAGCTCATTGCAGACTCAACCTTCCAGGCTTAAGCAATCCTCCCGCTTCAGCCCCTCAAGTAACTGGGACTACAGGCAGGGACCACCGTGCCTGGCTAATTTTTGTATATTTTGTAGAGATGGGGTTGCGCCATGTTGACCAGGCTGGTCTTGAACTCCTGAGCTCAATCGATCTGCCTGCCCCGGCCTCCCAGAGTGCTGGGATTATAGGTGTGAGCCACTGTGCCCAGTCTGAGACTTTGATAAATTAATAATCTCTACAGTAAGAGAAAAATAAAAGTGTATAACTTCTAAACTAATAGAATGGGAAAATTGGAATTAACAATTTTTTCTTTCAGAGACAAGTTCTGTCTGTGTTGCTTAGTCTGGCCTCAAATGCCTGGGCTCAAGCGATCCTCCCACCTCATTCTCCCTGGTAGTTGTGGCTACAGGTATATGTCACTATACCCAGCAAAAAACTGGAATGTTAATAATCATAAAATAAGTTCAAAAGTTGATGGAAATAGGAGAAAATAGAACATGGAATAGAGGAACAAACAGAAAGCAAACATTACTATAGTAGATTTAAAATGTAATATATCAATACATATATTAAATGTAAGTGGACTAAATGTTCTAATTAAAATATAAAAATTGTCAAACTGGGTAAGAAAACAAAACCCAGTTCTATGTTGCTTACAAGAAGCATATCCTAAATATAAGGATACGGAAAGGTTGAGAGTGAGATGATGCAAAATGTTACGCCAATAAAATGTTTTGAAAGAATCACTGTGGGCCAGGCGTGGTGGCTCATGCCTGTAATCCCAGCATTTTGGGAGGCCGAGGTGGGCGGATCACCTGAGGTCGGGAGTTTAAGACCAGCCTGACCAACATGGAGAAATCCTGTCTCTACCAAAAGTACAAAAAAATTAGCCAGGCGTGGTGGTGCATGCCTGTAATCCCAGCTACTAGGGAGGCTGAGGCAGGAGAAATCGCTTGAACCCAGGAGGCAGAGGTTGTGGTGAGCCTAGATTGCGCCATTGCACTCCAGCCTGGGCAACAAGAGCAAAACTCTGTCTCAAGAAAAAAAAAACAAAAAAGAATCATTGTGGCTGTCATGAGGATAATAAATCAGAACTATAGGCAAGAAAGACAATGAGATGAGATTTATTTGAAGTGGGAAGTAGTAGAGGCAAGAGGTTGAGACAACTTTAGATGCACTCTAAGGTGCACTTAGATACCCTAAAGCACTATGGAAAGACTATTAATAGAAAGGGAAGGGATGTATTGCTAAGAATACTAGGTGTAAGAACTAATGTCTCCTCTATCATATTTCCCCTTTTGTTACCTTATATCTGTATTCTATTATTAGGATCAAACTAGGAACAAAAGAGTCCTGGCAAAAGGGCAGATGACTCCTAAGACTCATTCAAAGGGGCCCTATATAGGATGTAAGATACTCTAGGCTAGCGGCCATCCCACTTCACTTCGTTATCCAGACCTGCCACAGGCTATGCTCATTGTAGTGGTGCTCTTACCATGCTATTCTAAAAGGTCAAAATTTCAACCATGATTTTCTTTCTGAAAGACCTGTAATTTTTCAGTTTTAGAAATACTGATTTACAGATTCCTGAAATAATAGGATTCCTCTATTTTTTTCCCCCCCTAAGACAGAGTCTTGCTTTGTTGCCCAGGCTGGAGTGAGTGGCACGATCTCAGCTCGCTGCATCCTCCATCTCCCAGGTTCAAGCAATTCTCCTGCCTCAGCTTCCCAAATAGCTAGGATTACAGGCATGTGCCACCACACCTGGCTAATTTTTGTATTTTTAGTAGAGATGGGGTTTCTCCATGTTGGCCAGGCTGGTCTCGAACTCCTGACCTCATGACCTGCCTGCTTTGGCCTCCCAAAGTGCTGGGATTACAGGTGCGAGCCACCATGCCTGGCCAGGATTCTTCTTTAATACTCAATATTCCTCATCCCAGCAACGTGAACATGGATATTCATAGTGAATGCTTACCTCTCAATGCCAGCATAGAATGGAGAACATACGGCTAAGCACAGTGGCTAACAGCTGTAATCCAAGTACTTTGGGAGGCTGAGGTGGGAAGATCTCTTGAACACAAGAGTTCGAGACCAACCTGGGCAACATAGTAAGACCCTGTCTCTACAAAAAATTTTCTAAAAAAAGGAAATTAGCTGGGCATGCTAGTGCATGCCTGTGGTCTCAGCTACTCAGTAGGCTAAGGTGGGAGGATAACTTGACCCCAGGAGGCCGAGGCTGCAGTGAGCCATGATTGTGCCACTGCACTCCAGCCTGGAGGACGGAGTGAGATCCCGTTTCAAATAAAAAAAGAATGGAGAACATATTAAGTCATAAATAAGATCATCATCAGATGGTGGAAGTGTGAGGGGAAGAATAAATTCTGTATAAATTCTTTTTTGGTGTTTTTTTTGAGAGAAAATTCTCACTCTATAGCCCAGGCTGGAGTGCAATGGTGCAATCTCGACTCACTGCAACCTCCACCTCCCAGGTTCAAGTGATTCTCCTGCCTCAGCCTCCTGAGTAGCTGTGATTACAGGTGCACCACCACGCCCGGCTAATTTTTGTATTTTTAGTAGAGATGGAGTTTCACCATGTTGGCCAGGCTGGTCTTGAACTCCTGACCTCAGGTGATCTGCCTGCCTCAGCCTCCCAAATTGCTGGGATTACAGACATGGGCCACTGCGCCCGGCCATTCTGTATAAATTCTACACATTTTTCTGTTCACATTATTAGGAATATCAAATATGCCCATTTTATTATATAATCTAGAAAGGATAACATGTGACACCTGCATAGATGCTTCAAGTGTTATTCTACCAGTGATGCTGCTTGTTTTATCTTCCAGTTTTGAACACCAAAATCCTAGTTGCAAAGACGTTTAAAGTCAATTCATCAATTATCTTTCTTTTTCTTTTTTTTTTTTTTGAGACGGAGTCTCGCCCTTTTACCCAGGCTGGAGTACAGTGGCGCAATGTTGGCTCACTGCAATGTCCGCCTCCCGGGTTCAAGTGATTCTCCTGCCTCAGCCTCCCCAGTAGCTAGGACTACAGGCACCTGCCACCATGTCCAGCTAATTTTTCTATTTTTAGTAGAGATGGGTTTTCACCATATTGGTCAGACTGGCCTTGAGCTCCTGACCTCAGGTGATCCATCCACCTTGGCTTCCCAAAGTGCTGGGATTACAGGCGTGAGCCACCATGCCCAGCCATCAGTTATCTTTCTATTAACATGTAAAGTAATTTTTTTTTTCTTAGAGACATTGTCTTGCTCTGTCACCCAGGCTGGAGTTGGAGTTCAATGGCGCAATTATAGTTCACTGCAACCTTGAACTCCTACTCTGAAGCATTCCTCTTGCCTCGGCCTCCCAAAGTACTGGGATTACAGGTGTGAGCCTCTGTGCCTGGCCTTAAAGTGATTCTTTTTTTTTTTTTTTTTTTTTTTTTGAAACACAGCCTCACTCTATCGCCCAGGCTAGAGTGCCATGGCAAAACCTCAGTTCACTGCTGCAACCTCTGCTTCCTGGGTTCAAGTGATTCTCCTATATCAGCCTCCCAAGAAGCTGGGACTACAGGCGCCTGCCACCACACCTGACTAATTTTTGTATATTTGTAGAGATGGGATATCGCCATGTTGGCCAGACTGGCCTCAAACTCCTGACCTCAGGTGATCCACTTGACTCGGACTCCCAAAATTCTGGGATTATAGGCACGAGCCACTGCGCCTGGCCTAAAGTGCTTTTTTTTTTTTTTTCGAGATGGAGTCTCACTGCGTTACCCAGGCTGGGGGTGCAGGGGCTTGATCTCAGCTCACTGCAACCTCCGCCTTCCTGGCTCAGGTGATTCTCCTGCCTCAGCCTCCTGAGTAGCTGGGATTACAGGCATGCACCACCACGCCCGGCTATAAAGGGTTCTTGAGTTAGGATTTAAGAAAGAGAATTTAGACTTCAGAAGTCAGAAGAGAACTCGAATTGTGGAATAAAGTAGGTGCAATTAACTTAAGTATAAATACATATTATGAAAGTCATATTTAAAATATAACCATGGGTCGGGCGTGGTGGCTCACGCCTGTAATCCCAGCACTTTGGGAAGCCAAGGCAGGCAGATCACCTGAGGCCGGGAGTTCAAGACCAGCCTGACCAACATGGAGAAACCCTGTCTCTACTAAAAATACAAAATTATCTGGGGCTGGGGTGGCAAATGCTTGTAATCCCAGCTACTTGGGAGGCTGAGGCAGGAGAATTGCTTGAACCTGGGAGGTAGAGGTTGCGGTGAGCTGAGATCGTGCCATTGCACTCCAGCCTGGGCAACAAGAGTGAAACTCCATCTCAAAATAAAATAAAATAAAATAAAATAAAACCATGAAAGAATTTTGATAAAATATCTAATCTTTCCAAATAATTATAACAATTAGAATACTCCTGGTTAATAGTTAATAGAAAACCTTGATTTCAACTGGCTTAAACATTGGGAAACGTTATTTTACATAAACGGAAGTCCATAGTTATGGAAGAATTCAAGACTGGTTGATATAGTAATTCAAAAATGTCATCAGATACTGAAGTTCTTCCCACTCTGCCAACTTCTGAGTATAGATTTGGTTCCCAAAGAAGGAAGAAATTTCATTTTTTCCTCTGTCTCTTTCATGGTAGTGAGAAAATATTTTCTAAAACCCCCCCAGCAGACTTTTTCTCATTGAGTCACATTCCCATTCCTAACCCAATCACTGGCGAAACAAATGGGATTATCACAATTGACTTACACCAATCACCTGGTGAGTGGAATGGATAATGAGGAGTCAACCATAATAAATGTTACATAGCACCAAGGAACTGCTGTAGAGGCAACTGTTTCTCACCTGGACTTGCCCATGTCCTCTGCTTCCTTTGCCCTCGGATTCTGAGTTACTCACATTCCTCCCTTCATTCCAAACCGGCCCGTGCTGGAGAGTTTACTTTTTTTTTTTTCTGAGACAGAGTCTCCCTCTGTCACCCAGGGTGGAGTGCGGTGGCACAATCTCGGCTCACTCGAACCTCCACCTCCCGGGTTTAAGCGATTCTCATGCCTCAGCCTCCTGAGTAGCTGGGACTACAGGCGTGCACCACCATGCCCGGGTAATTTTTGTATTTTTAGTGGAGATGGGGGTTTCACCATGTTGGCCAGGCTGGACTGGAACTCCTGACCTCAAGTGATCTGCCTGCCTTGGCCTCCCAAAGTGCTAAGATTACAGGCATGAGCCACTGTGCCTAGCCAGAGTGTTTTCTTAATATAATATCTGTAGCACATTCTTATTCTTTCATTTCTGTATCTGCAATTATTAAAAATATAAATTTCAGATAAGAGTATCTTTATCAGCTTAAATTCTGTACATCTTTGCTTCTGTCCCTACTAGCTGTTAAAAATATTTGTGCAGCACCAGACCTCAAGGAAGGGAAACTCTGTTTTAATGCCTCCTTTGCAAAAACAGGCCTTTAAAAAAAAAGATTTTCTTTGTCCTGCTGAGGAATTTGGAAGAAAGGGTAAGTGCTACCTCAAGGACTTCATTACCCCTCAAAAATGTTTTCTATGGTTATTTTGTGTATACCACTAGCAAATGTACTCTTTGGCCTCAGTAAATGTGGTTACAGCTGTCCAGTGGCTGCCTCACTGAGGTTTTGTAGTTTAACTCTTTTATGTCCAGTATGTGTGGGTGTTTTTTTAAACTTTTTAAAAATAGAGATGGGATTTCGCTGGATTGCCCAGCCTGTGTGGGTTTTAAAGACAAAGTAGGTATATTTTAAATTTTCTTAATAAATTATAATTCTATAAAACCATCAAATTATGTGAGTTAGGCCAGATACAGTGGCTCATGCTTGTAATCCCAGCACTTTGGGAGGCTGAGGCAGGTGGATCACTTAAGGTCAGGAGTTTGAGACCAGCCTGACCAACATGGTGAAACCCTGTCTCTACTAAAAATACAAAAATTAGCTGGGCTTGGTGGTGCATGCCTGTAATCCCAGCTACTAGGGAGGCTGAGGCAGGAGAACCGCTTGCATCCGGGAGGCGGAGGTTGCAGTGTGCCAAGATTGCACCACTGCACTCCAGCCTGGGTGACAGGATGAGACTCTGTCTTAAGGAAAAAAAAAAAAGTTATGTGACTTGAAGATCAGCTGGTCAAATTATAAACATTTTAATCTAATTATAAGTGAATTTTGTCTAAATATGATAAATAATATTTATTATTTAATAGTAAATGTTTAATGTTTAACAGTAAATAATAAAAATAATTTATCTAGGGCTGGGCGCAGTGGCTCATGCCTGTAATCCCAGCACTTTGGGAGGCAGAGGCGGGCAGATCACCTGAGGTTGGGAGTTCGAGACCCGCCTGACCAACATGGAGAAACCCCGTCTCTACTAAAAATACAAAAAAATTAGCCAGGTGTGGTGGTGCATGCCTGTAATCTCAGCTACTCAGGAGGCTGAGGCAGGAGAATTGCTTGAACCCAGGAGGCGGAGGTTGCAGTGAGCCAAGATTGTGCCATTGCACTCCAGCCTGGGCAACAAGAGCGAAACTTGGTCTCAAAAAAAAAAAAACACACACACACACAAAAATAATTTATGTATGCAAATCAGCTAAAAGTGTAATTTTTTCTTATAGTTTGTATTTTAATTTATATATAATGTTACATCTAAAAGGAATTCGTTAATAAAATTTTTTCTCATAATTTGAAATAGAACACAATGCCTTTTAATCCCCTCAAGGAAACAAATTTTTCCAAAATGCTTGATAATGTGAATTTAGATCTAAAGAAAGGCGGAAAAGCTTCTAAACTCTGATTAAGTCAGGAGAGCTTCTTTTTTATTGTCCCTTCTCACTTTTACTGGCTGTATTCATTATTCCATTTTCATTGTCCCCTTCTGGAAAGCAGGAAAACAGTGCTTCTTTGTTGGTGCTCAGGGAGACCAGGTTTAATTAAAGTCTGAAAAGCACATTTGGAAATGAGGAATGTTAAGCCAGAAATAATTTGTGAAGTGTTTTACTCCAATCTGCATGTCACCAGTAATTGAAAGAGAAGAAAAAAGTCAAAAATTAAGGTAAAGAAATCAGGAAAATATGAAACCTAAGTCAGTTATCAACCACAATCAGGAAGAGGATTCACTGGGCACCACTTGGTGGGAAGGAAGGTGAGGTCCTGTTGGCCTTTAGACTGCTGTTCTGGAATGTCCTATAGATGCTGCTTTGGAAAAAAAAAATATGTGGTCATCACATATAATTGAGTGAATTCTGCATAGACAGCAGTAAAAATCATCATGAACAAACAGCCTTTGCACTCACATCATGTGCATGGTTCAGTTCAAGGCAGCATTCCATGCCACTTAGCCACTTGAGGCAAGCTAATAAGTCATCTTGTGTCATGTGCCATGTTTTCAGGAATGTCTGTTTCTCCTTGTCCTCTTCTATACAAGAGGCTACAGGCCATTTCTTTGAAATGTGTATCTAGTGCTCTAGTGTTTTTATTTTGGTTTTCTAATTGTTTTCCACATTGCATAGATTGTAAGCCTCAGAATTAATTTATCAGGCATAATATCCATTAGTGGGATTACCACTTGAGAACTGCCAATTTTTCAATAAATTCATCAAACAATCTGTTAATTGATGAGTTGGAAGCCATTGCACTTGAAGTCATTGTAGTATTGAATCCATGAAAGATGTTGTTATTGGATGAAATTTTTGAACCCTAGAGGTTGATATTCAGTATTACTTTCACATGAAATCACTGGTATCTAGAGTATACTAGAGGGTCTTGGGAACTTGGTTTCTTGGTTTATGGGTACTTTTTTGGATATGACTTTCTTATTTTAAGAAGACTCTCTTTTTTTTTTCTTATAGAGACAGGGTCTTGCTATGTTGCCTGGGCTGGTCTCAAACTCCTGAACTCAAACAATCCTTCTGCTTCAGACTCCCAAAGTGCTAGGATTACAGGCATGAGCCACTGTGCCCTGCTCTTATTTTAAGAACATTCTCAACCTGTAGTTGGCAACTTTTCATTGGCAACATGTCCTTGTCTACTTTTCAGGACTTTGGTATCATGAGATTTAAGCAGGGACAGTATGTTTAAATTAACAAAGATATCAAAAAGCAAGAAAGTAATTAGAAATAAAGGGCAGTCATGGGTTAATATTTAGATTATAAGAATTTATCTCCAATAGAGACTAAGCTGTGCTCTAATTGTTCCTGAAATATCCTATGCAACAATATTTGGCTTGGAAGGGAGAACACAGGAACAGGACTGAGCAATTGAAATTAAAGCGTAAGTCTTAGCAGCCCTTTACTCACCTAAATGGCTTCTACTTTATCCTTCCTTAAAGCCAAGGAAAAAACGTTCTCAAAACTTAACTTGAGGTTTTTCCATTTTTCTATTTTGCATTAAAAGGTATCTCACTTTATTGTTCATATCTAAAAAAATGAATACAGCTCACATGAAACAGCCCTTCACAAATTACCCTATGAGGAAAGAGAATCTTCCTAGTACATACAAATGCACAACTTACAGCAACTGATCTATTATCATATGCCTTAAGGACACTTATAAAGTGTCACCAAATGTCAACAAAATATTGATGGCAAGGATAATAAATAATGAAACGCTGGTGAATTTGTGTAAGATTCTGGATAGTCTATCTGAATTCAAATTAGAATGAAAGAAAGAAGATAATATTATCCCTCCTCTTTGAATCTGCAAAAGAAAATCTTATAAAATGATTTATGAAATTCATAAAATTATGAAATGTTATGATCATTTTAGGCAATCAAGAGCAATTAACACTATTCTCATATTACTATTTACTTCCTATATACACTAGAGACCACAAGTCTCTAGGAGGTTAGAAAAGAAGCAAGGATGTCCCATGGGACATAAATGTCATCAGAGATAGATTAGCAAGATTCATAAAAACACAGTTTCCATTTTGTTCAAGGAACTCTTCTATCTATGATTATGAAATTAAAAATGATTGTGAAGTTGACCGATGATTATGATTTACCAAAGTTAATTTACTTACTTTTCATTGGTTGAATCTTTTTTTAGGCTAGAATTTACTCCTTTTTATATTCTAGTGAATTATCTCTCTGTCTAATAAAATAATTGACTAACAATTTACTTATAAAATTAAAGCCTTTATTTTTTAAAAAAGCTACAAGGAAACAGTTACTAGGTTTTTCCCATTTAATAAATTATGCCACAGGAGAGAAAGGGAAAAGAGTATTTCCCTGGTTTACAAAATAAATTGCTCCCTGTTCACCAGGAAAAAATGAAAATGGAAATATGCAGTGTCATCAGTAGCAAGAATTAGTTTGTAACAGAGACATGAAAAATCTTGGCTTATATTTCTGGTTCTAGCACTGACCTATCCACAAGAATCCTACCCCCTCCCTACTCCATATCGTTGTCTCAATAGAATGGGGTTATTACCACTTGTTCAGATGCAGTGGCATAAGCTTAAGTCCTAGAAGCATCAAGAAAATATTTCAAACAGGAACCATGGCAACCTGAGCAATGACAAGATTAACACATCTTGAACAAAAATGGAACTCCTCCTTTCAGCTTTTAGCCCCTAGAGGAAATATTTACATCTTGGATTTTGATCCTATGAATGCAAATACTGTCCAGTTATTTACAGGGTGTAACACATTTCATTTCCATTGTTATTTCAACCAAATAGGTTGGTGAACAGGAAAACAAACAATTGCACAAGCAATAGTGAGGAGGCAGTTTGAAAAAACAAGATATATTTTAGAAAGGATAAGAACTGCCTGGTCTAAGATTGGAGTTTCTCTAGGAGAGTAATAAGACATGAGGTTGAAAAAGCAGATTGGAGAGAGATTACAAAGATCCTTGAATGTCAGCCTGATAATATCAAAACTAGTGAAAGTTTACACAACACTAACTGTGTGTCAGGCATAATGCTTAGACTCCACATGGGTTTTTTAATTCATTCTTCACAACCAGGGCTGCTAATCAGTCAGTATGCACCGTTACCATGAGAACTATTGTTCTCTTTTCACAGAATTTAGAAAACTTAGATAACTTGACCAAGCTTATATAGCTGGTACTCTGATCCTGTAAGCTGAGCTCTTAGACTGTCAGGAGTTTGGGTTTTTTTCTACAGGTATGAGAAGTTTTTTTTAAAAGAAAGTTTATATTTTTAATCAAAATTATGTATGCAAGAAGGGTAAACAGTTATGCAATGCTTAGTATAAAAAACAGTAGTCATCTTTTCTCCCTGTTTCCACCATTTTTTTCCTTCCAAAGACAAGTCCTTTTAAATCTTTATTTTTGGCTGGACGTGGTGGCTCATGCCTGTAATCCCAGCACTTTGGGGGACCGAGGCAGGAGGCTCACTTGAGCTCAGGAGTGTGAGACCAGCCTGGGCAACATGATGAAACCCCCGTCTTTACTAAAAATACAAAAATTAGCTGGACGTGGTGGTGGGCGCTTGTAATCCCAGCTACTCGGGAGGCTGAGGCAGGAGAAACACATGAAACCGGGAAGTGGAGGTTGCAGTGAACTGAGATCACGCCACTGTACTCCAGTCTGGGTGACAGAGCAAGACTCCATCTCAAAAAATAATAAAAATAATAAAATAAAATAAAATAAATTAAAAAATCAAATCTTTGTTTTTGTTTTTGTTATTTACCCCTAAATCTTTACACAACCCTCCTGAACCAGTGTTTCTTAATTTTGTGATATTATATATTATCTGTATTCATCATAAATGATAAAAACTTAACTCTCTTTTTCCACTTCCTTGCCTTCACCACAAATATCATCCTTCATACAAATATGTAATTTTGGGCCAGGCATAGTGGGTCACATCTGTAATTCCAGCACTTTGGGAGGCTGAGGTGGGAGGATTGCTTGAGCCCAGGAATTCAAGACCAGCTGGGGCAATAAAGTGAGACCCCAGTCTCTATAAAAAAAATTTTTTTTAATTAGCCAGGTGTAATGGTGTGCACCTGTAGTCTCAGGTACTTGGGAAACTGAGGCAGAAGGATCCCTTGAGCCCAGGAAGTTAAGGTTGCAGTGAGCTCTGATCACACCACTGCACTCCAACCTGGGCAACAGAGTGAGATCCCTGTCTCAAAAAAAAAAAAGGTAATTTTGTTAAACAATATTCACTATTTACATTATTTTAACTAGGTAAATATTATGCATAAGTGACCCAAGTAGTATGAACCCATATTATTCCTTTTCCACTCTTGAATAACCTTTTGCTTCTCTTAGGTTTAATACTTTTCTTGCTTCTTTTTTTTTTTTTTTTTTTTTTTTTTTGAGACGGAGTTTCGCTCTTTTTGCCCAGGCTGGAGTGCAATGGCACGATCTCGGCTCACCGCAACCTCCGCCTCCCAGGTTCAAGCGATTCTCCTGCCTCAGCCTCCCGAGTAGCTTACAGTCATGCGCCACCACCCCGGCTAATTTTGTATTTTTAGTACAGACAGGGTTTCTCCATGTTGATCAGGCTGGTCTTGAACTCTCGACCTCAGGAGATCCACCCACCTCAGCCTCCCAAAGTGCTGGGATTACAGGTGAAAGCCACCATGCCCAGCTTTTCTTGTTTCTTTAAAAAAATTTTGCTTAGTTTTCTGGCCCCAAATTGTCCTCAAGAGGTATAAATCTCCTCTTACTAGTTGAAACATGTCAGGTGCCCTATGGATTCCATATTCTTGAAGGCATCTCTCCCAGAATCCTCTGACCTCATCCAGTTTGGACTGACTGCTATCTATGTCTAATGCTGTATCCTGGGATCTCCCTTCATCCTGCTAAGTATTCCCCTGCCTCTCTCTTTCTCAGTTTCCTTTTTTTTTTTTTTTTTTTTGAGATGGAGTTTCACTCCTGTTGCCCAGGCTGGAGTGCAGTTGTGCAATTTCAGCTCACTGCAACCTCCGCCTCCCAGGTTCAAGTGATTCTTCTGCCTCAGCCTCCCAAATAGCTGGGATTACAGGCATCAGCCACCATGTCTGGCTAATTTTTTGTATTTTCAGTAGAGATGGGGTTTCATCATGTTGGCTAGACTGGTCTCAAACTCCTGACCTCAGGTGATCCACCCTTCTCAGCCTCCCAAAGTGCTGGGATTACAGGAGTGAGCCACCGCACCTGGCCTCAGATTCTCTTGATTCCTGACTATTTTGTCCTCCTCTTTCTTTGGTTTCTCCTTTTTTTAGGGGAATACCTCCACTATCACTTGCTGATAAAAAGTTCTTGGGAAGTAAATTTTTGGAGAATTTTCATTTTGTTTATTTTTTATTTATTTTTGATTTTTATTTTTTTATATGTAATATTTTTAATTTAGAGATAGGGTCTCACTACATTGGCCAGGCTGGTCTCGAACACCTGAGGTCAAGTGATCCTCCTGCCTTGGCCTCCCAAAGTGCTAGGATTACAGGCTTGAGTCACCATGAATTTTCATTTCTGAAAAGATCATTCTGCTACCCTTAAATTTGCTATGTTTGGTTGGAAATAGAATCCGGGGTCGAAATGTCATTTTTCCTTAGAGTTTTGAAGGCATGTTTTCATTGCCCTCTCCTGATACCTGAAGTCAGTCTGATTCTTGATCATTTCTGTGTCATCTGTCCCTCTCACCCACTCAAAACTTTACTATCTTATCTTTGTTTTCTTTAATTTCTTCAATGATGAAGTGGTTTGGTGTGGATATGTAGTTAGCCACTGTGCTGGGAACTTGGTAGACTTTTCATTTGGAAACTCATGATTGATAACGCTCAAAAATTTTTTTGAGTTATTACTTAGATAATTTCCCCTCCTTCATTTTCTCCATTCTCTTTCTGGAAACTTTATTCAGATGCTAATCCTCCTAAACTGCTATTTTTCTTCTCTTCTCTTTTTTCTGTGTCTTTATCATTTTGTTTAACTTTCTTGGAGATTTTCTTACCTTTAATTTATAATCCTTTTACCGAGTTTTTCATTCATGTTATCATATTTGTAATTTCCAAGAGTTCCTTTTTGTTCTCTGAAATCTTTTCCCCCACTAGCTTCTTTCTTTCATGACTGAATTATCTTCTCTTATCTCTCTGAAGGTATTAATACTTTTTGTCATTTTCTTCTTCCTGAATTGTTTTTGTTTCCTCCTAGTGACTTCCACAGATGTCTATTTATTTTTGGTTCCCTGCTCTTTCTTCAGGATAGGGCATTTAGAAGGCTGACTGGGAGTTCTGTGCTATGAGTGGACCTTGTTGATTGGTAGTGGACTTTGACATTGGAAGGCTCTAGCTGGGCAGTTTCACTGGGGAGTGTAAAAGCTAAATTTTATGCATCAACTTGACTAAGCTATGGAGCCTTGTTGTTTGGTCAAACGCTAGGCTAGACATTGCTGTGAAGGTATTTTGTTGATATGACTAACATCAACAATCAGTTGACTTTAAGTAAAAGAGGTTACCCTCAATAATGTGGGTGGGCCTCTTTTAATCAGTTGAAGACCTTAAGAGAAACAAAGCAAAGCAAAACAAATTGGAGGCTTCCCAGAGAAAAGGAAATTGGCCTCAAGACTGTAACAAAGAAATGCTGCCTCAGTTTCCAGCCTCTTGGCCTGCGCTACATGTTTCAGACTCAAGACTACTTGAGGAGTCAACTCTTGCCTGAGTTTCTAGCCTGCTGGCCAGCCCTACAAATTTTGGACTTTCCAGCTCCCATAATCACATGAGCCAATTCTTTAAAGTAAATCTCTTAATATAAATACACATATATCCTATTGGTTCTGTTTCTCTGACAACCCTAACTGACAAAAGGAGTCTCTGCTGTCTGTATATTTAGGGTGTTCCTCTTGAGATGGCCAGATTTCTTTTCTTTTCTTTCTTTCTTTTTTTTTTTTAAGATGGAGTCTCACTCTGTTGCTCAGGCTGGAGTGCAGTGTTGTGTTCTCAGATCACTGCAGCCTCTGCCTCCCTGGTTCAAGCGATTCTTGAGCCTCAGGCTCCCAAGTAGCGGGAATTACAGGTACACGCCACCACACCAGTCTAATTTTTTTGTATTTTTTGTAGAGATGGGGGTGTCGCCATGTTGCCCAGGCTGATCTCGAACTCCTGGGCTTAAGTGATCTGCTCACATCAGCCTCCATAACACACTCTCAATAATCACTATTATAAAAACACAACCCATGACCTGTCCCCTAATCCTCTTCCCTTACTCTTCATTACTTTTCATAAATTCCCTAGAATTATCTCAGTCATTCTATTCCAAACAAACACTACAGAACCCTCTTTGTCTTAGTCAATTGGTCCACAGATTTTTTTCTTTTCTTTCTTTTCAAAAGTCTTGTTCTTTATTTTTATCCCCTTTGCCGCCATCATATTTTGGTCCTTCTATTGTCTCCCTTTTGGATTTTTGTATGTCTTTCTGACCCCATGGCTTTAGTTTCTGCCCCTTTAATTTATTCTGCATTTTACAGATGATCTCAGCTTCTTAAAATAAGGTTTTTTCCATGTTGTTCTCCTTTGCAGATACTTTCATGTTAGCCTCTTGTTTAAGATGATGGATTGAGCACATATTGACTTCAAATTCTTTTCTTAAACCCCTTGAAAATGACAGTAAAATGTTTAAAATAAATAAACCCATAAAGACAAACATCATCAACATTTTGAAAACTGTAAAGCAGATGGATGAGTGATAACTGACTCACTAGACTTGTGAAAATTGAATTCTAAACCAGTGAGGGAAGTCTGTAAGTGACCTGATTTATATCACAAAATCTCCGAGATTCTTAGGAATTGGAATCACAGGAAGCTTGGGCACTCACTGGCAAGGAACATGCAGCTGAAAACTAGCAGATAGCTTAAAAGTCTGCATAAAAAGTCATTAGATCCTTAGATTCCTACCGCTACTGCACACAGCCCCTTCTCCATCACAGCAAACTTTCCAGTCTTTTGTAGGGCCAATATAGTTTGAATATATGCCCTTGCCAAATGTCATGTTGAACTGTAATCCCCAATGCTGGAGGTGGAGCCTGGAGGGAGGTGTTTGGATTATGGGGGCAGATCCTTTATGTCTTGCTGCTGTCCTCGAAATAGTGAGTGGAGTTCCTGGGAGATCTGGTTGCTTAAAAGTATGTGGCACTGGCCGGGCGCGGTGGCTCACGCCTGTAATCTCAGCACTTTGGGAGGCCGAGGCGGGTGGATCACGAGATCAGGAGATTGAGACCATCCTGGCTAACACGGTGAAACCCCGCCTCTACTAAAAATACAAAAAAATTAGCCGGGCTTGGGTGGCGGGCGCCTGTAGTCCCAGCTACTAGGGAGGCAGGAGAATGGCGTCAACCCAGGAGGCGGAGCTTGCAGTGAGCCGAGATCTCACCACTGCGCTCCAGCCTGGGTGACAGAGCAAGACTCCGTCTCAAAAAAAAAAAAAAAAAAAAAAAAAAGTATGTGGCACTTGTCTCTCTTGCTCCTGCGCTGGCCATGTGGCATGCCTGCTCCCACTTCACCTTCTGCCATGAGTACAAGCTGAGCCATAATGCAAGCAAGAGCTGGTTCCAAGGCATATAGTTAGGCAATTGGAGTGAATGGAGCAACTAGCCAAGGATTCATGTGGAGTCACTTTCAAGAACCAGAACTCCAGAGGGTCTTAGGTCACACTCGTAACTTTTTTTTTTTTTTTTCAGGTCAGGCAGGTAATGTGCTGACATTGTAACAAGGTTTGAGGGTGGTACATTTCACACACATGTGTGAAACACCCAACCATCATCCTCATGAACTACAAAAGGATCCTTTTTTTTTTCTTTTTTTTTTTTTTGAGACAGGATCTCACTCAGTTGCCCAGGCTGGAATGCAGTGGTATGATTGCAGCTCACTGCAGCTGCAACCTCCCCAGGCTCAGGTGATTCTCCCACCTCAGCTTTCTGAGTAACTTGGACTACAGGCTTGAGCACCATGCCTGGCTAATTTTTGTATTTTTTATAGAAACAGGGTTTCACCATGTTGCCCAGGCTAGTCTTGAACTCCTGGGCTCAAGAGATCTGCCTGCCTTAGCCTCCCAAAGTGTTGTGATTACAGGCATGAGCCACTGCACCCAGCCCACACTTACATCTTTAAGTAATTTAGCATCTGGACTTGGTTGTAACAAAGCCCAGTTGGAGTCACACTCTGGTATCTGGTTGCTATGATTTGAATGTCCCCTCCAAAACTCATGGAGAAATTTATTTATTTAATTTATTTATTTATTTATTGAGACAGAGTCTTCCTCTGTCACCCAGGTTGGAGTGCAGTGTCATGATTTTGGCTCACTGCAACCTCTGCCTCCTGCATTCAAGTGATTCTTCTGCCTCAGCCTCCCCAGTAGCTCTGATTACAGGCACATGCCCCCACGCCCTGCTAATTTTTGTATTTTTAGTAGAGACGGGGTTCCACCATGTTGGCCAGGCTGGTCTTGAACTCCTGACCTTGTCATCTGCCCACCTCAACCTCCTAAAGTGCTGGTATTAAGGTGTGAGCCACTTTGCTGGGCCTCATGTTGAAATTTAATTGCCACTGTGACAGCGTTAATAGGTGGAACTCTTAAAAGGTGATTAGGTCATGTGGGGCTCCACCCCTAGGAACAGTTTAATGTTGTTATCATCGGAATGGGTTCCTGGTTAAAGTTTACTCCCCTCTTGCCCTTTCTTGCTCTCTTGTGCTCTCTTACCCTTCTACCTTCCTCCATGAGATGACACAGCAAGAAGGCCAGTACAAGATGCCAGCCCCATGTTCTTGGATGTTCCAACCTCCAGAACCATGAGCCAAATATATTTCTATTGTTTATAAATTACCCAGTCTGTGGTATTCTGTTACAGTAACACAAAATGGGTAAGATAGAAAATTGTTATGGAGAAATGGGGCTGTTGCTTTAACAAATACCTGAAAATGTGGAAGCAGTTTGAACTGGTAATGGATAGAGCCTGGAAAAATTTAGAGGAAAAGCCTAGAAAAAGCCTTTGTCTTGAATGGAGCATTAAAAGCAATTCTGGTGAAATCTCAGAAGAAGACAAGGGATGTAGGAAAAGTCTGGAATTTCTTAGAGATTACTAAGTTGTCATGATCAGAATGTTGGCAGAAATATGAATAGTAAGGGCTGACACTGAGGAACAAGTATTGGAAACTAGAGTAAAGGCCGTCTTTGTTATAAACTGGTAAAGAATTTGGCTGAATTTTATCTATGCCCTAAGCCTTTATGGAAGGTGGAATTTAAGAGTGATAAACTAAGATATGCAGTGGAAGAAATTTCTAATTAAAACATTAAAGGAGCTATGTGGCTACTTTTAACCACGTACAGCAAGATATGAGAGGAAAAAAGTGATGTGAAGTTGGAATTTATAATTAAAAGAAAAGCATAAGTCACCATAGTGTCTGTGGGGGGGGGGGAAAAAAGAGAGAGAGAGAGAGACAGAAGCAGAATAAAAAGACTTTGAAGAAATTCAGCCTGGCTACATAAAGGATGAACAAACATGTTGGGAGAGCAAACCAAGCATGTGGCCAAGTGACTGTTTGCTAAGTAGATTAATACATGGATGGAAGAGATCATCAAGACAATAGGAGAAAGACACTGAAGGCATTTCAGAGATCTTGGAGACAGCTTCTCCCATTACAGCCCCAGAGATCTAGGAGGGCAGAATGGTTTCGGGAGATGGGCCTGGGGTACCCTCCACGGACTTGCTGCTCAGAGCTGCCTCAGATCTCTGCTCCCTGCATTCTGGTGCAGTGTTCCTGGACTGCCCCAACCATGGCTCAAGTGGGCCCAGATACATTTTGACCTGCTGCTCTGGAAGGAACAAGCCAGAAACCTTGGCAGTGTCCATGTGGTTCTAATTCCGCAGACAAGCAGAATGCTAGAGCTGTGGGGGCATGGCTTCCTCCACCTTGATTTCAAAGGATGTTGCAGATAGGCTGGGGGTCGAGGGAGACACTTGTTGCAAGGGTGGAGTCACCACAGAAAGCTTCCACTAGGGCATTGTCAAGCGGAAATGTGGGGTCAGAGCTGCCACAGAGAGTCTCCACTAGGGCAGTGCCTACTGGGGCCATGAAAGTGGGGCCAGTCCTAAAACCCTAGAACTGTAGAGCTACCAGCTTGCAGCACCAGCTTCAGGGAGCTATAGGCACAGGACTCCAACCTATGAGAACTGCTGGGCAGACTGAGTCCAACAAAGCCATAGGAGTTGGACTGCCTGCGGCATTGGGAGGACCATATCCCACCCCAGTGTGCCCAGGATGCGGGACATGGTGTCAAAGGAAATTATGCTGGAGCTTTAAGAAGACTGGATGTTGTTCCCCTGGTTAGCTTTTGGACTTGACATGGGACCTATTGGGTCCATGTAACTTGTTAATTTTACAGGCTCACAGCTGGAGAGTAATTGGTCTCAGGATGAATTGTGCTTTTAGGCTTACCCATAGCTAACTTAGAGGAGACCCTGGACTTTGGATTTTTGAGTTAACGCTGGAATGAGTGAAAAATTTGAGGGCTGTTGTGATGGGATGAATGTATTTTGTATGTGAGAAAGACATAAGTTTTGGGGGACTAATGAAGAATGCTAGTGTCTGAATGTCCCTCCAAAACTCATGTTGAAATTTCATTGCTGGCCAGGGGCGGTGGCTCACACCTGTAGTCCCAGCACTTTGGGAGGCCAAGGCGGGTGGATCACGAGGTAAGGAGATCAAGATCATCCTGGCTAACACGGTGAAACCCCGTCTCTACTAAAAATACAAAAAATTAGCCGGGGGTGGTGGCAGGCGCCTGTGGTCCCACCTATTTGGGAGGCTGAAGCAGGAAAATGGCGTGAACCCAGGAAGCGGAGCTTGCAGTGAGCCAAGATCGCACCACTGCACTCCAGCCTGGGCGACAGAGCGAGACTCTGTCTCAAAGAAAAATTAAAAAAAAAAAAAAAAGAAATTTAATTGCTATTGTGATGGTATTTTTGTTTATTTATTTATTCATTTTTGAGATGGAATCTCTGTGTTGCCCAGGCTGGAGTGCCATGGTGCGATCTCGGCTCACTGCAACCTCCACCTCCCAGGTTCAAGTGATTCTCGTACCTCAGCCTCCCGAGTAGCTGGGATTACAGGCGCCCACCACCATGCCTGGCTAATTTTTTTGTATTTTTAGTAGAGACAGGGTTTCACCATGTTGATCAGGCTGGTCTTGAACTCCTGACCTCAAGTAATCAACCCGCCTCGGCCTCCCAAAGTGCTGGGATTACAGGCATGAGCCACAGTGCCCGGCCAGGAATGGGTTATTGGTAAAAGCATATTTGGTCGCCTCTTGTCCTCTCTTCCTCTCTTGCCCATCCGGGATGACGTAGCATGAAGGCCACTTGACTTTGGACTTTGCATCCTCCAGAAATGTAAGAAATAAATTATTTGTCTTTATGACTACCCAGTCTATGGTATTCTGTTATAGCAACACAAAACAGACTGACACTAGCAGAATTTCTACAAGATCTTTTTTATTTTGCTTCCATTACAATTTCATTTTGGCTTTTGACCCTTGCATCTAGAATAGGCTTGGCCTTGCTCCAGGGAACATGCCATCCTGGCCTGACATACTTCACCTTCCCAATTTCTGTCTTCTTTGTTTGTCAACAACCCACTCCAAAGTATCCCTGACTTGCCTCCCTTGTCTTTGTTCCTCCTAGTGTGTTTTGTTTTGTTTTTTGATGCATGGGCCATGACAGAAATCTACTGAGATGAAGGGGAGTTGAGGAGAGACTCATTGTTTTCAGCAAGATGGGTAGTTATTGAGGAGAAATTAGAAGGCATCAACTAACTGGATGTGATAGGAACCACATTCCTACCACATGAAATGAAACAGATTTTTAAATATGGCTAAGCAGTGTAAGTATTCAGGCAAAGTCTGACAACTAAATATGTAGTGGGCTCTAATTAGATGGTTCTTCATTTATCTCTGGGAAAAGGACTGAAGAAAACAGACAGTGAGATTGATCCAAAAACTCCCATGTATATAGAAACACATGAAAAATGTCATTAAAATGTTAATGGCAGTTAAATTACAGTTGCATCAGGGATGGGATTTCAGGTGAGTTTTTACTTTCTTCTTATAAATTTATGCATTGTTTAATTTTTTTAAATATGAAAATACATATAATTAGGAAAATAAACTATTTTCATTGAGAGAGAGGAAAGTTTATTAATAGAGAAAGAGGAAAAAAAGAGATCCAAGACTGAGGATAGGCACAATAAGCACTTCAATAAGGGATTCAAGAAAATGAAAATAGAGGTAAAGGCAGATTGGATTATACTGCACAGGCAATCAGATATCAGCAATAGAAACTGATGGAGTGAAAAATTTGGGAATCTGACTGTCCCAGTCATGGCAGCCACTAAGTTGTATAACACTTTTTTTTTTTTTTTTTGAGATGGAGTCTCGCTCTGTTGCCTAGGCTGGAGTGCAGTGGTGCAATCTCGGCTCACTGCAACCTCCACCTCCAAGGTTCAGGCAATTCTCCTGCTTCCGCCTCCTGAGTAGCTGGGACTACAAGCATGCACCACTACGCCTGGCTAATTTTTGTATTTTTAGTAGAGACGGGGTTTCACCATGTTGGCCAGGCTGGTCTCGAAATCCTGACTTTAGGTGATCCACCCGCCTTGGCCTCCCAAAGTGCTGGGATTACAGGCTTAAGCCACCGTGCCTCGCCTAACACATTTACGGGAACTAAAAAAAGGACACCCCTGGCTGGGTGCGGTGGCTCTCGCCTGTAATCCAGCACTTTCGGAGGCTAAGGTGGGCGGATCGCCTTGAAGTCAGGAGTTTGAGACCAGCCTGCAAACATGGTGAAACCCTATCTCTACTAAAAATACAAAAAAAGTAGCTGATTGTGGTGGTGTGCCTGTGCCTGTAATCTCAGCTACTCGGGAGGCTGAGGCAGGAGGATCCCTTGAACCTGGGAGGCAGAGTTTGCAGTGAGCCAAGATCACGCCACTGCACTCCAGCCTGGGCAACAGAGTGAGACTCCATCTCAAAAGAAACCAAAAAACAGGGCCGGGCGCGGTGGCTCAGGCTTGTAATCCCAGCACTTTGGGAGGCCGAGGCGGGTGGATCACGAGGTCAGGAGATCGAGACCATCCTGGCTAACACAGTGAAACCCCGTCTCTACTAAAAAAATACAAAAAAAATTAGCCGGGCGTGATGGCGGGCGCCTGTAGTCCCAGCTACTCGGGAGGCTGAGGCAGGAGAATGGCGTGAACCCGGGAGGCGGAGCTTGCAGTGAGCCGAGATTGCGCCACTGCACTCCCGCCTGGGCCACAGAGCAAGACTCCGTCTCAAAAAAAAAAAAAAAAAAAACCAAAAAACGACACCCTCATCAGCCACCACTCAACTCATTGGCCTGATACCTTTGTGTAGCGCATGACAGCTACAAGTGTACAAGATGGTACTGGATCCAGTGAGGAAGACAACAAGTCTGGCAGGAATGTGAGAGAGACTTAGAAGAATTGGTTCAATATGATGATGGAGTTCAGAGAGCTAAATGAAGTTCTGAGAAGTCACTGTTTTAAATGGCTTAGCCATGTGGATGTTGAGAAACCCCAAGGATGTTCCGGTTATCTTTTGCTACATAACAAACCATCCTGAAATTTAGTGGCATAAAATAACAAATATTTTATTGCACTCATGATCTGGGGAGTCAGGAACTTGGGCGGGGCACAGCAGAAATGGCTGGCTTATCTCTGCTCCATGATATCTGGGTCCTCCACTAGCGTGGCTTGAATGGTTGGAGATGGCTGAGATATCTTTACTGGGGCCGTATGTCTGAAACCTCCTTTCTTCTTTTTGGGACATCTGATGGGCCTAAGAAGTCTAAGTTGTCTCTTTCACTCAGGTATAGTGCCTGGGCTGGGATGGCTGGAACGGTTGAGGGCTGGCCGGCCTCACTCTGTCTCTCTCTGTCTACAAAGGTGGTTTCATGGTGGCCACAGTGCTTACATGGTAGGTGGTTTCCCCCAGAGTGCAAGAGAATCCCAGCAGACAGCATGCCCATGGGTGTAAGGAGAAGCTGCAAGGCTTCTTATGACTGTCTCAAAAGTCATGGTGTCACTTCTGCCATATGTGTTGGTCTAGCAAGTTGCCAAGACTATTCCAGATTCAGGAGGAGGATAGGAACAGACTGATCTCTTTCTCGATATTAAAAATGCTATGAGCACACATGAAGAAAAGGATTTTATTGTGGCCATCTTGAAAACAAGCAACCAAACTGATGCTGATAGGAATTATCCAGAAAGGTAGGAGTGGATTTTTGGGATTGATCCAGAGGGAATGAGGAGTCTAGACTAAAAAATGGCAAGATTGGATACAATGTACACTGTTTGGGTAACAGGTACACTGAAAGCCCAGACATGACCACTGTACAATTCATCCATGTACAACCCAGAAGCACTTGTACCCTTATAGCTATTGAAATTTAAAGAAAATTTTTTTAGTGGCAAGAATTTTAAATGTAGGAAAGCTGAGAGAGGCTGGTAAATAAGTGGCTTGAATGTTGCTTCGGAGTCTTCTTACTTCTCCAGCCCTACTGTGGTTTGGATATGGTGATATGTTGTGTTTGTTCCCACCAAATCTCGTGTTGAAACCTGATCCCCAAGGTAGCAGTGTTGGGAGGTGAGGCTTAGTGGGAGGTGTTTGGGTCATGGGGGTGGATTGGTCATGAATGGCTTGGTGGTGAGTTCTCCATCTTACAAGGCTGGATTAGTTCTGGGGCAATGGATTCGTTCCTAAGAGAGTGAGTTGTTACAAAGCCAGGATGACCCTCAGGTCTGGTCTCTCTTTTCACATGCCCACTTCCCCTTTGACCTTCTCTACCATGTTTCTTTTTTTTGACAGGGTTTCCCCCTGTCGCCCAGGCTGGAGTGCAATGGTGTGATCTCAGCTCACTGCAACCTCCACCTCCCAGATTCAAGCAATTCTCCTGCCTCAGCCTCCCGAGTAGCTGGGATTACAGGCACCCGCCACTATGCCCAGCTAATTTTTTGTATTTTTGTAGAGACAGGGTTTCACCATGTTGGCCAGGCTGGTCTCAAACTCCTGACCTTGTGATTTGCCCACCTCGACCTCCCAAAGTGCTGGGATTACAGGCGTGAGCCACCGCGCCCAGCTCCCTCTACCATGTTTCGATGCAGCACAAAAACCCTCACCAACAGCTAAGCAGACGTTGGGGCCATGCTTCTTGTACAGCTTGCAGAACTGTAAGCTAAATAAACCTTTTTAAAATAAACTACCCAGCCTCAGGTATTCCTTTATAGAAACACAAAATGGACTAATACAAGCCCTCTTTTGCTTCAATCAGGCTGAGCCTCTTCTAGTTTCCTAGGTTAGATTATGTTCCTAATTAATTTAGCCAGAAGTATTGTGTTAGATTGGGTTCTTCAAGAAGTAGACTTCAAGAAAATATTAGGCATACAAGAGGTTTATCGGGAGAAATCCCCATGAAGGATAAAGAAAAGGAAAAAAGAGAAGGCAAGGAGAGCTTTCAGACCATGGGCAAATCTGATGCTTGTGAAGAAGAGGGGCAAGGAAGGAAAATTGGAGAGAAGAGTCTCACATGCAGGATAATTTTTTAAAGTTTCAGCAAGGTTGAGAGGGAGTCCTTGAGCCAAAGTTACCCATTAAAGGAGCCCTTCTTCTTGCAGGAATGGGCCTGCATTAGTCTCCCCGCCTTGCTCAGTCACAGACTCAGAGCATCTCCCGAGAAGGATGGCCTTGGCATGAACTCAGGGCTGGGTCCCCACTGGCAGCAGCTGAAGCCATCAGTCAGTTGTGCTCCCTGAAGCAGGAGATTTGAGCAGTGTTTTATAATGGCCACCTCAAATACAGAATCTTAGCAGATAAGAAATTGCCTCATGGAGAAGGCATAACTGGCCTCTCTGCATACATTATGTACCATGATGCTCTGTATCAATTAGGATTGCTTTTAGCTGCAAGTAATAGAACATTTAGTCGAAAGTGGCTCAAATGAAGTGGTACACCTTTTTTCCACAGAAGTTTAGTGATAAACAGTTGAGGTCCTTGATTCTGCAGCTCAACCATGACAAGATTGCTGTATACAGTTTCCTTGGTTTTTCCCTTATACTTGCCTCTTCATGTTTTATGCATGATGTCTGTAGCATCTCTAAATGTCATATCCATACTGAAAGCAGGAATAAGGAGGAAGCATGCTAGTGGTATAGCCACATCAGTTTCCTTTTATTGAGAGATAAAAGTCTTCACAGAAATGCTATCCTCCTTAGAGCTCTACTTAGATCTCATCTGGCAAATATGGATTATATGGCCATGTTCACTCAAGGAGAGGATGGGAACACTGGAATAAAACTGTCAAGTGGGTATAGAAAAATCTTCATCCACTACCCTGGCTGGGGACATGACTGTCTTGAATAATATTGTATGAACATTGTCAGAATCAAACTGGAGTTGTTTTGTTAAAAAAAAAAAAAAAAAAAAAAAAAAAAGGCCAGGCACGGTGGCTCACACCTGTAATCCCAGCACTTTG
The DNA here is from genome assembly GCF_000001405.40 of Homo sapiens. Taxonomy (NCBI): domain Eukaryota; kingdom Metazoa; phylum Chordata; class Mammalia; order Primates; family Hominidae; genus Homo; species Homo sapiens. The sequence goes on from NC_000013.11 coordinate 44,637,432, forward strand.
GGAGGCCGAGGCAGGCAGATCACCTGAGGTCAGGAGTTCAAGACCAGCCTGGCCAACATGGTGAAACACTGTCCCTACTAAAAATACAAAAATTAGCCAAGCGGGGTGACATGCACCTGTAATCCCTGCTACTTGAGAGGCTGAGGCAGGAGAATGGCTTGAACCCAAGAGGTGGAGGTTGCAGTAAGCTGAGATTGTGCCATTGCACTCCAGCCTGGGCAACAAGAGTGAAAATCCATCTGGAAAAAAAAAAAAAAAAAGCAAAAAATAAAAGAAACAAAAAAACCTGACAGCCAAGGAAGGCCATGAAGAGGGAGTTCTCAAGCATAAATACCTGATAACAAAAACTATTACAAAAGACTGCAAAAACCACAATCTTGCACAAAGGCCATTGCAATCTTACACAAAAATACTTGTAACAAAAAATACTTCTGTGACTGGAACACTTATTCTGTTTTATAGAATGAAGTGTTGCCTGATAAAAATTTTTTTTTCTTTTTTTTTTTGAGATGGCATCTAGCTCTGTCACCAGGCTGAAGTACAGTGGCATGATCTCAGTTCACTGCAACCTCCGCCTCCTGGGTTCAACTGATTCTCCTGCCTCAGTTCCCAAGTAGCTGGGATTAAAGGCACACAACACCACACCCAGCTAGTTTTTGTATTTTCAGTAGAGACAGGATTTCACCATGTGGGCCAGGAGGGTCTCGAACTTCTGACCTAGTAATCAGCCCACCTCAGCCTCCCAGTGTTGGGATTACAGGCATGAGCCACCACGCCAGGCCTTTGTTTTATTTTTCAATTTGAGACAGGATCTCACTCTGTCATCCAGGCTATAGTGCAGTGATGCAGTCACAGCTCATTGCAGCTTTGAACTCCCAGGCTCAAGTGATCCTCCCACCTCAGTCTACTGAATAGCTGGGACTACAAGCATGTGCCACCATGCCTGACTAATTTTTTAATTTTTTGTAGAGATGGGGTCTTGCTTTGTTACCCCAGGCTGGTCTCGAACTCCTGGGCGCAAGTGATCCTCCTGCCTCAGCCTCTCAAAGTGCTATGATTACAGATGTGAGTCACTTCACCTAGCCAACCAATAAAATGTTTCTATAAAAATGAAAATATATAATAAACAAACAAACAAAAAATATTTCTTTGAGGACATCTGTCCAGCAACTGCCTGTACCTCCTGGAACTGGCATCAGGGTCTTATTGATCCTTGTAGCCAAGGATAGTTATCTCAAAACAATATGTAATCCTCATTTTTCCTTTAAAATCCTTTGTCCTTACCTCCTTGAATATGCACATACTATGATATGTGTATTTCTATTGCAATGCCCTATTCCTACATAAGTATAACTTTCCTCTAGAAAGCCCCTCTCTGTTATTTAGGTTGATAATTGGGAGTCTATTAGTAAGGAGGAAGAAGGGAAGAGATGTTAGATAGGTGACTAAGAATTTGCCTTCTCAGGCTGGGGACAGTGGCTCATGCCTGTAATCCCAGCATTTTGGGAGGCTGAGGCGGGCAGATCACCTGAGGTCAGGAGTTCGAGACCAGCCTGACCAACATGGAGCAAACCTGTCTCTACAAAAATACAAAAAATTAGCCAAGTGTGGTGGTGCAAACCTGTACTCCCAGCTACTTGGGAGGCTGAGGCAGGAGAATTGCTTGAACCCAGGAGGCAGAAGTTGCAGTGAGCCAAGATCACACCACTACACTCCAGCCTGGGCAACAGAGCAAGACTCCATCTCAAAAAAAAAGTAAAAGAATTTGTCTTCTGCAATGGAGCTTCTATTCTCACTCTTGACCTGTTTAACAGCAGCAGAAGTCTTAATGTCTGCAGTGTTCCTCAGAGCCATTCAGTCAATCAGTAATTATTCAATAGAACTATTTTCCTGAACAGTGTTAGGTGCTAGATTCTGGGAGAAACAACTGCCAGTTCCTAGCAGAACTTAAGTAGTACATTTATACAGCTTTTAATATAATACGGTGCCTAGTGAGTATTAAAATAATGAATGAATAAGGCAACTCTGATGCAATAATTATACAAAGCAATGAGAAGTGCTATAAGGAGGACTCCATATTTTCTCCATTTTCGTTTTTTTTTTTTTTTTTTTGAGACTGAGTTTCGCTCTTGTTGCCCAGGCTAGAGTGCAGTGGCACGATCTCAGCTCACCACAACCTCCACCTCCTGGGTTCAAGCGATTCTCCTGCCTCAGCCTTCCTGAGTAGCTGGGATACAGGCATGTGCCACCATGCCCGGCTAATTTTGTATTTTTAGTAGAGATGGGGTTTCTCCATGTTGGTCAGGCTGGTCTTGAACTCCCAATCTCAGATGATCCACCCACCTCGACCTCCCAAAGTGCTGGGATTACAGATGTGAGCCAACGTGCCCAGCCACCCATTTTCTTTTAAAAAATCATTTTCTATTCCTCATGATAGCCTCTCATTTGCCAGGATCTAGAGCAGCATTGTCTAGTAGAACTTCTGCAAAGATGATAATGTTGTATATTTGCATGGTCCAATATGATAACCACTAACCACATGTGGCTATTGAGGACATGAAATGTGGCTAGTGCAACTGAGGAACAAAAGTTTACATTTTATTTATTTATTTTTAAAGACAGGATCTCACTCTGTCACCCAGGCTGGGGTGCAGTGGCTCAATCACAGCTCATGTATCCTGTATATCCTGGGCTCAAGTAATCCTCCCATCTCAACCTTCTGAGTAGCTGGGACTACAGGCATGCACCATCCATGTGGCAAATTTTATTTTATTTTTTGTACAGATGGAGTCTTGTTGTGCTACCCAGGTTGGTCTTGAACTCTTGGCCTCAAGTTATCCTACTGCCTCAGCCTCCCTTTACTTTTTTTTTTTTTTTTGAGACAGGGTTTCACTTTCCTCATCCAGGCTGGAGTGCAATGGTGCGATCTCAGCTCACTTCAACCTCTGTCACCAGAATCATATGATTCAAATGATCCTCCTGCCTCAGCCTCTCAAGTAGCTGGTACTATAGGTGAGTACCACCATGCTTGGCTAATTTTTTTTAATTTTTATTTTTAGTAGAGATGGGATTTCACCATGTTGCCCAGGCTGGTCTTGAACTCCTGAGCTCAAGTGATCCACCTGCCTTGGGCTCCCAAAATGCTGGGATTACAGGCATGAACAACAGTGCCCAGCTTTTATTAAAATTTAAATAGCCAAATGTACCTAGTGACTACTGGCTAATGAATCAGGCAACGCTGTTGTAGAGTGCTTGAGTATTAGTAATTCCATGAAGTTAGTAAAAATAAGAACCTAATGTTAATGTGTTTCATTCACTTCAGTTATTATTGGGGCAAATCAAGATTACCTTAAATCCTTTTTTCCAATATTCTTAATATCTACACATTAGTGCTTTTCAAATGAAGTTATTTTATCAAGTTCTTTCAAGCTTAACTATTCTTTTCTATAAATAGAATTAACTATTTAGAGGTGACAAAAGTAGGTGACAAAGATCTGATAAGAAATATGAGTCTAGTTTATGCATTTTTTTACTTGTTTGAAGTTAGCAATAGTTTTTATATGATTATGTCAGATTCCAAATATGAGCTGTTAGTGCTTGTATGGGAAAGATTTTTTCCATTTGCAGTGAGCATAAAATCTGCTTCTCCATCAAGAGTACTAAGTTCCTTTTGAACAATGCTTATTCTCTCCCTTACCAGTTTGGTCCTTAACTACTTACTACCCTGTAAAAATTCTGAATAACTATTTGTATTGCTATCTAAATCTTGTTTGTTATTTAATTTTAAATATATGCATAACCTAGATCCCTACTTTTATACCTTAAGCTTCCTGAGGGCAACATGCAATTTGGGTTTGGTGGAAAAAAATCCCTGGACTTAAAGTCAGGTTATGGAAATTTCAACAATCTTTTTGAGCCTCACATTTCTAATAGATAAAATGAGAATAATAATAATATTGGTTTCACTGGGTTCTTCAGGGCATCAAATGAGGTGTATGTGAAGTTCTCGGGGGATGCTCAAGTACTAAGTCACTGCTAGATACTCTGTTTCTTGGTGTCCTTTATAGCAAAACCATAGGAAGAGCTCACTGAATAATCACTTAATGAGTGAATGAATGGATATAGAGGACTAAGGAACTATAGTTTTTAGTGATTTTTTTAGTGATTTAAATGAGCAACTGAATCCAGGTGGCTGGGACAACATATTTGCCTGGGTCTATGGTCCCTTTACCACCTTCAGGGCTCTCATCCCTGATTGTCTTATCATAAGCCTGGGTTATTATAAAAGATGTGTCTGTTGGAAAGCTTTTGCCTGTGAGCCACAGAAGACTTGCCAATCCTGAAGTGCTTTAAACATAACAGGCTTCTTTGTGTGTGTGTGTTTGGAGACAGGGTCTCATTCTATGGCCCAGGCTGAAGTGCAGTAGTACAATCAGGGCTCACTGCAGCCTCCACTTCCTGGGCTCAGGTGATCCACCCGCCTCGGCCTCCCAAAGTGCTGGGATTACAGGTGTAAGCCACCATGCCCGGCCTAGTAACAGGCTTTTTCTTCTTCTTTTTTTTTTTTCTTTTTTTTTTTCAGGCAGGGTCTTGCTCTGTCACCCAGGCTGGAGTGCAGTGGTGCCATCTTGGCTCACTGCAACCTCTGCCTCCCAGCTTCAAGTGATTCTCCTGCCTCAGCCTCCTGAGTAGCTGAGATCACAGGCACACACAACGCCCTGCTAATTTTTGTATTTTTAGTAGAGATGGAGTTTCAACATGTTGGCCAGGTTAGTCTCCAACTCCTGGCCTCAAGTGATCCACCCACCTCGGCCTCCCAAAGTGCTAGGATTACAGGCGTGAGCCATGGCGCTAGCCCATAATGGGCTTCTTATCTCACTCACATAACTAGAAGTCCACGGGGAGGGTAGTTCTAGGTTTGCTTACTACCGCGGGACCCTGATGCCGTGAAGTACCTGGGTGCTTTCCTCTTTCTGGTTCAGCAGCTCAACATCCCCAGTGTCTTGCCCATGTCTCCTCTCATGGGCTCCAGGGGCTGCAGCACTTCCAGGCATCATATGCGGGTATGAAGGTATCCAGCAAAGGAGAGAAGTGTGTTCTCCTGTGCATCTTTTTCTATTTATTTATTTATTTATTTATTTAGATGGAGTCTTACTCTATCGCCCAGGCTGGAGTGCAATGGCACCATCTTGGCTCACTGCAACCTCCGCCTCCTGGGCTCAAGTGATTCTCTTGCTCAGCCTCCCGAAGCGCGCGCCACCACGCCCAGCTAATTTTTGTATTTTTAGTAGAGACAGGGTTTCACCATGTTGGCCAGGCTGCTCTCGAACTCCTGGCCTCAGGCAATACACCCTCCTCGGCCTCCCAAAGTGCTGGGATTACAGGTGTGGGCCACCGCGCCTGAGATCTTTTTGTTTTTGTTGTTTTGTTTTGTTTTGTTTTTGACACGGAGTCTTGCTCTGTCACCCAGGCTGGAGTGCAGTGGTGCCACCTCAGCTCACTGCAACCTCCGGCTCCTGGCTTCAAGTGATTCTCCTGCCTCAGCCTCCCAAGTAGCTGGGATTACAGGCACCTGCCACCATGCCCGGCTAATTTTTCTATTTTTTTTTTTTTTTAGTAGAGACAGGGTTTCAGCATGTTGGTCAGGTTGGTCTTGAACTTCTGACCTCAAACAATCCACCCACGTCGGCCTTCCAAAGTGCTGGGATTACAGGCATGAGCCACCACACCTGGCCTCATCTTTTTGTTTTTAATTGATGAGGAAAAGCTTCCTCAGAAGTAGCTCCAGTATCTTACCCTCAAATAAGGATTGGGTCACGGTGCCAAAGCCTACACCAGTCGCTGGCAAAGAGAAGGACACTGCTATGATTGCCTTTGACAATGAATGCCTTCCATGAGCTCATGGCTGCAGAGTGAAAGCCAGAATGGGTGAGTTGAAACCGGCTGTTGAGTACGCAATGAACAGTGTCTGCTACAAAAAGCAAGACCTGTTAATCTTTTCTAGTGGAGCTGAACTTGGACCTCATATGGATGGGGCTCTGGAAGGGCCCCAGACATGGGAAAGGAGCTCTGATCTTTATCCGTGACTACAAGTGTGACAAGCAGAGGAGAAGAGTTGACGCAACCTACCTCGTACCTTTCTTTCATTGGCCTTCCTCTGAGGAAGGAGTCTTTGGCTTTAAGTACTCATCGTCCAATTTTTCTAGGTCTAGGCTAAGAGATGGTGAAATAGAGGAAGTTAAGAATTGCTTGAGAGCAAAGGTACGTTATCATGACCGCTACCACCTTCATTGTCATCGTGATTGCCACCATCACCAGCCGGCAACCTTCTTGAGATGCCCACTTGCAGTGACACTGTATTCTATGCTGGGCAGAATCATCTGGGTCAACATGACCCCAAGCCATACAGGCTCTGGGTCTCAACCTTTGTTCTGCAGGGACACACCTGCTGGAGGACATTTGCCTGGGGCACCAGCTCCCAGGGCTTCATAAATGCTTTATGGGCCTAGGCCATGAGTTATACTCAATCCCACCCACATCCCACCCCACAAATTATGGCTCCTTTCCTTTCTCTTGTACAGATAATGACATACCAATAGCTCATGACATCAGAGCTGAAGGCTACTGCTTGAAGGATTTATAATCCAAAAGAATTAATTATGCAGATAAAAATGCTGGCAACATGCAGAGAATAAGACTTTTTAAAAATGTGAATAGATCAATTAAGCAGTTCTGTTATTTACTTGTCATAAGGAAGTGCCTGTGAGGAAGGAAAAGTGGGGAAACATGGGGGACCTCTTGGAGTAAGAAAAATGCCACTTTTTAAATGATTCAAAAAATGCCTATTTGTTAATATATGCTCCATGTTCTTAACGCGCACAACTCTACAACTCAACTAATTATCATTGGCATCACCAGGTTACTCCAAAAAATGCTAGGCAGTGTGTTTATGTTAAAACAAACAAGCAAGCAAACTTCATTTTCCAATCAATAGTGTACCTTACTCTCCTCTCTTCTTATTTAGTTACCATTTAGCCAGGAAGAGGTGGGGAGTCCACCTTCCTGAATAAAAGATTTGATAAATCATCTTCCTTGCCCTATTGAAATTTCAGGTTGGCTGGGCATAGTGGCTCATGCCTGTAAGTAATCCCAGCACTTTGGGAGGCCGAGGTGGGTGGATCACCTGAGGTCAGGAGTTCGAGACCAGCCTGGCCAACATAGTGAAACCCCTCTCTGCTAAAATACAAAAATTAGCCAAGCATGGTGACGCACACCTGTAGTCCCAGTTACTCAGGAAGCTGAGGCACGAGAATTGCTCGAACCTGGGAGGCAGAAGTTGCAGTGAGCTGAGATTGTGCCACTGCACTCCAGCCTGGGCGACAGAGCAAGACTCTGTCTCAATAAATAAATAAATAAACTTTAGATTTATCCATTTTTAAAATCATTTGCACGAGTATAGAAAAATATTAATAGATTTGAAGCAATGTCCTTTACACTGCATGCAGTTAATAAATCCTTAAAATGATAAATGATAAAATTAAAGTAAATTTTCCTTTGAGAGTCAGTCTGTTTTGGTATAATGACTCTGTTAGACATTATTACATAATACAAGGACTTTTTTCTAATGTGACCTCACCCCAAACTACACACTCTGTACCACAAATAGAATGAGTGTGATTTCCTGAAAAATAAATTAAAACATGAAAATCTATGCAATATGGATCATTCTGCCATTTTTTTCTCTAATGAGCAAAACAGAGATTTCTCTCTTATTTTAATGACTTTTTTTCTAATAAGTGTTTAAAATATCTTGAAACCAGAAAACACCTTTACATAAAACTATTCACTTTAAGCAAGTCTTTTTGTGACCCAGGATTTAAAAATATACAACCTTGGGTGTGAGTTTTCATCTAGACCTTGTTAGGTGATTAATTCTTCCTCAATGCTAGAATCCCTCTGCCATGTATCTTACCTCATTCTGGGTATCTCTGCAGACACCTGGAACAAAAACTTCATAAATAAAATGATTTTTATTTGGCTTTATGTTTTTTTCTGTGCTGGGGCTCAAAGAAGAGGCCTTTTGTTACAGAAACTCTTCATTTGTGCTTATGGTAAAGGACGGGGGAATGGAAATTTCTTTTCTCCTCTTGGGACAAGCAGAGTATTTCCCCTCATGGCTGCCTTTGCTGCCATAACTTCTATGAAACATCCCACTCTTCAGCTCCCGAAGGGGAGCCATTGGTCCTAAGGGTAAGGTACCACTTTTTTGTTAATGCCTCTATGAAAGATTTACCTATCTTGTAACAACAACGACAACAACACTATAGGAACAAAACAACAAACTAATACATAGATAGCACTATGCATTTTAAAATGAAGGGATCTGAAATGCACCTCAGTAGCATAAAAATTATTCCAAGCGGCCGGGCGCAGTGGCTCCCGCCTGTAATCCCAGCACTTTAGGAGGCTGAGTTGGTTGGATCACCTGTGGTCGGGAGTTCGAGACCAGCCTGGCCAACATGGTGAAACCCTGTCTCTACTAAAAATACAAAAATTAGCTGGGCATGATGCTGGGCGCCTATAATCCCAGCTACTTGGGAGGCTGAGGCATGATAATCGTTTGAACCTGGGAGGCGGAGGTTGCAGTGAGCTGAGATTGTGCCATTGCACTCCAGCCTGGATGACAAGAACGGAAGTCTGTTTCAAAAAAAAATATTTCAAGCTAAAAGCATCTGAAGAAGTAGCAGCCGTGAAAAAGGAAACCTTTTCTAAACTTCATTTTGCTGACTTAAGCAGGATCTTCCAAAAATTATAGCTGCCATAAATTCCCTCTCCAGGGGGTTTACAGCCAGCAAGGAGACTAACCATTAGTACTGGGATGAGCAATTGCTTAAACAAATTATCTGAAACTGTCATACCTTTCATTTGGTCTTCCATGGAAGCCCTTTCTCCTGCCTCCTTTTTCTCTATGTAGTTGGTATAAACTCCTATCTCTAGCTGCTTGAGGAGCCATTTCTTTTTCTTTTTCTTTTTCTTTTTTTTTTTTTTTAGAGATAGGTTCTCATTCTGTCACCCAGGCTGGAATGCAGTGGCACCTTCATAGCTCACGGCAGCCTTGAACTACTGGACTGTAGCCATCCTCCCACCTCAGCCTCCCAAATAGGTAGGACCACAGGCGTGCACCACCACACCCAACTAATTTTTATTTTTATTTTTTTGTAGAGATGTGGTCTTGCTATGTTGCCCGGGCTCAAATAATCCTCCCACCCAATCCCAAAGTGCTTGGGATTACAGGTGTGAGCCACTGTGTCCAGCCTTGAGGAACTATTTAATCTAGAGGCTCCTACCCACATAATAAACTTTGTCTTCTCTCTGTTAATCTGTCTACAGTCAGTTAAATTTGTAAGCCCCTAGCCGCTGAACCCAAGCTGGAAGAGGAAAAGCTTTTATCCCAACAATATTATCTCACTTAACACTCACAGCAGCCCTATTGTACTCCCATTTTTCAGATAAGGAAACCAAGTCTTTGAGAGGTTAGGAAACTTATTCAAGACCACACAGTCATTAAATGGCAGAGTTGGGGTTTGAATACTTATTGCTTGAAATAGGGAAAACACAGCTGATTGTTCTGATACACTAAATGCACAATGTCCTGGAACAGCTGGGTTATTGATCCTATTTTCCTTTTTTTTTTTTTTTTTTGAGACAGGGTCTTACTCTGTCACACAGGCTGGAGTGCAGTAGTGCGACCTCAGCTCACTGCAACCTCTGCTTCCCTTGCTCAAGCAATCCTCCCACCTCAGCCTCCTGAGTAGCTGGGACCACAGGTGCACACCACCATGCCCGACTAATTTTTTGTATTTTTTTTGTAAAAACAGGGTTTTGCCATGTTGCCCAGACTGATTGATTCTATTTCCTTGTTCCTTTGATATTTAAAGGTATGAGGGCAGAGCTGCAGAACAGGTTGGAGGCAGCAGCTTGGTTCCAGACAACTCAACAAAAGGAGATTTCAGAGGGAGAGTATCTGAAGTTAAGAGCCAACTGAACATTGTGTTATGTTAGTACCTGTGGTCAGGCAGCAAACTGAGAAGGAAGAGGGAAAAAAATATGGTCATGTACATAAGTATGGTCCTACACCAGCTTAGGGGCCCAGAGATCCCCCCTGAGAGATTGTTCTTGGACCAGAGGTTCACAACCTTAGTCTTGTCATGACACCCAACAGAGGTGAGGATTTTAGGCACAAACCCCTCCTCAATCTCATGCCCAGGAAGCTCATGGAATAGACCTGAGTGAGATTTATTTATTTATTTATTTATTTATTTATTTATTTATTTAGAGACCAAGTCTCACTCTGCCACCCAGGCTGGAGTATAGTGGTACAATCTCGGCTCACTGCAACCTCCACCTCCCCAGTTCAAGTGATTCTTCTGCCTCAGCCTCCCAAGTAGCTGGGATTACAGGTGCCCACCACCATGTCTGGCTAATTTTTATATTTTTAGTAGATACAGGGTTTCACCATGTTGTCCAGGCTGGCCTCAAACTCCTGAACTCAGGTGATCCACCCACCTCGGCTTCCCAAAGTGCTGGGATTACAGGTGTGAGCCACTGCGCCCGGCCAAGCAACATGTTCTTTTAAGCGCCACTAATCTGCTCACATTTATTTAATAATAATAATAATGGTAGCTACTAATAAACACTCTGCAGCTTGGTTATTAGCAAGGTGTGTGCAGCATCTACCTGGACTATGGAAAACCAGTCGTTTGGTCCACCAGGAAAGTGCCCCTTTGTACTGTGGTCCATCTGATTCCAAAGAGAATGAATGGCCACAAAAGGTGGTAGTCACTGCCTCCTCTCCCAGATGCCAGGCTTGACCTCTCTGGGCATCTTCTCATAGCCCTGGTTGCTTTGCACCTTGGCATGCAAAGACAAACACCAGCACGGAGAGGCACCATTCTGCATAGAGCTGGTACCTACTTTGCTAGTCTTGAGCATGGAGGAAAAACTACAGTCAACAAAATGAAGTTTTCAAGCTAAGAAACAAAGATCAGATTTCAATAATAAAGAGGGAAACTTGGAAAGTCTTAAATTGAGCAATGGCTTTCATGGCCCTTGGGGCTGCCTCTGCAGAGGCAGTTAATCATCCGCCTGAACAATCAAATCAATACCCATGACCTTTCCTTTCAGTTGTTTCTCCTGCTGTCTCTCCCCCTACAGTCAAAGGGAAGATATTGCAATTATTTACTTTAGAAAAGAAACATGAATATAAAGCAAGTTTATAAATTATGTGTTACTAAAATGAAATTCTCTAAGGAAATCATGTTTAGACACTGTAATTATAAGGCATATTTTTGGTAATATTTATAGTTATAACATCTTCACGTGTATCAGTTTATCTGATCTATTATAGTTTCCACCCACTATCTCATACAGAATGTGGGATAAATTACTTCTGAAAGGAGGGAAGTGTTCATTTCTGTATCCTGGATGGGTGGAGATAGGGGAGGGTAAGTGAGCTGATTAAACTTTCACAAGTCAGTTCACTGAGCAAAGTATCCTGTATCCTCCAGAATATCTTACAGTCATAACTCTACTGACATGTTCTGAAATTAAACTCAAAAGACTCAAAACCTGTGATTTTCTACAGATCTTTGATATATTTTTGTAAACTGAAATAGACTGTGATCAGCAGTTGTTTCTCAGACCCATCAAGAATTCATTGTACCTGCAGGAGAGGCCCACACAGTTTGCCTTCTCAAGTTTCTCTTCCAAGAGACAATAAACAATACCTCCCTGCAGAGTGGTGAGAATGAGTTTGCCTCTCAAGTTAAAAGGAGGTGGGAAGTGTGAGGTGAGGTCAGGGAGCACTGTGGCAAAGTCAGCGGCTGAACTTGAAACCCATCCGACAGTTAGGTGTCAATGTTGACTGTGGTTAAAAGAGAAGCCCCACTAAAGGTCCTCAAAGTTGTGGAAAAACTGAAGCACCTTCCTACTCGCCTTTAGCAATCAACTCTTTTAATAGCAGCATGAAATTTTCTTATGACCAAACCTTTCTTGGCCATGAAAAACCATGGCCGAGTGAATAATTATTTATTTAAATAGGGCCTGGTCATCTGCTTTGTGCTTTTTCTGGGTGTCTTCCTCTAGAAAGCCCTCCTTGCACTTCTGTCGGGGGCTGAGGGTCCCCTATCTGAAGTCTTGTAGCACTCCGGCTTGCCTCTAAGCCTTCACTGTATCGAGATTTTCTGTTCATGGGGTCATTATGGAAGGGGGGCGCAGCGGGGAGAGGAATCACCATTGATAGTGTTTGTAAAATGTGTCATTGATAGTAAAATGACAAGGGTACAAAGGCAGCAGTAGTATGCATGGAGAGGAGATGACCAACAAATTCAACAGAAATTTTAGACATGAAGTCCATAGACCTTGGCTATTGATTGTATGGGCAGACCTGAGGGATAGGGAGGGATAAGCTTAAGTGATGGGTGGATGGTATTATCACATAGGGAGCTAAGGAATATAGAGAATGTGGAGCTTCAAGCAGTGAGGCCAGAAGAAGATAATGAGTCATTGTTGGCCATGCTGATGTTGAGGTTCTGTGGGTCTTGTATGCATATGGGAAGTGGTTGGGTATAAGACTGGAGCTGAAACAGAGGTTAGGACTGGAAATGTAGATTTGGGCTTTCTGGTGACCATGGAGGTGGGCTGTTGGGATATCCTGATGGGAGAACCTGCTACTAGGAGTGTAGTTGGCAGACTTTCTTCTCCTTTACTCCAGTCTGGGGCTCTTCCTTCCTACCCAATCCTCTTTCCTGCCCCTTTTCCTTTCACAGATATCTGATTGGTACAATGGTCTGAAGGCTGGCCCTGCCTTCTTTTGCTCCCTCTCTTCTTTATCTCTTGCAGGCATTTCTCCCAATAATGCCTGGTACCTCTCATTCCCTTTTGGTGTCTGCTTCTTGGAGAGACTGAACTGACACAGAAGTCATTGATATGCAGGTAGCTAATAATTAAAAGAATGGGAGCAAATCGGACATCCCTGGGAGAACATATAGAATGAAAACAAAAATGTTGAAATGTTAAAATTAATAAAAAGATTGAGGAGAAGAACTCACACGTAGGTAGTGATAAGGGTTTCCTGGGGCTAGACCACGTGGGTTTGAGGCAGGTCCCACCTCTTCTGAGCTTTGTCACTCTTAGCAGATTGCTTAGCCTTTCCCAGCATTGCTTTCTTTGTATAGGAAAGGGGGGAAATAATAGTACTCATTAAAGATTTGGGTGGGCATGGTGGCTCATGCTTGTAATCTCAGCAATTTGGGAGGCTGAGGCGGGAGGATGGCTTGGGACCAAGAGTTTGAGACCAGCCTGGGCAGCATAGGGAGAACCCTATCTCTACAAAAGATAAAAATGTATTCAGGTATGGTGGTGCGTGCCTGTAGTCCTAGCTACTTGGGAGGCTAAGGCAGGAGGATTGCTTTAGCCCAGGAGTTTGAGGTTACAGTGAGTTATGATCATGCCAGCCTGGGTGACAGAGCGAGACCCTGCCTCTTAAAAAAAAAAAAAAAAGTTTGTTGTGTAGATTAAAATGAGCTAATATATGTAAAGTGCTTAGAAAACCACCTGCACAAATTAAGGCCAGAGTGCAGGTTGGTCACTATCATCAGGTGGAATGGATGAGGAGCTCCAGAGTAGCCAGGAAGGGGAGGACTCAAATGGCAGCAACACAGAGCCAAGGAAGTGGAAGTTTCAAAAAGAACACAGTCTCCAAAGTTATGAAGAACTGAGGAGAAGAAGAAGGTGAAATAACATCCAGTAGGCCTGGAAATGAATGATGACCTTGGCAAGGGCTGCCTCAGTGGCATGAGGAAGCTGAAAGCCAGAGGACAGTGGCTTGTGTAGGGAGAGTAGACAGTCTCCACTCCTTCCAGAGCCTGGCTTGGAAGTAAAACAGAGTGAGAGGGTTGTGGTCGGTCAGATGGGGGCGCTCAAGAGCCCAGGAGGAAAGTCAAGCTTCTTTATAGGCAGAAAGTAATATGGTACCTGAAGACAGGAATAGAATGATGTTTTGGATGGCAGGGTGTTCTTAGGAATCAGGAAGGTGGGCTCCCAAGCACAGGAGGAATGGATCTGGCCAGCAGGAAGGATGGCTAATGTTCTGAGACCCAGTAGGTAAGAATGAGGATAGACTACAAGGTCAGAGGACAGAAGCATGAAGGCATTTCCAAGAGTGCATCTGTAAATCTGAAGAGGGCTGAAGTGGGGAAGGCAATCTGAAAAAAGCGAGGGAAAAAACAAAACAAAACATTTCACTGATATGTGTGACCCTTTTCACCTAGCAGTGAAGGAAACTCATGTTGACTGAACACCTCCCCTGGGATGTGTGGGACCTGGGATGAGAACTTTCACATAGCTGCTGTGTTCATGTCCATCACCACCCTGTGAGGTAGGTATATTATTCCCATTTCACAGATGAGGAAAGCTGAGGCTCAAAGATTGAGTCATTGGTCTAAGATGTACAAGGTCTAGCAGAGCGCTCGATAAGTAATTGTTGAATGAATGGACTGCACAGATCATGCTCTCCAACGGGTTGTATACTTGTGTGATGCTTTTCCCCAAAGGTCTTTTTACTGTTGAAAGGATTCTTATATAGTTAAGTCTTGGATCAGTCATAACCTCCAAAAATGTGACAGTACTGAAAAACACAAAAAGTGGCTGGACAAGGAAATGCCTGTGCTACCTTATTTACCCCAAACAGAAAAGCTACTTAAAAGATTATGACTGACTGGGAAATGTGATTTGGTTGGACAAAAGCACTTGAAGCTCTAGTCCCTAACAATTCCATCCAGGACCTCCCTGAGAGTCAGAATTGATGTGTGGATTGTTTTAGTTTGACTGTTAATAATATCTGGATGAAAATGCCTGCCAAAACATTTCACTGGGGGATTTAGAATATGCTTTCCAAGTCTACAACTGAAGGGCAGCAGCCGATGTTAATGTGTGCCTGTTGGCATTCGCCAGTTCATCTGGCCAAATGACAAATCACCATCGTGTCCTCAAGAACACTGTGTGTTCTTGATAGTTTTAAGTCAAAATGTAATTGTGGTTCTTCTTGTAATTATACCAGTCAGAAAGAGAATGGTACAAATAATAAAATTTAAGGTAATAAATGAATAGAGGACTAGATTCCAAGTTCATTGTGGGCAGGGATTGGGTCTTATTTAAATTTTTATTATTCATTTTATTTTTTTAATTTTTAAACATTATTATTATTATTATTATTATTGAGATGGAGTCTTGCTCAGTAACCCAGGCTGGAGTGCAATGGCATGATCTCGGTTCACTGCAACCTCCGCCTCCCAGTTTCAAGCAATTCTCTTGCTTCAGCCTCCCGAGTAGCTGGGATTATAGGCGCCTGCCACCATGCCTGGCTAATTTTTGTATTTTTAGTAGAGATGGGGTTTCGCCATGTTGGCCAGGTTGGTCTCGAACTCCTGACCTCGGGTAATCCACCCACCTTGGCCTCCCAAAGTGCTGGGATTACAGGCATGAGTCACTGCACCCCAGTATTCATTTTAGAGGATTGGCCCAATGCTTGGCACACAATGTGTGCTAAGTGAATTCTTGCTGAATTAAGTTGAACTGCATCAACGTTGTAGACAGTGGAGTGGTCAGAGATCTGTAAACCATTTAAACCTGCTTCATTTTTCTTCAAGAGCAGAGCACAGAACTGTCACACAAAGCTGCTGTGTACATAAACACTCTAATTCATTATTGAGGTTCAAAATGAATTATTAATCTCTGAAAATAGTCCATAGCCAGGGTTGGCTGTCAGTGAAGCAGGAGAAAGGGTAACTAATCTTCCTGAATTGTATCCTTTCTTTCCCATCTTCAAGTCTTTGTGTTTGCAGCTCTTTGGTGCTGTGATTTCAATTCTCATTCTATCCCTGACTTACTGTTTGACCTCAAAATGAGTCACTTAATTTTAGTTAATAGCTAAGTTTCCCGTTCAGTGAGAGCCAAAGGGACCTGGCTCTATCATTAGCTAATATCAAGCCTCAAATGCTAGATGTGCTATTCAGTGCCATCCATCATCTCTGTAAGGCTAATGGAAATGAATCACAAATACAGTGCCCCAGGCGAATTCCCTCAACTCCTCCAAAATGAGTCCTTGGGGTTGCTCAGTCACTGTGTTGTACAGTAAGGGGGAAAAGATAAAGAAGCTGAGGATGGTTGCCCCAAGCCCAAAGGAGAAGATACCCTGGTAACAGAGGGCAGCAAGGAGAAAGCTCAGCTCTCTGGCCAGAGTCACTGTGATATGATCACCAACTTGGGCCCTTGGAAAGAGTAAACTAACCACCATATATATATATATATATATATATATGTATATATATGTATGTATGTATGTCAATCTAATCTTTAAAGTATATCTTATATATATGTATTGGAGACAAGATCTCACTCAATTACACAGACTAGAGTGCAGTGGCATGATCACAGCTCACTTCAGCCTTACCTCCTGGGCTCCAGCTACCCTTCCACCTCAGCCTCCCAAGTAGCTGGGACTACAGGTGTGTGCCACCACAACTGGCTTTTTTTTTTTTTTTTTTTTTTTTTTTTTGTATTTTTTGTAGACACAGGGTCTTTCTATGTTTCCCAGGCTTGTCTTGAACTCCTGGGCTCAAGCAATCCTCCTACCTCAGCTTCCCAAAGCACTGGGATTACAGTTGTGGACCAACTCGCCCAAGCCTCCGATATTTAAATTTCAGTGAAATAAAATGCAAGTTTATAGAATAAATCAATATGGAGTAATTACTCACACTTTTCATTTCTTTCTTTCTTTTTTTTTGAGACAGAGTTTCGCTCATGTTGCCCAGGCTAGAGTGCAATAGCATGATCTCGGCTCACAGCAATCTCTGCCTCCAGGGTTCAAGTGATTCTCCTGCCTTAGCCTCCTTAGTAGCTGGGATTACAGACACACGTCACCACGCCTGGCTAATTTTTATATTTTTGGTAGAGACAGGGTTTCACCATGTTGATCAGGCTGTTCTCAAACTCCTAACCTCGTGGTCCACCCGCCTCAGCCTCCCAAAGTGCTAGGATTAGAGGCATGAGCCACCCAGCGCAGCCTACTCACACTTTTCTAAGATTTGCCTCTTGCTTTCTTTAAATAGAAAACATCTCCAGAGCCTTTAAATAAGACATACTTTAAAGATTAGATTGACATACTGAACATCAGTAGCAATCTGAAAGTAAGAGGAATGCAGGCCAGGCGCGGTGGCTCACGCCTGTAATCCCAGCACTTTGGGAGGCCGAGGCAGGTGGATCACAAGGTCAGGAGATCAAGACCATCCTGGCTAATATGGTGAAACCCAGTCTCTACTAAAAATACAAAAAATTAGCCGGGAGTGGTGGTGGGCACCTGTAGTCCCAGCTACTCGGGAGGCAGAGGCAGGAGAATGGCGTGAACCCTGGAGGCGGAGCTTGCAGTGAGCTGAGATTGCGCCACTGCACTCCAGCCTGGGCAACAGAGCAAGACTCCGTCTCAAAAAAAAAAAAAAAAAAGAGGAATGCACAGCTTGTCTCAGAGAGCTATGGGTTATGAAGGATGAAATGCATAGGAAGTAGAGGCTGGGACTTCCTTAGCCAGGATGTAGGCGCAAATGCAGGCTCCACCCAAGCCTACATTTCTCAGGAAGGAAACAGCTCCACAGACGTGAAGCCCAAGGCACTGTGGGAAAGATCTATTAATAGAAGGGCCTGGCCGGGTGCTGTGGCTCACGCCTTTAATCCCAGCACTTTGGGAGGCCGAGGCGGGTGGATCACGAGGTCAGGAGATCGAGACCATCATGGCTAACACGGAGAAACCCTGTCTCTACTAAAAATACAAAAAAATTAGCGAGGCGTCGTGGCGGGTGCCTGTAGTCCCAGCTACTCAGGAGGCTGAGGCAGGAGAATGGTGTGAACCCGGGAGGCGGTGCTTGCAGTGAGCCGAGATTGTGCCACTGCACTCCAGCCTGGGGCACAGAGCGAGACTCTGTCTCTAAAAAAGTAAATAAATAAGTAAATAAATAAATAAATAAAAGAAGGGCCCTGTGTAGATGACTCGCCTTGACTACAGCCGACCTTAGAACACTTCACCCAAAGGGTGTGATCAATTGTGGGGGCTGTGGTCACAGTGCTCCTTGGGACACAGGCCTTTTGGAAACCCTGTAGAAACTGCATTGCCTAACTTGTCCCTCGAACAGCAGTACCTGCTGATTGAGGGTGTCAGACATGGAATTTGGCTGCATCGCCTTCTACTCTGTTGCCAGCCCACACACTGGCCTCTGTAAGCACCAGGGGAGTGCCTTTGAGTCCCCACCCACCTTGCTGCTCAGCTCGCAGCACCATCTGTGCACTTACTGGGTAACAGTAATAATGGATGGGCACTTCAATCACATATGAAAACCTCTAAAGCTCCACTTGCAGGGACTGTAAATCTCATATATAACTTTCCTAAGTGACTAATGAGATAGGTTCTCGACACGGCAGAAGGCTCCAGGAATCTTTATGATAACGGTAGTTTATGAATTTATTTTCTTGTGACAGTATTTACAAACTCCATGATTCATAGTAGACTCAATAAATATTCAATATGATAAAACACTAAACATGAAAGTAATGATTTGCACATGGATAGAATAAAAAGGGCTATTTCTCAATGTTGAGAGGGAAAAATATAACCATTAAGAAATTTATCTGAAAACAACAATATGCTATTTAAAATAACAATCCACCCAACCAGTAACAAAATATTTCAGTTGAACTGAGGCTGCCCTCAGTGGTCCCCTGACCATAGTACAGATCCCATAACTAGCAATCAGATTGAGATTTGTATTCCATTCATTTGTCAAAGTCTATATCAAAAGAGGTCTTTCTGGCTTCAGGTACACATGCAGTGAACAGCTTCTTTAAACTATTATTTGAGAGAAATAAGGTCAGATCCAAGGTAGTTATTTCCTTTTCAGCTTGCCCCTCATATTGAATTTGTTTAAGAGATGTAAATGAAGAGTGACAATTTTTTTCTGCCATACTAAAGTCATGAAATAAATGACCAGGGTTTTTGAATGGCTAATATGTTTTCTCTTGTGGGTTAATATGATTGAATGCTTATAAGTGCTTAATTTAGCTGGGCGCGGTGGCTCATGCCTGTAATCCCAGCACTTTGGGAGGTTGAGGTGGGCGGATCACGAGGTCAGGAGTTCGAGACCAGCCTGGCCAATATGGTGAAACCCCATCTCTACTATAAATACAAAAAAGCCGGGTGTGGTGGCACGTGCCTGCAGTCCCAGATACTCAGGAGGCTGAGGCAGGAGTATCGCTTGAACCCGGGAGGCGGAGGTTGCAGTGAGCTGAGATCGCACCACTGTACTCTAGCCGGGACAACAGAGTGAGAAGCTGTCTCAAAAAAAATTAAAAATAAAAAAATAATAAGTGCTTGATTTGCTTTAATGTTTATGTTCAATTTTTCGATGTTCTTTGCAGTGGAGAACCATTCCTTTTGTCTGGCATGCACCCACTTGCCTTTCTTTTGGCAATAGCATCTGGATTTTCTTTTGCAGAGCCATCCTTCCCTCACCTTAGGGGTGGAGGTACATGCTTTTGGGTGGCTATATCCAGACACTGGCAAGACATTTAGTCCTGGCCAATCAGAACTCAGTATCTTCCTGGAACCAGAATTGGTTCAAGAACAAGCCTGAAGTTTGTCAAAAAGGGACAGCCTGGGACATTTGCTGGAATGATTGGTCAAGAAGTCCTCTTTCTATGGAGGTTTCTAACTGGTGGGATGTAAGCTGCTTATTATCTTGACACCGGGCAGCAATGAGCCTAAGTTAGAAGAAAGCCACCTGACAGAAAGAGAAATATGACATCATCTGAGCACCTAATACATTCTCATTTTTGCTTAAGCCTGTTTGAGTTTGGTTTCTACTTGGAATTGAAAGTGTTCTGACTAATGAATACAATTTTTGATATGTTTTTCTTCCCCAATTATTTATTTTTAATGCTTTCAAACCCCACAAAAAGTAAGCAGCCTGGACAACATGACAAAATGCTGTCTACTAAAAATACAAAAATTAGCTGGGTGTGTTGGTACATACCTGTAGTCCCAGCTACTCAAGAGGCTGAGATGGGAGGATTACTTGAGCCTGGTAGGTTGAGGCTACAGAGAGCTATGACCACACCACTGCACTCCAGCCTGGGTGACAGAGCGAGATCTTGAAAAAAAAAAAAAAAGAGAAAGAGAAAGAAAGAAAGAAAGAGAGAAGAGAGAGAGAGAAAGAAAGGAAAGAAAGAAAATGAACATCTGTATACTCCTCACCTAAATTCACCAATTATTGATAATTTGACACACTAACCTTATCTCTACTTATCTACCTATTTGTATCTCTACCTATCATCTATCTTCATGTTTCGTTTTGCTATGACACAACCTCAACAATGTTATTACACAAGAAAATTAGGATCAATTTAATAATATCTAATAGTGGTCCATATTTAATTTTTCTTAATTGTATTCAATCTGCCTTTTAATTTTATTTTTTTAAACATAAGAGCCAATCAAGTTTCATGCTTCGAATTTAGTTGTTCTGTCTCTTTTATTTAGAATATACCCTTAATTTTAATTTTTTAAATGACATTCTCTTTTATTTTTATTTTTGTCTTTTATATTTTAGGACCCACAACAGTTGTCTTGTAGAATGTACCATATTCTGATTCATCTGATCATTTACTCAGGATTAGATTCACATTTTTAACACAAATACTTCCTAGGTAGCACATTATATGCACTTTTGTACCTTGCTTCTTTTTTCTCCCAACTATATATATTGGAAATTAATCCACTTAACCCATAACAGTTTTCCTCAGTATTTTTTAGGGTTGCATAGTATTCCATAATGTAGAATAAATCATAATAATTTATGATTAATATAATTAATTAAATAACATTTAAAATAATTTATAATTATTACATAATAATGAATCATGTTTCATGATTTATTCGACCAGTCTTCTAAGGATAGACATTTAGGTTGTTTCCTAATTTTTCTATTACAAAATTGTTACAATGAAAGCTCTTGTAAGTATGTTGTTTCATATATTTGGAGGCCTCTTTTCATGGTAAATTCTTAGAAGTGGCAGTGCTGGGTCAAGAGGTCAACTTATATGTAGCTTTGTTGGATGTTCCCAAATTCCAGTCTACTGGAGGTTGGTAAAATGTCTTGACATTTCTACCTTGTCTTTTAAAAATTTTATTTTTATTTTATATTTCATACAGGGTTTTGAATATCCTTAGGACACATCTGTTTTTCATTTTTTTTGCTTCACAGCACTAACATAGTCTATTGTTCATAGAAGGTGCTCAGTAGGTGCTGAATGTGTGAATAAATGAATGAATCAATGAATGAATGGGCTATTCTTTTCCACAATATCAGCATTGCTCACTCACTTGATGGGAAACTGGGACCCAACTAAGGTAAGAACGTTTTTCAAAGCCACTCTATCAGTCAGCAGAGGACATAAAAAACAGATAAATATGCAGGCAAGCAGGAAAAGGTGGGAGGCTAGCCTTGAAATTTTGAAGTACAACCAAGCACATTATATTAGCACTTAGAATGTGCCAAGCAAGAAAGATACAAAGAGTATAAAGATGATGCTGTGGAACTCAAGGAGGCTACAATCTTGTTATGTCTGTAGAGGTACAGGACACACACACACACACACACACACACACACACACACACACAGAGCAACAAAAAAAGGTGATTGTAATAAATATCAAATGGATGGTGCAGAAGTTTTTATACAATAGGAGTTACAAGGAGGGAAAACAAGAACTGCAGTTTGGAGTAAAGGAATGTACACTCAGTGGACAGATTCTGTTGCAGTCTTATTTTATTTTATTTAATTTTATTTTTTAGAGACAGTCTCACTCTGTCACCTAGGCTGGAGTGCAGCGGCACGATCATATAATAGCTCATTGTAACCTCAACCTCTTGTGCTCAAGTGATCTTCCCACCTCAGCCTCCCAAGTAGCTGGGACTACAGGTGCATACCACCATGTCTGGCTAATTTTTAAAATTTTTCATAGATACATAGTCTCACTATGTTGCCCAGGCTAATGGCGAACTCCCGGCCTCTAGTGATCCTCCTGTCTTGGCCTCCCAAAGTGCTGGGATTAAAGGCGTGAGCCATAGTGCCTAGCCTGTTGCAGCCTCGAGACTTGATTTGGATGAGGCAGAATTCAAATCAAAAAAGGGCCTAAGGAACAAATATGGAAATGTATGGTGTGTTCAAGGAATAGTAAGCAGATCAGCCCAGCTGGATGGAGCAGGGAGGTCTTACAGGGGAGCAGAGAGGTCTTACAAGAGAGCAGCGAGTACTGGAATTTACAATTTGTGGCCAAACTGGGGGGGAAATCATGAATGTCCTGCAAAGAAATATGGTAGATCATGGTAGCTATAGTTTTAGTTTCCACTAAAGTCTGTGTGTTTTCTCATGACCCCTTTTTTCTGTTTCTTTGGAGTAGTCCTTTCTCACCTCACATGGTCCTGGTGGGTCTGTGAAAACCGGGTCAGTCACCCTCCCCACTTCCAGAGGGTTGGGCATAACTAATGGCAGTTACTGTTCCGACATGAAGCCTTCAGCCAAGCAGGAGCACTCAGAATCGTCAAGGGATCTGTGTGTAGACATGGGAGAGGGAGGTGCCTTCCTCATTGGGGTTCCTGAGCCGGAGGATGTGGGTGTGGGGCAGTCATGATGGTATTGCCCAGCTTGTGGTGAGAGCTGGCATGCAGGATGACACGTTGCTGAGGCAGGCAGTGTGCAAAGCTGGAGGGACAGACAGTTCTGATCATTGTCGGAGCTCCCACTTCCACTCATGCCAGAATCAATGCTCCTCTCCTGGGCTTGTCAGTTACGGGTAAACCAACACATTCTCTCTGTTTCAGTTAGAGATTGGGTTCTGACACTTTCATCTGAAAGCAGCTTGCCTGATATGAGAGGCTTGGATTTCATCCCATAGATTGAAGCTTCCCAAAGTGGTTTCCTTTGATCGCTGGTCCTCCTTCAAAAAAGGAGTTTTATGCTAAAACTAGTTTAGGAATACTGCCTTCCATTGCCCCTTTTTGGATGGTTTGTACTAAGAAGTCCTCCCATGAAGGAACTTTGTGCTGAGCCATCCGTTCATCTCATCCCTCCATCTCATCCCTCCACAACCACTGTGCATCGTCCCCACCCTGTTCTGTGCCCTGGAGGCTGCCATGATGCTCTCTATCCATGGGTCCTCCTTCCTTTGGGTCTCAAGTGGCCCAAAGGCAGGGGCGTTTCGCCATCGAGTGGCAATGGGAGGTCAGAGGGAGGGAGGAGAATGAGGCGGGCATGTTATTTTCCAGCCCTGCCCTGTCCAGTCATCGTGGGCTGCCTGTGCCCCTCAAGTCAAGCACACAGGTCCTGTTGGGCATCTCTCTGAGGTAATCTTTCTCTCCCGCATCCCTCAGCCATTTGGGTGGTTAAAAGCTCCTGGCTGGTACCAGTCCAATGCCACTGTACTCTCCTTTGTGGTTTCTTCAAACCCTGCACAGTCATTTACTAAACTGTCCTAAAATTACTCACTTTGAGTACGCCATCTGAGTCGCACCAGGACTTGAATTAAATTGTATCATTGATTAATCTATTATTTCCTGCACTTATTAAGCCTGTAACCTTTTTCTTTTTAATTGAGGAACACCCTACAATGTCCTACAGACCAAAAGTTTTGACTACCTACTTTGGTGAATGCCTTCCTAGGACAGCAGCTTAGGAACAGGATTCTGGAAAGATGGAGGCAGCCAGGCAGCTTTTCCACTCTTAAACCTGGAGCATTTCCCCATGAGGACCTGGTGCTTCCACCCAATGACCACATCCAATGGCTTTCAGTTAGGCCTGGAGTTTTACTCCCTTTGTGTACAGCACATTCTTTCCCTGGAAACCCCTCTCCCTGCTCTTCTCCTATCCAAAGCCCACCCTTTGAAAAGTCCAGGCCACGTCACTATTCACCTCGAACATCGCACAAAGCACTGGGGCTCACCTTGGCCTCTGTCACTCATGTGGCCGCTGTGGTTCACCTTAATGCATGGTCACCCACATCCATGTGGCTTAGTCATGTTTCAAGCCTTTGCCTTGATAGTTCACTTTTCTCAAGTTTGATTTCTGTCTATAGAGCTAGACTGTGAGCTCCTTGATGGCAGGGACAACATCCCCACTTCTTTACGTATCTCATAACTTCTAACAAATGTAGCTGTCTTGCACACGCAGAACACCCCTTCTTTGTCTCTGTATGATACTTGGTTCAAACCCCATCACAGTGTGGGCCATTCTCCGATCATCTCAGCTGAATGTATTATCTCAGGCTTCTAAAGAACTAGCACTGATTACCCCGTGAAGCAAACATTCATGCCCTCTGACATATAGTGTCATCTGGAACTGTTGCTTAGTCTGTTAGTTAACTTTGTGCACTTTGATCTCGAAGCCTTAACAAGTTTATACGCATTATTATGGATTGAATTGTGTACCCCCTCACTCTCCTCTCCCCCAAAACCTTCATATGTTGAAGTCCTAATGCCCAGTACCTCAGAATGTGATCTTATTTGGAAATAACATCATTGCAGATGAAATTAGTTAAGATGACATCATACTGGAGCAGGGTAGGTCCCTAATCCAATATGACTAGTATCATAAAAATGAGAACCTGGGCACAGACATGCACACAGAAGGAACCCCATGTAAAGATTGGAGTTATGCTGCCACAAGCCGAGAAACATCAAAGATTACCAGAAAACCACCAGAAGAAAGGAGAGGAGCATTCAACAGATTCTCCTTCATGGCCTCAGAATGACCCAACCCTGCCAACACCTTAATCTTGGCTTCCAGGACTGAGAGATAATCACTTGCTGTTGTAAAAGCCATTCCGTTTGAGGTACATTATTACAGCAGTCCTCCCAAATGCATACAAGCACCTTAAGGACAAGGACCATATCTTGGATCCCCAAAGAGTAGGATTCCAATTGCAGATGCATCATTGGTTTCTTAACGTCTCTTCTGGCAAGTTAATTCACTTCTTTCGGCCTCAACTTTCCTTTCTGTAATGTGGAGATAATAATATCTACTTCAGAAAGTTGTTTTAAGGATTAAAGGCAATGCATTAAAATGCCAGGCACAGTGCTTGACACCGTTAAAATGTGCAATAAATGCTAAGTCTTGTAAATATAATCCTCTTATTTCACAAATGAGGAAATAGGATCTAGACATGCAAAGTGCCTGTCTAAGCCCACACAGTTAAGTAGCAACAAGCTTGTCAAAAAAAACCCTCCAAATAGATTCATTTCAATTCCTATCTATATTATGTCTTATCTTTTATTGCTAAAGAGAACAATTAGTGTGGTGACATTAATTTGATGGCATTTTGTGTGTGATGTTTGCTTACTGCTGTGGGAGATGAGATGCTGGACCCTGAGTTTGAGATGTTGGACTTTTGTGGTTTCTTCCTTATCCACAGGTAACTGAGATAAGTCATATCTTAAAGCAAACCATCCCTTCTTTTTTGTACAAAATTACATTTATTTGCTTAAGAATGGTGTGAATCGTCTGGGCGCGGTGGCTCACGCCTGTAATCCCAGCACTTTGGGAGGCCAAGGCAGGTGGATCACGAGGTCAGGAGATCGAGACCATCCTGGCCAACATGGTGAAACCCCGTCTCTACTAAAAAATACAAAATATTTGCCAGGCACGGTGGCGTGCGCCTGTAGTCCCAGCTACGTGGGAGGCTGAGGCATGGGATTCACTTGAACCCGGGAGGTGGTGATTGCAGTGAGCCGAGATCGTGTCACTGCACTCCAGCCTGGTGACAGAGGGAGACTCTGTCTCAAAAAAAAAAAAAAAAAAAAAAAGAATGGTGTGATTCATATAACTTATTTGTATAAGGGATTACAAATAAGAGCAGTAATTATCGAACAAAATTTGTAGGAATAGGCTTATAGAACTCCACTGCTTTGTATGCACAGACACCCTCTGTATAACTGTTATCAGATGATGCTTGGATTAATTTAACATCCATATTCCTCTCAACTGCAGGGTCTTCACCTCTGTACATTTCCTAATAACCTGTATTCTGGCCTCAACTTATTTCTCTCTCATTTTGAACTAACTGAAGGTGAAGGCTGCTGCAAAATGATTGTTTTTTTCACAAGTTAATCAGATGAAATATGAACCTGCCATTCCTGCCCCATAATTACACCTATTCTGGTGATGTTAGGTCAAAATTGATGCTACTACACCACAATTTTTCTATATAGTTGGTAATCAATGATCATATTTTTTAATGCATCACCATGCTACTTATCAAACGTTCTGTCTCTCAACATATTGAGAAGTCAATCATGATCTGAACAGGTGGATCCCAGCAAGATGACTTCTACCCTACAAAGAGGTTGAGAATCCTGTTTCAAATGCTGGATGGATCCCTGTGAATCTGTCACTTTAAGAAGGGAGACTGCCCAGTGAAAGCAGTGGAAAGAAAAAGAGCGTTAAAAGGTGAGTGGATTGGGAGATCTCATCAGATTTTCCCGTTCTCTTCTGTCATGCTACGACAACTTGCATCAGTGAAATTTCTTTTTTAGAAACTGCAAAGGATATTGAAATATTGAAAGGATATTGAAACTTGGGAGCCCTTATTTATGGGATAAAGCTGTCAGGAAATTAAACTAGAATCAACATTTGACAGGTGAATGTTTATTTTTATCCTTGAGACCCTAATCTCTCTTTCCCACCAAGCTTTGCTTATATATCAGATCTATACACTATTTTGAAGCAGAAAAAACAAGAAAGGAATCTTGAAAGAAAGAAAGAAGAAAAGAAAAGAAAAAAAGACTTCTCAAGCTCAGAATCAGCCCTTGCTATTAACATCTCCTTCAAGGATCATTAGAGGCTCCCAAGGGCCAATGGGACTGGGTGGAAGGTAATTCTGTGCGCTCTTTCATCAGCTGGCAATTTCTAAAGCACCTGCCTATTTTTCCAGGCTTCAATAGTGGTCACATCAGCCAATCCTTTCTTGTTTTCCATAATCCCATGACAAAGACCATTGTTGACAAAGGCAAAAAACATACTGTGCCTTGCCTCCTGGGTGTTTTCTGTTTTCCATCTCAAAATGGGTATTGATGGACTGATCCTCTGTGTCCCAATATTAGGTGTCAGGGATGGGGGCAGGGGTCCCAGAGGGGAAAAAAGGGAGGGTCTTTTAGCTGCGTAAAACCTTCATTCTTCTCCAGCAGAAGTTCCAGGCTTGACTTCCATCAACTTTAGGGGTCTGCATGGGGCTTAGGGGATTCCTGAACCTCTTGACATCATATTCAAAACTGTGCAAATATGTATAGGTGCTCCTAAGAACATGGTTTCTGTTCATATCTTGTTTTTTTGTTTTTGTTTTTGTTTTTTATTGTTTTTTGTTTTGTTTTTGTTTTTTTGAGACAGAGTCTCGCTCTGTCGCTCAGGCTGAGAGCAGTGGCACCATCTCAGTCCACTGCAGGCTCCGCCTCCTGGGTTCAAGTGATTCGTTTGCTTCAGCCCCCTCAGTAGCTGGGATTACAGGTGTCCACCACCATGCCCAGCTAATTTTTATATTTTCAGTAGAGACGTGGTTTCACCATATTGGCCAGGCTGGTCATGAACTCCTGGCTTCAAACGATTGGCCTGCCTCGACCTCCCAAAGTGATGGGATTACAGGCATGACCCACTGCACCTGGCCCACACATCTTGTTTTCTTGACTATGGTTCCACCTCACTTCCTCGATAGTTCAGTCCTCCAGCTCTCATCTCTGGCTTCACTTCTTAGATTTAATTTCTACTTCCTGTCTTGGGTTGGGCTGATTTCAGGTGCTTTAGGTAAAGTCTTGCCTAGTCCAGCCAAGCCCTATAATCTTGGCAACCAGACATAAGCGTTACTGGCTGCCTTCTTTTCCCCAAACAGTCCAGGTCCAGACATTCAGAGTCCAGCTGTAAGACAGATGGGTTTGAACTAATGAAGATGTAATGCCATCTCACTATTCTTATGGGCTAAGCAATCTGCTCTTGGGAGCATAGTCGTGGGAGTGGAACCTGATGAGTTCAGCAGGGTTCAACATGAACAGAACTATCTTTCTAAAGGAGCATATATTGGCTCAAGCCCATAGGAATCCATCCAGATGAATAAATGAACAATTCAGAATTTAATTTCAAAAGATTAGAGTAGGAAGGTGCTTAACAATTTTTTTTTAAATTTTTTGAGACAGGGTCTCACTGTGTTGTCCTGGCTGGTCTTGAACTCCAGGGCCCAAGTGATTCTCCTGCCTTGGCCTCCCAAAGTGTTGGGATTACAGACATGAGCCACCGCACCCTGCCAGAAGGGGCTTTAGATATAACCACATTCTGCCTTATCAAAGTGAGCAATTCTTTGTTTGCCTCTCAAACTTTAATGTGCATATAAATCACTGGAGGATTCATATCCACACTTAAATAACTTCTGCCTTTTTGTTTACTGGGAAGGAAACTGAGGCATATCGGCTTCAGACTCATAAGTTCCTCCCTGCCCAGTGCATTTTTCCAAACACTGCCCTGCCACACAATAGTTCAGTTAAAATGGAAAGAATAAATGTGTCATTTCGTTTTAAAAATTGTCAGAAGGGTCTATGTCTCAAACATGGCCCTTAAAAAAAATTTGCTGGGTGCAGTGGCTCACACTTGTAATCCTAGCACTTTGGGAGGCCAAGGCAGTTGAATTAACTGAGCTCAGGAGTTTGAGACCATCCTGGGCAACATGGTAAAACCCTGTGTCTACTAAAATACAAAAAATTTGCCAGGCGTGGTGGCGCATGCCTGTAATCCCAGATACTTGGGAGGCTGAGGCATAGGAATTGCTTTAACCTGGGAGGTAGAGGTTGCAGTGAGCCAGGATCATGCCACTGCACTCCAGCCTGGGCAACAGAGCGAGACTCCATCTCAAAAAAATAAAAAATAAATATATATATATATTTCATATATATATATGAAAGTCGGGGTGGCTCATGCCTATAATACCAGCACTTTGGGAGGCTGAGGTGGGCAGATTGCTTGAGCCTGGGAGGTCAAGGCTGCAGTGAGCAGAGATCGCGCCACTGCACTCCAGCCTGGGAGACAGAGCCAGACCCTATCTCTAAAAAAAAAGGTCTTGCCCAGGCTGCAGTGCAGTGATGCAATCATAGCTCACTGCAACTTTCAATTTCTGGGCTATAGCATTCCTCCTGCCTTAGTCTCTCCAGTAGCTGCAACTACAGGCATTGCACCATGCCTGGCTAACTTTTATATTTTTGTAGAGACAAGGTCTCACTGTGTTGCCCAGACTGTTCTTGAACCCCTGGTGTCAAGTGATCCTCCTGCCCCAGCCTCCCAAAGTTCTAGGATTACAGGCATGAGCCACCGTGCTCAGCCTTGAACATATTCCTATGTGATATATCAAAGGCCTAGACACTGATATATTTCCTCAAGGATTCCAGAGGGAATAGCAAGGCCAAGAAGAAAAATGGATTTGAGAAGAGGTGAAGCAGGCAAGATATATCTGTAGAATGCCAATTATATCAGTCACTAGGCAAGTAAGACGGTGACACATCTACATAGGGATCCCGAAAAAATGAAGTCCAAATTCACATCAGGGAGGGTATCTATAGTTTAGACCCCTGCTACTCAAATTGTGGCCCATGACCACGAGCATCAGAATACTCGGGAACTCAGTAGAAACGGAGCTTCCCAGTCGGTCACAGACCTACTGAATGAGAATCTGTACTCCAACAAGATCCTCCAGTGACTTAGATGCACTCTAAAGTTTAAGAGACAAAGAATTGCCTACACTGGCTTTTTTTCCCTGTCTAGTTTAAATTACTTTGAAAGTTAGATAACAGAAATGGAAAACTAGGACAAATGAAATTTGCGTGGGTGCATGGAGGGGGGTGTGTAAGAAAGACCACTAGAGGGAATTAAAGCAGGATCACAGCAAGAGTTTTACTTCTTGAGTCGAGTATATATCTTAAACAGCTCTTTTCCTCTGAGCTTTAATTAATTGTTTTGCATTAGTACACTGCATTGTGAAGGACCTGTGTTTGCAATTAGATGGCTCTCACAGATGGGGCAGGGTGATGAGGCGCTTCTGCCCAAGAGGCGGGATAGTTACCTGTGCCCAAGAGTATATTTCTCACATACAAGAGCTCCTCTTTTTTTTTCTTATTTTTAAAGAGCACAGTATACCTTCCTTCCTGATGAAATTCCTGGCTAACAGTTCAAATTTTTTTAAAAAAATTATTTTAATAAATAAATATAAAAATGGGATATTGAACAAATAAATAAAAGTTGGATGTTAGCTGCCATCATCCAGACTGTATTTTACATGAGTAATTCACACATTTCCAGATTCTGAGGGAGAGGACACAAGAGTTCCTGGATGTCCATGGGTGTCCATCTGTAAACCCGAGCAGTTTAAAGCTTCTAAATCCCAATTAGGCTGCTCGAACCAACTGAGATGCCACAAATGCAACCTAGTGGCTTTTCCCATGGGAAGTCAGAGAAGTGGAAAATATTTCAAGCAATTTGGGCATGCTTGCATAACCCTTTTGTGGAAATTCCTGCACTAACAATTTGCAATTAAAGTGAAAGTGAGTAAAAATAGAATGACCTCTCATTTCCACAATGACTGTATTTTGTAGACTCTGGGGTATGAATTTGCCTTATATCTGACCCACACATAATGACGAAGAAACTAAAAATAATCAGCCTTCTGTATGCCTAGCAGTGCAGAGTGTCTATCAGGCAGCAGGTTGTAGCATTAATGACAGTTTTTAGCTAAGACAGAAGACATGGTTGCATAAAACATAAGCAAATCAACAGCCAAGTGAAGACAGAAAAACATACTCTCAGTCCAAATCATAATTGTAAATTCATATTATCTGTAGCAAATGTGGTCTCCCAGGCAGCCTGGTGCCTAAAATGCCCATGCTTTTGGGTCCCTCCCCAATTTAGCATTAACTGCTGATGTCTGGGATTAGTAATTAATTTTTTATCAACCTAATGAAAGCTTCATTAGAAAAGTCACTCTGCAAGAAGGAAAAAAGTCATATAGTGTACTATACAACAAAATGTGTGTATTTCTGCCTTTAATGCTGTGAGTTATCTATGCCATTTCCTCCTCTTAGCTTGGATAAATAAAAGTTCAATGCTAACTGGAAAAAGTTTTGAGACTCACTCTGGTAATGTCATTATGCCATAATTCTTTCAAATATTTCTGAGATGCCATCAGATAATTATAGGTTTCCCTCAAGATTTTTATAAACTCTATGATTATTGTATAGAGTGTTTATGTCATTTGATGACTAAAAATATCCACGAGAAGAAATTTTCTGTGATTGAATCACCTACATATGCTAAACAATTCAAGCAGAACTGGGTTATTTGGCAGAGGAGAGAGCCTGTGAATGAAAATGATCGGTTAATGAACTGAAATTGCAAGCTAAACAGAGGCCACATACCACTCAGCCTGGGTCCAAGGGACTTTCAGCAAGGGGTGAGCATGAAAGGACAAATTGGAGCCCAATTGTGAGGGGCATGGAATGCCTTACTGATGATTTTGGCAAAAAAACACTTCCCACAGACATTCAGGCAAGGTGACAATGTGAGTTCTCCATTTTAAAAGGATATCTCTGGCCCCAGCAGACAGAAGGGAGACCAGTTTGACTGAGTTTGAACCAAGCATTGTGAAATGATGGGAAACAAGTAAAAATAGAGACAGATGGAATGGGATTGGGGCAATAGGTAAAGAGCAGGTCAGGGGTAAGTGAAGTTTCTGCTTTGAGCGTGGGTGGGTGGGTGGTGGTTCCATTCACTAAGTCAGAGCCATTCACTGAGTCAGAGAACTCAAGAGAAAGGAAGGAATGAGATGCTGTTGGAGGTACGGTTTGAAGGCTCTCTGGACACGTGTGACAGACCACTAGAAACATGAGCATGGAGTTAGGAAGGGCCTAGACCAGTGATTTGGAAGTTACCAGCATATAGACATGGCTGGAGTTTGTTGAAGTGCATGAAATTGCTCATGCAAGAAAGTATAAAAAGACAGAGGGAGTGGGCATGAGGACAGGCAGAGCAAGAAGGGAGTTAGACCGAAATCAGTCACAGCAATGGGAGAGATTTTAAAAGCCAGTCTGCAGACTGACATGATACAGAGAGGTACAAACCAGGCTGAGCAATTCAGAGAATGAACTCTGGCCTTTGAGAGAGCAAGTTAGGTTCTAAGGAACAAGTCATGATCTATGGCCAAGATTTGAGACATTATGTGTCGTGAAGCTGAGGGTGGGGTGGTCCACTTACTTAGACAAAACAGAAACTGTGCAAATAGACCCAGCTGATTGAGTCGAGGTGCGTGAAATGGAGAGGTACAAAGTGAAGAGATTGCTGACTTAAGCATGGTCACACACACCAGCCATATTGCCGGGGGGAGATGTTCACGCCACGGTGCAGCTTCAGCTCTGGAAACAGTTGACTGGTGGAGAGGTGGGATAGAGGCTATGCTGGTGGGGAGTGCGGGAGTCAGTTTTCTGTAGTCCAGAGAACTTAGCTCTAACAAGAGCTGCCATTTCTTAGAGGCTTTTTTTTGGTGGGGGGGATGCTTCACCTTCATTATCTTGTTTGAGCTTCAGAACATCTTTGCAAGGTATAATTTAAAAATGAGGAAAGTGAGGCTCAGAGAGCCAAGGAACTGCCCAAATCCAACTGAGAGGGCAGAATTTGAACCCACATTTGTGGAACCTCAAAGCCCTGATTCTTTCCTCTGTAACATTCTGCCTTGGGTCAGAGACGTCTGTCCTCAGGTAGCAGGTTCATCTGGTCTAGGAAGAAAGTCAAGCCTGAGACAAACAAGCACAGGGCTCCTGAGCTCCCAGCCACCAGCCCAGGAGCAGGAAAGGGTTGGAGTTCTGAGGGAGATTGTGATGTGAAGAAGGGGACTGGTCAGAACCAAGGAGCAAGAGCCCGGCCTCCAGGACTTTAACAAATTGAGAAATGTTGAGGCAAGGGCAGCAGCTGTCTCCCAGCAACTTGGGGCCCCAGGTCTGACCAAGAGCAATGATGGGCAGGGGAGCAAGTTGGGTGTGGCCATGAAAAGGTCGTGTGTTTTATTTAGGGAATATAGGAATTAAGTGTATTAGTCTGTTCTCGTGCTGCTAATAAAGACATACCCAAACTGGGTAATTTAAAAAGGAAAGAGGTTTAATAGACTCACAGTTCCACCTGGCCAGGGAGACCTCACAATCATGGTGGAAGGCAAGGAGGAGCAAAGTCACATCTTACATGGCAGCAGGCAAGAAAGAGCGTATGTAGGGAAGCTCCCCTTTATAAAACCATCAGGCCTTGTGAAACTTAATCACTGTCACAAGAACAGCATGGGAATGGCCTGCCCCATGATTCAATTACCTCCTGCCAGGTCCCTCCCATGACATGTGGGAATTATGTGAGCTACAATTCAAGATGAGATTTGGGTGAGAACACAGCCAAATCATATCGTTAAGCATGTATATAAGTCAGAGACATGCCAGTGAGAAGAGAGAGGAAAGAGGGGAGAAGAGTCATAAATCAAGGATCAAGATCCCAGGGAGGGGGATTAGCTCTGGAAAGAATGAAGGGTGAAGCTTCCTCTGAGACAGAAAGGGGGTCAGGATGGTAAAAAGAGCATTCATTTTGACAAAGGTTGGGAAGGAAGTTGAAAAAGTTTAGACCAAACAGCCTCTTTTTTTTTTTTAATTGAAAGAGGCTATATTATTTCTGTAGGGTTGGTGATGAGAAAATAATTTAAAATGCAAACCAGAGCATCAAGGAATGCAAAAGCAAATTCAGTGGTAAGAGAACACCACATCCAGTACCCAGCAAGGTGGGAATGCAGCCACTGGGTCAAAGAGGATCAGGTAGATTAATTCCAGTATCTCCCTGCTTTTCACAATGACTTAGGAGGAACGCAGGGAGGTAGAGCATGTAAAAGAGAGATAACGTGTGGGGAAATATGTTGTAAATACTAAAGTATTATGCAAATCAGTTGCATCTGAATTACTTTTTCGGTGTTAAGGATGATGAAACAGATTCGGAGCAGTTAAGGTCACTGAGGCACCACCTGGACTTGAACTCACATCCTCTAGCCCCAGCCCTGCTGCTCCTGCGGCCCGCTTCTGCACAGCGCAGCACTGAGTAAATGAGATTGGAAATGGAAGTGGTAAGGAGGAAAACAAAACCTTCTGCCTTTAAATTCTTGTTCTGGGCTGGGTGCGGTGGCTCACACCTGTAATCCCAGGACTTTGCGAGGCTGAGGCAGGCAGATCACAAGGTCAGGAGATCAAGACCATCCTGGCCAACATGGTGAAACCCCATCTCTACTAAAATACAAAAAAATAGCCAGGCATGGTGGTGCTTGCCTGTAATCCCAGCTACTCGAGAGGCTGAGGCAGGAGAATCGCTTGAACCTGTAAAGCAGAGGTTGCAGTGAGCTGAGATCACGCCACTGCACTCCAGCCTGGCGACAGAGCTAGGCTCCATCTCAAAAAACAAAAAATAAAATAAAAATAAATAAATAAAAAATTCTTGTTCTGAGACACAGAGAAACAAAATCTGTTTCCGTTTTCTTTTTCTTTTCTTTTTTTTTTTTTTGAGACAGGGTCACAATCTATCATCCAGGCTGGAGTGCAGTGGTGCCATGTTGGCTCACTGCAACCTCCGCCTCCTGGGTTCAAGCAATTCTCCTGCCTCAACCTCCTGAGTAGCTGGCATTACAGGTGCCCGCCACCACACCTGGGTAATTTTTGTATTTTTAGGAGAGACAGACAGTCACCATGTTGGCCAGGTTAGTCTGGAACTCCTGTCCTCAAGTGATCCACCCGCCTCACCCTCCCAAAGTGCTGCGATTACAGGTGTGAGCCACCGCATCCGGCCAAAATCTTATCTATTTTCTACCCTTATGTGGCAATACTTGAAATGTTCCCTTTCTGGTGTAGTGCCCAACAGTCTGGACAACAAGTGCTCTATTACAATTGGGTGAAATTAAAAGGATCAAAGAAGACAGTGAAAAAAAGGGGGAGGATTGGATTCAGAAGCAATATCATCACAGGATCTTCAAATATTAAAATTTAAAAATTTGGAGAAAGCGCCAACTCGGAAATACTCCATGGAACCTGGAAAGTTTTGCTTGCATAAGAGATGGCTCAGAGAGGGCATCCATGTTGTCCATAGATTTGAAGAAGGTTTGTATTTGTCTATATAACCTAAGGAGATAGGAGCAAGTTAGGTAAGTAATAGTAACTTGAGTTCAAGATTGAGTTCAAATATTGAACTCAATAATTTAATATGAATAAAATGATTCAAAAATGAGATACGTTTTTGAGTAGTGAGTTCCCTGTCACTGAAAGATTTCAAGTACAAGCTGGACAACAGCTTGGCAGGATTGTTGTAGCATATATAAAGGGTCATTTATCTGGGGCAGGTTCTCCCAATTTGTGAATAAAAGATCTTCAGGGATGGGGTGGTGAGCAGTAGAGCTATTAGAAGGGGTTTGTGAATTCATGTGCACAAGTGGTGTTGCTTTAGAGGGAATGAAATATGTGTCTGGCAAGTGTGTATACTGTTCCTTTTGAAATTATGTAATGCCATTATGATTAATAAAGTACAAATTAATTATGGATGTCACTGAATTTATAAAAGTCTTTTCCCATTTTGCATTTTCTCGAAGCTCAGATATTAAAAATGCAACTACTATCATGGGGAAGACTTGCAGCCTTTGTTCTTTTAAGGTTAAAAGGGATCTTCATGATCAAAAAGGTTAGAAACCATCTCACTAGAGAACTTTTCAAGTCCTTTTCAATGCAAAGATTGTGATTTCGTGACTCCTAGGAGATCAGAGGGCCACAGTTGGTTTGGGGGAAAAAAACCCACCCAAGCCCCAGCAGTTGGTGCACATGCAACTCTTGGCATGCTAGCAGAAGAGCACCCATAAAAACACTCTGAAATGCCACAACCAGAACAGAGCCACCAGCTGTAGCTCATCAAAGGAGTATGTTTAGAGATCCATCATTTCCTTGTTCCATAAGCTGACACAACTTTGTTGCTCCAAACAGCAAGGGTATATTTTTGCCACTGTATGTATTTAAGTAGTCATCTAACTTTTGTCGTTTCCAAATATCGTTTGTTTTGTTTTGTTTTTGAGATGGAGTCTCTCTCTGTCACCCAGGCTGGAGTGCAGTGGTGTGATCTCGGCTCACTGCAACCTCTGGCTCCCGGGTTCAAGTGATTCTCCTGCCTCAACCTCCCAAGTAGCCGGGACTACAAGTGTGCACCGCCATGCCCAGCTAATTTTTTATTTTTAGTAAAGACCGGGGTTTCTGCCATGTTGGCCAGGCTGGTCTTGAACTCCTGGCCTCCAGTGATCCGCCCACCTCAGCCTCCCAATGTGAGGGGATTACAGGCGTGAACCACTGAGCCCAGCTCCAAATATCTTGATACTACCCTTTCTAAGTTTTTTTCATCTTTAAATATGTGGGTCACATTCTTTGCAATTCATATTCTTTGCTAATGAAATACTTTTTGTTTAGAAAGAAGTGCTTGGATTTTCACTATCATAAGCATGTATGAAATGGAGACATTTTGTTTTGTCAAAGTAAATCAGGAAAGTTGAGTCCCCTCCCAAAATCTACTCTTTTTTGGTTCACTGTGTGAGACAGTTAAGATGAAATCTTTTTTTGAGACAGGCTCTCACTCTGTCGCCTAGGCTGGAGTGTAGTGGTGCGATCACAGTTCACTGCAACCTCCACCTCTTGAGCTCAGGTGATCCTTCTGCTTCAGTCACCCAAGTAGCTGAGACTACAGGCGTGTGCCATCATGCTTGGTTAATTTTTATGCTTTTTGTAGAAATGGGGTCTCCCTATATTGTCCAGGCTGGTCTCAAACTCCTAGGCTCAAGTGATCCTCCCACCTCAGCTTTGCAAAGTGCTGGGATTACAGGTGTGAGTCACGATGCCTGGCTCTGAAATCTGATTTTTCATTCACAATTTCTTTCCACAGAAATTATAGTTCTCTACTCTCTAAAAGTTTTTTTCTTTTTTTTTTTTGAGACGGAGTTTCACTCTTGTTTCCCAGGCTGGTCTGTAATGGTGCAATCTTGGCTCGCTGCAGGCTCTGCCTCCTGGGTTCAAGCGATTCTCCTGCCTCAGCCTCCAGAGTAGCTGGGATTACAGGCATGTGCCACCACACCTGGCTAATTTTGTATTTTTAGTAGAGATGGGGTTTCTCCATATTGGTCAGGCTGGTCTCGAACTCCCAACCTCAGGTGACCCGCCCACCTCGGCCTCCCAAAGTGCTGGGATTACAGGTGTGAGCCACTGTGCCCAGCCTAAAAGTCTCTAATAGAAGGAACCATGGGGGCTCCTCCAAGAACTGTGGAGCAGGTTCAATTTCTCTTCAGAGCTTCTCCCTTCCTCCTTCCATGCTATTTCCTTGCAATTCAGCCACCGCCCCTACCCCAGACGTTTACCTCAAGCTATTCTGGGGTAGCTTCCCTCATGGTAAGACCTTTATGATCATACTGTGTGGGTGGGCCCAATTCTTATAACGATTGGTAAAGTAGGCACACTTGACCCTTCAACGCAACATGATTTAAAGGGCTCAGACAGGACTCCCTGCTTAAAATTCTTTTTTTCATGCAGGTGTCCCAAGACCTGAACTCTTTCCATTCAGAGTTATATCTCTGAATTCTTTCCCCATCTTCTTTAAAATATACATACTTCTGGAAGAATAACTCATTAAAATAGGTCTCCAAAAGATGCTGTTATAGGTCAGGTGCAGTGGCTCATGCCTGTAATCCCAGAACTTTGGGAGGCCAAGGTGGGAGGACCACCTGAGCACAGAAGTTCGAGACAAGCCTGGGCAATATAGGGAGACCCCATCTCTACAAAAATACACATTAAAAAAATTTAGCCAGGTATGGTGGCACATGCCTGTAGTCTCAGCTACTCAGCAGGCTGAGGTGGAAGTATCCCTTGAGCCCAGGAGGTCGAGGCACAGTGAGCTGTGGTTGTGCCACTGCACTGCCACCATGGTTACAGAGGAAGAACCTGTCTCAAAAAAAAAAAAAAAAAAAAAGATGCTGTTATAGATTTAAATATGTATTAACAGACTTTCTCCTATTGAAATTACAATTTCATGTGATTATAATCCAGTACTTCCTCTGTGATGTAGGTCCTAGACACAATGAAAAGAAGGCTTGACATGTGGTTAAATATTTTCTATCATGTTTGAGGGTGATGTCTGTGAGTGGCAGGCACCAGGCATGAATTGTGACCTAGAACCCCGGCATCCTTTCTAGCACTGCCTAAAGATCAAGTACACTAAGAAATATATTAATAGGTTAGCCTAACATCATAAAAGCAACCATCCCACTTCACAGTTCTGTAAGAAGATAAGAAATGCAGAACTCCTAGTAAATCTAGAAAACAGAATACTCTTCACACAGACAATTGTATAGGAGTCAAATGAACCCTTCTTTAGAACTAGTCACTCAGAACACTAATGTTTATTAAAAGAATTAAAATTGGCTGGGCGCGGTGGCTCACGCCTGCAATCCTAGCACTTTGGGAGGCTGAGGTGGGTGGGTCACGAGGTCAGGAAATCAAGACCATCCTGGTTAAAATAGTGAAACCCCGTCTCTACTAAAAATACAAAAAATTAGCCAGGCGCAGTGGCACGTGCCTGTAATCCCAGCTACTCGGGAGGCTGAGGCAGGAGAATCGCTTGAACCTGGAAGGCAGAGGTTGCAGCGAGCTGAGATCGTGCCACTGCACTCCAGCCTGGGTGACAGAGTGAGACTCCATCTCAAAAAAAAGAAAGAAAGAAAGAAAGAATTAAAATCTAAGGTAGTTAAAGCCAAGAATCCATGTCAAGTTCAAAATATATCAAATATGCAAAGTTTAATGCTAAGAACTACTGTATGATATCAGAACATCAAAATAAGGAGGAAGTCGAGGAATCAAAGACTGAACAAGTGCTGGAATCTTTGCAACATTCTCTCTGAGTTCCTTAATGAGGTGGTCTTAACTGGTGCTTGCAGAAAGGTGAAATTCTGCTGCATTGAGGCCCCCACAGCATGTGAGCCCACTGGGAATAGTGGCCTGCTGAGATGAGACCAGGGAAGGACCAGGGGCCTAGGAGAGGGAACTCTGTGGTATTGCATAACACTGTATTTTTGGAAGCTCTCCTTGTAAAAGCTCTGAATTGGCTCTAAACACGAGAAAGATAAGCTTCCCTGCTAAATTCTGGAGTCTCAGAAGAGGATTTAGGGAGATGAAACCATCAAGAATGCCTTGATGACCTTTGTTGACGACCATGTGATCTTTTCACTTTAGGACAACTTCACATGTTCTTAGGAGGAAGCTTTGGATAATATTTTTCACTTTCCATAACCAGAAATTTCTAGACCCCCAAGGTTCCTTTCAAGAATGTCATGTATCTCCCCTACTTTTTTTTTTAATTAATAGAGATGAGGTCTCACTATATCACCCAGGCTGGTCTCAAACTCCTGGGCTCAAGCGGTCCTCCCACCTCAGCCTCCCAAAGTGCT
This sequence comes from Homo sapiens, assembly GCF_000001405.40. NCBI lineage: Eukaryota > Metazoa > Chordata > Mammalia > Primates > Hominidae > Homo > Homo sapiens. The sequence continues at coordinate 44,677,138 of NC_000013.11, forward strand.
GGGATTCCAGGCATGAATCACTGCACCCAGCATCCCATACTTTTTAAAACTACCACAATTTCTGTCAAGAAGAGGTAGTATAAAAAAGAAATAAACAATATTCTGCTTTTCAGTTAAACAGAAGTTTGAGACATAAAAATAATTAGAGGGTTAATCCATGATCTATTTCCAAACTTTTCCCTTGCCTTCCTTAATGGAAGGTTGCAGGGTGGTCCTTTGATAGTTTTGGCCAATGATACATCGGCGGGAGTCTGCTAGGGACTTCTGGGAAACGTCTGGCTCTCCTGGTTAAATGGATGGATAAGGCTGATGCTGTCCTCAACCCCCTTCTTCCTGCCTTAAATGCAAACTTGACATCTAAAACAGAGGTAGCCATTGTGTGATGATGAGAAGAAGGCCTGGAGAATTGCCAAGACAGTGACCAGGACATCACCAACCTGCTGGTTCTAGGTTGTCTATCTCCAGAAATTTTGCTATGTAAGGAAAATAACCCACCATCTGCTAAAACTACGGTGACTTGGATTTCCATTTACAACAATTCAGGATTTTCATAGGCTTCACATGAAGGAAATAGCTTTGTCATTAGTTTTTGCCAACAATATGTAGCATTTAATTAAAAATCAAAATATTTCCTAGCCATTAATATCAGTATAGAAATAGGCTGATATAAAGGCACCTTAAAGCTTTTGGCAGTCACTGAAATCCAACCACAAAAGGAAAACAAAATCATTTCATTTGCTTCTAAATTGTTTGATTTATTGATTTTTTCCCCAAGTATATTTATAATTAATTTAGGGTTTCTAGAGTTTGATATATTGATTCTTGTGCTGTTACTCTTATTGAAACTTCATGCCAACTAGTGGTATGAAAAATTCCTGTAATATAAATACCCTCTGAGTCTAGTGAAACTTTGCTTTCTCTCAGATTGAAGTAATCTTGGAATCTGTTTAATCTACTTAATAATTCCCTGCTCTATTTCATAGAAGCCAAAATGCCTCAGGCCCAAGTAAAACACAAGGTTAAGGCAATTTTCTAATAACTTGAGGCAAAAGATGGAAAATTGGCCTCCTCTAAGGCTATTTCTAGAAGGAAACCCAGCAGGTCTTAGATGCTTGCTTCTTGAAATGTGAGTCCTGAGTCAGTGGCATTGGATAGATTACCTGGGAGCTTGTTTAAAAAACAGAGTCTCGGGCCCCACTCCAGGCCTACAGAGTCAGAATGTGCATTTGGGCACCAGCTGCAGGGAACAGTGTGCACGGCAAAGTGAGAGACGCAATGCCCAGAGTTCCTTAGCCTTGTCTTCATCACCACCATCTGGTAAAGGTGGACGATGGCCCCTCTGCAGCCAGGCAGGAGCCGATTGGCAATGGCTTGGTCCATCCACTGATGAGAACATGTGATGACAAGCGGTGAGGCAGAAAAGAATGGAAAGAAGCCTGTTCTTGGGGCTTGGAGATGGCCTCTCCATCCCAACCCTGTGTTGCTGCTGTTCTATCCACTGGGAGGTGGCCTGATAGAGCAGCATTCTATACGGTGATATTTCTCAAGCTGTGGGCTGCATGTTTTCTCAGGGGCCTGGAGTCTTCTTTTTTTTGTGGGGGGCAGGTAATATTATATTTTAATTTCAGTGATAATCTTAAAAAAGAATTAATATTATTAGAATCACATGGAACCCTGAGTACATCCACACAATACTTGTACTTCAAAGAGGATGCTATATGGGCCAACATTTTGCAGGAGTTTGAAAAGAGGAAAGTGCTGAGAGTTCATTCACTAATCCCATGGTCAAAGTTTTACATTCAAAAGAATCTGCTCCACTGCAGTTGGTGCATATTCCTCCTGTAAGCAGAGCCCGTCATTATCTGTAGCGACTTGCAAAAATTCATTAGCAGCAAGCATAATGGTAAATCTACAATAAAGCATTTTTCTGTTTCTTATTCAAGCAGTGATTAGATTTGCTATCCATGTAATGCACATTTCAATTGCATCGTGATGTTAACTTTATCTTCAAGAATACAAGACTGTTTTACTAAACTACTTCTAAAATTTGACATTCATGGATTTCTTACTGACTGTTTTGCTTATGTATGAAGTGAAATTTTATTGAACTAGAAAACCAGTCTGAAAATGTTAATATTGTCTTGAAAAAGTATTCTTAGGTGAATAGATATTATTATTATTATTATTATTATTATTATTATTTGTTTGTTTGTTTTGAGACAGAGTCTCACACTGTCACCCAGGCTGGAGTACAGTGGCAAGATCTCAGCTCACTGCAACTTCTGCCTCCCAGGTTCAAACAATTCTCCTGTCTCAGCCTCCTGAGTAGCTGGGACTACAGGTGCCTGCCACCACGCCCAACTAATTTTTGTATTTTTAATAGAGTCAGGGTTTCACCTTGTTGATAAGGCTGGTCTTGAACTCCTGACCTCAGGTGATCCACCCGCCCTGGCCTCCCAAAGTGCTGGGATTACAGGCATGAGCCACCGCGCCCAGCCGTATTAGTATTATTGAAGTCACATTAGTACTACTGAAGTCACAAAAAGGAAAACAAATATATGACCCTGTCTTAAAAAAAAAAAAAAAAGCTGAGTTCCTTTGGCATATTTTGTTTTCAATCTGAAATTATGCTGTTCTGACTCACCATTTCCAAGAGTTTACATGGAGGCATTTGGATTGTGTATATCTGCATAGAGGATTCAGCAGGAACATGGTTTTTGTGCTGTATGTTTCTCCAAAACACAAAATGGCCACACAGTTTCAAATTATTACAGCCAGTGTTATAGAAAGACAATTACTACTTCATTAATACACACCCGTCTTTCCTCATCCACCTTGACCTTCCTGGTCAATCAGTTTGCCCATTTATTTTTTCATTGCCTAGAAGTCTCTTTAAGTTAGAACATGAGTAGTTTGTGAGAATAATGTCTACATAGTAGTTTGATGTCCTCATTATCCTAGATGGGGTTCTCTTCACACTAAGGATTAAAAATATGTCATACTCAAGCAATGTCCCCAGTGGTCGTTTCTTCCTTTCATTGCGGGGTGATATGGTCTGGCTCTGTGTCCCCACTCAAATCTCATCTTGTAACTCCCATAATTCCCACGTGTTGTGGGAGGGACCTTGTGGGAGATAATTGAATCAGGTGGTGCGTCTTTCCCGTGCTGTTCTCATGATAGTGAATGGGTCTTACGAGATCTGATGGTTTCAAAAATGGGAGTTTCTCTGCACAAGCTCTCTCTTTGCCTGCTGCCATCCATGTAAGATGTGACTTACTCTTCCTTGCCTTCCACCATGATTGTGAGGCCTCCCCAGCCATGTGGAACAGTAAGTCAAATAAACCTCTTCCTTTTGTAAACTGCCCAGTCTCGGGTATGTCTTTAACAGCAGAGTGAAAACAGACTAATACACAGCGTGACTGGTATCTTGACTTTTCGCAAATTTTGCTACCATGCCTGAGATATCATGCCACACACATTGTCATGAGTTTTTGGTCCTAACCCAAAGCATAAAAACAATTCTGTATTAAGAGTGAGATTTGTGGCACTATTTTATAGATGGACGAACTGAAACTTGACCAGAAATTTAGTCAATGTTCGAGTTCCATATAGAAGAGGTATTTTGCAGACAGGCCACAAAAGAATAAATAACATAACACAAGTTTTACCAACACTACTGAGAATATTGGTGAAAATGAAGATTCAATAGGAGTCACATTTAAGAATTCTGTTAACTCAGAAATGGGACTTTCCCAGACTATCCTGTGTGACCAGATGACTGCTCCCTCTGCTACCCTGGAATGCCCCCACAGAGCAGAGAGGAGAAATGCAAATGTAAAGTTTAATTAAAAATAGCTCCTCAAGAGGTAGATCAACCCTGTTGTTTAATTAAATTGCAGACATTTTGGAAAACAGAATACTTAAGGGCTATATCTTATTTCTCAGGCATCCTTTGTCTGATTTTGGACTCTCCCCAACACAATCCAAAGCTAGCCAGATAGTGGATGTCTTTTTTCTCCCCAAGGAGACTACTCAGTGTTCCACAATTCCATTTACTACTCCTTTTCCAGGCCTTGAGAAACAAGGATTGGGTAGTATTTTCCTCTCCATTCTCTTTTATGTGGCTTCTTCTAGATCTTTGGCACATTTGGGAATGACATCAAAATCTAGCCTTAAAAAGGCAGATCTGGGCTGGGCATGGTGGCTCAGGCCTGTAATCCCAACACTTTGGGAGGCCAAGGAGGGTAGATCACGGGGTCAAGAGATCAGGACCATCCTGGCCAACGTGGTGAAACCCCGTCTCTACTAAAAATACAAAAATTAGCTGGGCGTGGTGGTGCGTGCCTGTAATCCCAGCTACTCGGGAGGCTGAGGAAGGAGAATCACTTGAACCAGGGAGTTGGAGGTTGCAGTGAGCTGAGATCACACCACTGTACTCCAGCTTGGCAACAGAGCGAGACTCTGTCTCAAAAAAAAAAAAAAGTAAATCTGTGCCCACGTGGAGTCAGTCTGTGCCCACGTGGAGCCAGGGTCATTTTGCAGATGTGGAAAGAAAGACAACGGTGGCATTTTCTTTCTTTTTTTTTTTTACTTTATTATTTTATTTTATTTTATTTTTAATTTTTATTTATTTATTTATTTATTTATTGATCATTCTTGGGTGTTTCTCGAAGAGGGGGATTTGGCAGGGTCATAGGACAATAGTGGAGGGAAGGTCAGCAGATAAACAAGTGAACAAAGGTCTCTGGTTTTCCTAGGCAGAGGACCCTGAGGCCTTCTGCAGTGTTTGTGTCCCTGGGTACTTGAGATTAGGGAGTGGTGATGACTCTTAACGAGCATGCTGCCTTCAAGCATCTGTTTAACAAAGCACATCTTGCACCGCCCTTAATCCATTTAACCCTGAGTGGACACAGCACATGTTTCAGAGAGCACAGGGTTGGGGGTAAGGTCACAGATCAACAGGATCCCAAGGCAGAAGAATTTTTCTTAGTACAGAACAAAATGAAAAGTCTTCCATGTCTACTTCTTTCTACACAGACACGGCAACCATCCGATTTCTCAGTCTTTTCCCCACCTTTCCCCCCTTTCTATTCCACAAAACTGCCACTGTCATCATGGCCCGTTCTCAATGAGCCGCTGGGCACACCTCCCAGACGGGGTGGTGGCCGGGCAGAGGGGCTCCTCACTTCCCAGTAGGGGCGGCCGGGCAGAGGCGCCCGGGCAGAGGCGCCCCTCACCTCCCGGACGGGGCAGCTGGCCGGGCGGGGGGCTGACCACCCCCTCACCTCCCTCCCGGACGGGGCGGCTGGCCGGGCAGAGGAGCTCCTCACTTCCCAGTAGGGGCGGCCGGGCAGAGGCGCCCCTCACCTCCCGGACGGGGCGGCTGGCCGGGCGGGGGGCTGACCCCCCCACCTCCCTCCCGGACAGGGCGGCTGTCGGGCGGAGACGCTCCTCACTTCCCAGACGGGGTGGCTGCCGGGCGGAGGGGCTTCTCACTTCTCAGATGGGGCGGCTTCGGGGTGGAGGGGCTCCTCACTTCTCAGATGGGGCGGCCGGGCAGAGACGCTCCTCACCTCCCAGACGGGGTCGCGGCCAGGCAGAGGCGCTCCTCACATCCCAGACCGGGTGGCGGGGCAGAGGCGCTCCCCACATCTCAGACGATGGGCGGCCGGGCAGAGACGCTCCTCACTTCCTAGATGGGATGGCGGCCGGGAAGAGGCGCTCCTCACTTCCTAGATGGGATGGCGGCCGGGCAGAGACGCTCCTCAATTTCCAGACTGGGCAGCCAGGCAGAGGGGCTCCTCACATCCCAGACGATGGGCGGCCAGGCAGAGACGCTCCTCACTTCCCAGACGGGGTGGCGGCCGGGCAGAGGCTGCAATCTCAGCACTTTGGGAGGCCAAGGCAGGCGGCTGGGAGGTAGAGGTTGTAGCGAGCCGAGATCACGCCACTGCACTCCAGCCTGGGCACCATTGGCCACCGAGTGAACGAGACTCCGTCTGCAATCCCGGCACCTCGGGAGGCCGAGGCTGGCGGATCACTCGCGGTTAGGAGCTGGAGACCAGCCCGGCCAACACAGCAAAACCCCGTCTCCACCAAAAAAATACGAAAACCAGTCAGGCGTGGTGGCGCGCGCCTGCAATCGCAGGCACTCGGCAGGCTGAGGCAGGAGAATCAGGCAGGGAGATTGCAGTGAGCCGAGATGGCGGCAGTACAGTCCAGCTTCGGCTCGGCATCAGAGGGAGACCGTGGAAAGAGAGGGAGACCGTGGGGTGAGGGAGACGGAGAGGGAGAGGGAGAGGGAGGGGGAGGGAGAGGGAGAGGGAGAGGGAGAGGGAGGGGGAGGGAGAGGGGGAGGGGGGCATTTTCAAATCCTTGCTTTTGATGTTTCCACCCTTACCATCATGACACTGAGGCAGGCTGAATCCAAAAAGTTAGTCTGTCCTTCTGAATTTAGCAGCACCCTGAGAATTCTTCCTGCTCTCCAGGAGGACCGTTATGCTATCTGGTGATGACTTCCTATTATCTTAGTCCCTTATATAAGATTGTGGTGGCTGGGCATGGTGACTCATGCCTCTAATCCCAGCACTTTGGGAAACCAAGGTGGGTGGATCACTTAAGGTCAGGAGTTCAAGACCAGCCAACATGGTGAAACCCTGTCTCTACTAAAAATACAAAAATTAGCTGTGCATGGTGGTGGGCACCTGTAATCCCAGCTACTCAGGAGGATGAGGCGGGAGAATCACTTGAACCCAGCATGCGGAGGTTGCAGTGAGCCAAGATGATGTCATTGCACTCCAGCCTGGGTGACAGAGTGAGACTCCATCTCAAAAAAAAGAAAAAGATTGTGGCATTGTTAGTCAAAATATGGAGTCAACCTAAATGTCTATCAGTGGATGAATGGATAAAGAAATTGTGATACATAAACACAATGGAATATTATTCAGCCCCCAAATGGGGGAAATCCTGTCGTTTGGAACAACACGGAGGAATCTGAAGGACATTGTGCTTAGTGAAATAAGCCAAGCACAGAAAGACAAATACCACATAATCTCACTTATATGCAGAATATAACAAGGTTGAACTCACAGAAGTAGAGAGTAGAATGGTGGTTACCAGAGGCTGGGGATGGTGTGTGGGGAGGCCGTGAATGGAGAGTTGTTGATTTAAGAGTACAAAGTTTCTTTGTAGACAGGAAAAATAGGTTTTGAGATCTATTGCCTAGCAGGGTGACTATAGTCAATATTAACGTATGTATATTTCAAAATAACTAAGAATAAATTTCAAATGTCTCACCATAAAAAATGATAGGCAAATTTTTTTAAATGATAGGCAAGTGAGATGATGGATATGTTAATTATCTTGATTTAATAATTCCTTATTGAATACATATATCAAAACATCACATTGTACCCCATAAATATACAATTATGATTTTTCAATTGAAAATAATATTAATAATAAAAAAGACTGTGAAATTATTGAGTGCAAAGGACTTAGAGCTCATCTAGACCATGTGTTTTTCAGAAGTGGAAAATGAGACTCTCTGCTTTGAAGTGCCTGCCCGAGTTTGCGGTGGCATGGAATCAGAGTCCAGGTCCTTTACTCCTCTTCCAAAGCGCTTCCATCTTGTGACTTGAAAAAGTTGAGTGCCACTGAAGAGACTGGGATCTGGTGTTAGCCGTACAACAGGGAAAGAGGGGACACAGGAGGCAGATGCTGAGTTACAGACAATTGGAAGAATGGGAAACAAAGTTAGAACCCGCACTTTCACCTATTGAGGACCAGATTTTTCCCACACCTCCAGCAAGTCTCTGCACCTACTACTGAGGAAGGTGGGGAAGGGAGTCAGCAGCATGCATCCCTAAGGTACAGCCCCGAGGGGCTGGGAAATGGAATCCATGCTGCATGGTGGGGGAGAGACCAGGGAAAGATTGTCAGCATGGAAGACCCTTGAAGAAGCCAGACTCAGGGGCTCCATTTGAGGCCTGACAAAGTAAGGCTGGAAGTGCCTGAATAAGACTCGGAGCAGCCAATGACAAATTTTCCTCTCACATTTTGGTCTAGTGCAGGCCCTATTAGAATCATATAATGGAGACTCAGACTGGTGATCTCAGGGTCCAAATAAGAGCCATGCTGAACACAGAATTCTTCCTGGATGTTTAACACCTTGATATTGTAACACACATTGTGGTCCATCTTCTCTTGTGGATATGTGAAAATTTTCACTATCTTCCTACAAAATAGTTTAGCTGTATGGATCTCAATTTATAGACAGAAAAAAAGGAAAAAAATAAAAAGATCAAAGTGGCAAAACAACTTGCCCAAGAACAGAAAATGCTAAAAGCCAATCATGGTCTAGGATTCACAGATATCAAGTTCTTCAATCTAGGATCCTATCCATGAATAAGCCATGGTTTCCAGTGTAATCCAAAAATTGTAACATACTCTGTTCCACTGTTATTGTTTGTGTTACAAAATTAGGATTTTAAAGTATTTTGTAGCATCTGAGCTAAGGCATGTCTTATAATTCAGATTCTTTTTTTCTTTCTTTAACCTATGTCCCGATTGCCCTGAGAATACAATACTGGCAGCAAGCTGCACTTTGTTTTTCTAAACAGGAAATGGGTTAAACGTCCAACCTATCTTCCTGTCTCACTGGCTGCCACTTTCAGTCAGCTTTGCCAACTCCTCCTTCTCTTCAAGCCTCTAAGTGTTGGCCATTCAGAGCACTAGCTATATTCTCTCCCTAGGTGATCTCATCCTGTCTCATGACTTTATAAATTCTCTTGGTCCATTTTGTGTTGCTAGGAAGGAACACCTAAGGCTGGGTAATGTGTATATAGAAAAAGGTTCATTTGGCCTATGATTCTGGGGGCTGGAGAGTTCGAGAATTGGCATCTGCATCTGGTGAGAACCTCAGGCTTTGTCTACTCATGGAGGAAGGTGAAGGGGAGCTGGTGTGTGTAGCAATCACTTGGGGAGAGAGGAGGAAAGAGAGAGTAGGGCAGTGCCAGGCTCTTCTTAACAACTCTTGTGGGAACTAATGGAGTGAAAACTCACTGACCTCTGGGAGAGGGCGTTAATCTATTCATGAGGGATCTGCTCCCATGACCCAAACACCTCTCACTAGGCCCCGCCTTCAACCTTGGTGATCAAACTTCAACATGAGGTTCAGAGGGGACAAACATCCAAACCATAGCTTATGCCTATTGTATATCCAGGATCCCCAAATTTAGCTCTCCAGTCCTTATTTCCTTTCCAAACTCCAGACTTACACCCAACTTTCTACTCCATAGCTCCATGTGCATGGCTCATAGGCCCTTCAAAGTTAACATGTTCCAAAAAGAACTCTTGGTTCCATAGCTACTTCATTCCCCACTCTCAAACCTACTCCTCCCCAATCTTCTCCCTCTTGATAAGCGGCACCACGACTCACCCACTTGCTACAAACCTAAAAGTCTTGCCTGAGTGTTCTTTTTCCTCACACACCCACATTCAGTCTGTCATGAAATTCTGTCAGTTCTACCTTCAAAATACATTCATCATCGTGACCTCTTTCACCGCCTCCACCTCTACCACCCTAGCCCAAGTTCCTGTCATCTTCCAACTGGGCTGACCTTTTTATGGTCTCCAGGAGAGCACTCATGACCTTAGCAATCATTACCCCATACCATATCCAGGGTGGCCAAATACTTAGATCATGTTACTTCCCTACTCAAAAGCCTCCAATAACTTCCCATAGCCCTCAGCATAAAACCTCAGTATTATGGTGTCTCCAGCCCTAGTGATCTCCTTTCCCCTAGTGGGTAGCTCAACTGTGACATCTCCACTTCCCTCCAGTCACACTTGCCTTCTTGCTTGCCTCTCCCGTGGGGGTTCTTAGCCTCTTCTGTGCCATGGACCCCTTCAGCAGTCTGGTAAGCCCTATAGATCTCTCAGAAAGTTTTTATTTTTTATTTTATTATTTTATTATTTTTTGAGCCAGAGTCTCACTCTGTCACCCAGGATGGAGTGCAGTGGCACGATCTTGACTCACTGCAACCTCTGCCTCCTGGGTTCTAGTGATTCTCCTGCCTCAGCCTCTCCAGTAGTTGGGGCTGCAGTCGTGTGCCACCACGCCCGGCTCATTTTTGCATTTTTAGTAGAGATGGGGTTTCGCAGTGTTGGCCAGGCTGGTCTCAAACTCCTGACCTCAAGAGATCCACCCGTCTCGGCCACCCAAAGTGCTGGGATTACAGGCGTAGGCCACCACACCCAGGCCCCTCTCAGAAGGTTTGTTTGTTTGTTTGTTTGTTTGTTTGTTTGTTTTTTGAGACGGAATCTCCCTCTGTCACCCATGTTGGAGTGCAGTGGCACAACCTTGGCTCACTGCAGCCCCTGCCTCCCAGGCTCAAGGACTTCTCCTGCCTCATCCTCCTGAGTAGCTGGGATTACAGGCACACACCATTACACCTGGCTAATTTTTGTATTTTTAGTAGAGATGGGGTTTCACCATGTTGGCCAGGCTGGTCTTGAACTCCTGGCCTCAAGTGATCCATTTGCCTTGGCCTCCCAAAGTTCTGGGATTACAGGCATGAGCCACTGCACCTGCCATCAGAAGGTTTTTAAATGCATAAAATAAAATTCATAAGATGACAAAGGATGAAATATAGTTACAGTATATTAAATTTACAATGAAATATGTATACATATGATGTATACAATGAAAAAGTTACAATGAAATTGTAAATATTTAAATATTAAAAACACATTTGTGTTACAGTAATGAATGTCCTTCTTTATCATCGTGTGAAAGAACAAGATCTAGCAGCAGCTCTAATAACTATCATAATTTGGAAGTTGTGATAAGCACGAAAGATACTTCCAGATACCTGTAACAACTGTAATGTGATGGGAGAGTATCTGTGATTTTCATTGGTGTCAGAGTCACAGATGCTGCTAATATTACTGCAGCATGTTTGACTGCAGTAATTTACTGAAGTAAAAACTAAACTTCAGTTAGCAGTTAGTGAGAATAGAGAAGTAATTTTCTTCCCCATTTAAGTTCAGGGACCTCCTGATTTTATCCATGGACCCCAAGTTAAGACCCTCTGCTTAACATACCAAGCTCATTCCCACCTCTGGACGTTTAGACTTGCTATTCCCTCACTTGGAATGCTCTCCGTCTAGATCTCTGCATAGCTTATTCTTATCTTGCTCAAGCTTCTATCCAAAGGGTGCCTTCCCTCACTACCTGTCCAAAGAAGCACCCCCATTCATCTGTCACGCTCCTTCCCTCCATCTGCTTCCTCTCCCCACCTTACTTACCACTCTTTCAAGTCAGGCTGTTTTGGTGTTTTGTGTTTGTTTACTTGTTTACTGGATTCCTGAAGGTGAACTGCACTGTCTGCCTTGTTCTCCACAGCCCCCCAGCATCTAGAACTGTGCCTGGTACAAGAAAGCACTTAGCAAATATTTGGTGGGATGATGAATGGCTGTAAAAGGATTAAATGATTTAGACTTTTAGATACTTGTAAGTATCTCTCCTGGGAAAAGATGTTTTGTTCCAAATTTCAGTCAAAAAAGGTATGTTTTCACAGGTTGTTAAAATTTTTCAAAATTAATATTTTTAATGGAAAATGTTCCATATTTTATAGTCTTATAGCTATGGGTCATGAACCAGCTTGGGCATGTGCCTCCCCCACCAGAGGACTGAGTGTTAGAGTCCCAGAAGGTTGGTGAACCTTTATCACAATGAGCAGTGTCTTGTTTTGACTACCTCACATGAAAGCATAACAGATTACTTCTAAAAATAGCTATTTTATTTTGAACTTGTTCTTTCCATTTTGAATATGGCCAATCCTGAAAAGGGATTTATTGAATTCACATTATACTTCTCTCAAAAGTAAATAGCATTAAAGAGCAAACACAGTGGTTTATCACATGACGTAGAGGCAAATTAATCCTTTATTGCAAGGTATAATTTAATATTGGACACATTGTGTTTGAGGCACTGGGGGACTTCCTAGTGAGAGCTTGCTAGTCATTAAAAATGTGGGTCTGGAACTCAGGAAAGCAGACTCAGCTTCAGAGACAAATGGGTGTCATTGTTGCACATGTGGTACTGGAGCAATAGTGGTAGGTAGGATTTCTCAGGTGGAACATGTGGAATCAGAGACGGAGCCAAAGTCATCTCCTAAACAGCCCACAGAAGAGGAAAAAAAACAGGAAGGAAGACTTGGAATCAGAAGTACCAAGTCATTCAAGTAGCTACCTAACCAAGTATAAGTTGACTTACTAGTCGCCTAAGGTATGTAATTCCTGACCAGCTCCTGAAGATAAGAAAGAAGAGAGAAAAGTAATACATGTACCATGACCTTTAAAAGAGAGAGAGAGAATTGGATAGAACATAAAACTGACAAACAACATATGAAAAAATGCGAATCATGCCTCATTCGCAAATTATCTTACAAAAGCAGACACCTAAATGGAAGAGTTGGCAAAATGTAGAGCTTGGTAAAGAAAGCCAGAGAAGAAATACTAGGGCAAACCTCAAGTGAATACAGGAATAGCACTGAGAGCTAAAAAGGAAAGTTTTTTTTTTTTTAAAAAAACAACTTATTAAATGCCAAACGGTAGATGTGTCCCTGCTGTACCAAGAAATGTTGGTGTTCCCAGGGCATCTGTGTTAAGTAACTGAAACAAAATGTTTTTCATTCAAACAACTGCATTTTGAACAGAAGACTGAAAACAAAGTAAAGCAAAAAGATTGTAATCCTGAAACAAACCGACATACATATTCTATGAATGTGTAGTAGCAAAACACAGAAGCAGGATAATCATTTAATTGCATTTATGCAAGTGCTTTGACTCTTCATTGTTGGCAAATAAATTGATAAGATTTTTAAATGGCAGAGAGGACAGATCTAGGAAGCATAATGCTTGTTCCTGATCAAAATGAGCTGATTGGAAAATTTTTCAAACATTTTCAAGCAAAACACTTGCATTTAATTCCGTTGAATCTGATGAAGTATGATTGACAGTGGACCAAGAGCCCCGACCACTGTGCTCCCCATCCCCTGATCAAGGCACCACCTTCTCTCACACTCATCTAAGTGGTCCCTGAGAAACCTCCAAGGAAACCCAGGGGTCTGTGCAGCACATTTGAAAACCACTCAATCAAAGAAAGAAGACACAGTGCGTGTAATACACAAGAACAAGAATTCATGCCCAACGTTTTCTTAGTGACTTGATCCAACTTAAATGTATCCACTTACTAAGTGGAAGTGCTTTAAGCACCAGAAGGAAGTCAGCTTGGGACCCTGATTCTAGTTTCAGTATCTCGGCCGCAGCTGCCATCTATGCACACGTTCATTCTAAGCTAGATCTGAGCAATGGCAATGGTTGTAGCCACCCCAGCACACTGGCAGGTAGCAGTGGGGATGAGAAAGAGGTTTGTTGGGCGTTTCCTACTCATTTTCCAGAGAAGATGGGTGGGAAGTCAAGGAGGCAGGTTTCCAGGAGGTTACTGCAGCTTAAGTTTTAGAATCCCTCCCACAAACTCAGTTAATGCGTATCACCAATCCAAAAAGCATTGAAGATTAGCTACTGTGCAAACACTTGAATGCCCTGGAATCTTATGGCTTATATATGAAAGAAATTTGGTAGAGGTTCTCCCGATCCTAAAAGTTTACATATGACCAATAACATGTTGTGAAGCCAAGAAAACTTTTCTAATTATCAATAGTAATAAAAGACAATTTCCCCTCAATCATGCTAGAGGGAAGACTGAATTATTTATGATCGCTATAGGCATTGATAGTACAAAATCATGGTAATGTAAATAAGTGTGCAGCCCCCAAAAATGTAATGAAAAGGCATTTAGGAAGATGTGCCTGGCAGTTTAGCAATAAAAATTATGACAATAGCTGGGCATGGTGGCTCATGCCTGTAATCTCAGCACTTTGGGAGGTTGAGACAGGCGGATCACCTGAGGTTAGGACTTCGAGACCAGCCTGACCAACATGGTGAAACCCCGTTTCTACTAAAAATACAAAAATTAGCTGGGCATGGTGGCGCATGCCTGTAATCCCAGCTACTCAGGAGGCTGAGGCAGGAGAATTGCTTGAACTCAGGAGTCGGAGGTTGCAGTGAACCGAGATTGCACCACTGCACTCCAGCCTGGGCAACAGGGCAAGACTCTGTCTCAAAAAAAAAAAAAAAAAAAAAATTATGATAATATTTTTCTAGGTTTTGTAGTGTTTCTGTTATTGATCAGCTTTTTATATTTTTAAATCTGTTGTGATTTCTTTTCTAATTCTAAAGAAATCACTTTTGTACCTGACTTTGTATTAGGCATTTTGTACTCTTTTTTTTTCTTCTTCGTGTAGTCTTTTTTATTTAAGATGGTGCCAAAAGCCAGGTACAGTGGCTCATGCCTGTAATCCCAGCACTTTGGGAGGCCAAGGCAGGCAGATCACTTGAGGTCAGGAGTTCGAGACCTCCTGGCCAACATGGTAAAACCCTGTCTCTGCTAAATATACAAACATTAGCCGAGTGTGGTGACGGGCACCTGCAGTCCCAGCTACTTGGGAGGCTGAGGCAGGAGAATTGCTCAAACCCAGGAGGTGAAGTTTGCAGTGAGCCAAGATCATGTCACTGCACTCCAGCCTGGGCAATAGGGATAGACTGCATCTCAAAATAAACAAACAAACAAACAAAGATGGTGCCAAAAATTATACAAGCCTCAGGCCTTGCAAAGCCTGGATCTGCATCTGTTTACCTTGGAGGTGCAGTGGGCAGACGACAATTGCTTCTTGGGCACTGTCCTATTCTGCTAGAGTTTGCAGTAATTGAATGTGCAGACTGATGGGGATGGAATGGGGGCTTTCATAGATGAAAAAATCGAGAGACACAAAGTCAGTCTTATTTTAGACCACATTCATAACAAACGTCAAATCGCACCTCCTCCCCTCAAGCCAACTAGATCCTTCAATATCCAATTATCATCATGGACATAAAAGAAGGAAATGTTGAGTATAAAGGGAACCCCACCTTGCATCTAAGCTGGGATTCCACTCTGGACATAAATCATAAACTGCTGGGGTTGGCCTATAAGACATTATTTGCATGAAGAACAGAGAAGCCTTCTGGGAAAGAACTCACCCTAAGGGAAGCAGGAGCTTCACATGAACAGCTTGCCCCTGTCATCTTTGCAAGTTCTACAAAGAGAACATCAGAGCTTGCAAAAATATAGCTTAACTTAGGGTTTATACACTAAAACAAAGAGAGGGGGGAGACAGGGTAACTTTAGTATCCTGAGGGCCCTGCTGCTTTCCACTGCTGTGGTATGAGACAGCAGCACCAGAAGGTATCTGGGGGGAAAAAGAGGCCTAGTGAGCACAGTGATCCCTGTTGGTGATCAGTGGAATGATGAGTGCGTAGCAGGAGTTAATTTGTCCATGAGTATACAGAGACTTGTAGAAATAACACGGGAAGACATATTGCAGAGGACTGAAGAGGTCCTGGCTGAGCTGGTGTGGGCACAAACTAGTGAAATTTGGTTTATTGCTCTAGTAATGACAGGGCAGGGAGTGGGGATGCTCAGGGATAACATAATCAAGAGGACCTGGGTGTTATCTGCCACAAGCTTACTGTGTGACTTTATACCTCTGCTTTCCTCATGTGGAGAAATTTGGTGCAGGTGTCAGACAAATGATCTCTAAGATATCTGCTAGCAGATTCAAATTAATGTTCTCTCTATTTTATCAGAGATTAGATGCAAATGGTTTCAGTCATGCCAACAGCTGGGCTCCCGCAGGCCTGCAGTAAGTGACTTTTAGAAATTATGCACCTACTAATTTCTAGATGAACAAAGTGAATCTCAGAGCAAACAAGCGACTTCTCTGGTGCTACTATTCTCAGAAGCACAATGTAACCAGAATCTGAGGCCGCTGAAGAGCTGGAATTCAAAAAAACAGTGCTTCTGCCAGGACTGCGGGATATGGCAGTGGGGGCAGTGGCTGTAGGGCTCTGTGACCATAGAATGCTGTCAATGATGTCCCTAGAACTGTGCTGTGTGTCACCTGCCCAACCGTATATGGTGGCCCTCCTCTGTCCCCCTTGTCCCTACTCTCAAAATTTAGTTCCAAGTCCCATGACTGGAAGTCCCAGGAAAAGGAAGGGTGGAGGTGCTGGAGCAGTCCTCTGCCCTGCCCACTGCCTTTTCCTCTCCTAGGAATGCATTTTATTTTAAAAAGTTACTTACAGAGCAGAGCTGATGGCTTTCCCAGATGCCCTGCCACCAGACAAGACTGCGCACACTGGGAAAACACAAATGAATTCTCATGCACGCTGGAAAGGTTCAAAATGACAACAGGAAGTTAGAGAATTGTGAGGAAAATGGAAAATCCTTAGGCAATTTATGAAGATGACAGATTGGAATTCTCCAGTCTCTTGCTTCTCTGCCAAGCATAGCTACTGCTAAAGAGAGTAGCACAAAAATGCAGGATGGCCTCTTTCAAGATGGCGGCCTCCAGAAAGCCAGAGTCGCTGCTGGAGAGGCAAGGGAGCAGCCAAAGAGCACCCACAGAAGACAAGGAAGTCAGAGTCCTCGTGGAAAAGCATGCAGCAGAGCACACTTTCTCAAGCACACCCAGACTCATCGACTTCTATTAAAGTTGCCCAAAGCTGTGCGGTGGCTTATGCCTGTAATCTCAGCACTTTGGGAGGCTGAGGTGGGTGGATCACCTTAGGTTAGGAGTTCGAGACTAGCCTGGCCAACATGGTGAAACCCTGTCTCTACTAAAATACAAAAATTAGCCGGACATGATGGCAAGTGCCTGTAATCCCAGCTACTCAGGAGGCTGAGGCAGGAGAATCGCTTGAACTCGGGAGGTGGAGGTTGCAGTGAGCCAAGATGGTGCCACTGTGCTCCAGCCTGGGCGATAGAGCAAGACTCAGTCTCAAAAAAAAAAAAAAAAAAAAAAAAAAAAAAGTTGCCCAAAGCTATGGTAGAAAATGGCCCCAGGATTCTATGGCCCAGCCCATGTCCATGCCAGGGAAATATCATAAATTTGGTATGGAAGCAGAGAATCAAACATGCTTTGAGCTCATCTGCCACATTGTGCCCACATGCTCTTCCTGTGTTTGCCATGGGGTCACACACACAGGCCCCTGCTGCTCACCTTTACAGACCTTTCTCCAGGTGGCTCTTCTGTGTTCTGCTCTGTGCAATGCATGTCCAAGAAGGAACTGACACAGAACAGTCAGATAAACTGATATTTAGACCAGTGCACTTCAGCCTTGGCTACACATTGAACTCATCTGGGGAGCTCTGCAAAAATGCCTAATGCCTGGCTCCTACCCCAGACCAAATAATTCAGCATGTCAGGCTGGAATACTGGCATTTGCTAAGAGCTGGTGCAGGTGGAAGCATCTGCCAACTCTGAGAGCTAAATCAGTGATTCTTAAACTTTGCTCAAATATAAAAAACTCTTTCCTTTGAATTTTAACTCTTTAGGACCCCAACATTCTGGTCACATATTTTGGGGGAGCTTTAAAAAAGCCCAGTGTTCAGATTGTACCCCATATCGATTAAATCAGAATTTCTGGAGATGGGAACCAGGCATCAGTATTTTAAAAAATTTCTCAGATACTTCAAAAGTTCAGCCAAATTGGGAACCAATGAGTTAAATGATAACAGTCTAGTTCAAACAGTAGGATCTCGGTGTGTGGCGGTTGAGGAGGTTGGGAAAGGGGACCTACCTTCCAAGCTAGGAATAAGAAATCAACAGAGTTTGGCAGGAGGCTGGTTGGTTGTATTAGCAAATCTAAAGATAGAACATGTCAACCAAAGCGGGATGTCTGCATGGAACAGGGAAAGTGGGAGTCAGAGAGGAAGGTCTAGCCAAGGGGGCAGTGCATGGGTGACCTCATGGGAACATCCAGTCCTATCTGTTTGGCAGGTCTGTCCCCAAAGAAGAGATGAAGGGACAAGCTTAAGAAAATTTGGCACCTGGCTGGGTACGGTGGCTCACGCCTGTAATCCCAGCACTTAGGGAGGCTGAGGCGGGTGGATCATTTTTGAGGTCAGGAGTTCAAGACCAGCCTGGCCAACATGATGAAACCCTATTAGTACTAAAGATACAAAAAATAAGCCAGGTGTGGCTACAGGCACCTGTAATCCCAGCTACTCAGGAGACTGAGGCAGAAGAATTGCATGAACCCAAGAGGTGGAGGTTGCAGTAAGCCAAGACCGTGCCATTGCACTCCAGATCCAGCCTGAGTGCCAGAGTGAGACTCTGTCTAAAAAGAAAAAGAAAAAAAAGACACCCTTTGACATTAAACCTTCCTTCTAATATCCCCTGCTCAGCCTGTGCTCAAGCGGCATTCTCATTACCATTTGTCTTCCTTTTAGTTTTCTACTGGGAAAGAACATGTTAGTCAAGGTGACACAAATGTCCACTCAGCTTAGAAGTTCTTATTTCTTGTTGCAAATTAATAAATTGTCATTTTGGTTTAGATAGCCGCTTCCTGAGAGCTTGAGTGATGTGGATCTGTCCCTGAGAACCTGACTCACTCTAGCAGGTTGAAACAGTCTAGTTTCCAAACCTGCAGATTAGTTTCACCAAAGTGGCACCATTTCAAAATTCCTGGGGCTTAGCACAGAGTGTTTTTCATGATCCACCAAATTGGGAGCTCCTGGAAGACGCTGGTCAGTGTTTGATTCTTCTGTGTATCACCAATACCACCTTAATTCCAAGACACCATAGGCAAGGATGATAGTCTGAATATATACATCCATGTCAGCAGCACGGCTGTTTCTGTACAATGCCAGCCCCAGTGCTGGAGCAGAGTCCTGGAGGCCACCATAGAGCCAGGTGCTAATGCTGGTCTTACGGAATTCAGGGGGTCCTGGGGAAGAGATTGCTATGTCTGCAGCAGAGGAAGGCACTGGCGAGGTTCAAGGTAGAGACGTTTTGCCAATCAGCACAGAAGTATTTTGATATTTTAGAAATTAGTAGATACAGCCATACTGGTGCATGACAGCTGAATATCAGCTGTTTGTAGGTAACACGTATTTGTTGATTCGATGAGTACCCCCCACTAAAGCATCCTTCTTATGGCTGGTGGCACTCCTCCATCTGCCTTCCCACAAAATGCCAAAGACTTTCCTGCCCAGGGCTCCTTGACCCATGAGAGAATGTGACTAAGTATGGTCTTAGCTTCACATCACATATCCTGGGGAGCTGGTGGTTCTGGTGGCTGGGACCTGAGGAGCGAGAAGAAAAGGAGTGTGGGCTGGGCCGGGGGCGGTGGCTCACACCTGTAATCCCAGCACTTTGTGAGGCTGAGGCAGGTGGATCATCTGAGGCCAGGAGTTCAAGATCAGCCTGGCCAACATGGTGAAACCCAGTCTCTACTAAAAATACAAAAAATTAGCCAGGCGTGGTGCTGGACACCTATAATCCCAGCTACTTAGGAGGCTGAGGCAGGAGAATCGCTTGAACCCCGGAGGTGGAGGTTGCAGTGAGCTGAGATCATGCCACGGCACTCCAGCATGGACAACAAGGCGAAACTGCATCTCAAAAAAAAAAAGAAAGAAAGAAAGAAAGAAAGAAAGAAAGAAAGAAAGAAAGAAAGAAAGAAAGAAAGAAAGAAAGAAAAAGAAAAGGAGTGTGGCCTCCTCACAGGACTAAGAATATAATGCATAGACCTGCTTTCGCTTTAATTTAAAAAGAAGGTACTAAAGCCCCATGTCTTTTGCAGCTATGGAATCCTTTGACAAAATTAGTTTTCTTTGTTGTGTTCTAATTTGAAAGCAAAAACAAAACAAAACAAAACAAAGCCATTCGTCTAATAATATTTGTGGCAAGGGAGCTTGATTAGATGAGAACAAAACTTCTGGTCCCCTTTAAAGTGGCATCTACTATGATGCCAACAAAGCAACTGTCTAAGAATTGCCTTCTTTAGCATTCTGCACTAACTCTTTACTGCATTTGATATTCTGCCACAAGTGATGGCTGAGGGACATCGTCACTGGGGGAGGTTGCTGAAGAACACTTGTTTACCATGTCATTCCTGCTTTGTCATTCTGGTGGTGGCTTGTCCATCACCCTCCTCACAGCACTTTAAAGGCACATGTGCAGTCAGTGAAATAGACAGATCTAAAGAGTCTTTTATGGTTAATGGTGCTGTTATTGTGAAATATGAATGCTGTAGATGTCAGTTGATAGTTTATCATGCTGTCCACAGTTTTGGCATTTTAGACCTTTCCCCCAATATTTTACTTTCCCCCTGTTTCCCAATCCCCACCCTCTTAAATTTTAGTAAACTGTATATTGTCATGCTATTGAGAAATCTAGTCTGGAAATCGTTTGGGATTTTTTTAGCTGGAGTTTCGCTGTCATCCAGGCTGGAGTGCAGTGGCCCGATCTCAGCTCACTGCAACCTCTGCCTCCCAGGTTCAAGCAATTCTCCTGCCTCAGTCTCCTGAGTAGCTGGGATTACAGGCTCCTACCACCATACCCGGCTGATTTTGTATTTTTAGTAGAGATGGGGGTTTCACCATATTGGTCAGGCTGGCCTTGAACTCCTGATCTCAAGTAATCCACCTGCCTCAGCCTTCCAAAGTGCTGGGATTACAGGCATGAGCCACCGCACCTGGCCTGGAGATGTATTTAGAGAAGGCTGTTGTTCCTTCTAAAATCGTTTATATTCTCACTAATACATATATTATCTCATAGCTTCTGAGTATGTACAGTTAGAATAAGGGTTATTTGGTACCAGCTAGTGATAAAGAGATGTCTAAACAGATAGATGGATGCCTATCCTGTTATAGTAGCAAAATATATCTAGACCAATTCTGATGATGGCTGCGATGGCAAAGCATTTGTTTCAAAGTTATTATTTTGGTGTCATCTTTTGGACATCTCAGAAAGCTCTCGGCTGAGCTAGAAACAGAGTTTCATTATTCAAAAGGAAAAATCTATTACATCTTGTGAGCCCAGAGTGAAAACAGCACGTGAACTCAGGGCTGCCAGCAGACCCTCGTGCCAGCTGGTTCAATGGGCAGAAGTGAGAATGTTAATAAACACTCTAATGAAAGGAAGTTGTTGGATAGTAATTAACATATGCCATTAGTATCTGTCCCTTTGGCCAGACACGGCAGACAGGCTGAAACCATACATACAAATGAGTGTCTGCTAGGACTGTGCACTGTGCGCGGAAGAAAGGGGGACAGTGTCATTGTGAGCGACTGGTGTTGTCAGCAGCTTTAAATCACAGGGCCACTGAGTAACAAAAACAGGGAAGGCTTTTGTGTTTTGGAACAATTGGGTGGCTTACAATTTAAAATACTTAATAAACTTATTTTTATTCTCACTTACTTTCCTTTTACCTCAAAACCTTCTGTTTATAGTTTTGTTTTGTTAAGAAAAATACTGATTTAGCTTTTTTTTCCTAATCAGTGAGTGAAGGATGCAACTCAGGGCTTTTTATTTTTAAACCACAATTTCCTCATCTCGCCAGGAAGAGAGGTGACTACCTGTTTCTCAGGGGCATCCCAATAGTCATATTTCTCAAGATCTACATTATTCCTTTCTGGTTGATCTAAAATGGGTTAGAAATCATACCAGCTACTCCCAAATACTGCCTCTCACAATACAGTTGAAAATCAGGACTGCAAACACCGAGCTCAGTCGGCTTCAATGGCTTCTTTTTGCCAATGGGAAACTGAGGCCCCGAAAGGCGAACTTATGGTCCCTAAATCATAGACCTGGTCTGCTGACCATTGTTAAGCCTTCTCCCATCCTAGGCCACACTGTTGCATTGACTGCTTCTTTCTTACTTTGACAATGACCAATTCCATACTACTTTGCTGAGAAAAAAAAAGAGACACTAAAAAGAGACCACACCACATTTGGATCTTCTTCATGTATGTTGATTTGCTGATAGCACACACAACATTTTAAGCATTTTAAATCCAACCTTTTAAAGATACTGGAAACAGTGCAGCTTGGTGCCATTTGGTTGTATGATGTCATGAGAAGTTAAAACTAGAAAATCTAGCAGGAACAAAGGACCAGCAGAAAAATAAAAGAATTATTAATAGAGATCAGAAAGATACAGCAAAATATAAGTTGACAAAGAAGACTGGCACCACAATAAGTAGGTAGAAGCCTTTGGAAGTGTCTAATGTGTACTTTAACATATAATTTTCCTATTATAAATTAATATGAATAATTGAATTTGGGCATCTGCGAATAATTAAAGTTGGCTAACGTTTCTCTTTGTGTTATCTTCGAAGAACTTGTTAAACCATTAAAGAATAAACAAGGCAGTCCGGGTGTGGTGGCTCACGCCTGTAATCCCAGCACTTTGGGAGGCCGAGGCAGACGGATCACGAGGTCAGGAGATCGAGACCATCCTGGCTAACATGTTGAAACCTCGTCTCTACTAAAAATAGCCAGGCACGGTGGTGTGCGCCTGTAGTCCCAGCTACTCGGGAGGCTGAGGCAAAAGAATTGCATAAACCCAGGAAGCAGAGGCTCCAGTGAGCCGAGATCGCACCACTGCACTCCAGCCTGGACAACAGAGCAAGACTCCATCTCAAAAAAAAAAAAAAAAAGAATAAACAAGGCTGGGTGCGGTGACTCACCCCTGTAATCCCAGCACTTTGGGAGGCCAAGGCAGGCAGATCTCCTGAGGTCAGGAGTTCCAGACCAGCCTGGCCAACATGGTGAAACCCCATATCTACTAAAAATACAAAAATTAGCTGGTAGTGGTGGCACACGCCTGTAATCCCAGCTACTCAGGAGGCTGAGGCAGGAGAATCGCTTTAACCTGGGAGGCAGAGGTTGCAGTGAGCCGAAATCATGCCTCTGCACTCCAGCCTGGGCAACAGAGTGAGACTGTCTCAAAAATAAAATAAAATAAAATAAACAAAAATATAGACAAATTAACCTACTTAAGACAACAAAATAACTTTCAAGCATTATTCAGGCTTTTTAAAAAAATGCTTCCTTTAAATGGGTAGCATCTACTTGCTAAAACAGACCCAGAAAAAAACCTTTATTTGTATCTTTTCACTAATGGTTAGTTTACCTTCCAACTTAATTGAAAAATAAAGGGCTCTATTTGTTGACAGATTAAAACTACTTCTGTTTAAGAACATTCTGTGGGTGGGGATGGCCAGTCTCATGCTGCCATGTTGTTCTCCTCATTCACTGCACCTTGAGAAACTCTTAGCCATCAAGGAGATCTCCACAGAAGAGAAGGCAATTCATGGCCAACAGAAGTTGCTGTGGGCCTTCGGGAACCTTCAAACTGGCCCTCAAGGTCCATTTCAGGCAACTCAAGCTTTTCTCTGAACAAGTTAGCCTTCCTCTCAGCTGGTAGCATTGTTTATTCAATCATTTACCTCTTCAAAGAACTTATATTGAGCACCTTTTAGTGTCGGATGCAGTGCCTGCCAATGGGCCTCCATCTTTGAACGTGGCAGAATGGGCACCCTTAATGTAGTTTCTGCTGTTTTCTGTGCTTGCCCCTTTGTCAGATTCTGTATCAGGTTATAACATGAACAAGGGTTAGTTTTTTGCCTTGGAAAAAGGACAAAGGACCAATAAAAAGAGAAAGGATTTCATATTCACTTAAACTATAAATTTGGGGGCCTCACAATGCCCCACACAGCTCTTGGTAGAGAGCCTGTATCCATTCAAAGATTCATGAACAGGAACATGAATGTTAAGTGTGTATAAAGACCCTGGAGATCATCTGGTGCAACCCTTTGGTTTTACAGATGAGGACACTGAAGCACCGAGAAGGAAACAGAAGATTCAGGACAAAGCCAGCTCTGTCTCCTGTACCAACCTTGCATGAAAAACAACCAAGGAAATCTTGCTTTGAGCAGAAACGATTTGCGAGTCAATACATATGTACTGGGAGGAAAGATGAACTGAGATGACTCTACCTAAAAGACAGAATGCCAAGGAACAACTTAAGGATATCCTGCAAAACTTATTATCAATACTTATTTAGAAAAAGTCCCGACTAGGTGTCCTTATAGAGGTTCAAATGTGAGTAGGACACATGCACGGCCAGGGAGGCCTGGATTATAGGTGGCCACCAATTCCAGCCTACACTGCCAGGTGACTCTTGAATCCTTCCCTGAAGATGTTTCTAACAGGAGGGAAATCCATTTGTCCCCTATCAAAGAGCAATGATGACCAGGCAGGTGGCTGGTCCTTCCTGAGGCTCTGTTAATGTGGGGTCCGTTTTGACAAACTCATATTCACATCAATAGAGGGCAGGTCCCCAAAGAGGACAGTGGCTCCAGCTCTCTGTGGCCCACTGACAGCTCCTCTTTGGGTTTTGGAGGCCCCCTGTATGTTTACTGCAATCCTGACAGACTTCTGCCCAGGGAACTTCCTCTTTCTTTTAGTGATTTTGCTGTTATTGTTGTTTTTAATTGCAAAAATAATATGCAGTTATTAAAACAAATTCAAATAACACAGAAATATAAGTAAAAACTGAACATTATTTCTCCCTTTCCCACACTTTGTGCTTCCCCTCCAATTCCTTTCTTTGTGGGTAACTATAATGTACAAATTCAAGCCAGGCGCAGTGGTTCAAACCTGTAATCCCAGCACTTTGGGAGATTGAGGCAGGTGGATTGCTTCAGGTTAGGAGCTCGAGACCAGCCTTGCCAATATAGTGAAACCCTGTCTCTACTAAAAATACAAAAAAATTAGCTGGGTGCGGTGGCAGGCACCTGTAATCCCAGCTACTAAGGAGGCTGAGGCAGGAGAATCACTTGAACCCAGGAGGTGGAGGTTGCAGTGAGCCGAGACAGCACCATTGCACTCCAGCCTGGGCAACAAGAGTGAAACTCTGTCTCAAAAAAATAATAATAATAAAATAAATATAATGTACGAATTCTTCCAAAAGAAAATATGTAGTGTATTTTTATATAAATATTTATATAGCAAATATTTATGTATATTATATATTTTATATCATAATATATATAATTATATAGCTATATTAATATATATTATATTTTTTACACATATATACTATATATGTATATATAGACAATTTATATTTTTAATTTACATGTATGTGCACTTATACAGAAAGTTTTTATCAACACAAATTATATACCAAATGCGTTGTTTCATAACTTGCTTTTCTTACCAAATAAACTACATATTATGCTTATTTTCCCATGATGGTACAATGTGTTACAGGTATGGATATGCACCAATTTATTTAATGAGTGCCCAACTCATGAGCATTTAGGTTGTTTTCTTTATTTTTGTAAATAACCTTCTATTACTATTAGGTAACTTGCTTAACATTCTCTCCATCCCCCGCTTTAAGCTCAGTTATATAAATGTGCCACCATATCTCAATCCTATTATGAACATAACACTTGATTCTGTACCAGTTAAGTAACTACTGTACCAAATGAGGGGATGAATATGAGGTTTAAAATGTCACAAAATCAAAAGATATTAAAGGTTTACACACCATTTGTTACCTGTGGGTTTGTCTAATGTTTTGGTCTATTTTCTTTCCCAGCCTAGCTGCTACACTTTACCTATATTGCCTGCCTGCCTTCCTTCCTTCCTTCCTAACTTCCTAACTTCCTAACTTCCTTCCTTCCTTCCCGCCCTTTTCTTGCTTTCTTTCCTTCCTTCCCTCCCTTTTCTCTCTTTCTCTCTCTCTCTCTTTCTCTTTCTTTCTTTTTCTTTCTTTCTTTCCTTCTTTCTTTCTTTCTTTCTTTCTTTCTCTTTCTTTCTTGCTTGCTTGCTTCCTTCCTTCTTTCCTTCCTTCCTTCCCTTCCCTTTCCCTTCCTTCCTTCCTCCCTTCCTTCCTTCCTCTCTCTCTCTCTCCCTCTCTCTTTCTTTCTCTCTTTCTCTCTTTGAGATGGGGGTCCCCACTCTGTCATCCAGGCTAGGCTAGAATGCAGTGGCACAATCATGGCTTGCTGCAGCCTCAGCCTCCCCAAGGTCAGGTAATCCTCCCACCTCAGCCTCCCAAGTAGCTGAGACTACAGGAACATGCTACTGTACTTGGCTAAATTGTGTGTGTGTGTGTGTGTGTGTGTGTGTGTGTGTGTGTGTGTGTGTGTGTGTGTGTGTGTTTGGTGGAGACAGGGTTTCACTATGCTGCCCAGGCTGGTCTTGAACTCCTGGGTTCAAGCCATCCTCCCACCTTGGCCTCCCAAAGTGCTAGGATTACAGGTGTAAACCACCGAACCCAGCATTATATTTTCATTTAAAAATTAAGATTTTTGATGATAAGAAAGAAAAACCAAGTCCACAGGATTTGCCTGGTTACACATCTCAGTGAAGATGTGAGTGGCAGAGAAGATGCTGCTGAGCTCTGTCCAGGGCCTGCCTCACAGTGGACTCTCCATAAATATTAAACCACAGAGGCTGAGCTGAGCTGCAAAGAGAACATGTGTCTGTCAGACCTCCATGAGTCACCTGCTTTGTGCAAAGCCCTGAAGATTTCCCAAAAGGAATCAGACAGTCTCTGCCCTCTAGAACCGTGGTTGTAGGAGAAGAGATAAACACAAAACACCACCTAAAATATGGCAAGATGAAGTGGGTGCAATGGAAGAAACAGCGAAGGGCAGGGGTAGGGGACAGGAAAGCTTTGCATTGAAAAGGGAAGTCACAAGAATATGTGTTTGAACCAAGCATTGAGCAGAATTTTGATGGTGGTGTGAATGGTGGAGAGAGGAATTTCAGGTTAAGGAATAAGTACACGGTTGCCGAATATGGATAAATGTTTAGGGAGTGGCAAACTGTGAATGATACACTATATCTAGAAACCAGAGGGACCTTGTTTGAGATCAGAAAGACACTTGGAGCCAGATTGTGGCCTGGAATGGAAGTCCAAGGAGTTTCTGGGTCACTAGATAGGCAGTGGTGTTCCTTGCAGGTTTAGGAATGTGGTCTGTTCCATGGTTTGGGAAGATAATCTAAGATGGATTATTATTATTATTATTATCATTATTATTAGAGACAGAGTCTCACTCTGTCACCTGAGCTGGAGAGCAGTGGCACAATCTTGGCTCTCAGCAACCTCTGCCTCCCAGGCTCAAGCAATCCTCCCGCCTCAGCCTCCTGAGTAGCTGAGATTACAGGCACTATGCCTGGCTAATTTTTGTATTTTTTATAGAGACGGGGGTTTCACCACGTTGCCCAGGCTGGTCTTAAACTGCTGAGCTCAAGTGATCCGCCTGCCTTGGCCTCCCAAAGTGTTGTGATTACATACGTGAGGATGGATTATTAAGGAACATAAAAGATTGAAGATTTTTTTAATCAAAAGACTGGGGGTAGGAGAGCAATGATGTGCTAGCTTTGGTCCTCTGTTGATGTCAGGGTTGATGTCCCGAACACCTGAGTTCGGGAGTTCGAGACCAGCCTGACCAACATGGTGAAACCCCATCTCTACTAAAAATACAAAAGTTAGGTGGGCATAATAGCGGGCATCAGCTACTTGGGAGGCTGAGGCAGGAGAATTGCTTGAACCTGGGAAGCGGAGCTTGCAGTGAGCCGAGATGGTGCCATTGCACTCCAGCCTGGGCGACAGAGTGAGACTGTCTCAAAAAAAAAAAAAAGAAAGAAATACATTGGTTTGGTCCAGAGAGACGGGACAACTCAAAAGGGAGGTGGTTGGGGAGCTTCCAGGCTACAGGTACATTTAAACATTTTCTGGTTGACAATTGGTTGAGTTTGTCTAAAGACCTGGGATTGATAGAAAGGGAATGTTCAGGTTAAGATAGCAGATTGTGGAGACCAAAGTTCTTTTGAAGTCTTATAGTGGCTGCCTTTAGAGACAATAGATGACAAATGTTTCCTATTCAGATCTTAATCTCTTAAGGATTGGGAGGGCCTGGAAGTAAAAGATCTGGCTATGTTAATAGAGATTCTTTACAGATGCAAGTATTCCTCCACAATGGACGGCTTTGCAGGACCATTTCAAAATATGGCAAAGAAACATGTTTTGGGGTAAAATATTTTTATTTTCTTCATCGTCTCGTAATGTTTTGCCAGAGTCAGGGTGAGTTAAATAAAACCCATCTGATGAGAACTTATGATTTGTAGGGCATGACTCCCCAGACCGCTTAGATAGGAATTTGGGCAAGAAAAAAAAAATCAGAGTTTAGTCCTCACCTCTTAAAAACAAAATTGGTCTCGTGCAGCACCTTCCAAACACACAAGACATAAGGAATGTCTGGCGCTGCCACCAAGAAAATGAAAACATGGCATAATTTGGAGAGTGCTTATAGAAGGTGTGTGAACTGGGGAAAAAAAGACATTTTTGATCTGTTTTCATATTGTTAAATGCCTAGTCTTTGCAGTGTCACCATTCCTCTTTATGTGCCATAGTTATTTTTCTAGAATTTCATAATAATGATCTTTGAAATTGTTATCTGTTTTTTACAGTTACATGCCAATAGGTAAGAATCTCCCTATAATTTCTAGTTGTCTTATCCCAAATTCAGCCAGAATCAAACTATATCTGCAGTCTCAGTTCTCTTACCCTTCAATATTGAGTGCTAACCAGCATTTCATATGCATTGTCTAATTTTAATCTCCACGACAGTTACAAGGAAGGTACCATTCATTCATTCAGTCATCAAATATTTGAGTCCCTACTAACAGGCAGGCACTGGAGATGCAATGATTTTGAAAATGACAAGCCAGGCACGGTGGCTCAGGCCTGTAATCCCAGCACTTTGGGGGGCCGAGGCAGGTGGATCACCTGAGGTCAGGAGTTCAAGACCAGCCTGGCCAACATGATGAAACCCCATCACTACTAAAAATACACTAAAGAATATACGGTAGACAGGAATTCTTTGTGTTGCTTAATTACCTCCATGGACCTTTGGTGGCAATTTCTAGAAAATTTACGAATTTTTTGGGTTAGTGTCTAGCATTTGGAATGTACTTTATGTTGTGATTGGACTGAGGCTGTTATGCAGAGAAACACTTCCATGTTTCTTATCTTTTTTAAAACTATTTACTTTTGTATAATTTTAGACTTACAAAAAGTTGCAAAAATAGTCCAGAGAGTTCCCATATAGTCTTCACCCAGTTTCCCCAAATGTTACTGTCCTGTATAACCATGATGCAATTAGCAAAATTTAAAAATTAACATTGCTTCAATATTGTTAACTAAACTATGGATTCTAATTAGGTTTTCCCAATTTTTTTTGCTAATTTCCTTTTTCTTTTCTTTTTTTTTTTTTTTTTTTGAGGCAGTATCTCACTCTGTTGTCCAGGCTGGAGTGCAATGGCACAATCTCAGCTCACTGCAACCTCTGCCTCCCATTCAAGTGATTCTCCTGCCTCAGCCTCCCAAGTAGCTGGAACTACAGGCACACGCCACCATACCCAGCTAATTTTTTTATTTTTAGTAGAAATGGAGTTTCACCATGTTGGCCAGGCTGGTCTTGAACTCCTGACCTCAGGTGATCCACCCGCCTTGGCCTCCCAAAGTGCTGGGATTATAGGCTGAGTCACCACGTCCCGCCTGCTAATCTCCTTTTTCTGTTCCAGCACCCACATTGTAACTAGCTGGCATGTCTCCTTAGTCTCTTTTAGTCTGTTACAGTTTCTTGGTCTTTCCTTGTATTTTGTGACCTTGACAGTTTTGAAGACTACAAATCAGGGATGTTGGAGAATGTCCCTCAATTTGGGTTTGTTTGATATATTCTCCTGATTAGTTTGGGGCTATAGACTTGGGGGAAGAATACCACAGGTGGGGTCTCTTGTCAGGGGATTGTACCAGGGGATACATAATATCAGTATGTCTTATTACCAGTGATGTTAACAGTGATTATTTGATTAAGGTGACATCTGCCGGGTTTCCCTAACATCCTGTTTCTTCTTAAACTCTCACCCACCTGTTTAACATTCATAAGTGGTTCTTGTCTGTTGCAATGATTACCGTGGTGTTCTAATAGTTTTAATGATTTCCTTTTTTTTTTTTTTTTTTTTTTTGAGGCAGAGTCTCGCTCTGTCGCCCAGGCTGGATGGAGTGCAGTGGCGCAATCTCGGCTCACTGCAAGCTCCGCCTCCCGGGTTCACGCCATTCTCCCGCCTCAGCCTCCTGAGTAGCTGGGACTACAGGCGCCCACACCACGTCCGGCTAATTTTTTGTATTTTTAGTAGAGACGGGTTTCACCGTGTTAGCGAGGATAGTCTCCATCTCCTGACCTCGTGATCCGCCTGCCTCGACCTCCCAAAGTGCTGGGATTACAGGCGTGAGCTACTGCGCCCAGCCTCCTTTGTTTCTTCTACATTGAGTAATTTGAATTCTGGAAGGAACAATTGTCCTTCTCTTCCATTTATTCATTTACATCACTATAGACTCATGGATATTGTTGCTCAAATTGTTCCAGCTTTGGTTAGTCCAAGTTCTTTTAGGTTTCAACAAGCCCTCATCCTGTTTTTTTTGAGCTTCCTTATTTTTATTGTACCACAAGATGCTTCAGGCTTATTTTGTATTTTTCCTGTCCTGGAATCAACCACTTTTTTAAGGAGCCCTATTTCCTTTTATTGGAGAATGGTATTTAGAAACCAAGATCTGGGTGGGAGGTGACTCATTAGTACTGGAGTGTCACCATTTCTAGGTCCTTTCAGGGAACAGAGCTAGGAAATATTGTTTGTATACTAACCCAGGCAGACATGCACATCTGTATTTACTTCTGTATATCTCTACCTCAGTAGATCCTAACCTGGAGCAATTTTGCCCACCCCCAGGGGATATTTGGCAATCTATGGAGACATTTTGGGGCATCACAACTCAAAGGGAAGATATTACTAGTATCTACTGTGTAGAGGCCAGGGATGCTGTTAACCATCCTACAATGCAGAGGAGGGGTCCCACCAGCAAAGAAGAATCCAGCCCAAATGTCCATAGTGCCAAAGTTGAAAAGCCCTGATCTATCTGTATATTTATTAAAAACACACAAAACACATATGAATTCATACTGATAACTCGCACTCAACCCAGCTGAACAGGGTGCTTTATTCTAGCATTCTTCCTTTGCTTTTTTGTAACTTCTTTCTCCAGTAAGAAACCTGGCTAACAATATCTACAATACAGTTCCTTATTTGTTCAACTCTAGTATACAGATCGTTTCAAAATTGCTGCTTCATACTCTGTGAGAGACAAATTTACTTACTAGAATATAGTGTTTGTGTCCAGTTCTTTTTTGTCTTTAGCCTTACAGTATCCACTCAAAACACTGTTTTGAGGCCAGGCACAGTGGCTCACGCCTGTAATCCCAGCACTTTGGGAGGCCAAGGCAGGCAGATTACCTGAGGTCAGGAGTTCAAGACTAGCCTGGCCAACATGGTGAAACCCTGTCTCTACTAAAAATACAAAAAATTAGCCAGGCATGGTGTTGAGCACCTGTAATCCCAGCTATTTGGGAGGGTGAGGCAGGAGAATCGCTTGAACCTGGGATGCAGTGGTTGCAGTGAGCCAAGATCACACCACTGCACTCCAGCTTGGGAGACAGAGTGAGGCTCTGTCTCAAAAAAACAAAACAAAACCAAAAAAACCTGCTGTTTTCCAGAGTTCCTCAGGTTGGCTCCTTTCTTCTCCCACTCCCTTCAGCATGGTGTGTCATTCGTCTGTGATACCACTGGATTCATTTGCCACAGCATGCATTCCATCTTAGGCCTCCGACAACCTGGTTTATATATTTTTTTAATTTCCATAGAGTAAAATTCATTATTTGGCCTGTATCGTTCTATGGATTTTTGACAAATGCATTAAGTTGTATATCCACCATCATAGTAACATACAGGAGAGTTCCATCACCCCCAAAATTCCTTTATGTCCTTTGTAGTCAATTTCTCTCCTCACCCCCCAGCAACTGTCCTTATAGTTTTTGCATTTTTGATAATGTAATATAAATGGAATCATACAATATGTAGCCCTTTGGTTCTGGATTCATCTATGTTGTTGTATAGATCAATCGTTTATTCTTTTTTGTTGCTGAGCAGTATTTCATTGCATAGATATGGTTTATCCATTCACCAGTTGAAGGACATCTAGGCTGTTTCCAGTTTAGGTTGATTATGAGTTAAGCTAATATAAACATCCATGTATAGGTTTTGTGAAAACATAAGTTTCCAGTTCACATGGTATATACCTTGGAGTGGGGTTGCTGTGTTGTATGGTAGGCATACTGTTTTCCAAAATGACTGGACCATTTTGAATCCCCACCAACGAGGTATGAGGTATCATCCTTGGTATTTTCAGTTTGTTCTTCTTTCTTAAGCCATTGTAAAAGGTGTGTCATGATACCTCCTCATGATTTTAATGTGTATGTCCCTAATGACCAATGATGCTGAGCATCCATTTATATGCTTTTTTTTCCACCTGAATGTCTTCTTTGGTGAAGTGTCTCTTCAAATCTTTTGTCTGTCCTCTTGCTCATTAGTTTTTAAGCCTTGTCCCCATTTTATAGACATAAAACTCTCACACTCACCCTTTTCTGAAATTCCCTCCTTTAGGAGCTCCCCTAACTCTACTCCCTCCCACCTCCCACCATTACAGTCACAGGTTCTTCTGGATATCCTCACCAGTTAACATGGCCTGTTGAGTTTTACCTTTTGTAGTTTGTATTATGCAAGCTTTTTTCTAAGTATAAAATTATACCCTTTTAGATGCTGAGTTAAAAAAAATACAACAAATGAGGCTGGGCACGGTGGCTCATGCCTGTAATCCCAGCACACTTGGGAGGCCAAGGTGGGCAGATCACGAGGTCAAGAGATCGAGACCATTCTGGCCAACATGGTGAAACCCCATCTCTACTAAAAATATAAAAATTAACTGGGCGTGGTGGTGCGTGCCTGTAATCCTAGCTACTCGGCAGAAGACTCGCTTGAACCAGGGAGTCAGAGGTTGCAGTGAGCCCAGATCACGCCACTGCACTCCAGCCTGGCAACAGAGCAAGACTCTGTCTCAAAAAAAAGAAAGAGAGAAAAAGAAACAAATGAAAAAAATAAATAAAAATAAAAATAAAATTACACCTTTATATTGATCTACTTTGCCAAACCACCACTCCAAGACTCTGATATGACTCCCTAGGGAACATGGCTTCCATATCTAGCCTCCTAGTGACATGGTACATTAGTATTGCCAAGAGAGTTATAGAAACTGGACATTCTTGAGGCGGGGCATGGTGGCCCACGCCTGTAATCCCAGCACTTTGGGGGAGCGAGGCAGGCAGATCACGAGGTCAGGAGTTCAAGACCAGCCTGGCCAACATGGTGAAACTCCTTCTCTACTAAAAATACAAAAATTAGCTAGGTGTGGTGGCGGGCGTCTGTAATCCCAGTTACTCGGGAGGCTGAGGCAGGAGAATCACTTGAACCTGGGAGGCAGAGGTTGCAGTGAGCCGAGATCCCACCACTGTAGATCCCACCACTGTGCTCCAGCCTAGGCGACAGAGTGAGACTACATCCAGAAAAAAAAAAGAAACTGAACATTCTCTTTGGCAGAGTGAGGCATCCTAGAGGGGCTCAGTGTTGAGTCCTGGGAGCACTGCAGTGCAGATGTCATAGGCTGGGGAGAATTGAAGTGAAAGTGTCTCAGGTTTCAGGTTGATGTGGAGGTGGTGCTGTCTATGTGAGTATGTTGGGGATGGAGGAAATGATTCATTTCCACAGGACTCCTGACTCATGGAAGTATTTGGGCCAAACTCACTTTCTAGAGTTAAATTTCATGAATTAGAATTAAAATATAATAGCCACAAGGGCTGGGAAGGATGGAAACTTCGTATTTATTAATTCATGTAATCCTCACAGCAACTCTATGAGGTCATTCACCTGCATTTGATAGAGGAGTAAACGAAACCCCTGGGAGTTAGAGGGCTGATAAATTGCAGGGCCTGGACAACATTCCTACAGCTGACCCCAGAACTCTCATTCTTTCCACAGCATTATTTTACTACATCTTGGGTTTAATTCACATACTGTGTAATATTAGAAAAAAAATTTTAAGAAGGTGGGAGTTTGGAGATCAAAGAGCCCCTGAGAGGTGGGAGCTGGCTGTGGTTGGGACTCTAGCAAGCCAGAACTTATATCTGGCTCTCACTCTTTTGCTTTGTGAATTTGGAGAAATAATAATAATTTTTTTTTTTTTTGAGATAGGGTCTTGCTCGGTTGCCTAGGCTAGAGTGCAGTGGCATGATCACAGCTCACTGCAGCCTCTGACCTCCCAGGCTCAAGTGATCCTCCTACCTCCACCTCCCAACTAGCTTGGACTACAGGCACATACCATCATGCCCAGCTAATTTTTAAGTTTTTTGTAGAGACGGGGTCTCCCTATGTTGCCCAGGCTGGTCTTGAACTCCTGGGCTCAAGCAATCCTCCCACCTTGGTCTCCCAAAGTGCTGGGATCACAGATGTGAGCCACTGCACCCAGCCAGTTGAATATTCTTTTGCTTTAGTTTGCTTCTCTTTCGCAGTGGTCTCTGTACTGTTTTGATTGCACATGCCACCAGTAATAAAAAAGTTTGAGAACACTAGTTCATGAAATGTTTATCTCTTTATAAAGTTATGTACATATAAAGCCATTTTAACATATTATGTATGTTAAAAATATTTACAAAAATAGAACTTTCAAAAGGATAAGATAAAAATAAAATAGCCATAACTCTGCCCTCACTAATATTTTTAGTTGAGACCATGTGACTGAACTAGATTGTCCTTATTTTTACCTCATGTGACAAATAAAGGCGGTGTCTGCTGTGCCATATTCTTGTGGTTTTACTTATGCTGGCTAAGTAAGAACTTTGTTCTTAGCTTTACTCTCTGATTCCATTAGAAAAAAATATTTTCATGTCACTGACCTATTTTTTCAAGTTTAGCTTTATTAAAACTAAATTATGAAAGCTATAAATCTATGTAACCTGCCATACACAAATGCACTGTGTCCCAATACACTAAAAACAATCAAATTAGAGTGATGCTATTATTCCAGCCAAATCATGGGATGCCCTCAGGCTTCTTTCTCCATCATCCAGAACACTCAACCTTCTGACATGTGGGCTGAGAGAGGAGACCAGTGCCAATCCATTGATTAACTATTAGTAAAGCTTAACTTCTGTCGTATT
Organism: Homo sapiens; assembly: GCF_000001405.40. Classification (NCBI taxonomy): domain Eukaryota; kingdom Metazoa; phylum Chordata; class Mammalia; order Primates; family Hominidae; genus Homo; species Homo sapiens. The sequence goes on from NC_000013.11 coordinate 44,712,281, forward strand.
TATTTCATTTATTTATTTATTTTTTTGAGACAGAGTTTTGCTTTTTGGCCCAGGCTGGAGTGCAATGGCATGATCTCGGCTCACTGCAACCCCTGCTTCCCGGGTTCAAGCAATTCTCCTGCCTCAGCCTCCCAAGTAGCTGAGATTACAGGTGCCTGCCACCACGCCCAGCTAATTTTTTGTATTTTTAGTAGACATGGGTTTCACCATGTTGCCCAGGCTGGTCTCGAACTCCCAACCTCAGGTGATCACCCACCTTGGCTTCCCAAAGTGCTCATGCACACAGGCATGAGCCACTGTGCCTGGCCAACTTCTGTCATATTTTAAATCAAAATAAATCTAAGTTTAAATGTTTTCTTACTGTGCTCCAAAAGATTGTCTTGCGTATCCACTAGGTACAGACACTTTATTTTAGAGACAGTTGACCCTTGAACAACATGGGTGTGAACTTTGTGAGTCTACTTATACCCAGATTTTCTTTCACCTCTGCCATCCCTGAGACAGCAAGACTAATCCCTCTTCTTCCTCCTCCTCTACCTCCTTAATGTGAAGACGATGAGGATGAAGACCTTTATGATGATCCACTACCACTTAATGAAGAGTAAATAGGCTGGGTATAGTGGCTCACGCCTGTAATCCCAGCACTTTGGGAGGCCAAGGCAAGTGGATTGCTTTGAACCCAGGAGTTCGAGACCAGCCTGGGCAACATGGAGAAACCCTGTCTCTACTAAAAAATACAAAAATTAGGCGTTGGTGGCTGTCGCCTGTAATCCCAGCTACATAGGAGGCTGAGGCACGAGAATAGCTTGAATCTGGGAGGGAAAGGTTGCAGTGAGCTGAGATTGCGCCACTGCACTCCAGCCTGGGTGACAGAAAAAGGCCCTGTCTCAAAAAAAAAAAGAAGAAGAAGAGTAAATATATTTTCTTTTCCTTATAATTTTCTTAAAAGCATTTTCTTTTCCCTAGCTTGCTTTGTTGTAAGAATACGGTACACAGGCTGGGCACGGTGGCTCACACCTATAATCCCAGCACTTTGGGAGGCCAAGGCAGGCGGATCACCTGAGGTCGGGAGTTCGAGACCAGCCTGACCAACATGGAGAAAGCCCATCTCTACTAAAAATACAAGATTAGCCGGGCTTGGTGGCACATGCCTGTAATCCCAGCTACTTGGGAGGCTGAGGTAGGAGAATCGCTTGAATCTGGGAAGCAGAGGTTGCGGTGACCCAAGATCACACCATTGCACTCCAGCCTGGGCAACAGAGCAAAACTCTGTCTCAAAAAAAAAAAAAAAAAACAGTATATAATACATATAACATATAAAATATGTGTTAATTGACTTTTTGTTACACATAAGGCTTCCAGGCAACAGTAGGCTGTTAGTAAGGTTTTGGGGGACTCAAAAGTTATTTTCAACTTCACATGGGGTTGGGGCCCCTAACCCCTGTGTTGTTCAAAGGTCAACTATGTAAGTTTCCCCCAAACAGGAGAAACGTAGGAGTTGACGGTATGAGTTCCATTGCACTTTGTTGAATTATTCAGTAAAAGGGCTAAAATGCCTTTAAGAAAAATATTTTTGCTACAAGAATTGAGAGAATCCAGAAGTGTGGTTGATGATAACCAAAGCAGGGATTCAAATTAAATGTGAGCTCCCTGAACTTCTGAAGACAGCCTGTTTTCTGCTGTAGCTTTGACAAGGTCAGTCCCAGGACAGATGGAGGAGGCAACTTTGTTGGAGCTATTACTGATCAAGTAACCCAGATGAGTCTCAGATCCACTCAGAACCTTCCTCTCTGGATTCTCTTTCATATCTCAGGACATCTAAACCATTTCTATCAATTTGCTCCAGAGCAAGCTGGAACCTGGACCCCAAGATGAAGAACAAGCCTGGGCTGACCCAGACAAGGTTATCCTAGACCACAGCTCACAGAGCAGCCCCTTGGAGAGCCTGAGCTGAATTCCAACCCCAGCCCGAGGGTTTTGGATGGAAGTGAGTCAACTTCTGGAATGCAGTGAATTCAACATTTAGCCCCAAGTTAGTCACCATCGCAAATAGCAGTGAGGGCTGTGGCTCTTGTTCCATCTCCTTTTCAGCTGCAACAAAGTGACTACTGGAAACAGAGGCCAGGGGAAAGAGCAGGCCAGCCTAAGTGAAACAGGGAGCCCTGGGCCCATGTACACCGCCAGCACCACTCTAGATCTGGGTTACTTTAATGCTACTGAAGCTGAAGGCTGTATGGCTTTAATGGGAGTCTCTTCAAGCTGTAGCTTTAAAAAAGCAGTTCTGAATTAGCCGGGCATGGTGGTGGGTGCCTGTAGTCCCAGCTACTCGGGAGGCTGAGGCAGGAGAATGGCGTGAACTTGGGAGGCAGAGGTTGCAGTGAGCCGAGATCGCGCCACTGCACTCCAGCCTGGGGGAGAGTGCGAGACTACATCTCAAAAAAAAAAAAAGAAAAAAAAGAAAAAAAAGAAAAAAAAAGCAGTCCTGAAGTAGAATTCAAAGCAACAAGAGATGAAAGGAGCTGCCATTTATTTATTTATTTATTTATTTATTTATTTATTTATTTTTGAGATAGTCTCCCTCTGTCACCCAGGCTGGAGTGTAGTAGAGTGATCTTGCTCACTGCAGCCTCTGCCTCCCTTGTTCAAGCTATTCTCCTGCCTCATCCTCCCGAGTGGCTGGAACTATAGGCATGTGCCACCACGCCCAGCTAAGTTTTGTATTTTTAGTAGACAGGATTTCACCAAGTTGGCCAGGCTGCTCTAGAACTTATGACCTCAGGTGATCCACCCGCCTCGGCCTCCCAAAGTGCTGGGATTACAAGCATGAGCCACCGTGCCTGGACAGGACCTGCCATTTAAAATGCTCCATGAAGTTTACAATTCAACAACAACAAAAAACATGATTGAAATGACCTGGAGAAAAAGAAGCCTCCAATTCTCTGGAGTGTAATTCACGTCAACTACAATTTCTGCAGCAAAGGCAAAAACAAACAAACAAAAAAAAAGTAAACAGTACTTACTTTTTGCAATAGGAAACTCTTGCACATGGTTTCACTGAAATTTAAAAGTTATAACAGAGCATATAGTAAAAATCTCCCTCCTTCCCCATCACCCAGTTCCCCGTTTCCTCTCCAATTCAGAGACAGGCTGGCACAGTTCATCTTTATTAGCCAACAAATATCTGAATTATGGGTGAGTTGGTTTGGCCCATGGTAAGGGCAGTGATCCAAGAACAAATCCCAGCAGAATGGAAAAGTTGTTAATGAAGCTTTTAAAAAACATTCTTCCATGTACACACAATGTAATATCGGTAGAATTATCTTCGGATATGAAGCACAAGCGAAGACCATAGAGGTTAGCAGTACCCAGGAGAAAAAATATTTTGGCAGACTGGGAACAGATCGAATAACTTACCTTTTTTTGATTTTCTGCAGGACGTTTGAGGCTCCTGGCAATGAGGATCTTCCTGTAAGTGTTTGAGTTAGGGTTTGGCATCTGGCTTGACCTGATTCGCACAGACACAGCTGGCCCTAATTATTATGAAATCACATGCGACAAGAAGGCCTTCTCTTGGCACTGGAACATTCCAAGCCATTAGGTGGATGTAAAATCTGGTCATTATCCATTAATTTTTCCTTTCCTCTGATATACTTCTAGACCTTCCAGTCACCAGACTCTGTGCCATGTTAAAGGAGCTCTTCACATCCCAACCATGTTCCTGGAACCCAAGAAACGATCAGTTATAATTTGGGCGACTGCCAGCTAATCTCCTTTCCCACAGGGTTGGGCAAGGGACAAGATAGCAGTTGTTCGTTTAGTACCTGGTATTTTACACTCTTTATTCCATTGAATAGTAGATCATATCTATGCCTGTTATATTTTCAATTAACTTAACAAATAGCAGGAAATGAAACTATTAAAATCTTATATCCTAGTCCCAGCCATTCCAGAGATTATCTTTAACTTTAAAAAAGGAGGAGGGAGGTAATATTTTACTAGGCAAAAATGTATAAATATACCTTTATAAATGAGTTCTTAAATTTTTTTGAGACGGAGTCTTGCTCTCTCATCCAGGCTGGAGTGCAATGGTGCGGTCTCAGCTCACTGCAATCTCCGTCTGCTGGGTTCAAACGATTCTCCTGCCTCAGCCTCCTGAGTAGGTGGGACTACAGGTGTGTGCCACCACACTCGGCTAATTTTTGTATTTTTAGTAGACACGGTGTTTCACTACGTTGGCCAGACTGGTCTCGAACTCCTGACCTCTTGTTCTGCCTGCCTCGGCCTCCCAAAGTGCTGGGATTACAGGCATTAACCACTGTGCCCAGCCTGAGTTTAAAATTTTTTAAGTGTCCCAGGTAGCTTCTAGCCTTGGTTTATGAAACCCTGTAATGTCTCCATTTTATAATTCTCTACACCACCTTCCCCCAAATAATCCACTGTGATTTAAATAATAAATGTGCCATGCTCTGTGGCTCATGCCTGTAATCCCAGCACTTTGGGAGGCCCAGGTGAATTGATCACTTGAGACTAGGAGTTCAAGGCCAGTCTGGCCAACATGGTAACACACCCTGCCCCGTCTCTACTAAAAATACAAAAATTGGCCAGGTGCCGTGGCACATGCCTGTAGTTCCAGCTACCCCGGAGGCTGAGGCAGGAGAATCGCTTGAACCTGGGAGGTGGAGGCTGCGGTGAGTTGAGATCATGCCACTGCACTCCAGCTTGCAGGACAAACTGAGACCCTGTCTCAAAACAACAACAACAGCAACAAAAACTAACTAGATTAAAAATAAAAATAAGAAAAAATAAAATAAATAATAAATGCGTGTAACATGCATGTGACTTAAGCTGTCTGGGTATCATGACAACAAACAAATGGCAATGGAGAGTGGTAACTCAGTGTTTCTTTAAATCAATTCACTGGCTGTCAGAACTTAAAAGACTTCCTGGTTAGTATTTTCCCAAGTTCACTTATTTGCATACCATCTTCATAACTTTTTTAATGGAATTTTTTTAAAGTATCAATTTCATATAATTAATGATGAAATAGTTTTACAATATTTGTTACAAAAAAAGAAAGCCTGTCCTCCATTCCTTGAAGTTACGGCTTTCAATGCTGCTACATTATTATTTTCTTTTCTTGCTCCTTGTTTTTTTTTTTTTTTTTTTCCTGAGACAGAGTCTTGCCCTATTGCCCAGGCTGGAGTGCAGTGGCAGGATCCCGGCTCACTGCAACCGCTGCCTCCCAGGTTCAAGCGATTTTCCTACCTCAGCCTCCCGAGTAGCTGGAATTATAGATGTGCACCACCATGCCCAGTTAATTTTTGTATTTTTAGTAGATACCAGTTTTACCATATTGGCAGGCTGGTCTCGAACTCCTGACCTCAGGTCATCCGTCTGCCCTGCTTCCGAAAGTACTGGGATTACAGGCGTGAGCCACCATGCCTGGCCACTAAATTATTATCTTCATATTTACCTCCAATTCTTCCCTTTAAACAGAAGTCTTGATATTTGTACTTGATTTTTCAAGTTTTAGCATTATCTATTGACTTCCTGCTGTGGAAGATTCAGATTAAGCTTTATTTCAATATTTCTGACCTAAATCCCTTTTCCCCCTCTATTATTTCCTATCCTTCCCCATTCTTCCAATATAGATATTTTGGTAAAATCAGTCTTTTGTTAGTATTCTGTACTTTAAAGATACTATTGACAGCTGAACAGCATAGTGAACTGATTTCTTTTTCTACACAGCTATTTATTTTTCTTGGAAAACCCTTTATAGAATAAATAATAATATAAATAATAGTTTGTTTAAGCTTATTTATTTATTTATTTATTTATTTTTATTTTTTATTTTTTTGAGACGGAGTTTCGCTCTTGTTGCCCAGGCTGGAGTGCAATGGCGCAATCTTGGCTCACCGCAACTTCCACCTCTTGAGTTCAAGTGATTCTCCTGCCTCAGTCTCCCAAGTAGTTGGGATTACAGGCATGCGCCACCATGCCCGGCTAATTTTGTATTTTTAGTAGAGATGTGGTTTCTCCATGTTAGTCAGGCTGGTCTCGAACTCTCAACCTCAGGTGATCCTCTCGCCTCGGTCTCCCAAAATGCTGGGATTACAGGCTTGAGCCACCACTCTCAGCCTTCGTTTAAGATTTTTAAGTACACTTATCACTAATGTATGTACAAACTTTCCCCTAGTTGCATAAATCTCTCAATCTTCATGCCATTGGTAGCCTTATAGTTTGATCTTTTAGAAGAATTCTCTTCTGGGATCTTCTGAGGAGAGGCAGGTTTCTGGCTGTGTGGAATGACAGAGGATGTCCCACTGCTTCTTACGATGACTTTCAACTGGAATTGTTTTCGACTTTACCTCCTCCGCATCTGATTCCACAGACAATGGGTGCAACAAATTCCTGGGCCTTCCAGAGGTTCTGGATGCAAATTAAGTTGCTTCTCAGCTTCCCCCACTGCTGGCTGATGGTTGAGATTTCCTGCATCTTCCAGGTAAGTTATCCCATGTCCGTTCAATGTTTCTAAAATTGTTGCCATGGTATTTCTCATTTTATTTGTACTATTATGTGAAAATTATGTACTGTTGTGTATGCTTTTAAAAACATCCTTCTGAACCCACATTTTAGTGGTTTTAAACTGAAAATCCTTTCAGTTTTTTTCCTCCTATCCTATTATTTTCTGGCCTTTACCTAATACAGGTTGAATATCCCTTATATAAAATGCTTGGGGCCAGGCATGGTGGCTCACACCTGTAATCCCAGCACTTTGGGAGGCTGAGGCAGGTGGATCACCTGAGGTCAGGAGTTCGAGACCAGCCTGACTAACATGGTGAAACCCCATCTCTACTAAAAACACAAAATTAACCAGATGTAGTGGCGCATGCCTGTAGTCCCAGCTACTAGGGAGGCTGAGGCAGAAGAATTGCTTGAACCCGGGAGGCAGAGGTTGCAGTGAGCTGAGATCACGCCATTGCGCTCCAGCCTGGGCAACAAGAGCAAAACTCAGTCCCCAAAAAATTTTTTTTTATTAAAAAATAAAATGCTTGGGATCAAAAGTGTTTTAGATTTTGGAGTTTTTCGAATTTTGGAATATTTACTTATATACTCACCAATTAAGTATCCCTAATTTAAAAATCTGAAATGTGAAATGCTCCAGTGAGCCTTTCCTTTGAATATCATGTCAGTCCTAAAAAGTTTTGGATTTTGAGCTGGACACGGTGATGCATCCAGCTACTTTGGAGGCAGAGGTGGGAGGATTGCTTGAGGCCAGGAGTTCCAGATCAGCCTGGGCAACATAGCAAGACTCCATCTAAAAAAAAAGGTTTTGGATTTTCCAGCATTTCAGATTCTGGATTTGGGACTAGGGATATTCAAACTGTAGTAGTCTTTATATTGACTTGATTTTTATATTTTAAACTCATCCTAATCAATAACATTAATAAAATTATGGGTGGAATATAGTTAGATTTTCTTATATAGTTATATTTTCTAAAATACATTAATATATATTAAAAAGAAAAAAATATTGATGTACCACCAGTGGCATGCACTCTACTTAGGGAAACACTGCCTTGGCCCACTGCAGACATTAAGGTCCAGGGAGGTTAAATGGTCTTGCTTGAGGTCTGGCAAATGGCAGAACTGGGACATTCCTTGGATCTCCTGAATTCCCTACTTGTTTTTACCACAAAGTCAGCCAGCTTTGCGCAAAGCTGGCTTTTCTTACTGCAAAGCAGCCAGTTTTTACCGCAAGCCAGGCCTGGGCCTCTATGTAGAGGTACTCATTAACTATATGCCTTACTTCTCTAAGCTATTCACTACCACTTGGCATGTTATACCACCATGAAATTATTTACCCCCTAAGTTACAGAGCTTGTTTGAAGCTAACAATTCCAAATATGCCCCACTTTTAGCCCTGAATAGAGAGATGCATTGATGGAAAAATAAATGAGGTCAGTATTCTTTTCTACTCATCTGACAAGAATGGCACTTTATTAAGGAAGCAAATTTTCCAATGTGGTTTCCAAAAATCTTACTCATTCCAAAATGAATAAGGAGGTGCTCCATTCTTTTCTTTGCTATATCAACATATAGGACCTCCACGTCACAGACCTTAGATATTTCCCCAAATAGAAAATAGTACAGTTTGTAAGTGGCAGAATCAGTCTGTAAACACAATTTGTTCCAAACCCATCATTTAAATAGAAATGGCCCAAAGCCAGCATTGCTTCAAGCATAGGAATTCTCATATCATTTGTCCTCACCAACAAATTCCACAGTACCAAATTTAGCTTGGTGAGACAAGCATGATGCTGAAAATACATCCTCTGCTGTTATTTGGCAACATTTAATAAAAGAAGAGCAGATGTTGAACTATAGGGACAGGTTAAATTTTGAAATTACAGTGCCATTATAACTAATTAAAGCCAGAATAAAAGACACAAATTTGAGAAAGATAAAATTATTGAAATAAGACTTTGGAGTTTGTTTTAACAGGATTTGATCTGTGTAACATATTTTGTAATGTCTATTTGTATTTGTACATAATTGCACTTTAATTTATAACAGTTTAACTTCAAATATTTTTCTACTTTAAGTACAGTGCAGTATTTAAATAGAAGTATACTTCTATTTCTTCCTTCTTGTCTTTATGCTATTGTGATACATTTTGCTTCAATATATGTTATGAATCCTGCAATATACTGTGATTATTTTCACTTTAATTAGTTGATGATGTCTTAAAGAAGTCATTTATATATTTATCATTTCTGGCACTCTTCAGTCATTTGTATAGATCCTTTTCTTGTGCTGTATCCTGCCTGAAAACTTCTGTTTTCTTTCTTGTTGTGCAGATGGCTAGTGATGAGTTCTTTCAGCTTTTGTTTGAAAAGTTTTAATTTAACTTTTATTATTATTATTATTATTATTATTATTATTATTTTCAGATGGACTCTTGCTCTGTGGCCCAGGCTAGAGTGCGGTGGCATGATCTCGGTTCACTGCAATCTCTGCCTCCCAGGTTCAAGGGATTCTCCTGCCTCAGCATCCCAAGTAACTGGGATTACAGGCACCCACCACTGCGTCCAGCTAATTTTTGTATTTTTAGTAGAGACAGGGTTTCACCATCTTGGCCAGGTTTGTCTTGAACTTCTGACCTTATGATTCACTCACCTCAACCTCCCAAAGTGCTGGGATTACAGGCATGAGCCACTGCGCCTAGCAGTTCACTTTTATTTTTGAAACATTTTTTGCTGGGTATAAAATCCTAGATTTACAGCTTCTGTTTCATTACTTTAAAGATATTGTCTCATTGTCTTCTGGGTTATGTAGTTGCTGTCAAGAAATCTGCTGCCATTGGTTTTGGCTGTTGTTCTTATGTAAATAAGATGTCCCCTTTTCACTGGCTGTTTTAAAAAATTTTTTTGACACTGGTTTTCAACAATTGGGCTATGGTGTGCCTTGGCATGATTTTCTTAATGTTTATTCTGCTTGGCATTTGTTGAGCCCCTTGAATCTTCAATTTATAGTTTTCTTCAAAATTGGAACACTTTTATTTATTATTTTTTCAAATATTTTATCTCCCCCCTCACATCATTTTCTTGGCACTTTAATTATACACATGTGTTCATCTAGGTTATATATGTAAAGTCCACAAGTCACTAATGCTCTATTCATTTTTTTTAGTCTTTTTTCTGTGCTTCATTATTTCTTCAACTTCACTTACCTTTTCTTCTGCAATATCTGATTAACTATTAATCCCATGCAGTATTTTTCAATTAAGATACTGCATTTTTCATCTTTATGTGTTTTATCTGAGTCTTTTAAAAGTATCATCAATTTGGCTGGGCATGGTGGCTCACACCTGTAATCCCAGCACTTTGGGAGGCCAAGGCAGGCGGATCACCTGAGGTCGGGAGTTCAAGACCAGCCTGACAAACAGGGAGAAACCCTGTCTCTACTAAAAATACAAAATTAGCTGGGCCTGGGGTGGCACATGCCTGTAATCCCAGCTACTAGGGAGGCTGAGGCAGAAGAATCGCTTGAACCTGGGAGGCGGAGGTTGCGGTGAGCCAAGATCATGCCATTGCACTCCAGCCTGGGCAACAAGAGCGAAACTCCGTCTCAAAAAAAAAAAGTATCATTAATTTATCTTTTCACCATGTTCATGTTTTTATTTACTTTCTTATAGATAGGAGTGTATTTAAAATAGATATTTTCATGTTCTTGTCTGCTAATTCATTATTTCCATAATTTCTGGGACTGTTTCTATTGATTACTTTTTCTTTTGGTTATAAGCAATGTTTTCCTGTTTTTTTGTATGCCTGGTAATTTTTGACAGGATACCTGGCATTGTGATTCTACATTGTTGGTTGCTGGATTTTGTTATTTTCTTTTAAATAGTGTTGAGCTTTATGCTGGTACAAAATTAAGTTACTTGGAATCTATTGGATCCTTTCCTTTTCAAGCATTTTAATGGTGAGTTCAGAGTGGCTTTTAGTCTAGGGCTTATTTAGTCCCACTAGTAAGGTGGGACTACATAAGAAGAGTCCCCCTCTGAGGACTCTAGGAGGTCTTTCTACTCTGACTGGTGGGAACACAAACTATTCCTAGCCCTGTGTAAGCCCCAGGAATTGTTCAGCTTGCTGCTTTTGGGTGATGGTTTCCCCTTAGATAGTTTCCTCTTGTGTATACATGAATCAGCCATCAGCCAAAGCTTCAAAGTGGCTCCTTTATAGATCTCTGGAGTGCTCTCTTTTTCTCCCTGTCTTCCCCTGCATCTCCCTCCTTTCTAGTGCATAGACCCATACGTTCTAGTGACTTTGACCTCCCTTGGCCTGGATCTCTTGCTCCTCATCTCAATGAGACTGCTGTGCTATTTCTTCCTCCCTATACTGCAATCTGGAAATTGCCTCCAGGTAGCAAGCTGGGGCAATCATAGGGTTCACCTCTTTATTTTCCCTTCCTCTTGGATCATATTTCTGTGCTGCCTGTTGTCTAACATCTGAAAACTACTGTTTCATATATTTTGTCTAGTTTTTTAGTATTTTAAGACAGGAGGGTAAATCCATCCCCCATTACTCTATCATGGCCAGAAGCAGAAGTCTTCCGATCCCCTATAATGAATGTTTGTGGCTGGAAAAATGTTTGTTTATTTTCTATAACTTTCCCTAGTGATTCTACAGTTCCTTACCAAGTTTGATGGTAAAATAAAAATTAATCATGCTAGAGGCCGAGCATGGTGGCTCACACCTGTAATCCCAGCACTTTGGAAGTCCAAGGTGGGCAGATCACCTGAGGTCGGGAGTTCAAGACCAGCCTGGCCAACATGGAGAAACCCATCTCTACTAAAAATACAAAACTAGCCAGGTGTGGTGGTACATGCCTGTATTCCCAGCTAATTGGGAGGCTGAGGCAGGAGAATGGCTTGAACCCAAGGGTGGAGGTTGAGGTGAGCTGAGATTGCACCATTGCACTCCAGCCTGGGCAACAAGAGCAAGACTCCATCTCAAAAAAAAAAAAAAAATTAATCATGCTGGAACTTCACTTTGGTCACATTAGCAGCAGGCTTCTTTTCCTATTTTGTTTCCTGGCACCTGCTGGATCTCTAAAGCAAGAGAGAGTCAAACCCTTGGTTTCCCAAGTTTGGGTCTACCTGATTCATTCACATATACTTTATGTGATGATCAGTGTTTTCATGTTTAGATTCCCATAACTCGTGATTATCTGATACTGACTATAGTTGTTGAAAATTATATATAAAAAAGAGCCCTAATAAAAGTCGTAAGAAGGCAAGCATTCTCTTGAGTGCTCACCTTTTTTATTTCTACTTCACATACTGGAGCCCTCTCCTTGACTTCAGGCCTTCAGTAACATTCAGGCAGTTCCCCGACTCTCCAAAATCCCTTCTGGAAGCTTCGCACATAGACACATCCTATTTCAAAATTATGCTCTTTTTCTTTTTACAAGATAGTCAAACTCCAATGACCTGAAAGGCTTAACCCGTTCACCATAAGAAGCTTGAAGGTAGGAACTAAATCTTCTTTTTGGTGTTTCATCAGATTCTAGAATGTCATCTGACACTGGACTTCATAATTGTTCACTTTCTGAGTATACCTTGAGTGATTGAGGGCAGGAAATTTGGAGCTACTGTCACAGTGCTTTCTACCACCTCCTCTGGCTTTTAGGGTGTCCAAGATAAAATAAGAAGGGACCCTGTTTTCTCATAGTTGCATTTTTCTAGTGGAGGCTCTACCTCTTATCTGGTCTTTAAAAGAGAAGAAAAGACTAACCTCTTGGGAAGGTTGATTTTGGCTTCTGCCCAATAACCCAAATCCATGAACACTCTCCCACCTTCTGAAGTTGTATCTCTAATTTTTTCATAGACATTTTAATAGGGTTTTCACTTCCCTACCATTAGTTTATATTTAATATCAAGTTAATGAACTACATTTGTAGGATCTTTATCCCAAGTCTGTATTCCTCAATTTTTTACAGACTTTATGCTTTCGGGTAATCATTTCAAGTTTCATCATTTTTCAATATATCCCACAAGCAATTTGTGACTTGGCTCTATCAGCTTGAAGTAATTAGAAATTCACTTGCACTATTGAGGACTTGCATCTGTAAAAGGAAGAAATATTTTCTGGAAAAATGGATTTGCAAAATGAAGGCACTTTGGCTTGGTGAGTCTGGACCTCACACAGGTTGAGACAGTCACAACTTGAGACCGTGAGATAGGTGAAAGGCCCTTGAACCAGAACACTAGAATCAAATGAGTCTTTTCTCTCATGTTGCCCTGTGGTAGACAGAATGTGGGGTTGATGACCAGGCCAAGCTAAGGAAAACTCAGGTGGATGGGCATGAGCAGGCTTGTTTTCAGATTTGAATAGCATTTCAATACCTTCAAAACCATTTTCACTTGTTCATCACCCTGCTTTTCACCACCAATGAAATGTGGCTATTCCATTCACCTCTGGACACTTTAGGTTCCTCTTTGTTTTCCTCCTTGTACCCCTCTCTCTCTTTTTTTTTTTTTTTTTTTTTTGAGACGGAGTCTTGCTCTGTCGCCCAGGCTGGCGTGCAGTGGCGCGATCTCGGCTGACTGTAAGCTCCGCCTCCCGGGTTCACGCCATTCTCCTGCCTCAACCTCCCGAGTAGCTGGGACTACAGGCACCCGCCACCGTGCCCGGCTAATTTTTTGTATTTTTAGTGAGTCGGGGTTTCACCGTGTTAGCCAGGATGGTCTCAATCTCCTGACCTCGTGATCCGCCCGCCTCGGCCTCCCAAAGTGCTGGGATTACAGGCGTGAGCCACCGGGCCCGGCTTTTTTTTTTTTTTTTTTTAAAGACAGAGTCTCCCTCTGTCGCCCAGGCTGGAGTGCAGTGGCAGGATCTCGGCTCACTGCAACTTCTGCCTCCCAGGTTCAAGCGATTTTCCTGCCTCAGCCTCCCGAGCAGCTGGGATTACAGGTGCACACCATTGCAAGCTAATTTTTGTATTTTTAGTAGAGATGAGGTTTTCCTGTGTTGGCCAAGCTGGTCCTGAACTTCTGAACTCAAGTGATCCTCCCACCTCGACCTCCCGCAGTGTTGGGATTACAGGGTGAGCCACCGCGCCCAGCCAAAAGCTAAGTTTACATATTGTACAAGTCATAGTAAGAATAGCCAGGTGTGGTGGCTCACGCCTGTAATCCCAGCACTTTGGGAGGCCGAGGCGAGTAGATCACAAGGTCAGGAGTTCGAGACCAGCCTGGCCAACATGGTGAAACCCCATTTCTACTAAAATACAAAAAAATTAGCTGGGTGTGGTGGCACATGCCTGTAATTACAGCTACTCGAGAGGCTGAGGCAGGAGAATCCCTGGAACCTGGGAGGTGGAGGTTACAGTGAGCTGAGATTGTGCCATCGCACTCCAGCCTGGGCGACAGGGTGAGACTCCGTTTCAAAGAAAAAAAAAAAGAATAAACATGGACATCTCTACCAGATTGTCAGTAGATGGTTTTTGTCTGCTCACAATCTCCTTAGGGAATAACAAACACTTCTCCCTTTCCTACACCATATGGTTCAGGCATGATTCAACACGTGCTTTGACTTAAAAACTGGACACACAGTTTAGGTTGGGCAATCAGAGAGATTGTTTCAAGGATGGGCAGAGCTCTCCCCAGGATTTTTCTGGAATGATTAAAAAACAGCCTCTATGTTTTGTTTGCCAGCTGTAAAGATAATGTAACACTGGAATCTTGGTGGCCATATTTGCTACTGAGTTAGAAGGGAAAGAATGAAGGCAACACAGGAAATGTGGAAACACAATGAAACCGCCATTGCAAAATTATAACTGAGAAAATTATTACAGTGAAAGAGATCTGACCTAACCAACCCCATCTTGCTTCTGACCTCCAAGCTGTCCTCCTTCATTCCTGGGCACAGGCCGATCTAACTTTGGGAGGAACTTAGTTTATAGTTTAACTTTGAAACAGAAATGATAACAGCCCTTTCCTGAAACGAATCCCCCTCCTGTATGGGGACAAGACTACCCTTGTAGGACTAACAAATTAGCTACAAGATTAGAAATTACGGTTTGGGAGTCATGGAGCTGGAGGCTACAAAATTCTGACCCTCCCCAAATTGCTCCTGGGGATAACGTCACCATTGTAAAGCCCTGCACTCGCTGCACCAGCTGGCACCACCCAGATTGATAAACTGGCTCATCTAGTCTTGTGGCCCCCACCCGGGAACTGACTCAGCACAAGAAGGCAGCTTTTACTCCCTATGGTTTCATCTCTGACCTGCCCAATCAGCACTCCCAACTCACTGGCCCCCTACCCACCAAATTACCCTTAAAAACTCTGATCCCCTAATGCTCGGGGAGACTGATTTGAGTAATAATAAAACTTCCATCTCCTGTACAGCCAGCTCTGCATGAATTAAAAACTTTCTCTGTTGCAGTTCTGTCTTGATAAATCAGTTGTCTAGGCAGTGGGCAAGGAGGACCCATTGGATGGTTACAAATTTAAGGTAAACTATTATGTAGGAAAATACTGTGTTTTTGATATGTTCTCACACCACAACAACCATCTGAAACCGCCTTTGCAAAATTATGACTGAGACAGTGAAAGAGATCTAACTTAACTGACTCCATCTTTCTGCTAACCTCCAAGCTGTCCTTGTTCATTCCTGGGCATAGGCTGAACTAACTTTGGGAGAATCTTAGTTTACAGTTTAAACAAAGATGGTAACAGCCCTTTCCCAAAGCAGACCTCCTTCTTGCCTGGGGACTAGATTGCCTTTGTAGGACTAACATTAGCCATAAGATTAGAAATTATGGCTTAGGAGTCATGCAGCTGGAGGCCACAAGATTCTGACCCTCCCTAAACTCCTCCTAAGATCAGTGCTTGAGGTATTTTGCAGACCCTGCACTTGATGGATCAGCTGGCCCCACCCAGATCAATAAACTGGCTCATCTGATCTTTTGGCTCCCACTCAGGAACTGACTCAGCGCAAGAAGACAGCTTCGACTCCCTATGATTTTATCTCTGACCAATCGGCACTCCTGGCTCACTGGCTTCCCCCACCCACCAAGTTATCCTTAAAAATTCTGCTCCCCCAGTGCTCAGGGACACTGATTTAAGTAATAATAAAACCCCGGTCTCCCGCACAGCCGGCTTTGCGTGAATTTCTCTTTCTCTATTGCAACTCCCCTATACTGATCTGGGCAGTGGGATAGGTGAACCCCTTGGGCGATTACACATCAACACAGAAAAGGATTTCTGTGACTAAATATTGTTTTTTTTTGTCTCCACACACCAAGTAGCAGACACCAGCTAGGTGTTCTCCAACTGAATTCCAACACTATCGACCTGGAGATAATATCACATCCCACAAATTGGGGGCCTAGTCCCCAAGACTGCTCCCTATACCCCCAGGCACCAGTTGCAAGTCTGGGCCTCAGGAACTCCTGACAACTAGTTTCAAATTGGGGTTCCCACGACTCCCTCTTTGCCTTCTAATAATTTGCTGGACTGGCTCACAGAACTCAGGGAAACACTTTTGGTTACTAGTTTCTTTTTTTTTTTGAGACGGAGTTTCGCTCTTGTTGCCCAGGCTGGAGTGCAATGGCATGATCTCGGCTCACCTCAGCCTCCGCCTCAGCCTCCCGAGTAGTTGGGATTACAGGCATGTGCCACCATGCCCAGCTAATTTTGTATTTTTAGTAGAGACAGAGTTTCTCCATGTTTGTCAAGCTGGTCTCAAACTCCCAACCTCAGGTGATTCACCTGCCTCGGCCTCCCAAAGTGCTAGGATTACAGGTGTGAGCCACCATGCCCGGCTGGTTACTGGTTTCTTATAAAGGATATTACAAAGGATACAGATAGGGTGAGGTATGCGGAAAGGGGCATGGAGATTCCATGCCCTTCCTGGGTGCACCACCCTCCAGGAACCTCACATGTTCAGCTATCCAGAAGCTCCCTGAACCCAGTCCTCTTGTTTGGTTGGTGTTTTGTTGTTTTGAGACAGGGTCTTGCTCTGTGGTCACCCAGGCTAGAGTGCAGAGGTGCAATCACGGCTTGCTGCAGGCTTATCTCCTGGATTCAAGAGATCCTCCCTCCTCACTCTCCAAAAGTGCTGGGATTATAGGCATGAACCACTGTGCCCAGCCCGTCTTGAGTTTTTGTGGAAGCTGAGTGATGTCAACATTCTTCCTGCAATGTTTTGTCTGGGAAGGGTCCTAAGCCCCACCATCAGAAAGGTGGGGAAAGATTAGTCTTGCTTTGGGGTAGGTGAAATGAGGACAGGAGAAAGTTGAGATTTCCTGGGGCCTGCCCCTGAGGCCTAATACATTCAAGATTATAACAAAAGACTGTAAAGGGGACTATGGAAGCAATGAACCAGGAACTGTGGAGGAAAACAAATATATATCATAACACCACAACTATTATAATAACATGATTTGGGCTCCTGGATCCAGCTCCCAAAATTCATCCTTAGATTTCCCAAGAGCCTATAATTACCCGTTTTTGCTTAAATACGTTTGAATTGGGTTTCCGTTGTCAGTGGATTTAGGTAGACCTTTAACATGAAACACCAAGCTGTGGGCAAGGTATGAGGAATCTGGTGAGGCGCATGTCCGGACTATCGGAGATTTACAGTGGAGCACCATCTCCCCAAACATTGCTACTACCTCCGTCTGAGAAGAGGCAGGCAGTGAGAACAAGCCGAGCTGAGCCTCTGGCGGTGAGGACCTGGCTAAATCCAAGCCAGGAGCACTGTGGGCCAAGGCTGGACAGCCCTCACCTATGGACTCTTGTCACTTCCAGGTACTGCCAAATGCACCTCAGTGGGGGTGAGGAAGTGGGCGGAGGCACTTCATGCTGACCCGAAAACAGACCCAAATCGCCCTTTCTGTGCCTGGGGGGCATGAACCTCCACGGCCCCAAACTGCAGTTGCAGAGGCAGAGTGGCAGGTCGACATTTCTGTTCTGTTCCTCAAATCCTTGGGGACTCGAGGTGTCCCCAAGGTGTTTCTGTTCCTCAAGTTCTTGGGGAACTTTCACTGTGTTCTTCCAGCTTATCGATTCTGCCTTGAGCAGCAGCAGGCAGGTGTGCAGGGGGTGGTTGGGAGGGGAGCCCCCCGCCAGCATCGAAGTGCTGATAGATTAGTCAGGAAAAAGAGTTGCTGCCTTCATCTCCCCTTGTGGGCTTTGGCCTCTTTCTCCCAATTGTCCTTTGGCAGAGGTGCAGAACGCTGATGAGATACCCCTTGGACTCCTTCCAGAAGAGTCTCCCATTGAGGCAATTAGGTGAGAGCTGACGACAATTTAGCGAGCACGCAGCGATGCCAAGGGTCTCCCGGATCAAGAGGCAAGTCTCAGCTCTGCTACTGATGTGCTTCTGAGGGGGTGGTCTCAACGAAACTAAAACAAGAAATCACCCTTCCTTTTGTAATACACTCCAGGATGTCTAAAAGAGTGCGGTGTTTTAGTGATGTGTCAGCGCACAATGAGGAAAATGTACTTTGCAGCATCCACTCCATTTCCTGGTTCCTACGACGGGTTTGGCAGGAACCACATCATGGACAAACAAATCATGGTAAAATATGTTTTTAAAGTAAAACAGGCTGGGAGCGGTGGCTCACGCCTGTAATTCCAGCACTTTGGGAGACCGAGGTGGGCGCATCATCCGAGGTCAGGAGTTCGAGACCAGCCTGACCAACACGGTGAAACCCCTGTCTCTACTAAAAATACAAAAATTAGCCGGGTATGGTGGTGCATGCCTGTAATCCCAGCTACTCGGAAGGCTGAGACAGGAGAATCGCTTGAACCTGGGAGGCAGAGGTTGCAGTGAGCCAAGATTGCACCATTGCACTCCAGCCTGGGCAACAGAGCAAAACTCCGTCTCAAAAAAAAAAAAATAGTAAAACAAAAAAAATTAATATTATGAGAGAACAATGACAGTGAGCTTTTTCATGGGTGACCACTATGTGGCTGGTGCTTTCATTGATGACTCCTCCTTTCTGCAAAGTAGATATTATTCCCATTTTACCAATGTGGAAAATGAGACTCCAAGCAGAAAGCAAATGAGATTGCATCTCTCAGCATGTGGTGACTCTCCCTTCCTATGGGAGCTTGCCCTTCTGCCTCTATTTTCTAACTGTCCTTAAAACTCTGAGTAAGGAGCCTCTTCCTCTCCACATTGGATTGTGGTAGCTGGCACTGTTTCTCCAAAATGAAACCAACAGCAACTACCAGAGAGTCACATTCATGCTAAGGTGATCAGCTGGCTAATTGCCACTTCTCTTTCACTGCCCCATGGACCTTGAATGTTCAATCACATGGTTTTTTGTTTTTTTAATTGTGGATACACACACACACACACACACACACACACACACATAAATTTACCCTTGCAACCATTTTTTTCGTTTTCCTTTTTTCATTAAAAATTTTTTTTCTATATTATTTTAGCTTACAGCTCAGCAGCAGCCAAACCGTTTAACCATTTATTTAGCTAGAGTACAGTGGTGTAATCATAGCTTACTGCAACCTCAAACTTCTGGCTCAAGCAATCCTCCTGTCTTAGCCTCCCAAGTAGTTGGGACTACAGGTGTGCACCACCACACCTGGCTTGTTTTTAAGTTTTTAAATTTTTTTGTAGAGATGGAGGTCTCACTATGTTGCCCAGGCTGGTTTCAAACTCCCGAGCTTAACAATCCTCCCTCCTACATCTCCCAAAATGCTGGGATTACAGACTGGAGCCACCGTGCCTGGCCCCAGACCATTTAAAAATGTACAGTTCAGTGGCATTAGTACATTCACATTGTTGTGCAACCGTCATGACTGTTGGTCTCCCCAAATTTCTCATCTTCCCAGAAACTCTCTGCCCATTAAACACTAGCACTCCATTCCATCTTCCTCCAGCCCTTGGCAACTACCATTCTGCTTTCTGTGTCTATGAATTTGACTACTCCAGACACTTCATATATTATCTGTATGTTAATGGAATTGCACAATATTTGTCTTTTTGTGACTGGTTTACTTCACTTAGCATAATGTCTTCAACATTCATCCATGTTGTGGCATGTGTCAGAATTTCCTTTCTTTTTAAGGCAGAATAATATTCCACTGTGTGTGTATGTCACATTTTGTTTATCTAGTTAGGTATCTGTGGGACCAATCTACTTTTGAACTCTAAGGGACAGAAAAGCCTTCCTTATTTTGAACTCAGTTTTGTTTCCTTCTAACTTGTGTTCACAGGTCCTAGTTTTGCCCTTCAAAAGATACACAAAGAAAATTGAATCCCTTCGCCCATGTCAGTGCTCCACTTATTTTAGGACAATTTCCAGGTTGTCTCTAGGACTTTCCCTTTCTGTGCTATGAAATGAGGCCTGAGGACACGTGCCGAGTGCCTACGGGCTGCTTGAGACGGGAGATACCTTTTGTCCATTCATTCTTCATCTCATGCTGACTGAAGCCTTAATGCCACTCACTCCACACAATGGCGCCTGCCTGGAGAACTGGGTGAGAGGGTCGTTCATCTTCGTAGTCTCACCCCGTAGCAGGAGGGACTGGCAGAGCCTCCTAGATGCCACCCCTCCCAGGCAAAGCTTCAGCCTGCACCCCTGGACCAGGGCTAATAACATCAGCCACTGGCCACTTGACATGTTGCTGAGAGATTTCCCAAACACACATTCCCATCTTAGCAAATTAACTCCAAGAACACAGTGAGGAAGAAGATAAGTTAAAGGAGAGATGTCTAAATGAGAAACTAAACTCGGTCTTCCTGAGACAGCCAGTGCCGACGGCTTGCGCTGGGTGGAAAGGTGAGATTTCATCACTGCTTCTCCCCAGGGCTGGCAGGGGCAGATCAAGTTGCCTCTCACTCCGGCCCCACCCTGAGGAATGGACTCATGGACACTGCAGGGCTTTCTCTCCTCTGATATCTTTGAGTCAAGGCGCCGTGTTGACCAAGTGGGTCAGATAAAGGACTACAAAGCCATTGTCCGAATTGCCCAGGGAGGATGTGGCCAACATTCCTAGGTGTGTTTGGAAATATGGCTGAGACAGTAGGTGCCAAGTGAGAGACGCTGGCAAAGTAAGCCTACATTTGGAGACCAGTGGTTCCCTGCTGTCACAGGGGACTTCGGAATAAATCCCTTCCAACCCACTAGCACACACGCTGCCACACACGACCATAGATGGTGAATCCTGCACTCCCAACTCTCTCCCGGTGGCTTCTACAACAGGATGTTGTTTATTACAATAGAATTAATCTGCTTTTCCAGAATTTAGTAATCCATCAATTGACAAACTTCCCTGATACATACTTTTAAGATTCTAGAAAAATTCAACTCATTATTATACATTATTCACTTCCCAAATCAGTGAAAACTGCATGTGATATGTTATAACCATAAAATTATTACATCAAGCACTTATGGACAAAAGTTAAGTCACAAAATAGGTGGAAAGAAGAAAACAATTATATTAGAAGACTTAACCTAAGGAAGTATGAAATTTAGCTCTGAGCTTCTGCAGTAAAATAGAAAAGAGGCAGGCGGATCACTTGAGGTCAGGAGTTCGAGACCAGCCTGGGCAACATGGTGAAACTCTGTTTCTACTAAAAACACAAAAATTAGCAGGACGTACTGTTGCATGCTTGTAATCCCAGCTAGTTGGGAGGCTGAGACGTGAGAATCCCTTGAACCCAGGAGGCAGAGGTTGCAGTGAGCGGAGATCTTGCCACTGCACTCCAGCCTGGGCAACAGAGTGAGACTCTGTCTCAAAATAATAATAATAAATAAATAAATAAAATATAAAAGGGAATAAAAGCGACATATGTGCCATTATTTAATGCAAGAGAGCATACAAATTCATCTGGAGAAGTTGCCTTGATACATTTCAAGTAAGGATTGTTTATAAAAATAGAATTTAGAGGGCTGGGTGCGGTGGCTCACGCCTGTAATCCCAACACTTTGGGAAGCCGAGGTGGGCGGATCAGAGGTCAAGAGATTGAGACCAACCTGGCCAATATGATGAAAGCCTGCTTCTACTAAAAATACAAAAATTAGCTGGGCGTGGTGGCATGTGCCTTTAGTCCCAGCTACTCGGGAGGCTGAGGCAGGAGAATTGCCTGAACCCGGAAGGCGGAGGTTGCAGTGAGCCAAGATCGTGCCACTGCACTTCAGTCTGGCAACAGAGTGAGACTCTGTCTCAAAAAAAAAAAAAAAGAATTTAAATTTAAATATAACTTTTTAGGGATTAATCTACTATGTATAGGAGACCTATCTGTATATGTGAGTGTATCTCTGTGTATGCATAGAAGTACATATCTATTGTCTATAGTCTCTTTTTGTATATATATTTCAGAGATTTAAAACAAAACAAAACCGCTAGGAACCTTTGCAAGACCTCATCTGTTTCAGGTTATGGGAATGGCTGCCTATAACAGGAAAGAATCTGGCAGGAGGTTGGGGTATGGTAATCTCATATCCCCCAGGGCATCTGCACACTCACTCTGTCTTGCTAGGTAGCTGAGCTGATGCTACACAAGCCTGGCTGTTTCAAAATCTAGGGCCCTTGTCTGCTAGTGGGGTGAATGGGGACTCAGTCTTGCTGCTCCAAGGCCAGGATCCAGGTGCTTGTGGAAAGCTCTTTGGCACCCAGATGTCCTGCCCCAGAGTGTTGCTGTCTAAACTTACCTGTGGGCCAAGCCTGGCATATGACTGGGTGCCTGCTCAGCTCCCATTTGGCACTCCAGCTCCCTGCTGGCCCTGGAACCCTGCCCCAAACCACAGCTGCCTGGCTTGGGGCCTGACAATCTGCCTCCTCCTTGCTGGAATAACCTCTCTCTCTCTCTCTCTCTCTCTCTCTCTCTGGAGGGCAGGAACTGGTCACCATACCCTTCCCTCGGCTGCTGAGAGGGGTCCTGCTTCCACCCTGATGGCCTAGACAGGCCCCACCCCCATGAAGCCACCTGCCTGTGGTGAATGTTCCTCTGTTCGGAAATCCTAACTATCCCATGCCTCCTGCATGTTCCATCTCTCTGATTAAACCCCCTAGAAGGTTAGACCCAAGTACACCAAACCCCTGAGGAGTCATGATGTTGATTCCAGGCTGTCCTTAGAAGCAGCTCAGGCCAATCCTGGGTCCTCCCCTCTTCCCACTGACCCACTGTCTAAAAAGGTCATGAAAGCAGATGGATGTCTCACCTTCCCAGAAGATGGTCCATGTGGAGGGTGCAGCCAGGTCCCCTAATATCAGGAGCGTGTTGTTTGTACGATGATGACTATAGAGGGGCCTGCTCCTCTCTCCCACAAGTTGAATCAGGAGGGTTTTCAAAAGGGTCAAAAGTGAGCACATTGCATTGGAGTGAACAAGGTTTGCTGCCCCGCCTGGCCATGCTGCTGTAGAGTAATGGAATGTTGCACCATCACTCCCACCTTGGGAAGGACAGGTAAAGGCCCCCTCTGGTCCTATCCTTTAAGGTGGGGAGTGCCTGAGAAAGAGCTGAAATATTTCCTGACTCTCAGGGGCATGCTATAAGAGGAGAACACTTTGGGATCAGTTCTCAGATAAACCCAAGGTTGGGGGCAGGGAACGGTGGGCTGTAACAGCCAATCATGTCCCATGGAAGCAGAGTTTCCTGGTGCCCCCAGCAATGGGCACTGCTGGCCAAAAGGAGTTGTGATCTTTGGGGCGTCATCAGGAAACCCTGCCTAGTCCAGCTTGTGGGGTATAAGATCCCTGAAGCTGAGGGGTCCTAGATAGTACCAACCACCAAGGTAACCACAGCTGGTGACTGCCATATGTAGCCCCATCTGCTTGAAAGAAAGAGATGTCTGTGACTGAGCAACATCAGGCTGTCTGAAGCAGTTCTGCAGTGTCTGGCTTATAGTGGGCACTCAGTATACATCCACAGCTTCCACCCTCCGGAGACCCATGAAGCTGACACGAAGAGAGGAGGATGCCCCTCCTGGGGTTGGCAGATACCACGCGGGGGCAGCCCAGGGCTCCTTTGGGTGAAGTGGAAATTTGCCCCCTCCCCCATACCTCCTGCTGAGGCCATGTCTCTGGGAGGGACTTTGAGAAGCCATCACCAGTTTTCTCTAGGTTCTTGACTCTACCTTCCAGTAAAATATTCCTATGGAAACTGAAGAGACAGGAACTTTAGGGTTTGCCCGTGGAGGCCGAGGCCAACTGTGAGAAAAAAAGCCTTGTTGGGTCACTGCGGTTTTGCTCTTCAAAGCACTGAAACCGCTTTAGCCAGGGCCTCTCTTTTCTAACTTAAGTTGCAAGTGCCTGGATATTTATTTTCAGTTTGTGATTAAAAAGTAGATAAAATGAATAAATAGTGAACCACATGTCTTAAATGACCTTCAAATAGAGTAGTAACAAAAAATAGTTATATAAAGATATACATCTCATTTTAAATGTGCCAGAAAGATAACCAAAATAGAAAGAAAATTCATTATTCAGGCCAAACAAGACAAGGAGTGATTATGGACAACTTAGTTATTTTCTTAAAGGAAGAATGACAGATGCACTGAAGCCCCCACCTGCAGTTTTTTGGCTGGGGTGCTTTAAGATGGGGAAATACAAAAACCAGACTCTCCTGGCCCCTTTTCTCTAGAGCTACAAAAACTCCAGCACTGACTCTGTGTATCAGCTGAGGTTTCTATTGAGAAGAGGCAGCTGTGTGGCAAGCAATTCTGGGTCGAGGGCTGTGGAGGACTGGAGGCCACTGCCTTCACCATGGCTCAGAGGCCAGCTGCTGGGGAGCCACAAGGAGAGGGGCCCAGGCATGTGGACAGTGGTCACAGGAGAAGCTTCTGGCAGGACAGGAGTAAAAGGAACAAGGTAGTTATTAAACAGCAAAAATAGTTTCAAAGCAATTATGCTAATTGTTTTAGTCTGTTTAGGCTACTGTAACAAAATGCCTTAGACTGGGTGGCTTCTAAACAACAGAAATTTACTGCTTACAATTCTGGAGACTGGGAAGTCCAAGATCAAGACATCAGCAGATTTGATGTCTGATGAGGGCTTGCTTCCTGGTTCATGGTTCACAGATGGCACCTTCTTGTTGTGCCCTCACATGGTGGAAGGGAGAGGCTAGCTCTCTGGGGCACTAATCTCATTCATGAGAGTTCCACTCTCATGACCTAATCATTGCCCAAAGCCCCCAGCTCCTTATACCATCACCTTATGGGTTAGGATTTCAACATATAGAATTGGTCGGGAGAGAACATAAGCATTATGTCCATTGCACTAATGCTATCCAGATTAGAAAAGATGACCACTAAAATAATAGTTTTTAAAAACCTATATTCATTTTTAAATCATTGTGATATGCACCTGGAGAACGATTCCCCAGGTTTAGTATTTACTCATGCATGGAAATTGGGAAAGCAAGCAAAGAACCTTAGCAGTGCTGGTTTTGGGACTGTGGTCCATGGGCCCCTTCCTTGCATCCCCCAGCTGGCTGCAGAGTTCCAGATGCTTCCTACCCCCAGAACTACTCAGTCAGAATCTCTGAGAGTGGTGCTCAGGAATCTGTATTTTTAAGCTTGTAAGTATAGTTCTTTTGAAAACCATTAACCCGAAGAACAAAAGATCAAACTGTTAACATATATCTCACCGTTAATCTGGCAGCCAGGTCACTGGAAAACGCATTGAATTTGGAATCAAAACGCTTGGGTTAAAATTATGCTACCTTAAGCCTTGAGCAATTCACTTAATTTTCTATGGCTCCAGTTTTTCTCATTTGCAACATGGAAATTCTCCCCAGAGTTGTAAACATTAATTGGCGAAGAATGTGAAAGTGTTTGCACTGAAAACTCTAAAGGATCATATAAATGTTTATTATTATCATCATTAATAACAATTGGTATCAGAAGTTCCTACCCATAGTGTCAGCATCCTGGTCTAAGCCACCATCATCTCTGGTCTAGACTACTATAATGACTCCCTAAAGTCATTTTCCCTCCCTTTCCCTTCTATTTCCTACTCCTCTCTTTATACATCTCCCTTACTAAGCCCTTCAAATGCTTTTCATTGCCCTTAGGATATAGTCTAAAATCCTTAAGACTAGCTCTGACTAGACCTGATTGAATGAGAGAAGGTAGAATTGAAATGCAAAGGATTCAGAGTATCATTGGCTTCCTGGCAAAATATACCTAGGCTTTATTACAGCTTTTGGGAGCCCCAGATAGCCAAGACACAGCACACTGGATGGAGCCTCTGGCAACACCAGAAGCCCCAGGGAAATGGGACAGGTTTATAGGTAAAGCCAAGATTTCTCAGGCACAGCTGTGGGCAGCCCTATTGAAGAAGGAGAAAGATACAATATTAAAAATTTAGACTTTGGACTGTGTGGGCCTAAATAAATTATTCTAATTTGTAGTGTTTATAATAACATGATTAAATATAATTTAAAAGGCTAAAACTACATTTAATTTATTTTTAATATACAAAGATACTTGCTGATGGCATTTTTACTGATGGAAGTATTTTTCCTTTTTTAAAATAAACTTTTTATTTTAAAACAGTTTTATATTTACAGAAAAGTTGCAAATAATAGTACAAGGGTTCCTACCCATCCATCAGCTAGTTTTCCCTGAGGTTAACATATTGCATTACTATAGTACATTTCTCAAAAGTAAGAAGCCAATGGTGGTAAAGTACTGCTAGCTAAACTCCAGCCAAGGCAAGGCAGCCACAGCTGAGTGCCTTTACTCAGATTTCACCAGTTCTTCCACTAACGCCCTTTTCTGTTCAGGATCTAATTCAGGATCCCACCTTGCATTTGGTGGTCCTCTCTCCTAGTCTCTCCTTAGGGCTGTGACAGTTTCTCATATTTTCCTTGTTTTTGATGAGCTTGACAGTTTTGAGGAGTGCTGGACAGGCATTTTGTTGAAAGTCCCTCCACTGGGATTTGTCTGGTGTTTTCTCATGACTTGGCTGGATGACAGTGTTTTGGGGAAGAAGAAAGACCACAGAGGCGAAGTGCCATTTTCATCACCTTATATCAAGGGTAACTACTGTTAACATGATTCATCACTGTGGATGCTGACCTTGATCCAGGTAGTGCTTGCAAGTCCCTAAGCCAAGCTCCCACACTCAAAATGTGTGTATGGTGGCAAGTGTGGGAGGGGGGCTGAGCTTTGCCCCCTGGAGGGGGAATATCTATGGAAATTATTTGGAATTCTTCTGCACAGAAGAGTTGTCTCTTTCCCCTCCTCCCCCTGCCCCATGTATTTATTTCTTCAATAGCTTATTTATATTAAGATGGACCCCTGGATATTTATTTTATACTTTGGGTTTGTAATCCAATACTATTTACAGATGATCCTCAAATTACAATAGGGTTATGTCCCAACAAACCCATTGTAAATTGAAAATCTTAAGTCAAAAATGCATTTAATACCCCCAATAAATCAATCGTAAAGTTGAAATCGGAAGTGGCACCATCATAAGTAGGGAAGTGCCTATATTTTCCTGCTTGTATTGTTCCAGCTTTGGCCACCAGGAGCTCTTCCAGGCTATCTCCTGTGCCCCTTTGAAGGTGTCCCTTCCTTACTTTTGCTCTTTGAGCCCTTCCTTACTTCTAGCACCATGAGACGCTCCAGGCTCATCTTGCATTTTTCCTGCCCCAATCCTAGAGTTGGCCACTTTTCCAAGGAGCCCTGGTTCCTTTTATTGGAGAATGGTGTTAGAAACGAAGACCTGGGTGCTGGGCATAAATTAGCGTATTAGGCTGTGTTTATGTTGCTTAAAAGGAATACTTGAGACTGGGTAATTTATAAAGAAAAGAGATATTATTTTGGCTCACAGTTCTGCAGCCTGTACAGGAAACTTGGTGCTGGCATCTGTTTCTGGTGAGGGCTTCAGGAAGCTTTTAATCATGACGAAGGCGACGGGCAGCCAGCATGTCACACGGAGAGAGCGTGAGCGAGAGAGAGGAGGAGGTGCTATATACTTTTAAACAACCAGATCTCACAAGAACTCACTATCCAGAGGACAGTACCAAGCCATTCATGAGGAATCCGCCCTCATGACCCAAACACCTCCCACCAGGCCCCACCTCCAACATTAGGGATCACATTTCAACATGATTTGGTGGAGACAGACATCCAAACTGTGTCAGTTAGATTTTTAAAACACTTCTTAGCATTTATTTTTAATTATAAAATTAATATACACTCTTGGAAAAATTTTCCTTCTTTCTGTTTGTTTGTTTGTTTTTGTAGAGACAGGTCTCACTTTGCTGCCCAGGCTGATCTCAAACTACTGGTCTCAAGCAGTTTTCCCATGTTGGCCTCCCAAAGTGCTAGGATTGTAGGCATGAGCCACCACTCCAGGTCAAAATTTCTGAACAACATAGAAATGTACCAAGTTAGACATGAAAAAGTCCCTGGCAGGGTGTGGTGGCTCACGCCTGTAATCCCAGCACTTTGGGAGGCCGAGGCAGGTGGATCATGAGGTGAGGAGTTTGAGAGCAGCCTGGCCAATATGGTGAAACCCTGTCTCTACTAAAAATAACAAAAATTAGCCAGGCATGGTGGCACGCTCCTGTAGTCCCAGCTACTCAGGAGTCTGAGGCAGAAGAATTGCTTGAATCCGGGAGGCAGAGGTTGCAGTGAGCCGAGATGGAGCCACTGCACTCCAGCGTGGGTGACAGAGCGAGATTCTGCCTCAAAAAAAAAGAAAAAGACCCATCTGCTTTTTCTGCAATCTACTTTCCAAAACTAAACTATCATTTAGGGTGTACTTAGGGTTTTTAACAATTTATAAACGAATGCATCTTTATAGTACAACATTTGAAAATGATTAAAAAGTATACATCAATAAGATTTCAGAATTTTTTGCACTGTTTGTAATGGGGAAAATGAGAAAAAAATGTCCTTTATCAAGAATCGGAGATCAGTTCTAATCTAATCTCTAACTCTAAGAACCTGGTAAAAAGTATATAAAATAAAGACATTTAATTATATGAGAAAGTGTTCACAATATATCTATTCAATGAAAAACAGCAGATTACAAAACACTACGTACAATATTTATTCCTTCCTTTTTGTAAAAATAAAATTAAAAGTATTGGCACAAAAAAGATTAAAAGAACAAGTATCAGTATGTCATAGTGATTAATTCTGAATAATGCGGTAATTACAGGTGATTTTACCTTTCTTCCTTTTCTTTAAATGCATTTTCCAAATTCTGTACACTTAACATGCATTACTTTTGAACTAAGGAAGCAAAGTAATACAGGCAGTGCTTGCTTTACACAATATTGTGTTAACTGAAACTCTGCATATTGAAACTGTGACCTCAATTTACACTGTTCTGTGATAGGTATAGTTATTTATATTTTCTTAAATTATTTATTTATTTATTTTTGAGACAAGGTCTCACTCTATCCACCAGGCTGGAGTGCAGTGGTGCCATCTTAGCTCCCTGCAATCTCTGCTTCCTGGGCTCAAGCGATTCTCCAGCCTCAGCATCCCCACTAGCTGGGATTACAGGCACACGCCATCACGCCAGGCTAATTTTCGTATTTTTTGTAGAAACGGGGTCTCACCATGTTGCCCAGGCTGGTCTCAAAACTCCTGGGCTCAAGTGACCAGCCTGCCTCTGCCTGCCAAAGTGCTGGGATTACAGGTGTGAGCCACCGTGCCCTGCCTTATGTTTTCTTTTAAAAAATCTTTGTTGGGAGCTCTAGGTCTGTTAAAAGAAAAAATTAAAAAAAAAATTTTTAAATCTTTGGACTTAATACAGAATGTGAAAATAAACACTAGCAAAGGGAATGGAAATTGAATTGATGTATTCACTATTCACTCATTCACTCAACAAATATTTTATTGACCATTTACTATGCCAGCCACTGTTATGGGTGCCAGGGACACAGGGAGCCAGTATATAGGCCCAAGGATGTCCTCTAGAGAATTATTTATGATAGTGAAACACTGAAAACTACCTAAATGTCAAAACTACATTAAGAAAATTATGATAGGGCTGGGCGCGGTGGCTCACGCCTGTAATCCCAGCACTTTGGGAGGCCAAGGCGGGCAGATCACAAGGTCAGGAGATCGAGACCATCCTGGCTAACACGGTGAAACCTGGTCTGTGCTAAAAATATAAAAAAAAAATTAGCTGGGCGTGGTGGCAGGCACCTGTAGTCCCAGCTACTTGGGAGGCTGAGGCAGGAGAATGGTGTGAACCCAGGAGGTGGAGCTTGCAGTGAGCCGAGATCACACCACTGCCCTCCAGCCTGGGTGACAGAGTGAGACTCCATCTCAAAAAAAAAACAAAACAAAAGAGAATTATGATATAGTCATAGCATGGAATAATATGTACCCATTTTTTAAAAATCATGTCTTGGACCACACTTGTTGACACTAGAGATCTTTAAAATTATTTGTTATAATGAACAAGAGCAGACAACAAAATATAGGCCACAGTGCCATTTTTCACTAACAATGTATGTGTGTTTGAATTTGTGTGTAAATATTTTTATATTCATACCCGTATTCTATTTTAGCGTAAAACCACCTCTCACTCTACATAGAGGCTGGGGAAGAAGATGGCCCTTGTCTAAGAACTTTCTTTTTTTTGAGACGGAGTCTCACCCTGTCATCCAGGCTGGAGTGCAGTAGCACGATCTTGGCTCACTGCAAGCTCCGTGATTCTCTTGCCCCAGCCTCCTGAGTATCTGGGATTACAGGCACGTGTCACCACGCTCAGCTAATTTTTTGTATCTTTAGTAGAGATGGGGTTTCACCATGTTGGCCAGGCTGGTCTCAAACTCTTGACCTCATGATCTGCCCGTCTCATCCTCCCAAAGTGTTGGAATTACAGGTGTGAGCCACGGCACCCAGCCCTAACAACTCTTTAAAGTGAAACCTCAAAGCATCTGCTAAATCCTTGGATGTGTAAACAGGGGCCTAGAAATAACTCTGGGTTTGAGCTTCAAGAGAGTGGTATTGCTGTGCGTAAGAAAAATGGTAGATTTTTTAGGCTGTTCTGAGTGGGTAGAGAAGGGATGACTGAAGTAGATTTCATTTGCTTCCCTAAACTTTCAGTCAAGCCACCATGCAAGGCCTTGACTTGATATTGTGTGTGAGTGTGTATTTGTCAATCAAGAAAAGGGACTGAGCTTCACATGTGGGTTAATGCTGGTCTATCAATGAAGGAAGAGCTACGAGTGCAAAGAAAAGGAGCACCATGGAGGCAGGAACTTGGAGCTAATGGTAATCATCAGGACATAAACCTCAGTGAGGAAAAAGGCCATGTCACATTTCTATTTGTATTCTTGGCATTTAGCTAAGTGGTGCATCCATTTACACTTAATTTAACAGGGGCTGGAGTATTTGTAAGCCAAATAAGTTTTCTTTTCTTTTTATTAATTAATAAAGACAGGGTCTCACTATGTTGCCCAGGCTGGTCTCGAACTCCTAAGCACAAGTGAGCCTCCCACTTCAGCCTCCCAAAGTGCTGGGATTACAGGCATGAGCCACCATGCCTGGCAAGTTTGCTTTTGTTAACACTTGCCTATATAGTGTCAAGTGTTGCAATAGTAAGCACTAAAAGTTCAATCGTGTATTCTTTTTTATTTCATCCCATATGTTGAGAATCATTATCTCTGGGATAAGCACAATCTTACCTCCAGGTTATGCATTAACCCTGATGTCTGTCACCTGTCCCAGTTTCTTTGCTCTTCACAATGTCCTCATTATCAACATCATCAGCATCCTCACACTCATCATAGTGAAGACGTACATTTAGCTCATTATGTACCAGGGATTGTTCTGAATGCTTTATGTTTATTAATTCTCTTACTTTTCACTACAACCCTATGGGGTAATTACAGCTGAGGGAACCAAGATACAGAAGTTAAGTCCTCTTTTATTCTTACCCTATAAACAAGCCCTGGGTACCCTCATTCATTCACATGGCCTCAAAGATCACCATCCACAGATGACTCAGGCTTAAATGCAAGCTCCATGAGTCCACCAACTTTCCATGACTGTTGGGTTCTCCCATATATCCCCATTATCTAGCCCAGGACTTCAATAAATATTTATTGAAAGACTGAATGAACCTAGCCCAGAACTCCCTTCTCACCTGCAGTCTCACCCTCTCTATTTGCCTGCCCCACAGGCACCTCATACTCAAAACCTCCAGACCACAACTCATTGCCTCCAACTCTTCTCTACCTATGAACATGATCTCTGTTTGGTATTTCCTCTTTCTCCTTGAATGGCACCAGCATCTCTCTATCACTTAAGTCATTTTTTCCCTTATTCACTCTATTCAGCCTGTCCCCAATTTCCATAGCTTCAACTGCTTAAAAGCCTCTGAAATCCACTTGCCCCTCTCCATTCCTACCCTAACCTAAGCGGTGATCTAGAGCAGACCCTGGAGATAGATTTCCTGGGTTTAAACACTGCTACTTACTAGCTATGGTGTGTTGGGCAAGTCATTTAAGTGTGCCTCAGGCACATTTATATTATTTAGGAATTTTTTTATTACAAACCAAACCCAAACTGCCTTCAACAACAACAACAACAACAAAAAGGAATTTTTTTGTTCATCTAGTGGTATCAGGGTGTCCAGCTAGCTCTAGGAGCCCATCGTGGCACATGCACTTCCTCTCTCTGTTAGGGCTGGTTTCCTCTGTACTGACGCTCCACTTTCACACAGGCTCTTCCATCATGGTAGCAATATTGTTGCCAGAGCACCAGTTTTGCATTCTATCCTCTTGAGAGCCTCAGAGGAAACTGAGCACTTTCCCTTATTTTTTTCCTTACAAAAAGCTCAGGATTACTTGATGTTGATTGGCCAGGACCTATCACATGGCCCTTAGACCTAAAGATGGGGATTAATCTCATGCAACCACATGGGACAAGAGTGAAAGGAGGGGGTGGGGGTAAGCAATGAAGACTGGGGTGTTCTTTCCAGGAAAAAGAAGTACAGATGGATGCTAGTCCTGCAGAAATAGCATTCGTGCACATGTATGCATAATAATGGCTTCCCCGTAGCCTGTCTGGTTGTTCTTCAGATAGTTCTCCATGTTGTTGCTGAAAAGAGCTGTCTGAAATGCAAGCTAGTTATCATGATATGAAAGCTCACAGGAGTGACCAACTCTTGTTCATCTTGAGGTCCTAAGCCCTAGCACAAGATTCATTCCACAGAGTTCCCCAGCATCAATCAGTGCTTGGCCCAAGATTGATGCTTAGGAAATCTGTGGGATGAATTACCTTTTCTGAGTCTCACAAGTGCTAGGATGTGCCAGGGCAGGTGTGATGACCCATGTTTCATGTGGCAAAGCACCAGGAGAAACCGAATGCAATAGGAATCCACAGAAGTCACCAAGATGGGACAAGCAGAGGTAGGGTTTTTGCTGAATTTTGAAGGATAAAGAAGATACTAATGGGTATACTAGAGTGTCCCAGCTGAGCCAGGTGGATGCTGGGTATGGAAAGCACAGTTACCGATAAGGAAAAGGCTGACCTCCCTGGAGCCAAGTATGCAGGGGCACCTCGGTGCTGCTCAAATTCTAGCAGAGAAGACAGGTCTGTACATGAGAAGATGATGAGCTCATTCCCACCTCAGGGCTTTGCCCGTGCTGTCCTTTGTGTGTGAATGCTCCTACACCATCAGTCTCCTTTATATCCGTCAGGTTTCAGCACTCACGTCACTCCCTTGGAGAGCTTGTCCCGGATCTTGCTATTTAAAGCGGGGCTCACCACATCATTACCCAGTTGTAGTTTCATAGTTTCGGTCACTGTCTGAAATTGCTCTGTTTCCTTGTTGAGTGTCTCTCTCCTCCATGAGGAGAGAGACAAGCTCCACGAGGGCAGGGATTCTCATTGTACTATTCAGTAGACATTTTTTTGTTGTTGTTTTATTTTGTTTTGTTTTGAGATGGAGTCTCTCTCTGTCACCCAGGCTGGAGTGTAGTCATGCAATCTTGGCTCACTGCAACCTCTACCTCCCGGGTTCAAGCAGTTCTCCTGCCTCAGCCTCCCCGGTAGCTGGGATTACATGTGCACGCCACCACACCTGGCTAATTTTTGTATTTTAGTAGAGACGAGGTTTCACCATGTTGGCCAGGCTTGTCTCGAACTTCTGACCTCAGGTGATCCACCTGCCTCAGCCTCCCAAAGTGCTGGGATTACAAGGCACGAGCCACCGCGCCCAGCCTTCGGTAGATATTTTTTAAACAAATGAATTAGCAAAGGGAATTATTCATCTGGCTTGAGGCTAGGTAAATCAATAACATGTTCTAAATATGGCTAGCATATTATCTGGTACATAGCAAATCCTCAATAAAAGGTAGATATATAATGGCTATTATTTATAGATGTCTTGAAATATCAGAAGCCCTGAATTCAACATCCAGAGCCCAGGGCAGTAGAGGCTGAGCAGACAAGACAGGTAGAGGGAAGGAGAGAAGGAAGGCACGTGGTGGCAGCTGCTGCTTGCCCAGAAAGAGTTAATGGGGGAGTGGAGCTGGGCAGCTCGAGAAGGTACAGAGCAGGGTTTCCTTTAGGCAGAGGGCTCCTGGGACTTCTATAAGAAGCTGGGACTTGAGTTGTGGGGACTGAGATTGGGAAGGAAAAAAAATCCTAATCCAAATCTTGTGGGGTTTTTTGTTTTGTTTTGTTTTGAGACGGAGTCTCACTCTGTCGCCCAGGCTGGAGTGCAGTGGTGTTATCCTGGCTCACTGCAAACTCTGCCTCCCGGGTTCAAGGGATTCTCATGCCTCAGCTTCCTGAGTAGCTGGGATTACAGGTGCATGCCACCATGCCTGGCTGATTTTTGTATTTTTAGTGGAGATGGGTTTCACCATGTTGACCAGGCTGGTCTTGAGCTCCTGACCTAAGGTGATCCTCCCACCTCGGCCTCTCAAAGTTCTGGGATTACAGACATGAGCCACCGTGCTGGGGCCAAATCTTGTTTTAATTATAAATTGACACTGGCAAGGTCTAGTTTAGTTCAACTTCAAAACTCCAGGCCATATCTACTGAGCATTTACTATATTTGAAGCACTTGCTGGCTCCAGTGAAGGACAGAGAGTTGAGTCACACACATGTGGTTCAGGACCCATAGGAAACACATTTTCTTGGGGAAGACAGAGAGGTAGGTCACAGCTAACATAAATCGTGTGATAACATGCTTGCTCCAATAGTGATACCCAGCAGAGCGGGGGTGATCATAGGAAGGACTCCTCGGGAAGAGAGAGCAAGGCTGGAGAAAAGATAAAGGGAGGTCAAAACCATGTTGGTAACCAAAAACACGAAATTCAGGGAAAATATCTATTTCTTGGTTTTGGTCTGTTTTGTCTTTTTCTTTTTTTTGCTGAAATTATGTCAACAAGTTCAGTGTTACCTTTAGCTAGCTAAATAATATGGCTGGAAAAGATCATTTAATTAAGACAGATTGCATATCTGAGCACAGCATAGCTATCAATAAGTGGTTTTTGTCTTTTCAGAAGCAAAATATGCTGAAATTCAAGAACTGGGCATGAATGACTGTGTCACTCGCCAGAGCTGAGCCACCTCCAAGCAGTGAGCCAGGCCAATCATGTGAGGCCCTGCCACCTTCAGACAGTGTCCTGTCCCCCTTCACCAGGAACAAACAGAGGACGGCCTGTCGCCTCTCAGCTCCCTGCCTGCCCTCAGACTTTCACATACTCTTTATCGAGTTTTACAGAGCTTTTCTGACTCTGTAACAAACAGTCAAATAAAAATGCTGTGTTCCCAAAACTAGAAAATGTTCTCCATCTGGACTTTTCCCAGGGCCTCAAATTTACATTGTTGAAATTCTTTATCCCATGCTGCCCTCCTCACCAGCCTTTTTGAAATGGATAATTTACCATTAAGGAAAATCTGCACTTTATTATATAAATAGTAAAAGTACTGTGCTTATTTAACTCTCAAAAGAAACAATTTTTTTGCCTTGTAAGAGATTCGATAGATAGATGATAGATAGAATACATAGATAGTTAGATAGATAGATAGATGATAGATAGATAGATAGATAGATGGATAGAAGATAGATAGATAGAGCAGCAAATATATCTCAAGAAAAGGAAGACTTGAGACACATGGACATACGGATCGTGTACCTTTAAAGACGTCT
This sequence comes from Homo sapiens, assembly GCF_000001405.40. NCBI lineage: Eukaryota > Metazoa > Chordata > Mammalia > Primates > Hominidae > Homo > Homo sapiens. Next base: position 44,747,925 of record NC_000013.11, read on the forward strand.
CTGCTGTTAGGATCCTGAGTGTCATATGCTGAAGTTAATTGAAGATGAGTTACAAAGAAAACAAAAGAAAGGAACATGAGTACACTTTTATAGATTCACTAATCTACCAGGATTAAAGTGGTCATCAAGCACTTGCCATATGTTCAAAACCATTCTGGCCGGGCGCGGTGGCTCACGCCTGTTATCCCAGCACTTTGGGAGGCCAAGGTGGGCGGATTGCCTGAGGTCAGGAGTTTGAGACCAGCCTGGGCAACACAGTGAAACCCCGTCTCTACTAAAAATACAAAAAATTAGCTGGGCGTGGTAGTGTGCACCTGTAGTTCCAGCTACTCAGGAGGCTGAGACAGGAGAATTGATTGAACCTGGAAGGCAGAGGTTGCAGTGAGCTGAGATCGCACCATTGCACTCCAGCCTGGGCGACAGGGCGGGACTCCGTCTCAAAAAAACAAAACAAAACAAAACAAAAACCACTCTGAGTTTACCCAAGAATGGAACAGGCTGTCTCCAGTTTTACACAGAAGGTGTGGGCCCAAGTTCATTTGTATTTTTTTTTTTCTCAGAGCAAATTTCTGGTAGGCATAAATCTTTGTTTCCTATATGATATGTTAAATCAAGTTTTGTGGGTAGCCTAGGGCGTGGCCAGCATTTATTGTTTATATGGAAAGTGTTATACAGGTTTCATACCTCTCTCTAGGACTCACCACCTGCTCCCTCTCCCCATCACAGGAAGAATGGCAGGACTGAGGTGGCAGGTGCAAAGTCTCCACCTTGGCCTCTGGCTCTCTTCCATGACCTCTAACTTTGCCTCAGTTCCTCAGGCACTCAATCAGTTCCTAAGGAGAGCATTGGCCTCCTGTGAGCTGGATCCTCATGAGACTCTTGGTTTGAGAATCAGCCTCTCCTGATCAAAGTTGCGTGGGGAGGATTCTGGATTCTTCTGGTGGATCCACTTCCTCTCCACTGGCCCACAGAGGTGCAAGAGTTCCACAGGCCGGTCATGTTCAGAACAGGAGATGATCTCAGGCCATCAGGAGACAAGAAAATCTTGGCTGGTTCAGTGATCTGGGGTAGGTGGTTTTGCCAGGGTTCCTTGGGGATAAGGCAGCCTAGGTCTGGGAGCTCTGTCTTCAGCTCCCACATCCAAGCAGGGAACCCAGCCCTCATTCCTTCAGGTGACAGGAGGCTCAGGCACCAACTTGAGAACAAGAGGAATGGTCCAACCAAGGGACCCATATGTCCCAGCTTCACCAACAATTCCAAAGTCCTCTTGGTCAGCACCCAACATCGACTTCGAAGGCAAGTTCAAGGGCAATTCCAGGGATGGAGCCTCCAGTCACGCCTGCCTTCAGTGGACATTCTCCACTTTTCTTGCTTTGGAAGGATCCCGATGAGGCTGTGCCAAATGACTGGGCAGGCCTTGTCTTGTTGGAGTCACACGTTCCCCAACTGCCCTGCCATAAATGGTTCGGGACCAATCCACTGCAGAAATTCCCTTTGGTGGGTTTCCAAAGTAGTGTCTCACCAGAGAACTCCAGGGTGAGTTCTGATCTCAGAATTGCGGGTTGGTGATAGACACTGGGTATGTATGGGGAGTTGAGAACATTATTGAGTTTCACAAGGTACATTCAAGGTCCTGATATAGACTCCATATGCCTGAATGTAAGTGTAGGGGTCAATTAATGAAACTGCTTTCACCCACCCGAAGTATCGTAGAGGGGAAGCAAGAATTGCCCAAGTAGAAGTCAGAGAAAACTGAGAAGGAAAGGCTGGCCCTGTCAAGGGTGGAGGAGGATGGTTAGCAGGACTTTATATTCAGTGTTATCTTCAGGAGAAATTCAGAGCATGGGGCAAGCTCAAATCCAGTTCAGGCAATGACCAGAGTCTGAGGGAGTCACTGGGGTATGGGGCTGGTTCTGGGCAATATCTAAAGTTTCCACAGGCAATAAGAGAACTCGAATGGGTCAGAGAGGAGCTGAGACATCAGAAAAGATTTTATAAGGATTTTCTAAAAGCTTATCCCTGCACTAGGGTTAAAAGCTGGTGTTGACCTGACAAGAGGGCAGCTGAGGTTTAGGTAGGCTGCAGTGTGGACAGAGAAGCTGGACTCTGAAGACCCAGACTCCAAACCCATTGTCTATTTTACTCCAGCACAATAGCATATTTCCGGGGGAAATATGTTTCAGAATGTTGCAGATATTTTGGCTCCTTCTATGTGAAGTAATGGGCACAGTCATCTAATGGGACAATGCCTTTGAAGAAATGGTTCAAGGATAACCTTGCTGATCCAGACAACCACGTGGATATGTGTATGTATAATGTTAAGCCAGTGTTTACAATCAGATAAAAATAATGGGGATATTTTATGAGCTCTTAACTGTTAATACTTTTTACATCTATGTGCATTTATTAGTTACAAAGAATACTTACTTGGTAAAAACACCAAAAACTCCATCACAAAATTATTGAGGGAGAAAAAATTGAGTATTTACAAAAATGTAGCTTTGAAGGAATTAGGAATTTTAAAAAGTCATCTAGTCAATAATTAATGCTTATAATCAAAACAGTAGATGATGCTTTTATATTGGGAATGAGATGTCAGGCAAAAAAATAACTTTGAACATACTACTGGTTTCTGTGGATTTCTAAATGGGCTATGCTACTATACTCATGTACCTATAGACAGGTGTCTCAAATACTTTCCACAGCTGGTGAAGGGTTTCAGAGTTTCACAATTAATACATGGAGAAGAGAGCTTATTAAAGGAGCCCGGTCTAGGCCCAGTTGGCACCTCTGCCAAGGGCAAAGATAGTATCACAGATGGTTCTATCTCCTGACACATTCCTAGTACTCCAGGAAGGAGCACTGTGCACACCTATTAATCAGGGAGGTCTTCATGCTTCTATTGTCAACTCCAACAATGCATCTACTTGGACTCTGCTCTCCTGTCTTTATTATAGTCATAAGTGCATAATGTTGCTTTTGAAATTCCACAACTATATTGCAATTTTTACAATCTAGTATAACCCAGCAGGTACCCAAGTTTAACAGACAGTTTCACATTAAATACTGTTAAAGGTATAAAATATTACTTAAATTATCAAATGAGTCTTTTTGACAATATAATTGCAAGTTAAAGCCTCATTAATTTATGTGTTCATTTTTCTTCTTAAACAGGGGTGTCCAGGCCAGGCGCGGTGGCTCATGCCTGCAATCCCAGCACTTTGGGAGGCCGAGGCAGGTGGATCACCTGAGGTCAGGAGTTTGAGACCAGCCTGGTCAACATGGGGAAACCCTATCTCTACTAAAAATACAAAAGCTTAGCCAGGCATGATGGCGGGAGCCTGTAATCCCAGCTACTTGGGAGGCTAAGGCAGGAAAATCACTTGAACCCGGGAGGCGGAAGTTGCAGGGAGCCGATATAGTGACAATGCACTCCAGCCTGGGCTTCAGAGTGAGACTCTGTCAAAAAAACAAAAAACAAACAAACAAAACACCAGGGGCATCCAATCTTTTGGATTCCCTGGACCACATTGGAAGAAGAATTGTCTTCACCCACACATAAAATACACTAAATACTAACTATAGCTGATGAGCTAAAAAAAAAAAAATCTCATAATGTTTTAAGAAAGTTTATGAACTTGTGTTGGGCTGCGTTCAAAGCCATCCTGGGCTGCACGTGGCCCACAGGCCACAGGTTGGACAAGCTTGTCTTAAGACATTAGTGCCTTTTGAACAATGGGCTTAAGATGGTAGAACTTTCTAGAATAGAGCTCCTCATAGGGTTGTTCTACAACATTTAAATTAGATTCTTCCTGAGGCAAACTGGTCACCTGATCACCTTAAAGCATCTCTGGGACTCTCAATGCCCAAAATTCTTGTGCTCTGAGTTCTGAATTTCATGTGGGTATTTTAAGCAGCTGTGCCTTTATAATGATATAAATGCCACACTCCTCACAATGGCTAGCTTTTCAGCATAGTAAATGTCATCTCTGGTTTTCTTTCTCATAAAGAACATTTCCACATGAAAATTGCCACCTTTGGGCTATGCTTTTTGCTAAGTTCAGACCTTATATGTAATAGGGGTAGGCTCTTACTTATATCATCTAATTTTTCAGGGCTCTAAAAAAAATTCATAAAACCTCCATTGACTGGTAATGACAGATGAGTTCTAAGACCAAATTCAGGTTATGCAGGAAAAGGTGCTATAGGGAAGGCGTTGAACTCTGCTATAATGCAATTACACCAGGAAGAAAAATCTGAACTGTTGACAGTCATTTGTACCTTCCTGAGAATGAAACTCCAAAAGCAGAGGGAAAGCAGGAGAGGAGAGAGAATCAACAGGACACGCGCACCCTGTGAGGAAGAGTTATGCGGTAAGGGGAGGTCAAAGACCTTCACTGTTGTGGCTAGCGATGAAAATAAAACAACATGTTACCAGAACGGAATTGTCCAAGAGTATTCCAAGGTTGGAACTGAGATCATCGCAGGACAATGACTGCCCATTCTTCCTGGCCCCAGCACTTATTGCAGCACTTGGAACATAGTGACAGCTCAGCAAATGTTGGCATTTTTAATGAATAACTATTTGTTGTGTGTGTGTGTGTGTTTTTTTTTTAGCAATTAAGAAAAACCTCTTTACACTGACAAGATATAATTCTCTGGGCCAATAATTTTAGGAACAGAGACATTTGAATCAAAGGTGTGAAGAAATGAACACGTTTTTTGCTTTCCCTTCATGAGAGCCTAGGTTCCAAACATGCTTCCCTTGATTGAACAAGCTGAACCAATCCAGATGGCCTGGGGGATAGTAGGTGAAAATAGTAGCAACCAGAGCTTGTTTTAGAGTATTTTCTCATTGCATTTAACGTTCAAAAGAAAGCTCACAGTCACTTCCCTTACAGAACACCCCCATCACACAACGACATACACACGCATACACAGGTCCGTGGATGTCTCCCTTTAATAATATTTTACAGCTAACAAAGAGATTGTGTATGCCAGGAAATGGAGGCCCAGAGAGGTGAGGTGAAATGCCTCTACAGTCCCATCTAGAATATGACAATATTTCTTAAACACAAGCCCAGTGTTTTCCCCAATGTACAAATAATAAAATTCTAGAAATACTGTCTGGATGCACAGTCCCAATCTACCTAGGTTTCTGTACATCTCATAATAGCAATAATGCTAGAAATCTTGAAGTGAAAGTTTTATTTTATTTTTTATTTTTTTGTGGAGATGGGGTCTCAATATTCCTGGCCTCAATCAATCCTCCCACCTCAGCCTCCCACATTGTTGGGATTACAGGTGTGGGCCACAGTACCTGGCAGAAAAGAAAGATATTTAAATGGAATTGAAGTAGGCTCTACTGGGCCCTTAATTTAAGGGGCACAGTGGGAGGTTAGCAGGAATTTCAAACAGTTCACCATGGTTTGCCTACTTTTCCATATTGTTGCTTCCTTCTGCTCAGTGACTGAGTCACAGTTGTTTCACCGCCTCATAACATGTTAAATTCCCTTTCATCTTAGGAGTACTCTGCAGTTGCCATTTGAGACTATGGTCTCGCTAATCAGAGCCAGAATTTGTCATCCGTCATTTGCTATGTGTCCTTATCTATTAATACTAGACTCTGGGAATATAGAAGGAGACTTCAGTGTTCTCCATGGTACTCAGATGTGAAGATCTATGTGAGGACTTCTCCATTACTGAAGGGTACATACCATGTATCATAAGATACCAATAACCAACAGAAAGGAGATAAAGTCACGGGTAAGCCTGAGGACAAAACCCTGTAACTGGTTGTAAATGTAACATAAGCAGGTTTCTCTTCTTCTCTCTTTAGATCAGAGGTTAGCAAACTTTTTCTACAAGAGGGCCTGATATTAAGTATTTCAGCTTTGCGGGTCACACCACCTATGTCACAAGTCTTTGATTCTACCATTGCAGCAGAAAACTACTTAGGCAATACAGAAATGAATGGACGTGGCTGGATTTGGCCCATGAGCCATAGTTTGGCAACCCCTGCTCTAGATGATAATCATAAATAACATTTTGAGTGCTATATACCAGGTACACTATCTTACTTAATCTTCTCAGCAATTCTATGAAGTGACTGCTCTTATTTTCATTCCCAGGTTACATATGTAAAGTTTAAGTCTTATATAGATTAAACAAAGCTGCTTCTTATCAAATAGCTAGAAATCTACATAACCAGGATTTTGATCCCTGGTTGGCTGTAATAAAAATCAAGGGCTATCCTTGATTCTTTAAAGGGAAGAGAGTTGCGGTGGTAATGCACAGAAAGGAGCTAACTGAGGGGGAGTTGGAAAAGAAGTTGGGAGATGGAAAGAGTATTGAACTGCTAATCTTTGGTTGATGTTCATTCCTCCGAGCTGGACTTGCGATGTTCCATCACCTCCTTTGAGACAGGAGATGCCATGAAGTCAGTCTTGCCTACTCCCAAATTCTGTATGCAGGTAGGCCGGCCTTAGCTCTGAATCACTGTTATCTTATTACCTAGTAGGGCCATGGCTGTTGGGAAGAGTGAGTGGTGGCTCCAGTAGAGGTAACAAGCAGTATTTTGTAAGTGAAGAGTGCTTTACAGTTCATAGACTTCCACTGAGTTCTCATGGTGTCCTGTCTCTGCGCTTGGCTCTTGTTGTCCCTCTGTTTGGAAAGCTCCCCTTCTAAAGAATCCTCCTTCAAGGTCTTACTCAGATGCTTCCACTTCCATGATCCCTTCCCCGATGGCACCAGCCAGAATTCACGTTCCCTTTACTTGTGTCTGGATCACTCTGCTTCCCTGTCACCTAGATGATGTGAAACTTTCTATTTTTTGAGACAGAGTCTCACTCTGTCACCCAGGCTGCAGTGCAATGGCGTGATCTCGGGTCACTGCAACTCCGCCTCCCACGTTCAAGGGATTCTGTTGCCTCAGCCTCCTGAGTAGCTGGGAATACAGGTGCACACCACCATGCCTGGCTAATTTTTGTATTTTTAGTAGAAACAGGGTTTCACCATGTTGGCCAGGCTGGTCTTGGACTCCTGACTTCAAGTGATGCATCCACCTCAGCCTCCCAAAGTGTTGGGATTACAGGTGTGAGCCACCGCACTTGGCCAATGTGATACTTTCTATTGTGAACTGTATCTACTTTCCTCCTATGCTGGTCCATAAATTCCATGAAGGGTAGTAGGTGCCCACTAAATATTTGTTTACTTGAGTTCAGTTTAATTATCCTCATAATAACAACCTTGTGAAGTAAGCAGGACAGATGTTACCCTCTTTTTTAGATAAGAAGGCTGAGGATGAGAGCAACAGAATTACTTGTCTTGGGCATCCCATGAGAAGGTGTTGGCTAGAATCCTTGTGCAGTCTTTGACTCCTCATTGCAATGAAAACACGCTGAAGTTTTTAATTTCCTGGTGGTAATAGGCTTCCAATGTCTCTAATTATATATGGAGAAATTATGAAAATTAAAACTCGAACACTTATCTATGAAAATGGTTGCTTACGATGTTTCTCAAAACAACAAGCATTGTCTTGTTTTGCTTCTTTTGCCCAACAATAGTACAGAAGCAGTAATCAATACACAAATCCACTCAAGAGATGCTTGACCTCTCCTTAAATTTAACTCAAATTTGTACACAAAAAAAACTTCTTTTTTATTATTTTTTATTATTTATTTATTTATTTTTAGGAGACTGGATCTTGCTCTGTTGTCCAGGCTGTAATGCTGTGGCATGATCAGAGTTCACTGCAGTCTGGAACCCCAAAGATCAAGTGATCCTTCTGCCTCAGCCTCCTGAGTAGCTGGGACTACCGTCACACATCACCATGCCCAGCTATTCTTTTTTTTTTTTTTTGAGGTAAAATTTATATTAATAAATTGTACAGATTTTCAGAGTTCAGTTTGATGAGTTTTGACAGTTGTACATACCCTTTCTAAATACATAACTTCTTGTAAATCTAAATGTGTGCATGTGTGCAAGAGAACGTGTAGTATATCTGAGACGGAGAAAGGATGGGGACAGGCGAAAGACACCGAGATAGACCCAGAAAGACAGCATAAAGACAGACGTGTGAAAGGACCGGGTATTGCTCACCAATTCTGACATGGTATGTGGTCAAAAAAGAACAAAACAAATGCCAAACCACCTAAATAGACTCATTAGAAAAAGAGGTTAAAGATTGCTGAGTGACTCAGGGATATGTGGGCAGAAAGGAAAAGCTGAAGTTTCTGAGATCAAAAGCAAATTCCTTTCTTTGGCAACTCCATACATACATACACAAGGATAAAGCCATTCTTATCAAGGAAAAAGCAAACTATAGACAGTTACATTGCTGAAAAGTCATCAGTAAAAAGGAGAGAACCGTCAGAATGGCCTCAGAAGAGAGTCATATCTCAGTGGCTGAAATAATTTCTGCACAGATTCATAGGAGATATGGCAAGAAGCAGCACATCAAGATTGAATTTGTCTAATGCATGATGCATGGACTCATCCAGTGGAGGCTTGTTAAGTTTTTAATTCCGCTGAAAAAGTCAAAAGAGTAAACCATGTTTCCATACTCCTTATTTCATATCCCTAGTAACCAGACTGAGTTTCTAAAATGTCACTTGTAAAGGAATATTCCAGGAACACTGGCTATAAATTATATTACAGGATCTGAAAGTGTTTTATGACTCAGGATTTCCTTATCTTATTTGGATTGCAACTTCCCTGGGTTGGCACAATGCTTCTTATCACCGAGATAGTCCTTACATATCAGTTGCTCGGTGATCTCTGTTTTATAAAATCAGTAATATTTCCAACTGCAATACCAAACTGGATTACTTTTCTGAAGTCTTTAAACAGAATACTTTTGAATAAAATAAAAGCTGTAAATCAAACTGGTGCACTCTCTTCACAGCTATTTCCATCTTGCAGATATCCCTGCCATGCAAGTCTCCAGAGTCACACTGCCTGGGTTTGGATCCTGATTCTACCACTCCACTGCCAGCGTGACTTTGGGAAAGTTACCTAACTTCTTGTTGCCAATTTGCTCATCTGTAAAATAGGGAAAATAGTACCTATTTCATAAGGATGCTGTGCAGACTAACTGAATAATAGCTGTGCATTCATTTAACAAATCTTTATTTCTTGAGCGCCAAGTTTGTGCCAGGCACTGTTTTCAGCTCTGGGGAAAACAGTAGTAAACAAAACAGGCTGAAGTACCTGCCTTCAGGGAGGCTACATTCTAATCAGAGAGATAGACAATAAACAAGCAAACAAGGACATATAAAATGTCAAATAGTGGTAAGTACTATAGAGAAAAGAAAAGCAGAGTAAAGGAGGTGGGGCCGGGCACAGTGGCTCACGCCTGTAATCCCAGCACTTTGGGAGGCCAAGGAGGGCAGATCACTTGAGGTCAGGAGTTGGAGACCAGCCTGGCCAACATGGTGAAACCCCCTCTCTACTAAAAATACAAAAATTAGCTGGGCGTGGTGGCAGGTGCCTGTAATCCCAGCTACTCAGGAGGCTGAGGCACAAGAATCGCTTGAACCCAAGAGGTGAAGGTTGCAGTGAGCTGAGGTTGCACCACTGCACTCCAGCCTAGGTGACAGAGTGAAACCCTATCAAAAATAAATAAATAAATAAATAAATAAAGGAGCTAGGAGCTGGGGACTGCTGTCTAGCGTACTCAGGGACTATAACCATGAGGGTGACAGTTGATACCTCTGATGTATAAGTAAGCATTTAATAAGTGTTAGTGTTGTCATTATAACTGTTATTAATTAGACCCATACCTACCAAATTTGTTTATCATAAACTCCCAAAAGGAATTAAAGTGTTTTAAATTTCTGCCAGGGTGATTATAATTTATAATCACTATGCAATACAGCCTCCACCATCACTATTTGCTCTGGCAAACCTGTAGGCTGTGCTCTCTCTGCTTCCCACTCTGTTCCCCATCTTCCCCCGGCACCATATCCTTGACATCTCTTGCATAAATAGCATCTTCCCTGATACTCCAGCCTGTGGATGTATCGTACACCATCACAGAGCCTTATAGTTTTTCTTCCTAGCAACAAAGCATTTATCGCCCATGGAATTGCAGTCTTATATATTATTTATTCTTGTTTATTGAAGTCTGTCTCCTCACTAGACCCTACTTTCCATGAGGGTAGGGAGGGTCCCTGTCTTGTTTCTTTCTACACTGCTGTTTCTCCCATATCTGGCATAGGAAATGGATGAATGAGTAGTTAGAGGTCTCCACTCAACTGTGCTATGATTAGGCAAATGGAGTTGGCAGGGCGCATAGCTCTTAGGCATCTGTGTTCTATACCTTTTCTTGTATTTCCTTTCAACATATTTTGAAATTCTCATCATTTTAACTGTAGGTAAAGATCAAAGTTAATCTATAAGGCATACATTCTTTGTATGGCCAGAGTAAAGAACTGAGTAAAGAACAGAGTAAAGAACTAACTGGCCAGAGTAAAGAACCAGGCTTTCTATTTTAGAGAAACAGAAAAAAAAAATCTCCTAAGGGGTAATAGATGTCTCATTTGCATAGCCTGGTGTTTAGATCTCCTTAGTGTATTCTTATTTGTAATCATTCTGAACTAGCCATAAGCATCTTGATGAGACTCACTATCACAAACTCTTAACTCATAGCCTATGGAGAAAAGAGATCATAATATTCAGATTTTAAGTTATTAACCAGAACGTAGCACAGAGATGGGAGGTCAGCACATTGGATGTGTGAGTGGGTGTGTGCACACAAAGGAGAGGGCTCAGGGCAAAGTTAACACTGATTGGAATAGGTCAGATTGAGGAGCAAAACGTGTGTGTTTTGATTTTTCTCTAGAAAGCAGGGTTGCTAGGGAACAATAATAGCCATATCATTACCTCCTAGGATATCACAACATATACATCACAGAAGTGATACAGACAAGAAAGCCAAACACAGAACAGAGCAGAGGCAGAGGCAGAGAACGATTTTCAGATTTCAGATTTTCTGGCTCACCCTGTGTGGCGGTGGGATGATTCAGCAGGGCCAGGAAATGAGCACAACACAGCATAGTTAAGGCCTGTCTGTCTGGTTTATAGATTCTCCACCCCCTTTGCCTTTATGTTCCCCTCTGCCTACATCTCCTCAACCCAAGCCTTGCTCATTCTCCACCAGTGAGTACGCAGCAAGTAAAAGTAAACTAATATTCACTGGCCAACTGTGACTCCGCATGAGAGATGGAATATCGTTAGCTTAGCCGTTGGCTTATTTATTTAGATACAGGTTTCACTGTTCCCAGCTATTTCTGCTTTACTCCTGGTCCCACCCTCTAATACAATAGATCAGCAAGAACAAACTGCCCAAAGCTTTCTGTGTTTCTCGCTGCTGTTCAGGGCCCTGTAAGGGAGAAGGGGCGTGCCGCTTAGGGAAGACAAGCAGGGATCTGCATTAAGCCCAGTTCGTGCTACATCAGAAGAATGAATTTCAAGGGTGGACAGGTGACAGGGAGGGTAGGTAAAATAGCCAGGGCTCGGGAATGGAGTCACCCTGAGAAATTAACTGGAGTGAATACCACTGGCACTAGCAGAAGTGAAAGACAAGGCCCAGGTGCAGGTTGACACTGGGAGGAGAATGGAGTGCTAATGGTTTAGTCATGGTTTCTTTATGGAAGGCAAAGGAGAATCAGAGAGCAAGCTGCCAAATTAAAAGTAAAAGCCCACTGGAGAAGGGCTGACTGGGAAACTATGGGGTAAAAGGCTGGGAGTGGGATCGGGGAAGTGGAAGAGGGATAGGGAGGAAGGAGGAATCAAGTCATTGGCTGTCTTACTGGAGTAAGATGAGATGTCTGTCTCTCCCATGCTGTAGGAGGCCCAGCCATGACATGAGTGATTTCACACCCTGTAAAGGAGCATTTAAAAAGAAGCCAGGCAGGTTTTGAAATATGAGGCCATGGTGTGGCTGATTATATATCTTTGGCTGTTTTGTTTTTTTTTTCCCTAAGGCAATTACATTAAGTGCTTAACATCAATCCAGAAAGGAAAAAATGAGGGCACCATGGTTTTGGTGAGAGGATTTGGTGGGGGGCAGAGGGGGAAGGCTAAACTGTCTCCCTTCCAAATACAAACACTGCACATACAGAAAATAAGCCGTGTAGATCCTGAGTTCTGACTACAGTGGCGAAGGAACACACAGGGGCCTAAGAGAATGAGGTAATATTAGTTATGTCAACAGTTGCATGTTACAAATGCTGAAGGGGAGTGAAACTTGCCAAGTGTTAATGGAACTGCTGGAAAGAAAGACTACTGGGCACCTGCCACCAGCCGCCTGACCTGGCCAACCCCACCTGATCTGGGGCCCACAGCAAGCTGTCTTTCTTGTTTCTTCTTTCCCGTTGGGTCAAAAATAAAGGTTGTTCTCAGTATTTTTTAGAACCTGGCCTGATTGCAGGGCAATCAACCAATGTCTGAGGGAATGCTGGGCATCAGATGCTGGGGAAAATGTGCCACTTCCAGGTATAAATGCCCCAAGAGCTTCCAGAGTTCTCACTCCAGTTGTTCCTTGGGGTGGTGTCATCCCCCAACAGAAGGGTCAGCCTTGGAGGGTCAACAGAGCAACCACAGAAACAAGAGTTGCTGAAACACTTTGTGGAACCCTGTGCAAAGAACCAGTGGTGAAAGTAATACACAGGCAAGTACCCAAAACGACCAGGGCTATGAGCTCACCTGGAAGCAAGAGACATTGCCTAACCCATAAGAGTACCACAGTGCATACTTGTAAGACTGATGGAGTCATTCTGGCCTTCAGGAAACATCAAATAATGGAGGTGACAAGGAGAGTAGGAAATGGCCCAAAAAAACCCATACAGAAAAATACATTCATTTTAAAAGGACCTAATGAAGGAGCTTAGTTAAACAGAATAATTCCTTTGTAGTTTTCAATTTTCAATAAACATTTTCCTTTTCAATAAACATTTTCTTTCTTTCTTTTTTTTTCTTTTCTTTTCTTTATTTATTTATTTTTTTTTTTTGTGAGACAGTCTCACTCTGTCACCCAGGCTGGAATGCAGTGGCCCAGTCTCGGCTCACTGCAACCTCCGCCTCCCGGGTTCAAGCAATTCTCCTGCCTTGGCCTCCCAAGTAGTTGGGACTACAGGGGTGTGCCACCACACTCGACTAATTTCTGTATTTTTAGTAGAGACCAGGTTTCACCATGTTGGCCAGGCTGGTCTTGAACTCCTGACCTCAAGTGATCTGCCTGCCTCAGCCTCCCAAAGTGCTAAGATTACAGGCATGAGCCACTGAGTCTAGCTAACATTTTCAAAAATAGAGAAAAGTAGAGAGAAGAGTAGAATGAGCCCCCAGGTACCCGTCACCCCACTCCAACAAACATCAACATTTGCCCTTCTTATTTTATCTGGTCCTACCCCTCTTTTTCCCTGGAATATTTCAAAGAAAAATCCCAGACATTTTACCATTTCACTCATAAATATTTCAGAATGTATTTACGAAAGTTTGCTTCATTTGTATTTTTGACAGAAATTTCCATCTGGAAGATAGAGAACTTAAAGGGAATGTTACAAGGGGATAATGGTCTCAGGGAAGCAATAACTGAGAATTTTTGGCTTTCCTTCCTGCCTACCTGCTCTATGCTGCAGCATCACCCAAAGTCGCGGGTACGCATATTGTACTAAACACTTTTTTGTGTGGCTTCCCCAGAGCCCAGTGATTTCTGTTCCTTGGAAACTGATTAGTAGTAACGTCTCCTCGCTGTGATCCTGCCCTGTGGCCTTGAGGGAGTTCTTCCAAAGGTAGAGACTTTGGGTCAAGATGGGCCAATGGCATTCTTTCTCTCTGCTGGGATTTGAACGTGAGAGCAGAACATGTCAGGAAAAACTCTAGATGAAAGAGAAGGTCTCCTTACTTCTGCTGCTGAGAGCCTGGAAACTGCTCTACCCAAACCCAGGGAATATAAGTTATCGGCTTTCCCAAAGCTTGGGGTGGAATGACATTTGCTTAAATTCCATGACACACTGTCTTAGTTCATTTGGGTTGCTACAAAATAATACCTTAGCCTGGATAATTTATAAAGAAAGGAAGTTTATTTGGTTCACAGTTCTACAGGCTTATAAGAAGCATGGTGCCAGCATCCACTTTTGGTGACCTCAGGAAGCTTACAGTCATGAAGGTAGGTGAAAAGGGAGCAGACGTTTCACATGGCGGGAAAGAAACAAAGAGGGAATGGGTGCCATACTCATTTAAACAACCAACTCTTTTTTTTTGAGACAGAGTCTCACTCTGTTGCCCAGGATGGAGTGCAGTGGCACAATCTCAGCTCACTGCAACCTCCGTCTCCTGAGTTCAAGTGATTCTCCTGCCTCAGCCTCCCAAGTAGCTGGGACTGCAGGGATGTGCCACCACGCCCGGCTAATTTTTTTATTTTTAGTAGAGACAGGGTTTTGCCATGTGAGTGAGGCTGGTCTTGGACTCTTGACCTCAGGTGATCCACCCGCCTCGGCCTCCCAAAGTGCTGAGATTATAGGTGTGAGCTACCATGCCTGGCCTTAAACACACTCTTACAGGAACCAGTGGTGCTAGAACTCATTCATTACAGCAAGGACAGCACCAAGCCATTCATGAGGGATCCACCCCCATGACCCAAACACCTCCCACCAGGCCTCACCTCCAACATTGGTGACCAAATTTCAACATGAGACTTGGAGGGGCAAATATCCATCCAAAGTATATCAGCTACTCTATGATCTTTCAGATAAACTCCCTCTCTATGCATTAGCTAGCCAGAACTGACTTTTACTCTTTGGCCAAAAGAACTTTAACAACTACACATCTCTCTAGAAGGAACCCATGGCCTAGAGCATCAAGCAAGGACAACACTAATATAGAGATGAAAATGTTATGAAAACCTTCTGTGTTATGTTCACTGCCCTCTCCCTAACACCTAGCACAGTGCTGAACATAGAATGGACATTCATTACCTATTTATTGGATAAATTGACTACTTATCTTCCCAGTAGAGAGGAGATTATAGAATCTGCCCATTATGGAGCAAGTCTTCTTGTCTTACTAGGAACATGGGTTTGGCTTTGGCTCTGACTCTGCCACTCTGTGTGAGTGAGTCACTTAGCCTCTTTGGACCTCAGTTTCCTCATCTATAAGCTGGGAATCATAAACTCAGCCAACCTTACAGAGATATTGTGAGGCTCAAATGAGGTCATGCTATATGGAAGCACTTGGTAACCTGTAAATTGTTTGCAACTAAAAAGTATTATTATCTTTTCTAGCTGTGGATTCCATTCTGTCTATCTCAGCTTTTTGGCCCGAGAAGTCTTTAGGGCAAAAGTGGATGATAAACTGCTTCTTTCATCATTGTTTTCCTGTTTCCATTCTAACCACTTCTTAAGCCTGGAGTCTGCTTTGGGGACTCTGTTTTATGGATTAAACTCTGTGAAGCCTAAGAACCAAAAGGATTCTTTTTTGTAAAGCCTATGGCATCTTCATTAATCTCATCAGGTACTCAAGATGCCTCCTGATGCATGTTGACTGATGTCCACATATCCCTCTGATAATCAATAGTGTGGAGGCAGCAGCCTGATCCATTCGTATCTTCCTAGGGAGACACATGAACTCATCTTATTGGATGAGGGGTCTATGGAAAGAATGGGAAGCAGAGCACAGGAGAAATAAGTAACGGTCAGTGTTAGTAAGGCTTCCAGGTGCAGCTGTCCTGCCTGAGAGGCCACCAGGTTGGCAAGAAGCTAGTGGATGTCCTGCTACCTGAGTCTTGAAACAGCTTGAACTTTCCCATTTCCTGAACAGCCCAACACTTGCAGAACATTGCTGCATTGTTCTGTGCCCTGAGGTCTCCTGGTGGCGGGCCAACCCTAGGCTGTGCCGGCAAGCACATGGCTGCGATGATTTGTCTGTAGCTAGAGCCATTCACCTAGCTGAATGTGTTGGGACATTATCCCAGGGTGTTACCCACCCGAGGAAACAGGAGAGGGGCTATGGGGGAAGGGGATTACATCAGCATTATTATTGTTATTCACTTATCAGATGGTTATTAATTATACTTCAATTAAAGGCTTGCAGTCTTTACAAGCATGAGCTCATCAGCCCTCACAATGCCCAAAGGAGGTCAAGAACCAGGAGACTGCTGATTTGCTCATGAATGCAGCTGACTTGAGTTTCAGAAATCCTGTGATCTGGTTTTCCCCTCTCTGTCCGGCCACTGGCCACTTCCCCTTCAGGAGCCCTCAATTCCCCCGATGTACAGTGGACAGATACATTATTCACTCGGCTGACTGGCGTCTGCAAAAGTGTCAAGGATCAAATTTTCCTTTCTAAACCCTTCCACGGGTTAAAAAAAAAAAACGAAAAGAAAAAAAAAAAAAAAACAACAACAAAGGAGACATTTAACCAGGCGCTCCAATGCAGCCAGCTCGCCCTCAAGATCAATACACCAGGGAGGTAACTTCATGGGAATCCAAGGAGCAACAGTGGGGTGGTGAATTTTAATGAAGCCTCGTGCAGTTCCAGGTTGGCTTTCTGGCCAAGGGAGGTGGCACCCGGCTTTGGTAATCAGGAAGTTGTTTTGTGGCTGGAGGTCAAAGAACAGAAGGCAGCGTGAAGGAATGATAAATGGTGAGCCAGGAGCAGAGCCTTTCAGAAAGAAGCTGAGAGATGTGAAGGACGGAGGGCCTGCCCCTGCCAGCGCATCCCTGGGGCCCACTCTCCTCCCCAGGCGCCCAAGAGCCACCAAAGGCACTCAGCCAGCCAGGCCACACCCAAAGAACCGGGATCCTTTAAAATAAGAACCGGGATCCTTTAAAATAAGAACCATGAAGAACAACTGCAGAGTGGGGTGTTTCGTTGTGTTGGGGTGTGTGTGTGTGTGTGTGTGTGTGTGTGTGTGTTTCTCTTCTTTCCTTTTTTTTTTTTCTTTTTTATGAGGGGGTGGAATCTGTTGGGAGGCAGGAAAGGTACCAAGTTCCTGAGTGGCCCAGATGCCCCCACCTCCCGCATGGCTACAGAGTTAATAAAACTTGAAGGAAATGGAAAATGGGAGAAGCAGAAACCTGAGGCAAAAAGGGCCTTATCTTCAAAGAGATCGGCGTTTTGGTTACGGAAAAGGTTTTCCAATTAAAAGCCTCCTGAAAGGAGTAAATAAAGAAATCCCCAGTTAGTTATCCTGCACCGAGTTGGGAGGAAAAGTCTTGGTGCTTTATTCTAGAAAGGGTTTGGGCTTTGCTGAGCATTTTGAGTAAAGGGAGTCAGGGCTTTATCCTCCCCACCCCTCCTTCCTCTATCCTTACCCAATGAGGCTTGTAGTGATCTAATCTGAAAGAGATAAAGCCCAATTTCCTCAGCTCTGGAGCTGATAAACAAGCCAAAGACCAGCTCTGTTCACAGGGCAATAATTAAAGCTCTCAGGAATCTAAACAGCAAGGTGGTCAAAAGGACAAGGACAAACTCATATTTCCCAGTGCCATTCTGGGCAGCTGTGAGCACCTTGTGTTGGAATTTAACCTGGTGGAAATAGCATTATTATCACCCATATCTTTTTTTTTTTTTTTTTTGAGATGGAGTTTCGCTCTTATTGCCCAGGATGGAGTGCAATGGTGCGACCTCAGCTCACTGCAACCTCTGCCTCCTGGGTTCAAGCGATTCTCCTGCCTCAGCCTCATGACTAGTTGGGATTACAGGTGCCCACCGCCACCATGCCCGGCTAATTTTTTGGATTTTTAGTAGAGACAGGGTTCACCATGTTGGCCAGGCTGGTCTGGAACTCCTGACCTCAGGTGATCCACCTGCCTTGGCCTCCCAAAGTGCTGGGATTACAGGCGTGAGCCACTACGCCCAGTTCATCACCCATATCTTTATGGATTCAGCTAGACCCCTATCAAGCACATAACCAGCCAAAGTACTATGGAACTCTGCTGATCACAGGCACCAAATGTGCTGTTAATTTAGCACTCTGTAGGAGGCAAGATTTGGCAAATACATACATATTTCTTGCTGATCAAGGAAGGATCTAAATCCTAGAAATTATATAATCCCATGTTGAAGTAGGGTGCCTTCTTTATTTAAAAATCATGCATAGCAAGGTACTGTCTGACATTGTTGCAATCTTATTAGTTCTGCTGAGTAAGTTCTGTTCTTTGGAGTCTTTGGAATTAATAGACTAATGTGTGTGTATTGTGAGATGAGATGGGGCAGAGGGAGTGCAGCAAAAGGAAAGAATTTATGTGGCCATGCTATTAACACCCAGAGGCATCTTACAGGTGCGACCTGGTGAGAGGAGGGGAAAGGGTAGGGCAGAGACAGTGGGGACATTCTGCCAAGAATCAGCCATACCTTAGCTCCCCTGAGAACATATGGGAAATGCCAACAGGAAATGCCAACAGGAAATGGACAGGTCTCCATTTGGATCAGAGGTAATCCTGGCTGGAACAGAAAACATAGATGTGGGCATCTGGTGGTTCTCTTCTCTGCACTTGGAGGACATAGTATGAACACCTTACTGGGATCAAGAGGAAGATAGAGTCTGTACTGAGGTGTCAATGGTTCTCACATTAAAAAATAAAAATTACTGAAACCTGTCTTTTTAAATGAAATTTTTCTTGGGGCTCAGATATATAGAACAGATAAGTATGACATTTTTTTACTAGTATACATTTACTTTGAACATTTTTGTTTTTAATATTTGCTTATCAATAAGTAATAACAGCAAGACAACTTTGAAGAACATAAATATTTGGAATTAGGTATCATGCTTTGCTCCACATCAATCCAAATTATCTATTTCAGTTGTCCTTGATTATGTTTTGGTTTTTAAAAAATTGTTTATGTACATCTATGCAACTAGAAAACCCTTATTCACATAAGTAGATGCAAACGGAATGTGTGTGTGTGTGTGTGTGTGTGTGTGTGTGTGTGTGTGTTTTAGATCTCCTATCAAGTATAATATACTCCTCAAATGAATTAATCCAAAAACTTGGACAAGAAGTTGAAGAGATTTTTAGATTCAAATTTTAGTCACAACAATATTTAACAATGGCTTGCATTTCTTATCATAATATAAAAGTCAGCATCAAACACCCTAACTTCAGAGTAAATGGTAAAATATCTCTAATAAAATACGACACTTTGACATGTAGTGATAAATGTGTCAAGGCTATGGGCCTTCACCTGGTTTGAGGTTTCATTGAGCTCTATAGTAATGCTATTTAATTTTTACTTGAGCAGAGCAGCACTGGCCTAGTTTCAAAAAAAAAAAAAAGTGAGAACCATTGAACTATGCAAAACTACCCACTTTTTTTTTTCTAATTAATGACATATTTACAAAAACTTCAAGTATGTCTTAGTCTTTTTTTTCCTCTTGCTTATAGCAGAATAGTTGAAACTGGGTAAGTTCTAAGAAAAGAACTTTATTTCTTACAGTTATGGAAGCTAAGATGTCCAAGGTCAAGGGCCTGCATTTGGTGAGAGTCTTCCTGCTGTTGGGGACACTGGAGAATCCCAAGGCTGCACAGGGTATCATATGACAAGGGGGCTGGGCATGCTAGCTCAGGTCTCTCTTCTCTCTATAAAGCTATCAGTTCCCCTCCCATGATAACCCATTCATCTATTAATCTATGAATAAATGAATTAATTAATCAGGGCAGAGCCCTCATGATTCAGTCACCTCTTAAAGGCACCACCTCTCAAAATTGCACATTGGTGATTAAGTTTCACCATGTATTTTGAAGGGGACATTTAAGCCATGGCAGCGTATACTCACAGAGAAGGTAGAAGTTCCATACTGAAGAATTAACTCGATACCAAAATTAATGATGGTCCTTAATACATAGAACTGTGTTATGTAATACATTTACATGAATGCTTTTTCTTGTATATTTTGTTAAATAACTAAAATGTATTTAAACCATAAATTTGAATCAGACATTGGTAGAAATCCTAAAGAAACTTCTGAGAAATCTCTGCATCCAGTGTGGGAAGAGTTTGGATTCTGGAGGGGGGAAGATGAGAGGAGAGCTATATGAATGGTAAAGGAACGAGTCAGGTTGTAAAGGAGCTTATCCATAAAATTAAAGAGTTTGAAGTAGATTTTGAGAATCGTAAGCAAGAAAGTGGCATAGTCAGGTCTGAATTTTAGAGATCAAACTGGCTGCAGTGTGGAGCCAGTGCTATTTCCCTTTGCTGATAGTGACATTTACCTGGGGAGACAATGGATTTGGGTGAGAGTGGAGGGGAGGGGAAAAGGGCAATAGACTGATCAATTAGGAAGTGCTGTGACACAGGCCAGGGCTGATGATGGCCAGAACTAAAGTCATAGGTCTGTGGCTAGAAGCAACAGGGGTGTAAATTGGGGTATAAATTTAAGAGTTATCAGAGAGGCAAAATTGACAGGACTGTCATTGATCACATGGGGGCTGGGGATTGAGGTACAGAGGAGAAAGAGTAACACGAAATTTTCTGGCATGGGCAGTGAAGTGGAGGGGGTTTCCATCAGCATGACAGGAAATTCAAGAGGGAGAGGTTGCGGTGGGAGTGGAGGAAACAGATCATGAGCTCAGACATGTTGAGTTTGAGGTTGAAGCCAGTAAGTTGTCACTGAGTCCTGGCAAAAACCATGCTAAACAGAGTCCAGCACACAAAAACAGATAAGCAACAGATTTATCCTTCAAACAGCATATAACAAATATAAACAAATAATCTGATTATAAGGCAGAGGTGGTTGATGCTTTAAGGGAGGTGCATATCTCTGGAAAAAATAAGAGAGGGTAACTGAGAGGTTCGTGGGTCTTAAAAGATGAGTATGATTTGGCTTTTTGGAGCTGGGAAAGGAGGAAGGCAATGTAGGTAGGGACAACATGAGCCAGATACAAAGGCCAAAAAAAGAAAAAAATGACATTTAGGGGGAACTAGAATAATTCAGTTTGTTGGCTTAGGGTAAACAATAGTGATAGGTAAGGCTGGAGGGGCAGACTATGGCAGGTCAGGAAATGACTCGACCACTATGCTTTATTGTGGAACTGATTCCATACCTGTGGGAAGCCAGTGAAGGGCTCTGACAGGAAAGAGCATGTGGTTAGGGTTCCCTGAGATATGGTTTACTTCCTTCACTTCCAAACGACCAGCCTGGGCAACACAGGGAGACTCTGTCTACAAAAAATTTCAAAATTAGCTGTGTATGGTGGCACACACCTGTAGTCCCAGCTATTGGGGAGGCTAAGGTGGGAGGAGTCCTTGAGTCCAGGAACACTGAGGCTACAGTGAGCCATGATTGTGACTCTGCACTCCAGCCTGGGTGACAGAGGGAGACCTGGTCTCAAAAAAAGAAAAAAAAATTCAAGACACTTCCAATGGCAGGGACTCTGACCGCAGAAGTTGCTGGGAAAGCAATGACGTCACTTCTCCTATCACTCTCCCCAGGTAAATGTCACTATCAGCAAAGGGAAATAGCAGTGGCAACTGAAAAACCTTTGCAGTGGGGCCATGTGGGTGAAGCCATTCGGTCTGAGTCACTAATGCTGCTCTTTAACTCATTTTGGAAACTTTGGTTTGTGTTGTGGGGGTGGATTAATTGGCAGAAATCACAGAAGTAGTTATTACTCCATCTCGATTTGGGGAACTTGTGCAGAGATTTTTTTAAAACTCTTATTTTGCTTTTGGGTTTTGCCTCATTCTTATTCCTTTTTGAAAAAAAGTGATCCTGATGTAATGAGGTGAAGTTCATATCCTATGTTAGCAGTCCCAAGAAGGCTAGTGAAGTGGTTTTGTCATCAGGATATAAAAATTGGGCTTTTCCCCCAATAAAAAGCAGACTGTGGTCTGATAAATACTGTGAATGTAGAGCACAGAAAAAAAAAACTTAAGAAATTCATTGCAGGCTACTATTAATGCCATCTCCATTCTAACCACTGCCAATGGAAAAACCATGAGAAATGAGTCTGAAAAGGCCAAAATTTTCCAAATCAAGGAAGTCTCTCCCAGTTTCTCATTTTGTTTGTTTTCTGTCTGGTTACTTCAGACTATGACATATCTGTTATGTATATCTATGGTTAGTTTCACACGTAAACACGTATACACACACTGCAATGTTAGGAAGGTAACAGGAAAACCACTTGGAGAGAGTTCTGTTTTGAAACTGTTCGTTTAAATATGCTTTAAAATTTTCAGATGATTAAAGATCCTATTCCATTTGGGATCTCTCCTAAAATATCTGGAAACTGGCATGGATTACTAAACAATCCTAAATTAGTAGTCTTAACCAAAAGTATATACAGTACGCTGGAGAAGGAAACTGGGAAGCAAATTAATGAGGGTGATCATCAGACAAATCCAATGAGAAATGACCTCTGTTGGGACAGTTGTCATGGAGAAGTGGATGACCAGATGGTCTCTTCTGAGCTAAGCCAAGTTGGATGGAGCAGTAAACAGGTTTCTTCCCATAAGAAGTAGAAAGGGGAGTAAATATCAGTACCCTAAAAATCATTAGCAGTGGTCAAAAGATCAATACACTCGTTATCTCCAACAAGTTACAAATCATGAGTCAAAATTTTTAACCAGAAAGAGGGATCAAAAGCTTTAATTGTTCTGGGGTTCTAAAGTGCTGGAGATAGAGATCAATGTTTTATACCCAGAGACATTTGACTTAAAAATTTAGGTAAGTGGCGGGCGTGGTGGCTCACAGCTGTAATCCCAGCACTTTGGGAGGCCGAGGTGGGTGGATCACGAGGTCAGGAGTTTGAGACCAGCCTGGTCAATATGATGAAACCCCATCTCTACTAAAAATACAAAAATTAGCCTGGCTTGGTGGCGGGCACCTGTAGTCCCAGCTACTTGGGAGGCTGAGGCAGGGGAATTGCCTGAACCTGGGAGGTGGAGGTTGCAATGAGCCAAGATCACACCACTGCACTCCAGCCTGGGTGACAGAGCAAGACTCAGTCTTAAAAAAAAAAAAAAAAAAAGAAAAAGAAAAAGAGAAAAATTAGGTAAGCTAACCAGTTTAGGTCTCATGGAGAGCCAAAGTTAGATTAAGCAATGGTAATGAACTATCTATGTTAAATGCTAGCAGTATCAAATTGTACTTAGGTTTTTTTTGTTGTTGTTGTTTTTTACTGCTCCTTTTGGACCAGGGCTACCCATAGGCAGTGTGCCAAAAATAGCCAAGGAATTTATTTTTATTTATATCTTGCTGTAAGTTGCATTCTTTTTACACAAGGTTAGCAGTTAATGACTCAATGGTGGCAGCTACCTGAATTGCAGGCATGGTTCTTGGTAAATAAATAACATCTGACGGATTGTTTCTTGTTTTGGTTTTGGTTTTTTTTTTTTGAGATGGAGTTTCACTCTTGTTGCGCAGGCTGGAGTGCAATGGTGCGATTTCGGCTCACTGCAACCTCTGCCTCCCGGGTCCAAGCAATTCTCCTGCCTCAGCCTTCCTGAGTAGCTGGGATTACAGGCATATGCCACCAAGCCTGGCTAATTTTGTATTTTTAGTAAAGATGTGGTTTCTCCATGTTGGTCAGGCTGGTCTCGAACTCCCGACCTCAGGTAATACACCTGCCTCAGCCTCTCAAAGTGCTGGGATTACAGGTATGAGACACTGAATCCGGCCTGATGGATTGTTTTTAAAACTGAAACTCAGCTGGGCATGGTGGCTCACGCCTGTAATCCCAGCACTTTGGGAGGCTGAGGCAGGTGGATCGCTTGAGCCCAGGAGTTCAAGACCAGCCTGAGAAACATGGCAAAACCCCTTCCCTGCTAAAAATAAAAATAAAAGAATTAGCTGGGTGTGGTGGCACACACCTGTAGTCTCAGCTGCTCAGGAGGCTGAGGCAGGAAAATTGCTTGAACCTGGGAGGTGGAGGCTGCAGTGAGCTGAGATCATGTCACTGTGCTCCAGCCTGGGCAACAGAGTGAGACTCTGTCTCAAAAAAAAAAAAAAGAAAAAGGAAAAAAAAACCCTGAAAATTCATAAAATTGACCACAAATACAATCTATGTTTTCAGGACTTTTGCCTAATTACACAGTTTGAACGTGCTGTTAAATGGGTGAAACTATGTTTTATTTATCTATAAACATGAAAAATCAGTCATCAAAATTCTTTTTTTTCTTTTTTTTTTTTTTTAGATGGAGTTTTGCTCTCTGTCACCCAGGCTGGAGTGTGGAGTGCGGTGGCACGATCTCAGCTCACTGCAACCTCCGCCTCCCAGGTTCCAGCGATTGTCCTGTGTCAGCCTCCCATGTTGCTGGGATTACAGGTGCCCACCACCACTCCTGGCTAATCTGTAATTTTAATACAGGCAGAAATTTTAGTTTCACCATATTGGCCAGGCACCATGCCCGGCCCCAAATTATTTCTTAATCAATTTTTGTTTCTTTTGCAATCTCACATTACCAAAAATTTGTGGAGTGTAACTCCAAGTATTTCCTTTTGCATTTGTTAACTACACAAGGAATACATTCTCATTTTTTTAAATTCTAATAATCAGATAAATCAGAAGTTATCTCATTTAACAAGCCCCCACCAGCTATTACAGAAACCCTTCTACTATTACCAGTTTGATGTGTATCATTCAAGATCTTTTTCTACTATGTTTGCATAATATACTTTTGCATATACAGCATATGAATATGTATTTTTGCTTTATGCTTTTTTTCCCTCTTTGAGACATGATCTCTCTCTATCACCCAGGCTGGGGTGCAGTGGTGCAATCAGGGCTTACTGCAGCCTCGACTTCCTCAGGCTCAAGTGATCCTCCCATTTCATCCTCCCAAGTAGCTGGGACTACAGATACATGCCACCACGCCTGTCTAATTTGTGTAATTTTTGTAGATGAGGTTTCGACATGTTGCCCAGGCTGGTCTCAAACCACTGGACTCAAGCGATCTGCCCACCCCAGCCTCCCAAAGTGCTAGGATTGCAGGCATAAACCACTGCCTTTGGCCTATGCTTTTTAATATAAATATTATTATACTATACATATTTTTCTATAATTTTATTTTTTTATCTATCACAGGTGACAAAACACTATTTATTTATTTATTTATTTGAGATGGAGTCTCACTCTATTGCCCAGGCTGGAGTGCAATGGCATGATCTCGGCTCACTCAATGTCTTTGTTCAAGCAATTGTCCTTCCTCAGCCTCTGGAGTAGCTGGGATTACAGGAACGTGCCACCATGCCCAGCTAATTTTTGTATTTTTAGTAGAGATGGGGTTTCACCAAGTTGGCCAGACTGGTCTTGAACTCTTAACCTCAAGATCCACCCGCCTCGGCCTCCCAAAGTGCTGGGATTACAGATGTGAGCCACCGCACCTGGACACAATTTATTTTTTTAACTTATCAAATATCTTGGATATTTTTTTATTAGTGTGTAGAGATTAACTTAATTTTTCTCTTACATGATTTTTTGCATTAATTTTTTTTTATTTTGAAAGAATTGTAGATTCACAAGAAATTACTGCCTCCCCCTGAAAAAACAAAAAAAGGAAAGAGAGGTCCAGTCAGTGCACCTTTCACCCAGCCTCCATGTAACGGTCACATCTGACCTATAGTGCACTACCATAAACAGGAAATTGACATTGCTACAATCCACAGAACATATTCACATTTCACCAGTTTTACATAAGCTTATTTGTAAAAGTGTGTTTGTTTGTAGATAGTACTTTTTTATTATTCTTCTTCTTTAAGTTCCAGGGTACATGTGCACAATGTGCAGGTTTGTTATTTTGAGATACGTTCCATCAATACCGAGTTTATTGAGAGTTTTTAGCATGAAAGGCTGTTGAATTTTGTCGAAGGCCTTTTCTGCATCTATTGAGATAATCATGGTTTTTATCATTGGTTCTGTTTATGTGATGGATTACATTTATTGATTTGCATATGTTGAACCAGCCTTGCATCCCAGGGATGAAGTCCACTTGATCATGGTGGATAAGCTTTTTGATGTGCTGCTGGATTTGGTTTGCCAGTATTTTATTGAGGATTTTCACATCAATGTTCATCAGGGATATTGGCCTAAAATTCTTTTTTTGTTGTGTCTCTGCCAGGCTTTTGTATCAGGATAATGCTGGCCTCATAAAACGAGTTAGGGAGAATTCCGTCTTTTTCTATTGATTGGAATAGTTTCAGAAGGAATGGTACCAGCTCCTGTTTGTACCTCTGGTAGAATTCGGCTGTGAATCCACCTGGTCCTGGACTTTTTTTGGTTGGTAGGCTATTAATTATTGCCTCAATTTCAGAACCTGTTATTGGTCTATTCAGAGATTCATCTTCTTCTTGGTTTAGTCTTGGGAGGGTGTATGTGTCCAGGAATTTATCCCTTTCTTCTGGATTTTCTAGTTTATTTGCATGGAGGTGTTTATAGTATTCTCTGATGGTAGTTTGTATTTCTGTGGGATCGGTGGTGATATTCCCTTTATCATTTTTTATTGCATCTATTTGATTCTTCTCTCTTTTCTTCTTTATTAGTCTTGCTAGCAGCCTACCTATTTTGTTGGTCTTTTCAAAAAACCAGCTCCTGGATTCATTGATTTTTTGGAAGTTTTTTGTGTCTCTATCTCCTTCAGTTCTGCTCTGATCTTAATTATTTCTTGTCTTCTGCCAGCTTTTGAATTTGTTTGCTCTTGCTTCTCTAGTTCTTTTGTGATGTTAGGGTGTCAATTTTAGATCTTTTCTGCTTTCTCTTGTGGGCATTTAGTGCTATAAATTTCCCTTTACATGCTGTTTTAAGTGTGTCCCAGAGATTCTGGTATGTTATATCTTTGTTCTCATTGGTTTCAAAGAACATCTTCATTTCTGCCTTCATTTCGTTATTTACCCAGTGGTCATTCAGGAGCACGTTGTTCAGTTTCCATGTAGTTGTGCAGTTTTGAGTGAGTTTCTTAATCCTGAGTTCTAATTTGATTGCATTGTGGTCTGAGAGACAGTTTGTTATGATTTCTGTTCTTTTACATTTGCTGAGGAGTGTTGACTTCCAATTATGTGGTCAATTTTAGAATAAGTGTGATGTGGTGCTGAGAAGAGTGTATATTCTGTTGATTTGGGGTGGAGAGCTCTGTAGATGTCTATTAGTTCCACTTGGTGCAGAGCTGAGTTCAAGTCCTGGATATCTTTGTTAATTTTCTGTCTCATTGATCTGTCTAGTATTGACAGTGGGGTGTTAAAGTCTCCCATTATTACTGTGTGGGAGCCTAAGCCTCTTTGTAGTTCTCTAAGAACTTGTTTTATGAATCTGGGTTCTCCTGTATTGGGTGCATATATATTTAGGATAGTTAGCTCTTCTTGTTGAATTGATCTCTTTACCATTATGTAATGGCCTTCTTTGTCTCTTTTGATCTTTGTTGGTTTAAAGTCTGTTTTATCAGAGATCATGATTGCAACCCCTGCTTTTTTTGCTTTCCGTTTGCTTGGTAGATCTTCCTCCATCCCTTTATTTTGAGCCTGTGTGTGTCTTTGCACATGCGATGGGTCTCCTGAATACAGCACACTGATGGGTCTTGACTCTTTATCCAATTTGCCAGTCTGTGTCTTTTAATTGGGGTATTTAGCCCATTTACATTTAAGGTTAATATTGTTGTGTGTGAATATGATCCTGTCATTATGATGCTAGCTGGTTATTTCGCCTGTTAATTGATGCAGTTTCTTCATAGCATCAATGGTCTTTACAATTTGGCATGTTTTTGCAGTGGCTGGTACCCATTGTTCCTTTCCATGTTTAGTGCTTCCTTCAGGAGCTCTTTAAGGCAGGCCTGGTGGTGATAAAATCTCTCAGCATTTGCTTGTCTGTAAAGGATTTTATTTCTCTTTCACTTATGAAGCTTGGTTTGGCTGGATATGAAATTCTGGTTTGAAAATTCTTTTCTTTAGGAACGTTGAATATCGGCCCCCACTCTCTTCTGGCATGTAGGGTTTCTGCTGAGAGATCCACTGTTAGTCTGATTGGCTTCCCTTTGTGGGTAACCTGACCTTTCTCTCTGGCTACCCTTAACATTGTTTCCTTCATTTCAACCTTGGTGAATCTGACAATTAGGTGTCTTGGGGTTGCTCTTCTCAAGGAGTATCTTTGTGGTGTTCTCTGTATTTCCTGAATTTGAATGTTGGCCTGCCTTGCTAGGTTGGGGAAGTTCTCCCGGATAATATCCTGAAGAGTGTTTTCTAACTTGGTTCCATTCTCCTCATCACTTTCAGGTACACCAATTAACATAGATTTGGTCTTTTCACATAGTCCCATATTTCTTGAAGGCTTTGTTCATTTCTTTTCACTCTTTTTTCTCTAATCTTGTCTTCTTGCCTTATTTCATTAATTTGATCTTCAATCAGTGATATCCTTTCTTCCACTTGATCAAATCGGCTATTGAAGCTTGTGTATGCTTCACAAAGTTCTCATACTGTGGTTTTCAGCTCTGTCATATCATTTAAGGTCTTCTCTACACTTTTTATTCTAGTTAGCCATCCATCTAACCTTTTTTTAAGGTTTTTAGCTTCCTTGCAATGGGTTAGAACGTGCTCCTTTAGCTCAGAGAAGTTTGTTATTACCGACCTTCTGACGCCTACTTCTGTCAGCTCGTCAAACTCATTCTCTGTCCAGTTTTGTTCCCTTGCTGGCGAGGAGTTGTGTTCCTTTGGAGAAGAGACATTCTGGTTTTTGGAATTTTCAGCCTTTCTGCTCTGGTTTCTCCCCATCTTTGTGGTTTTTGTCTTGTTTGTAGATAGTTCTATGCCTTATTGCATATATAGCTTTATGTAAGTTTACTTTTTTTTTTGTTTTGAAGATAAGGTCTCACATTGTTGTCCAGGCTGGCATGCAGTGGCATGACCTCAACCTCTGCCTCCCAGGCTCAAGCCATCCTCCCACTTCAGCCTCCCGAGTAGCTGGGACTGTAAGTGTGCACCACCATGCCCAGCTGATTTTTGTATTTTTTGTAGAGATGGGGCCTCACCATGTTGCCCAGGCTGGTCTTGAGCTCCTGAGCTCAAGCAATCCTCCTGCCTTGGCTTCCCAAAGTACTGGGATTACAGGCATGAGCCTCTGTGCCTAGCCATCTTACTTCTTTTTTTTTTTTTTTTTTTTTTTTTGAGACAGAGTCTTGCTCTGTTGCCCAGGCTGGAGTGCAGTGGTGCGATCTCAGCTCACTGCAACCTCCACCTCCTCGGTTCAAGCAATTCTCCTGCCTCAGCCTCCCAAGTACGTGGGACTACAGGTGTACATCACCATCCTACCAAGTAGCTGGGACTACAGGTGTGCATCACCACGCCTGGCTAATTTTCTTTTCTTTTTTTTTTTTTCTTAACTACAGGTGTGCATCACCATGCCTGGCTAATTTTCTTTTTTTTTTTTTTTAAGTAGAGATAGGGTTTTGCCACATTGGCCAGGCTGATCTCAAACTCCTGACCTCAGATGATCTGTCTGCCTTGGCCTTCCAAAATGCTGGGATTACACGTGTGAGCCACCACACCCAGCTGGCTTACTTTATTTTTAAGACCTTTGTATTATTGTTCAAATATACTCCTGGCAGTATATCTTTTGGAAAAATTCCTGAAGAATGTATTTTTTAAGTGGCTTTTTAAAAATGGCCTTGGAAATTTCTCTTACAAAAAACTATTAGTTAAGGTAATTATTAAGATTTAAGACATTCTGAGAAATGTATTGTTAGGTAATTTCATTGTTGTAGGAATATCATAGAATGTACTACACAAACACAAATGGTATAGCCCAGCAATATCCCCAACCTTTTTGGCACCAGGGACAGTTTTTGTGGAAGATAATTTTTCCAGGGATGGGAGAGGGTAGGGGGAAGGAAGAGGTGGGGATCATTTCTGGATGACACTGTTCTGCCTCAGATCATCAGACATTAGTCAAGAGAGTCCAATCTTTTGGCTTCTTTGGGCCACATTGGAAGAAAAAGAAGAATTGTCTTGGGCCACACATAAAATACACTGACACTAATGAAGCCAATGAGCTAAAAAAAAAAAAAAGAAGTTGCAAACAAATTTCATAATGTTTAACAAAGTTTACAAATTTGTGTTGGGCCATATTCAAAGTCCCCCTGGGCCACATGCAGCCCGCAGACCACAGGTTGGACAAGCTTGAGTTGGATTCTCATAAGGAGCGTGCAACCTAGATCCCTCGAATGTGCAGTTCACAATAGGGGTTCATGTTCCTATGAGAATCTGATGCCTCCACTGATCTGATAGGAGGCAGAACTCAGGTGGTGATGCTAGC
Organism: Homo sapiens; assembly: GCF_000001405.40. Lineage (NCBI taxonomy): Eukaryota > Metazoa > Chordata > Mammalia > Primates > Hominidae > Homo > Homo sapiens. The sequence goes on from NC_000013.11 coordinate 44,778,164, forward strand.
TTGCCCTTGACTCACCTCCTGCTGTGCAAGCCAGGTTCCTAACAGTCCACGGATTGGTACCAGTCCATGGCCTGGGGGTTGGGGACCCCTGGTATAGCCTACTCCACACCTAAGCTATATAATATAGCCTGCCGTGCCTAGGCTGCAAACCTGTACAGTATGTTACTATACTGCATACAGTAGGCAATTGTAACACTATGATAAGTATTTGTGTATCTAAACATCTCTAGGTATAGAAAGGGTACAATCAAAATATAGTATAAAAGATTTTTAAAATGGTGCACCTGTATTGGGCACCTACCACGAATAGAGCTTGGAGCTTGCAGGACTGGAAGCTGCTCTGGATGAGTCAGTGAGTGAGTGGTGGGTGAATGTGAAGACCTAGGACATTGCTGTACTGTACTGTACTTTTTATGTGATGGACAATGCAGTAGGCTTGCTTACACTAGCATCACCACAAATGTGTCAGTAATGTGTTGTGCTACGAAGTTATACTGCCTCCGACGTCGCTAAGAAATAGGAATTTTTCAGCTTCATTATAATCTCGTGGGACCACTGTCATTACTCAAAACATCATATGTAACACAGGACTGCATGTATGTAGAAAGAGAAAGAGGAGGATGGTTGGATGGCTAAATATTAGCTGTCCTCGCTAGATTAAAACTCCCTTTAGAGAAAGAATTCTAGTCTTAGAAGTTTGTAAAACTCACAATGTCAATGTATGCCTACTGCATGCTTAGTGTGTGCCCAATAAATGCCTGCTAGTGGTTAAGCTGGTTGACTGTCTGGGAGCAGAGTTATCTCACTCTACCAGAGCTACCTCTGGGTGATGGTATCTTCAGAGGAGCAGCAGTGCTAGCTGAGTGAGCTAAGCTGTATGTCTCCATGCAGAAGTCTGCTCCTGGAAAACTTGAAACAAACAGACAAATTTGCTTATACTGCTCCCAGTCTAATAAGCCTTAACAAAATATTCTTGGGAACATTATAAAAGCACGCAGATAGTACAGTGATAAGGTGAGGGGGTTTTTTTGGCGGGGGGGAGAGGGGGACAGTCGTTTGTTTGTTTGAGACTGAGTCTCACTCTGTCGCCCAGGCTGGAGTGCAGTGACGCAATCTTGGCTCACTGCGACCTCCACCTCCCTGGTTCAAGTGATTCTCCTGCCTCAGCCACCTGAGTAGTTGGGGTTACAGGCGCCTGCCACCACACCTGGCTAATTTTTGTAGTTTTAGTAAACACAGGGTTTCACCATCTTGGCCAGGCTGGTCTTAAACTCCTGTTGTGTTTTTTTATTTGTTTTTTTGAGACAAGGTCTGTCGCCCAGGCGGGAGTACAGTGGCGTGATCTCTGCTCACTGCAACCTCCACCACCGGGTTCAAGCAGTTCCCATGCCTCAGCCTCCCGAGTAGCTGGGATTACAGATGTGCACCACCACACCCAGCTAATTTTTGTATTTTTAGTAGAGACAGAGTTTCGTCATGTTGGCCAGGCTGGTGTGACCTGCCTGCCTCAAGTGATGTGCCCACCTCAGCCTCACAAAGTGCTGGGATTATAGGTGCAAGCCACCATGCCCGGGCAGTGATAAGTTTTATCAAACAGCTTGGAGAATAGTTAGCTAGACAGTTACACTCTTAGTTCCAAATTCCATCCAAGATGGTGGCAGTTTCCTACATGACTTCTGGCAAATGTGTTGTGCACAGTGAAGAAGCAAAGGATCAGAAAATACCCATTGCTTGTTAGCTATCTGGGATCCTCCTGGGATGCTAGGGCAGGCTTCGACTAAGGCTACGTTTGTCTTACTTTGTATTCTTTTTTGCAACATTATTATTGTATTACATATTTTGATTTCACTGAGGTCAGCCAGAAAAAGAAACCAGAATATTAGATATTAAATTGATTGTAATTTTAAAGAACATTGCTTACTTTTTACCAACAATAAAAAATCCTTAAATAGATAAGGACAATCTAGCATAAGTTAAGTCTTTCTTTATTTTTTTCAGCCTGAATATGTTTTTTTGTTCGTTTGTTTGTTTGTTTATGAGACGGAGTTTCACTCTTGTTGCCCAGGCTGGAGTGCAATGGCGTGATCTAGGCTCACTGCAACCTCTGCCTCCCATGTTCAAGCGATTCTCCTGCCTCAGCCTCCTGAGTAGCTGGGATTAAAGGCATGTGCCACCACGCCTGGCTAATTTTTGTATTTTTAGTAGAAAAAGGGTTTCACCATGTTGATCAGGCTGCTTTCAAACTCCTGACCTCGGGTGATCCACCCGCCTCAGCCTCCCAAAGTGCTGGGATTACAGGAATGAGCCACCAAGCCCAGCCCTCAGCCTGAATATGTTTGTGAAGTCTTTTTTTTTTTTTTTTTTTTTTTACCAATTCTATCCTTCTTTCAACATGGACCTCAAACTCTCCTATCTTCTTGAAAGATTCTCTGACTAAAATCCAAGACTTGTGTGACAGTCAAGAATGTGGAATTTGACTAGGCGCAGTGGTTCACCCCTATAATCCCAGCTCTTTGGGAGGCATGCAGGGAGGATCACTTGAGTCCAGGAGACCAGCCTGGGCAACAGTGAGCCCTCATCGCTACAAAAAGAAACAAAATTAGCAGAGTGTGGTGGTGCATGCCTGTAGTCCCAGCAACTCAGAAGGTTGAGGTGGGAGGATCACTCGGCCCTGGGAGGTCACAGCTGCAGTGAGCCGAGATGGTGCCACTGAACTCCAGCCTGGGCAACAGAGCAAGACGCTGTCTCAAGAAAAAAAACAAAAAATAATATGAAATTTACCATCAAAAATACCTGTCTGAGTCAAGTCCTGACTCTAACCGTTTACAGTTCTGTCACTTTGAGCAAGTTATTAAATCTCTCTGAGCCTCAATTTCCTTATCTGTAATAATGAACAATAACAGCTTCTGGCTTGCTTCCAGAATTAAACGTAAAGTACTTAACACAGTACCTGACATGTGGTAAGCATTCAATAAACATTAGTCATTTATTATTATTTTATTATTAATTTTTTTTACATGGAGTCTCGCTCTGTCACCCAGGCTGGAGTGCAATGGCACCATCTCGGCTCACTGCAACCTCTGTCTCCCAGGTTCAAGCGATTCTCCTACCTCAGCCTCCAGAGTAGCTGGTATTACAGGTGCACATTAATTTTTATTTTTAGTAGAGATGGGGTTTCACCATGTTGGCCAGGCTGGTCTGGAACTCTTGACCTCGGGTGATCCATTGGCCTTGGCCACCCAAAGTGCTGGGATTACAGGAGTGAGCCACCACGCCCAGCCAGTCATTTATCATTAGTAGCATTTACTGTCATATTTTTCAGCCTGTTTTAAAGTATGTTATAACTAGAAACCCCCTATACCAAGGATTGAAACAATGACCTGTAGGTCAAATTGTGTTTAGCCAACAGTGTTTCTAAATGCATATATTAGATTCATGAGTTTAGACCTGGGATTTGTCCTTTATTAGCTAACACCCTTGCTGCATCACACATTTGCATTACTTGCATGGTCCATGAAGACACCTGAGTTTGTGAATACCAGTCTAAACTTTTAATTTTGTATCCTCAAAATTCAAAAGAAGAGGAAGGAAGACGACAAAATAAAAGATTGGCCAACCTTCAATGGTTATCATCAAGAAAGGAAACGGAGGAAAGAGTGGTAAAAATCTGCTTCACTAATCCATGCCCAGGACTTGAGAATTTCTTTCTTTCTTTCTTTCTTTTTTTTTTTTTTTGAGACAGAGTCTTGCTCAGTCACCCAGGCTGGAGTGGAATGGTGCCATCTCGGCTCACTGCAACCTCCGCCTCCTGGGTTCAAGTGATTCTCCTGCCTCAGCCTTCTGAGTAGCTGGGATTACAGGCACCTGCCATCATGCCTGGCTAATTTTTGTTTTGTTTGTTTATTTGTTTGTTTGTTTGTTTTGAGACGGAGTTTTGCTCTTGTTGCCCAGGCTGGAGTGCAGTGGCGCCATCTCGGCTCACCACAACCTCCACCTCCCAGGTTCAAGCGATTCTCCTGTCTCAGCCTTCTGAGTAGCTGGGATTACAGGCATGTGCCACCACACCCAGCTAATTTTGTACTTTTAGTAGAGACAGGGTTTCTCCATGTTGGTCAGAGTGGTCTCAAACTCCCGACTTCAGGTGATTCACCTGCCTTGGCCTCCCAAAATGCTGGTATTACAGGCGTGAGCCACCATACCCAGCCAATTTTTGTATTTTTGTAGAGATGGGGTTTCACCATGTTGGCCAGGCTGGTCTTGAACTCCTGACCTCACGTTATTCTCCCGCCTCGGCCTCCCAAAGTGCTAGGATTACAGGCGTGAGCCACCGTGCCCGGCTGAGAATTCCTCTCTGTTCTATTCATTGAATGCTTAACCATAGATGGACATATTATCTATTTACTCGTGTTTATTTGTTTTATCTCCCTAATAAACCTACAATCCTCTTGAAGATAGCAATTACATCACATTATTATTATTTTTTTAATACGTAAGATCCCTAACTCATTTTTTTCTCATAGTAATGAAGCAGGAAATTTTCCCTGACCCCTTTGTGGGCAGGAACTGGAGTGCACGGGCACTAGAACTAGCCGGCCACTTTGGTGCCAGCAGGGGCAGATTCCACTGTGTTCCACCCGACACGGGATAGGGAGCACAGGTAAGCAGGTGCAGGAGCTGCAGCAAGCACTTTTAAGCACTGGCAGGAGCAAAATTTCATGTGGCCCTGTGGCAGCATCTAGGAGGATGCCCGAGACCCCTGAAGCCCCAGAAAGAATGTTACGGTCAGTGGTCTTTTAACTTTGCTATCCATGATGGCAGAAGTGTTAATAGCTCAGTGGAGGGTCAGTGTAGCAGCCTTTTGCACTCGCACCCAAGTTCTTGTCTGGCATCCAGGAGGAATAAGGTCACACAAACAAATTGGAGATGATAACGTGGGAGATTTTATTGCTGATGAAAGTGACTCTCAGTGGGAAGGGGAGCTGAAAAGGGTCCAGAGCAGGAAGATAATCTTCCCCTGGCCAGCCGGACTCTTCTCTGAAGCAACACCATCAAGCTGTCCCTCTGAAGTCAAGCTGCTTCTCTCTGATGTCCAGCCATAGTCTCCGAAGTCCAGCTGCTTCTCTTCTCCTCTCCTCTCTCTGACAGCAGAGCCTGGGGTTTTTATGGGCACAGGATGGGGGTTGGGGTGGGCCATGGGTGGTTTTGAAAAAGGCAACATTTGAGCAGAAAAACAGAAAATCCTGTTCTCACTTTGGGCCATGGTTCCAGGCTTGAGGGTGGGCCCCTTGATGGGGACCCACCCTCTTCTGACCAGAATTTCCCTGCCTCCTGTCCCTATCAGTAATATATCAGTAATAACACTACCTATCAATGTAAGTTCATCACTTGTAAAAAATGTACCTCTGTGGTGAAGGACATTGATAATAGAGTAGGCAAGGCATGTGCGGGGGCAGGGTGCCTATGGGATAGCTTGCACTTTCCTCAATTTTCCTGTGAACCTAGACTACTCCAAAAAAAAGTCTTTAAAAAAGATTTTAAAAATACTATATAGCATTTCCTGAACACTTGCTATATGCCAGCATGCTATATACTAAGTCTTTGCTGCATCCATCCCATTTAATCTTTGCAGTAACCAAAAGAGGAAGGTACTACTACTACTTGGGCACATACTACTTGGCATGTTTTATAACCTTTGTAAGTTTCCCTTTCCTCATCTAATAAATTAGACCTATTTATTACATCTAATAAATTACATCTAATTTATTAGAAGAAGAAAGAAACTTACTAAGGCTATAAAACATGTCTAAGAGCACATAGCTGGTAAATGGTGAAGCCAAGATTGAAACAGTGGTCTGTGATCCCAAAGGCCACGCTTCCAGCACTTTTGAATATTGCCTCCCAAACACATAAACCAACAAACATTCCTTGGCTAACTAGATGGCTCGAGCTCTCTTGTAATTTCTAGGACATTTGACAATAACTATATATTTACTATTGTGGATGTTGGAATTTGAATTTTGTTCAGTCAGCAAAAAAGTTTTGCTAAGTATATGCTCCCAAGGACAGATGAATAAGACAATGTAATGGAAACAAGCAATCATAGGACAATATAATAGAGTTTTAATGACCATTTGAAGAAAATTCTATGGAAGCACAGAAGATTTATTTAAAAGTAGTTCACCATATGCAGTCAGCATTTCTGAAATTTCTGCTGTATTCCCAGCATTGTGCTAGGCATTTGACAAATACTTATTTGCTCAACTCTCACAACTACCTCATGAAGTAGGTTTTATTATCCGTGTTTACAAATAAGTAAACTCAGACATGAAGTTGATAAGTGGCTTGAACAAGGTCACACAACCAATGGGTGGTAGAGCTGGGATGGAACCTCAGATATGCAAGGTTAGGCTAAAGTCCATGGTTGTTCTAGCTTACCAACTAAGCTGTTGTAAGGTAAGTGTTCTTCTGGTCCTTTGCACAATTAGAAAACACCAACACAAATATCGTGTATAAACAAGGCTTCAGATCTGTCTGTTTAAGGTACCTCTGGCCAACTGTATGAAGAAGCAGGGTCATGAGGCCGAGTCATTGTCTAACTTGGGGAATAACTTACTTAGATATTTTGCTGCTCACTCTTTTTTTTTCAGCTAGGGTTTATAATTCCTCTTGTTCTTTAGGCTGACACCAGTTTTTATGCTTGATAATTGTGTTTAATAGTTTATCTTCTCATATTTAGTGTAAGTTTCTTGCAACTGTGGTCCTTTGGGTTAATGTATTTTTCCCTATCCTCTTATCACATCAAACAAGGAGTCTTGTCGGTTAGTTGGTGTGGTTTTATTTGCCATTCCCATGATGAAGGTTCTAGGGCAAAGCCAAAGCATGATCAATAACATTTATAGCACATTCTAAGGAAATAAAAACATCAAACAGGCTGGGTGCGGTGGCTCACACCTGTAATCCCAACACTTTGGGAGGCTGAGGCAGGTGGACCACTTCAGCTCGAGAATTCAAGACCAGCCTGGCCAACATAGTGAAATGATTTCTCTACTAAAAATACAAAACTTAACCGGGTGTGGTAGCGCACACCTGTAATCCCAGCTACTCAGGAGGCAGAGGCAGGAGAATCACTTGAACCTGGGAGGTTGAGGCTTCAGTGAGCCGAAATTGTGCCACTGCACTCCAGCCTGGGCGACAGAGCAAGGCCCTGTCTCAAATAAATAAATAAATAAATATCGCAAAAAAAAAAAATCAGAAAGGAAAATAGAGAAAAACATCAAACAAATAGGGAACATTTTCAGTAGACTCTTTTCAGGAGATGCTTTGGGACTGCTCTCCAGCAGGATCAATTCTGGAGCTTGGCTTGTATGTCCTACATCACTAATGGGAAATGCAGGAGAGAGCCTAGGACTGTTAGCGAAGAAGAGAGAAAAGGGGCTGTCACTGATGGAGCGCATTTTGGCAGCATGGAACCAAAGCCATGAATACAAGCCTGCTTCTGGGCTCAGCAGTTTCATTTCTAGGAATCCACTCTAAAGAAACAATTAGAGAGTGTACAGTGATTTGCATATCTTTAATAGCAAAAGGAAAAAACCCTTTAACAGTTTGACGATGAAAAAATTATGTCAATAAGTTATAATACATCCATACAATGGAATGCCACATTAACAACTTCATGTTGTAGAAAAATATTTAAAGACATAGAAAAATGTTCTCCATATATTTTAATCATTTTATAATAAAATGTTTGAAGCATGTAAAAAGTAGCAAGCCTATTATAACAAACTCATTATCCAGTTTCAACAGTTATTTATTCATGGCCAATCTTATTTCATCTACAATCACACTAGTTTCCCTATTCCTCCCTCCCTGCACCACACTGAAGCCGATCCCAGAGTTCTTAATGCTTTCATAAATATTTCAGCATGTATCTCCAAATAATAAGGCTCTTTTAAAACACAAAACCACAATACCATTAATACACCTCAAAATTGATGATAATGCCTTAATATCAATATCAAAACAGTGTTTAAATTTCTTCGATTATCTCAAAATGTTGTGCCTTTTTTTAAAAAAGTTAGTTTGTTCCAGTTAAGATCCAGATGCAAGGCCAGGCGCGGTGGTGCATGCCTGTAATCCCAGCACTTTGGGAGTCTGAGGTGGGTGGATCACCTGAGGTCAGGAGTTCAAGACCAGCCTGGCCAACATGGTGAAACCCCCGTCTCTATTAAAAATACAAAAAATTAGTCGGGCATGGTGGCACATGCCTGTAATCCCAGCTACTTGGGAGGCTGAGGCAGGAGAATTGCTTGAACCCAGGAGGTGGAGGTTGCAGTGAGCCAAGATCATGCCATTGCACTCCAGCCTGTGCAACAAGAGCAAAACTCCATCTAAAAAAAAACAAAAAAAGCTCCAGATGCAGTCCATACCTAGCTTTTGCTTACTAGGTCTCAGAAGTTTCTTTTAGTCATTAGGTTTCACCATCCTATTTTTCCTTGCAATTGCAATTTGTTCAGACCAGGTTATTTGTCCTGTAGAGTTTTTCACTTCCTAGATTTTGCTAATAACTTCCCCCATGATACTTTAAACAATTTCCTCTGTGTCCTGTATTTCCTTGACTTGATATGTACTGTTGGCAAAAATACCACACATGTTGTTACAGGCTGAATTGTATCTCCTTAAATTTGTATGTTGAAATCATAACCCCTAGCACCTCAGAATGTGACTGTATTTGGAAATAAGGCCTTTAAAGAGGTCATTCAGTGAAAATGAGGTCATATGTGTGGGACCTAATCCAATATGACTACTGTCCTTATAAGAAGAAGAGATTAGAACACATACGGGTACAGAGGGAAGGCCATCTGCAAGGTGAAAGAGAGGCCTCAGAAGAAACAAACCCGGCCTAAATCTTAATCTTGGACTTCCAGCTTCCAGCGCTGTGATAAGATAGACTTGTTATTTTAGCCACCTAGTCTGTGGTTCTTTGTTACTGCAGTCCTAGCAAACTAATGCATCAGTAGTATTGTACTCTGATTAGAAGGCACATATAATCCATTCTTGAGTATGAAATTCTTTAGTTGGGGAAAACCATATTACAAATTAATTTTTAAAAAATCTATGAAATAAGAATGGTGGCCAGGCATAGTGACTCACACCTGTAATCCCAGCACTTTGGGAGGCTGAGGTGGGAGGATTGCTTGAGTCCAGGAGTTCAAGGCCAGCCTGGGCAACACAGTGAGATCTCGTTTCTGCTCACACAAAAAAGAATGGCGATCAGATCGGACCACATTATGTACTGGACACTATGCTAAACACCTTACATTCGTTATATTACTTGATCCTTTCACCAGCCCTGCAAGGTAGGGATTATTGTTGCCATTTTTAAATAATGAGACAATTCAGAGAGATTTAGACATCAACCCCAGGACACACAGCTAGTAAGGAGCAGAGCTGAGACTCAAAGGCAGCTAACTTGACCGTCTGCCTGCAAGTTCCAGGCTGCCCACGCATACGATCACCGAGAGTTTAGGTGGTATCAACTACAGCTAGGGGCCAGCCAACATTGCCAAACCCAATCTGGAGAAGAAAGCAGATTGGGGAGAGAGCTCTCCCAGTATGGAAATGAGGAGTGCCTCTCTGGTGTACTGAGCATCTGAGGTCTCCACCCTGGTTTTCATAGTTCACTCTGCAGTTGCTGGCAGCTGTCTGCTGGTGGCTGCTGTAATGACCATAGCAGGGGATCATCGGGGAAAATCACCACGGCATTTTCTTTCACAGACCTGCTGCCCCTTCCCCTCTTCCCCTGTACCCACTAACGACCCTGCACTTCAGGCACACATTCATGGCTGTTTCCTTCTGTTTTCATTTCCTTTGGATCAGATGTCTTTTTCAATTCAAAATGAAGAAGCAGTCAATGGAAGCCAATACCGTGTTGAGGTTAAAAGCGCTGGCTTTGGATTAAAACTGACCCAGATCAGCATCCCTGTTTTGTCCCTTTAACGGAGCAGCTTGGGTGAGGGCCTTATTTCCTCTAGGCCTTAGTTTCCTCATCTTTAAAATGGAGTTAACCGTAGTACCTACCTCACAGGGTGGCTGGTGATTAAATGAAGCAATGCATACAAAGCACACAGAGGCTGGAATTTAATAAGGCAGCCTTGAAACATTAGCCCTGAAAGAAAAAAAGATGGTAGAGACAAGTGATGGGGGTCAGGACACCACAGAATCCCCTATCTCTGCAGGGGGTGAGATCCAACACAGAAAATCAGGTCAAATGATTCTGGGTGACTTGGGCACTAGCAGTACTTGACCAGAAAGTTGCAGGCACTCCTGTCTTCCTCATACAGGCCCTCAGGTTACATTGCCCATGCTTTGCAGAGACTTCTTAGCTCTCTTGTCACTCAATCAGCTCTGGACAAATGGAGTTGACTCTGGAAGCTACCATCTGGGTTCAGTTAACTAAATAGTAGTGGATCTGAGAAAGAGCCTAGAGCCAGTTTTTTGTTTTCCCATGAAATTCCTGGCCACTAGCTTTGACCAGCAATTGGAAATTTCAGGTCTGGTAAGCATGTTAGGCTTTATCTTATTATGTTAGGCTAGGTCAGGGTTATCTCCCTTCTCCAGTGGAAAAAATGCATTATATTTAGGACAAGCCTGCTGTGTTGATGTGACTAACCTGTGTTGATGGCACCCAGTGTGATGCAGTCAGGGCTGGCCTGACATCTTCTCTCCATTGCCTTCTGTCTACTGCTCCGGCCCAGACCACATCAGTGCCACCAGCTTCTTCAGACCCTGCTTGCTCTCCTGCTTGTTGGCTTGATCACACTTGATCAATCCCAGTATGGTTTTGTCTTCTGTCTTCATGGTGGGCTCCGTGGTTGAGGAAGCATGATGCTGACACTGGTGATCAAACATGCCTGTCTAGGGGTACTCAGGCAAGTAAAGCTCAGCCCAGGAATACCTGGAGCCTCGGGCTGCGTGACGGCCTCCAGATCATCTTCTTGTGGGTGTGCATGTTTTCAGTATGGCCTTTAGGGTTTTCAAGACCTTCACTCTGCTGGGGTGGGGTGGGAGGTGGAGGCTGGTGCAGAGCTACAGCTTCTTTTTTTACTTCTCTGCTTTTTCTTGAGAAGAGTGTGAACTTATATGTTTAAAGTAACCAATTCCAGAAAAGAGAACTATGTTGTTTTATCTGATGCCCTACAAATGCCATCAAAACCACGTATTCCTGCTGTTATAGGATCTCTGGGGTGTCCATTTTTTTTGGCCGGAAACCTCTGTGGCCATGACAACTTTGCCTGAGTTCTTGTCCTGCATCCAGGAAGAATAAGGTACACAGACAAGTGAAGGGTGAAGAAGAAGGGTTTTATTTAGTGTTAGAACAGCTGAGAGGAGTGGTAGTTCCTCTCTGTAGGCAGGCCATCCAGTCCAGTTGAGTGTTCAGCTCTTAGCAGAGAGGAGGCCCTGGAGAGGGTGGCTCCTCTCCACAGCCGAGTCATTTGGAAGTCTCTGCAGGTCTCTGAAGCTCCCAGCAGAGAGGGTAGCTCCTCTCTGCTGGTCAGTCATCTCTGCAGCTCTCAGTGGAGAGGGTACTCCTCTCTGCAGCTGCTCATCCTGTCCGTAGTCTCTTTGACCTTTTTGCCCTCTAGCCACCCTCTGGCCTGTTCTGGCTGAGCCCAGGGCTTTTATGGACCTCAGAGGAAGGAAGTGCCTGCAGATTGGTCCATGGGTGGCCATGGGCAGGCCCGGAAGAGGCACCATGAGTCCCCACTCCAGCCCGCAGGACTGGCAGCTTGGCCCCCAACCTTCAGGCCCTCCCTGGCCTGAAGGTGGGGCCTTACTGGGAACCCCCAGCCCCTTCCACCCAGGACTCTGTCTGCCTCCAGCTGCCATTCATGGTTCCAGGGCTTGGCCCCAACCCTGCTCTGAGATCGGAGTGGGTGCGGGGAGCAGAGAGAGGCCAGGCAGTGGGAGCAGACACCCCTGAGCCTGCAGGGATGGGGGTGGGGTCCTTCCTGGGGCACCTGAGGGTGCAGGCTGCGCAGATACCTCGGTCCTGCACCTGGGAGGGTGGCTACAGCTGCACCCAAAGCTCCTGCCCTGCCAACTCTGAAGGGGCAGGACTCCCGCTTGTCCCCAGCTCCTGCCTGCTTCCTGGAGCTGGAGACCCAGGTCTGCTGCCACAGGTGCCAAGGCTGCAGCTACACTGCTACACCTAGGAGGGTAGATCCTGCCTGTTCCCAGCTCCCCCAAGAGTACAGGGAGGCTCGGATACACAGCTGCAGTTTGGGTGGCTGTAGCTGGGCCCAGGAGGGCGGGGCTCCTGCCTGCTCCATAGAGCAAGAGGCAGGTCTGGGTCTGCAGCTGCGGTTTGGGCAGTTGCAGCAGAACGGGGAGCTCCTGTCCCACCTCAGAAGGGGTGGGGTTTCCACTGGCTTCATGGAGTGTGCAGCCCTAGCCATGCCTCCCTGCTCACTGCTAATCTTTGCTGTTCATAGCTTGGGGAGTTTAAGATTTAGGAGGGAAATAGGTAGTTTTTTCCCCTGGGTCATTTTTTTAGCCTTTAATTCTTCTATTTTTTATCTATCCAAAGAGAGACCAATTCATTTATTTTTTGGTTGGTAGATTTGAGGGTTGTCTTCCAAGTAAAATGTTAAAATAAGAGTGGCAGTCACAATGAAATAATATTTTATCTTATGAAAATAATTTTCAAGATATTTACAGTGAATTATGTGTTACATTTCACCAGAAATGCCCTATGCCACTTTTAAAAAAATGAAGTGATGAGCAGAGCATTGAAGGTTTTAATGTTTGATTTACTTCTGTCAACAGCAATATTTCAGATGTACCAGTCTCCTGTCCAAGAATCCCCAAACACAGGGCATCGACTGCCCAGCAAAATAGAATGAACCCCTTATTCTCCCCTCTGGAGGCTAAGTTAAGAAAAGTGAAGAACTTCGTTTGGTTATTCAGTCAGTTCAATGAAGCCTAGAGTGAAGAAACTAAACATATATATATATATATAGCTTCTGTTAGTCCTCAGTATTAAAAGTTAGCTTTTTTGTAAAAATTTTTCATTTTTATAAACTTCTGAAATGTAATTTAAATTTTCCTCTTTGTTGGTCAATATTATCTAATATTAGCTAATTATGTTACTTTATTAGCAATATTAGCTATTTGTGTTGCATGATTAGTCCTTTCATTGATATCACATTTTTTCAAGTTACAGACTTATATCTGTATCTGGCATCTGCTATGGTTTAAATGTTTTTGTCTCCTCTAAAATTCATGTTAAAACTTAATTTTTAATGCAAGAGTATTGGAGGATGTGGGTCATGAATGGGATTAGGGATTAATCCTTTATAAAAGGACTTGATGGAGTCCCTGTAACAGTTGGAAGCTACCTCTTTGCCCTGCTGCCTTCTGCCATGTGAGGACACAGCATTCTTCTCCTCTGGAGGATGCAGCTTTCAAGGCACCATCTTAGAAGCAGAGATTGGACCCTCACCAGACAACTTAACCTGACAGCGCCTTGATCTTGGACTTCTTAGCCTCTAGAACTGTGAGAAATAAATCTCTGTTCTTTTTAAATTACCCAGTCTCGGGTATTCTGTTATAGCAGCACAAATGAACTAAGACAGCACCTAATTCTACCCATAGACCAATATTTCTCCTATTATCCTTGGTTAAGTCTCTAGTGTTGTTTAAAAACTCCTCATACAGGCCAGGCCTCATATAGGCTCACGCCTATAATCCCAGCACTTTGGGAGGCCAAGGCGGGTGGATCATGAGGTCAGGAGTTCGAGACCAGCCTGGCCAGCATGGTGAAACCCTGTCTCCACTAAAAATACAAAAAATTAGCCGGGCATGGTGGCACATACCTGTAGTCCCAGCTACTGAGGAGGCTGAGGCAGGATAATTGCTTGAACCCAGGAGGTGGAGGTTGCAGTGAGCCGAGATCGCGCCACTGCACCCCAGCCTGGGCGACAGAGAGAGACTCCATCTTGAAAAACAAAACAAAACAAAACAAAAAAAACAAAAAGCAAAACAAAACAAATAAAACTCCTCATGCACGAAAAGAAAAGGGAACCAACAGACATTGCACACCAGTATGTGCCAGGAAACCTACCAGGCATTTATAAACATGACGTCAGCAAATCCTTCCTGCCATCTATAAGGAGGCTACTTTTATTCTCATTACATGTGAAGAGACTGGGGCTCAGAGAAATTAAATAATAACTTACCCAATGTAATACAAACGAATAAGATAGTGGAATTGAATTTTGACCCATTCTCCAATGCCAGTCTTCTCTAATGCTAAAGTCCATGCTGATTTTAAAAAATATTTTTATTTGTAGCCTAAATTCCTTACTTCTCCCAGAAAAGCAAACACTTAGACACAATGAACCTCTTTAAAGTTCAAGTAAATACTTGGCCTCTCTAAGAAGTTGGTCTTTTCCATAAAGGATCCAAAAACAAGTTTGAACACTTGCAGAATACAATTTTGAATTCTCTGTTATATGCTAGATAAGTGCTAGGTTTTGCTAACTGTCTAGAATGTTGATAGCAAATAGTGCGATTTGGTTTAGGAATTTTTACTTCTCAAGCACTATCATAAGTGATATTTCCAAATTTCTATATATTATCCTACCTCTGATAACGGTAACATAGTGTCATTGCTCCCATTCTAGAAGTAAAAACAAAACAAAGCAAGACAAAGAGTTACCAAAAATGTGGATAACTTGGATTAAGGACTTGGTTATATGCATGAAATAAATTATTGAAAAGTAGACTGGCAGTGGAATCTAGATTTCCCAATTTCTGGTTCCATACACATTCTTTTTGACAGTAGTCTCTTTCTAGATTATTTCATGAGCACAAATTATAATAGTGGGACTTCTGTTTTAAGAATGTAACCTGTCATAAGGTTTAATTGTTTGACCAAAAAATAATGATTTACTGTCTTGCTATGTTCAAAATATTTAGGATTGGGATTATGTCTATATGAGACTCCATTTTCCTATTTAAATATGCTTTTATTTGCCCCAGTGACCTCCCTCTTAATTTGTATGGCCCTATTCACTCTATATGGTTTCTTTCAAAAAGGACATCTGGGTGTGGGGCTTTAGGCTAGATACTGAGGCCTATATGAAATAATTACAGTTGTTGGTAGGTGTACTAATCCATTTTCACACTGCTTAAAAGAAATGCCCGGCCAGGCATAGTGGCTCACACCTGTAATCCCAGCACTTTGGGAGGTCAAGGCGAGTGGATCACTTGAGGCCAGGAGTTCAAGACCAGCCTGGCCAACATGATGAAAGCCCATCTTTACTTAAAACACAAAAATTAGCTGGGTATGGTGTCACACACCTGTAGTCCCAGCTACTCAGGTAGCTGAGGCAGAGGAATTGCTTGAACCCAGGAGGCAGAGGTTGCAGTGAGCTGAGATGGCACCTCTGCACTCCAGCCTGGGTGACAGAGTGAGATTCTGTCTCAAAAAAAAAAAAAAAAAAAAAAAAGAGAAATACCCAAGACTGGGTAATTTATAAAGAAAAGAGGTTTAATTGATTCACAGTTCCACATGGCTGGGGAGGCCTCAGGAAAGTTACAATCATGGTGGAAGGGGAAGCAGGCACATCTTACATGGTGGCAGGCGAGAGAGAGAGAGACTGTGTAAGCAGCGGAAATGCCAGATGCTTATAAAACCATCAAATCTCATGAGAACTCACTCACTACCACAAGAACGGCATGGGGGAAACCATCCACATGATCCAATCACCTCCCACCAGGATCCTCCCTCACATATGGGGATTATTAGGATTACAATTTGAGATAAGATTTGGGTGGGGACATAGCCAAACCATATCAGTAGGCATTTGTTAAAAGTGAAGAAGCTCAGGACATGGCCAGAGGACCTTCACAGACAGCTCACCCTCTCAGGGCGGTGCCTAGGAACAGTTGTCCAGGGGCCCAGATCACATTACTCAATATTGAAATGGCTAGATTGTTCCATCTCATCAAAGGAACAAACAAAGAAGAGAAAACAAAACTAAGGACAAGTGTAGGATCTGCAGAGGGAATTGGGTGAAACAAAATATAGGTGTGCAGATTCACATTGCTGAGAGTCAGATAATTCAACTCACTAAGGTAACAGAGATGGCTTGGATAGCTTTTATTATTTTTCTCACCATCTCGCATAGTTTTGCAATTAAAAAATAATCTAGGAGAAGATAAGAGAAAATACTAATCTTAGTCTGCTGCCTGGTGATGTGGGACCTAATAAATATTTGAGAAGGAAGATGACTTTGCAGCGTTATAAACAAGAAATTCATTTTAGAAGCTGTAAGACCTGAGTCCTGTGTACTTGTCCACCCATGTGGGAGACATGGCCATGTGGCACCTGTTGATGACTGTCAGTCTTCGCCAATAAACCATAAGCTCCATAGGGCAAGGCCAAGATCATGTGTGTTTTGTTGAAAATCAATCCTCTGGGCTATAGTAAGCCTTCACGGTTGAATGAATGTATTGAATGAATGAATGATAATGTGTCTAGAAAGAAATATGTAATTAAAATATTCAGGTGATTTTTACTTTCTTTGTGATAGTCTCTGAATTTTTCTTTTAACAATAAGTATTTGTCATTTTTTTGTTTGTTTTGTTGGCATTTTTTCAAAGCATTAAAAGATTCATTTCAAAAAGAAGAGACAGAAATATATACAATACTTTTAGGCCCAAAGGAGAAAACACTTCTTGTCAAACAGCCCAAATTCTAAGAAAACTGTCTGCACAAAGATCTTCTATCAACATTATCACCAAAGAGAGAGAGAAGAGAAGAGAGAGTGGGAGCACTTAGCCAGAAGGTCAGGACAGCAACTCTACCTTTTTCCCAAGTGGCTCATGCCTTTTTGTAGGGGAGACTTCAGTCTGAAATGTTGCACCCTACCCACCAGGAGATCCCCCTACATTAGACTGTTAGGCCTTCCTAACAGCCAGATAGACAGCTTCACAAAGCAGTCCAATGGAGAGTTGTAGTAGTCAGAGTTCTTCAGAGAAACAGAGCCAATAGAAGATAATATATATAGATAGCGATATATAGAGATGTAGAAAGAGATATATAGAGATATATAAAGAGATTTATTATAAGGAATTGACTCACATGATTATGAAGGCTGGCAAATCCCAAGATCTGCAGGGTGAGTCAGCAATCTGGAGACCCAGGAGAGACAATGGTTTGGTTCCAGCAGAATCTGAAGGCCTGGGAACCAGGAAAGCTGATGGTGTAGTTTGAGTCGAAAGGCAGAAAAAAAGCTGTCCCAGGCCAAAGGCAGCCAGGCAGAAGGAATTCCCTCTTATCTGTGGAAAGGTCAGCCTTTTTGTTCTAACCAGGCCTGCAACTGATTGGATAATGCCCATCCACATTTGGGAAAGTGTTATGGACTCAATGTTTGTGTCCTCCCAAAATTCATATTTTGAAATCCTTACCCCCAGGATGATGGTATCAGGAGGGAGGGAGGCCTTTAGGAGGTGATTAAGTCATGAGGGTGGCACTCTCATGAGTGGGATTAGTGCCCTTATAAAAGAGACCCCAGAGCACTCTCTCTCTTTCCACCATGTGGGGATACAAGAAGTTGGCAGTCTATAACCCAGAAGAGGTACTGCAACCCCAGAACCTGACCATACCAGCACCCTGATGTCAGACTTCCAGCTTCCAGAACTGTGAGAAATAAGTTTCTGCTGGTTTTGTTTTTGTTTGAGATGGAGTTGTGCTCTTGTTGCCCAGGCTGGAGTGCACTGGCACAATCTCAGTTCACTGCAACCTCTGCCTCCTGGGTTCAAGCAATTCTCCTGCCTCAGCCTCCCAAGTAGCTGGGGTTACAGGTGCCTGCCACCACGCCTGGCTAATTTTTTGCATTTTTAGTATAGACGGGGTTTCACCATGTTGGCCAGGCTGGTCTTGAACTCCTGACCTCAGGTGATCCACCCACCTTGGCCTCCCAAAGTGCTGGGATTGCAGGAATGAGCCACCATGCCTAACCAGTTTCTGCTGTTTATAAGCCACCCAGTCTATTGTGCTTTGCTATAACAGCTTGGCCATACTAAGACAGAGGACAATCTACTTTAAACATTAGTCATATCAAAAAACACCCTCACAGAAACACCCAGAATAATATTAGACCAAATATTTGGGCATTCTGTGGCCCAGTCATTGATGCATAAAATTAACCATTACAGGAGTCATTTCAAGGGCTGGCACCTCCATTTCTACCCATGCTTCATGGTAAAGATTATTCAAAGGGCTTGGGAGACTATCTTTTTTCTTTTCCTATATTGTTCAGGGTTTGCAAGCAACAGAAACCAAATCAGGTTGATTTATGTAAAAAGGTATCTGTTGGAAGGATATCAGGTTGCTGGCAACATGGATAGAAGGGCTGGCGAAACATGATTTTAAAGTAGCAGGTATCCAGGGAAGCTAGCCTGTAGAAACTAGCTTGCCAGAGCTCTACCACCACCAACTTACACACGGCCCCACCACTGGACACTAAAGCCACACAGCTGTCATTGCTAAATCCATGCCATGGCTGTGAATCAAATCTGATCATTTGTCTGCCTCTGTGTCCCTCAAGGGTCAAAGTACCTGGTGGGAGTGTCTGATTGGCCCAGACAGGTCGTGTGCCTTTATCCTGATGCCAGAGGGATGGGAGAGGAAACATCGTCTTTCCATTCTGTCTTATTTAGTGGAAGGTAAAGGCCTGTTTCCGACTTATAAGAATGGAGGATTCTCCACAACCAGGAAGTGGATTCAGATACTGGGAAGCCAAAGTAGCAATTATGCACTGCAGTCCTGTTAGAACTGACCTGCTTTTCATGTGGTCAGTGCTTAGAATAAAAGGAACTCAAGGCAAACACGCCAATTAGTAAGCTTGGCACAGGGGATTATAATCAGAAGCAGGAAGCAACATCTGAGAAAGGGCATTTGGCTTGCTTTTGGATGACTTAGTGTTTGAGACCCAAGCAGAAACTTTGGAAAGAGTCCCTTCATCAATTAGCCTCCTGAAAAGTACTTAGTATACATTGGTTATGCACCTGGTGTGGTACATACAAAAGAACAACCCTTGTGAAATAAACAGGCCTTTCAGCCTCTCCACTTCTCCTTGGCATACTATGTTCACTTAGCAGGACAGAAAAAGGAGGAAGCTGTCAGAAGCTGGCCCCTTGCTCTGTCTGGAGTTTGTTTCCATTAATTCCTGTACTTTCTGGGCTTTCTCTCCCTCTATGCTCACAGGTCCCAGTTCCTGGATCAAAACTTGGAAGTGAAATGAAGCTGAGTAAGGCTTGAGTGAGTAGCCACACTCAGTGGTCTCACTGTATGGGAAAGATTCTTCACCTGTTTGAAAACAAGATGCCTTTAAAAATCTAATAAAAGCTACATCCCTCCTGCACCCTCCCCACCAAAAAAATTCATGTCTTCTCAAAAGACATTTCAACAAATTTAGTTAAATAATCTAATTGACTTTTACTTGCGATTCATGAATCAGGCAGCATCTCGTCTAAAAATAAAGAGGTGCTATGCCAGGCATGGCAGATTAACTAGCTTTTATAAAGCAGCTGAGCAGGAACAAGGAAACAGCATAATACAGGAAATGAATTGGTTAACATCAGGTTACTTTCCTTGGAAGTATTAAAGCGGAAAAGACTTCCTTATCATCTGGCCAAAACTGGCCTGTTTGGAGACTTGGCTATTCTCTCTCCCACCTGATTTCTCAGAAGGTCACTTAAAACAATTTACTTTCAGCTTGGTGAAGTGGAAATTTAGCATCAGTGACTCCATTTTGGTTTGGTCTGTTGGGGTGTAATGCAGGAGCTAAGTCCAAATCAATGGTCTCCTATAAATTTTGTTTAACACTTCACAAAACACCAACAAATTTGCAAAACACTTGAGAAACTTTACAACTTTCCTGAAACTCAAAAGAATCTAAGAAACAAAGATTAATAATTGTGATCTAAAATTAAGAAAAGAAGAGTTTCCATAAATGTATCTTCCTTCCTTTACCTTTAAAGCATAAAACCTGGAGGAAAGGCCATCTTTCTGCAGGAGACGTCTAGACTCAACCACCTTCTACAGACAAGAGTCCTCAGAAACAAGTTCACTAACAACCCTTTTTTTTTTCTTTTTTTGTTTTTAAGTTCACTAACAACTCAACGAAATTTCCTCCTCCTCCTTTATCAATACTCCAAGACAGTCATCCGCTTTGCTGCGCTGCAATTTTAAACTGTTCAACTGTTACAAACTTAAAATTCTCTGAATACTGTATTGCGTTTCAATAGAGTAGAATGGCTAGTCTATTAGAATAGAATGGCTTTTAATCAAGTAATTTCCTTTCACGGGCCACATTTCTCATCATCTGGGCTAGAAAGAGTCCCTTAATCAATTAGCCTCCTGAAAAGTACTTAGTGTACATTGGTTATGCACCTGGTGTGGTACATACAAAAGAACAACCCTTGTGAAATAAATTTCAAAAATCTCAGAAGCACTTTTTTTTTTTTTTTTTTTTTTGAGATGGAGTCTCGCTCTGTCGCCCAGGCTGGAGTGCAGTGGTGCAATCTCGGCTCACTGCAACCTCCATCTCCCGGGTTCAAGCGATTTCTCCAGCCTCAGCCTCCCAGTAGCCGGGATTATAGGCGCCTGCCACCGCACCCAACTAATTTTTGCATTTTTTAAGTAGAGACGGGGTTTCTACCATGTTGGCCAGGCTGGTCTCAAACTCCTGACCTCAGATGATCCGCCTGCCTCGGCCTCCCAGAGTGCTGGGATTACAGGCCTGAGCCACCGCTCCGGGCTGCATTTTGGATTCTATTATTGCCCTCATTCTCCAATTCAGCCGCTTAGCAAGTTCTATCAATTCTTCCTTTAGAATGTTTCTAAAATCTGACACCTAATTTCCATGTTTTCCTGTTCAGATCTTTATAGTCTCCTATTGTCACTGGTAAACTGAGTTTTTTTCCCTACTTTGTATTGGTAGCAAAGAAAGAACATTAATTGTAAAAAGCAGTCGGATTTTATTCACTAGCCAGAGAAGGCAGAACGCGAACTCTCACTCTAAACGCACCTTCTCCCCGAACAGTAGAAGGCATGGGGTTTCTTTTTTCTTTCTTTCTTTCTTTCTTTTTTTTTTTTTTTTTTTTTTTTGAGGCGGAGTCTTGGTCTGTCGCCCAGGCTGGAGTGCAGTGGCGCGATCTCGGCTTACTGCCAACTCCGCCTCCCGGGTTCACGCCATTCTCCTGCCTCAGCCTCCCGCATAGCTGGCACTACAGGCGCCCGCCACCACGCCGGCTAATTTTTTTTTTGGATTTTTAGTAAAGACAGGGTTTCACCGTGTTAGCCAGGATGGTCTCGATCTCCTGACCTAGTGATCCGCCCGCCTCAGCCTCCCAAAGTGCTGGGATTACAGGCGTGAGCCACTGCGCCCGGCCAGGCATAGGGTTTCTAAGGACTGGGGGAGGCAGGGTGTGTTTGTGGGGGGGTGCATGTAGGGAGGAATGTTAGCCTGTACAGGGTGGGACTCTAGGTGTGCAGAGGCAATTCATAAACTTACGTCTTCATGCAACCCATGTTCACAAAATGGCAGGGAATTTTAGCATTATAATGATGTGTTAATGATCTGAAGGCAACTAGGGGTCGCCAGTTCCAGTTCGTGCCCACTTGTGGGGTCTTAATTCCCTCTAGTATCTGGTCAAGGGTAAAAAAGCTCTGGTGCCATCCCAGGCCATCTGGTTTCTTCAGCAGTTGTGCCTGTAGATAAAGGGACTGAAGAAAACCAGTCAGAAAAAAGGACTCTCCCAGTTATTTCATCATGGGTGCCCTGGTAACAACACCCGGACACCTGGACTACTACAACAAATTTTTTTTTTTTTTTGAGACAGAGTCTCACATTGTCCCCTGGGCTGGAGTGCAATCACACCATCTTGGCTCATTGCAACCTCTGCCTCCTGGGTTCAAGGGATTCTCCTGCCTCAGCCTCCCGAGTAGCTGAGATTACAGGTGTGCGCCACCATGCCCAGCTAATTTTTCGTATTTTTATTAGAGACAGGGTTTCACTATGTTGGCCGGGATGATCTCAAGCTCCTGACCTCAGGTGATCCGCCCACCTCAGCCTCCCAAAGTGCTGGGATTACAGGAGTGAGCCGTAATCCCGTGCCCGGCCTCCAACAAACTTTTAATTACACTCTACTCTCTCCATTTTCATCTTCCTCCAACCTGTTATATTTTACTCAGCAGAAGATTAATCTTCCCCAAAATATCAATTTCATCAAATTGATGCCTTTTTCAAAAACTTCTGTTTTCATTGCCTACAGAATAACGTTATAACTCTGTAGTCAAACCCTGTGATGGGTTTATGCTGAGTTAAATTGGCTAATCTTGGAACTACATTTCCTCAATTCCCTTCCCCAAAGAGTTTCAGGTTAGTGTTGCCCACAAGAGAAAAGCCAAGTATCCACAGGATACTTGGATAGCAGGCAGGAGGGAGCAGCCATTTCCAGGCTCTGAGTGTCAGAATGGTCCCAGCTGCAGTGGCTAACACAGCACGGTGGTCTACAGGCTAGCAGCCTGCAGCTCCTCAGGCTCCTGCCGGGTCCTGTCTTTCAGCTTCTCCAAGTCCAGCGCCAGGTTTTTGTGCAGCTCAAAGCAAAGGGCATCAGTTCTTCTATATGTCACCGTGTCATCAAGGCTGGAGGTGGTGAGAGACAGAGTCAAGTGGTTCTTAAGGGTTTCAGTCCTTGAAGCTCCTTGTTTGCCCTGCTTTTTCCTATTTCCTATCCAGCCTTTCTTCCCGACAGCTGACATCTGACCTATGGAGACAGCAGGTCCAACATCAGATTCAAGAAGCAACAGCCCTGCATAGATTCCTCCACCAGCACCCACGACTGCATCAGGGCTAACCCGTGGAATAAACCACTCTTAATGGTTCCGCTTCTCTGATCAAACCCTGATTATGCCCAGCCACCTCATTTCCCTCTTAATCTCTTCATAGGCATCTCTCTGGTACTCCAAGCAGTTTAATTACCCAGGCATGTTATGTGAGCTCCACCTGGACGCCATTGCTATGGCCTTGTCTTCCACTGACTCACCTCTCCAGTCACCCAAATCTCACGCACAACCTACAAACTCCAACTCAAGTCCTCTCTGCAGCTTCCCTCGACCACTTCAGCCCCTGGTGACCTCCTCCCAGTGACTGGAATGGGGATTCTCAATTTTTCTCATGAGGATACACATGGGAAGTGAGCCCCAGGGTTCTGGCTGCTCCCAACACCAAGTCCCTCCAAGGATCGAAAGGATTAATATC
This sequence comes from Homo sapiens, assembly GCF_000001405.40. Taxonomy (NCBI): domain Eukaryota; kingdom Metazoa; phylum Chordata; class Mammalia; order Primates; family Hominidae; genus Homo; species Homo sapiens. Next base: position 44,801,500 of record NC_000013.11, read on the forward strand.
TCAGCATCGATAATCATTTGCATCCAGTTGGAGAGTCTGGTGCAAATCTCTTTTCTGTAATATCAAGTTGGAATTTAAATTATCTTGCAATGGAAAGAGGCAGTGTTACACAGTGACCCAACATAGAGCAAATGAGTTCTGAATTTAAATCTCCACATCAATGACAAGGGGAGCTCCAGATACAAATCACTCGGTCTTTCTAAGCCTCAGTTTCCACAGCTATAAAAGAGAAATAATCATGTCTACTTCACTGCAGTGGTTGTAGAGATTTAATTAGATACTATGGAGCAAGTATACAATGCCTTGCTTATAAAATTGCTAATCATATCTGCTATAATTATTATTGTACATATTTACTGACTAGCCATTAATAAGCTATTTGCAAGAAAATAATTATGTAACATTGTTAAATATTGACCCTGGGTTGGGCATTAGACTAAGCACTTTTCATAACTTCTTTAGTTCTCCAATAACCCTATAAGGTGGGTACCGTTAAAATACTTAATTTGTACGTGAGGACACCTCCACATAATTTTCTTGGCCACAGCAACATAGCGTTTCTCCTACCACCTACTGGGAAGCACACATGTTGCTTCCTTTGCCTAATATAACCCTTTCACAACCTGCCCTAACCCTTATATTCATAATTGTATCCTCCTGACCAGAATGCAATGCTGGGTTCTGGCCAAGAGGGCCCCAGACCAGGGAAGTTGTTTAAAATGAGTCACATAAATGTGCAGGAAGAAACATGTGGTTTTTCCTTCCCTAGTAGGAGAAAGGCTGTTGACTCCAGTTATAGATTGAAGTGGATTCCCCCAAAAGACGCTGAAGTCCTAATCTCCAGTACCTGTGACATGACCTTGTTTAGAAATAGGATCTCTGCAGATGAGCAGGTTAAGATGAGGTCATTAGAGTGGACCTTAATCCACTATGACTGGTGTTCTCATAAAAAATGAAATTTAGACAACAGAAACCTGCATGCACAGTGGGAAGACCATGAAAAGACACAGAGAGAACGCCATCTACAAACCAAGGAACAGTTGAGCCCACGGAAGTGGGGAGAGGTATGGGGCCCATTCCCCCCAACAGGCCTCACAAGAAACCAACCCTGCTGAAACCTTAATTTCCAACTTCTAGTTTCCAGAACCGTGAGACAACAAATTTCCCTTTTTAAGCCACTCAGTGTGTGACACTTTGTTACAGAAGCCCCAGGAAACTAACACAAGTGCTAGTCATCTTTCCAAACCAGAGGCCTCTCCATATTGCTCATGCTTTCCCAGGACGCTGAGCCCCTGACTTTTGGGGAGGAAAATGAACTGATCATTTTTGAGGACACCAGACTCTATATTACACATTCCTCATCCCATTTAGTCCTTAGACAGTCCTAGGACATACTCATTACTCTCCCCCTTTTAGAGATAAGCCAAATGGAGACAAAGAGATGTTCAATAACTGCCCAGCATAAATGATGGAAGTGAGAGTCCAGCCCATGGCTAGCTCCAAAGCCAATGCTCTTTCCAGTATTTCATCCTGTTTCCCCTTCCATTAAGTAGCAGATGATTCAACCTTGCAAATGTTCTTGTCCTCTAACCTTTCTCACCCTGTCTGCACTTCCCAAAGGGGACACTTACCATTGCAGGAAGAAATTGAGAGGCAGAGTATTCCTTAATAAGGCTCAACTCCTAGCCTGTGGTCCCCAGACTTACAGTTTCCCATCTTACAGAGATATTCAAGGATCTCTCAGCTAATTAGACTGATTGCAAAGAATGTCATAAAAGAAAAAAAAGGAAAAAAACGGACTTACAGGATGTCTTTAAAGTTGCAATTTTATTACTCCCAAGTGTACATGAAATATAAAGTAGGCCAACAAAGTGCTGCCTGGGGGAGAATCCTTGAGGAATCTGCTTTAATGAATAAATAAGTGTGTTTTTGAAATTAGCTTTCCATTGTTTATAGTAAATCCCCATGAGAGTTTGCAAGTAGTTGCTTTCTTATTCATGAAAAGAATTTCTCTCTATTGTCTTTCTTACCGTGTTGAGGGGATGGTGATTATTGCGAACTTCAGTTCAGGGAAGGCCACTGATGCAGACCAGCCAGAGCCAAGGTCAAAAGGCAGAAGTAGATGCTGTCAGGCCCAGCCCTGGGAGGGCCCCCACACAGGGAGGGTCAAATGAACCGGGTATCCTTAGGTCACCAGAGATTCAGTCATTGATCCTACCTATTCCGGGAGAACTTCAGAGAAGTTCTACTAGAAGACCTCCTCACCTACTTTGTTGGTAAAAACCAAAATGTTCCTTGACTTAATATATCGATGGGCTTGGACCCAGGTTCCTGTGTGTATCTCTTGACCCTGAACAAATTCTATCTTGTTTGCCACATATGCTGGATGTTTGCAAATCCATCTTAGTCCATTTTGTGCAGCTATAACAGAGTACCCGAGACTAAGTAATTTAAAAAAAAAAAAAAAAACACCAGATTTGGCCAGGTGGGTGGCTCACGCCTGTAATCCCAGCACTTTGGGAGGCTGAGGCAGGTAGATCACCTGAGGTCAAGAGTTCGTGACAGCATGGCCAACATGGCAAAATCCCGTCTCTAATAAAAATTTCAAAAATTACCTGGTCGTGGTGGCGTGCGCCTGTAGTCCCAGCTACTCGGGAGGCTGAGGCAGGAGAATCACTTGAACCTGGGAGGCGGAGGTTGCAGTGAGCCAAGATCATGCCATCACCCTCCAGCCTGGGTGACAGAGTGAGGCTCCGCCTCAAAAAAATAAATAATAAAAATAAAAATAAACAGAGATTTGCTTCTTACAGTTCTGGAGGTTGGGAGGTCCAAGGTTGAGGTGCCTGCGTCTGGCAAGGGCCTTTTTGCTGCCTTATCTCATCGTGAAATGTGGAAAGGAAAGAGAGCAGGAGTGACAGAAAGAGCAAGAGAGGGCTGACCTTGCTTTTATAACAAAACCACTCTTGAAACAACAAGCCCACTCTGAAGATGACAGCATTAATCCATTCACAAGGACTGAGCTCTCATGACCTAATCATCTTAAATGTCCTACCTCTCGACATTGTTGCACTGAGGATTAAGTTTTCAATACACAAATTTTGGAAGACACATTCAAACCACAGCCTCCCCTTCCTCCTGATCCATTCCATTCTCCATTTTTCTCCACCCTGCTCCATGCCTCAGTTCTTAATCTCTAAGAGCTGCATCTTTGGACTCTTACCTTCTGGCTTCCCTTTGGGTTCATCAATGTTCAGGGTATTTATTACCCCCAGATTCTTCAAGGATGGGCCAAGATCAGATTCCAACATCAGATTCCAAGTTCTTCAGCTTTTGGACTTATATCAGTGATTTGCCAGGGTCTCTCAGGCCTTCAGCCACAGACTTAAGGCTGCCCTGTCGGCTTCCCTACTTTTGAGGTTTTGGGACTTGAACTGGCTTTCTTGCTCCTCACAGACACACCCAGGAACATGCCCCAAACCAGTGAGCCAAGGTCGCACCACTGCACTCCAGCCTGGGCGACAGAGCAAGACTCTGTCGCAGAAGAAAAAAAAAAATGTTAATCTCCTTTGGCAACACCCTCACAGACACACCCAACACCCTCACAGACACACCCAGGAACACTACTTTGCATCCTTCAATCCAATCAAATTGACACTCAATATTAACCATCACAAGTAGGTACTCGATAAGTATTTTGGGGGAAAAATGGATTGATGGATGGGCTATTAATTTTCCTTTAGCTCTGAGGTGATTCTGCTCCCCCTTCTCTCTCTTCCTAGCTCCTTCTTTTCCTCCATTCCTTTCTCAAACTTTTGACCCTTCAGGCTTTGGTTATTGATATTGCTCTGAAATTGTCCCCTGCAACTTAGAACTGATAGGATAGTCACCCATCACCTCTTAGACAAAAGTAGGAATTTGACACCTGGAACATCCCAAAACCTGATGCCCCAAACCAGTGTTTGGATTCTTCCTAAAATGTCAGTGGAAAATGTGACACCAGTGGTTGTTGAGATGGGAGACATCAGTGCATGGAAGTCAGCAGACTGATACAGGAGCAGTACACCCCACCCAGCATAAATGGACACAACAGAGAATAAAATGGGCTTGGGAAGGGGAATTCTGGATTCACACTCACCACGCCAGAGAGCTTCTCATTCGGCATTTTAACATGCTGACCCACTGGGATGGAAGATTGTCTCATTTTCTGGACCCATAGTGAAATGATAAAAGAGAGAGGCCAGCTACTCGGGGGCCCTTCCCTACCTAAGGCCACACATGCTGATTCAGGGCATCTGGACAGTGAAAGGTGATTGGACGTTAGCACACATGAAGTCCAAGGTCAGGGATTGGAAATGATCAGCAATATAACCAGGTAGGAACATGTGTTAGCTGGAACTTCTGACCCTCATAAGGGAGAGATAAGAGACCAATAGCTTAATTACTGATAGAAAAGTTGATCTCGATTTCTTTTTTTTTCTTCTTCTTCATTTTATTATTATTTTTTAGACAAGGTCTTGCTCTGTTGCCCAGGCTGAAGTGCAGTGGTGCCATCATAGCTCTCTGCAGACTCAAACTCCTGGGCTTGGGTGATCCTCCCATTTGAGCCTCCCAAGTAGCTGTGACTATGGGTATGCCACCATGCCTGGCTAATTTTTATTTAGTAATCTATTTTGTAGAGACAGGGTCTCACTCTGTAGCCCACGCTGGGGTGCAGTGGCACAATCATAGCTCACTACAGCCTCAAACTCCTGGGCTCAAGCAATCCCCCTACCTCAAACTTCTGAGTAGCTGGGACTATAGGCATGTGCCACCATGCCCAGGGATCTTCATTTCTTTTTATCTTGATTTTTTTCAACATTCTTTTTTTATAGGGGCATTTTCTGTGGCTTTTAGAAGAAAATATATTTGAATCTCAATCCCCTCATATCTTTTTGTTTCTGTTTGCGTTTGACATAAGTATTTGCTGAAAGTCAGGGGCATTCTAGGCTTCCCTGGAGATGGAGGGTCAGAGGACAGGTCCACATTTGGCCTGTCTGCCATCTGTAGCAGGTATACATTAGGAAAAGCAGTCAGCTGAGAGTGAATCGGGCCTGGGTAGCAATTCTGGCTCTGCCACTGTTCACTAGCTGCGTGACCTTCACCTCTTTGCGTCTCAATTTCCACATGACTACAGGGGGATAAACCCTACAGCATAGCTTTGTTGGGAGGATTAAATCAGGCAACACATGCCCAGTACCTAGAATAGTCCCTGGGTCTTAGTAGGCCCTCAGTAAGCAGTGGCCATAAGGATCGCTGGCTGCAAGGCCTCCCTGCATTGGTTGACCACAAAGAACGTGGTGATGGTGCATGATGAAATGAATCGTTTTTGTTTTCCCTGTCCTGACAAAAGATGTCCCCTGGCTCTTGCTGGGTATGAAACAGCCAAAGCAGAATGAGTACTAAGAGCCCCCTTTGTCCCGAGTGAGGCCTCATTTGTCGGACACAAATGCTGCTCTGGCAGTCCTGGATGTCTGGGCCACTGTTACAAATCTGTTTGGGTTGGAGTAGCACCAGTTCACCACTGCCATGTGTCCAAGCTCCCAGGCTGCCTGAGTGCAGCCGTGAATTCATTCAGAGTGGCCCTGCCCTCGGGGCTCTTGTAACCTCGGGCTTTAAATTCGGAGAATCAGCAATTAATTTTCATGACCTTGCTCCTCTCCGAATGGAGATTTCCCAGGGGCCGTGGCCTGCCAGTGGGTAGGATTGACTTCTGGAGAGACTTCCTAGGTTCCAGGAGCCAGCGTTATTGGTGTTGGAAGGGCAAGGACCTGGCAGTCTTCTTGGTAGATGCTCTTCAGAGCCTGATCATCCCACATGTCGGCGGGGGGGAAGCCACTGCCACGGCTTTGTACGTTGTTAAGGAGAAGAAAATGGCGGGGGGTGGGGGGGATAACCAAATTTAATGGATGAATTTATTATGAAGAATTATTTATTTATTATGCTCATTCTGCTCAGACAGACTGCAGGCTTAAAGAAAAGGACAACTGGGAAGCTAATTTCTGGGGCAGAGCCTCAAGCCTGTTAGCAGACACCCAGGCACTTGTGTATGAACCAGTGTCACTCTGTGTGGCTGTGCCTCGCAGTCACACCCATTCTGCTCAGGCAGTCTGGATTTCCACTCTTCTACTTGGGGAGGGGAGAATGATCAACAAGAACAGAACGATGGGCCTATAGAACTTTACTGCAAGTGAACATATGAGCTGTCTTTGTAAATATTCATTTTTTTTGGTGGCAAAATACATATCAAACTTACCATCTTAACTATTTTCATGAGCACAGTTTGGTAGCATTTAGTACACACCCATTGTTGTGCAACCAATCTCCAGAACTCTTCATTTTGCAAAGCTGAAACTCTGCATGCATTAAACAGTATCTCCCCAGCTCCCTCTGTCCCCAGATCCTGGCGACCACCATTCTTCTTTCTGTCTCTATGAGTCTGACTACTCCAAGTACCTCAGATAGGTGGAATCACATGGTATTTATCCTTCGGTGACCGGGTTATTTCACTTAGTGCAATGTCCTCAAGGTTCATCCATGTTGTAGCATGTGTCAGAATTTCCTTCCTTTTTTAAGGCTGAATAATATGACAAGCTGTCTTTTTAAGTTGCAGGTCAATTACGGATCCTTTGAATATGAGAGGGAGCAGGATTGGCCCTTCAGGGTTTGAGGTTTTCAGGAAGCCCACAGAGATTGACTCCTTTTATGGGATTCCATAACCCATATTTCAATGACCCCCTTCACACGCTGCCAGTCAATCAGTGGATTTTTTTCACTGACTATGTTGACAGTCCTGGGCCATGCCTGCCCTTTGTACCAAGTTTTGGGGAAGTCCAGGCCTTGCATCCAGGGGAGAGAGAGGCCCAATCTCAACACAGCTCTGACATTTATTAGTGGTGACATCCTGAGTAAGTCACTTCACCATTGTGAATACAGTGCCTCTGAAGTAAAATGGAGGTGACATTATGAACTCTATCTAGGTTGGGTGGAGATTAAATGAAAGAATATATATTAGAGCACCAGGCATGGTACCTGGTAAGTTCTCAACAAATGGATGTTAAATCTTAGTACAAAGCAAATTAAAGATGAGATTTTTCTTTTGACTAAGCATAGCACCCAGACAGACTAGTGGCGCTCCAACATTTTTTGAGTCAGGGGCTCCTCTGAGGATCACTTACATGCCTACACAACGTGACACTAAATTTCTGGGAATTCTTGAATCTCATGATGTCCATCCATGACTTCAGGCACAAGATCAAGGACCTGGGATCGAGATAGCAGAGGATAAAACATTCCCAGAAAATGTAGATCAGGCCGGGTATAGTATCTCACCACTCTAATCCCAGCACTTTGGGAGGAAAGAGCAGGAGGATTGCTTGAGCTCAGGAGTTTGAGACCAGCCTGGGCAATACAGTGAGACCCTATCTCTACAAAAAGCAAAAAAAAAAAAAAAAAAAAAAAAATTCACCAGATGTGGTGACACACGCCTGTAGGTCCCATCTACTCAGGAGGCTGAGGTGGGAGGATCACTTGAGCCCGGAGGTTGAGGCCACAGTCAGCCAAGATCACACCACTGCCCTCCAGCCTGGGTGAAAAGAAAAAGAAGAAGAAAATGCAGATCATGTTTTATATAGAGTGAAAAAAGTAAGGAACAGAGTCCTGCAAGTGCTAAAGGGACACTAATAGGGAACGCTAACGCAGTCAGGTGGATCCAGTGAGGAATACTTCCTCATGGATATTCAGAAATTTCTCAAGGACTCAGTGTTTACTTTTCATTCTACTGTGAGTGGTTCACCAGTCTTAAGATTTCTCCCTCATTTCCACCCTGGGAAAGCACATGCTCTCGTGCGAGCTACACAATGTAAGCACTTACTTGTGTTTGTCTTGTGCTTTGGCTGATTCGACTGCCGGTGGACCTTCATGCATTCTTCCTCTTGTCGTGTGCTCTGGAGACCCTGTCTGCTGCTGAGTCTCTCCCAGGGCCCCACAGATGCAGCCGTTCCAATGAGATTGTGAGGTAAAGTTGCTCGGGGAATTGTTCTGAACTTTCAGAAATGCCACTGTCCTACAAGGTGGAGTCTGTTCTCAACTGTTTGTTGTTGTTTTGTTTTGTTTTGTTTTGTTTTGATACAAGTTCTAGCTCTGTCACCCAGGCTAGAGTGCAGTGGCGTGACCTCGGCTCACTGCAACCTCCGCCTCCCGGGCTCAAGCCATCCTCCCACCTCAGCCTCCTGAGTAGCTGGGACTACAGACGCACACCAGCACACCCGGCTAGTTTTTGTATTTTTAGTAGAGATGGGGGTCTCACCACGGTGGCCAGGCTGGTCTCGAACTCCTGACCTCAGGTGATCCGCCCGCCTTGGCCTCCCAAAGTGCTGGCATTATAGGTGTGAGCCACCACACCCAACCTGTTCTCCACTGATTTAAAGACACTCCATATATGTCTGTAGGGAAGCTTAGCACAGTGTGGACAAACATAGCCCCGTATTTCAAGGGAAATTTTGTTTTAAGGGCTCAGATGTCTTACCCTATAATTCAACTGCCATCTTCCCCATCGTAGTTATCTCTTTCAAATGCAGGACCACAGTAAACGATGCGGGGAAGCATCCAGGCCTCCTTCTCCCTGCCACACCCTGGCACATTCTCCAGCTAGTCTGGGACATGGGCATCACAAAAGCAGTTCTGCAAGTGCTAGTTGTCATCTCAAGCTGTCTTTCCCTGGCACCATGCCAACTGCTGTTACAGACACCATTTCCACACCCTCCCCTCTGTGGCCTGGTGTGAGCATTTTACTAAATTTCAGTATTCCTTGTCACTACTGCTGCAAGTGTAGCATGAAAGACTTATATGGTAACAAAAAGCCTCTTGTCTAAGCAGACAGGGGAAAAAACATATAGGAAGCCTGATCTTCTAATTGCCCAGGAACTGGCAAGTGACCTTGCTCACCAATTACAGAGCCTTTGATTTAAGTCAAATAGCAAATCTATTAAATCTGATACCTTTGAATGATTTGAGTAGCCATGCTGTTATAAACTACTTTAAAATGGCAGTAATCTGAAGAATCTAGAGGATGATAAGAAACACGTCTACTCACACGGCCAGAACAAATAACAGAAATGGCCAAAAAATGCTAAGCCTTCCAAACCCAGAACCAAACCCAGATAGCATTGACTGAAAGGATTTCTACTCTTTTTTCCTCCAATAATCTTAATTCCAGCAAAGCCAAGTCTCCTCAGTGACAAGAAAAATAAGTCAGGGTGTATTTTCTTGTTGGCTTTTGCTTTTAAAATAGCACTTTTCTCCTAATTACAAAATCCATTTATGCTTCATGGGGAAAGCTTGGAAAACAAAAACACAACAGATTCAAGGTCACTTTAAGATCTTGCCAGGACTACTTCAGGCATTCTAATGTATGTCTCTTTTATATTTAAATAGATTTTTTTTTACAAAAATTACATGTTTATACATAAAGTCTTTTGGTCACTGATCTATTTATTTTACTTAGCAACATATTATAAATATTTTCCATACCAATTGATATTTTCTTTAATATGTTGTCTAGCAGCTACATACAGTTCTGTCATTTGGATGTATTGTAATCCTTTATTTATTAAGTCATAAGTAAGGCTTTGATGGACATCTTTGAATGAAAATCTTTAACTTCATCTCTGATTACTCTTAGGATAACCTCCTAGAAGTTTACCTTCTGTTATTAATACATGCCCATGTTTTTAATCAGCAGTCTTCAAGTTCATCCTTTGATTCTACTTACTTAGGAGTCATTTCACCACCAAACAATAACATGAATATAGATGCCAAAACAAAAGGAATGAAAATGCCTCCAGTAGACCCAGAAACATGTTAAAGATTGAAGCTGTTCGTTAAGGAAAGCTTTAAGGCCAGACCAGAGATGAGCTATTTCCTGAAACATCAAATAGAGAAAATGAGCTGATGTCAACAGAGAGATTCAAGAGAAGTTACTATAACACAATTTCAAATTAAATTTCCAACACTTCCAGAAATAAGTGTCACTGAGGAAAGTTAGAAAAGACACGGGCACACTGTGCAAAAACAATGTATTGCTTGCAGTGATAATAAATAAACTTCCAATATTTGTAGATCAGCATGTCAAAGATAAAATGGTTGGTAATATGAGTCACATCTATTTTATTTTCTATCTGTGTTATGGCTGCATACATTTAAAGAGTGAGATAACTTTACAAAGTTTATTATGAAAAATAACAGTGGTCCCACCCAGTTGCTCTCATTTTCTCCTTGTCAGAGGCAACCATTTTTCACATCTTTTTAGCCATTATCTTGGCATTTACCTCCATAATCCTAAATAGTTTATTTATATGCTTGTTTTTACCCAATACTTTTCTGGTTTTTTGTTAAATCAATTGAGAGTACTTCTTAATTTTTCTTTTTTTTTTTCTGAGACAGAGTCTCCCTCTGTTGTCTAGGCTGGAAGGCAGTGGAGCCATCTCGGCTCACTGCAGCCTCAACCTACCAGGCTCAAGTGATCCTCCCACCTTAGCCTCCCAAATAGCTGGGACTACAGGCATGCATCACCATGCCTGGCTGATTTCTTTTATTTGTTTGTTTATTTTATTTGTAGAGACAGGGTCTCACCAGCTTGCCCAGGCTAGTCTTGAACTCCTGGGCTCAAGCAATCCTCCCACCTCAGCCTGTCAAAATGCTGGGATTACAGCACCCTGCCACTTCTTAATATTTCTTAGATGAAATCATTACACTTTGACTTTCCACTGTGGAAGATGAGAATTTAACTCTATTTCCACTAGCATCAACACACACACACATCCTCTCAATATAGTTATCTATCAATCTATCTGCATGTGCATGTGTGTTGTATAATCTTGGTTAGATCAATAACCAGTGATTACATTATTATAATAATACTCTCTGATTACTTTTCTGTACAATTCTGTTTTCCCTGGAATTAATGATGATTGTTTTCTCTGTTGGTTTAGCTTTGTAATGGCAAATATGTATTTGCCATTGAGTCAACTTCAACCTTTCCATCTAGTCAAGAATTATTTAAAGACATTCAACTGTCTAAATCAAGACATTCTGATGCATTAACTGTTCTGCGATTTTTGCCTGGAAGTCATCTCTCCTAGAAATGCTGATGGCTCCAATTTAATCTGGTACACAGATCAGACTGTGCCTGGTACACAGCTGCCTCACCCTCATCCTGAGGGGGCCTTTCGTGTTAGACCTCCTGTTTTCTAAAACTCATGTCTTCCTTTTTCTTGATCAATTATCCCAAAATTATCAATTATCAAGAAAAAGTGCTTGGGAATTAAACATTTTGAGATCCAGAAAATGTTTTTGTGCTCCCCTCTCACTTGATTAATATTTGACTGAAAATAGAATACTAATCTAAAAATAACTTCAATAGCCTCATAATTTTAGGTGGCATCGATCCATTGCTGTGTAGATTTCAGAACTGTTGCGAAACACAAAGACCTTCACATTTCCAGTCCTTTGTAAGTAGCTTGGTTTTCCCCTCTGGAAGCCCATAGGATCTTCTTTTGGTTTTAAGTGGTCTGAAAGCTCTTGATTCGGTACCTTCATGTGGTGTTATTTTCCCTGGTTGTTCTGGATGTTTCATTCTGTGAAATCTTCTGACTGAGTGTTTATTTTCATTCCCTCTGTTTTTGCAGTCTTATCTTTTCTCTTTTCCCTCATTTCTGTTTTTATTTTTGTTCCACTTTGAGATAACTTTATCTTCCAAAACCTCTTGTTGGTTTTCCATTTCAGCTGCAGTGCTTTTAATTTCTAAAAGCCCTCTTTTATTCCCTTGATTTTTTTAATAGCAAAGCAGCATCTTGTTCGTGTTTCATGGATGCTTTCTCTGAGAATTTAATTATATTTTTAAGTAGTTTTTCTTACATGGTTTCTGTTTCTCCAATTTGTCTTTTGCTATTTGTTTTTGTTTCCATCTTTATTTTTAGAGGCTCACCTCAAATGCCTAGTGACCCCTGATTGTCTGCTCATGTTTAAGAGCAAAGCCTTAAAATTCTGATTGGAAGCGGTCAACACACGGATGGGGCTTATTGAATGTGAGCTTAAGTGTAAAGTGACCAGGTTGGGCCATTCCCTTAGGGAACCTCTGACATTAGTATCTTTAGGTCTTTCCTCTTGAATTGGGCAAATTCCCCAGAGAAGAACCATCTGGTCTCTTGCCTGGAGGTTAGAGGCCTGGCTGTCAATATTATGGGAAGAGGACTGGGGGTCAATGCCCCTGTATCCTTTTTGTTAACTGTGCCTAGTGTTCCCCAGGACAGAGACCCCCTCCTCTTAGTACTCAGTCCAGAAAATAACACTTATCTCCTGCTGGGAGTGGTGAGAAGCAGCCCCTGGTCTACAAAGAGCAGGCAAAGCTATCTAGAGATCTAACTGCCTCTTGACTAGACTTTTCATCAAGAGTCTTGTTTCTAGTCTCACCTTTAAACCCATTTCCATAGATACTTGTGTCATGGATTCCTGAGCCTTTGGGTACCTTTGTAAAATTGCTGGGCTTTTTTTTTTTCTGACTATTGGCTAGGATTCTGTCCCCTCAGGTCAGCCAAATTGATCAACACTCATCCATCTGCTTACTAGTTTCCAAAATTTGTTGCTGTTATCTTTTTATTCCTGTTGGAATTATATCATCTAAAAAACAATGTCATTTAATTGGGGTTTCAAAGGAAGAAACTCCTGCATGAACTCCTGGAAGCAGGGAATACTTTTAAGGAAGAGAAAACAAACAGTAAAACTATTACCACAGAAGTTCAAAGGGTGATATGCTGAGGGGAGGGTAAGAGTACAAGGAAAATATCCCAAGCTTAGCGCTTTCTCCTAAAGTGTGCAAGCGGAATGCAACTGAACCCAGAGAAAGAGGGAGCTCCTCACAACAGTAGAAAACCAGATTGGGAGGAAGCTTTGTAACAATTGGTGATTTTATCTGCCCCAGCCAATGCACACCTACATTTGAATGTAGGTGAATTTCTGAACCAATGCCTTGATAGGTGTATATTTGATAGGCGTACCTTTGAATGTAGGTGAATTTCTGTACCAATGACCCTCGTGATGTTATCACTCTCATTCTTCAAATGAAGCAAAAGGCCCAAGAAGGCAAAGTAACATATCCATGATTACAGCGATCATCAGTGACAGGGTCAAGATGTAAACTCTTGTCTTTCTGATACTAAACTTATGTCCCTTGGCCATATTGATCATGTGGCACTCACAGGCCATATTGCTAATATTGCACTTGAGAGTGACCAGCCATCTATCCGTACTGTCCCCACATTCTCCCCTGCCTCATTCACACTAACACTTGGAGCCGTGTGCTCCATGGTTCTTCTTGCAGCAAAGTTTTCCTTCTCTCCTCTGTTGGTATGCTCATTTGTTTCCTTTAACTTCTTAGTTTCCAATTAGTCAAGATCCATATTGCTGACAGATGATCAGGGTGTGGTTCTTAGTAATGTTTATGGATAATGTAACTTCATCCAAATAATGTCTTGGGGGTTACTCAGAGAAATTTAGCAGATTAGCTAAGGGAAAGAAATAAGCTTGATGTTATCTTTGCCAAATATAATGGATTAATAGCTAAGGACAAGTGATGATTTCTTTTGTGTATTACTTATAACATAGAAAATGAGTTTTTGTTTCTGAGGAATTAGTTTCTGGTCCATGCTTGGATGAGCCAGAAGTTTAGCTTTGTTGGCACTCTGGTTTTATCCATTTTTCTTCAATTCTTCCTTGAGGTTTTGTATGTTGCTACTCCTTCTCCTTTCTGTGCTAACAATTCTTTCCAGAATTAACACTTTCGGATATGAGTATTGTGGAGGATGTGGAAAGCGTGGTCTGGTATAAGATCGCTGAACCAATGTTGAGTGTCACCGATGAATCTTCGCACCGTCCCTAGGTACCACTGGGCACCACACCAGGCCTAGGGTGACAAAAAAGGAGAAGATATATGTGGGGGAAAAGATAAAGAGACATGAAAGAAGAGAGGGCAAGAAAAAAGGGAGGGAGGAAGGGGAAATAGAAGAAGGGGTGCTCCTGGGTAGGGCAGCTAATCTGGCAATAAGATCCCCAGTCTCTGGCTCCCCACCTGTGTCCCCCCTGGGGCCTGGGTATTGCACCACAGGTCCAAAGGGTAAGAGTTCTTCACCTTTCATTTTGGCCATAGTCTGGCTTGCTCAGTTATTGTCTCATTTTTTTTACCCATCCTATTTGCCTTTTCACTTCAAATCTCAGTAATTGCAGCAGCTTCTGAGCATGACTCAGCCCTCAGATGTGATCGGTACAGCCCACAGAAAGTTTCACAATGCATTGGAATGCCTGCAGACAGACCTGCACGTCTCGAGGCATTGGAATGCCTGTAGACAGACCCACATGTCTCGAGGCCTCAGAATCCCCACTTCTTGTTACATCCTCCACTTCCCGGCTTGAGCTGCCTACTTGGCCTTTTAACGCATTTGCGTAGGTGACACCTGGCTTCCACTCTGTGAGCCCTAATCCGCATGTGCCCTCCTAAGTATTATTTTATGCGTCTGTGTTCTTCATCCACCACCACATCTTGAAGTTACTGAAGGTAGGCACTGTCAGTAAAGGCATCCCACTGCCACTCCGCTTCACCACGGCCGTAACAGGAACCACAGGTATCACTATATCTGCCATTTACTGAGCTCCTCACATGTGGCAAGGCCTGTTCCAAACACTTTACGTGTGATAATTCATTCGATCCTAAAATACAAAGAGGTTTAGATGAGGAAACTGAGGCACAGAGTAGTTAGCTTGGCCAAATTTAACACAGGGAAAGCCCAGGACTCCAAACCCTTTCAACTTTACAGGCTGCATGCTCAATCACCACACCCAAAGCCAAATTCACCATTGACAGTGGACAGCCACTGAGTTAATTACGTTGGAGAAGTCATGGGGAAGTCTGGGAGTTGAGGCATCTGGATTCCAATTCCTACTCTCTCGTTTCCTTAATTTCTTTCCTCTCTATGTGAGGGGGCATATTAAGCAAACAAATTATGATGTGTCCCAGCTTTTCTGTCTTCAAAATGGGAAGAACAGACCACCTGTATCCATCTACTGCCCAGAGAAGCCTCGTCTGTTGATGATGCATCTCTTCACCAAGAGCCCGTCAGGGCTGCAACTCTTCTGAAGGAAGGTTGGGGGAAACCATGAACAAAATAAAGAACAGCTTTCAGAGCAGAGCAATAGCTTACTTTGTGAAAGCTTGGGACACAAGTGGTTTTTTTTTTTCTATAATGTCTTTGAGCATTGCAGGAATGCAACACACCAGGTGTTAGCTATTTTCTTAGAGTCCAGAAGTTTGCAATACAAAAGCATTTGGAATTGCTTTTGAATGCCAGGTATTTAAAGTTGCCAACCTAATGACTTATTAATAAAGCTCTCCACCACTTGTAAGCGAATGTTATTAACAAATCCTACTTCATCAGTTCATATAATCTGATTAACTGGAATAAAACAGGCATCTAGCTCCCCAGTAATTTGCTGAACTTGCACTACACTAAGGGATGTCTATGCTGCAAACCAACTTTTTAAATTTGTGTGTGAGAGGTACAAGCCATGCCCAACACCTTCCCAGGGTGCCATTGGCTTTTTGACTCATCCATACTCATCAGCAACCTCTCCAGGGGCCCTGTCTGATCTATCCAACTCCTGCTGGCAGGAAAGCTCCAGTTCCTCTGCCTGCCACGTTCTGAAGTCACAAAACTGTGCAGCCTCCTCTGGGCACCCTGAGATCATGAAGTGGGGAGGGGGTAGTGGAGCTGAAAATAGCCTCTGTTTGAGTCACAGGGACAGGGAAGCAGGGCCAGCCACCCAGGGTCACCATCCGGTGCCACACCCTGAGGGTCACTATCTGGGATCTATCACTTGAGGCCACCACCCGTAGCCACCATCCAATGCCACCTCCTGGGGCCACTACCCAGGACTCTCCCCTGGGGCCATTGCCTGGAGCCTTGTGAGTCAGAGCAGGTCAGGGTGCCTATTCCTGCCTCTCCGGAGCTTGAGGTCTGTGGATCACCGTTTCCCATTCCTTTCTAGCAGTTTCCTGGGTTATTTAAGCAAACAGCTGCTTCCTCATTGTGTCAATCGCAAATCTGGGCAATCACTGGAAGGAAAAATGGAAAGAATCAAGCAAAAAGGCCTCATTAACATCATTTAAAACTCCTCAAATTAAATGCCTGGATCTGCTCTCCCAGTTATATTTACCATAATCCCATGTTTTTTCCTCCATGTCACAAGCAGCCCTGAACACGGCTTTCCGATTTCCGCACCGCTTTGCCTCCGCTCCTCCAAACTCAGAATGTCTTCTTCCCCATGCTCAGGGCTGAGTGAAGTGAGTGGAGAGGGGGCTATCTGCGCCACTCCTTCCCAGCCCCCTCTCCTTTGCATCCTCTTCAAAATTCAGGCCAAATGTTACCTTTAGGGCTCATTCTTTGACAAATTAGTCTATAGGAATTTTTGTCCCTAAACTCTGATACTATTTCAGCCCATGAGTTACTTATTTAACATGCAGTGAGCCCAGGTTGTTTATAATCCATCTTCAGGATTGAGGAAACAGATAAAGAAAGCATGGGTCCTGTCCCAGGGAACTTCCAACCTAGGGAAACCTACTGATTCAGATCGAGGTATTACAGCATGGTAGGTGCTCAGCTAATTATGTGACAAAATTGTGGAAGTGCTTCCCAGCAGGGGGAGAAAAATCACTTGTAATGGTCAGAATTCAGCATGAGATGCATCAGGAGGGACAGTAGGTACCCCCGGCAGTGTGGCTTCACGCAGGATTCAGCCTTAAGTAAACGCAGCGTTTACTTAAGTACCCTTCAGCGTACGCTTTGCGATATTTTTATTTGGATTTCTAAAAATCTCATAATAAATGACCCTTCCTTTCCTCCTCTTCCTCCTGATTTAAAAGCTCTTGGTCCTACACAAATCTCCAGTTGCTCGTGTGCGTTGCTGAGCTCTAATCTGTGCGTTGCTGAGCTCTAATCTAGGATCTAAACAGCCCCTGGGAGGTAACAGTAACGTTCCTAAACATTGCCATCCTGTGGCCACATGAAGAGAGAACAGGAAATGGTCATGGATGCTGCCATTTAAAGAGGGAAGTCAAGCGCAAGCTGCAGTCCCCAGACCCTCCTTCTCACTCCATATCCTGTCCCCAAACAATTGCTAGCAACCATAAAGATGAATTCCTGACCTGGAGAGGCTGCTACTCAAAAACAGACCCACAAGCAAAAGCATTAATGAATGCAGGCCCACCTATCAATTCAAATGCTCTGCATCTTGGGAAGTCATATTTCTCAGGAGGGTAGGTTTGGGTAGGCTAGCAAACAGCCACCTCCTCCGAAAGTGCTGGTCTTCAGGAAGGTTGTAGACAGCCTGTTCTTAGAGGTTGCACCTCTTTTCCAGGTCAGAGTTGCTGCCTTCTGTTTGAATAAGGCTGTTGGGAACGGCACCACAGATTTTCAAATGTCTCCAGGAAGCTCCTCGCAGCTCGTAGCCCTGCTGTTAGGCCATGTTGACAGCATGGGCCAGGCCTTTGGGATTCTGGCCAGTGATGCTGGCTAGGGAGGAAGGGGGATAGGCCTGAGTCTGTTTGCCTCTTGATCCGTGTGGGTCATTGTCACTAAGGGATACCTAAAATTGAGCCTGAGCAGCCAAGCATGAAGAGAAGAATGGACCCCATGTTTGACCTGCTCTTGGACGCTTGATAGGTAAGATACTCACCTGGATCATTATGCTCCCTGTCTGCACTATCCTGGGCTGGCTTAGGTAGCCTAGTCAATCTAGACAGTCTTACGTCTGTGATGAGGTCAGGTTTCTTTGCTATGAGTCATTTCCCCCATTCACATAAATGGAAAAAATTCATCAAACACATGCTTACTTGGTCAACTCTGCAGCTTATCACACAAGGTGAAGAGCACATGACTTTGTCAGCCTGCAAATTTACTGGAGTAACTGCTGATGAACAAAGAAAATAGTTGATGCCAACCCCTCTACTAGTGACAATAATGACAGAGATACCTTACATTTGATTGCGCTTTTAAGCTATGTATGTACTGTGAAACACAGATATGAATTTTTAGGTTGGGAAATTGATACTCAATTTCAATTAACTAGAATGGAAAGACTGGAGAGTGATTTTGTAATTTTAAAACATTAGATTTGTTTTTCTAGCCTCTAGTAAACATAATTCGTAAGGATAAAATGAAAACTGATTACCTTCTTTTATCTAACAGAGAATGATAGTTAAGAGTCATGCTCATGATTGGAATTCCAACATTTATTTGATTAAATGGTCTATGTATTGAGCACGCATAGAGTATACTGCACAGACTCAAACTGTGGGAACTTACGACCTAAACAAATCTCTCCAATGCAAGGCAGTTGTGTGATGAGGCTTTGTATACATTCCAACAGCTCATTACTATAAAGCACTGCGTCTGCAAAAGAAAATAATTCCAGACATGGTAATCAAGAGGGCATTGTAGGAAGAGGATGATTTTGAAGTGATCCTCCAAAAACCCGAAGTATTTTGACAAGCAAAGCCAAGAATGGAGGAGGGGCATTTCACGTGGATGGAGTGGCTTGAGCATACCTTTCCTGAAGCAGAAAAGTATATTTAAAAACAAAAATAATAATAATAATAATGTGGTTTGGGTTAGCTAGAATAAAGGAATCTGGGAGATAAAGTTGAACAAATAGTTAGGTGTAATGTTATAAAAACCCCTGAAAGCCAGTATATCAGTTGGGGTTCAGTCAGAGCCTATAGAGCTCAAGACCAATTGAAATAATTTCATAAGAGGAATTAGTTACAAAGGTGTTGGGAAAGCTGAAAAGTTAATGAGGGGATGGTGAAGCCACCTTGGGCTTATCACCAACGGGGAGCTGTTACCACCCATAGGGCCAGAGCCTTAAAAGCTGGGGCTTCCCTGGGGGAGCTGGATCTTCTGTGGATGCTGCCCAGTAAGATCTGGGTCCATGGAAGGAGTCTGTCTGGCAAGAGTTGGAACCATAAAGGAGAGCACAGCCACTAAGAGACACTGCCTGACTTGGGGCAGAGGGTGTATCCTGGCTTCTTCCACTACCCTCCAATCTCTCACCAGCGCACTGGCCAAACGCAGCTGTGAGCTGGTTGGCAAGAGAGCCTTGGACTGGAAATTAATTTGCGGGGAAAAGGCAGGACAGATCTGGGAGCAATCAGGCAAGCAACAGCATAGTCATATTGTAGGATTGGACTATTCATTGTAGGATTAGACGATTCATTAAGTAGTGAATAGTCCAATCCCGCAATCTGACTGTGCTTGGGGTTTTTGGAGGAGAATGTTAACAATCATGGCATTGCACTTTGGGAAGGAGGAGGTCCTGGAGGAGAATGTAACAATCATAGCATTGGAGGATGACAATAAGATCCATTAAATTGCTGTGAACATTTGTATAATCATGGTGGGCTGAATAACAGCTTCCAAAAGATATCCACATCCTGATCCCCAAAGCTTGTGATTTTACCTTATATGGCCAAAAGATTTTGCAGATGCTACTAAATGAAGAATCTTTTTTCTTGTTTGTTTTTTGTTTTTTGGGGGTTTTTTTTTGAGACAGAGTCTTGCTCTGTCACCCAGGCTAAAGTGCAGTGGCACAGTCTCAGCTCATTGCAACCTCCGTCTCCTGGGTTTAAGCGATTCTCCTGCCTCAGCCTCCTGAGTAGCTGGGATTACAGGTACCACCACCACACCTGGCTAATTTTTGTATTTTTAGTAGAGATGGAGTTTCGCCATGTTGGCCAGGCTGGTCTCGAACTCCTGACCTCAGGTGATCCACCTGCCTTGGCCTCCCAAAGTGCTGGCATTAGAGATGTGAGGCACTGTGCCCAGCCTAAATGAAGGATCTTGAGATGGGAAATTATACTGGATTATCCAGGTTGACCCAATGTAAACACAGGGGTCCTTATAAGAAAGATGAAGGAGGCAGAGTCAGAAGGTGATGTGACAACAGATGCAGAGGTTGGAGTGATGTGCTTAGAAGATGGAGTATGTGGCCTCCCAGAAGTTGGAAAAGGCAAGGAAATGGATTCTTTTCTAGAACTTCAGAAGGAACCAACCTTTCCAATAACTTTAGCCAACTGAAACTGACTTAGGATTTCTGGTCTCCAGAACTGTAAGAGAATAACATTGTGCTGTTTTAAGCCACTAAATTTGTGTTAATTTGTTACAGCAGCAATAGGAACTGAATATAGTATGGGCCAAGTTCATAAATTACGGAGACTTCACATTCCCAGGTCTCATTTCCAGGGCCCACTGGCCAGAACTATTCTTTTTCTCCAGTTTAAATCCTCTGAAAGTGTAGATTCCTCCACAGGCTCCCAGGCACACAGTGTATACAAGTCCCTGCCCTCAAGGCGCCTGTTTATTCCACCCCAGGTGGAGGTCCACTCCATCAGTAGGTCCACTCCATGAGGACCTACGCTGTGTGTGCACGAAGCACATGCAGGTCCGTGTGGTCGACTGCCTCTGAAGTGAGTTCTGCTATTCATGCCCTGCTGGAATTCCCTCCCCTTGAGGGGGGCGCTGGACCTGATGACTTTCTTCTACTGGCTACACTGGAGTAGATAGGATGTCACTTCCAAGAGTCGGTTATGAGAGACTGTGACTCCTTGCTTACACATTCTCCTTCCATCATTACCTCCCTTTCCCCTCCTCCTCGCCTTCTCCCGCCCCCTCCTCCTCCTCTTTCTTCTCCTCCCCTTCCTTCTTTCCCTCTCTTTTTCTCTGCACCTCTCACTGTCTCTCTCTCTCAGGAGCCAGCTACCAGCAGATGCATCCAGGAGACCTCCCAGCCTGTGAAGACTCATTCTTCTTCTGAGGCCTCATGCCTTGAATATGAGACCAAATAGGGCCAGCATTTATTGGTCTTGGGCCGCTCTGTTTGTGCAGGCTGTCTAACCGCAGTAACCCCGAGCGTCTCTTAAGGAGCGTGGGGAGAGGCGGCTGGGAGCAAGCTCCGCCGTGAGAATGCTTTCGTTTGAGTGAAGGCCTCCACAGGCCCCTGCCGTGGATTGCTTATTTAAGTTCAAGAAATAAATATTGAAGAATGAAAATCAAAACCCGCAGAAATTTAGACAGCGAAATTCTGGGTGGTAAGGAAGATTGTGTGATGATTTCACAAGGAGGATTTCGGAGAGGATTCGGTCCTTATACTAAATATGTTTGAGGGTGGAACGCTCCCTTTTCTCGCTGCAGTGCAGTTACCTGAAGTCCTTGGATTCTAGGCCCCTGTTCTTCCCTGCTTTTGCTCTTACCTTGCCTCCATTTATTAAGCACTTACTGGATGCTACGCTTTGCACCGAAAGCCTTCTGTGAACTCCGAATATTTGAGATGGGTCTCAGTTAATTTAGAAAGTTTATTTTGCCAAGTCTGAGGACCCACGCCTGTGGCACAGCCTCAGGAAGTCCTGCCCACACGGAGACTTCACATTCCCAGGTCTCATTTCCAGGGCCCACTGGCCAGAACTATTCTTGTTCTGGGTAGGTTAGTTTTCTACGTTTTAGGGAGACACGAGACATCAATCCATATATGTAAGAAGTACATTGGTTCAGTCTGGAAAGGCGGGACAACTTGAAGCAAAGGCAAGAAGACTTAAAGCAAAGGGAAGGGGTCCTCCAGGTCACACATAGATGAGAGACTAATGGTTGCATTCTTTTGAGTTTCTGATTAGCCTTTCCAACAGAGGCAATCAGATATGCATCTATGTCAGCGAGCAGAGGGGTGACTTTGAATAGAATGGGAGCAGTTCCCAGCTTGAAGGGGCCCAAGATCTTTTCCTTTCACACTTCTATGCTGTGCTCATTTAACTCTCACAATTCAGTGAGGCAGGCACCATTACTATACCTATGTTACAAATGGGGAAACATACCTAAAGAGGTCACATCATTCGCCAAGGTCGCAGAGCAGTAAATACAGACTCTGGAGTCCAGCGGCACGTCAACTTTTACTTTAAAGCCAAGCCATTAACCACTGGGCTTCACGACCTCCCTCAAAGAAAACTGCTTCCAGCCTTTCCCTTTAAATAAAAACTTTGTTCTTTACATTCTAAATTGCTTTCACTTGTCAACAGCATTATGTGTAAACCCATCTCCTCACAGTTTTATTTATTTATTTATTTATTTATTTATTTATTTATTTATATTTTTTTGATACCGAGTCTCACTTCGTCGCCCAGGCTGGAGTGCTGTGGTGTGATCTCAGCTCACTGCAACCTCCGCCTTCCCAGTTCAAGCAATTCTTGTGCCTCAGTCTCCTGAGTAGCTGGGATTACAGGTGCCACCACCATGCCCAGCTCATTTTTGTATTTTTAGTAGAGATGGGGTTTTGCCATATTGGCCAGGCTGGTCTTGAATTCCTGAACTCAAGTGATCTGC
Source organism: Homo sapiens (assembly GCF_000001405.40). Classification (NCBI taxonomy): domain Eukaryota; kingdom Metazoa; phylum Chordata; class Mammalia; order Primates; family Hominidae; genus Homo; species Homo sapiens. Next base: position 44,824,008 of record NC_000013.11, read on the forward strand.
CCGCCTCAGCCTCCAAAGTGTTTGGATTACAGGCATGAGCCATCGCGCCCAGCCCCACAGTTTTATTTTGAAAGAGTTGGCTGTAGTGTGGGTTTCTCAGCCTCAGAACTATGGACATTTGAGGTTGGATGATTCTTTGTTGTGGGGTCTGTCCTGTGCATTGTAGGATGTTGAGCAGCATCCCTGGACCCAGCCCACTAGATGCCTGTAACACGCCCCTTACCCCTGCGACAACTGTGACATTCAAAAATGTCTGCAGATACTGCAAATGCTCCCTAGAGGAAGAGGGAGCAGCATCATCCCCACTTGAGAACTGCTGGGCTGGGCTAGCGTTACACTCAGTGCCTATTTCCAAAGGGGCAGTGGATTTCAAGAGCTCCCCCTCACCATTCCCATCAGCTCATTCTAGAAAGTATTTTCAACCTACACTTACATTAGAGTATCCTGGCAATATGGTCATTTTCTTTCTTTCTTCCTTCCTTCCCTCCTTCCTTCCTTCCTTCCTTTCTTTCTTTTCTTTTTTTGACAGGGTTTTACCCCAGGCTGGAGTGCAGTGGTGCTATCTCAGCTCACTGCAACCTCCACCTCCTGGGTTCAAGCAATCCTACCACCTCAGCCTCCCGAGTAGCTGGAACCACAGGTGTACCCCACCACACCTGGCTAACTTTTGTAGTTATTGTAGGAGGGACTTTTATCATGTTGCCCAGACTGGTCTCAAATTCCTGGACTCAGGTGATCCGTCTGCCTCAGCCTCCCGAAGTGCTGGGATTATAGGCATGAGTCACCATGCCCAGCCTCATTTTCAACTAATCCTCAAGAAAGGAGCCCAAGGATTACTAGAGGCATAAAAAGCTCTGTAATTTCCGTAGGCACAACAGTGCTGAGAGGGACAGTGGAGTAGCGACAGAGGACTTGGTCAGGAGCAGAGACCACCAGCCATTATCTCTATGGCACCAGCATCCCCAGGATCCTCTGAGACCCATCACACAGCTTCACTATTCGATTGTTTGGGAGTATCTAGATTCCCGACTCTAAAACATGTGTTGTTTGTGGTTGTCACTGTCACAAGCCCTAGGATTCTTAGCATCATGGAGCAGACGTTGAGACTTACAAATGAGGAAAGAGAGAAAAAGTACTGCAAAATTTGCCCAGGCTCACCCTCTTCACCCTAATCTAGAGGAGGTGCTTGCTATTGCCTTACATATGGAATTGAATACAACTTTTGGAGGTTGTGTTAGCTATTTTACATCCTTAAGGGAACTTTTAGAAAATACCATATCAAGGCTTTGTTGGAGTTTTGGTTCCTTCAGACCCTGAGACAGTATTTGGGTGCTAGTAGTGTATTTGGGAAGTGACCCCGGGAAGCATGGTAAGAAGTCGGGGAAGGGAAGGAAGCCACTGACGTGCGCTTTAACAAACGGTGACCTATGTGGGCAACCATGGCTCAGTTCTACTGGGCCCTCCAACGGGCTGTGCCAAACACGAACACATCTTAGAATTGTGCCTCTAGGCCTTAGGGAGGTAGAATATTCATCTACCAACTCCCATTCCTCACTGGTTGAGGGTTGCTCCTGAGACATTAACTCCAGGCCTGTCTAGGCTGTCGCTTCTGCAACCAAGGATGCTCTAGTGGACAGAGAAGGCCCTTGGTCAGAGAGAAGCAGTAGCTGAAGCTAAGCAGGCAGGTGAGTTGCATTAGTTTTCTATGGCTGCATAAAAAGTTACCCAAAAATTTAGTGGCTTCAAGCAACACACACTGTGATATCAGTTTCTAGGGGTCAGGAACACAGGCACAGCTTTGTTGGGTGATTCTGCTCAGGTTCTCTCAGGGGCTGCCAGCAAGGTTTTGTCTAGGACTGCAAGCATCTCAAGGTTCAGCTGGGGGAGGATCTGTTTCCAGGCTTACTCAGGGGGTTGTGGGCAGAATTCAGCTCCTCACAGGCTGATGGGCTAAGGAGCTCAGTTCTCTGCTGGCTGTTGGTCAAAAGCCACCTTCAGTTCCTTGCCACATGGGCCTTCCATGGGACAGCTCACAACATGGCAGCTGGCTTCCTCGCAGTAAGCAAGCAGGAGGGCAAGAGAGGACAAGCATGACTGAAGACAGTCTTCTGTGTGTAACCCAACCTCAAAAGTGACATCCGTCACTTTCATTGCTTTCTATTCATTAGAAATGAGTGCTAAGTTCATCCCACAGTCAAGGGGAGGGGTTTACACTAGAGCTGGAATAGCAGGAGACCCCCAGGAGCCATTGTAGAGGATGCCTATTGCAGAGGTGCAGGTGAACTGCCCGCCAAAGTTCTAGGTAAACTCTCGGCTTAGCCAAGGACTGTGACCGAGGCACTGGCACATCTGCCCAGGTGAAGTAACTTCATGCTGCTGCACTGTCCCTAGTTACTGGGAAACATTGCAGTTGTCTTGAAACAGAGAGGCCCTGGAACACAATATTTTTAAAGGTAAACATTATTAAAAATGGGAACATTAACCTGGTGCAGATTAAAGAGAATCCTTCTGCCTCTCTGCAGATCTGAAACTCAGTTGAACTGAGTGACAGGGGCTTCGCTAAGTTCTAGGGACGCAGCATTAAATCCAGAGCAATCCCCACTCTCAGAGGACTGAAAGGGACCGAAGCATGGATGGCAGAACAGGGCAGTAACTGCTGTGCCAGGTGTCAGTGCAGGCAGCAGGTGGATACCGGCCCACTGGGCTTCAGGGATTCAATCCCAGCAGGGTAGGGAGGTGACTGCCTCTCCTTCCTCTAGAATGAGCCTTGTGGGATCACCAACATTCCTACCATGTGCCTTCATGTGCTTAATCTTTCGTGAAGATTTACGGTCAAGCACTTTCCCGGTAGGCGAGCCATGCTTTAGAAGGGACACTATGCCTGGCCCTGAAGAAAAACAGGAATAAAAGAGAAAGAAGTAAGAAGAAACAGAATGGCAGAAACTAACTAACACAGCCCAAACACATCGGAAGACAAGCAGCTCTCCCTCTCCCACAAATTAGTGTCCAGTATATGACCCCCACCCTTCCACACCAGCCCTCTTCCCTGCTAACCAGGCCACCTGCCCTACCCCTCCACTATGGGCAGGCACTCCCAGGTGCTGATCTAATCTACACCTGCCTACCAGCAGTATTGGAACCACAAATGCCTCCGGAGCAGACAGCTCCTCACTGTGAGAGTACTTTATCCCCTTTATTTAAGACAAACTTTAGGCCAGGCGCGGTGGCTCAAGCCTGTAATCCCAGCACTTTGGGAGGGTGAGGTGGGCCGATCATGAGGTCAGGAGTTGAGACCAGCCTGACCAACATGGTGAAACTTCATCTCTACTAAAAATACAAAAATTAGCTGGGCGTGGTAGTGCACACCTGTAATCCCAGCTATTCAGGAGGCCGAGGCAGGAGAATCGAGTGAACCTGGGAGGCGGAAGTTGCAGTAAGCTGAGATCATGCCACTGCACTCCAGCCTGGGTGACAAAGAGAGACTCCATCTCAACAACAACAACAACAAAAAATTATCTTGAGGTTAAATCCATTATCCTGGACATGAGAATGAAGTTCAATACCTTATGAATGAACCTGTTGCCTAGTTCCTGCCTCCTATCCATTTACAGTACATGGAGGGAGGCCCCAAAGGTAAAAGAGGAAGGAAAATTGAGTCATAGGAATTAAAGACAGGACCAAGGGTGCTTCCTTGGTCAAGGCCACAGCTGATTTTCTTAGTGCCTCTCTCCTTCCCTTCATTAATTTTCATCTCCTCTCATCTTTTTTTTTCTGTTTTTTTTCTTTTATCCTTTTCTTCCCCTTATGTTTCCTTTTCTTTTTTATTTTATTTATTTATTGAGACAGAGTCTTGCTCTGTTGCCCAGGGTGGAGTGCAATGGTGGGATCTCAGCTCACTGCAATCTCCACCTCCTGGGTTCAAGCAATTCTCCTGCCTCAGCCTCCGAGTAGCTGAGATTACAGGTGTGCACCACTGTGCCCAGCTAGTTTTTTTATTTTTAGTAGAGACGAGGTTTCACCATGTCGGCCAGGCTGGTCTTGAACTCCTGACTTCAAGTGATTTGCCCACCTCAGCCTCCCAAAGTGCTGGGATTAAAGGTGTGTACTGCCACACCCAGCTCTTTTTATTTTTTTGAACTTTTCTTGAATCACTATCTTCAGAGGGTGATTTAAATAGTTAATTAACCAATTAATAACAAATAGTTATTCATATGAATAATGAGGTAAGTCATTAAATGATTTAAATAATCATTTTAAGACTTTCAGTGCAGGTGGGTGAGGACATGGGCGCTTGTTTCAGAAACCCCTGTGGTAAGTGCCACCCATTGCAGCCTTTCACAGGTGTCTTCTAAATGGCACCTCACATAAGCGTGCAAGGGAAGAATGAGGGCCCTGCTTTATAGAAGAAGAAATGAGGTGTGGCGAAGCCTCTCTTAAGTGATTGAGCTGAAAAACTGAACTCATATCTGTGCAGCTCCAAAGTCTATGCTTTTTCAACTACACCAAACACCCTAAGTGCCCAAAACAAACCAAAGAACACTACTGTATTTTGCATCTACATGTAAGTTGTAAATCCATTGATCCTACCACTTTTTACTGTCCTTACCCCTACATGTCCATTTTTCCCTCCTCACCTTTACTAAATCTTACATCATTAAAATCTGCAGTGTAGAGTGCTTCCTCATGTACATTCTTGCCTAGTCCATTTTGCGCTGCTATAGCATAATACCCGAGAGTAGGTAATTTATAATGAATGGAAATTTGTTTGACTCATGCTTCTGGAGGCTGGGAAGTCCAAGATCAAAAAGCTGCATCTGGTGAGGGTATTCTTACTGTGTTATCCCATGGTGGAAGGTGGAAGGACTAGAAACGACACAAGTGAGGAGAAGGAAAGGGGCTGAATTCATTCTTTTTTTTCTTTTTTTTAGACAGAGTCTCACTCTGTTGCCCAGGCTGGAGTGCAATGGCATGATCTCAGCTCACTGCAACCTCCACCTCCCGGGTTCAAGTGATTGATCCACCTGCCTCAGCCTCCCACAGTGCTGGGATTACAGCCGTGAGCCACCGCACCTGGCCTGAATTCATTATTTTATCAGGAGCCCACTCCTATGAGAGTGACATTACTCCATCCATGAGGGCCGAGCCCTCATGACCCAATCACCTCTCAAAGCTCCTGCCTCTCAATGCTGTTGCATTGGGGATCAAATTTCCAACATATGAACTTTGGGGAACAGATTCAAACCTCAGTATCTCTAAACTCTCTTTTCTCTCTCTTAACTAGTCAGTCTTACTTGCCAAGCATCCACCTCTGGTAAAACCCAGATCTCCACCCATCTTAAACCCATGCCCAGGCCACTGACCGTGGCTGGAGAAAAGTACATGCTGGATGATATATGCTCCAGTGGTCCTCAACCTTCTCCAGACATCCTTTGAAGTGCCCCTGGGCCTTCCCTCCTACTGTGTGCTTTCCTCCAACCTCACACCCTACTCCCAGCTCCTTCCTCTCAAGTGGTACCAATGCTTCCTGTTTCCCCTAAAGCCCTCCAAAGAGAGCACCCGAGCTCCCCTGCCCTTCTGCCTTTACAGAACAGTCCCACTCCTGTGTAAGGACTACAGTCATGTCCTCCCCCACCCACTCACCTAGCCCTGGCCTTTCTCCCTCTCTCCTGCATCATCAATTCCTCTCTCTACTGATTCATTCAAACACAAGGTTCCCTCTCAACCCCATCTTCATGCCGCTACCACCCCATTTCTTTCCTTCTTTATAAAGAAGTTTAAACTTCTTAAGAGAGTCATCTGTATTCTCCACCCCTAATTCCTTCCTTCTCAGTCCCTCATCAATCCCCTGTAATAGGACATTCGCCCTCACCCCTCACCAAAACTGATCTTGTCACCACTGGCGTCACATTACCAAACCCAGCGGCCAATGCTCAGCCCTGCTCCTTCCTGGCCTGTTGGCATTGGACTAAGCTGATCCTTCCCTCTGCTTGGAAACACTTTATTCTCTTGGCTTCTGGCACTTCCCTTTCCCAGGTATTCCTGGGCCTCACAGGTGGCTCTTTTTCAGTCTTCTCTTCTGGTTCCTCCATATCTCCCCAACTTGTGAATGTTGTAGTACCCCAGAGATTATCCTTTGTCTTTCCTTTTTAATCAACTATCCTCTCTTGGTGAGCTCAGTCAATCTACAGCTTTAAACACATCTAAACACTGCAAACTCTCACATTTCCCTCTGCAGGCCAGATGTCTTCTCTGAACTCCAAAGTCAGAGATGTATCTGCTTATTCAACACCTTCACATACGTATCTAATAGACATCTCAAAAGTGATACATCCGAAGTTGAACTGCATCCATGAAAGTCCCCTTTTCCCCTCCAAGCCTGCCTTACATCCCTGCCTTACCTCCATCCCAGTTACCAGACATTTCTGTGGTCCAATTCTTTAGTCCCAAAACCTTGCTGTCACTAAAGTCAGTGGGGTTTCCTCAAACCCCACATCCAAGCCATCCACAATTCACATCTCCTTTTCCTTTAAAGTATATCCAGAATCTGATTACTCCTGAGCACTGCTACCATCCTGCTATGCACCATTATCCTGTCTCTCCTGGATTATTGCAAGCACCTCTGACTGGTGGGCTCTGCTTCTGCCTGTGCACCCAGCAGTCTATTCCCTATACAGCAGCTATAGCAAACCTGTTAAAACTCAAGTCAGGTAGATGATACTCCTTTGCTGAAAATCCTCTGATGACCAGACTGAAAGCCAAAGTCCTTAAAATGATGTGGGATGCCCGCATGATCTGGCCCCTGTCCCCTGTTGGTCCTCAGTTCCTCCTACTCTTCCCCTTACTCTCTCTGCCACAGTGACCCTTTCTGTTCCTTGAGCATACCAGGCATGTTTCCGCCCCAGGGCCTTTGCACTGGCTGTCTCTCTGCATAGGAGCACCTCTCAGCTATGAATATGGCTCACTCCTTCAAGTCTTTGGTTGAATATTACTTTCTCAGTGAGGCCTTTCCTGAGAAACGTATTTGGAATTATAGCACCTTATATTTCCAAATTCTGTTTTCCTGGTTTTATTTTTCTCTATAGCATTTATCATCATCAGTATACTATATTTATCATTTTGTTGACTGTCTCCCCTATTAGAAGATAAGTCCCTTGAATGGAGGGAATTTGACTGGTTTGTTTGGTACTGTATCCTCAGAGCCTAGAGCTGTGCCTGGCACATAGTAAGTGCTCAGTAAGTATTTGTTGGATGAATGAATACTCAGCCCAATTCTCTGAGATGCCCACATCCTTTCTTGGTAAGAAGTCAGCTGTTTCAGAAGCCCCCAGTGTCTTTCAGGTTAGAGTGGCAAAAAGTCTAATGGTTAGTATTCTCTGCCCCTTGGGCCTTGTATTTATAATAGTGCCAGGCCTGAACTCTAGTGAACCTTAAACTCCAGACTAGGCTTGATCCACTTTCTCCCACCTTCCAGGCATGTGCATAAACTCAAGGATCAGAAGTAAAATCAAAGAGACAGCCCTACTCCAAACCACCTGCCTGTTCAGGGTCCTTCCAGTTGTTATTCTTCTCTGTCTTCCTTGAACTTGTCATCTGGCTTTCCTAGGAAGGAGAGTATGGCCATCCATCAGTGCCCTGGGCCGGCCCATTCCTTGGACCAAATCCTACCAGCAAGCAGAAGAATGGCAGCTGCTACCCAGCTCACCCCACAGGCAGGGCCTGTGTCATGGAGCTCAAGAACCAGGAGTTCTCAGTAACACAATGGAAATGATGGTACCCAGCTCACCGGCTCTGATTCTCTCTTAATTTCCAATACAACCAGAATCTGGGGATGGGAAAGGAGGAAACAGAAGAGGAAGGGCTAAGGATGAAGCTAAGGAAATAGGATTTCCCCTTTCCCTAGGGATGCCATCAACTGTGTCTCCAGGAGATTTAAAGGGCAGGGAACATCACACACCGGGGCTTGTTGTGGGGTGGGGGGATGGGGGAGGGATAGCATTAGGAGAAATACCTAATGTAAATGATGAGTTAATGGGTGCAGCAAACCAACATGGCACATGTATACATATGTAACAAACCTGCACGTTGTGCACATGTACCCTAGAACTTAAAGTATAATAAAATAAAAAATAAAAAAAGGAGATTTAAAGAATTAATACATTTTATCCATTGATGAGTGGATTTTAAAAGTGTGGCATATTCATATAATGGAATATTATTAAGCAATAAAAAATGTAGCCACATGCTACAACGTGGATGAAGGCTGAAAACATTAGGCTAAGTGAAAGAAGCCAACCACAAAAGACCATCCATTGTATGATTCCATTTCTCTCAAATGCCCAAAACTGGCAAATCTATATATAGAGAAAGTAGATTCGTAGCTTCCCAGGGCTGGGTGGGTTGGGGAAGTGATGATGGCTGCTAATGGGTACAGGATGTCTTTTTGGGGTTTTGAAAATGTTCTACAATAAATTGGGGTGACGGTTGCACAACTCTGTAAATATGCTAAAAACCAGTGGATCATACACATTAAATACATGAATTGTATGCTATGTAAGTTATATCTCAATAAAAGTGTTTTTGGTTTTTTTTTTTTTCTTCAAAAAAGTAAATTCCCTGTCTGGGAAAGTTGTGTTAAGGGGCAGATTTAATGTAAAGCTAATGAAGCTTACACTTCAGGACCCTCCTTTGTGTGGGATATATCAAAATAAATAATCAAGTCATAGCTAATTTTGTATTCATCATTTTTTATCTTTTTTTTTTTTTTGAGACAGGGTCTCACTCTGTTGCCCAGGCTGAAGTGCAATGGTGCGGTCTTGGCTCACTGCAACCTCCACCTCCTGGGTTTAAGCAATTCTCCTGCCTCAGCCTCCCGCGTAGCTGGAACTACAGGTGCATGCCACCTCACGCAGCTAATTTTTGTATTTTTGGTACAGACGGGGTTTCACCATGTTGGCCAGGCTGGCCTTGAACTCCTGACCTCGTGATCCGCCCGCCTTGGCCTCCCAAAGTGCTGGGATTACAGGCATGAGCCACCACGCCTGGCCTATCTTTTTTTAAAAAAAAAAATTCGCTTATTTATTTAAAAAAAAAAAAAGTATTCCTAAGCTGCATAAGCTTTAGGATCCACAAAACCTGGATGCACCCAGGTAAACACGATTTTTATGATCAGAAAAAAGTAATCATGATTTAAGCTTTTTTATAAAATCATTAATGCAACTCCTTTTGTGCAGTACTAGGGCCCCAAGGAAAATAGAGCCTTTGAACCTCTTGAGATCTCTTCTCACAGTCACCTGTAATGGAATCATCATGTGACTTCATGGGGAATTTGATCACAGGCTCAGGCTGGAATAATTCTTAGGTCCCTCCAGGCTGGAGAGAGGGAGAAACAAGGACACGCAGCCCTCCCTGTCCATGTGGGAGGCGACTTGAGAACACTGGTGTTCCAGGAGCTTTTCCAAGAGTAAATGGCTCAGGAGCATCACGAGGAGAAAGGTTGTTTTAAAAAATAATAATTTGCTTATTTATTTTTTATATCCATGGCTTAACTTTAGCCCTGTGGAGTCGCCCTTTCCTTTACTATTTAAGAAAAATTGTAGTGCACAGGCTGTAGGAAAGCTAGAGCCTCCTCCTCTCCCAGGTCTGTGGATCCCTTTGCCTCAGGTTTCAAGGAGCAAGACTTTTAAACCCACTTCAGACAGAGTTATAAGCACAGAGACAAACAAGAGGCATCATTAGAAAAATGAGCCATTGTAAACCTGTCCTTTCCTCCAGGCCCTCGGGCGCTGATGCGGGGTCTGGGCGCAGGATGCGCTTGAGCTGAGTCGGAAGGACAACTTGGAGACCCCACTCAAACCAGGATGGAGGGAGGCTTTTCCAGGCTTGGGGTACAGGGTATTTTCAGACCTCCAGAAAGAATTCGAGAAGGAGGCAGAGTAGCAGGACTCCTGTGGTTTTACCAAGAGAGGGCATCCCTTAAGGAGAGGCAACTGCTCTGAGAATTGGGGGTCTACTCCTCACCCCCCGCGGCCCCCCTTCACTTGCGTAGACCCCTTAGTCAGGAATCAAGCAAATTAGAAAGAGACTCAAGATTTCAAAATCGCTAAAATTCAGGCTCATGGAAAATAAACAAGATGCCGTGTTTTTACATTAATATGAGATTTTTGTCGGTGGCTAATCAAGAGATATCCTTATTGAGTTAATGGGATCAAATATTCTGGTTCTGGGGTGGTCCCTGTAATCCTGTAACCATGCTGGCTGGGCTCTGCACTACCACAGTTTCTGAAGCAAGCTGCTCATCAATATTCAGGACCCACCTCTTGAGGCAAAACCTCTAAAGCCTTTGGGATTTCCCAGAAACTGTGTATGTTTGCAAATATCTAAATGCCAAAACAGTCCTTAGGTCTAAATTAGCCAAGTTACACAAAACGGACAAGAATTCAACTTAACAGATAAATTGTGGAGCCTAGGATCACACTGGCGGGGATGTGTGAAGTGGCAGATGGGTTCTAGGCCCCTCCACACTCTCCAGGTGCTTTCTCCTCACCCCAGCATTAATCTCCCCACACCCTAGGAATAACCCAGTCATGGCTGGTGAGGCATTTTGCTATAAATACCATTTAAGCAGTCCCTATCAGGGGAAGAAAGGACTAACATCATCCAGCACTTCCCAGCTCTGTGCAAGTGGACTGTTTATCCATTATCAGATTTTAGCCTCCCACGGCCCTGGAGAGGTACAGCGAATTGTCATTTTTCTCAAGAAGAAAGCTCAGAGAAGTTGAGTAACTCTCTCAAGGTTACCCAGTTATTACATGGTAGACCAGGGATTCCAACAAGTCTTTCTGATATCAAAAAACTTTTTTTTTCTTCCCACTATACCATCCTTTTTCAATTCTAAACAGCAGAGAGACTTTTGGCAATTAACAGAGGCTATAAAGGATGTTTCTGAAATTTTTACTTGGGGCCTTCATTTAACTTTATAAATAGTCTAGGAAGCCATTGATGGAAATTTTGACTCCCGAATTTTTATCCAGTCCAGTTTTCCCTCTTGAACTTCAAACCACAGATCTGATTTGACATCTCCACTTGAATGTCTGATAATGCTCCCAAACTGAACACGCCCAAGCCAGTCTCCTGATCGTCCTCAATGCTGCCACTCCTCCTGTCTTCCCATCTCAACTGATGATGACTCCAGTTTCCAACTGCTCAGAACAAATATTTTGCTGTCATCCCTGACTCCTCTCTCACTCACTCCCCACATCCCACCCAGCAACAAATATTGGTTTGTACAAAAGTAATTGCGGTTTTGGACCATGAATTTTAAGTTGTTATAACTAGGCTCAAACGCATTTTTATTAATCAAAATAGGAACTATTAAAATCAACACATTTTTGCCAATGAGAAATAAGTTTGTTTATTCTTGTAGCATAAAAACCCATGCTTCAGGATTCAACAAACTCTTGGAAAGCATTTTCTGCATCCTGCTGGTTGTGGAAACATTTTCTCTGCAAAACGTTGTTGAGATGTTTGAAGAAGTAATAGTCGATTGGCAAGAGGTCAGGTGAATATGGCAGACGAGGCAAAACTTCACATCCCTTTGTTCAACTTTTGAAGCGTTGGTTGTGCGACATGTGGTTGGATGTTGTGGTGGAGAAGAATTGGGCCCTTTCTGTTGACCAACGCTGGCTGCAGGTGCTGCAGTTTTCTGTGCATCTCATGGATTTGCTGAGGATACTTCTCAGATGTAATGGTTTCCCAGGGATTCAGAAAGCTGTAGTGGATCAGACCAGCAGCAGACCACTAAACAGTGACCATGACCTTTTTTTGGTGCAAGTTTGGCTTTGGGAAGTGCCTTGGAGCTTCTTCTCAGTCCAACCACTGAGCTGTTCATTGCCAGTTTTCAGTCGTTGTATAAAATCCACTTTTCATCACACCTCGCAATCGGATCCAGAAATGGTTCATTGTTGTTGTGTAGAATAAGAGAAGATGACACTTCAAATGATGAATTTTTTAAATTTTTTCTCAGCTCATGAAGCACCCACTTATCAAGCTCATTCACCTTTCCAATTTGTTTCAAATGACGAATGACCATAGAACAGTCAACCTTGAGTTCTTCAGCAACTTCTCGTGTGGTTGTAAGAGGATCAGCTTTGATGATTGTTCTTAACTGGTCATCGTCAACTTCTGATGGCCAGCCACAAGGCTCCCCATCCTCAAGGCTCTCGTCTCCTTTGCAAAACTTCCGTGAACCACCACTGAACTGTATGTTCATTAGCAGTTACCGGGCCAATACGTTGTTGATGTTGCGAGTTGTCTGCACTGCTTTATGACCCACTTTGAACTCAAATAAGAAAATCAATTGAATTTGCTTTTTGTCTAACATCATTTCCATAGTCTGAAATAAATATAAAATAACAAGTAATAAATCATTAGCAAACAAAAAGCGAGAAATGTGCATTGAAATGATGTATAATGTAACCACATTTATTTAAGAATGCATTCCAGTGTCAAACAGCAAATTTCAACAATGAGAAAACAGCAATTACTTTTGCACCAATATCAGCTGTACTTCCAAAATATGTACAGAATCCAATCACCTCTCACCATCCACCTGCCAGCATCCTGCTTTCACCTGAATTACTGTTTGGGGTCCTGACTGGTCTCCATCACCCTTGTTCTCCTATGGTCTTAACACAGCAGCCAGAGTGATTTTTTCAAGTGTAAGTTTTCTTTCCCACTTCACTCAGAGGAAGAGCCTGGCCTTCCCTGCCCCCAAGGCCCTGGGCTCTGGCACCTCAGCCCCACCTCCTGCCTCTCTCCCTCCCATCACTGCCCCAGCCACTCCGGACCAGCCTCCTTGCTGCTCCTGCGTCAGGCCTTACCTGGACTGCTCTGCTCCCAAGTCACCCAGGCCAGCCCCCTCACTTTTTCAGTTCTTCACTCAAAAGCTACTTACAAGGAGGCCTTTCTTGGATGCCTGTTTTAGTTCCTCCAAGCTGCTGTAACAAAACACCATAAACTGGGTGGTTTCTAAACAACAGACATTTGTTTCTCACAATCCTGGAGGCTGGGAAGTCCAAGATCAAGGCACCAGCGGACTTGGTGTCTGGGAAGAAATTGCTTTCTGGTTCTTAGATGGTGCTTTCTAGCTGTGTCCCTGCATGGTGGAAAGGGCTAGCTGGCTCTCTGGAGGCTCTTTTATGAGATGCTAATCCCATTCATGAGGAATCTACCCTCTTGATCTAGTCACCTCCCAAAGGCTCCATGTCTTAATACCATCACATTGGGGATTAGGTTTTCGACATATGAATTTGGGGGGACACCAGCATTCAGTCCACAGCACCACCATTTCTAACATCACAGCCTGTGCTTCCTTTTCCTCTTCACTGCTTTGTTTTCTGCCCACTCATTACTTTCTGACTCACTGTGTGTAAACTTGTTTATTTTGGTTATCTGTCTCCTCCAGTAGAATATAAGCTCCAAGATGTCAGGAATTTCATCTGTTCAACAAAATATCACTAGAGCTTGGGAAAGTATCTGGCACACACTAGGCTCTCAATTAATATTTATTGAGTGAATGAACAAATGAATCTTCCCCTTATCATACTTTTTAGTGCATACTATGTAAAAAGAAACATGAACTTTATGATGCCTACGGAATATAATTCAGCTAATGTTAGCTATGGCTCCAAATTCAGTTTCAGCATAACACATTTTTTGTTGTTGTTGTCTGAGACAGGGTCTGGCTCTGATGCCCAGGCTGGAGTGCAATGACACGATCTCAGCTCATTGCAACTTCTGCTTCCCAGCCTCAAACCAGCCTCCCAAGTAGCTGGGATTACAGGTGCACACCACGCCCAGCTAATTTTTGTATTTTTTTGTAGAGATCAGGTTTCACCATGTTGCTTAGGCTGGTCTCGTACTCCTGGGCTCAAGCAATCCACCTGCTGCGTCAGCCTCCCAAAGTGCTGGGATTACAGGCGTGAACCACCGCACCCAGGCTACATTTTTTTAAAGTAATATTTTACAAAATCCCTGCAAAAATATTAGTATTCAAGACAGCAGATTCTTCTTTGCAGTACTCAATATGTATAGGTATTTAATAATTTTCTCATTGACAAATGAATAAATGAATGCATAAATAAACAGGTGAGCCCACCATTCAAACCCGAACTCTGTTTTAATAAGAATGTGAGTGTCTCTCATAGGAAAGATGCACCAGAGAGCCATTCGAGTTTCATAATAGGAAAAAAGAATCAATATTCTCCTAAAATTTGGAACACTGCAGTACTTCTAGGAAAGGATTTGTGTAGGGAAAAAGCACCAATGTCATGTTATAATTAACTGCACAAAATCTAATTGTCAGGAGAAAAATGTGTTAGAGAATGGATGAGAAAAGGTCCAGGAGGAAAAACCTGGCTAGAAGTCAAGTGCTGCTTTAACAAAAAGGCAGATGGGGGAAGATGAAGGAAAATATGAATTATAACAACAAAGCTTTTAAAAAGTCTTATCACAGAGGAGTGAAAAGAGTCCACAAGGAGTATGCCTGAATGAGTGCTGCCCTTACGTGACATATTTACAGAACTGTTAAAAATGACAACAAAATATAATCAGCCTGGGAAGCTAGGGAGAAGACATCCTTACAGGGGGTAAGCGATGTAGCTAAAAAATTTTTTGTTGTTGTTTATTATGGTAAGTGTCAAATATACACAAACACATAGAGAATAGTATAATGAACTCCATCTATCTACCACCTCATCACAACAATCATGGCCTATCTTATTTCCGTTTAGTGCTACCCATTCCCCTTCCTCCACCAAATGAATTATTATGAAGCCAATCCCAGATATCACATCATTTCAATATGAATCTCTTAAAAGATAAGGTGGATACCTTTTAAAAATCACAACACAGGGCCAGGCATGGTGGTTCCCACCTGTAATCCCAGCACTTTGGGAGGCCAAGGCGAGTGGATCACTTGAGCCCAGGAGTTTGAGACCAGCCTGAGCAACATGGTAAAACCCTGTCTCTACAAAAAATACGAAAATTAGTTGGGCATGCTGGCACATGCCTGTAGTCTCAGCTACTCGGGAGACTGAGGTGGGAGGATCATCTCAGCCTGGTGAGGTCAAGGCTGCAGGGAGCCATGATGGCACCACTGCACTCCACCCTGGGCGACAGACTGAGGCCCTATTTCAAAAACAAAAACAAAACGAACAAAATCTGAACACCATACTATAAGCACACTTAAGAAAAAGTTAACAATAGACCTAGAGATACTGAAAATCAGCAATAAGGAATGAGCTATATTCTAGTCTAGATAACTAGAGGTACAGGGCACCTGACTACAAACTTCAAATAGGGAGACAAATTCAGCATCCTTAGAATTTGCACTGGCCCACCTGACTGCTAATCAACACCTCCAATTTCTCTTTCACTTGCTCATTTATGGTTTCAAGGTCATCTGGCCACAAAGTAAAGTAATATCAAGTAGACTTCTGAAAAGGGCTTGACCCCAGCTATGTCACATATTACTGTGTGAAACTGCGCAGAGCATTAAACTCTTGAAATCTCCTCTGTACAGAGAGGAAAATAATATAAAAGTATTTAGCTTGCAGGGTTTTTATAAGGACTAGATGAGCTAGTGCTTGCATTCACTCAGCGAAGCAAGTGCAAACTCTATTAACTTCTGCTATTATCATTGGAAAAGGTGGTGGTGGGTGACGGTATCACAATCAGGATTAAGAGTGATGATTTTCCTAGGCCAGGCATAGTGGCTTACATCTGTAATCTCAGCACTTTGGGAGGTTGAGGTGGGCAGATCATTTGAGGTCAGGAGTTCAGGACCAGCCTGGCCAGCCTAGCAAAACCCCACCTCTACTAAAAATACAAAAAAAAAAAAAATAGCTGGGCATGGTGGCGCATGCCTGTAATCACATTGGCCCCTCTACAGCTACTCCGGAGGCTGAGGCAGGAGAATCACTTGAACCTGGGAGGCAGAGGTTGCAGTGAGCTAAGATCACACCACTGCACTCCAGCCTAGGCAACAGAGCGAGACTCTATCTCAAAAAAAAAAAAAAAAAAAAAAAAAGATGATTTTCTGAGATATCTAAGGTATTCAGTTTTGAGCCAGTCACTAATACTTCTAGGCAAATTTTGATTGTGGATTTTTGAGTGCCCAAGTATCTTAGACTCCACTGAAATAGCCAGTAGAAATTATTTATTTTGGCTTCAGTAAGGCATGTTATTCAAAAGCATGTGACATTTTTATTGTAATGCCAATTTCCATATCTTGGCCAAGAGCATCCTAAAAATGGGCTATGTCCTAGTAAAAGCGTTGTATAGCAAGGAAGATGATCACTGTGAAAGAAAATACTGTATTCCAAAAGACCATTTTGGGGATTAAACACATTTTAGTCTTCACCACTAACAAGACAAAGGAATGAAATAAACACGTGAAAAACTTAAGAATGACCATCAGTTGAAGGCACTAAGAACAACAGGAAACAGTGGGGGAAAAATCTTAAGACTTTATAGAATGGGAAGAAAGTTAACCTTAAAAACAACAAACTAAGTCTAAAAGGGTAAAAGAAGCTAAAATAAATAGTCTCTGGGATGAAAAATCCCAGGGAGAGAGGGTGATGAACAAGACGTAAAAGCTGAGGATGTGTAAAGGGAGAGGGAAGCAAAGCAAGATCTGAAGCTGTCCATGCAGAAGCAGCATCACATTAGCCCCTCTACACAAGGGGCAATCATTCTGGGCTCCACCTGCGGCTTCTGAGAAACAGAGAAAAACTCAAAAAGAACCAAAGATGTAGTGGGGGAAAGTTGTTTAATTTATTTTCACTCTTTCTTAGTGCATCAAGGATTCGAGGAGATTAGATGGTAGGATTGCAGTGTCCACTGTCGTTCTTGCCTCTGGGACTTTGCACATGCTGTTGTTCCTGCTGCTTGGGATGCCTCGTTAGACCGCACGTGACTTTACTGGTTCTTGATCATTCTTTAGGAGTCAGTGGCGACATCAGCCCTGGAAAGGCTTACCTGACTTCTCAATCAGATAGGGGGCACTCCTATGGCATCTCAACTCCGATCACATTATGCCCTACTATTTACTTGCCTGTCTACATCTGTGTACTGTCAGTCCCCGGAGAATAGAAAACACATCTTGTTCACTACTGTGTCCTCTGCATCTAGCATAGTGCCTCATCAATGGTGGGCATTCATTAAATACTGTTGAAAAAAAAATCAACGCATACATTTACTCAATGCTTACTGTGTGCCAGCATGTAAGTAAACACTTACCATGTGCCAGGTTAAATGCGATTTCCATTTAATCCTTTCAACCCTATGAAGTAACTGTTGTTATTTCCTCCCCACCTTTTTTTGAGACAGAATCTCACTCTGTTGCCCAGGCTGGAGTGCAGTGGTGCGATCTCAGCTCACTGCAACCTCTGCCTCCTGGGTTCAGGTGATTCTCTTGCCTCAGCCTCCCGAGTAGCTGGGATTACAGGCACGTGCCACCAAGCTGAACTAATTTTTTGTATTTAGTAGAGACAGGGTTCCATCATGTTGGCCAGGTTGGTCTCGAACTCCTGACCTCAGGTGATCCGCCCAAAGACCTCAGCCTCCCAAAGTGCTGGGATTACAAGTGTGAGCCACTGTGCCCAGCCTATTTTCCCCATTTTAAGGTAGGAAACTGAGGTGCAGGAACTCTAAATTATGCAGTTGGGATTCAACAAAAAGTCTGACTCCAAACCTACCCCCTTCATTGATCATACTCATGGAATGAAAGGAAGAACTGATGGAAGATTCAAGAAGAAAATACACACATACAGCGCTCAGAAATTTCACTAAGCAGTGACCAACAGCAAGGTGAAAATGTTTTAAATATTAGTACCTGAAGGAAAGGACAAATATTATTTTGCATAAATGAAAGGAACAGAAAAATAGCCCCTTTTTTCCGGGTGAGAAAAATAAAAAATTCAGGATGCCATTTCTCATGGGGTCAGCTGTAGATCAACATTTACACCAATAACCCCTCACTGCCTTGCTTGAAAAACCTTTGTCTCCAATATCCTAAAGTATCATCACTGGAGGTTATTATTATCTAAAGGGGTATTCTTTGAGCACAAAAATGAGAGGTTATGTTCTCTACCTTCTAGAATAATAAAGACTTTTCCTCTTTTGATAGTTAAGAATCAAGAGAAGAACCTCAAATATTCTTAGGTAAGAACTAAAATACATTATGAACATTCATTCTGGATATGTTAATCTTGTTTCTAATCTAGAAACCAAAACATCTTTAAGGAAGATAGAATTATAGAAGGAAGCATAGCTTCTCAGGAAGTGTGACTCACCCATTACTGCATTTTTGTAAATACTGACCCATTAGGGACCTATTTTTACTCCTACAGAGTTAGGCCATTTATACAAACATTAATTATAAGTCAGTTTTTGTGTATTGTTATGTTTCCTTTTAAAAAGTTGATGGAGCCAAGTGCAGCGGCACATGCCTGTAGTCCCAGCTACTAGGGAGGCTGAGGTGGAAGGATCACCTGAGCCCAGGAGTTTGAGGCCAGCCTGGGCAACATAGCAAGACCTCTTCTCTATTAAAAAAAAAAAGTTGAGGGAATAGAAATGGCATTAAATATGGAACAGGTTTCACTGTTACTGTCAATTTGGGTTCACCTCTTTTGTTTGTGTGCGTGTGTGTGTGCATGCATACATGTGTGCTGAGTGACTGTCATCATACCACGGCATAAGTGACAACAGAACTGGGCAAGCCAGAAGAGACCAGGAGTGGAAGTCCTGCCAGACTCGGGAGATCAATAAAATGAATGGGCCAAGGCAAGGAGTCAACAATTATAGACAGACCATCTTAGACCTAGGCAAGAGGGCTCCTGGGCCCACACCAGAGAGAGAAGGGGCTCCTGCAGCCCCTTCTGGCCATGCCCTTCCCCATCATGTGAGAAATCTGTTGAACCAAAGGCATGGTCCACCTGGAGCCAACTCCTAGATTATGTTCCAGGTACCCAGGGCCCTGGAATTGCCTGCCCAAGCAGCCCAAGCCCTTACCAGGTCTGTGGAGGCCTCTCTCCAGAGATCATCCTCCCAAGGATGCACATCGCTGCCAGTGTGACTGGACCTCTAGGCCCAAGTGGTGGCGAGCGATCAGCTCGGATGTGTGAAATGGGGTGTGCATACTCGTGAGTGTTCAGCTTTTCACAGCACAAGACAAATTCAGAGCAGGAAGGAGCCAGCGGGGAGTGGGAGGAGAAGGGGGGTGGAGATGGGTCCCCCCCACTGCCATGTCCCGGCTCAGAACACTGAGGAGCTCAATACTTCTCAATTCAAACCTGGCCCTCCTTGTCATTATGAAGGGAGAAAGAGAAAAGCAAAGTGGCACCATTACCCAGACCAGTGTCACCAGGAGCTGGCTCCAGCTCTCAGATGGGTCCTGGTGTTCTCCAGTTGAACCCAAACAATTTCACAAAATACCAGCATCAGACAAGGCCACTCTGTGACCAGGATGGAGCAAGAGGAAAACAAGACCAGTCTGTAATCATATCTGAGCACAGACCAAAACAAGAACATTATCCAAACCACAACAATGACCACATCCCTTTATCCTTGCTAGTATGAGTGATCACTACTCCTTTACCAATCAGGGCATGAACCCTGCTTTGTTAAGATACTTACTCACTGAACTACCCCCACTTTCTGATGGCATCCATTTAATTCAGAGCAAAGTCATACCTCCTTGAACCCTCCTCGCAAGTCCTCCATCATCAGCCCAAATGCTCCAACAATTCCCTTCTACATGTGATTGAGATGCTCCATGGGTCCCCATGGGGTATGATGTCAGTGCAATGAGTCAACCCACCCAACTTTGTTCACTCCAAATATGTTCCTGGTGGTCTTTGCCTGGAGGGCATCGACAGAAGGTATATTTGCCAAGGAAGTAACAGCTCATAAACTTGCTTTCAAACATTTATGCACTTAAACAGGTGTCATATGGGCCTCTACTTGGATTCTCACCCAGCTCCTACAAATATGCCAGCAAACCTGCCTCTAAGGCAGGGCTTCAAGACGGCATGCCCTACTGTGACTGTTGACTTCTGGAGAGCAGAGCCGTGTCCCAAGGAGATGGACTTGGGAAACCCAGCGACAGAGTGGTTTCTAGGGAGGCAATGAGAACTAAAACAGGTTCCAAGGTGGACAAGTTGAAAATAGTGCTCCAGGGTCCCAGAAAATGTTTAGAAGGTCAAGTAAAATACGGTATGAGGACAGATCCTAGACATATGCCCATTTGGAGATGCCGGGGGGACAGCAGACACTCCATGTGAGAGTGGGCTCCACAGAGTGCTGTAGTTACTGATGCCAACGTGGGCAGGGTGTCCTCAGGGAGGGGAAGCTTACCAGAGAGGAGCCCTTCAGCATCCGCACGGAGGAGACCACAACAGGAATTCTAGGTTATAGCCATGACTTCCCAAAGATGTCCACGTGTCTGTATGAAGTGTTTTGTTTTGTTCTGGCATCTCTCTGTGTGCCATCTGATTGTTCTGAAACTTTTAAGGTAGCACACCTTTTCATTTGTCCTTAAGCAGGAGCTGAGGATGAGAGTACTCTTAAAGTGAGAACTTCAAATCATTTCTTTTTTCTTTCTTTTTTTTTTTTTTTTTGAGACCAAGTCTGGCTCTGTCACCCAGGCTGGAGTGCAATGGCACAATCTCGGCTCACTGCAACCTCCGCCTCCTGGGTTCAAGTGATTCTCCTGCCTCAGTCTCTCAAGTAGCTGGGATTATAGGCGCACGCCACCACACCTGGCTAATTTTTGTATTTTCAGTAGAGACGAGGTTTCACCATGTTGTCCAGGCTGGTCTCAAACTCCTAATCGCAGGTGATCCACCCGCCTCAAACTCCTGACCACAGGTATCTGCCTGCCCCGGCCTCCCAAAGTGCTGGGATTATAGGCATGAGCCAGCACGCCCAGCCTCAAATCATTTCTTTAAGTGTTAATATGAGGTTATTTCCTGGGTTTAGATATTACGACTCACCAGAATAGGTTTTAATTGGAAAGCAATTGAAAATACTTCCCCTCATGCTGAAGTTTATTCCTAATATGTTTTTAGTAAGATGTTAATACTTTAGTTATTACACAGGTAAGTAAAAAAATGAAAAGAAAAATAGCATTAGATGCACACCTATCATAAGTCTAGAACTGAGCTGGTTCATTTGGGTACATTATCTAGTTTAAGTAAGGAAACTAAAACGGATGGCTTGCAGAATTGAGCAGTTGAGCAATTGAAGCCTTCTAGATGTGCCTCTTTGGGTCCTTCCCTTAGTAGACCCTTAATAAAGGACTTGAAAGCCATCTATCGAGGTCCAGCTAGTCAGCCACTGCACCAACGCTGTCACCCAAAGTCCCTTGAGCAAATCAACTTGAATGATTCCCATGGCAGGAAGCTCACAGCTTACCTCATCTGAAACCTTTTTTTTTTTTTTTTGAGACAGAGTCTCCTTCTGTCACCCAGGCTGGAGTGCAGTGGTGCAATCTCGACTCACCACAACCTCTACCTCCCAGGTTCAAGTGATTCTCCTGCTTCAGCTTCCCAAGTAGGTGAGATTACAGGCACTTACAGGCACCTGCCACCACGCCTGGATAATTTTTGTATTTTTAGTAGAGACAGGGCTTCACCATGTTGGCCAGACTGGTCTCGAACTCCTGACCTCAAGTGATCTGCCCGCCTTGGTCTCCCAAATTACTAGGATTACAGGCATGAGCCACTGCACCCAGCCTTTTTTTTTTTTCTTATTTATCCTATTTATCTTATTTATCTTATTTATTTAATTTTTTAAATTTTATTTTATTTTATTTTATTTACATTTTTATTTTATTTTATTTTTATTTTTTTTCTTTTTTTTTTTTTTTGAGAAATGGAGTCTTGCTCTGTCGCCCAGGCTGGAGTACAGTGGTGCAATCTCGGCTCACTGCAACCTCGGCCTCCCAGGTTCAAGCGATTCTACTGCCTCAGCTTCCCAAGTAGCCGGGACTACAGGCATGCACCACCATGCCCAGCTAATTTTTGTATTTTTTAGTAGAGATGGGGTTTCACCATATTGGCCAGGCTGGTCTCAAACTCCTGACCTCAGGTGATCCACCCACCTTGCCCTCCCAAAGTGCTGGATTACAGGCGTGAGCCACCATGCCCGGCCTTTTGTTTAAAAGTAAAAATTCCAAGCTGGGCATGGTGGTTCATGCCTGTAATCCCAGCACTTTGGGAGGCCAAGGCAAGAGGATCCCTTGAGCCCAGGAGTTTGAGATCAGCCTGAGCAACATAGCGAAACCTTGTCTCCATTAAATTTTTTAAATAGATAAATAAAAATAAAAATTATATTCCTATACAAAAGTTGAAAGGGTAGCAGCACAGTGGATACGCTTCACCTAGCTTAGCCACTCTTTCTATTAACATTTGCCTTCTCTCCTTCTCTCAACACACACACACACACACACACACACACACACACTTTTTTTAGGTAGACCATTAAAACTAAGTTGTATTCATTCTGACACTCCACTCTTAAATACTTCAGCATGCATCTCCTATGAATAAAGAACTTCTCCAATATAATTACAGCACTATTACCACACACACCCAAGAAATTAATATTAATTGAATAATACCATCTAATATGCAGCCTTTATTTAAACTTCTGCAATTGTCCTGGACAGAATTTATTTTCTTGTTTCTTTCTTCCCCAGGATATAAGATCTTTTCAAGATTTATGCATCATATTTGATTGGTTTGTCTCCATCTTATTTTTCAAGCAATTATTTAGAGGAATTTTAGATTCAAGCCAAATTGAGAGGAAGATAGACTTGCCATATATCCCCTGCACACACACATGTGTAGCAGTCTCCCTTACTATCAACCTTCCCACCAGAGTGATACATTTGCTATAACTGATGAACCTACATTGGCACATCATTATCACCCAAAGTCCACAGTTTATATTAGGATTCACTCTTGGTGTTATACATTCTATATGATGGATAAAGGTATAATGACATGTACCACTGTTGTATCACAGAGAGTATTTTCACTGCCCTAAAAATCCTCTGTATTCTGTTTATTTATTCCTCCCCCACAACTCCTGGCAACAATGATTTTTTACTGTCTCCATACTTTTTCCTTTTCCAGAATGTCATTGTTGGAATCACATAGTATGTAGCCTTTTCAGATTAGTTCTTTTCACTTGGTAATGCGCATTTAAGTTTCTCCTACATCTTTTCATGGCTCAACAGCTCATTTCTTTTTAGCATGGAATAATATTCCATTGTCTGGATGTACCACAATTTGTTCACTTACCTATTAGAGGACATCTTGTTGCTTCCAAGTTTTGGCATTTATGAATAAAGCTGCTATAAACATCTGTCTACAAGTTTTTGTGTGAACATAACTTCTCAATTCCTTTGGGTAAATACCAAAGAGTGTGATAGCTGGATCTTATAGTGAGAGTATGTTTAGGCTGGCGAAAAAAAACAAAACAAAAAACCCCATCAAACTGTCTTCCAAAGTGGCTGTACCATTTTGCATTACCATCAGCAAAGAATGAGAGTTCCTGTTGCTCTACATCCTCACCAGCATTTGGTATTGTCAGTGTTCTGGATTTTGGCCCTTCTAATAGGTGTATAGTGATTTCTGCGTCCTATTTTCAGCATCACTGATTCCCAATAAATTTCTCCCAACATTGAGCCAACATAACCTCCCTGTAAATTTCACTTCTTGGCATTCTCCAGTGGTTCTCAATATATTCCTAACACACCTCTGCAAGTACGAGTGACAAGATTAAACAAACAGAGTTTAATATCTAGCTCATTCCAGACTTACAAATGGTTCTAAAAATGTCTTAGAGCAAAGGTCTCAAACTAAATGCCTGCAGGTTCCTTCCAGACAACAGATACATATTGCTTGTCCCATCCGGTGGGTGTGCACACATGTGTACATATGTATATACTCAGTGTGAATTTGTTGCCAGAACTTAAAAATTAGGATTTTTTTTTTAAAGATCTGGATTTCTGGTTCTTCCTTAAAAATGAAATCAGAAGAACTGGCAACACTGGCGCATATTCCCAAAAAACAACAGTTGGTTGGAATTGAGTAGCAGCTGTTGCCTTCAGATGGGCCTGGACCCCCATATTCATAGTCCACCAGCTGGATAAAGTCTCCTAGTGTTGGCTGCCATTTTTCCTTGTGATGTTACTGTCACTTTTCTTATTCCTGGATTCTCTCTCACCTTCATGTTTCCCACCTGGTCTCAGTAGGCATTTGTGTAACCCATGCCAAGTGCTTCTTTACATTCAAGCACCTACATATCATTGTTCATTCTTTTTTGTTTTGTTTTGTTTTGTTTTTGAAATGGGGTCTTGCTCTGTCACCAAGGCTGGAGTTCAGTGCCTTGATAATGGCTTACTCTAGGCTTGAACTCCTGGGCTCAAGTGATCCTCCTGCTTCAGATTGAGCAGCTGGGAATACAGGCAGATGCCACCATGCCTGGCTAGTTTGTTGTTGTTGTTGTTGTTGTAGAGTAGGGTTCTTGTTTTGTTGCCCAGGCTGGTCTCAAACTCCTGGCTTCAAGCCATCCTCCCGCCTCTGTGTCCCAAATTGTTGGTACTTCAGGCATGAGCCACAGTGCCCGGCATCCACCTTAATCTTGAACTAATCTTACAAAATATATAGGAATATTATTATCCTCATTTTTCAGATGAGGAGACTAAGATTAGTATGTAGTTTCCCTGTAGTAAAACAACAATTTGATAAGCTATAGGATTCTAGGAATGACAAAATGTGTAAAACCTGTGATGTGGAGGAGAGGATTCTTTAAGAGACAGTCAACAGAAGTATAGGGAATCTAACCCTGCTACAGACAAGAGACACCTATTTTAAGCAATGTTACATCATTTTCATTAAGGTTGTCGTAGATGGACTTGAATAGAGCCATCAGTTGGTTGCCATGGAAACCATGAATTAGTGAAGGCAGTCTAGTAGCCTGGGTCATGTGGATTTAAAAGAAAGAAACTTTTGAAAATACCTAACTAAAGAATTTCTGGAATGAGAAGAAGGATAAATTATTCAAGGTGCTTATGAATTCCGTCTGGGAAGCACATGCTGATCAGAAATCATGACCAAGGCTGAGGCCACGCGAATGAACCCTCGTGCTTTCCTGTTTTGCTTGAGAGCTCAGACGCCTGCTTGGAACTGAACCGAACATCTCGCAGTTCTGGCTGTGGGTCTTCGTGGGCTAAGTTATTGCAAAGAGATAAAGGACCTTTGTACTCATCTTAGCTAAACATGATCTTGTCACAGGCTCCTCTCCCTGACTTCTTCCCTTTGCTATATGGCACATCTGCTCATGTAAAAATATAAATCAACAAAGATTCACAAAGACCTTCTTGTCTATTGAAGCGGAACGGAGATCACAGGCTTCACTCCCAAACTCAACTTGGCTTACATGTTCTTGCTCAGATAATTAACTCTCCAATTAAACTCAGATCTGGAAAACAAGGCCACAAAGTCCTCTGAAATGTTGGAGCCAGGAACAAATGGACATGGTTTAACAGTCAGAGAACACCATGTTCCAGGACAGTCAAATATAGAAGCTTTCAGGGCCAGAAAATTCACCGAATCTCCAGAGTGATTTATTTTACAATTCAGACAAGTTTTAGGATAAAGATTTTAAAACTCATTTATTTTTAGGTAAACCTCCCTCCTTGCTAAAGAAATACTCCCTAACTGATGACCATAAGAGGAAGTCAAACTCCACAGTACCAATAATGGTGAGTAAAACAGAGAGTGCATTTCTCCAGCACAGTCCCCAAGATGGGTTCAGTATCAATTGCAAGTAAGCAATTGATATTCTTTATTAAAAATAGTCATTAATCTTCATAGTAATGACCAGCACAGAGAGGATCTTTGTTAGAAGTGAGAGCTCACTTGAGAAATCAATGCAGAATAAGACTGAGCCCCAGGGATGTGGAGGAAATACTGGTACCTGTGCACAATGTCACCAGATGTGGGCTCTTCAGGAATCACATTTCATTGGCTATGCAATTTTAAGAAAGCAACAGATGAAGAAGTGAGATTAAACCCTGGAAATAGTGGTGAACAGGATAACACAGCTTCTACACCCATGGAGTCATGAGCCCCCGGGAACAAGCATTTAGCACGTTTTTACAAGCATGTTCAGTGATTTAAGAGTTTAGAATCTATGGGTGGATCAAGTAAGAGCCGGTGCACTGGTTGAACCTCACTCTCCACAGTGTCCTGGACACGGGGTCACAAGGCCTGACTGTGCATGCCTTTCCCAACTCAGCAGTCAGTGACCTCATGTTGGTATCCCAAATTCAGCTCTGGAAAGAATATTCACACCACAAAACTTAGTAAATCTCCTCCTCTGGAGAGCTTCTTGTTGAACAATACCAGCACGCTATCGCTGAGAGAATAAAAGATGTAACACAGGTGGTAGTGCACGCCTATATTCCCAGCTACTTGGGAGGCTGAGGTGGGAGGATCTCTTGAGCCCAGGAGTGCAAGGCTGCAGTGAGCTATGATTGTCCCACTGCCCTCCAGCCTGGGTGACACAGTGAGACACCGCCTCTAAAAAACAAATTTTTAGAAATATGATTATTAAATCATAAAAGGTGAACAAATGTAAGGTGACAACAAAAAGCAGTAATGAGTAAAAAAAATGGTGCTATCTTTTTTTACTCTGAATGTTTATAAATGTAAACATGTAAAGAAAATAGGACAACAATATTATGGCATTTCCATAAATCTTCAGTTTTGGTTACCTCTGGTTTGGGCTACACCTATGTGCAGTGGCAGAATTTTAATTTCATTTCTGAAGATTCCCCTTATTTGCCCACCAGGGTAGTAGAAAACAAAGGATGTAGACATCCACAAACCTGAGTTCTAATCCAGTTCTTGGTGAGGAACTGGGTGAGTGTTATGTAAAGATCAGCATCTATCCACTCTGCTTCAGGGTACTCATCCGACAAATGGTAATAACGAAACATATGCTACCATCATGTCTACCATCATGAGGATGTTTCAAGAAGCCAAGAGTCATAAATATTTCGATCTGGAAACTGAGTGGTCAGCTGGCCCCACCCATCACCTTATGGATGAGGACAATGAGGTCCTAAGAGATTGAGTGACTACCCAAGGAACAGCTACGCAGCAAGTAGTAGAGCCACAACCTGAACCCGAGGCTTTCACCTGTAGTCTTTCCAGCAAGCCGTGCTATTTACGCATAGAATGAAAGACTGCTATATAAATGAATCAAAGAAGGCTTCTGTGTATTAGTCCCTCAGTTGTGTTTTCCTCCACTGCAACCTGAGACCAATTAGCTCAAAAGCCTGCAGGCACCAAACTCAAACTTTTATACATCCAGTTATTTTTAAAAATAGCCCAAACAAGTAGACTATTAGCCATTTAGAGCCCACCTGTTTTGCATACTCCTTGAAACCTCACCCAGCATCTGTTGGCCATTGATAAGATACAGCATTGCAATGATGAGACCCCAAGCTACTACCGCACTTTGGGGCTCTCTGATCCAGGGACTCGCCTCTGTGCTGCTGAACAACATCACCAAGACACAGAAGCCCCCTCACTGATCCCTCCTCTCCTTCTGGATGTTGGCCCCCTGGAGCCTCTGGCTATCTCATGTTGTGAGGGGCTTCTCTTCTCATGCAACCCTCACATCACCCAATAAAGCTTGTGTGTGACTGCCTCTTGTGGTCCCCTCTTTCCTTGATCAGCCCCCAAGTCCCTCAGACCTACAGAAGATACAAATGTGCAGAAGTGATAAACATGGACTAGGCAGGGCACGGTGGCTCACACCTGTAATTCCAGCACTTTAGGAGGCCAAGATGGGCAGATTGCTTGAGCTCATGAGTTCAAGACCAGGAAGGGGAACATGGTGAAACCTTGTGTCTACAAAAAAATTTAAAAATTAGCCAGGTATGGTGATGTGTGCCTGTAGTCCCACCTACTTGGGAGGTTGAGGCGGGAGGATGGCTTGAGTCCGGGAGGTCGAGGTTGCAGTGAGCCGAAATCATGCCACTGCACTCCAGCCTGGGTGATAGAGCAAGGCCTTGTGTCAAAAAACATTAATTAATTAATTAAATTAAAAAACATGGACTATATTCAAGGTCCCAGCATGAGCAGATGTGGGGAGCAAATGCCACAGAGATGTTTGGTGCCACCACTAAGACTAAGAACCAGGGCAAAACGAACCCCAAATGCTAGTTTCCTGACTCCCTGCAGGTCTTCTTACTACCGTGCGACAAGAGAAACTGATAGGTCTTAGTCTTGGCCATATGTAGATAAGGCCTGGTAACTTGGCCTGATCAAATTTTACACCTCTCTTATGCCATTCCCAGGTGTCAAAGAAGAGATTAAGAAGACATCCATATCACGAATTGGCCCCTGTGGCCACAAAGCATAGATGCATTCCCTTGGTGTGCATCTGGAGCACCAAAATGAAACTGAGACTCCAGGACAACGCAGAATTCACACAGCATGTGGCTGTCATTCAAAGGCAAAACTGCTTTAGAAAACTAGGGAAGGAATTCCAGCTTTAAACGGAATGCTTTACTCTTTTGGAAAGCTCCAAAATGAAAATTCCGCCCCTCAAAATGTAAATGCATGCACTTTTACAAATAGTATAATCATGCAAAACTACTCAGCTGCTTCAGATGTTTTTGGCAAGCTGGAGTACAAGTTGACAGGTAACTAGTTAGAATTATTCTCACTTCCTTTTGCCATGGGAGTGGGGAGAGGCCATTTTATGAATTTTTAAATGACAAGTTTGATGAAATCATAGAATAAACTATTTCAAGTATATTTTCCTGGTTTTGGCTACTAAATAATTGCACCAACATTTAAAAAAAGCTAAGCTGTAAATTCAACTGAATTTCACTTGGCTTGGAATCGCCACATTTTGAGATAATTTAACACATTCATCCTTTGTACTAAGAATGATAACTAATAATGGTGGTTGCCACCGGTTGATCAAATCTAAGGTTTTAAATATATTTACACATATCATATTCATGACAAATCCAACAAGATAGACAGTATCATTATTTTATTCCCATTGTAGAGATGTGGAAACTGAGGATGCTTAAGTAACTTGCTTAAGATCAGGCAGTTTCTCAGTCAATTCATTTTGGCTCTAGAACCACCTGCCCAATACAGTAGCCACTAGCCACATACAGCTATGAAGCTCTTGAAATGTGCCTAGTCTGAATTGAGATGTGTGGTAAGTATATATTTTGATTACTTGTATAAAGAAAAGAATGTAAAATATCTCACTAATAATTTTTAAAATATTGATTCCATGTTAACATACAAAAATAAAAATGGGCTGTTAAAATTAATAAATAAAATATGTATGCTATTACAATTAATTTCACCTACTTGTTTTGACTTTTTAAATGTGGCTATTAGGAAAGTTAACACTCCTGTGCTTGGGCCTCACATTATACCCCTATTGGACCACACCGTTCTACAGCCCCAACTCTACCATTTTTTACCCTCCAAAGGAAAGAGTTTATACTATTTACATTTACAAGAAAGTGTGATCTTCTTTCATTGCAAGATTTATGTATTGTCTGTATGTGGAGAAATTGAGGCATAAAATAGTTAAGATCTAAAGTTAAATATTAATCCTAAAACAAACTTCAAAGCCTGCTGAGAACAAAAGATTGCATCCTCTACTCAGCTTGACTTGTTTGACCTGCTTTCCAACCTGGACTGAAGCCATGGAGTTCAAGAAGTTTAGCAACTGTCTGAGGTTTAATGCCTAATCGAAAGCCAAACATAGCCGTTGCTTGTGTTTTTGCTCTTGTTTTATGCCCACTTATGCTATGCTCAGAGAGAAAAACACAGCAGGGTTGGGAGGACACCAGCTCGTGTGGCTTTTTTCCAGGGGTCATGTGTTGGGTTATATAGGATTCTCTAATTATTTAATGATAATCATTGGGTTTCCATTATCAAGGAAAATATATAAAACACATGCTGATGGGCAGATTCATTGAATGGCATAAGGACCCCTCAAGAAAGCTCAAGCTATTTATGAACCCTACTCATGACTCGGATACTGCATTAGTTCAGAGTGGAGGCTGGATTTTCACTTATTCCTCTGAAAGTCCCTAAGCAGAAAATATTTCCTGAAATATGAGCAACTCCTCAGGTGCCATCTAATAGAACAGGACTTGGCAATTAAAACCAAAGACATTCTTGTATTTTCTGCTGAGCTCCTGGTCCACCCCAGCCCCATCCAACTCTGAATATTTGACATCTGTGCTTATTTACTTAGTTCCCTGGAGTACCGGCAGCTTTTCTCTGTCACTGTGTTCACCTGTGAGAGGTCTATTTAAAGCGCCTTCATAATGTTCTGAACATTTACATTTGAGCCAAGCCCTCAGCTCGACCTTTCAACATTCTCCCTCTCTTATTTTTTCTCAACACCTCTCTCCCACTGCAGTCCTCTCCTTTTTTCTCCCTTGCAAACCTGTGAAGGGAGAGGCTGTGACACTGAAAACCTTCCTGGGGAGGTGGTAGGACTGGCCCTCCGCCCTGCAGCCCCTCCTTAATGAGGATTAAGTGTTCCTCCCTCACGTCCCAACACTGGGCAGCTGTCCCCAAGCCATTTAGGACCAGCCAATGACATGCCAGAGAGCTACACTGGAGAGAACAGAAGCCGCGTGCCTTTTTATTCATAGGACAGTGTGTGCTCATATAACCTTTCTCTGTATATAGACAGACCCAGCTATTAGCTTTCACAGTTCCTCCTTGTTTAACCTTATCTTTCTTGACTCATTGTATATTTGATGTTCCTAATGGACAGTATTCCATGTGGCACGGTGGAAGGCTACTGAAAGCCTGGAGGCACACATTCTAACTGCTGTTCTGCTGCTAACTTGCTGTGTGATCTTGGAGATGTCATCAAACTCTCTGGGCCTGTTTCCTCAATGAAATAGAAAGTTGGATTGAATGATACCTAGAAGTCCTTGCTGTTTTACAATTCTATGATCCATGAACTTCTCAGATCCTCTCTAGTAATTAGTATTCACTTCTCATAATATGTTTTTCCTGTGGCTGACTCCATGGATTTCCTTCTCTTTGGAGATTAGGGGCTGCCCAGTGATAAGCACACTGACCAGGTCCCCTCACAAGGTGATTAACATGACTGCATCCCAGGCTCCAGGACAAGGCCCAGGCGATACGCAGCTGCACACGAGTTAAATAGAAACATTTTTAAAAACACTTCAAGGGGAGGAAATTGATTTACTGAAGAGTAGTTTGTAGGAAACAGAATGTGGATAAGGCCCACATTAATTCATTGAAGAATCTCATGAAGTTTTTTTTTTGTTTGTTTTTTGTTTTTTTTTGAGACGGAGTTTCGCTCCTGTTGTCCAGGCTGGAGTACAATGGTGCTATCTCAGCTCACTGCAACCTCCGCCTCCCAGGTTCAAGCGATTCTCCTGCCTAAGCCTCCCAAGTAGCTGGGATTACAGGCACCTACCACCACACCTGGCTAACTTTTGTATTTTTAGTAGAGACGAGGTTTCACCACGTTGGCCAGGCTGGTCTTGAACTCCTGACCTCAGGTGATCTGCCCGCCATGGCCTTCCAAAGTGCTGGGATTACAGGCATGAGCCACCGTGCCCAGCCAGAATCTCATGAAGTTTTTATGGTTTGCTTTGTTTCTTTGTTTTCTAGAGTCTTGGCTGAAAAGAGGAAGCCCACCTTCTACCCCACGGGGTACTTCCAGAAGTACTGTGCGATCATCACAGCATGTCTCCCTGCTTCTGGTTCTCCCCACTCCGTCCCATTTTGCACACTGAGGCCAGATAAACATCACTAAAGCTGCTCCTATCACTGTGCCCCCTGCCTAAGAGCCTCCCAGCCCCTCTGGGCCACCTGGACTAAGCACAGCCCGCTTGGCCTGGCTGGTCAAGGCTCCCATGTTAAGCCCTCCATTGTCCTGACCAGCCCTTCTCACAGCTGCTCCCTGAACACAATGCCCAGGGCTCTCCCGCACACCCAACCCACTTGGCATTACCCTACACAATGTCATTGTGCAGTCTCCTCTCTCAGGAGGGCCCTCTACCCTTTCCAGCTGCTCAGTCCAATCGGTTCTGTAACATTCATGTCAAAACATTAACTTCATGATACACTTTCTCTTTCCTTCAAAACCCCTAAACCAGTGCTGTTCAATAAAAAATAGATGCAAGTCACAAATGGAACTTAAAATTCTCCAGTTGTCCTATTAAAAAAAGGAGGAAAGTGATGAAATCAGTTTCTGTAATATTATTCTATTTCACCCAAAATAGTTAAAATTCTTTTATCTTGACATGTAACAAACATAAAAACTAACAATGCTTTATTTTACATTCTTTTTTTTTTTTGTACCTAATTTTCAAAATTCATTTGTGTTTTCAACTTATAGCACATCTCACTTAGAATGCTAAATTGTTTTTTGGTTTGGGGGATTTTTTCAAGACAGAGTCTCCCTCTGTCACCCACACTGGAGTGCAGTGGTGTGATCATAGCTCACTGTAACCTTGAACTCCTGGGCTCAAGCAATCCTCCTCCTTCAACCTCCCGACTACCTGAGACTACAGGTGCATGCCACCACACCTGGCTAATTTTTTATTTTTTGTAGAATCGGGGTCTCCCTATGTTGGCCAGGCGGGTCTCAAACTCCTGGACTCAAGAGAAGTTCCTGCCTGAGCTTCCCAGTCTTGGGATTGCAGGTGTGAGCCACTGCACCCGGCAGGATGCTAAGTTTTTATAGGAAGTACTTGATGTGTATGTCAATCTCATAAAATTTACAATTAAAAAAGTAGTTTCGAGTGCCCAAGTTTGTTCCAAATATACTAAAAAGTCTGCCAATCACTGAGTCAAGTATTCATTTCTAAATTCAAACCTAAATGAATTAAAATAAGATAATATTAAAATTCCAGCTCCTTAGTTCTCTAGCCATATTTCCAGTGTTCTGTAGCCACATGTGGCCAGGGGGACAGTACTGGACAGCATAGCCACGAGCCTGTATGCCTCGGAGAGGTGTCTATCACATTTGGTCTTGTTCAAGGTTTCGTTTTTGTGTAACCTCAGCTAGATCACCTAACTCCCAGAAGGCAGAACTGTCTCATCCTGTCTCACCCCTCTATCCCCACTGTCCCGCCAGCCCCAAGCCTGACACACACCAGGCTCTGAGTCAATACTTTATGAATAATAGGAAGAATTAGCAGATGAGTAAATGATCTCATTCTTCCTATCAGGTTATTAATTATTTGAGCACATATTTTATTCTTCTCAGCAGTTTCTATTGTGCTAACACAGGGCCATGCCCATAATAGACAGTCAACAAGCATTTCTTCCTCGCTTAGATGAATTTAGGATGCAATGGCCATGTAGGTTTCACTCTTCACATTATTTTGTACTCAAGCACACAAGAAGCACCTGTGTCTCATACATCAAAAAGAGCTTTTAAGGCTTCACTTTTTAAAATTCATTTTAGTGTTAAAATCAATGGATTTAACCACCAGATGTGTTAGGATCATACTGTAAAGTTAGCATAGAAATACCTTCCTTCTTGAGCAGTGATCTCAGCGGGAAGTTCTGACAGATTCTCTCTTTCCCTCCTTCCTTCCCTCCTACATTCATTATTCACCAAATCAAACACTTGACTTCTGAAGACATACAGGCACTATAAAAACTTTAAACAAGGTGGAAAAAAAAAGAGACTAAGAAGGAAAAGAAACTAAGACTAAGAAGGAAAAGAGGACAATGGTACCACGTGCAAAGCCCCCTACTACCAAACCCTCCCAGGGCAGCCGGTCCACGCAAGAGGGTGGGGCCGGGTGGGCGCAGCAGGGGTTACACCAATTTCCAGGGCATCGGGTGCCTCATCTGAAGGTCAGTTTCTTGAGACAGAAATCTTGTGTCTATGGCAGAAGTATTCCTATAAGAGAATACGCTTCAATCTCATCAAATGTTTTCATAAAGACGTGGAATCAGTCCCATTTCTTCATGGAAAAATTCATAGTCAAGCCAGGTGAGGGCAAAGAAGCTGAGAGTGGTACAAATGCAGAGTCCTTGACCTTCAACGCTGAACATGAGCGTAGGGGCTCTAGGGACGTCTATTCTGAAAATTCCTAAGGACAAGTGGGTTAGGAGCTTAAAGAATTTATGATCCCTCCCATACCACAACCTTCCACTGACTGACTGCACCCCAAGAGAAGGATATCAGCCTTCATTCTTCCGCTCTCTTTTTTCTCTCTCACTCCAACAAAATGAAACTAATGATTGTTGTCGTTGTTGTTGTTGTTCAACCCTTCAAGGCCCCAATATGCTGCTGATGAATGGATTTGCCTTGAACTGAGCTACTCCTTGCCATTTATCCTAATTAAGTCCTTGTGACAGAGTGGGGATGCCAATTAAAATCTTCCTACCACACATTCCATTTGTCTCTGCACTAGTCCAGTGGCTTCTCACCATGGCTCTATTTATCCAACAGTACCTGACATCTGAGTAAGAGACAGCAGAGTCTGCTGCAGGGCAGTCGCGCAGCACAGCACAGATAATCGCTTGACCGGGATTCCTAGTGATTTCAATGTGGTTGGGGGCAGGGGCTGCCTTCTTTGTTTCTTGCCTTTTTGTTATTTCTAAATATATTGAAGGCTGTTTTCAAAAAACTTGTTTTGAACAAAATTGAAATTATAAGACTATCCAAGGCAGCACTTATAAATGGAACCTCACTTTTAAGCCTAAAATGTTCCACCCGAGTTGGAATTTCCTGCCAAGTTTCCTCCCTTGAATATTTTTCCTTATAGTTGCATGATTTCCAATTGATTTTATATTTAGTAGTGGTTCCCAGAAGCCCTAAGACAATAGCCATTTCAAAAAAAAGTTACATAACTAAATGAATCCTCACCTTAAGGGAATTATGGCAGTGAAACAAATGTGATTCAGAAGCTAATCTTTATCATCAGATGAAGGATAGACTAAAACTATCCTTAAGGCAAGATTCAGTGACTGGATTACTGAGGACCCTTTAGAGTAGAAGTGACAGAAAACCAACTCAAACTACTCAAGCAAAGTAGTCTCTATTGCCTTATATATCTAGCATATTTATGAATGAATCTGGACTTCAGGCAGGGCTGGATCTAGGTGCTAAAACAAAGTTGTCAGGATTCTCAACATTCATGTACTCCATTTCTCAGCTTGCTTTCCTCTGAAATTGTTAAATTTTTATTCACTCCTGTTTCAGCAGGCTTTCTTTAACATCTAGGGGGAAATGGCTATTGGTTATTCCAGACCATATGCTCCTGGCTTGGAAGTCCTGTTGGGAAGAGAAGATCTCTTTCCTAGTATGTAAATCAACCAATCCTTAGAAGGATCCTCGTTGGCACTGATTTTGTCACATGCCTTCCTCTGCAGTCGTCACTTTTTCATGGGAATAGGGATCCAGAATGGGTCATATATGCACAGGTGATTGGAGGGAATGGATCGTGAATGCAAACGTGATGGCAGGGCAGGGAGTTTTTTATCAGAAGGACAGTGGGGGATAAATACTACAGTGGCTACACCAAGGAATGGCTGGGAGGAGTAGCAACTACTTCCCTAAATTTTCATTTTAAATGTATTTATTAAACATCTACTCAGCTATGTAATGAACAAACCAAACACATTAAAATGCCTGCTCCCTCGCAGTTTATAATCCATTACAATAATCTTTATCAAAATTTAAAAGCCATAACAACTAAATGCAAAGTATGACCTTTAATGGGATCCTATATTAAAAAAAAAAACTATAAAGGACATTCTAGAGATGGTTGGGGAAATTTGAAGGTAGACTGTGTATTCAATTACATTGTTATAAAATTTTTGGAGTCTATTTACATTGTTTTATAGTTGTAGGAGAATATCATTTCTCTTAAGAGATGCATGCCAAAAGATCTAAGGCTAAACAATGATGATGATGCCTGCAACTAATTCTCAAGTGGTTCAGCAAAATCAAAGCGTGTGTGTGTGTGTGTGTGTGTGCGTGTGTGTGTGTGTGTTTTCATCTGCAAGCCATCCTTAAACCATGAAAACCATGGAATCCAATTAACAGTAGTAGGTTTAGAAAAGCAGTAGGTTTACATACCCTGGTCTAATGCAAGTCCCTTAACCCCCTTCCAAATTGATAAAAACCTTAGCTCAACCTACAGGAAATTCTAGAACCCCTACTGTCCATTACTATGGGCATTTAGTGAAATCAAGTTACCTAATCTAATCAAATCCTAATAGTTACCAAGAAGTTCTTTTACATGCTATTTCACATCATCCTTGTCTCAATATTAGGTAAGGAACAGGGCACCATTCAGGAGAACCCTCCACTCCAGAGACTCTACACGTTTTGAAAACTTTACCAACCTATGAAACAAAGCACATTCTTTCCTCCAGCTGCAGCTCTCTGTTCTTACTAAATCCAGAAAGGGTGTGACACCTCTGGATGAGTTTCCTATTGCTGCTCTAACAACTTGCCAACCCAGGTGTATTCTCCTGCAGTTCTGGAGGTCAGAAGTCTAAAATGAAGGTGTTGGCCAGGCTGCATTCCTCCTGGAGGCTCTAAGGGAGAATCTATTCCCTGGTCTCCCCAACTAGACTATGCACATAAACAAAATTACCAGGCACCTTTTGCAACTCCTAAAGAAAGCGCATGTCTAGGCAACAAGCATCAATAATGACTGTCAAAACCAGTGGATCACAAGTTGACTGGGGATTCTGAAAGGTCTGGGTAAGTGGCCAGGATAACATCACCAGGACCCTGTGATTAATCTTAATGTCTCAAGGGGAGAGAAATTCCACCACGTGAAGTGGTGCAATAGGAAGTACACATCACGGCCTGTGAAGAATTTTGCCCTAAAAAATATGATAACCTGAATGTGATCAAGCTTCTAGATCTATTTATCAGACTATAAGAAATACAGAGGATAGGCCGGGCACGGTGGCTCACGCCTGTAATTCCAGCACTTTGGGAGCTGAGGCGGGAAGATCATGAGGTCAGGGGATGGAGACCATCCTGGCTAACATATGGTGAAACCCCGTCTCTACTAAAAAAAATACAAAAAAATTAGCCGGGCGTGATGGCGGGCGCCTGTAGTCCCAGCTACTCGGGAGGCTGAGGCAGGAGAATGGCGTGAACCCGGGAGGCGGAGCTGGCAGTGAGCCCAGATCACACCACTGCACTCCAGCCTGGGCAACAGAGCTAGACTCCGTCTCAATAAATAAATAAATAAATAAGTAAATAAATAAATAAAACAAAATAAAATAAAAAAGAAATACAGAGGATATGGAAGGTTGTTAAATAAAATCTCAAGGATGCAACCAACCAAATCCAGTATGTGGGAAATTCTATAGAACAAAGTACTCATTTTCATCAGTAAGTATCATGAAAAGAAAATAGGAGAAAAAGGTAATTTAGACGAAAAGAGACGTATAGGCATATAATCCAAGGCTATGTGTGGACCTTCTTTGGATTCTGATTTAACTAAACCAACTATAAAAAGGCATTTTTGAGACAATTGGAGAAAGTTGAACACAGACTGTTTATGATAATATTAAGGGATTTTTGTTCATTTTAGTGCTATTTTTGTTATTTTAAAAGTCCTTGTCTGTTAGAAAATCATACTAAACTATTTATTTATTATTATTATTATTTTATTTTATTTTATTTTATTTTTGTGTGAGACAGAGTCTTGCTCTGTCACCCAGGCTGGAGTGCAGTGGCACTATCTGACTCACTGCAAGCTCTGCCTCCTGGGTTCACGCCATTCTCCTGCCTCAGCCTCCCGAGTAGCTGGGACTACAGGTGCCCGCCACCACGCCTGGCTAATTTTTTGTACTTTTAGTAGAGACGGGGTTTCACCGTGTTAGCCAGAATGGTCTCTATCTCCTGACCTCGTGATCCACCCACCTCGGCCTCCCAAAGTGCTGGGATTACAGGCGTGAGCCACTGCGCCTGGCCCATACTAAACTATTTATAAGTGAAAACATAATGTATAAGATTTGCTGCCCTCTCTCACCACTCCTATTCAACATAGTGTTGGAAGTTCTGGCCATGGCAATCAGGCAGGAGAAGGAAATAAAGGGTATTCAATTAGGAAAAGAGGAAGTCAAATTGTCCCTGTGTGCAGATGACATGATTGTATTTCTAGAAAACCCCATCGTCTCAGCCCAAAATCTCCTTAAGCTGATAAGCAACTTCAGCAAAGTCTCAGGATACAAAACCAGTGTGCAAAAATCACAAGCATTCTTATACACCAATAACAGACAAACAGAGAGCCAAATCATGAGTGAACTCCCATTCACAATTGCTTCAAAGAGAATAAAATACCTGGGAATCCAACTTACAAGGGATATGAAGGACCTCTTCAAGGAGAACTATAAACCACTGCTCGACAAAATAAAAGAGGATACAAACAAATGGAAGAACATTCCATGCTCATGGATAGGAAGAATCAATATCGTGAAAATGGCCATACTGCCCAAGGTAATTTATAGATTCAATGCTATCCCCATCAAGCTACCAATGACTCTCTTCACAGAATTGGAAAAAACTACTTTAAAGTTCATATGGAACCAAAAAAGAGCCCGCATTGCCAAGACAATCCTAAGCAAAAAGAACAAAGCTGGGGGCATCATGCTACCTGACTTCAAACTATACTACAAGGCTACAGTAACCAAAACAGCATGGTACTGGTACCAAAACAGAGATATAGACCAATGGAACAGAACAGAGCCTTCAGAAATAATGCCACATATCTATAACTATCTGATCTTTGACAAACCTGACAAATACAAGCAATGGGGAAAGGATTCCCTATTTAATAAATGGTGCTGGGAAAACTGACTAGCCATATGTAGAAAGCTGAAACTGGACCCCTTCCTTACATCTTATACAAAAATTAATTCAAGATGGATTAAAGACTTAAATGTTAGACCTAAAACCATAAAAACCTTAGAAGAAAACCTAGGCAATACCATTCAGGACATAGGCATGGGCAAAGACTTCATGTCTAAAACACCAAAAGCAATGGCAACAAAAGCCAAAATTGACAAATGGGATCTAATTAAACTCAAGAGCTTCTGCACAGCGAAAGAAACTTCCATCAGAGTGAACAGGCAACCTACAGAATGGGAGAAAATTTTTGCAATCTACTCATCTGACAAAGGGCTAATATCCAGAATCTATAAAGAACTCAAACAAATTTACAAGAAAAAAACAAACAACCCCATCAAAAAGTTGGCGAAGGATATGAATAGACACTTCTCAAAAGAAGACATTTATGCAGCCAAAAGACACATGAAAAAATGCTCATCATCACTGGTCATCAGAGAAATGCAAATCAAAACCACAATGAGATACCATCTCACACCAGTTAGAATGGCGATCATTAAAAAGTCAGGAAACAACAGGTGCTGGAGAGGATGTGGAGAAATAGGAACACTTTTACACTGTTGGTGGGAGTGTAAACTAGTTCAACCATTGTGGAAGACAGTGTGGCGATTCCTCAGGGATCTAGAACTAGAAATACCATTTGACCCAGCCATTCCATTACTGAATATATACCCAAAGGAGTATAAATCATGCTGCTATAAAGACACATGCACACATATGTTTATTGCAGCACTATTCACAATAGCAAAGACTTGGAACCAACTCAAATGTACAACAATGATAGACTGGATTAAGAAAATGTGGCACATATATACCATGGAATACTATGCAGCCATAAAAAATGATGAGTTCATGTCCTTTGTAGGGACATGGATGAAGCTGGAAACCATCATTCTCAGCAAACTATCACAAGGACAAAAAACAAATACCACATGTTCTCACTCATAGATAGGAATTGAACAATGAGAACACTTGAACACAGGAAGGGGAACATCACACCCCAGGGCCTGTTGTGGGGTGGGGGGAGGGGGGAGGGATAACATTAGGAGATATACCTAATGTAAATGACGAGTTAATGGGTGCAGCACACCAACATGGCACATGTATACATATGTAACAAATCTGCACGTTGTGCACATGTACCCTAAAATTTAAAGTATAAGAAAAAAAAAAGATTTGCTTTAAGATATCTTAGCAATAAAATGTGAAAATTGATGAAACAAGAATGGCAGAAGGTTGATGATTATCAAACATGGGTGATAGATATATAGCTGCTCAGCACACTATTTTTTTTTACTCTTCCTTGCATTTAAAATGTTC
The DNA here is from genome assembly GCF_000001405.40 of Homo sapiens. NCBI lineage: Eukaryota > Metazoa > Chordata > Mammalia > Primates > Hominidae > Homo > Homo sapiens. Next base: position 44,864,346 of record NC_000013.11, read on the forward strand.
CATAACAAAAAAAAATTATATATATATAAATACAATGTGCTGGGGCAGAGATTATTTCCCACTCCACATCATTCTCCCTTCCTTCTTCATAAAAGAAGCACTCAATATTACTCTCTGTACTCCCAGAAATTACATTTCCCAGTCTCCCTTGCATCTGCATGTTCAAAAAAGTTCTGAACCATGAGACGCAGATGTATGCAGATGTAAAGTGTGGGACTTCTGAGAAACTCCTTCAAGGAATCTGACTTAAAGATATGCTTTTAGCCCTCCCCCCTCAACTTTCTCTTTTCTTGGTTCTGAAATGTGCAAATGATGGCTGGCACCCTAGCAGCTATACTGGACCATATGGTGATGTTGAGGATAAAAGACACACTAAGATGATGCAACACAAAAAATAAAAGGTTCCTGGGTTCCTGATGACTGTGGGGCTGTAGTGCCAGCCCTAGAGCACCTACTTCTTGTCATCATCTCTATAAGAGAGTATTCTTTTGTGTGTTTAAGCTACTCTAGTGGAGTCTTTGTCACCAACAACCTAAAACACAATATCTACATGATACAAGGGCTATACTGGAAAATAAGAGATTACTATGAGAAAAATAGGTAAAAGGGACGACATTGTGATTAGGACAGAGGATGAAGGGGGCAGGGAAAATTTCTTTGAGGAGCTGACATTTTCCTGAGATCTAAAACATGAATAAATGTTTGCCGTTGGTGTATGTCCATCAAATACTAAAAAAAAGAGGGGCTGAGTATGGTGGCACATGTCTGTAATATCACGCTTTTGGAGGCCAAGGAGGGAGAATCGCTCGAGCCCCAGAGTTTGAGACCAGCTTGGGCAACATGGTGAGAGCCCACCTCTACAGAAATTTAATTAAAAAAAAATTTTTAATTAGCCAGGCATGGTGATGCACACCTGTAGTCCCAGCTACACTGGAGGCTGAGGTGGGAGAATTGTTTGAGCCCAGGAGGTCAAGGCTGCAGTGAACCATAGAAAGTGAGACCCTGTCTCAAAAAATAAAAATAAATAAAAAGGAGGAATATTATGAAAATAAATGTCCAAGTAACATCCTGAAATTTGCAAAAATATTACACTCTTCCCAAGTTTCAAAACCTATTTGCTGAATGAATTAGGGCAGTGAATGATTAGAGTAATATGGGCTGTCGGTGACAGAAGCCAATTGGCAGTTGTCAGTCTTAATAACCTGACTCTATATATGCACTGTCCCCCTTTTTCAAAGTGTGGATTTCAGGAACTCTGTCCATTTTTGCCCAGAATAACTCTAATTCAATGGGAACTGAACTTTTCCACTGGGCTCTGAACTCTTCCCAAGCCACCCAATCTCTCCTGCCACGAGCACTGTCTCCTTGCGATGGTCCAGGTTGCCTCTCACCTGCCCCAAGACAAAGTATCCCAAGGTTAAATGTGGGACTCTGGAGAAACCAGAGAGGAAACAAGAGTGAGGCCCAACCACAGGGAGCCCAAGACTGGGCCCAGAGGAAGTGCGAGGGCAGGGGACTCGGGCTGAATGAAGGTCATCTGAATTTGGGAGTGTGTACCCAGTCTGCAAGATGGGAGAGCTGATCCCAGCCATCCTCTGACTCAAATGTGAACTTGCACCAATCGCTTCACCGCCCTACCCCTGAGTCTCAATGTCTTTTCATTTGTATAATGATGGTGAAAATCATGGTGGCACCCCTTTAGCCCTTAGGGATTCAGCTGTAAGTTTTCAGTTATCCCAATAACTTCGGGAAAGGCATGTTGGTACAGTTCATCCCTACAAGCAGAAGGCTGTCAAAGAGTTGATTCTGGACACAGCATCCAGAGGGTGGTGCAGAGCCATTTTTATCCCAACCCAGCACCTCTTGTTTCACCATGAATGGGAATCCTGGCTATCTTGTCTCTCTGGCCTTCCTCCCTTTCCGCCCCGCCTCCCAAAGCTCGCCTGTCTTTTCCAGTTCCTCTTTCCCCGGGACCGGGGAGCAACACAAAGTGTTGCCTCCAGGGGGGCAGGGCAATTGGGGAGGGTCTGTCCTGAGTCTTTTTTGAGCTTCAGAGGAGGAGACATCAGATTCTACAAAGTGGACTATCTACAAGAAAAATAGTCTTGCGAACATTGTTGGTTTTTTAAAGACATAAATTTGTTATATTACAGTAATAAATCACAGTCTCTGCTGTGCTTACCATATATTCCCTACCAAAGGAAAGGGGCAAGGGAGTGAGAAAGACAGAAGATAAAGAGGAAATAAAATTCCATTAAACTGTAGATATAAATTATCATCAAACACTGTGAGCTATGGAACATTTTGTGACAATTTGAATACAAACATCTGCCAGTTGCCTTCTGAGTTCACTTTTAAGGATCTTTGTGTACACTGGGCCCGCCCAGATCATCCAGGACAATCTCCCTATCTTAAAGTTAGCTGTTTAACATCCTTAATTCCAACCTTAGTTCCAGACTCAAATATAGAGAATGAGAAGACAGAGTCGGCAAGAGTAGGTCTATGCATCGACTAGTTCTCAGAATACTTAATAGCTAACTCCCTATTCTTTTTAATATTGTACTTTCTTGGCCAGGCACGGTGGCTCACGCCTGTAATCCCAGCACTTTGGGAGGTCAAGGCGGGCAGATTGCCTGAGCTCAGGAGTTCACAACCAGCCTGGGCAACATGGTGAAACCCCGTCTCTACTAAAATACAAAAAATTAGCCGGGCGTAGTGGCGGGTGCCTGTAGTCCCAGCTACTTGGGAGGCTGAGGCAGGAGAATTGCTTGAACCTGGGAGGCAGAGGTTGCAGTGAGCTGAGATCACGCCATTGCACTCCAGCCTGGGTGACAGAGCGAGACCCTGTCTACAAACAAACAAACAAAAAAAGTCCAAAATGGGCCTCACTGGACTAAAATCAAGGTGTCAGCAGATCTTCATTCCTTCTGGAGGCTCCGGGGAGAATCCATTTCCTTTTCTTTTCCAGCTTCTAGAGGCCACCTGCATTCCTTGGCTGGTGGCCCCATCCTCCATCTTCAAAGCCAGCAGCAGTGAGTTGGGTCCTTGTCATGCTGGCGTCTCTCTGGTTCTCTCTTCTGCCTCCTTCTTCCTGATTAGCAACTTTTAAGGACCCTTGCAATTACATGGAGCCCACTCACATAATCCAGGACAGTCTCCCTACATTAAAGTCAGCTGATCAGCTACCTCCATCCTCCTTTGCTACATAATATAACATATTCACAGCTTCCAGGATTCAGATGTGAACATCTGTGGCAGGCCATAACCCTCCATGCCACAACTTGCAAATCCCCTCTTCAGGGCTGGAGAAGAAAAGGCCTGGATCACAACAAACCATGTCGAGGTGTCAGGGTCAAGAGTGCTGTGTCTGCTCCTGCCCCCACCAACCCCTCCACACCTATGCGCTGGTCCCGGTACTCAGTCAGCCGCACTACCAACCCACAGCCTCCACTTCATGGCTTTTCCAAGTAGGCCTCTAGCCCCTGAATCCTCAGGCGTCCTAACGATCTGATGTTTCTAAAGGCTTCTTCCATCCCAGACCCCAGATTTAGCTTAGAGCAGGGGAGGAAATAAGGGTCAGCCAACTTCCTATGACCTCCGTGTCCCTCTGCCTCACTTACACATCAGCAACCTCAGCAGAAGTCTCCCGGCCGTTCTCTTCCTCACACCCCTCCTCCCTCAGGGCTGACTCCACAGCCTCAGCCTGAACCAGCACAGGCAAGGGAGGAAACGTCTGGACAGTGTGCCGAAGGAGCTCTAATGATTCAAGTTCTCCAGGCATAGTTCTTGATATGCTAGATTAATTTAGGAATTTCTTCCTCTCACCGCCCTCCCTTCCTCATTCCCGTAAGCCAGTAGTCTGGCTAAGGATTAAATCTAAAATATTTTTTTAACAATTAAAACTGACCAATTGCTTTATTGATCTATTGGCTATCTGCCTTTCACTCGAAGCTCCCAAAACCCATTGCTTCTTTGAGTGCCAAGCCCCCAGGCTAACAAGGTTTATAGGCTATGGAAACACATCTGAAAATATTTCTAAAGTACACTCTGATTTCTCTAATATAGAAATATGTATCAACTGAGAAGTAAAAAAATGGAGGGTTACACTAGAGTCCAGGACAATCTGAAACCAATCTGAAAAGTGGTTAAAGCAGCTTCTAGCAAAGCCCCGAACCGGAAGGGAAATTTCTCTACCTGTGGTACGTTACTCACTTCTCACAATAAGCCACAGACATTGGGCAGGTCAGGAGGGAGTGTTTTTAGTCACAGGCTGTGAGAACATTTCATGAGAAGGTATTAGAAGCTATTAGGCTTCTTGTTGCTACTCTTCTTGACACTTACAAATCATGTAAAACCCCCCATCATAACCCATTGCCATCATTTAGTTTCTGAATGCATTTGGCTGAATGTGCTGTGTACTTGAATTTAAAAGCAAGGGAGCTTTTCCTTTGAGATACTGTGAGGCAGCAGGGTTTGGTCTATGATTAAAAATCCAATTCAAAGCCCCATCATTCAGGGGCCAAATGATCTTGTTACATAAAAGGGCTTTTAACAGAATTGTGCACATCTTAATTATGGGAGGACTGGGATAGGGTTTGGTACCAACCTCCACTTAAAGGGCACGATAAAGAAGGAGCCCTGGAGCAGTGAGGGCCAGAACCTGTAGACGTGGCGGGGTCGGTGGGGAAGAACAGAAGGACGCATATCCTCTTCCTTGAGAGGAGCCTTTTGTGGCAGGCCACAGCCCAAGCCATAGGAGGCAGGAGAAACTGGGCACACTGTTCAATTTTATTTTTAAGGAAAAAGGAAAGGAGATTTCAAAGATTCAACAGCACTAATGGGTCAGTTTCTTCAAGCTGGGTTGATAAGATGTGCCTGGGGTCTTGCCAGGGAGAGGTCCCTGGGCAGTGCCCACAATTCATCCTCCCACGAGTTTGTTCTGTCTGTTGTATTTTGTTTGTTTGTTTGTTTGTTTTTAAGACAGAGTCTTGCTCTGTTGCCCAGGCTGGAGGGCAATGGCGCAATCTCAGCTCACTGCAACCTTGACCTCCCAGGCTCAGGTCATCCTCTCACCTCAGCCTTCCAAGTAGCTGGGACTGCAGGTGTCGCCACTACACCCGGCTGATTTTTTGTATTTTTGTGGAGACAGAGTTGCGCTGTGTTGCACATGCTGGTCTTGAGCTCCTGGGCTCAAGCGATTTGCCCACCTCGGCCTTCCAAAGTGCTAAGATTACAGGCACGAGCCACTGCCACAGCCTTTCTGTTGTCTTTCTAGTACAGTGTGGAATGTGTCACACAGGATTATTTAAAAGTCTGCCAAACCGGCCAGGCTTAGTGGTTCACGCCTATAATCCCAGCACTTCAGGAGGCTGAGGTGGGCTCATCACCTGAGGTCAGGAGTTCGAGACCAGCCTGGCCAACAGAAATACGAAACCCCATTTCTACTAAAAATACAAAAATTAGCCAGGCGTGATGACGGGTGCCTGTAATCCCAGCTACTTAGGAGGCTGAGGCAGGAGAATCGCTTGAACCTGGGAGGCACAGGTTGCAATGGGCCGAGATTGCACTGCTGCTCTCCAGCCTGGGCAACAGAGCAAGACTCTCTCTCTCTCAAAAAAGTCTGCCAAACAATGTTGGTAGTAGTGATGCTCAGTAACATACTGATAAGTGAAAAAAAAAAGCAGTTAACAATACAGTATATATTATATCATTCTAATTTTGTTAAAAGCATTATGCAGATATGCTTTACATATGTGAGTATGATGCTAGAAGAAAATGCACAAAAATCTTAGAGTGTAATACTCATGTGTGATTTTAAAATGTTTCCTTTTTTTGTATTTCTCAATTTTCTACAATCGATATGTGTTGCTTTTATTATCCTAAAAACAAAGATTAATTAAAGCAAAACGTCAGGTCAGCCTCTTGCTAGGGAGAACAAAGTTTAAATTCCCTCTTCTCCTCCTCCTTTGGCAGATGATTCCGTCTTCTAATGAATTGAAACCAAACTCTGCAGAAGAGAAGTGAGGGGATAAGAATTTCTGGGTGAACTTCTCTACACACGGGTAACCAAAGGGTTAGTGGGGCTGCAGAGGTTGGCAGGTCCCGTGGGTAGGGATGGGGCGGGTCCCATGTTGCTGAGAAACCTGCTCTTCTCTTTGGGGGCTGCAAGGCACTCATCCAGGGCCCTCTGCTGGATACAGAGGTTGTCCTCACAACCTCTGGGTCTGGGTGACCAGGGAGATTTGAAAACAGGGCAGGTGGCCAAGATCCTGGGCAGGACTAGTTGAGTCTTTGAGGTGTCAGGTGGGAAGCAGAGAGAGTGAAGTCACAGGCTGTGTTTTCTCAGCACAGCCAGTTCCATTTGGCAGGCAGGTGTGGAGGACAGAATGTCCACAGTTCCTGAGAGCACAGCAAGCCAGCTGGGCGCGGGCAGCTTCCACAGCCATCTCCCAAGGACAACATCCTGCCCAAAGGCAGGCTTTCAGAGAGGTCCCCGCCCCTGACTCCAGGTATTATGGTGTAACAGAAGGAGCTCGGCCTAAGTCAAATGAGTTACCTTCTAGCTGTGTGACCGTGAGCAATGGCTGAACTTCCTGAACCTGTACTCTTATCTGTAAAAATGGGAATAATATAGTAACAATCCCACTGAGTTGTTGGGAGTTTTAATGAGAATGTGTATATTAAACACACTCTGTAATTGTGCCATAGTAAACAAAGCCTTGTTATTCTCATAAGGAGACAGGAGCCTAACCTTCTGCGCCCCTATTCTCCATCAAGGCAGGACCTGATTAGGCAAAGGTCACAGTCGTGAGCCATCTGAACAAAGAAGCCCCTGTCCACTTTTGCCATCTCCTCTGCCACCCTCTCCTACACATGCCAGCTTCCAGCAGAGCATGCACTCATGGTCTGCTCCCATGAGAATGATGGGCACTAAACGTTGTGGAAGGGGTTAAATTAGAAGTTTTCTGCTGGGTAAAGTGGCTCACGTCTGTAATCCCAACACTTTGGGAGGCCAAGGCAGGAGGATCACTTGAGGCCAGTAGTTTGAGACCAGCCTGGGCAACATAGAGAGACCCCATCTCTACAAAAATTAAAAATACAAAAATTAGTCATGTGTCTGTAGTCTCAGCTGAGAGTCTGAGATGGGAAGATCACCTGAGCCCAGGCGTTTGAGACCAGCCTGGGCAACATAGGGAGACCCCCATCTCTACAAAAAATTTAAAACTTAGCTGGGCATAGTGGCACACACCTGTAGTCCCAGCTGTTTGGTAGGCTGAGGTAGGAGGATCACTTGAGCCCAGGGAGCTGAGGCTGCAGTGAGCTATGATCAAACCACTGCACTCCAGCCTGGGCAACAGAGCAAGACCCCAACTTGAAAAAAAATTAGAAGTTTCCACTGAAACACTGAGACAACAGACAGTAGACACTACATTAAGTTGTGAAGCAAACCAGCCTGGAGCCCTAGCAAAGGTGGGGATTGCCAAGAACAGTCCAGAAACTCAGATCCTCCTACTGTGGAGGGTATGAGGGGACTCTAGGAAGAGGGATTTGGGAGGACAACTTTTGAAGAATCCCTTGTTTGCTGAGTCCCACTCTCCCTAAAGAGAAAGGACAGAGGTTGGGTCCCCGTCTACCTCAATGCAAGAAAGCAGAGCTTTAAGGAGACCACCTGGAGATTGATGTGAATCCCTTCCAGTTTGGGGACAGGAACAGGGAAGGCTGGTGTCTGTCTCCAGGTGAGAAGTCTGAAGAGCACAGGGAAGCCTGGATAGGTGCTCCCAAGCAAGGGAGAGCTGCTGCATTGGGAAGGCACTGCCCTCCCAGGATCTACTGGGGCAAAATGTGTCTAGAAGTTCCCAGGGCCCCACTCTGGGTAGGGCAGGAGGAGGCTGTGTGGGGCTTCAAGCTGCTGTCCGCCCGAGAGCTAGAGGCAGACTGCTGGGACACGAGGGGCTGGGAAGGTCAGACTAGAGCTGCTTCCGAATTCCTGGGGATAAATGGAGGGGGTGGGAGGAAGGCTCCCAAGAACCCACAAAAGCTCCCAGGAGAAAACAAGTCAGCTCTGAGCCCCTGGCAGCACGGAGAGGACGAAGCCAGTTATGACCATGTCTGAGGCGGAAGAGCTTCCCGTCGCCCTCATCTCCCTCCCCACACCCCAACCCAGGGCAGCTCAATCGCTACTAGACCGTGAGGAAGCGAGCATGGAAGGAGGTGAGCAAGGAAGAGAAAGGAGGCGACCCCATGCAGATTGTTGACCATGGCCAGACCGCTGGACAGAGCAGAGGACTGCAGTGGTGACCAGTACATGAGCATGGAGATCTGATTTCTGAAAGTGAAAATGACTAAACAACATTGTATTTCCTTAGTGAATGCTTACCATTTGATGTTTCCTCGGCATCCATTTTAAATCTAGGTTTAACTTTCTTGTACCAGAAGCAGGGCTTAATCACCCTTGACACAGTTTCCAGCTCTCTGCCTCCTCCCAGGTCTTCAGTGTGGTCAATCCAGTTATCTCCTTTCTCCCTTCGGCTCCCAGGGGCCACCTCCCTCCGGGACAGCTGGACACAGCCTGCTTGACTCTCCCACTGACCCCCGCATCCTGCACGGACTGGGAAGATTTGCTGCAGTGACTCCACAGAGCTCGTGGTCACTTGCTGTACACCAGGCAATTAGAACTCCCTGTGGAAAACCTGCTTGGGTAATACCCTGAACCGCAATAAAAGCTTCAGCCACCCGGGCGCGGTGGCTCACGCCTGTAACCCCAGCACTTTAGGAGGCCGAGGCAGGCGGATCACGAGGTCAGGAGATCCAGACCATCCTGCTAACACGGTGAAACCCCGTCTCTACTAAAAACACAAAAAATTAGCCAGGCATGGTGGCGGGCGCCTGTAGTCCCAGCTACTCGGGAAACTGAGGCAGGAGAATGGCGTGAACCCGAGAGGCGGAGCTTGCAGTGAGCCGAGATCGCTCCACTGCATTCCAGCCTGGGCCAGAGTATGAGACTCCGTCTCAAAAAAAACAAACAAACAAACAAAAAAGCTTCAGCCTACAGGCCTCTCCCTCTCCTGCTCCCCATCCATCAGGCAAGGGCAGCCCCCTTCTTCCCCTTGGCCCTGAAAGACGTGCTGCCCTCTTCATTCTGACCGGTAAGACATCCACAGCTTCTGTTGTTTCGTGTGCTTCATTAAGTGGCCTCCTCTGTGTCTCACCTGACCCCCAGACCCATACCTCATTTCTCTCGTGGTCAGCACTCTCTAGAGAGTGGCTATCTCGGGAGGAATGAACTGCACACAGGTCAGCCAAGAGCCACAGGGAGTTGCCAGTATAAACAAGTTTCCTGTGAGTGGGACACCTGGTGACAGGCCAGACACCAAGGCATGAGGCTGTCCACGAGGATAAAGAAGCATTCTGTGAAAGGCACGTGGGAAACACTCACAGCCACCTCCCCTGGAACCCCAGCAGGAGAGGGCTAGAGTGTATAGCCACTTTCCTGAGCAAGACCGCAGGACCAGATTAGAGGAAAATACAGCACCCTCAGAGTCACCAGGGAAGCCCTGAGACCTTCCATCCGGACACACAGGGCAGTGGGAGAAAGAAAACCAGGCTGCTTTCCTGACTACACCGCAGGAATTTCCTTATTCAATGAATCAAGGTGCAAATTACACATTTACTGAGCCTGCTGAGCACTGTGGCAAGCCCTATTCCTAGCCCTTTACTATTATTAAATCATTGAACCCTTACAACCACCATATAATGTAGTATCCCTGTGTTTACGATGAGAAAACGGAGGCACAGAGAAATTAAGTAACTTGCCCAAAGTTCACATGGATGGAAAGCAGTGGAGGCTGAGTTTCAAGCCAGATCCATCCTTCAAACCTTCACTCAAGGGCTCCCCCAGCGCCATCTTTGAACTCTCCAGGATCCCAGAGCAACTCTTAGGGTGTGTTTCATGCTGAACTGCAATTGGTGCTGAGGCCCCAGTTAGGCAGTGATCTTCCTCGGCACAAGGGCTAGATCTCACTCATTTTTGTGGGACAGGACCGAACCTCGGGGCATCAAACTGTTTAGTCATGCCTGTCTCCTCTCCCCCGAAGACAGCTCTGGCCCCACACACCCTTGCTCTGCCCTGGCCCAACCGGCTCTTTGGGTTTAGTGATGGCGAGCTGGGAGCTGGGGCAAAAGACACAGAAGAGGCCGGAAGGCTAGGGAGGAGTTTTTCAGAGAGTTTGGGAGAGGAATGGGATGACTGTCAGGGGTGAAGAGAGTGGAGAAGAGAGAAAAGGCATAATTTAAGGTACAGGCCAGAATCCACTTAGGGGTGGTCAAGAATCACATGCAAGATTTGCTAGAGATTACATTTTTGGTGGCTGGACTGTGGCTTTTATTGTTCATTTCATTTTGTTTCTGTCGAACTATGCTCTGAGGCTGACTGTGTCCTGGCTTCCCAATCCTGCCGGATCTCTATTCCCAGAACCTAGTGTCTGATGCACAGTGGGTGCCTGGTAAATGTTTGCTGAACTGAATTGGAAGTACCTTGCTAAGAATTCTGTAACTCACAGCCCAGCCGCGTGCTTCAGAGGGTGAATGGGGACTGAGGAAAAGCTGGGAAAATAATCCCGGAAATGCACACTGAGAGGCAGCCTTGGGGTAACTTGACCTCAACTATTTAATAAAGACCTAAGAGTTAATTGGTGTGTGGTTTAGGGTCGGGCAGGCTGACAGGAGCCTGGGCTGGTGCTCACACTGTCAGAGCTTGGGCAAAGTGGGTAAGTGTAAGGCCTCCCTGACTCCTACACCTAGGCTTCAAATTGTTCCTCCGGGTGGTGTGAGTCAGAGGTGAAGGTGGGCGATTTGACCTCCCACAATCCCAGCTTTGCCACATCTGTGTGGTTAGAGCGTGGCCTTCCAGCCCTTTTTGATTAACTTATATTTACCTTCTTCTACTTTTAGGTAACCTTTGACAATGCCCACTCTTTGAAATGGTCCATCCAAGGGATTTCAAGAGGTCAGCATCTTGTGTCAGGTATTTTATAAAGGAGCCTTCTTTCCTACATGTGGAGCCCAGCTGGGGAGAAGTATGTTAAGAAGCCAGCCTTGAAATACCCATATGACACATCATCAATTCAAGACCAGTCCTCACTTTTCTGCCACTTCGTTAGGGGATTTTTTCAGACACTGTGGGACAGGAGGCCTTGAGAGGGGTCAGTGCTCTTTCTATCAGGAGTTCAATGAAAAGTCTTATCTTTGCCAGCCTCAAAAATAAGGTCAAGAAGAAACAGTCTCTCGGTTTACAGTTGGACAGTTGTAGCCTCAAGAACAAATGAGGTATTAATATTAGCTAGGAATCTCTGACAAGGACCAGAACTTGCATCCTCAGATATCTTCAGTGTTGTGGGTCTTCAGCACAGCCTTGAAGATAATTCCTAAAAAGGCTCAGTCCACAAAAATATCACCAACTTCAAAACAAATTCACATCACATCATTATTGCTCAGGAACAAATGCTTCAGATAAAAGTAGAAAAGCCAGATAACTCAAACTACAGAGGAAGAAATGAGACCTCAAACTTTTGCTGCCACTTGGGAACAACATTTTTTTTTTTAGATAGGGTCTCACTCTGTCACCCAGGCTAGAGTGCAGTAGAGCAGTCTCGGCTCACTGCAGCCTTGACCTCCCAGGCCTAGGTAACACTCCCACCTCAGCTTCCCGGGTAGCTGGGACTACAGGCATGCGCCACCACAGCCAGCTAATTTTTGTATTTTTAGTAGAGATGGGATTTCACCATGTTGGCCAGACGTGTCTCAAACCCCTTACTTCAAGTGATCTGCCCGCCTCGGCCTCCCAAAGTGCTGAGATTATAGGCATGAGCCACCGCACCCAGCAGGAACATTTTCTCCTCTCCTGCACGTTTTCAAGAATTCCAGGAGAGGGACCTTACTCCTTATTACTAAGCTAGCAAGGGGCTCTTTGCAAACACAAACAACAGAGAAATATTGTTGTGAACAGGCACTTGGCTGACTTTTGTCAGAGTGGTTTTAACTATTTAATACAGAAGATAAGAAATAGGACTTTGTTTTTCAACTTGGTATAATTTCAGTAGGAAGTTTATGTCTACTTTTCTGCTTAATGTGTTTCTTCTTAGTGTAACATGGAATTTTGGGGCAGAGATTAAGAGGTACCTGCTGAGGAAGATATTTATAAATTATGACAGCCTTCCCACGTCTGGTGGAGGGGGGCTGGAGGTTACCTGAAGGGGAATCATTACCCCCTCCCCTGCATCATATCAGGATCTCCTTTTAGTCTTATGAGCCACACAGTGTTTAAATTATATAGAGCCAGAACACATCTGCTGCCCAGAGGGAAGGAGACAATGGAACTGTTTGCGGCCAGATACAGGTTCCCGAAAAATAAATATCCTTTGGTTTGCCCAGCAGATCTCTAGGGACAAATGGGTCACTTTCATATTTCAAAATGGCATGCATACGGCAAGATGACAGCATACTTCAAAACAAGGCGCTGCGGAACGCCAGGGACATCTGGGCGAAGTCCTGGGCTTGCTCCTTGGTGGAGCAGTGTGCAAGGCAGATTGCTGGAGACACAGCAGGCATGCTCAGGTATTGCGAGTGAGCACCGAGGAACCGAGGCAGCTCATGCGGCACACCTTGGCTGAGTCCGACATGGAACAAGATATGGGCGGTCATCTTTCAGATACCCTCTGTAGCGGGGACCATCCCAGGGGAGGAACAAACCATGCAAGACTCGTCTCCAACAGCGACACCGTGTGGCAGCTACGCCAGCTGCAGGCGTGGGCCGCTCAGGCTCGTATCTGGCTCAGCCGGAAGAGGCAGGACTGAGTCCCTTTGGCTCAATAAGGCCCTGGGATCATAAGCCCTGTGCCCCAAGCTTGGGCAGCCGCTCGTGCCAGTTACATTCATTTTCATCTCTCTCACAATTGCTCTGTGTGTAAGCTCTATGTGTAGCTGTATTGATTTATGGGTTGCTTGTGTCTCTGAATTTCTGGCCTCTTGGTAAAAGTCAGGACTACCCTTAATAGGCCCTGTTTTGGGGCCGGGTGCGGTGGCTCACGCCTATAATCCCAGCACTTTGGGAGGCTGAAGCGGGCGGATCATGAGGTCAGGAGATCGAGACCATCCTGGCTAACACGGTAGAACCCCGCCTCTACAAAAAATTAGCCGGGCGTGGTGACGGGAGTAGTCCCAGAGAATGGCGTGAACCCAGGAGGCGGAGCTTGCAGTGAGCCGAGATCGCATCACTGCCCTCCAGCCTGGGCAACAGAGTGAGACTTCGTCTCAAAAAAATAAATAAATCATAAATAAAAAATAAATTAAATAAACCCTGTTTTTTGAGAGGATCTTATAGAAGTCCCTCAGAGTAGCAACAGTATACACACTGCTGGAAAAGTACCGTTCCTTCCTGATATGGTTTGGCTGTGTCCCCACCCAAATTTCATCTTGAATTCCCATGTGTTGCGGGAGGGACCCGGTGGGAGGTAACTGAATCATGGGGGAGGGTCTTTCCCATGCTGTTCTCGTGATCGTGAATAAGTCTTACAAGATCTGATGGTTTTGAAAAACGGGAGTCTCCCTGCACAAGCTCTCTCTTTGCCTGCCACCATCCACGTAAGGTGTGTCTTGCTCCTTCTTGCCTTCCACCATGATTGTGAGGTTTCCCCAGCCACGTGGAACTGTGGATTCTCCATTAAACCTCTTTCCTTTGTAAACTGCCCAGTCTCCGGCATGTCTTTATCAGCAGCATGAAAACGGACTAATACACCCCACTGACTGGGTAAAAAAAGGACTCAGTGTTTCCAGGGCTCAACTGGCTGCTGGAATGCTATCAGACCCCTCCTCTTCGGTCCATAAGCACCCACCCCACTCGAGGTGGTAAGAAACTGTAACCCCTAACTCTGCTCTTTGCGCAGGGATCTCCCCTTTCTTTCCCCTGGGTCTCAGGAGGTCAGCAGTGCCAATGCAGCTTTCTCCTGTCTTCCTCAAATGCTGTGAGTGTGAACTTCCTGCACAGAGAACAGCTGCAGTGGGGTCCACCCTGGGACAGTGCTGCTCAATCAGGTATCAGTCAAGTGAGCATAAAGACTAATGTCACATACCTCTCTTCCCTACAGCAGAAGAAAGTGCCTGAAAAAGAGACCGAGTGGGCTGGACTAACCTTTAGTATTTAAGTACCGTTTTCTCACATGTCTTAGTCACGTAGGGAAGCCACTAAAAGGTGAATTGTAAGTGGGGAGAAGAAAATGGATCTGTGGAAATTAAACGGAAACTTATTTGAAATATGATGGAGGTGACACTCTGCAATTTGCCTCCCAGCCCAGGTCACAGACTTTCCATCCATCTCAGTGTGTCTCACTCTTCACTCAAAGCACCTGTTGATGCCAGGTGTGCTGGCTATCTCAGAAGACCATGAATGAATATAGGATTCTTCAGACGTCCCTATTTTGTTAGGGAGTATAATCCCAGGGAGCAGGGCCAAGGGAGAAAGGGAAGGAAGCAGAGAAGGAAAGAGAACCAACTCAGGAGGGCCAGTTACTGAGCTGCCTGCCACCAGGTGCCAATGATGGCTACATCTGTGGGCACTCATTCAAAATATATTTAACACTCATTAAACCCCAGGTGCTTCTCACAGAGAAATCATGTGAATGGCATCTAAAGTCTGTCCATGGGAATGCAGGGAAGGGAAGAATTGACCATCATCTCTTGCCTTCACTGGGCAAAGATTCACCCCAGAGGGCATTAACTCCCCAACACTTCCAGCTTGCACATGTATGGGCACCAGGCAGGTCTCTGCCCTGAGCCGGGAGGTGACCAGTGTGCACATAGGCAAGGCACTGTTGTACCTGTGTGATGTCAACTGGAGCCCATGTGCCACAGCAGCTGAGACAAGAGGCAGGTGAGGGCAAGAGGATCTGAAGCACCATCCTGGGAAGCATTAGAAGAACAGGACTATAGCAACTGTTTGCAACTCTGCACTGGGACATCTAGACCTGTGTCTTGGTGGCAGCCAGTATAATGTGAAAAAGCCAGACTCTCCCAGAGACCCAAGTGACACCAAGCACGTACTAAGTCTGAGCAGTAAATGGGACTTCACAGGCCTTTGTGGTCTTCTGAAAATGTTCTACGCTCTGGTTCATAATCCACATCCTCCACCACTTTGGAACCCAGCAGAATCATAATCCAACCCTCTCTCCTCCAGGAAGGCAGTTAGAAAAGAGGTGTCACAAGTCTGCAGTCAGCCCATGTTCAAGTACCAGGTCTGCCACCTACTGGCTTCGTGACCTTCTGCAAGATTCCTAAACTTGCTTGAGCCTCAGTGTCTTCCTCTGTAAAATGGGAAGTTGTGCTATCAAATGACATCATTGAATGTAATGTTTAGCCAGCCCATTGTCCAGCTCCAGCTCCCCATAAATCCTCCACAAATAGAAGTTGTTGTGATTATTATGCCGCCAAACTCTGTGTACCTCCGGGAGCATCAGGTTTCTCAGGGGAAAATTAGGATGGTGTGATACACCGAAAGGATTCTAAACCTTTAAATATATCATCAACTTCTCCCCCCTTGTGGGCAAATAGGAAACTTGGCAACAGGAAAATGGGCTGAAACAGAAATAAAATTGGGTAGTAAAATTAGCATCACATTTTTCCATCTTTGTTCAGGCCCCATCAGGAGTGGGTCAGTTCTGGAAGAAGGGAAATGAATTCATCCTAAAAGAGAATCTGGTATTCTTTGCCCCACTGTCAGACTCAGTGTTTCATCCTCAAGGTGATGCTTGTGAATGACTTCATACTTTTATGAAAATAGTCCCGAGTGCTTAACTTTTCATAAGCAGACATACCCTATTCCTTGACACAAAGAGGATCCATGCTACTTTGCTTTTTGAGTACTTAACAATCAAGGCCGGACACAGTGGCTCACGCCCACAGCAATCCCAGCACTTTGGGAGGCTGATGCAGGTGGATCACTTGAGCCCAGGAGTTCAAGACCAGCCTGGCCAACATAGTGAAACCCTGTCTCTACTAAAAATACAAAAATTAGCCAGGCATGGTGGCTTGCACCTGTAATCTCAGCTACTCAGGAGGCTAAGGCAGGAAAATCTCTTGAACCTGGGAGGCAGAGGTTGCAGTGAGCCGAGATCGTGCCACTGCACTTGAGCCTGAGTGACAGAGTGAGACTCTGTCTAAAAAAAAAAAAAAGAGGAAGAAAAAGAAAGAAAGAAAGAGAGAGAAAAAAGAATCGTAGCTTTTTTTTCTTGCTTTCAGTTAGTTAAGGACCTTATTGCCCCCCCCCCCACCCCCGCCAGGTGTCTACACAGCTCTGAATTTGTGCCAGGCCTCACACTGGGCTTGGGGATAGGGAGCTGAGCCTCTAGGGGAAAATTGCTTAGAAGGGAACACACGTCCCGAGATAGGTGCACATAAAGAGGCAGGCATTTGTTTAACAGACACTCACTGAGCACTTCCTAAGCCCAAGAGCTGTGCTGAAAGTCAAAGACTGAGTGTCAACCGGGCACAGTGGCTCATGCCTCTAATCCCAGCCCTTTGGGAGGCTGAGATGGGAGGATCGCTTGAGCTCAGGAGTTCAAGACCAGCCTGGGCAATATGGTGAAACCCCATCTGATTTTAAAAATAAAATTAAGACAACACAAAGCCTTAGTGCCTGCCCTCTGCAAACTTAGTGTCTAGAGGAAGATACTGACAAATAGATGATTACAATACAACGGGGCTGAGAATGGGAACGGGAGAGCACAGCAACATGCCCTTTCTAGAGATGTAGCTCCAAGAGTCCACACCAAGCTTCAATGCAGCTAAGCCAGCCTACACTCAGTTCCCGGCACACCTCAGTCTTCCAGTCTCTGGTTATTGGTTCAGACCACTCCTTCCACTTAAATGGAATGTTTATATTTTATGTTTATCAAATAAGCATCCATTTTTTAAAGGATTAATGAGCATTCATCTACAAGATCCTTTTCTACCCAAGTCAAAGCCACCAATTCGTATTACCAAAATTTCCCAGGGCCCAGGGCCATGAGGTTTAGAGAGAGGGAGAATTTCCTCTCACCCCATAAAAGGCCTGCTTAGCAAGCTCCTCTTTCCAGTCTCAGAACTTCCCAGAGATGACAATGTGCAAGTCCATACCCTTCGGTGGAAGTGTTCCACCCCATGCCCAGGAGCTGTATCAGGGGAGGCTATACCCATGCAGTGTGGGGGGCGAGGGAATGGGGATGTAGCTCTATCTCCCAAATTACCCAAAGAATGGACAGCTCCTTGCCTTTTCATTTTCAAATGTTTTATTGATACATAACATTCATATAGAAAATTGCACAAATCATAAGGTATAGCTAGATGAATTCTCTCGAAGGAATACCTCCCTCCATAAAACTACCCGGGTCAGCAACTATGTTTACACTTTTGATATGTCTTAAACTCTAGGTTATTCCATCTTAAAGAGTTGAGATTTGCTGAGCCCAGACCAAGTCTGTGTGGTCCCTTCTCCAGCACGAGGCCAAGGTGATGCCAGCCTGCTCTTCCTATGCGCTTGGGGTCTCTGCTCCTCCTTCCAGCAAACAGCGAAGTTGGACCTAATATACACAGCTCCACAAGAACCACAGCAGTGTTTGCAGACAAGCCACAGTGTGAGTCCACAGGCAGAAAGAAGCCGTTTCCCAAAGGAAACATTGGCTGCAAAGATATACCTCTGCCTACCATGAAGACAGTCTTTGAATCCTTAAACAGGGCAGCAATGACTGCTTCCAGCCATAGCCTCTCAATTAAACAGCCCATTCAGGTAGACTTCTCTTAAAAAGGGACAGTTTCCATTAAAAGCATATTCAAGACTTTACCCCTTGCATGACTAGAAACCCTTGAGGGTGCTGAAATGATCTTTTCCCCATCTTTTATCTAATCCCAGAAATGTTTCAAAGAACTACAATTAAATTTCACTTTCCCCCAGAGGCCTCTGAAAGGAGGACGCTTCTCCCTAGCACACGACATAGGACAGGGAGCTTTGCCAGGAGATGGAGGCAGCAGAAGAGACATTTCACTGCGATCCTGGGACCACCTGCCATACCCACAAATACTCTCTTTCCTTCACGATCAGCTAAAGTGCAATTCCTGCTCAGCCTTTCATGCCCACTCCAGGGACCTCATCTGGTATTTGCCAAACACTTTCTCATATACTAAATCTTTTCACTTGCCCTGGTACTTTATGGTTACCTAAGGCTCAGACAAACTCATTAACTCCACAGACTTCCCAAACATCCCCTTGGTGCCAGACACTGAGTTAGGAGCTGAATACATCAGGGACAGCTTACTGATCACCAAATTTTATCTCCCCTTTTAATAAAGTTGTCCCTGGGAGCTGGCTTCCAGACCAGGAACTACATCTCCCATCCTCCTTGCATTAGATGGGGCCACGTGGCCATTTCTCAACAAAGGTAAGTGAGTAAAAGTGATGTGTGTCATTCCTGAGAATAAGTGTTAAGAAGTGTGGCTGCCCTACCCCCTCTTCCCTTATCCACTGGCTGGATACAGAGGACTCCAAAGCAGCAAGGCATGGAAAAGCCACAGAGTAGGAGCCAGAGTCCCCAGATCACCAAGGAAGGGAAAATCACCCACCAACCCAGAATATCTGCATGGGCCTATTATGTGATTGAGAAATGGATTTCCGCTGTGCTAAGCTACTGAAATATGTGGGATTATTTGTTACATCACTAGTATTACTCTGACTTTACAATGAACAAGATATGCTCTCTATCACAGAGATGCTGATGTACAGAACATTTAGTCTTGCATTTTAGAAATCTCTTTCTAGGTCGGGCACGGTGGCTCACACCTGTAATCCCAGCACTTTGGGAGGCTGAGGCAGGCGGATCACCACGTCAGGAGTTTGAGACCAGCCTGGCCAATATGGTGAAACCCCATCTCTACTAAAAATACAAAAAAATTAGCCAGGCATGGTGGCGCACACCTGTAGTCCCAGCTACTTGGGAGGCTGAGGAAGGAGAATCGCTTGAACCTGGGAGGCAGAGGTTGCAGGGAGCTGAGATCGTGCCACTGCACTCCAGCCTGGGCAACAGAGCAAGACTTTGTCCCAAAAAAAAAAAAAAGAAAGAAAGAAATCTCTTTCTAGCAACAAGATGGAGAATAGACTGAAGTGCCTCCTAAGAAGGAAGACACATATAGATATAGATATAGATACACACACACCTATATATGTATATATACCCACCTATATATACATATATCTGTCAGCTATTAATTTTATTTTTTCAAATCCAACATTTATTCTCCCTTCTTATAACATCCTAATTTTTCTTAATCCATGTAGTTTAAGTAGAACTGATTAAGTAGAACCAGTTCTAAAGGTCAATCAGAGCCATCAGAGCTACACTGGGGCCTTTTCTGGAAGAATGAGAGAGAGGCATCCTCTTTCCTCAGTGGTCTACTAAGAGATAGATTGTGGGACTGGTGCCCATGGCAGCCATCTTGCCTCCATCAGTGGAGATTGCTGAAAATGGAATGAAGGAGGAGAGGAGGTGGAGCGGGTTCAAACATCTGGCCTATGATCCATTTTCCTCTCAATCACTAGGGGGATTTGTAGGGAAAGAGGACAAATGACCTGGTCTAATTTATTTGTAAATATGCTGATAACTGACCTCTTGATAAATAGTTTCAAGAAGAAAAGTCCTTATTTATGGAATGTTGTTAGCAAGATTTCCTTGGCCTAGAACTGCTTATGGTAAACAAATGTAGAATCGATGGATAAATGAGGCACATAAAAATTGAAAATGGCACATAAGCTCAGCAACAATCTTGGAAGAAAATGGAGATGTCTCATAATATAAACACTCCTTGCTGTGTAAGATGAACACAAACATTACTTAGAGACCTCATCTTATTGCTCTCAGCCAGAAAGTATGTCTCATACAGGAAAGAAGGACCTGGGGAACCACATGGGATATCTCACAGCTCTCTCTGTATTCAGTTATCTATTGCTGTGTAACAAATTTCTTCAAAATTTAATGGTTTAAACAACATCGTTTTATTCTCTCTTGTATTCTCTATGGGTCAGGAATTTGGACAGGGCACAGCTGGGTCAGATTTTCTTTGCTCCATAGTGTCTGAGGCCTCCCCTGGAAACACTGAGAAACTGGAAGTGACTCAGTGGCTGGGGCTGGAATTGCCGGAAGTCCTGTTCACTCGCATGTCTGGAGATGGGTGCTGCCTGGGAGCTCAGCCCATGCTAAGGATGGCATTCCTCCCCACGTGGCCTCTCCACAGCTTTCTTTGCTTCCCCACAGCATAGTGGCTGGACTCCAAGACTGCAAATCCCAAGAGGAACAGGCAGAAGCCATATCACCTTTTACGACCTAGACCCGAATGTCATCTAGTGCCACTTCTGTTGTGTTCACATGCCCACCCAGGTGCAATCGAAGGCAACATGGACCTCACCTCTTGAGGGAAAGGTGACAGTGTCACACAATGAGAAGGGCACATGGGATGGGAGAGCTTGCTGGGGCCATCATGGAAAGTGCAGTCTGCCTCATGCTGGTTTCCCCTGTGCCGTCAGATTGCTTATATATTTGAAATTACTAGCAAAGGTGAGATCTCCAATTTGACAGAGGAGTTCAGAGTCAAGAGATAATGAACAAGAAAACGACTTAATGGGCCGGGTACGGTGACTTATGCCTGTAATTCCAGCACCTTGGGAGGCCGAGGCAGATGAATCACTTGAGACTGGGAGTTCAAGACCAGCCTGGCCAACATGGCGAAACCCCATCTCTATTAAAAAGTACAAAAAATTAGTCGAGCGTGGTGGTGCACACCTGTAACCCCAGCTACTTGGGAGGCTGAGGCAGGTGGATTGCCTGAGCCTGGGAGGTGGAAGCTGCAGTGAGCCAAGATCGCACCACTGTACTCCAGTCATGGTGACAGAGTAAGACTCTGTCTCAAAAACAAACAAACAGACAAACAAACAAAAAAGAAAGATAGTTAATAACCATGTCTGTGCTATATATCTGACTGTGCCTGAAGTCAAAATAATCCTAGCGCTGCCCAACTGCATGAGCCAATACATCCTCCTTTTTATGTAAGCCTGTTTGAGTTTTCTTTCCCTTGTAATCAAAATATTTAAGAATAACATAGTGTGTATATATTATTTACCACCCTATAAGGTGGTACTTTAAACTGTTTTTTGTTTGTTTATGAGATGGAGTCTCACTCTGCTGCCCAGGCTGGAGTGCCATGTGGCACAACTTGGGCTCACTGCAACCTCTGCCTCCTGGGTTCAAACAATTCTCCTGCCTCAGCCTCCCGAGCAGCTGGGATTACAGGCAGGTACCACCACACCCAGGTGATTTTTGTATTTTTAGTAGAGAAGGGGTTTCACCATGTTGGCCAGACTGGTCTCAAACATCTGACCTCGGGTGTTCCACCCACCTTGGCCTCCCAAAATGCTGGGATTACAGGCATGAGCCACCGTGCCTGGCCACTTTAAGCTGCTTATAAAAATATATACATACTGGGCTGGGTATGGTGGTTCATACCTGGAGGCCAATAGTTCAAGACCAGCCTGTACCACATGGCAAGACTCCACCTCTACAAAAGAAATTTTTAATTAGCTAGGTGTGGTGGCTCATGCCCTGTCATCCCAGCACTTTGGGAGGCTGAGGCAGGAGGACTGCTTGAGGCCAGTAGTTCAAGATCAGCCTGGCAACATAGTGAGACCCTGTCTCTTCAAAAAGTAAAAATAGAAATACAGATTTGGTCAGCAATAATACTTTTAAAAGCTGACTATAGACAAGACATTCTGCTAAGTGCTGAAGATAAATGGATCAACACAATAGGCAAGATTTCTGACCTCATGGAGCTTCCTTCCAGCAAGAATCATTGTCATCGGATAAGTGACAGTTGAGGCCATGAGTGTGCATGAGGCCAACCAGGAATGTAGTCTTGGGTAAGTTGCAGACCATATTTCAGGGCTAAGCTGAGGCAAGGATCCCTCAAAGGAGATTGAGAAGTAATGGCCAGAGAGGGGAGATTAAAACCATAAGGAATGTCCTAAAAGCCACCCAGGAGAGAGTATGTAGACTATATATGAAAGTGTTTAGGCCAGGCACGGTGGCTCACACCTGTAATCCCAGCACTTTGGGAGGCCAAGGTGGGTGGATCATGAGATCAAGAGATTGAGACCATCCTGGCCAAAATGGTGAAACCCCATCTCTACTAAAAATACAAAAATTAGCTGGGCGTGGTGGAGGGCACCTGCAGTCCCAGCTACTCGGGAGGCTGAGGAGGGAGAATCGCTTGAACCCGGGAGGTGGAGGTTGCAGTGAGCCGAGATCGCGCCACTGCACTCCAGCCTGGCAACAGAGTGAGACTCCATCTCAAAAAAAAAAAAAAAGGTTTTAGTAAGGTATTATGCAATAATACCTTCAATAATTATTATTTTTTGCTCTCATCTCTACCTTTTTAAAATCATTTTTTAGGTATTTGCCTTACCTGAGTTTCTTGAGGATGGGGACATTTTCCACCTTGGTGCCCTTGAATGACCTGGTGAGTGTCTTCCATGCTAAGTCAGTGTTTGTGGAAGTATCATGTCTATTCATTATTGTGAGTGAGAGAAAGAGAGAGAGAGAGAGAGAGTGTGTGTGTGTGTGTGTGTGTGTGTGTGTGTGTGTGTGTGTGTGTGTTAGATAATCAAGCTACTTGAGGGCAGGGGCTGGAGAGAGGCTTTGGTTTGAGTTCTTTATCATCAGATGCCCTAGCAATTCAGTCACTCAATCAATATGTGTTGAAGTTATTTATCCTCTGTTCCAGTAGCTAAGCCTTCATGTATGATCTCTGAGCTCAGATGTGCCGCCTGTAGGGAAACGCTTTGTTTACTGCTCTCTAATCCCTGTTGTTCCTTTGCACAGGGTGTTCTCACAGGACTATTTTCGTTTCATTGTTAGAATCAAGGTTTCCAAGACTAATAAGCAGAGCACTTGACCTAAACAAACCAGTTCAGCTGAGATATGAATAGGCAGCCATAGCTGCACAGAAATCATGACCAGAAAGGACCTAAGGGGCATCTAGTGATGGATGAGTCTAGGCCAGCCCCCTTGTTACACAAGTGAGGAATAAGTATACAGAGAATTTCCAAAAATTGTCCAAGGACACAGCTAGTTAATGGCAGAGCTAGAATTGGAATTGAATACACAGACTCCCAGGCCTTTGATCCTTATACCATTCCCAAGGTTTCCTCTTAAACTGAGTTCATCTATAAGCCTCGAGTACTGCACCCTAAGTGATTCTGCAATTCACATATGATGTGATTAATGCTCCAGAGGGACTGCTAATAGTCCAGCTCTCTGGGTGGGCACAGATGAACGAATACATGAATTGCTGATCACACCACTGCATGGTTATTTCCATACTTATATACTAATGTTTCTAATCAACATTCATTATGGCATAATATTTGTAAAGGCCTGAGACTGGAAAGTTCTTCAGACTCAGATCTTATACTCTTTGCAAGACCTTTGTATCACCATCTTTCTTTAAGCAGCTGCCACTTTAGGGCAGCTGGATGAGAAAATACCATCAATCATGCAAAGCAACAGCAGCAGCAGCAACTTTAAAGTGGTCGTCGCTCCTGTCATCTCACCTTAGGTCCTAATCCTTTTGTGACACGATCGTCTTCTCCAGTGGCAACTAATTATGATGTCACAAATAGAGGATTATAACTGTAGTCGAGGAACAAACAGTAGGAGAAGAAAGATCCTGTTTCCATGTCAGTGTTTCTGGAAAATTTGCTTTTAGGGAAAACACAAAATAGAAAATTGACTTTAATTTCACATTTAATAATAAGAAGAATAAGAATATCTAACATGTCTTGAGTCTCTTTCTAAGAGCCAAATACTTTGCTGAGTTCTTTTTCACATACGTGATCCCAGTTAATATCTATAACAGTCCTGCAAAGGAGAAATTAGTCACAATTCACCAAAATGGAAAAGTAGATTTAGAAAGGTTAAGTGAATTCTCCAGAGTTTTTATAGCTAGCAAGTGGCAGAACCAAAATTTCCTACAAGTGAGCTATGGGATGAAATTAGATCTTCAAAATGTGGAATAAGATATGGAAAAATTCCATAGACCCATAGGTTCTTAAACCACAAATGGCAGACAGAAGTTATTGTCCCTTTTATAGATGAAGTTCCTGACACCTGGAGATGTTAAAAAGCTTTCCCAAATTCCCAGAGTTAGTAAGTAGCAGAAGAAAAAAACAACAACAACACCGTTCCTTTTTTTTTTTTCTGAGACCTGGCTTTGTCACCCAGGCTGAAGTGCAGTGGCATGATCTCTGCTCACTGCGACCTCTGCCTCCCAGGCTTAAGCGGTCCTCTCACCTCAGCCTCCCAAGCAGCTGGGACTACAGGCATGCACCACCGCACCCAGCTAATTTTTTTTGTTTTTTTGTAGAAATGGGGTTTGGCTTTGTTGCCCACACTGGTCTTGAACTCCTTAGCTCAAGCAATCTGCCCACCATAGTCTCCCAAAGTGCTGGGATTACAGGTGTAAGCCATGGCACCTGGCCAAAAAACCTTTTCTGTTCATACTCCAGCACACTGCCCTATAAGTAACTTTAATCATTACTGAGCATCTAATATATACTAGGAACTGTTCTGGACACATAAATTATCTCATTGAATTCTTGCAACAATCTTATCAGGCAGTTATCACTATCCTCATTTTATAGATTAGGAAATTGAGGCAAAGAGAAATGGAAAATTTAAATACACCAAAACCCAGGTCTCCCTACCTCTGGTTTGACTTATATCACGTTATGTACTAAACACTGGAAGACTGAATTTCCTTCATCATCAGAAAAATAAGCTTTCACTCACCTACCACGTGCTTCAAATTTCTGCCATTTGATTCATTCCTCCCAAATTATGATATTATATTATTAGAAGAAAATGTCTGCCAGGTGCAGTGGCTCATGCCTGTAATCCCAGCACTTTGGGAGGCCGAGGCTGGCAGATTGCCTGAGGTCAGGAGTTCAAGACCAGCCTAGTTAACGTGGTGAAACCCTGTCTCTACTAAAAATACAAAAATTAGCCAGGCGTGGTAGTGCACGCCTGTAGTCTCAGCTACTTGGGAGGCTGAGGTAGGAGAATTGCTTCAACCCGGGAGGTGGAGGTTGTAGTGAGCCAAGATAGCACCACTGCATTCCAGCCTATGTGACAGAGCAAGACTCTGTCTCAAAAAAAAAAAAAAAAGTCAAACGTCCACCAATATCCATCTTCCCCTCCTCATTACTAAGTCCCCTTGCAGTTTGCAGTGGAATGTAAGGAGAAGCAAAACATGCTACCTACCTCTGGCCTCCACCTCAAGACCATGGGTGTGTCTCCTTTGTGTGCCCTTCCCTGTGGCTGGACATTGACATGAAGGCACCTGAGCTTCAGCTACATGGATGAGAGCAACACCCTCAGAGATGGTGGAAAAGTGAAATGGAAGAAGCCTAAATCCTTGAATGACTCTTTGGAGCAGACCCACCTACCAATCTGGCACATTTACTTCATACTGTTTTCTGAGAAAGAGGAAAAATTCTGTCCTTTTTGAGCCACCAAATTATTGAGCAATAATAAATATCTATTGTTTTAAGCCACTGAGTTACCTTGTCACATAGCAGTAGCAGCTGATGCAGGTAGTATACTGAACATCTTTCACCAGGCCTCTTCATGGTTCTAGCAACAGGAAGTGACTAGCTAAGCAGAAGATAATTTCTTGAAAGACTATTGCATGATCCATAGAATTAAGAGGAAGCCTGCAGACGCAACTTCAGGAAAACAGGCAGGAAGAAGGGAAGTTAGGCAGTTGGACTTATGCCCCAAAATTATTATACCATAGGAACCACTTGGCGATGTCACCCCAGTGGCCACTGCAGGACCCTGGACACTAGACTCCAGAGCTAACAGCAGGAACTGGACGTCATATGTGTCACCATGACCACCATGGCTCCTGGAGTCTGTTGTCACTGCTATCAGAACAAATTTCCCCCCATCCTTGCTTCCTTGCCTCTCTTGTGCCAGAGTCTAAGCCAAGGCCAGAAACTCCGACTGGCCATAGCTAGATTAAGTACCCAAGCTTTGCCTGCTCAGGAAGGGGGTACGTAGCCAGCTTTTTCAGCAATTCTAGTCCCATTACGACTCCTATAGGAGAGATGTTCAGTTGTCAGGCAGCCAAAACATAAAAATAAAAAACTACAAATTGTCCTCCCAGAAGAAAAATGCTTCCAGATCAATATGGTTCTGTGGAAACTCTCAGGTTTTAAAAGCTCTCTGATGGCTGTTGGTTCCTCCAAGCTCTTTATATTCAACTTCCTGGTTTATCTTCATCAGGGGCTCTTTCCATTATGAGTGACAGAAACTTAATTAAAACTATTACGGTATTTTTTTCAAAAAGAAGAGGGCTTACAGGCGCAAACAAGTAAAAAGCACAGGCATGTCTGGGTTCAAGGGCCTGCATGATGTCATCGGGCCCCTTCTCTCCCAGTCTCTGCTCTGTGTCCTCGAAGGCCCTCCATTGTCACTGTGGTCCCCCCGTCACTGTGGCAAGACACAGGGCTGCCTCCTGAGGCATGCGTTCTCTCCTCCTCATGCACCCAGACCAGAGAGAGATCCTCTCCCCAGCAGTTCACAAAAATCTTGGGATGGCATCTCAATGGGATCTAACATGTCATTGCTGAGCCAGCCACCAAGGGCAGGGAGTACAGCAGGTCACATTGCTACACCGAAAGACAGCTCCAGCTGGGCACAGTAGCTCACCCCTGTAATCCCAGCACTTTGGGAGGCCGAGGCGGGTGGATCACAAGGTCAGGAGTTCAAGACCAGCCTGATCAACATGGTGAAACCCCATCTCTATTAAAAATACAAAAATTAGTCGGGCGTGGTGGTACACGCCTGTAATCCCAGCTACTCGGGAGGCTGAGGCAGGAGAATCACTTGAACCTTGGAGGCGGAGGTTGCAGTGGGCTGAGATCTTGCCACTGCACTCCAGCCTGGGTGACAGGGTGAGACTCCGTCTCAAAAAAAAAAAAAAAAAATAGCCAGCTCCACCCAAACCAAAGGGCAGTCAAACCAAAGGGCAGTGAATGCAGGCTTGCATTCACTCAGGAAAAGCAGGCTGCTAATATCAGAGGGAAAAGGGAAAGGAAGCCGGGTAGGCAAAAACAAGAGATGTCTATTACAAGGGTCAATCAGCGGCCTAGCCCAGGGTCCCACGGGTTGCAACAGAGGTTTTAAAATATAAACCAAATAAAGGAGCCCCAAGAAATCAGGGGTCTATCGCCCACCTTCTGTGAAGCTTAGCTTTGCACTAACAATATAGACCTAAGCATTTGTCTGAAAGGATAAAAACACAGTTTGCTGTAGTAGAACAGGGTGTCTCAACCTCGGCACTGTGGACATTTGGGGCTGGCTGATTCTTTGTTGTGGGGGTTGCTGTGTGCGTTGTAGGATGTTTAGTAGCATCCCTGATCTCTGTCTGCCCACTGGATGCCAATACCACTCCCACCTTCAACTGCTGCTGTGAAACCAAAAATGTCTCCAGACATTGGCAAACATCCCCTGCGAGGAGAAATTGCTGCCCCATCCCCCACTGAAAACCACCACGGTAGAAAGCATGAGAGCAGAAAGTTCTAAACATGAGGCTCAGCCGGGTCCCTCTGAAGTCCTGGGGCCTACACAGTTGGAGTCCGGGACAGGAGAACTGGGTTTGTAGAGGCTGGATAACAGAGCCAGAGATCTCCAGGCCTGTTCAAATCCTTGTTTGGGCCTGGCCTCAGTGGCCCCAGGGTCTCTCCTCTAATTCAAGTTTAACGTGATCACAAGTTCTACCACTTACTGAGTGCCTTACAAGGCCTCCCCAGGTGCACTTTCTCACTTAACCATCACATCGACACTCCAGTACAGGTGTTACCTTCATTTCACAAAGGCAGAAACTGAAGCTCTGAGAAATTAACTGCCCCCAAAATCACAGTTAGTAGGCCGGGTGCAGTGGCTCACCCATGTAATCCCAGCACTTTAGGAAGCTGAGGTAGGTGGATCACTTGAGCCCAGGAGTTCGAGACCAGCCTGGCCAACATGGCGAAATCCCATCTCTACTAAAAAATACAAAAAATTAGCCAGGCATGGTGGCACACTCCTGTAACCCCAGCTACTCAGGAGGCTGAGGAGGGTCAGCTGAGCCCAGGAGGTCAAGGCTGCAGTGAGCCGAGATCGCACCACTGCACAATAGCCTGGGCAACCGGAGTGAGACCCTGTCTCAAAAAAAAAAAAAAATTACAGTTAGTAAATGCCCGAACTGGGATTCAAATCGATGTCTTGGTCTCCAGGGTCCTTGCCCAGTTCCAATATACCCTGGGGCCTCTCTGCATTTCCACCTTTGGTGGTATTCCCCATCCAGGCTCCCATGACTGTGGTTTCTGTTCCAGGTTCTCATTTCTTTGAGATTTTATTTTATACTTTCTCTTATTCTTCTCTCTGAACTATGTGGATTATGCTTTAAGAACTTAAATCTCTTTATCTCTCTACAGGTCTAAAATAACAAAGGAACCTAATGACAGTAATGATAACTATTGCTCACCCTCACATGAATGACCATACTTCACTATTTCTCTTGGAGATCTGGGCATTTTAAAGATTTGTTTCATGCATTGATTTAGAATTACAGGATTTAAATTTATCACTTAAGAGGCATCATAGCATGCTGAAGGGGCAAATGCCTGGGACTCAGAGGACCTGGGTTTTCACTCTGGTCCTGCTGCAGACATGCTGTGTGACCTCAAGAAAATGACTTAACATCTCTGGATCTCATTTGTTCAACTATAAAATTGGGAGTCTGGAATTTTTTTTCCTCATAGAGACAGGGTCTCACTCTGTTGCCTACGCTGGAGTGCAGTGGTATGATTGAAGCTCACTGCAGCCTCAAACTCCTGGGCTCAAGTGATCCTCCTGCCTCAGCCTCCTGAGTAGCTGGGACTACTGGCTCATACCACCACACCTGGCTAATTTTTGTATTTTTTGTAGAGAAAAAGTCTCACTATGCTGCTCACACTGGTCTCAAACTCCTGGCCTCAAGCAATCCTCCCACCTTGGCTTCCCAAAGTGCTGGGATTATTGCCTGGAGCCATCACACCTAGCAGCCTGGAATTATCAATCTACAAGAATTCTTCCAGCAATTTGATGAAGGCACTAGTCTAAAGTTAACTCCATAACCATTTAAAAAATCTTTAAAATATTCAGAATAGGTTTAAAATAAGTAGCAAGTGCTGCTTCACCGGGAGGTGGCTGGAGAGAGCTCTCTGAGTAAAATAACAGCTTATAGTTGACTTCAGTTCCATGAGGACAGAGAAGGGGGCAGGGCTGTGTCACCTGAGTCTTGATATAAACATTAATTAAAAATGCATGCCCAGGCAGAAGGAGGACACCCGGTGCATTAGTGATGGCCCTCGGATGTCTACGTTGCAGGATTGACAGGGATCTGGACAGGAGGCAGGAGGTGAAGCATGCCTTGAGGCCCTGCCGAGGAACAGGGTGGACAGAGAGCCGGCTCAGAAGTCTCTCCCCATGGGGTTTAGGGTGTAACCCTGGCACAGAAGGAGCCGACCACTGAGTATTAGGTGAGCATGTTTCATTTAGCAAGAGACGTGGGGACAGACACTGCATCTCTCACACCCCAGAGCACTCACAGGCCAGCCCCCAGCCTTCTGCCTCGAAGCCTGCAGGCCATGACAGAAAACAGCTACACCACAGTCAGAAACGGGAGCCCTGAAGCAGAAAGGCCTGTCCCTCCTGCCAGGAGCCAGTGACCTCTGGAGATAGGAAGGACTTTGTAGCGTGGGCACCCTCCCTCGCTCTCCCTCTCTCTCGCTGATCCCTAGGCCAGCTGCTGTCCAGTCGTTTCTGTTTTGAATCCTCTAATGGATCCTCAAAGCCTAAGAATCGGAAACTTATCTAAGCTTTGTGGTAGAGAAGGTTGGAGAACTCGAGGACAAACCCCTGGGGAATAGCCAGAGAAAGGAGTCTCCCCCTCTTTCTGCCTCCACCATAGGCCATGTCCCTTCCCACCTCCTGCTGCCTGGCCACAAACTCCATGTGGGACTATGGCCCAGTGGATCTGAGAAGCCACCCACTTCCTCCCCCGGCTCCTCAAGTCCTGTGCAAATACAAAGGTCAAGCTAGGTAAGCACAGGTTTCTGTCCTGGTCACAGTAACAGGGAGTCTGTTGCAAGCAATGGAGAGGATTTTGGAATGTCGCATAGCTCCTGGCTGGGCAAGGTGGCTGGGAGTCATCCCGCCTGCAGGTAGACAGAGGGTGTGGAGCTCAGGGATCATGAGTAAGCAGTGGGAAGTGGACATTGGTTTTTGTTTTGGCTTGGGGTGTGGGTTTTTTTTGGTTTTTATTTATTTATTTATTTTTGGGACAGCTCTATTACCCAGGCTGGACTGCAGTGGTGGAATCATAGCAAACTCCTGGGCTCAAGTGATCCTCACACCTCAGCCTCCCAAATAGCTGGGACTACAGGTGTGTGCCAACACGCCCAGCTAATTTTTTAAAGTATTTTGTAGAGGCAGGGGGTCTCACTATATTGCCCAGGCTGATCTCAAACCCCTGGCCTCAAGTGATCCTCCCGTCTTGGCCTTCTAAAGTGCTGGGATTACAGGTGTGAGCCGCTGTGCTCAGCCCAAGAACGGACACCTTGAGAGTGGCTAGACTTAGAGTCTGTATAGCAGAAGCACGTAGGCTGAGAAGACGGATTACAAAAAACATCATAGTAAAATTTCCTCCTCAACACAGATGAGATGCTGTGTTTCCAGTGCCAGATCACTTTAGGATTATCAGGAAGTACAATGGTGAGAACAGTCATATAAAAAGTTTGCAAAAATTCTAAAGTCACAGCTAAAAGAATAGTCAGCAGTGGCTCCTCTGTGCCTTCCAAGCTTTTAGCGATGTGCTAAGAAAGCTTCACTGACTCCTCCAGGCAGAATGAAGCATCCTCCATCCACTCGACCCATACCTCCTCTATTACATCCAGAGAGGGTGTGGCCTTCATCTGCTTTGTTTACCCTTGGACTCTCAGTATTTGGAACAGACTCTGGCACATGGGAGAGACTCAACTATCTGAAGGTTGGATGAATAAATGAATGATGATTTATAATTATTCATCTTCCTACTAAACCATATACCCCTTTAAATAATTATTTTTATATCCACAGCCCCTGTAGCAGTGTCTGGTACACACTACGTGATGATTAAATGTTTTCTGAATGAAGTGAAAGTTTCTGACGCCAACAGCAGGCACTGTTTGCTCTCTGGCTGTCCTGGGAATTGGGCACTTCCACCCCACACCCTCATCCCTCATCTAAGATTTAGATGAATTTCTGAGTTTTTCTCTTGACAAGGAATACATTCACTTCTTTCCCCTCCAAACACATGTGTGCGAATCATTTGTTTTGGCTAAAGATCAAGCCAGGCAAACACCTAGCCCCCTCTAACGTCAGAAAAACAAACATAGGATAAATTGAGGATGCAGCTTCAAGAGGAGAAAATGTCTACCCCTTTTGGCTCATTTGGGGAGTTTATTTTATAAGAAACTGTATTTGTAGGATTATAAATGAGAACGTCCAGACCTCCCAGGCTCTATGTGGGGACGCTAAACCTCCCCCATCAATCCCCTCAGGGTGTGTGGCTCCGGGACAGCACCCCCACCACCATATCTGCATAATAGACATAATTACTATTATCAGGGTGAGTGACAGAAACACTGTCATTAAAGATGTTGCATAATCTTACTTTTTTGTTTTTGCCTATGGTAAATTAAGATAGTTTTGCTCTTGCCTTGAAAGGATTCAGCTGTCCAGCTTCTCCTCCCATCCTCCTTCCTCCCGCCCTCCCAACCCATTTCCCTCCCCCGTTCCCCCAATTCCTCCTCCCTTTTGTTCCTATACCCATTATCCATGGACTGGACTCCCAATATTTTTCTCTGGACTCTAACCAAAAGCCTCACCTTTGTCCTTTCAATGTTGGGTTGAGACGTGTTCCCTGATTGGGTCACCATCCTCTGTTCAGGAGTCTGGGGAGCCATTCCTCCTGACCCCCACCCCCGCGGGCTGTCCAACTGTCTTGTCCTGGAATTACTGCTATGTCCAGGCTTCCGGAACTTCAGAAACGCATTTGTTGCACAGAACTCTCGGCTGTGGCTTGTTGGTGCAGTGGGAACTGAGCTTTATTTAGGTGGTGGTGTTTGAAGTAACTCCAGTGGTAGAGAAGCATGGGGCAAAGGCTAATCTTTGGCTGGAAGTGGATACCAGTTCTGAAAAGCAGGGAGTCTGAGCAGAAAGCCCACATGTTAATAAAAAACTAAAAGCAATTATAAAATTACCATTCGTATCAGTTTCCTAGGGCTGCAATTACTAAAAATTACCGTTAACTGGGTGGCTTAAAACAAGAGTGTACTCTCTCACAGTTATGGAGGCTGGTGCCACACACCATGTGCCACACGCCATGCTCCCTGGGAAACCTCTAGGGGAGGAGCCTTCCTTCCCTCTTAGCTTCCGGTGGCTCCTGGCTATCCTTGGCATTCCTTGGCTTGTAGATTTGTCACTCCAATCTCTGCCTGTGTCTTCACTTGAGCTTCTTTCCTCTGTGTCTGTCTCTGAGTGTCCCCACCTCTTTCAAAAACACCAGTCATTGGATACAGGGCCCACTTTAATCCAATATGATCTCATCTTAATTACATTTGCAAAGACCCTGTTTCCAAATTGGAGTGGACAAGAATTTGGGAGGGACACTGTTCAACCCAGTACACAATTTAAAAGACATAGGAAGAGAAACAAAATTTTAAGGCATTTTCTCTGGGTTTTTGTTTTTTTTTTTTTTCATATTCTCTTGCATAGCTTTCATATATCCTCTAGGGGAGAAGGGAAGCAATAAAAGGATATATTTTAATTTCTTGGTGGTAAAAATAAACTAAACCAATTTAAAAAAAAATAAGAAGCATTGGTTCTCAAGCAGGAGCAATTTTTGCCTCCGAGGAAACACTTGGCAATGTCTGGAGACATTTTTCCTTGTCATGACTAGGTGAGTGTCGCTGGCACCTAGAGATCAGGGATGCTATTAAACATCCTACAACGCACAGGTCAGCCCTTCACACAAAGGATTATCCAGCTCAAAACATCAGTAGTGCCGAGGTTGAGAAGCTCTGATCTGGCATGTAGAAAATCTCTTTAAAACCACGCTTTGATCATATTTCTCTCCTACTCAAATTGCTGCACATTATCTTTGAGAATTCAAGCTCCTTGGCCTTTCAAACCTTCCAGAATTTTCCCCAGGGTTCTCTTTCCAGCCTTGTCTCTCTCTCTCTTTTATTTATTTATTTATTTATTCTATTTATTTATTTTTGAGACAGAGTCTCACTCTGTCTCGCAGGCTGGAGTGCAGTGGCACCATCTCGGCTCACTACAACTTCCACCTCCCGAGTTCAAGGATTCTCTTGCCTCAGCCTCCCGAGCAGCTGGGACTACAGGCGCCTGCCCCCTTAGCTGGCTAATTTTTTGTATTTTTAGTACAGACAGGGTTTCGCCATGTTGGCCAGGCTGGTCTGGAACTCCTGACCTCAGGTGATCCTCCCGCCTTGACCTCCCAAAGTGCTGGGATTACAGGCGTGAGCCACCGCACCAGGCCTCTCTCTCTTTTTTTTTTTACAGCAAGAATTGTTTTTATTATTTTTCTTCAAAATTGCCTTGACTATTTTTGTTTTTTTTTTACTTTTATTTTTAAGTTCAGGGGTACAGGTGCAGGCTTGTTACATGGGTAAACTTTTGTCATGGAGGTTTTCTGTACAGATTATTTCATCACCCAGGTATTAAGCTTAGTATCCATTAGTTATTTTTCCTGATCCTCTCCCTCCTCCCACCCTCCACCCTCCGAAAAACCCCAGTGTGTGTTGTTCCCCTCTACATATCTATGTGTTCTCATCATTTAGCTCCCACTTGTAAGTGAGAACATGCAGTATTTGGTTTTCTGTTCTTGTGTTAGCTTCTAAGGATAATTGCCTCCAGGAGCTCCATCCATGTCCCTGCAAAGGACACAATCTCATTCTTTTTTATGGCTGCATAGTATTCCATGGTGTATATAGACCTCATTTTCTTTATCCATTCTACCATTGATGGGCATTTAGGTTAATTACATGTCTTTGCTACCAGCCTTCTGTCTTACTACTCCCTAACATGAACCTTTCCTGCCCAGCCCCCGGCTTGCACATACACTGCTCAGGCCCCTCACAGATCACTCTGCTTTGAAAATGTTTCCTTCCAGCCTTGCCTCAATCTCAAACCTCACCTGTACTTCAAGGACCAGCCCAAGCTCCACCTCCTTCTAGAAACTGTCTAGGACCAGCCCTCTCCCCTTCTCTCAGTAATCTCCAGCCATGTGGGTCACTGCACTGCCTAGCTAACACAGGAAATTACCTCTTCTTCTACCTCTCTTCTCCTCTTCTACCTCTATTCTCCTGGCTCGTTGTGTGGCTGACCGCTTCTTACTCTTTAGGTTTCAGCTTAAATGTCATCGACGCAGGGAGGCCCTCACTGACCTCCCGTTTACTCACCACGTTCTCTGTCATGGCTCTCTTTGGTTCCATCCTCATACTTGGCCCTGTAGTGTATCCTGTCTATTTAACTCAGCTTCCTTCCCTGCCTTTTTTCTCACACTGAGAAGAGGAATCTTGTCTACCTTGTTCCTCAATATATCCAGCCCCTTCACAATACCGTAAGTCTGATTTCCAATAAGTATTCTATCTGATAAATGAATGAAAAAATGAGTACCTTAACTCATAAGTAGGTGATTTGTTATTGAACTCTCAGGGTACATCTCTCTTATTCTCAAGAGCAGAGCTGCCTGCCTACTAGCACAGAGTTATGCATTGGGTAGGTATCTTGTAATTATGAATAAGTGCCTACCACAAATTTAATATCTACGGAGTTTACATTTGAGTATTTCTAGATTTAGACTCCACAGTGATCCTGCTTTATAGTTAATTCTAAATGGTTGATGGTGGGAGCCTGAAGCAGAATTCTGACTGATTAGGTAAATTACCTGGTAGGCGCTACATTCTAATGAAGATTTCAAAATTGCTTGCAGCCATGAAAAGGAATAAGATCATGTCCTTTGCAGGGACATGGATTAAACTGGAAGCCATCATCCTCAACAAACTAACACAGGAACAGAAAACCAAACACCGAATGTTCTCACTCATAAGTGGGAGTTGAATGATGAGAACACATGGACACAGGGAGGGGAACATCACACACTGGGGCTAGTTGTGGGGTGAGGGGCGAGGGGAGGCAGAGCATTAGGACAAACAGCTAGTGAGTGCGGGACTTAAAACCTAGATGATGGGTTGATAGGTGCGGCAAACCACCATGGCACACGATACGTCTGTAACAAACCTGCACATTCTGCCCTTGTACCCCAGAACTTAAAGTAAAATTAAACAAAACAAAATAAAATTGCTACACTTGTGCTGTTTAATGGCACTAGTATACCTCATATATTATCACTGGGCTTTATTGTAGGAATACATTTTCATCGGTCTGCTTGTCAAAAATCTATCCAGTTCTTTGCTCTGCAAAGACCTGACAGAGAGACTTCCACTCCCATTTTATTTTCCTCCCCTGGGGCAGATGCAAAGGAGAATTTTCACTGTATTTACATTGGCATTTTGCCATAATTTCCTCCATCGCCTGTGACAGAGAGGCTGTCTACTGATATCCCTGTTCCTTTTCTTTCATGGCTGTAGAATTTTCAGTTGGGCCACCTAGTTAGAAACCACATTTCCCAGCCTCCTTTGCACTTAAGCATGGCCAGGAGATAAAGTTATGGCCAGTGGGTTGCAAATGGAAGGTATGTGTGCAGCTTCCAGATCATGCACTTGAAAAATGAGTGTCTTCCCTTTCTTTCCTTCTCTGGCTTAAATGTGGATGTGGTAGTGCCAACCATGCAAATGAAAACAACATCCAAAGATGGCAGAACAACAAAGTGGAAGGCAACTGGGTCAACAACCTCATAGCCGCCATGCAGCCCAGATGAGGGGTCAGAAGGTTCCACAAGATAGAACTTTCTATTTTAAGTGACTGTTATTTGGGATCTTTTTTAAAAAATGCCCTTGTAGGCCCCACACTTTTCTACCTTCCCCATTAAGAAAAGTCAGCAGTATCACCTCCATTTTGCTAAACCGAGGTCAAGATAGGGTGTGCCCCTGTTGCTCAATGAAATCAGCAGAAATTCTAGATGTTGAGCCACCGTCTCCTGCGACGCGTTTCCTCGGCTTCTTCGGCCGCCCAAGCTTCTTCTCTTCGTTGAACTATCCTTACCCTTCTTTCAGCTCCTGTCTTGATCTTGCCCGGGGACATTGATAAGCCTGCACAACAGATCTGAATAATGGATACTTTGAGAGACGCTAAGCAGGCTTATCTCCTACTAGCAATATTTTTTACATTCCCAGATGGAATTTGCCCCATTCCTTTTTCTCAGCTTTCCCTGAGGTTTCATTTACCGTACCAAAATAGAAGCACAGTTTCTTTCGCCTTAGAGATGCCTCCAGAACATGTGATCTGAGCTTGTCACTGTGGATTGTTTTCAGGTTATTAGAGACCCCTCAGACATCAAAAATATCAAAGCCCATTCACCATTTGTTGAACAGAGATGATCATCATGTCTCTAAGTAGTCTAAATGAAAGCAGCCAAGAAAAAAGGTGGGGTAAGTCAACTCGTTCCTGCAACAATTGTTTGTCAGGCACCTGCTCAGGTACCATCCTAGGCACTGGGGATACACTGGTGAACAGACAGTCAAGGACACAGAACTCTCATTTTAGCTGGAGAGAGACAGGCAAGGAAGAAGAGAAGGAGGAGCAGAGGAAGAAAAGAGAGGAGAAGGGGAAAGAGAATGGGAAGAAGAAAAATGGAGAAATTTCAGACTGCTAGGAAGACATTCAGTATGCTATGAAGAAAACACAGTGGGTATGGATCAGGGAAGGTCTCTCCCAGGAGACACTGATTGACTTGAAGTTCCAATGACAGGAAGTTGTTGGTCCGGGAAAGGGAGCAGCAGATGCCAAAACCCCCAGGTGGGAACACACTGGGTGTGTTGAGGGGAAGAACCAAGACGCTTATGGCTACAGTGCAGTGAATAAGGGGTGAAGGGCATGAGATGGAGTCAGCTCATACTCCTTCCGGCCCCTCTTTTCACACATTGGAAAGGTCAGGGAAAGAAGCAGTGAGATGCCCACCTTTAACTATTGTTCTTCCCAACAAGAAGAGAGGAGCTGAAGAAACCTCTGTGAGTCTGGGTTCCTGGGCCCAGTCCCCATCTATTCAATGTCCTTTAAAGAATACTCTGCCTGCAGTGTTTACACTTGTACGCGTGGTAATTCTGATAGTGACAATAAGTATTGGTAATTGACAGCATCGCTAAACTTCCATATTGAGTGTATCCTCCTCTTCCAATTCCAACTCCTCTAAGATACATATCTTTCAGCACACTCAGATTGTAAAACCTCCTTTTTATTAAGGCTGAATGTTTAATGGAACAACTAATCCTAAAAGCAAGGCTGAGAGTGACAAAAAAGAATCTTGCCTTGAAACCCCTTTTCTCTGCATTTAGGACATGGCAGCTCAGATAGCCCCATCTCAGCTTTGAGCCACCCAAGACAAGGGTTCCAGTCAGGTCTCTGGGATAGATGAAATGGGCTCATATGACTCTGTCTTCAGACTTCAGGTTTACCTTTGAAATGAACGTAAGTATCTCAGAGACTAATGTCAGCTAATTGGTATGTAAATTATTGAATATACTTTTTCTCTTTTCCTGGAAATCATGATAACTTCTTCCTCTCTCTGCGGCATACCTGTCATTCTCCATAAATTCAAAGAAATCACTGCAGACCTGTCTGTGGTCAGTTATTCATTGCCTGTGCTGTCAATGGGGAAAGCACATGGACTGGCCACAGTCCCTCAAGTCTTGTGGACACAGATACTGTGCAAGTAATGTCTGGGGTGAGAACCATTAGGGAGGAGAAAATCAGGTCCCTTTGCAAACAACCATCTTCAATGTCCAGCCCTGGGCCTAGAGAGCTAGGTGAGTTCTCACCTTGGGTGAGAGTTCTTAAAGGTCTCACCCATCATGAGACATTTGTTCTGTCCTTTAGAGATTATTTTGCTTTGTGATGTATACTGGAGGAAAAAAATAGGAGCAACTAGTTTTGCTTTCTAGCATCCGCCTCCATTACCCTATCTCCCAAAGCATGACCCCATCCCATTTTTCTTACTCCAAACATCATCAAAATATGGGCGATGTAACATAGAAAATGATGTGGAATGGTGGGAAAAGGCCAGCATTTGGCCTGAGATGATCTGGGCTTTCATCCCAGCTTTGCCTCTGAGAAGCCCCTCCACACTCCGAGGATAACTCCCATCCCCACTCTCACGGGTTATTGTGAGGATCAATGTGATCATTTACATGAAAATGCTTTGCAGACCATGGAGCATTATTCTCATGTCAGCTGCTGTTCCACAAGTCGTAGCGTATTCTGGACTTCAGCTTTTCCTGACACTCAGATACAGATTCCTGCTATTCTTTTGTGACACCCTTCATGACATGCCCCTCCTTCCATCTTTTGTTTGTGTTCATTTAAAATCCAGGCTAGAATGGCTTTCCCTCAGCGCCATGCTGGTTCCTTTAACTGCCTCTCTTATTTTCTTCCTTGTTGTTATTTTCTGTAATGTTCCAGATGAGATGTCATTGCAGGCTTCACAACCTTCCCAGGGTCTTTCGGAGTCATCCCCCAATCCAAATCCCAGGCACCCCCCTATTCCATTTTACCAACTTGGAAAATCAGAAAATTCCTTTCAATCCAGATCAGAGTTGTCTCTCTCAGACTGGTGTCAAGTAAAGATTTATCAAACCCTTGGCTTGTCCATGAAGTCTGTCCCGTTTGCTGTGGCCCAGGAGGAACTCTACAGAAGCCAGGGGGTCAGAATTCCTTTTCAGGGTCTGACATGGTGGTTCACAGCCTCACTTGACCAGAACGTTCATCCGCACACTCAAAGTTTTCTTGGCACTTCCAGACCTACTGTGAATCAGGCCCAGCCAAACCAAGAAGCCTTGCTCAGCCTGGCCTTGCTGGCTGCCATGTCTTTGTTCACTGCAGAGCATGACCTCAGCCTCCCAGGCAGTTTGCAGCAGCTGGGGCAAGCTTGAGAGCTGATTTACACTTGGTCTGGGAGGCAAGTCCTCTCTCTCAGGACCTACCAGAGGCAGCTCAAGCACGAGCTTCCTTTCTTCATCCAGGCTGGCCACCACTGACCCTGGTGGCAGCTGGCCAGCCGCATTACTGCCCTCTCTGTTCCTAACAGCCACAGAGGCCTTTGCGTTGAAGCTCTTGGAGTCAAAACAAGAATGTCCTAATCCTCTGCTTGGGAAGCTCCAGCAGTTGCCAGGTGACATCATAGGAGGGGACTGGGGAGAAGTCCTGAGGCAGGCAGGGAAGCAGAAGCTGAGGATTAAGCCGGTGTTTAAGTACAAACATGGGAAAACTCAAGCATACAGAAAGGAAACTAACATCACTTTTTTCCACTTCACTTAAAGAGGTTGCTGGATAATCGCAGTTCAGATGCAACTCCTTCATTAGAGGTGCCTTGTAGCCAGCGACAGTGACTGGGGAAGGAAGCAAGGTGCATGATAAAACACTGGGGTGTTAGGGGAAGGGGAGGAGGGAACATCATGATGCTGGCAAAGACACTATGGAAGCAGGTCCTTCCAAGCTGTGGGCAAACAAGCCAGGGACCCAGCACACTTCAGCTGGGGTTCTTATCCTAGAATCCACAGCTTTCTTCCTGGCCTGGGCGTGTGGTTTCTGGAAACATAGAGAAACATAACCAAAGAGCATCCCAGTAAAACGCATATGGTCCTTGAGCAAAAAGCCCAA
This sequence comes from Homo sapiens, assembly GCF_000001405.40. NCBI lineage: Eukaryota > Metazoa > Chordata > Mammalia > Primates > Hominidae > Homo > Homo sapiens. Next base: position 44,904,395 of record NC_000013.11, read on the forward strand.
TCATGGCAGAGTGGTGGCTGTACCCCAGCTCCCAGCCTCTGACCTTTGCTTTACCAAGCACCTCTCTTTAGAGTGACTTATAAGGAATCTCAGAGGGTATGCCTGTGTTTTCAAACAAAGATGCAGAGCTGTTTGGTTACTATGCAGGAATGAGTCTTTCTTCTTTCTTTCCTTTTTTTAGCCTCCTTAATTCAATCTACCCATCTTCCATACTCATTACCAAATGTCACCGAATCCCCTGTGTCAGACAGAAACAACAATTGTTTGCTTGAAACACAGGTTCATTTATATGCTGGAATATGACACATCTTACAAATGGCAAATCGAGAAGCATTCTGAAAAATAAGCACTGGCTGGGAAAAAAAATGTAACTTTATATTGTCCAAAACACTCAACGGGGAAATGCCATTATTTTCACTTGCTGCAATCAGAGCCATCAATAGACCTCATCTTTTTTAATTCTGAGTACTTTTTAAAAAGTGTGTCCGTTTAGGTTCTGGCAACTAAAGCCTGAGGATTTTGTTGTTGTTTTGGTCACAATTTCGGAACTGTTTAAGGATTTTCTTGGAGTTATTTAAGAAAGTGGCCCCTTTTCTTCTTTCTTTCTTTATTTTGTTTTGTTTTGTTTTGTTTTATGGAAATATTGACCCATCAGGTTTTACTTAAATCCTCCTTGGTTATGGGCCTCCGAAGACAAAGCCATATCCATGGCAACCACAGGCCACACAGCAGAAGAAAGAACACATCCAGACACAGCGCATAATAGCTCTGTTTACTGATGACTAAGATCTTGAAAGCACTACTGTACATTCCAACTCCCAGCTCAGGGCAGGACTCCAGCCCGTCCTCATCTTCCAAGTCCAGCATCTATAATCAGAGCCACAGAAAGGGAGAGAAGCCCTTTTCCCAGCCCTGGTCTGCTCCTCCCTGGGGGTGAGGGATATGCCGCTTCCATCAAGGCTCTCGATGGTCCTGCAAGAAACAGTAGGCCAAAATGAGAGGGAGGCTGGATAGGGACGAGTTATGTGGGGAAGTACTGGAGCCCTTACAGTTCTAGGGGTTTCTCTGCCTAATTCTAGCTGTGGTGGCTGCCTTCTGAGGTCGGCCCTGCAGAAACAGCCTCACACTGAGGCCATGCTCCAGAGACAGGCCTTCAGACCCCGAGAGGTACTTGAACACACAACAGCAAGTTCAAGTTCACATTCAAGTGTTTTGTGACTTACCCTTTGACCCCTTCACACACCAGCATACCTCATTCCATCACTCTTTTCCATGTGCCAATAAAATCCTGGTAAACACATAAGCCCAAGTAAAAGGCTGTGCACACCAAGTGCCTCCCAGCTTCCTGACACACGGACACAAAACAAGAATGGATACAGCTCTCCTCAAACTGCTAAACAAGAACAAAGAAGTCTCAGGCTTGCAAAGATCTCTCAGGCAGCCCAGCCGTTCCTCTGGAAAATGAGTTCGTCAGAAAAAAACACTTGGAATGGAAAGGACTCAAGTCCAGAGGGCTTTTATTTAAACCCCAAACACACAGAGCCCTCTACGGTAAGGTTTCAGGTGCCCAGATCTGGGAGGCAGGGGCCACGGAAGATGGGGAGCAGCCAGGGGCCTGCGATCCAATCCCATGTGCCCTGCAGGGACTCCCAGGCAATGAGAAAAGCCATCTCTATGGCTCGTGAATTGTGGAAGCCACTGCTAAGGGGAGGAAGAAGGAACAGAATCAGTGCTTCATTTGCAGCAGCTTGAGTTTTTATCTGTTTTCTGTGTGTGATTCTACATGCATATTTGATTGAATTTTTTAAAAGTTCCAGCAGTTAAAACACCTTGAAAATCACAGTTTGAGAAAAGAAGAGGAATAGCAGGAGGAGGAGGAGGGAGGAGGGGTAGGAATACAGGTGTGCCAACTGGGCGGCATGCACACACACACACATTAGCTAATTTAGCCATCATCCCATTAACCTTATCAGGCAGGCACTGTGTGTTCTATTGCTTTCTATAGATGATGCCGGGATTTGAACAAAATACAGAACTTTCCCCAAGGTCACACATTGGCAGAGTCATCCCAAGTCATGCATCAAGGCTGACGCTGCTCCCCAGGGCTAACTAACTCTCTCCCCTCCCCACCAGCTTTATTTCTCTGCAAACTTGTAGCTGTTTGCATATGATTACAGAAAATAGGAAAGGTAACCTAAAGAAAGGTAACACGGGCTGGGACAGCTCTACCAAGAAATTCCAAATATTAAGCGCTTGCTAATGTGCAGTACTCTCCAGGCTGAATCAGTCACTGTGACAACCTTTGATGGCAAATGTATTCTGACTTCTAAAAGCTCCATCCTGAAAAGCAGGACTCTCTGTTTCTTGTCATCAGTGCCTGAGGTACTCTTTTAGATCTCCGTGCTTTGGAGATGTTTAAGCTGCTCCAATTTTTACCATTACAGAGAACTTCGTAGAATTGCTGGGAATTGGAGCCAGCTCTCTATGCACAGGGAATTTTCCACAGTGTCCTTGCCAGAAAGGGAGCGTGAGCTCAAGTTACAAGGCCAAGTGAAAAGGATTTGTGAAGGTTTCCTTTCAGAGCCGTGTGCTGGGCAACCACTTACAACGAGGAACCAGCTTTTGGACTCAAAACGGCTGGTGAAAGTAGCCAAGGCTCTGTGCCCAGATCTGCTGGCTTTTTTATAATTTGAACTAGTTGGAAAACTCACTAGAGAAGGTTGGGTTTAGCAGGAGCATCAGGGCTGCCAGAACGGGGGAAGTAACAATGCCCCAGTATCAGGCTTTTTGCTTGGTGTCTGGTCATTGAGTTCATTTTGCTTGCCAGGGGCTTATGGATCAAGCAGAAGCTGGAGAATGAATCTGTGACACGAACTTCATAAAGAATCTTGCACTGGCTGCACGGTTGATCCCTCAGAACATCTCCAAGGGTTGTTGAACTTGTTTCACCCAGTTCAACTTTGGGTGAAACAAGGAAGCAATTGGTGGTGAGGAAGGGAACAGAGAACTGCGATGCCAGGGACTCACATCTACACCTGGTCACTCAAAACTAAAGAACCAACAGAATACAGCAGCTGCTTCGTCTATGTGCTGATGGAGCAGTGGAAGCATAGGTATTCTCTTCCAGGCCCTCTGACTCCTTTCTACCACTGACTCCCAAGCCAATCACCCTCATTCAGCAGTGACCTACCTTTGTCTTTGTGTCATGCACTTAGGTCCGCTGGCAGATTGTTGTGGTAGTCAGCGTATTGAACCCACATAATCTATAGGTTCCTTATGTTTATTCTTCTCACTAAACTTTTTAAAACTTTGTTTTGAAATAATAATAGGCTCACAAGAAGTTGCAGAACGCTTAAAATTTAACAATAATTTACTTGAGATAAGACCCGTAGCTTTTGTTTGTTTGTTTGTTTGTTTGAGACAGAGTCGCTCTGTCGCTCAGGCTGGAGTGCAGTGGAGCAATGTCGGCTCACTGCAACCTCCGCCTCCCGGGTTCAAGTGATTCTCTTGCTTCAGCCACCCATGTAGCTGAGATTAAGGGGCCCGCCACCATGCCTAGCTAATTTCTGTATTTTTAGTAGAGATGGGGTTTCACCATGTTGGCCAGGCTGGTCTCGAACTCTTGACCTCAAGCGATCCACCTGCCTCAGGCCTCCCAATGTGCTGGGATTACAGGTGTGAGCCACCATGCTAGGCCTAGAGCTGTGGTCTTACTCACTGTATCTTCCTTTCTTGGAGGTCTGTTTGCTCTATGGGGGACACAACATGAGGACAAGAGTAACAGGAGACTAGACATTCATGAACACTTAGGGTCTAACTTTCTTACAAGCAGAATGATTTTATATATATATATATTTATATACATATATGAATACACACATATATATGTGAGAGACAACCACTCTGGAGAAGAAATCCATATATATACATACATATATATATACACACACACACACATACATATATATGTGAGAGACAGAACCTCTCTCTAAATATCCAAGCTTTTCATTCTGTTTTTATTATTGCTGAGCCTCCTAGGAAGTGAATTTTATTTTCCCTTTTTATTACTGTATTTGTCATATCTGACATTGGCCTCTTTCCAGCTTGTGAAAGTACCAGTTGTTTCTGCTAACCCTTAAATAAGAGCTCAAATTATTGTAATTCTCGATATAGAAATTCATTCTGATAAATCTCCCCAGGGCCTTCCACACCCAGCTAAGGAATAGCAGACCAAGACTCCACCTTACAAGAATTTAAGTTTAAAAAATAAATAAATAAATAAACAAACAAAACACCTTCAATTTTCATTTGCGAGAGAATAAGGGAAGGTGCACTCTGACAAGAGGGAAGTTACCCAGAGGAAAAAAATCAACGGGATCTAGGTTATGCGGTTAAAAAGTCTTCAAATGCTAGAGAAGAGCATTTTGTGAGTGGTTGACACTTTTTGTTTACTAAAAAATATCACCTATAACCAAAATAGCATTTCCTGTGCAAGGCCCAAGGCATCTAGGTTTCGTTTCAGGGTGAGAAGAGGGACCACCCGCCTTGCCCTGGGGGAGGGGAGGAAGTGGTGCAGCACAGCTGGCTTGGAATCTTGTCCCTTCTCTGCCATCATTGCGGGTGATGCTGTTGTTCATCATTGTTCATAATCTGTATCTTTGCCCTTCTTTGATACTTGATGTATCAAAGATGTAGATTTCTGGAAGTAGAATTACCAAGTGAAAGGAAAGGCATGCTTATGGCTCTTACTATGTATTACATGCTAAGCAACTTTCCACGAAATGTGTACCAATTCACCTTCCCAGTGTATCCCACAGTCACACGCAGAGCCTGCAAGATGCTAAGTGCCAACATTAAAGCATTTACAAAATTATTGCAGGGTCTTTGGGGAGTCAGGTTCTTTGACTGATTCCTCACATAATATAACAAGATCAGAAGGGATTGGAAAATTTGCAGGCTTTATTGACCAAGACTTGTGAAAAATGGAGTAACAAGCACCCCAGACCCCCTGTTAGCTCATACTGTAATGTTGCAAACATTAAAAATCACATCTTCCTCAAGGCACTTTACTCCATCTGTCGGAAAATGATCATAATAAATATCAAATCTACAATGACTGCAATGGACAGGCAGGTCCTTTGAGCCATGTGGTGCACATTTGCTACTCTCAAGATGTCTGCCACTGCAGGTCTAGAGGATTCTATGCCAAAGTTTATCTCTGTCACTGAAGGCCAGATACACGACAGAACCTGTCACACCTGCTGGTGCACACACTCAGTCTCCCTCCTTCCTCCACCACTCCGTGATCGCACCAGCCAGGCACTGCTCAGTTAGAAAACCCCTAAGCCTCCTATTTGCCTGGAAATTACAGTTGCCCCCAGAGGTGTCTGCTTTCAAAGGTGTTCCAGTCTGTGTTTCCTGCCCTCTTAGGTTGCTCCATTTAGATATCCCAGCAGTGCCTCAAATTTGTCAGAGGAGACAAATCTCATTCTCTCTGCCCCACTTCTCTGTCTCTCTGGGGATGCTTATCATCTTGGGGTTGTCAACAAATCATCCCTTCCCTTCACGCCCCACCACCAAGCTGTTGCCAAATTCTGATTATTCCTCCTTCACTTCTCTTAGTGTTTCGCTCTCTCTCCACCTCCCCTGAATCAATTAACCCCAATCAGGACATTAATGAGCACAGGTTATGGAAAATTACTCCAACTTCTGATAACTGTCAAGTTTACTGCTCCTACCTTAGACTCAATGAACACATTGAAGACAATCCCCCTGTATGAGTGCTTACAGTGGAAAACAGCACTGGATGGAGAGGCACCCAGGGGCAAGAAATAAATGGTGAGGTCGATGCTTAGATTCGCTAAGCTTATGCATAATGAGAGAGTCAGGTGGAAGGTGGTGCAACTGCACGGGCTGCAGGTGTTCAGCCAACAGAGCCAAAACCCACTGGGGGCTTCCCTGACAACAGCAAGGTGAGCTCCCCAGGTCCACTGTTAAGTGCTGCAACATCTAGGCAAAGTTCTGACAGGCCCCCCTTTGCTGCACACAGCAGCATTCCAATTCTGCAACTGCTTTGAAGCTTCCAGTGGAAATCCTAATGCGGGCGTCATCCCCGCAACTAACCTGCAGTTCTGATGACGCAGAAATCCCCAGCATCAGATTCACCCCAAGGACCTACTGTTTCCATTTTAAAATTCAGGGCACACAAGGCAGGCCTCCCATAAAAGCTGCTGCTCCTCCCAGCCCCTCCTTACCCCTCTTTTGGGAACTTCCCCTTGGAAAGTTGGGAGAAAAGATGGAGAGAGGTCAGAACCAGCATGTTCCAGGTTTCCCCTGAGCTGCTGCTCTGAACACTTACCTATCTTTTGGCAAACAGTTTGTGGCAATAGACAATCCTTCTTCCTTCATCTCTACTGAAAAGAAAACTGGAAGAAATAATGAGTGGTAGGCCAGGTGTCGTGGCATACACTTATAGTCCCAGCACTTTGAGAGGCTGAGACAGGCAGATCATCTAAGATCAGGAGTTCAAAACCAGCCTAGCCAACATGGTGAAGCCTCATCTCTACTAAAAAATACAAAAATTAGCCAGGTGTGGTGGTGCATGCTTGTAATCCTAGCTACTCAGGAGGCTGAGGCAGGAGAATCACTTGAACCCAGGAGGTGGAGGTTGCAGTGAGCCAAGATCACGCCACTGCACTCTCGCCTGGGTGACAGAGCGAGATTCCATCTCAAAAAACAAACAAAGAAAAAAAAGAATTTGGCTTTGCCCAAAGAGAGGTCTGGCCTTTGCCTTCATCTTCTGGGATGAAATCTATGTCATTTCTCATAGGAGGATCTTTGTTTAAGGCAGGGGCTGATCCCTTCAGATTGTAGGGTGGGGCTGGCCATACTCAGTAGTCTTAGGGTGGGAGGTAGTCGTGCTAGAAAGACCAACCATGTGCCTTAGAGTGGGGGCTTTGTGTCACATGGTATCACTCAAGCTGGAGGCTGAGTTCAATCACACAGACAATCAATCAATCATGCGTACATAATGAAGCCCCAATAAAAACTCTGGATAACAAAGTTCAGGTGAGCTTCCCTGGTTGTCAATACTGCATGTATCTTGTCACACATTAGTATCAGGAGGGCCCACACACTCCACATGGAAAGAGGGCAACAGAAGTTTTGCAGTTAGAACCCTCCCAGACTCTGTCCCTTCCTTTGGCTGATTTCAGTCTCTGTCTTTTCCCTGCAGTAAACCATAACTGTGAATATTGCAGCTTCCACTGAGTTATTGGAATCTTTCTAGAACATCATCAAACCTGAGGGTGGTATTGGAAACTCCCCCAAACTTGCAGTTGGTGTTAGAAGTGAGGGCAGTCTTGAAACTGTGCCCTCAAATATTGCAGATTTGCTAAATCTGGGCAAATAGCCTTAAAGCAAAGCATACTGTGATCTGGGTTAGTCCACAAGGAAAACTTTATTTTAGGACAAAATTGCCAAATTCTGAAAATGAGGGTTCTGGAATCCATCTCAAGAGACCTCTTAAAACAGTCTCATCTTCCTTCCAAGGTGTGGTTTGTGCTGACCACAGCAGAGCACCAGCCAGAAGGCCCTAGAGTCCAGAAGGTCCTCATCCAGGGGGTGGACCTCTCTCCACCCCTAAACCTCCAGAGCTTTCCCATCACATTTAGAATGAAATCCAACCCTCTTACCCTTTTTGTGTGTTTGTGCGTGTGCTATTTCCCACTACAGTGTAAATCTAGATAACTGCCAGCACATACTAGACACACTGTAAATGTTTGCTGAATACATGAATAGCCCAAATATAAAGAATATAGAAATGCTTATTTTTGCCAGCAAGATTTCATCTCTGGCTTAATTTTTTCTTAATTGAGATATAATTCAGATTCCATACAATTCAGTCTTTTACAATTCAGGGCTTTTTAGTATGTTTACAAAGTTGTGCAACCTTGTAAATATGGTAAATCACCACTCTTTATGTTAAACTACCACTATTTTAATTTCTCTGGCTTAACTTTAATACCAGTTCATCCTTCCTCTCTACCTTGTGGTTCTAATAGGAGCTGCCAATCATAATACCCCATATTCATCAACCCTAGGCAGGGCCCAGGGCCTAGGCGAGGTCACATTCCCCCAGCACTTTCCAACAGAAACTAAGAAAGACCTTCCTTCTCGGGTGGGGAAGCTGGGAGGAATGAGTACTGAGCCAGAGTGCCCAGATCCCTTGCCATGTGGAAGCAGTTGGTCCATGATAGCTAAGAATAAATCTGACACACAGAGAGAAAACACTGATTCTGATTGTCCCCAAGGCCAGCCATCCCATTCTACTTCACACAGTTTGGTTACATTAGCCAACAATCCTCCCCTAGTGGAGTTCCAATGGCTTTCTGTAACTTGAAACTTAAGGTATTCCAATCAATAAAGTCCTTGTCCTGCTCACACATCCTTCAACACATGCTTATTAAGTGTTTACTGTGTGCACGGCACTGGCCTTGGAGAGTAAAATCTAGCAGGGCCACAACAAGTGTGGTAAATGCAATGAGAGGGAAATGTGCAGAGAAAGCATCTCACCCACAGTCAGGGCAGAAATGACATCTAAGCTAGGACCTAACTTTAGAAAGGAGTAAGTATAGGAAGAGAAGTACACAAGATGCCATGGGAATCAGAAGCAACCAGCATCCACAGGAGAGGTAAGGGAAGCTATAGGAACCATGTGATGTTCGAATTGAGCCTTAAAGGATGGATAAGATGTAGATATTTAGAGAAAGGGCATAAGAGCGTCTCAAGTAGAAGAAAAATTGAGTAAAGGCCAGATACAGGAAACAGTGTGAAATTAACAGGAATCTAGGATACATGGAGGGAAGAGGTAGGAATTAGGCTGCAAAGGCAGATTGGGAGCACTCAGCAAGACAAAGCTCTTCGGGTTTAGGGCAGGGAAGCAGCATGTTCAGCTCTGCGCTGTAACAGCCAGGAGAATGCAAGATAGAGAAGATGGGCAAGATGGGGTCAGGGAAACCAGTGTGGTGCCTATTGCAATAGTCCAGAGAACAAGATGATTTAAACCAGCAGAGTGGCCAGGGAAGTAGATAAGAATATATGTGAGCATAACTGAAGAGGTAGAAATAAGATTTAATAAAATAATAAAATAAATAAATAGTAAAATAAAATAAGCTTTAATTAGACGTGGTGCGAGTGGAGGAGAAAGAGGGACTAAACATGCCAATGATGACAATGATGATGATGGTGATGATGATGACGGTGATGGCCTTAAACTGGGCTAAGCCTTTTATGCGCATTATGTCATTTAATCTTCACAACCCTATGAAGTAGGTCCCATTCTTATCCCCACGTTAGATTCTAGAAAACTGAGGAACAGAGAGATTAAGTAACTCAAACAAGGAGATCTTGGATGACACTAAAAAATAAGTAATCCAAGTAGAAAAGGACTTGGGAAGGAGAAAGAGGTCACTTTTGCACATACTGTGTTGAAGTTGCCTATTTGCATAAAGCTGAGCCCCCAACTTCAGTTTGACTGTATCCCTATGAAACAGGAATAGTCTTACCTACATTTTCTTTCTTTCTTTCTTTCTTTTTTTTTTTTTTTTTTTTTTTTTTTTGAAACAGAGTCTGGCTCTGTCTCCCAGGCTGGAGTGCAGTGGTGCGATTTCGGCTCACTACAACCTCTACCTTCCAGGCTGAAGCCATTCTCCCATCTCAGCCTCCTGAGTAGCTGGGACTACAGGCGTGCACCACCAGCTATTTTTTTGTGTTTTTTGTAGAGACGAGGGGCAGGAGGAAGCGATTTGTGTTTTTTGTAGAGACGGGCGGCGGGGAGGGGTAGAAGACGGTGCCGGGGTTGGGAGGGTGTCTCGCTTTTTTGCCCAAGCTGGCCTGGAACTCTTGAGCTCAAGCTATCCACCCACCTCGGCCTCCCAGAGTGCTAGGATTACAGACATGAGCCACCATGCCGGCCATACCTACATTTTCTTAATGAGTACACAACAAGTTGCAAAATCCCAAGCTTTCTTAAATCAGGATAGATTATGTTGATTGCTCCCCCATCTACCATGGCTGTCACTCTGCGACAAAAGGAAATTAGATTCATCTGATAAGCTTTGTTTTTCACAAAGTAATGTGGGATGATTACCCAGTGCCCTGTGGTCTTCTAGAAGTTTGCAAATTGATTTTTTGATTATTTGTTCCAGTGATTTTCCAAGTAGTCAGTGTTTTTCCAAGTTATTCAGCTTTACAGTGTGGGTGAGTTAAAATTCATATTTGCTTTCATATTAATATATGAAGTGTTAATGTAATTATTTAGGATATTTTTGCATGCGGCATCAGATATACTCTGAGGGAACATACATATGAATCTGCATGACTATAAATACACTTGTTGAGGGGCACAAAGCAATTTTCATGTGGAATCCATCAGAGTTTATGACTATATGCAAAAATGAAAGCATACAGGAACACATGGTTAGTTCAAATACCCCAAACAGGTTAAGCTCATCACTTTCTAGAAATGATTATATATGATGAATTTTTTTAAAAAAAAACTTCACGTAGAAAAATTACTACTATGTTTATGCAGCTATGCTGTGAACACTGACCAAAAATACAAGAGAATATTTTTTTGGCCAGGCACGGTGGCTCACGCCTGTAATCTCAGCACTTTGGGAGGCTGAGGCAGGCGGATCACTTGGGGTCAGGAATTCAAGATCAGCCTGGCCAACATGGTGAAATCCCATCTCTACTAAAAACATAAAACTTAGCTGGGTGCGGTGGCGCACACCTAAAATCCCAGCTAGTCAGGAGGCTGAGACCCGAGAATCGTTCCAACCCAGGAGTCAGAAATTGCAGTGAGCTGAGATCGCGCCACTGCACTCCAGTCTGGGTGACAGAGGGAGACCTTATCTCAAAATAAATAAATAAATAAATAAATAAATAAATAAATAAATAAATAAAAATAATTGAATCTTCTCTGCACTCAATCCCCCTAAGCCCCGCTCCTTGACGCCAGGATTTGGAGAGAGTGGTGTCTGGCTAGAGCACCAGACAGGAATTCAATCTTTTGTGGATACAATCTAAAGTCCAATACTAGGGAATCAGAGAAATAAAATCTCAGAATAGATGTTTCCCGGGTAAAACGAGGGTCTAAGTTAAACGACTGCTAAGGGCCTTTCCAGCTCAAATAGTCTATGAATCTAAAGACTATGAGGATGATGAATGGAAGTTATGGCAAAATGTTTTACAAAAAGGGAAAGCCATAAAAATGCCAAATATAACTGAAGTAACCATCTCCCCACAAAGTGAAACCCTTTCATATCATTAAGTACCTGTCTTCAGAAATATCTACTATGCTCTGAGTCCACCAAATATTACAGCCATCTCAAGAAAGCTTCTGTCAAATCCATGAGGTCAAAACTCTATTTTATGAAAATGAATGATTAATAGGATGAGTAGACATGACAGCCTTCATATAAATGGAATTCACCTGCCATCTGAAAGCAGTTTTGTCTTGCTTTTTGGAGACAGGATCTCACTAGCCCAGAATGGAGTGCAGCAGCAATCATAGCTCACTGCAGCCTCGAACTCCTGGCCTCAAGCGATCCTCCCACCTCAGCCTCTTGAGCAGCTAGGACTACAGGCACGCACCACTGCCTGGCAAATTTTTTTTTTTTTTTTATTTTTTTATTTTTGAGACGGTGTCTCCTTACGCTGTGCAGGCTGGTCTTGGTCTCCAATTCCTGCTCGAGTGATACTCCCACCTCGGCCTCACAAAGTGTTGGGATTATAGCCATGAGCCACTGCCCCTGGCCTAAAAACAAGTTTAAAACAAACAAAAACTACACAGCTTCTGCCTGGCAGCCCCCGGCATCAGCTATCCTCCCTGGCCTTGCCCCTTAGGCTCAGGAGCTGTGAGAGCTGCATTACCCCTTCTTGTTTCCCTAAACCCTAAGAAAAACTTAAATAATCCTTGATTAAGCACTCTGCTAAGAATATATCACGAGTTTCCTACAGGGCCGCGATTGATACAGGGATAATAATATCATCTGAGAGTAAAATAATCTAAAATAATAATCAAAAAATAAAAATAGGCCCGGTGCGGTGGCTCACGCCTGTAATCCCAGCACTTTGGGAAGCCGAGGTGGGTGGATCACCTGAGGTCAGGAGTTCTAGACCAGCCTGACCAACATGGGGAAACCCCATCTCTATTAAAAATACAAGATTAGCTGGGCATGGTGGTGGGCCCCTGTAACCCCAGCTACTCGGGAGGCTGAGGCAGCAGACTCGCCGGAATCCGGGAGGCAGAGGTTGCAGTGAGCCGAGATCGTGCCATTGCACTCCAGCCTGGGGGACAAGAGCGAGATCATGCCTGTAATCCCAGCACTTTGGGAGGCCAAGGCAGGGGGATCACGAGGTCAGGAGATCGAGACCATCCTGGCTAACACGGTGAAACCCCGTCTCTACTAAAAAATACAAGAAATGAGCCGGGCGTGGTGGCGGGCGCCTGTAGTCCCAGCTACTCGGGAGGCTGAGGCAGGAGAATGGCGTGAACCCGGGAGGCGGAGCTTGCAGTGAGCCGAGATCGCGCCACTGCACTGCAGCCCGTGCGACATAACTAGACTCCGTCTCAAAAAACAAACAAAAAAAATTATAGTCTTTATTTTAGTCTTTAAATATAGTCTTCATTTTAGATAATCTCATCTAATAACAAAGGGATGCATTTATTTGCATAACAATTGGAAACTGTCACAAGTCAATACTAAGACTTCTAATTCTAATCTAGCATATCACAAATTCTTAAAGTTTTTTTAAAACAATGTGTCAAATAAATATATCAAGAGTAAAATGTTTTGGTTTCGTTTTGTTTTGTTTTGTTTTGCCATCGGCTGGAGCCTCAGTATTTGTTATAACCTAATTTTCTTCCCCGCCTTCCAAACTGGTTTAGTTAACTCTCTGCATCACAAACACAACAAATTGTACATTGAACTACCCTGCCTTTAATATATGTATTTTCTAGAAATCTTGTTGTCCTAGAATGACTTTAGGTAACTTAAAAGCCCTGCAATGCCTCCCTCCCTCTCCCAGCATCCTCCTAACAACAACAAAAAAACCCTATAATGTTCTAAAATTGCATCTTTCCTTTTTCTTTCAAAAAAGAGCACTCTTTTGGTCATTTGCTCATCTTCACAGTACAAGGAGAAAATACTGGAGAAAAACCAGCGGGTGTATTTCGGCATGCGACCGCTTGGTTCCCCCGCTTTCCTTCACCTCTGACCTAATCTCTCACTTCAAAAACTGACTTCAAGCTGTTGCCAGATACGTCCCTTCCGCCGCCTGCCGCAGGTGGCTAGGGTCTGAGCACACTTGAACCTCACACCCGCCCCAGGGGTAGCTCCTTGGTTCCCTTCAGCCCCGATGTGTCCCTCGTGCTTTGAAATGGAATTACAGTTTTGGTTAAAAACATGCCTTTTCCGAGTTAGGAAGAATCTAAATCGACTGAACGCCAGTCTAAAATTTCGGCGTTCCCACACCGGGAGTCGAACCCGGGCCGCCTGGGTGAAAACCAGGAATCCTAACCGCTAGACCATGTGGGAGACGGCAATAGCGACTCCAAGCCTAGACAAATTGAGTCTTCTCGGTCGGCTTCCGCCCACTCCATCGCGTTCATCCGTAGGCGTCAAACCTGCTCCTGCGCCTGCGCGGAGTCTGCAGCGGTTTAAACCGTTCAGGTTCGCATTCTACTGTTTCTCTCCTTGCAGGGGCCCTTGAATCTTTCTTCAATCTACTCTCGCGTCTTTCGTGATCTCATCCAGTCTCCTGGTGCTAGGTACCATGTCGACACCAATGTAGACACTAGATTGGATGAGTCATTGTTCACAATTCCTCACAAAACTCCTGCAAAGTCCAAAAGAACTGGGGTTTGAATGTTAGAGGCTGGTGAAGAAGTGAGGACCACGGGGCGTCATAACACCGCGCAGTGGAGGCCACGCTGCACTGGCCGGTGTCCGCCGACAGGGTGTGTGCCACAGACGCGCAGTGCCTTGCCCGAATCTGTCCCTCCCCTCAGCGCTGGTCCAGGCTGGCCACAGGCACCACCCCGTCCCTGAAAGTGGATCTTTTCCTCTGAAAAAACAGGAATGAGAACTGCCCGGAAGCCTGGAACATTCCAGGTTCTGATGACTCAGCGGCTGAAGGCAGGATTTGTGTCACCGAAAGCAGCCAGAGTGGCGGTCTGTAAATGTAGCTTAGAAAAGTGGAGAAAGTCTCTTACTGCAGGCGTTCATGATAGATGGAAACTCCGTGTGGTTTCCAAGGCCCTCCTCGATTTGAAGCATTTCAAGGGAGCGGTTGATGCCTTAGCAGTCTACTGTTTGAATTAGGGAAATGCAAAGAGTCAGCCATTGGGGATAGCCGGCGGAGAGGAGCTGTGGCTCTGGTGTCCTCAGTGGCTTAAGCTACACATAAGTTGTGTTTACTAGCAGAAACTGTGTTAATGGAAGTCTGGGGACAAATTGTGGAAGTTTCGAACAGTTCAACTAGCAGAGGACACTTTGAAGCCCACTTAAAAGCTAAGATCACTCCTCACACCCCCAACTGCCGCAGGGACTTAGAAGGTCCTCCTTCTCCCTCTCAGGCTAAGGTTCATCTGTGACATTCATCCTCAACAGAGGAGGGGCGAGAATAGACTGGAAATAGAAATTGTTCTGCCTCGCACTCATTACCACGAAGAAGCTCCCCAACAGGGAATGAACGCAACCCAACATAATTAAAAGTGAATATGGGCCGGGCGCGGTGGCTCACGCCTGTAATCCCAACACTTTGGGAGGCTGAGGAGAGTGGCTCACATCTGAGGTCAGGAGTTCGAGGCCAGCCTGGCCAATGTGGAGAAACCCCCGTCTCTATTAAAAATGCAAAAATTAGCCGGGCGTGGTGGCGCACGCCTGTAATCTCAGCTACTTGGGAGGCCGAGGCAGGGAGAATCGCTTGAACCGGGGAAGTGGAGGTTGTAGTGAGCTGAGATCATGCCACTGTACTCCAGCCTGGGTGACAGAGTAAGACTCTGTCTAAAAAAAAGAGAAAAGAAAAAAAAATGGGAATGTGGCTCTGAAAAAAACCAGAAGCATTGACAGCAAACCTACTCTGTGTATCAGACACATTCAAATGTGTTTATTTAATCCTCATAGTGTACCTATGAGGTAGGTCTTACCCACATTTTAGTTGGTTCTTCCTGTACTATCTTTGAACAGAGTACAGAGTTTCTTAATCAGACAACTGCTTTCCTTTTGAGGATATTTGCTTTGGAACACCAAAGAAAACTCTCCAAAACAAACGCCCTCAACTACGGAATACCTGACATCTGTGGTTCTCAATTTGAGGGCTCAGATTTCATAAATACTTTTCAGTTTTATATTTCCCTTTGATGATAATTCTTTTTAAAAAAGACATCTTACAGGTTTTCAAGATCTAATTTCTCACAGTAACCCATCCATTGGACGGGCACCATCCTTAGGATGTAACCAAAATGTGAATTTACTCTTGGTTTCTCACGATCACTAAACTGAAATTTGTTCCATTTTTCTCTTTACCAGTGGATGAAAACTCAAGCAGTAGCAGAAAGCCCTATGGTCACTTTATTTTTATTGTTTATTTTGAGACAGGGTCTCACTCAGTGACCCAGGCTGGAGTGCAGTGGCTTGATCTCGTCTTACTGCAGCCTTGACTTCCCAGGCTCAAGTGATCCTCCCATCTCAGCCTCCCAAGTAGCTGGGACTGCTGGTGGCACTCACCACCAAGCCCAGCTAATTCTTGTCTTTTTTGTAGAGACAGGGCTCCACCATGTTGCCAAGGCTGGTATCGAACTCCTGGGCTCAGGAGGCCCACTTTGGCCTCCCAAAGTGCTGGGAGCCCTGTGGCCACTTTAAGTAATAAAACACAATCCAGCGCAATACACTGTTTAACAGCTCAGTCCTCATTCTCAAATAGTTTGCCCCAGCCCAACTTGGGCATGATTTCCAGCTCGAAGTGGTGGTTTGCTGGAGCAGGCTCTTACTGCCTCACAGGAGCCCATGGTGGGCTTCTCTTCCTAACTCTGTGTTCAGTGACATCATATTGGTAGCCTGAGATGGCCACACTGGGAGTATTTACCCCATGGAAATAGGTAAATGCTACAAGGCAGGGCTTTTTCCTTGAAAAGCCAGTGTGCTGGTCAAAAAATAGCAATGTGCTGGTTAAATATCACACCAGGAATGAGCCACTTCTTTCTTTCTTTGGCCTTCTGCCTTTCGAGGCTCTGGGGTCCTCCAAGATTGGAGTGTGGGGAGGGGAACGAAAAGGGGCACAGGGCCGGGTGTGGTGGCTCACGCCTGTAATCCCAACACTTTGGGAGGCCAAGGCGGGTGGATCACATGAGATCAGCAGTTCAAGACCAGCCTGGCCAACATGGTGAAACGCCGTCTCTACTAAAAACACAAAATTTATCCGGGCACAGTGGCAGGTGCCTGTAATCCAAGCTACTTGGGAGTCTGAGGCAGGTTAATTGCTTGAACCGGGGAGGCGGAGGTTGCAGTGAGCCAAGATCGTGCCACTGCACTCTAGCCTGGGCGACAGAGTAAGACCTTGTCTAAAAAAAAAAAAAAAAAGTGGGGGTGGGGCACAGAAGTTCCTACTCAACTGGCATTGTCCAATGTCAGCTTCCAGCTCTCTGGGCCTAAACTTGTTTTAGGGCTGACTCCTTTTCTCAGTGGTACTCTGTGGGTTTCTCAAAGGCTTCCCTGGGCCTCTTGGACAGGGCCTCACAGAAGGGGGTAGCAGTGTTTGCCCCGTGTGGGCCTCAGATCACTGGTATTAGGATCGTCAGTGGCTTTTTTCACCTGCAGATTCCCAGCCCCACCCACCCAGGACTTACAAATGAGAATCTGAATTTTCACAAGGACTTCCCCCTCCAAATGATTCTGATGCCAGTAGAGTTTGAGCAACAATGAACCACACGACAATAAATCCCCTTCAGTCGCTAAAAGCCCATGATCCCTGAAGCACAGTTTCTATCATTTCCTGTTCCTGCTCAAAAGCCTGGAAAAATGGCATCTCGTTGCTTGTTGAGTAAAATCTAAATTCTCTGGGCAAGCTTTCCAGGCTCTCCATAATCCAGCCCTGACATAGCCTGCTAATACTATCCCGCCGCAGCCCTCTTCAGAGGGGCCACATTCCAGATCACCCGACCTGCTCTGTCCTTCCCGTTCCTTTGTTCCACCTTGCTCCACACCACCCTCCCACTCTTCTTTCCAAGCCCGACCTCAATCCCAAGGCCAGCTCAGCCTTTGAAGTCACCTCAGGTCCTCTTGTTCACAAGGCACTCCCTCCCGCTTCCTCTGAATCCCAAAGCACAGACCTTTAAAAAATGGTGATATAAGCTTACGTCTTGCCACCCTTATTATTTCAGTTATTTAGTAGGAAAGTCCATGAATAAAAATCAGATTTTGTAATCCCCCTGGGAACCCAGTCCTGCACTCAATCATTCTGTCACATAGTCCTTCCTTTTATCTAACTTAAATACTTCCTGCTGTACTTCTATATGAAAGCTGCCACCTTTTAACCACCAGCAGGAACAAAATGTTCCTGGGAGGAGGAAAAAAAAAAAAAAAACATGAATTTTTGAAGTTTGGCCAGACCAGTAAGTGAGCTGCATTTCTTTAGTTCCACACACACAAAAAAAAAGCCTTCTTGTTGACACAAGAAACAGTTATTCCTGTTCCCATGCATCTAGGTCTGATTTTCAGTGGGCAACTGTCCCATTTTATCCACCATTTGATACTGGAAAAAAGCCCCAAACACATTGTACTTGCCAGGCATCTCCATTAGCCAAAGCAATCTGGGGTGTGATTCAGGCTTGTGTTTGCCAGTCATTTAGGAGTTAGAATGGTTTCCACTTTAGTAGGCCCAGGAGTCATGCTTTATAAGGCCATCACAAATAAGCACCAATTAAATTCCACTCTCCCAAGAACAGCTCTGGCCAGCACAAACTCAGCCTATGGCACAAGGTTAAACCTCAAAGCTCTCTTGAGTAACAGCACCTGCCCCTGCTGACCAGTGTGAATTAATCTTCATGGCCTAACACTAGGTTCAGTTTCTAAAATAGGGTTTGATCTCAGGAGGCCACTGGAATGACAGAGCTTCCTCGAGGGCTTGTTTAGATCATAGAATTCTGCCCCTCCCCTCTGTGCCAAATCTAGCAACTCCTACTTGTTCTGTGACTCAGGGCAAACATCCTTGAACGCTCAGTGCTGGGTGAGGTGCTCATTCTGGATTATCATTAGGTTGGATGGAGTTCCCTGTTTCCCTTCCTGTGGTAGACAGTAAGCTCCCTCATGGCAGAGTCTGGGTCTTACTCTGTTGTATTCCCAGCTTCCAGCACAGTGCTTGGCACACATAATGACTTAATGAATCAGCATTTTAATATAGTAACAATTTAATTCTCACAATGGCCCAATGAGATAGGTACCAATATTCTTCCCATTTTACAAATTAGAAAACAGAAACATAGGCGATTAAGTAAGTTACAGAAGCAGGATTCAAATCCAGGCATTTCATCTGGGCATAATTACTTAATTAATCTTTTTTTAATATATATATTTTTTTCATGTAAGACTTCCTGCACCAACTTAATGAGTCTCTTAAAATATCTTGGTTTCTTTGGGGATCCTCCTATAAAAGTAACTTTTCCCCTTAAATCAGCATATAACAAGAGAGAACTATTCCTCAGCTAGGTGAAAATATCTCCACAGCATCTTTCTTTACACATCATCAGCACTCAGTGCATGTTTGCATGATTGATCGCTTGCTTCATTCATTCATCCAATAATGAATCAGTCCATCTCAGAGAAATAGTCTTGGTTTCTACCTAGCACCGAAGTGGCAAAGCAAACTAATTGAGAGTCTCAGAAGGCCATAATTTTAATATTTAAGTAACAACAACAAAGAACAAGAAACTACATCCCTGTCTCCTAATATCGCTGGCACACACTCTCTTTCTTCCCCTACCTTCCCTTCACCTGATCTGATAGCCCAAGACAGGAAGAGCTTCACCAGCCCATCATCATACTCACCCTCATTTGTGTGCTCCTACCAGGGCTCAGACCTGGTTTTTCTTCAAGAACACACTTAGGAATTGTGAGTCCAAGCACTTCATGGCCTGACATCCGGAAAACTTGCCCACCATTGTAGGTTCTTGTTCCATGTTGCCGTTGCTCAAATATTGAAATTATGGCCCGCCGAGACCCTCAGTTAATTTGCTTTGCTCCTGAGGTGCTAGGTAGAAATCAAGTTGGACCTTGTATTGGAGGTTAAAGGTATTTCTGGTTTATTTCTGGACTTCTCAGCAGTAGTTCAGAGTGGAGTGAGCTTTCTAAACTCATTTTCTTCTTTCCTCGTGAGATGATCTATCTCAATAATCTTCAATAGGTCCATGGCCAGGGATTATGCCAAGTTTAATGTTCATCATGACTACCCGATATATATTTGACAGTGCTTGATATAAAAACAATAGCTATCACATATAGGATTCACTATGTGCCAGATAATTCTAAACACTTCAATAATTAACAATTTAATTCTCACACTGACCCAATGAGATAGGTACCAATATTATTCCCATTTTACAGATTAGAAAACTGAAACATAGGGAGGTTAAGTAACTTGCCCAAAGTCTGACAACTTATAAATAGTAGATGCGGGATTCAAACCCAGGCATTTCATCTCTGGAGTCTTAATGTATTTTCATATACCTTAATAAATCTACCCCTACTATTATAAGCATATTGCATAAAACAGGGCACTGTCATAAATAATCATAATGATAATGCCTTCAGCAACAATGGCAGCATACATTCTGAAGCCTGATGGCATCTTCAAAGGAGAATGAGGAAGAGGTTATGGGATCTTCTTAAACCAATAAAAATAAACATTTTGTGATCTAAGACTTCATAGATGCTAACATTGGAACGGAGAAGATGTCTGTCCCTGGTCCCTTCTTCCCTCCTCATCTATCCATTTTCAGAAATAGGGGCTGTTCAAAAATAAACTAATGTTTCTCTCTCTCAACCCAGTCTAGAGACAGAAATCTCATCAATTCCCCCTGCAACCTCTACTCAGATAGAGCTTCACTATTGTTCACTGATTGGTTAATTGATTGGTTCATGCAATCAACAAACCAGGCTAGAAGATTCATGAGGCATAAAACATCCTATCCCTCTAAAGCTGCAACCTTCTTGGCATCTACACATGGGCAATTAATGAGGACCTCAGGATTCACATAGCTAAAGCTGAGCTCCTGAGAGTCCATCCCCAACCGCACTCCCCAGCCAGCTCCCTCTGCATCTTCTCCATTCCAGTTAATAGCAGCTTTATTCTCCCCATTGTTCCAAGCCAGAACCCTGGAATCACCCTGGATTCCATTCTCTCTCAGCCTACCTCCAACCCCTCAGAAAATCCTACTGGCTCCATCATGAAAATAGACCCAGAATTGGATCACTTCTCCCATTCCCCTGGTCTGAGCCACCATCCTCTCTCACCTGGGTTAGACTGTGCGCCACCTCCCCACCTCTGCAGCCTATTCTCAACAAGGCAAGCAGAAGGAATCTTAAAACAAATCAGCTCATGCCACTTCTCAAAATCTTCCAGTGGCTTTCCATCTCACTCAGAATAAAAACCAAAATCCTGACTATAATCTACAAGGTCCTGCATGACAACCACCCCCTCCCATTCATTCTCCTCCCTCCCCATGCACCGAGGCTCCACTTGCCATTCTTCTAATCCTCTAGCTATGTCCTCACCTCAAGGCCTTTGCACTTGTGTGGGGAGGAAAGAGCTTTCCAGCCACCTGCATGGCTTGCTCCCTCACCTTCCCCAGGTCCTTTAGAAATTATCTTCTCAATGAGATCTTCTCTGTTTACCCTATCTGAAGCTTCAGCAAATGTCCTGCAGTTTTCCTGCTTTTCACTTTCTCACTAGCACATACTGATATTTGACATACTGTGTGTGTGCTACATTTATCTTGCTTGTTGTCTGTCTTTTCTACCGTGGCACAAACATTTTTGCTGTTTCGTTCACTACTATATCCCCCGCCTGGAACAAAACTTGAAATTTAGTAGACATTCAATAAATATTTGTTGAACAAATGAATGAATAAGGACAGTAACACAGATGACAGCATTCAAGGGTATGCTGAGTGATAATGACCACCATGAGAATTAAGAGGCATTAATTCTTAATTCTCTCCATGAGAATTAAGATCACTTCTGGTGAGGGCAGTCACAGAAATGTCAAAAAGAAGGTAGGACTCTAGGTGGTGGACAGAACCTAGCACGCGGGATGTAAATGAGCATAACTCGGAAGCAGATTTGGAGAGGGGCCATTCATTAGAACATGTAGTTAATTTCCGAGCAGTTGATAGACAGTTCCCTACCATGAGAAACTGTTGAACAATAATATCTTTCTTTGGAGTTCTTCTGAGGATAATAATTTTATAAAGGGACTCGGATGTACTACTGAGTACAGGTTAAGTCAGCTGCTGATTACTGGCGCAAGAGGAGCTGAATCTCCTTTTAGCAATCCTTTAAAATTAAAAGGCTATTCAGACTACATCAGAACAGCACTGTCTTCCATTTCCTGTTCTCTTAAAGGTCAGGGTCTTTCCACTCTACCTACAAGTAAACGTTTAATCAACAGCATTTCCTAGTGATCCTGCAAACACTCATCTGCATTGCTATTAATCTTTTCCCCTATTTCCCTGGACAAAACGTTGAGCAAGGAACAGTGCTTGCCAAAGTAGAAGCAGAAATGCAAGAGAGAAGCTACGCAGCAGATGAATCCGAACCACCAGCAGCAATATTCCTATGGAAATAAACAAAGACAACTAAATGAGAAAAGTTAAAAGCGGTTTATTCAGAACTTGCCATAGCAAGGGAGCCAGCCACCATCGCTTGTGTTTTGGTGAGACTCCAAGGCAGGCAGAGGAGCGGGAAAGCTTTAAAGTGAGAAACAGGGAAGGTTTCAGGTGTGCCTTGATTGGAGGCTGTCTGCATGGGAGCAGGCTAACTAGAAGAGGAACATCTTATGGGATTTTAGTGGGGGCATATCTGGCTTTCTCTGGTTGGTCCTAAATTAAAAGTAAGAACAAAAATTAGAGGCTGGGCGTGGTGGTTCACGCCCTGTAATCCCAGCACTTTGGGAGGCCGAGGCAAGCAGATCATTTGAGGCCAGGAGTTCAAAACCAGCTTGGCCAACATGACGAAACCCCATCTCTACTAAAAATTTAAATAACTGGGCACAGTGGCGCGTGCCTATAGTTCCAGCTACTCGGGAGGCTGAGGCACAAGAATCGCTTGAACACGGGAGGCGTAGGCTGCAGTGAGCCAAGATTGTGCCACTGCACTCCAGCCTGGGCAATAGAGCAAGATCCTATATCAGGCTGGGCGCGGTGGCTCACGCCTGTAATCTCAGCACTTTAGGAGGCTGAGGCGGGGGGATCAACTGAGGTCAGGTGTTTGAGACCAGCCTGACCAATATGGTGAAACCCCGTCTCTACTAAAAATACAAAAATTAGCCTGGCTGTGGTGGCGCATGCCTGTAGTCCCAGCTATTCAGGAGGCTGAGGCAGGAGAATCGCTTGAACCCAGGAGGCAGAGGTTGCAGTGAACTGAGATCGCGCCACTGCACTCCAGCCTGGGTGACAGAGGGAGACCTTGTCTCAAAAAAAAAAAAAAGACCCTATTTCAAAAAATTAGAGGAGCTGTAAGTTATTAATCAAGTCCTGGGGCTTCTTAGTACAGAAGCTACTATTTAGCTTCCTGGATTGTTCTAGAGATAGCAGTGTGACTTCCTCCAAGTCTGACTTACAGCAGGCTGGTTTCCTGGGCTGTTTATTATGGAGATGGGGCTGTTTCCTGGGCAGGTTGCTGCAGGTTGCGGGCCAGAGCTCCATTTTTACATGTGGTCCAGCCATTGCCCATCTGTGTACACAGTCTCTCATTTCCAAGAGGGTCAGCAGTCTCACTGCAGCTTCAAAACTCCTCTGCACGACAAGATATAATCCAGCGTCCCCTCACTTCTTCCTTCCACTTACCAGTCTGCGCCCCTCTCCTAAGGCCCAACAATGCTAAATTTTCCCTTCGTTTTTTCCTCACTGTAGCATCTCTCCTACCTCACCTATTTGAGCAAGATATCTCTTTTATATTTAAAATCCTTTTGAAAATCACCTTCAGCCAGGTGCGGTGGCTCACGCCTGTAATCCCAGCACTGTGGGAGGCCGAGGCGGGTGGATCACCTGAGGTCCGCAGTTCAAGACCAGCCCAGCTAACGTGGTGAAATCCTGTCTCTACCAAAAATACAAAATTAGTCGGGCATGGTGGCAGGCGCCTGTAATCCCAGCTACAAGGGAGGGTGAGGCAGGAGAATCTCTTGAACCCTGGGAGGCGGAGGTTGCAGTGAGCCAGATCACACCACTGCACTCCAGCCTGGGCGACAGAGCAAGACTCTATCTCAAAAAAAAGAAAGAAAGAAAGAAAATCACCTTCATGCAGTCTCCGATACCAGCCCCCTCCCAAAAAACTCCGGTTCCCCTTTTCTCTCTACAGTGTTTATGGGTCCATTATTTATTTACAGGTACACATACTTATCACGGGGTATTAACATAAATAACAGTGGCTATGTTTGTTTCCCAAGATTGCTCAGAGCCTGGGATACTGCCAGAGAAGTGCTTAGTAAATGGTTCTGAAGGATAAAAGACAGAGCTATGCCTTGGAAAAACCGAGAGCAATGCCAGTCAACCAGACAGAAGAGTTTCACATCATCTGCTTAACCCTGGGTGATAGCTTTTCTCCTCAGACCTTCTTTTATTTTAAATTTAGAAACACACCAGAGGCATTTCAGAACTGTGTGCATCCTCTGCATTTGGAAAAACAGTTTCCCAGCTCTGTTTGAGGAGTGGTAAAATAATATATAACACCCAATATTATATGTATATAAACATTAAATAACATTTAATAGTTATCATAGGTGAGAATTTAATTAAATCAGTATCTGGATCTGTAAACGAAATCCAGGTACTGATTTAATTAAATTTTCACCTATGATAGCTATTAAACTAAAGCCACATGGCAATAACAAGAATGAAATCAGCCTTCCACATTTACAATCAGAACTACAAAATAAATTGAGTAAGTATAATAAAGACGAACATAACAGCATCGCAATATGACAATGCTCTTTACCTAGATTCAGATTGGCTCCTGAAACACCTCGGATCATCCATCAGGAAAGCCTGATGTGGCCTGAGCTTTTGTCCAGTACTCAGTACCAGCACTATAATAAGTTCTATTCAATTAAAATAAATATATGGCCGGGCACGGTGGCTCATGTCTGTAATCCCAGCACTTTGGGAGGCCAAGGCAGGCAGATCACCTGAGTTCAGGAATTCAAGACCAGCCTGGCCAACATAGCAAAACCCCATCTCTACTAAAAATACAAAAATTAGCCAGGCATGGTGGCACACACCTGTAATCCCAACTACTGGGGAGGCTGAGGCAGGACTACTGCCTGAACCCAGGAAGTGGAGGTTGCAGTGAGCCGAGATGGTGCCACTGCAGTCCAGCCTGGGTGACAAGAGTGAAACTCTATCTCAAAAAATAAAAAATTTAAAAAAAAAGTAAAGTAAATAAATTTTAAACCCTCCATTATAAAGCTTTCAAATACATATATGGTCAAAATCAGTTCACAGCTATTTTAAAACTGCAACAGTATGTGCACTACCGCTCTTTTTTAAGACATTCACCCAGTTTATCTGGGTTCAAATTCTAGATTCCAAAAGAATGGCCATTATGTGTAAACACCGAATCGGAAGAGTGTAAAACTATCCTGTTTATTTTATAAGTTCTGGCCGGGCACAGTGGCTCACGCTTGTAATCCCAGCACTTTGGGAGGCCAAAGCAGGCAGATCATGAGGTCAGGAGTTCGAGACCAGCTGGCCAACACAGTGAAACCCCGTCTCTACTAAAAATACAAAAATTAGCTGGGTGTGGTGGCAGGCACCTGTAATCCCAGCTACTCGGGAGGCTGAGGCAGGAGAATCGCTTGAATTCGGAAGGTGGAGGTTGCAGTGAGCCCAGATCATGCCACTGCACTCCAGCCTGGGTGACAGAGCTAGACTCCATCTCAAACAAATCAAAAAACAAAGCAAAACAATAAAACAACAAAACAAAAATTTATAAGTTCTGAGTGTTTACTCTCTGTAATTTTGATCTCCTCTGAAATCCTCTGTTGAAGATAGAAACCCATCATCTGCCTGGAACTCAGCCAATGGCCAGAAAGGATACAAATAATAAATACCACTTCTCATTTGCATACTGCTTTATAGTTTACAAATCAGTTCATGTGAAAGTCATGTGGGCCACAAATGGTGGGTGAGGCATAATCAAACATCTGCCAAGTTCTTTCTCTTACAATATGGCAGTCATTAACAGGGTGGGGGACAGACACGGGAATTTGCGCAGTTCTCTGCAAAGCCCATAAAATTGTATGCAATCTTAAAAAGTAGCCAGTGGGGCCATCTTCCCTGCAGCATATGAACATGTTTCTTTCTGCCTCCTTCCAGCATGCTCTACAAAATAGTCCTGGTAATCGCCCATGTTACCAAGTCAGCTGTCCATGGCTGCTCCCTTCCCCGACCTAAAGAAAGATTCAAGTTCAAGTTAATGCTGGAGGACCCCTAGGCAACTGCCCAACTCCCTCCCAGGCCACTCCCTCCTCCCACTTTCTAACCTGTAGTCAAATAGCCTTTTAAAATCCTGTGCTGATTATTTTTTATCCTTTGGGATGCTGGGACTGGGACTCTGCAGCCCAGGCTTATTTTGGCAGCTGGCTGTCTCTGTTTGGCTCTGCCAGGAGGGGTACTAGAGGAAGGGAGCTGTTGGCTTCCTGTTCCTAAGAGTGACCATGATCACACCACCTCATCCCGGCAGCAGCAGTTGCTTCCAGTGTTTCCACCATTTCCAGAAGCAGCCTCACCACCTCCTCCCCATCTCTCTCTGCTCAGAGACACCAGCACCTACTGGCTGGCATCCCCTCCTCAGCATGAGGCATCGGGGCCAGCCAAGCGGGACCTTCCTAGCCCAGAGGGCTGAGTCCTCACCCTGCAGGGCCCTGCTCCAAGCCCCTAAGTTTCAAAAAATATTTTTTCTGACTTTTGTTCACCCAGCCCCAAGGGTGATTGCTGTTTCCTATTCTTCTTTTTTTTTTTATTTTTTGAGACAGAGTCTCACACTGTCACTCTGGCTGAAGTGCAGTGGCATGATCTCGGCTCACTGCAACCTCTGCCTCCCTGGTTCTAGTGATTCTCCTGCCTCAGCCTCCCAGGTAGCTGGGATTACAGGCGTGCCCCACCAGGCCCAGCTAAATTTTGTATTTCTAGTAGAGTCGGGGTTTCACCTTGCTGGCCAGGCTGGTCTCAAACTCCTAGCTCAAGTGATCTGCCTGCCTCCACCCCCCAAAGTGCTGGGATTACAGGTGTGAGCCACCGCACCACACCCAGCCTGTTTCCTATTATTCTTACCTCTGTGATACCTGAGTATCCCCACTTTGCCTTTCTCTTGCCTAATACCTGGCTAACAATCCTTTCTATTAAGTTATCTGTTGAAATTCCTATCGTGGTTTCTGTCTCCTGACTGAACTCAGACCAATACAAGTCCCTTATAGGAACTCTTTCCATCTGCCTTCTTATGAACAATTAAGAACACAGCTGCTGTTGCAATCTCCCAGGAGGTCTTTATCTTTATTAATTCCTGTTCCAGGGGCTGGTCCTCAACTTGTTAGGCTCAGAAATTGGCTGTGTCAGCAAAAAACAAAAGGGAATCTGTCCCTCATGTCACTGTCGTGAGGAGAGAGACATCTGGGCCAGCATGACCACAATTAGCCTGCCACAATTTCATGGATGCTGGGAGGCACAAAACCTCTGAGTCAGAGACAAACGGCTTTCTATTCATGGCCTTAGCAGTAGCCAGAGTCTCAGTATTTGTACTGGTTCCTCAAGCCCCAATTGCCACATGACACCGTGAAGAGGACTAGGTGACATCTGCATATGCAGTGGATCGAGTTGCATAGGGAACCCTGCTCTTAGGAAACGCATATATTTTATAATGGGCAGTAAGCCTGCCTGCCCTGTGCTCCATGGAGAGCCACCGTGTCTCTTTTCCAAGGCTGTGTGCTACACAAACATCCTTGAAAAGATAGTCCAGCACAAAGGAAGCGTGAGGGACCCTTGGAGAACTATCTCCCAACGCTCATCTAGAGCTTGCAAGTCAACATGGACTTCCAGTGAGGGTAATTAGTTGGATGATTCAATTGGTTTCCATAGCAAAGATCTATCTACAGGAACTAGAGTAATTGAGTCTTTGGGCCAGGGTCCCCCTGATCTTTTCTTATTTAGTGCCATTGTGACTCTCTGAATCTAGATTTTTTTTTTTTTATTTACAGCATACCAACTCCCCCCAATTTTTTTTTTTTTTTTTGGAGACAGTCTTGTGCTTTTGCCCAGGCTGGAGTGCAGTGGCGCGATCTTGGCTCACTGTAAACTCTGCCTCCTGGGTTCAAGCGATTCTCCTGGCCTAGCCTCCCCAGGAGCTGGGATTACAAGTGTGCACCACCACACCTGGCTAACTTTTGTATTTTTAGTAGAGACGCGGTTTTACCACGTTGGCCAGGCTAGTCTCAAACTCCTGATCTCAGGTGATCTGCCCACCCCTTGCCTTCCCAAAGTGCTGGGATTACAGGCATGAGCCACCACGCCACAATCCCTTTCTTATTGACATAGATATGGTTTGGACATTTAAGTATTGTTAGTCAAGCCTTGTTCTAGCCAGTAACCAAACTACCCTGTCTCTATAAAGTGAGTGCGTTTTCTGGACATTACCAGTTATGAGATTTAGAGGGCAGTCCTATTTCCAATTCGTTGGAAATCACCTTACTATCTATCCTTTGGCACCACCTATCCCCAATTCCATAAAAAGCCTTAGTTTAAAAATAAAATTGCTTTTGCTGTTTTTCCTTAATATAAAACTTAAAAAATTACTTTTATCTATAGATTGTATCTTTACAACACACATTGTGGTTTTTAGAATCTCAGGGAAAAAATGCTATCTTAAATGTTAGTAGACTAAGATTCTTGACCTCCTAAATCAGTGTCAAATGTGAGATCATAGCTGATGCCTGGCCTATGTAGTCAGCACTCAATAAATAGTAGTCGTACTGTCAGGACTCTGGAAAATAAGAGAAATGAATCTGAGCAAAAAATAGGAAATTATAAGAATAGCAGTATCTTCTAGAAACACGCAGGCAGAAATGCAGCCAAGTTTGGAATACCTACCCTGCCCTTGCCACTCTGTTTGTACAGTGTGACCCCATTCATTGCTGCTCATTCAGCTACTATGTGCCAGGCACAGTGCCTGAGGCCGGAACACAATAGGAACACAAACAGATACGGTTTTTTACATTGTAAAGCACAGAGGTTACAGTCTAGTGGAGAGAGACAAATCAAATTATCACGCAAGGAAATAAAAAACTGCCACTGTGGTAACTGCTGAGATAGGCAAGTACATGGTGCTGAGTGTGTATAAAAGGAGTGACCCACTGAGGGAGGTCAGCAAAGGCTTCCTGAGGAAGCGATGACCAAGCAGAGACTCAAGTTTAAGCAAGCAATAAGACAATAGGGAAACGAGAAGAGCTTTCCAGACTTAGAGAAGAGCAAACGCCTCCTGGCAGGCGGAAGCACACTGAGGAAGCATGGCTGGAGCTCAGGAAGATGAGGAGACCTGCCAGATCACAGTAAAACCAAGGTCACAGAACGAGGGTTTTGCCCACAGCTACACAACTTCTGGGATACTTTCCTTATACTACCACCTTCCTAGTCAACAGACTTCATTTTCTTTCCTCTCCAAACCTTCCCCTGGGACAGAGGTCCATCAGTTAATGCTCATTCCAGGGTAAAAAAGAAATCACGAAGTAGAACATGAAAAGGAAATGCAAAAACTTGAGCCACAAAAACTGGAGACCTCGCTATGGAATTTTTCTTTGTTGAGTGTGCCCAGGAGTCTTGGGGATGGTCTATGTCAGTGGTATTCAAAGTGTGGTCCCAGGACCAGCCACATCAGCATCTCCTAAACACTTATTAGAAAAGCAAATTCAAAGGCCCCACTCAAAACCTATGAATCAGAAATATGGGAGGTGGAGCTCAGCAATCTGAATTTTAACAAGCAAAAAGCCCCACAAAAAGGGTTCCTGTTGCACAGACAATAGTCTAAATCAGTGCTTCCCAAACCTGTCTGATCATCTGAAGCAACTGGGAGCTTGTTAAAATATTCCTGGGCCACACCCCAATACCTACAAAAATTGAAATCTCAGGGCAAGGCTTGGGAATCTATATTGAGATGATCATCCTGGTTTGAGAACCACTGGTCTATATCAAAGTAACACATTGTCTGACACAGTGAGCAATTAATTCCAAGTGTCATTTGTCCTTGCCAAGTAATTAAGGGTAGTAAGTACCTCAGGCTCTGCCAGTCCAACTCAGTACATTATTTGATTTATATCTTCCATCTCCTTAGCTCTTCCCAATTTTAAAACAATATAAGACACTTCCAATTTTGACATTTGTTGAGAAATTTCTCCTTGTCTCTCAGTCTTATATCATCACAGCCACCACAAACTGTATGAGACTTAATAAGTGCTTACCAAATTCAAGCATTATGCTTTTAGCTGCAGTCTAAAAATCTGTTCTGGAAAATATCCCTTTCAAAATATCAAAAAGAAAATCATCCAGCCTTGTAATACAAACAGGCACCCAATTCAGAACTTTTTTCTCTGCCTCTGCGAGGAAATGGATTTTCTACTATCGTGACTCAGTATTTTTTATTTATTTATTTATTTATGAGACAGAGTCTCACTCTGTCGCCCAGGCTGGAGTGCAGTGGTACAATCTCAGCTTACTGCAACCTCCACCTCCTAGGTTCAAGTGATTCTCATGCCTCAGCCTCCGGAGTAGCTGGAATTACAGGTGCCTGCCACCATACCCGGCTAATTTTTGTATTTTTAGTAGAGATAAGGTTTCACCATGTTGGCTATGGCTGGTTTCAAACTCCTGACCTCAAGTGATCTGCCCAGCTTGGCTTCCCAAAGTGCTGGGATTACAGGCGTGAGCCACCACACCCAGCCTCAGCACTGTTTTAAATAAACATACAAATAAATATGGGATGAATTAAGACAATATTACGTTAACAAACAAAAAACCTTCCAGAGCTGAAAGAACAGATAATATCATAGATTCATTTTCAAGTATCAGCATTTTCAAGAATTTTCCCATATGCTGAAATTTATGCAGCTGATCTACAAATAATATTGACTGGTCTCTTAGAGGTAATTTTACATTTCTCAGAAGCTCTTAAGCAAGACAATGATATGTGACTCACTTCCCACAAGATTTAAGAAGGCCACAGCCCTGGTAAGAAGTGAAAAAAAAAAAAAATGAGTGGTCGCCTTAACATGTAAAAAGTGTGTAATTATTGGTTAGGATAGTTTCAGAAAGTTTAGTGGTTACAGGCAGCAACCTTTGAGTACATAAAATCAGAATTTATGAAGTGGCTGCTGCTATGACTCTAATAAAACAAGGAAGCAATTTAATAGTTTTAAGAAAATGGAAAAGAGCACAGGAAGGAAGAAAAGATAGGCTTGAGTAAATTACTCTGCCCCTGAAGATAGAAAAAAAAAAAAAAACACTAACTGTAAAATTGTATAATAATAATGAACTGTTTGCTGTGGTATATGGTATTATCATGTTCAAAGGAAAAAAACCCTACAAAACCTAGAAGGCATTATCAAGAAGATAGGCCATGTTACCTGTAAAAGTAAGGGGATTAGAGCAAAAACAAAAAAAGTTGAAGGTCCTCTTCTCTACTTCTATAAAATAGAGAATTTAAAAGAAAAACCTGACAGATCCCTATCTCATACCATATGGAAAACAGATTAAAGACTGATATGTAGTATCACAAAAGTAATAGAAAAAAATATGTATTGGGGGGTGACACAAAGCCCCAAAGCCAAAGTAACAGATCCAACCTCTGCAAAAGTTAAAATACTAGCAAGAAATTGAAATATTTAACAAAAGATTGAGATCTATAATAAAGTATTTGTACAAATCAAGAATAAAAGGCAAAACAACAGGAAAATAGAGAAAGGATGAGAACAGACAAGTCACAGAATACAAGGGCCAAAAATATACATATTTGAAAAAATGCATGGCTTCACTAGTGTCAGGGAAATGCAAGAGAAAAAAAGGCATTCTCACCTGACAGAGTAACATTACCATATTTGCTGTTGTGGGATGTTCTTGACTCTCAGTAAGGTCATCTAAATGTAACCTGTGTTGTGTTTGAAAAGTCCAACACTGGGATCCCTGCACTACTGTTCTGGACTGGGGGCTGCTGACTGACTGGATCAGTCCTCAGGGTAGAGGGTGCTCCAGAAGGAAAGGCACAACTCCCTAGCCAAAAGCCATGTGGGGTATGAAAAAGGAGGCCTGGACACTACCTGGTCCTTCTTCCAGTCTCACACTCTCCTGAAGCACCTGAATGATAATCCCCAGCTGAACTCTGAGGAAAATTTAAATTTTTTTTTCTAAATTAGGATACATCTTACACACTGGCACATTTCACGCATTGGCAAAACTAGTAGAAAGATTTGTAATACATTGGTAAGAACATGGGTAAAAAGAAATTCTCATGTACTAGTCAAATAATAATTTTCAGAAAGTAAAAAACATAACAAAGTAAGCACAGGTCAAAAAACTTATTAAACTTATTACCATAGGACCCTGCAAGATGACAAAAGAGAATGTCACAGAAGAATGCTGGAATAAGATCTCATAGTTAAATGCTAATGTGGTTAATGTTCTACAAGGCTAAAAAACTGTAACCTCTTTTCTATCACAGAAAAATAACATACCACTCTACCAGATCATCGTTTGCAGCTTATCAAATGATGTACAAGTTAACATCTAGCTCTAGAGTCTGGGCCTTAACAACAGTAAATCATAGTCACAATATGTTAATTACCCATTAGGTGAATTTGTTTGACAATGCTCTAGTACACTGTTTCTCAAACTTTTTTGTTGTTGTTAATTTTTTTTTGAGACAGAGTCTCCCTCTGTCACCCAGGCTAGAGTGCAGCGGTGCAATCTTAGCTCATTGAAACCTCTGCCTCCTGGGTTCAAGTGGTTCTCATACCTCAGCATCCGGCACAGCTGGGATTACAGGCATGCACCATGCCCAGCTAACTTTTATATTTTTAGTAAAGACAGGGTTTCGCCATTAGATTGTACATGAATCTAAGTGCACCATTAGATTCTCATAGGAGTGCAAACCCTATTATGAACTATGCATGCAAGGAATCTAGGTGCACTCCTTAGGAGAATCTAATGCCTGATGATCTGAGGTTGAACAGTTTCATCCCAAAACCATCCCCCTGCCCTGTGCATGGACAAATTGTCTTCTGTGAAACTGGTCCCTGCTGCCAAAGAGGTTGGGGACCACTACTCTAAATCTTCAGCCAGTTAACAAGCTCCCTTCTCAGTCAAGGTTAAATGCAGAAAGACAGCTTATACAAATGCAGGGAAAACATACACCAACTACCAAGAGGGAATCCCTCTTTCCTAGCTAAGGGGGAACATTTAAGGACAACAGACAGCACACAGAGCCAATGATAATCAAAGGGGAAAACAAGGAACAGAAAATGTGAAAATTCTGATTGATCTCCTCTGAGATGTAAGGGTACTACATGTATGAAACAAGAATTAGAGGATGGGCGTGATGGCTCACGTCTGTAATCCCAGCACTTTGGGAAGCCAAGGCAGGTGGATTACCTGAGGTCGAGAGTTTGAGACTAGCCTAGCCAATATCGTGAAACGCCATCTCTACTAAAAATACAAAAATTAGCCGGACGTGGTGGTGCGCACCTGTAACTCCAGCTACTCTGGAGGCTGAGGCAGAAGAATCGCTTGAACCCGGGAGGTGGAGGTTGCAGTGAGCCGAGATAGTGCCATTGCACTCCAGCCTAGGTGACAGGGCAAAACACTGTCTCAAAAAAAAAAAAAAAAAAAAAAAAGGTGGGGGCGGGGGAGGGAGGGGCTGGGGCTGGGCATGGTGGTTCACACCTGTAATCCCAGCACCGAGGTAAGCAGATCACCTGAGGTCGGGAGTTCGAGACCAGCCTAATCAACATGGAGAAACCCCGTCTCTACTAAAAATACAAAATTAGTCAGGCATGGTGGTGCATGCCTGTAATCCCAGCTACTCAAGAGGCTGAGGCAGGAGAATCGCTTGAACCCAGGAGGCAGAGGTTGTGGTGAGCCAAGATCGCACCATTGCACTCCAGCCTGGGCAACAAGAGTGAAACTCTGTCTCAAAAAAGAAAAAAAGAAAGAAAGAAAAAGAAGAGAAAAAAGAATTAGAGACAGCAATCTTTAATATGTAAATACAAATTACTAGCAAGGCGAGGTGGCTCACACCTGTAATCCCAGCACTTTGGGAGGCCAAGGCAGGAAGATCACTTGGGGCCAGGAATTCGAGACCAGCCTGGGCAACATAGTGAGACTCCATCTCTACAAAAAATTAAAATTTAAATTTAAAAAGTAGCCAGGCTAATAGTGGTGTGCGTGCCTGCGGTCCCAGCTAATCAGGAGGCTGAAGTGGGAGGATCACTGGAGCACCAGAGTTTGAGATTACAGTGAGCTATGGTCATGCCACTGCACTCCAGCCTGGGCAACAGAGTGAGACCCTGTCTCTAAAAAATAAAGAATTACTAAATTTAAAATGAAATAGAAGAGCTGAATAATAAGGTAATGGATATGTTCAAAGAGTGAATTAGTGGTCTGGAAGGTGATATCTGAAGAAATCTTTCAGAATAAATAGATCAAGACAAAATACAGAAGTATAGTGTAGAGGGTAAGTTAATAGGTTTGACATCCACCTAAGAAAAATAATTTTAAAAATCTTATTTAAAATTGCCTTTTAGTACAAGAATGGTACAATGACTCAGATGAAAGGACCGTGGGGGTAAGCAGCATGAATGACAAATGTCCCAGAGATCTAGACACAAATTGGTGAAATTTTAGGACTCCAAGCATAAAAAGAAAACCCCAAAAGTTTTTCATGAGGAAAAAATAGGTTACTTATCAATAAATAAAGAGAGGTAATCGGATTGGTGTGACTTTAATCAACAATACTGGATAACAGCAAATGATTGTTATAGCTTCAAAATTCCAAAGGAAAATGATTTTGAGTCTAAAACCATAACTCAATTTAAAAAACTTTAAATTGAAGATTCAACATTTAATTACTTGAAGATATGCAGCAGCACACCAGAAAACTAATCCTGGGATGCAAGAGAAAGCAATCAGAAGAAAACAGTAAAACTCACAGTGGCCTAATAACTATTTACACATACGCACCAAGATCCCAGGGATTAATCTAAAACTAAAATCGTATCTGATTACATCACAAAAAGAGGCTGAGGTGGGGAAGTGAAACAATGCTAAGGTTACTGACTTAATTGGGAGATGGATGGAAGATGTGGCTACTAATTAACTCTAAACTTAAAGAAAAAAGGTAATCACTAAAGAAATAGCAATAGGTTTAATTACTTCCAAACCACTGGAGGAATAACAAGGAGAAAAAAATAACAAGCCAGTAAGATGACAAAATAAAAACAAGAGAGCATGATATATAGAAAATACAAAGTAAGACAGCCAGGAATAGTCCAAATGTTTTAATAATCTCAATTAATATAAATGTATTAAATTTCCCAGAGCTGGTTTGATTAAGGAAAATAGAAGTCAATTATAGAGGATATGAGAAAAAGTAAAGTATTTCAGTTATAAAAGGCACAACTCACCAATAGTCATGTAATGCTTACATTTCAGAAACTGATTAAACGAACAATAAGATAGGAATGTAGAAGGCAGAAAGTTTGAACAATTAACAAGCTAAATCCAAAAAAACCTGTACCCAAAACAGGCAAAGCACCCCTCTACCCACCCAAAACTCATAGAATATTTACAAATATTGACCATATAATTCCATAAAGTAGAAACCATACAGGCTATATTATATCTCCTTAGAAATTTTAAATACACTTGGAATCTGAAATACCCATTAAAAATAAACAATAGTCACCATAGCTAAAGACTGTCAGACATACAGCCAAGGGAGTACTCAGGAGTATTTTCAGTCCTAAATACATTTATTATCAGGAAACAAGAAAAATGGAAAATAAAACTGTTTCTATAATATACCTTAAGGCAGTGTGGGGATCAACAACATCCCTGGAGATATGGTCATCAATGAAAGTAGTCCAGGAGTCCATGAATTCATTTATTAACCCATAAGCCTATAAAATGTGTATGCTAACTAGTAATAAAAGTACAAACTGTGTTATATTTTAGAATATCAACTCAGTTGTAACACTAGTTACTTCATCCTGAGTTGGTTGGGAATCACATCTTTGAATATATCAAAATTAAACTGAGTTCCTTGAAGTCAGACATGGCCTTATTTATTTGTATACCTTTAATATAGGCACAATAGAGGTACAAAGAGTAAGCACTCAACAGTGTTACATGAATTGAATTAGTTAATGTATAAGGCAGATAATTTCCCAAAATATGGGGCTCACTGGAGGAGTAGGGTGAAACAGAATAAACAGATCTGTATGGTGGGTACAAGGCTGGAAAACACTGGCTAAACATGAATCTTCATCTCAGGTCTGTGACGTCACTAGGGTCACATGCCAGGTGTTCCAAGATTCTGGAGAGGATTTTACCAACATGGAGGAGCTATCAGCTTTCTTACCTTTCTTCCTTGACAGCAAGATTCATGAACTTCAATAATCACAATGTTAGGAAAAGTTAATCTTCAACTATAACAAACTAATTTTTTACAAATTTAGTCCCTTTTAGCTGTATGTCAAAAGGACAGACCAATAGCTACAGCTAGTACAATGACTAGAACACAAGCTCAAATTCCCTGGTATTATAGGAGACAAAAAGATCTCAATAGCTTTCATTTACTTTACAATTTTTAAAAAGCTTCAATTAAGTACTTCAATTTTATCTAAACATAAAGAGGCCCCATCTGTATTAATATTTTAAACATTCAATATTTGAGCTATGTAAGTCGTGCTAGTAGGTGAATTTAAACATGTCTTAAATAAGGAATATTTACATTTCGAAACCTTCTGATTGTATTAATTTGATCTGGTTTATTTTTAAAATATTCCCCCTTGCTACAGAACATCTTCCTTTTCTGCATTAAAAACAAAATGGCTGTATTTCTCTGCCCAACTTTGCTTAGCTGAATCAATCCTTTTAAAAGCTTTCTTCTTTACTGCTAAACCTATCTTCAATTCTTAACTAACACAACATCAGTCATTCTTACATGAGAACAATACATTAAAATAAATACAAAGAAAAAATTCTCCCAGCAAATACTAGATTCAATCCCAACAATACAGACACAGTCTTAAAAAATCAGTTATTTTTTTATTTGCATAGAACCAAAGGAAAGACTTAAAATTCCAACATACATCCTACGAGGCTTACAATTTAATTACAAATCCAATTTTGACGGAAAAAAGGGTTTTGGTTTTCCTCTACTAACGAGGATGATACTGTTTCACATGCTTCAGTTATGTATGCTGAAACACCAGATGCCTATACATCTTTACTTTTCGCAGAATTAGTATCCAGTCCAAAAAAGTCTTTTTTGATGATGTACCGAACACACTGCAAAATCACATTTCTTTCATGTCGAATGTCCGGAGCTAGAAGCTAAAACACAATTTAAAAAAAGATGAGGTAGTAAATAAATTATATCTGGGAAATACAATCTAAAATATTGCATGTACCCTCACCATATAAAGAAGACAGAACAATAAGAAATATGTATTATATTCACTATTTTGCTAAAAAACGATGCAAGAACATGTCCTTTTAATTTATATCAAGACTATCTAGCTTTTTATTTATTTATTTATTTTGAGACGGAGTCTCGCTCTGTTGCCCAGGCTGGAGTGCAGTGGCGGGATCTCAGCTCACTGCAAGCTCCGCCTCCCGGGTTCACGCCATTCTCCTGCCTCAGCCTCCCGAGTAGCTGGGACTACAGACACCCGCCACCATGCCCGGCTAATTTTTTGTATTTTTAGTAGAAACGGGGTTTCACCGTGTTAGCCAGGATGGTCTCGATCTCCTGACCTTGTGATCCACCCGCCTCGGCATCCCAAAGTGCTGGGATTACAGGCGTGAGCCACCATGCCCGGCCAAGACAATCTAGCTTTTTAAACAGTACTAACGCTTATATTTGGAGTCCTCTCTAAGAGTATCTAGCATAGGACAGGAAAATAGGTTTAAACGTCTGCGATTCTTTTTTTTTTGAGACAGAGTTCCACTCTTGTTGCCTAGGCTGGAGTGCAATCATGCGATCTCAGCTCACCATAACCTCCGCCTCCCGGGTTCAAGCAATTATCCTGCCTCAGCCTCCCGAGTAGCTGGGATTACAGGCATGC
Source organism: Homo sapiens (assembly GCF_000001405.40). Classification (NCBI taxonomy): domain Eukaryota; kingdom Metazoa; phylum Chordata; class Mammalia; order Primates; family Hominidae; genus Homo; species Homo sapiens. The sequence continues at coordinate 44,942,057 of NC_000013.11, forward strand.
TCCACCATGCCCGGCTAAAAAGTCTGCAATTCTTTAATCTAAAATTATGTCAAAGAGGATTGCCCAAACCCAAATTCATAAGCAGTCTAGAAATTGGTAAGTACATCTATTTACATGTAACAATGAAAATAGCAGTAAAAACTTCCAACATTCCTTGACTTTTATAACTTTCCATTTTTGTGCTTATTGTAATTAAAAGAAAGCTAGAAATCCCTGGTATTTAGAACAAGCACATAATCAAGGAATCACATGTAGTTTGCCAAAAAGGAATTTATTTTATTTTCTGGTGTTATTGATAGAGTTCAGAAACATCATACAGAAACTTTCAGTGGAAAGCTCACTTAATTTACCAATTATAAGGTAACTTTTTAAAATGTAATTTACTATGTATACAAAATGGAGCGTATATTTCAGATCCATTTTAATAGGAAGCAACTGTGCTACATGTAGCACCTCAAGAGTGTAGCCACTGAACACTTTAGCTACAAAATAAGTACTTAACTTGTAAGTCAAAACCAAACAGACTTTTCACAGAATGTCAAGTTTTATAACTCCACTAAAAAATGTAAAATACTTCTATTGCTTAGACATGAAAATCTTTGATTTTCAAACAGCTTCATGTCCACTACTGAGAACTTGAAGATGCATTGCTTCCTCTTTATAATTTGAAGAAAGCTATTAGATTTTTGAGCACATAATGCTGAGAATAAAGCCACGAATGCACAGAATAAACACAAATAAATAAAGGTGTACAAAGAAAAAAAATTAGCATGGTAGTGCATGCCCATAGTCCCAGCTACTTGGGAGGCTGGGGCAGTAGGATCACTTGAGCCCAGGAATTCGAGGCCACAGTGAGCTATGATCACGCCACTACACTCCAGCTTGGGTGACAAAGCAAGACCTCAACTCTTAAAAAAAAAAAAAAAAAAAATAGGTGGAGGAGGGAGGGAAGGAAGACAATCCCAGAAGATAACAAATGAGAATTGTCAGAAAACCTTAGGCCTTTCCTTTTTGTTACTGTATGGTTCTCAATAGACATTTGTACTAAAAATCTTTTTTTCCCTTCAGCTTGCCATTGTACTTTTAGCTGTGCTTTCACTGGAAACTTAAAAGAAAGTCAATAAACCTCAGTAGATACTTCCTTACCAACTAGTGAAACCTAAATTTATTTTAAGTGGTTGTAAAAATTACATTATTCCACATTCACTGAATATACCAGCTATATGCCAAATGTAGCTACAGAATTAAGATACAAAGTCTCCAAGGTCAATGTGTCTCTGGTAACCTTAAAACAAACACACACACACACACACACACACACCCCAGTGGCTCTATCTTTATGATGTGAGAACACAAAGATTAGAACCTAAAGAAAAATAATTTACCATTTCCAAGAGATATGGATGGTGTGTTCTTGGTTCGAATAACGTTTGATAGTTGTGATAATCTTTTTTCCTCTTAGGGTTTGTTTTTTCAAAGCTTTTCTTTCGGTTCTCACTCTTGGCTTCTGAAAAATTTCTAACAGTTGCTTTAACATCTTGACTTGGACTCTTAGGAGCACTGCTATCAAGAACCTGGTTTTCTGCCAAAACGTCTGCTTCAGTCTTGATGGGAGTTTCTAAGTGTGATGAAAAACAAACACAAAAATAAACAAAACAAAACAAAACAGGTAGACCTTTCAAAAGCAACCAACAAATCCATAATAATCCTCCTAGCCATAATATTGTTCACTTAATAACTTAAAACTATGAAAGATTTTTGCAAGGCATTTATAATGTATTCTAGTATTTTTCAAATTGGAAGCTGTAACTACCAAAAATTGAGAAGACTACCATGAAGAGCTACAGAAAGTGATCTCTATGAAAGAAATAATGCCAGATGGAAACTTGGATCTATACAAAGGAAGGATAAGTGCTGGAAAAAGTAAATATGTGAATAAATATAAAAGACTTTTTTTCCTCATTGGCAAAATTTTAAAACTAAAGCAAAAATATTAAGTGTATGTGCAATTTATAACATCTATAGAAATAAAATCTCTGACAACAATAGTAAAAAGGCAGAAGGAATATGTAAGTAGTATACACTGTAAAATCTTAAATTACATGTGAAGTAGATATCATTTGAAAGTACACGATGAAAAGTTAAGCTGCATACTATAAACTGCAGACCAACTCCTAAAAAGTAAAACAAAGAAGTCAAAAGGATGAAAGAAGATACCAAGCATATACCAATCACATGAACGCCGAAAGTCTGTATTAATGTCAGACAAAAAAGACTTCAGAACAGTGAACATCACCAGGGATGAAGTGGAACAGTTCATAATGCTAAAGGGGTCAATTCGTCAATAAGACAAAGAATAACACCTAAGAACAGATTTTCAATATGCATTGCAGCGAAAACTGATAGAACTGAGAAGAGAATTAGACAAATCCATTATTATGATTGAATATTGAACGTTCCAATCTCAGTAATTAAAGAAAAATTGGACAGAAAATTCGTAGGGATACAAAATATCACTAACGATTAACTCAAATTGACAAAGAACACCCGACCTAATACATTTTCTTGTCAAGTTCATATGAACATTTACCTTGTGTTGGGCCATAAAATAAGTATCAATAAATTGAAGAAATTGAAAGTATAGAGATATGTTCTCTGACTGTAGCAGAATTAAACTAAAATCATTAACAGAAAACTAGCTAGAAAACCCCCAAATATTTAGAAACTAAACAACACACTTCTAAATAATCCAAGAGTTAAAGAACAAATCATAAGAGAGATTAGGAAATATTTTGAAATAAATAAAAATGAAAACATAATGTATCATATTTGTGGACTACAGCTAAAGCAGTTCATGAAGGTACATTTATGGCTTTCAATGCTTAAATTAGAAATGAGAAAAGTCTAAAATCAATTATCTATGCTTCTACTGTAATGTGTAGGGTCTGAGGAAAGAGGAAATACTAAAAAGTGAAAATCAGTGGATTAGAGTGAAAATCAATGACAACAGAGAAAAACCAACAAAACCAGAAGTTGGTTCTTTGAAAAGATTAATAAAATTAATAAATGCACCAAGACTTTTTGAGAAAAAGAGAAAAAAATCAATTAACAACTTGAGAAATAAAAGAGGAGGACATCATTATAGATCCTACAGATATCACAGGAAATATTATGAACTATATACCAATAAATTAACAACTTAGGTGAAGCAAATTCTTTTGAAAAACACAAATCATCAAAACCCACTCAAGAAGAAATAGGAAAATATGAATAGTCCTGGACCTATTAATGAAATTTAATTCATAATTTAAAACTTTCCCAAAAACAAAATGCCAGGTTCAGATGGCTTCACTACTGAATTCTACAAACAAGAAACAAAAAGAAAAACTGGTAGAAATCCTACACAAACCCTTAAAAAAGAGGAGGAAATAGATCCCTACTCATACCAAATCTCTTACAATAAAAGAAAACCATAGACTAATATCCCTCATGAACATGTATGCAAAACTCCTTAATAAAATATTAGATCAAATCCATCAATGTATTAAAAGGGTAATAGACCATGACCAAGTAGATTTTATCCTGGGAATACAGGCTGGTTTGACATTTGAAAATCAATTGACATTTCACCATTATTAACAGAATAAAGGAGAAAAACCATATGAACAGTTGAAAATTCACAAATTTTAAGCTCAGAATCTTCACCTCTCCCCACTCCCCAATAGTTATACTATTTACTTACTATGAATCAGTGTGATATGATATAAAGAATTCTATTCTAGAAGTTGGGAGACAGGGTTCAATTGCCTAGACAAGAGTGGCAAAACCCATAATACTCAAACATTACATAGGACTGAATGTAGAAATTATATTTGAAAAGAAGTATAGGGACAAGTGTTAAAAGCAGACTCTGGTGCCAGACTGTTAGGTTCAAATCCTAGTTCCATCATTTACTAGCTGTGTGACCTTTGGGCAAGCTACTTATCTCTACCTAAATCTCTTCATCTATAAAATAGAGATGATAAATAAGAAAAACCAGGACACTATTTTCTATTATTCCCTTCCCCTCAAGTATCGATCACTCAATTCAGGAACACAAAGTCAAATGAATCAGAGCTTATAATTGTCAATTTTCTGCTAAGAAATGAGGACGGGACTAACATTTATATTTTTCTCTTTCTTGAGATTTACAACATTTCCCAGATAAGTATCATATATTAATGTAATGTTCACCAATTAAATTTTAAATATAGCTCATTCAGTTCTATCAAACATTTAACACCCTTTTTGGTTTGTGGCCTTCTGAAATAGTCTTTAATTTGGAAATCTCCCCCATTATAGCCAAATCAGTTTGAGGAAACATAATTTTGGGGAGTTGTAAAACTGTGCTTAAATTCTAACACAGTTAAAAAAATGCTAAAATGCTAACATGCAGAATAGATATTAAACCAACCCATTTGGAAGTATTTCTTATTAAATTTGTATCTTAGTGATTCTTACAGACCCTGATGTGAGTATTACCTCTTCCTTTGCTTCAGTCTTACTTGAGGGACACTTTCCTTGTTTAAATATCTTTCCAGAAAAATGCTATCCATGTTTAAGATTCCAAACACTTTCATGCTAATTCTTAAGTCAAGACAGATCTTAATTATGAAGACACAATTGTTAAACTCAGGAAGAAACAGATTGTTCCTATATATTTAGAATCCAGGTAAATAAGCAGCCTTCTAGATACTATTTCATGGTTAAAAGACCACTTTGTTTCCTTGGTATTATTTATTTAAAACTCCCTATGTGTCAATATCCCATCCTAGAGCCCAGAATTAATACTGAAAGCTAGAAATTTGCTAGTGACCTGGATGGCTTAATAAAGCTGAATTCAAATTATATAAAATAATTCTTAAGACTTAGGAATGTGAAGCAAGGGTTTTTTCCTTAAAGCAGGACATTTTAACAATTAGTCAAAATACATTCATACAAAATCTTATATATAGTTTAACAGATAATATCCTTTGTTATCTATAAAAGAAAAGTCTACGCATTATTGTGCAGGATGACAGTAAATGCCAAAGAGAGAAAGACTATAATGGAAGGCAATGAAAGTTGGCTTCTTCGGACTTTTAAGACTCCAAACCTATATGTCAGGTCTGCTACATACCAGCTTGCCAAGCTTATTCCTTTTTTTTTTTTTTTTTTTTTTGAGATGGAGTTTTACTCTGTCACCCAGGCTGGAGTGCAGTGGTGCGATCTTGGCTCACTGCAACCTCCACCTTCTGGGTTCAAGCAATTCTCCTGTCTCAGCCTCCTGTGTAGCTGGGATTACAGGCGCACACCACCACACCAGGCTAATTTTTGTATTTTTAGTAGAGATGGGGTTTCATCATGTTGACCAGACTGGTCTTGAACTCCTGACCTCCGGTGATCCACCTGCCTCGGCCTCCCACAGTGCTGGGATTGCAGACATGAGCCACCGTGCCCGACCAAGCTTATCCTTTCTATGCTTAAGGTTCTATAAAATAAAGAGGTGATCTCAAAGATCCCTTCCAGTTTCCTTTCTTCCAATTTAAAATGATGGCAGTCTCAAAATGAAGACATGAGTATAAAAATACTGTTCCATCTTAAGAAACAGAGAAGCAAGCATTAGTCCAGCCTGTTTTTATGGGATTCTGTAATTCTGGTAATAGTTTTCTTTGCTATCACCTGTTATGAATACAACTGATAAGCAGGAAATGTAATATGTGTTTAAAGAATAACTCCATCTTCACACCAATGTATGAGAAACAAGAGCACAAAAAAATGCTATTTTTCTTAAAATTAAAATAGGCAACCATCTGTTAAGGAATACTGTGATAAAGCCAAAGTAGCTTATATTTCAAAATTCAAGTAGCTATTAAGAAGCTACCATAGTAAGCCATGGCCCACTTAAAAAAGAAAAAACTTCCCATGTTACAGATACATGTAAACACCATTTTTCATATTAAAGCCTAACGGCTCCTTATTCAACATCTTCCAAATACATAAACATTGATTATCTCTAGCCTAGTCAACATTAAAAGTGCTGCCATCTCCATCAAACTACATTTCCTTTTTTTTTTTTTTTTTTTTTGAGCCAGAGTCTCACTGTCACCCGGGCTGGAGTACAGTGGCACAATCTCACCTCACTGCAACCTCTGCCTCTTGGGTTCAAGCAATTCTCCTGCCTCAGCCTCCTGGGTACTGGGACTACAGGCACGTGCTGCCATGCCCGGCTAACTTTTGTATTTTTTGTAGAGATGGGGTTTCACCATGTTGGCCAGGCTGCTCTCGAACTCCTGACCTCAGGTGATCCACCCTCCTCAGCCTCCCAAAGTGTTGGGATTACAGATGTGAGCCACCGTGCCTGGCCCATCCAATTACATTTGAATCTTCTCTTCATTCTATATAAACACTTTTAGACCTGTATTCTTATTCTCAGCACAGCTCCTACTTTGATTACACATCTTGTCCTGAGACATAGACATGAATTTTCTCACGGCTGGTAAAGTCTAAATAAAATGACCACACAGAGCCAGGTGTCCACAACAGTGGAACATAGATTTATTCATTAAACATATGCTGGATTATTGATATAAACCTTGGATTAAAAACTGCTACACTGCATCAGATCAAGAGCCTACTCATGGCTCTTTCAGGTAGCCCTGAAAGAGATGCTGAAGGAAATTAAACTGGTTTATCACAATTAAATTTCACAATGAAGCCTCACACGTTACCATCCGTAACATCATCTTTAAAGGTAAGACATGTATTCTGAAAGTTACTGACTTCTCAGAAAGACTCTTGAAAAGATTCAATTTCTTCCGACCTTTAAAATGCACAAGCTAATGCAGACACAAGTATAAGGTTGTTGTGTTTTCCAAATGAGATAATTTATGTAAATATGCTCTAGGAAGAACAATGCCCTATATGCATTAAAAAAATTGTATCACACTCTTTGTCATAAAAGATCTCTCTCCATCTACCAAAGATGCTATAAACACGTTATAACAAGGGTTCTTCAGAGCAGAGAGAAAAAAATGAATTTTCTTTTTGCCATTTCGTTTAGAATTTTCTTCAGTTCTGTTAGTGGATATTTTCTTTTCCTTCCTATTCTTTCATTATATTGTATTTTTTTTTTTTTTTTTTTTGAGACGGAGTCTCGCTCTGTCGCCCAGGCTGGAGTGCAGTGGCGGGATCTCGGCTCACTGCAAGCTCCGCCTCCCGGGTTCACGCCATTCTCCTGCCTCAGCCTCCCAAGTAGCTGGGACTACAGGCGCCCGCCACTACGCCCGGCTAATTTTTTGTATTTTTAGTAGAGACGGGGTTTCACCGTTTTAGCCGGGATGGTCTCGATCTCCTGACCTCGTGATCCGCCCGCCTCGGCCTCCCAAAGTGCTGGGATTACAGGCGTGAGCCACCGCGCCCGGCCTATATTGTATTTTTTTGCCTTTTTATTCCCAGAGTAGCAACACATTTCTTTATTACTCCAGAGTTCCTTTAACCCATGTTAACTTTACTTCTGATTCAAATGGAAAAGGAATTTGAAAACCAAATAAAGGATGCACATCCTGGATGTTATTAATGCGCAGCATGCACAAAAGGCAAAAAGCAACAAAACAAAACCCTGTAACAACACACACCATGACTTACCTTCTGGCTCACTCTCTGACCCTGAAAGACTGCCATAGCTACTCATTAGTGAGCATAGGGCTGGTGTCACTTCCTTGGGTATCACAGAATGTTGTGGTTTCTCCTCCTTATCAGACTCTGAAGGGAAAAGAAGTCAGATTCAAAACATCTACCACCATAAAAAAGCTGTCCATCCCCCATTCCCTCATTTGTTAGTGAAAATTAAGTAATTTCTGATCATTTCCTTAATCTTTCCAAAAGACTAATTCTAGGGGGCCAGAAACACTTCCCCTTGGTTTAGACATCTTCATGGGCCAAGAAACCATTTGCCCCAGAGGAGACAGTGAGGGAAAAGGAAGCTATATAGAGCTCAGTTACTTAGCATGCTTCACAGGTTATACAATCTGAGCATACTCTAAATTAACTTAATTACATAGTCTTTGCTGTTCATTTACAGGTAGTAGGAAGACCCAAACTTTATTTAACTTCACTGGATTGGGATCACTGCCTCTGAAAATTAGGTTTAGAAATAAATGAAGTATTAAAATACCTATGCTTTTAACTGTTTTTAAGACTGTTTTTGGGGATCCAAATAATATTCAAAGCATTCTATAGGCTTAGTCAAACAGTAATGCTGGAATTAATCCACCCAAAGTTTTTTTAGAGACAGAGTCTTGCTCTGTCACACAGGCTGAAGTGCAGTGGCATAATCTCGGCTCACCACAACCTCTGCCTGCCAGGCCCAAGCAATTATCTTACCTGAGCCTCCTGAGTAGCTGGGATCACAGGCGTGTGCCACTATGCCCAGCTAATTTTTTGTATTTTTAGTAGAGATGCGGATTCACCATGTTGGCCAGGCTGGTCTCAAACTCCTGGCCTCAAGTTGATCAGCTTGCCTTGGCCTCCCAAAGTGCTGGGATTACAGGTGTGAGCCACTGTGACCAGCCCACTCAAAGTTTTTATTATTTAAAACTTCTAAGAACTTAAATAAACAAGGCAACCATGAGAATTTACCAAGCATAATACTAAAGTGCCTGCCAAATATAAAGTGTTTGATCCAGGCCCAGCAAGCCTAGTTGTAGCCCCAGGACACCACCTATTACATTTCTTTTTGGCAGCTCTAACAATCTAGTAACTCTATTCTAGACAACCAATAAAAATAAGGCCTCACTGAAGACAATAAGTAATTTGTCTATTTAATTAACCAACTCAACCTAAAACCAATATAAAATGTTTCAAGACTAAGCATTTAATGTTCACCAAGTCAGTCTAGGGGAAACCAAAGCATGCCAGTAGGAAATGGGAATATCTTTCTATGTGAATGTTCAACTGCCACCTTCTGCTGGATGGAGCTAAATCCTCTCTCCTCACTACACACCATCACACCTATAAAAGTACTCCTTGTCAATTTTAAGCTAAGTTACCTTTACTCCTTGATTAATAAAGGGAAAGGAAAGTATGAAGTTTATGTGAATTACTAGTAGATTAAGCAGAAATCCACCACAGTGTTAGTATGGAGACTTCCCATTCATTGGCTGAATGATGAAAGAAAAAACTGCAGCATTTATTTCCAAGACTCAAAGAGAGGTAACAAAAAGTACAGTAATAGTTGAATATTATGCTCTTCAAAAGCATGATCTGACCTAATCCTTATGAGGTATGTGATGAGGGATGAAACAAAAATCCAGAGAATTTGAGTAACCTTTCCTTAAGATAACTATAAATCAGTTGGGTCAAATTTAAAGCCTGGCTATCTGACTCCAAATCCAAATTGTTACCAGTGAGCTAGAATGCTTCCCACAGACAAAGTCTTCTTAAAATGAAGCCATCCTATCAAAGTGTCTTTATGGTCCACAATAATGCTAATAATGTCTCCCAGCTATAGCTCCATTTCTTTCCTCCCTTTTATAGTAAAACTCCAAACAGTTATTTGATATGCAATCATACCTTGGAGATATTGTAGATTTGGTTCCAGACCACTGCAATCAAGTGAATATGGCAATAAAGTAAGTCACACAAATTTTCTGGTTTCTCAGGGCATATAAAAGTTATGTTTACACTATACTGTAGCATATGAAGTGTGCAATAGCATTATGTCTTAAAAAATGTACCTTAATTTAAAAATATTTCATTGCTAAAAAATGCTAAAACTCATCTGAGACTTCAGGGGATTGTGATATTTTTGCTGATGGAGGGTACTGTCTTGATGTTGCTGGCTGCTGACTGATCAGGGTTGTGGTCACTAAAGGCTGGGGTGACTGTGGCAGTCTCTCTGCCTTGACTGCTATTCCCTTAGGTATCAGCCTCGCATTTCATTCAGATGTCTTAATGTCACCTTATTAGAGATGCCTTTACTGATCACTTCAGATAAAAGCACATATCCCCTTTTCTGACCACCATTCTCTATTATTTTACTCAGCTTCAATCATCTTGATAATTCTGTTTTTTTGTTTTTGTTTTTGTTTGAGACAGAGTTTCACTCTGCTGCCCAGGCTGGAGTGCAGTGCATTCTACCTCCTGAGTTCAAGCGATTCTCCCCTTAGCCTCCTAAGTAGCTGGAATTACAGGCACGTGCCACCACACCAGGCTAATTTTTGTATTTTTAGTAGAGACGGAGTTTCACCCTGTTGGCCAGGCTGGTCTCGAACTCCTTACCTCAAGTGATCTGCTCACTTTGGCCTTCCAAAGTGCTGGGATTACAGGCATGAGCCACTATGCCCAGCTCCCACATTTTCTATATTACTTTTATAATCAGAAAATAACAGAAAAAAATAAAAACAAAGGGAAATTGACTCTGGAAAACTGTATTCTTCACAATCCAATTCATGAAGCCGAGGGCAAGGCTTTAATGTCCTTTCCCTCCTCCCTTCTTTTTTAAACTTTGTATTTTGAAACAATTTTGGATTTATACAAATGTTGCAAAGATAGTACAGAGTCTCCATATATCCTTCATCCAGCTTCCCTGATGTTACCATCTGACATAACCAAAGTACTTTATGATAGCTAAGAAGTTAACACTGGTACCACACTAGTATTTAAACTATAGACTGTAATGTAATTTCACCAGCTTTTCCACTAACGTCCTTTTTTCTGTTCCAGGATACAATCTGCTATACTACATTGCATTCGGTTGTCATGACTCCTTAATCTTCTTTAAATCTGTGACAGTTTCTCAGTCTTTCCTTGTTTTTCCTGAACTTGATACTTTGAAGATTATTGTCAGGTATTTTTAGAATGTCCCTCAGTTTGGGTCTGTCTGACATTTTTGAAGATTAGACTGAGGCTATGGATTTTGAGAAGGAATACCACAGAGATGTGCCCTTCTCATCACAACCCAGGTCCATAATATCAGTAGGACTTATTACTGGCAATGTTGACCTTGACCACTTTATGGTCTGCCTGCTTTCTCTACTACAAAGTTACTATTTTTCTCTTTCATTATTCTATTTCTTGAAATGAGTTACTAAGTTTAGCTCACACTCCAGGGAAGAAGAATTAAGCTTCAACTCAAGTAAGGAATATCAAAGAATTTTCGACATATGTTAAAACCATGGTAATTAATAATTATTATAATTAATAAATATTTTGGGGGGAGATATTTTGAGGCTATAACAAATATTGTTTCATTTTAACGTTTCACCACTAATTTTACCATTCATCAGTGGATCTTGCCCAAAACAATTATTACTGTGGTGCTCTAATGCTGACTTGCTATTTCTCTCATTTCTTCTACATTTAATAATTAGAATTATTTTGTAAGAAAGACCTGTCCCTCCTCCCCCACATTTATTTATTTATTTAGGCACTCATATCAGTATAGACTCATGGGTATTTATTCTATTCTGAGGGTTATAATTTATTATTATTTATTTTGTGGCACCAATTGTTCCAACTTTGGCCCTTGGGAACTCTTTCTAGTATCCTTCTGACATACCCACATCTTCACATTTTTTTAGCATTTTCTTACTTTCTGGCGCTATGAGATGCTCTAGGTTCAGCTTATATTTTCCCTGTCCCAACCCCAGAATCAGTCATTTCTCCAACAGGCTCTGGTTCCTTTACCTGGAGAATAGTATTTGGAAACCACAATTAGAGTGCTAGGTATACTTGTTCCTAGGAGTGTCAAAGCTCACTATACTTGACTTACCTAAAGGGTAAGTTACAAATTCACACAAATAAACAACTCTTTCCCTATTTTTTCTTCTCCACTCAGTTAAATGTTTAAGGGACAAACCATATGTAATAACACTTTGAAAAATACTGTCCTTTTGGCACTCTCAGAACATCTCCTACAGTAACTTTTCATCTTAAAAAGAAAGAAAGAAAGAAAGAAAAGTCCCTGGGATCTACCTAGTAGTTCTAATGCAGGCATTTTTAGCACCTATAGGTAAAGACTATGCTGAAGGCATTGTACTGGCTGACAAAATAATACTCAAGAAACTTCATTTTATAAAAACAGCTAAAACATCTTTCTAAACTGAAAATACCAGCATAGAGATAGCAGCAATTGATCTGACAGAACCAGACTTTAGCATTTTTATAAAATACGAGCTCAAACAATTTCTTTTACCATTAAAACATTAGCGACACTTTTCTTAGGGTAAATCTCACCTCTCTCGTATACACACATCATGTTCCCACCATCCCCCCCTAAAAAAATCTAATGCAATGATCTAAAAATTATTCTTAGACTATGAGTTTCTGGAAGGCAGGGAGACTCCTTTGAAATCCTCGGCATTATAGTGGATTACAGTGCTGGGTAAGCCAAACGCAGGACCTTATAAATCCCCACTGAAAGGAAAGTAGCAAAATAACATTGCCCTTTGAATGCCTTGTCCGCTCTAAACACCAACTGTAAAAGCTTCCTATCTGGCTTCTTCCTGTAACTTATTTCTTTACTTACTTATCCGTACCCCCTGCCCACCAACCCCCATCCCACGATTTCCTATTGCCTTTATGGAGCAAAGCACAATTATATGCTCTAGCCCAAGATTTGCAATTAAGTATTCTTTAAAAAATGCAATATATTTTCAAAGTCACCCTCAAAAATAGGGACTTTGCTTTATAGTCTCCAGCTCTCAAAGAAGACAGTTACCAGTGGGTATCCATGACACCTGATGTGCTGGGCCAGTTTATTTTCTTATTTTAATGCCTACCTTTAAAACAACCTAGGTTACGTGAGTGCATAGTTAGACTTACGTCCCAGTGTTCTACGACAATAGCTGTATTTCAACAAATGACTAATAAGTTGGGTTGCCTTTGTCTTGTGGATGCTGAGGCACTTCAGTCACAGATGCTCAATGCTACCTTACTGACCCACTTTCTTCCTAGCTGAGACAACTGACTTACTGTTTAAAACTACAGGCTAGGAAAGCCATAAACTTGTTGCATATATATTTTAAACAATGGCAACAAAATGAACTGGATGCTAACTAATGAGATACCAAAATAAACAAAGAAAAAACAATCCTTAAGTTAGGCCAGTCAGCAGAATACACAAGGAAATAAAAAAATATGCTAGTAAGGAAATCTAATGACAGACAATAAGCCACACTCAAAACTGATAAATTGGGAGACTTCTTTAAATAAAAGGCTTTCCCATCAAAACAATGTCAATTCTCAATTCAAAGTAGCTGCACAATTACTGAGAGTACACATGGCACCAAATACAATACAGAAAAGGTGAACCCAGGCAATGATTTTCCAAGCATGATCTGAAAGTTATGAAGATCCTCTAGAACTTGAGTCTTGTTTAAAATGTGAGTGCTGATGTCTGGATTAAGTTCTGAGCCAGAAAAAGGCAAAAAATGGAAGCAATAGGGAGAGCTTTATTATTAAAGTGAGCTTAGTGCTGAAAAGTATCAACTGCCATATGAGAACAGTGGGTCTTGTTATCACAGTGCTGGCCGCTGGCCTGCCACTGACAACTTGAATAACCAGATTTTAAGGTTGGCTGGCTCTTGCCCAAGGTAAGAGAAGCTGCCTCCAAACAAGTGGAAAACATATATTGGAGAGTGGAGAATATTTACGGCAGGGGTGTCCAATCTTTTGGCCTCCCTGGGCCGCATTGGAAGAACTGTCTTGGGCCACACATAAAATATACTAAGAACAGCTGATGAGCTTAAAAAAAAAAAAAATCACACAAAAGAATCTCATATTTTGGCCGGGCGCGGTGGCTCACGCCTGTAATCCCAGCACTTTGGGAGGCCGAGGCGGGTGGATCACGAGGTCAGGAGATCGAGACCATCCTGGCTAACACGGTGAAACCCCGTCTCTACTAAAAATACAAAAAATTAGCCGGGCGAGGTGGCGGGCGCCTGTAGTCCCAGCTACTCGGGAGGCTGAGGCAGGAGAATGGTGTGAACCCCAGGGGGCAGAGCCTGCAGTGAGCCGAGATTGCGCCACTGCACTCCAGCCTGGGCGACAGCGAGACTCCGTCTCAAAAAAAAAAAAAAAAAAAAAGAATCTCATATTTTAAGGAAGTTTACAAATTTTTGTTGGGCTGCATTCAAAGCCATCCTTGGCTGCATGCAGTCCATGGGCCATGGTTTGGACAAGCCTGACTTAGGACATATGAAAACGGGGATAGATTGTCTGTAGCTATACCTGCAGTGAAAAGTTAAAGAACCTATGGCCTAAAACAACGGTCCCCAGCCTTTCTGGCACGAGGGACCAGTTTTGTGGAAGACAATTTTTCCAAAGACAGAGGGTGGGGGGTGGATTGGGGATGGTTTCAGGATGATTCAGCACATTACACTTACTGTGTACTTTATATTACTATTACATTGTAATATATAAAATAATTGTACAATGCACCATAATGTAGAATCAGTAGGAGCCCTGAGCTGTTTTCCTGCAACTAGACAGTCCCATCTTGGGATGATGGGAGACAGTGACAGATAATCAGGCATTAGATTCTCATAAGAAGCACACAACCTAAATCCCTCACGTGCACAGTTCACAATAGGGTTCACGCTCCTATGAGAATCTAATGCTGCTGCTGATCTGACAGGAGGCGGAGCTCACAGGTAGTAAGGCAGGCAATAGGGAATGTGTAAATACAGATGAAGCCATGCTTGCTCGCTGCTCCCCGCCTCCCCATCCCCGCTCCCCCCTGGGGTTCCTAACAGGCTAAGGAACTGTACCAGGTACCAGTCTGTGCCCAGGGGTTAAGAACCCCTGGTCTAAAACAGATTTGGAAAATGTCAAAGTCCAGAGGAAATCCCAGGTAAAGGATAAGGTGAATTTAAATGACAGCTTTCCTACAAACTTAAGCTACCATAATTTGATCATTGGCATTGTGATTTCCTTGGTTATAATACAATATTATAAAAATTAATAAATTTTTAAATATTCAAAATTATAAATTTGTAGTCTATATGGGTAATTTTTATATTCAAGATACAGGTTCTCATCTTTGACACTCGAAATAGGCATGTTCCCATCCTTGACCCTCATTATAGGTAAGGGTTTCAACATTTAAACCAAAACAAAATTATTTGAGATTTCTCTTTCTTTTTTCTTTTTTGAGACCGAGTTTTGCTCTTGTTGCCCAGGCTGGAGCGCAATGGTGTGATCTCAACTCACTGCAACCTCCACCTCGGGGGTTCAAGCAATTCTCCTGCCTCAGCCTCCCGAGTAGCTGGGATTACAGGCATGCACCATCACACCCGGCTAATTTTTGTATTTTTAGTAGAGACAGGGTTTCATCATATTGGCCAGGCTAGTCGTGAACTCCTGACTTCAGTTGATCCACCTGCCTCAGCTTCCCAAAGTGCTGCAATTACAGGCGTGAGCCACCATGCCCAGCCTGAGATCTCTCTTTCAACTGCTCCTCAGAATCCAACTGAATTATTTCTACCAATAAGGATGAGAGGATTTACCACTGTTTCTCATGTCTAAGGCATCTACTGAGGACTAAGACAAGCTTAAATAGAAGCAAGATACAATCGTCTTTTAGTTGGTGTTTTACCAGATTAGTATATACTGAAATACTTTTTTTTTTTAAATAAAAAGGGAAAACAGAATTAACCATCTACCAAAGCTAAGTTAACAAAATGAAGAACAACAAAGACTATCCAATATCGGTCTTAGAGTCCTTCAAGTGTTCATTTAGAAAATTGCACAAAGTAAAAGATTTACATAATTTTCAAATTAGTAACTTACTGATTATAATGGTAGTCTTCACATTTGTGTTTTAAGTGTTTTAATGACATAAAAGCTTATATTTGAGTACAGATGGTCTTTTGTCATCAAGGCCACACATTACAAGTCTGAAGAAGCATGTGAGCTCTCTCTAAAATTTTTTGAAAGAAAACAAACAAAAAATCAGTGCCCAAGAGTACACTCAGCACTGGCTCAAAATATCATCTGCCTTTTTCTTGCTCTCTCTCACATCTCAACTATCCTAGACTCAAACAATATTTTTTTATACAAATTCAGACTTCATATTTAGAGGATGTGTAGTGTACTGGTGGAGTGAGACTCATATGTTCAAATTCTCATTCTGCCACTAATGAGCAGAATGACTAAGATAAACTATTAGGTTGATGCAAAAGTAACTGCATTTTTTACTATTACTTTCAATGGCATAAACATACTTAGTCTCTATGTTCCTCATTTCTAAAATGGTAACAGTAACGGTATATGTGTAAAAGGCTGTCATAAGAAGACTTCATCTATATAAAGCATATAGAGCTCAGTAAGTGCCTTATTCAGTGTTAGTTGATATTAATATATCATCATTAATGTTATTAAATTTTATCTTCTACTTAGCCTAATGTTCCCTTATGCAATGATCTTTTTCCATCCTAATTCAGTCAACGAATTAGTTATCCTCTCTTTTCTTGCCACTCGTAAGTTCAAAAACTTGCCATGTGATTATCATAGAAGCCAACATCATCCAAGCTAAACAGCCTACAATCAAATCTACAATGTCACTAATGTCAATTCACTCACTAATAATCTTTGGGTATTCCTTTGCAGTACAAAGCATATGCAATTAGATAAAGCCTCACAATGTTACTGGAGAAAAATGTAGTAAAAATATTTACATACACATTTCATTTTTCAGGAAGAGAAATGGAGTCTCAAAGGCTAAATGATATCTGTATGTGACACCAGCATTTTAATGCTTTTATTTTTCAACTAATAAGCAAGTTAACTTGCCCTATATGTTTTAGAGGAAATTCAAGGACAAACATATATAAATATAATCTATGCTCTGAAGAACAGTACTGATCAAACATAATGAATTAGTATTTTTTGCCCAGAGATCATGCTCATGCTCAGTAGCATAAAGTATACTGACTTCCGTTAGAATTGCTGCTTTATAGGTAAAGGGAAAATCCACATATTTGGGCAAATTTGAATGCACAGCATTAATACATTCAAAACAATCTTAAGAAATTTCTAAGATTACCTCATACTAATGAAAATTATCCAGCAAATACAGTCCTTCTCCTATAGCCTCCCTGCCCCATGTGCCCACCCAAGACTCAGAAAAGATGTTCTGAAATGACGTTTTAAACAAGATGCTCCTATTAAAAACAAAAACAAAAGCATCATTCTGCATTGTTATACATTTGATATTAAACTTTCCACAAGCAAGGCTGTGAATAATCAACTTCAGCATCATTGTCTATACACTTATAAATACGTTATTTTCCTGTTTAGCTTACCAGAATCACTGTTTATCAAAACACCAAGAGGATCTGCATTTGCCTCCGGTGGACCTTCTAGCTTCAAATCACACAAGTGACTGCCTGATCCAGTGACTGCTCTCTGTCTAGAATTGTCGTTTTTCCATTTGTGATTCTTGCCAGGACTTCTGATCTTTGCCATTTGTGAATGTCTGGACATCCCCTTCATCTTGCTGGAGTAAGAAAATTGCAATTTTTAATATAAAAGGCACTGACCTTCCAAGAAAATTTTGAAAAAGACTACTAGATACAAAAGAAACCTAGCTGTAAAACTGATCACTTGTAGCCTAGTACATTAAAGAGACGAAAATAAAAGAAATTCCAGTGACTTTCAAAGACAGGGAAGCCTATGATAGAACTTTAGAAGGACAGCACCCCACAATATACCACACCTTCTTGATTCTACGCTGCAAATTTCTACCCATATTGTTATCCCTCTGAAATTGGGCTGTGTCGTATTATCATTAAAGGCCAATTTAACTGGCAGCATTATTTCATTCTTCTATTGTACATGAAAGTTTCTTTTTTCTTCTCTTTTTTTTTTTTTTGAGACAGAATCTTGCTCTGTCACCCAGGCTGGAGTGCAGTAGCATGATCTTGGCTCACTGCAACCTCCACCTCCCAGGTTCAAGCGATTTTCCTGCCTTAGCTTCCCAAGCAGCTGGGATTACAGGCACGTGCCACCACACCCAGCTAATTTTTGTATTTTTAGTAGAGTCAAGGTTTCACCATGTTGGCCAGGATGGTCTCGATCTTCTGACCTCGTGATCTGCCCACCTCGGCCTCACAAAGTGCTGGGGTTACAGGTGTGAGCCACTGTGCCCAGCTCAAAGTGTTTCTCAGAGTTTATAAAGTATGTTCACTCTTGTCTACTCATTTTATTTTGAGACGGAGTCTCACTCTGTCGCCCAGGCTGGAGTGCAATGGCATGATCTTGGCTCACTGCAACTTCCACCTCCTGGGTTCTAGCGATTCTCCTGCCTCAGCCTCCCGAGTAGCTGGGACTACAGGCACCCACCATCAGCCCGGCTAATTTTTGTATTTTTGTAGAGACAAGGTTTCACCATGTTGGCCAGGATGGTCTCGAACTCCTGACCTCAGGTGATCCACCCACCTCAGCCTCCCACAGTGCCAGGATTATAGGCATGAGCCACTACACCTGGCCTTGTCTACTCATTTTTAAGGAGTTAAAGTTTCTGAAGCATTTACAAATATGACTTGTTGGACCTTCATGAACCCTCTGAAATAGGTAACACAGGTACTATTTTCTCTGCTTTATAGGCCTATCAGAACACATAAGCCTATTGCAATTTCACAGCCAGCTCAAATCAAGTGCCCTCTCAACAGCTACAACTACTTTTAGAAAGAAAGCAAGTATTGGCCGGGCGCGGTGGCTCACGCCTTTAATTTCAGCACTTTGGGAGGCCAAGGTGGGCGGATCACTTGAGCTCAGGAGTTCGAAACCATCCTGGGCAACTTCGTCTCTACTAAAATACAAAAAATAAGCTGGGCACGGTAGCAGGTGCCTGTAGTCCCAGCTCCTCGGGAGGCTGAAGCACAAGAATTGCTTAAACTCGGGAGGTGGAAGTCACAGTGGGCCGAGATTGTGCCACTGCACTCCAGCCCGGGCAAAGTAAGACTCTGTCTCCAGAAAAAAAAAAAAAAAAAAAAGAAAGCACGTATTTATGTGAGCATCTTCTAATTTAAACTGTGTGTGTGTGTGCGGGGGCGGGGAAGACAGTTAAAAAAAGGTTCCTTCATAGTAGACAATAACACAAGGTATTCATTGGTGGGACTGAGTTTTTGCAAAGATAGGCTTTTGACAGTTTGCCATTTATTGGGCAAAATTCATTTTTCATTAATAATGGAGGATGCAGTAAATAATTAGAAATCTGCATCTAAATCTCAACTTTGTCAGTTATGGGCTGTGTCTGCTGTACAAATATTTGTAAGCCTAAGCCTGTTTACTCCTTTAAACAGAATGGGAATTATAGGGACATAGAATTCAGATAATATAAATACAGTACTTCACAGAGCAAGATAACACATTAAGCCCTTAATAAATGGTAGTTTACTATCATAACATTTTTGAAATAATTTGTTAAATCAACATGTTTATATATCTGCAATCCAGAGATTTTTAATCCCTTTAGGGTCATAATAACCCTTGGAGAATCTCATTACAAAAATTAATATATATGTATAGTCCAAATTTTGCAGAAAGCCATGGACCAATCTCCTATGTCCATCCACAGATGTCAGGCTAAGAACCTAACAGTGTCACTGCAAAGAAAACAGGTCTAGTTTCTGCCTCCAGCCCACTGGCCCCATAAGGATAATGAAGAGATGCCACTTTCTTTGAGCTCCCATTCACGGATGCCTTCCCCGTTATCTTTTCTCTTACAGCATCTGACCACAGCTAGCTTCTGAATGATCATCATTAAGGTATTCACTAATAAGTAATGAGTTAAGAAGATCCTTCACTAATGACATCTATAAGACTTAATTGAGAAAGTAGTGTATCTGTTATTTGCACTCTATTTCACCTTCAAGGGAGTAGTTCTGTTATACCACGACTTGACAATCATTTGAAAAGAAAAGTTTATGTAATCAACCATCTAAAAATAGTTACAAAAGGCATAATGTAAATAAAAATGTAGATGAATATAAAATGGAGAGATTAATAAAAAAAAGATTCCATCCAAAAGAAGGCAAGAAAGGAAGAACAAATTAAAAACCCAACTATATTAGGAATTACATTAAACGTAAATGAACTAAGCACTAGTTAAAAGGCAAAGATTTTCAGTTTGGATTACTAAGAAGACAAAATTACATAATATATAAGAGATACACTTTAAATATAGAGACACAAAAAGTTTAAAAGGAATAGGTTGTTGAAAACACGATCCTTTCTCCACTGCATTATATTGCCAGATTTATCATAAGTTAGGTGATTGTTTCTCAGTGGATCTGTTTGTGGGCTCTATTCTGCTCTACTTATCTATTTATCCTTGGACAACACCACACTATCTTCATTACTCGAGCTTTCTTAGTTGCTGTTCTAGATCCTTTGTATTTTCATATGCAATCATGCACCACATAATGACATTTTGATCAACAATGGACCACATATATGACAGTAGTCCTATAAGATTATAGCAGAGCTAAATAATTCCCAGTAATGTCATAACATCATAAAGTAAAAAATTACTTTTATAAAACAATTTAGTGTAGCCTATGTGTACAATGTTTGTAATGTCTACAGTAATGTATAGCAGCCTCCTGGGCCTTCACATTCACTCACCACTCACTCGCTGACTCACCCAAGGCAACTTCCAGTTCTGCACGTTCTATTCATGGTAAGTGTCCCATTCAGGTATACCATTTTTTGCCTTTAATGGTGCATTTTAATGAAACTTTTCTATATTTAGATACACAAATACTTAGCATTGTGTTACAACTGGATACAGTAACACACGGTACAGGGCTGTAGCCTAAGAGCAACAGGCTTTACTGCACAGCCTAGGTGTGTAGTAGGCTGTATTATCTAAGTTTGTTTAAGTATACTCTATGATATTCATAACGACAAAATTTCCTAACCCGTTTCTCAGAATGTATCCCTGTCATTAAGTGACACATTGTAATTTTAAAGCTTATCAATCTCCCCCATCCCTCCTCCACCAAAAAAAACAAAACAAAAAAAAAACTTGCTGGAATTTTGACTGTAATTAATTGGATTTGGGGGAGAATTAAGATAATTATATTGTTTTCCAGTCCATGACTATTATATATTGCTCCATTTATACAGGCCTTGAATTTTTCTGAGCAATGTTTTGTAGTTCTGAGTGTAGAATCTTGCACATCTTTTGTTAGGTTTATTCCTAGGCATTTGATGCTATTCTAAGTGGTATCTTTTAAATTTTCAATTTTTAATTGTTGCTACTTTATAGAAATAGAGTTGATTTTAAAAATATTGATCTTACATGTATTTGGCAACCTTGCTAAATTCATTTATAAAAGTGGTAACACTGGACATCCTTATCTTGCTTCTAATCTTAGGGGAGGTGGGGGAGTGATCACTATTGCACCATTAAGTACGATGTGGCTACAGAGTATTGATAGATATCCTTTATTAGATTAAAGAAATTATTTTCTATTACTAGTTTGCTAATATGTCTTTTTTATGAACAGGTGGTACATTTTATCGAACTGTTTTCCTTACTCATTAAGTTAATAGCATTTTCCTCCTTCACTTTGTTAATGTGATAAATAAACATGCTCCTGGAATAAATCCCATTTAGTCATGATGTTATATCATATTTTTACATATTTTTACATATTGCCAGATTTGATTTGCTAACATTTTGTATAGGATTTTTGTCTCTCTGCTCAAGAGTTGTGTTTCAAAATTTTCACTTTACATATTTTAAAGCTATGTTCTAGACACATACAGATTTAGAATTGGTATGTCTTCTTGTTGTTGCACTGACTCTTTTAACATTACAAAATATTCCTATTTATCCCTAATAACACATCTTGCTTTAACATCTATTTGGTCTGACATTAATATTGTTATACCAGGTTACTTTTGGTTGGGGTTTGCATGGTATAACAATTAGTGCTGGATCAACTGTAATTCATATGTGAAAAAGTTTTAAAGGTCCTTAAACCCTACACTATGTACAATAATTAATTCTAGACATATACCAGAAACACAAAGCAATAAATCTTCTAAAAGAAAACATAAAGAAATAGTTTTATGATCTCCAAGTAAGCAAAAGTTTTTTTTAAGGCAGAACACACACAGCACTGACCATAAAAATAAAAGATTAATAAATCAGACTTCATGAAAATTGAAATTTTTATTTATAAAAGACACCATTAAGAACTTCTGTTTCTGGCCAAAATAAAGTAACAGGGACTGAATTTATCCTCCTACCTGAAATAACCAAAAAACTAGCCAAAATGAATAAACGATGGTCTCTATGACACAGGGCATGAAGCAACAAGAGAAGTGAGCCCTGAAAGACAGAAAATAAATGAATAGTGAACCCTGCAACTGCCCTTGCTTACAGCCTTAAAGAGTTTCCAGACTGCGGAGAAGAGGAATCCAGATGGGACCTGGTAGAATCCCTGAATTGAGGAACTGGAGTTGAGACACCAGAGAGAGCAAGACATCTAGAGCTTCAGGATGTACCTGAGAGGAAAAAACTACAGAAAGAGAGAGAACTCTAGAGATTTGCAGAGGATTTACCCTGGACTATTTAGCAGAAGACTGATTGGCATGTATTTGTCAGGAAACTATCCAAGGTTGGGGGAAAAAAACGACCCAAAAGGATCAGAGTTATCAGCACCTCATCTTCACTCCGAGTCATAACTAGGGCCTGTTTGTACCTCATATTTCACAGGGCATGGGGTAAGATACCCAGTAAGATATTACATCAGTAGTGAGTAGTTAGTTTCAGACTAAACACTGCTCTGGTTTCATCTAACAAAATCTTAAAAGCAAGATCCAGAAGGATGAAACCGTTTCTAAGTAACTCAGTTGTCTTCCCAGAAAAAAGTTCAAGAACATTTATAGAAACACAAAAATATACAGCACCTGATGTGGTTTGGTTGTGTCCCCACCCAAATCTCATCTTGAATTGTAACTCCCACAATCCCACATGTCATGGGAGGAACCAGGTGGGAGGTGATTGGGTCTTTCCTGAGCTGTTCCTGTGATACTGAGTGAATGAGTCTCATGAGATCTGATGGTTTTAAAAAGGGGAGTTTCCCTGCACAAGCTCTCCTGTCTCTGCCTGCTGCCATCCATAGAAGATGTGACTTGCCCCTCTTTGCCTTCTTCCACAATTGTGAGGCTTCCCCAGCCACGTGGAACTGTAAGTCCAGTTAAACCTCTTTCTTTTGTAAATTGCCCAGTCTCGGGTATGTCTTTATCAGCAGCGTGAAAATGGACTAATACAGCACCCAATAATGTAAAATTTCCAGTGTCAAGTATCCAATCAAAAATTACCAGGCATGGGGCCAGGTGCGGTAATCCCATCACTTTGGGAGGCCAAGGTGGGCAGATCACGAGGTCAAGAGATCGAGACTATCCTGGCCAACATGGTGAAACCCCATCTCCACTAAAAATACAAAAATTAGCTGGGCGTGGTGGCGCACGCCTGTAGTCCCAGCTACTCGGGAGGTTGAGGCAGGAGAATGGCACAAACCTGGGAGGTGGAACTTGCAGTGAGCCGAGATGGCGCCACTGCACTCCAGCCTGGGCAACAGAGCGAGACTCCATCTCAAAAAAATAAATAAATAAAAATAAAAATAAATAAATTTATCTTTTTAAGTAAATAAGTTACAAAAGCAAAGATTTCATAATTGAGTACATAAGGGTTTTAAGATTTTGTTTTGTGCTCCTTTTCATTATTCATAAGCATAAGGAGCTTACCCATATTGTGTTGTTGTCAATACTGCTCCTCTCTTCTCCTTTTCAAGTTTTAACTTCTTCTTCCTTTCAATATTGGCCAGAGTTGGATAGTTTCTAGAAAATAATAAAAGTTAATTATAATAGGGCTTTTAGAGTACAATTTTAAATAAGCAATCAAGCAATTGCTGAATTTAGCAATTTTGTTTAACACCTAACACAGCAAATTATAAACCTTTAACTGCTTCTACAATTTTTTAAGAGGGAAAAAAGTACTTATAACAATGTTACTCAAAGTGTGGACCACCTGCTAATCCACAAACTTTGCTAGCAGTCTGCAACTAGACAAGTGTACACTGGAATTTAAATCAAATATATCATACAATGTGCTCAAACTGATTTAATTCATCTATATGGCATGTACCCATAAATACTGTAAAAAAAATTTTTAAGTCTATTCAATTTATTCTAGTCATTACCTTTTATTTCCTTCTTATTTATTTATTTATTTTTGAGTCGGAGTCTCGTTCTGTCACCCAGGCTGGAGTGCAATGGTGCGATCTCAGCTCACTGCAACCTCAGCCTCCTGGGTTCAAGCAATTCTCCTGCCTCAGCCTCCCAAGTAGCTGGGATTACAGACACCTGCCATCACGCCCAGCTAATTTTTGTATTTTTTGTAGAGATGGGGTTTCACCATGTTGGCCAAACTGGTCTTGAACTCCTGACCTCAGGTGACCCACCTGCCTCAGCCTCCCCAAATGCTGGGATTACAGGCGTGAACCATCACGCCCGGCCAAGTCTATCCAATTTCTTATGCAAATACATGCTAGGTATATCGAAGTTACCAAGACGAGGAGGAGACAGTTCTCAAAAAATATACACGGTGGCTCATGCCTGTAATCCCAGCATTTTGGGAGGTTGAGGTGGGCGGATCATTTGAGGTCAGGAGTTCGAGACCAGCTTGACCTACGTAGTGAAATACCATCTCTACTAAAATACAAAAATTAGCCAAGTGTGGTGGCGGGCGCCTGTAATCCCAGCTACTCGGGAGGCTGAGGCAGGAGAATCTCTTGAAACCAGGAGGTGGAGGTTGCAGTGACCTGAGATCGTGCCGCTGCACTCCAGCCTAGGTGACAGAGCAAGACTCCCCCTCAAAACATAAATAAATAAATAAATAAATAAAATAAAATAAAAAATATACTGTCTACCAGGAAGATAAGAAAAGCACACAAATAGTGATAACATAAGACAAAAGTACCCAAGAGGGTATAAAGACTGGGGGGTAGGGGTGGAATGGAAAGACTATATCTAATTGGAAAAATCCATAAAGAAAAGAAATGAAAGAAATTGGTCTTAAATGGTAACAGAAATCAGAGTATGTTAAGTAGGCCAAACAATGCAAACAAACCAAGACTTCAGAAAGTGAAAGAGGCCGGGTGTGGTGGCTCACGTCTGTAATCCCAGCACTTTGGGAGGTCAGGAGTTCGAGACCAGCCTGGCCAACACAGTGAAACCCCATCCTATTAAAAATAAAAAAAATTAGCTGGGCATGGTGGCGGATGCCTGTAATCCCAGCTACTCAGGAGGCTGAGACAAGAGAATTGCTTGAACCCAGGAGGTGGAGGTTGCAGTGAGCTGAGATCACGCCACTGCACTTCAGCCTGGGCGACACAGAAAGACTCTGTCTCACAGAAAAAAAAAAAGTGAAAGAGATATCTGGACAATGACAAGTAGTTAATATGGTATGAAACACAGTTACAGGCAATCAGACTGGAAAGGGAGACTCAGGCCAAAATGTGTCTTGAATACCAAACTAGAAAGTTTATATTTAATTCAGCAGGTGATAGAGAGCCACAGAAAGTTATGAACAGGGAGAGATATGTACAAAGCAGTGATTAAGATGAAATCTGACAGAAGTGTGCCAGATGAACTGCTTTCTTTGTTTCTCTGCACAGCTGTGTGGAGATGCAGACACCAAACTTTCAGGAAGAGGGCAATAGATTCTAGGAGTATAAAAAACATAGAAGGAAGGGAACACAGCTCTCTACTACCCCGTCTGGCTGCTGATCAGAGTAAGTTTGGAGAAACATCAACAAATGTGTTCTGCCATTGCTTCTAGGACACTTCTCTACCTTCTGCCTTTTTTTTTTTAACATTTGCAACACTGACTTGAATAGCACAGACAATATATAAAGCCTATGGGTGGGCCATACTGAAAGACAGGAATGGAAATGACATTGGGTAAGTGGTTAAGTAATCAGAAAAAAAATGTAATGAATTTCAATGAGGACAGTGTGAAGCAATATATATCCAGTCAAGAAAAATAGACTCCATAAAAAAAGATGATTAATGTACAAACTATAAATAAACATAAAAGGAAAAGATCAAGGTCATAGGAGATAAAAATCTGACAGTCAGCAATACATGACTACATTTTTCGAAAGCAAACATAATCTAAGGTTATAAGAAGTAGACTCTGGCACTTGTACGAGTGTGAAATCTTCCTCCAGGATACTCAAAAGCAGTCAGATAATCTCAGGGCACTGTGTCCAGTTCTGTACTTCTAAACTAAAGGAACACTGAGAAGAAAAAAAAAAAAAAAAGACTTGGAAGGGATTCAGAAGAGACTCAAAGATGATTAATAGGATGAAAAATAAAACCTCCAAAGAAAGATGAAAGGAACTATTTGCAACCTTTAAAAGAAGATGAGAAGCGACAATAAAAATAGTTTTACAGAGAGGATGGTCCAGTTGTTCTCAAACTGAAGAGAATATGCAGAAGTAGAAATGAGAAAAACAGTAATGATTTTTACAGGCCTCACAGTGGCGAGACATGTAACTCACAGCTACTCAACACCCTCCACAATTCTCAAATTTACTTATTACTTAAGTTTCTTCAACATTTTTGCAGAGTATTGCAGACTCTTACCATGTTGGGCTATATGTTACATGATAAAATTTGGCACTACAGTGTACTACGTACCAGAGAGCAGATGCTAGGTAACTGCTTTTCATTGGTAAAGAATTTAAACTTGTTATAGCAAGTGGATTTTAGGTAAGATATAAGAAAGAGTTCCCTAAGTGAAACATCAAAGATGTGATGTGTAGAAACTCCTTTGATGGAAGCCTTTTAAAACAGCTAATTTTCTCTTTCAGGCAGACTGCAGTATCATGTTCCTAAAGGTAAAGAAACTTAACTTCCTAAAATTAAATATCATGTTCCTAAAGGTAAGGAAACTTGTCTTCCTAAAATTAAGTATCATGTTCCTAAAAGTAAGATTAGAGTTTTAAAAAGTTGTAAGATTTTATTTTTCTTGGTGCTGAAATCAATAAAATCCTCTTCCAAAATTTATTACATTCTTATTTACACAGAATCCAGATATTTAAAACTAGAGAGAAAAATGGTTGCTAAAAAGCACATTATCGCAAAAAAGAAAAATCAGAAACACAAGACCTAATTACACACATAAACAACAGTAGGAAGCCCCACTCCACCAACATGAAGCTGAGATAAATGAATAACGAAAAAAAAGGAGTTCTGATGAAGGAGTTCAGGTTCCTAAAGTACAAGAAATAACAAATCCAAAGACTATTGAAAAAACATAAATTATGTCTTACATTGCAGTTACATACATGTAAAGCTTAGTCCAATATCTCCTGTTAGAGAATGGATAATATGAAGTTATAAAGACCGTGACAAGGGAAATTTTCACAGTTGGTTTTTCTATATTTTTATCTACTAAAATCATTTTCTCCCTGTACTTCTATCTTTCCTCAGTTCACTAAGAGGAAATGGTCCTGAAACTATGCTCTTTTCCTTCCTCTCTTCTTTCATTTTTTACCTCTTCTTCACCTTCCTCATTGCCTATACCTTATGCCTCCAGTGACAATCTTTAAGCACTACAGAGCCAACACATGGGCAAACCGTCCTAACCATTATCTTAGCACAGACCATTCTGGTCACATTATTCTCTCCAATTTTTTCCTTATGCTCAAATCACGACCCATTTATTGGCTTTTCCCCTCTGCCTGTTCTATAAAACATAGTTACTCTTCCCACTCTCATTAAACCACAACTGCTTCCACACAAGCTACACTATTGTACTTTTCTTTCTGAACATCAAAAAGATACAGCATTCTTTAGAGCAGATCTCCTGTGTTGGAATTCTGCATGAACCAGGGAAACAAAAGGATTTCCTCAGAGCCACAGTAAGCGTTGAAATAAATTGTAAAACTACTCCACCTAGTGGACTCCCAGTCTGCTGTGAAAAATGTTCCACTGTTTCTATAATAAAAGCAAGGTTTTGGAAACAAACCTCTACCACTCATTTTCCCTAAAGCCAAATCATACAGCATTGGTACTACATAGGACAGGAATTAAGAAAGAATAACTTTTTTTGGTGGCTTTTTTGGGGAGGTAGGGGAAAGGCTATTAATGGAAAGCCTTAAAAGTTATTAAATTAAATACACTCGGTACCCCTGAGTCTGACTAACCTGAAAAATACAGAGATGTAGAAGTAAGGACAAAGATGTACTTTTGTCAAAGATAAGGAAGCCATATGCCAAGCAAACCTTCAGTTTTCTTTAAGCTTTAAAATTCTTACTCTGTGAAATCTTTCACAAGCTTTTCCTAACAGAGCAACTACATAAAGACCTTATTTTTCCTGCATGTCAAAGAATATAGTGGCTTCATCGGAAAGAATGTAGCTCTCACACAAAGATCAAATTCATGAAATAAGGACTATTCTGCCACACCAATGTGGAACTTACTCTTTTTAGGAGTTCAAGTAATATTTTTTAAAAATTGAGAATGACAGGAATGTAGAAAGTAAGTATATTTTTGTAACAGGGTTTTTTTGTTTGTTGTTTTTTTATTGAGACAGTCTCACTCTGTTGCCCAGGCTGGAGTACAGTGGCACGACCTTGGCTCACTGCAGTCTCTGCCTTCTGGGTTCAAGCAATTCTCCTGCCTCAGCCTCCCAAGTATCTGGGATTACAGGTGCGTGCCACGATGCCCAGCTAATTTTTTTTATTTTTAGTAGAGATAGGGTTTCGCCATGTTGGCCAGGCTGGTCTCAAACTCCTGACCCCAAGTGATCTGCCTGCCTTGGCCTCCCAAAGGGCTGGGATTACAGGTGTGAGCCACCACGCCCGGCCCATAATAGGTTTTTAAAAAATTGCTAGTGGGGATAGTATTTATGCATTTTTGAGAAATCTATCAAACATACCAAAAGAAAAGCAGTATTTCCCATATCCTCTAATAAAATATACATACAGAAAAAATATATATGAACTCTTCAGAATATATTAAAGAGCAAGAACCTGAGAAACAAACTATGGAAGAACCTCAGATGAACTCACCCAGTGCCCAAAGAATTTTCAGAGCACTTACTAAACAAAGCAACATCACAGGTATAAATAAACTTCATCCAAAATTGCCATCTTCACCCCATTTCCTCATTCTCTTTAAACACCTCTAAATTTCACAAACCTATAACCTCACTTATTCCCTCAACAGATTTTGCCCATTCCTCTTCCAAGGCACTTCTGCCTGCTGTCATAGCATACCTCTGGAAACCAGAGCTAGACTCTATCCCCTCAGCCCCCACCTGTCCTACATAAAAAGAGCCACCAGCAAGCCTATTAAATGCTTGCTCAAACCAATCCTTTATTCAGAAGGACAGAGCCGCTTCCAAAATTCACTTATAGTTTTGAAATTCCACTGTGCCACCAAGAACTAAAGCAAACACTGACTATTCTCCCCCATTCCTTAACAATTTTGTTTCAGGCATCCCATCAACTCCACTGCCACTGAAGGTGGTCAAGCAGCCCACTTCTAGCCAATGAGATCTATATAAATTATCTCCTGGTTGGAAATAAAAACAAAGCTACTGTTTTCCCAGTGAAAAGGGGGGAAACTAGGCTACGTGTACCTTTTGTCTTTTTCTCTTCTTTCTGCCTATTCTGTGGCTTAATATTTGCATATGCAAGAACATTCTGGTGACAGGCAAGAGGAGAGCCGCCTACTCCGGTGCAACAAGAGACAGCCTACGTCCATGGTACTGTCATGCAGCAACAGCAGCCCTGGATTTATTTTTTTTTTAACCTTGGGAAAATGACACCTCTTTGCACTAAGCCATGGTAGTAAGGTTGCCATTCCATTTCCTAGAGCATGACTAGCTAATGCAAGCACCACTGCACCCTACCATCTCCTTTTATCTGAATACTTTCCATGCTCAAATAGGCTTATCTTGATTTAAAACTATCCTCCTACACAGTTTGGCAGTTTCTCATAAAGTTAAACATATGCTTACCACATGACCAACCAATCTCACTCCTGGATATTTATCCAAGTCAAATAAAACCCTATATTCAAAACAAAAACCTATACGTGAATGTTTATGAAGACTTTATATAAAGGCTAAATACTGGAAACAACACTCAACTGAGAACGGATAAACAAACTGATATACATCCATACTATGGAAAAGAGTAATACTCGGCAATAAAAAACAAACAACTGCTACATGCAACAACATGGATAACTTTCAAATGCAGACTAAAAATAAGTGAGTCAGACTAAAAAGGCCACATACTGTATGATTCCATTTATATGATGTTGCTGCAAAAGTATGAATATAAGAACAAAAAATAAATCAGTGGTTGCCAGTGGGTGGAGGGGAGGCTGCCATCAGGGCATAAGGCAATTTTTCCAGGTGAAGAAACACTGTTCTATATCTTGATTCTGGTGGTATTTATATGACAGTATATATTTGTCAGAACTATCCACTAAAAAGGGTGAATTTCACTATATGTACAATATACATTAAGATAAACTGGGGGAGGGAGGCCTCTTATAGGAAGTCTTGAAAAACAAATAGACGGCCCTCCCCTCCAAAAACTCAAATATCCCTTGACCAGTCAGGATTATCCCTACATAGCTAAAATTAATGCTTCAGTTACTTGTAGTCTTATGGCCACCTCATGTGTATTTATTCATTTCACACTACAGTGAGAACCTTAAAGGCAAGAAGTTACTAGTGTTTGTTTTGGTGAACTCAGCCACATATAGCAAAATCTTTGTCCTTTCAAATACTGAATGTTTACCTCTAATTTTCAAACTAAACTATTGTCAAGAAGTTATGCAAAGATAAGCAAAATGTCTGTTAACATATATTCAAAGGTTGCTGAGATTTCTTGCTAACATTAGAAAATCAAACTAGTCTTCTATCAGGAACTTTAAATAAATACATGCTGCCTATGCTAGTTTTCATCTTCAAATATTAATGTTTCCAAAGTTTCTCTAGCCAGTGGAAATTTTTTCCTTTAATCATTTATTCACGAAACCACAAGGGGGCATAGTTCACATTCGTGTAGGGAAAAGCCATTAATACTTTAAAATACGGATGAATTTGGTTTGTCCCAGTGATGGTCTACCCTACCCTATGTAGTGAGAATTTAATGTTCAAAACCACAGCAGTTTAAGTACTATTAGTTACACTATAATTTCCAAGCATAATTATTAATCATATCAAAATATTTCTGCCCAATTTCTCTAAAAACAACAAAGATACAGCTCAAACATGATTTATAAATACAAGTCTCAGTAAGACTTCTCCAACCACTTACTTGTGTGTACCAAAACAGAATTATACCCATAAGAAAAATATCTTCAAGCACCATTTACACACACTAACATTTATAAGCATTCCCTATAACTATGGCACTATGGGATAGAAGCAGCCAGGTAAAAGTTGGTTCTTACATTTCAGAGCTCACACTTAATTCAAGAATAAAAGACACATATGCAAAGAAGTTCACCAACAGGGTCATAATAAAGGATATCTGTGCTAAAGAGGCAGAAAGGAGATACCATATTCAAAGAAGGGCAAGACATTTCTCTAGGCAGATGAGAAAAAATATACCCAAAAGTGGATGGATTTCAGATGAGCTAAGAGCAATGAGCAGAACTTTAAAGATGGAGTAGGTAAGATCTTCTAGAAGCAGCAGCACGAACAAAACTAAAAGGGCGAAAGTTCACAAACCCTGTATGAGATATGATAAATAACAAGTTTGACTGAGACAAAAAGCCCCTATAAGCAAATAATATGGAAATAATCAGAAAAGACAAGTTAAGCCCACATTATAGGATTCTGGTTTCCAGTTCTATGGAGTTTTATTCTCATAGGCATTTCAGCTGATTAAAAATAAAATCAGTTTAACAAACTTTTAAATTTTACACTACACAGTCATCTACATAACTAAGAAACATATGCATATTGAACATCTAATTTTGCACCACAAAACAACAAATACAAAGAAAATACCCTAAACTTCTCTTTGGTCAAGTCAACTCCTTAAGTCAGATAGCACTGCCCAAGTGTTCACTTGCAGACTACATTTCAATTGTGTGGTTTTCTTGAACAGGATGTAGCAACTGAGCCAGAGCTGGGATTTTGCCAGATGAGTGCAATGGAGGATAATGGAAGAAGGAAGCTGAGATATCGACAAGAGCAGCCGAAGTGAAATAGGCTGGGTAGGAAGTGAAGGAAGAAGGAAGATAAAAGAAAAACAAGGTAAAGAGGATGGGAAGCCTCAACTATTCCAAGCCCTGGTAGAGATCACAGTGAGCTGGACGGATGGAAAGAGGAGTATGTCCAACTTTAGAATCCAGGATGTGGTCATGAAAGTAAGTGGCTGAAACTGCATGAAGGTGAAGGGCACTGGAAATTTGTTTTGTTTTGTTTTTTTGAGACAAGGTTTCGCTCTGTTACCCAAGCTGCAGCGCAGTGGCGTAATCACAGCCCACTGCAACCTCAAACTCCTGGGCTCAAGGGATCTTCCTGCCTCGGTCTCCTGAGAGGCTTGGACTACAAGTGCCCACCGCTGCACCTGGCTAACTTTTTATTTTTGTAGATACCAAGGGTATCACTTGGTTGCTCAGGCTTGGCCGTTAGAAATCTGAAAGTGAAAAGGTACTGAATGAATTCAAAATATACACAATTCCACTGCAGCATCTAACATGCCAAGGGCGAGTGACAAAGGCAATCAATCCCTGGGGAGGGTGTGAGACTTGAAGACAGATGGCACAGAGCTCAAAGGAGAAAGGCCAAGGAGTAATCATCTGGAATCCTCATCAAGGAGGCCCTGTGTATGTCTCAACATCAGTCACTTTTAGTTTTTGTTTTATTTGACCTTTCCATCGCAATCTGCACTGCTAACCATATCTTCCTTCTCAAAATTTTCCCCTCCACTGGCTTCCAGAGGAAGTTTTCTTCTACCTCTCTGGTTCCCACTCAGCAGGCTTGTTGGATTTTATTCTCTATTAGACCTTCGGATGTTGGAAGGGCTCAAGGTTCAATATTAGGCTACCTTCTCTTTTCACTCTACCCTGTCTCTGTGGGGAATCTGTTCCATATTCCCAGTTTCATGACTCAAAAAACTATCTCCAGTCTAGTCTGGTCCAAGTCCCAATGCCTACTCAACATCTTCAAATAGATGCCTCAGGATCTCCTCAGACTCAACAATGTCCAACCCAATACCTCCAAAGCCCATCCTCTTCCAGTGTTCCCCACCTCAGTAATAAGAACCACCTTTCATAGAGGTGCTAAGCCTAGAAACCTGGAAGTCTCCTAAAACCTCTCTCCTCTTCAACCTCACAATCATTTAATCCCCAAACACTGCCCATTTTCACCTCCCAAATGTTCTACATCCACCTAGTTCTCTCCATCCCCACAACTGCCATCTTTGTAAAGCTTCTATTTTCTCTTACCTATACTCACAGTTCCTTGAACATGCTAACCTCTGTCTGACCACTAATCCCTGCCTCTCCTTATCTTTTCCTAGTTAGTTCTGAATTCAGCTACCCCTGCCTTTGTCATGAAACACCCTAATCTTCCAGACTAGATGAAGTCCCCTTCCTCTTATATGCTGAGCAAGGGAATAGCAGAGGATAGTGGGAGAGTGAAAGTGCTATAGACATCGTAGAAAAGAGTAAAGTTGGTTACCATTAATTTAATAGCAGTTCCACATTTCCCAGTTTAAATTATTTAATTTATACCACCACAAGATAGAAGAACCGAAGTTGGCAAATCAGGAAGTCACTTCAGACCTTCCTTATACCCTTCAGTAAACTCAAAGCTTCAGAAATTTAACTGTTTAGTTAGATAACTTTTAAGTTGCTTTACAATCAATGCTGACTAGTAACCGCTACCATTCCCCTCAAGAGAATTAAACATTTATAAAAGGGACTGACACCAATAAGTTGAACCAACCTCTAACTGATCAAAGTCCAGGCTAAGTAGTAGGGGGAAAAAACCTAGTGTCTTAGCAGTTAGGCCACTTCCATCCCATCCAGCAGGATACAATCTTCCATACCATCGTCATCAGCTCTTTATAATGTACATATCAGAAACGAAGTGGAGTTAACTTCTTGTTTGATTACTGCTCTATGCAAAAAATGAAAGAAGAAGGAAGGAAGGAGAAGGAGAAGAAAGGAGGAGGAGAAGAAAGGAGGAAGGAGAAGAAGAAAGGAGAAAGGAGGAGGAGGAGGAGGCGAAGGTGAAGGTGAGGAGGAGGAGGAGAAGGAAGAGGAAGAAGAGAAGAGGAGGAGGAGGAAGAGGAAGAGGAGGAAGAGGAAGAAGAAAAAGAAGAATAACAACAACAAGAGGAGGAGGAAGAAGAAACAACCAATAGATAGAAAAGAAACAAGCAGAACAAACAAAACATTTTTTAAAAAGTCCAGCTACTTGGGGAGTGGTGTCATGAGGAGAAAACCTTGTATCTATAAAGAAGCTACCTACAGAAGCCAAGGAACTTCAGATACCGTGCTTCAAAATTCCTATGTCAAACTACTTCATGGTCTCAGTCCATTTTATGTTGCTATAACTGAATACATCATAAGATTGGATAATTTATAAAGAAAAGAAGTTTATTTCTTACAGTTTTGGTGGCTGGGTGGGAACTCTCTGCAGAGGCCCAAGGCAGCAGAGGGGCAAGGGGGCTCACAGGAGACAGGCAAATTGATCTTTATAATTGACTCACTCTGATGATAACAAGCCCACTCCCTTGACAATTCACTACTCCTTTAATCCATTAATCCACCAATCCATGAATGAATTAATCCATTTATGAGGGTTCTGCCTTCATGACCCATCACCTCCCAAAGGTTCCCACCTCTCAACACTGCCACACTGGGGACCAAGTTTCCAACAAATGAACTTTTGGGGGACACATTTAAACCACAGCATGGTCCACACTCCTTCAACTTCTAAGTTTGACCTTGCAATTGGCTAAGGCTCCCTTATCACTGCCAAGGTTAAGTATTCCCACACTACACTGTTTAAGTACTTCAGTCAACAAATATGTATTTCTCACATACTAAATTCTAGGCACTGTGCAAAGCACAGCAGAATTAAAGATGTATAAGACCAGGGCCAACTACAATGTAATGTGACAAATGTACTATGGTTGTATAAATAAGCTATGTATTTGCAAAGGAGGTAGTAAATAATGCTTTAGGGTAGTGTGTTTCAGGGACTGGCAACCAGCCAATCCACACACACCAGAGTAGAAATCAACTACGTCACTAAGCATGATATTTAGTTCAGCTGGTATTTTTTCATTTTTTTCTTATCAACAAAGGAAGTAATATACTGATTTACATTCTGGTACAAGCTCTTTTGTTACAGACTGGCACTCTGGTAGCACTGACATAGAGGTGGTGAAAAGTAAGGAGAGAGTAGTAAGTCAGGCAACCTTTAAAACAAGCCTACACGATAAGTAAGATTTTGCCAAAGAGATCAAAGAAAAAGGTATTCTAATATACTCTACTACAGGTGGCCTAGATTCCTTCATTTGCTAGCCACAGATGCTCTTGAAATGCTATATTATGTCCACCAAGTCCCGTTGACTGGTTGGACCTGACTTGTTTAAAAATTGAATTCCTCAGCTGGGTGTGGTGGCTCATGCCTGTAATCCCAGCACTTTGGGAGGCTGAGACAGGTAGATCACTTGAGGTCAGAAGTTCGAGACCAGCCTGGCCAACATGGCGAAACCCCATCTCCACTAAAAATACAAAAACTAGCCAGGTGTGGGGGTGCACGCCTGTTATCCCAGCTACTTGGGAGACTGAGGCAGGAGAATCACTTGAAACCAGCAGGTGGAGGTTGCAGTGGGCTGAGATTGCGCCACTGCACTCCAGCCTCAGTGACAGAGACTCTGACTCAAAAAAAAATTGAATTCCTCTAACTGTCCCTTCACCCTTATCCAACTCTTTCCTTTGTACACAGTATTAATACCTGATACACTTTCGTTGAATTATATTTATTCTCAGTTCTGAATCTTCGTGCTTCTGCTGGTCTTCCTCAGAATTACCTCTAAAGCCTTAAAGGGCAGCATCTAACTTTTTCACAGAAGAGTACATCTGGCACATCACCACCCACGACAGTGGATTTAAAGTGAACCTTAAACTAAGGCGAGCCAAGTACAAATGTAACCTGCTGCTCATAAGAGTCTGAAGTATCTTTCTTGCCCTTTAAGGATAGTTCTTCTTGTTTTCATCCCAGGCTCTCTTCATTTTTTAATTCCAGGAAAAGAGCAGTTGACTTTAAAAGTGCAACTGATCATTACAGTAGTTCTGCATAGTCTTCTGCTTCAGGATGAAGTGTTCTAGTATTTTCTGAGAAGGCAGTATAACAGTGCCCTAGTGGAATTTCAAGTATATTACAGCTAGACATCAACTAAACTTTCTTCCTTAGTAAGTGTAAAACCACAGGTTACATGGTGATGCTCAAATTTCTTTAATCATAGGAATGAATTCCTGATCTTCTCATTGTTAAGAACAAGCACCTGTATCTCTTATCCTTAGCACCTGTGCATCTTATTTAGCGGTAAGCCTGGGATGAAAACAAGAAGAACTATCCTTAAAGATCAAGAAAGATACTTCAAACTCCTTTGAGCAGCAGGTTACATTTGTACTTAGCTCACCTTAGTTTAAGGTTTCAGTTTAAATCCACTGACATGGGTAGTCATGTGCCAGATGTACTGTTCTGTGATAATACACTTCTGTATAATACACTTTTTGGTAAGAGTACCCACCCATTATTGCCTCAACCACTGAACATCTGACAGGTGACATGCAGTAGCCCCCCTCAAAGAGCAACATACAGTCCCATTATGACACATTTGCTACTTAAATGAAGAGTTCTTATTAGGTCTTCCTAAAACTACGTTCAATAATAGTCTTACATAATATGCCTTATGGTCCTCTTCCCTAGTTCCAACATTCTAAGGGAATTCAATGAATTTAACTACATTAATAAGCCTTGTCACAGTAAAACAGTTATTTCACCAGTTCTGAACTCTACTCACTTCCTTCTTTCTTCCCTCCACCGTGCAATTTCCTCTGGAGTGTCTAACTTGATCTTCTTCATGCCAGGAGCATGCATCTAGGGGGAAAAAGCCTGCTGAACATCAGGAGGCAATATCATATGCTTTTGACTAACTTGGAGACTTTGTTTCTACAAGTAAACTTATGTTGGACACAATTTTAAAACCAAGTAAGCAGGTTGTATCTATTTGTGTTATAACTTTTCCTTTAAAGGAAGAAGAATCTATCATGTATTTAATTAGTGCTATTAATAGAGGGAAAAGGGGTAACATAATTTTGATTACAAAGTAGATATGCCACCCATTCTCTCAAATGACATTAAACACCCAAATGAATGACTTACCAATCAAAACCTAGAGAGGCCACTAAAGATATGAGTAGACGTGACAATCTGTAGCAGCATGGTGTAGTAAAGCAGTATACAATTTGGAGTCAAGAAACTGAGGTCCAAGAATCAATTCTCAGGCCTTGGGCAATTCATTTTTTAAAATATTTTAAATGGGGCCAATATAAACAACCATAGTTGTTTGTGAGGAAAAAGTTGAATAAATGATGTCAAAATCCTTACAAAGTACTCCATTAGTGTTACCTATTATTAGGTATATAAATAAACAGTTGTGAAGATAACAGATCAATAAAAAGAGCATGTATTTAAAAATAGGATAAAAAAACAGAACTTACATTTCTCCAATGGAACTGGACAATCTTCTCGTGTGCAGTAAAAGAGCAATCTAATTCAGGGCACTATGAGTTTTTAAAAGAAAAAAAAAACTATTTAACAAATGTTTTCCATGTTAAATTTACCCCACTATACATACACAGACATATTCTGGCTGTATTACATAGTTATCCCATCTGTATAGTATTATCTCTGCATACAAAAATGACTCCAAAACAGGGCTGCCTTTAGGCAAAGGAATGACACTCTCAGAGTATGTGGCACAATAATATATCTTATTTACTTCTCCATTTGAGCAAAGGCATACATCAATAAACCTGTGAAATGCTCTTAATTCCTAAAGTTGAGGGGCATTCCCAAAAACAGAAAAAGAACCTTTCAAAACCAAAGGCTTCCTTTTAAACCTTTTAAACATTTTGGTTAAAGTTTTCTAGCTAGTACCTGACAAGGTGTGGACCAGCCTTTGAGGGTGATAGGCACAGCCACATTACACAGTATGGTTTAATGGTCAAGGGCAGACTTAAAGGGGAAAGAACTCATTAAGATGCACAAGGTAACTAGAGGAGAGGACAGCCTCTTCCCAAGCAGTAGAGGTACACACATACAAAAAGCTGTCAGAGCTCCCTTCTTTGCTACCATCTTACCTCGTCCCTGAAGCAGCGGGATCCCCACTTTCAAACCCCAGGGTCACTGCCCCTATCTGTCAAGTTGTCAAACTATATCTCTACAGAAACTATAAACTTTAAAGGAAAACAAGCTTGGCATTTCTACCAAATATACAGATAGAAGAAGCACAATTGCTACATCAGTTTCAGGACAACTAAGAAAACCTACTTTTGTATGTTCAGACATGTGTTTGTCATACTTTTCTTGATTTTTAAAACCACGATCACAGGTATCACAAAAAAAGTGAAAAACTGGTTCCTTTCTTTTCTGCAAACAAAAACAGAGAGGAATTAGGCTTTTGGTGAAAAATCTGTAATCAATAATAAAAACATAACTATCATTCTAGTAATACACACTTTGATGTTTCCAATAACCCTTTCGTGTGGGAGAAGCTTGTGAGTATATTTCCAATGAAGAGATTATTCTATTTCTTTCTTTCATTTTGTTTTTAACAAATATATTAGTGAAACCCAGGCATAATTTTAAACTTTTTTAATCCAAATAGTGCTAATATAAATTATGAGCAGATTGCAAATTGGTTATCTAATTAAGACTCAGTACAGAATATGTTGAAATGATCTGAAAATAAATAGAATAAAAACAGCAGCTCATCTTTTAGAAAAAAATAACTACAGCTGACCCTTGAACAACACAGGTTTGAACTGCAAGGGTCCACTTATAAAAGGATTTTTTTCAGTAAATATATTGGAAAATTTTTTTGGAGATTTGTGACAATTTGGAAAAACTCACAGATAAACCACATAGCCTTAGAAATATCAAAAAAAAAAGTATGTCAAGAAGG
The DNA here is from genome assembly GCF_000001405.40 of Homo sapiens. NCBI lineage: Eukaryota > Metazoa > Chordata > Mammalia > Primates > Hominidae > Homo > Homo sapiens. Next base: position 44,981,356 of record NC_000013.11, read on the forward strand.
TATAAAATATATGTGGACACCATTTCATTTCTATACTAACCGACTATTTATGTTATTGGTAAGACTTCCAGTCAATAGTAGACCATTAGTAGTTAAGTTTTAGAGGAGTCAAAAGTTACACACAAACTTCTGACTGCACCTCTAACTGTTGCGTTGTTCAAGTATCAACTATATGGCCAGGCATGGTGGCTCACGCCTTAATCCCAGCACTTTGGGAGGCGGAGGTGGGCGGGTCACTTGAGGTCAGGAGTTCGAGACCAGCCTGGCCAACACAGTAAAACCCCAACTCTACTAAAACTACAAAAATTAGCCAGGTGTGGTGGTGCGCACCTGCAGTCCCAGCTACTCTGGGAGGCTGAGGCAGGAGAATTGCTTGAACCCAGGAGGCGGAGGTTGCAGTGAGCCAAGATCGTACCACTGCACTCCAGCCTGGGCGACAGAGTGAAACTCCATCTAAAAAAAAATAAGGTAAAATAAAAGTATCAAATATATATCTATTTCTAAAACCACAGAAAAGAAACAAAAATTTAGTTATGTATTATTTTTGAATCCCAATTTGCTATATTCATGTTTAACCATAAAATTCCTTTTTATAGCAAGGCTCCACTGTGTCAATAATGGAAGCAAAACACTGAAGACAGTTATGACAGAAATGCAAGATATGAAACAGTAACATAGGGACCAAGGGGTCAAATTCAAGAACATCTTTCAAATACCTTTTTTTTCTGTTTTCTACTGGGAGGTAAGCTGAAGTCTGTGAATTTTGCATCATACTTTCGTGGATAATAAGAATTTTTAACTAAAAAAAAAAAGATCCATAAATGTTTGCAACAATGTAATTATTTAAATTATAATTAAATTTTATCTACTACAGCATGTTACAAATATTTCAGTAAAAACACTAGTAAACTACCCTTCTAGGAAGAATACTAGTTCAAACAAAATAACAAAGATTAAGATTAGTCTACCAAATGACTATTTTTCAAACAAAGAAAGACTGGTGTGATTATATGTCCACAGAAACTTTAGGCGTCAAAGTGCAGAAATGGACAACCTAACCTGATGAAATTCCTTCGGTTATTTCAAATATTAGAAATGTAACCAGTAAAATCCCCAACACTGCTCCTTCAGCATCAATTTCGCACCAGGAAAACAGAACCTTGTGAAATATATCTCCTCTCAAATCCCACTGTACTTTTCCATTCTTATTACCATGCCCCAAGTCAGAAATTCTGATCTTCCACCAGATTACTCCTATATTGTCTTCCAGTTCATAAGCCCCCTCTTCCAACAAACCTTACATACTGACACCAAAAAAAAAAAAAAATTCTCCAATCCTGTCACAACCTGGCTCAAAAATTTGCATATGGACCAGGCGTGGTGGCTCATGCCTATAATCCTAGCACTTTGGGAGGCTGAGACAGGAGAACTACTCAAGGCCAGGAGTTCATGACCAGCCTGGGTAACCTCACATGACCCCATCTCTACAAAAAAATTTAAAAATTAGCTTGGCATGATGGCATGCACCTGTAGTCCTAGCTACTGTGGAGGCTGAGGTGGGAGGATCACTTGAGTTCAGGAGTTTGAGGCTGCAGTAAGCTATGATCATGCCACTACACTCCAGTCTAGGCAACAGCACAAGACCCTGTCTCTGTCTCTTTTAAAAAAATTATTCTTTGTATAGAGATGGGGTCTCACTATGTTGCCCAGGCTGATCTCACACTCCTGGGCTCAACCGATCTGCCTGCCTCAGCCTCCAAAGTCCTGGGACTGCAAGCGTGAGCCACCATGCCCAGCTGACCCTGTCTCTTATTTTATTTTATTTTTTTTGGCGGGGGAGATGCAGTTTCGCTCTTGTTGGCCAGCCTAGAGTGCAGTGGCACAATCTTGGCTCACTGCAACCTCTGCTTCCCAGGTTCAAGCGATTCTCCTGCCTCAGCCTCCCGAGTAGCTGGGATTACAGGCATGTGCCACCATGCTCAGGTAATTTTCGTATTTTTTAGTAGAGACAGAGTTTCACCATGTTGGCCAGGCTGGTCTCGAACTCCTGACCTCAAGTGATCCACCTGCCTCGGCCTCCCAAAGTGCTGGGATTACAGGCGTGAGCCACCGCACCCAGCCCCCCGTCTCAAATAAAAAAAAAAAAAAAGTTGAGGGAGGGGCTGGCATGATGGCTCACATCTATAATTCCAACACTTTGGGAGGCCAAGGCGGGCAGACCACTTGAGCCCAAGAGTTTGAGATCAGCCTGAGCAGCCTGGCGAAACTCTGTCTCTACAAAAAATACAAAAATTAGCCAAGCTTGGTGGTATGTGCCTGTAGTCCCAGCTACTTGTGAGGCTGAGATGGGAGAATCACTTGAGCCCAGCAGGTTGAGGCTGCAGTGAGCCATATATGTGCCACTGCACTCCAGCCTGGGCCACAGAACAAGACCCTGTCTCAAAAAGCAACAATAATAAAGGATGAGTTTGACCTTCTCTCACTCTCTCTCACCATGTGATGCCTTTCTTGATGTCACCATGCAGCAAGAAGGTCCTCAACAGCCCCTTGATCTTGGACATAACCTCAAGAACTATGAGCCAAATAAATTTCTGTTCATTATATATTACCCAACAGGTCATACTCTGTTATGGCAGCACAATAGGGACTAAGACAGCTTCCTAGAGACCTTCCATGAGATTCTAATTTATTTTCTTACCCTACCCTTCCCCATACCTTTCACATACTCTGCTTCAGTCACACCAGAACCCTGCAATCTCCAGAACTTGCCTTGTACTGACACCTCTTTCTCTACCTAGGAAACATCTCTTCCCAAATTCTATACATCTCCTAAGACACTTCTTCCAAAAGCTTTTCCCAATTTCCTCTACATTCTGAAATCAGCTATTATATGCCTCTATCATCAGTCACACTGTATTTTGATTCATACTTATAACATATCTCATCTGACTCAGCCAAGTCCGTATTTCCAGCATCTGCCATACAATAAACACTAACTGTTTGGGCCAGGTGTGATGGCTCATTCCTGTATTCCCAGTGCTTTGGGAGGCCAAGGCAAGCAGATCACTTGAGGTCAGGAGCTCGAGACCAGCCTGGCCAACATGGTGAAACCCAGTCTCTACCAAAAATACAAAAAATTAGCCAGGTGTGGTAGTGCGTGCCTGTAGTCCCAGCTACTCAGGAGGCTGAGGCAGAAGGATCCCTTGAACCCAGGAGGTGGAGGCTGCAGTGAGCCGAGATGGTGCCACTGTACTCTAGCCTGGGTGACAGCAAGAGACTCTATTTAAAAAAATAAATAAAATAAAATAAAAATAAAACACTAATTGTTCAGATTCAGTTTAATGCAGAATTGAATTTTTTTTTATTATTATACTTTAAGTTTTAGGGTACGTGTGCACAATGTGCAGGTTAGTTACATATGTATACATGTGCCATACTGGTGTGCTGCACCCATTAACTCGTCATTTAGCATTAGGTATATCTCCTAATGCTATACCTCCCCGTTCCCCCCACCCCACAACAGTCCCCAGAGTGTGATGTTCTCCTTCCTGTGTCCATGTGTTCTCATTGTTCAATTCCCATCTATGAGAGAGAACATGTGGTGTTTGGTTTTCTGTCCTTGCAATAGTTTACTGAGAATGATGACTTCCAATTTCATCCATGTCCCTACAAAGGATATGAACTCATCATTTTTTATGGAATGCAGAATTGAATTTTCTGCAAAGTTGGAGAATGGTTTTAAATTAACACTCTTGTAGCTTGAAATATGATCTATATGGTGTCAACACCCAAATTTATAGCTCCAGCCACAAATCTCCCCTGAAAGTAGACTAATAGCTAAAAGCCTATTCAATATCTCTACCTGACACAAATATATTCCAACTTTAATTCCTGGACTTCCTTCCAAATCTGCTCCATCCACATTCTTACCTATCTCAGTTAATAGCAACTCCATCCTTCCAATTGTTTGGCAAAAAAACTTTAAATTATCCTTCTCTCCTCTTTATCTTGCATCCCATATATCCTATCTTTCAGTAAATCATGCAGTCCCCACCTTTAAGGTATAAAAGCACATCTCATTTCACTGCACTTCGTTTTACACAGCTTTTTGCAAGCTAAGGGTCTGCGGCAACCCTACATCAAGCAGGTCTATCAGCACCATTTTTCCAACAACAATGTGCTGTCTTTGTGTCACATTTTGGTGATTCTCGAAATATTTCAAACTTTTTCATTTTTATTACGTCTGTTATACTGATCTGTGATCAGTGATCTTTGATGCTACTACTGTAATTGTTTTGAGACACCATGAATCGTGGCCATATAAGATGGTGAACTTTATAAATGCTGTGTATGTTCTAACTGCTCTACCAACCGGTGGTTCTCCTCTCCCTCTCCTCAGGCCTCCCTATCCTCTGAGACGCAATATTCAAAAGTAGGCCAATTAATAACCCTATCATGGTCTCTAAGTGTTCAAGCAAAAGGAAGAGTCACATGTCTCTCATTTTAAATCGAAAGCCAGAAATGATTAAGCTTAGTGAGGAAGACACGTTGAAAGCTGATACAAGCCAAAAGCCAGGCCTCTTGTGCCAAACGGCTAGCCAAGTTGTGAATGCAACTACTGAGAAAGGGTCTCACTGTCAGCCAGGCTGGAATATAAAGGTGCAGTCATAGCTCATTGCAGCCTCAAACTCCTGGGCTCAAGGGATCCTCCTGCTCTGCCCTCCTGAAGTGCTGGGATTACAGTCGTGAGCCACCGTGTCTGGATGAAAAGTTCTTGAAAGAAATCCACAGTGATTCATAGATAGTGATTCCTCTAATGGATCTGAGCAAAGTAGATTAAAAACCTTCTAGAAAGGAGGTTTTGATTCACTATTCAAGATACCATTAAGAACATTCATGATTTATGGAAGGAGGTCAAAAGATCAACATTAACAGGAGTTTGAAAGAAGAAATTCCAACCCTCATAGACGATTTTGAGGAATTCAAGACTTCAGTGGAGGAAGTCACCTCAGATGTAGTAGAAACTGCAAGAGAACTACAATTAGAAGTGGAGGGGCCAGGCGCAGTGGCTCACGCCTATAATCCCAACACTTTGGGAGGCTGAGGTGGGTGGATCACGAGGTCAGGCGATCGAGACCATCCTGGCTAACATGGTGAAACCCCATCTCTACTAAAAATACAAAAAAATCAGCCGGGCGTGGTGGTGGGCGCCTGTAGTCCCAGCTACTAGGGAGGCTGAGGCAGGAGAACGGCGTGAACCTGGGAGGCAGAGCTTGCAATGAGCCAAGATCGAGCCACTGCACTCCAGCCTGGGCAACAGAGCAAGACTCCATCTCAAAAAAAAAAAAAAAAAAAGAAGTGGAGCCACAAGATGTGACTTGCTGCAATCTCATGGTAAACCTTTAATGGATGAGAAGTGGCTTCTTATGGATGAGGAAAGAAAGTGCTTTTTTGAGAAGGAATCTACTCCTGGTGAAGATGCTGTGAACACTGTTGAAATGACAACAAAGGATTTATAATATTATATAAACTTAGTTGATAAAGTAGCCTCGACTTCCTGGGCTCAAGGAATCCTCCTGCCTCAGCCTCCCATGCTTCTAGGACCACAGGCATTCCACCACGCCTGGCTAATTTTATTTTTTTTGTAGAGACGGGGGTCTCACTTTGTTGCCCAGGCAGGTCTCAAACTCCTGGGCTCAAGCAATCCTCTTGCCTCTGCCTCTCAAAGTGCTAAGATTAGGCTGGGTGCAGTGGCTCACGCTTGTAATCTCAGCACTTTTCGGAGGCCAAGGAGGATGGATCACTTGAGGTCAGGAGTTCGAGATAAGCCTGGCCAACATGGTGAAACCTTGTCTCTACTAAAAATACAAAAATTAGCCAGGCATGGTGGCGGGCACCTGTAGTACCAGCTGCTCGGGAGGCTGAGGCAGGAGAATCACCTCAACCTGGGAGGTGGAGGTTGCAATGAGCCAAGATCACGCCATTGCACTCCAGCCTGAGCAACAGAGACTCTGTCTCAACAAATTAAAAAAAAAAATAAATAAAGTGCCCAGATTATAGGTGTGAGCTACCCTGCTCAGCCTAAAGTATTTTTTAATCAAGGTATGTAAGTTGTTTTTTAAGACATAATGGTATTGCACACTTACTAGACTATGGTATAATGTAAAAATAACTTTTTTGCCCCATAGGATCTGCAGGAAAACATACTTTTACATGCAACGGAAAACCAAAAAAAAAATAATTGTGTGACTTGCTTTACTGCAGTGGTCTGTAACTGAACCCACAAGAGCTCCAAGGTATCCCCAGATCTAGAATCCAACTACTTCTCACCATCCCTTGGGCTTCACCCTGGTCCAAGTCTCCAATATCTCTTGTTTAGAAAAGTAACTACAATAGCTTCCTAACCGGTTTCCCTTTCAGTCAGTTCTCACCAACAGACACATTAATCCTCTTAAAACGTAAATCAGGTCATGTCAATCCGCTGTACTACCCACCTCACAACAGTAAAAGTCAAAGTCCCACGATCTACAAAGACATACCAGGTCTTACCCTCCTCCCCCATCTTCTACAATTATACTCCAGACTCAGTCCTCTGTAGCCACACTGGTTCCCATTCTGATGTATAGCTTCTAAGCCTCAAGACCTTTGCACTTGCAGTTCCTTCTGCCCGTACCCCTATTCTCCCAGTTGTATGCATGGCTGTGATCTCTCACCTCCCTAAAGTCTTCGCTCATATGTCACCTTCCTTATGACTAACAATGACATTTAAAACTGCACTACCTGGCCCGGCGTGGTGGCTCATGCCTGTAATCCCAACACTTTGGGAGGCTGAGGCGGGCGGATGCCTGAGCTCAGGAGTTAGAGACAGGCCTGTCCAACACGGGGCAACCCCCTTTCTACTAAAAATATAAAAAATTAGCCGGGTGTGGTGGCGTGGGCCTGTAGTCCCAGCTACTCAGGAGTTTGAGGCATGAGAATTGCTTGAACTCGGGAGGCAGAGGTTGCAGTGAGCCTCTCTGCAGAGACTGCATAGGCTGGAGTGAAGTAGATCGCGCTACTCTTCACTCCAGCCTGGGCGACAGAGCGACACTCTGTCTCCAAAAAAAAAGAAAAAAAGAAAATCCTGCACTACTTACCATTCTTCTTTGTTTTATCTCTCTCCATGCCACTCAACCTTCTAATGCACAATATTTTATTTTGCTTATTGTCTGTCTTCCTACACAAGAGAGATAATATTAAGCTCCATAATATTTTTTGTATGTTCTGCTCACTGCTATATACCCAGATTCTGGTACATAGTCGGAATTCAATAAATAACTGCTAAATGGAATTAACAGTCAACAGGAAAACATTCTAGTCAGACATATTTTGAGAACAAAGGATTTACAATATTATATAAACTTAGTTGATAAAGCAGCCTCGACTTCCTGGGTTCAAGGAATCCTCCTGCCTCAGCCTCCCATGCATCTGCGACCACAGGCATGCCACCATGCCTGGCTAATTTTATTTTTTTTGTAGAGACGGGGGTCTCACTTTGCTTTGAGATGCTAATGACCAGACTCCAAGAGTGCAGAGGCAAGGCAGAGTAGAGAGAGGAAGCAGAGAAAGGGGAGAGGAAAGAACGGGGGAAAAAGGTAAAGGGGTCGACTCACGTGGAAAAATAGCCTACCTGCAGGGTTGAAGGACTTCTGATGCCGAGGAAACCTATCAGAAGACTGTCTCCAATACCACGATGTGGAAGCATGGAAATTCCAAGGCTGGCCGCTGGGTTGAGGCTGAGAATCAAGGGGAGACTGGGCGTCGAAGGGGGGTTGCGCCCCGGGAAGAATCTGGGCGTCGAAGGGGGGCGGAGCCCCGGGGAGAGACTGGGCCTCCATGGGGGGCTGCGACTCAGAGGAAGGCTTTGACCCGGCTGCGGGAAGCGAGGACGTAAGTGGTGGTGGCGGTGGCGGCAGCATTGCCCAGAACATCCAGCTGTCCCGCGGCGGGGCAGTGTCGCTCAGGGGCCCTAACGTGGGAGTCAGCTCGGGAGACGCATGCCACCCGATAGGAGTCTCGAAATCACTAGTCGGCTCAGCCATACCACTGGCGGGTCCGGAGTCTAGCACGCGACTGTGGAGCAAGCATTAGGCGTCACTTCCTTTACCGTGAACTACAAGGCTCAGCCAACCACAGGCTTTACGTCATTTCTCGGCGCCGGGAAACCTGCCATTCTTCGCTGCTGATCGCGGGATTCTTTTTGGATAGGGTTGACGTTCGTGGATAGACTCATATCTGTGACCAGTGTCCGCCACCGCGGATGGCAAGAGACCTGATCGGACCGGCCCTGCCGCCCGGCTTCAAGGCCCGCGGAACAGCGGAGGACGAAGAGCGGGACCCGAGCCCTGGTAAGCGGCGGCGTCTCCGCTGCCCACCAGGCCCATCTACCCACTCCCTGGCCGGGCCCTGCTCGCTGAAGAAAGTCGGAGGCCTAGGAGGGCGGAGGAGTGGGGAGTGGGCGCGGCCTGACCCGAGAGAACTTTTCTCTTCCCAAACAGTAGCAGGGGGGAGGAGGCTGGGGGACCCTCCTAGAAACGAGCTTTGGCGTGGTTTGGCTTCGTGATGATAATACATTCTCATTTAGCCTTAATATGAGCTGCACGCTGCCCTAACTGACTGATACCCACTCAGTCATTTAAGCCGTATAAGAAAAAAACTATTTTCCCATGTTGCAAATGGGTACGCCCAAGCCCATGCCAGTGTCTAGATCATACTGCTAGCAAGTGATGGAGCGCGACTTAGAAGGAAGCGGTTCTCTTAACCTCTGTGCCATATTGCCTTCTGATTACAAGAACCTTGCAGATCCTGTTCTCTCCAGCCCCCGACCTGCCTTCCTAGCCTCTCATTCTGTTATTGCATCTGACAAACACAGCCCAATACTCAATCCAGTCTGAGTTGCTGCGCAATTCCTTAACGCTCTAGGCTTCTGGGCTTCCTCTGGTTGCATTCCTAAACATAACTGACAAACTTCTCCCCATCCTTCAAGGCCCAACTTAAATGTCACACCAATAAAACCTTTCCAGATTCCCCGAAGCATTGTCATGCCTTTCTTTTTGCCCTCGGGTTTTTTCCTAATTACATTGCATATTTAGTACACTGTATTTGAATAATTTGTCGACATAATCTGTCTCCACCATTGCACTATGGTCTTCTACCTGAACACGCAACAGGCACTTGGTATATACGAAACGAATGCTTCTCGGATTCCGGCATGCATACCTATCTGCTTTAATGTTTATTCACATTTGTAGACTAGCACCGACACCCAGTTGGAGAAGAGTAAAGCTGAAAGAGTAACCCTGCCATTTCTGAATCTAATTTTTCTTCCTGGTCTACCCGGAGGCTATGTTTCTACTACAGGCCCCTTTCCAATATAATTTCTGTCATAACCACTTTAAAAATTATGCCTTCCAGCTGAGCGAGGTGGCACAAGCCTGTAATCTCAGCACTTTGAGAGGCTGAGACGGGGCGGATCACTTGAACTCAGGAGTTCAAGACCAGCCTGGCCAACATGTTGAAACCCCATCTCTACTAAAAATACAAAAATTAGCCGGGCGTGGTGGCGGGCGCCTGTAATCCCAGCTGCTCTGGAGGCTGAGGCAGGAGAATCGCTTGAACCCAGGAGGCGGAGGTTGCAGTGAGCCGAGAGTGCCACTGCGCTCCAGCCTGGGCGACGGAACGAGAGTTTGTCTCAATAAATAAATAAATAAAAGTAAATGTGAAAAATTATGCTTTCCTTCCTGTAGGAGATAGCTTTAAAAAAATAAAATAAGGCCAGGTGCGGTGGCTCACGCCTGTGAACCCAGCGCTTTGGGAGGCCGAGGCGGGCGGATCACGAGGTCGAGAGATCGAGACCATTCTGGCCAACATGGTGAAACCCTGTCTCTACTAAAAATACAAAAATTAGCCAGGCATGGTGGCACGTACCTGTAGTCCCAGCTACTTGGGAGGCTGAGGCAGGAGAATTGCTTGAACCTGGGAGGCGGAGGTTGCGGTGAGCCGAGATCGCGCCACTGCACTCCAGCCTGGCGACAGAGTGAGACTCTGTCTCAAAAAAAAAAAAGAAAAAGATTCTTCGTATATATTTGTTGAATGACTTCTCTTCGTCAAGCACAATATCTTACACGTAGTGTGTCATTTTAAACACATAATCTCCCCTGCTATAATTCCATTCCCTTCATAACCGCCTAGATGGCTGAACCTAAAACGGTTGCCAAAAAATCTTCATATATCATTTTTATTTCATCTATCTGGATTTTTAAGAAGTTTGCCAGTACCAATGGCCTTCACATCCACTATATCACACCATAGAAGCTGCACTTGGACCATCTTCCAGTTATTACCTGCATCACCACCCCTCCTACAACCAGAGGGTAACTGCTTCCTTGATTTATAGCATCACAGATTCGTTTTGCATGTTTTCTCTTTCATAACTGGCTTCCTATCTTGGTACTACATTACTTTGTGAGATTCATTCATGTAGATTAGCATTATTATAGATTGTTGAAGTTCATAATCTGGTCTTTAAACAAACAGAATTATTATAGGTTGTTTCTTTACATTGCTATATAGTCATCCATTAGATGAATGTTCTGCAATTTATCCATTTTACGTTGGATGAACATTTGAGTAATTTCCATTTGGAGGCTGTTATAAAATGTGCTGCTATGCATTGTAGTATATGTCTTATGGTAGATACTCCCAGCTTCCAAAGTCACCAAAGTTCTCAGCGTGTATGAGAATTCTAGTTGTTCCACATTCTAATATTTAGTTTTTTTCTTTTAAATCCGGTGGTTTGTAGCAATATCTCATGGTAGTTTTAATTTGTATTTCCCTGGTGACAAATGAAATTGACCACCTTTTCATGTGTTATTTGACCATATGAATACATGCTGTGTTCAGTCTTTTGCTTATTTTTCCATTGAGTTGTCTGTCTTCATATTGATTTATAGAGTTCTTTTTATAGTCTGGATATGAGTCATTTTCCAGATAGGTGTATCAGAAATATCTTCTCTAATTCTGTGGTTTTTTCACTCATGTTGGTATGTTTTGATTAACATAAGTTTTTAATTTTAATATATTCTGACTTTTAATTTTTTTCTTTTATGGTAGAATTTTTTGCATCCTATTTAAGCTATCTTTGCCCACCCCAAGGTTATAAAGCTCTTCTGTGTTTTCTTCTAAAAGCATTATTGTTTCAGCTTTCACATTTATATTTGCAATTCATCTGGAATTGATATTTGTGTGTGGTGTGAGATAGGGATGAAAATTTTTTGCCCCTGTAAGGGTATCCTGGCACCATTTATTGAACAGACCATCCTTTCACCACTATCACCTTCCTTATAAATCAGGCAACCATATATATGCATCTAGTTTTTTTTCTTGTTTATTCTGGTAAAATATACACATCTGTCATATTAACCATTTGTAAGCATATAGGTCAGTGGCACTTAGGTACAGTCACATTGTTGTGCGGTCATCACCACCATCCATCTCTAGAACTATTTTCATCTTGCAAAACTGAAACCTATTCCCATTAAACAATAACTCCCCATTCTCCCCTCTGACCCAGTCCCTGGTAACTACCATCTACTTTCTTTTTCTGTTAATTGGACTATTTTAGGTACTTCATTTAATGGAATCATACAGTACTTGCCCTTTGGTTACTGGCTTATTTCACTTAGCATAATTTTTTCAAGCTTTACTTATTGTAGCACGTTAGAATTTCCTTTCTTTTTAAGACTCAACAGTATTCCGTGTATGTATATACTGTATAGACTACATTTTGTTTATTCATCTGTTGCTGGACCCTTGGGTTGCTATGTATGCTATTGTGAATAATGCTGTTATGAACATGGGTGTACAAATAATCTGTTCAAGTCCCTGCTTTCATTTCTTTTGGTCGTATACCCAGAAATGGGATTGCTGGACCATGTGGTAATTCTACAACATTTTGAGAGGCCGGGCACGGTGACTCACACCTGTAATCCCAGCACTTTGGGAGACCGAGGCAGGTGACCTCACCTGAGGTCAAGAGGTCAAGACCAGCCTGGCCAACATGGTGAAACCTCGTCTTTACTAAAAATACAAAAATTAGCCAGGCGTGGTGGATTACCCAGAGATCTTGTTAAGATGCCAACTCTGATTCAGGTGATCTGGGACCTGTAGTCCCAGCTACTGGGGAGGCTGAGGCTTGAGAATCACTTGTACCTGGGAGGTAGAGGTTGCAGTGAGCCGAGATCGCGCCACTGCACTCCAGCCTGGGCGACAGATCGAGACTCCGTCTCAAAAAAAAAAAAAAAATTTGAGGAACTAGCATACTGTTGTCTACAGCAGCTGCACCATTTTACATTCCCACTAGCACTGTACAAGGGTCTGTTTCTCCACATCCTCCCAGTGCTTGTTAATTTCTGTTTGTCTTTTTTTTTTTTTTATAATAGTCATCCTAATGAGTGTGAAGTGGTATCTCATTGCTTTGATTTGCATTTCCTTAACGATTAGTGATGTTGAGCACCTTTTCATATGCTTATTGGCTTGTGCATCTAGGTTTAAGAAACTTGGGTCAGGCATGGTTGTTTACGCTTGTAATCCCAGCACTTTGGGAAGCTGAGGCAGGCATTCTTGAACCCATGAGTTCAAGACCAGCCTGGGCAACATGGCAAAACCCCATCTCTACAAAAAATACAGGTAGTGCATGCCTGTAGTCCCAGCTACTTGGGAGGCTGAGGTGGGAGGATCGCATGAGCCCAGGAGTTGGAGGTTGTAGTAAGCTATGATCATGCCACTGCACTCCAGCCTGGGTGATAAAGTGAGACCCTGTCTCAAAAAAAAAAAAAAAAAAAAAGGGAGAGAGAAAGAAAGAAACTTGAATTTAGAGTCTAATTTCTTAAAAAAATGCCCTCTCGCGGCCGGGCACGGTGGCTCACGCCTGTAATCCCAGCACTTTGGGAGGCCGAGGCGGGCGGATCACCTGAGGTCAGGAATTCGAGACCAGCCTCAACGTGGAGAAACCCCGTCTCTACTAAAAAAATACAAAAATTACCCAGGTGTGGTGGTGCATGCCTGTAATCCCAGCTACTCGGGAGGCTGAGGCAGGAGAATTGAATTACCTGGTCTTCTCTGTTCCTGCTGCCTACCATGTCCCATCCTACCTTGAAGTCTTCATACATGTTGTTCCCTCAGTTTGAGTGCTTCCTCCCATCCCTTAGTTTCGTTCGTTTTGCTAGTTTTCAGAGCTCAGTACAAAACTTCATCTTGGGATTCAGGTGTTATGGGCCTCCTCACGTGATAAACATAAAGTCACACAGTTTTCCAAAATACATGGTTTTCATAATAAAAGTATTCTTGAAATTATTTATTCGTGGTTTTTTGTTGTTGTTGTTGATTTAGGGTCATTGTTCAGAATATCACATTATATATATCGTTAGATAATTAGAAATGTGAGGCATTGGAGAGAGAGCATTTTATTTTTTTTTTGAGACGGAGTTTCGCTCTTGTTGCCCAGGCTGGAGTGCAATGGCACAATCTCGGCTCACCACAACCTCCGCCTCCTGGGTTCAAGCTATTCTCCTGCCTCAGCCTCCTAAGTAGCTGGGATACAGGCGTGCACCACCACACCTAACTAATTTTGTATTTTTAGTAGAGAGAGGGTTTCTCCATGTTGGTCAGGCTGGTCTTGAACTCCCGACCTCAGGTGATCCTCTCGCTTTGGCCTCCCAAAGTGCTGGGATTACAGGCGTGAGCCACTGCACCCAGACACAAGCCCCTATCTTTAAACACACACACACACACACACACACACACACACACCCCTTCTCTTTTGGTTTCTATGATACCATACTCCCCTCATTTTTGTCTCCTCTTTGGGCAGCTCCTCTTCATCTCGAATAGTTTATCTTCAATTAAACCTTCAGGTGTTAAAGATTCTGAAAGCTGACTCCTAAGCCCTCTTTTTTTTTAATACTCTATTCTCTCTTTTAAGTGATGATATTCCCACCCATGGGGTGAAGGTTTTTATATAAGAACTTAGATGCTTATCTAACATCTTTGTTTAATGATTCCCAGTGAGAGTTCCTATCAGAATCTTTAAAAAAGGAGATGAACTTCTAAAAAAAATCTTTCAATGTTCTAGCCAGTCTCTTCTTTCCTCCCCTGACAGGATTTTAAAGTATTCCAAGTTCAGGAGCAAAGACTAAATTACCCCCTAAGTCCCTGGGACTGTCCCAGTTTTAGCACTAAAAATCCCACATCCCAAGAAGCCCTTCAATCCCAAGCAAACCAGCACAATTGGTCACCCTATTTCTGTCTTCTGTAGCAGTGCACCTTAAACTTGAACATGCACATGGATTACCCAGAGATCTTGTTAAGATGCCAACTCTGATTCAGGTGATCTGGGTGAGGCCTGAGATTCTGCATTTCTGACAAGCTCCCAGCTGCTGCTGCTGCTGCTGGTCCTGCTGGTGCCAAGACCACAGTGTTTGTGGTGAGGGATGGGAGCACACGTGGCTTTCTCTATCTGTAGTTATTGTGCTGGATTGTTTGCTGGTTTGCCCCACTAAACCATGAGGAAAGGAACCACGTCCTAAGCCTCTGTAATCCCCAATACTAGCAGGGTACCCAGCACAAAGTGGGTACTCAGTAGATTCCTTTTGGCGGAGTAGAGGACAGTAAAAATTCCTGGTCAGGCGCAGTGGCTCATGCCTATAATCCCAGCACTTTGGGAGGCTAAGGTGGGAGGATCACTTGAGCCCAGGACTTCAAGAACAGCCTAGGCAACATAGTAAGACCTCATCTCTACTAAAAATTTAAAAATTAGCCAGGCATGGTAGCATGCACATGCAGTCTCAACTACTTGGGGGGCTGAGGCAAGAGGATTGCTTGAGCCCAGGAGTTTGAGGTTGCAGTGAGCTGTGATCACACCACCGCACTCCAGCCTGAGTGTTAAAACAAGACCTTGTCGCAAAAAAAAAAAAAAATTCCTTAAGAGGGGCCCAGGATTTATGGGGGTTGGAGAAGCCAGGACCTGCATGAATACAGCTAACCATAATCCTTTGTATGGAGTCTGGAAGAAACCTAATGGCTGGCTGGGAACGGGATTTTTTTTTTTTTTTAAACAGCATCTCACTGTCATCCTGGCTGGAGTGCAGTGGCATGATCTCAGCTTACTGCAACCTCTGCCTCCTGGTTCAAGTGATTCTCCTGCCTCAGCCTCCTGACTAGCTGAAATTACGGGGATGCACCCTCACATCTGGCTAATTTTTGTATTTTTAGTAGAGATGGGGTTTCACCATGTTGGCCAGACTGGTCTGGAACTCCTGGGCTCAAGTGATCCATCTGCCTCAGCCTCCCAAAGTACTGGGATTACAGGCGTGAGCCACTGTGCCCAGCCTCTTTTTTTTTTTTTTTTTTTTTTTTTCCAGTTTTTAAAAATTGTGATAAAATACACATAACATGAAATGTACCATCTTAACCATCTTTAAATGTACAGTTCAGTGGCATTAAATACATTCAGATGATTGAGCAACTATTACCAACATATCCACATCTCTTTTCATCTTGTAAAACAGAAACTCTGTACTCACTAAGTAATAACTCCTCATTCCCCCCTCCAGCTCCTGACAAGCACCATTCTACTTTCTGTCTCTATGATTTGACTACTTTAAGTACATCATTTGAGTGGAATCATACAGTATTTGTCTTTTTTTTTTTTTTGGACTGGCTTATTTCACTTAGCATAATGTCCTTAAGTTTCATCCATGTGGTAGCAGGTGTCAGGATTACCTTCAAGTGAAGATTCCTGAATCCAGTCTGTTATCTGTCCTGTGTTCCTCACACTCTGCTGTCCCAGAAGGAGATCTGACAAGCATGACCAGAGTAAAGAGGAGTGAGGGAGCACACAGGTCTGAGATGGAACAAGTTAACTTCATTTGAATACTCTGAAAATTGACTGCTGGAAAATGTCCCCCAACGTCATGTCATTAGAAACCCTGGGGTGCAAATATTTTCTCAAGAGCGATCCACAGACTCCATATGCTGTTCTATGGAAGCTGAGTGGAGCCTTGGCCATTTTGACTCTAACTCCAGTCTCCTATCTGCAGTGACCTTCACCTCCACTAATTTCACCTACATTTTAAGCTGGAGTAGTGAGTCTACCCTACTCCAGCTCCAAAAACTCAAATTCAAATCTCATTCTCAGCAAGAACCCCTTATTCATTCATTGTTCTCACTCAAGTTACTCCCATTTCATTTGCTTTTTATTTTTGTTTTTTAACCTCATTGAGCCTTCCATCCCTAAGTACTTCTATCCCTAAGTACTTCCATCTGAGAGGAGTGCTTACATCCCTACTCCTGTTAGACTCCATGGTCCACCCATTCATCCACTCTCTTGCTGGTGCTCTCAACTGCTTTATCCCATTGGGTATTCTGCCAAACCCATCTAACAAAAGCCCAGCCCTGGATCAGTCCAAGTGTTTACCCCTTGTGAGCCTACAGCCAGGCTTCCTAATGCTGCTAGAAGAAACCTCACGCCTCCACAAGCTAATGCTGCTAAAAGATGGCCTGTTCCCTAACTGGGTCCATAGGTCTGTCCAGTAATCCTCACAGGCTTCACCTCCTTTCTCTTCCCCAATCTGCAACCTTGGCTTTTTAAAACTTTCCCTTTCTTTCTAAAACTTTTATTTTTCCGTCTACTTCATTGAACAAGTAGATGCCATCATAAGAGAACTTCCTCAATTTTCTGTTACTGTATCTAAAAACTATCCTAAATCCACGCCAAGCTTTTTGTCTGCCCTTTGGTAACAATAGAAGAGGTATACTGCTTCCTTCTAAAGCTAATCCTTCCATTTTTACTCTGACTCCCTTCCCTGTCCTTAGGGCTGCCTGCCCTTAGCATTTAACCAAAACATTCAAATCTTTCCCATCTTTGAAGAAAACTCTACTTCATATCCCCCTCTAGCTGCATCTTTTTCTTTCTCACTGTCTCTGGGTCTTCTATTTTCTCCTTAACCCATTGCATTTCTGCCCTCACCAGTCCACTGAGACCCTCACCAATTCAAGGCTTCCTTTTCAGTCCTAGTCTTCCTTGACCTCACAGCAACATTTGGCCCCTCTCTATCCTCTCTTGGTTCCAACCATCCTGAACACCTTTCAGTTTTCTAAATGTGATGACTCTTTTGCTTTCAGGCTTTTGCAGATGCTTTTCTTTCTGCCTGGACTACTCTTCGTCCAGTCCCCACCTTCTTTGCCCAGCTAACTCAGGTCCCACCCCTACATCACTGCTTCTAGGAAACATTCTTTGATGTTAACTACCTACTGCCTGTAAAAGATGGGTTGGGTGCCCCTTCTTTATATTTGCATGATTTAACCATGTCATGGGGTCAGCAAACTTTTCTTGTAAAGGACCAGATAGTAAATACAGTTGACCCTGTAGATCTGCAGGTTCTGAGTCTTCAGGTTCAACCAACTCTAGATTGAAAGTACAATATTCAAGGGAAGTGGAACCAAGGCCATAGCCACAGATTTTGGTAGCTGCAAACAGGGGAGTTGGTCCTGGAACCAATCTCCCGAGAATACCGAGGGACAACTGTACTTTTGACTGTAGGTCAGTAGGCAAAATCAAGATTATTGTAAAAGTATGTGTACAACAAGAAGGAAGCAAACTTCACAAAATTTTATTGTTGCAATCTAAAACATAATACCATATAATTTTTTTGTAATACAGGTCTACTAATGAGAAGAACAGAATTGGTTTTGGGGGAGTAACATTTCATTTCATCGGAGTTCAAGTTAGCATTCCTAGTCATCAGAATCAGTTGTGGATGTTCATCTGTTAATGCTGATCTGTAATGAGATTTTTATGTATTATACTGAGTTCATTTTTTTATATGCATATCACAATTCTGTGTGATATGAAAGGGAAATAAGTGAAATATAAGGAACGCGTAACTCCTGTTCTCATGGAATTTATAATCTATTTGGAAAATTATCATTGCAATAGGAGAGCCTCCTTAATGACGACAAGCATCACTGCTTTAGGAGAGATATGGAATAGTTCATTACATGTTCCCAAAATAATTTTTTGAGATTATTCATAGTTCAGAAGGATATCTATAAAAAAGTGAAGCCAGACATGTCCTTACTTTTATTAGGGGGTCTGTATTGTGGCGTATACTGACTGACACTTTTAATATTCTTCTCTTTTTTCTTGAGACAGAGTCTCACTCTGTCACCAGACTGGAGTGCAGTGGCGTGATCTTGGCTCACAGCAACCTCCGCCTCCCGGGTTCAAGTGATTCTCCTGCCTCAGCCTCCTGAGTAGCTGGGACTACAAGCATGTGCCACCACGCCCAGCTAATTTTGGTATTTTTAGTAGAGATGGGGTTTCACCATGTTGGCCAGGATGGTCTTGATCTCTTGACCTCATGATCCGCCTGCCTTGTCCTCCCAAAGTTCTGGGATTACAAGCATGAGCCACTGCGCCTGGCCCCTTTTTTCTTTTTTATATCGCCATCTCAGTATTCTATCATTTCATGATGAAATAGTTGTTTATTTTGAACAACTCAAATAGAAATTAATGGTACTATGTGCTGAATGTTACTTTTTTATACTATTTTTCCGTGATTATTTTTAAAAGGCCAGGTTTTCTTAGATGAGTTTTATCTTCATCTGCTTATTATCTTTTTAAAAAATGTATATCTCGTTTGTTTCTTTAAAAATCCATGGCAATTTTTTAGTTGTAATAGCACCAGGTGTGGTGGCTCATGCCTGTAATCCCAGTGCTTTGGGAGGCCAAGGCAGGAAGATCACTTGAGGCCAAGCGTTCAAGACCAAGCTGGACAACATAGTGAGACCCTGGTCTCAAAAAAATAAATAAAATAAAATTTAAAAATTATCTGTGCATGGTGGCAAACACCTGTAGTCCTAGCCATGCAGGAGGCCGAGATGGGAGGATCGCTTGAGGCCAGGAGTTCAAGGTTACAGTGAGCCATGATCACTGCTTTCTAACCCAGGCAACAGAGCAAGACTAAATAAATAAATGAGTGAATGAATACATAAATAAAAGGTATGTGTGTACGTTATAATACCAAGAACAGCACATATTTAGACCATATTACACATCTAATTGCTTAAAATATATAAAAGAATAATAAAATTTTTTCTTGATACAAACCTATCCAAAATTGGCCAATAGTATACAATTGATAAATTACATGGATAGCAGTCACATATAAGAAGAGAAAGAAGCAGAAGAGGAAAAAACATATCTTCCCTCTTTAATGTACTTAGAATCAAGAAGATGAAAAGAGCCAATCACTCCTGTGGGGTCACACATGAGGTTAGAGGTCACATATAGTCTCTAAATTATAAATAAATTGGGGAACACTTACATACTAAGACATTAAGTCTTCTTTAGTAAACCCTAAACAGCAGTTGGAGATAGGAATCCCATCCATGATGCTTGATGTTTTCCTTTTTGCTGTAACGCAGCATGCCTTAGAGTTATTCTTTTCTAAGGCATGTTATTACCTGTTCTATAGTAATGCACCAAGAGAGATAGGAAAAATTTTTTTGAAATAGGCCAATGATTCCAAAACTAGCCTTAGTTTCTCCCCTGAGCTTTACACTGTAATAATGTTTGGCTATGTCCCCACCCAAATCTCATCTTGAATTATAGTTTCCATAATCCCTACATGTTGTGGGAGGGACCTGGTGGGAGGTAACTGAATCATGGTGGTGGTTACCCTCATGCTGTTCTCGTGATAGTGAGTTCTCATGAGATCTGATAGTTTTATAAGGGGCTTCTCCCCCTTTCTCTCTGCACTTCTCCTTCCTCCTGCCATGTGAAGAAGGATGTGTTTGCTTCCCCTTCCACCATAATTGTACGTTTCCTGAGGCCTCCACAACCATGCTGAACTGTGGCTCAATTAAACCTCTTTCCTTTATAAATTACTCAGTCTCAGGTATTTCTTCATAGCAGCATGAGAACGGACTTACACACCCTATACACCCTAGTATGCCCAAGTACCACTGATAGCACCACCTAAATTTTTAAGGCTGTATGAAACTTAAAATGTGAAAAACAAACTCTCAACTCTCCCCTCCCAGCCTATTTTCTTCCCAGCCTTCTCCATATTAGAGAATACCATTGCCCTTCACCTGCCTAGCTAGTCAGGCACAAAACCTAAGACCTATCCTTGGTTCCTTTTTTTTTTCTTCTCACCTCTAACATCCAAACCATTAGCAGTCCTCTTTGCCCTTACATCAGAGTATGTTGCAAATCAAACCTTTTTTTTTTCTTTCTTTTTTTTAGATGGAGTCTTGCTCTGTCGCACAGGCTGGAGTGCAATGGCGTGATCTTGGCTCACTGCAACCTCCACTGCCAGAATTCAAGCAATTCACCTGCCTCAGCCTCCTGAGTAGCTGGGATTACAGACGCACACCACCATGCCCAGCTAATTTTGTATTTTTAGTAGAGACAGGGTTTCACCATGTTGCCCAGGCTGGTCCCGAACTCCTGACCTCGGGTGATCCGCCCACCTCGGCCTCCCAAAGTGCTGGGATTACAGGCGTGAGCCACCACACCTGGCCCACACCATTTTTTATCAGCTTTCTAATGCATATCCCCTGTTGCTGATCTCTCTTGTCTATTGTCCACAAGCTGACAGTTTTTTGTTTGTTTGTTTGGTAATTCATATCATGTCTGTCCTGACCCACAACCTCCCAATGACTGCCTGTTGTAATTAAAATCCAAACTCCTGCTGGATGTGGTGGTGCATGCCTGTAGTCCCAGGTACTCAGGAAGCTGAGGCAAGAGGATCGCTTGAGTCCAGGAGTTCTGGGCTGTAGTGCGCTATGCATTCTGGTATCCACACTAAGTTCAACATCAGTATGGTGACCTCCGGGAGTGAAGGACCACCAGATTGCCCTAAGGAGGGGTGAACCAGCCCAGGTCGGAAACAAAGCATGTGAAAACTCTGGTGCTGATCAGCAGTGGGATCGCACCTGTGAAAAGCCACTGCACTTCAACCTGGACAACACAGTGAGATCTCGCCTCTTAGGGAAAGGGAACAGAAAAGGGAAAGGGAAAGAGAAGTCCAAACTCCTTATTGTAGCCTGTACTAGCATTTATTGAGCACTTGCTATATGCCAAAGACTTTGTTAGGTGTTTTGCATATATTAACTGATATAATCTTCACAACAGTCCTGTGAGGTTGAAACTATTATTAACCTCATTTTACAAAGCAAGAGTGTAATAGGAAGGTTAAGTAACTTATCCAAATCACACAGCTAGTAAGTGGCCAACCTGGAATTCAAAGCACAGAGTCTGCCTCCAAAGCAAGAGTCTGGCCCCTTTATACCATCCAACTTGATGTCGTCATTTTGCTTTTCTTTAGCCACACTGGCCTTTTTATTCCTCAAGCACATCAGGCTTGCTCCCTGCATAGGAGTTGTGCACTGGCTGTTCCTCTGTCATCTCATCATTTAAGTCTCCATTCAAATGTCTTTTTCTCAGAGAGATTTTTGCCTTACCACTGTCTTTAAAATTACCCTCCCACATATACAGTGTCACCTTTTTCCTATTTTCATAGTAGCATTTACACTATCTGAATTGATCTTAATTCTTTTAATGTTTGTTTCTCTAGAAGTATTTACTTAATAACTGTTGTTGGATGGATGGTTGCTGACTATTGAGTATTGGCTAGTATAGTGGTTAAGGATATAGGCTTTGAAATCAGACTCCTGGGTTCATGTCACAGCCCCACTACTTAGTTGTATGAAGTTAGGCAAGTCACTTAACAATTCTTGGCCTCAGTTTCTCCATATGTAAAATAGAAATAATATCTCCCTTATAGGATTGTTATCAGAATTAAATAGAATAATGTGTATGTCTCTTAAAACAATTCATAACACCTAAGAACTCAAACCATGTTATTTGTTATTTATTTATTACACTTAAGTTTTTGTAGTAACAAATATTACTATTACTATAATATTGAATGAATGGCATACCCAGAATACTCTTTGGAAAATCATGTTTCCAGGCCCTCCTCCAGGCCAACTGGGTTAGAATATCTGAGAAAAGGGCCCATGAATCTTTTAAAAATACATAGATTTTAGGGAGTCTGATAAATATCCAACCTTGGGAACTATGATAGTAGGCTTTTAGCATCACTATTTAGGATCAACCTGGACAGTTGTGTCTGTGTGACATCATCAGTGACATCATGACACTGCAGTGACACCATATAGTAATTTGTAATTTTGCTGAGATGTAAAGTGAGAGCAAGTCATTCTGATAAGTGGACCTAGAAGACCCTTACCACTCTCCCTAACATCCCCATTACAGTGCAGCCTCATTCTCTTCCCTGTATCTCTGTTGGCAAGCAGTAAAACTTAGAGTGACTCTAATTTTATTTCTGCTTGGAAAATCATCTCAAAAAGAAAACTAACCAAGAAATATGGGGATGCCAGGAAAGATTTTTTTTTTTTAAGTAGTGGTTCTACCGTAAACTGTAAGAAAAAAAAAAATCATGAAGCCATTGGGGTTTTTTTTTGTTTGTTTGTTTGTTTTTTTGTTTTTTTTGGCAGGTGCACCAACCAATGCAAAAACTGCACATTATCAAGGAAATTACATGCTATTGCTATATCTATAAGTTCGGGTTTATAAGTTCAGATATTAACAAAGCTTTTGTGAATCTCATGAAAGAGATTGTGTAAGACATGATTTCTGCCTTCCTAGAGCTGGAAAGACAAAACCACTGTACACAAACAACAGCAATTGAGATTAAAGTGAATAATAAATGATAGACAGCCAGTGCTGTTTATTTCAGAAAAGAAAGTGAAAAATATCAGCTAGAAGGGTTCATTGAAACAGTAGTGGCTAGTGATGACAAACAACAAGTGTTCTTTAGTTGCAGGACCAGCTCTGCCCCCTAATTATAAAAGCAGTAGTTCAGATTCATCAGACAGCGATGAAGACAGTAGTTCTTTGTACGAAGAAGGAAATCAAGAATCTGAAGAAGATGACAGTGGTCCAACTGCAAGGTCAGTCATTTAATTAAATTAAATGATAGACCAAACTTCAGAGCTAGTATAAGTTGGCTGGAACAGATAGCTAGTAAGGGGATATCATATTTCCATTTATACAGCACAGGGAGAAATCATTTTGTGTGGCATTTCATCCTGAATTATACCTTTTACAAAGAAATTTATTCTAGTAGTTTGCAGCTATAGAGATATCTAGAATTTCAATATATATGTATATTTTTTCCTGAGACAGGGGCTCACTCTGGCGCACATGCTGGAGTGATGTGGCACGATCTTGGCTCACTGCAGCCTCTGCCTCCCAAGCTCAAGCGATCCTCCCACCTCAGTCTTCTGAGAAGCTGGAACCACAGGTGCCCGCAAATTTTTGTATTTTTTGTAGATTTTTTGGTATTTTTTGTAGAGATGGGGTTTCATCATGTTGCCCAGGCTGGTCTCAAACTCCTGGACTCAAGTGATCTGCCCGCCTCAGCCTCAGAAAGTGCTGGGATTACAAGCATGAGCCACCACACCAGCCAATAAAATTCTTACATAAATGATTTTTCTTAAGATGTCATTGAAGTGCCAAAATAGGCTACATAAACCATAGAATTTCTTATTAAAATTATATATGCAGTGTATGTTTTCTTTAAATAAACTAATGGTTTTCTTTTTTTTTTTTTTTTTTTTTTTTTTTTTTGAGATGAAGTCTCACTCTGTAGCCCAGACTGGAATCCGGTGGCACGATCTCAGCTCACTGTAGCCTCTGCCTCCTAAGTTCAAGTGGTTCTCCTGTCTCAGTCTCCCAAGTAGCTGGAACTACAGGTGTGTGCCACCATACCTGGCTAATTTTTGGATTTTTTAGTAGAGACAGGGTTTCACCATGTTGGCCAGGCTGGTCTTGAACTCCTGACCCCAAGTGATCTGCCCGCCTCGGCCTTTTAAGGTGCTGGGATTACAGGCATGAGCCACTGTGCCCAGCTGAATGATTTTCCTCTAATCTGGCCTTACCCACTATGAGTCTATGTAAATGAGAAGTCAAATCTTTGTTTATTATTGAGTAACAAGCTTTTTTGATTCATTTTAAATATTATCAGGTGGAAATAGCAACTTAAAACCCTTCCTTAGATGAGAATAAAAGTCACAGTCATAAACTTTTTACTGAGAAACATCTGACCAATAGACTTTGAAACTGCATTGAGGGGAATCTTTAATACCACAGAAAATATAGAATAGTGATATATTACTGCTGTAAAGAAATAACCAATCTGTATTTTAGGCCAAAAATAAATTCCAGGAAAAGACTAGTTACGAACTATTGTCGTAGGCCAGGTGCAGTGGCTCACGCCTGTAATCCCAGCACTTTGGAAGGCCAAGGTGGGGAGATCACTTGAGGTCAGGAGTTCGAGACCAGCCTGGCCAACATGGTGAAACCCCGTCTCTACTAAAAAATACAAAAATTAGCTGGGCGTGGTGGCGCTTCCCTGTAATCCCAGCTACTTGGGAGGCTGAGGCAGGAGAATTGCTTGAACCTAGGAGTGGGAGGTTCCAGTGAGCCAACATCACGCCACTGCACTCCAGCCTGGGCAACAAGGCAAGACTTCCTCTCAAAAAATAAAAAAAAAAAAAGAACTATCGTAGTATCCAGTTTTTATTTGGCAGGATTAATTTATTGTTGCAGTGTTTATACAACTAGATTTAATGCTTTTTTAAAAAAAATTAAAATGTGCTTTTGTGAAAAAAATTTTGACATATATGCATAAAGTTATACTACTATGTTTTCAGAAAACAGAGGAAAAATCAGGATGATGACGATGATGATGATGATGGGTTTTTTGGACCAGCCCTTCCTCCTGGATTTAAAAAGCAGGATGATTCTCCTCCAAGGTGATAATGTGTAATATTTTAGGCCAGTCTTTCTTTAAATATTTTAACTAATGAATCTTTAATGAATTAAAGAATTGTCTGAAATTATGTTTTAACTGAAATATTTATATAACATTTTGAAATGGGTCATTCACCAGGAAAAGAAGTTGTTTCCTACAATAAAAATAATTATTTACATGTTTATGACACTTTCATAGTTTACAAAAAACTTCCACATCTGTTATTTGATATTCACAAAAGTGTTTTGTGGTAAACGAGGTGGATCACCCCTCTCCCCACTTTATAAACAGATAAGGTCACACACATAGTAGCAGACCTGGAGCTAGAATCTTGATGTTGTGACTTTTAATTCAGTTGTTTTCTTAATTATTTATCAATAGAAGAAACACATCCCCATGTGCCATGTTAGACAATTGGACTAACTTCTCTGAATCTTAAATTTGTTATCTGTAAGCTAGGATAACAGCATGTACTTTACAGAATTGTGATGATTGAGGTTTCATAGTTACATACCTTGACTTTGTGTGTGGGTGTTTAATTTATATGGAGCCTGGCACAGAGTAAGTATATAGTAAATATTTATTCCTGTCTTCTTCCCAGAATTGTAAAATTTTTAAATGCCAAATATAAGATCGCACATCAAATTGTTTATAATTCATAATACTGTATACCAATATGCAAGAACAAGCAGAAAAGGCTTTTTATTTTATATTCAAAGTTTATAATCACATTTGGCAGCTCCTAACTTCCATTAACTTTAGTTGTTTCAGATATACAGGGATAGGCAATCTACAGTCCCCAAACTAAAAATGATTTTTGCATTTTTGAGAGTAGCTGAAAAAACAAAGACAGATATGCCACAGAGACCCACATGTGGCTCTCAAAGCCTAAGAGTTACTATCTAGCCCTTTATAGAAAGTTTGCTGACCCCTAGGATGTAACATTCCTTTTAAGAAAACATATTACTTAAATGTATACCAATTTTATTCTTAAGAATATTATTTTGGCAATAATAAAATGTATGTGTAAAATAAACAGCTGGCATTATATATTGGAGTTAGAAACCTTTTATAGTATCATAACATGCCATGGTTTTATTCCTTTACTATGTTTTATGATTTTATATACCAGTAATTTTATCACCACCAATCCCCTGAGGCCAGAAAGTTAAGCTATAATTGCATTTGTAGATTGCTAAAAATTGTACTCAGAAAAAACCTATGCTGTACTCATAGCTTATAAATGATACCTAATTTTATCTTTTTAACAGTGCCAAACTTCCCTGTCTTTCATAAGCAAATTGTTCTGCTCAAAGAAGTTTCATGAATCAAGACAAGAGATTATTAAATGGTCAGGATGGGAACCCAGACTTTCTGACTGTCAGTACTGTTATTTCCCCTGCCAGGATGCCTGTCTGTGGGGTTCTGATAGAACATGGTGCAACCTGGAAATTTTAGCTTAGGACTTCAGTGCCATCTGGGTTGGTAACACTGGCACAGTGACAACTATGGAAAAAACATTTGTACAAAAGCAAGGATGAAGAATCTTAAAAGTGTGAAAGAGAGCATTTTTTTATTTTTTATTTTTATCTTTTTAATTTTTTCCTTCATAAAGTAAGGCTGTCTCCTTTTAAGACCCAGTGTTAAGGCAAGTCTCTCTTTTGAAGTGATGACAGTTGCCTCATTATTTGGCAGTAGGGCAGCTGGAAAGAAAATGCACTTTGACATCAAGTAGACCAGGGTTTAAACTCTAGCTCAGCCACTTACTAATTGTGTTAATCTTGGACATGATTTTGCTCATCTTAAAAGTGGAGTGACTTACACTGACCAGGATTGTTTTAAGGAAACAGATGCACTGCTTGAAATATGGTTAGCACGGTACCCTTTTCCCTTTCTGTGGGTCTTAATGAACTAGCTGCATTCTTCTACAGTTCCACATCATTACTGAGGACAATGTATAGATTTTTAATACTGCCATGTTATATAGACCACAGATTGCTGGCATTGTCTGCACATGCTATATATGTCCTTAGAAGAACTCAATTTCTACTTTGGTAGTTCTGACCATAATTATAATGCCCCTAAGGTATCTTTCACGGGATAATGAATCTCAAAACTGAAGGAAAGCCAAGGCACAAAATAAAAAAAGACCATCACAGATTTTAGTACATCAATTTTTTTAAAACATTGCCATTTTTATTTAATATAGTTCTTTTTAGGAAGTGTGCATATGCCAGTGTCACAAAGATTGAGAATTATTGGCTTAGTCTCTAATTATTGACTAACAAGTAGAAAAGTCAAATGTGAAAATTAGGTTTTTAAAAGACGTCTAGCAGAAAGATACTAGGTAATACTAGTAAAAATAAAGTGTTAAATAAAATTCTTATTTTCAACATTTGTCACTATTTGGCTTTATTATTTTTGTGAACTTTTATTCTTATAACTGCTTTTTAAAGTCAGGGAGAATGATAAAAGTACATTTTATTTTTCAGGCCCATAATAGGTCCTGCATTGCCACCTGGTTTCATTAAATCTACACAGAAAAGTGACAAGGGCAGAGATGATCCAGGACAACAGGTATCATCATCCCATTTCAACTCTAAGGTTTGGAAAGTTTTCATTGAAAGAATAAGATGTATTGTAACAAACTCCAAACTTTATGCATGCAGTTACTACAACCACTGGACTCAACTGTAATGTAAGACTCAGTTATATTCAGATTAATTTAAGATTGTAACATAAGTAGATGAAATAAAAAGCTGTTCACAAACCTGAGATTCTGTTAGGAAAATAACAGGATTGACGGGGTGTTACCTATTCATACTTCTTATCTTTGAAGGGGGACTTTAAGGTGTTAGAAGGATGGAACATGAAGAAAAGTTTAAGGAATGATTGTGATTTGGCCTTTAGGAGAGAAGGTTGAAGAGCTTTTTAACAATGGTCTTTACCTTGAAATTTACTTTCTCCTAACTAAGCTTTAGTATCTGTGTATAAAAAAATGCACTGGTGGATAAGTGATTTTAGGAAAAGATAGACCAAATGACTTTGGAGTAAAGTATAAAGGCTGTTTTTCTCCTTAACAAGAGTTGAGATTTGTAGAGTACTTTACAATTTGTAATGCATTTTCCCTGTATGTGGACCTTATTTTATCTTCTCCACGGTTTCATGAAATAGATATTATCTGCACCTTACAAATGCTAAAGACCAAAAAAATTGGGTACCTTACCCAAGATTACACAATTTTTACTGATCAAAGCCATGGCACAAACCCAGTTCTTATGACTTTAAATCACTTGTTCAATCTGTTATACTGCAGTGCCTTCCTATGTATGAATTCATATATTCCAGAGACTCCTGTTTATCTCCACTAAGAATTCAACAGTTACACTGAGGTTGTTACTCAAAGGATGTATAATGCAGTGGTTAAAATTATGAATTTCAGAGTCATTTACTTATTCTTTCAACAAATGCTCATAGAACACCCACAGTGTGGCAGGCACATAGTCACAGAAATGAATCTGTCAACAAATTATTTTGTTCCTATCTTCATAAGACATCCAGGACTCAGCCACTTCTGCTCCCACCCTGGTCCAAATAACCATCAAATTTCACCCCTTTTATTGATTTTCATGCTTTATGTAGCCCTTTCTCCTCTATTACCCCTTCTCAACACAACAGCTGAAGGGGTCCAGATGAAACAAAGGCAGATCAAAGTCAGATCATGTCACTAACACTCAAAACCACCAAATTACTCCTCCTCTCCCTAAGTCAAAACCAAAGTCCTTTTAGGGCCCTATACAGTCTGGCCTCTATTAGCACTCTGATTTTATCTTTTGCTTTGATGTGACCACACTGGGCTCCTTGCTGTTCCTCCTCAAATACAGCAGGCCACTTCCTACTCCTGAGCCTTTATGCCTGCTGTCCAAGCCTATGCAAAATGGTCTTCTCCTACATATCTATGTGGCTGGCCTCCTAGACCTTCAGTTTTTTTGCTGGAATATTATCTTTCCAATACAGTCATCTCTGGCCTCCAAATTAAAATATGCTAACCTCCTCTTCCCTTCTTTAATTTTCCCCATAGTATTTATTACCACCGAAGATACTATTAATTTTACTGCTTCTTTTTGTTTATTGTTGACCTCTTTCCGCTAGAATGTGGCTCCATAATAACAGAGATTTTTTTTATCTTATCACCAGTGCCTTATACATAGTAGATATTCAGAAGTATTTGTCGAATGAATGAATGAATCAAACACAGTGCCTGCCCTCATCACACTTACAAGGTAGTGGGGAATACATACATCAGTTTCTAACATTGTCAATTATTCAAAAGATGAGACAAAATATAAATGGAACCATGATGGGGGAATGTAATCTGAAAATGAGAAAAAGTCTTTTTCAGCCAGGCGCAGTGGTTCATGCCTGTAATCCCACACTTTGGGAGGCCAAGGCGGGTGGGTTGCTTGAGCTCAGGAGTTCAAGACCACCCAGGGCAACATAGCAAAACCGCATCTCTACCAAAAATACAAAAAAATAGCTAGGCATGGTGGCACATGCCTGTGGTGCCAGCTACCTGGGAGCTGAGGTGGAGGATGGCTTGAGCCCAGGAGGTGGAGGTTGCAGTGAGCTGAGATCATGCCACTGCACTCCAGCCTGGGTGACAGAGCGAGACCCTGTCTCAAAAAGAAAAAAGAAAAAAAAAGAAAAGGTCTTCTTATCTGAGTGAATGTCTACTAACCTGAAGTTTGATGAATTGGAGCTAGTTCAGCAAAGAAGGCAAGGAACATTGTTCCAGAGAGAGCAGATGGTTTATTTGAAGGCAAAAGAGAGTGTGGAGAGGATGAAAGTTAGGGTTAAAGAAGTTCAATATGGTTAGAATGGAGAATGCAGGGAGAATGGTGAGAGAGAAGGTGAGGAAAGTAGGTAAGAGCTGTTCAAAGCTTTGCGTTGAGCCTAGCTTGGGTACGCTTAGCTTCATGATCAGTAACATGCAGGTCATTACACTTACTTCATAGGGTTGTTATAAGGATTAAATCAGAATAGTAGTTGTATTAGTCCATTTTCACACTGCTAATAAAGACATACCCAAGATTGCGTAATTTATAAGGAAAGAGGTTTAATTGACTCACAGTTTAGCATGGCTGGGGAGGCCTCAGGAAACCTACAATCACGGTGGAAGGGGAAGCAAACACGTCCATCTTCACATGGCAGCACCAAGGAGAAGACTGAGTGCCCAGCGAAGGGGGAAGCCCCTGATGAAACCATCAGATCTTGTGAGAACAAACTCACTATCACAAGAACAGGATGGGGGAAACCACCCCATGATTGAATTATCTCCACCTGGTCCCTCCGACACGTGGGGATTATGGGAACTGCAATTCAAGATGAGATTTGGGTGGGGACACAGCCAAACCATATCAGCAAGTATTCAACTTCAAATAGCTCTCATTATTACCATTGTTCTTATTGCCTCCACTATGGATGCCATGAGTGTAACTGAAGAATTTAGGCTAAGTACGAGGACTCCTTTCTAACAAGGGCGTTGAAGAAAAAATTACCAGAGGAAGGACTTCCAGCCATATGGAAGACTGAGATGACATCGTCAGGCTAGGCTTTCCCTGCCATGAACACAAAGGAGTGCTAGGGGAAGAAATAAAATAACAACCATTTTAAAACACAGCAAAGCTCAAAAGGAAGAAAGGAAAATTCACACATACTAACAACATTGAGGGAATTCAAAGCCAGACACAGGTTTACACAGCAGGGGACTACAGTCGTTTTAGAGAACCCAGTCATAAACCCTAGAGAATCTGGGAACAGGAGCCCTGGCTTCTGGCTCACTCAGCCAGAGGAGATTGAATTGAGCACCATGCATAAAACCTGCAGCCTCAAAGTTCTGCTCTGTCTGTAAAAGGAGGACAAGGGGACTAGAGGACCAGAGAAATGTAACCCACTGTCCCTAGGAAGGTGGCAAGGAAATTTGCTTCTGCCTAGAGCCTTGTCATTCTATCTGTAACCTACTTTCAAATGGTTCTGAAAAAAAGTGTGTGTCTGTCTATCTCGTGGGGAGAGGGACAGAAAACAAACCAAAAAAAATGAATGTGTTAAAATGTAATGTGCCACTCAGTTGGTAAATCTGAGTGATGACATATTGGTGTTTATTGCACTCATCTTAGCACTTTTATATAGGTTCAAAATTTTTCAAAATAAAAAATTGGGGAAAAAAATTTTCAAAGGAGTAGCACAATTCAGCATTATTCACACTTGGAATTTTGTCCTAACCTACCTAGTTAGCAAATGAGTAGCTTACATCGTTTCCTTGGTGGTACACATTCTACATTCCCTGGCTTCTTTTGGTAGAAGGCGAGGGTCAGGCTGGGACAGAGATTACACTGTAGGTCCATATGTGAGGTGTTCTTGCTCTGATTGTTTGCCTTATAATTTCCCTTTAATTGAACCTTTTTCAAAAGACCTTTCTTTTTCAGTTTTGAGATTTTCGTTTCTCAAAGATGGGCTTTTCTTTGCCTCATTCCCGGCATATACCCCCAAATTAAGACATACACAATAATATTAATGGTTGACATTTCTTGAGCACTTACCACAAGCCAGACACTGCAACAGCAGCATAAACTTAACTTAATCCAAACAACAATCCAGGGAGGTAGTGTATCAGCTGAATGCCTTCAGCTACAAATAACAGAAAATCCAACTCAAAATGGAACTTTATCTTAACCTACTTAGTTAGCAAATGGGTTAATTTACTTGGTGATGTATGTTCTGTATTCTCAAAATAAGGAAAATATGTTTCATACATAATAAGAGGTCAAGAGGTAAGATCATCCCAGGCTTGATTAATTCCTTCGCCTCGTGATATCATCAAAGGCTCCAGTTTTTCCACCTTCCTGCTCTATAAGAGAATTAACAGTATGTTAATTCTGCCTTCATCATACCAAGCAGCCTGCCAAAGTTCTAAGACTGAGGCTGACTGCCTTCATCATACCAAGAAGCCTGCCAAAGTTCTAAGACTTATAAGCAGCTGGCAGTGTCCAGACACAGAAGAGGAATGGTCCTTTCCCTGTGCCTCTTTTGTAGAGAAAGGAAAATCTCTACCAGTTTCCTACAGACCTTTTGTGTTTATTTCACAAAAATTGTGTCATGTCCATGCCTAAACCAGTCAGCTGAGCAAGAAGAATAAGACCAAAGTGACTACTTTGTAATATTTTGTAAACATGTCCATACAATAGTTACTACTTTTTTTTAGTGACTGGACTAGAATTACCAATATTTTTCCCCAGGTGTTAGAGAAGGCCCCAGTTCCCTAAGAAGGGTGTGGCTTTAAAGAGGATAAAGAAAATGCAGGCTTCTCTTGGCAATAGAGTAGTTATTGGTAGAAGCTGTTATAATTTCCATGCCAAAGACAGGAAAATCAGGGCTTAGAAAGGTTAAATAACATGCCTGAAGTCACAGGGCTAGTACAATGGCAAATGAGGCCTTCAACAAAGTCAGCCCAAAGTATAAACTGGTAAGGTACCTAATTTCTATTGTAATTCTGGATAAAATGTGCACCATTTTTTTTATTAAAAGAAATAACTCATCCAGGACACCAAAATAATTTAATACCCATAGATAGGAATTGGGCATATTCTGTTTCTGATTTTCAGTTTAGTGTGTTTGGCCTAATTTTCTGTTTGCTTCTCCATCCCTGCTTTTGTTTGCCCCTGAACGTAAGTGATACTTATTTCTAAAAATTGCAGGCATCATCCTACCAGGACATGCTGAAATTCTACCTTTATTAAACCATCTCTTATTAAGATGGAAGTGAGACGATCATTAGCTTATTCCACTAATACTGTATTGGTACCATGACTCTTAGAGTTTGTGTTTTGTTTTGTTTTCATGTCTCATAGTTTTAAAATTTCATTATAGCTTTTACATCTGAACATTTTGCATCACCAAATATTTATATCTGTAGGGGGTTATAAATATGTTTAATATAATGTCTGTAACATCAGAAAGCTTACTATTGTAGATATAAGCTAGAAACACTTAATGCTAAATCACTAACAGTTGAGATAAAATAATAGACAGGCCACTGTTGTATACATGGAAAAAATATACTGGCCTTGATCTTGGAATGTTTCATTCTTGGATAATAGTTTTATTACACTCTAAGCCTAAGTTTCCTCCAAAAAAAAAGAAACCAGAAATAGTGCCATTTTACAGTTTTGTTACAAGGATCAAATGAGGTATATGACAAAATCCATAGTTATTAAGAGTATGTTTGTGTGTGTGTGTGTATTAGAGTAAGCCACAAGACAGTATATAGTTGTCTAATTATTGTACTATGCTGAAAAGAGCTCTAAGTCTACATCTGTGTCCTTCAGGAAGAGAGTGAGGTCTGTCATGGACACAGGAAGAGAGGTGGGAGGTGGGAGAGAGTCTGCATGCCATGGATTTGTCATCTCTGTGCTAGGCACTTGAGGAAGGTGAGGAAAAAGTCCTCATGGTTCAGTGATGAGCCAGCAATACATTGTTTACTTTTTTATTTTTTATGGATAATAAGTTTCAGTTAAATGCAGGTAATTTAGAATTATTTTTTATAACCTGTAGCTCTGCTCTTGGTTTAAAGGTAATGTCTTGTTTTAAAAGGAAACAGACAGCAGTGAAGATGAGGATATTATTGGACCAATGCCTGCAAAAGGACCAGTTAACTATAATGTAACGACAGAGTTTGAAAAAAGGGCCCAGAGAATGAAAGAAAAACTGACCAAAGGAGATGATGTAAGTTTTAAAAACACTTTAAGAAATACACTAAATAGATTAAAAATCTAAATTTTAGAAATAAACACTAAACTATATAACTTTTAATATATTTTGTTTTTATGCATAACATTTTTTTAAATTTAGGAGTTAGAACCCAGAAACTCTAAAAGAAAAATAACAAATTGGATGAACGTCTTTGTAACTTATATGACAAATATATGTGACAAAAACATCGATCCTTTATATTAGAGTTTGTTAAGTAACTTTAAAACTTCAATTGCATGACACAGTTGCTTGTACATATATATGTACTCATCTTATACACGATATGTACTTTCTATGCTGTGTTTTTTTTTTCTCTTAAAGGATTCATCTAAACCCATTGTAAGAGAGTCATGGATGACTGAACTTCCTCCAGAAATGAAAGACTTTGGTCTTGGGCCAAGGACTTTTAAGAGAAGAGCTGATGACACATCTGGAGATCGATCAATCTGGACAGATACTCCAGCTGATAGGGAAAGGAAAGCTAAGGTGAGAGGTTTTGTTTGTTTGTTCATGTATTTCTGTTCATGTTGGCTGGATTTTGAAAAGATATAATGCAAAATTATTTAAGGGTACTATTTTTTAAAATTATGATTCCAAAAGGATAATGCGGATTTTCCTCTGGAGGAAGAGTATGAGGAAGGAAAGTGACACCAATTGCTTGCTGTTTACTTACTATTTCCCAATAAACGGTCTCATTTAAACCTCAAGAAAACTCTGAGACATAGGTATAATGGCCTTATTTTATAGATGGAGAAACTATCCTCTATGAGGTCAACGTTTCTAGGGTCACAAAGCTAGTAAGTGATGAAAAATAATTTCATTTTAGACCTTTCTAGCTCCAGATTCCCTGGTCTTTTTACACCATACTATCTTTATGAACATATATCTTTTAAAATATTTTAGAAAAAAAAAACAAAGCTGCAGATTAACCTAGCAAATTAAATGGTGCCTAGAGAATTTCTCTCAAAATGACCATATCTCAGGTGCACTAAGCTTCATGTTACTGTCAAGATAGACAAGAACCACTGTCATTAATACAGTAAGTTATCCAAAAAATACCAGCCGGCCGCAGTGGCTCATGCCTGTAATCCCAGCACTTTCCAAGGCCAAGGCAGGGCGGATCACCTGAAGTCAGGAGTTCGAGACCAGCCTGGCCAACATGGTGAAACCCTGTCTCTACTAAAAATAAAAAAATTAGCCAGGCGCGGTGGCATGTGCCTATAATCCCAGCTACTTGGAAAGCTGAGGCAGGAGAATCACTCAAACCCGGGAGGCAGAGGTTGCAGTGAGCCAAGATT
Source organism: Homo sapiens (assembly GCF_000001405.40). Taxonomy (NCBI): domain Eukaryota; kingdom Metazoa; phylum Chordata; class Mammalia; order Primates; family Hominidae; genus Homo; species Homo sapiens. Next base: position 45,016,409 of record NC_000013.11, read on the forward strand.
GCGCCGCTGCACTCCAGCCTGGGCAACAGAGCGAGACTCCATCTCAAAAAAAAACAAAAAAACAAAAATCTGTATGCATAAAATACATTATTTTTAATCTTCTGTTCTTGAATCTTTTTCTGTTTATTACAAAATATTTCATTGTATATTAGGAATTAAACCAGTATCCCCAGTACTACTCCTTCAATTTAATCCATCTGTGGGTTTTGGTTTTTTCTTTTTGGTTTTTTTGTTTGGTTGTTTGTTTTTTAAGAGACAAGGTCTCTCTGTCACCCAGGTTGGACTGCAGTGGTGCAATCACAGCTCACTGCAGTCTCAAAGGATCAACCCTCTTGGGCTCAGGTGATCCTCCTGCCTCAGCCTCCTGAGGAGCTGAGACTACAGGCACACAACTAATTTTTTTTATTTTTTATTTTTGTAAAGACAAGGCCTTGCTATGTTGTTCAGGCTAGTCTCAAACTCCTGGGCTCAAGCAATCCTCCCAAAGTGCTGGGATTACAGGCGTGAGCCGCTGTGCGCAGCCTCTCTCTAAAGGTTTTAATTTCTGTAAGACATCCCATTCAATTCTCAAATGCTTGACTAATTGTCACCTTATGATTATAAATTCATCAGTTCTGACTAAAGCAGTTCCACACTTAGTTCATTCCACTAGCTCTGTTTGTATTACTCATCAGTACCTAGAATTGTCAGGATTTCTGTTTTCAATCTGTAATGATCAATTTTCCTGTTTTGTCAGGAATTGTATTTGGTTTCAGGTGATAGAAAGAGTCAAGAGCTCCTTAAGGACTTTCCATTTTAGTGGATAATTGCCTGTGAAATAAACAGTGGTACCCTTAAAGTGTGGAGGGCATGTTTCAGTCTCCACACTTGAGCACTCTGCCTGCATATTGGGCAACATTATACATAATTTCTTTTTTGTCCTAAGATTAAAGAGAATCTGAGAGTTATAATAGGAAGGTGAGGTGAACCAACACATATAGGGGCAGGAGAGGCAGCAAAGGATGTGGATCCAAGAGAGCCACAAAAACCTTGAAAGGGTGGTGTTGGAATGCCTATTATTTCTTAGCTGGTTTTGAAATAATAATTATTTATTGGAGTTTTTATAATTTGGCCTTTAAGATTGTCTCCAAAAAGACAATTAATTCCCTTGCTTACATGCCTTTTTATTTGTGTCCATATTTATTTGTTCTTTTTTATATCCTGTTTCTCATTGGAGATGAATAGATGTCTAGCTTACAGCCAGATATGTAGGGAGTCTTCCTTGGAGGAAAATATCATGGAATAATGGAACATATGGAAACCAGGCTATATTGTTTGAACTTAAGAGATTTTAATCCCTATGACTGAGTTCTTTAGACCTGGTCATTCTTTTCTGTGCTGAAATGTTTTGTTTAGTATTTGCAGTGGACTCATAAAGGGATTAATAAGTCTTAAATTTTATATAATACTACATTACAGAATATAGTACCACAGACATATATTTATGTCACAAACTATATAGTATCACAGAGCTATTCATTTTCTGTTGTCTTTGATCCCGTGTAAAGTTCATGACTAATTTTTATAACAGATCTTAGCCATATTTCCTTCTTGATAGGTTCCCTCCATTCCATCCTACTTCTTATATTTGATTTTCCAGCATACCTCTCATACCTCTACTGTTCTCACATTAATTTAGCCAATATGGCCTAAAAGAAGATTGCTGTTGTCTGGGCGTGGTGGCTCACGCCTGTAATCCTAACACTTTGGGAGGCTGAGGTGGGCGGATCACAAGGTCAGGAGATCAAGACCATCCTGGCTAACATGGTGAAACCCTGTCTCTACTAAAAATACAAAAAATTAGCCAGGCGTGGTGGCGGGCGCCTGTAGTCGCAGCTACTCGGGAGGCTGAGACAGGAGAATGGCGTGAACCCAGGAGGCAGAGCTTGCAGTGAGCCGAGATTGTGCCACTGCACTCCAGCCTGGGTAACAGAGCGAGACTCTGTCTAAAAAAAAAAAAAAAAGATTGCTCTTTAGAAAGTAATGAAAATGTTTTACATACATTAATTGAATGAGATCAGTTAAGTCCTCACTTTCCAGTCTTGACGATATCTACTACCTCTTAATATTAAATGGTTAGGTTTTTATCTCCATTGTACCATAACATCACTTTTCTTTTTTTATAAGTAAAACATCTATTTTCTGGGAAAATGTAGAAATGAGCTATTTCTATGTTTTTAACTTACTTTATTAAATACAGTGTTGTTTTAGTCCATGAGGCCTCCTAAGCAAATAAAAACAATATAAGAATATGCTTAGAGACCAGTGGTTTTCAGTAGTTTTTATATGGGCCTTCCCCATTCCAATTTGGGAGCATATGCTCTAGAATATTCCTGTAACATTTTTTTGAATTAAAATGTGTTAGACTAGGCACTTCATGTGTGTGTGCTAATATAAATGATAGTTTTGTTTCAAATTCCAGTTGTTTCTTGCTGATATATATAAATATATATACATATAAATATATACATATAAATGTATAAATATATACATATAAATATATATACATATAAATATATATACATATAAATATATATACATATAAATATATATACATATAAATATATATACACATATAAATATATACATAGAAATATATAAATATAAATATATACATATAAATATATACATATAAATATATGTATATATATTTATATATATTTATATGTATATATATTTCTATGTATATATTTATATATATGTATATATATATTTTTTGAGACAGAAGCTTGCTCTGTTGCCCAGGCTGGAGTGCAGTGGCACCATCTCAGTTCAATGCAACCTTTGCCTTCCAGGTTCAAGCAATTCTTGTGCCTCAGCCTCCTGAATAGCTGGGACCACAGACACTCGCCACCACGCCCAGCTAATTTTTTGTATTTTAGTAGAGACAGGGTTTCACCATGTTGCCCAGGGTGGTCTCGAACTCCTGAGCTCAGGCAATCTGCCTGCCTCTGCCTCCCAAAGTGCTAGGATTGCAGGCGTGAGCTACCACGCCCGGCCTCTTGCTGCTATATTTTGTATATTGATCTTGTATCCTGCAACTTTGCTATACTTGCTTAGTAGTTCCAGGAGTTTTTTTAGTAAATTCTTTGGAGTTTGCTACGCAGTTCACAGTTTGCTACACAGTGCTAGGATCTGTGAATAAACACAATTTTTCTTTTTTTTTTTTTTTCTCAAAATGTACACCTTTTATTTCCTTTTCTTTGTTTTTTTTTCCCCCTCCAGGGTGATTTTATTATTTTTGAAAACAGTAATGTAGGATATCTTTTTAAGCCTTATTTTCACTTCTACATCTCACCACTGTTAAGTCAAACTCATCCTGAGTTCAATAAATAGGTTGATTGAGTGGAGTGGGTTTTTTTTTCCTTGTTTTCAAGAAAATCACAGACTAGAGCAGTAACTGATCTCTTATCAAGTATGTTAATATTTTGATTTTTTTTTTTTTTTTTTTTTTTGAGACCGAGTCTCACTCTGTCTCCCAGGCTGGGGTGCAGTGGAACGATTTCGGCTCACTGCAACCTCTGCCTCCCAGATTCAAGCGATTCTCCTGCCTTAGCCTCCCCAGTAGCTGGGATTACAGGCACCCGCCACCATGCCCAGCTTTTATATTTTTAGTAGAGATGAGGTTTCACCATGTTGCCCAGGCTGGTCTCGAACTCGTCACCTCAGGTGATTCACCCGCCTTGGCCTCCCAAAGTGCTAGGATTACAGGCGTGAGTCACTATGCCCGGCAAAGTATGTTAATATTTCTGATCAGAAGGGATTTCACAAACCTGGCTTAGTTGTGTCTCTTGTTACTTAATCTAAGTAAAAATAATATTTATTTTTTGTTTTATCTTAATCTTATGATTCAGTAATGTGTTATCTGTGTTCATTCCTCAGGAAACACAAGAAGCAAGGAAGTCATCCAGTAAGAAAGATGAAGAACATATATTATCAGGAAGAGATAAGAGACTGGCTGAGCAGGTATCTTCATACAATGTAAGTAAGAAAATAAGATATATAGAGCCAGGTGTGATGGCTCTTGCCTATAATCCCAGCTACTTGGGAGGCTGAGGCAGGAGGATCACTTGAGACGAAGAGTTCAAGGCCAGCTTGGGCAACATAGCAAGACCTTGTTTCTAAAAACAATTTTTTTAAATTAGCCAACTGAGTTGGGAGGATCACTTGAAGGCCTCCCTGCCTAATGTCTCAAAAAAAAAAAAAAAGGAAGCCAGAAGCAAAATATATAGCCTTTTTTCCCCTATCTTTTAGTTATCTGTTTATTTTTTTCTCTTTTACTTATTTCTCTTTCTTTTATATGTCTGCCTCTTTACCATGCACTTTTTATACATCTATCCTGAAATACACTATGTTGCATATATTTTTGTTTTAATAAAATTCTTCTGTGTTTTTCATGAATATTTCCAATTCACATTTTACGTATTAAATTAGCAGAAATCTAATTATTAGAGATAGGTAGCACTTGATGAGAGAAAGCAAGACCCCTACTCACTCATGGAGATCTTCCATTTATAAATGTTTACATTATAAACAGATTTGGAATGTTGGATGTAAATATTTAAATATGGGAGAAAAAATGTTTTTTGAATGTAGTCCAATCTAAATTTATAAACTAAACAGTCAGTATTCATTTGGCATATTATTTTGTTATCTTCTGTCTTTTAAAAAAATGGCAAATGTTGGATGGTGCCTGCACAAAAAGAAAAAATGATAAATGTCCCCGCTCAAAGAATAAATGTAAATTACTGAACCCATTGGTCCCTGAAAGGTGTTTAGGAAAATTATTTTCTGTTCCCAGTGTATTAAAGAAAATTCCATAAGCTCTAAAATATAGTTAGCTTGATTTATATATGTTGACCAGTACCACAGTGAAGCATGCTTAAAACATTTTGGGAAATTGACCAAAAACGTAGCCACTTGAAGTATTTATGAAAACTGACCAGCTCAGAAGTCAAATATCAACAAAATCGAAGGAATTACTATCATTCAACCCAAATTATCTGACCACAAAGAATTGAAGTTTGGATTCAGAATAACTTAAAAACCCACTATGGCCAGATGTAGTGGCTCATGTCTATAATCCCAGCACTTTGGAATGCTGAGGCGGACAGATAGGTTGAGTCAAGCTATGGCTGTGCCACTGCACTCCAATCTGGATGGCAGAGTGAGACCTTGTCTCAAAAAAAACATAAAAAAAAAAAAACCTGGAAATCAGAAAAACTCAAAATTTAAACTTTGCATCAAAGAAAAAATGATAATGGAAGTTAGAAAAATGTAGACCTGAATGACAAAAATACAACATATCACAATGTGTGGGATGCCATATGAAGCGGTATTTAGAGGGAAAATTTAGAGCCATAATGAGTTATGTAAGAAAAGACCAATGGCTAAAGATAAATAAGCTAAGCCTTTTTCCAAACTGGCATTTCTTATCAAACTAAACAGACATGTACCCTGCTATTTTCCTCCTGGGTATTTACCTAAGACAAATGAAAACATATCCACACAAAGAGTTGAACATGTTATTCTTAATAGCCTCAAAAAAACTTATCCAAGAATGTTCATAGATGCTTTATTCATAATAGTTAAATACTGTAAGCAGCTCAAATGTTGATCAGTAAGAGCAAGAAAACCAAACTGTGGTATAAATGAAACTACTCACCAATAAAAAGGAACACATTACAAATAAATACAACATGGATGAATCTCAAAAGTCATACTGAGTGAAAGAAATCTTACACAAGCAAGTACATACTTCTTATTATGTTTATATAGAGCTGTACAATAAGCAAAATGCATCTATGGTGGGAAAAAAATCAATGCTGATAGTCGGAATAGGGGTATGGAATTTGACTAGGAAACAGCATATGCCTGAAGTGATAGAAAGGTTCCAGATTTTGATTGGAGTTTGAACTATAAAACTCATTGAATATACACTTAATATTTATGCATTTTATCATATGTATATTTATCTTAAATATATATATAAAAAAACAAATATTGAACTCAAATGCATGCTTAGGTATTTAGGGGGACATGTAGTGATGTTTACAGTTTACTTTAAAATGCATCCAAAAAATTAGGGTTCTAATCTGAAGCCTGAAAGCTGAAATTCCAGATACTTTCTATTCAAAGTATTAATATAGTCTTAAGACTAAGCCACTCTAGAAACCTTAGCTTTTGATAAGTCGAGCAGTCTTTAAAATACTTTAATGAAGACAAAAACCAATCAAGTAGAAGTTTGACATTAGTTTTCAAAAGCTGTTACAAACCCATCTTATTCAAAAATTAATTGCTCTTGGCCAACCATGGTGGCTCACACATGTAATCCCAGCACTTTGGGGGAGACTGAGACGGGAGGATCTTCTGAGGCCAAGAGATAGAGACCAGCCTGGGTAGTATAGCAAGACCCCATCTCTACCAAAATAAAAAGGTGAAAAATTAGCCAGGTCTGGTGGCACACACTCAAGGTCCCAGCTACTTGGGAGGCTGAGGTTGGAGGATCACTTGAGCCTAGGAGTTTGAGGTTACAGTGAGCTATGACCACACCACTGCACTCCAGTGCAGGGTCTACACAGAGCAAGACCTGTCTCTAAAAAACTTTTTTTTAATAAATAAAAAATGCTCTAAATATTGTATATTGTTAGAAAATGCAAACATTTGTGTTAAATGATTAAATGTGGTAAGTCAGCAAATTAGTCATTTAGCAGATTAATCTCTTACATCAGCTGGCTTTCAGCTTTTGATTTTCAGTGAGTTGACTGCTTTTAGGTGTTATTTATTATTTTATTATATTTTAGCACTAGTTTGGTCCTGTGTGTCACAATATGCAAATTATCCTAAATCAGACCAACAGTAGTACACCTGAAACAACTGATATAAAAGTTTATTTCTTTTATCATCATGAATTTGAGCACTTGAATTGTTTGGATTGATTGTATAATAATAGTCCAGTGATTTAATGTATTCCTCTGTCTCTATTGATGTTCAATTTACTAATATAAGGAATCAGTACATTGAAACCTGACATCTTTATTTCTCCATTTTTGTTTGCTTTTTGTTACCTTACATACAATTTTGCTCATCATTATAAATCATTTTCCTCAGTAGTGGCTTTAGGTAAAGTAGTAAGATCCCTACAACTCCATTCTTTCTCACATCTCCACACATCTGCTGAAACTTTGTTCTCTATTTTCTCCAGGTCTTTGTTATATATTTAGGCCTTCCGCTTCCAACTCTTGTTAGCCTGTCAACCTTCATCATTACTACCTCACTAAGGACTTATTATCTCACTAGCAAGGAAAGATGTGAAAGCAAGGGAAGGGAGGAGAAATATGGAGAAATGGAGCTAAAAGATCAAGTTTTGATAGTGTAGCTTTTTTACATTTATACATACATATAATGCTACATATATGGTTTTCCATCCTAAAATTCACCTTACTACACTCCTTTGTATTGGCATCCTGTCTCCTATTAATACCAAACTACTAGAAAGAATGATCCACAAGTAGGTTCCACATCCCGTGGATCACCTCTGTCAGAACTTGGGTGGTAAAAGCAAGGTTTCTGAGACCCACAGTTGGCAGTTTTGATTCACTAAATTTATGATAGGACAGGCAATCTATATTTCTTTTCAACCCATCAGTGCTGGAGACCAGCAATCTTCAAGTGTTTTTGCTTGGTATCCCCTAAAACTCTGTGTGTGTGTGTGTGTGTGTGTGTGTGTGTGTGTGTGTGTGTGTGTGTGTGTGTGTGTGTTTTGAGACTGAGTCTCAATCTTCAAGTGTTTTTGCTTGGTATCCCCTAAAACTCTGTGTGTGTGTGTGTGTGTGTGTGTGTGTGTGTGTGTGTGTGTGTGTTTTGAGACTGAGTCTCGCTCTGCTCCATTGCCCAGGCTGGAGTGCAGTGGCGCGATCTCGGCTTACTGCAGTCTCCACCTCCTGGGTTTAAGTGATTCTCCTACCTCAGACTCCCGAATAGCTGGGACTACAGGCACATGCCACCATACTAGCTAATTTTTGTATTTCTAGTAGAGATGGGGTTTCACTGTGTTAGCCAGGCTGGTCTTGAACTCCTGACCTCAGGTCATCTGCCCACCTTGGCCTTCCAAAGTGCTGGGATTACAGGTGTGAGCCACGGCACCTGGCCCTAAAACTGTGTATTTTTAAATTTGACATCTAAAATTTTTATCATAAGGGCCAGGCATAGTGGCTTATGCCTGTAATCCCAGCACTTTGGGAGGCCGAGGCAGGCAGATCGTGAGGTCAGGAGTTCAAGACCAGCCTGGCCAACATGGTGAAACCCCCCTCTATACTAAAAATACAAAAATTAGCTGAGCGTGGTGGCGGGCACCTGTAATCCCAGCTACTCAGGAGGCTGAGGCAGGAATCACTTGAACTCAGGAGGCTTGCAGTGAGCCGAGACCCCGCCATTGCCCTCCAGCCTGGTGACAGAGCAAGACTCTGTAAAAAAGTAAAATGTAAATTTAATTTACTCTTTTAGTGAAAGACTTTTTTTCTAGTTAGTTCCTGGTCTTTGGATGAATGTTACTTATTGCAAGAATAAGACAGGTTTCATACAATGTGTACTACTTGGTTGACTGGTACACTGAAACTTCAGACTTCACCACTGTACAATTCATCCATGTAACCAAAAACCACTTGTACCCCTAAAGCTATTGAAATAAAAATAGAAACAAAAAAAATTAAGACAGATTTTACCATCAATTGTGTTTTTTTATACTTCTAAGAGTTAAGAAACCAGGTTTTTATGAAGAAGTAAATGAGAATGAACCCATTTTGTTATAGCGATGTCATTCAGTTCTTTGAACAATTTGAGTTATTCTCTTAAACCTCATATTGATCTGTTTACAAAAAGTATTATTAATAGCCTCTTAACTGTCAAGTCATTAGGATCTCCTTTGATTTTTTTTCCACATTGATCTTATTAATAAGTTTTCTTGGAAATAAGATCTTTCCAAGTCTGTATAATGAGAATAACAACATTTAATTTACAGAGATGTTGTGAGGATATAGTAAATGCTCAATATATCTAACATTTAGCATTTATTTATTGTTTCTTATATAGCCAACACTGTACTAAATCCTGTGTATTCATTAGATCATTTAACTCCTCCCTCCCTCCCTCAAAAATTTAGAAATTATTATTATGACTACTACCATTTTACAGCTGGGAAAATGAGACTTAAATTACTTGCCCATTGTTACCAGTGTTGAAAGCAGCAGGACCATCATTGCAATGCAGATTTTTCTGAATTTGGAACTTAAGTTTTATTTCTCCATGCTCCGTGTATTGATTATCTATTTTTTTTTTTTTTTAAGACAGAGTTTTGCTCTTGTTGCCCAGGCTGGTGTGCAATGGCATGATCTTGGCTTACCGCAACCTCCACCTCCTGGGTTCAGGCGATTCTCCTGCCTCAGCCTCCAAGTAGCTAGGTTTACAGGCATTCGCCACCATGCCTGGCTAATTTTGTATTTTTAGTAGAGACGGGGTTTCTCCATGTTGGTCAGGCTGGTCTCGAACTCCCGACCTCAGGTGATCCACCCACCTCAGCCTCCCAAAGTGCTGGGATTACAGGCGTGAGCCACTGCGCCCAGCCTTGATTACCTATTTTTTCTTAGCAATATTTGATGATTTTTTTTTTATCTCCTTCAATTTTGTTGAACATAAAGAATTGGAAAGCACTTGATTTGCTAATCAGTTTGTTTCTAAAGACTTTATCAATATTTATAAAATACTTAAGAAGTACTTTGCTTAACCCAGTATATTGAGCAGAAATAGGAAAATGTGAATAGTGTCAATTTAAATACATATTTACTAATGTATCTTTTGTACATTCTGCTAAAACGTTATGGCTCCAGATTGAGTTCAGTTAATTTATGAGACATGGCTGTCACATAATCTAATTGACAAAGTCATTTCTGGTTGTCAGATCAGCCAGACCAGACTTACTTTCTGATTCACTTTTTCCATTCAAATAAATGTGTTAATGACCATTCATATGACACTCTGAATTCTGATCTAGGTGCCATTTTACCTTCTAGATAAAATAAGATACTGTCACTTTCAGCATTTTTTACTAGTGCCTTGTTATTTTGCTTTCACTGAGGTTTCTTCACTCCTTCCCCCTCAAGTACATTCTTTGGCAGTAGGAAGGGCCTGGAAGAGGTATGGTTGTTAAGCAAAAATTGTCTTTTCTTCCATTACCCACTCTTCAATATATCTGAATTCAGAACATTTCAATAAAAGGTAAAATACCCATTTCTAAAGGACACTACACTCTTAGGAGAAATGTGTTTCAGACACAGAAGGACACAGAACCCTCCTGTGTTTACAGTTTCTTGATTAAAGGAAGTTTCAATCATACCGGTATTTTAGGTTTTTTGTCTCATACCCTGAAGACTTTTGCTTTCCTAAACAATATTCTATAGCCTCCTTTGTTAAATGAGAAAGGGCTATAATGAAAGGGATGGCATCTTCACAAGAGGTAGTCTAGGCCAAATCAATTGTAAGAAAGACTACATGAAGAAGTAGAGAATCATGGAAAAATAGCCTTAAAATTACCCATGCCTTCATACTCCATAGACTCTACTCTCTGTAGCACCCAGGGATACGTATACCCCAGATTGAAGGCTGCTGGTCTGTACTACCTGCATCTCCTTTTCCATCTCCCTCCCTGCTCCTTCCATCCAGGACTGTTCTATCCTTTACCTTAGTCAATACTCAGTGGTCTGTAGTCAATCCCTAGTTTATTAAATCAATTGTTTTTGCTCAGACTTTGTCTTACTAGATACATCTGAAAATGTGAACACCTACCCTAGCTAAGAAGAAAAAAAATTGAGGGAATTAAGGGAAAAAGAGAACGACAGAAAACTGAAAGGAACAAAAATTATCTTAGCTTATGGAACATGCCAACATATGCTGCACAGGCCTTGAATTTTGCCACATCCGTGTTCTTACTACTTTTCTTTTACCTTTGTTTTTGCTTCAGCCTGACAGTGCCTTTCCTTCCTATCCGTCCATTTAGCCTTCAAAGACCAGCACGTCTATGAAGTGACAATATGATTGCTCTTTCTTTCACACCCCGTTCTTGGTTTGTACTCTGATGTTTAGTATTTAAATAACCATAATGCTTTTCATTACATATTTTCTTTATAAATGCTGTCTTGGATTTGGAAAAAAAAAAACTACTGGGGTTTGTAAATAGCCCTCCTTAATGTGCACCATTACTATCTATTCCGTTTCATGGTCATATTCTGTCAATAATCTATATACAAACTATAGTTTTTATTTCTGCTCTCCTGCTCTCTCCAGGAATCAAAAAGATCAGAATCTCTTATGGACATACATCATAAAAAGTTAAAGAGTAAGGCTGCTGAAGACAAAAATAAGCCTCAAGAGAGAATACCATTTGACCGTGATAAAGATCTCAAGGTTAATCGGTTTGATGAAGCTCAGAAAAAAGCCCTAATAAAAAAATCTAGAGAACTAAACACCAGATTTTCACACGGCAAAGGCAATATGTTTTTATAAGTAAGTATATTTCAGTGAGGTATATTTTAATACTGATCAATGTGAACTTTTCTAAATACTCTATTGTCTTTAATAATTGTGCTGAAATCTATTTCCTTTTATAATAGATTAAAAATTTTATATTTTTATAAGTAAACAGTGATTTTTGAAAAGTCAGCCTTGTGGGATGAAAAATATGTCTTACTGGAAAAATCCCTCATAATAACCTAATAGGGCATTGCTATTAAAAATGCTAAAATAAAAATTCAGCTTATGAGAAATGGCAAAGGAAGGTGTGGTTTGATACTTGAGTAAATATGCATGCTTTATTAAAGATGAAGAAAGGCTTGCTGGTTGTTTGTATGTTAAACAAAATCCCAACTAGGAAATGTTTGTTGCTTAGAAAGGTCCCCTATAAGTTAAGGTTCAAAACTATTCCAATATTCATCCATAGCCCAATCTGACAAGGGTTCAGAATGGTGATTAAGAAATTACATAAAGCTGGGTGCAGTGGCTCACGCCTGTAATCCCAACACTTTGGGAGGCCAATGTGAGAGGATCGCTTGAGCCCAGTAGTTTGAGACCAGCCTGCTTAAGATGGTGAGACCCCGTATCTACAAAAAACTAACCAGGTGCAGTGGAGCACACCTATAGTCCCAGCTACTCAGCAGGCTGAGGTGGGAGGATCCCTTGAGCCCAGGAATTCAAGGCAGCAGTGAGCTGTGATTGTGCCATTGCACTCCAGTCTGGGCAACAAAGTGAGACCTCGTCTCTTTAGAAAAAAAAAAAGAGGCCAGTGGCTCACACCTGTAATCCCAGCACTTTGGGAGGGTGAGGCGGGTGGATCACCTGAGGTCAGGAGTTCGAGACCAGCCTGAACAACATGGTGAAACCCCATCTCTATTAAAAATATATATATATAAAAATTAGCCAGGTGTGGTGGCACGTGCCTGTAATCTCAGCTACTTGGGAGCCTGAGGCAGGAGAATTGCTTGAACCCGGGAGGTGGAGGTTACAGTGAGCCGAGATCGTGCCACTGCACTCTAGCCTAGGTGACAAGATCGAGAGACTCTGTCTCAAAAAAGAAAGAAAAAGAGAAGAAAAGAAATTACATAAAAGCTGAGGTTGCTTCTTAATATCTTTATGATTTTTAATTGTATTAAACCTATATCAATATTCAAATGTGATTTTTGAGGAAAATATGTTAAATTTAGAAATATTTTCCAACTTACTGAGTTTTCTTATTCTTACCTCAGGGGGATTTCCCTGTGCAATGAAGAAAAGTTGAAGAATACTCTTTGTCCATCTTTATTTCTTTGTTTTTGGCTTCTTAAGATTAGAGATTACTTTAATCTTAAAAAACATACAAATTTACCTTGTTCTGTATGTCCTTTTAAGGTCATGTGGAAACATAAAACGAATGTTTTTTATGTAGAACAGAATATTCTATGTGCCTTTAGCTTCTGTGGAAGTATGGGGAATTATGGGCTTTTCTTCAAATAATTATTTTAAGAGGCTTCCATTCCCCCTGATTTTTGTGGTGTCTCACAAGTACCCTCTAAGGTCTGGTCAGGACTGACCACCAAATCTCTACCACAGCCTGGACCTCCTTGTGAAATATACCTAACCTGCCCTAGAGTCAGTGTGTCAAGTCCTTACTGTAAATCCATGACTTTGAAATTTGTTGTTTTTTCCCTTTAAACTGCAGCCAGTGAATACAAATTTACTTGAAAATAGAGGGTATGGGGTTTTGCCTGTTTTGTAATCAGTTTGCTTGTTTTAGCACTCAGGGCTTTTTATTTGTTATTTAATTTTTTAATTGTTTTTAAGTCAGAAAGATCTCTGGGTTATCTCATGTGCTAAGGAAAAACTATTTTGCTTTTTCCAACTTTAATAGTTAGTATTTCTAGGGGAGGCAATCAAGATAAGATATGCCATTAACTGTTAGCATTGTGAAATCTGTAAGACTCAATCTCTGATCTCAACCAAAGCTTTCTGAGTCCTGGAACTTTGCTTTGGGACAACTTTACTTTACCCATTTATATGCTGTACTTAACAGTTTGTAGCTAATTTATGGGGTCATATCTTTTTTTTAGCTAATTTACGGGGGTCATATCAGTCATGAATAGCCTTTTTTAAAAATTTAATAATCCCTGAATACAAAAATGGAAATGGAAAATTTATAATCATAACCCCCCTAATTGGGAGTATTATAAGTTTGTAATGCTTTAAGCACTGCCTCTTAAGATGATAAATTTATAAGATGAGAAATTCTATTTAAACTATTAAACTATTGTTAAATAAATGCCAATTCTATAAGTTATATTTTCTTGCAGATTAATCCCAATTGTTCCACTAGTATTCTAGTTTTGATGAGACACAAATTTTTGTTGTTGTTTATTTTTGTTTTTTTGAGAGATGGAGTCTTGCTCTGTCACCCAGGCTGGAGTAGAGTGGCGTGATCTCAGCTTACTGCAACCTCCGCCTCCTGGGTTCAAGCGATTCTCCTGCCTCAGTGTCCCAAGTAGCTGGGACTACAGGCGTGCACCACCATGCTCAGCTAATTTTTGTATTTTTTAGTAGAGATGGGGTTTCACTATATATTGTTCCAGGCTGGTCTCGAACTCCAGACCTCAGGTGATCTACCTGCCTCGGCCTCCCAAAATGCTGGGATTACAGGCATCAGCCACCATGCCTGGCCAAGACACAAATTTTTAATGGAAAAATATTCTGATTCCCAGTTCATGTAAGCTTTATGAAAATTGAGTATATTGTTTATATGATGGTACAAATTATTCTTCCTCTAATAATAGCAGTACAGTATATTTTTTCCATAGCATCAGTGTAAACCATAGCAAACTAAAGGAGCATTGCTATTAAAAAGATGAATTAGCTGGGCGCAGTGGCTCATACCTATAATCCCAGCACTTTGGGAGGCCGAGGTGGGTGGATCACCTGAGGTCAGGAGTTCAAGACCAGCCTGACCAACATGGTGAAATCCTGTCTCTATTAAAAATATAAAAATTAGTCGGGCCTGGTGGCGGGTGCCTGTAATCCCAGCTACTCAGGAGGCTGAAGCAGGATAATTGCTTGAACCTAGGAGGCGGAGGTTGCAGTGAGCCAAGATCACACCATTGCATTCCAGCCTGGGCAACAAGAGTGAAACTCCATCTCTAAATAAATAAGTAAATAAATAGATGAATTTTTCTCCTAAGCAAATTGAAAAAGCTTCTTGTGTACTCAAAATTGAACAGAGCTACCTTTTGACTAAAAATGTCATTTTTAATGAGCAGTATTTTCTGAACACAAAATTTTGTACAAGAGTGTCTCCATTGCATTAATTTAATTTTGTTATAATTTTTTCCCAATGAAAGGAAAAAAGTATTTTGTAGCTCCTCTTCCTTATGTAAATTCTTAACATATATTTTTGAGAAATTTGCATTTTTTAAAGTAAAATTGTTATCTTTGGATACTTACTTTTCTTTGTTTTCCTCATTTAAAGAGAATAGGGATATTTCTGTATTATATATTTACTGTTTCATCCCTCACCTTTGGAGTGACCATGACCTTGGCATGAAGGAGAGAAACCTCTGCTTTCCGCCTATTGCTTCCAGGAGTTACTACCTTACTGGCCTTGGAGATAATGCTCTTTTGTGCCAACCTGAGGATAATTTTAACAAAATGTAAGGCCAGTTTCAGAGGTTGTTTTGCCCCACAGAGAGACTAATCCCAATACAAGAATATTGACAACAAAAGGACAAAGTAGTTATTGCACAGGACGGAAAGGTGTCTTTATTTCATCCCCTCCCCACTTCCAAAGATGCAAAAGGCCTAATTGAATCAAGTCTCCTTTCCATCTGGCAGGAGACATTTTAATAAGGACTTTTTAATTTCCTACATTTCTTGGCCAAGTGTCATAGGAATGTGGCCTCTTTTGAAATTTAAAAATGAAGAAGAAAAAAAGAGCAACACTAAGTTAATATAATGGAGCAGATACTTTTAATGTTCTTACCATTGAATATGCCATTTAAGTTTGTTATACTTGAAATTATATGATTTTTGTCCAGCTCTCTAAATTGTCATCTCCAATAGATTTAGATGCTTCAAATAGTAACCACATTACTGGTAAGTAAACGGTGGGGTTATTGGGTTTAGCAAGTGGGGAAGTAAGGGGTGAACAAAACACGAGAGATGGTGGCTACACCCCTACTAAGACTGCCTTACCAGATAAATGAAATCCTTTTTGTATTAGGCACAACATGGTAAATTAAGTCTTGCTCTAAAAAAAAAGAAAAAGAAAAAAGAGAAAAGCCCTGATCTAAGAGTTTTTAGATGCTAGCAACCTTGTTTAGATGTAGATCTTGTTTAGATGTAGCAACCACTTGACATTTAATTTATCATCTTAACCTTGAATGATTCTTTGTTTTGTTTTTTGTTATTGAGATGGAGTCTCACTCTTGCTGCCCAGGCTGGAGTGCAGTGGCGTGATCTCGGCTCACTGCAACCTCCACCTCCCGAGTTCAAGCGATTCTTCTGCCTCAGCCTCCCAAGTAGCTGGGACTACAGGCGCCCACCACCGTGCCCAGCTAATTTTTGTATTTTTAGTAGAGACGGGGTTTCACCATGTTAGTCAGGCTGGTCTCGAACTCCTGACCTCAGGTGATCCGCCCACCTCAGCCTCCCAAAGTGCTGGGATTACAGGCGTGAGCCACCGCGCCTGGCCTGAATGATTCTTTGTATTAACGATTTATTTAGAAGTGAGGTTGAGATTGGCCAGGTGCGGTGGCTCACGCCTGTAATTCTAGCACTTTGGGAGGCCAAGGCAGGCGGATTGCCTGAGCTCAGGAGTTTGAGACCCAGCCTGGGCAACATGGTGAAACCCTGTCTCTACTAAAATACAAAAAATTAGCTGGGCATGGCGGTGTGCGCCTGTAGTCCCAGCTACTCGGGAGGCTGAGGCAGAAGAATTGCTTGAACCCAGGAGGCGGAGGTTGCAGTGAGCCAAGATCGCGCCACTGCACTCCAGCCTGGGCGACAGAGCGAGACTCCATCTCCAAAAAAAAAAAAAAGTGAGGTTGAGATTTGCATGGTACCAAGGCTTACATGCTTCAGAATAGATCAATGGTTATTGTATAAGTAATTTTATCCTAAAACATTATGACATTTTTTGTTTCTTATTGAGGGTAGATAATGTTAATATTAAACTACTAATAGGAGGCCCTTATCACTTCTCTTTTCATTTTTTCCATGCAGTGATAGGTATTATTAGAAAAAAGTTATTTCTTGAGTTACACCTAAGAGGAAGAAGTAACATGATGGAAAGTGGTTGGAGATAGCACCCAATTAACATCGACAGCCAAGTCTTCTATTTCAGAATATTGATTTATTTCGCTTTGGCTTTTGATGCCATCATGAGATTTAAGTCTGCAGTTTCAAAAGCTCATGCTACTTAGATGATTTTTGCAGCTTAAAAAATTGCTTGTGACTGCAGTATGTACACAGTTAAAAAGCTGTTCACTGCCCCTTTCAACCTTTTCATTTTGAGCTTTACTAAGAGAATGCTTTTAGGAACAGAATTCCTAAAGTGTAATTTTTTATGTATAAATAAAGTTTTATCTATATCTGAGAAGTTGTAGTATTTATTTTTGTTTTAACATTATTAGCTTTTCTGAAGCAGGCAGTATTGGTAAAGAGAATATTCTGTAAAGGTTTATTCCGGCCAACCAGATCATTGTAGGCTATTGTAAAAAACAACAACAACTTTAACTCCAACTCGCTTGCCAGGTTTTCATTATCTAATATAACTATACAGATATTATCTGTTTATTTAGAAACACAAGACAGACAAACTGGAAATGTTCTTGAGAGCACTGTGACACTGGGTTATAACCAAGATTCCATTGTTCTTCATATCACAGGACCTGTAACAGTGGGTAGGTTTTTTCTGGATTGTTTGAGTATGAGTTTCTTTGGTTTGGTTTGGTTTGGTCTCTCTAACTCCCAAATTGAAAGTGACCAAAAGAGATGCTTTGCAACATCAAAGCTAAGCATTGAATGATAGGAATCTGAACATGTAGGGTCAAAAAGAGAGCCTTTGCTTTCTCAGATCATTTCCCTATAATAAGTATTTCTGGAGGAACTTATATGTTTGTTCATTTATTCAATAAACATTTATTAAATGCCTCAGTGTATGCTAGGTGCTAAGAACACAATGGTGAACCAGGCAGGCATAGTCTTCCTCCCTGGGAGAAGATTCTGTGCTGGTCCCTTATAGGGTATTCACAGATAAGTAAAGCAGATTCCTTGATTTGTGATTTTATATTCTAGTGGGAGAGCAGAAAAAGATCTGAGTAAAAAAGATCAAGTAATTGCACATTGTTGATAGGTGTTAGAAAGAAAACACGGTAGTGAAAGACTAGAACAAGTAGTTGAGGATGGGAATTCTATCTAGTTAGAGTGATAAGAAGTCTCTGAAGATGTGTCATTTAAGCTGAAACCTAAAAAAATGAAAAGCTAGCAGTGTGAAAAGTGACTGATCACATATGCAAATGCCCTGAAGCTTTAGTTCTTTGGTGTTTGAGGAACTGCTCCAGTATGGCGGGTATATTGTGAGAAATATGATGGTTCAGGGTTGGGTCTTCATAGTGTCTACTGATACTATGAAGCCTATATAGGAACATCTAACCCAGTCCTGGGAGGTGAAAGGAAGCTTCCTAATGGAGAATACTTTTTTATTTTTATTTCTTTTTTTTTTTTTTTATTTTTTTTTTTTGAGACAGAGTCTCCCTCTGTCGCCCAGACTGGAGTGTAATGGCGCAATCTCGGCTCACTGCACCCTCCGCCTTCCAGGTTCAAGTGATTCTCCTGCCTCAGCCTCCTGATAGCTGGGATTACAGGCACCCGCCACCACACCCGGCTGATTTCTGTATTTTTAGTAGAGACAGGGTTTCGCCATGTTGGCCAGGCTGGTCTTTTTTTTTTTTTTTTTTTTTGAGACGGAGTCTGGCTCTGTCTCTCAGGCTGGAGTGCAGTGGCGCCATCTCGGCTCACTGCAAGCTCCGCCTCTCGGGTTCACGCCATTCTCCTGCCTCAGCCTCCCCAGTAGCTGGGACTACAGGCGCCCACCACCACGCCCGGCTAATTTTTTGTATTATTAGTAGAGACGGGGTTTCACCGTGTTAGCCAGGATGGTCTCGATCTCCTGACCTGTTGATCCATCCGCCTTGGCCTCCCAAAGTGCTGGGATTACAGGCGTGAGCCACCGCCCCCGGCCTCCAATGGAGAATACTTCTTAACCAAGTTATAAACATGACATTGGAGTTGGCCAGATGGTTCTTACACCAAAGGTCTACTCTGCTGGCCTTCCAGAATTGCCCAAATGTGTCTGAATTCACTCTTAGGCCCTTGCTCTGCAAACACCCTGTATGTAACTCCACTAATAACTGTCATTAGTTATCAGAACATTAATACATTGATCTGAACATTGAGCCTATACTTTATCATCAAAACCATAAATATTTAAGAATAGCTGTTTTTTTAAGAAGTTGTTGTAAATTACTTGTTTCCTCCTGGGCCTAATTATTGAGGGTTATTTACATTCTTTTTAAGAACTGAATAGCACCAGATGAATTCAACAATTATTAGTCAAGTCTCTAGAATTCTGGACATAGCAGAATGTTTTTACTTAGGGACTGAAAAATACAGTAGATCAGTCTGTCTCTTAATTTGTAATCCTTAAACTATTTCTATCAGAATCACCTAGGAGTTCATTTAAATGCAGATCTCCAGGCCCAAACCTATTGAATAGGAATCTTTGGGGTTAGAATCAGAGCATCTTCACTTTTAACAATTATCCCAGGCCATTCTTTGTAAATTCAAGTTTAAGAACCACTGCATTTATGGGCAGACAAGGTAGCTCACACCTGTAATCTCAGCACTTTGGAGGGCCAAGGTGGGAGGATTGCTTGAGGCCAGGAGTTCAAGGCTACCCTGGCCAACATGGTGAAACCCTGACTCTAAAAAGAAATTTAAAAAAATAATAACCACCGCACTTACATGTGTTCCTATAAACAATCCCCTCTCCTTTGTTATATGTTCTGTTTTCCTATTATATATTCCTAAATACATAATCACTTTACTTTGCATAGCAACAAACACCAGCACCAGCAATACTTGCCTCTTGAAGAATGGATTGTCACTTCTCTTGAGTGAATGCCTAAAAGCATTCACCCTTCAAACATCTACCAGCCAGTTGCTACAGTGATCAAGATTCTACTGCCATTGATAATTCAGTTTCATTGCACTTTGCCCTCTCTTCAGCACCTTTTAAAATAGATAAGTCCCTAAGAGGAATAGTCAGATTGTAGTTCCTTGTCCCTGGCTGACTTGGGGCCATTTAAGACTGAATGCCTCAGGAATGCAGAACATTGAAAAGGCAGGGAGCACAAAAAGGGAGCACTGGTGGGCTATAGATGATCTGCAAAGGATGGTCTCTACCTTATGACTATTTTCCTTGGGGGAATTAACCAGTTAATGTTACTTTGAGGTCTTAGATAACTGTGCTTTGGCAGCTAAGGTATTAACTTCAGAAGCAACTGAGTTTACTTTTAGATACCAGTTTCTGTATTTGCTGACAAAGAAAAGATAACAGTAGGTAAAAGAATGTTAAAAAGAAACAAAAGGCCAGGCACAATGCCTCACATCTGTAATCCCAGCACTTCAAGAGGCCAAGACAGGAGGATCACTTGAGGGCCAGGAGTTCAAGACCAACCTGGGCAACGTGGCATGACCCTGTCTCTACAAAAAAATAAAAATTAAAAATTATCTGGGCATGGTGGCATGGCATGCATCTGTAGTCCCAGCTACTCAGGAAGCTAAGGCAGGAGGATCACTTGAGCCCAAGAGTTCAAGGCTGCAGTGAGCTATGAACATGCCACTGCACTCCAGCCAGGGAGACAGAGAGACCCCATCTCTAAAAGAGAAAAAAAGAAAGCAATAAAATTCTGCAGAACTAGGTAGGAAAGACAATAAAAGCTACAAGGGTGCATCATTGTTTTGAGATCTAGACAAATTTCGAGAACCTATTCAAGAATATTGAAAAGTATTTCAAAGTTCATTTTCATATCTCTGATTACTTACCGCTGTCCTGCCCTTTAAAGCACTTCCATTTGTTTTCTTTATGATGGGGTAATGTTGGCCAAACAGGCTATATGATAAAGTATTTAGTCCTAGTTTTATCTTCATACAATCAGAGCTCTGAGATGAAAATAAACTTGTTCCTTTTTTATCACTAGGTACAAAACAACAAATGAAGTTGCTTATGTATATAATATGATGATTTTTGTCTTTTTAGGTAATGGCTGAAAGCAACACATTTTGCTAACCTAAGGATAAATAATACTATAATACCTAATTCACACTACACACTTAACAAAAGCAATTTATCATCAGCCTAAGATTGCTAATTTTTATAACAGGTACAGACATAATTAACTTAATATTGACCAGCAAATAAATCTAGAAATTGTGCTTATTCTTTAGTATTCATTTTAACTGAATTTAAATTAGTGTTTTTCCCTAACAGCCTTGTATATTGCTTAATAAAATTGTCATATTTGAAAACAGAGATTCTTAAAGTTTAAAATGCTTGCAGTCAAATGACAGTTTATCAATAAAGATTTAAAACTATCTTTTAACCTGTCAGTTTGTAAGATGCTAATCAATCCATTATACTGTGTTGCCTCTAAGAAAATGACATGAAAAGATGGTTTCAGAATATTTCTTTCTACCAGCAAATCATAAAGAGCTTTTTAAAATCACATTTATAGTCTTTCCAGTGAGCTTATGTGAACACACAGTGGGGCTGCATCTTTATTGAGTATTTACCAGAACTGAGTAATATCTAGGCTTAGGTGAATGGAAGGTGATAGTTGAACAAAAATGATGACCAATTTAGTCAGCAAAATCGATGTCTTTCCAACTTTGATGTGAATCAGAATCCCCTGGGAGCTTATTACAAACATAGATGCCCTAACCTTCCAGAGGATTTTGTTTTGTTTTGTTTTTTTGGAGACAGAGTCTCATTCTGTTGCCCAGACTGGAGTGCAGTGGTACACATCTTGGCTCACTGCAACTTCTGCCTCCCAGGCTCAAGCGATTCTCCTGCCTCAGCCTCCTGAGTAGCTGGGACTACAGGCATGCACCACCACACCAGGCTATTGTCTGTGAGTAAAGACGGGGTTTTCACCATGTTTGCCAGGCTAGTCTCAAACTCCTGGTCTTAAGTGATCTGCCCACCTCAGCCTCCCAAAGTGCTGGAATTACAGGTGTGAGCCACCATGCCCAGCCAATCAGAAGTTTTGATTCCATCTATAGGTTTGGGGTTGGGCCCAATAGATGGTTGGGCCGTCTATTTTGGGCAAGCTGCCCAGGTGATTCTGTGTACCCTGAAGTATGAGAATCCAACTTGGTTTGGTCTGAACATGACATTTCTAGAGGTTCTTAAAGCTTAAAATGTTTGCAGTCAAACCACAGTTTAGAGTCTAACATTAATAGAATCAAGATTAAGATTTCTAGAATCAAAGATGTTGGATGGTTGTCAGATTGTGGCCACTGAGCCTCTTGATTCAAAAGATAGAAGGCAAAACTCATTTTCCTAGGCTCCCTTGCTGCTAGAGCACAAGTATGTGGCCTGGCCTCTGCCAATCAGATGCACCCACGTGCAGTTGGTATTCCAAGAGATAAGGGAAGAAGTTGGCATTCCCAGAATCGTCTTCTGATGGGCATATTAGTGGACACGGACTGATCTTCAACAGCAGCAGAGGCGGCATGTCTGGCACCCAGTCCCAAGCATCAGTGGTGTCAACTGCTGTGGCTGTGAGACTGGGGTTTCTCTAGAGGAGCATTGCAGTGTGGGTGGATATATTCCTGCTTATATAACTTCTGGTCAGCTTAAACTAATCAGAGTATACTACTTTGTTTGCAACTAAGCCCTGACTAACATACGGAAGTTATACCATGCCAGTTAACCATGGTATAAACTTTGGAGACAGCAGCCTGCAGTCAATTCCTATGTAAACACTAGCTTTGTAAACCTGAGAAAGGTTCTTAACCTATTTCAGCTGTAATTTATTTGTCTCTTAAATGGGCAATAATAACTCACAAGATGTTACCAGGATTACATGAGATGACATATTTAAATAATTAGCACAAAATCCAGCAATAAATGATGGTGTCGTTATTGTAGCCCCCTGGCTATTAGATGCACTCAGACAACTCTGGTAAACAGGCTCACTTATTTCTTACAACCTCAGAAGATTCCTGTATTGGGACTCTTTGCAGTAAGTGATAGCAACTCAACTCAAATTGGCTTAATCAAAAAAAGATAGTTTATTCACTCATGTGGCCAGGCACAGTGGCTCACACCTGTAATTCCGGCACTTTGGGAGGCCAAGGCAGGAGGACTGCTTGAGGCCAGAAGTTCAAGACCAGCCTTAGCAACATAGGAGACCACGTCTGTACAAAAAATTTTTAAAAATTAGCTAGGGACCGGGTGCGGTGGCTCACGCCTGTAATCCCAACACTTTGGGAGGCCGAGGTGGGCAGATCACGAGGTCAGGAGATTGAGACCATCCTGGCTAACACGGTCAAACCCTGTCTCCACTAAAAATACAAAAAATTAGCCGGGCGTGGTAGCAGGTGCCTGTAGTCCCAGCTACTTGGGAGGCTGAGCAGGAGAATCACTTGAACCGGGGAGGCGGAGGTTGCAGTGAGCCAAGATTGGGCCACTGCACTCCAGCCTGGGCAACTGAGTGAGACTCCATCTCAAAAAAAAAAAAAACAAAAACAAACAAAAATTAGCTGGACATGGTGGTGTGAGCCTGTAATCTCAGCTACTTGGGAGACTGAGACGGGAAGTTGAGGCTGCAGTGAGCCATGTTGACGCTACTGGACTCCAGCCTGGGCGACAAGAGTGAGACCCCTTCTCAAGAAACTAATTAAAAATAAAAGATTTTTTTTTAAATAAAAATAATAAAAAACAAAAACAAGTTAAAAGGAAAAAAAGGAAGCAAAAAAAAAGAAAAAAGAAGATAAAGATTTATTCACTCATGTAATGAAAAGTCCAGACTGTAGCCCTGGCTTTAGGCACAACTGGATCTGGGTGCCCAAAATGTGTCACAGGATTCTGTCTCTCTTCCTCAGCCTGCCTTCCTTTGTGTGAATTTCATCCTCAGGTGGGCTTCCTAGACAGTGACAAGCTTGATAGCAGCATGTCTAAAGTGACGTTCTGCCAGTTTAACCAACCAGTGAAAAGAAAGCTGCTCTTTCCTGCCAAAGTCCAAGAACTGATGCTGATTGGCTCATCTTTGGTCACTTGTTCACCCTAAATCAATCACATGGACAGGAGATAAAACACCCAATAGCCCAGGCTAGTTCCTGTCTCTACCCATGGAGCCAAAGGGTGGGTTAAACTCTATCTAAACCACCTAGAACAAAAACTTGGCAGGGTAGTTCCCTAAAAGAAAGTGGAAATGTTATCATTGGAAACAAAGATTACACATACTATAAAGGCAAAAACATCTGATGCTATGGCTCCGTCTCACCTTTGATTCCCACCAGTTTTCTAATGAGAATACCAACATTGTGTTTACCAAACTGCGGTCTCACCCACCTAACCTGTCCATTCATCTCAGGTTTACCAATGTTAGCATCTGGCCATTGTGAACCCCCTTTTCATTAGATATCTGCTAGTCCTGTCTCATGGTTATGAATTTTCATGTGCAGAGGGGATGGGGCACATGCACACATCGACATGCTTCAGAGATGACTCAGCCAGGGTGGGTGCCACCCAGTAAGATGGCGTTGTTTCTAAAATGCCTGCTCCTCCCTCCTGATTTGCTTCCATCACATCCTCTGACATCAAGAAGTACATTTAGCACAAACAAGGTAGATGAGAAATGAGCTGTCACAGTTTATTCACCACATTCTGCTGCAATTTATAAATCACAGTACAATTCAAAATGATTTATTTAGCCTTTCCATCTAAAAAAAAAAAGAAAGGGAAATGAAAAAAATATGAAGGATTACCAGCTCCAACCCAATCAATAGCAAGGAAGCCTGCTTAACTCTGCCAATTAATCGTGTCTCTTGGATATGAGATGTCCAATGACAGGAGGCTTGGAGAGAGGTTAGCCAAAGTCAAAACCAGATTCACCGTCACTTCAAGCTCAAGGGGTCTAGAGTTAGCTGCTCCCAGCTAACCATTATCATTGGTTGAGGGCACTGGTAGGCCACTGGATTCCTCAGCTTGTTCTGCAGTTCTCTAGCCTCTGTGTACCACAATGTTTCCCTAAAGGAAACTGGAGGTATTGTTACCAAAAGAAGATAATGTATTCTGGGTAGGTAAAAACATAAAGAGGAAGAAAGAAACTACAATCAGTAAAAAGCCTGACATAGAGTAGTTCGAAAAGGAATTGTTAAAGCATTGTAGAGAGGTAGGTATTTAATAAATGGTTGTTTATAATTAGCAATCAAATGTGATGCTATAATCCTGCTGGCCTCCCATACATGGCCATTAGATAACTTGTAAATGTATTATTCTAAAGAGAATAGAAGGGCAGGCGTGGTGGCTCCCACCTGTAATCCCAGCACTTTGGGAGACAGAGGCAGGGGGATCACTTGAGGTCAGGAGTCCAAGACCAGCCTGGCCAAGATGGCAAAACCCCATCTCTACCAAAAATACAAAAATTAGCCAAACATGGTGACACATCCCTGTAGTCCCAGCTACTTGGGCAGATGAGGCAGGAGGATCACTTGAACCCAGGAGGCGGAGGTTGCAGTGAGCCAAGATCATGCCACTGCACTCCAGCCTGGGTGACAGAGCAAGACTCTGTCTCAAAAAAAAAAAAGGGAAGGTATTTTTTTTCTTACATAGGTAAATATCCCTAAATGAGCTTTGTTTATACTGCCTAGTAAGCAGTTGAACTTCAGTGTGAGCAATAATGACATTAATTTAGGCATTTAATAATACAAATTATACCTATTAGAGTGTGAGTTTTGAGTTCTCAGTAATAATGCAAAAAAAAGCGGGGGGGGTGTAGCTATAGCCAAAAAAAAAGCTAGTAGAATATTGGATAATAGAAGAGAGAAAAGAAATACAAAAGAAAAAAAAAAGTGCTACACTTGGACAAACCTATGGTGGATCTATCTAGAAAACTGTTTCTTGGCTGGATGCAGTGGCTCACACCTGTAATCCCAGCACCTTGGGAGGCCAAGGCTGGTGGATCGCCTGAGGTCAGGAGTTTGAGACCAGTGTAGCCAACATGGTGAAACCCTCATCTCTACTAAAACACAAAATTAGCTGGGCATGGTGGCTCACGCCTGTAATCCCAGCTACTTAGGAGGCTGAGGCATGAGAATCACTTGAACCCAGGAGGCAGAGGTTGCAGTGAGCTGAGATCGTGTCATTGCATTCCAGCCTGGGCGACAGAACAGGACTCTGTCTCAAAAAACAAAAACAAAAACCTGTTTCTTATTCTAGTTTTGATACCTCAAGAAAAAACATGGTAAGAAAAGAAGTTCTAGAGAACAACTGAATTGATGAGTAGTTCTTGTCTACAAATATTTATCGAGCTTCCACAATGTGTGAGACTGGTCTGGAGATAAATATAAAAGACATGGTCCTCAGCTTCACAGTCCAATGGGAGAGACAGAGACACAGAAATAGCTCTAATTATGCAATGTGGTGAGCAGAGAACAGAGATATGCGCAGGACACTGATTGAGGTCACAGAGGAGAGGCACTAGGAATGGCTAGAGATGAGCTGAAAACAGACAGAACGAGAGAGGAATACAAAGTGGCCTGTGGGTGTTGTTGCTGCTGTTGTTATGTGTACATTCAGGAGTGAGAGAAGCCAGTTTGAAAAGAAGAAGCAATGGAAGGGGAGAGCTGGAGTAACTAAGAGAGAAAACAGATCCAACGGGAAGGCTAGAGTTACAGGATGATGTATAGTGGGTTGGCCCAGAATAAACAGGGAGAGGGGCCCAACCTCCTCCAAACCCAGAGAAGAGCAGATAAAGATGGTTATGGGCAGTGATAAGCTTGGAAGTAGAGGGCCAGAAAGTTAAGGGAGATCAGACCTGGCATATTCAATTTGTTGGAGTAGAGGTTTTTAACCTTTCAGGATGTTGACAATCTGATGAAAACTACCAATGTTTTTCTCTCAAAAAGGCACATTAGGCCGGGAGCCATGGCTCACGCCTATAATCCCAGCACTTTGGGAGGCCAAGACAGGAGGATCACTTGAGCCTGGGAGTTCGAGACCAGCCTGGGCAATATAGTGAGACCTCATCTGTACAAAAAAATAAAATAAAATAAAACTGCCTGAGGGTGGTGGCGCATGCCTGTGGTCCCAGGTACTTGGGAAGCTGAGGTGAAAGGATCACTTGAGACCCAGAAGCAGAGGCTGCAGTGAGCCAAGATCACGCTACTGCACTCCAGCCTGGACAACAGAGCAAGATCCTGTCTCAAAAAAAAAGAACATTACCCAAATTTTAACATATAATTTCAGTTTCTCAACCTGCTGAATCCCAACCACAGACACCAGGCGGAGAGCCTGCATTCTACCCAGGTAAGACAGGTCATTTGCTGACAGTAAGGAATTGGGGGGACACGGGGTGCTTAAAGATTTGGAATAAACACTGCAGCCCAAGTGAGAGGGACCAAAACAAAGACAAGCAGATGACAGAGCTAAAGTTCCTGGCCTGGGTTAGAAACCGTAGTGTGACATGTCTGTCAGCACAACTGTGCCAAGGTGAATTGCAGCATTGATCCAGGCTGGGAACTTAAGAGAGTAGAATGCCCATTAGGAACACTGAAGTGATTAACACAAATTCCAGAGCAGGTAGTGAAGAAGACAGCCCAGGAGGGGACTGACAAACTGGGAGAGAGGGCTTTGTGAGCTGGAAGGGATGCTACCTCACATTATACCAAAAACTCCTGGAAAAATGCAGAGCTCCTACCTCCTCCCTTGCTGAGGTAGGCACAGCTGTCAGCTCTTTGGATCTCTCACTAATTGTCATAACCCATCTTCCCTTCACGGTCCCATCTGGGTCTCCTCTGCACCTCTCCCTGACCACTTGCTTTTCTCCCTCCACATACAAACATGCTCAAGGCTTTCCCACATTCAAAAACAAAAGAACAGGAACATTGAACCTTCCTTCAAAGACAAGGTTAGATGGACTTAAAGCTCATCTGCTGGCCAGGCACAGTGGCTCATGCCTGTAATCCCGGTACTTTGGGAGGCAGAGGCGAGCGGATCACCTAAGGTCAGGAGTTCAACACCAGCCTGACCAACATGGTGAAACACCATCTCTACTAAAAATACAAAATTAGCCAGGTGTGGTGGTGGGCGCCTGTATCGCAGCTATTCAGGAGGCTGAGGCACGAGAATCACTTGAATCCAGGAGGTGGAGGTTGCAGTGAGCCAAGATCACGCCATTGCACTCTAGTGTGGGCAAAAAGAGCGAAACTCCACCCAAAAACAAACAAACAAACAAACAAAAAACTCATCTGCCATAGAAAATTCTGAAACAGACATATATATAAAGATAGCATTTCAAATCAGTGGGAAAAAAATAGATTACTCAATAAATGGTGTTGAGACTACTGGGTAGACATGTGGGGGAAAAAAATACATTAGATCTCTGTAAATCAAAATAAACTCCAGATAGATTAAACCTTTCTTTCCCCTGGGGCAGAGTCTCGCTCTGTTTCCCAGGCTGGAGTGCAGTGGCGCCACATCAACTCACTGCAACCTCCGCCTCCCAGGTTTAAGCAATTCTCCTGCTTCCGCCTCCCCAGTAGTTGGAATTACAGGCGCACGCCACCACACCTGGCTAATGTTTGTATTTTTAGTAGAGACAGAGTTTCACCATGTTGCCCAGGCTGGTCTTGAACTCCTGACCTCAAGTGATCCACCTGCATTGGCCTCCCAAACTGCTGGGTTTACAGGCGGAGCCACTGCAACTGTATCACATATATATGATACAAAATAAAAGTCTTTTCGGTAATGTTGAAATTGGCAAGAACTTTCTAAGAATAACATAACATCCAGAAGCCCTAAAATAAAACATTGATAGGCCGGGCAGGGTGGCTCGCGAGGCAGGGTGGCTCGTGCCTGTAATCCCAGCACTTTGGGAGACCCAGGTAGGTGGATAACCTGAGGTCAGGAGTTCGAGACCAGCCTGACCAACATGGAGAAACCCCGTCTTTACTAAAAATACAAAACTAGCAGGGCATGGTGGCGCATGCCTGTAATCCCAGCTACTCAGGAGGCTGAGGCAGGAGAATCGCTTGAACCCAGGAGGCAGAGGTTGCAGTGAGCCAAGATCACACTATTGCATTCCAGCCTGGGCAACAAGAGCAAAACTCCGTCTCAAAAAATAAAAATAAAAATAAATTTAAAAATAAAACATTGATAAATTGGTATATATTAAAGAAAAATTCTGCATAGAAAGCATAATCAAAAGACATGAATATTTGCAACTCACATCACAGACAAAAGCCTAAGTTCTTAGCATTTAAACAGCTGATAAAAATAAGAAAATAAAAAAGAACCAGCAAGCTAATAGATAAATGGGCAAAGAATCTGAACACGATTCACAAAAGCAGGTAGTGGGAAATTGGCTCTCTCATGCATTGACAGTCAAATATAAATTAGTGTGGCTTTTTTGTTTTTTTTCTTTTTTAGATGGAGTCTCGCTCTGTCTCCCTACAGTGGCGCGATCTGGGCTCACCACAACCTCTGCCTCCCAGGTTCAAGCAATTCTCCTGTCTCAGCCTCCTGAGTAGCTGGGACTACAGGCACGCACCACTGCGCCCAGCTAATTTTTGTATTTTTAGTAGAGGCGGGGTTTTACCACATTGGCCAGGCTGGTCTTGAACTCCTGACCTCGTGATCTGCCCATCTTGGCCTCCCAAAGTGCTAGGATTACAGGCGTGAGCCACCACACCCGGTGGTGTGGCCTTTTAAAGCCCATTAAAAGAGGCCTGGTTAAATACATTGTTACCTCCATTCTACCTCTATTCTACACTGCTATTTAAAAGAATGAGTCAGTTCTATATATCCATCTCCAAGATATAATAAGAATACTGAAGTGTAGAATCATGTGTTACCAAAAAAAAAAGTAAGGAGGGCCTACTCGGTGCTCTCTCCACTTGGATGATCCGCGAGCACTTCAAACACACACAGCAGGACCAAAGGATAATTCAATATTTGCTTTAAATCA
Organism: Homo sapiens; assembly: GCF_000001405.40. Lineage (NCBI taxonomy): Eukaryota > Metazoa > Chordata > Mammalia > Primates > Hominidae > Homo > Homo sapiens. Next base: position 45,046,270 of record NC_000013.11, read on the forward strand.
AAATCTGCCTATAGAAGCAAAGAATATCTCTGGGAGAAGGCACAAGAAACCAGTAAGTATAGCTGTCATATTCCAACCTCTTCCCCTAATATTCCCTCTTTCTATGAATCAGAAGCACAGACAACAAAGTCGCCCAATCCAGGGCCGGAGAGTCATTCTGGAACTTGGTTAAGAACGTAATGCCATAGAAACAAATCTGTAAAATTCAAATTTGATGACATTACTCACCTACTTAAAGTCATTCATTTCTGCCACCCTCCTCACACCCCTTCCCTCCCTCCCCCTGCCCAGTGAAGAGCCTGTTCCTGCAAGGAGGTGCCTACCATCTCTGCTCTGGATGCTTGCAAATGTCCCGAAGAGGCTTTCGTATGTGGTCTAATACTGATAGCTGCTTCTCAGGTTTTTCCGCCAGCACTGTCTGTGTACCTGCTTCTGCCTGAAGAGCTGTTTGGAAGGTAGCAAGCATATGAACCTAAATGAAGACAGGAATTACTACATGTTATTCTCTGGTTTATTTTGATGACAAAGTCCCCCTACTGATAAAACATTGCATTATTTCATCTTTCAACCTTGAGGGACAGAATCCTTGAAGACCCAGCTCAAAAATGTTCTCTAGCGCCGGGCGCGGTGGCTCATGCCTGTAATCCTAGCACTTTGGGAGGCCGAGGCCGGCAGATCACGAGGTTAGGAGATCGAGACCATCCTGGCTAACACGGTGAAACCCCGACTCTACTAAAAATACAAAAAAATAGCCAGGCGTGGTGGCGGGCGCGCGCCTGTAGTCCCAGCTATTAGGAAGGCTGAGGCAGGAGAATGGCGTGAACCCGGGAGGCGGAGCTTGCAGTGAACCGAGATCGTGCGACTGCACTCCAGCCTGGGCGACAGAGCGAGACTCCCTCAAAAAAAAAAAAAAAAGGCCCCTAGCTCGATAGCTTACACAGCTTTCCCAGCCAGTAGGTCACCCCACTGTCATTCTTCCATTAGCTCTTGGGACTGTTATGCGCTGTTTACTTGTTTTGCAACGGATTATGAACTGCGTGAAGGCAATATCCTATCTTTTGTATTAGTATTATTTCTAGGGCCTAGCTGAAATATAATAGATACTCAGTGAACTTTGTAGGAGGGAGGGAGGGATGGATACATTAAAAGAAATGGAGAAAGTCTTCTTAAATCCTAACAGTACAAACTTGAGTTCTTTTCTAGGTGAGGTAGACCTGGAAATGTTAGCGATTCCACAAGGCGGCACTAGAGTTCCACCTGTCTCCCTCCGCCGAGAAAAGCCGGAGCCAACTAAGTCTTGCCCCGGCTGGTACCTTGTAGCAGATGCCTGCTTTAGCCGAGTAAGCCAAGAAAAATGATTTGAATGAGGACTGAGGGAGGAATGAGTGCAGGGAGGCCACAACACTGTTATGGTAAAGAAATGATCATTTTAAAGGGACTTCAATAGAAAGCCCCCCACCCCCATCTCTGGACAACATCCTACTCCTAGCGCTGGGAGCCATGTATCCAAACAATAGGGTATTCTTTTCTCAGTCCAGTTTTTCCGCCTCCTCTAATTAAGCAAAACACTAAGGCTCATAAAATATTGGGTTATCATTCTAGCTCCACAGTATTTCCCAATTGAGTGCTCTCTTCCTTATTCCATGATAGATCACAGCTGTCACAAATATTACCATTTCCTCCTTGGTAACCTCCCAAGAGGTCACTGAAACTTTCATCCTGGACCTCTGAACCCTAGATTTCTGTGTAGGCTGACAAGAAAGAAAAAAAATCCTTTTAAATTTCAAATATATATGTAACTCCTATGAGAGACCTGGAAATGTAACCATGGAAACCAGAGCATGAGTGTAACCATGGAGACCCATTGAAACCAGCTGGGCCATTACCATCTAGAAGCTGGTGGGGATGTGGCAATTAGAAGGACTGTTAGCCCTAGTTAATGTGGTCAAGTGATGTCAATTGTTTAGGTGAGTGTTTTACAGACATTTAAGTAATTTCTGGGTACTGCCAATGCTTTAAAATGTTCGACAGAAGGCCTTTTCATAGGACTTCCTATGTTAGACTAATTTCTGAAGGATCCTCCACATCTTTCTCCCCAACCCTCTTACCACACCTCCAGAGTCATGACTTAATCAGTCATTCATTCAGCAGACACACGCTAATTGCCTTGTAATCACCTTGGTGTGCTGGGCACTACTGGATCCCATCGTATACATTATATAATATGGTGTATATACAGATATATACATTATCTGTATATATCCCAGTTCATATACATTGTCTGTCCTAGCAGCTTTAATGCCCAGGCAAATCCTGAATAAAAGGGTCCATTTATCAAGAGGCTTCTTTACCAGAATCTGTCAGAATTTGGGTTTGTGCTTTCAGTAAGTGAGATGAGAACTAGACTTCTTTCATTTTGAAGGAAATGTTCATTATTCCAATGTCATAGAAGTCCTTCACAAAGTCAGACCATTCTCTCCGTCCCATTTCTTTTCTTCTTTCCCTGTGTGCATTACAACCCCATCACTCCTCTGGCAACCACAGGTTCAAAGGCCTTGATGACAGTTTGTCAGGGGAGCTGCTTTGTTGTGTGTTTTGAACACCAGTGTGGTGAAAAGGTAGAGTGCAGTGTCAAATCACCTGTGCCTGCCACTTACCCGTGTGTCACCCTAGACAAGCTATTAAACCTTCCTAAGCCTCAAGTTTCCTCATCTATAAAGAGGAAATAAAACCAATCTCTTTAGGTTATTCAGTGACAACTTCACTCAACTGTGAAACTTTAAACTGCTACCAAGTTTTATCTTCTGGTTTTATCTTTACTTCCCGATATCACTCAGCAGTCTTTCATGTTCTTAGCCCTTTCTCCTATTTTACTCAACAGGTGGTCTAAATGTTTACAACTTCCAACAGTGCATTCAAAACCAGCCGAGCATGGTGGCTCACGTGTGTAATCCCAGCACTTTGGGGGGCCAAGGTGGGAGGATCACTTGAGCCTAGGAATTTGAGGACGGCCTGGGTGAGACCTAGTGAGAACCCATATCTACAAAACAAATTTTAAAATTAGCTGAGTGTGCCTGTAATCCCAGCTACTCAGGAGGCTGACGTGGGAGGAGGACTTGAGCCTGGGAGGTGGAGGTTGCAGTGAGCGAAGACTGCACCTCTGCCCTCCAGCCTGGGTGACAGAGTGAGATCCTATCTCAAAACAACAACAAACAAACAAACAACCATCTGTCTCAGCAGAAAATGATGGAGACAATGATGACAACCGCAGTTGTTGTATGAGGCTTATTATATACCAGACACTGTTCTAAGCACTTCACATATTTTAACTCATTTAATTCTTACCACAAGCCATTGAGGATTATTGTCATCTCCATCATACAGATGAGAAAACTGAGGCACAAGGTGTTAGGGAAATTTCCCAAGGTCATAAGCTACAGAATGGCAGAAAAAGCATTTGAACCCTAGTAGTGCCTGCAAAGTCTGCCCTTTCAGCCACTGTTCAATAGTCAGGCTTTCTCTAGTGATAATGTTCACTGTGAATAGAGTCCAACGGATATGAATGAACTCCCTCAGATGTCTCCTGTTCAACGCCAACATCTGCCTGCACTAACCCGCATCTTCATCAGCCCCTAGTCCATGTTTCAGAAGAAAAAACCAGCCTTCCTCTAATCCTCCCACCCCAATTTCAAGTTCCTTGCTCCCTCAGTTACCCCTTTGTTTCTGATCCCCAATCCTTCCTCTCACTTGGCATCTTCCTCTCAGTATGTCAGCAGGTGCAAGCCCATCCTGCCTTATATATTTTTTCCCCATTCTTGAACTTGGCTAAAATGTCCTACCTTACTTTTTAATTTTATTTTATTTTATTTATTTATTTATTAACTTATTTATTTTGAGACAGAGTCTCACTCTGTCGCTCAGGCTGGAGTGCAGCTCACTGCAACTTCTGCTTCCCAAGTTCAAGCGATTCTCATGCCTCAGCCTCCCCCAAGTAGCTAGGACTACAGGCACCCGCCGCCATGACTGGCTAATTTTTGTATTTTTAGTAGAGACAGGGTTTCACCGTGCGGCGCAGGCTGGTCTCGAACACCTGACCTCAAGTGATCTGCCCACCTCGGCCTCCCAAAGTGCTGGGATTACAGGCATGAGCCACCGCGCCCAGCCCCTACCTTACTATTTTCAACACCACTTGAGTCTCTCTGCTTGTTATCCTCTCTCCTCTCCACAGTCAAGTTCCTGGCTCGAGTTGTCTATGCTTGTCTCCACCCCTTCATCTCCCATGGGTGCTGCACCCTCTGAGGTCTGGTTTCCTCACTTTACTGCAGTTGCTCTCCCGGTGGCCCCCAAGGTTGCTAAAATAAATGGCTTTGTATTTATTTATTTTTATTATTTATTTATTTTTTTTTTTTTTTGAGATGGGGTCTCGCTCTGTCACCCAGACTGGAGTGCAGTGGCGCGATCTCAGCTCACTGCAAGCTCCGCCTCCCGGGTTCCTGATAAATGGCTTTTTAAAAGCCTCAGTCCCACTTCTCTCTGTAGCATTTAACTCTGTTGATCACTTTCTCCCCTTTAAAACCTTCGCCTCCCTTGGCCTGACCTTCTTCTGTGCTTCCACTCTGGATTTTCCTTCTCTGTCTCCTTTACTGGCTCCTCCCTCATGGCCTATTCCTTACTTTGGGGTATGCTTCTGGACCCTTAACCTGCTCTTCCTCTCTCTGGGCGCTGTCAGTATCATGTCTGTATCTTCAACTAAGCCTCCATTCTGAATTCACATCAATGGATAAAAATGGCAATTGACTATCTCAGCTGCGTGATCTGTGGACTCCCCATCCTCAACTCAACACTGCATCCACCCAGAAGCCCAAGTCACAATATCTGAAGTCATTCTCCAGTCCTTCATCCCTCTGACAGGCATCCCCATGACCCCTCATATATAGCTTTCTGTTCCTTGTCCTGACCCCTCCACTACTGCCTTAGTCATCCTTTCTCTCCTAAAATATTAAAATCACCTCACCAGTCTCCCTTCTCCTTAAGCCTCAACCGTAAGGATACCAGTGAGATCTTTCTAATATGCATATCACTCCATTCCACAAAACCAAAAGATCCCTAATGCCAACATAATGAAACCAATTCCTTTGCATATGACCTGACTCCCATCTCTCTCTCCAGCCTCACCAGTTGTCTGGCCACCTCCCTAACCCCTGCCTTTCTAGCACCGTGGCTACAGTACTGGGCCAGATGGAATGGCCCCAATCATGTCTCTCACACCTCCCTACTTGGCACATCCATTCCTTCTTTCTGGAACATTTCCCTAGGGTGTTCATCCGGCAGACTCCTCCCCCGTATTCTCTACTTCCTCTTTGCCACCGCCCTTCCCTCACAGGCCTGGCTTTCCTTGTGCCTTTTACATACTCTCATCCAACAATTCTCGCTTGCATTATAATCGTTGGACTCATCTATTTTCCTTTTTAGACTTACTAGTTCTTCAAGGACAAGTACTACTTATTTGTTGTCCTTGTATTTTTTGTCCCATCAGTGCCCCACAAAATTTCTCGACAACGGTAGACATTTACTAAACATTAGATATTAATATTGTTATCAAGGAGACAGCAGAGAAACTGCCTTGGCAGCTAACACTTTCCATCATTGTCACCACCATCAACATCAGAAAGCACACACCAAATGCCTCTGTAACTGAACAGAGACCTGACCATGTCGTAACTTAGACCAAGTTAGTAGAGATAGTATCCTCATGTGTGTGACGTACACTCATTGGTATACAGACCTCATCAATGCACAGACCAGGTTACACTAGATGACTTCTTTTTTTTTTTATGAGACAGAGTCTCACTCTATTGCCCAGGCTGGAATGCAGTGGCGTGATCTCGGCTCACTGCAACCTCCACCTGCCGGATTCAAGCAGTTCTCCTGCCTCAGCCTCCCGAGTAGCTGGGATTACAGGTGCACGCTGCCACACCCAGGTAATTTTTGTATTTTTAGGAGAGATGGGGTTTCACATGGTGGCCAGGCTGGTCTCGAACTCCTGACCTCAGGTGATCCACCCACCTCGGCCTCCCAAAGTGCTGGGATTACAGGCGTGAGCCACCGTGCCTGGCTAGTACTAGATGATTTCTAAGGTCTCTTCAAAGTCACATCCTGTGAATGGAGGCATTAAACCAAGACATCCAATTAAATCAACCACCATGTGCACACTTATGACGCACAAGCTATTGCACTAAATGCTGTAATAAATGGATAGGAATGAACACTTACCAGTATTTAGATCAAAGGCAAATACAATTAAAGGCCATTTCAATATGAGACTGGGTAGGTAAATAGAAGACAAAGGAGGATACTCATTCAATTAGCTCAGCTGACATTTGTCAGGGCCCAGCTCTTTGCTGGGTCAATGTTGGAAGCTGGGTGGAACAATGAAAACCATGTGGTCTCTGTCCTCTATATGCTCCTGGCCCAGCAAGGCAGACAGCCACACAGCCTTCAAATGCAAAGGGCAGGGAAAGAGGGCTGCAATCAATTCTGTCTAGAAAGGGAAGGCAGGTCTTAAGAAATTTCTCAGTCATGACATTTGGTCTGGCTCTTGAGGGGCTAATGGGTTTTCTCAAGTGTAGAAGAGAGAGTTCCACAGCGAGGGAACAGAATGAAAAGGAGGACATAGGCTCCAACGCTGAGGCACCTTGGAAACCATTGATTTTCCCAGGTCACAAGCAGCAGCAGCTGAGCCACCATCCCGAACTCCACATGAGAACATCGGCTTCATGAGCCCCACAGGCAACGTGTACAGGGTCTGGAGAATGATGGCTGGGGCACAAGGTGTGGGTTCAGAAGTGGAGAAAGCAGGGTCACCAAGGTTAATACATGTCATTATTCAGGTGTGCAGAAAGTAAACTATTTTTTTCTTTTCTTTTTTTTTTTTTTTTTTTGAGACAGGGTCTTGCTCTGTCACCTAGGATGGAGTGCAGTGTTTTGATCATAGCTCACTGCAGCCTCAAACTCCTGGGCTTAATCAATCCTCCCACCTCAGCCTCCCAAACAGCTGGACCACAGGCTCGTGCCACTACACCCAGCTAATTAGCTTTAAAATTTTGTAGAGACAGAGGTCTCATTATGTGACGTAGGCTGGTCTTGAACTCCTGGCCTCAAGAGATCCTCCCACTTCACCCTCCCAAAGTATTGAGATTACAGGCATGGGCCACAGAAGTGACTAAATATTTAATACAATAATTTGGCCATCCATGTAGGTCACCTATGTCCATGTGTGTGTCTTATGCCCACCTTGCCCTCTGCTTCTCTCCCTAAGGGAGCATGGAAGATTATGGTTTTTATAACCTCATGATGGCCAAAAAGAGTTGGGGACTTCAAGAACATAGGCAGCATCTCTTTCCTTCATAGTGCCCCTGGCAGGGCTGGCATTTGAGGCTGAAATTCCATGGCTATCCTAGTCTAACTTAGCTTGACCTGGCCCAGGGGTGCTGCCTGGACTATGAACACTTACTGGGTCCCCTAACACAGTCAAGTCTGTCTGTGTTTCCCATTCAACCCTGGCTTGAGTGCTGTTCACTGCACAGTTCTTTGCTGTGGAACTACTGCTCCTCCATTATGTCAATCTCCTCAGCTAAACTCTAGATTTTATCTGTAACATACTGGCATCAAGGGAGGCTTTAAACAACTAACTCTCAGAGACTGTCCAAGATGAAATGGGTGCACCCGGGAGTCATTCGAAATACTTAAAAGCCAGTAAAGTACAAGCACCATACAATCAGCATGGAAACTGGTCCTTATGAATCAAAACTGGCTGCAACCTCCCCAAGTGGCTCTGTGAGTGCAGAATGGTACAGGGGCATCCTGTAAGAAGGCCCCTATCCTCCCCTGATTTACTGTATACTACCTGCTCTCCAGGCACGTTTCTGCCCACTCTGTTTTCCCATCTCACTCCTCTTGTTCTCTCCACAGTTCCTCACACCTCAAAAGGCTTTTATTTCATTTATCACTCAGTTTTTAGGTGCAAGGAACAGAACCGACGCTGCTGGACTTAAGGAGCAAAGGAATTTATCAGAAGGATATTGGATGGCTTGCAGGAACCTGAGAGGCCCAGAGCCAGGCACTGAGGCTCTGCAGCCAGGAACAATTGCCCACAAGAAAGCCTTAGAAACACTTCTGTGCTGGACCCCACAAGTTCCACCACTGACAACACGGGATCAATAATGCGGCTACGGTCACTGCCATCATCTGCTCTGTACCGCACCTGCTTCTTCCAAACCCCTGATTTCTCATCAATCAGGGTTAGGGAAGATGTCCCTGACTGGCCTGTGCCTTCAGTTGTGCTCAAGGAGCTGGAAAAGCAAGATCTGGTACTTTCTGATTCTCTAGTGGGAATGGGTTCTGCTCAAATAGAGAAAGGGGCTTTCAAGGTTGGCCTGTCAGTATGACTAGCACACTCTACTCTTCCCTCCTGGTTTATTTTCCCACTATAGATAGAGTGGTACTTATCTAGCTGTCCTAGCCTTAAGGGGTGGGAATGCCAGGTTTACAAATAAAAATACAGGTCAGGCACAGTGGCTCACGTCTGTAATCCCAGCACTTCGGGAGGCCAAGGCAGGCAGGTTGCTTGAGCTCAGGAGTTCGAGACCAACCTGGCCAATGTGATGAAACCCCATCTCTACTAAAAACACAAAAAATTAGCCAGGCATGGTGGCACACACCTGTGGTCCCAGCTACTTGGGAGGCTAAGGCACGAGAATTGCTTGAACCCAGGAGATGGAAGCTGCAGTGAGCTGAGATCGCGCCACTGCGCTCTAGCCTGGGCAACAGAGTGAGACTCCCTATCAAAAAAAAAAAAATACGAGATGCCCAGTTATATTTAAATAAACAGCAAATTTTTTAGTGTAATTATGTTCCATGCAATATTTGGAACATATTTATTCTAACAAATTATTCATTGTTTATCTAAAATTCACTGGGCATTCTGCATCTTCTCTGGCAGCTCGCCTTAGGAGTATCTTCTCTATGCTGCACTGCCTTTTCCTAAACTGAGCCAGGCCCCGGTTTCTGAGTGTGATAAAGATGCTGAAGTGCAAAATCCACCTTCAAGATGAAAGCCAGCTGCCTGATCCTGGTTTTGAGTGCCAAAAATTCGAAATTACCCAGTCTTTCTCTCGGCTTTCCTCCCATAACAGATGTGCATGTTCCCTAATCAGACAGACGCCTGGAGCCAGCTAAAGTACAGGTTGTGTCCTTGGGAAAGTGAAGGAGAAGCACATTAAAATTTAAAAAAACGATTACCCAGTTGCAATAACTAAAAGTAGAGTAAGTGGTGCAGAAAGATTTCATGAATTTTTATACTGGGCTCTCTCAAATTCCAGTACCTCAAGTTTCCTGTGACTCACACTTTACAGGGCTTTAATAGGTGGTGAAGCTATAAAGTAATGAAACTGATTTTCATGTGTTACCACACATACATGGAGATGAGTCAACAACTACTTTTGCTCTCACCTCCCACGTCCCAGGGTGGATCCATTACTCAATTGCCGATCTGTTCCTTTAATTCAAAAAGGCAAATGATTTTCAAAGCCACTGCATTTCAATATATTATAGACAAGATGCTAAAACTGTTTCCTAAGCTTTCTTAAAATTATAAATAACACAAACGAGGCACACAACTTTGCCAAATTCTTCTAAAGCAACCCACACAAAGACTTTACTCATTTACACAAGTCTTAGACGAGGAATAATTAGACCTTCTCAAACCAATGTCAGCTCTCTCTGGGCTGCCAGACAAACCACCGTGGGATGTTTCCAAGCCACAGAAAACAAATGGTATCTGTGAGAGCTGGTGCTCGTGCTGGAATATCTTTCACTAGCCAGGCTCCATTCCTTGGGAAGAAACCCCATCTATGCTTCTCCTTAAATTAAGCCTTTTTTCAATTCCTCAAACATGCCTTGTCCTTCCCATTTTGGGGCCTTTGTGCAGTGTTCCTCCTTCTGGAACCCTCTTCTTTGCTTCATCCAGTGACCTGTCAGATCTCCGCTCAAAATCATTTCCTCTGGAAAAAGTCAGTTCCCTAAACCTCCTCACCCCAAGCCCTGTGGCTGGATCAGGGCTCCCTGTTACATGCTTTCAGAGTTCATGCTGCCACTCCTTCTTAGGCTTATAAGGCTATTGTTGTGTGATTTGGGGATTAAGGCCAACTCCTGTCTTACTCAGTCATGGATGTTTTGGCTGGGTGGCTGCTTGTCCGAAACCCCATCTCCCAGCCTTCCTTGCAGCTAGGTGTGGCCTCGTGACTGGAATCTAGCCAATGACTGCATTCAACTTCTGAGTGTAGCACTTAGAAGGAAAGGAGGGGAGCCTCCTTTTTTCTGTTTCTCCCTTCAACAGCCTGAAGGCAAATGTAATGGTGAACTGATAAGGGACAGGACAGCAGAGGGACAAAGGGAGCCTGGGTGTCCATCACCATCAATCCACCAGACTAGCTCCACTCACTATCTGGATTGTGAACCTGAGAACTGCACGACTTTCCTGGTTTGGTGGTGGTGGTGGTTGTTATTGTTGTTTGGAGACGGAGTCTCTGTTGCCCAGGCTAGAGTGCAGTGGTGTGATCTCGGCTCACTGCAACCTCTGCCTCCCAGGTTCAAGCGATTCTCCTGCCTCAGCCTCCCAAGTAGCTGTGATTGCAGGCGCATGCCACCATGCCAGACTAAGTTTTGTTTTTTGTTTTGTTTTTTGAAACGGAGTTTCTCATCACCGAGGCTGGAGTGCAGTGACGCGATCTCAGCTCACTGCAACCTCCATCTCCTGGGTACAAGTGATTCTCCTGCCTCAGCCTCCCGAGTAGCTGGGATTACAGGTGCCTGCCACCACACAGGCTAGTTTTTCATATTTTTAGTAGAGATGGGTTTTTACCATGTTGGCCAGGCAGGTCTCGAACTCCTGACCTCAGGCAATCCACCCACCTCAGCCTCCCAAAATGCTGGGATTACAGGCGTGAGCCACCACACCCAGCCTAAGTTTTGTATTTTTAGTAGAGATAGGGTTTTGCCATGTTGGCCAGGCTGCTCTCAAACTCCTGGCCTCAAGTGATCCACCTGCCTCAGCATCCCAAAATGCTGGGATTACAGGTGTGAGGCACCATGCCTGGCCATGACTTTCCTGTTTAAGCCACCGTACTGAGTCTCATGAAAGTAGCCTGTATCTAGCAAATGCAGATTGGAACCCAGAGCCACTTGATCTCAGAATCCAAGCTCTGAATGACCACCACATGATGTTTTCCACACCATGGGCCTCTTCTCTATTATACATGTTACAATACATCTTAACATTTCACAGATCATATAGCAGACCACTTTGATGAACGTGGGGCTCACTTCCTGGATCTGTACTAGATCCCAGAGTGAATATGGTGCCCTCCAATTCATGCAATTCTCCTGCCTCAGCCTCCCAAGTAGCTGGGATTACAGGCATGCACCACCACACCTGGCTAATTTTTTGTACTTTTAGTAGAGACAGGGTTTCACCATGTCGGCCAGGCTGGTCTTGAACTCCTAACCTCAAGTGATTCACCCACCTCGACCTTCCAAAGTGCTGGGATTACAGGTGTGAGCCACTGTACCCAGCCACGTTGTATGTTTGCCATACTTTTTCCTTCTCACTCAATTTCCATCTATGTTTTTAAACCCCTGAGAGTCTCTGATAAGGTCCTCAGGACCACCTTTGTTTCTATTATTATTAATAAGTAACTTGGTTCCCAGCGTGCCCTCACCCCTGCCCCATCACACTCAGGAGAAAGGAAAGCTGACCATGATGGAGAGTCCTGATCTTTCTTGGAGGCCAGCATCACTCAAGGCTGTTCCACCCCACTGCTATAAGTTTGGTGAAACCAAAGCTAAAGAGAAGCCTCCTGATATCAGGAAGCAAGTAGTTAGCCTTTTCTGCATAACTTATTTTTTTTTCTGTTTCACATATAATTTTATTTGTTTTTTGTTTTGTTTTGTTTTGTTTTGTTTTTGAGATGGAATTTCACTCTGTCACCCAGGCTGGAGTGCAGTGGCACGACCCGGCTCACTGCAACCTCCACCTCCCGGGTTCAAGCAATTCTCCTGCCTCAGCCTCCCAAGTAGCTGGGACTACAGGCATGCACCACCATGCCCAGCTAATTTTTGTATTTTTAGTGGAGATGGGGTTTTGCCATGTTGGCCAGGCTGGTATCAAACTCCTGACCTTAAGTGATCCACCTGCTTCGGCCTCCCAAAGTGCTGGGATTACAGGCGTGAGCCACCGCGCCCAGCCACATATAATTTTACATAGATGCACATCATTGGCTATTTGGGCGCAATGCTTCCTCTTTTTTTTTTCTGCTTGATTTCCCCCTTCTCTTCTTCTCCTTTCTCCCCTCCAGCAGCAGCCATTGCTCCACTAACACACACAACAAGCCAGATCACCAACCAAGTATGCACACTTCTGTATTTTTCTCCATGCTTACAAAATCTTGTGTAGAAATTGGGAGTTTGGACATTTTCTTCTTCATAAAAGTGAGAACGTGGCTGGGTACGGTGACTCACACCTGTAATCCCAGCACTTTGGAAGGTCGAGGTGGGTGAATCACTTGAGGTTAGGAGTTCAAGACCAGCCTGGCCGACATGGTGAAACCCTGTCTCTACTAAAAGTACAAAAAATTAGCCAGGTGTGGTGGTGCATGCCTGTAATCCCAGCTACTTGGGAGGCTGAGGCAGGAGAATTGCATGAACCCAGAAGGCGGAGGTTGCAGTGAGCAAAATTTGTGCCACTGCACTCCATCCTGGGCATCGGAGTGAGACTCCATTAAAAAAAAAAAAGTGAGAACATATTATATACACTTTTCTGCATCTTCCTTTTCTCATTCAACTATACCTCATGAACATCTATTTAAATCCATTGGTTTAGATTTATTTCATTATTTTTAATGGCTGATGCTGATTAATAATTCATTATATTGATATGCCATAAATTATTCAGCCATGGGCTTTGTTTTGTGCTTTTTGTCACAACAAATAATGCTGCAATAGCATCCACGTGAACTAGTGGTTTCATCTCTGTGGAATAGATTCCCAGGCATGAGCTTCCTGGGTCAAAAGCCATGTTTAATTTTAATCAACATTGTCTTCAATTGCAATGGCTTGATTCCTTCACATTATCCTTTTTTTCTCCCTAGCTTCCTACAATTCTTCATTTTCCCCTCTTCCCTGCTACATCCTTTCTTGCTTCTATTTTCTATAATTAAATTAAAAGGCTGAAATGTTTTATTTTAGGTCAGTCTTACAGGCTAAAATGTAAAACATTTGTGCTACTATATAAAAATGCAATAAATATTATATAATAAAGAAATCCCCATTGTTTTAAAAGGCTTAAAGAAAGAAGCCCTCTTCTGCCTGAGACCAAGTAATCAACAATGTAACTACAGGTTTGTAATATGATACCTATTTTTCCTCTCTTTCGTAGTTAATCAAAAGATACATTCACAAATTCTCAAACGCTATGGTAACTGAATATTATCAGTAGCAAATTATGCAGTCCCCTGCCAAAGTTTCCTAGGTAATTAATTATATGAGATATTGCTTTTCTGGAGCATCCTCTGCCCCCAAATCCCACTCCTAGGACGATTTATTCATTTGGCAAATATCTATACAGCTATTGTTATGTGCTAGGCACTGTACTAGATGTGGGGCATATACCAGGGAATAAGACGGACAAGATCCCATTCTCACAGAATGCCTAGTAGAAGGAAAAAATAGTGAACAACAAGTTATGCATGTTTTTGGATAATATTATTTTAGTTGGGGTAAAATACACATAGACTGTACCATCTTAATCATTTGTAGATGTACAGTTCAGGGGTATTAAGCACATTCACATTGTTGTACAACCATCACCACCATCCACCCACAGAGCTCTTTTCATCTAGCAAAACTGAAACTCTGTACCCATTAAACGATAACTGACCGCCCTCTCCCTCCACCTGCTAGTCAGCACCAGTCTTTCCTATCCCTGTGAAACTGACCACTCTAGGTACCGCATACAAGTGAAGTCACAGTATTTGTCTTTTTGTGCTATGTCACTTAGCATAATGTCCTCAAAGTTTATTCATGTTGTACTGTGTGTCACAATAGCTTTCCTCTAGAAGGCTGAATAAAATCCCATTGTAGGCATACACTGTATTTTATTTATCCATTCAACTGTTAATGGACAATTGGGTCGTCTCCACTTTTTGGATAATATTTTAAAGCTATTTTTGACCAGGCACGGTGGATCACTCCTGTAATCCCAGCACTTTGAGAGGCTGAGGTGGGCGGATCGCTTGAGTGCAGGAGTTTGAGACCAGCAGGGCAACATATGGAGACCCCATCTCTACAAAAAATACCAAAAAAAAAATTAGCTGGCCCAGTCTCTACAAAAAATACAAAAAAAAGAATGTAAGGGCAATCTGGCTGCAATATCTGTCACCCTACTGATCACCAGGGTTGATTTGGCTAATCTGGCTGGCTAGGAAGGTGTCCCCTTCCTCCCTCACGGCTCCATGTGCGTCCCTCCGGAAGCTGTGTGCTCAGTCAAAGGGGACGACCATCCCCAACAGAGGAGGACTGGTCTTCGGTCAAGGGTATATGAGTAGCTGCACTCCCCTACCAGAACCTCCATTCAAGCTCTCAAAAAATACGGGAAAAACATTAGCTGCTTGGGAGGCTGAGGTGGGAGCCTGAGCCCAGAGAAGTTGAGTGAGCCATGATTGTGTCACTGCACTCCAGCCTGGGAAACAGTGAGACCTTGTCTCAAAAGAAAAAGAGGTATTTTAAATTTTTTTAAAAGAGGTTTAAGTTTCCACACTAGACTTATAAAGCCAGTAAACACTGGCAAATTATTCTTCTCACATAACTTTAACTGCACATTCCCTGACAGAGTAAATATATATTTGACCTACTATTTTTAAAATATTAACCATTGTTTTTTCTCTCTAGCTATTTCCTTCCTCTCCCTGTGTTCTCCCCATTTAAATAGTGACGCTGGCCAGACACACTGGCTCACACCTGTAATCACAGCAATTTGGGAGCCCAAGGCAGGAAGATCACTTGATCCCAGGAGTTTGCGACCAGCCTGGGCCACATAGCAAGACTCTCATGTCTTACCAAAAAAAAAGCTTGGGCAACATGGCGAAACCCTGTCTCTACAAAAAATACAAAAAATTAGCTAGGCATGGTGGCATACGCTTGTGGTCCTGGCTACTAGGTAGACTGAGATGGGAGGATCGCTGGAACCTGGGAGGTAGAGGTCACAATGAGCCAACATCACGCCACTGCACTCCAGCCTATGCCACAGAGCAAGAGCCTGTCTCCAAAAAAAAAAAAAAAAAATAGTGAGGCCGTGTTCACTGCTTAGAGGAGGTGTTAGCAGCAAAAAGCCTTTTCCAAGGGTCTCTCTGGCCATGGCGTCCAATAGCCTAGGTACTTAAGTAGAACCATATAGGACTTTAGATTATCTTAACAGACAGCTTTATAGACAGGTAACACTGAAGATAAGGGGGGCACCCCCAACACCTTCCCCTCTTCTCCTCTTCACTCCAACTATAGAGGCTTAGTCCTACGTAACTATAGAAACTTTTGGGGTTGGGCGCTGTGGCTCATGCCTGTAATCGCAGCACTTTGGGAGGCTGAGGTGGGCAAATCCCTTGAGGTCAGGAGTTCAAAACCAGCCTGGCCAACATGGTGAAACCCCATCTCTACTAAAAATACAAAAGTTATCCAGCTGTGGTGGCATGCACCTGTAATCCCCGCTACTTGGGAGGCTGAGGTGAGAATCGCTTGAACCCGGGAGGCAGAGGTTGCAGTGAGCAGAGATCATGTCACTGAACTCTAGCCTGGGCGACAGAGTGAGACTCTTGTCTCAGAAAAAAAAAACAAAAAACAAAAAACAAAACCCTTTAGGACTCCCAAATTGACTGAAATTATGATTCTATCACCATGGTTGAATGAGATTTTTTTTTTTTTTTTTTTTTTTTTGATACGGAGTCTGGCTCTGTCTCCCAGGCTGGAGTGCAGTGGCGCGATCTCGGCTCACTGCAAGCTCCGCCTCCCAGGTTCACGCCATTCTCCTGCCTCAGCCTCCCGAGTAGCTGGGACTATGGGTACCCGCCACCACGCCTGGCTAATTTTTTGTATTTTTAGTAGAGACGAGCTTTCTCCGTGTTAACCAAGATGATCTCGATCTCCTGACTTCGTGATCCGCCTCAGCCTCCCAAAGTGCTGGAATTACAGGTGTGAGCCACCGTGCCCGGCCGAATGGGATCTTAAAATATAAATTAAGTTATATTTCTTGCTCACCTGAGGTGAACTGAAACCCCTACTTCTATATGCAGTTAATGAGTCTATTATAATGGTATTATGCTCTGTGAAAGAAGGACTGGAGTTCATGAGAGCCTATAATGGGCATCCGATCTTGGGAGAAAAGGGGGCAGCAGGCGATTGGGTTAGGCTTCCTTGAATTTGAGCTCAGATCTCAAGGACGAATATGAAGTAACTTGACGAAGGATGTGGTCCAAGCAGTTGTATCTCATCTCCAGTGCTTTTAGCTCCAACATTCTCATGTCCTTTCCCCCCACCAAAAATATTCCCACCATTACTTTGTTACCAGGAAAACTTGTCCAGCCACATCCCCTTTCAATAGCCTTAGTTTCTCAATTCTTAGATGCCCAAAGTGTCTTATGGATGTTATCATTTTCTAAGAGTTTTACATGGAAAATTTTCTTATTTGTTATTTATTTTATTCTTTTATTTATTTATTTTGAGTCAGGATCTCGCTCTGTCACCCAGGCTGGAGTGCAGTGGTGCTTCTCGGCTCACTGCAGCCTCGACCTTTCAAGGCTCAAATGATCCTCTCACCTCAGCTTCTCAAGTAGCTGGGACCACAGGTGCACACAACCACACCTGGATAAGTTTTTGTACTTTTTGTAGCGATGAGGTCTCACATTGTTGCCTAGGCTGGTCTCGAACCCCTGGACTCAAGTGATTCTCCAGCCTCAGCCTCCATAAGTGCTGGGATTACAGGCATGAGTCACCGTGCCTAGCCTATATTGAGAATTCTCTAGATGTTTTAAGATGCCATCTTGATTTTTGCAGCATATCTGTGACACATCTAAACATTTTCATACAACACGGGCATATCAACTCACATATTTTCCCCTCATAGTATTCATATGGAACCATAATACTCCACCTTTCGCCATACGAATCTACCATGTTGAGTAGCAAATGAAGGAAAAATATTTTCCCACATCATTAATTACTCCACTTTTAAGCAAATACTTTTCCTCTTTGGCTTTAGAACAGCTATTATGGCTGCCAGCTGGGATTCCCAGGAGGTTTAAGAGCATTAATCACCAGAATATGCTTTGTTCTTTTTTAAGGAAAATAAGACTAAATTAAGTTGAGCAAGATGGCTCATGCCTGTAGTCTGAGAGACTCAGGAGGCTGATGTGGGAGGATCGCTTGAGGCCAGGAGTTCAATACCATTCTGGGCAGCACAGTGAGACCCCCATCTAAAAGACTAAATTAAAGACACACTCAGGTATTTTTCCCCTGGTTAGAAGAGGCATAAAATTTGGTGATTAACTTCCTAATACCCACTAGTGATTTTTTTCAGTTACTATAATTTTAGTAATTCTTAATTGAAATATCAGCAAATTAAAATTTAACTATTTAGCCTAAATCTATTAATATTTTCTGAGCTCCAAACTCCCAAATCCAATTGCCTTCTGACTTTATTTATTTATTTATTTATTTATTTATTTATTTATTTATTTTGAGACGGAGTCTCACTCTTGTTGCCCAGGCTGGAGTGCAGAGGTGCAATCTCAATTCACTTCAACCTCTGCCTCCCAGGTTCAAGCAATTCTCCTGCCTCAGCCTCCTGAGTAGCTGGGATTACAGGTGCCAGCCACCATGCCCGGCTAATTTTTGTAGTTTTAGCAGAGACGGGGTTTCACCATGTTGGCCAGGCTGATCTCGAACTCCTGACCTCAGGCAATCCGCCCACCTCGGCCTCCCAAAGTGCTGGGATTACAGGTGTGAGCCACTGCACCTGGCCACCTTCTGACATCTTTTAAATTTCTCATGGGCATCTCAAGGTAATTATGTCCAAAACTGAATTCTTGATCTTTCTCTTCAAATCTGCTTTTCCACCAATCTTCTCATATTGATAAATATTATCAATATTCACCCATTTGCTCTATTTTTGGACTCTGGAAGGCACCACACACACTGTCCTTCAGCCTACAATGCACTTCTCCCACTCTTTACCTGAATGGCTTCTGTCTATCTTCAGCTTAAATGTCACTTCATCAAAGAGGCCTTCCCTGACCCTCTCTCAATCCAAATGGCATTCTCTCCTGTCCCCATACGTCTCTGTCACAGTGCTTATCACAGTTTTTCACGGTGTGTCTGAGGACTGCCCGTGCATTGCCTGGCCCCCCAGCCCATGTGTGAGTGTGGAGGAAACAGGAACCCTGGCTCCTGCTGTCAGTGCCCAGCAGAGTGCTTATGGCAAAGCAGGGGCTCAGGATTTTTTGGATGAAGGAGTGAATTGTCCATATCTGTGTTTCGTAAAGTAAGGGCCACAGAAATCATTCTCTTGGATGACAATATATGTTTCCAGACAGAAGGGTTCTGCGATCAAATAAGTTTGTTAAATAACTGAGTTAAACAAAGTTCAACAGGTTTCTGTACTGCAGGACATCTCAGAGCCTATAATTTATTAAGGAACACTGTGAATACAGAACCTGAAAGGGGAAGTGTATGTGATGTTTCTCAAACAAGTTACATTACAGAATCCTTATTTTACTGTCTTTTTATTTATTTTTTTTCTTTAGATGGAGTCTCACTGTGTCGCCCTGGCTAGAGTGAAGTGGCGCAATCTCGGCTCACTGCAACCTCCACCACCCAGGTTCAAGCAATTCTGCCTCAGCCTCCTGAGTAGCCGGGATTACAGGCACGTGCCACCAAACCCAGCTAATTTTTGTATTTTTAGTAAAGATGGGGTTTTGCCATGTTGGCCAGGCTGGTCTTGAACTCCTGACCTCAGGTGATCCACCCACCTCGGCCTCCCAAAGTGCTGGGATTACAGGCATGAGCCACTACACCTAGCCCCTGTCTCTCTTTTTCTTTCTTTCTCTCTTTTTCTTTCTTTCTCTTTCTCCCTTCGTTCCTCCTTCCTTCCTCTTCCTTCCTCTCTTCTTTCTTTCTTTTTCTTTCTTTCTCTCTTTCTCTCCTCCTCTCTTTCTCTCTCTCTTTCAAGACAGGGTCTAACTCTGTTGCCCATGCTACAGTGCAATGGCACAATTACAGCTCACGGACTGCAGCCTCAAATCCCAGGCCCAAGCAATCCTCCCACCTCAGCCTCCAGAGTAGATAGGACTACAGGTGTGTGCCACCACACCTGACTAATTTTTTAAAATTTTTCTGTGGAGATGGGGTTTCACCACGTTGCCCAGGCTCTTCTCAAACTCATGGGCTGAAGCGTTCCTCCCACCTCGGCCTCCCATATTGCTGAGATTACAGGCATGAAACACCACGCCCAGCCTATCTTTCACGATGAGTGTTCTAAAGACCATATGGTGGAAATTCTAGCAAACAACAATAATTTGGCACTTAATAAATGGTTGGGTGCAGCAGCTCAGACTTATAATCCCAGCAATTTCGGAGACTGAGGTGGCAGGATCCTTTGAGTCCAGGAGTTCGAGACCAACCCGGGCAACATAATGAGATTCTCTCTACAAAAAAAAGAAAAAATTAAAAAGCCAGGCATGGTGGCACACACCTGTAGTCCCAGCTACTCAGGAGGCTGAGGTAGGAGGATTGCTTGAGCCCAGGAGGTCGAGGCTGCAGTGAGCATGATTGCACCACAAATGTTTCTTTTTAAAATATATATTTATATGTATTGTGCAGTCACTACCTAAGCCTTCTGTAAGCATCATTTTATTTACCTTTCACAATATTCCTAGATGTTATGTAGTTTATAGATGATCAAGCAGCTTGTAAGAGGTGCAGTCAGGGTTTAAATCTGCTCATTTGACTTCAAAGCCTGAGCTCTTAATTACTAAACACAGACTCTCAAAAATATCCTCCAGAGGGTGCGGCAGTGCATGCCTCTAGTCCCAGCTCCTCAAGAAGCTAAAGCAAGAGGATCACTTGAGTCCAGGAGTTGAGTCCAGCCTGGGCAAAATAACATAGACACCCAATCTAAAAAAAAAAAAAATCCTCCATACTTCTTCACACTATCTGCACATATAACCTGCTCTAGAGATAGAGGCAGCTCCACTTGTAATACAGTAGCATGTCTGACATGAAAGCTTTCTTGTAATATTATCTTTTCATGCATGTAGTAGTTTTCTATTATTGTGTAGCAAATTACACAAACTTAGTGGCTTAGAACAACACTCATTTCGGAGCCCACAGTTCTATAGGCCAGAAGTCTGGGCAGATTTGGTTGAGTTCTCTGCTCATGGTCCCATTTGGCTGATATCAAGATGTTCGCCAAGCTACATTTCTTGCTGGAAGCTCTCAAAAACAAAACAAAACAAAAAACGAAAAACTTCTTCCAAGCTCATTTGGGTTGTTGGCTAGATGCAGTTCTTTGAGGTTGAAGAACTGAGGTCCTTCTTTCCTCTCTGGCTGTTAGCCAGGGGCCACTCTCATCTCCTAGGGGCCACCCATGTTCTTGGCCACATGGCCCCTCCATCTTCAATGAAGAGTCTTCGTCACATTAAATCCCTCTCACATTTTCTTTTGTCTTTCTTTTTTTTTGAAATGGAATCTCGCTCTGTCACCCAGGCTGGAGTGCAGTGGCATGATCTCGGCTCACTGCAACCTCCATCTCCCAGGTTCAAGTGATTCTCCTGCCTCAGCCTCCTGAGTAGCTGGGATTACAGGCGCATGCCACCACGCCCGGCTAATTTTTGTGTTTTTAGTAGAGACAGAGTTTCGCCATGTTGGCCAAGCCGGTCTTGAACTCCTGACCTCAAGTGATCCGCCCGACTTGGCCTCCAAAAGTGCTGGGATTATAGGCATGAGCCACCACACCTGGTCCCCTCTCACATTTTCAAGTTTTGACTTCCCCTGTCTCAGACCTCTAGACCTAGACACAGATTTAAAGAGCTCATGTGATGAGGTCAGGCCCATCTAGATAAAATCTCTTTATCTTAAAGTCCACTGACTTGGGATCTTAATTACATCTTCAAAATCTCTTCACAGCAATGCCTAGATTATTGTTTGGTTTACTAAGTGGGAGAAAGTGTGTGTACACTTGGGGTTAGGTATATTGAGAGCTATCTTCGATAGCTAACTTCTGCTGCCCACATGCATTCTTCGCCAGATCATAGGCCATCCAAAGGCAGGAACCATGTTTTGTTCTTGTGCCTTTCCTGTCAGTACTTGGGACACAGGCACTCGCTCCTTGTTTCCAGATGGTTGGTTATCACCACCCTCCCACCACCGCGCATAGGATCCTCACTGTAATTTCGTTGTTGTCAAGCTTTCATTTATTGATTTTTCTGTGATACTTATCTAAAGAATGACTAGGAAAGTTAAATCCTTAAATCCAAATTCAACTTTTTTCAGTAATTACTCGGAACTTTGGTGTCACCACTCTAGGAAATTGGGAAGAAAGTTTCAAAATTCAATAAATTTTACAGAGAGGAGCTGTGGACCAAGATCTAGAAAAGTCCACAATTTCTTCCCTTGGGTATTTTAGAGTAAAAGTATCAGAAAAGGGGGTCTACTTGGAAGTCTGGGTACATTCATTACAAATTTCCCTTGGTGGGCAGATAAAATACGCCAACAGCTAAAGACTGTAGTCAATGAATACTTGCCAAGTATAACAAAAAGTGCACTATGTACTTCCATGATGACTTCCTGCCCACGAACCTGGTGCCTACAACAGGATCAAATTGGCAGGTGCTGCTCTGTTATGACCAGGTGGCTCATAGCCCTGAAACCTCTCTTGTCTCAGGAGTGCTTTTCATGACAAGAGGCAGTGTCAATAATAGCAGCCTTATTTGATGCATATTGACCATCAGTACGTGACAGTGACTCTCCAAATAAGTTTGGGAACAAGAGAGAATCCAATAATATATATATATAATAATTATATATATATATATATATTTAATTTGCAAGCTCAGCAGGATTCACAATAGCAAAGGTATGGAATCAACCCAAGCATCCATCAATGGATGATTGGATAAAGAAGATGTGGCATATATGCATAACAGAATACTTAGATGAAATGGACAGATTCCTAGAAACACTGAAACTACCAACATTGACTCAAGAAGGAATAGAAATGAGCTCACTTCTTTGTGCATTTCATGTAAGTTATCTTCTTTGAAGAAGATTGGCTGTAAAGAGAGAGAGATGTGGTTACTAAAGGAAAGAAGTGGCCCCTGGAGAGTCAGGGTTCCTGTTTTTAGGATGCAGGAAACTTGAACACGGTTGAGCAATAAAGAACCAATGTAGTGAAGGGGCTGAGGACATAAGAGGAGAAAGAGAAGCCGGGTGCTGAGGAGGCAGGAGATGGATGGTATCTGGTAGGACAAAGCCAATCTCCTGCCTGCCCACAGCCACAAAGAGTCAGGTATGGGAGCATGGACAGCCTCTGGGAGGGCCACCAGAAAGGCAGTATCTCTAGAGAGAGGCAAGTCTCGAGGCAGGGAGATGCAGAGGGTACAGACTAAGAGACTGTGTTTTTCAATGGACAGGCATCTCAGAGGACATAAAAAGAATGATTAAAACAGAGGCTGGTAGTAGGTGGAGGTACACTTGGGTCTCGGTCACTGTGGAAGCCAAACAGACTGTATTTTATTTCAACCTGGGCAGCATGCCGTCCTCCAAAGCCTTCTCCTTCTCTGATATTCCAGGCTGGGTTGAGTGACCCTCACCTACACACATTCTACCCTGTGATACTTCTATTATAGCAGTTAATTGCATTGTATTTTAATTGCATATTTACTTGATGTTCTCCACTACTAGACCATTACAGCAATTAGTATAATCTTTACATAAGTGGTTTTTGCAATTTTCTTTTCTCACTAATTTTTTTAGATCTCCAAGTCAATAATTATAAAGAAGAACTTTGAAAGAAAAACTTATTATGGAAAATTTTAAACATGTACAAAAGCAGAGGGAATAGTATAATGAATTTCTATGTACTTACTTGTCATCCAGATTCAGCAATTATTAATTCATGGCCATTCTTCCTTCATCTATACTCCCACCCACTACCCAACCCCAGTTCCTTTGAAGTGTATCACAGGCCCCACATCATTTCATCTGAAATGTTTCAAAAAGATAATTCTGACCAGGCGCAGAGGCTCACACCTATAATCTCAGCACTTCAGGAAGCCAAGGCAGGAGAGAATTGCTTGAGCCCAGGAGTTCAAGGCCAGCCTGGGCAACATAGGGAGACCCCATCTCTACAAATAATTTAAAAATTAGCCAGGCATAGTGGCATGCACCTGTGGTCCCAGCTACTCAGGAGGCTGAGGTGGGAGGATCACTTGAGCCCAGGAGTTTGAGGCTACAGTGAGGCATGATCACCCCACTGCACTCCAGCCTGGGCAAGAGTGAGACTGTCTGAATTTTTTTTTTTTTTTTGAGACGGAGTCTCACTCTGTGGCCCAGACTGGAGTGCAATGGCATGATTTTGGATCACTGCAAACTCTGCCTCCCAGGTTGCCATGATTCTCCTGCCTCAGCCTCCCGAATAGCTGGGATTACAGGCATGCACCACCATGCCTGGCTAATTTTTCTATTTTTAGTAGAGATGGGGTTTCACTATGTTGGCCAGGCTGGTCTCAAACTCCTGGCCTCAGGTGATCCTCCCGTCTTGGCTTCCCAAAGTGCTGGGATTACAGGCATGAGCCACGGCACCCAGCCTGAAAAATTGTTTTAAAATAGGAAGATAGGCCAGGCACAGTGGCTCACGCCTGTAATCCCAGCACTTTGGGAGGCTGAGGCGGGCGGAACACAAGGTCAGGAGATCGAGACCATCCTGGCTAACACGGTGAAACCCCGTCTCTACTAAAAATACAAAAAATTAGCCGGGTGTGGTGGCGGGCGCCTGTATCCCAGCTACTCGGGAGGCTGAGGCAGCAGAATGGCGTGAACCCAGGAGGCGGAGCTTGCAGTGAGCCGAGATTGTGCCACTGCACTCCAGCCTGGGCAACACAGCGAGACTCCGTCTCAAAAAATAAAATAAAATAAAATAGGAAGATAATTATATTTTTAAAAACATAACCATAATATCATTACAATATACTTCTTAAATTAACAATTTTTGATATTTGATGTTAACCATCAAATATCCAGTCAATATTCAAATTTCCTGAATTGACTCATAAACATTTTTAATTTTTAAAAAATCATTACAATTGGTTATATAGCTACTCTATTTTATTTACTTATTTATTTAATACCATTAAATCTCTTTTAATCTATAGGTTCCCTCTTCCCCTCCTTATTTCTTCATGAAATTAATTTTTTTAAAAAACTGGAGAATTTGTCCTACAGAGTTTCCCACATTGTAGATTTTGATGGTTGCATCCCCATTGCAGTATTTTATGTATTTCTAAAGAGGGTCCTTTTTAAACAGTATATAGTTTACCCTGTTAAAATATTCAATTTAATTCTCATAGCACAATTATTGACATATTTTCTTAGGACCTTGTGCCTAAAAATAGCAAGAGCAGGCAAGGTGTGGTGGCACATGCCTATAATCCCAGCACTTTGAGAGACCAAGGCGTGTGGATCACTTGAGGTCAGGAGTTCGAGACCAGCCTGGCCAACATGGTGAAACCCCATCTCTACTAAAAATACAAGCATTAGCTAAGAGCGGTGGTGGGCACCTTTAGTCCCAGCTGCTCAGGAGGCTGAAGCAGGAGAATCACTTGAACCCAGGAGGCGGAGTTTGCAGTGAGCCGAGATCACACCCCTACACTCCAACCTGGGTGACAGAGCTAGACTCAGTCTTAAAAAATAAATAAATAAAATAAAATTAGCAAGAACCAACTCAAGCTAGCTATCTTAGTTCAGGCTGCTATAACAAAAATACCACAGGGTGGATGGCTTAAACAACATTTAATTCTCATAGGTCTGGAGGCAGAGAAGCCAAAGATGAAGGTTGTGGCCGGTCCAGTATCTGGTGAGGGCTTGCTTCCTGATCTGCAGATGGCTGTCCTCTTGCTGTGTCCTTACACAGTGGAGAGCAGAGAAAGACAAGCAAGCTCTTTTGTGTCTTTTTTTTTTTTTTTTTTTTTTTTACCTGAGACAGAGTTTTGCTCTTGTTGCCCATGCTGCAGTGCAATGATGAGATCTCAGCTCACTGCAACCTCTGCCTCCTGGGTTCAAACGATTCTCCTGCCTCAGCCTCCTGAGTAGCTGGGATTACCGGTGGCCGCCATCATGCCCAGCTAATTTTTTGTATTTTTAGTAGAGACAAGGTTATCATGTTGGCCAGGCTGGTCTTGAACTCCCGACCTCAGGTGATCCACCCGCCTAGGCCTCCCAAAGTGCTGGGATTACAGGCATGAGCCACTGCGCCCAGCCTCTTCTTTATTATTATTATTATTATTATTATTATTATTATTATTATTTGTTTGTTTGGTTTTTTCTTTTGTTTTTATATTCTGGATGTGAGTATAACATCTAAATTTTTTTTTGTTGTTTTTTGTTTTTTGTTTTTGAGACAGGGTCTCACTCTGTCACCCAGGCTGGAGTGCAATGGTGAGATCATGGCTCCCTGCAGCCTCAACTTCTCGGGCTCAATTTCCCGAGGAACTGAGACCACAGGCACGTGGCACCATACCTGGCTATTTTCTTTTTTTTTTTTTTTTTTTCAGTAGAGATGAGGTACCGCTACATTGCCCAGGCTGTTCTCAAACTCCTGGGCTCAAGCAATCCTCTCACCTTGGCCTCTCAAAGTGCTGGGATTACAGGAGAATACAGGAGCAAGCCACCATTTCAGCCTCTTATGTCTCTTCTTTTAAGGGCACTGATCCCATCACAAGGGCTCCACCCTCATGACCTAATCACCTCCCACAGGCTCCATCTCCAAATACCATTACTTTAGGGATTAGAGTTTCGAAGTACAAATTTGGGGGAAACATAAACATGCAGACCATAGCAATAGCCCAAGCAGAAAGATGGAACTTTAGAAGTCGGCAAACTAGCAAAGGCTGCTGGCTACCCTCTCCCAGCCCAGCCCTGCCCCGGGAAAACTGGATTATGATTGAACAATTCTATAAATTTTTAACACCTATGTTCTAGTAGGGAAACACAGATAATAAATAAGTAAAATATATACGATGGCTGATGGTAATAAATGCTACAGAGAAAAAGTGTATGGACCTAGGAAACTACAAAGGCTGCAAGAATTCTTCTCCCCTTCCTCCAAGGGAGAAAGAGAGAGTGGTTAGGATCTGGTGCTGGGGACAGGCTGGGGGAGGGTGCTGTTCTGTCTCCAGATGATTACAATTCAGAACTAAAGTTAGATGATACCAGCATGTTGGGGAAGGGAAGCAGGGTTGGTTGGAGACAGAGGGGATGCTGTTAGACTTGTCTTAGATGCAGAGAAGATAAATATTTTAATCCATTTAAAAAAGTGATAGGGAAAAATAAACATAATTAAAGGTCTTAATTCAATCTACCTAGTGGAAAGCTGGAAAGAAGAGATATATCCAAAAAATTAGAGTATAAAAAACATAAAATAAGGCAAGGCCGGTGGCTCACACCTGTAATCCCAGCACTTTGGGAGGCCAAGGCAGGTGGATCACCTGAGGTCAGGAGTTTGAGAGCAGCCTGGCCAACAAGGCGAAACCCCGTCTCTACTAAAATTACAAAAATTAGACGGGCATGGTGGCACATGCTTGTAGTCCCAGCTACTCAGGAGGCTGAGGTAGAAGAATCGCTTGAACCTGGGAGGCGGAGGTTGAAGTGAGCCAAGGTCGCGCGCCACTGCAATCCAGCCTGTATGAAAGAGCGAGACTCCATCTCAAAAAAAAAATATATATATATATGTGTGTGTATATATATGTGTGTGTGTGTGTGTATATATATATGCACACACACATATATATAATAAGTGGCAAAAATGAATGACAAAAAAGTAGAGAGAAATAAAAGTTGAATTCATCAATCTGAAGATAAAAACTTTCAGAGTTTTTTTAAATTAACAAGATCTAGTAATGTGTAAACTATATAACAACAGACCCACTTAAAACAAAAAGGATATAGACAGGTAAAACATAAAAAGGTAGAAAAAGATGAAGGCATAGGAACAACAAGATAACACAGACCACAACTTCAATATTAGAAAAAATAGGACTCAAAGTTAAAGTATCATAAAGAGGACATTAAATATTGAAAAACGGAACAATAGATCAGGAAGATTTAAAGATCATGAATACATTACATATAGCAACTGTATTAGTTCTTGCACTGCTATAAATACCTGAGACTGGGTAGCTTATAAAGAAAAGAGGCTCTGCAGGCTGTACAGGAAGCATGCCTGGGGAGGCCTCCGGAAACTTACAATCATGATGGAAGGTGAAGGGGAAGCAGGCACATCTTACATGGCTGGAGCAGGAGGAAAAGGGGGCGGGGAGGTGCCACACACTTTTAAACAACCAGATCTCGTGAGAACTCTATCACAAGACAGCACTAGGGGGATGCTGCTAAACCATTAGAAACCACACCCATGATCCAATCACCTCCCACTAAGCCCCGCCTCCAACAATGGGGATTACAATTCAACATGAAATTTAGGCAGGGGCACAGATCCAAACCATATGAGCAACAACAGCTCCAAAATATATAAAGCATCCATGAACAAAATCACAGAGATAAACAGATGGGTAAACAATTTTTTTTTTTTTTTCTGAGACAGAGTTTTGCTCTTGTTGCCCAGGCTGGAGTGTAATGGCGCGATCTCGGCTCACCACAACCTCCGCCTTCCAGGTTCAAGTGATTCTCCTGCCTCAGCCTACCAAGTAACTGGGATTACAGGGGCCCGCCACCACACCCGGCTTTAAAATTTCTCACTTTTGTACTCTTTCCCTTTATTTCTCAGACCGGCTGACACTTAGGGAAATAGAAAAGAACCCACGTTGAAATATCGGGGGCTGAATTTCCCCCGATTAAAAAAAAAATTATTTGAAATAATCACTTAACAAATATTTATTGATCACATATTATGTGCCAGATGTGTTCTAGATATTGGGGGTACAGAAGTGAACAAAACAGTCAAAATTCCTATCTCCCAAATTTATGGAGACAGATGCAGATCTGTGGTTGCCTAGGACTGGAGTAGAACAGAAATTAATGGTAAAGGGGCACAGCAAACTGTTTGGGGTGATGAAAATGTTCTAGACACGATCACGATTGAACAATTCCATAAATTTACCGAAATTAAAAGAACTCTCATTCTACTGGGAGGAAATAGACAATAAATAGAAGTAAAATGCACACACAAACGCTATAGAGAAAATAACCCAGGGAAGGGGCATGGAGAGGGAGGAGGAGGGGCAAGTTTAAATAGAGTGGGCAGGCAAGGCAGGGCTGAGAGGGTGTCATTCAAATGGCATCTGGAAGGAGGGAAAGAACATTTGTGAAGCTGTCTGGAGGACAATGATTCCAAGCAGAAAGATAAGAAAACAAAGAAACAAGCAAAAACCAAATCCTGAAAACAAATGAAGGTAAGAAATCAGAAAACAAGGCCAGGAGCGGTGGCTCATGCCTGTAATCCCGGCACTTTGGGAGGCCAAGGCGGGCAGATCACAAGGTCAGGAGTTGGAGACCAGCTTGGCCAACATGGTGAAACTCATCTCTACTAAAAATACAAAAATTAACCAGGCATGGTGGTGCGTGCCTGTAATCCCAGCTACTCAGGAGGCTGAGGCAGGAGAATTGCTTGAACCTGAGAGGCGGAGATCACAGCGAGCCGAGATCGCACCATTGCACTCCAGCTGAGCAATAGAGTGAGACTCCGTCTCAAAAAAAAAGGAAAAAGAAAAGAAATCAGAAAGAAGTAACAAGTCACAAACGGAAGAAAAAAAATCCGTAAAAATAAAGGCAGAAATTAAAGAGAACACCCAAAACAATTACACAATAGAGAACATCAACAAAATTAAAGCTGTTTCATAAAAAAGAACTGACAAAACTAATGAAGAAAACAGCAGACAAGAAGTCACCAAATCATGAAATGGAAAAATAAATACTATGCAAACACGACAGAGTTTAACATAACAATAAAATAATAAAATGAGGCTGGGCGCAGTGGCTCATGCCTGTAATCACAGCACTTTGGGAGGCAGAGGTGGACGGATCACAAGGTCAAGAGATCAAGACCATCCTGGCCAACATGGTGAAACCCCGTCTCTACTAAAAATACAAAAATTAGCTGAGTGTGGTGGCCGGCGCCTGTAGTCCCAGCTACTCGGGAAGCTGAGGCAAGAGAATCGCTTGAACCCAGGAGGCAGAGGTTGCAGTGAGCCGAGTTCATACCACTGCACTCCAGCCTGGCAACAGAGCGAGACTCCATCTCAAAAAAAAAATGATAAAATAAAATGGCAACTATCTGACAACCTACATAAAAGAGGTAAATTTCTGAAAAAAGAAAAAATCAGAAAATCCCAAAATTAATACAAGAAAGAAAAGACATTTGAAGAGACTAATAATTTAAAGTAATTGACGTGATTATCAAGGACATCCCCAACCTCACTCCCAACATAAAAGGGCCTGCTCAAAGTGGTTTAACTATTGAGTTGGCAATTTTCAAGGAACAGAAAATAACCATTTATGTGCGAATCATTCTAGAAAATAGAAAATGAAGGATAGCCTCCTTTCTTGAGGCTGGGATAATTTGATTTCTAACCCAGACAGTGTCAGAACAAGAAAAGGAAATTATGGGTCCTTTGCACTTGTGAGCACGGATGTACAAATCGAAATAAAATATTAACCATCTGAATCCAACAGAAAGTTACAAATATTTCATAGTTAAAAAAAAATTAGGCTGGGTGCGGTGGCTCACGCCTGTAATCCCAGCACTTTGGGAGGCCGAGGCAGGCAGATCACAAGGTCAAGAGATCAAGACCATCCTGGCCAACATGGTGAAATCCCAACTCTACTAAAAATACAAAAATCAGCTGGGCATGGTCGCGTGCACCTGTAGTCCCAGCTACTCAGAAGGCTGAGGCAGGAGAATTGCTTGAACCCAGGAGGCAGAGGTTGCAGTGAGCCAAGATCATGCCATTGCACTCCAGCCTGGTGACAGAGCAAGACTCCATCTCAAAAAAAAAAAAAAAAAAAAAATCAGCTGGGTGTGGTGGCAGGTACCTGTAGTCCCAGCTACTCAGGAGGCTGAGGCAGGGGAATTGCTTGAACCTGGAGGGCCGGAGGTTGCAGTGAGCCGAGATCTTACCACTTCACTCCAGCTTGGGCTAAAGAGCAAGACTCTGTCTCAAAAAAAAAAAAAAAAAGTACATCATGCTCAAATAGCATTTGTCGTAGGAATGCAAGTGTAGGGCAGCATCAAACTCTCCACATGGAGCTGGGCACAGTGCCTCACACCTATAGTCCCACAGTTTGGGAGGCCAAGACAGGCAGATCCACTGAACACAGGAATTTGAGATCAGCCTGGGCAGCATGATGAGACTCTGTCTCTACAAAGTAGCCACGTGTGGTACCATATTCCTATAATCCCAGCTACTTGGGAGGCTGAGGTGGGAGGATCACTTGAGCCCAGGAGGTGGAGGCTGTGGTGAGCTGTGATCACACCACTGCACTCCAGCCTGGGTGACAGAGTGAGAACCTGTGTCAAAAAAACAAACAAAAACTCTACACATGGGTGACTACCTGACATGCGATAAATGTTAAGTATTAGTTATTATTATTGGCTGTTAATAATGGCAGAAAAATGTAAACCATTACAACTTTGGAAGAGAATTTGACATTATCTTGTAAACTTGAACATTTACATAACCTCCAACTCAGCAATTCCACTCCAAGTAGTATGCCCTAAAATTAGCAAAATGTACTTGTGTACGATTGTAGACATATACAAGAATGTTCTTAGCAGCTGTCTTTAAAATAGCTAAGGAAAAAAAAAAGGAAGTAACCCAAATGTCCATCCCCAGGAACATGAATAAATAACTTGTATTATAATCAATCACACAATGGAATGCTGTTCAGCAGTGGGGTTGCAGGGAAGAAAGTAAGGGTCAAAGATCAGCTGGGTGCAGTAGCTCATGCCTGTAATCCCAGCACTTTGGGAGGCTGAGGTGGGTGGATCACCTGAGGTCAGGAGTTTGAGACCAGCCTGGCCAATATGGTGAAACCTCGTCTCTACTAAAAATACAAAATTAGCCGGGCATGGTGCCGAGCACCTGTAATCCCAGATACTTGAGAGGCTGAGGCAGGAGACTCACTTGAACCCAGGAGGTGGAGGTTGCAGTGAGCTGAGATCCCACCATCGCACTCCAGCCTGGGCAACAGAGCAAAAACCCTGTCTCAAAAAAAAAAAAAAAAAAAAAGTAAGGGTCAAAGATGAAAGTGAAAAATTTGTTAAAACCGGGAGAAGTGATTTGCATGTCAAATGAGCATAGTATGCTATTCTCTGCAAGTGAGAAGGAAAGAAATTAAAAGATAAGGATTTATTATAAGGATACACTGTTACTTCATAGACTCCAAAGACAAGAATGTAGCCAAGGAACTAAAATTAACACCTAGGAAGCTTCTAGGTCTCTTTCTCCATCTCTCATCTCTACTCCGTATGGATTTGTTATACTTTTCTCTCTCCATAAACTTATTTCCTCTGTATCTTCTGCAGGTTCACAGTTAGGACAACTGCTTCACACTTGTTAAATGTGTTAAGTTGTGGTTCTAACCATGTGATATCAGAGTATGACATAATTCTTCCTAGGTCCCAGTTTAAAATTTCCAGAAAAAAGAATTCTACAGAGTGTCAAGCAGTTGCCCCCCAAACTGTGGATCATATGGAACAAATTCAGCTGCCAGAGGTCTACTCCTGTAACCTATGGATCCAGGTGGCAACCCTCGAAAGAGGGAATCCTGATAGCTGCGCAGGTATCTATTTGCAAATGACCCATGCAAGTATCAAACTGACATTCATGTACAGATCAAAGGACAAGGATCTCGACTCACTCCCTAAATCTGGGTTTCCAAGTGCAGTCATTTTGTCTACACCCTCAACCTACTTGGAGTGATTCTTAAAAGACTCAGGGGAGTGATCCATGTGAAGTGGCAGGGCAGTCTAGATAGAGGAAGCACCACAGTTAGAAACAAGGAAGAAAAAAAATGTGCATCAAAACAGGAGTGGCTGGACCAAGCGCAGTGGCTCATGCCTGTAATCCCCAGCACTTTGGGAGGCCAAGGCGGGCCTCCCACTTGAGATTAGGAGTTTGAGGCCAGCTTGCCAAACATGGTAAAACACTATCTCTACTAAACATACAAAAAAATTAGCCGGGCATGGTGGTGCACCCCTATAGTCCCAGCTACTCAGGAGGCTGAGGCAGGAGAATCACTTGAATCCAGGAGACGGAGATTGCAGTGAACCGACCACTGAACTCCAGACTGGGCGACAGAGTGTCTCAAAAAAAAAATAAAAACAAAAACAGGAATGGCTGGACCCCTGTTGTGACTACTGCACAGATTCCATATTGGGATCCCAAATGGAGGAAAGAAACGCAGATTTGAAACAGTCAGATTGTGCAAGGGTTTGTATGCCAGCCATTTTGAACTTTGGTTTGAAAAATAGGAAAGGTTTGAAAACCGAAGGTTCTGGAGCATGGAAGTGTCATGATATCATGTACAGTTTAGAAAAATAAATCCAACAGCAATGCGGAGGACAAAGCATTAGTGTAACCACCAACGTTAAATGACTAAAACTTATAGTCTCCGGTGATTAAAATTATTTCTTGGATTTAATCTAGTCTTCAACCTAGTTTGTATTTATTGGCAAATATCTCCCAGATAAATCGGAGAAGTTGTTAAGCAGTCATTGCCCTTGGCCAGTAAATATGCAGTTTATTCACAGAATCCTCCTCTTCACCACCTGCGGAACAGAAGGAGAACATGCACTTTCACCCCCGCATAGTTAGAGGACACTATAAACAAAGAGTCCACGAAGAAGCTTCATCATACCTCACGGGAAAAGTTAGCACATTGCAAATACCATGCAGTTTGTTTATGGACCATGAGTAGGAGATGCTCTGAAAGTAAGTGATATGAACAAGCCATACTTGAGGCAAGATGCTCTCAATGGGCTGTACTTCTTCTATATGAATACCAGCATTTCATTCTAATCCGCTTATTAAGGTAACATGTTCTCTGTATGTGCTCATTTTTCCAAACTTAGGTAATTTACTAACATCTTGTTTCAATTAAGTTTCACAGCCCATTACTTTTGACTAGCCAATAATATCCCTGTGGTGATAATACTACCTATGCATTTGTGAACTCTTCTTATAGTCCATCTTTGTTTAAACTAATACCACAACAGTTCATGTGCAGACAGTTGCTGGAGCAGAATTTTATTTCATTATGCAATTCTAAGTAGCTGAGGCATAGTCAAGGTTCATAAAAGGGGAAAAAACAGAGCAAGAACAACACATTGATGGTAGGCAGGAGCATAAGACAATTTAGATTCTCCATGCACAGCTTTGTCCCTTCTGCACATAGAAGGCCAGAAAGCATCTCTTCATTTCTTTTTCCACTGGGATTTCCTCCTGTCATAGGCAGAAGGGCAGTTTTTGTCCCCTTACATAATGAGGAATACAAAATGTATTTTTATTTTATTTATTTATTTTTATTTATTTATTTATGTTTTTGTGACAGAGTGAGAGAGGAGTGATACACTAGGGTCCTCCTTTGATCTGCTTCCCAGTCACTCCTTCACCAGGTCCCTTTGATTATGCACTGGATATTCTACATCTTCTATGTGTCTGGCACACGATGCCTTCTACTTCTTTTCTGCCCCTTAATTTCTCCTAGTCTGTTAGTGTTTTGCTTTTTGTAGAGACAGGGTCTCGCTGTGTTGCCCAAAATGTTCTCCAACTCCTGGGCTCAAGCGATCTTCCCATCTCTGCCTCCCAAAGCACTGGGATTTTATAAGTGTGAGCCACCACACCCAGATCTGCTTAAGATCTTTAATAAACAATACCCTTTTTGTCTGCCTTTGTGCTGATAGACTTATATTTTTATCACATGGAAACTCCATTACATATTATAGTCCCTCCATTACAGTAAAATCTACATAATGTCAACCATATCCCACCACAATTTCATAGCATGCCAGGAGGAAATCCAGGATGGAAGATATTTGTTTGTATATTTTCATAATCTACTTTAGGCTTTAATTGCAATGAGGCAATAACAGAGGGATATGAATACATTAATCTGTGGCTGACTCTTTGTCATTCACTTCATGTTGACTTCTCCCATCGAAATTCAACATCTCTCTTCATCAACCGCTGCTCCTCAGTCTACTGAGAGCATCCAAAACAAGTTATGTGCAACCTCATGAATATCCAGCTCATTTTGTTCCTCTTCCTTCTCTTGAGACACAAAATGAAATAAAACTTTAGGATATTTATGTGCTCAGAGGCAAACTTATCATTTACTCAAAAAGTGAACAACTTTTGGGAGCAGCTGCTATTCATGAGTAAACCAGAAATCAAATTTCAGAGATGAAGTTTTCACATTTCACACAAATAAACCCTCTAACTGCTACTTACATAAAGTCAGGCAAAATAGTGAAAGGACCTCCAGAGCTTAGCTAAATTGCCCAAAAGAAGCTTTTATTGTTGAGATATGAACATTTGGAACCAGAAAGTCTGTTCTCATTCTGCAAACCTGCTCCCAACAACCCCTTCATCCTATTGATTTCCCTTCCAGCATCTGACTTGATTAATTAAAACTGAAAGGGGAACTGCATGGAAGCATAGAGACATGAAAAAAAAAAAAACACTTTCATTTGTGGAAATAAAAGAATTAATCACACCTTGAAGTCAGAGAAGATGGAGATGGTGGGATTTGAAAGACAGTGATCATCAAAGACCTATTCATCAAAGGCCTTTTGTTAAGAAGAGTGGGTTCTGTCGCACAGATCCTCAGGATGGAGCACCTTCTGTAGTAGATGGAATGGTGATCACCCAAAAGATGTGTTCACACCCTAACCCCTGCAACCTGTGAATGTGACTCTATTTTGAAAGTAGATCTTCCCTGATGGAATTAATTTAAGGGTCTTGACATGAGATCATCCTGAATTACCTAGGTGGACCCTAAATCCAATGACAAGTGTCATTAAAGAGACAGAAGAGGAGAAGACAAGGCCAGATGCAGTGGCTCACACCTGTAATCCTTTGGGAGGCCCAAGGCGGGTGGATCACCTGAGGTCAGGAGTTCAAGAGCAGCCTGGCCAACATGGTGAAGTCCAGTCTCTACTAAAAATACAAAAAGTTAGCCAGGCATGGTGGCAGGCACCTGTAATCTCAGCTTCTCTGGAGGCTGAGACAGGAGAATCGCTTGAACCCAGGAGGCGGAGGTTGCAGTAAGCCAAGATATCACCATTGCACTCCAGCCTGGACGACAGAGCAAGACTCCATCTGAGAAAAAAAAAAAAAAAAAGGAGAGACAGCCGGGAGCAGTGGCTCAGGCCAGGCACAGTGGCTCATGCCTGTAATCCCAGTACTTCGGGAGGCCAAGGCGGGTAGATCACCTGAGGTCAGAAGTTCAAGACTAGCCTGGCCAACATGTTGAAACCCTGTCTCTACAAAAGTACAAAAAGTAGCTGGGCACGACGGCGGGTGCCTGTAATCCCAGCTACTCAGGAGTCTGAGGTGGGAGAATTGCTTGATGCCAGGAGGCGGAGGTTGCAGTGAGCCGAGATTGCCCCATTGCACTCCAGCCTTGGCAACTGAGCGAGACTCCGTTTCAAAAAAAAAAAAAAAAAGGAGGAGAAAACAGACATAGAGGAAAAGAGGAGAAGGCCATGTGAAGATGGAGGCAGAGGGGGCCAAAGCCACGGAAGCCAGCAACCACTGGCAGCTGAACCAGGCAAGGAGTGGAGTCTTTTCTAGAGGGACTGTGGCCCTGCTAACACTTTGATTTTGACTTGTAGCCTCCAGAACAGAGAACAGAGAATAAATTTCTGCTGCTCTGACCCACCCAGTTTGTTACTGCAGCCGTAAGAAACCAATCCACCCTCCCACACTCTGTCCTCCCAGTGATCTGCTATTCATCTTTCAGTCTTCACTCAGGTGTTACGTTCTCCATGAGGGCCCCCTTGATCATCTCAGGTAGAGGGGGCCCTTCCTGCTCTCAACTTGCCCAGGGTCTTTCACAGTGGTTCTCACTTGCCATGGGGTTTCTCCCATTGTTCTTGTTTCATTTTCTGGTGACACCCACCCGCCCTTGACCTTCTCTTTGGCACAATGCCTAAGCCCTGCAGTGACTGTCTTCAAGGATTCCCAGGTCCCTTCCCAAAGCTGTGGCTAAAAGTTGTAACTCAGCCTCACATCTAAGTGATCCCCCTCCCCCTTACACTTGCTCCCTTGAGTTTTGACAGGAGGGTAAAAACAGACTTATAGATTTGTTACCTAAAACAGTACCTAGAGCAAGCCTTCGGACACACAGCGTTATCCATCAGCAGCAACCTCTCCTTACCTTCTTCAACACTTGCCGTCAGAAATTGGCTCTCCTGGCTTCTTCTCCCTCTGTTGAAACAACTCATGAAAGCCGTACAGCTGCCTTCCTGGGAGGAAGGCCAGAATTAATCATCTCACAAAATCTCTAATAAAAGGTTAAATACATATTTGAGGTATAATTGACACAAAAAGAATGGAATTTAATGAACTCTAGGAACTGGTGTGTTGGCTTCCAAAATCCCTTTCTAGGCTGGGCGTGGTGACTCGCTACTGTAATCCCAGCACTTTGGGAGCCCAAGGCAGGCAGATCACTTGAGGTCAGGAGTTTGAGACCAGCCTGGCCAACATGGTAAAACCCGGTCTCTACTAGAAATACAAAAATTAGCCGGTCATGTTTGCGGGTGCCTGTAATCCCAGCTACTTGGGAGGCTGAGGCAGGAGAATGGCTTGAACCCAGGAGGCGCAGATTGCAGTGAGCCGAGATCATGCCACTGCACTCCAGCCTGGGTGACAGAGCAAGACTCCATCTCAAAAAACAAAACAAAACAAAACAAAACAAAACAAAATCCCTTTCTATTGCTCTGTGTCCGGGATTTACCTCTCGGTCCTTCCCCTTCCCAGGTTCAGGGACACAGGCTTTTCAAGCCCTCTTCTCAGAGACCTTACCCCACCTGCCAACTTCAAATTTTCCCCTGTGTAATGGGGGAGATTCATTTGTGTCTCAGGGCTTATCCTGAAACGCAAGCTCAGCAAGGCAAGAAGCCCATCCTCCTTGGAGAGCTCTAGTCACTGGAACATTCACAGGTGAGAATTATCCCTCACCACAAACAGCTTCTCCAGGTATTTCATTCAAACTCCTACGGTGCTTTCCTTAATAGGCCAAGGGAAAGAAATTTTCCCCATTTCCTGAAACATATAGCTTTTATAATCAGAAAAATAAACTTTGAAAAATTAAATAATGTGTGAAATGTTATCTAATGTGTACCATACCCAGACAGAAACAAGTGTTGTTAATATACAGCCTGACTATTGATAGAGTTATGTATCAGAAGAATCTTTTAGGAAGTTGATTTGCCAGCATCTGTCAGTGTTTAAATATGCTTTCTCTTAGACCTGGAAATCCTCCTATCAAGACTCCATTCTGGCTAGGCACGGTAGCTCATACCTGTAATTCCAGCATTTTGGGAGGCCGAGGCAGGAGGATCACTTTAAGCCAGGAATTTAAAACCAGCCTGGGCAACATAGTAAGACCCTGTCTCCATAAAAAATAAAAAATTAGCCGGGCATGATGGCATCTACCTGCGGTCCCAGCTACTTAGGAGGCTGAGGTGGGAGGATTGCTTGAGCCCAGGAGGTTGAGGCTGTAGTGAGCTGTGACCACACCACTGCACTCACTGCCTGGGTAACAGAGCAAGACCCTGTCTCAAAAACATTTTTTAAGACTATTCCTAAATGTACATTCAGAAATGTACATGAATATACATGCAATATACTGGTGTAATATAGCAAAATACCACAGAGAGATTGCTTACCAATTAATAAGAAAATAATTAAATAATAGGACAGGCATGCAAGGAGTACTGTAGCCATTTTAGAGAATGCCTTAGGTAAGTATATTCTGACCTGAAAGCATGTTTATAATACATGGTTGAGTGTTTATTATTCACCTGTCAGGGTTGTAAATTCCCTCACACTGTACTCAGGTGTATAAATAGAATCTTACTCCATTATATCCTGTTACAGATTGCATCTTATGAACTCTCATCATTTGGGGCAGTAGCCAGAGTAAAAAGGTAGTCCAATATCACAATCTTAAACCAATCCAATGATCTCAATACCATTTTAGTTACTCTTTCTCTGCTTGGCTAATTCAGGCAAATATTCAGCTCTAGTTCTCTCAAAGAGGAGGTCTGGGTCTATGGTGACGGCTGTGGCTAGGAGGACCTCCTGGCACTGGGAAAAGGGGGCTTGGCCTCCTGCTGGCTGTTGCAGGTGATGGGGGATAGCAGTCTCTGCTGGGGTGTGGTGTATTGAGTCATAATCCCTGGGCCTTCAGCTGGCATCAGACTCTCCCTCTCCCTCCAATTTGTAGTCCCCATTGCAGCCAGAGTGATGCTTTCAAAACTGCAAATCTAGGCCGGGTTCGGTGGCTCACACCTGTAATCCCAGCATTTTGGTAGACCGAGGCAAGCGGATCACTTCAGGTCAGGAGTTCAAGACAAGCCTGACCAGCATGGTGAAACCGTCTCTACTAAAAATACAAAAAAAATTAGCCAGGCATGGTGGTGCACTCTTGTAGTCCCAGCTACTTGGGAGGCTGAGGCAGGAGAATTGCTTGAACCTGGGGGGTGGAGGGTGCAGTGAGCCGATATGGTACCACTGCACTCCAGCCTGGGCAACAGAACGAGACTCTGCCTCAAAACAGTAGATAAATAAAAAGAAACAAAACTGCAAATCTAATCATGTCACTCCTTTGTAGAGTAAAATTTAACACCTCCTCATTGTCCCTAGGAGAAAGACACAAACCTTAACACCATCTAGGAGGCCTTGCATGTGTTACCCTTAACTTTCTCTCCTCCCTCACCTTGTACAACCCTACCCCATTCCTTGATGCACCTGGCCCTTCTTTCAGTTCCTTGGATGTGTACGGCTTTTGGACCTGCCATCCACCACCTGCCCCCACACTGTGTCCCATTCCTTTTAATTTCTGTTATTCTTCCAAATCCATTCCCCCCAGTCCTCATCTTTTATCTCCTTGACATTCCAATTTCCCTCGATTATGTGCCACAATATATCTCCACTCAAATCTCTTACCACAGTTGTAATTTTATATGTATTTGTGACACATATGGTACTTGAAATATATCAGATGTTTGATAAATACTAGTTCCTTCTTTCTCATTTATAATTTAGGCCTGTCAACCAGGTTGGTGCTCACTGAGGGAATGCCTATTATCCTGCCAGCTATTTCCCACTGTAGATTAATAAACTGAATTCAAGTTTATAAAGCAGCTGGAGAGTTCTGGTTACAATGATTCAGCTCCCCAAAGCCCAGTTGCATGGGACATTGCAATGTTTTTTCAGTTTCCAGGGCCGCTGTAACAAATTATCATAAACTTGTATGGCTTAAAACAATAGAAATGTATTTCCTCACAGTTCTGGAGGCCAGAAATTCCAATCAAGGTGTCAGCAGGGGAGCCAGGCACGGTGGCTCACACCTGTAATCCCAGCACTCTGGGAGGCCAAGGCGGGTGGATCACGAGGTCAGGAGTTCGAGAGCAGCCTGGCCAATATGGTGAAACCCCGTCTCTAATAAAAATACAAAAATTAGCCAGGTGTGTTGGCATGCGCCTGTAATCCCAGCTACTCGAGAGGCTGAGGCAGGAGAATTGCTTGAACCTGGGAGGCGGAGGTTGCAGTGAGCCGAGATAGTGCCACTGCACTCCAGCCTGGGCAACAGAGTGAGAATCCATTTCAAACAAAACAAAACAAAACAAAAAAGTGTCAGCAGGGCTGTGCTTCTCTGAAAGCTCTAAAGGAGGATGTTTCCTTGCCTCTTCCTAACTTCTTGTGGTTACTGGCAACCTCTGGCATTCCTCAACTTGAAGATGCATCACTCCTATCTCTGCCTCCATCAGCACACAGCCTTCTCCCAATGTGTCTGTGTCCAGATTTCCTTCTTCTTACGAAGACATCATTAATTGGATTAGGACCCATCGTCATCCAGTATGACCTCACTTTAACTTAACTAGTTACATCGGTGAAGACCTTATTTCCAAGTAAGGTCACATTCTGAGGTTTTGGGTAAATATGAATTTTGGAGGGATGCCTTCCAACCCAGTACAAATGTTCATTAGTCACCATTAAATATGACTTATTGATAGGCTTATTAACATGCTTGTTAATAACATGCACTCACTGCCTCCTGGGTTCAAGTGGTTCTCCTGCCTCAGCCTCCCAAGTAGCTGGGATTACAAACATGCACCACCACACCCAGCTAATTTTTGTATTTTTTGTAGAGACGAGGTTTCACCATGTTGGCCAGGCTGGTCTTGAACTCCTGACATCAGCCAATCCATCCCCACCTCAGCCTCCCAAAGCACTGGGATTACAGGCTGAGCCACTACGCCCAGCTGAACTTTTTAGAAGTAATAGTCAGGGCATTTTACTGACATGAAAGAATGCTGTGTTCATCCGTTTGGGCCACTGTAACAGAATACTTTAGACTGGGTAATTTATAAACAATAGAAATATATTTCTGGCCAGGCATAGTGGCTCATGCCTATAATCCCAGCACTTTGAGAGGCCAAGGCGGGTGGATCAGTTGAGGTCAAGAGTTCAAGACCAGCCTGGCCAACATGGCAAAACCGCGTCTCTACTAAAAATGCAAAAATTGGCCGGATTTGGTGGCTCACGCCTGTAATCCCAGCACTTTCGGAGGCCGAGGCAGGCGGATCACAACGTCAGAGTTCAAGACCAGCCTGACCAACATGGTGAAACCCTGTCTGTACTAAAAAAAAAAAAAAAAAAGACAAAAATTAGCTGGGTGTGGTGGCACGCACCTGTAATCCCAGCTACTCAGGAGGCTGAGGCAGGAGAATCGCTTGAACCTGGGAGGCAGAGGTTGCAGTGAGCTGAGATTGTGCCAATGCACTCCAGCCTGGGAGATAGATCAAGACTCAATCTCCGAAAAAAAAAAAAAAAGTTCTGGAGGCTGTGAAGTTCAAGATCAAGGCACCAGCATATTTGGTGTCTGGTGAGGGCTTGCTCTCTACCTCAAGGACAAGGCCTGCTTCCTTCATCCTCACATGGGAGAAAATGTGAACAAGCTCCTTCAGGCCTGTTGTATAAGTGCACTAATCTCATTCATGAGAGCTCTGCCACCCAAAGACCCAACCTCCCAACACCACTGCACTGGGAATTAGGCTTCAGTATAGGAAGCTGTGGGGGCCACAAACATTCAGACCATAGCTAACGTTTATGCAATGTTGTTTAGTGTATGTTTTCCTGTATCATAGGTGGAGATTCACTCCCACTCCACTCAGATCTATTAATATAATGTTATCCATTGCTTCCAATTAAAGTATCTAATTTAATCAATTCTCACCTTCTTACTGCCATTTGTATAGAAAACATTGAAAGAAAAAAAATTGAAAAGCAAATCAAAACATCTTCAGACTACAGACTTGTCTTCCTTTGTGTGAATAGAGCATTCATTATCTAATTCCTTGTGGCTTGAAGTTTTCTTCTTGTTTGCTTTTAGACATTTTTTTATGGGAAGTATATTTGTATTAATACTTTATATATGATAAATGATGAGCATTTTCTTTTCTTTCTTTCATTTTTTTTTTTTTTTTTTTTTTTTTGAGATAGGATCTTTCATCCAGACTGGAGCGTGGTGGTAGAACACAGCTCACTGCAGCCTCAGCCTCCTGGGCTTATGCAATCCTCCCACCTCAGCCTGTCAAGTAGCTCAGACCACAGGTACCCCCACATCCAGCTTTTTTTTTTTTTTTTTTTTTTTTTGAGACAGTCTTGCTCTGTCACCTAGGCTGGAGTGCAATGGTGTGATCTTAGCTCACTGCAATCTCCACCTCCCAGGTTCAAGCAGTTCTCATTCTTCCTCCCAAGTAGCTGAGATTGGGCACCCACCACCACGCCTGGCTAATTTTTTATATTTTTAGTAGATATGGGGTTTCACCATGTTGGCCAGGCTGGTGTCGAACTCCTGACCTCAGGTGATCCACCTGCCTCGGCCTCCCAAAGTGCTGGGATTACAGGCGTGAGCCACTGCGCCCAGCCCCAGCTAATTTTTTTAAAACATTTTTGTAGAGATGGGGTCTTGCTGTGTTGCCCAGACTGGTCTCAAGCTCCTAGGCTCTAGCGAACCTCCCGCCTCAGCCTCTGAAAATGCTGGGATTACAGGCCTGAGCCAATGTGCCTTTGTCTTAGAAACTGCTGGGACTAGGTACTTTCTTACTGGCATTGCAAAAAGAAAACCAGAGCTCAGAGAGTTGAGTCTTGGCTATAGTTGATGAGGCAGAAGCTGAGGACCTAGGGTAACTAGACAAGGCCACAGAGAATTGCTCAGAGAGCCAGGTTCTGAGTCACCTGAAATCCTGTGCTGGTCTACAGTGGTGAGGGCTCTCACTCCTGGCATGAGAATGACTTCTGGAACCTCGGAACCTCAGCCAAACATTTCTTCTTATTATTATTTATTTATTTATTTATTTATTTATTTTGAGATGGAGTCTTGGTCTGCTGCCCAGGCTGCAGTACAGTGGCACGATCTCGGCTCACTGGGACCTCTGCCCCTCAGGTTCATGCAATTCTCCTGCCTCAGCCTCCCAAGGAGCTGGGATTAGAGATCACACCAACACACCCAGCTAATTTTTGTATTTTTAGTAGAGATGAGGTTTCGCCATGTTGTCCAGGCTGGTCTTGAACTCCTGACCTCAAGTGATCCACCCACCTTGGCTTCCCGAAGTGGTGGTGGGATTACAGGCGTGAGCCACCAAGCTGGGCCCAAACATTTCTTCTTGACAGAATCCCAAAGTCAATGTCAGAGGTTGGTGCTTCCTTCCTTACATGATACTGTTTCTTACTGTTCAACATAGATTCTGGGGCAAAAGAGGTTTAGAGGACATAGCAATCAGTTACAAATGTCCAATTGTGGATTGAATCCTGGTTTGGACAAATGAACCATAAAAGACATTTCCGGAACAATGGAAATAAATTGAATGTGGACTGAGGTATTAGATAATATTAAAGAATTGTGACTGGGCGCAGTGGCTTACGCCTGTAATCCCAGCACTCTGGGAGGCTGAGGCGGGCAGATCACTTGAGGTCGGGAGTTCAAGACCAGCCTGACCAACATGGAGAAATCTTGTCTCTACTTTAAAAAAAATATAAAATTAGCCCAGCGTGGTGGCATGTGCCTGTAATCCCAGCTACTAGGGAGGCTGAGGCAAGAGAATCGCTTGAACCCGGGAGGCAGAGGTTGCGGTGAGCCGAGACTGTGCCATTGCACTCTAGCCTGGGCAACAAGAGCGAAACTCCATCTCAAAAAAAAAAAAAAAGATTATGATCAATTTTAAGGTGATACATTGTTTCAGCCATATTCTTAAACTTTCAGCTGTACGAACGAACAATTATTTATTTATTTTTGGGGACAAAGTCTCACTCTGTCGCCCAGGCTGGAGTGCAGTGGCGCAATCTCAGCTCACTGCAACCTCTGCCTCCTGGGATCAAGTGATTCTCGTGCCTCAGCCTCAACAATAACTGGGA
This sequence comes from Homo sapiens, assembly GCF_000001405.40. Classification (NCBI taxonomy): domain Eukaryota; kingdom Metazoa; phylum Chordata; class Mammalia; order Primates; family Hominidae; genus Homo; species Homo sapiens. The sequence continues at coordinate 45,090,306 of NC_000013.11, forward strand.
CTACAGGCGCGCTCCACCATGCCAGGCTAATGTTTGTATTTTTAGTAGAGGCAGGGTTTCACCATGTTGGCCAAAGTTGTCTCGAACTCCTGACCTCAAGTGATCTACCTGCCTCAGCATCCCAAAGTGCTGGGATTGCACGCATGAGCCACTGTGCCTGGCCACAACATTTATTATTTTATTTATGTATTTATTTATTTTAAAGTGAAAGCAAGTTTAGTAAGAAAGTGAAGAAATAAAGAATGGCTACTCCATAGGCAGAGCGGCCCAAAAAATGTGTTTTTAAGCAACATTTTGAAATTCTAAAATGCTCTTTTATGTTTTGTAGAGACAGGGTCTCACTATGTTGCCCAAGCTGGTCTCAAACTCCTAGCTCAAATGATCCTCCCACCTCAGCCTCCCAAAGTGCTGGGATTACAGGCGTGAGCCACTGAGCCCAGGCTCTAAAATGTTCTAAAAGTAAAATTGTTACCAACAGTGATTTATGGCAAGGGAGATGGAGGAGAGGACATTTTTACTTTCTACTTTACACACAGGGGAAAAGATATGTATATAACTATCTACTCAAGAAACATCAGACAAACCCAGATTAAGAGACATTCTATAAAATAAAATAACTGGCTTTTATACTTCAAAATGATAAGGTCATGGAAGACTGAGACGAGGAACTGTTTCAATTAAGGGAGACTAAATTAGCTTGACAATACAATGGACAAGTCTGGATTACATCCTGGACTGAAAAAAAAATTTAAACATTTTTGCTACAAAGGACATTACTGGCAAAATATAAAGTCTGTAGGTTAGAAGATAGTATTGTATCAATGCCAAGTTAGTGATTTTGATTATTACACTGTAGTCATGTAAGTGAATATCCTCATTCTTAGGAAAGATATACACTGAAATATTTAAGGGCAAAGGGCATCACGTCTGCATCATGTCTGCAATGCATATTTTGTTTACATACAAAACATATACAAAATACTATATCTATCTGGGAGATATATGTACTCGTGAGTATTATGAGAGAGAGAAAATGTGAGAAAAAAATGTGAGGAGAAAAAGCAATGTGGTAAAATATTTACAACTAGGGAATATAAGTGAAAAGTTCTTTCTACTATTCTTGCAATTTTCTTTTTTCTTTTTTTTTTTCTGAGACAAGGTCTCACTCTGTCACTCAGGCTGGAGTGCAGTGGCATGATCATAGCTCACTGCAGCCTCGACCTCCCAGGCTCAGGTGATCCGACCACCTCAGCCACTCAAGTCGCTGGGATTACAGGTGTGTGCCACCACATCTGGCTAATTTTTTAAATTTTTTGTAGAGACAAGTTCTCACTATGTTGCCCAGGCTGGTTTCGAACTCCTGAGCTCAGGTGATCCTCCTGCCTCAGACTCCCAAAGTGCTAGGATTACTGGTGTGAGCCACCACGCCTGGCCTTCGGCAAGTTTCTATAATAAAAAGTTACCCTCCAACATCCCTTCTCTATCTTTTGAAGAGAATCAAAAAGTTGTTTCCTCATCTGCAAAATAGAAATAAAGGCTGGGCATGGTGGCTCATGCCTGTAATCCCAACACTTTGGGAAACAGACAGGAGGATCATCTGAGCCCAGGAGTTTGAGACCAGCCTGGGAAATATAGTAAGACCCCATCTCTCCCCAAAAAAATCAAAAATTAGCCGAGCATGGTGGCGTGTGCCTGTAGTACCAGGAAATGTGGAGGCTGCAGTGGGAGGATTGCTTGAGCCCAGGAGGCAGAGGTTGCAGTGAGCCTTGATGGCACCACTGCACTCCAACCTGAGCAACAGAGTGAGACTTTGCTTTTTTTAAAAAAAAAAAAAAAAAGAAGAAGAAGAAGAAGAAATAAACAGCCAGGCGCAGTGGCTCATGCCTGTAACCCCAGCATTTTGGGAGGCTGAGGTGGGCAGATCACCTGAGGTTGGGAGTTCGAGACCACCCTGACCAACATGGAGAAACCCCATCTCTACTAAAAATACAAAATTAGCTGGGTGTGGTGGCACATGCCTGTAATCCCAGCTACTTGGGAGGCTGAGGCAGGAGAATCGCTTGAACCCAGGAGGCGGAGGTTGCGGTGAGCCAGAGATCACGCCATTGCACTCCAGCCTGGGCAACAAGAGACAAACTCCATCTCAAAAAAAAAAAAAAAAAAAAAGAAAGAAACAATAGTAATTATCTCTTGGTCTTGTGATTACTAAATTAATGTAGCTTAAGGGCTTGGCATGTTACAAGACAAATTGAATTGGTCAAGTCGCAAATAGTTGAAAACAGAATCCTCTCTCATTAATTTAAGTATAAAGGCATTGACTGAGGGAACTGAAGAGCTCACAGAACTTTTGCGAGGGGCAAAAACCTGGACTCACAGAACAAAACCACACCAATTAAAAAACTAACCCGCCAAGAGAGCTGCTACCCCTGCCACAAGTAGGAAATTAAGGACTATGGAAACCACAACCACAGCTGCTGTTTGACTATGCCGTCTTTGCCATCATCCATGCCAGCCAAGAGATGATTCATAGCCTGCCTCTCTCTCCAGAATTTTCATTCCAAATTAAAACTTCATGTGAGTTTATCTAATCATGGAAGCCTAAAATACTTCTATCCCCTAGCTGCAGAGGATTCTGGGAATGTCATTTTTAGTTTTCCAGGCTTTGCCATGCAGAAAGCCATGCCAGCAGGTGGTTGCAATGGACATGGAGACAGTCAGTATCTGCAAGAGCTCACAAATGTAGCTACTCAATCTCTGAGGTTTCTTCCTATATTTAAATTTCTTTTTTTTGTCTAGGCATGGTGGCTCATGCCTGTAATCCCAGCACTTTGGGAGGCCGAGGTGGGTGGATCACTTGAGGTCAGGAGTTCGAGACCAGCCTGGCCAACATGCTAAAACCCCATCTCTACTAAAAACACAAAAAAGCAGCTGGGCATGGTGGCACATGCCTGTAATCCCAGCCACTCAGGAGGCTGAGGCAGGAGAATCACTGAACCTGGGAGGTGGAGGTTGCAGTGAACCAAGGTTGCACCACTGCACTCCAGCCTAGGCAACAGAGTGAGACTCCATCTCAAAAGAAAAAAAAAAATTTTGCCAGCATCCCAAAGTGCTGAGATTATAGGAGTGAGCCACCACACCCGGCCATATACTTAAATTTCTGTACAGAAAAACACCTGCTTTGCATAAAGCAACTATCTTCTGTATAAACAAAAAGCCCTCTCCTTCTCTTTAAAATGGGAAGCCCAAAGTCACAGGAGTTCCTGGGAGTCCTCTGGGAGACTTTTAATTCTTCTAGATTAGTCAAATTTTGTCTTGATATACTGCAACCTGTGGACTAAATTGAAAATTAACCAAACCAACACATACAAAATGGTAAGGGAAAAGGGAGTGGGGGTGGAAAGAGGAAAACTCATGTTAATACATTAAAAAATACATTACTAATAGAGTTAATAGGTACAGATATTGGCTGAATGCTTCGTGGCCAAGTGTTAATGTTAAAATCAATTCTTTTTTCTTTTCCTTTTTTTTGTTTTTGTTTTTTGAGACAGAGTCTCGCTCTGTCGCCCAGGCTGGAGTGCAGTGGTGCAATCTCAGCTCACTACAACCTCTACCTCCCAGGTTCAAGTGATTCTCCTGCCTCAGCCTCCCAAGTAGCTGGGACTACAGGTGCCCAGCACCACACCCAGCTATTTTTGTATATTTTTAGTAGAGTCGGGGTTTCATCATGTTGGTCAGGTTGGTTTTGAACTCCTGATCTCAAGTGATCCACCCGCCTAGGCCTCCCAAAGTGTTGGGATTTCAGGTTTGAGCCACTGTGCTTGGCTAAAATCAATTATTTGACAAAGGCAAGATCAAGGCTAAGTATTACTAACATAGAATGAATTTCTGAAATATAGGAATAAAGCTGGCATTTTATCAAAATGTCTCAATAACTGTTAAAAATTTATTATGATAGATTTTGGTGGTCTATGTTAAAAGTTGATATAGTAAAGAACAACATTGTTAGCCCCTGGATTGCGTCTGTCCTCACCACACTGCACATGAATGTTACTAAATGGTCAATTTCCTACGAGGTTGGAAGAGTAGCGAGACTTTTTTTCTAGCACAGCCAATAGAGTCTTTGGCTGATGGGGATGTTACCACTGCAGTATGAAGTTTACTTCTACTCTAATCAGAATTGACTAAAGTAAGGACTTATTTTCAACTCCTGGCCTTGGAGATAAGTAGATTGTGATAAAGCAATTTCATTGAAGCGATCTCGCAAATAGAGGCTCTGTGAACCACTTGAAAATGCTTCTGCACATTTTCAGAAGCAGATTTGAGACAGTTGTGGGGATTTTTGCTCTTCTGTTTCTAATATTTTAGTATGCACATGCAGCCTCACACAATTGCTTGAGAAAACACTGTCCTTAAACTTTGGAAATGGAAATTTTTTTCAATGAGCAGTATAATTTATTGGACTTGTAATGATAAAATGTGTTTTTAATACTTCATTTTTTCCACCACTTTCTTCTTTTCTTTATACTTTTTCTGTTCTTTATTATGCATGGATCATAAATGATTGTCATTTATGACAGTGAAATGAAATGAAAACCTTTGGAGGTTTTCTTGCCTGTAAAAAATTCTGAGGTGACAGAGTTGATTTTGTACTTTAAAATTAAAATTTGGCCTCACAAAACATAAAGAAATCTCTTAGAACTTTAAAAGATAAACCCATGCCCTAAACTTAATTAAAAACAAATTATGTAAATTTTAAAAGAAACACATTTGTCTCCCATTATGCCTCAGCTCATCATAGGAGAAGAACATAAGAAAGCAGGAATAAAGACCGTGAGAAGGGTGAGGCAGTGGCCTACGCCTGTAATCCCAGCTACTCGGGAGGCTAAGGCAGGAAAATCGCGTGTAGTGAGTTCCAGACTGTAGTGAGCTATGATCGCATCACGGCACTCCGGCCTGGGTGACAGAGCCAGACCGTGTCTCAAGAAAAAAAAAGGCTTGGTGTCGTGGCTCATCCCAGCACTTGGGAGGCTGAGGCAGGTGGATCACTTGAGGTCAGGAGTTCGAGACCAGCCTGGACAACACAGTGAAACCCCATATCTACTAAAAACACAAAAATTAGCTGGGTGTGGTGGTGCGCGCCTATAATCCCAGCTACTCAGGAGGCTGAGGCACGAGCATCACTTGAACCTGGGAGGCAGAGGCCACAGTGAGCCAAGATCGTGCCATTGCCTCCAGCCTGAGCAACAGAGCAAGACTTTGTCTCAAAAAAAAAGAAAAAAAAAAGACAGTGACAAGACAGAGGAGTGATAGATGGTCACACACCCAGCCACTGGGGAGGTAGATTCTGGTAAATCCTGAGGTGCTGAGCATGCACTTGAGAATGAGTGCCTCCCAAGTGACAAGCCTTACCAGGCGCAGTGGTGCACATCTGTAGTCTGAGCTACTTCGGAGGCTGAGGTGGGAGGATCACTCAACCCCAGGAGTTCAAAACCAGCAAGGACAGCATAGAGATCCTGTGTCTTTTTATTTTTATTTTTTTTGGAGACAGGGTCTTGCTCTAGCACCCAGGCTGGAGTGCGGTGGCATGATCACAGCTCACTACAGCCCCGGTCTCAAATGATCCTCCCACCTCAACCTCTTGAGTAGCTGGGACTACAGGCACACTAACTTTTGTATTTTTTGTAGAGACGGGGTTGTTGCCCAAGCTAGTCTCGAGCTCCTGAGCTCAAGCGATTCTCCGGTGTCAGCCTTTCAAAGTGCTGGATTACCTGCGTGAGCCACCTCACCCAGCCTTTTTTTTTTTTTCTCTTTTGAGACATGGTTTTGCTCTGTTGCCCAGCCAGGCTGGAGTACAGTGACATGATCACATCTCACTGTAGCTTGGATCTCCCAAGCTCAAGTGATCCTCCCACCTCAGCCTCCCTAGACGGTAGCTGGGACCACAGGTGTGTGCCACCATGCCTAGTTCTTTGATTTTTTGTAGAATCATGGTCTCACTATGTTGCTCCCACCTTAGTCTCCCAAAGTGCTGGGATTACAGGTGTGAGCCACCATACCCAGCCTGGTCAATTCATTTTTGATAAAAGTATCAAGACAATTCAATAGCAGAATAGACAATCTTTTCAATTAATAATGCTGAAACAAAAGACTTGCCATATGCAAAAAACCAACCAACTCAACAAACACAAAAAAACAATGAACCTTTACCCTTACCTAACACCATAAATAAAAATTGACAAAATTTGGCTGGGCATGGCGGCTCACACCTGTAATCCCAGCACTCTGGGAGGCCAAGGTGGGTGGATCACCTGAGGTCAGGAGTTCGAGACCAGCCTGGCCAACATAGTAAAACCCCATCTCTACTAAAAACACACACACATGCAAAAATTAGCCAGACATGGTGGCACACACCTGTGATCCCAGCTACTCAGGAGGCTGAGGCAGGATAATCACTTGAACCTGGAAGGGGGAGGTTGTGGTCAGCCCAGATCGCACCATTGCACTCCAGCCTGGGTGACAGAGCAAGACTGTCTCAAAGAAAAAAAAAATTGAGAAAATTTAATCATGTACCTAATGTAGGGGTTAAAACTATAAAGCTCAAAAGGAACACGTAAGAAAAATATTTTTAAATTTTTTTTTTCCCTTGAGACAGGGTCTCACTCTGTCACCCAGGCTGAAATGCAGTGGCATGATCACAGCTCACTGCAGCCTTGACCTCCCAGGCTCAAGCAATCCTCCCACCTTAGCCTACCAAGTAACCAAGTAATTAGCCACAACTGGCTAATTTTTAAATTACATTTTAGTTAGATAAGGGTCTCCCTGTGCTTCCAGGCTGGTCTCAGAACTCTTAGGCTCAAGCAATCCTGCTTCCTTTGCCTCACAAAGTGCTGAGATTACAGGTGTGAGCCACCACACTCTGCCAGAAAAGTTTAATGATACTGTGTAGGAAAATATTTCTTGAAGAAGAGACAAAGCATGAATTATAAAATAAAGTTTTGATAAATTGGACTTTATGAAAATTTAAAACTTGCTCTTCAAAAGACACTGTTAAGAAAATGAAAATGCAAGGCCGGGTGCAGTGGCTTAAGCCTGTAATCCCAGCACTTTGGGAGGCCGAGGTGGGCAGATTACAAGGTCAGGAGTTCGAGACCAGCCTGGCCAACATGGTGAAACTCCGTCTCTACTAAAAATACAAAAAACTTAGCTGGGCGTGGTGGTGGGCACCTGTAATCCCAGCTACTTAGGAGGCTGAGGCAGGAGAATCGCTTGCACCTGGGAGGCAGAGGTTGCAGTGAGCCAAGATCGCATCATTGCACTCCAGCCTGGGCAATAGAGCAAGACTCCATCTCAAAAAAAAAAAAAAAAAGAAAGAAAAGAAAAGAAAATGAAAATGAAAACTACAGACTGAAGAGGTAATAGTCACAAAACACATACCTGATGAAGGATTTGTATCTAAAATATACCAGGAACTCTTACAACTCAATAATGCAAGACAAACAATCCAATAAGAAATTGGCAAAATATTTGAACAAGCACTTCACAAGAGATATATGGATGGCAAATAAGTACACACAAAAAAAATGTTCAACATCATTAGTCATTAGGAAAATGCAAATTAAAACCACAATGAAATAGAATTAAACACCCACTAGAATAATTTGCAGGAAACAGACTGATTATAACAAGTGTTGCAAGGCTATAGAGCAATTAAAACTCTTTTACTATGTTGGTAGGAATGTAAAATGAAACGACCACTTTGGAAAACAGCTTGACAGTTTCTTAAAAGTTATACATATACATAACCTATGACACAGCCATTCCAATCCTAAAGTATTTATTCAATAGAAATGAATGCATATGTTCACCAAGACTTGTACATAAATGTTATTAGCACTTTATATCTAATATCCCAAGTGTCCATCAATTGGTGAATGGTGAAACAAATTGTGGTATATCCATATAATGGAACACTACCCAGCAATAGAAAAGAATGGGCCGACTGCGGCAGCTCATATCTGTAATCCCAGGCTTTGGGAGGGCAAGGCAGGCAGACGGCTTGAGCCCAGGAATTCCAGCCCAGGAGTTCCAGACCATGGGCAACATGACAAAACCCATTTCTACAAAAAAGAAAAAAACAATTAGTTACTTGGGAGGCTGAGGAGGAAGGAGGATCACCTGAGCCCGGGGAGGTCAAGGCTGCAGTGAGCCGTGATTACACCACTGCACTCCAGCCTTGGCAACAGAGGGAGATCCTGACTCAAAAAAAAAAAAAAAAAAAAGAATGAATTGTTGTATATGCAACAACATGGATGAATCTCAAAATAATTATAGTAGTTAAAAGAAGCAAGACAAAAAGAGTACATACTGTGTGATTCCGTTCATGTAAAATTCTAGAAAATACAATTAACGTGTAGGGACAGAAGCAGGCCAATTTTGTCTGGGCCGTGGGGTGGGGTGTTAAGGAGGAAGTATTGGATCACAAAGGAGCAAGGGGAATCATTTGAGCCTAAGCCAAAATGTTCATTATCTTGATAGTTGGTTTTACAAGTATTTAAATATGCAAAAACTAATTAAGTTATACAATTTAAATGTGTGCAACTTATTGTTCATTACTTATACCTCAGTAAAGCTGTAAAAAAAAAAAAAAAAGTTGATTGAGGCCAGGCACGGTGGCTCATGCCTGTAATCCTAGCACTTTGGGAGGCTGAGGTGGGCAGATCACCTGAGGCCAGGAGTTCGAGACCAGCCTGGCCAATATAGTGAGACCCCGTCTCTACTAAAAATGCAAAAATTAGCCAGGCGCAGGGGCATGCACCTGTAGTCCTAGCTACTCGGGAGGTTGAGGCAGGAGAATCACTTGAACCTGGTAGGTGGAGGTTGCAGTGGGCTGAAATTGTGCCACTGCACTCCAGCCTGGGTGACATAGCAAGATTCCGTTTCAAAAAAAAAATTGTTGATTGGTTACTCTGTGTGTACAAGTTTATTCAAAGCTTCATTTTGTTGGACTGTCTGGGGATCTTCTTCTTAGAAAGGAATATTCACTGCTACTTATACTTTGTCTAATCCTGAATTTATTAATATGTAAACAATTGGTGTTCCTTTATTTACAAACGACACTAATTAATCAAAGTCATAATTTTACAAATGAGTTGTCTCCAAGCATACATTAATTGCAAATGGTCAATTAAATTTTTTTGCAAGTCTAATATCTTAGATTTCTTTAAATGTTCTTTAAATGTAGTAATTACTTTGAAAGTAAGCAAAATATTTATATATTTCAATGATTATAAAACTGATCAGAGGCCAGGCATGGTGACTCATGCCTGTAATCCCAGAACTCTGGGAGGCCAAGGCGGATGGATCACCTGAGGTCAGGAGTTTGAGACCAGCCTGGCCAACATGGTGAAACCCCGTCTATACCAAAAATACAAAACTAACCAGGCATGATGGCAGGCGCCTGTAATCCTAGCTAGTTGGGAGGCTGAGGCAGGAGAATCGCTTGAAACCAGGAGGCAGAGGTTGTAATGAGCCAAGATTGCTCTGTTGCCCAGGCTGGAGTACAGTGGCACCATCTCAGCTCACTGTAACCTCCACCTCCCAGGTTCAAGCAATTCTCCTGTCTCAGCCTCCCGAGTAGCTGGGATTACAGGTGCACACCACCACACCCAGCTAATTTTTGTATTTTTAGTAGAGACAGGGTTTCACCATATTGGTCAGGCTGGTCTCGAACTCCTGACCTCAGGTGATCCACCCCCCCTTGGCCTCCCAAAGTGCTGGGATTACAGGGGTGAGACACTATGCACAGCCTGATTTAATTATTTTTAAAATTATATCTATGTTTATTTATCTATGTTTTTATTTTATTTAATTATTTTATTTTTGTCACCTCGGCTGGAGTGCAATGGCTTGATCACAGCTCACTGCAGCCTCAACTTCCCAGGCTCAGGTGATTCTCCCATCTCAGCCTCCAGAGTAGCTGGACTACAGGCTCGTGCCACCATGCCCAGCTAATTTTCTATATTTTTTGTAGAGATGGGGTTTTTCCATGTTGCCTAGGCTGGTCTTGAATGCCTGGGCTCAAGTGATCTGCCCACCTTGGCCTCCCAAAGTGCTGGGATTACAGGTGTGAGCCACTGTGCCTGGCCTTCATCTACATTTATTTATCCTTCTCCATATCTACAGTGTAATTTTAGTTTTTATTTCTTCCTAAGGATACAGTTTTAATTATTTAACCCAGAGAAGGAGTGTTTATTATTAGACAGGCCAAGGTTGTGGATTCAGGTTGACCATTGACATCTCAGGACTGAGGACAGAGTGCCTGAGGGGCCCTTGCAGGGTGATTCTCTAATCTATCACCCAATCAGTTAGGTCCCTTATTATAGGCTGTTACATCAGGAAATTTACAATGATTGGCCCAGACCAAACAGAAAGGGTGTAATTTCTTCAACTCTAGTCTTTTTTCTTCAGAGTATTTGTCCTGAACGCCTTCTCTTCAGCATATCCTAAACAGCCTATTTTGCAACTGGGGCCTGATTTGGTTTGCTAAAATCTTAGTCAAGTTGTTTCACTAAAATGACAACTTTTCTTTTTCATCAACTCTTAAGACTTATAAAAATGACAGTGATAACCAGTATTAGGAAGTCTGTTCCCTGGGGATGTCCCCTTTTTTCGGGAAGGGGACCTTGGGGCTCCTGCCTGGATGTTATACGTGGCTGCTGGCATGCGAGGAGCTGGGCAATCTCTCTAGCGTGCCACTGCTCCACATGCAGACTCCTCCCTTTCAGTCTGGATCTTTACTCCTGCCCTCTGAAGAGCCCTGTAGCCTCTGATTCAGAGCCTCTCCCCTTTTGATTTTTCTGGAAAATAGTTTCTACCTCCATAAAGCAAGGGAAGAGACAAAGTTAAGCTGGCAGGGCAGGTGTTGGAGATAATCTGCACAGGTGTGCACTGGCTTGGCAACAGGTTTTTAACAAATTGCAAGTCCAAGATTAGGGTGCCAGGATGGTTGGGGTCCTGGTGAAGGCTCTCTTCCTGGTGTGCGGACAGCTGCCTCCTCACTGTGACTTCACATGGTGGAGACAGAGCGCTCTCGTCTCTTGCTCTTCTATAAGGACACTAATCCCATCATGGAGGTTCCACCGTCACGACCTCATCTAAAGCTAATTACCTCCCAAAGACCCCATCTTCAAATACCATTACACTGGGGATTAGGGCTTCAACATACGAATGGGGGTAGGGTTGCAGGGAGAAAAAAAGGTTTGTTCTATTCAAGACAATCCTGAAGGGCCATTCTAACATCAGAGCTCACCAGTAGGGCTAGCTGAGTCTGTTGTTGGGCCTGCATTTATTCACCTTTCGATTTCTCCCTCTACTTATCCTGCTTCCTTCTTTTTCCTTCCAGGATCACTGATCCTAGGACTCCTTAATATACATGTTGGAGGGTAACTTCCTGAAAGTCTGTGCCCTAGGGGAACCACACTTAGGACAGTAACTGACAGCTGTTTGTAATTTATGAGTAGCTTTTGACATGTTCTCACTATCATCTTTAATCCTCACAAACAACACTGTCAGGCATTAACTATTTTTCTGCTTTTAGGATAAGAAAACTGAGTGTCAAGAGGATATTTGCCCAGGGCCATATAGCTTATTAGAAAAAAAGCTGGGGCCCTGTGCGGTGGCTCGCGCCTGTAATCTCAGCTCTTTGGTAGGCTGAGGTGGGTGGATCACTTGAGGCCAGGAGTTCAAGACCAGTCCAGCCAACATGGTGAAATCCCATCTCTACCAAAAATACAAAAATCAGCTGCGTGTGGTGGTGCATGCCTATAATCCCAGCTACTCAGGAGGCTGAGGCAAGAGAATTGCTTGAACCCAGGAGGCGGAGGTTGCGGTGAGCTGAGAATGCCCCACTGCATTCCAGCCTGGGCAACAGAGTGAGACTCTGTCTCAAAAAAAAAAAAGAAAGAAAAGAAAAGAAAAACAAAAAAAAGCTGGGATTTAATCCTGATCTCCTGACTCTGACAAAAGAAAACAAAGAAACAAATACAGGCCTGTGCCACGAGCTGGGTCACAGAATTTGATACCCAGACGCTGACTACTTACGCCTCTTTTCTATAACAAAGCTGCATTGTCATTTCTGAAAGCATACGCATTTAGATGCCAACATGTTCACCAGTTACACTCCAAAGCCAGAAACACTCAAAACATTAAAAAGACCAGCAAAATCTTAAAGTGTTCACTGTCTTAATGAGTTTTCAGATTTTCTCTCTGGGTAAATAACAGGCAAAATCTGCTGTAATTCTCTCCAAGCAATGGGGCACCTAGGACACAGAGATACCAATAGTCTCCTTAGCAACCATCCAAAATCAAGTTGCCTGAAGATGAAATCCTGATCTATTCATGCAACAGATCACATGGGGTCAGGTACTGTTTATCTCTCTAGCAGAAACCACCAGTCACTGGGATTTTAATTGTATCCTTATGATTTCTTTAAAAAAAAAAAGAAGAAGAAGAAGTAAACACAGCAGAAATGAGACCAGTTACTAATGAGCATGCAGTGAACATAAAACCTTCAGCTGGCTTCTTTAAAGCACATACTTTTGTAAAGTGTGCTTCAGAAGCCATTGCTTACATACACACACACACACACACACACACACACACACACACACGCTTTTTAGGGCTTCAGACGCTGCCTGTTATTCATTATAATTCAAAACTCACAAACCGAGCTCATTAGGTGAATGTTTGGTTCAGGAGGATTTTGCAGTCACATAGCCATTTGACTGTGATGTGTTTGCCTCACCCTGCATTGCTTTTTAATGAGCTTGCCTCCTGAAAAACCATAATACTGAGCAGTCCTGGGGTCAAACTGGAACTAAAGGATATAAATCAATGGCTTTTCTTTTTTTCTTTTTCATTAAAACAGGCTTGCTGAAGAAGCAGGTGGTAGGTGGTGACCGGTCATATAACTAACTGCTGAGTCCTTGACAGTTGCGGGTCTAAATTATATTTTCTGTCGCCTTTCAGAACACTATTTTATTTATTAATTTAACAAATATTTATTGATATGTTTTTGATATTAATATGTGTTGGGCACTCATTAAGACTTAAAAGTACAGATAAACAGTGGTATAATTAATTAACAAAATTTCTTTACCAACAAATAATCTGAACCATGTTGTTTCAACCCGTTTCTGCAAATATAGAAGACTAGAGATGCTACTGGCAGAATAGCGCCCTGTTTCTCCTATGCATAAAGAAGAGTCACACTATTTTCAAGGGCCAGTAAAGGAGCAATTTTGTAAAATCTAGTGTCTTGTCTTACAAATCAATTTTTCCTTAAGCTTTTGAAAAGAGTCACTTTGAAAATCTAACCTCTGAAGGGAAAAGAGTGCCATTTTAAAATGACAGCTGTGGCTTTTCCTTTACAGCTCTAAATGAGCTGTAAAGAGCTGTTGCTGCTAAATGAAGGCACTAGACCAAAGGCCCAAGGTACCTGGTGCCACTGAATAGTAATGGAGTTTAGTCCTGATGGTATTGCAGTTCTTTCTTTTTGCTTTCCTTTTTTTTTTTTTTTTTTTTTGAGACGGAGTCTAGCTCTGTCACTCAGGCTGGAGTGCAGTGGTGCAATCTCAGCTCCCTGCAACCTCTGCCTCCTGGATTCATGTGATTCTTCTGCCTCAGCCTCCTGAGTAGCTGGGACTACAGGCGTGCGCCACCACACCCAGCTAATTTTTGTATTTTTAGTAGAGACGGGGTTTCACCATGTTGGCCAGGATGGCCATTTTCTTTTTATTCTCCTCCCCATTTTGTTTTGTTCTGCCTAATAGCCTATTAATGGAATTTAAAAAGGTTTCAAGCCCCTTGGCTGGTGGCAAATATCAGCAAGTTTGGGCTTTATAATTACAGCTGAACCTCCTCTGCCACTTTTTCTAGCATGCCCTATGGGTTTGTTTTTAGAGATACTAGAAAGACACAACAGTAGATGCCTGACATGCTGTCAGAATCATGCTGTTTGTAAAATACTGTGAAATCTCCCATGATTTGTGGAGCAATTTTGAAAGTCAAGTCAGGGAATCTTAGACTCCTTATGGAGGGAATTTGTAGCAAGCTGGCAGCAGCAGTGGGCGTTTAATGTATGTGTTCATTCTCTTACTCCAATTTTAAGTGGGTTTCCCATCTTGAGGGAGTTGTTTTCTCCCATTTTCTCTGGCACCTGTCTTCTTATGCAAAATTGCGTGATGCTGTAAGTACTCTCATGAGATCGGGAGGTGGGGCAGGGAGTGAAAGCCTAGGGAAAAATAATTATATCAAGGAATCAGATTAAAGAGCTGTGAAACTTTAGAGCTAGAAGAGGACTGAAAAACTATTTGTCTTGTTCGCTGTTCTATCCCCAGAGCAATGAATATTCAATCAGTAATTATCGAATGTGTACATGAGTGAAGCATCACTCTTTCCCATTTTACAGATGGGAAATCTGCAGTCACAACGATGAATGATGCACCTATAGTTTCACAGGAAATTGGGGGAGCCAGAATTCTAAACTAGGCTTCTCAGACTTTCACATGCACAGCAATCACCTGGGGATATTTTTAAAATGCAGATTCTGGCCGGGCGCAGCGGCTCACGCCTGTAATCCCAGCACTTTGGGAGGCCACGGCGGGTGGATCACGAGGTCAGGAGATCAAAACCATCCTGGCTAACACAGTGAAACCCCGTCTCTACTAAAAATACAAAAAATTAGCCAGGTGTGGTGGCGGGCACCTGTAGTCCCAGCTACTCGGGAGGCTGAGCCAGGAGAATGGCGTGAACCTGGGAGGCGGAGCTTGCGGTGAGCCGAGATTGTGCCACCGCACTCCAGCCTGGGCTACAGATCGAGACTCCATCTCAAAAAAAAAAAAAAAAAATGCAGCTTCTGCTTCAGTAGGTCAGAGATGGGCCTCTAAATTCTACATTTCTAATAAAGCGCTGAGATAACTTAATATTGTTAGTCCTGGGACTACACTTTTTGGTTTTTTTTTGTTTTGAGACAGGGTCTTGCTCTATTGTCCAGGCTGGGGTGCAGTGGTGCCTTCATGGCTCACTACAGCCTTGACTTCCTGGGCTCAAGGATCCTCCCACCTCAGCTGCTCAAGAAGCTGGGACCACAGGCATGTGCTACTATGCCCGGCTAATTTTTTATTTTTTTGTAGAGACAGGCTCTAGCCATGTTGCCAAGGCTAGTGTTGAACCCCTGGCCTCAAGTGATCCTCCCACATCAGCCTCCCAAAGTTCTCAGATTACAGATGTGAGCCACCATGCTCGGCCACAGGCACCACACTTTGAATAGCAAGGTTCTAATCACACATTTCAAACTTCTTCTTCTTATTATTATTATTATTTTTTTGAGATGGAGTCTCACTTTGTCGCTCAGGCTGGAGTGCAGTGGCGCTATCTCAGCTCACTGCAACCTCCATCTCCCAGGTTCAAGTGATTCTTCTGCCTCAGCCTCCCAAGCAGCTGGGACTACAGACATGTGCCACCATGCCCAGCTAACTTTTATATTTTATGAAATATAAAAATATAGAGATGGAGTTTCACCACACTGGCCATGCTAGTCTTGAACTCCTGACCTCAAATGATCCACCTACCTCGGCCTCCCAAAGCGCTGGAATTACAGGCATGAGCCACCACCCCTAGCTCAAACTTCTCATAAGTATTCCTATGTTTAAAAAAAATATACAACTGGCTTTACCAGTTGTGCATTTTGTTTTACTCATTAAACTTGAGATTTTAAAACTGGGTTATGTTACAATCAGCCCTTATTGCATCACAAATGAGTATGTGGAGATTGTAAACTAAGTGAACTGACTTATCCAGTTGCCAAGGTGATGCAGGATTTTTCTCAACCCCTTTGTCAGACTTGTGACGGGGGTACCCCATTTACTCAGCCTGCCACGCTCAACCCCTTGCAGCAGGGAGCACATGAGTGAGCAAGTGCGGGATCTGGATGGCTGCTTTGGGTGCTTCCAGGAGCAGGCTGCGTGCAGGCCTGGCAGCAGTGCCCAGGTTGGGGTGCCTGCAACCCCTGAAGCTCCAGAGGGCATGTTACAGTGTTCTTTTAGCTCTGCCGTCTGTGGACAGTGGTGTGTTATCAGCTCAGTGAGCCCCTTGCCTCATCGTGTGGGGTGGCTGCCCTCTGCCAGTGAGCGCAAAGGGCCACTGTGACAGCCTTTTTTGGGTACCCACATTCAGTGGATCCCAAGCTCTTGTGTGGCATCTAAGATGAATGAGATAGCCCAGACACTTGAAGGATGGTGAAGGTGGAGAATTGTGTTAGGCAATGGGAAATGCCTCTCAGCAAAGAGGGGAGCCGGAGAGGGGACAGGACAGGCAAGTAATCTTCCCATGAAATCCGGCTGTCTCCAGCCGGCTCTTCCTTGTAGTCAAGCCTTCTCTCTGAAATTAAGCCATCTCTCCTCTGAAGCCCATCTGTCTCTCTGAAGGCAAGTCACCTCCCTCCAGTCAAGCCACTTCTCTCCCTCTACTGACTGAGTCTGGGGTCTTTATAGGCACAGGATAGGGGCATGGGGTGGGCCATAGGTAGTTTCAGAAAAGGCAACATTCAATCAGTAAAAAGACATTATTCAGAAAGAACCGATCGGAAGAGAGCCAGCAAACGGGGATAGACGTTCTCACTTTGGATGCAGGTTTCAGGCTTTTGGGCTCAAAGGTAGGGTTTTGCCAGGGACCCACCTGTCCGCCTAGAATTTCTCTGCTTCCTGCCTCTATCAAAGGGTATGGTTAAAATGAGAATTTTTTTTTGAAACAGAATCTTGCTTTGGTTGCCTAGGCTGAAATGCAGTGGCATGATCTTAGCTCACTACAACCTCTGCCTCCTGGGTTCAAGAGATTCTCACGTCTCAGCCACCTAAGTACATGGGATTACAGGCACGCACCAACACACCCAGCTAAGTTTTGTATTTTTATTAGAGATGGGGTTTCACCATTTTGGCTAGGCTGGTCTTGAACTCCTGACCTCAAATGATCCCACCTCAGCCTCCCAAAGTGCTGGGATTACAGGCATGAGCCACCCCATCCAGTCCTAGACCAAGGACCAAGGTTTTATGGTGCAGATTAAGCCTCCCTGTAGCAAGTTTCAGAGTTCTTATCAGACCTGAAAAGGTGCCCGACTCTTAAGTGAATTCTCTCCTAGATCAGGAAAAAGACTTGGAAAGCTAAAGGGACTTTTTTTTTTTTTTTTTTTTTTTTTTACAAAATGTAGATTTTCCCCACAAGAGGCAGCTTTGCAGGGTCATTTCAAAATATGTCAAAGAAATACATTTTGGAGTAAAATATTTTTATTTCTTTCAGGGCCTGCTCTCTGTCATGTGATGTTATACCAAAGTCAGGCTGGAATTTGGTGTCTTATTGCTACAAAAAGTCTGTTTCTTCAGTCTTAAGATTTCTGCTGTAATGTTAAAACTGCCTAGCTGTGCCTGAATTTCAAAGGGAGGAAAGTAAAATGAGGGATCTCAGACAACCCCCTTCCAATCACGACCTGAACTAGATTTTCAGGTTTACTTTGGAATGCCTTTGGCTGAGGCAGGGGGCAGGCATCAGTAAGTTGAGGTGCATAGAATTTTATTTTTGGTTTACATTATCATGAGACAAAAAAACTGGAAGTTGGAGGGCCATGTTGGAGCATGTGTTCAGTGGGTTCAAGCAAAGGGGAAAGGTTTGTCGATGTGTTTGTCCATGTCTCCTCACTCATTCTGGAGGAGTGCTTCTTCTGACCACCATACTGACACTCAAGCAGCCCAGCTACTCGGGAGACTGAGGCAAGAGAATTTCTTGAACCTGGGAGGCGGAGGTTGCAGTGGACTGAGATTGGGCCACTATATTCCAGCCAGGGTGACAAAGCAAGACTCCATCTCAAAAAAAGAGAAAACCTTGGTCTTCATAACCTCTTATCTTTTTTTAATTTTTCTTTTCTTTCTTTCTTTTTTTTTTTTTTTTGAGAGGGTAGCAGCAAGATCATGGCTCATGGCACCTTCAACTTCCTGGGCTCAAGTGATCCTCTCACTTCAGCTTCCCAAGTAACTAATAATTTTTTTATTTGTAGAGACAGGGTCTTGCTTATGTTGCCCAGGCTGGCCTAGAACTTTTGGCTGAAGCAATCCTCTTGCCTCGACCTCCCAAAATGCTGGGATTACAGGCATGAGCCACCACACTTGGCCCCAGATAGTTCTTTCTACTGATTCCAGGTCTTTAGATAATAACTCTTTCAACCAATTGCCAATCAGAAAATCTTTGAGTCCGCCTATGACCCAGAAGCCCCCACTTCTTGTTATTCCACCTTTCTAGACCAAACCAATGTACATCTTACATGGATTTGTTGCGGGACCTTTCCTTAGTTCAGCTAAAGACGGGGTTCCTTGTCCCACAGCCGCCAAAGTTTAGGCTTGCAGATGGTTTGAAGGATGAGTAAAACAGGGTATTATTGGGTGAAAAGGAATAAAAGGGGGAACAGGGACTCTCCGCAAGGTCGGAGTTACTCTAGTGTGCTTCCCGCCTTGCAGTTTGAATCCTAGGTTCCACACAGGAAGAGGAGGGGCCAGGCTCCTCCCCGCTACCAACGGGGTGAACCTCTGTAGCTCCACCCCAGTGCGCAGGCCGGTTGAAGTTTTGCCAGGGACCCCTCCCGGACCCCTCCCACCCGGCTGTCTCATATTGATTGATGTCTATGTCTCTCTAAAATGTATAAAACCAAGCTGTAGCCCGATCACTTTGGGCACATGTTGTTAGGACCTCCTGAGGCTGTGCAACAGGCATGTCCTTAACCTTGGCAAAATAAACTTCTAAATTGATTGAAACTCACCTCAGATACTTTTTGGTTTACAGTTGATTAGTTAAGCTTAGAACAGTTTGTCCCCCTGAAACCAGCTAACCACAGAGAATACCCTCTCCTCTTCAGATTACTGAGACTTTCCCTGCTTGCAAAAGAACCCAAACCATAAAAGTCACCCCATCTGTAACTTGTTTCCCGACCGGAAAAAAAAAAGTCTAAGGTAAAACCACCTTAAGACACTCTGGAGTGCAATAGCCAGAAAAAGATCATCTCCTTAGACAGAGAGAGAGAGAGAGAGAGCGCACGAGCGAGCACAAGCTATCCTTATGACCTAGCTGTGGAAATCCTGTAACCTCACTTTCACCACATTCTATTTCTTTGAAGTGAATCACCAGGGGGTCTGGCCCACATCATGAGGGAGTGTACTAGGCTTCACATTTTCAAGAAAGTAGTGTCAGATGTACTGGGACATATTTTGAAACCACCTGATGGTCATATCCAATGGCAGTAGAAGGAGTTGCCCAGGAAGATAGGCAGTAACTCAGGTCCAATAGTAGCTTGTTCTAGCATTCTCTCAACATAAGTATTACTGTCCTCATTTTTCTTGCTTGGAGGAATTAAAATAATATAGAATTCATCTAAATTCAAATAGTACTATAGCAGGTGCAACATATTTACTCTAGTCTGCCGCCTCACACAAGAAGATATTGGTTAAATCTCTCTGGATATAGAGAGGAATTTTATCCTAGTATTTGTCTCTCTGCCATTTGGCAATCCCACCACCACAACCAATACAGAAAATCAGGGATGTTAGGTGCACACTTTGGAAAATCATCAGAGACACCTGCTTTATGCAAAAAAAAAAAAAAAAAAAAAAAAAAATAGAGTGAGAGAGAGATGTTTTCATCACAGAGGGAAGAGATTCTTGGAAGGAAGCCTCATAGAGTTAACCAAAATAATGAATAAGCTGAGTCTAAAGAGTCACAGTAATTATTTCATGTTAAAGATGTTAGAAGAAAAAAAAACACTGAAAAAAGTTTTGCATTAGAATTAAATTTAAAAGGCTAAATTATAACTCTCATAAGACTAATGGTCAATTTTTTGTCTGGGTTCTTTGTGGCTATTGGATTTGTGATTTACAAAGAGGATGTTTGACCCCAGGGAAGCAAGTAACATCCCTTTCACAAAATAGCATTCATTGCTCAAGGTCTCTGAAAGCTGAAGGAACTGTAAAAGATCAATAATCAGTTTTAAAATGTGATTCACATAATGCTGTCTGGATTCAGGAAATGGGCAAATTCTGATTATTTTATTTTATTTTATTTTTTGGAACGAAGTTTCGCTCTTGTTGCCCGGGCTGGAGCGCAATGGCACGATCCCGGCTCACTGCAACCTCTGCCTCCCGCGTTCAAGCGATTCTCCTGCCTCAGCCTCCTGAGTAGCTGGGATTACAGGCGCCCGCCACCACGCCCGGCTAATTTTTGTATATTTAGTAGAGACGGGGTTTTACCATGTTGGTCAGGCTGGTCTTGAACTTCTGACCTCAGGTGACCCACCCGCCTCGGCCTCCCAAAGTGCTGGGATTACAGGCGTGAGCCACCATGCCTGGCTGATTATTTTATTAATGAGGGGTACATAGGAACAAAAAAATATAAAATAAGAAACTGCTAAGGACTTTCTCTCCTGCCATGGTTGAATCTGAACCTTGAAGCCAGAAAAATAAATAGCAGTGGAGCAGAAATATCACTACTGTCTCCTCTCAGGAGTCATTCCATCTTGATCAATTCTGTCCTTCCAAGCATAGCTTGAGTTTACTGGTCCTGAGACATGACAGAGATGTGTCCACCTTGGGCAACTAGCCACAGAAAAAAGACTTGTGACCCAGGCCAGTTTATCTTCACTTGGTGGCCAGCCAGCAAGGTGTTAACATCCAGAGAGTTGAACACATATACAGACACACCAGTTTCCTGGCACTCGATTCTCCTAGTTCAACAATTCCAGAAGAAAGACCATACCTTTCTTTCTGGTTGCTTCACAGGCAAATGCTGTAGAAATCCACTATATCTAGGAATAAAAGCAACTAGGAAATCAAGCAACTGTGAATTTCGGGGCTTCAATTTTAATGGGCTATAAAGGCTTTTCTTGATGAGTGATCAAAAGATGTTGTGGAAAAAAATAAAACAAAAAAGACAATGGCTTTGAATTAGCTGGGTGTGGTAGCACACACCTGTAATCCCAGCTGCTCAGGAGGCTGAGGCAGGAGAATCGCTGGAACCCGGGAGGCAGAGGTTGCAGTGAGCCAAGACCGCGCCACTGCACTCCAGCCTGGGCGACAGAGTGAGACTCCGTCTCAAAAGACAATGGCTTTGGGGTGGAAGTTGATAAAGAGGATTGTGAGCATGGGAATCAGTATTGTAGAGAATTGAGCGCTGATTTGTCTGGGGTACTCTTACACCGCTCAGGGTGCATTTTTTTTTCTTTTTTTCTCCTTAACATAAAATGAGAAAGGATGCATTTTTGAATCCAAGTACTTATTGACCAACTATTTCACATTCACAGTATGAAAACGTCACACTATCTTTGCTCAGATCTGTGCCAGAATCAACTTTTAATGCTATATTTAATAGAGAAAATGATGAGGAAGTTTCTGCAAAGAAGGAATGACAGAATTAGAATATAACAATTTTGCAATGCCTAATGAATTACTGGATCTAGGCAACATTCATCAATGGCTGCTAATATTATAGAAAGAAAGAAAACCAGACATTATATATCTCATGCTAGAAGTGCACAAGACCACTTAAATAGTCTTCCCCTCCACCAAAATCCAACCTGAGTCTGATCATACCTTGAAATCAATCTACCATGTTGAGAAAATACTCAAGGGAAGGCCAGGAGTGGAGATTCACACCTGTAATCCCAGCACTTTGGGAGGCCAAGGTGGGTGGATGGATTACTTGAGGTCAGGAGCTCAAGAACAGCCTGGCCAACATCACGAAACCCCAGTCTCTAATAAAAATACAAAAATTAGGTGGGCCTGGTGGTGTGCGCCTGTAGTCCCAGCTACTTGGGAGGCTGAGGCACAAGAATCACTTGAACCTAGGAGGCAAAGGTTGCAGTGAGTCAAGCTCGCACTACTGCACTCCAGCCTGGGCGACAGAGTGAGAGACTCTGTCTCAAAAAAAAGAAAAAAAAAAAAAAGGCCGGGTGTGGTGGCTCACACCTGTAATCCCAGCACTTTGGGAGGCCATGGCAGGCGGATCACCTGAGGTCAGGAGTTTGAGACCAGCCTGGCAACATGGTGAAACCCCGTCTCTCCTAAAAATACAAAAATTAGCTGGGCATGGTGGCGCATGCCTGTAGTCCCAGCTTCTCAGGAGGCTGAGGAAGGAGAAGTGCTTGAACCCAGGAGGTGGAGGTTGCAGTGAGCTGAGATTGTGCCCTCCAGCCTGGCAACAGAGTGAGACTCCATCTCAAAAAAACAAAAAACAAAAAACAAGGGAAGAAGTAACATCATACATGAGACCTTGGAGATGCAATCAGAAAACTCTAGAATGTAGAAAACTGTATAGCAGGGCCGGGTGCGGTGGCTCACGCCTGTAAGCCCAGCACTTTGGCAGGCCGAGGCAGGCGGATCATGAGGTCAAGAGATCGAGAGCATCCTGGCCAACATGGTGAAACCCCGTCTCTACTAAAAATACAAAAATTAGCTGGGCGTGGTGGCAAGTGCCTGTAGTCCCAGCTACTCAGGAGGCTGAGGCAGGAGAATCGCTTGAATCTGGGAGGTGGAGGTTGCAGTGAGCCAAGATCATGCCACTGCACTGCAGCCTGGCAACAGAGCGAGACTCCGTCTCAAAAAAAAAAAAAACACACACAACAACAACTGTATAGGACAAGTAAATTAGTTTTTCATCAACAACAATGATGGAGAGTGGTGTATGAATCAGAGAGAGAGGAGGAGAGAGAAGGGGAACAGAGGGAAGGCAAGGAGAAAGGAGAGGAGAGGACTAAGAGACATCAAAACCAACCACAATGTATGGACCTTATTTGGCTTCCAATCTAAACACACTGTAAAAAAAAAAAAAAAAAAAAAAAAAAGAAAAGAAAAAAGGCCAAAGTCATATACACTCTTTTTATCCTTTCACTTTTCCTTTTGGCTGAAAAATGCAGACATTACGGTCCCCCATGCAGACAAGGACACCACACAGGGATGGCAAAATATGAGATGGAAGGACCATGGTCCCCAAACAGCTTTATATGCAGCACAGCCACCATGTCAGCTTAGTCGTTTACACACGAGGGAAGTGAATTATGTTGACAAAACTATGGCAAGAGCTTGAGCTATAGAAAAGGTCCTTAAACTGAACATTCCTTGACTCCACCCATTGATATTTATCTAATATTTTCACCTACCCCTGGATGTGAAAACTGTCCTCCCCTGATGCTTGTGTATTTGGGGAGGAAATCCATCAAAAAGGAAGCCCCTAGCTTTTGCCCTTAGTGGAATGTGGACACAATTGCTCATTGATATTCAGCACACATGGCTTCTCTGGCTTTGAAATCTGAACACTAGTGAAGATCTGTCTGTTTAATATGGTATTTTAGGGCTTATTCTTATTTGTGGTTTTTATTTGGGCACTTTGATCAAGTATTTCAGTGCTGTTTCCTAACTATAATTTTATTTAATATATAAAATATGATATACATGTTTTGGTAAATTACATATGAAAATAAATTGGATTTCAATACAGTAATGATGAATTGAATTTTCTCATGCTTTATTTAACACTTTATTCCCACAGCAATACCTAATGAGCAATTAAAGTGACTTACTGAGAGTGAAGGCTTCTTGCAGGTCACAGCAGCCATATGTCACATCAGACATAAGGCACTGAACAGAAGCAATTCAACGGAATCATGTCATCCATCAGGCAAAATACATGCAGAGTCTTGTCTGATCTCCCAGAAGGAGCAATGCTGTGTGTGTATGTTTTGTTTTGTTCTCTTGTTCTGAGTTATCACTTGGTAGATGGTCCTGTTCCTATTTTGCTATACAGCAAAGAATTACAAAGCCTTGTCAATTCTGCCTCCTAAAACTATCTCTGATATTTTCAAATTGATCCACTTCCTTTCATCTTCACTACCACTTCCCTAATCAAAACCACTATCCTTTTCCATTTGGATTAGTAAAATAGTGTCTCAACTAGTCTCTTGGTTTTCATTCTGGTCTCCTCCAATCCATTTTTTCCACAGCAACTACAGGGATCTTTTGGAAATGTAAATATTATTTTATATTCAAGCTTAAATTGGCTGGGTGCGGTGGCTCACGCCTGTAATTCCAGCACTTTGGGAGGCCGAGGCGGGCGGATCACGAGGTCAGGAAATCGAGACCATCCTGGCTAACATGGTGAAACCCCGTCTCTACTAAAAATACAAAAAATTAGCCGGGCCTGGTGGCGGGTGCCCTGTAGTCCCAGCTACTCGGGAGGTTGAGGCAGGAGAATGGCGTGAACCCGGGAGGGAGAGCTTGCAGTGAGCCAAGATAGCACCACTGCACTCTGACCTGGGCGAAAGAGCAAGACTCCATCTCAAAAAAAAAAAAAAAGCTTAAATTAACCTTCCAGTTGGCCAGGCATGGTGGCTCATGCCTGTAATCCCAGCACTTTGGGAGGCTGAGGCGGGTGGATCACAAGGTCAAAAGTTCGAGACCAGCCTGACCAACATGGTAAAACCCTGTCTCTACTGAAAATACAAAAAATTAGCCGGGTGTGGTGGCGTGTACCGGTAATCCCAGCTACTTAGGAGGCTGAGGCAGGAGAATCGCTTGAACCTGGGAGGCGGAGGTTGCAGTAAGCCAAGATCGCGCCACTGCACTCCAGCCTGGGCGACGGTGAGACTCCGTCTCAAAAAAAAAAAAAAAATTCTCCTTCCAGTTTACATTTGCTGTGTACAAGGTCTCCAAGGCCTTGCATGGTCTAGCTACTCTCTCCCTCTTCAGCCAATGGCACTGCCACAGTTTCACTATATCCTGCCCACTGGCATCCTCTCTCTCCCACAGACACCAACATACCAGGGGCTTCCCTCCTCAGGGTTTGCAGATGCTACTTCCTTTTCCTAAAATACTGCTGAAGAAATAAATAATATTAAACATAAAGGTAATAAACACTTAATACTCATCACTTCCTAATTATTTTCTGTATTTTATTATTATCCGTGCTCTTAAATTATATTTAATATATCTACCTAGTGAAAAATACTATACAATGTATTACAATACTATACAGCTTATTTATTTATTTATTGAAACTTAGTCTCGCTCTGTCACCCAGGCTGGGGTGCAGTGGCATGATCTTGGCTCACTGCAGCCTCCACCTTCTGGGTTCAAGTGATTCTTGTGCCTCAGCCTCCTGAGTAGCTGGTATTACAGGGGTGTACTATCACTCCCAGTTAATTTTTGTATTTTTAGTAGAGACGGGGTTTCTCCATTTTGGCAAGGCTGGTCTCAAACTCCTGGACTCAAGTGATCCACCCGCCTGGGTCTCCCAAAGTGCTGGGATTACAGGCGTGAGCCACTGCGCCTGGCCTATAGAGTTTATATACTATACAATGTACAGTGCCTCTCTTCCAAATTTGCCTTCAGTGATCTCTTCTTGGCAGCTTGAAATCAGCTATTGCAGAAATACTTGCACCATGGAAATTGGCAAACACTACAAATCAGGGCTTTCCTGGGGGTAGGGGAGTTTAGGGAGCCCAGCTGTTAAACACTTGCCAGTATACTGCTGCCTATAATAAAACTTTTGTGTTTCCTTTCAATTATTTATATAATTGCAATATATATAACTGCAATATAATTAATGCAGTTACAAAATAATTTCCACATCATAATGCTAAATTCTTTTAATATGTTTTCTCGTTTAGTCACATAATAACTCTACAAAGTGAGTATAGTAATTCCATTATATAAGCAAGGAAACAGGTGCAGAGAGATTAACATAATTAGGCTGGTACGCAGCAGAGGTATCACTTGGAAATATGTTTGACTGGCCAGGCACAGTGGCTCACGCCTGTAATCCCAGCACTTTGGGAGGCAGAGGTGGGCAGATCACCTGAGGTCAGGAGTTTGAGACCAGCCTGGCCAACATGGTAAAATTCCATCCCTACTAAAAATACAAGTTAGCCGGGCATGGTGGTGCATGCCTGTAGTTCCAGCTATTTCAGAGGCTGAGGCATGAGAATTGCTGGAACCTGGGAGGTGGAGGTTGCAATAAGCCAAGATAGTGCCACTACACTCCAGCCAGGGTGATAGAGCAAGACTCTGTCTCAAAAAAAAAAAAAAAAAAATAGTAAAAAGCTTGACTCCAAAGCTCATGCTCTCTCTCTATACTAAACAATATGGAAACTATTTTAGGAAGTATTTCTTTTTGTTTGTGTGTAACTGGGGAAACAAGGGATCTCCCAGGAATTTGGGCATTCTATGAAGGAGGGAACTGTTAGGGTTGAAGGGAAAGGCAGGGAGAATTCAGAGACGTTTTATAGCCTTGGTGTCATAACGAAGCAAAATTATCTACCTACTACATCACTGATGTCAGGGAAATTGAATGAATTACCACAATGCTGTATTCATTTGTAATTTTTGAATGACAATGTTTATGTTAGTAACCAATAGGTAATGAGTCTGGTCTATTAAGAAAGACCTGGTGGTAGCATTTTTTGCCTATATGAACTCTCCTGGAGGTAATACTTTTTCTTGCTAGAATGTTTCTGAGTAAGTGTGAACAAAGAAAATCTCTGGCCTGAAGAGATCAGGCCTGTGTATGATAGACAAGGACAAAATCTGAAAGTGAACTCAGCTATCTGTTAAAGTCATTCTAATTCCCTCAACTCACTTGTAACATCTCGCCTAATGGCTTTGCTGCTTATTCTCTAATAGCTACCTGATAGAATTGTGGTGTTCTGAATTAACAAGGCATGAGGGAATTCTAGCTGTAAGGCTTTCTGGTAAATTTTTTCACGTGTCTCAGACTTTGGAAACTGGCCCAGTTCTAATGAACTATATTGATTAGAAAAATATCGATTAGAATTCTATCGATTAGAACTCTATCATTTAGAACAATGATTCTCAGATTTTGGTGTGCCTAAGAAACACTCTGGGAGCTTGCTAAAAGTGTCAATTTCTAGACTCACATCCAGAAAGTCTAATTTTGTTTGCCTGGATTGGGGCTCAGGTGTCTTCATTTTAAAACACATTTCCCCCAGGTAATTCTAATGCAACTTGTACAGGAACCAGAGGCTGAGAACACTCATCTAGACTGAAGCATGTTTTGTGGTGGGTGTGGTGTTAGGGGTTTTTCTTGCTGCAGCTAGTCTGGAAGACACACAAAAAAGAACGTAGTTCTGCCTATTAAGCAGGTTGGGGCTGGGCATGGTAGCTCATGCCTGTAATCCCAGCATTTTGGGAGGCTGAGGTGGGTGGATTGCTTGAGCCCAGGAGTTCAAGAGCAGCCTGGGCAACATGGTGAAACCCCGTCTCTACAAAAAATACAAAAATTAGCTGGGTGTGGTAGTGTGCACCTGTAGTTCCAGCTACTTGGAAGGCTGAGGTGGGAGGATAGCTTGAGCCCGAAAGGTCAAGCTGTAGTGAGCTGTGATCATGTCATTGCACATTCCAGCCTGGGTGATAGAGCAAGACTCCGCCTAAAAACAAAAACAAAAACAAAAACAAAGCAGCAAAGAAGGTTGGGTGGCCTTGAGGTCTGACCTAGAATCTAAGCCCTAGATAAAGATGGAGGTTCAAGTTGGCCTAAGCACTACCAGACTTTTTGGAAAAATTGCAGCCAGCAATGAGTTCTTGGGCCCTCCTTCCTAGAATTGCATTTGCGCCTTAAAAATTTTGGTAACAACTTGACTAGTTAATCATCTGAGGGAGTAAAAAATTTTGGTGTTACCTTCTCTGGGGCACTGACTTCTGCATCCTATGCTCTGTGAGCCCCATCCTGGGATATGGTCTCAGCTCTTGGATGTTGATATGTTTAATGACATATAGGGCTATATTGAGGAAAAATAATACCTACTCTGGCAAATTGTTATAAGGATTAAATGGGATAATACAGAAAATAACTAGCTGAGGATCTGGCATATAATGAGTCCTTAGGAAGGTGAGGGATCTGCCTGTAGTATCTATCCACCTTAAGGGTCTCCACAGTAAATCTGTGAATTTGGTTCATAGGGGCCATGCCCTCCTTTTCTATCAGGGTTCTGTAAACATCCCTCTTCAAGCTAGAAGGGGTTTGAAAAGGACAGACAGGAGAAGCTTGCTCTTTGTTCAACAGCGTACGAGGAAGAGGTGCTCAATACGTTGTTTTTTTCTTTCTTCTATGTATCATTTTAAAATCTCCACTTTTCCGTTCTTCGCTAGCCCTTTCATCAGCCATTTTTTTTCTCTCTCAATCTCTGTGTACACACACATACACACATACCCACACCACGTACACATTTTAAGGCCTCCCATGACCCAGAGACCAAAGCCAGGGTTCCAATCTTTAAAGTCCATTCCTGGGGTGCTCTAGACTTTGCTTCTCTTCTCCCATGGTCTCATATTTCAATTTATTCCTTCTCCTTGATTAAAGTTTAGAGCAGTTCCCTTAATCTGCTTACTCTTTATATGTTTTAAAAAGGCCCTTTTCCAAGTTGTTGCACAAGAAGAAACCTTCATTTTCTGCTTAAAAAAATTTTTTTTTGTTTTTCTTTTTTTTTTAGAGATAGGGTTCTTCCTATGTTGACCAGGCTGGTCTCGAACTCCTAGCCTCAAGTGATCTTCCCATCTCGGTCTCCCAAAGTGTTGGGATTACAGGTGTGAGCCACTGCGCCTGGCCAAAAAAATTTTGTTTTTAGTATTTATTTTTTAGAGACAGGACCTTGCTCTGTCACCCAGGCTGGAGTGCATGGCACGATCATGACTTACTGTAGCCTTGAACTCCTGGGCAGACACAATCCTCCCACCTCAGTCTCCCAAAGTTAGGGTTACAGGGTTGAGCCACTGAGCCTAGCCTGAAACTTTCATCTTCAACACACTCCTGGTCTCTCCCATCTTTCCTATTAGTTTTCCTAGCTAAAAGCAGAGTTCTGACAGCTTTTCCTGGCCCTATGCTGAACACACATAAAATTTCCTCAATTTTGTGCAAGGCTCTGATGTGTGATTCAATAAATTACTTGCCATTCTTAACAATACCTTACTGTTTGTTTCTCTTCAGCGAATGTTCTTTCACCCAAAGCCTACTGAAACCTGACAATGTGTTAAACACTGTGCTAGACATTGTGGATATAAAATGAATAAAGCACTATTTTTTATTTGTCAATTATACCTCAATAAAGCTCTTTCCGCCTAGGAGGAGTTCATTGTCTGGAAAGCAAAGGCAGATATGTAAACATATATATTATAGTTCAGAGTGCTAAGTATCACACTGTGATGTGAAGAAAAACTAATTTCTTCTGGGGAAGTTGATAAAAGATCTCATAGGAAGTGACATTTTCATTGGTCTTGAACCATAAGTAGGAGTTTGCCAACCAGAGCACAGGGGTGAGAGTGAGGGCAGGGGTAAAATAGGGCTTCCAAGGGAAGGGAATCCAGTGTGCAGAGGCTCTGAAATGACCGACGAAGATTCTGACGTGTTTAGGGAAGTCTGCTGGGTTTGATGTGGTTTGGTGCATGGCGGAGTGATGGTGGGAGGTGCAAAGAGATGAAATTGAGAGGGCCCAGTTGAAGCAGGAGGATTGAACTTTATTCTAGAGGCAATAAGAGAAAGAGAAAACTGTTTAAGCAGGGGAGGAAACGATCAGGTTTGTCTCTTACTTGTTCGTTTCGTTACAGACTTCCGGGTTTTGGAAACTGAGGTGCTCCGCTTGCTTCATCAGAACAGCTCGGGTAGCCTCTGAGCTGAAACACGGCTTTTTTTTTTCCAGGTCTAGAAACGGCATGTTTTCAATATACCCAAGGCTACTAAGTTTGATCCCAGTGCCCATTTGTGCTAATGACGTTGGCCAGGGACGCCAATTTACTACCCTGACCCTGTCCTTCAAATATTGTCTCTCTCTCCTTGGCTAGGGTTGGACATGTTCTGACACCTTTCGTCTCTTTGAACCCCATTTTTCCGTTCTGATAATCTTTTTCTTCAGTTATGCTGACCATGTCTTTAAATACATTGCTAACGTTTTAGCTCATCCCACCCTACGTTTTAATCCCTCAGATGCAGACATCGCGGACAGCCACGCCCACTCAAGAAATTTCCGAAACAGAAAGTTTGTCTGCAACAGCGCGCCGTACTGACGTAGCAGTGCGCAGGCGCAGTCCCGGCTCCTGGCGGCGTGTTCCTCTTTTCCTCGGTTCCCAGTGTTCTGGCAGGTAAGGAACGCCGGCTCTTCGCCTCTCAGCGCGGCTTGTCCTTTGTTCCGGACGCCCGCTCCTCAGCCCTGCGGCTCCTGGGGTCGCTGCTGCATCCCGCACGCCTCCACCGGCTGCAGACCCATGGCCGAGCGCGGGGAACTCGACTTGACCGGCGCCAAACAGAACACAGGAGTGTGGCTAGTCAAGGTAATGTTCGCGAGTCTCCCACTTGCGCTCCTCCTAACACAAGTATAGTTTAAGTAACTTGAGCCTATCCCGCTCCGTGCGCCTCTTAAAGTTCTTTTACGGCTATCTCGTTAGAGCTTCACACATTTTGAGAGGCAGGAGTCATTGTTGTATCTGTTTGCAGACGAGGAATTAGTTTAGGGACGCAAAGTGTCTTTCAGCCAGTTACTACTCTGAATCTGCCTGGACTAGATCTCTTTCTCACGGCTTTCCTGGAATCTTGTCTTGGTGTCCCCAGATTTGGACGGTGCATTTTATCCCAGACTGAAGAATTCCTTGTATCTTCCCTTGGTGAAACTGGTTTTAGCCATGAGCCTGCGTGAGGTAGTTGAATGTCTACTTTCTGTACAGTTTTCTCGGCCAGAAAGTAGGACTGGTCCCTGCCTACTCTTAAAAGTGTTCTCTTAGGTTGATGGTCCTTAATGAAGCTCTCAAAAGAGGCGAGAGAGCCCCAAACTCACAGAAGGAGAGGTCATTGGACTGGAGTATTCTTTTAGAGCACATTTGGGTCTCGTGAAACTGGCCGTCAATAAACGTTTTATGTGAAGACAGCAATTTTGGTTAGCTCACAGTAAGCACTATTTGTGCTTTATTGTTTCATATTGGGGAGTGTTTTCTCCTAGGGGAGTTTCATAATACTTAAGCATATTCAAAATGTGATCCTGAAAGTCGTTGAAACTTAAAATGTAAGGACTTTTGGTTTCTTAATGCTTTAACTGTTTTATCACATGGCTGAGTTCTCGTCAATTAAATCTAAGAGGTCTTTCTTGTCGGCCTTCCTAAAACAGCCCCCTTGTGATCATTTGCTAACACGACAGATGTGTATTACATTCTTCAAAGCACTTTTCACAGTGTAGAGTGATTTTGTGTTCATATGTTCAAAGTTGGTTACCTCTGTCTTTCCAACACACAGAATCACATTCCATGAGAACAGGATCTTTGCCTGTCATACCCAGAATAGTGTTTGGCGCATGGTAATTACTCAACAAATAGATGATGAATAAATGCATGACCTCTCATTCTTCAGCCCTCGCCTTAGTCTGTGGCACTCATTTGACTTATTTCCAAACTCAGTGTGACTTAAAAGGATGGATTAAATAGGCATTTCTCTCTCCAGCAGCATGTTACTTGGGGGGAGAGTCACTAAGGAGGAGATTGCCCTTACGGACTGAAGGAAAAAGCTTGAAAAAATGGTGTGACTTGAGATGGTGCCATTGTCCTAGGAGCATGGTAAATGCTCAATGTTTGTCTTACAGGATTTGGATGGGTGGACACAGTGTATACCATGGGGAATGGAACAGAAATGCAAGACTCAAAATATATAATCAGCATGGCGTGTTGTGGAAAACAGAGAGAACCTAGAGCAGAAGATCTGTGTAGATGAAGATGGGGACCATATACTCAGATTGTCATATCATGAAACGGAGATATTCTAACTTTAGTTTACAAGGAAGTAACGAACTTTTTGGAGGATTTGAGTGAGGTAGAGATGCCAGATATTTATTCAGGAAAAAAAAAAATGTTTGGCAGTGTGCAGTACGAATTAGAGGGGAGGGTAACCAGAGTCACAATTAGAAAATTATCACAGGATCGGGCTGGGCATGGTGGCTCACGCCTGTAATCTCAGCACTTTGGGAGGCCGAGGTGGGTGGATCATGAGGTCAAGAGTTCGAGACCAGCCTGGCCAATATGGTGAAACCCCATCTCTACTAAAAATACAAAAATCAGCCAGTCATGGTGGTGTGCGCCTGTAGTCCCAGCTACTTGGGAGGCTGAGGCAGAAGAATCACTTGAAACCGGGAGACGGAGGTTGCAGTGAGCCGAGATTGCTCCGTTGCACTCCAGCCTGGGCAACAGAGCAAAAATTCCTTCTCAAAAAAATAAATAAATTAAAAAAAAGTGTAATTTGTTGCTTAGAAAGTGTATCTTCATTCTCATCTAATCAGAATTTGAATTGAAGTACATATTGATTTCAAGTTTTTTCTCCTTACATTAATTTTCCTATTAAAAATAATACCTTGAGTTCTGATCTTTGTTGCTAAATAATGTTTCTTCCTAGGATATCTCACGGTTTATAGATCATCTTGTACATATTTAATTCCATCACTAGACAGGTATAGAACTGTGTAAATACAGTAAGAACTATACATACAAGATCTCTGAGAGTTTTGAGCGGGAAAAAAATTAGTGCTTCACCAGAACTGGGAAGACATCATAAAGAAGGTGACGTTTAAGAAAAGCCTATTTGGAGGTTGCAGTGAGTCAAGATTGTGCCACTGCATGCACTCCTGCCTGGGCGACAGAGTGACATCCTGTCTCAAAAAAAAAAAATGGATGTGAGTGTGATCTGTCTGGGACATCTGTCACCCCATTGATTACTAGGGTTGATTTGGCTAATCTGGCTGGCTAGGCGGGTGTCTCCTTCCTCCCACACTGCTCCATGTATGTCCCTCCCGAAGCTGCACGCTTGACCAAAGAGGATGACCATCCGGATAGAGGAGGACTGGTCTTCAGTCAAGGGTATATGTATGGTTGTACTCCCCTGCTAGAACCTCCAAAGAAGCTTTCAAGAAGAGCTTATGGCAGGCCGGGTGCAGTGGCTGATGTCTGTAATCCCAGCACTTTGGGAGGACGAGGTGGGCGAATTGCTTGAGCCCAGGAATTTGAGACCAGCCTGGGCAATATAGCAAAACCCTTTATCTACAAAAACTATAAAAAGTTAGCTGGGCGTGGTGGTGTACGCTTGTAGTCCCAGCTACTTGAGAGGCTGAGGTGGGAGGATCACTTGAGCCTAGGAGGTTGAGGCTGCAGTGAGCTGAGATCACACCCCTTGTACTCCAGGCTGGGCTACAGAGTGAAACCCTATCTAAAAAGAAAAAAAAAAAAACAACCAAAACCTACGGGCAGGACTGGGGATAAATAGTGTGTTTAGGGAAAAACAAATATAGTAGTAGATTGTTTACCAAAATAACAAAATATCCAGGACCTGTACTGTTCTGGCCTAATGAAGTGCTATTTCTGGAATTTTGAATTTTTTTTTTTTTTTTTTTGGCTGAGCACAGGGGACTTTATTGATGGCACATGACAAGGCAGGGCTCCCTAGGCCCCTCCCTCTTCAGGGGGTCTGCATGGAAGCTGTGAGGAGGGGAGAGTCTTAGTGTG
Organism: Homo sapiens; assembly: GCF_000001405.40. Classification (NCBI taxonomy): domain Eukaryota; kingdom Metazoa; phylum Chordata; class Mammalia; order Primates; family Hominidae; genus Homo; species Homo sapiens. The sequence goes on from NC_000013.11 coordinate 45,123,923, forward strand.
GTTGGGGACTGAGTATGGCAGGGACTCCCCAGCATTGAGGGTCTCTCTCTTCCTCTTGTTCTGTCACTGGGGCTGGTGGTCCAGGGGTCTTACTCCTTAGAGGCCATGTGGGCCATGAGGTCCCCCACCCTGTTGCTGTAGCCAAATTCATTGTCTTACCAGGAAATGAACTTGACAAAGTGGTCGTTGAGGGCAATGCCAGCCCCAGCATCTAAGGTGGCGCGATCTCGGCTCACTGCAAGCTCCACCTCGTGGGTTCAAGCGATTCTCCTGCCTCAGCCTCCCGAGTAGCTGGGACTATAGGTGCCTGCTACCACGCCCGGCTAATTTTTTGTATTTTTAGTAGAGACGGGGTTTCACCGTGTTAGCCAGGATGGTCTCGATCTCCTGACCTTGTGATCCACCCGCCTCTGCCTCCCAAAGTGCTGGGATTACAGGCGTGAGCCACTGCACCTGGCCTCCCCACTGGCCTTTTTAAAAAATTATTTTTGCGGCCAGGCATGGTGGCTCATGCCTGTAATCGCAGCACTTTGGGAGGCCGAGGCGGGTGGATCACCTGAGGTTGGGAGTTGGAGACCAGCCTGACCACCATGCCCAGCTAATTTTTGTATTTTTAGTAGAGATGGGGTTTATTTTGTTTGTTTGTTTGTTTTTGTTTTTGAGATGGAGTCTCACCCGGTCACCCAGGCTGGTGTGCAATGGCACAATCTCAGCGCACTGTAACCTTTGCCTCCTGGGTTCAAGCTATTCTCCTGCCTCAGCCTCCCGAATAGCTGGGATTACAGGTGTGTGCCACCACACCCACCTAATTTTTTGTATCTTTAGTAGAGATGGGGTTTCACCATGTTGGCCAGGATGGTCTTGAACAGCTGACCTCGTGATCTGCCTGCCTTGGCCTCCCAAAGTGCTGGGATTACAGGCATGAGCCACTGTGCCCAGCCAAGACAGGGTTTCACCATGTTGGCCAAGGTGGTCTTGAACTCCTGATTTCAAGTGATCCACCCACCTTGGCCTCCCAAAGTGCTGGGATTATAGATGTGAGCCACCCTTCCCGGCTAGCTTTCATTTTTTCACAGACAGGCAAGCGCTTGGACATTGGTGGCCAAAGAGAAAGTTATATACAAGGGAGAGATGAAACTGGAATGGGTGATACCCTAAAGCCTTGCAGATAGTAGGAGAAAAAGGAACTTAACATTTCTTGTGTAGCGAGTATTTTGCAAAGCAAACCGGTAAAGTAGGTATTAATTACCTGTATTTTTCAGATGATAAAATTTAAGGTTAGGGAGGTTAATTATCTTGCCTAAGCATGGAAATAGTGATTCAAATTTGTTAGGCTAAAAGCTTTGCCATAGAAATTTTTTTTCCCCTTTGCGTCTCTCTGTTTTTTTTTGTTTTTGTTTTTGTTTTTGTTTTTTTGAGACGGAGTGTCGCTCTTTTGCCAGGCTGGAGTGCAGTGGCGCAATCTTGGCTCACTGCAACCTCCACCTTCCAGGTTCAAGCGATTCTCCTGCCTCAGCCTCCCGAGTAGCTGGGGCTACAGGCGCGGGCCACCACACCCAGCTAATTTTTGTATTTTTAGTAGAGACGGGGTTTCACTGTGTTGGCCAGGATGGTCTCAATCTCTTGACCTCGTTCGTGATCTGCCCGTCTCGGCCTTCCAAAGTACTGGGATTACCGGTGTGAGCCACTGTGCCCAGCCCCCTTTGTGTCTCTTTAATGGGTTATCTCCCTAGAGATTCAGAGGTGAGGTGGGGACTTCATTTTTATGTCTTTGGTCTTGTCAGTTCTGTATCTTGAAGTTCAAGGAAACATGGGAATAAATGCTGCATGTCATAGATTGGGTTCCCTGAGCAGCTGATTTTGAGATGGAGACAGGGATTTATTAGTGAGTACTCTTGGGATCAGCATGTATGGAAGGAAAAGGATTTAAGCAAGATTGGGTAGAGCATGTAAGGCAGTCTCAGTGAAAAGCCAGGATGATTCCACAGGAGCCCTCCAGAGCTGTCCTCCTGTCCCAGCCAGTCAGTGGATATGGTTTGCCCCAGTAAGTGGGCGTGACCTTGAGCAAGGGGTCTTTCTTTAGTGGAGGCAATTTCAAAGAGGCCTAATAGCTGAGGGCTGTCTGCTGGCCACACTCTCAGCAGCTGTGGGAATAATGCCCTCAGTGCTGAAGGGGGAATCTGGGTGTCACATCATGATGTCCACTTCAGTGCTTTTAATTTTCTGGGAGAAACAGGGCTTTAGAGGCTAGCAGTTGGGGAACTAGATATTTGATGAAGCAAAGTTGGCAAAGAAGCACCTTGGCTTCAAAGGGAAGAACGACTTTTTTTTTTTTTTTTTTTTTTTTGAGATGGAGTTTCGTTCTGTTGCCCAGTCTGGAGTGCAATGGTGTGATCTTGGCTCACTGCAAGCTCCGCCTCCCGGCTTCAAGCGATTCTCCTGCCTCAGCCTCCTGAGTAGCTGGGATTACAGGCGTGCACCACGACTCCTGGCTAATTTTTGTATTTTTAGTAGAGACGGGGTTTCACCATGTTAGCCAGGATGGTCTCAAACTCCTGACCTCGTGATCCCCCTGCCTTGGCCTCCCAAACTGCTGGGATTACAGGCGTAAGCCACTGTGCCCAGCGACAAGAACCACTTTCTTATGCTGCCCAGTTTGAGTGAATGGGTGGGCAGATTGATTCATCCCACAAGCTTTCAGTGATTGCTAGGCTCTAAGTATGTTACAGTGAACAAAACGGACATGGTATATATACTGTGTAAACTACGACTTATAGCCCAGTATAGGAGACAGACATCAGTCAAATATTGGTCTTAACGAAAACAATTATTTTCAGAGAAGGACACTGAAGCAAGGAATATTGTTTCTGTGCATGTGAATAGCAAGGGACTTGTCCTGGTCTAGGAAGTCAAGGGAGGTTTCCTTGAGGAAATAATGCTGTAGTGAGTTATTTTCTGTCACTTTCTCTGGTATTGGGAAATCTAAGCAACCATACCCTGTTGTACTTATTACCTTGTCTCCATCTGATTTTCAGTAATGAGTGAGATAGTGGAAATAACACAGATACATCGTAAGTGATATGTTGACAGTGGTGTTTTGGAGCCTTGAAACCATATATACTGTCATTTTTTTCTTCCTCTCCCTCCCTCTTTTGAGACTTAATAGGCCGGGACTTCTGGGAAGCCAATTTCTGTAAGTTCGTGGTGTAGAGAGTTATATATAATTAATGTGCTATTATTATTATTTTTTATTGCAAGGGTGTAGTATTTTAGGAACCTTTGAATTAAATAAGCTGGTGGGCTTACCTGGGAATCTACAGTTTTATTATAATAATGAAGACAGTGCAATATGAGCTGCAAACTTGTTTTTGTCCATTAACTTATGGAGCACAATCTGCTTTTTTTTTTGGTCTTTCTTTTTGAGACAGGGTCTCACTCTGTCTCCCAGGCTGGAGTGAAGTGCTGTGAATTCGGCTCACTGCAACCTCTGCCTCCTGGGCTGCAGTGATCCTCCTGCCTCAGCCTCCTGAGTAGCTGGGACTATAGGCATGTGTCACCACGCCCAACTAATTTTTTTTTTTTTTTTTGTAGAGACAGGGTTTCACCATGTTGCCCAGGCTGATCTCAAATTCCTGGACTCAAGCAGTCTACCCACGTTGGCCTTCCAAAGTGCTAGAGTGTTGGGATTATGGCATGAGCCACCACCCCTGGCCTTGTTTTTTTTTGGAGACGGAATCTTGCTCTTGTCGCCCAGGCTGGGCGTGCAGTAGCACGATCTTGGCTCACTACAACCTCCGCCTCCTGGGTTCAAGTGATTCTCCTGTCTCAGTCTCCCGAGTAGCTGGGATTACAGGCGCCTGCCACCACGCCCAGCTAATTTTTGTATTTTTGGTAGAGACGGGGTTTCGCCATGTTGGCCAGGGTGGACTCGAACTCCTGACCTTGTGATCTGCCCGCCTCAGCCTCCCAAAGTGCTAGGATTACAGGCATGAGCCACTGTGCCTGGCACCCCGGCCTTTTTTTTTTTTTTTTTTTTTTTTTTTTTTTCTTTTTTTTTGAGACGGGTCTTGCTCTGTCACCCAGGCCGGAGTGCAGTGGCGCGATCTCGACTCACTGCAAGCTCTGCCTCCCGGATTCACGCCATTCTTCTGCCTCAGCCTCCCGAGTAGCTGAGACTACAGGTGCCCGCCACCATGCCCGGCTAATTTTTTGTATTTTTAGTAGAGATGGGGTTTCACCATGTTAGCTAGGATGGTCTTGATCTCCTGACCTCGTGATCCGCCTGCCTCAGCCTTCCAAAGTGCTGGGATTACAGGTGTGAGCCACTGTGCCCGGCCTCCCCCCTGGCCTTTTTAAAAAATTATTTTTGCGGCCGGGCACAGTGGCTCACGCCTGTAATTGCAGCACTTTGGGAGGCCGAGGCGGGCAGATCACGAGGTCAGGAGTTCGAGACCAGCCTGACCAATATGGTGAAACCCCATCTCTACTAAAAATACAAAAATTAGCTGGGCATGGTGGCGGGCGTCTATAATCCCAACTACTCGGGAGGCTGAGGCAAGAGAATCACTTGCACCTGGGGGGCGGAGGTTGCAGTGAGCCAAGATCATGCCATTGCACTCCAGCCTGGGTGACACAGTGAGACTCCGTCTCAAAAAAATAAAATTTATTTTATTTTATTTTATTTTTTGAGAAAGAGTCTCGCTCTGTCACCCAGGCTGGAGTGCAGTGGCATGTGATCATGACTCACTGTAGCCTCCAACTCCTGGGCTCAAACGATCCTTCTGCCTCAACCTCCCAAGTACCTTGGATCACAAGTGTGCACTAATATGCCTAGATAATTTTTAAATTTTTTGTAGAGATGGGGTCCCCGTATGTTGCCCAGGGTGGTCTCGAACTCCTGGCTCAAGTGATCCTCCCTCTTCAGCCTTCCAAAGTGCTGAGATTATAGGTGTGAGCCACCATGCCCGACACAATGTTTTTAAGTTGGCAGTTGCTTGTATTAGGTATAATTTGTTGTACTGAATTTGATTCTTAAATTTGCCTTAATGTATGATATATAGTTACTTTCCCTTGAAGTGCTTTCTTGTTTGAAGGCCTAAATCGTAGTCTCCAGTAGTTTGATCACAGAAAATCCTGATCTGGTTAATATGTTGAAGAAGTATGATCTCATTTAAGAGTTCCAAAGCTTCCAAACATTCTTGTGTTCTCTTTAAGAGCATTTCAGGGTATAGCAGTTAGGGCAAAGTAGTAGGTTAGAAAATGTCCTACTCTACTATTTGCATTTTGTCCTCTTCCTATTTATTTATGACAGAGTCTTACACTGTCACCCAGGCTGGAGTGCAGTGGCACGATCATGGTTCGCTGCAGCCTCGACCTCCCTGGGCTTAAGTGATCCTCCCACCTCAGCCTCTCGAGTAGCTGGGACTACAGGCACACACCACCATGCCTGGCTAATTTTTGTATTTTTTGTAGAGTTGGGGTTTTGCAATGTTGCCCAGGCTGGTCTCGAACTCCTGTGCTCAAATGATCCACCCACCTCAGCCTCCCAAAGTGCTGGGATTACAGGCGTGAGCCACCATGCCCAACCCTTCCCCCTTATTTTAAGGTGGATCTCTGAACTGAGACTTCCCTCTGAGAATGAAATGAAGTGTAGTAAATTATATATCCTAGGTATATTCCAGTATTGACCATCATTGCTGTTACATTAGTGTTTCTTCAATATCCACTCATTAAAATGATAACTATTCTTCTATTCTGGATGCTAGAGATATGACAGTAAACAAAATTACAATATCTGCCTATTCAGATACGTTCTAATTAGATTACGTTCTAATGAGGAGGGAGAATAGACGATAAACAAATACATTTAAAGCAGATGATAAGTGCTCTGAAGAAAAATAAAACAAGGTCAAGGATCTATAAAGTAACTGGTGATGCTATTTTAAATAGGGCAGGAAGGGACCTCACTGATAAGATGGTCTTTAAGCAGGGACGTAAAGAATTTATGGGCTTGCCCTTGCAGATACCCATGGGAAGAGTGTTCCGGACAGAAATAACAGCAAATGCGTCTTTAGATGGGACGTCACCGCAAATGTTCACAGGTCTGTGTGGTTTGAGTAAGGTGAGAGGGAGAGTAGGAGTTGAAGATATGGGATAGGATCATCCAGGGAACTGGGTCACCTAAGACATTATAGGAGTTTTCTTCTGAGTGAGATGGGAAGCTAGTAGCCATGGAGAGGCAGCATGGCATGGTGACTAAAATCGTGGACTGTGGAGTCGACTGCTTAGGTTAGAATCCTAGTTTCACCGCTAGTGATTGTGAGACTTTGGGCAAATAATAGCTTTTTGGTGCTTCAGTTTCTGCAGTTGCAAAATAGAATGATGATAGGGCTGTTATAAGGATTAAATGGAGTAATATTTGTAAAGTGTTTAGAAAAGTGTCTGGTAAACATAGTAAGCACTATGTAGATGTCTGTTAAATAAATGGAAATGTTTTGAGCAGAACAGTATCATCTGACTTAGGTTTTAAGATGACCATTCTGGCTGCTTTATTGAGAATAAACTGTACATGGGCAAAAGTGGAAGCAAGGAAATCAGGAGGCTGTTAAAACAATAATTATTCAAGAGATGATGGTGGCTTGGGCTAGGGTAGTAACTCGAGTTGGTGAGAAAAGGCTGGAGTTGGATATAATCTGAAGATATTGACAGGATGTATCAGTTGATTGGATTTGGGGTATAAGAAAAAAATATTCAGGATGACTCCAAGGTTTCAGCCTGAGTGTTTGGAAGAATGGAGTTGCCTTTTATTAAGATACGGAAAATTGCAGCAGGAGCAAGGTTTATGAGGGAGAAATTAGTTCTAGTATGGAGATTTTAAGTTTGAAATGCTTACTGAATATTAAGATGGAGAGTTTGAGTAGGCAGTTGGATATATAAATTGAGACTTCAGGGGAGAACCTGAGCTTGTTGTAAGTTTGAGAGTTGTCATACAGATGGTATTTTAAAGCCACGAGACTGGATGAAGTTACTTAAGATTGAGAGTATACAGGGCTGGGCACGGTGGCCTATGCCTGTAATCCCAGCACTTTGGGAGGCTGAGGTGGGCGGATCACCTGAGGTCAGGAGTTTGAGACCAGCCTGACCAACATGGAGAAACCCCGTCTCTGCTAAAAATACAAAATTAGCTGAGGCAGGAGAATCGCTTGAACCCGGAAGGCAGAGGTTGTGGTGAGCCGAGATCGCGCCATTGCACTCCAGCCTGGGCAACAAGAGTGAAACTCAGTCTCAGAAAAAAAAAAAAAGAGTATAGAGAGAAGAGGGGGGATCCAAGGACTGAATCCAGTGCCCACTGAAGTTAAGGGGCCAGAAAGATGAGAATCTAGATGTGGAGACCAAAAAGGAGAGTCCAGAGAAGTAGAGGGAGAAATCGAGAGAGTGTGATTACTCAGATGCCAAGTGAATAAAGTATTTGAAGGAAAAGGAAATAATTAGCTCTCAGATATTGTTGTTAAGTATGAAAGATGGGGACTAAACATTGGCTTGGTAATTTGGAGATCCTAATAACCCTGTGATCAGTTTCAGTGGAGTGGCAGGGAGGAGAGCCTGTCTAGAGTAAGTTCAAAACAAAGTGGCAGAGGAGTAAGTGTAGACAGCTGGCATAGAGAACTCTCTCAAGGAGTTTTGCCATAAAGAGAGGCAGAGGACCAGGCACGGTGGCTCATGCCTGTAATCCCAGCACCTTGGGAGTCTGAGGTGGGATGATCCCTTGAGTCCAGAAGTTTGAGACCAGGCTAGGCAATGTGGTGAGACTTCATCTCCACAAAAAATACAAAACTTAGCTGGGCATGGTGGTGCACACCTGTAGTTCAGCTACTTGGGAGGCTGAGGTGGGAGTATCGTTGGAGCCCAGGAAGTGGAGGTTGCAGTGAGCCAAAATTGTAAATCCACCCTGGGTGACAGAATGAGACCCTGTCTCAAAAAAAAAAAAAAAAAAAAAAAAGAGAGAGAGAGAAAAGGTAGAGAAATCAGACACTGGGTGGGAAGGATTATTAAGTCTGCCCTTTCCAAGGTGCATGCTCTTGAGCAAATTTATAAGCCTCCCTGTGCCTTAGTTTCCTCATCTGTAAAATGAAGACACTAATAGGATTGTGTGAGAAGTAGATGATTAATATATTTACAGCATTTAGAAGAGTGCTTGTTGCTTAATGTATTAATTATCTATTGGTATATAACCTATTACCATGGGCTTAGTAGTTTAAAACAACATGCATTTATTATTTCACAGTTTCTGTGGGCTGGGACTCCTGGCATGGCTTAGTTGGCTCCTTTGCTTCAAAGTCTCTCACTGGCGATAGTCAAGGTATCAGCCAGGGTTGGATTCTCATCTGAAGTTTTGACTGGGGAAATATTGTTTCCAAGCTTACGTGGTTGGTAGAATTCAGTTCCTCCAGGGTTGTTGGACTTAAGAGTCCAAGTTCCTAGCTGACTCTTGGCTAAAGCTTGTCATTAGTGTTTTTTTTTTTTGGTTTGTTTTGTTTTTGCCACATCGGCCTCTTCAATATGGCAGATTTCTAAATCAGAGTGTGCACACTGAGAAAGCAATGAGAGAAGACAGAAGTTATAATCTTATGTAACCTAATTACAGAAGCGAAGTCCCATTACTTTTGCCCTGAGTCACAGATACTAAGGGTGTACTTGAAGGAAATATGTCCTTGGTTACATAACAGGGAAAGAAATTCAGTGCACAAGTGGAGGGATTGGCCATAGTTTATCCATTGTTTAAAGAGGGTAAAGCAAGTAAAAGTATCCAATTGTGGCTAGGTGGTAGATGTAGAAGTTTAGATTTGATGGTTTGCTTTTTCTCGGTGGAAGAGGAAGTCAGGTCAGCACAGAGGGAGGAGGAAGGAAGAGGTGTTCTAGGTTCGAGAAGTGAAAAGAGAACATTTGAATAATCAGGAGTGAGGGACTGAATTGACTAGGGAGATGTAGTTAAGTTGCCAGGTGTCACTAAGGGCTCACTTGATGTTTGTAACCATGTATTTAATGTGAGACCAGCTAGCGTGATCGAGAGCTTTCCTTCAGCTGCTCAGGTGCAAGTGTGGCAGAGAAGAGGAATAACACAATAAAATAAAACCACAGATAAATTATAAATTAATAAAGAGAAGTAGAGATTGGCTTTAATCAGGATTAAGGTTTTGCCACGCTAGTATGACAGAGGAAGATGGGGCAAGGGAATGATTATAATGATGGACCATGGAATCTAGTTTCATTAAAGAGAGAAATGAGGACATAGCAGATGGGGGACAGTGAGAAGATGTTAATTAGAGTCAGCGAATTGAGGGTTAGAAGAATTGTTGGGAGTCAAAGTGAGGTGGGAAGTTAAAGAAAGAAAAATAAAATTAAAAAGAGAAATAAGGTTTCCTATATTAGGCTGACTTGTCCCAGAGGCAGCAACAGGCACAGCCCAGACCCAGGGAAAGTCTTGATAATGCTATCTATCTAAGAAGCCAGGACACAAAGGAATGTGCTCTGGAGACTCTCCCAGCACTCCCTCAACATAGGGAGAAGAAAAACAAATTTTCATTTGTTTTATGGTATGAGTTTATAAATTCCATTCTCTGTAACTGGTGACTTCAAGTATTCTGTTTTATCTAAGTAGTGGAGTGGTCATAAACCATCTGAGCAGGCCACCTGGGCGCCATAGTGAAGGCCGTGGAATAAGCCATGCTAGGCACTAGGCAAACCTAGATAATGGACATCTGGGCTGCATGGCAATGGTCATGTGTAATCCTGAGTTATGAACCTGTTACAATTTGATTAACTGTCTTTGTCCTGCCTCTGTATCGCTGCATTCGTGCCACTGTAAGCCTGCTTCAAGCTAGCCCACCCCTTTTTAAAGTGTGTATAAAAGTCAAGTGCTGTCTTTGTTCTGGGCCCAGTCTTTGGATGTTAAGTCCGCTGGGTCTGAGTGCACTCATTAAAGATATCCTCCTGTATACACCCCATGGTCTCTCTCTGGTCCTCCTGATTCCGCCACAAAAGTACTAAGGAGAGAGCTAGGAATTTAGGAGATGGTGCTTAGGATGGTTGCTTGAAATACAGATTATGAAGGGGATACTGTTGTTGAGAATGAGAAGTTCATAGGATATCCAGCAGATAATGTTGTGGACATTTGCTTCTTTAACCAGTATCCATTTACTTTGACATTGTTGCAGAATCTTGATTGTGCTTGTGGAAACCACTGTTTCCCCTTTTCAATCTGTGTGATTTTAATGGTATTGACTACCCTTCCGCAAAGATGTCATTGACTCAGGCTGGCCAGTGAAGTATCTCATCTCTGGGCACAGTGATAGGTCCAAGAAAGGGCACACACCCTTGTCAGCTTGATGAAAGACAAATTTTCGCTAGGGACTTCTGGGAAGAAGACTTATGCTCTTCGGGAGCTGCCTCTGCCATCTTGCTGCCTGAGGTGGGGGTCTGCCAAATAACTGAGTTAACATGGGGGAGGGATAGATAAGAAATAGTGAAAGAGTCCTGAGGGCATCATTTGAGCCCTTAATGAAGCCACCTTAAAGCTACCTCTGGAATTTTTTGTTATTTGGCACATGAAATCCTCTTTAAGTGGGTTTTCTGTCACCTGTAATTAAAGGAGACCGAATGGGTAGGTACAGTCATCGTAAGGAGTTTGCCAAATCCTCTAAGCTTGTTTGGATGAATGGAGTAGAGTGTAGTGGAAGTTTTGTTGAGATATGGAATCTTCAAAATCCTCCTTCCCTTAGATCTATTACATACTCTTCTTTAGCATGTATACCCTTGTGAGAGGTAGTATGGTCTAGTGAAGAGAGCAGAAGACCAGTCTGGAGTTGAGTCTTGAATCTGATCCTGGCTTCTTGAGTTATTTCAACCCTCTGAACCTCAGTTTTCTCATCTGTAGGATGAGGAGAATGTGATTTTGCAGGGCAATTGGAAGGATGAAACAGGATAGTGGATGTTTAGCATGGTACCTGACTGGACTCTAGTATATTGTCTAACTTTTTTTTTTTTTTTTTGACACAAGAGTCTCTCTCTGTCACCCAGGCTGGAGTGCAGTGGTGTAATCTCAGCTCACTGCAACCTCCACCTCCTGGGTTCAAGCAATTCTCGTGCCTTAGTCTTCCAAGTAGCTGGGACCACAGGCATGTGCCACTGCGCCCAGCTAATTTTTGTATTTTTAGTAGAGACGGGATTCCGCCATGATGGCCAGGCTGGTCTAGAACTCCTGACCTCAAGTGATCTGCCCGCCTTGGCCTCCCAAAGTGCTGAGATTACAGGAGCAAGCCACCACACCCCATGAACCCATAGTATCTAGTAGTTGTTCAGTAACTTTATTTATTTTTTTGAGACGGAGTATTGCTCTGGCGCAATCTTGGCTCACTGCAACCTCTGCCTCCCAGGTTCAAGCAAGTCTCCTGCCTCAGCCTCCTGAGTAGCTGGGATTACAGGCACGCACGACCATGCCCGGCTAATTTTTGTATTCTTAGTAGAGGTGGGGTTTCACCATGTTGGTCAGGCTGGTCTTGAACTCATGACCTCGTGATCTGCCCGCCTCGGCCTTCCAAAGTGCTGGGATTACAGGCGTGAGCCACCGCGCCCAGCCCTGTTCAGTAACTTTTAATGTGAAGAGTGCATACATAATTGAACAAATACCATCAGGGGCTTCTTTTCATCCTTCTATTCCTGAATTTTTGCTGTACCAAGGTACTGCAATTTATTTGACTAGTGGTCAAGTCGTGTTTTTTTGCACATGAAGTACTGCTAGGTAGAATTTCTTTCCTTCTCAGCTTTGGCAGCTAGACTGTCACTCCAAATTTGTCATGAAAAAATAATGACACTTGACACTTACTGAGTAATTGCTTTGTGTAAGGTGTTATGCTTTATACTTGGTGTATCTCATTTACTCCTAATAATAGGATAACTTTCAAGGTATGCCCTGATTCCAGAGTCCAAATTACTTTTTAGAAGAAATGAGATAAGGTATATAGTAGGGATTCAGCATATATCATCCACTTTTCCTTTTTGGGAATTAAAGTCCTTCTTATTGCATGTATCCAGTTACAACACAATATAGTGTATTGGTTAAGAACACAGACCCTGGAGGCAGAATGCCTGGGTTCAAATCCTGTCTCCATCTTTACTAATTGTATAACCTTGAGTAAATTGTATAGTCCCTGAGTGCCTCAAATTCATCATCTGTAAAATGGGGGTAATAGTACCTGTTCCATAGAGATGTGAGGATTAAATGTGTCAATCTATATAAAGTGCTTACAACAGTGTCAGGAAGGCAGGATTATATAAATGTTAGCTATGCTGTTTAATAATCCTTTTATATTAGCAGCCTCTTCTTCACAGTAGTCAAAGTTACAATTTTCTACATAATAAAACTTGACTTTTGAAATAATCGTAAGCCCAGTGGTGTTTCTAAATAATGCTGTTACTATAGTGAGTGCTGTTCTCTTCTGAGAAGCCTTTTCTGATAGCCTTTCTCTTCTGTGACCTTTAATTGGACTTATTTGGGAAGATAAGTTGGTGCTTTATTATTGTTAGGTTATTTGACCTATGTTAGTTTTGTGTTGCCACCTCGATTAAGTTCTTTGAGAGCTAAAATCATTTTTTACGTGTCTTAGTATTTTATATAGTGTAAAACATACAGTAGTAACTTGATAATGATCCCTTATTAGAGGCAGAAAATAAAAATAGAAGCAATATATCATTTTATGTTTGAAAAGATGTTAGCATCTAAAATAGACTTATTAGTGTTTTACTTTGTTTTAGGTTCCTAAATATTTGTCACAGCAATGGGCTAAAGCCTCTGGAAGAGGTGAAGTTGGGAAACTGCGGATTGCCAAGTAAGTTATTTACATATTCTTGACATTTTAAAAAGCTATTTTTGAAATTTTTATAAGTGCTTTTAAAAGTGATTATAATTTCTGATCAGAGTTTACTTGGAAAATGACAAGTAATGAGCATGTCAAGGCTTGTCAGGAGATGGTTAGGTGCCCTGTAAGGAGACATCCTTGCACATACACACATATCCCCACACCCACACTCCTAGTGACTGGTGGTATAAATATAATATCAAGTTTATTGGTTTACCTTAATGGCGGTGAAGCAGCAGATTATGTAGTTCTTTCACCCCTCCATCCTGTCTGCCTCCTTGAGCAGGTTTGCTTAGGCTGGGTATAACTGGATGCACCAAGGAAAGTACTTGCAGCAGGACTTTGCCACTGTACCACTGGGCCTACTTATAGGGGCTTTGGAAGTGGGTGGGGAGTATCTAGAAAACAGTGTAACAATATAGTTTTCTGGTTGAGGAAATGGCCTTGTTAGAAAGGAAAGCCTCTAAAGCTCAGCTAGTGTCAGCTGGAGGCCTTGTGTTCCATTCTTTCTATCCATTCATTCTTAACCAACTCCATTCAGATTCGTATGTCCATGATTCCATTGAAACAGCTCTTGTCTGTTACTGGTATCTTCCTCTTTATCAATTAGCTTTTGCTTCATAACAAACCATCCCAAAACTTAGTGGCTTAGAACAAAAGCCATTTTATTTGCTGATAATTCTATGGATCAATTCTGGTTGGGGCTGGCCTGGGCGGCCTTCCTGGCAAGGATGTCCTCACTTGTATGTGGTGGTTGAGTTGACATTAGCAGGGGCAACAGCTATTTATTTCATCTCTAGCAAGCTCATTCACATGATGGTGAAAGAGTTCTAGTAGGAAAAGAGGAAGCCCCAGTGCACAAGCACTTTGAAAGCCTGTGCTTGTGTCACATTTGCTAAAGTCCTTTTGACCAAAGCAGCTCACATGGCCAAGCCCAGATTCAGTTATGGGAAAACAGACTCCACCTTTTGATGGAAGCTGCTGCAAAAAAAACTTGTGTTCCTTATTTATTTATTTATTTATTTCAAAATATGGAATACTTCCTAATTCGCATGTCATCCTTGTGCAGGGGCCATGCTCATCTTCTCTGTATTGTTCCAATTTTAGTATATGCTGCTGAGGCGAGCACATGTTCCTTTTCATAATCGGCCACGTCCACATTCCTAAATCCAAGAGTCAACTAGCAGCTCTCTTACTTGAACTTCGGTGGAATTTGACATAGTTGATCACTTTTTTCCTGAGACTTTTTTTTCCCCACTTTACTCTAGGACACATCTCTTCTCCTCTCGCCTCATTGGCTGTTCCTTCTTAGTTTCTTGCTAAGCCCCTTCTCATCTTCTGTCTCTAAATGTTATGTGACCCCAGGACTCAGTCCTTAGTTCTTTCCTTTTCTCTCTTTTCACTTCCTGGGTGTTCTCATTTGGTCTCATGGCTTTAAGTACCAGGTGGTATTTAAATATACAGTTCAGGATGCTTCTGCCCTCCGTGGAGGCACCGTGCTCAGGAAGGTCCTTATTTTCTTTGTGTTCCATGCCCTGGCTGTGACTTTCTCCACACTACTCCCAGAATCAACCACTGACCTACTAGAATTGACCGCTGATCTAGAGTTAACCACAGACCAAGATTTAACCATTAACCTAGACTTGACCACGGACCTAGAGCCAACCACAGAACACGCAGGCTCTGGAATTCTTTACTGATGTGGAGTCAGCCAACTCTAGCTTTGTGGAAGAAGCTGCTGAGGCCACAGCTGATTATAATCCATTTCAGAGAACTTGTGAGTGACGATTATGATGTGAGTGAAGATCAGTATTATTATTATTTTTCGAGACAATGTCTCACTCTGTTGCCCTTGCTGGAGTGCTGTGGCGTGATCTCAGCTCACTGTATCCTCTGCCTCCCGGGTTCAAGCGATTCTCCTGCCTTAGCTTCCTGAGTAGCTGGGCTTATAGATGTGCGCCAGCATACCTGACTAATTTTTGTATTTTTAGTAGAGACGGGGTTTCGCCATGTTGGCCAAGCTGGTCTTGAACTCCTGACCTCAAGTGAGCCACCTGCTTTGGCCTCCTAAAGTGCTGGGATTACAGGCGGTAGCCACTGTGCCCGGCCGCGAGTGAAGATTATTATGAATGCTGTTTATTCCAAAGAGCCCATCATTAGAGTGACAGACAAGCTTAGCAGATTCACAGGAAGCAATGAGTCCATCTCAGCGCATGTTAAAGCAAATTTTTAGTTAGCTGTGACTATGACTGTTATCCACTACTTTCTAAGAAGATTCTGAGCTTTAAGACAAGCCTGTTACTCCACTATAGGAGATTGCATAATGGTAGAAAACTAGTGAAATGTAGGATGTACCCAGCTGAGGAGAAACAGCAAGACATTGATCCTGGGTTGGGTGATGTGAATTGTGCATGGATGGGGCAGGGGCATTTCTTAGCTGTGTCTCATTTAATATGGGCTCAATAAATGTTCATTTCAACTGAAAATAAGTAAAAATCAAAAAATGTATTTACACACCTCTCTCTCTGTCCACGCTCGTAATTCTGACTGTGTTGTTGATGTTTGGACTGTGTCCTCGGATGTCCTCGGATGTTTCAGAAGCATCTCAAACTTAATAATTGCTATTCTTCTGTTTTTTCTCTCTGTAACACTCTTCCTTTAGATAATCCCCATGCCTTACTCCCACATTTCTTTTCGGTCTCTGTTCACAATTTCAGCTCATTGAGGTATTTTCTGGCCACCATATGTAAAATAGCACCCTGCAGGCTCTATCTCCCTTACCCTCTTATTATTCACTGTTCTTTTGTGTTGTTATTTATTCTCCTTCTACTATACCCATCTGACATACTGTATATTTGTTTATGTGTTGTTCATATCGCCTACTAAAGTATAAACTCTACCAGGTCAGGATTTTTGTCTTGATGATTACTATATCTCCATTGTCTAGAACAATGCTTGGCATAGTAGACACTGTGTTCTAAAGTTAGGTGGGGACAAGTACAGTTGTCCCTCAGTACCTGCAGGAGATTGGTGTCTGGCATGCCCCATCTCCCATACCAAAATCTACCATGCTCAAGTCCTTTATATAAAATGGCACAGTATTTACGTATAACCTACACACATCCTTCTGTATACTTTAAAGCATCTCTAGATTACTTATAACTAATACAGTGTAAAAACTATGTAAATAGTTGTTACTATTTGTTTTTCTCTTTTTTTTGAAACAGGGTCTCACTCTGTTCCCAGGACTACAGGCAAGCACTGCCATGCCCAGCTAATTTTTTTTTTTTTTTTCTCGTAGAGGCAGAGTCTCCCTGTGTTGCCTTGGTTGGTCTCAAACTCCTGGGCTTAAGGGATCCTCCCTCCTCAGCCCCTAAAGTGTGGGTGTTACAGGCATGAACCACCATGCCCAGCCGATGTTTAAAATATTTTCAGTCTGCAGTTGGTTGACTCCACGAATATTGACCACTCAGATATAGGGGGCCAACTGTAATATCTCGTTTTCTCAAGGAATGATTGAGTATATGTTCATAGTGGAGTCAGGCTTGTATTCTGGCCTTTTATTGGTCAGAAAACTCCAGCATGTCCTAGTTCTAACTCAATCATTTACTATGAGTGAGACTTTGTACAAGTCACTGAATCTTCTGACTTTAGATTTCTTATCCTAAAAGTTGCCTTTTTGCAGGGCTTTTATATGAATCCATTAAGATAATATGGAAATAGTTATTTATTTGTATATTTAAGTTTATAAGATGAACATATTCCTGGAAAGTTGTAGATGTGTCACATTTTTATGAGTTGTCATACTTTTATTGAAAGAGAAAAATAATATTGAAATGTACAGGTTTTTTTTCCCTCAATGTGAAGTTCTTTGTAATGTACATAATTAGCTACTGTTCTGTAATGAACTTCAGAGTTTTTTATATTAGGTTTTACTGAAATGGGAGCCACAACCAAGATAAAATCTCAGGAATGTATGTCACTGAAGAAAGGCAGGCTAAAGGAGAGAGTACTTAGATGATGAACCTCATGGTATTGTGGAGTGCCTTCACAATACAGCTCAAGACCTGGCTTCTAGTCCTGAATGGCTGTTGATAGTTGTTTGGCTTTGGGCCTTACACTTCTTGTTTGTAAAATGTGGATAATAATGCCTTCCCAACCCATAGGATGTTTATAAAACATTAAATAGCTTAGCATTTGTTAAAATATTTGTAAACTCAAATGTTCTCCTTCCATGTAATATTCATGTCCCATGAATAATACATTCCTGAAAACCTCTATGTAAAGAAAATACCTGGTTCAGAAATATAGTATCTCTTTTTGGGAGGAGGGGGAAAATATTACAGGAAAAAGAGTGAAAGGAAACAAGGCTGAGAGAAACCCATGTAAATCTCAAGTACCACTTTGATCACTAAAGTAAAATATTAAAGATAGCATGCTAAATAAGCAATAATGGGCATGCTGCAATTTTTCCTTATGAATCCTTGCTTGGTAGAAAATCTCAAGGTCTTTTTCTTTCTTAGTTTAAAGCAGATGGTCCACATAGTTGCTAATCCACATAGGGTGGCTAAACCTCCAGGTTTGCCTGGAACCCTCCCAGTTTATGTGTTTCCCTATGCAATTATTAATAGTGCCCCCTTTTCCACTCTCCAGGGTGTCCTGGTTTTGATAATATAGTTGTCCTAAGTGTTAGCAGATGTGTGTGTAGGGGTAGGGGTGAAGACGGTGGGTAGTTATTCTATGCATTACTAGGCTGATTTATGAGCTGGCATTGTTTGATTTCTCTAGGGATCCAACCAAAGTTCCTTACAAATACTGTGTGTGTGTGTTTTAGTGTATAAGTAATACCTACTTTCTTGTTTTTTTTCCTTTAAAATTTTTACAAAATGAAAAGGTCTCTGTTTTCCCCATTCACATGCTTTAGAGGTGGCCATGGGTAACTGCTTGGTATGTAAGCCTCCAGATTACTCTCCATACAAATCATTTTGGGTGTTTAATACGGACAAAGTTTTAAAACATTGTTATGTTTTAAATCCACTAACCAGAGCAAGGTATTTTTCTAACCCCTTTAGGCTTAGTTTTGCTAACTTCAGAACATAGCACAGAAGTCTGATTTTGCTTTCCTTGTTGTTCTCTCTTGTATGTAGTTCTGAGGCTTTGGTTTACTTTGTTGCATCTTGATCTCTTCCCTAGAGTACATGGCCAGTACTTACATTCCTTGTTTTTCTCACTTTAGTCTTGAATTCTTTTGAAAGTAAAACCTCAGTAGAAGTGAGTTGAAATTATTTTATTCAAATCAGTTTCCTCAACCACAGTTGAAGAAAAAGTAAGCCCACCATTTTGTTTTTGAGATGGAGTCTGGCTCTGTTGCCCAGGCTGGAGCGCAGTGGCGTGATCTCGGCTCACTGCAACCTCCGCCTCCTGAGTTCAAGCAATTCTCGTGCCTCAGCCTCCTGAGTAGCTGGGATTATAGGCGCCTGCCACCATGCCCAGCTAATTTTTTTTATTTTTAGTAGAGACAGGGTTTCACCATGTTGGCCAGGCTGGTCTTGAACTCCTGACCTCAAGTGATCTGCCTGCCTTGGCCTCCCAAAGTGCTAGGATTACAGGCGTGAGCCACCACGTCTGGCCCTCAGAATTTCTTAAAAGGGAATCTAGTGGTTTTTACCTATGCCAATATCAGAGACAAATAAGGAGCAAATTGTGTGTGTTTGCATGTTTTATATGTAGGCAACAGGTCTAGCAGATTTTCTACCTAACGTAACACATAATCAGTCTTGTAGAAGATCTAGATACTTTTAGTGATGAGAACAGACTTATAGTAATTAGTACCCTAAGACTGCTATGAAAATGCTTGAAAACAGCTTGTTGCCTAGTTGGTCTCCTGGCTGTATTCTCCAGGCTGTCTTGTTTACTTTACTAATTTACTTAGTTTTCATTGCTGTTACTGAATTAACTAAATTCACTGTTAAACAAGTGTAGGATGGGTGGGGAATGTCTTACAGTGCATGTGACTAGGTTATCAGGATTTTAGTTGATTTTGAGCTTAATATGAGTCATCAAATTTATGAGCCGATAAACAAAAGGCTCCATTGATAGATGTCTGTTGTTTAGAATGAAGTGGAATGATAATCCTCCTCCTTACTTTGCCAGTCAGCTCACAGTGAAAACATTATGTTCAGTTCTTAGTGCTGCACTTAAAGAGAGACATGGATGAATAAGATCATTCAGTGGAGTGAGACTAGGATAATCAGAAAGCTGGAAAAAAAAATTAATGTCTTATAAGGAACATTTGAAAGTCTAGGGCTGTTAAGAGAAGATGTAGGGCAGACCAGGTAAACTGTACTCACAGATGTAGAATCAACTACTGATTCCTAGAGGCAGATTAACCTCTAAGTATGTAGGTTTATAGGTTATAGGTTATAGGTTACCTGTGGTTTAAAAAAATGTGTATTTGGGTACAAAATGAAAACAACTAAGATTTTAGAAAGGCAGTGTGGCATACTGGTTATGAGTATGGACCTGGGAATTAGCCTGAGGTTTAGTCCTTACCCTATCACTTACTAGCTATGTGACTTTGCGTAAATTGTTTACTCTGTTTCCTCATCTGAGGAGATGATATTAATACCTCATAGGTTCAAATGCATGTAAAATACGTAGTTAATAAGAGTTCTCCTGCTGTTGTAACCACGCATACTACACAGGCCAGATAGTAGATACTGCATTGTGTCTAATGTGGTGTGGGAGGACCTTCCCTCCCTACCACATCTTCCGAAGCTCAGCAGCAGCTTGCTGTGTGTCGCAGGCCAGAAACTAGGAGATCTGTATGGCGTGGCTGCTTATTCCAGAAGACAGGGCTGTGGGTGGAGAGATTGGGAGAGGCAGAGAGGAGGGAAAAGACGTGCAGCCTGGAATGCAGCTCTTCCTGAATTTGGTTCTGTCTTAATACTCGAAAAAAGGAGAGTCCAGTTGTGAATAAGATGAGAGTAACAGCTTGTTCTGACAGTTGGTAACATTTGGACCATTTTTATCAAGCAATTTATATGATATTTCTAAACCAATGTACCTGGATTATTTTTGTATCTTTGGACATCTGATGTGTGCCACATTTTAATTAGTTTATAGTTTTGCTGGTCTGGGCATGGTGGCTCACACCTGTAATCCTAACACTTTGGGAGGCTGAGGCAGGTGGATCACCTGAGGTCAGGAGTTCGAGACCAGCCTGGCCAACGTGGTGAAACCCCGTCTCTACTAAAAATACAAAAATTAGCCAGATGTGTTGGTGTGTGGCTATAATCCCAGCTCCTCGGGAGGCTGAGGCAGGAGAATCGCTTGAACCCGGGGAAGCAGAGGTTTCAGTGAGCGGAGACCTCACCATTGCACTCCAGCTTGGTCAACAAGCGCAAAACTCAGTCTCAAAAAAAAAATTAGTTTATAGTTTTGCTTTAGCTTGTTTAATTTTAAAGGCAACCTTCTTTGTACATCACCATCCTGCCTCAGAATACTTCAGTTGTCCAAATGTTTGATATATGTTATATCTTATTGATAATCATGTAGCCTGTACTAATAATATGGCTTCTCCCCGAGATTTTTATTTCTAGCTTTATTTCTTTTTTTGGTCTTTTTTTTTTTTTTTTTTTTTGAGACAGAGTCTCACTCAGTCACCCAGGCTGGAGTGCAGTGGCGCGATCTCGGCTTGGGTTCACGCCATTCTCCTGCCTCAGCCTCCCGAGTAGCTGGGACTACAGGCGCCCGCCACCACGACTGGCTAATTTTTTGTATTTTTAGTAGAGACGGGGTTTCACTGTGTTAGCCAGGTTGGTCTCGATCTCCTGACCTCGTGATCCACCCGCCTCGGCCTCCCAAAGTGCTTATTTCTAGCTTTATTTCTAAACATGTTTAACATTCTGGGTCATGTGGGGACCCGCTAATAATAAAAAGTATGGAAACAAAAAATTAATGAGACACAATTTTTCTGTTATAAAATTGACTGAGTTTAGAACAGTGTTATACTGATAATATGATGACGGGAGTTCAATTTGTTACAAACTTTCTGAAAGGCAGTCTGGCAACATATATGTGTGTGTATATAACTTACACAACATGCACACATATTCCTGCTCAAAACAACATAGAATAACAATCCCACTGTTTTCTCTGCCAGTTAGCTCACAGCTCAAGCATTTTATTCAGTTCTCGATGATGCCATTATCTAGAGAGATAGACAAATGAGCTCATCCAGTAGAGTGGGACTGGGATAATGAGAAAGCTATAAAAATTAATAAAAAAAATTCATGCCTTTCATCCAGCAATTCTGTAAATTTCTCTTTGTTTCTTTCATTCCATCAACTGCTAGGAACTTATCCCAGGGAAGTAATAGGTGAGTGATGGAAAGATTAATATATGAGGATAAATTAATAGTAAAATATTTATGCCCTTTTGACATGTCTTCATCATTCTTTGAGCACTTGTTATTTTTTTGACATAGAGAGATGTTTTAGACTCATCTTATACATTTCTGCCTAAGCCCTGGAGTTAGCCATTTCTCCAAGGGGTTGGCCATGGTTCCTTTTAGGGGAGAATGATATTTAGAAACTAAGATCTGGATACCCCAAATGCTTCTTGCTGCTTCCAAGGCCTTCTCAGTGAACAGAGCTAGGGAGCATATGTACACACACACATACCTCCCCCACACACATCCCTCTTTACATCTGTATTTCTATATTTACATATATTGAAATGAGTTTGCACTAATATATCCAGTTCCAATAAAATACCACATACTTTGTTCCAGTTTTCTTCCTTTTCTTACTTGTGCTTCTTTTCCAAAAGTGAGAAACCTGGTTCCTGTTGTCCTTAATATAGTTACTTATTTGTTTGGGCCTCTGTTCTTACTTGTTCAGTCCGTTCCCAACTCCATGTGCAAATACCCTATTCACCCTGCTTGGGCTGTAGCTCCCCTCAGTGTGCTGCCACTTTTGCTGTCCTCCACTGGGACACCCTCCTCACCCTGTTCAGGCTTTCATTCCTGTTCTGAGGTTTCTCCCCTCCTCCATAGGAATGCCTCCTTACCCCACTAAGGGTCCAGCATCCTGTTTCAGGTTGTCCTCCTATATGTGGATGCTCTCACCCGCCAGGCTCTGACACATTTCTTACTGAGCCACTCCTTTATAGCGATGCCCTCCTTACCTGACTGGGCTCTGATACCTTGCCCCTGCTTGCCTGCTTCACCCCAGTGGCATCCTCTTCACCCCATTTGGACTATGACCATCCTATCCAACCCACTCTGAAGAAGATACCTATGTTGTTTGGCTTCACCTAATGGTTTTTGAGCTCAGTTGTTCAGTTAGGGGAAGTATGAATAGGAATTAAAACAAGGCCTGGTGCGGTGGCTTATATCTGTAATCTCAGCACTTTGCGAGGCCAAGGCAGGAGGATCACTTGAGTCTAGGAGTTCGAAACCAGCTGGGGCAACATAGTGAGACCCTGTCTCTACAAAAATAAAAATAAATGTTAGCTAGATAAGGTAATGAGCGCCTGTGGTCCCAGCCACTCCAGAGGCTGAGGTGGGAGGATCACTTCAGCCCAGGAAGTCAAGGCTGCAGTAAGCCATCATCATGCCACTGCACTCTAGCCTGGGTGACAGGTCAAGACCCTGTCACAAAAAGAAAACAAAACAAAACCAACAAGAGCCAACAGTTGAATAATGATATTGTTTTATTAACCTGGAAAAGGTGTTGCTTATTGCCTGTTAGTGAAAAGCCAGGCCCCATTGGTACCAAATCCAAGAAGTATTTTAAAAGTGTAAGAAAAAGGAAAGACATGATTAATACAAATTAAGAAAGGCAACAGGAATGAGACCGGAATCTAAAAAAGTAGCTGTGGGGTATTGAGAAATAGACTCAGAGTAGTAAAGGAGAAAATGCACAGCATTCTGAGAAATTTAGTGAAAGGATGGCCAGATGTTTACTTCATTAATTTCTGAAGATAGCACTGTATTGTACAATAATTAGCATTTAAAATTTTGCACACAGGTCATCATACAAAGGGTATATTATAGTTGTAATGTAGAATAACAAAAGGTTATGTGTACTTCATACATTCACACACCAAGACAAGGGAATATGTCATTCTTTTAAAATAAGTTTTAAGTCTTCAAGGATTAGCTTTTTTTCCTAGAGAGTATTAACTCATCTAGAGCTCATCAATCTATCATTCCAATTAAGATGCTGTTATAATTATATATGTGTGAAAATGAAATTGTCCTCTCCTCCTGTGTTCCCTGATTGCATCTAGTTACCAAGACTGAAAATGTCAACATGATCTTTAATTCATCTTTTTTCCTATGCTGCCCACTTCCAGTCATTTCCTCTTCTCTTAGTTTTAACAATTTAATGACCTGCTATGTATCTCTTCCTTACGTTCTACCACTAGCTGCTTCAAGCTGTCTTTACTTTCTATGTGGGTGTTTGCCTTAGCCTCAGTAGAATTCTGTAAACATTATGGAAGTGTCTTCTGCATCTTTTCGTTTGTTTTGTCTACAGCACCTCTGCCTTAAACAGGTAGCTAAATTAAAGGCAGTTACATTAAATTGAGCTCTAGAAGCTAAATTCAGGAGTGCTAGAGAGGGGACTGTGGTGAATTTAGTGCCTGCCTCAAAATGCAAGTTGAGGGTATTGTTGTCATGCTGAATTGGGGGCCAATCTTTGCCATATCTCTGATTCTTGTAAGAGAAGCTGGAAATTCATATTTTTATGTGAAATCTTAAAATTTTCTCACCTCGTTTTAAGATACTTCCTCAACAAAGAAGAGACTGACATTGCATTTTAATATGTAAAAGACTGAGAAGTCCTACAGTAAACAAATCTGCGGAAAAATCTGGAATCCTTAGTCTGTCCTAAGTGATTCTTTACCATTTGACTCTGGGCTGCCATTCACTAGTGTCAGAAAGAATGTGCTAGATACTTTCTTTTTTCATTTGGGCTATTCCCTTAGCCTGGAAATCCCCCATGTTTTCGACTTCATCCCTCACTCACTTCTTTTCCTGGCTTTCCAGTTTGCATTTCCATGACAGGTACATTTATGGTATATACCTTTGCCATAAAGTTTTTGTTGTTATGGCAAGATATAACTGTTTTATTTGTAGTTGTTTATGATTGGACGTGTCTATTTTCATTAAACTGGGACTTCCTTGAGGTCAAGGATCCATACTTAATACTGTACCATGTACGTAGCACAATGCATAGTGGACATATAGTAGACCCTTCATAATAGAATGAGTGATTAACTGAGCTAGTGAATGAAGGCAGGTTGGAACCAAACTGAACGTTATGGAGAAACAGTGGTTTTCTAATTGGTCTTCCTATCTCTAGTCACCTTTAGTCTACTCTGTATATATTTTCTAGTGCAAGTTTCCTGTAGGAAATGTTTGTACTTGTTATTCTTTTGGTCAAACAATATCTACAGATCTCCATTGCCCAAAGAATAAAGTCTGTATTTTGTACTGTGATATTCAAGAGCTTCTATGGTTGAGCCCCTTTAGAGTTTATCTCCTCCCCTTTCTTATTTTGCCTTTCCCTTCTAGCCAAGTCTGATCACTCATTTGTGATCAGACCCTTTTGTGACTTTCGTTCAATTCTCACTTCTGGTACTGTATTTCCCCACTTCAACTTATTGCAATCTTAGTACCCTTTAAGGCTGAGCTCAGAGTTCCGTCTTTGTTGGGTCATTCCTTAACTCTTAAAATGGAAGAAATGGCTTCTTCCTGTCTGATCCTGGTGCATTGTGGCTCCCTTAATTGAACATTAAAATTTATCTTATTTTATAGTTTATGGATGTACCTTTTATTCCTTCTGCTGGCTGGGACAGGGTTAACTCAGTACTTTGCATGTAAGAGGTATTTAATACATACTTTTAAAAAATTAAGTTCTTATATAGGATGTACATTGATTTTGCTTTGTAAAAAAAATTAAAATTTAAAAACGTAATTCAAATACAGTATATAGAAAATAGTGTGGAAAGATACTGCACCAAGATGTTAACAATGGAATTGTGGCTATTTTAAAACTTATTTTTTGCTCGTCTGTATTAAAAATATTTATATGTGGGCATATATTGTTTTATAATAGAGGAAAATTGCTCATAATTTAAATTATTAAATTTAATAACTTGATCTTTAAGATTTTGTTAGGTAAATGAAACCTCTTCAGCTAGATAAAATGAGTAGTAAAATTTGATGAAGTACTGTATAGATCTGGTATTATATATGTATTAACATGCTACTGAATGCCAAAAATGCTCAGAAATAAAGATAAGAATTGTAATAAGGCTGGGTGTAGTGGCTCACACCTGTAATCCCAGCACTTTGGGAGGCTGATTGTTTGGGGCCAGGAGTTCAAGACCAGCCTGGACAACATGGTGAGACCTTGTCTCTACAAAAAAAAAAAAAATACAGAAGTTAGCTGGGTGTGATGGCATGCACTTGTAGACCCAGCTACTTGGGAGGCTGAAGTGGGAGGATCAGTTGAGCCTAGGAGGTCAAGACTGCAGTGAGCCATGATTGGGCCACTGTGGTTGATAGAGGGAGACCCTGTCTCCAAAAAAAAAAAAAAAAAGGGAAAAAGAAAATGTAAAAAAGAAAAAAGAATTGTAATAAGATCATTATTTGCATAAAATAGAACTAGCAGAGGTTATAATAGTGTTAAGTGACATAAACTCATAATATCCAAAATAATGATGTGTGATTAATGTGAGTTTATTTTTCCCATAAGGTTATAAATAGGATAGTTGTGGGGAGTCA
The DNA here is from genome assembly GCF_000001405.40 of Homo sapiens. Classification (NCBI taxonomy): domain Eukaryota; kingdom Metazoa; phylum Chordata; class Mammalia; order Primates; family Hominidae; genus Homo; species Homo sapiens. Next base: position 45,149,636 of record NC_000013.11, read on the forward strand.
AGGGTAAATATTGGTTAATCTCTGTAAATGTAATATTTTATGTAAATATGAAGTTTTTTTTTAAGCTCTTAACTCACATTTGAAAACAACATGAAATCTAAATTATTTTAAATATTTCTTTTCCTCTCCTTTAGGACTCAAGGAAGGACTGAGGTAAGATTATTTATATGGAAATTTTAGTTAAAACTTGAGACTATCTTTTCATTAATAATAGTGAAAAAAGAGTGTTTGAATTTTGGAAAACTCCACATCAAGTGCATGGCTGATGGTTAAGAACACATAAAGGTATAAATGCCACCCTTGTGTGAATGAATGGACCCTTTTCTAGTTGTTCATTCTCAGCATTTTTCTTCTTTGACCTACATTTCCCCTCTCTTGGTACCATGAAACTGAGTAAAACTTCTGTAATACTTTACTAATACGTTAGTATTACTTCAGTGTGACAAAGGCATTTGATATGGATTTTTTGAGAACTTTAGATTCTGACCCATTGAGGCCAGTTTGTGATTTACAATACTTATCACATAGTAGAGATGTTTAATAAATACTTCATAATCTTCCTACATGCTTGGGAGATGAGTAATTTTGTTTATAAGTCTGTTTAGTGTAAAATGTGATGTTCTTTTGGGGAGATCTGGTATATAATAAAAAGCATTTTGAAAGAACACCTAGTATGTATTTTTATTCTAAACCTTATTATTGAGCTATCCTTTTAACTGTTGAGTTGTATTTGTTAAAACAATCAAAAATAATACCATGTACTCATACAGTTGTCATTAAGACATACAAAATAAATACATCCTCTGTTTATGGGAGTGTTTAAGCTTTTCAGAGTAAATAGTTCACTTCATCCCCCCCATCTGAAGTACAATTGCTTTCTTAATATTCTTAAAATATTCACTTATTCAGCAATATTATTTTCCTTCTATATGCCAGGCACTCTGCTAGATCTTAAAGATATAAAAGATAGTAAGACATGATCCCTTGACCTCAGACCTCAGAGATTTTAGGGAAAAAAAAAAAATCATCTTTTTTTTTTTTTGAGATGGAGTCTCATTCTGTCATGCCCGGCTAATTTTTGTATTTTTAGTAGAGACAACGTTTTGTCATGTTGGCCAGGCTGGTCTCAATCTCCTGACCTCAAGTGATCAGCCCACCTCGGCCTCTCAAGGTGCTGGGATTACAGGTGTGAACCACTGCGCCCAGCCAGAAAAAATAATCTTACTCCTGTTTTGGAGACTTCTTCAGCTACAGACCAGAGAAAACATGAAAACTGTCTTTTTTTATAATGATAGATTAGCCCCATTATTCTTTTTGTTTTTGTTTTTTATTTTCTTATGTTTAGTAATTTTTATTTTATTTCAGGGGTACATGTGTAGGTTTGTTACATAGGTATATTGCATGATGCTGAGATTTGGGCTGATATTTATTCTGTCACCCAAATAGTGAACATGGTAACCAATAGGTAGTTTTTTAACCCTTGGTCTCCTCTCTCCCTCTCTCTTTTTGGAGTCCCCAATGTCTGTTGTTCCCATCTTTAGGTCCGTGTCTACCCAATGTTTAGTTCCCACTTGTAAGTGAGAACATGTGGTATTTGGTTTTCTGTTTCTGCGCTAATTTACATAGGATAATGGCTTCCAGCTGCATCATTGCTGCAAAGGATGTGATTCTGTTATTTTTTTATTAGCCCCATTATTCTGACAAATGGGAATAGATTATCTTTCTCTCTTTTGTTTTTTTTAAGAGACAGGGTCTTGCTTTGTTGCCAAGGTTGGAGTGCAATGGCTGTTCATAGTGAGCTACAGCCTGGAACTCCTGGCCCAAGGAATCCTCTTGCCTCAGCCTCCCAAGTAGCGGGGATTATAGGTGTGCACCAATGTGTCCAGTTTATATTCTCTTTTTATGACCAAGTATTAAGGAGTTTTTAATAAAGTGTTTAATGAAATGACTGGAAAACACATTTAAAAACAATTTGATTTATAACAAAAATTTATATATATATAGTTTGAATACAGAAGTCTGTTATAATCTCTGGTTAATGTGTCTATTAGGTGTCATTTACTTTGAATGAGGATCTTGCAAATATTCATGATATTGGTGGAAAACCAGCTTCAGTCAGTGCTCCTAGAGAACATCCATTTGTCTTGCAAAGTGTTGGAGGACAGACATTAACAGTATTTACTGAGAGCTCATCAGGTAAGTGGGAATGGAATTATTTAATGTGATTCCTGTACATTTTGTATAGATTTTCTGTCTCAACATACACTCCTATTTGCTTTTTTTTTTTTTTTTTTTTTGCGATGGAGTTTCGCTCTTGTTGCCCAGGCTGAAGTCCAATGGCACGATCTTGGCTCACTGCAACCTCCATCTCCTGGGTTCAAGTGATTCTCCTGCCTCAGCCCCCCGAGTAGCTGGGATTACAGGCATGCGCCACCATGCCTGGCTAATTGTGTGTTTTTAGTAGAGACGAGGTTTCTCCATGTTGGTCAGGCTGGTCTCTAACTCCCTACCTCAGGTGATCTGCCCACCTTGGCCTCCCAAAGTGCTGGGATTACAGGCGTGAGCCACCGCACCCAGCCTCCTGTTTGCTTTTTTAAGGTCATTACCAATACTGTTCCATCTCTCATTTTGTCTACCTCTGTTATTCATACTATGCTACTTCTCTGCTCTGTGTACTTTCTTGTGATTAATGAAATTTTGGCCATTACTTGAGAAGGGTTTAATTTCCATTTGGGATATGAAGATGTAGAACAAAGCAGATGGAAGAATGTGGTTCATCAAGCTGCCTTCTAAGATGTTGAAGAAATAGTATTCTGAATTTTGCCAAGATAAGGTCATCCTTGCTTGTTTTAGTAAATTGATATTCAGCAAGTATGAGTTGTACTTAAAAAATACAGTTTGATATTAGGGAATATTTTAGTCTGAATTTTTCAACTTGTATGCTTTGTATACCAAGAGGGCCTTTTTATTGCATAGAGATAACTTTTAATTGACACTGGCTTCCAAGAAGTTTCTGCGTAGAGTTTTAAGATTGTATGTGTTTGCAATGAGATATTTTAACAGTTCAATAGATCAGAAGCAAATGTTTCCATTTGTGAATTAAATACAGAGAGAACTTTCTTGTGGCACACACTCAGCTTGAGTATATTTTCCTTGTTTTGGGATTTTTATCTGTCACTGAGTTTAGAATACTATTAAAGCAACAGGCCACCTTAGCTTAATGGAGCTAATTTTCTCCTATCTAGTTCAAAAAGCTTATTGACAAAAGAAAACATTTGTGATTTTGTTGTATTTCATCAAGCATTTCAAAGAAAGCTATAAGAAATTATAGTATGTTAAGAACACCATTGTTTAAAAAAAGGAACATCCTCGTAAATTTTTTTTTTTTTTTTTGAGACGTAGTCTTGCTCTGTCGCCCAGCTGGAGTGCAGTGGAGAGATCTCGGCTCACTGCAAGCTCCGCCTACCGGGTTCACGCCATTCTCCTGCCTCAGCCTCCTGAATAGCTGGGACTACAGGTGCCCGCCACCATGCCCGGCTAATTTTTTTTTTTTTTTGTATTTTTAGTAGAGACGGGGTTTCACCGTGTTAGCCAGGATGGTCTCGATCTCCTGACCTCGTGATCCGCCCGCCTCGGCCTCCCGGAGTGCTGGGATTACAGGCATGAGCCACCGGGCCCGGCCGAATTTTTTTTGTGGTATCTTAGATTACCAATAGCTACATAAAATGATCTAAAAAATTATTCTTTTTTTTCTTGGATGTACAGTATAACAGAATGGTAAATTATAACTCTTCAGTTATGTAGTTGAAGGTAGAAGGTTGGTTTCATTGCAGTTTTCTGATGCTCTGATAATTAGTAGTGTAGTAGTATGGGAGGCAGAAAATGTTAAAGTAACAGTATCTTCAGTATATCCATTTTATACTGTTGAAGATTCAACCCTTCAACAAATATTTATTGCGTGCTACATAGTTCAGGGCATAGTATAGGCCTATCTAAAATTCTGAAATTTGTCTGAAATTAGAAGCACATTTGAATTCAGTATGTTAAGAGTTTTAGGTTTGGCCGGGCATGGTGGCTCATGCCTGTAATCCCAGCACTTTGGGAGGCCAAGGTGGGCAAATCACCTGAGGCCAGGAGTCCGAGACTAACCAGGCCAACATGGTGAAACCCTGTCTCTATTAAAAATAAAAAATTGGCCAGGCGTGGTGGCAGGTGCCTGTAATCCCAGCTACTCAGGAAGCTGAAGCAGGAGAATTGTGTGAACCCAGGAGGTGGAGGTAGAAGTGAGCCAAGATTGCACCACTGTACTCCAGCCTGGGCAACAGAGGGAGACTCAGTCTCAAAAAAAAAAAAAAAAAAAAAAAAGAGTTAAAGAGTTTTAGTTTCAACAACTTTATTCCTTTTGATTGATGAGATTTAATAAGATCTGTTGAACGTGTGAGGTTTTCTCTACTTTTGTGATTGTCCCTGGAGTGGAAGAGGCATGGCACCAAGACAGTAAAAAGGAGTCATTGCCTTGATAAACGTTTGAGGTAGAGAAACTTGAACTTTTTTTTGTAGAAAAAAGTACCCTATTTCAGATTTTTTACATCTTATTAAGTGACTAATTTTTTGAAAGCATGATTTATTTCTGGTACTTCTACAAAGACAGCAATTTAGAAAGCTAACATTTGTTAGCCTCAAAATTAGTCTTCCATTTTACATTTTAAAAATACTTCAGTGTTGTGCTCTTTTTGAACATTTCGTGTTCACGTTTCTGGCTACAGTGTTCTCTAAAGGGAATGTGGTTTTATAAGGATTATCTTGGCAGGGATATGGAAGAGAATTAAGATTGTCATCCTTATTCTGGGGCTTGGACAGTATGTTCTTTATAGAACTGTGATAATACAAATGCAGTTCTAAGTTGCTATTAGTTATAATACACTATAACAATTTTTTGCTTCTTAACCTCATTATTTCTGTTTCAAGTCATTGTTCCTTGATTCTCTTTGCACCATTCTGTGCCTTAATTTCCTCATTTATGAAATAAGGATAATTTATTGACATTTATATATAAATATGAATACATTTAAACACTTAGAACAATGCTCAGTATATAATGAATGCTCAAATATTAGCTGTTGTTGTTAATATTACACCTTATTTTTAAACACTTTAGGTTTTAAGTTTATTTTAAGGCAAGTGCATGCATTTTAGCTCAATCTGGATGTATATCACTTGGTAAAATTCAGCCAGTAGGGATTTTTATGTTAAATGTTTCTCAATTGCCTGCATGACCAAGAAAAAAGCTCTAGAATTCTTAGTAGTTTATCTCCTCTGAGGAGTCTTATGTATTTGTTATTTCTAGTCATTAAAGCAGCAGTTCTACAAGTGGGTTCCTTGGATCTCTAGGAAGTCATAAATAGTAGCAGGGGCTCTGTGACTGCTGTGACATATTTAAAATGTTAGATGTATGTTGTATATGTGCGTTCTTTTCTATAGGATGGTACCAGAGCTTTCATTGGAATCTCAGAGGAATCTGTGGCCCAGAAAAGCTACAGAACCACTACCCTAGTTTTAACCTTGGTTGGTCATGAACCTGCCAAAGTATAAGTGACTAAGCCATTTTACAGGGAGTAAGCTGTTGATTTTACATTGAAATATAAATGAAGTAGGCATTATCTGGGATATTTCTACATTTTCTATCAAGTATAGAACTGTACCTGCTTTTCTAGGCTCTTTGTTTCTTTTTATTAGTGCACAGGTCTATAAAATGTAGAGTTTGTAAGGAAACTTGAAACCACATTTTAGTTCAGTGTGTTAGGAGTTTTAGTTTTAATAACTTTACTCCTGTTAATGTGATTTTGCTGGTTTTTGAGAGGTCTCCTTTGAGCCCATTTTCCTAATGATTGAATTTGGCACACTGGGTATCTTTTAGGGAGAGCGAATTAGAGGAGACTAATGATTAAGTTATACAGTGTTTTCTCATTAATTAAAATAATCTGCATGTCATCAACATTTTATGAACTCAGTTAATTTCTTTCTAATTCAGTGTTCCTGTCTGAGAGAATATATTTTATTTTTATGGGCTATTTTGGGTTACCCTTTCTTCCACTTCTGCTTTCCTCTATGAAATTCAAAATGATCTATTAATATTTTTCTGTTATTTTCATGGAGCTCGCTTATCCATTACCCTTATCTCTGTGGAAATACCTCATGTGTTTGGCCTTACATTTCCCTGCCTTGGGTCTTCAGTTTAGTATTTGTATTTACTATTTATTGGTAACCATAGATCATTTCTATTTTTCCTGCCTTTGGCATCCTCTTTGGCATTCCTACTTTTATTCAAAGTTAGATTTTCTTCTTTTTTTTTTAGAGGCAGTGTCTCACTGTGTTGCCCAGGCTGAACTTCTGGGCCCAAGTGATCCTCCCACCTCAGCCTCCTGAGTAGCTGGGACTACAGGCGTGCACCACCATGTCTGGCTCTTAGATATTATTATTTATAACTGCCAACTCTAGACAAAAATGTTCATTCATCTGTTCAATAGATATTTTTGGTGCTAAGCCCTGTGCTAGAATAAGATTAGCCTCCTGTGCACTGAGGCAACTGGTAAGTGAATAAATGCTACAAATGCTCTAATGGAGATATGTACAAAGAGGAAAAAAGCATGTGTACTTTGCCTGAGGGAACTGGCTTCAGAAGTGGAGATAATATTTGAGCTGGACCTTGAAGTATATGAATAGGATGAAAGATAGTGAGGATAAATTCATTTTTCTAGCCTTCAAGGATCCAATTCTTCACTTGGCATTCTTTTACCTGTCATCCTCTGTCATAGCTATCTAAAAGTTCATTAAATAAAAATTCATTAAAGCAAAAAACTTAGCTGTGGATGTCACAGACTAGGTTAGAGATGAAAAAAGTTTTAATTGGTGCAATGGGAGTGGAAAAGATAGAACATGGGATAATAGAGGTAATTTTTTTTTAATCTTTTTTGCCATCAGGTAAGTCGACCAGAATTAGAGGTTATTTTGACAGCTTTTGGTGATGAATCGGCTGTGAGGAAATTGGAAGATTGAGAAGCCTAGAGTGGTTTCCGTGCTTTTTTTGGCCTGAGCATCTGGAGGGATAGTGAAACCATTACTGAATTAGAAAATATTCAAAGAAATGGGCAGGCTTAGAGCTGATAACGCAGTGACTTTTTTGCTTTCATTTTTCATTATCTTTGACGCCTTTGTAGCAGTTCATTAATTCAATAAATTAACATTTGTGCCTGGTTTTTTCAGGCCCCCTTTTAGGCTTGGGATGCTTTAACAAGCAAAGGCTTAGCCCTTGTGGTGCTTACATTTTACTAAGAGGAGACAACAGTAAACATAAGTAAATTATATTGCTGGCTAGAAGTTGATAAATTTTCTGGGAATAAAGTGGGAAGTAGGCTCGGGAGTATCAGGTTGGGGGTGGGACCTCATTGAGAAGGTGAAATTTGAACAGTCTTGAAGGAGGCAAAAGGGGTAGCCATGTGGAGTGAGTTAGCCAGCTAGGAGTTTTTAAGGCAGACAGAGAACAGTAATGACTAATGCTCCAAGTTGGGAACAAGACTGGCATGTTCACGGAGTGGCCAAGAGGTCAGTGTGGATAAAGTAGATGAGCAAGGGGGAAGAGTAGTGGGCTAATTAGGTTAGGGAAGAAGGGTGGATGTTGGCAGTGGCAGATCATGAAAAGATTTCTAAACTATAAAAAGTATTTTGGATTTTACTTTTAGTGAAGTGGGAAGTCACTGGAGAGATTTAAGCAGAATAGTGATATAATTTGATTTACATGTTAAAGACCTACTCTGACTGGTAGGTTGAGAAGAGACCATGGAGTCGGGGCAGGGCTGGAACCGGGAGGCTCTTATAGTAATCCAGGGGAGACATGACAGAAGCTTGGATTAGAGTGGTAGCAGTGACAGAGATCTACTCACTCACCTGATATCCAGCTTTATATCTTTAGTTGTGTTAACAGACAGTCCACTTGGATTCTTTTTTTGGTGGGGAGAGATGGGTCTCATCCTGGGCTCAGGCAGTCCTCCCACCTCAGCCTCTCGAGTAGCTGGAACTACAGTCGCATGCCACCATGCCTGGCTAGTTTTTTATTTTTTTGTTTTTTTTTGTAGAGACAGGGTTTCGCCATGTTTCCCAGGCTGGTCTCGAACTCCTGCGTGCAAAGCTGTCCACCTGCCTCGGCCTCCCAAAGTGCTGGGATTATAGGCATGAGCCACTGTGCCCAGTCTGCCACTTGGATTTGTTACCTGAAACCAGGAAATAGAAAATCAAATTTCATTTATCCATTTCCTTTTTCTCTATATATCCATGTTTCTGCCAGTGATACATTATTCTTCTATTGTCTTGGCCATAATAATTCTTAGCCTCCTCTTATTTCTCGTATTTGGTCATTTTGTTGTTTCTGTAGTAGGAATCACATATACACATTTCTGGATACCACTTGATATGGTTTGTCTCTGTCCCCACCCAAATCTCATCTTGAATTTTAGCTCCCATAATTCCCACATGTTGTGAGAGGGACCTGGTGGGAGATAATTGAATCATGGAGGCAGCTTCCCCCATACTGTTCTTGTGGTAGTGAATAAGTCTCATGAGATCTGGTGGGTTGATAAGGGGTTTCCCCTTTCACTTGGCTCTCATTCTGTCTTGTCTGCCACCATGTAAGACATGCCTTTTGCCTTCTGCCACAATTGTGAGGCCTCCCCAGCCATGTGGAACTGAGTCTGTTAAACTTCTTTTTCTTTATAAATTACCCAGTCTTGGGTATGTCATTATCAGCAGTGTGAAAACAGACTAATACACCACTTAATCCAAAGCAACCCTCTGAAAACTCCACCCATCATCCCCAGCCTTTTTCCAGCCCCATCTGTGAAAATCTCTTACCTTTACCATACTTTCCTGCACAGTGACCTCTGTTTTTCCCCTTCTTTTTCCTCTGTCAGGGATTTGTCTTCTATAGTCATAATCAGCCTTCTCTTTCTGATCCAGCCTTTGTTGATTCTTCCTTCATTTAGACTTGTATGGCAGTAGGTTAGCTCGTTTTGTCCCATTATTAAACCTTGTGGGCAGAGGACTGTATCTCATGGTTATCTCCACGGTGCCTAGTATAGCATTGAGCACATCTGTGGCTTGGGATTGAGCACAGAGTGATGGGTTCATTAAAGCAAACATGTTGAAATCATTTATTTCCTCCTAAGAATTAGTAGTACTCTAATGGTACTTTTTAGAATGGTTTTCAAGTGAGATAGCTTGTTTTAGTTACTCACGGGATGGCTAGTCTCCCTTCAGATATTCTTGATTCAAAGTGGTTTTCTTAAGACACTTGAGGTTCAGAATCGAATATTCCTCACTTTATTTTTTGCTCATTATATTTTGGCACAGGTGATTTTTTAAACTTTCTCTTGGCTAATCAGATTAGCTTAGTACCATATTCTGTGACACTTGGTTAGCCACTCTACATATTGTCATGAGACATATTCCCCAGATAAAGTAGCAGCTGAGTTCACTGATGGTAGGTATTTACTTTCAAGCTTGAATTTGGTAACATGTACCAATTACACATATGACTAAGAACATACTAGTTTGTATTTGAAGAAGAATGTATAGCAATGGTAGTGCTCTTTGAAGATGCTGAATTACCAGTCTTTTGAAAACTTAACTGAAATTGTAGAATTTATAATCTGTCCTGTATGGTACTGTCCTGCAAGTATAGTAAATGAAAAAGGTAAGCGTTTTCTTTCTTTCTTTTTTTTGAGACTCAGTCTTACTATGTTGCCAAGGCTGGAGCGCAGTGGCGCGATCTCGGCTCACTGCAACCTCCGCCTCCCAGGCGCAAGTGATTCTCCTGCCTCAGCCTCCCGAGTAGCAGAATACTCCAAGTAGCAGAATACACCTGAGGTCAGGAGTTCAAGATCAGCCTGGCCAACATGACTAAAAATACAAAAAATTACAGACTACAGACGTGCGCCACCACGCCGGGCTAATTTTTTGTGTTTTTATTAGAGACGGGGTTTTGCCATGTTGCCTAGGCTGTTCTCAAACTCCTGACCTCAGGTAATCTGCCCGCCTCAGCCTCCCAAGTTCTGGGATTACAAGCGTTGGCCACCATGCCTGGCCATGTTTTCATTTTTAAGTTGGATTGTTGGGTGCTAATGGGAAACATTAATTTGGTGCATTTCCCTTATTTTTGGGGGAATATCATATCAGGTATATGATTTTGAGAGGTTTGAATTAAGCCTTCTTTATATGTGTGCTTATAAGCATTCAAAGTACTTTTTCATTGAACTTTTTTTCTTGTCACTGGTTTAAAACATGAATTACACTCTGTTTCCTGAATTATCACCAGCTGCATATGCAGTGGGACTTTCTGAGGCTTTATTTACCTTATCTATCATAATTTAATTACTGTTGTCACTTTAATGGAGCATTTCTTAAACTTTTTGGTCTCAGGGCTCTTTTATACATTATGTGCTAACATTTTTATTTAAAAATCGATTTTCCAAAAAAATAGTGGGAAGAGTGCCATTTTGCAGGCATCATTAATGTCTGACAGCTTAAGACAAGCTGGATTTTCATCTCTACTTCTGTATTCAATCTGTAAAGATCTGCTGTTTTGGTTGAAGTATCTGAAGAAAATCTACCTCTTATAAATACATAGTTGGAAAAGGGAGGAGTAATTAGTAGCATTTTCAGATAGTTGTGGACATTCTTTTGCTACTACACTAAAACTCTGCAAGTGGTAGTTTCTTAAAGGTCACTTGCAGTATAGAATCTGAAACTATTAGCAAACCTTTTCTACTCTCTTACATTAAATTCACAGGTCTGTCTTGTATTTGGAATGAATCTCTTACCCAGACATGATTTTGTAGCATCATACATCCATCATCTGGAGACTATTGGTTTCCTGAATTATGTAGTTCTTTTGAATGTTGACACGTTTCATTATAGAATATCAAAAATTTACATTCATTAGCATCACTACTGATTTTATCAGAAAAGTTTTTAAATATAGGGGAGCTGTTAAGTTTATGGTGATAGGTACAAGTTCTTCAGACTTTAATTTTCACTTAAAAAGTTGAATTTTATTAATGACAACAAATCCTGTCAGCTGTTTTTTTTTTTTTTAAAGGATGGGCTTTTTTCATTGATTTTTGAAAAAATATCTTTCAGATACCCAAATCTGAATAATTATGCTTTGTCTGTCAGTCATTCTTTCAAGTAACAATGATCTTCCACAACAAAAGTAGCTAGCTCAGCACTCAACTCAAACAGTTGCAACTATGCTTTTCTTTGAGGCAATCATCTTATGTTAGTGTCCAGCAGAAGCATTTCATGTGCATTTGCCATTTGGTGTCACAGAATGTTAAAGGATGCATACTCAAGGGTTGAAATTTAATAAAAACAGTTTTTACTGTTCATCAAGGACATTGTGAAGTGAAACAGACTTTTTAAAAAATTGCAAGTGCTAGGTGGTGAAGAATACACCTAGCACTTTAGTGTAGTAGCAAAACAGTGATACAGTTTTGGTACCATTTGGCCTCAATTTGTGGTGGTACCAGTAGCCTTACCCACCGTTGCTTTTGCACTATTGGCAAATATCAACACAGTGAAAAAGGTAATTAAATATTTTAAGAAAATATTTTGACCTTGTGGACACCCAAATGATCTTGAGGACCCCTGGGGATTTATAGACCATACTTTGAAGAATGCTAATTTAGTGTGTGGTAGTGTGAAAAGATTGCAAGCTCCATTTTAAAATACCTGGTGAAGTGTTGATCACTTTTTATTGGGATGGCCTACCTAATAGAGACACTCCTCCCCCCAGTGCTTCTTAGGGGAACCTCATGCGTAACACTGAATTGCATGCCTGTTTCAGTGTTTATTGTTGGTTTTAAGAATACAGGGGCCGGGCACCGTGGCTCAGGCCTGTAATCCCAGCAGGTTGGGAGGCCAAGGTGGGCAGATCACCTGAGGTCAGGAGTTCAAGACCAGCCTGGCCAACATGGTGAAACGCCGTCCCTACCAAAAATACAAAAAATTAGCCAGCTGTGGTGGTGAGTGCCTGTAATCCCGCCTATTCGGGAGGCTGAGGCAGGAGAATCACTTGAACCCAGGAGGCAGAGGTTGCAGTGAGCCGAGATCATGCCATTGCACTCCAGCCTGGGCAACAAGAGCGAAACTCTGTCTCAAAAAGAAAAAATGAATACAGTACATATTTTTTTAACCAGATTTGAACCACTTTTAAACTATTTCTTTTAGGTATAGTTTACACTTTTAGGTATTTATTCCACTTCTGTTGGTGGATAACCTGTCTTAATAAATCTGTATTAAATAAGATAGTAAATACAACCTGTCTTTGTATTTACTATCTTATTTAATTCTCCTCACAACTCCACGAGGGAGGGACTTTTAAAAAATCTTCATTTTGCAGATGATATGACAGAAGCTCTAAGAGATTGTGTGACTAGCCCCTATTTCCTGATATTTAGAAATATATGTTAAAACAGTCTCTTTAAGTAGGTAATAGAAATCCTGCTAGGTCTGCCTGGATAGATGCTCTGTGGTGACTCCAGCTTGTCTCTTTCATCACTGCATTTCACAGGGCAGCCATCTTCAAGTCCCATTCACTTTGGCAGCTAGTGGTTCTTTCTCACTCCGCTAGTAAAGGCCCTATGGAAGGAGTAAGGAAGCTCTGTTTTTTGCTTACTCCTTTGAGTAACAGCCTTGCCACTGAACATTTGGAATCATACCAGCTTCTGACAATCTTATACTTGTGAGGAGGAACAAACAGGAACAAAAATATATGAGTTTAGTGTTTATTTCCTGAACTGCCACCAAGGTTGTGACTGACTGCAGAGATTTAGTTTTGTATTTTACTGCCAACTGCCTGAGCCAGGTCTGCTCTCTGAAAAGTTAAACCTAATAGCAGAAAATGTTCCTTTATTTAGTGGCCAGAAAGAGATTTGTAAAAGCAGTGTTTGCACTCTTCATATTCAGGTATTCATGCATAAATATGTGGTAGCTTTAATAATCTGAGGTTGGGATGAGGAGGATTAAAAGAAACCGCAGTGTAGGATAATATTAAGGTTTGGAATCACAAACTTATTAAAACTTATGATTTACTCTCCAGTTTTTAATTGTGAAATATTTCAAACCTACAGAAAAGTATAGTGAATAGTTTAACCTATGCCTAACAGCTGTATTTCATAAGTGTTGACATTTGCCATATTTCTTTAAAGCTAGAAAACATTTTAGATTTCTCCCCACCCCCCACCCCCTAACCCTTACCTCACTTGCTAGAGGTAACTGTTGTCCTGGAGTTGGCGTGTATTATTGTGACTCATTATGACTAGTCTGCAATTCTCAAAACAAAATCTTTATAGTTTAACTGGTGGAAACTAACCAAGTTCCTTGGAGATGTGTTAGGCAATGTGCTCCAAATTTCTAACAATTGTGGAAGTCCAGTGTTTAGCTTGAGTAGAGATTTTTTTGTGTCATACCTGGAGAAAATGACAGGCTATACAAACATATTTCTCTTCTTCCTTTTGATTTTCTGTAGCTTCCAGTTTATAAAGTCGGTTCTTTGTTTTGATTCATTGTATACTTAAGATCTTAGGAAGAACTTGGTTTCTTTGTAAAACCAAACCTAACTTAGTAAAATCAATTAAAATGTAAATTACTTCAGCGTGGGCAACATGGTGATTCCCCATCTCTACTAAAAATAAAAAAAATTAGCCAGGCATGGTGGCGCACGCTTGTAGCACCAGCTGTTCTGGAGGCTGAGGCAGGAGAATTGCTTGAACCCAGGAGGCGGAGGTTGCAGTGAGCCGAGATAGCGCCACTGCACTCCAGCCTGGGCGACAGAGTGAGACTCTGTCTCAAAAAAAAAGAAAAAAAGTAAATTACTTAGTCGCGGTATTAAAACTAAGTAATTGAAACAATTGTAATTTTAAAATACTTTAATTTTAAAAATTTCATTTCCTTTGGCTTTTTCAAATAACATTGCCACTATTTTTAAAAACCTCATTCAAGGTTATAGTAGCATGATTTTTTCTCTAGTTCTTTGAGCATAAGGGTACCATTATCAAAATTTAAAGTGTAAAAAATGCCATGTAACTGATTTTTCCCTCTGCAGTATAGCATTACATTATAAAAACAGAGACAGGTTATTTGGTTGCCTTTGTATTTTTATCACTTAGAAATGTAGTCTATTGAGGGCTGGATGTGGTGGCTCACGCCTGTAATCTCAGCACTTTGGGAGGCCAAGGTGGGCAGATCACTTAAGGCCAGGAGTTTGAGATCAGCCTGGCTGACCTGACGAAACCCCGTCTCTACTGAAAATACAAAAATTAGCCAAGTGTGGTGGTGCGCATCTATAATCCCAGCTCCTCAGCACACATCTGTAATTCCAGCCAGGAGTTCAAGACCAGCCCGGCCAACTTGGCGAAACCCCGTCTCTACTAAAAATACAAAAATTAGTCCAGCGTGGTGGCAGACACCTGTAATCTCAGCTACTTGGGAGGCTGAGGCACGAGAATCACTTGAACCCAGGAAGTGGAGGTTGCAGCGAGCCAGGATTGTGCTACTGCACTCCAGCCTGGGCAACACAGTGAGACAGTCTCAAAAAAAAAAAAAGAGAAAGGTAGTCTGTTGATATGGTGATGGCACTAGTATAGTAATTCCCTTGGAACAAAGAAGAAAAGAAGGTAAGACTTTAAAACTGACCTATTTTTTTAAAAAGCAATAAAACATGTCGATTTACTGAAGGTTTTCAAGTAAAGAAGTAGCAGCCCTAGTGGCCAGGTAGTGGCTCATGCCTGTAACCCCAGCACTTTGGGAGGCCAGGGTGAGTGGACTGCTTGAGCCCAGAAGTTAGAGACCAGCCTGGACAAAAGAGTGAAACCCTATCTCCACAAAAGATAGCTGGGTATGGTGGCATGCACCTGTAGTCTCAGCTATTTTGGAGGCTCAGGTGGGAGGATCACCTGTGCCTGGGATGTTGAGGCTACAGTGAGTACAGTGATTGTGCCACTGCACTCCAGTGTCAGTGACAGAGTGAGACCCTGTCTGGAAAAAAAAAATAGTAGTTCCTTCTCCCTCAGCATTACTAGTGTCACTTTTGGGGTACCCAGTGCTGGTAAAAAGGCTATACAACAAAAAGTTGCATCACAGCAGAATGGGAAGGGTTACCAAAAAATGGATTAGAGACCTACACTTGAACTGTGTTCTTGATTACGTTGGTTCTGATACAAAGTGCCTAGAACCATTTTACATTCTCATAACTATTTGTTTGGAAGAATTGAAGGAAGTTTTAATTATGGCATATAGATACACAATGTTTACATCTTTATTAAGCAATGATCTTGTTACGCTATAGCTGCTATAGCTGTTTTATTAAGCGGACAGATATAGGTAACCTGTTGAGCACTTATTTTATTTGCTATGATGAGCACTTACACAGTGTGGATGCAGAATCAATTTGTGAGGTACTAGGCAACATTAAGAAATAAAGAGAAATAGAATGGAAAAAATATATATAGATATCTATATATTCATATATATGTGGAATAGAATGGAAAAAACGGAGAAATAGAATGGAAAAAATGTATATTTATATATAATATATACCCATTATCCATTAGATTTATATCTAAAATATATATATATATATATATATTTTTTTTTTCTTTGAGACAAAGTCTTGCTCTATCGCCCAGGCTAGAGTATAGTAGCACAATCTCAGCTTAATTTAATTCTTTAAGTTCAAATTTAAAGATTCATATACAGTAAAGAGAAAAATGAAGTATAAAATTGAAGTGTGACCGATTTCTCAGCTGTATATTAGTAGAGAAGATTTACTTGTAGGATTTTTCATCAGGAAAGAAAATAAACCTTTCTTTCCACTGCCCTCGCCCCCCCCCGCCGCCCGCTTTTAACCTTTTCATTCTGGAAAATTTCAAAACATATGCAAAAGTAGAGAAATAGTACAGTGAACTTCCATATACCTATCATTCATCTTCCTGTGAAGATGGCAAATAGTCATTCTTGTTTCAGCTATACCCCAGTCACTGCCTTTGTGTACCTCACAGGATTATTTTAAAGAAAACCTCAGAGAGCATATCATTCCATCCTTAAATTCTTCAGTACATTCTTTTTTTTTTTTTTTTTTTTTTTTGAGACGGAGTTTCAATCTTCTTACCCAGGCTGGAGTGCAGTGGTGTGATCTCGGCCTACTGCAACCTCTGTCTCCCAGGTTCAAGTGATTCTCCTGTCTCAGCCTCCCGAGTAGCTGGGATTACAGGCGCCCGCCCCTACGCCTGGCTAATTTTTGTATTTTTAGTAGAGACGGGGTTTCACCATGTTGGCCAGGCTTGTCTCCAACTCCTGACCTCAGGTGATCTGCCAGCATCAGCCTCTCAAAGTGCTGGGATTACAGGCGTGAGCCACCACACCCAGCTACTTCAGTACATTCTTCATACAAATTCCTTTTTAGAAAAATACATAACCATAAGGTCATTATGATACCTAAAAAAATTAACAATTCCAAAATATCATGGTAGATCTAGTCACTGGGAACTATGTGATGCTTAAATTTCAGTGTTTTCTGATATTTTTTCCCTTTTAAATACATTCTGTTTTCTGGTTTATGGTCCAACTCTATCAGAAGTCACCATGGATTGCAGTTATATAGGTTATAGCATCCCCTGGTGAAGATGCACTTCGTCAAGTCATTCATGTTACTATGAAGACATGATGCAGTCTTTCTGCAGAACTGTTTGAGGGATTTGGCTGATAAGGAAATGACAGAATAGAAAATTATTTCTGGAATAGTACTGAGGTACTGATGTCAAACTGGAGCCAGTGTTAGGGAAAGTACGAAAGCTGTGTTCACTGAGCTTCATATGGATTGTTTTCAGATTGCATCAAGTTAAAGTTAACAAGCAGATGAGTTTAGAAAGAAAATCTTGTCAATCCACTATGACCAGACTTTAGGGAATAGGGGGCTTTAAAATAAAAGTCAAAGTAAAATAGAAGTAGGTGGTATGAGAATTCGTATGATGAATGGAATAAAAAATGTTATTTAATGTAATAGAGTGAATATGAATAGGGACTATATTGGTATATCCCAGTAGGGACATTATATACAACTTGTATACAAGCCTCAATTTAGAGTATGAATTTCTTCCCTGGAATATTGATAAATAATTGAGAAACCAATTTTGTCTTGAGTTTAAAATCTCTTGAAAGTTAGGTCCATTTATATATCTTTAATACAAAACTGACTAATTAAACATGTTTAAGTTCTGAAAGAAAACCTTATTCTTATATGTTCCTACCAGCCGTTAGACAGCTGTGGCCTGCCCAGAAGCGAAACTCTGGTAGTGGCCAGCACACTTTGAAAGACTGCTCTGTTTAAAAAGAAATGCAGTTGAAGTCTTTTTTTTTTTTTTTTAAAGAACTTCGTGTATGTGTATCAGCCCACAAATTCTTGCTTATACAGACTGTATCATTAGCTATTTCAAAATAATAAAGGGTAAAAAGCCCTACAGACACATACTATACATACTATTTTACTATTTTTTTTTTTTTTTTTTTAAAGATGGAGTCTCGCTCTGTTGCCCAGGCTGGAGTGCAGTGTTGCAGTCTCGGCTCACTGCAACCCCCGCCTCCCTGCCTCAGCCTCCCAAATAAATGTTACTTCAGACTCCTGCCACCACACCCAGCTAATTTCACCCAGCTATTTTTTTTTTTTTTTTTTTTGAGATAGAGCCTTGCTGTGTCACCAGGCTGGAGTGCAGTGGTGCTATCTCAGCTCACTGCAACCTCCGCCTCCCAGGTTCAAGTGATTCTCCTGCCTTAGCCTCCCAAGTAGCTGGGACTACAGGTGCGCACCACCACACCCAGCTAATTTTTTTGTATTTTTAGTAGAGATGGGGTTCTACCATGTTGGCCAGGATGGTCTTGATCTCTTGACGTCGTGATCTGCCCGCCTGGGCCTCCCAAAAGTGCTGGGATTACAGGCGTGAGCCACCGTGCCCGGCCCCCCAGCTGATTTTTGTGTTTTAAGTAGCAATAGGCTTTCACCATGTTGGCCAGGCTGGTTTCAAACTCCTGACCTCAAGTGATCCTCCCACCTCAGGCCTCCCAAACCTCCCAAGTGCTGGAATTACAGGCATGAGCCACCACGCCCAGCCTCACTTGTTTCCCCCCAGTCTAAAAGAACCTTTCTTGAGAATATTTTATGGTTGAAAGTTGTGGCATTTTCTGTTGATAGAGGGAAAAAAAAGTACACCACCCAGTGTTGTTTACAGCTTCAGTTTCTTTTATATAGCTATGCAGAACTTAATGACTATGATGATTTGACACATTTTTTTCCTTACTGTATAATGTGTTATGTGTCAGACTTTTCTTGAGAGAAAGATCTGTACCGTTTAGCAAAGAAAAAAGTCTGGTTTAGAGCACTTCTCAACCCCTTTTCTGCTGCTTCTAGGTGAAGGCTGATGTGTCTTTACATTCACAAGTTTGGGACAGACTCCTATAGATTAGGGGCTGTGGCATAGATGCCCCAGGTGCTGTCAGTGTTCGCCCATAGCCTCTCAAGGCCTTGCCGTTACTGTGCACACTAGCCAACTTTTACATCTCGGCACCTTTGTCTGCCTGAGAGCTTCTCTTGCTGCCAACTACTCTGCCTGCCTGGAGGGCAGGCCAGAAATGCCAGGATTTTAACACTCACTTTGGGAGTGGCGTTCAGCCAATATCTGCCAGGAGTTGTTAGTTGATAAACACCCAGCTCCTTTAATCCTCAGGTAGGGTGACTAAGGCACATATTAAGCAACAGTTGTCCTTAGTAGTATCCAGCTGGTACTGGTTTTCTACACTAATCATTTTATAGGCTCATTTCTTCTTCCTCATTTTTCCAACCCTCAGTGTTTTCTGACAAATAAACTACCTGAACTTTATTTATTTATTTTTTTGAGACAGGTTTTCACTCTGTCACCCAGGCTGTAGTGCAGTGCCCCGATCTCGGTTCATGGCACCCCCTACCTCTGGGGCTCTAGTGATTTCCCCACCTCAGCCTCCTGAGTAGCTGGAGCTGCAAGTGTGTGCCACCACACCTGGCTGGCTTCCTTCCTTCCTTCCTTCCTTCCTTCCTTCCTTCCTTCCTTCCTTCCCTCCCTCTTTCCTTCCCTCCCTCTTTCCTTCCCTCCTTGCTTCTC
Organism: Homo sapiens; assembly: GCF_000001405.40. Classification (NCBI taxonomy): domain Eukaryota; kingdom Metazoa; phylum Chordata; class Mammalia; order Primates; family Hominidae; genus Homo; species Homo sapiens. Next base: position 45,168,874 of record NC_000013.11, read on the forward strand.
TCCCTCCTTCCCTCCCTCCCTCCCTCCCTCCCTCCTCCTTCCTTCCCTCCCTCCCTCCTTCCCTCCTTCCTTCTTTCCCTCTTTCCCTCCTTACCTCCTTCCCTCCTTCCTCCCTCCTTCCCTCTTTCCCTCCTTCCCTCCTTCCTTGGTTTCACCCCGTTGCCCAGGCTGGGATTTCTCCATGTTGGCCAGGTTGGTTTCGAACTCCTGACCTCAAGTGATCCGATCGCCTCGGCCTCCCAAAGTTCTGGGATTACAGGCGTGAGCCACTGTGCCCGCCCCTGCTCCAAATTCATAGGTTGAAGTCCTAAACCCAGGTACCTCAGAATGTGACTGTATTTGGAGATAAGACCTGTAAAGAGGCGATGAATTTAAAAAGAGGCAGTGGCAATTGACTGGTGTCCTTATAAGAAAAGGAAATTTGGACACTCAGGAGAGACTGGGGTTGCACATGCACAGAGGAATGACCATGTGAGGAGGCCACAATTGAGTGGCCATCTGCAAGCCCAGGAGCTGAGCCTTAGAAGAAGCCAAAGTTGTAGGCACCTCGATCTTGGACTTCAGCCCCCAGTACTATGAGAAAATACCTTCCTGTTGCTTAAGCCACCCAGTCTGTGGAAATTTGTTATGGCAGCCCCAGCAAACTAATGCAGTGTGATTTAATACTTGTGATTTAGTTTTTTGAACTAAGAAGTCTAGTTGAGGATTTTTAGAAAAATTGATTTTCTTCTTGTGTTTTGCTTTTTTGTTACTAAAATTTTAATTGAAACATAACCTACATTTAAGAAAACAGCACAAATCATAAGTTTATACTGTTGATTTCTCACAAAGTGAACACATCCCTGTAACCACCACTCAGGTAACAAAAGAACATCGTCAGCTATGCTTTGATTTTTGAATCCATGGATCCAGTATCAAATTTTCTAGACTAATTTTTTTTACATGTCTTCAGTAACTTATTCCCTTTTAAATATAGATTACTATTTTTTAACCTTCAAGCATAAGTTTACATGGACACAACCAGTATTGTTTAGAAATGTTGCAATATTAGAAATATTAAGCTTCTTAAGAACTAGGTTTTTAACACAAACCAGAGAGTTATAGTTCCAACATTTATTTTATTTTATTTGATTTTTAATAAGAGACTGGTTATTTATTTATTTATTTAGAGACAAGGTCTTGCTCTGTCACCCAGGCTGGACTGCAGTGCTATGATCTCAGTTCACTGCAACCTCTAACTTCTGGGCTCAAGCGATCTTCCCACCCCAGCCTCCCAAATAGCTGGGACTACAGGCATATACCACCACACCCAGCTAATTTTTTAAAATGTTTTTTGTAGAGACAGGGTCTCATTTTCTTGCCCAGGCTGGTCTCAGACCCCCCCTGCCTTGGCCTGCCAAAGTGTTGGGATTATAGGTGTGAGCCACTGTGCCCAGCTGAGACTGGTTATCTTTGTAACACGCATAGTCTGGTAAATTTATCATTACATGGGCTCCAATTAATTTTTCTTTCTCCCACTTAACATCTTTTAAAATTTTTTTCTGACAAGGCTTAGAAGCAAATAAAAGCTTTTGTGGAAAGTGAATGTCAGTTGAGTCAGTGATGCAGGTAATTTATTTGAATTACTTTTCATGAGTTTTGCAGTCTTGAAATCATCTCCAACAAATGACTTTTTTTTCAGCTAGTGAGGTACTCTGTACACAGAATATTTTCCCCTTGAAACTGTCTTTCTGAGTAAATTATATTCTAATGGAAAGGTTCTGTGGCTTTGAAGTAGTTATTCCTGAAAGCTGGAAAATATAGAGAATCTGCATACAAGAAAGACTAGGGGCTGCAGTCAGAGAAAGGATCAGAGGTGGTATCTGAGAGAACCATCATGAGATCAGAAGAATGGTCCCTGGAGGAATTGGAGAAGTCTAGATGCAAGAGAAGGGTTGGAATGAAAAGGATGTGGCTTCCAACTGACTGAGGGGAGATTGTAATGAAAGCCCAGTGAAGGTAGTAGCAGTGTGATCTGTCATACTGGGAGGGTAGCAGAGAGAGTGGAGGAAGATCATGGTGGTCAGTCAGAATGGTAACAGACAGTTGGCTCAGGCAGCAGCAGAAATTAAATAGGCAGCAATTTAGTAGAGAGAAAGCAACGTTGCTTGCATGAGGTGACATAGCCGTGAAAATGCTACTGCCTAAAACCCTATCTTTTTTTTTTTTTTTTTTTTTTTTTTGAGACAGAGTCTTGGTCTGTCACCCAGACTGCAGTGCAGTAATTCGATCTTGGCTCACTGCAACCTCCGCCTCCCAGGTTCAAGCGATTCTCCTGCCTCAACCTCCTGAGTAGCTGGGACTACAGGTGCATGCCACCAGGCCCAGCTAACTTTTCTGTTTTTTAGTAGAGATGGAGTTTCGCCATGTCGGCCAGGCTGATCTCGAATTGGTGATCCGCCCACCTTGGCCTCCCAAAGTGCTGGGATTACAGTCATGAGCTGCAGCACCCAGCCTAAAACCATATCTTGACTTTAATTCAACTTTAAAAGAAACAGGTTTAAGTAATTTGAGGGTTCTGCATGGTGTTGCCAAGCATTCTGATACCATTTTGTACCTTTGCAATGAGTAAGAAGGATCCCTATTGAAACACTTTAGAGTTTTCTTTCTATCTGAAGTTAGGAAGGAAGTAAACCTAATATTATTTAGTGGTATTTTAAATGAAAAGGAGTATTTACATTATATTGCCTTTTAAAAAATTACAGCTTTATTGAGATGAAAATTCTCATACCATACAATTCACCCATTTAAAGTGTACAAGTGAATGGTTTTAGTACATCCATCACCACAGGTTTAGATTTTCATCATCTCAAAAGAAACCCACACCTATTTGTAGTCACCTGTTATTCTCACCCCAACCTCCCACGCCATAGTCTACTTTCTGGTTCTATAGATTTATCCATTCTGGACAGTTTATATAAATGGAATCCTAAAATACTTGGTCTTTTGTGACCTTTTTTTTTTTTTTTACTTAGCATGATGTTTCCAGGGCTCATTCATGTTGTAGCATTTATCAGTACTTAATTCTGCTTTATTGCTAGACAGTATTCCATCATCTGAATATTTCATGGTTTATCCATTCATCAGTTGATGGACATTTAGATTGTTTCCGTTTTTTTGGCTATTGTGAATGATGCTGCTATGAATATTTGTGTACAAGTTTTTGTGGGAACTTAAGTTTTTATTTCTCTTGTATATATACCTAGGAGTGGAATGTAGTGTGTGAGGGTTCCAATTTCACCACATCCCCACCAACACTTGTTATTGTCTGTCCCTTTGATTATAGCCAACCAAGTGGATGGGTGTGCAGTGGCATTTCATTGTGATTTTCATTTGTGTTTCCCTGTGGTTTTGACTTGTATTTCTCTGATAGCTGATGATTGATGTTGAATATCTTTTCATGTGCTTGTTAGCCATTTGTGTATCTCATTTGGACAAATACCTATTCCAGACCCTTTGCCTATTGTTAAACTAGGTTGTTTATCTTTTTATTATTGAGTTGTAAGAGTTCAATATATATATACACAAATCCCTTATTCAGAGATATGATTTGCAAATATTTTCTCCCACTCTGTAGGTTGTCTTTTTTACTTTTCTGATGGTATTCGTTGGAGTACAGAACTTTTAATTTTGATATAATCTAATGTCTCTTTTTTATTTTTATCATCTTAGCTCTTTGATTTAGGTTCTGATCCATTTTGAGTTAATTTTGTATATGGTATGAAATAGGAAGCCAACTTTAATTCTTTTCCATGCAGCTATCCAGTTTTTCCAGCACTGTTTGTTGAAAAGGCTATTTTTTCCCCATTGAATTCTCTTGGCACCTTTGTTGAAAATTAGTTGATCAGGAGTTGTTTATGGACTCTCAGTTCTATTCCATTGCTCAATGTATCTATCCTCATGCCAGTACCACACAGTCTTGATGACTGTAGCTTTGTAGTAAGTTTTGAAATTGGGAAGCGTGAACCCTCCAACCCTCCACCTTTCTTTTTTTTTCATGATTGTTGATTGTTGACCTATTCTGAGTCCCTCAAGTTTGCATATGAATTTTAAGATCAGTTCCTTAATTTTTGCAAAAAGTAAAAAGTCCAGCTGGGATTTTGGTAGGGATCATATTGAATCTATACATCAATTTGAAGAGTATTGCCATCTTAACAGTATTATTTGGTGGACAGCATTACAAAATATGCAATGTAGAGACACATAGATATAGAAAAAAGTGTACAGAGAGAAAAAATATGTTCTATTTTTCTAATTAAGTTTTTTATTTTGAGGTAATTGTAGATTCACATGTAGTTGTAAAAAATAATACCGAGAGATTGGATGTACCCTTTACTCAGTTTTCCTCAGTGGTAATATTGCAATTCATGGTACTATACAAACCACTGACATTGATATTGACATTGATATAGTCCACTGGTCCCATTCAGATTTCCCTAGTTTTACTTGTACTTAACTGTGTGTGTGTGTGTGTGTGTGTGTGTATTGTTTAGTTTCATGCAGTTTTGTCACGTGTGGTTTCATATACCCATCACCACACTCAAGATGCAGAACAGTTCCATCACCACAAGAATCCCTCAGGTTACCCTTTGTAACCGTGCCACCTTCCTCCTAACCACCCCCACTTCCCACCTCTTTCCCCAACCCTGTCTTAACCCCCAGAAATGACTGATCTGTTCTGCATTTTTATAACTTTGTCATTTTTTTTTTTTTTTTTTTTTTTGAGATGGAGTCTTGCTCTGTTACCCAGGCTGGAATGCAGTGGCATGATCTTGGCTCACTGCAAGCTCCGCCTCCCAGGTTCACACCATTCTCCTGCCTCAGCCCCCCGAGTAGCTGGGACTACAGGCGCCCGCTACCACGCCCAGCTAATTTTTTGTATTTTTAGTAGAGATGGGGTTTCACGGTGTTAGCCAGGATGGTCTCGATCTCCTGACCTCGTGATCCACCTGCCTCAGCCTCCCAAAGTGCTGGGATTACAGGCGTGAGTCACCGCGCCCGGCCAACTTTGTCACTTTTTAAAAGTGTCGTATAACTGTTATGTAAACAAGTACTATATAAATGCTTTTTTCACTCAGCATAAATTCTCTAGAGATTCATCCAAGGTTTTATGTGAATCACTAGCTGATTCCTTTCTATTGCTGAGTATTCCATGGTATGGATGTACCACAGTACATCTAACTAGCCTCTCATTGAAGAATGTCTGGGTTGTTCCCAGATTTTGGCTACTACAAATAAAGCTGTTGTGAACATTTGTGTATAGATCTTTGTGTGAGTGCAGGTTTTCATTTCTTTGGGATTAATGCCCAAGAGTGCATTTGCTGGGTAATATGGTAATTGCAAGTTAAATTTAATACATAACCACAAAACTTTTCCAGAGAAGCTATTTTTAAAAGTATAGATAATTTTTTTAAAACTTGAAAATGTGACCACTGCCACATACAGAAAAGATGTATTAACATGAAACAGCTGAAATAGAACATGTTCAGCCCCTCAAAAGCTGCCAGGTATCCCTCCTTGATCACAGCTCACTTCTTCATCCACAGAGAAAACCATCATTGACATTAATGATAGTAACTTTTTCTTTTATAATTTTAGCATTTAAGCCTTTATTCCTCAGTAATATATTTTACTTTGCCTGTTTTTTAGTGTTATATGAATAGAATGAATATGCACCATTTTTTTGGTATGAGTTTTTCATGGAGCACTGTTTTCTTTTTTCTTTTTTTTTTTTTTTTTTTTTAGAAATAATAGTTTTATTACTTACAGGTCCTGGATACATGACATACCTGGAAGCCATACACAGAGGTCAGGGAGGACTTCAGAGGGAAGGAGAGGGAGAAAGATCCACAGGTTAATGCCTTCATTGAGGTCTAGGGCCTTATCCAAACAGGTTTCTCACTGGGAGATTTTTCTTTAACACTCAATAATTGTATACATTTATGGTACAGTATGATTTTGGTACATATGTACAATGTATAAGGAGCAAATCAGAGTTGTTAGCATATCTGTCACCTCAAACATTTATCATTTCTCTGTGTTGGGAATATTAAAAATCTTACAGCTCTTTGAAAATATGCACTAAATTATTGTTAACTATAGTCACCTTGCAGTGTAATAGAACAGTAGAACTTATTTCTCCTATATAGCTGTAATTTTGCATCTGTTAGCCAGTCCCTCCTTATCATGCCTCACACTTTCCAGCCTCTAGTAATCACTATTCTATCTCCTTCTGTGAAATCAACTGTTTTAGCTTTCATGTATGAGTGAGAACATATGATATTTGTCTTTCTATGCCTGGCTTATTTCACTAACATAATTACCTCTAGGCTCATACATGTTGCCTTGTTTGACAGGATTTCATTGGTTTTTGTGGCTGAATAGTATTCCATTGTGTATATATACCACATTTTCTTTATTCATTCATCTGTTGGACGTGTAAGTTGATTCCATATCTTGGCTATTGTGAATAGTGCTGCAATAAACATAGGAGTGCAGACATCTCTTCAACATACTGATTTCCTTTCTCTTGGATATACACCCAGTAGTGGAATTGCTGGATCATATGGTTGTTCTGTTTTTTAGTGTTCTTTTTTATATATGTTTTATGTCCTGTAAAACATTTTTGTTATTATCTTAAACAGCATCAGTATCTGTATCCAAATATGTGTGTACTCTTCAGTTCTCTTCCTTCTTGGATTTGCCTGATTCTTTTTCTCTTTTTTTTGAGATGAAGGTTCGCTCTTTTTGCCCAGGCTGAAGTGCAATGGCACTATCTCGGCTCACTGCAACCTCTGCCTCCCGGGTTCAGGTGATTCTCCTGCCTCAGCCTCCCGAGTAGCTGGGATTACAGGCATGCGCCGCTACACCTGGCTAATTGTGTGTGTTTTTAGTAGAGATGGGGTTTCTCTGTGTTGGTCGGGCTGGTCTCGAACTCCCGACATCAGGTAATCCGCCCGCCTCGGCCTCCCAAAGTGTTGGATTACAGGCATGAGCCACTGCACCTGGCCCATTTGCCAAATTCTATCGGGTAACATTTTGTTTTTGCCTGAATTATTCCTGTTAGTATAGATTTTATTACAGTTGTCATGGAGTACTGTTTTCTAAGACTGATCCACGTTGTATATAGCAGTAGTTCATTCCATTTCTTTGTTGCATTCCAGAGTATTTGTTTACTGCAGTTTACTCATTTTTACTGTTAGTGAATATTTATGTTGTTTATAATTTTTAGCTTATTAACAATACTGCTATAATTTCTAAGTGTGGACTTTGGTCACAGGATACATATATCTTCAATTCTGGTTGATAAGGCCCAACTGTTTTCCAAAGAAGCCATCTTAGTTTATCTTCCCATCAGTAGTGTATGTAAGTTCTTTTTGTTTTAACTCCTCTCTAATGATATTATATTTATAAAAAAATCTTAACTGTTATGGTGAATTTGTAGTGATTTCTCACTGTGGTTTGATTTGACATCCGTCTCTTTTTTAAATGAAGTTACCCTTGTGTTTATTTTACATTTGAATTTATTTTGAGAGATGCTTGTTTAGATTTCTTGTCCATTTTTTATGAGTTGTCTTTTTCTTTTTGAGTTGTAGTTCTTTATATATTCTGGGTATAGCCCTTAGTTATGTGGTTTTAAAATAACTTTTATTCAGTGGCTTGCCTTTTTACTCTCTTAAAGGTATTTTTTGATGAACAGAAGTTATCTTTAATAGTCCAGTTTGTCAGTCTTGTCTTTGTGGCTTGTGCTTTTGTGTCTCTTTAAGAAATTGAGATCATAAAGTTATTTTCCTCTGTCATCTTCCATAAGCTTTTTTGTATTGTCTTTCTTCACATTTGCATCTGTGGTTTAACTGGAATTGTTTTTTCTTTTTCTTTTCTTCTTTTTTTTTGGGGGGGACGGTCTCGCTCCACCCAGGCTGGAGTGCAGTGGTGCAGTCTTGGCTCACTGCAACCTCTGTCTCCCAGGTTCAAGCGATTCTACTGCCTCAGCCTCCCGAGTAGCCGGGATTATAGGTGCCCGCCACCATGCGTAGCTAATTTTTTTTTGTATTTTTAGTAGAGATGGGGTTTCACCATGTTGGTCATGCTGGTTTTGAACTCCTGGCCTCAAGTGATCCACCCACCTCAGCCTTTCAAGGTGCTAGGATTACAGGCGTGAGCCACTGCGCCCAGCCTGGAATTGTTTTTTCTGTAGGTGTGAGATAGGGGTCAAATTGTATTTTTCTTCCATATGAATGAGAATGATGTATTTTTTTTTAATAAAGACCATCTTTTTCTCACTGTTCTACAATACCAGCTTTGCCATAAATCAACTATTTACTGAAGTACAGGTCTGCTTTTAGGCTCACTCTCTTCTCCAGTGGTTGATATCATCTAGCCTTATTTTGGTAGCAAAGTTATACAGTTGCGTCCCCTTACCACCTCCCATCTGCAGTTTCAGTTACCCGTGGTCCACTGAGGTCCAAAAAATATTAAATGGAAAATTCCAGAAATAATACCAAAGTTTTAAACTGTACATTGTTCTGGGTAGAATGATGAACTCTCGGGCCATCTTAGTTCATTCTGCCTGGGATGTGAATCCTCCCTTTGTCCAGCATACCCATGCTGTATATGCTACCTGCCCATGAGTCACTTAGTAACTGTCTTGGTTATCAGACAGACTGTCTTAATATCACTGTGTATGTGTTCAAATGACCCTTATTTTACTTAATAATGGCCCCAAAGTATGAGAGTAGTGATGCTGGCAATTCAGATATGCCAAAGAGAAACCTTAAAGTGCCTCCTCTAAATGAAAAAGTAAGAGTTCCTAACTTAATAAGGAAAGGAAAATATATGTTGAGGTTGCTAAGATCTACGGTAAAAATGAATCTTTCATTCGTAAAATTGTGAAGAAGGAAAAAGTCCACAGTCTTGCTTTTCTGTGGAGTATTCTACTGTTAGTTTTATTGCTGAAAGAGTCCACAGTCTTGTTTTTTCTGTGGAGAATTCTGTTAGTTTTATTGCTGATGCTTTAAGGGTAATGTCTTTTTATTTCCTGTGAGTATATACAAATTTTTTTGATTATCTTTGATTTTAATGTGATATGTCTACATGTGGGTTTCTCTTTAAGCAGCCTGGGATTCATTGAGCTTCTTGTGTCTGTTGATTGCTGTCTTCCTTCATTTGTAGAAAACTTTCTGACACCTGCCCTTTAAATGTTACTTCTATTTTTTTTCTCTCCTCCTGAGATTCTGATGAAACAAATATTTTAAACATAGGGCCAACAGTTTCTTTGTATCTTCTGTGTCTCTGTAATGATTTTTCTGCCCCTTTTCTGCTTGTGCTACACTCTGGAAAATTTATTTTTCCTATATACCAACTCACTAATGGTTTCTTCACTTGTGTCTAGTCTGATATTAAACTTGTCCAGTGAGGTTTAAATTATGCTTCTTATTTTTTATTTCTAGATGTCTTATGTGGTTCTTTTTTGAATCTGTGACAATTTTCCCTGTAGGTATTTCTGAGTTTGTCTTTTTTTTTTTTTTTAATCACAGTCCAGTTGTTTTATAGTGTGTATCTGAGAATTCCAATCTCTGAAGTCTTTTAGAGTCCCTTTATGTTGATGCTTTTACTGGTACTTAGTCAAGGAATCTAGTTTCAAAGCTTCGTGTTTGGCATTATATTTATTTATAGGAATAACATGACTTTCTTTAAATTTTTTTCTTTTTTTCTTTTTCTCCTCAAATTCCGTTTACCAAACATGTGACTTTAAATGAAAGTTATGTACCTACTCTCACCCAAGCACTACAGACCACTACCAGTTTTGATCCACTGTTTCAGTAATTTATAACAAATCACCACCAAACTGGGGCCTTAAAACAACAATGATGTCATATTTCCATGAATCTGTGAGTTGGCTGGATTAAGCTGGGGGCTCTACTGTTCACATGATGTTGACTGGAGTTACTCATGCATCTGCATTCAGCTGGGGGGTTGGCTAGGGTGCAGTGTCCAGGACTGCTTCACTTATTGCCTGAGAGTTGGTGCATGTGGGTTGGGGTACCTTTGCTCTGTCCTTTGTGGTTTCTCTTTAGTGCTCTCGTCATTTAGTAGGTCTAGCCCATGCTTCTTTACATGGTGGCTGTTTTCCAAGAAAGCAAAAGCAAAAGCTGCTAAGTCTCTTAAGGACTGGGCTTGGAACTGGTGCAGCATCACTTCAGCTGCATCTGTTGGTCACAGCAAGTCACAGGACCTGCTCAGATTCAAAGCAAGGGAAAATAAAATAGACCCCACCTCTTGATGAAACTAGCGGTGTGCAAGTACAGGGAAGAAAGGGATTGTTTTCAGTCATCTTCAGAGATAGTCTACCATTATCACATTAAACCATGCTCAAGGCTTGAGATTTCTTTGATGGGGTATCCAGGGATTGAAATTAGGTGATCATTACAGTGACCATGTAGCTTACCTGGTTACAAGGTGGAATCTTTTTGAGAGTAAAAAGGAGCACTATTTTTAAGCATGCCAATACTTGGGGTGTAACTAGACTGTCTGTGGCAAACTAGGACTCTGGGTCACCCTAGTTAGTTTATCAGGAGCTTTTAAAATTTCCTTCTTATCACTGCCCTGAAGGTATATAGTCCTTTGGGATTTTAATTTTTTGTGGAAATGAACTCCTGTTAGACTTTCTACCTTGTATAGGCACTGGACTTTGATTTATGTCCCTCATGCCTTGGGAGGCTGTCTAAACAAAGAGTCTCATTTTCCTTGTATTGGCTCATGACCACAGGGAATCTCATTTTCCCCATATTTGGGGCTTGTAATTTCTTATTATCTTGTGGTCTTTTTGATACTTTAAGATTTTATTAAGCTTTTTAATTGTTTTTCAGAGGGAGATTTTATCTAAATTAAGTTAGCCCACCATTATAGAGAATATAGACCAGCATAGTTAATTTACTCGAAATAACAGATGAAAAAGAACTGAAGGAATTTCTTAACATCAAATAAATGCCTCTTTTTCACAAGAAATACAAGTTCCCAAGAGTTTCTTTTAAGTTGGGAGGTGGGGGTGTAGATGTGGGTGAAGAATTAAAGAATTGGAGTCATTATATTATCTTTTTTAAAAACTCCATGTTTTTCACTTTTTGACAATCTATCAATTCTCTGTTACGAAAATTTTGAAAATTATAATCCTCAAAATAACGTCTCATTTTTACTTAGTTGTGTTATCACTTCATCAAGGCTGTAAAGACTAACATTCCACAACTAATTTCCCTGCTGTTTAACCTTAGTATAAATTATAAATAAGTTTGTACTTTCTTCTTGGCTTTTGATCATGTCATCTTATTCTTGAATTATTTATTTTTATTCTGTATTGTCTAGATTTCACAGTTACATCTCTTTTCTTAAAAAACACTCATAGGTGAGCTTTAAAAATATACGTAGTTTCTTTTCAGGTCCATTATAGAATTTTAGTCTATACTATAGACTCATGCGTATTTTGTGTCTGTTTTAGTTAGACAGTTATAATTTTGTCATTTTTTTCCGTATGTGTGTGTATGTATGTGTAATATATCTTCCTCAAAGCAAAGTTTTGGCTGGTCAGCAAATGTTTAAATGAGTATTTTTGTGGTAATTATAAACTCTGATCTAATTTGGTCCATACTGCTTGTGTAAGGAAAAGATTGCTCATTTTGTTTTTTCAAGTTTTGTGTGTTTGTAGCCAAATGAATTGTACTTTTATTTCTACATGTTTATTATACTTCATGTCAGTCATCTAAGTTACCTTACTTTGTTGCTTTAATAAATTTTTATCCAATAAAAATTTATTTAATTAATTTTTTATTGTGTCCTAATGTTTTCTTTAGAAGGGTGTAGTGACTTGAAGAAAGCATGGATTTTTCTTTAAAAGAAGTATATTTTTGTATTGGTAAATTGCTGGTCTCTGATGTGGTCTTTGTCATATGTAGTCATCAAAAAACGAAAGTGATCTGGGCGTGGTGGGTCACGCCTATAATCCCAGCACTTTGGGAGACCAAAGCAGGAGGATCACTTGAGCCCAGGAGTTCGAGACCAGCCTGCCAGCACAGTGAAACCCCGTCTCTACCAAAAAATACAGCAATTAGCCAGGCATAGTGGTACGTGCCGGTAGTGTAGTTCCAGCTATTCAGGAGGCTGAGGCAGGAAAATTGCCTGAACCCAGGAGGTGGAGGTTGCAGTGAGCCAAGATCACACCACTACACTCCAGCCTGGGCAACAGAGTGAGACCCTGTCTCAAAAGACAAAAAAACAAACAAACAAAAAAAAAAAAAACCAGAAAAACCAAAGGTGATATCCAGATATCATGGCATCAATTCCCTTCATATACCTCCCTCTCTTCTTCTTCTTGCTGGCTACCTTAAAAAAGGAAAGGGTCATACTTTTCAACTAGTGGCACCTTGAAATATATTTTATTTTTCACAGTAGATTTAAGGAGTCATTGCTTTTGCTGTAAAATAATGAGTCAGAGTAAAAGAGCTTAGTCAATAGAGATCCTTTAAGGAATCCTTAAATGAATAACCAAGAACATTTTAAGCATGTCAATTACTTGTATATGAACATTTCTCTCTGATGTTCTTAAAGACAATTATTAGGTTTTAAACAACAGCAACTTTACATTTTATGTTATAAAGCTGTATAATACAAAAACAATTAGTATGTATTTAGAAGTAAATATAAAATAAATCTATTAACCTGTGGATGAGTCAGTATTGCTTTTAAGTGATCTTCATATTTCGGCTATATAAGCCAAAAAAACTTACTTAGTATTATTGTCTTTGGGTCACTTTTGAAAGCTAGAGGGAAAGTTTAGGTTGAGAAAATGTCTCATCCAAAAGCATTGTCTTTTGGGTTGCTTTTCATCTGTTTTTTAATTTTTAAAAAACTTTGTGAGCTTGAGCACATTGTGTTAGCTTAAGTGTACAAAAAGCTAGCGGTAGCTTTTCTTGATGCTTCTATTGATATGGTATTGGGGAGAATGCCTAATTGTTTGAATAGTCTACCACAAGCTTATTAATTTAGAAAACTAGAGAGAATAATGCTAGCTCCTTAGGTAACAAATGGCCGCCCTGCTGGCTGAAGCTTTAGACTCCTCCCTCTCTCTGGAGGTAGCTCCTTATGTAGCCCCTTCTTCTTCATACCCTGCCATTTCTAAGAATTTGACCATGTCTCTCTTCCAGCTTCCACCAGTTTAGTTTTTTAGACTACATTTCACTTTCCTAGTGTTGTTTATTTGTTTGTTGAGACAGTCTCGCTCTGTTGCCCAGGCTGGAGTACAGTGGTGCAATCTCGGCTTACTGCAGCCTCTGCCTCCCGGGCTCAAGCAATTCTCCTGCCCCAGCCTCCTGAGTAGCTGGGATTACAGACGCCCACTGCTACGCCCGGCTAACTTTTGTTACCTCAGGTGATCCACCTGCCTCGGCCTCCCAAAGTGCTGGGATTACAGGTATGAATCACTGCACCCGGCCACTTTCCCAATGTTCTTACTTCACTCCTTCCCAGATGACTCTAAAATAGCGTTCAAGATGCTTTGTGATCTTAAGTGTTTTTTAAAATTGCTTGGTACTGTGGGGAAACAGAATTATGCCTTTCTCTCTCTATGTTTATACTCTTCCTCCATCTCCAGAGCAGGGCAGTACAAGAGTTTACTATATCTCAAAAATCTGTGAAGTTGTTGCTTTGCTTACTTGATGTAAAAATAGTCTCCCTCCTCCGATTTGCTTAAAGGTAGTCTACTTTTTTCTTAGATGGTCCCATGGAAGAATTTTTAGTTCATTTTTAGAAATCATTTTGCTGATTGTTCACTATTGGTAGCTATTCTTCAGGTTTAATTTGTTAATAATTCTGTACATGAATGAGGAAAATAGGCCTAGCTCACAGAGGCTTCTTTCCTGGTTATCCCTCACGTGCCAGTCCCCCTTTTTCTTTCTGTGGTTGAGGCCCCACAAGTCTCAGAAATGGATTCTCTGTACTAGTTTTTTCTTGTAGCACACTCGTCAGGCAGGCTGGGTTCCCTTTTGGTTAACTGTGGCTTCTTCCATTATTTTAACTAGGTCTTGGCCTAGACTAATGAATGAGTGGAGGCACCCCCTTCCTTCAGTATTATTTTGCCCATTTTCAAGGTTCATGTCCTTTGTCAAGTAAGTCTCTTACTGAGTTCCAGGATCTGGTCCGAAGGCATTATCACATAGTGGTTAAGAGCTTGGCACTTTGAAGGTTGCTTGGTTGCTGTGTGACTGCAGGCAAATTGCTTAACTCTGGGGATCCCTGTTTCTTCATCTATAAAATAATAGTGTTAATACTACCTACCTCTATCTGTTAGAATTAACTCCGCTAGCAAAGTATCAGTGACTTAAGCACATTGTTTTCCCTTGTAAGGGAAGTTCCTAGGTAAGAAGTCCTTGTGTGCTATGGCATTTCCAAGGTCATCAGCAGGCCTTTGCCATTGTTTAACTGTGGCTTCCATCCTCAGGGGGATCCAGAATGACTGCTGGAGTTACTACTGTCATATCTACCTCTCAGGCATCAAAAGGGAAGCAAGACGGGGAAGGTAAAGGGACTTTTTAATTCTTTGCAGGAGCATATCCAGAAGTCACTTTGCTTACATTCCACTAGTCAGAACTTGATAACTTGGCCACACTTTGCAGCCATAGAACACTGGGAAATGCAGGTTTAATTTGGGTGTAGTTGCTACCCTTAATTAGGGTTCCATTTCTGACAAAGAAGGGAATGGATACAGGAGAAGTAACTATCAATATCTGCCCCATCACCTCATGAGATCATTATGTGTTGTGCGCTTTAAAGCAGACAGTGCATGTCAATACTTAGTACTGTGCCTGATACAAAGTAATACCTCATCAAATGCCAGACATTTTTATGATCTCCTGTGTTAAAGGATCAGATTGTCTGCATTTACCACTTCTTTTTTCTTTTTTTTTCTTTTTTGAGACAGAGTCTTTCTTGGTCACCCAGGCTAGGGTACAGTGGCACGATCTTGGCTCACAGCAACCTCTTCCTCCCGGGCTCAAGCAGTTGTCCTGCCTCAGCCTCCTGAGTAACTGGGATTACAAGTGTGCACTACCAACCCTGGCTAATTATTGTATTTTTTTTAGAAGAGACAGGATTTCACCATGTTGGCCAGGCTGGTCTTGAACTCCCGACAAGTGATCTGCCCGCCTCAACCTCCCAAAGTGAGCGACTGCACCTGGCCTCTTATTCTTTTGGCTCATTCACATACTTTCCCAGAAGAGTGATTTCTTATAATACTGTAATACCTGAAACTTGTTTCTGTATGGAAACAACCATAGATGATTTCTTCGCAGGAAAGAGGTAGATAGGGTGTGGCTGTTCCCTTGTTGGGGAACTGTTAGTTTCTGTAGAAGAGGTTTTAGCCTTTTACTTCATTAGTAATTTTTAACATGGGTGGCGTTGATTGGTGAAGTCTTTTTTAACTTTATTCCCCCCCGCCCTTTTTTTTTGAGACAGGGTCTTGCTCTGTCACCCAGGCTGGAGTGCAGTGGCATGATCCTACCTCACTGCAGCCTCGAACTCTTGGGCTCAAGCAATCTTCCCACTTCGACCTCCCCAAGTGCTGGGATTACCATGTGAGCCACTGTAGCTAGCCTTTTTTCCCTTTAATTGTGAAATCCTCACCTGCTTTTCTTTTCCACTGCCTTGAGCCAAAACACCACTGTTTGATGCATATTCATTTTTAAAAAGATAAAGTGAATTAAGATTCTACCTCAACTTTTCTTTTATTACATCCTTTAGTTAAATGGAAAGTCTTCGGAAAGTTAGGAAAGATTTTACTTAGGGTGCCTTTTGCTTCACTAAACACCTGAGTGTTAACTGCCAAATTTGTATATATTTTATACAAGCACAAGGTTGTTATTTTCTTTGTTTTTGACAGGGTCTCGCTCTGTTGCCCAGGCAGGAAGTGCAGTGGCATAGTCATGGCTTACTGCAGCCAATCTCCTGTGCTCAAGCGATCTTCCCACCTCCGCCTCCTGAGTAGCTGGAACTATAGGTGTGGGCCACCACGCCCAACTGTTTTTGTGTGTGTGTGTGTATTTTTTGTGGAGACAGGGTTTTGCCATGTTGCCTAGGCTGGTCTTGAACTCCTGGGCTCAAGTGATCCTCCATCCTTGGCCTTTGAAAGTGCCTGGATTATAGGTGCGACACCCCGCTTAGCCCATTATTTTCTACATACCTGTCACCTAGTGAATTTTATAGTATACCTAAAAATGTTGTATTCTGTAACAGCAAGAAATATATTTGAAGCTCCTTTTTCTTCTGTCTTATTAAGGACAATCTGCCTGATATCCAGATAATCCAAATTTTCCTTAAGACACAAAGAAAGAGCAGAGGGAAATATAACTGGGAACCAAAATGTATTTTAATATAGCCTGCTTCCACTTTTCAAGGTAGCTGAATTTTATGTTCTAAATCTCAATGTGTTAGATTTTGGCTGTGTTGTAACACCAACTTATAATATGTTGTAAACTTATACATATTGTAAGCACATGTAGACTTACACATGTTGTAAATGCCTGCGGTTGTGTTTGGTTTTAGTTTTCGTTTTGTTGTTTTATAAATCTATCACCCACAACCTTTAGCTATTGTACAACATGGTGAATATACCCAGTAACAATGTATTATATACTTTTAAGTGTTCTTACCACAAAACTAAGTATATAAGGTAATATATATGTTAATTAGTTTGATTAGCCACTCCATAATATATGCATATTCCAGAACATGTTGTATACCATAAATGTATACAAATTTTATCAATTAAAGATTGTTTTTTAAGAAAGAAAATGCACTAAATCATTTATGACTTTTAGATTCTTCTGTTTGGTGTCTCTCTCCAGTTATCTCACCTTTATTAGTAATTATTTCCATACACAGCTATGCACAGTCTTTCTTTTTTCTTTCTAGATGGATTTCTCTTAAAATATCTTTGCGTAGATAGAAAAAAATATGTAAAAATCAAAATAGTTTTGTTAGGATATAGGATTATGGTATCTTCATTCATATTTTTAACATGGTTTTTTTTTTTCTTGAGGCAGAATCTCATTCTGTAGCCCAGGCTGGAGTGCAGTGGCACGATCTCGGCTCACTGCAACCTCTGCCTCCTGGGTTCAAACGATTCTTGTGCCTCAGCCTCCCGAGTAGCTGGGATTACAGGCATGCGCCACCATGCCCAGCTAAGTTTTATATTTTTAGTAGAGATGGGGTTTTGCCATGTTGCCCTGGCTGGTCTTGAACTCCTGACCTCAAGTGACCTGCCCACCTTGGCCTCCCAAAGTGCTGAGATTACAGGCGTGAGCCCCGGCACCTGGCCTATTTTTTTTTTTTTTTAATTTTAATTTTTTTTTTGAGACAGAGTCTGGCCCCGTCACCCAAACTGGAGTGTAATAGCTCGATCTCTGCTCACTTCAACCTCCACCTCCTAGGTTCAAATGATTCTCCTGCCTCAGCCTCCCAAGTAGCTGGGATTTCAGGCGTCCACCACCACACCCTGCTAATTTTTTGTATTTTTAGTAGAGACGGGGTTTCATCATGTTGGCCAAGCTGGTCTCGAACTCCTGACCTGGTGATTCACCCGCCTCAGCCTCCCAAAGTGCTGGGATTACAGGTGTGAGCCACCGCACCCAGCCGCCTGGCCGCCCAGCCTATTTTTAGTGTTTTAAAAATAAATAAAAATTTATCAAATGCTATGATACCTAATGTAAATGATAATTGGTCTAATTCTTTGTAAAATAACAGTAAGTGATAGAAGATAAATCAAGTCAAAATTAGTATCACTCAACATTTTTTAAGAACCTTAAAAATAGTTAATAAATACCTGTTTTAACGAGGCAAAAATCAGTGGGTTGCAAATTAAGAATTAGTAGACTTCCTCAATTTTATACTTTAATAATGTCAAAACATATGTGCTAAACATCCTAAAGGACAATAATCAAAATTACTTTTGAAAAGTTGAGCCTGTTTTTAAAAAGGAATTTTCAAAAATTAACTAGTTTTTAAAATAAAATTACTATTAAAACTTGCTTTTAAATGCAACTGAATATTCTGGAATTATGGTTTTGGAAAAACCTGTCATGGTTTTAGGTTAAATGTGTTATATTTTATAATATGGAGTAGGTTTTAAAAACATTTACAAAGGGATACGTTGGCAAGGTGTGGTGACTCACACTTGTAATCCCAGCACTTTGGGAGACCAAGGCAGGAGGATTGCTTGAGCCCAGGAGTTTGAGACCAGCCTGGGCAACAAAGTGAGACTCCATCTCTATGAAAGTATATATTTTTTTAAATTTATATTTTAAAAATTTAAAAGGGGTATGTTTTAATTGTCTCATTTTTAAATATCCAATTCAGTATCTTTTCTAAAATAACTGGTGGTTGAAATAAAACTAGAATTTGTGTATTTTATTATACAATGCTTAATGTACATTTCTGCATTGTTAGAAAAGTTTTATTAAATATAGGTCATTTATAACAACTTATATGTGTTCATGATTTTTGTTTGCTAGAAAATATTGAACCATTATGTATTTTTTAAGAGAAGAAGTAGAAATACAGTCCACCTCTTCATAAATTTTTTTAGCCATATTTTAGATTCATCTTAAATATTTCTCTCTGTCCAGCCTATTTTCCTTTACCGCCACTCCCTTGGTGTTTGTTGACAGAAACAAATTAATTGTAATATTATCTTAAGCAAAATATGATTAGGACGATAAGTCGGCTACAGAAGAAGCCATTGTATATTTTAAAGCTAAATACAAATGATTTCTAAGTTGCATGCTGTTTTGGATAGTCCTCCATATTACATCTTTGTTTTGTTAGCAAGGATAATTATGATTCAGATGCTGTAATTTTAACCTTGACTAACATGCATTGCTGTTTAAAATATTCATAATTTATTAGATTGGCATGTCTTTAAAATAGCATTATCACATATGTAACTCCTTACTGATTTTATTTATTTGTTTGAGATGGGAGTCTCACTCTGTTGCCCAGGCTGGAGTGCAGTAGCACAATCTCAGCTTGCTATAACCACCTCCTGGGTTCTAGCGATTCTCATGCCGCAGCCTCCCAAGTAGCTCAGATTACAGGCACGCACCACCATGCCCAGCTAATGTTTATGTTTCTAGTAGAGACAGGGTTTCACCATGTTGGTCGTGCTGGTCTTGAACTCCTGACCTCAAGTGATCCACCCGCCTTGGCCTCCCAAAGTGCTGGGATTACAGGTGTGAGCCACTGTGCCTGGCCCCTGCTGATTTTATATTGCTGACAAAACAGCTGCTATTATTATTTTGTTATTGTAGATTTTGACATGAAGCTAGAAAATAAAAGTCCCAAGAAACCTATTATATCTATTTTAAATGAATAGAATGAAAACCATGCTTGCCTATAGCAATTTAAAGTACAGTCTTGTGTTTTGTAGTATCTCATCACAGAATTAAACATGTGCTTGTTAAAAGTTCTCCATTCTATTCATGTGTAAGTAGAAAGCCTAATTAATGTAAATGTGCATTTTGGGGAGACCTGTTCATGGTTATGCCATGAAAATACTTTTTACTGGACAAGATAATAATTAGTGCTTTATCAAAAGTTCATGAAGGTGAAGTACTTTACATACAATTCAGAATTTAATTTAAACCTTGCAAAAGCCCTGTCAAATAGTTACTATTATCCTTATTTTACTGTGAGGATGTTGAAATTTTAAAAAGTTAAGGATCTTGCTTATAATCATGTAAGCAAGTTAGTGGAAGTTAATGGAATTAGAACCCAAGTCTAACTCGAGAGCCCATGTGTGTTTCACTGTGCTTTTTTCTCCTAATATGTCAGTTCTGTGGATTATACAGTCATAAAAAGTTAACCTATTTTTCACCAAACTTGATATGTGAAAATCTTATATTCACCAGCAGACAAATTTGTGATATTCTTTACTGTTGTGAGATGGATGATTCACTTTTTTTTTTTTTAATTTAAGTTCTAGGGTACATGTGCACAATGTGCAGGTTTGTTACATAGGCATACATGTGCCATGTTGGTTTGCTACACCCATCAACTTGTCATTTACATTAGGTACTTCTCCTAACGCTATCCCTCCCCGGCTCCCCACCCCACAACAGGCCCCAGTGTGTGATGTTCCCCTCCCTGTGTCCAAGTGTTCTCATTGTTCAACTCCCACTTACGAGTGAGAACATGTGGTGTTTGGTTTTCTGTCCTTGTGATATTTTGCCGAGAATGATGGTTTCCAGCTTCATCCATGTCCCTGCAAAGGACATCAACTTACCCCTTTTTTTTGGCTGCATAATATTCCATCATGTATATGTGCCACATTTTCTTTATCCAATCTGTTATGATGGACATTTGGGTTGGTTCCAAGTCTTTGCTATTGTGAATAGTGCCGCAATAAACATACGTGTGCATGTGTCTTTATAGCAGCATGATTTATAATCCTCTGGGTATGTACCCAGTAATGGGATGGCTAGGTCAAATGGTATTTCTAGTTCTAGATCCTTGAGGAATCACCACACTGTCTTCCACAATGGTTGAACTAATTTACATGCCCACCAACAGTGTAAAAGCATTCCTATTTCTTCACATCCTCTCCAGCATCTGTTGCTTCCTGACTTTTTAATGATTGCCATTCTAACTGGCATGAGATGGTGTCTCATTGTGGTTTTGATTTGCAGTACCATTGAGGACATAGGCATGGGCAAAGGCTGTTGTGGTTTTGATTTGCAATACCATTCAGGACATAGGCATGGGCAAAGGCCATTGTGGTTTTTATTTACAATACCATTCAGGACATAGGCATGAGCAAAGGCCATTGTGGTTTTGATTTGCAGTCAAAAATCAATGGGTTGCAAATTAAGAATTAGTAGACTTCCTCAATTTTATACTTTAAAATTATACTTTAAAAATGGTATTTGCAATACTATTCAGGATGGTATTGCAAATGGTAATACCATAGGCAGTACCATTCAGGACATAGGCATGGGCAAGGACTTCATGACCAAAACACCAAAAGCAATGGCAACAAAAGCCAAAATAGACAAATGGGATCTAATTAAAGAGCTTCTGCACAGCAAAAGAAACTGTCATCAGAGTGAACAGGCAACCTACAGAATGGGAGAAAATTTTTGCAATCTATCCATCTGACAAATGGCTGATACCCAGAATCTCCAAAGAACTTAAACAAATCTACAAGAAAAAAACAACCCCATAAAAAAGTGGGCAAAGGATATGAACAGACACTTCTCAAAAGAAGACATTTATGCAGCCAACAGACATGTGATTCACCTGTTTTTTAAATGACATGACATTAAAAATATTACTTTTCTAAAATTCAGTTTTTCACTCAATGTTTTAGGAATACTTGCATTATAAGGTTGTATCAAGTGAGGCAAACCTATATTTTGGTATTCTGTATTCAACACCTACCTTGTGAATGCCTGTTTTCTGCCACGTTCTAGGTGTTAGGGATATAAGTGGCTTGCAAAATCAGACGTGGTTTCTGTTGGCTCTGGTACAGGTATACCTGGGCTTCAAATCCTGGTTCCACCTCTTTATAACTATGTAATCTTGGGCAGGTTACTTAACCCCCTAAGTCTCTGTTTCTTCATCAGTAAAAAGGAAAGAATAATTAATACCTTTCTTAGAATTGTTTGAGGTTTAATTGAGAGAATGTATGTTCCTAGCATGGTATCCGGCATATAGTAAAATGCTTAATAAATGTTAGCTTTTTTTATCACCCTAAAAGTAAGTAACATTTGAAGTATAAGTTTTGTGGGGGTTTTTTTGTTTTTGTTTTTGTTTTTTTTGAGACAGAATCTCGCTCTGTCACCTAGGCTGGAGTGCAGTGGTGCGATCTCGGCTCACCACAACTTCCACCTCTCAGTTAAAGCGATCCTCTCGCCTCAGCCTCCCAAGTAGCTGGGATTACAAGTGTATGCCACCACGTGTGGCAAATTGAAATACAAGTAATTTTCTTTAAAAAAAAAAAAAAAACTGAATAAGCTGATTCAGTAACATCATCTTCAGTCTGGCATGGTAGTCATCTTCCTTGAATTATTTGAAAAGTCTCGTGTTTCATTTGTTCTGTATACCACCATATATACATTTTAAAAATATAGTAAAAGCCGGCCGGGCGCAGTGGCTCACGCCTGTAATCATAGCACTTTGGGAGGCCGAGGTGGGTGGATCACGAGGTCAGGATATCGAGACCATCCTGGCTAACATGATGAAACCCCGTCTCTACTAAAAATACAAAAAAAAAATATATATATATATATATATATATATATATAGCCATAATCTCACATTTTAAGGATGGTGCTAGAGTCACTGCATGGGGTAATTCCAAATATAAGAGAATATATGTTTGGCTCATGGCAACTATAGTAACCTACTTTTTTATTACCTTTCTTTTGAGAAAGATAGTCACTTTGTGATTTGTTTTTTGGAACAGTATTTACTTATGAGAAAAAATTTGAGAAATAAATTTTTCAGTAACTGGGAACAGAAATACTCTGAAAGCTTCACTCTGACTTATAAGTGACATTTTGTGTGATTTCTTGAGTTTCTTGAATGGAAAGTATTTCTGAATATATTTAGAAAATACTAACATTAAAATATAGATATTTTCTGTATACTTAGAGCACAATATTTAGGCATTTGAATATATAAATCCAAGTACAAGTAATTTGGAATTTAAAAAGGTACATTTATAAAAAGTTACAAGGGTGGTCAGTCTAGTCAGATTTCCTTCTAGATTACTAAATTGTTTTAGAACATTGTGATTTATTAGAAGTGTGAGGAGGAATTAAATGTGTCCAGATACAAGTTCTAAAAGATGCTACATAAAAATGAATCTGATATTTTTAATGGTTTCTATCAATAATAACTTTGTTAAGATAGTTAAATTCTCCTCTTTGGATTTGATAAAAAACCTTACTTGTAATGCTTCTAAGGAGATCTGTTCAGCTATATCTCCTGTAAAAAGATATGTCAGGGTTATTTTTATTATCCGTAATGAAATCTTGTAAGAGAAAATCTTGCTCTGACAGTAAATCACTACCTTTTTTTCATTACCAAAGTCCAAATGCCAAGGAAAAGTCAACTCCTAAGTTGGAGAGGCATATAAACAGTTCAATTATAGTGGCTATTCAAATAAATTTTACAATTCTTTTCCTGTTTTTATAGTTTTGTTCAGTCTTGATTAAGCTGTTTTAAAGTATGTAAAAGATAATGTTTTAGTAGAAATCTGTTTTTCTTAGTATATATAAAAATATTATGTAGCTAATGTGGAATTTGGTTTTTAAATGTGATTTTTGAAGGAATTTTTTTGTAGAACAGATTTTAAAAGGTTTCTTTTAGCATATACAGCCAACTTTTACATTACATTAGATGTTATAACTAGAAGTCAGTTATAGTTCTGGAAATGAACATTAGCTTTACTTATTCTAAGTTTTTATGAGTCATCAAACTTTTGGCATATATGCTAATTTATGTAACCTCAGTCAAGATTTTCAGACATCTTCTTGAGATTATTAAAATTAAGATTTAGTTACCAGATTTAATCGTTTAATTTTAAAAGAGCAAATTTAAATATATTTTGTTCTTAGAAGTTAAAGAACAAGTGAAATGATTTAGCTGTCCTTTGCAGGGGGAAAATACACTCATTTAAAGTTAAGTTTGTAGACTACTTCATTGAAACGGCCATACATAAAACGTAATTTTTAAAAATAATTTTTTGTTTGGCATGAAGTAATGTTAACTCACTGAGTCTGAGATTTAGCATCCAAAAAGGTATTGAAAACAATCAAAGTTCTTTCATAAGAATAATGTTTAGTGATGTTCATTTAATATTTTTGAGCTTGAAAAATGAACAGATACTTAGGATGATTCTGAAAATGAACTCCTTTATTATTCTAATAACAGATACTCTATTGAGACTAAGTTACCCATGCTTTGTGGGAACTCAGCCTGCAAAGAATTGAATTTGCTGGTTTTTGTCACTTCCAGGACCAGCCAGGGTTCCTGTAGCCTGCCGGTTGACATCAATGCATAATTTTATGCAAAATCATCAAGTGGTACTGTTTGCTTTTAAAGTGACCTGTAACTTTTTATTATAATCATTAATACAATCAAAGAAGGTAGCAGTGCTTTTATTTACTTTTTATTGTCATCAAGCAGTTTTCTAGGAATTTTCAGCAAAATACCAATTCAGCTATAAGTCTAATATGAAACACAGGAACTGTGAATATAAGCTTTTGGTGCTTGCTATGGAAAAATCAAATCAATAGCTTTAATGTCTTCTTACAATCTCATTTTGTTTCACTATAGCTCTGTTTTAGTTAGATCTGCACATCTGTTTTGCTCCAGGTAGTTAATTTTGCCAGTTCAGTTTCTCTGTAGATTTTTGCCATAGTAGAAAAGGATTTTAAATATTAATAGCCCCTTAAAATATTTTATTACCATTTACTTAAATGAACGATAGATAATGTACATGCTTTCTTTTTTGTGCAAATACCCAAGACAATCTGAATTGAAAGACAGCTTAAGGACAAATAAATAGCAAAAGCTTTCAGTCTTTATTTACAGTATATAGAAGGTTACTGTTTTCATTTTAGGTGGAAGAGTCTGATCAGTAGGAACACCCCAGAGGAAGGACATCTTTAGCGATAGAATTTACATACCGTTAGCTCACAGTAATTGATTAGTAGCAGGGCTCTGTAGTACAGAGCTAGCTGGGCATGTTATTTGGGATGTCTTTGATGCTGTGGTTTTCCGAAGCTTGCTGGCTGCATGCTTGTTGCCTTTGTTCGTGACACAGGTAATTACTTGATAAAATGAAGTGCATCGCTGTGAACAATTGACCCTTTGGAACAATCCAGGCTGGTCAGCAGTCTAAAGCCACACTTTAAAGCCATCATGATAGCCTCAAACTTAAGAGTTTCCAAGGTACAGACAAAGGTGTTGTCTTCCTTTAGTACAAGTCGAGTGCCATTTTCAGACTTTATGAAGTATTTAAATTGGATGATATTTGACGATATTGAAAACTCCTCTGGAAATCCATCCAGCCTGCTTTTGGACACCAGAACAATGCGAGACTTTATTTTTGATATGAAATCAGGAGCATTACAGAAGATTCTTAATCCTTGTGAACGATCGTGGTTATCTGTTATTTCCAAGAAAGTAGTCTCTCTGGGTGTTAGCTGTTCTTTCTCCCACCTGGATTTCACTTCCTCTGCCAGTCCCTTGAGCTGAAAGAATTCTGCTTCTTGTGCAAGAAGTTGATTTTCTCGAAACCCTTCGGGCAATAGAAGTTCTCCATTTCGTAGGAAGTTTAGGACATGCCTGAAGAGGAGACCATCCCTGTCTATGAAATAATGACCATCAGCATCAAACGGGCAGAGGATTTTTCCATTTACTATACCTTCAAGGAAAGTGTCTGGGTACTTGGTCAGTGTTTGTTTTTGAGTAATGTATAAATATCCACCAACGTTGAGGGTCATCAGTGTGGATTTGCAGTTCTTTCCTTGATCAGTATCTTCCAGGCTGTTGTGTTTCCCTTCATACTCCTTTTCTTTTTCTCTTCTGTTTATTTTACGCTCCATTTTTTGAAGATGCTATTTCAGCTTGTTCTTCTTGGCTTTGAGATTTTTTAAAAAGAGACACTACCACACAAGCACGCCTTTATTCAGCCCCAGCCTGGTGATGGAATGGAAACGCTGGCAGCATCGCCTGCGCTGTCAGCTCGGTTTTGCAGTAGGTGGCGTATCAGCCTATGTATGCAGGAGCTTTCTGGAGTAAGACGGAAAAGAGAATTTGCATTTAACTGTATCAGGGAAGGGATTTGTTGTGAAAGGATTTTCATGTCTATCCTTTGAAGTAATAAGAGTTACTCAGAATAAATTGAATTTCCTCTTGTCAGTTAAGCAGATCCAAATGTTTAATTCTTCATCCAAATGTGAATGTTTAACTATTTCTAAATGCCTAAGTTATTTTTTAATCAGGCAGGCTTAATGTTGAATAATATTGTCATCTTTTGGAAAATAATGTATATTGATTTAGTGTCATCTTTTTAAAGTAAATTTAAGTAGGAAACATAAGGTGAAAATTCTAGGTGTATACAATTTTCTTTCCCGGAAAAAGTCACACATTTCAAAGTATTGTAGTCATTTTTGAGACACAAATAAGAATACTTAACCTGCTACTTGTGACACTGCACTTGAATTTAATTGGATTTGCATATGATTCTGATTTGGAGATCTATGTTAAAGGATGTTAAGAATTTTTTTTATTTTTTATTTTTTATTATTTTATTTACCCTAAAAGTAAAAAAAAAATCAAATAGGCTTTACAGTAATCACTTAATTTTTTTGCTTAAGATTTTCTGTGGAAAATTCATGAACTTGTTTCACTCGGAGCCTGCTTCTGTGCTGAACAAAGACTTGGACAATTATAGAAAATACTGTGACTGTGTATGTGCATGCATGTATATACCGTAGGAAGATAGGAGAAAGATCTAGATTCAGAATACCTACTACAAAATAGTGTCATGGGTAAGTTAGTTTCTTGTTTGTTTGTTTGTTTGTTTCACAGTGGGCAAAATAAATCACCAAAGCCTAACCTTGTTTTTCAACTTGGGAGCTGGAACAGTGTGAATGATGTCACCCTCCACTTCTCACATCTTTTTCCTCTTTCCCCTATAACTTCCCTTCCAAAGCAATTTAGGGTTCTGAGGTTTCACTTCTAGCATTTAAAGGCTCAGTGGTAAGAAATGTAAACATTGTCCCCAGTACACTATTATTTGGCCTATCTGCTAAATTATTCTGGGAAACTACATTGTTTTTTGTTGTAGTTTTAGTTTTTAATTTATTTTTGTAGAGACAAGTTTTTGCCATGTTGCCCAGACGGGTCTCAAACTCCTGGATTCAGGTGATCTGCCCACCTCAGCCTCCCAGAGTGCTGGGATTACAGGCATGAGCTACTGCGCTGGGCCACACTGTTAAAAGTTAGACTTTAGTTTATATTTCTCTTGCATTAAAAGTATTTTAAAATTATTTAACTGTATGTTGACATAGGAATATTGGAAGAGATTCTTCTAAAATGCATACTTCTTATTTTCTTTAAACAATATTAGATTTTCAGGTATAAAAAATTATATTCTTATAGTGATCTTGAAGTTAACATTTATGTATTATTGAGATCAAAAGTTCGTTGAAATCGAACTAGAAAACTAAGGCATAATGTTTTTAGAGCTGTGTTTTTGCTTAGAGACTGTGAAATTCAACTTCCTCATTTCACCAAAGATAACATTGCATTCCAGAGAATTTTTAGTATTTTATCTAGGACTTCACAGCAAAGCCAACATTTTGACTAAAACGTCCTTTACTCCTGCAGCACTTAATAAGACTTACTCTTATATTCTGACAATCTCATGTTTGTCTTGATTTTGCTTTTTTAGATTAAGTCTTTTCTGTCAATACAACTTTTTAAGAAATACTGAATAGATTTTGAGGGAGAAGGGATACAACTCTGGAAGTACATTCATGGAATTCTTGTGTTACCATTACAAATAGTCACTGCACATGAGTAGCATCATATAATAGCAAAATCAAAAAGGCATAACAATTTCATTTATAGGTATAGTCCTCTTTTTTTGAACTTTATAGGATACCAGAATTAGTACAACATAACTGTAGTATAGTGATGGAGACTGTGCTAGCATGTTCTTGTTTAAATAAAGTGATGTGGATAGATACTATGTACTCTGGGTCTGCTTCCTTACACCCTGTTTGGCCTGTCTATAGATGTCTTCATGGGAAGCCCCAATGCTGTTGCTGTTGGAGGATAGGCTTCCATGAGGTGATGAGAAGGCAGGAGTGAGTCAGGACAGCTGGAAGTGGGACTGCTGACCTTCAGTCATCACCCCAGGGCCACCTTACACTTCCTAGCTCACTCACTTTTGGTTTCTCCTGCCAGGTTTTCAAAACCACTGATGAGTGCTCGTTTCTGCAGGCTTGCCTGAACAGACTCTGAACCATTCCATCTTGTGCCTCTTCTCCTTGATTGTTTTTTCTCACTCTAGACTTCACTCTGGTGTTCTTCTGCAAAGTTGACATGTGTGATTTCTTTGCCACCCATGGCCTGGCAACAGTAGTATAACTGAAGCTTTGTCTTAGTGCCTGGCTTATACAAATCCATAGGACTTTTGTGTCCTCTTTGGCCCAACTTGCAGACTTAAAGAAGAAAAATGTAGGCCGGGCATGTTGGCTTATGCCTGTAATCCCAGCACTTTGGGAGGCTGAGGCGGGCAGGTCACTTGAGGCCAGGAGTTTGAGACCAGCCTGGCCAGTATAGGGAAATCCTTTGTCTACCAAAAATTAAAAAAAAAAAAAAAAATTAGCTGGGGTGTGTTGGTGTATGTCTGTAGTCCCAGTTACTTGGGAGGCTGAGGCAGGAGAATCGCCTGAGCCCGGGAGGTGGAGGTTGCAGTGAGTGGAGATAGCGCCACTGCACTCCAGTCTGGGCAACACAGTAAGACCCTGTCTCCAAAAAAAAAAAAAAAAAGGCACCCAGTAGGCCCCGCTGTATGCCTAATACTCCATATTACCTCCAGCAAAGCAAGATGACTGTAGTTCATGGAAATTATAGGAGTTCATTGATCATTGCTGCCTGTGGTGGTACACATGCCCCTTAGGAGAAAGCCAGATTATCTCGTTTTAGTCTATTCTAAATTTATATTTACTTGCTAGGGGGTGGCGAGTGGGTGTTGCTTGTCCAAGGTAATATCTGTAAGGTCTCCACAGCCCTAAAACTATAAAAATGGTGCTTCAGTACCTATACCAAGGGAGACATCCCTGGATCATGGGACTATGTTTCTCTGCCTTGCAGATACAAACCGGAACTGCTCAATTTAATGGTTTCAGCAGAAGGGTTTAAACCACACATGTCAAAGATTAGCTTACCTGGATCCACTTGGCCACTAGATTTGAAGATTTTATCTGCCTTTGCAGGCAAAAACATATAAAAATTTGAAAGATTGGGGTCCTGTTTCCTACTCAGTACCTTAACTCTTTATTAGAGTTAGATCACCTCTGTCTTAGACAGCTTTAATCATATATAACCAACTTTGAGAATTTAAACTGGTCCTTAGTATGAGTATATCCTATAGTTAATTGGGTCCAATGCCTAACTAAACTCTGGCAGAACCTTCCACTATGAGGTAATACTAATGTCCTACCATCTGCATAAGGCAGAACTCATTCCAGCAGGAATTCCCATCTTTTTACCAACTCCTTATGGGAAATGAGGTCTTTGTCATCCCGTGATTGATGCAGGACATCATTGTAATATATACACTTGCTCCATTTATATGCCAGAGATACTCCCATGCCATGGAAGGAAGTGAAACCTTACCAGGAGGTTATCCCTCCCGACTGGAAGATACAAAAAGTATGATAATTCTCCTAGACTTAACAGATCATTCCTCTATAAAATTCAGACACTCTTCAAGGAAAAGGAATGGTTTTAGAAGCTGCGTTTGATAAGAACAGGGAGCTTCTGTCTCCACATTCTCCCCTGCTATCAAATCTTGGTTGTTGTCAGCTGCATGCTTCTCTGCTTGTCTTTTAAAAGGATTTCATTCCCATTACCTTAGAAAGAAAGTAAAAGCTAGAGAAGCTGCTGTCAACTTTTTACTTAAATCTGACAGTATATCTCTGCCTTGGACTTGCCCACATTTTTTTTTTGTTTTTTTGTTTATTGATCTGTGTTTTGACCTTCCTCTGCCTTTCACAAGCTGAGTTTCTTTTTTTTTAACATGTACTTGCTTCATTGCCTCTTGTCAATAGCACTGAATGTAAGAAACATTCATTTTGATATTGAGGTATGAATATTTTGTGTTGGCTTCTTTTGTGTGTTAAAAATAAAAATTACACTGTCTAATTATTGACATGTTTTAAGAATCAAGGATTTTCCCATGTTAATGTAATTCTTTTTGAGTGTCCAAATTTTAGTTCTATTTTGAAATATAAAATTTATCTGCTCTAAATGTTGTCTGCTACTGGTATTACACTAACAAAAGTACTATGGCAGCCACTTTATGTAACTGATTGACCACAGCATCTCACAAACTGTGCCAAGTACTTGAACCTTCCTAGGACTAATAGGACGTAACCTCTGGCCACAAGGTCGTGTGAACATGTCATTGCAGTCCAAAGAATACAGCTGTAAATATTTTGCAGTGTTGAACTGCGTCTTCAAGGAAGCCCAGGAAAATTGCCTACATTGGTAAATGTTTTAGCTTCATTTGAGGAGTATAGAAAAACATAAGGCACTATGTGTCAAAAGGAGCACAAATAAAGACAACAGACTAGCTCAGAAGTTCAGGTGAAATTCCATTCCACATTTCTTTGATTTTCACTACAGAGGCAATCTTGACAATTTATAAGTCATATTAATTCATGTTTTACATGTACTTTGGAAAATGAGTATTTCAGGGAAACCTGTGTTTTATAATTTTGTAAGCAGAAGTCATACCTTAAGTTTTTTAAAAATGAAGTTTTTTTTTGAAATATAACCTGTGCGTTATTATTTACTGGAAAATTCTATTGTAACCAGATGAGCATAGCACTTATGTAAGCCATCAAATGAACATTAAAATTATAATATTGTACAGAACTCATTTTTATAGTGCTATTTGGCAAAATGCAATTTTACTTTCTCTTTGGGAAGAAGATATTTTAAGCTAATAACCATTATCTACAATCTCAAAATGAAGGGCATAACTTTGAAAACTCTTGTAAAGGTAGTACAGTTAGGAAGTAAATGACTAAAGAGGGTCTCTGTTACCGTATACTAGCGCCTGCCACTGTTCCTTCTGATTTTCTCATCACTTAACATCTGCTTGTGTCTTCAGTGATGAGGTGGTGTGGAGAAGAGAGAAGAGGATCTGAACAGGAGAACAGGATGTGATGGCTCAAGGGAGCAAATGTGGTTTCTTACAGAGTAGGGAGGAGTTATAAACTAGGGATGGAGAACTCTATCATATCACACATTTTTTTCATATTTACCATTTCTATAACTGAGGTACATCTTAATATCGTTAGCTTGTCAAAGTTTAGCAGCAGTATTTTGTCTTGGTGGCACGTAAAATAATGGTTGCTATTACAAATGATAGCATCTTATAGTTGATGAAATATTTGAGCAGCTCTGTGAGCTATTCCCTCCGTATCACAAGAAAGTAAAATTAACAGACAGGGAGGAGGGAAAGAATTTTGCAGGGAGATGAGAGAGAGAGGGAGAGACAAAACAATGTGGCTGCTTGATGTTAAAATTAGGCAAATTATTTTATAACTTTTATAAAATTAAATTTTATTTTTTGATACAGGGTCTTGCTCTGTCACCCAGGCTGGAGTGTATTGCAACCTCAACCTCCTGGGCTCAGGTGATCTTCCTGCCTTAGGAAACTCCCGTATAGTTGGGGCCACAGGCATACCCCACCATACCTGGCTAACTTTTTTATCTTTTTGTGGAGACTGGGTCTCACTTTGTTGCCCAGGCTGGGCTCAAGCTATGCTGCTGCCTCAGCCTCCCAAAGTGTTGGGATTACAGATGTGAGCCACCATGCGTGGCAAAATTCCTGAAGATCAAATAGAGATCAGAATATTACTTCACAAGTAAAGAGCAGCTTTTTAATAATACAGGGATAGAAAGTTTGCCTAACTGGTTTGTTAAGATGCTAGTACCTTTTATTAGTAGACCTCAACTCAGAACCACAGGCAAAAAAACTTCTAGGAACATATTTTAAATGAGAAGAAAGGAGACTACTAGGAATATTAAAAATGGTTTGCCTTTTAAATGTACCTGCTTCTTGAAAAGATTATTTCTTCAGTCTTTTCCCAGAGAGTGTCGACACAGGTGTGATGTAATTAAGAGTCAGGAGAGTAAGGAGAGTAACTTCGAGGTCTGGAGGATCAGCCTGAAATGTTGGTCAGTAGTCCTCTGGTCTGGGTTTTTACAGGAGCTGGAAGTTCTCTTAAAGGCCTCCACATTCAGCTGGATCCAGAAGGTCTTGTGGAAATGAATGAGTGTAACTTCCTGATGCCTAAGACTTCCTAACATACTTGATTTCATTACTTACATGCCAATGCTAATAAGCAGTGTTGCTGCTTGCTTATTCCTTTAACTTCTTCAAACTAGGGATGCCCTTAACTTTTTAAAAAAAGTGCCAGTATCATTTCTCCTCAGTTCTTTGACATAGAGTGTATGTCAAGTTCAGATATAGGGCAGGATAATCCAGCATAGAGCACAAATTTAAATATTTTCAAGCCTTGGGCAGCTTCTTAACATTTTGTTATTCTCTTTCTATTCAAAGAAAATTTAATTATATCTAGGTCTTTTGGAAAGTACTAGAGCAAACAAAATAACACTAATGAAATAATAAAACATCCCCAGTTGGAGAGGAAGGCTAGCATTTTTATTTAGTGAAAGAGACCTAGAAGAGATCTCAGACATTCTAGTAATATCATTATTATGGATGCTGAGGCCCAGAGATGTAAAATAACTTCTCCAAAGTAACACTGCTGTTTAGTGACAGAATCTTAACTAGAAGCCTTCAGTTCTTTTTATAGGATGTGCTTTATATACATAACCTTTAAAATTTTCTCTCGAGTTTTTTCTGATTTTAGGTGGTGGGATATACATAAATTACCATCATCAAAGATGTGTGTTCATACTCAATAAGATTCTTTTGGTTGCAAGTAGCAGAAACCAGTCAACAAACCAATCTAGCCAAAAAAGGAGTGCGGGGGAGAATTTAGAAAGAATCCCATACTATTTCCCAGAATCCAAAGAAGAGCAAATGGCCAAGGAAAAGATATGAATTGAGCCATTCCAAAGCCTTTGGTAGGATGAGTTTGTGTGGCTTCTCTGCAGAGTGCTGGCAAGACCATGTCCTTCTAGTAATTGGTGGTGTGAGCCCCTTAGTTGAACATTTCAAGCACAAGAGCGAGCAAGCACAGACACACAGAGGCCATTCCTACCACCTTCAGTACTCTTCCTTCTTACCCCCACCCACCCCAGTCTAAATCCTACCCATTTTTCAAGGTCCAGCACAATCATTGCTTATTCTTCAAAACTCTTCTTGGCCTGGCGTGGTGGCTCACACCTGTAATCCTAGCACTTTGGGAGGCTGAGGTGGGCGGATCACCAGAGGTCAGGAGTTCAAGACCAGCCTGGCCAACATGGCAAAACCCCATCTCCACTAAAAATACAAAAATTAGCCTGGCGCAGTGGCACATACCTGTAATCCCAGCTACCCAGGAGGCAGAGGCAGGAGAATCGCTTGAACCCAGGAGGCGGAGGTTGCGGTGAGCCAAGATCGCGCCACTGCACTCCAGTCTAGGCAACAGAGCGAGACTCCATCTCAAAACAAAACAAAACAAAAAACTCTTCTTGATCTCTAGCTAGACATCTGAGTGGGTGTGTGTGTGTGTGCAAGTACATGTGTGTTTAATCCCAGTACTCTTGTATGTTTCTATTTTATGACCTTTAACATATTCAACTTGACAGAAGAATCCTACAGCACATATGGAATAACCAGTAATTGGTCAGTTACATTAAAAGATGGGAAATCATAAAAATGATATCAATATGCAGTTCCTATCTGCCTTAAACATTTTATCTTAAAACTTATAAATGTACGTTTAGTTGGCTGGGCACGGTGGCTCACGCCTGTAATCCCAGCACTTTGGGAGGCCGAGGTGGGCAGATCACGTGAGGTCAGGGGTTCAAGACCTGCCTGGTTACCATGGTGAAACCCTGGCTGTACTAAAAATACAAAAATTAGCTGGGCATGGTGGCGCACGCCTGTAATCCCAGCACCTCAGGTGGCTGAGGCATGAGAATTGCTTGAACCTGGGAGGCGGAGGTTTCAGTGAGTTGAGATTGCACCACTGTACTCCAGCTACTCCAGCCTGGGTGACAGAGTGAGACATCATCTCAGAAATAAAATAAAATAAAATAAATGTACATTTAGTTGCTGATGTATATGTAAGACAAGGCCTTTGCTTTGAATATAGGATACTGACTGACCATCTGTTTTCTTTGTTTTTCAAAAATTAAACCCATCATTTAGTTTTTCAGTCTCATTCTGTCGCCCAGGCTGGAGTGCAGTGATGTGATCTCAGCTCATTGCAACCTCTACCTACAGAGTTCAAACAATTCTCATGCCTTAGCCTCCCAAATAGCTAGGACTACAGGCATGCACCACCACGCCCACCTTTTTTTTTTTTTTTTGGATTTTTAGTAGAGAGACGGTTTCCTTGTGTTGCCTGGGCTAGTCTCAAACTCCTGGCCTCAAGTGATCTGCCCTCCTCGGCTTCCCAAAGTTCTGGGATTACAGGCGTGAGCCACTGCACCTGGCCCCATGATTTAGTTTAGATTTTCGATTTTGGTTTCTTTGAAAAGGAGCAAGAACTTAGACACTGTGAAACTATCTAAATGCAGACTCTTTCTAGACTCCTGTGCTTCCCTTTCAGTCTCCAGTTGTCTCACCTGTACCTAATTTGACAGTATTGTGTTACAACTTAACTTTATATCATCTTACCAAAGCATTCTACATAGTTTTTATAGAAACACCCCCCAAACTCCCCTCATACTTGCAATTTAATGGGCTTCTGTAATATATAATCAGATTACATAATTATTAAAACTAATATAGACAAGTTCTAGCATCGTTTGAGCAGACGTGTGTGGGAGTACTAGAGATTAACCTATTACCCACTAGTATATAGTGACTGTGGGCATCTGTCGCTATATTTAATAGCAGGCAGTTGAGAGCCTTTGTTAATCTAGAGGTGAGTTAAGTAGAGGTGTATCAAAAGTGCTTCTGGTGTATTAAGATGATTTATGTACCTGTCTTATCCTACGAGACCAGCAGCTCTCGAAATGTGGTCTGGGAACCACTGGGCAGAGGGGTCCCCGAGATCCTTTCAAGGGATCAATGATGTCAAGACCATTTCTATAATAATGCTAATGGCTTTTTTTTATTTTTTCACTCTCATTCTCTAGAAATTTCTTAATTTTAGTTTCTAATATGGTAGATATCAGCAGTTAAAACTTATAAACAGGTTTTTTGGGAGTCTATACATTTTTCCTTTTAAAAACATTTAAATTTAGGTTTTTTAAGCTTATTTTTAATTGACAAGTAAAATTTGTGTATATTTATGGTATATAACGTGATGTTTTGATATATGTATATGTGTGGAATGGCTAAATCAAGCTATTCATATCTATACTTTTTAACTAATACATGCCACAGAACGTTTAAGAAAGTCTACGCTCCTTGAGGGTAGGAGCCGTGTTTCATTTGTTATTCCTGATGTGCTCTTGCATTGTCTTTTACATAGTAGGCACTCAGTAAATAGTTAAGAAATGTGTGAGAATAAAATGAATTATTTTTCAAGTATTTATGGTCTTTTAAACTGGGTCAACAAACTAGCTTTAAGTAAAGGTTTCTATATTAATGAATAGGATCTATAATTAACAGCAGTAATGTGCAAGTGGGTGCTTTTAAATACTTTTAAAATAAAATTTAATACCTTTCCTTTGAAATCTTAAGCAGTATTTTGAAAAAGACAAGAAGTGTGGTTTAGTGGAAAGAATATGAGAATGTGTTCCTATGAGGCTTTAAAAAGAGAGCAGGCAAATCATGCCTAGGGGGCTGCATCAGGAGTAAATTGGCCTTTTAAAAATGTATTTAAGAAGAGAAGGGGAGAAAGGAAGTGAACAGAGATGTCAGGTTACTTAGGAACATCCAGTGGATGGGAAAATTCGTTGCTGATGAAGACTTTTCCATTCACTTTGAGTAGCATTTGGAAGCTATTTTAGGTTTGAAAAGAAGATATGATAGAAAATTATGGTTTGAGAAAGTAAATGTTATTGCTCTGTGTGAGTGACCTTGACTGAAGAATAGTGAGGAGATTGGTGGCCAAGTTGTAATGGGCAGTTGCTGTGGACCTGATTTCTACCCTTGAGCTGTCATATGGAGAAGGTTGATAGCACAAACCTTTAACTGAAAGTTAAATTCAGCCTGTCCACCTGGAGTAGGTACTGCTAAATAAGTGGGGAGCATTCACTTAGTAAAAGGTAGCTATATTAGTCCATTTTCACACTGCTATAAAGAAATGCCTGAGACTGGGTAGTTTATAAAGGAAACAGGTTTAATTGACTCACGGTTCCGCATACCTGAGGAGACCTCAGGAAACTTACATTCATGGTGGAAAGCAAAGGGGAAGCAGGCACCAAGGTGGCAGGAGGGAGAAGTGAGAGCACAGGAAAAAGCTGCCAGTGAGAACTCACTCATTATCACGAGAACAGCATAGGGGGAACTGCCCCATGATCCAGTCACTTCCCTCCCTTGACACGTGGGGATTATAATTTGAGATGAGATTTGGCTGGGGACACAGAGCCAGACCATATCAGTAGCTCTTTTAGTTGCAACATTAATAAACGTGGATATGTGACTAAATTATTTGCAGGGATAGTAGTCTAGATTTATTTTATTTATTTAGTTTTTTGAGACGGAGTCTTGCTCTGTTGCCAGGCTGGAGTGCAGTGGCACTATCTTGGCTCACTGCAACCTTTGCCTCCTGGGTTCAAGCGATTCCCTTGCCTCAGCCTCCTGAGTAGCTGGGACCACAGGTGTGTGCCACCATGCCTGGCTAATTTTTTATATTTTAGTAGAGACAGGGTTTCACCATGTTGGCCAGCATGGTCTCGATCTCCTGACCTCATGATCTGCCTGCCTCGGCCTCCCAAAGTGCTGGGATTATAGCTGTGAGCCACCGTGGCCGACCTAGATTTATTTTTTTAAAGGATTAATTGTCTTCCTTTATTGGACTTTCCTTATGCATTTAAGACATTTGATATATCAGATTTTCCCAAATCTTGCTATTGTTGTGACGACTAAAGAATTTTTCTTGATAGAACTTTCAGCTTCAGCAAGAGCCAAACTTGAATATAAGCTTTTTGCTTTAAGAAAATTCAAATTTTAATTTTATTAAAGACTTTAATGAGAGGAAATTATTTTTAGAATTTAAACTTTATTATAAAATAATAACGGCTTTTAAAATATTTTCTTCCTGCCATATTTTGGTATAAGGTAGTCATGCTTCTCATCATTGCTTTTTCTGCATCTTCTTGAGATTTGTTGCATATGTTGCATTAAGGGACCCTGGATACATTGATTATATACGGTGTGCTTGTAATTAGTTCGTACAGAGTCTCCTAGATTTTGGAGACATCCAAAGATCACTAAAAAAAGATTTTTTAGTATAAATATGTAGGCATGGTTCTATACACTTTCTGCATTTTGATCAATTTATCTGTCTCCCCCAGTGAACTGTATGCTTCTTGAAAACAGTACTGTGTCTTAATCATCTTGATTCCACAATGCCTAGATGGGGCCTTTTGCATAGCAGACATTTTGCTAATGTTAGTGGAATGAAGTAATTCTCTCTGAAAAGATGAATCATAAATGCACTACTCATGAGCCAGGGAATTTCCTGAGTCTTTTCTTAAAACCCAGGTGAATTCTTGTGGAAATATGACTGTTTCTAACCACAGTCATACATTTCCAGGGTATAAAGCTGGTACCATTATGAGACATTTATATGTGTATTATACAATAAGGTAAGGTCTGTCAAGTGACCACACCACAATGCTTGGTGGCCAGTAGGCACACAATAGATGCTAGCCTTTGTTTCCTTTTTCTGATTCTCCTAGGTTTTATGTCAGAGTCACTATAAGAATTACTAAGGATAGGGGAAATTGCCTTTCTGTTTGGACAAATATTCATAGCAGTTAAAGATTCTGTTTTGACATGCCCAGATTTAGAATTCTGCAGGAAAACAGAAGTCAGAGCAGCTGGCAGGCTGAACTGGTACACAATATAACCCAGACAGTAGACCTGCCCAGTGTCACAGTATTTTCTGGGCTGGCTGTTTTAGTCACAAGGTACTTGAGAATTTTATTCACATACACAAACACACACACACACACACACACACACACACACACACACGGTCTTTGATTTAGTGGTTTAGACTAGCTGTGTTTTCAGAAGTTACTTCTTTGTCAAAGACGATAGCCTTTATACTCTTTAATTTGATTTTATGCCCTTTTAAGCTACCTTATTTAGAAGGAGCAGAGTGTATAAAAGCTGTTCCTGGCAAAGGGCCACAGCAGCCTAATAAACAAATCTGACAGGAGCCCAGTTTGTTACTAAGCCAAGAATAAGGCTTCTCTCTGTTCTGACCAGTGAGATTCCTGAAACTTAACTATTTTTTCTTGATTTTTGATATTAATTATATTTGATTGTCATATTACTGTGTTTAGTGTGTCAAAATACAGTCTTGAAAATGATAAGTATTATCTCTGAATCCTTTTTTTTTTCCATTCAAGATAAGCTGTCATTGGAAGGAATAGTGGTACAAAGAGCTGAATGCCGACCAGCTGCCAGTGAAAACTACATGCGATTAAAAAGGTTGGTGTTTTGTAACTCCAGAATGATACCTGATATTTCCCTTTGGGGATTGAGATACGTGTGTTATATCGCCTATTGACTGCATTAAAACTGTGGTTATTGTTGAGTGTTTGCTTCAAAAGCTGTTTGGTTTTAAAAGCAAGTAAGAGTTTCTTTGGCACTAAAGAAATTTCAGTATCTGGGCTGTTTATTTGAGGTATTTTAAGCTACTTTGTTAATACATCCTGGAATCAAAGTTTTTAAACTACATTTTCTAGTTGTCTTTATAAATTTTGATTCTTTAAAGACATGTATAAGATCTTTGTAATATTTTATTTTCCAGGGCTGTAATTTTTCCATAATAAATATGTATCCGAAATACTGTAACTGGGCCAGGCATGGTGGCACATGCCTGTAATCCCAGCACTTTGGGAGGCTGAGGTAGGTGGACCATTCAAGCCCAGGAGTTTGAGACCAACCTGGGCAACATGGTGATATCCTATCTCTACAAAAAGATAGAAAAATTAGCTGGGCGTGGCTGAGGTGTGAGGATTGCTTGGGCCTGGGAAGTGAAGGCTGCAGTGAGCTGAGAGCATGCCACTGCACTCCAGCCTAGGTGACCCAGTGAGACCTTGTCTCAAAAAAAAAAAAAAAATTGTACTGTATAAAGCAAGTGTAGTTGCCAGAATATCGTCCTATTCTCTTGATCTATAGAGAAATTTTTATAAACATATATACTGTGTTAGAGAGTTTGTTTCAGGATCTTCCCCTGCCCCCTAAATTTTTATGTGGTTAACATTTTGTAATTAGTATTTAAAAATGCTGATTGTAAATTCTTGATACCCCAAATTTTATGACGTTCAAAGAGTCAGCAATTTTTTAAGCCCTGAGGAAATATATTATACCTGTTTCATAGTTTATTTTTAATGTGTTTTAGCCCCATGTGATTTAGAATTATACTTTTTTTGTTCATTCATTCAGTACTTACTGTCTGCCAGGTGCTTTCTTAGAAGTGAGAGAAATAGCTGTAAACAAAGCAGGCAAAAATCTCTGCGTTCGTGGACCTTCCATTGTCGCAGATTGTAGGTACACTGAATCGGTAGTGGAGAAGACACTGCTGAAGTAGTGGTAGTGGCCTGTTGGATATCAGCATTCTCATCTACATAAGAGGCCAGTTGAGCTGGATCATCTCAAAATTTTGCATCATCTTTAAAAGTTTCCTTCTTTTGTCAATTAGATTAGACTGTCTCCTGAGAATGACATAGACATGTTCTCTTGTCAAATAATTCCTCTAATTTAAATGTGTCCTTGGGGCAAATAAAAGAATGACAATCAAAATGAAAAATATTTATAACAGAAAATAGCTTTGGAAAACAGGCAGAAGATGTTTCTTTCATTGTTTTTAGCTTATAAAACTTATTGTATAGTAGTAAATTTTTGAAGTCTTTTTGAAAATTTATCTCTTCATATAACTACTGAAATTGAAAAAATGCAAAATCTGGTTACCAAGCTGCTTACCAAGATCTTTTTCTGTGGCCGTAATTTTCTTTAAAGGGTTCTAAAGATTTCTGATGATGAGATCAGGCAGGTCACCTGCTGTGTTTATAAAATGGCTGCTTTTTTCCTACCAAAAAAGAAGTGAAAATTGTTTAGCCTTTCAAGTATGCTGAAAGATCAGCTGTTACATAGTCATGCACTATATAAGGACATTTGGTGGTCTCATAAGATTACAGTACTGTATTTTTTCTGTTGCTTTTCTGTGTTTAGATACACAAATACTTAAAATTGTGTTACAGTTGCCTACAGTATTCATTACAGTAATGTGTAGCAGAGTATACCATCTAGGTTTGTATAAGTACACTCTATAATGTTTGCACAACAGTGAAATTGCCTAACAATGTATTTCTCATGAGGTATCCCCATTGTTAAGCCATGCATGACTGTATTTTAATCTTTACTTAAGTGACTTAGAAAAAGAAACAAGTGGTTCAGGAGGATCATGTGAGTTTCATGAAGTAGATGATGACATAAGTCTTGAAGACAGCTTTTTTTGACCAAGTGGAGAAAGAGATGGGGTAAGAACATTCAAAATAGACATGCACAAAGACATGGGGAAGACTTTAGGGACCTGTGTGTGGTTCTGTAAGCCTGGAATGGAGGAATTGTTTGAGAGGATGGCAGAAGCTCCAGCCCAGACCTCTTTCTTCAACATCAAACATACATACAAAAGCCGGGTTGAATGTCTGATAGACATTTCAAATATGTAAAAAACTGAACTCCAGATCTTTCCCGCAAAACCCGCTCTACTAGCACTTTTCTTGTCTCAGTTAATACCAACTCTGTCCTCTCATTTTTTCAGTCCAAAACCATTGGTTTTTAGTTAAACCTTGGTTTAGTCTTAGTTCTTGACTCCTCTCACACCCCACATCCAATGTGTCAGAAGAATCTTGTTGACTGTTCCTTCAAAATGTTACACATCCATAGTCTGATCACCCCCATGAACTGCCATTATTTCTTACCTGGATTACTGCAGTAGCCTCCTACCAGAGTTCCTGCTTCCACCCTTGCCCCACTGTAGTCTCTTCTCAGCACAGTAGCCAGGGAAGTTCTTTTAAAATCTAAGTCAGATCATGCCATTCGTCTTTTCAAGTGTCACTTGCAGTGCTTCCTATATTACTCAGAATAAAATCTAAGTCCTTAATAATGATCTACAGGGTCCTATGTGATCATCCTACGACTGTCTACACCTTCTTGCCATCCTCATCTTTTTCTTCCCTCCCCTCCACTCATTCTGCTCCAACCACACCTGTCTCCTAACAATCCATGAGCCCTCCAGGCACACATCCACACTGCAGCCTTTGCACAGACATTCTTTTTTGCCTGGAACAGCCTTTCTCCAGATAAATGCATGGCTTGCCGCCTCACCCCTTTCATGTCTCTTCTCAAAATACCACTTTTTCATGAGGCCTACCTTGACTACCCTACCTCTTTCTGTACTTGTATCTTCTTCATAGCACACGTCACCTCCTACTAAACTATGTAGTTTACTTATATTTATTGCCACGTTTTCCCTCCTGCAATATAAGTTCCCATGAAAACAAAGTTTGTTTTTTTCTTTTTTGACTTTATTTTTTGTGCATGTCGATTTGGCTCACTCATTTACATACACACATTTGTCTACAATAGTTCATTCCACATAGTAGCTAGTCAGTAAATATTTGGTGAGTGAATGAATGGCACAAGATGAGGTTTAAAATGTTAAAGAGTCTTAGATACTATGGTAAGAAATTTGGACAGTGTGCTATAACTATTAAGGAGATATGGAAAAATTTTAAGCTGGGTGGAATCTAAAGGGATTTGTATTTTAGATAGATCATTCTGGCCATAGTATAAAGATTAGAAGCTGGGAGATAAGCTTGAAGCAGATATAATAATCCAGGTTCAAAATGTCTGAATGACTAAACAAGGTGGTTCTAGTCAGAAGGGAGATGAGAGTCTCTTTTGAGGATAGCTGGAGGTAGAGCCAATAGGACTTAATGAACTTACTTCAGACTTCTTTGGTTGTGGAATGGGAGATTCTTCTGGTTGGTGGTGGCTCTTGTGGCCCAGCTGTGAATATCCCAGATTGGCTCCCTGCTGTCCTGTGCATTGCAAGGAAAGTTTACACTGATGAGAGGAGAGGGACAGGGAAGTTTTTGTAGTCCCCGTGTCCATTATAATTTAATCCCATTTGGCAGTTTACATAAGAGACTCGAAGCAGAAAATACATAAAATTGTAAGAACGGTACCAAGGTATAAATTATCAAAATAGCAAACTAATTTAAGTCATGAATTATTTTATTTACAATTACCCAACATTATCACTAAGGTGAGGCTCAAAATTTTTTTTGTTTTTTTTTTTTTAAACTGTGAACAACATGGGTTTGAAATTATTTTTAAATATTTACTTATTTATTTATTTATTTTTAGAGACAGGATCTCACTATGTTGCCCAGGCTGATCTCAAACTCCTAGGCTCAAGTGATCCTCCTACCTCAGCCTCCCAAAGTGCTGGGATTATAGGCATGAGCCACCATACCTGGCCAAGCTCAAAAAAAAAAAATTTTTTTTTTTTTTTTGAGAGACGGAGTTTTGCTCTCGTTGCCCAGGCTAGAGTGCAATGGTGCAATCTCAGCTCACCGCAACCTCCGCCTCCTGGGTTCAAATGATGCTCCTGCCTCAGCCTCCCAAGTAGCTGGTATTCCAGGCATGTGCCACCATTCCCGGCCAATTTTGTATTTTTAGGAGAGACGGGTTTCTCCATGTTGGTCAGGTTGGTCTTGAACTCCTGACCTCAGGTGATCCGCCCACCTCGGCCTCCCAAAGTGCTGGGATTACAGGCGTAATCCACTGCGCCAGCCCAGGCTCAAAATTTTAAAGAATCATAAGATACTATTCTTATTCCAGATAGTTTAGTCTTTAAACCTGAAGAAACACACACACACACGCACACACACACCACACCCCCACATATGCGCACGCACACACACAGTTACCCTACTACCTAAAGGATCTGTTTACAGACAGTGTCGTGGAGGAAAGGCATAGCAACGTGGTAGTGCTATTGAATGTAATATGGAAAGGCAGTTTTCAGATGTAGGTAACATTAAAGTAGAAGTGTTTGAGAACAGAATTGGTAAGTCTGAGATATTCTATACCTAGATTTTTCATAAACATGCTCACAATTTTTCAGGGCCTCCTTTTGACTGCATAGTTTTTAGTCATATTCAAGTTTTTTTATTATCTGGCTCTTGTCTTAC
This sequence comes from Homo sapiens, assembly GCF_000001405.40. Classification (NCBI taxonomy): domain Eukaryota; kingdom Metazoa; phylum Chordata; class Mammalia; order Primates; family Hominidae; genus Homo; species Homo sapiens. The sequence continues at coordinate 45,212,284 of NC_000013.11, forward strand.
TTGTCTTTATTTTCAGCTATTCTCTTTTACATAGGCATTATATAGTTATAGCACACTACAAGTTCTTATCCCACATATGCTTGGCACTTGCCCATATTATGCCTTTGCTACTTAAATGCTGCATCTTCTACCTAGGATTGATTTCTTTCTTTCTTTCTTTCTTGTTTCTTTCTTTCTTTCTTTCTTTCTTTCTTTCTTTCTTTCTTTCTTTCTTTCTTTCTTTCTTTTCTTTCTTTCTCTTTCTCTCTTTCTCACTTTCTCTCTCTCTCTTTCTCTCTTTCTTTCTTTCTTTTTTTTGAGACAAGTCTTGCTTGCTCTGTTTCCCAGGCTTAAGTGCAGTGGAGCGATCTCCGCTCACTCCAGCCTCTGCCTCCCAGGTTCAAACGATTCTCCTGCCTCAGTCTCCCAAGTAGCTGGGACTACAGGCATCCTCCAGCACGGCTGGCTAATTTTTGTAGTTTCTTTTTTTTGTTGTTGAGACAGGGGCTTACTCTGTTGCCCAGGCTGGAGTGCAGTGGTGCGATCTTGGCTCACTACAACCTCCGCCTCCCACCTCCAAGCGATTCTCCCACCTCAGCCTCCTGAGTAGCTGGAAGTACAGGCATGTGCCACCACGCCTGGCTAATTTTTGTGTTTTTAGTAGAGACAGGGTTTCACCTTTTTGGCCAGGCTGGTCTCCAACTCCTGGCCTCAAGTTATCCATCTGCCTCAGCCTCCCAATGTGCTGGGGTTACAGGCGTGAGCCACCATGCCCGGCTAATTTTATTTATTTATTTATTTATTTATTCTTATTCTTCTTCTTATTATTTTTTTGAGACAGAGTCTCGCTCTGTCGCCCAGGCTGGAGTGCAGTGGCGCCATCTCGGCTCACTGCAAGCTCTGCCTCCTGAGTTCACACCATTCTTCTGCCTCAGCCTCCCGAGTAGCTGGGATTACAGGCACCCGCCACCACGCCCGGCTAATTTTTTTGTATTTTTAGTAGAGGTGGGGTTTCACTGTGTTAGCCAGGATGATCTCAATCACCTGACCTTGTGATCCACCCGCCTCGGCCCCTCAAAGTGCTGGGATTACAGGTATGAGCCACGAGGCCCCAGCTTCTACCTAGGATTTCTTATCTACCTCCTACGGAGATCTTTCTGAGCCTTTAAAACCAACCCAGCATCACTTACTCAGGAAAACCTCCTTATAGTTTCTATTCCCCACCCCATTTAGGATCTTGTGTTCCTCTTTTCTGCATTCCCACATATTTAAATGTTTATTCTTCTTTAATGTTTTGGGAATTCATAGTTGTATCCTCTACAACATTATAAACTTCATGAGAGCAGAGACTATGAGTTTTATTTTTCTTTCTTCTTTCCCTCTTAGTCTCCCTGTCTCCTTTCCTTCCTTTCTTTTTTTTTTGTGTAAATATCCAAAAGTATTTATTGGATTGAAATAGAAATGGCAAAGGTAGGTACAGAAATATGAGAATCATCAGCATTCAGCTTCTTTATTAATAATTTTTTTATTTGCACTTACTTGAAACCTGGACTTTATTTTTCAGTTTTGTATATATGCATATTTCTGTGCACACATGTGCACGTGTCTCTTGCTTTGAGAAGGAGAAAGTGATTTCAAAATAAATATAAAAACATTTCATCAACAAATCTGTTTTTCAAAATATAAAGAAATGAATCTTCTATTTATGGAGGACTAGAAGAGAAAGGCTTTTCATCAAAAAAGACCTATTCTTAAGTCAATGAGTCGCTTTTCTTTAATCAGTGAGTTTTTACTGTATTATATTTTAGTAACTAGCAGCTAAACTACATTCTTGGAAACATAAATGACTATCACAAAGTGTATTTCACATTTATAAATAATGATCTTTAAGAATGATTAGTCTTCTTTTAGTGGGAATTTAATTTTAGTAATTCTTACAGCTCTCTGCTGTTAAATTTTGGCTGATAAATTAGCCAGATGTTATGAGAATTATAACCATATTCATCAAATGTAAGTTAGTAAGATTCTGTCATTCATTTAGATAAAGGTGGAAATTAAATACATACTTTCATACTAGTAAATACATACACTAACCCCAAGAAATGACCTTCAGTCGATGAAATTCAGGCCAAGAAGGAAATGATTTCTTTCATCAGATCCCCTCACATAATAAAAAATCCTGCAAGACTCCAGTTAGCCACCAGGAAAATCTAAAACTAACTAAATAAAAACCTAATGATTTTGTTTGCTAGTCTTAAAATTGTTAACAGCCTAACTTTTCATATTGAGAAGAAAAAAGTGTTCTACTACTTCTCTTACTTTTTCTTTATCTGACATTAGTTTGGATTAATCTGAATATTAGGAGAAAAATTACTTTGAATTGGTAAATATAAATATACTTAATATCACATCATGTCTTATGTATTAAACTGATTTAATTTGGATTATTTTAAGTGTAACTTTTATTTCAGCCTCTTGAGCTTTTCCCTAGTCTTTGAATGGTGGCTTATGTGCCCACTCTATAATTCATATTGTACTTTGTTAAGTATAAAGGAACATAAATATAAGGCAATCATCCTAACATATTTTCTTACAGGAAAATCATAGAAATATGAAATTATATGGCTTTTTGACTTCTGTATGTTTATGTCACTAACTCATCTGAAAATACTTGTCTTAAAAGTTTTTATTTTTATTCCAGTGTTTGTGGATTTTTTCCAAAAACCTAAGAAAACCCTTTTCCTATAGAAACACAGGTTCCCATATGATTATAAAACATTCAAATACTAGCTCAAATATTGAATGGGATACAGGTTGAATATCCTTAGTCCAAAAATCTGAAATCATTTCAAAATCCAAAACTACTTGAGCACTGGCATGATGTTCAGAGGAAATGCTTTGAGAAGTGCTCATTTCAGACTTCAAATGTTAAGGATGCTAAGTTTAATGCAAATATCCCCAAATCAGAAACATTGCTGTTCCAAGAAGTATAAGCTGAATTATAAATAGGATGATCATATAATTTATCATTGAAAACAGGATACTTTTGAGAATGAAAGCAGGCACTGGATGTCTCCATTAAAAATGCACTAATTTATAATGTAAAACATTTTATAAATGGTTGTAATAAAAGTATAAAAATACCTTTGGAATAAAACTATAACAGAAAACTAGGCAAGGTGTTTTACCCAGAATTTTTTAAAAGACTAAAACTGAGCCGGGCGTGATGGCTCATGCCAGTAATCCCAGGACTTTGGGAGGCTGAGGCGAGTGGATCACCTAAGGTCAGGAGTTTGTGACCAGCCTGGCCAACATGGTGAAACCCGTCCCTACTAAAAATACAGTAAAATTAGCCACATGTAGTGGCAGGTGCCTGTAATCCCAACTACTCGGGAGGCTGAGGCAGAAGAATCACTAGAACCCAGGAGGCAGAGGTTGCAGTGAGCCATCGCACCACTGCACTCCAACTTGGGTGACAGAGCGGGACTCTGTCTGAAAAAAAAAAAAAAAGACTAAAACTGTTTGTTTTAAGAAAGACTCCTTAGGGAAACTCAGTGGTAGAGATCACCCTCTTTCCTCTGAAGAGCCATAGCAGCTGTCTCTTTCACAGCCTTGAGCTGTAGACTGCCCCTGAAGATTTACTATTGTGATGAAACAAGGACTTCCAAATGGTTGTAAAAGCTCTTGGGAATGTGTATAAAGAATGAGGCCTGGTGCAGTGGCTCACACTTGTAATCCCGGCACTTTGGGAGGCCGAGTCTTGAGCCCAGGAGTTTGAGACCAGCCTGGGCAACATGGAGAAACACCATCCCTACAACAACAACAACAAAAATTAGCCAAGCATGGTGGTGCACGCTGAGGTGGGAGGATGGCTTGAGCCTGGAGGTCAAGGCTGCAGTGAGCTGAGGTTGCACCACTGCACTCCCTCCTGGGCAACAGAGCGAGACCCTGTCTCAAGAGGAAAAAAAAGAAGGCACTGGAATAATTTTAAAAACTCAAAGGTTATACATATATATGTATATTTCCTTCTTGTGATCTCTGATATTTTCACTTTAAGATAGGGGGAGTGAAGGAGTTTTTTCAGTAGCTAAGTGTTGTCTCACCCTGAACATCTCTTGTTTTCTTTGGAATTCCCCATCTCTTCTGCCTGGTCTCTTGTGTTCCGTGGTTAGTGACTCTCCTGACATACCCAAATGTGTGATTTTTAATATGTGGGGCTGTACGTCTTTTTTAATCAAAGTCTTGTGTTTGTTTTTTTGTTTTTTTGTTTTTGAGATAGAGTCTTGCTCTGTCACCCAGGCTGGAGTGCAGCCGTGTGATCTCAGCCCACCGCAACCTCTGTGCCCCTGGGTTCAAGCAGTTCTCCTGCCTCAGCCTCCAGAGTAGCTGGGATTATAAGCATGCGCCACCACGCCTGGCTATTTTTTTGCATTTTTAGTGGGGACAGGATTGCTCCAAGTTGGCCAGGCTGCTCTCGAACTCCTGACCTCAAGTGATCCACCCGCTTCAGCCTCCCCAAGTGCTGGGATTACAGGCATGAACCACCGCGCCGGCCCAAAGTTTGTTTTTGTTTTTAAGGCTATAGAACAGGAATTTCCTTGTGGGGGTCTGACCTCATCTTATTCTGCTGCCATTTTAACTCAGGTGTGCACCATATCAAAGCCAGCCATTTTCACTCTTCCCCAAGTGCATCAAGTGCTTTCATGTCCCTAAATGTCTGCAGTGCTCTTGGTTGCTTTAAGATTCAGCTCAAATGGGCCGGGCGCAGTGGCTCACGCCTGTAATCCCAGCACTTTGGGAGGCCGAGGCAGGTGAATCATGAGGTCAGGAGTTCAAGACCAGCCTGGCCAAGAGAGTGAAACCCCGTCTCTACTAAAAATAGAAAAATTAGCTGGGCATGGTGGTGGCCACCTGTAATCCCAGCTACTCGGGAGGTTGAGGCAGAGAATTGCTTGAACCTGGGAGGTGGAGGTTACAGTGAGCCGAGATCACGCCGCCACGCTCCAGCCTAGGTGACAGAGCGAGACTCCATCTCAAAAAAAAAAAAAAAAAAAGATTCAGCTCAAATGGGAAATCTCCCTGACCGTTTCTCTTCACACAGAATAAGTACCATGTCCACCAAACTCCAGCTACACTTTTTAAAATAAACCATTACTCACATTTTGCTTTTTATTTTACCTTTATTACTTTTGTTTCTGTCTGTGCTAGATTGTGAGCCCCTTGAGGTCAGGGACTGTATCTTGTTCATCTTCATTCTAACAGCTTTATGTTCAGTTAACACTAGTAGAGCAACCAAAGATGAGCATTTTAAAGTTAAGGATTTATAGTTACACCTTGGTTAATGAATCTCCAGAATTGATACTCTTTTTTAGTTAGCTTTGTTTAAAATTCAAATTATAAGTCCTGAGAAGCAGTATTGGCATGTGATGGTGTTTCTACAAAGCCTTACAGCTTTGCAGGATAAAAATACCTCAGCACACAGTTTCTCTTTGTTCACTCACAGTTGAAAATCAACAGGGTTAACCTTAGGCAAAACTATGAAGTATGGAAAGTTTGTCTTTATTATCCAGGCATCTCCTGTTTTTACTTTTTCCCCTTAGCAATGTCTGTCTTTAGGTGTCTACTTTTTATCTTGTTCTGATCTTTTCTAGCCTGTCAATTCTGGATATATTTTAAGAATGAATGGGCATAAGTCAAACTGGGTATTTGGTTTTAAACCTTTTATTACTAAGTGTGAAATAAAAGCCATTAGATTACCTGTTCAAGTAATTTGAGTAGGCAGATTTTTTTCTCCCCATGGGAAAGAAAGAGAACTCACTGAAATTAAACCATTTATAGATTGGCCCCAAACACAAAATTAAGGAATCGTTTTAGTTTGCTGGAGGATTTGTCACCAGGACAACCATCTCTGCTTCGTGGGCCAAATGGGCAGATCTGACCTAGCTGCATTTGTTAGAGATCTGTTCTGAGGATTTAAAATGGGTGCTGAAGGTGACCCACAGAAGTGACCAAATTCCCTTAGGCAGGAGCAGGACAGTCACTGACTAGCCCATATGGCATCTTTGTACGTATTAGAAAAAGGTGCTCCTTCCTCAAGTGTTTTTATTTTTATCTGTCAGAAAATTGTGGTAATTTACAGATTTTGTTAAACAAGAAATTACTGCCATCTGTCAGAAAATTGACACGATAATTGCCATCTCTCATGTGAATGTGCCCCTTTAACACAACGTCATTGTGCACTATAAAACAGGCTGATCTAGGAAGGGGCTGCACCCTCCAGTTTGCTGCAGGCCAATGTGTCCTATTTTCTTACCAGTTTACTTAAAATTTAAGTAATTTCAAATAAACTTGCCTGTCCTTGCAGGCACTGGAATTTTCAATTCTTGGTCTTTGATTTTTCTGAAACATTTGAAAATGCAGAAAAGATACCACATGTTCTTTGTTCAAGAAAAAGGGTCTCATTTAGGGAATTGAATTGATGGGGTGCCGAATGGTCTGGGATTGTTAAATGCTGTTAATCAAGTCTTTAGCTTACTATTAGGAAGAACTAATTTAGACTTTGGGATGATCAGGATTTAAATATTCCTAGTAGTTTGTCACTGACAGTACAGGAACACCTGACTCCTAAGTGTGTTACATTCTATCTGTCTTGCTTGAGACTGTAATGCAGTTGCCATGGGATGTATTGTAAAGAAAACTTGAATTATTTAAGGAATCTTTGAGTTTCTAAGTAGAGAAAGAGAAGATGTTGGGGGTTTTTTTGTTTTGTTTTGTTTTTTTTAAAAAAAAGGCTGCTCAAAGGAAATGACTTTCAGCTAGAATGGTTCAGCCTGCATAGTGGGTCCCTCACTTTTATATGGCTTCATATTTTATGAATTAGAAGTTCTTTTTAGTGACTATCCTTAAAAAAAAAAATCTCATTTCCTTTCTCACAAAAAAGAAAATTGAATCACAGAAAAGTTGCGATTTGCCCAAGGTCATGATTTGTAAATGGCAAAGCTGGAATTTGAACCCACATCTGATTGATTCCAAAGGAATCAGCTGACAAGCTACCTCTTTCAGCTTTCAGTTTCAAAAGGTTGCCTGGCTTATTCGTAGGAAAAGAGAAAGGAGCAGCTGGTACTGTCTCTCTCCTCCCTCTTATTGAATGACCTTCAAAGTCCCACAACTTAAACCAACATTGTTAGTACCATGGTTCCGTTACATTATAAAATAAATACAAGATTCATATAAGATGTAAAATGGTCTCATTCTTTTAGTTTGGAATTTTTATCTAATTTCTGATTTTTTAATTTAAAAGCGAACTTTGATAGCATGATTGAATTGAATTTCAAAGCTCCATATTTCTGCAGGAGAGGTAGGACATTAAATGATTTTACGAGTCTGTGAAGTTTACTTTTCTGAAGTTTATGTGAAATCTCTAATGCTGTGTGTGGGTAGTTTTAATGAACTAGTAGTTGTGCTGTTTTGAAGATCTGCTAATCTATAATGTACCCCAGATATTTCTATTGTCATATATTGTACACTTTTGTTTTTATGACTTGAAAGCCTCAAAATGTCTAAAACCTTTTTCTTTTAATGTGTTATATATTTGAGGAAATCCCAAAGGAAGGAATTAATAATGTTCAGGCAGAAACTTTTCAAACTGAAAAATAGTACATGTCAGAAAAACGGGAAAGGATGACATATATGGGCGTGGTGAGGTTACATAAAACAAAATATGCCAATGAGCAGTATTCCCAGTAGAACGCGGCTCCATTAGGGCAAAGACCTTTTTTGTCTGATTCATTTATGGGTGTGTTTCTCATGAATAGAAGAGTACCTGACACCTAGTAGGTGCGTGATAAATACTTGTTAAGTAAAGAAAGGAATGAAAAGCATGTGATTTGGCTTTATGCATTTGTGTCCTACAAGCTGCCCAGGGTTTGATCACAATGACTCATTCTTTTTTAAGCTATTGCATGCCAAGTTGATTTATCTGCTTTTGTTACTTCCCTATATTTCATAGCTTCAGAGTGCCATTTATTACTCATTTGTTTAACAGATGTTTACTGAGCATCTAGTGTATACTAAGCAGTGTAACATTAAAAAGCAACCAGATCTTATGTTTCTTGGAAAATTGATCATACTAATTTAATGTAACTAATAATTTAGGGTATTATTTTATGCTGTGTGAGAAATTGGCACAGGCAGTAAATACTAGATTTCAGAAGTCAAACTTCATCATATAAGTATTTTCCATACTTATACTACCATATAAGTATCAGTAGACTTTGACTAGATAAAGAGTGGAGGGAGGGCTCCCAGGCAGGAATGGCACAGCCCAACCAAGGAAGGGATAAAACAATAGCAGTGTTCTGGGAAACTTAGTAGAGGTCACCCTGGTAAAGCCGAGATGGACAGAAAAAGGAATACATAGAATTGCCTGGTCGGTTGGGCTGATGGTAGTTTATTTTGTGCCAGACTGAACGGGCTAGACTTGATCTAGTAAGAGTCACTGATCGAGTGTATTTTACTCTGAGGGGGGTTCCTAGGTCTCCTTCAGGGCTCTGTCTTTGGTACAATTCTTCTCCTTTGGTTACTGACCTTAGTCATCTTTGTAGGCTCCTACTTACCGTCTGAACTTTTTGCCTCCGACCTTATCTTGGTAAGTGATCCCATCTGCTTAAAATGTATGTGTGTGTGTGTGTGTGTGTGTGTGTGTGTCTGTGTGTGTATATATATAGAGAGAGAAACCCCAGAATTTGTATCTCTGGCCTAGACCCCTCTAGACCTCTCTCCTGAGCTTTACACTCATGTACACCATTCCCCTTCAGAGCTCTACTTGGATGTCTCCTTCGTGTTTTAACTTCACATGCGTAAAATTGAATTCTTGGTTGTTAGCCCACCTCTAATGCAGTGTCCTCCCTGCCCCCAGTCTTACCCATTTTTTACGCAGTTTCTCAGGTAAAAAACCTGGGAGTTATCCATGATTCTTCTTTTCTTGACAAGACACATCTAGTCAATGACCAAGTCCTGTTAGTTGTACCAACACAATACACCCTGAATCCTACTACACTATTCTAAGCTGCCATTTTTGCTCCAGAATATAAGTTCAGGACTGACTATATAATCTGCAGGACCTAGTGCAAAATGAAAATATGGGGCCTTTTGTTCATACATTATTAAAAATTTCAAAAAGACCACTGAGGGACTTATCCATGTAACCAAAAACCATCTGTACCCCCCAAAACTATAGAAATTTTAATAAAAATGAAATCAGTGACAGTGGAGCATTAAATCAAGCTCAGGGCCCTTCCAAGTGGGGTCCCAGTATGACTGCACAGGCTCCCTCTTCATGAAGCTGGCCCTGCCTCCACTACTGCAGTAACCTCCTAAGTAGTAGCTCCTTCCTTCCCCCTATGGACCATCCCTCACAGGTCAGACTCATTAGTGTAGATCTAGTCATACCACTTCCCTGCTTATTGCAGTTAAAATAAAATGTACAAATCCTGCATCATCTGGCCTTCAGAACTTTGATCTGATCCTGAAGCTTTTTTAACCTCTTCTTCCACTACACATCTCATTCATTAGACAGCAGCCATAGTTGCCACCTTTTATCTGTCAAAAAGAACAAGTATAGTCCCATCTCAGGGCCCTTCTTTCTGTCTAAACACATATCTTTCATCAGATCTTCAGTTGGTAGCCCCCTTCCAACCATGCAGTTCTCTCAGTTTATATGGAACCTCCTCAGATGGGCCTTTCTCGACCACTGCTGGGTGAAATAGTATAGACTTCTCCCCACCGCCGCCACTACCACCACCTAATTATGTGCTATGACATTACTCAGGTTTATTGTATTCTTAACACTTACCATTGTGTGACTACCTTAATTAATTAATTATGACATACTGACTATATCTCCACCACCTAGCATAGTGTCTCATACATAATAGTGCTCAGTAAGTATTCATTGCACGAATGAATGTTTATCATAACCTTTTTAGCCTCTTTCATTTTAGGAGATTTATCTGAAGTTAACAATGTTTTTCTGTTAACAAAAGGAATACATACAATACAAACAAAATCCTTTGGGATTTTGTTTATTTGGGAATTTAACAAGGGCCCTTCCCTTGTTAAGTTTTTTATTTGTTGAGTCCTTATAAAATTGAATTGACTTTTATTTAATGTATTCCAAGTTAATTTTAGAATCTCAATGAAAGAAGCCCCCTTCTCTTTAAAATGGCATGTCTTTAGTATAACATATCATGATACATAAATGTACTTTAGCTTGGATAAGGAATTAAAGATGTCATTTCCTGTTAGAACTAAGGTTAATACTATAGGATGAGCACATTTTTTTTCCCCTCAGAATCAATATTGTAATTCCAAGGGTTTTACAGCCCAAGCTTCAGAAATGCATGTAAACCCATTCAGTAAACCTTGAACATCTATTATATAACAGACACTCAGGAATGAAAAGATGAATAAGACATTTTTCCTGCCCTTGAGTTGTTCACTGTAGATAATTTGTTCTTTGACATGCAACATCCTGTGTAGTTTCAAAAAGATAAATACTAAACCTGCTTCGTGAACTATGGCTAGATCCTTTAGCTTTTAAGACTTGATTTTGGCTGGGCACGGTGGCTCACGCCTATAATTCCAGCCCTTTGGGAGACCAAAGCAAGAGGATTGCTTGAGCCCAGGAGTTCAAGACCATTCTGGGCTGACATGGGAGATTACTTCTAGAAAAGTCATAGTGCAGTATTCTATCAGTTATTTTCATCTTGAATAATTTTATGGAGACTTCATCTCTATAAAAACCTTAAAAAAGCAGCTGAGGGTGGTGTGTGCCTATAGTCCCAGCTACGCCTGTAGTCTCAGCTACTCCTGTAGTCTCAGCTACTCCTGAGGCTGAGGTGGGCCAATCACTTGAGTCCAGGAGGTGCAGGAGGTTGCAGTGAGCTGAGATGATGCCACTGCCCTCCAGCCTAGGTAACAGAGGGAGACCTTGTCTCAATAAAAAAAAAAAAAAAAAAAAAAAAGTTGATTTTTATAATCCAAAATGATGCAGTTGTATAGGAGAAACAAAACACGTGCGCATGCGTGCACCCCTTATGAGGCTAATACGAACAAGAAATACATAAAATTAATTTATAAATCTGTTGTTTACCAATCCTGTCGGGTACGCACACCAATTTTGGAGGGAGTGGGGGTGGTGATGGCCAAATGCTATTGTTCACAGAATTTTCAATTCTTATTACATAATTATATTGAATGCCATATGGTGTTTTATTGTAGTTCATTAAATTACTAGCAGTTTATACTTCTATTTGTGTTATCATTAACGCATTTCAGTAGCACATTTTTTAAATACAAAACTTTAGATATTCCTTTTTCATAAAAAACTATTCAAGATGAAAATAACTGATAGAATACTGCACTATGACTTTTCTAGAAGTAATCCCCCATGTCAGCTCTAAATGGTGAATAAATGACAGTACTGTGCTATACAGTCCTTCAAATATATAAAATAAGAATTGTTGCTAAGCATGTTAACAAAGAACTAAAAATCTTAAAGGATGTCTTGTCTTGACAATTATCTCTGTTGGTTTGGTACATTAATACCATTTTCCCTTCTTGAAATTCTAGAGGAGTAAGTTATTTCTAGTAGTTGGGTTTTCAAAATAGTTACTAAACTCCTTTAAAAGTTTGTAACTTAAAATTTTTAGTTCACTTTAATGAATGAATATCTTTCTAAGCTATATTATATATTAAACTGTATCCATACTTCATGAAGAGTTTGTTGAGAACATAATCTAACTTTCTCTGTAACTTAGTTTTTCATATGAATACCCATTTTTTGATTATATGGCAAATGCCTTCATACACCATCAAGAAGAGTAGGATTATTTGCCCCTTTACAAGATGGCCCCAGAGTATTATGCTTTGCAAGTCCTTTGAGAGTTATATGTAGTTCTTCAGTCCCCTCTTATCAGGTATCATTTTGTCATGTTGATTGTGTTACTGTCTGTTGCAGCCTCTCTCTTCCTTCTGATTTAGTGTTTTTAATTTCCTGTGAGCAAAGAATCCAGTTTAAAAATTCCACTAGAATGAATAGTGTGTGTAAAAGAAGACTGAATAGACTCTGAGTGAAGGTCTGATGGGCTTGCCTATGAGTCAAGTGGTCAGAGCTGTCATGTTTGGCCCTGTGACATCTGTTTTGGTTGCTGAGATGCCCTTTTTTCCCTTCTTCTTTTCTGATTCTAGTTAGGGCAGATGTCATTGCATTTAATAAATCACAAAATAGAAAATATGTAGAATATCTCATTTTAGTTGGAGGAACACTCCCTTTGGGTCACTTGGTCTTTGTTGTTAATGTGATACACTTGTACCATCTATCTGAAACTCAGATATATAATAAAGTATTGCTAATTAAATTTCCTGACATCTTTCCAAGTGTTTTGCTGTGAAAGTGAATTATGCAAGTAAATGAACTCTATTAAGCTGTTGATTGCCAAAGCTTGTTTTTCTGATTTTTATTCAAATCTCTATCATGGATGAAGCATGCAGTTTCAGAATCAGTTCAGTGTTGACAACATATCAAGATATTCTGCAGTCAATCTCAATGTATGTTCATGAAGCCTCCAACATATTTTGTGGGATACCATCTTTGTCAGGCATTGTGCTAGGCACTGTCCCTGCAGTGAATAAGAAAGACAGGATTTCTGTATTTATGGGGCTTAGTACCAAGTTGTTCTCAAACTTTCATGTTTGTGTATACAAATCAGCTGAGGCCTTCACTAAACTACAGATTCCATGGCCTGGCCCTCAGAGATTTTGACTCAACAGGTCTGAGTTGGGACTAGAAATATGCATTGCTAATAGGCACCCTGACAATTCCGATGTAGGTGGTCCTTAGAACATATTTTGAGAAATATATTCTGTAGTCTGGCAGATAAAGAATTCTTAACAAGGAGGTACAACTTTCGGATAATATATGGACAAGAACAATATAATGTCATATTCGACCTGATTGCCGTTTCATCTGTAATTTAAACTATCTCAAAACCCTATTTTTGAAATCAATCACTTAATGTTTTTCCTTATGACCCTCATGTTGAGATAAAATGACTAAATACTTTGGTTGACTTTAAATATCATTTCTTATTTCTTAAACACCCTACCAATAATTAATCTTTCCTATAAGAATAACGTTGGCCTGTTGGCCGGGCATCATGGCAGCAGGTGCCTATAGTCCCAGCTACTCAGAGGCTGAGGCAGGAGAATTGCTTGACATGGAGATTGCAATGAGCCCAGATAGCGCCATTGCACTCCAGCCTTGTGCAACAGGAGTGAAGCTCTGTCTCAAAAAAAAAAAAAAAAAAAAGAATAGCCTTGGCCTATGACAAGCTGTCTCCCAAAGACAACCGTGATTAGAAAGCCAGAGCAAAGGCAAAATATTTCCACCCAAGTACTTCTTTAAAAATGAAATGTCATAGACCATATCTTCAAATGCATTTAAGAAGTTTCCCAGCTATATCTTGATATTTTGCTACAATGGATTATTGTCATATAACCCTTAATATTGGGACAGTGGTGCCTGTTGTACTTATTTGTTTCAATAAATTTTGTTTCCTCATTGTTTGTTACAGGAAGTTCAATTTGAATTTCTTCATCAGCATTATAATCAATCTTATTGTAATTAACTCAACAAGTATGAAAGAATTGGCAGATTCTGTTGGAATTAGGAAAAATGCATCTGTTTTCTTCCTTTTATGGGCTGTGATAGTAAAATAAATGGTGATTATATCCGGAAAAAAAAAAAAGCAATGTCATAGAATATATCTTGAAGTATGCACCAGAAATTGGGTCAGTGGTTGTCCCCAAAGAGAAGGTCTGGGTGGGTAGGGGAGACTTATTTATAATCATGTATCCTTTTGTGTGATACGAATTCAGTACCATGTGACTGTATTACCTAACCAAAAGGAAATTTGAGGCTATATATCATGTTGTAACTATAGCTCTAAACTTACGCTGTTGGTTGTAATTTGTGTAGCTACCTCTTAACTTAACTTTCTTTTTGGTAACTTTCCCCATCAGCATATCTTAGAGGGTGGGCCTTTTTCTCTTATAAGCACTTTATTTGAATAATCCTTTCCTTCAGAGGTTTGAGATGGCACTTTAAAAGTTTCATTCTTATACATCATAGGGTCTGTTTCTAAGCAGTTTTTTCCATTCTGTCATTCCAATCTTATATCAGAGACATACTATTTTGATTATTGTAGCTTAATATATTTTAATGCCTTAGAATATTATATTCCCCATTATTGTTCTTCTGTTTAAATGTTTTTCTTAATTCTTCTTACCTGTTTGGTCTTCCTTGTCCAAATTTTAGAACACTTTTTTTTCCCAGGTTCAAAAATCTCCAGTAAAATTTTTTTGCTCTAAATTTATAAAATTAGTTGGGAAGAATTCACTTCTTAGAATATTTAATCTTCCCATTCAAAAACACAGCTGTCTATTTACGCCTTCTTTTATATCTTTCAGTTGCAGTATATAGTTTTCTTCTAAGAGGGTTGAACCTTTTTCTGGTAAGGGTTGTGTATTTATAGTTTTGTTGCTATTGTAAATGTGTTTCTTTAAAAAATACAAGCCTGGGCAACATGGTAAGACCCTGTCTCTACAAAAAATTTAAAAATAAGCTGGTCATGGTGGTGCACACCTATAGTCCCAGCTACTGGGGAGAAATAGGAGGCCAAGGTGGGAGATCTCTTGAACCTGGAAGGTCAAGGCTGCAGTGAGCTGTGATCATGCCACTACACTCCAGCCTGGGCAACAGAGTGAGACCTTGTCTCAAAAATAAAAAATATTATATAGCTGGATTATAGGAAAATTATTTTTGTATATTTGTATTATTTCATTTTTCAATTTTTTCTTTCTCTTTAAGGTATATAATTATATTGCCTGCAAAAGTATGTTGACATTTTAAAAGTATTTATTAGCATATGAAATTTAGAAGAGCATATTGAGTTGTATATAGATATATATTTTCATATTCAATTAAAAATGTAAGATACAGTTTCCAGGTTATTGATCAGAGATAGATAGTAACTTATATATTCTGCTTCAGTTTATCCACAGGGAGAGCAAAATTCAGCATTGAAGAACCTAGGTTATAAGGCTGGACAGTTTTTCTAAGAATAGCAAATGATTTCACAGACATATACATATGTGAAAACATCAAATTGTACCCTTTATCTACAGCTTATATGTCACTTATATCTCAAAACTTTTTTAAAAAACAAATATCGCAAAACTTTTGCTTGAGTTAGGCTTTCTCTGTGATAGTCTTGCCTTTATTTGCTTTCATTGAAGAATTCTTTAAAAGTTTTTACTAATGTATTTTAAAAGGAATATAGATCAGTAGTTAACATAGTCCCTGATAGGTGACAGACATTCTGAATGTATTAAATGGAATGTAATTAAATGACATATTGGGTTATTTTTCCTTCTTTAACACCATGCTGGTGCTCACTTTTTAGGAGGCTGTGGGAATCCTGAGTCCTCTGCAGTAGAGAGATGAGTAAAGTGCATGGGGAAATGGCACAAATGCCCAGGGAATAAGGGAAAAATTTTCTGGGGAGGTGATGGCCCAAGGGATGAGTTTGCCATACAAAGAAGGGGGACTGAAGGCTAGAAAACAAGGTGACAAATCCTAGGAATTACCAGTGAAGAATCCTTTGACGTTCCAGAAGCTCTTTCATTTGGTTGCTAGTCTGTCTTGCCCACCCCTCCTGTAGGTTGTAGCTTTTTCCTTTTCATTTCTTGAGCAGTACCTGACATTGGGCCAGACTTACATTAGGCCTCCAGAAACCTCTTGAGATCAGTGGCATTTGTCCGCTTACCATGCTCACACACCGTTCTTCCCTTTAACCGACGGGCACTGAGCAGCTTCTCCTCATCCCTTGGGTATTGTTCTCCCTAAACACCAGTCTCTGCTTATCCTGCCTCATTTTCCTTATTGCTGCCAGAGTTAATCTTTTTTTTTTTTTTTTGGAGACGGAGTTTCACTCTTGTTGCCAGAAAACAAGGTGACAAATTATAGGAATTACCAATGAGGAATCCTTTGACATTCCAGAAGCTCTTTCATTTAGGTACTAGTCTATCTTGCCCACCCCTCCAGTAGCTTGTAGCTTTTTCCTTTTCATTTCTCGAGCAGTACCTGACGCTGGGCCAGACTTAGATTAGGCCCCCAGAAACCTCTTGAGACCAGTAGCATTTGTCTGCTTACCATGCTCACACACCGTTCTTCCCTTTAACCAATGGGCACTGAGCAGCTTCTCCTCATCCCTTGGGTATTGTTCTCCCTAAACACTAGTCTCTGCTTATCTCGCCTCATTCTCCTTATTGCTGCCAGAGTTAATCTTTTTTTTTTTTTTTTTTGAGACGGAGTTTTGCTCTTGTTGCCCAGGCTGGAGTGCAACGGCATGATCTCGTCTCACCGCAACCTCCGCCTCCCGGGTTCAAGCAATTCTCCTGCCTCATCCTCCCAAGTAGCTGGGATTACAGGCATGCGCCACCACGCCCAGCTAATTTTGTATTTTTAGTAGAGACAGGGTTTCTCCATGTTGGTCAGGTTGGTCTCGAACTTCCAGCCTCAGGTGATCTGCCCTTCATGGCCTCCTGAAGTGTTGGGATTACAGGCATGAGCCACCACACCCAACCAATCCTCATTTTTAAATGAACCCTGCCTCAGCCTCTCGAGTAGCTGAGATTACAGGTGCCTGCCACCACATCCGGCTAATTTTTGTAGTTTTTAGTAGAGACAGGGTTTCATCATGTTGGCCAGGCTGGTCTTGAACTCCTGACCTCAGGTGATCTGCCCACCTCGGCCTCCCGAAGTGCCGGGATTACAGGAATGAGCCACCGCACCTGGCTCTTCCCTTCCCCTCCACTCCCCTCGCTCCCTCTTTTTCTCTCTCACTGTCTCTTCTTGAGCTTCTGTGGATTGCACACCCTTCCTGAAATTTACCACCCTTTTTTTTGCCCCTTACTTCCCCCCACCTCCCACCACCGCCTTCTTTGTACAGCAAATTCCTAGCAAGGCCATCACCTCCGGAAAAGCCTCCCTATCCTCCTCCAGGCAGCTGCCCCCTCTTCCCATGTGCTTCACTTGTCTCTCCATGGCAGCTCTTCCTACACACTGTGATTATACTTATCTCTTTAAGCTGTTGGGAGATGGTAGAAATGTGATATTGGTTTGAAATTAGAGGCTTTTTTTGGGGATAGAAGGAGGCTCATGAGAAGATAGTATAAATATGTATTAATATTTAATAGAAATTAGAGAGGTTGTGAAGAATCCAGTGTGAAGAAAAAAGGTAGGAAAAGAAAAGAGGTAGGAAAGATGGTGAAGGCCAGATGTTAGAGAGCTGTCGACAGAAAGGAAACCTGGCCAGAAGAAAAAATGTAGTGATGTAAGGATGTATTTTGTCATCTCTTACATTTTATTTGAGAAATATTCAGAACACTTAGAAGGACTAATAGGTACAGGTCACACCCTCCTCTTTTCTCCTCTCCCCTGCCCCCATACTTTCAGTTTAACAAGGAAAGTAGAATACATAAAAAAATAGAGTAAAAGTTTAATAATGGCAACCTATGTGTGGTTAGGGTGCTTAAGTATGGTAGGAGAGGCCTGGTGCGGTGACTCACACCTGTAATCCCAGCACTTTGGGAGGCCAAGGTGGGCAGATCGCTTGAGGTCAGGAGTTTGAGACCAGCCTGGCCAACATGGTGAAACCTTATCTCTACTAAAAATAGAAAAATTAGCCGGACGTGGTGGCACACACCTGTAATCCCAGCTACTCTGGAGGCTGAGGAAGGAGAATCGTTTAAACCCATGAGGCGGAGGTTACAGTGAGCCAAGATCGCACCACTGCACTCCAGCCAGGGCAACAGAGCAAGACTCCATCTCAAAATAAAAAAAAAAAATTAACAAAAAGGATGGTAGGAGAGGTAACTCCAGTACTAATTGGTATGTCTTAAGCACTGCTGATGAGAAAGCCATTCAGATACAAAGTACTGGAAAGGCAGAGGGTGTACTGGAAAGTACTGGAAAGGGTGGTTGGAGGAGAATCTTTTGTGTGGTGGTGTGCACAAGTTACTGGGGTAAAGTGGACAGGATTACAAGGACTTTAGTAGGAGAAATATGGGAGGATACATTGAGGTACTTGGTAAGCATGGCTTTTCGTCTCAAGGTTTACACATATAAAAGCAAGGACAAAAACAACCATAGCATTGTCTTGTATTTACTACAAGTCAGAAAGTTGAGTATATTGCCAGTCTTTTTTTAAAATAGTCTGGTAGTTTTATGAAAAGTCTAACTAAAACTAGTACTGCTTATATATTGTCCATTTTGAGATAAAATTGTTTACAGTGATATGTTATACATAACTAGCTACATGTCATGTAATTATAACTTTACTTTGAACTAGGGTTTTTATTTATGTGGCATTGTAACATCAAAAGGTCACAATACCACTACCATCTACTAAAATGTAAGAATATCTTTTGTTAATTCCTACACGGTGTCAGCTAAAAGTTCTTAGTGACAATGTAAATTCATAAGGATAAGACAGAAGTGTTTAAGTTTGGGTTTTTTTTAGTTTGCAGCTTTTGTGGGGTTTTTTTTGCAGCTTTTGTTTTTTATAAGATTGGAGTAGAAGTATGTAGAATGCTAGATAATTTAACTTCTTCAGGTTCAATTCTAGTATTAATTGTTTGTCATTGTATCACAGAAGTTCATATCCAGCTTTTATTTTTTAATTTTCATTCTTATTCTTCTATTTATTTATTTTTTTATTTATTATTTATTTATTAATTTTGAGACGGAGTCTCGCTCTGTCACCCAGGCTGGAGTGCAGTGGCACAATCTTGGCTTACTGCAACCTCTGCCTCCCAGGTTCAAGCAATTCTTCTCCCTCAGCCTCCCGAGTAGCTGGGACTACAGGCGTATGCTACCACGCCCAGCTAATTTTTGTATTTTTAGTAGTGATGGGGTTTCACCATATTGGCCAGGCTGGTCTTGAACTCCTGACCTCATGATCTGCCCACCTCGGCCTCCCAGAGTGCTGGGATTACAGGCATGAGCCACTGTGCCGGCCTATTTTCATTCTTGAATTTAAAGTTAAATTATTCAAAGTTGAAATATGTACAGAAATTCTCTCACTTCTATTCATCCTCTCAATGGAGAGAGAGAGACCATATGGCCTGAAACCACGTCCACAGAGCAATGAATCAATAGGGAGTCCTCCTTTCCTGTTTTGCAGTCCTAAATGATACTCCCAATGGCTTTCACTCTTTAATATCAGTATCAGCACCACAACTGGTCGTAAATGAAGGTCTTTTCCTTGAAAGGGTGACTACTCTTTCTCTCATTTTTTTTTTCCTGGCTTGATTTGGCTCTAGTTAGCACAAGAAAACTTCTTAATTTTCAAACAGCATATTAAAAACTACCTTCTCTTTTAAGAATTTTTCTCTGAATCCCAGCTCACATTGGTAGCCACATACTGCCAGGTATTTCCCATCTATTTTTCTAGCATTTAAAGTTTCATGGAGTCACTAATGAAGTAGCCATTTGCTATATTTACTTAGTCACCATAGCAACATTGTCTCGGTTAGTGTATGCCTGGGTAGCTTCCTGCAGTTTGACATGATATGCAGCTAATAATTCTGATTTCTACTCAGAGGCAACAGGAATTTTGCAGAATAGTATTTTTAAATTTGCTGAATAGAAGTTATTTGATCCCACCATTGTATTCCATTGGCACTTATCACATAGTCATAGGATTACAGAAATTTTAATTTGAAAAAATGATTCATACTTACATATATCAGAGTAGCTGGCTGGAGAAACATGGCCTCCATCATCATAAGCAGCTTATTGAATTTCTAACCTAAACATTTTTAGGAGTTAAAGAAGTTGATGATCAGAGGGTTAGAAGTTGAGATTTCTTAACCATCTTGGGTGCTTAGCTTTAAATAAATAATTCTGGTTTTAAGACTTCAGTTTTTAGTATAATGTGAAAATTGAAAATACTTCTTGGCTGGGCATGATTGCTTATGCCTATAATCTCAGCACTTTGGGAGGCTGAGGCAGGAGGATCACTTGAGCCCAGGAATTCAAGACCAGCCTGGGTAACACAGTGAGATCTTGTCTCCACTAAAAATAAAATTTTTTTTAAATTAGCTGAGTGTGGTGGCATGTACCTATAGTCCCAGCTACTCAGGAGGCTGAGGCAGGAGGATCGCTTGAGTCCAGGAGGTTGAGGCTACAGTGACCTATGATCACGCCACTGCACTCCAGCCTGGGTGACGAGCAAGACCCTGTCTCAGAAAAAAAGAAATGAAGAAAAACACTTCTCATTATAGTAATTTTTCCAGTCTTTATTCTGTAATTTCTGTTAGGTCAGCCTTCTTGAACTGCATTACCTCATTCCCTTCTACCCACCCACCATAAGTTCCTTTAGTCATTACTGAAACTAACAGTTACATAAATATATTTTTACTTTTTAAATGTATCTCCTTCAGATTTCACATAGTGTAAGTGTGTACTTTGCAGAAAATACATTTTCTTTGATAGACATTGTTTGGAGAAGTTAGTATAGCCTGTTCATGGTTATAGTGTTTACAGTTTCAAGAATCTGATCTAATCTTAAATGATGTAAAGATGATCACTTGACCATCTGTTACAAAATTTGTAAAGGCTCACTTTAAACTACCAAGTTCGTTTTATATCTAAATTGCTTTTATGAAACGTACTCCATATTTTAAGCTCTACCTTGTATATGCATTAAATCCACAAAGCTGAGTACAGTGGTACATGCCTGTATTCTCAGCTACTGGGGATGCCGAGGCTTGAGCCCAGAAGTTTGAGGCAGTAATATGCTATGATTGTGCCTGCGAAAAGCCACTGCATTCTAGCCTGGGCAGCATCGTGAGACCCCATCTCTGCAATATAAAAAAACAATTTAAAATAAGAATGAATTAAATCCATAGAAGTCCACTTCCGTTTAGTCATCTGTATTCTCATTTTGATCTGTATAAAAACACAGCAGGCTCAAATCCTTCTTAATTTCATAATTAACCAGAAGAAACATGGGCACGTGTTCATTCCGATATGTATGTTTCATTTGTTCCTACCTAACTCAGTTGTTGAATGGCTATTACTAGGAAACCAAGGCTGTAGGTTCGGTTGCCAATTGAGCATATCACTGTAGACTGTTCCATGGACACAGATTTTGCCCTTGCCTCAGCTAGCAACACTGTGAATGAACTTTTAGCCAGTCATAGAGGAAACAGGAGAATACAACTTATTATAAAACAATTGCTAGCTGGATATGGTGGCCCACACCTATAATCCCAGCACTTTGGGAGGCCAAGGCAGGAGGATCCCTTGAGTCTGGGAGTTTGAGGCCAGCCTGGGCAACATGGCAAACCCCATCTCTACAAAATATAGAAAAGTCAGCTGGGTGTGATGGTGTGCACCTGTAGTCCCAGCT
The DNA here is from genome assembly GCF_000001405.40 of Homo sapiens. Taxonomy (NCBI): domain Eukaryota; kingdom Metazoa; phylum Chordata; class Mammalia; order Primates; family Hominidae; genus Homo; species Homo sapiens. The sequence continues at coordinate 45,233,802 of NC_000013.11, forward strand.
ACTCAAGAGGCTGAGGTGGGAGGATCACTTGAGCCCAGGAGGCCGAGGTTGCAGTGAACCGAGATCATGCCACCGCACTCCAGCCTGGGCAACAGAGCGCGTCTCTGTCTCAAAAACAAAAATGAAAAACAAAACCATTGCCACAGTTGGAAAAAAATAATATAGGAGTTTATGTTTTCCTACTGGTGAATCAACCTCATCGTCTCCCACTATAAAGATGTCTACCAAAGCAACATTTGCAAAGATGGCCATAAGCAACGCAGATCATCATATTAACAGCTTAAAAAAATAAAACAGATTTTGTCCATCACTTCTTGAACATGCATTATGGCTTTAATAGCCTGTATTATAATTTTTACCATCCATGCATGTTGATGATGCAGAAAACATTTTTATACATTTGTTTTGGTCCTATAATAATAGTCATTCTGTGACTAACCAGAGCTATGTGAAGAATAGTCTGATATCCCTTGCATTTTGTAGTTTTTATAGGATATAAAATAAGTGACTGAAACATAAAGCTGTTTGTAAATAGAGCTAGCAGTGCACATAAAATAATATACAGAGTCTAGATTTGTAAATCATCAACTATTTTCACAAGCATCTTGTTCACAAATCTTTTTCCTGTATGCTAAGTTGAATTGCTTTTGTACTAAGACTAGCTTTTTAACAAAATCTGTTTGAATGGAATCAGATATTTTGTATATTTAGGAAAAAAACTGGCTTAAACATTTTTATAATGCCTTTTTCCTACTAATAGCAAAAATATTTATTTTATTAAAGTTATAAAATGATTATTAAGTTCTTAATCTATCCATGGGTTCAATATAAAAGAAAAACTTGCATGTTGGCCAGGTAACTTAATGTCAGAGTTGCATAATTCCTCATCAGACTATACCAGACCAGAAACCTATATATCAGTTAGTAAATATGCACTTTGGGCAGCTTACAAAAAGATGGTCATGCCAGTGCGGTGGCTCATGCCTGTAATTCCAGCACTTTGGGAGGCCAAGGCAGGCGAATCACCTGAGGTTGAGAGTTTGAGACCAGCCTGACCAACATGGAGCAACCCCGTCTCTACTAAAAATACAAAGTTAGCCGGGCATGGTGGCGCATGCCTGTAATCCCAGCTATTCGGGAGGCCGAGGTGGGAGAATCGCCTGAACCCAGGAGGCAGAGCTTGCAGTGAGCCAAGATTGTGCCATTGCACTCCAGCCTGGGCAACAAGAGCGGGAAACTCAAAAAAAAAAAAAAAAAAAAAAAAAAAAAAGGTCATAGTTGAATGTTTATTGAGAAGGCTAATAACATGAACTGACAACATTGTGAAAACAGAAAATCTTACAGTAGTAATTATTGTCAACACTTTGTCAATATGGTAAACTTATAAATATTAGTGTTTCTGTTATGAAACTGAATTAATTTATTATATTACCGGTAATTTCCAGCAGTTTCTCTTTTAATTTTTAAACAATTTTATTTAAAAATTAATATTTGTGAGACTAAATTCTCAAAACCAAACTTCATCCTTAATGAATACATTTCAATTCTTTATGAAAAGGAAGAGCTGTTAACGTTTTCTGACAAGTAATGCATTATAGTTCATCATTTTGGCACAGGATAGGCTTGAGTTTTCTTCTGACTTCTTAAGGACATATGTAGTGGGAGGCACTTATCTTTTTTTTTTTTTCTAATGTTTGATTAGCAGTTTGAAATGCTAATGAAATTAGCAAATTAAATGGAGATTTGATGAAGTAAAATTTGAAATTATGTCCATATGCTTTCTTTCCTTTTTCTTTTTTTTTTCCTGAGATAGAGTCCCGCTGTGTTGCCCAGGCTGCAGTGCAGTGGCGTGATCTCAGCTCATTGCAATTTCCGCCTCCCAGGTTCAAGTGATTCTCCTGCCTCAGCCTCCCGAGTAGCCAGGATTACAGGCACCCACTACCACACCTGGCTTTTATTTTTTTTTATTTATTTTTTATTTTTAGTAGAGACGGGGTTTCACCATGTTGACCGTGCTGGTCTCGAACTCCTGACCTCAGGTGATCGGCCCCCCTCAGCCTCCCAAAGTGCTGGGATTACAGGGATGAGCCACCGCACATGGCCAGATACTTTATTTTCTGTATTAACCTTTGCTGTAAGTCTTTACTATTTACCACAAAAAGTACAAAAACCAATTACAAAAATAGAAAAGAGGGACTGAAAGGAGGTCTTATTGTAGTAGTCTTGTGCCTGATGCCACTATCTAGATGCATTTAATTGTTTTCTAGAGAAAGAATTCATTTCCCAAGTATTTCTAATCAAAATGTATATGATGTGACTTGAGAATATTCAAGGGCTTGGCAGTCCCAAATACATCACACTGGTCTGGCCCACTGTCTATGGCCTGCAGTTCCCCTAAACTGTTCATTCCTCTGAGTCATACATACCATCATGGGACTCTGTGGACTCTTGTAGATGGGGAGTTGGCAAGGAACCAAAAGGCAGGAATGACTTACTTATCTAAATGGGAGAGTTTAAGCAGTAGGAGGCCCTAGAATTTGTACTTAGGCATAACTGACTTTCTATTTATGAAAATAATCTGGGAGAAGAAATGGATAGTGAAATCTCCTGAGTTGTGTATAGTGAAATGATGGTGTCAAGAAGATTGCTAAGTGCTCTCTAAATTGATTCCTCACCCCCCGCCACACATACACACACACACACACACACACACACACACACACACACAAGTTTATGAGGCTCAGTGTAGATAAGTGTGGAGTATAAAAATCTAATCTTTTGGGATTATGGGAGGAAAGGTGCCTAAGTGTTACTGTTTAGTGTTCCCTAAAAGCATTAGCCTATTTGACTGTTGAGGTAAAAATAATGCATATGAAATAATCTAGAGCTGTATAGAAAATCAACCAAAAGGGTCGAGGAAGTGAAAAATGGGGATACTAGTCTAAGTAAAATAGATAATTGTGATATGATAAAGAGCAGAAGAGGAATAAAACAGTTACTTTTTATTCATTTGCACCAACTATGCAGTTTGTCTGAAAGTGACCCTGTCTCCTGTGAAGAAAATTATATAACCTTCTTGAGTCATATTTTAATATGACGAGGAATATTGAGAAAAATAATTTTTGAGACTAGTTAAAAAAATGGTTATCATGAGTAATCTGTATAATTTCAGGAGATGTTCCAATGAAATGATTTTTTTCTACTTTTGTTAAACTCAGACATTCTATTCACTACTGGTTGAAAGTCATATGACGAATTGATTTGAGTACCCTAAAAGATTAAATCTAAAAAATATTATACCTAAAGATCAGTGAATTCTTTGAATCAGATATATAAGAAATTACCCAAAGCTGTAAACTGCCATATTTTTATGTTTTTCGGTGCTGTGGTTAAATTATAATTGATTATAATTAGCACTTCCATGAACATTGCATGTTTTACCTGCAGCTGAATGACATTTAGGAAGAAATTTTTTTAATCTTTGAAAACATCAGAAGAGATAGTGCTTTCTGATCTAATATAGCTAAATATCCCCTATCAGAATACATAAAGGATGAACACAGATTTTACAAGTCTTGATTCTAAAATCCAATATGTAAACTAAATAAATATTAAAAGTTGTGCTTATTCAAATAACTCCCATACATTTCTGTTCAATATGGGTACTGGAGTGATAATAAGATGTACAATAATAGCTAAAATATACTGAATACATACTATGGGACAGGCCATTTACTAAGTGTTTTATAAAGGTTATCTCACTTATTTCTGTTATAATTCTCATTGTTTTCCATGAGAGCACCAAAGGACTAAAGAAGTTGAATAACTTGACCAAGGTCACACCTAGGGATGGACCTGTAACTTAAAATCAGAGCTTGGTTTCAGACCTGCCATACCATGGTACATTCTTTTACTCTAAGTATTATTTAAGGCTATTCTGTATGCCATGAATTTGCTTTAGTCTCTGATTTTTAATGCAAAGTTACTGGCATGGATCAAAAACAAAAGATACTTCATTTTTGCTCTCTTTAATATTGAGTTATAAACATTACTGGTTCTTCTGATAGAAAAGCTTTCATCCCCACTCCTGGGAACCATATCAAATTATTTAGGCACTTTATTTGGAGTTAGAGTTTGAAAAGGTTTCTGTTTGTTTGTTTGTTTGTTTTTGAGATGAAGTCTCACTCTGTAGCCCAGGCTGGAGTGCAGTGGCGTCATCTCAGCTCACCGCAACCTCTGCTTCCCAGGTACAAGCCATTCGCCTGCCTCAGCCTCCAGAGTAGCTGGGATTACAGGTGCACACCGCTGCACTCGGCTGATTTTTTGCATATTTAATAGAGAAGAGGTTTCACCATGTTGGCCAGGCTGGTCTTAAACTCCCAACCTCAGGTAACCCACTCACTTCAGCCTCCCAAACTGCTAGGATTACAGGCATGAGCCACCACGCCCGGCCTGAAAAGTTTTTAAAGAATGAAACTCAAGTATTTTCTCATTCATCATCCATTGGAGTTTAAGGTGATTTTATTTCTATCATGGAAAGAATAGCCACTTGGTCATGTATTGAGGAGTAATAAATGGTCCCTGATCAGCTCAACGTTTTTTCCCCTCATATATTTCTGCTTTATGCCTGTACTAAAATAGTGTCTAGAGTGCGTGATTAACAGGAAAAGCATTAGCAGTAAGTTTCTTCTATCACATGCTGTCCCTTATGCCTCCCCTCCCTCTTCCCACTCCCTTGTTCCTCTTCCCTGTCACACACACATTTATTTTGGAATCCGAACTTTCGAGATGAAAAGCAGTTTACTTTCATAAAGTAGCATGACACATCATGCCTGACTTGAAGTAAAGAAAAAAAAAAAATAGTCGGGTGCAGTGGCTCACGCCTGTAATCCCAGCACTTTGGGAGGCCGAGGCAGGCGGATCACCTGAGGTTGGGAGTTCGAGACCAGCCTGACCAACATGGAGAAACCTCGTCTCTACTAAAAATACAAAATTAGCCGGGTGTGGTGGCGCATGCCTGTAATCTCAGCTATTTGGGAGGCTGAGGCAGGAGAATCTCTTGAACCTGGGAGGCAAAGGTTGCGGTGAGCCGAGATGGCGCCATTGCACTCCAGTCTGGGCAATAAGAGCGAAATTCCATCTCGAAAAAAAAAAAAAAAGGAAAAAAAGGAAAAGAAAAATATATATTGCAGTGAATAAATTGAAAGTAATCAAAATGTATAATTATTTGGACAAAATCTCCAGGCAGTACAGTCTTAGGTATCTTGTTGCTCACAGATTCATGAGAAGCAGTTGTTAGGTGAGCTGCCTGCCTCCCTGGCCCCTCCCCAGTTTGGGCATCTGTGTGCTTGCTTGCAACCAGAGTGCTGGTGACTTAGAAGTAACGCCACTGCTTAAGGTAAAAGTATCCCCTGAACATACCTTCAAGTTCCAGATAAAGAGATTTCAAAAGGAAAGAATCTAAGAGATAAGGAAACTACGTAAGATAGTAGAAATGTTCTGATCATAAGTTAAGATATTTATATTTTGGACTGTTTAGTGGAAATCTTGTGTTGTCTAGCTAACAGAGGTAATATAGTGACTCTCTGGAATGCTGGTGATATACTCTTCCTAAAGAAGTGATAGTTAGGCAGTGGATTGACAGTCTTACAGTGTTTCTTTGAAAAACAGAAGTTGGGCAGTAATTTAAAAAAATAAAACAAGACAGGCACAAAAAGACTCCATTAGTCTGTCATCTATTTGACCTTACTCAACACATACCAAAAACTTGTGGGTGCTTGTTGTTTCTAACAGAAATCTTGGAGAAAACCAAGTCCAGTGTGAATCATCATTCCCTCACTGGGCATAGGCCCTTTCGGAACACATTTGAATCAGATGTATAAGAAATTACCCAAAACTGTAAGCTGCCGTATTTTTATGGCATATAATGGACATAGTGTGGACATTATATATTTTCTTAAATAGCTATAAATATTTTAAATTGGGATAGTATATATTTAATAAGCTTTAAAATATGCCTGCATTGCTTCATTATATCTAAGATGCAATTATGATACAGGTGATGAACACAAAACAAGGAATCTTGAATTTTTTCCCCCACTCTGCCCCTTACAAGCTTTATGGTCATGGGCATGTCACAATTCTGCCAGGACTTAATTAGGGATTTGAATTATATGAGAATATAGAAGAATTCAACTCAGTATTAAGTCTTTCACTAAGAGGGAGCTATTAGGTTGAATCTTATGAAGATGCTAGTTTTATATACCAAAAATGTTCCAATTTCTGTATTATGTAGAGGGATTTTTTTTTTTTTTTTTTTTTTTTTTAGTTCTTAGCCTGAACACCAACTGCCATGCACTCTCCTAAGAACAATCTAGGAGAGCCCATCAGCCAACTCATGGATTCACCTTAGGATGGGAGCATGGGGATGGAAGGGAAGGGAATTGCTTTTCCTTTCATAAGACTGTAGTCTTGATGCCAGTGGTTATTTCCCACTTGTGTCATGACTTTGCTGCTTCTAGTAATAACTCTTTGTTGCTGCTTTGTTTAAAACAAAAAACCCCTGGAATATAGATATATATAGATCAGGACAGCCAACTAGTGGCCTGGTGTAGCTAGTGTATGTTTTTTTGGTTTTGAAAGGGTTTTCTGTTGGTTTGGTTTGGTATGGGAGAATTGCTCATTTTAAAAATTGAATTAGTTAGCAATATTTGTTAAGTGATTTCACAGAAAATTATAATTACTGGCCGGGCAGAGTGGCTCACACCTGTAATCCCAGCACTTTGGGAGGCCAAGGTGGTTGGATCACCTGAGGTCAGGAGTTTGAGACCAGCCTGGCCAACATGGTGAAACCCTGTCTCTACCAAAAATACAAAAATTAGTCAGGCATGGTGGTGGGCGCCTGTAATCCCAGCTACTCAGGAGGCTGAAGCAGGAGAATCGCTTGAACCTGGGATGCGGAGGTTGCAGTGAGCTGAGATCGCACCGTTGTACTCCAGCCTGGGTGACAAGAGGAAAACTACCTCTCAAAAAAAGGAAAGAAAATTATAAATTCTTGTCTGAGCATGGTGGCTCATGCCTGTAATCCCAGCACTTTGGGAGGCCCAGGTGGGCGGATCACTTGAGCTCAGGGGTTTGAGACCAGCTGGGCAACATGGCAAAACCCTGTTATTACAAAAAAAAAAAAAAAAAATTAGAAAAAATTAGTCGGGTGTGGTGGCATGCATCTTTTATCCCAGCCACAAGGGCAGCTGAGGCAGGAGGATCAAATGAGCCCAGGAGGTTGAGGCTGCAGTGTGTCGTGATCATACCACAGACCACTGCACTCTCCAACCTGGGCAACAGAATGAGACCTTGCCTTAAAAAAAAGTAAATAAATATAAAATATATATATATATATATATATCTGCATTCTTAAATAGTTAGAAGATCTGATAATAAACACTGTGCCTACATTCCTACAGGGTGATAAACAGCTAGAGCTGAGTACTTGCTACCCACCTGGGGTGGAGCATATTCTCTATTTTCTGGTTCACTCTAGCCCCAGCTTCTCTCTCTTATGTTCTACTGCACTGGACAGGCCCCTGTAGACATTTGAGTTTGTGATTCTCTTCCACCATCCAATAGATTTTCTGCAATGGTAGAAGTGTGTTATATCTTTGTTGTCCAGTATGATAGCCACTAGCTACATGTGGCAATTAAGCACTTGAAATGTGGCTAGTGTCCTTGAGGAGGCGAATTCTTAATTTTATTTATTTTTAATTAATTTAAATAGACACGGCTAGTGGCTACCATATTGGACAGTTCAAGTCAATAATGGAGTATTTTCCTTTATTGGCTATTTCCTACAGAGTGAAAAGCAAGCCTTAATGCATTTTATATCTATTCTCTTAAATGCTGAATCTAAATGTTAGCATATATTACTGTAAGCCTTATGATTTGAAAACCAAATAACCCTCTCTGATGAAATGGAGCCTGAGACTTTTCTTCTTTTTTCCTCCTTATTTATTTATTCAACGCACTGGGTTTTACATGCCTGTTCTGGGCCCTAGGCATATGATCATGGTCCCTGTTTTCATGAAGCTTACAGATAATTAATAAATATTTGTAAGAGATGCTTGCCCAAGTAATTTAATATTTACTATCTGTAATCCCTTCAGTAGCCCTGCCAGATAAGGATATAATACATTTACTTGTTAATTCCAAGCCCTAAAATTTCCTCATTGCCACTTAGATTCACTTCTAATAGATTGACGTATACTTACTATTGCAGTCCTCTGAAAAGCATCTTACTCCCAAAATATTGAAACTTCCTATAAAGGTGCTGTTTTAAAGCTAGGCTTCTTCATATCTTTTTCATATTAGTAAATCAGCTCAACCCTCACCCTATTACTTCACCTGGCCTTTCTCCTGGCCTTCTGTCTGCCTTCCAAGCTGCGTCTTCTGCTGGCACTTCTTTTTTTTTTTTTTTTTTTTTTTTAACTTGACTTTGGGCCAAGTATGTGTGCTCTCACTCACGGGCAGTCTCAGTAACTCTACTGCTCTTCCTGCTTCTTGCTGTGAAAACTTTTTTCCTCCTTTCACCCTGCAAATGTCAGCCTCCGTCTCCCCCTTTCAAAAATGAAATACACATGTTTAGAAAATACACATTCTTTTGTAGAACCTATCCTTTAAAAAATAACAAATTGCAATCAAATGCACAAAAGATAGATGAATGCTGGAGTGATATATTTATGTTTTTAAATGACTTCTACATTGACAGTTGCTGGTGGAAACATTTGTTGTTTAGTGTTTTTGTAGTTGTTTAATTCCATTGATAACAAGATTAGCAAGGCAGTATTAGGGCTTTTGCTTAGACATGAAAATAGTCCACATGTATTAAATTAGGCAGAATTATAGTATTTGTTAATATAGGACTCAGCCTTTTTCTTTGTGATCTAATTGTCTAACAAAGGTGTCATTTATTCATTTGCTTAAAGAATATTTATTGAGTTGCTATTATGTGAGAAATGCTGTACTTAGAAATGAGATAAATGGAGGATTTATTGACTAAAACTTACAGATTTCTCTTCCAAATCTGCCAGCAGTTTAGATTGAGAGTTTGGCATTTTTTCGTTTAGTTAGGTCTTACCAGTGTTCATCCTGTAAAATACTTGGAGGATGTATATGCTACTATTATTTTTATTACATGAATTTTGTATTTTCAGAATATACACAGTAATTTGCAAATTAAATTCTCAGTATAGTACATAACTTTTCACAAAGTGTAATAATGAAGTACAGTTGTTTCTCGGTATCCCCAGGGGATTGATTCCAGGACTCCGTCACATACCAAAATTCTCAGATGCTCAAGTCCCTTATATAAAATGGTGTTGTATTTGCATATAACCTACCTCCATCCTTCTGTGTACTTTAAATCAGGGGTTCCTCAACGCCTGGGCCGCATACTGGTCCGTGCCTGTTAGGAACCAGGCCAAACAGGTGGAGTGAGCAGAGGGCAAGTGAACATTACTGCCTGAGCTCCGCCTCCTGTCTGATCAGCAGTGGCATTAGATTCTCAAAGGAGCATGAGCCCTATTGTAAACTGCAACTCCGAGAGATCTAGGTTGCGTGCTCCTTATGGGAATCTAACTAATGCCTGATGATCTGGGATGGAACAGTTTCATTTGCCACACCCTCCACGCTGTTGGTGGAAAAATTGTCTTCCACAAAACCAGTCCCTGGTGCCAAAAAGGTTGTGGGACCGATATGTTAAATCATCTCTTGATTACTTTACAATACCTAACACAATGTAAATGCTGTTTAAGTAGTGGTTTTACTGTTTTTTTTTAAATCCATTTTGTTTTATTGTTGTTTTTGGGTTTTTTGTTTGTTTTTTGAGACGGAGTCTCGCTTTGTCACCCAGGCTGGAGTGCAGTGGCACAATCTTGGCTCACTGCAGCCTCCACCTCCTGGGTTCAAACGATTCTTCTGCCTCAGCCTCCTGAGTAGGTGGGATTACAGGCAGCTGCCACCACACCCAGCTAATTTTTGTATTTTTAGTAGACACACAGTTTCACCATGTTGGCCAGGCTGGTCTCAAACTCCTGACCTCAAGTGATCCACCCACCTTGGCCTCCCAAAGTGCTGGGATTACAGGCGTGAGCCACTGCGCCCTGCCAGTTTTTTGTTTTTTTAAACAAATATTTTCTATCCACAGTTGGTTGAATCTGCAGGTACCCAATATGCATATACAGTGGCCCAACTGTAATTTTGACAAGGGTGATTATGAACCATGGTTATGTCGCAATGACTTAGTGACACTGAGTTACTAGGAGTCTTTTTTTTCAGTGTTATAAAGGAGAATGTGCTTTTTCTGTGTGTGTATAGAATTGTATTAGTTGTAGGGAGGCTGATGACTGTCAAGGAGAAATTACTTTGAACTAAGTTCGTGAAGTTTTTATTAGAGATTTTATTCTGTTATATGACCTTTTATGGGACCATATAGAGTTAGGATTAATAGCATGAACCCTAGATTGAAAAGAGAAAAATCCAATTTTGTTTTGTTTTTGCTTACTATGAGGAAAAAATGATATTGAGATGATATAGGAAAAGTTCTTACCACAGTTTCCAGCACATAGTAAGTGTTCTTTAAATGTTTTATTTTTGTTACAGTTGTCATTTTATTCTTGTTGTATTTCTATGCTAGGTAGCCCTTGAGCTTTGTTTTTTTGATGGGAAAAAATATGAGCTTAAACTTACTCTTTAGATAATAATAATAGAAAGACTAGTAATTCAAGAAGTTGATCTTGACTGTTTCCTTATAATAGTAACAAAGCTATTTAATTTTATATGACCAAGGTTATACAATGATAGTCATTGTTAGTCATTATTTCTTTCTCTTTTTTTGAGACAGAGTCTCACTCTGTTGCCCAGGCTGGCGTGCAGTGGCACAATCTTGGCTCACTGCAACCTCCGCTTCCTGGGTTCAAGCGATTCTCCTGCCTCAGCATCCTGAGTAGCTGGGATTACAGATGTGAGCCACCATGCCTGGCTAATTTTTTGTATTTTTAGTAGAAACGGAGTTTCATCATGTTGGCCAGACTGGTCTCGAGCTCCTAACCTCAAGTGATTCGGCCTCCCAAAATGCTGGGATTACAGGCATGAGCCACCGTGCCCAGCTGGTCCTTATTTCTTGTCCGGAGAAATGAGTTGCTCTTGAAGCTTTCTACATCAGATGTTTGTATCTATTTTAATATAAGTGTGAGACAGAAAGAGAAACTGATATCTTCATGTAAAACATTAAGAATTCAAAATAGAAGGTGGTAATTTTTCTTCTCTTATTTTCAACTGGAATAGTTTTTCTACATCTGAAAATGGAACACATAATTTACAAATTTTCAAGTAAAATGTGGTGAATCCCATAGGAAACAGTTTTACAGAGATGTAGTCTGTCTACCCTGCGTAGGTTATAGTTGCTGAAGCCAGAAATCTGAGCCCAGTTATTCTTTAAAATTTTTTTTTTTTAATTTTTAGTAGGTTTTTGAGGAACAGGTGGTGTTTGGTTACATGTATAATTTCTTCAGTGGTGATTTGTGAGATTTTGATGCACCCATCACCCAAATAGTGTACACTGTACCCAATGTATAGTCTTTACGCCTCATCCTCCCTTTCCTTACCTCTCCCACCACCACATCCCCAAAAGTCATTGTATCATTCTCATGCGTTTGCATAGTTTAGCTCCCACTTACAAGTGAGAACATACAATGTTTGGTTTCCCATTCTTGAGATACTTCACTTAGAATAACGGTCTCCAACTCCACCCAGGTTGCTGCAAGTGCCATTATTTTCTTCCTTTTTATGGCTGAGTAGTATTCCATGGTGTGAATATATATATATATATATATATATATATATATATACATATACATACACACACACACACACCACATTTTGTTTATCCACTCTTTTTTGTATCCACTCTTTTTTGTATCTACTAAAAATACAAAAAATTAGCCGGGCGTGGTGGCAGGTGCCTGCAGTCCCAGCTACTCGGGAGGCTGAGGCAGGAGAATGGCGTGAACCTGGAAGGTGGAGCTTGCAGTGAGCCCAGACTGCGCCATTGCACTCCAGCCTGGGCGACTAGCGAGACTCCATCTCAAAAAAAAAAAAAAAAAGTATTCCCTTTTCACCACATCCACGCCAACATCTATTATTTATTTATTTATTTATTTATTTTATTTATTTTGAGACGGAGCTCGCTCTGTCGCCCAGGCTGGAATGCAGTGGCCGGATCTCAGCTCACTGCAAGCTCCGCCTGCCGGGTTCACGCCATTCTCCTGCCTCAGCCTCCCGAGTAGCTGGGACTGCAGGCGCCCGCCACCATGCCCGGCTAATTTTTTGTATTTTTTTTAGTAGAGACGGGGTTTCATCGTGTTGTCCAGGATGGTCTCGATCTCCTGACCTCGTGATCCGCCCTCCTTGGCCTTCCAAAGTGCTGGGATTACAGGCGTGAGCCACCGCGCCCGGCCTATTTTTTTATTTTTTAAATTATAGCCATTCTTGGAGGAGTAAGGTGGTATCATATTGTTTGAGCCCAGTTATTCTTGATGCCTTTATTTCTCCTTTATCTTACTTAGGCACCACTTTCTATTGAATCTGTTTTCAAAATATTTCCTAAATTTGTTTAACTTGAGTCCCACTCCTTTACCATCACCCTGTTCCAAGTGAATATTATCTTTCCTCTGGATTGGTACAGTAGCTTTCCTAGTCAGTGATGTCCATTTTTGCCCCATTCTATTCTGCAAATAGTAGCCAGAGGAATATTTTTAAAACACAAATTTAATTCCTTGCTTCAAAAATTCTCTGATTTTTCATTAATCTTAGGATTTAAAATACTTACGACAGTCCATATATTTCCTACTTGCCTTCCTAGATTTTACTCTGTGTAAATTCACTTTAAAATTAAGCTTCATTGGCTGGGCACGGTGGCTCACGCCTGTAATCCCAGCACTTTGGGAGGCCAATGCGGGCGGATCACGAGGTCAGGAGCTCTAGACCATCCTGGCTAACACGGTGAAACCCCGTCTCTACTAAAAATACAAAAAAATTAGCCTGGCGTGGTGGCGGGCGCCTGTAGTCCCAGCTACTTGGGAAGATGAGGCAGGAGAATGGTGTGAACCCGGGAGGCGGAGCTTGCAGTGAGCCGAGATAAGCGCCACTGCACTCCAGCCTGGGCGACAGATCAAGACTCTGTCTCAAAAAAAAAAAAAAAAAGTTAAGCTTCTTGGCTGGGCACTGCGGCTCACGCCTGTAATCCCAGCTCTTTGGGAGGCTAAGGCGGGCAGATCACTTGAGGACAGGAGTTCGAGACCAGCCTGACCAACATTGCAAAACCCTGTCTCTACTAAAAATACAAAAAATAAAATAAAAATCAGCCAGGTGTGGTGGTGCATGCCTGTAATCCCAAGAATCGCTTTAACCTGGGAAGCAGAGGTTGCAGTGAGCTGGTATCACGCCACTGCACTCCAGCCTGGGAGACAGAGAGAGACTGTCTCAAATTAAATTAAGCTTCCTGAATATAAGCTATTCTGTTAGACAGATACCTGGTTTTTTTGTTTGTTTGTTTTGTTTTTGAGATGGAGTCTCTGTCACCCAGGCTGGAGTGCAGTGGCCGGATCTCAGCTCACTGCAACCTCCGCCTCCTGGCTTCAAGCAATTCTCCTGCCTCAGCCTCCCAAGTAGCTGGGAGTACAGGTGTGTGCCACCACACCCAGCTAATTTTTTGTATTTTCAATAGAGACAGGGTTTCACCGAGTTGGCCAGGATGGTCTCGATCTGACCTCATGATCCACCTGCCTCAGCTTCCCAAAGTGCTAGGGTTACAGGCATGAGCCACTGTGCCCGGCCACCTGTATCCTGTATTTTATTTTTAGTGTTTTTGATGTTATAACTCAGGCAAATAATTTAGGGACTACTTTCAAGCTTCACCAACTTGAATTTCCAAGAATACCATTCTGAAGTTACCTAAAATTAAAATTGCAGTTTTTGTTGTTGTTGTTGTTTGTCTGTTCATTTGTTTTTGAGATGGAATCTCGCTCTGTTGCCCAGGCATGAGTGCAGTGGAGACATCTCAGCTCACCACAACCTCTACCTTCTGGGTTCAAGCAATTCTCCTGCCTCAGCCTCCTGAGTAGGTGTGATTACAGGCGTGCATCACCACACCTGGCTAATTTTTGTATTTTTAATAGAAACGGGGTTTCACCATGTTGGCCAGGCTGGTCTCGAACTCCTGACCTCATGATCTGCCCACCTCAGCCTCCCAAAGTGCTGAGATTACAGGCGTGAGCCACCGTGCCTGGCCTGATTTTTTTAAATAAATGGAGTTTTATTTCATTAGAATGAATACTAGTTCAAGCTTGACTAAATTTGTTACTTGATACTTAATAGTCTTACATTGTGACAAATAGATATGCGTGATTTATGACTAGAATAGCAATTATTTTATAGATGTACTGTATGTTTCCAAGCACTTTCTCTATGTCTATGGGGAACACCAGAAGGCATGGTTAGTCCTGGCATTTGAAGAATATATATTTATATTCTGAATTTGCACCAAGTTTTTTTTGTGTTTTTTTGTTTTGTTTTGTTTTTTGTTTTTTTGTTTTTGTTTTTGTGTGTTTTGTTTTTTTGGTTTTTGTTTTTTGTTTTTGAGACGGAGTTTCGCTCTTGTTGCCCAGACTGGAGTGCAATGGCGCGATCTCAGCTCACTGCAACCTCTGCCTCCTGGGTTCAAGCAATTTTCCTGCCTCAGCCTCCTGAGTAGCTGGGATTACAGGCGCCTGCCACCATGCCCGGCTGATTTTTTTGTATTTTTAGTAGAGACTGGGTTTCGCCATGTTGGGCAAGCTGGTCTTGAACTCCTGACCTCAGGTGATCCACCTGTCTCTGCCTCCCAAAGTGCTGGGATTACAGGCGTGAGCCACCACTCCCAGCCAGCACCAAGTATTTTTTTAATGGTTTACAAAACAAAGTAAAATGTAGCCTGGCTGTATCTAAGTGATCAGCCATTATTTTTCTATTTGTTTCCTGAAAACAACACTGTATTTTTAAATTTTCTGAAAAAGTGGAGACTCATTTTTTAAAATGGTCAGGGTAGCCTTTTAGCTTGCTCCCAAGTCAGCCTAATACCTCTGTGTAGTTTGTTTGGAAATATGTGGTGCTTTACGAACCACATATTTCCAAATTATATTATTTTGTACAAACCTAGATAAACCTTACCTTGACTTTGAAAGCATATCAAGGTCAGTAATGTTTAATTTAGTACATTGTTCAGTGATGAAATGGAGTTGCCAGTTGTTCTTGTCACTTCATGAGATAGTGTTAAATGAATTATTTAGTGTTAAGGACCCTGCTAAATTATTTTAAACGATTCAAAGCGAGTTAAAGTATTTTAAGATTTAGTTCTTTGTTATATTTTCAGTTCATACATTAACCTTTTTAGTTTTGAATCATAAGTTGTCCTCTTTTAATTAAAACCCTTGTGGTTGCCTTTTAAATGTATGATAGAACAGTTAAATTTTTAAAATGAGTTTATTTTTAAAAAAAAAATCAGTGTTTTCCTTTATGTAAAAGGTTAAATGCTTTGAGGATAAAAACTGCATGACACTGTATGAGTGATGAAATTGGCTTTTAGAATTGTAGAATTAAAATTGAAAGGAAAGTATGCTGCATAAACCTGAGTCTGGATGCAGTGGCTACAAATAAATTCAAGTGTAAGAGTGTGACCAGAATAAGCTACCGTTTATAAAGAAGCACTTCACTAAACAAACTGAAACCCTGAGGAATTTTCAAATTGTGAAGTAATGGGAACAATCATTTAATATGGAAGGAAGGAGCTAGTGCATGCCTCCTTCCTTGGATGTCTCATAAGATCAAATCGTGGAGATGACTGAAACAGGGAAGATAATTTAGCGGCAACATAACAGATTACCATTTAGAGAGGCCAAACCCCTGAGAGCTGATTGCATTAGAGGAGGATGGGGGGCCAAGATTAGGACACAGGTGTGTTCAGAAACAGGCTGACACTTACTTGTGTTTCCCACCCACTCCCATCCCCCACCAAGTTAACACATTTAGCTGTCCCGACACTTTGTAAACATTCCTATATCTGTCTTCAATCTTTTTTCTCTCTCTAAAGGTTTATCTCTTAGAAGCTTTGACATAACTTTCCTTGGAGGAATCATTTCCACCTAATCTTTTTGCCTTATCTCTTTTTTTTTTTTTTTTTTTTTTTGAGACAGTCTCTCTCTGTCACCCAGGCTGGAGTGCAGTGACACGATGTTGGCTCACTGCATCCTCCACCTTCTGGGTTCAAGCGATTCTCGAGCCTCAGCCTCCTGACTAGCTGGGATTGCAGGTATGCACTACCATGCCCAGTTCATTTTTGTATTGTTAATAGAGACAGGGTTTCACCATGTTGCCCAGGCTGGTCTTGAACTCCTGACCTCAAGTAATCTGCCTGCCTCCACCTCCCAAATTACAGGTGTGAGCCACTACACCCAGCCTGCCTTATTTCTTATAAGCATGAGCAGCTCTGCTCCAGTTTACTCTCAAAATGCACACCTTGGGATTAATATTTTCTTTTTATCAGTATGCAGTCAGTTGTCCTACCATCCCTCCATCACCCTTGTTCATCTTCAGTACTGCAGTTAATTATAGTATTAAATGCTTGTCTTCCACTAGAGCAAGTCTTTACTGCTATGTCTCCAACCTCTAACCCAGTGCCTGGCAGAAGTGGGTACCCAGTAAACACTTGCTGGATAATTGACAGCAAGAGGCTCCTTCCAGAGTCTGGCTGTGGCACAGCTGCAGCCAGAGGCAGATACAGGAGAATGGTAAGGAGAACTGGAGAGATACGCAGGGACTAGATCCCAAAGAGTCTTAAAGTCCTATGAAGGAACTTGTGCTGCACCCCGAGAATAGTAAGAGGCCATCGAAGAATCATTAATCTAAATCCATCCTTGGGTTGCACATCTCCCTTCTAGACTCTAGCTAGTTGATTTCTCAGTCTTAGCAAGAAAATTTAATCCTTGTTCATAGAAACTCTGTGTGGCACATGAAAAGCAAAGTATAATTGTAAGTATTATTTATGGTTACATATCCAGTAAGTTTCTAAAGACACTTCCAGAGAACTTTTTGTACTTTATAAAGTAAATCATCTTGTGTATTTAAAGGATAAGCATGGATTTATATGTAACTGGAATAATTTAAATATTTACATTTCCATACAGAAATGAGTATACTGAATTTGGGGATCTTGGTAAAAACAAAACCTATGGCATTTTTAGATTTCAAATTGAAAAGGCAATTGGTAAATATCTTATATCTTCTCAGCAATTTGATAGTATATACCTGAAAATAAGCAGAAGTAAATAGAGAATTATCTTCATCCAAGGAATTAAATAATAGGAATGTTATACAGACACCTTTTATACTTAATTCTGCTTTTGAAGGAATTTAAAATGGAAATTGTTTTTAATTTCTATTTTATTGAACCAAAGAATTTAAAGTCCCATTCAAATAAAATAATACATAATGTTAAACTTGTATTATTTTTTAATAGCCAGCATTTTTGTGGTTTTCAAATGAACCATCCAAGGAATTATAGTATTTCTTCTCTTTTTAAGAAAGTGTACTTCTTCAGGTTATAAAAGTAGTAAATACTTATTGCAGAACATTTAGAAAACAAACTTAAAATGCATCCAGTCTGATCTCTTCCTTCCCATCTTTCATGTTAGTTTCACCATTTAAAAAAACTGCCTTTTTTTTTTAATTAAAGGCAATTTTCTAACATCGTTTTCAATTTTTTTGCTGTAACCATTGCATCTCACTGCTTCCTATTGGATTCATTTTCCTTCTTACTGAAATAAATTCTTGAGTAGTTTCTCAGTGAGGATCTATAAATAATAAACATAAGCTTTTGTCCAAAAATGCTTATGTTTTACACTTACTCTTCAATTGTAATCTAACTAGATATGTTAGGCAATTTTCTTAAAAAACTGCAATCTTATATTTTGATATCTTGCTGATGAGTTTAAAAGGTACAGTGATAACTTTTGCATCATTAAAAATAGTTGGCTTAGAAAGCTGTACTTTTCCTTCCTTAAAACAGTTTTTTAAATTTACTGTGCTGATATACCAAGTGAATTAATTTTCTAAATAAGTAAATGATTATAAGCCTTGCTATACTTAATATAAAACAAAATATCCTAAGATAGCTACTTAAATATACATGTACTAGTCAGCTATTGTTTTATAATATACTATACATGGTGGCATATATTTTCAAAAGCAGTGTTTTGAGTTATATTTTATTTTCTGAGACATGGTCTCTCTCTGTTGCCCAGGCTGGAGTGCAGTGGCACAGTCACAGCTCACTGTGGCCTCGACCTCCCAGGCTCAAGTGATCCTACCACCTCAGCCTCCTGAGTAACTAGGACTACAGGCACTGTGCCTGGCTAATTTTTTTTTTTCTTAATTTTTTGTAGAGACAGGATCAGTTTAGATGGTGTCCTGCAGTAGTTCTAGAGCAGTGCTGTCTAATAGAGGTTTCTGTGATGATAGAAATGTTCTCTCTCTGTGCTGTTCAGTAAACCTTGAGTGTTGATGTATTCTCTTTTTATTTACCTTTATCTTTTATCAGCTGAGTAGACATTTTGAATTAATAACTTGATTGATTTTAGACCATGTAATTTAAGATGATTTATTTTTACATGAAGATTTTTTCCCCCAGAAATTTAAGGCTGATTAGCTTCTTGGTTTTAGTGGTTAAGATTTGCCTATATAATAAGCGGGTGAAAAGTACATTGTGGCATTATAATGAGTTAGTTTGTATATTTAGCTTGTGTACTGGTTTCTGCATTATAGTCACGTATATTCAGTGCATTTTTAAAGTATTAAAGCTAGTGTATCCTCTGAGGTTACCTTTTTATATATTAGTTTTCATTGAATAAGAATTATAGAAATAATAACTCTTCATATTTCACTCTGCTAAACAAGAGTGTTAATAATGCCTTATATTTTTTTTCAGATTGCAAATAGAAGAGTCTTCCAAACCAGTGAGGCTATCACAACAGCTGGACAAAGTTGTAACAACCAATTACAAACCTGTTGCTAATCATCAATACAATGTAAGTCTTCTGCTTGTCTCTTTTCATTCTTTTATATCTTCATTCTTTTCTGTATCATAGAGTCTTAGGTTTCCAAAGAACCTGAGAATTTACACACCTTGCCATCAGGTGCTTGAATTACAGTACCTGATCTGGACTTAGTAAGGAATATGACAATTTGCTAAAAGTACAGAAAAGATGTTCACTCTACATTGCAAGTTATATCATGGCAAAAAGAAGGCAACCACTGTTTAAAGTACCCTTGATAAATTTTTACAAAGAAGTAAAACACTTCAATTCTCAATGTTGCAATGTTGCTGATGTTTTAAATTACAATGTACTAACTAAATATTAGTTTTACTATTTTTAAAAATTATTCTATACCTTTGTGATGAACCATAAGAAAGTTTTTAATGTGTTAAAAAATTTTAAAGGTCATGGAACAGCAGTAATTTTTCTCATTGATTATTAAGATCACTTTGCCTGATTTCAGCTTTCACAGGCATTTTAATGGTCTCATACTACCATGCAAAGTGAGGACCATCTGTACAGTAGTACTCCCTTGTCCACAATTTTAAAACTTTATGCAGTTTCAGTGACCCACAGTCAACTACAGTCAAAAATATTGAATGGAAAATTCCAGATGTAAACAATTCATAAGTTGTAAGTTGTGCAACCTTCTGAGTAGTATGATGAAACCTAGCACCATCTTGCTCCATCCCATCCATGATGTGAGTCATTCCTTTGTCCAGTATATCCACATTGTATATGCTACCCACCCATTAGTCACTTAGTAGCCCTCTTGGTTAACAGATCTATTGACACATGATAAAAAGAAAGAAGAGGCTGGGCGCGGTGGCTCACGCCTGTAATCCCAGCACTTTGGGAGGCCGAGGCAGGCGGTTCACAAGGTCAGGAGATCGAGACCATCCTGGCTAACACAGTGAACCCCGTCTCTACTAAAAATACAAAAATTAGTCGGGCATGGCGGTGTGTGCCTGTAGTCCCAGCTGCTGGGGAGGCTGAGGCAGGAGAATGGGAGGCGGAGCTTGCAGTGAGCCGAGATCACGCCACTGCACTGCAGCCTGAGTGACAGAGTGACAGAGCGAGACTCCGTCTCAAAAAAAAAAAAAAAAAGAAAGAAGAAGAGTGAGTACAGAACACCAAGATATTTTGAGAGAGTGAGAGAGAGAGAGACCACATTCACAGACTGTTATTACAGTATATTGTTAGGGTTATTCTATTTTATTATGGGTTATTTTTGTTAATCTCTTACTGTGCCTAATTTATAAATTGAACTTTATCAGAGATATGTATGTATAGGAAAAACCATAATATATAGAGTTTGGTACTATCCACAATTTCAGGCACCAAGTGGGGCAGGGAGGTGTCTTGCAACATATCTCCTGCCAATAAGGGGAAAGTATTGTATATTTATATTTCAAGACTTTTTTATTGTTGTGTATCTTATATGTACTATATGTATTATACAATATACACATTTATTGCATACATATTATGTATACTTTGTGCCAGGTATTGGTCTGAGTGCTTCGTAAGTAATGACACTTAATCTTCATACCAACCCTATGAAGAAACTACAACAGATAAGGTAACAGGCAGAGAGACTGGCTTACCTGAGGTGGTGCAGCCAGTAATTTATCAGTCCAGGTGTTGAACTTAGGCAGTCTAGCTTAGGAGCCATACTGTTAACCACTGTGTATGTTGCCGCTGGTGATTAGCAGTTGCTAAAAGGGCTAAGGGTTTTGGGTTTTGAAATATCTGTAATGTAATAAGTGTGATGGTTTCCTGAAAATAAAATACCTAAGTTAAGTCAAATAGCAATTAACAGTTGGAATTTTGTATCCCACTTTGTTGTTTAAGATTACCTTTGATACTGAGTTTAGGAAGAAAATTTTCTTTAAGACTAGCCTTGGCAGAGTGCGGTGGCTCACGCCTGTAATCCCAGCACTTTGGGAGGCCAAGGCAGGTGGATCACCTGAGGTCAGGAGTTCAAGACCAGCCTGGCCAACATGGTGAAACCCCATCTCTACTAAAAATACAAAAATTAGCCAGGAGTGGTGGCAGGCACCTGTAATTCCAGCCACTCGGGAGGTGAGGCAGGAGAATCGCCTGAACCCAGGAGGCAGAAGTTGCAGTGAGCCGAGATCACACCATTGCACTCCAGCCTGGGGGACAAGAGTGAGACTTTGTCTCAAAAAAAAAAAAAAAAAAAAAAAAGACTAGCCTTTAGTATCAACATTTATTAAGTGACACAGGATAGCATCTACCAAACTACTACTTTATGATATTTGAATGGTTATTTTATATGAAAGTAGCAAATGCCACTAGGGCTAAGTAGATATCTTAAATGAGTGGAACAATGAAATTTAAGAAAGTCAGTGTTAGAGACTGTGTGAACTGGAGTGCACATGACCCATATAAATACATTCACATTTTGAAATTGCTACACTATGTGAGTTAAACAAACCAGGTAAAAGTTCAACTGCATTCAGCCAAGCTTTCATTTTATAGCCTCTGGTTATGCTTTAGGAGGAAAATAAACTAAAGGACAGGTAAGGTTTCAGATGATCCAGAAGAGGTATTTTTCTGTTGTTTTCTGACTTAGATAAATAGATTAAAGTCCACATCTTTGTTCTCTTCCATTGTAGTCTTTTCTACTGTTGGATGGGAATACACACAGTTTTCTGAGAGCTACGTGTAAATAGAGATTCTATTCTACTTTGTAAAACAGTATAGATCTTAGTTGTTTTTGCCTTTCTTCCTCATTGGTGTGCTGCTTCTGTAGCTCCTGACTCACCTTTTTTATCCTTTTATGGGCCAGGCTTCTCTGTGATTTCTACCCTTGTGTATATTTTTATTACAGTGGGTACAAGAAAGACTGCACTTTCATAGGCTGTAAAGAGTTGTTACCTTTCTAGAGGGAAGTTTGGTAATTTATGTCAAATGCACTATAAAAGGATATATCCTTTGACCTAGCAGTTTTGTGTCTAGGAATTTATTATAGTGAGACCAGTGCTCAATGATATATATACAATAATGCTTCTCTCTATTATTTAAGATAGGAAAAGATTGGAAACAAGTGTCCCAAATTGGGGATTCATTAAATAAATATTTTAAGTCATTATTTTTGGATGGTAGGATCTACGTGATTTTATCCTAATTTTCTTTTTTATAAAATCTTCTCCAATTGTTGAAATTGTCACAGTGAGCACGTATTGCCTGAATTGTTGGTAAGCAATAAAGTTATGTTGGGAAGGGGAAGATTGGAAAGGAAAGAAAGCCAGGGAAGAAAGCCATAATAGTACCTTACTGATTGTCTAAGATTTACCTTCTTTAAACAAGTACTTTTTAAATATCTGCTTCGTGTCTGAGATACATACCCCTGGTGAATAAAGTAAGTACAAACATGTTATATTCTGAACTCCTTAGTATATAAAGCTATAGCACCCTCTATAAAGATAATTAACATTAAGTGACATTTTAGTTCAAGATATCAACCTTTGTTAAGGTTGTCATAGTGAAAATGAGTCATTATAGTAATGAATCTTTGATTAAGATTTTTACATCCAAACAAAGATTGACTATAATCTACCACATTGCATTTGAATGTTTAATCATTATTTCTTTTGGGAGTAAACCAGGATAGGCACCTGCATAGCTTTAAAAAACATATTCAGTATTGTAGTGTAATACCAACTATAGAAAGAGTATAACATTTTTGTTATTTATTAGAAGAGGACATTGACTTTTAAAAGACTGAGAAACATAAACGAACACAGGTCAGCAAGAATGATTTAGAGGAAGCATAATAAAGACTTTTAATAAAAAATTTTAACTCGATATAATGTTGAAATGTTTTGAAAGTCTTGCCAGATAAAGTTATATAAACATGAAGCTCAGTGTTTCATTCTAACAGTTGAGCTTCTTTGAATGCAATTTTCAGAATAAAAATTCAAAAAAAATTTGTACAAAAAAGTGAAAGAGGGACTGGGAAATTGCATATGTATTTGAAAAACAATGTTCCTACATTTGGTCAGAAAGAAACTACCTTGCATTTACCCACAGTTTTTTCACCCACCTATGGCAAATAGATGAATTTACCTGTATATATGTAAAGAAAATATCCAATTTTGTTCTTGGAGCTATTCTAAGAATTAAATTCAGATTTATCTTTTTAGTTCACAAACTATCTGGGTATAATGTCTGTCATACTTGCCATTCAGAAACCATCTACTGGGCCAAAAAGAATTATATGATTATTTTTATCTCTTAGAATACTCCATTGAAATCGCACCCCTGAAAACCATCTTCTTACTAGGATATGACATGTCAGGTTTTTTTTCCCTAAGTGGCATTTCCTGTACCTTAAATCTTCATTGAGTGTCTGAAACTTGAATCAGTTCATGTAGGTCAGCATTTTCCACAGTAAATTTTTTGTAACATTAACTAGGTGAGATGGTCACATAAAAAGGATTCTGTGTTTAAAAAACTTGTAGTTTCTGATTATATCCTCCTCTTAAATTGACACTTCACTTTAATATACTCAAGATTAGTAAGCTTTAGGAATTTGTTTAATCCTGCACTTACAAACATTTGAACATCAAATTTCCCCCCATTGTTTGAAGTAGTGAAAACAGACATTGGGAAATAATGGAGATGTCAAAGTATGGTTTACAAGAGGGCCCACTGGGTGAGGGGGAAAATTATTATATTTATATTATTATAAAACTTACATGTATCTTGTTTGGCACCTAGTAAAGGAAAGAAACTGAGCTTTAGAAATACTATGTAGATTGACCCTGGCATCTTTTTGCAGCTCCTGTGCTAGTCGGTCGTTTTTCAGCAGAAGAGCGGAAATGGGACAGGACAGAGGGGTTGAGCGTTGTGCCTTCATGTTTTCATTTGCTTTCAGCTTTTTAGCATTGGTGCTCAATTCAGAGATTTACAGATTATAGTATCTATTTTTAACTAAACTCAGTCTCAACAAATGATTTCTGCAGAGAAACTGTCAATTAGAGATAATACTAATAAACCAAGCATATGTGAACAAGAAAGTGAAAAACTGAACTTCTCTTGCTTCTAAAAATGGTTTATCAGTCAATCTTTGAGGTGACAAACAGTGATGATGTAATCAGATCTGAAAAGAACTTGGCCCTTCCAAAAAGGAAATTATCAGTATCATTTTAAATATGGCTTGTCATGCCCTGTCTTTAATGATGACTCAGTTAGTGTCTATGGTGGAATCAAAAACAACTCTAGATATTCCAAGCAGAAAAGAATGTAATGTAGGGAGTTAGTTACAAATGATTTAGGAATACCAAATGGATGGGCTGGAGTTGCAAAAGGAAGAAGAGATCAGGAAGCTGCTGCAGAGGTGCTCCTGCAATACAAAAAAAAAAAAAGAAGAAAAATCTCCCTCCCTCCCACTTTCATTCTCCTATTGGCAGAACCCCAGCTGGAAACCCGCTAGCAAGGGAATCTTGGAAATGTAGCCTGCAGACCTCTTGCCACCCCACCCTTACCACCAAGGCTAGAGTTGAAGACTTGTTGCAAAATAACTGGCAAAGTGGCCCTTGACCTTTGTGAGTGTTGTACCTTGTTATATTAGCTTAGCTATTGCTGATACAAAGCTATCACGGTGTTCAATGTATTTAAAAACTAAGCATACAGAACATGAATGCAAATCACTGTATTTTGAGAGCAAAACGAAAACGTATTTTGTAGTTTTGACAAAACTTACTCTTAAAATTATACTCTTTCATCCCTTTAAAATTTTTTATCTTGTGTATGCTTATATCTATTTATAAATACAGTAGTACGTTTGTCCAGTTTATAAAGATATATGCATAGCTCATGCTTTTAATTTTTTGCTCACAAAGGTGTATAATCAAAGTTATAGAGTCAGCTGATGCGTAAGGTTCTTTGCAACTCCCTCCAACTTTGAATCCAAGTAAGGGCGACTCTGTGTGTTCTGGTTGACTTTGTGAACATCGTATCTAGCCTATGTAAATTTCATAGCATTCTTTTATGTATTTCATGGCCTCTTATAAACTTTCTCATAAGGAATTCCTTTTCTTCTCATAAGGAATCATGTCCTCTGTTGTCTAGACATTTGTTTTCGGTGTTGCTGTATACTAGAATCACCTGGGAAGCTTTTAAAGAAGAAAAATAGGCCGGGTGCGGTGGCTCACACCTGTAATCCCAGCACTTTGGGAGGCCAAGGCAGGTGGATTACCTGAGGTCAGAAGTTCGAGACCAGCCTGACCAACCTGGTAAAACCCCGTCTCTACTAAAAGTACAAAATTAGCTGGGTATTGTGGCACATGCCTGTAATCCCAGCTACTTGGGAGGCTGAGGCAGGAGAATTGCTTGAACCCGGGAGGCGGAGGTTGCAGTGAGCCAAGGTCATGCCACTGCACTCCAGTCTGGGCAACAAGAGCGAAACTCCATCTCAAAAAAAACAAAACAAAACAGAAAAATACCCTCAGAAACTGATTTGGTTAATCTAATGGGGAGGCCAGCCATCTTAAGTTTTTAAGCTTCTTGGGTAATTCTAGTATGCAGCCACTGAACCAAAGAGATGAGAACTTTTTATAGTTCTGCCATCTCCTGTTGAGGGTGGGGTGTTCAGTAATGGTACTTAGAAGGAAACCTCTTTCTCGCAAACCTAGAACTTTTTTTTTTTTTTTTTTTTTTTTTTGTGAGACAGAGTCTCGCCCTGTTGCCCAGGCTGGAGTGCAGTGGCACAATCTCGGCTCACTGCAAGCTCCGCCTCCCGGATTCATGCCATTCTCCTGCCTCAGCCTCCCAAGTAGCTGGGACTACAGGCGCCCGCCACCACACCTGGCCAATGTGATCCACCCATCTCGGCCTCCCAAAGTGTTGGGATTATAGGCGTGAGCCACTGCGCCTGGCCAAACCTAGAACTTTTAAAAAGAATTAATATTTCTTTTCTTTGTTAGAATTTCTGCCCCACAGTTTGAAAAAATAAGTTTTCTCTCTCTCATTTTTTTTTTTCTTATTTCTGGTAAAAGCTCTTGGCCAGAAAGAACTCGAAAACCTTAACTGTGCTCAGATGGGTAAGAGAAAAAAAAGAAAAGCTTACTTAGTAAACTGGTTGTTGAGGTAAACCCCCAGGAACTAGAAAGGAAATTCATTTTTATGCATATATGCTCTGTTCCCTTCAGTGTGGCAGCCGACTGTGTTAGTCTGCAGAACTAAGATTTGGGGTTTGAGTGGTTGATCTTTTAAAGTTCTATGCATAAATTTGAATTTTCCTAAATAAAAAGGATGTTTGTAGGACTATATCATGAGGGCTTTTCAGTAATATTTGCCTGTTATAATACATAGTATAAGTATACTACATGCTTTGTCCATTTGAATTTGCACACAAAGGACTGACCAATTCTAAAGAAATAATTTCCTCCCAAGAGATAATGACACACTAGGCAGAAATAGAAGCATTAGTTGAGGGGAGGGGGAATAATATCTCATAAGGATTTAACATGCAGAACCATGATATTCAAAGCTGTCATGCTCACTTCAAAAGTTAAAAGGCTTTACAAAGACTGCCTTGACAAAACACAGTATTTCTGCAAACAATAATCTAGAAGTTTATAGATGTCTGTATTATAAATTTTAATTGGTAGTGGGTGGCATTTATAATTTTAGTCAGTGATTACAGCTTCAGTAATGATGGTTGAACATATATATACCAAATCCACAAAGGATTGTCAACATTTGGTTGCATTTTAGTCAAGAATAGGCTGGGCGTGGTGGTTCACACCTGTAATCCCAGCACTTTCGGAGGCTGAGGCGGGTGGATCACTTGAGTTTGAGACCAGCCTTGAGTTTGAGACCAGCCTGGGCAGTATAGCCAGACCTACCTCTTCAAAAAAATTTTAAAAATTGGCTGGGTATGGTGGCATGCCCCTGTAGTTCCTGGAGTTCGAGACCAGCCTGGCCAACGTGGTGAAACCCTGTCTCTAATAAAAATACAAAAATTAGCCAGGCATGGTTGCACACGCCTGTAATCTCAGCTATTCAAGAGGCTGAGGCAGGAGAATCACTTGAACACGGGAGACGGAGGCTGCAGTGAGGTGAGATTGCGCCACTGCACTCCAGCCTAAGCAACAGAGTGAGACCCCATCTCAAAAAAGAAAAGGTTTGGGGGCCGGGTGCAGTGGCTCAAGCCAGTAATCCCAGCACTTTGGGAAGCCGCAGTGGGCGGATCATGAGATCAGGAGATCAAGACCATCCTGGCTAACACGGTGAAACCCTTTCTTTACTGAAAATACAAAAAATTAGCTGGGTGTGGTGGCACGCGCCTGTAGTCCCAGCTACTCGGGAGGCTGAGGCAGGAGAATCACTTGAACCCGGGAGGCTGAGGTTGCAGTGAGCTGAGATAGCATCACTGTACTCCAGCCTGGGGGACAGAGCAAGACTCCATCTCAAAAAAAAAAAAAAAAAAAGAATAATTTGTGTTCTGTTGTGAAAATTAATTGTATATGATGGATTTTTTGGTAAAAATTTGTAACTGAAGACTAAAGTACTTTCTGAATTGACATTTATTTCTATATAGTCAGTTGCGCAGTGATCTGTGATCATTGGATAGAAGATTGGTAATTAAAATTCACACAATATAAAAGCTGTTTCTACTCCAGTCTTACTAAGAGTTGTAGTGGCTGCCAACAAGTTAGATATCTGACTGCTTTAATATCATTTCCTTACAGTGCCTGAGCTCCACTGAGAAACAAAATGCCCAAAAGGCAAGGAGCTAAAAAGAGAAGAAATAACATTATCTCAAAACTGTAATCTTCTCCTAAATAGAATAGTTCATATCATTGGTAGTTTATTTGTACAGTTAATTTTATTTGTAGTGTCAAGTTGTGAATATAGTATTAAGATTACCATTTCTGCACTGTTTAGTTTTAAAAAATTACCTCAGTGACCTTGGTTTTGTCCTAACTATAAGTTATTAATAACTTAATGGCCATGGAAATTATTTAAATCCCCTTCGATAATTACACATACACTGGAACTACTTATCTGATACCACAGAGCAGAATTTGGATTATGAGCCTGTCTTAGACATTATCAAAAAAAAAAATTTAACTGGCTGGGTGCAGTGGCTCATGCCTGTAATTCCAGCACTTTAGGATGTCAAGGTTAGAAGATCACTTGAAGCCAGGAGTTTGAGACCAACCTCGGCAGTATAGCCAGACCCTATCTCTTCAAAAAAATTTTAAAAATTGACTGGGTATGGTGTCATGCCCCTGTAGTTCCAGCTACTTGGGAGGCTGAGGCAGGAGAATAATTTGATCCCAGGAGGTTGAGACTGCGATGAGCTATGATCACACCACTGCACTCTAGTCTGGGCGACAGAGTGAGATCCCATCTCTAAAATTAGTTAACTAATTAAAACAATAATATTTTTGTAGTACAGTATTAGTTAAATCTTTAATTTATTTTTGAGACGGTGTCTCACTCCGTTGCCCAGGTTGGAGTGCATTGGTGCATTCTCAGCTCACTGCAGCCCCTGCCTCCTGGGCTCAAGTGATCCTCCCACCTCAGCCTCCCAAGGAGCTTGGACTACAGGTGAGTGCCACCACACCCAGCTAATTTTTGTAGAGGCTGGGTTTTGCCATGTTCCCCAGGCTGGTCTCGAACTCCTAAGCTCAAGCGATCCGCCCACCCCAGCCTCCCAAAGTGCTGA
Source organism: Homo sapiens (assembly GCF_000001405.40). Taxonomy (NCBI): domain Eukaryota; kingdom Metazoa; phylum Chordata; class Mammalia; order Primates; family Hominidae; genus Homo; species Homo sapiens. The sequence goes on from NC_000013.11 coordinate 45,262,689, forward strand.
GATAACAGGTGTGAGCCACTGCGCCCGGCCTAATCTTTATTTTGTTATTTATTTATTTATTTATTGTCTTAGAGACAGAATCTCACTCTGTTGCCTAGGCTGGAGTGCATGAGTGGCATGATCATAGCTCACTGCAGCCTCAACTTCTTGGGCTCAAGTAATCCTCCTGCCTTAGCCTCCTGAGTGGCTGGGACTACAGGCTCGTTCATGGCTAATTTTGTAGAGATGGGTCTCACTTTATTGCCCAGACTGGTCTCAAACTCTTGGTCTCAAGTGATCCTCCCCCCTTGGCCTCCCAGAGCACTAGGATTACAGGTGTGAGCCACCATGTGTGGCCATAAATTTTGTTTTAAAACAATCTTCTATAAATTATCCCGTAGTTAAACAGTCCCTGAGGACATTAAAGAGATGTTCTGTTTTTATTTTTAAATAAATTTAAATAAATGTAGGATTAAATTTAAAGTACTTAAATTTCTCTAGTGAGGAATGTTTCTGTTTTGTTCTTGCTATCGTTATTTTGTATGTCTGGGTTTTCAGACTAAATTTTTTTTTTTTTTGAGACGGAGTCTCACTCTGTCACCCAGGCTAGAGTGCAGTGGCGCGATCTCGGCTCACTGCAAGCTCCGCCTCCCAAGGTTCACACCATTCTCCTGCCTCAGCCTCCCGAGTAGCTGAGACTTCAGGCGCCCGCCACCATGCCCGGCTAATTTTTTGTATTTTTAGTAGAGACAGGGTTTCACCATGTTAGCCAGGATGGTCTTGATCTCCTGACCTCGTGATCTGCCCACCTCGGCCTCCCAAAGTGCTGGGATTACAGGCGTGAGCCACCGCACCTGGCTTACAGACAACATTTTTAAGAGTTTTTGTTTACTACAGATTATGTAGTCAGGATACCTTGAAACTATGCTTCCAGGTGGCTATCCTCAAGCTTTGGGCTCGAATAAACTATATAGTTAATTTTATTTTCTGAATCTCATTACTTAAGATTGACATATGCCTGTCAAGGACAATAACTACCATGGTTTCCAGTGCTTTGATGAAACCAAACGCCATGCATCTGAGGTTTTATGTTGTTGGAGCATTCATTGCATCCCTGGGGGTTGCAGCTCTCTGTAAGTTTGCTGTGCTGAAGCAAGAAATAAGGCATATGCAGATTTCTTCAGAAATTAGGATTCCATGAAAGATATTGAGGAGATGAGGAAGGCTGGTATCTTTCAGAGTGCAAAGTGGTTTGGGAATATAAAGAATTTGCTTGGATTGAATCACATGGAAGTTTGTCACTGACTTGTGTTCGTGAACTATGAAACACGAATATCTAGGCTGAGAAAGAGTTCGTCTTGATAAGTAAACAATTAACAAATATTTCGGACAGGAAGAAAAAAAACAGTTTTTGTTCACTAGGCAAATGTAGAGGTAGGCTGCAGTGCCCCCAGGAACTAAACCAGTGATATACATGTTAACACAGAAAGATAAGCATATATTTTTAGTCTGTTTTTCTAATTTTAAAGAGAAAGCACCAACATTAACTTCAATTTGAGATTGAAGCATGTAAACCAAGATTTTTTTTTTATTTTTTATTTTTTATTTTTATTTTTTTATTTTTTTATTTTTTTGAGACAGAGTCACTCTGTTGCTGAGAGTGGAGTGTAGTGGCACGATCTTGGCTCACTGCAACCTCTGTCTCCTGGCTTCAAGCGATTCTGCTGCCTCAGCCTCCCTAGTAGCTGGAGATACAGGCGTGTGCCACCACGCCCAGCTAATTTTTTTGTATTTTTAGCAGAGACTTGGCCGTGCTGGTCTTGAACTCCTGACCTCAAATGATCCGCCCACTTTGTCCTCCCAAAGTTGCTGGGATTACAGGCGTGAGCCACTGCGCCTGGCCCCATGATTTTTGAAAAATCTGGGTAGAATTCGGTAATTTTCTTACTACTCATTAATGTTACTAATTACAACTTAATCCGACCCTTACTCTTATCCCTAGTGTTGATTTTAAAGTTCTTTTCTAATTTATTAATTTTTACCTTTGATTCAGGTCCTCTTGCATCTGACATGTGACTCTGGGTTGGGACAACTTGATAACAACACTTAAGTTTTCTCTCCACAGCCAACTAGAATGTGCGCCCTCTGTAAAGTAGGTTATCTTACTTTACCAGTGGGCTTATTTGAAAACATTTTTCATGTTAAACTTCCTAGCTTCTCCAATCATTTTACACAAGAAACAGCCTACTGAAGGTGGAAACTGAGTATACCATCACTTCTCTGCTATTTCCTGAATTTAACTTGAGACTGAGGCCAGGCGTGGTGGCTCACGCCTGTAATCCTAGCACTTTGGGAGGCCGAGGCGGGCGGATCACGAGGTTAGGAGTTCGAGACCAGCCTGGCCAACATAGTGAAACCCTGTCTCTACTAAAAATACAAAAATTAGCTGGGCATGGTGGTGCGCACCTGTAATCCCAGCTACTCGGGAGGCTGAGGCAGGAAAATCACTTGAACCCAGGAGGTGGAGGTTGTGGTGAGCCGAGATTGCACCACTGCACTCCAGCCTGGGCAATAGAGTGAGACACCATTTCAAAAAAAAAAAAAAATTGAGACTGGCTGGATTTCAGTCTTCCCTAACAATACAATCTGTGTCATTCATTTGCATTTTTTTTAAGCATGGTGATCTTGTCCTAGGTAGCTCTTTGTCCATTACTGCATTTAAAATGCTCAAGGCCCTCCCCTCTCTAATCATTTTAATCCATTTAAAGCCGTTTTAGAAAGAAAAAGCTGTCTTACTCTCCCCATATCTTAGCGCAATGCCTAGCATATAGTCATGCTTAATCTGCTGAAGCTCAGTGGAGTTTGAGTTTTACTCCCAGTTCGTACATATCAAAAAATGAAGATGATTGAGTCCTTTCCCTTTGTCTCACTCCCAACTTTATTTAATTGAAAAGTAGATACTCAAGGTTTTCAGTTACCTTTTACCACTAATTTGACAGTCTCTCATAAGACATATTTTTAGTTTTAATATCAATAAATCAATAGAAACTAAATTTTATCCTTTTATAACAAATCTTTATTGTTAAAATAGAGTAAGCTAACTACCTGAGGCTATTTGTGGAATAATTTATTTGTAAGTTTTTAAATGTATCCCATTGTTTTCGAAGCTAGTCCCCAGATTATAATTATTCCAGCTGACCCACAGGACATTCTTCTCTGGCAGTTTCCACCCAACCTACTGATGCTTTCTTCACCAGGTTGGCCCCTTCAACAAGTTTCTGATGGTTTATACAAGTGAAGTGTTCCTAAAAAGAAACAAACAAATATCTCAATTAACTAAGTAATAGAACAGAACTTGCATATTTTAAGTAAAAAGGGTGATGTTTTACAATTGAACAGTCCCAGGATGGTAACAGTAGGAGGGAACTTCTTCATTGTGTTAGTGCCACTGCTTTTTAAGCTGGCATGCATGGAGGTACACAAAACTGCAGAATAAACATAACACATGGTCCTGAAGTGTCATTTTTATTTGGATAGTAGATACTGTATTTTTTACTTCATGTTAAAAAATAAAGATGTATTATACAGGTGAATTTAGAGGTCACATGAAGTTTTAAATGGGAATTTCAGAAAAATGGTTTGCTTGTGTCTGAGATGATAAGTATATAATTACCCCTTTCTCTTGTTAAACTAACTTTTATTGTATGGGAAGAGAAACAGGTTCAAGGAGGTTGCACAGGGTCAGGATGAGAAAAGGTCCATGTCCTTTCCTTTTTACCAATGCTTCCCAAACTTTTCACTCCGTAAAGAACCCGTTTTATAATCTGCCTGCCTCCAAGAACCCCACATTTGAAAGATGTTACCTATGAAACTGCATCTGTTAGATAAACTGTTTTACTGTTAATCAAAAACAAAAGCACTACACGTTAGAGTTTTCGATCAACACAAGATAACCAGTTAACCGCACTGAATTGATACAGTTTTGGCAAAAGGCCTTTTTGGGGGGAAATGTACACATTATGCATTACATAAAGCTTTAGGGGATAATGAAAGTGACTGGAATTATTACTAACTTAGAGCCTTAAAGATACGGGGACCCCAGGAGTAACAGGTCCCAGGTTCTGAACTACTGTTCAGAGGCCTGCTGCCTCGAAACTTACGATCTAGTCGTTAATGGATGACTCAAAAGAGAATGCCTGGGCAAGCACGGTGGCTCACACCTGTTATCCCGACACTTTGGGAGGCTGAGGCAGGTGGATCACCTGAGGTCAGGAGTTCCAGGCCAGCCTGGCCAACATGGTGAAACCCCGTCTCTACCAAAAATACAAAAAATTAGCCAGGCGTAGTGGCGGGCACCTGTAATCCCAGCTACTCGGGAGGCTGAGGCAGGAGAATCACTTGAACCCAGGAGGTGGGGGTTGCAGTGAGCTGAGATCATGCCACTGCACTCCAGCCTGGGCAACAAGAGCAAAACTCTGTCTCAAAAAAAAAAAAAAGAGAATGCCTGTGTTTTAGAGTGAGCATGTTGAATTGATGCTTTTATTTCCTTTGCTGTTTGCATATAGATCGAATATGAAAGGAAAAAGAAAGAAGACGGAAAGCGAGCTCGAGCTGATAAACAACATGTTTTAGACATGCTATTTTCAGCCTTTGAGAAACATCAATACTATAATCTTAAGGACTTGGTGGACATCACAAAGCAACCTGTGGTATGTATATGTTCATACTGATCCTTTGAATATGCCCTCCTTCATTAACACGACATTACTGAAAGTGTGTCATACATGATTTAGTTCACATTTACCTATGCTAATGACTAATTTTATGACAACACTCAGAAAAGATGTCTTAATGCAGCCATTTTTGGTAACATCAGCTTTTATTTTACATTTTAGTACTCTTAATAATTATTTATGAAGAAAAGAAATTATCCTCATGTTCATTTATTCTTGACATTAAGCCTGAAATCTGTTGATACCATTTCTGGTCTTTATTTTGTTTCCCTATCTTCCTCTGAGAAAGTTTAACTCCTTCCCTTTTTTTGGAAAACATGCCTCATAGAAAAATCGCATTCTTTAAAGAATTATACTGTTTTGTCATTGTGGGAGGGTTTATCCCTGTCTTGTGAATTGTTTTCTGTGGATTTTTTTTTTTTTTTTTTTTAATTAGAATCTGTGTAGGTCCTTTTAAACCTGAACTGAACTGCACTTTCAAATTATGCTTGCAGAGATTGTGATTAGGTTGGCCTGTTCCCCATTTTTAAGGACAAATTTAACAAATTCGTATTTTAGAAAGTTTATGTTTGTTTTATAGTCATTTTTATCTCTTCTCTAGGCTTTTGTGCATTTACTAGTAATTTGCATTAATAATCCATTTAAAATGATGATAACAATAAGAAATTCAAATTCTTTTTCTAGTCTTTGAGTCACATTGTTTTCCATTTAACTTTCTCCACCACATGTCACCAAAGTATCAGACTGAGTATTTACTTATAGGTTTAAGAAAATTGAATGGAAACCCTTTTATCTCATTTCCTTTACCATTTTGTCTACTCTGCCGGTATACTCAAGAATCTGTTGATTCTTGCTGCTCCATTTATTGGATTCAGAATATGTAACAATAACCAATTTTAAAAAACATCTTAACATAACCAAATAACCTATTTGTGAAAGGACTTGATTTTTTTTATTTATACAAAGCTTTAGGAAATGATTTATGAAATTTTAATGTTCATTATACAGTTTCTCCTGCAGATATTTCTTTACTATTATACATCAACCCTTGCCTTTTGTTAAGAAATTAATTTGAATTCCAAAAGATTTACTTTTTAATAAGAAGAAAGTGCTCATGGTGGAGTATTATCAATTCATCCCAATGACTTCACTCCCTTTGGCATCAAAGCCTTAGAAACAGCATTCTAAGCTAGATTAAAAATTTTTTTTGAAATAGAATAAATAACTCATTAGCTAAGCTGTGTTTCTTCTGGTTTTAATGAAATTTATCTTTGTATTTATATATATAAATATATCTGTATGAAAAGACCCTTCCAGAAACTCTGAAAACAGACGAGATTCTCATGGAATTAAACACAAAAAATTAGATATGGAAAATAATCACTTGTAGAGGGGCATTCAGATGATACTAGGGAAAGCAGTTTCTTTGCCTTCACATGGGATATAAGGTTTATTCATTTTGCATCAAAGAACAAGTATTACTAGTGTGTCTTTTGGTTTTGGTTCTTAAGATATTTTTTATATGGTAGTACTCAGTGAATCTCTTACAACAGAGCTTCTTAATTCCTAACCAGTGGATGGACTTAAGGGGATCCATTAACTTCCTGAAAATCTGCAAAAATGTATGAATTGTTCTGGGGAACATATCATCCATAGTTTGTATCAGATTCTCATAGAAGCCGCTGATCTCAAAACTAACTTTTTAAATAATAGTTTTATTATTTAGAGACTAAATTGCCTCAATAAGCATAAGATTCCTGAAGGCAGAGTTGTATGCTATTCCTATCCCTAAATATTCATATACCCCATAGTGTAAAAGATGGTAAAAATTCAGCAAATATCTCATGAATTGATTTGAAAAAAGAAAATCCTCAGTCTCCAAGGGCCACCATATTTTCTTCAGATGGATTTTGGCAGGCCTCTCACGTCATTTATAGTGAGGTTGGGGCAAAGAGCCAGTGCCAAGAAAGTGTGGAATGCCTTCCCCAGGCTGGGGGTAGGCCAGAGGTAGTTACCTCCTCCTAGAGGAGAGGGCAGGAAGTGGTCAGCATGGATTCCAGTCCATTGACTGGGAAAGAAAGTTGCCAAAGTCTAGCTCTCCCCCAAGTAGGCAACTATCCCCCTTTAAAAGGATTCGAGGACATAAGTGAATCTGTACTAATGGTCATCAGTACCCAAGAGACTTGAGGAATCTATTCTAGCATGAAGATCAATGGTCCAGGAAAGGGGGTGTTCTGGTATAATGGAAAGAACCTGGATTTGGAGTATGAGATCCTAGTTCAAGTCCCAGCTCTACCATTTAGCCAAATAGTCCTGGACAAGGTACTTAAATACATTTAATACATTACTTATATTTAGTTCACTTAACATATGTAATAATATAAAATTTACCAATATGTTCAAATTATAATTTATTTTGGGGGTGGGGTGTTTTGTTTGTTTGTTTTTGAGATGGAGTTTTGCTCTTGTTGCCCAGGCTGGAGTGCAATGGCACAATCTCTGCTCACTGCAACCTCCACCTCCCGAGTTCAAGCGATTCTCCTGCCTCAGCCTCCTGAGTAGCTGGGATTATAGGCGCCCACCACCACACCTGGCTAATTTTTGGATTTTTAGTAGAGATGAGGTTTCACCATGTTGACAAGGCTGGTCTTGAACTCCTGACCTCAGGTGATCTACATGCCTCAGCCTCCCGAAGTGCTGAGATTACACGTGAGCTACCGTTCCTGGCCAAAACCTTCATTTCTATAAGTAAAATTATTGGCTAGAGAAACTTTGCTTAGGGCCCGTCTTTTTCTCTTGTTTGCCAGTATGTGACTTACATAAGCAACTAGAAAGAGTGAAAGTTACTCATCAAGGAGGCCAAGCTTTGGTAACTGATATAAAGTCGGGGACATAGTATCCATTTAAAGATATATTATCTTAGTCTGTTTTTTGTTACTTATAACAGAATACCTGAAGCTGGGCAATTTTTAAAGCAAAATAATTTGTTTCTTAAAATTTTGGAGGCTGAGAAGTCCAGGATCAAAGGGCCACGTCTGGTAAGAGGCTTTTTACATCGCTTAGTGAGGAGGCTGAGCGTGCTAGCTCAGGTCTCTCTTCCTCTCCCTCTTTTTATAAAGCCACCAATTTCACTCCCATGATAACCCATTAATCTATGAATGGGCAGAACCCCCATGACCTAGTCACCTCTCAAAGGCCCAATTCTTACTACTGCCACATTGAGAATTAAGTTTAACATGAGTGTTAGAAGGGACAGATATACAAACCACAGCAGGTATTTTTATATGGTTTAACTTCTGGATTTTTCCCCCCTCAAAAATAGAAAATTACAGGAGGCCTATTATTTCTCCCTGATACTCTGATTTTTAACCTTGAATGAGTTATTTCTAGCTTTTTTCATATTTTATCTGTCAAATAGAAGCATATATAGTGTTTCCTTTGAAGATATAAACCATTAAAAACTTTATCTAATTGCTCCCTTTGAAACACCAAACTGCCAATACCACTCTGAACTTCAACACTCTGTTTTCTATCTAACAGCGTTCATTTACCAGTGTTCCTGTACAGCATACTTGTATTAAAAAGTGTCATTGAAAACTAGTCCCTGATTGGCCGGGCGCGGTGGCTCATGCCTGTAATCCCAGCACTTTGGGAGGCTGAGGCGGGCAGATCACGAGGTCAGGAGATCGAGACTATCCTGGCTAACACGGTGAAACCCCATCTCTACTAAAAATATAAAAAATTAGCCAGGCGTGGTGGCCAGCCCCTGTAGTCCCAGCTACTCAGGAGCTGAGGCAGGAGAATGGTGTGAACCCGGGAGGCGGAGGTTGCAGTGAGCGGAGATTGCGCCACTGCACTCCAGCCTGAGCGACAGAAAAAAGAAAAAAAAAAAGAAAACTAGCGCTGATTATAACTGGACCTCTTAATTTCCTTTTGCACCACCTACCCAATTTCAAGTCAGGATTCAGAGAAGTTTATTTTTATTTTATTTTATTTTATTTTTGAGACAGTCTTGCTCTGTCACCCAGGCTAGAGTGCAGTGGTGCAATCTCGGATCACTGCAACCTCCACCTCCTAGTTCAAGCGATTCTTCTGCCTCATCCTTCTGAGTAGCTGGGATTACAGGCGCCCACCACCACACCCAGCTAATTTTTTTTTTCTTTCTTTCTTGAGACAGAGTCTTGCTCTGTCCTCAGACTTGAGTGCAGTGACACGATCTCAGCTCACTACAACCTCCACCTCCCGGGTTCAAGAAATTCTCCTGCCTCAGCCCCCCGAGTAGCTAGGACTACAGGCAGGCACCACCATGCCTGGCTAATATTTGTATTTTTAGTAGAGATGGGGTTTTGCCATGTTGGCCAGGCTGGTCTCAAACTCCTGACCTCAGGTGATCTGCCCGTCAGACAGGCTGCTTTCTGATTTCTATATTATTAAGAATCATCATCATTAATCCTAAGCCAGGTATGTAGAGAGTAGAATTTAAGCTTTATCTTAGTTCAGTTTCTACTCCAAAAGGAAAAATAGGTATTTTTAATGTTTGAAGCTTATTCCCAAATTTACTACTACTTAATAACTGCTGTTTTTATTATAATGCTTTCCACTGACATATATTCACTTGGTTCCTTTTTTCATCTTTTCATTTTTCCTATAACTGGAAATTTTTATTTTTAAATTTTTATATTTTTATATTTTAAATATAAATTTTTTATATTTTAAAAAAAAGACAATTTCCCAACAGAGCATATTGACAGCCCTCTTTAAGACTTCTCTTTTAAGAAATAATTATTTGCTAACTTATGAAATAGAGCCTTAATTAAAAGTTTTAGAATATGAAATGTGATGTAAAATAAACTATTAACTATGTTGACTATAAGTGGGTGAAATTTAAACACATTTATAAAATTTTAATACTTTCTTTTTGAATAGTGATTCTAATAGAAGGACCAATGATCTACTACCAACTTTATTATGGAACAGTAACATTTTCCCTTTTAACTTTTTATATGGTTTTGTTTTGGCTCTTTAAAAAAAAAAAAAAAACAAAAAAAAAAAACAGGGTCTGAACAGGTGAGTGGTTCACGTGAGTAATCCCAGCACTTTGAGAGGCCAAGGTGAGAGGATTGCTTGAGCTCAGGAGTTCAAGACCAGCCTGGACAACATGGTGAAACCCCAACTCTACAAAAAAATACAAAAATTAGCTGGGAGTGGTGGTGCACACCTGTAGTCCCAGCTACTCTGGAGGCTGAGGTTGGGAGAATTGCTTGAACCCAGGAGGTGGAGGTTGCAGTAAGCCAAGATTGTGTCACTCTACTCCAGCCTGGGTGACAGAGCGAGACCGTGTCTCAAATAAATAATAAAGAGACAAGGTCTCCTGCTGCCACCCAGGCTGGAGTGCTCAAAGCTCCATAGCTCATAGCATGATCATAGCTCGCTGTCACTTCAATCTTTGGACCCAAGCAGTTCTCCCACCTCAGCCTCTTGAGTAGTTAGGACTACAGGCATGCCCCACCACACCTGGCTAATTTTTTTTTTTTTTTTTTTTTTGAGACGGAGTCTCACTCTGTTGCCCAGGCTGGAGTGCAGTGGCGCAATCTCGGCTCACTGCAACCTCCGCCTCCCGAGTTCAAGCAGTTCTCTGCCTCAGCCTCCCGAGTAGCTGGAATTACGGGCGCCCGCCACCACGCCTGGCTAATTTTCGTATTTTTTTAGTAGAGACGGGGTTTCACCATCTTGGCCAGGCTGGTCCTGAACTCCTGACCTCATGATCCACCCGCCTCTGCCTCCCAAAGTGCTGGGATTACAGGTGTGAGCCACCGTGCCCAGCCCACACCTGGCTAATTTTTTAAAATTTTTTTTGTGGAGACAGGATCTTACTATGTTGCTTGCTGTGGTCTTGAACTCCTGGCCTCAAGCAGTCCTCCTGCCTCAGCCTCCAGAAGTGCTGAGATTGCAAGCATGAGCCACAGCATTTGGCCCTTGTTTGTTTTTTACCTCATCCTGAATGAGGTGAAATTTGGGGTGAATTTAGTAATATAAACAAATGAGTCAGAATTTTACGTAAGGTATTACATGGATAAGAGCAATATCTGGGATAGGTACCCAGTAAACAAAATTTGGTATTTATTTATATAGAATTTACGTTGAAATTTTAATTAAGCAATAGGCCACAAAAATTATATTTTCTGAAAAATGCCCTTACCAATAAAATCTCCATACCATCCTTCCAGTCCCACTTGATTTTAAAGAGTGGTAAAATTTTTTTTTTTTTTTTTGAGACGGAGTCTTGTTCTGTGGCCCAGGCTGGAGTGCAATGGCGCGATCTCGGCTCACTGCAACCTCCACCTCCCTGGTTCAAGCGATTCTCCTGCCTCAGCCTCCTGAGTAGCTGGGATTACAGGTGCCCGCCACCATGCCCAGCTAAAATTTTTAAGCTTATTAACTGTCTGCTGCTGGTTTCTTCATTTAGTTCCTGAACACGCTAGAAAGACTTGGTTTTGGGCTTGCCATCTCTATGGAAATAATTTCCCTCGGGAAAGAAATAATTTTCTTTGTGTTGGGCTCTGCGTTTAAGAAAACATTATTCTGTGGTGTTGGATCGGTGTTCGAAGCCTCCCATTTCTCTGAGCAGGTGGATTCAGATACCAGAGGATAAACCAACTGGCAGAGGACCTTGTACTGCCAGCACTGGCCTTCTTCACTTCGGTATTGCAGCATTACAGAGCCATTTCTTTCTTTTTCAAATGTCCCAAGACAGCGAGTTCAATTATACATTAACATGCAGAGCCAGCCACTGTTTATTGGATATATTACATTACCCAGATAATTGGATAATAAAAATAGTCATCTTAATTTGTTTTATAAGCTGAAGCAGCCTCCCTTTTTCCTCTCAATTTAAAACCTTTTATTTTTAGTACAAATTATACTTTTTTTTTTTTTTTTTTTTTGAGATGGAGTCTCGCTCTGTCACCCAGGCTGGAGTGCAGTGACGCAGTCTTGGCTCACTGCAACGTCCGCCTCCCAGGTTCAGGCAATTCTCCTGCCTCAGCCTCCCGAGTAGCTGGGATTACAGGCACATGCCACCACACCTAGCTAATTTTTTTGTATAATTTTAGTAGATACCGGGTTTCACTGTATTAGCCAGGATTATCTCAATCTCCTGACCTCGTGATCCGCCCACCTTGACCACCTAAAGTGTTGGGATTACAGGCATGAGCCACCACGCCCGACCAAATTATACTTTCTTAAAGTGTGTAGTTCAGGCCAGATGTGTTGGCTCATACCTATAACCCCCAGCACTTTGGGAAGCTAAAGCAGGCAGATCACTTGAGTCAAGGAGTTCGAGACCAGCCCTGGGCAACATGGCAAAATCCTGTCTCCACAAAAAACACAAAAATTAGCCAGGCATGGTGGCATGTGCCTATAGTTCCCGGCTACTTGGGAGGCAGAGGTTGTAGTGAGCCCAGATCGTGCCACTGTACCCCAGCCTGAATGACAGAGGGAGACCCTGTCTCAAAAAAAAAAAAGTGTAGTTCAGTGGACTTTAGTATATTCATAGAGTTGTGCAACCAACACCATAATCAATTTTAGAACATTTCCATTGCCCTAAAAAGAAACTTCATACCCATTACTAGTCACTCCTGTCTTTTCCCCATTTCCTTTCTCTCCCCTACAGGGAACCACTAATGTTACTTTCTGTCTCTGTAGATTTTCTCTGGATATTAATATATATGGATATGTGATTTCTTACACCTGGCTTCTTTAACTTAGACATAATATTTTTATGTTTTATCCATGTTGTGGCACACATCAGTACAGCTGTCCTCAGTATGAGAGATTGGCTCCAGGACCTTCTGCAAATACCAAAATCCAAGTATGATCAAGTTCTGGATATAAAATGGTGTTTATTATTATTATTATTATTATTTAAGTTCTAGGGTACATGTGCACAATGTGCAGGTTTGTTACATATGTTTACATGTGCCATGTTGTTGTGCTGCACCCATTAACTCATCATTTACATTAGGTGTATCTCCTAATGCTATCCCTCTCCCCTCCCCCCACCCCACGACAGGCCCTAGTGTGTGATATTCCCCTTCCTGTGTCCAAGGGTTCTCATTGTTCAATTCCCACCTATGAGTGAGAACATGCGGTATTTGGTTTTCTGTCCTTGAGATAGTTTGCTCAGAATGATGGTTTCCAGCTTCATCCATGTCCCTACAAAGGACATGAACTCATCCTTTTTTATGGCTGCAGAGTATTCCATGGTGTATATGTGCCACATTTTCTTAATCCAGTCTATCATTGATGGACATTTGGGTTGGTTCCAAGTCTTTGCTATTGTGAATAGTGCTGCAGTAAACATACGTGTGCATGTGTCTTTATAACAGCATGATTTATAATCCTTTGGGTATATACCCAGTAATGGGATCACTGGGTCAAATGGTATTTCTAGTTCTAGATCCTTGAGGAATCGCCACACTGTCTTCCACAATGGTTGAACTAGTTTACAGTCCCACCAACAGGGTAAAAGTGTTCCTATTTCTCCACATCCTCTCCAGCATCTTTTTTTATACATAACCTACATGCATCCTCCAGTATACTTTAAATCTTTAGATTACTTATATAATATAATGTAAATGCTATGTAAATAATTGTTATACTATATTGCTGAGGGAATAGTGACCCAAAAAAGTTTGTGTATGTTCAGTACAAATGCATTAAGAAAAGAATCAGAAGATTTTTGATCTGCCATTAGTTGAATCCATGGACTTGTAACGCAAGAATATGGAAGGCTGATTGTACTTCATTTCTTTTTATTTGCAAATATATATCATAGTGTGTATATACCATATTTTGTTTATACATTGGTACATTTGGGTTGGACATTTGCATTGTTTCTACGTTGGGACTATTATGAATAAGGCTGCTATGAACATTTGCCTACAAATTTTCATATGAATATATGTTTTCATTTCTCTTGGGAGTGGAATTGTTCGGTCACATGGTAACTTTGTTTAGCCTTCTGAGGAACTGCTAGACTTTTTTTTTTTTTTGAGATGGAGTCTCGCTCTTACCACCCATCCTGGGGTGCAATGGCATGATCTCGGCTCACTGCAACCTCTGCCTCCCGAGTTCAAGTGATTCTCCTGCCTCAGCTTCCCAAGTAGCTGGGACTACAGGTGCCTGACACCATGCCTGGCCAATCTTTTGTATTTTTTTTAGTAGAGAAGGGATTTCGCCATGTTGGCCAGGCTGGTCTCGAGCTCCTGACCTCAGGTGATCCACCTGCCTCGGCCTCCCAAAGTGCTGGGATTACAGGCATGAGCCACCGCGCCCGGCCTAATACAGTTTAGAAGCATGTCTTTAAACAAAGTTAAAAGGTTTAGCCTAAAGAAAGTAAATTTTGTTTACCTGAAATATTCAAGCATGTGAAGCATTTGTCAGTGCTGGATAGAGGAGATGTTACTAAAGTGAGATAATTTACCAGCACACAAATATTAACGCAATAATTGCTTTTTCAAGGTTTGGATTAAGCAGTAAAGTAGGGCTGGGGGAAGGTGGAGTAGGGTTTGCACCTTGACCATTTCATCACCCATCTGTGTGCTGCTTAGAGTTTTTACAGGGAGGAATGGAGACCCTGAGTGGAAGATAGGAGGCGGGATCTAGTGGGGAAGAGGAAGTGAAACCAGGAGAAAAGAAGAAAAATGCAGAAATGGTCTGTGTTTCAGAGAAGTTTCCTAGCATCGCCTTTCCTCTAAATGAGGGAAAATGTCTGTTGCATTTTCTGTATTAGGCCATTCTTGCATTGCTCTAACAAAATACCTGAGACTGGGTAATTTATAAAGAAGAGATTTAATTGGCTCATGGTTCTGCAGGCTGTACGGGAAGTATGATGCTGGCATCTGCTCAGCTTCTGGGTAGGCCACAGGAAACTCACAGTCATGGTGGAAGCATGTCACATGGCAAAAGCAGGAGTGAGAGAGTGAGGCAGGACATGCTACACACTTTTAAACGACTAGATGGCAAGAGAACTCACTCACTATCTCGAGGATAGTACCCAGAGGGATGGTGCTAATTCATGAGAGTTCCGTCCCCATGATCCAATCACCTCTCCCCAGGCCTCACCTCCAACACTGGGGATTACATTTCAATATGATATTTTCATGAGGACACACATCCAAACTATATCACGTTTGATCACAGTTTCTTCCTAATGTGTAGTTTATATTTTAACAGAAGAATGTTTTGCCTTGAAGTCACTAACATCTTCATCAGTAAGTTTTCATTCTGTTGATATCTCTTAAAGGAGTTGCAGTCATTCACACAAAAATCATGTAAAGATGAAATGATACTTTGAAATTATCACAGAATCGATAATGCCCTTCTTGTGGTTGGATCACTTTATAAAAAGCATATAGTGCATTTTCCTTTGTCAGCTGCATTAATCAGTGCCATCATCAGTGTAAGTTTGCATATTGAATATTCAGTCTCACCATTTTGGGAAGATTTTGTGACTGGAAGACTAACAGGGTCATATTGTTAACTTACTTAAAGCATTAGTAGTTGGTGATCATCTCCCTGTCAAAGGTGTATGTTTTTAATGAACATCTACAAATTTAGATATAATTGATTTATTATTATGCTTATCACTGAAATGCATGATAAGATGAAATGCAGATTAAGTCCTCCATTTGTTTGACAGAGCAGGAGAAGAAAAGATGATATGAGAAATGGTAGGGGGTGGAGGGACGGAAGGAAGGAGCAAAAGACTAAAATAATAGGCTACTGTGCCTTATGACTATAGGTTTGTCTCAGTCTTGGGGGCCAATTAGGATGTTGATCCATGGACTTCTGGCTTTTTGCCCACCGCAGTTTTAACTTGACCCACAAATGCAAACAAACATCCTAATCACTTGACCTCTTTGATCAAGTATGTGCCTTGCCATTTCCTTCCAAGAAAGCTGTGATGTTCTATCCCTTATTTCTCTGCATTCAGACTTGCCGTAAATTCTCTCCCACACATCCTTTTGATGAAGAATTGCTGGACCTGAGCCAGTTTATTCAGATCTTGTGCTGCAGCTTGGCACATAGTCTGTAATAAGACATATCCCCAATCCTATGTGACATAAAAGTGATCTACTCAGTTCTAGAATCCTCTGTTTCAAATACAGGTGGTTAGACAAAAGATTTAATTGGAAAGTCACTCAGTGTTTAAGTAAGAGGAGGAGAACTCCTTTCTCTAGATCTCTACACAGAATTGCTGTTCAAATCGAATGATCAAATATCTATCCTCAAAGAACCTAACATCTCTATGCGGGCTGTGTTAGGTGCCCCCTTCTCAGTGGTCTCATAATACCCTGTACACATGCCTCTGTTATATTTTCTGATTACCTGCCAATTTGCCTTTTTCTTTTTCTTTTTTTTTTTTTTTTTTTTTTTTTGAGGTGGAATCTTGCTCTGTTGCCCATGCTGGAGTACAGTGGTGCGATCTCAGCTCACTACAACCTCCACCTCCTGGGTTTAAGTGATTATCCTGCCTCAGCCTCCTGAATAGCTGGGACTACAGGGGCCTGCCACCACGCCCAGCTAATTTTTGTAATTTTGGTAGAGACGAGGTTTCTCCATGTTGGCCGGCTGGTCTTGAATTCCTGACCTCAGGTGATCCACCCGCCTCAGCCTCCCAAAGTGCTGGGATTACAGGCGTGAGCCATCACACCCGGCGTAATATGCCTTTTTCTTTGCCCCCATCCTCTGCACTAATCTTAAACTGTGAACTCTGAGAGGAAGACTGAGTGTCTACCATTCCACCTGGCACATTGTAGGTGCTGGAATAAATGTTTGAGTGAATATATGAATGTTAAAAAGAGAAATAAGATTACCAAGTAATTTTCAATCCTGGTAGAACCTTTAAAACCTCTTCTTCAGTTGGCTCTGTCACCAACAATATTTTAGCACTAAAATGCAGATTTTAGTAATAAGTGACATTCAAATTCACGTAGTACAGTTTAGTCAGTAAACTTTGTTTCTCAAACTAGATCACTGCTTGAGTTCTAAAACTGAACTAGAATTTGAATGGTCTATTTTTATGGACCTTCTTAGTGATATCCCCACCACCACCCAGCAGTCCTCTTAGCTGCCTTGTTAGTCTTAAGCACGCCTTATTCACTTTGCATAAGTACACTGAGTCTCTGTGATGTGCACGCAGGCACTATAACAGGAGCATGTGGCCGGGCGCGGTGGCTCATGCCTGTAATCCTAGCGCTTTGGGAGGCCGAGGCGGGTGGATCACGAGGTCAGCAGTTCAAGACCAGCCTGGCCAACATGGAGAAACTCCGTCTCTCCTAAAAATACAAAATTAGCCAGGCGTGGTGTCACATGCCTGTAATCCCAGCTACTCGGGAGGCTGAGGCAGGCGAATCACTTGAACCCAGTAGGCAAAAGTTGCAGTGAGCCAAGATCATGCCATTGCACTCCAGCCTGGGCAACGAGAGTGAAACTCTGTTCCCACCGTCCCCCCGCCCCCCCCAAAAAAGGAGCATGTGATTTAAGAGGAGAGCAAGGCATATAAATAAAGGATTATAATATAATAAGAGCTACCATCGAAGGTTGTGCGGTGTGAAATGTAAATCTAAGGTAAGGCTGTTAGAGAAAGTTTCTCTGAGAAAGTAACATTTGAGCCTAGTCTTAAAGAATGAGGGGTCCAGATTTGAGGAAAGGAGATAAACGTTACAAGGAAGGGAAACAACATATGGGAAAAACCCAGAAGCACGCAGATGCAGAAATGGGAAGCATGCGTGAGGGGGAGTGTTGGAAGATGAGGCTAAAGGGAGAAGGCAGACCTGAGTGGATGCCTACAAAGGCGTTTGGAATTTAATGTGTAGCCCAAACGGGGAAGTCATTAGAATATTTTAGACAGAGGAAGGACATGTGCTCTTTCTGTTCTCTGTCCATGTCTTCCCTTTAGAGATTTTCCCTTCAGAGACCTTGTTTTTCCCTATCGTCACTACTACTTTCTCTGCTAATGTTTTATACCTACTTCCCTGCCAAGCTAATTTATTTGATTAGAGTAAAATGGTCTTAGGTTGCAGTTTAGAACATCCTAAAAATCAGGAAGTTTGTGTCCCCTACCCCCTGATCACAGTACATTGTGACCCTGATTGCATTTTGTTGCTTGAGAAATTGACTGACTATGGTCATCTCATTCCATTCTTATTGTTACAAGGAAAAAAGAATGACACCTTCGTTTATAAAAAGAATTCCATATGTTCTACTAGATTGCCAAAATGAGGGTGGACATGAAAACAACTGAATTTGTACACTTCAGACTTTATTAATATTTTTTGTTTAACCCTTTTTAGGATTTTCATTTTCTGGGCCTAGATTATAAATGGGCACACTAGACTTGAAGTCAGGAGAGCTTCTTTTCTATGGAGCTACTAAAATGCTCCTGGCAATTGTTCTTTTCATTTTTGACCCATTGCAGTGCATCCACAATTGTATGGTTGTTTGTGCAACATCGTCTTAGCCAGTCTCATAATAAACCATTCTTTGGAATTTTACAAAGATGTCATTCTTGGCACCTAAACAGAGAATCATTTGTGCCTAACCAATCATTTTCCATTTATGAATCCTGTTCAATTAGAAAGTAGTTTATGAACAGTGTCCTGTTTTTTAAATGTAATTTGAAATAGCAGGTGGCAGACTTGCATTTTATATTACCTAGATATCTCAAGCCTTTATGCTTACTCATTCACACGGGTCTGCTAGTGAAGCCAACTGTATAAGGTGTGGGAGGTAGGCAAGCCTCGGGGGAACCCAGGGCTCATTTGGTTCATTGCTGCCATCTGCTGGGGCTTGGCTGCTGGCATGGGAAGGCTGCCCACGAGAGAGCTGAGCCATCCTGAAGGAACCTCTGTATACTTCCAGTACTAATCAGCTATTATGTTTCTAGGTGACAACCTACCCCTAACTAAAAGGACTTTATGAACTCTAGAGCATTATATCAGTCAGTGTAAAGTGGCATTAGATTATGTTGGTAACACGTACTCTACAGCAAACATGAGGCTCAGAGAACGAAGCAACACACTAAGGACTCAAAGATCCTAGAGTATCAGAACTGGAAGAACCTTAAGCCAGATGTGGTGGAACTTTAGTATATAGTTACATGAGTCGCCTAGGCACTTGTTAAAATGCAGATTCCTGGGCCTAGCCCAAGAGACTTTGATTCAGTAGGCCCAAGCTGTGTCTCATTTAACAAGCTCCCCACAGGGTTCTGATGCAGGTGGTCTAGCACCATGCTAGAGAAAAGCACTACCTTAAATATACAGACAAGAGCTTCTCAGCCATTTTTCTTATTAATGCCTCACTTCAATCAATAAGAAAAATTACATCTTCCATCAATGGGATGAGTCATCATCATACCGTAACTAGTTCTTTGAAGCACACGCACACAAATTATTGTTGGATTGCTTTGTTCTGCAACAACAACAAAAGAGTCGCTTTTAAATAATTATCTTGGCTGGGTGCAGTGGCTCAGGCCTGTAATCCCAGCACTTTGGGAGGCCGAAGTGGGTGGATCACCTGAGGACAGGAGTTCGAGACCAGCCTGGCCAACATGGTGAAACCCCATCTCTACTAAAAATACAAAAAATTTAGCTGGGCGTGGTGGCATGCGCCTGTAATCCCAGCTACTTGGGAGGAGGCAGGAGAATCGCTTGAACCTGGGAGGCGGAGGTTGCAGAGAGCCGAGATCATGCCACTGCACTCCAGCTTGGGCAACAAGAGCAAAACTCCATCTCAAAATAATAATGATAATAATAATTAATATTATTATCTTTCCTTTCTTCTCCAAGAAGGAAATTCTGTAATTTATATTGGTCAGCTTATTGTGGAATGCTTTTTGGCCTTCAGCATTGGCAAGCAAAGGTCTAGTTTCATATTACACTTAACATAGCCATCATTTCCATGACCATAGTAATCATTTAGTAAATGTTTATTGAATTTTTAGGGACCTAAAACACCATAATATGACTCTTTTCTTTGGAGAAGCCAAACACAAGGCTGCATCCCTGATAGTTTTAGGGGATGTCTTCTTATCACTTTATTTATTTATTTGTTTTTTGAGACAGAGTTTCACTGTTGTTGCCCAGGCTAGAGTGCAATGGCACAGTCTCAGCTCACTGCAACCTCTGCCTCCTGGGTTCAAGTGATTCTCCTGCCTCAGTCTCTCTAGTAGCTGGGATTACAGGTTCCCACCACCATGCCTGGCTAATTTTTGTATTTTTAGTAGAGACGGGGTTTCACCATGTTGGCCAGGCTGGTCTCGAACTCCTGACCTTAGGTGATCTGCCCACTTCAGCCTCCCAAAGTGTTGGGATTACAGGCGTGAGCCACCAAGCCCGGCCTTATTATCACTTCTTACTCCCTTATCTGTGTTGGCAAGCTTGGCTAAAGTACAAATAGTAGTAAATACAAATAACAACTCTCCTTCTCACATAGGAAAAAATAAGTGGGTGGCCTAAAAACAAATTTGAGAACTCACCTTAGAACTGAGAATTCTGAATACCTGTCATATGCCTGCTTGATAGAATATTCTCAAAAATGTTGCTCATTTTTTTTATATGCTACTGCTCCTGAAACTACTGGTTTCAATCTGTGAACTGAGTCCCATGAGGCCACTGAACTCAAGGGCAGATTACCCTTGGTGTACCGTGTCACACTGAGTGAGGACCAGTAATTTTTTCGTGTATTTCATGTAGTGTTTTTTGTGTTTTTTTTGTTTGTTTGTTTTAGCTTTTAAGTTGTTGGCATTCAGGACTTTCAACTCCTTTAATGCACATGATCATATATTTAGTGCAGTTACCATGTCGCACATGTAGAATCAAAAGGCAGTTTATTGAACCTCCTTATAGAGAAATCTTGCTGAGCTTTTAGGATCATAATTTTTATGGCTTGCATATGTGCTTTGGCATATCATCTTATTTTAAGTTTTGTCCCCTGCATTTATAATCTCATTTGTTAGGGGTTTTGTTTTTGTTTTAGGTGTACCTGAAGGAAATCTTAAAAGAAATTGGTGTTCAGAATGTAAAAGGGATCCACAAAAACACATGGGAGCTGAAGCCAGAGTACAGACACTATCAAGGAGAAGAAAAGAGTGACTAAGAAGACTCCTAGCCAGCATGCTAGTGAAACGACTAGCAGCGATGCTATGCAAAAGGCGCTGATACTGGAAGGCTTGAACACCGTATGTTAATAGGGGTTAAGTGACAGTACTTTGATTTCTCTCGGTAAATTTTTTAAACCTGTAATTCTTGTAAAGTTTCTTAACTGTTTTTTTGAGGAGAAAGAACAGATTTATTTATAGACTTAACTTGTATTAAACCAGATTATTCACAGTAGGAATAGGGGTTGGAGGATTAAGAGGGTTTTTCTTAAATATTAGCTTTTAATGTGTACAATTAGGAAATTTTTTTAAGTGAGGACTCTCTACCCTTGCCGTATCTAAGGAGCTGAGGTAATACAGATCCAAGGAGAATTGTATAGCAAGAAAAAAACAGTCAACTACAGAAACTCTTAAAAGGAATAAAAACCCAAAGTTCCTTATTTTGAAATTGTCAAAGAACAAAGCGGTGTTTTTCTTTTAAACAGGTGATCACGTTTCGTGTTCATACTCAACGTTAATAAAAGGAGAGAGTTTGTAGTGAAATGGCAGTGTTCATCATTGGCTTATTTTACCGTAGTGATGCTGAGATGAGAAATGTGCAGGATCATGGTCAGTTGATGTTTCTTTTATTTGCTTTTAAGATAATTAGAAATTAAATATCTTTCCAAAATTTGAAGATATGTCTCCCCCAGTCAGATTATAAGCTTCTCAAAACTGGCTTGCCCCCAGAATTTTACTGCTTACCCAGCAGACATGTATTGACCATCACATGGCAAATGATATCAGCAAATCAAAAGATGGGCGTAGGGGTCCAGCCGAGACAGAAAACGTTAGTTTCAATTCCTGGGGCATTAAAATGTTGCTTTTCTCTTTCTCTTTAATTAATTTTTAAATGAAAACAATACATGTATATGTTAGTTTTTTCTAGCACAACACAATATTATATATTAAGCGATCCAAAATCATACTGTCAAGACCATCAAACAAAACAAAGAAGCTTAAGTGAACTAAGCACAGGGAAAAGTTGTTTTTTCACTCGTTCATTTTGTCATCTGCTTCTAGATGCTGCAATCAAGAAGTAGCAAATGCCCAAGTTGCCATAGTGTTTGCAGGAAAAAAAGAGAAAAAATAATAAAAATAAGGAAGGAGCAATGCCAAAAATTGAAGAAAATATTATATAATTAAAGCAAGAAGATATCTATCCATTGAGAAAAACAATTTTTATATTATTTGCTTTTAGCAGCAAAGCATTAGAATTCTGAGATTGTTATAGCACTAAGAAGATTTTTATTCTGTGTACACACTGAAAAATAAAATTCTGAGTAAAGAAAGTGTTCCCATTCCCCACTCCACCTCAGATTTTCTTATGTACAGGCACCAAATGTGGTATGCCCATCACCTTCTAGTTCCTGATGACTGGAAGCTCTGTGTCAGGAAGCCCGTGGATAATGGTCTGATAAATCTATATAGAACTGAGGATTCTGGATACCTGCCATGTGCTTGGTTCATAGCATGTATCTTCCCCAAAACCTTGTTTTTTTATATATTTGGTACTGCCCTGAAACAGACTGTGTCTCCTCTGCTGATGTCTTTTGTTTTGGGGACAGTGCCTGCCATATTGAACGAGGTGGCTGTGCCACAAGAGTTCCCAGGGCAGAGCTGTGTCTTATTTGAAGCTGTGCTTTGGTTTTTTTGTAAACTGGTTTTTTCTGCTTCTTTTAGTTGCCTGTTACCTCAGCACACCTGATTGCATGAGCTTGAGTCTCTTAAACACTTATCTCTTCAGTAGGATACATAATTTAGGTGCTAGACTGATGCTGTTTCTGATTACGTTTTTGTTTGTTTGTTTGTTTGTTTTTGAGACAGAGTCTTGCTCTCTGTTGCCCAGGCTGGAGTGCGGTGGTGGTGTGATCTTGGCTCACTGCCACCTCTGTCTCCCAGGTTCAAGCGATTCTTCTGCCTCAGCCTCCCAAGCAGCTGGGATTACAGGCGCATGCCACCACACCCGGCTAATGTTCGCATTTTTAGTAGAGACGGGGTTTCACCTTGTTGGCCAGGCTGGTCTTGAACTCCTGACCTCAAGTGATCTGCCCACCTCAGCCTCCTAAAGTGCTGGGATTACAGGTGTGAGCCACCGCACCTGGCTTAAATTGCTTTCTTATTTAATGTTAAAATGTGGGTGCTGGCCATGGAGGAGGTTTTCCCTTCCACCCAGGTTCCCTTATTCTTTTATTTCAGGACTCTCTTACTCTGACAAACAGACTTTTGACAAAGATCAATAAGTAGGAATCCTAAACCCTTATAAACTGTGAGAGTGAAAGGAAGACAGATAAAGAAGATGCACACTTCTGGTAAGATGTCACATCATAAGACAGGAAGGCCATATTTTTTTCTTTTTTGAGACAGATTCTCGCTCTGTCGCCCAGGCTGGAGTGCAGTGGTGTGATCTGGGCTCACTGCAAGCTCCGCCTCCTGGGTTCACGCCATTCTCCTGCCTCAGCCTCCGTTGTAACTGGGACTACATGCGCCCGCCACCATACCCAGCTAATTTTTTTGTATTTTTAGTAGAGATGGGGTTTCACCATGTTAGCCAGGATGGTCTCAATCTCCTGTCCTCATGATCCACCTGCCTCAGCCTCCCAAAGTGCTGGGATTACAGGCAAGCCACTGCTTCCGGCCAGGAAGGCCATATTTAATAAATGATATTGTTAAACTCAACTGATACACTGAGGGGATGCTTTAAGTGACAAAATATAATAAAATTATAGTTGTGGCTGGCCATGGTGGCTCATGCCTGTAATCCCAGCATTTTGGGAGGCTAAGGCAGGCAGATCATGAGGTCAGGAGTTTGAGAAAAGCCTGGCCAACATGATGAAACCCCAACTCTACTAAAAATACAAAAATAAGCCAGGTGCAGTGGCAGGCACCTGTAACCCAGCTACTTGGGAGGCTGAGGCAGGAGAATTGCTTGAACCCAGGAGGCAGAGGTTGCAGTGAGCCGAGATCTCGCCACTACACTCCAGCCTGGGTAACAGAGCAAGACTCCGTCTTGGATGGGCGAGAGGGGAGATATAGTTGCTGGGCATTGGAAAGATTTGAAATTACATGTTACCACAATAACTTCTTTTTTTTTTGAAACGGAGTTTCGCTCTTGTTGCCCAGGATGGAGTGCAATGGCGCAGTCTCGGCTCACCATAACCTCCACCTCCCAGGTTCAAGCGATCCTCCTACCTCAGCCTCCCGAGTAGCTGGGATTACAAACATGCGCCACCACGCCCAGCTAATTTTTTGTATTTTTTAGTAGAGACAGGTTTTCTCCATGTTGGTCAGGCTGGTCTCGAACTCCGGACCTCAGGTGATCTGCCCACCTCAGCCTCCCAAAGTGCTGGGATTACAGGCGTGAGCCACTGCACCCAGCTACCACAGTAACTTCTAAAGTGATAGATCTGCTGGGTGCAGTGGCTCACGCCTGTAATCCCAACACTTTGGGAGGCCAAGGCGGGCAGATCACCTGAGGTCAGGAGTTCAAGACCAGCCTGGCCAACATGGTAAAACCCTGTCTCTACTAAAAATACAGAAATCAGCTGGGCATGGTGGTGCAAGCCTGTAATCCCAGCTACTTGGGAGACTGAGGCAGGAGAATCACCTGAACCTGGGAGGTTTCAGTGAGCCAAGATGGCACCACTGCACTCCAGCCTGGGCGACAGAGCAAGACTCCATCTCCAAAAAAAAATAAAAAATAAAAGTGATAGATCTTTAAAAAGGGAACAGATTGCACTCTTTTATATCATGAGCAGTACTTATGGATTTCAGCACAAGTACAACTGTTTCTAATGGTCTGTGAGCAAATTTCTTTGGAAGCTTATTTTCATCATTGTTGGTACATATCAGTGAAATAATAGTAAACACTTATCAGGCCATATGTGCCTAATAGTATGGTAAGTAGTGTAAAATATTATCTCATTTGATCCTCACAGTGCTGAGTGGTAAGTAATGTCCATTTTATGGAACCATTTCCTGCCTAGCATACCATCGTGAGTACTGGTTCCTCTTGGGAGGAATTCTACCCATGGCCAAAATCAGAGTCTACTTTCCCAGAATTCTCTCTCCCCACCCCATCTCACCTCCAAACCAAGAAAATGGAGCTGATCCCAGCAAAATTGTGAAGGAATGGGAGTTTGTCTTTGTTACCCCTCCTTGAATCCTGACACCCGAACTCCTCCTAGCCACAGGATGAAGACTAAACTTCCACCCTCCTTAAATCCTGACACCCAAACTCCTCCTATCCACAGGATGAAGAATAAACTTCCACCTTTAGAGTCAAGATCCTTTCGCTAACAATGTAATCTCTGTGACATTTAAGTACCTTGTAGAGGCCAGGCACAGTGGCTCACACCAGTAATCCCAGCGCTTTGGGAGGCCGAGGCGGGTGGATCACACAAGGTCAAGAGATTGAGACCATCCTGGCCAACATGGTGAAACCCCGTCTCTACTAAAAATACAAAAATTAGCTGGGCATGGTGGTGTGCGCCTGTAGTCCCAGCTACCCGGGAGGCTGAGGCAGGAGAATCACTTGAACCCAGGAAGCAGAGGTTGCAATGAGCCGAGATCGCGCCACTGCACCCCAACCTGGCGACAGAGCGAGTCTCCGTCCCGCCGCAAAAGAAAGTACCTTGTAGAGAGTGCAGCTTTAGAGTGGACTCTATGATTTAGACCTCTGCATGGTTGAGGCTCCCAATGCAGTTGTGTTGTGGGGAGGGGTGCTGGGCTGAGAGGGGAGCTGCAGACATCACCTGCTGCAGATCACCTTCACCGCATTGGCCGTTTTCCCTAGCATTTGTGTGAGAGAGTCCAGGAGATGATAAAGTGGCTCTCTTTTTTATTTTGTTTGCCCTTTTTTCTTTTTCTTTTTCTTTTTTTTTCCTGACACAGGGTTTCACTTTTGTTGCCTGGGCTGGAGTACAGTGGTGCAGTCTCGGCTCACTGCAACCTCCACTTCCTGGGTTCAAGTGATTCTCCTGCTTCAGCCTCCCGAGTAGCTGGGATTACAGGTGCCCACCACCACACCTGGCTAATTTTTGTATTTTTGGAAGAGACGGGGTTTCACCATGTTGGCCAGGCTGGACTCCTAACCTCAAGTGATCTGCCTGCCTCGGCCTCCCAAAGTGCTCGGATTAGTTTCTCTGACGTGAGTCCAGAGAAAGTTCCTGAGCCTGATATCATTTTCTTTTTTATTTTTAAAGAGATGGTGTCTCACTAATGTCACACAGGCTGGAGTGCAGTGGCAGGATCATGGCTCACTGCAGTCTCAAACTCCTGGGCTCAAGCAATCCTCTCATCTCAGCCTCCCAGGTAGTTGGGACTACAGGCATGCACTACCATGCCTGGCTACTTTTTTAAAACGTTTTTTGTAGAGATGGGGTCTCACTGTGTTGTCCAAGCTGTTCTCAAACTCCTGGGCTCAATTGATTCTCCTACCTCAGCCTCCCAGAGTGCTAGGATTGCAGACATGAGCCGCTGTGCCTGACTTAATGTCATATTTTATTTTATTTTATTTTTTTGAGACGGGATCACTCTGTCGCCCAGGCTGGAATGCAGTGGCGCAGTATCAGCTCACTGCAACCTCCACCTCCCGGGTTCAAGCAGTTCCCTCCCTCACCCTCCCAAGTAGCTGGGATTACAGGCACCCGCCACCACGCCCAGCTAATTTTTGTTTTTTTTAGTAGAGATGGGGTTTCACCATGTTAGCGAGGATGGTCTCGATTTTTTGACCTTGTGATCCACCCACCTCGCCCTCCCAGAGTGCTGGGATTACAGGCGTGATTACAGGTTGCAGTGAGCCAAAATTGTGCCACTGCACTCCAGCTTGGGCAACAGAGGGAGACTCCATCTAAAAAAAAAAGAAAAGCAGGGGCTTTTAGCTGATTGTGTTACAAACTGTAAATTTTTATTTTTTTTTGAGACGGAGTCTCACTCTGTCCCCCAGGCTGGAGTGCAGTGGCGCCATCTCGGCTCACTGCAAGCTCTGCCTTGTGGGTTCACACTATTCTCCTGCCTCAGCCTCCCAGGTAGGTGGGACTACAGGCACCGGCCACCATGCCTGGCTAATTTTTTGTATTTTTAGTAGAGACGGGGTTTCACTGTGTTAGCCAGGATGGTCTCGATCTCCTGACCTCATGATCCATCTGCCTCAGCCTCCCAAAGTGCTGGGATTACAGGCGTGAGCCACCGTGCCCGGCCTAGAAACTGTAAATTTAAAAGGACTTTGCAGATGCGTTAGCTTTCAGTTTAACTGAGTTCTATTAAGTCATTTAGTCTAAAATATTAGGGCTTTCAAGAATGATTTTCTTGTGTACCGTATTTTTAAATGTTGAAACTTATATTTAAGTGGTCTCAAGGGTATAAGTTTTTTTATTGTGTTGTAGAAGTGTGAGTTCACCAAAAGAATATGTTTCTGGACTAAAAACTATAATCTGGTTTGGTCATGAAACACAATGGCTATTTGTTTGGGAAGTATTTACTAAGCATGACTGTATCTCAGGCACTAGAGACACAAAAGCACTAGACATAAGCATTCACAATCTAGTGGGAAATGCAGCTGTGGATGGGTAACAATACCGTGTAGGTACAGAAGTGCAAATGAAGTGTTGCTCTCCATGAGAAGACTCTAGTTAATTCATTGTTGCCACTTGTGCTCTTCATGGATTTCCAGTGTTTCAGGTATTTGAATGCAGTAACGTATACTTAATTTTAAAACCTCATTGAATATAATTTAATCATTGATAATTCTTAAGACACAAAAGGATTTATACAGTGCCTCAGGCTGATCTATTATGAACACACAGTGGATGTCTGTAATACAACGATCTCAATAGAATGTTGAATTAAGAGCTTACTGGGCTGGTCCTCTTGACATTTAAGCTTTACTTCTGATTACCATTCCAGTGTATTTCCTTGAACAAAAGCCTGTCAACCACTTTGCCATTTATTTATTCAGTGAAAAATCATTGCTGCCAGGCACGGTGGCCAGCACTTTGGGAGGCCAAGGTGGGTGGATCGCCTGAGGTCGGGAGTTCGAGATCAGCCTGACCAACATGGAGAAACCCCATCTCTACTAAAAATACAAAATTAGCCAGGCGTGGTGGCACATGCCTGTAATCCCAGTTACTCAGGAGGCTGAGGCAGGAGAATTGCTTGAACCCAGGAGGCGGAGGTTGTGGTGAGCTGAGATCGCACCATTGCACTCCAGCCTGGGCAACGAGAACAAAACTCCGTCTCAAAAAAACATTGCTGCCCACTGTGTGCCAGGCACAGGGGTAGAGGTGATACGTATTTGTGATAATACGTACTACCAGTTCTCTGCCTGTCTTACTAAATAAAAAGGAAGAATAATAGCTCATGTTTCTTGGACCCTTACTGTGTGTCCAGCACCATGCTAAACATTTAACTCATATAACTCATTTAATCCTCCCAGCCACCCTGTAATCTGTGTTCTCTTATTATCTGTGTTCTATCAATGTGAGTCCAGAGGCACTGAAAGGTTAAAGAACCTGCCCTTGGTCATACAGTAGAATATACAGTAGAACCTGCCCCAGGTCTAGCCAAGGAAAGGAGGCAGATCAAATCCCAGAATGGCACTGTGGAACATAGGCTCCTGGCCACCATGTGTTAGATAATGGGTGCTCCACTGCTCAGTGCCCACAGCTATCATTCACCTCCCTAGGGTTCAGTGACTCCTCACTAAATGCTGGTGGCAAAGTCTCAAGAGTTACCTTTCCTGAACCAAAAATAATTGCTTCAGGATTCTGCCTCAGTTGCTTTGCCTGTAGAGATTGGGTTTCCAGTGTTTATTTCTTTTGTAGAGTTTCTTATTATGGAATGATGTTCTGTCTTTGCTGTAGATTCAGATGAGGAGATACTTCCCATTAATGACCACAGATGGCCAGTGTATTTGATTTATTTCCATCCAAGACTCAATGACTCTCCAATGCCAGGCTCATGAGAAAATTGCCGGCTTGGGTGGTCACAGCTGGGGGTCTTTGCCATGGCCCAGTGAGCACAAAGGAAGTCCGTCAGCTTGAGACCCCCAGGTAATGGGGATACAGAGACGAACAAATAAGACAGGTCCTTGCATTTAGGGAGCTGTGGTATTGAAGAAGACTGGGAAGCAAATAAATGGCAGCATAGTGTCTTAAGTGCAGCAGTAGAAATATATGGGAGAATGTTTTAAGAGCTACCTACATTCAAAGCTTGGGACTTTGAACAAGTTGCCTACCATCAGTGCCTGTTTACTTGTCTGTGAAACCGAAATGTTAAAGAGTATCTATCTCATAGAATTGTGATGAAAATTAAATGTCAATTTAATGCTCATATATGGAACACTGCATGGCACATAAAAAGTACTTTATCAGGGTTGGCTATTATATAAAATATGGGGTAGCACAGAGAATGAAACAACTAGTTAAATTTTTGGAGAATCAGGAAAGCTTCTTAGGAGTTGGTATATGAATTGTGTTTTAAAGAAGTCTAGGAGTTCATAAAAGTCAAAGAGCAGGAAATACAGAAAGAGCAAATACAAGAGAATTCTAATAGCCTTACTTCCCCAGGTGGTTTGAATGAGAACCTGCACACACTTTCAGTGTACCTGCAGATACAGCAGATTGTAAAGGATTGTGACTTGACAAGTTAAGTATTTTCTCAGTCTAATAGAGCAACTTGGAATCAGGTAATCTGACCCTGGGCCCAAGTGGAATGGATGAGGTGTTAGGCGGGGCTAACCTCCATCAGCTCTGCACACAGGTGCAAACTGATGCCAACAACTCAATGACTCCTTTATTTGCAGCAGGCTTTTTCCTGTTGACTCATCCCTGAACACATTTCTTTAATATAGTCTAATTAGAGTAGCATTCCAAAACAGCCTGAGAGAATTATGTGTTAGAAGTTTGAGGTCCCAATCACTTACTCTCCATCACTGCAAGCTCTAATAAAGATAAATAAGGAGGAGGAGCTAAATGAGGTCAAATGATTCACCTTCTTGGTGGAGGCTCAGTAACTCCTAGCTGGACTAAAGAACCTAGCTAAGAGCTGAGGCCAAAGTGGAGAATCTCCTTATCTTTTTTCAAGCAGAGATAACGGGTCACCAACGGAAGTTGGCCTGACTTACCACTTGCAGGTGAAAAATCTGGAGTAGTTGGTCTCCCAGAGGTGTCACAGCCTAGTGTGCACACCCTGTGGGAGTGGACATAGGGGTTCAAGAACACAGCAAATACAGAATGGGAAATGGATGAACCTAACCACATCAAAATTCCCTCATACATTGTTAAGGAATGTTTGTTAACTTAGTGGACATAGAAAAGATGGACTTTTGAAAAGGCACAAATGATTGAATGGTAGCAGGCTACCAAATGAACTCTTATCCAAGTGCCTTCAAGCCTGCCTACTCCCCCAGATTCCCCTCTGGACTACCAATTACCTCCACCCCTATCCCAAAGACACAGCTGAGACATTTGTGAGCACTCGCTCAGCCATATGTTCAGACATTTGTCAGATGTTGACCTCCAAGAGACACAACTGGCATGAAACTGCCAATTAGCACTTCAGAAATAATGTTCTCTCACCAGTGATGCTAAAAGGGAAACTTCATATAAAGGAGAATATATTTGTGAAACGCATATAAAGGATTGTATCCAGACTATATAAAGGTCTCTTAAAACTTTAATAAAATAATAAAACAATTCAGTTTTAAAACAGGCAATATCCAGGCGAGGTAGAAAAAAGAAAAAAAATTAATAAATGTGAGAACATACATTTCATCAAGAAGGTATAGATGAACAAGCACATGAAAAGCTGCTCAGCATAATTGGTCATTAGAGAAATGCAAATTACAAAAGAATGCTGCATACCTATCAGAATAGCTAAAACTTTTTTTTTTTTTTTTTTTGGTGGGGAAAGGGGGTGTTTTGTTTTGTTTTTGAGACGGAGTATATCTCTGTCACCCAGGCTGGAGTGCAGTGGCACAATCTCGGCTCACTGCAACCTCTGCCTCCCCAGTTCAAGCGATTCTCCTGCCCCAGCCTCCCAAGTAGCTGGGATCACAGGCGTTCTTCACCACACCCAGCTGACTTTTGTATTTTTAGTTGAGATGGGTTTTTTTTCCATCTTGGCCAGGCTGGTCTCGAACTCCTGGCCTCGGGTGATCCGCCCACCTCAGCTTCCCAAAGTGCTGGGATTATAGGCGTGAGCCACTGCCCCCGGCCAGAATAGCTAAAACTTTAGAAACCTGACAGTGTCAAGTGCTACCGAGCATGCAGAGCAACCAGAACGCACACATGGTTCATGGAATGCCAAAGGATACCGGTTCTTTGGAAAACAGTTTGGCAGTTTATTGTAAAGTTAAACACACTACCATACGCAACCCAGCAATCCCATTCCTAGAAGCTTACCCAGGAGAAATGAAGACATATATGCACACACAAAAGCCTGTATAGAAGGATTTATAGCAGTTTTATTTATTTATTTATTTATTTATTTATTTATTTTTGATACGGAGTTTCGCTCTTGTCACCCAGGCTGGAGTGCAGTGGCACAATCTCAGCTTACTGCAACCTCCACCTCCCGGGTTCGAGTGATTCTCCAGATTTGCCCCCAGAGTAGTTGGGATTACAGACATGCGCCACCACAACCAGCTAATTTTTTTTTTTTTTTTTTTTTTTTTTTTGAGACGGAGTCTCACTCTGCCACTCGGGCTGGAGTGCAGTGGCGCAATCTCAGCTCACGGCAGCCTCTGCCTCCCAGGTTCAAGCAATTCTCTGCCTCAGCCTCCCGAGTAGCTGGGATTACAGGTGCCCACCGCCACACCTGGCTAATGTTTTGTTTTGTTTTTCTGAGACGGAGTTTCGCTCTTGTTGCCCAAGCTGGAGTGCAATGGTGCGATCTTGGCTCAACACAACCTCTGTCTCCCGGGCTCAAGCAATTCTCCTGCCTCAGCCTCCTGAGTAGCCGGGATTACAGGCATGCGCCACCACGCCTGGCTAGTTTTGTACTTTTAGTAGAGACAGGGTTTCTCCGTGTTAGGCTGGTGTCAAGCTCCCAACCTCAGGTGATCCGCCCACTTTGGCCTCCCAAAGTGCTGGGATTACGGGTGTGAGCCACTGCGCCTGGCCATTTTTTTGTATTTTTAGTAGAGATGGGGGTTTCATCAAGTTGGCCAGGCTGGTCTTGAACTCCTGACCTCGTGATCCACCTGCCTCGGCCTCCCAAAGTGCTGGGATTACAGGCGTGAGCCACTGCTCCTGGCTTATAGCAGCTTTAATTCTAATCACCAAAAACAGAAAACCATCCAAATGTCCACCAACTTGTAACTAGAGAAAGCAAACTGTGGTATAGTCATACAATGGAATGGTTTAAAGAAACCAGACTCTTAGTGGTATGTACTGTATGCTTCCGTGTATGTGGCATTCTGGAAAAGGCAAAACCAGAGGGATAAAAACACAGGACAGTATTTGCCTGAGGTTGACTACAAAGAAAGACAAGGGAACTTCACAGGTAATGGAAATCCTGATAGTGGTGGCAGCTACATGACACTGCGTGTGTTAAAACTTGCACATTGTGAGTTTTACTGCATAAAAGTGTTAACTAAAAGAGTGTCTGGGTACGGTGGCTCAGGCCTATAATCCCAGCACTTTGGGAGGCCGAGTCAGGAGGATCACCAGAGGTCAGGAGTTCGAGACCAGCCTGGCCGACATGGCAAAACCCTGTCTCTACTAAAAATACAAAAATTAGCCAGGTGTGGTGACACGCACATGTAATCCCGGCTACTTGGGAGGTTGAGGCAGGAGAATCACTTGAACATGGGAGGCAGAGACTGCATTGAGCCAAGATGGTGCCACTGCACTCCAGCCTGGGTGACAGAGACTCCATCTCAAAAAAAAAAGAGGTTGAGGGAAATAGCTTTTATTTGGGAAATAAAGATTTGCAATTTGTGTACACTGAAGCAAGGCAGTCCTGAATAGTAGACTGTAAGGCAAGCTCAGTAGAGGATTTTTATAGGGAGTTTCCACAAAACGCTGTTTTCAGAGGCATTTCATTGGGCTGGGCAGAAATCCTAAATGGCAAACCTGTTCCGATTGGTTAGTTAACTAGGCTATTCCCAGCTGAGAGTTGTTGACAGCCGCGAATGCTGACTGCAGTTGTTTATCCAAGTCTATTGGAACATTCTGTGGTTTGACCTTCAGCAGGTGTGAGTGCAGTCCTCGGTGCTTATTTTCTTTCACAAAAGTATATCTCGGTAAAACTGACTCTAGAAAATTAAATAGGATGGAAACTGGAAATGAATGTCGATGAACAGGGACAGGTTAAATAAAGTATGACTTGTCTGTATCATGGAATGTCTGCAACAGTTAAAAAGGCACATCAGTGGCCAGGTGCGGTGGCTCACGCCTGTAATCTCAGCACTTTGGGAGGCCGAGGCGGGCAGATCACCTGAGGTCAGGAGTTCGAGACCAGCCTGGCCAACATGGTGAAACCCCGCCTCTACTAAAAATACAAAAATTAGCCGGGCTTGGTGGCACGTGCCTGTAATCTCAGCTACTCGCGAGGCTGAGGCAGGAGAATCGCTTGAACCTGGGAGGTGGAGGTTGCAGTGAGCCGAGATAGCACCATTGCACTCCAGCCAGAGTGACAGGACAAGACTCTCTCCAAAAAAAACAAAGGAGGGGCACATCAGTGTATCTGACAGGGAAAGAGTTCCACATGCTTAAGTGTAAAAAGTTTCAAAACAATGTTAACAGTAAGCCCACCCCCTTTAAATTGATAAAAATGAAACAATATCTATTGCTACATGAGCTTATACATATACACACACACAGGAAACAGGAAACATACCAAACTCTTTAACAGTGCCACCTCTGGGGAGGAGACTAGAATAGGAAGCAAGACAAGGGGAATTTTCTTTGTGTGTATATTTTTACAATGAGAATACATATGTTAATGATTTGGGGTATTTTCATATATATATATGAAAAATATATATGAAGAGAATGCCTTTTATAAGGTAAACTAAAGGCCTCTCCAAGAAATACATAATGCTGTATTTGTGCCCCATTGGACTTTTGGGTTCAAGCACACCTGAAATTCTGACATGAAGGAGGAACCATTCCCCAGAGGACTAAAGGTGGGAGAGAGGATAGATGTGATTGGACAGACATGTATTGAATTTCACACACCTGTGTCCTCCACAACCCAGGAGTCTGCAGGTGGCTTCAGTCAGGGAAAGCGGGGAGAGAAGTGGGTTGGGATCTGTTTACAGAGTTGGAGGCCTTGCAGGTTCTGCTGGGATCAACAGAAGTAAGTTCCATCTCAAAATGGAAGAAAGTGCCTGGTCCGTACAGTGATGGAGGCTGTGAATTAAGTCAACTGGAAGAGGATCCACGCATGGAGTGAGGCATATGTATGCCTATGGCAAATTTGGGAAATGAGTGTCACCGAAGAAGGAGAAGCCATTTCTGCTTTGATGATTCACCAAATGTTTGAGAAAGCAATTTTGAGTAACTTTCCTACTGAAGGAGGGAAGGTAAGAGATACACTGGTTTAAAAGCAGGGAAGGCCGGGCGCTGTGGCTCACGCCTGTAATCCCAGCACTTTGGGAGGCTGAGGTGGGCAGATCACTTGAGGTCAGGAGATCGAGACCATCCTGGCTAATACAGTGAAACCCAGTCTCTACTAAAAATAGGAAAAAATTAGCCGGGCGTGGTGGCAGGTGCTTGTAATCCTAGCTATTTGGGAGGCTG
Source organism: Homo sapiens (assembly GCF_000001405.40). Taxonomy (NCBI): domain Eukaryota; kingdom Metazoa; phylum Chordata; class Mammalia; order Primates; family Hominidae; genus Homo; species Homo sapiens. Next base: position 45,297,350 of record NC_000013.11, read on the forward strand.
AGAGAATTGCTTTAACCCAGGAGGCAGGGGTTGCAGTGAACCGAGATCGTGCCACTGCACTCCAGCCTGGGTGACAGAGCGAGACTCCGTCTCAAAAAATAATAATAAAAGCAGAGAAAACCAAGGTAAGTTCTTGACCATGCCATGGCCCAAATGAAAAAAATTAAGGCTAGAATTCAAGTCCGCTTGAGCCAAAGCTTTTGCTAAATTACTAGCCCCACAATGTCTCCTTTCTTCTTTCTGATGGAGTCATGGATCTGAAAGGAGGGTGGGTGCCCGCTTCCCTCCCCATGCTGCACTGTTGGCATGGCTCAGCCACCTCGGCCCAGGGCCTTACGCATGGAAAACAGCAGCGCCAACATCTGCTAGAGGCTTTTCTGTTCAAGCACAGCTTATGGAGGTAGTGAATCCTTATTACTCACCAACCTTCCTATCCACTTCAAAAATAAAACTCTTAATCACCTTGAGACAGCATCAGCAAGTGAAACCTTAACAACGTGAAGCACTCAGCTTTGAGATCACATTCTGTTACCCACCTACACAAAGATTCATCCCAAGCTCCATAAACCTTAGCCTGCAAGCTAAATAAATTGAACCTCGACATGTTGATTTCTCAAGCTGGATTTAACTGATGTTGCACATGGATACCAAGTAATCTGTTGGGCTCAATTGGTTGATTGCCACATGAAAAAAAACAAAAAACAATGTGTCAATCAAGACTAGGGCATCACATGCACTAGAAAAGAAGCCAGGAAGTGAGAGCTGGGGTTGCACACTGTGCAGCACATGTGATATTTATTTTTGCTGGGTGTTTTTAAACAGCTGTTGTCATCAGTAACTGGGGATGGAGAAACTTGTCCTGGTTTGGGTAAAGTGGTTGAGGTGAGTCTGGTATCTTTGTACTGGGTACAAAGAAAAGGGTATCTTTGTACTGGGCGGGAGATTGGTGAAAATGATCTTTAATGTTGCTGTGGTTTGAAGATCCTGTCAGCCTCGCCCAGCTCAAGACTGGTGAGGGGTTTGCTGTATTGTTCTTCTCACCCAGAGACTCTGGACATGGCAGAGGCCCAGCTACAACACCCACACTGAATTTTACACATGGACATCCCACTGTGGACAGGAGGCAGGCACCAGACAGGCATGCATGTTCTCAGAAAAGACCATTCCCTGCATGGCTTCACAACAGTCTCACCTCCCCCCTGCTGCAGGCCCACCTGCTTCTACACACACTTTTGCATGCACCCAAAAATGCTTGTCTTTATCACTTAATCCTTACTCAGTTCCCTCCTACTCAAGGCCCTTTCAGTTGTAAGAAAGAGAAGTTTATTCACACCTGGGCATGGTGCCTCATGCCTATAATCCCAGCATTTTGGGAGACTGAAGCGGAAGGATCAGTTGAGCCCAGGAGTTCAAGACCAGCCTGGGCAATATAGTGAGACCCCATCTTTACAAAAAAATAAAAAATTAGCTGGGCGTGGTGACACACACCTGTAGTCCCAGCTACTCTGGAGGCTGAGGTGGGAGGATCACTTGAGCCCAGGAGTTGGAGATTAAAGTGAGCTATGATTGCACCACTGTACTCTAGTCTGGCCGATAGAGCAAGACCATGACTAAAAAGTCCAGCGAGGCACGATGGATCACTAGAGGCCAGGAGTTCAAGACCAGTCTGGCCAACATGGGGAAACCCCATCTCTACCAAAAATACAAGATATTAGCAGGGTGTAGCCCTATTGCAGCTGCTCATAGGGCTGAGGCATGAGAATCACTTGAACCCAGGATGTGGAGGTTGCAGGGAGCTGAGATTACACCACTGCACTCTAGCCTGGGTGACTGGATGAGACCCTATCTGAAAAAACAAAACACAAGTTTAAAAAGTCCATTCAAGGTGGCTCAAAGGTAGGAGGCACAGTCTTCACAGAGACCGGCCCTCCCTTTCTTGGGCTGCAGGGTCTTTGCTGGTGGCCTGCCTCTGTGTTATCTGCGGCATCCTGCTCTCTACAGATTAGCTTCCCTGGGTCCATGCAGTTTGAGTTCCTCCATAACTTGGCGTGCACTGTGCTTTGTCTTGATATGGTGCCAACTCTGGCTTCAATTTTACATGATTGGTCAGCTTAGCTCCCCATAACTGGCTGACTCACTCTAGGTCCCATTTCCAGGTTTCCCAGACCAATCTGATTGTTGCCCATCTTGGGTCAGGTCAGTGGGGCTAGAGGGGTTAGAGAGAGGAAAGCAGGAGGGTGCATGTGAGTTCACAGCCAGTAGGAGCTGTAATTGTGGGGTTGGGGTGATTCCCAAGGAAGGGTTCATGTCTAGCTGGGCACTCCAGAAAAAGACCACAGTATCCTCAGACTGCGACAGCTCCTCGGGAATGCTCTTCTGAGAATATGAGCCCTGAGGTTCCATCGTACTCCATTCTGGTGAGAACTTGTGCCTAGGTCTGAGTTCCACAACTAAAGAGAGCACTGAAAAAAAGGTTCACCAGTGAATTTCAAGATAACAGTGACAATTATGAGGGAAAGGCCCTCATAACTGCAGTGGTGCAATCGTGGCTCACTGCTGCCTTAACCTCCCAAGATCAAGCAATCCTCCCACCTCAGCCTCCTGAGTAGCTGGGACTACAAGCATGGATCACCACGTCCAGCTAATTTTTTTTTTTTTTTTTTTTTTTTGTAGAGACAAGGTCTCCCTGTGTTGCCCAGACTGGTCTCCAATTGCTGGGCTCAAGGGATCCTCCTGCCTCGGCCTCCCAAAGTGCTGGGATTACAGGCGTGAGCCACCATACCACACCTCCACAGTTATTTCTGATGATCAAGCAGGTCTGAAAACCATTGCACTCATAAAACATTTTCAACCAGAAAATTAATAAAAACGGCTGTTTGGTGGTAGGGTTTTCCTGGCCATGAACAAACAGCTTGTAGGAGAGTTCAAGAATTTCCTGAAAAAGCACAGTGACATCCCACCTACACATCACACCACGCACCCTGCCCTGAGAACTTGAGAATGAATCCACTGACAGTGTGAGCCTTAGGAGGCCTCCCTGCTCTCTCACCTGAAAACCAAGGATGAGAATAGCGGTGGGAGGGGTGAACGAGAAGAGTATCAAGTGGCTTCACTCAGTGCCTGCCACATAGTAGATGTTCAGTGTTTATTATTGACTGTTTTCAGAGCTACTGCCACTCAATAGTGAAGATAACCTGCATTTCACACATTTCTAGCTACCTCACAGGAAATGGCCATAAAGCCATTAACGGGTATGAAAAGCCGGGGACCAAGGAAATCTCATAGTGAGTAAAGAAGGTTGTCTTTATCAAACACACCAAACAGTAACTCCAGTTTGGAATAAAAGGTAAATATTTATTGGCCCTAGGGCCCTTGCTAACTAGCTTAGAGTCCTGTGTGCTCAAATGTCTCCACTGTACCCCCACGCAAAGCCATCAGAGCCAGCAAACCAGCTGTGTCAGCCCCTACACAGCCAGACCTGGACCTCCCACTGCTTGACTATAGGTTTTCCTGATTGTGTCCCTCCTTGGGGTGAATGTCCCAATAGGAAAAATGGAAAGGAGAAAGTATTTGTTGCCCCCGTGTGCATAACTTACCTTTCGAAATATCAGTCCAGGCCAAGTGCAGTGGCTTACACCTGTAATCCTAGCACTTTGGGAGGCCAAGGTGGGCGGATCACTGGAAGTCAGGAGTTCAAGACCCGCCTGGCCAACATGGTGAAACCCCGTCTCTACTAAAAATACAAAAAATCAGCCGGATGTGGTGGCGGGGGCCTGTAATCCCAGCCTCTCGGGAGGCTGAGGCATGAGCATTGCTTGAACTGGAGGCAGAGGTTGCAGTGAGCCGAGATCACGCCACTGCACTCCAGCCTTGGTGACAGGAGTGAAACTCTGTCTAAAAAAAAAAGAAAAAGCCGGCTAAGGCAGGAGAATTGCTTGAACTCAGGAGGTGGAGGTTGCAGTGAGCTGAGATTGCGCCACTGCACTCCAGCGTGGGCGACAGAGTGAGACTCCATCTCAACATTAAAAACAAACAAACAAACAAAAAAAAACAGTCCAATTGGTTGAAATTGTAGGTCCCCTGGTTCCTTCTCGTACAGTGTCTGCTCCGATTTCCTTGCCCTTCAGGGTGTGATTTCTGCAGGCGATAACAGCACTGGGAGTAACTGAAGAAAGTGCCTCTTCATGGTCGCTCGCGGGAAGGCAAGCACTTCAGTCACACTGTTAGGTATGCTTTAGAGTGCATATTGGCAACAAAATAAAGGTGGATCACGCTCAGGGTTCTCCTTACTGGTTTTGTACCTTAGCATTTGTGACATACAAGGAGAAGTCTCTGAGCTGGCAGCTCCTCACTTTGTAGGATAATGAGAAATCCAGGCACATTTTTGTTTTGGTGCAGCAGCTGGTACTGGTGTCTCAGCCCATTTGAGTTGCTTTCACAAAATGCCATAGACTGGGCAGCTTATAAACAGATTTTTTTTCTCCCAGTTCCAGAGGCTGGAAGTCAGTTCTGGTGAGGGTCCTTGTCTGGGTTACAGACTGCCTTTTCTTTGTGTCTTCATGTGGTAGAAAGAAGGAAAGAGAGCTGTCTGGGGTCTTTTTTATAAGGGCACTAATCCCATTCATGAGGGCTTCACCCTCATGACGTAATCACCTACCCAATCTCCACCTCCTAATGCCATCACCTTGGAGATGAGGATTTCAACATGGATTTTAGAAGGGACACAAACAGCCGGACGCGGTGGCTGACGCCTGTAATCCCAGCACTTTGGGAGGCTGAGGCGGGCAGATCATGAGGTCGGGAGTTCCAAGACCAGCCTGACAAATATGGCAAAACCCCATCTCTGCTAAAAATACAAAAATTAGCTGGGCATGGTGGTATGCACCTGTAATCTCAGCTACTCAGGAGGCTGAGGCAGGAGAATCACTTGAACCTGGGAGGCGGAGGTTGCAGTGAGCCAAGATCGTGCCACTGCACTCCAGCTTGGGTGACAGAGTGAGACTCTGTCTCAAAAAAAAAAAAAAAAAAAGGACACAAACATTCACTCTGTAACAGTTGGGGGTAGTCATACCTTAACGAGCTTGATATGAGAATGTGTTCTCTTTTTTTTTTTTTTTTTTTTTGAGTCAGGGTCTTGCCCTGTATCTTTTTTTAAAATGATGAATAAACCTTATTTTGAAAACAACTATTTGCTGCCTTCCTTCCTCAGCTGAAATGAATGCACAACTCTGTTATTTTTCAAAGTGGAGGCTACACCTACACAGGATCTACTTTTGGGCTTGGAGAGGGTGGTTAATGCCACAGCGCATGAAGGCTGACTTGCCAAATTAATTTAAATTGGGCTGAATACAATCCCCGTGGGTGAGTTGAAATCACTCTGACTGACCTCGAGCTTGGGTGGTGAAAATTAGCATTACATACAGTTGAGAGCAAGCAGCAGGGTCAGCCTGGGGGCTGTCTTTCTAAGCATCTTTCTCTGGGATCTGGCAAAAGGAATTCAGAAACTGTATCAGTCAGATCTGCAGGAGCTTCATTTACTTTTTCTGATAGCTGACACCGTCCCTCACTTGGCTTCGAGGAGACTTGATAATGGGTGAAGAAACAGCTCCTTCCTCTAGATTTGGGGGACAAGGAAGGATGGATGGCTGGGCTATTAATTAGTGATTACCATAAGGTTTTTGACTGTGTAAAGAGAAGTCAGGGGGTCTCACAAAATTACTGTTTAGTTCAGGCCCCGATGTCAATGACTTGAAAGAAATTAAAAGGACCTAAAGAAAAAGAGACTAGAAATAATTTAATGAAAACATAACTTCTAATCACTCTACTTCAGTTTATCATGTACAAGCAATGTGAACCACACCTATTCTCAGAAAAAAAATTGAGATTACTTAAAACTTCCTATACAGATGAAGGGACTTCTAGTGAAAAGGACGTAGGCTCTGGGGCAGGAACACTGGCTCAAATTTCAGCTGTTTGGGAACAGCTTCTATCTCTGAGTTTTTATTTCTTCTTCCTTATAAAGGGTACAACCAAAGTACCAATGTTACATAGATGTTGTAAGGGTAAACCTATTAGCTGTTGTTATTTATTTTTATTAGCGCAGGTCCCTTGAGTTGCAAATGATGGAAACTCAGACAGGCCTAAGCAAAAAATAGAATAAATCTGCACCATGGACCTTAATATTAGGGATAAATAATGCAAAGACATAGTATATAGGCCCATTTGTTGATTACTGATTCCATTACAATATAACTTAATGAAGGCTTGCCAATAAGGAACTGAGCTTGTACTTCCAGAACAGCACATCTTGAGACTGATTTTTTTGTTTGTTTGTTTGTTTGTTTGTTTGTGACGAAGTCTCCCTCTGTTGCCCAGGCTGGAGTGCAGTGGCACCATCTCGGCTCCCTGCAACCTCTGCCTCCCTGGTTCAAGCAGTTCTCCTGTCTCAGCCTCCCGAGTAGCTGGGATTATAGACACCTGCCACCACGCCTGGCTAATTTTCATATTTTTAGTAGAGATGGGGTTTCACCATGTTAGCCAGGCTGGTCTTGAACGCCTGACCTCAAGTGATCTGCCTGCCTCAGCCTCCCAAAGTGCTGGGATTGCAGGTGTGAGCCACTGCGTCCAGCCATTGAGACTGATTTGATGCAAGTAATGAGCTTAGAGAAACTGCAGGCCTGGTGACAGCATGTCTCCTACATGGTCTTCTCCAGTCTCAGCATCCTCCATGCTTTTAGAACACTGCCTCCTCCGTGGTGTCGCTCTGCTAGCAAACATGCTCTGTAGGAAGAGACTCGTGAGAATTCTTGTGGATATTTTAAATTTTCTTCTTTAGGAAGTGGCACTAGAGTAACAGGTTATAGCAAAATGTGAGAATTATGAAATAGTAGCACTGCTGAAACTCACAGGCCCTTGGGAATTGTGATTGGAACTGCCTAGAGGTGCAGGCCAAGCCTGGCAGGTCAGCAGGGGTGCAAGAGCAGGAAGATGGAGGGGAGACACCGTGCTACCACGTGGGGAGGCCCATTAAACTGTGAGCTCCTCCTACCGAGGTAGAGCTTGGAATTAGTGTTTGTCCCCTTTAGGTAGCACAGCGCTTGGCACACAAGAGACGCTTAATAAGTACTTGCTAAATGAATACACCGATAAATAACAATGTTGTGAACTAAGGTAGAAGTAGACAAGAAGGGCAGAACAAAGATGTTCTGAAAGAAGAAATGACCAGAGTTAATAATGCATATGTGAGATAGAGAAGAAAGATCCCAAATGAAATGGATTTTTATTTATTTCCAATGAATTGATACAGGGAAGCACTGACCGTTTCCATTTGGACATAATGAGTTTAAACTGCAGTCCAGTCTCTAAAGCTGAAAACGTGGGACTCCAGACTAGAGGTCTGGACTTAGTGATGGAGATGACAAAGTTCTTGGAACTGGGGGAGGGGGCCAGAGGAGTGAGATTGGTAGTAAACAGAAACCATCAAATAGATGTTGATTGTTGGTGATGATGATGTTATTATTATTTTTGGAGACAGGGTCTCCTCACTCTGTGGCCCAGGCTGGAGTGCAGTGACACAATCTCAGCTCACTGCAGCCTCCACCTCCTGGGCTCAGGTGATCCTGCCACCTTAGCCTCCCCAGTAGCTGGGACCACAGGCATGTGCCACCATGCCCTGCTAATTTTTTTTTTGTATTTTTAATGCAGATGGGGTTTCACTATGTTTGCCAGGCTGGTCTCAAACTCCTGACCTCAAATGATCCACCCGCTTCAGACTCCCAAAGTGCTGGATTAAAGGAGTGAGCCAACCGCGCCCAGCCAGCCTCATCCTTTTTAACAGCCATCATAGGATTTATGATATGAACAAACCATAATTTATTTAAATGTTCCCCTAATACACATTGAGGCTGTTTCCAGACTTGAGTTCTGTTCTGCTTCATTTTGTAACAATGCTGGAAGGAACACCTCTGCCCATACATAGATCCCTGCGCTTTGTGTGGCCACACCCATTTTAGGAGGCCCTGTCCCTGAGGGAGAGGCCAGCATCATCAGGCAGTCTCAGTCATGGTATATTCAGGCCTGAGTTCTATCCTGATTCTACTCAAGCTTTAGGAGCTAAGGCGTTTGCAAATCTGCTGTGAAAATTCCTGAGGAAACAAGTTTCTATAAACCCTAGGGATTACTGACCTCTTCGACTTCTGTTTAACAAACTTTCACCTCCAATATCTGTGCCGTGAACGTTCTCTACCCTTAAAGAAAATTTTCTGACACGAAACAGGTTTATTGCTACCTATTCAAGTTCAGACTTTTACTTTTAAAAAATTATTTTATGCCGGTGCAGTTCCTTATGCCTGTAATCCCAACACTTTGGGAGGCCGAGGCGGGTGGATCACTTGAAATCAGGAGTTCGAGACCAGACTGGGCAACATGGTGAAACATCACCCACCCCCACTCCCACCATCTCTACAAAAAATACAAAAATTAGCCGGACGTAGTGGTGCATGCCTGTAGTCCCAGCTACTCCAGAGGCTGAAGCACAAGAATTGCCTGAACCTGGGAGATGGAGGTTGCAGCGAGCCGAGATTGTACCACTGCACTCCGGCCTGGGCAACACAGTGAGACTTTGTCCCCCCCCAAAAAAAAATTATTTTTATTTTCTATTTTTAGAGATGGGGGCCTTGCTATGTTACTCAGGCTGGTCATGAACTTCTGGGCTCAAATGATCCTCCCACCTCAGCCTCCCAAAGTGCTGGGACTACAGGTATGAGCCAGCATGCCCAAACCAGATTTTTACTTTTTAAATAAGTTTTCTTCTCTCTCAGAGTTTAAATGTGCTCAAAGTCTGTTTCTTTTTTTTATATATTTTTCTTATGCTCTAGAACCAACTCCTTCATGAAGGAATCAGCTACTTCTTATTTATTTTTCTTTTCTTTTCTTTTTTTTTTTTTTTGAGACAGGGTCTTGCTCTATCGCCCAGGTTGGAGTGCAGTGGCGTGATCATAGCTCACTGCAACTTCTACCTCCCCAGGCTCAAGTAATTCTCCCACCTCAGCCTCACATGTAGGTGGGACTACAGGTGCATGCCACCACACCCAGCTAGTGTTTTTATTTTGGTAGAGACAAGGTCTTTGTTTTTGTTTGTTTGTTTGTTGTTGTTGTTTGAGATATAGTCTTGCTCTGTTGCCCAGGCTGGAGTGCAGTGGTGCGATCTCGGTTCAAGCGATTCTCCTGCCTCAGCCTCCTGGGTAGCTGGAATTACAGGTGTGTACCACCATGCCCGGCTAATTTTTATATTTTTAGTAGAGACAGGGTTTCGCTATAGTGGCCAGCTGGTCTTGAACTCCTGACCTCAAGTGATCCACCTGCCTTGGCCTCCCAAAGTGCTGGGGTTACAGGTGTGAGCCACCATACCCAGCCAAGGTCTTGATATATTGCCCAGGTTGGTCTTGAACTCCTAAGCTCAATGATCCTCCCACCTTGGCCTCTCAAAAGTGCTGGGATTACAGGTGTTAGTCAACTGCCTGATTTTTCTTATTTTATAGCATCATGTTTGTTCTTCTTTTATAGATCCGCTGTTGTAGATTTCTCTAGAATGCTAATTAGCGGTCTTGTTGTACTCTTCTGTACCCTGCATTATATCTGTTTTCTATTTGTTCATCTTGGTTTTTCTCTTTCATGCTGAAGGCTCTGTTGGTGCTTCTTGCCTATTTGTTCACATTTTTTTAATGAGGAAATGAAATGTTTGATTAGGAGTTCTCTGTGTGGGCAGGATCTGTCACCAACAGACTTTGCTTTGGGTGAGCAGGTGGGAACCCAGCCATGGTTCTGGGAATCCTGAAATGCCAGCATGTGGAGGACCTAAATTTGGGACACCACACATTCTCACTTCCCTGATTTTCCCCAGAAAGCTTATTCAGTTTTCTAAAGAGAAAAATACTATGGAATGTCATGTTATGTTTTACATGATCTCACCTAGAGAGAAACAGCTGACTATAGATCCCCTCTGCACATCACTGTGGTGCCATATTCCATCCCCTCCCCCTTCCATAACAGCCTCCAAATGTTGACCACCTAGGAGGCCCAAGAACTATAATAGGTACTTGACATAGATCACCTCACAACTACCCAGGAAGGTAAATACTAGTATCCCTATATTCCACAAGGGTAAATTGAGCCTTAGAGAGGTTAAATAAAACATCCAGGGTCACACAGCCGATGAGAAGTGAAGGGAGAATTTAAACTCGTATCTCTCTAACTCCAAAAGCCATATGAATCCCAGCTACTTGGGAGGCCAAGGCAGGAGGATGCCTGGGCGCTGCCTCTGCTGTTGACAGAAATGGAGGGAGGCTGCTGAGTGAGTGTCAGAACCCTTCTCTTAAGTTTCTGATGTCATCCAAGGTCACTCAGCAGGTTAGAACTTTGAGTTCGCAGCCATTTTCCAATTCTGAGGTTGCTTCAAACCTTTCTGCCTTGGAGCTCTTATTTCTGAAAAAATAATGAATAAAAGAATCATCACAGTTCCCTTTTAGGGTCGGCTAGTGTCAGGTCATACAAGAAAAGGGCTTGGGATGGTTAGTTTTAAAACAAAGTGATCCAGTAACTCCCTGATGACTTTTATTGATTCTTACTGTTTGATATAACTTGCCATTTGCTAGCAAGTCTGCTTGCAGAAAGAAATGAAGAAAACATTCCCAACCAGAAGGTGGAAAGCTTCTCCTTAACACATCAATTTTACAGTTGTGAGAGACAAATATGTTTAATAACACATATATATTATTAAAGATAGGACATTCTCCCCACCCCAACACACACCTCTTCAGAAATTATTTTCTGATCTACAGAAGGGGGAGCAATTTGTACTCAGGAAAATAAACTTCTGGTATGCATTTAAAAAGTGTTTCATGTATTGTTTCTTGGCCTTTTGGTTAAGATCAAGTGTAAAAAGTGATTCGTGTATGCATTCTTAAAACAGAAATGATTCCATTAAATAAGGTAAATTGGGCCGGGTGAGGTGGCTCATGCCTGTAAAACCCTGCACTTTGGGAGGCTGAGGTGGGCAGATCACTTAAGGTCAGGAGTTCGAGACCAGCCTGGCCAACATGGTGAAACACCATCTCTATTAAAAATATAAAAATTAGCTGGGCATGGTGGCAGACACCTGTAATCCCAACTACTCAGGAGGCTCAGGCAGGAGAATCACTTGAACCTGGGAGGCAGAGGTTGCAGTGAGCTGAGATCACGCCACTGCACTCCAGCCAGCTTCCAAGAGGGTCTCCTATGATCCCCAGCACCTGGAATTCATGCCCTTGGGTAGTCAGTCCCAGGGCTAACCATGTAACCATTAGGACATTGAGGAAATGATGTGCAGCTTCCAAAACTAGATCATAAACCATATTGTGGCTTCCACTGTATTTCCATTGGAGTTCTCACTCTGGAGGAAGCAGCTACCATATCGTGGGAGAGACTGAAACGGTCCAATGATGAGATCCAGGAGGTGAGGAAGCCTCCTCCCAGCAGCTATGTGAGTGAACATCCTGGAAGTGGATACCCCAACCCAGTCAGGTGTTCAAATGACTGCAGACACAGCCACCATTTCACAGCAGCCTCAACAAAGAGACCCCAGGCTCATACCATCTAGCCAAGAGGCTTTGAATTCTTGACCCACAGAAACTTTGAGATAATACATATTTATTATTCTTAACTATATTTGGGGGTTATTTGTAACACAGCAGTAGATAATTGATTCAGTGACTCACAGTAAACAAGGTGAAAGAGATTCAGATGTGGATTTGAAATAAAAGGGAGTCCCCGTATTGAGAATTTTTAACCTTTAGAACATATGACAAAGCTCTGTCGATTAGGTAGGGCTGATTTCACTCACTGTTCTCCTCTGTGAATGTACACATCCCCCTCATCCATACCGCTCTATGCACTAGACTGTAATTATACTATTCCAGGGATTGTCATTGTGCACTATCATTATAAAAATGCTGAGGGTGGGAGACAAGCTGAGAGCTGGGAGACGGGTCTTCCTACAAAGCAGCCCCAAACACAACTGAAAACAAGGTCAAGACTTCGAATCCAACAGTGAGCATTAGCCTAGCCATCTTCCAGTTCATACCAGTGGAACGGAAGTTATCAGTCCTGTGTTTCCAAAATGCTTTCCAGCAACAGGACCTCCAGGTGTTGAAACCATGCTGGGCTGAGTGCCAGCCTTTTGAACTGCAAATTACCCTGGGGTTCTGTGGGAAGCAAACTTGGGCGCCCTCTGGTGCCCTTCTGGTGAACTACACCACCCAAACATTAACAATTATTTTATCAACAGGTTAGTCATCTATGAGTTAAATTACTAAAGTCCCTTTTCTGTACATACACAGTAGATGCAGCAGCTGGGAGTATGATTTCCGAAAAGAAAAACCGTACCTACATACTTTTTTTTAGCCAGTTGCAGATATTTTTCTTATTTATTGGATTAATTTTTTTATAGAGATGGGGTCTCCCTTTGTTGCCCAGGCTGGTCTCGAACTTCTGGGCTCAAGCGATCCTCCCAGCTTGGCTTCCCAAAGTGCTGGGATTATAGGCGTGAGCCACTGCCCCTGGCCCGGATGTTTTTCATTCTTTTTTTTTTTTTTTTTTTTGAGACGGAGTCTCGCTCTGTTGCCCAGGCTGGAGTGCAGTGGCTGGATCTCAGCTCACTGCAAGCTCCGCCTCCCAGGTTCATGCCATTCTCCTGCCTCAGCCCCCCGAGTAGCTGGGACTACAGGCGCCCGCCACCGCACCCGGCTAATTTTTTTGTATTTTTAGTAGAGACGGGGTTTCACCGTGTTAGCCAGGATGGTCTCGATCTCCTGACCTTGTGATCCGCCCGCCTCGGCCTCCCAAAGTGCTGGGATTACAGGCGTGAGCCACTGCGCCCGGCCAATTTTTCATTCTTTACTGCATTTATTTTATCTATACCTTAGCAGGGTGCAACTAATGGGTTATGGTTATTGATTGATTGTACAAATTTTAATAGAACCCTTACAATTTCATCAGTCTAATTATGGGAAGCCTTAGAGAAGTGGCTGCAAAATTTGTTAAATTTCACTTGAGAGCTAGAATACCAATGCTTGACTCAACTCCTGTTTTCATGTTTGCTGGTTTCAGAAGCCCCTGAGGCAAGATTTCGGGTAGGAACTATCAGTTGTTTACCCTCCCCACCTAGCACCCACTATTTCATCATCTTCCCTGCCTTTGTCTGTCTTTTGGGTAGGAGAGGGCAGTCACAGGGCAAAGTATTCACAAGAAGATACAAAAGGGTGGCTGCAGATGCATACATGAAGAACTTTAAATGAAGACAATCTGTGATGATGCACCTGTGTTTTGCACATTACGTACTTAACTGCTGAAAGAATACGTTCATAGTAAACACATGCTAACCACTCTGGCCATGTCAGAATGCCTACACAATAATAACCGCATCAGACTTAATGTACCAACAGCCCCACTTCCATCCCCAACGGAATGCTTGGTATCTTTCTGCAAAGGAAAATTTGGAAGCAAGACTGCCTCTCTTTCCACTTAGCCAGCAGGAATTTCAATAATAAGATGCGGCAGCATCCATTGACTTTGTACCACCTGTCTTTTATTGTAAGTGTTCACCCTAACGGTTTTTATTAACGCTTTGGCTTCCGTCGCTAAGCAACGTGCCACGTTGGGGCTCTTCGCCAGACTACACCTGTACAAATGTCAGCCTCATTCTCCTGGCTCTGAAGGAAACGTGACCGTTCCCCAAACATGCTCTTTATGGTTGCTTCCTCCTGTTCTTTTTCTCCTTCCCTGAACCGCTCCCAATAGAGACAGGTTGGCGCTTCAGTGCATCTCAGATCCTCTGGCGCCCGGGCGCCCCCTCCCGGCGACACCTCCCGGCTGTGAGCGCGCGGGAAGAGGCCAGAGGCAGGGCCTCTCACCTGCTCGGACTGCAAACCACAAAGCGTCTCTTTTTTTTTTTTTTTTTTTTTTTTTTTTTTTTTGAGGGGCGGAGGTGGTCATTTTTATGTTCCCTGGGCAAAGCGAGCAGCCGTTTGGCTTATAAAATAGCAACGACTGCAGTGGCCCACACTGTCATCACGAAATGCCGCCTCTTGTCATGGTCCCCGGAAAACAGGGTTGAGGAGGAGGAGGAGGAGGAGGAAATGGATAATGCCGATGAGTTACTTTTTTTTTTTTTTAATTTGGGTATGTTCGAGTACATTCTGGTCTGAATGGCGGTGGAGGGGAAGGTAGAAAGGAGGCGTCTGCCGAGCAGCATCCGCGCGGAGCGAGCTGCGGTCCTCGGGACCCCGCAGCAGGAGCCACGAGCCCGCCCCGGCGTCCGAGCCCTGCAGGCGAGGCCAGGCTTGGCGCGGAGGGACCTCAGCGTCCGGGGAGCGCTCGCTGTCTTTGAGTTCCTGCTGCCAGAGCCGGGCCTCCTCTGCTCTCCGCAGCCTCGCAGGGAGGGCGCAGGGGCGAGTCCTGGGCGGGCAGGGCAGCCGCGCCCGCCAGAGAGACAAAGGCCAGGGGGTCTCTGGCCGCAGCACTTTCCAGCGCCGCCCGGTCCTCACACAGAAAACTCTTCTAGCTCTGCGGGTGCGGCTCTAAACGGTAATGTTTGCATTTTCTCTAGGGTGATCCGCAGAGGGGGCCAAGCCATAAGTCCCCTCCAAAAGTCTATATGTGTTCATCGCATGTTTACCAGAAGATTTGACACTACACCAAAAAGCACACAGACAAACACCTTAGAAGTATCACCGTAAAAACGGTTATCTTTCCAGCCAAAAGTCTTGAAATGTGTGGCTCCTAGCGGCAAGCAGCAATGGGATAGTCGCCAGGGTCCTTTTACCCTGTTTAGAAGGTTGGGGAGGCTGAAGAACATCGCCTGCAGGCCTGGTGGGGTGGCTGACGCCTGTAATCCCAACGCTTTGGGAGGCTGTGGCGGCAGATCACTTGAGGTCAGGAGTTCAAGACCAGCCTGGCCAACATGGTGAAACCCCCGTCTCTACTAAAAAAAAAAAAAAAAAAAAAGAGGCCGGGTGCGGTGGCTCGCGCCTGTAATCCCAGCACTTTGGGAGGCCGAGACCGGCAGATCACGAGGTCAAGAGATCGAGACCATCCTGGCCAACATGGTGAAACCCTGTCTCTACTGAATATACACGGCCTCCCAAAGTGCTGGGATTACAGGCGTGAGCCATGGCGCCCGGCCTTCTTTTTCATTTTTGAGACAGAGTCTCATTCTTTCTCCCAGGCTGGAGTGCAGTGGCATGATCTTGGCTCACTGCAGCCTCCGCCTTCCAGTTTCAAGCGATTCTCTGCCTGAGTCTCCTGAGTAGCTGCGATTACAGGCGGGTGCCACCGTGCCCTGCTTATATTTTATTTTATTTTTTATGTTATGTTATGTTATGTTATGTTATGTTATGTTATGTTATGTTATGTTATTTTTTGAGATGGAGTTTCTCTCGGTCGCCTAGGCTGGAGTGCAGTGGCGGGATTCGGCTCACTGCAACTTCCGCCTCCTAGGCTCAAGCAATTCTCCTGCCTCAGCCTCCCGAGTAGCTGGGACTACCGCTACACCACGCCCGGCTAATTTCTGTATT
This sequence comes from Homo sapiens, assembly GCF_000001405.40. Lineage (NCBI taxonomy): Eukaryota > Metazoa > Chordata > Mammalia > Primates > Hominidae > Homo > Homo sapiens. Next base: position 45,312,958 of record NC_000013.11, read on the forward strand.
TTAGTAGAGAAGGGGTTTCACCATGTTGGCCAGGATGTTCTCGATCTCTTGACCTCGTGATCTGCTGGCCTCAGCCTCCCAAAGTGCTGGGATTACAGGCGTGAGCCACCGCACCCGGCCTTATTTATTTATTTATTTATTTATTTATTTATTTAGTAGAGATGGGGGTTTCACCATGTTGGCCAGGCTGGTCTTGAACTCCTGACCTCAAGTGATCTGCCGCCTCAGCCTCCCAAAGCGTTGGGATTACAGGCATGAACCACCCCACCCGGCCATACCCAGAGTTTCTTATTTTCAGATGAAACATTTTGCTTGATGCCAACATTCTTGTTAGATGTTTTTGTTTGTTTTTTGTTTTTAAGACAGGGTCTTACTTTGTCACCCAGGCTGGGGTGCAGTGGCATGATCTCGCCTCACTACAACATCTGTCTCCCAGGTTCAAGCGATTCTCCCACCCCAGCCTCCCTAGTAGTTGGGACTACAGGTGATGACCTCCATGCCCGGCTTTTGTTTGTTTGTTTGTTTGTTTTGTATTTTTGGTAGAGATGAGGTTTCACCATGTTGCCTACCAGTTCTGGGATTACAGGTGTGAGCCACCATGCCTGGTCTTGTTAGGTTTTAAAGCCCATATTGTTTTCTGATCTGATTTTTTGTTTTGTGCTTTATAAAGCAAATATTTATGAAGTATCCACAATGAAGTACCCACAAAATGTGTTCTTAAAGTGAAAGCTAAAATAGAGCCCTTGTCCCTGCTTTCATGGTCCTTCTGTTCTAATGGATGTCATTCTGATGGGGGCTACGGTAACAGCAAGTCAGGGTCTCACCCATCAGAAGGTAATGGTATGTCAGTCGGGAGGCGGGATAGAGTGTCGGGCACTGCTATTTAGATGGTTCTTTAGGAAAGCCCTTCCTGATAAGAGAGCAGAGACCCTAAGAAATGAGAGTGTAGGCTGGGCGCAGTGGCTCACATCTGTAATCCCAGCACTTTGGGAGGCCGAGGCAGGTGGATCATGAGGTCAGGAGTTCGAGACCAGCCTGGCCAGCACAGTGAAACCCCACCTCTACTAAAAATCCAAAAAAAAAAAAAAAAAAAAAATTAGCCAGGCGTGGTGGCACATGCCTGTAGTCCCAGCTACCTGGGAGTCTGAGGCAGGAGAATGGCTTGAACCTAGGAGGCAGAGGTTGCAGTGAGCCGAGGTTGTGCCATTGCACTCCAGCCTGGTGGACAGAGCAAGACTCCATCTCAAAAAAAAGAAAAAAGAAAAAGAAATGAGAGTGTAAGCCACATGGGACTCCAAGGGCAGAGCGAGCATAAGGTCAGGAGTTGGGGGGGATGTTTGAGGGGCACTGGGGAGGCCTGAGCAACTGGAGCTGAGTGAGGGAGAGGGGACGTGCCAGATGTGTGCTACAGAAAAAATTACTCATGGCCGGGCGTGGTGGCTCACGCCAGCACTTTGGGAGGCCAAGGTGGGCAGATCACTTGAGGTCAGGTGTTCGAGACCAGCCTGGCCAACATGGCGAAACCCCGTCTCTACTAAAAACACAACTCACGCCTGTAATCCCAGCACTTTGGGAGGCCGAGGCGGGCGGATCACGAGGTCAGGAGATCGAGACCATCCCGGCTAAAACGGTGAAACCCCGTCTCTACTAAAAATACAAAAAATTAGCCGGGCGTAGTGGCGGGCGCCTGTAGTCCCAGCTACTTGGGAGGCTGAGGCAGGAGAATGGCGTGAACCCGGGAGGCGGAGCTTGCAGTGAGCCGAGATCCCGCCACTGCACTCCAGCCTGGGCGACAGAGCGAGACTCCGTCTCAAAAAAAAAAAAAAAAACACACACAAAAATTAGCTGGGTGTAGTGTCACATGTCTGTAATCCCAGCTACTCAGGAGGCCGAGGCAGAAGAATCGCTTGAATCTGGGAGGCAGAGGAATCAGTGAGCCAAGATCACGCCACCGCACTCCAGCCTGGGCGACAGAGGAAGATTCCATCTCAAAAAGAAGGAAAGGAGAGGAGAGGGGAGGGGAGGGGAGGGGAGGGTCACTACTGACACTTGTTAAAGTGGAATGGCAGACTTTAGTCGGGGGGCCGTCACCATATATATAAGGACTGTTCCCCAGTGGGGGAGAGATTGGGCTCAACTCCAAATCAGCAAGAAAAGGTGGAACGTGCAGCCAGGGGGTGGGGCCCAGGTTTTCTTTTTTTAAATTTTTTTTGAGACAGAGTCTTACTCTGTCGCCCAGGCTGGAGTGTAGTGGCACGATCTTGGCTCACTGCAACCTCGCCTCCCAGGTTCAAGCAATTCTCAGCCTCCCAAGTAGCTGGGATTACAGGCGTGCGCCACCACGCCCACCTAATTTTTATGTTTTTAGTAGAGACGAGGTTTCACCATGTTGGCCAGCTTGGTCTCGAACTCCTGGCCTCAAGTGATCCACCTGTCTCGGCCTCCCAAAGTGCTGGGATTACAGGCATGAGCCACCGCGCCCAGCCCCAGGGCCCAGGCTTTCTAGGGCCTAAACTGATACCATTTGTGAGGCCCTGGTTAAGGAAATGAATATAAAATAATGAATCCAAAATGAGGTCCGAGAATGAATATTTAAAGGCGCCCTTAACCTAGGGTCCACAGTCCCCTGTAGCTGGGAGGTGGGTGCGCCTTTGGGCCAGGGCATGTGCACTCCTTTGTGCCAGTCTCTCCCCAGCTGCTCGGCCTGTCAGCACCTGTTGCTGTTTCAAATTTGCAGCCCTGCAGCCCATCCAGCCTGAGTGTGGCCCGCTGAACTCTGGCCAAAGGCCAAAGTGCCTTTAAATGAAGGTTGTCCAGCCTTGACTGAGATTAGAGTAGACAGATAGATTAACCCAAATAGTTAATCTGCCAAAAATGTCCATCTTAATTTAAGTTGGAATATTACATGAAAAAAAAGTTGGAATATTACGTGAAAATGTAACATAAAGGCCAGGTGCCATGACTCACGCCTGTAATCCCAGCTCTTTGGGAGGCCGAGTCAGGAGGATCACTTGAGGTCAGGAGTTCCAGAGCAGCCTGGCCAACATGGTGAAACCCCATGTCTACTAAAAATGCAAAAAACTAGCCGGGCATGGCAGCATGTGTCTGTAGTCCCAGGTACTTGAGAGGCTGAGGCAGGAGAATCACTTGAACCCGGGAAGCAGAGATTGAGATTGCGCCACTGCCCTCCAGAAAAAAGAAAGAAAGAAAGAAAGAAAATGTAACATAAGGTGCTAAGTACATAGAAAGAACAATAGAATCAGAGCTCTTTGGGGGGAGTGATGGATTCTGACAGAGGAAGAGGAGGAAGAGGGGGAGGAGGAGAGAGGAAGAGGGGGAGGAGGGGGAGGAGGGGGAGGAAGAAAAGTGGGAGAAAGGAGGAGGAGGAGGAAGAGGAGGAGGAAGCTCTCACAAAGGAAGCAGCATTTATCTGGATTGGTAAACATAAGCAGGCTCTGCCAGGTCGAGGATGGCAGAGGGGTCATTGCAGGAGGCAAAATGGCACCGGCAGCAAGGGGTTGGGTGCAGAGAAGTGGAGGGTATGTTGGGGCTGCAGGGGTCTCGGAGGGAGAAGCTGGAGAGGTGGGCTGAAGAGTGAAAGGCTGGGCTGCGGAAGGCAGGCATTTCAGTGAAGCTGCTGGAAACCATCACAGACTAAAATGTTAATGATTAATCATTTGTTACTATATTAACCCACTGCGAGGGCTAACAGTTTTTCAAAAGGCCCTCTGGAGCCCGGAAGACTTGGCTGAGGGGCAGTCTGTTTTATTTTTTTAATTTTAATTTTTCTAATTATGGAAAATTTCAATAATAACCTGTGTACCCGTCCTCCTGCTTCAGTATTATCAACCAGAGCCCATTTGGTTTCAACTATCTCACCACTCACTTCTCCCTTGCTATATTATTTTAAAACAAATCTCAAGAGATAATGTTCTCTAAAAGATTAAGACTTCAGAGCAGAAGAAATAACTATTGGGTACAAGGCTTAGTACCTGCGTGATGAAATAATCTATACAACGAAGCCCTGTGACACGAGTTTACTTATATAACAAAACTGCACGTGGACCCCCAAACCTAAAATAAAAGTAAAAAAAAAGAAACTAAAGGTAAAAAAGACTAGAAAAAATAACCATAATATCATCAATGTCATAAATTTCTTTTTTTATAGTTTGCTTCAATCAGGATCAAATGTCGGAGGTCTTTGAACCAGAGCAACTCCATCTTGAATAGAGGCTGGGTAAAACAAGGCTAAGTCCTGCTGGGCCTCATTCCCAGGAGGTTAAGGCACTCTGAGTCACAGGACGAGCTAGGAGGTCAACACAAGATACAGGTCATAAAGACCTTGCTGATAAAACAGCTTGCAGTAAATAAGCCGGCCAAAACCCACCAAAACCAAGATGGTGATGAGAGTGACCCCTGGTCGTCCTCACTGCTACCCTCCCACCAGTGCCATGACAGTTACTAATGCCATGGCAGCATCAGGCAGTTACCCTATATAGTCTAAAAAGAGGAGGCATGAATAATCCACCCCTTGTTTAGCATGTCATCAGGAAATAACCATAAAAATGGGCAACCAGCAGCCCTTGGGCCTGCTCTATGGAGTAGCCATTCCTTATTCCTTTCCTTTCCTAATAAATTTACTTTCACTTTACTCTACAGACTGGCCCTGAATTCTTTCTTCCACAAGATCCACAAACCCTCTCTTGGAGTCTGGATTGGAACCCCTTTCCGGTAACACAAATAAGGTTTATACATTGCGATTGGTTGATCTTTTAAATCTCTTATTAATCTAGAATTTATCTGTTTCTTTTTTCTTTTGATTTATTTGTTAAAAAAAACAAAAACAAACTCAAGTTGTTTGTCCTTTAGAATTCCCCAGTCAGGGCTTCAGCAATGGCATCACTGTAGTGTCATATAATATGCCCTCTGTCCCTACAGTTGCCATAATTTGGTATACGGATGTCAATCAGCTTTAGGTTTGATCTTTTGACAAGGCCATTTCATAGTTGGTGGTGTGTTCTTCCATCAGGAAGTATGTAACAGATACTTGGTTGTCTCTCTTTTTGTGATATTAACAATCATTGATACTCAATACCCAGGTAGGAATGGATACGTAGGGCTGGGCCCTGGTGGCTCATGCCTGTAACCCTAACACTTTGGAAGGTCAGAGTGGGCAGATTGCATGAGCCCAGGAGTTTGAGACCAGCCTGGGCAACATGATGAAACTCCATCTCTACAAAAAAATTAAAAAATTAGCTGGGCACGGTGAAGCATGCCTGTAGTCCCAGCTACTCAGGAGGCCGAAGTGAGAGAATTGCTTGAAGGTCAAGGCTACAGTGAGCCATGATTGCACCACTGCACTACAGCCTGGGCAACAAAGCAAGACCCTGTGTCTAAAAAGAAGAAAAAAAAAAGAATGTACAGTTAATAATGGAATTTCAGGTGTGCAAGCAGGTCAATGGGGGGAGGGCTATTTTGGGGTACAGATAATCAGATGATCTTGGCACCTTTAAAATAACACTTCACATCATATAAGGTAGACAAGTTCTTCATCTTTTTTCATATACAGTTGGCCCGAGTGAGCTACTGTACCCATCTTTAGCTTTCTTCTCTGCAGTTCATTAACCCATTTCCTTTTCTCAAAAACCATATATGCTGACCCTTTCCAAACTTTATAAATTATATTCCTTTATTCAACAAACATTTATTGGCTGGGCACAGTGGCTGTAATCCCAGCACTTTGGGAGGCCGAGGCGGGCAGATCACTTGAGGTCAGGAGTTCGAGATCAGCCTGGCCAACATGGTGAAACCCTGTCTCTACTAAAAATACAAAAATTAGCCAGGCATGGTGGCGCATGCCTGTAATCCCAGCTACTCGGGAGGCTGAGGCAGGAAAATCGCTTGAACCCGGGAGGCGGAGGTTGCAGTGAGCCGAGATCGCACCACTGCTCTCCAGCATGGGCGACAGAGCGAGACTCCATCTTTTTTTTAAAAAAAAAAAGAAAAGAAAAGAAAAGAAAAAGAAAACTGGAGGCCGGGTGCGGTGGCTCATGCCTGTAATCCTAGCACTTTGGGAGGCCGAGGTGACTGGATTGCCTAAGGTCAGGAGTTTGAGACCAGCCTGACCAACATGGTGAAATCCTGTCTCTACTAAAAATACAAAAACTAGCAGGGCGTGGTGGCAGGTGCCAGTAATCCTAGCTACTCAGGAAGCTGAGGCAGGAGAATCACTTGAACCCAGGAGGCAGAGGTTGCAGTGAGCTGAGATCGAGTCACTGCACTCCAGCCTGGGCAATGAGAGTGAAACTCCATCTCAAAAAAAGAAAAAAATAAAAAGAAAACTGGGCCTTCTGGTGATTTTTAAAAAGTAGGTTTGGGGCACATTGTGAAGGTTTTGCAAGTCAGGTCAGGCCAGGTACGGTGGCTCATGCCTGTAATCGCAGCACTTTGGGAGGCCAAGCGGGCGGATCACTTGAGGTCAGGAGTTTGAGACCAGCCTGTCCAACATAGTGAAACCCCATCTCTACTAAAGAAAAATACAGGCCAGGCATGGTGGCTCACGCCTGTAATCCCAGCACTTTGGGAGGCGGAGGTGGGTGGATCACCTGAGGTCAGGAGTTCAAGACCAGCCTGGCCAACATGGAGAAACCCGTCTCTACTAAGAGTACAAAAATTAGCCCAGTGTGGTGGCAGGTGCCTGTAATCCCAGCTACTCAGGAGGCTGAGGCAGAAGAATTGCATGAACCCGGGAGGCAGAGGTTGCAACGAGCTGAGATCGCACCACTGCACTCCAGCCTGGGCAACAGAGTAAGACTCCATCTCAAAAAAAAAAAAAAATTAGTTGGGTGTGGTGGTGCACACCTGTAATTCCAGCCACTCAGGAGGCTGAGGCATGCTTGAACCTTGGAGGCAGAGGTTGCAGTGAGCTGAGATCGCGCCACTGCACTCCAGCCTCGGTGACAGAGCGAGACTGTCAGAAAGAAAGAAAGAGAGAGAGAGAGGAGGGGAGGGGAGGAAGGGGAGGAAGGAAGGGGAGGAAGGAAGGGAGGAAGGAAGGAAGGAAGGAAGGAAGGAAGGAAGGAAGGAAGGAAGGAGAAAGGAGAAAGAAAGGCCAAAAGTTTGCAAGGTTTTGAAAAGGGAAGTGTGAAAGTATTTGACTGCAAGTTCAGAACTCAAAACTATGTAATGTTCAGGCCAGTATCAACTAAAGCATAGTGACTCAACATGTGGTCCACTGTGTGGGACAGAGATTGAGAGCACACATTTAGAAACTGGGTGAGGTGGCTCACATCTGTAATCCCAGCACCCAGGAGGCAGCAGTCAGCTGAGATCATGCCACTGCACTCCAGCCTGGGCAACAGAGCGAGACTCCATCTCAAAAAAAAAAGAAAGAAGGAAAGAGGGAAGGAACGAAGGAAGGAAGGGAGCTTTTCAGGCAATATGATAGAATAATTTTGTTTATTGAATCTAAAAATACAATGTAATAACAAAAAAGTTATTTGGAATTGTATTTTGCATGTTTTTCTTTCCAACTTACATTTATAATAATTCATATTTATTATATTTTATGAAAGTTATCAGTCCAAACAGATTGCAAATTTAAAGAAAACCAGTCCTGAGACTGGGTGCGGTGGCTCACGCCTGTAATCCCAGCACTTTGGAAGGCCGAATCGGGTGGATCACTGAGGACAAGAGTTTGAGACCAGCCTGGACAACATGGAGAAACCCCGACTCTACTAAAAACATAAAAACACAAAAATTAGCCAGACGTTGTGGTGCATGCCTGTAATCCCAGCTACTCGGGAGGCTGAGGCAGGAGAATCGCTTGAACCTAGGAGGCAGTGTTTGTAGTGAGCCGAGATCACGCCACTGCACTCCAGCCTGGGTGACAGAACAAGACTCTGTCTCGAAAGAAATAAAGAAAGAAAAGAAAACCAGTCCTTTACCACAGATACTTTGGAAAGCACTGGACTAGAGTCAGAATAATGCAAGACAAGAGTTTTCTCTTATAGTTTAGGTTAGTTTATGGAGAGAGAGAGAGAGCACACTAAGTGTTGGCTGTTAAAAAGTTGTAGTTTGCCCAGGGAGCGGAAGGGGTGTCAGCAGCCAGGATAAGCCAATTTAAAGTGGCAATTTAATGACATCACTATTGATTTCAGACTCCTGCAGTGTTCCCCAAACCTTGTACTATACTCAGATTAAAGTCTAGGCTGCTATTAAATAAATGAAGAACAAAATAATGGGGGGGGGGGAATTGAAGCTTTCTTCTAATGCTAACCTCCTGCTATAACCTGGCAGGACAGCTACTTTCCAATATTTTTAGAAGTTATTTATATACAAGGGAAGGGTGTTTTAAAGAATTCTAGGAAAGAAAAGGGAAGTCTAATGTTACAAGACACTGCAGGGAAATGTCACTGTATAATAACTCCCATCTGGGTTGGGTGGCAGGGTTTGGGCTTACATGATGTTATGTAATAACACACACCCTCCTTCTGTGCCTTGCTGCCTCGCTATTACACTACACATGGTGCATGTGCAGGGCAGAACGCACCGGGGCCTATGGTGACAGTGCAGGATGCACCAAGAAATAGGAATGCAGACATATTCTCAAGACAAAAAGACAGGCTGGGTGCAGTGGCTCATGCCTGTAATCCTAGCACTTTGAGAGGCTGAGGCGGGCCTCAGAGTAGCTGAGACTACCACCACACTTGGCTAAGTTTTGTATTTTTAGTAGAGATGGCGTTTCACCATATTGGACAGGCTGGTCTTGAACTCTTGGCCTCAAGTGATCCGCTCATCTCGGCCTCCCAAAGTGTTGGGATTACAGGCCTGAGCCACCATGCCCAGCCAGTATTCTGATTTTCTTTAACCCCCGGAAGCTTCCATGTATTCGTTTCTCACAAAGCTTCTCAACATAACCTGTAGACTTTCAACACATACCCACATGCTAACAAGGTGGGTGTGATGGTTAATATTAGATGGCAGCTTGATTGTATTGAGGGATGCCTAGATAGCTGGTAAAGTATTGTTCTGGGTGTGTCTGTGAGGGTGTTGCCAGAGGAGATTGACATTTGAGTCAGTGGAAAGGGAGAGGAAGATCCATCCTCAATGTAGGTGGGCACCATCCAGTTGGCTGCTAGTGGGGCTAGAGCAAAGCAGGTGGAAGAAGGTGGGCTAAGCCGGCTTTCGGAGTCCTCTGGCTTTCATCTTTCTTCTGTGCTGGATGCTTCTATTCATTTCTCCTAACCTTGGACATCAGACTCCAAGTTCTTTGGCCTTTGCACTCTTGTACTTAGACCAGTGGTTTGCCAGGGCTCTTGGGCCTTTGGGTACAGACTGAAGGCTGCACTATTGGCTTTCCTGCCTTTGAGGCTTTTGGACTCGGACTGAGCCGCCAGTGGCTTCTTTCTTACCCAGCTTGCAGATGGCTTATCACGGGACTTTGCTTTGTGACTGTGTGAGCCAATTCTCCCTAATAAACTCCCTTTCATATATCTATCCTATTAGCTCTGTCCCTCTGGAGAACCCTGACTAATACAGTGGGTTAACAAGGTGGTCGCTTCTCTTTTTTTTTGAGACGGAGTCTTGCTCTGTCCCCCAGGCTGGAGTGCAGTGGCGCGATCTCAGCTCACTGCAAGCTCCGCCTCCCAGGTTCACGCCATTCTCCTGCTTCAGCCTCCAGAGTAGCTGGGACTACAGGCGCCCGCCACCACGCCCATCTAATTTTGTTTTTGTATTTTTAGTAGAGACGGGGTTTCACTATGTTAGCCAGGATGGTCTCGATCTTCTGACCTCGTGATCCACCTGCCTCAGCCTCCCAAAGTGCTGGGATTACAGGCGTGAGCCACCGCGCCCAGCCTACTGGTCACTTCTCATTTAATTCATGAAACAGAAGCAGAGAGGTATTGGCACAGGCTGCAGTCAAGCATTAGCCTCCTGACGCCCTGGACATAAACTGGCTTCCTTGGTAAGCCTGATGTCTGTGTGATGCCCAGATTATGCTGAATTTCCCCCTCAAGGAGTAGGTCTAGAAGACCCAACATCTGGCTGACAGTAAATCCAGAAAGTAAGAGCTGAGAAAATGAAAATACCAGAAACAAATTTTTTTTCAAAAAAGTTTCCAAGAAATGAAAAATGTGTTTTCAAGTTGAAATGCCTGACCAAGTATCCATCACAAGAAATTTAAAAAGACACCTACTAAGGCACAATATGATGAAATTTCAGGACCAGAAACAGAGATCTTAAAAGCTTCCAGAGACGAGAGAAAAAAAAAGCAAGTCACAAGCAAAGAATTGACGATTACAATAGCATCAGACTTCTCAACAGCAACACTGGAAGCTGGAAGACAATGAAGCAGGGCCCTCAAAACTCTGTCTGATAAGTTTTCCTAATCTTGAATTCCATATTTAGTCAAATAATCAAGTGTAAGGAGAAAATAAGGATATTTTATACAAGCAATGTCTCAAAAAACAAAACAAAAAAGTAGCTTCTCAATAAACTGTTAGAGAGCTGTTTCACCAAGATGGAAAAAGGGGATATGGCATTCAGGTGAGTGAGAAATTGGTTCATATAACTATGGGTGCTAGGAAGTCTCATGATCTGGCATCTGCAAGCTAGAGACCCAGAAAAGCTGGTGGTGTAATTCAGTCCAAGCTCAACGGCCTGGGAACCAGGGTAGCTGGTGGTATAAATCCCATTCCAAGGGCAGGAAAAGACGAATGTCCCAGCTCAAGCAGGTGGGCAGGCAGCAATAGGAGTGAACTCCTCCTTCCTCTGTCTTTTTGTTCTGTTCAGGCCCTCAATGGATTAGATGATGCCCACTCACACTGGCCATCTACTCCACTGAGTCCACCGCCAGAAATGCTCATCACATCTGGAAACACCCTCACAGACACAACCAGAAACAATAGTTAATCTGGGCACCCCCTGGTGCCCAGATTTTCTGATGACACAGAAAATCAACCACCACAAGTACCTACCAAGCATCAGGAGCTGTTTTAAACACTGAGGATACAGCAGCGAGCAAACCAAAATAGAGCAAAACCAAACCCTCTTGAAGCTTGCATGGGATTGGGCTTGAGATTGATGACAAATAAGTAAGTAAAATACATAGTGTGTTACATTGTAATAAGTGCCATGGAGAAAAAATAAATAAGAGGGTTGGGCATACCATGATGGGAAGGTAGGTTTAAATGTGGTGGTCGGCTGTGCGTGGTGGCTCACGCCTGTAATCCCACCACTTTGGGAGGCCGAGGCTGGCAGATCACCTGAGGTCAGGAGTTCAAGACCAGCCTGGCCAGCATGGTGAAACCCCGTCTCTACTAGAAATACAAAAATTAGCTGAGTGGGCCAGGAGCGGTGGCTCACGTCTTTAATCTCAGCACTTTGAGAGGCCGAGGCGGGCGGATCACAAGGTCAGGAGTTCAAGACCAGCTTGGCCAACATGGTGAAACCCTGTCTCTACTAAAAATACAAAAATTAGCCAAGCATGGTGGCGGGCACCTGTAATCCCAGCTCAGAAAGCTGAGGCAGGAGAATCGCTTGAACCCGGGAGGCAGAGATTGCAGTGAGCCGAGATCGCACCACTGCACTCCAGCCTGGGTGACAGAGCGAGACTCTGTCTCAGAAAAAAAAAAAAAATTAGCTGAGTGTGGTGATGCGCACCTATAGTCTCAGCTACTCTGGAGGCTGAGGCACAAGAATCGCTTGAACCCAGAAGGCAGAGGTTGCAGTGAGCCGAGATCACGCCACTGCACTCCAGCCTGGGAGACAGAGCGAGACTCTGTCTCAAAAAATTAAATAAATAAATAAATACATGTGGTGGTCCGGGAGGCCTTTTTTTTTTTTTTTGAGACGGAGTCTCACTCTCTTTCCCAGGCTGGAGTACAGTGGCATGATCTTGGTTCACTGCAGCCTCTGCCTCCCAGTGATTCTCTGTGCCTCAGCCTCCCGAGTAGCTGGAACTACAGACACATGCACCATGCCCAGCAAATTTTTGTATTTTAGTAGAGAGCTGGTTTCACCATGTTTGCCAGGCTGGTCTCAAATTCCTGACCTCAAGTGATCCACCCGCTTTGGGCCTTCCAAAGTACTGGGATTACTGGCATGAGCCACTGTGCCTGGCCAGGAAGGCCTCTTGATATTGACAAGATAACATCTGAACAGAAACTTAAAGGTGGTCAGAGAGTGAGCTATGCAGCTATCTGGGAAGGGCATTTGGGCAGATGCAAAAGCTGTGAAGTGGAAGCATGCCTGGTTAGGGTTGGCAGGTAACATACAAGGTGCCCAATTAACTTGGAAACAGCAATAAGTTAAGAGGCTGCTGGAACAATCCAGTCAAGAGATGGTGGGGGCTTGGCTCAGAGTAGTAGCCATAGAGTTGGTGAAAAGTGAGCAGATTCTGAATATATTTTGAAGGCAGAGCCCACAGGATTTGCTAAGAAATTGGACATGGAATGTAAAAGAAATCTTAAAAATGAGTGCAAGGATTAGGCCTAAGCAACTGGAAATAGAAAGTTATTCATTTTATCAAGACAGTAAAGACTGGCTATAGGAGGAGTAAATTTTAGGGTGTTATCAAGAGCTTGGTTCTGATCATAGAAATGTTGGGTTGGTGGCTGGATACTTGGGTCTGGAACTCAAGGGAGAGAAGTGTTGGCTGGTGACATAAATATGGGAGTCATTGTGGTTCTAATTATCAGAACCATTCCTGTCTTCTGAAACAGTTACCTACTACCAGAATTATGCTACATAAAGCCACCCCAAAACTTAGTGGCTTAAAACAACCACCATATGTTTAGCTTACGATTTTGGGGATCAGCAATTTAGGCTGAGTTTAATTAGCTGGGGAGTTCTGGTCTTGAGTCATTTGGGGTAGGCTTTCTCATGCCTCTGCTGTCAGCTGTCAGCGCAGCTGGCTGTTCTAGGATGACCTTAGCTGGAATGATTCATCCCTGCTTCACCCAGTCTCTCATTTCCAGCAGCTAGTCCAGGATTGTGTTCCCAGTGGAGGCAGTGTTTGGAGAGAGAGGAGTGCTCAAGGCCCCTTGAAGCCTAGGCCTGGAACTGTCACATCAACACTTCTGTCACATTCTCACGGTCAAAGCAAGTCACAGGGCTGGTGGTGAAGGACGGGGAAGTAGATTTCCCCCTTGGTGGGAGCAGCTGCAAAGCCGCATTGCAAAAGGCAGAAATACAAGGAGATTGTTTAGCCATCAGTGCAACCAGTTTATCACATGTCCCAAATCTGAAACATTTTCTTTTCTTTTTTTTTTTTTGAGACGGAATCTCGCTCTGTCGCCCAGGCTGGAGTGCAGTGGTGCGATCTCGGCTCACAGCAAGCTCCGCTTCCTGGGTTCACGCCATTCTCCTGCCTCAGCCTCCCAAGTAGCTGGGACTACAGGCGCCTGCCACCACGCCCGGCTAATTTTTTGTATTTTTAGTAGAGACAGGGTTTCACCTTGTTGGCCAGGATGGTCTTAATCTCCTAACCTCGTGATCCACCCGCCTCGGCCTCCCAAAGTGCGGGGATTACAGGCATGAGCCACCGCGCCGGCCAGTCTGAAACATTTTCAACCTGGCTATATTGAAGTTTGATGAACCATCTTTTCTCTCTTAAAAGAAATGTAGCCAGGCAGGTGGGGGGCTCACACCTGTCATCCTGGCACCTTGGGAGGCCGAGGTGAGTGGATCAAGACCAGCCTGGGCAACATGGCAAAACCCCATCTCTACAAAAAAATCCAAAAAAAAAAAAAAATTAGCTGGGCCTGGTGGTGCACACTTGTAGTCCCAGTTACTTAGGGGGCTGAGGTGGGAGGATCACTTGAGTCCAGGAGGTCGAGGCTGCAGTGTGCCAAGATCGCACCACTGCACACCAGCCTGGGTAACAAAGTAAGACTCTGTCTAAAAAAAAAAAAAAAAAGTAAAAATAAATGTAGGCTGGGCACAGTGGCTCATGCCTATATTCCCAGCACTTTGGGAGACAAAGGCAGGAGGATCACTTGAGCCCTCAAGTTCGAGACTGGCCTGGGCAACATAGCAGACCTCATCTCTACTAAAAATAAAAAAACTAAGCAAGGCGTGGTGCAGCGCACCTCTAATACCAGCTGCTTGGGAGGCCGAGCGGGGAGGATCACTGGAGCCCAGGAGTTTCAGGCTGCAGTAAGCTGTAATTGTGCTACTGCCCTCCAGCCTGGGTAACAGAGCAAGGCTCTGTCTCAAAAAGAAGAAAAATAAAGAATCGGCCTGTGATTGGTCTAATAAGACAGGTAAAGTTGGTCTGATATTTGGCTTTAGTTAGAGCCAGAATCTCAAGGGGAGGGAGACAGGATTCAAGAATACTAGGATGGAGTGAATGTGAGAAAACAGAATGAGGGCCCAAGCCTGTAGAGAAGGAAAATACACTGCAACCCTATCATGCGGCCTCCAGACCACAAGGTTAAAGATTCCACCTGCCATCTTGTACTTTTATGCTGCCCACTGCTGCCACCAAGGGATACGTGAAAGACATTCCAGCGTGATCTTCGTCTTTGCCACATAACAATTCTATACAACTGTGTTCACAAGTAAGTCATATCAGTGCCTCATAGCCCTGGTGGTAGTTAGGAAATCCTTCCTTTTTTTCTATCCTAAATCTCTATTTCTGTAGCACTCTAAGCCTGGATCTTCTTAGCTTCTCTCAGGAGGGAGAGGACAACACCCTTGGGTGTCTTCAGCATTCTCCAACTGCATAGGTGTTTGTTCTCCATAATGGCCTTGGGCACATTTTTCCTTCCTCCTCGCAGATGGGTCACCTATTGAAAATGCTGCGGTGCTGTCATGTGGCATCCCCAGGGTGAGGCCAGAGCGACAGGATGTCATCCGCCTCTCACCCACCTCATGAGCATTTCCTCCAGAAACAGGCCAAGAGGAAAGGCCCGAACTTTCAAGACTAGGATCAACCCTGCAATGTTTGTTTGGGGGGAAAAAAAAAAAAGAATATAGGCACACAAAGTTTCACGTGGTACAGGGAAGGTATGAGTTGCCCATTTTAAAGTGACATCAAACTGCTTGTCAACCCTGAAGAAGAATCTAGGGATAGATTAAAAAAGTTTTTTTTTTTTTTTTGAGACCTCTTCTCACTCTGTTGCCCAGACTGGAGTACAGTGGTGCAATCTGGGCTCACTGTAACCTCTGCCCCCTGGATTCAAGCAATTCTCTCACCGCAGTCCCCCAAGTGGCTGGGATTACAGGCACCTTCCACCACACCCAGCTAATTTTTGTATTTTTAGTAGAGACAAGAGTTTTACCATGTTGGTCAGGCTGGTCTCAAAGTCCTGACCTTGTGATCCGCCCACCTTGGCCTCCCAAAGTGTTGGGATTACAGGCGTGAGCCATTGCGCCCGGCCTAAAACATATTCTTTTTTTTTTTTTTTTTTTTTTGAGACGGAGTCTCACTCTGTCGCCCAGGCTGGAGTGCAATGGCACGATCTTGGCTCACTGTAAGCTCCGCCTCCCGGGTTCACACCATTCTCCTGCCTCAGCCTCCCGAGTAGCTGGGACTACAGGCACCCACCACCATGCCCGGCTAATTTTTTGTATTTTTAGTAGAGACAGGGTTTCACCGTGTTAGCCAGGATAGTCTCAATCTCCTGATCTTGTGATCCGCCTGCCTCGGCCTCCCAAAGTGCTGGGATTACAGGCGTGAGCCACTGCGCCTGACCCCTAAAACATATTCATGATGCAGTTTCCCAAGGCTACACAAAAGTCAGAGAATGTGAACAGGCATCCTGTATTTTGCAAGTCAGAGAATGTGAACAGGCATCCTGTATTTTGCACTGATTCAGAGTAGAGACCAGTATTGTAAGAATTTCTCATGGTAAAGGCACTCCTATGATAGCCTCTACTTACCAAATCAGCCGATGAGGTAAGTATGAGTTTCTGTTTTCTAGATGGAGATACTGAGGCTTAGAGAGGTTAAGATGCTGGAGTTCTCACAGCAAGTGGTTGGGCTTTTATTAGAACCCAGATTTCAAAATACCACCACTGCATAGTACTAATTCCACATGCCTTCTTCCAAAATGGAAAGAATGCCTTTTTTTCTTGTAAGTCTGCCAAATTGATGCAGACGCTTATCTTTTATTTGTTTTAGCCGAGCTAAAATAGAATGAAAAAAAAAAAAAAGAAAAGAAAAAGGAATTAGGAAGGAACATGTCTAAAGTACACATCGGATGCTGAGACATCTGGTATGCAAAGTGAGAAAAAGGTATCACAGTGTAAGTTCCTGCGTGTGAGTCCAAAATCCAACTGCACCAGTGTGTGGATGGGGCAGACCTGGTTTCAGCAGCAAGCATGAAGACAAGTTTTAGCTGGCAGAAATTCAAGACAAGTCTCCTGTCTGATATTACCCAAAAGAAGCAAATGTCAGTTTAGGCTGCATTAAAATATTATTGCGTTGGCTGGGCGCAGTGGCTCACACCTGTAATCCCAGCACTTTGGGAGGCTGAGGGCAAGGAACATGAGGTCAGGATATCAAGACCATCCTGGCTAACATGGTAAAACCCCGTCTCCACTAAAAATACAAAAAATTAGCCGGGCGTGGTGGCAGGCGCCTGTAGTCCCAGCTACTCAGGAGGCTGAGGCAGGAGAATGGCGTGAACCTGGGAGGGGGAGCTTGCAGTGAGCCCAGATCACGCCACTGCACTCCAGCCTGGGCGACACAGCGAGATTCCGTCTCAAAAAAAAAAAAAACAAAACAAAATTATTGCATTAACATACAATGTGGAAAACGAGGCCAAGCCATACCTGGGGAACTGCAGGGCCTTCACGCACTGTGGTTAAGAGGGACGGAAGTCAAGGGTGCTGAGCACTGGACAGGCGCATTAGATTCCTTTCCACTCTGGCGCTTTATATGTTGCTTTAGCAAGAGGGCAGTAACCACAAGCCAGCTGCCTGAGCTGTTTTCCTTTATCTCATGAGCTCATTTCCTTCCCATGCTTCCTGCTACAATAGTGGTTCCTCAATCCCCAGCAGGGAGCTGAAATCCCAGAAGGGTTTTTAAAATGCTGGATATTCTGGCTGGGCACGGTGGCTCATGCCTGTAATCCCAGCACTTTGGGAGGCTGAGGCGGGCAGATCACTTGAGGCCAGGAGTTCAAGACCAGCCTGGGCAACACGGCGAAACCGTGTCTACTAAAAATACAAAAATTAGCCAGGCGTGGTGGTGGGCACCTGTAATCCCAGCTACTCAGGAGACTGAGGCGGGAGAATCGCTCAAACCCAGGAGGCAGAGGTTGTAGTGAGCCAAGATTGCACCACTGCACTCCAGCCTGGGTGACAGAGTGAGACTCTCCCTCAAAAAACAAACAAAAAACCCGAAATATTAAATGCTGAATATTCTGTTTCAATAGGTGTGGTGTAGGCTCAGCACAGTGGCTGGCGCCTGTAATCATAACACTTTGGGAGGCTGAGTTGGGAGGATCTCTTGAGCATAGGAGTTTGAGACTACGGGGAATTATGATCACAGCACTTCACTTCAGCCTGGGCAACACAGTGAGACCCTGTCTCAAAGAAAGAAAGAAAGAAATTACTCTCATTCGAGAGGTACCCTCCATATACCCAGGGAAAATAAATATCCTCATCTCTGAAGACACAGAAACACAGAGAAGAATCTGAACAAACAGGCCTTGCTAAGTTCCCCCCAGTTTACCATTAGATCATCCGCTTTGTCCAATACTTTTGCACAACTGTTCACTCTTCATTAAACCAAAACAGAAAAATACACAAGCTCACCTGTTTCTTTGGGTCCTCATTTCCTTACAAAGGCTCCCATGTCACAGAAAACATTTAAAAAATATGTACGCTGGCTGGGCATGGTGGCTCACACCTGTAATCCCAGACTTTGGGAGGCTGAGGCAGGCAGATCACGAGGTCAAGAGATAAAGACCGTCCTGGCCAACATGGTGAAACCTGTCTCTACTGAAAATACAAAAATTAGCTGGGCCTGGTGGTGCGTGCCTGTAGTCCCAGATACTCGGGAGGCTGAGGTGGGAGAATCACTTGAACCCGGGAGGTGGGGGTTGCCATGAGCCGAGATCGTGCCACTGCACTCCAGCCTGGCGACAGAGCAAGACTGTCTCAAAAAATAAAAACAACAAAAAAATGTACGCTTTGCTTTTGTCGATTTGTCTTTTGTTATAAGGGCCTCAGTCATGAACTTAGCAATGGGTGTGGAAAGCAATTTTTCCTCCCCTACATGAAAATCTCTGCTGCTCTGACACTCACACCCAGTCCTCCTCCTCCTCCCTGGTCTATGGAACAGAGCAGAACAGGTTGCACATTACTTAACCAAATTTCAGAAGCTTAGTCACTTTTACTTTTAATAGATACCAGCAGTTGGTGTTACCATCATGCTGATATAATGGCAGTCACCAACGGTACTAACACACAGCCTGTGTTCCATCTGACAAAATCCACCACTGTGGATTGAATCCCTTCAAGCTAATACAATGGGAGAGGCTTAGGAAGGATGGGGTGCTAGGAACATAATGAAGAAAAGGTTACAGTGCATCATGCCCAAGATCTGTGTTTGCTTAGCTTCCAATTTTATCCTTGCCATCTGTTGATGCACATTCTTCCACCTCACTGAGGTAGTCAAAAGAGGTATTCATTTTCTTTCTAATTTCATGTGCAGTAATTTTCCTCTTTAACTGCCAGTTTCCACCTCCAGATTGAATACTAGTTTGGATGTTTGACTTACATGATGAATTGGTAGTTCTTAAGGATAACTCCCAAATTAATGTACTCAAGGAAGAGGAAATTACATGTATAGCTGTTTTGAATAGATGTCCAGAAAATACCAATTTTATACCAACTGCTTAGGGAACAGTAGAATAATTTGATAACCCTGTGCTCTAGATGAGGTCATGTGCAAGCCGCAATTGATAATAAACTAGGGCTTATCTGCTTCCTTTACATGTGGAGAAAATCAGCAATTATACAAGTAGATTTTTTTTTTCTATTTTTTATAGAGATGGGCTTTCACCATGTTGTCCAGACTGGTCTCAAACTCCTGAGCTCAAGTGCTCTGACCGCGTCAGCCTCCCAAAGTGCTGGGATTATAGGTGTGAGTCACCACATCTGGCCAACAACTAGATTTCTAGTAACTAGGTGTGGTAGCTCATGCCTGTAATCCCAGCACTTTGGGAGGCAAAGGCAGGAGGATCACTTGAGGCCAGGAGTTTGAGATTAGTTCCAGCAACATAGCAAGACCCTGACTTCCCCCCGCTCCCCCACAAAAAAAAAAAAAAAAACCCAGAAACTCAGGACTAAATGGTAGCCAGTAGCTCTACTGTCCTATTATTAAAAACACTGTGTTATAACTCTTGACTAATAATTGTGGCTTGTGTCCCAGAGGGCCCCTCCAGTGAGTCCCTTGATGTCTCAATTTTCCTTTGTCTGTAGATTGTGACTCACACACAAAACAGCACTGCAGTGTTCTTCCCAGTTTGTGCTCCTTGCTCTACCTCTGGACTCAGAGAAGAGTGGAATGCATACATAAATGAATGGAGGAGAAAGTAATTGAGGGAAACATCATTGCACAAGTTATTTTGGCAAGAATCTTCCCCTAAACTCATATCTGATGTTTCTCTCATTGAATTGTATTGACTCCAGCTAAAGCCACATCCACTCCCAAAGGTTCTCATGGCCCAGCATATGGAGGAAACTTCAATGCCAACTTCCAGGCTCAATTATATGAAACTATGTGTAACCGCACAAATCTACAGGCTCTCAAAAAATAAACTGGAATGTTCTGGTAGTTAAAAATATGCCCCTACAGTAGTAAAATCTGTTTTGAACTGCTGACATGCACAGGGGCCTGATTTATCATTGCTGCATTGATTAAGGGATAGACTTGGAGGATTTAAGTGAGGTAAATAGAAACTATCAGCACTATTATGATTTTTAACTTATCTGCAAGCTCCACATTTAGAGTGTAGCTAATTGAGATGGCTAGCATAGCAGCCAACTTTTATTCAATGGAAGGTATGTGGCACCTTTCTCTTTCAAGAGACAAGACCTCCCTCTATTACCAAGGCTGGAGTGCAGTATTGCAGCCATTAACTCGCTCCAAGCTCAAACTCCTGGGCTCAAGCGATTCTCCCTCCTCAGCCTCCCAAGTAGTTGGGATTACAGGTATGAGCCACTGCCTAGCTATGGCACCTTTTACTTTACTTGCTTATGTTAAAAACACTTTAATCAAGGCCTTTTCCTTCGGAATAATGAAATATTAAATGTTTCCAGAAACTTCAAGTTGCACTCACAGTTCTTATGGATAGTCTCTAGAAACACATGCTAATTGCCACAAAGCTGGAGCTCTTTAGTAGTGACCTACTAGTTGTAAATTACTGATCACTATACTAGTTGTAAATTAGTAAATCCTCCTGGTTTTAGTTCCATTTTACTGAGTATTCTGCTGCCAGCCAGTCATTCCACTCCACCTGTGTGCACACACATATAACCTTAAGGATGCTTTGTTATCAGTGTTCTCTCAAGTTGGTTGAGATTTATTGCTCGTCTTGCAATTTTACCATAATTATCACCAGTTTAGTTTGCAGTTAAGTTACTGACAATCCCTGCAGTTCAGAATGACAGAATTTACATCAACAAAAATCTAGTCATTTAACTAGATTTTGAAACTCCTAATGATCCAAATGAGTAATTCACACCTATTACTGAAGCAGATGCACACATAATAAAAAACCATGTACCTGTATTGTATTTCATGCCTGCGACTGTTAGTCTCTTGAGTGCATTTTAATTAGACTTCCTTTCCCACTAGTGAAATCCAACGGTAGTCAAGTTTACCACTATCAGGCCTCATATTACTTAAGTACTTTGCAACAGGTAACCCTGTTGACTACTTCCTCCTTCCTAAAACTTTTTCCACCTGACCTCTGGGAGGCCCTCCCTTGGTTCTTACCTCAGGGGCAGTTCCTTCTTTTTTAAAATTTTTAAACTTTTTTCAGATAGTGTCTCACTGCCGCCCAGGCTGGAGTGCAGTGGTATGATCACAGCTCACTGCACCCTCAATCTCTCGGACTCAAGCCATCCTCTCAGCTCAGCCGCCTGAGTAGCTGGGACTACAGATGCCCAATTAATTTTTTTAGGTCTCCCTATGTTGCCCAGGCTGGTCTCAAACTCCTGACCTCAAGCGATCCTCCCCACTCAGCCTCCCAAATTCCTGGGGCTACAGGCATGAGCCATGGTTCCTGGCTAAATTTTAGAGATGGGGTCTCCCTGTGGTGCCCAGGCTGGCCTCTAACAATCCTACCTCAGCCTTCTGAGTACAAGTGCAGTGGGAGCACCTCTTAATTACCTTTGTTGGTTTCTCTTTGTCAACCAATCTCATGTTGGAATGCAGTCTATCCTCTCTCCAAATGACCTTATCCTGTATCATGGCTTTCAATGTCTATTGTTATCTTTCCACTCTCTATATAGTTCTCCAGCTTAGACTTCTCTGAAGAATCAGCATCTCAAACTTAACACATCCAAAACTAACAAAACTAAACTCGACTTCCCACCTCAGTGCCAACTTTCTTCCAAACGCTCAGACCAAAATACTTGTATCAACATTAAATCCATCCTCACCCACCAGCATATCCTGTTGTCTCTATCTTCATTTCCTACCACCTCAGTCTACTACCCTAGACTAAGCCACTATCTTTGCCTTAAAAACACATTATACACAATTATTCTATGCTTTTACCCTGCCACCTGGCAGCCAAAGTGATCCTTTAAAAATTTGAGTCATATCATGTAACTCTTCTGCTCAGAGCGCCTGTGGTTTCCTTGAGGTCTGGTCTTCCTTCCTTGCACACTCCCACTGCTTTACAACCCTTCCTGTCTTCTTGGGTTAGCAAAGTGGCCACTTTTTTCCCAGAACACATCACACTCCAGACTAACTGCTGTTGTCTTGGCCTGGAATGGTTTGTCCTGATATCCACATGGCCTACTTCCACACCTTCATTTGTTTTCAAATGTCACATTACAAGGACCTTCCTAGAAAAGTCCTCTTGCTCCACTCAGTTGTTCTCCACACTTTAACAAACCCTAGGGCCCACAGGCTACTAAAGCATGCCTTTGTTAAACTTAGCATCAAAAACAAAATGTTATGAGCTTTCTGATGTTCACATCCTTATTCTTGCCCAAAACGTCTTGACCCTAGGAATAACGAGAAAAAGATATAAAATGAGACAGTCTTCAAAGTCTGAGAAGATTCTACCTGGAATCTTCAAAGGTTTACCATGAGGTAAACAGCTGGGGTTCATCACTTCTGACTTAAATAGACATGATAAAATGCTATGTCCCAGCCTTGATTGGATCTGGATGTTGGGAAAACAGCTAAGAGCACTGAAAGGACAACTGGGGAAATACCTCTTCTGCAGAACTGAAAATCTTCAAAACAAGTTGGAGCAGTGGAGCCCACAAAGTCTCTGAATTGCTACTTGTCTGTTTCAGGCTTCCAAGGCTAGTTCACCAATTAGCTTCCATCTCTCACCTCAAGGCCTTCTTCACTATCCTGGTTTCCCCAGCTTTGACCACTGCCTGAAAATTCCCTTCCTGCTATCATTTCAGAGGACAAAAGGCCCTGTAGATGAGACTCACACTTTTCATTACAATGTCAAATCAGAACGCTAAGCCAGGTGCAATGCCTCACACCTGTAATCCCAACACTTTAGAAGGCCAAAGCTTGAGATCACTTGAGGCCAGAGTTTTCAGACCAGCCTGGGCCACATGGCATGACCCCATCCCTACAAAAAATCTATCAGAATGCTTAAAATTGCTATTAAGTTCCCAATACGTATTTAGGTTTGTTTCCAATCACGGGGTGCTGGGGGTTAACATTAGTATCTGCCTCAGGTTTTGGACACTATGGACAGTCTGGAATTTGACACTAGGGCAAACTCCAGATTGCTCAAACCACTACATTCACATGTTCAAGCAGACCAGAGTCACTGGCCTGCTTTTAATCTTTCTTTTACAAGTGTAATCAACCAGGTAAGGCTGATAGACTATTTCCCAAAACTCACGTTTTGAAAATTCCCCTCCCAGGCTAGGCCTGCACTTTGGGAGGCTGAGGTGGGCAGATCTCCTTGAGCCCAGGAGTTGAGACCACCCTGGGCAACTAAGCGATACTCGGTCTCTACAAAAATTAGCTGGGCATAGGGGTGCATGCCTGCAGTCCCAGCAACTAGTGAGACTGAGGTGGGAAAATGGCTTGAGCACAGGATGCAGAGAATGCAGTGAGTTGCTTGTGCCACTGCACTACAAGCCTGGGTGACCGACCTGCCTCAAAAACTCTTCCCGCTTTTTTTCCTCCTGTATTCCTCTATTCAATCTCAGCTGCCACAATTAGACAGACGGAAAGCGCAAGGACATGTTCTTCTTGCATCTGTGGTGGAAACCATAGCAGCAGATAGCAACTGCTCCAGGTCTGTCAAATAGATGCATTTTCTTATTCAGACACCCCATCTTTTCAGATACAATATAGAGAACATTTTTACCCCTTTGCCCACCAGCCAGCCCACATTCTGTGTACCTTCATCTTTTAAATCAGGGGCTGGCAAACTTGCAGGCTCTAGTCTGTTAGACACAACTCTGCTCATGCACTGACAACAGCCACAGTCAATCCATAAATGAATAAGCATAGCCACGTTCCAATAAAACTGGACTCGAACTTAAATTCCATATCCCACAAGGTATTCTTTTCCCCTCAACCATTTAAAAAGGCAACCAACCACCTTAAAGTGTACAAAACAGGTGGTCAGATAGGCTAGTTTGCCAGTCCCTGTTCTAGTTACCAGGGAGTTTAATTAACATTCATCCCAAAAGACTTCGCTCTCTTTATGTGAAATAAGCTGAGACAAAGTTGCTTCCACTGAATGAGTCTCTTTTTATTCTCTTGGTAATCTCTTCCAGTTAACTACTTCCGTTGTAGGTGATGAAATGGGTAAGGCTCCACACTTCAGATGTTGGCACTGCTATGAGCATGGTCTTTCCCTTTATTGCAACTCAAAATCAGAACCTTTGATTCTTTTTTATATTCCAGTCCCAGAAGTAGTCTCCACTGTAGAAGTTAATTGATGAGTAGTAGCCTACAATCAGGCTCTAGCTTCTCCAGGAACACTACAGGATCAATTTAGTTTAAATATGCATTAAACTAAAAGGCATTCTCTCAAATGAGTTTAAATGCATTTTATTTTTAGACAACCTACATGACATGTTTTTCTTAAAAACAATGCCTCCACTCCAAATAAATCACAGTCAAAATAAATGAAGAGCTCAAGATGACATCAGTCCCATTTGTCTTAAGTCCTGGTGTTGTGTGGATGACAAGCAGAAGCCAGTTATGATGACAGGTGATAGATCCAAAATAATTGCCACATTTGTTACTGTAAAAGCAAAAACTACATTAATATTTTTCAAACATTACACTGCAAAAGTTACATTACCATTAACATGCAGCCTACATTTCCAGGCTAAAGATGTATTCCCCAATTCAATCTGGGCCGCCACAAAGACAGACAGAAAGCGCAGGGATTTCTTTCTTTTGCATCCTAGTGCAAACCAAAAGAACAACAGTAAATTGTTCAAGGTCTATCAGTGGATGCAGAACACCCTTACCAAATCAGCGGTAGCTCATTTTTCAGAAGGCTGTGGCATGTACCACCCACACCCTGCTCTACCAACAAAAACCTCAGATACTGTCTGAATAACCCCTTTGGTAAGTCATCTTATACTGTTCTAAGTAATTTCTGTCTACTGTTGACTCTAATCTTGTTCAGTATAGCTTTATGTTTTTCTTCTTCCTTATACAGAAGCCTATGAAAACTAGGATAATGAATGCCTTTGTTTCTGTACAGCTTCCAGCAGTTCCTTCCATAGAAGACACCAAGTTATTTATTATTAGTAAAACAATTTGCATACCAGTTCAGCAGTCAGCTCTATTTACTAAGCTAGTACTGCACTAGGCTTTTCAATGATCAGCTGCCCATTATCAGTAAACCAAAGTGAAAACCACTGATACTGATCCATACGTATACAGCAAAATATGATTATGAAGTGAAAGTGAGGCCATATCTAGAGGAAGATCAATGGTGTTCTCTGATCTCCTTCAGCATTTAAACTCTACTGTATTTTTTTGAGACAGCACCTCACTCTGTCACCCAGGATAGAGTGCAGTGGTGGGATCTCTGCTCACTGCAACCCCCCTCCCAGGTTTAAGTGATTTTCCTGCCTCAGGCTCTCGATTAGCTGGGATTACAGGTGCCCGCTGCCATGCCTGGCTAATTTTTGTATTTTTAGCAGAGATAGGGTTTCGCCATGTTGGCCAGGCTGGTCTCGAACTCCCAACCTCAGGTGATGCACCCACCTCGGCGTCCCAAGTGCTGAAATTACAGGTGTGAGCCACCACACCCAGCCTAAACTGTACTTTATTATGCCCCATCTGCACTCAACGTTTTCCACAAATAAGATTCTAAGCCTTTTTATACCCTAAGAATTTTTTACATATGAAACACAATTCTCTTGATCCCCAAAGAGAAAACTAAAACCATGTTTCAGAACGCTGTAAAACTCATTCTCAGTGTCACAAAACAATTGCAAATCACATCTAAAATGTCTTTTTTACATTATTTATTTTAACCCACTTCCTTGTACTTACACATTTTTCCATTTCTAAACCATCCTTAAAGAAAATCATATATGGGGTCACACCATCCTCACGGTAGTCCAATAGAGCAACCATGCCATCTGGATTCATGTTTTCACCAATAAAGAACTTGGGAAGCAAACAAAATACCTAGAATTAGACTATTACATACAAATACATGCCATTCAAAACAAACTACAGTACAAGGGAAGGTTTAGACCACCACAAAAATCAAAACTTCAGTACCCAAAAGCTCTGATGCTCACTTATCATAGACATCTGTTCACTGGATTAAGGCACCTTAATAGTGACCTAAATAGAAAAATAACGTACAGAGCAATCCAGGAACACTAGGCTTTCAGGAAACCTTTACTCTCAATCCTAAATACAATCCCAAACCCTAAAGCGTGCTTATATAGTCAACCACAGGGAACATAAGGCTGACAGTGATAGAATATATCATACAGTCTGGAAGTATCTTATGGCCAGGGGATGCATGAAGCTGGAAAATTAGAGGAAAGGGAAAGCCACTGACATTTTCCAAAAGTAGAATTAACAAGCTCAGATACATTAGAAGGAGGACCAGTAGCAATGAGACACATTAAAATTGTAAGCAAAAAACTGAAAGAACACTTAGGTGGTTAAGCAATTCACAAAAAGAAAAACTGAGAAATGTCATCTGGGAAGCAAATTTTCAATCAGAAGACAAGATTTGGAAACACCTGCGAGCTGGGAAAGCCACTTTCTACACCTGGAATACTAGTATAGAATTGAAGATTAATCAACTTAATTTTTGCTCTTGCAGTTAAAATTGTACAATCCTTTGATCCAGATACTTAAGGTATTTACCTGGTAGTTTTTGAAATTAGCAAGGATGTGCTTGATTTGTTCTGCAGCCCCTGTCATAAAAGGTTTTACTCTTTCTGGTCTCTGTTCTTCAAGTTTCCCTTTGATTCTAAAACAACATTTCATTAACAGGTTGAAGTATTGAATTTTCAGTAAAATCAATTTTTAAAGTAAAAAATATCCAAGCTTAAAAAAAGAAAACACTGAAAAAGGCAACCAGCTGTTAAGAAATTACTAGTTCACAGAAGGTATCTTTCAAGAATGTTTACATTTCTTGTTGACTATTTTCAAAATACTATTCTAATTCTAAACGGAAACAGACTGCAGGCTTCAGTATGCTCATATTATAGAAAAGCAACCACTCTTTTCCGTGAACTCATTAATAAAAAAGCAAGGACTTTCACAAAAGTATACCCACTGCGAAAGAACCTCAAAAGTTAGCCAATCTTTAAATCCTGTAAGATTCTAGACATCAGCTAGGTACTGCCAGTATCACTTACGATTTCATGTAATCTTTGATGTACTTCTTGTAGGCTTCTTTTGTGAAACTTGTTTCCTGCAGGTGATGGTTCATGACAATATCGACACCAGTGATTACTGTGCTTTCGGTACCTTCGCCCTCGGGGCCTTCAGCGGAGGCATTTCCACCAATGAGCGAGTCATCAATGTTACCTTCTGTCCTACTGACCATCTGCATTAAGAAAAAGCAGTATAATTGCAAAAGACACAAACGCATCCAAAGCACCTTCCACGCCAATAGTTCACGGATAAGAAGTATTCTTAGTTCTTGCTGAAAATAAAAAAAGCACCATTTTGGGAATAAAGTTGTGACCCGTGGATTTCTCAAAACGACCTAACTTAAAAGAGTTGTCTGTTGGCCGGAACAAAAAATGGGGTCATTAAAAAGTTGTTTCCAGTTGCGGGCATGTGATGCCTCCGGTTGGTAAGTGGGGACAGGACAAACACGAAAGGACTCCAGGCTCCTAAGCCGGAAGCATCATGTCCCGGACAACCCCGGGAGGAGGATGGGCGCCGAGGCGGCGGGCCTATTTCCAGGATCAGCTCCGCCTCCAGTTTTCTAGAAAAACCCAAGCCCGGAAAGAGCGTCTCCTCCGCCAGGAGGCGGCGGGGAGGATTGCACAACCTCAGGCGGGGGAGCGGAGGAAACCCGAGCCCGCTCGGCCCGGACTCCCCCACGCGCAGGCCCGACCGACTCACCTTCCCCTCCACCTCCAGGCACAACCCGTCCGCGATCTCCCGGATCTTGTAGATGTCGGAGAACATCTCATCGTCTGCCGGATACACAGAGCCGCCCATCACCGTGCGCCTGGCGCCGCCATTTCCCGCATTTCCCGCGCCGGCGGCCGCACGCGGGATCTGCCCCTCCGTAGCACACCAGAGCTGGGCGCGAGCCCCGGGCACCGACCCCTCCGCGCTCGGCTAAGACCGCCGGCGTCCCCTAGGCCCGCGACGGCTGCGCCTTCCCCGCCCCCACCCGCACCCCAGACCCCCGTGTGCGGCAGTAAGGATAGTGCAGTGAGGACTCACGGCTGATGAGGTCCCGGTAGATAATCATGATGGCGACTGAAGGGAGACGACGACGGCGCTAGCTTAGCACGAGCCTGAAACTCGGAGCGAGCGCGGTGCAGCCGGAGCGGCGCTCGGGGGGAGGGGGGAGCGGGCGGAAAAGGCCGACTCAGCCGCTCCCCAACCTCATATAGAGGGCACGTCCCTCTACGTCATCGCCCGCTGCGCCTCCGGAAGCGACGCAGGCGGTGACGTGGCACGAAGAGCCGCGCGGGGGCGGGGCCACAGCGGGGGCGAGTCGGGGAGGTGAGCATCCGGGGACTTGAGGCGGAGACACAAGGCTCCGTTCCACTGGGCACGCCAGCGGGTAGGGGTGGGGGCGGGGAGGTGCGCGCGCAGCGTGGGAGGAGGCCAACTCTCGGGGCGCTCCCTAGCCCTGGGTGGGTGGAGCGGGGGAAGCGGAGTACGTTGGACCCGGCTCCGCCCTACCCCACGGGGCCGCCTGGAGAGGTGCTGGGAGCTGGGTGGAGCTTAGAGGAATTAAACTTTGGCCCTGCGCCTCGTCCAGCCTAGGTTCCACCCTTTTCTGGGAACGTGAGTATCAACCAAGGTAGGAGAACGTCGCATTTAGGGAGGGTCAGGCCCTCTGGCCTGGGGTAGATCTCGGGACTGCCCGAGGGCCTCTGACAACTTTTCAGCATCTGCCCCAGGGCTGCCCCAGCTGGAGTTTTTGGGACGCTTTTGTGGGGGCACCGCTGAGTCCGGATAGTGGGACCCAAGTCGTCCTGCTCGGCCCCTGGGGAATAATCGTGTGGGGCGCAAGGTCTGTGGGAAGGGACTTGGAGAGGAGGGAAGATGTCACGGGAGTCTGCACAGGGTTTCCATGTGTTCCAATTTTGTCCCATAATTGAAAGCTTGTGGCATTCTGTGGCGGACGGCTACGGAGCTAGCTCTTCCCTTTACTATTTCGCACTTGGTCTTGGAAAAGTATGTTGTCGCTTTAAGATGAAGTTGAAATTTTATCCCTGGTGCTAGAGGGTCACACAAAGGGAGTTTCCCACCTGCCCCACCTGTTTTTTGAAGGACTTTACACCCAATTACTAAGTATTAAAACAAAACAGGTCCTGCATGGTAGCTCATGCCTGTAATCCCAGAACTTTGGGAGGCAACTACTGAAACCCTGTCTCTACACACACACACACACACACAAATTAAAAATTAATTGGGTGCGGTGGTGCCTGCCTGTAATCCCAGCTATTAGGGAGGCTGAGCTGGGAGGATCGCTTGAGCCCGGGAGTTGGAGGTTACACTGAGCTATGATTGCACCACTGCGCTCCAGCCTGAATGACAGAGCAAGACCTTGGCTCAATAGCAAAACAAAACTTCCGTATTTAGTCACATCGTCACATCTTTGGCATAAGGCAAAGATACATGCCAGTATGAAGTCTGAAAGCTTGTTCTATTTCGCAAATATTTTGTGCTTTGTATCCCTTAGAACTAGGATTTGCACCAAGATTCCAATTGTGAACAAGTTCGATCCAGTCCTACTTATAGAAGTGTTCATTCTGGTAAATCAAAGTATCAGACAATTATAATACATTAACAATTGTTCATAAATCCAATAATATAGCATTCAGCAGAGTAAGAATGCAACCCTTGGGAAAGAGCAGGACACAGGATGGCAATTGGAATGATGGAAAAGTCAAAATGCAAGAGCCAAGAAATTAACCCCTTTAAGAAGATGGGGGGACTGGGCGTGGTGGCTCACACGTGTGATCCCGACACGCGCCTGTAATCCCGGCTACTCGGGAGGCTGAGGCAGGAGGATCGCTTGAACCCGGGAAGCGGAGGTTGCAGTGAGCCGAGATCGCGCCATTGCACTCCAGCCTGAGCAACAAGAGTGAAACCCCGTCCTCCCCCACCCCCAAAAAAAGAAGCTGGAGTTCTTGGATGGAAAACTCCAGAGGACATTGGGCAACTGGGAGGAAGCTAAAAAGGGGGGAAAGGGAAAAAAAAAGATGGGGGTCTTGGATGGAAAACTCCAGAGGACATTGGGCAACTGGGAGGAAGTTAAAAATGGGGTGAAAGGGATCCCAAAATAAATGGATATGACACATGGTCAGTGAAGGCTCTCAAACCTCATTTCTGGAATGTATGAGATGATTATCACACATTAATACTGTGTGAACATTTTTTTTCCAGATTATTACAGTATAATTATTTTCTACCCCGCCCCGCCCAGATGGGGTCTTGCTCTGTTGCCCAGGCTGGAGTGCAGTGGCATGATCTCGGCTCACTGCAACCTCTGACTCCCGGGTTCAAGCGATTCTCCTGCCTCAGCCTCCTAAGTAGCTGGGATTACAGGTGCCTGCCACCACGCCCAGGCAATTTTTTTGTATTTTTAGTAGAGACAGGGTTTCACCATGTTGGCCAGGCTGGTCTCAAACTCCTGAGCTCAGGCGATCTGCCCGCCTCGGCCTCCCAAAGTGCTGGGATTACGGGCGTGAGCCACTGCACCCGGCAAGTATAATTATTTTCTTCAGTTTTAATACTTCCAAACTATTCAGAAATATTATCATTGACCCATGCAGTACTCTCAAACATTACTCTCAACTGCCCAATCTCATATTCAGGTCGAAACAGTTCTTTAAGTTTTATAAAAATATAGTCGTGGTGAAAAAAAGTACTGAAGAGTCATGGCACCCTAGATTAAAATCTTGCCTTTGGCCGGGCGCGGTGGCTCACGCCTGTAATCCCAGCACTTTGGGAGGCCGAGGCAGGTGGATCACTTGAGGTCAGTAGTTTGAGACCAGCCTGGCCAACATGGTGAAACCTCGTCTCTACTAAAAATACAAAAATTAGCCGAGCCTGTTGGCGGTTGCCTGTAATCCCAGCTACTCAGGAGGCTAAGGCAAGAGAATCGCTTGAACCTGGGAGACGGAGGTTGCAGTGAGCCGAGATTGCGCCACTGCACTCCAGCCTGGGCAGCAGAGCGAGACTCTGTCTCAAACTACAAACAACAACAAAAATTTTATTGATAAAATTGCGGGCTCTGAAAAGAAAAGATCTTGAACACCCAACCAATGAGAATAAACAGACGGTTGAGAAACAATTTAGTGAATAGTGAACAACTTTATTTAAAATGAAATAAGAATAGAAAAGAAAAATCATATATAAAGGCGAATCACAGTAAAGGTGAGTATTATTTTGTGAAGCTTTTATTTTATTTTTATTTTATTTTATTTTATTTTATTTTATTTTATTTTATTTTATTATTTTTTGAGAATGAATCTCGCTGTGTTGTCCAGGCTGGAGTGCAGTGGCACCATCTCGGCTCACTGCAACCTCTGGCTCCCAGGTTCAAGCGATTCTCCTGCCTCAGCCCCCTGAGTAGCTGGGATTACAGGCACGCGCCACCACTCCCAGGTATGTTTTAGATTTATGTATGTATGAATGTACTAGATCCCACATATATTTCTTCCTGTGGTTATAAGTCAAGTGTTTTGAAATCCATTGACTTGGGCAAATTTTCTTTTCAAATATATTACTTGGCACCATAAACTCTTCAATTTCAGCAAATGATTTTTTTAAATGACCCCAGTGTTTTGTGAATACTTATATTTGACTCTAGCTCATTTGAACAATTTTTGCCAGAAAGAGAAAACAGCCAAATGGAGATCTGGCTTGCTGTGTAGGGGCTGAGAGAAGTGTGATCATTCTGACCCTCTATTAGCAGGAAACTGCTCAACAGTCACATCTTGAAAGTAACTTGAGGCAACTGCAGGAGGGCTGCATGGCGGGAAAGAAATTGCTGAAAACAGGCTGGGTGAGCTGGCTCGTACCTGTGATCCCAACACTTTGGGAAGTGAAGTTGGGCGGATCACTTGAGGTGAGGAGTTTGAGACCAGCCTGCCCAACATGGTGAAACCTCGTCTCTACTAAAAATAATAAAATTAGCCAGGCATGGTGGTAGGCGGCTGTAGTTCCGGCTATTCGGGTGGTTGAGGCCTGAGAATTGCTTGAACCTGGGAGGTGGAGGTTGCAGCGAGTCGAGATTGCACCACTGCACTCCAGCTTGGGTGACAGAGCGAGACTCTGTCTCAAAAAAAAAAAAAAGAAATTGCAGAAAATTTTTCTCCCCTCCCTTTTTCACTACTGTCCTTGACTAGTTAAAAAAAAAAAAAAAGCCGGCTGGGCGTGGTGGCTCATGCCTGTAATCCTAGCACTTTGGGAGGCCGAGGCAGGTGGATCACCTGAGGTCAGGAGTTCAAGACCAGCCTGGCCAACATGGTGAGACCCTGTCTCTATTAAAAATACAAATATTACCTGGACGTGATGGCAGGCGCCTGTAATCCCAGCGACTCGGGAGGCTGAGGCAGGAGAATCACTTGAACCCGGGAGGTGGAGGTTGCAGTGAGCCTAGATAGTGCCATTGTACTCCAGCCTAGGCAGGCCAAGGTGGGAGGCTCACTTGAGGCAGAGTTTGAGACCACTCTGGGCAACATAGCGAGACCCCATCTCTGAAAAAAAAAATTGTTGAAAACACCTCAGTTTTCTCTCCCTCTGAAAAAGAAGCTACTGTCTATAGAAACAAAAGGCGGCCCGGCGTGGTGGCTCACGCCTGTAATCCCAGCACTTTAGGAGGCCGAGGTGGGTGGATCACGAGGTCAGAAGATCAAGACCATCCTGGCCAACATGGTGAAACCCCGCCTCTACTAAAAAATACAAAAAATTAGCCGGGCGTGGTGGCGGGCGCCTGTAGTCCCAGCTATTTGGGAGGCTGAGGCAGGAAAATGGCGTGAACCCGGGAAGCAGAGCTTGCAGTGAGCTGAGATCGCGCCACTGCACTCCAGCCTGGGCGACAGAGCAAGACTCCCGTCTCAAAAAAAAAAAACAAAAGGCATAGACTTCGCTCAAATTGTCACCCTCTCCACAGGCTATCCTTGACCATCATGTTTAAAATTACAATCCCTGCCTCTTGGAAATCCCTGTGTTTTTGTTTTTTTTCCTTTTGAGACGGGATCTCATTCTGTTGCCCAGGCTGTGAAGCGGCACAATCACAGCTCACTGCAGCCTCCACCTCCCTCCTCAGCCTCCCGAGTAGCTGGGACTACAGACACGTGCCACCATGCCTGGCTAATTTTTCTATTTTTAGTAAAGTCAGGGTTTCACCATGTTGGCCATGCTGGTCTTGAACTCCTGGCCTCAAGTGATCCACCCACCTTGGCCTTTGAAAGTGCTGAGATTACAGGCATGAGCCACCACGCCTGGTTTTTCTTTCTTTTTTTCTTTTTTTAATTTTGAGACGGAGTCTTGCACTGTCGCCCAGGCTGGAGTGCAGTGAGGCAATCTCGGCTCACTGCAAGCTCCGCCTCCCAGATTCACGCCATTCTTCTGCCTCAGGCTCCCGAGTAGCTGGGACTACAGGCACCCGCCACCACGCCCTGCTAATTTTTTTGTGTTTTTAGTAGAAACGTGGTTTCACCATGTTAGCCAGGATGGTCTCGATCTCCTGACCTCGTGATCCACCCGCCTCGGCCTCCCAAAGTGCTGGGATTACAGGCGTGAGCCACCGTGCCCGGCCCCATTTATCCCTAATATTTATTTGTGGGACTAATTAACCAACATGTTATTTCTTTTCTTTTTTTTTTTTTTTTTTTTTGAGATGGAGTTTCGCTCATTACCCAGGCTGGAGTGCAATTGCACAATCTTGGCTCACCCAAACCGCCACCTCCTGGGTTCAAGCGATTCTCCTGCCTCAGCCTCCTGAGTAGCTGGGATTAGAGGCATGTGCCACCACACCCGGCTAATTTTGTATTTTTAGTGGAGACGGGGTTTCTCCATGTTGGTCAGGTTGGTCTTGAGCTCCCGACCTCAGGTGATCTGCCCACCTCGGCCTCCCAAAGTGCTGACATTACAGGTGTGAGCCACCATGCCCAGCCCCAACATGTTATTTTCTTATACTTACTTTATTTTCTGTCTCCCCTCCAGACAATGTAAGTGCCATGGAGGTTGAGAGAGTTTTTTTGCTCACAGTTGTATTCCCGGTGCATTAAACAGTGCCTATGGCTGGGTGCAGTGGCTCATACCTGTAATCACAGCACTTTGGGAGGCCAGGGTGGGCAAATCACTTCAGGTTAGGAGTTTGAGACCAGCCTCTAGGTCAGGAGTAGAGACATGGCAAAACCCTATCTCTACTAAAAATACAAAAAATTAGCTGAGCCTGGTGGCATGGGTCTGTAATCCCAGCTACTCGGGAGGCTGAGGCACAAGAATCCCTTGAACCTGGGAAGTGGAGGTTGCAGTGAACCAAGATCATGCCACTGCACTCCAGCCTGGGTGACACAGTAAGACTCCGTCTCAAAAAAAAACAAAAAAACAAAACAAAACCATAGAGAAGAGCTCTTCCCTGGGAGGAGGAAAAGTGGCCTAAGACATAGTTAAATCATAAAAGCAAGTTGTAGAACATCACTCCTTCATTTAACACCCAGATACACATGACAAAAACCAATAGACTGCTCTACCTATGTGTATATATTTACAAAAGCAAACATGAGAATCTAGAAGGTTATGCATCAAACTGGTAACAGTGGCTAATTCTGGGAGGCAGCTGGGGAAAAGTGAGTGGTCAAAGGGGAACTATAGCATTAATTGTTTCAATTTAATATCCAATAATGTTTCATATTTAATATCCAAAATATTCTTTTTCTCATAGATACCAAACATAATAATGCAAATAAAGTATGGGGAAGTATTTATATCATATGTAAACAATATATAAGGAAAATGCACCAAAGAAATAAGCATATATACCTGAAACAAGCTAAGGGAGGGCCATGCATAAATTGTTGGCCAGGCGCAGTCGCTCACACCTGTAATCCCAGCACTTTGGGAGGCTGAGGCAAAAGGATAGCTTGAGCCCAGGGTTTCAAGACCAGCTTGGGCAATGTAGTAAGACCCCGCCTCTACTTTTAAAAATAAATGAATAAATTGTGTGGCTGGGTTTTCTGATCACTCAAGCAGTATGTGAGTGTGAGTGTGTGTGTGCGCGCATGAGCACGCACAGGAGTGAACTAGCTTGATTTTTGAAAAATGGACCCATAAATTGTTTTGCTAAAAATATCAGCAAGTCCTTATTTGGGAGTAGTGAAGAGGGGCTGGGTGAATGCTTGCCAACATGCCGCAGGAGGAAGATAAATTATCTTTTTACTTTCCACGTTTTCAAGTGAAGAGCATAGTGAGGTGGGAATTAGAGATAATAGAATTTGAAAAGCATATTAATTTTTTTCATTATGCTTTGCCTTGCTTGAAAAATTATTGCTAGCAGCTTTTAGAGTTCTATGTAGCACAGCTCCCTCAAACATTAAGGAGGCCATTGGTGCAAACCGAAAATACAAATAAGACAGTAAGGTGAAGCCAGGGGTAAGGATGATATCAAAGGATGTGTCATCAAGTCCTGCACAGTTGTCAGAGGTGGACTTCACACAAGGCATTTCTCTCATGGGCCCTCATTATGTGATTTAGTCTCAACGAAACCCCTACAGTGAATTTAGTAATGGGTGGCCTATGGCTTCTTTCTTTTTTATTTTTTTATTTTTTGTGATGAAGTCTCGCACTGTCGCCCAGGCTGGAGTGCAGTGGCGCTATCTCGGCTTACTGCAACCTCCACCTCCCAGGTTCAAGCGATTCTCCTGCCTCAGCCTCCTGAGTCCTGGGATTACAGGCATGCGACCACACCCAGCTAATTTTTATATTTTTAGTAGAGACAGGGTTTCACCGTGTTAGGCTGGTCTTGAACTCCTGACCTCGTGATCTGCCCGCCTTGGCCTCCCAAAGTGCTGGGATTACCAGGTGTGAGCCACCACACCTGGCCGGTTTATATCTTTTTACTTTTCTTTTTTTTTTTTTTTTTTTTGAGACGGAGTCTTGCTCTGACACCCAGGCTGGAGTGCAGTGGCGCAATCTCGGCTCACTGTAACTCTGCCTCCCAAGTTCAAGCGATTCTCCTGCCTCAGCCTCCCAAGTAGCTGGGATTACAGGTATGTGCCACCACGCCTGGCTAATTTTTTGTATTTTTAGTAGAGATGGGGTTTCACTGTGTTAGCCAGGATGGTCTCGATCTCCTGACCTCGTGATCTGCCCACTTTGGCCTCCCAAACTGCTGGGATTACAGGCATGAGCCACGGTGCCCAGCCCATTTCTTACAACTTTCTTCGGTGTAGGCCTAACCTTCATATTCAGTTCAGTAAAAATAAGCCTACTGGTAGGTGGAACAAAGGGCTCCTGCCTCACAGCTTGCTTGCTTGCTGTCTGTCTTTTCTTTCTTTCTTTCTTTCTTTCTTTCTTTCTTTCTTTCTTTCTTTCTTTCTTTCTTTCTTCTCTAATGAAGTCATAACTTAACAGCTTTCTGAGGTCTGGATTGATCCACAGGTAAAATTTTTTCATGATCTGTAATGGACAGAATATTCTTCCAGCAATCTGCCACAAGTATTGCTTCAGAACAAAGACTTGAAGGGCAGAGAACATTGGCACATACCCTCTAGGGAATCCCAAACCGTCCCCAAGATTTCTGCTGATGTTTATATTGTCATAATCACTGATGACATGTGGGAAGGAAGAGAGTGGATTACATCACAGCAATGGAACTTCAGATTAAACTCTGAGTGTCCCTGTGCTTAAAATATTATCACTCACCCACCATGACTTCCCGCAGTCCCCAACTCAGACCAGCTCACTGGCTCTTGTCTCTCTTTCCTCCTTAGCCCCACTCCCCATCAGTAGGAAAAAATAAGTGACAAATCCCTCTTGTTTTCCCATAAAGAGGCAGCATAAATATTCTTTTTTTCCTTCCTTAAAGGCCTCTCACTTTTATTACAGGTAACTTATTAAAATATTTTCCTGAAAGCAGTTCTTTCCCTAAAGGAGATTGTCTACTAGCGCCAGAGTGTTTGATAAAAATTGAGTAGTATTAGGCCAGGCTCTGTGGCTCACGCCTGTAATCCCAGCACTTCGGGAGGCCGAGGCAGGCGGATCACCTGAGATCAGGAGTTCGAGACCAGCCTGACCAACATGGAGAAACCTCGTCTCTACTAAAAATACAAAAATTAGCTGGGCGTGTTGGCACGTGCCTGTAATCCCAGCTACTCGGGAGGTTGAGGCAGGAGAATCGCTTGAACCCAAGAGGTGGAGGTTATGGTGAGCTGAGATCGTGCCATTGCATTCCAGTCTGGGCAACAAGAGTGAAACTCCATCTGAAAAAAAAAAAAAAAAAAGAAATTGAGTAGTATTAGCTTTTTATTAATTCATTCAGCAAATACATATGACGCAATCACGATGTATCAGGTTCACTCCTACTAGATGTACATGAACAAGGCCTTTCCCTGAAGGAAAAGTGGAATAGACATGAGATTAAGCATGCAAATTACAGCCTCTTCCTCAGAGAGCTGCCGATAGCAACTAACCCTGACAAAAGTCAATCACAATATCAGTTCCTTCCTCTACAGAGTGTTAAAAGTTTCTCGGCTGGGTGCGATGGCTCACGCCTGTAATCCTCTGTAATCCTGAGAAAGTGCCTGTAATCCTGGCACTTCAGGAGGCTGAGGCAGGTGGATCACTTGAGGTCAGGAGTTCGAGACCAGCCTGGCCAATATGGTGAAACCCTATCTTTACTAAAAATACAAAATTTAGCCGGTTGTGGTGGCGGGCACCTGTAATCCCAGCTACTTGGGAGGCTGAGGCAGGAGAATCGCTTGAACCTGGGAGGTGGAGGCTGCAGTGAGCCGAGATCATGCCACTGTACTGCAGCCTTGGCAACAGAGTAAGACTGTGTCTCAAAAAAATAAAAATAAAAAAAGAGTGTTAAAAGTTTCTGAAGAGAATAGTCAAAGCAAATTTTTAAACTTTAGAACTCCTTTAATAACTGTGTTTTCAGCAGTGACCTAAAATTGCTAATGCTTACCGATATGACCATCTTGGGGTCTCTGAGGGGCATTGTAATGGCGCCCTTATTCCTCACCAGGGTTCTGAAGCAATTAAGATATAAGAACAGGGAGGCAGCAGATGGAGACTAAAATGTCACCTTTACTACTGACAAAGGCTAGGTTGGAGGGCAGAGATTTTTTTTTTTTTTTTGGAAAAAAAAATTTTTTTTGAGACAGAATCTCACTATTTTGCCCAGGCTGGTCTTGAACTCCTGAGCTGAGGCAATCCTCCCGCCTCAGCCTCCGCAGTAGTTGGGATTACAGGTGTGAGCCACTGCACCTGGCAGAGGTCAGAGACTCTGTGAGCAAGTGACTTCCTAATACTTTATAAGACTTAAGCCTAAAATGAGACAGACAGGCCTCTAAACCTTACTAAGTAGAGGAGGGAGTGGTAGGCCAGCTCCTAATAGGAAAAAGGGAGAGAAAGAGGCTACACATGTCAGTTTGTCCTTCCAGATTCCCCATATAGGTGACAAGGGGAACAAGGCCATGGGCAAAGCAGATTCTCACAATGGAGTATGGTTGATTCCTTACAGGATCTCCTTTTGAAGTTAGAGAGAGTAGCTATACCTTAGGAAATCTGGCTGGACAATTAAGCTGGGTTTATTAAGAATATATGCAGGATGAAAGTGGAGTTAGCTGGTACCCATCCCTGGGCCTTATGGTTGTGGAGGAGTTCACTTAGGGTAACTATCCTGTATGTGCTGGCAGTGGTGGGGGAAATACTTTTGTTCTTGGGGCCCAATCTGTTCCAGGTGGCCATGAACCTGCTTGTGAGCCTGTGGTGAGGAAGATGAGAACGAGAAGGGGACAGCTCTTGGGACTGGACATTAGTGCTTTCAGGTCGATCTGTGATGCTTACCCCGGTTTTTGTTCTGTTTTCGTTTTTGGGACAGGGTCTTACTCTGTGACCCACGCTGGAGTGCAATGGCACCATCACGACTTACTGAAGCCTCCACTTCCCGGGCTCAAGTGATTCTCACACCTCAGCCTCCTGAGTAGCTGAGACCACAGGTGTGCACCACCACACCCCACTAAATTTTCTGTTTTTTTTGTCGAAATGGGGTTTTGCCATGTTGCCCAGGCTAGTCTCAAACTCCTGGGCGCAAAAGATCTGCCCGCCCACCTCGGGCCTCCCAAAGTGCTGGGATTACAGGCATGAACCATAACACCTGGTTTACTCAGAGAATAGCGAACGCTTCCTTGTGCCAGGGAAGGTGGAGCAGTCATGACTCAGGCTTCGGGAGCCTCAGGCTCGCAGCTACAGGCTTATACACACTCACATCAAATGCTAATGGGGCCCGAGTCAGAAAGAAATTAGCCAGACTAAGAAAAACAAGACTTTGGAAATATAAACGTTTGAATGAACATTTTAAGCATGGTATCTGCCTGCCACCTTGGTTCTCAAAGTGGTCTCCCAGACCTTTTCAGGGATCTA
Organism: Homo sapiens; assembly: GCF_000001405.40. Taxonomy (NCBI): domain Eukaryota; kingdom Metazoa; phylum Chordata; class Mammalia; order Primates; family Hominidae; genus Homo; species Homo sapiens. Next base: position 45,352,439 of record NC_000013.11, read on the forward strand.
TTACATCAAAACTATTTTCAGGGTTTTTTTTTTTTTTTTTGAGACTGAGTCTCGCTCTGTCGCCCAGGCTGGAGTACAGTGGCACGATCTCGGCTCACTACAAGCTCCGCCTCCTGGGTTCACGCCATTCTCCTGCCTCAGCCTCCCAAGTAGCTGGGACTACAGGCGCCTGCCACCACGCCCGGCTAATTTTTTGTATTTTTAGTAGAGACGGGGTTTCACTGTGTTAGTCAGGATGGTCTTGATCTCCTGACCTTGTCATCAGCCAGCCTCGGCCTCACAAAGTGCTGGGATTACAGGTGTGAGCCACCGCACCCGGCCTTGTTTGTTTTTTGAGACGGAGTTTCTCTCTTGTTGCCCAGACTGGTGTGCAACGGCGTGATCTCGGCTCACTGCAACCTCCACCTCCTGGGTTCAATTGATTCTCCGGCCTCAGCCTCATGAGTAGCTGGGATTACAGGCATGTGCCACCATACCCGGTTAATTTTGTTTTTTTTTTTTTTTTTTTTTTTTTTTGAGACGGAGTCTCGCTCTGTCACCTAGCCTGAACTGCAGTGGCGCGATCTCGGCTCACTGCAAGCTCCGCCTCCCGGGTTCACGCCATCCTCCTGTCTCAGCCTCCCGAGGAGCTGGGATACAGGTGCCCACCACCACGCGTGGCTAATTTTTTTTTTGTATTTTTAGTAGAGAAGGGGTTTCACCATGTTTGCCAGGATGGTCTCGATCTCCTGACCTCGTGATCCGCCCGCCTCGGTCTTTCAAAGGGCCAGGATTACAGGCGTGAGTCACCGCGCCTGGCTAATTTTGTATTTTTAGTAAAGACGGGGTTTCTCCATGTTGGTCAGGCTGGTCTCGAACTTCCGACCTCAAGTGATCCACCTGCCTCAGCCTCCCAAAGTGCTGGGATTACAGGCATAAGCCACCTCTCCTGGCCATTTTTTTTTTTTTTAAATAGAGACATGGTCTTAGTATATTGTCTGGGCTGGTCTCAAACTCCTGGGCTAAAGCAATCCTCCTGCCTCGGCCTCCCAGAGTTCTGGGATTACAGGCGTGAGCCACTGTTTTTAAGGCTGGGCACTGTGTGGCTCGTGCCTGATATCCCAGCACTTTGGGAGGCTGAGGAGGGAGGATCACTTAAGGCCAGGAGTTTGAGAACAAGACCAGCCTGGGAAACATAGTGAGACCCTCTCTCTACAAAAAAAATTTTGAAAATTAGCCAGGTGTGGAGGTACATATGTGTGGTTCCAGCTACTTGAGAGGCTGAGGTGGGAGGATTGCTTAAGCCTGGGAGGTTGAGGTTGCAGTGAGCCGTGTTCATGCTACTGTACTCCAGCCTGGGTGATAGAGTGAGACCCTGTCTCAAAAAAAAAAAAAAGTTTTTAAAAAGTGTAAAAGACTTCCAAGATGAAAAGTTGGAGAATTACTGGCCTACCGTAATACAAACCCCATGTCAGGATCTGGAAATATGCAAATAAATGAAAGGTTAAGGAATACACACTAGCCAGGTGCACACAAGCAGGGTATACCATTAGCTGATTCTTTTGAGCAATTAGTTTTTATTATATGGACCCAGTCTTATAACTGATCATGTTTCCCTTCTCTCTTTGACTGCTAGCAAGCTCAGAGCCAAATTTGGGCTTATTTCTGTTAACAGGATCTTACAGAATGCTTTTATGTTACAGCTTACTCCTGGTTATACCCAATTTCACTACTTTCATTTCCCCTTTGTCCTGATTTGTTTTGCTTTTGTTTTCTTTTTTTTGTTTTGAGACAGGGTCTCCCTCTGTCACCCAGGCTGGAGTTCAGTGGCGTGATCTGGGCTCACTGCAACTTCTACCTCCCAGGCTCAAGCAATACTCCTACCTCAGCCTCTCAAGTAGCTGAGACTATAGGCGTGCACCACCATGCCTGGCTAATTTTTTGTTTTTTTTTGTAGAGACAGGGTTTTGCCATGTTGCCCAGGCTGGTCTCCATCTCCTGAGCTGAAGCAATCTGCCAACCTCGGCCTCCCAATGTACTGGGATTACAGGTGTGAACCACATCACCGTCTCAATCACCGTCTCAATTTTTTGTTTTGTTTTGCTTTTTGTTTTTTTTTTTTTTTTTGAGATGGAGTCTCGCTCTGTCACCCAGACTGGAGTGCAGTGGCACAATCTCGGCTCACTGCCACCTTTGCCTCCTGGGTTCAAGTGATTCTCCTGCCTCAGCCTTCCAGATAGCTGGGATTATAGCTTTGCACCACAACACCTGGCTAATTTTTGTATTTTTAGTAGAAACGGGGTTTCACCACATTGGCCAGGCTGGCCTCATACTCCTGACCTCAAGTGATCCACCGGCCTCAACCTCCCAAAGTGCTGGGATTACAGGCATGAGCCACCATGCCCGGCCTCAATTTTTATACCGAGGATTTTCCTCGTATGTATTTTACTTGCTGTGCTATCAGGTATACCTCTGTAAACCACATACAATTCTGTTTGAAACAAGGCAGGACACAAAAAAGAAATACCTAGAGTGAGAACTCATGGAATTTCAAATCTTTTTTTTTTTTTTTTGAGATGGAGTCTCACTCTGTCGCCCAGGCTGGAGTGCAGTGGCACAATCTTGGCTCACTGCAACCTCCGCCTCCCGGCTTCGAGCAATTCTAGTACCTCAGCCTCCCGAGTAGCCAGGATTACAGGCACATGCCAGCACGCCTGGGTAATTTTTGTGTTTTTAGTAGAGATGGGGTTTCACCATGTTGGCCAGGTTGGTCTCGAACTCCTGGCCTCAGGTGATCCACCCTCCTCAGCCTCCCAAAGTGCTGGGATTACAGGCGTGAGCCTCTGCACCTGGTCCAAATCTTTTTTAAAATGCACTCTTAAAACTTGGGAATGTATAAAATACCATTCCTGCCTTTGATGAACTTAAAAATCTATTGTCATACGTGTAAATGGTTACCAGAAACAACAGAATATGATAGATCACAAAGGTAGTACAAGCAAAGTCCATAGGAAGGGTTGCACCTTCTCCCCAGAGGCAAAGTTAAAATGAATGGAGCTACCAGGATTTAGCGTTTCTTTTGTAGAACTCTAGGAATTCAGGGAAAGAGAGGCTCATTCCTGCCTTAATGGGAGGTTTCAGGGGAAGAGAGGCTCATTTCTGCCTTTATGGGGGGTTTCAAACTTCAGTAGAAAACACTGTAATTGGAAAATGGCTTGAAGACTAATTGAAAACATCAGCATATTACCAATTCTGAGATGCATGTTTTTCACATTTTAAGATTTCTCATCTTGGGATGCATCTTATGGTATGCCATGATTACTTGTCAGAATTTTTTTTCTAAGTGATACATAAAATAATCATGCTTCTTATGATTGATAATGTCTTAGATTAGATGAAGACCATTATTAGTTACTATTATTATTATTAATTTTGAGACGGAGTCCTGCTCTGTCGCCCAGGCTTGAGTGCAGTAGCACGATCTCGGCTCACTGCAACCTCCGCCTCCCGGGTTCAAAGGATTCTCTCACCTCAGCCTCCTGAATAGCTGAGATTACAGGCACACACCACCATGGCTGGCTACTTTTTTTGTATTTTTAGTAGAGACAGGGTTTCGCCTTGTTGGCCTGGCTGGTTTTGAACTCCCGACCTCAAGTGTTCCACCAGCCTCGGCCTCCCTAAGTGCTGGGATTACAGGTGTGAGCCACCGCGCCCGGCCTTATTATGATTATTGTTATTATTTTGAGACAGAGTCTCACTCTGTCGCCCAGGCTGGAGTGCAGTGGCGCGATCTCAGCTCACTGCAACCTCCACCTCCCGGGTTCAAGCGATTTTTCTGCCTCAGTCTCCTGAGTAGCTGGGATTACAGGCGTGCGCCACCACACCTGGCTAATTTTTGTATTTTTAGTAGAGATGGGGTTTCACCATGTTGGTCAGGCTGGTCTTGAACTCCTGACCTGGTGATCCACCCGCCTCGGCCTCCCAAAGTGCTGGGATTACAGGCGTGAGCCACCGTGCCCAGCCTAGTTAGCATTTTAACATGCCATATGTCTACCACAGTGGTTCTCATGGTGTGGTCTTTGAGATGTCTGTAGCATTGTACAGCAGAATGTGGCCTACTGCAGATGAATGCTGTGTGGCTAACAAGTTGCTAGAAGACCATCACCTATTGAATGGAGAGAGGTGGGGACAGACTAATGGAAAGCAATGAAGGTCTCAGCTTCCAGTTCTGGGTTTTCATCCTCCTCTTGCCTCAACCTCAAAGACTCTTCCCAGCTCAAGAACTGGGGGCCACCCTTGATAAAGCTTTATCTGGCCCCTGATGTATTCTCATCTCCCCAGCTACCTTGGCCTAGATCTGCAGAAATCCCTTTCCTTTTCTTTCTGTAAAGCAAAAGCTGAAAATTTTCAAAAATAACATGACCAGAGAACAAAAGAAAATCAAGTACAGAGAAAACACTGTAGCATGAAAACAAACGTATGGATTTTGCATGAATTTCAAAACAGATTTTACAACTTTCTCATCCTAATGGATGTAAGGTATAGCTACAGGTTTGGCTAATGGAAATTTCAGGGCACCTGCTCTTTCCCCTTAAAGCTATCAGGGTGGAGTGCCAAGCTCACTCTTGACCATGTGGATTTGGGTGGGCATGGAGAGAGGCATGCTGGGAGATTCAGGCCCTCCCCAAATCACCTTCCATGTGCAGTCTGCCAAGGCCACGTTGCTGACTGGGGTCAAGACAGCCTACAGCTGCCTTGTTCCTGAGGCCATGGCCGGATAAGGAAGCCAGCTTCCAGTCCAGCCCTTCCGATTCCTCGCCACACTTCAAGCTTATGGCTCTGATTGCCACTTCTTCCTGGAAGGCTCAGATATAACTTCTGAAAGTCGTGTTTTCACCAGGACCTCTTTTCCTGTGTCTCCTTCACTTGCTCAAAGGAAGCAGATGTCCTGTGGTTTCTCCCTGTAAGCAAAGATTAGTTTCTTCACCAGTTCTGGTCAACTAGAACCTGGCCCTTACCTTCCCGGTAGTCATGGAGCCTGTGGTTTGGCTGGCTCCGCACAGGGTTAACAAATGCCTCTTGGGGAAGACAGTGTGGTCTGGTGGAAAGAACCACCACTTACTAGCTACATGACTACTAAGCCTGCAAGCCTCTGTTTCCTCACCTGTAGAATGGGGTGTGACTTTCACAGTAGTTGTGAGGAGTGACTGAAGTCAAGCATATAAAAGCAACAAGAAGGGACAGGTGTGGTGGCTCACGCCTGTAATCCCAGTACTTTGAGAGGCTGAGGCAGGCAGATCACCTGAGGTCAGGAGTTCGAGACCAGCCTGGCCAACATAGTGAAACCCTGTCTCTACTAAAAATACAAAAATTAGGCGTGGTGGTGTGGGTCTGTAATCCCAGCTACTAGGGAGGCTGAGGCAGGAGAATTGCTTGAACCCGGGAGGCGGAGGTTGCAGTGAGCCGAGATCACACCACTGCACTCCAGCCTGGGCGACAAAGTGAGACTCTGTCTCAAAAAGAAAAACAGACAATTTTTTATAGCAATGGGACATCATCTCACAAGGCATTTGTTTCACTAAGAGAGGAATTTTGAGACACATGGTATTTCCAAAGCACTTTCTGGCCAAGGAGCTCAAATGACCGTACGGATATTCTTAAGGAATGAGAATTACCACTTCCTTTCCTGGCAGCTTTCTTTTTTTTATTATTTTTTTTTGAGACGGAGTCTCGCTCTGTTGCCCAGGCTGGAGTGCAGTGGCGTGACCTCGGCTCACTGCAACCTCTGCCTCCCAGGTTCAAGCAGTTCTCCTGCCCCAGCCTCCTGAGTAGCTGGGATTACAGGCACACTTTTCGCTGGGTGCGGCGGCTCACGCCTGTAATCTCAGCACTTTGGGTGGCTGAGGTGGATGGATCATTTGAACCCAGGAGTTCGAGATCAGCCTGGGCAACATGGCAAGACCCCATCTCCACAATAAATATAAAAATTAACGAAGCATGGTGGCACACACCTGTAGTCCAAGCTACTCGGGAGGCTGAGGTGGGAGGATCACTTGAGCCTGAGAGGTGGAGGTTGCAGTGAGCCGAGACTGTACCACTGCACTCTAGCCCGGGCAACAGAGTGAGACCCTGTCACACAAACAAAACAAAACAAAACAAAACAAACAAAAAAACAAAAAACGACTCCACCCCTGCCTGTTGCCCTCTTCCCAGAATATATGGGACTTCACACCACACACACACACACACACACACACACACCAGTTTGGCCACTCATCAAGGAATACATCAAACAAACACTTTTACAGCTGATTGCTTTACAGGATCATAATTTTAATTTCTCAGAGATCTCATTTAGTTTTCTCTACCAGTGATACCTATGACAGTTTCTATTATCAGAATGTCCTGACTTTAAGCATCAGGGCCCTAACTCAAGTCACCAGAGGCAGCTTGAAGAGGACCTCTGCCTTGGCATGCTGTATGAATGTTTGTGTCCTTAGGGCTGGCCGAGCAGGGCTCAACCTGGGCACTTTAAAAACATGGTATCTGGCCTGAATTCATGGCCAAGGATATTTGTAAAATGATGTGCTTCTCATTGGGAATAGAAGGCACATTAAGGTTGGAGGCAGAGGAGAATGGAAAGCACAGTTCCTATGTTAGCTCAGACAGGAAATGATGGACATTCAATTCCATAAGCCCAGCGTGTGACAGCATTCTGAAATAGATTGCCTTCAAGTTTCTTTTTTTTTTTTTTTTTTTTTTTGAGACTGAGTCTCGCTCTGTCGCCCAGGCTGGAGTACAGTGGCACGATCTCGGCTCACTACAAGCTCCGCCTCCTGGGTTCACGCCACTTTCCTGCCTCAGCCTCCCGAGTAGCTGGGACTACAGGCGCCCGCCACCACGCCCAGCTAATTTTTTGTATTTTTTTTAGTAGAGACGGGGTTTCACCATGTTGTCCAGGATGGTCTCGATCTCCTGACCTCGTGATCCGCCCGCCTCGGCCTCCCAAAGTGCTGGGATTACAGGCGTGAGCCACCGCGCCCGGCCCAAGTTTCTTGATTTTATCTGGATCTTACACCACTTTGAGAATCTGATAAAATATATTGACCTTTTCCTCAGAAAAATGCATATATCCACAAAATTTTGCATATGATATTAAGTGTTTATGAACCTGGCCTGGCTAACTTTGTATTTTTAGTAGAGACGGGGTTTCAACATGTGGGCCAGGCTGGTCTCAAACTCCTGACCTCAGGTGATCCACCTGCCTCGGCCTCCCAAAGTGCTGGGATTACAGGCATGAGACACTGTGCCCAGCCAAGATTCAGTTCTTAGAATGAACCAAAGTGCTCTTTGTCCTGTTTGCTGTCTTGGCATTTCCACTGATGTTAAATCTCAAGAGGTGAAATCTGCACACAAATACTCACTGTCACTCAGGAGGACGCAGCTCAGGAGGTAAGGTGGACATCACTGAGTTGGTACAGGTCTTACATGCAAGACAGAAGCCGTGTTCTGGAGATTTGCTGCTCTTCTTTGGTGTTAAGCCTCTTGCTTTATTAAACAACTAAGTCATGATGAACCATTGGAAGGAGCTGCGCTGTTTCCAGTTTGTCTGGAGGACATATTAAAAGACTAGTTTCTGGAATACATTTGTGTAACTTAATTTTGTTGATGTTTTCTTATTTGATGTCTAGTAATACTTTTTTTTTTTTTTTTTTTTTTTGAGATGGAGTTTTGCTCTTGTTGCCCAGGCTGGAGTGCAATGGCAAGATCTCAGCTCACCACAACCTCTGCCTTCTTTTTTCTTCTGTTTTTAAAACTTGTGGTAAAATCTAGATAACAAAAAGTTTGCCATTTTAACCATTTTTAAGTGGACAGTTCAGTGGCATTAGTTACATTCCCAATGTTGTGTAACCACCACTATTATCCATTTCCAGAAGGTTTTCATCACCCGAAACAGAAACTCTGTACCCATTAAATAGTAACTCCCCATTCTACCCTTCTCTCCCTCCATAACCTCTGTTTTACCTTCTGCATCCATCAAGTTGCCTGTTATAGATAATTCACATAGAATCATTCAGTATTTGTTTCTTTTTGTATCACGTATCAAAATTTCCTTTTTTTTTTTTTGCTTTTGAGACAGTCTTGCTTTGTCGCCCAGGCTGGAGTGCAGGTGCACAACCATGGCTCACTGCAGCCCTCACCTCTCCTGCTCGAGAGTTCCTCCCACCTCAGCCATCTGAGTAGCTGGGACTACATGTGTGCGCCACCATACCCAACTAATTTTTTGGTTTTTTTTGTACATACGGGGTTTTGCCATGTGGCCCAGGGTGGTCTCGAACTCCTGGGCTGAAGTGATCCACCCACCTTGGTCTCCCAAAGTGTTGGGATTACAAGCATGAGCCACTGCGCTGGAATGCAATGACACGATCTCAGCTCACTGCAACCTCTGCCTCTCGGGTTCAAGTGATTCTCCTGCCTCAGCCTCCCAAGTAGCTGGGAGTAGAGCCATGCGCCACCACGCCCGGCTAATTTTTGTATTTTTAGTAGAGACGGGGTTTCGCCATGTTGGTCAGGCTGATCTCGATCTCCTGACCTCAGGTGATCACCTGCCTCAGCCTCCCAAAGTCCTGGGATTACAGACGTGAGCCACTGCGCCTGGCCTATGCTTTAAAATAAAAATAGAGATTGGGTGTCTGGCTATTATGTTGCCCAGGCTGGTCTTGAACTCCTGGCCTCATCCTTCCCCCTCCACCTCCCAAAGCACGGGGATTATAGGTGTGAGCCACCACATCTTATCCTTCTGGTGCATTTTGAAGGTAGAGACCCTAAGTCAGATTTGCTGATGAATCAATGTGGGGGACGTGGCACAGTTAACCACTCCCTCCCCTCCCCTCCCCATCCCCGTCCCCTCTGTCGTCCCCTCCCCCTCCCCTCACCCCTTCCCTCTCCTTTTTTTTTTTTTTTTTTTTTTTTTTTTTTGAGAGGGAGTTTCGCTCTTGTCCCCCAGGCTGGAGTGCAATGGCGTAATCTTGGCTCATCGCAACCTTCGCCTCCTGGGTTCATGCAGTTCTCCTGTCTCAGCCTCCAGAGTAGGTGGGATTACAGGTGCACACCACCATGCCTAGCTAATTTTTATATTTTTAGTAGAGATGAGGTTTTGCCATGTTGGTCAGGCTAGTCTCAAACTCCTGGCCTCAAGCGATCTGCTGGCCTTGGCCTCCCAAAGTGTAAGGATTACAGGCATGAGCACCGCCCCAGCCCACACCCTTTTGCTTGAGGCACTTTTTTCTTCTTTTTTTTTGAGGCGGAGTCTTGCTCTTTCGCCCAGGCTGGAGTGCAGTGGCGCTATCTCGAGCCCCGCCTCCCGGGTTCACGACATTCTCCTGCCTCAGCCTCCTGAGTATCTGGGACTACCGGCGTCTGCCACCACGCCCAGCTAATTTTTTTTTTGCATTTTTACTAGAGACGGGTTTTCACTGTGTTAGCCAGGATGGACACTTTCTTCTTCCTTTGGAAATACATCCTCTGGTTTCCCTCCTCCCTCGCTGGCCTCTCCTCTCAGACTCTTCTGCCTGCTCTACTCCAGGTGCATTGAAATGCCCCAGACCTCTGTGTGGGGAGTCTTCTATGCCACACCCTTCCTAGATGACATCATCTGGCCCTAAGTTTTCAGTATGAGTCAATGTGTTGGTGATGCCCAGATTCCCACCTCCAGCCCTGATTTCTTCCAAGTGCTCTAGAGTCATATACTTATTTGCCTGCTTGATGTCCCTTCTTGGATGTCAAACAGTCATCTCAAAATTCAACTCTTGATCCTCTCCCCTGCTCCAAACTTCGCCATCTCAGTAAATGCGTTATATTCCTCCTGGTTGCATAGGCTTCAAACCTAGGAGTCATCCTTGAATAGACCCTCTTTCTTGCCTCCGCGTTTGAGCTTTCAGCAAGTCCTGTCATTCAGACCATTCACACGTATTGAAAATCCATCCCTTTCTTGCCGTCTTGACTGAACGTTCTGATGAAGTCGTCACCACTGCTCCCTGGACCTCTGTCCTCACTAACAGCGCTTCCTGTTTCCATTCCTGCTGCTCCAGAGTCCATCCATCTCCTCCCTTTTCAGAGAGGCTTCTCTGACCACCCTTTGCAATGGCTGCTCCATGGCCCCTGCTAGAACAGGCTGTCATGCTCTTGTGGGTCTGCTTGTATATTTATCTCTTTTCTGCCTCCACTAGAAGGTGAGCTCTGACAGGGCAGAGGTTCTGGCTGCCTGGTTCCGTGCTGCATTTTCAGAGTCTAGAATAGTGCCTAGCACATGGTACGTGATGAGGAAATCTCTTTCCTGATGAATGAGCGAAGCAGAGAATCCTCAGAATCCGAGGATGCTCTCTCTCTGTCTTGGGAGCTAGAGGAACTCTTCATTTTTCCCTTCATGAATCTGCTCCACTGTCCTTTCTGTTTATTGGCTTCCTCAGTGTTTGGTTTGCCATGGCGCCATCTTGGTCCCATTTCTCATGCTCTGCTCAGCTCAAAGCAGTCCACGGGTTCAACTCTCAGTGCCCCAGGAAGGGGAAACCCACTTCACTTGGGTCAAGTGTTCATTTTCCATCCTCCCTGTCTCCACCCCAATCAGCAAAGGCTAGTGGCTGGTGGTAAAAGGAAGGCTAGTGGCTGGGGGTAAAAGGCCACCAGCAGAGGGGGCTCTCCAGAGGCAGGCCCATCCCCAGCTCCTCCCGAGTAAGTGCCAATCACCCAGAGGTGGATCCTCTTTCAGGGCCCTGACTTGCAAAGCTGAGGACCAGCTTCCTGTCAGTGGTAACCCTCAGTGAGGGCCTTGTCTGAGCAGCCAGCAGCCTCTGAGACATTTCCACATGGGCACTGGCTAACTTAAAAAAGATAAGTATTCACCCTTCCCAGGAGGTACTGATGTCAGGAATAGCCAAGAGTGCAGTCTTGGTCTGTAAGGAGGTGGCCCTTCCACTCCATACGGCCCTTCCCAGGATACTGCTGTATCCTGGGGTCTGCTCGTGGTGCCAGCAAGCAGGCGTTCCTTGGGAGCCCCCCTCAGCCCTCCCACCCACTGCTGTCCTCTCTCCCTGCCCCCATCTGTGTAAGGACCCTCTGATATATGTTCACTTAGTAAGCTGTGTGTGTGTAGTGGGGTGTCTTTGTCAATGATCTGCTCCTTTTCTCTGAAAACTTTAAGGACTTTGATATTTTTGGATTCACAATAGTATGTGTAGATGTCAGATTTTCCTCATCTCTCTCCTGTGGCCTCTGTGGGTTCTCTCAGTCTGAGGTCTTTCATCTCTCTTTAATTCTGGGAAATTAATCTCCATTCTGTCTTCAAATATCACCTCCCTTCCATATTTTCCCCTTCCTTCTGCAACTCCTATTACCTGGATATTAACATTTCTGTTTCTGTCCTCCATGATTCTAACTTTTTAAGTTATTTTCCTTGTTTTTTTTTTATCCTTTCTTTCCTATCAGAATTTCTCAAGTTGATCTTTCATTTTCACTAATTCTTTTCTTGACCGTGTCAATTTATTCCATTAATTCTGTTCTGTATGTCAATATTATATTTTTTACCCTGATCTTTCCACTTGGCTCTTCTGTATGGTTTGTTGTTTTTGTGACATGGTCATGGCGGTGTGGGTTGTGGTGGGAGGGGGTTACCCCCGATATAGTCTGGATATTTGTCTGCGCCTAAATCTCCTGTCAGAATGTAATAGTGGGTGCTAGAGGTGGGGCCTGGTGGGAGGTGTTTGGACCAGGGGGGCAGTGTTAGTGCCCCGCATATGCTCTCTTTGCGAAAATAAGCAAGTTATTAAAAAATCTGGTCATGTAAAAGTATGTGACACCTCTCCCCCTCCCTGCTCCTGCTTTCTCCATGTGAAATGCCTGCTCCCACTTCGCCTTCTGCCATGATTGAAAGATCCTTGAGTCTTCATCAGAAGCTGAGCAGATGCCAGCACCATGCTTCCTGTACAGCCTGTAGAACCATGAGCCAATTAAATCTCTTTTCTTTATAAATTACCCAGTCTCAGGTTTTTTTTTTTTTTTTTTGAGATGGAGTTTCACTCTTGTTTCCCAGGCTGGAGTGCAATGGCGTGATCTTGGCTCACTGCAACCTCTGCCTCCCGGGTTCAAGTAATTCTCTTGCCTCAGCCTCCCGAGTAGTTGGGATTACAGGCGTACACCACCACACCTGGGTAATTACGTATTTTCAGTAGAGACGGGTTTCTCCATGTTGGTCAGGCTGGTCTCGAACTCCTGACCTCGGGTGATCCGCCTGCCTCGGCGTCCCAAAGTACTGGGATTACAGGTATGAGCCACCGTGCCCAGCCGGTTTTTTTTTTTTTTTTTGTATAGCAATGGAAGAATGGCCTCGTACACACGCTAGAGTGGAAAGTCCCAGGCACCAAGGCTTCCCACCCTAGAAGCAAGCTCAGGGCTTTCTCTTCATCCTTCCAGGGAGAGCACTGAGAGATGATGGGGGGTTGGCAGGGGGCATCCCTTGGATTATCATTCTCCAGACTTAGGCTTGGAGGGGAGGGTGGAGAAGTGGATTTCTGGGTCTGGTCCACCTCACCTGTTTTCTCAGCTTCTCACCCACTCAGAGCTCTTGCCCCAATTCTCCCTTTCATCCTGCAGATCCCTGCGCCTGACTCATCTCAGGCGAGGAGGCAAATCATCAGTTATCTCAGGCAGCAGCAGGACGAGACTCCTTTCTGATTTTCTCCTTCCCTGGCCACCTCTCCCCACCCCATATTCACTCATTCCAAACCTCTGGCCTCCCCAGCAACTCTACATCCTCATCTCCATCTGTTCCCTCTCTCGATGCTGTGGGTGACGTTGGAGAGGGAAGCCCGGAGCCCTGACCTAGTCCGGCGTGGAGAGAGGAATGGAAAGCAGTGTCCCTTTTGAGAAGGCAAATTTACAGCTGGCTTTTGTAATCCTAGCTATTTTTTGTTTGTTTGCTAAGTCTTTGATAGTCCCCAGTGTGGTTTGTCTGCCAGTGATCTCAGCACCACCAGAGAGCTTGTTAGAAATGCGGCATCCCAACCCCACCACAGCCCTCCCAAGTCAGATACTGCCACCTCACGAGGCCCCCCAGGGATCCACAAGTTCATTAAAGTTTCAGGAATCCAATTCTACTACAAAATATACATTTATAATTAGGAAAAGGATAGTTTCTTTTAAATGGTAGAACTTCCCCAATGAGTCAGCTACCTGTATTTCTGGCCTGTCAGGCTAGACACTGGAGACCATTCTGCATAGAATTGTACCTCCCTGAACTACTGTTAGGCCTTAGGGTGGGGATTCATCTTTCCCTTCTCCCCACCATGGAGACAAAATCCTCTTAAACATATCCGGGCCTGGCATGGTGGCTCACGCCTGTAATCCCAACACTATGGGAGTCCGAGGAGGGTGGATTACCTGAGGTCGGGAGTTTGAGACCAGCCTGACCAACATGGAGAAACCCCGTCTCTACTAAAAATACAAAATTAGCCGGGCATGGTGGCACATGCCTGTAATCCCAGCTACTCGGGAGGCTGAGGCGGGAGAATTGCTTGAACCTGGGAGGCAGAGGTTGCAGTGAGCCAAGATCACGCCATTGCACTCCAGCCTTGGCAACAAGAGCAAAACTCCATCTCAAAAAACAAAAACAAAAACAAAAAATAAAACATATCCAGCAGTAGGCCAGACACGGTGGCTCACCCCTGTAATCCCAGCACTTTGGGAGGCTGAGGCAGGTGGATCACTGGAGGTCAGGAGTTTGAGACCAGCCTGGCCAACATGGTGAAACCCCATCCTTTACTAAAAATACAAAAATTAGCTGGGTGTGGGGGCATGTGCCTGTAATTCCAGCTACTCAGGAGGCTAAGGTAGAAGAATCGCTTGAACCCAGGAGGCGGAGGTTGCAGTGAGCCGAGATCGTGCCACTGCACTCCAGCCTGGGCTACAGAGTGAGACTCCATCTCAAAAAACAAACATGGTGGCTCACGCCTGTAATCCCAGCACTTTGGGAGGCCGAAGCAGGTGGATCACCTGAGGTCAGGAGTTCGAGACCAGCCTGGCCAAGATGGTGAAACCCTGTCTCTACTAAAAATACAAAAATTAGCCAGGCATGGTGGTGGGCGCCTGTAGTACCAGCTACTTGGGAGGCTGAAGCAGGAGAATCGCTTGAACCCAGGAGGTGGAGGTTGCAGTGAGCCAAGATCATGCCACTGCACTCCAGCCTGGGCGACAGAGCGAGACTCTGTCTCAAACAGGCCAGGCGTGGTGGCTCATGCCTGTAATACCAGCACTTTGGTAGGCCAGGAGTTCAAGATGAGCCTGGCCAACATGGTGAAACCCCGTCTATACTAAAAATACAAAAAGACTGGCGTGGTGGTGGGCGCCTGTAATCACAGCTACTTGGGAGGCTGAGGCAGGAGAATCGCTCGAACCCAGGAGGCGAAGGTTGCGGTGAGCCAACATTGCACCACTGCACTCCAGCCTGGGCGACACAGCAAGACTCTGCCTCAAAATAAATAAACAAACAAACAAAAATATCTGGCAGCAATTTTCAAGCATTCAAAAGAGATGTGAAGGAAAAAAATTTGGCCGGGAGCAGTGGCTCACGCCTGTAATCCCAGCACTCTGGGAGGCCAAGGTGTGCGGATCACGAGGTCAAGAGTTCGAGACCAGCCTGACCAACATGGTCAAACCTGGTCTCTACTAAAAATACAAAAATTAGCTGGGCATGGTGGCACGTGCCTGTAATCCCAGCTACTCAGGAGTCTGAGGCAGGAGAATCGCTTGAACCTGGGAGGCAGAGGTTTCAGGGAGCCGAGATCACACCACTGCACTCCAGCCTGGGCAACAGAGGGAGACTGTCTCAAAAAAAAAAAAAAATAAATAAATCAGCATAGTAATTGATGAGGACAAGGACATTTTATTATCATGGGATTATGGGGACAAATGATTGCTGAAATCATAATTAGCTTTCTGGCGGGGGAAGATAGTAAGGTAGAAAGAGGAGAAATGGGTGTAATCAAAGGAAGTGGCAGAGAGAGATTAAAAAAAAAAAACAGGAAATGAGAACAAGAATATGACTAACAATGCCTGAGCCCCACCCACCCATCCTCAGAGTGGACTCCCTCTCTCAAAGGCTTGTGGGCACCTGCCCCCGAGCTGACTCACCCTGTTCAGTCATCACAGCTCACTGCAGTGATGAAGGCTCAGGTGATCCTTTCACATCAGCCTCTCCAGTAGCTGGGACTAAAGGCATGTGCCACCATACCTGGCTAATTTTTTGTTTTTGTTTTTGTTTTGAGATGGAGTCTTGCTCTGTCACCCAGGCTGCAGTGCAGTGGCATGATCTAGGCTCACTGCAACCTCCACCACCTGGATTCAAGCAATTCTCTGCCTCAGCTTCCTGAGTAGCTGGGACTACAGGTGCCTGCCATGACGCCCAGCTAATTTTTTTGTGTATTTAGTAGAGATGGGGTTTCACCATGTTAGCCAGGATGGTCTCGATCTCCTGATCTCGTGATCCACCTGCCTCAGCCTCCCAAAGTACTGGGATTACAGGTGTGAGCCACCGTGCCCGGCCGTATTTTTTGTATTTTTAGTAGAGACAGGGTTTCACTATCTTGGCTAGGCTGGTCTTGAACTCCTGACCTCAAGTGATCCACCCACCTCGGCCTCCCAAAGTTCTGGGATTACAGGCATGAGCCACTGTGCCCAGCCACCCGTCACCTGCTAGTGTAGACAAATGAATAAACTTAGACAAGCACATGGGCTCCCTCTATACCAGCCTAGACTTTGACACTGAAACTCCATGAGTCTGGGCCACTTCCTGCCACAAGTGTGAATGGAAAATAAATCATTTTCCAAGGAACCCAAAATCACTAAGCCAAGGAGTCAAGCTGAGAACTTTCAGGCAAACCTGCCCCCCATTTTATTTCCTAAATAAGAGAGCTACAAAGATTAAAAAAAAAAAAAAGCTACACACCTTGCTCATAATTTGCCCACAAGGAAATACCTAATTCCACAAGGAAGGGCTAATCAGAAACTCAACAGAATGCAACTGTTTGTCTCTTATCCACCTGTGACCTGGAAGCCCCGTCCCTCACCTCGAGTTGTCTCGCCTTCCTGGACCAAACCAATGTACATCTTACACATATTGATTGATGTCTCATGTCTCCCTAAAATGTATAAAACCAAGCTGTGCCCTGACCACCTTGGACACATGTGGTCAGGACTTCCTGAGGCTGTGTCACGGGCGTGTGTCCTCAACCTTGGCAAAATAAACTTTCTAAATTGGTTGAGACCTGTCTCGGATACTTTGGGTTCACATAAGGAAACAGGAAGCAGGGATCTGGTGTCTATTTCTTTTTCCAAGCACAATGTAAGCACAGTTCTAGGCTGTGTTTGTCTTGTGAGTCCTTCCTGGCTCCCCTCAGGCACTGGCTTTCTCTCCTCTCTCCTGCCTTCTCTTTCTGGATCCACCCTCCAAATGTTGGAGTTCCTTAGGGTTTGATTCTTGGAACTCTTCTGTGTTTATGTGTTCTCCCTAGATAGCATCATCCGTAAGTGACTTAAATAGCACTCATAATGCTTAAAAAAAAAAATTTCCATTTCTAGCCTGGACGTCTCTGAATTTCAGAATAAGGTAAATGAAGAATTCACCTTTATACACCTTAAGTTTGAAATGCCGGTGATTTATCCAACAGCCTCCTTGGTTTTGGTTTTAGCCGTATCACCGGCATCTCATTTAACTCAACGTATGCACATCTGAATTCTACTGACTCTCCTAAACTTGCACTCTGCTCCATCTCAGCCAATGGTACCACCCAGTTTCCTGAGCTAAGTGCCTTCTTTGACACCTTCCTTTCCAACACCACCTCACCTGATCTGTCACCAGTCCTGTCACTTGTTTTAAATCCTTGCACTGTCTCCCACCTCTGCACCTCTCCTCCTTGTCTCAGCCTGCTGTCTCACCCTTCTACTCTTCCTCCCTAAAGTCTGTAATCATCTAGCACCATCTTGTTAAAACATAAAAGATCATGCAGAGTCCCACTTAAAAGCTTACAAATATCTCATTGTACTTAAAATAAAGCTCAAATTCAGCAATGCCTAGAAGGCAGTGAGGAGTGGATAGGTATGAGAATGGCTGCTGATGTGGATTGCCTGGGTTTAAATCTTTTTCTTCCTTTTTTTTCCCCGCCATGACAGGATCTCACTCTGAGCGATACTCAGGCTGGAGTGCAGTGGCCCAATCATGGCTCACTCTAGCCTCTGCCTCCCAGTCTCAAGCAATCCTCCCACCTCAGCCTCCCAAGTAGGTGGGACTACAGGTGACACCACCATACTCGGCTAATTTTTGTACTGTTTGTAGAGACGGGGTTTTGCCATGTTGCCCAGGCTGGTCTCCAGCTCCTAAACTCAAGTGACCTACCTGCCTTGGCCTCCCAAAGTGCTGGGATTACAGGCGTGAGACACCGCGCCCGGCCCAGGTGCTTATTGTTAACTCCTGCTTCCTTAACCTCACCACAGTTTACACCCCGCCACTCCTGAGCACCGCACACCGGCTTCCTCCCAGTCCCTCATCTGAGAACTCATGAAGCCACTTGGAATCCCTCTCTGCTTTGCCTGGCTCATTCCATGTCAATTTCAGATCTTCACTTCAGGTCAGCTCCAAGGAGGCTATCCTTGCCCATCTTCCTAAAATAGAGCTCTCAAAACCTGGCTGTTTTCCTTCAGAGCACTGGCCTCCAATTGTAAGTAGATATTTATCTGTTTACTACGTGTCTCCATCACTAGGCGATACACTTCAGGAGGGGAGAATTTTTTGTTTTGGTTCTCTGCCATAAGAGTGCATGGTATTTACTAAGCATGAAATAAATAGTTGTTGGGGGGAAAAAGAATGAGTAAACGAATAAATGAAGTGTGGGAAACTCCTGAGGATGCAACTCTCTACCTAGCGGTGGCCAAAGCTACTGGATAAACCATGTATGTACCCATCTTTTTAACCTATGTGTGTTTTGCTAGAATGGAGTGTTCTAATTAGAAGTAAAAATTTGTTTGTTCTTTAATAGAATTTAATTTTTTTTTTTGAGCCAGTCTGATTCTGTTGCCCAGGCTGGAGTGCAATGGCACGATCTCGGCTCGCTGCAACCTCTGCCTCCCAGGTTCAAGCGATTCTCCTGCCTCAGCCTCCCGAGTAGCTGGGATTACAGGCACCTGACACCAGGCCCGGCTAATTTTTTGTATTTTTAGTAGAGACTGGGTTTTGCCCTGTTGCCCAGGCTGGTCTCAAACTCCTGACCTCAAGTGATCCACCCGCCTCGGTCTCCTAAAGTGCTGGGATTACAGGCGTGAGCCACCGCGCCCGGCCTTTTTTTTTTTTCTTCTTTTTTTAAAAATGTTTATCTGCAAGATCGAGACGGTATCTCACTATCTTGTTGGTTTCAAACTCTTGGGCTACAGGGATCCTCTCGCGTCGGCTTCCCAAAGTGCTGGGATTACGGGCGTGAGCCACCGCGCCCGGCCTATTAATAAAATCGGATGACCTTGCACTTTCTCAGTCAGCGAGTATTATTTACTACTCACCTCCACTTAGCAGTAGGGAGCTGTATTGCAAAGGGGGCTGATGAGCGCGGCTTGACGCCCCTACACACCCCGCCAAGGGGGTTGCTGCAGTTACGGTTTCGCCGAATGTCCGGCAGAGGGCGCTGCGAACACGCCGCTCCAGCCGCCGGGCAGGGGAGAGCGGAATGATATTCCCAATGACCGCAGTCAGAACCATCAGCGCATTCCTAGGACGCTTTCCAGCTGCTGGGTGGCTTCATACCCCGGTAAAGTGAATGGTTTCCAAGTTCCCGCTGAGTACTGGGATCTGGAGAGCTTTTGAAAAACACGGATTTCTGGGCGGCACTCTCAAAGATTCTGGTTCCATGGGAATTGGGCGGGCCCTGGACCCTCTTGAAGATGTTTCCTGTTGATTTTGATGATCAGGTTTGGGCCCCATTGGTGGGAACTCCCCAAGGCGACTAGGGAGCCGAAGGAGAGAGGAGGACACAAACCTGGTTTCCACTCCCAACCCTGTTGCTTTTTAGCTGCGCGATCCTTCTGTGTACTACCCCCCATGACAACTTGTAAAATGGAGCTAATGGTAAAGATAGGGCTAGGCCAGGCCCTGTGGCTCAGGCCTGTAACCCAGCATTTTGGGAGGCTGAGGTGGGAGGATCACCTGAGGCCAGGAATTCGAGACCAGCCTGGCCAACATGGTGAAACTCTGTCTCTACTAAAAATACAGAAATTAGCCAGGCATGTGGCATGCACCTGTAATCCCAGCTACTCGGGAGGCCAAGACACGAGAATAGCTTGAGCCTGGGAGGCAGAGGCTGCAGGGCTAGATCCCGTCTCAAAAAAAAAAAAAAAAAAAAGAAAAGAAAGAAAGAAATTTTGGAATTATCACTTTGGCTAAATGAATGACCATCATTTTATAGTGGCCTGTGATCCTAGGGTCTTAGGCACAGGGGATACAGCAATGAGCAAACATGCATTCTGATGAAGAGATGCTGACAATCACAACCACACAAATAAGCAAGATAATTTCCCATAGAGATAAGAGCTTTGAGGAAGCCAGAATGCAGGAATGTGATAGAAAGTGGCTGGCAAGAGGGAGCTGAGGCTGGTGGGTCCAAGAAGTCCTCTCCAGGGAGATGACATTTGAGCAGTGATCTGGACAATGAAAAAGCGCTGACTGCACCTCCAGGTGAGAAGAACTTACTGGGCTGAGGAGAAAGCAAGCCATCAAAAACCCCAAGGAGGGAGTTTGGTGTGTTCAGAGAACTGGAAGGAGGGAACGCCATGAAAGAGAGGCCAGTAGCATGTGCGGGGCAGAGAGGGAGCCGGCTTCTTAGCCCGTGGAGAGAGAAAGCAGGAACTAAAGCCAGCACCAACGGGAAGGGCTGCATCTGGAGAGAGAGGGAGAGCAGCTGCAGGTTGGTCAAGCTGCTGTAAGGCCCTGCCCAGGCCATACGAACACAGGGAGCTACTTTCCCTGTCCTCGGGACAAATGTCACAGAGGCAGAGAGGTCTGAGGGATGGGGGGATATGGAAAATAGTTGCATAACTTTAAGAGATGGGTGCCATTTAACTCATTTCACACAGGAGGCACTAAGCCAGAGCACACTGAATGATGGCCCCCATCTCAATTTCCTTCCAGCCCTGCTCCTTGCTTTCCTGCATCCATGCCACGCGATTTCCTGAATCCATGCCCCTCGCTTTCCCGCATCCATGCTCCTCGTTTTCCCGCATCCATGCCCCTCGTTTTCCCGTATCCATGCCCCTCGTTTTCCCGTATCCATGCCCCCCGCTTTCCCGCACCCGTGCCCCTCCGCTTTCCCGCTCCATGCCCTTTGCTTTCCCTGTGAGTTCTCAGGGCTCTATTTCCATTGAAATTAAAACCCAGTTCCCTGTAGAGTAACTGTCTATCAGTAGTTCGTGCCTAGTTTCCTTCTCCTTTGTATTAAGTGACACCATCTGGCCTTCCCAGTCACCTTGGGCTCGTGTTTCCTTTGGATGGCTTCCCAAGGGGCAGAGGGCTCCTGAGCAGCATGTCTTGTGACACAACTTAATTAGGATTGTATTTCATTCTGCATTTTACAAACAGATGACTTCAGCTTTGGGTTCTAAAAGGAAGAAAAGCAGACCCTCTTCCCTTTGGGACTTAGTTGAGTGACCATTTCTCTTACACATCTTACTAGACACTGTATGGAAAAGAATCTGGACAGACTCATTCCCTTCATTCTTCTGTGTACATAAGCTCCTACTACGGTGTCAAGCCCTGGGGACTAGAATTCTGTCTTTAAACTTCAGGAAGTCACAGTAGAATCACAATGTCAGACACAGTCTACGAAACGCTTCGTATATGTTACCTCATTTGATCTTTGTAATCAACCCATGAGGCAGGTGGGGTGTGGCGGGTATGATAGTCTCCTTCTATGTTGCTGGCTTAGAGAAGGTCAGTGACTTGTTTAAGGTCACACTGCTGGTTCCTGGAAGAACTGGGCCTAACACAGGCCTGTTGGCTCTGTTTTCATCCCTCTGGAATCTTAATCCTTAGCACTTCAGAGTGGTGGAATTCAAGATTGGGCCACTTAGCAAACTGGTCCCTTAATTTATTAAATTGTATTGACATGTGAGCTGCATGACCACTGCTTGGACGGGGCTTCTCAGGTAGACAAGTTCTGTTTTCATAGCGAGAGAATGAACTTCCTGGGAGGCTGGAAGAAAGTGAGGGAGGTGAATGATGAGCAATCAGCTGGTCTACTCATAATATCCTCAACAGGGACCACTTCCAGTGGTAGCCAGGTAACCTATCAGAATGACCTCCTGTAGATAACAACTCTAAACTCTGGAGTGCAGAAAAATTACCTGAAGTCACTAAGGGAGATCAAAAGCCAGAATCTCAGAAAGGAGTCAATACTTGAAGGAAGGGAATGGCACTGGGTGAGTTTCCTGTATTTTTTTTTTTTTTTTTTTTTTTTTTGATACAGTGTCTCACTTTGTTTCCCAGGCTGGAGTGCAGTGGTGCCATCTCAGCTCACTGCAACCTCCGCATCCCGGGTTCAAGTGATTCTTCTGCCTCAGCCTCCTAAGTAGCTGGGATTGCAGACACCTGCCACCATGCCTGGCTAATTTTTGTATTTTTAGTAGAGACAGGGTTTCGCCATGTTGGCCAGGCTGGTCTCGAACTCATGACCTCAGGAGGTCTGCCTGCCTCGGCCTCCCAAAGTGCTGGGATTACAGGCGTAAGCCACCACGCCCAGCCCAGACATTTATTTCTTACTGGAAAATTGAGGATCAAGGTGCAGCAGACATGGTTTCTGGGGAGGATGCTCTCTGCTTGTCTTGCAGATGGCACCTTCTTGCTATGTCCTCACATTGCAGAGAGAGAAAGAGAAAGAGGTGGGGGGAGGGCGGGGAAGGGAGAGAGAGAACTCTGGTCTCTCTTCCTCTTGGTATAAAGCCACTAATCCCATCATGAGGACCCCACTCTCTTGACCTTATCCTTAATCACTTCCCAAAGCCCCCCGCCCTGCAACTCCAAATACCATCATACTGGGGATTAGGGCTTCGACCTACACATTTTTATTACTACGTGTTATGAACTGAACACAATTCAGTCCATAGCAGGTAGTAATAAAAAATACAAGTGGTGCTCTTCACTTGTGGCAGCTGAAGAACCTAAATTCTCGTGCCTGAAGCCTCCTTTCTGCTTCTCTGGCCATGTGGTCCTCGCGACCAGGGGTGCACGCTGGGCCCAGATTGTCCCCCACAGGTCAGGAATTTACTTGAAAGGAACGCTGCAGGCCAGTGAAGAGCTGGCAAAAATTGTCATGGAGAAGCAATGATCCAAAGACAGCTTTGGGACCCGCTGGCTCAGGAAGACTGGCTAGATGTGGGCCACATGTGCCCAGAAGGTGGGAGATGTGTGTGCTGCTCATTGTGTGTACCTTCTTGTTACTTCTGTCAGAGCTGAACTTGAAATTGCCATCTCATTTTTGGAGACCTACAGTTGAATATTTGCATATCTCTGGAATGGTGTCTTAGTCTGTTTTGTGCTACTATAACAGAAGACCACAGACTGAGTCATTTATAAGAGCAGAAAATTTATTTGGCTCATGGAGCAGCCTAGAACCCTACTATTAGGTCTGAGTCAGTCAGATGGAAAGAAGGCGAAGTAGAAGCATCGAGGTCGAATCAGTCACACATGGACTTCCCTAGTGGACTCATTGAAAACCAGACCTTCTGAGCCACCCTTGGTAGGGGCTCTGGAAGTGGCTTCTGAAGAGACCCCATTCTGCACCTCCACCAAGGGCCTGGTGGGAGAAGTGTGCCCTGCAGTGCCCTCAGAAAGGCCCACTGAAACTGCAAACATTCCCTTTCTGCACTGCCATTTGGTTCATGAAGACATATGGCTGGGAGAAGTTGAGTATCCTATGTCACCTTTTAGTCCAACAATTTTATGGAGGCTTAGCATGGGCAGGCCTGGTGCCAGGTGATGAGGATGCACATGGGAGCAGATCTGGCCCTGCACATAGGAGCCCACATTTCTGGATAGTGGGGCGGAGGTGACACATGTCCACATAACTGCAGTGTACAGAGATAGCAAAACAGTAAGATACAGGATGATTGAAGGTCTGTCTGTAGCTCATCCAAATGATATGGTGACCAGTTCCCAAGAGGAATCTCTACACGTTTCCTGCTATTGAGCCTATGGAGCGTGATAAAAGAAATCTGGGCTGGGTGTGGTGGCTCACGCCTGTAATCCCACCACTTTGGGAGGCTGAGGTGGGTGGATCACCTGAGGTCAGGAATTCTAGACCAGCCTGGCCAACATGACAAAACCCCTTCTCTACTAAAAATACAAAAAATTAGCCAGGCATGGTGGCAGATGCCTGTAATCCCAGCTATTTGGGAGGCTGAGGCAGGTGCCATCCCAGCCAACATGGCACCATCCCAGCCAGCATGGTGCTATCCCAGAAAATATGGCACCATTCTAACCAACATGGCACCACCCCAGCCTCAGGTATTCCTTTATAGCAATACGAATGGACTAAGACACTGGCATAGCAATAACACTAATAAATATATATTGACTGAATGAAAGAACAAACATGTTATCTTTCTGAAAGAATATATTTTTTGGCCAGGCTTGGTGGCTCACGCCTGTAATCCCAGCACTTTGGGAGGCCGAGGCGGGTGGATCACGAGGTCAGGAGATCGAGACCATCCTGGCTAACATGGTGAAACCCCATCTCTACTAAAAACACACACAAAAAAAATTAGCCGGGCATGGTGGCAAGCATCTGTAGTCCCAGCTACTAGGGAAGCTGAGGCAGGAGAATGGTGTAAGCTTGCAGTGAGCAGAGATGGGCTTACTGCACTCCAGCCTGGGTGACAGAGCAAGACTCCGTCTCAAAAAAAGAAAAAGAAGAATGTATTTTTTACAACACAATCAAATCAATGCCTTAAAACTAGGCTGTCATCACATTTTTCCCCCCGTTTTACATACTTAAATTGGCTAAATCAAGAATAGGGGCTGGCTCTCAGTCCCTACCTCGTGGGGGGTGCCTCCCCTCCCTGCGATGGGGGTCCTAAGAGCCTGGGGCGGAAGAGGGGCTGGCTCTCAGCCACCACAAAATGGGGAGCCTTTATGTTCAGGTTTTGCCCAAGAGTCAGCTTATTTGCTTCTGGTACTAGCAGGGCAGTTGATGCCGTGGCCTTCAAACATGGGGGCCATCCTTTAGAAACCCTTTCTATTTGTTTAGACACGTAGGCCACCGGCCTCAGCCAGGGCCCCAGAGTTTCGGTTAAAATTCCAGCTGCCATCTTTTCTCTATCTGACGCATTCAATGGAAAAGGCTTTGTCAGATCTGGTAGCCCCGGGGCTGGGGCTGCCAGAAGTTTTTCCTTTAACTCATGAAAGACTTGCTGTTGTTGGGATCCCCATTCTAAAGGTTCCCGGTCCCCGCCCCCTTTGTGACCTCATACAAAGACTTGGCTAATACTGCAAAGTTTGGGATGCACAGTCTACAAAACCCCACAGCCCCTAAGAATTCCCTCACCTGCCTTCTGCCCTTAGGCTCCGGTAGATTGCAAATGACCTGCTTTCTTTCTGTTCCCGGGCGTTTGGACCCCTGTCTTGGACCGCTGTCGGATAGTAAATCCCAAGTAAGGTACCTGCCGTCGGCAGATTTGAGCTTTCTTCTTGGACACCTAATACCCAGAGTCCTCCAGGTGGGTCCTTAAGGTTCCTGGGATCCGCCATGGGGGTCCTAAGCCAGTGGGGGATGAGGGGCTGGCTCTCAGTCCCCGCCTTGCTGGGGGTGCCCCCCCCCCCTGCGATGGGGGCCCTAAGAGCCAGGGGGGTAAGAAGGGCTGGCTCTCAGTCCCCGCCTCGTGGGGGGTGCCTCTCCCTCCTGCGCTGGGGGCCCTGAGAGCCAGTGGGGGAGAGGGGCTGGCTCTCAGTCCCTGCCTTGTTGGGGGTGCCTCCCCCCCTGCGATGGGGGTCCTGAGAGCCAGGGGGGAAGAGGGGCTGGCTCTCAGTACCTGCCTCATTGGGGGTGCCTCCATGCCCTGCGATGGGTGACCTAAGAGCCAGGGGGGGAAGAGGGGCTGGCTCTCAGTCCCCACCTCGTGGGGGGTGCCTCCCCCTCTGCGATGGGGGTCCTAAGAGCCGGTGGCAGAATAGGGGCTGCCTCTGCGTCCCTGCCTCGTGGGGGGTGCCTCCGCCTCCTGGGATGGTGGTCCTAAGAGCCAGAGGGGGAAGAGGGGCTGGCTCTCAGTCCCTGCCTCGTGGGGGGTGCCTCCCCCCCCTGCGATGGGGGTCCTGAGAGCCGGGGAGGATGAGGGGCTGGCTCTCAGTCCCCGCCTCGTGGGGGGTGCCTCCCCCCCTGCGATGGGGGCCCTGAGAGCCAGGGGGGAAGAGGGGCTGGCTCTCAGTCCCTGCCTCGTTGGGGGTGCCTCCCCCCCTGCGATGGGGGTCCTAAGAGCCTGGGGCGGAAGAGGGGCTGGCTCTCAGTCCGTGCCTGGCGGGGGGTGCCTCCCCCCCTGCGATGGGGGTCCCGAGAGCCAGCGGGGGAAAAGGGGCTGACTCTCAGCCACCACAACATGGGGGGCCTTTATGTTCAGGTTTTGCCCAAGAGTCAGCTGATTTGCTTCTTGTACTAGCAGGGCAGTTGCTGCCAAGGCCCTCAAACAGGGGAGCCATCCTTCAGAAACCCTGTCTAGTTGTTCAGAGACGTAGGCCACCGGCCTCAGCCAGGGCCCCACAGTTTGGGTTAAAAGTCCAGCTGCCATCTTTTCTGTCTATAACGCATACAATGGAAAAGGCTTTGTCAGATCGGGTATCCCCAGGGCTGGGGCTGCCAGACATTTTTCCTTTAACTCATGAAAGACTTGCTGTTATTGGGTTCCCCATTCCAAAGGTTCCGGTCCACGCCCCCTTTGTGACCTCATACAAAGGCTTGGCTAATACTGCAAAGTTTGGGATGAACAGTCTACAAAACCCCACAGCCCCTGAGAATTCCCTCACCTGCCTTCTGCCCTTAGGCTCCGGTAGATTGCAAATGACCTGCTTTCTTTCTGTTCCCGGGCGGCATCGGACCCGTCGGAGAGTAAATCCCAAGTAAGGTACCTGCCGTTGGCAGATTTGAGCTTTCTTCTTGGACACCTAATACCCACAGTCCTCCAGGTGAGTCCTAAGTATCTTAGGATCCGCGATGGGGGTCCTAAGGCAGGGGGGGAAGAGGGGATGGCTGTCACCCAACCCAAAATGGGCGGCCTTTATGTTCAGGTTTTGCCCAAGAGTCAGCTTATTTGCTTCTTGTACTATCAGGGCAGTTGATGCCACGGCCCTCAAACAGGGGGGCCATCCTTTAGAAACCCTCTCTAGTTGTTTAGAGACGTAGGACATTGGCCTCATCCAGGGCCCCAGAGTTTCGGTTAAAAGTCCAGCTGCCATCTTTTCTCTATCTGACGCGTTCAACGGAAAAGGCTTTGTCAGATCGGGTAGCCCCAGGGCTGGGGCTGCCAGAAGTTTTTCCTTTAACTCATGAAAGACTTGCTGTTGTTGGGATCCCTATTCCAAAGGTTCCCGGTCCCTGCCCCCTTTGTGACCTCATACAAAGACTTGGCTAATACTGCAAAGTTTGGGATGCACAGTCTACAAAACCCCACAGCCCCTGAGAATTCCCTCACCTGCCTTCTGCCCTTAGGCTCCGGTAGATTGCAAATGACCTGCTTTCTTTCTGTTCCCGGGTGGCATCGACCCGTCGGAGAGTAAATCCCAAGTAAGGTACCTGCCGTTGGCAGATTTGAGCTTTCTTCTTGGACACCTAATACCCACAGTCCTCCAGGTGAGTCCTAAGGATCTTAGGATACGCGATGGGGGTCCTAAGGCAGGGGGGGAAGAGGGGATGGCTGTCACCCAACCCAAAATGGGCGGCCTTTATGTTCAGGTTTTGCCCAAGAGTCAGCTTATTTGCTTCTTGTACTATCAGGGCAGTTGATGCCACGGCCCTCAAACATGAGGGGCCATCCTTTAGAAACCCTCTCTAGTTGTTTAGACAACTAGGCCACCGGCCTCAGCCAGGGCCCCAGAGTTTCGGTTAAAAGTCCAGCTGCCATCTTTTCTCTATCTGACGCATTCAATGGAAAAGGCTTTGTCAGATCGGGTAGCCCCAGGGCTGGGGCTGCCAGAAGTTTTTCCTTTAACTCCTGAAAGACTTTTTGTTCTTGGGATCCCCATTCCAAAGGTTCCGTTCCCCGCCCCCTTTGTGACCTCATACAAAGGCTTGGCTAATACTGCAAAGTTTGGGATCCAGTCTACAAAACCCCACAGCTCCCAAGAATTCCCTTACCTGCCTTCTGCCCTTAGGCTCCGGTAGATTGTAAATAACCTGCTTTCTTTCTGTTCCCGGGCTGCGTTCGGACCCCTGTCGGATAGTAAATCCCAAGCAAGGTACCTGCCGTCAGCAGATTTGAGCTTTCTTCTTGGACACCTAATACCCACAGTCCTCCAGGTGGGTCCTAAGGTTCTTAGGATCCTTGATGGAGGTCCTAAGCTGTGGGGGACGGGGGGCTGGCTCTCAGTCCCCGCCTCGTGGGGGGTGCCTCCCCCCCCTGCGATGGGGGCCCTGAGAGCCAGGGGGGAAGAGGGGCTGGCTCTCAGTCCCTGCCTCGTTGGGGGTGCCTCCCCCGCTGCGATGGGTGTCCTAAGAGCCAGGGGGGAAGAGGGGCTGGCTCTCAGTCCCAGCCTCGTGGGGGGTGCCTCCCCCCCTGCGATGGGGGTCCTAAGAGCCGGTGGCGGAAGAGGGGCTGCCTCTGAGTCCCTGCCTCGTGGGGGGTGCCTCCCCCCCCTGCGATGGGGGTCCTGAGAGCCGGGGAGGATGAGGGGCTGGCTCTCAGTCCCCGCCTCGTGGGGGTGCCTCCCCCCCTGCGATGGGGGCCCTGAGAGCCAGGGGGGAAGAGGGGCTGGCTCTCAGTCCCTGCCTCGTTGGGGGTGCCTCCCCCCCTGCGATGGGGGTCCTAAGAGCCTGGGGCGGAAGAGGGGCTGGCTCTCAGTCCGTGCCTGGCGGGGGGTGCCTCCCCCCCTGCGATGGGGGTCCCGAGAGCCAGCGGGGGAAAAGGGGCTGACTCTCAGCCACCACAACATGGGGGGCCTTTATGTTCAGGTTTTGCCCAAGAGTCAGCTGATTTGCTTCTTGTACTAGCAGGGCAGTTGCTGCCAAGGCCCTCAAACAGGGGAGCCATCCTTCAGAAACCCTGTCTAGTTGTTCAGAGACGTAGGCCACCGGCCTCAGCCAGGGCCCCACAGTTTGGGTTAAAAGTCCAGCTGCCATCTTTTCTCTCTCTAACGCATACAATGGAAAAGGCTTTGCCAGATCGGGTAGCCCCGGGGCTGGGGCTGCCAGAAGTTTTTCCTTTAACTCCTGAAAGACTTTCTGTTCTTGGGATCCCCATTCCAAAGGTTCCGGTCCCCGCCCCCTTTGTGACCTCATACAAAGGCTTGGCTAATACTGCAAAGTTTGGGATCCACAGTCTATAAAACCCCACAGCTCCCAAGAATTCCCTTACCTGCCTTCTGCCCTTAGGCTCCGGTAGATTGTAAATAACCTGCTTTCTTTCTGTTCCCGGGCTGCGTTCGGACCCCTGTCGGATAGTAAATCCCAAGCAAGGTACCTGCCGTCAGCAGATTTGAGCTTTCTTCTTGGACACCTAATACCCACAGTCCTCCAAGTGGGTCCTAAGGTTCTTAGGATCCTTGATGGGGGTCCTAAGCTGTGGGGGACGGGGGGCTGGCTCTCAGTCCCTGCCTCCCGGGGGGTGCCTCCCCCCCTGCGATGGGGGCCCTGAGAGCCAGGGGGCAAGAGGGGCTGGCTCTCAGTCCCTGCCTCGTTGGGGGTGTCTCCCCGCCTTCGATTGGTGTCCTAAGAGCCAGGGGGAGAAGAGGGGCTGGCTCTCAATCCCTGCATCGTTAGGGGTGCCTTCCCCCCTGCGATTGGTGTCCTAAGAGCCAGGGGGGGAAGAGGGGCTGGCTCTCAGTCCCCGCCTCGTAGGGGGTGCCTCCCCCCCTGAGATGGGGGTCCTAAGAGCCGGGGGCGGAAGAGGGGCTGCCTCTGAGTCCCTGCCTCGTGGGGGGTGCCTCCCCCTCCCCTCCTGCGATGGTGGTCCTAAGAGCCAGAGGGGGAAGAGGGGCTGGCTCTCAGTCCCTGCCTCACGGGGGGTGCCTCCCCCCCCCTGCGATGGTGGTCCTAAGAGCCAGAGGGGGAAGAGGGGCTGGCTCTCAGTCCCCGCCTCGTGGGGGGTGCCTCCCCCCCTGCGATGGGGGTCCTGAGAGCCAGGGGGGAAGAGGGGCTGGCTCTCAGTCCCTGCCTCGTTGGGGGTGCCTCCCCCCCCTGCGATTGTTGTCCTAAGAGCCAGGGGGAGAAGAGGGGCTGGCTCTCAGTCCCCGCCTCGTGGGGGGTGCCTCCCCCGCTGCGATGGGGGTCCTAAGAGCCGGGGGCGGAACAGGGGCTGCCTCTGAGTCCCTGCCTCGTGGGGGGTGCCTCCCCCTCCTGCGATGGTGGTCCTAAGAGCCAGAGGGGGAAGAGGGGCTGGCTCTCAGTCCCTGCCTCGTGGGGGGTGCCTCCCTCCCCTGCGATGGGGGTCCTGAGAGCCGGGGGGGATGAGGGGCTGGCTCTCAGTCCCCGCCTCGCGGGGGGTGCCTCCCCCCCTGTGATGGGGGCCCTGAGAGCCAGGGGGGAAGAGGGGCTGGCTCTCAGTCCCTGCCTCGTTGGGGGTGTCTCCCCCCCTGCGATGGGTGTCCTAAGAGCCAGAGGGGGAAGTGGGGCTGGCTCTCAGTCCCCGCCTCGTGGGGGGTGCCTCCCCCTCTGCGATGGGGGTCCTAAGAGCCGGGGGCGGAAGAGGGGCTGCCTCTGAGTCCCTGCCTCGTGGGGGGTGCCTCCCCCTCCTGCGATGGTGGTCCTAAGAGCCAGAGGGGGAAGAGGGGCTGGCTCTGAGTCTCCGCCTCGCGGGGGTTGCCTCCCCCCCTGCGATGGGGGTCCTAAGAGCCTGGGGCGGAAGAGAGGCTGGCTCTCAGTCCGTGCCTCGCAGAGGGTGTCATCGCCCCTGCGATGGGGGTCCCAAGAGCCAGCGGGGGAAAAGGGGCTGACTCTCAGCCACCACAAAATGGGGAGCCTTTATGTTCAGGTTTTGCCCAAGAGTCAGCTTATTTGCTTCTTGTACTAGCAGGGCAGTTGCTGCCAAGGCCCTCAAACAGGGGAGCCATCCTTCAGAAACCCTGTCTAGTTGTTCAGAGACGTAGGCCACCGGCCTCAGCCAGGGCCCCACAGTTTGGGTTAAAAGTCCAGCTGCCATCTTTTCTCTCTCTAACGCATACAATGGAAAAGCCTTTGCCAGATCGGGTAGCCCCAGGGCTGGGGCTGCCAGAAGTTTTTCCTTTAACTCCTGAAAGACTTTCTGTTCTTGGGATCCCCATTCCAAAGGTTCCCGGTCCCCGCCCCCTTTGTGACCTCATACAAAGGCTTGGCTAACACTGCAAAGTTTGGGATGCACAGTCTATAAAACCCCACAGCCCCTGAGAATTCCCTCACCTGCCTTCTGCCCTTAGGCTCCGGTAGATTGCAAATGACCTGCTTTCTTTCTGTTCCCGGGCTGCGTTCGGACCCCTGTCGGATAGTAACTCCCAAGTAAGGTACCTGCCGTCGGCAGATTGGAGCTTTCTTCTTGGAGACCTAATACCCACAGTCCTCCAGGTGGGTCCTAAGGATCTTAGGATCCGCGATGGGGGTCCTAAGGCAGGGGGGGAAGAGGGGTTGGCTGTCATCCAACCCAAAATGGGCGGCCTTTATGTTCAGGTTTTGCCCAAGAGTCAGCTTATTTGCTTCTTGTACTATCAGGGCAGTTGATGCCACGGCCCTCAAACATGAGGGGCCATCCTTTAGAAACCCTCTCTAGTTGTTTAGAGACGTAGGCCACCGGCCTCATCCAGGGCCCCAGAGTTTCGGTTAAAAGTCCAGCTGCCATCTTTTCTCTATCTGACGCATTCAATGGAAAAGGCTTTGTCAGATCGGGTAGCCCCAGGGCTGGGGCTGCCAGAAGTTTTTCCTTTAACTCATGAAAGACTTGCTGTTGTTGGGATCCCCATTCCAAAGGTTCCCGGTCCCCGTCCCCTTTGTGACCTCATACAAAGGCTTGGCTAATACTGCAAAGTTTGGGATGCACAGTCTACAAAACCCCACAGCCCCTAAGAATTCCCTCACCTGCCTTCTGCCCTTAGGCTCCGGTAGATTGCAAATGACCTGCTTTCTTTCTGTTCCCGGGCTGCGTTCGGACCCCTGTCGGAGAGTAAATCCGAAGTAAGGTAGCTGCCGTCGGCAGATTTGAGCTTTTTTCTTGGACACCTAATACCCACAGTCCTCCAGATGGGTCCTAAGGTTCTTAGGATCCGCAATGGGGGTCCTAAGCCAGGGGGTGATGAGGGGCTGGCTCTCAGTCCCTGCCTCGTGGGGGGTGCCTCCCCCTCCTGCGATGGTGGTCCTAAGAGCCAGAGGGGGAAGAGGGGTGCACACCCAGTTCATGATCAGGTCCCAAAATCAAATGTCCAGTTTTTAGCTAGGACCCAGTAAGAAGAGCTATTTTTCAAAGAGAGAAAAGTTATTTGCAAAAGATAACATGGATTTGCTGCAAACCGCCAGGGGTCTGCACTGTGATTCTCCTTTCAGGGCTGGTTGAAGGCTCCATACAGTATCTCTATCTGCCTTGGACACTTCAGGCATATGTGCCATATATGACAGAACATCTTGCACAACAGTCTGAATTTGCTGCAACCCTTCTCTTGCTCTGGGCCCCACTCAAAACCGGCAGACTTACAAATTCCTTCGTAAATGGGCCAGGGCAGCATGGTAAAATGTGCTGTATATTACCTCCTAAAACACCCGTCAAGTATTTTTTTTTAACTCTTTCCTAGCATAGGAGTACATGATGCAGCAATTTGTTTTCATTTGAAGGAGATAACCAACATGCCTCAGGCCACTGAACTCCTAGAAATGTCACATGCTCAACATATTATCCATATAATGGACTAGTTCTGCATTTTATGGGATGTTGTGATTATCAAGACCCCTGAAGCCTTGCTTATGACAGAACAGGAGAGTTGCCATAGACCTGAGCTCAAATCGTGAAGATGTACTGCTGTCCCTGCCATGTGAAAGCAAACACCTTCCAAAAGTGCCTGTAACCAATACAGCAGGAAAAAAAGTATATTTTACATAAATAGCTGCATCCCACATGTCAAAAGCCATTTTGATTTACTCTAGTAAGAATAACATATTTGAAACAGCAGCAGCAATCAATTAAATATTGATAATAAGCAATGGAGAGATAACAGGAAATCACGTAGAATATATCATTGTTTGCCAAATATTCTGGCTCCTTTCCTACTGAGGAATCATACTTCCTTAACTGCAGTCTTGTCCACGTGACTTGCAAATGAAATGTGAACAAAAGTGACATGCGTCACCTTTAGACAGAAGATCTAAGAGCTGATGTGTGCTTTGTTATGATGTATTTTCCCTCTGCCATAAGACTAAGCAATGTTCCAAACAGAGGCTGATCCACAGCCTCCATCTGGAGTGAAGATAAAATGGAAAAGAGCTTCAGTCAAGCTGCAGTGGACACATAGCAAGAATAAGAAGTTAACTTTTGTTGGCCAGGCGTGGTGGCTCACGCCTGCAATCCCAACACTTTGGGAGGCCAAGGCGGGAGGATCACTTGAGGTCAGGAGTTCGAGACCAGCCTGGCCAACATGGTAAAACACTGTCTCTACTAAAAATACAAAAATTAGCCAGGTGTGGTGGGGGGCACCTGTAATCCCAGCTATTCAGGAGGCCAAGGCTGGAGAATCGCTTTTACTTGGGAGTCGGAGGTTGCAGTGAGCCGAGATCATGCCACTGCACCCCAGCCTGGGCAACAGAGCGACACTTTTGTTGTCTGCCACTGGGATTTTTGATGACACTACCAAAGCCTAAAATAGCCTGACCCAACATATACAGTCTCAGAGATTAGCAACAGTTGAGAGTCAGTGTTCAGCGATCCTGAAACAGTCCCAAGTATTTTCCTCTCCCATGACAATGGCCATGGGTCTCTTAGGGCTTGAAGAATGATTTTTAGTATATATTGCAGCAATGTCAGTGGGCTCCAGGTCTGCAAAATTGTTCAGCTCCCAGAACTGGGGGAAGGGCCATGACTATTATGGTGATCCAAATTAGAATTCTACTTACCTGATAATTTCTAATTATGTAGATCAACATATATTTTAGTAGGCTATTTTATTCCTAGAGATACTACCAAAGACCCTCACAAGTCAAAAACATTCATTTTACCACTGTGGCCCTGCTGCCCATGAAAGTAACTGTGCCCACTGTGTCTCTGGTGTTAAACACTGTCACTTGGTCTCTGAAATAAGGAAGGCAATTTAAAGAGTAGCATTTCTTATTGTCACCCCCAGCAGGCAGAGGATACCCGCTACAAAGCTCCTAAAGGGAAATGGAGCTCTCCTCCGCACATTTTTTTTTTGTAAGAGAAGGTCTTACTCTGTCACGCAGGCTGGAGTGCACTGTCATGATGACAGCTCACTGTGGCCTTGACCTCCTGGGCTCAAGCCATCCTTCCACTTCAACCTCCTGAGTAGCTGGGACTAGAGGCATGCACCACCATGCCTGGCTAATTTTTTAATTTTTTATAGAGATGGGGTCTCCCTACATTGCCCAGGCTGGTCTCAAACTCTTAGGCTCAAGTGATACTCTCGCCTTGGCCTCCCAAAGTGCTGGGATTACAGGCCTGAGCCACCACACCCAGCCTGCACATTTCTTAAAACCTCATTAAAGGGAGTGTCCTCTGGGCCCTGAGGGACACAGTCAAGGGATGAATTTTTTTTATAATCTTAGTGTGAAGGTCCACATATGATGCAAAATAACAATGGCTGCATGAACGTGATCCCAACTTGTTCCCACAAGGGTCAGGTGGCTAACTTCATAGGATATTCTACCTGGCTCTGTCTGCCCTCCTACCTAGTGGTGAACAGAGTGCTGGCAAATGTTTAACAACCAGATCTCCAGAGCAAAAACAAAACAAAGGCCTGATTTGTAGCATCTGTCAGTATCTGCAGTATAAGCACTCCCATTGTGTCCAGAATTTATTTCTTCTGGTGGATTCTTGGTCTCACTGACTTCAAGAATGAAGCCAGCCGGGCGCGGTGGCTCACGCCTGTAATCCCAGCACTTTGGGAGGCTGAGGCGGGTGGATCACGAGGTCAGAAGATCGAGACCATCCTGGCTAACACGGTGAAACCCCGTCTCTACTAAAAATACAAAAAATTAGCTGGGCGCCTGTAGTCCCAGCTACTAGGGAGGCTGAGGCAGGAGAATGGCGTGAATCCGGGAGGCGGAGGTTGCAGTGAGCTGAGATCAGGCCACTGCATTCCAGCCTGGGCAACAGAGCAAGACTCCATCTCAAAGAAAAAAAGAATAAAGCCACGGACCTCGCAGTGAGTGTTACAGTTCTTAAAGGTGGCGTGTCTGCAGTCGTTTGTTCCTCTCTGTGGGTTGGTGGTCTGGCTGACTAAGGAAATGAAGCCGCAGGCCCTGGCAGTGAATGCTACAGCTCTTCAAGTTGGTGCGGACCGAAAGACTGAGCAGCAGCAAGATTTATTAATTAAGAGCGAAAGAACAAAGATCTCCGGGCGTTGAAGTGGACCCTAGCGGGTTGCTGCTGCTGGCTCAGGTGGCCAGCTTTTATTCCCTTATTTGGCCCCCATCCATGTCCTGCTGATTGGTCCATTTTACAGTGTGCTGATTGGTCCATTTTACAGAGTGCTGACTGGTCCATTTTTACAGAATGCTGATTGGCGCATTTACAATCCTCTAGCTAGACATAGAGCGCTGATTGGTGCATTTACAATCCTCTAGCTAGACAGAAAGTTCTCCAAGTCCCCACCCAACCCAGAAGCCCAGTTGGCTTCACCTCTCACCATCATGGCCAATATCAAGCTATCAACAATGTCAACGTGCAGCTGGGAAGATGTGCAATAGCACATTTTACAGTATTTCTACCAGACAGATACAACAGACAGAAATAACCTCAAGAGCACAGACACTAGTGAATAATTAGGAAGTGGTGAAGTTTATTTGCCTTTGTCTTTAATATAATCTATTTAACTATGTTTATATAACTTAATTGTTAATAATGTCTGTAATAACCGGCCCACAAATTTCCTGAAAGTGTGACAATCTGCTCTCATACGCTGCTGGACCAGTTCCAGCACGCCACTGTTCCTGCCCCAGTTGTGGGATCTGCTCTAACCTCCAGCTGCCCCACGCCTCAGCATACAGTCACAGCGAAGGCATGGTGGGCAAACTTCTGAGTTACATGGCCACAGCGGTTTTTTGTTTGCTTGTTTGTTTTTGTATGTTTGTTTGTTTAGAGACAGTTTGCTCTGTCCCCCAGGCTGGAGTGCAGTGGCGTAATCGTGGCTCACTGCAGCCTCAAACTCCTGGGATCAAGAGATCTTCCCACCTCAGCTTCCCAAGGGGCTGGGACTACAGGCACATACCAACACACCCAGTTAATGTTTTTAATTTTTTTTTAAGACAGAGTCTCACTCTGTCGCCCAGGCTGGAGTGCAGTGGCACGATCTCTGCTCACTGCAAGCTCCGCCTCCCAGGTTCATGCCATTCTCCTGCCTCAGCCTCCCAGCTAGCTGGGACTACAGGTGCCCATCACCACGCCTGGCTAATTTTTTGTATTTTTAGTAGAGACGGGGATTCACCATGTTAGCTAGAATAGTCACGATCTCCTGACCTCATGATCCGCCCGCCTCGGCCTCCCAAAGTGCTGGGATTACAGGCGTGAGCCACCGTGCCCAGCCAATTTTTTAAAATTTTTTGAGGCCAGGAACAGCAGCTCCTGCCTGTAATCCCAGCACTTTGGGAGGCCGAAGCAGGAGGATCTCCTGAGCCTAGGAGTTCAAGACCTGCCTGGGCGATATAGGGAGACCCCATTTCTACAAAAAATTTAAAAATTAGCAGGGTGTGGTGGTGCGTGCCTGTAGTCCCAGCTACTCGGGAGGCTGGGGTGGGAGGATTACCTGAACTGGGAGGTGAAGGTTTCAGTGAGCTGAGATCACACCACTGCACTCCAATCTAGGTGAGAGACCTTGCTTCAAAAAAAAAATTGAGCTCCTGGGCTCAAGCAATCCTCCTGCCTTGGCCTCCCAAAGCACTGGGACTTTTACAGGCACCACCAGTTATTACAGAACTCAAAAGCAACTGTGCACTGGACCACTCTGTATTGTGTTCGGTGAGGCCATGCCCGCGTATAGATACAGGAATGCTGAGGAACAGCACTGAAGAGTGACCTAAACAGCAATCACCAACTGCTGGTGTTTGGCTTTGTTCCTCATATGAAAGGATTTGAAGCCCAGGGAGTAGGCTGGTTGAATGAAAAATATTTGCTTGACACGATAGTTGCTATTTCTAGATGAATTCAGGGAACTATGGGAGCCTCTCACAAGCATGAAAAATCCAAGTATTCAGATGGAAGTTGGGGCTCTTATTTTCCAGCTTGGGCCTGTACCAGGGCTACAAGGACATACAATGCTAAATCAATTAAAAACCAAAATCTACTCAAAACCATTTATTTCAAAAAAGTTCTGGAGATGGATGGTGGCGATGGTTACACAGCAATGTGAATGTGCTTAATGTCACTGAACTGTACGCTTAAAAATGGTTAGGATGGTAAAGTTTTTTTTTTTTTTCCTTAGGGGGATCCTTTATTTCATTCACTTCCTCCTTACAAGGTGAAATTTCAATCTGTACAGGTTGTGTCTGCCAGTTCAGTCCACAGCTCAGAGTATCACCTTGTCCTCATTCCATGGTATAAGCTGTTGTGGGGGGACAGGTCTGAGGGTCGTGGATTCACTGGACTGGATGGGACATGATCCAGAACTCCACTCCGTTTGGCTTCCCAAGGATCCCACCACCTCATTCTAATCAGTGATCATTGAGGAAATGCATTGTATTCCTATTCACTATTTCAAAGATCAGGCCTACCTCATTGGCATATTAAGAAAGTTTTCTCAAGTATATTTAGTGTTTATCATTTTACTATAGTTCTTCAAATGTCTGACATTCATCCTTTCCCTACCTCTACATTCCTTTCTTTTTCACATTATCTTTCTTGATTGCTTTTTAATAGAAAAACAAACAAAGACATGGATTTACTGTGCATATTAGCAGATCCATACTGGAAAATGCATGGAGGTTTCATATACACCACTTACAGTAAGTAATAACTCAGAGTATAAAGTCGAAAAGAAAGAATCTGAAATATTAGACTTGTTCTGAAATAAGCTTACCTAGGATGATACCACTTTCACTTAATCAGGATTTCCCAACTATTTAACAGTGGCAAATATAAAAAATCTGGTAGTTAAAATACACAGCAGTCACTTCATATTACTGCCTCCCTCAACCCACTCAACTTCTGAAGAACAGGGCTTTTTCAAGTTTTGTTCCCCTTTAAGTTTTAATAGAAAAAAAAAAAAAGTTTTAAGTCATGTTGTACCAATATATCCCCAGCAAGAATTGCAATTTACCAAGGTTTTCACGTGTTTTGAGAGAAATCTTACTGAAAGACTAGTGATGTCCATTTTCCAGTAAATACTGAGCGAAAAACAATTTTTATACCCCAATCTGAGGTATAAACTTGCTTTTTGTGGGATCACAACTGCTGTAAATTAGACAGTTGTAGCAACAATCCAAGACAATAACAGAATGCCTATGACAGTCTGCCATATTCTGGTGAGTGTCTATCAAAGCTCATCATGATTTTTTGTGAGATCTTCCCCGTAATTGGTAGCTTGGCTTCCAACAAACATGTTCCAGTTCTCCAATATTTCCTCTTTAGTTAGCTTCTCATCCTTGTTTTTGTCTGACTCATATACCAGATGCCTGGCCTCAGCCTGTGCATGATCATAATCTTGAGGGAGGATCCAGTGGCGAATCTCATCTTTGTCTAACTTCCCGTCCTTGTTCAGATCCCGGAATTCGTTAAACTGCTCCCGTTCTGATAAAACCCAGTCTGGCTCAGGGCCATTCTCCTCATGGGAAAACATATCCGCAATATACTCATCCTGATCCACAAACCCATCCCCGTTCTTGTCGATGTCCTCCAGGGTTTCCAAAGCCACAATTTCCTTCATATGTTCAAACTCTTCAGGATGCAGAAAGGCAGTGAACTCCTCCGGAGTAGCTGTCAGGTCACCATTGAGGTCTGCAGCTTTGAATCTTCTCTCATCACGTGGCAGCATCTTTTTAAAGGTGTGATGATCTGAAGAATCATGAAACTCTGCGGGGTTTCCTAGGTATAGTAACCATAGGTGGCTTGTTTGTATTCTTCCCAGGAAATGTTATCATCCTTGTCCCTATCATAATCCTTCCAGACTTTGGCGACATTATCAAAGATGTATCTTTTCTGCACCCGTTTGATCCAGGTTTTCAGCTCCTCAGTAGTGACAAAGCCATACCCATCATTGTCGATTCGATCAACAATCTTCCCTAGCCTCTCCTTGCTCTCGTCCGGGGTGAGCTCGTCGAAGTTCTTGGAGTCCTCCTTGCCCAGGAAGGCCTCGTGGTCGTACTGGAAGCTCTGGTTGTCCTCAGGGGGCCGCTCGCCCAGCTCCGAGTCGGGCCGCACCACGCGCTCTTTGCGCACCGTGGGCTTGGCCCGCAGAACCCGCGGCGCCAGCACCAGCGCCAGCAGCAGCCCCAGGGCTAACCCCAGGCGGCCACCGCGCGCCATCGTCCCGAGGAGAGGGCGGCCGGGAGGGAGACGCTGAGCGAGCGACAACAGCGGCAGCTCGGGAATGGGGGCTCGGAGCGCGGCGGCCAAGTTTTATGTTATGTATATTTTACAAGTAAAAAAATTTTTTCACCTCAGCCTGAACTGAACACTAGCTGACAGACGTTTTGATTTCTTTGACCATCACGGAATCGTGGCCAAGCGCGGTGGCTCACATCTGTAATCCCAACACTTTGGGAGGTCAAGATGGGCGGATTGCTTGAATCCAGGTGTTTGAGATCAGCCTGGGCAACATGACAAAACCCTGTTTCTAGTAAAAATACAAAAATTAACCAGGCTCAAGCCATGACCATGCACCATTGCACTCCAGCCTAGGCGACAGAGCAGGACCCTGTCTCAAAAAAAAAAAAAAAAAAAAAAAAAAAAAAGAAGAAGAAATCTCAGCAGGCTGAGATGGAACTCATTCTTCTCATGAAGAACGTGGCAAGCATTATACAGAGGGGCCATAGTCTGGAAAGCAGGAGATGCTTACAGACATATAAGTTGTTTCCAGTGTTTTGCTCTTGGTACTCATGGTTCCACTATTTACATCAACCTTTTGAGAAACATATTTATACACTGTCTTATACTTCCCTCCTTTGCTACAGAATGAATCTACTTGTAACCTACCAAAAATTTACCCTGTCACATTTCCCCAGCTGCTGGTTTAAAAATAAATATCCTGGATTTAAAGCCAATTGTGTCTAACAGGTGCCACCATCCAAGTGAGGATTTCACTGTTCACAGGCATTTGAGACACACCAGCGGCCGGCGGTTCTCACTGCTCTTCATATGGAGGCAACCATATATGGGTAAGTCATTTAGTCTCTTAGGTAGGCGAACTGAGGCCAATCTCCCCACTTTTAGGGCTGTGAAACTGTTCTGTATGATACAATAATGGTGGATATGCGTCACTATACATTCGTCCAAATCCACAGAATGTACAACACCAAGAGTGAACCCTACTGTAAACTATGGACTCTGAGTGACAATGATGCATCAAATAGGTTCATCAGTTGTAATAAATGCACTGCTCTGGTGCAGAATGTTGATGATGGAGGAGACAGGGGTACATGGGAATCTCCGTACCTTCCATTCAATTTTGCTAAAACTACTCTAAAAAATAAAATTAAAGAAAAAAAAAAGCTCCCCTCTTTCCCCAGTTTTACGATTTATTTATGCTTTGTGAAATGGAGTCTCACTCTTGACTCCCAGGCTGGAGTGCAGTGATCTCAGCTCAATGCAACCTCCACCTCCCGGGTTCAAGAGATTCTCCTGCTTCAGCCTCCTGAGAGGCTGGGATTACAGGCGCATGGCACCATGCCCAGCTAATTTTTGTATTTTTAGTAGAGATGGGGTTTCACTATGTTGGCCAGGCCAGTCTCGAGCTCCTGAACTCAAGTGATCTACCGTACCCGGCCCCCAATGTTAGTTTTTAAATAAACGACTATGTTTAATTCACATGCTAACAGGCACCTAGAGAATACTTTCAAGTAAAAAGATTAATGAACCCACTTCGCATTGAGTTAGCTGGTTGTTTTCTGCCAACCAGGTGTCCCTGCCTGGTCCACAGTTGACCAAGGATCCCTGCATCTGCCTCTAGCAACACCCAACACTGTATGAAGGGCTGAGGGGGTCTGACAGTTCACGTCACTGACATCCTCTCACTGGTATTTCGAATGCCAAGCCAGCCCTCAAATCAAGTTCACTGGCCTCGACTGAGCTGCCAAGTATTTCATACATGGGGAGGGGGGTTGGGGGGGGGGAGGGTAGGGGGATCACACAGGTGCCAGGCAATGAGTAAGATTATCCCAGCAACTTCTCCATGCAGAGAGAAATGTCTGCAGCTGCAACACTATTTCTACTCCAGCCTTCTAGACTCCATGTAGTTTGCCTTTGTTTGAATGTTTCTATTTATCTGAAATAACCAGAAATCATTTTTATTATTATATATTACTCCAGTTTATTAAATAAATGAAACAAGGCTTATGCCACATATTCCAACAATGTTTAAATAAAGAGCTTGAAATATAAAGGCTTATGAAAACTTCATACTCTTTATATAATGCATACTATTTCTAGCACATGAATAAATATAAAGGACAGGAGCCACTTTTTATATTATGAATCCACAACATTAAGCATCAATGATTACACAAATCCATAAGCACACAAACAAAAAAACCCATTGGTTATAAAAACTAGAATTCCTTTTGGCATATTTAAGAAAACCCAAAGGTGGGGAGGTACTTATAGCCAGAACCCTGACAACGAGGGGACCAAGTCTCCCAATTCCTTAAGTTGTTTCTTGGTTAGAAGCTTCAACAATTGCATTAACTCTTTCAAAAAAACAGAAAAAGCAGGTTAAGATCCTGTTCAATAAGGCACTTAATAAGTCTACACTGAAGAAATACTATGCTTTTATCTTAAATCGTGCTTAAGTTTTACCATGAGGTTTGAATTTCTTTCCACCTTGGTAGGAACATGTATGTAATTTGAATAAACTGGTAATAATACTGTCTGACATTCGCTCTTTACATGGTCATTAAAATGAATTTGCTTCTACTGTTTTAAAAATTGTATGCATATTTGAAAAAGTAAAATTTTTCTACATTAAAAAAAGAGCATTTCAAGAAAAGCAATCTTTAAACTCAAAGAACTCAAAAGTGAAAGCCTCTCTATAGAAAGTCTTTATAAAATCAATGGAATGTTTTGGAAAGAAGAAAAAATCCTAAGGTGTAGTTTAGAACAAGCAGCAAGGCCTGAATGAG
Source organism: Homo sapiens (assembly GCF_000001405.40). Classification (NCBI taxonomy): domain Eukaryota; kingdom Metazoa; phylum Chordata; class Mammalia; order Primates; family Hominidae; genus Homo; species Homo sapiens. The sequence goes on from NC_000013.11 coordinate 45,394,150, forward strand.
CTCTGGGGTCCTCTGCTGCCCTCTAGGGTTGCCCAGGGAGAGCTGGACTTTCATCTGAGTCTCAGCAATTAACAGGTAACCCTACCCCACTGCACCCCGCCCCCGCCCCCACCTTCTGTTATCCTCTCTTTTTGATGACTTTGTCTTAGCTCTCACTTTTGGAAATAATATTCAAAGGGACCATTCATGCATAAGGAAGGCAAGGGAAAAATGCCTGCGAGGAAAAATTATCTCATCCTCCAAAAAAACCTGCAGTCCTTCTATTCAGTCTCAACAAAGAGACTGGCCAGACTGGGAATTTGGCCGCACTACTGTGGAAGGAGAATGCCCTGGAGCCCCAGCTAACATGTATTTAATGTTGTTCTCAAAGGGGGAACTGAAGAGACCCAAATAAATATGTTCCCTGTCCTGTGGCTGCCTCCCAGAAGTGGAAGTTCTTGGGGTTCTCACAGTCATCTTTTATTTTGAAAAGACTAAGATGAAGACAAGAAGGAAGAGGGCTCTTTCTCTGAAGCAGGTTAGAGTAAAGAATAAGAAAATAGAAAAAGAAAAAAAGAAGAGGGAGAATGACTTATTGTGTCTACAGAAGGAAAGAAAAAGGGAAAATATTACATACCACCTATCAGAAACTAGCTAAATAGATGCACTAAAGAAATCATTTTTAAAATTTCAAGCAGGTATTTTCCATCCAAACTAAACAGAAAGTCCAAGACAGGCACAACATAAACTAAAGTAAAAACTGGAAACCTGGAAAAATCAACTCTTTGATTCACTACCAACATTTTGCTAAGGAAAATGTACTAAAGCCTGAACTTATACAGTGTTCTTTCTTCAACAAGACCTTAACAAAGGGCTTCATTCACAATTACCATGAGAAGCCCATGAGAACATGCCCCTCTTCTACATAGACTGTTTAGAGCTGTTCCACAGCATGATGTAAACACATTTACCTTTCCAGTCAAGTAGCAGCAGCTACTATTTGTTCTTCATTTGACCCTCTACATCAATAGACGTTATTATCCCCATTTTACTCATTGAGAAATACATATGCTTTGCTAAAAATCATAAAGCTAATTACTAACATGACCTAAGACAGAACCTAAGCTGCTTGAAAACACCCCCCACCAATACAGACCTTGCAACCTTCAAAGCCAACACATAACACCACCACGAATTTAGAGATTATTACTTTGTAACAATTTCTCACAAATGTCAAGTCTTCAAAGCTTAAAATCACTTATTATAAGTGGAAGATCCTGCCAAAATAGGAAATGATAAAGCAGTGTGATATTCCTAGGATCCATTTCCTGCACCGTTTATACCTGGGGTTGAACAGTCCAGGTCTCCATACATGAAATTTCTTCAGTTGACAAGGAGCAAAATCTCCCAGAAATTCAGAAACCATAACACCTTCTCGGAGGCTCCATTCCATGGTTCCAGTGAGCTTTTCTAGAGCAGTCTGATTCTCAGTCATGAGCTGAGATGCATCAGGAGCTACTCTCCCTGAATAAAACAATACATCGCTCCTGATTTTCTTGCAAGTTTTCTTTAGCAAGAAACATGCATTTCACATATTATCTTTGATGTTGAAGGGCACTTCAGTGGTAAAGACTAGTGTTTGGATGTTAGTTTATGCCATTAAACGTTTGATGAAGAGCATCCAATGCCAACACACAGCAATCTCAACTAACCCAGTCTTCATCTGTTGCTCACATCCCAGAATCTGTGATGAGCCAAGCAGTGAGAAGCAGAGTGAAACACAGGAAGCTTTGCTGTTTCAGAAGTTACCATTTTCAGAAAGATGTCTCATGCAGCCTTGGCTTGTCACAAATCCAATTTCTTCAACTGCTCGTATGTCACAAAGAACTGTGGTTATGGGTTAAGGATGACACAGAAAATGCCATCTTCACAACTCCAGTGCATAACAACAGACTTACAAATGGCACACTTAATAACAAATAGGTACAGGCAGACCCACGCTATGGACACGATTAAATAAAAGGGGTTCCACCCTTAACCACATCAAACTATCTTCCAAGGTCAGCTTGGAGCAGAAAGATCACAGCTGAGATATGTAAATCCCCTGGTATCAGCCTCTTCTGAGATGGCATCTACGCTGATAAGCTTTTGTGGCTTTGCTGTGGTGGAAAAACTTTCCAGCACTGTAAGCTTTTGAGAGAGAGAGAGAGAGAGAGAGTTAGCAAGCCCTGGGAAGCTCTCCTCAAAGGCTTCCACTATGCATCCTTCCTTGGGAGGCAGGAGCTGATGAAGAGCAACAAGAGGACAGCAAAAGCCAGCATTCCTGCTTCATCACTCTGCCCTTCAGTGTCTAATTAACTGCCTCACGGGCGCGGTGGCTCACGCCTGTAATCCCAGCACTTTGGGAGGCCAAGGGGCAGGTCACTTGAGGTCAGGAGTTTGAGACCAGCCTGGCTGACATGGTGAAACCCCATCTCTACTAAAAACACAAAAATTAGCCAGGCGTGGTTTTATGTGCCTGTAATCCCAACTACTCAGGAGGCCAAGGCAAGAGAATTGCTAGAACCCAGGAGGCGGAGGTGGCAGTGACCCGAGATCACGCCACTGTACTCCAGCCTGGGCGACAGAGTAAAGACTCAGTCTCAAAAACAAAAAAAAAGTTAACTGCCTTTCCTTTCCTGCCTCCCACTGTGGCACATAGGAAGCGTGCTGGCCTGCCAAACAATTCCGGAGCTAATTCCTGTTTATCTTCAGGCACTTTCTAAGATAAGCATTCTAAGACACTGTTGCCAACCACATCCTTCCCAAGGTGGCTAGGGCTATAAAGCCAATCCTCCTCTCTCTCTCTCTGAAATCGTAAATACCCTCAGCTTCTAGAACAGAGTCTAACTAAACCTTTTTAGTAGTATCACTACTTTTGAATAATACCACCATCAAAGCAAGATTCAGTGTCTAGCACGGAGACTTTACACTTCCTAAAAAAGAAACTAAGTAGTGACTTCTTAGCATCAGAGGAACTCAAAATAATCAGAACCTACTTCTAAATTATAATTAATAACATGAGAGTTTATACAAATAGTATTCTTTAGCTGTATCTTTTTTCAGATCTATTGCAACAGAAAAGGATACAATGATATTCCAAGGACCAAGTCTCAACCAATTTGGCCAAAAGCCTTTATAGAGAGCAAAAAACCCTTCATTCTTCCATGTCTGTTAAAAGAAGAAAAAAAAGTTAACTTCCAACTTTCTAATTATGCCAAATGCATTAATAATTAGTGGCCAGGCCAGGCGCGGTGGCTCACGCCTTTAATCCCAGCACTTTGGGAGGCCGAGGCGGGTGGATCACCAGGTCAGGAGATCAAGACCATCCTGGCTAATGCAGTGAAACCCTGTCTCTACTAAAAATACAAAAAAAAAATTAGCCGGGCATGGTGGCAGGCGCCTGTAGTCCCAGCTACTCGGGAGGCTGAGGCAGGAGAATGGCATGAACCCGGGAGGCGGAGCTTGCAGTGAGCCAAGATCACGCCACTGCACTCCAGCCTGGGCGACAAAGCGAGACTCCATCTCAAAAAATAATAATAATAATTAGTGGCCAGACTGATTTATTTTTCTTAAAAATAAAATCCTGTTTGGAAGGACTGCCTAAGAAATCTTTGCTCTTTAGAGGCTTGTGTGGGTGGAAGACTAAGGCTCCATGCCCAACAACCCCACACGAAGGATTGAATGAACTCCACACAAAGGAGATAAACACTGTTGAGTGAGGAAAAAATTAGATTTAATTCCAATTACGGTCTGTTGCTTCCGTGCCATGTGGGCTCCTGAACAGGTCACAAATAAAGAAGCAATAGTGGTAGAGATATCATTCAGAGTACCACTATTTCCCAAGATGTCAGGTGGATGAATACGATAAGTGTCTTTGCTTCATTAAGGCAACACCTGAAGAATAAAATGTGCTAGTGTCATGTTGGAAAACAGGAACCACAAAAGTGGCCCCTGTAGCCATAAAAAAGAAATCACGTTCTTTGCAGCAACATGGATGGAGCTGGAGGCCATTATCCTGAGCAAACTAACGCAGAAACAGAAGATCAAAAACCACATGTTCTCATTTTTAAGTGGGAGCTAAACAATGGGTACACACGGACATAAAGATAGAAGTAACAGACACTGGGGACTCCTAAAGGGGAGAGGCTAGAGTTGAAAAATTATCTGTCTGGTGTAATGCTCACTATTTGGGTAATGGGTACATTAGAAGCCCAATCTCCACCACTACGCATGTGCCTATGTAACACACCTGCACATGTACCCCCTGAATCTAAAATACATTAAAACTTGAAAATAAATAAATAAATATCACCTTAAAAAAAAAAAAAAAGTGACTCCTAATCCTACTACTGGCAATCTAGTGGCAGAGACAGGTGAAACCTTTCACCCACTCATAAAACAGGAGGCCCAATTATTTAAACTGAGAATTAAAGTAAGATTGATGTGTTCCTTTAACAGAGATGTCTGAATGAGGGATATTCATACTAGTTTGACCCAACAGGAAGAAAGTACATTTTGGAAGGAGACCCAGTTCTTTTATAATCACAGGAAATATTTCCTCACCTTTCACAGCAGATGGAGGTATAAAGAAAACAACATTGTATTTATAAAAGCTAAGCACAGTGTGGCAAAAATGGTCTCACACATGTACATCTCTGGGCTTTAAAGCATCATTCATCTTAGTTTTAGTAGCTTTCATAATTTAGTTACTTCTTAGATCAAAAAAATATATAATTCACAACCCTGCAGAGACAGACATCTGCTCTTACCTGTAACAAGCAATCCAGGGTTCCTGTGTAGCCAGAACATCTGCCATCTCGAAGCACTCTCTGATTCATCATACGTGTCCTCACAACATCAACAGGGTTTGAGGCCAGGGCCCCTGCCAGACCACAGGTGAAGCTTGAGCTATAAAGACACCATTGGAAAAAAAAAAAAAAGTTAACCATCACTGAGCTACAACCACCATCAAAGGCAGAAAACAGCTTCTGCCCAAACTATGGGGTTTTCTTGTTTGTGGTTTTCGTGTTTTGTTTTGTTTTGTTTTGTTTTTGAGACGAAGTCTTGCTCTGTTGCCCAGGCTGGAGTGCAATGGTGTGACCTTGGCTCACTGCAACCTCTGCCTCCCAAGTTCAAGCGATTCTCCTGCCTCAGCCTCCCAAGTAGCTGGGATTTCAGGTGTACTCTACCACATCCAGCTAATTTTTTTTGTATTTTTATTAGAGACGGGGTTTCGCCATGTTGGCCAGGCTGATCTCAGACTCTTGACCTCAAGTGATCTGCCCACCTCGGCCTCCCAAAGTGCTGGGATTACAGGCATGAGCCACCATGCCCAGCCCCAAAACTATGTTGAACTAACATGTATCAACATGAAACATGTCAAGAAGAGCCATATCTAGAGAGCTTGATAAACTGCTTACATATTAGCACCGATTATACTAGCTGATAAATCCCAGCGACAGCTAAGAATACCTGACATTCTAGAATGTCAAAGGATCATAAAACATAAAGGAAATCCTCCAAGGATGATCTTTTCCATCTATTTACCTGTAAGTGGACATCAGAGTAATTCTAGCCATATCATAATTATATCATTTCCTAGATATCAAAGAAAAAGATCTCCTTACTATAATGCCCCGCAAAGGTCTTAGGTTCTGCTATATTTTCAGTCCCACAAGACTACCACAGACCATACTTTATATCAATTAACCCAGAGCAAAGTTTCTCAACCTCAGCACTAGCTATATCCCTGGCCTGGCCCCACTAGATGTCAGTAGTATTCCCCCCTGGTTGTGACAATCAGAACAGTCTCCACACATTGCCCACCAATGGATTATGTATGATTATATATATATATATATATACACACACACACACACACACACACACACACACATATGAATGATAATATATATGTATGATATATCCATACAATGTGATAATCTGCAGCTATTAAAAATAAATGAAGGCCAGGCCGGCAATGGCTGACACCTGTAATCCCAGCACTTTGGGAGGCTGAGGCGGGTGGATCACTTAAGTCTAGGAGTTCAAGACCAGCCTGGGTGACATGGCAAAACCTCAGCTCTACAAAAAATACAAAAATTAACCGGGTGTGGTGGCATGCGCCGGCAGTCCCAGCTACTTGGAAGGCTGAGGCAGGAGGATCACTTGAGCCCAGGAGGTAGAGGTTGCAGTGAGCCGAGATCACACCACTGCACTCCAGCCTGGGTAACAGTGAGACCCCGTCTCACATAAATAAATAAATAAAGTCCGTAAGTACTGACACGAAGTCTGTAAGCACTCAAAGATATTTGGAATATGTTGTTAAATCGCATTTTATTTTAGAGACAGGGTCTTTCTCTGTTGCCCAGGCTAGGGTTCCGTCGCCCAGTCAAGGCTCACTGCAGCCTCACCTTCCTGAGCTCAGGCAATCCTCCTGCCTCAGTCTCCCATGTTGCTGGGACCATAGCCATGCACCACCATGCCCAGCTAATTTTTTAATTTTTTGTAGAAATGGGGCCTCATTTTGTTGCCCAAGCTGGTCTTGAATTCCTAGGCTCAAGTGATCCTCCTGCCTCGGCCTTCCAAAGTCCTAAGATTACAGGCGTGAACTACTGTGCCCAGCCTGTTGTTACATTCTAAAAAGCAAATAAAAGAATGTAAAACATGATCTTATTTGTGTAATAAAGTTCATATAATACACTTTTGTAGACATATTTGCATACACGTAGAAAACGCCTGGAAGATACATATCAAACTGTTAACAACAGCTGCCTATGTAGAGGAATAAGGACTTCTACCTGGTCCTGCTTCACTTCTGCATTGCAACTTTTCAAATATAAGAATATAATACTTTTATAATAAACTTTCTTTAGAATTTCTATAATTTTTTAAAAAAAGCCATGAACATACAGGAAGTGGGTATACACAGTGTCTCCCATCAGGCCTGAGAGAATAAGATGCTTCTTGGTGATGTCATAGACCGGCAGCTCCACACCAACAACAATAGCAGCCCTCTGCGCAGTAAGGGACACACCCTGGGTAAAAATATTAACAATAAAAATGATTCTGATATGCCTCTGTAGAACAAGCCTTGCAAATGTGCAAAGGTTCTAATCCATAAACTATGATCAAGGTTTATCTTTTCCTCTGGGGAGGCAGAAATGTAGAGTGACAGAGCGGAAAAGATCACAGAGCAAGAACTCAAAAACTCTGAAGTCTAATTCTGATGCTGGCATTAACTATATGACCTTGGGCCAGACTTTGGCCAGGACAAGTCACCTCTCAGAGCCTCCAGTTTCCTTCTATGAACTGAGAGATCACACTGGATGATCTTTAGGGGCTATTCTATGAACTGACAAGTCATTAGAATACTAGGAAATAACACTCTACACCACATGCTTGCCTAATAACACAGACTTCAGTTACAAGCCATGAAATTGTATGGATCAAAACACCCAATGGAACTGTAACCTAAAATCCTTCTCCATAAGAATTTAAAAAAAAAAAAAGAGCAAAAGACCAAACAACAACAAAAAAAGTGCTTATCCTTCACACAATATCTTATACATAAATTATTCAAAAGCAACTTTAAAAATCATGACATAGGCCAGGCGCAATGCCTCACAACTGTAATCCCGGCACTTTGGGAGGCCGAGGCAGGCAGATCACCTGAGGTCAGGAGTTCGAGACCAGCCTGACCAACATGGTGAAACCCCATCTCTACTAAAAATACAAAAATTAGCGGGGTGTGGTGGCGCACGCCTGTAATCCCAGTTACTCAGGAGGCTGAGGCAGGAGAATCACTTGAACTCAGGAGGTGGAGGTTGCAGTGAGCCAAGATCGTGCCATTGCACTCCAGCCTGAGCAACAGGGCAAGACTCCATCTCAAAAAAAAAAAAAAAAAAAAAAATCATGACATATTCCTTATATTCCCATTTTATAGATAGGGAAATAAAGAAAGATATTTTCATGGGCAGAAGATGCCACTCCTCTTCCCTTACTCCATTACGACACTTGGATTAAAATTAAGTGATAGAACAAGTAAATTCAAAAAAGGAAAAAAGAACTAAATAAATCAGTTCGATCCATCCTTCTGGCTTACCTTCCACAGTCCTCTTGTCCCCTCTTGCTGGTAAATGTTCATGAAGTTGCCTATCATTCCTCCTTGAATGGTGTTGCTTTGCGCTTGCATCCGAATCTAGAGATTATTTTAAAGACCAACATCAGAAAGAAACTACCACAATCCCACCCACAACCAATGTATACCTCTGACAGTCAGTCCGTCAGTCAGTTGCTTAATAACCATTAGCAAGGAAAAAACTGTCATATAAATACTGCTATGATGCTACCTTAAAATGACTAAAACGTATAAAAATTTATTCTTAGGAACTCTGAGATCTCCAAAAAGCATCTAAGAGAGTCCAGAGTCCTACGTACAGCAGTTCATTAAATGTCAAAAGGAGAAACTGATTTTTGTGAAAAAAGTCTTTCTAGGATAGAAAACAGCATACTTCCCTACTACTATATAGGTGAGAGAAAAGTTAATTTCAAAGGTTTAATCTAATTAATGAGTTATCCAGTGTACCTGGCAGCACGAAGCACAGGCAAGCATAGTTCTTAAATTAGCTGCTCCAAGCCACTACAGTCTCCAGCCAGCTGAACCAAAAGGTATGCAGGCGAGCTAGCCAAGTGACAGCCACATGATACCTGTTACACTCTGTTACACTTTAATTAGTGGAATCCACATGACCAAGATTCCAACATAAAAAGAATGTTTGATGTAGCTCTTTGCATTTTTAAGAATGAAGAAAGATTTTTTACTACAAAATGTGTACCTTATTTTTGTTTAGGGAGCAAATACGTTACCACTAACTTCTAAAAGAACTGTTATTGCCACACGAACGTGGGAAAATAAACCAAGATACAGGAACTGCCTTCCCATAAGGCCTAAGATATAATTAAGAAATTAATGAGAGTACGAATATTTTTCTCTAGCTCTCTTACCCCAACACTGGTAAACTTATGGCAAAGGTACCTTGTATTTCTTCCTTACCCACGAGGTCCCTTTGCTACAATGCATATATAACTGTAGTGTACCCAGAATACTGCAGATGGCTGTAATGCTTGTCAGAATCCCCTATTAGATTGAAGGCTCTCTGAGGGCAGGGTCCTTGTCTTACTCATATTTGGATTCTAACCATGGCGTATACCAACTGGTACAAGATAGAAGCATAGAATACTAGTTAAATAGTGGGGCAGAAAAAGAAAAGAGGGGAAGTAGGAAAGGAATACTCTGTGGGGTTCAAAAAGTAAGTCATTCCTAATTTTTATTTTATTTAATTAGTTGCTTCCAAAAAAGGATTTAAAGATGCTCTATCCCTAGTATTTTCAATAAGGTCTCCTAATGTGTTATGTAATCTAATTGTAGTAATTAAATTTTTTCATCTGTATTTCCTGAAATAAAATTTAACAAAGAAGATGCAGGCCAGGCACGGTGGCTCACACCTGTAATCCCAGCACTTTGGGAGGCCAAGGCGGGTGGATCATGAGGTCAGGAGTTCAAGACCAGCCTGGCCAAGATGGTGAAACCCCATCTCTACTAAAAATACAAAAATTAGCTAGGCACGGTGGCAGGTGCCTGTAATCCCAGCTACTCAGGAGGCTAAGGCAGGAGAATCGCTTGAACCCAGCAGGGTGGAGGTTGCAGTGAGTTGACATCGTGCCACTGCACTCCAGCCTGGGCGACAGAGTGAGACTCCATCTCAAAAAAAAAAAAAAAAAAGATGGATTCAAAAATAGTCATTAATGAGCAGCCTAGATCTGTGCAAAACTTGCAGTCCATCTATATTTAATGAACCAATAAAACAAGGAACATTTTCCGTGAAAAACGAAAATGAAATGCAGTCCAAGCCTAAATAATTTTTTCTCCTCAATCACCGAAATCTTTGTCTCCAAAATGAGCTCTGCTTTTGAGCTCATCTGTATAAGTGGAAAACCCACCTCATGGACCTTTAAAAGTTAGTCTTCATGGCACTTAAATTATAAACAGATTCACATATACACAGATGTTACATTCACAGATTCCATTACCCGAATGTTGTTCTCAATAAGAAAATGTGGAATGTGCCTATAAGATATAGATAGCACAGCTTACTTTCAAAACATCAGTTGGATTAGCAATGGTTGAAGATATGACTCCAGACAGAATTCCACATATCACATTTATCGGTAGAGTTTCATCTGTAAACAATGACACATTATTTGACTCTACATATTTAGAGTTCTTCCCGTGAGAAACTCAACTATAGGTCTAACTTATTTACACATTACTTGTTCACCTTAAGATGTAAAAACATATGCTTCAGGCCGGGCATGGTAGCTCACATCTGTAATCCCAGCACTTTGGGATACCAAGGTGGGGAGATCACTTGAGGTCAGGAGTTTGAGACCAGCCTGGCCAACATGGTGAAACCCCGTCTCTACTAAAAATACAAAAATTAGCTGGACATGGTGGCAGCTGCCTGTAATCCCAGCTACTTGGAGGCTGAGGCAGGAGAATCACTTGAACACAGAAGGTGCAGGTTGCAGTGAACCAAGACCACGCCACTGTACTCCAGCCTGGGCAACAGACCAAGACGCCATCTCAAAAAAATAAAAGTATGTTTCATGAATCAAGTAATTTTAAAAGGATTAGAAATTTCACTAATGAAGGAATTTTGCTTTGCAAAATTTATTGATATCTAAATGTGATTTTATTTTTTTTCTCTTGAGATAGGGTCTCACTCTGTTACCTAGGCTGGAGTGCAGTGGCACAATCACAGCTCACTGCAGCCTCGACCTCCTGGACTCAGGTGATCCTCCCATCTCAGCCTCCCCAGTAGCTGGGACTATAGGCGTGCACCTCCACGCCTGGCTAATATTTTGTATTTTTTGTAGAGATGGTGTTTCACCATGTTGCCGAGGCTGGTCTGGAGCTTCTGGGCTCAAGTGATCTGCCCGCCTCAGCCTCCCCAAAGCACTGGGATTACAGGCACGCGCCACCGCACCCAGCCCCAGTTCACATTTATGTATAAATTCAGACCATCATAATTAAGATGAGCTATATCTGTTAGGACAATAATTCCTATGAGATAACATGACGACTTATTTGGCACAGAAAGTTTTTAAAGCACATCGTATGTATTTAGTTTGAAATATCCTGAAGTATTTCCAAAGCATCTTAGCTCTTGTTCACCACTCTTACATAATAGTGTCTGGTACTCATCCCATTGTGAAAAGAGATGAAGATGGACAGTTCTATGGATCAAAACAAAGCCACAGAACCAAAAAGCCAGAGTATTAGCATTCAGTGTTGTTAATATTAAGAAATGTATTCACTGTTTTCCTGAAAAATAGATGACAATTCATATGATTTTAGCAAATTTTAAGTTGGATGGAATAGTAACAACACATCCCCTGGTCTAGGCATTTTGGAGATGGGGACAACTAATTAAAATGTTTGCAGAGATGGTTCCTTTTCATTATTTCTCCCCTCAATTGAGTTGATAACCAACTTGCTTTCAGCACAATTAACTAAGACTTTACACCCAGAGTTCTTGTAGCAGTAGGAAAGTCACAAATAAGCTGAAGAAAACCTGCTCCAAAACCACTTGAATAAAAAGACAGACAACCAACCTCCTGTCCACAGTGGAAAACAGATTCCCCACTCACCTTCTGGGCGTTCAATGAATAGTCGCTTCAAGCTCTGGTAAGTGCCTATCTTGATGGTGCCATAGGATGCCTGGCGTAACATCGCGGGGGCAATCCTGTTAAACCAATGTACAAAGGGACAAAAGCAATCTAAAAATCACTTAACATCGGCTAGGCAACCCACATGCAGAGTGCCATCCATAATCAAACTACATTCTCTAAAACAATTTTTTTTTTTTGAGACGGAGTTTCGCTCTGTCACCCAGGCTGGAGTGCAATGGCTTGATCTCAGCTCACTGCAACCTCTGCCTCCCGGGTTCAAGCGATTCTTCTGCCTCAGCCTCCCGAGTAGCTGGGAATACGGGCACCCGCCACCACACCTGGCTAATTTTTGTATTTTTAGTAGAGACGGGGTTTCGCCATGTTGGTCAGGCTGGTCTTGAACTCCTGACCTCAGGCCTCGGCCTCCCAAAGTGCTGGGATTACAGGCATGAGCCACTGCACCCGGCCTCTAAAACGATTTCGTAAAATTCAAAATCCAACAAAAACACAGGTGGGTCCAGATGTGCAAATTATTAGCTCACTAAGTGAAAGCCTAGCCCCTCATATTTATTCTCAATGAAAATGTAAGTGAAGAAGTTCAAGACAGAATCAGGAAAAACAAGCCTACTTTCCTCCATCCGATATGCCTGTCCTATTATCCTCTCCAAACCACAACCACGTTGTGGCATGGACACTCCCCGGGTGTCTTTCTGCATTTCCCCACTTCCTTCTTGAATTGCAATCAGGGTTTCTGCTGCCCTCACCCTCAAAACTCCCCTCTTCAAGGTGACCAACTGACATCTTTGTTGCTAAGTTAAATGAGGCTTTTCAAGTAGGATCTTGTATAAGCTCTTTGCAGTGTGTGCCACTGTTTACCCTTTGTCCTACTTGTAGCTGTCTCCTCCCTGTTCTGCTGTAGCATCACCCCCTCTGACTTCTTTTCTTTTCTCTACAGCATCCTACCTGTGTCTGCTGGGGTTCCCCAGAAATCTATCCTATGCTTCTTCTCTCCTTACTGTACATGTTCCCTGTGTGAGCTCACCTACTCCCAAGGCTTCAACTGCCATCTAAAGGCTGGCCAGGCACGGTGGCTCATGCCTGTAATCCCAGCACTTTGGGAAGCCAGGGCAGGCAGATCACTGCACCTCAGGAGTTTGAGACCAGCCTGGACAACATGGCAAAACCCCATCTCTATAAAAAATATAAAAGTAGCGCCAGACACGGTGGCTCACACCTGTAATCCCAGCACTTTGGGAGGCCGAGACGGGTGGATCACTTGAGGTCAGGAGTTTAAGACCAGCCTAGACAACATGGTAAAACCCCGTCTCTACTAAAAATACAAAAAACTGGCCGGTTGTCATAGCTGGTGCCTGTAATCCCAGCTACTCGGGAGGCTGAGGCAGGAGAATTGCTTGAACCTGGGAGGCAGAGGTTGCAGTGAGCCTGGGCAACCGAGTGAAACGCCATCTAAAAAAAAAAATTGTGTGTGTGTGTTTGTGTGTGTGCAGCTAGGTGCAGTGGCTTGTTGTGCCTATAGTTCCAGCTATGTAGGGGGCTGCAATGAGAGGATCACTTGAGCCTGGGAGGTAGAGGCTGCTGTAAGCCATTTTGTGCCACTGCACTCCAGCCTGGGTGACAAAGCAAGACCCTGTCTCAAAATAAATAAATGAAAAATAAAATAAAAGACTGATGACTCCAAATCCATGCTTCCAACATGGATCCAAAGACACATTTCCAATCTTCCAAGATTCTCCATTTAGATGTCCTGTGTATACCTTCAGATAGGGTCCCACACTGAACTACTTCTCTTCCTTCTCCAAACAGTCATCTCTCCTCTTGTGTTTCCTAAACCAGGACATGGAAGCTCCAGCTACACACTGGCAAAAACCACCAATTGAGACATTAGTCTTGGCTCCTCCTTCCCTTCTACCCGCTTCATGTATGGAAACCTCATATTAGGTCACGTAGTGCTATCAGTCCTACACCCTAAATAGTTTTCTAGCCTGTCTTCTTTTTCCTCATCCCCAAAACCAATTCAGATCCTCATCTAGTCTTCCTACATGACAGCCCTGCTTCTAGTGCTCCCTGTCTCTTAATTCTTTCTCTCCATGGCAGGCAGGTGATGTTTACAATGTAAAGCTGATCAGGTCCATCCTCCTACTTAAACACTTTCAGTGGCTTCTGTCTGCCATAGATATAGCAAACTCAAATGCTGACAGGTACCAAGAAAGCAGATGCCATGAGTGAATGATCCAGGCTGGGTCGAACTGCACACACATATACTATGTGAGTGACAGAGGTTTTGTAAACCAGAGACAGTATCCTTCACCCCAGCTACTACTGTCATAACTGAATGAATGTGGGCCTAATGTTGATTTCTCTCAAGAAGATGGAGTCCCAGATTTTTATGTGCAATTTCTCATTTTTAAAATATTGGCTCAATTAAAAAAACAAAAACCTCTGGGGATTGGTGGATCCATGGCAGGGCTGTGGGTCACCAGTTTGTGCTGTGGTGTACTGGAGAAAATCAAGATGCTTAGCGTGACATGAGGCTGTCCACGTTCTGTTCCTGCAGGTATTCTGATATAGGTCTCACTCACTATCCAGTGCCTACAGAATACTGTTCATTAAATACTGAAAGACTGGAAAGTAGTTCACTGCAACTCTTATCAACATCATATAATTTTCATTATGGCAAAAACCTCCTTAATTCAGAATATCTAAGAAAAAGAGCTATTTTCAAAGCATGAAAAACCGAACAGAATGTTTTTAAACAAACATAATTTTTTATTGTTGTCTGTCTGTACTTGAATATAGTAAAACAGTTTCACCAAAACATCTGCTGCATAATATATATACTTAGAAATTAGAGTTGAAATTAAAAGTGAAAAATCTGTCATGCTATTTGTTCTTTTCAAACACACCTCAAACTTTTTACTTGTGATCTGTGCAGTCTTGGTCTGAAGTCTATACCCATGTGAAACAGTGAACAGTGACACAGAAATGCATGAAGGCCTACTCACCCCGAGTAGAGTGCTTTCAGCCCTTCTTCTCTGCCTATCCTCACTAATGCGTGCAACATTCCTCGGTATCTAATTTCCTTAAATTTTGCATCATTCGTCTGGCCTTGAATCTGGAGCCGTGTCTTGGTTAAATCAATTGGAAATGTACCTTAAAATTTAAAAAGAAATTCACTTAATAAAAAGAAATTCCACTAAATAAAGGATACGTAGTGATATATTACTGAGGAAACATTCAGACTACAATATAAACTAAGAAAGTGATTAAGAAATGGCACTTTGCAATCTTGTTTATATTTTTAAAAATTGAGGAATCAAAAGATTAATAAAACCCAAAAAATGCATAGATATATTTTCCTTTCTTTATCTTTTTATTTATACCTCATCTTATTCTACACAGGATTTGGGTAGGCTGCATTGTTGTAGAAAGCAAATACGTGGTATGATTTACCTAAACAGGAAATCCATTGAAAAACATAAGTTACTATTCTGTATATAAATGAAGGTTAAAATGGGGTTGAATGTGAACAAAGAGGTAAAAAAAGTTCATTTTCTAAAGTGGTTTTCCACTTGGGAGAGTGTTTTATAGTCTAAAATTAATCTGGCTAGGCACAGTGGCTCATGCCTGTAATCCCAGCACTTTGGGAGGCTGAGGTGGGCGGATCACCTGAGGTTAGGAGTTCCAAACCAACCTGGCCAACATGGTGAAACCCCGTCTCTACTAAAAATACAAAAATTAGCTGGGCGTGGTGGCAGGCACCTGTAACCCCAGCTACTCAGGAGGCTGAGGCAGGAGAATTGCTTGAACCCAGGAGGCAGAGGTTGCAGTGAGCCGAGATCACGTCACCATACTCCAGACAGGGTGACAGAGTGAGACTCTGTCTCCAAAATAAAATAAAATAAATCTGATAATGCAGATAAATATGTTAAATACTGTACCTAACAAATAGTCCACCCAAATATATAAAACCCATCCTCAGACAGTAACCTTGATTCACTGTGTCAATGGGAAAGCCCACCAGCACAGAGAGCCTAAGCTGGTGAGTGGGTGGTTACCACGGCTCATCCAGCTTACCCACCTTGGCCTCAATTCTCCCCAGTCCCACAGGGGCAGTATTCTATCCTTGGACAGCAGTGACTGAGCCCTGGAAGCAATGATGTGTCCCCAACCCAGCACAGGGCATTCAACAGCTGCTCAATCAGTGTTTGCTGAATGAATGACTCCAGAGAATAAACAAACAGGATCTGATGTGGAACCCAACCGATGAGGAAGTCACAAATGGGAACTGGATAATGTGCATCATCAGAAAGTGACTAGATAACTACAGTCCATCTCATCTGGCTCAGGGAACACCCTTGAGCTTCTCAAACCTCTTTACAGCCAAACAGGTTAACAGTGGCAAAGCTGGGGGAAAGGACAAGGAAAACGGACAGACACAATCCAAAAATGATTCATAAAACTTGTGTTTGAGGCTGAGCATGGTAATAATCCCAGTACTTTGGGAGGCCAAGGGAGGTGGATCTCTTGAGCTTGGGAGTCGAGACCAGCCTGGGCAACATGGCAAAACTCCATCTCTAATAAAAATATAAGAATTAGCCGGGCGTGGTCGTGCACATCTGTAGTCTCACCTATAATCCCAGCACTCTGGGAGGCCGAGGCAAGTGGATCTCTTGAGCTTGGGAGTCGAGACCAGCCTGGGCAACATGGCAAAACTCCATCTCTAATAAAAATACAAGAATTAGCCGGGCATGGTGGTGCACATCTGTAGTCTCACCTACTTGGGAGACCCGGGTGGGAGGACCGCTTGAGCACGGGAGGCGGAGGCTGGAGTGAGCCGAGATCAGACGACTGCACTCCAGCCTCAGCAACAGAACCAGACCCTGTCTCAAAACAAAAAATTTTAAAAAACTTGTGTTTGGTCAATAGGATCAACTTTCTCTCCACTAAACTTCGAACCCTAAACTGCTAATAGCAGCCAAAATGACTATTTTGTCTTAAAAAGCATTACCAAAAGAAAACTTTCTTTTTTTTGAGACTGGGTCTCACTCTGTCACCCAGGCTGGAGAGTGCAGTGGTTCACACATGGCTCACTGCAGCCTCGACCTCCTGGACTCAAGCAATCCTCCCACCTCTGCCTCCCGAGTAGCGGGGACTACAGGCCTGTGCCACCACACCTGGCTAATTTTTTTTTTTTTAATAGAGGTGAGGTTTCACTCTGTTGCCCAGGCTGGTGTCGAACTCCTGGACTCAAGAGATTCCCCTTCCTCAGCCTACTAAAGTGCTGAGATTATAGGCGTGAGCCACCACACCCAGCTAACAGACATTTTGAATTCTGAGACAAACATTTCATCATCTCACATTCTACACTTGAACTACATTCACATCAAACACCATCACATACAGCAGGCTACGTGATCCACCACCCTCAGGTCCTTACCGCACTCAGCAGTGATGGAGGCCAGCCCCCCGTACACAAACGGCTTCCAGTTGAGGGCTGACATTCTCACACTGTCTCTTCTTTGATTTATAGAAACATTGCCTCCAGTGCTGTTTTTCCTGGACACAACAATAAGATATTATCAAGCTGTAACTTCTCACACAGGCAGTTTCTTCTCCAAACTCTTCCCCTAGGTTTTATTTGGAGAGTGCTATCACCAAAACCCCTGCAGCAATTCCCAAGGGGAGCCTCCCCTTAATAAAGCAAAGCACCCCTATTTCCTCAACCTCAAATCAACAATTTCCAATCTTACTTTATCAGTGATCTTAATTTTTACTGTGACCTCAAGAAGTAATCAGCTACTTTGATACCTTGGTATGCGTGTATGTATTCAGTGTAGTGCAGCGGAAGCTGTTCTCTGGGAAGTCTATTTTATCTTAAATCTATTCTTCATGCAATAAGTATTTGCAGCAGCCATGATGGCTCACGCCTGTAATCCCAGCATTTTGAGAGGCCAAGGTAGGAGAATTGTTTCAACCCAGGATTTCAAGACCAGCCTGGGCAACACAGTAACACCCTGTGTCAAAAAAAAAAAAAAAAAAGTATTTGCTATTCGTTCACTGCTATCTTAGTGAGTCCTTACTGGGGGTGGGGGGGTGGGGTGGGGATCACATCCCTCAGGTGCACTGCAGCAGACAAATGTTGCAAACTTGTGTCATAAGGTAAAATGACAATTACTTAAAATTACAAGCTACTTCTTTTTTTGTTTTTTTTTTAAGACAGGGTCTCACCCTGTCACAAAGACTAGAGCGTAGTGGCACAAACATGGCTCACCGTAGCCTCAACCTCCTGGGCTCATGTGATCCTCCCACCTCAGCTTCCCAACTACCTGGGACCACAGGCACACACCACCATGCCAGCCTAATTGTTTTATTTTTTGTAGACTGGTCTCTAACTCCTGGACTCAAGTAATCTTCCAGCCCTAGCCTCCCAAAGTGCTGGGAAAAGAGGTGAGAGCCACTATGCCCAGCCACCACAGGCTACTTGTAGTCTACATTCTATAAATATCGGCTCACTTCTCTTAGCCTTATTACGTTACCAGCTGTGAGGCAGTTTGGCATGAGGAAAGAGGCTGACTCTGGGGTCAGAGCCACCCCACACCCTTCCTAGAGAAGTTCCTGCTAACCTGAGTCTCGGTTTTCTTCTTCGCCAACACCATCATCACCACAGCAGGCAACACAACCAATTAGGGGGACATCCATACTTTTATTCACTAAGTTAAATAAATGTCAAGCTGTAGGCCTATTGTGGGCATTAAGCCATATATATTTTAAAGACACTCACAAATATTGCCCTCCATCTTCCTTTTCCATAATAAGACCTTGCTCACTGTGACATGTACTTATGTGCCACAGCTAAGGCCTTTCACATTCATGACATGTTCTGCAGTTGTATGTAATTAGAGCTGGTAAATGTGGCCTCACACCCCTTAACAGGAGACTCATATGACTAATACTTTTGTATATATACTATCAACTATAGCTACTGTTGGTTTAAAATAAAATTTCTAACTTTTCAGTCATTATTGGCAAGCAATATGCCAACATGTTTACTTTGCCTGTGTTTAGGAATTTCCCAAGTCTCCTTTTCCCAGGAGAGGACTACCACAAGTCACCACTGCCCAGAATATCAGTTTCCAACACTAGGACCCCCCATCGGGCACCTTGAATAAATCTATTAATCATTATTCCTTGTTTATGGATATTAACCAAATTCATAGCAGTTACAAATGAGTAAAATAGAAGGTTCTGTAAGAATGAAACATGAAAACCACTGTATGTTTTTAGGTATTTCAGTACTAAGGAGCAAGCCCTCTCCCAAAAGACTCCTCTCATCTCCCTATTATCTTTGAAAATATTTAATAACTGCACTTAAGTAATTCTTAGCCTTATTAAATTCATAACTCATATAATAGTTAAGATTGTAAGAGACTGTAAGAACCTATTAATAATAAATCCAATAATTCATTTACCACCCAGTACTAACTTCCTTAACCCATTCTTAGACCTAGCTGATTGCAGATTAAAAAGCAAAACAAAGCCAGGTGTAGTGGCACGCATCTGTAGTTCCTGAAAGGATGGCTTGAGCCTAGGAGTTCAAGACCAGCCTAGCCAACAGAGTCAGACTCCATCTCTTTTTTTTTTTTTTTTGAGACAAAGTCCCACTCTTGTCCCCCAGGCTGGAATGCAATGGCTCAATCTCAGCTCACTGCAACCTCCACCTCCCAGGTTCAAGTGATTCCCCTGCCTCAGCCTCCCAAGTAGCTGGGATCACAGGCATGGGCCACCATACCCAGCTAATTTTGTATTTTAATAGAGACAGGATTTCGCCATGTTGGCCAGGCTGGTCTTGAACTCCTGACCTCAGGTAATCCACCTGCCTTGGCCTCCCAAAGTGCTGGGATTATAGGCCTGAGCCACCGTGCCTGGCCAGCTAGTTAAGTTTTAATGAGATTTGGCTACTTTTTCCTCTGTCGGTTTTGATATTAAGTTTTCAGTTGGTTAGGTTAAAATCCAGAGGCTCTGGGTTAATACTAATATGCAAATACTTAACTAGAGCTAAAAATGTGATGGAATTGCTTCTTCATAGTTTTCAATCACATGGGATGAATCACATGCCCATTCATTCAGAAGTACCACCAATAAAACTTTTCTACAAATTAGTGTCCACTCCTGGATCAGCATCCTATAAGCAAGTACTTCTATTCAATTACGATTTTTAAAAGTTAGCTAGTCAGGAGGTAAAAACAACTTTTTGGCCTTTCTCTTCCTTTCCAAAAGGTAGGACTAGATCCCTAAGCAGTTAATATTACTGGAACTTATCAAGTTAATGTTTGCTGAGTAAAAGAATAATTTGGCTTAAATATGAACTAGAGAGCCGCAGTACATGGGCAAACATCCAAATAAGGAAAAGGGGGCGGGCGCAGTGGCTCATGTCAGTAATCCCAGCACTTTGGGAGGCCGAGGTGGGCGGATCACCTGAGGTCAGGAGTTCAAGACCACCTGGCCAACATGGCAAAACCCAGTCTCTGCTAAAAATACAAAACTCAGCCAGGCATGGTGGCGGGTGCCTGTAATTCCAGCTACTCAGGAGGCGGAGGCAGAAGAATCGCTTGAAACCGGGAGGCGGAAGTTGCAGTGAGCCAAGATCTTGACACTGCATTCCAGCCTGGGCAACAAAAGCGAAACTTTGTCTCAAACACACACACACACATACACACACACACACACACACACACACACACACACACGAAAACGGTTCTAGTTAGGACTGGAATAAGTAAGTAGATGTCCACTAAGCTGTACTGGCCACAGCAAGCTGTGACAGGGCTATAAGTATCTTAGGCTGAAATCTCTGTTCAGTAAACTAACCCATTTCTTTGTTTTGGAGCTCTTTCTGAAGGGAAGTCTCGTGAAACACTTCCTTGAATTCCAAACACAGTTGTTTGGAAAAATCCCAACTGGATCTACAGAAGTCCCAAGGCTGACAAGCCAAGACAGTTAGAGAGATTAATGTGTCCTTAGCAGTCAATAGTGTCTGGGCAGCATCTCGGGGAAGGAATTACAACTTTGCAGAAATTCCAGTGTCGGGCAGTGGCTGTAGATCACTTCTGATTTGACAGTCCTCTTACAGCCATGTTCTCTAAGCCATGCTAAAACCCAGTAATTCCTTACTTCTCCTTGCTGCGTTATGAACATAATACTAACACTAGCAGTCATCCCTGAATACCTGCTGTTAGGCATTGCTATACATTTTCTTCACAGTCCTATGAAAGAGGTATCATTATCCACATCTCACAACTAAGCAAACAGCCTCAGAGAAGAAAAGTAACTTTCCCTGGTCAAAGCTACCAAATATTCAAACTAAGGTTTCTCTGAAGGATCACATGACCCTTCCTCTAGATAGTACTTTGCAGACACTATCTTCCAAGGGCTGTTAAAAAAATATTGGTGGGGGGCAGGGCAGGGAATTCTATACATTCAGAATAAATATAGAATTTTCCAGCAGAGGAAATAAAAAATTTTATTTTTAAAAATGTTAGCTGTTGGCCGGGTGTGGTGGCTCAAGCCTGTAATCCCAACACTTTGGAAGGTGGAGGAGGGTGGATCACTTGAGGTCAGGAGTTCGAGACCAGCCAGGCCAACATGGTGAAACCCGGTCTCTACTAAAAATACAAAAATTAGCTGGGCATGGTGGCAGATGCCTGTAATCCCAGTTACTCGGGACGCTGAGGCAGGAGAATAGCTTTGAACCCGGGAGGCAGAGGTTGCAGTGAGCCAAGATGGCGCCACTGCACTGTGGCCTGGGTGACAGAGCGAGACTCCATCACAAAAAAAAAAAAAAGAAAGAAAGCTGTTGGTGCCTGGCTGAATAATTTTTTTTTTTTTTTTTTTTTGAGACTGAGTCTCGCTCTTTCACCCAGGCTGGAGTGCGGTGGTGCTATCTCAGCTCACTGCAACCTCTGCCTCCCAGGTTCAAGCAATTCTCCTGCCTCATCCTCCTGAGTAACTGGGATTACAGGCACGTGCCACCACGTCCAGCTAATTTTTGTATTTTTGGTAGAGATGGGGTTTCACCATGTTGGTTAGGCTGGTCTCGAACTCCTGACCTTGTGATCTGCCTGCCTCCGACTCCCAAAGTGCTGGGATTATAGGCATGAACCACGGCGCCCGGTCCAAATTTTTTAAAGTTAAAAACAAAACAGGCCGGGCACGGTGGCTCATGCCTGTAATCCTAGCACTTTGGGAGGCCGAGGCGGGTGGATCACCTGACGTCAGGAGTTCGAGACCAGCCTGGCCAACACGGTGAAATCCTGTCTCTATTAAAAATACAAAAATTAGCCAGGCATAGTGGTGGGCGCCTGTAATTCTAGCTATTCGGGAGGCTGAGGCAAGAGAACTGCCTGAACCTGGGAAGCGGAGGTTGCAGTAAGCTGAGACCGCACCACTGCACCCCGGCCTGGGCAACAAAAGCAAAACTCCATCTCAAATAAATAAATAAATATATAAATAAATACAAAAAAAAGTGAAAAATACAAAGTAAAAAAACAACAACAAAAATGTTAGCTGGGCTAGTCACACATACCTGTAATCCCAGCTACTTGGGAGGCTGAGGCTGGAGAATAGCTTGAGGCCAGGGGTTCAAGACCAGCCTGGGCAACAGAATGAGACGACCACCTATACTAAAAAAATCCAAAACATTATCTAGGTATGGTGGTACGCGACTCTAGTCCCAGCTACTCCGCAGGCTGAGGTGGAAGGGGCACATAAGCCCAGGACTTCAAGGCTGCAGTGAGCTAAGACCATGACACTGCACTCTAGCAGCCTGGGTGACAGAGCAAGACCCTGTCCCAAATAATAAATAAAGGTTAAAAACAAGTTTTCTGAATGAAATTGTCTATACAAATTAAGAATTTCAAAGGATTCTCCCTACACTTAGGATATATGCTAAGTTACACATCCTGTCTACATTTTCTCTTACATGGTTGCTTAGTATTTATTTTCACCCACCTGACCTCATGTGTACAGCTGTAAAGGGAGGTAATTAAATATAATACTAGCTGTTCGTACTTTTGAACGCTTTCCAAGTTTCTCTTATTTATTTATTTAGAGGCGGAGTTTTGTTCTTATTGCCCAGGCTGGAGTACAATAGCATGATCTCGGCTCACTGCAACCTCCGTCTCCTGGATTCAAGCGATTCTCCTGTCTCAACCTCCCGAGTAGCTAGAATTAGACATCCGTCACCACGCCCGGCTAATTTTGTATTTTTAGTAGAGACGGAGTTTCTCCATGTTGGCCAGGCTGGTCTCGAACTCCTGACCTCAGGTGATCCGCCCGCCTCGGCCTCCCAAAGTGCTGGGATTACAGGCCTGAGCCACCGCTCCCAGCCGTTTCTCTTATTTAATTCTTGGTAAGTTCTTTCAGTTTTACTTCCTGTTCCCTTTTTAGTCTTAAGTCTTAAAACTGTAATTGCACAGCCTTTAATGTGCTCTCATACATTTATTGTTCCTTGCTGGACCGACTGCCCTTTCAATAATGCCCTTTCATGAACTTTTCCTATTTCCTATTCTTTTTAAAGGTGCAGAAGGAAAACTAAGCTCATCACAGACTTACAAAAAGCCGGGTTTAAAAGAAATCTTCGAAATTATCATCTCGTTTCACGTTAATTAACTGAGCCCGCGGTCACAAAGCTTCGCAACGGCAAAGCCAAAAGCAAGATTCATGCCTTTCAACTTTCTCACTACCCAAGTAGCACCGCAAGCCGAATCCGCAGGGCAGTGCCAACATTGTTTGCTACTCTTGCGCAGAACAAAAATGCTAATCACTGCAACTGCTTTACATGAAAGTGCACCTAGAAAGACTTCAAAACCCAGAGGTACATTAACTTTCCAGGCAAGTTCCTCCCAGCCTGTGTGCCACGAGCGATTCCGAATGTGGTGTGCCCTCTCCCACAGTGCGAAGCTCGCGGGCGCTCAGGCTGCCGTTTGAATGAACGCACGAGTGGGAGGGACGCACAAGCAGGGTTGCAAGCCCGGGGCTCGTTAGCAGACGCGGAGATGCCAGGACGGGCTTCGCACTCGGATCTGAATGACCCTGGAACAGGAATCACCCCACGCCAACAGCGATGGGGGCCCCGCGGCACCGGCCCGACCCAAGGAGGCAGCAGCCCGAGAAGCAGAGCCCTGTCCCCAGTCCCCGGAACCTCGCGCCCCGCCGAGCCCGGCCCGGCCTGCGAAGTGGAGAGCACAGGCAGCCCCGAGCACGCCCGGTTGCAAAGGAGGCTCCTCGGAAATCGCAGCCCAACCTTACCCCAGGCCCGGGTTCCAGGAGCCGCAGAGAAAGCGGGGCCGGCAGGAGGAGGCACGGGCCAGGACTTACCTGGCGGCAGCGGCCCCACACCTCCTCCAACCCGGACTCAGTTGTAACAAGAACCTGAGGCCGCTGGAGAAAAGGAAAAAATGCCGTCGCGGGCGGGGCAGACCCACGAGCCTGCACGCAGCCCCGCGCCGCCCCGCCCCGTCCGCGCAAACACGCGACCTCCTCAGCTCCCATTGGTTTCTGCCAGCACTAGCCACACCCCTGACAGCCCCAGATGGGGACACGGAGGGGCGGGGCCCGTCCCAAGTGCCCCTCAGGATCTTCCCCTGCCGCTGCCTGAGGGAGCTGCCCGGGACTCGGTGACACCTGATGTGGCCTCCGATATCGACTGGGAGGTGGAAGAGAAATTTGGGGAACGCATCGAGAACCGTGGAAAAGCAACCTTCGCAGGGGGCAACCTTCTCACGGTGCCCCCGTGAACCTTCACAGTTGGATGGAAGTAAACTTGCCCTTATTTTTTTATACCCCAGCTTTTAGCTTGAAAATATACAGATTAGCCGGGCATAGCGGCGGGCGCTATAATCCCAGCTACTTGGGTGGCTGAGGCAGAAGAATCGCTTGAACCTGGGAGGCGGAGATTGCAGTGAGCAGAGAGCGTACCACTGCACTCCAGCCTGGGCAACAAAGCGAGACTTCGTCTCAAAAAAAAAAAAAAAAAAAAAAAAAAAAAAAAAAAAAAAAAAAAGCCAGACCTGGTGGCGGGTGCCTGTAATCCCAGCCACTCGGGAGGCTGAAACAGGAGAATCGCTTGAACCCGGGAGGCGGAGGTTGCAGTGAGCCAAGATCGCGCCACTGCACTCCAGCCTGGGCGACAAAGTGATACTCCCTCTTAAAAAAAAAAAAAAAAAAAAAGAAAGAAAATGTCCAAACAGAACAAAAAATTAAAAGAACCGTACTATGAGTAGAAATCTTTACATATATATCTAATATACATATATGTAAATATTTATTTATATATTAATATATAACATTTTTAACGGTATGGCAGTGTTTGTGTTCAAGCATACCCAGGTATATTTTTGTTTTGTTTTGTTTTTAGACAGAGCCTCACTCTTGTTGCCCAGGCTGGAGTGCAATGGCACCATCTCAGCTCACTGCAACCTCCGCCTCCCAGGTTCAAGTGATTCTGCTGCCTCAGCCTCCCGAGTAGCTGGGATTACAGGTGCCCATCACCACGTCCGGCTAATTGTTGTATTTTTAGTAGAGATGGGGTTTCTCCATATTGGTGAGGCTGGTCTCGAACTCCCGACCTCAGGTGATCCGCCTGCCTCGGCCTCCCAAAGTGCTGCCATTACAGGTGTGAGCCACGGCACCCGGCTGTGAACTCATGATTTAAACATATAACTGGGGCCGGGCTCAGTGGCTTATGCCTGTAATCCCAGCATTTTGGGAGGCCGAGACGGGCAGATCACCTGAGGTCGGGAGTTCGAGACCAGCCTGACCAATATGGAGAAAACCCATCTCTACTAAAAGTACAAAAATTAGCCGGACGTGGTGATGGACACCTGTAATCCCAGCTACTCGGGAGGCTGAGGCAGGAAAATCAGTTGAAGCTGGGAGGTGGAGGTTGAGGTGAGCCGAGATCACGCCGCTGCACTCTAGCTGCTGCACTCTAGCTGCTGCACTCTAGCCTGGGTGACAGCGCGAGAGAAAGAAAAGGAAAGGAAAGGGAGGGGAGGCGAAGGGAAGGGGAAGGGGAAGAAAGGAAAGGGGAAAGGAGAAAGAGGGAGGAAGGAAGGGAGGAAGGAAAATGCATATGTATAAAACTTGCATCTGTTGATGCAAAGTGCTACTCCAGGAATCTTTACATCCCTTGGTTCATTCAAGACAAAGAAATGTTATTTCCATTTTACAGATGACAGAACAGAGGTTTCATGAGATAACTGCCCTGTTACAGAACCAGGGCCCAGGGCCATCTCTCTCTCATTTCCTTCTCTTGTGTCTCCAGCTCAGGCCCCAGGTTGAGCTTAAACAATCTCTTTTCTGTGCTCCAACTTGGACTCTAGGTGAGTACCTGGATTTTTGGCCACACAATGTTTTGAAATCAATAAAATTTGGACCCCTTTGAAGTATCCCCTGAATTCTGGCCATAAAAACAAATACAATCCCCAGCCTGTGGGGGAAAGTCATTGGAATGCTTGCCTTTCTAGGGCAGGGAAATAAGTACATGACCCTTTCTACCTCTCTCTCACCTCACCAAGTCCTTTCCAGACTCATGACTGTGTGGTACTACATACAAAGCACTGGATTCCTCCCTTTCCTGTAGAGCTTTTGGACACCCAAACTCTACCATTACCCTAAGCCCCACCAGCCCATGCTAATACTCAGATAATACTTAGAAATACACAGGAATGGCCAGCCTTCAAGTATGAAGATCCCTTTGTGGGTTTTTTTGTGCTTTTGTTTTGTTTTGTTTTTCAAGACAGGGTCTCGCTCTGTCACCCAGGCTGGAGTGCAGTGGCCCAGTCACAGCTCACTGCAGCCTCGAACTCCTATACTCAAGCAATCCTCCTGCCTCGGCCTCCCAAAGTGCTGGGAGTACAGGCATGAGCCACCATGCCTGGCCAAAGATCTTTTTGAAAGAAAACTGAATTTTTTAAAAATTTTGAGTCCCTATAAAATAGATGGTAGTATTTTCAGTGTCCATTATGAAAATGCATATGGAATTTGTGGGGCCCCTGCAGTAACCTTGGGTTCCTCCAAGGGTCTTGGCCCAGGGATTGGAAACTATTTCTCTAGGGAATAGTAACTTGGTTGCAGCAGCATAACCAGTTTAGAAACAAGAATAACAAAAAAAGGCCAGGCGTGGTGGCTCACGTCTATAATCCCAATACTTTGGGAGGCCGAAGCAGGTGGATCACCTGAGGTCAGGAGTACAAGACTAGCCTGGCCAACATGGCGAAACTCCATCTCCACTAAAAACACAAAAATTAGCCGGGCATGGTGCTGCCTGCCTATAGTTCCAGCTGCTTGGGAGGCTAAGGCAGGAGAATTGCTGGAACCTGGGAAGCAGAGGTTGCAGTGAGTTGAGATCGTGCTACTGCACTCCAGCCTGGGCAACAGAGCAAGACTCCATCTCCAAAAAAAAAAAAAAAAAAAAAGAATTAAAAAAAAGTGGTAAGTCCAGAAATATATCTACGAACTATTCAGTGCCAGTCCCTGTTGGAAGCAACTTCTTTTTCATCTATTCTTTGCCTTCAACTTTCCCCCTATTTGGCTCTTTGTGCATGTTTTTTATCTGACTACAGTTAACACACCCAGGTAGCAATATGGAAATGAAGACCTAGGTTCTACTCAATCCTGGCCACAGCTTTATTAGCTCTCTGGCCTTGAGTTAATTAAAGTCCTCAGTTGCAAAATGGAAACAATACCCTCCCTACAGAATGTTAAATGAGGCGACGTGTGCAAAAACATACTTTGTAAAATGTAAGTGCTGTAGAAATATCTTTGAATTCATCTGGCCATGGCACTCACCAGCTTAAAATTCTTCATTGGCTCCCCAGTGTCCTCAAGATTAAGGCCCCTGACCACGTGGTCCTTAGAGCCCTCCAGCCATAAGAATCCAGTTCCCTATCCTCCTCACCCATGCACTTGCCCCTCAATCCTACATTCTAAAGTCTGGCCATATAGGCACTTCTCAAGTAGCTGGGCTTTTATTGCCATTTAGGCCTTTTATTAGCAAACTGTTAGAACAGTAACATCCACACAGCCAAAAGCCCTCACTACACTCCCTTAGGTGGATGATGCCAATCTCTATGAGGAGCTGGGCAGCAGGAACCATTTTTTACCCACATCATGGTTTTCATCATCTTGGCAATTGTGTGTGCACTATATAGTGGCAATAAATAACAAATGCTTTGGAATCAACTACAATTTGATAAATGTTTGTTTAATTACATTAAACTACAGGAATGATGCAGATAATATGGACCTGCGTCTTGTCAAGAATGAGTCTCACAGGTTTTTCTGGATGGTTGGTGCTTGCAGAATGAAAGGGCTTAGTCAGACCTTTTAGGGGTAACATTTGGTGGTTGGCGAAAGGAGGAGGTTGTATCTGACTGAGACATCTGGTCACCTCCTCTCCTTGGCAAAATGCAGAAGCAATGAGCCATTGCTACTCCTAAGAAGAACACCTGGATAGGCCAGTGTTCCTAGCTGGTGTACTGGGAATGAGCCCATAAAATTCTTTATCATTATATTTTATTGCAGCGGTTCTCAATCTGAATCAGATTTTGCCCTCCAGGAGAAATTCACAATGTCTGGAGTTTTTCGGTTGCCTCAACTAGATGCTTGCTACTGGCAAGTTGGTAGGGACCTAGGTTGCTGCTAAACGTTCAACAATGCCCAGGAAGGTGGCAATAGTACTGAAGTTTTAGAAATCCTGTTTTATAGGAATGTTGCTTTGGGCATTTGTTTTTCTTGGTTACAGGTGCTTTGTTGAGAATGCATCTTTTGTGTAAGTCACTGAATGGCTGTATAAAATACTCACAGCTCCCCAAACACAGGGATACTCCCTTTTACCTCTGCAACTTGGCACACACTGCATTGCACCTGCTGAGTTATTTCTCTTGCTAAGCCCTTCTCATCCATCAGGCCTCAGTTTGGACACCATGTCCTCCAGGAAGTCTCTCCTAATCACTAAAAACTGGGTGAAATGGGTGCCTGCCCTCTTTGTGCATCCATGCTGCTATGAGAACAGTTACCGCACTTCAAAAGAATGAGCAGTTTTCTCGACAGTCTTCCCATGAAACAGTAAGCTCGTTGGGGTAGGGACCCAGTCTTGCTCACTACTGTATTCTTAGTGCTCAGCATAGCACCTGGCACTGTGGGTCCCCAATAAATATAAGCACATTTGGAGAGTCTCTATAATTTGAGAGTTGGCAGGAAGACAGAGGTCAGGATGGAGGCTTTGTCAAATTGTCTGTCCCTTCCCATTGATATTACCACAGTTGTAAGTCCTGCTAAAAAGTACTTCTGCTTCCTTAGATGTGTTCCACTAGACACAATAGTAAGAACAACAGTGCAGGGAAACTCATGTGAAGTCTGGTGAGCTGTACTTAGAAATCTGGTTTATTTAATTTTACGTTACTCTCTGCATTTACTTATTTTGGTATCTTTTTAATTTTTATGCCCAAGGGTTAGCAAATTATGGTCCATGGACCAATTTATCCAGTAGCCTGTCTCGGTATAGCCCCAGAATTAAGAATAGTTTATATATATATACAAATATATATACAAATATATATAAATACATAAAAAAAATATATAAATATATATAAAAATATATATAAATATATATATATATAAATATATATAAAATATATATATATAAATATATATAAAATACATATTTATATAAATATATATAAAATACATATTTATATAAATATATATAAATATATAAATATATAAACATATATAAATATATATAAATATATATAAATATATAAATATATATAAATATATAAAAATATATAAATATATAAATATATAAATATATATTTATATATATAAAAATATAAATATATATTTATATATATAAATATGTAAATATATATATAAATATATATAAAATATATAAAAATATATATATAAATATATATAAGAATATATAAAAATATATATAAACATATATAAATATATAAAAAAATATATGAATATATATAAACATATAACAATATATATTTATATAAATATATATAAAAATATATATAAATCTGTAAAAATATATATTTATATAAATATATATAAATCTATAAAAATATATATATTTATATAAATATATATAAATCTATAAATATATAAAAATATATATAAATATATATAAATATATAAATATATAAATATAAGTATATATATAGAAATATATCAATATATATAAATATTTATGAATATAAATATACATATATGTGTAAATATATAAATATATGTAAATATATATAAATATATAAATATATGTAAATATATATAAATATATAAATATATATATAAATATATAAATATATAAAAATATATATAAATATATAAAAATATATATAAATATATGAATATATAGATACATGAAAATATATATAAATATATAGATATATAAATATATAAATATATAAAAATATATATAAATATATGAATATATATATAAATATATAAAAATATATAAACATATAAAAATATATAAATATATGTATATAAATATATAAATATATAAAAATATATATAAATATATAAAAATATATATAAATATATAAATATATAAATATATATAAATGTATAAATATATAAATATATATAAATATATATAAATATATATAAATATATATAAATATATATAAATATGTATATAAACATAAATATATATAAATATATAGAAATATATATAGTTATATATAGATATATATAAAGATATATAAATACATATATAAATATATATAAATATGTATAAATATTATATCTATTTATATAAATATATAAATATATATATATAAATATATAAAAGAATATAAATATATAAAAAAATATAAATATATAAAAATATATATATAAAAATATATATAAATATATATATAAAAATATATATAAATATATAAATATATATTTAAATATATATAAATATATATAAATATATATAAATATATAAATATTTAAATAAATATATAAATAAATATATAAATATATATAAGTATATAAAAATATATATAAATATATAAATATATATAAATATACATATATAAATATATAAGTATATATAAATATATAAATATATAAGTATATATACATATATATAAATATATAAATATATTTATAAATATATAAATATATTTATAAATATATAAGTATATAAATATATATAAATATATTGATAAATATATATAAGTATATAAATATATATACATATATAAATATATGTAAGTATATATATACGTATGTATATAAATATTTATACATATATAAATATATATACGTATATATACGTATACATATAAATATATGTACGTATATATACGTATATATAAATATATATGTATATGTAACTATATATAAGTATATATAACTATATGTAAGTATATGTATAAAAATATATAAGTATATATGAAAATATATATGTATATATATAAATATATAAGTATATATAAATATATGTATATATAAATATATAAGTGTATATATAAATATATATAAGCATATATAAATATATATAAGTATATAGAAATATATATAAGCATATATATAAATATGTATAAGTATATATATATAAGTATATATATAAATATATATAAGTATATATATAAATATATATATACATATATATATACATATATAAATATATATATAAGTATATATAAATATATATATAAGTATATATAAATATATATATAAGTATATATAAATATATATACACACATATATATTTTTTGGGACTGAGTCTCGCTGTATCCCCCAGGCTGGAGGGCAGTGGTGGGAACTCGGCTCACTGCCGTCTCCACCTCCTGAATTCAAGCAATTCTTGTGCCTCAGCCTCCAGAGTAGCTGGGATTACAGGTGCCCGCCAGCATGCCCAGGTAATTTTTGTATTTTTAGTGGAGACAGGGTTTCATCATGTTGGCCAGGCTGGTCTTGAACTCCTGACCTCGAGTGATCCACCTGCCTCAGCCTCCCAAAGTGCTGGGATTACAGGCATGAGCCACTTCGCCTGGTCAGTTTATATGTATTATATATATACATATAAAATATATAAAGTATATATTTTTATATATACATTTTAAATATATATATACATTTAAATATATTTTTAAATGTATATATTTTTTTGAGTTGGAGTCTTACTCTGTCACCAGTCTGGAGTGCAGTGGCGCCATCTCGGCTCACTGCAACCTCCGCCTCCCAGGTTCAAGCAATTCTCCTGCCTCAGCCTCCTGAGTGGCTGGGACTACAGGCGTGCGCCACCACGCCCAGCTAATTTTTGTGTTTTTAGTAGAGACGGGGTTTCACCATGTTGGCTAGGATGGTCTCAATCTCTTGACCTCGTGATCCACCCGCCCTGGCCTTCCAAAGTGCTGGGATTACAGGCATGAGCCACCGCCCCCGGCCCAGTTTTTATATTTTTTAAGTGGCTACATTTTAAATCGTTATGTAAGTATCTACATAATCTCAATTTTTCCTCCCGGGCCCTAAAGAGTAAAATCTTCACAATGTAGTTCTTTACAAAAAATGTTTGCTGATCCCTACGTGAACCTTTAGCAAAATTTGCATTTAAATATTGCAGTCTGGTCTCAGCTGTGCCTTATCGTTTCCTGAGCCTGTTGGGGTTCATTTGGTAAAAGGGGAAATGGCACAGCCTATAACAGCCATTTGTAGCAGAAGCAACTGTCATGAGACCTTCAGGAAGACCTCCTGACAGCCTTAGCGGACACTCTTGTAACAAGATTCTCTTAATACAATCAGTACAATGTATACACTTTATCAAATTCTCTTACACCTTCAATTTAAAGTCACAAGTATAAAATCAATTGCACATTTTAAATTGAAATTGCAAGGTAATCTGTGAGGTTCCCTACGAGGATAATTTCTTTCTTTACTATTAAACTTCGCATGAATAGCAGACACACACAGATTGTCTTACACTTAATGGTTAGTACTAAAAATATTAGTACTATGGGTTTGATTTAGCTCGTCGTTTCTATATTTAACTCTAAACCTTCCAGAGTTACATGATCATATAACAACAGATTTACCAGCTCAGATGAGCTTGGTAATTGGATGATGAAAAAAAATCAGGACATTAATGAGATCATTTATCTTGAAGAGATCTGAGACTGGGACCCAGGACTAGGGAGCTATACTAGGCTGGGTCCCAAAACTGATATCCCAAAACACGGTGCTTTGACATGCTGAACTGAAGAAGAGGCCACATCTCTCTGACTTTCCTCCCATCTTCCTGTCTCTCAATCCTCTGTCTCTCCCGAAGCATAGGATAAAGTTGTTCTCTGAAGGTCCTTTGTCTGCCTAAAGTCTGGATCCACCAAAAAAGAAAACAATTACCTCTGGTCCTTTCCTTAAGTTTTCATTAACTGAACTCATTGCAAGAAGAAAGACTGAACTTGGTCCATACACCTGGATAGACTTTTGTCACAAACCACTGTTTGCTCATTGGGCCCAACAGAGTTTGTCCCAGGCCATTGTATATTTCAATTCCATTGACTTCCCCTGAAAATCATTTACTACCTTCCTAAATCATCCACGTTTCCCCATCTCCCTTTCACTCAAGAAGAGGATATATAATCATCTGTACCCTACTGCATGGTGAGGAAATCACTCTGTGATTTTCCCCCATGCACATTAATAAATTTGCCTGGCATTTCTCCTATTAATCTGCCGTTTGTGAATTTATTTTCAGCGTGGCTTCAGACAGCAAAAGGGAAGTTTTCCCTTGGCCCCCTACAATTTTTCTTTTCTTTTCTTTTCTTTTTGAGACAGATCTCATTCTGTCGCCCAGGCGGAGTGCAGTGGTGCCATCTCGGCTCACTGCAACCTCCGCCTCACAGGTTCAAGCGATTCTCCTGCCTCAGCCTCCTGAGGAGCTGCAACTACAGGCATGCGTCACCACTCCGGATAATTTTGTATTTTTAGTAGAAACGGGGGTTTCACCATGTTGGCCAGGCTGGTCTTGAACTCCTGACCTCAAGTGATCCACCCGCCTCGGCCTCCCAAAGTGCTGGGATTACAGGCATGAGCCACCATGCCGGCCCCCTACAATTATTATATGTCCCATTTTTATAGAGAAGTTGTGTCTGATCCATCAGCAGGGACTTTGAGGAGGGTCTGTTGTAATTGAGTTTTGCTACCTTCATCCCTGGGCATTTTTTCTGCCATTTATACCCTTCTCCAATTTGTTCATGTTCTTTCTTTCTTTCTTTTTTTATTTTTATTTTTTTTTGAGACAGAGTCTCACTCTGTCGCCCAGGAGTGCAGTGGTGCAATCTCGGCTCACTGCAACCTCTGCCTCCCAGGTTCAAGTGATTCTCCTGCCTCAGCCTCCTGAGCAGCTGGGACTACAGGCGCATGCCACCACACCCGGCTAATTTTTGTATTTTTAGTAGAGACGGGGTTTCACCATACTGGCCAGGCTGATCTCGATCTCTTGACCTCGTGATCTGCCCACCTCGGCCTCCCAAAGTGCTGGGATTACAGGCATGAGCCACCAAGCCCAGCCTTCTTTTTAACTTTTTTTTTTTTTTTTTTTTTTTGAGACGGAGTCCAGCTCTGTCACCCAGGCTGGAGTGCAGTGGCGTGATCTCTGCTTACTGCAACTTCTGCCTCCCAGGTTCAAGCGATTCTCCTGCCTCAGCCTCCTGAGTAGCTGGGATTACAGGTACGCACCACCATGCCTGACTAATGTTTGTATTTTTAGTAGAGACAGGGTTTCACCATGTTGGTCAGGCTGGTCTTGAACTCCTGACCTCATGATCTGCCCACCTCAGCCTCCCAAAGTGCAGGGATTACAGGTGTGAGCCACTGCACCTGGCCTCTTTTTAACTTTTAAAGCCTAATTTGGGTGGAGAGAGAGAGACAAAAAAAGAGAAACAAATCACAGCTAAAGGATTAAGAATAATGATAACTTAAAACTTCTCAATAGCAATGCTGGAAACTAGAATATGATGGAGCAATGACTTAAATTTGAGGGGAAATTATTACCAAACTATAATATCCACCTAACCAAACCAGCAATGGGAAGAATTGAAAAGTTACATATGTGCAAGCTCTTTTTTTTTTTTTTTTTTTTTTTTTTTTTTGAGATGGAGTCTTGCTCTGTAACCCTGTCTGGAGTGCAATGGCGCAGTCTCAGTTCACTGCAACCTCCACCTCCTGGGTTCCAGCGATTCTCAGGCCTCAGCCTCCCTAGGAGCTGCAACTACAGGCATGTGTCACCACACCTGGCTAATTTTTGTATTTTTAGTAGAGACGGGGTTTCACCATGTTGGCCAGGCTGGTCTCGAACTCCTGACCTCAGGTTATCTGCCTGCTTCAGCCTCCCAAAGTGCTAGGATTACAGGCATGAGCCACCACACCCGACAGGTGCAAGCTCTTAAAGAATTGACCTCTTTCATGTATGTGTCCCCTAGAAAGCTAATGGAGGATATTCTTCCCCAGAACTAAGGAAGAAACTGAAAAATGGGGTTCAGGAAATAAGCGACCAGCAAAGGAGGATGGGGAAAGGAATTCTCAAGATGACACTGAAAAGAATTCTCATGACAGCTGGGCACAGTGGCTCATGGCTGTAATCCCAGCACTTGGGAGGCTGAGGCAGGAGGATTGCATTTAAGCTCATGAGTTCAAAACCAGTCTGGGCAACATGGAGAGACCCTGTCTCTACAAAAAAAAATTTTTTTAATTAGCTGGGCATGGTGGGAAGTGCCTATAGTCCCAGCTACTCAGGAGGCTGAGGCAGGAAGATCACTTGAGCCCAGGAAGTTGAGGCTACAGTGAGCTGTGATTGCCCCACTGCACTCCAGCCTAGGCAACAGAGCAAGACCTTGTCTCAGAAAAAAAAAAACAAAAACAAAAAAACAGAAAGAAATCTCAGGACAACAGCAACCAGGCCAGATTGGAGCAGGAGTACAAAGAGATCCTGGAAATATATTGCCAAGAAAAAAAAATGAAACTGATACATCACCTGATGTTGGTGAAAATATTGATACTTTATACTTCTAATGGAGAATTTTGAAGTGAATTAGAAATAGGTACCTAGAAAATGAAGCTAAATTTTTTTTTAATGAAGGCAACTGTCAATTCCAGGAAAAAACAGAGAGTTATATTTTTAAAAACAAATATAATCATAGTATACTATACGGCTCAGTTATCAATAACATTTACAAAGTCAGAGTAATTAATACCATATATTGATTTAACAAAATATGTGATGTAATTATAATGAAATGATAGTGAGAAACTGTGTTTGCGTGAATATGTGCAAGTGTGTGTGAGGATGAGTGATAGGAGTAAAGAGTAAGTCTTTACTTAAAGAGGATGTCTCTATAGAGACATGATATCTCTATAGAGATGGCAAAAGAAGAAAAGAAATAACAAATGAAAACACAGAAGAAGCAACTGAAAGAGTTTAAAGTAGTTGCCTCTGGGCATCGGGATTGAGTAATGGAGAAGGATGAAGCAGATAACTGTTCTTTTCATTGCAAAAGCCCTGTAGAACAATTTTATTTTTAAGAATATGGGGCCTGGCATGGTGGCTCATGCCTGTAATCCCAGCACTCTAAGAGGCCGAGGCAGGTGGATCACTTGAGCTCAGGAGTTTGAAACCAGCCTGGGCAACATGGTGGAACTCCATCTGTACCAAAAAAAATACAAAAATTAGCCAGACATGGTGGTGTGCCTGTAGTCCCAGCCACTTGGGAGGCTGAGGTGGGAGCATCACTTGAGCCCAGGAGGTAGAGGTTGCAGTGAGCCCAGATCATGCCACTGCACTTCAGTCTGGGTAACACAGTGAGACTATGAATGTGTATAACTTTGATTTTTTAAAATTTAGTTTTATTAATGAAAGAAATATGCCTTAATGTTTCTCCTTGGCCACTGTCACTGGCTAGCCCTTCTCATTCTCTCTATGAATCTCTAAATATTAGGATGCCTCAGGGCTCTATCATGAGTCCTTTCCCTTCTCAAAGCATATACTCTACCCAATGGTCCCACCTAGTTCTAGGGCTGTAAACACCACCCGACAATTGCACGCTTCTTTTGTTTTTGTTTTTGTTTTTGTTTGAGATGGAGTTTCGCTCTTGTTGCCCAGGCTGGAGTGCAATGGCGTGATCTTGGCTCACCGCAACCTCTGCCTCCAGGATTCAAGCGATTCTCCTGCCTCAGCCTCCCGAGTAGCTGGGATTACAAGCATGTACCACCACACCCGGCTAATTTTGTATTTTCAGTAGAGACAGGGTTTCACCATGTTGCCTAGGCTGGTCTCGAACTCCTAGCCTCAAGTGATCTGCCTGCCTTGGCTTCCCAAAGTGCTGGGATTGCACTCAAAACAAAACAAAACAAAAACACAAAGAAAAAAAAACAAAGAGTATGGTTTGATTGAATTTTTTTTTTTTTTTTGAGATGGATTTTCACTCTTGTTGCCCAGGTTGGAGTGCAATGGTGTGATCTTGGCTCACTGCAACCTCTGCTTCACAGGTTCAAGCAATTCTCCTGCCTCAGCCTCCCGAGTATCTGGGATTACAGCCACGTGCCACCATGCCTGGCTAGTTTTTTGTATTTTTATTAGAGATGGGTTTCACCATCTTGGCCAGGCTATTCTCAAACTCCTGACCTCAGGTGATCTGCCCACCTCGGCCTCCCAAAGTGCTGGGATTACAGGCGTGAGCCACCGCACCCAGCCAACGATTGCACACTTCTATCTCTAGCCCTGCTCTGTTTGCTACTCCAGACTCACATATCCAGTGGCCTATTTGACACCTTCTCTTAGATGTAACTAGGCAACTCAAACTTAGTACACCTAATAGAGCCTCCTACTTTTGTCCCCGAAGCCTGTTCCTTTTCTAGTCTTTCTCATAGTAAATGTCACCATCAGCTATTTGAGCTCAAACCAAAAACCAAGGTGTCATCTTTAATTTTTCCTTTGTTCTTATCATCAATATCCACCCCATATGTCCTGCTGTCTCTGCCTTTAAAATACATCTCAGGGCCGGGTGCAGTGGCTCATACCTGTAATCCTGGCACTTTGGAAGGCCAAGGTGGGTGGACTACTTGAGGTCAGGAGTATGACACCAGCATGGCTAACATAGTGAAACCCCGTCTCTACTAAAAATACAAAAACAAACCGGGCATGGTAGTGCGCACCTGTAATCCCAGGTACTCGGGAGGCTGAGGCAGGAGAATCATTTGACTCTGGGAGGTGAAGATTGCAGTGAGCCGAGATCATATCACTGCACTGTGGCCTGGGCAACAGAGCAAGACTCTGTTTCAAAAAAAAAAAAAAAACAGTGTTACTTATCCTCTTTATAATTCTCATATTCTCATTTTCCTTAGAAGTAAAATAAATAGACATACTTGTTTCAGATGGCTTTTTTAGCAAGAATTAAAGGAAATAAATGGAATAATTTACAGAGTGCCCTGTGCATAATAAACATTGCTATCATTATTATTACCATCATCAGGATTATCATTATTCCACACATCTCTTTCATCTTCTAAAGATCCACCACATGTAGGCAAAACCAGTATCACTAAATAGTTGGGTATAAAATTAAAACCTTTAATATTTCTCAGTAGTTTTGTCCTGAGGTTTACACTCAGTACTTTCAATTAATTTGTATTGAACAATACAATTTCAAAAATATGATATTAAAAGCAACCTAAATGGCTACTTACTAATTATTATGGCCAGGTATATCTATAGGACACTAAAAAAAAAAAACAATCAATTCAGCATGTTAAAAAAAAAAATCAAGGCCAGGTGTGGTGGTTTGCACCTGTAATCCCAGCAGGCCAAGGCAGGCAGATCGCTTGAGCTCAGGAGTTCAAGACCAGACTTGGCAAGATGGCAAAACACAGTCTCTACCAAAAAAAAAACAAAAAAAAATTAGCTGGGCATTATGGCACACGCCTGTAGTCCTCAGCTACTCAGGAGGCTGAAGTGGGAGGATCACCTGAACCCGGGAAGGTTGAGGCTGCAGTGAGCCGTATCGTGCCATTGCACCCCTGGGCAACAGAATGAGACTCTTTCTCAAAAAAAAAAAAAAAAAATTCAATCTGAACCTTAACTGGAATTGCCTGTATTATTTTTTTTAGCCCATCATTTGGCTAAATATTTCACTCTCTAACTTTCTGAGTTGCTTTCACACAGGTACTGCCAAAGCAAACTATCAGACTTAAGTTTATCACAGGCAAAGTTTAAAGGGCAAATTGTGACCTCCAAGAGATGAAATAAATGGCTCTTTTCATGAAAAAGAATTTGGGGAACTGTAAGTGATCTGGGGCACTTCATGCTGAGAGGTTCAAGTATAAAGGGTACTAAACAGGTGGCTCCCAGAGGTAATTTTAGCCAGAGTGTTCTAAAGTGTGGCTTTTCGGAGCGTCAGGGAGGACAGTGCCCCAGCCTGTCACTGCAGAAACTCCCTCGAACATTCAAGTACATTCACAGAATAACCAAGGAGAGCAAAGCCAGAACTGACACTGGTTTAGGAATTGGAAAATTGAAAGTTGTATTACCCTGTGAGGGCTGTGTTCTCAGTTCTTGGAACTTGCCCTGAGAACAGACTGTCATGCTCCATTTTTGCCTCTGATAAAGAGCATACATGAGTTTAGCACGAGGACTCTGAACATAACCATGACATTTCCATCTGGTAATAGTGGAAGAGTCAGGGAAGCTGGCCGAGGCCTGAGGCTGGTGAAAAAAGTCTGAGCTGTTCTGACGGGGCCACAGCCATTTATGTCCATGGCTTTCAAACTCGTTAAACTGTAACCCACATTAAGAAATGCATTTTACATAATAATCCAGTACACACATATACACACAAACACACTACTGAGACAAACATTTCCGGAAGGAATACTTACTGTATCTGTAATGCACTGTATTCTTTATTATTCTATTTTTTGTTCACACTGTTCATAACCAACTAAAATGAAAATCCAGTTTGAAAAAAATACTGATTATAAAATTCCAATCAGGCTGGGCGCAATGGTTCATGCCTGTAATCCCAGCACTTTGGGAGGCCGAGGCGGGCAGATCACCTGAGGTCAGGAGTTTGAGACCAGCCTGGCCAAGATGGTGAAACCCATCTCTAATAAAAATACAAAAAACTAGCCAGGCATGGTGGCACGTGGCTGTAATCCCAGATACTCGGGAGGCTGAGGCAGGAGAATTGCTTGAACCTGTGAAGCAGAGGTTGCAGTGAGCCAAGATCACACCATTGCACTCCAACCTGGGCAACAAGAGTGAAAATCCATCTCAAAAAAAAAAAAAAAATTCAATCAAACCATACTCTTTGTTTTTTTTTCTTTGTGTTTTTGTTTTGTTTTGTTTTGAGTGCAATCCCAGCACTTTGGGAAGCCAAGGCAGGCAGATCACTTGAGGCTAGGAGTTCGAGACCAGCCTAGGCAACATGGTGAAACCCTGTCTCTACTAAAATTACAAAAATTAGCTGGGTGTGGTGGTGTGTGCCTGTAATCCCAGCTACTCAGTAGGCTGAGGCAGGAAAATGGCTTGAACCTGGGAGGCGGAGGTTCCAGTGAGCCAAGATCGTGCCATTGCACTTCAGCCTGAGTTACAGAACAAGACTCTGTCTCAAAAAGCAATAAATAAATAAATAGGTGTTCAGGTTGAGCAGCAGCTGACCCTCTGACAACTCATCTTGAGGCCTTATGCTGCTGAAAAATTCCTCTCCCAATGAGTGAATCGAAGGAGAGCTTCTGTTTTTATGTCAGACACAGCCACCTGTGACCTTGACAGTGACTCGGTTTGGTCATCATTTGTTTGTTTTTGTGTAATTTTAACTGCTATCTAAATAGCCATAAAATGGTTAAACAATAAACCCTCAGTGAACACACAGGGTCTCAATGCAAATTCTGCAGCTGAGGGATGGCAGACCATGGAAGAGCAAGGAGTTTCTGAGAATTGGGAGAGTTTCCCTGAGATATTTGGTCAGGAAGATACTTTTTCCTTATGCAAAGTCAAGAAAGGTGTTTAGGTCCATAAACCTATAGCACCTGGGGCCAGTCTGGCAGGCAGCGTTGACAGAGTCTTTTCAATACAGGAGACAAGATCATCCCCAACACTCATGCACACTTGTTCAAAAATGTATCTTTTGAAACCAGGTAAAGGTGATGGTTGCACAACACTGTAAACACACTAAATGTCACCATGTTGTACACTTTAAAACCCATAAATGGGTTGGGCACAGTGGCTCACGCCTATAATTCTAACACTTTGGGCGGCCATGGTGAGCAGATCGCTTGAGCTCAGGAATTGGAGACAAGCCTGGGCAACACAGCAAAACCCCATCTCGACAAAAAATACAAAAATTAGCTGGGCATGGTGGCACGTGCCTGTAGTCCCAGCTACTCTGGACGCTGAGGTAGGAGGATCGCTTGAGCCCAGGAGGTCAATGCTGCAGTGAGCTGTGATGGCACCACTGCACTCCAGCCTGACTGACAGAAGAAG
Source organism: Homo sapiens (assembly GCF_000001405.40). NCBI lineage: Eukaryota > Metazoa > Chordata > Mammalia > Primates > Hominidae > Homo > Homo sapiens. The sequence goes on from NC_000013.11 coordinate 45,435,470, forward strand.
AGCCTGTCTCAACAAAACAAAACAGTTAAATGTTATGCAAATTTCACCTCTCTCTCTCTTCATATATATATATATATATATATATATATATATATATATATATATATAAATAAATACAAATACATATATATATATATTTTTTTTTTGGAGACAGTCTCACTGTGTCATTCAAGCTGGAGTGCAATGGCACGATCTCGGCTCACTGAAATCTCTGCCTCCCAGGTTCAAGTGATTCTCCTACCTCAGCCTCTAGAGTAGCTGGGTTTACAGGCATGCGCCACCACACCAGGCTAATTTTTTGTATTTTTAGTAGAGACGGGTTTTACCATGTTGGACAGTCTGGTCTCGAACTTCTGACCTCAAGCAATCTGCCAGCCTCGGCCTCCAAAAGTGCTGAGATTACAAGCATGAGCCACCACGCCCCGCCTATCAATATTTTTTATTAAAAAAAAATATATATATATACATATATATATATAAACACACCCACCAAAGCAATACAAATGTGACCTTTTTGGTTATTATTTGTTCTGGTTTTCTGGCACCTTGCATAGTCAAGACAGAAAGGTTTTAGGGATTTAATTTCAAGAAAATGAAGATAGAAAGATGAATGATTGTATAAATAGTGAAATAGCTGCAATTTTTTTTTAAATGGGCTTTGCAGATGCTGCTGCCACCAGGAGCCTTGTACTATCAGCCACAGTCAACCCCAAGGGGTTCTGCAACATTGCCATCGACGGCGAGCCCTTGGGCTGAGTCTCCTTCAAGCTGTTTGCAGACAAGTTTCCAAAGAGAGGAGAAAACTTTTGCGCTCTGAGCACCAGGGAGAAAGAATTTGGTTATAAGGGTCCCTGCTTTCACGGCATTATTCCAGGGTTTGTGTGTCAGGGTGGTGACTTCACACGCCATAATCACACAGGTGGAAGTCCATCTACGAGGAGAAATTTGATGATGACAACTTCATTCTAAAGCATACAGGTCCTGGCATCTTGTCCATGGCAAATGCTGGACCCAACACAAACGGTTCCCAGTTTTTCATCTGCGCTGCCAAGACTGAGTGGTTGGATGGCACGCATGTGGTCTTTGGCAAGGAGAAAGAAGGCCTGATTATTGTGAAGGCCGTGGAGCGCTTTGGGTCCAGGAATGGCAAGACCAGCAAGGAGATCACAATTGCCGACTGTGTTTTATCTTAACCACCAGACCATTCCTTCTATAGCTCAGGAGAGTGCCCCTCCGCACCATTTGCTCACAGTATCCTAGAATCTTTGTGCTCTCGCTCAGTTCCCTTTGGGTTCCATGTTTTCCCTGTTCCCTTCCATGCCTAGCTGGATTGCAGAGTTAAGTTTATGATTATGAAATAAAAACTAACAACCAAAAAAAAAAAAAAAGGCTAGTTTGATACAGCTTAGCAGATGGCTTAGAGCCAGGGTCCAGGACTAGCCATTGTTTCATTACCTCCTCCAAAGCCCTGGGGAACCCACCTCACCCACAGTCCCCTCTGAGTGTGATCAACAGTGGTTACACATGATCCATCACCCAGTCACACAGATAGGCCAAGGGAGACATGGATAGAGGTCTGAGGTGGCCTTGAGAACTCTGCCCTGTAGTGGCCCCTCTGCTGGATGGTGAAGGCTGTCCCACAGGAACTCTTGGGACATTTGACATAAGGCACGAGTGAAAATCCGCTGATACAGACAAAAGCAGTAGAGTCAGAGGCAAAATATCTGAGTCCCTGTCATGGTGGAGACCCAGAGCAGGAATCCATAGTTGCCCAGTTCTGAAGAGTCACTTGCCAGGTATTGTGACGGTGCCACCAGAGTTGCTATCAGAGCAATGGGGCTACAAGTACATCCCAGACTACGTCCTATATGGCCTAACCACATGGCCGGAGACAACTTCCTGTGTCCTTTATTTCCCTATGTAGCCTTATAATTGGCCTTCATTCATGGAAATAACCTGAGGATGTGCCTGCTCCTTGAAACCCTGAAAAATCTAATTTACATCTAAATGCCACAAAAGGAAGCCACTGAAAGGATTCTGGTCACATCTTCCTTCCTTAATGAAGGATTGGTGGGGACTCTCCAGAAGCCATTGGTAGAGCAGCTTATTTCTAATCCTCCTCTGTTGTGCCACCCTCCACTATGGAAGCTGAAAATGTTAAATACTTCTTTCCCGGCTGGGCGCGGTGGCTCACACCTGTAATCCCAGCACTTTGGGAGGCCGAGGCGGGAGGATCACGAGGTCAGGAGATGGAGACCATCCTGGACAACATGGTGAAACCCCATCTCTACTAAAAATACAAAAATTAGCTGGGCGTGGTGGCATGTGCCTGTAATCCCAGTTACTCGGGAGGCTGAGGCAGGAGAATCACTTGAACTAGGGAGTCAGAGGTTGCGGTGAGCCAAGATCGCACCACTGCACTCCAGCCTGGCAACAGAGTGAGACTCCATCTCAAAAACAAAACAAAACAAAACAAAACAAAACAAAACAAAAAAACTTCTTTCCCAGCCTTTCTTGCAGCTAAGCATGGCCAAGTGACAAGTTCTGTCCAACGAGACAAACATGAAACTCTTGGGCAGCATAAGGAGGAGTGTTTGAGAAAGGCTTTACTTCTGTACAAAGAGAACAGGCCCAGGAGCAGTGGTCACTGGCACTGCCCCTTCCCCATTCTCGTGCCTTGAATACAAACATGGTACGTGCAGCTGTGGCCACAGTCTCACTCTCACAAAGTGACAAGCATGTTAACAAAAGGCCCACATGCTAAGAAAGGCAGGACCGAAAGAGAGAAAGAGTCAGGGTCTTATTGACATTGTCAGGCAGCTAAACCAACTTTCTACCCCCAGGCTTCTTGTTTCTTGAGAAAAAGACCACTTTAACTTGGTATCACTGCTTATGGTTTTCCTAACTGATAACACTGCATATGTAAAACTAATCACAAAATGTGCATCATAGACTGGGTGCAGTGGCTCACACCTGTAATCCCAGCACTTTGGGAGGCCGAGGCAGGTGGATCACTTCAGGCAAGAAGTTCGAGACCAGCCTGATCATCATGGTGAAACCCCGTCTCTACTAAAAATACAAAAATTAGCCAGGCATGGTGGTGGGTGCCTGTAATCCCAGCTACTCAGCTACTCAAAAAAAAAAAAAAAAAAAAAAAACACACACAAACAAAAAAAAACACGGGAGACACCTCCTGAGATGGAAGCCACTGCACTCCAGCCTGGGCTACATAAAAAAAAAAATGTATCATAGATTTATAACTTATTTAAGTAAACTTTTAAGCAAATCACACGTTAGTGATTCCACAGCAGGATTCAGTCACTCCGACTATTTCTTGTACAACCTCAAGTGGTTTTCTTTGGTGTTTTTTTTTGTTTTTTGAGACGGAGTCTCGCTCTGTCGCCCAGGCTGGAGTGCAGTGGTGCAATCTCAGCTCACTGCAACCTCTGCCTCCCAAGTTCAAGCGATTCTCCTGCCTCAGCCTCCTGAATAGCTGGGATTACAGGCATGCGCCACCACGCCCAGCTAGTTTTTGTATTTTTAGTAGAGACAGGGTTTCGCCGTTTTGGCCAGGATGGTATCAAACTCCTGACCTCAGATTATCCACCCACCTCAGCCTCCCAAAGGGCTGGGATTACAGGCATGAGCCACCACGCCCAACCACAAGTTTTAAAACCACTTTGGGTTTTAAGGTGAGTCCTGTGAGGGCCTCTGCATATGCCAGTGTCCAGGCTCTGCAGACATGCCGGAAAGAGAATGCTTTCTGTTTGACTGTGCCTCCTCTTACACAGACACTACTCATGTGCATTGTTGTGGATGGCTGCATGCAGTAAGAGTATAAAGACCTCACTCAAATACACAATTAAGCACACTTTATATTGCTCATGTGAAAGGGAGCTACTATAGAATCAAGGCAGCCCTGCATGAAATTGTTAGGGGATGATTTGCGACAATACGGACGGACCTAAAGGACATTATGCTAGGTGAAATGAGTCAGTCACAGAAGCTTACATGAGGACTTTAAAATAATCAAACTTAGAGAAGCAGAAAATACAATGGAGGTTGCCAGAGGATGGAGGAAATGGGGAGTTTTTCAATGGGTATGAAGCTACAGTTATATAAGATGATTAAGATCTAGACATCTGCTGTATAACATAGTGCCTATTGTTAACAATATACCATGTTGTACACTTAAAAATGTGTTAAGAGGGTAGATTTCATGTTAAGTGTTCTTCCTCGCATACACACACACAAAAAGGCAGACAAAGGGGCACAACGAAACTTTTGGAGATGATGAACTTATTTGTTACCTTGATTGTGGCAATGATATCATAGGTATATGTGCATTATAACCAAAGTCATCAAATTTTATACATTTAAATATGTGCAATTTTTTGTATATCATTTATACTTCAATAAAGCTATCAAAAAATTAAAGCATTGTAAGTTAAAGAAAAAGAAAAGAAAAGGCTGGGCATGGTGACTCACACTGTAAAACTGTAATCCTAGCACCTTGGGGGTTCAAGGCGGGTGGATTGTTTGAGCCCAGGAGTCGGAGACCAGCCTGGGCAACATGGTGAAACCCTGTCTCTACAAAAAAAAAAAAAAAAACATACAAAAATTAGCTGGGCATGGTGGCACACACCCTGTGGTCTCAGCTACTCAGGAGACTGAGGTAGGAGGATCACTTGAGGCCAGGAGGTTGAGGCTACAGTGAGCTGAGATCACACCACTGTACTCCCCCTGAAAAAAAAAAAAGGAAGAAAGACAGGAAGGAAGGAAGGACGGAAGAAGGAAAGAAGGAAGGAAGGAAGGAAGGATGGAAGGAACCCTGTACAGAATCTAATATGGACAACATACATCATGTAAAAAAAATTAGGGGATGGTTGTTAGAGAAATACATAGCCACACATATATTAAATGTCTTCCCAAAATGCTCAATGTATTTATGACCTAAAGAGCTGATACTTAGCTAACCCACATAACAGGAGCTCTAAATAGAACAGACACTCAGCCAGTGCCGGTTAACTAACAAATTCCTCTGCAGAACGGCAGCTCAAGAAGCAGATGCATTTCACCCTCGTGCTTATGTTGGCACTGATAACAATGTCCTGCTGGGTTTCTCTCCTCATCATGTCCTTCCCCACAGGTCAAGGCCAGTTCTCAGTTAATGGTTTGAGTCACAAGGACATGCAGTCCTCTTAGAGTGGACAAATGCCAAACTTGCTCTATCAACACCACAGAAGGATTTTTCAATGGCTAGAGGTCTCTATATGACCAGGAACTCCTAGCCTTAATATAGACTTTCCAATAGCCTAGGAAAAATTCTACAACCAGAGATGCAAGTACTCACATTACCACCATCACCCTTTCACCTACTTACCTAAAAAGGGATAACTAGACCTTGGCTGGGGCTTATTGATATAGGCCACAGAGTACCCTCTGTACCTTGACAGTCTATTTCCCAGATGTAATGCAATGTCCACATAAATAAACAGAATAACTCTGTCCCCAAATATGTTTCCTTTAATCAAAGTTCACTGAAAAACAAAAACTAAGGATGATTTAACAAAATAGTTTGTATGTGTTCATTGTCCTCTTTCCATTTATACTAAAAAGATAAGAAGGCTGAGTGCAGTGGCTCACGCTTGTAATCCCAGCACTTTGTGGGGGCTAAGGCAGGTGGATCACCAGAGGTCAGAAGTTTGAGACCAGCCTGGTCAACATGGTGAAACCCTGTCTCTACTAAAAATACAAAAATTAGCCGGGTGTGGTGGTGGGCACCTGTAGTCCCAGCTACTCTGGAGGCTGAGGCAGAAGAATCTCTTGAACCCAGGAGGCAGAGGTTGCAGTGAGCCGAGATTGCGCCATCGCACTCCAGCCTGGGCAACAAAAGTGAAACTCTCTCTCAAAAAAAAAAAAAAAGAAAAAGAAAAGAAAAGAAAAGGAAAAAAGAAAAGAAACTTGATAGAATGGTCAGATGGCTTTTTCAGTTGTTACTTTCAACAACTTTCAGTTGTTCAGTTTTTCAGTTGTTACTCTATCATACACATCATAGCATGATATGAGTGCTAAATAAATATTAGGCAAGTTATCATCAGTAAAGCCAATCTGGAAATTTACAAGATTCAGCTGAAAATTGTTTCTTGTCTCGGTTTCTATGAGAATACCAGGGGAACACTACCAGGGCTTGTCCAGGATGAATGTCTCCAACTTTACACCTTATTACTTGCTCTCATGCACTAGTGCTTCACCTTAAAATGAATCATAACAGCAAGTTATCCAGCAAGAACACGACAGGAGGTGATCTGTCTGGCTGTGGTGCTTCCACAGCCAGCCACAGGAGGGGTGTAAAAAGATTCTCTTGCCTAGGACAATGGCATTTCTGATTGCTAATTTTGTCTGACTGTGGTTTACAAATTCAACTTCCTTTGAAGATACGCATTCACTTAATTCTCTGGCCCAGCAAACCAGAACAGAATTTCTAGCTACCAATGTGAATCCTGAATATTTGTTTCCTTTTGGGTTTAGTAAAGTAGAAAATGAAACAATCACAAGAGGAAATGTGCCTAGAAAAAAAACCTGATTAAATCTGTGGAGAGTGGTTGGTAAAAATGGAAACATTTCACATTTCACCAAAAATCTCACATGTTGCTGTGGAAAATAAATGTATTTTTTACTTAAATGCATGCATTTAACAATCACCGATTGATTGCCATGCTGGGTACAAAAGGTGGGGAAATGCCTTTGCATTTAGAGATTTACAGTCTGATGGAAGAGGAAAAAAAAATCCAAAATTATATAATGGCCTGGAAGGGTGCTTAGAAGTCTTCTTGGGAGAGGCCGGGTGCAGTGGCTCACGCCTGTAATCCCAGCACTTTGGGAGGCTGAGGCGAGTGGATCACGAGGTCAGTAGTTCAAGACCAGCCTGGCCAGGATGGTGAAACTCTGTTTCTACTAAAAATACAAAAAAAATTAGCCGGGCCTGGTGGCGGGCACCTGTAATCCCAGCTACTCGGGAGGCTGAGGCAGGAGAATCGCTTGAACCCAGGAGGTGGAGGTTGCAGTGAGCCGATATCACACCATTGCATTCCAGCCTGGGCAACAGAGCAAGAAAAAAGAAGTCTTCCTGGGAGAGATGACACTTAAAAAAAAAAAAATAGGGCAAGGCGTGGTGGCTCATACCTGTAATCCCAGCACTTTGGGAGGCCAAGGCGGGTAGATCACCTGAGGTTAAGAGTTTGAGACCAGCCTGGCCAATGTGGTAAAACCCCATCTCTACTAAAAATAAAAAAATTAGCTGGGCATGGTGGCGTGTACCTGTAGTCCAGCTACTTGGGAGGCTGGGGCAGGAGAATCGCTTGAACCCAGGAGGCAGAGGTTGCAGTGAGCCAAGATTGTGCCACTGCACTCCAGCCTGGCGACAGAGCGAGACTCCATCTCAAAAAAAAAAAAAAAAATAGAGATGGGTCCTCACTATATTTGCCAGGATGGTCTCAAACTCCTGGCCCCAAGCAATCCTCCCACCTCGACTTCCCAAAGTGCTGGCATTACAGGTGTAAGCCACCATGCTTGGTCAAGATGACACTTGAGTTGACCAAGTCTTGAAGCATTAATGTAGGTTTCCCAGTGCAAAAGCTAAATTACAATAGTGGGAATGGGGAGAATAGATTCAAGAGAGCTTAAGGAGGTAAAATCCATGGAATTTGACTGATCTGCTAGGAAGGTGGAGGAGAGGTAATTGAGGCAAACATCTGGGTTCCTGGCTTGTGGCAAAAGGTGTCTGGTTGTATGTCTCACAGAGCACAGACTGAGGGAACAGGGGCTGTTTAGAAGTCAAGGTGATGGTTCTGTTTGAGACATGTTGGTCTAAGGTGTCCAAGAGTATTTATGTGTAAGAGTATAGGAGTCAATGTGCTATGTGCTGGGTCTGAGCTCAAGAAATATGTATGAGCTAGAAACAAATGTAGAGTCATTGAAGCTACACCAGCAGTAGCTAAATCTATGGCTCTGGATGACGGCTCCCAGGGGCAGTGAGATGAGCATTAGGTAGGGAGCCATATTAGGAGGTGCCAACATGGGGGCATGAGCCAGACAGCTGGGAGAGCAGGGCCTCCAAAGCCCAGGAGGGAGTGGTCAACACATCACAAGCCAAAAGGACTGCTACGGACTGAATGTTTGTGTCCCCGGCTCCCCAAATTCATATGTTGAATTCCTGATCCCTAATGTAATAGTATTAGGAGGTGGGACCTTTGGGAGGTGCTTGCTTTGGGAGGTGCTATGGTTTGAATGTATGCATTCTCCTGAAATTCTTAAGTAGGAACCCAATATCCAATGTAGTATTATTATGAGGTGGGGTCTTTGGGGATGTGATTAAGTCATGAGTACTCTGCCCTCATGAATGGGATTCATGCTCTTATAAAAGAAGTTAAAAGGAGTATCCTAATTCTTTTTGCCCTTCCATCTTTTCCACCATGTGAGGACACAGTGTTTGTCCCCTCTGGATATGAGGCAAAAAGGCACCATCTTGGAAGCAGAGAGCAGCCCTCACCAGACACAAAACCTGCCAGTGCCTTGATCTTGGACTCCCCAGTCTCCAGGACTGTGAGAAATAAATTTCTGTCATTTGTACATTACCCAGGTTGTGGTATTCTGTTATAGCAGCAGGGACAGAAAAAGGAGGTAATTAGATCCTGGGGATGAGGCCCTTATGATGAGATTAGTGTCCTCATAAGAAGAGACAGGGCCAGGCACAGTGGCTCACACCTGTAATCTCAGCACTTTGGGAGGCTGAGGCAGGTGGATCACCTGAGGTCAGGAGTTTGAGACCAGCCTGGCCAACATGGTAAAAACCCATCTCTATTAAAAATACAAAAATCAGCCGGGTGTGGTGGCAAGCATCTGTAATCCCAGCTACTTGGGAGGCTGAGGCAGGAGAATCAATTGAACCCAGGAGGCGGAGGTTACAGTGAGCCAAGATCGCGCCACTGTACTCCAGCCTGGGCAACAGAGTGAGACTCCGCCAAAAAAAAAAAAAAAAAAAAAAAGAGAGACAGGAGAGAGCTTGCTTCTTCTCTCTACTCTCTGCCAGATGAGAATACAAGGAGAAAGCAGCTATCTGTGAACCAGGAAAAGGGCCTTCACCAAGAACCAGTCTTGGCATAAGCAGAAATAGTAGACGCTGGTGATAAAAGGGTGGAGGTTGGGAGGGGAGTGAAGTTGAAAAATTACCTGTCAGGAACCATGTTCACTATTGGAGTAATGGGTACGTTAGAAGCCCAATCCCCACCAGTATGCAGTATGTCCATGTAAGAAACATGCACATGTACCCCCTGAATCTAAAACAAAATAAAAGAAAGAAAGAAAGAACCTGGCCATGCTAGCACTCTGATCTCAGACTTCCAGCCTCCAAAACTGTGAGAAACAAATGTTTGTTGTTTAAGCCACCCAGTCTGTGGTAATTTGCTACAGTAACCTGAACTAAGACAGGACAAATAGGATAACCTTTGAAATGAAGGATACCGCCTTTTCTTCTGAGAAAGAAGTGAAGGGGAAAGGGGGATAAAGAGACGATTTGGAGAGGAAGAAAAAGGCAAATGATAGCATCAGAGACACATTGAAGAGGAGATTACTGAGGATCGTTCCTGGCACACAGTTGGTCAGGGACTGAGCAATAACACGTTTCCACAAAAGACAAGAAAGCACGGTAGAGATGAGGGCCAGCTCTGTCACCAACAAGCCAGGTGATCCTGGTAAGCCTGGGTGACGTCTACGCTTCCTTCTTCCTTTAAGATGTGGGACTCCCTTCCCACTCATGCTGAATACCTGATAGGTTCTTCCTGCCTGCTGTACAAACAAAATCAACTCATGGAGACCATAGCACTGTAGTAAAGAAATCATTTAATTGACCTGAGGCCAGCCACACCACGTGGGAAACAGATTATCACTCAAATCAATCTTGTCCAAGGCCTGTAGGTTAGGAGTTTTTCAAAGGTAGTTTGGGGGAAGAAGTGGGTGCTTACTGCTGATTGGTTGGGGGGGTGCCATCGTAGGGGTGTGGGAAATGGTCCTCCTGCGTGCGGATTCGCTTTGGGTGGGGCCACAGGTATGGTTGGTGGGTCCAGGTGGAAACATCATCGGTGTTAGACATGCAAAAAACCTGAAAAGCATCTCAAAAAGCCAGTCTTAGGTTCTACAGTAGTGATGTTATCTGCAGGAGGCATTGGGGAAGTTGCATATCTTGTGACTTCCAGAATGATGGGTAGCAATGGTTTATGTCTACACCTTAGCAGAATTCAGGCTCCTCTCCTCTGGCAGAATTCAGGCTCCTCTCCTCTGCCTAGCCTGGTGGTCTCTCAGTAGCTTTACATAGGCAGTTGAGTTTTGGGGAAGGTCTATTACAAAGTATCTCCCACAGTTAGCTTGGCCCAGTAAAAACTAAGGCAGCTTAAAGGCTATAGGCAAGAGGGGGGTTGGCTAGATGAGATCTACCTCACTGCTATAATTCTCTCACTGTTATAATTTTTGCAAAGGGGATTTCACTGGCCCTCTCTCCACCAGCCTTCTCAAAGCCAAGGTAAGTCCTACTGAGCCCCAGGGAACCGAATCTTAACAGGTGCAGTGGTGGTTGGAGAACCAGTAGGTTCTCCTTACCTGCTGCCTAGATAGAGATGATTTATTGAGACAGGGGAATTACAATGAAGAACGAGTTTAATTCATGCAGAGCCGGCTGTATGGGACACCTGAGTTTTATTATTACTCACATCATGCTCCCCGAAAACTCCGGGGTTGGGTTTTTAAGGATAACTTGGCAGGTAGGGGACGAGGGAGTGGGGAGTCCTGATTGGTCGGGTGGGAGATGAAATCACAGGGAGGGAGTCAAAGCTGTCCTCTTGCACTGAGTCAGTTCCTGGGTGGGGGCCACAAGACCAGATGAGCCCGATTACGGGTATGGGTGATGTCAGCTGATGCATTGGAATGCAAAATATCTCAAGCACTGATCTTAGGTTTTACAACAGTGATGTTATTCCTAGAAGCAATTTGGGGAGGTCCAGAATCTTGGAGCCTCAGGATGCATGACTCCTAAACCATAATTGTTTTTTTGTTTGTTTGTCTTTTGAGACAGAGTCTTGCTTCTCGCCCAGGCTGGAGTGCAGTGGCGCGATCTCGGCTTACTGAAACCTTCACCTCTTGGGTTCAAGCGATTCTCCTGCCTCAGCCTCCCTAGAGGCTGAGATTACTGGTGCCCATCACCACACCTGGCTAATTTTTGTATTTTTAGTAGAGACGGGGTTTCAGCATGTTGGCCAGGCTGGTCTCGAACTCTTGACTCAGGTGATCCACCTGCCTCGGCCTCCCAAAGTGCTGGGATGACAGGTGTGAGCCACCACACCCGGCCCTAAACCATAATTTCTAATCCTGTAGCTAATTTGTTAGTCCTACAAAAGTAGACTGGTCCGTAGGCAAGAAGGGAGTCTCTTTTGGGAAAGGGCTGTTATCATCTTTGCTTCAAAGTTAAAATATAAACTAAGTTCCTCCCAAAGTTAGTTTGACCAGTAATGAACAAGGATAGCTTGGAGGTTAGAAGCAAGATGGAGTCGGTTCGGTCAGATCTCTTTCACTGTCATAATTTCCTCAGTTACAATTTTTGCAAAGGCAGTTCAGTGGGACGAGATCTATTCACTTGAGTCTCCCACCCCTACAGGACCCTGCAGCTCCTGGCGTCCTGGTTGTAACAGGAAAAGCCATCCCACCTCAGCAGAGACACTGACTCCCTCAGTTGGAACCCAGGGTGTCTGGGAGGTGATGTCGCTGGTGCAGGTCCCATGGTTGTTGATCTCAACACTGCAGAGGGACTGGCTTCAAAGCGGCATCATTCCCACTCTGCTCCCAGCTTTTCATTACGTGCCCCAAGCTTGTCCCTGACCTTTATCCTGCACGTCATGCCGGGTTTCAGCATAACAGAGACCTTTTCTGACAAGACAGTGAAAGCAATTGAGCTTATTTTGGAGAGCTCAGAGCTGCTCTGTTAAAAATTAACAACCTCTTAACAATTCCCTTTCATTTCATCTCTTAAAAGGCTCCTGGTCCAGCAGATCCATTGGGAAGAAATAATTCAAATGATTTACACACAGTCCCATAAATTCATCTTGGAGTTTTCACACTGTCATTTCCCACTTTCTTCCTTTAACTTGTTATTGAAGGCCCAGCTGTGAAAGGAAAATAAATCTCCGGACCCTCAAATCACTAAGCCAAAGGGAAAAGTCAAGCTGGGAACTGCTTAGGGCAAACCTGCCTCCCATTCTATTTCGAAAAAAGATAGCTACTAAGATAAATTCCCGTGGATAAAGGACAGACAAAACTCAAAGTCATCCCTCTGCTTACTGACATAAATGCATATCTGATTGCTTCCTTGGAAAGGCTCATCAGAAACTCAAAAGAACGCAACTGTTTGTCTCTTATCTACCTATGACCTGGAAGCCCCCTTCCCAATTCAAGTTGTCTCGCCTTTCAGGACTGAACCAGTGTACATCTTACATATATTGATTGATGTCTCATGTCTCCCGAAAATATATAAAACCAAGCTTTGCCCACCTTGGGCACATGTCAGGACCTCCTGAGGCTGTGACATGGACACGTCCTTTACCTTGGCACTTTCTAAACTGACTGAGAAACCAATAACTCAGATATTTGGAGTTCACACAGTCAAACTTCCCACCCTCTAGAAAGGCTCAACAGGCCAGGCGCAGTGGCTCACACCTGTAATCCCAGCACTTTGGAAGGCTGAGACAGGTAGATCACGAGGTCAGGAGATCGAGACCATTCTGGCTAACACGGTGAAACCCCATCTCTACTAAAAAATACAAAAAATTAGCCAGGCGTGGTGGCGGGCGCCTAGAGTCCCAGCTACTCGGGAGGCTGAGGCAGGAGAATGGCGTGAACCCAGGAGGCGGAGCTTGCAGCCTCAACAAATTGTTCACCAAGAAACCTAGGGCTTAGATGCCTAGAACCAAGTATGTCATCAATGAATGAATCTAACTCCATAAGAGGTTTTATTGATGCTATTATTCAGTAATTAATATCGACAACCAACTTATCTTGGTAAATCCCTTTTATTATTTAATAATTTTATATCTCAATCTCAAATCTAGTGTTGATATCATGTCTTGATGCTTCTCTTTCACATCAGTGAGCACAATATTTTTATTTTATTTTATTTTATTTTATTTTATTTTATTTTATTTTTGAGATAGGGTCTTGCTCTGTTGCCAAGGCTGGAGTGCAGTGACACAATCATGGCTCACTGCAGCCTCAACTGCCAGGCTCAAGCAATTCTCCCACCTCAGCCTCTCAAGTAGCTGGGACCACAGATGGGCACCACCACACCAGGCTAATTTTTCTCTTATTATTTTTGGAGATGAGGTCTTGCTATGTTGCCCAGGCTGGTCTCTTAACTCCTGGGCTAAAGTGGTCTTCCCACCTCAAAATGCTGAGGTTACATGCATGAGCCACACTGCTCACCCTGAGCACAATATTTTGTACACAATTGCTGTCCAATAATACTTGTTGTCTGACAAAGACTCTAGAATTTTGCCAAAGAGCTTCCTTTTCCTCAACTCCCTCCAGATTCATCCTGACCTTGCATCTGTTCATCCTCTGACCTTTAACACTACCCTCCAGTACAAGTTCTCACCTCCGGAAACACCCAGAACAGTCAAGAGAAAACAGCAGGACTCCAGGAGGGCAATGAAATGGCATTAAGATTCCCTGGGAAAACATTCCAGATGACTGAAGAAAATACCTTGAGAATAATTCTTCCAAACTGAAAAAGTCCCAAGGCCAAACAGCTACTTTGTACAGTAAACTGAACCATGAGCCACTATTCATTGGGAGGTGACCCTGACATAAGTATTAGAGCTGATAGAGGCAATAAAATGCAAACACCACTGTGGAATTCAGCTTATGAGGCTATTTTTTTTAACTTTTCCAGGGACTTAATAGAAAACAAAGAGAGATCATACAATTCTAAGGCTTAACACCAAGCATTACACTACACCAAGTAAAATGTGACCTCAAGGAGGATTTTATAGGACAGCTTGGATGGACATATGTGTCTTTTCTTAAGTGTTGCTTTTGTTGATCACTCAAAATTAATCTTGGTAAGGGTCCGATTTTTCTTTTCTTTTTTTTTTTTAAGACGGACACTCGCTCTGTCGCCCAGGCTGGAGTGTAGTGGCGTGATCTCAGCTCACTGCAAGCTCTGCCTCCCGGGTTCACGCCATTCTCCTTCCTCAGCTTCCCAAGTAGCTGGGACTACAGGCGCCCAGCACCACGCCTGGCTACTTTTTTTTTGTGTGTGTGTTTTTTTAGTAGAGACGGGGTTTCACCGTGTTAGCCAGGATGGTCTTGATCTCCTGACCTCGTGATCCACCCGCCTCGACCTCCCAAAGCGCTGCGATTAGAGGCGTGAGCTACCATGCCCAGCCAGAGTCCAACTTTTCTAACTTCTGAACTAGTTAGTCTGGTTGCCAAAAGTTCAGTTCTCTCCTTGAAGTCTGGGTATTTGGTAAAAAAGAAAAAAGAAAACAAAAAGGTTGGTTCACTGATACAGCTACTCATATTGTTATTAATTATAAAATTATACATACTCTATTTAACATGTATTTAAGGCTTGGCATTGTGGCTCACGCCTGAAATCCCAGCACTTTGGGAGGCTGAAGCTAGTGGATCACTTGAGCCCAGGAGTTCAAGACCAGCCTGGGCAACATATTGAGACTCTGTCTCTTTTACGTAGTATAAATTTTTAAAAATAAAAAAAGATATCTCAGCAATTAATTCTTGGGCCCACAGCACATACATTAATGTCTTTGTGCTATGTGTGTTACATACGGTAAACCAAAAAGTATCTGAGACAGGTCTCAATCAATTTGGAAGCTTAGTTTGCCAAGGTTAAGAACATGCCTGGAAGAAATAAACACAGAATCACAGAAACAGTCTCTGGTATGTGTCTTTCTTCAGAGATGATTTTGAGGGCTTCAAATATTTACAGAAGGAGAGTGGGCTGGAGGGAAAAGAGGGAGGTTATAGTCACATTACTGAATCCACATGTTGCAAGAGAAAAGGAGCAGGTAGGGGAATTGTCAATTACATATTTACCTGGCATCAGTAAATCAACATTTTACAGAAGATAAAGGGAACATAGAGTAGCTACCTGTGGAGGTATTTAACCTTTATCTGTAGCTGTCTCCTTAGGAACAAAAGAAAAGGCAGCTTCTTTTTTGTCGTTGTTTTGTTTCGTTTTTTCGAGACAGAGTCTTGCTCTGTCACCCAGGCTGGAGTGCAGTGGCACCATCAGCTCACTGCAACCTCTGCCTCCCGGGTTCAAGCAATTCTCCTGCCTCAGTCTCCTGAGTAGCTGGGATTACAGGCACCCACAACCACACCCAGCTAATTTTTGTATTTTTAGTAGCGATGGGGTTTCACCATGCTGGCCAGGCTGGTCTCAAACTCTTGACCTCGTGATCCGCCTGCCTTAGGCCCCCAATGTGCTGGGATTACAGGTGTGAGCCACCACACCTGCCTCCCCACTCCTTTTTTTTTTTTTTTTTTTTTTTTTTTTGAGACAGGGTCTCACTCTGTTGCCCAGGCTGGAGTACAGTGGCATGATCTCGGCTCACAGGTGAGCACCACCACACCCAGCTAATGTTTGTATTTTTTTGTGGAGATGGATTTTCCCCATGTTGCCCAGGCTGGTCTTGAACTCCTGGGCTCAAGTGATCGGCCCACCTCAGCCTCCCAAAGTGCTGAGATTAAAGCATGAGCCACCACGCCCGGTCTGAAAGGCAGCTTCTTGCATTACTCAGCTTTCAGCTTAATTTTTTTTCTTTTGGCATAGTGAGTTGGGGTCCCAAGTGTTTACTTTCCTTTCACAATTCTTTATTTTGTTTTATCCTTGTAACAAACCATGGAAGATAGGAATTATTATCCCCATTTTCCAGACATGGAAAATGAGGCTCAGGATGTAGATTTAACAAGCACCCTAATGATGACTCAATAACCTGTGTAGCTTTGCTTATTGGGAAAGAATGCTTTGAGCAGCAAATACAAATTTCCCATCTATTCCATATTATTCATTGAATATAATGAAGTAGTATTCTGGGCCAGGCGCAGTGGCTCACGCCTGTAAACCCAGCACTTTGGGAGGTCAAGGTGGGTGGATCACAAGGTCAGGAGTTCAAGACCAGCCTGACCAATATAGTGAAACCCTGTCTCTACTAAAAATACAAAAATTAGCCAGGCATGGTGGTGTGCGGCGGTAGTCCCAGCTACTAGGGAGGCTGAGACAGTAGAATTGCTTGAACCCAGGAAGTGGAGGTTGCAGTGAGCTGAGATTGTACTACTGCACTACAGCCTGGGCTACAGAGCGAGACTCCGTCTCAAAAACAAAAAACAAAAACAAAAAAAAGAAAGTAGTATTCTGAATTTTTATATATCAGATTCTTGTAAGACTGTTTGGTCTGAGAAAGTTTCTGGAACTAGTTTCATCGATCCAGTTTAAAAGGCAGGACATGGTAGCATCAGGGCCCCTACTCCAACTCTGTGCCGACCCTTCCAGTCAAAGGGCAGCAGGCCTGGGAGAAGCACCTGAATACACACTGAACCTGGACTGTGTTTGACAGCATCAAGAGCCCAGGATAGTGGACTTTGAGGGCCGGCGATGGCATTAATTACTCCCATTCCTTCTGTTGAGTGATTCAGGATAACAAAATTCTGATAATAGGCTGGGTATTAAACTGAATAAGAAGGGCATCTTTCAGTCATCCCAGACCAGTGTGGGCTTCTCTCTTCTCTGAGTACCCTACTCTTCACTTCCTTTCCTGACTGCTGACCACAAAACCCCATTCCTCAGCCCATCATCTTCTTTTTGATCCTGCTCCTTATGTCGTCCAAGTCAGAGCTCCAGGGTCATCTTTAACCCATCGTCTCCCTCACCTCCACCCACAAGTACTAGCGTGTCTCCCTCCTGCACCCAAAATGTGTCCCCTCCCATGCATCCCTTGAACAGGTCCTGTGTTAGGCCGTTCTTGCATTGCTATAAAAAAAAATACCCGAGACTGGGTAATTTATTAAGAAAGAGGTTTGTGGCCGGGTGCGGTGGCTCATACCTGTAATCCCAGCACTATGGGAAGCCGAGGTAGGTGGATCACTTGAGGTCAGGAGTTTGAGACCAGCCTGGCCAACGTGGCAAAACCCTGTCTCTACTCAAATACAAAAATTAGCCAGGCATGGTGGTGCACACCTGTAATCCCAGCTACTTGGGAGGCTGAGGCAGGAGAATCTTTGAACCAGGGAGGCAGAGGTTGCAGTGAGCTGAGATCGCACCACTGCACTCCAGCCTGGGCGACAGAGCAAGACTTTGTCTCAAAAAAAAAAAGAAAAAGGTTTGTTTGGCTTATAGTTCTTCAGGCTGTACAAGCAGCGCTCCCACATCTGCTTCGGGTAAAAGCCTCAGGAAGTTTACAATCATGGTGGAAGGCAAAGGGAGAGCAGGCAAGAGTGGGATCGAGAGAGTGAGGTGGGAGGTGCCAGACACCTTTATTTATTTATTTGTTTGTTTGTTTGTTTTTTATTTATTTAATTTTTTTTTTTTTGAGACAGTCTCACTCTATCACCAGGCTGGAGTGCAGTGGCACGATCTCGGCTCACTGCAAGCTCCACCTCCCAGGTTTTTAAGCGCTTCTCCTGCCTCAGCCTCCCAAGTAGCTGGGACTACAGGTGTGCGCCACCACGCCCAGCTAAAACATGCAGATCTCCCATGAACTCACTCATCATCACCAAGGGGATGGTGCTGAGCCATTCATGAGGGATCCGCCCCCGTGAGCCAACACCTGCCATCAGGCCCCACCTCCAACACTGGGGATTATATTTCAACATGAGGTTTGGAGAGGAGAAACATCCAAACTATATCAGGCCCCCACGATCTCCTTACCTGCACTGCTGTAACCCACCAGGACTCACTGGCCTCCTGCCTCTGGACTTGCCTGGATTACCTAAACTAGTCTCCATATGCGGGTCAAAGGTCTTTCAAAAATGAAAATCTGGCTGGGCATGGTGGCTCATGCCTGTAATCCCAAAAGTTTGGGAGGCTGAGGTGGAAGGATTATTTGAGGCCAGGAGTTCAAGACCAGCCTGGGCAACATAGTGAGACTCAGTCTCAACAACAACAAATACACACACACGCACACACACACAAACAATGCAAATCTGCTCATCTCCCCCTTTGTGATTCCCTACTGTCTTCTAATTAAAATCCAAGTGCCCTGGCATGGCACCCAAGGGCCTTCTGGACCAGGGTTCTGCCTTCCTCTTTGGCTTCAGCCTCTCCTTCCTCCACACCATGGCGTGCAGAACTTCAGCTCTGGTAAGGCAGGAGCACTTCGCCGCATAGGCAGTGCTTGCACCTCCCAGTCTTCACACTGGGCTTTCTGCCTGGGCCCCTTCCCATTCCTTTGTTCTGGTTAACTCCTTGCTAGATTGCTTGTAAAAACTATCCCAATCATTCCCCTCTCTGTATCCAGGCTCCTTTGCGAGGTGCCTCTGCAGCTTCAATCATCAAGAGATGGAGTCTATCTTCACATCTGCCAAATCTGGACTGGCCTGGGATTTGCTTTGACCAACAGAATGTGCTGGAAGCATGTTCTGAGCCTGGGCCTCAAGAGGTCTGCAGTGACTACTTGATCTCTTAGATCCTTATCCAGTCACCGTGTGAACTTGAACTGCATTTTTGGATATAAATAAAACGACATAACGTGAGTTTTGGAATATAATCTCCTGGGCAGCCTCGGAGGAGGGGCTGGAGCATTAACCACCCATAGTGAACCTTGACCAGTTGGAAATGGAGAACAGGAGGGAGCCAGACAGACACTTTACCTCTTTTCTGGCTCCGCGGACTGCTCTGCCCGTCTATGCAGCCCTCTCTGTGGGTGGATGCATGAATGCCTGCTGAGCAACCTGCTGTGTCTCCTCACAACTCATGGCAAAGCAGTGGCCAGGCAGTATCCTCATAGCAAATCTAGGCATCTTTCTCTGCTTCACTTCTCCTTTTCTCTCACCTTCACCACCCCTGGCTTGCACCCCCATATCCATTTGTTCAGGTCCTAACCTTTGCCTCAGGTCCTGCTTCCCAGATGACAAGGCCAGGGCAGCAGCCGATGTGCACAGCATCATAGCTTGCATGTAACTCAGATGCTTTGCTTCCCACTCCTCAGAAGCCATGAAATCCCAGAAAGGACATGTATTCATTTTCTGTGGCCACTGTAACAAATTGTCACACAGTCAGTGGCTTAAAACAACACAAGAGGCCATGCATGGTGGCTTACGCCTGTAATCCCATCACTTTGGGAGGCCGAGGCGGGCAGATCACCTGAGGTCAGGAGTTCGAGACCAGCTTGACCAACATGGAGAAACCTCATCTCTACAAAAAATACAAAATTAGCCATGCATGGTGGCACATGCCTGTAATCCCAGCTACTAGGGAGGCTGAGGCAGGAGAATCACTTGAACCCAGGAGGCAGAGGTTGTGGTGAGCCGAGATTGTGCCATTGCACTCCAGTCTGGGCAACAAGAGCAAAACTCTTCTCAAAAATAAATAAATAAATAAATAAAAATACAAAAATTAGCCGGGCATGGTGGTGTGCATCTGTAGTCCTAGCTACTTGGGAGGCTGAGGCAGGAGAATCATTTGAACCCAGGAGGCAGGGGTTGCAGTGAGCCAAGATCTCACCATTGCACTCCAGCCTGGGCAACAGAGCGAGACTCTGTCTCAAAAAACAAACAAACAAAAACAACACAAGCTTACTGTCTTCTAGTTCTGGAGGTCAGAAGTCTGAAACCAGTTTCATTAAGCCAAAATCAAGGTGCTAGCAGGGCTGGTTCCTTCTGGAGGCTCTGAGAGGAGAAGCCATTCTTTGCCTTTTTCAGCTGCTGGTGACTTCCCTATTCCTTGGCTGTGGCTCCTTCCATCTTCAAAGTACGTCGCTCTAATCTTGGCCTCCATTGTCGCACTGTCATCTCCTTTTCTACAGGCAAATCTCCCTCTGCCTGTGTCTTATAAGGACTCTTGTGATGACATTTGTGGCCTACCCATGTAATCCAGGATAACCTCCTCATCTCAAGATCCTTTACTTAATTTCAACTGTGAAGCTTCTTTCACTATATGAGTTAACACTCACAGGTTCCAGGCATTAGCACCTGGGCATCTTTGGGGGCCATTATCCAGCCTCCCACAGCCTATATAGTCTTTCTGCACCCATACATTCACGCCCAAGTGTAACAACCCAGTTACCTCTCAAAGAGTTCTCTGGAGTAGGTTTCTACCACAGTATCAGGCCTTTATGTAAAAATGAAAGGCTAGGTTTACCACGTAATTCATAGTTAATTTGAACAAACATTCTATCTCATCCTCTCATTGTTTAAATAAATGAAGCCTCTGAGAATTCAATTGTCTCTGGTCATCACAACGTAAAACAGAGAATTCGACCAATGTGGACACCATCAGATGCCCCGATTTTATCTGGCTAGGCTGTTTATTTTACGCCATCTCTTCTTCCTTTACTGCTGGCGGGGGCCCAGCCGACTTTGAGACAATAACTTTTCATGGTTTCTAATTAGAAATTAGAGCTTAATGCACTAAATTGATATCATACATTATGATATCCTTTATGACCCAATTTTAAGACTTACAGGAAATTCACTAGGCACCAAAAAGAAATTGAATGCAGATCAGCAGATTACCCAGTTGTCTAGATCTCATTTCCTCAATACTTTATTCTCAAAAAAAAAAAAAAAACAGCACTCTGTCAGCAAATGGAGGTGGTATGGTATATACAGTGTCAAGCTCAAACAGTTCCTGAAGGCATGAGTCAAGGCTCAGATATCTACTGCTGCCTTTCCCTCAGACCACACCTGTAGCATCATAGGCATTTCTCTATGGCCAGTCAACAGAGAAAGAAAAAACTGAGGCGTCATTTATTGATGGTTCTGAACAATATATAGGCACCAGATAGAAATGAACTGCCACACTGTGACAGCCCCAGTCATGAGTGTCACTGAAAAATAGTTGGAAAAGAAAATCTTCCAAGTGTTTAGCACTCCAGCCAGTATGTATGTACTTCCAGGACTGGAAATCTTGAATCCATGATCAAGGACAAGATGGTTAATCTCCATTTGCCCTCAGATCTATAACTTCTGTGCCCTGCTCTATGTTTTTGGATGCTGGCTTCTTGCATGACTCAGAGACTGCATTACTCAGATTCCCTTACTTTCTGGCTTCCAATTGCATTTAGCCAATGAAAAACACTAGCAGGAAATTGGAGGTGGAGAGAGAAGATGGTATTTTTTCATGCTTTCCCTGCTTCACTGCCATGTCCCTGGCGATAACTGTGGTTCCCCCACAGCTACAACTCTCATTGGGCTCTGCTAACACTATTTTCTAACCTTGTCTCTTCAAACCTACAGGTGGTAATGGTTTCCCACTGTTGCTAAGTCTCCAGGTGCCTGATATGGCTTGGTTCCATGTCCCCACCCAAATATTATGTTGAATTGTAATCCCCCAGTGTTGGAGATGGGGCCTGGTGGGAGGTGACTGGATCATGGGGGTAGTTTTTAATGGTTTAGCACCATCCCCCTAGTGCTGTCTCGTGGTAGAGTTCTCACGAGATCTGGTTGTTTAAAAGTGT
Source organism: Homo sapiens (assembly GCF_000001405.40). Taxonomy (NCBI): domain Eukaryota; kingdom Metazoa; phylum Chordata; class Mammalia; order Primates; family Hominidae; genus Homo; species Homo sapiens. The sequence continues at coordinate 45,457,207 of NC_000013.11, forward strand.
GTAGCAACTCCCTTTTGCTCTCTCGCTCTCTCCTGCTGGCCATATGAAGATGTGCTTGCTTCCCCTTCACCTTCTACCATGATTGTAAGTTTCCTGAGGCCTCCCCAGCCATGCTTCCTGTACAGCCTGCAGAACTATGGGCCAATTAAACCTCTTTTCTTTATAAATTACCCAGTCTCAGGTAGTTCTTTATAGCATTGTGAGAACAGATTAATACAGTGCCTCAACATCTATTATTGGTCTCCTTAACTCTCCCCACACCTCTGTAATTATTTCCTTTACTAAGTCTCTTTATTTGAACAATCTCAGATAAATTCTGTTTCTTGATGGGACCCTAACCAAATACAATCTGTTAATTCTCTCCTCCATGTTGCTAAACCTCCTATTTTCCATCTTCTTGTCTCATGCTGTATTTGGAGAAATGTCTCTATATCTATTTTCCAACTTACTGTAATTCTCTCTTCAACTATTTACCTATCTATTTTAATTCCAATAATAATATTTTTCAGTTTTAAGGATTGTTTTAAAAATACAATTTTTTAAAAAACTATAAATTTATCATTACAATTATACATTGGTATATGCAAGGAGATTGGTTTCAGGGTCACATGCATATAGTCAAATCCATGCTTACTCAAGTCCTGCAGTTGGCCCTGCAGAAATTGCATATACCAAAAGTTGGCCCTCAGCATACACAGGCTTTGCCTCCTGTGAATATTGTATTTTCAATTCGTTTCTGGTTGAAAAGAAGCCGTGTATTAGTGGAAATGCACAGTTGAAACTTATGTTGTTTGAGGGTCAACTGTGTAGTTTTATATGATTATTTTATAATCTGCCTGGCTATTTTTGATAGTCTTCTTCCCTTGTTTGGTTTGCTTCTTGATTTCTTTCTTTTTTTAAAAAAAATATTTTTAGTGATGGAGTCTTGCTGTGTTGCCGAGGCTGGTCTTGAACTCCTTGGCATCAAGCAATCCTCTTGTCTTAGCGTCCCCAGTACCTGGGATTGCAGGCATGTGTCACCATGCAGGGCTTCCTTCATTTCACATGTATATGAGAGCCATGCTCTGAAAATTATCCTTTGACAAGGGGGAGTACAGGGCCCCAGCAGTGTATGATGGGAGGCTGGACCTCACCCAGACTGCAGAGTAGATGCCCCTGAGAAAGACATTAAAGCTGAGAACTGAGGGATATCTAGCCATTTGTAATGGTACCCAAATTGCTGGACTCCAGGCTTCTCCAGGCCCAACTCTAGCTCCATGGTCTCTTCTACCACCCTTGGAGATACAGTAGCATCTGTCGTTCCCTGCACTATGTTTGAGTCTGTGTGAAGGGTCTTTGTGAAGCTGCCTACAGAATTTCTCACGTGTGCCTACTCCATTGTTCATGCGCTACTCTAGTAGGACTTGGGAGTACTCTAGGCTTTTTTCATTCTCTACCACCATACTTAGGAAGCAAGAGATATATTTTGTCTGATCTCAGAACATTCATGAACCACCCTCATCCCCACCACCCAGATGGTAGAACCCCTTCTCAAAAACACTTGCTGCAAGATACCATCCTGCTCCCCTCTGTAGACTCCCTCTTTTCTCTAAAACACGTAGTTTCTTAAGGTAGGACAAAAATAGAAGGTGTATTTTTCCAATACCTGTTTTACAACTGAGTGGCTGCTTTTAAAGCTCAAAAGCTGTCCATGTGACACGGTTGTTTGTTGGGTCTGCCGTGACAATCCTCCATTCAGGTGGTGGATACTCAAGTCTGGCTCATTAGAATAGACAAGGAGCTGTGTGTATGTGGAAAACATTCTCTCAGCATGCTTCATGTCAAACATTGGACTCGTCACCCTCTGCCAAGCTATCTTCTTCTGTGCTCCCCTCTCAGTGAAGGACACACCCATGTGTCCAAACCAGACATCCTGACTCCTTCGTGTCCATTCAGTTACACCTCAATCCCGGTGGGCTTTATCTTTTTGATATCTCCTCCTTTCACTCTCCTCTCTCCATGTCCACCAACACTCCTAATTCAGGCTGTCCAGATGACTGAAACAGCCTCTATACTCTCTGTTCCCACTTCTGGATTGGCTTCTGGTCAATGCATGTGCCACACTCTCCAGGACTTTTCTAAATGGCCAATGGGCAATGTCCTTACTGCCCGATCTCCTCAGCACAGAGGCCAAACTTCTTATCATGGCACCCAGGCTTTCACAGTCTTGTCCCTATGCACCGCTTTGACATCATTTCTTGTCATCTTTCTACCTCCAACTTCAAATTCTAATCATATTGTCAAATTTTTTACTTCCTACAGGTGTTCTGTGGTCTTGCTTCTAGGCCTTAGCACATACTGTTCCCTCTCACTTGAAAAAGTTTCTCCTTCTCTGTCTTATTGCTATTCAGATCCCAATTCATTCAAAATATATTTATTGAGTATCTACTGTATGCCAAGCACTGTTAAAGGTCTCTCCAGAAAACCTACCCTCATCATCCAAGTATGGATTAGATGCTTTTCTTCCTTGCTTCCTGTAATCATCTTATGCTTATTCACAGATACTACATTTTATATTGTATTGCACTCGCCAGTGTTTGTCTGTCTACTTTACCAGACTGTAAGCTCCTTGAATACAGGAAATGTTCTGATTTAGTATTGAATACTCAGATCAGCACACAATGTAATATGGTTTGGCTGTGTCCCCATCCAAATCTCATCTTGAATTGCAACTTCCACAATTCCCACATGTTATGGAGGAACCTGGTGGGGGGTAATTGAATCATGGGGGTGGGTCTTTCTCATGCTGTTCTTATGATAGTGATTGGGTCTCATGAGATTTGATGGTTTTAAAAAACGGGAGTTTCTCTGCACAAGCTCTCTCTTTGCCTGCTGCCATCCATGTAAGATGTGACTTGCTCCTCCTTGCCTTATGCCATGATTATGAGGCCTCCCCAGCCAGGTGGAACCATAAGTCTAATAAACCTCTTTCTTTTGTAAATTGCCCAGTCTCGGGTATGTCTTTTTTTTTTTTTTTTTTTTTTTTTTTGATTCAAGGTCTCACTCTGTCACCCAGACTGGAGTGCAGTGGCGCCATCTTGGCTCACCACAACCTCCACCTCCCAGGCTCAAGTGATTCTCCCGCCTCAGCCTCCCGAGTAGCTGGGATTACAGGTGTGTGCCACTACCACCTGGCTTATTTTTACATTTTTAGTGGAGATGGGGTTTCACCATCTTGGCCAGGCTGGTCTTGAACTCCTGACCTCAAATGATCCACCTGCCTTGGCCTCCCAAAGTGCTGGGATTACAGGCATAAGCACTGTGCCTGGCTCTCAGGTATGTCTTTATCAGCAATATGAAAATGGACTAATACAGAACCCAACACACAATTAATGTTTGATAAGAGGATGAGTGAATGAATGAATGGGTAATCTATAATGTTACTAGATCTCTAATGCTGTACAATAAGCACACACACACATGCACCCACACAACGAACATATAGGCATAATTATGATATATGCGTATCATTATAAATAACACATACTCATTAAAACATTTGAAAAACAAAATACAAGTAAAATTTAAATGTAATTAAAATGACTGTCTAGTAAGCCATCAAGCAAATTTACCATAATTCTATACTTAAATTGTTTCTAAATGTTTTTTAATATCCTGCTGTGAACATCTTTGTAGATAAAGCTTTTTTAAAAAAAATTAAGAGATTATCAATTTATGAAAAAGCCCTAGAAAAGGAAGTAAAAAAAAAGTGAGCATTTCAAGGCTAGTGATAGATATTTCCAAAAATGTTTTTACCAACATTTACACATGACTTTATTGCATGTGTTTTAATTTTATTATTAGCAAAGAGGCAGTTCATAGCTTTTTGAGGTTGAAATTTTGGAAGGTAATTATGTCTTTCTTCAAAACATGCCTTGATTCTAAATATTGATTCTGAATTCTAAGCTGTGGTACTATTTGTCTAATTCTTCTGTTATTATGAAATAAAGCCTTAGCTACTATTTAAATAAATTGTCAAGGTTTACAGTGATTTATAGTCACTGATGTGTAAATGAGAAATTGATAAAGTGAGTAAGAAAGGAAATAATTTGAAAAGGAAAACAGATCTTCAGACCCTTGATGAAGCTATAGAAACCTATAGCAAGGGAAGTGGTTCTTCTGATAATAGGCTGGAGAGTATACATAAAGAAATCCATCAATTCCACAAGAACGTGCTCTGAAAATTCACGAGGCAATTGTACACATGCAGCTGTGTATAAGAATGATTTGAACTATTCCATTTTGTAACTTTGCTGTTTTATAAGCAGTGAAGTAAAATGGAAAATGATCTGAGAAGTCTGTGTGTTCTAACGTTCTTCCTCTTTTACGCCATGTTTAGTGTTTTGGCACTAGTACAACCTTGAAGTACCATAGAATGCTGGGAAGCAGTTCTGCCAGCCTGTAATGCTCATCCTTGGAACTCATGCTTGCTAAAATGTCCTGTGACAAAAAAGTACGAATGGGTTCAAATGTACGAATGGGTTCATGTTGCTCACTTTCATTTGTGTTAGCACAGAGGGAAAAGAGAAGGTCCTGCCCAGTGTCCTGGTTCCAATGACAGGTCTGCCCTTTACTAACTGTTATCCTGAGCAGCTCACAAACCTCCCTGAAGTTTGTTTTTATCATTCATTAAATAGGGCAAAAAATAATATCCACCAACTACCTACCTGAGTGAAAGTGAGCAGCAGATGAGAGGTGCTTTGGAAATCAACACATGAGCTATTCTTGCAATGCCACATTATTAGCGGGGGTCCTTTGCAGTGTCCAGGTTTGAGTCATTGAGGAGGGCTGACCATGGCGAGGCTATGAAGCCCTCACTATAAGGAGGTCTTTGGATCCTTACCGCCGTCTCCTTCCCTATCTCTCCCCTTCCTCAATCTAGAGCACCTCTGCCCCTTGTCCCTTAGGCATTTTTCCATTTCCAGGGGCCTATTCTAAGATATTACTGGGTGAAAAACCCTAGGAAGCAAAGAAATGTGGAATTGCAGACACTTGTAGTAGGTAATAGGAAAGTTTAACCATGGTCTATGTCTTTATTAGGGCAGTAGACAGTAGGATGTGGTGCAGTCTTTCTCAAACTAGAGCTTGTGATTACATTTTTAAAATATTTGTTTTCATTTCAACTCTTTTTTTTTTTTTTGAGACAGAGTCTCGCTCTGTTGCCCAGCCTGGAGTATAGTGGCACAATCTCAGCTCACTGCAAGATCCGCCTCCCGGGTTCATGCCATTCTCCTTCCTCAGCCTCCCGAGTAGCTGGGACTACAGGTGCCTGCCACCACGCCCGGCTAATTTTTGGTATTTTTAGTAGAGACTGGGTTTTACCATGTTAGCCAGGATGGTCTCGATCTCCTGACCCCATGATCCGCCCGCCTCAGCCTTCCAAAGTGCTGGGATTACAGGCGTGAGCAACCACACCCAGCCTCATTTCAACTCTTAAAACTATATTCATGCATATTCTGGATCACCAACATGACAGTTTTATAGTTTAGGATTACCACATGATTTCAGCTTCCACCCTCCTTGTTTGTGCATATAGAATATTTTTAATAAAGCTACTAAAAACAGCAGGGTTGTTTTAATATGCAAATGATATATACAAGCCAGATAAAGGAAAAATGGTATTAGGGATTTACCCTGAGTCAAGTGTTCCCAGTAGTTCAAATGGTGGGGAACACAGCATGCTGCTGGTATAACAGAAGTGTGATGAACTCCCAAGCAGCTGTATAGCAGTAGTCAGGACTGTCTTCGTGTTGCCAGAAGCAATTTCGTTTTCCAGCAAAATAATATCCCACATCTCACTTGAGTTGTTAATGTGAATGTTATTGGTTATATACCGTTATATGTTAGTTATATTTCTGTTGGCATGTAACTTGCATGTCTATTTTGGTATAAACATCCAAAGCTTATGTCAAGTCTTATTTTTGTTCATACTTAAGCAATATAATACAATTATTTACATCAACATTGGGGATCTGCAGATTTTTTAAGGGCTTTGTACAGCAGGCAACTTGGAGAAGCTGTGGTATATAAAGGGTGTCAGACACAGTCAGGATATCTAAGTTCCAGTGGTGACGCTGATGTTAACCACCTGATTGCAGGATGTTAGGCTGCTTGCTTCACCTCTACGGGTTGTAGTTTGCTCCTCTGTAGACAGAAAGGGCTTGATTATATGATTTTAAAATTCTCTTCCAACTTCAAATTCTATTCTTTTTTTTTTTGAGACAGAGTTTAGCTCTTGTTGCCCAGGCTGGAGTGCAATGGTGCAACGTTGGCTCACAGCAACCTCCGCCTCCTGGGTTCAAGCGATTCTCCTGCCTCAGCCTCCCGAGTAGCTGGGATTACAGGCATGCACCTCCACGCGCAGCTAAGTTTTTTTGTATTTTTAGTAGAGACGGGATTTCTCCATGTTGATCAGGCTGGTCTCGAACTCCCGACCTCAGGTAATCCGCCCACCTCGGCTTCCCAGAGTGCTGGGATTACAGGTGTGAGCCACTGCGCCCGGTCTCAAATTCTGCTCTTAAAAGATCAGAGCCTTCATTTGGGAACATAGCCAGGCACTGATTTGTGCTATAAAGCCTGAATAAAGCCTTCAGACTTTACCCAGACAATGGTCAAAATTGCTACGAAGCTGTTTCCACCTGCCTTGACTCCAGGGAGGAGCAGGAAGAGGCCTCCATAACTTGTAGAAGATTGTCTGTTCTCCACCATTTATTTATTCAATCGTTTATTTATAGCAGTATGGACTCATGGGTATTTATTTTATTCTGTAAATTATGATCCAATACTATCATTATTTATTTTGTTGCTCAAATCTACAATATGATTTAAATGGTAGAGTAGAATTACATGTCTGTACCACAAATTATTATTATTATACATTTTGAGACAGTCTCACTTGATGCCCAGGCCGGAATGCAGTGGCAAGATCTCTGCTCACTGCAACGTCCACCTTCCAGGTTCAGGAGATTCTCCTGCCTCAGCCTCTCAGGCTGATTACTGGCATGTGCCACCACGCCTGGCTAATTTTTGTGCTTTTAGTAGAGACGGGGTTCAACCATGTTGGCCAGTCTGGTCTCAAACTCCTGACCTCAGGTGATACGCCCACCTCGGTCTCCCAAAGTGCTGAGATTACAGGCCTGAGCCCCCGCGCCTGGTCTGTGCCACAAATTCTTGATCCAGTTCTTCAATGTTGGACATTTAGGTTGTCTCCAGTTATTTGATACCATTAATGATGTCTGAGATACACACATCTTTGAATTTTTTATGTGTTTCCGTAAATTAGTTTTCTAGTAGGGGAATTACTGGATGTTGGAAAAGTTTATGCTTTTGGTTTTGATCCAAGAGGCATAAATTGTCAACATGCCAACATGGAAATCATACACTCCACACATTCTACCCAGACTACCCAGCTGTAAGCAGAGAGGTGTAGATCCAAGTCTCCTGCCGGCAGGGTGATTTAGCGCAGTTGTCAATAATCTGTACAACACGTAACAATAAAGTTATTGATGTTGAGGAAAAGACTTCCGGTAGGGGCATTTCTATTTCCATTGGGTCCTGTCTTCTCCACCTTCTACGTTTCAACCGGAAATAGTCGTACCCATTTAAAGCCACGTCGGTACTGGCCTCGGTCCCGCCCCCCACACTGCGGAACCGTTTCCGGGGTCAGGGCATTCCGTCCCGCCCCGCCGCCGGTGCAGTGTTGGAAGCTCCGGTTCTCCCGGAAGTGGCCCAGGTCTCTCTGTCGGGGTCCCCTCCATCTCGCTGCTGCTGAAGGCCGCGAGGGCGGCGGCGATGGCGGAGGCGGCGCTGTTGCTGCTGCCTGAGGCGGCGGCGGAGCGGGACGCTAGGGAAAAGCTGGCTCTCTGGGATCGGAGACCGGACACGACGGCGCCGCTGACCGACAGGCAGACGGACTCGGTATTGGAGCTGAAGGCGGCGGCAGAGAACTTGCCGGTGCCAGCTGAGGTGAGGTGATGGGCAGGAACCGGGCCGGGGCGATGGGGCTGGGATTCTCCTCGGGCGCCCCGGCAGGACCCCGGCCTCACTAGCCTCTGCCCAGGATATCTCTCCACTCCTCCCTGGCCATGGTGGCGGATCCGGTGGGAGGGGCCTCATCTCCCAGGCTGTCAGGCTTCGCTCTGCCTGCGACCCCGACTCTAATTCTGCCTGGGGACGGCTGTGGGGGTGTCCTGCAGCTGGTGCTCGCCGGAACCCAGTCCTCCCCCAGCAGCATGGGACGGTTGGCCCGGAGCCTTGCACCGAACGTTTTGCCCCAGACGAGGCGTCCTGTCAGCCGAGGCGTAATCCTGCTGCCCACTCTCTCCCAGAAGGAGAGGCAGTCAACCCGAGGTGCTGTGCTGCAGGACAGTCTCCAGCGCGTGCTCGTTTACCGCCTTAATGATTCACCTAGGTTGCTTTGTCCATGGGGGTCTTGGGGAGACCAAAACTTGGTCCTGAGTGAGTTTCATTTATCGCACATTGAACTATGAGCTCTCAATCAAGTGCAAGTTATGGGAGATCAGATTTATTTCACCTATTGCAAAGCAATAAAAATGAATTTTATTTGAAAGTTGGCTCAGTACATTATTAAGCAGTGCTGGTTTTCGGTGTTAGAGTCAATGTGTTTAATCCACTTACCATTAGGATATTATGCACTACTGCTTCTTGTGTGATTCAATTCAATTAGTTGTAATAGCAGGAAGTAACATGAATTGTCAGATGTTTGACAAACGTTTTCCAGTTTTGAGGGCCAGGTTTAGGAGGATTATTTTATATAAGCAGTGGTGATGGTTACTTTTGATGTTGGAAGCATTCTTTTCTCTCGCTCTGTCGCCCAGGCTGGAGTGCAGTGGCGTGACCTCGGCTCACTGCAACCTCCACCTCCCGGGTTCAAGCGATTCTCCTGTCTCAGCCTCCCGAGTAGCTGGGATCACAGGTGCCTGCCACTACACCCGGCTAATTTTTTGTATTTTTAGTAGAGATGGGGTTTCGCCCTGTTGTCCAGGCTGTTCTCGAACTCCTGACCTCAAGTGATCTGCCCGCCTCGGCCTCCGAAAATGCTGGGATTACAGTCGTGAGCCACCGTGCCTGGCCTGAAGCATTCTTTTTATACGATTTGGAATTGTGTCCAAATGCAGATTGAGTTTAGAGTCTTCAACTTTTTCTGTCCTCCAACTTTAGAGATTTGATTTAAACGTTCTCTTCACATTCACTGTTGTATGCTCAGCCATCAAATAGGCGTTCTTTCTTGGGTTTCTTTTTCCACCTCTAGGATATGGTACCGGAAGTGGATCTGAAATCAATGAAGGCGCAGGTGGAAATTTCTTTGGCTCAGCTATCAAACTCTTTTATACCCTGGATAATAAAAGTTGTTTGCTCTATAAATTTTCCAGTCTGTTTATAATTGATTTGGCTCCTACTGCAGCAGGATGCTTGGACTTAATAGCACTGAGGGTGTGATGGGGGAGATACATATTCTACAAAAAAATTTGTTTTCATTGTCATGGGTCATAAACTATTATTTCTTATTCTCATTGAGCATGAAGGAGAACGTTTGGAATGAACTAAATGGAATCTTTCATTTTCACCCCATTCTTCCATATTTATCATTAGCCACATGCAGTCTTTAACATATGTTATGTCCCTACTCTGAGTTAGGTATTGAAGATAGAAAGATAAATAGGAAAGATGAGATCCTTAGCCTCATAGAGCTGACATAATTGTGGGGATCATGAACATGGAAAAAAAGAACAAAGAAGGTATGTTCAGATGGTGGTCCATAATATAAGGAAAATCAGATAGGATGGTGTGACAGAAAAGGATGAGGTGTGCCCTTTTAGAGAAAGAGGGAAGACCTTTCCAAGGAAGTGACAGCCTGAGGTGAGAACTGATGATGGACTACCTGAAGCTAGCCTCATAAAGACTAAAGAAATAACATTGCAGCTGGAAGAAAGAACAGCATAAGGTCATGGGTAGAGGATGAGCTTAATGAGTTCAAGAATTCAGTGAGGGTCTTCTGGTACGTGCAGCTTGGTATTGGATTCCTGTGAGAATGCAATAGCTGAGGCCAGGTGCGGTGGCCCACGCCTGTAATTTCAGCACTTTGGGAGGCTAAGGCGGGAGAATCACTTGAGGTCAGGAGTTCAAGACCAGCCTGGCCAACATGGCGAAACACCATCTCTACTAAAAATATAAAAATTAGCTGGGTGTGGTGGTGCATGCCTGTAATCCCAGGTACTTGGGAGGCTGAGGCATGAGAATCACTTGAACCCAGAAGGCAGAGATTGCCCTGAGCCGAGATTGCACCACTGCGCTCCAGCCTGGGTGGGTGACAGGCAAGATTCTGTCTCAAAAAGAATGCAGTAGCCGAGCTGGTTATGCACACATCCTGGAATCTTTGAGAAGGCAGTTCTCATTGCTCTTCAGCTTTACAGCCCTCATTTTCCTTTTCTGAAGTGTTTATATGTCTGTTGGGAAGACTTTGGAATTAATTTTTTTAGCCCTATACTACTCTTTTAACATTGGCAGCAAAAGAGAGTGCCACAATTTTCATTTTGTCCAATCAGTATAACTCAAGGATTTTCTGTAGTGTTTCACAATTTTCACGAGATAAATTACTTCCTGAACAACTGGAACTGAGCAGGCTAGTAGAATAGCAAGAGGCCAACTAACTCTTAAGTACATATCATAAAGATGTTAACTTCTTTAGAAAATAGCTTTCTCTTTTATGAAAGAGAACTAGTCTTATCTTAAAAAGGAATTATGCCTTTTTTGGCATTAGAGAAAATAATTTACAATAGAATATTAGGTAGACTTTTGTAGCCAGGGCAAACTTAGTAGTGAGGGGCCTATTTCTTTCTGTTGAATTTAGTAATTCTTGATAAAGTGCTAAAATAATTTACCCCGACATTTACCTATAATTTACTGTTACAGCTGTTGTTTTCTTGTAGGCTGTGTGACCTTAGATGTGATGTTTATCTTTTCTAAGCCTTAATTTTCTTCTTTATAAAATGGGGACTTAACTCATGATGAGTACTTATCTCATAGGGAATTGTGAGAATTATGTGAAATCACGTATGCAAGGTGCACGTGGCAAGTTACTTGCTATTATTCTTGTGCTTTCTTTCAAATTATTAACATCTTAAAAGAATAGATTAGAATCCTGTGATGCTGAGCTGGTATAGGTGTCATTCAGACCAAAGGTAAGAAAAGGAGAGGTTAAGTGCCTTGAGGAAGGTTCTGAGACTCCACCTATACCTCTTCAGTAATTTGCTCCAAGCAGAGAACAAAACATCAGGTTTCATTTAGGGAATTAATTGATCAGATTGATTATAAAAGTGGTTTTCTCCAACCCAGAACTCTGCAAGAAGTAAAGCTTGGGAGAGAAAGGTATGTTACTTGTTATTTCAGGGACCTGCTCAGCTGGTCAGGCAAAGCTTGAGAATTTATTGTACTTACTATTTAATGTTAGTGTCTCCATTTGCATAAACTATACAGTAGCTCTGCAGCACTGGCCCATTAGCAATCTAGAACTGTGTTCTCTCTCTAGTGGTGTCTGTCTGCTCCATCTGGAAGCCAGGACAGTGCTGGTAAGCAGCAGGCATTCAGTCACCTCCTCCTGAGAAGTGAATGAGAGGTCAGAACAGGAAAGTGTGTGATACCACCACACCCCTTTTTGACTTGTCATTCTATACCAGGTGTTTTGAGAAAGGAAGGCAGCTGCCTAGTCTACTTAATGGGGGCATTTTCTCGTATGTTATTAAAAAGCAACTTGTTTTGCTACTTTAAAAAATGATTTGTTTGAAGTAATTGCATTATGGCTTCTCTCTTGCTTGGTTTGAGAGAAGATGGTTTTGTATTAGAACAAGGAAACAGGGAGCCTCCTTTTGCCTCTAGTTTTTAAAGTTCTTATGATTGAAAAGTAGTATTTGTACTTGAAGTAATCAAATAGAATACTCTTATAAATTTAGAATATATTTACTCACATCTAGGTTACAGAACATATCTGGAATATCTATAGTAGTTTCTCAAGTAGAGTTTTCAAATTATTTTATTTTCTAAAGTTAATTAGAAGATAAACTTTTTTTGGTTCAAGATAACAGACTGAGCACACGTGTATGACATCCCTGGATCCCTTTGAAATGACAGTAATAAATGTGTGGCACACCAAAACCAAAGATGGTATCAATGAACCTGAAAGTTGGGCATATTTATAGAAGGCAGGAAGCATGTAGTATCCTTTTAAAAATCATTCTAAAGACTTAATCACAGAACCAGGTGCAAATATTATAAAATTTGATAATCTAAAAAAGAGATAGTACAGGTGACAGAATTTGACAGTAAACAGGGAACAGATATAGAGTTACTAATTTCTTTATCTTACATGGTGAAGTAAGTAAGAGTGTATATATAGGACCTAAAATTGATGAATTCAAACACAAAGCAGTAAATATTTTTTTTTAAGAGTTGTAGAGTTACCATAAAAGAAAACTGAAAATGGTTAAACTGGTGAAAACTGAGGGTGGGGGAGAATGTTACTTTTCATTTTAACTCTTCTGATGATTTGGATTAAAAACAATTATATTCATATATTTTGAATAATTTTCATAAAAGATTGATCAAAAATTCAAAATTATTTCTTTAGTTCCTTCTACTTTTACAGTTCTTCATTTTACCCTCAAATTCTTTAGAAAAACTCTCAAATTATAAACATTGGTATTGGCTTAAAGAAGAAGAATTGGACGAGCAGGGGAGAGGGAAGAAGGGAGACTTGCTTTTCACTTAAATATTCTGTATTCTTGGGACTTTTAAAATAAGCACCCCTTTATAGTTTAATGACAATGACAATGTAAGAGTAAATTCTGTCTTTTCCTTATACTCTGTTGAAGAGACATTTTAAAATGTTGCATATTAAGTGAAAAAGGGGAGGTGTGTATACTGTTATTTGGGTTTAAGGTATACTTCCTTTGTATATGCATAGACCATCTTAGAAAAGATACTTAAGAAACTAGTAACATTGATAGCCTGCCCCTGAGGAGGAAACTAGATGGCTGGAGAATGAGTTCCAGGGGAAGGAGACTTTTCACTGACTCCCTTGAGTTTTGTGCCTTGAGATTTATTACCTATTCAAATAAATACACTTAAAAGGACAGCTCTATGTATTATAAATGATTCTGGGACAAAAGGAGTTATACTTTTTATCTGGAATTTGTTATATGTTGTGAGGTAGTACTAGAATTATGCAGTGTAAGGCCTCATGAACTCTGATGGGAGAATATGATTATTACATTACTTATTAAAAAGGTGAAATAATGTAGATTCACTTGCAGTAATGAGAAATACTACTGTGATCGGTACACTTTGCCCACTTTCCCTCAATGGTAACATTTTGCACAACTATAGTATCTGGTGTCACAACTGGGATTTTGACATTGATCTACATTCTTTCAGATAGACTTATAATCGTTTTTCTCAAAAGAAGTTGAATTACAGATGGATATGGGTCTAGGTGATGTTGGAAGACTGAAGTTTGCCAGGTCCTCTGTGTATTTTCAGTTTTTTTAGTGGTTGCCTTAGGATTTACAATATACAGATGGTCCCTGACTTATGATGGTTCAGCTTATGACTTTCTGACTTTATGTGAAAGCTACATGTATTCAGTAGAAAGTGTACCTGTGGTGCCGGGCATGGCAGTGAGCCACAGCTCCCAGTGAGCCACATACTTTTGACTTAGGATATTTTCAACTTCCGAAGGGTTTATTGGGACACAACCCCATCATAAGCTGAGGAGCGTCTGTACTACTTTAATTAGTCACAGCCTACCTCTAAATATTATACCACTTCATTATGGTATAACAGCCTTACAGCAGGATTCTTTGGCTGGGCATGGTGGCTCACCCCTGTAATCCCAGCACTTTGGGAGACTGAGACAGGAGGATTGCTTGAGCTCAGGAGTTCAAGAATAGCTTGGGTAACATAGTGAGACCTCGTCTCTACAGAAAAAAAAAAGAAAAAAAAATCAAAAAGTTAGCTGGGTGTGGTGGTGCACGCCTGCAGCTCCAGCTACTTGGGAGGCTTAGGCAGGAGATGGCTTGAGCCCTGGAAATCAAGGCTGCAGTGAGCTGTGATTGCACCATGGCACTTCAGCCTGGGTGGCAGAACAAGAACCTGTCTCAAAAAAACACCCAAAACAGTATTCTTCCATTTCTTCCTTTCCCTGTTTTGTGATATTGTTTCAGGCATTTTACTTTTACATATGTTATAAACCCACAATACATTGTTACTACTTTTGCTTTTGACATTTCTTGCTGAGTGATTTAAAAAAAGAAAAACTGTCATATTTACCTTCATTTTAATCATTTCTGGAGCACTTCAGTTTTTTGGGTAGATATGTGTTTTATCTAGCGTTATATTCTGCCTGAAGAATGTCCTTTAACATTTCTTGTAGTATAGGTCTGCTGGTAATGAATTCTCTCAGCTTTTGTTTTTTTTTTGGTCTTTTTTTTGAGACGGAGTTTTGCTTTTGTAGCCCAGGCTGGAGTGCAATGGCGCGATCTCGGCTCACTGCAACCTCTGCCTCCCAGGTTCAAGCGACTCTCCTGCCTCAGCCTCCTGAGTAGCTGGGATTACAGGCGCCCGCCACTACGCCTGGCTAATTTTTGTATTTTTAGTAGAGACAGGGTTTCGCCATGTTGGCTAGGCTGGTCCTGGACTCCTGACCTCAGGTGATCCACCTGCCTCGGCCTCCGAAAGTGCTGGGATTACAGGTGTGAGCCACCACACCTGGCGCTTTTGTTTGTTTTAAACAGTCCTTATTTCTCCTACATTTTAAACAGATAATTCTCTATAGGTGTAGAACTCTGAGTTGAGTGTTTTTCTTTTGGCACTTTAAAGATGTCGCTCTATTGTCTTCTGGCTTGTGTAATTTCTGATGAGAAGTCTGCTGTAATTTTTACCTTTATTTCTCTGTATAGAATATGTCTTTTTCCCTCTGGCTGCCTTCAAGCTTTTATCTTTGGTTTTTGAAAGTTTGAATATGATGTGCACAGAGGGGTTTGCCTGTGTGTATGTGTGTATTCTGCTTGGGATTCTCTGAATTTCTTAGAGCTGTAGTTTTATATCTTTCATTATTTTTGGAATGTTCTCAACAGTTATTTCTTCAAATATTTCTTCCACCCTGTTCTCACTTGTTCTGCTTCTTTTGGGATCCCATTTCATGTAATTTGATATCATCATATAATTTGATACCATCACACAATTCTTGGATGCTATGTTCAGTTTTTATTTTCCCACTCTGTTTTCTCTGTATGATTCATTTTGGGTGATTTTTATTGACCTAACTTCAAGTTCACTGATTTTTTTTCCTTAACTGTGTTCTGTGTACTGATGAGCCCATTGCAGGTATTCTTCATCTTTGTTACCATTATTTTTATTTCTCACATTTCCATTTGACACAGTTTTCAGTTTTCTGTTGAAATTGTGTATCTGTTTATACTTCTTATCTGTGTGTTACACCAGAGCCTTTAACATGTTAATCACAGTTATTTTAGATTCCTTGTCTGATAGTTCTAGTCTCTTGCTCATCTGAGTCTGGCTCTGTTGATTGCTTTGTCTCTTGACTGAGTTGTTTTCTCTCTTTTTTTTGAGACGGAGTCTCCCTCTGTCGCCTAGGCTGGAGTGCAGTGGTGCAATCATAGCTCACTGCAAGCTCCGCCTCCTGGGTTCATGCCATTCTCCTGCCTCAGCCTCCCGAGTAGCTGGGACTACAGGCGCCCGCCACCACGCCTGGCTAATTTTTTGTATTTTTAGTAGAGATGGGGTTTCACCGTGTTAGTCAGGATGGTCTTGATCTCCTGACCTCGTGATCCTCCCACCTCAGCCTCCCAAAGTGCTGGGATTACAGGTGTGAGCCACTGCACCCGGCCTGTTTCCTCTTGTAATGTTTGCCATCTCTTTTTTCCCATGATTTGCCACAGGTGAGCCAGTGCTTGCAGCCTGTCTCTTCCTGGAGGTGCCTGTCGCTCCCCAGATTTTTATCTACTTGGTTACTCTGCAAGACTGGTGGATTCAAGACTAGTTATAATCTTGTGGATTATTTGGCTTTTTGTTATTGTGAGGGTACAAGCAACATTTCTTTCAGCTTTCTTCATCCTAGCCTAGCTTTCGTGTGTTTTCTGGTATATTTTCCAAATCTGAGCCATATCACCCCGGCCCCCCTTAGATATAATCTAAACAGTGCTGATAGAATTATGTGATTGAATTTGTGATGATCTGTTCATATAGAACTAAATTTTATTGCTAATAAAATATAATTTTGTAAAGACGGCTTTACAAGAAGTTGATTAGATTTATAAACTTACTCTGTTGCTGCTATTAGATGGGAATAATAATAATATAATATCAGTACTCAAATTTATTGCTTACAATATGTCAGGTCTGTGCTAAGTGCTTTACATGCAGCATTGCTTCAGGTGGGTTATCTTGAGTCTTGGGTGGCTCCCCAAGGAGACAGCTCATGTTGCTCATTAGAAGGGTTCTGCAGAGCAGGTGTAGATGCGGCTTATCTCAGCACAGCTTCCTCTGTCCTCCAGAACCCCTAGTGGCAGCATACGGTTGCTGATGACACTTTAGACTCAGGATAAATTCTTACTGGATTTGAGAAACTTAATTCTTGCTGGGCCACAGTCCTTTTATACTCAGGGATTGTGTTACCATTCAGAAAGAGTTTACATGAACAAGTGATGCCCTTAATAAGAACTGTTTACCTACACCTAGGACCCTCCTGACTCTTGAGCCAGGCTCATTTGTGGGGAGAAGGCAGATCAAGGACCTTCCTAAATACTTTGTCTGCAGCTTTCCAGCATTCTAAAAAGCCAGTTTTCCCACATCTTTGTTTTCTTTTTTACTCTTTTTTTTTTTTTTTTTTTTTTTTGAGATGGAGTCTCGCTCTGTCGCCCAGGCTGGAGTGCAGTGGCTCGATCTCGGCTCACTGCAAGCTTCACTTCCCGGGTTCATGCCATTCTCCTGCCTCAGCCTCCCAACTAGCTGGGACTACAGGCGCCTGCCACCATGCCCGGCTAATTTTTTTTTGTGTGTTTTTAGTTGAGACGGGGTTTCACCATGTTAGCCAGGATGGTCTCGATTTCCTGACCTCGTGATCCGCCCACCTCAGCCTCCCAAAGTGCTGGGATTACAGGCGTGAGCCACCGTGCCTGGCCTTCTTTTTTACTCCTTATAGTAACGTTATGATACAGACAGTGTATCCGTATCAGCTAAGAGAAGATAATTGAGGATTAGAAACATCAAGTAATTTGCCCCATGTCACACAGCTTATGAATGAACAGGAGCAGGATTCTAACTAGGCTGCATTGTAATGTACTTTACTGTACCATAAATATAGCCCTATTTGAACCCATACACAAAAAACTCTATTTTTAAAGGACAGTGTTTCTAAATTAGTGGTGCATTTTGCATCTAGCTTATTTTAGTTTTGAAGAGAAAATGCTATCTTCAGATGAAACTTCTATATTTAGAAGGTAGACAGGGTAGCACCTTCCTGAGACCTTGGATCTTGTCTTATATCAATGGACCTTAAATGTCATAAACTAAGAACTGAGAGCTGAAAACTGGAATTTGAACCTAAACAATTAGGCCCTTTTACTTTCCCCAGCATCTACTTTCCCTTTGTTTTGGTCTAAAAACAGTCTGTATGTCTATAAATAAATTAACACCTGGTCTTTCTTTGATAGTGGAGAACTAGAAAGTACTGTAGGTCTAATATTGTCAAAGTGAGACCTTGTCTGTGGGCCGCTTCTGAAACTGATGGAAAACTCTAAAATTCTTCCTATTCAGTTTTAATTTCAAAATTTGTCAGCAGGAAGGTGTGGTGAGATGTGCCAGTGGGTGGGTGGAAATGGTAGGAGGAGGTAATGTTTATTTCTAATCAATTCTTGGGTGTGATTTATTTATTTATTTTTTTAGACAGGGCCTCACTCTGTCACCCTGGGTGGGTGGCACGACCTTGACTCACTGCAACCTCCACCTCCTGGGCTCTGGTGGTCCTCCCATCTCAGCCTCCCAAGTTGCTGGACCACAGATGTGTGCCACCACACCCAGCTAATTTTTTTTTTTGTATTTTCAGTAGAGACGGGGGTGTCACTATGTTGCCCAGGCTGGTCTCAAATTCCTGGGCTCAAGTGATCCACCCAACTCTGCCTCTCAAAGTGCTGGGATTACAGGCGTGAGCCACTGAACCCGGTCATTGGGTGTGATTTGTTAATCCTGTTGGTCAGGCTTTTGTGTTAGATACTGGGGAGGGCAAACTACTTTCAATAGCACATAGGTTTTCTCTTTGCCTGGTGGTAGTTCACAAGAGGCTCAAGTGAGAAAATGTGTGTGGATTAGTACAGATTTACCACCCTTATTAGAAAGCTAACTCAGACCAGACTTGGTGGCTCATGCCTGTAATCTCAGCACTTTGGAAGGCTAAGGTAGGAGGATCACTTGAACCCAGGAGTTTGAGACCAGCCTGGGCAACATGTATAGACCCCCAACTCTACCAAAAATACAAAAATTAGCTGGGCGTGGTGTTGCGTGCCTGTAATCTCAGCTACTTGGAGATTGAGGTGGGAGGATGGCTTGAACTCTGGAGGCAGAGGTTACAGTGAGCTGAGGTGGCACCTTGCATGTCAGCCTGGATGACAGAGCAAGACCCTGTCACCAAAAAAAAAAAAAAAGCTTACTAATGGTGGGACATCAGTGTCATGTTTATATTTTGAGATGAGCATTTAATATAGAGCCTAAAATGTTAGTACTATATAGTATTTATTAACTTAATGTGATTTAATGGAAAATATTTCTTTCTCTTTCAAAACAACTGAGATGGAAACCCAATCTTGAGTTAAGTTCAGAGAATTTTCAAGTCACTTAAATATCTTTGTGACTCTCTTTTTTCAAGCTTCCAATTGAAGACTTGTGCAGTTTAACATCCCAGTCACTGCCCATTGAACTGACTTCAGTAGTGCCTGAATCTACAGAAGACATTCTCTTGAAGGGCTTCACTTCCTTAGGAATGGAAGAAGAAAGAATTGAAACCGCACAGCAGGTGAATTGCAGTATCTTTTCTAAGGATGTTTGATTATTTCAGATGTCTGAAGACAAGGCTAATAAAGTCCTAATTAAAAGTTCTGAACATTTGTCACCATAATTAACATTAAGTCTTTCTAGAACATTCTTGATTTTGCATTAGTTGTGGCTGTTTACGTGTTTTAAATGAATCTATTGCCCAATTATAGTTATGATATAGGTAAAAAAACATGAGATTCCATGTTTGGACGTTGATAGATTATTGAGGTTTTAATGTCTTATGCACTTTTGACTTCCCCCAATGTCTGTCTTCTGTTAACCTGTTCCCTCAGTGTGTGCATGGGTACCCCTCCATCTCACTTGTTGCTAGGTAGTCCTTTTTTAAAAAACCCAAATATTCTTTTTATATTAACATTTGTAGTTATTTTTCAGTAATTTAGCATGTGTAATTTTTTCTTGGTTTTTGTTCATTCCTAATTAGAAACCTAAACTTACAGTAGTTTCTTCTGCCACTTTCCTTGTCTCCTCTTTCTTTTCCTATTAAGAGTCAAAGTTGAGGCATTGACCAAATAAAACATAAAGTACATGTGTTGGAACTGGATTACATATATAGTAAGTTGAGAGAGGCAGTTCTACAAACCGATGAAGAATTACAGTTCCTGAGCTAGGCTGACCTGCACCTGAAAGTCAGCTCCATCATTTAGCATCTTTGTGAGCTTAAGCAAATTACTTAGCTTCTTAGATCTTTAGTTTCCTAATATATAAAACAGGGATAATTATATATTATTTCACAGGATTTTTGTGAGCGTTAAATACGATAATGCATGTAAATTCGTTGTGTAGCAAGTACACAGTAAATGCTCAGCAAATGATAGCCAAGGTACATGGCAAGCCTGTATACCCTTGACATTGAATCTTACTTGAGATTCAGTGTTCTCAGGTTCACTTGAAGGTAGTCTTGCACCACATCTGTGAACTTGTTTGGCCTGCTTAAAAAAAGTCCTCTGGATGAAACTCGTACCTGTTCTCTCTTTAAAATTAAAAAAACTAATATGCTGACTTATAATTTATGTACAATAAAATGTATTCATTTTAAGTGTCAGCTCAATGAGTTTTGAAAAGTGTATATACCTATGTATGTAACTAACAACTATAATTGAGATATAAAACATTTCTATCATCACCCCAAAAGTTTCTTCATACTTGTTTAAGGTCAACTCCCCGCATCCCCCTTTTAAATAATAGATATTTTTCAGGCCAGAATTCAGATCCAGGGCTAGCTGATACCAGAGTCCATATTCTCTTTTTTTTTTTTTTGAGATGGAGTCTCACTCTGTTGCCCAGGCTGCAGTGCAGTGGGCAATCTTGGCTCACTGCAAGCTCCACCTCCTGGGTTCACGCCATTCTCCTGTCTCAGCCTCCTGAGTAGCTGGGACTACAGGCGGCCACCACCACGCCAGGCTAATTTTTTGTATTTTTAGTGGAGGTGGAGTTTCACCTTGTTAGCCAGGATGATCTCAATCTCCTGACCTCGTGATCTGCCTGCCTTGCCCTCCCAAAGTGCTAGGATTACAGGCGTGAGCTACCATTCCCGGCCCCACAGTCCATATTCTTAAACCACTCTGTAATATTATTTTTGAGTTATAGCCTCACAGTTCTTATTAGATAACGTTAATATTGATATTTGCCCAAAGCACTATGTTACCTACTCAAATTTTGTAAACGATTATAGCAAGTAGGCATTAGCCTGTTAGGAAGAAATATTCATTTTTTACCTATTGTATGTTTAATACTCTTCCTTAATTTGACTGTGAAAATGGTCAGTTTTTTGTTTGTTTTTTTCAATCCTTAAGACATCTGAAATGGCCTTTTTTTTTTTTTGAGACGGAGTCTCGCTCTGTCACCCAAACTGGAGTGCAGTGGCGTGATCTCGGCTCACTGCAAGCTCTGCCTCCCGGGTTCATGCCATTCTCCCGCCTCAGCCTCTTGAGTAACTGGGACTACAGGCGCCCGGCTTATTTTTTGTATTTTTAGTAGAGACGGGGTTTCACCGTGTTAGCCAGGATGGTCTCTATCTCCTGACCTTGTGATCCGCTCGCCTCGGCCTCCGAAAGTGCTGAGATTACAGGCGTGAGCCACCGCGCCCAGCCTTTTTTTTTTTTGAGACAGAATTTTGCTCTGTTGCCCAGGCTGGAGTGCAATGGCGCGATCTCGGCTCGCTGTGATCTTGGCTCACTGCAACCTCTGCCTCCCGGGTTCAAGCAATTCTCCTGCCTCAGTCCCCCGATTAGCTGGGATTACAGGCATGTGCCACTACGCCTGGCTAATTTTTGTATTTTTAGTAGAGACGGGGTTTTACCATGTTGGCCAGGCTGGTCTCGAACTCCCGACCTCAGGTGATCCGCCCACCTCGGCCTCCCAAAGTGCTGGGATTACAGGTGTGAGCCACCACACCCGGTGAAATGGCCGATGTTTTAATATCCTTTGCTTTTCCTAGCATATGGGTATTGTGGATATAATTAAACTATTTTCTCCTGGCCTAAAACTGATTATGTCTGAGCCCTAAGCAATAAAACTTGGATAACGTCTGTCCTTTTGACTTGCTGCTTAGCATGTAGCCACTTTTAATTTTGTCAGTTTTAGTTTTGTTCACAATATAATACTCTGTTTTTCCAGTTTTTCTCATGGTTTGCAAAGCTGCAAACTCAGATGGATCAAGATGAAGGAACTAAATATAGGTATGTGTGTCTCTTGCATTTGTTGAATATCTTAATTTTTAGATCACAGTCATCTGAAGCATTTCATAATCAGTGTCTTTAAATAAAACTGAGGTATTAAGAAAACTGTAACAGCCATATATTCTTTAAGAATAGCCAGTGAGAAGATTTGGGTCTTTAAAACTGTTATTTAGAAGTTGTGTGATTAAAAACAAAAAGAATTACATTATAATTAATAGGTTAGGAGGGATAGATGTTAGTTTTTAGATAGCTCCAGAAAGAACTAGGTTCAGGTAGGAGTTGTAGAGGAATTCTAGGAGGTGTTTGTTGCTTTTTAGAAGGAGAAACATCCCTGAAAGACTTTCAGGATGGCCACTTAGGTTGGTTGTAACTATACTTCTGTCAGTGGATGCTGACAGCATGGGGGAAATGTTGACGGCTGATTTGGGGGCTGTGGGTTGAGTGTCCACATTCAGGGTATTGATTTGTTGATGGCTATTATTGCTAGGCAGTGTGGTAGACTCTTTAATGTATGATCCCATTTAATCTTCGTAACAGCTGTGTGAGGAAGGATATTACTATTCTTATTTTACAAATGAGCAACCTGAGGCCTGGAAATAATAAGTTACTTGCTTAATCTCATGCAGACTGGGCAGAGCTGGGGCTTGGACCCAGGTCTTCTAATTCTAAATCTAGAATTCTTGCCATGACATCACACCATCTTTCAAAGAGGGAAGTGATCTGAAGGATTGGCCTTACTTGGTGCCTTGGGATGGCTTTGGTGTCCCAGTCTTTAGAAGTTGAGCCAGTGATTCATTGCCTTATATGTGAAAAGCCAGATTATGGCTTCAAGGCTAATTCCTTTTGTTACTTATAGGATTAGTGATTTGCCTTCTTAAGTATTGAAACGGTTTATGACATAACTTTTGGTACATTTCTTAACATAATCAACTTATGTGCATAGGCAGTTTTCCTCCTGAAATTCGAACATTTTGGGAAAAATGAGCCTTTGTTGTTTTTTTACTGTGCTTATTGGGGGAAAAGATTATTGCCAATCCCCTTTTGGTTCTGTTTTCTAGACAGATGAGGGATTACTTGTCTGGGTTTCAGGAGCAGTGTGATGCTATATTGAATGATGTAAACAGTGCTCTTCAGCATCTGGAGTCTTTGCAGAAACAGTATCTTTTTGTGTCCAATAAGACAGGAACCCTACATGAAGCCTGTGAACAGCTCCTAAAAGAACAGGTAATTTGGAGTAAGAGAGAGGATCAGTCATTATATTTAATATTTTAAAATAGATGAATACAGTTTTATTTTAATTTTCTTAATTTCTCCAAGATGTTCAACTCTGCTGTGTTTGAGGCCCTGTGCTCAGCATGCAGATTGTTACACTGACAGCCTACTTTTTAAGTGCATGTGAATAGCAAAGGCAAGCCTTCTTATGTTTTGAGCTGTTAGGTCTCAGTACAATTTCCAAATGTAGTGGCTATGTTGGTTTGCTCTGATCACTCTTTATTACTGACACTTTTATTTTTTATTTTTATTTTTTTTGCTCTGTTGCCCAGGCTGGAGTGCAATGACGTGATCTCAGCTCATTGCAACCTCGGCCTCCTGGGCTCAAGCGATTCTCCTGCCTCAGCCTCCCAAGTAGCTGGGATTACAGGCGTGTGCCACCACACCTGGCTAATTTTTGTATTTTTAGTAGAGACAGAGTTTCACCATGTTGGCTAGGCTGGTCTCAAACTCCTTACCTCAAGTCATCTGCCCGCCTTGGCCTCCCAAAGTACTGGGATTACAGGTGTGAGCCACTGCACCCAGCTACTGACACTTTTCAAAGAAGCATAGTGATTGTACCAATGGTGAGATTTTGAAAAGATCAACTGATTGATTACTTTTGACTTAGAGCTAGAACACTTAAGTTAGTATGTCTCAGAATTTTCTCTGTATGTACTTTTGTGTATTTTAAAAATGCGATCATTTACTATTTTATGAAGAGATCATATAAAATTTACTGTAATATTATCGCCCCTTTTAGTTCATGATTGTAGAAATACTTGAGCTGAATTCTCATATCTGATATAAACCTCTGTGTCTAATGTAAATCTGTTTAGTGTAACTTTGAGACTGGCATGTTGATTCTTATATTCTTATAATAATTGATTTTTCTCTTTTAAAAAATGCAAGTCGGAACTTGTTGATCTGGCTGAAAACATTCAACAAAAGCTTTCCTATTTTAACGAATTGGAAACTATTAACACAGTAAGCATTGTTCTTTACTTCTTATAAAGTTAGTGATTTTTGTTTTATTTTTGCCTTTCTTCGTGTCATCTTTTAATCTATAAATTGGCTTGAGTGATATTTTAATTTAGCTTGCTTGCTGATAGATATTCCTATTTGTAGACAGTGGAGATACCATTACCAGTTCAGATTTTTAAATATTTGAGTTAAGATGTGTTTCTTAAATTGTATTCTTGGTATTAAAATCTCTTTATTGGCTACCTCTTATAGTTTCTTATTTGTAAGCTTTGAAGAAGATTGTAAGAAGAAATATTCAGTTTTAGATTTTGCTGTGGTTATGCTACCATGATAGTAGTCAAAACATTTTTAAAACTTATTCTCATGTTTAGTTTGAAGAAAAGTATAGTCCTCAAAATGTATAGTTGCATCCCAATAAAGTATAATAGTTCCAATAAAGACAAGTGTGTAAATTATATTTCTGTGTTTCTGACTCATAAATTAATCATAACTATGTATAAGTCATGTTATTAAAATCGTTTAATCATAGGTATTTAGTTTATTAAAGACATAGAACTAAAACTTGTGGCTAGTTAACAATGGAATGCAATGGAAAGTAGTTCATTGCCAAGCTATTTGTATATCAGGATAAGAAATGATTGACTGGTTGCATTTTACTTTCATAGTATGACTGCTAAATATAGTATGACTGCTAGTTAATCCTTTAATCTTCAGAAAAATCACCACTGCAAGTAGAAAAATTATGTATATTGTATACCAGAAAGTGAGAAATCTAGGTATTTCATATATTATTTGAATATGACATTGTATAGTGGGGTAATATATACCATGTCCTAATTCATGAAGAGTCCAATTAAAGCTTATTAGGAATAAACTGAATTAAATCAGTATGCTTTTTCTGTTTGTCCCTTCTTTATTGTACATGTGGGCTACATTCGAGGATATTTTGGTGACTTTTAAAATTTATTATAAAGACATGTTATGTCCTAAAGGCAAATATGCTGACTCTAATCCATAGTTTCCAACTTTTATCTGTATCATTTTTTATGAATTAAGATTGTTTTCTTTTTCTCTTAAAGAAATTGAATTCCCCTACATTGTCGGTGAATAGTGACGGATTTATACCTATGCTGGCCAAGTTAGATGATTGTATAACATATATCTCATCTCATGTAAGTCAGAGTATTTTTGCATGTTTTAAAGAAATCCTTAGATTCCTATTCCTGTTCCTATCTTTTTGTGTTTTTCAACTTTTCTGTGTTTAGCAGATGTTCCTATTATATCACTTCTTGTGCTGTAAAGTGATTATTTCTGTCCAAGGGAAAAATATGTATTTGTAACATATTAAAGAAAAGTTGTAGTGAATTCTTAGTCGTTATTAGCAGTGGTGTAAAAAGTACTTTTAGCTCCTGCAATAGCCCCTGGAATGGAACACATCCTGGCTGACTCAGCTTTATCCCATCTAACAGGATGAGCCGTTTTTAAATTGTTGGTGTCTTGACATGCCCGGTATTTCTTTGGAAACAGAAAGTGTTACTTGGGGGGAAATAAAGGGACAAGCCCTTTGATTTAATCACCCTCTATTTCTGTTTCTTCAGGATTTATTGCTGTGTTTATTTCCCCTAACTCCTATTCTTTTCCTAGTTGGGTCTTACATATTAGCCTTGAAGTCTGTGGGGTGCTGAAAATATCTTTTACTAACAACTGCAAATATGTATGGAGCTCCTACTTTGTGCCAGGCACAGGGGGTTTGACTGTGACTAAGACAGTCACAGTATTTATTCATCTTCATGGAGTTTATGATCTTTATGAAACCTGTTTTTGAACTTTATATATTGCTTTACATAGGGACACCTTGGTTTTCACTAAAAGCTTGCTTTTTATCTGTGTTCATTTCCACTTTGTAAATCTTTCTCTTTTCCTTACAGCCTAATTTTAAAGATTATCCCATATATTTGCTGAAGTTTAAACAGTGTCTTTCTAAAGCTTTGCACCTCATGAAGACATATACTGTGAACACACTACAGACCCTCACAAGTCAGTTACTGAAAAGGGTGAGTTAACTGATCTCAACAACAGGTTTTTGTTATTGTTGTTGTTTTGATTCATTCATCTTCCATAATCTTTGGCTGAGATTAGTACTTTGTAATTCCAAAAAATTTTAACCTTTTGTTAAGAATATGTACTACAGCTTTTTATTTATAGTAGGGAAAAATGACTATGTTATAAATATCCCTTGCAAATGTTATTTTCAAATAATGTTTAATAGTGTGAGAAGTATTCAGTACTATATGATGAATAATCAGATACAAATTATTTGTCTCTTAAAACATTCCTTTTCTATCTTTTTCATGAAAATATTAGAAGGAAATATACCAAAATCATAAAAGTGGCTGTGTCTGAGTGGTGGGTTAATGTGCTTTTGAAGCATATTCATATTCATATGCAAAATTATGCATCTCATAATGCATAATTTAAATTTTCTTCTTTACCCTTTTTTTGTATTTTTCAACTTTTCTATATTTAGCAAACATTTTTATTGAGCACTGCCTAATGCTTGATATTATATTAGGAATTGTATAGAAACAAAGAGGCGCTAATAAGGTCCCTGCCCTCATGGAGCTTATATTCAAAAGAAATAACCAGTACAGAAAGAAGCAAATCAATTAGTTAATTATGGATTGTAGTTGATTCTAGGTGGAAAATTAACAGAGTGTAAGGTTAGAAAATAAGAGTAGAATAAGCTAAGATGGTCATTGAAAATATTCCTTTCCTAAGAAAATAAAATCATAAACGTTATGTTTTGGTTTTTAAGCTTGCTTTCTAAAGAACGTGGAGTGTCTTCTTGAACTTTCCATGCAAAGCTTGTGATGTTTGGCTTGCATTTTTACCGTTCACATTGTTCTTAGCTGACATACCAACTAACCTATATTTTTTTTTATTTTTTGCAAAATTTTCAGTAAGTTTAGGAAACTAATAGCTCATAAAGACTGGTACCTATTATGTGCTAGTGCTTTGCTATTGAGCTGCACCAAACCTTTAGGAGTTTAATGGATGCACTGAGTCTTAGAGGGATGAAGTACTTGGGCCAGTGTCCTACATTCAGTGAGTGGCAGAATGTGAATCTCAATTCAGATCTGTTTACCACCAAAATTTAAATAATGTAAGGTTAATTTTAACTATAAAGGAGAGAGAGATGACAGTTCCATTTAATTATTTCTCATGTGTAGCCATAATAATATTTAATCTTCCTGAGATTTTTCTCCCTAAGCTTGCTTATTTATTTATTTATTTATTTATTTATTTATTTATTTTTTTATTGATAATTCTTGGGTGTTTCTCACAGAGGGGGATTTGGCAGGGTCATGGGACAATAGTGGAGGGAAGGTCAGCAGATAAACAAGTGAACAAAGGTCTCTGGTTTTCCTAGGCAGAGGACCCTGCGGCCTTCCGCAGTGTTTGTGTCCCTGGTTACTTGAGATTAGGGATTGGTGATGACTCTTAACGAGCATGCTGCCTTCAAGCATCTGTTTAACAAAGCACATCTTGCACCGCCCTTAATCCATTTAACCCTGAGTGGACACAGCACATGTTTCAGAGAGCACAGGGTTGGGGGTAAGGTCACAGATCAACAGGATCCCAAGGCAGAGGAATTTTTCTTAGTGCAGAACAAAATGAAAAGTCTCCCATGTCTACTTCCTTCCACACAGACACGGCAACCATCCGATCTCTCAATCTTTTCCCCACCTTTCCCGCCTTTCTATTCCACAAAGCTGCCATTGTCATCCTGGCCCGTTCTCAATGAGCTACTGGGCACACCTCCCAGACGGGGCGGTGGCCGGGCAGAGGGGCTCCTCACTTCCCAGTAGGGGCGGCCGGGCAGAGGCGCCCCTCACCTCCCGGACGGGGCGGCTGGCCGGGCAGGGGGGCTGACCCCCCCCACCTCCCTCCCGGATGGGGCGGCTGGCCGGGCGGGGGGCTGAACCCCCCACCTCCCTCCCGGACAGGGCAGCTGGCTGGGCAGAGGGGCTCCTCACTTCCCAGTAGGGGCGGCCGGGCAGAGGCGCCCCTCACCTCCCGGACGGGGCGGCTGGCCGGGCGGGGGGGCTGACCCCCCCCACCTCCCTCCCGGACGGGGTGGCTGCCGGGCGGAGACGCTCCTCACTTCCCAGATGGGGTGGCTGCTGGGCGGAGAGGCTCCTCACTTCTCAGACGGGGCAGCTGCCGGGCGGAGGGGCTCCTCACTTCTCAGACGGGGTGGTTGCCAGGCAGAGGGTCTCCTCACTTCTCAGACGGGGCGGCCGGGCAGAGACGCTCCTCACCTCCCAGACGGGGTCTCGGCCGGGCAGAGGCGCTCCTCACATCCCAGATGGGGCGGCGGGGCAGAGGCGCTCCCCACATCTCAGACGATGGGCGGCCGGGCAGAGACGCTCCTCACTTCCTAGATGTGATGGCGGCTGGGAAGAGGCGCTCCTCACTTCCTAGATGGGATGGCGGCCGGGCGGAGACGCTCCTCACTTTCCAGACTGGGCAGCCAGGCAGAGGGGCTCCTCACATCCCAGATGATGGGCGGCCAGGCAGAGACACTCCTCACTTCCCAGACGGGGTGGCGGCCGGGCAGAGGCTGCAATCTCGGCACTTTGGGAGGCCAAGGCAGGCGGCTGGGAGGTGTAGGTTGTAGTGAGCCGAGATCACGCCACTGCACTCCAGCCTGGGCACCATTGAGCACTGAGTGAACGAGACTCCGTCTGCAATCCCGGCACCTCGGGAGGCCGAGGTTGGCGGATCACTCGCGGTTAGGGGCTGGAGACCGGCCCGGCCAACACAGCGAAACCCCGTCTCCACCAAAACCAATCAGGCGTGGCGGTGCGTGCCTGCAATCGCAGGCATTCGGCAGACTGAGGCAGGAGAATCAGGCAGGGAGGTTGCAGTGAGCCGAGATGGCAGCAGTACAGTCCAGCTTCGGCTCGGCATGAGAGGGAGACCATCGGGAGACGGGAGACGGGAGACGGGAGACGGGAGACGGGAGACGGGAGACGGGAGAGGGAGAGGGAGAGGGAGAGGGAGACTCTCCCTAAGCTTTGATTGGTATGCAGGCCAAGCAGTAGCCATAGGAAATGGTTGCTGTTGGGTTTTCTGAATTATTTGTTTGCTAATTATCTTCCTTCCTTATCCTCCCCCATGTTTCTTTAGGATCCTTCATCTGTACCTAATGCAGACAATGCCTTCACATTATTTTATGTGAAATTTCGAGCTGCTGCCCCCAAAGTCAGAGTAAGTCTATTGACATAACTAGGACATTGCTATGAAATTTGTTCATCTGCCCTTTTGAAGTACTGTTGTATGTTAGGCTCTTTGTTTATACCGAGGAAGTGAACTTGAATGAAAGGTTGACATTGTCCTTCCACATTATAGCAGTGTATCTTAGTGTTGTGTCTAGGTTCTTTAAGTCCACAGAGCAGGAAGCATCTAGCTTTTCCTGTGATGCTCAGGGATGGTTTCTAGATGAAGGTGATAGACGGGTTTTAAAAGCTTGGCTGGTGGTCTTGAAGGGACCAATAAGGTGTTTTGATAAAGAGAGAACAGCACATATAGGGAAGTTTGTAGGAGACATAAAAGACATACATTTTGGGAGAGATCTTTATACTACAAAGACTCTCTCACGAGGGATGTTACATGTCGTGCTAATTTAGGAAAAGTAGAGAACCAATGAAGTGGTATCTTAAACAGAGGAGTTATTTGGTCAGATTTGCCAAACAGACATGTAAACCAATGGAACAGAATAGAGAGCTCAGAAATAAATGCATGCATTTTCAGCCAACTGATTTTTGATAAAAGCACCAAGAACATTTTGTGGGGAAAGGATGATTGCTGGGAAAACTAGATATTCATATGCAGAAAAATGAAACTAGACCTCTGTCTCTCACTGTATACAAAAATCAAAACAAAATGGATTACAGACTGAAGATCTGAAACTATAAAACTACTAGAAGAAAACATAGGGGAAATGTTTTAGGACATTGGTCTAGGCCAAGATTTTATGGCTAAAACTTCAAAAGCATAGGCAACAAAAACAAAAATAGACAAATGGGACTATAATAATCTTAAAATCTTCTGCCCAACAAAGGAAAACAATTACCAGAGTGAAGAGACAACCTGTAGAATGATAGAAAACATTTACAACTATTCATCTGACAAGGGACTAATATTCAGAATATACAAGGAACTTAACAGAAGAAGGCCCCAAATAATCCCATTAAAAAGTAGGCAAAGAGACTGAGTAGACATTTCTCAAAAGGAGACTATACAGATGGCCAGCAGGTATATGAAAAAATGTTCAACATCACTAATCAGCAGGGAAATGTAAATCAAAACCACAGTGAGATGTCATCTCACCCCAGTTAGAATGGCTGTTATCAAGAAGACATAAAACAAATGCTGGTGAGGATGCAGACAAAAGGAAATTCTTATACACTGTTGATGGGAATGTAAATTAGTACAGCTGTTATGGAAAACAGTATGGAGATTTCTCAAAAAACTAAAAATAGAGCTGTCATACCATCCAGCAATACCTCTACTGGGTATTTATCCAAAGGCAAGGAAATCAGTATATCAAAGGGATACCTGTGTTGATTGCAGCACTATTCGCAATAGTAAAGATATGGAATCAACCTAAGTGTCAATCAGTGGATGAATGGATAAAGAAAATGTGGTATATATAAACAATAAGATACTATTCAGCTGTAACAAAAAATGAAATCCTGTCATTTGCAGCAACGTGAATGGAACTAGAGGTCATTAAGTTAGTAAAATAAGCCAGATACAGAAAGACAAATATTGTATGTTTTCACTCGTATGTGGGAACTAAAAAAGTTGGTCTTGTGGAGGTAGAGAGTAGAATGATAGATACCAGAGGCTGGGGTGGGTTGGGTGGAGGGGAGGTGGAGAGGTTGGTTAATGGGTATAAATGTACAGTTTAATAGTAGAAATAAGTTCTAGTGTTCAGTAGTGTAGTAGGATGACTGTAGTTAACAATTTATTGTATATTTCAAAATAGCTAAGAGGGAAGATTTGAAATTTTCCCAGCACAAAGAAATAATACATGTTTGAGGTGGTGGATACTCTAAACACTCTGATTTGATCATAACACATTGTATCCATGTATCAAAATATCACATGTACCCCATAAATATGTACAATTATGTATTAATAAAAAAGATTAAGGATGCAATATAAAAAATGGATTATGGTGAAGAGAGATTTGAGACAGGGAGGCCTCATTACTAAGGAAGATTATGCAGTAATCCAGGTGAGATTAGGGGGTGAATTAATGCATTGGTAGGATATTTCATGAGGTTGGGTATGTGCCTTATTCATTCTACGTAGCAGGAGTCCATGATGTATTTATTTGGATTAACTGATAGCATGGAGGGGGCAAAGATCAATATATGTTATATTTTATAACATATCTGAGATACATTTAATTGAAGCTGGTGCATATATATTCTTTCTACTCATTGTGAAGTTTCTAGAAATAATAATCTACTTTTGCTTACTGACTTCACTTCCTTGCTTGTTTCTGTCTTGAAAGTCAGCCAATTGATGGCTGGGTGCAGTGGCTCACACCTGCAATCCTAGTACATTGGGAGGTCAAGGAGGGCGGATCCCTTGAGTTTAGGAGTTTGAGACCAGCCTGGGCAACATGGCGAAACCCTGTCTGTACCAAAATTACAAAAATTAGCTGGACACGGTGGTGTGCACCTGTGGTCCGGCTACTTGGGAGGCTGAGGTGGGAGGACTGCTTGAACCCAGGAAGTCAAGGATGCAGTGAGCCAAGATAGCACCACTGCACTCCAGCCTGGGTGACAAAGTGAGACTCTGTTTCAAAAAAAAAAAAAAAAAAAAAAAAAAGAGCCAGCCAGTTGAAAGGAATTTTTTTTGACAAAGTGAGACCCAGCCTCAAAAAAAAAAAAAAAAAAGCCAACCAGTTTAAAGGAATTTTTTTTTTGAAATGGGAGAAACTTAGTTTTGTTTATAGAATATATATGTGGAATATGTATACAACCTAGATGTCTAACAGATGTCTAACTGGATGTCAGTTTATGGCATGAAGATTTAGATTGTGCCTGATTGATTGCTTTTGCTTATTAGCCAAATACTAATGATAAAAATTTGATTAGAAAAGAAAAGGTATAGATAAGAGGGCTCAGTGTGGTGGGTAATTATAAAATGATTATATAGTTATCAGTGGCTTTCCTACATACCATTAGTAACAAATTAATATATGTGATGGGGTCCCATTTATATCAGTGACAAAAAGCATAAAATACTTACCTAGCAGTAACCTTAACAAACATAAGGATGAAGAAAATGACAAAACTAGACAGAAAATTATAAAAGACTGAGTAAATGGTAAGCCCATCTTCTTCCTGGTTGGGGTGATTTAATTTTTAAAATGTCACTTTCTCCCAGAGTAATTTGTTGGTTAGAATGTACTCCTAGCAAAAATTCCAATGGATTTTTTTTTTTTTTTTGCATGATTCTAAACTTGATCTGGTAAATAGGCAAGACTAAAGAAGAAAATTTTGAAAAATACAGTGTCATTGATTCAAGCATTCACTGACAGATTGGAATGGAAAGTTGTGGTACTTAATATATTAAGAAACATCCCAAATAGGAAGGACTGGAGTTTTCTACACGGTATTGGGAAGATTTGCTAAATATTTGAAAAAATAGTAAGCTTTTTACTCTATAACATTACCAAAATAATATATTCTAAGTGAATATATTCACTTAGTGGAAACTATATGCAAGTTAAGGCTGGGTGACTTTTGTCTGTCATAAATTGGCAGATTAAGGTCAGTGCTTCTGAGGATTTATGAGACAGGCAGTACTGCTGATAGGAATGTAATTGGATTATTTTCTAAAAAACATTTTAGAAGAATAGACCAAAAACCCATAAAAATACATACCTCTTTTGACCTGGTGTTTTGGGGTCCCCACCTGGGAGGTAGGTGTTATTACACCAGTTTTATACAGTAGGGAGTGGAATCTCAGAAGTGAACCAGCTTGCCTGGGCTCAAACAGCTACTAAGGAGCGGGTGCTGGAACCCTCTAGTTTCACTCAAGGCTCTTCACAAATGGGCTCTGATTCTTCAGAAACAACCTAGATATCAGTAGAAATGGGATATTATGTAGCCTTTTAGCATAATGCTTTAAATCATGCTTACAATGATTCATTGAGTGTTGACTAGGTACCAGGTACTATGCTAAGGCCTTCTATACATTTTTATCTAGTATTGAAAAGTATTTAATCATAGGAAAATGTTTATGAAATAATGTTAATTTTTAAAAAACAGATTATAAAGCAGAATATGTAGTATAATTACAGTTTTACTTAAAAAGAAAAATATAGGAACTGTGGATATAAAAAAACTGAAAGAAAATATACTGAAATGCTGTGGTGAATTTTTGGTATAAGTGATTTTTATGATTTTTAACTTTCTTATATTTACAGTTTTTCTGAATATGTGATACAATTAATATTATAATCAGAAAGTAATGGATAATATAACAGAGATGGTTTTTTGATGCATTTTTTCTTACTTTGCAGACTCTTATTGAACAAATAGAACTGCGGTCTGAAAAAATACCTGAGTGAGTACCTAGAAGTTAATCTGATTTCCACATGAACCTTTGTCTTGTAGTACTGTTTTTCCAAATCTGGATCTCTGATATTTTATGAGCAATTGCCTTCCAGCTTGTTCTTGTAACATACCACTTATTTTGGGGAGCAAGGTCACAGACTTAGCCAGTTTACATGACAGCAGTTTTTCCCATACTAGGATTTGCTTCTTATTTGGGCAGATGTGGGGTCACTATACTTGGAAAAGAAAGCTTTCTTTAAAAGATAAAGCTTATGGCATCACAGTTCATTATGGTTTGCTTTTGTTTTGTGTCTGTATTTCTAGTATTAAATAGTTAATGTGGGCAAATGAGAGGTGACCGTTATAGCTTTAAAAGAGGTTTGGCAACCTACACTGGGATTTAAGATGAAATTTAGTTTACATATCTGAAATGAAAAGTTTAATCTCATTTGCTTTCTGTCAGATACCAACAACTGCTAAATGATATCCACCAGTGTTACCTTGATCAGCGGGAGCTCCTTTTGGGCCCTAGTATTGCTTGCACTGTTGCAGAGTTAACCAGCCAAAATAATAGAGATCACTGTGCCTTGGTAAGTTTCTACTTGTTTTGGTTTAATGTTAAATCTTCCTCTTGAGTTATGTTGATATCCTAGAAACTATACCTGGTTAAATAAGATTTGGGGCCCATAGTTAACTGAAAAAGCATGTTTTTCATTATGACAAATCTAGTTTGGTAATTAGCCTTATTCACCTTTGCAAAATATTCTCATTTTTTACTTATTTTTTGAGATAAGAAGATTCACAAATAAATATTGTTCTTGAAAAATGAGATTTCAAAGTTTGTAGATTTATATTAACAATTTAGCTTTTGCTGCAGAAGTGCTTTTTTGTTTAGTGTAATTTTATTCATACTATAAATTTTTTTACTATAAAAAATGCATAAGCGCTCTTTTTTGAAATGCTTTTGAACTAGAAAAGTAATTTGTGTTTATTATGAGAAGTTTAGAAACTAAAGCATTAAGAAACTAAAAGTCACCTATAATCTCATTATGCAGTCATCTATCGAAAACCAACCATTTTCCGTTCTTCAGTAAGTTGTTTTAAGAGTGTGTATGTGTTATCTCTGCACATAAAGTGTAGGCTTTATTTCATAAACATCAGAAATGTTGTGTGTCTTTAACTGTAGGTGGTGTGTGTTTGTTTACTGCAGGTTCGTAGTGGCTGTGCCTTCATGGTTCATGTCTGCCAGGATGAACACCAACTTTACAATGAATTTTTCACAAAACCAACATCAAAATTAGAGTAGGTGGACATGGAATCTAACTCTTGTTCATAAAATTTAACTTGCTAATGACCATAATGAATCAGTATATTATAGGAGTATTCTATCATTAACTGGAGAATGTTTTAACTTGTTTGTGTCTGTGAACAGAATATTGTTGGGTGGGACAGATATTTTCTTAAAAGTTATTTTCTTAAATGTGCAACTTAACATGCTTTTGTATTGTTTGTAATGTAATTATTTAGATATTATGGTGTGATAGGAAGAAATCTATACAGAATTCTGTAGCCTCGGGATCTAGATCCCTTTATCTCCACTAAGTACAATAATTCCTTCTAGTTAAAAAATTCTATGATTCTAACTAATGAAAGATTTAAAAATACAGATACTATTTAATAACCTTTTCTTTATTTTTCTCAAAATGTCTTTCAGATCCACTGTTAGTCACTTTTGGTTTCTTAATGTTCACTCTTTTGACTCTTACAAACATTCCAAGCTCATGACTCTTGTAATGAGGAAGAGAAAAGTATTTTATGGTTTTAGTTGAAGTGATCACTTTTGATGAAATTCTGTGTAGAAGAGTACCATTGACAGTATGAAGCATATAGACAACTTAAGTTTTTCTTTTTAAATGTTTAAAATTTCTCAAAATACTTGGCGTATGACCAAAGTACTTTGAATTTTGTTTATCTAAATCTATAAGTATTCAATAATTTTAAACTTGTCTTTCCTCGGGGAAAAAGTTACCATTTGATTGATAGTGAAGTAGAATATAAAAGGTAATTAAGTCCTCTGAAATACTTTTTATTGTTTTTGAAAGGACATATAGAAAATTATTGCTGAAATAGATAAAAGTTGTAATAGGTTGACTTTTGTTTGGGGGCAGCTACTTTGAATTGACTGCTGTGGATTGCTTGATTCTGAGCTTTTAAAGCAAAAACTGTTTATAGAATTACTTTCAGCTTTTCCCTTATCATTCTATAATGTCCTCAGATACTATTTTCCAGTAGATACTTATTGTTCTTATTGACTGGAAGAAATCAATGAGGATTTCTAAATTATTACAAAATCCTGAAAAAACTACTACTAATAGACATTTTTATTCTTTCATTTTAGTGAGCTTTTGGAGAAACTGTGTGTGTCATTGTATGATGTCTTCAGGCCATTGATCATTCATGTTATTCACTTAGAGACTCTGTCGGAACTTTGTGGGATTCTTAAAAATGAGGTGCTTGAAGATCATGTGCAGAACAATGGTAAATGAGTAGAAATGATCATTTTAAGTTATATCACTGGCTCAATGAATTTGAAAAAAAAATAAGTGCTTCTTCCCTCACCCCACTAAATAGATAAATTTAATATTTTTGAAGCTTGGCTTGATGCCTTACCCCTTCTTGAATGAAGTTGCACCTTATTCTGTCACTAAAGACACAATCAGATAGGGAAAGAATCTTAAAATCTGGGTAAAATTAGTAATAAAATAATTATAGTCAGTTTTCTTTCTGGCATCTGGAATCCAGATAGAACACATCGTTACTTTTGGGTTAGGCATTTCTAGCACACTGTTACCAGAATACAAAATACATAAATAAATAATTGAATATATTGTATACTTTTGATTAAAAAACAGGAATTGTTTTGTGTATATTCATAATAATAGTTGATCTGTTTTGAAATTACAAATAAAGAAAAGCGGTTCTCTGGAATAGCTCTACTTTGTCCATCTGATACATTCTTCAGTATTTGATTTGATTGTCATAGAGAACATGATTTTCCTAATAGTACCTAGGTACCTTTAAAAAATACCCTTTAGGCCGGGCATGGTGGCTCATGCCTGTAATCCCAGCACTTTGGGAAGCCGAGGTGGGTGGATCACCTGAGGTCAGGAGTTCAAGAACAGCCTGGCCAACATGGTGAAACCCCGTCTCTACTAAAAATACAAAAATTAGCCAGGCCTGGTGGCAGGCGCCTATAATCTCAACTACTCGGGAGGCTTAGGCAGGAGAATTGCTGGAACCTGGGAGGGGGAGGTTGCAGTGAGCCGAGATTGCGCCATTACACCCCAGCCCAGGCAACAACAGCAAGACTCTGTCTTAAAAAAAAAAAAAAAAAAACAACCTTTCAAGTAATTATTCTACTCACAGAATTTATTGTCCTCAGTTTGGCTTTCATTGAGACACTAATTTGTTACTCTTCCAAAGTTACTCAATTGCATTTAACTCATTCATTTTCTCACATTTTACTGCTTCTAAATTTTTTATTGCTTCTGATTTTAAAATTCATATGGTTTTTTTGTTTTGTTTTGGTTTTTGAGTTGGGGGTCTCACTCTTGTCATCCAGGCTGGAGTGCAGTGGCACCATCTCGGCTCACTACAACCTCTGCCTCCCGGGGTCAAGTGATCTCCCACCTCAGTCTCTTGAGGAGCTGAGACTACAGGTGCATGCCACCATGCCCAGCTATTTTTATATTTCTTTTGTAGAGAGGGGGTTTTGCCATGTTGCCCAGGCCGGTCTTGAGCTCCTGGACTCAAGCAGTCTGCCCTCCTTGGCCTCCCAAAGTGCTGGGATTACAGGTGTGGGCCACTGTACCTGGCCAAAATTAATGTGATTTTTTTTTTCTTTTTTTCTCTTTTCTTTTTTTTTTTTTTGAGACGGAGTCTCGCTCTGTGCAGTGGCGCGATCTCGGCTCACTGCAGCCTCTGCTTGCCGGGTTCAAGTGATTCTCCTGCCTCAGCCTCCCGAGTAGCTGGGACTACAGGTATGCACCACCATGCCCAACTAATTTTTGTATTTTTAGTAGAGATGGGGTTTCACCGTGTTGGCCAGGATGGTCTCGATCTCTTGACCTCATGATCTGCCCGCCTCGGCCTCCCAAAGTGCTGGGATTACAGCCATGAGCCACCACGCCTGGCCTCTTTTTTTTTTTTTTTTTTTTTAAATAGAGATAGGGTCTCACTGTGTTGCCTAGGCTGGGCTTGAACTCCTGGACTCAAGTGATCATCCTATCTGCGCCTCCCAAAGTGCTGGGATTACAGGCATGAGCCACCATGCCTCGCCTAATGTGATTATGTGTTATCTTTAACCCCCTGTCTTTTGGAAAGCTGTTACAGGATTACTAGTGTGTCTTAACATTGATGGCATCTTTTTTATTTATTTATTATTTTTGAGACAGGGTCTTACTCTATTGCCCAGGCTGGAGTGCAGTGGCATGATCACAGCTCACTGCAGCCTCAACTTCCCGGGCTCAGGTGATTCCCAGCTCAGCCTCCCAAGTAGGTGAGATTACAGATGCACACCACCACGCCTGGCTAATTTTTTGTATTTTTATGGAGATGGAGTTTTGCCATGTTGCTCAGGTTGGCTGATCTTGAACTCCTGGGCTCCAGTGATCTGCCTGCCTCAGCCTCCCAAAATGCTGGGATTATAGGTGTGAGCCACTGCGCCTTGCTGATGGCATCTTAGAAATAAAGAAATACTAAGTAAACTCATACTTTATTTTACTTTTTACTTTTCTCTGTGAAAATGTTAACAAGTCATTCAATATCTGTGGTACTCAATTTATTTGTAAAATGGGGATGATGATAGCCCAGTTAATAAGCTACCTTAGCAATTTCTTAGGCTTGGTCTGAAGCTATATGAAATAACTTTTAAAGAGCAAAGCACTCTTAAAATTCAGATTTTATTATTCATATTAATAATATAATTAAACAGAGTACTGCCCAGTTTTAAAGTTGAGGAAATTGAAAGACATTTATTAAACTTTTCCAAGCTCATTGAGTCATGCTGAAATAGAATACAATCACAGCCTCTGAAGCAAAAGTGGTTCATACTGTTTCTGAACAATTTAGTAACATCTTTGCTTGTTTAAAAGAAAGTGTTTTTCTAAATCTAAAAGAATGGATGATTGCACTTTTTTATCAGCTGAGCAACTGGGGGCATTTGCAGCTGGAGTCAAGCAGATGTTAGAAGATGTACAGGAGCGGCTCGTCTACCGAACCCACATCTATATTCAGACGGACATCACGGGCTATAAACCAGCTCCTGGAGATCTGGCATATCCCGATAAGTTAGTCATGATGGAGGTAGGATCTCCTTACTTGATCTCCCGTCTGCCCCCACACAGCTTTTAGATGTTTTATTTATTATTTTTTTAAAAATTTATATATTAAAATAGAGACAGGGTTTCCCCTTGTTGCCCAGGCTGGTCTCGAACTCCTGAGCTCA
Organism: Homo sapiens; assembly: GCF_000001405.40. Lineage (NCBI taxonomy): Eukaryota > Metazoa > Chordata > Mammalia > Primates > Hominidae > Homo > Homo sapiens. Next base: position 45,496,455 of record NC_000013.11, read on the forward strand.
AGTGATCCACCTGCCTCGGCCTCCCAAGTGCTGGGATTACAGGCGTGAGCCACTGTGCCTAGCCTAGATGTTTTTTACTAGTTAAAATGGGATTTTTCTTTTTAATTCTTCCTCAAAATGTAAAATCAAGATAAGTTTGCTATAAAAATTAAAGGAGATAAAATTTAAAAGAATTAAAAATAGTTTGTTAGGTTGTCTTTCCTTCAAGTTATGTTTTTTTGTTTTTTTTGTTTTTTTGAGATGGAGTCTTGCTCTGTCGCCCAGGCTGGAGTACAGTGGTGTGATCTCGGCTCACTGCAACTTCTGCCTCACGGGTTCGCGCCATTCTCCTGCCTCAGCCTCCCGAGAAGCTGGGACTACAGGCGCCCGCCACCACACCCGGCTAATTTTTTATATTTTTAGTAGAGATGGGGTTTCACCGTGTTAGCCAGGATGGTCTCAATCCCCTGACCTCGTGATCCGCCCGCCTCGGCCTCCCAAGGTGCTGGGATTACTGGCGTGAGCCACCGCACCCGGCCCCTTCAAGTTATGTTTTATAAACATTCTATTCCATTCTCTTCCCATTGGCAGGAAATACACGTTCTCAATTTTAAAATTGAGTTAGTGATCCCTGTGATTTCTCTTTAGAAATAGAAGAAGGTTGATAATGTAGAAGCCACCAGGTTGATGGTGATGATGTAACCGTGTGTCATGCTCTCTCATAAAAACCCTGGAGGCCGTCTCCTCAAAATTATACCGTACAAGTGTCCAGTTTATGGTTTGAAGACTTGGGTTTATCTTCCTGATCTTTCAGTTCCATATATGTCTTCATTTTCTTTGAGTTCTGGACAGACTTTAAATAATGCCTAAGATATTAGTGCTGAAACAGAATTAGAACTTCTTAAATGGAAATTTTCAAATATAAGCAAAAGTAGAAACTGTAATATGATGAACTCTTAGGTACCATTACCTCAGCTTCAACATGGCTAGACTTTTTGTACTCCCTTTCACCCCCATTAATTATTTTAAAGCAAATTCCAAACATGATTTCAATTAGTAAATACTTCAGGCTGGGAATGGTGGCTCATGCCTGTAATCACAGCACTTTGAGAGGCCGAGGCGGGAGGATCACTTAATCTCAGGAGTTCAAGACCAGCCTGGGCAACATGGCAAGAAACCCCATCTCTACTAAAAATACAAAAATTCACCAGGTGTGATGGTGTGCTCCTGTGATCCCAGCTACTCAGGAGGTTGAGATGGGAAGATTACTTGAGCCCGGGAGGTGGAGGTTTCAGGGAGCCGAGATCACGCCATTGCACTCCAGCCTGGGTGACAGAGCCAGACCCTGTCTCAACAACAACAACAACAACAACAACAACAACAACAAAGTATGACCACTCAAGGCTAAGCAGGACGGAATATAACTTTACACTCCTGAAGTTTAATAGATTCTGGGTTACTCCTTCTAAGTAGCAGAAACCAATGAGTAAAGATATCAAGTCAAGAGGTTAAATAAGCAAAACAACAATAACAGAATTAAAAAGAAACTTTCAGTAGGTAACTCTAAAAAGTTAAGGGCATTTTTATTTTTAACACAACCATAATATAATTATCACACCTAAAAACAGTGTAGTTCCTTAATATCATCAAGTATCTAGAACTTATTTTTCAGATTCACCAGTTGTTAATATTTCATCCCATTTACTTTATCTCTTTGTGTGTGTGTGTGGCTGAGCCATTTGAAAGTTGCAGACATCATGACTCCTCATTCCTAAGTACTTCAGTTCTTATTCTCGTAAGAATAAAGACAATTGTTCATATAACCACAGTATCATTTTTGTATTTAAGGAAATTAACATTAATTCAATAATATTATTTATATATAGTCCATATTGAAATTTCCCCATTTGTCCTTCAGATGTCTTTTTTTTTTTTTTTTTTTTGAGACATAGTTTCACTCTTTTCACCCAGGCTGGAGTGCAGTGGCGCCATCTTGGCTTACTGCAACTTCTGCCTCCCGGGTTCAAGCGATTTCAAGAAATTGTATGTGAAACAATTTCTTGATGTGAAGTAGGGGTCCAGTTTCATTCTTCTGCATGTGGCTATCCAGTTGTTCCAGCATCATTTATTGAAAAGGCTATTATTTGTCTATTGGATGGTCTTGGCACCCTTGTTGAAAATCAGTTGACCATAGATTAATGGTTTTTTTGTTTTGTTTTGTTTTGTTTTTGGACTCTCAAGTTTATTCCATTCATCTTTATGTCTTATCCTGTGCTAGCACCAGACTGTCTGGATTACAGTTGTTTTGTAATAAATTTTGTACTTGGGAAGCAGTTTTGCTATTTTGTTCTTTTTTTTTTTTTTTCAAATTGTTTTGGCTATTTTGGGCTCCTTGCAATGCCATATGATTCTAATAATTTGAATCTTCTTTCTTTTTTTCTTGGTCAATCTAGAGTCCTTTGTTTTCTTGCACAAGATGATACAGGCGTTCACCTTTTCCTTGCTCCAGGAATGTTTCACATTCCTTGCTCCAGACCTACGGTCAGCTCTTTCTCCAGGAACCCTTGGTTCCTTAAGGGGAAAGAGGGTGGTATTTAGAAACCAAGATCTGAGTATTAGGTGTGCTCATTTCTAGTGGTGGATTACTTCTAGCCCTCTTTAAAGAGCTAGAAAATATACATTTTAAAATATCATGAGTTCATACTGAAATCTCCAGTTCAGATCCAGTTCCACAGGGTTCTTCCTTTTCCCATATCTCGTATTCATGTTTCCAGTCTCACAGAAGAAACCCTGGCTCCTAGCACCTCTAATGTATTTACTCATTTGCTTCAAGTTACAACATACACAAATAGTTTCAGAATTATAACACTAATGCCATGATTAATAGCAAACTTAATTCAAGATTTTTATACTACTTTTGTTCTTAGAATATATCCTACTAAGATATACAATGAGATTGCTGTCAGACGTTTGATTCTAAATATAGATCTGCAGATTTCAAATCTCTTTAGAGATTTTTGCCCATGTAAGTTTGCCATTTGCATGGCATAGGGGGAAATGTAAGAGTGAGATAGACCTGGGTTCAAATCCCAGCCCAGTTAGTAGCTCTTTCTTATTTTTTATTAGTATGTTTAATTATTTGTAAAACAGGCATAATACTGACCTTGGAGTATTGTTGTAAGAGTAAAGATAATGACCCAGAAAGCACTTAATGCTGGTAGTCATATGAGAGACAGTGGCTGTTGTAATTTATTTAACCCTTGAAATATTGAAAAACAGAATATTTGACTTTTTAAAAATAGTCTTGGCCAGGCACGGTGGCTTGCGCCTGTAATACTAGCACTGTGGGAGGCCAAGGTGGGCGAATCACTTGAGCCCAGTAGTTCAAGACCAGCCTGCACAACACAGTGAAACCCCATCTCTACAAAAAATACAAAAATGAGGCAGGCATGGTGGCGGCTGTAGTCCTAGCTACTCGGGAGGCAGAGGTGGGAGGATCACCTGAGCCCGGGAGATGGAGGCTGGGGTGAGCTGTCATTGTGCCACTGTACTCCAGCCTGGGTCACAGAGTGAGACACTGCCTTAAAAAAAAATATATATATATGTATGTGTGTGTGTGTGTGTGTGTGTGTGAGTGTGTGTGTGTGTGTGTGTGTGTGTGTATATATATATATATATATATAAAAAAGAGGCCTGATTATTTTATTTGAAAAATTCCAAAGGCAGTTTTGGTGCTGGTGAATTTAAAAAATGTCCCTTGAAATAATTTTGCTAAGTCATCATGTTTCTAACGTGTTTTAAAAAAATATAATCTTGAGAAATCTGTAAGCTATTAAATTTTTTAAAAATGTAATCTAATTTTTGCCAGGTCTAAACACTAATCTTGCTTAATTAGTTTATATAAGGAGTGCTGTAGACCTAAATATCTGTGGAAAATAGATTAAAGATAATTTCTTTCTAAGTGTATCCTGTATTCATCAGCATATCTTTTGTCACAAAGTGCCAATCTGTGTTGTTAAAGTTGTCAGATGTGGCTCAGATACTATCCTGTTTCTATTTAGACTGCTTTTCTTGGATGTCAAATGTCCTAATTTCTTTTATTTTTATTTTTAAAGTAGACTTTGTATTGTAAGATAGTTTGAGATTTACAGAAAAATTGAGAAGGTGGTACAGAGTTTTTATATACCCTGCACCCAGTTGCTCCTATTACCAAGATCTTCTGTTGGTATGATACATTTGCCACAATTAATGAACCAGTAGTGAGTCACTGGTATTTATTTACTAAGGTCCATAGTTTATTCAGATTTTCTTAGTGTTTTTCATGTCTTTTTCTATTCCAGGATCCCATTTACAACACCACGTTGCACTTAGTTTTTATGTCTTTTTAGGCTCCTTTTGTCTGTGACAGTTTTTCAGACTTTTCTTGTTTTCGATGACTTAGCAGTGTTGAGGACTGGTTTATAGTGTTGTCATGAGTATTTCAAGCTTTTTATACAATGCCCCTTTGTTGGAATTCGTCTGATGTTATCCTTATGATTAGACTAGTGTTTTGGGTTTTGGGGAGGAAAACCACAGTGGTGTAAAATGCCATTGTTATTACATCATATTAAGGGTACAGCCTTTCAACATGAATGTTCACTGTTGATATTGAACTTGACCATCTGGCTGAAGTAGTGTTGTCAGGTTTCACCACCGTGCAGTTACTCCTCTTCCCCACTTTCCACACTGTACTCTTTGGAAGGAAGTCCCATGTGTAACCCATGCTCAAGGAGTGGGTTGTGCTCTACCTTTTTTGAGGGCAAAGTATCTATGTAAATACTTGGAACTTCTCTGTAAGGGAGATTGGTCTCTTTTTCCAGTTTGTTGATTCAATCACTTACTGATGTCAGTGTGGACTTGGTCTCTTTTTCCAATTTGTTGATTCAATCACTTACTGATGTCAGTGTGGACTTAACGGATATTTATTCATACTTTGGGTTATAGTTCACTGGTACTTTATTTTGCTGCTCCAGCTTTCACCACTGGGAGCTCTTTCAGTTGGCTCCTATGTCCTTTTGACATACTCATTTATGTAGATTTTTTATTTTGAGAACTTTCTTATTTCCTGGCACTATAAGAACTTCAGGTGCATCAGTATATTTCCTGCTTCTCTCCTAGAATCGACCATTTCTTCAAGGAGTGCTGGTTCCTTTATTGAAGGATTGTATTAGAAAGAGATCTGGGCATTAGGTGTGCTCGTTGCTACAGGGGTATTGTTGCTTTTAAGCTCTCTCAGGTGCTGGCATAGAAATATGTGTGTGTACTAGATCATTCCTGTTGCTCCAAATCCTCACCAGCATTTTGACTTAACCTAATTCATTTCAATGCCTAGGTGGATAAATATGTAATAATAGGTATGTTCGTTTTAAAGTTAACAGGCTGGAAATATGTTCTTACCTGTTTTGAGGATGTTCTCCTAAACTTACATCTCTTCCTCTGACTTCTATTTAAACTTACTGCATTTTGGCTAGTTATATTAATTATTTATATGTTGTTACTTTTTAAATAATATACAGAATCAACCTTGCAGGGATCAGATCCCCTTGTAGGGCAGGCAGTGGGGGCTGTTTCTTTTCTGTGGTCCATAGCTGGAATTATCTTTATGTGTCTTGGTATTGCGGATAACAACAGGGAGCAGATGGGTGGTCCATTTGCAGGAGCTGCCTTGACTTTGAGGGCCACAAAGCAGGTATGATGAAGACTAGATCTGTTTCCCAGCCTGATCTAGTGAATGGTGCTCCCTCCTTTTCCTCCCGTCCTGGCCTTCATTAGGAGTATCAGTTTTTGTATTATAGATAAGAATGCCTGTTTTAATTGCTGTGTCTGATAGGATGTTAGGTGATAAAGTTTTCTATATGCTCCCTTCCCAGTGTAATTTAGTGGTATATTTGGTATGTTTATTCAGTCATTACATGGCCTGTATCCTGGATGCTCCCTTGTGTAGTAGACCTTTTGGCTTAAGGGTAACCACTTGCAGTAAATATGCTTACTGTGATTTTCTTTTGGTGAGGGACTGGGGTATAAGAGTGGTCTGGCTGTGACATCTGCATGCCGTTTAGGAATTAGCTGTACTTTCCAATTTCTGCACGTGGAATGAGTGGACTGGCCTATGTGGTAGGGAGTCTGTTTCCTAATCAATTCTCTGGCTATTAATTTTTTTTTTTAATTTCAATAGTTTTTTGGGTACAGGTGATTTTTGGTTACATGGATAAGTTGTTTAGTGGTGATTTCTGAGACTTTAGTGCACCTGTCACCCAAACAGTGTACACTGTACCCAATATGGAGTCTTTTATGCCTTACCTGCCTCCCAGTCTTTGCCCCGGAATTCCCAAAGTCCATTGTCTCATTTTTATGACTGGCCATTCTTTTTGACAGTAACTAAATGACTGTTAGGTCTTCATTTCTGTGTATTTCCACCTTTATAATTAATGCAAATTAGTGGGATTTTCATTACTAATTTAGTAGTTGGTGTCTCCTTTGTATACTGCATGATATTCTTTAGGCAGTGAGTCCATGCTAATTTTTAAAAAATATCTGTTTCAAAAATAGCATACTGTAGCTATTATCACATAAAGCAAAAACCTGTTATTTGGATTGGCCAGTTACTTGAACAAAAACATTTCTAATATTCAGAATGTATCCAGTCTTAAATCTGAATAGTTTCCAAATGTCAAGTTGAAAATATATATATATGTACTTTGTATAAAGAACATGTTCATGTTGCCAAACACTGCTGAAAACGGTAACATTCCTTCTGATTTCTTTATACAGCAGATTGCACAGAGTTTGAAAGATGAACAGAAGAAGGTACCTTCAGAAGCTTCATTTTCAGATGTTCACTTAGAAGAAGGAGAGTCTAACAGTCTGACAAAATCTGGTATGTTATGATGTCTTAACTGCCAGCATTTATTCATTTGGGTTAACAAACCTTTACTGAGGACTTGTCCTGTCCCAGACATGAAAAACAACTTGTGCCTTTGAGGAGCCCACACTTTATGGGGGGAGATTGCCAAGCCACAGACAGAATTCAGTGGTGAGTGAGATGCTAATGGTTTGCACAGGGTACCCTTGGACCATGGATGAGGGGCATGGAAATTGCGAAGGGAGATGAGCTCTGAGTGTGGGAAGGTGGGCTCAGTGTGGGGTGTGGTGTCTGAGAGCTATAATGTGTTTATGAAGAGTATGAGAGAGCCAGGTGAAGTAAGTTTGTTTAAGATAGATAGAATAGAATGTAGAAAGGCATGCAGGAATGGAAAACCATGGCTATTTTGCATAATTCAAGTGGTTTGGTATGTTTGGGCCCAGGTTGTATGTGGGGAAGGAGCAGGTAAAATAGGCCAGATAGGGATAGATGTCATGTGATAGTCTCATGGCCTTTGGACTTCTAGCTGGCATAGTGTATCATGGTGACTGGACCATCAGATTTGCATTTTGTAAGCATACTGAGTGTCTGGGACTGGAGTAAAATACTATTGACACAGTTGTATGGGATGGCTTGGACTAGGGTACATGTTATACAAGGAGCAAAATTGTCCCAAGAATCACCCTGGATACTCATTAGGGACCTAGACAGCAAGCTAGATGGGAAGTAAGCCATCTCTTCCCCACCCAGCTATAAGAGTGGCCCTAAAGCGTAGCTCCCCATGGGACAACTGGGAAGGTGGGTACTGTAACTCCATGGGCTTTAAAGAGCCCCAGCTACCTCAAGATCCCCAGGTGAAGGGCATCATCAGGTATTCTGAGTCTACTCTATAAACAGTTGCTACACTAAATCCAGACTGTCAAGCAGCTGGATATTGCCCATCTGACAAAGTCATTTTATCATGCTCGCCCTATAGGAGGGAGGACCCACAGAGGGCTGAAATTTCCTCCTCTGCAATAGAACCCATACCATGTCCTAGTATACCTCTTGGTCCTAGTATACCTCTTTATGAGCACGGGAGAGACGAGAGTACATTTCTGTCTTGCCAACCCCGGACTTGTGCGTTTTCTCTTTCCCCACTAAAGCCTACTTTTTAACCCATTACTGGCATTACAATGAGGCAGTGATGGGTTATTGGCAGAACTGTAGAGACTGATCAGGAAGTTGTTATATTTTTCCATTTGAAAGATAAAGGTGGTTTGAACCAGGGTGGTGTTGGGGGGATGGAGAGAAATACAGAGATGAGGGATATGGTTAGAAGTTTGAATCAGTAGAATTTGATGGCACCTCAGATGTGAGGGTTGAATAAGGTCCATGTGGAACAACTGAGAGGGTCTGTATTATATGGTTCTAGAAGCTGTACTGTCCAATATGGTAGCCACTGCCATTGAGCGTGTGAAATGTGGCTAGTCTGAATGTGCTGTAATTGTGGCTAGTCTGAATGTGCCATAATTGTGTAAGATTCACACCAGATTTCCAAGACTTAGTATGATATAAGGAATGGAAAACAGGCTGGGTGCAGTGGGTCACGCCTGTAATCCTAGCACTTTGGGAGGCTGAGGTGGGCGGATCACCTGAGGTCAGGAGTTCGAGACCAGCCTGGCCAACATGGTGAAACCCCGTCTCTACTAAAAATACAGAAGTTAGCCAGGCGTGGCTGCATGCGCCTGTAATCCCAGCTATTCGGGAAGCTGAGGCAGGAGAATCTCTTGAACCCAGGAGGTGGAGGTTGCCATGAGCCGAGATTGTGCCACTGTACTCCAGCCTGGGCGACAGAGTGAGACTCCATCTCAGAAAAATAAAAAAAAAAAGGAAAATATCTTATTAGTAATTTTTATATTGATTACATGTTAAAATGATATTTTGGACATATTGGATTGAATAAAATATACTAAAATTAATCCTGCTTCCTTTTTTTTTTTTGAGAGACAGAGTCTCACTCTGTTGCCCAGGCTGGAGTGCAGTGGTGCAGTCTCAGCTCACTGCAACCTCCGCCTCCCGGGTTCAAGCAATTCTCCTGCCTCAGCCTCCTGAGTAGCTGGGACTACAGGTGCACACCAGCACGCCCAGATAATTTTTGTATTTTTTAGTAGAGATGGGGTTTCACTATATGTTGGCCAGGCTGGTCTCGAACTCCTGACCTCAAGTGATCTGCCTGCCTTGGCCTCCTAAAGTGCTGGGATTACAGGCGTGAGCCACTGCGCCTGACCAATCCTGCTTTCTTTTTACTTTTTTTTTTTCTTTCAAAGAGATGAGGTCTCGCTGTGTTGCCCAGGCTGGTTTCGAACTTCTGTGCTCAAGCAATCCTCCTGTTTTGGCCTCCCAAAGTGCTGGGATTACAGGCATGGGCCACCATGCCCAGCCATTTTTTTCTTTTTTAATAGACATGGAGTCTCGCTATGTTGCCCAGGATGGGTCTTGAACTCCTGGGCTCAAGCAGTCCTCCCACCTTGGCCTCCCAAAGTGCTAGAATTACAGATGTGAGCCACTGTGCCTGGCCTCTTTTTACTCTTTTTTTGGAGACAGGGTCTGGTTCTGTCGGGCAGGATGGAGTGCAGTGGCATGATATTGGCTTACTGCAACCTCTGCCTCCTGGGCTTAAAGCCAACCTCCCACCTCAGCCTCCCAAGTAGCTGGGAGTGTAGGCTCATGCCATCACGCCTAGCTAACTTTTCTACTTTTTTAAAATGTGACGTTTTACTGTGTCACATTTATGATTTACATTATATTTCCATTGAACAGCACTGCCGTAGAGCTGTAGAGAGAAAGACTGATTTAGAAATAAAGGATGAGGTGTAGTTGGTGCTTTGGGCTTGTGTAAGATCATCCTAGGACAGATTGTAGAGTGACTGTAGCAGACGTCTTGGGAGAGAAACTGAGCCAGTGCTGACGTTAAGGAGCAAATGGAGATAGAGGAGTAAACTAAGCCCACCAAGAAAGAACAGCCAGCGTGGTCAGAAGTGGGCAAGTGAGAGGGTGTGATTGATGTCAGAGGAGGAGGGGTTGGCAGTGTAGTTTGCGTAAACAGGTGAGAAGATCGAAATCTCAAGAACATTGTAGTTATAAAGTGGCATGCTAAGTTTTAAAACTTTAGAGGTGGAACAGTTGAGAGGAAGAAGGAAGTCTGTGGAAAGTAATAAGAATGCGATTCTGCGAGTATTAAGAAAATCTGCCCCTGGGGTAGGGGTGTGAGGATGGAAGAGAAAGTCTTTGGAGTTGAGAAGGTAAGGATGAACAGCTCGTCATCTGTGCAGTTATCAGTGTTATCACAATGGCGATAGAACTTGGGGTGGAAAGCAAGGCTCTGAGTCAGGTAGGAAGTGGAGCAAAACCAAAAAGAATAGTCATAATCACTTTTCCTGGTTTCCCGGTTCCCTGGTTCCCACCTCTAAAGCTGGAAGTGAGAGAATGAGAAGCCTCTGAAAGGAGGGCTTTAAATGATGTGAAGTTCATGGCATACAAGGAGGTGTCAGGGCAGATTGGTGGAGGGACCCATCTTGTGAAGAGACCAGTTATCAGTACCTTCAAAAAGTACAGCTTTGTTCTGTATGTAGAGCAAGTAAGGGGGAGGTGAGGCCCGTGGAGGACGACGGAGGCAGACGTGCAGGAGGGCTGTGGGAGAAGCCCTGGTCCCGGGGCCTGCTCTGCTCCTCAGGAGTGGCAGCCAGAGGGCACTTGGCTTTTGAGGGTTTGCCCCGGTGAACTAGTATTAGTTACATAGGAAAGGGAAAAAATGAACACAAGCTGACTTCTGGCTTTAAAGTACTTAAACACATTTGTTTGACTAAACTTTTATTTGGGAGAATTCTTTTGGCACTTTATTTTGAAGAAGGGATCCTGCACATACCATATTCCTAAGGAAAACTATAAATATTTCATCTCCTAAATATTCTTTGATGTAATTTGTTTATTCTTTTTCTTTAAGAAACTTAATACAAATTAAATGTTAGTTTAAAGTGAGCTCTTATGGAAGAAATTTAAAAATTATACAAGTTAAATAGGAGTGGTGAGAGAGAGAGAAAAAAAAATTTTACAAGTAGTACTTGTTTTTGGAAAAAAAGCTTACAGAATTGTAAAGTGAAAGTACTGGCCAGGCACGGTGGCTCACACCTGTAATTCCAGCACTTTGGGAGGCCGAGGTGGGCAGATCACCCACGGTCAGGAGTTTGAGACCAGCCTGACTAACATGGCAAAACCCCATCTCTACTAAAAATACAAAAATTAGCTGGGTGTGGTGGCACATGCCTGTAATCCCAGCTACTCGGGAGGCTGAGGCACAAGAATTGCTTGACCCCAATAGGCGGAGGTTGCAGTGAGCTGAGATTGTGCCACTGTACTCCAGCCTGGGCAACAGAGCCAGACTCTGTCTCAGAAAAAAAGAAAAAAAAAAAAAGCCTGGGTGTGGTGGCTCATGCCTGTAATCCCAGCACTTTGGGAGGCTGAGGTGGGTGGATCACTAGGTCAGGAGATCAAGACCATCCTGACCAACATGGTGAAACCCTGTCTCTACTAAAAGTACAGAAAATTAGCCGGGTGTGGTGGCATGAGCCTGTGATCCCAGCTACTCAGGAGGCTGAGGCAGAAGAATCACTTGAACCCAGGAGGTGGAGGTTGCAGTGGGCTGAGATTGCGCCGCTGCACTCCAGCCTAGGTGACAGAGCCTAGGTCCAACCTAAAAAAAAAAAAAAAAAAAAAAAAAAAAAAAGGAAAGAAAGCACTAAGCTTCAACCTTTCTCCCTCATCCCTTTCCCCTCAAATCTGTGCTATACAACCTACAGGCCTTCTTGTAAGAATATGCTGCTATAACCATTTATAAAAAGGAATTAATGTTTGCTCTGTAACTTAATACCAGTGTATCATAGATCTACTTCTATTTTCTTATTATTGAAAACATTCCAAATATACAGAAAAGTTGAAAGAAAGATGAATGATGAACACCCATACCCACAACTTGGATTCAAGACTTAACATTTTATTTTTTATATATATTTTTATATATATATATATATACACACACACACACACACACACATACACATATATATACATATATGTGTATGTGTGTATTTGTATGTGTTGGGGTGTGTGTGTAAATATATATTTTATGAACCATTTTAAATTATTGACGTCATTGACACTTCACCCTTGAGTATTTCAGCATCTCCAAAAAATAACGACATCTTTTACTTAACAATAAACCATTATTGCACTAAAAATTTAATGAGTTTGCTAATGTCCTCTAATGCCTAGTCCATCTTTCAATATCACCTGTTGTCTCAAAGTATTATACCAGCTCCACTTTTCATGGTTCATTTGAAATTTGGTCCCTCGACCCAGAAGTGATTGTACTTCCCTTACAGAGGTGTCTTTGCTCAACCATACTCCCCACCTGCTCTTCCTCACAGTCGCCAGAGTCTGCCTTTTCTGACCTTCCCAGTGGTGGGGGGAAGCCCGCTCTGGTCACCTGGGAATTGGATGTACTAACTAGGCCTGTATGTGATTTGACTCAGAGTGTGGAAGACAGTCTGACAGGTGAACCTAATTTGATTAATCCCCCTGTTTAGAAGTGCTTTGTTTTCTTGTTACTCCCCCACCTCCACAGGCTCCCACCTGCTTCCTTCCTCATGACTACATAGAGATCTGCTTCCTTTTTTTTTTTTTTTGAGACGGAGTCTCACTTTGTTGCCCAGGCTGGAGTGCAGTGGCGAGATCTTGGCTCACTGTAACCTCCGGCTCCCAGGTTCAAGCGATTTTCCTGCCTCAGCCTCTCGAGTAGCTGGGACTACAGGCACACGCCACCACGCCTGACTAATTTTTGTATTTTTAGTAGAGACGAGGTTTCACCACATTGGTCAGGATGGTCTTGAACTCCTGACCTCATGATCCGCCTGCCTCGGCATCCCAAAGTGCTGGGGTTACAGGCGTGAGCCACTGTGCCCAGACGATCTGCCTCCTTTTTAATGGCTGCATTCTATAATGTGATTATGCTTTTCCTATGTTCCATAAAGATTATTGATCACAATTTGGGAAAAGCAACTTGGGTTGAGCATATATATATGAAGCTGGAATGTATGTATGTCCATATTCATGTGTATTCTCAGTTACTGTGTTAAATCTCACCTGTCACTGATTTAGATTTCTTAGGGTATTCTTGATGAAAACTGAGGTGGGAAAAAATTGGTGCCCTCTAGCTACTTATAGCTAATGAGAATAAGCAGTTTATAGTTGCCATGTAAATTATTGTAAGACAAATATCCACATGTGTGAAATGTGTCTTCTTTTCCACTTGGGTTTTAGGTTCAACAGAATCCCTCAATCCTAGACCACAGACCACAATTTCTCCAGCAGATCTTCATGGAATGTGGTATCCTACGGTTCGAAGAACTCTTGTCTGTCTCTCCAAATTATACAGATGCATAGATGTACGTGTATCTTTACTGTGAATTGCTCGTTCTTTCACTTGAAATATTTTTAAATTTACATTTTAAGATCTTGATAAAGTATTTTGTTGGATATTCTTAAAATCATGATTTTTAGATATGGAAGTAACTTGAGGTCAAGCTAATTTAGGAATTTCTAACCTGAACTTTCTATAGAAACTTATAATTCAGTAATGGGCTTTGGGGAGTCTATGGACACCTCAAAATTGTGGGCAAATTTTGCATGACTGTTTTATGTGTGCATTCCTGAAGAGAAGACCCTGACTGCATTTAGAGCAATGATTAAATACAGCAGTCATGTAATGAATTGTCTAGATGCCACTATTTCTTAAGGATATGGTTCAAAAGGAGTATGCATTTACCCTTACACCGCAGAGATATTTTATATTGTAGGACTGCACAGTTGTTTCATTGGGTCAGTAGAATGTACACTACTCTATATTTAATTTAAAATGCATAATTGCTGGGCTTTGTGCTTATAGATTTTGAAATGCTACCAAAAGTGCCTTTTGCCCAGTTCTGGGACTCTTAAGGACAGGCCCAGATCACCTCTACAGACTTAGATGTCTCAGCCTTTTTGCCCAGCTGATGAGATCTCTTCCAGAGAGAGGTTTGGATATTTGGCATCTCTTCCTCCCCAGGGTGTCCATTAGGTTTATTGAATAATGATATTAGGCTGAGATTCAGCAACTTCCTGCAGTGGAGTCAGGATCCCAAGGAAAATACGCAGGAGGCATATTCCACATAGAACCCATTGTCATCACAGACTCTAGGAAATAAAACCTCTTAGGGTGCTTAACAGGGATTTTAGCTTAATAGTAGGTAGGCCTGAGGAGGTCACTATGCCAGTTTTGTCTTATGCCTTAGGCTGGCTTATTCTTTTTTCACCTAGCTTATATTCAAATCTTAACACTTTTAGTCTTACCGATCAAAGGTGGGGAAAGACAATCCAGTGTAAAATACGTTAAGGCTGAGCAAGGGAAGGCGAGGGTCTTGGTCTAAGCTGCTCATCTTAAGCTTTCTTAGGCAGGGTTAGTGACCCAGCAGGTGGCAGCTCTAATCTCTCCTTCCTATAGTAATAGCCTTGTGGGAAACCACAGAACAGGGAGAAGCAATGTAAAAAGAGAATAACATCAAGTTGGAGACCAGGGCCCAGGACAGTGGCCTAATAATGAATAGGCTCATATTTATGTAGAATGGAGGCTGGGAGTGAAGCAAGGGGACTGACAGGAGTCCTGGTCCAACCACCATGCCACACCTCTGGGAAGATAGTAATGGCAGAATTAAATTAAGAATCATACTGCCTATACCATTTGGTAACCTGTTTTTTTTTTTTTTAAACTCCATTATGAATTTCACCGCCTCCTTCAGCATTCTTTGATTTCATAAACAGTATTCTATAATTTAGATTTAGTCCTATTTTATTTGTCAGTCCCCTGTCTTTGAACATTTATGTTATTTCCAGTTTATGGCTGTTCTAAATAATACTGTAATGAAGAGCCATGTACATGATTTCCTAAAATACAATTCTGTTGTATTTTTAGAAGTGGATTTACTGAGGGTTTGTTTTAAAGTTGGTTTTAGAGATTTAAAAAAGAGCCCCACATGAGATCTTGTTGGAGCGAAGGCTCCGTGAGGTCAGAACCATGCCTGCCTATATTTCTAGCATCTAGCACAGTGCCTAGTATGCTAATCAATATTTATTGAATGGTCACATGAATGTTTCCAGGGATGACTGCATATTACATATCTATGTGTTGGTTTAGAAAGGTTGCATGGGAATAGGAAACCAGGAAGAATAATACAAGTAGTAAATTAATCCAACCATGAGGGCAAGCAGGCATTGTTATTTGCACTTACAGCCTAGGATATTCCTTTTTTTTTGTTTTGTCAAATGCCACAGGCTGATTATTCTCTTTTATTCCACCAGAGGGCAGTGTTCCAAGGATTATCACAGGAAGCATTGTCTGCCTGCATTCAGTCCTTACTTGGAGCGTCAGAGTCTATCAGCAAAAACAAGGTTTGATGAAGTGTTAGGTGAAATCCTGTTTCCTGGTAAAATATTGTGGAATATAGCATTTACTTATAGGCACAGAAGTTTAAAGCTGTTTTGGCAGTAGGATTTGTTTAACATGATTGAATTTTGAGGCTCTTTGAGAGAAACTGTTATTTCATTATAGTGCTAAATAAAGACTGTACTATATAAGAGAGTCCAACTTTGCTAAAGTACCAAAAGTGGTACTTAGGTTACACATTCTATAGAGTAAAGGTTTCTTGTTGTAGTCCTAGCCACTGGGGAAATGATACTATTTCCCTGGAATACCAAGAAAGCATTTTCAAGGAAACATCACAATTTATAATCATCTCTCTCTACGATAATGTTTTAAATAGTTGAATGTTCTTACATGGAGGAAATGAGTCAGTCAATTTTGAGGACAGGTAATTGTGGCTCTGGGTTGTGTGACTAGAAGGAGTCACCATGACTGTATGGCTTACAATTTTGTTTGTTTGTTTTGAGACAGGGTCTTGCTTTGTCTCCCTGGCTGAAGTGCAGTGGTGTGATCATAGCTCACTGCAGCCTCTATCTCCTGAGCTCAATCCATCCTCCTACCTCAGCCTCCCAAGAATCTGGGACTACAGGCATGTACCTTCATGCCCCTGCCAAGTTTTGTATTTTTTGTGGAGACAGGATTTTGTCATGTTGCTCAGGCTGGTCTCAAACTCCTGGGCTCAAGTGATTTGCCCACCTTGGCCTCCCAGAGTGCTGGAATTACAGGTGTGAGCCACTGTGCCTGGCCTTTTTTTTTTTCTGAGAGAGGGTCTTACTCTGTCACCTAAGCTGGAGTGCAGTGGTATGATCTCTGTTCACTGCAGCCTCAACCTCCTGAGGTGAAGCAATTCTCCTGCTTCAGCTTCCTGAGCAACAGGACTACAGGTACCTGGCTAAATTTTTTATTTTTTGTAGAGACAGGATCTCACCATGTTGCACAGGCTGGTCTCAAATTCCTGGGCTCAAATGATCCTCTTGACTCAGCCTTCCAAAGTGCTGGGATTACAGGTGTTAGCCACCGCACTTAGCGGTTTACAGTTTTTAATCCAGAAGGGATCTGGGGCTGAAGGCTGCTGGCATGTGCTTCTCCCACAGACCCTGAGATTTTTTTTTTTTCCCAGGAAGTAGAGCATGTTCAAAAGTGTTGCTTTGCTTAACTCTCCTCTTAAAATACCTGTCACCTATAGGGAAGGAGCTGTGGGAGCTGTTTCTAGCCAAAATTTTCTTCCCACTTGGAGTGTTCAGATCCTGTGAACTTTTTTTGATATATGGATTTATAAACGTGACTTTTAAGGCTTTTATATATATATATATAATATATACATATAAATTATATATATATAATATATACATATAAATTATACATATAATATATACATATAAATTATATATAATATATACATATAAATTATACATATAATATATACATATAAATTATACATATAATATATACATATAAATTATATATAATATATACATATAAATTATACATATAATATATACATATAAATTATACATATAATATATACATATAAATTATATATATAATATATACATATAAATTATATATATAATATATACATATAAATTATATATATAATATATACATATAAATTATATATATAATATATACATATAAATTATATATATAATATATACATATAAATTATATATATAAAAGTGATATATACATTTTATATATATGTATCTCTCCACAGAATAATTTGGGATCTTGTTGCTAGGAAAGCTTTATCTTTGTGACCACTATATTTTTCTCATTCATGAAATGGAGAGGTGAAATGAAATTTTCACATGGGGACTAGAAATAAAGTTATAGACAGGCAGATTTAAGTTTTAACAAGTATTTCCAAGTCTGTGCCCGCACATTTTTGATAATAGGTGAAATTAGAAAACACATGTCTAATGTTAAGGAAATGGTTACATAAATTGTGGCATGTTTTATATAACAATATTACACAGTCATTAAATTTTTAAAAATGAAACAATAAAATTTAACTTAAACATATTAAGACAACAGGTATTTAAGATGCAAATCAGATAATATGGTATGACTATGTAATAAAATGCATTGAAGAAAATATGTAACAGTGAAAGCTTTTAGGTGACTATGGATGATTTTTTCTCTCATTCCCTATACATCTCTTTATTTTCTACAGTGATCCTGTGTTTCTCAGATCTCAGGAGGGAAAAATATGACCTAATTTTAAAAAAAGTTCATAGGCTTATGTCCTCTTGTACCACTGTCCTCTCTCTTTTTTTTTTTTTTTTTTTTTGAGACAGAGTCTCACTCTGTCACCCACGCTGGAGTGCAGTGGCGCTATCTCAGCTCACTGCAACCTCCACCTCCTGGGTTGAAGCCATTCTTGTGCCTTAGCCACCCAAGTAGCTGGGATTACAGGTGTGTGCCACCACGCCCAGCTAATTTTTGCATTTGTAGTAGAGACAGGGTTTCACCGTGTTGGCCAGGCTGGTCTTGAATGCCTGACCTCAAGTGATCCACCCGCCTTGGCCTCCCAAAATGTTGGGATTACAGGAGTGAGCCACTGCACCTGGCCATGTCCTTTCTCTTAAGGGAGGCATGAAAAGCGTTTTGATAGTTCGGTCTTTTGCCCTCCTTATCTGTAGGCCATCCTCTTTTATCTAATTCTGTTTCCTACATATTATAAGAGGTTTAAATATGTATGGAGAAGCTCTCAATTTGATAGACACTAGCTTATTATTTTCATGGTTGAGCTTGTGTACTTTTTTTTTTGTTTGTTTGAGATGGAGTCTCCCTCTGTCGCCCAGGCTGGAGTGCAGTGGCGTGATCTTGGCTCACTGCAAGCTCCGCCTCCCAGGTTCACGCCATTCTCCTGCCTCAGCCTCCCTAATAGCTGGGACTACAGGCGCCCACCACCATGCCCGGCTAATTTTTGTATTTTTAGTAGAGACGGGGTTTCACCATGTTAGCCAGGATGGTTTCTCTGTCTCCTTACCTCGTGATCCGACTGTCTCGGCCTCCCAAAGTGCTGGGATCACAGGCGTGAGCCACCGCGCCTGGCCAAGCTTGTGTACTTTTATCTTAAAAAGTGATCAGTGAAAATGGATTAATGTCTTAAACAGTTTTTTAAGGCAAGAAATTGTTCTTACATACTTAAACTGAGCACCTGTCAACAAATTAACATGATACTATTTGCTGGATTACAATAGCTTTAGTGAAGTAATAAAATCTATATGATACAATTTTTGGCATCAGAGTTGTTAGGTCTTTTAAAAATAGAGCAAGTATTTAAAATGTGTAGCATTTCCCACTTACCTGGTGCTCTGTGTTCCCGTATGCAGAGTGAGTTTCCATGACATAAGTCACTGATTATGTTTATTAAAATCAGTGGAGAGAGTAAGCGAGACTGGGAAGGAATCTTCATTTAATAACTCCTTTAAAATTTATATTGCTTACTGAAAGATAACTTTATCTTTTCCTAAGGTAATATAAAAGTTTCATTAGCAATATTTTCAAAATAAGATTCTGCCTTGAGTAACAGCAAGAAGGAGCAAATACAGCCTTGCTCTTATTAATATACAAACTCTTTTCTGAAATGAGAGCTATGATTATTCAGTATTTGAGGATTGGGTCAGAGGTTTGAGAACGGAGTTTGAATCACAAGACTCTTGTGGATGGGTCCTGAGAGGGCAGAAGGACATGCTGGACCTTCAGGGATGTGGGTAGTCAGAGCTCTGTTGGTGGCAGGAGGATCCAAAATGGCAACCTCAAATCATTTTACATTTGTATAAATATAAGTATGTCTGATGTTCTAGATATTGAAACCACTTTGACCAAATAGTGAAAGCCATGTTCCTGAGGAGAAACTAGAATGCCAGGCCAGGTCAGGATCCTGCTTGTTATTTGAGCCTTTCTTTACCTCCTCTGCTCTGGGCCACAGTTAGGCTGCATCATCTCTTCTACCTCTGCACCAGGTGAAAGTAGATTGGACTTCTCTTTGTAAATGTGTTGCTTTACAGCCTTGTGTCTGACTTTCTTGGATTTTTAAAGTAGAGCAAGTGACAGTGCAAATAAGAGTTTGAAGCAAGATTTTTTAACTTAATTCTAGCATGGGGAGAGTTCATTGCACAACTAAAGAGAATTGACACCATAGGCTGTAAACCTAGGTAGATTAATGTTGATTAATAATGTATGCTGTATATGCTTTTATTTTGATTTAATATGTGATCATATCCATTTTTCTGTCTTATAATTTAGACTCAGATTGATGGACAACTTTTCTTAATTAAGCACCTTTTGATACTTCGTGAACAAATTGCTCCATTTCACACTGAATTCACCATTAAGGAAATTTCCCTGGACCTCAAGAAAACTAGAGGTACTTTGCTGTCCTGGCTGGCACACTTGGGTGTGTTTGATCTGTCCAGATGTGTCAGCACAGGTTTTAGGTTTATTTTATGTTCATCTGCAATTTTTTGCATGCTTTGCTTGCTAAATATGTTATTTGTTCGTACTAAGCTGAGCTGTCACCATGCTAATGACTTCTAACTTGCTGTATTTTCTTTATGAAGGGAACTGTATCTGGACATTTCAGTTTGTAATATTAGACTCATTTAGACTCTGCCACATATTCCTACAACCAGTTAAAAAGTGAAAAATCTGTATAATAACTGCTTCCTAAGTAAGTAATGTCAGCTAGTTGGGATGATTTTAAGCACTGAGTTGAGTTTGTCAGTTTATGAAAATTCAGGAAGCCAGCTGGGTAAAATGAGAAGAGTACTTATCTAAGAATTTGAAAGCACTGGGTTTTCTTCCTGTCCCATCATTTCCCGGCCTTTGTGTGATCTTGGGTGGGTGTTTTAGCTTCTCCATGCCACCTTCCTTTTATGTAAAATGAGCATAATGAACTTGTCATGATACCTTCACGAGGTTATCAAGATCATTAAGACCGAAAAGGAATGAAAATATATGTTAACATCTTCATAAATTTCAGGTGCTTAAATAAACTTCAGTGGTATTAAATCAGTAATCATGTAAGATAGGGTCTTTGAGTTGGTAATAGACATTGAATCATCTTGAGAAAGATGATTCATCCATCCTAATGATTTGTCTCTGAATTAGTAAGAGATGATTTCTAAAAGATCAGAGTAGTTAATTTTTAAGATAATTGATCTTAAGCAGTTAAGGATATACCATACACATCCCTCATGTCCCTTAATTACTTACAAATTTATGTAAACTTTATCTTAAACATTTCTAAGAGATTTATGCTCTGATGCCTTAAGCCATTCATTTATGTGATCAGTTAACTTCTCTCTAATGTTTTGGGGCAATTAAAAAAATGGTCACTCAAATTATTTTCTATGTGTTACAGTTTAGAGGAACCCCAAATATAGGATGTTCAAGGATAGCAGGTTTTTAGTTCCCCAATTCCTGTGCCTATCTGATAGTGGATTTGATTTAACTCACCCGAGAGCCAGTGTAACCTCATGATGATTCTTCTTAAAACAGTTTGCTCTATTTCGTTCCCTAGTGCTCTCTCTTGTCCACCACGGAGAATATGTTTTGGTTCTGTAAAGCATGTGTGTTATGTACTTTGTGATTTTAAAATTTTTAAATTATTTTTGTTTTTTTCTCTAATCTTGGAAGTGGCACACCATGTGTTTTTGTTTTGGTTTGGTTTTTAAATAGGAGCCAGATACCCTGGCTTTTGCCTTTACAGAACACATAGTTTTTTTAAAGCTTATTCTCATCAGAGGCTTCCATCTCCCACCCATTCTGGTTGATTTCATTCATTCCTTTCAGTGTGAGGTGTGGGAATCATGCTCTTACACCTTGAAGAATTCCCAGCTTCTGACAGTTCTTACTTTAAGTGATGGGATAGAGCAGGGTTGATTTACTTTCTTTCATTTTTTTCTAAAGTTGTAATTTGTTGCTGCTTGGTTCTAGTGTAGATCAACTGAGGTGAGAGAAAGTGAAATATCTTGAGATTGTGGCAAAATTTGGTTGAAAGTGTGTTTTCCTCCAAATATTACAAAGCCTGTGTAACTCTACCATATGATGATTTGATTCTGTGCAGACAGAATCTTTGAGGGATCTTATAGAAAAGACAGCAGACACAACTATTTACTAAAGCTTTACTCTGAATACTGAACTGATAGAGAGAGGGTCTTCTTCATTACTACCAGGGTCAAGGCAGTAAGTATTATGGTAGTGTGTGCTTGCCAAACCAGGGTTACAAGCATTTCATGCTTTGCTTTATCTGGTCTGGCAAAGCAAAGAGATGTTTTTTTCTTACTCACTTAATAATACTTGCTATCTTTACTTTTACGCCTCTAACCTCTCAAGACTAACATTATATTGTATTGCATTTGAACATCAATGAGACCTCAGCTAATACTTCACATAGATTCTAGTTAGTCTGGAGGTTAAGGGGTAAATACGTCCTTTTGGTGTTTTCTTCTTGGCTGACACATTAGTTTATTATTCTGCTTCAAATGAATAAATTTCTGTGCCAGCCAAGATTTTAATAAAGAAGCTGGGTAAGTATATGAGTATTTTTTAAAAACCTATTTAATATCCTAAAAGTAAAGCAGTGAAATTTTAAGGTGCCGATTACCATTTATCATTTTTCTTTTTTTTGGTAAGTGAATAATTGAGATTAATAGTCATTTTGCAATTTGAACTTCTAGAAAATAACTCTGTGAGTACTGTAGCCATCACTGGTGCTCATCTCACTCTCAGCCTTTCATGGAGGTGAGTTGCTGAAGGTGAATTGGCTTTTTGCCTTGTGGTGGTAGAGAACTGGTGTATGTTACTCATGGCTTTGCTGTTGAAACTTTACATGTTCACTGGATGAGTAATTTTGTTTCACAGATGCAGCATTTAAAATCCTGAACCCTATGACTGTCCCAAGATTTTTTAGGCTGAATAGCAACAATGCCTTGATAGAGTTCTTGTTGGAGGTGAGAAGGAGTCTGTTTCATTGGTGGTGGGAGATAAACGACATTCTTTACATGTCTGGTGATTTCTAGGCACATAAAAACAGGAGGAAATTGTTATCTTCTTTTTAAGGGTACTCCTGAGATAAGAGAACATTATCTTGACTCTAAAAAAGACGTAGACCGTCATCTGAAATCGGCCTGTGAGCAGTTTATTCAGCAGCAGACCAAGCTGTTTGTAGA
Organism: Homo sapiens; assembly: GCF_000001405.40. NCBI lineage: Eukaryota > Metazoa > Chordata > Mammalia > Primates > Hominidae > Homo > Homo sapiens. The sequence continues at coordinate 45,519,070 of NC_000013.11, forward strand.
ACAGCTGGAGGAGTTCATGACAAAGGTATAGACCTTGGTGCCTATGTGGTAAAGTCATTTTGCATTCTTCCTTAGATTTCCTTTTGAATTACTCTCTTGTGTAAACTCTGGCAGAAGGAGATATTAAGCCCAAGTCTTAATGATTCTGTCTAGGAAATCACTGTGTTTCCTATTATGGAAGCTTTCTGGTTTATGGACTTTTAGATATGCTTGCACAGTTTTTGTTTTTAAGAGGAAGAGTCGAAATATTGCAAAGCTAGTTATAGCTGACCCCTGGTTAGCTGTGTTCTGTTTATCCGCCTTGTAGGTTATCTGCATGTGGGCTGGGACTCTCACTTTCTCCTGGACCTGCATGGCAGCAACCACAGTCCTGGGAATCAGGGTTTCCTATTCTTAAAATGGGTGATTTGTTTTCCTCTTTGTTTTACATGCCGTTTTTCTCTTCCATTTTGCATGGATAATTGAGAACTGAAGACTTTTATAACATAGCATTGTTAACTGTCAGATATATGGATTTAATGTACAGTCAGTCCTCCTTCACATTGGTGGTCTCTTCCTGGAAACTGTGACTTTAAGTGAAACAACATAAAATGAAACCAATTTTTTTTTCCTCATCAACAGTATAATGAAACAATGTTGAACGTTGAAGGAACGACTTTATTTGAGGACATGCTGTGCGTCATTTCACTTAAAGTCACAGTTTTCAGGAACCTATTGCTGATATTAAGTGAGGACTGACTATATGTGTGGATAGTATATTCTCTCTGTCTCTCTGTCTTCTAATCTAAAATCCATTAACTGGCAAATGCCAGCAAAGAGAAAAGCAGATCATGGCTATTTTGACATTCTTGTTTCAACCTAATCATTTAAAAAAAATCTAAGTGTCATTACTAAGGACTTAAAGATATTTAAGAAGTCTTGAAATTAGGCTGGGTGTGTTGGCTCACACCTATAATCCTAGCACTTTGGGAGGCTGAAACAGGAGGATCGCTCGAGCCCCCAGAGTTTGACACTGGTTAACAGTCCTGGGTAACATAGTGAGACCTAGTCGCTACAAAAAACGAACAAAATTAGCCATGTGTAGTGGCGTGTGCCTATAGTCCCAGGTACTTGGGAGGCTGAGGTGGGAAGATTGCTTGAGCTGGGAAGTCGAGGGTGCAGTGAGTCAAGATCATCCTACTGCAGTCCAGCCTGGGTGACAGAGTGAGACTGTCTCAAAAAAAAAATAAAAATAAAAATAAAAATAAAAAAAGAGAAAGAAAGAAAACGTCTTGAAATTTTTATTTATTAAGCCGCTACTGTTTACCCCAGACTTGTATCAGAGGACATCATAAAAAGAATAAAAATATGATGGCTCTTATTTTCAAATTTGACTAGTCTTAACTGGACAGACAGGATATATGTATGAAATAACAAGGAGACAGCTATGCAATTGTTCATTAGAAACTTCTTGTTGGATCCATCAACGCTAATATGCCTGAAGCCTGTGGTAAAGACAGAAAATACGAGTTTTAAAAAATAATTAAAAAGGCCAAAAATGCATAGAAATGTTAAAGTACTCTTTTGTTTATCACTGGCATATATTGCTTGTTAAGTGGATTTTATTCCGAGTATTTGCAATGTGTGCATATGCATTTTTTTCCCACCACAAAAGCCATAAAAAAGGAGGGGGATAGAAATGCTTTCTCCTAGGTTTTGATTTTTTAAAAAAGGTTTGAGTATTGGTACTTTGTAATTTACAGATAACTTACAGTTTTTACTGAAACTACCCTTGTGAAAAACAAGCTGGTAGATTGTAGTGTATATTTCTGGGAGAACATCCACAGTAGTACTGGTGGGAAGTATTATAGATGAATATTGTACAATAACAGAACAGCAGAATGAATCTTCTGAAATAAGCAAGTTGATTATAATGAAATCCAGGATTAAAGGTTGTTCTAGAACAGCACAGTTTTTCTAGAAATCAAGAGAATAAAAATTTACACGTGCCCATAGTCTTAGCTACTCTGGATGTCTGAGGTGGGAGGATGGCTGAGCCCAGTAGTTAGAGACCAGCTTGGGCAGCATAGCAAGACTCTGTCTCAAAACATTTTTTTTTTGAAAAAGGAAATAGAGGTTTATGTAGAAAATATTCCAAGTCTGAATTATGTAATGGTTCTCCATGGACATGCTACATGCGTATAGCAGGGATCCCTGAACAAATGTTCATGGACCTGTTTTTATATTCCCTTCGTAATGGGATTGGGAAGGGAAAGGCCTTGCCTCTCATCCCCATTAGAAGCCAGTCTCATCCTACGTGATCAGTCTCTGCTGCCCTTGCTCAGACCACTTGTAGTTGCCTCCCTTTTCCTCTGTCAACCCTGGGCCCTCACTGCTGCTCACTGAGTTTCTACTGAGTGGACACTGCAGCCTGGAGGACTGAGCTTCCCTTTTATGGTGTCATATTCCAGATTCAGTTCCCTTTCATCCTGTGGCATAGAGTGAGTCAGAGACAAAGATACATACGTGCACACACACACACACACACACACACGCAACCATTTCAGACACTGCATCTTAAAATTTGTGGACCAAAGATTTTTCACTTTTTACCTAGTGACTGTTACTAGCATTCTGAATAGCAGAGAAACAGGAAGATTTTATAGAAAACTTTAAAATGATTTTCTTTAAAGGTAAACCTCAGCATTAATTACCTGCAAGTGCAGAATCTCATGCCTCTTTTATTTAGTTAGCTTTTTTTTTTTTTTTTTTTTGAGACAGTCTTGCTCTGTTACCTGGGCTGGAGTGCAGTGGCACGATCTCGGCTCACTGCAACCTCTGCCTCCCGGGTCCAAGCAATTCTTTTGCCTCTGCCTCCTGAGTAGCTGAGATTACAGGTGTGTGCCACCGTGCCTGGCTAATATTTATGTATTTTTTGTAGAGACGGGGTTTCACCATGTTGACCAGGCTGGTCTCAAACTCTTGGCCTCAAGGGATCTGCTCTCCTCGGCCACCCAAAGTGCTGAGATAACAGGCAGGAGCCACTGTGCCTGGCCTTAGTTAGCATTTTATAATGCTTGTCCCTTGATAAACGGTTGCAGGAAAATCAACACCCATAGGTACAGATGGGAAAGTCTTTCATCTCATTTGGATGTGTGTTTGTAGGTCTCGGTATTTATCATTTGGGTGTAAGGCTCATCAACAAAATGTCCTCAGCTTGTTTCTAAGTTTGGACTGATTTTTAACAATATAGATGTATTACCGTGTAGAGAATATTTTTAGATTGTCAGAGACTTGTTTTTGAGCTTAAAGAGTTGGGGTCTGATTTGGATCCCTTTCATCTACTGTAAATTGGCCTTGTTGTTTATGTAGCTTCTTCCTCTGTGCTCCTTGTTGAGACACTTTGTATGCATTAATTCTTACTACATCCCTGGAACCTGGAGTAAGAGAAGCATCTTTATTTGACAGGTTGAGAAATGGGTTGAGTATTCATGAGATAAGCATTTCTACAACATCTTCACCTGTCTGGTTTCTGTTTAATACCTGATTTTTGGTATAATTATTGATCTTTCCTGAGAAAAAATAAAATAAGTACTAGAAGAGTGTATATGCTCTGTTGCCTCATTTCCTGCCCCTGGAAAAATAACCTCTAAGTATTTGGCCTGAGGGAATGTAATGCTATTCTAAGGCTTAGGAGTAGAGGCTCATATGAAAACATTTGGCTTAGATTATTTTCTACCAAACTTCAAAAAGTGTTGATACTTTTTTATCGTTCTAGAATTCCATTGTACTAAATGTTGCTTGAAACAAACTCTTAAGTAGGACTTGGGATGGTAGTGGTTATAGTAGAAAGCAAGAACTTTGTGTCAAGGCAGCTGAGCCCTAGATCCTGCAACTGCGTCTGCCACCTTCTGACTGAAGTTAAGGTTATCAGGAGAGAAAACAAGATCATATGTGTATCTGTAAAGTGCTTGCTGCAGAAATGTTATTTTGTAGTACAGTTTGACAAATTTGAGGTGAAGATTTTGCTTTAGCACAAAGTCTAAATTAAGGCATTTTAAAGGAAGTATAATTCCAGGTTTGTAGCTAAGCTTAAAAGTGTTTTTTTTTTTTTTCTGATGGGACCAATTTATGCTAAAAACTCAGACTTATATATAGAAAATATTCATTTTCTTTCAAGTAATTTGATTATTACGAGTTTATTCTTAATATTCCCTCTGAAGTGTTGTTAATTTCTTCAGTAACACTATAAACTTAAATTTTTTTTCTTGATCTAGTGCATGTAATGGAGTTTGATCTGTAAGTTTAATTCCTGCTCTCAAGGAGGTATAACCTAAAGGGAAATTAAGATAGAAAAATAGGTAAACATGAAACTGTATACAGCAATGTTATTGTGAGACGATGGGTCTTTGTTCATTGTGTAGGAATTTTTAAAAAGATGGGGCTTCACTTGACTAGCCTTAAAAAAATGAGGCTGATTGGGGAAAACTTTTGAAGCAAATGCTCTTTGAGGTTTGACTTAAAGATAAGTAAACTATCTGGATAGTAAATAGAGATTAATATACTAGTTTATATTTGTTTTTAACATAAAAATACTTGTGCGAAACCTAAATCTATGTTATGAAATTGGTTAAATTCTGGAGCAATCAGTGCAACAGTAGGCAGCCATTACTATTAAAACAAAACTGTTGGATATGGGAAAATGACCAGAATGTAGATTTAGTGGGGAAAAAAGTTCACAGAACACTGTTCCCAGATTTGTAAATGTATACACATTAGTATATTTATATTTTTACAACGGAAAATATTTTGGATAACATACACTAAAATGTGAATGTATTTTTCTTTTAGCAGTGTCTAGTATCTATAATATATATGATTCATTTTTTAAAGTGCACCTCAAAAAATAAAGATATGAAGAGGGATGGAGTGAGAGGAGGAAAGAGGTGATTTTATACAGGTAGGCAGTATGAGCAAAGGCCTAGAGTGGTCCAGGAGGAGAAATAGAAACTAGAAATAAAGGGGAGGCTGAAGAGATCCAAGTCAACATTATACCCTGTGTCTGCCCATTATACCCTGTGTCTGCCTAAATGTTTGTATGGCCTTTTGTCTGAGAAATCTAGAGCTGTTGCTCGGGCTTTTCTAATGAGACTTTCCCGTGAGGCCAAAGCCATGGACTGCACCTTTGGCACATGACTGTCTATTTTAAAACACGTTTTATGCAGTTTCTCTCTCTTACCCTCCCCAGCTACCCCATAGCTCCACCACAGCTTACTGTCTTAGAAACAGTCTTGTTCAAGCAGCTAAGTGCCCTTTTTTGGATCCACTTCTCTATACTGCTGCTAAGGAATGAAAAGAGATGACTAGAAGATGGTCATTCAGGTCTATCTTTAGCACTGATTGGTCAGTCATATGTGACTTTTTGATGGTATTTGAAAATCTTATTTGTTTGTTTTAATGACATTCTCTCTGCCTGTGATATAAGAAAAATGATCCTCCATATGTAAAGGAGATTTTATCCAGCTAGGGTGACATTTTTCTAATTACATACAAAAATAATTTAATATTGACGTAACAGTCCCCTTAAGAGACACCTGTTTTGTGTTGACATTTCTCTAGGGCTTCATTTTTGTCTTCCTAGTGGGAAGTATTTCAGATAGAATGCCTCAGGACTTAGGTATGATTTTTAGCAAGATAACCATATGCCTTGAAATCACAAAAGAAGTTTTACTAAAAACGTTGATTACTTGTAAAGGATTATGAGATAATGCATTTTTTTTAGGGCTGCACATTTGATTATCATTGTGTTTTAATAGGTTTAAATGGTGTTGTGTATCCCTTGAGAGCAGTACCACCCTTGAGAGCAGTACCAGTTTAATTTGTCATTGATGAAATGAAACTTTTTTTCTTTTTGTCTCCTCTATTAGGTTTCAGCGTTAAAAACAATGGCCAGTCAGGGAGGCCCCAAGTATACTCTCTCACAGCAGCCTTGGGCACAACCAGGTATTCTGATTTGACCATTTTGGATTTCTTTTTTAGGATGTTATTAGTTTGCATTTATATAGTCCTTACTGTGACAGCTTGGAGTTGGTTTCCTATTCACTCTGGGGTGCTGCAATCTGAGTTAATGCAGGATTCAATTTGGAGCTGACAGGTCTTAATTGGTTAGCACTACTTGCATTTCAGCAAGCATTCCAAGGAAGGAAGAATTTTTTTTTTTTTAAATCACCCAGTTAAAAATAAAATATGGCTAAGATGGAAACCCTTTGAGTCTGTTGATTTCTGTACACCCACTATTCATTGTGTTCAAGCTTTGATGAAAATACTGTGGTTGATAGGAAGAAATTATGGCGAGTGTACCCACTTTCAAGTGTATGAAGAAATGTTGGGCCACTATTTTGTTCCACATTTTGTCCAAGTTATCCTCTGTTGACATTTTAGAGTATTGGGAAAAAAAATTGTAAAAATTGAGGCGTCAGTTGGGAGTTGGCAGGCAATACTATTGTCTGATTGGCAGATGTATTTGAGATGTTCCCAGTCTTACTCTTTCTTAAATGTAAATTTTTTTGTGCTGGAGGGCTTTGGGTTTTTTTTTTTTTTTTTTGGTCTTTAGCGTTAGACATTTAAAATCATGACTAACTTTGTGAGTTATTTTTGGTACCTCTTGCGGCATTTTAAATTGCCATTAAACCAGAATAAATCATTTTGTTAAATTGATATTTCTGGCCATTCTCTAGCCAATATTGTGATAGCCTTTGAAACTAAAATGGGCAAAATGATGAAAGAATGAGTGTTTTAATTATGGGTAAGCTGTGTCCAAGTTGGAGGGCAGCTTTCCACTCAGTGAGAGAGATCCAAAAAATGATTCTGGCTTTGCATCCATGAAAAATTGGCATGCACAGTCACCTAATCTGGAATCAACTTTTTAATATGATTGGTTTTCCATATTGAAAGAGCATTATATCTGTTAGGTATTCATTTTCTTTGGGAAAAAGGATTGAAGCTATTCAAAGCCTCCAAAATTTTAATTTTTTTTTTTTTTTTTTTTTTTTTTTTTTGAGATGGAGTCTTGCTCTGTTGCCCAGGCTGGAGTGCAGTGGCGTGATCTCGGCTCACTGCAACCACCTCCTGGATTTAACCAATTCTCCTGCCTCAGCCTCCCAAGTAGCTGGGATTACAGGCACCTGCCACCATGCCCAGCTAATTGTTGTATTTTTAGTAGAGACGGGGTTTTACCATGTTGGCCAGGCTGGTCTCAAACTCCTGACCTCAGGCGATCCGCCCACCTCGACCTCCCAAAATGCTGGGATTACAGGCCTGAGCCACCATGCCTGGCCTCAAAATTTTTAATTATGAATGCCTTAGGTTAACTTGAAGTTGAACTGAGAAATTAGAAGAATAGCTATGTATCACTTAGGAAGATTTGTAAATGTAGAGAATGTCAGTTGTCTTTGAAAGGAAGATAGGATTTTATTTCAAAGGTTCCTCAGGTGAACTTTGATGATGTCAATATAGGTTTGAGTTCATTTGTTTGACTGCAAATAAACTTTGTGACATACTTTAGGTGTTTCGTTTACCATGATGCAGACAAGGAACGTTCTATTGTCTTTATTATTTTAAACGTTCGTTGTGAAATACGTTGTGAAAAACGTTGTGTGTGAAATAGAAATCTTTGACATCTTACTACAAAAGCACACTTAATACAGTAGTACATTCTGTCAGAAGACAGAAAATCAGGATCTTTTACCGACAATACTGGAAATTCTAATCATAGTCTGACATAGTATTAACCACCTCTTCTGATTCCTCACAGTCAAGAGGCAGACTTATCAGTTCACAACTCAGCATACTTCTTGAAGGAATTCTGATGATTTGGGGATTAATTGGAGCCTTTGACTCAAGGTTCCAATTGCTTTTATAGGGCTTAGTTAGAAATAGGAGCTGATTTTTATTTTGAACATTTATGTAAATGAAACTCTTGGGTATGATAAATCTTTCTTAAGATTTAAAGGTAGAAACCAGTACAGCTAAGCCCAGTGTCTTGATGCATAATTAACGTATTGCTCTTTCCCCTTTGGAAAGATCCTCTCTCTCAAAATAGGGACTGTCATTTTCTCAAGTGGAACCCTAATAGGATTCAAAGTGTTAGATGTATTGTGCTCTTAAGCATTACTAGAATTTAGAATTGTCATAGTAAAGCAGGAGTAGATAAAAGGAAACTGGCAGGAGTAGACAAAAGGACAGATTGAAGTAGGACTTGCTGCTTTGTCATTTAACCCAGTTCCTTCTTTCTTAGTGAGGAGATCTTAGTGAATATAGCAATGACAGTTCAGTTTATCTTGTAGTTGTATCTTCTATCCCATTTAGGCATAGCAGAGGTGTGGAGTTGGTTTTTGTGAATCTGTAGTACTTGAAGCCCACACTTGAATGCCAAAGAGAGATTTATGGCCCCTTGGGGTGGGAGCATTGAGGACAATCTAGGAACTGTCTTGGGCCTCTCTGCTCTAAAAACTGAGGGTTACTGGTTCATTCAGACTTGGTCAAGTTCTCAGGGATCATTTCATGATCAAACAAACTCACAGGAGAGTGAGTTATAAATTAGGATGCCCATTTGTTAATTTACTCTGACGAAGAAACCTTTTTTAGGAATTAGAGGACACTTTAGTCACCAGCCTGTGCACCCACTCTCTGCTTATCAAGGGCTCTGAAGACCGATTTAGTGATCCCTGAGGTGTGTTAGTAATGATAGAACCAGGGCCCATGGAAGTAAGGGTCTTGAAGGAGCTTTCATGTATTAATGAAAAATAAGCAGTTCCTGAATTATTTATTCTTTCTTCCTGAGAATGTCAGCGGCATTTGAACCAGAGCAACTCCATCTCGAGAGAGAGCTAGGAAAAATGGGGATGGGATTTGCTGGGCTGCATTCCCAGGAGGTTAGGTATTCCTAGCCTCTAGATGTTTACATTTAATGAAACAGATTAGTAATGTTTACTAAACACACCCAGGCCCAGGAATGTCCTGATATCCTGATATCTTGAGAACAAAAGCATTCCTAATTTTGCTTTAAAGATAATAATATTGATTCTTGCAAAATATAGTAATTAAAAAAAATTAACCCTTTATCACAAGCCTTTGTAGCAGAGTACATATCCCCATGATGTTTTTTGTTATCCTATATATAAACAAGCATTGATCTAGGGTGGGCACGTTACTCCTCTTACTTTTGGGAACACCCTACTGTCTACGGAGTACCTACTCTTTCACCACTTTACTTTTTTAACAAACTTGCTTTTGCTTTATACTGTGGACTCGCCTGTATTCTTTCTTGGATGAGATCCAAGAACCCTCTCTTGGGGTCTGGATCAGGACCCCTTTCCAGTAGCAAGAGCATTGGTACTTTCTTACCCTGCTTTACTACAACCCTCCTCAATTAAAACATTGTTTTTTACATGGTATATTATTTGAACTATGAAAAGCTATAAAATGAAAAGTAATTATATTTTCTACCTCCAAACTAGTCCTTCTTTCAGAGGCAACTACTATTAAAGTTTCCTTCCCAAAATTGTTTATGTGTTTACTAGCACATGTGGACTTTAAAAATGTTACCCAAATGAGATTGTACTATACCCCTTGCTATTTCACTTCTTATATATCTTAGAGGCCTTTCTGTATAGCATATCCAACTTGATCCATTCTATTTATTGGATGCATCGAATACATCACTATAGCATGATTTCTTTTGTAATTCTTGTAATGGAAACCTAAATTATTTGCAGTTTTTGTTTTTCCTTATACTCTTAACATGTCTGTATACTCATATCTTGGTATTTTTTTAGTATATCTGCAAGTAAATTTCTAGCAGTGGAAATGCTAAAGGAAAAAGTATCTGCATTTTCAGTTTTGCTAGATAGCGCCTAATATTTTTCCAAAGAGATGAACCATCTTGTACTTCCATCAGCAGTACACAAAGATGCCTGTTTCTCCATACCCTCGTCAAACATGGATATCACAATCTTAGTAATTTTTGCCAATCATCTGTAAATATCTCACTGCTTTCATTTACATTTATTTATGAGTGAGGTTGAGCATCTTTGAAATTGTTAATAGTCTTTTTTCTTTGTAGTTTTCTAGATAACTTCTTTTAAATACTTCCTACAGATTACTACTCTCCTTTTCTATGTAACTCCTTCAGACATGACACTTGGGTTTCATAGTTATTTTTGTTATAACTTTTTGGGATTCTGTTCCCCTTCTGATAATACAGTATAAGAATATAACAAATAGATATTTAATTCCCCTTAAATATGTGTGGATATTTTCTGAATGGTCTAAGCATCTCTTACTGTGAGTCATTTCTGCAAATGAACAAACTCATTCATTATGAAGTAATTCTTACTAGTGTCTCTCTGAAAATGACTTTTTTTTTTTTAACTTTAATCTCTTACCTCCAAATTCCAAAGGTACATATTACAGCTCTTATGAATGTCCTGAAGCATGCTAGGGGAGTTATTTTGCTGCCTTAGCCCTTGGGATTAGAATTTTGTATAGTAGATATTTAATGAATGTTTATAGGGCTTATGATTAAACTTGGTAAATAAGCTATAAAAATGAAAGAAATTCTTTGGGGAAATAAAGAGTCTTTTCTTCTGCTATTTTTTTCTCCCTTTATTCCCCTTTGAATTAAAATGGAAATATTTCTTTTCTTTTTCTTTATGACACTAATGAGGTTACTTTATTTCCAGCAAAGGTCAATGACCTTGCGGCAACTGCATATAAGACAATAAAAACAAAGCTGCCTGTGACATTGAGAAGTATGTCCTTGTACCTATCCAATAAAGATACCGAGTTCATCTTGTTTAAACCTGTGAGGGTGAGTATCAGATAACTCATTTGAATGTTGGCGGGTGACTTCAAGTATTCTTTGCCTCATTTACCATTTTCCTTTTGCTGTAGACATTTAGAAATGTTGGTATACTGTTCTAGTGAAGTTGAATAATCACTATGATTCATGAAAGGCTTACAAAGTCTGCCTCTGTCTTGATTATCTTTTTTTCCCACTGTCACTTTGTCTTAAGTTTTTAATGTTACTACTGAAAGTAGAAATTAGTAAATAAACCAAAAAAAATCAGACCCTTACATTGCATGTGGCCCAGCTCTCAAGAGAGCAGCACTTCAGGAATTATGCCCCATTTTACTGGTGAGTAGTAGAAATAAATGGCTTGCAGTGGCAACCAAGGGATTAAATGTCAGAGCAAATTTAGGGCTCATAATTTCCAGCTCTGTGTTGAGCTCTTGTTCTTACCCAAGGCATGGGTTGATTTTTAAAGTATATTTTATGTGTCTAGGAACTTTGTTATCTTTTGTGTAAGAAATTGCTGCAGAAGACCCTTAAAATTATTCTCTGGGGGGACAAGGCTCGCTAGAGTTTAGTCTTCCTGGGAAGCATTATCTGATAAGTCTTCATCAGGTCATGCCAGCACTGAAATATTAAGAGCAAATTATGCGTCTTTGGTAATATCATGAAAGATACATCGCTTCCACTCGCTTTGGCAAATATCATTACAATTTAACATTCATGGTGCTTCGTGTTTAAGACAACTCATTTGATAAGATCTCCTCTCCTCCTTTCTAAGAATAATATTCAGCAAGTCTTCCAGAAGTTCCACGCTCTGTTAAAGGAAGAGTTCAGCCCTGAAGACATCCAGATCATTGCCTGTCCATCTATGGAACAGGTAATGGGTAGACTGAAGATCCTTATTACTTTTATGCCCTCTTGGTTATTTCACCTGAGTAGATAATGTCTTTGAGCAAACATATTTTTAGTATTAATTTAAAAAATATTACCTTCTTTTATTCTGATGAGTAAGAATTCAGCCTTTGAATTGTTCTCTCAAACTTTTGGGGGATAGTTTTAGAATTTTCAGTTAATCTCAGGATTAAAATTCTGTTTAATCCTTTCTGATATGAATATTGCTGTGTTTAAGAGAATGACCTGTTTGTAAAAGACTCAAATAGTGGCATTTAGCTTGCTGAATAATTTTGTTTGAAATATGCATAATAAGAGAAATACATTTTTTAAAAAAATTTTTGATTTTTCTGTAGGTTACTGGGGTACAGGTGGTATTTGGCTACACGAGTAAGTTCTTCAGTGGTGATTTGCAAGATTTTGGTGCACCCATCACCCGAGCAGTATACACTGCACCCTATTTGTAGTTTTTTAATAACTTCAAGATTGAAAACATGGAAGTTACTGAGTACCCAGTATGTATTAGGAGTAGCCTGGCGCTGTGGAGGATATTTTATATCTGGTCTTAAGTTTAGGATAGTTTAGAAATTTAGTATATGGTAAGGACTAGGAAATCTGGGGAGACTGATCAGGCTGGCAAGAGCCTGACTGGGCTGGGTAGAAACTGGGTGAATAGGACTAGGCAATGGTGAGTGTAGATAAATCTTGTGTTTTTGTTTTGTTTTGTTTTGTTTTGAAATGGAGTCTTTGTTGCCCAGGCTGGAGTTCAGTGGTGTGATCTCGGCTCACTGCAACCTCTGCCTCCCAGGTTCATGCAATTCTTGTGCCTCAGCCTCCTAAATAGCTAGGACTACAGGTGCCTGCCACCATGCCGAGCTAATTTTTGTATTTGGTAGACAGAGGGTTTCACCATGTTGGCCAGGCTGGTCTTGAACTCCTGGCCTCAAGTGATCTGCCGGCCTCAGCTTCCTAAAGTGCTGGGATTACAGTCGAGCCACCATACCCAGCCAGAATCTTTTGAGGAGTGTTACTGTAGTGGAGAGGAGAAAGATGGGGTGGTAGCCGGAGGGAGAAATGGGGTCATTTTAAAATTGAGATGTTCATATACTATAGAATTCATCTTTTTAAAGTGCAGAGTTCAATGGTTTTTAGTATATTCAGAAAGTTGTGCAGTCCTCACCACTATCTAATTAGAACATTTTCATTACTCCCCAGAAAAACCCCTTAGCCATTAGCAGATCCTGCATTTCCCCGTCTTCTTTTTGTCTCTGTGGATTTGCCTATTCTGGATATTTCATTAAATGGAATCATACAATATGTGGCCTCATATCGCTGCTTGTTTCATTCACCTAGCATGTTTTCAAGGCTCATCCGTGTTGTATGTATCAGAGCTTCCTTTTTATGGCTGTATATATTCCTTTATGTGGATAGATGGGTCACATTTTAAAAAGATATTTGTATCATTCTAGGATATTTGTACAGTCAAAATACTTCCAAATAATTTATTTGAAGTAATTACTTTCTATATGATTGTACCACTAACTCGATATATAATTGGGTTTCTTTTCAATATTTAGAGATTTTTTTTCTATTTTGATTTAATTTTGTTTCTTAATGATATAAAATACTTGCATGGTTTCCAAGTCAGAATTACAGAACAAGGTGCATTTGGAGAAGTCTTGTTCCTTTTCCGATCCCCTCCAGCCTTTCCCTTCCCTCCCCTATAGTTAACTCTTTTTATTAGTTATTGGGTTATCCTTCCATTGTTTTTTTTTTTTTTTTTTTTTTTTTTTGAGTTGGAGTCTCGCTCTGTCACCCAGGCTGGAGTGCAGTGGCGTGATCTCGGCTCACTGCAAGCTCCGCCTCCCGGGTTCATGCCATTCTCCTGCCTCAGCCTCCCAAGTAGCTGGGACTACAGGCCCCGCCAATTTTTTTTATATTTTTAGTAGAGACGGGGTTTCACCGTGTTAGCCAGGATGGTCTCGATCTGCTGACCGCGTGATCCACCCGCCTCAGCCTCCCAAAGTGCTGGGATTACAGGCGTGAGCCACCGTGCCTGGCCACATTTTTCCGTAGGGTAACTTGTTTTTTTTTAAAGATAGGAGAAAAACGCGTGTTTTTGTGTTCATGGGGGAAGATCTACAAGGAGGGGAAAATATCTTGACAATGTGGGTGGAATTTCAGGAACAGGCAGGGTGGGGCCTTTGTGAGACACACGGGGGTTCAGTCATGGTAACAGGAGGAGGCCGAGTGTATGGGCATGGATGGGGGCTGTGAATGTGGCGGGAGCTCATGGATGTGCTCTTCTGAGTGCTTCACGTTTCTGAGTGAAATAAGAAGCAAGGTCATCACCGAGAGGGAGGAGACAGGCTCGGGTGAGTTTAGTGGATATGAATCCAAGAGAGACCATTCAACTTAGTTGTCTATTTTTTTTTTCTCCAGTTATAGTCACTTGCATGAATGTAGATGTGGAGTACTTGATCATAAGATCCATTTTATGGCAGAAGACATTATTTTTGTAAGTTTAGTTTGTTATAAATTCAAACTTACAGAAAAGGTGCAAGAATAGTGTAAGGAGTGCCCATATATCCTTTACCCCATTTTCATTTTGCCCCATTTGCTTCATTTTTCTCATTTTTTCCCTTCCCTGTCCCTGAAGCCCCGCTTTTAAATAATTGGAGAGAAAGTTGGGAGACATTGTGCTCCTGTACTGCTAAATACTTCAGAGTGTATTCCTGAGAACAAGGAAATTCTCTCACTACTCCTGTATAGTTACCAAAACAGGAAACTTAACATTGATACTAGTGTCTAATTCACAGTTCATACACACATTTCATCAGAGTCCCGGTACCGTTCCTGCTGATCTTCTTGCTGACATTTCCCCAGTCCAGGTCCAGTCCCAGGTCATGCATTGCTGTCAGGTGTCATGTCTCTTTAGCTTCTTTTAACCTGGAGCAGTTAGACAGCCTTTCTTGACCTTGACAGGCCAGTTATTCCGCAGACTGTCTCTCCATTTGGTGTTGTCTCTTTCATCATGATTACATTTAGGCTTTGTACTTTGGCAGGGAAAGCACAGAGGTGATTCTGTATCCCTCTTCTGACAGCACTCATTTATAAATGACATCGGGGTGATGATCTGCATCAGCAAAACAGCTGTACTGATAGAATGGTTCACAGCCAGGTCCATTTACCCACAAGGTTCCAGGGCCTGGGTGTCAGACACCTGGAGTGCAGGCAGCCATTTCCCTCCTATCACTACTGTGACCCGGCTCTGGTGTCCCAGTCCTCCGTTACAGAGCGGGCAGGTTGCTCCTGCAGTTGGTCAGAATTGGCATGTGAGTTGAAATTCACTTGTCATGTCTGTTCTTGTGCGTTTTAAAAAGTCACTTAAAGGACAGCTTACAACTCTTCCAACAACACACTGCATAGAACAAGGCACAGTGGATTATGGAGGTATGTTTCTGTCCTTGTCAGTGTTTGTATATAGTTTTTGCCATTATTCTCATTGGATTTTAAGTGATTTGATGGCCTAGGTTTGGTGATGAAGTGTGACCCCTGACAGGGCCTCCCAATGCCAGTGCCCAGTGGCTGCCTCAGAAATAGACCAACATTGTGGGCCAGTTTCTACTTTATAGCCATGTTTACTGGTCTCATAAAAATCTTGGTCTTTTTCTCTCATTCTGTTTTTGGGGCTCTAAACAACTTTTTTTTTTTCCATTCTAATTGCTTTATTTTATTTTTCAACTTTTATTTTAGATTCAAGGGGTACATACATGCAGGTTTGTTACCTGGCTGTATTGCATGATGCTGAGGTTTTTCAACCCTTGTGGTTCCCCTCCCTCCTTGACTTTTCTTGAGGACGGTATTCCATAGGAGAACTAACATAGCTCTTAATTTTGCTTTTCAGCTGAGCCTTCTGCTGTTGGTTTCTAAATAAGCAGGCCAGCCGGGCTGTGCACCTAAATGTCTGTCTGGGAGGAGCAGGCTGAGAAGTCTTGCAGTCTGCAGGACACCGAGGAATCGTATGTGGGAACGTCCCCGAGAACCACACGAGCGTGCTGCTCAGTGCTGACTGCAGAATGAAATAGAAGCAAAGTGTTACAGGATCAGTGTTTTCTTTTCTAAAACATCAAAATGCCAAAGATTAATCTGTGATTGGTGATAACTGCCTCGTTTAAATGGTCACAAGAAATGTGAAGAGAGAGCTAGGGCAGACATGCAGTGAAATGGTTCTTTGTTAAAAATGTGCAATAAAAATAGATTACAATAAGTAGTGCAAAGAACTTTACAGAAATCAAGCGAATTAGAAGGCCTGTAAGAGTAAGGTTTGCTAAAACGTGAAACACTGTAACACTTTTAACCACTGAGCATTCCACAGTGAAATGTTATTTCTATGCTCTTATTTAATGTAATGTTTCTCCTGTCATTTTTGAAGTTGAGTTTGGAGTAGATTGGTTGCTTCTGAGAACACATTCTGCCTTCCTGGGAAGTCGGGGTGTCATCCTTTCCTCTGTTTGATGTGAGGTAGTTTAAAGATACAAGGACTTTGTGTGAAGCTCCAGCATCTGTGCCCCTTGAATTGCTTAGGTGCAGACAGTTCTAAAGCAAGGAGCTGCAGCATTCTCATCATAGATACGTGCAGTATCTTTAATGAGTATCTTCATGGTATGATAGTGTGTGTTTGTGAGTGCGAAGTACCAATTAAGGTGTCTTAAATTTGGCGCATAGAGGAGAGAAGGAAACCTGAGGAGTAGTGTTCCTCCTGAATGAAGGTTCAGGTCACCAGCCTTCTGTACACTGCCTTTGGTTTTAGCAGTTCTTTGAAAAGCAAACACTTTCATGTCCTGTCTATTCATTCAGCTGGCTGTGCTGTGCTGTGGACCAGCTGTGTGGATCTCTAGCCCAGCTACAGCAGAATACATTTTACCAGCAAACCTAAGGATGACAAACACTATCCACATCTGAAAACTACCACACCATATCAGGGATCATAAATTATGCATATCTATGAATTTTCCAACAAATTCCTACTTCCTGATTGGATTGGTTTTGCCGCTGATGTTAAGGCAGCCAGCTTCTTAGTTCAAAAAGAATTCTGAGTTTTTCAAACACTAGTCTAGAGGTGGACATTGTCAGGGGTTCTGGAATGGGACCAGGGGACCTTTTGGTGCAGTGGGTGCCTGTAACTCATTAGACGTACTGAGGCAGCACTTCTGCAGGGTGCATACCCTGATTGTTGTCATTTGTAACAGGTCACTTCCTTTTCACTCAGTTTAAATTGGTGATGGACGTTGCTTGATTGAGCTTATTACTCTCTATTTTGAGAAGGTAGAAGGTAAGAGGGCCCATATTCATTCTTTGCCATGAAATGAATGAATTAGGAAGATTGTATTTACTTAACTGTTTTTTAAATACATGTTTAATGAAATAAACTGTAAAATATCCAGTTTTGTGTATTATATGTACATTTGATTTTTAATAGCCTTTCCAAAGAAATGAGGGCATGATTATTGTACAGTAAGTACGTGACTGATTTAATTTGATTTACAGAGCGGAGTGTGTTCTTATAAAAATATTTAATGACATTGGTTCTTGTCTTTTGATCTTTTATTTCTGAAACACTCAAACACCTTACAAAGTGCTGAGTAGGTAATAGTGACCCAACTTGTTTGCTAAATGATTATTTGTTTAAATCTGTACAGTTTTAAGTGTTCACTTATACAAAGAGTGTATATACTTTCAAATAATTTAAAATGCTTTATATTATTTGGCTAGAAATTGCTGTTTTTAATAAATGTGAATTTTTTAAAAATAAAGATTTTTGCTTCCTACCTTGTCCTCACGTGTCTGATACGTGTGTGCATTCCTTGAGGAAAATTTCTTTAATTAAAATTTTAATTGAGATAACTTGTGTCAGACTCACATGCAGTTTTAAGAAATAATACAGATAGATCCCATGTACCCTTTGCCCAGCTTCCCCCCAATGGTAGCATCTTGCAAAACTATAGCACAGTATCACAGCCAGGATATTGACATTAATATACTCTATCAATCTTACTCAGATTTTGCCAGTTTTACTTGTACTGTATAAATTCCTTTGGCAAGAAAATTATTATGGAAAGACATTTTTGAAGCATCTTAATGCTTCCTTAGTTAAAAGACATTTTAACTTTTTCTTTGTGAAACTGACAATTTCATGAGTACTGTCAGCATAGTACTGACATACATAGTTGTATTGAAATTTAGTAGTATTGTATTCTTCCCTCTATTTTCCAAAAATATTTGTATTTTCTCCCCTGGCTTAACAACACCATATCTTTAAATTTTCTTCTGCTGTTACAAGTAAGACAACTTATAACTGCCAACCACGGTTGAATGTTTGGCATATACCTTCCAGATTTTTTTCTATGTATATTCTAAAATAACTTGTCTTACAAGATTGGGCCCTTTTACACATGTTAAAGGAAATCAAGTGGGTTTTCATTATTAGTGTATACAAACACACCCATACATATTCTTTTGCTGAACTATTTGAAAGGAAGTTGCAGTCATCGTGACACTTTACTGTTAAATTATACCCCTAAATAATTCAGCATCCGTTTCCAAAGAATAGGGACATTCTCCTACATAACCCAACACCATTATCACACCTAAAAAAGAAATTCAGTAGTATCTAATATGAAGTCCATATTTCAGCTTCCCTAATTGTTCCCCCAAAATGTTTCATAGCTTTTCTTTATCCTGGGTTCAACATTTTACTTGGTTGTCATGTCTCTTTACTTCCTTTTAGCTTAGACAACTACTCTTAAGAGTTTTCATATGCTTATTTTCTTGACATTGACTTTTTTTTTTTTTAAAGGAAGAGTCTAAGGCCAGCTGTCTTATAGAATGAATCACAGTCCAGATGGTCCTGTTTCCCATTAGTAAATTCAGAAACCCTAACATTGCAGGATATACCTTCTCATATACATGGAGCAGTTGCCAAGATAGATGTGCTGGGCCATAAGAAAACAAAACCAAAAAACCCAAGTATGACCTGCAGCAGTGGCAATCCCTGCCCCTGCCCCCAGCCCTGGATGTACGGCAGTATCTGAAGACATTTTGGTTGTGACTGGTGTGTGTGTGTGTTAGGGGTGGGGTATTACTGGCTTCTAGTGCGTGGAGACCAGGGATGCTGCTGAACATCCTACAGCACTGGATAGTCCCGACCACAAAGAATCATCCAGCTCTAAATGTCAGTGGAGCAGAGGTGGTGAAACCCTGCTATATAGAATAGCGAGTCCCAGTCCCCAGCACTTGCTGTTCCCCTCACCTGCATTAGTTGTCTTTGTACCTGACACATGATGTATTTTGCTTGTTTGTTTTTTGTCTTCCCCACCAACCCAGATCACAAACTCCTTGGGAAAGGAACTTTGTTTTGTTCATACGCAGCACCTAGAACAGTGTCTGCAGAAGATGCTCTATAAGTGTTGTGTGACTTTGTTGTCCAAGTCATGCAGCCTTCCCCACATCATCCCATTACTACTAAGTCCTGTGCATTTTCTATCCCAGACAGCTGTTTAGTTTTTTCCCTCTGTTTTTCCAATACCATCGCCCTGGCTAGGGATGACTTGTGTGTTGCTGAGATCCACTTGGGAGCTTCTGTCTTTGATGTGTGGTAAGGACAGGGGTTTCTGTGTACCCTGAGCATAGGTGTGGAACTAACCAGGCACTCAAACTTTGTGGCTATATAAAGGGATGCTACCACAGTAGTCATTTATGGCTCATTACCTTGCAACAAAGGAACTGTTGTTGTGTGTTAGCCGATGACAGCATTCACCAGCAAGGTGTGACTGTCAGGCCAAGGAAGTGACATGTAGCACCCTGCCTGTGACAGCCTGATTGTCCTAGTCCCAGCTCAGCTGCACAGGTGATGGTTTGGGGGTGAGGACAAAGCATTAAGTGGAGGTTGGTGGCAGACAGTGGGAGAGCCTCAGGGAGAAGGGCCATGAAGGCAGCACTTGGGTGTCACTGTTCACAGTAGAGAATGGCTAATTGCTAGAGGAAGGGTCCTCTCCCCTCTCCTTCCCTCCCCTCCCATTCCCTTTCCTTCCCTCTCCTCCCTCTCCTCTCCTCTCTTCTCTGACAGGGTCTCACTCTGTAGCGCAGGCCAGAGTGCAGTGGCATGAACACAGCTCACTGTAGCCTTGACCTCCTGGGCTCAGGTGATCCTCCCACCTCAGCCTACCAGGTAGCTGGGATTACAGGTGCACACCACCGCGCTAATTTTTTGTATTTTTTGTAGAGATGGGATTTCACTATGTGGGCCAGTCTGATCTCAAACTCTTGACCTCAAGTGATCCACCTGCCTCAGCCTCCCAAAGTGCTGGGATTCTGGGTGTGAGCCACTGCACCTGGCCTGGGGTTTTCTTTTTTCTTTCTTTCTGAGACGGGGTCTCACTCTGTCACCCAGGCTGGAGTGCAGTGGTGTGATCTTGGCTCACTGCAACCTCCCTGCCTCCTGGGCTCAGGCAATTCTTGTGCCTCAGCTTCTCGAGTAGCTGGGCTTACAGGCATGCACCACTACACCCAGCTAATTTTTGTATTTTTAGTAGAGGTGGGGTTTTGTCATATTGCCCAGACTGGTCTCTAACTCCTTGGCCTCAAGTGATCTGCCCACCTTGGCCCCCCAAATTGCTGGAATTGCAGGAGTGAGCCACTGTGCCCAGCCAGGCCTGGGGTTTTCTATACTGTCTTGGTTGACGCTGGAGCTCAGGTCATTCTGGGAAGTTTGCAGGTGTCCTGAGAGTGTATAAAATCATCCCCTGGGGGCTGCCCAGCCCAAATCTCCTATTTTTAGAAACAGCTGCCCCTACTCATGCTCTGGGATCAGCTGGGAGCCATTTACAAGACGTAATCCCACCTGCTCTTACTGCACTGGATTGGACCAAGGGTGGTCTCCTGATTTAATCAAGGCCAACTGCAGAGACCACTGGGGTGTTTTTGAGAGTGATTGGGAGACAAAGCCATGTGACCTGAGATGCGTAGAAAACGTCTCTTGGACAAGATGAGTGTCGAAGACTGAGAGGCAGAAAGATGGGGTCTGCAGCTTCTCCGCTCCAATCATTTCCGAGACCCATTGCATCTTCAGTTCGGGTCAGTGTTCTTCTCTCCAGATGACACATTTCCCCCTTTTGTTTTAGCAATTCAAGTTGGTAACTGTTACCAGTGACCCCAAGTGTCCCACCCAGTTCCTGGGAGGAGCTGGCATGTGGGTCCTTTCAGGCTCTCAGTCACCTACGGGTTTCGGGGACTGGATTTGGGCCGATGTGGGTTTGCCATCTGGGTTTCCCTCTGGCTTGGCAGGGGTGGACGAGGTGTAATGAGGTCAGGGTTGGAGAGAGCCTCTGGGGCTGTGCAGGAAGCGTGTGGGATCCAGGCAGGGTTGGAGAGAGCCTCTGGGGCCGTGCAGGAAGCGTGGGGGATCCAGGCACTGGGCCACACGTAGCCTCCCCTCTCTCAGCCTCAGGAGGAGGCGCTGTGTTCTGGGGTGGTGCCCAGAGGCTCCAACACCAGGAGGAGTGGCTGGACCCCCACAAGGCTGATGCATGATTTGTGCCAAGTCAGCAGAAGCTGACTGGCCGGGACTGGCCTCCAGAGCTCCCTGGAGTGGGGTGGAGGTGGGTAGGGGCCATGCAACAAGGTAGGATAAGGGCAGTAGCACCTGGAGTGGCCTTGAGTCTTTGAGATACCCTGGAGTGGTGGTGGTGGCAGGGTCATAAACATACTCATATTATCACCACAGTGATATCACTTTGTAGTCGAGTAGGCTGGAATACCAGTCTTTACCATCACATACTGGTGTGTGATCCTGGGCGAGTCCTTTAACCTCTCTGCATCCCAGTGTCCTTGAGAAAATACTGCCCACATCCTGGAGCCACACGAGCTACAGCTTGCACAGTGCTCACAACAGGGCCCGCCTGGTTCGTGCGCAGTCTCAGTAACAATAGGGAGCATCATGAAGAGAAAGGCCTGAGGAAGCTGAAGGGGCTGTGCCTTCGCAGCCCAAGGAAGTGCAGACACTCAGCCTACCCGATTGTCTCACAGACCCTTCCCAGGAGCTGCCCAGACGTGAAGGAAGGGCCAAGCTGACAGTAATTGGAGTGACGCTGAGTGGCTCCTATGGGCCAGACCCTGTTCTAGGGACTGTACGTGCATTATCTAATTTAATACTCCCAACTCTGTGGTGATCGTTGCTATTTTTAGGCCCATTTTACAGATGAGGAAACTGAGGTATAAAAGTACTTGCCCAAGATCACACAGCCAACAAAAGACAGAGCTTGGCTGTGAGCACAGTCGTTGTCCTGAGTCAAGGCCCGTACTGAAAGCCACAAAAGAACTGAGTGAGTGACCGTAGAAGCAGGCAGGACAGGCATTGACATGTCACTGAAACGACAACTTGCTTCCGTGCTGTTGGGTCAGGGCTGTCAAGCCTTTTCTGTGCTCAGCCACAGACTCTGTTAGCCCTTCTGCCAAAAATGTTTACTTCAAATCAAGGAGCCACGACAGGTCCCAAATTACAAACCAACTCTCATAAAAGGTCAACAGGTCTTTGGGTTTTTTTTCCCTGGAGCTCCCAAGGTCTCCAACTTCCTAAGGCATTTGGTGGATGCCAGATAAGCCCCGCCTTAAAACCAGAGTTTAGAGAGCATCTTCTTCAGGTACTTGTTGTCCATCAGTGATATACTGACGGCCTCTATGAAGTTTTCCAGATCAGGGGTGGTCGCGTAATTCAGGAGCCTATTCATTTTCCCCAGAAGGACCCGGATCTTCTGGGCTGTTGGGCCGGGTTCTGCCTCCAGGATGGTTTTCTTCTTCATTTCGCTCAGCACCTCTGGGATCACAAACTGTGGGGATTCACAGAGGACTGGGTGAGAATGCATGCTGCCTGAGCACGGTGCCCCAGACCCAGGCCAGATCTCCTGTGGCCAGGACCAAGCGTTCCCTGAGCCTTCACTCGAGAAAGCACATCTGTGTTCTCAGCCCTGCCACCTGCCACCTTCCTGCTGCTTCCAAATACGCTCACTTGGCTGGTGTTGCAGTCAGGTGGACCATGGTGATGTGGGCTGAGGCCACACCCATGCCTGGCCCTAAACCGGAGGGAAAGCAGTTCTGGTGCCCTGGCGCGGCCTGCCCTCCAAAGGCGGTGCTTTCCTGCGGCTGCCGGGCTTCTCCCCATGGGGTCCCGACCATGGGGCCCTGCAAGAGCTGGGATGCCTCACAGTGGCTACCCGTGAGCCCCGCCTCCACCTTGGGCTCCTTGGGAGTGTATCTGGGTTTTGTTGAGATGAAGGCCTGGCCCAGGGAGGCCGCCTCTATGCCAAGTTCTGCCTGGGTCTGCAGCCTGCAGAAGACTGAGGACAGAGTCTCCTGGAGGGGATAAGATAGGACGATACCCGTGTGCTCCATTCGTATGCGTATGAAATGTCTTCACACAATATTGTTATTATTTTAGCCATGTAATAACCTATGTCCATATTATAGAAGACTATGGGCTCAGACCACAGGCTAGTGTCACCCAGGAAGTGGAGAGGCTGGGCATGGAGGCGCCTGTTCTTCCCTGGGCACACTACTGCCCACGTGGGCTGACCCTGTGCCAGGCTCTGTCTCATTTCTTTGGCTCTGATTAGTTACACTGGTGCTGATTTGCTTCATTTGGGACATGCCCTGCACAGGCACAGCTGCCCCTCCCCGGGACTCTAGCTCTCCAAGGCGTCAGGCCCCCTGGTCTCTCTGCCCACAGCAGCCCTTCCTGCAGCCTCGCTGGGCACCTCCTTCCTGTCCCTGCCCTCCTCCCTCCGCCATTCAAAGGCCGGTGCCCCAGGCCCTCATGCTGTCCAGCCCCAGCTGGTCCCGCCACTCGGGCTTGGTAGTGCTGGCCTCCTCTTCACTGGATTGGCTGCTCTGAGAAATCCAGGATAGGCAAGGATGCTGGGATGTCATTATTCACCTGCAAAATAGGAGGCCTTCCCAGGCAAGGGAACCTAGGGGGGTCAGCAGGCCAGGCCTGTGTGGAAATTTCCCAGTTTTAGCAGTGAAAGTCCCATGTCCCAGGAAACTCCTCAGTCCTGAGCAAACCGACGTGTCTGGCCACCCTAAACCTAGCACACTCCCTCCTCTCTTCTCAGATACTCTGCACACAGCTGCATCTATTCTGCTGGAGTCTGCTATTATCAGCCCACTTCTCCATCTGCCTCATTCCCAGGGGACATGTCCATCTGTCTGTCTGCCAAGGCAGTCCTGCTCCCAGGGGCCCCGGGACACCTCTCTGGTGGTGTGGGGGTCTGTAAGTGGAGCCTTCCCTGTGGAATGGGCCGGGGGAGCTGAGCAGGAAGAGAACCTTGCTTAGGCCTCACGGGGGGAGCCAAGGACACCCTCATTCCTCTCCTTAACTCTGGTCCTCAGGAAGGGTCTCAGGAGCCCACCTTCTTCCCCCACTACAGTTGGAGCTCTGGGGGTCCAGCCTCAACATTTTGAGTAGGTGGAACTGTGTCCCCCAAAAGTGATGTCCAAGTCCTAACCCCAGTGCTGGTGAATGTGACCTTATTTGGAAACGGGGTCTCTGTGGATATGATTAAGTTAAGGCTCTCAGGATGAGCTCCTTCTGGATTTAGGGTAGGCCCTAGATCCAACTACTGGTGTCCTTTTAAGAAAAAAGACGAGGTTTGACACAGACACACAGAGAAGAAGGCTGTGTGAAGGTGGAGGCAGACACTGGAGTGATGCCACCACAAGCCAAGAATGCCAGAAGCCATCAGAAGTTGGGAGAGCAAGGAAGTGTCCCCCATTGGAGCCTCTGGAGGATGGTGGCCCCATGGACACCTTGATCTCAGACTTGGCCCAGAACTGTGAGAGAGTAAAATTCTGTTGTTTCAGGACTCCTAGTTTGTGCTGATTTGTTCCAGCAGCCCTAAGAAACAAATACAGCATTGGTCGTCTCCTGCCTGCCTGGGGAGTGTGCCTTGAACTTCCAGGGGATCATCTGTCTAGAGAAGAGTTTGTTTGAGGAGGAGGGAAGAGGACACAACAGCAGGCCTGGGGACACAGACTCCCCCTTGTTTCTGGCCCTGACTTCTGACACGGCCACTGTGAGTGTCAAGTGAGATAATGCAGGGTGACATCTGTGTTTTATTGTCAGGATCATATCCTGAGCTCAAGTGAGCCTCCTGCCTCAGCATCCCAAGTAGCTGGGGCTACAGGTGCGAGAGCCACCATGCCCAGTTAATTTTATTCATTTATTTACTTATTTATTTTTTGAGATAGGGTCTGGCTCTGTCGCCCAGGCTGAGAGTGCAGTGGTGTGATCTCAGCTCACTGCAACCTCCGTCTCCCTGGTTCAAACAATTCTCCTACCTCAGTTTCCCGAGTAGCTGGGATTAAAGGCGTGAGCCACTGGGATCAGCTAAATTTTTTGTATTTTTAGAAGAGACGGGGTTTGACTGTGTTGGCCAGGCTGGTCTCGAACTCCTGGCGCTAAGTGATCCACCTGCTTCGGCCCCTCAAAGTGCTGGGATTACAGGCATAAGCCACCGCAACTGGCCTACACCCAGTTAATTTTAAATTTTTTTTGTGGAGAAGGGGTCTTGCTATGTTGCCCAAGCTGCTCTCAAGTTCCTAGGCTCAAGGGATCCACCTGTCTTGGCCTCCCAAAGCCCTGGGGTTACAGATGCAAGTCATTCTTCCCAGCTAACCTGAGCATTTCAATGTGAATTTCCTCAGATCCTAAGCTCACAGTGCTGGGGAGACACATGAATGTATTTGTGTGTACTTAAACATCAGGTAAACCAAAGTGGCCTTGTTTTTATACGGGTTGGCATATATAGAACAAGCCTGGAGGCCTGTGGCATGGGCCAGTCCAAGCCAGCAGTGGCCTTTGTACAGGTGGGCACCCCACCTGGTGGAGGGTATGGGGAGTTGTGACCTTACCTTGTACCTGGTGCCCAGGTTTAAACAAATCTGCTTCTGTTCATAGGTGAAGCAGAAGATGATCTTATCCTGGCTCCTTATTTGTACCTGGATGTACTCATTGATTTTCAAGGAGATGGGCTGGACAGGGGGTGCGTGGACATGGATGTTCAGATTCCACCAGTTCCAGGCCTTCTGGCGTTTGTCTTTGGGGAAGTAGTAGCCCAGGTTGGAGCTCAGGTTCAACCTGGACCAGGAGAAAGCATGTCAGGCAGCCAGGGCGCTCAGCCCTGGGCCTCTGCTCCTCCTCTTCTCCTTCCCTTTCTTTTCCCCTACTTGGCACAGAAAGACTGACAGGGACTTGATGGGTAGGAGAAGCTCCAACATGGACAACCAACCCAACACCAGGCACTGTCCCCTGCGCTGGCCTCACCATATGGCCCTGTCCTGCCCTCCTTCCCTCTCCTTAGTTCCTGGCACACACAGGCTCTTCCTGCTCACAGCTTTGCCATGCTCTGCCCTCTGCCTGCAAAGTTCCCCTGCCCCAGGTGGCATGGCTGGTGTCTACTTATCCTCTAGGTCTCAGCTTAGACGTCACCTCCTCAGCCTGAGCAGCCTACCTGGTTCCCTACGGGACTCTGTTGCCATGCCTTGTTGGTTTCCTTCATATAATTTACGAATAGATATGGTAAATTCTCATTGTTCACTGTATTATGTTCTAGAAAGCCAGTGATTTAGTGAATACCAAAACAACCCATAGCTCCTAGGGGAAATATGCACACAGACACATCTCACATAGGTTATCATCTTAAATCCTAAAAGCAGCCCATCCTGCTAGATACCATTTTTTGTTTTTGTTTTTGTTTAATTTTTATTTTACAAAAGAGAATAGGAGGCTCAGAAGTGTCATGTGACTTGCCTGAGGCTATCCCAGTAACACTTGCTGGAGCTGGGATTCAAACCCTGTCCCACCAGCCCCAGAGCTGCAGCTTCTTGCACAACACTGCCCTGTGTAGGGACACCTGTGTCCTCTGGTTGCCTCTGCAGGAGAGCTGAGCAGAAGGGCAGAGCGTGGCCTTGTTCAATCTCAGCCAGCAATGTGCACACTGGGCATGTGCAAATTTCCCACTGCTCTGGGCATGTCCCTGGCTCCACGTGAGTTACATATTATATATGTATGTATTTCCCCTAGGAGCAAGGGGTTCAGTATTGGCCAATTCAGTGTTCTCAATGACTTTATAGACTATAACTACCATGAATCATGAGAATTGACTGTATTTGTCCATCATCTGTTCTCTCTCAGCACAAACTTGTGAGGGCAGGGACCTTGTCTGTCTGCTGCGCTGCTGAATTCCTGTTGCCCAGCCTTGTGCAGGGCACCCATATTGATAGGTACAAGGGAATGAAGGGTGGATGGATTTCTCTCTCATCCATTCCTGACCCTATTCTGTGGGGCTTGCCTGCCCTCTGAGTCATCCTCTCTTGACATTTCAAACCCATCGTGTTCCTCTGGCCCTGGCTTCTGCTTTTCAAATCCCAAAGGGCAGTTCCTAGAATCAGTGCCCTTGGGGCAGCAACATCTCTAGGGAATCACATGAAGAAAGGAAGCGATGCTGAGGCCTGGGTTCGTCTGGAGAAGGAGGGCTTGGGGAGCTTGGGTTACTGTCTGCCAGGTCTCGTCTGAGCTGTCCAGGGTGTGGCGATGTACTACATTTTATCTAGAAATATCTATTCACTGTAAACTTTGCCTTTCTTTGAAAACAACCCTTGATATTGTTGCATACGTGACAGGCTTTGACGCCCGTAGCTCCCTACACATTCCTTCCAGGGCACGTGTACTTTTTCCCCAAGACGTAGGCCCCAGGTCTGGGAGGTTTTGGTGCAGAGATATACCTGTCTTGCATCTACCCTAGACTGCACTTCTGTCTGTAAGTTCCCCTAGTAATCACCTTGTACAGACAAACCGGGTTTGTCTGCCTTGTTTGGTTTCCAGCTCCCTCTGCATTTGGGGGTCACTTTGTATATATGAACCTTTCACGGAACACAGGGGCCTCATCGGAGTGAGAAGGTGGCTCAGAGGCCTGCTATGGGAAGCCTTGCTCACCTCCAGTGGGGAGGACTTCCAGTCACTCAATCCCAAATCCTCCTCTTGCTTCCCACTTTCCATTGAACAAAGAGCAAACTTCTAAGGTCCTTTGTCTTGGGACCCCAGCCTGTCCAACCTCATTCCTCCTTCTCTAAGTAAGAGGCTATATACATACTGAAATTATAAAAATAACAAATGAACAAACAAAAACCTGGGCTCTGGAGCCAGACTCTCGGTTCAAAGTCTGGCTGTGCCACTTGCAAACTGTGTGACCTTGGGCCAGTCACTTAACCTCTCTATGCCTCCATTTCCTCAACTGTAAAAAGCAGACAATAATAGTACTTTGTTCAGAGGGCTGAGTAAGAATTAAATGTCTATACACAGCAATAACTGAGAAAACGTTAAAATTTCCTTGTTATCATTGATGGGAGGAGAGCAAAGAGAAGAATCTTCTTACTTCACTCTGTGGGGAGCAGATCCTGCTAGCTTTTAACCTTTTAAATGGCTCCCATCAGAGTTCTCACACTGAGATGGGCAGGCTGGTGGGTTCTCAATTTTAAGGTGGTCTGGAGGAAAAGAATAAAAGCCCCTCACTCAAGCTCTGGCTTAGCTAGCTCTTAACCAATCAGTAACAAAAGACCCAAGAAGCTCCTATTTCAGGTGGCTACGGACTTCCTGGAGCCCTGGATGTGCAGTTAGACTTAAACTAATGCTAAAAGCCACACGCAGGGGTGGAGATTTAAAGTGAGAATGTTACATAAGATGTATGAAGAAGCACGTTGAGCCACCGTGCAAGCACTAGAATAACTGCTCCTGTACATGCCCTGTCATAAACATAACCCTTTCCTATAGGAAGACCCTATAAAACCAACCCACACATTGCACTCAGGGAGTAGCCCATTCTTTTCTTTTCTCAGTGCTGGTTCCCTTGTGTACAAGCTGATATAAACTTTACTTTGCTGCTATGTTTGGTGATCTCTCTTGATTTCTATCCTGGGAGATCCAAAGAACCTAGGATTCCAGTAGCAACACTAGGCCACCCCCCACTCCCTAGTGTTAGAGATCTGCTCCTGCCTGAGGGTGCCCAGCTCTGGGCTAAGTCCCCCTTTGGAAGATGGGATCTGGAACATCTAGAAATGGTCAGAATTGGGAAGTTCCTGCTCAGGGGGTGAAAAGATCCTGAACTGTTGAATGAGTAGAACCCACCCACCAGGGACCCTGAGTTTGGGCAGGTCTCAACACTGTGTGGGACCCTGAACCCAGATAGGAAGCCTGGCCTGAGACCCCTTGGGCTGGGAGTCAAGATGGGTGCTGGATTTTAGTTTCCACACACCTGGCAAAGGACAGCCATGCCTTCCATCTTCCCTGAGGAAATGGAAATCGAAAAGTGACCTAAGAAGTATTCAGCTCTTGAAATGGCTTGGCTATAAGTCCCTCCCAGTGCACAAGGCACCATGGAGAAGTCCTGTTGGTGTGGAGGGAATTCTAGCAGTTAGGGTCGTGCCCTGACCAAATGGCTTTGTATTCACAAGTGACTCTGGGAGGCTTTTCCATAAAATCTTCTCCTAGGTCAATGAGACTGCAGTTTTGCTGATGAATTCCCTCGGGGACTAAGCCCTTCCTCTGTGGGTAACATTTTTCCTCTGGAGCAGCTGCCCCTGGGGGAAGGAATCAGTTTGCGGGTAGGGCAGCCCATTCACAGAGAGAGGGAGAGAGGCTGGCCCTGTGGTTTGACTTTTGCAGGGGTGAGGGGTGCCGTGAAAGGATACACAGGGACCGTCTGTTTCTCATCCAGATGCTCAGGTGCAGAGGGGCCGGGACATGCTGATAGGACTGAGAGGGGGAGCTCTTCCCTCCCTGGCTTGCTTGATGGTCTGTCACCAGATCCTCTCTGAGGTAATTAACTGAATTTCTTGCCCCACTCCTTTGTGCTTTCTGTACCCAAGACCTTGGTCCACTCTTGGACAGCATTTTCTATACACAAGGCATTCAGGGGAGGGCAGATACCTCCAGAACAAAGAAGACAATCAGGAAATGGTGTCTAAAAAGACTCACAGCAGAGAAAATATTGTTAAAAACCAAAGTCTGCAGAATGAAAATCCTTTTTTGGAACTATGTTTGGCTTTGACCAACAAGAAGAAAGTATAAAGTTGATCCAAGATAATATAAGTCCCTTTGGCTGGGCGCGGTGGCTCACACCTGTAATCCCAGCACTTTGGGTGGCTGAGGCGGATGGATCACCTGAGGTCAGGAGTTCGAGATCAACCTGGCCAACATGGTGAAACACCATCTCTACTAAAAATACATAAACTAGCTGGGCTTGGCGGTGCATGCCTGTAATCTCAGCTACTCGAGAGGTTAAGGCAGGAGAATTGCTTGAACCGGGGAGGCAGAGGTTGCAATGAGCCGAGATGACACCATTGCACTCCAGCTTGGGCCGCAGAGCAGACTCCGTCACAAAAAAAAAAAAAAGTATATATAAGTCCCCACACCATGACCACTTAGAAGAGGGAGGGAAGGAAAAAATCCTGAAAAGAGAGTCCTTTACCTCAAAGAGATGGAGAAACATTTTGAAGTGACTGAGTGGTCTTGAATTGGTAAGATGGTTTTCCACCATTACCAGAAATGGGAACTTAAGAACTAACTTCAGTTATAGTGAAATATTTAGAAGTCACGTTTTGGACCATGGACTCTGTATGCATGTGTCTCCAAACCGTCACCAAACCCTCCTCTCTGAGGCACCCAGAACAGGGAGGCACTGGGTCTTCCTAAGCAAATTATCACAAAGGTGACTCTTAAGAAGTATTTAGGAGATGAAACCAATAGAATGTGGTGGTTGTGGAGCCTTGACGGCTATTTCACACATGGAGGAGCAACGGTGCAGGAAGAACATCGTGCCTCCTCTGTGGTCAGGGACCTCATGGACTGGTCCATCATGGTGCTCATTCTCCCATTTCCAACATGTGTAACTCTGAGACAGGGAGGAAGTTCATACAGTCTGGGAGTCACGCTTTTTCCAGCTGCTTCTCCATGGGCAGGAGTGTTAGGGACTCATGACCCAAGCTTACCAGATATCACTATTTTCATCATAGAAGGTAGCATTGCCTGAGTTGTTGATAAGGGCCCGGATCCTCCCTTCTAGACTGTCTTCCAGAATGATGTATGTGAACTTTTTCATTTTCGCATATAAGATGAGCATAGCCAGGTTTCCTGATGGATAACTGGGAGAAGGTTAAGGCACAAGTAGTCAGTCCTTGGGGTCCCCTGGAAAAGGTAGGGCCCTGCAGATGATGCAGGCCTCAGTCAAACCCCACACCTCAGTCAAACCCCTTACCCCATAAAAAATCGTAGACATTTTAGGTGCCAATATATGTCAATACGAGCATCCCTGTGCTTCTGTGGATACTGTATCTGGCCTGTCCCATCAGGAAAGAGAATTTGATAGACATTCTTGTTGGGGTAGAGAATTAATTTTCCATCACCTTGATGCACCTGGGAAGAAAAGACAAGCCTATGAAAAGTGTGAAAAGTACATGGGTACCAACTGTCCTACTGCAGAGCACGGTGTGGACCCCATCTGCTTGCTCTCCGATGCCACGTGCTACCTCATCAACTTGCTGGGGAGCTGCGGGGCTTCAGTTTACTTGTCTATATGATGAGGAGGCTGGACTGGATCTGTGTGTGTGTGTAGATTTTAAACTGTCATTTCAATCACCCCAATGATTATTGATTGCATTAGATTCCCAGGGATGCTTGAACAAAGTCTCACAAACTGGGCATCTTAAAACTACAGAAATTTAATCTCACTATTGTGGAGGCTGGAAGTCTGAAATCAAAGGGTCCCCAGGGTTGGTTCCTTCTAGAGGTTTTGAGGAAGGATCTCTTCCATGCTTTTCTCTTGGCTTTTGATGATAGACGGAGATCCTTGACATTCCTTGGCTTGTGATGCATCACCCCAGTCTCTACCTCTATCTTCATGTGGTGCTCTCTGTATCTTCACGTGGCCATCCTCTTAGGAGGACCCCATATTGGATTGGGGCACACCCTACTTCAAGATGACCTCATCTTAACTCATTACATCTGCAAAGACTATTTCCAGATAAGGTCACATTCTGAAGCACTGGGGGTTAGAACTCCGACATGTCTCTTGAGGGAACACAATTCAACCCATAACATTGGTATACTCAAATTTTTTATTTCTTCTTCAATCAGTTTTTGCAAACTGTTTTTCTAGAAAATTGTTCATTTTAGGTAAACATTCAAATTTATTGTCATAAAAATTTTAAGTTTATAGTGTTTTAAAGAGATCTCTGCTGTCTCTGTAGTTACATCGCTGTTTTCATTCTCTTTATTATTTATACCTTCTGAATCAACCTTGTCAGAAAGTTTGCCTATTTTATTAATCTTTTCAAAGGACCAAGTTTTGGTTTGTTTATTCCATTATTTCTTTGTTTTATAGTTTATCAATTTCTGCTTATATCATTATCGTTTATATCCTCTACTTTCTGTGGGTTTTCTATGTTATTCTATTTTATTTTTCTAATTCCTGGAATTGAATACTAAACTCTTCTGTTTTTGTCTTTCTTCTTCTTCAAGATCTTCCTCCTACTCCTCCTTCACATCCTCCTCCTCCTTTATCAGAGAAAGCATTTAAAAGAAAGCCCCCTGGCACCCAGTATTCCCAGGCAGTCTTCCATCCAAGTAGTAACCAGGCTCAGCTCTGCTTAACTTCTGAGATTAGACAAGATTGAAAGCATTCAGGGTGATATGGCTGTAGATTTTTAAAATATGTGTTTAAAGCTGTTACGGTTTGAATGTGTCCCCCCAAAAACATGTGTTGGAAATTGAATCCCCAATGCAATAGTGTTGGGAGATGGAGCCTAATGGGAGGTATTTAGGTCATGGGGACTCTAACCTCATCAGTAGATTAATAATAATTATGAAAGGGCTTGAGGCTACTAGTTTGATCTCTTGCTCTCGTTCTCTCTCTTGCCCTCATTTTGCTTTTCCACCATGGGATGATGAAACAAGAACCCCCTTGCCACATGTGACCCCTCCAGCTTGGACTTTCCAGCCTTTGGAACCAATAAATTTCTGTTCATTGTAAACTACCCAGTCTGTGATTCCCTGTTACAGCAGCACAAAACAGACTCAGAAAAAAGCTGTAACATTCCCCTCAATTTACTGTTTAGCTGTTTCCCATGAGTGTAGTTATTTGCCTTTCATTTTACTCCATTCTAAATATTTTCAGATTTGACACACAAGTTATTTACAAGGGTGTTCTTAAATTTGCCAATGTATAAAGGACTTTTGGTTATGTTATTACTATTCTTGATTAAAATGCACTGGGGCAAGAGAACATAGCCTATATAATATCCCTTCTTTGGTGTTTGCTGAGATTTGTTTTCTGACCTAGCATGTGATCAATTATAATAGATGTTTTGCATGTGCTTGGAAAGGGTGTGTGTCCTCTAATTGTCCCCTGTCCCCATGTTGGTGGATTGTCAAGACCCGTTGTTCCCCTGCTTCCTCAGCACACACACCTGGCTCAGAAGCTCACTCTTCTGGTTTTGTAGTTTTCTCTTTATTTCTGGTGTTGGCTATTTCCCTTACTTTCTTACATTCTCTGTTCTGCATGGAAAAGGATGCTTCTTATGTTTTATTTCAATTCCCAGGTGTTTGCAGCAGGAAGGCTTTGCAGACCATCTAGTATCCCACATTAACTTAACTAGAAGAAGTCAGATTAGTGATTTTCAAGCCATTTTTATTTTGATTTTTTTTGAAGAAACAATAGTTTTTCTAACCAAGTGACCCAGCTACTGAATCTTAAGGCCTCAAAAAATATTGCCTCTTATTGTCATTGAACAATAAGGCCTTCTATTTTGATATTCCAGGGAAATAGAGATTTTGTGTCTCCAGTAGTTTCCATTTGTCAAACAGTCATGAGTGATGGTTTAGCATGGTGGCTACTGCTTTCAGGAGATTCTGTTGGATGAGTCCTCGTTTCTAGTGCAATAGCTATTGGACATTTTTTATTAAAAGTTCATCCATCAGGACTTCTCTATCATGGTTGGCCATGGAGTCCTGTCTGGCTGCTGAATGATATTCCTGAAATCTCATGGATATTCTTTGCATGATTTAAAAATATTTCCGTAAGCAATGTTCTGAGCGGATGGTCTCTTCAGGTTTTAGTTCTCTTGTTGTGAAGTCTTTAACTCAGTAGAAAAAAGCAGTTTTCTGGAAATTTCTTGTAGTTGCAAGACATTCCTTAAACTGTTTTATCTGATCAGATTCTGGTATTTGTGCAGCCATATTCTTTTAGTATGTTTATTAGTCACCGTTTTTGACACATGAGTTTCCTTTCTGTTCTGGAAAAGCAGTTGTCCAATCTTTGCTTGAATGTCTCCAGTGAGGCCTGATTTGTTAGTTAAGTGCTGATTCTCCCTTCTGACACCGGTATGAAGCTGGGGACCGCATTGCCAGTTAAATCTAGGGGTGGAGGGTTGGGGCCACGGTGGGCGCTGTGGTCACTGGATGGGCTCAAATTATTATTGTAAACTGAAGAATTCTTTGCCCAAAGAAAGCTTATAGCAGAATGCAACATTTAAGGTGATAAGAGACAGAGATGCAGTTTTGTTTGAGAGAAAGCTGTCTGTTGGTTTCCACCTAGACATCAGGTAGAAAGCACTCCTCAAGGTGACAATGATCATATAACCAACATACAGTGGCTGTTTCCTTATGCCGAGCACTGCACTAAATACTTTAATTCCACAGCATACTGACCTTACAAAATATGCACTATCATTAATTCCTGTTTAAGAGAGGCTAAATGACTTACACAAAGTTATCTAGTTAGAAGAGAGCCAGGCTCCAGCAATCTGACCCCCAAGCTTCAGATTTATCCCTGATGCTGCCTCTAACCATTAAGCTCCCAGCCACCTGCGACATTTAGTATACAAAGCACTGCTTTTTTCTTTAAACCTAAAAAAAGCCCTTTAAAATTTTTTCTTTCTTTAATTGACAATTAAAAATTGTATATATTTATGTTGTACAACATGATGTTTTGATGTATGTATACATTGTGATTGGCTAAGTCAAGCTATTTAACATATGCATTACCTCACATATGTTTTGTTATGGTGAGAAAACTTAAAATCTACTCTCTTAGCAATTTTCAGGTATGCAATGTATTGATATATATAATATCAATATATAATATTAGCTTTAGTCCCCATGATGTACAATAGACCTCTTAAACTTATTCCTCCTGTCTAGCGGAAATTTTGTATCCTTTGACCAACACCTCCCCGTTTCCCTACTCCTCAGCTCCTGGCCACTCTGTTCTATGAGTTTGGTGTTTTTACGTTCCACACATAAGTGATGTCATAAAGTATTTGACTTTCTGTGCCTGGCTTCTTTCACTTAGCATAATCCTCTCCAGGTTCATCCATGTTCTCACAAATGATAGGATTTCCCTCTTTTTTAAGGCTGAGTAGTATTCCATTGTGTATATAGACCACGTTTTCCTTTTTCATCCATCTGTTGATAGAGACTTGGTTTAAAAAGTGCTTTGTATTTTACCCACAGTTGGTTTGCCTGGTGACCTGTTGGAAATGTCCAGATGTTTTTCATGGGTAGCGGGTATTTGTCACTTAGGTCTTATTTTCAAAAGCCACCCAAAAGCCAGAATTTCTTGAGATGCTTTCTGTTCGTCGAATTCACTTGTCATGTAATGAAATTTTCCTGATGACAAGAACCCCATGGACAAAGCAAAATCTCTTACACAGAGCTGGAGTTGGCACATGTTCTCTCACTGGGAAATATATAACAAACAGCATGTCTAAGAGCCTGAAGCTCGTCAGCATTTGCTTGGGGACAGAATAGGAGGCAAGAGCTTAAAGTGCAGAGTAAAGAGACTGTGTCTCTGGCCTGTCCTGCAGGCGGGACCCCGAGCTGTGCCAGAGCTGTTCTGGGAGCTCACCATGGCTGCTGTGAGGCCCTGGGTCCTGGCCTGGAGGGGTTGGATTTGGCCTGAACACCAGCACACACAGAAGGTGTGCACTCAGCAAACAGCTTGGGATTTATTGCCTGTTTGTAAAACAAACAAACAAAACTAAATGTGCCACTCCTTGCCACACCTCATGGGTGCTTGGTGCAGCCCAACATGAATGGTAGGTGAGAGAGGATCCTCTGCTTAGAGATCTTGGTGAGAATCTTCCTCTTGGCTGCAGGGAGGACATTTTAGATGTTAGTGGGGAGGGGGCGCCATGGTGGGTAGATGGTGCCAGAGCTGGCAAAGATCTGAGGCAGGATAGGGCCTGGAGTGTGGAAGAACATGGAGTTATATAGCCTAATCGGAGCAATAAGCCAAGTAAGGTTTCTTTTATCTATTAGAAGAAGTGAGGCCAGGGATAGGAGAAAGCTGAAGACTTTATATGAGGGCTTCCAACGCCCTTACCATTGTCTGCTACAACCTGGAGAGCCCCCTTCTCCTGTCTATAGGAGTTCTGACTGGTCCCACAGACTTCCCTTCTCAATGCAGGCCCAAGTGTTGAAGGAATACTGAACTTCTCATTCCTTGTCTGGAGGTCAGAAAAGTCCATACCTTGGTTAACCGTGTTGATTTCCTATGCTCCTTCACTTTTGCCACAATTGAGGCCACACTCATGATGTAAAGCTGTCCTATTGCTTTTCCTCTTAGTGCAAGCTGTTCCATTTCCCAGCTCTCTTGCCGCTAGCTGGGGTCATGGGGTCCATTCTGGTCAATGGAATTTAAGCCTGGACCCTGGCTTCACTTCTTGTCCATACAACTGGACATAGACAACTGCAAGATGGTAGAGACCTATGATGAAAAGACCCAGATCCCCGAGATGCACTTTGAAAGGGAGCCACTCAAAAGAAATACAAGGCTCAAAATAGACATGACATGAGAAAGAAATAGACATCTGTTCATTAAGCCACTTGGCTTTGGGAAGCATTTGCTTCAGAAGCTGATGAGCATTGTCCAGATGAATACAGCTTTGTGTCCTTGAGGCAGTGGCTCTATTTGACTTGGGCACCCAAGCTAATTTCCTATTTCTTTCCCACTTGCCTATGGGTGTCCGTGAGGCAAAGGCCTCAGGGCCTTTGCACTTGTTGGCTCTATCTAGAATGCCCTTTCCCCAGGAGTCTCCATGGCTCACGCCCTCATTTCATACATGCCTAGGCTCAAATGGTACTTGTCCCAAATGGCCTTCCCTGATTACTCTATAGGCATGAGAGCATCTTCTCTCTCAGCCCAGCTGGAGGGCCCCCTCTGCTGCTGTTTCCTCGTGGCTCCTAAAAATAGCCAACATAGCACCAAATAGTACTTCTGTGTATTGACTCTCTCCTCAACTGGAACATATAAGCTCCATGGGAGAGAAGGCTGTGTCTCATTTGCCTCTGTATCTCCAGCACTTAGCAGAGTGCCTAGGGCACCGTAGGTTCTCCACATGTATTTACTGAAGACATGAAGACTATCACATCTTTTAAATTCCCACCTTAATGCCTCTTTTTTGAGCTTTAGACCTGATTATTAGCTCACTCTCAATTACTCTAATTTTTTTTCCCATAGGTTTTTGGGGAACAGGTGGTATTTGGTTACACAAGTAAGCTCTTCAGTGGTTATTTGTGAGATTTGGGTGTACCCATCACCGAAGCAGTAATCACTGAACCCAATTTGTAGTCTTTTATCCATCACCCCCTTCCTACCCTTTCCCCTTGAATCCCCAAAGTCTATTGTGTCATTCTTATTCCTTTGCATCCTCATAGTTTAGCTCCCACTTATGAGTGAGAACGTATGATGCTTGGTTTTCCATTCCTGAGTTACTTCACTTAGAATAATAGTCTCCAATCCCAACCAGGTTGCTGCAAATACCATTAATTCGTTCCTTTTTATGGCTGAGTAGTATTCCATCATATATATATGTGTGTGTATATATATATACACACACATACACACACACCACAGTTTCTTTATCCGCTCATTTGTTGAAGGGCATTTGGGTTGGTTCTACATTTTTGCGATTGTGAATTGTGCTGCTATGAACATGTGGGTGCAAGTATATCCATTTTGTATAATGACTTCTTTTCCTCTGGGTAAATACTCAGTAGTGGGATTGCTGGATCAAATGGTAGTTCTACTTTTAGTTCTTTAAGGAATCTCCACACTGTTTTCCATAGTGGTTGTACTAGTTTACATTCCCCCCAGCAGTGTAGAAGTGTTCTCTGTTCACCGCATCCACACCAACATCTATTATTTTTTGATTTTTTGATTATGGCCCATTCTTGCAGGAGTAAGGTGGTATGGCATTGTGGTTTTGATTTGCATTTCCCTGATCACTAGTGATGTTGAGCATTTTTTCACGTTTGTTGGTCATTTGCATTTCTTTTGAGAATTGTCTATTCATGTCCTTGGCCCATTTTTTGATGGGATTTTTTTTTCTTGCTAATTTGTTTGAGTTTGTTGTAGATTCTGGATATTAGTCCTTTGTCAGATGTATAGATTGTGAAGATTTTCTCCTACTCTGTGGGTTGTCCTTTTACTCTGCTGACTGTTCCTTTTGCTGCACAAAAGCTCTTTAGTTTAATTAAGTCCCAGCTATTTATCTTGGTTTTTATTGCCTTTGCTTTTGGGTTTTTGGTCATGAAATCCTTGCCTAAGCCAATGTCTAGAAAAGTTTTTCCAATGTTGTCTTTTAGAATTTTTATAGTTTCAGGTCTTAGATTTAAGTCCTTGATCTATCTTGAGTTTATTTCTGTATAAGGTGAGAGATGAGGATCCAGTTTCATTCTCCTACATGTTGCTTGCCAATTATCCCAGCACCATTTGTTGAATAAGATGTCCTTTCTCCACTTTATGTTTTTGTTTGCTTTGTCAAAGATCAGTTGGCTATAGGTATTTGGGTTTATTGCTGGGTTCTCTATTCTGTTCCATTGGTCTATGTGCCTATTTTTATACCAGTACCATGCTGTTTTGGTGACTATGGCCTCATAGTATAGTTTGAAATCAGGTAATGTGATGCCTCCAGATTTGTTCTTTTTGCTTAGTCTTGCTTTGGCTATGTGGGCTCTTTTTTCATTCCATGTGAATTTTAGGATTTTTTTTTTTCTAGTTCTGTGAAGAATGATGGTGGTATTTTGATGGGAATTGCATTGAATTTCTAGATTGCTTTTGGCACTATGGTCATTTTCACAATATTGATTCTACCCATCCATGAGCATGGGATGTGTTTCCATTTGTTTGTGTTGTCTATCATTTCTTTCAGCAGTGTTTTGTGGTTTTCCTTGTAGAGATCTTTTACCTCCTTGGTCAGATATATTCCTATGTATTTTATTTTATTTTTTGCAGCTATTGTAAAAAGAGTTGAGATCTTGATTTGATTCTCAGCTTGGTCACTGTTGGTGTAGAGGAGAGCTACTGATTTGTGTACACTAATTTTGTATCTGGAAACTTTGCTGGATTAATTTATCAGTTCTAGGAGCTTTCTGGAGGAGTCTTTAGGGTTTTCTAGGCATACAATCGTATCATCAGCAAACAGTGACAGTTTGGCTTCCTCTTCACCAATTTGGATGCCCTTTCTTTCTCTTGTCTGATTGCTTTGGCTAGGCCTTCCAGTACTATGTTGAGGAGAAGTGGTGAGAGTGGGCATCCTTGTCTTGTTCCAGTTCTCAGAGGGAATGCTTTCAACCTTTCCCCATTCAGTATTATGTTGGCTGTGGATTTGTCATAGATGGCTTTTACTACATTGAGGTATGTCCCTGGTATGCCAATTTTGCTGAGAGTTTTAATTATAAAGGGATTCTGGATTTTGTTGAGTGCTTTTTCTGTGTCTATTGAGATGATCATGTGATTTTTGTTTTTAATTCGTTTATGTTGTGAATCACATTTATTGACTTGGATATGGTAAACCATTCCTGCATCCCTGGTATGAAACCCACTTGATTGTGGTGGATTGTCTTTTTGATATGTTATTGGATTCGGTTAGTTAGTATTTTGTTAAGGATTTTTACATCTATGTTCACCAGGGATATTGGTGTGTAGTTTTCTCTTTTCAGTATGTCCTTTCCTGGTTTTGGTATTAGGGTGACACTGGCTTCACAGAATGATTAAGGGAGGATTCCCTCTTTGTTTCCCTGTGGAATAGTGTCAATAGGATTGGTACCAATTCTTCTTTGAATGTCTGGTAGAATTTTTTTTGTTAGTAATTTTTAAAATTACCATTTCAATCTCACTGCTTGTTATTGGTCTGTTCAGGGTATCTAATTCTTCCTGATTTAAGCTAGGAGGATTGTATATTGCCAGGAATTTGTCTGTCTCCTCTAGGTCTTCTAGTTTATGCATGTAAAAGTGTTCATAGTAGCCTTGAATGATCTTCTGTATTTCTGTGGTGTCAGTTGTAATATCTCCCGTTTTGTTTCTAATTGAATTTATTTGGATTTTCTCTCTTCTTTTCTTGGTTAATCTTGCTGAGGGTCTATCAATTTTATTTATCTTTTCAAAGAACCAACTTTTTGTTTCATTTTTCTTTCTTTTTGTTTCAATTTCATTTAGTTCTGCTCTGATCTTGGTTATTTCTTTTCTTCTGCTTGGTTTGAATTTGATTAGTTCTTGTTTCTCTAGTTCCTTGAGGTGTGACCTTAGATTGTCTATTTGTGCTCTTTCAGACTTTTTGATGTAGGCATTTAGGGCCACTAACTTTCCTCTTAGCTACCTTTGCTGTATCCCAGAGGTTTCGTTAGGTTGTGTCACTATTGTCATTCAGTTCTAAAAATTTTTAAATTTCCATCATGATTTCATTGTTGACCCAATAATCATTCAGGAGCAGGTTATTTAATTTCCATATATTTGCATGGTTTTGAGTATTCCTTTTGGAGTTGATTTCCAGTTTTATTCCACTGTGGTCTGAGAGAGTGCTTATATAATTTCAATTTTCTTAAATTTATTGGGACTTGTTTTGTGGCTTATCATATGGTCTGTCTTGGAGAAAGTTCCATGCACTGATGAATAGAAAGTATATTCTGCAGTGTTGGGTAGAATGTTCTGTAAATATCTGTTAAGTCCATTTGTTCCAAGGTATAGTTTAAATCCATTGTTTCTTTGTTGACTTCTTGTCTTGATGACCTGTCTAGTGCTGTCAGTGGAGTATTGTGTTGGTGTCTATCTCATTTCTTAGGTCCAGTAGTAATTGTTTGATAAATTTGGGAGCTCCAATGTTAGGTGCATATATATTTAGGATTGTGATATTTTCCTGTTGGACAAGGCCTTTTATCATTATATAATCTTCCTCTTTGTCTTTCTAAACTGCTATTGCTTTAAAGTTTGTTTTGTCTGACATAAGAATAGCTACTCCTTCTCGCTTTTGGTGTTCATTTGCATGGAATGAATGACTCTAATATTTTGAGGCTAGTTTTCACTCAGATCTTTGTATAATAGTATCAGTCTTTATGAATACTACCATGAGATAGATTTTTTATAGGCTTCATTTTTTAGAGCAGGTCATGGAAAAATTGAGTGGAAAGTACAGTTTCCCATATATGCACAGCCTCCCCAACCATCAACACCCCCCCACCTGAGAGTGGTACATTTGTTATAATTGGTGAACCTACACTGACAAACCATTATCACCCACAGCCCAGAGTTTACATTAGGGTTCTCTCTTGATGTTGCACATTCTGTGGATTTGGACGAATGTACAATGACATGTATCCAACATTGTGGAATCATATGGAAGAGTTTAACTGCCCTAAAACTCCTGTGTTTCACCTTTTTATCCTTTCTTGCCCCCACGCCCTAGCAACTGCTGATCTTTTTACTGTCTCCATAGCTTTGTCTTTTCCAGAATGTCATATAGTAGGTATCATAATATGTAACCTTTTCAGATTGGTTTCTTTCACTTGGTAATATGTGTTTAAGTTTCCTCCATGACTTTTCATGGCTTAATTGCTTATTTCTTTTTAATGCAGAATAATATTTAATTGTATGAATGTACCATAGCTTATTTATCCATTCACTGTGTGATTGATTTTTGATATGGATTCTAATTTGTTAGGGGGATGGATCTATATATATCTTTTTCTTTTTAGAGGCGGGGTCTTGCTATGTTGCCTAGGCTACTAGAGTACAGTGGCTATTTACAGGCGTGATCATAGCACACTGCAGCCTCGAACTCCTGGGCTCAAGTGATCCTCCCTCCTCACCCTCCTAAGCAGCTGGGACTACAGATGCATGCCGCAGTGTCTGGCTGGGGCCTATATAATATACATTTCCTTTATTCCACTCTCAAACCCATCCAATTGCCTAATAGAGACCCTGCAGGCAGAAGACTCAATAAATCCTAGTAAAAATCCTAGTCAGTCTGCCAGCAACCCACACACTCAGGTGTACCTCTGATATCTTGGATGCATTTTTGTGTTTACATTGTGTGTTGTTCCTTACAGCTCTCTGGTGGTGTATGCACACCTCACCAGAGCCAAAAAAAATCCTGTGCAAAGTAAAAAACAGCAATGTACTGTCCCTCTTACCACTGTCTTCTTCTGTATCCATTCCTTATCTCGTTCTAATTTCTTCCTATGATGAACAACACGTTGAGGCTTTTGGATTTCTTCTGTCTCAGGCTTCTCAGGTGTTGGTTTGCTCATTAAATGAAATGTGAAACTGGTCATCTCTGTTAACTTTTGAGCTGCCATTCAATTCAACGATTGCATTGAATAAGATTTTGGTGGGAAAGAGAAAGGAAACTTAGATCTGTCTCTCTCAAGGTGCCAAAGGGAGTTTGAGGGTTTGGGAGATCTGCCATTTTTCCCCAGTGAGGAAGGCTGTCGGGTAGTGGGAAGATTAAGGCCTTTGAAGAGAGAAGTGTTGGGGCTGACATTCCAGCTCACTCTGTTTGGTCACACATTCACTCAACATGTACTTATCAAGTGCCTAGTGCGTGTCAGCCCAGTGCTGGATGCCTGATATGACAGTGATGGTCAACCTGTACAGATGTGTGGGTATGAGTGGGTGATGCAATGAAAATGCCAACTACAACGTAATGAGAGGAATGCTCACACAGTGAATGGTGTGGCTGCTAATTGAAAAAACAGGCGAAAGTCAGGGAGTCATCAAAAAAAGGTAAAATGGAAGTGTATATTAACATGTCATTTAAAAGGTAAGACAATGTACAGGTCTGATGATTGGGCTCTGTGATCATTTTTGCTCAAATCACACCAATGACTGATTGACTGATTGACTGAGACAGAATCTTGCTCTGTCGCCCAGGCTAGAATGCAGTGGCATGACCCTGGCTCACTGCAACCTCTGCCTCCTGGGTTCAAGCAATTCTTGTGCCTCAGCTGGGATTACAGGCGTGTGCCACCACACCTGGCTAATGTAGAGATGAGGTTTTGCCATGTTGGCCAGGCTTGTCTCAAACTCCTGGCCTGAAAGGATTATCCCGTCTCAGCTGCCCAAAGTGTTGGGATTATGGGCATGAGGCACCACACCTGGCTGAGTTTTGTTTTTTAAAGCATTCAACTTGGTTTTCATTTCATAGCAACAAGTTTCTTTTTATATTCATTTTGTCCATTTTTATGACAATTGAATTTTGGAACTAAACTGGTAAGGACAACTGAAAAACAAGCCTAGTGGCTTTTGATAAGTGCTTAACAGTGGGAGCTGAGTGGCTGGAGCCATGGTGAGGGGCTTCTAGCTGTGGTATCAGCCAACATGCTCTTGGTGGGGGTGAGGAGCCCCAGCTCACTACTTAAGGGGATGTCAGTTAGGAGAGCGCCGTGCATCCCATGATTGAGGTCAATACAGGCTTCCATGAGAGCTCATGGGAGGGAACTTAACCGGGCTTTGAAGCTGAGAAGATTTCCACCTCCAATGGAAGGTAAATCTGTAGCATGCAAAGGAGGAGTCCCAGCATAAGCACTGTGTGGTTGGAGGCTGGAGTGGGGATGGGTTAGAGGTGACACAGGATTCAGGAGAGGCAGGCAGGGCCTGCAGCAGCTATTCTTTAAGAGTTAGGTCAGGGGCATGAATTGGTACTGGGGGTAAGTGTACTCTATTGAGAGGGAATCAGGCAGAGACAAGGCTCAGCGAGAAAAAGTACCATGATTGATTAGTGCTATGTCTCCCATGAATATGGCTATCATTTTCACGTTAATTGGGTCCAGTCACCTGGAAGATACTTCGTGTTGTAGTATGAGTTTTTGAATGAAGATAGCTTAGTCCCTTCACTGAAGCCTTC
This sequence comes from Homo sapiens, assembly GCF_000001405.40. Taxonomy (NCBI): domain Eukaryota; kingdom Metazoa; phylum Chordata; class Mammalia; order Primates; family Hominidae; genus Homo; species Homo sapiens. The sequence continues at coordinate 45,563,081 of NC_000013.11, forward strand.
CATGATTAGATCCATGAAGCTGGTAACTTCCATGATTTGCAAATCTTAATAGCTGGACACCAAATGCCTTTGGTCTCTTGGTAAAGGAGCTATTTGTTTTCCAATTTTTGCATTAATATTCCTTTCCTGGAGTACCCCACTCCCCCAAATCTGTGTTAGATCCCTTACTGTGTGGTCCCACAGTGTCCCCTTCCCATCACAGGGCCTAACCATTCTATATGGTAATTCCCTACTTTCTTATCTATCCTTCCAAGAATAGACCAATGAAACCTGAGAAGCTCACTCTTTCTGGAGCATTCTCTTTCAAAGGAGCTCTGATCTGAGAACCAGAAAACACGGCTGCCCTGGGGAGCATCCTTATTGGGAAGTAAGACAGTCCACACCACTGAAATGCCAAGGTGACTCGCTCTGTGTTCAGATCCCCCACCTGCCCCTGCCACCAAGAAAGAAACTCACTGGGGCCCTAGACTGTGCCTGCCATGCTCGGTATTTCATCCCTGGCAGCCAGGACCACATCAGCCCTGTAGGCACTGAAGTGAGTGAATGAGCCCTTCCACCTTCTTTACAGTACATGCAGAAGGGGAGAGGCGGTGGGATGCAGACAGGAGAGCCAGCACGTGGTGGAAAATGGTGGAGTGGTGCCTACCTTCACGTCTCCTCTTAATCCGTAAGATTGTTTCCTTGAACTTTTCATAATTTTTCTTCAGCCTAAAAGGAAAGTGGATCATCTTTAGAAGCCAAGACTAAGTTCACGCATACATGCCATCACACACAGTGCAGACAGTACTGGAGCCTGCAGAGTCTCTTTCGCAGGTGGAAATGGGGCCAATGGCTTTGCTTTCTAGGCCAGCTTTCTTCGAGTCAATGCCCAGGAGTAAAGGGATGGTGCATGATATCCATTTAGTGCTTCCCTCATATGGTCTGACCCACAACCAGGGCATACAGCTGAACCCTAAACCCTTCGAAACGAATTCAACTAGGGTAATCTTGGGGGCAGCTGACAGAGCAGGGAGGTCCAAATGCAAGTATGGCCCTATTATTAACTCACACAGATGGATTTGATTTTCTGCAGCTTGTCTATATCCCAGTGAAACCCAGAACCACCTGAAACCCCTTTGCATTTAGTAGGACAATTTCAAATAGCCTTACTCAAAAGGACTTATCATGAAAGCCACACGAGTCACAGCTCTTCAACATGATCAAGCCCTTTTCTCCCTCTCATGTTAACACACAGAGTGAGTCATCCTGGCGTTTCAGTGGTGTGGACTGTTTTCCTTCCAAATAAGTGTGCTCTCCAGGGCAGCTGTGTTTTCTAGTTCTCAGATCAGAGCCCCTTTGAAAGGGAATGTGCCAGAAAGAGTAAGCTTCCCAGGCTTAATTGGATCTGAAAAGGAGGCCTTTGCCATTGCAGATTTTAAATCCTTAGATCAGATTCCTTGAAGAGGGCATATTAATTTAGCCCAGAGTAACTCCAGGAAGCAAACATCCTTTGCTGGAAAGGGCTGCACTGTTACCTAGCACAGAGCAATGGTTCCCTTATTCGTACCCTAGAAGCAATAGGGAAATTTGAGAATGAGTCCATGGCCCATTTGTACCAAATGTTATTCACTTATAATGCAAGGACTTTTAATGGAATTGAAGCAGTTACCTAGCCTATTGGCACCTGTGAAAAAATAAGGACCAAGGAATGGGTGGAGTGGGGGCCTATCCTTTATGCTCAGAGCAGGATACCAAACACAGATAACAGTTAAACTCCAGTGAGGGGATCTAGCCAGAGGCACCCAAGGCCCTTTTGGGAAGACTGGCTGTTCGTCTCTTGTTTTTTGCCCACCTTTGCAAGCGAGTGGAATCCCCATCAGGCGGCTCTTCAATACCAGAGACTGGGGTGCACTCTACTGTATCCCTAGAGCCTAAATTAGCACATAGTAGGTGCACATGAAATATCTGTTGAATGCAATTAGGTTAGAATCAGCCTTTGATACTGTCTAAATGGGAAGAGAGGGAGAAAATGGCACAGAGGCAGTGGGATAACGTATAGAGATATTATTTGGTGTTTTTTTTTTGCTGATCCAAAAGCTTGGGAGTTCTTTGTGTTTTGCCTTCCCATTTCCCAGAGAAGCCCTGGGGGTCTCTTGCCCCATGCCTCTACTGAGTCCACAGTGGAAGTCAATCTCTTCCTGACTTTTGTGAACACCTGAACTTGCCCACGTGATTAGGTAGGGCACCTTGTTTCACACAGCCTCTCCCTGGTGCCACTGCTGGAGAGTCTGCAACAGACCCATGGGGGCACAAACTCATACCTGGCTCTCCAGGTTTCTGAGAGTGGATAAAGGAAAGAGCAGGCTTCCATTCTGAGAGCATGCCTGCACCACAGGCTGGGTGTATGTATGATATAGTTTGACTGTCTTGCCACCCAAATCTTATCTTGAATTCCCATGTGTGGTGAGAGGAACCTGGTGGGAGGTAACTGAACCATGGGGGCATCTTTTCCATGCTGTTCTTGTGATAGTGAAAAAGTCTCATGAGATCTGAATGTTATTGAATTTCTCTGTACAAGCTCTCTTCTCTTGTCTGCCACCATGTGAGATGTGCTTTTCACCTTCCACCATGATTCTGAGGCCTCCCCAGCCATGTGGAACTGTAAGTCCACTAAATCTCTTTCTTTTGTAAATTGCCCAGTCTTGGGCATGTCTTTATCAGCAGTGTGAAAACAGACTAATACAGTAAATTTGTACCAGTAGAGTGGGGTGCTGCTCAAAGATACCTGAAAATGCGGAAGTGACTTTGGAACTAGGTAACAGGCAGGAGTTGGAACAGTTTGGAGGCCTCAGAAGAAGACAGGAAAATACGGGAAAGTTTGGAACTTCCTAGAGACTTGTTGAATGGCTTTGCCCAAAATGCTGACAAAAAAGTCCAGGCTGAGGTGGTCTCAGATGGAAATGAGGAACTTGTTGGGAACTGGAGCAAAGGTGAGCCTTTTATGTTCTAGCAAAGAGACTGGCAGCATTTTTGCCCCTGCCCTAGAGATTTGTGAAACTTTGAACTTGAGGGAGATGATTTAGTGTAGCTGGTGGAAGAAATTTCTAAGCAGCAAAGCATTCAAGAGGTGACTTGGGTGCTGTTAAAGGCATTCAGTTTACTAAGGGAAGCAGAGCATAAAATATCAGAAAACTTGCAGCCTGACAATGCAATAGAAAAGAAAATCCTATTTTCTGAGAAGAAAATCAAGCCAGCTGCAGAAATTTGCATAAGTAACGAGGAGCTGAATGTTAATCCCCAAGACAATGGGGAGAATGTCTCCAGGGTGTCAGAGGTCTTCACAGCAGCCCCTCCCATCACAGGCCTGAAGGCCTAGGAGGAAGAAATGGTTTCATGGGCCAGGCCCAGGGTCCCTGTGTTGTGTGCGGCCTAGGGGACTTGGTGCCTTGCATACCAGCTGCTCCAGCCATAGCTGAAAGGGGCCAACATAGAGCTTGGGCCTTGGCTTCAGAGGGTGTAAACCCCAAGCCTTGGCAGCTACCACATGATGTTGAGCCTGTGAGTGCACAGAAGTCAAGAATTGGGGTTTGGGAACCTCTGCCTAGATTTCAGAGGATGTATGGAAACATCTGGATGCCTAGGCAGAAGTTTGCTGTAGGGGCGGGGTCCTCATGGAGAATCTCTGCTAGTGCAGTGTGGATGGGAAATGTGGGGTCAGATCCCTCACACAGAGTCCCTACTGGGGCACCACCTAATGGAGCTATGAGAAGAGGGCCACCGTCCTCCAGACCCCAGAATGGTGGATCCACTGACAGCTTGCACTGTACATTTGGAAAAGCCTTAGACACTCAATGCCAGCTCATGAAAGCATCTGGGAGGGAGGCTATACCCTGCAAAGCCACAGGGGCAGAGCTGCCCAAGACCATGGGAACGCACCTCTTGCATTAGCATGACCTGGATGTGAGACATGGAGTTAAAGAAGATTATTTTGGAACTTTAGGGTTTAATGACTGTCCTATTGGATTTTGGACTTTCATGGGGCCTGTAGCCCCTTCGTTTTGGCCAATTTCTCTCAGTTAGAACAGCTGTATTCATCCAATGCCTGTACGCCCACTGTATCTAGGAAGTAACTAACTTGCTTTTGATTTTACAGGCTCATAGGCAGAAGGGACTTGCCTTGTCTCAGATGAGACTTCGGACTGTAAACTTTTGAATTAATGCTGAAATGAGTTAAGACTTTGGGGGACTGTTGGGAAGGCATGATTGGTTTTGAAATGTGAGGATATGAGACTGAGAGGGGCTGGTGGTGGGATGATGTGGTTTGGCTGTGTTCCCACCCAAATCTCATCTTGAATTCCCACGTGTTGTGAGAGGGACCCAGTGGGAGGTAATTGAATCATGGGGGCAGGTCTTTCCAGTTCTGTTCTCGTAATAGTGAGTAAGTCTCATGAGATCTGATGGTTATTATAAGGAGGAGTTTCCCTGAAAAAGCTGTCTTCACTTGTCTACCACCAAGTAAGATGTGCCTTTCACCTTCTGCCATGATTGTGAGGCCTCCTCAGTCACATGGAACTGTAAGTCCATTAAATATCTTTCTTTTGTAAATTGCCCAGTCTTGGGTTTTTATCAGCAGCATGAAAATGAACTAATACAGTGTACAAATGGCTGGAACAGTTTGTGACCTGGGGCCTTGCCAGCTAGAAAGACCTGATGCCAGTGACACAGGTCTACAATAACCTTACAGGGGCCCTGGCCATGACCCCAGGTCAGTGAAGCTCAAGGCTCTCCCTCCTTCAGGATGCATGGAAAAGCATTAGCTCACCTAGCGTGAAGCCAGGGAATTTGGTGGGCAGATGCCCCAGGTCTTGATTCCCCAGTGTCTTCTCCTTAAGTGCCAGGGGTCTGAACTTTGCTCCCTAGACTTTTGTACAAGTTCATGGTCCCTGCAAGCCTTTTCTTACCCTGAATTTCCAGCCTCTGTCACCATCTGCCTTGATCTTATCCTGTACCTCCCATGCTTGCAATATCCTTGCTCTTGAGTTTGATTTTGGTCTGGCAGCTGGATCATTCTGCCCATCTGACCCCTGGATCTCACCCTTTCCCTGTGCTTGGCCTGTTCCTGCTCCTTGACTCAGGGAACCTGTCTGGTCCTGACTTGCTCTTTTTTGTTGATGGCTCAGTTTACACTTTCCCTGCTGCCACCTCTGGCATACCCAAATCCACTGACCAATCACTTGGCCTCACCAGTTACTTACATAATTACCAGTTTCCATCTGTTTTCACTTTCCAGTAGCTTAGTTAGGGGAATGTCAAAATCCTCTTCCAGTTCATTGTGAGCAGCCATTTCTTTGATTATTGTTTTAAATACTGTCTGATAGGAGCTGTTCAAAAACTACAAAAGGATCAAAGAATGAAATATTCAGAAAATGGAAATTAATGATTTGTTAGTTAATCACTTTTCTGACTCTCAAAGGTACTGTGTGACACTTCAACATATTATTCTAAAAATACAAAAATGGGAACCAGGGGCAGGGGGAGGGAGAGCAACAGAAAGGATAGCTAATGGATGCTGGGCTTAATACCTAGGTGATGGGCTGATCTGTGCAGCAAACCACCATGGCACACGTTTACCTGTGTAACAAACTTGCACATCCTGTACCCTGAATTTAAAAGTTGAAGATAAAAAAACAAAAGGAAAAAGAAAACGGGACCCATAAGATGGTTAGCAAGAATTCTTTTAAAGAGTATTTCCATTATCATCATATCCTCTTCTTGTTCCTCAATTTCCTTAAAATTTTTTTTTAAACATCAACATGCCAAAAAATCTTTGGAGAACATACAATTATCTTCTTTTTTCAAATGTGGAGATGGCTATGGAATGTAAAAATGCTTCCATGCTTTAAGAGCGTAACAAGTTTTCTGCATTCTACAAATGGCCAAGCTCCCAATGGTGATTTATTTATTCAATGTGAAGAATGAGTCTTCAGAAAAGTAGCATAGCACCTTGTGCATCACTGTATTGGGCAGTTCTGCTTTTAAAGATTCTTCCAAAGTAATGATGTTACAAGGTGCCTTTTTTTTTTTAAGATGGAGTTTCACTCTGTTGCCCAGGCTGGAGTGCAGTGGCACAATCAGGGCTCACTGCAACCTCCGCCTCCCGGGTTCAAGTGATTCTCATGCCTCAGCCTCCTGAGTAGCTGGGATCACAGGCACGTGCCACCATGCCCAGCTAATTTTTGTATCTTTAGTAGAGATGGGATTTCACCATGTTGGCCAGGCTGGTCTTGAACTCCTGGCCTCAAGTGATCTGCCTGCATCAGGCTCCCAAAGTGCTGGAACTACAGGTGTGTGCCACAGCACTCGTCCACAAGCTGCCTTTTTATTTGGCCAGTTTGATCATTCTTTTCCATGTCTGTGCTGCTGACCAGGATTGACCCATAGGTGGGTCCTCACAAGAGTTTGTGTTTTGGATCCCTTTTGATGGAAAGTGAAGCTGGCTTCTTAGGACAGCCAGGGATCGGTCATGTTCCCTGTTCTTTGCTTACCAACAGGTTGAGATTGCTGTTGTTCAATGTATGATCATGGAAAATATACCATTAACTCACTATCTTCCTACAGCAAGTGAAAGACCAACATATCCGAAGTTTCACATGATCTGGGACAGATACAAGTTTATGGCTTATGGCTGGCCAGTGTTTCTAGGTTGGGAGAAAGCTGGGGTGCTTTAGGTCCGACTTGCCTGATTCCTAGCCTCTGAGCCCTGTCTGTCTCTATTTCTTGAGTCAGTGCTTCAGGACAGGTTGAGGTGAAGGCCTTTGCTGCCCATATTCCTGCCTCTAAATTCCTCATTGTTGACAATCCCTCCTTTGGGATGAAGTGACTTTCTGTTTGCCTAGGCCAATGATCTATCCCCATTCTGTTTGCATTTTATGTTCTGTTCTCCAGAAAACAGAATGTCTGTTGTGGTCTGCTGGATGGCCGACCACCTGGGTGGGTCTAACTGAGGTTCTCTAAACTGTGCCACCCCACTCTATGCAGCCAGCATATGTGACGTCTTATGGGGTTTATTCCATTTGTTTGCCTAGCCTACAGAGTGGAACTATCCCTATCATCATGGTAGGTGTATTGGGGACCTCACTGATGAGGTCTCCCATGCCCAGAGACCTCTCCTGGGTTAATATCTGGTTCTTGGAACCAAAAGAATTTTCACAGCAAGGTTTGTGATGCATAAGTGTATCACTGAAATAAAAAATGAAGGCTGGGCATGGTGGCTCACACCTGTAATCCCAGCAATTTGGGAGGCTGAGGCGGGTGGATCACTTGAGCCCAGGAGTTTGAGACCAGCCTGGGCAACATAGTGAGACCCTTCCTTTACAAGAAAAAAATGAAACAAACGTGATAGTAAATTAAAAATAGCAATGAGTCAAGTTGTCAGAATAACTGAACTATAGGTTGATAGACCCCCTCCAAATAGGAGGGCTTTAGCTTCCTCTCCTTGGCTTGTACCCCTCTGGTTTCTGGTAGTCTCTCAAAATGTGCCTCAGAAGTTTACTTAAACAAGTCTTGCAGCCGCAGGTTCTGTGTGGCATTCACCCCATTGCAGCCGCAGGTTCCATGTGGCTTTTTGCCCCATTGCAGCTGCAGGTTCCATATGGTATTTGCCCCATTGCAGCTGCAGGTTCCGTGTGACATTCACTCCATTGCAGCTGCAGGTTCCATATGGCATTCGCTCCATTGCAGCTGCAGGTTCCATATGGCACTCACTCCATTGCAGCTGCAGGTGCCGTGTGGCATTCGCTCCATTGCAGCTGCAGGTTCCATATGGCATTCACTCCATTGCAGCTGCAGGTGCCGTGTGGCATTCACTCCACTGCAGCTGCAGGTTCCATGTGGCATTCGCTCCACTGCAGCTGCAGGTTCCGTGTGGCATTCACTCCATTCTTCTCCTCCTGCTCTGTCCCTACTTGTCCATATCTGCTGCCTACCATGTTGCTTGGAGACGTGCTGCTTTGCCAAGCTGCATCACTGCCTATCCTGGGAATGCAGTGTCTGTGCCATATGTGCTGCCACAGCACCCTGAGCATTCAATGCTTGGGGAACAGAGTGGCATAGATGTCAGGAGGAAAGGACTCCTCAGCCCTGTGACATACTTTGTCACCTGGACCCTGGAGTAGCACTGCTGTGTCTAGAGTTTCACAATGTGTATCATGACTAGTTTTCGTAAGTGACTAGTCTTTACACCCTAATCATAGGGGTCCTATTTCTGTCTATGGCATTTAGATAAGAAGATATGGCATCATTCCCTCCAACCATTTTTTTTTTTGGATTCCTCCTTGCTTACCAAAAACTATTCTGCACACTAACTGCAAACCAAGAAAGCTCCTAGGCTCATGTGTAAACACCAGCTAATGCTGGAATGTTTTTATGAGTTGGGGGACAGGGGGTATTGTCTACCTGCAGTAGTCAGACAAAAAAATGTCTTGTGATCCTCTCTCCGTCTAAGGCTTCAACTGTTTGCTAAGGATTCTATTATGGTTGAATTGTATTTCCCTGCTTCCCTGCCACCCAAATTCATATGTTGAAGTTCAATACCTTAGACTGCAATGAAGTCTGTGAAGTCTCCCTTAGACTGTGATCGTTTGGAGATAGGTTCTTCACAGAGGTACTCAAGTTGAAATGAGGTCCTCAGGGTGGGCTCTAATCCAGTATGACTGGTGTCTTTACAGCCAGGGGAAATGTGGACATAGAGACATGCATGGAGGGAGAATGGGGTGAACAGATGTAGGAGAAGATGGTCCTCTGCAAGTCATGGAGAGATACCTGGGCCATATCCTTCCCTCACAGCCCTCACAAGGAACCAACTGTGCCAACACCTTGATTTCAGATTTTGAGTCTCCAGAACTATGATATAGTAAATTTTGTTGTTCAAGCCACTCAAAGGTGGCACTTTGTTAACAACAGGGCTTAGCAAACTAATACAGATTCCAAATAAAAATCTTTAGCCAAGAGCTTTCTCCCAGGAGACCTAGATTGTATATTTCTGGTTTTCAATTGAACTTTATCTGGATATCTCATAGAAACTTAACACTCAGTGTGTACCAAATAGAACTTTCTACCTCACCCTACAAATGTACCCTTCTTGTCCTCTTCAGCTTTCCAGCCTCTAGAGTAGAAATCTGTACCATGTCATGGCAGCTGTGCTGGGCACTGCCCTGAGCTGCCAGGCTTTCCCATGTGTTCATCTGTACCACTACATATTACTAATCTTCCTGCCCTCAGCCTCTCCCCTCCAATTCATCATCCACAAAGCCACCAGAGTGACCTTTAAAAATGCAAATTTGATCCTTTCCTTGGAGAAAGGACTCAGTATTGTTGGGGGCTTTGGCTAGATCTCCTACGCCATATTGTTTCCCCCAAATAAAGTCCACATAGTTTTAAAGAGATCCCTTAGAGAGCTAGAAGAACACGTAAATGAATTATAAAAACTCTTTTGAGGAGTGAAAAGACCTCTCTACACATGAAACAATACTTAGTAATCAGAAAAGAAAATACTAATACATGAGACTACCTGCACATAAAAAATGACCCTGTCATGGAAAATACCAAGAAGAAGGTTGGAAAACAAAATACAAACTGGAAACAAATTTACATGTATGTCAGAAAAAGAATTAAGGTCTTTCATATATTAAAAACCCTCACAAATCAGAAAGAAAGAGAAATAAGCAACATGGTAGAAGAGAAGACAACACCAACTGGCCAGTCACAGAGAGACACAAATGTCCAATAATTGTGAAAATGCCCGGCACCTTTCATAATGGAGGAGATGCAAAAACCAACAATAAGATGCTATTTCCACCCTATCAGATGGGCCAGAATTATGACCTTGGTGGTCGAGGATATGATGGAGGAGGCATTCTCATGCCCTCTCGGTGGGAATAGGAAAATGGTACAACTTACTGGTAGGGAAATTTGTCAGTGCTTTTTGAGTTAAGGATGCAGATAGCTCTGGTTCCAGCATCAACTGCTAGAAATTTATTCTTTACATACACTTGCATTTGTATGTAATAATAATATATGTACCATTCATTGCATTGAATACATATATATTTATATGTACACACACACACGCAATACAAGACTGGAAACAACTTAAACATCCATTGACAGGGTGCTAGTTAAATTATGGTACAAGATGTAATGGAATACCAAAGCTTTCCAAAATATGTTATTAAGGGAAAAGTAAGTTATTGAACAGAATGTACATCATGATTCCATTTGTGGATATGCATGTGTTTTAAAATATATGTATATGTGTATATGCGTTAAAATTTCCAGGATACATAAATAGCAGTATACAGCAGTTATTTCATTAAGGAACTGGAGGCTTGAGACATTTATTTCATAGCCTTCTTTCCTACTTCAATATTTTAAAATGGTGTGCAGCTGGTAGCTTCACAGTGTAAAAGCTAGACAATTTAGGTAGTTTGAATCGAAGTACTTAAAGAAATTAAAAACAAGTCTAATGGTGTCACATTCTTGCCTAAAATCCTTTAGTAGCAAAGTCCTGGAATGGCACGGTGCTTGTGATGAGAGCTCCCCTGCTCAGCCCACCTGTCCCAAGGAAAACTCTGGAATGCTCCCAAATCTGCCATGTCCTTCCAGAACACACACATGGAAGATGTGTCTGTCACCTGAGAATTCAGTGCCACCTGATATAGCAAAACATCAATGGACAGGAGCCTTGAAGATTTCTGAATAATTTGTGTCTAACTAAAACAATTCCTTCAGGTTTCAACTCTAGTAGAATAATCTTTCCAAAATGCCTGAGTTTACTTTCCTGCCTTTGTAAATCCAAAGCAGTAAATCTAAATTTATGTCATTTTTTTTCCTCCCTTCATTGCAGTATTTCAGTAAATCTTAGTAATACGGTGCTGTAGAGAGGCAAGTATAGAATTTAGGACTAAATATGAACTGAGACCAGAAAATTTCTCAATTAAAAACATTTACAAAATGAAATATTTAGTTTTTTGCATTTTCTTTTATAAATTTAGGAACATATATCTGCTTAACTTTGGGTTCCAGAGACACAAGATTTCATTTTTAGGATTGTAGTCAGTACCTACAATCTGAGAAGTCTTCTTAGCAATCGAGAACACAATGAATAATGATGTTTCCCTCAGAATCAGCATGAAGTGTCAGCCCTAGAGGAAGTTGATGCAGGAAATTCGAGCCACTAGTCTACCCCCATAGGCAAAACATTCATGTGGCATATTTACAAAATCATAACACAAATTTTGTCTTAAAGACAAGAAAACATCCAGTGGATGTAAGGCTTATTGAAACCATGATGACTCCCCATCTCATCTCCCCTCTGGTGATTGGGAACAGCTGGGGAGAGCACCCTTTTGAATTTCCAGGGCTGGTTCTGTGTCTCTCTGCAGGGTGGTGGTGGTCACAGGCCTGCAGAGATGGGAGAGAAACACCACTGCTATTTGCTGTGGTGGCTGCCTGGAGTGGAGAGGTTAGCATCTGGAGTTTTCTGTCTTGCCAGGTTGCCCCATCTACATAGAGGGAGTAGGCTTTCCTTGGGGCTTTTCTGTCTGTGCTTGTTGGAGTTTCTGGGTTGCTGTCTTCTCTAACACCCAGTCTGGGATATATGAAGCAAAAAGAAAACCCAGGTCCTCAGAACCCAAGACCTCAGCCAGCTTGCCTGGGCTAGGCTTGGGCCACCCTACATTTGGAGGAAGCTGGGGGGGGGGTCTCAAGTTTTTATCCAACTTACGTTTTCATCTAAATCTTCCACTTCCAGCTTGTCAATGGACTCATCTGTTATACCATCCCAAAAGTTCTCTTTAGAAGCAAACTCCAGGACTTTCGATTTTGGAAGGAGCGTCGAAAGGAAGGGCATGTGGAAAGAAAACCAAAAACATAAAAAATTTAAAAAGAATAGAAATAGATTGATGGTATTTACCTTTGCCCTTCCAAAAAATGCATACATCATCAATGAGATGTTAAATAGGTTAATCACATGACCTAAAACTCAACTTGGGGATACTAACAAAATAGGAATAAGAGGGTCAGTCTCAGTAGCTGACTTAAGAAAGCAAGTGCATGTTCCTGGTGGCTGGTGAGGGTCAGTCTGACAAAGTGGTCTTTGAATGAGTCCTGAGTGAAGTAAGGAATGCGCAGGCAGAAGGCCACGCAGGCAGAATGAACATTTGCCGCACATTCCGGCAGAGGACTAGGTGCAAAGGCCCTGAGGTGAGTGTGGGAGGGGCATGTTTGACACATGGCAGGGGGAACCCTATGGTATGCTCACAGTAGAGCAGACATGAAGTTGCACATCCCGAGGGGAGGTCAGAGAGGAGTCGGGCGAGTGAGGGAGGGAAGGAGGAGTAGGTGGGCACGTGGTGGGCGGGGGCCAGCTTTCAAAGGACCTTGTAGGCTGTGGGAAGGACTTTAGATTTTGTTCCGAGGGAGACTCATTCCGAGTGTGATTTTCACTTGGAAATTTCAAGAAATATATCTGTCTTCCACCAGGCTTGTCAAAATTTGCCAATTTCTAGAATTGCGTATGATTCATAATTACTAATCAGAGCATAAGAGATGAATCCCCGAGCCAGTGAGTTGGATGGAGAATGTCTCCCAGAGACAGTGAATGCCCTTGTTCCTAAAACGGTCAGCTGCAGGCTGGTGACTCTCGGGGCCAGGAGAGTGGCTTAGAGCCTCCGGGGAGCCTGGGTGCAAGCTGAATTGTGGAATTGATCAGTACAGCTTGAGCCCTCTTCCATACTCCTGGGAAGGTGATTCTGAGAGAAGAACTAGGAGGAAGTGGCTCTGGCATGATAATTGGGCCCCCAGGAAAATGATGGTGGCTGATTGTCTCAGCTTCTGATGACACCAGCCCTTTCCAGCTAGCCCCTCTGGAGAGCCTGGGAACCCTGCCAGGTTGGCCCTAGACTGATATCCTGTTTGATTTTGTGTCCTTCTTATGCCTTTGGGGACAGAGATGGGATGTTCTTTGTGATCTCTACACATTACTTTTGTTCTTCTTCCCAATTTTGGCTCCGTAGCAAAAACTCTGACTCCTTTGGGCTCCTCCTGGGATGGAGAATTTTACTGGGCTGGGGCTGCGTTTACCCACACTGTCCTGGGGCCTCTCTACTTGCAAACCTTCTTCTGCAGCCTTGGCTTGTGCCTGACAGACTTGCCGCGTATGAGGTGGGCCCCATGCTTCCAGAATTCCCTGGCAATTCTTCCATCACTTCCCACAGGTGCACACAATGCCACCCCCACTGGGGTACCCACAACAGGGTAAAGGCAAGAGCATGCTCAGCTTGATTCTAAAAACACTATGTGTTCCCGAACTGTCTGCCATGGAAATGACCAGGGACATTTTAAAAAAAACATTGAAGAAAACCCAGCAAGAATCCTTGGGAATTCAAGCAAGCACTGGGGAAGCTCCTTGTGGGTGGCATTAGAGAGGAGAAATGAATGAACTGGTAGAAAAGGGGCCTGAGAGACCAAGGAGCAGGCTGTGGTGGAAGGTGCTCTGAGCCTGCCTCAGATGTGCCTGCCAGAGATGGAGATGAGTATGGCTGTGGCCCTGGTAACTCAGCAACTTCCCATCATTTGCGATTGCCATATTTTAGTAGTTTTTTTTTTGAATAATGCATAATGTGAGCTGGTACAAAAGGAAGTGTTTATTACGGGAATAAGGTGAACTGGGCAGCACTGAATACTCAACAGTGGTGCTCAGAAACATTCGAGTCAATGTAATAATTAAGCTTATTAACGTGGCTGGGCACTGTCAACATGTCAAGTGTAATAAGCAGTATCATAGCTGTGACTGGGGCTGAATGAGAAGAAAAAGCCTTATTTCTAATTAACTTTCCCTTTGGGGACATCTGTCAACCTCTGCCTCTCTTCTAGTGATATCATTATCTCCTCCTGAAGTCACTCCATGAGAGGATGGGAAGGGCCTGGGGGGAGTATCAGGCCAAATTCGAGTGGTAGCTCTGTCATCTGGAACCTGGGCCACTTCCGGCATGTCACTGTTGCATGTCCCCCTTGCACCCCAGCTCCTTATCTGTGCAATGGGACAATAAGACTCATCCTGAGGGTGGCTCAGAGGACCAGTGCTAATGTAGGTCAATGCTAGCACACACTGTTCCCCAGGTGGAGCATGTCTTCTCCTGGACTGATTAAAAACAAATCTTTTTTTTTTTTTTTTTTTTTTTTTTGAGACGGAGTATCGCTCTGTCAGCAGGCTGGAGTGCAGTGGCGCGATCTCAGCTCACTGCAATCTCCGCCTCCCGGGTTCAACCCATTCTCCTGCCTCAGCTTCCCAAGTAGCTAGGATTACAGGCGTGTGCCACCATGCCAAGCTAATTTTTGTAGTTTTAGTAGAGACGGGGTTCTACCATGTTGGCCAGGATGCTCTCTACCTCTTGACCTCGTGATCTGCCGGCCTCAGCCTCCCAAAATGCTGGGATTAAGAACAAATCTTAACTCTTCCTTATTCCAGTGCCTCTCCTCTATCATTTTTCTTTTTTATTAAAACATTTTTTTAGGGACAGGGTCTCTCTCTGTAGCCCAGGCTGAATTGCAGTGTTGTGATCATGGCTCACTGTTACAATCCTCCCACCTCAGTCTCCTGAGTAGCTGGGATTACAGGCACACACCACCATGCCTGATTAATTTTTAAATTTTTTGTAGAGATGAGGTCTTGCTGTGTTGCCCAGGCTAGTCTCAAACTCTTGGCCTCAAGTGATCCTCCCTTCTCGGCCTCCCAAAGTGCTCGGATTATAGGCATGAGCCACTGCACCCAGCCTCTTAACATTTTTCTTGACAGAACTACCATTCTTGAATTTGGGATAAATGAGCTGTGTGTAATTGCCCTGAGGGGCAAATATTATAATTCCCACATTACGTGACAAAGATTCTTTGCTTGACCAAACTTTAGTCAGGCTCCCGAATCTTTTCCTAGGTCCATCTGTGCACTTCCTTATAAAATCCAGTTTTAGCAAGAACCCTGCTAAGTTGGTTTAACAAGAACCGCTACCCTCAATATCTGATCTCCCTCGATATCTAATGAGGTTCTTCATCCTCCACCACCACCTGGTTAATATCTGATCACCTGACCCATCTTTAGCAAGAATCCCATTAGGTTGGTTTACTCAGAATTCCCCATGCCCCTGATGTTTCCTCTTAGTGATTTTCCATCCACTGACCTCTACCCTGCTCCTTGGGTATAAATTCTCACTTGCCTATGATGTATTTGGACTTGAGCCCAAGCTCTTTCTCCTCCTGCAAAATCTGATTGCTGTGGTCTCTAAACTTACCACAGTGGTTCTGAATAAAGTCTACTTACTCTTACTGTGCTTTAACAAATGTTAATGATAATTTTTTCTTTAACAATAGATGAGGAAATGGAGGGGGAGAACAGTAAGTGATTAGTAAGCAACTAGCCCAGGACTAGCTCCAAAGCGAGCAACCCAGTGCCACTGATTGACAAGCACACAGATGAAACTCAATCCTGTTTTTACCTCCTCCATGTTTCACAGTGAATTCCCTACTATCCTAGGCAGATGGCTAAAGGGTTGGGTTGGGCTGGTGGCTGCTATGGACACAAATCTATAAATTGTTCTAAAATCTAGCTACTCAAAGTGTGGTCCATGGATAAGGGAGCTTGTTAAAAAGACCAAATCTGGCCAGGCACGGTGGCTCACGCCTATAATCCCAGCAATTTGGGAAGCTGAGGAGGGAGGATTGCTTGAGCCCAGAAGTTGAGACAATCCTGGTCAACAGAGTGAGACCTGATCTCTTTAATAATCATAAATTAGCCAGGAGTGGTGGCATGCACCCGTGGTCCCAGCTACTTAGGAGGCTGAGGTGGAAGAATCACTTGAACCTGGGAGGTGGAGGCTGCTGTGAGCTGTTCTCACGCCACTGGGCAAGAGAGTGAGACCCTGTCTAAAGAAAAAAGAAAGGTCAGATCTCAAATCTCAGATCTGCTGAATGAGAATCTGCTTTTAAACAAGATTACCAGGTAGTTGTCCTGCACATTAAAGTTTGAACATCGTAGCTCTAAAATGCCCATGGAAATGGAATAAGATGGAGAAAACTGTTGATCAGTAGTACCTTTCTGGCGGTGCGATGGGTTGGGTGGGATGCCTACTCTAGAGTTTACAAGAGTTTATTTGATAAGCCATGGGGTGGGGATGGAGGTATAAGCAGCTGCTGTGTGTGTGTAAGAACTGATCCTTCTCCCACTACCCCTATGTTCAAGTAAAACAGATCTTAGTCCCTAAATTGTGTTCTAATGAGGATGGGTCTGGTTAATTGCAGGCTTTTGTTTTGTGGAGTGGTGCTCACAAGTTGGGATTCTGCTGCTGTAAGGATTCTCCCCTGTTCTTCCCCCTCGTAGGATTCAACCAGCCCCCTCTTAATAAACATTTAATAAACACTTACTGCACCATTTGTAGGGGCTCCACTTTATCCATTACCAAGATGGCATAGGACCCTGAGTCTATCTGGGGAGGTGCAGGTATCCCAGTCAAACCCTGCTTCCAGGGCCTCAGGGAATCCAGCAACTCTCTGGATGCTCTTAAATGTGGGAGTCCCTATCCCAAGCTTTTGAGTAGGAAGATGGACTTACAGTCCTGTTCCTTCAGAGACCCTCTCTCTGTTTCTCGTTTTAGCCTCCTTCTTGAGGAGGTTTGGGGTCCGTGTGCCCAGGATGCCCCTCAGTCCCCTCTGGGCCCTGGGTCATGCTGGATCAGAGAGGGAGCCACCTGCTAGGGGCACCTTCCCCACCCAGGGCACTCTGAAGAAAGCAGGGATCTTTGGATGCATTATGTCAGATGCTCACCATTTTCTTCCTTTTTTTGCTGTACTTTAGTGTTAACATGCTCTAAAAAAGAATAAGAAAAATTATTAACAGGATACGGTATAGTGAACTAGTCCAGACCTTTTAATCCCTTATGGAATCAATTTAAAAATCATCTCCTAGATATCTGGGAAGCCTCAGGGTGGAGTGCCTGTGTTTTGGGATAAAAGCCTTCCTTGATCTTCAGCAGTTGGAGGCCCGCAGAACATGCTCACCGAATATTGATTCCCCTCCCTTTATTCTTATTGTATCTTGCCCACTAGAGTTCAGGTTCTGAGAGGGTGAGATGGGTTTTGTCTACTTTATATCCTGCCTCATATACAGTAGGGATGTAGTAAATGTCATTGCATGAACTAAGTATGGGTAACAACATTATCTACCCTCCTAATTGCAGTGATAAATATTATTTCCTCTCCTTTCAAAATGCCAGCGCACTTAACTTTCTGGTTCAATGTGTTACTTGAGCCTGGAGCCTCAACATTAAATTCCAGAAATAATGCCTTGGCCATTGGCCTCCATTAAGCCTGCTCTGTTCTAAAATGGCCAACAGCATGCTCTCCTTGGCTGGGGGCAGGCTAATTCTGTGCTTCTTACCTTCTCTGGGATGGATGACTAACTTCTACAGATCATTTAAAATCATCATAAACTTTACCTTCCGGAGCCAGCTTCGTGGTGGTTTCTTGCTCTGTTTCTGATTTCGATTTTAAAGATTTTACTGTTAAAAGGCAGAAGAGGGTGGCTATTAATGATTTAAACCTTACATTTTCCAGTGGGTTCATACTGGGTATGTGGGGTCCCAGGTTCTTTCTTGGCACCCAAGGCTGGTCAACAGTTGGGGGGAACTGAGGCTGGCGGCACAGCTGGCATATATAGATGCCCCACTGCACCCCACCCTCTTTGGCTTTGGTAAATCACTCTAGGATTGCAATAAATTAGTCGTCAGAAAATGTAACCCTGTTGTGGCCTTCTCCTCTGGTTACCATGAGGCTAGTTTTGGTCCTCAGAATAGCTGGAAGGGCTGAGGCAGGGTAAGAGGAAGACTTTAGAGGTATCCCTCCTGCTGTAGGAACCATAGAACCAAGTGGCTCCAAGGCCATGTAGACACACAATGCGGTGTGCCTGTCACTGTACAAAGTAGTGTGTCTGCTCTGTGGCCATGGGGTGTGTGATGGGGACTGGATGGGAAACATGGGGATTGCCTAGGATAGATCTGCTAAGATTTGCAATGGGAAGCTACTGTATATATATATTTAGGACTTTTGTAAGTTCTTGATTACCCTTGTTTTCTGTCTTCTGGAACTTTATGATCCCTGTTCCTTTTTGCCTCTTTCCCTAGTGTTTGTCTTCCTACTCCTGAATGCTAAATACATGTGTGTACATGTGTGTGTACACACACTCAAAGACAGACACACACATACACATCCTACATTCCATTCTTGTTTTTGAGACAGAGTCTCACTCTGTTGCCCAGGTTGGAGTGTAGTGGTGAGATCTCCGCTTACTGCAACCTCCGCCTCCCAGGTTCAAGTCATTCTCCTGCCTCAGCCTCCTGAGTAGCTGGGACTACAGGCGTGTGCCACCACACCTGGCTACTTTTTGTATTTTTAGTAGAGGCAGAGTTTTGCCGTGTTGGCCAGTCTGGTCTCGAACTCCTGACCTCAGGTGATCTGCCTGCCTCAGCCTCCCAAAGTGCTGGGATTACAGGCATGAGCCACTGCGCCTGGCCCATTCCATTCTTAATAGCAGGGACTAATAGGCCCATGATGAAAAAGCCAAGTAAACTGCTCCATTAGCTTATGGGAGTGTCCTAAATTCAAGACGGACAGGGTACAAAAACAAAAACTTGTGTTGTGGCCTGTGGCGTTAAGAGGACTTTGAACACTTGCCATATCAGTGCCTATTAGTTCTTCAGCAAGAGGCCGGCACTTCTACAGACAAGGAGCTCTCCAATTTCAAGAAAACTCACTGTGCCATGGCACAGTTCTGACTGTTAGGAATAATTTCTTTTCTTAAAATATTTCTCTAGGATTGCATTAGTGTCCTATTCTAGCCCTTCAGTCTGGAGTGTAAGACTCAGGTCTTGGTTTTGTGTGGCAGATTGTCAAATATTTAAAGTCAGTTTTTACATCTCAGTCGTGTGTCTTTCAGACTTAACATCCTCCTTTGCTTCAGCAGTTCTTTGTGTGACGTAGTCTCCAGGTTACTGTCCAGGACACCAGCCCTTCTGTTGAGCCCCCACCAAGCTCCTTCTAGTTCTTAGAGAGTGTGGTGTCCCCCAAACTGAACGCGCCATTCCAGGGATGGCACTCCAATGCAGGGCACAGCAGGATGAAATCCTCTCTACATAACCTTTCAGTTGTATCTGGTTGTGTTAACTTTTCTGGCAGTGACATCAATTATACTGTTGAATTATTGAGCTTGTGGTTGAAGAAAGCATCTAACAACAAACAGGGCTTCCTTACTCTGCACTTCTCCAGCCTGCTGTTTTTGGGGGCCTGATAGCAGGATCTGATATCAATGACCAATATCTTTCATCTAGCTAATTCTGGTCTGATGTTTCTGCCTGCCAAAATCTTTTAGAATCTGACTATGTTATCCTCAGCATTCAACAGCTTCAGGGCATCTACAAATATAAATATTCCTTCTAAATCTGCATCCAAGCCTATTATAAAAAATGTTGTACTGGACAGAGCTCCACGGCTCTCTGCTGGAAACTGGGTTGACTCTGATCTATGAAACAGCATCTTGAGGTGCTGTTCAGTCAGTTATTAGTGATGACATCATCTTACAGTAGCACCCACCTAATATATCTCTATCTTGTCCAGGAACATCAGGAAACCTTTGGAAATGAAATGCCTTGTGGAATTTCGCCCTATGGGGTTTCCACAGTTCCCTAATCTGATAACCTTGTCAAAAAGTGACCTAAAAGCCAGTATTATGTAATTGGCTTCTATTGATCTTAGGCTGGTTTCTTGTGGTCATTTTGCTCTCAGTATTTATCCCAGATTGGTCACAGACTCATTTCACCAACTTCCCACAATTCCTCAAAAACCAGAAGCATGATTAAGCTATTCTCTCAGTACGTACAAATTCTGGAGTATATTTTATCCAGATGAGGAGACAGCAGTTACCATTCTCTTTTGATTTCTTTTCACCAATCTTTAGTTCCTGCTATTTCTCAACTAATTTTGTTGCACTCTTTTCAGTTTGAGGATAATTTTCTTTTACAGTAAGTCAAAATTAAATAGCAATTAAACAACTTGATTTTTCCCTGAATCATTAATCAGCACTACACTAAACAGTACTAGCCTGTCTGTCTTGACTTTTTTTGGCTCAATTCTATTTTAAATGGGCCTCTGTCTTTTGTTGCTGCCTGTATGATCACTATTATTATTATTATGTTTTGGTAAGAATGTTTATCCTGGGATTGATTCAGTTTTCCTGACACTATTCTTAAAGTTCACAGCCATTTTCCTACATTTATTGTTGAGAGCATCCTCATCTTTTTAACCTCTGCATGTGATATTTCAAAATCTGAGTCCACTGAAGGAAGCACACCAGTTTGCACTTTTGAGAGCTTTCAATCCTCTTCCCCATCTGATATGGTTTGGCTGTGTCCCTACCCAAATCTCATCTTGAATTGTAGCTCTTGTAATTCCCATATGTTGTGGGAGGGACCTGCTGGGAGATAACTGAATCATGGGGGCGGTTTCCCCCATACTGTTCTTGTAGTGATGAATAAGTCTCATGGACCTGATGGTTTTATAAGGGGAAACTTCTTTCGTTTGGTTCTCAGTTCTCTCTCTTGCCTGCTGCCATGTAAGATGTGCCTTTCCCTTCTGCCATGATTGTGAGGCCTCCCCAGCCACGTGGAACTGTGAGTCCATTAAACATCTTTTTCTTTATAAATTACCCAGTCTCAGGTATGTCTTTATCAGCAGCATGAAAACAGACTAATACACCATCTGACCTCTCCTTACACCTCTGCGTATTCTCACCCACATTTCTATACACACAATGTCTCTATGTGTACGTAGTTCTATCTACAGAGCTCCTTTCCTACGAAGACTGGTTTTTTGTAGTAGGATATACCCTTTTATCACCATGATCTGACCTTGAATCAGATGAGCATTCAACAACAATTTCACAAGTATTTAATAAATATTCATTTGTGGTTACTATGTGCCAGGCACTAAGTATGGAGAATTTCTGTGAGCATGGATGTAATGCTCTGCATTAGAATTTCTGGCTGACTTGGTTTATGATCCTGCTCTGTGCCTGGATAGACACATGAGGCCATAACTAGTGTTTCCAGTGCTCCAGAGCGTCTTCTCATATGGATCACAAGGCATTTCCTGTGCCTGTTGCAGCCTTTCCACGTCAGACCTGCCACCCTCTGGAGTCATAGGTCCCAAGTATTTACCTGGGTATTTTTTCCTCCATATTTGGCCAAAGTCCTATTTGTCGAGAAAGGCTGAGCCATGTGGAACACGATTTTTGACTCATTGTGGTTGAACAATTCCATAATAAAATCATGCTTTGGAAGCGGGTGCCTTGAAACCAATTCATCTTAAACTAGAAGTTCTCCATTTCCTCATTGTTCGTGTCCCCAAGCATCCTCTGGGGATCTGGTTAAGAATGCAGATTCCAGGATGTTTCAGGCAGGGGTTCTGATAAGCGTTGAAAAGCTACATTTTCACGACTGCTTGGTGACAGGGACACCCAGTTCTGGGCCTCCTGGAGCAGCAGTGCCCATGCCTGGCTTCGTCTTTGCTGACTCCTGCGGGCCTCAGCTCCACGTGCCCAGTTCTTTGGGTTGTGTTTGCTGTGGTCACCTGTGTTTCTCCAAGTGACCAGGCGGCTTCTTCCCTGGGCTGAAAGCTCTGCTTGTCTGCATCTGCCATGCTTGGGAATCCTTAGTAATGTGTACCCCACCTGCAGGAAGACCGCTTTCCCCTCCTGCACGGATGGTTTTCCTGCGTCCCTTTCCTCCACCTCCTCCTGACTGGGTTTTGCACTTCCCTACCTTCCTGGAGTTTTGTGCTTCCTGGTTCATCTTTGTCGCCATCTTCAGGCATGTGGCCAGCCTGTGTTTTACACCAAGCAAGGGAACATGGACACTGCTCAGTGCTCCTTGGTTCATTTGGGACTTTCATCAGAGTATGCTTGTTTGGAGTGAAAACTGGAGCATTTCAAAGTCAGTTCGCAGTATGGCTTGGTAGAGAGCGTGGCTAGGTAGCTGGTTGCCTTTTCCCTCTCTCAGCAGGGCTCACAGGACCTAGGCTTCCCTGACCCTAGAAGGCTGCCATTGGGGATGGAATATTCCTTTCCATGGCTTTCTTGATAGCTGACTGGCTGTCTAGCCCATAAACATACTTATGGCATTTAATGGTGACCCAGGACCCAGGAGCTGCTAAATCTATTCATTCTTTGTCCCTCTTTGTCACACTTGCGCCGTTCTGTTGGCCAGACACAATCATATACCTGTTGCCACCAATGCTCTCCAGAAAGATAGATTGGAAACTACAGACAGAAGGGGAGAGAAAAACCTCCATGAATTTTTAGGGAATTGCTTGCCTTTCCTTGTGTTTCAATCTTTGTTCTAATGACCATCCCCCCACCCCAAGTAACTGCAGGAAACTGGGGTGTCATTGAGCCTGGCTTAGAGGCTCCAACACAGTCCATATCTTTGACTCAAGCCACCAATGTCACAATATTTGATCAGTGGACATTTCCTGTGGGTGGTCAGACTTTTACTAAACACTCAGTATATGTTGGCTTTAAGGAACTCCAAGACATAGCTGCAAAATGTGCCCATACAGACCGAATATACATGGTGATTACAACCTCAATGAAATGCAGACATAATTAGCTCTATTAATAATGCTAATGAAGGGCCAATGAAACAATGATTTCAATGGGGCCCCTCTCGGGGCTGGGTCCACAGTGGTGTGAACAGGCTCGAGTCCCCTCTGTTGCATACCCCAGCCTTTTCCCATTACCTTTCTCCTCTCCCACATCCTCTCAAGCTTAGCATTGGCACTTGACTGGCAATTACTCAGGAAATGACTTTCAGAATCCTTCTTATGAATATTTAGATAAATGCTCAGATTTTCTCGGTGGTCATGCTTACTGACTTTGAGATGGCTCCAGTTCTTGGGGCTCCGTGGGAGCACACACGCTGAAAAAGGTCCCCAGTGAACCGATGTAGCCTGTGAAACACTCCTCAGCACATGCTGGCGGTGTGTGCCTGTCCTCTGCCTCTCCATTCTCCCTTATAGGGTTTCTGGCTCCTAATTTCATTTAACCACATTGGAGCTACAAAATTTAGCAGCCACGGATAGGGGCAGGGAAGGGAGGTGACGGGGGAATCTAATTTACTGCTGCCATGACTACAGATGTGAAATAAATCTGTGAATCAGTGATGGATCGATCCCACTAAAGCTGGATTTAAATAATTAATAACGGCAAGAAATGCTATTCGGTCTTCCACCCCCAGGGTCCCAGAGTGAGGATTTGGGGGTTTAATTGGGTAGAGAATGAAGACCCTTAATGCAATTTTGCCGGACTCTCTCCTGTGTGTCTTAGCTGTAGCCACGAAAGTTCACTACATGGATAGTTTTGGTGGGTTCTGAATCAGGGCTGGCTTTGACCCCCACTGAGACTGTCTGAGGTGGGCCCATGTCCCATTTTCCATTTTCCACATGATTATCTGGATATGGCCTGTCACCCCAGGGAGCCAGTGTGTAATCTGGGAAGAAAATGGCCTGTGTCCCTGAGGGAAATTGTGCCTGTGTTCATGTAGAACAAGAATAGGAAGACGAATGAAAAACAGGGGAAGAGACGGAAAGATGGAAGAAGCTATTTGTTTCAGTACTTTGCTGATGCTCTTTCTCTGAGGGGGGTCTGGGATGGGATGAAACAGGAAGCAAGGCTAGGAGAGGAGTTAACATCTTACCCAAAATGAGACCTCAGAGGGCAACAGAAACAGTAGGATATCATTAGCATGAAAGGCAATACTCGAGCCACAATATTTCACATGCACAAAACCATTCCTCCCCTGGCCCACAGAGCCCGGCTGCGCCTCACCGACAGAGCGCAGCTTCCCTCACCGGCAGTTCTGTCGTAGCACCAGTCTGTCTGACTGGCCTGGCTCCTCCTGTACAATGTCAGAAGCAACTCAGAAGACTCTGTGGCAGATTCAGAGACAGGAGAAGGGGTAGCGAAAGTCAACGGGACAGTCAAGAAGGTGGTCACCTGAGAGGGGCCAGCGTCTGGACTCCTGTCAGAGGGGAGAACAGGAAGGTCAACTTCCAGACAGGGGCCAGGTCAGGAACCCCTTCTAAGGCATGTTAGGGGTTGAGGGGGTGCTCTTGATGTCCAGACCCAGATGATGGACATCTCAAGGTTTGAAGAGACTAGCTGTGAATCATGAAAAATAGGCCAGTGTGTCACTCTGGGCAGCAGAGCCACACATTGCCGCTGCTGCTTCACTAAACTGTGAGAGGATCTGTGGCTACCTTCAAAGGCCACTGGGCCAGATGGTCATAACTGACAGACGTTCCAGAACATTCTCCTTCCTCCCTGGCTCAAAACCCTGCTTATTCTAGTGCCTTTCCCTACCTCACAGTTGTTTTGGGCAGAGTGGAAAAGATACTGAATTAGATGCTGCAGCAGTTTAAAATCAAGCAGTGAGGTCTGTCCCTGCAATCGGCTCACCACAAACACCACCACCATCAAAAAGGCTTTCCAAAGGGCCTGAGGGCGGGGCACTGGGTGTGAGGTGCAGGCTCCACTACCTGGTAGCTTAGGATCAAGAGGGATGACCCTGACACATCAACCCACACTATGTTCTTTCTCAGGAGTCTCTGGCTTTTAACTAGGGGCAAGAAACTAATTCAAATGAATGAGAGGGGTCCTTGGGGTGTCTTGGCCCTGGAGTTATTTCATGTCAACTGGCCCAATTGGCAGAGATGGGACAAGGAAAGATGCCTAACATATAAACAGGTGGTGACTATGGTTGGTAGAAAAGGCATAGACTTTGGTGTCAGCTCTTGACACCTGAGCTTAAATGTTGGCTCTTGCAACATAGTAGAGGCACTTGGGGTAAGTTACTTGTTTGCTATTGCTCTTGCAGAGGAAGTAAGTTAGGCCTGTCCCCATCTGCACCAGGGAACTCAGTGTAGGGGCAGCGCATGGGGTAAGGGCTGGAGTCTGGGTAAGGGCTCAGGCAAAGAGGTGAAGGGAGAGAGCAGAAGCCTGTTTTTTCTCACAGGTGGGTGCCCTGGGAAGTCTCCCTTCAGGGTCTGTAGGAGTTTCAGGCAGATCTTGCAGGTGCCTCTGAGGGATCAGTAGGGGAGCTTGGGTCTGTGCCGGCCCAGCAGCCTGGGGCTTAGCAGCTAAGTTCTTAGGATACACCATCAAGAAGGGGTCCCTGAGCAAGTGGCCAGATGTTTGGATCCTAGGGCAGGTGACCGCAGGGATTAAGAACAGGCGGATGCAGGTGAGTTCCTTAGGCCCATGTCAACTCTTGCCCTGCTCCAGGCCCCAAGGCCAGGTGAGGAGACTCTCTAGGGCCTGTTTCTTTATCCTTCTAGCGAGATGATGACTGTCGTACCTCACTCACCTGGTGCCCACTGGGACCCACAGAGATGATGCCAGTCCTCATGAAAGGACTTAGAAAAGTCAAATCTGCCAAACAAACTTAGAGAGTTGTCTCACAATATTGGCCTCTCTGGTCATTTCCACTATCATGTACTTTTCCCCCCAGACACTGTCTGTCGTGCCTGTTCCAGGCTGGATCATCTCAGGGCCTTCTGGGGTTCCTGCCAGGTCTCACCTGCCGGGAAGCAGAGCCGGGTTCTAGCCACCTGGGCTGAACACTAGCCCTGTGTTATGTTGCAATGGAGAGGACACAGGGAGGAGCCATTGGATCCTGGATGCTGGGGAGTTGGACCACTCGAGGCCTGCTTCTGTAGTGCTTTAGCGAGGGGAGGGCCGGGCATGTGCCTGGAGGACCTTCGGTAAGTGGGGAAGTGAGAGAGGGAGCCGCTCCAGGCCTGGGGTGGCTGATAGCCTTTCTGTTTATAAGGGACACATGACATGCTTGATCTGTACCTGCTATCCTTCCCCAACCCTTGCCTGTCACACACGTGCATGTGTGAATGTAACACTTACTGCCTAAAGGAGTCTGTGGAAGGTTTGGGTTCTCAGCTTTCTCATGTAAAGAATATCCTGGGCCTCTCAGAACTTGGAGGCCCAGATCTGGCCCCTGGGGACCCAAGCCTGGTGTGGACACCAGGAAGGCCCCCCCAGGGCCTCTCTGATCCTCACAGCTCTCCATGGGCCCTGGGAACCCATTGGAAACCCCCTCAGCTGAGATATGAACAAAGGATTGGCTGGGTGTGTATGTTTGGAATAAAGCTGACCAGGAATCCTGACTCTTGCTAAGTTTTCTACCTGGCGGTTCGTGGGGTGCAGAACGGAGGATGACACAGATCTGCGGCACTTACTGAGAGTGTGCTGTATGCTGGCCACTGTTCCGCCTCCCGCTGGGTAAATATACATTTCATCCTCACCAAAACCCCGTGAGGCTGGAACTCTTCCTCTCCCCATTTTACAGATGAGGAAACTGAGGTACCAAGAGATTAAGTGGCTGCCCTGTAGCACACAGCTGCCTGGGTGGAGGAGCTGAGTTTCAAACCTAGGCAGTCTGGCTCCAAAGCCCCAGTTCTCAATATCTTTAAGGTGGTCACGTCACTGTCAGGCCCCTTCACTGTGTCTGGGCACATTGCTTCACTTGCTTTGAGTGTCAGCGATTGGGGTGAACGGGGGCCTTTGGAATGCCACTCCCTCATTTGTGCATCACCTGCAGTGGAGTTACCTGTCAGAGGCCTTGCAGTGCCCCTGGAGGTGTGCAGTGGGGAACAGAGCGGCCAGTGCAGGGCTGGAGGGGGGCTGCCTCGCCGGGTCAAGGGACAGCCCCATGTGGGAGCCCTGTGCCCTCAAGTTGTAACTTATGGGTCCCCTACTTGGCAAAACTGGGATTTCATTCCTGCTTCTTGCCATAACCAAACTGGTCCCGTGCTTTTTTTAGATCTAGTGGAGATAAATTATCCTTTGGGGAGAAAGTGTAGGGGACAAGACAAAAAGTCAAGGACAAAGCTTGTGACCCCTGCAGCTGGGCACGTAGCAGGCCCAGCATATTCCACAGAGGCTCTCTTATTCCACAGATATTTCATTGACCATCTAGTGTGTGCCAAGTCCTGTCACAAGATTTTAATGAGTATTCACTGAATGAGAATTCAGGCCTTGGAAATATGCCTGAGCCTATTCTCTTCCGGGACAGACTACACCTTCCCTTGGGGGCATTCATTCATCTGCTCCCCTGAGAGCACTGCTTGCGAGCCCTTTGCAGTCTCTCCTGGTTGAGACCTTCTCTCCAAACTCAGACGACCTCTGCCCCTTTCATCTCTAGTGGTTCTGAGTACCCAGGACTCTGATCTTGGGACCTGCCTCTCCCCTGTGAGTGACTGAGTGGCAGAGGCGAGCAGGGTTGTAACTTCCAGGAACCCCCACTAAACTCCTTCTTCCTCCCCTACTCCATGCCACTCCCTGTCCTGTGTTCTCCAAGGGCTGCTGAAACATTGTCCCCAAGCAGGAGTTTCCACCTGATTTATCCCAAAAGAAAACTGTTACCTTGCATCACGAAGAAGCATGGTTTGTGATGAATAACTTGCCTTGGGTTCTATTGGAAAAAAGAATAAAAAAGCAATATTGGCAAAAAAGCATCTTTCTTTCTATTTAAAAATACGTTGTTAAGTACGTGGAGAGGGCCCTAGTTATAGAAATTTTCTATTTTTACTTTTCTTTAGTATTGTCTCTTAATGGTTTCCTTTAAAAATTACTGGGTTGAAATTTTATAAAATTAGTGAGAACTCAAGAAGATACTTTTCAGGCAATCATGGATTTTGGAAATTCGAGTTTGCTTTGCTTATCTCTATGGTTATCCCAGAAGCCTACTTCTGTATTGGGATGAAGGACATCGGTCCAGCAGAGGTGACTGAGGTGCAGGGGATATATGTATTTTAAGGATTATTTTTAATTTTAAAGGACCTGCTTGTGTCACGTAATCACCTGATTGTTTGCCTTGAATGATATGGCATAAAGAATTTCTTGTAGACTTGGGATAAATTATGCCAACAATTCTGATAATACAAAATGGCAACAGGGGAAGCAGTAGAGAAACGAGAACCAGAACATTTGAATTGGAAAGGGAAATGTGAACACTTCCACTTATCCGTAGCTTACCCATGCAAGAAAATATTATTGAGGAACATCCCTTGGCTATTAAAATGATGTCTCGGCTGGGTGAGGTGGCTCATGCCTGTAATCCCAGCACTGTGGGAGGCTGAGGCGGGCGGATCACAAGGTCAGGAGATCGAGACCATCCTGGCTAATGTGGTGAAACGCTGTCTCTACTAAAAATACAAAAAATTAGCTGGATGTAGTGGCAGGCGCCTGTAGTCCCAGCTACTCGGGAGGCTGAGTCAGGAGAATGGCGTGAACCCAGGAGGCGGAGCTTGCACTGAGCCAAGATGGCACCACTGCACTCCAGCCTGGGCGACAGAGCAAGACTCCATCTCAAAAACATAAAATAAATAAAAATAAAATGATGTCTCTAAAAATTAAGCAACATGGGCAAATGGTGAAGTTATAATACTAAGTTACAAAAGTAAAGTACTAACTTGTATAGACAGCATGTTTAAAACAGTAAAAACCAAACCACACAACAAGGACCATCACTACCAAAAATGCAAACAATGGCGGCAGAGAGACAGAATACAAATCACTTATGTGTGAATTAGCTTTATTTATATTTGAATGTTCGTGGGTTGGGGGATGTCTTTCTACTTTTTACTGTTCAAATTTTTCATTTTTTAAAAAAAGGAACAAGAAGATATTCGTTTTTTGATGTCACTTTTCTAAAATTAAAATAGGTGCACAACTTATTAAAAAGCAGAAACAAAGCATGAAAGGAGGAAGGAAGGGAGGAAAGGAGGAGAAGCGACTAGAAGAGGAGAGAAAGTTTGGGAGCCTGTCCTGGCCCTTCTAATGATTTTCTGTGACTTTGGAGTAGTCACATGCCCTCTTTCTAGCTCCAAGTTGCTCATCTGTGAAATGGGCAGGAAGAGATAATGGTTGGGACAATTAAAGGAGATACAGATTGTGAAATAGACAATATGTACCCTATGCCATCAGACTATGTTCCCTAACTTTCGCTGGGACAAGACACGTGCAGAAAATGATTCTGTTCTTTTGGGAGCACATTGGAGGCAGAAGAAACCAGCTCTGGGGCTCAGCGTTCCCCCACCCACCAGTGGCTGACTCAAGGTCACAGAGGTGAACTTCCTTTCATGAAAAGTTGGCTGGCTTTCTCATCTCTGCCTTGTTAGTATCTCTTGCACCTTTCTTCTGAAATTTCCAGAATTGCTAGGTTCCCTGTTGGAAATGGTAGTTGGGACACCAACTCTCAACTGGAAATGGCAACTGAATTACAGCATTTAGGCCAGACGGCATTTGGAGCTGCCGAGGAGGATCTAGCAGGGTAAAGAAAATAAAATTCGATGCACTATGTATATCAAAAGATTAGGCAAAAACATGATGAATCAAAATCAATGTATTGTGACATCTCTATAGCATTATTTGCCACAGGGCAGAATTTATCATTAGGAATGTCTTGGGTACTAAAAAAACTAAAAGGGGGTCTCATTATGGGGTGGTTTCACTCTACAGCATGTTCTGTGGCAGCAGGAGAGCAATGTAGCCTGGAGGCTCCTCTACTGCCTTTCTTCTTGTAAGATTAGAAGAGTATTTTATACCTTACAATTGTGTGGTACAGGGGAGTTTCAAAGCAGTTTCAGGTATGTTACTTCATTTACTTATTACAACCCACTGTGAGAAAGGTGTTTTTGCACATGGGGAAACTGAAACCTAGAGATGGTAAGTGACATGCCCAAGGTCTAGACTCCACCGTGTGCTGGGTTTTCTGACTTGGACACCACAGCACTCACACCCATGTTGTGCATCCAAAATCTGAACTCCCCCAGCAGGCCAGTCAGATGCGACCAACCAATTATTCACTGGCAATTGATGCTGCATTTATATTCAAGTTGCTCACCCAATTTTACTGGATTTCCCCATAAACTTTGGGGGGAATCAACCCTTTAAGGAAGAGAGGTGGGTGGGGGTTGTTAGTCTGATGTAACCTGATTTGTCCAGGGCTATGGGAATCTCTGAAGTTGACCGCTATAGGGTAGATGAGTGGAGGGTGCAGATCCCTCCCACAGCCTGTTTCATTGTGTCTCATCTTTTGGTTATGTCCATTTCACAAAGCAGGTAATGTGGCTAGGGGTGTGTGGCCAGGCACAAGTCAATGGCAAGGGAATAATAATACATCATGTAATATAATAATACTTATAATGGCTAACACTTGCTTAGGCCTAAAATGCTATGTGTCTGGCATATTTCTTAATGATTTACCCAATTAAATCCCTTTAATCCTCCCACACATCCTATGAGGTAGGTCTAATGCTGTTCCTATTTACAATGAAGACAACCAAGACATGGAGAGGTTAAGTCACTTGCCCAAGCTCATGCAACTAGTGAAAGGGAGAGAGCTGGCATTCAAACCTAGGCAGTCAAGCTCCTGAGAGAAAGGAAAATGTGCTCTTCATGACAGACTCCTACCTGCTATTAAGTAGATAAATAAATGACACTCAGGCACCCCCTTCACTCTCTGCTCCTGTGGCAGACATCACTAGTTGCTCACAGCACTCTTTGCTGCTGAGCCCAGACAATCCCTCAAAATTCTTCTCAACATAGTTTTCCACTACTAACCTCAAGTAGTTAATGCATCAGCATGAGAGATAAGCCCATTTGTCATATCTAGGGCTCATTTTATAGATGCCAATTAATGGAT
Source organism: Homo sapiens (assembly GCF_000001405.40). Lineage (NCBI taxonomy): Eukaryota > Metazoa > Chordata > Mammalia > Primates > Hominidae > Homo > Homo sapiens. The sequence continues at coordinate 45,593,932 of NC_000013.11, forward strand.
AAGGTTAAAAAAATTTGTGTGCACCCATGTATATGTGAGTGTGACTGGCTCTAGTTAGTGAATATGATCACTTGATTCAATTTACATGTACTGAGCATCTGCTATAGGTGAGGAAGGCACTCTTGTTAGTCACTGAGGTTCAACACGAGGGTAAACAAAGTTATATCTTAAGGGTATTAGGAGACTATTCTACATAAAAACATTGATATATTTTTTTGAAAAGTTAAGAAATTTCTTATACATTTTTTCTTAACCTGTTTTGTACAATCTATCTTGAAACCCTAGAATTTCATAGACCAAGACATTCTTTCATGAGCCTTGAAAGGCATTTCAGCATCTCCCTAGTGTTTTTTCAGTGCCTCTCCAATTTTTGTTAGCAGGACATTTATTTTCAAAGTGTTTGCTTTATACACAGTTCCATTCGCTTGACAGCATTGTATTTGTCCTACTCTAGTGGGTAATATATTTTCAAAGATCCAGCACATAGAGGGGACATGTTAAGAATGCTTGATTCATACCGTGCAAGAGAAAAAGCCCTGAATGCTATTTTTCAGTATTAGAATTACATTTGATACTTGAACAGCAGGGATATTAGGATTCCAAGAGAGAGCTTAATGGTAGGCATACAGAAAAGAGAGTTTCCCAGCAGTAGTGGAATTACCTCTCCAATGCAACAACTAAATTTCCAGGAAGGGAGTAGGAATCAAGGATGGTACATCTGATTTGATGGAGAGGGACATAAAGGTAAAATGTCTGTGTGGCTGCTGAGAATGCCCAGCTTTTAGGATGTAGGTTGTGTGTAATCAGATTTTTAGGAATGCAAAAATTCAGGCTGCCTAGGATGCTTGTAGTTGGTAGCAGAACCGGATCCAGAAAAATAGTTTAGTTCTACTTATAGGCCAGCATGAAGATGATGTAGGTGACCTGAACCTTTACATTTCTGTACCTAGTTGAATATGGCCATGCAGTCACGACATCAAGAGAAGACACTGCAGGGGCATATGAGCAAAAGCACATTAGTCACTGCTAGCAAACAGCACAAGGAGGCTGCTGCCAAATAATAAAACCCAACATGAGGAAGTACTGCCAGTTGCTGAAACAGTGTTGGAAAAATTTAGCCCTTGGATGAGAAAAATCACTCCAAAGTCAAATACTTACCCACAGACTAAAATGATTCCTTTAAGGGGGCCGAATGGGTATCCTGAGAAGCATACCAGTGTCTGTTGACCTAGCAACAGAGTGTAGGAATGTATTCCAGGAAATAGAGATCTCTGATAAAGCAGTTCACCAAAATGCCATTTTTAAAAAGTAACAAAAAATTGGAAGCAATAAATGGTCAGTAATAGGAGATTGATTAAAAATATTATAGCTTATCAACACAACACAATGTGATGCAGTCATTAAAATGATTTGTAGAAAGCTTAATAGCATATTGAATGTATATAATATTAAATGATATTCATATAAGTATACAGTGTTTATATAAATATATAAATAAGTGTATCTTTAAAAGCAGGTTACAAACACAATATAAAGCATGATCCTTTTATAAAAGAGGTGTGTGTGTATGTGTATATATATGTGTATATAAATATATGTGTGTGTGTATATATATAAAATAAGTCTGGGGAAGATATAATCAAAAGTGTGGAAAGTGATTATCAAATCTGATAGTCAAGTGGTGGTGATTTTTGCTGTCTTCTTTTTGCTTATATATAGTTTCTTTCTTTCTTTCCTTCTTCTCTCTCTTTTTTTTTTTTTTTTTAGAGATAAGCATTCTGTTACCCAGGCTGCTCAAAATCCTGGGCTCAAGTGATCCTCCTATCTCAGCCTCTTGAGTAGCTGGGACCACAGGTGTGTGCCACCACACCCGACTAAATTTTACAATTTTTTTGTAGAGATGAGGTGTGGCTATGTTGCCCAGGCTGGTCTCAAACTTCTGGCTTCACACAATCCTCTTGCCTTGGCCTCCCAAACTGCTGGGATTGCAGGTGTGAGCCACTGCTCCTGGCCTGCTTATATATAGTTTCTAAAACATTTGCAATGAACATGTATTACTCGTGTAATATGAAAAAGGAAAGATACAAATAACAATTATTATTATAAGCAGGTGCTTTATGTTTATGAAGTCTTCCTGCCTGCTTTGTGGGTGCAGTGCTTTGGGGCAAGGCTATTGTATTATAGTTGTGAGCAGAACTTGGTCAGTAAATGAGTCTTCCTCCCTGTCAGCACCATGGATAGAGTTGACAATTTGCGCTCTGGCTCTATGTCAGGTTTGTGCTTTTTTCCTGGGCATCCTGGTAAACTAGAGTTACCATCCTTTGGGATGCCCTCCTCCAGATACTCATCCCTTTCCAGATACTCTTCTTCATCCAACCTTCTTTCCCTTTCAGATACTTTTCCTCCCATAGATGCTCTCCCTCCTCCAGATACTCACCTTTCAGATACTTTTTATACAGATTTTCTTTTCCATCCAGATTCTCTTCCTTCTCCAGAGCTTCTTCCTCCTCCAGATTCTCTTCCTTCTCCAGAGCCTTTTCCTCTTCTAGATATGATTTCTTCCCCAGATACTCCTCCTCCTCCAGATACGCTTTCTTCCCCAGATAATCTACCTCCTCAATATAATCTTCCTTCTCCAGATACCCTTCCTTCCCCAGATACTCTTCCTCCTCCAGATGCTCTTCCTTCCCCAGGTACTCTTCCTCCTCCAGATACCCTTCCTTCCCCAGATACTCTTCCTCTTCAATATACTCTTCCTCCTCCAGATACCCTGCCTTCTCCAGATACTCTTCCTCCTCCAGATGCTCTTCCTTCCCCAGATACTCTTCCTCCTTCAAGTATTCTTCTTTCCCCAGATACTCTTCCTCTTCCAGATCCTCTTCCTCCTCCAGATACTCTTTGTCCTCCAGAGACTCTCCCTCTGGAGAAAATGGAGATTCATCCTGTAGACTTTCCTCATCTAGTTCTACTTCAGTATCCTCTTTCTCTGAAGGCAAGTTCTGTGTGGAATATTGGGGAGTTGTGGGAGGGTGAGGAGGTGATGCTCCTGATAACTGATTATTTTCAGCAGACATGCTGGGGAAGTCGTAGGTGGTGAACTCCTTCTGCAGCAGCCAACGTCACTTTATTATCCTGTATCCAAGAAAGGAATAAAATCCTATTAGCCAGTAATAGCAAATGCATATTGATTTAATTCCATTTTTGTTCACTTATTTCATTCAGTAGTCTTTGGAGGGCTCTTTAAGTATGCAGATCAGTACATAGAGGCCAGTGAAAAAGGCACAAGAAGAGGGAATGGAAGCTTACCCTCAGAGAGCTGGGTGGGGAGACCACACCTAAAGACCAGGCCTTTGAAATTATTGCACAATATGAAGTCAATGGGGAGGGCTGGAAAGCAATCATTGTTTAGTGGTGCTACTGCTAGAGAAGATTTTTATTTTTCCTTAAGTATTTATTACCACAATAAATAAGACAGAGACTGTCTTCCAGGAGCTTGAAATCTGGGGAGAAAGGAGTCACAAAAAACAGATTACTAAACACAAGTGACCAACACAATGGAAGGGGCTCCCACAGCATAGGACGGACACAGTGGCTGGGGCTTCTGGTCAGTTAAGGCCCCTGTGGTCAGAAGTCTGTGGGTCATGTCCTCATGGCTACCACATGCACTGTCAGCCCTGCCCGCAGCACCATCTGCCCTCAGCTCACCAGGCAAATGCTACATATGTTTTAACACTGAGCATCTTGACTCCTCCAGGAAGGCTTCCAGGCTCCCTCTTCTGCTCCATCCATGTCCTCTATATTTTTTTTATTAAAGTAACTATTTTGCTATATTAAATTGTTTGCACGTTTGTTCTTCCAACAGTATAAGCTCCTTAAAGATGGGTGGGGTCAGTGTTATTCTTTTTTGAAAATAGATTTTGAATTCTTCCACTCCTCCTCCTCTCCACTGTGGCCCACTGTGATTCCCCATGGTGAACATGCCATCTCTAGACTGAATTACTGGGTTTCCTGAGACCCCTGCCACTGCTCTGCTAGTCATTTGCTGCAAAGAGTGTTCTTATAAAAATATAAATCAAATCAGGATTTCCTTTGCTTAAAATCTCCCAGTGGCTTTCTGTTGTGCTTAGAATATGATGTCACCTCCGTTCCATGCCTGCCTGTCTTTCTGGCCTTATCTATCCCCATCCTTCCTTCCCTGCCCCCACCCTGTTACTCTCTCCTACAGCACTTATCATTGTGTCTACTTATGTGTCCATTTCTGTGTGTTCTTGTTCAATTTTTTTCTTCCATTAGGTGTAAATGTCTCAATGATAGTGACCTTCTATAATCTGTTCCCCACCGTATCTCTGATGGTTAGCTCGGAGCCTGGTGCATAATAGATGTTCAATAAACATATGGCCAGTGACTGAATGAAGGGCCAAGAAGAGGTGGCTCTACAGCAGTGCACCCTGAAGGTTTAAAAATGACATTTATTCTGCAGGACAGGACAGACTGAAGAGGCAACCGGACCAGAATCCTTCTGCTTGCTTTGGGGACTTAAGAGATACATATCTTGGCCTGCCTCTTTCTGGCTGTCTGAGTGGGAAACTCTGTTCTGGGGAACCAGCCAGATGAGACCACCAGGATGAATTTTAGCAAATGCAGCATGAGTCCAAGATGAGAGGTGTGATGGACAAGGCCATTCATCATGGGCAAATGGCACATTTACCCACCCACATCACTGTTGGAGCCCTTGGATTGCTGGATTCCAATAGGGTTAGCCTGGGGCAGTGAACACAGAAGTACACTGCCCAGATCCCCTTTTCAAAGAAGGACTTGCCGCCCAGCGGTGAGGAGTGTGGTCAACAGGTGGCCCCCAGCTGCCAGCTCCTTCAGGATGTGTCTCAGCTGCAGAGTCCCTTTCTGATAGTGATGTCATTCTTGGGACAGCCGGTATCTGAGGACCAGGCAAGGTGGAGATAGAAAAGCACAGTCAACTCCAGGCAGCGCACCTCTGAGAGGCTACATTCACCCCAGAGCTCTCTAGCAGGCTGACCAAGGCTCACCAAGCCTACTCCACAAGTGCCATCTCCATCTGGCCCAAGCCTGCTTCCTCTCCCTTTTTCCTCCAGGGGCTGACCCCAAGAAACGTTTTGTATCTCAACAGTTGCATCTCAGCAGTTTGCATTTTAGAGTCTATTTCCAGAGAACCTACCTTGTGATAGCTTCACCAAATGTAAATCTGGGAAATAATTGACTGAAAGAGTTGGTGGAGAGAAAAACAAGGCCTCACTGGTAGCCTGATCACTTAAGAGGTCAGTGGCTGAGGGTAGGGAGTAACCGGATCTGCCTGGGGCAGGGAAAGTTGGCCGTGTGGAGAGATGACAAAGATGGTAGCAGTAAAGGGGGAGCCTGTGCGTGGAGAGTTTTAAAACCCATCATGAAGCATTTTGTGTTGGGTGGCATCAAAAGAGAAAACTGCAACAAATTTAGTTATTAATTGAATTGGTTTTTATTCATGATTCATGAATAGAACCATTCTACAAACAGAATGAGAGCTCCCATCAGGCAGTAGCAAAACAGCGGGCTCTGTGAGATGGGAACACAGAAACAGAGCAAACAAAAAAAAGTGTATTGGCTAACCTTAGGTTACTTCAGGTTACTTTTTTTGGTAAGGGTTAAAGCAGAGAGAGGACTTACTTATTATTCTCACTCAGGTAGACTGGAATCTCCTGTTTTCAGGAAAAAGTGTGCTGTTTTGGGATCTGTTTCCTTACAGTTTCAGTTTGATTATATGGCACTTAGCATGAGTGACTCCATTCTGATTTGGTCTTGTCTACTGGGACCTAGTGCAGGAGCCAAGTCCAAAATGATGGCTTTCCATAAGTTTTGCTTCACAGTGGTGACGGTGAAAGTGTTAGGATTAAAGCAACTCTGGAGCAAGAGGATTCCCGTGGCCATTTGCCAGACAGTTAAGAAGCAGCGGAGAATGGAAGCTGTGCCTGCAGTTGGCTTGCCCTTTTATCCTTCATTTTATGGTTCTGTGGTATATGAATGTCTTTTCATGTAGGCTGCCTCCAGTGCTTTTTGGAGGAGGAGAGGTATAAATAATACATGAGTTGATGGTGGAGGACACTGTCTTTGGGGCAAAGGGTGAGCTACGGAAAGCTTTGGGACCCAACCACAGCTATGTCTGCAGACGCCTCTTCCATTGTAAAGGAGGCCCCTTCAGCTTTATTTATCTAAAACCTCAACATACCACCTATTATTGCCGTCTACTTCTAACTCCCACTGGCTGCTGCTGCCTCACCCTAAGACAGAGCTGGGATGGCTAGAGCAATTGAAGAGTGGTGACAAGAATTCTTTGCTTGACCAAACTCCAGTCAGGCTCCTGAACCTTCTCCCAGATTCATCTGTGCACTTCCTTGTAAAATCCAGTTTCATTTTATTTTTTTTTTATTTTGTAAAAATTTATGGGGTACCAGTGTAATTTTGTTACATTCATAGATTGTGTAGTAAAGTCACGGTTTTTAGGGTCTCCAGCACCCAAATAGCATACATTGTACTCATTAAGTAATTTCTTGTAATAATAATTTCTCACCATCCACTCCTCTTCTGCTCCCTTACTCTTTTGAGTCTCCATCGTCTATTATTCCACACTGTATGCCTACTCAGAAGTGAGAGTACGTGGTATTTGTCTTTCTGTGACTGACCTATTTCAGTTCAGACAATGGTCTCCAGTTCCATTCATGTTGTTGCGGAAGACACGATTTCATTCTTTTATGACTGCACAGTATTCTATTTTGTATATATGCCACATTTTCTTTGATCATCCGTTGGTGGACACTTAGGTTGATTCCATATCTTTGCTATTGTGAATACTGCTATGATAAACATACAGTTGCAGGTATCTTTTTGATGTAATGATTTCTTTTCCTCTGGGTTGATACCCAGGAGTGGAATTGCTGGATTAAATGGTAGTTCTATAAGTCCAGTTTTAGCAAGAAGCCTGCTAAGTCAATTTAGCAAAAATCCTGCCCCATCCTCCATATATGACCATCCTTGTTACCTGATCAGATTTCTCATCCTCCCCATGCCCCAGGCCTGCCTTCATCAAGAATTCTGTCAGGCTGGTTTAGCCTGAATCTCCCTTACCCCTGATGTTTCTTGTTAATTTCCCATCTACCCTGACGATGCCTTGATGTTTCCTCTGAGTTAATTTCCTATCCGTTGATTCCCCACTCTGTCCTTGGCTGTAAATTTCCATTTGCCCATGCTGTATTCAGAATTGAGTCCAGTTCTATACTGGGATCTCTTTTCTCCTGTTGCAATAGTTCATGAGTAAAATATATTTTTACTGTGGGGCATGGTGGTGCGCACTGATAGTACCAGCTACTTGGGAGGCTGAAGCGGGAAGGATCACTTGAACTTAGGAGTTCAAGACGAGCCTTGGGAACACAGTGGCAGCCTATTTTTAAGCAATTTTAAAATGTATATATTTTACTGCTTTGATTGCTGTCCAGCTTTGCTTTTCTTTGACAGCCAGTCTGTCCAGCCCTCCCCTGGGAGAGGTGAGGAGCACACACAGGCACTGGCCACTCCATCAAAGGCTTACACTTCAGGGCTCCCTACCTCTCATATTTTTGTAGCTGCTTAAGAGATCAAAATCAGCCGGTCCCCTGGATAGCCCAGAGGAGCATTTGTCAATGGCATGCCATCATTCCGGGTGACGGGTCTTTTCTTCCTATTTTCTCATCAGGCCTTGTAAAAAGGGTCCAGTCAGCTGCATTCTCATTTCAAAGATCAGAAAAAGAAACTGCATTCCAGACACTCTCCCTTTAATTCTCTTAGAAATTTGTAAGACAAGCCTACAGGTGGAATAAATAGTAATGGCAACTTGATACCCAGTGTCTGGGGCAAACATCCTGGCTCCAACTTGTGATTCAGACCATGACCCATTTGAGAACAACAGGACCTATCTCCTGGAAGGATGCAATGAGGCAGTGTGTACAGGCATAAGGAGTGTCAGGCACTGTTATTATTGCACACTTATTCCTAACCAGCTCTGAAGGTGCGTGTGTGTAAACGTCTATGTGTGTGAATGTGTGTTGTGGGTCCTTCTGAGGCCTTAATCAGTTCATGCCATGGGGAGAGAAAAAAGAGATTTGCTTTCCAACTACCCTGCTCCAAGGACTGTCTGCAGCCCAGCTGAGAAGTTTAGAGATTGGGGTCCGTCTGTCCTTCATTCTGGGTCCTAGTGGCTGGGTCCCAGGAGAAATGATGGTTCTGGGGCAGTGCTGGAGTTGAGCTCCCTTTTCCTCAGGAGGCTGGTACCTCTGCCTGGGAAAGCGGCCTGACTTGAGGGATTTTCTTGGTGATGCTTTGTTTGCCCAGAGAGAACTGCCCTCACAATGTGTCAGCACATTTTCTGACTCTCAGCCATGCTTTCAGGAAGTTGTTATCTATAAATGTAAGATAGCCTGTGCTTTATAAAGCTCATCATTCAATTTCCAGACAGCTGCAGTCCAGAAGTCCTCGGATTGAATCAGTCTTCTTGGTTTGACTTCCACTCATCACTGGCCTTTTTCAGTCCTGGGGGAGCCAGGATGAAGAGTTCTACATGACAGCCTTTTAAGGGTTTGAAGGTAGCAATTAGACTTTCCTCCAGGACTCCAGGCTCAACTCCAACAGCCTTCTTGGCATCTCTGCTGGGATGTCTAACAGACGTCTCAAACTCACTGTGCCTAAACTGGGATCCTAGTCTTCCTCCCCAGACCTCTCAGCCCTTGGACTAAGACTCTTCTCTTTCATTCTCACCCAACCTCATATCCACCAGGAGAGCAGTCTGGCTCCTTCTTCAAAGGATCTCATCTCTTCTCATCCCTCCATTTTCCCACCCTGCTCTGAGCCACACACACATCTTGCCTGCATTATTGCAATTACCTTCTATACCATTCAGGGTTCTCCAGAGAAACAGAACCAGTGGGATATATATAGAAATGTAAGTGGATATTTATTATGGGAATTGGCTCACACAATTTTGGAGGCCGAGAAGCCCCACCATCTGCCATCTGCAAGCTGGAGAATCAGGAAAGCTGGTGGTGTAATTCAGTCCAAGGCTGGAGGCTTAAGACATGGAGGAGGGGGGCCCCTAGTGTAAGTCCTGGAGTCTGAAGGCCTGTGAACCAGGACTTCCAAGGTCCTAGGGCAGGAGAAGATGGATGTCCCAGACCAAGAAGAATGAGAAAAAAATTGTCCCTTCCTCCATGTTTTTCTTGTAGCTGGGCCCTCAGTGGCTTGGACAATGCCCACCCACATTGGTGAAGATGATCTTCTTTACCTACTCCACCAGTTCCAGTGCTAATCTCTTCCAGAAACACCCTCACAGCCACACCCAGAAATAATGAGCCTCCCTTAGTTCAGTCAAATTAACACATAAAATTAACAATCACACACCTTAACAGGTCTATTCTTCACAGAGTCGCTGGCTTTGAAGATGTGGGGCGGACCCCTCACTTCCCTGTGATAGCTCCCCTCTCCCAGATGAAGCCAAAGCCCTTTCAGTGCCTGCAATGTCCTCCCGACTCTTCTCCCCCTGCCTCCCTTGGCTCCTGCCCTGCTGGTCCTAGACCTGCTGGTCTTTCCTAACATGCCAGGTGCTGGTCAGGGCATTATTTCTGGTTAAGGCCTTTACTCTCCCTGTGCCTGGGTCCTGTCCCCAGATCTCTGCCACAGTCCTGCTCCCTCTGTCACCCCCTTTCCCAGTGCCTCAGTGAGGCATGCCCCACTGCCCTGGGTCCTCCCCTGCCCGTTCCTAGCACTTTCCATGTCCCTTAACCTGCCATCCTTTCCCCTTTGTCCCCAGAGCACCTCTCACCATCTAATGTACCAAGTACCTTATTCATTTGTGGTGTGTGCTGTCTTGCTCATCTCATTACAAAGTAAGTTCCCTGGGAGCAGGGATCTTGGTTTGATTTACTGGTGTAGCCCAAGGGCCTAGGGCCCTGGCCAGCACACAGCGGGTACGATGTGTGTTGAGTGAATGTGTGAATACAGACCCCTCCCTTTCCCATTCCTTCCACCCTTCTGTGGATGGTGAGGTTTCTGGGGTCTTCTCCCCAGATGCACTGTTGTGGGCCAAGAGCTCTCTACACAGGTGGCCCAGAAGAGAAGTCGAGCCCAGGCCCAGACACATGGAGACAGGGGCACACTTGTGATCATCTCTCACAGTGCAGTGCGGTGTATCTGAGAAGAGGGAACTCTGCTGACTCTGTGAGGATGTTTGGAGCACCCACTCCAAAAGGGGAAGGGGGCTCCTGCCCCTCTAACCAGGACGTTACATTTTCTTTGGCTCATCCAAATAATTTTTCATTGACTGCTAGCCGTTTCCAGTTCCTCCCAGCTTAGTCTTATCTGTATCCTCATCCAAACCACTGATACAAATGTCCAACCAGAAAGCCCCGGGGATGCTGCGGCAGAAGCCCCTCATGCTGCCCATCTCCATCCATCCGTCAGGGGAGGCTGTGGGGAGGGGAGCTAAGGTTCTGTGTGGCCAGAACTCTGGCCCCTCCACCCTCACAGCAAGCCCTGATGTGGGCATCATCACCCTCACTTCATAGGTAAGGAAAATCAACTTTCAGGGGAAACAGAAGAGTTTACAGTCTTCATTTACAGGTGTGAAAAAAAAGTTGTTTGAAAGAAAAAATTGTTTTCTACCTGAGCATCAAAAATAGTCCAAAGGTGGGAGGAAGAAAATCTTACTACAAACATTTTTGGCTGGAAAAAACAAACAAACAAACAAACAAAACACCAAGAAGAAGCCTAGCTACCACAGTAAGACCCTATCTCTAAAAAAAACCTAAAAAATTAGCCGGGCATGGTGGTGTGCACCTGTGATCCTAGCTCACGTGGGAGGCTGAGATGGGAGGATCACTTGAACCCAGGAGGTCAAACTACAGTGAGTTGAGATCAGCCACTGTGCTGGTTTCGAGACCCTGTCTCAAAAGAACAAAACAAAACAAACCAAATCCAAGAAGGTTTGGATGAAAGCAGCTCTTTCTACAGGCTGCTGGCTGGGCCAAGCTTTTGAGGCCCTTTAGTCTCCACTCTCTAAAGCTCTTCCCAGCGTGCTCCCTGAGACCCGGCCCCTGGAATCCCTGAGGCCACTCCCACTTTTCTCCCGAGGCCCCTCCCCCTCAACTTCCTGAAGCCCCTCCTCTTTGGTTCCCTGACTCCCAACCCACTCAAGGTGTCCTCCCATCTCTAAGGGTGGTCAGAGAGGTGCAGTGCCCCCACCTCACTCTCCAGGGAGCCCTGCTGCCTGTACCCTGTCCCAAGTGAAATGTTCTAGAATTCTGCCCAGCATCAATATCACATGGACTGGGCTGTAATTTGCGACGTCTGCTTTTTCTTCTCCTTTTATCTAAATTAGGAAAAGGTTCTTCTGTTTCCAGACTGGAGTATGGTCCCGCTTCTTCTCTATGCTTTAGCTGTTTGTATAATGCTTTGTGCTGCAAAGTGCTTTCGTGGGCCCTGTTTAATGGATTCATCATTGCAGCCTTATGCGGTAAACACTATCATCTCCATCTTATAGATGACAGCACTAAGGTTCAGAGAAATCAAATAACTCCACCAAGGTCAGGCAAGTCCTAAGTGGCCAGACTAAGATCTGGACCTAGGTCTGCTCTTGCTGAGGGCAATGTTCTTTCCCCAGTGCCAAATGTCATGTGTGTTTTGGAGGAGAGCCCTCCTCAGGGAACCTTCTTAGGGGTCTCCCCCTGCACACTGGCTTTAGCTCTCTCACAGCCTCTTTCACAAGCTCTGGTTAAACAATAATTCTCCGTGATAAAGAAAGTAAAGAGGGGGAGAAGAGGAGGAGGGAGAAGTTGGGTTTCTGTCATTTGCTGAGCACTTACTATGTGCCTAGAACAGAAAAAGGTATTTTCCTTTTCTTTTCCTTTTTCCTTTAAAGATTGAACACAATCTGGCAAAGTATAATTATCCTATTAACCAACTAAGAACCAGGGCAGTGAGCTGGTCTGAGGCCATAGCTATGTAGTGCCATATTTGATATTCAATGTCTGTCTCATTCCAAAGTCTAAATACCACGAAAGAGGAGATAAGCGACATATGTCTTCTTTCCAATCTTTATAACTCAAGTTCTTAGGGATTCCTTCAAATATTTAAAAGCTTTCATGAAAATTATTTAAAAGAACGAAGAAATAATATTTAGAGTTCCTACTTGCTAAAATGAAATTCACTGAGATGAAAAGACATCCGCAGTTACAAGTTGACTGCACTAATTTTCAAGTCAGATAAAGAACCTTTCAATTAACCTCTCTTAAATAGTCACAATTATCAGCAACAAAGCAGAATTATTGATAATTGTTATAACAGATGTCATATTTAATTTCAGATCTCAGAAGAATGGTATTTTTGGGGTGTGTGAAAAATACCTTTCTACCCACTAACTGTGCTGAGATGCCAGGGTTTCAGCAATTATGAGCCATGTTTAGGCTGCCTCGCGGGGTGGTGGGCAGCTGGTGGCAAGAGAAATTGCACTGTCTTCTTGGCTGAGATCCCAAAAGTGTATGTGTATATATATATATATATATATATATATATATATATATATATATTTTTTTTTTTTTTTTTTTTTTTGGAGACAGAGTCTCACTTTGTCACCCAGGCCAGAGTGCAGTGGTGTAATCTCGGCTCACTGCAACCTCTGACTCCCAGGTTCAAGCGATTCTCCTGCTTCAGCCTCCCAAGTAGCTGGGACTACAGGTGCCCATCACCATGCGTGTCTAATTTTTGTATTTTTAGTAGAGACGGGGTTTCACCATATTGGCCAGCCTGGTCTCGAGCTCCTGACCTCAGGTGATCCGTCCACCTCAGCCTCCAAAAGTGCTGGTATTACAGGCGTGAGCCACTGCACCTCGCCTAAAAAGTATATGATTCTGAACATGTTTGCTGCTTCTGCCACATATCTCCAGGCAATTAATAGATTGACCTAGAAGATCCGTAGGTTCCTTTCTACCCTGTGTTTCTGAGACTAACTATCCCTTGTTCAAAATCCTTGCGGCCAGTTGTGCTGTGGAATTTAGATATATCAATTACATTGTAGATAAAAAAACAACCCCAGAGGGCTCTGGGGAAGCACGCTGTGGTGAGTCTTAGTATTTCTGCAGCAAACATGTAAACTTTTACAATAAGTGGGATAAAGAAAAGCTTTTAGTCCCACTTCCATTTAGGTTGGATTTTACTCCCAATGGAGTTCTGGAAGGTCAGGTTTTGTGGAAAAATGAGTGTCACAAACTTATCAGGAGGACTCAGTTCTCAGAACTTTTTGTATTTCAGAGCTTGCAGATAAGAGACTTTAACCCTGCAAGAACATTTCTTTGGAAGCCCTACTGGTGGTATCATCTAGAATTTATTGAATGCCCTGTTCATAATGAGAAATGCAATGCATTGAAAATGCTGTTTCTGTAGGAAAATAAAATCCACTTCATGGAGGTCTATTTTGACATGGCTGTTTCTAGGATCACGGAGTGGCTAACAGGGAGGACAATAAGAATTACTTGAAATCATGACTGTGTAATCTTCAAGACATGGGACAATGGAGCCCAGTCAGGCTCCTGGCTGAGTACTTACAATGTCAGGGGGTAAACTGAGTCCAAGCCAAGAGAGTTTTCAACAATAACAGCTGAAGGAAAAATGTTTTCTGGTTAGTTATCCAGGAAGTTGGGCAGAGAAAAACATATTTCTTAGTAATGCTGGAAAATAGATTTTTTTCTTTACTAACATTGGATGAATTTAGTTTTGTGGTATGTTTCTTCCTTAAAGTTCCTTGGTCAGTAGCTTTCATTGAATGTCCAACAGCAAATCAAACCAAAGCAGCCCTTGCTTACGGTGTGCCTCTTCTGCCAACCCCACCGCCACCCCTGAATGGCATCACCAATCTGTGCGCCAAGGCTCCCTGGGCACTGCAGAGAACTCACAGGGACGCCACAGTATAGTTTAAATTTTTGAGGGAAACAGTGATACTTGACATCTGTTGGACATCAACTAACTTTAGATTATGCTACATTCCTTTCAATTATGGCATATTTTGCAAAGCTGGGCATGTGGCAGTTGTTGAGATAAAAATCAAGCACCACCCCAAAATTAGTATGGAACAGGAAATGAGGGTGGCCACGTCCCATTGATTCCAAGATTTGGGAAGTTGTGCAATGCCCAATGGGTACACACGATTCATTAGTAAGTCATTGTGGGGAGGAAATAAAAATATTTTCCTCCAAAATACTGAGAATTGTTAAGTTAAAGGCACTGAAAATGCAGGGGAACACTCGGCCTCAGCCTCTGTTTGCTTGATGGCAGCACAAAAATCCTGCCTTATTGGAGATGGCATTTGCTTATTGGCCCAGAGAAGGCAGCAGCAGACACCAGAGGAATCTGGGAACAGATTTTACTCTGTTCCCACACACTTTCCTGCTTTTTAATAGACTGGAACTGCTCTTTTCTTTGTCTTGTCACTACATGGTATTTATGGCTCTTTGTTAAAATACTATTTAATCAAGATCCCTAAGCCACTGCCTTGAGAGAGAAATACTTTTGAACTGAGTCCTCTCCTGTATGATGGGTACAGCAAGCATTCATACATTTTTGCATGTTTTTTGTTAATCTGACTTTTGTTTTCAGGAGAGTGTCTCCACTAAGAACCTAAAAAGGGAAAGAAAATAAATTACGCTTTCTCCCCTGCAGTGGCTATTTAAGAAGGAAATAAAAGCATTATTTTTTCCTTCAATTTCTGTGTATTAAATTGTGACATAAATATGTGACACAAGGATGAGATATTCATTAAGTTATTCGGATGTAACGATTCAATACATGAAACCTTTAGGGATTTCTTTTGGCCTGTGGGCACCGTGAAAAATTCACTGAGACGTTGAGGGTGCCCTGAACGGAGAAAGTTTGGGAACCTCTGGTATAATTCCCTGAGTGCTCAGATGAAGAAGCTTGGAGTCACCCATGATTCCTCTTTTTCATCCTCCCAAACCCACGAATCAATCCGTAAGTCCTCTTGCACCACCTCCCACAAAATGTCCTGAATCCGTTCTTCCTGCTACCACCACTGCCATCACCATCGTCAAATCCAGCATTTTCTATGGCAGTCTTTCTGCTTTGGCTCTTGCTTTCCAATAATCCATTCTTCAGAGGTGGCTTTTAAAAACATAAAATAGACCACATTGCTCCACTGCTTCTATGTTGCTCCCAGCCATCCTCCAGTGGCTTCCACTTCCCTTTGAAAGCCCTCCTGGGCCGACCCAAGTTGGCCCCACATCCTCTCCTGCCCTTCTGGAAATCCTCCTTCCCTTGCTGCAGCCTGTTCTCACCTCAGGATGCTTCCACTTGCCCTTCCCACTGTCTGAAAAGTTCTTCATCCATTTGAAGATCTTCCAACACCTGGCTCATTCTCAAGTTTCTCCTCCAATGTCATCTCTCCAGCAAGGCTTTCTAAAACTGCCACCCCTGACCCTCACCTCCAATCACTACATGTATTATCATGTTGTTTTAGTTTCCTCATAATATTTGTTACTCCTGAACATACCATGTTCTTTGGTCTGTAGATTTGAGAGTAGGAACTTTGCTTTCTTGTTCACCATTGTATTCCCACCAGCTAGAATAGTGCCTGGCATTTGATAGGAGCTCGACAAATAATTGACAAAATTAGTAACTGAGTGATTATCTCATATGGTTGTGTGTTTGGATTGTTCACTGATAGCTCCTGAGAAGATCCAGAAGTGAATTGGGAGAAAGGGAGCCAGTGAGTTCATTTTGACTGACATTTTTATGTAATCATACATCACTTAATGATGGGGATACGCTCTGAGAAACTGCATCATTAGGCAATTTTGCCATTGTGTTGAAACCACCTTTGCAAAAATTATAACAGTGAGAAAATCATGGGAGTGAAGGAGATCTGATCTGGCCAACCTTCGTCTTGCCTTTGGCCTTCAAGATGCTCATAAAAATTCCTGGGCTTAGGCCAACTAACTTTAGGAGACATTTAATTTATAGTTGAAATGATAATAGCCCTTCCCCAAACTCAACCACCTTTGTAAAGCTAATGAGAGACCACCAGGCCAGGAGGAGAGAGGAGGCTGAATTCTGCTAAGGCGTAGACATAAATGATTGCCAGCCATTATTCTGGAGGTCACAAGATATGCAACTTCAATCACTCCTGCAGACAACATCACTATTGTAGAACCTAAGATTGGCCTTTTGAGATGTCTTTTTCAGGTTTTTTTCATGTCTGACACCTATGGCTCCACCTGGACCCGCCAACTACTCCTGTGGCCCACTCAAAAGAATTAAGTAACTCAACAAGCAGGAGAACCATTTCTTATACCCCTATGATTGCACCCCTAACCAATCAGCAGCAATAACCCCTTGCCTAGCCACCCCCAACCCTTTTCCCCAAACTATCTTTGAAAATCCCTAACTTCCAAATGCTCAGGGAGATTGATTTGAGTAATAACTCCATCTCCTGCATGGTGTGGCCAGCCTCACGTCAATTAGACTCTTTCTTACTGCAGTGCCATGGTCTCTGTGAATTGATTTTGTTTGTGCAGCAGTCAGGAAGAACCTGTCAGGTGGTTACAATGTGAACATCACAGCGTGTGCTCACACAAACCTACATGGTGCAGTCTATTGCTATATGGTGTAGCCTATTGCTTCTATGCTACAAGCTGGACAGCATGTTACTGTACTGAATGCTGTAGGCAATTGTAACAATGGTAAGAATTTGTGCATCTAAACATATCTAAACATAGAAAAGGAAGAGTGAAAATATGGTATTATAATCTTATGGGACTACTGTTGTATACACGGTCTGTCAAGTGAAATGTTATGTGGCAGGACTGTGTGTGTGTGTGTGTGTGTGTGTATATATATATTTATATATAATATACATTTATATGCAAAAGATATTTTACAGACTAGGTCTAATCAAGGACAGGGGTTTCCTATATGCTTGGGAAGAGACAACAAATAGTTACTTTATATGAACCCCATTTTTCTTGGCAATACTGATGTTTTACCATAAGTAATCATGTTGAGTTGGATAGTTAATGAAGCAATTTCATCATATCATTTGTTACTCTTCACAACAGGCAAGTGTCCCCTACCCCTAACTTTTCTTTCCTTTTCTTTAACTAATTAAGAAACTGAGGTAATACTTATAAAGCAACTTTACTATAGCTATAGCATCCAACCGAATGCTAGAATCCCATTGTCCAGCCCGATCAAGCCAATGCATTTTCCTTAACAATAAATCCAGGAAGAGTGCACAGTAAAGCGGCAGTAGGAACAGGTGTCGAATTATTTGACATCTCTGGCAAACAGCAGTGGGGATTAAACAGAGCTTTCTTTAATAAGATTAATTCTCAAATACCGAGTGATTTGGCATATCCCCAAAGATACAAGGCATTTGTATCTATATAAGATTAAAGAAGCTTTCACACAAAGCAATTTTGTTTTTCAACATCAAAGAGATGCTTCAGTGGCATTGCAAGAGGGAAGCACAGTGCAACTAATGCAAAGAGTGCAAAACCTTTATAGAAAAGACAGTTTCCTCAGTCAGGAATTGCATCTAGAGCTTTCACTACCCATGACAAACAGGGCATTGTTCTTAGAGTCATAGGATTAGGGGAAAGGGGAGGCCAGGGGTTAGGAATCAGCTTGACAAACACCCCACACAGGTGGGGTGACCCCAGACACAGGTGGCTCCCCAGTGATGACCTTGGCTTTCCAAGGATGGGAGCTCAGTGCCTCGTGAGACTGACTATTGGGCAGATCTAATAAATAATAAATAATGACCATGACACTGTAATAATAAGGATAACAAAAATCACAGCCACCATTTCCATGTGCCAGGCACTATACTTAGCATGAATCGAATGGCACACACTTCTGCTGCTAAATCTTCTCTTGGGTTTCCAGCAAGCCTTCTGAGGTCTGTTCCCTGAAGCTACATAGTCCAACTTGCTTCACAGTGAGCTGCAAATATTTGAAGGTAGCTTTTATGTTCTTTATCTGTTTTTTCTTCTGTGCTAAACTTCTACTTATTTTTTGAACCAGATACAGGTATTTACATGGATTGATGTTACATTTCATCTTGCAGGTTTTGCCTTACCCCTCTAGGCTGCCCAAATATTGGTGAGTCCTGATATTATCATTTAGTGTATTCACCAGACCTTATCCAATGTGCTTCTGAAAATGATAAGCTTCCAAGTCTCCCTCCTCTCCTTTTTCTCTTTCTTCTTTCCCTCTTTCCTTCCATAAACATTTATTGAGGACTTCTTTAATGTCCCAGACACTGTGTCAGGCACTGGGGCCACAAGGTTGCATAAGGCATACCTATAGATAGTCTTCAAGAAAGCTTCTTGCTTAAGCAGAAAGACAGGAAAATAAACTAAAATACAACATAGTATGATTATGTAATGAATGAGAAAAGAGGAGAGTTTTAACAGGAGTTGGAAAAGAAATCATCTGTAAGGGGAGATGATGGGGAGCTAGCAGATGCCAGCACTACCTCTGGCCCCTGGGGTATGGGGCCCATGAGAGAATTGGGCAGTCCCCACTTAATTAAAAGCTAGCCAGAGGATGTTCCAGGGGAGCTTATTTATGGAAGGAGCCTATGCTGTTAATGCCCCATGTGACAGCCTTTTCTCCTCCCTCCTACCTGCCTAGCCAGCAGGGCTCTTCCTCCCGCTGCTGACCTCCCTAAAGAATCAAGGGCAGCTGCCTTGGCTAGAGGGTCTGTGTTTTCACATGACAGACTACAGAAGCAGCAAGCATTCTAGATTTCAATGGGGGATCAGGGAGGCATAGAATCAGAGAGGAAGGGCATCTTTTATGACCTGAAATTGCCCCACTTAGTCATTGGGAAGGCTTGTAAGACCAGGAGCAAAGGGACTTTCGGGTTTTGACTGCTCAGGGATTTCTTCCAAGCATAATTTCCCAGGTCACGTAGAGGCCATCCTCAATGTGAAGACTGGACTCTTCAGACACCCAGGCAAAAGAGCTCATTTGCACATACCACAGAGTCCAGGATGGTGTCAGGAGTTTGCAAGTTTCCAGGAGTTAGGAATTTTGCAGGATAGAGAATGGTTGACCTTGGTAGACATGTTATCCTATGTTGGACATATGTACCTATGTCCTTGTTCAAAGAGCGGGGTACCCTTGTGGCAGTGAGCCCCTCCTAATGAAAAAAATATCCACAGCCAAAAGGCTACAGAGTTCTGGGAACTGGTGGGTTGTGGACCAGCTTCCTAATAGTACCTGGGAACTGTACCTGAATCTCTCCTTGGTGCCTCCATAAACCTCGGAGACCCTGTAGAAAAGCTGGTTGTACAGACTGGTTTGATTAGGGCTGCAAGCTCCAGCTTTTGTCAGGGGTTCAGAAAATTAGGCCTGGGTGAGGAATATTGACAGTGTTTATTTTGTTGATTGTGTCCATGAACATGATCAGGTGTAGCTCCCAGGGCACTCAGCCGATGGTCACGGCTAAGTGCAGAATATAGTCATGCTCACACACATATAGTCATGCTCCAAAAGCATTACTTGAAGCGGTGAACTAACATAAAGCTGAAGTTTATCACAACCACCAGTCAAAACTGGACTGGGGATCTTCTATGGATATAGAGCTGAGAGGCAGGCTTGGGACTTGGGGTGTGCTGCCTAACCAACCCCTTTCTTCTAGAAAGCATCAGTCTGAGAGGGCACAGATGCCTGGTTCCACATTTGGAGTTTGGAGGGATTAAATATGAAACACAGAATAAGCTGTGTTATTAAACTCACACTTGCTTTTTTTAGTGGGATAGCAAGAACATAGGCAAATGTTTCTATACAAAGACTTTTTTAGTTATACAACACAAGTGAAGAGGCCGGTAAACCACTAAGGTCTAGGAGGAGACCAATCGGTGTTGGGCTGGGGGACTCATGGATACAGATTCTTGGCTGAGGTCTGGAAGGGCTGAGGAATTTGCTGCCAGGGTCTGTCTTAGCAGGATACATCAGCCCCATCTCCAACAGGAGAAATGGGAGGACAGGGCTTCACCCTGTCTGCTGGTGCAAGAGAAGCCTTGAGCTTCGGTAGACAGTTGTATGTGTCCCTTCCAACCAGAGACCTCAATATATTAACGGGCCCTCTTTTTTCTCTGCAGGATCCAGTACATATTTCTGACGGCTCCTCCAGAGTGGGATTTTATCTGGAGTCCCACCCTTTCTTTTGAATTTCCTTATCACTTTATAGCAAGTTTATTCACTCATTAAAACCCAACCCAAAGTCACCTCGTCTGGGAAGACACACAAGCTCTTCCAGAAAGAGTCTCTCTTTTCCTGACTGCTCTCTCACTGCCTTTCTCCTATTGCACTTCTCCCTGGTTTGTGTGTCTGCCTCACCCATGAGACTGTAGCCCGGCACCATGTCAGGCACGTAGCAGGATTTCAACAGAAGGATGTGGATCGAATGGATGATCCAACGGAAGGAGAGGCACACAGGAGGCTGACCACAAATGAAATTTCTGGTTTGGACTTTTCAGCCCCCATCACTTCACTTTCCCTCCTGCTATGGGGGAAACTCAAGAGATGAGTTATGGGTGGGCTAAGACAGCAAGCTGGGAGCTGGTGAAGAAGATGGAGTGGGTGACCCTTGGCTTTCACTGGGCTTCTCCCAGCCGATGCTTGGAAACCCTAGATGGATCAAGGTGAGAAGCCTCATTTCTGTAAAGGACTCCAAGGATTCCATGGTGCTCTGCAAACGTAATGTGTTCTTGTTGCTGTTATCATCTACCATAGCTGTTTATAACCTTGTTCATTAACTTGTGTGATTCTTGGCTGAAGTCTGCTGCTCTCCCCCATGAGGGGAACAACTGATGACCTACTTCTGTGAATTCCATGGTGCCAGGCCTGGGCTGATCTGGATCTACATTAAAACATGCCAGGGGGCAAACATGAAATCAAAATGTTCTGGCAACCCCCTTAGACCAATCAGTGCAGTGTTTAGCACTATAGACACCCAGTGCACTCATTACAACATCATTTCCTAGGACCTTTTTTATAAATAGAATTTCGAATATATTCAGGTTTGAACTTTCAAGGAGGGTGACTTTGAGCCATCACTTGGAACAGAACACTTGTAAAAACACTGACCTTGGTCACTGCTCACATCTCCCTGGAAGGCCAGTTAGGACTGCTGTTTACCCCCCACATTAGAGAGGTAGGGGAAGGAAACAGGGGAAGCTGAGTGACTTGCCTTTGGGCCACAGGAGTCGCTTCGTGGGCAAGGCTGGAGTTTTCGATCTGGGGAATTTGTTCCTGGTTGGGGGACTGGTCTATATTCAGGCTGTCAAGGAAGAAGTCATAGTATCCACACTCGCACTTCCCCCCAGAGCTAGGGGCTCTCTGGAGAGAAAGTGACCCCTTATCCTTTATTTGTAGAAATATCATGACCCAACAACGGCCTTCACAATGGGAAGAAGCTGGGTCGAAGCAGATGTCAGAAAGGCCAAGGGAATAGAGAGGCCGAGAAAGGGCGAGAGAAACAAAGAAGTCTATGTACTTGGCGCTTCTTTGTTGCCCAGATCCTCCACTCTGCTCCCTGCTTTCTCCCTCAGAGAAGGAGGGGGAAGAGGAGGAGGAGAGTGGGTGGAGAGGGAGGCGGAGGAGAAAGAGGAGGAGGAGCGCATTGCTAACGTGCGCAGCCCTTACCCAAGCCAGGCTCCCGCGCGTGCATCCACCGCGATCTCAGGCCCCGGCGTTTGTGGCAGCTCTCGGTTACCATGGGAACCGCACTCCGCAGCCTCCCTGGGCCCCATCTAATCTGCGTGTGTGCGTGGCGGAGAATTCTAAGCCTCTGCACCTGCCCTTGCCTTCCCTTTCCCAGCCTCTCTCCTGGCGGGGAACTGTTTGGACCAGTCGTCAGCGGCGGCCAGAAAGTTTTCCTGCTGTCTGCCTGAAGGTCGCCTGTGTCAGGGGGAAGTTGCAGCCGTGGGGATTGTGTTTCCCTGAATGGAGACAGTACACGTCAGACCTCCAGGCTGGGACTTTCTAGAATCCTGGGGTCCAGTGCTAAGCTTGTGGTGGCTGCGTAGATGAAGAGATGGGACATGTGGCTCTCAAGGCCCTGAATGGGCTCACTGGAGCTGGTCCCCAGGAAAGGAACTGCCCTGAAAGGGATAGAGAGACCCACAAGGGGTTGATCTGGGGCCAAGGGTTGGAGAAAGCTGAGTTCCCATGCCCTGGCCACTGTGAGTGGACTTGCAGGAGTGGCAGAATGGTCAGGTGGGGTGGGAGGCTGGGTTGCAAACCACTTCTATGTAGGCATTCCTGGTCAGTTGTCACAGAGGTTTCAGAAGGACCTCAGTCTTTGAAGTGCTTGCAATTTGCCCTTCCTTTTCTTTCCTTTTCTTTTTCTTCTCATTATACTTTAAGTTCTGGGATACATGTGCAGAACGTGCAGGTTTGTTACATAGGTATACACGTGCCATGGTGTTTTGCTGTACCCATCAGCTCGTCATCTACATTACGTATTTCTCCTAATGTAATCTCTCCCCTTGCCCCCCCGCCCCCGATAGGCCCCAGTGTGTGATGTTCCCCTCCCTGTGCCCATATGATCTCATTGTTCAACTCCCACTTATGAGTGAGAACATGTGGTGTTTGGTTCTCTGTTCCTGTGTTAGTTTGCTGAGAATGATGGTTTCCAGCTTCATCCATGTCCCTGCAAAGGACATGAACTCATTCTTTTTTATGGCTGCATAGTATTCCGTGGTGTATATGTGCCACATTTTCTTTATCCAGTCTATCATTGATGGGCATTTGGGTTGGTTCAAGTGTTTGCTGTTGTGGATAGTGCTGCAATAAACATACGTGTGCATGCGTCTTTACAGCAGCATGATTTATAATCCTTTGAGTATATGCGCAGTAATGGGATTGCTGGGTCAAATGGTATTTCTGGTTCTAGATCCTTTAGGAATTGCCACACCGTCTTCCACAATGGTTGAACTAACTTACACTCTCACCAACAGTGTAAAAGCATTCCTATTGCTCCACATCCTCTCCAACATCCATTGATTCCTGACTTTTTAATGATTGCCATTCTAACTGGCATGAGATGGTATCTCATTGTGGTTTTGATTTGCATTTCTCTAAAGAGCAGTGATGATGAGTTTTTTTTTATACGTTTCTTGGCCGCATAAATGTCTTCTTTTGAAAAGTATCTGTTCATATCCTTCACCCACTTTTTGATGGGGTTGTTTGTTTCTTGTAAATTTGTTTAAGTTCCTTGTAGATTCTGGATATTAGCCCTTGTCGGATGGATAGATTGCAAAAATTTTCTGCCATTCTGTATGTTGCCTATTCACTCTGATGACAGTTTCTTTTGCTGTGCAGAAGCTCTTTAGTTTAATTAGATCCCATTTGTCAATTTTCGCTTTTGTTGCCATTGCTTTTGGTGGTGTAGCCATGGAGTCTTTGCCTATGCCTATGTCCTGAATGGTATTGCCTAGGTTTTCTTCTAGGGTTTTTATGGTTTAGGTCTTACTTTAAATCTTTAATCCATCTTGAGTCAATTTTGTATAAGGTGTAAGGAAGGAGTCCAGTTTCAGTTTTCTGCATATGGCTAGCTAGTTTTCCCAAAACCATTTATTAAATAGGGAATCCTTTCCTCATTGCTTGTTTTTGTCAGGTTTGTCAGAGATCAGATGGTTGTAGATACGTGGTGTTATTTCTGAGGCCTCTGTTCTGTTGCATTGGTCTATATCTCTGCTTTGGTACCAGTGCCATGCTTTTTGGTTAGTGTAGCCTTGTAGTATAATTTGAAGTCAGGTAGCATGATGCCTCCAGCTTTGTTCTTTTTGCTTAGGATTGTCTTGGCTATACGGGCTCTTTTTTGGTTATATGAAATTTAAAGTAGCTTTTTTCTAATTCTGTGAAGAAAATCAATGGTAGCTTGATGGGAATAGCATTGACTCTATAAATTACTTTGGGCAATATGGCCATTTTCATGATATTTGTTCTGCCTATCCATGAGCATGGAATGTTTCTCCATTTGTTTGTGTCCTCTCTTATTTCTTTGAGTAGTGGTTTGTAGTTCTCCATGAAGGGGTCCTTCACATCCCTTGTAAGTTGTATTCCTAGGTATTTTATTCTCTCCATAGCAATTGTGAGTGAGAGTTCTCTCATGATTTGGCTCTCTGTTTGTCTGTTATTGGTGTATAGGAATGTTTGTGATTTTTGCACGTTGATTTTGTATCCTAAGACTTTGGTGAAGTTGCCTATGAGATTAAGGAGTTTGGGGCTGAGGCAATGGGGTTTTCTAGATCTACAATCGTGTTATCTGCAAACAGAGACAATTTGACTTCCTCTCTTCCTATTTGAATACCCTTTATTTCTTTCTCTTGCCTGATTTCCCTGGCCAGAACTTCCAATACTATGTTGAATAGAAGTGGTGAGAGAGGGCATACTTGTCTTGTGCTGGTTTTGAAAGGGAATGCTTCCAGCTTTTGCCCATTCAGTATGATATTGGCTGTGGATTTGTCACAAATAGCTCTTATTATTTTGAGATACGTTCCATCAATACCTAGTTTATTGTTTTTAGCATCAAGGGTGTTGAATTTTATCGAAGGCCTTTTCTGCATCTATTGAGATAATCATTTGTTTTTTTTCATTGGTTCTGTTTATGTGATGGATTACGTTTATTGACTTGCATAGGTTGAACCAGCCTTGCATCCGAGGGATGAAGCTGACTTGATTGTAGTAGATAAGCTTTTTAATGTGCTGCTGGATTCGGTTTGCCAGTATTTTATTGAGGATTTTCACATTGATGTTCATCAGGGATATTGGGCTGAAATTGTCTTTTTTTGTTGTATCTCTGGCAGGTTTTGGTATCAGGATGATGCTGGCCTCATAAAATGTGTTAGGGAGGAGGCTTTTCTTTTCTATTGTTTGGAATAGTTTCAGAAGGAATGGTACCAGCTCATCTTTGTACCTTTGGTAGAATTCGGCTGTGAATCCATGTGGTCCTGGGCTTTTTCTGGTTGGTAGGCTATTAATTACTGCCTCAATTTCAGAACCTGTTGTTGGTCTATTCCAGCGTTCGACTTCTTCCTGATTTAGTCTTGGGAGGGTGTATGTGTCCAGGAATTTATCCATTTCTTCTAGATTTTCTAGTTTATTTGTGTAGAGGTGTTTATAGTATTCTCTGATGGTAGTTTGTATTTCTGTGGGATCAGTGGTGATCTCCCATTTATTGTGTCCGTTTGATTCTTCTTTCTTTTCTTCTTTACTGGTCTGGATAGTGGTCTATCTATTTTGTTAATCTTTTCAAAAAATCAGCTCCTGGATTCACTGATTTTTTTTGAAGGGTTTTTCGTATCTCTATCTCCTTCAGTTCTGCTCTGATCTTAGTTATTTCTTGTCTTCTGCTAGCTTTTGTATTTGTTTGCTCTTGCTTCTCTAATTCTTTTAATTTTGATGTTAGGGTGTCGATGTTAGATCTTTCCTGCTTTCTCCTGTGGGCATTTAGTGCTCTAAATTTTATCTCAAAACACTGCTTTAGCTATGTCCCAGAGATTTTGGTATGTTGTGTCTTTGTTCTCATTGGTTTCAAAGAACTTATTTATTTTTGCCCTTATTTTGTCATTTATCCAGTAGTTATTCAGGAGCAGGTTGTTCACTTTCCATGCAGTTGTGCGGTTTTGAGTGAGTTTCTTCATCCTCAGTTCTAGTTTGATTGCACTGTGGTCTGAGAGACTGTTTGTTATGATTTCCGTTCTTTTGCATTTGCTGCAGAGTGTTTTGCTTCCAATTATGTGGTTGATTTTAGAGTAAATGCTATGTAGTGCTGAGAGGAATGCATATTCTGTTGATTTGGAGTGGAGAGTTCTGTAGATGTCTATTAGGTCTGCTTGGTCCAGACCTGAGTTTAAGTCCTAAATGTCTCTGTTAATTTTCTGTCTGGTTGATCTAATATTGACAGTTGTGTGTTAATGTCTCCCACTATTATTGTGTGGGAGTCTAAGTCTCTTTGTAGGTCTCTAAGAACTTGCTTTGTGAATCTGGGTGCTCCTGTATTTGGTGCATATATATTTAAGATAGTTAGCTCTTCTTGTTGCATTGATCCCTTTACCATTATGTAATGAATGCCCTTCTTTGTCTTTTTTGATCTTTGTTGGTTTAAAATCTGTTTTATCACAGACTAGGACTGCAACCCTTGTTTTTTTTTTTTTTTTTTTTTGCTGTCCATTTGCTTGGTAAATCTTCCTCCATCGCTTTATTTTGAGCCTATGTGTGTTCTTTGAATGTGAGATGGGTCTCCTGAATACAGCACACCAATGGGTCTTGACTCTTCATCCGATTTGCCAGTCTGGGCCTTTAAATTGGAGGATTTAGCCCATTTACATTTAAGGTTAATATTGTTATGTGTGAATCTGATCCTGTCATTGTGATGCTAGCTGGTTATTTTGCCCATTTTTTGATGCATTTTCTTCATAGTGTTGATAGTCTTTACATTTTGGTATGTTTGTGCAGTGGCTGGTACCAGTTTTTGTTTTCCATATTTAGTGCTTCCTTCAGGGGCTCTTGTGAGGGAGGCTTGGTGGTGACAAAATCCCTCAGCATTTGCTTGTCTGTGAAGGATCTTATTTTTCCTTCACTTATGAAGCTTAGTTTGGCTGGATATGAAATTCTGGGTTGAAAATTATTTTCTTTAAGAATGTTGAATATTGGCCCCCACTCTCTTCTGGCTTGTAGGGTTTCTGCAGAGAGATCAGCTGTTAGTCTGATGGGCTTCCCTTTGTAGGTAACCTGACCTTTCTCTCTGGCTGTCCTTAACATTTTTTCCTTCATTTCAACTTTGGTGAATCTGATGATTAGGTGTCTTGGGGTTGCTCTTCTCGAGGAGTATCTTTGTGGTTTCCTGAATTTGAATGTTGGCTTGTCTTTCTAGGTTGGGGAAGTTCTCCTAGATAATATCCTAAGGTGTGTTTTCCAACTTGGTTCCAATCTCCCCATCGTTTTCAGGGACACCAATCAAACGTAGGTTTGGACTTTTCACATAATCCCATATTTCTTGGAAGCTTTGTTTGTTCCTTTTCATTCTTTTTTCTCTAAACTTGTCTTCATGCTTTATTTCATTAAGTTGATCTTCAATCTCTGATATAATTTCTTCTGCTTGATTGATTTGCCTGTTGATACTTGTGTATGCTTCACGAAGTTCTCATGGTATGTTTTTCAGCTCCATCAGATCATTTATGTTCTTCTTTAAACTGGTTATTCTAGTTAGCAATTCCTCTAACTTTTATCAAGGTTCTTAGCTTCCTTGCATTGGGTTAGAACATGCTTCTTTAGCTCGGAGGAGTTTGTTATTACCTACCTTCTGAAGCCTACCTCTGTCAATTTGTCAAACTCATTCTCTGTCCAGTTTTGTTCCCTGGCTGGCAAGGAGTTGTGATTCTTGGATCACAACTTGGATGAGAAGAAGCATTCTAATTTCTGGAATTTTCAGCATTTTTGCCCTGGTTTTTCCTCATCTTTGTGGATTTATCTACCTTTGGTCTTCTCTGTTGGTGACTTTCGGATTGAGTTTTTGTGTGGATGTCCTTTTTGTTGATGTTGATGCTATTGCTTTCTGTTTGTTAGTTTTGCTTCTAACAGTCAGGCCCCTCCTCTGCAGGTCTGCTGGAGTTTGCTGGAGGTCCAGTCTGGGCTCTGTTTGTCTGGGTATTATCAGTGGAGGCTGCAGAACAGCAAAGGTTGCTGCTTGCTCCTATCTCTGGAAGCTTCGTCCCAGAGAGGCACCTGCCAGATGGCAGCTGGAGCTCTCCTGTGTGAGGTGTCTGTCAACCTCTGCTGGGAGGTGTCTCCCTGTCAGGAGGCATGGGGGTCAGGGACCCACTTGAGGAGGGAGTCTGTCCCTTTGCAGAGCTCGAGTGCTGTGCTGCAAGATCCGCTGCTCTTTTCAGAGCCGGCAGGCAGGAACGTTTAAGTTTGCTGCAGCTGCGCCCACAGCCGCCCCTTCCTCCAGGTGCTCTCTCCCAGGAAGACAAGAGTTTTGTCTATAAGCCCCTGACTGGGGCTGCCGCCTTTCTTTCAGAGATGCCCTGCCCAGAGAGGAGGAATCTAGAGAGGAAGTTTGGCTACAGCAGCTTTGTGGTGCTGTGGTGGGCTCCTCCCAGTCTGAACTTCAAGGTGGCTTTGTTTACATTCTGAGGGGAAAACCTGCCTACTCAAGCCTCAGTAAT
The DNA here is from genome assembly GCF_000001405.40 of Homo sapiens. Taxonomy (NCBI): domain Eukaryota; kingdom Metazoa; phylum Chordata; class Mammalia; order Primates; family Hominidae; genus Homo; species Homo sapiens. The sequence goes on from NC_000013.11 coordinate 45,622,215, forward strand.
AGTGGATGCCCCTCCCCCGACCAAGCTCCAGCATCCCAGGTTGACTTCAGACTGCTGTGCTGGCAGCGAGGATTTCAAGCCAATGGATCTTAGCTTGCTGAGCTCCATGGGGGTGGGATCCTCTGAGCTAGACCACTTGGCTCCCTGGCTTCAGCCCCCTTTCCAGGGCAGTGAATGGTTCTCTCTTGCTGGCATTCCAGGTGCCACTGGGTTATGAAAAAAACCTCCTGCAGCTAGCTTGGTGTCTTTCCAAACGGCAGCCCAGTTTTGTGCTTGAAACCCAGGGTCCTGGTGGTGTAGGCACCTGAGGGAATTTTCTGATCTGTGGATTGTGAAGACCGTGGGAAAAGCATAGTATCTGGGCCAGAATGCACTGTTCCTCACGGCACAGTCCCTCAGGGCTTCCCTTGGCTAGGGGAGGGAGTTCCCTGACCCCTTGTGCTTCCCAGTTGAGGTGATGCCACACCCTGCTTCGGCTTGCCCTCCGTGGGCTGCATCCACTGTATAACCAATGAGATGAACCAGGTATCTCAGTTGGAAATGCAGAAATCACCCACCTTCTGCGTTGGTCTTGATGGGAGCTGCAGACCAGAGCTGTTCCTATTTGGCCTACTTGCTTGGGAATCCCTGCAGTTTCTTTTCCCATTCTAAATAAATATTCACTTTTGCAACTAAATTCATACTTATGATTTTATATTATTTTTCTTGAAGAGGGTCCATCAAATTGTATAAGCTCCAGGTGTTCACAAAACCTGAAGAATCATGAGTACCCTGCACCTACCAGGTATATGTTAGTGGGTTTTTAAACATTGTTTCTTGGTGACCTGTGCCAGGATCTTGGGAGGGGGGTGGGAATGCTTCCAAAAAAGGGAAGTTCAGTGGAAGAGATGTGGGACACAGAGAACCCAAGGCTGCTCTGCTTGGTGATCCCATAGGAGCTAAGCAAGTGGAAGGTGACCAGATGATGATCTCTGACTTTCCCCCTCCTCCTCCTGATGTGGAGAAAGTTGGAGAAAACAGAAGAGAGGCCAAGTCCATACCAGTATCAGAGGGTATGGGGAGGAATGTAGGAGGAACAGGAAGACAGAGGTCCTATGAAGTGTCCAAAGAACTCTTTAGACCACACCCCAAGGATCTCTTGAGCACAAAGGAAGAATTTGAGGCTGGGTTATGACAACAAGCTTTGCTGGTGATGGGGATGAGAAACTTGTCAAAGACTACTTTTGAAAGCTACACCTCTCAATTATACTCGGGGCAATGCCAAGGGCTGGCTTGGGGAAACTTCTATAGCCCCCTATAATCTTTATCGACCTCACCTGAATCTAAAAAGTGTATTTGTTGTGCAAACACAGCTTCAGGACAACTTTCCTAGCCCATCACTTCCAACAGTCCATTGGACCTAAATCCCTGTCACACAGACACTTCCATGTCCACTCGCTGGTGACTGGAGTCTTGGTTGTTGTCATGATAAGGTCTTCCACAAGATGGTGCTCTTAAGTTTTGTTTTTAAATTTTTTTTTTGTTGATAGATTGATTACTATGTCGATATTTTATTGAACACCTACTTTGTGGTAGCATTGTTCTAGGAGGTGTTATAGATACAAGCTAAGCAAAACAGACTAAATTTCTGTTTTCAAAAAATTTTAAAAAGTTGTGATTTTTATGCTCTCAAGGTGAAACTGAACAGTGATGTAAGTGTCCCCATTTATGTTGCTGATATTATGCTACATTTCCGACAGTTGCACATTTTTCTTTCTCTAGACTGATGTGGCCTGGAGGAACTATAGATTCTTTTATTATTTGGCTGGGGAAAGAATTACCTTTTATCTGTCTGTGTAAGCTACCTTTTGAGATCCATCCTTTCGCCAGGGAAACACCAAATCTTAATTTGAATAATTCCAAATTGTTGCTAAACACCAGCTGATCATTCTAGGGTCTCAGCTTTGGGTTTGCCTGACATCTGAGTAAATTCATGGCTCCTTTTAAAGAAAAATTCTGATAGGTCTTTCAGGTATCCCAGTGACCTGCCTTCAAGTAAGGGTGAGATGGACTTTGATCTGGGTGAGAATTTATCAGACTCTTTTGCTTTCATAAAAAAAAAGTTGGTCCTGCTATTTGACCATCTACCCCAGAGAACGCATACAAAGAGTTCATCCTTGCCAAAGGCAAATTTGAAATCACAATTGCAAGAGACAGGCCTGAGGTCCATGTGAACTGCCCATTCCTTCAGGTTCAGTAAGCTCTACGCTTGTTCCAAGTTAGATTCCCGAAGGCAACATCTTTCAGGACATTTACTATACTAGCTTGGCTGCTTCCAGAAATGCCTTTACTTAGCTATGATTGAAGAGTATGCCCTTGATTTTTATTGCAGGCTAATATAAAAATGGTCTTAAAACAAATGTTTCTATACTTTCGGCAAAAAGATCTGTTAAAGCCATCCACCTTACAATTCCATGTTTTTAGTGTAAGGATTCACAAGAACCCCAGATTTATATCTAACCACCTGCTCGACTTGACATTTCTACTTGGATGTCCTGTAGGCATATCACATCTAATGGGGCCCAAACTGAACTCCTGATCTTCCCCCAATGATCTGCTTCTCCTTCAGTCTTTGTTATTCAGTAAACAGCAGCTCCACTGCTCAGACCAAGCAACCCACAACCATCTCGAGTCCTCTTTCTCTCTCTCCGCACGTGCAACCTATTATCAAGCCCTGTTGCCTCGAGCACAGTCCAGAATCGAATGGTTTCTCATTACCTTCTCTGGACTGGGACCTGTCACAAGTTTCCTAACTGACCCCTCTGCTTCTGCCCTTTGTTCCCCTACATCCATGCTCAACATAGCAGCCAGAACCATCCTTTAAAATGCGTCTGGTGCTAACACTTCTCCACTCAAAATCTTCCCGTGACTTTCCATCTTCTTGGGAGGAAAATCCCCAAGGTCTCCACTTCCCGTCCTTCCCTGCCCCACCCCTGACTTGATGTCCTCATCATCTGTTCCTGATTCATGTTGCCAAGCCACACTGGTCTCCTGTGCCCCCATCTCTGGGCCTGGGCACTTGCTTTTCCTTCTGTCTGGAAGACTCTTCCCTAGATATCCACACAACTGCTGCCTCTTCCCCTCTGCGACTCTCCTCAAATGTCACCTTCTCAATGGGGGGTTTCCTAAACCCCATGTATTGAAACTGTATATAGGAGGCTGTATGAAAACTGCAGCCCCTCTCTGAGCTCTCTCTTTTCTCCCATCCAGCTTTACTTTTTTTCTACAGCACTTACACTCTCTGACCCATGATGTATTCTATTTATTGTCTGTCTTGTCCGACTGGAACGTGAGCTCCCTGGAGGTAGGGATTTTTATCTGTTCTGTTTTGTTCACTTCTGTATTCCAAAACCTACTTAGAACAGTGCCTGAGACATAGTAGGTTCTCAATACATATTTATCGAATGTATAATTAAATTCTCATGGAATTTAGTGTCAGGAGAAAAAAGATATTTCATGTTAAAGCTGCATGTCCTCAGGAAATATAATTGATGTGATACATTTTGTAATTTATTTTTGGTTTTACTACTAGGAAGCTCAAAGTCAAATATAGGAGGAATTAGAATTATGGTTTTGTCCATGGTCTCTAGCTTAGTCATCTTCTTCCTTTATATGGTGGATGGGTTTTTCTTTGGCGATGGAGTTTCACTGTGTCATCCACGCTGGAGTGTGGTGGCTATTCACAGGTGTGATCATAGTGCACCACAGCCCTGAACTGCTGGGCTCAAGTGATCCTCCAGCCTCAACCTCCCAAGTAGCTGGGACTACAAGTACATGCCACTGCACCCAGCTCTCTGTGGTTTTTATTACCCTCCCTTTCCTTTTAACTTTCATTTGAACAGCTTCGTGCATAGGTATATCCTCAGGTAGTATTCATGGACCTTTTAGGTTTCCTATAAATATTTGTCAAGTGAATGCATTGCAAGCCATTTTAATTTCTTCTGGATATAAGTGGGAGATATATATATATTTATATATATAAATAATACGTTATTAATGATCTATGATATAACTAAAAAAAAGCAATGGGCTAGAAAGGAGTAGAAGGTTATTAGGGGAGGGGAGGTCGATGGGAAAGAAGCTTTCCTTGTGATTTACGGCTGGGGTGAGTATAAGATTTGTCATCCAGCCTGGGACCCTTATGGCAGTGAAGATATGAATAATTTTGCTCAGACAATAGGCATGAACTGGGACCATTCCCAGTGGGAATGTGATAACTAGGCAAACATCTGTCAAACTAGGACAAATGGCAAAAGTTTCCAATAGGAGTTTAATAACGTTTTAGCAGTTCCAAAGGTTTCCAATAGGAGTTTAATAACCTTTAACAAAGGTTATGGTTTACCAATAACAGTACAAATGTATTCTCACTTTTTAATCTTAGTCAAGAGTTTATTTAACCTTTCTTATTACCAAACCTTACTCAAGACTCATTTACAACTCAGAATAGAATTTTTAAAACATTCATTAGTTAGGCTGAAGTTCAGAAAAGTAAGACTAAGTAAAACGGTTTTCATTGCCAGGACGAAACAAAAGCCACCGTGAGGTGCCACCAGCACTGAATAGAGATATGTTCCTCTACATTAGAAAAGAGTTTCAAAAGCAGATTAACTTTTGTTGTTGTTTCTTTTCTCAGCATTGACTTTGGCAGAGCATTTTTAAAACCTGGTAAAGAGGAAGCAGTGAAAAGCAATAGAATCAAAGGGGACAAACAGAAGGATACCAAATAGAGTTACTCCCTGGAGCTCAGAGAAATTCTGCTGATTTCCACAGGCAGCACTCCCACCCTGAGTTCCTGGGTGCACTTTGAGCTAGGTCTGGTGTTTGCCTACCCCTGAATCAAGGGGGAAGTGAGCTGACCTCACTTCTCTTCCTGCCTTCTGTTGCTCCTTCATTTCCAAAGCCAGGCTTTCTCTCCTCTTCAGCCACTGGCCTCGAAATGACTCATTCAAAGGCCAATTCCTTAGGTTGCTGGTAGTAATAAGAGACCCCAGAGCCTAACTGAAGTTTCCAGAGATAACATCTATTGCTTTCTAGCATCTGCCTGTTACACTGTGGAGCCAAATGAGGTTAGGCTGATAGCAATTTATTTTTCACAAAACCAAGCTGATGGCTTCTCTTTACCTCATATTGTTCCAATGACTGCAAACAGACTTGGGGAAAATCCATTTTAACATTGGTCCAGATATTACAGTTTGGTAGAATACTCTAAAGTTGCCAGGGGCACCTTTTTTCTTTACAAAGCAGGGTACTACCTTTATCTTCTTTTAGAGCCCAGGCACGGGGATGGGACAGGGGGCTTGCTTTAACCCTTATCAGGGTCTTACTCGTACTAGGTTCTGTGCATCATGTCCTGCTTAGTGGTAAGGCTTCTCAATTCTTAGTCTCATTTGGATTTCCATCTTCTCATTTTAAGAATGAATGGCTCTGACAATAGAAACTCAGATAACTTTTTTCTAAAGAACAACAGGGGCAAACTAGTTTTTGAAAATCCTGTCTTTTCATATATTGATAGTCAGTGTTTCCTCCCCCAGGGCAGTGCTTCCTTTGGTCCTTCTGTAATTGAAGAATGAAAGAACACCCTCCAGGATGAATAGTTCCCTTATGTGTCTTCAAGCTCTTTGCCTCATCCAGCCATAAGAAGTTGTACCCCAGGGTAACCGAGGCTAGGGATTATCTACAGGCCCAGAAATATAAGAAGAACAAACAGATCAGCACATTGCTATCTTGGCTTTACTGTACAGAGCCCTTAACCACATTTGAGAGTGTCATAAGAAAAAAATAATCCCTGAATAGTTAAAAAGAAAAACAAAGAGAAAGAAATCAAACACCATGTGGATCTCTCTCTTTGGTTGTACAGCAGATCTAATTCTGCTGTACGTGGTGGCTCATATAGAAGTTTTTTTTTCCTTCTTGTGTTATATCCTGCCTAGAAAATTTAAATCTCTTAATAAGCTAAAGGGTAAAGAGGTGTGCTTCAAGTTCCTTTACCTTATTTTTAGCAGGGTGATCAGCTTGCATTTGTGACACTCACAAGCTGTATGTGCCTTTGTAGGGAGCCAAGCACAATATGTTCCTTGTGGATTGGAGGGACTGAGCTTCAGTCAAGCACCCTACTGTGGGGGTCACTGACTGAGTCCCTTGAACAAGGCAGATAAATGCCAACCACAAGAACACTGCTTCTCTGGAAGCAAACTCGGGGGATGTCTGGTCTGAAGCAAGCTCAGCGGTTGTCCCAGCCCAAGAGCCCTCTGCTACCACCCTGGATGGACCAAGCCCCTTCTTAGACATAGATGACCCCATAGCTTCCAAGGAAAATCCTGAGCTGCCCCAATGCTGGTGGCAATTGGTAGCAAGCCTTCTTTACAGTTCTTCCTGGATCCCGTTGGAGAATCTCCCTGGAAACTGATGGAAGGAACCTCTTATGGTGCACTTATTTGCCGCAGGGTTTCTTGTTCTCTGCTCGTATAGTGATTTGGGGTAGAGGTAAACTTTGTATCATCAGCATTTAAGGATGATCAGATTTAACTGTATCCAGGGATTGAAAGAATTTTTCAAAGCTTTTCTCCCCTGGCCACACTGAGCAAAGAGAACATTGTCTTTTAGGAATCAAGAAACATTTTGCATCTCAAGGCAAAGCTTTGCTGTAATAAAAAGATGATATGAGCTGCCAGTTAGCTCAGGCTGCTTTTGGATGTAAGGTCTGTGAGGCATAAGCAGAGTGCTTCTAAATTGAGGGCAGGTTCATTGCAGGGTGTGAGCATGGATCTGAGGGCAGTGTTCTCAAGGCAGGGATAAACGGAAGGCTCCGTGGAATCTGGCCGCTCCATTTGTCTACACTCTCACTTGGTTCAGCCAGGCGGATGATGAGCCACAGTGTAAAATAAAGAGACTTTGAATTATTATCGCAAAATGTGAACAGTTTTTATAACCTGTTCTAGGGGATGATGAACTCATCAAGGGAAGAAAGTTGCCTGGCTCCAAGAGAGCAGAACTGTGATTGGATGCCTGCGTTCCAGTGATTATAGTTCCTTTTGATGCAGTTAGGATTGGGAGCGAAGGTCAGAGTGGGTATTTCAGTAGATATATGAGAGTGGATTTTGGATATAAATTATGCAACACTGGAAGTTCAACACAGATACAAACTGAGCAGCTCCTTCTTGGTGTTTGGGGATTTATGACTGATTTGTGGTCTGCTTATGAATGGGAATAGGTCGCCCTTCAGTTATGAAAGTATTTTTCACGTTAGGATGCTCATAATTAATTAGGGGTTCATGTGGTGGGGTCAGGATGGGAATGCTTCGTGTTTTGACCCCCTAAAGCTGTGTTCCTGCCAACAAAGCCTCAGTGATAGATTTCTTTCATAGTTCACAAAGGAATTATTAGCTCTTGTCTCTGAGTACCGCAGGAAGCACTTTTAATGGCTCCATTTAAGTCAGAGCTTGTTCAGGTTATGGTTGGGAAGCTGATTTTTCCTAAGACAAATCATACAGTATATTTTGTTTCAATCCGAGATTTAACATTGAGACTCCTGGGTAATGCTTTTATTTTCTAAACATTTGGGATATAATTGATTTAACTTTTCCAATAGGAGTTTAATAAGAATTCTAAACAACTCAGCCTTTACCTGGCTGAGCTAATTAAATGAAGGGAAACTAGAAGCTATGTACCAGCCAGGAATTATTACCACTTGGTTTACTAATCTGTGTCCCTTTCAGATGACAGCCTGGTGGCTAAAGCTGTGACTTGAGTTCTTTCTGAAGCAGCAGAAGCCCCAGGAGCCAAGGTCATTATTTTTGCATGAGGTATTTATTGCTAAACATAAATAGTGAGAGGGCTGGGTTCTTGGACAAGTCAAGACTTTATTTTGAGCCCCAGAGGGTGGCTCCCCATATCTCATTGGAAAGATGACAACTTAAGTCAATGAAAGACTGGTTGAAACCAGTACAGAGGACTATCTATGAAGACCTGTTTTCTGTTCCAAGCCTGTTAAGATCCGAGGCAATCTCATCTTAGAGAACTTTTATTTCTGGAACTCTGAGTGGCAATGCCCACTGGTTATGTTCATTTGTTCCTGAAACAGTGTGAGAATTTTGTACTTAAGTGTCCCAGAGTGCACACCAAGACACAACTACCCAGCAATACGGTAGGCTTTTGGAGTCTGCTATTATGGTTTGCAGGTTCAGTATGCAAAATTCTATCTTCCATGTCATTATCCACATTGTTTGCCGTGCTGCAGGATTTTTTTTTCTCCTCTGCACCAGAGGGGTACATTTCTCTATTTCTTCTTTGTAGCACACCCCTCACTTTGCTCGTTTCATTTCTTTTCCCTTTGCTCTCATTCACTAGCTTCATGATTCTTTGAACAGTTTATCTTCCCTCTTTTACACAGTAGAAACAGACAAGGTGGCGGAGGGGTGGAACGAGGATGCAGAGAGAATAATAGATCCTATTGACTAGGTACTTTTAGGTGTATGGCCCTGTTCTTAGTACTTTACATGTGTTTTGTCACTCAAATTTGAAGAGCAGAAGCAGCCACCAGCCTTGGATTCAACAAGGAACTTTGAAGCATTTGAGGGCAACACATTGGAGAGTGAATTGGTTCAAGCACGACCAAGAACTGTGTTGGCATCCTCTGGTGTGTCAGCCTGGGGAACCCAGCCAGACCATGCCACAGTAGCCCCTAGGGCAGGCGAGAATATTATGAGAATTAGGAAAGGAATGCAGATTTACTGAGGGCCTCCTCTGCGCCTGGCCCTGAGTGGTTTCTCTTATGTGATCTCATTTAATCTTCACAGCACATTCAAGTAGGGAATATCTTTTTAGTGTGACCGATGAGAAATCGGAAGCAAAGGTTAAGTAAATTGCCCATGGCTAAGCTGTGACCACGTTCGAATGGAGGGCTCTGAGGCCATCATCTAAGCCATGCTGGCCAGTCCTCATTCTGGATGAATTCCCTGAGAAGTTGAAATGCTCTTTTTGCTGGTCTTATGTGAATTTCTACTCAGCGGTGGAGGGGAGGGGAATGCAGTGTGTTTGTACCAAAACCATTCCGAAGTTTCAGCTTCTAATCCTCTTGTGTCATATCTTCTGTTCCTATCCCACATCAGTTCCCATAGGCAGACACATGTTCTTATGATGTGAACTGCTGAGCTGCTTCTCATGGTGTGAGATAATGGTTCCAATGGTGGGAAGAAATGGAATGGTATGCGTACCCTGACCATTTCTTTATATTCTACTTAGATATCTTTCATCTTTTATAATCAACATACAAGAAAAAAGCTGAGGCCTTTCTGGGAAGGTGGTGACTGGAATGCATCCCACCTTCCTTCCATTTCCAACTCCAGCTCCTCTACTCCTTCTGATGAGGCAGATCTGACTCTACGTGTGAGTGAGGCCTCAGCTGGGGATTGCGGAGCTTCCTAGCCCACTTCTGGCTGGGGCAGTGGCTTGATGCATACCATTAAATGACCAGAAATGAATATGAGTCCTAGGACTGACTGTTGTATGAATCTGTTGAAATATTCTGAACAGATTTTTTTTAAAAATGATGGCATCAACATCTGAAGAATGGATGTTAGTAGCTTGGATGAAAATCCTGGAAAGAATAATGGAGCATTCTTTCAGGAACTCTCTCGATGGTAGAGAAGATGATATTTTGTGGGAAAACAAATTGTCACAACTGAGTTAATGACCAGTTTAGGATTCTATGGGAAGACGCTTTAGGAGTGCCTTACCCAATTTATTGGGTCAAATTCTCGTTTTTATTAATGCACAAGAGTAAAACATAATAAAAATATGTATCTGTCTAAGCCTGAAAGAGCTCCTTCAATAACTATAAAATAAATCTCCAAGTTATAAGAAAGCATTATGTTCTAATTGAATCAAAAGTGTTTTTTCTTTCTTAGTGGTACATAAAATAATGGTTCATTTTACAATAGATGAAATCTTGGATCCAAAGAAATATGCTACATACTTTAGGTGGAAGAAAATATATTTGTAAGTATGTAAGTATGCAATGATTTAAGGAATGTATAATCCACATCTGAAGAGAATATATGAAAGAAAAAGAAACATAAATAAAAAATTAGAATAGCAAGATGGAATATAATGAAGAAAGAAAAAAATGGTTAGCAGTGAACCTTCCAGTATGTAGTTAAGGAACGTTACCCATGGAGACAGATCAGCACTGGATGCTCAGAGGCTTATCACAATGGAGGCTCACTTCTCACTCATGTGAGAACATTGTGGAGGTTGTGGGGGAGGCCCTCCACTCCTATCAGGGCCACAGCTGTGAAGGCTCTGCTGTGTTCAATTCATCCCTCCCAAGCTTGCCCATGGTGTCTAGCCAGGAGAGAGAGAGAGAGAGAGAGAGAGAATATGAGAATCCAGAAATCGGAGACTGTGCAAAGTTGCAAAGGTCATCTGCTTCTAGACTTTTTGATAAATCGAGAAATATTGTGAACGACTAGTCCCCATTAAGATTAAATTTTAGGCTGGGCGTGGTGGCTCACGCCTGTAATCCCAGCACTTTGGGAGGGCGAGGTGGGCTGATCACCTGAGGTCAGGAGTTCGAGACCAGCCTGGCCAACATGGTAAAACCCCGTCTCTACTAAAAATTCAAAAATTAGCTGGGCGTGGTGACAGGTGCCTGTAATCCCAGCTACTCAGGAGGCTGAGGTAGGAGAATCGCTTGAACCTGGGAGGAGGAGATTGCAGTGAGCCAAGATCATGCCATTGCACTCCAGCCTGGGCAACAAGAGCGAAATTCTGTCTCAAAATAAAAATAAAAATAAAAATAAAAATTAAATTTAGTACCATGGAAAATATCATATTAATGGGATGGCATTTTCACCAACTATTTCAAGGAATTTGAGAGAGGCATGGAGGCCAAGGGCCATGGATAATAAGAACAAGTTATTCATCCAGAGAATAAAATCACGGCCTCAGCGAGCAACATCCCCAACCTCAGGCTGGGCCTTCATTGTTCCTGCCAAGCAAGCCTTCACAATCTTTGTGGACTCATAACTACTGTGACTCTTCCAATTCTTTCTGCTTCCAAAAGGGAGTTTTTACCGGGGTTATTCTATCTCTGCTTGGGACATTCCAGATTGGGTCTGTGTGGCGTACATGTGTGGTGGGGTGGTAAACTTGTCTTTTTATTTCTTAGGTCACTGCTGCTCAGGGCTATAGCTTCTCCTGATGGAGAAGACTTTACATCACTGGAAAGTTTCTGGATTTTGAGCTGGATGTGGTGACGAGGTGATTTTGGGTTGCATTTCTTTTCTTTTCCTTTTTGAGTTGAGGAGGTCTTGCTTTGTTGCCCAGGCTGGAGTGCAGTGGTGCAGTCATAGCTCACTGCAGCCTTGACTTCTGGGCTCAAGGGATTCTCTCACCTCAGCCTCCCGAGTAGCTGGGACTGTAGGCATGCACAATCACACCCAGCTAAATTAATTTTTTTGGAGAGATGGGGTCTTACTATGTTGTCCAGGCTGGTCTCAAGCTCCTGGCCTCAAGTGTTCCTCCCACCTCACCCTCCCAAAGTGCTGGAATTACAGGCATAAGCCATTGTGCCTGGACTGGGTTGCATTTCTTGAGTGAGGTTGAGTAGTTCTTCATCAACTGGATATTTAATGACTAGAATTTATGGGCCAAATATATTTCCACTTCGTCCTGGGGACATAGCAAAGCTATACTTCTCCAACTTCTTTGCAGTTTGGTGTAGCCACGGGACTGAGATCTGGCTGGTGGAATGCAGGTGGAAGGGCTGTAAGCTTCCCTCAGGCTGGCCTGTGCTGTCCCTTTCTCTCCCTGCCAGTCAGATGCTGACACTTAGGGTGAAGCCAGGAGTTGGAAAGACAAAGTCTTTCAACCTAGATTTCTGAGTGACTGCACAGAGCAGGGTTTCCTCCCTCAGATTTGACTTTACAGAAATGTGAAAGAATCTGACATTGTCTCAGGCCTCTTTGATTTCAAGATTTACCTGTTACAGCAGTTGGTGTTACATTAGCTATTGCTATGGTGAAACATTACTGGAGAGCTGGGTACAGTGGCTCACACCTGTAATTTCAGTGCTTTGGGAGGCAGAGGTGGAAGGATCCCTTGAGCCCAGGAGTTCGAGGCTGCTATGATTGCGCCACTGCACTCCAGCCTAGGTGGCAGAGTGAGACTTTGTCTCTAAAAAATAAATAAATAAATAAATAAATAATAAAATGATTGGAAAATGTCAGATTGGAAGTGTGTAATATGAATATTAAATGAGTAGTCTTGAAATACAAGGGACAAAGAAAGTTTTAATAATATTCTGGAAAACAAAGTGCTAAACTATCTTACATAAACATAGAAATTGAGATGGGGAGAAAGAAGGGATAGTAAAGGCATTCCAAAATATCTGCATAGAACGCTCAGTCCTATGACATTTATAATAAACATGTGTTAGTTGATAAAAGTCAAACAAAATTATAGGCAAAGAGACAGAAGGCAAAGGCAAAGAAAGAAAGAAATGGCAACACTAGGCAAAGTAGAATTTAAGGTTAAAACATTCAACAAGATAAACAGAAACATGTTGCAGTGATTGAAGTTTCAATTTATGAAGAATATATGCTAAACATAACCTTATGCATAAATATAGTAGCAACATAGTGCAATCTACTAGAAATTCAGGAAAAGCAATTAGAGCAGGAAATTTTTTTACATTCCTTTTAAATTTGACCAGACATAAATAGTAGATAAACAAGAGGAAGGACATAGAGGAATTAAATAATACAATCAACATTAATTGTTTTAATAGATTTGTCTAGAATAGTATATCCTTTAAGAAGCAAACGTACTTTTTGTTTGTTCAAAAAACAAAATAATTCATAATGTATTTTGTTATAAGGAATCCCCCACAAATCGAAGAAAATAGAAATTTATTTTTTATTTCTATTTCTTATTATACTTTAAGTTCTGGGGTACATGTGCAGAATGTGCAGGTTTGTTACATAGGTATACATGTGCCATGGTGGTTTGCTGCACCCATCAACCTATCATCTACATTAGGTATTTCTCCTAATGTTATCCCTCCCCTTTTACCTCACTCCCTGACAGGCCCCTTTGTGTAATGCTCCCCACCGTGCCCATATGTTCTCATTGTTCAACTCCCACTTATGAGTGAGAAAATGCAGTGTTTGGTTTTCTGTTCCTGTGTTAGTTTGCTGAGAATGATGGTTTCTAGCTTCATCCATGTCCTTGCAAAGGACATGAACTCATTCTTTTTTATGGCTGCATAGTATTCCATGGTATATATGTGCCACATTTTCTTAATCCAGTCTATCATTGATGGGCATTTGGGTTGGTTCCAAGTCTTTGCTATTATGAACAGTGCTGCAATAAACATATGTATGCATGTGTCTTTGTAGCAGAATGATTTATAATCCTTTGGTATATACCCAGTAATGGGATTGCTGGGTCAAATGGTATTTCTGGTTCTAGATCCTTGAGGAATCGCCACAGTGTCTTCCACAATGGTTGAACTAATTTACACTCCCACCAACAGTGTAAAAGCATTCCTATTTCTCCACATCCTCTCCAGAATCTGTTGTTTCCCAACTTTTTAGTAATTGCCATTCTAACTGGTGTGAGATGGTATCTCATTGTGGTTTTGATTTGCATTTCTCTAATGACCAGTGATGATGAGCTTTTTTTCATATGTTTCTTGGCCGCATAAATGTCTTCTTTTGAAAAGTGTCTGTTCATATCCTTTGCTGACTTTTTGATGGGATTGTTTTTTTCTTGTAAATTTAAGTTCCTTGTAGATTCTGGATATTAGGCCTTTGTCAGATGGATAGATTGCAAAAATTTTCTCCCATTCTGTGGGTTGCCTCTTCACTCTGATGATAGTTTCTTTGGCTGTGCAGAAGCTCTTTAGTTTAATTAGATCCCATTTGTCAATTTTCGCTTTTGTTGCCATTGCTTTTGGTGTTGTAATCATGAAGGTATTGCCCATGCCTATGTCCTGAATGGTATTGCCTAGGTTTTCTTCTAGGGTTTTTATGGTTTTAGGTCTTACGTTTAAGTCTTTAACCCATCTTGGTTAATTTTTGTATAAGGTGTAAGGAAGGGGTCCAGTTTCAGTTTTCTGCCTATGGCTAGCCAGTTTTCCCAGCACCATTTATTAAATAGAGAATCCCTTCCCCATTGCTTGTTTTTGTCAGGTTTGTCAAAGATCAGATGGTTGTAGATGTGTGGTGGTATTTCTGAGGCCTCTGTTCTGTTCCATTGATCCAATAATAGACAATATATCTGTTTTGGTACCAGTACCATGCTGTTTTGGTTAGTGTGTCCTTGTAGTATAGTTTGAAGTCAGGTAGCATGATGCCTCAAGCTTTGTTCTTTTTGCTTAGGATTGTCTTGGCTACACGGGTTCTTTTTTGGTTTCATATGAAATTTAAAGTAGCTTTTTCTAATTCTGTGAAGAAAGTCAATGGTAGCTTGATGGGAATAGCATTTAATGTATAAATTACTTTGGGCAGTATGGCCATTTTCATGATACCAATTCTTCCCATCCATGAGCATGGAATGTTTTTTCATTTGTTTGTGTTCTTTCTTATTTTCTTGAGCAGTGGTTTGTAGTTCTCCTTGAAGAGGTCCTTCACATCCCTTGTAAGTTGTATTCCTAGGTATTTTATTCTCTCTGCAGCAATTGTGAGTGAGAGTTCTCTCATGATTTGGCTCTCTCTTTGTCTATTATTGGTGTATAGGAATGCCTTTGATTTTTGCACATTAATTTTGTATCCTGAGACTTTGCTGAAATTGCTTATCAGCTTAAGGAGCTTTTGGGCTGAGGCAGTGGGGTTTTCTAAATATACAATCGTGTCATCTGCAAACAGAGACAATTTGACTTCCTCTCTTCCTATTTGAATACGCTTTATTTCTTTCTCTTGCCTGCTTGCCCTGGCCAGAACTTCCAATACTATGTTGAATGGAGTGGTAAGAGAGGGCATCGTTGTCTTGTGCCAGTTTTCAAAGGGAATGCTTCCAGCTTTTGCCCATTCAATATGATATTGGCTGTGGGTTTATCATAAATAGCTCTTATTATTTTGAGATATGTTCCATCAATACCTAGTTTATTGCGTGTTTTTAGCATGAAAGGCTGTTGAATTTTATTGAAGGCCTTTTCTGCATCTATTGAGATAATCATGTGGTTTTTGTCATTGGTTCTGTTTATGTGATGGATTATGTTTATTGACTTGTGTATGTTGATCCAGCCTTGCATCCCAGGGATGAAGCCAACTTGATTATGGTGGATAAGCTTTTTAATGTGCTGCTTGATTCAGTTTGCTAGTATTTTATTGAGGGTTTTCACATTGATGTTCCTCAGGGATGTTGGCCTGACATTTCCTTTTTTTGTCGTGTCTCTGCTGGATTTTGGTATCAGGATGATGCTGGCCTCATAAAATGAGTTAGGGAGGAGTTCCTCTTTTTCTATTGTTTGGAATAGTTTCAGAAGGAATGGTACCAGCTCCTCTTTATACCTCTGGTAGAATTTGGCTGTGAATCCGTCTGATCCTGGGCTTTTTTTGGTTGGTAGGCTATTAATTATTGCCTCAATTTCAGAACTTGTTATTGGTCTATTCAGGGATTCGACTTCTTCCTGGTTTAGTCTTGGGAGGGTGTTTGTGTCCAGGAATTTACCCATTTCTTCTAGATTTTCTAGTTTATTTGTGTAGAGGTGTTTATAGTATTCTCTGATGGTAGTTTGTATTTCTGTGGGATCAGTGGTGATCTCCCCTTTATCAGTTTTTATTGTGTCTGTTTGATTCTTCTCTCTTTTCTTCTTTATTAGTCTGGCTAGCTGTCTATCTATTTATTTAATTTTTATAAAAAACCAGCTCCTGGATTCATTGATTTTTTTGAAGGGTTTTTCGTGTCTCTATCTCATTCAGTTCTGCTCTGATCTTAGCTATTTCTTGTCTTCTGCTAGCTTTTGAATTCGTTTGCTCTTGTTTCTCTAATTCTTTTAATTGTGATGTGAGGGTATCGATGTTAGATCTTTCCTGCTTTCTCCTGTGGACATTTAGTGCTGTAAATTTCCTTCTAAACACTGCTTTAGCTGTGTCCAAGAGATTCTGGTACATTGTGTCTTTGTTCTCATTGGTTTCAAATAACTTATTTATTTCTGCCTTAATTTTGTTATTTACCCAGTAGTCATTCAGGGGCAGGTTGTTGAATTTCCATTTAGTTGTGCGGTTTTGAGTGAGTTTCTTAATCCTGAATTCTAATTTGATTGCACTGTGTCTGGGAGACTGTTATGATTTCAGTGCTTTTGCATTTGCTGAGGAGTGTTTTACTTCCAATTATGTGGTCGATTTTAGAATAAGTGCTATATGGTGCTGAGGAGAATGTATATTCTGTTGATTTGGGGTGGAGAGTTCTGTAGATGTCTATTAGGTCTGCTTGGTCTAGAGCTGAGTTTAAGTCCTGAATATCCTTGTTAATTTTCTGTCTCGTTGATCTGTCTAACATTGACAGTTGTATGTTAATGTCTCCCACTATTATTGTGTGGGAGTCTAAGTCTCTTTGTGAGTCTCTAAGAACTTGCTTTATAAATCTGGGTGCTCCTGTATTGGGTGCATATATATTTAGAATAGTTAGCTCTTCTTGTTGCATTGATCCCTTTACCATTATGTAATGCCCTTATCTGTTTTTCTTTTATCTTTGTTGGTTTAAAGTCTGTTTTATTAGAGACTAGGATTGCAACCCGTGTGTGTTTTTTTTTTTTTTTTGCTTTCCATTTGGTTGATAAATCTTCCTCCATCCCTTTATTTTGAGCCTATGTGCATCTTTGAACATGAGATGGGTCTCCTGAATACAGCACACTGATGGGTCTTGACTCTATCCAATTTGCCAGCCTGTGTCCTTTAATTAGGGCATTTAGCCCATTTACACTTAAAGTTAATAGAGTTATGTGTGAATCTGATCCTGTCATTATGATCCTAGCTGGTTATTTTGCCCATTAGTTGATGCAGTTTCTTCATAGTGTCAATAGTCTTTACATTTTGGTGTGTTTTTGCAGTAGCTGGTACCGGTTTTTCTTTTCCATATTTAGTGCTTCCTTCAGGAGCTCTTGTAAGGGAGGCCTGGTGGTGACAAAATCCCTGAGCATTTGCTTGTCTGTAAAGGATTTTATTTCTCCTTCAGTTATGAAGCTTAGTTTGGTTGCATATGAAATTATGGGTTGAAAATTCTTTTCTTTAAGAACGTTGAACATCGGCCCCCGCTCTCTTCTGGCCTGTACAGTTTCTGCAGAGAGGTCTGCTGTTAATCTGATGGGCTTGCCTTTGTGGGTAACTCAACCTTTATCTCTGGCTGTCCTTAACATTTTTTCCTTCATTTCAACTTTGGTGAATCTGATGATTATGTGTCTTGGGGTTGCTCTTCTCCAGGAGTATCTTTGTAGTGTTCTCGTATTTCCTGAATTTGAATGTTGGCCTGTCTTGCTAGGTTGGAGTTTTCCTGGATAATATCCTGAAGTGTGTTTTTCCACTTGATTCCATTCTCCCCGTCACTTTCAGGTACACCAATCAAACGTAGATTTGGTGTTTTCACATAGTCCCATATTTCTTGGAGGCTTTGTTCATTCCTTTTCTTTCTTTTTTCTCTAATCTTGTCTTCATGCTTTATTTCATTAAGTTGATCTTCAATCTCTGATATCCTTTCTTCTTCTTGTTTGATTCAGCTATTGATATTGTGTATGCTTCATGAAGTTTTCATGCTGTGTTTTTCTGCTCCCTCAGGTCATTTATATTCTTCTCTAAAGTGGATATTCTAGTTAGCAGTTCCTGTAACCTTTTATCAAGGTTCTTAGCTTCCTTGCATTGGGTTAGAACATGCTCCTTTAGCTCGGAGGAGTTTGTTATTGCCCACCTTCTGAAGCCTACTTCTGTCAATTCATCAAATTTATTCTCCGTCCAGTTTTGTTCCCTTGCTGGTGAGGAGTTGTGATCCTTTGGAGAAGAGGCTTTCTAATTTTTGGAATTTTCAGCCTTTGTGCACTGGTTTTTCCTCATCTTCGTGGATTTATCTACCTTTGATCTTTGCTGTTGCTGACCTAAGGATGGAGTTTTTGCATGGGTGTACTTTTTGTTGATGTTGATGCTATTGCTTTCTGTTTGTTAGTTTTCCTTCTAACAGTCAAGCCCCTCTTCTGCAGGTCTGCTGGAGTTTGTTGGAGTTCCACTCCAGACCCTGTTTGTCTGGGTATCACCAGTGGAGGCTGCAGAACAGCAAATATTGCGGCCTGCTCCTTCCTCTGGAAGCTTTGTCCCAGAAGGGCACCTGCCAGATGGCAGCTGGAGCTCTCCTGTATGAGGTGTCTGTCGACCCCTGCTTGGAGGTGTCTCCCTGTCAGGAGGCATGGGGGTCAGGGACCCACTTGAGGAGGCAGTCTGTCCCTTAGCAGAGCTCGAGCACAGTTCTGGGAGATCTGCTACACTCTTTAGAACCGGCATGTGGGAATGTTTAAGTCTGTGGAAGCTGTACCCACAGCCATCCCTTCCCCTAGGTGCTTTATCCCAGGGAGATGGAGTTTTTATGTATAAGCCCCTGACTGGGGCTGCTGCCTTTCTTTCAGAGATGCCCTGCCCAGAGAAGAGGAATCTTCAGAGGTAGTCTGGCTACAGCAGCTTTGCCATGCTGCGGTGGGTTTGGCACCCAGTTCGAACTTCCCGGTGGCTTTGTGTACACTATGAGGGGAAAACCGCCTACTCAAGCCTCAGTAATGGCAGACGCCCCTCTCCCCATGAAGCTTGAGCATCCCAGGTCAACTTTAGACTGTTGTGCTGGCAGTGAGAATTTCAAGCCCGTTGGTCTTAGCTTGTTGGGCTCCATGGGGGTGGGATTTGTTGAGCAAGACCATTTGGCTCCCTGGCTTCAGCCCCCTTTTTAGGGGAGTGAACAGTTGTGTTGCGGTGTTCCAGGCACACTGTGGTATGAAAAAAACCTCCTGCAGCTAGCTCGGTGTCTGCCCAAATGGCCACCCAGTTTTGTGCTTAAAATCCAGGGTCCTGGTTGTATAGGCACCCAAGGGAATCTCCTGGTCTGTGGGTTGTGAAGATAGTGGAAAAACGTAGTATGTGGGCTGGAGAGCACCATCCCTAATGCCACAGTCCCTCATGACTTCCTTTGTTTAGGAGGGGTAATGCCCTGACCCCTTGCGCTTCCCGGGTGAGGTGATGCCTCATCCTGCTTCTGCTTGTCCTCCATGGGCTGCACCCACTGTCTAACCATTCCCAGTGAGATGAACTGGGTACCTCAGTTGAAAATGCAGAAATCACCCATCATCTGTTTAGGTCTTGCTGGGAGCTGCACATTGGAGCTGTTCCTATTTGGCCATCTTGGCCTGGAATTGAAAATAGAGATTTCAAAGTCACCTTCTCTGGTAACAATCAAATAACAGTAAAATAATAAGAAAACGATTCTTCTTACTGCTGCTCTCACCTCTCTCAAAATTTGACTATTTGAAAATCAAGACTTGGCTACTCTGTCTATTGAGTAGCCATTCTTTTATTCCTTTACTTTCCTAATAAATTTGCTTTCACTTTGTGGACTCACCCTGAATTCTTTCTTGTGTGAGATCTGAGAACCCTCTCTTGGGGTTCTCAGGGCCCAGAACAGAAAGGGATCAGGACCCCTTTCCTGTAACATCTTTCTGGTGACCACTGAAGAGACTATAGTATGGAAACCCCTAGCTTTTGGTAAGTGGTGAGGTCCAGTAACATGTTTCTTCTGGTGAAACATGGAAGGGACGATACTGAGGAGACTCCAATCCAAAGGAAATAGACTGCAGAACTGATCGGGGCTGACTTTTTCTAGGTAAGACCTGGCACACGTGAAGTTAGATGCTGGAAAGAATCAGACCTTATCTGCACTTCTGTCTGCTGTCCTAGGCTCTACACCTAGCACATAATTAAAATCCCAAACTTATTAAGGTTTTCACCAAAAGTAAAAGTCACTAAGAGTCAACACTGTAATATGAAATTGAGACTACTTAAGAAACAGTTTTATATGTGAGTCAAGAAAACTTTTCTTTTGAGCTATTTACAGCTTTTAACAATTGAGTAACGTATACTCCTGTGAACAAAATTTGGACCATATTTGTTTCTCTCTACCTGATTTCTCCAAAATTTGAAAACTATTTGTGAGTATTCTTAACATATGGCAACATAGTTATTTGCATAAGTGCAATAAGAATCTGTTTTCTTTTGTAACAGGACACAATTGGAAAAACTGGTTATTTTACCAAGACTTTGACTGGAATGCTATGCTGTGCTTTAAGGAATCAAACTTGACTTTTAAAGCCAATAAAAGCCCCTTGGGGAACTGGCCTCATACTTTACCTATGCAGTCCCTGTAGAGGGTTTATGACCTGTGATAAGTAAAGAATGTCACTTTCTCACAGACCCAGGAGCCCCAAGTTATCTTGGGACCCCAAGAGGAGAGGAATTCACTCAACTCATAGGTATTTGAGGGTACAAACCCATGGTAGGCTTGGCTTAAAAAAAAGTCTTATCTGAGATTTCTTCTATGGAACAGAGTTCCATCAAAGCCAATTTAAAAAGAATCTATGTGAAAAATAATTATTCTTCCTGCACTTTATACAAATAATCAGGCCAAGCATAATAATGCAAATCAGTCTTACCATGATTTGTCTTTAGTAAAAATGGGAAACAAGAGAGAAATATGTTACAAGAACTATGGTACACTTGTTACTAAATTTTAGTCTCATAAGTTATTTTTAAGTTTGTTTCTGCAATTTAGGCTAACCCTACTTATTCCTGTGAACCAACCACTGATCTCTTGACTGCTGCTCAGAAGAAACAAGAGGGATTGGGTAATGTAAAAATCTGGATCAATATTCTAATTTTGGGTACATTGGAATCAGCTAGCGACCCCATATCAGCTTGGTTCCACAGTTGCCCAGTTCATAGAACTGGAATTAGTTCTATGTAAATTAGTTTACTTGGAATAATTTTACTTATTGTGTTTTACTGTTGTTGTGGAATAAGTTGCTGCTGTGCTCTTTGTGTAGGAAGGCAGGACAAGCTTACTGAATATTTTCTTAAATTCAACATGTATTAATCTTCCAGGTATCACCTTTTGTTGGAACTCAAGAGTTATGAATGGCCCTTACCATACTGATGCTTTCTGACTGAGCTCCTCTCTACCCCAAATACAAGAGACACTCACAGTTAGGCAGGAATATCATTATCCCTATTTAGCCTGAAGAAGTTACAGAAGATGGATCTTTATCCCTCTGCAACCCTTAGGATTAAGGGTTCTCTTATGAAAGGGAGGGGGGAAATGTCAGAGACGTTTGAACCAGAGCAACTTCATCTTGAATAGGAGCTGGGTAAAATGAGGCTAACACCTACTGGGCTATATTCCCAGATGGTTAAGGCATTCTAAGTCACAGGATGAGATAGGAGGTCAGTACAAGATACAGGTCACAAAGACCTTGCTGATAAAACAGATTGCAGTAAAGAAGATGGCCAAAACCCACAAAAACCAAGATGGCGACAAGCGTGAACTCTGGTCGTCCTCACTGCTACACTCCCACCAGCACCGTGACAGTTTACAAATGCCATGACAATGTCCAGAAGTTAACCTATATGGTCTAAAAAAGGGATGCATGAATAATCCACCCCTTGTTTAGCATATCATCAAGAAATAAACATAAAAATGGGGAACCAGCAACCCTTGGGGTTGCTCTGTCTTTGGAGTAGCCATTCTTTTATTCCTTCACTTTCCTAATAAACTTGCTTTCACTTGAAAAAAAAAAAAAAGAGAAAATCAAGACTTTTCTAGATAACTTTTGAATTGAAGAGGAAATTGAAATTACAAATGATCCAGAAGACAGAAAATGAAAACACATTGTACCTTTATTATTAAAGAAGACAGATAAAACAAGGATTTTAGCTTCATCTTAAGAAATTAGAAAAAAAAGTAACAAAGCAACTTACAGAGAGCTGAAATTAATAAAATGGAACTCTCTCCAAATGTGGAAGTTAAATGAGATGATTTCTTTAAAAAATCAATAAAAGAGAGAATAAATTCCTTGCAAGAAAGCCTGATTAATGTTGGTGGTGAGAGAAAAGAGGGTGAGAGAATGAGAATGAGAGAGAGAGAGACTGAGAATATATATTAGATTATGATACAAATGTGAGGGCACAACTACTGGCCCATGAGAAATCATAATTTAAGTCACTAAAATTGACTAAAGAAGTTGAAAACTCGACTAGACCAATTAATTACCATGAAATAAGTTCAAAAAGGTATGAGGACCAGATGAATTTACTGTTGAATTCTGTCTAATTCTTACAGACCAGATAATTCCAATATTATATAAATGATCCTAGATCAAAGGAAATGAGGGAGGTATTCTCACTTCATTTTGTGAACTCAGTATGATTTTAACATTAAAAATTGATAATGATATAGAGAAAACTATAGACTAATTTTATTTATTATGTATGCAAAAATTCCTAAAAAATTATTAATACATGTAATCCAGTAATTAAAAAACAACTAATAACTATGAGCAACTAGGGTTTAGTCAAAGTGTGCAAGCATAATAAAATATAAGGAATTATATTTTATTCCTGGGCATGGTGGCTCATACTTGTAATCCCAGCACTTTGGGAGGTTGAAGCAGGAGGATCACTTGAGGCCAGGAGTTTGAGACCAGCCTGGGCAATATAGAAAGACCCCACATCTAAAAAAAATTAAAAATTACAAAAGAGGGGGAGGAGCCAAGATGGCCGAATAGGAACAGCTCTGGTCTACAGCTCCCAGCGTGACCGACGCAGAAGACCGGTGATGTCTGCATTTCCATCTGAGGTACCGGGTTCATCTCACTAGGGAGTGTCAGACAGTGGGCGCAGGCCAGTGGGTGCGCGCACGGTGCACGAGCCAAAGCAGGGCGAGGCATTGCCTCACCTGGGAAGCACAAGGGGTCAGGGAGTTCCCTTTCCGAGTCAAAGAAAGGGGTGACGGACGCACCTGGAAAATCGGGTCACTCCCACCCGAATATTGCACTTTTCAGACCGGCTTAAAAAACGGCGCACCACGAGACTATATCCCACACCTGGCTCTGAGGGTCCTACGCCCACGGAATCTCGCCGATTGCTAGCACAGCAGTCTGTGATCAAACTGCAAGGCGGCAGCGAGGCTGGGGGAGGGGCGCCCGCCATTGCCCAGGCTTGCTTAGGTAAACAAAGCAGCCAGGAAGCTTGAACTGGGTGGAGCCCACCACAGCTCAAGGAGGCCTGCCTGCCTGCCTCCGTAGGCTCCACCTCTGGGGGCAGGGCACAGACAAACAAAAAGACAGCAGTAACCTCTGCAGACTTAAATGTCCCTGTCTGACAGCTTTGAAGGGAGCAGTGGTTCTCCCAGCACGCAGCTGGAGATCTGAGAACCGGCAGACTGCCTCTTCAAGTGGGTCCCTGACCCCTGACCCCCGAGCAGCCTAACTGGGAGGCACCCCCCAGCAGGGGCACACTGACACCTCACACGGCAGGGTATTCCAACAGACCTGCAGCTGAGGGTCCTGTCTGTTAGAAGGAAAACTAACAAACAGAAAGGACATCCACACCAAAAACCCATCTGTACATCACCATCATCAAAGACCAAAAGTAGATAAAACCACAAAGATGGGGAAAAAACAGAACAGAAAAACTGGAAGCTCTAAAAATCAGAGCGCCTCTCCTCCTCCAAAGGAACGCAGCTCCTCACCAGCAACAGAACAAAGCTGGATGGAGAATGACTTTGACGAGCTGAGAGAAGGAGGCTTCAGACGATCAAATTACTCTGAGCTACGGGAGGACCTTCAAACCAAAGGCAAAGAAGTTGAAAACTTTGAAAAAAATTTAGAAGAATGTATAACTAGAATAACCAATACAGAGAAGTGCTTAAAGGAGCTGATGGAGCTGAAAACCAAGGCTCAAGAACTACGTGAAGAATGCAGAAGCCTCAGGAGCCGATGCGATCAACTGGAAGAAAGGGTGTCAGCAATGGAAGATGAAATGAATGAAATGAAGCGAGAAGGGAAGTTTAGAGAAAAAAGAATAAAAAGAAATGAGCAAAGCCTCCAAGAAATATAGGACTATGTGAAAGGACCAAATCTACGTCTGATTGGTGTACCTGAAAGTGATGGGGAGAATGGAACCAAGTTGGAAAACACTCTGCAGGATATTATCCAGGAGAACTTCCCCAATCTAGCAAGGCAGGCCAACATTCAGATTCAGGAAATACAGAGAACGCCACAAAGATACGCCTCGAGAAGAGCAACTCCAAGACACATAATTGTCAGATTCACCAAAGTTGAAATGAAGGAAAAAATGTTAAGGGCAGCCAGAGAGAAAGGTCGGGTTACCCTCAAAGGGAAGCCCATCAGACTAACAGCAGATCTCTCGGCAGAAACCCTACAAGCCAGAAGAGAGTGGGGGCCAATATTCAACATTCTTAAAGAAAAGAATTTTCAACCCAGAATTTCATATCCAGCCAAGCTAAGCTTCATAAGTGAAGGAGAAATAAAATACTTTACAGACAAGCAAATGCTGAGAGATTTTGTCACCACCAGACCTGCCCTAAAAGAGCTCCTGAAGGAAGCACTAAACATGGAAAGGAACAACCGGTACCAGCCGCTGCAAAATCATGCCAAAATGTAAAGACCATGGAGACTAGGAAGAAACTGCATCAACTAACGAGCAAAATCACCAGCTAACATCATAATGACAGGATCAAATTCACACATAACAATATTAACTTTAAATGTAAATGGACTAAATGCTCCAATTAAAAGACACAGACTGGCAAATTGGATAAAGAGTCAAGACCCATCTGTGTGCTGTATTCAGGAAACCCATCTCACGTGCAGAGACACACATAGGCTCAAAATAAAAGGATGGAGGAAGATCTACCAAGCCAATGGAAAACAAAAAAAGGCAGGGGTTGCAATCCTAGTCTCTGATAAAACAGACTTTAAACCAACAAAGATCAAAAGAGACAAAGAAGGCCATTACATAATGGTAAAGGGATCAATTCAACAAGAAGAGCTAACTATCCTAAATATATATGCACCCAATACAGGAGCACCCAGATTCATAAAGCAAGTCCTGAGTGACCTACAAAGAGACTTAGACTCCCACACATTAATAATGGGAGACTTTAACACCCCACTGTCAACATTAGACAGATCAACGAGACAGAAAGTCAACAAGGATACCCAGGAATTGAACTCAGCTCTGCACCAAGCGGACCTAATAGACATCTACAGAACTCTCCACCCCAAATCAACAGAATATACATTTTTTTCAGCACCACACCACACCTATTCCAAAATTGACCACATACTTGGAAGTAAAGCTCTCCTCAGCAAATGTAAAAGAACAGAAATTATAACAAACTATCTCTCAGACCACAGTGCAATCAAACTAGAACTCAGGATTAAGAATCTCACTCAAAGTCGCTCAACTACATGGAAACTGAACAACCTGCTCCTGAATGACTACTGGCTACATAACGAAATAAAGGCAGAAATAAAGATGTTCTTTGAAACCAACGAGAACAAAGACACAACATACCAGAATCTCTGGGACACATTCAAAGCAGTGTGTAGAGGGAAATTTATAGCACTAAATGCCCACAAGAGAAAGCAGGAAAGATCCAAAATTGACACCCTAACATCACAATTAAAAGAACTAGAAAAGCAAGAGCAAACACATTCAAAAGCTAGCAGAAGGCAAGAAATAACTAAAATCAGAGCAGAACTGAAGGAAATAGAGACACAAAAAACCCTTCAAAAAATTATTGAATCCAGGAGCTGGTTTTTTGAAAGGATCAACAAAATTGATAGACCGCTAGCAAGACTAATAAAGAAAAAAAGAGAGAAGAATCAAATAGACACAATAAAAAATGATAAAGGGGATATCACCACCGATCCCACAGAAATACAAACTACCATCAGAGAATACTACAAACACCTCTACGCAAATAAACTAGAAAATCTAGAAGAAATGGATAAATTCCTCGACACATACACTCTCCGAAGACTAAACCAGGAAGAAGTTGAATCTCTTAATAGACCAATAACAGGAGCTGAAATTGTGGCAATAATCAATAGCTTACCAACCAAAAAGAGTCCAGGACCAGATGGATTCACAGACAAATTCTACCAGAGGTACAAGGAGGAACTGGTACCATTCCTTCTGAAACTATTCCAATCAATAGAAAAAGAGGGAATCCTCCCTAACTCATTTTATGAGGCCAGCTTCATTCTGATACCAAAGCCGGGCAGAGACACAACAAAAAAAGAGAATTTTAGACCAATATCCTTGATGAACATTGATGCAAAAATCCTCAATTAAAATACTGGCAAACCGAATCCAGCAGCACATCAAAAAGCTTATCCACCATGATCAAGTGGGCTTCATCCCTGGGATGCAAGGCTGGTTCAATATACGCAAATCAATAAATGTAATCCAGCATATAAACAGAACCAAAGACAAAAACCACATGATTATCTCAATAGCTGCAGAAAAAGCCTTTGACAAAATTCAACAACCCTTCATGCTAAAAACTCTCAATAAATTAGGTATTGATGGGACGTATCTCAAAATAATAAGAGCTATATATGACAAACCCACAGCCAATATCATACTGAATGGGCAAAAACTGGAAGCATTCCCTTTGAAAACTGGCACAAGACAGGGATGCCCTCTGTCACCACTCCTATTCAACACAGTGTTGGAAGTTCTGGCCAGGGCAATTAGGCAAGAGAAGGAAATAAAGGGTATTCAATTAGGAAAAGAGGAAGTCAAATTGTCCCTGTTTGCAGATGACATGATTGTATATCTAGAAAACCCCATGGTCTCAGCCCAAAATCTCCTTAAGCTGATAAGCAACTTCAGCAAAGTCTCAGGATACAAAATCAATGTACAAAAATCACAAGCATTCTTATACACCAACAACAGACAAACAGAGAGCCAAATCATGAGTGAACTCCCATTCACAATTGCTTCAAAGAGAATAAAATACCTAGGAATCCAACTTACAAGGGATGTGAAGGACCTCTTCAAGGAGAACTACAAACCACTGCTCAAGGAAATAAAAGAGGATACAAACAAATGGAAGAACATTCCATGCTCATGGGTAGGAAGAATCAATATTG
Source organism: Homo sapiens (assembly GCF_000001405.40). Lineage (NCBI taxonomy): Eukaryota > Metazoa > Chordata > Mammalia > Primates > Hominidae > Homo > Homo sapiens. The sequence goes on from NC_000013.11 coordinate 45,649,459, forward strand.
TGAAAATGGCCATACTGCCCAAGGTAATTTACAGATTCAATGCCATCCCCATCAAGCTACCAATGACTTTCTTCACAGAATTGGAAAAAACTACTTTAAAGTTCATATGGAACCAAAAAAGAGCCCGCATCGCCAAGTCAATCCTAAGCCAAAAGAACAAAGCTGGAGGCATCACACTACCTGACTTCAAACTTTACTACAAGGCTACAGTAACCAAAAGAGCATGGTACTGGTACCAAAACAGAGATATAGATCAATGGGACAGAACAGAGCCCTCAGAAATAATGCCGCATACCTACAACTGTGTGATCTTTGACAAACCTGAGAAAAACAAGAAATGGGGAAAGGATTCCCTATTTAATAAATGGTGCTGGGAAAACTGGCTAGCCATATGTAGAAAGCTGAAACTGGATCCCTTCCTTACACCTTATACAAAAATCAATTCAAGATGGATTAAAGATTTAAACGTTAGACCTAAAACCATAAAAACCCTAGAAGAAAACCTAGGCATTACCATGCAGGACATAGGCATGAGCAAGGACTTCATGTCCAAAACACCAAAAGCAATGGCAACAAAAGCCAAAATTGACAAATGGGATCTAATTAAACTCAAGAGCTTCTGCACAGCAAAAGAAACTACCATCAGAGTGAACAGGCAACCTACAAAATGGGAGAAAATTTTCGCAACCTACTCATCTGACAAAGGGCTAATATCCAGAATCTACAATGAACTCAAACAAATTTACAAGAAAAAAACAAACAACCCCATCAAAAAGTGGGCGAAGGACATGAACAGACACTTCTCAAAAGAAGACATTTATGCAGCCAAAAAACACATGAAAAAATGCTCACCATCACTGGCCATCAGAGAAATGCAAATCAAAACCACAATGAGATACCATCTCACACCAGTTAGAATGGCAGTCATTAAAAAGTCAGGAAACAACAGGTGCTGGAGAGGATGTGGAGAAATAGGAACACTTTTACATTGTTGTTGGGACTGTAAACTAGTTCAACCATTGTGGAAGTCAGTGTGGCGATTCCTCAGGGATCTAGAACTAGAAATACCATTTGACCCAGCCATCCCGTTACTGGGTATATACCCAAATGACTATAAATCATGCTGCTATAAAGACACATGCACACGTATGTTTATTGCGGCATTATTCACAATAGCAAAGACTTGGAACCAACCCAAATGTCCAACAATGATAGACTGGATTAAGAAAATGTGGCACATATACACCATGGAATACTATGCAGCCATAAAAAATGATGAGTTCATGTCCTTTGTAGGGACATGGATGAAATTGGAAATCATCATTCTCAGTAAACTATCGCAAGAACAAAAAACCAAACACCGCATATTCTCACTCATAGGTGGGAATTGAACAATGACATCACATGGATACAGGAAGGGGAATATCACACTCTGGGGACTGTGGTGGGGTGGGGGGAGGGGGGAGGGATAGCATTAGGAGATATACCTAATGCTAGATGACGAGTTAGTGGGTGCAGCGCACCAGCATGGCACATGTATACATATGTAACTAACCTGCACAATGTGCACATGTACCCTAAAACTTAAAGTATAATAAAAAAAAAAAGAAAAAAAAAATTACAAAAGAAAAAAAAGAAAATCTATCAACATAATTCATCACACCAATGAAGGAGAAATTATCATATCAATGTTGAAACATCTTTTGATAGAATTAGCAGCCCATTCTAGATTTTAGTGAAGTATAATTGGTTTAGAGTGTCTGGCACATACTATGATTGGTTAACCGTAACCCATTTCCAACCTCCTTTTCCCTTGACTGCTTTAATTATTGAGGTTAAATATGTTCAGTAACTGCTTTCTTGAAGTGAGAGTTTGCCATGTGACTCATGCTCTCTGAAATCTGCTGAGGTTTTCCAATAAAACTTTTGCTAATCTGATAAAAAGAGATCAGTAGTTGGTGGCATCCCTCTCTCCCTTCTTTTTGCCTTGAATGTGACTGTGATGCCTGGAGCTGGTACAGCCATTCTGCAGCCATGAGGCAACAAACATGAGGGATAGGCCAACCTAGTCACAAATGTATTTCTGACTTTCCTGAGCTGCTACATCAACACCAGTAGTTGTCAATCTCTAAATTTCTTGTTTAAATTACAATCAGGTTTTCTATTACATTCACCCAAACACACTCCTGACTTAATCAGAAAGAAGCAACTTAAAACCAAATACTAAAATCCCTAACAGTTACCAAAAACCAATAGCAAATATTATTCTAAGTAATAAAATACAGACACTAATTCAATTCAAATCAAGCAAGAGATACACCAAGATGCCTTCTTCTGCCATTCTTATTCAACAATTTTCTTGAAGGTTCTAGGGAATAAAATAAGATCACTTCAAAACACACATGCACACACACACACACACCCCAGACACACCAAAGCAAAAGAAGACAAAACTAGTAAAACCCTACCATAATGCCATAAATGAATCTTCTAAAATTCAACTGTAAAGAATGTGGAGTTGTATTTTTGTGAGTTAATAAAATGATATCAGTTGTGTAGCTAGCTGGGAATTCTGGAGTTGGGGTGTATTGTCTAAATCAATTCTGGGACTACTGATAGAACATGCGTGCTCCAGTTTAAATATCAGTTGATTGGACTCTTCAGGACATTGGCAGTAAATCTGGGAATTTCCCACTTCTTTGGTTCCTGTTTGTTGGGGAGATTGGTCTAAGAAAATAATGGGGCTACAGGAATTCATCATCTACCTCCTCTATACATGTTTCCCACCCCTGCTCCCAGATAAAAAGTTATCTTGTTCTCATTTGAACTCAATTGCTGATTGTTTTAGAGTGGAATTTGCATTGTCGTAGAGGGCATTTTTTTCATCAATATAAGCAATGAGAAAAAGATAAAACCCTTTTTTGCTTACCATGTGATGGTTTTCTCAGAAAATCAAAGAGTCTTTAGTAAAAATCTACTAGAATTAATGCAGAATTTGCTGAAGTGTTCGGATACCAGCTAAATACAGAAAAACAATGTCTTTCACTATTTTATCAATACCCAAGTAAAGGTTAAAAATTTCATTAACTGTAATTGTAAAAACTATAACATACCTATGAAAAAACTTAACAGAATGTACAGCACCTATAAGAAAATAAACCATTACTTGAACAAATGAACAATCATACTATATTCATGGATGGGAAGACATGCTATCATAAAAATATCTCCCCCCAATTAATATAAATTTAAAGCAATTTCAGTTAGAGCTCTGCATTAGTCAGAGGGTAGGAAAAAAATATATACATATGAGTTTATTGGAAAGAATTGGCTCGAACGATTACAAGGCAAAGTCCCATAATAGGCCATCTGTAAGCTGGGAAGACAGAAGCCGGTAGTAGCTCAGTCCAAGTCTGAAAGCCTCAAACCAGGGAAGCCAACAGTGCAGTCTTCAGTCTGTGGCCCAAGGCCCAAGAGCCCCTGCCATGCCACTCGTGCAAGTCCCAAAGTGCAAAGGCCAAAGAACCTGAAGTCTAATGTCCAAGGGCAGGAGGAGTTGGAGGAAGCATGCAGCATGGGAGAAAGAAGGCAGCCCGAAGACTCAGCAAGCCAGCTTCTTTCCACCTTCTTCCGCCTGCTTTTGTTCTAGCTGAGGTGACAGCCAACGGGATGGTGCCCACCCACCTTGAAGGTGGGTCTTCCTTTCCCAATTCACTGACTTAAATATCAATCTCCTGTGGCAACACCCCCCTAGACACACCCAGAAACAATACTTTACCAGACATCTAGACATCCTTCAATCAAATTGACATCTAATATTAACCATCAAAACGCCAACAGTGTTGCATTTGTTTGTTTGCTGGTTGGAATTGGGTAATGTGATGTTCAAGATTATTCAAAAGGATAACTGTATCTGAGATTGCTAAAAAATATTAAAAACAATAGTGAGAGAGTCTTTCCATTACCATATTTCAGGACATATTCTAAAGTCACTGTAATAAAACCAACCTGATATAAGCAGGATAAAAAAGAATATGGAGCAAAGTAGAGAATTAGAAATGGATTCCTCTCAGTAGGAAGAGCTTGATTTATTTAATCAAAGACGTTGGCTCAACTGGTTCTCCATCTTGAGGAAAATCAAATTAGTTCCTAATTTATATCATAGTCTAGAATGAAAAAAGTTAATACAAAAAGAGAACAATAAAAATTATAAAAGAAATTTGGAAAGCTGAAAGTACTACCCAGGATTTGAGGAAAATTTTATTAAGATGGAAATCCCAGAATTTATAAAAAGAAAGCTTAACTTATTATATTAACTTAACTTATTATATTATATATAATATAGAAGAAATACAGATTACAAATGCATTTGACAGATGTATTAGGCTGTTTTTGCATTGCTATACAGAAATACCCAAGGCTGAGTAATTTATAAAGCCAAAAGGTTTAATTGGTTCATCATTCTTCAAGTTGTAGAATCATGGCATCAACATTTGGTTGGTTTCTGGTGAGCACCTTGGGAAGCTTACAGTCATGGTGGAAAGCAAAGTGGGAGCAGGCACATCACATGGCAAGAGCAGGAGCAAGCGAGCGAGGTTGGAGAGATTCGAGACTTTTAAACAACAAGATCTCACATGAACAAGCTGAGTGAGAACTCACTTATCACCAGGGAGATGGTGCTAAACCATTTATGAGGGATCTGCCCCCATGATCCATTCACTTCCCACCCGGCCCCACCTCCAAGATTGGGAGTTGTGTTTCAACACGAGATTGGAAGGGGACAAATATTCAAACCATATCATTCTGCTCCTGGTTCCCCAAATCTCATGTTCCTCTCACATCTCAAAATACAATCATGCCTTCACAATAGTTCTCTAAAGTCTTAACTTGTTGCAGTAATAACTCAAAAGTTATTGAGTTGAGACTCAATCACTTTAGTTACTGACTAAAGTCCCAAGTTCCAAGTCCCAATTCTCATCTTGAGATGAGTTCCTTCCTCCTATGAGCCTGTGACATCAAAAACAAATTATTTACTCCCAAGATACAATGATGGTACAGGCATTGGGTATATATTTCCATTCCAAAAGGGAGAAGTTGGTCAAAAGAAAGAGGCTACAGACCTCGCACAAGTCTGAAACCCAGTAGGGCAGACATTAAATCTTGAAGCTCCAAAATAATCTCCTTTGACTTCATGTCCTGCATCCAGGGCACGATGGTTCAAGGGGTGGGCTCCCAAGGACTTGGGCAGCCCTGCTCCTGTGACTTTGCAGGGTTCAGCCCCCATGACTTCTCTCAGGGGTTGTAGTTGTGTGCCTGCAGCTTTTCCACGTTAAGGATGTGAGCTGTCAGTGGATCTACCAGTCTGGGATCTGGAGGGCAGCAGCCTCCTTCCCACAGCTGCACTAGGCAGTCCTCTGGTGGGGACTCTGTGTGGGGCCTCCAATCTCACATTTTCCCTCTGCACTGCCCTAGTAGAGGTTCTCTGTGAAGGCTCTGTTCCTGTGACAGGCTTCTGCCTGGGCCCCAGGCTTTCTCATACATGCTCTGAAATCTAGGTGGAGGATGCCAAGCCTTCTTCACTCTTACATTCAATGCACCTGCAGGCTTAATACCATGTGGAAGCTACCAAGGCTTATGGTGGCTTGTGCTCTCCCAAGGGGAGGCCTGAGCCGTATCTGGGGCCCTTTGGGCCAAGGCTGAAGCCGCAGCAGCTGGGATATGGGGAGCAGTGTCCTGAGGCTGCACAGGGCAGTGGGGCCCTCGCTGTGGCCCACAACTAGGGCCTCCTAGGCCTCTGGACCTGTGATGGGAGGATCTGCCTCAGAGATTTCTGAAATGTATTTGAAGCCTTTTTCCCTTTGTCTTTGATAGTAGCACTTGGCTCCCTTTTAGTCATACTAATCTCTCTAGCAAGTGACTGCTCCACAGCCAGCTTGTATTTCTCTCCTGAAAATGCCTTTTCCTTTTCTACCAAATGGCCAAGTTGTGAATTTTCCAATTTTTTTTAATGCTCTGCTTCCCTTTTAAATATAAGTTCCAACTTTAAGTAATTTATTTGCTGCCATATCTAATTGTAGGCTGTTTGAAGCAGACGGCCACTTCTTGAATGCTTTGCTGTTTAGAAGTTTCTTCCACCAGATACCCTGTCTTCACTCTTAAGTTCTAACTTCCACAGATCCCTAGGGCATGAACACAATGCAGCCAAGTTCTTTGCTAAGGCATAACACAAATGACCTTCACTCCATTTCCCAATAACTTCCTTATTTCCATCAGAGACGTCCTTAGCCTGACCTTCACTGTTCATATTTCTGTGAGCATTTTGGTTACAACCATTTAACCAGTCTCTAAGAAGTTCCAAACTTTTCCTCATCTTCCTGTCTTCTTCTGAGGCCTTCAAACTCATCCAACCTCTACCCATTACCCAGTTCCAAAGCTGCTTCCACATTTTCAAGTATCCTTATAACAATGTCCCACTCCTTGGTATCAATTTTCTGTATTAGGCTGTTTCTGTGTTGCTATAAGGAAATACTTGAGACTGTGTAACTTATAAAGAAAAGAGATTTAACTGGCGTACCATTCTACAGGCTGCACAGGAAGCATGAAAGCAACATCTGCTCGGCTTCTGCTGAGGGCCTCAGGAAGCTTACAATCATGGTGGAAGGCAAAGTGGAAGCAGGCATGTCACATGGTTAGAGTGAAAGCAAGAGGGCAGAGGGTGAGGTGAGATGTCTCAGACTTTTAAACAACCAGATCTCATGTGAACTAATGGAGTGAGAACTCACTTATCACCAAATAAATGATTCTAAACCATTCATGAGGGATCCATCCCCGTGATCCTATCACCTCACACCAGGCCCCGCCTCCAATAATGGGAATTACATTTCAACATGAGATTTGAAGGGGACAAACATCCAAACTACATCAATAGACAATGTGTTAAAATCTATATATATAATGATCTCTTACAAGTTTGACAAAAACATAAAGAAAAGGATACAAAAAAACCCCAAAATAGGCAAAAAGATATGAGTAAGTACTATGGAAGAGCAGATACTAGGGGCCAGAAACATAGAAAAAGGTGGTCAGATTTAGTAATAGGGAAATGATTTACTACTACTTTAGATCCTGCATTAATATGACTTTAGACTGACAAAAAGGAAAAACAATGGTAACACCTATTACTGACAGGTATGCAAGAAAATCTAAATTGCTACTAAAAATATGAATTGTTATTGCCATTTTAAAAAGTGTTCTGAATTTTTATCTGTCGCAATTCATTATGATAAAGATGCACTTACCTTTCAAACCAGCCCTCTTCAAAATGCAGTCTCGTAGGAATGTACTTTGTAGAAATAAAAGGTTTAAGTCAAGGATGCTTATTGATGCATTGTTTGTAGTGCAAAAATTGAGAAGCAAAATGAATGCACATCAGTAAAGGAATGGTTGAATTGTATCAGTGTATCAGTCAGGATTTAATGCAGGAAATAGAAAGCACTCCATGTGTTTTCTGTAGAAAGAGATGTACTACAAGGAATTATAGGGTTACTCAATCATTGGAAGGGCTGTGACTCCTAAAACATCACAGAACTGACCCATTGAGGAGGTCACCACTAAGCATGTATGATATGATCATATATAGGTAAAATGGTGTGTGTGAGATTTTATGAACATGGAGGAAAGTATGGAGTGCTTTACACTAGGTAGTAGACACACGTTATCTCTCTCTCTCTCTCTCTCTCTCTCTCTGTGTGTGTGTTGAGGCTGATATGAGGGAGGAGAGCAAGGAGGAGGAGGCAAGCAGAGAGGCAAAAAATGCTGTCCTAAACTCAAGCATATATATGATCCCATTCATGCAAAATTATATTATTGTGCACATATATGACTATGATTGGAGAAATTAGAATAAAAACTAGGATTAAATCTATATCCAGTGATGATACCTATGTTTGCTGACCTTGAGGGTGGAATAGTCTGTTGTAGTAATAGCCTCCAATGAAGCCATATGCTTGTGCAGTCTCCTCTTCCTCTGGCCCTGGACCTGGCCATGTGACTTGCTCTGGCCAATGGGACAAACATGTTGCAAGCAGAAGCTTCTATCTGTGCACTTGGCTTGCCCCCTTGGAATGCTACCACCATGTGAAGACATCTGCTGGACACATATTGCCAAGCTGATAGCACCAACTACCAACATGTGAGTGAAGCCATTTGGACTATTCAGCTGCTAAATGACTGTTTTCACATGAATTACCCCAGGGGAGAACAGCAGAAGAACTGTCCAGCTGAGCCTTGCTCCAATTGCTAACCTTCAGAATCATAAGGAAATAAATGACTGCTATTTTAAGCTGGAGGTTAGCAAACTTTTTCTTCAAAGACCAGAGAGTACATATTTTAGGCTTGTGGGCCGCATGGGCTTTATCACAACTGCTTACCTCTGTGTTGTAGGGCAAAGCCAGCCATAGACAATAAAAAAATGAATGGTGTATCTGTGCTCCAATAAAAGTTTTATTTACAAAGACAGATGGCTGGTTCACAGCCTGTAGTTCGGCAACCCCATATTAAATTAGTCAGTTATGCTGCAATCACTAACTGATAAAGAGAAATGTCCATCATATTGTCAAGTGGAGAAAGTCAGGTTGTAGAATGCTGTATAGAGTGTGATTTTATATTGTCAAAAAAAAACCCTTAAAAAACCCAGAAAACCTCTTGTATATGTGCACGTCTGCATGAATACATATAAATAAGTGAGGATAAAGTTCCAGAAGAATATATACCAGCCTTTTGACTCTGGATGCAAAGTAGTGGAGAATTGGGTGTAAGCATGGTGGAGGTATACTGAAATGAATAGTTTTATGTTGTTTCATGTTTTACAATGAGCATATTAATTCTGAACTTTGAAAAAAGATAAATATAGAAAAATATACGTAAGTGCCTTGAAATTTTCATTCAGCGTGGTTGAAGATCGCATAAAGCTAATGATGCTGTCCATGGAAGGCATAAAAAATGTTCTCTAGCTCCATCTTCCATCATCACTAGAGGATGCAAGGACTTTGCCATGGGGCAGGAGTGGGTGGCTGGTGGTAACAGGAAGGATGTACCTGCTGAGGATGAGCAGTAATTTTCTGTTTGAGTCTGTTTTCCTAGGCTTGGATTTTCCGAAGGTAGAACAGAGGTCTGAAAGTCACGGTCATTGCTTAATGGCCTGGCCACCTAATAATTCATGAAGGTCATCCATCTTGCTTTCTCTGACTAGATCTTTTTGGATTGAGTCTCTGCTTTTGGCCAACTGCTGCCTTGCCACAAGAATACCTCACCAAAACAGCAGGGCCTTCTGGCAAGCTCTTGCCATCATTAGCGTGGGCTGTGGGAGTCTGTGTTATAATTTGTGAAAACGTGTCCTCACTGGAATGTAAAATTTCTTCTTTTCTCTGCAGAAAACCTCTCTTGATTGATCATTTCAGTTGTTGTGAGAAGGAAATCATTTATAAGAAGAATCATTGAATAGCATAGCAAGTTTTAAAAAAGCGTTTAATAGCCTCTGGCAGAAATTCCCTATTGAGTCAGTGAGTGTGGGCAGAGAATGTGAGATGAGCCCTCATACAGTGGAATTTTACAGTGAATCCTTTGGCCCTCTGACACTTAGCCATCCCCTCACAGAAAGGCCAGTTGAGTCAATCAGGAAGAATTGCTCTCAGGCCCAGATGACTGACAATTTAAACATATTTGGAAACTATGACTAATACACATGGGTGGAGAAATTTTTTGAAGGGGGCTGTTTAAGAAAAACTATTTGAACTAATAGTACTTCATTTAAACACACATATTAGGCATATGTATGCATATGTATCTCATATACACACATATATGCATGTATGTATCATATACATCTCTCTCTCACACACACACCCCTTATCCTGCACAATGTTTTAGCAGTTTGATATCTATTATCGCATTTAAATAAGCATATAGACTTTTTTGGAGACAGGGTCTCACTCTACTGCCCAGGCTGTAGAACACTGGCACAATCATGGCTCACTGCAGTCTTGACCTCCTGGGCTCAAGCAATCCTCCCACCTCAGCCTCTCAAATAGCTAAGACCACGGGCAGGCACCATAATGCCTGGCTAATTTATTTATTTTAAATGTTTTTGTAGAGATGAGGTCTCCCTATGTTGTCCAGGCTAGAATAGACTTACTGATAATGATTTAAGTCAATGTTTGGTTTAGTCTTAATTTACCTGTACAAGAAAAGAATTTCATCAACTGATGATATTATGCTGATGTGACAATAAATTTTGAAGTTATTTTAGCTTCACAGTGAACCTGATTCCTATAGATTTCTCGGTGGCAGGGCAAGAAGGAACAGAGCAGGCACATGCAATGAAGGTGCTAGTTTTTCAAATGCTAGCATGGCCCACAGTGGTGGGGGAGGAGGGCATAAACCACCCTTTTTTTGTCCTCTGTGAACCGAAGGTAAGAATCAGGAATAAAATACACAAAGGGAGTTAGAACTACCAAACCCAGCCATACTTTAAGGACATGGAACAGAATCCCTTTGAGAATATATTGATTTTTTGTGTTTATTTTTAAAGAAAAAAAAGATAATACCACCATAACCAAATAGGATTTGACACAGTGAAATGAAATTGCAGGAATTGATTTGGGAAAAGGTCTCCCACCATGTGAAAAAGGTTTGGAATAAATGGCCTTGAGGACCCTCCCAGGCCAATTTCCTTGATTGTATATTTACATGACTACTAGGACACAGGATATCTGGTGTCAATCAAGCACCACAATCCCTTGGGCAGGATGGCTTCAGTATTGCATCTCAGCTGAGCTGCATCTAGGCTTTAAGACTGGTTTATAGGTTAAAAAAAATTAACAGTTGGATACAATGTTCACTATTGGGGTGATAGGTACACTAGAAGACCTAATCTCATAATTATGCAATTATCCATGTAACAAATCTGCATATGTACTCCCTGTGTTAATCTGTTCTCACACTGCTATAAAGAAATACCTGAGACTGGGTAATTTATAAAGAAAAGAGATTTAATTGACTCACAGTTCCACAGGCTGTACAGAAATCTTGGCTGAGGAGGCCTCAGGAAACTTACAGTCATGGCAGAAGCAAGCACATATTCACATGGTGACAGGAAAGAGAGAGAGAGAGCAAAGGGGGAAGTGCTACATGCTTTTAACCATCAGATACTGTGAAAACTCACTCACTATCACGAGGACAGCAAGGGGGAAATCCACCCCCATGATCCAATCACCTTCCACCAGGTCCCTCCCCCAACACTGGGAGTTACAATTCAACATGAGATTTTGGTGGGGACATAGAGCCAAACCATACTACCTTCTGAGTTTAAAATTTAAAAAAAGATACAGAAAAGAGATACTGGTTTATGCACTCTCTTGATAATTCAAGAACTTTAGTTCTGGAAATTTGGAGACAGAGGGACTCTAGAATTTAACCTGTCCCAGCTGCAGAGGAGTGCAACCCCTTTCTCAATGCTTTGCTAGGATGAATGACAAAACAGTGGCTAAAGTTGGGAGAAACACAGTGCATTAGTTCATTTTCACACTGCTATAAAAATGTTACCTGAGACTGGGTAATTTATAAACAAAAGAGATTTAGTTGACTCATAGTTCTGCATGGCTGGAGAGACCTCAGGAAACTTACAATCATGGCGGAAGGCGAAGGGGAAGCAAGGCACCTCTTACATGGAGGCAGGACAGAGAGAGAGCTCAGGAGAAACTGCCACTTTTAAACCATCAGATCTCATGAGAACTCGCTCAATATCATGAGAACAGCATGGGGGAAACCACCCCCGTGATCCAGTCACCTCTCACTAGGTCGCCCCCTCGACATGTAGGGATTACAATTCCAGATGAGATTCTATCTGGGACAAGAAGATGGGTTTTTGAGGGCATTGGCTTGTCCTTTGTCTTTCATGCCCCTTTGCCAGCATTTGATGGGGAAGGGCCTGACAGAGAACAGAAAGGAGATTTTAATGGGCGCACGAAGCTTCTGATTGCCTGTCTCTCCAACCTAGATGTGGCTGGCTGCCTTGATGTTGGCTTCAGGGAGGCAGTTCTGTGAGGGGAGGCCTTTGCTCACATGCAGGAGCAACACAGTGTAGAAGTTAAGCACATGGAGTCTGGAATCAGACTCTTACCAGCTGCATGACTTTGGGCAAATAACATACCATGTTTCAGTTTCTTCACCTATTCAGATGAACATAATGATATCCTTATAGGTTACTTGTGCTGATTAAATTATGTTTCCATATGAAAATACACTATTATAGGCATGTAATAATCCAAGTACTGGGCACAAAAAAACCATAATTTAAGTACTTAATAAATCATTCCATACATTTATTGTTTCTCACAAAGCATTTATTGATATTCTTGTGGGCAGATAGAGTCAGATCAACACTAACTCCTATGCCAAAGCGTTCATAGACCCTGATCTCGGTATTTTTCTTGGAATATGTGGGAGGGCATTCATTGGAGGTGTGCTCCAAATTTAAGTGATTGGCTGAATTGAAATAAGCCTGATTATGTGGAAGAAGGAGGTGGCAGTCCATGAGGACAGGCTAGGGAACAGAAACAACTAAAAGCAGCATTTTGTTAGCTGAATGCTGTGCTTGAGGGGCCTTCAACCAAGTTCTGTCAGTGAGACTTGTATTCCCTGCACAAAGGTGCTGCTCATCAATAACATTTATTCCATTATTATCCAATCATAGAGCCTGATGACAGTCCTTCATTATCCACTTGAGAGGACTTTTCTTTGACTCTAACTGCATAGCAGAGAACAGGAACCAGCTGCTGACTGGGGAGGGCAGACACATAATCACTCAGCTTGTATTAATGCAGCGCAGGGAAAGTGACAAGTCTGCAGTTCATGTTCTTACAAAGATGATGAGCTGTCTCAAACCAGCAATTTGGCTAAAAAAGAGTCTGCAAGACTCCAAGTAAATTTGTCATTTTATGTTCTCCTCCTCTTTCCTAAGTGTTAATGCAAGTTTGCAGTTGAATTTCAGATATTCTGAAATCTCATTTCCTGGCATTCATTGATGCTACACTGGAAGCAGGATGCTAAGTTGCTAAGGACAGTATATTTTTCTTTTGCACCCAGTGAATCTCAGAACAACATATACGTATACGTATACTTTTTCTATTATTCTTTTTGCTGTGACTTTATAATCTTCTGACCTAGAAGCTATCTCATTTCATTTAGTTCTTGAAATTTTTGGTGAGCCATTGTTTACAATACCAACATTACTCCATGAGTGCCCAGATTTTTTTAATTTATACTTTAAGTTCTGGGGTACATGTGCAGAATGTGCAGGCTTATTACATAGGTATACATGTGCCATGGTGATTTGCTGCACCCATCAACCCATCATCTACATTAGGTATTTCTCATAATGCTACCTCTCCCCTAGCCCCCCATCCCCTGACAGGCCCTGGTGTGTGATGTTCCCCTCCCTGTGTCCATGTGTTCTCATTGTTCACTTCCCACTTATGAGTGAGAACATGCAGTGTTTGGTTTTCTGTTCTTGTATTAGTTTGTTGAGAATGATGGTTTCCAGCTTCATCCATGTCTCTGCAAAGGACATGAACTCATCCTTTTTTATGGCTGCATAGTATTCCATGGTGTATATGTGCCACATTTTCTTTACCCAGTCTGTCACCGATGGGCATCTGGGTTGGTTCCAAGTCTTTGCTATTGTGAACAGTGCTGCAATAAACATACATGTGCATGTGTCTTTATAGTAGAATGATTTATAATCCTTTGAGTATATACCCAGTAATGAGATTGCTGGGTCAAATGGTATTTCTAGTTCTAGATCCTTGAGGAATTGTCACAGTGTCTTCCACAATGGTTGAACTAATTTATACTCCCACCAACAGTGTAAAAGCGTTCCTATTTCTCCACATCCTCTTCAGCATCTGTTGTTTCCTGACTTTTTAATGAGTGCCCAGATTTTTAACATAGCAGACAGAATGTCCCTCCTTTCTTTTCCTTTTCCTTTTTCTTTCTCTTTTCTTTCTTTCTTTCTTTCTTCTTTCTTTCTCTTTCTCTTTCTTTCTTTCTTTCTTTCTTTCTTTCTTTCTTTCTTTCTTTCTTTCTTTCTTTCTTTCTTTCTTTCTCTCTCTCTCTCCCTCTCTCTCTCTCTCTCTCTCTCTCTTTCTTTCTTTCTTTTTTGACAAAGTCTTGCTCTGTCACCCAGGCTGGAGTGCAGTGACATGATCTTGGCTCACTGCAACTTCCACCTCCCAGCTTCAAGTGATTCTCCTGCCTCAGCCTCTCAAATAGCTGGGACTACAGGTGCATACCACCACACTTAGATAATTTTTGTATTTTTAGTAGATACGGGGTTTTTCCATGTTGGCCAGGCTGGTTGAAACTCCTGGCCTCAAGTGATCTGCCCACCTCGGCCTCCCAAAGTGCTGGGATTACAGGCATGAGCTACTGTGCCTGGCCAAAATGTACTTTCTCTGGAGTCAAGTGAATGATGTTTGATTTTACAATTGGTCCTGGCATTTTTTTTTTTTTTTTTTTTTTACAGTTTTATTTTTATTTATTTTTAAAAAATTATTATTATACTTTAAGTTTTAGGGTACATGTGCACAATGTGCAGGTTAGTTACATATGTATACATGTGCCATGCTGGTGTGCTGCACCCATTAACTCGTCATTTAGCATTAGGTATATCTCCTAATGCTATCCCTCCCCCCTCCCCCCACCCCACAACAGTCCCCAGAGTGTGATGTTCCCCTTCCTGTGTCCATGTGTTCTCATTGTTCAATTCCCACCTATGAGTGAGAATATGCGGTGTTTGGTTTTTTGTTCTTGCGATAGTTTACTGAGAATGATGATTTCCAATTTCATCCATGTCCCTACAAAGGACATGAACTCATCATTTTTTATGGCTGCATAGTATTCCATGGTGTATATGTGCCACATTTTCTTAATCCAGTCTATCATTGTTGGACATTTGGGTTGGTTCCAAGTCTTTGCTATTGTGAATAGTGCCACAATAAACATACGTGTGCATGTGTCTTTATAGCAGCATGATTTATAGTCCTTTGGGTATATACCCAGTAATGGGATGGCTGGGTCAAATGGTATTTCTAGTTCTAGATCCTTGAGGAATCGCCACACTGACTTCCACAATGGTTGAACTAGTTTACAGTCCCAACAACAATGTAAAAGTGTTCCTATTTCTCCACATCCTCTCCAGCACCTGTTATTTCCTGACTTTTTAATGATTGCCATTCTAACTGGTGTGAGATGGTATCTCATTGTGGTTTTGATTTGCATTTCTCTGATGGCCAGTGATGGTGAGCATTTTTTCATGTGTTTTTTGGCTGCATAAATGTCTTCTTTTGAGAAGTGTCTGTTCATGTCCTACACCCACTTTTTGATGGGGTTATTTGTTTTTTTCCTTGTAAATTTGTTTGAGTTCATTGTAGATTCTGGATATTAGCCCTTTGTCAGATGAGTAGGTTGCAAAAATTTTCTCCCATTTTGTAGGTTGCCTGTTCACTCTGATGGTAGTTTCTTTTGCTGTGCAGAAGCTCTTTAGTTTAATTAGATCCCATTTGTCAATTTTGGCTTTTGTTGCCATTGCTTTTGGTGTTTTAGACATGAAGTCCTTGCCCATGCCTGTGTCCTGAATGGTAATGCCTAGGTTTTCTTCTAGGGTTTTTATGGTTTTAGGTCTAACGTTTAAGTCTTTAATACATTTTGAATTAATTTTTGTATAAGGTGTAAGGAAGGGATCCAGTTTCAGCTTTCTACATATGGCTGGCCAGTTTTCCCAGCACCATTTATTAAATAGGGAATCCTTTCCCCATTGCTTGTTTTTCTCAGATTTGTCCAAGATCAGATAGTTGTAGATATACAGCGTTATTTCTGAGGGCTCTGTTCTGTTCCATTGGTCTATATCTCTGTTTTGGTACCAGTACCATGCTGTTTTGGTTACTGTAGCCTTGTAGTATAGTCTGAAGTCAGGTAGCGTGATGCCTCCAGCTTTGTTCTTTTGGCTTAGGATTGACTTGGTGATGCGGCTTCTTTTTTGGTTCCATATGAACTTTAAAGTAGTTTTTTCCAATTCTGTGAAGAAAGTCATTGGTAGCTTGATGGGGATGGCATTGAATCTATAAATTACCTTGGGCAGTATGGCCATTTTCATGATATTGATTCTTCCTACCCATGAGCATGGAATGTTCTTCCATTTCTTTGTATCCTCTTTTATTTCATTGAGCGGTGGTTTGTAGTTCTCCTTGAAGAGGTCCTTCATATCCCCTGTAAGTTGGATTCCTAGGTATTTTATTCTCTTTGAAGCAATTGTGAATGGGAGTTCACTCATGATTTGGCTCTCTGTTTGTCTGTTGTTGGTGTATAAGAATGCTTGTGATTTTTGTGCATTGATTTTGTATCCTGAGACTTTGCTGAAGTTGCTTATCAGCTTAAGGAGATTTTGGGCTGAGACCATGGGGTTTTCTAGATATACAATCATGTCATCTGCAAACAGGGACAATTTGACTTCCTCTTTTCCTAATTGAATACCCTTTATTTCCTTCTCTTGCCTAATTGCCCTGGCCAGAACTTCCAACACTATGTTGAATAGGAGTGGTGAGAGAGGGCAACCCTGTCTTGTGCCAGTTTTCAAAGGGAATGCTTCCAGTTTTTGCCCATTCAGTATGATATTGGCTGTGGGTTTCTCATAGATAGCTCTTATTATTTTGAGATACGTCCCATCAATACCTAATTTATTGAGAGTTTTTAGCATGAAGGTTGTTGAATTTTGTCAAAGGCCTTTTCTGCATCTATTGAGATAATGATGTGGTTTTTGTCTTTGGTTCTGTTTATATGCTGGATTACATTTATTGATTTGCGTATATTGAACCAGCCTTGCATCCCAGGGATGAAGCCCACTTGATCATGGTGGATAAGCTTTTTGATGTGCTGCTGGATTTGGTTTGCCAGTATTTTATTGAGGATTTTTGCATCAATGTTCATCAAGGATATTGGTCTAAAATTCTCTTTTTTTGTTGTGTCTCTGCCTGGCTTTGGTATCAGGATGATGCTGGCCTCGTAAAATGAGTTAGGGAGGATTCCCTCTTTTTCTATTGATTGGAATAGTTTCAGAAGGAATGGTACCAGTTCCTCCTTGTACCTCTGGTAGAATTTGTCTGTGAATCCATCTGGTCCTGGACTCTTTTTGATTGGTAAGCTATTGATTATTGCCACAATTTCAGAGCCTGTTATTGGTCTATTCAGAGATTCACCTTCTTCCTGGTTTAGTCTTGGGAGGGCGTATGTGTCGAGGAATTTATCCATTTCTTCTAGATTTTCCAGTTTATTTGCATAGAGGTGTTTGTAGTTATCTCTGATGGTAGTTTGTACTTCTGTGGGATCAGTGGTGATATCCCCTTTATCATTTTTTATTGTGTCTATTTGATTCTTCTCTCTTTTCTTCTTTATTAGTCTTGCTAGTGGTCTATCAATTTTGTTGATCCTTTCAAAAAACCAGCTCCTGGATTCAATAATTTTTTGAAGGGTTTTTTGTTTCTCTATTTCCTTCAGTTCTGCTCTGATTTTAGTTATTTCTTGCCTTCTGCTAGCTTTTGAATGTGTTTGCTCTTGCTTTTCTAGTTCTTTTAATTGTGATGTTAGGGTGTCAAATTTGGATCTTTCCTGCTTTCTCTTGTGGGCATTTAGTGCTATAAATTTCCCTCTACACACTGCTTTGAATGTGTCCCAGAGATTCTGGTATGTTGTGTCTTTGTTCTCATTGGTTTCAAAGAACATCTTTATTTCTGCCTTCATTTCGTTATGTACCCAGTAGTCGTTCAGGAGCAGTTTGTTCAGTTTCCATGTAGTTGAGCAGTTTTGAGTGAGTTTCTTAATCCTAAGTTCTAGTTTGATTGCAATGTGGTCTGAGAGACAGTTTGTTATAATTTCTGTTCTTTTACATTTGCTGAGGAAAGCTTTACTTCCAAGTATGTGGTCAATTTTGGAATAGGTGTGGTGTGGTGCTGAAAAAAATGTATATTCTGTTGATTTGGGGTGGAGAGTTCTGTAGATGTCTATTAGGTCCGCTTGGTGCAGAGCTGAGTTCAATTCCTGGGCATCCTTGTTAACTTTCTGTCTCGTTGATCTGTCTAATGTTGACAGTGGGGTGTTAAAGTCTCCCATTATTATTGTGTGGGAGTCGAAGTCTCTTTGTAGGTCACTCAGGACTTGCTTTATGAATCTGGGTGCTCCTGTATTGGGTGCATATATATTTAGGATAGTTAGCTCTTCTTGTTGAATTGATCCCTTTACCATTATGTAATGGCCTTCTTTGTCTCTTTTGATCTTTGTTGGTTTAAAGTCTGTTTTATCAGAGACTAGGATTGCAACCCCTGCCTTTTTTTGTTTTCCATTTGCTTGGTAGATCTTCCTCTATCCTTTTATTTTGAGCCTATGTGTGTCTCTGCACATGAGATGGGTTTCCTGAATACAGCACACAGATGGGTCTTGACTCTTTATCCAATTTGCCAGTCTGTGTCTTTTAATTGGAGCATTTAGTCCATTTACATTTAAAGTTAATATTGTTATGTGTGAATTTGAGCCTGTCATTATGATGTTAGCTGGGTATTTTGCTCGTTAGTTGATGCAGTTTCTTCCTAGCCTCGATGGTCTTTACAATTTGGCATGATTTTGCAGTGGCTGGTACCGGTTGTTCCTTTCCATGTTTAGCGCTTCCTTCAGGAACTCTTTTAGGGCAGGCCTGGTGGTGTGACAAAATCTCTCAGCATTTGCTTGTCTGTAAAGTATTTTATTTCTCCTTCACTTAGGAAGCTTATTTTGGCTGGATACGAAATTCTGGGTTGAAAATTCTTTTCTTTAAGAATGTTGAATATTGGCCCCCATTGTCTTCTGGCTTGTAGAATTTCTGCTGAGAGATCCGCTGATAGTCTGATGGGCTTCCCTTTATGGGTAACCCGACCTTTCTCTCTCGCTGCCCTTAACATTTTTCCCTTCATTTCAGCTTTGGTGAATCTGACAATTATGTGTCTTGGAGTTGCTCTTCTTGAGGAGTATCTTTGTGGTGTTCTCTGTATTTCCTGAATCTGAATGTTGGCCTGCCTTGCTAGATTGGGGAAGTTCTCCTGGATAATATCCTGCAGAGTGTTTTCCAACTTGGGTTCATTCTCCCCGTCACTTTCAGGTACACCAATCAGACGTAGATTTGGTCTTTTCACATAGTCCCATATTTCTTGGAGGCTTTGTTCGTTTCTTTTTATTCTTTTTTCTCTAAACTTCCCTTGTTGCTTCATTTCATTCATTTCATCTTCCATCACTGATACCCTTTCTTCCAGTTGATTGCATCGGCTCCTGAGGCTTCTGCATTCTTCACATAGTTCTCGAGCCTTGGCTTTCAGCTCCATCAGCTCCTTTAAGCACGTCTCTGTATTGGTTATTCTAGTTATACATTCGTCTAAATTTTTTTCAAAGTTTTTAACTTCTTTGCCTTTGGTTTGAATTTCCTCCTGTAGCTCGGAGTAGTTTGATCGTCTGAAGCCTTCTTCTCTCAACTCATCAAAATCATTCTCCGTCCAGCTTTGTTCCGTTGCTGGTGAGGAACTGCGTTCCTTTGGAGGAGGAGAGGTGCTCTGCTTTCTAGAGTTTCCAGTTTTTCTGCTCTGTTTTTTCCCCATCTTTGTGGTTTTATCTACTTTTGGTCTTTGATGATGGTGATGTACAGATGGGTTTTTGGTGTGGATGTCCTTTCTGTTTGTTAGTTTTCCTTCTAAGAGACAGGACCCTCAGCTGCAGGTCTGTTGGAGTTTGCTAGAGGTCCACTCCAGACCCTGTTTGCCTGGGTACCAGCAGCAGTGGCTGCAGAACAGCGGATTTTCATGAACTGCGAATGCTGCTGTCTGATCGTTCCTCTGGAAGTTTTGTCTCAGAGGAGTACCTGGCCCTGTGTGGTGTCAGTCTGCCCCTACTGGGGGGTGCCTCCCAGTTAGGCTGCTCGGGGGTCAGGGGTCAGGGACCCACTTGAGGAGGCAGTCTGCCCATTCTCAGATCTCCAGCTGCGTGCTGGGAGAACCACTGCTCTCTTCAAAGCTATTAGACAGGGACATTTAAGTCTGCAGAGGTTACTGCTGTCTTTTTGTTTGTCTGTGCCCTGCCCCCAGAGGTGGAGCCTACAGAGGCAGGCAGGCCTCCTTGAGCTGTGGTGGGCTCCACCCAGTTCGAGCTTCCTGGCTGCTTTGTTTACCTAAGCAAGCCTGGGCAATGGCGGGCGCCCCTCCCCCAGCCTCACTGCCGCCTTGCAGTTTGATCTCAGACTGCTGTGCTAGCAATCAGTGAGACTTCGTGGGCGTAGGACCCTCCGAGGCAGGTGCGTGATATAATCTCCTGGTGCGCCGTTTTTTAAGCCTGTCGGAAAAGCGCAGTATTAGGGTGGGAGTGACCCGATTTTCCAGGTGCCATCTGTCACCCCTTTCTTTGACTAGGAAAAGGAACTCCCTGACCCCTTGTGCTTCCCGAGTGAGGCAATGCCTCGCCCTGCTTCGGCTCACGCACGGTGCGCTGCACCCACTGTCCTGCACCCACTGTCTGGCACTCCCTAGTGAGATGAACCCGGTACCTCACATGGAAATGCAGAAATCACCCGTCTTCTGCGTCGCTCACGCTGGGAGCTGTAGACCGGAGCTGTTCCTATTCGGCCATCTTGGCTGGCAGTTCCCTGGCATTCTGTAGGTTTAGAAAAGACTTGGAAGAAAATATTCAAAACAGAGGGACTAGAGAAGGAATTAGAAGATATGATGCTTTTGAAATACAAAATTCTGTCAGTTGCAAAGAGAAATATTTCAGACTGGGGACAAATCAGAGCTGTCCAAAGGAGGAATTTGCCAGCTGAAAATGATGTTGCAGCAGCTCAGATAAGAGAAAGGAGAGGAGTCACAGTCAGGAGGCAGAGTGGCAAAGTTATGGACATGAGCCTGGGCATTTCCTTGAGATAATTCAGGCTTCCAGAGGTGGTCCAAAAGGGTTATAAAAAGACAGCTTGATGAATGTGGGCATCATTTTTTTTTTTTTTTTTACAATGCAAAGAATGGAATCCTATACAAGAATATTCTAACTAGGAAAAGGATTATCTTTGTGTAGACTAGCTGTACTGATCCGGGCCCTATGCCACCTGCTGCCAGCTGTCCCTACAATATGCCAGTTTACACTGATGTACTGGTGGGTGCGTCAAATATTCCTTTAATGGCAATAGTGACAGTGTGTTGTTTTCAGCATTTTTTGAACTTTTCTGCATTTTGAGCACTCTTTTTGTGTTGGAGCTTTGGACGTTTATTGAACTAGTGGCAAGTATGTTCCCTAGCTAAAGGAAGGCTCCCGCATGCAAGCCCACTGGCTGCTCCAGTCACCTCTGCAGAGCTGTGGTAGGCACAGAGAACAAGAAACTATTTCTTGAAAAGCCTACAGCAGTTCCTTGCTGCTGTCAATAATAGTAGTTATAGTTATAGAGCACTGTCCCCTGAGGAGCTCAAAGCACTTTATAGTTGCTGTCCCATTGATCCTCATAACACGAGTGTAACAGAGAGAAGGAGCAAGCATTGTCATCATTTTATAGATGGGGAACTTCACCAACGGAGGCAGAGATGACTTTCAGTTCATGTGGGGCACATTACATGTAGAGGTTTTATGACTTCTGATGTGCTGTATTAGTTACCCTGTTAAAGCGCATCGCCTCCAGAGCAGCCTTTCTCAATAAGGATCTCAACACAGGGGTATCCCAAAGACTTTTGCTGCTCCAAAATGCAAAGTCATTTAAAGATAATTTAGCTCTTTTTCTTTTATTTGTATTTTCACCAAAAAAGCTGTAGGGCGGCCTATTGTAAAAGTATATCCAAGGATGATAGAAGAACAAAGGCCAAATACTGGGTAATGGATATAGGACGGGGAGTTGGTGGATGGTGGTAAAAACTGTGCACTAAAGACAGTTACTGCACTTAAGCGTAACACTGGGCTTTGAGATTCCTGGCAGCCAAGGATAAAAGGCAAACATGATGACTTGTGAATGTCTCTATCTGATAAAATGAAATACGCTATGAGCAAGGGGATTTTAGGTGTGTGAGCTCAAGTGGACAAGCTAGCCCAAGAATAAAGATTAATTTTGTATCTTTTTGTTTTTTGTTTTGTTTTGAGATGGAATCTCACTCTGTCGCCCAGGCTGGAGTGCAATAGGTATGATCTTGGCTCACTGCACCCTCCGCCTCCTAGGTTCAAGCGATTCTCCTGTCTCAGCCTCCCAAGTAGCTGGGACTATAGGTGCCTGCCACCGCACCCAGCTAAGTTTTTGTATTTTTAGTAGAGACGGGGTTTCACCATGTTGGCCAGGCTGGTCTTGAACTACTGGTCTCAAGTGACCCGCCTGCCTCAGCCTCCCAAAGTGCTGGGATTACAGGCATAAGCCACTACGCCTGGCCTAATTTTGTATCTTTTGAAGCAATCTAAGGCCAATCACAAAGAGTGGCTGCTCACTCCCTTGCCTGATGTGGCCTATTTAAGCCCTTTGTCTGCCAGCCAGGAGGACTTGAAGGAGAAGGAGAAAGCCTCCTGGAGCAACCTCTCCATGGATGAAAAAGTTGAGTTGTGTTGCATTCAGTTCAACAGGAGCTTTTCTGGGATAAACAGGGGCATGAAAAAGTGGAAGATGGTTGTGGGCACTGCCATGTTCTTTGGCTTCACAGCTCTTGTTCTGATCCGGGAGAAACACTGTGTATGGTCTCATCCCACACGGCTTTGATGAAGAGTGTGGGCATGCAGACCAAGAGGATGCTAGACATGAAGTCAGTCCCATCTAGGACTTCTCTGCCAACTGGTACTACAACAAGAACCAATGGAAGTAGCAGAAGTCTGCTGTTTGTGCATCTGAACCTTGCCTTGTTCTGTCACTGCCAAGCAACTCAGCATATTTACCAGAAACTTGTTATGTCAAATAGTGCCAATGCTAATAAATGAGCAGTTTCCATGAAAAAAAAAAGTGGAAGGTGAAATGTGGTTAAAATTGGCATCAAGGGCTTCCTTAAAAGGAACAATGGGAACAGAAACCTTTAAGTGGCCACTTAGTGTCTGCAAGTGGTGGAGGGAACATTCTTCCCAGATGTCAGCCTCCATCTTTCTGTAATATTAGATGATGAAGTAGATTCTTCTTACATCAGCCATCTCAGTCTTCTCCCTGACTTGCAGTATTGCTTGGATGTCTGGAATCCTCAGCTGAGCTTTGAGAGTAGTAATCTCAACATGTACCCCAGGGGCAAGCTCAGATCCCCAAGTAAATACTAAATTCCAGAGAGGGTCCTATGCTCACTGTTGCCAAAAATAACCAGGTCTACAAGCTTCCTGTAAATTAAGGGCCCTTTCAACAAGTGTTTGACAGCTGAGTGATTCCATCTTTCTTACTTGTACTGTTTACTCTCAGCTATCTGAGAATAACCCTTTTGAGGGTTGCATTTTTAGAGGCTCAGCGTCTTCAGTTCTAGAAAATAAATGAGGATGTCACTAACTGTCCTAAACTTAAGCATTGTCGAAAATAAAATGCTGGTATTCCAAAAGTGGTCAGAGACCTTGAGTATTCTTTCCTACACTATCTTTGTGAGTGTCTTAGTCCTTTTTGTGTTGCTATAACAGAATACGACAGACTGGGAAATTTATAAAGAAACAAATTTATTTCTCACAATTCTGGAGGCTATGAAGTCCAACATCAAGGTGGTGGCCTCTGGTGAGGGCCTTCTTGCTGCATCATCCCACGGTGGTGGACAGAAGGACAAAAGAACATGAGAGAAGGAAGGGGGTCAAACTCATCTTTTTATCAGGAACCCACTTTGTGATAACTAATTTACTCCTCAGATAACTAACCCTGGGTACTCCTGAGACAACAGCATTAATCTATTCACGAGCTAACCACCTTAAAGGTGCCACCGCTCTACCTTGTTGTATCGAAGACTAAGTTTTCAACATCCAACACGTGAACTTTGGGGATACATTCAAACAGCAATAAGCAATGCTCACCTCGGCTCAATCTTTCCCAAATATATTTTCATCCATGGTATTTGTGTGCCTAAGAAATGCTGACAGCTAGAAATGAGGCAGAAAAGGAAAATATTCATAAATGTTGCTTTAGATAATAGTGCCTCTCAAGCCACTTGCTGCTTTTTTAACCAGCGGTAAAATAAAACTTGATTTTAGTAGCTATTCGTATTTTTTTTTCTGACTCGTAAAGAACTATGAAATGAAAACTAAGCTTTAAAAGCATTGCAGTTAATTGCTGCTAAGTCTCTCTCTTTCTCTCTCTATCTCTCTGTCTCTCTGTGTGTTTGTGTTTTAACACCTTCACATAATTTAGAAAATCAGGGAGATGAGGAATACAAATATGGGTCTAAATTACTCTTGGCTAATTACAGAACACTGTAATAGACTGACTAGCACAGAGCACTGCAGAGGGGGTTGAGGCTGGTGTTGAACTGCTGGACAGCTGAAGGGACACAGCACAACTGGGTGTCCCATGGTGGGGATGAAGGGGCAGAGGAAAGGGCTTTGTTCTGATAAAGCCCTTTTTCATTAGTTAAAATCAGTCCTGGCATAATATTTCCTTTAAAGACTGATCCTGTTAAATTGTGGGGAAGGCAGTAGTTTCAGCAATTGGAGGTGATATTTATGCTTTTCATCAATAAATAGACTCTACTGGGTCTGTAAGGCCTAGCTTCAAGTCCAGTCCTTGACAATATCATAAAATATATAAACGGGTCTTGGGTCCCCCTGCTTCTGCTGTACTCTTTTTCTCCTAGTTGTTTCCTTTTACCATTTACTAGGCTCTCAATTGTCTCCACTCAACAGGACATGCCTTGCTATATCAGTCACACTTTGTGTGTGAATTTAAGCCTATATATTTTCTCCCAAAGGGCAAAAATTAGTCCTTGGGGGCCAAAAAAGTCTTACTATTTTTACGTATAAATTACAAATATACATAGAATGCACAAATTGAAACACAGTATCTATATATCTGTGGTATTAAAATTTTATAGATGGGGGCAATTAGGAAAAAAAATCTAAAAAGGCCACTGAGGGGGTGGTGCAATAATGAAAATCAGGTTAGGAAACACTTCCTTAGATTGAGAGGCTTTGGCTCAAGTCTAAGTAAGTGGCCATTTCTCAGATGGTCAAGTCTTCAGCAAAACTCCTTGGCAATCTCTCTTTTGGGGGTAAGGAGGTTGAAGAAATTAATTGGGGCCCAGTGGCTTTTTTCAGTCACCCATAAGTTGCGGGTGGGGTTAAAATTAGAATTCATAGTGTGGTAAATCACTCCAGCCCAGGGAATGAAAGTTTTCAGAATCACCCAAAAAGCATTAGGAGGAAGAAGAAGGAAGAGAAGGAAGAGGAGGAAGAGGAAGAGAAAGAAGGGAGAGAGGAGGAGTGGGGGAAGGGAGCTGCTTGCTGGCATTTGGTTTCCTGTGAGGATCATTTATCCCTGTTTTTGGCTTTCCTTGGTTGAACATATTTGAGTGATAATGCCTTGGGATAAACTGGCATGCTGCCATGGGAGTTGAATTGCAGGAGGTAAATGCTTGTGGTATGTGGTTTCCCTTGACAGAAGTGCAATTCCCTCCTTCCCACTGACTCTCAAATCCAGCTCTGTGATCCTTCGGAGAACAATGCAAAGCTTTTCTTCCCTGGCTTTGGCATTTTCTGTCTTGCTGGCTCCTTTATTTGTTCACAGTCTTTGCTTTTGACTGAACAAGGTTTTGGTGCCTGATCTTTTTTTTTTTTTGAGATGGAGTCTCGCTCTGTCACCCAGGCTGGAGTGCAGTGGCGTGATCTCGGCTAGCTGCAAGCTCCGCCTCCCAGGTTCACGCCATTCTCCTGCCTCAGCCTCCCGAGTAGCTGGGACTACAGGCGTCCACCACCGCGCCCAGCTAATTTTGTTTTTTTATTTTTAGTAGAGATGGGGTTTCACCGTGTTAGCCAGGATGGTTTCAATCTCCTGACCTCGTGATCCGCCCGCCTCGGCCTCCCAAAGTGCTGGGATTACAGGCGTGAGCCACCGCGCCCGGCCTGGCACCTGATCTTGCATCTTACATCAGCCGGGGACATAGGCACAGTCAGTGAGTTTTGATAAGTCTTGCAGATAAATAGCCAGCTCTTGAATCACCATCAGGGCACCCAAGCAACACAGCGTTCTTACATGGATTAAATTAGCACCAAACTTTAAGAAGTGAAGAAAGAAGCACACAGGAAGTTGCCAACCCATCACTCTAATTCCTTACCTAAATTGCTAAAACAATCAATAGCAAAGACAATCTGGAAGCCCACTTGGGAAGCTAAGGTGATAAATGTGTTGTAGTCCCGTAATGGAGGGGATGGGGTTGGCAAATGGAAGCCCTTCTCAAGGGGGTCATTGGGGGGCTGCCATGGTAACCTCGGCATTGAACTCCTTGTATCTCTTGCGGATAGGTCTGGAATGTATTGGCCTAATTGGTTGGAACAACCAAAGGGAAGGGTTCACAGGAGGGTTGTCTGAGGTTCTTCTATGGTGGGTCACATGATCTGAAATCCATATGTGTTCGGGCCACATAAATTTTTCATTGATAGCAATAGCAAGTTGAGAGAGAGTCCCTGGGGGGCAAATGGGTATCAAGCTTGATTCAAACATGAATCACATACATCCAAAGCCTTATTTCTATCTCTATTTTGGTCATTCTTTATAGTGTCCTGAGTTTAAGGCATGTTTTTAGCAGTATTGGACATTAAGGGTTCAAGTTCGCATGATTAATTGCATTGGATTTGGTTTATACTAACTAATTAATCCATGCTGGCTGGCATGACACCTGGCAGTGGTCAGTTACACAAGGATAATGGAGTACAGATGGTCGGACCCTGCAGCCTATGCATTCATGTAGATCAAACAATTTAGAAAAAACTTTTCTTTTTCCTCAGAATCTTAGTAAGCTGCCCCTTAGAGACAGGTGGGTTACAATTTGTCATCCTCAGATTTTGTATAGAATGCCTAAGGTTGAGTGTGACAGCAATTGAGAGCTAGGGGTTCCTTTGAGCACACTGTCCAGAAGAGGAAGCTGTGAAATGGTGTGAACATCACTGTATTGGAGCCAGAAACCCTGGTTTCAAACCTCAGTGCTAATGAATTCTATGTGAACGACGCTGGACAAGTCGCTTGCATCTTTTTGACCCTAGTTTTCTCCTCTGTTAAGTGGAGATAATTCTTCCTTTCTTAAAAATTAGATTTTGTGTTTGTATGTGAAAGATCTTGGCATATTGTAGGCAGGCAATAGATGCGTAGCTTGATTTTTAAGGAGGCACAGGCCAAGTTTTTGTCAGGGAAGCAGTTACACAGATTCTCAGGAAGTATGTGATGCTGAAGGACTCACAGGAAAGGAGGGCCATGTCTATTTTCCTGAATTGACTTAAGGAGTCTTCCTGTTGAATGAAGCATCCTATTCTGTTCCTTGTCTTGCTAATGATCCTGCAGATGGTCCTGAAGAAGCGTGTATCATTTTTACCCACATTGCTCTGGCCAGAACTCAGTCTCATGGCCTCTGCCTAGCTCAAGGTGGGTGGGAGAGGCAGTCCACCCCTGGCTGGGCAGTGACTTCCCAGCAACATCTTCACATTATGGTGGGGTGGGAACATGCATCCTTGTTCAATAAACTGTCATTGATACAGTGCTAAATGCAGAAGGTCCTGGCACACAGAGGAGAAGTCTCATGGGATCATAGGAATTAAGGGGAAAGGAGAAAATGTTGGTTAATCTATCAAAAAAATTTTCTTGTTACAGTAAGAAAAGAGAACTCTCTGTCTCTAGCACCTGACCTCTTAGCCACTCTTGTAAATGAGTGCTTTTAAAGTCACCTGCCTGAGAGTAGTTAAAACACCACTTGTCAACCATTTGATTTCTTATTCCTTGTAAGCAGCATTTCAGTGCATTTAGGGACATAATCTACTGGATACAGTGGGACACACCAGTACAAAAAGGGATTTTGAATCTAATAGGATTTGAAAGGTAAGTATATTTTTATTTTCATGTATCGTGTGGGAAATTGATAGAAGGAGACATTTCAGGGTCTTGGCTCAAGCTTACATGGCAGATTAATAACTTGTCAGGGAACAGGACTCAGGAGTCCAGCAATCCCAGCCACGGCTTGTGGGACCCATATACTACATGGGTCAACTACACTTTGCAGCTCCTGCAGTTAAATGCAGTGTTTTTGTTACTCTGGCCGTGTGAGGAAATAAATATCTTCTGCTTTAATTCCCCTGCCCCGCAACCTCCTGCCCAAACTTCTTTTCAGGTTGGGTGCATTAACCATAAAACTACTTTTGTGGGAAAACAACTTGCCATTGAACTGTGCTGTGTGATTGGAAATTATGAGACATCTTCTCCATTTAATTCCCTAGGAAAATGAGCAGTTGCTAGACCTGGAACCTGTAGCAGCAGGCAAAGGCAAGGTCTGGATTAGGTACAGACCTCCTGTTTCGCCTTCCTGGGGTCCCAGTGTTCACAATGTTTTGTATTCCTGGACATGATACTTTTCTTCATGTCCTCCCTTTTCAGAATTGAGTTAAAATGGAATTTTCCTTAATGATGGTAGGTGAAAGCAGTTTTCGCAGAATCAACTTCAATTTTAAGAGCACCTTGAGGATTACCAGGAGTTTGTATGTTTTATTGTATTGAATTGTATTGGATTAATAGGCATTTCTGAAGCCAAGTTTCTAGAGTTCAGCCTGTCAATTTTTTTCCCCTCTTGCCTTCACTTCAATGATCATAATGGAGAGAATGATCTTTCAGTGAAACTTCTGAATGGCATGCCTTGTCAATGAATGGTGTCTGTGGAGATACAGTCTCCTTCAGCCATTGTAACCTGATACCATTTCAAGTTGAGGGGCTGGCTTCCTGTGAAGCATTTTCAAGGAATCAGGTGTTTGTTTTGGAGCTATTGTATTTTCTACTCAGGGGGTAAAAGGACAATAATGAGTTCAAGTGTATAAAATGTATCCTTAGGTTCAGCTGTCCTAGGGGTTAGTGCTTGAGGACAGAAAGTAACCCAATGTTTTCTTTGATAAGTGCCACTCCAGAGAGGACACTAGAATAGTACCAAATGCAGTTGCTTGCTTTATAGAAGAATCTTTCTTTCCTTCCTTCCTTCCTTCCTTCCTTCCTTCCTTCCTTCCTTCCTTCCTTTCTTCTTTTTTTTTTTTTTTTTCAGACCGAGTTTCACTCTTGTTGCCCAGGATGGAGTGCAATGGCATGATCTCGGCTCACTGCAACCTCCACCTCCTGGGTTCAAGTGATTTTCCTGCCTCAGCCTCCTGAGTAGCTGGAAATACAGGTGTGTGCCACCACGCCTGGCTAATTTTTCGTATTTTTAGTACAGATGGGATTTTACCATGTTGGCCAGGCTGGTCTCGAACTCCTGACCTCAGATGATTCATCTGCTTCAACCTCCCAAAGTGCTGGCATTACAGGCATGAGCCACTATGCCCAACTAAGATGATATGGTCTTGTTGGGCCTAATCTTGTGGTGAGAAGGGATTGTGGGACCTGCTTTGAAATCTTCAAGGTCATTTGTGTGTCTCGTAAGGCCAGGTATTCCAAACGTGGTTGTGCTTTGGAATCATTTAAGATTTATTTTATTTTTATTTGTTTGTGGGGGGGGAGTTTCTTTCTTGTTGCCCAGCCCGGAGTGCAATGGCGCAATCTCGGCTCACCGCAACCTCTGCCTCCCGGTTCAAACGATTCTCCTGCCTCAGCCTCCCGAGTAGCTGGGATTACAGGCATGCGCCACCACACCCGGCTAATTTTTGTATTTTTAGTAGAGAGGGGGTTTCTCCATGTTGGTCAGGCTTGTCTCAAACTCCCGACATCAGGTGATCTGCCTGCCTCGGCCTCCCAAAGTGCTGGGATTACAGGCATGAGTCACTGTGCCTGGCCAAGATTTTTTTTTTTTAACGTAAATTATTTAGGTCCCACCCCTGACATACTCTGAAATTGGGAGTGGGGGAGTCTGAGGAATTCATGTGTATATTTAAAATGTGCCTCAAGTCGATTCTGCTGTAGTCAGTTTCTCACATTTGGGAACTGTGCTGGTTGTCTCCTATTTGCTCCTGGATCATCTCCTCTCCTCTCTTTGCTCCAGGACGCTGACTACATTGAGGAACTCTCTTCCCCTCTGGCTTCTTGGATTTGATCAGTGGGAACCCTCAACAGGAGATCAGAGGGTGGAAAGATGAGGCAGTCATGGTACACATCTCGTGGCTCTCCCCACACTCCCCATGGTGTCTTCATGTCTGTGGGCTGGTTAAATGGGAGAGTTCCCTGATCCCCCTCCCAGGAGACCTGCTCCGTTGCCTCAAACCCCTTGCGGGAGGGGGAGCACTCAGATGGGCAGGTGCAGAGGCTGGGGTGGGTGCTTTGGGCTCTGGCCCCATGGTAGTGTCTTGGGGTGGGTGCCTGCAACCCCAATGTTACAATATTCTCTTAGCCCTGCCATCCGCAGATGGCTTTAAGTGTTAAACAGCTCAATGGACCCTCTGCCTTTTCTCAAGGGCAGAGGGCCAGTGTGACAGCTTTCTGTATCCTGAGCTCTTGCCCAGCGTCCCGGAAGCATCGGGTCACACACAGGCTTGAAGGATGAATGCGAGGTTTTAATGCACGGTGGAGGTGGCTCTCGGCAGGATGGATAGGGAGCTGGAAGGAGGGGAGATGGAGTAGGAAGATGATCTTCCCTTGGAGTGGGCTGTCCAGCAGCCAAACTCCTCTCTGACCACCCTGGCTGAATTCCTCTCGAGTTCTCTCTGCTGCACTGTTCTGCATTGTCTGCTTGTCTCGTCTCCTCCTCTGCTGGTCTGAGCTGGAGCCTGGGGTTCAGGGTTTATATGGGTATAGGATAGGGGGTGTGGCATACCAAAAGACCACTTTTTGGGTGCAAAAACAGGAATGCCTGTTCTCATTTAGGGCCACAGGTGTCCAGGCTTGTGGGTGGGGCCTTTGTTGGGGAACCGCCCTCTTCTAGCATTTCTCTGTCTCCCGTCCATATCGCTGGCAGTAGCCTTTTACCTGAAGCCACTGCTTCTCTCAAGCCAGCACTGTCTTCTTTACTCTCTTCTTCCATTTTCTGATAGCCACTCCCTTTTCTTTGCTTTTTGAGCCAGGGTGGGAGCACAGGTCCATCAGCAGCCCAAAGGGGCTCACAGGTCAGCCTTCAGGGGCAGGGAAGGGCAGGGAGCTGCTCTGGAGGGGCAATCGGGAGATCGGGCCCAGATTCATAAAAAGCTACTTTCATTCATTTTTGAAACTTGTTCAAGATCTACATCTAAAGTAGTAGCTGAACCAGGCCAAATGCGTCTCCTACCCATCTCTCCAAAGCTGGAGTCTGCTTCTTGTCTTGCTAAACCCACTGAGATTGGGGCGGGGGTGGGGAGGGGGGCGGTGGTGAAGTGTCCCTCCTCTCAGGCCTGAGAAAACGACAGGACCATGAGGAAATCTGATTTTCCTGCAGGTATGGGAATGGGAGAGGAAAGCATGAAGCCATTTCCCTTTCTTAGAGTAGGTTCTGGATACTTCCTTTATCCTTAAGGAAACTCTTCTAAATGAACTGAGTCTTTCCTTCTTGGAAAAATATCCAAATCATGTCTCATCCTCCTTCTATCTGACATTTGCAGGCTCTGCACTGGTTTGTTGGCAGTTCCCCCTAATTCCATGGAGGCCTTGGTAACACGCAGCCTTCTCTGTGCAGTGTGTGGTTAGTAGTAAATCTTGAGCCATTCAGCGCAGCGTTCCTCCTGGGGTCCAATCAACTCACGCCACCTTTCAGGGGAAAATCACCCAGACACATGTGACTGGTGTTAAATTAATTTGCGGCGAGTACTGGCTAATGCATTTCAAATGATTTAGCTCTGGTTGCTTCACTGAACATGTTCTGCAGTTTGGGTTTCTGTGAATAATAAGAGAAAGGGATGTTTTAGAAATATGGTCCTATATTTAGGGACCTGCCTATGTTGATTAGCAGCCAAGTAATTTGGAGCTAGAAAATTTACGAGGGTCATTCACATTCCTGCCGCCACCTCAAATCTCAGTTTTACTGAGAAATGAAGGTCTTTTACCTTATGTTGACTTAGTGTTTCTGAAGAGGGAATGTTGCCTATTTTGTTGCTAAGTAAAACTCAAAGTTTTCAGTTTCAGATAGAGTATTAAATAAAAAATAAAACTTAATTTCTAAATCATTCTCTCTTTTTTACATTTGGTGTGAAACTTTCCTAAGGAAAGAAGTTCAGGTTCCTAATCCACTTTGAATAGCCAATTTTACTAAGAAGGCCACAAAGACAGGTAAAAATAAACTTTTTCTCAGTTAGGTTTTGACCAGCCTACAAAAACAACTTAATAGCAATTGCCCCAGGAAAGAAAATTAGCACAGTTTTCATTGGTTAATAGTCTATAGGAAAGCCTTTAAAGTTTAACAAGAGACAATTGCTTTTTAATGTTTTCTTTTTCAAGCGTAGGAACTCAACTTGATCTTTCATTCTTCTAGGAATTCTGTTTGCCCAGGAGCTGGGGCCAATCCTCATTCTGACATGGTAGCAGCTTTATTTGTCACCTTCTTTGACAGTGAAAAGGACTAGATCAGAGGGTGAGCCCTGAATGTGGGCTCCAAAGGATGCACAAGGTGATTCACTGATATGTGGAAGAAAATATTGTATCATCTCTACAAAAAGTGCAAAAATTAGCCAGGCATGGTGGTGCATACCTGTGGTCCCAGCTACTTAGGAGGCTGAGGCGGGAGGATTGCTTGAGCCGGGGATGTTGGGGCTGCAGTGAGCCAAGATTATGCCACTGCACTCCAGCCTGGGTGACAGAGTAAGACCCTGTTTCCAAAAAAAAAAAAAAAGAAAAAAAGGAAATATTGTAAGTTCTGTTTATTTTCCCTAAAAAGTTAGAAAGACACTAAGCTCTAAAGTCTGCTAAAGTATAATGCATGGACAGGCACTGGCACCTTCATGTGGAGTGAATAGTGGTCCCATTTCTTGTTAGGGAAGGGGAGTGTCCTGAGAAAAACAACATTCCACAAGAGGTTGAGGGTGCCACCTTTCCCTTGTTGCACATTGCAATGATGGATGGCAGTTTATACGTGTCAGGCAAAGTGGATTTATGGATGATGTTGTCTGGTCTTAACTCAGCAAGTCACTGCAAAATGGACACATGGTTTAAGACGATGTCAGCAAAGAGAGGGTGGGTTGAATGTAATGATAAGGCAAGCATGAGTAAACAAGAGAAAAGGCCGCAGTGACAGTTTTGCTTTCAGAACTATCTCCTTTTCAGTGAAGTTGCTCAGTAGATGTATAAACACAAATTACAGCCATAATCATTAATGACACCCCTCACCTAACTGTGTTACATCTTGATATACTGGCTAGCAAGAGTTGAAGCCATTATGCTTTGAAAAAGACAATAAAAATGTCTGCAATCTTTTTTAACTGACCTAAAATCATGTACTATTCAGTGCAGTATCTCTCAAAATGTTAATTAGTGTAATGGAAAGTGCTTAAATGCCTCTTTTGAGGTTTCTTAGTAGTGAAGAAAAAAAGGTGCATATGACCATGGGAAATACTTGTTCTTCCTACTGCAATAAATACAGCTGAAATAATGCATGAAGAAATATACTGACGAGGCTTTTAATATACTGACAAGTCCTAAATTGTATTTCCATTCCAAACGCCTCCCCTGTAATGCCTGACTCTTACAAGCGACTGGTTTCTTGACACCTTCCCGGGATCTCTAGTCTTCTGCAGCTTCATGCATCCAAACTGAGCTCTTGATCATTGCTGCTTGTCTTTCCCTCAGTCTCCTCCTCCACAAGTGGCTCCTGCCTTCCTCAAGTGTTTACGTTAAAAACCACATATGTAACTAACCTGCACATTGTGCACATGTACCCTAAAACTTAAAGTATAATTAAAAAAAACAAAAACAAAAACCATGTGTGTCCTATCTTCTTTCTCTCTTATCCTGTATCCAAAGCTGTCAGCTAATTTCATGGGTTCTATGTCAAAATATGTCCAAATCTTTCAATGTCCTCTCTCACCACTAGCATTTCAGTCCATCTCTCATCTGGACAATTGAAATTGGTCCCCTGTTCCTGTCCTGCCATGTTGCAGTCTTTTCTCCACAGTAGGCTGGAGAAATCTTAAACCTAAGTCAGACTGTGTTGTGCTCTGCTGAGTCCCCCACCCCGGCTTCCTGTCTTGCTCAGGATGAAATCCATCATCCTCACCCTAGCCCTCAAGGCCCTACATGACCTCTCCCAGGCTGCCTTCTGTCCTCTGGTCCTCCCAATTCCCCATCCCTCTCTGCTTCCAGACACACTGGCTTCCCGTGGGTCAGTCCCACCCAGGCAACTCCTGCCTGGGGGGTCCTTCCCCTGCTGCTGCTCCCTCTGCTGGATACAGATAATCTACAGCTTGCCCCTCCACATATTCAGGCCTTTGCTCAGACCTCACCTCCTTAGACAGGTCTTCGTCATCTGAAATGGCTCACCCTATCACTCTCTGTCCCAAGAACCAGTTGAACTTTTCTTTGGAGCACTTACCCCTGATATACATTAGATTTTTTAAAAAATTTGCTCATTGTCTGTTGTCCCTCATAGGAACATAGCTCCATGAAAACTTAATTTTGTTCATTACTTCCTCAGCACCTGTTAACAGTGACTAGCTCATACAAAATATTCAAAATATCCTTTTTGAATGATTGAATGAAAATACCTTTAGCCAGCAAATATTGCTGATAGATGCGGAGAAAACTTTAAAGAAACAAGTATGGAAACAAATCAAGTAGTGCTTGCTTTACAGCTGGGTGAAGTACAAATGTAGCTTCTGCTTAGATAATAAAACATAACAAGTGCTGTTCTTTGGTGAACCAGTTACAGAAAATATGCCAGAAAAGATGTGTTCTCAATTGTAAATAACTTCTCTACAAGAAACAATGTTCTCATGGAACAATTGTTTAAAATGACATTTGATGGAGTGGTAGCTTCCACTGGAATTAAAAGAGGATGCTGGATAGGATGTGGAGAGCATCACTTGGGAAATTGATTCGCTGGGTAGTAACTCACAAGCAAACTATTGCTGCAGAGCAGTTGAAGTCAGAAGTGCAGAATGAGCTACAGGAGATCACAGATGCAATTAATCTGATTCTGAAAAATGAGAGAGCTGGCTGGATATGACGGCTCATGCCTGTAATCCCAGCACTTTGGGAGGCCAGGGCAGAGGATTGCTTGAGCTCAGCAGTTTGAGACTAGCCTGGGCAACACAGCAAGATCGCATCTCTACTTAAATTCACAATAGATATGCTGTTATTATGCAAAAAATACTTTAAAACAGGTAAGATTGAAAGGATATCAAATATGATTTACTTTACTCATTCCATTGAATAAATATATTATTCCTCACCAATAAATAAATAAATAAATAAAATAAAATAAATTTAAAAAAATTAACTGGAAGTGGTGGTGCACACCTGTAGTCCCAGCTACCTCGGGGGCTGCGGCGGGAAGATCACTTGAGTCCAGTAAGTCGAGGCTGCAGTGAATCATGATTGTGCCATTGCACTCCAGCCTGGGTGACAGAGTGAGACCCTGTCTCAAGCAACAGCAACTGCAACAACAAAACCAGTGAGAGAGCCACATAAAATGAGAGGATCTTTGAAATACTTTGCACCAAGATAAATAATGATCATGAAGACCTCTTGTTTGCAGTCATCTGTTTTTACAAAAAGACAAGTGTTCTAAATTTGCTGACCTTTTCTTATGGTGCCAAGTGGCTGTTAACAGTCTCTTATTTAGGAGCCACTTTGAAGAGAAAAATAAGGCACATTACTTTTTTTCCTTCCTAGTAAAGATGGTGTTTTACCGATGAGGGAGGGAGTTAGGGTGTTTTTGGAAGAAACTTATTTAATAACAAGAATGTTTTGAAAATGGATGCTTAGAAACATTTCCATCATTCTATGCATTTATTGCCCAAATGATATAAGAAGTTAACCTATAAAAACGTTCATATCTTTATAGTGAAGAAAGTGGGAAAGATAAATTTCTAATCTGTTTTAAAATCTTCTAAAAAAACAGTTTCACTGGGTTTTGACCCATTTGTCAAAAATCTTCTGATGATTATTTAAAAAAGAGATATAATTTGCATATCATAAAATCCCCCCCTTTTTGACACATGCGCACACATGTTTATAGCAGTACAATTTGCAATTGCAAAGATAGGAAACCAACCTAAGTGCCCATCAACCAAGCGGATGAAGAAAATGTGGTATATATACACCATGGAATACTACTTAGCCATACCAAGGAATGAAATAATGTCTTTTGTAGCAACTTGGATGGAGTTGGAGGCCATTATTCTGCCATTATTCTAAGTGAAGTAACTCAGGAATGGAAAACCAAATATTGTATGTTCTCACTTATAAGTGAGGTTGCAAAGGCATAAGAATGATATAATGGACTTTGGAAACTCACAGGGGAAGGCTGGGAGGAGAGTGAGGGATAAAAGACTGCATATTGGGTTCACTCCTCGGGTGATGGGTGCACCAAAATCAAAGAAATCACCACTAAAGAACTTATCCATGTAACCGAACACCACCTATACCCCAAAAACTATTGAAATAAAAATAAAAATTAAAAATATCCCCCCTTTTAAACTGTACAACTTAGTGGTTTTTAGTCTATTCACAAATTTGTGCAGCCACCACCACTGTCTAATTCCAGAATGTCTTCAACATCTCAATCAATGAGTATTGAAGAATAACCATTGACAAGAGGAAAGATAGAAATTTAGTGTGGAAATTTTAGCAAAAGCCTTTGCATTGTTTGAGGATGGGACTGTATATTGAGTATTGTGACTTAGAAATTGCAGTCAGTAATGTACTTTTCCATTTAAATCTACAGATCTCTGTGAGGTACCCTTTTCAGTGATAACAGACAGCCATTACATCCAGAAATCCAGGGAAATTGAACTTAGAAGCTGACTTTTGGTTCACTGGGTTAAATTAAGATTTTAAGAGATAACCACAGTTAATTACACTGTGTTCATTACAAATATTACTACTGACAATTAATTTTTGTGAAAGCAGAAGATTTTTGTATTATTAATGAATAAGATAAATTTCATCTTTGTTTATCCTGTTAAAATTTCATTTTTGAGTATGCTTTATAACGTGTATAACTATGATAATATTAATAGGAAAAGCATCAAAATTTTAAATTAAGAAATATACCGGCTGGGCACGGTGGCTCACGCCTGTAATTCCAGCACTTTGGGAGGCCGAGGCGGGCGGATCACGAGGTCAGGAGATCAAGACCATCCTGGCTAACACAGTGAAACCCCGTCTCTACTAAAAAATACAAAAAATTAGCTGGGCGTGGTGGTGGGTACCTGTAGTCCCAGCTGCTTGGGAGGCTGAGGCAGGAGAATGGTGTGAACCCAGGAGGTGGAGCTTGCAGTGAGCAGAGATCGCGCCACTGCACTCCAGCCTGGGTGACAGAGCAAGACTCCATCTCAAAAAAAAAAAAAAAATACATATATATATATATATATATGTAGGAATCTGTGCTCAAAATGTTGTTTTTTTTTTTTTTACAAAAGCATTTTTATTTGAGGTAAAGAGAAGTCTTGCTGAAAGGATTACAGTTCCAAGCATCAAAACTCAACTATTAGTGGCACTATTTTGACTTTGTACATTTTGCTTTTCCTTGGTCAGAAAAGGGTATTCAAGTTGTACTTTCCCCAGCTGGGCAACAATAAGGGCAAAGAAAACTGGAAGAGACTTGTACTCTGTGGGTACTGCTCTCCAAACGCAACATCAAGCTAGGAAAGCCCTCAATGGTCTGTCTTCAGGTTGCTGTTCCACCTCTGAGTGACACAGGCCATATATATTTGCAAGAAAAAATGAGGTGGGAAAAACAGGTGTAGGTCACTTGTGGACAAGCAAGCCCACAGCCTCAAAACTCTTCATGGAAGAGGTAATCCTTGTGGAAGGCTCAGCTCACAAAGGCACAGACCCTCCAGTTCCTGCTGTAGCTGAGTAAGGTAGTCATATCCTGGCTGCCCAGTTCAAAGTTGAAGACCTTGAAGTTCCCAGCAATGTGTTTTGGTGTCACAGACTAGGGAATCACCACCAAGCTCCTCTGCATGGGGAACCGGATCAGAATCTGGGCTGTAGTTTTATTCCGGTTGGCTGTGATTGCTTCGATCCTGGGATCTTCCAGTAGGGAAGGGTCCTTGGGCTTGGCCCGGGGCTTGTCAGGAGAGCCAAGGCAGCTACAGGCAGTCACTGTGATACCTTTGGACTGGCAGTACTGGATAAACTTCTCCTGAGTTAGGTACGGGTGACACTGAATCTGGTTAACTGCCAGCTTACACTTTGAGCCAGGCTTGTTTAAGATCCTCTCGACCTGCAGATGGTTGAAGGTGGAGATGCCAATAGCGTTCGCCAGCTCTTCCATGGCTGCCCATGTGTCCACATGTCAGTGTCACTGGGAACCATGTTGCCTGATTCATCCAATGGGAAAAATTCCTTCCCAGGCTTAAAGCCAGCTGGCCAGTGAATAAGATAGAGGGCCATGTAGTCCAGCTTTAGGTTGCTGAATATCTTCTGGGAGGCTCCTTTTACCAGCCCCTTCTCATGGTATGTGCACCACAGCTTGTGACGATGAGGAGGTCCTCACGCTTCACCACCTGCTCCCTGAGCTTCTCCTGGGCCACCTGCACCTCATGCTTGTTCTGGTGTAGGTGCAGTCAGTGTGGTGGTACCCAATGCCAATCGCCATCTTCATAGCCTCGGTGACCTGGCCTGGAGGGGACTTCCAGGTGCCCAGCCTCAGGATGGGCATTTTGGCAGTGTTGTTGAGCTTGAGGTGGCTGGCCATGGCTGCTGAGCTTCCCAGACCCCCGCCTGGAACCATGCCCAAAATGTTTCATCCGTAAAATGTATTATGAAAAGATTTTATAGAGCACTGATTGTAGACTACCTTTGCTCATATGTAATTCCCTGATGCAGTGTTTGAAATAGTCCGAGTCAATCCATTGCAGAGAGGATCTGAAGCACATTCAGTGTCCAGGTTTTACCCAGAGAGCTCGGGGCATTTTTAGCTGGCAGAAGCTCTGGTATAAATGGCAAGGCAGATTCAAATGCATCTAAACTTTATTACATGCACAGCACATGCCAGCCATAATGCAAAGTACTCTCACTCAACTTATTTCATGATTACCATAAACTGTGCTGTGGAGAATGTGAACTCGTTTTACAGATGAGGAGTCTCCGAGTCTGAGGGGTAAAGTGATTTGCCTAGGGCTGCATAGATAGTATGAATGATTCAGATCCAGAACTTCTGATTCCCCCTTCCCCTCCATACAACAGGCAATATTAAGGGTGCAGAATTGAGGCTCACATCGTAGCTCTGGCACTTAATGAGTGACCTTAGGCAAGTTACTTAACTTGGTGTCTCAGTTTCTATCTGTAAAATAGGGCTAAAAGTAGTAGTACTCTCTTTTAGGATTGTGAGGAGTTTAATGCATAAAGAGCTTATGCTAGTGCCTGACACATAGGAAAAAGCACTCAATAAATATTGGCTATTGTTATCATGATACCGGTTTCCCCCAACTTTTGCTGTCTAATTAGATTACAGTCCTTTTGAGTGCAAGGGATGATATCTGATTTCTTTTCCTCTCCTCTGCTACTTCCTTTTCCTCTCTTTCCTTCTTTATCTCCACCCCCAAGCATAGTGCCTTGCTCAGAGACAATGCTCAGGCGCTTATTAATAATGATACAGTTCAGGCCGGGCGCGGTGTCTCACGCCTGTAATCCTAGCACGTTGGGAGGCCGAGGTGGATAGATTGCCTGAGCTCAGGAGTTCATAGACCAGCCTGAGCAACACGGGGAAACCCCGTCTCTACTAAAATACAAAAAATTATCTGGGCATGGTGGCACGTGCCTGTGGTCCCAGCTACTTGGGAGGCTGAGGCATGAGAATTTCTTAAACCTGGCAAGCGGAGGTTGCAGTGAGCTGAGATCGTGCCACTGCACTCCAGCCTGAGCAATAGAGTGAGATTCCATCTCAAAAAAGAAAAAAAAAGTAATAATGATAGAGTTCACCTAAAGTTTTCAATCAATCAATATATATTGACTACCTTGTGGGTGAAGCCTGCCTGCCACAGCTCTAAAGTCCTTCATTCCCTGTCTTATTTAATTTAGTCCTCACCACAACCTAAAATTGGAAAAACTATCATGTCCATTTAATCACCAAGAAACTGAGGCTTAGCAGAGGTCACACAGCTAGCTGGGGTTGGCAATAGGATTCCAGCATAGGAACCTTGACTTAGATTCTGTGTCTTTTCAGCTACCTCTGCAATGGGGTCCAGGTGTGGAGGTGAGCATTCCTCTGACCTGGTCACCTGGAAAGTTTGTCCTTCCTTAGCGTAACGCAAGTCCAATCTCAGACCCATTTTTCAAAGTCCTGACCATACTATAACTTATCAAGGAAACTGAACAAATGGGACCCTTGTTA
This sequence comes from Homo sapiens, assembly GCF_000001405.40. Classification (NCBI taxonomy): domain Eukaryota; kingdom Metazoa; phylum Chordata; class Mammalia; order Primates; family Hominidae; genus Homo; species Homo sapiens. The sequence continues at coordinate 45,690,111 of NC_000013.11, forward strand.
GTTCTTGAAGAAATGTTTTAATCAATTTATTTGGCACTATTCAGAGATCATATGCTATTTGGTAAGCATTTCATTATCATTAGGGAGCAACTAATTGACAATTAATTTACAGGATTACACACTTAACTAATCTGGTAATTTTTAATTTTGGTTAAATTGAAATGTACAGATGTGCATAAATCATGATTAGAGTTGTCCTAATAAACAAAGCATTCAAGTTTGCTGCTATTGGTCGAAATGAAGTGGAGACCAACCTGCCTCTTAATTTGGAAGTGTCCAATTCACTTCCATGGCTCCTGCCCTGCTGCGGACCCAAGGCCAGTTATCATCTCAGGATGGGGGGATGTGGAGGGGCTAGTGGAGGGGGGCAGAGACCCCCTTAGTCACCTCTTTTGTCTTTTTTCAAAATAAAAGAGCATTTTTTAGAGACTGAATGTCTTTTTCATTGGCTGTCTTTTGATAGAGCCTCATTCTTGGATCAAGTAAACAAATTACCTAATATTGGGAGAATGTCAGAGCTTCAGGGCAATTTACAGCAGCTCCTGGATTCAGGAGGAAAAGTTTCATAAGGTCTTTCCTGAGTTCACCAAGAGATTTATTCTTCACCAAGATTTATTCTCGTGATTACCTCTGGAACTTGGGAGTGCTAACTGCCCTACTTTCTGACACCTTCCACCTCCATTGTTTCTTCTGACATTCCTGCAAATGTGAGTGACTCTTCTATCTTTTAACAACCACTCACCTTAGCCACGCTCCTGAGAGCTGCCATTCTATTTTTCTGCTTCCTTCCACTCTCAGACTCTTCCAACAGCTGGTCTTTACTTGTTGCCTGATAGACTCACCAGCATCCTCTCTTGCCCTTTGCTGACTCCTGCTTCCTCAGAAGGCAAGAGCTATCAGCCAGTCCTAAGAGCAGCTTGGCCCAAGACCTTGCTGTACTTGGGCTGCCCCTCTGGCTCCAGAGTAGAGCTACCCTCTGCCCTAGGTAGCAAAAATGACCTATGTTTTCAATTGTATCCTGCAATTTGGAGATGAGAGGCATCCTGACGATTTGCTACATCCACCCACCTTCCCATCCCCTTTTCCCCAAATGAGAATGAGAGAAGAGCCAGAACATAGAGCCCACATCCACCTCTGACTCCTGTCCCAAAAGCTACAGTTTCTGTGATTTTTCTAGGGAAGGGCAGGGAGCCCTGCACTCTGGAATGGGCCCTCCTGCTTGTTGAATTTCTGCTTGTGATTCATCATCAGATAGTTGCAGGTGGGAGAAGCCTGGAGAGTCTTGATGCAGGCTTGCCCTTTCCTTTGTCTCTGCTCTACCTGTCTGTTCAGATGAGAAACCTGTGAGGCATGTCTACCTCCCTGCTCTATGTAGCGCCCAATTGCTGATGCTCATGGAACGTGGATGATTGATGATGGTGTTAATCTCAGTAATAACAGGCATTTTGGGCATGATCTCCGGGAAGTTTCTCAGTACTGAGTTACAGATGCGTGCCCTACAGAGGAGGAAGAAACCCAGCTAATGGGCAACTGCTGAGGTTTGGACCAGATTGGCCCAGTTTAAGATGCTCCTCCCTTTGAAAACAAAAAGGAAATAAATCAAGCAAGCAAACAAACAAGCCCTTACAGAAGCTGTAGTTTCAAGCCTTTTTAACAGAAGCACCAATTGTGTGTCAGCTGCCAGAGATTTTAAGTCAAAGGGTAATTTTGTACGAGGGAGTCAAAACAATGAGTATTTATTGAGAGATTACTGTCAGCTTCTTTAGAATGCTATGTCAACTTAGATATAATTTCTCTACTTTGGAGAGGAGGGAACTGAGCTTTTGACAGGTGGGGTGACTTGCTCAAGTCATAAACTACTATGGACTGAATGTTTGTGTCTTTCTAAAATTTATATGTTGAGCTCTAACTCTCAATGTGGTAAATGTGAAGGTGGAGTCTTTAGCAGGTGATTAGGTTTTAGATGAGGTCGTGAGGGGCCCTCATCATGGGATTAGTGTCCTTATAAGAAGTGGAAGAGTAACCAGAACTCTGTCTCCCCACCATGCGAGACACAGTGAGAAGACATCATCTGCAAGTTAGGAAGTAAGCCCGGGAGTGTTGGCATCTTGATCTTGGACTTCCCAGTCCCCAGAGCTGTGAGAAATACATTTCTGTAGTTTAAGCCATCCAGTCTGTGACATTTTGATATAGCAGCTGAGCTGATGAAGACATATAATAAGTAACTGTTTCTTGGCTTCCAGCTTTGCACATGGGTCTGCTGATGTACAGTGGCCATGACCTTGCTCTCTGTAGCCTCATTTATTCTTCTTTTTTTCTTCAACTTTTATTTTAAGTTCTGAAGTACATGTGTAGGATGTGCAGATTTGTTACATGGTTTGCTGCACAGATAAACCCATCACCCAGGAATTAAGCCCAGCATCCATGAGCTATTCTTCCTGGTGCTTTCCCTACCCCAATTCCCCCCTACCCCGACAGGCCCCAGTGTGTGTTGTTCCCCTGCCAGTGTCCATGTGTTCTCATCATTCAGCTTCCACTTATAAGTGAGAACATGTGATGTTTGGTTTTCTGTTCCTGTGTTAGTTTGCTGAGGATAACAACTTCAAGCTCCTTTCATGTCCCTGCAAAGGACATGATTTCATTCTTTTTTATGGCTGCATAGTTTTTCCACAGCCTCGTTTTTTTCTTATCAGTACCCTTCCTTTGGGTTCAGTAAAAGGAGCTCTTTTTACACCAATGTGTCAGGACAATTTGTGTGTCCATCTGGGCCTTCTTTATCTCCTTTAGCACTCTCCTTGCAGAATGGGGTAGAAAGGGTCTTTAATCAGATCAGACGGTGAGTCTCTGTCATGCTGTGAGAGCCATCACTATCAGCCAGAGATACAGTGGTGCTGACCATGTTCCACTGTGAGACCCAGAAGGATCTGGGCTGCCCCTCTACCTGGAGCAAGGTCTCTAGCGAGAAAAAGGCAAAGGACTGTGGCAGAAGGGAGGAGGAAGGGAGATCACAAAGAGAAGGGCCTCCTGGAGGACTCTGTGGGACCGACTGGTGATGCAATTGGAAAAAAACAATTTGCACTGTGGGTCCAGACCAGTTTTCATGGTCATCTACTAGCAAGACTTCCTTCCTAGGAGCGGACTGTGCCACAGGCTTCCCCTGATATCATGGATATAACTTTGGAGTCATGCTAGAAAACCACAGAGGGACTTCAATGGGGTGGGGTGTATCTTCCTTCAGATAGAGCCTTCAGAACAGAGCCAGGGTTGGGCTTTTACTACACTGGAACTAGCCACCAGACAAACAAAAGTGTGGAGAGGCAGAGGGACTAAGAGTAGGCAAAATAACATAGCAGAAATAATAATAAATATGAATGATATAACATGTAATAGTAATGCAGGCATACCAGGATACTAGCAGATTTCTTTGTTCATGTGGATCCTTCCAGAGTAGAGCTTGTGCACTGGAGACCTCTCCTATGGGAGGAAGTGGCTCAACTGAACCTGCTGGGGATAGGCCAGGGTGATGGGTTTAGGGACCCCAAGGGTGGGGCTATATCCCAGGAGTGGTGGGGCCTGCATACATGTCAGGAACTCAGATTTAAGTGAAACAACCATGTAAAGTAGCACAGGACCAGCACTCACTATGCTTTGAGTGAATGTTAGCTTCTATTATGGGTTGAATTATGTCTCCCCAAAAAGATGTATTGAAGTCCTACCAGGAGACCTAATTTGGAAATAGGATCATTTCAGATGTAACTAGTTAAGATGAGGTCCAACTACAGTCTAGTGGCCCTCAATCCAATATGACTGGTGTCCTTATAAGAAGAGGATACCAGATACAGACACACGAGGGTAGAATACTATTCAATAAGAGAGGCAGAGATTGAAGTGCTGCAGCACAAGTCAGAGAATAGGATTGCTGATGACCACCAGAAGCTGGGAGAGAGGCAGGCAAGGACCCTCCCCTCTGATGTCAGAGGGAGCGTGGCTCTGCCAGCACCTTGGTTTTGGATTTCTGGCTTCCAGAACTGTGAGATGATACATTTCTGTTGCTTAAGTCAAAAAGTTCATGGTCCTTTGTTACAGAAGCCCTAGGAAATGAATATAGCTGCGTCCCTCTCTGTTAAGTCTCCCTTGCTCAGCCCCAGCAGGCAGCAAGCGCAGAGACTTGTACAGCTCCTTCTAGGCCTCCCTGCTTTGGTGACATCCACATTTCCCTCGTGCTGTTCATAGCTCCTCTTCCATAACTCAGTGGATGTGCAGGTGCTTCTATGAGGTGTGCGTGTAAAGGAAAATGGAATTCTGTTTTCAGGCAGTATGGGACTTAACCACTTTTATAAAAACCTTTTTTTTTTTTTTTTGACACAGAGTCTCACTCTGTTGCCTAGGCTGGAGGGCAGTGGCATGATCTTGGCTCACTGCAAACTCTGCTTCCCAGGTTGAAGTGATTCTTCTGGATCAGCCTCCCGAATAGCTAGGATTACAAGTGTGTACCACCACACCTGGCTAATTTTGTATTTTTACTAGAGATGGGGTTTCACTATGCTGGCCAGCCTGGTCTCAAACTCCTGACCTCAAGTGATCCACCTGCCTTGGCCTCACAAAGTGCTGGGATTACAGGCGTTAGCCACCATGCTTGACCAAAAAATCCTTTGGAAAAATAGAAAACAAGTATTGCTGAGCATGCAGAGAAATTGAAATCCTTCTGTTGGAGGGAATGTAAAATCATGCAGCTGATTTGGAAAACAGTGTGGGGGTGCCTCAGAAAATGTAAAATAGTATTACAATGATCCATCTATCTCACTTTTGGGTACATATCCAAAAGAATTCAAAGCAAGATCTCAAAGGTATCATTTGCATACCCATGTTCATTGTAGCACTACCTACAATAGCCAAGAGCTGGAAACAACCCAAATATTAATCAACCAATGAATGAATAAATAAAATGTAGTATATATATATAATAAAATATTATTCATCCTTTAATAAGAAGGCAGTTCTGTCATAGGTTAAAACGTAGATGAACCTTGATGCCAGTATGCTAAATGAAATAAGCTAGTCACGAAAGGACAAATATATTGATTCTACTCATACGCAATATCTGAAGTAGTCAAAATCATAGAAACAGAAAGCAGAAGCGTGGTTGCCAAGGGCTGAGGGGAGTGGAAAGGGGGAATTAGTATTTAATGGGCATAGAGTTCCAGTTTTGCAAGATGAAAACGTTCTAGAGATGAGTTGCACAACAATGCGAATATACTCACCCAGCTTTTAATGAAGAAAATCCACTTATGGTAAAACCAAGAAGATGATTAATTACATTACCAAAGATTTTTTTCATTTGAGTCAAGGAGTCTCTCTGTGCTGTCATTAAGGCAGTATTTTTATTAGAAAAAGTTCAAGGGGTGGATTCTGAGATTAGTAGGTGATTGGTGCAAGGAAAGGGGAGGTCTGGAAAGTCCTTGGGCATGCACAGTTATTTCTTCATGTTAACTCCTGAGTTGCATGTGCAAATTCAGGGGGAGTTAGTACAAAACATGTGGTGGAAATTCGGGCTGTGACATCAGCAAGCTTATTCTGTGCAAACTCCAGTTAGCCATCTTGGTTCCAACCAATTTCAGCCAGGTTTTTCTTAATCTCACAAGTGGAGAGAGTTTCAGCAGCTTGTTTCTTTTCTTATCTGTTATCTGGCAAACTCAAGAATTTCTGTTAGTTACTGGTTTCTTATTTTGTGGGGCACAGCTTCAGTTTCAGCTTTTCAGCAAGCTATTTTCTTGTCTGTTATCCTGTAAGTCCAAGAATTTAACCACTGATTTCTTTAACTCTTTGGGGCATGGTTTCAATTCCCCCTGTTCTATGTAAATTCCTCAATTGTGAGGGATGAGGGGTGACAACTACTCTAACTTCTTCCTGCTGACTAGGGATACAAGTCTGGGCCTCAGAAATGAAATTGTTTTGCATTAGGTTGAAGATGTTCTCTAACATCTGGTTTAATATTAACATTTGGTATTACCAGTACGTTGGTTTCTCTTTTTTTTTTTTTTTCTGTTGCCCAGGCTGGAGTGCAGCGGCACCATCTGGGCTCACTGCAAGCTCCGCCTCCTGGATTCATGACATTCTCCTGCCTCAGCCTCCCGAGTAGCTGGGACTACAGGCACCTGCCACCACACCCGGCTAATTTTTGTATTTTTAGTAGAGACGGGGTTTCACCGTGTTAGCCAGGATGGTCTCGATCTCCTGACCTCGTGATCCGCCCACCTCATAGCATTGGAGACAGAATTTGATTACCAGATATCCGGCAATAAGTATTAGAAATAGAGAAAGCCCTATTTTTAGTATAACCCTGGAGCATATATTTGATTCAGTGTGAGATCCAGGAACTAAACCTAAGAACCAGTTGGCACCTGGTTCTTCTCTAGAAATGTGTTGTAATCAGTCAACTTACTATCTTATTTTTCTACATGTATTTCGACTTCAGGAGATGTATTCATGTAAATACAACATGATATGTTAGCTACTATCCAAACTTCTCCCTGCTCTGCCAATATGTAGTCTAAGGTTATTCTGTTATCCATTATGATCCTGGCTGAAGAGCCTAAAGATTTTTGTTGGTTGGCTGTGGCTTCAACTGCTTCATTTGCTAAGTTACCTAGAGTGATTGACAGATTTCTAATCATATGTTCATGATTGTCTACTCCCCACCATGGCAAGAGAGTCCTGCCAAACATAGGCCAAAATCCATCTCCTTGGTTTGCAGGTAGGGTTTGTCTAGTCCAGGAAAATAATTTTAAGGAAAATAGTCCTGTCTTGAGTAACACTTGCAATATAAATAGAAAAGGAAGTAGTTACATAACCTAATAGACAAATACCTCTCATGCACCAGTTGCCAGCACATTCATAAGCCCGTGGGTGGTTGACACATTGAAAAAAAAAAGTATATCCAGGAGGTGCACATAGGGTCCCTGACAAATTCTGAAAGTTAAGGCTTTGGCCTACTGGTCAGAGACAGGTGTGTTATATATAGTTTTCTTTTGAACATAATTTCTCTCTCTCCAGTCCCCCATTTTTACCAAAGACGAATCATTGTAGGACCAATTTGTATATAAAATAAGTTCTAGTCTTATTATACCTGGACTGATTATTTGCATAAAGTACAGCAGGAATAATGATTCACCATATAGGCTTTCGTTTTTAAATAGGCTTTGCTGGGCCTTTTAAAATAAGGAATTTCTGACTTTTAAAAGCCTTGAGATCAGTCAAGCCAAGGATTTGCCATCAGATTGTGCCTGTAATGCCTGCATGAATGGTTGTGTTATTCCTCTCTTCTCAGGGTCCCAAAATAGGTTGCTGGACCTGTCAGAAAGTGACATTCTTTACTTACTGCAAGGACAGAAACTTTGTAAAGGAACCTTATAGACAAGCTACCAGGCCAGTCTTTTTAAGGGGGTTTTTTATTGGTGCTTTAAAGTTAACTTCCATTCTGGTCATACCTAAAAACGTGTCATTCCAGTCAAAGCCTTAGTGAAATAACCAGTGTCTCCAATTGTGTTCTATTACAAAAGGAAATAGATTTTTATTGAAAACTAATACAAATAATATATTGCCATAAATTGAGAATACTCACAAACAGCTTCCAAATTCTGGAGAAATCAGAGAGAAAGGTAAATGCCTCAAATTTTTGTTCACAAAACTATATTTTATCTAATGTGTTGTAAGTTAAAATGGTTCAAAAGGAAAATGTTTACAGGAAAACAAAACATAAAGAGATCATCAATGTTTCAAATAAAAATGTCATAAAAGATCTTTTTAGTCCTCTCTCAGTTCAGTCCCATGTAACTAATTCTTGTTCGGTTTGATGTTGGGTTAGCAATTCTCATGTAACTTTTTAATCAGAGTCCTGGAAGACTTTTCCTAGTCTGATGGCATTATCTCCAAAGTTATCAGAAATCTGTATTTAAGAGTACTTGTCAGAGTCCTTTCCATGAAAAGTAAGTTGGGTTGTAGCTGATTGGAAAGCTTTTTAGAGAAGAATTCAAAACAATAACTGTGGATTACAAAAACTTAGCCATGGTTAAAATCTGATAAAAGTTCTCAATTGTCAAGAAAATTAAGTTATTTCTATTATATATAGCATTTTAAGATAACAACCAGAACCATGACTGACAGCATCACATCAAGACCATCTGATTTTTATAATAATGTAATCTTAAGAATATTTGTATTAATTATATATCTGTACAAATATAACTTTTAAAAAGATTTAACATATCAAAATTATGACTGATAGCATATGAGATTTTTATAAATTTATGTAATTCTTAGAACATTTATATCAATAGCATACCCATAAACATAACCAAAAGAAGATCTAGTATTATTTAGCATTTGATAGTGTCTCCCATAGAGTTTTACCAAATAAATCCTACCAAAGACGTTAAAAATTCAAAACATTTGATCAAAACAGAGCTACAGGTCATTTAAAAATAACAGTTATTCATTTAACTAGCATGACAGTCAAAAGACCTCAAAAGTAATACAGAAAGTTACATGGGAGGTTTCCTGGTTATATGAAATAATTCAGACATATCATAAGGCCAAGAGTATAAAATTATATTACATTTGAGGAAAACATTGCTTTTCTAAACTTTTAAGATAAATATTTTAGCATTATGCCATAAGAACAGCATTAGGACTGGGGTAAAAAGTTGTAAGAGTTGATGAACAAGTTGAAGAGGACAGTTATCATTCCAGCCAAGCAAAAAGATATTTTTTTTTCAAGGGGGAAAAAACAGAAGATAATGAATGTGATCTGCAACTTATATGTAACAAGGTGCAGGAAAAGTTGAACTTCTGAGATATAAATCTGACGTTTTAATTTTAGAATTTAAACTCAATATTTCTTGCAATATCATTGAGAGCAAATCAATACTTCAAAAAATTTTGTTGCTTTAACCAAAATTTTTAGTTTTGTATTAGCGCATTTTTAATATTACAGCTAATTTTAATAAGACCTTATAAACAAATCTATTCAATCTCAATTTGTTTTGACTGCAAGGTAAGATTTCCATAAACCTTTTATAACCTCTTACAATTTGTTTTATTTTCATTCTTTCTCAACTTTCTATATTTATTTAGTTTTATCTACACTTTTTTAATTCCTTCAATTTAAAACAATCCTTTAGAACCTCTAAACTAGGCAAAATTACTTGCCCTTAAACGAAAACCATATTCCTGTCTTCTTGTGTGTTTACCAAAAACACATCCTATTTTTCGTATACATTCTGCAAATAGAATTGTTTCTCTTGTATCTAGTAGTTTCAATTACTTATATAAGTTACAATATTAACTCTTAGTAATCCTTATTTTAGGGATTTTAGGGAAGAACCTAGGAAGTAAGAAATCTTGAATTGTCTGCAATATATCAGTATTTTAAGATAAAATATTATAAGTATTTCATGTATTTTAAAACCATGTTTTAATCTTTAGAAACATTTCCTTATACATTTCTTAATTGGAAGTGACCCAGCTGCTCAGTAAGTAAAGTATGATAGTAAGTATCATAACTTTAAGATTTTGAAAAACATAAGAATTTCATTTACACACATTTGTCCCATTTACATTTATCTAATTTATTTGTTTTTAACAGTTTATCTAGATTAGTTATGAGAATAGAGATATTAGACAAAGCTAGTCACCATTTTAAGTTATTTCCTTGTTAACCATTTTACAGCTTGTGAATATCAGGTGTTCACCTAAGCAAGAACTTTAAAGTGAAATACACAGATATTTTGCTGATAAATCAGAGGATTTCATTGTTTTCATTAAACCAACAATATTAAATTAGTCTTATTTATCAAAAGAATCACATAAACAAAGATTATTCTGTTTTGGCCGGGTTTGTAATTTCATAACTTTTTGCCAAACCTGGACATCTTAAAATAACTATCAGATGCACATATCAGCTGACCAGTAAACACAGGCAAAAATACATGCTGACAATCCTGAAGACATATCTATTTTTATTTTATCAATAATTTTTTTTTAATTTTCCAAAGATTATTAAAGTCAAATGAACTTGAAAGCATTTGGACTTATTTATTTAATTTATCAGTACTCTTTTATTTATAAGCTAATTTGGTACCATATAGACACAACATATAACATAATGCATGTATATGCATAAACAAGACAGTTGGATCAAACTTATTTTCCTGATAAAACTGGAATCTGTTCACATGGCTAAATTTTATTTGCCCTGATGAGCAAAGCAGTTTCCAGGGCACTTTGATTTTAAAAGACCTCTTTCCTTTTTTTTCTTTAGCCAGTAACCTGAAACTAGTAATACCATGAACAGTAAGTTTTATTTCAACACCAGCAGAAAAGTCAGCAGATTCAGAGTAGTCAGGAAGGAAAAATAGGCAAAGAACTTAGAAGACTACATGGTAACTCTTTAAGGACAGAAGAAGAAAGAGGGATTGACTGAAAATGTTTTACATGTGCCATTTTTCTTCAGGTTTTCTAGTTTATGGAGTTGCTTTGTTCTAATTGAGTGTGCAGGAGTCTGGAGATCTCATAAGGCTTCTGCTGTAGCCATCACAGTCTTTGACCTCTGTTAAGCCAAATATTGCTACACAGACCAAAAATACAGACAGACCAACAAAAATCAGAACCAGACTAGATTATCTTAGTGGCTGTAGCTTTTTAGTATTGCCTTAATTCTTTGGGACTTAAACATACACCAGATTTGGGACTCTGAACTGACCAGAATCCCCCTTGGGTAGGACTCAAATCCACAATCCTAGACAAGGTTGGGACTCTCATCCATAATCCTAAACCACAGGGTGGGACTTGAACCCACAGTCGTTATGATGAGTTCAAAGACAATTAAAAGTACAGGGGCATATTAACAAGGTACTCACCAGAAAGATGTCTAATCCAGAAGCAATTTATTTTCCCAAAAGAGAAGTGCCAAGGGAGCCTGAAGTGCCATGGTGGAGAAGAAGGAACCCTATAGTCGAGCCTCTGGACACCCTGGTCTAGGTGGCCACTCAGGATCAGTGCAGGGGGCCTGCACACCACTAGGGGCAACAGTACCTTGGACAGGCTGTTCGTCTCACCTGGGGTTCTAGTTTGTTAACAAGCAAAAGGGGCTCACTGCCCAATGTGCTAGAAGCCAACACTGACACCAAATTTTTGAAAAAAAGAAAAGCTTTATATTAAAAGTCACCTCTGAAGGAGACAGGAGTCAAGCTCAAATTTGTCTCTTTCTGCTGGCATTAAGGCAGTACTTTTATTAGAAAAGGTTCAGGGGGTGGATTCTGAGATTAGTAGGTGATTTGTGCAAGGAAAAGGGAGGTCTGGAAAGTCCTTGGGCATGCATAGTTATTTCTTCATGTTAACTCCTGAGTTGCATGGCAAATTCAGGGAGAGTTAGTATGAAACGTGGTGGAAATTCAGGCTATGACATCAGCAAGCTTATTCTGTGCAAGCTCCAGTTAGCCATCTTGGTTCCAACCAGTTTCAGCCAGGTTTTTCTTGATCTCACAAGTGGAGGGAGTTTCAGCGGCTTAAGTTTCTTTTCTTATCTGCTATCTTGAAACTCAAAAATTAAGTAACTGGTTTCTTACTCTTTGGGACTTTCCAGACCTCCCATTTCCATCCACCAATCACCTACTAATCTCAGAATCCACCCCCTGAATCTTTTCTAATAAAAATACTACCTTAATGTCAGCACAGAGAGACAGATTTGAGCTTGACTCTTGTCTCCTTGGGAGTTGACTTTCAATATACAAGTTTTTCTTTTTTAAAGAACTTAGTGTTTTAGTATTGGCTTCTATTGCATTGGGTAGTGAGCCGCTTCAGCTCTGTAACACTAACTCTGGTAGATAGCATCAGGATGAAATTGAATTGTAGGGCACACAGTTGGTGTCAGAGAATTAAGGAATTGAGTAGTGTCAGAAAACACCTCAGACTACACTTTCTCCCTTGGTATGGGAAGAGTTCAGTTTGTGTTTCTTTCTTCTTGAGTGACCCAACTCCAAGAAGATGCCACTTCTGGAGAGAGAATAGGGATCTCAACTTAGCCTGGCAGTGAGAATACGAATGGCAGCTGGAATGACCCAACAGGGGGCTAATGTTTGGGCTATTGTGTGTGTCACACTGACCCTGACCAGCCAAGTAGTCACAGCACCCACAAGCTCTTCCTGCCTGTCAGATGCCTCATTCCCACCTGTGATGCTCAGAGAGAAACCATGAGCCCTGAAAAACACCATATTGTTTTGTGATGTCACCTCTGGAATGTTCTGAGTGTTTTGGTGACCAACTTCTGCATAGGACCTATACCTGGCAACTCACATTGGTATGGCTTTTTACTTGAGATAGAAATAATCATCTTAGACAGGGAAGCAGGTACAGCTATCTCCACTTCAAAAACTTTCAAAAGCCTTTTACATCAACTATAATATCTAGCTTAATATCTGTTCAGAGATTGATAAACCATCATGCCAGATATCATCTACACGTTCTTTCAGACTCAGACTTTCATAATTGTACATAATTGACAAGAGAGAAATAAATGAGTAGAAAGTTCTGTGTTTTTTAGGCGAGCAATTGAGGCCCAGAGGATGAGCTGGGAAGCAGTAATCTTCTTCTTTTCTCGTTTCCACAGCACTCAAGGCCAAATTATACAAGAAAAAGAGATACCAGATCTGAAAGCCTAGAAATTCCAATCAGTGTGGTTCTACCTCAGGTAGGGATAATCACAGAAGGATGTAACCTATCAGTGTTAGCCAGAATAACCCCCCATCTCCTCCTTCAAAACTCTAGCAAGATGTTGTAGAATAAGCAGAGATAGTCAGGGCTTCAGATTATAGTTTGGGTTGGGTGCCAGCAGGCGGTGTGCTGGGGAAGGCCACATAGCCCCTCTGGGCCTTGGGTTCTTTTTCCCATGAATGAGGTGGCTGGGTCAGATGATCTGGTAAGAACTTCCAGTCCTAACATTCCAAGTTTCTATGATACACTGAAGTAACCCAGCCTTCTCAAAACGAGATCTTTTGGTGCTTAGTGTTGTGCAATCACTCTGGATTTCTGGGGGAGAATTAGAACTGGGACTTGAAATCAAATGCATAAGAATGAATCCATGAGAAGAAAACCTCATCCGTGGACAAAGGGGTACAGAGTTATTTGGAGCTGTCAAGAGAATTAAGCCCTGCTATGCATCAAAGACAGATGTAGGGGCCATGGGCATAGATGCTTTTTCAGTCAATGAATTGGTGAAGTCCTCACAGGCTATAGAGTCTCAGGTCTCCTCCTGCCTGCAATCAGCTGTTTCCTTAGTGGAGTCCTCTTGATTGAATTGTTTCTACTGCTGCTATGTCACAAAGGGGTGGCTTTGCTTTCTCCAGAGTCACCTAAGTCCTCATTGGAAGACCAGGGCCATGCAACCAGAGGGGTTGAAATGTAGGATGGAGGAATCCAATGCAGAGGTAACTATCTGAGAGCTCTGTCCAGGGATGTGTAGGAGGAGGATTGACCACTGGTGGGCATTCCATATATATAATTGTAACAATCTAGGCAAGTATGTTCAGCGGGAGGCAAAAATATGGAAGAAGAAAACATCCTGGATGTTTATTTTCACATTATCTTTATAACTTTGTAATGAACAGTCACTTTTCTGTTACTTTTAGCCCATGAATCTTAGCCAGAATATAAGATAACTTCCCCCTGATCATTCAACAAGATAACAAGCTGTAGGAATCTTTTTGGGCCTGATTCTTTCCACCTGAAATACGCAGGGAGTTGTGTTAGCCACTACTCCCCCAAGAGTGGGTGTTACTGCTGTGATTCCTCATAGCCCATATAAACCAATCTTTTCTTCCAGAATCCTGGGGCCCCTCAACTTTACATGCTTTGAAAGTACCTCAGATGGCTGAATGTTCTCTGATAGTAACCCTCGGTAATGTTAGCAAAGTTGGTGTTTAAGAAACTTGGTCAGGCAGAGGATGCCAACCTAGGGGTGGGTGTGAAGGAGGGGGTAGGATTTGAAAGAGTAGTGGTCATGTGATAGAGAAATTGGAATGATGTTTCCATCAACACCCACCGCAACTTTCCCTCCCCAGCTCCCAGAAACAGCCCAACGATCAAGGAGAAGAGAAGGTGGTTTAAGACAGCTCAAGCTTGTCTTGGGGCTGCCTGCTTCCTGTGCTGGAGGACCTGGTGCTGCTGCTGGGGTCTTGTGGGGCAGAGTGGGTGAAGAATGAGAGGATATCTCCTGTCTGGGCACGTGTACCTCACAAGGGCAGATGCAGCTTCGTGCGTACACCTGCCAAGAGGGCACAAGCCATGCACCAGGTTTTGGACACCTGTCAGGATGCTCAAGACTGGCACTCTGGGGGATGGGTGTGGGTGTCTACAACTAGATGATCCGAACCAAAATACCACCAGGCCTGCGAGAGGGACCAGTGTGCTCACTCTACCTCCCTAAATGAGATGGCACATGGCTTAGGGGACAGGGTTGATCTGGGAAGCAAGGAGAGGAAGAAATATTGACTGAATGTTGGTGCGATCATGTGTCGGGCATGGGGCCAAGCAAGTGTGAGGTAGAGATTTTACAGGTACAGGAACCGGCAACCCCAGGAACCCCACTAGTAATGGCAGAGCTCGAGGAAGGGGCTTGAACTCAAATCAGTGCCCATGTTCTCCGCTATACTAGGGCACATGCCAGTAAGCTGGGCCATGCTGCATCTTAGCTCCATGGTTCTTCTCTTGCTTTTTGGAGATGGAGTCTTCTCCCTGCATCTTAACCACTCATCTCTGGGCTTCTTATTTTGTATTTGCCAAAAGCTGCTCTATTCTGGGATGGAGTCCACTTTCCATTTGTTTCAGAAAGGACTTGTGGCAGCAGCTCTGTCTCCAGAGACTGCCTCTGGCTCCCAGCTGCCAGTCCTGCTGTGCGTTTGGGCTTCTCAATTACATTGGAAATGCCTGTGATCACTACATGTTATCACCCTAAGGTCTTTTCAGGACTCATTGATTTCCTGTTTTTCTTCCTCACATTAAATATTTGTGTTTTCTGATCTCTTTCCCTCCAGCACATTAACTTGCAAGCCATCAGTGTCATTTCCAGCCCAAGCTAGCTGATCTCCTGGTTCCTTTTGTATGTAATGATTCAGTTCTCACAGACTTTCGCGTTTCCCCAATGAACGTGCTCTGTGAATTTCATTAAGGCATTGTTTACTCCTAGATCATTAATGAAAGAGCTACACCAGGTCAGACTGAGCTCCAATAGCACCCTCCGGTGCCTCCTTCATCCTTCCCAGTTGCCTTTTCTCCTTCCCCTTTGTTTGTGCTTGTTACTCAGAAGCAGTGAATTCCTGCTGACAGCACCCGCCAATTTGAATTCCCAGGAAGATTTCAGGAGAGTCTCTGTTAAACAGTATGCAAACATACTACATATGACATCTTCTTTATCCTCTTTGCTGTTAACGTTGTAATTCTGTCAACATCAATCACATTTACCTTGTGAATTATCCTTTTACCTGTTAGTATTTATTAAAACCACCATTGACTTTGCCATGGTACCAGGGAGCTGAATTAATTTAAAATAATGATAATGAGACTCAGCCTTGTCATCTCATATGAAAATCAGTATCATATTTGGCTTTTCCTTCCAGAATCCTGGGTCCTCTCAACTTCACATGCTTTAATAGTACCTCAGATGGCTGAATGTTCTCTGATAGTAACCCTCAGTAATGTTGGCAAAGTTGGTGTTTAAGAAACTTGGTCAGCAGGCTTGGACTCTATCAGCAGTGTTTGGACATCTCTTCTGGGCTGTGGTAGCCACATTTTTCCAGGGGTGGAGAGACATCAGTGTGTGTCAGCTAAGCCTGGCTAGTTGCTGTTCAATCCCATCCCCAAACTCTTTGGATGGGAAACCACACCCCCAGTAATTCTATCCCAGAAGGTCCCACCCAGAGAGACCTGTTGCTACAAGTCCTGTAGCACTAGTAAGAGATTTTGGTCCTTTCACTTCCCCTTTTCCTTTTGCCCTTTGGCCTTTGCATTTTGCCTCCCTTCTTTCAATTGTCCCCTTCCCCCATGTTCTTCACTTGCCACCAGGTTGGTGATCTGACAAAGACACAGTTGTTGGCAGATTTCAGGCATTTTCCTTCCAGGACCACTTATATTTACCAAGGAGGGCACCAGACCTAATGCTAAGGAAGAATTCCAATCCACAGATGGGACTTCAGGCTTCTGTGAGGGCGATGTTCGTGCCCATGGCCCTTCCTGGATCCCTGTCACTAATGCATCATTGGGTTACAGCTATGAGCACATTTCCCCTGAGGACAGAGTCTCTTGGCACCTTTCTAGCACCCGACAGGAAGGCATGATGAGCCCATGACCAACTTATTCCCCTTCTGCATCAGCTTCATATCTCATTCCTCCATGAAGAAGCCAACCTTTTTCTTTCCTACCTACTGGATCTCTATGTGAGGGCATTTCCTAGAGACCAGAAAAGAGACAATCTTTTATTTTCATGGTCAGTTGCACCATGCTACACAGGCTGTACCTCCCAGGCTTAGGAGAACATTACTGGGGTGTTCTTGGGGCTTTGTATTGGCATAGACCTCTTGTCAAGGGCTAAAGGATATCAGGGCAGGTTAGCTTGGCCCATGAAACCAATCCAGTGATACCACTGGTCGAGGAGTCCTACTGAGAAGGAACTGGCTTCTAACATAGGCCAAGGAGGTCTGGAATCCTGGAACTGCATATGTTCGCTGAGCTCAGATGCTTAGTTTTTGGGTAGCCCTTTTGTAAAGAAATATACTCCACGTTGCATAGCGCTTTAGGCTGGGTATGTTTAAACCTTACCAGTAGAACTGACCATCTGTTTAGTCTTTATGACAGCTTGGCTACCACTTTCTTGTCCTCTGGCAACCCCAGGAAGTAGGCAGAGCAGCCATGTTTAGGCTTATTTTAGAGGTGACATTCTGAGAGGCAAAATGACTTTCTCAAGAGCAGTCAAAGGAAGGACTTTTGAGCCCAAAGTTACTGGAAATTTAGGGCGTTTACCCTCGTTGGATTATATATTCAAGATGATGAAAGGGACCACTAGCGTGCTTGTGTGCAGGGGGTGGTGGGAGCTTCCTCTAAGGGAGTACATGGATGAACCTAGGGGTTTGTGGAATTCACGTGAGGAAAACTCCATGCTTATAGATTTTACATCATACCATAACAGCTTTGCCCTGGGACTATTTTAAAGTCTTAAAATATGAATGGAAATGAGGATATAGCTTATCAAATACACTAACTATATTAAGGCAAAAGAAATGGCCATTTTTGTAGGCCAAAAATGGTAAAATGTTAACAGTTTCTTATGGTTCAACCTAGTATTTCCTCCCAATCTTTCAGTGTATTTTGGTTGATTCAGTTATTGCCAAGGACTCATTAAGCCTCCACCACATGTGAAATTTGCTTTCTAATTCCCAAGACTTGGGATGTCACAAAAACAAGGGATAGGTCACTGTGCTTAGATAATTGCAACTTACTCATATGGGGAGAGGACAGGCCTGGTTGTAAGAGAACCATTGCAAAGTAATGATATTAGCACATGCAAAATAAAATGTCTGAGCATTGTGAAGTGCTAGAATAAACATGGAGTTTGGAGTCAAATATCCTCATTTTAAACCCTGGTTCCACTCCTTTATCAGCTATGTAATCTTATGCAGAATCATGCCAGTTCTTTGGGTAAGATATTACATATGAATACAGAAATCAATTAGCATATAACCTGACACATTATAGTCACTCAGTGTTATTTTTTTTCTTGTTCTATATAATCTTTCTCTAAAGAAATGCTAAGCAATGTCTCTTCTAAAAGCCCTTCTTGTATGTCTGCAGCTCTTTATAAACAAAGAAAATGTTCCGAGTCTCCTTTTATTTCTGAACAACAAACCCTCTGAGAGAAGTAGGGCAGATGTTGGTGAGGTCGTTATAGAGGGTTGTACAGGTTGTGCCCTGCAGTAACAGTGAATAGCGCCTTTTAGAGTTGGGCATTTCAAAAATATATGGGTTGGCCCTGATTCATTCATGTCAACATCCACATTTTCTAGGAACTAAGGCACAGAAATGAAGTGACTTTGTAAAGGTCATGCACTCATATAGTGCAGAGCCAGAATTCTCTGGAGATGTTATCATTTCTAGTCCCCTATTCCCCACACCTTGCTGCCTGCGTTAATGCTTCCTGCATTTTGACTTCTCTCATTTGCATCAAGAAGTAATTGGTGCTATTCACTGATTCTTCAAATCAACTGGAAATTCCCTGAGGGCAGGGTCTGTGAGCTTGGAACACAGTACGTGCCAAATTAATGTTAGTTGATTCACTGACACTAATGTAGGGGAAAAATTGGTGCAATAACATCCTGAGTGGGTACATGACTAGGGTGAAGAATTTTCACAAGGCCAAGAGCTTTCCTTTAAGGATTAAATCCAGCTAGCTCTGATCAGAATCAGAGAAATGCTACAGGAAAAAACAAGTTTGTTCTGGATCAATGTTTTCCTGAAGTTCAATCATGATCCTTGTCATGTCTAAAAATGCCTGTATATTTAATATAGGTATGTTTTCCCATTACTCATTAAAATAAGTATATGACTACTGAAAAATTTTTAAATGTTCTAAGAAATTAAGCCATGAGGAAACACTGCACTTGACCACTTTCTTGGTCCTGTCTGAGGATAGGAGGAAAGATAATAGGACTCAGTCATTGGAGAAGAATTTGGTTTCCTGTTGAGAAAGTAAAGGGGACTTATTTGTCCATCAGCATTTCCTGGATTAGGTGCTGTGGGCATGGAACAAGAGAAGGCACAAAGCCTGCTTGGGAAGAGTTGGCCATTTAGGGGAGAGGACGAGATGCCAACTAGGTTGGTAAAAGAGGGCTGCTGGGGCCATAGTGGTGCCAATTTACAAATGCAAATCCACTGGACCAGAGACAGTTAGGCCAAGAGAGCACTTAGAGATAATGACTCTTACCCTTCATTTTACAGAAGTGGAAACTAAGGTCAGAAAGTGAGTGGATATGAGCAAGATCACCTGAATGTGTGAATAAAGACCAGGGCACAAACACCCAGGTTGTCCGTGGCTAGGGATCCACCATATGTTAAGGTTTTGTTTAGTGTATTTCTGTTGAGGGGATGACAGAATGTTCCTTGGGTACCCAGTGTGGAAGGTGGATGTAGAACACAGGCAGCTGAATGCCATGGGTTAAAAGCCATCATGGCCAAATATGGACAGGTAGAAAGCATCCATGATTCCTCTTTGGACCCTTAGTTGGATCAAGAAGATTGTCTCTCTGGCTGAAACAAAACGATCGTTAAAAAGAAATGAGAATTGGGGAAATTTGAACATGGGCTCAGTATTCGCAGATATTGAGGGATAATTGTTAAATGTTAAAGGGTGATAATGGTATTGTGATTCTGTTAAAGAGGCACATATTTATATATTTGTGGATAAGATGACACAATGTCACTTTGCTTTAAGATAACCTAGCGGTAGGGGAGTGGTTGTGGAATCAGGTTGAGGCCTGGTGAAACAAGTGTGGCCTTGATTTGATACTTGGTGAAGCTGAGTGATGGGTACATGGACATTTATTAGACTATTCTCTCTCTTTTTGTGTATGTTTGAAATTTTCCATCATATAAATTGAAGGAAAAGATATCATGTTCCCCAAAGTACTGCAGGACTTTTGATAAATCCATGGTGGTTTCCCATGTGTGTACTTCACACATAGAAGGTCAGGGAGCCAGAAGTGGGTTTGTGTCTTAGTGAAGGAGCTAGTGCTGGTTATTTAACATCTCTGAGTTTCAGTTTCTCCATCTGTAAAATAAGAATAGTAATAATATCTTACATGTCAGTGTGGTGAGGATAAAATGAATTTAGTAGGTAGAATGCTCAGCTCACGGCCTAGCATGAAATTGAGGCTTAATATTTGTTTCCTTCTTCCATTTTCTTCTCAGGACTGGGATGCACATGTTGACTAAAACCACATTTTTCCATGTTGATAGCTTCTGGAGTCAAATCCTGCTGAGATAAAGTATTAGTTCTAGTGCAAGGATGGAGAGAACCTCTTAAGATTCACTCCTGCCAGGCACGGTGGCTCATGCCTATAATCCTAGCACTTTGGGAGGCAGAGGCAGGCAGATCACAAGGTCAAGAGATCGAGACCATCCTGGCCAACATGATGAAACCCCGTCTCTACTAAAATACAAAAAATTAGCCAGGCGTGGTGGCACGCGCCTGTAGTCCCAGCTACTCTGGAGGCTGAGGCAGGAGAATTGCTTGAACCCGGAAGGCGGAGGTTGCAGTGAGCCGAAATCGTACCACTGCACTCCAGCCTGGGCGACAGAGTGAGACTCCGTCTCAAAACAACAACAACAACAACAACAAAAACCACCACCACAACAAAACATTCACGTCTTTGGCTTTGACCAGTCTTCCCAGAAATCCTGGATCTCAGGACCTTAAACCTATCAGAAAATGGTCTAGGTTATCCACAGTGAGGTTCATTCTGATCACAGACAGCTACAGGAGCCAATCTGCTTTCCCAGTTGAGAAATGTGAAAACCAGGGAGGCTGAACTTTTTTAAACTAAATAAAATTCCGCTTGCAGAATGCCCTCATACCCTTGCTATCTGGAAGATTGAGCGTATCCTTACAAAGTTAATGACATGTGCTTATTGCAAAGTTAATGGCATAGAACTGCATCTTCTATTTATCTAGCTCTTTAAGTTTTAAAGAATTCTAACCAACTTTATATACCATGCAAATTGTGTTTCTCTCTCTACATACACCCACACATATATATATAATGTAGTTAGCCTGACTTGTTTTTTATTTTCTCTATCTGTACGGTTGTGAAAGTAACCTAAGACATAAGGAATTGATATCTGGAGAGCATTTTGATATACTTGGATGAAGTACTTTTGGTGTATTTGGAAGTAGCTATCATGATCTGTTTACTTAAATTCATGGCTGCAATCATCACCTCTTCTCTAGTGTGCATTCTACTTGCTCACTTCTTTTTGAATACATCTTATAATTCTTGCATTAGTGAAATCTACTCTTCTTGATAATAATACCTTATGGTTCTTTGGCACTGTTGGTTTTAAAAATATTTTTGCATTCATTATCTCATTTAATCCTCACAACAGTGTTGTGAACTAAGCAGGGCACATATTATTTCTATTTTACAGGTATATTTCATTGACTTTTCAATGTTGGAAGGTGCCTTTAAGATCATGGAGCCCGACTCCCTCTTTTTCACTCGTGAAAAGTCTGGGTCTCAAAGAGGATAAGAGAGCTGTCTGGTTTCAAAGTGCCCATCAGTGACAAAATCAGGATGAGAATTCTTGTGACCTTTCAGTCTGTAATGCTGGTGCAACCCTCACTTAAGCAAATTGCCTATTCTACTTGACTTAGATCTGTCCTAACCACCTGCAGCCAGGAACACCTGAAGGAGCTGGTTAGAAATGCAGATTCCTGGGCCACACCCCAGTCTGAGTAAATCAGACTCACAATGGGAGGCTCAGAAATCTGCATTTAAAACTCACTGGAGTTATTTTTCTGTACTGGGATGTGTGAAAGCTACCAGCTCATTGGAGTTAAGCTCTGTGGATCTGAGCCCCGTTTTATGCTGTGGTCTTGAGGTCTATGGCCACCATCATGAATTCCTCAGGGTCCTTGACTGGCTTTATCACCACATGTTGAACGCTCATTGCTCAGTGATATGTCTGGGATGGGTTTTCTTTCTTTCCAAAATTATTAGTTAGACTCTGCTTTGAGTCTAGCATTGCATTAGAAGCTGGGGTGAATGTTTAAGGGGCTGCTAGCAGAAAAGACTCAAGGGTGGCTAAGAGTGAAGGATATGCCCAGATGGGCAAGAGAGAAGGCTGGGCTGACCAACGGCACCGCCATTTTGGACACAGCAATTTGGGTGGCTGTTTGGATGATTCATGCTGCTTCTCTGCTCATGCTAAGTGTGAGTACACATCTGTGGGTGGTGGCCCTTGAGAACAGTGTTTGTTCCTCCTTTAGGGTGACAGAATGTGCCAGAGCCCATGCTTAGTGCTTTTGTACATTGCCTTTTTTAATCCTAAAAATGTCTCTATGAGGCAAGGAGTAAATGCAATTATCCCAATTTGAAAATGTGGAAATTAAAGCTCAAATAACTTGCTCAAATTCTTGTTAATTGGTAAGTAGTGAGGCAAAGACTCAAAATATTTGGTTGACTCTAAAATGAATGCCTTTGACCACCATAATATATAACTGTTTCTTATTATTCACGGATTCCATATTTGTGAATTTGCCTACTTGCTAAAATGTGTATCCACCAAATCAATACTTGTAGCACTTTTATGGTAATTCTCAGACATGCACGGAGAGGTGAAAATTTGAGTTGTGTGAAGTTGAGTCCCCAGCCAAGGAGCCTTCTTGTTTCAGCTCTCAGGCTAGAAAATAGTGTCCATTGCGCAGTCTATCTAGTGCCACTTTTTTTGTTTTGCCTTCTTGTGCATTTTGTTGGTGATTTTGCTGTTAAAAATGGCTTCTGTACCATTCCAAGTCAAGTGCTGTCTAGTATTCCCAATCACAAGAAGGCTATGCTGTGCCACATGGAGAAAACACATGTGTTAGAGAAGTTTTGTTTGGGCATGCGTGACAGTGCTGCTGACGTGAATTTGATGTTAATGAATCAACAATACGCACTAAATGAGGTTATGTATTGCTTGGTTGACAAAACTGTGACCACAGGCTCACAGGAACATAGCCCTCTATTTCCTGTAGGAGCAATGGTTCTATATTTGCTAATTCAGTATTGGAACTGACTTCATAGAACAGAACTCACTGGAATGACAAGGATAGGCCACATTTCCTTGTGAGGACCCCAAGAAGCAAAAGCGCCCACTGTGGCCAGGCCAGACAATCAGACGGGGCTTATTTGGGGATGTCCTGGCCCCTTTGTCAGCCAGCCCCAAGTGTGTCAGTCCCATCGTTAACGCTGGGCTTTCCCATTCTCTCCCGCAGAGGGGCACAGCCGAACCCTTCCCGAGGCTCCACAACTTGTACAGCACCCCTCGCTGCGCGCAGCAGGCCGCCCTGCCCCGGCTGAGCCGCAGGATGGCGAGCCAGCACTCCTATCCACTGAACCGCTTCTCCTCCGTGCCTTTAGACCCCATGGAGCGCCCCATGTCCCAGGCCGACCTGGAGCTGGACTACAACCCGCCGCGGGTGCAGCTCAGCGACGAGATGTTCGTGTTCCAGGACGGGCGCTGGGTAAATGAGAACTGCCGCCTGCAGTCTCCCTACTTCTCCCCATCCGCCTCCTTCCACCACAAGCTGCACCACAAGAGGCTGGCCAAGGAGTGCATGCTGCAGGAGGAGAACAAGTCTCTGCGGGAGGAGAACAAGGCCCTGCGCGAGGAGAACCGGATGCTCAGCAAGGAGAACAAGATCCTACAGGTCTTCTGGGAGGAGCACAAGGCCTCGCTGGGCCGAGAGGAGAGCCGGGCCCCCTCGCCACTGCTGCACAAAGACAGCGCGTCCCTGGAGGTGGTGAAGAAGGACCACGTCGCCCTGCAGGTGCCCCGTGGCAAGGAGGACAGCACCCTGCAGCTCCTCCGGGAGGAGAATCGCGCGCTGCAGCAGCTGCTGGAGCAGAAACAGGCCTACTGGGCGCAGGCAGAGGACACGGCCGCCCCTGCCGAGGAAAGCAAGCCCGCCCCCTCACCCCACGAGGAGCCCTGCAGCCCCGGGCTGCTGCAGGACCAGGGCTCCGGCCTCTCCTCCCGCTTCGAGGAGCCCAAAGGGCCTCCGGCCCGGCAGGAGGACTCCAAGGAGCTGCGCGCCCTGCGGAAGATGGTCAGCAACATGTCCGGGCCCTCCGGGGAGGAGGAGGCCAAGGTGGGCCCGGGCCTGCCCGACGGCTGCCAGCCCCTGCAGCTGCTGAGAGAGATGAGGCAGGCGCTGCAGGCCCTGCTCAAGGAGAACCGGCTCCTGCAGGAGGAGAACAGGACCCTGCAGGTGCTACGGGCAGAGCACAGGGGCTTCCAGGAGGAGAACAAGGCCCTGTGGGAGAACAACAAGCTGAAGCTGCAGCAGAAGCTGGTCATTGACACCGTGACCGAGGTCACCGCGCGCATGGAAATGCTCATCGAGGAGCTCTACGCCTTCATGCCGGCCAGGAGCCAGGACCCCAAGAAGCCTAGCAGGGTCTGAGGCCTCGGCCTTGCACCGGGACGCCGAGTTTGGGACACCGAACACTGGGCAAAAGAGAATCCCCTGCCTTCCTTTGTCGTCCTCGCCTTCCCCAGCCAGTTCGTACCTATTGAAAAGCAGCGTTAGCAGCCTTCCTAAACTCAGAGTTTTAATAAAGGTGTGAGGAGGCTGGGGCCAGTTGACACCAGCATGCTGCCTTTTTCTTTCTTTCTTTCTTTCTTTCTTTTAATAAAAGATAGACAATATTTTAGAGCAGTTTTGGGTTCACAGCTAAACTGAGCAGAAAGTACAGGGAGTTCCCATAGACTCCCGTCCCACAAATGCATAATCTCCCGCATTATCACCATCCCTCCAGAGAGGTACACTAGTGACAGTCTTTGAACCTACATTGACACATAATTATTCCAAAGTCCGTAAGTTTGTATTAGGGTTTGCTGCTGGTGTTGTACATTCTGTGGGTTTGATCAAATGCATAGTGACATGTAGCCACCATTGTAGTACCATATAGAGTATTATAGAGTATATGTAGTACCATATAGAGTATTTTCATTGCGCTAAAAATCCTCTGTGCTCTGCCTGTTCATCCCTCCCTCCCCCTCCAGCCTCTGGCCACCACTGATCTTTTTTACAGTCTTCATAGTTTTGCTTTTTTCAGAATGTCATATAGTTGGAATCGCCAAGTGTGGAGCCTTTTCAGGTTGGCTTCTTTCACTTGGATATGCATTTAAGTTTCCTCCATGTCTTTTCATAGATTCAGAGACTGCTCATTTCTTTTTAGCACTGAATAAAATTCCATTGTCTGGATAGATCACAGTTTATCCTTTCATCTACTAAAGAACATCTTGGTTGCTCTCAAGACAATTATGAATCTGGCTTCTTCTCTCTTTTCCCCTGGTCTCTTCTTTACCTCTGCCTTCATTATTGTCTCTGTTTTTCTCCTTCAGTTCTTCCTTTTTTTCCTTAGTTTTTTCTTCCTCCTCTTCTCTTTCTCCTATCCTTCTTGCTCCCTCATCATCTCCAATTTCTGAGGCTATGGGGGTGGGGGTAGGTCTATGGGGGAAGAGATCACCCTAAGCCAGGGCTTTTCGATTGTGCCTTTATTATTCGGGGCTGGATAAGTCTGTGCTGGGGTCTGTCCTGTGCATTGCACAATGTTTACCAGCATCCCTGGCCTCTACCCACTCAATGCCAGTAACAGCCACCTGGCTCCCAGCTGTGACAACCAAGTATGTCTCCAGACATTGCTGAATGTCCCCTGGGGGACAAATTTCAACACTACTATAGGTTTCTCCAAGTACCATTGATTGAAACACAAGTCCTAGAAATACACTGAGAAAAATAAAGGTTTGCATGAGGAAATGCTGCTAGAATCCCCTCGGGCAGATTCATAATCATACTCTGACTTAAAGGTCCTAACAAGTCCTACAGTGAAGTAATCTGCTTATCCTGGATGAACCCCTAATTACCCAATTTGATGTGATCTTGAAATCTTTTTCTGTGTTTTCTCTGTTATTCACCCAGTTTGGGAAGGAGTGCCCTGTGCTCTCCCCAACCCCAGGCTCACTTCCCTACCCTCGGATTCCCTCTACTTACTCATGGTTCACACTTACCAGTTGGCTGCAAGAGATGAGGGTGGTTGGCTGTCAGGCTTACTGGGGGCAGGTGCAGAGGCTCAAGATTTGTTGTCCTGGGCTTCAATGCCCATTTCAAAGTTGGACATACTTTAGAGTCAAGAAATTGAAAGGTACTCCTAGGTGACTATAAAAGGGAGTTGGTCAGTGGTTCCTAAACTTTGCTGTATAGTGGAATCACCTGAGGGTCTTTGACAAGTATTGACACCTGGACCCCAGCTTAGACATTATGATTTAATTGATATTGGCTGTGACTGGGCAGTGGTGCATGTAAAAGCTCCCCAGGTGATTCCAATATGTAGCAAAGTTTAGGAATCACTGTAGTAGGATAGTTAAGCCTTCTGATTCTCAATGTAATGCTGCATTCACTAGTAATGAAAATAAGTGAGTAGTCACATGTTAAGGAAAGAAGTTTACCCATTTTGCTGATGGAAAACTGATCTTTGTATTGAGACAGACAAGAGTTTGAGACTGGAATATCCTCACTCCTCATCCACTGTTCATGCTGGCTAAATTTCTGAGACTTGAACAAGCCAAAGGCAGTCACCCGCACCCACAGAACTCTTTGCACACCACTTTTCACTTGATATGACCTCCAGTAATCCTCAGAGCCCTGTAAGGAAGGCAGTATCATTTCTTCCACAGATATGGAAACAGGAACTCCAAGGGATTTGCAGAGGTTAGCGAGCTAATAAGAGCCAAACAGGGAATTCAGTGTAGACCAAATGACTGCAGATCTCAAATTCCTTCTATGAGACCAGATTGCCAAGTAACTCTGGTCTCTGAAAATTAAGTTTAAAAGTGGCTTTGGGGCCAGGAGTGGTGGTTCACACCTGTAATTCCAGCACTTTGGGAGGCTGAGGTGGGCGGATTACTTGATCCCAGGAATTTGAGACCAGCCGGGGCAACATGGTGAAACCCCGTCTCTACAAAAAATATATAAAAATTAGCTGGGCACTGTGGCATGTGCCTGTAGTCCCAGCTACTCGGGAGGCAGAGGTGGGAGGATCTCTTGAGCCAAGGAGGTTGAGGCTGTGGTGAGCTGAGATCACACCACTGCACTCCAGCCTAGGTGACAGAGTCTCAAAAAAAAAAATTGTTTTGGTGTCTGTTTCTCAGATTTAGGAACTTGTCAAGTCTTACTCAAAATAGCATCAGAAATTCCAAAGGAGGGAGAACAAAATGACAGGAGTATTTCCTCTCGCTGACTACACACCTGATTTTCATACAGGGCAGAAGGTGACCGATGTCTACACAAAGGCTAAATCACTTATCCCCTGTGGCCACCAAAATCTGAAAAATGGGAAGTTGTTTTTGATAGGCCTCTGGCCCTTTGCTGTTTTTTGCCCTCCTATATTTGGTAAATTAATCATTCAGGGCATAATGATGTACCATAATTTGTCTAAGTCAGTATAATAACCCTGGAGTGTAGGGTTCTTTTTGTTTTTTTGATGAAACCAAATTGATTTATGTGATTCTAGACAGAAGACAAAAGGCACACTCCCCATGTTTGTGTTACAAATATTTAACTTGGATTAATGTATATAACAGCAGTTGGATGTTTTCTCACAAGCTGACAGAACTCAGAGAACATTATACTATTTAACAGTGTCAACTTTTTCTGTCAGGCAGAATCTAAATGGGTGAAAAATTAGCAAGACGAGCCATAAAATATCATTTTTATGGAGTGGGGGAGATTTACTTCAAAACAATGTTTCATTGTGTAATGCAATCTGTCATAGATTAGCTAGCAATCCAGCAGGATCTAACCTTGTGGAACAGAATGAAATTTCATTCTTCAAGGAGAGTATCCTTTAAGCATCTAGGTTCCTTTCGCAGCTTTTTCTTTGTCTGCCTCCTGGTCTAACCTTAAGTCCTTCTCTAGGAACCAAAGTTGTTTCCTCTTGCAGGGCAGGTCTTGGCTTCATTCTAAACATTCAGCTTTTCCTGTCTTCTTCCATTTGGCCCTTGACTTGACTGGCTTTCTTGGTTGCTGGATTAAACCCTCCTGCTGAATTGGCTGAATCCTGTTAATAGGTCTATCTGGTGCCCTAAGTTGTGGATCAGGTCAAATAAAGAGGAACATTCACAACCTAAAACAACTAGCTAGTGTACAACAAAAATAAAATCCTAAGCCCCCCAGCCGACTGAATAGGCCTCCCCTTCTTGGCTAAGGAGACCTGAGAGGAACCTGAAAAACTGAATTTCTAGCCACGATGGGAAGGGAGGTCAGATGTGCCTCATAATACTGCCCCCTTTTGGAGTTTAGGCAGAACTGACCAGCATTAACATTGAATAGAGATCGCAAGACCGACAACACAGACGCTTTGTGGCAGTAAGATACCAAGTTCCAACCTTCTGGCATAGCATCATATGACAGCAGACCCCAAAAGAAATAAAAATATTTTACCCCAAAATATATTTCTTTGGCATATTTTGAAATGGCCTGAAAAACTGTCTCTTGAGGGGAGGAGGGAGAATTTGCATCTACAGAGAATTCTCATTAATGCAACTAGGCCTTCCCTTTCTAGGTCTTTCCCAGATCTAGGAGAGATTAAATGATAACCTGACACCTTTAAGGTCTGAAAAGAGACATTTATTATCTATTCTTGCTGAAGTCTGCTACCGGAAGCTTCACGTACATAATAAAAACCTTGGTCTTCACAATACCTCCTTAACGCAAGCATTCTTTCTACTGATTTGAATTTAGACAAAGCATAACTTTTTCAACCAGTTGCCAATCAGAAAATCTTTGAATCCACTTGTGACCTGTAAGCATCACTCCCATCCTACCTTTCACGTCACACCCCCCTGCCAGGTGTATATGGGATGTATACCTTCCACGTATTGATTTATGATTTTACCTATAATTTCTGTCTCCCTAAAATGCATAAAACCCAAATTGTAACCCGACTGCCTTGGGCACACTTTCTCAGGACCTCTTGAGACTGTTCCCTGGCTGTGGTCACTTATATTGGCTCAGAATAAACCTCTTTAAATATTTTACAGAGTGTGGTTTTTCTGTTAACACTAGTTAATGGAATCTCCAGAATTAGTTTGGGGAGGAAATTTCAATAGGGAAATCATTTATGCAAGGATGGTCATCCAGAGCTTAGCAGAGTGCCAACAATAGGAAACAGAATCAAAACAACTCTGAAGGAAATCCTGTTGGTTTCTGCATGTCTCAGATTCCATTCTTGAACTCTTCCCTTTCTGAGGAATTTCCATAAAATAGGGTGACCTCAGTCTGCATGTTGTCAATGCTTGCTGGAGTCCAGTGTTAAGCTGGGCAGAGCAGGAAGCAGCTGAAAGGAGGGTAAACTGACACAATGTATCTGATAGAGGAAGTCGAGACTCCAAAATCCTCCTTAGTCTCTGTCAGCATATTGTCCTCCATATTGAATTTCTGATTCATAATGAGAAACATCTTTTACTGGGGAGCCATGTCATTTTTAGAATATTCTGGATATACCAAGAACAGCTGCTGGGAATCAGCTTTCTTTCCATTCATAATATTGAGCCCGAGTTGGTCTCCTGGTCCTTTTGCAGCAGACAGAATGCTTGTGCTTGGAGATGCCCACCCCCTTCCTCATTTGCATGCTGGTCTTCTCCAATCTGAGCACTTATCAGTTTCTTCAGGTAAACAGTTATTTCCAGATTCCTTACCCTCTTTGTTCACTCAAACAATGGTCTTTGTAACTGAGAACAAACTTAGAAGCAGGTGACAGATTATTTTTAATGCTGTCAGGACAAGTGGCTAATTTATGACATTTTCTTTCTAAGCTTGCCTTTATTCTTTGCAGATAGGATGATTTGGAACTCTTCATTGGAAATCCTCACTCGGTGGGAACATTAAGTCCAAACCTTTTTCCAGCAATTGGTCAGATGTCACTCAGGGGTGCTGTGGGATGGAAGAGAGTTTCTTGGTTGTTAGTTACTTTATATGGGGCTATGATTTGATGGTTTTCACCTTTTTCCTCTCCTTTAATCAACCAATCACCAGATAACTGTTGATCCTATCTCCTTTATGGACCTTGAACCCTTCTACTTCTTTCTATTTCCATGGGCTCAATCCCCGTCTAGCCACTGTTGTCTTCTGGGTGATTGCTGCAACTCTGAATTGATATGTCTCCAGTGTTACTTCTAGCCAATTTTCCATGTTGCAACCATACTGGTTTTCTTAAATGTGTGAATGTAATCATGTTATTTCCTTACTTAAAATTTCTCACTTTCCGTTATCTTTAGAATAAAACAAAACTTTATGATGAGTTTCTGTCTTAAATGTAGATGCTACTTAATATTCTTCTGACCTCCTGAATTGTTATCATATCACTGCTTCTCAGGACCCCCACTGGGCTCCTTTACAAGTCAACATAACTTAACCAAATGTCATCCCTATCTCATGGAAGTTATATCCAAAGAGGATAAAGATTCCTCCTCCTGGGAAGGGCAGGCAGAGCTTTGAGGGAGATGTACTTGGAGAACTGAAGACAGATGGTGCCATGGACTGAATTTTGTCTTCCCCAAATTCATGTTAAGCCCTAATCCACAGGGTGATAATATCTGGAGATGAGGCCTTTGGAAGATAATTTGATTTAGATGCGGTTATGAGGGAGGGACCCTCATGATGGTATTAGTGTTTGCTCTCGCTCTCTCCCTGCCACGTGAGGACACAGAAGGCAGCTGTCTGCGAACCAGAAAGGCCTTCACCAGAACCCGATCATACTGTCATGCTAATCTTAGACTTCCCAGCCTCCAAAACTGTGAGAAAATAAACTTTTGTTGTTCAAGCCACCCAGTCTATGGTATATTGTTACAGCAGCCATACCTAAGACAGATTGGGATACTTCACTTGCTAGATGGTTGTAATGAATCCACCCTGGACATGATTGTGCTGCTGGGTGTCAAAAACTGATAACCTCTCACCCTGATCCTTACCTTTAGTAGAGATCATCTACTGAACAAGTTTGAACTGGCAGCAAGGACTTCAGGGTCAGGCTTCTGGAGATGGGTCTTAGCTCCACTGCTTACTACGTCACCTTGGGTAAGTCATTTCACCTTTCTGTGTTGGTTCATCAATCAAATGAAGAAAATAACAGTACCCTCTTATATCAGGTATCTACTATTGCATTACAAACCCATTCAAAACTTGATGGTTTGAAATAACCATTGATTTTGCTCACAGTTCTGCAGTTTGCAAATTAGTCTGGGCTCAACTGTGCTGTTCAGGTCTTGGATGGGCTCCCTCATGCACCTGTGGTCAGCTGGCAGTTTGCTAGGTGGCTCTGCTTCTGGCGGTTGGCTGACAATTAGGACCCCTTGGTTCTGCTACATGCGGTCTCTCATCCTCCTGCAAATTACTTCAGGCCAGGTCTCAGGGCAGAGGCAAGGGTCTAAGAGAGAAAGCAGCTGTGTGCAAGGCCTCTTGAATCCTAGGCTTGGAACTGATTCATCCTTACTCCTGCTGACCGCATTCTACAGGTGAAAGCAACTCACAATACTACCCCAATTCAAAGGATGTGAAATACCTTCCACCTGTTGATGGCAGGAGCTGGAAAGGACATGGATACAGACAGGGAAGCCATTGATTGGGACCATCAGTGCATTTAATCTACCATACTACCGTCTAGATTGTTGTGAGACTCAAGTGAGACACATGGAAAATGCTTAGAACAGAGCCTACTACACTGTAAGTACGCAGTAAATATTAGCTGTTATTATCATCATAATCATATTTTTCTGTATATATTTAAGAATATAGATAAAAATTACAGAAATTCATGGAAAATTGCCTCAGAGACTTTTGAGGATTTTTCAGTTTGTTAAAATAGAGTGATTTTTTGTGGTTCCTGAAAGAACTGTCTGGAGTCAGTCTCTGGGCTCCTCTTTACATGCTTAAACACAGATTCATTGTGAGGGTTGAATGAATTAATGTATATAAAATGATTAGCTCAGCCCCTGGAATGTAATAAACACTAATAATGGTAGCTATGATTATTATTTTCCTTCAACAGGGTCAATGATTTGGTAAAGAATGTCCCTTTTACCCAGCTTCAATCCATTCCTAAAATGCATTATTGGCTTAACATGGTGCCGAGAATGCAAATCTAACAGGTGAAGTCAGTGGATGAAGTAGAAGTAGAACAAAGTTTTATGATGGAAATCTCTCATGAACACATAGGTGTATATACATTAGATAAATAGATAAGGTTGGTACAAAAATAATTGTGATTTTTGCCATTACTTTCAATGGCCAAACCCACAATTACATTTGCATCAACCTAATAGTAAAATGAGCCCCTGGCTGGGCGCGGTGGCTTATGCCTGTAATCCCAGCACTTTGGGAGGCTGAGGCGGGTGGATCGTGAGGTCAGGAGATTGAGACCATCCTGGCTAACATGGTGAAACCCCATCTCTACTAAAAATACAAAAAAAATTAGCTGGGCGTGGCAGCGGGCACCTGTAGTCCCAGCTACTTGGGAGGCTGAGGCAGGAGAATGGCATGAACCTGGGAGGCAGAGCTTGCAGTGAGCCCAGATCATGCCACTGCACTCCAGCCTGGGTGACAGAATGACACTCCCTCTCAAAAAATAAATAAATAAATAAATAAGCCCCTACACCTTCATTATGTAGCTTCCACAGGTCAACTGATGGCTAATCTTTATTTCCCCAACATTTTTTTTTCAGTCAAGTTTTTTGTTGTTGTTGTTTTAAAAAAAGCAAATTCTATACATCACCTATAAATGTTTCAGTAGGTACCACTGAAAGGCATTTTGTTTCGATTTTTTATATAATCACCATGTTATCATCACACCTGTCCAAATTAACTGAAGGTCCTGAATATCATCTAATACCCAGAGCAGAATAAAATTTCTCCCAGCATCTGTCTGATCCAAACAAGATCCATGCATTTCATTTGTTGTGATGCCTCTTAAGTTTATTTTTTAGAAGAAGAATTTTTGTGCAGTTCCTGGGGCATCCAGAATTGGCTAGTGTCATTTGAGATCAGGCGACAGGAACATAAGACAGCCAGGCCCTGATGTGCTCATTGTAGATGTGCCAAGGTGGTCTTCTGAATTTTTTTCTGCATCTGTCAGGAAATACTATGGTTCCCATTGGGGTATCTAAAGCTCCGTTGATTTAGAACTATTCAGAAAGCTGCTCCCTAGAGCTATGGGGTGATGTAACCAATATTGCTCAGGTGGTGAGGCTTTGTTTATTTTAAGGTCATTTGAAAGAATTGAGACCTACACGATTATCTTGGGATCTGATGCCTTGGAAAGAAAAGGGGCAAAGGAGCTACTTATGCTGAGGAAGGCTCCTTGCAGTGCTGAAGCATCCAACAGATGACAAGGGGGCCCCAAACGAAGGAGACTTTAGTATCAGGCTGTCACACAGCAAACCAGATTGATCGATTTTCCTCCCTCCCTCAGTCCTTTCTTTCTCTCATTGTTTCTCTAAGAATGTTGGCTCTAGCATTCAAATAGGACTTTGGGAGAGAAGAGAAGATACCAGTAGCCTTCAGTGTTTTCTTTGCTTGTCAGAAGCAGGAAGCCTTTAAAAACAAAACAATAACAACAAAGAAACCGCTCTCTAGTTCAATATGTGTGGTGTGATAAATGGGGAAAGATCTCAATCTTTTGGACAAAATGGGTTTCTAAATTTATATATTAATTCAATACCTAGCCCAGAAAGCAGAGAGCTGCCCTGGACTCTGTTTTCTTATTTCCTGAGGGTGTTAAATTACCAAGTTTGGCCAATTTTACCTGCTCATTGTTTCTTGAACTTGTCCCTTTTTCTGTCTGACTGCTGGCCCAGTTCAGGCCTCTTCGGTGCCTAAACAATCGTGGTTAAATCTTAAGTAAATCAATTTTCCACACTGCAGCCAGAGTGATGAGCAATTTAAAATACACTGTGACACTATGTTATAAGTCTCCTTTCAAGCTTTTAGTGGCTCTTTATTTCTTTTAGCAGAGCTTGCTCACCAGTGTGCTGGGCTGGATTATAGATATGCAGGAATATTGATCCCTTTAGCTCCAAGGGTGGCCAAGCTGTGAGCAGCCTTATTGATTTACCCCCATATTCCACACAGATAAATTCACTACATGTACTATGATGTAAAAAAAAAGGCTTATAGAATAAAATTCAAGCTGCTCAGACCACTCTCCTCTCACCAGCTCTATCTTCTGCTCCTCCCTGCCTTGTAGGTAGTAACGTGGAACCACATCTAGCCCCCTGGAAATCATTATATGCCCATACAATTCTCTGTATCTGGAACATTTTTGTGTTTTGCAATTCTTATTCCTTCAAGTCTCAGTTCAACAATGATCAGTTTCAGTAAGCTTTCCTGGAAATGCAAGGTTAGGCCAAGGGCCCTTTTTCGTGCTTTGCCACCCCCCTCTTCTTCCCATACTAATCATAAGTGTTCTTCTAACTGATCATTCACCATATTATCAAGAAGTAGTTTTATATATTTGTTCCTTCGTCCAGCCTGACAGTTCCTTGGGGACAAAGTTAATCACCTAGAAATTCCTTTGCCCAGCACAGTACCTGGCATATAGTAGGTGGTCAGTAAATAAGAAACTCCAGGAAAAACATTGAGGACAGTTATGATGCTAAAAACCCCATGCTTCCATGACCTTTGCTAAGGGGGTCTGATTTAAATTGTGTACCAGTACTGGGTGATGAGGCTTTAGGTCCAAAATATTGGAATATTGAAGTCAATATCATCAAGAACAGATATAGTTGTTCTAACTCTCAGCAGTCTTTATTGTTTTTAACAGCAGCTGATGAGAAGAAACATCATTTCAAGCAGAGAGAGACAGAGAAGTGAAAGTTGCCGTGTTAGAAAGGATATGATCTGACACTGGGATGCACAGTGACTTCCATTGCCACCTCAGTTGCTGTGAGCATGTATTTTGGTTGTCAGAATTTGTAGATTATTGGTTCGTGAAAAATAACCATTTCCAAGATTATATGTGTATGAACTGACCAGTACAGAGTCAATATTAGAGAAAGATGCTGTCAGTTGTAAAGACCAAAATTTGTAAAATTCTCACATCTTGATATTGAGTGCGTGCACGCATGTGCGCATACACACACACACACACACACACACACACACACACGAGATTGGAGGATATGCCCCTTTTAAAAACCTGATTTGTTGGAGCCCAATAGCTGCAGAAGCTTTCACCAGGGCTCTGTGTTCAGAAGTCTTCAGAGATGTTCTCCATAGGCATCTTGAGTAGGAAGGACACCAGGGTTAGGTCACAGTGGCCTCTTTACTTCACTGATTATCTTTGGTGGAACAATGGCCAGGGAGGGAGGCAGTGATGCTCTGAGCATTCGAGTAAGAAGGAGGACAGAGAAGTTCCAATAGTGCATTTTTTGATAAAGGGGCTTTCTTGGTAGGGAGGAATTAGCTTTGACTTGATGTGTGTGATGTACTACGGGAAGGTATGATCCAAGAGCATGCCTGTATACCATCTGCTAGGTACAGGAGATCCTTACAGTGTGTGTTAGGGCTATTCAGAGCCAGGAAGTCCCATAATCTGCTGTCTGACACCAGGAAAGCCAGTGATGTAACTCAGTTTATTCCAAAGTCCTGAGAGCCAGCTGGGGAGTGGGGAGGGGCAGGACAAAATGGGTATCCCAGCTCAAACAGAAGCAAATTCACCCTTCTTCTGCTTTTCCATCTTTTTGTTTTATTCAGGCCCTCAATGGATTGGATGATGCCAACTCCCGTTAGTGAGGATGATCTTTACTCAAGTGCTAGTTTCTTACAGAAACACCTTTACACCCAGACATAATGCCTACAGATGCATCCAGGAGTAATGCTTTACCAGCAATCTGGACATCCCACGGCCCAGTCAAGTTGACACATTAAAATTTAACCATTACACAGTGTTGGAAAGGAAAGATGTAATCATTGAAACCTCATTAATTTGTCTGATTTCAGGGGCTCCAGGGACTTTCTGACATTTCAACTAGCTAGTGATTCTCCATCATTAACTAATGTCAGTATCCAAGAACTGATATGCTACAATGTAGAGGCAAAATCTGTCTTATATCCAGCAAGCTGAACATGGCACTATGACAAATACAATGTTATTATGACTATGTGGGAGAAAATACCCACAGTCTTATTCCAACCCTAAATCTTAACTAAGCCACCAAAGTTCCACTTTCTTCACTCAATGTGTGTCTGAGAGACCGCCAATGACCATGGCTGACATCTTTCAATACGGAAACAGTTTTGATGATATATATATGCATAGCTATAATAAGTTAACATTCATCATAAAGACAGTACAGTTGGAATATATACACATAATACATATTATATATATACACACATAGTATTATATACACATAATATTTAAAACATAGTATACATACACACATATGTATCTATACACACATTTTATATGTATATATACCTATATACACACACATACACACACATATCTATACAAGAAAAACGAAAAGTACTATCTTAAAGAAGATTTAAAACTAAGAAGAGTAACTGGTTAAAATATATGTCATGAGAAAGACATGCTAATGAGGGATATACTTTTGCATTTATTTAGTTATTCAATAATTTACCAAATATTGAATGGGCTTGCATTTATGTAGTTATTCAGTGATTTACCAAATATTTACTAAACATTCTACTATGTTCCAGGGCTTTATTATAGGTATTGGGATTCATTGAGGAACAAGGCAGACATGAAGTTTACATTCTAGTAGGGGAGAGAAATGATAATCCCATAAGCAAGTTGATCTTAGGTGGTGCTAAATGCTATGAAGAAAGTAATAGGAAATGCACTGCTAGGGTGTGTCAGAATTTTAGATAGGATTGTCAGAAAAGGCCTCTTTGAGGCTCCTTCTTAATTAAGGTCTGAGCTGTTGTCTTAGTCTGTTCAGGCTGTTATTATTAGACTGGATAATTTATAAACAACAGAAACATATTGCTCACAGTTCTGGAGGCTGGGAAGTCCAAGATCAAGGTGTCAGCAGAGTTGGTGTCTGGTGAGAGTTTGCTCCCTGCTTCACAGATGGCACCTTCTTACTGCTTCCACACATGGAGAAAGGGGCAAGGCAGCTCCCTTCAATCTCTTTTATGAGTACTAGCCCCTTAATCAGAACTGGATCACTTCCTAAAAGGCCCTGTCTCTTAATATAATCACATTGGTGTTAGGTTCCAACATACAAATTTGGGGGGACATCAACACTTAGACCACAGCAGACATGCAGTTCTGTAGCTGTATTCTCCTGTTGCTATACAGGATTCTACTGATGTGATGGGAAGGCATGGGGGCTGGGAAGTGTTCTACAGTCCTCTAGTCTCAGTCCTTCAGTGAGCCTGTGCCCCTGGGCTGTGACCTTCACAAGTGCTTCTCAGTACTCCCTCCTCCCCTCTAGATGGGACAGGAGGCTAGAGGGGTTAGAGTTGGATATTTCTCTTCTCCCAGGTAGGTTAGGCTCCAATAAAACCCCAACAGTTTGGGGTCTGGTAAAATAGTTTCTTCTGAGAGCAGACCTTGTTAAGAAGAATGCAATTCTCTGGCATATTTCAAAATGGTTCCTTTTCCCCTCCTCCTGCCAGAAGCACAGGGGGATTTTTCTCTCATCTGTCTTGTGAGAACATGGTGGGACTCCTGGAGGTAAAACTCACAAAAGCCTGACTGGATGCCCCTGAAGTTCTTAACACTCAGAATTGTCTATACTGAGCCTCCTGCAATTTGTCAATTACAATTCAGATTTTCCTGCTTAGGTATTGGTTCTCTCGGAGGTTTCTGTTCCTGTAAATTAGGATTCTCTGTATCCACCTGTCTGTCTCTCTCATTTTGGGGCAGAGGTTTGTCCTGTGACTTCAATTCTCTGATGGATCTAAGAAGAATTGTTGACTTTCAGTTTTAAAGTTTATTTTCTGTGAGGATGGAAATGACAATGACCAAAGTCCTTATGTGCATGACGGGAAACCAGGAGCCGAAAGGCCCCTGTGAACATCTGAGATCTGAATGAAGAGAAGGAGCTGCCATGTGAGGAATGGAGGAGGCTTTTCCAGGCAGGAGGATGGCACGTTCAGAGGCCCTGGGGTGGGTCCAGCCCAGCATGGAGGCCAATGTGGCTGGAGCCAACTGGTAAGGCAGAGGTGAGGGGAGACAGGTTCAAGACCAGGACTGAGGCAGGGGCTGGAACATGGAGGAGCAGCAAGGCCATGTGGAAAGACTAGGAAGTCTTATAATTGAAATGACTCATTTTGTAAAGATAAGCAAAAAAAAAAAAAAAAAAAAAAAATGAAATAGCAGGCTTCTGATTACTTCTCCATATGTTATGGAGGTAGAAACATTACAGTAGAAATGTACCACATGTAGGCCAGACATGGTGGCTCATACCTGTAATCCCAGCACTCTGGGAGGCTGAGGCAGGTGGATCACCTGAGGTCAGGAGTTCGAGACCAGGCTGGCCAACATGGTGAAACCCTGTCTCTACTAAAAATACAAAAATTAGCCAGGCGTGGTGGTGGGCGTCTGTAGTCCCAGCTACTTGGGAGGCTGAGGCAGGAGAATTGCTTAAACCCGGGAGGCAGAGGTTGCAGTGAGCTGAGATCGTGCCACTGCACTCCAGCCTGGGCAACAGAGTGATACTCCGTCTCAGAAAACAAAAAAAATCCGACATGTAATTTCCTTTTCATATGTGTCTCCTATCACACTCTGAGCACAAGTGATAGGAACAAGCAGAATTGAAAAGTGAGGGATCGCTCATTCCAGTAAAAGAGCTTGTGCAAAACTTGGTTAAAATCTGACTTATGCAGCAGGTGAAGCGAGTGCTCCACTGGTTCGGTGACTCCACAGGGATGGGTTCATTTGAGCAGCCACGTGGCGGCCCTCAGAATAGTCTGCCCTGTATTGTGGTCATGGGGAATGAAGGGAAATGAAGCTGAGGGTTAGAGATGGGGGTGGCACAGGAGCCATGCGACCTCTAGGGGCACCTAGAGAAAGGACCTCTGAGCTCCAGAGATCAGACATTGGAGCCTGCTGAAATTGTTTTATGATAACTTGCTTGTCCTGCCAGCAGAGGTTGCTTTCCTAACCCTGACTAGGTGCCCCAAGGAAAATTAGGTGCATTTAAAAATGTATACAAAGGGCCAGGCACAGTGGCTCACACCCGTAATCCCAGAACTTTGGAAGGCCAAGGTGGGCAGATCACCTGAGGTCAGGAGTTTGAGGCCAGCCTGGCCAACATGGTGAAACCCCGTCTCTACTAAAAATACAAAAATTAGCTGGGTGTAGTGGCGCATGCCTGCAATCCCAGCTACTCGGGAGGCTGAGGCAGGGGAATTGCTTGAGCCCAGGAGGTGGAGGTTGCAGTGAGTGGAGATGGTGCCGCTGCACTCCAGCCTGGGCGATAGAGCGAGACTCCGTCGCTCTCAAAATAAATAAATAAATAAAAATAAAAAAATAAATTTATACAAAGAAGTAGACAATTGAACAATTGCCAGATAAATTCAATTCGTACAAAGATCAAATGTAGTTTTTTCAGATGATAGAACTATTTTACTCCAAGAGTAGTTTTTTTTTTCCTTCCTGAATTATTTGTGTGATGGCCCTGATGATGTATATCCCTTCTCCTGTGTGTATCCTGCAGGCTGATTTAGCTTTAAATGTTCTAAGGAACAAGTCTTCCATCATTTACCTACAGAAATCATCTTGCAGACTGATTTTAGTTCTTTCAGCTGCGTATATGTCTAAGTATTTC
This sequence comes from Homo sapiens, assembly GCF_000001405.40. Lineage (NCBI taxonomy): Eukaryota > Metazoa > Chordata > Mammalia > Primates > Hominidae > Homo > Homo sapiens. The sequence continues at coordinate 45,729,771 of NC_000013.11, forward strand.
TTTTCTCATTTTAATTCCATTATTTCTTTATTCCATCACTCCCCTTCGTTATGTTAACACCTTTCTCCAATAATTTAGGAAGTTGTGCCATTTTCTCTCAAGCATGTCCTGGTTCTATAGATCTTACTCCTTTGAGTTTTCTTCATGATCCAATTGAGGTCTCAAGAATGTTGCCTTTCTCCCCACCCTTCTTCCCAATGTAGGCAGGTGGGGCTGGTGGGGACGTTTGCCACACAGAAAAACAGGCTGCAGTGTGGGAGACAGCAAGACCAGAGCCTCACAGGCCCACAGAGTCTTTATTTTATTTTCTTAGAAAGGGGTCTCACTCTGTTACCCAGGCTGGAGTGTACTGGAGCCATCACGGCTCCCTGCAGCTTCGAACTCCTGGACTCAAGTAATCCTCCTGCCTCCGTGTCTGGAGTAGCTGGAATTTACGGGCATGAGCCATTGCTCCTGACACTAGTCCTTTTTCTGAGAAGTCACAGAGAGGTGGGGGGAACTGGCTCAGGCTGCTTCTCCAAGTCAGTGCAGAAGTTAAGGGGAGCACCTCTGTGGATGTAGAAAAGTCTTCTCCCCACTGTGGCTGCATTAGTGTCTCAGGGCAGGACTGTGTTCCCTCTGAAGGCTCAAGGAAAGAATCCCTCCTTGCTTTTCCCAGCTTCTGGTGGTTTCAGGCATTCCTGAGTTTGTGGCTGCATAACTCCAGTCTCTCCCCCATCTTCACGTTGACTTTGTCTCTGTAGCTATAGTTTCTCCTCTTTTGCTTCTCTTAAGGACATTTGTCATTGGATTTAAGGTAATCCACGATGATTTTATCCTGAGATACCATCTTAGTTATATTCTCAAAGACCCATTTTCAAATAAGGTCACCTTCACAGTTTCCAAGGGTTAGAAAATGGACTTATGTTTTGGAAGCTACCTTTCAAACCACGACAGTGGCCAGCTCTCTCCCTACTCTCTGTCTTGGTACCATTTAGAAACATAACTGAAATTTAAGCACTGTATCTGTAGAGGGCCCTTATGAAAAAGTAAAGTACCTCTGAGAGAGATCATCTGAACATTCAATGCCCATTAGTCCAGGGCTGAGAGCAGGATCCCAGAGGAAAGGGACAGATGAGGCCATGTTAGTAAAGCAATAAGAGGCAGCAGAAGACCTTGGGGCCCCATCAGACTGAACCTGTGACAAGCCACCCCAAGTGAGAAGTTAGGAAGCCAAAGGTAGAGTCTGACCATTCCTAATTTTGCCTTACATCTATGCTGGACTCACCTTCTTGGACTCCAGTGGGAAAAGTGACCACCTTCCTGCCCACTTCTGTTTGTTTCTGGATTGTCCCAGAGGAAGTGTAGAGTTTGTGATAGAAGGAAGTTAGACTGTTAAGCATGATCAGGATGTCACTGCCCATTTAGCCTGTCATGAAACACAAGCTACGAGCTGAGGATCACATGCCCGATGCCAGGTAGCGCTGCAGACCCCTCACTTCCAGTTGAATGTTTCCTCTACTACATTTGGTTGTCTCTAATGATCTCAGTGGATTTAAGGAACATGTTTCATGTATACAATGCACCCTGCTAGGATTGGAGTTTATTTAGACAACCAATTGGCATCGCCAAATCCCAAATTTGCTGAGATCCCAGTTACGTACATTGCTTGCTCTCCATGGGGTATGGATTTGATCTCTATTATACTTAACTATAGCTGACTGGAATAAGCCACTCTGTAGTGAATACATGAATGGAAGAATAAATAAATAAATAAATAATTTAGATCAGCTTTCCCTTTAAGGATTTTATGTATTTGCCCAATGTTCAAGGTTAAGCAAATATAGCCCTGAGGAATAGAAGTCTCATTTTAAGCACCCTTTTGTTTCTATTTGTAAATGGGAACACCAGGTCTATGAATAGGACTGCCCATGCTGTTTGCTCTGTGAGGTCCCGTGCGGCATAGGGGGTAAATGCTTTGTGTTCTGGAGCCAGACAAACCAGATTCAAATCCTGGTCATTCCATTTAATTAGCTGAGGGACTTCGGGCTAATTACTTAACCTCTCTAGAACTCAGTTTTCTCATTGGTAAAAAGGGCAGGTGAGGGGAAGCAATGATAGTTGCTATCTCTTAAGGCTGGAGGGAGGATTAAACAAAGCAAATTTAAAGAGCTTGAATTTTTAGGTAGTGTTTATTATTATTTCTCTTAGAAGAAATACTGTCCACTGCGGAGTTGGTCAGGATCAGACGGATTGGAAGTATAAAAGGTGTCTGATCAATGCACTACCCTACAGGCTGAGGTAGGGATAAAATGTAACAGTTTTTTTTTAAAGAGATAAGATCTTGCTATGTTGCCCAGGCTGGAGTGCAGTAGCTATTCACAGGCCACATCCCACTACTGGTCATCACAGGAGTTTTGGCCTGCTCCGGTTCACCCCTCCTTAGGCAACCTGGTGGTCTCCCACTCCTGGGAGGTCACCACATTTGTGCTGAACACTCAGTTAGTGGGAACACTCAATTAGCATAATACCCTGTCAACCAGAATCCCTAGGCTCAAGTGATCCTCCCACCTCAGCTTTTTAAAAAAATTGTTTTTTATTTTTAGTTTTTTGAGACAGAGCCTCGCTCTGTTGCCCAGGCTGGAGTGCAATGGCACAATCTCGGCTCACTGCAACCTCCACCTCCCGGGTTCAAGCGATTCTCCTGCCTCAGTCCCCCAAGTAGCTGGGATTACAGGTGCCCACCACTGCGCCTGGCTAATTGTATTTTTAGTAGAGACGGGATTTTGTCATGTTGGCCAGGCTGGTTTTGAACCCCTGACTCAGGCGATCTGCCCGCCTTGGCCTCCTAAAGTGCTGGGATTACAGGCGTGAGCCACTGCGCCCAGCCCACCTCAGCCTTTCGAGGATCTGGGATTACAGGTGGGTGTCGCCACACCTGGAAGGTTACAGTTTTTAAAATTAAGGATCCAGTTCTGGTAACCCTGTTCACCTTACCCCCCACCCCAGCCTTCACTCCATCTACCCCTCCAGGCTCTAAACTCATCTTACCTATGATCTGCTCTACTTGCAGTCCAGCTTTATGTATTACATAGGTATAATGAAATTCATCGTTAGAAAGGTTTCCCCCAGGCTCACTAAGCACACCGTGAGGCACGTTGGTAATTATGTGTGTTGTCTGGAGTATGAGACGTTATAAAAATAGAAATGCCATACATTTTATGAAGTGAGGGTGAGCGTGGAGATTATCCAAGACTGTGATGGTTTCCAAATGCAAATTGAACATCTTTCTTTTGATCCCAAACGATGGCAAGAAACTAACATGAATCTTTGATCCTATGCCAGTGTCTGGAGAAATTATGAGGTCTCCAGAATGGGATAATAGATCCTCATCAAGACTTCCAGCTTTAGGAAATTGTTTAATCTCCATTCTCGGTGGCTGCTGCTTTGAGGCAGCTGTGACGGAAAGGTCCCAAGTGCTATTGAAAACAGCTCATCAGTTCAGAACAAAGCTGATTATGTAAATTGTGCATTAAGATGCAGCTCCAATTTAATTTTACTCAGTAAATAAATATCCCATTAACATCCATCTGTTGAAAGTCAGGTAAGGCATTCTCTAAGACTAGAGCCCCAGCGAATGTGCCTGACAGGGGAAGGATTAGGACACCCAAATTCACTATGTAGACCTTTGTTTTTTTTTCTTTAAATGGCAACTCAGCTATAAAACCAATTTAGAGCAAAAAGAAGCTATGATTGGCCGAGAAAGACACTGCATCTATTTCTGGCCGTGCTTGTTGGAGGGCACACGAAAGCTTTCTCTGATTGCTGTCACAGAGATCAATAATAATTATAGCTCGCCAATTCTCTCCAAAAATAAAAACATTTCAGTTGATGAGAAGTGAACACTAAATTAGCACCAGCTCTTTTTGCTGCAGGGCAATTTACCCATCCAGAAATGCCACTTGTGAGAGCAGTCTTTGCCTAATGGGCACAGCTTCCCTCTCCAGAGTTGGGAGTGGTGGAAAATTTCACCCAGCCTCTGGACTGGCAGGCTCTGGAGACAGGCTGCCTCCAGAGCTGCCCTCTCTCAGTTTCAGGCCCATAACTACCGATGGCCCTTGAGCTCTAGGAAAAGCTCTTGATACTTCTAGAGTAGCCTATTAATATCATGTGCGTCCAGGAACATCTGCTTTGTCATTATCTGCCCAGTTTTTGGTAGGGATGAATTGTCAATCAGCTGCAGTAGGATAGCTAAGAACCTGTTGTGTTTCTGGATGGCACAACTGCTGGTGTGAGGAAGTGAGGAAGAGATGAGGAGTGGGATTAGCATGGGGCTGGGGACAGGCTGAGGATGACCCATCGTGGACTTCATACTCTAACCCTTAAGGCACTGTTTTCCAAACTGTTGATCACTCTCGTGATAAAAGTGACCATTGCAGCTGGCTACAGACATCCCTGGAAAGGTATGAAACAGAGGCCATTCAGCCAAGGCTATCAGACCAGATGCCACTAGCATAAGCAGTGCTTTTGTGCATACTGCAACAGGGAGACCGCCTGGGCAGAAAAACCTCAAAAAATGCCCCTTTTTCCCAACTGATGAAGCCCTGAGTCAAGGCCCATGGATTTAGGAGAAGAAGGTACAGCTCTCCTCTGCCCTATCCCCCTTTCTTCAAAGTATGCCCCCTCCCCAAGTGTGAGGCCAGAAGCTTGCTCCTCCTTTTCTCCTCTTCTTCCTGTCTTCAAGTGGGGTGTAATGCCTGGAGCTAAAGCAGCCATTTTACAGCCATGAGACAACACACCAACCTGCTTAGGAGGGCGAAAGGAATGATGGGTGAGGCTTGGGTCTTAATGACATTGCTGAATTGCTACACTAGCCCTGGGCTGACTATCTCTCAACCTCTTATTATGCAAGAAAGAGAAATCTCTATTTTAAACCAATGTAAAGAATTACAGGCAAAAGACCTCTAATCAAAACAGAGAATAAAAGAAGTAGCAGAGCTGTGATAGGCAATAGGTAGAGAAGGCTAGATGTCTGATTCTTGGCAAACTCACCTTCAGAGACACCACTCACACTTCTTTTACAGGTGGACTTTAGGATCTTCCTTCCTTGATATTTGTTGAAGACCAAATCACTAAGTCCATCCCTTCATTGTGCCCTTTTACAGAATTTCCTTCAGCTGTTCACTTCTAGGATTGCTTTTTTCTGCACTGTCACTATGAGTCCTGAGTGAATCAAGGATGTAGGTTGAATGAGGCATCACTGTGACTGTCAGCCCTAAAAGTAAAATATCAGAAATGGCTTCATGGGCAGGAATGAGATGAAAACATGGCAGCATGTGCAGGAATGACACAGCCAAGCTAAAATCCCCAGTATTAACTATCCCCGTAAGCCAAGTTCTCTATGAGACCTGTGCCACCTCATCTAACACTGGCAGTCTGAGGTGTCACTGGAGTGAAAAAGAGCATTTCAGGTTCTAGCTCTTCCTCTCTAGGACATAAACAGGGCTTGTGTGTATGTACACTCGTGTGCATGTGTGTGCAGGAATGATTATAGGCAGGATCATGATACAGGTAATGTCTACTCCTCTGTGTCCATTTCCCATTATATGTCTTACCCGGCTCCCCCCAGACTGGCTCCTCGTGTCTTCATTCTTGTATCAGTTAGATTAGCTTGGGTCATGCTGCAGTAATGAACCAACCCAACTCTCATTTGCTTAGACTAATCAAAGGTGTATTTTTTGCTTGTGCTGCATGTCCTTTGAGGATAGCTGAGGGTCTCTCTCCACATCATTGTCATCCTCACCCCAGGACTCTGGCTGTCAGAAGTGACCTTATCTGGCACATTCCTAGTTGCTATAGCAGAGGGGAAAAAAGCTGTAGGGCAGCTCTGTGCGATAGAAATATAACGTGAGCCACAAATGTGAGCCACATATGTATGTTCATGTTTTCTAGTAGCCACATTAAAAAGGTAAAATTAAGTTTAATTATTTTATTTAACCTAATATTATAATTTTAACATATAATCAATATATAAATTTGAATTGGTCTGGCCGGGTGCAGTGGCTCACGCCTGTAATCCCAGCACTTTGAGAGGCCGAGGCGGGCGGATCACAAGGTCAGGAGATTGTGACCATCCCGGCTAACACGGTGAAACCCTGTCTCCACTAAAAAATACAAAAAATTAGCCGGGCATGGTGGCAGGTGCCTGTAGTCCCAGCTACTCGGGAGGTTGAGGCAGGAGAATGGCGTGAACCTGGGAGGCCGAGCTTGCAGTGAGCCGAGATTGCACCACTGCACTCCAGCCTGGGTGACAGAGCGAGACTCTGTCTCGAAAAAAAAAAAAAAAATTTGAATTTGTCTCTACATGCACACACAAACAAACACAAACACAAACGCACACACATTTTTTGGTACTAAGTTTTTGTGATTCAGTATGAGCATTTTATGCTTACAGTGCATCTTGATTTGCACCGGCCATGTTGCAAATGCACAGTGGCCACTTGTGGACTGCCATATTGGATAGTGCATCTCTAGGGTTTCACTTCAACAATTACGTGTTCAATCTAGCAGTGGCCAACACATGTGTCTTCTCCTTAGAGCTCATTGGATAAAATTGATCACACGGCTCCACCCAACCCTGGCAAGGGCAATTCTTCCTTTTGCCTTAACATGGAGAGGTGGGAACAGTTGGCATACAGCAGTCAGGACCCCTAAACGCTTCTCAGTCGATACTGCCCTTCACTGGGACATCCCATTTCATGCCAGAGAGGGTGGTCCCTCCTCTGGTGTGAAAACCTCCTGGGCCAGCAGTCAGTGTTGGCTTGACTCCATTCTTGCTTGGCCATGAGGAGCGGAAGGCAAATATGTCAAATCTTGCAATCAAAGACCCAGAAGATGCTAGTGCCACATTCTTTTTTAAAAAATAAGAAATCCCTGGAACTGTGAGGTAAATACTACCAAATGGAGGTAACTGGGTGGCCCCAAGGCTGGAGGTTCAGGCAGCAAGGGGAGGTATTCATGGAGCAGAAGGATTTTCCATTAATCGTTTATGTTTGCTGACACCTTTAGCTTCCTTTCTGGCTGCCTTATTGCTAAGTCTTTTGAGCTCCTCTCCCCCACTGCTTGTGACACCATCACTGGGGAGCAAGTAGCACAATGACTGTCCACCACTCTCTATAGACCATAAGGTGATGCATAGGTACTATTTTTTTTTTTTTTTTTTTTTTGAGACGGAGTCTCGCTCTGTCGCCCAGGCCGGACTGCGGACTGCAGTGGCGCAATCTCGGCTCACTGCAAGCTCCGCTTCCCGGGTTCACGCCATTCTCCTGCCTCAGCCTCCCGAGTAGCTGGGACTACAGGCGCCCGCCACCGCGCCCGGCTAATTTTTTGTATTTTTAGTAGAGACGGGGTTTCACCTTGTTAGCCAGGATGGTCTCGATTTTTTCTTTTGTAGTAGAAGGTCTTAGAGGCCTTGACCACAACTTACTCTTCTTTGAATACCTATGAACCAGATAGGTACTACCTAGTACATGGTAGATGGCTCAGTAGCCATCTAAAGGAATGAATTCATATTAACTTTCACAAAACTATTCCTAAGTTGTTTATATTTTTAGTGGTGCTGCGACTGAGAGTCAGAATTGGCCCATGTGTCCGCTGTTATTGAAGAGAATGAGGATAGTCATTGATATGCCTCTTGGTGAGAGCCCTCCTAGTAGCCAGTTGGACTTGTACTTTGTAAAATGTGCATAACATGTGAATGTACATTGTTTTAGAATATAGATTTTATTATTATTCAAGTATGGTGAAAGCCAACAGATCAGGAGATGACTGCCATTGAGGAGACAGTTTGTTGCTCACAGTTCCAAGAGGAGGGGGCATGTCATACCACACCAGGCCACTTGGGGAAGCACCAGGGTCCGACAGGAGGCAGAGAAGTGGGAGGAAAGCATGGCCACCAGCCTTTATTGTGGTTTCTGTGGGGAGGAACAGGCGAGGCAGGGTAAGCAGGCTTGGGATTGGCTAATCTGAATAACTTCATAGCAGGCTCTGTGGTATAGGGGCTATCTCCATTGTCTGGTACCTGGCCCTGGGGTCATTAGGGCAGACAGATAGTGGCTCAGAGTGTGAAAGTCCTGCTAAAGCCCAATAGAGGAGGTGGTGAAGATGTGGGCTTTGGATTGGTTAGTTTGCATGTGTGAAAGGTACACTTGCAGCTGTTCTTTGTAATCTCTAGAAATTGCTATCTCTATGGTTACCTCTCCAGGGTCAGCAAGGCCCCAGATGTCAAAGCATCAGAAAGACAATAAGTGAAAAGGCATGATTAATCCATATATAAATGACTCCACCGAGTTGAAAGGTGCCATTTCAGTATCTTAGGGCCTAGAAAACTGGGGCTTATGTGCCCTTTACTGGTAAGTGTTCGAAGTGGTTTTTGTCACTTGTCATTGGGGTATTAAATAGTGAGAATGCAAGTCTAGAAGTCAGAGGCCTGAGCTACATTTGTGGTCCTAAGTGGATTCCCTGCTGTCCCCACATGGACCCTATGAGAAGAGGTCTCTGAACCTTTGGATTAAAAAACAACACAGCCATAGTAACTGTGTACTTTGTGAAAGCTTAGTATGCCTAAAAAGGATCTTGCACTACAGAAATTTCAGCTCAATAGATTGAACTTCAAAATAAGTAGCAGAGCTGTCCCATACTTTTCAAGGATGAAATAAAGGTTAATTTGTTTTCTTCCCTTTTCACTGGAGCAGACTCACATTTGGGTGAGAGACCAAGGCTGCGGGGAGTCAAATGGGACCAGGGATGTAGGGATGACTGACTGCCAAAGCTTCCTAGTGCGGCTCAGACTGTCAGTGCTCCACGTTTTAAGTGCCATGTGACAGGTCTCTAGCACATTGGAGAACAGCTGGAGGGCCAGCAAGAGACGCTTGATGTTCTTGATGCATGTTGGTGTCTATGAATTCACTGAACTCTAGGAGTCCCTCCAAAGTGTATTACATACTTTAGCAACAGACACTTAGAAAGTCAAGTGGGACCCAGTGTTACTAAAAAATGTTGATGCACCATTTGGTTGCCCTCTGAGCTTCCCTACAACTCTTAAACTTATGGCTCATTCAACAAAATGGAGCAGAGTTCAACAAGGAGTTAAAAATTAAGTATCTGTCTCAAAAGGTCTGAATGTCTGGGGATCTATAGACCTGGGGATCCTATAGACCTGGGGATCTGTAAGTATTGTGCAGCAGGGAGACCTCTTAAAATGATGGCATCTAGAGCCAAGAACAATGGCCATTTTATTGCTTCCTGAATCCTAGAGCACCAGGGCTCAATGCACGTGTGCCATTGGTAGCAGCATGGTGCTTTACAGAGAGGTCAGCCAAGGGATTGTCATCTGAATGTTGGCAGCAGAATGGCTACCAAATTTCTTTGGACTGGAAAAAATATATCCAAAATCCACATTTTCACTTGAAAGTGTTTATTATGGTCTAGAAAAAAAATTTATATGCATACTCAAGTTTACCAGTCGAATTAAAAAAAAAAAGATATTCACTGATGAAGGAAAAGTGAACTAATGATAATATTACCAAAAAGAAATGATAGCTGATACTTACACAGTGCTTTCTATGTGCCAGGCATTGGTCCAAGCTCTTTATTTAGCAACTTGTTTAATCCTTACAACAATCCCGTGAGGTAGGTAGTAGTAGTATTTCCTCTTCACTGATGGAAACAACTGAGACTAAGCAGTTTGCCCATAGATCATTCAGCTGGTAAATAATGGAGCTGGGATTTGAACCTAATCAGTCTAGCTCCAGAATGCATGTTCATGATCCCAAACCATGTTAAAGGAGGGAGCACAGTTGGAAAGGCAGCATTATCTCTGCCCCAGTTTGCTTTTCAGTCTGCATTGATGTCTATTGAGCATCTCTGCAGGGAGTTGTGACATTTTTCAGGTCCCAAAGGTCATACCCTTCAGACTGTGAGATGACCCTTAAAGTCAAAAAGGCTTTAGTAGGGCTTTAGGATCTTCCTGTTGCAGTTCTCCAGAAATAGCGGTCCTCAGGAAACACCCAGAGTCTTAGGGTATCCGTAATTCCTTAAAGGTGATGGTTGGCAAAAGCTCCTTGCAATGTCAAATCTCCCGCTTCCTTACAGGCTCAAAAGCTTGTTTGCGGAATCAATTGGGATAGGCTGGAGTATGTTGCAGTAACACAAACTGCCAAATCTTAGTGGCTTAAAACAACAAAGGTTTATTTATCATGCATGTTACATGCCCACAGGTCATGGGTGTGTAGACAGACAGTGACATATTACATGCCTATCCCAAGTTGCCAAGGGGTCTCGACTTACAGCAATCTTTCAAAGGCCTAGGATGACAGAGAAGCCTTCAAGCTATCATCTTGAAGTGGGCAGCTGCCATGCCAGAGGACAAGTGCTCTGGAAATTCTTGGACCTGAAATTAAAGGTATACCCTAAAGTAGCACAAAATCCATGGGTCCAAACTGGTTACAGATCCCACTCAACCACAGGAGAACAGGAAGTATGTTTCTAACATGTGCTCAAAGAGAACAAAAGCAAGCAATCACTGGTAAACCCTGAGCATCAATCTTTACCTTGTTCAGTCTGAACAACTGTGAGAAAGAGGATTTCAGACAGCATCCAAGGCTGGTGTGATGGCTCTCACGCCTGTAATCCCAGCACTTTGGGAGGCCGAGGCAGGTGGATCACCTGAGGTCAGGAGTTTGAGACCAGCCTGGCCAACATGGCGAAACCCTATCTCTACTAAAAATACAAAAATTATACGGGCATAGTGGCAGGCACCTGTAATCCCAGCTATTTGGGAGACTGAGGCAGGAGAATCGCTTGAACCTGGGAGGTGCAGGTTGCAGTGAGCGGAGATTGCGCCAGTGCACTCCAGCCTGGATAACAGGGCGAGACTCCATCTCAAAAAAAAAAAAAAAAAGAAAAGAAAAAGAAAAGAAAGAAAGTACTCTACTAATCTGAATCTGCTGAGATCCTGGTAGCACAGTGAATAGGGATCAGTGTCAAGCTTTATTGAGTCTGACTTAAATGCATTAGATTAGAAAGTACTTAATTTAGCTGGTTGTTTTCCTGATTTCAGTGACTGCTCCATCCATTTCTCTCTGCTTCCCTCCTTCCCTTATCCCCCATCCACTTGTCAGGTCCTGGGATTTTAATGCTGTTATGTTGGCACAAGGCAATTTTTATTTGTAGTAATTTAAAGGGTTGAATGAAGCCATGACTGCAAAGGGTGAAGAACAAGAATATATTTGTAAACATTTTATGTACCATTTCCTGACTATGCTTTTACAGAAGGGAGCTCTGTGGGACTCCTTTCCTCCCCATTATGCAATAGAATCATTTAGTTTTGTCTGTACTACTTTTGGTGTGTACAAGATGCAGTTCTTCACCAAACAGGGACTTCCCATCAAATTAGATTCTGGATGATCTAGGGAAGAGGAGGTAAGAGACCTGTCAATACTTCTTGGTCTGACTGATTGTGGGGAAAAGGCTGAATTGAAAACATGGTTGATCGTGGTGTGCTCTCTACAAGGAAAAAGAGGAAAGGAAGTTGATTCTGGAGTCACACAGACATGGGTTCAAATTCTAGAGGGACCACTTATTAGCCCGTGATCTTGGGTAGATCCATTTCTTCATCCTTTGTAAACCCACTGTCAACAAGTGCTCAAGAGGTTGGTCTCTTTAAACAGACATAAAGTAAGGAAAGCAGTAGTCTTTGATTCTGACATGCCAGAGACTGTAGAAAGGTTTTGGTGGCAATGAACTCACAGGGCTCTGCTTAGGCTCAATCATGGGGTCTACATGCATACATAGATTTGTCATCTCACTCTTCAAAGAATCATAATTAACATATTTCTACGTATGGTTCATATCGAGGGGGCCAATAAATAAATGGAGATCACCAAGGAAAAGGATGTAAAAATAGTCCGTGGTGGAGACAGACATTGTCATCTTATTGTGTAGTAAGCAGCCTAATTTAAAAAATGACAACATCCAAAGGCATCAACGGCAGGAAGGGAAGGGAGTCCGACCCAGGTGGTTACATTTATTCCTTCATTATTGAAGAGAAACATGCCTCAGTGCTGGGTGAATACCTCCATTGCGTTTTTCAGAAAATGGATGTAAGCCATATTTCTTGTGTTCTATTTCATTAGAGTGAAAGCATGATAATGATATGTGGTTGAAATAGAGGCCCATGAGTTCTGAGAAAATCAACACCAAGAATAAGATTGCTACCAAAGCAAAGGCCTCTTAAATTCTGTTGACTGACGTCTCCCTAAATCTAATCCTCAGGGACCTGGCAGCCTCCTGCTTATTCCCATTTGTGGCTGCAGTGACTTATTATCAGGTTAACACCTCCCTGGAGGGTGTTTACTCTCAACAGAGACCGGATTCTAGTCTATCAGGCTTTTTTATTAACCACTATAGAAGTGCTGACCATAATGCCTAGAGAAAGGTTTCTCAAAAATCACGTAATGAATTAAGTAAGATTCCTGGAGATGTGGCTTAGGAGCCTGAATTTTGACAAGGTCCTAAAACACTGATGTTTGAAAACCAGTGACTTACTGTCCATGTATGAAATGATTCCTAAAATCCATTATCAGCAAAGAGGAGCATCACATCTTTTTTTTTTTTTTTGAGACAGAGTCTCGCTCTGTCACCCAGGCTGCAGTGCAGTGGCGCAATCTCAGCTCACTACAACCTCTGCCTCCTGGGTTCAAGCAATTCTCCTGCCTCAGCCTCCCGAGTACCTGGGACTACAGGTGTGCACCACCATGCCGGGCTAATTTTAGTATTTTTGGTAGAGATGGGGTTTCACTATGTTTGCCAGGCTGGTTTCAAACTCCTGACCTCAGGTGATCGCCTGCCTCGGCCTCCCAAAGTGTTGGGATCACAGGCATGAGCCACTGCACCTGGCCAGAGCATTACATCTTGGAAGGCTTATGAAAACCAGAGATGGATGGTTCTGGAGCTGGACCATGGACAGACAGCATCCTAAAATCCAAACAATTACCACTTCCCATATTTTATACTCACATCCCCAGTAAGCATCCTGAACAAGTCATTTGCTGGGGATTTTCTCACTTTTATATTACCTTAGTTATTTGCCTTTCTAGTGATTTTTCTTGGATTTCTCCTTACATTTTTATAAGTCTCTGTCTTTCCCCTCTAACTACAGATGACTCTTGGCTGTCTTGGCACTTCTTTGCATTTCTTCTAGTGCCCAGCGCATAGGTTGTGCTGTAAGGATGTCTATGAACGTGTTGATATAGGTGCAGCTCAAGTGTCAGTTCAGCCGGGAACTTCAAGATATCCTGAAGTAGATGCGCCTGCCTGAGTCTCCTGCTCCATCCCTCGTGTGCTTGGAACTGTGATGCCACATGCAGGTGCCCAGAAAGCACATGCTCATTGATTGCTGACCTTTGACTCCCTATCTCATTTTGATGAATGCCCTTATATCCTAAGGGAAAGCTGCTCCTGCTGGCAGTTACCAGACATTACTCCAGAATGGCTGCATCTCAGATGGCTTCTGCAATAGATAATGCCCACTGCCAAACTGCCTCCTAGATGTCTAGTGGAAGTCTCTAACTCAACATGCCCTGAGCAACACTCTTCATCCTCCCTCTCCATTCCGATCTGCCCACCATCTTCTCCATCTTGGGAAGTGACACCTGCAGGCTTCCAGGTGCTTAGGTCCAAAAGTTTGGAGCAGCCTTTTACGCCACTCTTCCTCTTGCACCCCAAATCCAATCTGCAGCAAATTCTGCTCAATCGATCTTAAATATAGATTCAGAATCTGACTGCATGTCAACCCCTGCGCTGATACCACCCTGGTCTTGGCCACCATTATTCCACTTCTGCATTTCTGAAATGGCCTTGTAAGTGGTCTCCTTGACTTCACTCTTGCCTTACTCTAGTCTGTGCTTGATACAGCAGCCCAGGGAATCCTTTCAATCAAGTTAGATCATGTCACTCTGTTGCTAAACATGCTAGAATCCTTCTCCACCCCTCTATCCCTCAATTTCTCCCAGAATAAAAGCTAAAATCCATAATCAGACCCTTCCATATCTCTGTGGCCTCATTCAGTATTCCTCTTGCTCCGTCTGCCCCAGTGACATTCGCCTCCTGGCTATTCAATGGTCATAGCAGGTACTTCCTTCCCAGAATGTCTGTTCTCTGCATTTTTCTTAAAGAGTCCAGTGGATAACTCCCTTGATTCCTTATCATCTTTGCTCAAATGCCATCTTCATAGCAATTCCGTCCCTCACCACTAAGTTTAAAACTTCACCATTTCAGGCCGGGGGCGGTGGCTCAAGCCTGTAATCCCAGCACTTTGGGAGGCCGAGGCGGGCGGATCACGAGGTCAGGAGATCGAGACCATCCTGGCTAACACGGTGAAACCCCGTCTCTCCTGAAAATACAAAAGATTAGCCGGGCGTGGTGGCGGGTGCCTGTAGTCCCAGCTACTCGGGAGGCTGAGACAGGAGAACGGCGTGAACCCTGGAGGTGGAGCTTGCAGTGAGCCGAGATCGCGCCACTGCACTCCAGCCTGGGCGACAGACCGAGACTCCGTCTCAAAAAACAAAAAACAAAAACTAAAAAGCTTCATTTCACCAGTGCTTGTAATCTTCTTATCCAGTCCTAACTTTCCCTCAGCTTTTTACCACATTTTAGCATATTGTGTACATTTTTTTATTTATTTGCTTATTGGTCTTTTTTATTCACAACCAGAATGAAAGTGGGGCTGGGATTTTTTTTGTCTGATTTGTTTACTATTTCTCTATTGCCTAAACTATTAAGTCAATGTTGGGAAGGAAGGCAGGCAGGGAGGAAAGAAGGAAGGAGGGAAGGGACTCCATTTTTAGGAAGTCCTAAATATTGGAATAGAGGTTGTTAAACTGAAATTAACATTAATTCATGCTGAGTAGAGGAAAGAGAACCAAATTTTTGAGAACTGGTACAGGAAGCATTTCTCACACACTGATTGTCTCTGATTGAAATCTATATGAGTGGTCTGCAGCATCTGCACAGATTGATTAAATGGCTTCCTGCCTAATCAGCTCTCCATCAGTTATTATCTGTGTTCTCACCTGTCAGCCATATTGAATGGGGGATGGCTTCCTCCAGCTCTGTTCAGGCTCTCAGAGCTATGGGGTGTGTGACATGAAGTTCCGAGGTGAGGCAGAAGGAAATTCTAACCCAAGTACAGGTTGAGAGAGCCTTCTTATTGGAGACTAACTGTCCTTACTGAAGGTGTCCCCTAGAAACCAGGCCTTCCTGGGGGTAATGGCTTGTGTGAGCCTGATGTGGAAGCTTTCATTCCATTCTTCCTGATCCTGTGGCCTGGAGATGGATCCAAGAAAGATGTGGATAGGTCAAAAGCTATTTCTGCTCGTCAGCAATATCTTCTGCATTAGCATTGCCAGCAGGGCTGGGTGTTAATGGGGGAGACCCTGGGTCAGTGCTGGTTCCATGATTCGCTGTAAACACAGTTCTTAGAGTACTCCCCAAGGGTGGATTACAGGGGAGCTCACTCTGTTGGTATCTTTCACTCACTCAGTAACTCACTCTCTTCGATGGGGTCCAAGTAGACCCATGTTGGACTGTGGATGTCCTCTGTTATTAAAAGGGCTGTGTTATTGAAAGGCTTCCATGTGGTTCTAAGAGGCAAGAACTACATATTAGGTTGGTTCTTGTGGTGAAAGTGATTGTGGTGGTTTTAAAATGTGGTCATAAGTTCCTTGGCACATCTCTTATCAAGAGATGGGGGCTGCGTTCTGCCCTTGCACGTGGTATGCTCTGTGACCAATGAGTGGACTGTAGAGAAAAGAACAGTAATGTTACATGACTTCAAAGGGTGGAATGCATCTTCCATCTTCTTTATTGGAAAACTCACTCTAGGAGCCCTGAGCCACCATGTGAAGAGCCTGACTGTCCTGAGACTGCCATGCTGGAGAGGCCACATGGAAACACTCCAAGTGACAATTCCAGATGAATACACATATCCCTAAGACTTCCCAACCCGGGCACCAGACAGTGAATAAGGAAGCCCCCTTGGAAGTGGATTCTCCAGCCTCACCTGTGTCTCTCTACCTTCTGCCCACCTTTGAGTCACCCCAGCTGAGGCCCCAGATATCTTGGAGCAGAAAACCTTCCCAGCTGTGGCCTTTCTGAACACCTGACCTACAGAATCTTTGCACGTAATAAAATAGTTATTATAGG
The DNA here is from genome assembly GCF_000001405.40 of Homo sapiens. NCBI lineage: Eukaryota > Metazoa > Chordata > Mammalia > Primates > Hominidae > Homo > Homo sapiens. Next base: position 45,746,013 of record NC_000013.11, read on the forward strand.
CCACTTAGTTTTGGGATCATTTTGCAGTAATAGATTGTTAGAACAGTGATGTATTCAGAAAATACCAGCTTTGGAGTCAGTTAGACATCAATTCAAATGCCAACTCCCAGTTGGCTATCTCTGTGATCTTGGAGAGTGTCTGATACAGCTTTAAAGAGGGGATAATATAACCTGTATTTCAGGTTGATGTGAGGGTTAAATGAGGTAATATGTCCAAAGCCTATTATATAAGAGTTTTTTAAAAATCTTAACTTTCCTTTTCTTCTCTTCCCTTCCACTTAAGGAAGAAAAAAACAATAACCTAGTTATGTCCATTTTGGAAATGCAAGTGTATCTGATGCATTTTGTGACTCCCATGTGGGTCAGCCTGCATTAGAGCTGTTGGTTTACTTCTCCCTCTGCCCGGCCTGTTCCCCCTGACCTGTGAACTCCGTTTGGCACAGGTCTGCTCTTTTTAAACTTAGAGATTAGCCCAGGGCTGGTTCGAAGTAGTTGCATGATCAATGTTGTCAAAGAAATGTGTGAAGAAATGCTTACAAGTAGAAAGCTGAGCCTGCATGTATGATTTCACAGTGGGATAGGGGAGTGTGAGGAACTGTATCTGTAAGAATTAAATCTGATTTTTTGAAAGTCAGCTCTCAAAGAGACCCAGACTTTGGCACTGACTGCCTGGGGTCAAATCCTGTCTTGGTTCCTTATTGGCTATGTGACCTTAGGTAAGTTACATAACCTCTCCGTGTCTATCTTTTCCCATCTACAAAAAGGGAAAAAAATAATGGTACTTACCTAAGAAGTATATTGTGATGAGTAAACACTATACATCAAGCACCCATAACAGTGCCTGGCTCGTGGTAATGCTATGTAACACTGCTCCTCCTCGTTCATGGACCAGGAGCATCTACATCACCCACAAACTTGTGAGAAATGTAGGAATCTCAGGCTCCAACAGAGTGACCAAAACAGAATAAGCATTTTAATAAGATCCTCAGATGATTCATATGCCTATTAAGACTGGAGAAAGCCTGTTTTTCTAGTAAGCCTTAACTAGTATTATGATGTGGAAGAGCATTGTCATACATTTGGAAAACATCTTCCTAAAAAATTGGTGCAGTCCCAACATGCAGGGTTTTTAAAATGTCATGGACTTGGGATTTAGGCCAAGTGAAGGACAATGAATGCCAAGGGCCACGCCACTGTACGCTTGTCCAGCAACATCCTCTTCTCTTCCCTTCACATTATACTCCATCCTTTAGCACTTCCTCTCTTGTGGCTTGCAGGCAAACACCCACATCTTACCACATGGCTCCTGGTTTATTTCTGGGCCTGAATGCTCTCTGCAGTTCAAGTGTTGTTCATTTCCAGTGCTTAGTCCAGGTAAAGGGAAATGGTATTATCTGCAGTATTCTGGAAGGTTGCTTTGCATTTGTCAGAGGCATTCTCCTTTGTTTTTTGTGTTTTTGTTTTTGTTTTTGAGATGGAGTCTCGCTCCATCATCCAGGCTGGAGTGCAGTGGTGCGATCTTGGCTCACTGCAACCTCTGCCTCCCAAGTTCAAATAATTCTCCTGCCTTAGCCTCCCATGTAGCTGGAATTACAGGTGCCCACCACCATGCCTATCTAATTTTTTTTTTTTTGTATTTTTAGTAGAGACGGGGGTTTCACCATGTTGGCCAGGCTGGTCTTGAACTCCTGACCTCAAGTGATCCACCCACCTCAGCCTCCCAAAGTGCTGGGATTACAGGCATGAGCCACTGTGCCCCAGCCCATTCTCCTTTGTTAACACCTGTAAAATGCACCTGCAATTTTATCACAAACTAGGAACCCATTTAAAAAATGCATTCCTTGTGTAAAGCCTTAGACAGATTCACCAGTTAACACGTTCTGCTGCTCTTAAGCAGAAATAACCATTGTGGTCTATTTGTTGACTGGTTTTCTTAGTAATACATACTTTTGTTAACTACGTGCATCACTGTGGTGACAGTTAATCAGACAGTTTTTGGACTTAAGATAATCATTACTTGTAAAATTACAGCAAGCTGACTTCTCATTAAAATTTCACTAATGTCTTCTCTGAGTGTTTTAAATTTGATACTTTACAAAGCATGACACTCTATTAAGCTTCCTTTCATGTTGTCCCTTGTTTTAATAGCTTCATAAAGTTTTAATATCTTTTTGCAATTAATGCGAGAAAAAGCAATGTAGAATGGTTGAACTAAAGTAAACATTCTGATGCAGTGTTTTGCCACCCCGTCCCGTTCCCACACCTCACTAACTCTCTAGAAACCAGTAATACAAGCAAGAAAGTCTTAGAGCAAATTCTGCGAAAACATCAGGAAATCAGTGGATCCTGCATTAGGGGTCCTTGGGTTCCTGTTCTGTCATTCTACTGGTAAGGACCACCCAGAACTGGGAATGTACGGCATCTCTTTCCTTTCCTGCAAGAATTGCCCGAATGGCAATTTCCTCAGTGGCTTGTTGTGGGTGGTGGCTGGGTCTTCCCCAGGTGCAGTGGGCAGGCTAAGGCCACAGAGCTCTCTGGACCTTGTGACCAGGGGGGCAGGGAGGCAGTGCCTGTGTGGTAGTAGGGTCGGGCTCCACATCATCTATTCTGCGGAAGTGCTCCAATCTCTCCCACCCCCAGGTACTCTGGCCTCTGCCTCACACAGACATAGCCTCCTAAGATATTGCAGACTCCAGATGTGAAATGGTTTGGAACAAAAGGGAGGAAGAAGTGACAGCCTCACCAAGGCACCTGTATTCGTGCTGCCTCCTTCTCCTGCTGTGGTTTAATAATTCAGTTGTAGGCAAAGAAAGCTGGATGGCTTTATGTCCCCAAAGGGAGTCATTCAAATTTGCAAAGCCTCTATCCCAACCCGCAGGAGTCTAAAGGTTTTCTGGACCAAATGATCTCCCTCAATTCAGATGTTATTGTTTTAATATAATGAAAAATGCAGTGACATCAGCGGCTTACAATAGCCCCCGTCATTCATCCTTTCAAGCTATGCAAGTATATTTAGTAATCAGGGAGCACAAGGCAGGCTGCTCTTTATCCAGGTTATTACAGAATTGGCAATGTTTGCTTTCTTATTACAATTTTCCAATTAGTGGGAGAGCAATGGCAATAGGCCAGCTTGGGATCTCCAGGGAGATGCCTGAAATTTTACATGCAACTTAAAGAGATAGGAGTTATCAGGGCTGAGACTTGTGCTAATCTCCCCTTTTCACCAGGGGATTAGGTGGAGAGATGTGGATTTGTGGTTTTAATCAGAGGAGCTGCTGGAACTTTCATCATGGCCTTTGAATTGTGCCCGTGGCTCCTTCCATCCTCTGATGGAACAGGTCACTGGATCCTTCTCGTAGGATTTGAGATTATCAGGGCTTTCTGGAATTGGCAGCTGTGTGGTCGGCTGTTTCCCGCTTTGAGCCCAGTGAAAGTTTCCTCCACTCCTGCACCCCTCTGTCCCTCGGCTCCAGGCAGCCTGGCCGCCACATTCTGCCTGTGCTCATCACCTTTCCTGGAAAGCTCTCCTTACGTCCCTCTTCAGCCACCACACTTGGCCAGCTCTTCCAGTTCAAGGACAGCATCCTACACGAATCTCCTTCCGGTCAGGACTCTAGAGCACGAGCAGTCTATAAATAGGACCTCGCTTCTTAAAAAAAATTGTATGTTTTGATCAGCAGAGCAATTCATTTTAGAAAATGTTAATACAAAATATAATATATACTACTAGGTAATCATTTTTAGCCCTTTAGTGACAGTTTTCTTAGATACATATTAAGTTACTTTCCTCACTTGGCAGTGTGCCATGAGCTTTTTCTCACATCGTTAACAATTTTTCTACAGCATAATTTTAAATGGCAGAATAACATTTTATTATACGGATATGTTGTTACTGTTTTTAAAACTATTCTTTATTATTGGCCATTTAGGGGTTTTTTAATATCTTTCTCATATAAACTGTGCAATGATGAATGTCCTTTTACATATCTGTTATTATTTCCTTAAGATGCATTTCTGGAAGTGGAACTGCTGAGTTAAAAAGCATTTGTGTAGTGTCAGGATGGTCAAGTGGTCTAAAAATCATTTGTGTTGTAGGGGAGCAAAAGTAATATCTTTTCCTTACTCATTGCAAGGTTCATGGCTAATACCTATAGGGCCAAAAGGGAAAACCTTCCCCTCCACTCTCTGAAGGTTCATTGAAAATAAACTTACAATAGGCAGACTAATAAGAGAAAAAGGCATATGAAATGTATTTATGTGCATGGCCCAGGAGAATCAGGAGAATGATTACCCAGTGAGGTCCTGATGCTTATATTACCTTCTTCAGAGGGGAAGGGGAGTTGGGGGTGTAGGAACAGATAATTTTAGGAGGGAAAAATAGATTCAGGAGGCAGACATTTGCTTGTGAATGATTCTCTTTGGGAATTGAAGGGACCAAAGAACAAACCATCGTTTGGGACAAAGTTCAAAGTTCATCCGAGTTCTAGGTGTGGTATTTCATTTTTAGTCGCTTTCTCTGTGGTTTGAGTTTTAATCTTCTCTGGTTAGTAAACTTAAGGGAAAGAATCAAAGGCAATTGCCTCTCTGGGGGTCCGGTTTCTAGGCAGATAAGGGCACTTCAGAGAACAGCTCCATCCTGTGCTTGTGGAGAGACAGAGGATTGAGAGACAGGAGGCAGGGATGGGAGAGTCTGAGAGACCTTGAAGCTGCTTCTCTACTTTAGCTGTCAAGTCACCATACATGGGAGATCATTTTCTGAGCCCTAACACACCCCTATAACAAAAGGCAGATTAACAAGAGAAAAGCGTAACATGTTTATTTAACCAAAGTTTTATGTGACGCAGGAAGTCTTCAGAAATGAAAACCCAAAGACCCAGGATAAACTGTATTTTTATTTTAAGTCTGATGAAAGAAGTGGAGAGTTGTGGAGATATATGATTGGACAAAAAGGGGTATGATCTAATGGTGTTAAACTACAGGGAAGTCAGCAAGGCCTGCTTGTTCAGGTTCTTCTTGGCTTCCAGGTATAGGGCAGGACAACTGTTAAATGAGGGTCTTACCATCTACTTTCAGGGGAGAGAAGTCAGACAATTCTTCTAGGGCCATGTTTCAGGGGAGAAAGGTGAAAGAAAGTCAGAGAGTGGCCTTCTTTTTCTACAGTTTCCTCCATTTCCTTCAGCTTAAAATACTTAGTATGCCAAGGTGCCGTATTTGGGGATATTATATTCAGAGCTCTGACAATATTCTGAGAGGTTTTGACCAGTTTAACCTCCTTAAATATTGCTCCAACCTCCTTAGGCCTGGCAAGGAATTATATTCTTATGGCTCCTCTCTAGCTTCACCTGGGTAAACCTGTGAGTTCCTGAAGGGCAAGAACCACACCCCCTCTTTTTGTCGCTACACTGCATATTGGGGACTAAGTCTCTTGTCCATGTCCAGCTAATCAAAGTTGGGACAAGAAGTGAATGAGAAACTCGCTGTTAGGGTTATGCAAAGTACAGGATCAGGTTTATTCTTGTTTACAATTTCGATACCTTTTCATCATGGATTTTTTAGGGATCAATTTTGATTTTTTAAAAAATATTGTGTCTTCATCCAGTCAGGCTCTGATAACAAAATATCGTAGACTGGTGACTTATAGACAATAAATATGTATTTCTTATAGTTCTGGAGGCTGAGAAGTTCAAGAGCAAGGTGCTTGTGGATTTGGTCTCTGGTGAGGGCCTGCTTCCTCACAGGTCATTGTTTTATCCTGTATCCTCACACAGCAGAGTGGGCAAAGGAACTCTTTTGGTCTCTTTTACAAGGACACTAATCCCATTCATGAGGGCTCTGCCTCCTAACCACCTCTCCATCTCCTCTAATCCTTGGGGGTTAGGATTTTAACACACACATTTGGGAAGGGGGAATATAAACATTCATCCATTGCATATTGCATTGAAATATTATTTATCTCAATTTATCTTGATGACAACTCTTTGATATTCCCTTACATTTTGTGCCTGAAGCAAGTGGCTCACTTTTCTTACAGTATTCCTGGCCCTATGCCAGCTTGCAAGGCCTTCTCTAGTTCACTGCCACCTGCAATCCATTATTTTGCCTGTTTTGTCCTGCATGAGCTGAGCAGTTGGCCACTGAGGCCACTGAGCAGTTGGCCATGTGTCTCTGGTCCTCTTTCAGTAAATGTGTCCCAACCCTCATAGATGCATGTCATGAAAATGATGACTCTGAGGTTGAGCTCAACTTTTGCCCCACATGTCACTCCCCTACTGAGTGTCTGATGCCTCTGGGAGGGGAATGACTGGTTTAGGGCAAATAATTGGGACAACACTTCTTGGTTTAGGGCTTTGCATGAACAGGGTTAAATTTGAGCTGGAGATTCAGTAACATCCCAGCAACCCTCTCTTCTTCCTCCTCCTTCTTTCTGAATCCTACAGGCAACCTCCCTCATGGTCTCAATAACTTTGAATCTTTCATTTAATTATTATTTCATTTAACAATAATCACCACTGTTACTGAGCACTTAACATATGCTCCAAAGAACACAGCCAGGAAGGGATGAAATCTTCATTTAAACTCAAGACACCTGGGCATGGCAAAATGATTACAAACCCTAACCCTCAGTTCAACCTACTGCATTCAAACTGCATTCAAAATCTAATTTGGCCATTTTCAAACTGGGTGACTTTGGGGAAATTGCTTAAGGCTCCCTAAGCCTTACTTCCTGTATTACTCCGATTTCATACTGCTGTAAAGAACTGTCTGAAACTGGGTAGTTTATACAGGAAAGAGGTTTAATTGACACAGTTCTGCATGGCTGGGGAGTCCTCAGGAAACTTACAATCATGGAAGAAGGCAAAAAGGAAGCAAAGCACCTCCTTCACAAGGCAGCAGGAAGGAGTAAGTGCCAAGCAAAGGGGGAAGAGCCCCTTATAAAACCATCAGATCTTATGGAAACTCACTAACTATCACAAGAACAGCATGGGGGAAACCACCCCCATGATTCAATTATCTCCATCTGGTCTCTCCTTTGAAATGAGATTACAAGGATTACGGGGATTACAATTCAAGATGAGATTTGGGTGGGGACACAAAGCCTAACCATATCACTCATTTCCTTCCTTCCTTTCTTTCTCTCTCTCTCGATCTTTCTTTCTTTCAAGACAGGGTCCATATTAGTCAGGGTTTTCTAAAGGGAGAGAACTAATGGAATATATATATATATATGTGTGAGTTTATTAAGTATTAACTCACATTATCACAAGGTCCCACAATAGGCCATCTACAGGCTGAGGATCAAGGAGAGCCAGCCTGAGTTCCAAAACTGAAGAACTTGGAGTCCGACGTTCAAGGGCAGGAAGCATCCAGCATGGGAGAAAGATGTAGGCTGGGAGGCTAGGCCAGTCTCTCTTTTTTCATGTTTCAGCCTGCTCATATTCTAGCCATGCTGGCAGCTGATTAGATTGTGCCTACCCAGATAAAGTGTGGGTCTGCCTTTCCCAGCCCACTGACTCAAATGTTAATCCCCTTTGGCAACACCCTCACAGACACACCCAGGGAATACTTTTTATCCTTCAATCCAATCAAGTTGACACTCAGTATTAACCATCACAAGTCCACCCCTTGTCAACTTGAATCCATACACATCTTTTGAGATCATACATAATCTTCAAATAAAGACAATAATAAGGTCATAATTACACCTAACATAATAAAACTATCCTTCGTACAACCAGAAACATACCAATCCCCAAACCAAATCCTATTACATAATGTTAACAATACTTAAATGCTGATGTGAAGTCAATAAATCTGGGTCACAGGATAAAGGAGAAAGGAAATAAAATGAAGACATTTTCTTAGTACAAGTGTATACATGTACAAACATGTTTTTAACAAAAGAAGGAGGAAATATATGACAATTACAGTTCTCGTTTCTGCAGCTGGTCACGTGGTCGTAGCTGCTATTTATGACTACCTTCTTCTACTACCCATTCTGTATTCCCTTTGCCTTCAGCAAGCACCTCAGCAGGTTGTGGTTTTTTCCCAGGTGAAGTGACCCAAATCTTCATTCCTGAAGGCTCTGGATTATCTGTAGTCCTTCCTGGATCAGGCTGTTGTAGTTTCCCATTGACCTTAATCACAGGGCATGGTAATACTAAGAGATGCCCTAACGGATCTCCTGTTTTGCATGTGTACTGTTCCTTACCTCTGTTGTGGAGTTGTAGACTGATTTCATCTTGATAGTCTGGGTCAATCACCCCAGTCAACACTGTAACTCCCTTCTTAGCCTGTTGACTTAAAGGTAGGAGGAGCCCAAAATGTCCAGGTGGCAATCTTAACTTCCAGTTTAATGGAATTGTTGTTGTGTGTGTCTCCTGGTGGCAGCGTTCCTGCCTCTGGAACTAAGACCTCTAGGCCAACAGGATGTAATGTCGCGGGAACAGGAAGCAAAAATTTTGCTAGTGGATCACTAGGGGTGATGGTGAGTGGTGCCATCTCTACTTCTACCCCTTGATTCCTGGAACCATGAATCCTGGCTATGGGAAAAACAATACCATATATTGGATGTTGATGCAGAGCATACATGGCCTTCTGGAGGACTTTGCCCCAGCCCTGCAAAGTATTGTCACCTAGTCGGCATTGTAATCATGACTTGAATAGGCCATTCTACTGTTCTAACAATCCAGCTGCTTCAGGATGATGGGGAACATGGTAAGACCAGTGAATTCCATAAGCACGAGCCCACTGCTGCACTTCTTTAGCTGTGAAGTGAGTGCCTTGGTCAGAGGCAATGCTGTGTGGAATACCATGACAGTGGACAAAGCATTCCATGAGTCCACGGATGGTAGTCTTGGCAGAAGCATTGTGGGCAGCATAGGCAAACCCATATCTGGAGTAGGCATCTATTCCAGTGAGGACAAACTTCTGCCATTTCCATGATGGAAGAGGTCCAATATAATCAACCTGCCACCAGGTAGCTAGCTGATCACTCCAAGGAATGGTGCCATATCGAGGGCTCAGTGTTGGTCTCTGCTGCTGGCAAATTGGGCACTCAGTAGTGGCTCTAGCCTTGACAAGTGGAAGTCCATGTTGCTGAGCCCATGCATAACCTCCATCTCTGCCACCACGGCCACTTTGTTCATGGGCCCATTGAGCAATGACAGGGGTGGCTGGGGAAAGAGGCTGAGTGGTGTCTACAGAATGGGTCATCCTATCCACTTGATTATTAAAATTCTCCTTTGCTGAGGTCACCTGTCGGTGAGCACTCACATGGGATGCAAATATCTTTACAGTTTTTGACCACTCAGAGAGGTCCATCCACATACCTCTTTACCAAATTCCTTTGTCACCAATTTTCCAATCATGCTTCTTCCAAGTCCCTGACCATCCAGCCAAACCGTTGGCTATAGCTCATGAATCAGTATATAATTGCACATCTGGCCATTTCTCCTTCCCTGCAAAGTGCACAATCAGGTGTACTGCTCAAAGTTCTGCCCACTGGGAAGATTTTCTGTCACCACTGTCCTTTAGAAATGTCCTAGAAAAAGGGACTATAGTGCTGCAGCTGTCCACTTTTGGGTGGTGCCTGCGTAATGTGCAGAAACATCTGTGAACCAGAACCTAGTCTTCTCTTCCTCTGTCAATTGATCATAGGGCATAGGGAACTCCCCATGAGGCCATTGGTGCAGGCTGGGGGAGAGAAGGCAGTGTGGCAGGAGTGAAGACCATGGACATTTGAGCCACTTCCTCGTGTAACTTACTTGTGCCTTCACGACTTGCTCAAGCCCGATCCCATATATACCACTTCCATGTGATGACGGAATGCTGCTGTGCACAACCGGCTTTATGGCTAGATGGGTCAGAAAGCACCCAGTTCATGATGGGCAGTTCAGGTCGCATGGTGACTTGATGACCCATAGTCAAACGTTCAGTTTCCACCAAAGCCCAGTAATAGGCCAAGAGCTGTCTCTCAAGAGGAGAGTAGTTATCTGCAGAAGATGACAGGGCCTTGCTCCAAAATCCTAGAGGCCTCTGCTGTGATTCACCTATGAGGGCCTGCCAAAGGCTCCAAACAGCATCCCTATCTGACACCTCAAACACCATTGGATCTGCTGGGTCATATGGCCTAAGTGGCAGAGCAGCTTGCACAGCAGCCAGGACTTGTTGCAGAGCCTTCTCCTGTTCTGGAACCCACTCAAAACTGACAGCCTTTAAGTTCACTTGATAAATGGGGCAGAGTAACACACCCAAATGAGGAATGTGTTGCCTCCAAAATCCAGTTAGGCCCACTAGGCATTGTGCCTCTTTCTTGGTTGCAGGAGGGGCTGAATGCAGCAACTTATCATTTGCCTTAGAAGGAATATCTTGACAGGCCCCACACCACTGGACCCCTAGAATTTTACTGAGGTAAAAGCTCCCTGAGTTTTATTTGGATTTATTTCCCATCCTCTGGCATGCAAATGTCTCACCAATAAGTCCAGTGTGTTTGCTACTTCTTGCTCCCTGGATCTAATCAGCATACTGTCATCAATGTAATGGACCAGTGTGATATCTTGCAGAAGCAAAAAGTGATCAAGGTCTCTCTGAATAAAATTATGATGCAAAGCCAGAGAGTTGATACACCCTTAGGTAGGATAGTAAAGGTGTATTGCTGGCCTTGCCAGCTAAAGGCAAATTGCTTCTGGTGGGCCTCATGGACAGGAATGGAGAAAAAGGCATTTTGCTAGGTCAGTGGCTACATACCAGGTACCAGGAGATGTGTTAATTTGCTCAAGCAATGAAACCACATCTGGTACAGCAGCTGCAATTGGAATCACCACTTGGTTGACCTTACGATAATCCACTGTCATTCTCCAAGATCCATCTGTCTTCTGCACAGGCCAAATGGGAGAGTCGAATGGGGATGTGGTGGGAATCACCACTCCTGAATCTTTCAAGTCCTTGATGGTGACACTAATCTCTGAAATCCCTCCAGGGATGTAATATTGTTTTTTATTTACTATTTTTCTAGGTAGAGTCAGCTCTAATGGCTTCCATTTGGCCTTTCCCACCATAATAGCCCTCCCCCTACCAGTCAGGAAGCCAATGTGGGGGTTCTGCCAGCTGCTAAGTATGTATTATGCATTCTGGCACTGGGGAAATGACCACAGGATGAGTCCGGGGACCCACTGGACCCACTGTAAGTCAGACCTGAGCTAAAACTCCATTAATTACCTGACCTCCATAAGCCTCTACTTTAACTAGAGGACAATGATATTTTGGGTCCCCTAGAATCAAAATCAGCTCAGACCCAGTGTCCAGTAGTTCCTGAAATGTCTGATCATTTCCTTTTCCCTAATGCACAGTTACCCAGTAAAAGGCCAGAGGTCACCTTGGGGAAGGATGAGAGACAGATTTACTGCATAAATTGTCAGTAACATAGTGGGGTCCTTCCTCGAGGAGACCCGGCCTCTCTTTCATTCAAGGGGTTCTGGGTCTGTAAACTGGCTCAAGTCTGGAAATTGATTGAGGGGTCATGATTCTCTGTTTTTATAATTCAAATTAGTCTTTTGTCCATTTGACCTGGAAGTTTTCTGCTTGTATAAATTAAGTAGAAATGCAGTAGGCTTCCTATCAATTTCAGTTCTAGGAACACCATGATTAATTAGTCAATGCCAGAGCTCTACACGAGTCAGACAATTCTGATTGCCACTTTGCCTCTTCTCTCTATTACAGTAGCTATGCCCACTTTGCCTTTGACAGTTGAGTGCCACGACTTGGCCCCTGCCACCTTGGGATCCAATTATTTCCGTTGTATTTAAATTTTATAGTTGAGTGACTGTGGTTCCCACTGTTAGATCTGACATACAGAGAAGAACAATTACAGGGCTCTTCAAAGATGCAGGTGCTGCCCTCTCAAATCTATTTCACAAAGCATTGGTCAAGGGTATATCTTCTGGACCCTCCCAGCTGGGCTGAGTAGGTCTAAAGTGACTAATCCACTCCACCATCCCAATCTCTTTAAGCCTTTTGATCCCTTCCTCTACATTAAACCAAGGGAGATCAGGCACTTCCAGCTCTCTCACAGTGGGCCATCTTTTAATCCATATTTCAGCTAACCAAGCAAATAAACTATTAGAACCTTTTTTAACTACCCAAGCTGCAACACTGAATGCAGAGTCTCTACTTAGTGGGCCCAAATCAATAAATTCAGCCTGATCCAGCTCTATGTTCTTTCCACCATTATCCCACACCCTTAATATCCATTCCCATGCCTGTTCTCCAGATTTCTGTTTATATAAATTAGAAAACTCAAGCAGTTGTTTTTTGTGTGTAGCACACCTCCTCATGGGCCACACTTTCAACCTCACCTCTAGGGGCCCACTGGGACTTTAGTCTAGTTATAGATCTAGAAGCAAACAGGGGTGTTGGGGCAGCTCCTGAGGAGAATTGAGATTATCTTGCCTGGCAATTGCCTCAGGGGAGGCCATCACCATTGCCTCAGGCAGAACAGGGTTTATCTTCTCAAAGGTGGAAAGGCTGATGGCAGCATAGGTCAGGGAAGGTATGTTGCCACTACTGGGGATGGGGAAGCTGTTCCTTCTGGCAAAAAAGGTAATCAGAATTTACAAACTCAGCATCCCCAGCTTCATCAGGGTCCTCCCACATGCCCCCATTCCAAGTTGCAGGATCCCATTCTTTTCCAATCAATGCCCTCACTTTAACAGTAGGCACCTGGAGATGCAGGTGCATGCACCTATCATTGCAGGTCAGCCACTTGCAAGATAAGAGCTTGTGTCTGTTTTTCCACAATTTCGGCTCTTTCTCTACAGGAGATAAGACTCTCACTCAGGGCAATCTTAGCAGATTTGAGGCTCAGTATCTGCTTCTGAAGCCAGGAAATAGAATCCCTGAGTTCATCATTTTCTTTCATCACTTTGTCCACTGAACTTAGGAGCAACAAACCAGGTTCATTGTGTTCCTTGGTTCTCCACATATGGTCAAATGTATTATGTATAGTCACTAAACTCCTTGCCTCTCATAAGCAATGAATCAGGAGTATCAAATGCTTTTATTTTACATAATTCTCTGAACAGTTCAGGCCAAGGACTATCAGTGTTCTCTGTACTATTAGAAATAGGGTCCTTAGCATTTTTGGGTCTAATCATATTAAGCAGCCACTTCAGAAACCCCAAAGCCAATGAAAGAACTCCATCCTTAATATTCTGTTCCTCTAGAACCACTCCTGTTACCAACATCTGTATTAGGGCTCTCTAGAGGGACAGAATTAATGGAATACATATGGGAGTTTATTAAGTATTAACTCACACGATCACAAGGTCCCACAGTATGCTGTCTGCAGGCTGAAGAGAAAGGAGAGCCAGCCTGAGTTCCAAAACTGAAGAACTTGGCGTCCGATGTTTGAGGGCAGGAAGCATCAAGCACAGGATAAAGATGTAGGCACAGAGGCTCTCTTTTTTCATTTTTCTGCCTGCTTATATTCTAGCCATGCTGGCCGCTGATTAGATTGTGCCCACCCAGATTAAGGGTGGGTCTGCCTTTCCCAGCCCTCTGACTCAAATGTTAATCTCCTTTGAAAACATCCTCAGGGACACACCCAGGATCAATACTTTTTATCCTTCAATCCAATCAAGTTGACACTCAGTATTAACCATTGTAGGGTCTCACTCTGTTACCCACGTTGCATTGCAGAGTTGTGATCATGGCTCACAGCAGCCTCGACTTCCTGGGCTCAGGAAATCCTCCCACCTCAGTCTCCTGATTAGCTGGGACTATCAGCGCTCACCACCATGCCCTGCTAAATTTTTTGTGTTTCTTATAGAGACGGAGTTTTGTCCTATTGCCCAGGCTGGTCTCGAATTCCTGGGCTCAAGAGATCTTTCGCCCCTCAAAGTGCTGGGATTATAGGCATGAGCCACCGTGCCCAGCCTTAAGCCTCAGTTTCATCATCTGTAAAATGAGAATGAGAGTACACACCTTAACGGTAGTGCTTTGCAGGTAAAGTACCAACACAGTGCTTAACACAAAATAAGTGGTGATTCAATGTTATTGTGTCAGAGGTGGTAGTTAGCCTCCAAAATCTATTCTTTCTTTCTTATATAGTACTATTTTAGCCCACTTGATCTGGGCATATGGCTGTATGAAATAAAGACTCTTTTCCCCAGCACCCATGAGTCAGTGTGGTCACCCTAGTTTTAACCCTTCAGAGAATCAGACTCAACCCCAGAACAGAAAGGGCCTTAAAAATCATTTTGCTCTTTATTATACAGTGTGTGATCTGAGGCCCAACAGCACGAACATCACCTGGGAGCTTGTCAGAAATACAGAATCTGAAACTCTACCTAGCCCTACAGAATCAGAATCTGTATTTTAACAAGACTCCAGCTGGTCACGGTGGCTCATGCCTGTAATTTCAGCACTTTGGGAGGCCGAGCAGGAGGATCACTTGAGGCCAGGAGTTCAAGATCAGCCTGGGCAACATAAAGAGATCCCATCTCTCTCTCTGTGTGTGTGTGTATATATATAATGTATACAATTAGCTGGGCCTAGTGTTGCACACCTGTAGGCCTACCTAGTTGGGAGGCTGAGGCAAGAGGTTCGCTTGAGACCAGCAGTTCAAGCCACAGTGAGTTATGATTGCACCACTGTACTCCAGCCTGGATGACAGTGGGAGATCCTATCTCTAAAAATAAATAAATAAAATAAAACAGAAACAAGATCTCCAGGTGGTTTGGGGCACCCTTAAAGCATGAGAATCACTGATCTGGCCTGATTCTCTCCTTGTTTCCTCTCCCAAGTTCAACACCTCTTTCGCCTCTCTCATTGCACTGCTACTTCCTTTGGAGTGCTATCAGCTAGCACTCTTTTTCCTTTTGCTTTCCCTCTGACACCCCCATGGGACAATTTGATGCCACCCTTTTGAAAAGTTGCTCACCCTCCAATCCAGGCTCTTGAGACACTCCTGCCTTGCCTCACATTCTGGATGTCCCCAGTCCACTGGGCTTGGCTCTGACTTGGATGGGGACAGTGAGAACTTTTGTGGAACTGTATTTGCCAACTGCCACATGAGTAGTGGCCTATTCCTGGTGAGCCCCAGAGGAAGCTGTTATTGACGTAGGTGATGCGTGATCTGAGGCTAGGCATAGAGAGGAAGCTCGGTGAACCAAACTGCTGGGATAGCTGAGTGACAACAGAACGGGGCCTTTGACCAATGTCACATCAGCTAATCCCCAAATCTGCCAACAAGGACCCAGTGGATACTATCAGAAAGGCCAAGAGGTGAATCGTATAGAATGATTATTTCAGAGTTTGCAAACTGAAGTTGCTGTTTGCTCTATTTCTCTGTACATAAGTTAAAGTTCAACTTTACTGAAAGTAGTGAATGTTTTTTGAGCTCCTACTGCATGCTGGGCTGTGTGCAGGGTTGAAGAAGTGATGGTCCCTGCCTTCCTGTTCACAAATGGAGAGGGAGATATTTGCCAATAACTGAAACTGAAGAGGGCCTGAGCTGGAGCTGTGGAGTAGACGTAGAGATGGTGGGAGTGATGGATCCAGCATGACAGAAGGTGGCAGACACCCCAGCTGTCAACCCAAAAGCCATGGGTCTTGCTTCTTTCTCATTAATATCATTCTAATTTTGTCCAGGTATTGGGTTATCATGGGCTTCAAGGGAGTTGGAGCTTATGTAATTTTGGCAAACTTAACAGGTCAATGTAGAAAGGGAGGATTTTAACTTTTTTCAAAACACATCACTACTGGAAGTAATTATATTCTTTTGTCATCTCTTTATGTCTTTTTAAAATCTGTCTCCTCCCATTGGAACAGAAGACCCTTGACAGCAGGGATTCTGCCTGCTTTGTTCAGGGCTGTTCCCCTAACACTTGGGGAACAACGTCTGGCATGTGATCTGACATTCACATGAAATATGCAGACCAGCCCAGTCAGGCAACTCATTTCAATTCAGCAAATAGTTATTGATTTTCTCTTGTGTGCCAAACCCTGTGTTGGGGCCATGGGGACCTGGTGAACAGATACAGATATGAGAAAACAAACGTAAAACAAGTTACTACAGGAGCCTCATGGTTGGTGAACACATGGAGGGGCTGGGAGGATGATGTGCCAAGAGAGGGCATGGAAGCTCCAGAAGCTCTGAGCAATGCCGCCTCCATCACCACCTTGCTCTGTGCATCTCTATTTTAGCTGTTCCTGAGTTCTGCAGAAGAGAAACCATGCCATGTTTATTTACCTACATGGTTATTTGGTTATCTTAATTACACTTAAGTAGTTATATTTTTTCAACCACTGGTTACTTTCTGGAATTTTATATTGTAAATGAAAAGTTTTTAAGATATGTTTAAGATCAAGAATGTTTAAATGATCTTAAAAGTTGTCAGGGATACCAGTAGCTATATCTACAGAATTTGTATTGTGACCATTGCATTTTTACTAAGAGTAAAAATGATCTTTCAAAACTAACTTGTAAATATATTTTATATCATTTTTTTCTAGATCATTTCTCTTTGGATATCAACCAGAGATAATTTAAACTTTATAAATGCAGCCAGAATTCAATGCAACAGCAGGTTATATAGCAAAAATGTGAAGGTAAACAGAAAGTAAAATTTCTAGCTTTTCTGCTATAGAGTGAAGAAAAATGACTAAGATCAAGTAAAACCAACCCATATGATTTGACTGACAATAAAATGTTTACCATCACATGATGCAGCTGTTTTTTTCAGGAACATAATGTCACTCATTCATATAGTAATCATGCTGTGGAAATGTGTTACCTCTACCTAGTGGATCACAATTGCCTTTAGTCTGTTTGTTTTGTAATAATTGCAGCCAAGTCAATCCCCAATGAAGTTATGGTATGTTCAAACAAACAAACAAACAAACAAACAAAAAACCCAAACAAAACACAAGCTTCTATAAATGTGATGAGTGTTACAGGGTGACAGGATTCAGGGAGCTCAAACCAGAAGGATTTAACCCAGTGCACACTTTAGAGTTTGAGGTGTCAGGAAAGGTCTCCTTGATGCATGAAGGAGGAGTAGAAGTTATCCAGAAAAAGGGAGGTGGGGTTGGTAGGAGGAATAGCATTGCAAGCAGAGGAGACAACATGAAGACACTGAAGAAAGAGGACACAGAGCAAATTCCAGGGCCTGAGAGTTGGTCAGAGTTGCAGGAGAACAGAGAGTGAGGGAAGATGGGTGAAATGAGAATGATGTGGAAAGTAGAGTCAAAGTGGGCCACGTGGGTAGAGCTGGCAGAGACAGAAGGGAAAGTAGGTTGGAGGCATGAACTGGGCAGAGTCCAGACAGAGTCAGATGACTGTGGAGGCCGCAAAGAGGTGAAAGGCAGTGCTGAGTGCTGGGCACTGCAGTCCCTTGTGCACGACCACTGCCTGCAGGGATGATGGCCCCCATGGGCGTCCTGGCCCCAGGCCCACTGCTGAATGAGTGGTGTGAATCCACTCTTAGCGAAAGAACATTGGCAGTAGAGTCTCACTGACCCCAGTAGTACCACTGGGAAGAACCTCTGGGGCTGAACTCACGGTGGTGGGCAGAGAAGAGGTACTTTGAAGCAGAGCTCTAGGAGCTGAGTCAGCATCACTGTGTGGCATTAAAAAATAGTGCTGCACTTATTTCTCATTGTTTTATTGATGTGTGCTCTTAATTTTAATTAAAATACTAGGAGGGAAATGTCTGAGACCTTTCCTGGGGGAGCCCTGAATTTAGCTCCGTTGATAGGGCTATGGAGACAGCAACTCTGTCTTCCTTTCCTCAGTCTCACCAGACCCATATTTCTCCAGAAATACTTCGAGCTTGTCAACTTAAATAACAAACAGAGAGAGGCTTTCTAAAAGAAAGCCAAAATAAATGATATTTATTTTGGAATACAGCATTGCAATGGGAATATGCATGCACAGTAAACTATTTGCATATTCAGGGAGGTAAAAGAAAACAAGGGTTTTTTTAAGGAAAAAATAAGGAGGATTCCATAATTGAGTGATAAAGGTGTGAGGTGTTTTGAAATAATTATCCTTGGCTACAAAGATCAAAAACAAGGATGATACCAGCTCAAAGTTGGACAGGCAGTTGCTGGGCAGTTGTCCTTGCAGAAGTATTTTTTTTGTGTAAGGTTGAGATGGCCTTTGTGCAAGGTTGTGGTTCTTGTAGAGTCTCTTTTGTCATCAGGCATACAAGCAGGAGAACCTGCTCTTCACGGCCTTCCTGGACTCTATATGTCAAGGTTTTCCTAACGTTGGTGACTCCATTTTGATTCTGACAACTTTCACCAGCTCTAGCAGGATTTGCTATTTTAACTCAACTTGATAAGCATTTGCTGAGGCCCCACTATGTGAAAGTGCTAGGTACTGAGGGGGTTACGAAGATGAATGAGACCTTCTTGGCTCAGGAGACTAGCACCTTAGTTAGGGAGAGGTATGGAAACAACAAATCTGGTACTGGAAGGAATAAGTGGACGCTCTCTCTCATGGAGTTCAAATAAAGTGCCCAGGAGAAACAGGTGAAATGGAAACTGGGGCAGGAAAGGTTTCACTGAGGAGTGACCCTTGTACTGAGTTTTGCGGGCTCATATTGTCATGATAGGAGGGAAAGAGAGTTCCAGCAAAGGGAACAGTTTACACAAGGGTCTACAGGAGTAAACCCCAGTTACTGAAGTGTAGGGGATGAAAAATAACTTTTTCTTCTGCTCTCTCAAGTTATTAGTTGGAATGGAAACTGTAACAAAAAGATCAGTAAGAGAAAAAAAAACCAAACTTATTAACACACATATCTCATATATACTTGGGAGACATCCAGAGATGAACAATTCTCAAAAAGGTGAGAATCCCAGCTTATATAGCATCTTCAACCAAGAAGAGTACATTTTTAGAGAAGTGACAAAATGAAGGAAAAGGATTTTGAGTCTCTAGGGGCAGTAAATTGCGGGAATGCAAATAAATGTGGGAAAAACTAGTTGGGAAAGCTTGTGAATATAAATTCCTCTGGTACCATCTCTGGGCTGATAAGGTTCTGTGATACTGTGAAATATATATTTGGTCTTGCCCTGTCATACAACTTCTAAAACCCTTGGAATCTCCAAAGAGATGTCTTTCTGTATGCTAATGAGCTGACTGTTGGCTGGTCACTGGAAAGACCAAGGGAGGATGAGAGGGTTGGAACCTTCAGCCCCACCCTCAACATCTAAGGAGGGAACACGGGCTGAAGGTTAAGTTGACTACCAATGGCCAATATGCAATCAGGCATGCCTACATAATGAAGCTCCTGTCAAAACCCAAAAAGACTGTGTTCAGTGAACTTCCAGAGATTCCTGAAGGGTGGCATGCCTGGAGCTTCCCCCATACCTCATCTTACATATCCATCTCTTCATCTGAGTCTTTTCTCTATGATCAACCAGTAAATGTAACTGTTTCCTTGATTTCTGTGAGCTGCTCTAGCAAATTCATCAAACCCAAGGTGGGGGTCTTAGGATCCCCAATTTATAGCTGGTTGCTCGGAAGCACAGGCAAAACAACCTGGTGCTTGCAGTCAGCACTGGAAGTGGGCGGATGTCTCGTGGGACTGAGTCCTCAACCAGTGTGATGTGATGCTATCTCTACGTAGATAGTGTCAGAGTTGAAGTGAATTAGAGGATACCCAGCTGCAGCCTGCTGCAGAATTGATTGTTTACTTGGTGTGTGGGTAGAAATCCCCACTTATCTAGTGTCAGAAGACACTCATCTAGTGAGAATATAGTGGGAGAAACAGAGCTTGTGTTTTCTACTCAGGGTCCAAAGTTGTCTTTAATGGTTAATGTTTATTCTCCCTGGTGGGGTTGGGGGGAGTTACCTTTTGTCTTTAGAAATCTATGTCCTGCTTTTAGGCAAATAGAGGAAGGGCAGAGAGCTTTCCTACATTTTCTTCTTAATTGCCTTCAGCTCAACAATCCTTCATATTTTGGGGTGGCATATTCCAGTCTCCCACAGAAGCATAGGATGTGGGGTGGACACCTGGGGGAATGCAGCTTGAGAAGTAGCAGAGGCCCCATGGCAATGGCTTTACATGCCAAGCTCGAGAGTTAAAATCCCCTCAGGAGGCACTAGGGATCCATGGTGGACTTTGTAGGAGGGGAGGGACATGGTCTGATATGTGCTACATAATGATAATCTTTCTGGCAGTGCAAAGGGAGAATTGGAGAGGCAAGAATTTGGAAATGTAAGGATTAGGGTGGGGGCTGGCAAATAATAATTTTGGAATCTAGGCAAGACTTTAGAAAGGAGGAGTGGGTCTGAAAAAGAAAGATTAGCACAAGGTATAAAAGAGAGCAGTATTATCAACCCATTTGAAAAAAATGTACAAATAATATAATGAACCTACTCATAATTTCAGAAATTATAATACATTAAGTGTAATATATAGAAGAAGCAGAAAGAAAGCTATTTACAATAACATAGTAGGCATTTCAGTGTGAAGTAGTCATATGTTTTCACCCATACTAAAATCATCATGAGGGTGACAACTGCAAGTACAACGTGATATAATGTAGGATATTTTATGGGCATTTCGAATACCTTGAGAGACATCACCATGTGTGATGTGGTTTTTCTGAAATGTTGGCACATCTGAAATGTGGAGAAGCAAAGATGGAGAGAAAGAATGAAGGGGACGCCAGGTGCCCTGAAGGCGAGGTGAGAAAGCAGGAAGGATTTAAGATGCAGAGAGGAAAGTGTGACCTCCCCAGAGGCAGGGAGCTCAAGAGTGGAGGGTTTGGTGGGGAGGCCCTAATGCCAGTGAGAGCATGCAGGAAAACGTTGGTTCAGGTTATTGTGTTCAAGCTGCCTAGTGGGTCTCTCTGTGTAGCGCTCAGGAACTTCCTGGAAACCCATGAGCTCCCACAGCATCAAATGTGGCAGAAAGCTTGAGGAAAACGAAGACTGAGATGAGGCCACTGAAATTTAACAACAAAGAAATATGGTAGCTCAGGACTTTAAAAAAGCTGAGAAAGTAGAGTCGTGAGGAATGAAGCCAGAACACACAAAAAGAAAACCTTACATTAATAAGTACAAGCAGCAGGTTTTTACAACCAGGAGTGTGGTAACAGACTTCCTCCTTGACCTCACCTGTGTTAGGCTCTCTAAGGCCTTGTCTCAACAAGGCTTCAACGGCAGGCTTCAGTGATTGTCCTTGTGGGGCCTGCATCACCCAGTTTTAGCAAGAATCCTCCTAAGTCAGTTTAGGAGGAAGCCTTCACCCTTGATATCTGATCACCCTCAATATCTGGTCAAATTCCTCATCCCCCAGGGACGCACCTGATCCACTTGGCCTGCCTTGAGCAAGAATCCCGTTAGGTCAGTTTATTTATTTATCTTTTGAGACAAATCTTGCTCTGTCATCCAGGCTGGAGTACAGTGGTCCAATCACTGCTCACTGTAGCCTCCACCTCCCAGGCTCGAATGATCCTTCCTCTCACATCAGCCTCCCAAGCAGCTAGGACCACAGGCACACACCACCACAACTAGCTAAGTTTTGAATTTTTGTAGAGATGTGGTTTTGCCATGTTGCCCAGACTAGTCTCAAACTCCTGGTACCAAATGATCCACCTGCCTCCACCTCCCAAAGTGGTGGGATTACAGGAGTGAGCCACCACGCCTGGCCCCTGTTAGGCCAGTTTAGCAAGAACTCCCCTACCTTGCTGTCTCCTCTTGGTAATTTTCTATCTACCACTCTCCTCCCCACTCTCCTCCTTGGCTGTAAATTCCCACTTGCCATGGTTGTATTCAGAACTGAGACCAGTTCTATACTGAGGTCTTTTTTCTTCTACTGTAATTGTTCTTGAGTAAAATCTATTTTTACCGCTTTAACTACTGTCAGGCTCTGGATTTCCTTAGCAGTTGTAAGGAGTTCCTTAGCAGTTGTGAGGACTGGAGAGTAGAAAATGAGTGTGGGTACTGTGTGTGTGTGGTGGGGGCGGGGGGAGGGAGACAAATGGGGATATAGAGTAGGGTAGATGAGGATGAATTACAATTCATTTGACATGAGTTCTAGTTAAAAAATCTGTTGAATTAATAGAAAACCATATCAAGGTTTTGTTGTTGTTGTTGTTGTTGTGGTTTTCTTAAGAAATATAAAAGGCACCTAGCCCAGTGCTCCTGGATCATATCACAGGCACTTTATCACTTGTCAGTTGAATCCAAGCATTGGGTTGGCCTTCCAGTAAAACAAGCGGTAACTTACCTAAAGAATGTGTTGGAAATGTAATTATTGTTTTCCAATGACCAGGCCAAAGGATCACCTGTGGTCACTGGAGTTTTCTGTTGGGCTAAATCTCCTTGAGGTGGTGATGGACAATTTCTCCATTTTGACATGGGAAAAGGACGATGTGATTTTTAAAAAAAGATTACTCATTTGGCACCAGGCAGCAATGCATGTAGGTTTTAGTTGTGAAATTAAAATATTTAGAGCCTGATCCCCAGACCTCACTCAGGCAGCACAGCCCCTCTGCCCCTCTCTCCCAGCCTGCAGCAGAAAAATTCACCTAATTCCATTTTACCTCCCTGACCTGCTGTGCTTATTATGTTACCTTTCTCCTATTCACCAAATCGTTTGGCACAACTGAATCAGGCTGACATTTTGATAATAAACTCCAGGACTAGTGGAGTTTTCAAATTTGGTGTCTCTTTCCCTAATATGGTTTTCATTGATTCCAGGAGTTGCTGGAGCAGCCGAGGCTTCTTTATAATTCCCAGGCAGAGACTCAGACATTCTTCTGAGTGTGTGTGCAAAATCACTCTCTCTCTTTGTACAAAGATGGCTTAGATTTATTCACAGCTTCCTCTTCTGCAATAGCTCAGGAAGCATAAATGGGTTGGGGGATGGGGTGTGTGTTGAATGAAAATGTTTTGTAATTTCAAAGCAACCAAACAAAATAGATCCTTCAGAATGGTTTTATTTTCTGTGGCAACATAGTTGTGGGCACAAAATCTCTTTCTCTTCCTTAACCCGCATCTGTAGCCTTTTGCACTACCTCGTCACTAGCAGAAAATAGGATTTTTCACCTGCAAATGGTGAAGAGAGAAGAGGCTAGCCTAAACATTAGGTAGAAATTACTTGTCAAGTTTGATCAATTCACAGAAAATCCAAATCCCCTTTGAAAAGGCACAGTTGATACTCAGAGATTAGCGGGGATGTCCTCACAGATCCATTGTTTGGCTAAATTGTCTGCATATGCAGCATGTTTGCTAAATGAGTGATACATTTGCATCTAAATGGTCCATAAATAATTGGATTCTGCTCCAGACAGTGCAATAAACAAGCCCCCTCCTCCTGTTGGGCTTGTGAGATGTGTGAGTGTGGACTCTCTGCTATTGCTTTGACTGTGCTATTATTTGACAAGGCACTGGGGAAGGAGTACATGAATCTATTAACAAGAACCAACTTCCATTATGAGCTGAGATTGGAGTGAGCAGGCAGAGAAATCTTTCATAATGTGCTGCTTTGGCCTCCAGCTCTCTGGGCAAAAAAAAAAAAAAAAAAAAAATTTAAGATAATAAGTAAGAGCAAAAGCTTGGACACGAAGCCCAACACCCCTCTCTGTGCTGCTGCCACTGTAACAATTCTACTTTGCATGTTGGGGAAGGAAGGTGTGAGGTGTTAATTACCATCTGCCTGCTGCTTTTTATAAGTGCATTGATTACCCGTTCCTCCCAACCAGTGGCACCGTCGTGAGTATTTATAGTATACATGTCAATGTGGGGCCCATGATCTACATTTGAGTTGATCCTTTGAGGGCTTTAGCTACTGTGCAGACACGGCCAGGTATGAGGATCACACAGCTCTCTCCCTCCACGTCCAAACTGTTGAGTTGCAGCTCTTAATTTGGGAGGCTGGAAATTGAACAATGGCATCGACAGTTGTCAGTTTCCATGTGCAGTTATGTGATGCCTGTTATGTCAAAACTGTGACTTTTTATAGCCTCCTTTCATGAGATTTGTGATGTTCTGTTCTTTTAAAAGGCTCCAAAGGGACAGTATACCTTGATTTAAGAAAGTTCAATATATTAAATCCAGTTTCACAGGAAAGAAATATAGAAGAATGGTTATTCACTTTGCAAAAGAATTCACAATGGGATTCTTAAAGTGATAAATATTATATGTGGCACTTAGCACGTGATTTAGTTCATTGTTTCGGGAATGTGTCTATGGGCAAAAGGCTGTCTACTGGAAGAGTTCTGGTGCTTCTTACTTCAGATACTTCAGCCTTTGCTCCCCAGCTTATGCTGGCATGAGGACCGTCAAGTACTCAGGTGAAAATCCCAGTGGTAGTTGCCTCTACTCCCCAGTTTTATTCCTGAAACTCCAAGTTTCTCATATTTTACTGTGGCAGATAGCATAAATTGGCTCACTTAACCCAGGTTCCAGTGCCCTTTTAATTTGCCTTCCTGAGCTAGAGTGCCTAAAGGCTAACATCCATATTCCCCAGTTTCCCTGGCATTTAGGAATCCTCATATGATTTAGAGACTTAATCTTCTGACAGGCATAGCTGGTTCTTCTGGGGCAGCTGGGGTAGAGTTTCTGCCACTAAAGTTCAGTCCCTCGCATCAAGGTGCCAAGCAGCAGAAAGCAGCAGCAGCGGCATTTCTGCTAGAAGAGGTCTGTGCTGTAGCTCGGTGTTTCCTCTGGCTGCTTTGCCCCTGGCTGTCACTCTCTAGCCTTCCTGTTGTCACAGCAAAGGGAACTTTCTCTCCACCCTCTGAAGGTTGGATAATTGAGTCTGTTGACATAAACTGACAATAGGCAGATTAACAGGGGAAAAGGCATACAAATTTGTTAATATGCAAACACACACAAAATATGAAACTCAAAGAAGGGCCAGATTAAAGCTTACATACCCGCTTCCTAGGGAAGAGGGAAGTGGGGAACATAGGCAATTTTGGAGGAAGAGTAAATAGTCTCCAGGGGATAAGATAGGCCTGAAAAACAAATAATAGCCTGGAACAAAGTTCTTCTGGGCTTGCGGGGAGGTGGTGACAAGTTGTGGGAAGGTGAGGGGCAGAACTGCACTGGGAACAAAGGTTGTCTTACAATGAAGATAAAGCCTCTCAGGTAATATCCTTCAAAAGAATAGATGAAAAGTCTGTCTGGGTGGGGATGTGGTGATGACCTTTGTTTTCATCTTTGGTGATTAATTCTTCCTGGTTAATAAGATTTCAGACAGGGATTAAAGACAATTATATTTCTTTTGGAGAAACTTCCCTCAGTCAAATAAGAAAACTTCACAGAAAGAGAGAGAGAGAGAGACCTTCCCTACCCTTGGGGGAAAAACAAGATAAGAGAGACCCTAATTCTGAAGCAGCTTCTAAGACCTTCCAATTTTCTTTAATTCAGAGTGCTTGGCATGCCAAAGCACCATATATTGTTTTCTGAGCCCCAATGCTATAAATGACCGAATATTTTCTGATTGAACTAGCTAAAGTCGATTTTGTTGTTTGTAACTAAAAACCTTGACTGATATGCCCTCCCTTTCTTGTGTGTCCTGGGCACTCAAACTGAGGACTACTGTACACAGTTGTGCAGATAGTGCACTGTACCATCCAGAGGCACCATTCACATAAGCTTACCAACATTGTCTTATGAATTGCTGTCCTCTTGAAAGGCTGTTTTCTTTCTTTAGGTTCTTTTTTTGCTCCTACTGCCTTAGTTTGGGCCTCTATTTCCACCTGAGTGTGAAGGGAGAGTTTTCTACAAAGATCACAATTCTTTCAGCCCACAAGAACTCCAAGAGATTAAGCTCTTTTGGGCTATTGCTTCTTTTGTCCGCACTCTTAGAACAAAATTTTTGAGGGGTTGGGTATATTAATCATTTATTTTATTTTCCATATTTTATGAGGCTTTGACTTCTTAGGGCCTTGCAGACCTAGGGGGCATACTGCCCATCCCAGGGTTAGCTAATTGCTATCGTGAGTGAACAGTTTACCTGAGAGCATGTATTTAGTACGCAAACCAACCAATCCTGAGTTCGCACCCTCACCATCCTTATTTTATCTGCTCCTACAGTCTGTCCCCCTACCCTAAATTGCCCCAGGGCCAGGAACCAGAAAAATAGAGCTCACCCCATAGCTTAGAGCCTATTTATTGAAACTATCCAATCCTCAGCCTGCTCGGCTGCTTACTCTGTTTCACCCATGCCTTCTGTGAAAACAACAGTAAAGGTTTTGCCCAGGCTTTTTCCTCATTCTGCTGCTTCCTGATTGACCTTGTTCTTCCCTGTGTGGCTCTCATGGTGTGACATGCCCCTTTCTCTTGGAAACTGTAATAAACTTTTCTTTTAAAAGAGGATGTCTCCATGTCTGTCATCTCGCCACATAGTATCATATTCCAAAGTGTTTATCTCTTATCATGAATTGGATTTCCCGAGACAGAGCCCTGACATTTTAACTGTCTTCTGCCTCAGGAAATTTACTTGCAGGATTCCCCAGCAATGCCTTCCTCCTCATTGCTATGATGAAGACTTCATCCAGATGTTAGGGACAGGTCCTGGGCCATCAGACTCAAAGCCACTTTTATCATTTATTTCAGGGAACCTACATGCTCCATATGAGTAAGATTCTGTAGCCTGCTCTTGTAGAATCTTGGATACAAATACATAGATTAAGTTTCCACAGTATGCTGACTTTATTCTTATATTTGGGAAAAAGCCCAGAATGCCTTTATCATTTGTAGTTACTCTACCCAATCCTTAAACATTTAGGGAATTTCAGAGTGAAAAAGAACCCCAGGAATAACCTCATCAAGGTATTTTCTCTATTACTTTTTTTGTTATTCAGTGCTTTTCCATCCAACCTTCTTCCTCTTGAATAAATTCCTTCTACCATCTCCCACAATTGATTATCCTGTTGCATCTCTTTGAACGTTAATTGTTGTATGTTCTAATGCAGAGTAGACAAACCATAGCCCATGGGACAAATCCAGATTATGCCAGTTTTTGTAAATAAAGTTTTATTGGAACACAGCCACATTCATTCATTTACATATTGTCTATGGCTGCTTTCACAGTATAATAGCAGAGTTGAATAGTTGTGATAGAGGCTATATAGTCTGCAAAACCTAAAATATTTATTATCTGGCCCTTTACAGAAAACAGTTGCTGATCCCTGTTTTGGTGGATAAAATGGGCTGGTAATATTGGACATTATTTACAAGGTCTTCAGGGACAACCTCAAGTTCTTCCTTGATAAAGCATTCTTTAACCATAATAACTGCCATCAAGCTCCTTCTCAAACCACATCAGTTAAAATCTTAATCATTTAATTAACTCGTCATTATATAAGGCTGTGTATTGCTGTTGGGAGACAATTGTCCATGAATCTCATGTTTCTACATGTCTAGGCATGAATAATCAATTGCTCCAGAGCTATCTTTTCAGGAATGTTTATATAAGCATGGAAACAGTGATTCACTGTGGAGCAAATTTATTTATCTGAGAATAGTAAAGATAGAAGTATTCCCTCCTCAGAGAGATTTGCTTATATTCCAGGGTAATAAAAATAGTTTCTTTCTGCACAGCAGAAGATGGCAGGCTTGCTTGCAGCCCCATATAAGATCAGGGTTTCTTTCGTAGTCTCAGGGATTTTGTGCTGTAATGCCCATCCACTGCATGTACAGGCAGCACCCAGTCCTTGTTGTGTTGTCTTGTTGGAACTGGGGCTCCAGGAACCTGCACCAAAATGTTTCTGATGCTATATCAATAAGCTGTCTAAATACATTTGGGCTCATTTTCTGCTTATTGGCCTAATCTATGGAATTGTGCAAACCAACCCAACCACTGCTACTGGGCTGCTGCTGCTCAGGAACTAATGGACCACTTGATAGTTGCTTGATGCAGGTATAAATGCATTTGTTTTGTTTCCTAAAGTGCACTGAGAAACTCCCTTAGGGAAGGGACCAATCTTCTGTTTTCTTTGGATCCTCCAGCAAGCCCAACATCCAGTAGGCATTCAGTAATGTTTTGTTGCTCAAGGATACATCCTGTCCTGAAATTCTCTTCTTAATGGTGCACAAAGACTTGGAACTACTTTCTAAATTGCCATGGCTTCCCTCTGTGCACATGCCCGTGTTATCCGAGACTCTGGGATCTAAAGCTATCCTGGCCTTGTTAAGATTCAGAGTCAAGTTCCACCTCAACAGTGTCCGCACAGAAAACAGGCTTATAGCATTTCAGCCTTGTGGCTAGAGGTAATTGGCCACACACTTAGCTCCCCAGGTTAGGGGCAGAGTTGGCAAGGCAGGGGGAGCTTTCCCTTCTGCTTGCTTGCTTCAGATAGCCACCAGTGCCCACAATGAAACCAATGCATTTTGTGGACATTTTTTCTCCTAGGTTGGCCAGATTCCACAAATAAAAATAGAGGACGTCCAGTTAAATTTGAATTCCAGATAAATATTGAATGCTTTTTTAGTATAAATATGTCCCAAATATTTAATGGGCTATATTTACACTAAGTTTTGTTGTTGTCGTTGTTTATCTAAAATTTAAATTTAACTAGGTGTCCTTTATTTTACCAAGGAAGCTTATTCTCTGCCCTCTTTCCTCTAAAGCCCATTTCTCAACGGTGCCTCATCCTCAGATCTGGCCACTTCTCTAAACTCTCTCCTGTGATCATGGGTTTTTTGTTTGTTTGTTTGTTTGTTTGCTTGTTTTGAGACGGAGCCTTGCCCTATCATCCAGGCTGGAGTACAGTGGCACGATCTCGGCTCGCAGCAACCTCTGCCTCCAAGGTTCAAGTGATTCTCCTGCCTTAGCCTCCATGCCCAGCTAATTTTTGTATTTTTAGTAGAGACGGGATTTCACCATGTTGGCCAGGCTGGTCTTGAACTCCTGACCTCAGGTTATCTGCCTGCTTCGGCTTCCCAAAGGGCTGAGATGACAGGTGTGAGCCATCGCGCCTGTCTATGATCATGGGTTTTTTATTCTTTTTTTCAATAGAGCACCTTTCCTGGTTGGTGAAGGTGCAGAGCTGGATGTTTAGGAAATACAGCCTTTCAGGAGAACTTCCTTGAGTTTTGCTGATTGGCCTAGATTTTGTCACTGTTTGCAGGACCATGAGGTGGGTGGTGAGCTCAACTTGGAATGGCCTGGAAGCATTTCAATGTTTTGGGGTGGTTGCTTCTCTGTTTGTGTTTTATTTTTTAAATCTGTAATTCCCAGAGTTGTTTGCAAAGTCAGATCTAAAAATCAAGAAATGTCCACCTCCTGTGTACTCATGGAAGTTGATTTGGAATCAAGGAAGAGGCAGAGGGAATGGAAGATTCAGTTACTTCCCAAATGGGTGGTAATCAAAGCCCCCAACTTTGATACTTAATATATACTTTTCCCACTGGCCTCCTTGCAGAGAGTGCACTGAGTCTATCTTGTCTACCTCTAGGCTAATAAGGAACTAGTTCAGGGATTTCCTTCTCCCTCACCCTGTAGGCAAGGCTTACGTGGGGCTTAGCTCTCAGCTGCCAGAGAGAGAGGTCTGATAATTCACACTCCCCTTTGAGGGCCCTGAAATGGTGGCCCCCTGCTCAGGCAGCCAGGGGAGATTTGCAGGATGAATAAATGCCTCCCCAGGGATTTGCTAGGTAACTCCCTGTCAAGGCTGGGGGCAGAGATTTAAATATGAATTACCATCCCAACCAGGCAGGGATTTATAGAATGAGCCCCTTTTGTACTCACAGGAAGATTTACACAGCCACCTCATCAGCACCAAGCTGTGGGGACCGTGACTGTGTGACACTCAGCAGTGAGACTGCACCACATTGGCCTCACAGCCAGCTCCAGTCCGTCTGTCATGCTGATGAGGTCCTGTGTCTGGATCTGCTAGGACAACCTCCTCTTGCTCCTCTGTCCCCTCTGCTTTTCCCTCCTATGTCCAAATGACAGAAGTCTAGTGTTCCCTCTAGCACTGGTTGACAGGGACCTCCTACCTAATACTACTCTGCTATCTTCTCTGGACTCTATTTAAGATTTTCTTGCTTCTCCATCAGAATGTAACTGTGGCCGTTTCCAGTCACTTTGCTGCCTTCCTCTCTCTTGCAGAAGCACCAGCTCTCTTCTTCAGGTGACTTTACCTGCTTCTTTGTTCCTGGCGGCCACTTGTCTCACCAGACGCCTGGCTCTAAATTGAAGAACCTAAAGTTCAGCCAAACACCCCTAGCAGAATCTCTCAAGGGAGACTATTACAAATCAGAATGCTGGCCTCCACTTGGACCTCCTGAGTCAGAATCTCCAGTTCTGGGGCTTAGAAATCAAGTTTTCCAAGTAATTCTCAAGCACACTGACATTTGGGAACCAAAACCCTGGATCCCAGGGTTGGAGTTGGGCTGGATTTCTCTTCCCCTGGTTAGTTTCGGGAGGGCCACTTTCTCCCTTCTTTCAGGCAAATCTCTCTCTCCAGCACTCAGTAACCACGGTGCAGGTCTTTGAGTGTATTTTGCGGAAAGAGGTGCATATCTAAGACACTACTGGGGCGCAGAATGGTCCCAAGAAAGGACTTGGCCTGAATAGTGTGTTGCCTCATGAATATTCATGCTGGCCATGCGGTCAGTTTTGATCACTCAGATCAATTCAGGGCATTTGCTATAAGCCTTTGTGAGAGCAGGAAACAGGTCTTGGGAGTAAGGAGGCAGGGAAGAAGATTGAGGTTAAAGTGAATTGACAGGCAATAAGATTAGAACTCTGCTCAATCCTGATCTTGCCAGTAACTAACAGTGGCCTGAAATTAAAGAATTAAACCATGAAGGCTGCCTTGACAACTGATCTGATAGGCCCAGAAGTAAATTTCAGGGGCAGCGCTGTCAGGCAGAGGCAGGGGAGAGCAATGATAAGGGACACTGGGGTGCTTGGAGCGGGAGGGAAGCCCTGTCTCTTTCTTTACAATCCAGTGAGAGGCTTTGGTGTCTCATCTCAGGGCAGCACCGTACGCTGGAATAGTTCCGGGGGCAAGTTAGTTGCCAGGGCTTCAATTCACCTCTGGTAGCACTTTCTTCTTTACATTCAATTATGACTTTAAAATGGAGGCAGAAAAGAAGAGGGGAGGAAGATAATGAAGCATAAGTCAAATGTGGCAGCTGGCAACTTCCTGATAATTGCACTTTCCCTCTTAGCATTTCATTTCTATTCCTTCATGCCGCACAGTAGCCTGTGGAAGGAAAAGGAACCTGCCACAGAAACAACTCCAAAGGGTCGAAGGAAACAATATCAAATGCAATTTAATGACATTTTCTATGAGAGGGCAGAGATGAAGTAGCAGTTTGAGTTTGTCCAAGTTATTGTCTTTAACATTATAAGAAAGCATAGAAAATTATATATACATTAATTCAGGGCAAGTAAAATGCTTCTCAATTTCCTTTCTCTTTCTTATCTCAATACCCTAAAAAAAAGACTGAAAAAGGTTGAGGAGTATTTATAGTATAGTAGCCAAGGTGAAATACTTTCAGAAAATATTGGAAAAGACAAATTCTAACCCAGGTAGTTCATGTGATGACCTGATTTGGGGGGAAATTAATGTTTATCTACACTAGATCTCTCAGATTTCTTTTCAGTGAAGTTTTTCTTCAGCTGGCTATTTTCCAGGTGAACACAATGGGGAACTCACCAATTCCTGAAGAAAATCTTATGAACAAAAAAATCTGAAATTTAACAATCTGACTAGGAGACGCCACTCATGATGCTATTTGCAGCTGAACCTCAATCAAAGCCTAACTCTTTGGGGTCCCACCCATGATCCCTTCCCCTTTCCCTTAGAAATGCATCCAAGTAGAAACTTCAGCAACCCTCACTTCTTCCATCCCTTCCACTGAAACCACTGGGATCAGAGTAACTGATGCACTATTGACCTTGAAGATTCTGCCTGCTTCAATGGACTTAGCTGGAAGTTTCCAGTGACTCTTGTCCTAGTGGAAACTGTGCCCCAGATTTAGAAAGAGTATTGGTCTGGGTAGGCTATGGATTGTGAACAGGGTCCTTACTGGGTTGCAAAAAAGTGAGGTAGCCAAGTAGGAAAGTAAGGCCCGGGGCCCTGTTCTTCATGTGACATTCCTTGGCTCATTATGTTTTCTGTCCCTCAGCTTCATGCTTTACGGGGGTCCCACTTTTGTGATAATGCATCTTATGTGGTGTTTGACACCACTGCTTGCTGTGTCTCTTGAATGGTAGATATTTCCAATTTCTAATTTCAAAGTAAAACATTTCTTTAGGTTTTGGCCAGCATGTAAGAAAGAGGTAGGGAGGGTGACCTGTAAGAACAAGTAACAGGAAATTTGAGCTTTATAGAGCTGGTTTTGCTTTTTGGATTGGGATAGCCAATAGGCTGAGTTTGCGGAGCCCAATTTTTCCATGAAAGCCACCAAATAGAACTTTCCACACTAACAGCAATAGGGAAGTGTCCGGGGAGAAAGCAGAGGGTGCTCTGTGGCAGAAAATGCTCTTGAAGCTGCTTAAGCCTCAGAGTCTCTTCTCCAGAAGAGTTCGTGTTTCCCCAACAATTTGCTGTTCCGCTGGCTTGGCTGTCATTTATGCCCTTGTCAGTACGGCCTTCCAGGGCCTTGCTTCTCCTTCCAAAGTCCCCTCTCCCACCCTGCTGTGCTCATCAGCAATGTCTAGGCAGTGGTATTAAGTCAACCCTCTGTATCCACATGTTCCACACCTGTGGATTCCACCAACTGTGAATCAAGAATATTCAGGAAAAAAAAAAGAAATAATACAACAATAAGAAATAATGCAGTATAAAAACTATTGACATAGCATTTACATTGTATTAGGTATTATAAGTACTCTAGAGATTATTTAAAGTATATGGGAGGATTGCGTAGGTTATATACAAATACTATGCCGTTTTATATAAGGGACTTGAGCATCTTCAGATTTTAGTGTCCACGAGATTCCTGGAACCAATCCCCCAAGGATACTGAGGGATGATTATACTGTTAAGTGCTTAACAACTGGCTTTCTAGGGAGAAAAATCCCTGTCTAGTAGCATTTGCTAATTTCCATGGTATGAATACTTCCACCATGGCTAATTTCAAGCAATCACCATGACGTCACTAAATGTGGAGCTGGAAGATGCGGTGCAGCACATTATTATATAGTATGTTCATCATACAGATGTGATAGATGTAAATAACCCCAGGAGCATAGAGAATAAAAAGAGTAGTGAAATAATTAGGAAGTGATGAGTTTTAAGTACTTTTGACCTTTGCTTTAAATATAATTTATTTAATTGTAAATGTATATCATTTTTAATACTGACTGTACTTAATTAACAATCAGCTTGCAAAATTCCTGAAAGATTAACAACCAGAATACAAGCAGCTCTAGTACTCCACTAGGTCTTGGGTTGAAAAAAGAGGGAGAAAAAGGGGAGCTAAAAGGCCATATTGAGTATGAAAGCACTAAAAGGCCTCTATGCCATTCACACTTTATGACTCGGTCCTTCTGAGCCTTGGGTCCATATGTTCATAGAAATGACATGGTTGCTGTTGGTCAGAAGCCATACGTACCCGGTCCCAGGCCCAGCTCTGCCATTTGCTAGCTGGGTGATCTTAAGCAAGTTGGCTAAATTCTCTTAGCTTACGTTTCCCACCCGTAACATGAATACAATAAAGAGCACCTGCTTGCTAAGGTTGTTATGGGGATTACATGATCTACTATATTCAAAGTACGCAGCCTACTGGATCATATAGAAAAGCCTCAATAAGTGGTAGCCATGAGTACTATTATGGTTACTATGCTGATCTATTCCTAAAATGTCCAGAGTAGCCACAGCTAGTGATGGGGTTTACCAGGTACAGATTCATGCAGATACCAATTGTTAAAGACAATCTTCGTGTGGCCTGACCTCCATTTCGGCGTCAACCATGTATGTAGGCTCAGCCTCAAGGGGAGGAATGCTCCTCTCTCCACACCTCCTGAAAAAAACCTCTGGCAGATGCCTGAAGTTCAGATACTGGTAACTCATTTTTCACTGTTAAGTGCGCTGTCTCTCTAGGCCTTCTTTTAAAAGGCAATTACTCCTTAGAGAGTGAGTCATTAACTCTTGCACCTTGGTGTGAATGAGGCAACCAGATCCCAGCGTTCTGTGCAGGGACTCCTGGGACTCTAAGGTGAGAAACCTGGGTGTGGGCAAAGGGATTCAGAAAGGGCCTGGCGCACTGAAGCCTCCATCTGCAGCCCACCCACTTCCTGGGCCCCCTGCTTCCAGGTGGACTAGTGCTTTTTTTTTTTTTCTAAAGAGATAGGGTCTCACTCTGTTGCCCAGGCTGGAGTTACAAGTGGTGCAATCACAGCTCACTGTGACCTCAACCTCCTGGGCTCAAGCCATCCCCCTGTCTTGGCCTCCGAGTAGTTAAGACTATAGGCTTGTGTCACCATGCCCAGCTGATTTTTTTTTTTGTAGAAATGAAGTCTCGCTATATTGCCCAGGCTGGTCTCAAACTCCTGAGCTCAAGCAATCCTCCTTCCTTGGCCTCCCAAAGTCCTGGGATTATGGACGTGAGCCACCATCCCTGGCCTAGTTCTTAAAGCAGAGATGCTTCTAAAAGCAAATCTACTCCAGTCTTTCTCTCCCTGCTCCCTCAACTATCCCAGGACAAAGACTCAGTTGATTCTCAGGTCCTCAGTCCACTGGTAAGCTGGCAAGACTGCTGAATATTTCGGATCAGTCTTACTTCAAGAACACCAAGTTTGCAGTCAGTTGATCTGGGTTTTGGTTGTGGTCTAACCACCTGATGTGTGACCTTGAAAAGATCACTTCATGTCTTAGAACCTCTATTCTGTTAGTATATTGAGGATACTAATGAGGATTAACCTGAGACTCAAATCAAAGAGCCCTTCAGGAACTGTGAAGCTCAAATACAAACTGCTGGTACCATTTCCTATTCCCAATTCTTGGTTGTTAGTTTGCTCCTTCTTCTCCAGTTCTTCACATATGGATATGGAGAGGCCTTTTGGGGAGCACCATAGATGGAAGATAATAATACATTTCCCATGCTTTGTCCTAAAGCTTTCTAGGAACAAAAATATAAGCTCCCATCTGGGATCACTTATTCATAATACAGTCTTGTGTGCAGTGAAAATAACCTGAAGTCATTCCCAGTGTGGCTCAGGTAACTTGGCACAACCAGAAGGCAAAGGTGATGTCTGCAGGAGCCCTAAGGCCCTGTGAATGTTAGTTATATTCTTAGTGAGGTTTTTGTTTGTTGATCTGGAGCACCTGTGATGCTACACAAATGCTTTCAAAGTGGTTGAGTCTCAAAAACCAGGAGAGGACCTGTGGCTTCTAAAGGCATAAGACTTACAGCCAAGGGGGTCTTAGGTTCTGGGAAGGGGATTGGGGATGCAGTGAGGAGGAAGACAGCCAGTCTTTCCACGCACAGACGGACCAGCCTCAGGTGTTCTTGGGCATCTGTGTGATTGGAGGAGGGTGGCTGGTGCCCTGGCAGGGCATCTGAGAGCTCAAAGAATGCGCAGGCCCCAATCCTTTTTTGCGACTGCAGCATCTGACATGTGCCTCCATCTGTGGCAATGTTTTTTGCCCCTCTCAGGGCTCTGACGGAATGCAGTCTCAGCCCCAGGGGCCCAGCGATTACTGTGTGACCAGAGCAGCCTCTGTTATTAAATCTTGTATCGACTGGCACCTCCCTTCTGGTGCGTGGGGGTGTAAGTTGGCACCAAAAGTGGCTGGAGAATTAACCCAGTTGTTGGGGGAAGGGTGTTGTGTTTCAGGATCAGTTATTTTTGGTGGAGAAAAAATTGCAGATGGCCAGCCAGGGCAACCTGCCTGAGACTAAGTAGTCACTTGGATGCCTGCCAGGACCAAGCCGAGGGGGTGAGGTGCAGGAACAGGGCACGGAGAGTAATGTCTGGTTGGCCAAAGGCCCATTTGGCTGTCATGGGAATGTGCTGGGGATGGGGTGCCTGACTTCTGCAGTGTCTGGAGAGCAGCCAGAGGGGGGGGACAAATGCGATAAAAAGGAGCTAGAAGAGGTCCTACTGGGAAGGCTTATAGGTGTCCAACTTAGAACAGAAAAGACAAAGTTGACTAAACATGCTGACTTTCTTCAAATACACGAGAGACTTCTACAAGAAGATGTTGATGAATTGTTCTGACAACCAAATAAGAGAAAGCAGCCTGCGCAGAGGAAATATGGATTTCCGTCACTGTGTCATTCATACTGCAACAGGTGCTGAATACATACTTGAGCCGTGGTCACGTCTGCGTGCTGAATGGGACGGTAGGAGCATTTTAGAAAGTGAGGAAAGGGAAGAGAGCCTCCCAGGTTTGTAAGTGATGACCAGCCCGCCAGGTCAGAGATCCTGGGTGCCACCCTCTGAGTTCTTTGCATTTGATGATGAGTCCTGGTTCTGCTTTTTGCATGATATGAAAGAACTGCACCCTAGGGAGGAACTGATGGATTTTATAACTTGATAATAAAACTCTCTGAGGAGGGAGTGCCCTCTCAGAGATGGGAGATTAATTTTATGTTCTCTTTTTCCTGTTGCTTTTCATCCCCACCCCCCATCTTGCCTATTCTTTTCTACTACTTGCTCAACAGAAGGCAAAGGGGTTTTTAAGAAAGCATCAAAAATCTGAGGACTTTGATTCCAGAGCAGGAGAAGACGGCACAGCCTGGGAACAAGGTGACAAGAGCCCGTCACAGGAAGGTGGGCCTCTGACTACTCTCCTGAGCCCCAGCATCAACCTGAGCACTCAGCACACAATGACACCTCTAGCCCAGTCCCCAGCCCTGCGGTGGAGACACGATCTCCTCATGCCCGGCTAGCTCAGCTTTGACCTTGAGGTTCCTGGGAAGCTGTCAGAGTCATGTCTGGATGGTCTGAAATGTGATCCATCTCTGAGCTGGGCCCCTTCCCCAACCTGCCGACTGCACACGTTCAGATTTAGCTTGCTCTGAAATAGACTGAAAAGAGAAACAAGAAATGATTCTCACACGAAGCCTCCTTTCAACCCCAACAGTCTGCTTGATGGTGTTTTGATCCTTTCAAAACTAGCGGAGAAAGGACTTGGAGGTGACAGGAAAAAACTATTCTGAATAAATCTTACAAACATTCTATAAAACAACACCAACAAGGCAGGACAAACATCACACCAAGATCTTAAATTACAGGATGTTTACATAATATAATGCCCATGGCAGACAAAAACTAAATCTCACAAAGTACCTGAGACAAAAAAATAATAATAATTAAAAATTAAAAAAAAAAAAAAGAAAGGAGAAGAATAAAAAGGAGTCTGGAGTCCTGGTATTGGGAGGTCCCAGGCGTTTCCTAGGGAGGCTGTGTGGGGAGCATCCGTGGCTCCTGGCCTCACATTTCAGCTTCTGAGGGGAGGACCTCTGTCGCGGTGATGGCAATCCCAATGGCAAGGCTGCCGTTGTCAGAGAAGAGCTGTGCCAGCGAGGTGTTGAGGACGAGGCAGTCCCCGTCCGTAATCACCGAGTCCACGCACTCAAGAACAGACCGGGGCGTGGCCTCCCACTTGAGGCGCCGATGGTTTCTGTTGAGCTCCAGGCGATAGGTGAAGCAGTCGGCCTGGGTGGGGGTCCCAATCAGCATCATGGTGGCAAAGAACTGGGGGTGCCCTTCATGCCTCTCCTGTTTCCTCAGCACCAACAGAAAGTGGTGGCCAAGGCAGGAGTGCATGATGATCCAATCAGCCGGCGCGGGGAGGTGCATGTCCGTGGCCAGGAAGACGATCTCGGCTCCCTGGAGGATGTCAACCCTATGGATCTGCCGCAGGTGGGGCACCACCACCTCCAGGCGGCCTTCCCACTGGCAGGAGAACAAGGGACACATGCACAGGCAGGGCGTCACCGGGTTGGCGTGCAGCCCCGCCTCCTGGTGGTGAAGGTGGTGGGGGTGGGCGTGGTGGCGGAGGTGGTGGTGGTGGCGGTGGTGGCAGTGGTGGTGGGAGAGATGGTGAGGGTGGAAGCTGCCTTGCTCTGGAGCGCTCTGAGTGACGGCGCGCCGACTGGACACATACTGTAAGGAAAGAGAAGAACGTCAGTGCGGGGATGAGGCCCACTCTCCCAGGCCGCCACTCCCCTGATGTTCAAAGTGTTAAAAAGCAGATCCTCCAGTGCAGGCTGAGAAAGGTTCATTTCTTAAACAACAAACAAACAAACAAACAAACAAACAAAACCACAAAGGACAGAGTGGGCGCCTTGGGGTGGGGGGTGTTGAGATTCTGAAAAGTCAGTCCAAGAAAATGCAGTATTTGTGCCTTTGTGGTTCTTTAATAAGATACACAAGCAAATAGGCAATTTCCTCGTCAAGTAACATGCAGTAGGATGGTCATCAATCACAAAGAACAAAGACAGCTGTTTTTTTTTTTTTTTTTTTTTTTGCTTTTTTGATATTGTTGATAATTTTGTGCAGGCAATGGAGGTCAATAGATTTTTTTTTTCTATTTTGTCATAGTTATTAATTTTAGAACAAAATTTACATAATGCCCATTTGTCCTTCCAGTGTAGTCAGGGATTGTCCTGTCTTGGGCGCCCTTCTCCTGCGTCCTAAGGCATCTGGTGGGATGCAGAGCTGATCGTGTGCACTGGGACTACAGTCCCTAAGGAGAGAGTCCCCGCTGTGACTCCTGAGACTTTGCCGCACCAGGCACACATCTACCCTATTTCTAGCTCTCTGCCCCAGGGCAGCTTCCCAGAGCCTCATCACCAGGCAGCCTCCACCTGGAGAATCTCCCCATCATCTGTTCCTCATGGTGGCGTGCCCACAAGTGCCCCCCAAAACACCAAGAGCTGTGAGGATGCCTTCTGATCAGGTGTCTGTGAACATTTATTGAGCATCTGCTGTGGCCAGGGCCTTGCAGGGATACAGCTGTGAGCACAATAGATACTGTGTCTTTTGGTGTGGGTGGCACAGACATTACTACACTTATAATTAATTACAGTTTTGACAAAGGTCCTCCATGTGTCATGAAGACTGTGATTCATATTTTTCAGTTGAAGAAACAGGCTTCAGTAATAACGTGATGGAGCCTGCAAAACTGGTAAGTGAAAGACTGGGATTCATCTTCACGCCCCCTGACTCTGAACACAAGAGCACACCCCCATCCAGTGATTCCTGCCTTCAGCTCCCTCCTCCGTTTCCTGACTCCTTCTTTTCCGTAATTAGCCTGCATGGTCTAGGTCACACAGGGGAGGTGGCAGCTCTGCAGTGCGCTCCAGGCATGAGTCGCTCACCTTGCAGCCATTTCCTAGGCTGTCCTCAGGTAGGGAGTGTCCCTTCTGCCCTAGCTCTCCAAATGCTTTCTGGACTTCAGATGCCTTTGGGCACTTGCCTCCTCACCCTGCTTCAGTTCATTCCCAAAGTACAGAGGGCAGGGGTGAAGGTCACCAGCCACTGTTGCTGCCAGAGTTTCTATCTATCTCCCCTGACTTCCTGTGGCTAATAGTGAGCCAGCTAGCTTCCTTTCTTTAGGGCATTCAGGACACACATACATGTACATACATGCACAGTCATGCACGCAATACACATGCATGCATACACACACGCTCATGACACATACATGTGCACACATGGTGCACTGGGATTGTCACCCGAGTGATGGAGGTGACCTGGAGGAGGTAGGGGCCAGATCAGCTCTCCTCTCCAGTTGTTAGTTCCATCTGCTGGTTTCCTCATTCTTCCCCCAGAAGTGTGATCTACAGGGGCTCTTCCAGTAGCGCCTGTCCTGCCCCTGGATGGTAGCTGCTGGGCAGTCTGCTGTCCTCCATCCTGCAACCCCACCTGGTTCCCCTTCCCCAAGGTGAACAGTGTGTCTTCAGCTATGAAGGAACAAGCTGTGTTCCAAAATCCTGCTAGTGATGAGTCTGACTTATCCCTCAGTGTTAAGTATGGGGAAGGAAACTAACTAGTATGTAGCATCTACTAAGTGTCAGCTGCTATGGAAAGGAGGTATTTTTAAAATAATTATTTCATTTAATTTTTCACAGAAAAGATCAATTTCCTTATTAAAAAATAAAAATCTGGCTTTGTCCCCACCTGCCTGCTGGTGGCATGGACCATTTAGTGATTTGGTCGGGGGGGTTTCTCCCCTCTCCTGGGATCATGCAGGAAGCCCAGGGCCCACACCTTCCATCAGCCAGGGTCAGGACCCTCCCATGGACCTTCCCACTGTCTGCAGGGCCGGTAGGCAGGCAACTTCTTCTCCTATACTCAAGAGGACCCAGTCTTGGGCTCTCATGAAAAACCCAAATGGTGTCCCTCTTCCAGTCTCTGAGAAGGCCCCTCTCTACCAGTCTTTACAACAATCAGGAGAGAAACATTTTATGTTTGTCTTATAAATGAAGAAACAGAGACACAGAGAGATTGAGTCACTTGCCAAAGTCACACAGCTCCTAAGGGCTGCAGCTGGGAATGGGGCCCAGATCAGTTAATGGTGACAGATCATAGACTAGGAAGTTCACAGGCTGGAGGTCGAAAGACTCTAATCTGTTTCACTGTTTACGTGTTCAGTCAGTTCTCTCATTGGCAAAATATTTATCTCAAGGGCATGTTAGGAGATCAAATGAGAGAATGTCTGTAAAACGGCGTTACAAACTTTATCAAGTGTTACCTCGAGAGGGCATTTCCATTTAGATGTGGTTTTGGGTGAAGACTTGGCAGCCTTCCACTGCAGTCTGTGCCTGCCTGTCTCCATTCTGATCAAGTCACTTTCACACACGAGCAGCAATCTGGGCTGAGTGCAGGCCACCATAAAACCTGGAGAACCCAGCCTCACACTTGGCCTGGGGCCACCAGTCCCAGTGCTGACCTGTGAGGACAGATAGAATGTCCTGAAATCCCCATTCAGAAGTGACCTCTGGGCTTTCCCCTATTCTTTCCAATTTCTCCATATTCTTCCCCAGATCCATTTTCCATCTTCTCTGTCCTGACCTGTACAGCTAATGTCAGAGATGGGAGGTCAAAGTAGCAGGGAGGGAGTGAGAAGAAATACCTGGCTCTTCCTCTCTCCAATCTCTGCCAGTGCCTTCCATTGGTGAAACCCAAGCAGAAACCTACCAGCAAAGGGAGTCCAGCAGGTGCACTCAGCAAAGATGGCTCCCTTTGAAAGTGGTGCTAGGTCAGGTGGATGGGTGAAGACGGGTGAATGGAGATATTTGCACCTGCATGCAAATGTCTCCATTCCTTCTATGTGATGATGCTGATTTGAACAGGCTGGGGCTCCTGGGCTAAGTTTTGATGGGGCTTATGGCAGGGGGAGAGAGAAAGATGCCCGTAGTTCATTAAGCCATTCAGCATACACGTACACACCACCCATCTTGTGCAAGGGGCTGAGAATACTGAACAGAATAAGCTCCTTGTTCCTATCCTGCCTCACTAGCTCACTATGATTGTGTGAAAGCAATGCAAAAATGCAGGGTACACCAGGGGCTCTGAGAGCACCAAGTGGGGGAGGTAGCTATTCTAGCCAGTGTGAGGTGACATTTAAACTAATTGAAGCGTGAAGGGTGAATTCTCTAGCAGAAAAGGCAAAGGACCTGCTGACAGGGAAAAGAGCAGGTTTGAAGGAGCTGGGTATGAAAGAACATGGATGTTCAAGAAGTGACAAGAAGTTCCAAGTGGCTGAGAGGGAATCTGGTGGAGATGGAGAGGAGATGTCGGGTCATATTGCCCAGGCCTTGTAAGCCAAGCTGAGGCTCTGAGATGGCACCCAGTGCACGGTGGATATTAGCAGGAATATCCAAGAGACCCAGCTATGTGCTTTAGGGAGCTACTGTGGGTAGCACAATGCCCCCTACGCCCAGCAGCACAGCCTGCTCTAAGCTGGTGCTCAGAATGGGGCCAGCAGCAAGACCCAACCCTTGTCCAACCAGCAGACCCCAGCAACGGTCATTTCCCCCTAGACTCTCCCAATGCTTCCTTGTGGCTTCATCTTCCACTAGCCTTTTTGTTTTTTAATTGCTGCTGTGTTACAAAGCAGCCAAGGGTATAATCCAAAGAGCCTGAAGTGAATAACTATGCAAATAGAGTGGGACGTGATACACTCATTGAGACCTGTGTACTTGCTGTGCCCTGGGATGGTGCTCAGAATAAACACAACCTTAATTTTTTATTTCTTCCTGCTCCATCTTCTGATGCAAAATATATTTCATTTAAATGATCCTTGGGTGAGTGAGGTCACAGGGCTGCTGGCAGGGAGAAGGGATTCTTTTAATTGGCAAAATGCTAATCGTTTCAGAAAATGAATTCCAATCTTCCCATCTAATACAGTGGATGTGTGAGTAATTACTTTCCTTCACTAAACTGTTAATGCAACATTAGTGATTACACTAATTAAACCTAATGAACTCTTACAGACTGATAAACCCCTCAGTCAGTCAGTGGATGCCTTCCTTCCATTGGCTGTGTTTAACTTCCCATTTGGAAGAGAGATCTTGAATTAACCTTTAGAATAATGCGCAAAATTGGGTTTAGCAATGTTAGGCTTTATAGGCTGGGGATAATACTTTCTCTAAGCATTAGTGAGGCCATTTCCGCTGAGGGTGTAATTGAATTTAAAAAACATTCCTTAATTTGATCAGCCACACTCCCATGGTTGGTAATGGCCCTCCAAATCCTGGCTTCTGAAGGGGAAACCTGCCTCTGGAAATACTACATGACCCTTTCTCTGGCCTCTGCTCCCTGTGGTCACCAAGCTCACTTAGAGGATTGCTTTTCCTTTCCACTTACTTCCAGGAACAGTGCCATGCATTTTAGCTGAAAGAGGATTTTGTACCCAATTTTATATGGCAGGCCCTTGCTTCGAGTTTGCTCATGCCCTCATTTGTGAATATTAATTAACTGAAGTTTTTAGTCCTAGGTGAAGTGGGGAAGGCAGCAATGCTATCGATGCATTTCACACAAAGGGAGAATGAGCAGGTTGAGGTGGAGGGTAGGGTAACATTTCTGGGCAGGCATCAGAGTACTGAGGTAAAGTCTAGGTCTGAGCCAAGTTGGGAGTCAGGTCTGCTAGGAGGGGAGAAGAACTGACCGCTCCAGGACTGTGCCCTGCACACAAAACTCAGAAGGACTCTAGATGCTTCCAAACAGGTAAGAAATAAGTTAAGCCAAGAGAGAAAACAACAGTAAGGCTTTTACCACCTGGGATAGGAACATCTTAA
Source organism: Homo sapiens (assembly GCF_000001405.40). Lineage (NCBI taxonomy): Eukaryota > Metazoa > Chordata > Mammalia > Primates > Hominidae > Homo > Homo sapiens. The sequence goes on from NC_000013.11 coordinate 45,789,199, forward strand.
TTAGAAAATGTATCTTATGCTCCTTCTCCTCCATATCAGATTCAGCTCTTGCTACGTAGATGGATGAGATCTTCATGTGGACAGTATGAGCATGTCTGCAATTTCCTTTAAAATACTTTAGTATACGGAATGTGATATAAATCTATCTGTGTATCTATCATCTATCTATCTATCTATCTATCTATCTATCTATCTATCTATCTATCTATCTATCTATCTATATGTTGAGACAGAGTCTCACTCTGTCACCCAGGCTGGAATGCAGCGACGTGATCTCGGCTCACTGCAACCTCCACCTCCTAGGTTCAAGTGATTCTCCTGTCTCAGTTTCCTGAGTAGCTGGGACTACAGGCGCCTGCTACCATACCTGGCTAATTTTTGTATTTTTAGTAGGGACGGGGTTTCACCATGTTGGCCGGGCTGCTCTTGAAGTCCTGACTTCAAGTGATCTGCCTGCCTCAACTTCACAAAGTGTTGGGATTACAGGCATAAGCCACCACACCTGGCCTAAACATATGTATTTTTAAACTATACTCTAGGGCCTGTCAATTCCTGAATCAGGAATTCAAACATCAAGGTAATCACCTAACACTGTATTGGAAAAGTCCATACCTGAGCTAATGACTACAATGGCCTCAATTAGTACCCATATTTCAGATTCACGTCAGATGCTGCTAGTTAACACTTCCACAAATGTTTTGGTTGGTGAAATTAGTAGTTTGTTAATCAGCATAATAGATGCTAGAAATGGGCTCTAGTTGAGGAAATGAGTGGTTTTCGAGCTGTAAAGATTAGTTAAAATAGTGCAGAGAGATTTCTCACTTTATGAATGGGTCTTGAAAGCTGGTTCCCTAAATATCCTTGTGTCCAGCTGCTAAGTCAGGACTTCTGGTGCTCTGATGCCACTTCTTAACTGTATTGGAATCTTGCCTCTGAAATACCACTGCATACAAATTTTCTTTACTGGTGATCAAAATTATGCAACTTGAGTGTGGAGAGATTGGTTAGTACACACAGAAGCCTTGAGTCTTGACCTATCTATGCCATTGTTTAGCTAGAAAAGAGGCTAATAGGCTGTGACTTTGAAAAGATGACAACTTTGTGAACAAAACTGTTTCAAACCAAGATCTATGGGTGCAAAATAATGAAAAGGGTCCATATAGATGTCTTCATAGACACCAGTCCTATGATCTCAAAAGCCTCCTGACCAAGCCGGTCTTCTTATAAACATATTTGCCAGCCACAAGGGAAGGAATAAGTGGATGACACTGAAAAAAAAAATACATCTCAGAGATCCCAGGACCCTTTAGTTTCCAGATCCTTATCCTTGGCTGACAAGCGTTAGCTGATTTATCCATGAATATTTTCCTGCTTGCTGAGTGCCTTCAGGACAGGGACTAATTGTTCGTGTGTCCTTACTGCTAGTACAGTGCCCGACATGCAATGTATGCTTGCCATATATTCATAGCACAGATCGATGCATTAGTAACAGCTTCCAATATGAAGATCACACTGGTTCTGTCCTTTATACCATTCAGGTGTGCCAGCCACTGTCCCACCTGGCATTGTCTGAGACAATCAGCTGCCGTAAGACAGGAATGCTGCCTCCCTACCTGACTTGTGAAGTAGTTAAGCAGCAGTTAAGATCTGTCTGCACAACTCACTACTTATTTCAACTTGCATTGAAAAATCACTAGTTATGGCCAGGTGCAGAGGCTCATGTCTGTACTCCTAGCACTTTGGGAGGCTGAGATGGGCGGATCACTTGAGCCCAGGAATTTGAGATCAGCCTGAGCAACATGACCTCGTCTCTACAAAAAATACAAAAATTAGCCAGGCAGCTGTGGTCCCAGCTACTCAGAGACTGAGGTGGGCGGATCAGGTTAGCCCAGAAGGTTGAGGCTGCAGTGAGCTGAGATCATGCCACTGCACTCCAGCCTGAGCATGGAGTGAGACCCTGTCTCAAAGAAAAAAAAAAAGAAAAAAAGAAAATCACTAATTGGTAGCCTTTTCTCCTCAACTAGGTTGGAAGTCATTGAGGGCAGAGGTTAAGTTTGCTCAGTGTTTAGTGCAGTGATGGACTTGCTGTGTCTGACATGTAGTAGACTCTCAATAAATGTTGGGTTAGTGCAAAAGTAATTGTGGTCTTTGCCATTACTTTTAATATATGCTGCTTGAATGAATGAATGAATGAATGATTCATAAACAGATCCCTGTTTTGGACCACATCAATGGAAAGGCTGTTTGTCTTCAGTCAGAGGCTCTGTCCTCTACCCTTCCATCTCAGGTGCTATAGAAATATGGTGTGTGTGTGTGTGGCCAAGTGTCCACGGCTGTGAGCTCCTCAGGAAGGTGCCCTGGCAGCTCCTCACCCAGAACCCAACAGTGATGGAACACAGAAGTCACATTTGACCCTGACCAAGAGGAGGGTACTGACACGTGCCCAGCTGCCAGTGTGAGAAGTATGATAAAAGCTTTGAAGAAGAAATTTCTCCTGCCAGAGAGGTACTTGCTTTGCTTTTGCTTTTTACTGAGATTACTTGATGCTTCAGGCATTCTCTTTTTCAGTAATGAATTGCTTCTCCCAATTTGGGAAGGACAGTCTGCTGGGTTAACTCAGCAAATCAGTCTGGCCACCTCCCAGATTGCTCTAGGCCAATGTTCCCCTCCTGCACCTTGGCAGGACCCCTGAGCTAAAAAGGAAGTGCTGTCTCACTTCCTTATCCATTTTCTGTTAACAATCACCAGGAGGTAACTTTAACCCAATCAAAGATTACCATAGCTCCTCCAGCTGTCCCTACCCATGAGATGAGGAGCTAAAGGGTTGTACCCACACAGAACCCCAGAGCCCACCCTCTAGACCACACTCTGCATAAGTGCGATGCTGGAATTCCCTACCCAGTGTCTCTAAGTCAGCTTCCTGCAGCCCGTGCTCTTTCTGGGATCCATCTTCTGGAAGGCAGACCATTAGATGTGAGGTATGGCCAATGGGTGACTATTTCAGGGGTTGGGGTATAAGCAGAGCTTGAATGTGTGGGCTCGGGTGTTAGCTTGCCTTTGTAAGAGACTCATCAAAGCCCAGGATGAAGCTGGGTTAGGAAGAAAGTGAGACAGGTTGCTACCAGGGAGCTGCCACCATGTGACTCATTATGAAGGTATAAATTTTTTTTTTTTTTGAGATGGAGTTTCACTCTTATCCCCCAGGCTGGAGTGCAATGGCGTAATCTTGGCTCATTGCAACCTTCGCCTCCTGGGTTCATGCAATTCTCCTGCCTCAGCCTCCCAAGTAGCTGGGATTACAGACAGGTGCCATCATGCCCTGCTAAGTTTTGTATTTTTAGTAGAGACGGGATTTCACCATGTTGGCCGGGCTGGTCTCGAACTACTGGCCTCAAGTGATCTGCCAGCCTTGGCCTCCTAAAGTGCTATGATTATAGGCACGAGCCACTGTGTCTGGCCATGAAGGTATAATTATTAAGGTAGGAGGACAGAATGTATTTTGAGAGTCTCATACCTTGTTTTTTTCTTTTTGAGCATTTATATAGACAGTATGTGGACCACCACGTGTACTTTTGCCTCCTGTCTTGCAAATCTTAGAGGCAGACTTGTAGTCAAACCACATACAGGAATGCTGCCCTGTCTCTATTCTTTGGCTCTGCTTTTCATCTGCGGGGTTTTGAGTGTGCTAATGAGTCTAATCAATCTTGTAGATGAAAGACTTTTTCTTCAAGGCGACTTTTTGTGTAGTTAGACTTTCATATCCGTAATTGGCAAGTGAAACCTGGGGCCTGAGTGAACAGTTTAAAGATTAACCTTTTTAATTACCCAAAGCCACATTAACTATGAGCCTTTCTTTAGGATGACTTTAGAACCACAGCAGTGACTGGACACCATGTCCAGAGATTGTCCCGCCACCTCGGATAACCTCAGATTGTGAGCAACAGTGTTGTTCACACCGTTGTGGCTGGAGTCAGTGCCATAACCTTTGAGAGGAGGCAGGTTGCTGGAACTGGTTACACATGCAAATGCAAACTGCAGAAGCAGAGGTGTTAGGAGGTTACAAATGGGCAGAGGTGTGTCCTGGGTGGCCTGAGACAATCTGATGCCTCCAGGCCACATGCCATCCTTGTTTCTCTGAGTTCTTCAAAAATGTCATGACCAGGAACTCCACAGTACTCTCTGCCTCCTCTGTTTTCTATCCCCAGATTAAGTTGTGTTCATCCTTCAGGGGTTCCTTATTCTAACTAGGACAGGTCTGTATGTTGCATGCTCCCTTATAACATGCAACAAACTTATTCAACATCTAGTCTTCCTGCTAGACCACAACAAAGGCTCCAGGTGGGTGAGTACTGTATTTCTTCCCCACTGTATCCGAAGTGTCAGCACAGTGATTGGAACATGGTAGGTACCCGGGAAGTATGTGGGGAGAGGATGAATAAATAACTCCTCCCCATTGACCTGTTACCCTAACACAATTCAACCGCTTCTCTTCATCTGACAGCAGTCACCCTCATTGCCTCTCTGGGCTACACAATAGCCTTCTAACTAGTTATGATAGGTTAGAAGACTGCCCCCAAAAGATGTGTTCACATCCTAATCCCCAGAACCTGTGAATGTGATCTTACTTGCGAAAATTGTCTTTGTAGATGTAACTAAGTTAAAGACCTTGAGATGAGATCATTCTGTATTGTCCAGCTGGGCCCTAAATCCAAGGACAGTGTTCTTAGAAAAGACATATGAGGAGAAGACACGGATGCAGAGAAGGCCATGTGAAGATGGAGGTAGAGATTGGAGTGATGTGGCTGCAAGCCAAGGAACACCTGGACCCACTGGAACTGGAAGAAGCAAGGAGGAATTCTTCCCTAGCACCTTCAGAAGCTGTGTGGCCCTCCTGACACTTTTTTTTTTTTTTGAGATGGAGTCTTACTCTGTCACCCAGGCTGGAGTACAGTGGTGTGATCTTGGCTCACTGCAACCTCCACCTCCTGGGTTCAAGTGATTCTCCTGCCTCAGCCTCCTGAGTAGCTGGGACTACAGGCACTGTAGACTGGGAATGGCCTCACTATCAGGAAACACTGAGTCTACACACACATGGATGTAGCCTATAGGTCCTTCCCAGGATGATTATCAACTCCATACCCATGTGCTAATACCAGAGATACAAAGGACGTTGTATAGTGCTTAGTCCAGAGCAAGAAGGCATAAGTGGTAGATGTTATTATCATTATCATCATCATCATTATTGCACAGTGATGTGGTTTGGCTGTGTCCCCACCCACATCTCATCTTGAATTGTAGCTCCCATAATCCCCATGTGTTGTGGGAGGGACCCGGTGGGAGGTAACTGAATCATGGGGACGGGTTTTTCCTGTGCTATTCTTTTGATAGCGAATAAGTCTTATGAGAGCTGATGGTTTTATAAAGGGCAGTTCCCCTCCACACACTCTCTTGCCTGCCACCATGTAAGACGTGCCTTTGCTCCTCCTTCACTTCTGCCTTGATTGTGAGGCCTCCCCAGTCATGTGAAACTGAGTCCATTAAGCCTCTTTTTCTTTATAAATTACCCAGTCTCAGGTGTGTCTTTATTAGCAGCGAGAGAATGAACTAATACACACATCTAGCTGACTGAGGTGTAAGCTAAGGAAATGCACTCTCCATAATTTCTAGGATCATGTATGAATAAGATTAAATCATAAAAACACTAATGTCCTTCCACGTTTCCCTTAAGGCCTTCTAGCAATTCTCACTAGGACCTTTTTTTTTTTTTAAATCTTGCCAAGTAAGTTTCTAAGATTAGTCATTATATTTCATTTTATCTCTCCTTTTTTAAAAAAACTTATTTTGATCTTTCCATAGATAACCAGTAGTTGTTTAGAATGAGAGCTCATCTTTAAAAATCTTCCTTTTAAATATAGCTAATTTATTTATTCCAAACATGACTCAAACCAATAAACCTTTCATGGAGAGATCCAGAGGTAATTTTTCCATTGAAAACACTATGGTATTCCCAGAGTGGGTACAGAAGATGTGAGCCCCATGATCCAAGAAGCTCACTCCCAGAGATACACAAAGAAACCCAGAGACCCTTGTTGCCACAAGCATTTAAGGATGATGTTTATGTGAACAGCATCTCAGTCACCCACATTCCTCATGGCACCATGTGTGATGCCTCCAGTCACAGACCTGCTAATCTGTGACACCAGGTAGGTGATACTTGTATGAGAGTTTCCCAGCACTCAGCAGGCAACAGAGGTTGAGATAACAAATGCCTCCGTATAGACTGGGGCCTGTTTATTAAGACAAACTCCTCTGACAGCTTGGCATGGTCACATAAAGAGTATACTGCTTGTAAATTTGTGTCTTGAGTTACTAGCCTGTCAGGGCTAGCTGCCTGGCACAAGCTGACACTTTGCACCCCTTCATCTCTGACCCAGGAGTCTCGTGTCTTCTACCAGCATCCATGAAACTGTGGCAGGTCACCTTTTGAGCTTGTTAGTAGTGGGGTAAGATCTGAGCCTCTTCACAGTTATAATCAATACCTGACAAATATGAGCATTATGTGATCAGAAAACCTGCACACGAATGTTTACAGCAGCACTAATTCATAATAGCCAAAATCTAAAAATCACCTAAATGTTCTTCTAATGAGTAAATTGTGATATATCTACATAATGGAATATCATGCAACTATAAAAAAAGAATGAGCTACTGCTATACCCAACAACATGGATAGATCTCAAAAACATGTTGAATTTTTAAAAAAGCTAGACACAGAAGAGTACATGTTTAAGAATTTTGTTTGAAGTTCAAAAACATATAAAATTGATCTATAGTGACAGAGGCTTGAACAGTGGTTATCTTTGTGTGTGGACATATTGACTTGGTGGGACCCGAGGGAGCCCCTGAGGGCTGGAAATATAACTCGTGGTCTGGATGGGTGGTGGCTCTATGGATATGTGATTTTATATATATATATGTGTGTAAAAATTCATTGAGGACTAGACTTGAGATCTGTGTACTTCACTGCATGCTATACATCAAAAAACAAAATAGAATGGAAGAAAGAGAGAGAGAGACAGAGAACGGATGTATGTGGCCATTGTCTTCAGGTCACTGTTAAATGGACATATTTCATGGGCGGGGGGGAGGCGCTCAAGAACCCTAGGGGGTCTTTTCTTTCATTATTTCACTTGTTCATTTGGCCTGTCTGTAGGTCTGGTTGCATCAGGTTGCCTGCGATACCAGTAGCTAGGGGGATTGGAGGATGGGGATGAGAGTCAGATCAGGGACGGGCTCAGGGAGCATGAGCTCCCTGGCTTAGAAAGGCAGAGTCATGGCTGACACTCCCAGGGAGACGCAGGGCCTAGAAACACAGTAGATAAGTTGCTGAAGGTGTTCACACCATGCCTGGAGTGGCACAGGCCTTGCCCTTTGCTCCTAGAGGCAGAAAGCTCCTCTCTGAGATTAGACTTGGCGGCTAAGGACCAACACTTGTGCTATGGCCTGGTTGTAGTGTCACAGGAGGTGCACCCTGACTTTGTGTAAATGCCTCACTGAATGAATGGCTCCTCCTCTCTGCAATGTGGCTCTCCTCACACCGAGCTGAGGGACGGAGCAGCCACAGAAAGCTGCTGACAGCTCCAAGTAAATCCCCTTAAGCGAGGTGGGGGCAGGTGTTTTATTGACTCTAAATCTTTGCCAGTAGCTGGGTACATATTTAATAAAAATCTTAGGCTTGGGGGGCAGGGATGGGAAGGCAGAAGGGAGAATTCCTGCCCCCAGGGCTTGGGAGGCTGGCAGGCTGGCCAGTCCCTAATAATTCGTTCATCCAATATTCATCTTTGGGTTATTATAGTCACTGAGTATCTCTAAGGAACAAGTTTATTAGTGTCTGCTAAGATAATTAGCCTAATCTACTTCAACGCAATTCAAATCGTCTCTATGCAGGTTTTTTTTTTTTTTTAACACAATTCACCATGACTACATTTCAACGTTGGTCCTATTTTGTTCATATTTCCCCCATTGGAAGGTGCTCACTTTCTACAAGAGTGCCATGCTCTCCAATTAGCCCAAGGGGAAGGAGATTAAGTCCCCAGGCTCTAGCTCAGCCTTCTCCCAGGCCAGGATTGCTCCAGCCTGCATAATGCCTGCCGCTTGGGTGACCTCTAGGATCATCCTGAAGGCTGGACTTTCTTCCTCTCTGTCTGCATTTCCCCATCCTCTAAGGGGATGTTGTAGAAGGGAAGGTACATGCACAGCTTCAACGGATCCAAAGCACTTGATTTTCTGTCCTGCCCTTGTAGAAATCTCTCACAACTTCCCTTGCAGCTACCCAAGCCGCAAAACTCTCCATTCATGAGTCTGCGGAGAGAGGGTTAGACCAGCAATCCTCAAACACTGTGCAGGGTGCACACAAATCACCTGGGCATCTTGTTAAAATGCACACTCTGATACAGCAGGTCTGGCATGGGGCTGAGATTCTGCATTTCTAACCAGCTCTCAAGGATGTCAGAGCTGCTGGGTCACAGACCTCACTGTGAAGGGCAAGCAGTTAGACCCACTCGTCCTTGCCCACTGCCATCATGCCGGGCATCCTTCTTCCTTCACAAAAGCCCTAACATCCCTTTAGGAATCAAATAGCATATTCTTAATAACCTCAGACATCTCTTTCTAACACTCTGATTCCTTAACAAGTCCCTGCAGGGTCCATGGTTACTTTCATGATGGCGGTGATAGGGCTGCCCTATTCCAGGGAGGGAATGCCTTGATTTGTTAGTCATGCAGTGTCCCCTTGCAGACAGCTTGGTAACATAGGACTTCACTGGGGGCAGAGGGGAAGCAGAGCTGCGAGGAAATTCTTAAGCAGAAAATGGGAAGTTTATCTTCTTTCTTTTAACAGTATTTAAATTCATTTGTTAAGGGAGAGCTTCGCTTTAATTAATAAATTCTCCATTTTTATGGCTACTCGTAATTCCTTACTATTTAGTTTAATTGGGTTTTCATGTTCAGAATTTAGAAGCAGCTTCCTCTTTTTAGTTTTAAATAGTAATACATAAACCAATAAATATCATGCTTTTCAGCAGGGCCCATTGATTTCCATACCATTCTGCTGTTACATAGTGAATCCATTCATTCAATCAATCACGCAACGAATATAAATTCATCACTCACCATGTGCTGTGGGAGATGATGGGTATAAAATGGTGAGCAGATCACATGTGGTCCCTATCCTCAGAGAGCTTACTTTTCTAGTAGGGGGAGGAATTGCTTCTGGGAGTCAGGGCAGGATTTGTAGGGGAACGTTCAGGATGGTATCCTGTCCAGTATCTTGGAGAGGTCTTTTAATATAATCAAATGGGAGGTAATTTAGATGACCAATCACATGCAGCCAACTGGTATTTAGTTAAGTTGTCTTGAACTTCCCATTAGAACCGTCCAGATGAGGCAGTGCTCTAACTGTAACCAGTCTAATCATGGCTTTGCTCACTTCGGCACTGGCCCTATAGAAGCTCTCCCCTGCAGTCACTTCCGGCAGATCCCTGAACCACTTCTGGTTTGGAGCTTCCTGATTCAGGAATTGCTGTTTGCACAAATACATTTTGAAAAATTATGATGTACCAAAGTTTATCTTTAAACTGGTCCAAGTGCAAATTGTCTTATCTTCTTCCATGATTCTAATATTGGTGACTAATTCTTCTGGAAAACAAATTGGTGATGGCACTAAAGCCTTCCTCTGTAAAACACAGAAATGACAAGTCCTCCATCCCAGATCTACTAATGTACCAGCCTCACGACAAGTAGTCCAAATGAACCAGGGCCTCTTCAATTCCTCCCCACTGCCAGAACTCTGTGTTTCCACAGCACTAGATCCTGGCCAAGCACTTAACAGTAATTCCCTGGGTAATCTTCACAAGTCTTTATAGACAGGCCTACAGGATGAAACTTCAATTTCCCTGCATTGACTAAGATCGGGAATTGAGGCATAAAGAGGCGGATGGGGTTGGGGCAGGGGCACATGGCATGAAGGTGCATGGAGAATGGAGATATGGGTCCAGGTCTTCCACTCCTTATATGACCAAGGATAGTTCCTTTCACTTTTTTCAGACCTTAATTTCCATGTCTATAGAATAAGAACGATGATATCTGCCTCCTTCCTGGATAATAGGAGGAATGCGTTAAAATGTGTTTTAAATGGTGCAATCCATTTAGAAGAAAGTATCATATGGATGCAAATCATGGAAGGGCATGCTTGAAATACGGAATGGTCCTGGCTGACACCTGCTGAGTGTCTGTTCTAAGCACATCACATGCCTCATCTCACTTAATCCTCGTGTGGCCTCCAGGAGGTGGGTATCATTATCACAAGTAGTTTGTACCCAGGGACACTGGAGCTCAGGATGGAGGATGGTCTTTCCCAAGGCCTGGGGGTTGGTGGTAGTGGAGCTGGGCTTTGATGCTCTGGATTCTGGCTGCAGAGTGTGGGCACTGTGCCCCAGGCTTCCCGCTCCTCTCCCTGCAAGCAGCCAGCACTCAATTATCCCCATGTGTATTATCTGCAGCTCATATTTCATTTCATTCCAAGCTGACTTTTCCCTGCCAACCAGCTTGCTCATTTAGTTAGCAGGGGAGCTCAGGGAGTTAGAACTAATCCTAATATTAAGTAAAGAGCAAAGCATAATTAGGAAGATAAATCTTCTGGGGGGAAAATGTATGTAACATATTCCAAAGTCAAGCATGGGTGATTTTTCCCATCTTCTAGATGATCCACATCACTGTTCTCTTTTTCTCTTTCTAGCACAGATAACTATGGGTTGATGACATATTGTTTTTAAACTTAATTTTTTCTGATTAGGAGATCATGTATTCTCATCACAAAATATTTAGAATAGCCTGCATAGTATAAAGAAAAGAATAGAAAACTCTCAGAATAGCACCATCCTGATAGTACCACTGTTAACATTTTGGCGTGTACTTCTTTCAATGCCATTTTCGACATAAATGCCTAAATATTGCACTTGTAGTCTTGTAAACTGTTTTTTTTCTACTTGATATCTTGTGGAACTATATGCGTCAAGAGATGTAGCTGAACACCATTATTTTTGGTGGCTCCATTGGCCTTGGAGAACTCATATGAATGTAGCATAATTGGTTTTATTCAAACCTAGCGAAGAGAGACACAATTGCTTCATGCATCCAATTATTTATTTGTTCATCGATTCAGCAAACCTGCCAGATATTGTGGATGAAAAGAAAAATAAAGTGTAGTTCAGAGCCTCAAAGAATTTGCTGTCTTTTCTCAGAGTCACTGTGTCGATTTCTTTTGGGCCCAATCTCTTGACCTCTGCTGCCCACCCTCAACCTTCCTTGTTCAGATGGCCCCAAAAGCAGCTTGCTTTGTTGTTGGAAGCAGCCAGGCCTTATTCGCTGAGCCTCCCCCACTTCCAATCCCTTCCTTTTCTGCCTCTGGTTTTAACAGTGGCATAAAACTAATTTATAGCTCTTGCTAGGAAGAGGACAAATTTTCATCTCAGCCCGTCATGCGAAAAGCACTAGTACAAATGAATAATTGTTGACCCATGCTACCTATTAGAGATTGTGCTTGGGTCACCTCGTTTGTTGTTTTAACACAAGAAATTAAGGGCCCTGGCAAGGGCTTCCATGGGCACTGAATTGGTAATGAGATAGAACATCGTCTTTGTGGGCGACCTCTCCTGGCGCCATGTTCACAAGAGGGAAAGGGATGAAACCTCGCTTCCACAATGATCCCATGAGAAGGGTAGACTCTGCCTGTGTCCACCTTTGATTTTAGGCTCAGGGTCATGTTCTACTAGGATCCATCAGCATATGCCTGTGAAGCAACTAGAATATGCTGGACACTGGGTGAAGTGATGGGTGGCGGGGGGGGGCATGGCTGTAGACGTTGCTATTTTGGCCTCCGGGAGTTCGCCAGCGCCTGACATATGTGAAGCCATATGCTTTTGCAATATATGTGTGCATGGAGTGATACAGGGTACATTCTCCCTCAGTACCAAATGGCTTGAATTGCAGGAAAAGGTTTGTGTTGGGGGTGACACTTGAAATGGGTCAGAAACAATAGAGGAACTCTGGATAGTGAAGGGATGAGAGGTGAGCACTCCTGGAAGACAGAGGACATCCCTGAATGCAGGGAGGAGCTGTGCTTTCCACCGACTGATGAGGCCTTGAGAGAACAAGGAGAAATGAGGCTAAGTAAGGAAGGTGCAATCAGATTACAGAGAGCTTTGAAAGCAAGACGAGAGTAAGAAAGACGGAAGGAGTTTCACAACACTTGATTGGTTCCATGTCCTGGATATGTGACCATGACTTGCAGGCTGTATTGAATATTATATGTTTTATAATATTAGGGACTAAAAATTGCAATGAAAATGTGTGTGTATACAGCCTTTCACACAGCTAGGGGTCAACATATACTTAATAACGTGTTACATTATTCCTATGCCATCTCTCTGGTCAAGAACTATTACCTTGAACCATCATTTCAGCATTTTACAAAGTGTTTTCATACCTAGTACCTCATGTAAATTTGAATATAGGTAAGGTCAAATGCTTTGGTTACCTGGGCAATAACATCTGCTGGCTGATATTCTGCATGCTCCAGGCATTAGTCTAGGCAAGCAGATGAAGATATCAAGGGGCAGCAGGGCTGGGTTTTGGTGGAAATCCTGCCTGTCCATGCTGATTCACTGGAGGACATGGGTAGCAGGAAGGGAAAATGCCGTTTTTGGAAACTGTGATATTACACAGAAGAATCAACTGAAAGACTGTTGCAGAGTAAGAAAGTTTGGGGCCGGGCGTGGTGGCTCACGCCTGTAAAATCCCAGCACTTTGGGAGGCTGAAGCGGTGGATCACTTGAGGTCAGGAGTTTGAGACCAGCCTGGCCAACATGGTGAAACCCCATCTCTACTAAAAATACAAAAATTAGCTGGGCGTGGTGGCATGCACCTGTAATCCCAGCTGCTCTGGAGGCTGAGGCAAGAGAACCTCTTGAACCCGGGAGGTGGATGCTGCAGTGAGCCAAGATTGTGCCACTGCTCTCCAGCCTGGGTGACAGAGCGAGACTCCATCTCAACAAAAAATAAAAGCAAGAAGAAGAAAGTTTGGTAAAGTGGCAGGGTGGCAGGAGTTGTCTTTTCTAGTCACTGAGCTCTGGACCTAATGATGAGAGTGGGGTTAGGGGGCGAGGTGCAGTGAGGCAGTGAAGGAACTGTTGAGTTAGTCCTTCTTTTGGATGTGGGAATGTGACCCCTGAGCAGAAAGGATAATGGGAAAAGCTTCTGGATATTTACGATGATTTTCAGCAGAGGTATTCACTCCCAGACACTAGGGAGCTACATTTACTGTCACTAGAAGCCCCAACTGATACCTTGGGATAGGCCGTGGGGACACTCTGGGATAATGCAATATTCTAAAACAGAGATCAGAGGCCTTGGTGAGACTTATGAAGCCCCCAGCTAGCTCCAGATCTACATTCGGCAGGTTGCCATCCCAAATTAATATGCATTAGGCTAGATAAAGAAGTCAGAGCAAGGAGGCTGGATCAAGGCAGCTGCAGGCCAGGCGTGGTGGCTCACGCCTGTAATCCCAGTACTTTGGGAGGCCAAGGCAGGTGGATCAACTGAGGTCAGGAGTTCAAGACCAGCCTGGCCAACATGGTGAAACCCCATCTCTACTAAAAATACAAAAATTAGCTGGGCGTGGTGGCGGCCGCCTATAATCCCAGCTACTCAAGAGGTTGAGGCAGGAGAATTGCTTGAACCTGGGAGAAGGAGGTTGTAGTGAGCTGAGATCGCTCACTGCACTCCAGCCTGGGTGACAAGAGCAAAACTCTGTCAAAAAAAAAAAAGGCAGCCGCAGACTAGAAAGCCTGTTTGGCAGGGTGTGGGCAGGAGTGCCTTAATCTTTTAAGTAGTTTGAAAGTGAGGCCTGCATTTTCTATAGCTCTGTCTTAGGTCACAGGTGCATACACAGCAAGTGATCAGGTAGTCCCTATTCAAATGCCTAAAGCTGGAGTATATGGATTTAGTTTTATTCATTCATTCATTCGTTCATCAAACTTTATCAGCCCTCTTTCATGTGCCAGATCCTGGTGACAAAATGATAAATAATACCCAGTGTCTGTCCACAAAAGGATGTACAGTCTAATGGGGGGTTGGCTGGAAAATAGACAACTACAAGGAATGTGTGATAAATGCTATGATAGAAATAAGCCCAGGGAGCTGTGGGAACACAGAGGAAAGACAATGAGAAAACTCTGGCCAAGGAAGGTCTCATGGAGGAGGTCGTAAGTGAGCTGGGCCTTGAAGGATGAATGGGAATTATCTTGGCAAAGGACCATTTATAGGGAGAAGAAAAGAACATTCAGGTAGACAAAAAGCAATAGAATTCAGCAGCCCTGAAAGTTACAAATAGTTCAGCAATCCTGGAAGGTCAAGGTAGTTGATGTCCAGGTGGGTGAGAATGATGAGAAATTACACAGAAGAGGCCCCTATACATAGCTTCTATGCTATACATAGCATAGAAGAGCTATGTATAAGGAGTTTGAGTCCTGTTATCAAGACTGCTAAGGAGTTTGAGTCTTGTTATGAAGGCTTTGGTGTGCCACTGAAGGATTTTAAGGGGGATATGGACAAGGATGACATAAGAAAACTCCTAATAAAAAATTCCAGGTAGGTGGGGTAAGATGTAAAGAAGGATATAAGACTGGTAGCAGTTACAAAATCCATATTTTTATCCAATTACCTACAACCGATTTGTAGAGATATGTACAATTATACACTGAAAACACATTGATTCCTAAAAAGTAAACTGTGGCTGGAACTTTTACAAAAATAATTATTTTACATATATTTTTTCTTCCCCAATTAAAAACTTTTAATTTAAAAGTTAACTTTAATGTCAAAAATGCAAGCTTGGGGAGGGCATACATATTATATTTTTAAAAATAAAAGCTATATATTATTTAGGCAAGTTTGTTATTACTATTAATTCTATTAATGTGTTTAATATTAATATATTGTTATTACTACATGCTACAACATAGATAAACCTTGAAAACATTATGTTAAGTCAAAGAAGCCAGTGGCGAAAGATCACATATTATATAATTCTATTTACATGAACTGTCCAGAATAGGCAAATGCACAGATACAGAAAAAAGATGGGTTGCCAAGGGTTGGAGGGAGGGTAGAGTGGAGTGGTTGCTAACAAATATGGGATTTCTTTTGGGGTGTTGAAAACATTCTAAAATTAGATAGCGGTAATGGTTGTGCAACTCCGTGAATATACTAAAATCAATTGAATTATACACTTTAAAAGGTATGTGATAACTCAAAATATTAAAAGCCATCTATGACAAACCCACAGCCAACATTATACTAAAGGGGCAAAAGCTGGAAGCATTCTCCTTAAGAACTGAAACACGACAAGGATGGCCACTCTCACTATTCCTATTCAACGTAGTATTGGAAGTCCAAGCCAGAGCAATCAGGCAAGAGAAGGAAATAAAAGGTATCCAAACAGGAAAATAAGTAGTCCAAGTATCTCCCTTCATTGATGACATGATTCTATACCTAGAAAACCCTAAAGGCTCCACCAAAAGGATCCTAGAGATGATAAACGACTTCAGTAAAATTTTAGGATACAAAATCAATGTACAAAAATTGGTAGCATTTTATACACCAATAATGTTCAAGCTGAGTCAAATCAAGAACTCAATCCCATTTATAACACACACACACACACACACACACACACACACACACACACACACACAAAATACTTTGGAATACATCTAACCAAGTAAGTGAAAGATCTCTACAAGGAGAACTACAAAACACTGCTGAAAGAAATCATAGATGATACAAGCAAATGAAAAAGCTTCCTATGCCCAATATTGTCAAAATGGCCATACTGCCCAAAGCCATCTACAGATTCAATGCTATTCCTATCAAACTATCAACATTACCGTTCACAGAATTAGAAAAAAACTATTCTAAAATTTATATGGAACCAAAAAAGAGTGCGAATAGCCAAAGCAATATGAAGCAAAAAGAAGAAAGTTGGAGGCATCACACTACCTGACTTCAAACTATACTACAAAGCTACAGTAACCAAAACAGCACGATACTGGTATAAAAACAGACCATAGACCAATGGAACAGGATAGAGAACCCAAAAATAAAGCTGCACAATTACAATAATCTGATCTTTGATAAAGTTGACAATAACAAGCAATGGGAAAAGGACTCCCTATTCAATAAATTGTGCTGGGATAATTAGCCAGCTATATGCAGAAGAATGAAAATGGACCTCTACCTTTCGCCATATATAAAAATTAACTCAAGATGGATTAAAAACTGAAATGTAAGACCTCAAACTATAAAAATCTTAGAAGAAAACTAGGATATACCATTCTGGACAGTGGCCTTGGCAAAGAATTTATAACTAAGTCCCTAAAAGCAATTGCAACAAAGACAGAAATTGACAAGTAGGACCTAATTAAACTAAAGAGCTTCTGCACAGCAAAAGAAACTATTAACAGGCTAAACAGACAATTTATAGAATGGTAGAAAATATTTGCAAACTATGCATCTGACAACAGTCTAATGTCCAGAATCTATAAGAAACCTAATTCAACAAGCAAAACCAAATAACCCCATTAAAAATGGGCAAAGGACATGACAGACACTTCTCAAAAGAAGACATACATGTGACATACAAATATATGAAATAATCCTCAACATCATTAATCATCAGAGAAATGCAAATCAAAACCACAATGAGATGCCATTTTGTCCCCATCAGAATGGCTATTAAAAAGACAAAAAATAACATGTTGATGAGGTTGTGAAGAAAAGGGAACATTTATATACTGTTGGTGGAAATGTAAATTAGTTCAGCCACTGTGGAAAGCAGTTTGGAGATTTCTCAAATAATTTAAAACAGAACTACCATTTGACCCAGCAATTCCATTATGGAGTATATATGCAAAGGAAAAGACATTGTTCTACCAAAAAGATAAACACACTCATATTTTCATCACAGCACTCCTCACAATAGCAAAGACATGGAATCAACCCAGGTCCCCATCAATGGTGGACTGGATAAAGAAAATGTGGTACATATACACCATGGAATACTACACAGCCATAAAAGTGAATCGAATTATATCCTTTGCAGCAACATGGATGGAGCTAGAGGCCATGATATTAAGCGAAGTAATGCAGGAACAGAAAACCAAATACCACATGTTCTCACTTACAACAGGGAGCTAAACATTGAGTACACACGCATATAAAGATGGCACCAATAGACATTGGGGACTATGAGAGTGGGGAGGGTGGAAGGAAGACAATGGTTGAAAAAGTATCTATTGCGTGCTATGCTCACTACCTGGATGACAGGATTATTCATATACCAAGCCTTAGTGACACGTCATTTACCCATGTAACAAACCTGCACATTTACCCCCTAAACTTAAAAGCTGAAGAAAATAAATAAAAATTTAAAGGTATGTGAATTTTATTTCAATAAAACTGTTACACTAATAGTAAAAGACAGAAACTTCCTTAACAAGTAGACTGACATTTTTAGTGGGTACACTCTGGAAGCATCACTGAAATCAGAAACAAACCATGAATGTTCACTATATTACTGTTATTTAACATTCCACAGGAAGTAGCCAATGCAATTTGATGGGAAAAAGAAATAAAAGGTATAAAAGTTTGGAAATGAGAGAACCAACTGGAAAAAATCATAAAATTTGAAGAATTCAGTAAAGCACAAATTTAGTAAATACAAATCAATAATTTTCACACTTTCAAATAAGAAGTAGCTGTTCATATTAAAAATAATACCTTGGAATAAATTTTATAGGAAACAGTCACAGGCTATAAGAAAAAAACGTAAAATGCTACAGAAGAACTCTAAGAAAGAATTGAATAAATAAAAGTATCATCTATTCAATACGATGATTCACTGTTATAAATATGTTGACATTCCCTAAAATTAACAAGATTGTAATAAATACACCAGAATACTAAAAAAAAAAAACTCAAGTGATTTAAAAAGTTTATATGAAAAAATAAATGTGCAATTATAGTCAGATTGCTGAAAAATAAATAGTTATGAAGGAGACTATTCAATAAAATTGTAAAACATAGAATAAAGCTACAGTATTAAAACATGGTGATTCAAGTGCATGAGAAAACAAAGCAGATTGTTAGAACAGCACAGAGAACCAAATACTTATAGTTCTATTTATTAGATTTAGTAGAGCAGGAAGTTTAGCATTGTATATTATTAGAGAAAAAAAAATCCCCTACTC
This sequence comes from Homo sapiens, assembly GCF_000001405.40. NCBI lineage: Eukaryota > Metazoa > Chordata > Mammalia > Primates > Hominidae > Homo > Homo sapiens. Next base: position 45,807,564 of record NC_000013.11, read on the forward strand.
CTACTGAGTTTTTAAATCTGTATTCCCCATTCGTCTAGAGAGGCATAGAAGCAAGAGAGAACTTAGGGACCTAGAGAAGACTCAGTGTAAAAAAGTCAGGACACAGCAGCAATTTGCTGTGACCAATGACTGGACACCAGATGGCAGCAAGGACTCTCAGTGGTGTCAATATGGATGGATGACAACAGCTAGAAAGAATGCCCTCCAAATCGAATCATTGACATTGCATATGCCCAGTAGTGTATTAGCTCACAAGAGCTAATTGTTGAAGTTTTAGAAATTTTGTGAGCTGATTGTTAAACACAGCCATTGTTAAAATTAAACAAACAGAATTAAATAACTTATATTAACAACCCAGGTAGTAAATACTCAAAGCTCATTACTTCCTAAATATTTTATTATATTTTGCTATTAAATGTGTTCTTGAGGTTGCTTACATATCTGTAAATCTGTATTTGTATCTGTATCTATATGGTAGAAATACTAAAAACCTCTTCCCAACTTCATGTGCGGTGATGTTGTGTTGGTAGCTTAAAATTAGTCATGGTGGGAATATTTACACCATGGAAACTGGCAAATGCTATAAATCAGGGCTTGATTTTCTGTTTTGTTGATTTTCTAGAGTAGACTGAAGAAAGTGATGAAGAAAATGTTAATAAGGGCAAACTATACCTAAAAGTGTCCTGGTATATAGGTGTTACTTTGTGTTAAACAGCACAAAAAATTACAGAAATAGTCTTTTAGTATCCTAAGACTATTATCCAACTCAGCAAATAAATAGTTCACGTCACTGAGCAGTGAGTGATAATCTGACATTTATCTTTGTTGTTTCACTTTTATCTGTTAACATAAAAGAAAACATCAACCAACATTCATATTTAAGTCACACACATTCATCAATGACATGGTGACTTTTTCTATGAACTAGATAGCCAACATAGTCTAATTTTGTTAAACAACGGCTGAATTGTAACTGTAGGTTGGCTACAGATACAAGAGTTCAACAAAACCAATAAATACATTCTGTGTAGTTATATGAAATTTAAAATAAAGAATATTGTATATTTTGTTATTATTTGTAAATTGTATTACACATACTTTATATCAGTAAAATTTATAATAAACTTATGTCCATATGTACGTGCATACTTTTATCTACCAGAACATTACTTCATAGGCCCCCCAAAACTTGGACTCAACACTGGGCACAGTAGGGAATCTCCATCCTGGTTAAAATTAGGTTTCCATTCTTGATGGAATGGGAACCAGAATATATATTAAATTCAGTTATAGAGAAAAGAATGTTATATCTATTGCACATCTCAAATTATGAATATGTTTAAGACTTGTACCCATTTCGCATCTGATAAGGCAAAGTAAACCTAAAAGCTAAACAAGGAGGCTCTGAGGCCTCCATTTTCGCCTTCGGCAGTACATCCCACACAGTGAATGAGTGGGCTTCCAACCCTATTGTAACAATATTGATGATCCCTGCCTGGTCCTGACTCATAAAAGAAGTTGATGTGGGTCAATGACTCCTGAAGTGGACATAAATCCTGAGGCTGCGCTGCATAACCTCTGAACTTTCAGTGACTGCTGCCTCAAGGTAATTGCCTAAGCCTCTAGGACTTAAGGTGGGGAGAATGCGTGTGTTGGGGGCTCCGCAGAACTGAGACCTTTAAATGGACTCTGTAAGTTTTGTTCCACCCTTAAGGCTACACCAGAAATTTATAGACTGTGGTCTGGAAATCATTACACGTGCTAGACATGTTTTTGTGTCCACAAATCTGCAGAATCAGAATCTCTGGACATTATAACAGACGGCCCAGATAAATCATATATGCTGACCAGAGATTGAGAGGCCGGGCCTCATGGAGAAATTGCCAGGGCAGAATTGTCTGCTTTGCTACCATAAGGAAAGTTTCAGTCGAGAATATCAATAATTTGGGCCCTCTTTCTCTAGCCTGGCTAAGATTGAAATCAGAAATTACTGGGCTGGAAAGACCCCATACTGCTTACCCAAGAAGTCCCTACCTGCATTCTGATATTGTAAAATGTTTACAATATATAGCTTTTTAAAAAAGTAAGGTAAAACTATATATGCATAATATGATTTAATGCTTTTATAAAAAATACAATCAAATGTATTGCATTTAATAAATTACTGAAAGCAAAAGAACCAGATAATTGTGGTTATCTCTGGGTGGAATTACAGGCAGTTTTTTTCTTAGTGGCTTTCCATATTTTACAGATGTCTGTACAGAATAAATACTACTTTTATAATTTAAAAAACTAAATGTTGTTTCAAGAATAATGTAGTCAAGGGGGAGACAAAACAAAATGAACAAAGCAAAAGCAAAAGCAAAACCAAACCAAGAAATCTGCCTCTGTTTAGAACTTCTTTCAGCAGCCCAGGCAGAAGCTTGTCACGTTGCCATGGGCTCCCTGGTCGAGCTAGTCCTGAGTCACAGCCCCCAAAGTTCCTAAAGCAGCCCAGAGCCCTGAGGCAGCGACCTGAAGGCACAGTCCAACAAAGGTCACTTAGACAACAGGGCCCACAGCCAACATTCTGGACCCTGAACTCTCCATCCTCCCTCAGGAGACACCAGCCTCCTGAGGATGCTCAGTCCCACCTGGACTACCCAAAGGAGATCAGAGACGAGTGGCCCAGTCCTATCCGTCATTCACTGGGACGCTCCATCATGGCTAGTCAGCTGAATGGATGGATGAAGTCCTGTTCAGCACCAGTGCCTGGGTGAGGAATAGTCTGCACCAGAAGCTCACATATATCTTGACTCTTGTGTGTGTGGTTGTCAGGCCGCTATAGTGCTGCCGCAAACCACTCTGGATACTTAAAATCCAGGAGGTATTTTTCAAACTCTGCTACCGGCAGCTGGTGTTTGGTGGCTTACATATGGAGGTATTGATGTGTTCTGGAATTGGAGAAAATCACCCTCTGGAAATAGAAAAATGTGGTGACAGGGACCCATGTAGACTGGAATTTTGTCCCAGTGCGTTTGCCTGGGGCTGGTTGGTTTCTCCTCTCCTGGGCTTATGGTCAGAGACAAAGACATTGAGAAAAAATGTGCTGCAGTATGATGGGAGTCTAGAATTCATACTCCCAAGAATGTTTAATTTGAAGAAATTCTACTGCTAAAATTTGGCTCTGCATTGTCGCTGCTGGTCAGTTATGGATGGCTCTAGAGATAGGAAGAGGCAAACATCCCCTGCTTCTCTGGTGCATTGTTGCCATGGACCTTTTAGTGAGAAAGAGTGTCTGCATGCATGGGGCCTGGAAATGCCTGGGGTGAACTTTGCAGAAAGCAGGAACAGAGTGAGAAGAAAAGAGAATGTACTGCTTGCATACCCATATCTGTTGGTTGGCTTCCATGGACATGTGGTTGAAGGATTGTTCTGGTATGACTGACAGAGGCAAAATAGGAAAGAGATTAAGAGAATGAGCTTTGGAACCCTAAGGCTGAGTCCTGGTTCAGCTGTTCATTTGCTGTGCAACCTGGGCAAAGTTACTTAACCTCTCAGAGTGTCATTTGTAAAATCAGAACAATAATAGGGTGATTTCAAGAATTAAAAAGAATTTCATTTAAAACTTTGGCATATTGCCTGGGACACAGTAGTTGGTAATGAGTGCTGGTGGTGGTGATGGTAATGATGGTAATGATTCTTCTCCTTTGAGCTTAGTGAGGCAGGACTAGTTGGAGAGGGTGAGAGGTGGTGATATTTGTACTCTGGCCATGGTGAGGGCAATGAATATTTCCTAACAGAAATGAATGTTTTCAGGCTAACTAGACTTTGAAAACTCTGTAATTAATCTTTGTTGATATGTAATAGAACGTTTTGAAAGGGTACTTTTTTTGAGACACGGTCTTGCTCTGTTGCCTGAAAGAGTACTTTTTTTTGAGACACGGTCTTATTCTGTTGCCCAGGCTGGAATGCCGTGGTATGATCAAGGCTCACTGCATCCTTGACCTCCTGGGCTAAAGCAATCCTCCATCCTCAACCTCCCAAGTAGCTGGGACTACAGGGGCATGCCACCACACCCAGCTAATTTTTGTATTTGGCAAAGCACTTCTAATGAAACTCACAGATGATATTTTCATTGCATCTCAGGAAACCACTTCAGGATCCTAGCGTTCTGAAGTCAGAGTTCAGGGCAGGAGATAGCCACCTTCATGGTCATTCACTTTATCTTTCCAAGTATGCCTCAGCCAGGCTTCTTCATTTTTGCCTCTTGGGTGCATTCACCTCTACTGACCTAGGGACTGGAGGTCATTTTAGGAAAAGAGTCTACCAAAGGGAAGGCAATTCTGTCTCCGAAGAACCAGACAACTTTCAGCCTGGTTTAGTTATGAGAAGGGTTCTGGCCTGGGCATGCCTGCACTGGAATCCCATGGGAAGTCTCCCTCTGAACTTTCAGAGACTCCAGCCCCACTCTCCCCGATGCACAACTGTTAGTTCAATGCCATTCACCAAAAGGATGCCGCCCAGCACCGGTGGAGATGGAGCAGAAACAAGTGAGTCATGTTTGGAATGGACCCAGGGAATTCTGCAGAAGAACTTCCAGGTGATGCCCACGCTGCCTGATGCAGACACAGCCTGAGGGCTGATGATGTAGGTCCAAGTGTGCTCCTATGTCCCATGCTTTCCAGTTTTCAAGGACATTCACTGATACCATCTTGTTTCATCCTCACCTAAACCCCAGGAAAGGGGACAGACAAGCCCTGTGAGCCCATTTTATAGACAAGGAGACAGGATCAGAAGGGTTACATGACTGGCCCAAGGTCCCAGGCTAGGACACAGCCAGCAGAGGCTGGGATGTGGTCCAATTGCCAGTTCATCCTTTTTTTCTTTTCACTTGAGAGAGGTTAAAATTAGTGCCTGCTAAAGAGCTTTCCCTAAGGACTCAAGGAACATTATTAATAGCATTCCATTAATCCTCACATTTATTCAGGAACAGCAGGTGGCTAAGATTATAATGATTATAATGATTGCTATCATGACACAGAATTACTAGGACCCCGGGGTACAGCTTCCTTAATGCTATGCTTTCCTGTGATGCATATGGGTGCATAAATATATAACACACACACACAGACACACACACATGCTCACACTCACACTCCAAATAGCAACCAGGTAAGGAAGCTTTCACTGAGTGTTGAGAATGAAGCCTGAGATCCCAGCATGACTAAACAGGAATTTCCTAGGATTTTTTGTTGCACTAGTGACATAAAAGGCTTTGCAGATAAAACACACAAGGGAAGTTAGGACAATTGGAGAAAGTTTTGCATGTCTTCACATGCTCAAATGCAGGAAGCAAATAAAGGTGCAAGTCTCCTCCTGGGCTGGAAATGTGAGGCCGTGTCTTCCCAGGAGAAGGAAGCCAGTGTATTGAAGCCCATCCAGGCCTTCTGGGCTCCCATCTGGATGGTAGGGAAGTGAGGGGGTGTCCTGCCCTGGCTGTCTGCACTGTTCACACTTAGAAGGCGATTGCCTGGACCCAGTGGGAACGTGGTGAGCCTGGGTCAGTACTGAGTCCCGGACCTGATGGGAACATGGTGAGCCTGTGTCAGTACTGAGTCCCAGACCCGGTGGGAACATGGTGAGCCTGTGTCAGTACTGAGTCCCGGACCCAGTGGGAACATGGTGAGCCTATATCAGTACTGAGTCCTGGCACCAGGCTGCATTCAGCTCTTTCAGTCTGTGATGCTGTCATGCAGTTGAAATAAGGAGAGAGAGAGGATGGGAAAGAGGCTGTCTGGCCTCCCCAGAGCAAAGGTAGCAAAAGGAAAAGCCCAAGACTTGGTGTCAGGGAGCCTGGAGAATGTTGTCCCTAGGGCTCTGCCCCCTTGGCCAGCTTGGTGACCACAAGCCCTATTCCCCAGCATTACAGAGTCATTCATTCTTTCATTCATCATCCATCTTAGTCAGTTTGGGCTACTATAACAGAATATAGGCTCAGGGGCTTAAACAACAGACACTTACTAGGTTGTTGCAAAAGTAATTGCAGTTTCTGCCATTTAAAAGTAATGCTAAAATACTCAATTACTTTTGCACCAACCTAATATTTCACAGTTCTGGAGGCGAGGAAGTCCAACATCAAGGCCCTGGGAGGTCTGGTGTCTGGTGAGGGCCTGCTTCCTAGTTTGCAGACAGCTGCCTTTTTGTTGTATCCTCACATGGCAGAGAGAGGGAGGAAGAGAAAGATCTAGGTTCTTTCTCTTCTTAAAAGGACACTAATACCATCATAAGGGTTCTACCCTCATGACCTCATCTAAACCCACCTACCTCCCAAAGCCCCACCTCTTAAAAACATTCCAAAGGGGTTAAGATTTCAATATATGAATCTTGGGGTGATAAAAAATACAGTCCATAGGCCGGGCACAGTGGCTCACGCCTGTAATCCCAGTACTTTGGGAGGCCGAGGCAGGCGGATCATGAGGCCAGGAGATTGAGACCATCCTGGCTAACACGGTGAAACCCCGTTTCTACTAAAAATACGAAAAAATTAGCCGGGCGTGGTGGCGGGCACCTGTAGTCCCAGCTACTCGGGAGGCTGAGGCAGGAGAATGGCGTGAACCCGGGAGGCGGAGCTTGCAGTGAGCCGAGATGGCACCACTACACTCTAGCCTGGGTGACTGAGCAAGACTCTGTCTCAAAAAAAAAAAAAAAAAAAAAAATACAGTCCATAACACTCATGCATCTATTCAAGAAGTGTTTTTGGAGTATAGTCCCCAGGGAGCCGACAATTCAATGGGAGAAACTGGCAAGCAAGTTGGCAATTACATTACTCAGGAAAAGTGCCACGGTGTGGGGTGGGCTCTGGGTATCAGGAGATATTTAGCAGGAAAACCAGCACCATCTCGGGGAATCATGGAAGGCTTCTTAGAAGTGACCTCTGGGAGGATGAGCAAGAGCTGGGCAGGCAAAGATGAACAAACGGAGCAGGTTTGCAGCCAAAGAGACAGCATATGTGAGGTGCTGCTGCCCTAGTAAGCTTCATTCTCTCTCACCAGCCTAGCTTCTCAGCCCCTCCCCACAACCCCACACTGCTCAGATCTTTCTGGGCTACTGGGGAAGTCATGAGTTTATTTGCCCCCAGAGTTCTAGTATTAGGTTAGTGCAAAAGTAATTGCGGGTTTTGCCATTACTTTTTTTTTTTGAGACAGAGGCTCCCTCTCTTGCCCTGGCTGGAGTGCAGTGGTGCGATCTCGCACTGCAACCTCTGCCTTCCGGGCTCAAGCGATTCTCCAGCCTCGGCCTCCAGAGTAGCTGGGATTATAGGTGTGTGCCACCATGCCCAGCTAATTTTTTTATTTTTGGTAGAGATGGGGTTTCACCACATTGACCAGGCTGGTCTCAAACTCCTGACCTCAAGTGATCTGCCTGCCTTGGCCTCCCAAAGTGCTGGGATTACAGGCATGAGCCACCATGCCCGGCCTGCCATTACTTTTAAATGACAGAAACTGCAATTACTTCTGCACCAACCTAATAGACCTTCATTTTTTTTTTTTTTTTAATCAACCATTTCAAACAATTCCAGCTCTTGCTAGAGAGGGGCATTTCATCTTTCTGGCAGTGAAGGTTAATTTTATGTGTCAACTTGGCTAGGCCATGGTACCCAGATATTTGGTCAAATGCTAGGCTAAATGTTACTATGAAGGTGTTGTTTAGATGAGGTGAACATTTAAGTCAGTAAGACTTTGAGTGAGGCAGATGGCCCTCCATAATGTGGGCCAGCCTCATCCAAGCAGTTGAAGGCTAAAGAGAAAACAGACTGAGGCCTCCTGAGGAAGAAGGAATTCTGCCTACAGACTGTCTTTGGGCTCCGGCTATAGCATCAGCTCTTCCCTGGGTCTCCAGTCTGCCTGCCTGCCTGTTCTGTGGACTTTGAACTTACCAGGATCGCATGAGCCAATTTCTTAAAATAAATCTCTCTCTTTATATACATGTGTGTGTGCATATGTATGTATGTGTGTATGTAGACATCCTATTCATTCTGGTCTCCGGAGAACCATGACAAATACAGTGCATAAACCCAGGTCCCTTTAGGTTGCTGGACTCATTTGAAAGCATTACATCTCATCCACTAGGAAGGACCATGCTTCCCAGATCTTCCTGATGATTACAGTTGTTCACTCCATGATGTGAGAGGGCTGGGTAGGAAAATGCGAAACAAAACAAATTTCATTCCTGCCCCAGCCTGAAATGAGACTCAAGTCTAGATAAGTGGATTAACTTCCTAGAATTCAGTTTCTTTATCTGCCACACAGCCGACAGAGGCCGTTAAGGTGACATGGCAGTACAGGGCATCCCCACAACAAAAATCACAGCAAATTGTATTATAATGTATTTCAGGAGCCCAGGCCCACATGAAGCACATGCCGTGCCTATCTCATTTAATGCTCATAGCTAAGCCACGAGTTACGGAGCATCATCACCCATTCTAGAGGTGAGGAAACCGAGGCACAGAGAAATGTAGCTGCCATGCTCAGGCGCACACAGGCAGATGGAGGCACGATTGGAGCCCAGGCAGCTGGCCTGGGCCCCTGTGCTTCACTGCCCTGTGAGGCCTGATTGAGACCTGAAGGAGCTGACGTCAAAGCTTCATCCTTGCTGATGTATCTGTTTTGTGCCACTGCATTGTACAACTCCAGGAGCCCTTGCCTCTATTCACAAGGACTGCAGAGAATGGTGCCCTGCAGAGAATGGTACCCTTGAGGCCCTGTTTCTGCTGGCCTTTTCATCCTAGGATCCTGATGACTGAACTGGAATAAAGACATGAAGTGAGGTTTATCCAGAAAAACACAGCAATATCCCAGCCAAAGAAGACAGGGTGTTTATAGCCACTTATTTCCACTAACATATGGATTGGAAAGTAATATTCATCTATTTTTAAAAGCCTTGCTATAAATTACAACAGCTGAGTTATGAACCCTGAGGAATGGCATTCATTCAAATGTAAATGTCAACATAGCGCTCCCAACTTCAGCCCCTCGGGCGTGCCCCACAACCACACTTCCCCCAGATAGAGGCTCACTGCACTGTGCACCTTGGCCGCCTTGCTGCTGCGCTCAGGCTGCCCTCTGACATCACCTACATTCAGCAAGGGTTTCTCTTCACTCTGGGCAGCATTTAACTGCCCCTCACCTGCTCCAAGACAGCCAATCCAGTGTGACAGCTCAGAGTATGATGACCATGGGGAGAAACAGCCCACGGTAACTACATGTGCCTACAGGTAGTAGCAATGAACAGTAGTAATAACTATAATATATGGAGTGATTATTGCCAACCAGGTTATTATTTCACTGAACCAGGTACTAATGTCATTGACAAAGGCTGTACTAGATAATGGTTAGGAATTTGCACCAGGCAATGGGATGCATCCTGCATCCTGTTTACTCTCCTTACTAGCTAATGCCTTAATTTCCACATGGGTAAAATAGGAATAATATCACTGGCTTTTTAGTATTACTGTGAGGATTAAATGAGTTAATTTGTTAAAAGCACTTAAACTAGTGCCTGGATAATTGTAAACATACACGCAGACACACAGAGTCATGCACTGCATAACAATGTTTAGGCCATATACAATGGTCATCCCATAAGATTATAACACTGCATTTTTAATGTATCTTTTCTATGTTTAGATATTTTTAGATACACAAATACCATTGTTACAATTGCCTACAATGTTCAATATAGTCACATGCTGTGCAGGTTTGTAACCTAGGAGGAATAGGCTATGCCATATAGCCTAGGTGTGGAGGAGGCTAGATTATCTAGGTCTGTGTGAGTGCAATCTGTGATATTCACAAGATGAAATTGCCTACTGATGCATTTCTCAGAATGTATTTCTGTAAACAACACACAATTTTAGATGGGAAAAGTCTTTGCAGATGTGATTAAATTAAGGATTTTGAGATGTGGAGATATCCTGGATTCTATCCGGGTGGGCCCTACTTGCCATCACAAGTGTCCTTATACGAGGGAGGCAGAGGGACCTTTGAAGAGTGACCTACAGAAGAGAAAGCAATGTGAAGACAGAGCAGAGAAAGATGTGAAGGATGCTGGCCTCGAAGACTGGAGTGATGCAACCACAAGGCAAGGGATGCCAACAGCCACCCAAAGCTGGAAGAGGCAAAGGATGAATCTCTCTTAGAGCTTATACATAAAGAGAATATGTATACATGTATTTTACTCTTCCCAACAATCCCAAGAGGCAGGCAACATTGCTATTCCCATTCTAGAGATGAAAATCTGGTCTGAGGTCTGTCAGAGCCCTGAATCTATCCTCTTACCTGCTGTGCCCCTTTTGCTGTCTATTGTATGTGTGAGGAGAGACCACCTGCCTGTTATCTACGTTGCAGAAGGTACAGTAGAGGCCCAGCCTGCATCCCTTTTGTATTCACTGATGCCTTCCTACTGCAAGTTCCTGCAACTCTGTGCCCTAGAGGGAGCTATTGACAAATGATGTGGAGAAATTGGAGGAAAATACCCAGATGCCTCCTCTGGAGCAGGACAACTCTGAGGTATCCTACATCACCTCCCAGGGTCCCCAGGGAGACTGCAGCCCACCTGCCCGCAGTGGTAACTTGCTTGAGAATGCACCTTGCATGACTTCCTTTCTATCTGTATCTCATGTTCTCATTCCCCTACTGGTGTTTCTTCAGGTCACCTTCCAAATAAATTACTTGTGTTCATGTCCTTGTTTCAGGGTCTGCTCCTGGAAGAACTCAAGCTAAGACACCTACACATAGATATGTATATTTGCTATTTTCATGCATCTAGTTAGGTTAAATAATGACTTCTAAAGAGATCATTGTTTTTCCCTATGGCTGCTGTAGCAAACTTGGTGGCATAAAAAACAGAAATTTATGCTCTCAGAGTTTTGAAGGCCAGAAGTCTGAAATCATTATCACTGGGCCAAAATCAAGGCATCAGCAGAACTGCGCTCCCTCCGGAGGCTCTAGAGGAGAATCATTCCTCTTCCAGCTTCTGGTGGCAGCTGGCATTCCTTGGCTTGTGGCTGCATCACTGCAATTTCAAGGCCAGCATCTTCAAATCTTTCTCTGTTCTGTCTTCACATCACCTTCTCTTCTGTGTGCCTTTGTCAGATCTCCCTCTTGTAAGAGCGATTGTGATGGCATTTAGGGCCCACCCAGATAATCCAAGATATTCTCACCATATCTAAATGGTTAACTTAGTCATATCTACAAACACTTTGCCACACAAGGTCACATTCACAAGTTCCTGGGATTAGGAGGTGGACAGCGGTGGGGGCCATCATCAGTTTACCATGATAAGACAGTCATTCATGCAAAGCAATTTTACTCTTAATCCTTTTCATGTGCTAGGGTGTTAGGGGTATGGAGATGAATAAAAGGCAGTCCTTGTCCCTTAGGTGCTCACATTCTAATGAAGAGATGGACAAGGAAACCCACCTTTACAGGGTGCTGGCTAAATGCTGACCCAGAGCCACGAAAAGGGCTCTGGCTGCAGTGTGCTTGTGATGGCTCAGAGCACCAGGACCAGCTTCTGACCATGCACGACACAGAGAAAGGAAGAGAGGCCAGTGTAGAAAGTCAAAGGAGCCTGATCCCAGATGGCCCCCTGCTGTCACCAAATCATCAGGGACTACTTGCCTCCAGATTGCTTTAATATAGCAACACTATGAATTTTACGTGAGCCATTGTTTTTGATTGTTTTGTTGGGTTAGACTTTACTTCTAACAGATACAGGATGGGAGGAGCGTTTAAGGAAGCAAGGAAGAACAGTGTGCACCCATTCACAGAGCCAGGAGGCAGCCATGGCCTTGGGCTGCACAGTGTTGGGCATGGCTGGGTGGACGGGACAGGAAGGAGTGGTGGTCGCTGAGGAAGAGTCAGATCATTATGGCCTCTACAAGAAACCAATAACTGCAAATTAGGGAAAAAAACAGCAAAGAGGAAATCAGACTTTGGAAAATTAGAAAAAGGAGGTTGTGGTGGAAATTGGTATTTAGGAGGAACATAATTATTGGGTGGCCACACAATGTGGCTTTAGAAATAGCTTCTGATTGCTCTGTGCTTATATGTAAAACGGGCCCTGCATGTCGGAGGGCTGGCTCTGGCTGCCTTGGCTGTGCCCACCTCAGGGGCAGGGTCTCCAGGGCTGTGACTTAGATAGACATCACTTCGGGGACCTAGTCTCTTCCCTCAAAGCCCCAAACCCACTTCCAGGGCCTGCAGGACTTCTGCCCTCCTCTCTTGGTCTATTTGTGCTTCTATAACAGAATGCCAGAGGCTGGGTCACTTATAAAGAACAGAAAGGGGTTCCTCACAGTTCTGGAGGCTGGGAAGTCAGCGGGTTCAGTCGTGTGGTGAGGGCTGCAGTCTGCCTCGGAGATGGTGCCTCGCTGCTGCATCCTCTGAGGAAAGGAACGCCGTGTCCTCACATAGCAGGAGGAAGAAGGGCAAGAGAGCCGAATGCTGTGTGAAGCCTCCTTTATAAGGGCCTTAATCCCATTCAGGAGGGAGGAATCCGCACGACTTATGTGTCTCTTAAAGGCCCCACCTCTTAATACCATCACATTGGCCACTAAGTTTCAACCCTGAATTTAGGAGGGGACACATTCAAACCACAGCACCTCCCCAGATGGTTCACAGCACCACGAGCGAACCCCTAAGCCAAGAGGTGGTCAAGAAGCTCCGTTGGCCGGGAGATAAATGAAGCTTTGACGAGTGAGCCAGGCTACCATGCAGGTGAACCTCCTGTGGTGGGGACGGAGCCAGAGATGGGACGAGAAGGGTCTGGGCTGCGGGCCAGGGGCTGCGTCTCCTCACACTACTGCATTCTGGTGAGGAGCTCCTTGTAATCTAGGGATTGTGACTGGAACCTGGTCTTCCCGACTGTTTAAGGCCTATGTTTGTAAAGGTAGAAGGAGAGAACATATTTTGTTTAAGAGTTTGTTCATTTGATTTCTAACTCTGAAGTGTGCAGACATATGGTACGGTGTGGGTGGTAGAGCCAGGCAATTTCGGAGGACTATTGAACAGCAGCATTCCCTCCAGCCCTCCTCCCACCACCGCGGCCCTCCTTTTCCACCAGCCTCCGAAATCCCCTCCCGGAGCAAACAGACTCTGCCTGGCTGCTTCTGCAGTTTCTGGGTTACCTGGGGCTTCTCTTTCCCCTCCTCTCCCAGGTTCTGGGGCCCTCAGAACTTACTGGCCTTACCAGGGAACCAGGCAGCTCCTGGCACTTGCTTCCTGCTGCGTTACTGACTTTCCAGTTTCTAGGAGGCTGATGCCTGCCCTCTGGCCCTCTGCACGTAACATACTCTCTTCCAGGAATTTCCCCACCTCCGTCCTCCCCAGACTGTCTCCTACCAAGGTCTGTTGTTTCCTTCTCTGTGTTCCCCTCTGTCCCTTCTGCATATATATGAGTACCATTATGGGTTGAATAGTCTCCCAAAAAGATGTTCAGGCTCTAAACCCCAGTACCTGTGAACCTGCAGACGTGACCTTATTTGAAGATAGGGTCTTTAAAGTTGATTGAATTAAGGTGAGGTCATTAAGGTGGGCCCTAATCTAATATGACTGGTGTCTTTGTAAAAAGTGGAATTTGGAGGCAGAAACAGACATAGACACATAGAAAAGATGATGTGAGGACACAGGGAGAATGCCATCTACAAGCCATGGAATGCCCGAGGCTGCCATTAGGCAGGAGAAAGGCCTGGGACAAATTATCCCTCACAGCCTAGAAGGAACAAGCCCTGCCAACACCTGGACTGTGAGACAATCAATTCCTGTTATTCAAGCCACCTAATTCATGGTACTTTGTTGTGGCAGCTCTAGGATTCAAATACAGGTACTAGTAGCCCAATCACACTGTCACATGAATTTGATTTCTTGTCTCCCCAGCAAAGCCATTGGTTCTTAAAGGCCTGAACCTACTGCCCCATGGCCCAGTAGAGTGCCTGACACATAGTATGCCATCAAAAAAATTTGGTGTCATAAAAATAATTAGACTTCAAGGTGGAAAATCACCGTAGAGATTTTTAACCATTGTCCTAATTAACTATAGCAAAGATGCTAATTATGAGCAAGTGTTATGCAAATGACTCTGTGGCCCTCTTAATTATATCATTACCTAGACATGGCCCCTAGGAAATAGCTGCGCTCAATTCTTGGGTTGAAAATCAATGAGAGTGGGGCCAAAAGGCAGTCAAGAGACAGTTTGTTGCTCAGCACGTTGGGTAGGAAGAGAGAACAAGAACAAATGTTCACTGTGAAATATCTGGAGGTTCTTTTTCATGTGCCCAGTTGATTTCTGCTTCTTATCTTTCAGCACCACCCTCCACAGAGCAGGGGTAGGGGCCTGAGTACCAGCCAGGAGTGATTTATGAGGGTTATCAGTGGCCGTTGTAGGGAATGCTTCACACCTGTGGGTCCCCGGCAGGACTATACCCCTTTGCTCTTGTGACATGTGTCCCCTGCTGCAAGTGACACGTGGACCCAGAGTGTCTCAGAGAAATCTGGCTCCTTGGCGCTCCCAGTCCAAGCTCCCCAGCATCATCCCTGAGACAGCTGGTGCAACAGGGAGCTTTTCTGAAGACACTGGGGTCTCAATGCGGACCTATATGGTGTCCCACTGCCATGATTCAGGAACAGAGAACAGAAAAATTGCTGTCTTTCTAGAATGTGATCTGGGAACTTGTTCTTCAGCTCCAATATAATTTTCCTAGAGGTGAACATATTTTCTTAGCAATCATTCATTATTTTTTCCAAGTATAGTAAGACAGTATATTGGACCATTTGAAAACAGACTGAGCCAAAAGGACTTTTAAGATCATTAAACTGCATTTGGATTTGAGTCTTTCTGATCTAAGCTTCAGTTACAAATTTACTAACTTGAGTGATCAATGCTGTGAAGAAGTGAGCTAACATTTTCATTATCAAATATATATATATATATATATATATATATATATATATTAGACTAGGGAACAGGCAAAAATGGTATTAATAATGATTGCCTCTGGGCAGTAGGATTATAGGTGATTTTATTTTCTTATATTTTTGATTTCCTAATTTTGAAAATGAACTTATTTTTTATATCATCAGAAAAATGTTACTTGTAAAGGACTTGAAATCCTCAGCCTGGATGACAAATGTTTGCTGTTTGGGAGCTGGGTGTGCCGCAGGCCTGGAAGACAGAAACTCATCATTGTCCTGAAACGGAGCTGGTTTTAAAGTGCCGTGTTCTTGCACTTCACGGCCTGCCCCATGGCCTCCTCCCCAGCCTGGAAAGTTATCTCTGTGAGGCTGTTTTTATTTTCTTTCTTAATGAGGAAATGAAGAACAAAGGCCACAAAGTCGTCCCAAGGTCCTTGCACCCTGGAGAGGGGCGAGCACTTTAGGAGCTCTTTGAATCCCTCCCTCTCCAGACAGAAAGCTTCTCCTTAGATCTAACCCGTCCCCTCTGCTCCAGATTAAAGCTGTTAGCTCTTATTTGAACCTCAGTAGAAGGTGGGCATCCTATTCCATAATAGTCCTGGGTCTACTTGAATAATAAAAGAATTACAACTCGTATTCTCATGACGCTTTAGAGTGGTGATTTCTTAACTGTAAAGGCACAATCTAACTGCCTGGGGAGCGTTTAACGAAGACCACTGCCTGGCCCAACCCTAGAGTGCTGACTTAATCGGTCTGGGGTGGGCACCTACAGCTGGAGTTCTGTAAAAGCTCCCCAGGCAATTCTAATACGTGGCCAGAGCTGAAAACTGCTGCTTCCGAATTTTTAAAGCACGTGTACACTATTTCAGCTGATCCTCAGAACCACTATAGGCAAGGCAAGTCTGCCCTATTTTCCCAGGCAGGTCTTTTTATAGCATTACTTTAAAAACCTTAAATCTCAGTCTACTTCTGGAGTTTTTCCAATTTTCTTTTCCTTTGTGAAATCTACCGTTGATATGCCTTTCAGCTTTAAAACTCTCCAGTTACCTGAATGTAAACTCTCAGCCCTAGAGAACTCCATCTATTCTGTGATTCTCCAAGCACTTGAAAGATTTTGGTCTCAAAACTGCTATCCAAAGACACCATGAAGCCTGTCCTGCTTCTCATCACTCAGCACTATCCTACCCTACCTTTAAGACAAGGTCAAAAGATGCAAAGGCCTTCAGGGCCAGCAGGCACTGTGCAAGTGTTAATCTGGTGGTTTAGTCCTACAGGCCTGACAGTATAGGGAGTGGTGCTGACAGTGTTTGTCAAAGATCTGGGCTGTGACCTGGTGTGACCTTGGGCAAATTACTTACTGGCTCTGAGCCTCAGCTCTCTCCTCTGTAGTAACATTGGGACTGTATTTTTAAAAAA
The DNA here is from genome assembly GCF_000001405.40 of Homo sapiens. Classification (NCBI taxonomy): domain Eukaryota; kingdom Metazoa; phylum Chordata; class Mammalia; order Primates; family Hominidae; genus Homo; species Homo sapiens. The sequence goes on from NC_000013.11 coordinate 45,823,934, forward strand.
ATATTATTTTAGATTCAAGGGTACATGTGCAGGCTTGTTACATGGGTATATTGAGTGATGTTGAGGTTTGGGTTTCTAGTAAACCCATCACCCAAACAGTGAACATAGTACCAAATAGTCTACATTTTAGGCCTTACAAAGGTCAAAGATCCATTCTCATCTGTTTAATCTTCACCACTCTATAATTAGGGCAATTTTTACAACCCGTTTTACATACTAGGCAAATCTGACTTAGGTTTAAGTGAACTTCAGTTAAAAAATTATACAAGTAAAAACTGGCAGAACTTGGTTTTGAAGTCAATTCCTTTTAGTGCCAAACCCTTTATTTGTCCCACAACGCCACATCGAATTCTCTAAGAGTGTCAGTAATGTTAGCTGCCTCAAAGGGTTGTAAGTTAGATTGAATGTAGTCAGGCCCACAGCAGGCACAGGACCTGCCCCCCTTGCTGCTGTCGATAAAGCTCTGCTATTAACAAAAGCAATAACAGAATATTCAAAGTGGTCTGGGGTAGCCTCCATACCCCTCACCTGTCACTGGCCATTTTCTTCCTTCTTTGTAAGCTGGAAGGCTCTGGGCCTAACCTCATCTAATTAAGGCAGAGTATCTGGGGTTGAGACCCAGGTTTCAGCCCTTCCCCTTGGTTTCAAGCTCCCTAGATGATTCCAACATGCAGGTGGAGTTGAAAACCACTGTGGGGAAAGAGACCAGTGCTAAATGTCTTTGGACCTCCAGACACATAGAGCCTGGCACACAAACAATGTTTTGTGGTATAATTTGTTAAAGCAGCGCATCGGAGTTGGAAAAATCCAGGTTTAAATCTCTATCACTTATCAGAGAAGGGGACTTATTTGCTCTGAGCCTTATTCCTCATTTATTAAAAAACAAAAACCACGAGATTGCGCCACTGCACTCCAGCCTGGGCGACAGAGCGAGACTCTGTCTCAAAAAAAAAAACAAAAAAAACAAAAACCAAAAAACCAAAAAAAGAAGCCATCCTCTACTCTGCAGGGCTGTGCTGAGAAGTGACAGAGAACCAAGGCGTGTGCTAATGTGTCCACTGCTGTGAGTGCTAAAGCGGTATGCAAACGTACGGCAGCATGACAGTATCGTGGGTGCTTAATACATATTTATCGATTTCCACGAGATCTTACTTACCCATCTTTTCTTCACTCTTAAACATGAAGCTGGGGGAAATAAATAAGAAATATAATTGCACCTCACACTTCAGGACTCCCTAGGCATCTCGCATTAATAGGTCTCTTCAGCTTTCCTCTAAGTGCTAATAATTCCTGGGCGTTTTGATGGGAGCGCTTTCTCCCAAAGATAAATTGACCCCAGCTAAGAGCCAAGCTCCTAGCCAAATCTCATTACAATCAGCCTTGATGGCAGACAGGATTCAGAATGTAACAAAATTAGAGCTTTTAAATCATTATCTCGACTCTGGGAGCACTGCGTTAACAGATGGGAATGTGGATGATGGAGAAAAGACCTCACACCACACTCTTCCCCAGAAAACGGATTTCCCCCAAGCCAGGAGCGCAGCCCCCAGCCCTGCCTGGGGTGTGTGCTTAGTGTCACCTTGGAGGGAGTGACATCTGAACTGACCTTTTCACACCTTCGTGAAGTAGTCTTCCTGAGGATCCACTTTTCCCAGCTCACTTTTCTGCAGAAGGTAACCATAGGGGAAAATGTGAAATGCTGAGTCTCTTAGGAAACAACTTGGTGAGCAAGAAGTTACTTGGGACAGTACTTTCTGTTGCTGCTTTCCTGAGCTCTGAGCAGCTTCCTCATCTGTTCGTTCATTCAACAGCATCAGTGCACACTGGGCCCTCATATCATACCTGTTCTGGCTACATCCTCTGTGCCTGTGACATTTCTCCGTTTTGTAGGACAGCCCTACCCCAGCTCCCTCGCTTCCTAGGCCTTGTTCTCTGAGTTACAGCTTTCCTCCAAAGGCTCCCTCCCCTGACCATGAAGACCAAAACCCAAGTCTCTCAGCATTCAAAGATCTCTGCCTTCCTCCCCCTGGCCCTCAACACCCCAGCCCTGTGTCTTTGTTTCCTGGTTTCTCCTTAGCCTCTGTCTGGAAGGCGTTTTCCCTTGAGCCTTGTATGGCTGGTTCAGTGCATGTTCTTTTCATTCAGATGTGAGCTCTTGTGACACTTTTTTAAAGAAAGCTTTCCTGGATGACTCAGTCCATAGAAGCTTGTTTTAATTCTCTGCAAAGCATTTAACATTACCTGATATATTTATTTACTTATTATCATTTTCTTCTTCTCTGGGCTGGATTGTAAACCCTGTGAGATCAGACCTGTTTATGTCATTCACTAATACATCTTCAAAGCTTAGGATGATGCTTGGCATATAGTAGGTGCTAAATAAACATTTAAATGGATGGATGGATGGATGAGTGGGTGGGTGGATGGATGGATGGATGGATGAATGAATGGATGGATGGATGGATGGATGGATGGATGGATGGATGGATGGATGGATGAATGGATGCATGGATGGATGGATGGATGAATGGATGGATGGATGGATGGATGGATGGATGGGTGGGTGGATAGATGGATGGATGGATCAATCAATAGCGTTCTCTGCAAGTGCTCCTTGACTCTCCGGGCTTTATTATTTATTACACTCTATGCTTTACCTTATCACGTGCCTCCTGTTCATGTTGCAGCCTTCATCACATGTTAATAGCTCAATCCTAGCATAGTGGACATGTTAAACATATTTCTTCAAGTTAAACATGAAAATCTGCTCTCTAGGAGTTTACAGTCCAGGAGGGAAGGTAGAGCAGGTTCAGAAAGACCTAAACTCTACGTGTGAGTTGTGGGTTCCCTAAAATAAAAAGATAATGTGAGGGCTGAGGGCTGTGGGTTGCAGAGGCTGGCACCCCTCCAACATTCTGGGGTGACAAACATTTCCAGATTGACACCCAGACCAACCCTGACCTGGTGATCCCCTAGGACTGTCTCTGGGCGATGTACACATTAACTGTGATGAACTCAGCGGGCTAGATTAGTCTCTCGAGTAAACCACAGTTTTAACGGCCTGCCCACCACCAATTCCTTTTTTCTTCATGGCTAACAGCTCTTTAGTTTCATTCATGTCAGCTAAGTGGCCACTCTTAGCTCTGAGCCAATCACTATTCTTTGTTTCCCTGGCCCTTCTTGACAGTTCTGATGCCTGTGTGACTGACCCAGCTCTGGTCCGTGAAACTTAAGAGCTGTCTTTTGGAGGAGAGGATCCTGACAAAGCTTTTGCTTTCCTAATAAAATGAAACAGTGTCACCCTTTTCCCCTTCCATTTGTCTTGAATACAGTCAAGATGCTGGAGCTGCAGCCAGTGTCTTGCAAACACGAGGCAGCAAATGCAAAGGAAAGGGCAAGAGAAGAGGAGACAGGCCAATCCTGACATTCTGAGCACCTGAACTATGCTAGAAACCATCTACCCCCAGGCTGTGATTTGTAAGAAAAACAAACCTCTACTTATTCAAACCACTGTTATTTGACCATTCTGCTATTTATAACTGATTTTATTTCTAACTAATATGGAACTCTACAGACATGTCCAATCCAGGCCTGGAGCCAGTCCAGGAGGTCACAGAGTTCTCAGAGGGGTTGGGAAAGTTCCAAACAGCAGCAAAGGAACCCTAGAGCTGGATTCCTTTCCTCCCTCAGTATAGGTGGTTTGCTCCCAGGACAGACTAATGAGTCCCATAGGCTTCAGGAGATACTTCATTCAATTCCTGGCTACATCAGGCTCTGATTGATTCAGTAAAAGCAGTCACCAGGGTAGCCTTGTGTTCAGACTACATGATACCAAAGCAACATTTCCCTTCCAGGCCCCTGCCACCTCTACCAATAAAGTTTTTAATTTTATCTTTCCAGCCAACCTCTGTCTTTCCTTCTCTCTGCTTCCATAATTGTTTGTAGCATCTCCACTCAAGGCTGGCTTCATGGACATCCAATCTGTGCAGTTCCAACAGTGCCCCAATTTAATGCACTACTGTCACTGCTGTGAAATTCTTAAATTTTAACAACGAGGCCCACATTTTCATTTTCACTGGGCCCCACAAATTAGGTAGCCAGTCCCACCTCTGCTAATGGACTTTGCAACTTTCAGCCATGTCTTAGCTCCTCTGAACCTCAGTTTTCTCACCTGTAAAATGAGAATAATAATAACTGCTTTACTGGGTTGTTGGGAGGACTAAATGAGATATCATAAGCAAAGCATCCCCCTTTGTCTGACCTATGGGAGTGCTCTGTGAAGGTTTCTTCTCCTGCCCTTCTCCTCTTGAGTATTTGACCCTGACTGGTTCATAACCTTCCGTGGCTGAAGTTCATGGTCCTGATGCCTCATTTAGAGATGAACTAGCTAAACTCTTTGAGGGGCATGGTGATCTTTATTCTGATGATCTTCACCCCAACGGTGCCTGTCCTTAGCAGGCACCAAGTAAAGGTTTGACAAGTGAACAAATGCTACTCTGAAAGCTGCTAGGATTCTGTGTCGTAGCCCACTTCTCCTTTTGAAGTTGCATTTTGGGAACAGCAAAATTTAACCACAGTATAATAAGGAAGGCATAATTCACTATTTTGCGAGACTCAAAAACTGCTATCCCAGCTTATCTAATGAAAGATAGTCCAAATTTCCTCTCAATCCAGGCTGAGCTTCCATGTGGAATTAGATTAGAGCCAGGACATTTCCATAAGGAATCAAATGCACCCAGGACCAAGCCTCTTTCAGGGGGCCCGAGGTGAAGTCCATGACAATAAAGGTCTCTTTCAATAAGTCATTTTCAACAGTGTGCTCTGGTTTCCTCTAGGATTGAATTCCGGTCTCATTGTCATGCCTGATGGTGAAGGGGAAACCTGCTTACCATGCAGAAAAGCCAGCATCTAGACCCATGTGTGGTTTAAAAGGAATCAGTCAGTGAAAACAAGTGGTATTGACAGAATAGTTAGAAGGGAGGAGAGTTTTGAACAGAATTAACTCTATTTTTTTTTTTGCAGAAAAACTGCATTTAAAAAAATCCACCCTTTTCAAAGTTTCAAAGCATTTTAATAAGCAATAGCTTACATAACTAAGTTAATAATAGTTAATCTAGAATTACCGCTGATTAAGCACCAAGACCTTTCATCAACACCACAGCACTGTGAGGTAGATGTGTTGATTTTACTCACTTTGCAATGGAGTAAATTGAGGTTTCAAAGGATCAGTAACTTGGCTCAAGGGCATAGAGCTAGCAAAAGTCAGCAAGCTGACTGACTCCAAAAACTGCTTGTGTGTAAAATGCATTAATCTCAACTGTGCAGCTTGGTGAATTTTAACCTACGCATGACCCAGTAACCACCACCCAGATCAAGATATAGAACATGGCTGGGTGCAGTGGCTCACACCTATAATCCCAGCACTTTGGGAGGCCGAGGTGGGAGGATTGCTTGAGCCCAGAAGTTCAAGACCAGCCTGGGCAACATAGCAAGACCTTGTCTCTGCAAAAAATAATAAAAAAAATATTATCCGGGCATGGTGGTGTCAACCTTTAGTCCCAGCTACTTGGGAGGCTAAAGTTGGAGGATTGCTTGAGCCCAAAAGGTCAAGGCTGCAGTGAGCCATGATCACGCCCCTGCACTCCAGCCCTGGCGACAGACCAAGACCCTGACTCAAAAGATATAGAACACTTGCTACATCATGGAAGGTTGTCTCATGCCACTTCCTAGGCAGACCTGCGCTCCCGCCCCCAGAGATAACCCCTGTTCTGACATCTATCTCCATCAATTAGTTTGAGGCAAAACTGTCTTGCTTGTTTCCCTTTCTGTATTTTTTTTCCCTCTGAGAAGACCAAACATTGCTTCTAATTTCTAATAAATCTCACTCCTATTTAGGGCAGCAATTATCTTGTTTTTAGAGGCGCTTGGGTTCGAGGCCATGATGAACCACACCCCAGGAGCCTTCTGTCCCGGGGTGCAGCTTTCCTGTCTGGCTGCGGTACAGGCCTGCCTCTAACATTTGCGAGACCCTGGGCAAGGGTCACAGAAAGAAGCATGAACCATTTGTCTAAATGTTTCAGAGGTACACACTAAGCCAATAGGCTGTTAAATGCAGTCCATTTTTCTTCCTATCTTGATAAATGAACATCTTCATAACACATGAGAAAGCCAGGTTTGAATTAGAGGGCTCGGACTCCTTGGAGTTCTAGAATACGTCCCTTGGAAACAGTCAGCTGTAGCCCCAGGGGCAGCCACCTTCTTCTCTTCTCATCCCTAGTTCCATCCCATACCTGATGTATGTGGCCACCTGAGCCTGTACATCCAAGTTCTGTCTAAAGTCTCCATAAAGAGTGAGCCTGGATACCTGTCAGGGGCATGCATGCTGGTGGCACTGTGCACTCTTGGGAGAAGGACAGACCTGCAGAAGACAAGCAAGCCCCAGGCACCCAGAGAGAGACCTAGAAAGGGAAGTGTGAGCTCCAAGTGGGGACAGTCAGGTGGGGATGCACATTCCTCAAGGCGTGGGGTAGGGGCACAGCCCGAGGCAGGCCAGGTGGGTCCTGCAGAGCTTAGCGTACACACCTGCCTGGCCTAAGGGTGGTTTTACAACACTGAGGTCATTCATCTCAATCAAGAGGCAACTTGCTTCATTCCCAAATTCACTCTGAAGAGTTGGGTTTGGTTAAAGCCCTCTTCACTGGTGCTTACCTTCTGCTGGGCATTGAGGCATGAAGATGAACTAAACTTGCTCCCAGCTCTTCAGGGCCTCAAGTCTAGTGGGAGAACCCAGCTGGGTAGCAGTTTTATACCATGTCAGAGACAGACATAGGAGGTTTGAGGAAGGGCTCTGAGCAGGAGAGGACCTCTGAGTGGTCCTAGAAGGTGAGAAAGTACTAACCAAAAAAAGGCAGAGGAAGGTATTTTGGGGAGAGAGCACAGAATAAGTTAAGAATGGTCTATGTTGGCAGGGCCTGGTAGCTCACACCTGTAATCCCAGCACTTTGGGAGGCTGAGGCAGGCGGATCACCTGAGGTTAGGAGCTCCAGACCAGCCTGGCCAACATGGCGAAACCCCGTCTTTACTAAAAATACAAAAATTGGCCAGGCATGGTGGTGCATGTCTGTAGTCCCAGCTACTTGAGAGACTGAGGCAAGAGAATAGCTTGAACCCGGGAGGTGGGGGTTGCAGTGAGCCGAGATCGGGCCACTGCACTCCAGCCTGGGTGACAGAGTGAGACTGTGCCTCAAAATAAATAAATAAATAAATAAATAAATAAATAAATAAATAAATAAAATAAAAAAATGAATCGTCTATGTAATAATGACTTTGAGCCTTCCAGCAGTGAGAAGGTATGATCAGTGACAAGGGGTTGCCAGGAGAGGCCAGTGTATGCACCAAAAGGAGCACAGATTTTATTACTTCCAGGAATTGAGGGAGGCACTAAGGCTTTCAGCAGAAGGGGGTCATGCGCAAATTGATATTTGTAGACATACAACTCTGGCACTGATATGGAGTAGAAGATAATCCAGTAAGGAGTTAATGAAGGTCTGTTATGCATTCACTCAGTAGATATTTATTGAGCCTCCAATATGCCAGGCGCTGTTCTAGACTGGGGAAGCTATGGTGGGCAAGGCAGAAATAGTCCCTCCTCTCAAGCAGTTTATACTCTAATGAGAAGGCAGGGACACCATAGAAACACAAAGCAATAAAGACATCACACTGTTTCAGACAGCGGTGAGTGCTGTGGGTAATGGATAATGGGGTAAAGAGGAGGGAGGGGACATGAGAAAGAAGATGGAACAGCTCATTTCTTCATGTGTCTCTTCACCCAACATGTTTGTATTTATTGAGGGCCTACTATGGGCAGTGTCTCTGTAGTGGAGAGATGAAACCAAAACCCTGTTTTCACAGCATTCATGTCTCATGGAGGAGTCAGACACCATTCAGATATCCCACTGCTAAGCTGCGTATTCTGGAGAAAAGGAACATAGGTCCTTGAGAGCATACAGCCAGGGAATCCCACCTTGGTTGGTTGGCCTGAGAAGATGGACTTTGGGAGGGCGGGAGAGCATTTCCAGCCCAGGGGTGGGAAGGCAAGATGAGTGCTAGGGAGAGCCAGCCGGAAGTGCCTAGGGAGGAGGGAAGAGAGGTGTGGGGTGCAGCCACCCAGGTGGGCAAGGGCCCTGCCATGTCCAACCCTGCCTGGGGACTTGGCCTTTTTTGATTTGAGCAAAGTAAATATATTCTGTATTGTGGTAAAACATATCTAAAATAAAATCTTCCATTTTAGCCATGTGTAAGCGTACAATTCAGTGGCATTAATTATATTCACAATTTGTGTGACCATCGCCACTATCTATTTTCAGAACCTTTCCTCGCTCCAAAGAGACACTGTGGCCGTGAAGCAGGAACTCCTTGTTTCCAATTCCCTCATCCCTGGTAACCTGTAATCTACTTTCTGTCTCTATGGACTTGCCTATTTGAGAAATTTCATGTAAATGGAAACATCTAATATTTATCCTTTTGGGTCTGGCTTATTTCATTGAACATAATGTTTTCAGGGTTTACTCATGTAGGATGTCAGAATTTCATTCCTTTTTATGGTTGAATATCCCATTGTATGTATCTGCCACATTTGTTTATTGATTCCTCTGTTGATGGACACTCGGTTGTTTCCACCTCTTGGCTAGTGTGAATAATGCTGCAATAAACATCCGTTTGACTTTTTATTTTCAGTTCTTTTGGGTATATGCCCTGAAGTATGATTCTAGGTCATATGGTAATTCTATGTTAAATTTTTTTGAGGGAGCTTCATACTATTTTTTATAGCAGCTGCTCCATTTTACATTCTTACCAGCAATGCACAAGTGTTCCAATTCCTCCACACCCTCAGAAACACTTGTTATTTTTCTGTTGACTTTGATTTATCCTAAAAGTATCAGGTCTAAATCCTCTCTCAGAACATGCTCTGATCATCCAAGTCCTGTTGGCAATCTGAAGAGTCTTTATTTTGTGGTGGGACTTTGATGCATGTGCCTTCTGGGTAGTTGAAAGAATTCGGGAAATTCTGTTCAGCATCCCTATTGCCAATGACAGCCAGAAAACAGAGACAGAGGTGGGGGGAAACTGCATAGGAACTGGGAAAGAGGTGACAAATTTGGGACCTCTCCCATGAGGTACCCATTATAGTGGGCATCTTCTAAGGATTCTTTTCTTCTCCCCATTATAGCACCACTTTCCATAGCAGGTGTCAATAAATATATGCTCATAGAAGGTGCTCAATAAATAAACACTTGAATGAAGGAGCTACTCCCACTTCTTTTCCTCATTTCTCTTCCATCATCCATGATCCAGGTCTGACAAGGGCATCGCTGAAGGTCAGACATCCTAGACTCCCTTAGAGCTATCCCTCCCAGGGCCCTCAGGCTATTGTGTAGCTGGACCCAGTCAACCACCCTGGGTCTTTTTTGGTACTGACCAGCTGCTTGCCATGACAGTTATTCTACATGGCGCTCATAGCTTTGCAAGAAATTACACACACACATGCACACACACACACGCACACACACACACACGGCAGTCCTTTTTAGAACAAGGCAGGGCTAAGCACACAAATAAAAGGAAGAGAAAGAGGGTGGTTCATCCAAATGATACTCTCTATCCACATTGTGATTTAAAGATTGCAGAGCACCTTGTCAGATATTTTCTCATTCGATCCTCACGATAAACCATTGTGGTTGGCAGGGTAAGTGCTGCTATCCATTCTGGTTTTGCAACAGGGGGACAGACTCAGAAAGGGGACATGACCTGCTGAAGGTCAGAGCTGGTAAGTGGCAGGGACAGGTCTGATTCCATGCCCAGAGCTGGCTCCCTCTCCCAAGCATGGCGATGACTCACCCTGGCCTTCTTGCCCACAACCTGCTGAGGGCCTCCAGGAAGAGCTCAGCCAGGCTTTTAACAATCAATCAGGAGTTTTCCTGAGGCGTCTGCACAGACTTTTGGCTGGTCTTCTCAGAAGCTGTTCTTGCAAAATGCTTTCTTATTTTTCGCCCAACCAATACTGAGGTCAAAAAGAAAAAAAAAAAAAGAAGGGGAAAAAAAAGCCCTTCCATTCTGTACCATTCAGCCTGGCAAAGCCTATCTCATTCCCGGAATTCTAATTGGAAACTGCCTTCTGTTCTCATTAGTTTGGGTTGTAGCAGTCATTACATTCCAAACAATTAATCCCTGAATGCCAATTTCTTACTAGAATTATCCTGGACTCAACAACTGGTTTTCTTAGCAGCAAAGCTGAAGCAATTATTCCCAGCTTTTGTAACTAAACATGCTGTGCTTGACACTTTACAATGTTTTCATCATCATTGAGTTATCAGCATTTATCTCTACCAGGGGAAAGAAAAGGCTGTCCGATTGTGAAGGCCCAGCAATCACACAGACCTGCTTACTGACATCGATGGGCTCCCTGGGACTTTCTCTTCTTGCTTGGAAAAGAAGGGAGAATATCCCCTGGGCCTCAAATTTCACTGAAATTCAGAAGTTAGCACCTTCTGAGACTGAGGAATAGGAAACCAATAGGAAGATGCAGCAGAGAGGCCTCGGGTTCCAGGGCAGTTCTCCCTGGGAGCTCAGGGCCTATGGCTGGTGGGCAGCATCCCGGTCCTCTTGGAGGCTGTCCCGTTGGGCTTCCAGCTCAGTGTCTGTGGGGCATGACACCTCCCTTCCAAAGCTGGGCCACCTAGAGTCAAGCCCGCAAACCGACCTACTGTGGGCCAGAAGAGGGGTGCTGACCGTCTTGTGCAGGTACCTAAACTTAGGCCTTCTGGAGGTGATGCAGGAGGAACTCCTGAGTTCACAATCCTGACTCTACCACTTGCTGCTGTGTGGCTTTGGACTCACTGCTAAACCTCTCTGGGCCTCAGATCCCTCATCTATATAATCATAGCTCTATCTCACAGGGTTATTTAAGGATCAAATAAATTAATATTGGTAATTAGAACAGGGCGTGCCTAACACATAGTAAGTGCTTTATAAGTGTGTATTTAAAGACAAGTAAATATAAACTGTCCTTTAATTATTAAAGGGCCCTTTTCATGTTCTTTTGTTCCCTTCAGCAGGTGTGAGAGCCCACAAGATAGACTAGAAAGGCAGAAAGAGGAAGACTGATTCTCTCCCACCACCTCCCAAACCACAAAGCTCCCTGATTTATTTGAATATACTCACAAACAAATCTCAAACCCATTTTTCAAAAAAGCCAAACTTTGGTATTATTGTGATAGTGACTATTTCCCAGCCTCTCCAAAAATGAAACTTGAAGTATTTCTCAATAGCATGTAGAGAACTAGTCTTCAGATTATCAACTACTAATCAGTCAAGGTTAGAGCAGCTGTAATCCAGTCAATGGAAGCCGGACACAGTAGATTCTTTTCTCTCCTTTCACTACACTAGCATCAGGACCTATGAACTAAGTGTTCCCTCCTCACATCTAGTAATGATAATAATAACAACAACAATAGCAATAATAGCAGCTAACATCTGTATAGCATTTATTCTGTGCCAAGCACTTTATTATATTAACTCATTTAGTCCTCAGAACAACTGGAGGAGGCAGGCGGTTATTATTACCCCATTTTACAGATGAGGAAACTGAGGTCCCCAAAAAGCTAAACCTCAAGTCCAAAGTCACATGGCTGGCAGCTGTAGAGGCAGTAGCTGAACCCAGGTAGTGTGACTCCAGAGACCAGCACTTAGCATTACGCTAAACCTTATATATCATCTACCCCATCTGTGAGCTCGGACCCAGTCTGGCTCAGAAACTTAACACTCTCCATAGGCTGGAGGGATCTGCGGGGCTTGGGACCAAGTCTCACTGCTCCTCAGGCTCTGGACTTGTATATGACAGCTCTCTGAATATCACGTTTCTGCCTTAGAGCACGCTTTGGGAGACGCCTGATTCTTTCCCTGTTCTTCAGCCTCTGTATTGATAACACGCTTAGTTTTCCCACTTTCTTGCCTTGTTCTTGCAGTTCTTAGCCTTTTATTTATTAATTAGACCTACATCTACTATGCACCCACTATACCAGCCAGTCATTTATACCAGGCCTGGGGATACAGAGCCCTTGGGGTACTCACCATCTGATAGGGACACGGATATGCAAGTGAATGCGTAGAGTGGAGAGTCTGAGCTTTGTGCTTAAAATCAGTGAGAACGAGTGAGGCAGATAGAGGGGGTCAAGGATTAGCAGGAAAGGCTTCACAGAGGAGAAGGCAGGGACTAGGACTTGAAAAGTCCTGCCAGGTTATTTTATTGTAAAGACACATGCATGCATATGTTCATTGCATCACTGTTTACAATAGCAAAGACATGGAATCAATCTAAATGCCCATCAGTGATAGACTGGGTAAAGAAACTGTAGTGCATATACGCCATGGAATACTATGCAGCTGTAAAAAGGAACAAGATCATGTCCTTTGCAGGGACACAGATGGAGTTGGAAGCCACTATATTATCAAGGAACAAGATCGTGTCCTTTGCAGGGACATAGATGGAGTTGGAAGCCCTTATTCTCAGCAAACTAACGCATGAACAGAAAACCAAATACAGCATGTTTTCACTTATAAGTGGGAGCTGATTATTGAGGAGAACACATGGACACATGGCAGGGGAGAACAACAACACTGGGCACCTGTGAGGGGATGGGGAGAGGGAGAGCATCAGGAAGAACAGCTAATGGATGCTGAGTTTACTACCTGGGTGATGGGATGATCTGTGCAGTAAACCAACATGGGACACGTTTACCTATGAAACAAACCTTCACATCCTGCACGTGTACCCCAAACTTAAAAGTTGAAATAAAGAAATCCTGCCTCAGTCAGTAACCTTGTGGGCCATGACCCTGCTTCCTGTTGCTGGACGTTCCTGGATGTCCCCAGTTGCCTGTAATATTTGCCAGTGGTCACTTTGCAGACATCACATCTTGCCTGCTTGGACATACCCAGGTGACCTCAGAGAGTAAAAGAGAATTGCATTTGTCATCTTTATTTTATAATTGGTTAGTGGTAAATGTGTAGACATCTGCCGCCCTAGTGCCAGCCCCATGCCTCCCAGTGAAGCTTCACATCTGTCTGGATTTGTGTCCCCTAGGGACACCATAACAGTGGCCTTCGTCTTCTCAGCTTCACATGGAGAAAACATCTTCCCAGCTCTCCCTTTTCTACTCCCAAATCTTTTGGGGAGATCTAGGGGGCAAAGGAGGAAACCAATCTTATTAATTCTACACTCCAGTAACAAAATAAGACTCAGAGGATTTAAGAGACTCATCTGGTGACTTTGGATTTGTTCATAGAGTCATTACTCATTTTGAAGATTTGTCCCTTCTCTACACGTCAAGGCTCACTTCCTTTCCTAATTTCAAACTCTTTCTCATTCCCAGAGGTTCTTTTCTAACTTACTCATCAAATAATATGAGGAGCTTTTTGGGGACTTCCTTATTTAAATTTGAAAAAGAATGAAAAAAAGGAAGGAAGGGAGGAAGGAAGGAGAGAGAAAGAGAGGGAAAGAAAAAGAAAGAAAGAAAAATACAGAGAGAAAGGAAGAAAGAGACAAGAAGGAAGGAAGGAAAGAAGGAGGGAAGGAAGGAATGAAGGAAGGAAGGAAGGAAGGAGGGAGGGACAGAGGGAGGGAGGGAGGAAGGGAAGAAGGAATGCATGCAGGCCAAAAGAAATCAATGTTTATGAAAGAACTACCGTGTGCCAGGATCTGGTCTAGGTGCTTTTGCTTATATTTACCATATTAATTCTTCTTTAGTCTCACATTGTATGTATTATTACAGGCAAGGTAAACGAAGCTCAAGGTGATTAAGTAACTTGCCAAGCATCTCATAGATATGAATATTAGAACTAAATTTGAAGCCACATCCTAGTCCAAAGTCCGTGATGTTTCCAACATGTTGAGAAGTGTTTAAAATACCTCTGTGGACTTTTCTTTTCTACTAAATTTCTGTCACCCATGATAAATGGGTTAAGCTCATAAAATTAACCTCGTTTCATTCTCTATTTTATGTCTATTGTATTCACCACATCACCCCCCATTTGGTGTAAATTGCCTCAAACTTTTTTGAAAAGAGGCAGCCTGTAAATCAGTTCAATTGTAAAGACTCATCTCTGCACACCAAGGTCACCTTGGAGGGAGGTAAAGGGCAAGTGTCATCTTCTCATCTGACAGATGAAGTAGCCAAGGTTAAGTGACTTGCTCAAGACCACACAAGGAAGCAAGCCAGAACTGCAAATGAAAGCTTAGCCTCTTGATTCTGCATAAACCTCCTTGGCCAAGTCTTTTCAAGGAGTGGGTGGTAAGTGCCTGGGAGCTCGCCTTTCTGTTTCTAATTTCTCTCCGATTCTTGGAGAGCAGCGCGTTTCTGGCATTTGCTTCAGTAAGCACGCTGAGAAGGGTCCAACTGGCATTTATTTAATTACCATAAACAGATGTAGCACTTTGGCTTCAATGAGGCAGCTTCTTGATGTGCTCATCAGCCCTCCTGCTTACAGGGAGGCTCGCACAGGGCACGGGGGTGGCAGAGAACAGTCAGGTTCCTGCAGTGCCAGCGCCTGCCCCAAGTGCCCCCAGGCCACCACGCTGGGGGGCACTGTGACAAGCAGACATCATGGAGGACAGGGAATGGTGATGATGGCATATCACTCATGTCTGAGGCCTTTCCTTAGGTTTCCTTTTCATTCCTTCCATTCCAGTCTCTCCGGCGAGGCTTCTGCACCCCTTGGTGACTTTTCCCAGACGTCAGTGCTGTTTAATGAGGTGACTCTGGGGCCTCCTTTGGTGATTTTCCCTCCTTGGCTCCTGCTTGAGTGTTTTTCTCCCGCTTTCTAGGGTCAATGTGGACACAGTCCCTCCTTTCTCTGGCTTTTGACCCGGATACATGGCTTGTAGGCATCATCCCGCTTTCCTTCCAGAAGCCCACCTCTCACCCTGATGCCTCCTTCACTCGGTTCTTCTCACAGCAGTGTTTGAAAAAGAAAATGTTGGAAGGGCATAAGGGGAAGCGTTTACCAGAAACCAAGGTAGAAGCCGAGTTAAATTAGGTAGGAAATGGTCATTAAAATTTCGTTCCTCTTTGATTTTAGGAAAAATAAATAAATTTAGTTATAGAGTATGGCCGCTAATGAGAAAGGAAATTTCAAAGGCCTGTGGATCTCTTAGAGAACAGGTGTTACATGCTAAAAGCCACGTTCTCTTAAAGGCCGTTTTTGCTTTGTATAAAAAGACTTCTTTCTCCTCTTCTTTTTTTTTTTTAACTTTTTTATTTTTTAGAGAAAAAGCAGCCTGTTTCATAGTATCTGGATGCTTAGAGAGCATTTGCATTTCCAATGTGGCCAACCAGCTTCCACTGTTAGATAATGACAAGACAATCATATGGCCCAGATTTGGAGATCAGTCCCAGTTTCAGACATGTTTGTCCACCTGTTAAACCAGGTAACCCATTTCTTAAAAAAACATGGTCATAGAGCACAAACTTCCTTTCCTTCAGGATAATTTTGAATTGAGCATTTACATAAAGTTGTGTCAAAGATTTTCCAGAAATACTGTATACAAACCATAATTTTTAGGCCAGGTGCGGTGGCTCACGCCTGTAATCCCAGCACTTTGGGAGGCCAAGGTGGGTGGATCACAAGGTCAGGAGATCAAGACCATCCTGGCTAACACGGTGAAACCCCATCTCTACTAAAAATACAAAAAATTAGCCGGGCGTGGTGGTACCTGCCTGTAATCCCAGCTACTAGGGAGGCTGAGGCAGGAGAATCGGTTGAACCCGGGAGGCGGAGGTTGCAGTGAGCTGAGATCGCACCACTGCACTCCAGCCTGGGCAACAGAGTGAGACTCTGTCTCAAAAAACAAACAAACAAACAAAAATCATTAATTTTTACCAAGCCTGAATTTGGAGGGCTTAGCTCTTTGTAGAAGCTTCCAGACAACCAATTCTATGATCAGGAAGGAGAGCTAGCTCAACATCAAGGTTAAAAGCAAGAGCTAGACCTGGTGCCATGGCTGACGCCTGAAATCCCAGCACTTCGGGAGGCCGAGGTGGGTGGATCCCCTGAGGTAAGGAGTTCGAGACCAGCCTGGCCAACATGGTGAAACCCCATCTCTGCTAAAAATACAAAAATTAGCTGTGCGTGGTGGTGTGCACCTGTAATTCCAGCTACTTGGGAGGCTGAGGTGTGAGAATCACTTGAACCCAGGAGGCAGAGATTGCAGTGAGTTGAGATCGCACCACTCCCCTCCAGCCTGGGTGACAGAGGGAAACTCTGGCCAAAAAAAAACCCACGAGAAACCACAAGCTAAACTCTGCTGCTCATGGAATGGGTTCTGGACAGGTTACTTCATCTCTCTGTGCCTCAGCTTCCTCATGTGTAAACTGGAAATAGACTAATGAATTATCCTGAGGATTTTTTAAAAGGCAATTCAGGTAAATCACTTAGCACAGTGCTTGGCACTTAGTAAGTGCTCAATAAATGTTAGGTAGTTAAAAAATATACACATAGTCTTAATTTGGGTTCCCCAAAAACAGAGCCTGAGATAATGATTTGGATGCAGTAGTAAATTTGGGAGGCTATTCCAGCAAGCAGGAAGAAGGGAAGAAGTCACTGCTGGAGGCCACAGGAACTCGATCCCACCAGGCAGCATAGAGAAGCACAGAGGATGCTACCAGGATTGCCCACCCCGAGCCGGAGCATCTTTGTGTGCATTTATACACACAGAATGAATAAGACAGGGTCCCAGCTCAGCGTTTTAAAGTGAAATATACTCAATATTAATCCTAAGGCCAAGCATGTCGGCTCAGTTGTTTGTTGTGAAAAGTAACTGAGGGATGACATATCAAGACGCGCTTTAAAGCACAGAAATTTAATTTTTAAAAAAGGTTCTGCCACAAAGAGCTGGGTGACATTGAGTAAGATTTTTGACCTTTTTCTGTTTTGATATTCTGTATAATGGAGAATGATAACAATATACTACTTCCCAGTGATGATTAAATGCATTAGCACTTAACATAGTTCCTGGATGTAGCATTTTGTGGTTGTTACTATCATTATTGTTTTTATTGTGTGTGTAACTAATACGGTAGAAAACTATTATCAGGGTTTCAGGATGTTTAGCTGCCTTGGCCTAGTATAAGTCATTATACATCCCTAAAGTACACAGAGGGAACCCAGGGTTCCAAGTGGCCACCTGCCCTGGACTCCCTGTCACATCTTGGCAGAGTCGTAGCTGTTAGATCCGAGAGGCCATGAAGTCTGGTTATGAAGCTGGCAGGTGGCTAGGCTTGCTGGCCAGTCTCTTGTAAAATCTGTGTTATTGATCTACATTTGGTTTCATCTCTATGGGGCCTTCCTAATGCCAAGCTAACCCTGCCCTCCCTCTCCAAGGGGCTGCAGTGGCCCATCTCTTCTGCAGAGGATCCTGTCCTTTTTGTCCTGGGGAGCCAGGGCCTACCGTTTCCTTTCTCAGGCTACTTGCTCCATGCTGTTTCCAGTGCTGTGCCACAGCTGGAAACAGCCCTGCAATGAGCAGTGCCCTCCTTATCATAGATTCTTGATTAAAAATACATTAAAGGACCAAGAAATGATTACAAGATATAGCAACTTGCAAGTAAAACTGACACTTCCAGTTAGACCACAATTCTAAATAATCCACAAAGAACCTGTTCTTCTGGTAAAAACATTGTGTTTGTTTCTCATCTGTTTTCTGATGGTGCCATAGTCAAGATGAATATGTAGCCTTTGGATCCATCCTGCTGTTTGAAGGTCTGGGATAATGGCTGCAAGGGTTTGGTGACTTCATTTGGAGCCTCATCCCTGTCCCTCACTATATATTTGTGCCAGCGCTAGAGACACAAGGAACATTTGCCTTTTTAATGCCCCGCTGTTGTCCAGCTGGTTTATACCTTGGCAAGGTCCTGAGAACAAGACCCCTCTGGGAAGAGGTCCAACACTGCCATGGGGACATATTAGAGAGGCAATGTCCTTAACCAAAGTACCATCCCCAGCTCTGCTGGAGCCTCATCAGTGGGAACCTTGGGCAAGTCACTTCATCCCCTTGAGCCACATTTGTTAGACCGGCTCCTTAAACTAGGACATTATTCTGGCTCTCAGCTTAAACACTGTGTGCTTCAAAAGCATGGTCCTCAGCAGGTATGTCCTTTTACTGCTCTACCTTCCCCCTTCCCTCCAACATACAGTTGGAGTAAAAGTTTGGTCACCCAAACTTAGGCAAAGGAACTTGGGTCACATTTTGTGCATCAGGTAACATCTCTGCAGGACTCACCTACTAGTAATGATGATAACTACAATTGATGGAGTAATTATAATATGCCAGGTGCTGTGCTGAACACTTTATATAAATCATATGTATATTTTTTGAGACAGGGTCTTGCTCTGCTACCCAGGCTGGAGTGCAGTGGTGCAGTCATGGCTCACCACAGCCTGGACCTCCTGGGCTCAAGCGATCATCCCACCTCAGCCCCTCCACCCTGAATAGCTGACACTACAGGTGTGGGCCACCATGCTTTGCTAATATTTATATTTTTGGAGACACGAGGTCTCACTATGTTGCCCAGGCTGGTCTCGAACCCCTGGGCTCAAGAATCCTTCTGCCTCAGCCTCCCAAACTGCTGGGATTATAGGCGTGAACCACCGTGCCTGGCCTGTACATCGTATTATTTAATCTTTACAACAACCATTTTATAGAGGAGAGCATGCAGACTCTGGGAGGCCAAAGATATTATCCAAGGAATGCAACATTGGATTCAAACCCAGATCTGACTCCAAAACTCATACCTTAAGTCCTCAACTAAAACATTTCTCTTCTTTCCCAACACCACTTTCCCCACTTAACTCTTTCCTGAAGCTGGTTGGTTACAGACTGGGTGGGGAAGAAGGGTCTTGTTTATCTCTATTTGTTCTTCCACTGTGCTGGGGACCAGTATTCCGCACCCACTGGGCTTCGCATCCTGTGATCTTCTATTCAGAGTCCACTCAGGGCCCACACAGGGGAGCATCTCAGAATTGCCATTATTTCTCTCTCTCTCTCTCTGTGTGTGTGTGTGTGTGTGTGTGTGTAGAAACTCAGGTTGGAGTGTAGGCAACTCAGGCCTAGGGCTTAGCTCATTCATGTTTAATTTTCTGATGACAGTGGGATCTAGGAGTTCTGTCTTGCCCTTCCTCGATTCCAGAGGCTGCAGCCTAGACTGAGCATCATCCCCCTTCTCATCCATGCCGGGCTCAGAGGAAAGCTGTGTCCTCAAGGTGCAACGAACTGCAGGGCAGAGAGAAAATGTACAACCTCACAGGGACATGCAGTTTCTGCCTCCATCTCTGTCTCTACCCTGCTGAATCTCAGAGTGGTGTCATCGAGCCTGCAGATATATACTCTTCGAATCAGATACCCCTCACAGAGCCACCTACCCACGTGCTTACTCAAGCCTCTGCTAATGAAAAGAAGTAATGCATAAGTCATGAGGGGCAAGTTTTCAGGATGAGCAGAGAAGGGGATTTATCTGCATGGCTCCTGGCTCTGTGAATGACAGGTCCCAGCTCGTTCAGCTCTTGTCCCACTGCAGGCATGAGTGTCTTCCTGAGACCCAGCCTGTCTTCCAGGCTCAGAGCCCAGTGGGGTTCCGTGCTTTCTTTGAAGCTAAACATTAAGGACAAATCCGACTTTCACATGAGGCAAAAAATTGTTCTATTCACAATTCTCTTCAAGGCCAAAGATAACTCACAAAATACCAAGAAACAGCAAGCACTAAAGCTTGCAGAGAGGAAGGGAAGGCGGAGAAAGACAGCCAGGTGGGGAGTGTGGGGAGTCAAAGCCAGCTTTGAGTAGCTGTTGTCGTCATAATGACCATGCTAACAATTGGTGCCGGTCATAATCCCAAAAGATGCAGTCCCAAACATCATAATCCTGAAAGTTGAATTCCCCAAAGATCAAAATTCCTAAAGTCTAAAACCCTGAAAATCTCATTCCCAAAAGATTAAAATCCCAAATGTTAAAATTCTGAAAGTCAAAATCTGGAGAAAGGATTAGTACATTTAGGTTGTGCGCAGGATATCTGCACCATGTTAGTTGTATCATGTTAGGCAGAACTATTACCTTGTTATTGTCTTATGTGGAAATGAAGTATGATTTAAAGAGATGCGTATGGGTGCTAAGTTGTGGATTGTGAACTAAAATTTAGGTGTCAAGTTGACTGAATTTAAAAATACCTGGAAATCTGGTAAAGCATTATGTCGGATGTTTCTGTGAGGATGTTTCCAGAGGAGGTTAGTGTGTGAGTATGAGTGGGTTAGCTGAGGAAAAGCTGCCCTCAGTGTTGGTGGGCACCATCTCATTGGCCAATGGCTGGGAGAAACAAATACAGAAAGCAAATTGATCTCTCTCTGAGATCCGGGACAGATCTCTTCTGCTGCCTTGGACATCAGAACCCCAAGCTCACCAGCCTTTGGACTCCAGGACTTACACCAGCACCCACATTTAAATGAGAGTTAACCATTGGCTTCCCTGGTTCTAAGGCCTTCGGACTTGGAGCGAGACATGCTACTGGCATCCCAGGGTCTCTAGCTTGCAGATGGGCATGCCATGGGACTACTAAGCCGTCATAATCGTGTGAGCCAATTTTCCTAATAAATCCCCTCTCATATATCCATATACATACATATCTTATTGGTTCTAGCTCTCTGGAGAACCCTGACTAATACATATTTGGTACTGAGGAAGCCGAATATCATTCATTCTTATGCATTCCTTACAACACATTGGAAGAGATCTGTGAAACTGATCCCTCACAAAAATGCTGTGATAAGTTAAGTGTATGAAACTACTTATTGGTGAAAGATAAAAGTTTAAAAGCTAATTATACTGGTGCTGTGTTAGCAGAAAATTACTTAATTGCAATGGCCCAGCAACAACCAAACTTTCAAATGGACAGCATACACTTAGAAAATTTGTA
The DNA here is from genome assembly GCF_000001405.40 of Homo sapiens. Taxonomy (NCBI): domain Eukaryota; kingdom Metazoa; phylum Chordata; class Mammalia; order Primates; family Hominidae; genus Homo; species Homo sapiens. The sequence continues at coordinate 45,844,948 of NC_000013.11, forward strand.
GACCACAACCACTCTCCAAATACAAGTGCAACGACTGTTTCGAAGATTATAGAAGAAGTGAAAATGCAGGTGAAAGATACAAAAAATCTCCCCTGCCAAATTATTTAATCATGTACTACTTCTGCCCTTTCACACATAGTGCCAATATACTATGCTATATATTTAATCTTCGTATTGTCTCCAATAATAGATGTATACATTGTGTAGAGACTTTCAGAGAGTTCTCATTTGTTTTATGCATTTTTTTTTTTTTTTGCAAATTTGACTCCAGGAAGGTGCATTATCACAATGTTGACTTTGTGTGTATGCATTGTGCGTGTGTTAAAAACGCTGAAACTTCCTCAGTAAATAAAGAGATGTCCTTTCTGTACATCTGCATTTGTGAAAGGTACAATTTCTTGAGATCTCGGCGGTTTGGGTGACTGCATATGCAATGGTGACTCGCTGGTTTTTGAGCTGTCCATCAAAAGATTTAAGTTGTCCATCACGGTGTTTCAGATGGCCACAGTTATAAAGCTGGGTGCACACAATTAGTAATCATAGTAATACGCGTTTATACATTTCCCTTTTGATCTATTTCTTTGTGAATATAGTTTGTCTGCTTATAACTTATCCCCATGCTACAGTTGTTAGTATATCTGAGTGTTTATGCTTGCAAAAATATGTATGTTACTATTGCCTCTTTTATTGTGTTAAGTGGCCTGTAAAACACTCTGTTGTGTTTTGTATGTTTCTCTTAAAAATGTAAATAAAGGTCTTAAAATTTTTAAATTTTTTTTCCATAATTATATTTTTGGGACTTTCATCTTTCCCAATTTCAACATTCAGGATTGTGCCTTTCAAAATTATGGCCCAAACTCATAGAAGGGGTGAGGGAGTGAGGAAGGATGATGACTTAGAAGCTCTAATTTGTGAAGAAAATGTGGCTGTGGTAAAGGGGAGATGGTAGAGTGTGTGGTACAGCCCAGGGTGTCATGCTGCTGGCCCCAGGAGGAGAGATAGGGTACAGGAAGGGGACCCTTGCAAGTTTTCGCTCCCACACCATGTATCTGGAGGAAGGGACATTAACTTAGCATAATTTGAAGGCAACCTGGGGCAGTGTAGGAATATAGATCTGATGTTAGAAGACCTAACTTCTTTTTTTTTTTTTTTTTTTTTTGAGACGGAGTTTCGCTCTTGTTGCCCAGGCTGGAGTACAGTGGTGTGATCTCAGCTCACTGCAACGTCTGCCTCCCGGGTTCAAGCGATTCTTCTGCCTCAGCCTCCTGAGTAGCTGGGACTACAGGTGCCCGCCACCATGCCCAGCTAATTTTCGTAGTTTTAGTAGAGTGTGGGTTTTACCATGTTGGCCAGGCTGGTCTCAAACTCCTGACCTAAGGTGATCCACCTGCCTCGGCCTCACAAAGTGCTGGGATTACAGGCGTGAGCCACCGCACCTGACCTAGAAGACCTAACTTCTAGTCTCAATTTTGTCAGTAAGGTCTCCATTCTTTGGGTTGATTCCTTCCACAGGACATTTCTTGTCTAACCAGGTCACTGTTTCCCTTTGGAGGAAACAGAGCTAGTTGGGTGAAGATGACTTTGCTAAGGGTAAAATACCCCCACAGACAGTTAATTTTTTTTCTTGTTGTTAATTGCTAGGAAAATAATCCATCTTACCCAGGGAAGCCATCCAAGTAATTCAGACCTCTCTGCGGATTTCAAAGAAAGCTTTCCGTATCTATTTTCTAATTTTCCCAAATAGTCCCTGCAGGTTGAGGGATCACAGTGAAGAGAATTCCACCAAATTTGCTTCGGGGCTGCTGGATAAATGCAGTACAGAGGTAATCGGCTCACCTCATCATAGCCGCCAGCTTCAGCCTCCCCTACAACTCAATCACCGGCACAGGGCTAACCAAATTACTGCTCCAGGCTCTGGGCCTCCCCGTTATGTGACTCAGGAGCCTCATTTGCAATCACCATTAACCAGAAAAGCCGCACGAATGCTCTGAGCCCACAGAGTGGAGTGTCATACAATATTCACAGAACCCATGGGCTGGAAGAGGCTGCAAAGCCTTTAGAATAATGCTCGCACAGTGACCACCACCAGCTTGGGGTCCCCTTCCTTACCCTTTATCCAGCCCCTCTGGCAAAGTGGCTCCAGACTGGACAGAGAAACAAGACAGTGAAATGCCCAGAGGACTGGGAATGGGACTGTCAGAGGTGACTGTGTGGAGAGGAACTGAGTAACCCACATACCAGCTATTAAACAGTCTTGTTGGAAGCCTTTAACTGCTGTAAAGTAGGTATTCACGCAGAACACTCCAAAGGCCACCTCTAAATCTCTAGACAATGCTCAGGTCTTTACCTCTCATTGAGCCACCTGCTGTGCTGTATGAAACAGAGTTAGCAAACCCCGGGGCAGCACGGGATTTCCAAAGATTATCCCATAAATGGCAAAGGTGGGCACACATCTCACATCTCTCCTTTCCTGGTCTCTGCCTCCTCCTCTTCCTTACAGCTCCCACCCTCCCCACTGCCACTCAATACACATTTATCCACACAAGTTGGTCTTAGAATGGAAGGCACGTGGATGCATCAACAAATGGTACTGAAGTGCCCCAGCTTTAGATTTCATATCTGTCGGGCACTTAAAGCCACGATTGTCCCATATGCCCCTCCCACTCCATGTGTTCGTGTGTGTGTGTGTGTGTGTGTGTGTGCACGTGTGTGTTTCTGTTGCACCTCAAGGTTAATGGGGTTGTCTGGGGTGGTGCAGGCACAGGTTGGAGGTATCAGAGAGGGCCTCATGGAAGTTTGCCAGAAAGCATTTTACTATTCTTCTTTCAGAAACTTGTTTATCAAACGCTGTGGTTAAGAGGAGGAAGTCACTCAGCCAGCCTCAGCCTAGCTACTGCCTGCTTGGGAAGTGCTGATGACTGACCCCAGACCGACCCCTAGCACTACAGAGCCTTCTCTGGAAAAACCTGGGCACAGGGACTGACCGCTCCTCCCCTCAAAGGGCACCTCTGCAGATGGGGCAAAAGAAGGCAGGGCTGCCCAGGGCAGGGCGCTGTAGAAGCAGCTGGCGCCAATGGGAGTGGAGCCAGGAGAGAAAGGCTTTCTTGGTTTAGAAACAAGCAAAGGACAGGAGGGAGAGAGGAGTGCTGAATCAGGACCAGGAGCAGGCGCCCTCATGAGCGCCAGCCTGAAGTCTGCTCGTCACATTTCAATAACCTCTGTGAATGAGGAAGCAGAGGGCAGCTGGCCAAGAGAGCTGGCTCCTTGACGGTCACTTTTCATGGGGTGGAAAGAAGTGGGGGCACCATTTGGAACCCTAATCTGTGCAAGTGGTCCTCAGAGACAGAGACAGGCAGAGACTGAGGGAAATGGTCTTGTTTGCACTCCACTGCCTGGCACTCACTGAAAGCTGAGGTCTCTTATGTTCAAGGCTGGCTACTCTAAATGTCCCTTTTAATTAGGGTGAGCTTCAGGGGTGTAATGGCTTTAACCAGAGGATCTGATGTCCCCAGGAAGGCTCTGCCTTCCATTTAGAAGGAAAGGCATCAGCTTGCTCGAAGGAATCCCAGGTTACTGAGTAATCACCATAATAAGATTGAGAATGAAGGTGACCTATAGAAGCATGGTAAATACACAATTTTCTTTGCTTGGTAAGTGAATTTTGATTATAACTCAGCACTTGCCTCAGTTTCTAAAATGCTGTTGGTTCGAATTCTCAGGAAAGCCCAGGAAAGGATAAAACACATAAATGCTTCCACAAGGAAAAACACAAGCTTCCCAGCCCTCTTTGTAGCTACACGCAACCCATAAAATTGAAAGCAAGGTTGCAGTCTCTCTGTCCTTGGTCACCATTTCATATACTGGCCTGTCATACAAAATGTGGGGAAGCACGGCAGATCAATAGCTATTCTGGGTTAATACTGCCACAGGTTTTATTTTTTTCCTTTAACAAAAGAAGGACTTTCCTCCTCATTACATAGATCACAGCTTATTACGTCCAAGGCATATTTCCGTGGTCTGTTTATGGAAATCAGCGTTTAGAAGGAGAATTTTTTTGAGGTTACATGTGCTTTTTATACAAGCAATGGGGCAGTGACACTCCTATGGAGTTAGTCCTTTTAAAGCTCTGCAAATGGCTATTAGCCCTTAGGTTTGAGAAGGGAGTGAAACTTACCTGATGGGCCACCTGGACCCTCCAGGTCTCTCCCTACCTGGCGCCCTCTCCAAATCCTGTGTGCCTAATCCTGAGGGGGCATTAGCAGCACTCAACTTGCTTTGTTTATCTGGGGTGATGTTCCTCTGAGCAAAATCCATAAGTGGTTTTTTTGTGTGCGAAATGAAAAGCCAAATAAGAGTGTAAGTGAAAAAGTGAGCTATGTCCTCTCAAAGCATACGTCATCCATTTTTATGTTGCTGATTATACAATTTCTAAATTGCCTGAAGGTGTTAAGTGACAACTTTTGAATTTGCTATTGGAACTCTACAAATTATATATACAATAACATACATTATTTTTAGAGGAGAGTTATGAAACACCTCTGATACCTCTTTTCAGTCTCAAAAGCTGAGGCGGAGAAAGGGCAGATGTTCATCAGCCCATTTAAAAGGTGAGGAAGGGAAGTCTCAAAGAGGTGGAGGAGGAGTTCAAGTTCACACAGCTGGCCAGAGATGACTCAAGGCCTCCAACCCTGACTCTGAACTCCTGGGTCAGGGCAGCAAGACGACTTGTCAAAATCCAGGCAGACATCATTGAGAAATATACACAAGTGGTTTCCCCTCACTCCACACAGAGACCTTAACACCTCTCTATTCTCCATCATCAGCTGCAGTCAATGAACCATATAAATGCAAACTTCAGAAATGCTAAAGTCTCATAAGCAATTTTTAAAGGTATTAAAATACAAAACAGAAGTAAACAAAATTTCTTGCCCCAGGGAACTAACTAATCCAAAGTGGAAAAAATAATGGAAGTTTGAATGCAGTCTCAAAAGTGGCCATAAAATGGAATTCAGAATTTTATTTTAATGTGCATACTACATACTTGCTTTGCCAAGGATGACTGGTAGTAAATTCTCATTTATAAAACTAAGCTATAAAAGAAAAAAAGAAATAGTGGAATGAGAGGCAAGAGCGCGCAAGCAAGAGCAGGTGTGAACGGTTGCATGCGATGGCATTCGTCACAGCTGGGATATCAGAGAGAGTCAGATCCTAGGTCAGATGCACCATAGGGGTCCCAGGATAGTCCATCGCCCCTCCCCCAGGACTGGCCTTGGCATGTAACCCCAGCAGCTCCAGGCAGCTGTCTTTCGGCGGAACTTCTAGGAGTGGGGGCACCCATCAGCGCTGACCTGCGGGGCTCCAGCTGAGGACAGTCCGGCCGTGGGAGTTTATAAAGTAATGGACAACAGGCAATGCTCTTCCTGCCCAACAGCAGTGGTCAGAGGGACAGATCTATCCTCACAGAGACTGTCAGGCACTGTCGCTACAGACACGGCCCCTCCCCCGGCACTCAGTCCTGCCTGCCTTACACAGGAGTACAGGAAAGGAACTTCCAATGAGTCCATCTTTTATGTTAGGAGAGAGGCAAGGTGCTGAGTTTCCCATCCGGGGAGTTCAGCTGCACCCTCTCCCCAGCCCCCACCTCCCTGACTTCCCCTCCTCCCTACTACCCCTAACCAGTGGCCCATCATTCCTTTCCCAGTCAGTCTTGGCTGTGATGTTAAGCGGCTCTGCCGGACCCCATATTTTGTCTGGTCTCTAAAAGGGCACTGACCTGAGGGTACAAATGCAGAGGCCCCGGGGCAGCTAGGCAGCCGCGAGCAACCCAGCACCCAGCTGCCTAGGGTGCTCCAGGCAGCGGCGGCAGCAGCTAGAAGCTGGTGTCATTATTACACAAGCCAGGCAAATCCTGCTCCAGTACACAGAGCGCATCTAACCAGCAGGAAGGAAATAAGCCAAAATCCTCCCGACACCACACACACACACACACACACACACACACACACACACACACACACGAGTCTGAGGACAAGGACAAACACTTTGCAGAAAGAACCCTCCCCCCACCCCACCGACGTCCAAGTCCCTGTTTCAGGATTCCTCACCCCCCAGTAGCTTCTAAAATCCTCGTGTTTGACCACCTCTCCCAACACATGGGACAGAGAGAATTTGGCTAACTTCAAATCCTGTCTCCTGAGCACTTGCCCACAAATAGTAGGGGGAGTGATGGGGACGCCCCCCTGTTCCCTCCACCACCCTCACTTCTGCCCCCCACGCCACTCTCAGGTTGACAGCGTCGGGGAAAGACATCAGACCATCAATCCAGCTTTTCCTGCCAGCTGGGGAAACAACACTCGGTCACTAACAGCACCCAATCACCTAGAGAGCGAGAGTGAGCCGAGGCAAACACGCCGGGTTCCAGACACCGTCCCAGCCCCCGAGACCCGGGTTTGCAAAGGGCTGCACACGTTCGCCGGAGGGTCGCTGCCGCCTCCGAGAAAGGACTTGAACCTGAGCCCGGTGAAGGTAAAATGACACAGAGACTCACCTTTAGGTTGTGTGTGGGGTTGACGACACAGACAAGTTGCCCGGCAGCGGAGAAAACCCGTTTAGCCTTGTAGTGCTGAAACCGGAGATGAATGAGATCTAATACAGCCCCAAAGCACTGGGTAAAGAAAAGCATCACAACTTTTGGGGGGTTGTTGGTCCGGGAAGGCAGCGGAGGAAGCTGTGAGTCCTTGGGCCCTGGAAGGAGCGCAGCCTCTGAGACACTCCGCTCCAGCCCGGCTTAGCGCGCCTTCATATTCATCATCAAAATAAGACGGTTAGAATCTTGCAGCAGTGAGGCGGCCAATCAAAAGGACAGAAATGTTATCCTTGAGGTGCAGAGACAGCCAATAACAAATGCCTTCCCTACCGAAACTCCCTGATGAATTGAGCCTGGCGGAGAATGTATTATTGAACATTACCATAGATCAGCACATTGCATTTATCTTGTGATTACAGCCAACCATACCTAATGCTGGGGAGATAGGCTGACAAAATTGATTGCTTAATGTGTCTCCATTTATTAATTGACTTAATTTAACATGAGAGCCTTTCTTAATGCCCTGGCAAGAACGTAAAGCGTTTAAGCCGCCAAATAGTACAACACCCCGCTCCAAAGTAGGCAGATGGATAACGCAGATCATGGCTCGACTCACCAGAGCTGCTTGGGAGAAAATAAAATATTACTAGACTCTGAATCCAGATAAGGACTTGGCAGCAGCAAAAATGTGTATCTTTCAATCTTGCGTTCTGACTTTCTGCAATTTGGATTACAGCCCCTTGATAAATCTTACTCTCCACTCTTTATCAAAGAAAAGAATCCCTGACAAATTCATTTGGAGTTGAGGGGTGGAGGGAAGCACATACATATATATTACTATACATATATATATATTTTCTTTTTTTCAAAATACTGTGATTACTGAAGTCTGAAAGTATTAAAGGATAAAAATGCACAGAGTATGCTTCAAAAAATAATGAAATCCCTGATGCATGAATGCACACACACAGAAAAACCTACACTGAGAGGAAAGAGGCTTGTAAATCAGCAAAATAATTACAGATGCAGAGAACCTTTGCTTGTCATTCATTTGCATATTGGTGGGCAGCAAATTGCTAATTAACCACTAGATTGCTGGAGACATTAAAATAGAGATTAAGGATGCACATACCACATCATTTACTTGTTTCTGCAAATGCTAGCAGCACATTTCTGTGCTGGCACAGGCAGAGGGCATTCCAGTCCTCAGACTGCAAACCTGTCCTTGCTCCCCAGAACAGGGCTGGTGGGTGGGCGGGAGGCCGCTGGTTCTTGAAGAAAGATTCCTAAGCAGTACTTGAAGGGTTTTGGGTTTTTCGGGACTAGCTCTGATGGTTTAGTCTTTGCAGCTAAAGCAGGGGAGTTCAGTGTATTGTGTTTTCCCTCTTCCCTGGTTGTTTCTCTCTTGAGAAGTCAGGCCAGATCCAGTGCTGCCTGGAGCAGGATCAGCCCCCACTGTGAATTGTACCCTGTGAGTGTGAGCCCCCTCCCTCATGGCTCTTGTTCTGCTCTGGCTACAATGCTTGGGTTGTAATGTATGCAAAACATATGCACACGTGGAACACCTAGGTCTGTGACCTGGTCAGGCAGTTAAACTAACAACAGAATAACATACGGGATAAAAATAATGCACAAGTTTATTGATGCCAGGACAGAGCCCAGGCTGTTCATTTTAACTTGCATTTAAAACCAAACCAATGTTTTAAGAGACAAGCTGAACACCAATTAAACATGGAAACTTTGCACTTTTAAAATAACGACACTGGCACCAAACTAGAAGATGACAACATTTGAACTGATTAGAACCTCATCAATGTGATATTTTTATAGGACCTGAGTCCCTGGAGCCACTTGTTACATGGCATATAATAAAGGTTGCTGGCCCACAAAACCAGAATCTGCTTTCTAAAGTTTGAATTGTCCAGAAAATAAGCTTTCAGCAGTTCATTGGGAAAACATTTAATGTCCTTTCATTGGCTTACTTGTTTTAAAAACTAAAAGTGTGCAGATACTCTCATAGATTCCTTAAAGATATATTCATAATTTAGAAAGGTTCAAATTATTTTTACATCTTTGGCTCTAGTGGAACGATTGTGTTGATTTTTTGTTCTGTTTTGTTTCATTTTTCTTTACTTTTTAAAGATGTATTGTTTCCGTCATCCTGCTAGAAGTAAGTTCCATGAGAATGGGGATTTCTGCTGTTTTTTTTTTTTTTTTGGAAAGGTATTTTTAAAATAAAATGATTGTACACAAAATAAGGATGCCAGCAAATAGGTCAAAGATCTATAACTTTGTGTTGATAATCTCATGCTTGTGCTTAAGATATAAAAATCAATGCTCCTTTAATTTTATCTTGATTTTTAAGAAATTAAAGACCTAATGTTTTTAGAGTAGTTTTAGGTTCACAGCAAAATTGAGAGGAAAGTACAGAAATACCTCATTTTGCCCCTACCCCCACACCTGCACCACCTCCCCTATTATCAACACCCCCCCACTATAGGGGTGCATTTGTTACAATTAATGAACCCACATTGACGCATCACCATCATCCAGAGTTCATAGTTTATACTAGGCTCACTCTTGGTGTTGTACATTCTACGGGTTTGAACAAATGTCAAATGACCCAAATCCATTGTTAGAGTAACATACAGAGTATTTTCACTGCTCTAAATATCCTCCGTGTTCTGCTTATTCATCCCATCCCACCAACCTCCCCCAGCTCTTGGCAACCACTGATTTTTATGCTGTCTATGCCATAGTTTTGCCTTTTTCAAAATGTCACGTAATTGGAGCCATATAGTATGTAGTCTTTTTGAACTGGCTTCTTTCACTTAGTAACATGCATTTAATATCCATGTCTATTCATGACTTGATAGCTCATATGTTTTTAACACTGAATAGTATCCCATTGGGTGACCACAGTTTATTTATCTGTTCATCTATGGAAGGATATCTTGGTTACTTTCAAGTTAATTTTTGTGAATTGTGTAAGATCTGTGTCTAGATTCCTTTTTTAAATCTGCATACAGATGGTCCAGTTTCAGCACCATTTGTTGAAAAATTGTTAGATTTACAACTATGTCTTCTTGGGTGCTAATGTAAATAGTATTGTGTTTTTAATTTCAAATTCTACTTGGTAATTGTTTACTTACAGGAAATCAATTGACTTTTTATGTGTTAACCTTGTATTCTACACCTTTGCTATGATCATTTATTAGTTTGAAGTATTTTTGTTGATTCTTCTGAATTTTCTACATAAACAATCATGTCATCTGTAAACAAAGGTAGTTTTATTTCTTTTTTCTCAATCTGTATATCTTTTATTTCCTTTTCTTGTCTTATTGCATTAGCTAGAACTTCCAGTGCAATATTGAAAAGAAATGGTGAGAGAGGACATCCTTGCCTTGTTCCTGATCTTAGTGGGAAAGCTTCTATTTTCTCACCATTAAATATGATGTTGGCTGTAGGTTTATTGTAGTTATTATTTATCAAGTTGAAGAAATTCCCTTCTACTCCTACTTTACTGAGAGTTTTTATTATGAATGGGTGTTGGATTTTGTCAAATGCTTTTTCTACATCTATTAATATGATCAGGTGATTTTATTTCCTTAGCGTGTCGATGTAATTAATTACATTAATTGACTTTTAAATGTTGAACCAGCCTTGTGTACTTGGAGCAAACCCATTATTATATAGCTTTTTTCCTTTATTATAACCTCAGCCAGTTATCTTAACCTCACCAAGGCTCAGTTCCCACAACTATGACATGGGAATAATAGACAATTATTTCTATTATAATAGAAATAAACTTTTTCTAAGTGCAATATACTTAGAAGGGTAAATGTTCCTGATATTACCCAGAGACCAGGATGGGGAAGGTGAAGCCTGAAGGGCTGCAGAGTGCCGATCCATATCAGCCATGAGACTAGCAGCACACACCTGCTACTACAGATTCTTTCCCTGGCTTCAGACTTGAGCCCTAGCTCTAACTCTTTACCCAAAAACTGGCTTCTGTCACTCTATTTTAGAATATGAAGTACATCAATCTGTTCCTAGAGACAGTCTTAAAAATAATCATTCGATGGGCAATGTTTGGAACTTACCATAATAATAAATGTTGATGATTAATGTCCCAAAATAGGGTGGCACAAACTAGCCTTGAGGTGGAGATTTGGAGCTATGATCACTTCTTATTACCAAGTTGGCTCCTTTGCAAGAGATAAACCAATCCCCTCATGTTACCCATGAAGCCTAGGACATCCCCTTCTTTTTTATGGCAACCAAATTTACATATTATCTGTACTAGAAAGTGTCTGGGATTAAAAATCAGACAAATCTGGATTCAAACCCTGAATTGTTAGTTACTGTTATTTTGGGCAAATTACTTAACCTCATTTATGCTTAGTTTTGTTGTCTGTAAAATAAGCTATTAGTTTCATTAAAGCATAGTTTAAAAGATTAAATAAGTAACTAGAGATAAAATGACCAGCCAAATGCCTAGTTTTTGTGATAAATGTAGCAATGAGAAGCTATCATCATCATCATCATCATTACCTTCTTCTTATCAAAAACATATTTGTGTAAATAACACAAAGTACCAGTGAGGTTGTGGAACACCAAAACTCTCATATATCGTTAGAAGCCACTTTGGAAAACCATTAGGTATCATCTACTAACACTAAACATATATATATTCTATGACCCAGAAATTCTACTCCCCATATACAAACAACAGAGATGTGAGCATGTCCTCACCAAAAGATATGCACTAGGATTTTCATAGCAACATATTCATAAGAGCTAAAAACTGGAAATAACCTGAATGTCTATCAGCAATAACATGAATACATTACATTATTTTTCCTCTGTTAAATACTACATAGAAATGAAAAAGAATGAACTATTGTTACATGCAACAATGCAATAACACAAATGGATCTCACAGATATAAGTTTCAGGTAGAAAAGCCAGATGCAAAAGAATATGTATGTGTGATTCCATTTATGGGAAGTTCAAGGACAAGGTGATCTATAGTGTGAGAAATCAGGAGACTGGTAACCTAGGCAAGGAGATAGCTGAAGGGCAGGTGAAGTGGGCTTGTAGAAAGCTGGCACTATTCTGTCTTGATCTGTGTTCTAGTTTCATTAATGTTATGGATTGAATTGTTTCTCCCCCAAAATTCTTGCTGAAGCCCTAACCCCCAGCACCTCAGAATGTGACTTTATATGAAAATAAAGTCTTTACAGAGATCATCAAATTGAGATGAGGTCATTAGGGTGGGACAAAATCCAATATGACTGGTGTCTTTATAAAAAGGAAAAATGTGGGCAGAGGCATGCATATAAGAGAGCATGGCCTGTGAACATGAAGGCACAGATTGGGGCAACACATCCACAAGCCAAAGAAGGCCAGCGATGACCAGCAAACTACTATCAGGTGGGAGAGAGGCATGAAAAGGACCCTTGCAGCCCTCAGAAGAAACTAACCTTCCTGACAGCTTGATCTTGGACTTCTGGCCTCCAGAACCGTGAAAAAATAAATTTCTGTTACCCAAGCCCCACAGTTTGTGGCACTTTGTTATGGAAGCCTTAGCAAACTGATACAATGAGTATGTCCATTTCATGGAAATTCATCAGGCTGTGAACGTATGATCAGTGCACTTTTCTGTACATAAGATCTACGCCCTCAATAACACTAAAATAACCTGTGAATGAGCAAATAATTGAATTTTGAAATAGTGAAGTACTTCATAAAGATTTTTAAAAATCTATTGAAGTAATCACAAAGGGAAATACTTGATTACATAAAATATTAAACTCTGTATGTCAAAATAATGTCTAACAAACAAAATGGAAAAGTAAACAAAATATTGAGGATATAGCTGCAGCTAGTATGAGAAACGATTTACATTTCTAATGAAGAACTCTTGTACATGCATTTTAAAGAACTAAAATCATATAGAAAAAATAGACAAAGAATATAAACAAAGTACACAGAAGAAGTAATAAAAAGATGAGTAAGTAGGGAGTGATGAGGTCAACAAGATGGTAAAATAGGGGGTCCCCACCCTCCATCCCCCACCAACTGAACCACCGTCCACAGATAAAAATAGCTTTAGGAGAGCTCCAGAATCCAGCTGTACACATTAAATATGTACAGATTTTTGTATCTCAATGATACCTTAGTAAAGTGGTCTTAAAAATAAAAATTAATATGAAAAAAAAAAAGTTCACCCGAACAAGAAATCAAAGAAATGAAAATTAAAACAAAATAACATCCTTTTACCTTTTAAATCAGCACTTTATATTTTTACTATTAATAAATATTATGTAACAACATATTTGAATAATAAAAGTATTAAAATGATATAATTATTTAAAATATTGTATTATATATAATATATATGTAACATATATTATATTATATATCCAAGGGCGGGTCTATAGCGGTTATCTTATGATCATGCTACCATTGCATTAAGTGTATGTTGGAGGAGCATATATATATATCCAGTGCTGATGAATCTGCTATGAGGCTGACATTCTCTTCTGCTAGTGGCAAGAATAATAAAAACAAACATTTAAATACTTGCCATATGTCAAGAACTATACTAAATACTTGGCCTATGTATTCAGGTACATATGTAGTCAAATATCTTATTTTTTTCTTTACTGCAAAGCCATAAGTAATGTTTGTCTCATTTCCAGACGAGGAAGCTATGGCTCAGAAAAATTAAATAACTTGCCCAGGGTCACACAACTAGTAATTTGTAAAGGTAGGATTTGAGCCCAGACCTCTCTGATGAGAGATACTGAGATTTATTACCTCTGAGAATATAAGCTTACTGCACCTTTTCCTTGAAAACAATTTGACAGTATACACCAACAGCCTAAAATGGTTCCTAATTTTTTTTTTTTTGAGACAGTCTCACTCTGGTACCCAGGCTGGAGTGCAGTGGTGTGATCTTGGTTCACCACAGCCTCTGCCTCCTGGGTTCAAGTGATTCTCCTGCCTCAGCCTCCTGAGTAGCTGAGACTATAGGTGTGTGCCACTACGGCCGGCTAAGTTTTGTATGTTTATGAGAGATAGGATTTCACCATGTTGGTCAGGCTGGTCTCAAACTCCTGACCTCAAGTGATCCGCCCACCTCAGCCTCCCAAAGTGCTGGGATTACAGACTTGAGCCACTGTGCCTGGCTGGTTCATAAACTTTGACCTACTAACTAAATTTCTAGAAATCTGTTCTCATGATATAATCAGAAATTTCAACAAAGATTTAAGTACAAGGATGTTCGCTGTTGTATCATGTATACTACTGGGAAAAAAAAAAAAAAACAAACAGAAAGAGACTATATGTCCACAATAGAAGTGGACTTAAAGTATTTAAGGTGTATCTATCCACAATACAGAAAAAATTATAGCTATAAAAATGTTTCTGTAAAAAATGTAGAAAGATATATGCATAACACTATTCACTGAAACACTATTTATAATGATAAAAGACTAGGAACCTCCAGAATATCCCTCCAGAGGGGACTGGTTGAATAACTATATACAACTCCACAATGATGACCATTAGCCGTAGAGAAACAGTTATCTCCAAATACTACTATGGAATTAATTCAGGTTACACTGGTAGATAAAGAAAGAAATATGAAGAACAGCATGCATAATGTGCAAATGTTTATCTTCGAATGAGGAATACATGTTTATTTGAATAGCTACTTATGTTTTTTAAAAAGAAGAATAAATAAAAAGCTGAAAACAAAGTTAATATACAGGAGGGAAAGGAAGAGGGCAGAGGATGCAGAAATGAAGCCAGACTTCTCTGAATATACCTTGTTCTATAGTTTGACATTGAAACCTTGAAATTATTTTATAAAATTACAAAACAAGAAATTCTTCAAAATTGCTTTAGACAAAAGCTTGTCAAAAGCAAAATAAATCAACTATTTTTTAAGTTGGTGGCATATGCACATAGAGAGAACAATTTTAATTGAATTTAGACATAGTAATTTGACTAGAAGTCCTTAGTAAGATACCATCAAAGGACAAAAACAAATGTGAACATTTTAACTACTTTTAGTAATTTTATTGTTGGTAGTAGTGTTTGGGTAGTTTAAAAATATATCTTCACCTTCAAAAGGTAAAACCAAATTCCCCTTCCCTTGAAACTGGGCCAGAAATAGGGACTTCCTTCTAATAAAAAGTGTGAAAATGATGTTTGACTTCTGAGCCTAGATTGTCAAAGGAATTGCAGTCTCCCTGTTGTTCTCCTGAATGGCTTGCTCTGGGACCAGCCCTCGTGCCATGAGGACATTCCATTAACCCTTTGGAGAGGCCTGTTTGGAAAGGAACTAATATCTCCCTAGCAACAGCCAGTACCAACTTGCCAGCCATGTAATGAGACACCTTGGAAACAGACCCCAAAGTCTTGGTCAAGCCTTAGATAACTGTAGTCCTGGCCAAATCTTTTAGTGCAACTTTATGAGAGCTGCCCAGCTGAGCTGCTCTCAAATTTCTAACGTACAGAAACTGTGACAGAATAAATGTTTAGTGCTTTAAACCACTAAGTTTTAGGGTAACTTTTCTCCAAGCATAATTTGTCACGCATCAATAGATAACTAATATAGAGTTTGCACCAGGAATAGAGTTTCCATCACTAAACCCTAAGATTTAGTAGTGGCTTTGGAATTGGGTAGTGGATAGGAGTTGGGAATATTAACGAAAACCTAAAGGATCTTGAAAAGGCTTTTAGTGGAAGCCCAAGGTTGAGAAGAGTTTATTTTGGAGAGGTTTGTGGGTTTGTTTAATCTGAGTAAGCTACAGTAAGAATCACAGGAAATCTGCAGCCTTGCAGGGACATAGAAACTACAATTCTCAGCATACTAACACAGGAACAAAAAACCAAACACCACGTGTTCTCACTCATAAGTGGGAGTCGAGAAATGAGAACACATGGACACAGGGAGGGGCATATCACACACCAGGGCCTGTTGAGCGGTGGGGGGCAAGGGGAGGGAGAGCATTAGGACAAATACCTAATATATGTGTGGCTTAAAACCTAGAAGACGGGTTGATAGGTGCAGCAAACCACCATGGCACATGTATACCTGTGTAACAAACCTGCACATTCTGCACATGTATCCCAGAACTTAAAGTAAAATTTAAAAAAAATTTTTAAAGGAAAATAAAGACCTCAAAAAAAAAATAATCACAGGAGATCCATGAAGTTTTTAAGAGAAGTAAATTGGCAGAAATATCAGGAACTTGGACTGAAAGCTTGCAGAATCCATATAAAATCGAAAGAGGCCTTTGAACCCTCAAGCTTCTACCAGCAAGAAGCAAGATCAAGATCAGAAAACTATTCAGCAGAGAACATAGGCTACCTTTCATGGAAAAGAATGAATGACCTAATGGGTAGAACCAAGGGCTCAGGTATGGGAGCTGGGAGCTATTGGAAACTCATTGTCAGGTCTTGTGTTCTAATCAAGGAACTTCCAACATTTGCCCTGATGGATTTCAGAATTGCTATGGGTCAGGGACTCCTGCAGCCTCTGCCTCCTGGGTTCAAGTGATTCTCCTGCCACCTGTGTCTCCTGGTTTCTCCTGTTTTGAAAGGGGTAGGTCTATAGCAGTTATCCTGTGTTTGTCCTACCATTGTGTTAAGTGTATGTTGGAGAGCAGGTGGCAGGCAACTTTCCTCTTTAGATCACAGGTCCTCAGATTGTGAGAAACTGTACTCAAGGATCTGAACTCAAGGAACCCCAGCTAAGGAGTCTCTGTCACTCCTGGATCTGACTTAGGTAACAAGATCCTGGACTGTGAGCTGATGCTGTAAAGGAATAAGACTTTTGGAATCTTTGGAAGTGGTGTGTGTATATTGCATGTGGGAGAAATGTAAGAAAGTTGCAGCCAGAGGGTAGGAAGAAATAGATCTGCAAATTCTTTAACATTCCCCTTTCAACAGGAAGAGATGAATTCCTTCCCTTTGAAAGTAAGCCAGAAATAATGACTCACTTATAACAACAGAATGTGATAGACCCAAAAATGTATATTTCTGAAGCTAGACAATCAAAGGCATTGCCACTTACATCTTGCTCCCTAGAATCACTCACTCTGGAGGAAGCCAGACATCATGCTATAAGGACCCTTTTGCAGCTGTGTAAGAGGCCATGTGAAGGGCAGCCGAGGTCTTCTGTCAATGCCAGCATCAACTCAGCATCAACTCGCCAGCCATGTGAGTATGCCCCGGTGGGAGCAGATCTCCCAGCACCAGTCAAGCTTTCAGATGACTGCAGCTCTGGCCAATAATTTATCTGCAGTCTTATGAGAGACCTTGCTCCAGAGTCATGTAACCATGCTGCTTATGACTTGCGGATCTATGGAAACTGTAATATAATTAGTGTTTGTCCTTGTGGCAAGCCACCAAGTTTTGGAGTAATTTGATGTGTGTGTATTGTTGATGAAGCAAATGAGAAATTATGTTGGTGTCTTTGAAAGAAAGAAGTTACAGGTATAAGATGCATGAAGTGAAAAATACATATATTGTAGTCCTGAATTTGAATTGCAATGATTGCAGTGGTGTATTTTATGTGGAGGAGGTGGAGCAGAGGTAAAGGAGATGGAGGAGAAGGAGAAGAGAAAGAGGGAGAGAAAGGGGAAGGAAAAGGGGAAGGAGGAGAAGGAGAAGAAGGTATGTTACTTAGTTCCGTCTACTGAAAAGACCTTTAAAAATGAGTACTGTAGGTCCAGGAGTGGTGGCTCACAACTGTAACCCCAGCTCACACCTGTAATCTGGGAGGCTGAGGTGGGGTGCATCCTTGAGCTCAGGAGTTTGAGACCAGCCTAGGCAGCATGATGAAACCCCATCTCTACCAAAAATAAAGAAAATTAGTCGGGCATGGTGGCGTACGCCTGTAGTCCCAGGTACTCGGGAGGCTGAGTTGGGAGGATTGCTTGAGCCTGGGAGGTGGAGGTTGCAGTGAGTGGAGACCATGTCATTGCACACTGCACTCATACCTGGGTGACAGAGTGAGAACCTGTCTCAAAAAAAAAAAAAAAAAAAGAACACAGATTGTGGTTTCCACATAAACTTTCCCAACAACAAACAAACTAGTTATCTTTGAAGAAGTGGCTAGTTCTAGGTCTGAAGCCGAAAATGTATTAGATGAGCCTGGAGCATCCCATCACCACAGAAAGTAAGGAAGCAATTTAAAAAGACAAGGAAAAAAATACTAGGGTCTTGTTAAAGACTCAGAAGTGATCATGAAGAGGTTCTTACTTGCTGAAGATGGGACAATTGGAGCATCGTTAAAATGACAGCTGCAATGGATTAAAACACATCAAACATGTTTAAGTCCTTGCATTCATAATGATACTTAAAACCTAGCTTGCTTTGGATTATGTTTGGCACTTAATTCATTCATGTTTTGATAACTGGCAAACAAAGGGAATAAATTGAGCATTTATCCTGCCTTTCTTGTATGAACTGCACCTTAGTATAATCAAATCGTCAGTGAGGAGTTTTTTCTTGCAGAAGTATTCCAGTTAATAAATGAAGAAATAATGGTCAGATGAGAATATTACCTTTTTGAGATTCCTAATGAAATAATGGTTCTGGGCAGTGACCCTCAATGGCTGCTGACCACACAAAGACAGACAACCAGGTACCGTGTCTCTCCCGGGAAGCTTATCATCCCACTTATGAAGTATGCTTGCCAAAGTATCAAACGTGAATCTGATCAAACCTCTGGATTTAGCTACCATTTTTTAGCAAGTATAGGGGACAGAGGAACATTAGCAATGACAGCATGAAAATCCAGCTAGCAAAATCCAGATTGTAGGGAACCCTACAGGAAAACTGACCCAAGTCTTTAACAAATAAGGAACACATTGCAAAGAGAGATGGGGAGGGGAGAGAAAGAGAAAGAAATCATGTTTACATGATCTTTATAATGTGCAAAAAAGTCCAACACATATGAAGTTAGGAAAATTTGGATACAAAATTGTCTTTATAAAAAGAAGTATGCTGTAGAGTATGAAAGAAAAAAATACAAAAATAGTAACAGTCATTGTCTTCAGGTAGCAGGATTGTTGGCAATTTTTAAAAAATTATTTTTAAAATCTGTTTTAAGAACAAATATTATTTTTATAATCACTGTATTATACCCCTTTTGGAATAAGGAGAAATAGATAACTCAGTTTTAAAAATCAGTAAAAATCATACAGTTTTAAAACACTTTTTTTTCACATGATGGCTGTATGCTTTCATCCATTGAGATTCTATTTTCTACAAGAAAATGTACTAATCCCATTGGATTGTAATGTGTTGATGGGTCCCGTCTCCCTGGTAACAGGCATGTATTTTACCAGGGGTCTTGTGGGAAAGACTGAATCCGAGGGAATGAATCAGGGCTCACCTTCCGGCTCTGAGATGGGAATGAGAAGTTCAGTTAGCCCTCGTAGAACTGTTCAGGATGGTCAGTAGCTGAACTATGAAGTCTGATTTTTGGTAGATAACAAGCAAAGGAGGCAAACAGCCTCCACACAGCCCGGTTGGGTACAGATGGTCCACGAGCAACAAGTTTATTCTGCAACGTTGCCAAGGCAACAGCAGCTGCTTCTGGCAACAAGGAGGGTGGTGGGAGGGGGAAACTGTGGGAATAAAGAGGCAGATGATTCTGTAAATTTTTCCTAGGGAAATGGGAAAGAATATGATAAAACAGCAAACACTTTCTGGGTGAGCCTACTCCCCAGCACTTGATATGTCAACAATGAAAGGCAAATGGTGTTTTTCATATTATAATCCTCCTAGAACCCAATGGGAGCCTAGTGGCTCTTGTCATGTTGTCATTTTCCCTTCCACGTCTCCAAACAGTGGTGGACAGGCTTTCTCACAGTTTTACCCCCTTGAGTGCTAACACACATTGATGTTTTTCTGTGACAGTTGCCGCGGCATCTATTCACATGGTTGAAAGATGCTTATTATGCTTTTACTTTGCCCAGACTTGAGAGGGAAGAAGAGAGGAAAGAAATAGCATTGGTCCTCCTCCTCCTTCTCCTCCTCCTCCTCCTTCTTTCCTCCCCTTAGCTCTTGCCTACAGATCTTTCTACCTGCAAAGGAAGAGGATGAAGGCAGAAGAATGCGGCAGCAAGGAGGGAGCGAGAGATTATGAGAGGGTGCTAAAGAAATTTCATCCAAAGGAGAGAGTGGCCAACAGGATCCCCTCCAGAAGGCAGCCCTGAGACGGCCACTGGGAACCTGTGAAGAGCTGGGTCAGGGGCTCTCTAGGCAGGGCAGAGGCCAGTT
Source organism: Homo sapiens (assembly GCF_000001405.40). NCBI lineage: Eukaryota > Metazoa > Chordata > Mammalia > Primates > Hominidae > Homo > Homo sapiens. The sequence goes on from NC_000013.11 coordinate 45,864,845, forward strand.
CTACCTGTAACAGGCCCTAGAGAAGGATCCAAGCTGGGCATGAAGAGAGAGACATGGAAACAATCAGTGTGGAGAGGCTGAGCATCTAAATATTCCTACACTGGAGAAACAGAGTCCTAACACAGACATGTCGGTTGCTTGCAGCTTTTCACAATTAAAAGAATACCCTAATGAGTGTCCTTGTATATACATTTGCTTTCTTGTCTGTAATTTTTAAAGACACATTTCTTAGAGTAGAATTGCTATGTACATACACATTTTTGAAGCTATATATTTTCAAAGTGTATTCCAGGACCATTGTTCTGAGTCTCCCTCAGAACCTCATCTAATGTGTTCAGAACCTGAAAGAGTCTTTGGGTGGTTTTCACTCACTCACAAGTAAGAGCATTTAGAGTCCTGCTGGTGCCCAGTTGGGACTGAATATGTTTTCAAATGCCAAACCACTTTACAACAAGGCAGGATGGCATAGAGAACAAAACCTGAACTTGGGAATCAGGCAGGTCAGGGGAACCTGGATCTGAACCCTGGGCTCAGAGCTGTTCATAGTCACACATATGAGGCAGGGAGCCCACCCTCTGGGTGCTTTGCTTCCTCTTCTATACACAGGGGAGCTGAGGCCACCCTCCTGGTGCTGGGGAGTGACTTCGGTGTGGTACCTGGGACATTGCTAGGATTATCATTCTCACTAGAGCATGGGAAGGAATGGAATTCACCTGTGCTTGCTTCCTGGACTTAAAAGTAAGATTAGGTGAGGTAGAAACCCTGACCAGGAAGCTCTGTTACAAATTGGCACTGGGCCTGTGTTAGGGATCTCCAGAGAAACAGAACCAACAAATAGATAGATGGATAGAGAAGGGTTTGCGGGGAGAAAGAGAGAGTGTGTTAAGGAATTGGCTCATGCAATTGTGGAGGCTGGCAAGTGCAAAATCTGCAGAGGGGGCTGGCAGGCTGGAGACCTAGGGAACAGCCAATTAGGTGGTTCAAGTCCGAAGGCTGTCTGCAGGCCGAATTCCCGCTTCTTCAAGGGAAATTAGTCTTTTTCTACTAGGGCCTTCAACTGACTGGATGAGACCCATCCATATTAAAGAGGGTAATCTGCTTTACTCAAAGTCTACTGATGTTAATCTCATAAAGAAAAATACTTTCACAGAAACATCTAGACTGGTGTTTGACCAAATATCTGGGTAGTGGCCAGGTTGACACTTAAAAATAACCATCAAGGGGCCCCATAGAGCACTGTCTAAACATCAGTAATTCTCATCCCATAAACCCTCTGTGAAGTCAGTAACCATGACCCTAATAAGTCACTCACACAATGAATAGGGTCCTATTGATGTCGTTAATGGCATAGAGTAGCTGGGACCAGACCTTAGATTTTCTTTATTTGTGCTTCCTTAGGAGGAAATAAAACAAAGGACAACAAAAGTTTGATACCAAGAATAATGTCAAAAAGGCAACTTGTTCCACAGATTTGGCAGTTAATAGATATTTATGCCAATATCTTACATATTAAATTAAAAAGGAAAATATCTAAAGAGAGCACCGTACTCGGGACCAGAGTCTCCCCCTCCACCCTGCCATTAGGCCAGCCGTAGTGAAGTAGATCATCAGACCTACACTGAATACAGTAGCGGGAAGATTTGCTTCAGTCATCTACATAAAAGTGCGTGAGTTTTTATTGTACTTGAATCTGGAGAAGGATTGAAAGCCAAGACCTTGCTGGGGTGATTTAATTTTTTCAGAAGGGTGATGCTCTATAAACTCAAGGTATGGCTTCCTTTTAAAATAGACAAAAAGGAAACAGAACTGAGCCATGTATCTCTGAGAATGACACCTTGCTCTTTTCTCTCTTTCTTTCTCTGGAGCAAAATTTCACCAGGTTCTGACAGCCCATCTCAGTTATTCCCCCAGTTTATGGCTGCTTGCCCGTCTTTTTTTGTTTGGTACACATGAGAGGTGCAGAGCACTTTCTGTAACCTGCTGTCAGAAAAGCAGCATGTCCTGGTTGGAAGTCCAAGGGCAAAGATGATACCCAGGATTTTAAAAGTGCCTCTCATGGGTCTAGGGAAAGAGGTTCTCTTAGATTCTGTTGCTAAAAGTGTAAATGAGAACAATATTCCTGGAATACACTTTGAAAATATATAGCAAGTGCTTCAAAAATGTGTATGTACCTAGCAATTCTACTCTAAGAAATTTATCCTAAAAAAAATGATGGACAAGAAAGCAAAATGTATATACAAGGATATTCATTAGGGTATTCTTTTAATTGTGAAAAGCTGCAAGCAACCTAAATGTCCAACAATATTCAGGATTGAATAAATGAATTACAATTCATCTTGAGAATAGAATATTATATAACCATTAAAAATGATAAAATGATGATATAAAAGTGTGTGTCTGTTTGCAGGCAGAATTCCTGCAGATAGGACTATAATGAATATATGTATATATACGTTAAATCAAGTTTAGCCTAAAGCTGCCTCTTTACATATTTTAAATTCAGCCTAAAGGTTTTTCTCTACATAGTGAACTATAACCTATATGGGGTTGTAAACAGACTGCAACTTACTTTTGTGTCGATCACCAAGTTTTGGCCAATCAAAAAAGGGGGCCAACTGTTCAAACCATGTTCAAATAAGGCAAACACCAAGCTGTAACCAATCCGGCTGTTTCTGTACCTCACTTCAATTTTCTGTCTGTCACTTTTCTTTTTCTGTCCGTAAGTCTTCTACCTTGGGGCTGCACTGGAGTCTCCCTGAGCTCACTCTGGCTCGGGAGGCTGCCCAATTCATGAATTGTTCTGTGCTCAATTAAACTCTGTTAAATTTAATTTGACTACGGTTTTTCTGTTAACATTTATATGCAAAGATATTTATGACATATTAAAAAGGAAATTAGGTCATAAAACATTATATATTAAAAATAATTCCATTAAAACCCACGCATAAGTTTTGATTGATATACACCAAAATATTTAGAGTGACTTTCTCTGACTAGTAGAATTTTGTTTTATCTTTTTACTTATCTGTATTTTTTATTTTTCTCCATTAAATTTATGCTTACTTGTATGTTTAAAAAAATAGGGGAAAATGCTTTTCTTTTCTTTTTTTTTGAGACAGAGTCTCGCTCTGTTGCCCAGGCTGGAGTGCAGTGGCATGATCTTGGCTCACTGCAACCTCTGCCTCCTGGGTTCAAGCAATTCTCCTGCCTCAGCCTCCTCAGTAGCTGGGACTACAGGGGCGTGCCACCACACCCAGATAATTTTTGTATTTTTAGTAGAGACAGGGTTTCACCATGTTGGTCAGGCTGGTCTCGAACTCCTGACCTCATGATCCACCCGCCTCGGCCTCCCAAAGTGAAAGTGCTTTTCTTGGGTATTAATTGCTTGCTGTCCTATGACCTCCTTTCTCTGGTGAGAAGGGCAGACCATAGGTTTCCTTGAGGCCCATGAGGGCATCCAGGGAGGAAAACTGTTCTCAGCATTATCTGTTATTTTTCACCCTCCACTGGCATTTTAGCATCAATGTTGATGGTAACCTCTTAGATTGGATTTCCTTCTCTTTTGTAAAAAAGAAAATGCTCACAGACACCAATACCAGACAGTTCCTTGTAAAGAGTCTGGATCATGTACTATAGTTAGTGAAGGCAGCCGGTTAATTCTAGGAGAGGCCCTGATACCTTGTTGTCATAAAAACAGCATCTCTTTGAGATTTGCTAACCTACATTCATCGAGAAGGTTCTGGGGCTAAGGACAAAAAAACAGAAGTCAGTAATATAAACAAAGGTAGTACTGAGAAACCGTGTGTGGGTATGTGTATGTGCATGCGCGCGCACGGGGGCGTGTGTGTGTGTGTTTCAGTGAAGACAGTTGATTTCTTTTCCTCCTCTTTGCAGACCCCGAGACCTGATATTTTTAGCGTATGTAATGGCAGGGCTTGAAATGATGCTATTTCTTGATAATGCTGGGACATTTCACCTTGAGTGCTCATAGAATAGATAACCTAGAAAACAGCCAGCACTTTTCAGATTGGACACTACAGAAATGTCAGCATACAATCGTGTTACCCTGTTCCTTTCTTGGACTGCTGACTTGTAATCAGAGATTTAGTCTCCTGACTGCACAAATGCTAAGAGCACTTGAAGTAGTCTCAGACTTTTAGAACCTGAAACACAAAGCAGAGGGCCAAAAGTCACTGTTTCTTAAAGAGGCAGCAAAGAGTGTGTCCAGGTGGGGGCAGGAGGGGGTTGAGGTGGGAAGGCAACACATTGGCTGTACACCTGCAGTGTCAGATCAAGCTTCAGGACCTGATGATCAGCATTCTCATGGGCCCCTTCCTTCTCCTGTCCTCACACAACAATGGAGATGGCAGGTTTCTTCTCTCGCCACATCTCTATCACCTTGGGGCACCTGCTAGCTTTCCCAAGCAGCTCTCTCACCTCATCCTGCCTTAAGCTGTAGTGATATATAAATACTTTTAAGACTTACTAGATTGAAAGTTCCCTGAGGGCACCAACAATTTCTAAATTGGCTTGGCATGAATGATGTACAGCACCTAGCAGATATCTAGTTAAACAGATAATCACTGCATGAGTGAATGAACAGCAGGCGCTCAAAATCCACTCACTTCAATCAACAGAGAGAACAAGAAGTTGGACCTCTCTAAGAGAAACAAAAGCTAACTTTTCAAGCTCCTAATGGTTCAGTGGTAGTGTGTGATTCTCCTTTGTTAAGGAAGGCATTGCCTCTGACATCACAGCTTTGATGCTTTCTTACTCTTCTCCTCACAGCAGAAAAGATGGACTTAGCAATGGGATCAAAAAAGCTCAGTATTCAAGGACCGGTTCTCCATCTGGGATCCTGCCTAATCATTTTCTCTTTGCACACCACTGCTAACAAGCTGCCTGGTGGTGGAGCAGGCTTAGTTTTTCCACTCACATACCCTTAAATAGATTCATAAAATCAGTTAATAGGTATTTATTATTCAATGATTATAGGCTCAACACCAAGAGGTGAAATACTAGTATTTATAGAATCTGGGACCGACACGAAAGTAAAGTAGTTTGTCACAGGCTATAAGGAATAGTATAGATCATTTAATTTACCCCTTTCTGCAGAAAAGACTACACCAACCATTCCAAGGCCTCAACACCAAACTCTCCTCCTCCCTCTGCTTCTCTTCCTTCTCCTCTTTCTCTACCTCCTTTTCTCCCTCAGTTCTTCTTGATCCTTTTCTCCTTTTCTTTCTTCTTCTCCTTCTCCTCCTCCCCTCCTCCCCCTCCCTTTCTCCTTCAATCATCAGCCACAACCTTTGCCAAAGGCCTTGTGTACAGGGTACAATGCTAAGTGTGTAAAATGAATACAGAGAACTGTTAGATTAATTTATGTGTGACCTTGGAACTGTTTTACACTGTGGACTGAAATAGAGACTGTGTCTTCCATTTCTAAACGACACTCTAGTACCTTGTTGCTACTCTGAAGGTCATGCTAACAACAGTAATAGAACGCACCACAGTTTACTGGCCCCGAGCCCCTTTTCCTCTCCCAGGGCCGACAGGAACACGGCCAAAGGCCAGCTCTGGGTGTTTCTATTAAAAGTGGCCATGGCATTCCTGGTAGAGGCTCCTGGGAGAGGGACTACTTCTCTAACTAGATAGTGCCTCCTCCTTGCATTCCTTTGAGAAGGGTGAGCTCTGCAAGTCTTCGCACGCATCCGCTGTTCCTCTCTACTCGCCGTTGCCCCATAGTTCTTTCTTCAGTGAAGGATCTCCATCCTCCCTGCTTCAGATTTAAATGCAGCCTCATACATTGTCCAAAATCACTGGACCAAACCCTCTAGGAGACATAAAGAGGAAAAAAAATGCTTCAAGGAATGAGTTATACATGGCAATGGATTCATACACTTTACGTAGCTCCTAGTTCCCTTCCATTACGTTAATTCTTCCCACTCAATAACCTAATTCCCTTCCCCACCCACCACACACATTTTCTTTTTTTCCTGGTGAAGAAGCTGATTGATGCTGAAGTCAGAATTCACCCAATTTTGCCATGATCTAAGTATTCAAGGCGATTGGCCTGAAGCTGCCAGGGACTATCTTAAGCCCACGTGAAAACAACCACCACGGTTTCAGTAGACTCTATCAGGACTCCAAGGAGGCTAGGCTAGTGGTGATGTGCTAGTTATGTATTTAGGAGTTTTCTTGTGGCTGCACATCCTGGACAAATGCCCAGGTCAGGAAATCTATAATGGGTGATCCTAATATTTCCTCTTTGATCTGTCTCTGTAGCAGGACCAGCAGCAGACAAAACCTCTCAGACACCAAGTTGTAGAAGGAAGGGCTTTATTCAGCTGGGAGCATCAGCAAGCTACTGCCTTAAAATCCGAGCTCCCCTAGTGAGCAATTCCTGTCCCTTTTAAGGGCTCACAACTCTAAGGATTTCACATGAAAGGGTCGTGATTGATTTGAGCAAGCAAGAGGTACTTGACATGGGCTGCATGCACCGGTGGTCAGAGAGAAACAGAACAGGGCAGGGAGTTGCACGATGTTCTTCTATACAATGTCTGGAATCTATGAATAGCATCGGTTTCTAAGTTATGAGTTGATTTTCAACTACTGGGTTTAGGCCAGGCAGGCCCAGGCCTGGTTTTGGGCCTGGCGCCAGGCTGCCTGTCTTTGATTTCACTTCTTTGTTTTTTTTCTTAAAACAGGTACTGAGTATAAAACAATATAAAACAATATGAGAGGGTCTCTGTCTTCCCTCATCTCAACCTGACTTTGACCTGCCCCCGGGGAGGTGTTGCCTCAGCCTGTTGGTATTACTCTCTCACAGTGTGTCCTGATTGCATGCTTATTTATTATTCATTTATTAGAGTTATTGGATGTGCTCATGGCTATCACCCTCGGGTGCATTTACAGGTAGGACAGGAGAAAGCCACAGCACCTGCATCTCCATGTTTATCAAGATGTATGCCCCTACTGTGAAACACTGTCTTTGTTTAATGAAGCTTTGATGGCATACTTCTCAAACTTGGGTTTTCCTTTTAGGGGCTACCTAAAATGTATATTTGAGCCCTCTCTATCCAGTAGGTTAGAAACAGGCATTACTATTCAGGAGACTGGGCTAAGTAAGAGCCAAGAGCCACGGCTGTTGGGGAGAAGGCCTCGTGAGCTAAAAGCCCCACACTGAAAAGTAATATCTGGTTCCTGATTAGGCCAACATTTGTGTTTCCTTTAGTTTCTAGTCTTTCTCTCTGAAGCTTGTTCTTTCTCTAAGTTATGAAGAAACATGCATGCGCGCGCGCACACACACACACACACACACAGCTGCAATATTGCAGTCCTATCCACAACACAAAGAAAGCATTAAACAGTTTTCCGGGGTGAAGGGAATGCGTCTTGTGTCATCTCAGCAGATCCTCCTTCATGGACACTTTTGGAGGACAGAATGCTCCTAATTTTCTGCATTACTTGTACCCTGATGCAAAACTAAGGCTATGAGTATATTCATGCCAACTGCCCCTGAGGACTGTCTTCTCCTCTACATAAAAGGTGACAAAAGATTTGTAGTTTTAACTAGGTTACACCTGTAAGAAATTTTTTGTTTACTTTGAAAAGATTTGTAGAGAGCCAATAATGTTGCAGAATGCTCCTTCCTACTTAGGAAGAGAAATACTGCACTGAAAGGAATTTGAGAGTCCAGATTTTATGACTCCGGCTAGAAATTTTCAGCGACTATAGAGAAAATAGGGGAACATGAGAGTGCTGTCATTTCTTCTGCCTCATTTTCTCCCACTGCTGCCCTTGTCCTACCAAAACCCACCCATACAATTAGGCCCGACTCTGGCAGCCCTGCCCTCCCTGCAGAGACCATCTGGAGCCCAGATGATCTCCTTGCCTTCTGGCAGCCCACATGAAAGGTTCTGACCCTCTCCACCAGCTGGGATTTGTCAGAATGACACTTGGTACTCTACCTCCTTCTGGTTGAGTGTGGGAACTGGGTGGCAGTTAACTCTGACCCTTCCTGGAGGGTAACACGTGGATGTTCCATCTGCTTACCTTCTCAAAGCTTGAATAGAGTGTGTCCCAAAGTACTCAGAAGCAGCCAGAGCCTCCCCTCCTCCAGTCACACACTGAAGAAGGGTCTGAGACCTACCCAGGGCAGAGGCCATCTGATATAGCCCATATGGGGCTTTGCTAGTTGAGCAGGGGGACCTGGAAACAGCACCCCACAGGCTCCCATCCTGGCCTAGCTGGGTTCTGGAGGCTGTTTGGAAGTCATCATTTGCCGAACTTGCCCCTTCACCCCAGAAAACTGTTAATGCCTCTTGGCTTCTATTGTCCTATCGAATAGGACTTATATTCAGTTCTGAACTTGGGAGTGTCCAGGAAAGTCAGAAGGCAGCAAGGCTTTTACTCCAGGGATCCTGAAAGGCATGAGACCATCCAAGCAGGTACCTGGTCTTTCTGTTGTGGCTGGCTTGTTCTAACTGGGATCATTCTCAACCTTAAAAGCAATGCTAGGCCAGGCTCAGTGGCTCTTGCCTGTAATCCTAACACTTTGGGAGGCCGAGGCAGGAGAATCTCTTGAGGCCAAGAGTTCAAGACCAGCCTGGGCAAAAAATTGAGACTCCATAACTGACAAAAAAAAAAGCCCATAAGCCAAGCATGGTGGCACATGCCTATAGTCCCAACTACTTGGAAGGTTGGGGCAGGAAGATTCTTGATCCCAGGAGGTTGAGGTTGTCGTGAACCAAGATCATGCCACTGCATTCCAGCCTGGGCAACAGAGCAAGACATTGCTTTAAAAAAAAAAAAGCTAAAGCTGAATCACTGGAGAGGAATGTTCTGAGTAATCTAGGCACTGAAGGATTGTCTATTGTTCCCCCGTTGTCTATTGATTATTTCTATTGCCACCCTGTTATCCGGCCAGCAAGCAGCTCTTCCATCCACAAGCCATACCTTGGACATATTTTGCCAACCACAGCAGGACAGCACTGAACAAAGTTCTCTTCATGGGATGCGCTATCCCAGCTCCATTTTCATCTCAGCATTCCTTGTCTTTTGGGTGTGCCTGCTATAGTTCTTACTCCTGCTGCCTCTGCAAATAGTTTCTGTTGCTTATTTCCTGATGATATACTTTGTCTCTTGGCAATGCTGTTATTCCACCCCAGAAACACAGCCCCTAAACTGTTGCATAGGGTCTTTTTTTTTTCTTCTTCTTCAACTGTTTGAAAAAGATGATAAGAGCATCTGAATCTGCAATACAATAACCAGCAACCACTTACTGGACGAGCTTCCCAGGGGAAAAGCTCAGCTGTTGAAATGCAAATGTCGGATCAAAAGAGGTGAATCCCTTCTGAGAATAAGGGCTGCCCTTGCTACATTGGGCTTTACCAAATATTTCAAATCGCCTTTCTGAGCTAAGCAAGGAGGAATAGTGGTATTTATCATTAGTCTAAAGCAGTGTTCTTAAATTATACGTCGTAATCCATTAGTGGATTCTGAAATCAGCTTAGTAGTTTACAACTGGCATTTAAAAATGGGAACAAATAGAATAGGATTAAAATATGAGTGTACTTCTCGTAATAAAGATACATTTCTTTGTGAAATTTTTGTTTTAGTGTATCCACATACACACAGATATATGAATGTGTGTATTAGAGTAAGACATACTATATATTTATGTTTATTTTTTAACCTTCTTGTTTTTTTTTTGAGACAGAACCTGTTCTGTCACCCAGTCTGGAGTGCAGTGGTGCAATCTCGGCTCACTGCAACCTCCCACTCCTGGGTTCAAGTGATTCTCGTGCCTCAGCCTCCTGAGTAGCTGGGAGCATAGTCGCACACCACAACACCCAGCTAATTTTTGTATTTTTAGTAGAGACAGGGTTTCACCTTATTGGCCAGGCTGGTCTCAAACTCTTGACTTTAAGTGATCCTCCTGCCTCAGCCTCCCAAAGTGCTGGGATTGCAGGCATGAGCCACCGCACCCAGCCTAACCTTCATGTTTATTGTGAAATAAACATCCAGCAGCATATATACAATTTATCTATTTTAGAGTCTAAAGAAGCAGGAACCTGAATTCCTACTGCTATGATTGAGAACCAGAACAGAGCTGGTGCCTTAGAAGCCATCTCTGGACTCTCCTTCCCTCCCTTGCCTCCATCCCCTCAGAGGCAGCCATCATCCTAACTTTTATGATAATTCCCTGCATTTCTTTATGATTTTACCACCCATGTATACATCAGGAAAAAGAGAGTTTTGTTTGGCCTGTCTTTGAGGTCTATGTAACTTGTTCTGAGATTTGCTTCTTCCGCTCATGGTAGTTTGTGAGATCTATCTCTGTTGATGTGTGCAGCTGGAGTTTATTCATTTTCACTGCGGCACAGCGTTCCTTCCCATAATTGCACCACGATGTCTGTGTCACTCTATGGGTGATGAACATGGAGTGTGCTCCAGACTGGGGGTTTACAAACAGTGCTGCTATGAACATTCTCCCTCATTTCCTTGGCCTGCCTTTGAAGGATTTTCTCTGGTTATACATGAGACATGTTGGGTTTGTGGACATACACCATCCACACTTGTAACTCTCTGATTTGTCACTGGGTTGCTTAATTTCCATGTACTTATACAAATACAAAGTTCCTCTTGCTATTCATTTCTAGTTTTATTCTAGTGTGGTCAGAAAAGATACTTGATATGATTTTTATTTTTTAAAATTTGTTAAGACTTGGTTTGTGGTCTAACCTATTACTATTCTGGAGACTGTTCTATGTGCTATTGAGAAGAATGTGTATTCTGAAGCTATTGGATGGAATGTTCTGTCAACAAGAACAACAGACAACGACTAGTACTTATATCAGAAGAGAGAAATGTTTTGAGTCCTTATTTCGATGTGTCTAACTTCTCTGAAAGATCTAAGGTGGCTACATGTAGCCAAGGTACTATTTCCCTTCATTTAAAACAAAATCCAAGATGGAGGGGAAGCCAGTTATTATAAATAAAGTTTCGGTGCCACAAAAGAAATAGCACTCGAATATAAAATTTTCTTTTTAATTCTCAGCAAGGCAAGTTACTTCTATAGAAGGGTGTGCCCTTACAGATGGAGCAATGGTGAGTGCACACCTGGACAAGGGAGGGAAAGGGGTTCTTATCCCTGACGCACGTGGCCCTTGCTGCTGTGTCGATCCCCTATTGGCTAAGGTTAGATCGCACAGGTTAAACTAATTCCGATTGGCTACTTTAAAGAGAGTGACAGGTGTGAGTGGTTTGGCGGGAAAGAAATGGTTATGCAGGGTGGAGAATGAGTCAGGATGGAGAATGAGTCAGGGCGGAGCAGGTAATCGGGAGTGGAGCAGGTAATCGGAATGAGTCAGGGTGGAGCAGGTGATTGGAATGAGTCAGGGTACAGCAGATAATCAAAAAAGGTTGCTTTATGAGGAAGTCAAGTTTAAAAGTAGAAGGAAAAGAATTAAACATACTGACATATTGATTATTTGAAAAGAAATTTGAACTCATATCTAACACAGTGAAAGAACATTCATTTATTCATTCATCAAACATTTAATGATCACTTAACTTAATTCTAATTTTTTGAGTTCTTATTTCGATGTGTCTAACACAGAGGTTTTCCTCTGGTGTGAGACATTCTCCTGGCCATGAAAAGAACAGTCATGGGGAAGATGTTTCTTTACCAAGGTATTCTTAAAATATTCTTAGAGTGTTCTAAAAGCTTTAGCAGTTCATGTAGTAATTAATATATTCAGATGGATTAGTCACTTACCAGCAAAACACTTGATTTCTTTAGCATTGCTAGAGGCAAAAAATCCCCAATGTTTAGCAGACTTAATCAGTAGCCCAGAGTCACAGTTGAGATCATTTATAAGGCCAATGGACAAGATCAAGTGGCAAGGAGCACTGACCACCAAAGACTGATAAAATGTGTTATCTAATGAAATAAAATGAGTTTCCATTTTACCAAAAGGGGCTCACTTTCAAAAGGCCAGTCCCTATTGAATAAAATGTATATTCAATGAGCTACTCTCACTGACATTCCCACCACTTTCTCTTCAACCCGGCTCCACTCACGGAGCATGCCCTGACTCCCCAGATCTGGTGCCCTCAGCCTCTGGGCAGCATGACCTACAGAGCCCCAGGTGAGAGGCCAGAAGAAAGGCGTGCATGGCACTGCCCTCTCGAGCTCTGTAACCTCTGAGAGTCACCAAGTCATTTTGACATACTGAAACTGTTTCCTCAACTGGAAAAAAGGGGTAATACATTTCCCCTTCTTCCCTCACAGGGTTCTTTAAAGAGAAAACTAAGATAATTACCAAGTGTATCAGTCACGGTTCTCTAGAGAAAATCCAACTATATATGTTCAACTACACAACTAATACGATATAGTTATAGATATTCTATTACATATATACCATATATATTTAAAATATATCTATAAAGTATATATCACATATAAAATATACATATGATAGACATAAAGAGATTTGATTTAAAGAATGAGGTTCTGGCTGGGCACGGTGGCTCACGCTTGTAATCCCAGCACTTTGGGAGGCCGAGGCAGGTGGATCACGAGGTCAGGAGTTTGAGACCAGCCTGGCCAACATGGGGAAACCCTGTCTCTACTAAAAATACAAAAATTAGCTGGGCGTGGTGGTGAGTGCCTGTAATCCCAGCTCCTCGGGAGGCTGAGGCAGAATTGCTTGAACCCAAGAGGCAGAGGTTACAGTAAGCCAACATCATGCCACTGCACTCCAGCCTGGGCAACAGAGCAAGACTCCATCTCAAAAAACAAACAAACAAACAAAAAGAGTGAGGTTCACATGATCATGGAGGCTGGTAAGTCTAAACTTTGTAAGACAGGCTGGGAACTCAGGCAGGATTTCCATGTTTCAGTCTTGAGGCAGAATTCCTTCCTTAGGAAACCTGTTTTTGCTCTTAAGACCTTCAGCTTATTGGATGAGGCTCGTATGGACTGAAATGTGTCTTCCCAAAATTCATGTGTTAAAGCCCTCACCCCCAAAGTGATTGCATTTGGAGACAGGGCTTTTTTTTTTTTTTTTTTTTGGCAGAGTCTCACTCTGTCGCCCAGGCTGGAGTGCAGTGTCACAGTCTCAGCTCACTGCAACCTCTACTTCCTGGGTTCAAGCGATTCTGCTGCCTCAGCCTTCCAAGTAGCTGGGACTACAGATGTGCGCCACCATGCCCAGCTAATTTTTCTATTTTTAGTAGAGATGGGGTTTCACCATATTGGCCAGGCTGGTCTTGAACTCCTGACCTCACGATCTGCCTGCCTCGGCCTCCCAAAGCGCTGGGATTACAGGCTTGAGCCACTGCACCCGGCAGAGACAGGGATTTTAAAGAGGTGAAGAAGGTTAAATGAGGTGACAGGGTGGGGTAGTGGGAAGAAACACCAGAGAACAGGCCATGTGAGGATGCAGGGAGAAAGCAGCCATCTGCAAGCCAAGGAGAGGCCTCAGGAGAAACCAACCCTGCCACCATCTTGATTTCGGACTTCCAGCCTCCAGAACTGTGAGAAAGGCATTTTTGTTGTTTAAGCCACCCAGTCTGTGTTACTTGGTTACGGTAGCCCTAGCAAACCAACACAGGAGTCCACCCGCAAGTTAACCATTATCTCCTTTACTTAAAGTCAACTGATTTTAGATGTCAATCACACAACTTCTAAACTAGTATTTGATGAAACAGCTGGGCACCGCAGCCTAACTCCCCATTAGCAAATGCATGAACACTTCAGCAGTAAAATGTGTCCTCACACTAAGTAAAATAAAGCCTATCATTAGCCTTCCTGACTTTGGGTCAGGTTTGGCACCAAATGAGTTACAAAATAATCATTGGTCTTTGAAGCTTGGGAGATGAGAATTAGAGATGGAAGATCAAAGATTAATTTTACTTACTTCATAGTTTTGACTCTAGTCAGACCTGCCTGCCCAGGTATATTGAAAGAGCAAAGTACTTTTATCCATTTCAAATAGTTATATAATGGCTGCCATTCATAAATATGTAATACTCTGCTACATATTAAATAAACTTTTTCTCAGATATCTTTCAGAACAATCCTGTGAGGTGCATGTTATGATGCCCATTTTATAGAAGAGGAACCTAAGCACAGAGAGGGAAAGTAATTTGCCCTAAATTACACAGCTATAAAGAGGCAGAGCGGGGTAGTGCATATGACCAGCACACTATGCTGCCTCCTCCCATGAGATGATGTGTACAGAAAGAAAGTCTCACTGTTCAGAAAACATAGTCCACGCTCTGGAGCCTACATCATCACCACGTGTTCTTGGTGTCTCTTCCTAGTGCCCTCACGCTCATCTGACACTCATAAAGCCCTTTCATTTTGGTTTGTCCTCAGATAGCTGCGGGAAGAGATGCCCTAAAGATCTGGTGTGGATGCTGCCTTCCTCACAGCTCCTCAGTGGCTCCCCATTAATTACTCCACACAGGCAGTAAGCCTCATCATAGCACTCAAAGCCCCTAGGACTTGGCCTTAACTGATTGGTCGGTTTAGCAGCACCATATTTTATTGCTGCTTTCCAACTTTCATGTGTTCCACTAAACTGGAAAAACCTCCTCTCCCAATAGCTGCTGCGGCTTCTCCTCTGAGGTTGCTGAATGAAGCTTTGTGGTGTGGCAGAAGCAGGGAGGGTTCCAGAGTCCTACTGGCCCCCTGTTTCACCATCTGTGTTAACTTCAGGGAGTTATTTTCTCATTCTGAGCCGTTTTCCACTTGGAGGAGAGGGGCAGAGTTGTACCTACTGCACAGGGTTGGTGTGAGGACTCAGAAGGATACAGAACATAAAGCACCAATTGTCCTGTGTTAATATAAGAAGGTTGAGAAATACTATTCTTTCTCCCTGACAGGGAGCCTGTGAGCCAGGCAGGAACAGGCTCATCCGTGTCACGCAGGGTCAGTGTTTAGTGCCTCTGTCTTTGGCCGATGAGTGGACTCACACCTCTGGCACATGGCCTCATTCACTCCCAGAATAGCAGAAGCCACCTGGTGGTTGCTGGCGCTGGTCCTCACGCCTTGAATCAGAGCTCTCCTGGAAAGGTCTTCCTTCAGCTCCTTTCAGTTACATGATTGACATGCTTTTTTCTGGCAGTAAAGCTGGGAATGGAACTCCACAGACTTGAAAAACATTGAATGGTGTCTTGCTGAAATTGCTTTTTTTTTTTTCATTTTTAATTCGAAGAAAACAAAAGCCCAAACCTTGCAGTGGAAAAGTCATTAAATAATTTACTGCATTTGCCGTTTTAAGTGGTAATTTAATACAACCATCCTTGAAGCCTCCTTTAGGACAAAAATTTTGAGATAGAAACAAAAAAGGGCACAGTAGCTATACTTATATCAGATAAAATAGACTTCAAGCCAAAATCTGTAAAAAGAGACAAGGCCATCCTATAGTAACAAAGAGGTCAATACAGCAAGAGGATATAACAATTGAAAAAAATATCTATATTCAACATTGAAACACCTAAGTATGTAAAGCAAACATTGAACAGATCTAAAGGGCGAGATAGACTGCAATACACTTGTAGTAGTGTACTTTAACACCCCATTTTCAGCAACGGACAGATCATCCAGACAGAAAATCAACAAAGAAGCATCAGAATTAAACTGGACTCTAGACCAAATGGACCTAACAGATATTTACAGAAAATTCCATCCAATAGTTTCAGAATACACATTCTTCTCAACAGCACACAGAACATTCTCCAGGATAGATTATAAGTTAGCCCACAAAACAAATCTTAACAAATTTTCAAAAATCAAAATCAGAATTATATCAAGTATCTTTTCTGACCACACTGGAATAAAACTAGCAATCAATAACAGGAGGAACTTTGGAGAGTGTATAATTACATGGAAATTAAACAACATGCTCCTAAACAACCAATGGGTCAACAAGGAAATTTAAAAGGAAATTAAAAAATTTATTAAGACAAATGAAAATGGAAACACAACTTACTAAACCTATACAACAAAAGCAGTTCTAGGAGGGAAGTTCACAGCGATAGATGCTTACGTCGAAGAAGGAGAAAGATCTCAAACAACCTAATGTTGCTCCTCAAGGAACTAGAAAAACAAGAACAAATTAAAACCAAGATTAGTATAAGGAAAGAAATAATAAAGATCAGAGCAGAAATGAGCAAAGTAGAGACTAAATAAACATTATAAGAGATCAATAAAATGAAGAATTGGCGTTTTGAAAAGATAAAATAGACAAACTGTAAGCTAGACTAACAAAGAAAAAAGAGACGACTCAAATAAAATCAGAGATGAAAAAGGAGACATTACAACTGATACCACAGAAATACAAAGGATCAGAAAAGACTAGTATGAACAACTATATGCTAACAAATTGGAAAGCCTGGAAGAAATTAATAAATTCCTGGACACATACAACCTACCAAGATTGAATCATGAAGAAATAGAAAACCTGAACAGACCAATAATGAGTAATAAGGTTGAATCAGTAATATTTAAAAAGTTTCCTATCAAAGAGAAGCCCAGGACCTAGTGCCTCACTAGGGCCCATCCCATAAATGAGAAGTAGCCTTCCTCCAGCAGAAGGCCATGTTTTCTGGAATCAGGAATCTGGGTAGTATGAGAAGCCAGAAGCTCTCACATATTTTCTGGCAAAACACAGTTGTCTAATGGCTTTGCAATTCACGCAGTTGTCTAATGACTTTGCAATTCCATGGAGATTAATTTACCTTCAGGGGTAAAATATGGAGACATTTAGAGAGAAAACCAAATGCCGATGTTTTAAAGGTAGCCTGAAGCTTTATCAGTGTTGTGTGTGCATAAGATCCTGGTTCAAGGAGATTTGAAAAGACATTTGTAATCTGTGGGATTTGATGATTTTTCATTCTCTCATTGGCTTTTCAAAATGTACAGCAACTTTTTTCTTTGCAGAGCAGCAGTGAAGCATGTGGCTGTTGTTATTAATGAAAAACCTAAATGGATTTATTTCTTAGTTTAATATGTTAATTTCATTCTACATTATTATTATTCCATCTGGTATAAAATCCTCAAGAAACCACTTGTGATCTTTTTAAAAAAAATTGCAGTAAATACATATAACATGAAATGTACCATCTTAACCATTTTTAAGTATACAGTTCACTGGCATTAAGTACATTCGTATTGTGCTATTTGTTACAATTTTGCCCTTCCTCCTACCCCCACCCTCATCAGTCTGGACTCACGTAATGGTCACAGAAGACTCTGTTGACTAATTGATATTTCTACTCGTGCCATTCTAACTCTATTGGAGGATATCACACCTTTGTCCTGTGAGGGTCTCTCCTCCATTTGAACAGTAATACCACCAAACACTTTAATTTCAGCCAACCTCCCACAGCACTATGGTGAATAATATGTTTATCTCTAATTTATAGTCATTCTTCTTTACACGAAGACTACAGAAGAAAAGTTATAAGAGGGGAAGGAGCCAGTGTTTATTGGATAGCACTGTGCTCCTTTTATGCTAAGCAATTTACAGATCTCATCTATTTACTGTTTTCAGGTATCCTTTACCATAAGTGGTATTATCTCCTTTTAGCAGATGAGAAAATTGTGGCCCAGAGAGATTAGGTAACAAGGTCACACAACTGGGATTGAACTCCATGTTCAAATGAATCCAAAATCCAACATGGTACGTGGGCTAAGAGGAAAAGAACTCAGAAAGACAGGAAGATTCTAGGAGGGAGACGGGAACAGCGAATGAGTGAGGAAGTGAGTAAAAGAAAGAGAATGCTGGTCTCCCTTTCTAAAATCAACATCATTAACTCTGCTCTTAACAGCGCTAACAGGGTCTTTAGCTGACTGGGCTGCTTTCTTAAGAAGAGTCCTCACAGAAAGGGCTTTGGGCCCTCCTCTCCCCCACTGGGAATCTGATTACACACATCACAGGTTACTTTGATCACTGGCATTCTTCTGCTCAAAGGATCACTCAGAGCTGCAGGCAGAGTTTCTGACTCTGCCCCAAATTAAAACACCAACTATTTGTCAAGATAGACTTTTCTTAACCAACCATCTCCAAGTATTGGAATGTCTCTGTCTAGTTGAAAATGCCCCCCAGGGAGTTACCATGGCAATCCCTGTCTGCAGAATGGCAGGATCAAATCCTTAAAAGAGACTTCCAAATTGGTGTGGCCACTTGCAGCCAGAGGCCCACACTGGGTTTTGCTGTGGGTATCTATCTGATGACCCTAGTCTAAGGCATGACAATCCAGGAGTCAAACTCAAAGTTACCGAAGACATGTGAAGCATCTCCCTCAGCCTCAGGAGTGGGTTTGCAGGGTCTTTATCAGGCTGTGCTTATTTTCCTCTGTCTTTGCCCCATCTTCCAAATTCAAAGTCAAACACTTAAAAGATTTATCTGTTATAGAAATGGACTGGCATGCAAGCTAGTGAAGAGGTAGCTTGCTCAATGAAGGCAGATAAAAGAAGATAAAAACATTTGAAGATTTGAAAATTGGAATTTGTTTTTGATAAAGAAAGATAATTTTCAAGAGATCTCAATAATTGTGCCTGTGGGGGTTTTTTGTTTTTGTTTTAAAAAATGGAATAGAAATGTAAACAGCAAAGAGGTTTGAAATGCATAGTTTGACACAGGCAAGTTTCAAAATTATACGCCCTCCAGCAAGTCAGTCTTATGCCAGGTTTTGATAAGTGCCGTGATCCATATAAAGGGGACATACAACATACCTTAGCATTTAAAAGATGTACAAGGTCAGTTACATGTGCGTGTAGGGTTTGTAGATGTGTGCAGAAAGATCTGTAAATGTTACAGAAGCATTAGGCTTTCCAATCCTCTTTTTGTAATATCTTGTTACATTGTTATTTTCCTTGGCTCTAACCACCCAGGAAGATTCCACAAAAGTCCATTCATCTCTTTCTTCCATCCCCTCTGCCTGATCTCTCTGGCCATCATAGTCTGACGCCACAGCAGGAAAAATTTAGACCCCAGCTATAAGGGACTTGGGAGCCCCAGAATCTTGGAAAATTCAGAAGAATGAAATACTTTTGTCATAGGATGGTGTATTAGTTTCCCAGGGTGGCTTAAAAAAACCAAGAATATATTCTGTCATAGTTCTCAAAGCCAGAAGTCCAAAATCCAGATGTCAGCAGGATTGGCTCCTTCCGGAGGTTTGAGGGACATTCCTTCCTGTACATCTCTCCTAGCTTCCGGTGGCGTCTGGCGCTCATTGGGTTCTTTGTCTTGCAGATGGGTCATCCCAATCTCTGCCTCCATCTTCATGCAGTGTTCTCCCTGTGTGTGTCTGTGTCTCTTCTCTTCTTCTTATATGGACTCCAGTCATATTGGATTAGGGTCTCCCCTAATCCAGGATGACCTCATCTTAACTTGATTGGTTACATTTGCAAAGATCTTATTTCCAAATAAGGTAACATGCACAAGTAGGGGGTGAGGTTAGGATCCCAACATATCTTTATGTGAGACACAGTTCAAACTACAGCAGTTGGATTCCTCCTAAAATGGACCCTGAGACAAACATTTGAATGCAAATAGCTTATTGGTGAGGAGGTCTCAGGAAGCACTGGGAAATAAGTGGGGAAATGAGAAAGGGAAGAGGAGGAAGCCAACCAGTACAGAGTGGAATAACAAGTATCTGAGCACACAGCAAGATACCCAGCACCAGAGCACAGGGGCAGAGTCACAGGAGTCCTGTTGGCAGTAGACAGTCATCATATCTGGGGCTAGTGAGGGCCGTGGACTACCAAGAACATCCACTCCAACTTCAGGTGCTCAAAAGAGAATTCTTTTTTGTTGAGAATAAGGAATTTTTATTGTAAATCACCTCAATTCTTTTTTAAATGTTGGCAGGTAACATTGTTTAATAAATTACAAGTAAGATATTTTACTCCAAAATCATTTTCTTTGAATATTGCCCAGCTATAGAGCATCACAAATAATTTAAAATTAATAATTGCGTTATCTGCAGTTTAAAATAACCTTGTCCCTATGTCATATCTTTCCATCTTCACTGAGTTTGATTTTCAGTCCTATGCCTTCCTCTCCTCAGTCCATGCCCATCCAGGTAAATTTCTATTCTGTCTTCAAGACCAAATTGTATCTCACCATTGACCATGAGCTCCACCCAGTCATCCATACTACAGATCCTTGTACATAGTAATTACTCTATAAGTGTTTGATGAATGAGTGAATAAGTGAATCAATGTAGGATCACTGATTGTTTCAAGCTCTCCATCCCACACAACTTTAGAGCAGGACTCTAACAACATTACTGTGCAATTCATTATACTTCAAAATGTGTCATAAACTAGGATATACTTTATATTCACATGAATACCTTGAAAATACTTACTAACAATTTGTTCAGGTGTCACTGAAAAGGCCATTACATGACTGATTTTTCTTCCTACAATGCGATTTGCTTTGATTTGCCACCGCGTGGCTCTTTCCTCAGGGTCTGTCAGTATTCCGTTCACAGCTTCTTCTCTTTGACTCCAGGTCTGCTTGCTGCCTTTCCTCCAAAGAGGAAAGCCTGTCACCTGTCATCTCTCAGTAGGCTGGAATCTTGGTGATTCTAGAGCCCAGCATGCAGCAGCCCTGCTCTGCGTGCTGCAATTCTAATGCTCCCTTATGCAGAAGTGGGGATGATGTGAAGCTCTTTTCCAATATCATAATTCTTGTTTGGATTCTAATCCACACAAGATTAACCTTTTCTGGATTTCTGCAGGAGCTGAGGAACATCTAAAACACAAGCCATTTGTCTTTAAATTATCCAATTTTATGATCATAAATTCACCTATGATTCTATGAAATGCAATGCTACTACCAGAACCAATTCTAGAAGAAACATCATTCTTGGTTTCTCCTTCATTATTATTGCCTATATTATCAACACTGTCAACACCAATAACATTTGTCAAGCACCAAAACAGTGTGAGCTGTTTTCCTTGGGGCTAGAGGAGAAGAGGCAACATCACCTTTTAAACTTGGAGCTTAAAATCTATTGCACTGGCATTTTTTACAGGCATTTTTTGAGCATCCACCCAACTATTTAATAAATAGTGATTGCAGGCCTACTGCCGTAAGACTGCAATGGTGAACAAGACCCAGCTCCCCATGAATGTCCATAATGACAGTATTCATCATAGCCAAAAGCTGGAAACAATCCAAGTGGCCATCAGCAAATGAATCATTAAACAAAATGTGGTGTGTGCGCGTGCACACACACACACAAACACACACACACACACACCAGAATATTACTCAGCTATAAAAAAGGATGATGTCCTGATACACATTACAACGTGAATGAAGCTTGAAAACATATGCTAAATGAAGGAAGTCAATCACAAAAGATCACTATCTTAGTCTGTTTTGTGTTGCTATAACATAATACCTGAGACTGGGTAATTCATAAAGAAAAGAGGTTTAGACTGGGCACCTGTAATCCCAGCACTCTGGGTGGATCACTTGAGGCCAAGAGTTCAAGACCAACCTAGCCCACATGGCAAAACCCCATTGCTACTAACAAATACAAAAATTAGCCAGGCGTGGTGGCATGCACCTGTAATCTCAGCTACTCGGGAGGCTGAGGCAGGAGAATCACTTGAACCCAGGAGGAGGAGGTTGCCGTGAGCTGAGATCACGCCACTGTACTCCAGCCTGGGTGATGGAGTGAGACTCTCTCAAAAAAAAAAAAAAAAAAAAGAGAGAGAAAAAAGGTTTCATTTAGCTCATGGTTCTGCAAACTGGGAAGTTCCAGGCATGGTGCTGGCATCTGCTGAGGGCTTCTGTGCTGTCATAACGTGGTGGAGAAGGTTAAAGGGAAGCAGACACATGCAAAGAGGCACAAAATGGGAGGAGGAATCTCACTTTATAACAATCCACTCTTGCAGGACGAATTCATTCCCAGAGAATAAAACCAGTCTCTTGAGAATGAGAACTAAGTACTGCGCGAGAATGGCACCAAGCCATTCCTGAGGGATCCACCCCCATGACCCAAACACCTCCCACTAGGCCCTACTTCCCAACACTGTCACATTGGGGATCAAATTTCAACATAAGTTTTGGTGGAAACAAACCATATCCAAACCAAAGCAGTCACATATTAAAGATTCCCCTTATATCCAAAATAGGTAAATCTGTAGAGACAGAACACAGGGGCTGGGAGGAGGGCAGTATAGATAATGACTGCTTAATAGGTATGGAATTTCTTCTTGGCGCAATGAAAATGTTTTGGAGCTGGCTAGAGGTGGTGGTTGCACAGCAGTGTGAAGGTACTAAGTGCCACTGAATTGTGCAATTTAAAACGGTTAATTTTATGTTGTGTGAATTTCACCAAAATAAACATAAATTTTTTAAGATCTAATTTTTATTCCTCATAGTGCATTATTTTCAGTTTAATGTCTAGAGTTGTATGGGCATTCAAAGAATCTATAATGTAATGGAGGAGACAGACAACAATCTAGAAATGGAGGCAATAATTTCAATATCATTGAGAGCTTTAAAGCAGAAAAGTACATGAAAACTATTCATGGATAAAAGCTGGACGAGGAATAATAGAGAATTTAGGCACCGTGGTGTTCATGCCTCATGGCCTTAGCCCCTTGATTAACAGAGGGTTTTCTTTGTTTTTTTTGGGGGGGGGCGCGGGGTGGGGGTTTAGCAGCCACCAACCAAGTTGATGGAGGAAGAGAGAAATAAAATGATGATGGAGGCACAGATTCTGCCTGCCCTCAATCCCACCTGCTGTCCACTGACATTCTAATGAGGGACAGAAACCTGCCCACAGGCAACTGGAAAATGAGGTAAAATAGTCAATGCTCTGGGAGGAAGGAGACATCAAGCTCCGTGCAAGCCCAGGAGGAAGGGAAGTCATCTCCATCCAAGAGAAGGAACCACTGTCTACTCATGCAGGGCTGATGGTACATGCCAGGGCTCTGTGCCCCAAAGGCTGTTCTGAAAAGAAATTCATCCCATCAGTAAAGGAGGCCAGTTATGCGTGTGGCAAATTATTTTCCAGTTAGATCAGCAGCCTGCGGAGAATTTAGGACATGCTCAAAGTGCCAGCTGATTCTGGTCTCCTTCTTAGTTTTCTCTCCCCAAGAGTTGCCCATCTGGCTTCCCATATTCTTTGGGGTTGGGTGTTGAAGGTGGGAAGCATCAAGGACAAGGAAACTCTATTTCTGGGTTTTGCTCTCAGCCGGGACAGGTGCTCAATGTTTCATTTACAGTATCTCTCACAGTCATCCTTTGAAATAGGGATTATGACCATCCCTCTTTTGCAGATGAGGCCCGGAAAAGTTCAGTGATTTGCTCAAATTCCACAGTCTTTTGACCTTTTGGTAATGAAATCAGGATTGGAACCAAGGCCTGTCTGATAGTCCAGGCTCTGCTCTGTGTACTTCACCCTACAGCCTCCCAGTTTGGCTAAGAATCAACACTATCGGGCATAAACCTTAATTAGGAGAAGTTTCCAGTTGAAAACATGAAAGGAAAAATTAGTGTGAAGCTGGAAATGTTAAGGACCAGTAGTTTAAAACATCATGCACAGCAGACGTCGTAATTCCCTGGGTGACTGAGGCTGACTCCATTGAGACCTCGGCTCTCCTTCCTATGATAGGGTCCAACTTGACCTTAGGGTCAGGTTGCAGTGGATCAGAAGCCAGGAGCCTGGGGGAGGGGAGGGAGAGTCAATTCAGCCCTCAGCTAGATCATGTCTGACCTTTTAATGTTTTTGTTTTGTTTTTTTGTTCTGTTTTGTTTTGAGACAATGTTTCACTCCCATCACCCAGGCTGGAGTGCGGTGGCCGGATCACGGCTCACTGCAGCCTTGACTTCCTGGGCTCAGGTGATTCTCCTGCCTCAGCCTCCTGAGTAGCTGGGACTACAGGAGCATGCCACCACACCTGGCTAATTTTTTGTATTTTTAGTAGAGACGGGGTTTCACCATGTTGCCCAGGTTAGTCTTGAACTGCTGGGCTAAAGCAATTAGCCTGCCTTGGCCTCCGTGCTGGGATTACAGGCATGAGCCATTGCACCTGGCCTTATTTTTTTTCTTCAAAAATTTTTTTAGCATTTTTGAACTTGAACCCAGTGTTAACAATTCAGGAGATTTTACATAAAATACTGATTTCTGCCTCCTTTTGACAAACGACATTGGACCTGTGCTCCTAAGCATTCTGCAGGAGTTGGGCAGCAGTGCTTCAGTTGGGTGGGCTCCCTTCCCCGCAGGATCTGCCTAGCTCCCTGTGCATCTGTGACCTTGGTTGCCACCTGAACTCATGCCCTCAGCCCAGAGCCGAGGCCTCAGGGGAGGCGTCTGATGAAGAAGGAGCAAATTGTATGCAGACCTGAGTTCACTCTGCTGTAAGGAAAAGGCCAGAATTGACATTTTTAAAATTCAGTATCGTCTAATAATAAAACTCTGTATTTACTGAGAGCTGTGCTTCTGAGAGCACCAGGCTTTGTACAAACATCACTCTGGAATGACAACAGAGGCTCGGGGAAGTGAGAAGGTGACTTGGACTAGGATCTCCATAGTTAAAAGAAACAGGCATAAAGGAAAAGTGGCCTGCTCCAGGCAGGATACAGAGAGGCCAAAGCATCATGACGTGAATTCAAAGAACAAATCTTTGCTGAGCACAGACACGTAACAGGCACTGCAGCAGGCAACGAACAAGACAGTCTCTGCCCTGCGGTGCCTCTGCTTCCCAGGTCTTGCGCTCAGTTCTCTACTCCTTGACCACAAAAGAGATGAGGGAGGAAGGCCGCCTCTGTCCCTTCCCACAGGTCCACACTCCTCTCATGTTCACCCTCTTTATCTCAGGCTCTTGCATCTGTGATCTTTGGTGCACCCTAGTCCTCCTGAAACTTGTCCAGCAGCTGGGGCCCTGCTCATCCTCTGGCCTTAGTCCAGACACCACCTGCTCTGTGAAGCAATGATTGTATTGTTTTATATAAGTCTTTTTCTCTCTTCCCGCTGGGCTGTTCCCTCCATGGGAGGAGGGAGCATATTTGATAGGGAGGCATCTCTATTTTCCTGGCTGTGTTTCCAGGTGGAAGGGCTTCAGCCAGAACATTCCTGCCAACCCTACCCTGCCCCCAACATTAACTCCTTCTTTGAAGAAGAGTAACTGACGTATCTAGCTGATGAGCTGAAATGCCTGGTGCACTGGGCTCTGCCCTTTCTCTCTGTCTCTAATCTGGCTGCCCGTGGAGGAGGCAGCATATGCCCATCAGCCCTCAGCCTCATAGCAAGCTCCCTGGACACACTCAGCCCTTTTGGGGAGGACACTCAAGTGGTCTGGCTCTGCAGTAATGGATTGGACAAGCTTGTGAAGTAATGGGAGGTGGAACATCTAAACCACATCCTTCAATCCATTTTTACCAGTAATAAAGCTGGTATTTTAATCTTCCTCCTTCAGACTCCTGAATATCTCTCCACTGGTTTCAAACTCAGAGGATGATGACAGGAGTGTGATTTCTTTCTCCCTTAGAACTCTACTAGGGTCTCCTTATCGCTTCTATCCTCATGACTAGTGCGGGGCCTGGTACATAATATAGGCGCTTGCAATCTGTTGGATAATAAATTAGTCCAAGATTCTGGGATGGGAGGCCCCTACTTTCCTTCCCCACTGTAGGAAAAGTGCAAAGCACACCCACTGTCATGCAACACTGGGTACACGGGATTTCCAGGCAGGGGTAGGGCAAGGGTGGGGCAGGAGACGCCTCCCAGGCTGAAGTATGAGGGTCTTCTAGCTTTGATAAGATTATGTATGAAATGGAATTGTTCCAGCCCAGGGCAAAGACCAGTAAGGAACTTTCTGTTGGAAGAATAAAATCTACGTGAATTTGATGAAGTTGAATTCTTTTTTTTTTTTTTTTTTTGAGACGGAATCTCGCTCTCTCGCCCAGGCTGGAGTGCAGTGGCGCCGTCTCGGCTCACTGCAAGCTCCGCTTCCCGGGTTCACGCCATTCTCCTGCCTCAGCCTCCCGAGTAGCTGGGACTACAGGCGCCCGCCACCACGCCCGGCTAATTTTTTGTATTTTTAGTAGAGACGGGGTTTCACCATGTTAGCCAGGATGGTCTCGATCTCCTGACCTCGTGATCCACCCGCCTCAGCCTCTCAAAGTGCTGGGATTACACGCCCAGCCGAAGTTTAATTCTTTTGAGGGAAATGGAAATAACGGTCAAGTTTTTCTTTAAAAAGCACTCATCTGTCTAACTCAAAAGCAGCAAATGTTGAACACAGGATGCAACCAGATTTCAAAAGATAAGTCCCCTCACGTTTGTCTTCCTCCCTCCATCAACAGAGTCAGAACAAGAGAAGCCCTGGCTGTAAGGAGATGAGAAACTTCATGGGAGATGCCAGTGGCCAGAAGTCAGGTGTAAATTTTAATGTGGTCCAGGGAGAGGAGATCACTGAAGCTGGGAGAGTTTGCATAACCCCCAGGCAATGACAAAAGTTAAAAAAAAAGTTTGTTTGCTTGTTTGTTTGTTTAAAGCATGAAAATAACAAGGGAACATAATAGAGATCTGAAGACCTCCACCCACAGCACAGAGGAGCAGAATGTGGAATTTTCGGCAGGAAAGTAAACAGAAAATAATGTGAAATTTAAAATGAATTGACAAAATAAGTAGCCCATAATCATCATATATTTCTGTTGTCTTGGTGCTAGAGCGGCATTGACTCCTAGATCTAAATCTTCTGTGGGGCAGGGGCTGCCAAGGTTAGGGAGCAGGAGGTGGCAGGGCTGCTGGATGGAAAAAAGCCCACGCAGACAGGGACCCACTGATGAAACTCAGGTCTCTTCCAGATACGTTCCCACAGCTTTCTGCTCTTTTGGTTGTGGCAACTCCGTGTGGTAAAAGGTGGGGTTGCTGCCAATTCATGCCCAGTTATAAATGTTGGCTTTGCCACTCACCCAGTTGTGATGTTTAGCAAGTCCCTCAGTTTCCCCATTTGTAAAATGAGGATAATTGCATCTATTATCTCAGAAATTGTTACGCAAATTATGTAACCTAAACTAATACTATGTGCCACAACCTAAGAACATTTTATCACCTTGTGGATCCAGAAATTCCATCTTGTCAAAAAAAGATTCCCTCTTGTCAAAGACTTGTAGTTCTCTTAGGAAGGGTAAATTCAGGAAGTCCTAATAATCAACAGTACAGATTGCTTCCTCTCTCTCTCTCTGTCTACCTTGTGTATGTTTTCAGTTTTTAGTTCCCGGCTGTCTTAGTCCATTCAGGAAGCAAAACCTTTCAGGGATGGGCCACAGCGTAGCCCTAAAGTGAATTACGATAACGTGATAGTAATGCTTTCATTAATTAGCCGTTCATCTGTTTCAGGCATGAGATAACCCTCTCAACAGTGAGAGAGACGCTGTTATCATTCTCCTTTTGCACATGAGGAAACTGAGGCCCAGAGAGGTTCTGTAGCTCGCTTCAGGTCTCATACCTAGTAAGTTCTGTCAAGTCCAGCCCTGCTGGGCGTATGCCCTGCCTTCATCTCCCTGTGCCCTCCTTCCTATCTCCCTCAACTGCATTCCTAGCTGGGACTGGGAGGAGAGCATAAAAGATAAAAAGAGAAGCCAGTGGAAAGACCCAGGAACACTGGGGTGGCCTCCCTGGGTCTCATCCTCTCTGCTTCATGGTCCCCTCTGCATAACAGAGATATGGGCCTCCTAGGACTGTCATGAGAATTAAATGAGGTAATTACAGAATGTGCTTGCCAGGGTGCATGGCATGTATTCAGCATTCAATAGATGTTGGCTGTTATGATCATTATTGGCTTTGTCCTCTCAACCAGAGCATGCCTAGAGGGAGAAAGAGAGAAAGAAGCAACAGGAGGAAGGAGGAGGGGGAATAGGAGGAAAGGGGAGTAGGGGAGGGAGGAGGGAGGAGGCAGAGGAGGGCACTACCCTTGATCATTAGCACCCTGTACTCAGATCTTAGCAGACTCTTGTCTCAGAGATACATGGGGGTGATTGCTTGAATCTGCTAAAAGAAATAACTAGTGCTTGTGGTCACCAGATTAAACAGCTAATCATGGCTCTGCATCTGTGATTATAAAGGAGCGAAAGCTGCTCAGAATGGAGAGCTTGTTAGGTAAGAATTGAATGAGCGTTAGTCACTTCTAGAGGCAAAACTTGCAATGAACATCAGAAGCTGTTGTGTCTTATGCATGAATCAAGCAATGTCTTATGAGGGTTTATTCTTTTTAAGTATCCAAGGCCAAACCTCAAATGTCTTAAAAATGAGGACCCAGGATAAAAAATGAATCTGAAACATAACAGGTTATTATTCAGTTCAAAAGACTGGCCTCTGGCTTCAGCTACTAATTAAAGTGTTTAAAATACTTTTTTCCTCTCTCTTTCTCTCCCTTATGTATATTTTTAGTTTTTGTTTTGCAACTGCCCTAGTCGATTCAGGCTGCTATAATAAAATACCTTAGACTGGGTAATTTATAAACAATGAAATTTACTTCTCATAGTTCCAGAGGCTGGGAAGTTCAAGATCAAGGCGCCAGTGGGTTCAGTGTCTGGTGAGAGCCTATTCCTCGTAGACGGCAACTTCGATGTGTCCTCACATGGTGGAAGGGGCAAAAAGAATTCCTCAAGCCTCTTTTATAAGGTCACTAATCCCATCCAGAAGGGCTGCACTCTCATGACCTAGTCCACCTCCCAAAAGCCCCATCTCTTACTACAAATACATTGGGGATTAGATTTCAACTTATGAATTTGGGAGCCACACCAGTAGCAGATCATAGCACCAGTAACTCTGGGCTCACCTGTAGTCATTTCATTTCTCCCCAGGTCTCATCTGCAGTGTGTCAGAGCTTTGACATCTGAGGAAATGAGCTGCCATATCTTCTGATCACCAGGTTTCTCTTGCTGCTCTGACTAGGGAGCAGAGTGCCTTTCTTCCTCAGCCTTCCCTAGTTGCAAGGTCATGGCAGAGGGGGGCATTGATACTATTGGACATGTCTGCTGTGGTGCCTGCCTGACCAAGCTCCCACTGCTCACACCCATGGTGCACACCTGCCCCTGCTTCCTGGTCTCTGCTCACTGATTCAAAGGAAGGTACCTGTCCCAAGGGCTGTGATCATCTGGCTTACAGAGATGGGCTGGACCCATCCCAATTTTTTTTTTTCTCAGAAAGTCTAACCAAGAAAGATACAGTGCATGTGCCCACTGGTTGCAGGAATTGTAGCCAAAAGGTCATGCAGCAGAGTCAGGGATAAGGAGACCTTATCTAGGTGAAGAGCCCTGCTGGTGGCTCCACAGAAAAAAAAAAACAGATGTGAAGTGTGTGGCTGCGTCCAGTCAAGGTGGAACAGCAGAATAAAGTTTCAACCCTGTGGCAGAGTCCTGTGGACCTAGAAAGAAACTAAGGCATGGCTTAGGCAACAATGAATGTATGTGAGCCAAATTTGAGTGACCACAGCCCAGGAAACATTTCGAAGTTACTTTGGGAAGTGCTCCTGAGAACAAAAATGAAGTTCAAGCTTTTAAAGAAAAAAGGCCAAACCAGTGGGGCAATTTCAAGAGTTGTTTTTCAAATATTACAATTGGTGTGATTGTATCTAAAGCAGCCTTGGAGTCAAGGGGTTGGTTGTAACAGTCTAAAAGGGCGCCTGTGGTCAGGGACTGCCCAGTTCAGCAGGAAATAATGAAGGTAACAGCAGGTGTTTTGGCAGTTGCTCAAGCAGGGGCTGTGATCTCCAGGGTCTAGTGTTCTCTACTTAAGATGTGCCTGAGGCTCAAGCCAAAATGGCCTCCTGGCTTCATTTTAGGTCCTTGACTAAATTTTTGCCATCTTCCGCCATCTTCCTCTGTCAGTCCCCAGATCCGGGTGAGTCCCCCGGGAGCTTGGCCTGATTACAGCACCATAGGGGTCCTCGGGGCCAAATAAGATTCTCTTTCTTGCAGCCAAGTGAACCCAATCCTGGTACTGGGTACAGAGAAAAAGGATGCCACTATTCCTGTGGCTAGAATACTCTTCTAGAAATGGGGAGGATTTCGTTCTGATGCCACTTTTCTCTTGTCTGCCCAAATTGCTTCTACAAGACGTCATTGAGTGCAGATCCCTGGCCTCAGAGCAAATCAGCCTGGCGTGGCTCTGGGCATGGAGCAGGCTGATCTGTGGGAGCATGAGGCCATGGGGCAGACTCAAGTGACTGCCCGTCTGCTTTCGGGTAGGGTGTGCGAGTAGCTGCAACAGTGGAAACAGCCTCTAAAACAAGGGCTTTAGCCCCACTTACAGATAAGTGGCAAATGTTTCTTATTTCTGAACTTGCTTATTGGTGCCAGCATACACATAGCCATTCAACAGGTACTTTCTGAGTCCTCTGATGTTCGAGTCACTGGGCTAGGTGGTAAGTGTGATTCAAAGATAAAATATTCAGGCAACTGTTGCTCTAGACTTATAATTTGGAAAACAAAGGGCATGTATTACAGACATCAAGACAAAACGTGTTAATTGTCATAAGAAGTACAAATAAAATGCAATAGGCATTCACAGTGGGGCTCAACTACTTCCTTCTGAAAGCATTAAGGGAAATATGGGGGCTGAGCTGACATTTTGTTTAGCTTCGACCATGGGGTAGGATTTGAAGGCTGGTGCAGGAGGCATGAACAGGAAGCACTTCATGTTTAGCTGGAGAGTAAAAAGCAAGAGAAGGAAAGAACTTCATCAAGTGGTAGGGGCAGATTGAGGGAAAATCCTAGGTGATGAAAAATACCACAATGTGGAATTTGGTCTTTATTTTGAAGACAAATTTTCTCATGGAAGGTTTTTGAGCGGAACAATGGAAGGCAGAGCCAGCCCTTAAAAAAATTACCAAAAATTGTAGGAAGGAGAGAGGCTCCAGATGAGCATGAGGAATTTTCCATGTCTCACTGAGTTGAGGGGAGGGTTGGCACACTTGCCCACCCTCGGGCGCCTCCATCTCTCTTCCCCGTGCTGGAGTCTAAGCCACCTGACCATGTGCACTTTCCCTCCATGACAAATGCCTTTTCTCTTCCTGACGGACCCCCGCCTGGCCTCCCTCCACTGTAAAACATTGCCAAATGGATTTAATTCAAATTCTGTGTAATAAAAACATAAAGTAAGGCAAAATAAATGGGAATGTTTTAAGTAACATGCTCTGGCATCTCATAAAAGCCTCTTAAATTGATTACAAAGAGAGCATGGTGTAGACTACAGAAAAAGGAGGGTTTTATGGGAACTCTGGCAGAGCCCCAAAGTGGAGCTGCACTGTGGTTGCTGCAATCATAATTCTTCCTCATATCAGGTTTTGTGCTTGAAATGCAGGGCTCTGCACAACTAGTTTTCCTTCCATAACCAGGGCATATATTTAAAAACAAAACCCCACAGTGGTTAGAAATTCCAGACAGCTCTGACCAGGCGCATATCGGGCATCTAAGCTGCTGAAATCTTGAGGTGTGTTTTCCAATGATTGGGAAAACCAGGAGTGTAAAAGCATTATCCCAGTAGTTGGGGAAGATCTGTTTTTGCACCAGTCTGGCAGCCCTGGTGGGGCTGATTTTGCATGGTGCTTAGCCTTAAGCCTGGTATTCAGTACAGAGCAAAATGATGGCACTATGCCTGCCACTGGAAAGCTCCTCCAGAGATTGAAAAGATCCCCACTCTGGAATCTTCTCTTGTCTGCCCGATCCTATTCAGCAAGATGCCAGTCCTGTGCAGACCCTTGACATCAGAGCAAATCACCCTGGCCGTGGCTCTGGGCTTGGGGCGGGACTGACAAATGGAGGCATGAGGAGGAACCCTGTGTTCTGTAGTGACATACGGACCGCCTGATGGCCACACGATTGCTCTGAGAATGGGGATACTTGGCGAGGCTTCCACTTACAGAAGCGGAAACTGGGTGTCAGACTACCAGAGAAGGTGATGTACTGCAGGTCAAACTGAAGAGGCCGATTGAGGTGTATTTCTATGGATGGTTCAGATTGGTGCTTACCCAATAACTAGAAGAAGAGGAACAACTCCCATGGCTGGACTGTGCCCACACACTCAGCAGATACCAGTACACTTTTCTAAGTGTATCTATCTTCTGGTTTCTATCTTCTTGGGAGATAGATCTGGTCCTTATAGCTAAACCAGGGGACATCTTTTCACAAAACTCCCTGTATTTGCAGTATTTTTCCCCCAGAGTGTAAGATTCTTCCAATAAGTCTAGAACTCCTCTACCTTCTCTGTCTTTCTCTTTCTCTCTCTCTTTCTCATTTGCTCTCACTCTCTCTTGCTTCCTTCCTCTTTCCTTCCTCCTTCCTTCCTTTCTTTCCCCTCCCTCCTCCTTCCCTCCCTCCCTCCCTCCCTCCCTCCCTCCCTTCCTTCCTTCCTTCCTTCCTTCCTTCCTTCCTTCCTTCCTTCCTTCCTTTTTCTCTTTCTTTCTTCTTTCCACATCACCTGGGAGTCTACTAAGTGCCACTCTGCTAAGGGCAGGGGGGACAAAAATGAACAAGATCCAGTCCTGGCCTGCCCAGAACTCCCAGTTCCGTGTGATGATTCTCAACCAGATGTGCACTTGCTCAGAGTCACCTCCAACACTTAAGAAAAAAAAAAAGATTCCTGAGCTCTACCCCAGTCCAGTCCTACTACATTGGAATCTTCAGGATTGCAGCCTAAGAACAGGTATTTTGAAAAAGTCTTCCTGTGTGTCTTTGTTATGTAACCATGGAAAGAACTACTAGCCTGCTGGAGAAAAGTAGTTACAATATTATATGATAAGTTCTGGAATAGAGGTATGAACACAGAGATGTGTCAGCAAGGAGGGAACTATTCAGTTAGGAGAGGGATGTGGTCAGGGAAAACTTCAGAGGTAATGCTCGAACTGGGTCTCACGGGATGAATAGGAGTTTGCTAAGAGGTTATAAGGGCAGAGAAGGGAGAGTTCTTTAGATGCACACACAAGAAGAGAAAACTGATTCATTGCAGGGGCTCCATGCAGTGGAATGAGCAAATGGGGAATGCTTTGGGGCATGGCCAGATGGGTGGTTTGGGGCCAACTGATGCTAGTTTTAGAGGTCTTGCCAACTCATTTGTATTTTTCCCCTATAAACCATAGGACAACTTTGAAGAGTTTTAAAGAGGGCATAATTGAATCACATTTACATTTGGAAAGGATAAACTAGGGGCAGTGTGATGAGGCTGAAGTAGGCAAGATCAACTAGGAAATTCTTTTTTTTTTTTTTTTTTTTTGAGATGGAGTCTTGCTCTGTCACCCAGCCTGGAGTGCAGTGGCACTATCTCGGCTCACTGCAAGCTCTGCCTCCCAGGTTCTCGCCATTCTCCTGCCTCAGCCTCCCAAGTAGTTGGGGAGGCGCCCGCCACCACACCCAGCTATTTTTTTTTTTTTTTTTTTTTTGTATTTTTAGTAGAGATGGGGTTTCACTGTGTTAGCCAGGATGGTCTTGATCTCCAGACCTTGTGATCCACACGCCTCGGCCTCCCAGAAATTCTTAACATGAATCCAAAAGACAAATTCGGCATCTCATATGACCCAAAACCATAAGGACAAGATGGATTCATCAGAACCTTTACAAATGTGTCCAGGTTCTTCAGTTTTCACTTATTCTCATGAAAATTTAATTAACAGTCAATTTTCTATCTCCCCATTACTCCATCAACCACACACACTTGGTGGGAGAAAAGGGTTTACAAGCCTCAACCAATACAGTCACTGCTCTTCCAGTCCTGGGTCCTCAAGATTGCAGCAAAGATAATGCTGCTGTTCCTGAGCCAGTCAGCCACTTTACTTCCTGCTCAGTATTCACCGAGTGTTTGTTGATCAACTATGGCAGGTAATCGCCATAGAAATAATCAATGCCTTCATTTTGTGCAAAAGATGTTTTCAACAAAGTACAAGCTTTCATTTCATGGTTAAGTCAAGAACAGCTTGTTACATTTATTGTCTTGTGAACCCATCCCCTATTTTATGTTTTTTTTTTTACTCAAAATATACAGAATTGATAAAGAAAATGCCAGTGAATGAAAAACTCAGAAGAATTCCCATAGAGCACACAATATTCATAAGAAGTTATTAAACAGCTCAAAGATCACTTTTAAATCAAATGCTTATCTAGATCCAAGAAGTTTGCTTGAGTGTGCTTCAAAAAGCTGTATGACCTAAAATTAAAGCAAATATAAAAAGAACAAGTTAAAAACTTCAAATGAATGAGGTTAAAACCATCTCTAAGAAGAAAATTTTAAATGGAAGAGCAGATTTGTTTATGGGCCAACTACTGAATAAAACAACTAAAAATCTAAGGATTACACATTGTGACTGAATGTTACAAAAGAATTCTTTAGAGATGGCAATAGATACAGTGATGTTTATAATATATGCCAGGTTTGTTAATTGGGGTCTATTATTTTGTACCCAGGTTGCTATAAAAATGGCTTTTTCTATGGTGAAGAACATGAAAAAGCAGCAAAAATGGACTGAAAATTGCCTGGAGACTTAAATTAGGCTCATCAGTCTAAATTGTGATTTTTATATGCCTAAACAATGACGAGATCATCAGAGGTCAAAGCAAGCTGCAAAGCCCTAGAGAAGCTATTAACAATTTAGCATTTTCAGATCATGTGGAAATTTTAATTCTGTTTACCAAAGATACGTGCAGAAATGGTTTTCATGATGATTAAGACCTGTAACTGTAAAAAATGTGAAATTTATAGCATCATAAAATGGTTTGTATAAAATGCAAATATCCCAGCTGGGTGGGTTGGCTGTGGAGGTCGCAGTTGGGTTCCTGCCTGAGCTCATTACCATTCCAAGTTCAGCATGGGGATTGTTTGTTTTTTTATTTTTAAAAAGGGCATGTGATTTTCAAGTAGCTTCTTTGATTATCTTTTGAGCATTGTGATGACCTCTTCAAATGGTGAACAGCTGTGCAAAGCAAACACATAAGCAAAAAGTATGTTAATTCAGGGGGTAAATTAGGGCATTTTCATATATTCTTGTGATTATAAAGTAGTATGTTCAAGTTTTAGTAAATTAATATTACGTTATCAGGTATGCAAGAGGAGTGAGAACCACTAAGGTCACATGTTTATGGACATAAAACATTGAAGGGGGTATAGAAAAATGCAAAATGACGGAAAGTGGAAACAGAGAAAATGAAAGGGTTAAGGTTGGGATTCAGAGGAAAAGAGAAGGGAAAATAGATGACTTGGAGGTATTGGTTCCAAAAGTGTGACAAGAGACAGCACAGAAACAGGGCCTCCTGAGCAAACATGACTATTATTGTTGTAGGACCTTCTCCTTAGTCCAGCTAAAAACAGGGTCATTGTCACACAACCATGAGAGATTAGGCTTGCAGACACTTTGAAGGGTGAGAAAAATGGAATTTTTTGGGCAAAAGGGGCAAAAAGGGAAACAGGAGGTCTCAGCAAAGCGAAAAGTCCTGCTAGCTAGCTGGCTTCCCACCTCACAGATGGAATCCCAGGTGCTACACTGGAACAGGAGAGGCCAGGCTCCCCCCAGCCCCCTCCGCAAACCTCATAAATTTCAATAGGTACTAGTGAGCACTCCTCCCAGTGTGCAGGCCAGTTGGAGGTTCTCCAGTAACCCCTTTATACTTGGCAGTCTCATTATCCCTTAGCTTCCATTGGCCTCATCCTTTAGTCAATCAACAATTAATACATATTTATAGGCACTTACCAAAAGCTAGATGTCCAGGAGCAAAGAGGGAAAAAATTGGTTAATTATCTGGGAATAACTGCCTGGTCACAGACCCCTTTCTGGGAATAATCCCTCTCTCAGCTCCTGTGGAAGGGGCAGGACTTGGCAGCCTTCCAGTCATGGCTGAGTGGACCAGGGTCCAATTTAATGGTTGCAGGATGACCAGTTTCTCTCTGGAAAATTTGAACTGAAGACACTGAAACTCTGTTGAAAGCAGATGCTGTACCCATCTTATCACAGAGTTGGGGTCATTTGGAAAGGCATTGAGGTAATTCAGTTTGTTACAATGAACAAGTGGGGAGATGTCACTGGCATTCATTGGGGGATGCAAAATATACACCAACACATCAGACAATCAACTCAACAAAGAATTGTCCCACCTGAGCTGCCAATGGCACTTCCATTGGAAAAACACAAAGTCAAAGAAAGATGGTTTTTTTGTTTGTTTTTGTTTTATGGGAGCACAGGCATGAAGAGAAAGCGGGCTCAGAGAAAGGAGACAGAGGGACACAAAGATGAGGGAGACCCCACGGCTCTGAAGGGTGGTGAGACGGCTCTGTTCCAGGCACTGTTCCTGTTGTCTGCAGGTCAGCTACTCTTCCTGCTCTCCATTCTGTGGTGGTGTGAGATGTTACTATAACCTTCCAATAAGGCATTAAAAAAAAAAAAACTTGACCTAATTTGAATTGAATTAGTTTTTTGCTACTAAATGAGTCTAGACTTAGAAAAAAAGATATGCCACAATCCCTTCCCCAAAAAGCTTAGAACTCAGTGGACAGACAGGACAGCATAGGTGACCATCACATAGCCTTACATAGCACCTTCAGTAATGAGGCTGGTGTGTCCCAGTGACAGGATTCATTGTCAGTCTTTGCTTTACTGAAGGTGGCATAATAAGGGTGTCTCTCCCACAATGTATGGTTAAATACTCATGAAAAAATGTCAAATGTTTCCTCACTCCTGCAAAAAAAAAGATAGATAGAATAATATGTATATATACTTGGGTTGTGTGACAGAAAGGAGGAAAAGTAGATTTTAGGGAGGGAGTTGTTTGTTTTGTTGTTTTGGTTTGGTTTTCATTTTGAGAAAGAGGTCCAAGCCCTATTAGGGCAAGAAGCAGAGGGGAGAAGACCCAGCCAAACCCAAACTCCAAAACGCTGCAGGGTCCTGCTACCCACCACCCCTAACCCCCAACCCCCAAGTTCTTGCACTTGCTGTTTCCTCTGCTTAGCACTCGGATAGGCAACACTGTCTGCATAAAAGCCAATTCTGGAAAAATAAATATGTTTGCATTTCCCCCTTTCCAATGAAAGTAGCAATACTGTGCACCATAAAAACAAAAATTCAAATGTACAACCTAGATGATCTCACTTTATGTCATAAAGGTATGTCAGGGGGAAAATTTGCACTATTTTGCTACACACATATTTAAATCTGAGTTTATATCAGAAGAACTAACATGGAAGCAACTTTCAGATCCATCCTCCAGGAACTGGACTGTAGACTCTAAAATAACTCAATGGGTCCTGTAAGTAACGGTATAGTTGCTTGAAATGGTCCCCATTTGTACCTGCTGTGGAACTATTAATAATTCCTCACCACCACCCACCCCAGCAATCTCAAAGGTGTCCCAATCCAGATGATATGGTCACAGTAGCCATGAGGCCTGCAAGACTCAGACCAAGGAGACACGCTGAAAACCCAGGGAAGGAAGCGTCTTTGGGATCCGGAAGCAGCCAGGTATATCTTCATCTGAGTTGTTGTTGTTTTTGTTTGTTTGTTTGTTTGTTTTTTTAGGTGGAGACTCACTCTGTTGCCCAGGCTGGAGTGCGGTGATGTGATCTTGGTTCACTGCAACCTCCACTTCCTGGGTTCAAGAGATTCTCCTGCCTCAGCCTCCCGAGTAGCTGGGATTACAGGCGTATGCCATCACGCCCGGCTAATTTTCATAGTTTTAGTAGAGACGGGGTTTCACCATGTTGGCCAGGCTGGTCTCAAACTCCTGATCTCAAGTGATCTGCCCACCTCGGCCTCCCAAAGTGCTGGGATTACCGGTGTGAGCCACCGCACCCAGCTCCATCTGAGTATTAAGAAAGAATTGTTCTGCACTTAGAAAGCCTCTGACTGTGCTGGGGGCTGGAGAAACATCAGAAGTATCCCGCCCTTGAAGAGCTCTCATCTGTAATTCTTGGGACAAAGACCCCTCCTCCTGTGGGCTTAAATTCTAGCAGGAGGAGACGGAGTGAACCACACGCACAATAAATATGTAGTATATAATATGTGAGAAGATGATAAATATCATGAAAAAAGAAAAAATAGAGCAGAGAAAGGAGATTATAAGGGTGGTGAGGTAGGGAGATTCAGGTTGCAGGAGCAGATAAAGTAGTCAGTGTAGGTAAGCCTTTTTGAGATTTTATATCATTCAGCAATTAGCTCATTTGACGGTTGGTCCTATATTGCCAACAGGATGATCATGATTTCCATAGTGCTTGTCAAATTGTAATGGCCATACAAATCTTTTGGGGATGTGGCTAAACTGGAGATTCTGATTTAGTAGGTCTGGGGTGGGGTCAGAGAGCCTGCATTTCTAACAAGCTCCCAGGGGATGCTGAGGCTGCAGGCTGTGAGACCACACGTGGGGCCGTGAGCAGCTACAGGGCAGGACTGCGCCTTCTATCTCTGTTGTGTTTTTCTAAGCACCCCGTTCCCTGCGTGGTTGGAACAGGTGCTCCATAAATATGTATCGACTAAATGAACTGAGAAGAGTGACGTAGCATCGATGTCAAGTAATATTAATGAATAGCAAAACTATGATGATTGACTCTGTTAATGGATTCCTTTTCAGAAGCAGGGCCTCATCACAATTATGTCCGTTTGCACTTCACTATAATAACATTTAAACCATATAGAATTAATTTAGCTTTAAATGGGGATGTCATTAGTGCTCCTGAAAGATTTCTTGTCCTGGAATTTTAAATGAATTCATCATGAATTTAAATGTGTTCTCTCTACAGCCTCAGGGCTGGCCCTGTGCTTAGAAAATGACCCATCTAGTATAATTTGATGAGTGCTGGAATAGGCCATCTGCACAAAAATACTTCCTCCTCTAACTCCAGAAAATTCAACATCCTATTTCACTTAATAAATCACAAATAATTTGATTGATAATCAGGTCAGTAAATATTTACACAATACCACTTGCCAAGAACCATGGGTTGTAGAAAGATGAATAAGACAGCTCCTGCCTGTGAGGATCTCTCAGCCTGATGTGAAGAAAAGAAATAGCTGTTTAAAGATGTGTGCATGATACAACGCTATTTGTTAGAAACCCTAAACTTCTATGCAAAGGGATAACTTTCTAGTTCCCTAGGCGTGGCAATCAATCACCAGGAAGTTTCTTGAAGAAGGAGATAGAGGGATGACATAGTCTGCCCCTATGGGGACTTTGGAGTTAGCTATGGGTGCTAATTATGTGCAAATTGGGTACATTCCAGGGAACTATTTTCCTCTCTAAGCCTGTTTCCTCATCTGCAAAAGAGTAATAATAACCTTTGCCTCCCTGTGTTATCTGAGACTTATTGCAATAGCATATTCAAAGCACTTAGGATACTACACTTTGTACAATGCCTGAGTAGACATAAGACAAATGTTGGTTCCTTCCCCCCATCATTTCCTTGAATGGAATAAGCTGTGCGCATCACTCCTTCCTTCATCAAAACTCACCAAGCATTCCCTGAGTCCCAGATATCAGATGCGATATCAGATGCGTGGCCCCATCTTCACACCATCTTATGGGGTATCCAGAGAAGTAAAGGCACATGGCACAGGCTGCTCAGTGCCGGGACAAACATCAGGGAAGGATCCTCTGGACAGGTTGGAGCTGAGTGGGAGAGTCAGAGAGGCCTCCTTGGGAGGGGACACTGGAGCTGAGTCTGGAGGATGACCAAGAATTGGCCCAGAGAAGGTAGTGGGGAGATTTTAAGAGCAGGTAACAGCACAGCCAAAGAACCCCAAGCCAGGGAAAGCAAACACAATGGGGGTGGGGGCAGCGGGGGCAGCTGGAGGCAGAGGTCAAAGGGCAGGGACTTTGGTCATCTCTTGGAGACGTTAGGATCTGAGGCTCACAGTGGGAGTTAGAATAGGAAGAAAAAGATGGGCACAGGAGACACCCAAAGAAGAGTAGACAGGATCCTTGAGGAAGGCATCAAAGATGGCTCTGTTTTGCAGCCCTGCACCTGCAGATGAGAGCCTCTAGCAGAAGAGGACCTGGGAGTGCAGCTGGTTTGGGCAGCAGCGATGGCCCCAGCTTCAGACCTTCTTCCCTCCCAGACCAGCCTCTCCTGGTTGCTTAGCTGACTGCGTGAGAACCACTTGAAGTCAGGGCCATTCTCGTGAATGACTGCCCTCCTTTTGAGTCTTCAGTTTCACCCTCTCTATTGCATTCTCCTCTGCCTAAAAGGATGGTCTATAGCATCCTATCTTCAAAAATAAGCCCAAGCTGAACTGGGCATGGTGGTGCACACCTGTAATCCCAGCACTTTTGGAGGCCAAGGCTGGAGAGGATTTGACATCAAGAGTTCAAGACCAGGCTGGGCAACATAGCAAGACCCCATCTCTAAAAAATAAAATAAAATAACCCCAAGCCAAGCCTTTGCAAACCAGCTACCCCTTGAGTTACTGTTTTCTTTTTTCTTGTCACTTCACTGCAGGACTTTTTACAAGACAATCTTCATTCCTTGCTTCTACCTTCACCACAGGCTCATTTCATTTTAAGAACAACTTTTTCTGTTTCCCTGTTTATAGGCATGACTCATAACTACAACAGAAATTTGGAAAATACAGAAAAATATAAAGGAGCAAGTAAAAGTCACTCATAAGCCACAGTACAGACATAACCACTGACTACTAACGTGTAGGTTTCCTCTTTAGTCTTTTTCTCTATGGAGCTAGAGAAATAGATGGTAGGTGGATAGATTGACAGACAGACAGATAGACTTTTTGCCAATTTTTTATTTTACAGATTTCTGAATATAGTGTTTTATACCCTGTAGTTTGGTTTAACATAATATTGTAATCCTAGGTGATTCAATATTTATAGTAATGGTAACAGTTAACTGATATTTCATCTTTGATATTCAAGTTGGATACTTGGGCAGTTTTCATTTCCTCATCATTATAAATAGAGCTGGGGTAACTAACCTGATGCCTCCATCTTTGTCTATATGCTATGCCTAGAAATAAAATGTTGAGCCAAAGGATGTGAGTTTTTTTGTTTGTTTGTTTGTTTGTTTGTTTTGTTTTTTTTAGACAGGGTCTTCCTCTGTTACCCAGGCTGGAGTGCAGTGGTCCGATCTCAGCTCACTGTAGCCTTGACCTCCTGGACTCAAGCAATCCTCCCACCTCAGCCTCCCAAGAAACTGGGACTACAGGAGTGTGCCAACACACCCACGCCTGGCTACGTTTGTTCTTTTTTTTTTTTTTTTTTTTTTTGTATAGACGAGATCTCACTATGTTACCGAGGCTGGTCTCAAACTCCTGGACTTGGTGTCCCAAAGTGCTGGGACTACAGATATGAACCACCATGTTCAGCTGTGGACACGAGTATTTCTGAAGGTCTCAATACATGGGCACATCATGTATATTCTGTGAGCTATTTGAAGGGACATCTTACCAGCCCAGGTAACCATCCTTCATTCACTTGTTAACTCTTCCATCTAGCTTTTTCCTTTGTGATGGTGACAAAATTGCCACCTTTCCAAGTTCTCTGGTGATTTTCTAATTCTTGAATCCCAAAACCTCTTTTGGTGCCTTCTCCGTCTCTCAGTCTCTCTTGCTGTGTCTCTGTAGGACTCCACAGCCTTATCTTCCCCTTGAAGTCCTCTCCTCCCTCAGCACCCATGACTCTCCACTGCTCTGCATCCCCACAATCTCTCTGGTTGCTTCTCTCTGCCCTTGCCTCCTAGGCTACAGCTCCTCATGGGTACCCCTAGCCTCCGCCCCCCCTTTTTTTTTTGAGATGGAGTCTCACTTCCTCACCCAGGCTTGAGTGCAGTGGCGCAATCTCAGCTCACTGCAACCTCCGCCTTCTGGGTTCAAGCAATTCTCCTGTCTCAGCCTCCCGAGTATTTGGGACTACAGGTGCCTGCCACCACACCCAGGTAATTTTTGTATTTTTAGTAGAGATGGGGTTTCACCTTGTTGGTCAGGCTGGTCTTGAACTCCTGACCTTAGGTGATCTACCCGCCTTGGCCTCCCAACATTTTTTTGCATTAAATACATGAACGGCCCATGAAGAAGCAGATGCTGCCCTCAAAGAAGTCAGGCCCATCATAAATACACATGAGGTCAGTGGAGTCACAGCGGGTACAGCGACCTAAGTCAGGTGGAAAGAATCATTCACAGGAGCTGGCCACGTGGAGGAAGGAGTATGGCTTGATGAGGAGGAGGAGGGAAGAGACACAGCAGACTGAGAAAGGAGATGTGACATTCCTCCCTGGTGCCCCAGGGCTGTCCCCATCCCGGCAGTCACCCGGGCAGGACCACCGAGAGGCCACACCCTGGATGACTCCCTCTGGGCTGGGTCGCTTGCTCTGCTTCTTCCCTTCCAATCCCACCGCCACTGCAGGGAACATGGACAGCTTAGCCTGGCCAGGGACAGGAGGCTCAGCCTCGGCAGAGCCACAGCAACTAAGAGAGAGGCCAGGACAGAGGCCTGTGAGGATGGGAAGGGGAGGCAGAGGGGAGCAGTAAGCCACAAGCAGAAATCCCCAGGTCCCGGGCAAGTTGTGTGGCTTGTGGTGGTCTCACCTCCCCGCCCCCCAGTTAGCTCTAGTTCAGGCTCAGGACAAAGTCTCACCGTGCTCTGTTCAGTGTTCAATCAGAAATAAAAATAGTAAAAGCACATCTGCCATTCCTGGCAATTCTGCCACGATCCATGATGAGTCCTATTAAAACATCAGGAGCAGAAACAGCACCATCGATTGAATGCAGAGATGGGGTGAGAGGCCACGTCCTTTTCTCTCCTCCCTTCCTTCCCATTACCTACAGCATTTTTATGCCAGAAGAAACCATTACTTAGAAAACCATTTCTGTCATCCTTAGAACAGCCAAAAGGCTTCAACATCTTAATGGAAAGAAAATTATCGGTGTGATCATAATCAAAGACCTCAGCTCCCTGGGGGAACGTTAACCCTTCCGTATCCAGCCCAGCCTGCAGAGACAGCAGAGGTCTGGAATTCGCGGAGTTAACATTGAGCTTTAGACTCATTGCAAGGACGGAGGAGCTGCCGTCAGTCATTTAACGAGCATCTCAGAGTGGCTTTGTCTGTCTTTAAAAAACTGGCTGTTCATTTTTAGGGAGAAGATTTTATGCTTGGGAGAATTGGGAAGGTCTCAGTGTATCTCTCTCGCAAACATTAGAGCTGTGTATACATTTTAGTGAGGCATTCATATTTCATTCATTTATGTAAAACTACCCTAGTGCTTACAGCCTGCCAGGCACAGTTCCAGAGGCTGGGGGTGAGCCCTAGTAAGGCAGATAAGGTACCAGTTCCCCTAACTTACATCTATGTGCGGATACAGAGAAAAAACAAGAGGTAAATAGTAAGATAATTTTAGACTGTAACGCACAGAAAACAAAACAAGGCTAGCGAGTGACTAAGGGTGGGAGGACTACATTAGACGGGATAGCCAGGGTCTCTGAGGAGGTGACATTTGGATTGAGGCCTGGGCAGATAAGAAGCCATCCAGAGTTGTGTAGCATCTTCACCTCTCTGAGCTCCCATCTTCTCATTCTGTAAAGTGAGGGCATTGGGTGCCAGGTCCTCACAGGGTCCCCTGCAGTGCTAGCTTTCCACCTATAGAGGTGAGGAGGTTAGTTAAGCCTCTTCCGACACTGACTTTGAGCCGTAAGTCCCTTGGCAAAGGCCTACCTCAAGTCCTTCCTGGAAGATACTGGTGAGGTTTTCAGGAGATCCTTGTTTCTGGTGAACAATTCCTAGGTGAGTGATCAGATTCAATGTCTGTGGGAAACAATATGCCAACTCCTCAAAAAAAGAAAAAAAATAACCATAGAATTACCCTATGCTCTGGCAATTCCGCTTCTGGGTATATGCCCAAGAGAACTGAAAGCAGGGACTATGCCTTGCACCTCAAGGTTCATATCAGCATTTTTCACAACAGCACACAGATGGAAACAATGGAAGTGTCCACCAGCTGGTCAGTCTATGAATGAAATGTGGTGTGCCTGTCTACAATAGAATATTAATCACCCTTCGAATGAATGAAACTATGACACGTGCTACAATATGCAAGGACCTTGAAGACATGCTAAATGAAATTAAGTCTGGGGGTGGGGAGGATGGAGCATTATTGTTCAATGGGTACTGAGTTTCTATCTGGGGCATAGAAGTTTTGGAGATGGATGGTGGTGATGGTTGCACAGCAATGTGAATATGCTGAATACCACTGAGTTTTGCACTTAAAAAATCATTGGAATGGGTGAAAGGACGAGTTTTGTGTTATATGTATTTTATCATTGGAAAAAAAAAAAAGCCAGTGGAAGATAGATCAAACAGAAGCAGTGACAAGCTCACTCTTAGATGTTAACTAAGATGTTAGAGGTTTAAAATAGATTGAGTGGTATGTGGAGACCAAGGATCACGCCAGGTTTCTGAGGCACCTGCCAGCCCTCTAATTCCACATGCCTCACTGTCACCTCCAGGGCAGACCTAGCAGACACTGTCAGAGGAGGAAAGGGCTGGAACCTCTGAGTTGGGCAGAGCTGGGTGGGAGATAAAACCTGTGCCGAGTCCCTGCTGCTCCAGTATACCAGCCACACAGGCTGGGAAAAGAACCACTTGCCCCTGCTGTCACTTCTAGGGGCTGGTGTGGCTCTCAGGGAGAGGAGGTCAGCCAGGCCACTGAGCCTAGAAAGTATGGTGAGGGTGGCAGGATCCCTGGCTGCAGAAGTGGATCTCCAAGGTAAGGTAGATGTGCAGATCGATGTGAGGTAGGTGTGGTCCTCTGGGAATGTGTTAAAAATGCCAATTCTCAGGCCCCGCCCCAGACCTTCTGATCCAAAAC
The DNA here is from genome assembly GCF_000001405.40 of Homo sapiens. Lineage (NCBI taxonomy): Eukaryota > Metazoa > Chordata > Mammalia > Primates > Hominidae > Homo > Homo sapiens. The sequence continues at coordinate 45,909,684 of NC_000013.11, forward strand.
CCCAGGTCAGGAGCCCAATAATGTGTGTTTTAGCAAGTTTTCCAGCAGAAGGTTCTGGTGTTGGCCCTAACATTGGAGAGCCATGGCTCTTAACCAATGCAGAAAAAATGCCTGGGCACTCTTCCAGGCATCTGCCAATGTGTTCAGTGGGCTTGTCCTGAAAGCAGAGCCCCAGCCTGTCTGCAACAGGGAGGCACAATGCAGCCGTCTCAGGCAACACCCGTTCCCATGTGGTTGTAGGACCCTGGGCAGCAGGGCCCCCGAGCGGCTGTGAGCTCAAGTCTGGGGCATGGGGCCCCACCCCTCCTGGAGACGGATCCTCTGGGGTGGGCACATTCCGCATGGTCTACCAGGGCCCCTTCCTCGTGAGTGCTGTGGTGCCATCTGTATACATAAAGCCAGTGTTTTCCTCCACTCACTACCCCCAGCCAGGCTACGGGGATGAGCCTGGTACCCCTGCTGCATAAAGGATCCCTTCACAACATCTAGGCCAGGTCCCATGACTTTCAGGTCACTTTCTGATTATCAAGCTCATTCCATCCCAGTTTGAAGCTTCCCGTGCCAGAGACATTTCGTAGCTCATCTTGTCCTTTCCCAAAAGTGCCAGGACCCACCATGGGAATGGTGGCAGGGCCTGCCTGAGGATGTCTCCTTCATCTCTTTCCTTGGGAGCTGGAAGAAATGACTGGGGAGAGGAGAGGTGGGGCCAAGCTCCTCTCTGCTGGGCCTCAGCTGCAGTTCCCTTCTTGGCAGGCCTCACACCCACTTCCTTGGATGCCCTCAGTGTGTCAGCTCCTATGGCGGCCCTCAGGAAGCACCAGAGACTTTGAGTCCTCGAAGAGCCCTGCAGGCCCTTTCTATGTCTCAGTTCCCAGGTGTGGAAGAGCTTGCTAAGCCCCACGCGGTGCCCTTTTCCACTTCAGCCTCCACCGTCAGAACAGGCCCCAAGTCTCTTGCTGCCAGGGTCCCTTGACACAAGGACAGGTTTCTTTGGTCAAGGTATGAACAAGATGATTTTGCTGCCAGTTTTCCTTCACGGGGTCTTCTGGACCAGGGGAATCCCACATGTCCTTACCACTTCAAACTGAGTGGGAGGACTGTGTGCCCCAGCGCCTCCCTTGTTTTGCCCTGACATCTTTCTCCTGTTGATGCGGGCACAGGATAGAATGTCCGCGCTCTGAGCAGCATCTGAAGAGAGAAAGGACTGCCAGCAGGACTGGCCACTCCGTTTGCAGGGCCCAGCCCAGAATTGTTTAACAGATATTAAAAACGTCAAGATGGTGACAGAGGAGAAGTAAACCAAGTGTGGGGCCATTCTGTGCGAGTGCATAGCTCACCTGCCTGTGAAGCTGGCCCTGAATCCAGGCCCCCTCCTTCCCAGCCCGCCATGCTAGAGGGTTTTTCTGGGGCCTTCCTTCTCCTTGGCCAGAGGGAAGGAAAGCCTCTCTTTCCCACCCTTGACTCGTCTCACTCCACAGGAGCTCTACCACCCAGGGACTGTCCCTCCCCTCACTCCAGTCATCTCCTTGAATGGGCTGAGGATCCCACCAGGCATGGTGACTGGGGGCTGTAGGGCCACTTGAGCAGTCTCTTGAGTGCACTCTCAGGGTGGCTGTGTTTACAATGTGGGTGGACTAACACCTCATATTCTTTAGTGGAACTGCACTCACAAATCTAGGTCAACAAGAAAAGTCTCCTCAATGTCCTTAGCGTCACAGTGCTGGGACTTCCCAGGCCTAGCCACCATCAATTCATCCAGGGCAGGGCGCCTGGGCAGGCAGGGTCAAAGGAGCCCCTCAGTGGGATTCTGAAATTTGAATCCAAGAGAGTTGTCTGCCTCTTTCTCATGGCTGAAACTGAGGCTCTCATGCTTGGTTGCTGGTGGCTGGGTATTACCCACACCAGGCTGAAGTCGGAAGGAGGCCAGTCTGCAGAAAAAGGGAGAGACAGAGAGAGGGAGAGACAGAGAGAGAGGGTGAGAGAAGGAGAGAGACAGAGACGGGAAGACAGGAGTGGGAGAGAAAGCAGGAGAAGGCAGCTGGTGACCTGCTTCTGGCTCAGCTGCCCTAGTTTTATCCCGTCCAGGGTCCTGTACTCCAGTACTTTTATGATGAGTTCCCCTTTAAGCTTTGGGAAGTTCAGTTTCCATCATTTTCCCTGAAGAGTCCAGACTAACACGACTCCACACTGACGAGTGGTGGTTCCCCATCACTCACTAAGAGTCTGACCTGCTTGGCCATGATTTCCTTGTAACTGGAGGAAATAAAAGAAGAGGAACCCAGAAGAAGACAGGGCCTGTGTGGGAAAGAGAGTGGCCTCAAGGTTAGGGGTGCTGGAAACCCTCTAGGGTTCTGTAGGCCATCAGGACTTAAAAAGTTACCGTGGCTTACTGATACCTCAAATTATTTCACTTGTAAAATGGAGACACTCTACTCAGTTTGGTAGTTCTGTGTTTTTAGCTAAACCGTAGTCTGCCTTTGCCAGTCTGGCTCAGACGTCAACCCTCTGTTTGGGCTGATTGGCTTATGCTGGCCAGAGTCACATAAACTCTGCCCCACCTTGTCTTCAGAGGATTTAGTGTAGCTTTTGAATTTATTCTTTCAACAGTACCAAGAGCTCTGGTAGCAGGCACGGTGCTGGGCTCCGTAGATACTATGGTGAATAAGAGAGGCGCATTTCCTACCCTTATGGAGCTTACGGCTTGGCAAATGAATCAGACTCTAAGCAACTCATCACACAAACAATATATTAATGAGCATGGTAATAACTGCTGAAAAGGAGTTATTCCAGGGATATGAGGTTCTGTAATAGGAATCCTAACCAGCTGGATTTTCTTTTTTTGCTTTCTCCAAATTCCAAAGCCCTCCATCTTTTCTGTGAGGTCTCCAGACAGTTACTACTGCTATCATCACCATTATTCCAGAGACATAGACATTCTCATTCACTCTACCAACTGCTATCCCCAGAGGCCCAGTTTGCACCATCTTCAAGCTGTGCTTCCAGTACTAGCCACGTGTATAGATCACGTGAAATATAGCTGGTTCAACTGAGGATCTGACGTTTTAATACAATTTAATTTAACATAAATTTAAAAATAGAGGCAGTAGAACATATTTTTCCATTAAACACACTTTATTATTTTGTTAGGGCCACAATTTCACTTTATCTGTTGAATTTAGTGTTGACCTGCGCTAGTATGTTTATTGCAGCACTATCTATAGTAGCAAAGACATGAAATCAACCCAGATACCCAACAACAGTGGATTGTATAGAGAAAATGTGGTACATATACACCATGGAATATGATGCAGCCATAAAAAAGAACAAAATTATATCCCCTGCAGCAACATGGATGCAGCTGGAGGCTATTATGCTAAGCAAACTAAGGCAGGAACAGAAAACCAAATACCACATGTTTTCACTTATAAGTTGGACCTTAAGCATTGGGTATACACAGACACAAAGATGGGAACAATAAACACTGGAGATTCCAAGAGGTGGGACCAGAGGCAGGGAAGGGTTGAAAAACTACCTGTGGGGCACTGTGTTCACTATTTGGGCTATGGAATCATTAGAAGCCCAAACCTCAGCATCATGTAATATACCCATATAACAAACCCGCACATGAGTATATTAAAAATACTAAAATTAAAAATATAAATTTAGAATACTAATGATAATTCTAATGAATAAAATAAGAAAAATAACAATGAGCATCTTTAATATATTTATTTGCCATCCATGTAACTTCTTTGATGTCTATTAAAATATTTTGTCCATTTCTTAATTGGGTTGTTTAGTTTCTTACTATAGATTGTAACAGTTCTCTGCATATTTGGTCACAAGTAGTTTATCAATGAGGTGTTTGGAAAATATTTTCTTCCAGTCTGTAGTTTATCTTTTCATTATTTTATTTTATTTTACTTTTGAGACAGAGTCTGCTCTGTCACCCAAGCTGGAGTGCAGTGGTGTGATCTCGGCTCACTGCAACCTCCACCTCCTTGGAGTGATTCTCGTGCCTCAGCCTCCTGAGTAGCTGGGATTACTGGCATGCGCCAGCATGCCTGGCTAACTTTTGAATTTTTAATAGAGACAGGGTTTCACTATGTTGCCCAGGCTCGTCTCGAACACCTGGCCCTCCAGGTGATCCTCCCACCTTGGCCTCCAAAGTGCTGGGATTACAGGCATGCGCCACTACACCCGGCCTCTTTTCATTATTTTAACATTGTATTTCACAGAGCAGATAATTCTTTTTTTTTGTATTAATTAAATTTTTTATTTTTATTAAATGTCTTTATATATTCACTAGTATTTATAACAGTTTTGTGAGGTAGGCATTAATATTCCAGTTTTACAGATGAAGAAACCCAAATCACGTATAGAATATGTGGTAGAACTGAAATTAGAAGACAGGTTATAACCTCTAGTCTAGTGCTGCTTCCACTAAACTTCAGCTGTTTCTAGAGATATCACACATTCATTTGGAAGAGCAATATCATCATCTCAGGGTAAAATAACACAATACAAATTTATATATGAGAGAAATACATGAGCAAATTATAAGAAGATATTGGTATCACCATCATCATTCTATTAAAATGAAAAAGGAGTTAAAAACCAAATTTACCTATTTGATTTTAAGTCACATTCCCTGACTTAATTGACTTGTATTTTGAATGTAAATAGGAAGTACTAGCAATGATAGTGTGAGGAGATGGCTGTAGAAAAGGTAGGAAGAAAAATATAAGTAATATTTGAATGCCTACTTAATATATATTACATAGATGATACATATATTTAAATACATTTTTATTATAGTCATTGTAAGAGGACATAATTTAATCTAACTGGTTTTAAAATCTAGACTGTGGTGCTCACGACTAAATCTGACAATGAATGAAGAAAGGGCATGCACCTATGTAATAACCATGGCAAAATTTCACTCCATCTCTCCTCTAAAACTGTTCTTATTCCTTTCATTTCTAGGCAATTGGGATCCAAATTTAGCAATTGCCTCTATGTCTAATTCTTATTTACTACCTGCTTTTTAAATTGTTGTCTGTAAGGCCATCCTAACGGGCATTTTTGATAGGAAATTTTTTTTCTTTTTTTAAGCAAAACTATACTGAGTATATCCTCTATTTAAGTTTCACTGGTAGTTGTAGAGGGTTTATAAAAAGATATGCAAGTGCCCTCAAATGTGTAGCTTTTTTTTTTTCTAACTGAAATGGGAGGTTAAATTTTTGTATGTGAAATATATAGTACATAAAACAAACATGTATAGCATCATATCATGTATAGCTTATTATATACGAAACAGAAGAGGCAAAATAAGTACTTTATAAATTCAAATCAGGTATTGATGGCAGCGGCGGCCTGTCTGGGATGGCCACTACCATGATGCCGGCTGCAGTGGGGGAGGTGCTGCTGGGGCTGTCACTTCACGGAGCCTGTGGGGGCCAGAAGCAGGCAGGAGCCCCAACTTCTCGGGCACAGCTGCAGCCGCCCAAGTTGGTGCTGCAGACCCAGGCCTCCCTGTGCTCTTGGGGGCTGGAAGCAGGCAGGAGCCCTGCTCTCCCGGGTACAGCTGTAGGCTCAGAAATGTCTGCTCCCACTGCCTGGCCTCTCCCTGCTCCCTGTACCCACTCTGATCTTGGAGCGAGGTTAAGGCCAAGCCCAGGTGCTGTTGGAGCCCATCTGGGTGTGTACACACTCGGGGCAGCACTGACACCCCAGCCCTCTGCCGCCTTGACCCCCTCACAGAGCAGATAATTCTAATTTTAATAAAGTCTAGCTTATGAAATAAAGACAGGAAAGAAAATTTAGTGTGCAGACCAAGATATGCTGTAATGTAAAGACACACTGGATTTCAAATACTTACTATGAAAAAACTGTAAAATATCTTAATCATTTTTATATGGATTATATGCTGATGTGATAATATTTTTAATATGTTGGATTACATCTGTTTTTAAAATTAATTTCTGTTTCTGCCCCTTTTAATTCCATTAATGGCTCCAGTGGTATTTCAATTATATGTTGGACAGGAGACAAGAAAATCTTTTCAACAATATTTGACGCCAGGGTACTGTGGCTTTGTGCTTGCGGTGTGGTAGGAATGGGGTGGGGGTATCTTCAGCCTCCAAGTCACTGTAGAAAGGTCAGATGTTTGTTTCTCTCCTTCCTCTTCTTCCTGTTCCCCAAACACCATGCTCACAGTCCTTTGTGATGGTGTTGGGCCCTTGCCAGGTGGAAGATTTGAAACCACCCATCCTGAAGAGCATCCACTCCCTCCATTGCCAAGTGGCTGCAAGTTCTCTTCCTAGAATATAAAGAAAGGGGTTTCCTCGCTGCCACCAAGACTAGCCTGAGGCTGGCCTCCCAGGTCCAGGCATAAGAAGGAGCCTCTCTGTCTCCCTATCCTTCCTACAAAGGGCATTGGTGACACCACTTGAGATCTCAAATCAGGTTCGGGCTAGGATATCCTGACGGCTGCGGTGATCCCTTTAATACATTAAGCTACTTTAGTCCCATATTTATCTGAAACCTGCAGACAGATTGTGTCAGTAGATATATCCAGACTTAAGAACCTCATGAAATCCTAGCCTGCTGGGGTGGAAGGTAGCTATTGCTCATGGGCCTGGATTTTGTAATGTGAGCTGGCTCTGAGATAAAAACAAGAGAACCGTAACTGAAGGAAGACACCAGGGTCTGGGCAGATCAGGCTTTGGGAGACTCAAAGCTTAAACAATTTGAAGGATCTGCTTTAAGAAAATAACACACAAGTGTCTTTTATATATTTATTTATATTTATATTTATATATATTATATATTATATATATAATATATATGATATATATGATATATATATTATCTTGCTCTGTAGCCCAGGCTGGAGGGCAGTGGCACCACCATAGCTCACCGTAACCTCAAACTCCTGGGCTCAAGTGATCCTCCTGCCTCAGCCTCCCCAGTAGCTAGGACTAGAGGTTCGCATCACCACACCTAGCTAATTTTTTGTTTTTGTAGAGACAAGGCCTCGCTATGTTGCCCAGGCTGATCTTGAACTCTTGGCCTCAAACAATCCACTCTGCTCGGCCTCCCAAAGCACTGGGTTACCATGCTCTGTCTATATTTTTTAATTTTACAAAAATATCTGATCAAATGTACACATTTTTAGCTTGCCTCTGATACTATGGAAGGAGCCTGTGCAAGGGAGGGGCTGATTAGCTTCACCACAGGGCACAGGGCTCCCCAGGCCAGCAGCAGCAGCAGCAGCTGAACTTGTTAGAAATGCCAGTTCTTAGGCCCCACCCTCCAGACCTATTTAATCAGAAACTCTAGAAGCCCAGAAATCTGAGTTTTCACAAGCCTTCCAGGTGGTTTCAATATCACTCAAGTTTGTGAACTAGTGACATAGTGGTTAAATGTGTGGACTCTGGAGTAAGGCTACCTGAGCTGGAAGCCTCATTTTGCTTTTTATTATATGGGTGACCTTGGCAAGTTAATCAACTGCTGTAAGCCTCAGTTTCACCATCTGTAGAATGGGGCAATAATAGCATTGATCTTAAGAGGTGGTTATATGGATTAAGTAAGATAATGTGTGTAGTGCTAAGCCTAGTGCCTGCCATGTTGTATGTGCTTAATAAATTATATACAAATTGAGTATTCCCTTATCTGAAAAGCTTGGAACCAGAAGTGTTTTGGATTTCAGGTTTTTAAAGATTTTGCAATATTTACAAATACATGATGAGATATCTTGGGGATGGGACCCAAGTCTAAACATGAAATTTGGCCAGCCGTTGTGGCTCAAGCCTGTAACGCCAGCACTTTGGAAGGCCAAGGTGGGCAGATCACTTGAGGTCAGGAGTTTGAGACCAGCTTGGCCAACATGGTGAAACCCCTTCTCTACCAAAAAATACAAAAATTAGCTGGGTGTGGTGGTGCACGCCTGTAATAATCCCAGCTACTCGGGAGGCTGAGGCAGAAGAATCTCTTGAACCTGGGAGACGGAGGCTGCAGTGAGCTGAGATTGCACCACTGTACTCCAGCCTGGGCAACAGGGCAAGACTCCGTCTAAAACAAAAAATAAATAAACATGAAATTCATTTATATTTCATATGCACCTCATACATGTAGCCTAGAGGTAATTTTACACAATATTTAAAATAATTTTGTGCTCGAAACAGTTTGTATACATTGAGCCATCAGAAAGCAAAGGTGTCACTATCTCAGTCACCCATGTGGACAATCTGGTTGTTTGGCATCACCATCATTCCTGACTCTGAATTTATGTTACCAATAAGCAATCATTTTCTTACACTTATTCACACATAGGTACTTAACAGTGAAAAGAATGACACACCATTAACACAGTGAACGCATAATGCGTTCAGGGTAACTCAGCCACACAGTAGCATTACCAGAACACCTGTATCAACTGTTACACAACAGCAACAGCAAGTAGCAGGCTTTTGGTCTCCACCTATGATGCTGTATTTTGATTAAAAGGCAACTGCAAACTCTATTTTTTTTTTCAGGTGAGAAGAAACATCAGAAGCAGTTGAGGGACCAGAAAGTGGGTCCTCTAGGGTTGACAAGGCATTCTGCTGGATGGCTTCTTTAAATGTCACCTCCAGAGTCATCGGCCTCATTAACAATAATTTTTGTCTTAAAAGTGTCTCTTTGATTTTATAAACTGACACGATTTTCTGTTCTGTTATAAATGCATGCTGCTCTAGTCCTGCAATAAGCTCATTGCACATTTTCACCCTGCTGTCGGTCGGCACTTTTTGTGTAGTACTAACAACTTCATCTTCATCATCACTATTGTCATGATCTCCTTGATTCAGAACCATTTAGGCTATTTCACCAATGGTGAATGAATGAACAACTGGACCCCGATGATAGAGGTTAAAAACTTCTTCAATATTCACTTCCTCCAGCTTACTGATGGATTCTAAAGGAAACTTTTTCGCATGCATAAGGAAGGCAGACATCATTTTTCTCTCACATGACATATGGAATCCTTCAAAGTCACCATCTTATTCATCACCATCACTGAACACAGTCGCAGGTCTGAGACTGTGACTCAGGTACGCACCACTGTGTCTTGAGTCACTGTGTTCCAAGCACTGGTAACAGGATATAGGCATCTTTCATGCTAAACTCTTTTTGAAAAAGCTTCCACACCCATACCTCTGTTCACTGCTGCTAGCATGCTGTTCAAGAAAGGGTTCTTATGTTTACTCTTCATAGATCTAAGGTTACACTGGTCACATGGCTGAATTAATGAAGTCACATTTAGTGGAAAGTACATGGCATCAACATTATTTTTGATGAGAATTTTCAGCTGGAGGATGAGCAGAACAGTTGCCAAGGAATAACAAAATCTTGCCATTGTCATCTAATCTAGGTTCCCCGTAGTTGAGCATGAGCCACTGGTACAAAATGTTTGTGAAATTAACCAGAAAAGATGTCCCTGGTGATGCAGGTCTTTTTTATTAGCATTATATTAGACTGGCAAGAAATTGAGTCCATGAAAACAGTGAGGATGCAAGCTTGCCTACCACAGCAAGATGACACTTAATGTGTGCCTGCTGCATTAGCACATCCCAGCTCAGTTATTCTGTCCTTGGCATCTGAATTCCTATAGGGACTGTCTCATCAGCTGTAGTCAGTGTCTTTTGGGGGCTGTAATGCCCAAACAGTGATATTTCATCAGCATTGGAGAGTTGTTCTGGCGTCAAGTTTTCATCAGCAATGACCTTGGCAGCCTTGTCAATGAGTTTCTCCGCTGCTTTGTGATCAGTAGATGCTTTAGCACCATGAGTCCTTAAAAACTTAATGCTGTATCTTTTCTCAAATTTCTGCAACCAGCCTGTTAAATACTCACAGTTCCCTTCAACCTTTAGTTTATTGTGATAGATCTTTGCTTGTTTCACGATCGGCATACCATCATGTTACACGTGTTCACTGCAACACTGATGAATGCGTTCCTTTAATACATGATCAAGATCTCCATTTTCAGCTTTATGCATTATTTCTCTGTTTTAATTAACGTCTGTTCATCACTTTCAGCATAGAACTTCGTTTATCCTTCTGTTTCATGGTGGTCATTCCAACGCCATAATCTTCTGTAAGATGTTTTACGCTTACACTGCTGTCCAATTTCTCCAACAGCTTGACTTTCTGTGCTATAGATAAACATAGATGCATCCTTTTTTTTCTTATCTGCATTCCCCATAGGGATATATGCAGGCCTTTTTAACATTTTCAACAATATCCTTATACCACAGAGCAGAGAATAAGCAAAACAGCACAGTGCGTAATGCACATAGATCTTTGTCCCATGTAGGGCATCATGGGCTGCATGCTATCGTTGCATCTGGCCTGCACACATGCCATTTTATGACACTTTGTGGGTGTGCTTGCATGGGGAATCTGAGCATGCGTGGAAAAGATACATCCAGACTAAAAGGAGCTGGGGTGTCTTTTTCCCCTTGGGGATGCTGAATAAACTGTGTGTTGTGCGCCTGTGTTTTGACTGTGACCTGTCACATGAGGTCAGGTGTGGACTTTCCCACTTGTGGCATCGTGTTGGTGTTCAAAAAGTTTCAGATTTTGAAGGATTTAGGGTTTCAGATATTCAGATTAGAGCTGCTTATTCTGCATTATTATTCTGCAGAGAGTGTATACGTAGTGTTGGAGGGAGGATGAAAAGGAGGGCAGATGTGGAAGTAAGAGGGGATCTTTGGGCACGATCAAAAAGTGGCTCAAATGTGATCAAGGTCTGCCATGAAGCCCTCCAAACTCCCTCTTTTTTAGGGTCCTGGGCCAACCTTCTAAATTGACAACATTAGTACAGCTAATTTAATGAAACTTACACAGTGGGAACTCATGGACCCCCTTGAAAATACAGTGAAAATTAGGGATGCCCCTCTAGAGGCATATATGCATATAACACACACACTAAATGACAGGCCACATCATGGAAGCACTGCAGCCCCAGTCTGGAGCCCCTGGTTAAGAAGTCTGAGGTAGGCCGGGCACGGTGGCTCACGCCTGTAAACCCAGCACTTTGGGAGGCCGAGGCGGGTGGATCACGAGGTCAGGAGATCGAGACCATCGTGGCTAACACAATGAAATCCTGTCTGTACTAAAAATACAGAAAATTAGCCAGGCATGGTGGTGGGTGCCTGTAGTCCCAGCTACTAGGGAGGCTGAGGCAGGAGAATGGTGTGAACCCGGGAGGCGGAGCTTGCAGTGAGCCGAGATTGCGCCACTGCACTCCAGCCTGGGCAACAGAGCGAGACTCCGTCTCAGAAAAAAAAAAGAAGTCTGAGGTAGTACATGGTGGTCACTTATAATATTGAAGGAGGAAGAATGGGAAAGATAGATGGAGGGAGAGTTGTTTGCTAACTGTTCAACCTGCCGCCTCTTTGGGGTAATGTATCTGATATTAGCAGATGCCCTCTGAACTCAAATGTTGCTTTCCAAATAAGTGCCTTTGACTGGGGGAATGTTAGGCATGGTGGCAAGGAATAAGATTGGGATAGGGGTGTATTTCAGCATCTTTCAAATCACATCCCAAAGCATTTTCCAGCTCTTCTTATCTGTAAGGGAAACTGCAGAAATGTTCATTTTAAAGACATTCAAAATCCCAAAAAGACCATTTAGTGGCTGGAGATTATCTAGTGCTGATAAAAGCATAAATGTGGTTAAATCAGACAAACAGACAAGCCAGGATGTGTGTATGACATATTAATTTTCAGCCTGTTTCTGTCACTCTCCCTGAGCTTATGAGGTCTGTGACACATTTGTGTTGTATTTAGCTGTCACCCAGCTGCAATTTCCACCTTTCCTTGGAGTCACACTCTGGGTTGACTGGTTCAGAAAGAAATTCACTGTGACAGCTTTTGTGGCTGTGGGCATTTCAAATCCCTCTGATGATGTTACTTGGTTTGAAATCAGATTGGCAAGTAAACAACACCTTTCCCTGAACAGAAAGAGAGATAATTAGAACATACCGGATGGCAGGTATCCAGGAACACAGAAAATTTCAAAGGGCTTTCTCTGATATTCTGAACGTTTATCCCCTCTAAGGGTACCAAGCAAAAGAGGTGGTAGGAGAGTGTGCCCGGGAACAGGGCAGCCCAGCCTGTCTGACCTCCAGCCTGTTGTGCACCAGGGCTGCCCTCAGGCTAGTTCACGGGAGGAAGGGTCAAATGTCAGGTGGTCACTGGTCTAAGCAATGACAAAACAGGGAGAGAGGAGACAAATGAAGATGAGAACCATCACCTCCCTGCCCCTTACACTCACTAGGCAGGCTTCCATGGCCCAATGATAACCTGAAATCGCCACTTCAGCCTCCCTGACCCTGTAGCTGCCACCCTCCCCGACCCTTCATCTTTCCTGACACTGACAGTGAGCCTCAGCCCCACTGCCTTTGCTCCTATGTGCACTAAGTGCTCTCAGGTTAGCCCTGCATCTGTTCCTTCAGCACTTTGTGAGCAGAGACCTCCCACTCCGGACCATGCACACAGCTGGGTGTGGTGGGTCACACCTGTAATCCCAACACTTTGGGAGGCTGGGGCAGGAGGATCCTTTGGGGCCAGGAGTTTGAGACCAACCTGGGCAGCATAGTGAGACTCCATCTCTACCAAAAATTCTTTTTAAAAACTTAGCCGGGCATGGTGGCATGTACCTGTAGTCCTAGGTACTCATGAGTTTGAGGCAGGAAGAATCGCTTAAACCTAGGAGTCCAAGGTTTCTGTGAGCTATGAACACACCACTGCACTCCAGTCTAGGCAACAGAGTGAGACCCTGGCTCTAAAAATAAAAATAAGCAATAAATAATTTTAAAAAGGTAATGGCGAGGCATAGTGGCTGACACCTGTAATCTCAACACTTTGGGAGGCCAAGGCAGGAAGATGGTTTGAGCTCAGGAATTTGAGACCAGCATGGGTAACATAGTGAGATCCCATCTGTACAAAAAAATCAAAAAATTAGCCAGTTATGATGGTGAACGCATGTGGTGCCAGTTATTCGGGAGTTAGGTGGGAGGATGGCTTGAGCCCGGGAGGTCGAGGCTGCAGTGAGTCATGATCACACCACTGCACTCCAGCTTGGTCAACAAAGCAAGACACTGTCTCAAAAAGAAAGAAAAATTTAAAAAATGAAAAGGTGTGAACTGGATCCATGTAGATCTATAGTTAATACTGACAGATTATAATGTTGAACCAAAAATAAATAAGTAAATAAAAAATAAAGCAGCAAGGCGCGGTGGCTTATGCCTGTAATCCCAGCACTTTGGGAGGCCAAGATGGGCGGATCACTTGAGGTCAGGAGTTCAAGACCAGTCTGGCCAACATGGAGAAACCCCGTCTCTACTAAAAAAAAATACAAAAATTAGCCAGGTATGGCAGTGCGCACCTGTAATCCCAGCTACTCGGGAGACTGAGGCAGGAGAATCACTTGAGAATCAGTTGAACCCAGGAGGAGGAGGTTGCAATGAGCCGAGATCGCACCACTGCACTCCAGTCTGGGTGACAGAATGAGACTTCATCTCAAAAACAAAAACAAAAACAAAAAAGCAAGTTGCAGATCAAGCACAGAGACAGGAGACCACCCTGTACTTGTTCTCTTAGCCTTTTTTTGAAATGCTGGAGCAGCAGCTAGCTTGCCAAGTCCTAAGACTGTCTCTGATGGAGAGGGACTCCTTCAGCTATCCTCTGCCCGGGCCCCTTTCCCAGGAATAGCACTGACCATTGAGTCTAACACCAGCCTCTAGAAGAAAATGAAAGGGAAAGGGAATCTAGCTGAGGTGCTGGCCAGCCATGCTGGTAAGGTGCCTGGTTGGAGCTGCTGCATTGGAGCCACAGGTACCTTCGCTTCCTGACCATAAGCTAAGCCACTCGACCTTCAGAAGCTCTGGTTTCATCATCCATAAGGTCTAACTCACAGGACTGTTGAGAGGACCAAATGAGATAGCACATGTGGCAGCGCCTAGCAGATAAAACGTGCCATTGCCCACCACCTCCATTTTCTTCATATTCTCCCAGGCGGTGGGAATGCAGACACTCAACTGCCAGTGGGCAGTTTGCGAGTGGGCCGTGGGGTGACAGCCAGGGCAGCCCACAGCCCCCCATGCAGACACAAGCCTGAGGGGTCCCCGGCCACCGCCTGGCCCTGCCTGTCTGCCCACTTTCCCCTCCACTTGTTTCGCTGCTCCCTGTTCACCCTCTTCATCCTTCCCCATCTTTCAATGAGGAGGGGAGAAAGGAATGTGTTACTTACTACATACTATGGATTGTGCTCTGTGAGTTTCATTAACTAATTTAGTCTCAGTAAAATCACCATTTTATAGATGATGAAAAGGGTGTGGAGTTTGAGTAACTTGCTCCAAGCCACAGGGATAGCAGAGGTGGGACCAGGCTTTACACTCTGGCAGGCTGACTCCAAATTCTCTGCTGTTAAACTTACTATTCTATCATTCAGTAGTTCTCAGAGTGTGGTCCCGGGACCAACAGTATCAGCATGACCTAGGAAATTTTTAGAAATGCAAATTCCTGGGCCCCGCCCCCAGACTTACAGAAACTGAAGCTTTGGGGTGCGGCCCAGCCATCAATGTGTCCCCAAACCCTCCAGGGGACTCTGAGCACACTGAAGTTTGAGAACCTCTCTCCACTGTGTCTCCCAGCAAACCTGGTGTCCCATTGTTTTCTAAGTTGAAAAACTTAAAAAATGAAATCGGCTACAGCTGATAACATCTTGTTTTTAAGGGTATTGGTTGCAATTTGATGGAAAATATTGATGTGGAGGTAAAGAGTGAGGCTGGCTGGGAAAATACAGGCCTGTCTCCAGGTACTTGTTGAGAGGGGAAAAGAACCATAGGTGCCAGGGAGAAACCTGGGTCTCAAATGGGTCTCTTTCTCATTCCACACTTTTGACCTGCTCACGCAAATATTTTCTTAAACCCTCTATTAGATTGCTGTCTCCCAGGCAAGGCCTTGATCATTAATAATGCAGTTCAGCACAAAAAGCCTGGAGATGCTCATTTTATTTTATGTTTATTCTGCTTCTTTCATTCCTCTTGACACAAAGGCCCACGCATATATATATATATATATATATATATATACACATACACTTATTACCCTTGATTCAACCTTATGTTTACAAAATCCATTTCTAAAAGTTTTTGAGCATTGGTGTTTCTCAGAGCTGTCATGTATGGATGCACAGGCTGTGCACTGCACAACTAGGAGGAGCCATTTACAGATGCAACTATGCACCTGGCCCCTGGAGTTGTGTGATGCTGCGGCTCTGCTGCTAGTGCTGCTGCCTCTCACCACCCTGACAGCTGACTTTCACTGTCAGTCTTCTGCCTTCCTTGTTGGCCTCACCTTCTCATCTAAGCCTTGCCTTCTTTTTCTCTTCCAAGCCTCTCCTGCTTCAAATTCTTGCCTCAGGACTGAGGGCTACCCGGCCCCTGCCTCACCCCCTGTCCCCAGGGGCCTCTCAGTCTATACAATGTTGAACTTGCCTGCTCAGGGCTCCACAGGCTCTGGATTTCCAAGATAGAGCAAAGTCTCCTGTGGGCTCTCTGGCTCTTCACCATTCTAAACTCCCCAGGGCAAGTAGGAAAAGTGAGACTGTCCCAGATAAAGCCACCAGGAGGTGATGTCTGGCTGCTACTAAATATTGTTAGTAAATGACGAGTTCCATTTATGTATGTATTTATTTATTTAGAGCCTGGAGTGCAGTGGCATGGTTATGGCTCACTCTACCCTCAACCTCCTGTGTTCAAGCGATCCTCCCACCTCAGCCTCCAAAGTGTCTGGGACCACAGGCATGCACCACCATGCCTGGCTAATTTTCTTATTTTTTTGTAGAGCTGGGGTCTCACTATGTTGCCCTGGTTGGTTTTGAACTCCTGGGCTCAAGCCATCCTCTTGTCTTGGCCTCCCGAAGTGTTGGGATTACAGGTGTGGGCCACCACACCTGGCCAGAGTTCTTATGAGAAGCAAAAGCCTCCATGTGTCTGTATTATAAACATGAATGGACACCTGAGCAGCCCATGAGAAGCATATCTGGTCCTAGACAGTGTGAGGAAATGACAGTCGTGCCTACGGTGCCTTTGCTAATCCCATTCTGTGTGTGTGGTAAGGGGCTGGGCAGGAGAGGGGAGATGATCTTATATGAGAACAGCTGCTGCCTCTTAGAAGTTTGCTTCCTTGGCTTCACCTGGGAGCTCACGGCTCCCTTACGCATCTGTTTCACATTTATTTCTTGCGTACCTAGGGGTTGTCTGAGTGTTTGCTTTTGGAATTAGAGGAGAGAAAGTAAATAAAATATCAACTCTGGATATTATAGATCCTTTTGATTAGCATTTAAAACCCTTCAGCCATGTGTTCAGGGCTGATTCCCTCCATCCAGGGGCTAAGTGCTGGCCATCCACCATGTTTTAAAAAGCAGGAACCAGCCAGGCACAGTGGCTCATGCCTGTAATCCCAGCACTTTGGGAGACGAGAGCATCACTTGAGGCCAGGAGTTTGAGACCAGCCTGGGCAACATAACCAGACCTCATCTCTACAAAAAAAATTTTGTTAATTAGCCAGATGTGGTGGTGTGCACCTGTGCACCTGTAATTGCAGCTACTCAGGAGGCTGAGGATGGGGGATCTTTTGAGCTTGGGAGGTGGAGCCTATAGTGAGCCATGAACCATTATTATACCACTGCGTTCCAACCTGGGCAGCAGAGGCCTGTCTCTAAAAATAATAATAATGATAAATAAGTAAAGTAAAGTGAAAATCAGAGACTTGCTTCTGTTATTTTCTCCAAGACAAGTTTACTGGTTCTAAAAGGCATTCTCAAAGAACCACCCTCTGGGGCCCCTCCCTATGTTTCTGTCTCTTCAATATAAATTCTTCCATGGACAGAAAAGAATTTGGCTTTCAGTTTGGCTCTACTGACCAGTTCTGCGTCCTTAAGAAAACATTTAGGGTCTCTGAGCCGCTTGGTTTCATCCATTTATTTTCCACCTATAACATGGAAATAATGAAAACAATTGCATTTGCCTCATGGGGTTGTTTAGAGGATGCCAGCAGACTTTTTCTGCAAGGGGCCAGATAGTAAATATTCTAAGCTTTGCAGGCCATAACAGTCTTTGTAGCAACTACTCAACTATGCCCTATTAGGGAAAGCCACCACAGACAATGCATCAAAGAATAGAGTTGGGTGTGTTCCAATAACAAAAACACGCAGCCAGCAGAAATTGGCCCACTGGTGGTAGCTAAATCAAGCAGATGACGCAAGAAATGTGTATGAAAGTAAACTGTAAAGTGCCATCTAAAAGTGAGGGTGATGAGGTAAAGAGGCCACGCAACAGGCTCAGTGATACAGACTTGGTACAGACTGGACCTGTTAGCAGAAGCCTTGGTCTTTGTGCATACCCACCTCTCTTGAGAGCCTGGGAGAGGCGCAGTTGGGTCCAGGGGAGCTGGACGTGCTGGTCAGCAGGGGGATCTTCTTGCCCAGTGGTTTCCTTGTTCATGGAATAAGCATAAGAATGAACTTGAAGCTCAGGGCAAAAAGTGTCTACATGAAGGCACCAAATGATCTATCTGAGCTTTGGCACCAGCTGTTTACAGCCATGGTTGGGAAAGGCAGTGCCCACATCTGCAGACCTTGGGGGAAGTTGGATCGGTCCATCCTGCTGTGGAAAGAGGAGCTTCTAGTACCAGCCAGCTCAGGGGAGGCAACCAGGGAAGAGTCCCCAGGCCCTTTCCAGACAATCCTGCTAATTTCCACAGAAGATGACAGGACAATTTCATGACCCCCAAAGGAGGCAGCATGAAGTCACGGAAAGATTAGGAGCTGTGGGGTGAGGTGGGCTCAGATCCCAGCCCCATTCCCAATCACCATACCATAAAGGTACAATCTTCAATGGCAGGTAACCACTGAGTAAAGCAGATTGCTTTTATGATAGGAATGGGCCTAGTCTAATCTGTTGAAGGCCTAAAGAGACCAAAAGGTGGAGAAAGAGAATTTGCTCTCTCTGCTTGACTGTCTTTGAGCTGGGACATCGATCTTCTCCTGCCTTTAGACTTGAACTCAGACTAAGACTTATACCACTGGCTCTCCTGCTTCTCAGGCCTTTGGGCTTGGACTGAAACTGACACCACCGGCTCTCCTGGGCCTTCATCTTGCTGACTGCAGATCCTGGGACTTGCAAGCCTCCAAAGCCCTGCGAGCCAATGCCTTACGATAAATCCCTTTGTATAAAGGCTCCATCGCCTGTTGTTTCTGTTTCTCTGGAGAACCCAGACTGATATAAGCAGCTAACATTCCTTGAGCTCTGATTTGCCAGACGCTGTGGTAAATGCTTGCCAAGCAATTCTCAGGTAACCCCTACCTCCACCAGATGAGAGAAGCACCATTGTTCTTCTTCCCTCAGAGATGGTAATGACCTTTCCTAAAATCACCAAGGTAGTGAATAGTAGAACTGGAATTCGACACTAAATCTGCCTGACTCCAAAGTACATTATTCCATACCACTCTGGGCTCTCCATTTTACCGAAGCCCAAGGCACTGATCTCCCTTGAAACTGTCAGCCACCTCTACCCAGCTGCTGGCCCACAGTCCCACCTGCCCTTACAGCGCTCTGTAATTCATTGACTCACCAAGTGCTGAGCATGGACTAGTGTGCTCCGCCACGTGCAGGGCACTGGGTGTGTAGTAATGAGCAGTTGTACATAGCTCCTGCTCTCTCAGAGCCCACAAGAAGGAGTCCTTCCTTCAAGGGAAGAAGATGTTAGTTGCACAGGCAATTGCTGCCCATATGATAAGGGATGGAGTGATGTGGAAGTACAGAGCATAGGAAGCACAGAGCTATTTGGAGGAAGAACAGCTGCAGCGAAACCTAAAGAATGAGAAGGTGTTTAAGAGGCGAAGAATAGACTCTTTGGAGTCAAGAGGTGTATGAATGTGTTCAAGTGATGGTTTGTAATTCTATTAACTACAACATGCCCTTCTCTGTGAGATATATATATATATATATATATATATATATATATATATATATATGTATTTGTAGTTGATGTTGCTATGTAAAAATATTTTGTTAAGGCTCCTTTTCAGTAGTATAATCTACCTATATACATAATTTTTAAAAACCAGTATAAAATCCCAATTGTAATATAAAGGGGAAACAAAAGGAAAGTAGTTTCAGTAAAATAATCTGCATCTCCATATGCAATCGCTCAAGCATAACCACACTAGTGTAGTGAAGTAGACAGAAGTTAGCACCTCTCAGTGGAATTATAGTGAATGTGATGGTCACGTGTTATGTTGGCAACTCAAATACCATGAGCAGCATTGCCAACATTGCTGTGAATTTCATAATGATTAACAACCTTGGTAATCATCCAAATAAAACAAACTATAAATCTTTCTTTGATTTACAGAGTTGTTGCATCCCTGGAAATCTTAGCTTGTGCAAAAAAACCAAAAACCAAAAAGCTTTGTGTTTATATGTCCAATGGAGTTTGCACCCCTGTTTTACAGCCACCTGGGGCCCAGACAGGGACTGTGAGACTCAGATTATTATAACTAATTTTTCACCTATCTAATGTCTGTTGGGACATTCAAAATGATGCAGGTCATGGGATAATTCTTTTGTTGTGCTGGACTGCTTCGCTCTGGCCAATGTGGGACTTCCACGTTCTTCATGCCCAACGCACTCTATGTGGTAGCACCTCCTCCAATCAATGTGGCAAAGAGTCCCTCAGATTTTCCAGAGGGTCTTTTAGGAGTGGTAACTGCCCCCCTTAGAGAAACACCAAGCTAAGGAAGCTCTGAAGCAAAGGTGTCTAAAAAAGAAATAAAATAAAATAAATGAAACCATTGAAATTAACTTTAATAATATAATTTATGTAACCCCATATATCCAAAATTCTTTCATTTCATACACATAATCAATATAAAACATCATTAAAGATATTTTACATTTTTTGTACTGTCTTTGAAATCCAGTGTCTATTTTTTGTGGGGGGAGGGGTCAGGGTCTCCCTCTGTTGCCCAGGCTGGAGTGCAGTGGTGCCATCATAGTTCACTGCAGCCTCGACCTCCTGGGCTCAAGAAATCCTCCCACCTCAGCCTCCTGAGTAGCTGGGACTACAGGCACATCCCACACTATACTGGCTAATTTTTTATTTTTTGTAGAAACAGAGTGTCGTTATATTGTCCAGGCTGGCCTCAAACTCCTGGCCTCAAGCAATTCTCCCACCTTGGCCTCCCAAAGTGCTGGAATTACAGGTGCGAGCCATCTCAACTGGCTTCAATATGTGTGACTGTACATGTGTGGCACATCTCAGAGGAACCTGTTTCAGACACTCAGCAGCCGCAGGTGCTGGAGGCCGCCATATTGGATAGTGCCACTCTAGAAAGTATCTGGTCCCTTTCTTCAGCACAGGGCTTCTTTTTGAACACTCAGTTTCCCAGAACTTTTATACTTAGGAAAACACAGACTCAGGTTTTCTAGACAGGTACTTGGAAACCAACCCACAGACTGTGATCCCAAGATGCAGCGGACACACCGTTCACAGCCAGCCACAAAGCAGCGAATGCAGGGCTACATCACACTGCCAGCTCCCTGCTCCTAGTCACAGAGCCGTGCCGAGTCACAATTAACTGCTGATAACCACACACGGCTGAGTGCTGGCTGCAAATTGAAGGCCCCCTTGAAAATGCTGGAAACAGATGTTCTGTAGACTCTGACCTCTCATCATTAATTTTAGAATTTAAATGCCTGTTAATTTCCCCCCTTTTATTGCTGAGCTCCACACAGCAGCATGCTCAATGTCAATGGGAGCATCCGTTGGGGGCATTCCATCTATCAAATCTGAAGGTCACTGGAAATCTGGGAGCTCAGAGGAGGAAAGAAGGACCAGGAGCAAGGAGAGGGGGCCCTTGGGCACACAGGGTGAGGCTGAGAAGAGGCTCCTCTGGCTACAACTGAAGCCTGAGCAGAGGAGATGAGCACCCACCTACCTGCCCTTGTCCAGTGCATAGAGAAAAGAAGGGGTTTGGGGAGGAAACATAGGTGAGTGTGAGAAAAATCAAAAGCAGTGATCTGAGGGAGTCTCACTCACTCCCCACATCTGACACCTTCCTTTTGCCATCTGATGACCTAAAGTGGCTTATCGGGAGCTAGTACCCAGAGAGAGACAACACACAGACTTTGGAGTCAGAAAGACCAGGTTCAAGTTCTGTTCCTCTTACTTTCTAGCTGAGAGACATTGGGCACGCACATACACTGAGCCTCTGGTGGCTTGGGTCAGGAATGGGGATAAGGTCGCTCATTCAGCTTTATGAGAAGGTCACAGTATGATGATAGATATAGTGCCTATATCTATCTATCGATAGATATATCTATCTATCGATAGATAGATATAGCTTGGTACACAGCAGGGACTTAATAAATACCCATTCATTCTCCCTTTATCGCCTATTCTCAATGCCATAGTTGATGAGGATGATAGAATTTACAGTGGCTGGTGATGATGACTTTAGAGGTCTCCCAGAACCATCCTCCAGGAAATGGAAGATGTTTTGAGCCCAAAACTTTTAGGGGAAGAATCAAAGCAACCTCCTTATTAGACCAGAGACTGACTCCAGCACTCCATCACGGGGCCTAGCCTGCTGGCCGGCTCAGGAACATTTCATGCCGGCCCCTGCTAGGTGGCCCTGAGGGAGATGGGTTCTTGATCATTCAGTTCCCCCAAGCTCCCCAGCCACAAGATCACCCCTTCCCACAATGAAATCACTTCTCATTTCAGGCCTCCAGGGCTTTCTTTTCTTTAAATGGTTTGCTAAAGTGCCCTAGATTGGGGTTGAGATTTCAGCCAATTTTTGTGAAGAAACATGATTACACTTTGTCAGTACTTCGGAGAAAACAGTTTCCTTCACAAAAGGAGGACCTCTAGGGCTTTTAACTTTACGTCTATAAGAAAGAAAAAAAATCCCTCAGGAGCCTATGGAGTCTCAGGCAAAGCTCCAGAAAGCACCTCAACTTTACATTGTCATTTTTACCCTTGGAATTTGACCCGCTTCCTGGGGAGGACAATCACTGCATCAGAGAGACCACCGAATCCCAGTCAGCCCTGAGAGCTGCTCCCCAGCCCGGGTGGGGAGAGCCTGCCAGTGCTGTTGGCAAGATGACCTGACTGCATGGACCTTGGGTCACCTTTCCTGCCTTCTCCATTATGGATGAGGTCATTTTCCTCTATGGAACTGAAGCCAGAGTAATAGCAGTTGTTAGAACCCATGCCCTCTACCCTTGCCCTGCAACTGTGGTCCTGCTTTTAGTGTTTGCACCCCTGTTTACAGCCATCTTTGGCCCAGACAGGGACATGAGGCCAGCATCTCCAGGATTTGTAGGAAATGATCTGCCTTCCTCCACTGCCAAATACTAAGTCTCCTCAGATTCCTTACTGGCCAGGAGGCTGATAGGCAGACGGATAGGAACCCAGTCTTTTTCCTCTCTGTTTGCTGAGATCTGTTTTAAGATTGACAACCCATTCAAAAATATCTCATCACTGCTCTGTGTCCTGATTAGTACTCTACACACACACGTGCACGTTCACTCCCACACACATGCACACACACACATGCATACATTCATTCCCACACGCATGCACACACATGCACACGTGCATTCCCACACACATGCACACACATGCATACATGCATTCCCACACACATGCACACAGGCACATGCATATGCACATGTATACATACATATTAAAATCAGTAAAAGTTGAATAAGAGCTATAGTTTAATCATTAGTATTGTACCAATGTCAATTTCTTGGTTTTGAAAGAGCTGGGTGAAGGGTACATGGAAACTCTTTATACTTTTCTGCAACTTCTCAAATTATTTCAAAATAAAAAGTCTCTCCCAGAAGTTCCCTCAGGTCCTTACAAAAATTAAGCAACTTAGCCTAGGGTCCTGTTCCGACAGCCAGAGTTCCCTCTATGGAGCTGCATGTCCCTTTTGAGCATTTACTAAGAGGCATTTTCCTCCCTGGGCACCAGACAATGTCCATACTCATTGTGACTTTGGTTCTTGGCTTTGTGCCCTGTTTCTTTACCTATTTGGGGAAGTGTTCATTACAAAATTGTTTTTATAACTGCTTCTCTTTTTTTGCCATTGACAAGGAAGCATTGGGGGAAACAGGATCCCCAACGTACTTTGCCATAGCTACTTGGTTTCCCTGAGTTTCACACTTTCACACACCAGCTTGTGACAGCAAATTGTCCCATCCTCACACCATCCTGAGATCACTCAGCTTCTTCCCTTTGCTCTCCCTATGGCTGTAGCCGCTGCCTGGCACGGGACAAGCACTCGAGAAATGCTTTTTGAAAGATGAGTCCTAAATAGAATCAGGTAGGACATCAGAGATGCTGGGGAAATAACTTAAATCAGACAGTTTCTTCCTCCTTTTGGCCATTCAATGACAATTGTGCCCTGCATGTGATTTGTGAACTTCAGGGGAGAGGTTTGTTTTCTTTGGGGAAGGCTAAGTTCAGTATGAGCCCAGGGATTCTGAAGGCAGCCCTCCTGCCACTGGGAAGAGGCTATTCACAGAACGAAGACAGAGAAAAGCAAGATAACAGATAGCCAGGGCTGGGGTGGGAAGATGGAGAGAGAGAAAGAGAGACAGAGAGACAGAGAGAGAGAGAGAGAGAGAGAGAACTCTGAGGGCACTGCCCGAGCTGCTGGCTTCAGCTGTGCCTGAACTTTCCAAGTCATATAAGCAGAGCTGCCACCTCTTCCTCTAGCAGATGCACCCAGAGCAGCTCCTGCTTCCACGAAAGCCTGTGCAGCGCTGCCACTCTACAAGATCCCTCTTCGAACTGATCAGAATGTGTATCGTCACCCAGTGCACCGGCTCTCCACGCTGCATTGCTCATCCTCACACATTGAAACTAAACACGTCGAAAATGTCACAGATGCTCCAACAGCAAAGGAAATTGGCATCTAAAAAATCGAGCGGGGGAAGTGATCATAGAAAGCTTCGTGGATACACCACATTTTAAAGACTAAGCATCGTCGGGGAAGCGGTGCCAGGCCAAGGGTGGTGTGTGGGGAAGTATACAGAGCCGTGAGAGAGGCAGAGCGAGGCATGTGGGGGATGAGCAGAGGAAGAGCTGGAGGAAAGGCATATTGAGGAGTGTAAGGAGGACGAGGGCCAGGACTTGAGGGCTGATGATGTGAAGTCCTGAGCGCTGCGGGGAGCTGCTGGGGAGTGTTAGACAGGCCACAGTGTCATCAGAATCGAGTGTGGAAAGTGTTATTCTGGCAGTCCGGTGGGGATTGTTTGGGAAAACTGTAGGCAAGGACATCACCTTGCAATTCTGGCAGCCGGGTGGGGGTTGTTTGGGAAAATTGCAGGCAAGGACCTCACCATGCAATTCTGGGCAAACAGAGATGATGCCTGTGTCAGATGCTGGTAGGGAGAGCTTTCCTAGAGCTCCTCTTTTCTCAATAAAATGGGAGACAAGCTCATCAGCTGAGCGTAAGATGTAGGAGGTGTGGAAGGTTTGAGGAGAGGGGAGGTGGGGTAACTGAACCGTGCCAGACTCCTGAGAAGCCACGAAGGGATGGAATTCAAGTCACAGGTGGGAGGCTGCATGTAGATGGCTGAAGGGCCTTCTGTCCTGGCACGGAAATGGTGCAGGAGGGCAGGTGCAAAGAGAGGCTGGTGTGTATAGATGGAGTGGGGGACACTCCGTCTCTGGGGTCTTTGGTCCTGTCCTCACTAGTGTCTTGAGGGTTGCACAATGTCAAGGCACCCCCTTGGCAGGGCAATGCTGATGGCCACAGAGCATGGCCTGCACTGCTTGGTTTTATGCCGGAAGGTTTTCCCAACTTCCAGTATCAGGAAGAGGAGGCTGGAGATTCTGTTCCTGGGCTCCCAGGAGGCCCTGGGTTTTCCTCTGCAGGTTCCTCATCAACCCCAACCCAGAGGTCTGCGTACCAAGGAAGGCCATCTCTACAATAGAAAACAAAACAACAACAATTAAAACCTCGAAGCTTCTATTGCACTCTTTAGGCTTATGAAGGGAAGCAACTAAGGTGATTCTTCACAGGTAACCTGCTACCTCCACCTCCAGATATAAAGAGGTTGGTTTAACTGCATATTCCACACCAGCAGGCTCTCAGCTGAGACTTTGGCAGAAGCTTGGGCTGAAGGGCCTCTCCTGACACTGACCTAGAGGTGGAGTCTGGATTCCAGCATCCCTTGCACAGAGTTTCTATTATGTTTTAATATAGTAAATGACATTTTTTTTTTGCTTCTTTTGTACCCTAAAATGGAATTCAATGGCCTTGCTGATTTGAATCCATCAGCTTGCCTTGCTTTCCAAAGCCCCATTCTCTCCCGTCTCTCCCCATCCCACAGGTAGTGTGTCTCCTCCTTCCCAGCACTCTTCACTTTTGGCTCTTTGTTACTTTACCTTCATTTCCTATCCAGTCTGTTCAGCTTCCTCCTCTCTTCCCAGTTCCCCAACTCCCAACCAAGGCTCCCTGCTCACCCCATTCTCTTCTCTCATTTTTTTACTTGAAAAAGACAGAGGTCCAAGCACACAAGATTTTCATGATGTATTTCGTGAAAATACAATAAAAAATGAAAGGCCAGCTCACCTGTGTCTTAGTCAGCTCGTGCTGCTACAGGGAAATACCATAGACTGGGTGGCTTGGGCAAGTGTTTACTTCTCATGGTTCTGGAAGCTGGAAGTCTGAGATCGGGGTGCCAGCATGGTTGGGTTCTGGTAGTAATGTGAGGCCATGTGAGGCCATTATCTCTTCCTGGCCTTCTTTGGTGCATGCACACAGAAAGGCCTCTGTCTCCTCCTCATTTGGTATGGGCATTAATCCCATCACGAGGCTCTGCCCTTGAATGCAACCTAATTACTTCCCAAAGTCCCCATCTCCAAATAGCATCACATTGGAGATTAGAATTTCAGCATCTGAATTTTGAGGAGACACAAACATTCTGCCCATAGCATCCTAATTCTGGAGATGTTGTCTGGAGGCAGTGGGGTTGGGAGAAGGGCCGGTCCTGGAAAGTGAGTCTGCAGCCCAGACCCACCAACCCACAACTGCCACAGTCAGGGGTAGGGTTTTTGTTCTGATGACATTGACAGTATTCAGAAATGCCCAAAGTATCAGTCAGGCCCTGGCATGAGAATTGATAAAGAATTCCATAAAGGATTAGGCAAAAGCTGGAGGTGAGAGAAAATGCCAAAATCACATTTCTCAGCCTTCCTGGAAGTGAAGGAACTGGAGTCTCATTGGGGGGGAAGTATGAGGCTGAAGGGTGTTGTGTCCACAGGTTCATTCCATTCATGAAAAAGAGATCCCTTGCTGGGGCATCTTAATGTCAGAAGCTTCATTTGACAAGCAAAGAAAACACATACAGGACGTCTCTGTAACCTGTAAATGTGCGTATAAAACACAGGGCAATGGCTGTTTGAAGAGGGAGCAGAAAGCCCATTGTGGCTCTTTGGATAACTGAAGAAACAAGTGTGCAAAAGTTTCTTTCACCGAAACCAGGACCATCCCCGCAAATGTGAGGCTCACATATGGGCTGTGGCAAGTATGTGAATTTATTTATGAATGACTGCAGGCATAAGTATATAAAAAAGGCAATTGACACAATCTTTCTTCAACCCATGTGCCAAGTCAGTGTTCTGCTTGTTTGAAAGGTTAGTCTCAGTGAGAACTTTAAAAAGGTTATTTGGAGAAACAAAGAAAAATGGGGTGGTGGGAGGGGCTGCCAACATCCATCGGAGATTAAGCAATTTCTCTCCTTTTCTGGCATTGGCCTCAGAAAAGCCAGCGTTGGTCATCAGACTACTTCGTGCAGAATCTGAAGCTATGTTGAGCTGTTAGTGACTGCTAATCGGATCCTAGGATGTGTTTTTTCTTTTCTATGCCAGGTAAACCATACATGCCAGCAACACACTTTGAGATTATTCTTGCTCTGAATTGTAGAAATGCATGCTTAGGGTACATCCAGCAGAGTGCTTTGATTAGAAATTTAGATAACCGGTAAGAAATCACCGGAGGGAGATAGAATCTGGCAAACAAATTGCTTCTGGATGTTGAGTCACTCCTTATGCTAACACGGTATCTTCATTAGTTAATGGGTCTGTTCAAAGAACTGATAAAGCTGGTTAAATATTGATGATTTGATCAGCCTTATTTAAAGAACTCAAGGGACTGGGCTAATTGAAATGTCTTTTCTGAATGTGGAGGACAGCCATGCCAACAAAAAAAAAGTGTAGTAAAAACAAGGACCATAAAAAAACGGGAGGTTTGCCATTTTTCTTCAAATTTAAACTAGATGCTTTTTGAAACTGCTTCTAGTCACAAAATCATTTTATAAAGTTATTGAAATGTGAGTCACTAATGCTGATTTTTATTTTTCTGTGGCTCCTAAAACTTCAGACTTAATTGTTTTCTCTCTACAGAAAAATAAATACTATTGCAAAACAATCTGTTGTTGTAGCTGGATTCATTAGAAAACAGGAGTTCTTTAGAAACATTACCTATCCCAAGCCTTGCAATGATCTTGTTTGATATTTGTATCTTTTCACAGCTGAGGCATGAAAGGGTTAGTTTGCCCCGCACATAGCTCTAATCCAAAAAAACAAGGATGTAACCCCAGTCTCTCAAGCTTGCCCAGGCAGAGTGTTATTTCTAAAATTATACACTGACCAGAGGCTGGCAACCAAGTCCCTTTTAAAGGAAATAACATTAAGACTAATATTGGACTTTTGAATGTCAATGTTTTATGCCAGAAGGTTAGGGGTAGCAAATTTAAAACACCCAAGGAAAGAAAATGTGGGCCAAAGACTGTGAATTTAGACAAACTGATCTTCAAGTATAAAGGCCACAGACAAACTGTTATGAACATATTAGAATTTAGGGAATATTGTACCCCCGATCCTTTCCTAAGGAATTGACTTGAGAACATGCTTGGACCAATCAAAATGACTGGTGAGACATACTTGCCTATAAAGCTAATATTAAATGGGAGAATATGGGAGACGGTATAGTAATAATTGCACACTCTGATAATGTCTCTGCAGCCCAACCATTAAACTGTGGAGAAGGAAGGTGGAGAGTGCCTGTATATGGAAAGAAGAAAAGCTAACTTCATGGCTTTCTTGTATTAACTGTGAGTAAAATAATATTATAGTACTTCAAATTAGATGCTAGAGAACAGGGAAGAGAGGGGAAAGAAAAGATGACTTGCTATGATCAGATTACTCAAAGGAGGGAACTGATAAGATCCAAAAAGTGGGACTGAGTGTTACATAAAAGCAGTCATATAGGTTGGGTGCAGTGGCTCACGCCTGTAATCCTAGCACTTTGGGAAGCCGAGGCGGGCAGATCACCTGAGGTCAGGAGTTCGAGCCCAGCCTGGCCAACATGATGAAACCCCATTTCTACTAAAACTACAAAAATTAGCTGGGTGTGGTGATGGGCACCTGTAATTTCAGCTACCCCAGAGGCTAAGGCAGGGAGGGTTGCTTGAACCTGAGAGGCAGAGGTTGCAGTGAGCCAGGATGGTGCCAGTGCACCAGCCTGGGCAACAGAGCAAGCGAGACTCTATCTCAAAAAAAAAAAAAAAAAAAAGCAGTCACATAAAGGTCAATTTTGGACTAAAACACAAACCCTCCTGTTGTCCCTGCCTGAATCTCATGTTAAAATGTAATCCCTGATGTTGGAGGTGGGGCCTGGTGGGAGGTGGTTGGATGATAGGGAGCAGATTTCTCATGAATGGTTTAGCTCCATCCTCTTGGTGCTGTCCTCATGATGGTGAATGAGTTCTTGTGAGATCTGGTCGTTTAGACGTGTGTGGCACCTCCCCCTCCCCTTTCTCTTTCTTGCCCTTGTTTCACCACATGATGCACCTGCTTCTCCTTCACCTTCTGCCACGATTGTAAGCTTCCTGAGGCTTCCCCAGAAGCCAAGCGGATGTCAGCAACAGGCTTCCTGTACACCATGCAGAACCATGAGCCAATTCAAACTCCTTTTTTTAAATAGCCCACTCTCAGGTATTTCTTTATAGCAACACAAGATTGGACTAATATATTCCCTAAACATGAAAGCTGTATCAGAAAGAATACATAAAACAGGAGGCCACATAATAAAAAATACGAAGTGAACTACATCAATCATATCAGTGCAACTAAAGAGACTTAGCTATGAAAACAGTTTCAGATTGGCTAACAAAGTCAAAAAGAAAATTATGCTGTATTTAAGAAGATCATCTGAAACAAAGAGATTCACATAGGTTAAGAAATAAAAGGCTGACCACTGAAAAAAAAATCAAATCATTTTTAGTAATCATATTGTTGGCAGCAGTGAGTGTTACTATCACGATTCTGAGGTTGTTATGTGAGTTGCTGCAAGGTAAAGGAAACGAGCAGTTACAGTGATGCTGCTGGGAAGCATAATTTTTTTTTTTTTTTTTTTTTTTTGAGATGGAGTCTCACTCTGTTGCCCGGGCTAGAGTGGAGTGGTGTGATCTCTACTCACTGAAACCTCTGCCTCCCGGGTTCAAGCTATTCTTGTGCCTCGGCCTCCCAAGTAGCTGGGATAACAGACATGCACCACCACACCTGGCTAATTTTTGTATTTTTAGTGGAGTTGGGGTTTCACCATGTTGCTCAGACTGGTCTCGAACTCCTGACCTCAAGTGATTTGCCTGCCTCGGCCTGCCAAAGTTCTGGGATTACAGGCATAAGCCACCGCACCTGGCTGGAAGCAGAATTTTTAATGTGAAAGAAGGAAGGTATTGGTGTAAGATAGAAGATTTGAAGTAAAAACCTTATTGCTCTGAATTGCATTATACCAGTTGTATGGGTATTAGCGAAGACTCTCTTCTGACCAAGCCTCTAGTCAGGCTCTGAGTTCTTTCTGACTAGGCCTGACCTTGGGTTTCCCTCTCTGTCCTTGTAGAAACTGGTTTGAGCAAAAATCCTGCTGAGTCTGTGTACAAAAATCCCCCACCCTTGGTATCTGACCCCCCTCGATACCTAATCATCCTGGCTTGGCTTCAGGAAGAATCCTATGGAGACAGTTGGACCAGAAGCCCCTTTTCCTTTATGTTTGCTCTTCTTTTCCATCCACTGAGCCCCGCTCTGCTCCTTGGTTAAATCCCACCTGTTCGTGTTGGAGTCAGAGTTGAGTCCCATCTGAAGACTGTTGCAGTGGTCCTTCTACCTGTCACCATGGCCCCCTGGAATAAAGTCTTTATCCATCTTTAGCAAGTGTCAGGAACGAATTTTTTCTTTAGCAGAATTCGTAGTGGATTTTATTTGTCCAGAGAAGTTATTATGTATTTTGTAGTTCAGTTCATTGAATGGGCCCACAAATAAGACTGTGGTCTCTAAATACCATTCTCCACTAAAAGAAACAAGGATCTTTGAGGAAATGGCTAATTCCACATCTTAGGCAAGAAATGTACAAAATGATTCTGAAACATCTTCTAATACTAGGAAATAGGGAAGCTGTTTTTTTTAAAGCTGGATTGTGTCAATATGTTTAGGAGTCCATTTGAAAAGGTTCCTATTGGCCAGAGATGATATAACTGGGGCATCTGTATGAATAATAATGGCAGTGGATTGAAGCAAATCAAAAATGTGTAAATCTGCGAGTTTTTAATTACATAGATTTTAAAAACTCAGCTAACTTCAGGGGTGACTGGTAAGTAGAGGGAAAGAATAAGTGTTTATCTCCCCTTTCCTGTATGAACTGCGTCTCACAACAACCAAGCTATCGATGAGGAAAATTTCTCTTTCTAGGAGGCTTCCAGTTTATAAATGGAGAAAGAATGATGGAACCAGATCATTATCATTTTGCAACAGCTGATAAAATAGTGGGCACAGACAACAACAGTTAATGGCTACTGACATCACAAAGAGACTATCAGACATTATAGGCTTCCTTTTGGAATATACAACACCAGCACGAAATATTTCTGCCAAATAATCTAACCTCATTGTATTCAAGTCTCTGCTCCTTACAGAAGCTCTCTCTTTATCTAAACTGGGAGGCAGCTGGGAATTTGGATTGAAGAGGAGGGCTGGGAGGGCGAGAGAGGGGTGAGAGAGGAAACAAGATTAACTTCAGAATTTGAAGGACAATTTCACAAAATAAATCCTTTAAAAATCTGGATTCCTCTTTGTGACATTGGTTTTGCTTTGATGAGAGCATGTTGATGCATGAAGACTTCATGTCATCTTGGTTGAAAGTGCGCTTTAAAGTTCAATAGTCATAGCCGTTTGACCTTGAGCAAATCACGTATTGTTGTGAACCCCTGTTTCTTCATGAGAAAATGAAGGCTGATAATATCTTCCTTACAGGTTTATGAGAAGTTGATGAGATACAGAATGGGAAAGTGCTTGGCACGTAGTCACTCAACCAATAGCTCCTGTGCCCATTCCTCAAGTGGCTGAGGGTGGTATCCCTTGACAATGTTGCCACATTCAATTTGCAGAGCACTTCAGAGTGAAATTGCCATGAGTAAACTTGAATTTTGTTGTGAATATTTGTTCTTCTTTCAGTTAAGCATCTTTGAACATCCTTCCTATGCTTCAGGGGATTCTCCACCTAGTGAATCTGTGCTTCCCCAGATTCAAGGAAGAAACTCACCTTCCCAGCCTCCCTCTGCAGCTGGGGCCATGTGATCAGGCTCCACCAATCAGAGCTGCTACAAAGGACTTTCAATTCAGCAGCCAGAGAAGGAAAAGGCAGCTGCCACAGTCTCCATTCTGCTGAGGGAGGCAGCAGTGCCAGGGCTCCTCGTGGGACCATCTGGGCTCTGTATATAAAGGGTAAGATGCAGAACCCATGCCCAGAGGCATAGTGGTGCCCACCACATGGGAGTGATCCTGCAGTGGGGTTTGGGCCCTACTCCTGGTTGCATAAATTCAAGACTGGTTCTCCAGCCCTCTAATGTCCGTTCATACTTTTTTTTCAACTTAAACCAGGCAGAATTAGTTTTGCTGACCCTTCTTTATTTCTTTATATATGGCCCCTCTTTATTAGCCAGGATAGGTGTACTGCCGTAACAACCCCACATCTCAGTGATTTAATTTAACACGCCAGTCAGGTGGCCCTCCTCTGAGCAGTGATTTGAGAGATTCAACCCCTTCCAGCTTGTGAAGCCACTGCTCTGGAAAGTCTTGGGGTTTTCTGCTGGATTCTTGGTTGGGTCTAGACAGTTTATGAACAAAGAGAAAAAGTGTGAAGGATTTCATGGGAGTCAGTAGGTGCTGGACTGGAAAATTGCATCCATCTTTCCACAAGGCAAGTGGGTGAAAGGTGTAGGCTAGCTGTGTGCCTGAGAAGAAGAAATGGCCAGCCCCATCACTGTGGCCTTGGCTAAGTCCATCCAAGCACTACTTTCCTTGTATCAGGAAGTTCTCCCTCATGGTTCACTCCAGTTCATAATAAGGATTAAAATCTGATAATGTGGGCACAAGGGCTTTGTGAAGTGTAAAGTTCTACATTGATAAAAGATATATCACACAAACGTGGATATCACTTGCAGACATGCTACATTTTACAGCAAATGTTGGTCAGAGTCTCTGGATAATCATCACCTGAATTCTATTTTTAAACCCTAAACCATGTCAATTAAAATAAATCCAGGCCTAGGTAAGGGGAGACTTTTTTCAAAAAGAGGAGATTTTTGCTATAAGGGAAGGAACTGTTGCAATAGGAAGAACACTCTGACCATATGACCTGAAGCATCAAAAGTCAAGCAAAGAGGGCTTTTCTTTCACAAGCAAGAGAGGACAGATGTGGGGACTTAGAATGGATGGTGTGATGGGACATAGAATGGATGGTGTGATGGCACAGCTGGTTAGGAAGTATCTTGTCTTGTAATCAGCTGATTCTCAGGAGGGGAAGTCAAGGAAGGGTTGTTCCTTGTTCTTTAAGCTCATGGGTGGGTCAAGATCCAGGAGCTTCTGGGGAGTGGGGAGACTTGATTAAAATTTTATCACATCAAGTCAATGGGTATTTAATCCATATTGGTCAGTGGGGCAAACCGTTCAGCAAATCATTTGTGAGAAAAAGAGCATTCCATGGTTTGATTTTGACCCCCCAAAGTTCATGTGTTGGAAACTTAATCTTCAATGCAACAGTGTTGAGAGGTGGGACCTGTAAGAAGTGATTAGATCATAACGGCTTAGCCCTCGTAAACGGATTAATGCTGTTATTGAGAGAATAGGTCATTGAAGAAGTGAATTCTTGAAGAAAAAAAAGGATGACTTTAGTCCTTTTCCTCTTTTGCTCACTCTTATGCTCTTTTGCCCTTCCACTTTCTGCCATGGGATGACACAGCATGAAGATCCTTGCTAGATGTTGGCACCATGCTCCTGGACTTCCCGGCTTCCAGAACTTGGAGTCAAATACATTTCTGTTCATTATAAATTACCCAGTCTGTATTAACTTTTTTATAGCAACATAAAGTGGACTAAGACAAAATGAGAATTTGGAGGATCCAGGTCTGGCCTTATCACAGATAAACAAAGTCGTTAAGTCCACATGTCTTATCTAAGTCATATGGGGAAGGGTGGTTCTTTGCAGTAAGCCACTTTTGCAACACAAAAGTGTGAGACTCAGGGAAAGTTCAATATCATTAGCTGAATATTGATAATTATATAATGACTATAAAAATAGGAATGTAAAACAGAATGACATCCCTAGCTAGCCAACTGATACCAGTAGTTAATTTTCATTTACCCAATCTATTTTAATATACCACAGTGCTAAGTATTAGACAGGGCATGCCTCTAGGACAAACAACTGCATCATGTATAGGACAATAATATCTGAGCTACGAAATAAAGTAATGAATTACATTTCAGTGTTATGAAAAAAACCCTGGGCATTTGGGATTTTCATTCAAATAAAATATTATTTCAGCCTACTTATGGATAAGATTAGGTTGAAGTCTTTTTGATTCAATATAGATGTTTTTAGTTCACAATTTTCAATGTTTAAAACTGTGTCCAACTGAATAAGTCTTAAAGCAGCTCATCTACCATGTAAATTTGTATGTACTTAGATTTCAGAGAGTTCATTATTTAAACTTATATCTTAATGTGTTTTATGAACCTGTTGTTAAAGTCATTAAAGTCAGTTACTACTTATACTCAGCAGGTTCATTTCAATTCGTAGTACTTAAGCTGTTCTCACAGTTAAAATACCAAAAAGGCTTACTCAATATTATGCACCAACAGCAGGAAAAAAACATTTTCATAACTGAAGTAACTTTCAATTTATGCATACAAAACACATTCAAGATCAAGAAAATGCCTCCTACTCATCCTGTATATCATAAACAAAGGAATTTTTTCTTCCCACACAGAGAGATAAAGAGGAAAGAAAGAAATTTCCACACAGTTTTTGGAGTGGGTGTCAGGGAGACAGAAGAACGGTATCCATGGCTCGTAGTTATCAGTCACTCTGAAAACAGGCATCTCTGCCTAACCTGGGCTTAAGGAATGGAAGGAAGCCCAGACTCAGTTTCTCAAAGAGCAGGAAAATCCACTCTTCCTTTTCACCAAGTGAACCATAAAGTTTCCTTGCTTGCATGTACCCTCACCCAAGCAACAGAGTCCCTCTATGTTTTTGTAAATATTTGGTCTGTCTGATATTTCACCAGGAAAGGAAGATGGTAAAGAGACCCTGGGGCACATGCTAGGGATCAGCTAGTTACCAGTATCCACGGAATGCCAGTGCAAGCCATAATCAACGGAGGTCTGGGTTATAGTCTCTCCCTGAATGCCACGATAGGCCACTGCAAAGTAAACAGAAGTTCCCTAACTTTAAACACACACATGCAACTCCCCCATCCAACACGATCTTCCTCTGGTTTAATTACATTGCATTTTGGATGAATTTATTTATTTATTTTAGAGACAAAATCTTGTTCTGTCACTTAGGCTGGGGTGCAGCGGCACCATCATAGCTCATTGTAGCCTCAAATTCCTGGGCTCAAGTGATTCTCCCACCTCAGCCTTCCAAATAGCTGGGACTACAGGCATGCATAACCGTGCCCAGCCCGTATATGGAATGTTTTTTAACATAATGGATTTTTGACTGAATGATGATGCTATTGGCGTCTGCTATTTCCCATCCCCTCCAAAGTCTGCTTGTGAAAGATAAGTGCCACAAGTTTAATTTATGCTGCACCCTGAGGAGTCTTGATCGAAAATAAAAGCCGGTATCTATTTAAGAAATGTAATATAAAATTCTTTCCCAAAGGAACTGGCAAAGAGCTTCAGGAGATATGGTAATAATATGTCACATGTAGCCACTAGAAATGTCATGAAGTTATATTGAAATTATCAGCTACCCTTTTAAACTTCAAAATGACTAAAAGAGCTTCTTGGTTGGATGGTTCATTTTAATAGGAAACCTGTCTATATTTGCCCTTTAGGGAATTCACATTCTTTGTGAACAATCAAATTCAGGGATGAACCCATTTAACATCGTCATTAGCGCAAAACACAGATTAATTAAGCAATCATCCCTCTAACAGTGCTTATCAGTGGTTGATAACAGGTTTGCAAGTTAACTTTCTGAAGGTGAACCTGTGATGGTGAATGTCCCAGGCAGCTGGTTAACCATAGTAAAAATTTTGACGAAGCTGATTGCTGCCTTCAATCGGCCTTGATTTGTAACAGTTATAATAAATTCATAAATATTGTGCTGGAGACAGCAGTGCAGAGGAAAGCAATTGGTGTGTGTCCGTGGAGGATATGAAACAGCAAGAAAGAAGCTAACAGTCGAGCTGCAATCACAGCCGCAGATGTAAAAACTGTATTATAGTTTTAATTTAAAAATAATTTTTTTTGCTTTTAATTATTTTGTTCTTTTTTTTCCCCCATCACTACAGATGAAACTTAATTGTCATGGAAAAATGATGCAGAGAACTGAAGTCTAGGCATAAGAAAGTAAAAATTAATGAGGGCTAAGAAATTTTTAATACCTATATTTACATCTTAATATGAAAAAATAGCTATCCTGAAAGAATGAAAGCTTGAAGTGGATTCAGCTAGAACCTGATCAATTTTATTAATTCCATCACAAACTTCCTCTGCCCTTAGTTAAAGGAATAAATCCAAAGGAAAAAATATGCCGTAAATTTTATGACATAGTAGACAAATTTTACTTCAACTTGATTTAGGGAACATTTGAGCGTTCCCCGTTTTCAAGTGAAAAAGCTGTTCACTGGAGCAGCGTAGGAGTGGGGACTAAAAAGATCAATTAGAAATGGCTCCTGAATTCATGTGGATTATCCTGTTCAAATAACTACATGGGAGGCTGTTAGACTAAGGCGGCTCCAGTGCCCTGGGTTGCTAAGTGAGCAAACTGAAACCTAACTCAGAATATTTTTTTTTTTTTTTTTTTTTTTGGTGAGAGAGTTTTTGTTCTGTTGCCCAGGCTGGAGTGCAATGGTACAATCTTGGCTCACTACAACCTCCCCTTCCTGGGTTCAAGCAATTCTCCTGCCTCAGTCTCTCGAGTAGCTGGGATTACAGGCACCTGCCACCACGCCCGGCTAATTTTATGTATTTTTAGTAGAGACGGGGTTTAGCCATGTTGGCCAGGCTGGTCTCGAACTCTTGACCTCAGGTGATCCACCCACCTTGGCCTCCCAAAGTGCTGAGATTGCAGGCATAAGCCACCACGCCCAGCCTCTAACTCAGAATTTAAAAGGAAATGAAATATAGGTTCAGCCAATCACAGGCAGCTAACTGGCATTTAGTTACATTGTCTTGAGCTTCCCACTGGGATAGTTCCAATAAGGTAATTGCTCAAACTTAACCAATCAAAACACGTCTTTGTTCAGTGTCTGCACTGGCCCTCTAGAAGCTTTCAATGCAACCACCTCAGGTGGTGCCCCAACCACTTATGGTTTGGAACTGCCTGATTCAGGAATCACCGTTTGCTTAAATAAACTCTAAATTTTAATATGCCAATGCTTATCTTTTACCAATAATATGGAAAATAGGCTGACACCTATACAACCAACTAGAGTCCTAATTTAGGAGATGTGATATCGTAGAGACTGTAATAGTCCAATGTACTGTAGAGGCATGTTATAACAGACAAAAACAAAGTGTGGAGAGAACAGTTAATTTGGAATGGGAAGAGAAAGGTTTCATTGAAAAAGTGCGAAGAATGTATCGGAAGGATAAACACAAACTTAATAGGTGAAGGAGGTATTGGAGGGATGGTCAGCAGGGGTCAGTCAGTATTCAAGGGGGAGGAAGAAACAGCCAACATTTTTAAAGAAACATTTTTAAAGAAACTACTGGTATGCCGGGCAGCGTGCCCTACACTGGACAGGAAGGTGCATAAGATGCAATACCTAAGATACTCAAAGTCTCACAGAAGACAAGCACACGGAGCCGTGAAGGTCTATTGGGTGTAGGAAGCAGATAAGTCATCCTGGGAGGAAGATGTGGTTAGAAGGTCCATTTTGGGGTGAGATTGTGAAGAGTGGTGTGTTTGGACTTTGTTCCATGGAAAATATGAAACATCCAGACTGTTAAGCAGAGGAGTGACAAAGAAAGTCATGGAAACTTAAGGTACAACCCAATCGCCTTAATTTATAAATTGGGAAAGTGACACTCACAGAGGTTGATTGCCTTAAATGTATATAACTTGACAGTGGCAATGCCACAGCCAGAAACCAGGTTGATCATATCTGTATTTTTGGATAATTTAGAGATATTATTCCGGGTGCAGGGTAGAGGACAAATTAGGAAGAAGGGGGCTGAAGGTGTCCAGGTAGTAAGCAACAGCTAAGAGGCTGCTGAATGGTCCAAATGAAGAAATGATGAGCTCTATCTATCTGTCTATCTATCTATCATCTATCTATCATCAATCATCTACCAATCATCTATCTATCCATCTATATCTTCAATATTAACTGATTTTTTGCATCATTTTGATGCCTTTTATTAGTTTCCAAACAATGTACTTTACAATCAGAATTATTACTCATATTCGTTTCATACAATTCTGATGCTTTTTATCACACTTTAGGGATCAGAAATAAGATGTAATTCCCTGCTTCCTGCCTGCATGTGCTAAGGAGGTATCCTGTAAAAATGGAAGGCATTTTGCCCTAACTCATTTGCCCTAACTCATTTGTCATGCAAGAATGAACTACTGTTGGGTTAAATTAATTGTAGATAGATTGTGGCCATATAGTTAAAGGCAACTAAATGCAATTTATAATGCTTAATAAAAATCTCATTTTGGGAGTGTTTAAAAGAAAATGATGCAAACCTATACTTGAACTGTGGCTGTGGGAATATACAAATTGGAGAAGTGGTAGCACTGGAAGCAGACTGTATTAATTTGCTAGAGCTTCCTTAACAAGATACCACAGACCAGGTGGCTTAAACAACAGAAATTTATTTTCTCACAGTTCTGGAGGCTAGAAGTCCGAGATCAAGGTCTCAGCAGGGTTGGTTTCTTCTGAGGCCTCTCTCCTTGGCTTGCAGGTAGCAGCCCTCTTGCTGCTGCTTCTTCATGTGCTCATCCCTCGGTGCACAGCATGCCCCTCATAGCTCTTCCTTTTCTTATTAGGACACCAGTCACATTCTTTAGGGTCCACCCTAATGGGCTCATTTTAACTTAGTCACTTCTTCAAAGACTTTGTCTCCAAATACAGTTAACTTCTGAGATAAGGGTTAGGACTTTAACAAATGAATTTGGGGGGCACGATTCAGCCCATACTACTTCTCTACAAAGAACTGGTAAGATGGAAATGACGGCCACAGATATCTTGCATTATATAGTACTTCACAGTTTATACAGCAATTTTCATGTTTATCTCATTTGAGTAGACTTTTGTTATTTGACTCAGTTTTCTTGGATATAGAATTCTGCTGCCAGTTAAGAGTTTATATAGGATGCACAATGGGAAATGCTCAAGTTATAGTCCAGGAGTCTTCAGGTCTCAGCTATCCTTCAGATTCAGTTTATTTTAAAGCGTTTACATAAACAGACAAACGTTTAAAAAAAAGTGTGATTTAAATGTCATATCCCGGCTGGGTGCAGTGGCTCACGCCTGTAATCCCAGCACTTTGAGAGGCCAAAGCGGACAGATCATCTGAGGTCAGGAGTTTGAGACCAGCCTGGCCAACATGGTGAAACCCCATCTCTACTAAAAATACAAAAATTAGCTGGGCATGGTGGTGGGCACCTGTAGTCCCGGCTACTTGGGAGGCTGAGGTGGGAGAATCTCTTGAACCCAGGAGGCAGAGGTTGCAGTGAGCCGAGATAGTGTCGCTGCACTCCAGCCTGGGCAACAGAGCAAGATTCCATCTCAAAAAAAAAAAAAAAAGTCATATTCCTTACCTTTTCTGATAAAGGAACAAATCCAGTTAAAAAAAAAAAGAAAAAGAACAAAAAAACTAAGCTAAAGAAGGCCTAACTAGGGCTTGGAGGATCCAAGACAGCCAATTCACACGACTGTTGGCAGGAGGCCTTGGCCTCTCACTACATGAACTCCTCAGGGTGGCTTGAAATGTTTTCATGACCTAGCATCTGAGCATTCCCCAGAATGAATATTCCAAGAAACAAGCCACCACCTACACTCTCAAGCCACATACTTTTGCCTTTACCACATTCCACTCATTAGAAGTTGGTCAAGTTCAGTCCACATTCAAGGAGAGGGGCCCATAATTTTATACACACACATATACACTCTGTGTTAGCATCAGGAGAAAATCCTGACCTAGAAATCCTACCCTGCATTAAAATTTGTCTGTGATACAGAAGGGTTTGAGAAGCATTAGAGGATTTCCTTAGTCAAAATACTGTCCTATTCCTCTTGCTACTAAACAATGAGACATTTTCCTACCCTATACTCTAAACGATGCTCTCAGCTCCTGACAAGGAAACGAACACACATTTGACATGTCTCTGAGCTATCGTATGTCAGCTTTCTGTTTAAATCCTAGGATTCTCTACCACCTGCTTACTTGGTAGATGAGGAAGCCAAAGTACAATGGCTTGCTCAGGGTCATTCTGCCAGTTTGTGGCAGAGTTAGAATCAGAACTTGTTCTGGGTTCTGGACTATTTAGTTTTATGAAGTTGGCATCAACAGGCCTTAACGGGTACCATTATTTCTCCTTACTTATGTTTCTCCTGAAGTTATGGAAAACACTATTGGTTGGTTGGCAAAGCTAACACCTATAACCCAACCCTCATCCTTTCTGGTCATTTCTAGTAAGGGGGCTAGAAAAGTGAAATGCTCAATATGCCAGTCTCCTTTGCTTTTAGAGGTAGCCACGTGATATATTTATTGTAAAGGAAATGTGACTAAAGAGAGAATATGATTCCTACCTACCAGGATAACATCAAATAACCTTTATTTTGTAAATCACATTTATGTGTTTGGTTTATATTGATACCATAATCCCAAGTATTAATCCATTATAGGTGTTCACCTAAGAATGCATCCCGATGGAACTATCCAAGCTGAGGATTAAAGTGACTTTTGGATTGAATTTTAGCTTGGAAAGAAATTTAGTAGGGACATGCTGCATAAATCTGTTTTTCTTCTATAAATTGTATAAAAGCAACAAAAAGACTGTAAAAATCTCCATAAAGTTTATTTCCAGTGAATCTAGGAGATAAGATATAATCTTCAGATGTCAAAATAGACATAAGGGCTGCCAGAACAGCTGAGATTTAGCAGAAGTAGTGTCAGGAGACAGTGAAAGGAGGAAGTGCAGTAAGAGTTGAGAGGGACCAGGCAGTAGCAAATCTCAGCAAAAAATACCGCTTTTGAATGTGAGGGTTCCCCTTGAAAGGCAAAAGCTATGTCCCTTGTTTGGAACAATCAGTTAGGAGCAGAGAAGAGCGAGATTGGCTGTGAAGGTCCTCCTGGACCTGGTTTGGTTCAGGGGAGGAGAGGAGGAAGGGCCACCTACACAAGCAATCACAAGGAGCCCTATTTACATGAGCCAGCATGCTTCTATGACATCAGCAGAAAAGATGAAGCATGTGTGTGACGTCTGGAAGGCTACCATGGCTGATTTCCTGCAAACAATGGTATATTACAAGTCATTCAGTATTGAGTAAGAAAAAGGAACTGCCGTAAGACTGATACAAAGATACTATATTAAAAAAACTAGAGAAATTAGCAAAAATTAACAGATAATATTCACCATCTGAAAAATTTTGCAGAACAGATGGATATCATTCTGCAACATTTCACCATGAATAGGCTGGGCATGGTGGCTCACACCTGTAATCCTAACATTTTGGGAGGACGAGTCAAGGATTGCTTGAGGTCAGGAGTTTGAGACCAGCCTGGGCAACATAGGGAGACCTTGTTGGCACAAAAGAGTTAAAATAAAAAATTAGCTGGGTGTGGTGGCATGTGCCTGTGTTCCCAGCTACCTGGAAAGCTGAAGTGGGAAGACTCCTGAACCTGGGAGGTGGAGGTTGTAGTGAATCATGATTATGCCACTGCACTCCAGCCTGGGCAACAGAGACATCATCTCAAGAAAAAAAAAAATTCAACATGAATATTAAAATCTAGTGATTCAACTGCCTCCATGAAGAAAGTCCACAAAACAAGAAACAAGAAGGAAGAGATGATGAAATCACAGAAAGAAAAAATATGAGCTTAGGAAAGGAGTTATACAAAAAGAAAAATACACACTGTGGGAAACCAAATGAGTACAGGTAATAAAATGGAGAAATGCAATGAAATGGAAGTAAAGAAAAAAGTTAAACTGTTCTGGTAATGGGAGATGAGATAATTCAGAACAACTTCACACTAAGAACTGGAGAAGCTGGACAAAACATTTATTTTAAAAATTCTGCTTGAACACTGAAAAGCCAGTAAGATGATGAAAAAATCTTGGGCCAAAATTCAGGAGATAGATATGCAGGGGTGAACCTGACATTTGGGGTCAATTTTGCCCAGATGCCATTTAAAAATCTGGAAAACAGACTGAGGAACCAATCATAAGTTATGATGTCCTCTTGGGGAAGGCAGAAAACACTGGCACATGGGATCCACCAAGAATGGAGGCTCTTATGAACCCTTGTACTTTGGATCTAGACCTCAAAGTCTGAACCCTGGGAATGACAGTGAGCTACAAGTGCCCATGCATATACTGCAGCCAAGATGCGAGTCATCTGGGGATTCAGATCATCTTAGTTCCTAAAACAGGATTAAGATGTTTTCAGTCTGACAGTGACCCCAGAAGCAAAAAAAACTTGTGTCTGGACAACAGCATCTTAGACCTCCACTTTTTTTCTACAAACAACTTTGCAAACACGATTTCGGCATATAGTGAAAGATAACCAGACCTAAGAGTAGGGAAGAAAACATGAAAAAGAGCCAACAGAAACAACACACAATAGAAACAGATTCTGAATTGGCATTAAATATTGGAATTGTCACACATACACACGGAAGTTAATTAACAAGTCTAAAACATGGATATTTTGAGCAATAATGAGTTATAACCCATGAAATAAAATAGGAATCTATGAGTTTATACTGACATAAATAAGTGAATAAAGGAGAAATAAATGGATAAGGGAATTCCAGTAAGTGTAGAAAAAACAGTGGAATTAGAAAACCGGCATTTGGCAAGCATTACAGCAATACATATGAAATACATAGGGATAACTGATTAACATTAACATCGTTTTCTCTTGATGTTTACATGGTGTCTTTTTTCTATCCTTTTACTTTTAAAGCTCCCTATGTTTTAGGTCAGTCTCATAAGCAACATGTAGTTGTTTTTCTGTGGTTTGATAATCTTTGTCTTTTAATTGGATACTGAATGTTTTCATTTAACATAATTTGTGAATACATTTGGGCTTACATCCGTGTGTTTTCTATTTGTCTCACCTGTTCTAAATTGCTTTTTCTCTTCTGCTTGCCTGTTTTGACGTGATTGAATGCCTTTTATCCTTTTATTATTACTTATTACTTTTGCTTTCAAATGAAATTCCAACTTCATACATAGCCTACATATTCTAAACTTCAATTATCTGAGCACCAGTAATTTCTGTCCTATTTCCACACTGACTACTTAATTTGTTTAGTTATTAACATTTATTCCAAAAAGAAATGTTATATTGCCACAGTAAACTAAAACAATCAGTACCACTTGCCATGCAAAGTAACTAGAACATACAGAACTTGTTTTATACTCTACTGTGGGAAACACTTCCATATTCCACAAGGCTTTGCCAAGATATATACCTACACCACCCCAAATGGTAGCCATTAGCCACATACAGCTATTTAAAAGTAATGACAAAATTTTAAAACTCAGTTTCTCAGTCACACTGGCTATATTTCAAGTGTTTAATACAAGCCACATGAAGCTTGTATTGGCCATTTTTTGGGGGGCAGCATTTACAGAACACTTCCATCATTGTAGAATATTCTGTTGAACAGCACTGTTCTAGACCTTCTCTCTAGCAACCCCCATCCCCTCCACCCAGTGGTGAGCCATAGTAGTATTTTCGTCTTGGAATTCACCAAAGCTCTTTTCCTAGGCCTTTGCATATCCCCATCCCTCTGCCTGAAATACTCCTTCCCCTTTTGCTCTTTGCTAGCTTCTTTTCATTTTTTAGGACTCATCTCATACGTAAGACCTTCTTGATAATCTGAAGTAGTACCCAACTCCCAATCGCTACACTTATTTCTCATCTCAGTCATTTGGTTTTTTCTTTAATTGCAATCACTGCAATTTACATTTTATTCATGTCTATTTACTTCCCATCTTTACCTAAGCTACTCCAATTGTACTTCTATCACAGTATAACCAGGTGGTGGCTATCGGCTGTAATCCGAACACTTTGGGAGACTGAGATGGAAGGACTGCCTGAAGCTGGGAGTTTGAGATCATCTGGGCAACATAGTAAGATCCCCCCCCCACCTTTTTTTTTTTTTTTTAAACTTGAGACAGGGTATCATACTGTTGCCTAGGCTAGAATGGAGTGGCGCCATCACAGCTCGCTGCAGCCTCAACCTCTTGGGCTCAAGCAATCCTCCTGCCTCAGCCTCCCTGAGTAGCTAAGACTACAGGCACGTGCCACCACACTTGGCTAATTTTTGTATTTTTTGCAGAGATGGTGTCCCACTTTGTTGCCCAGGCTGGTTTTGAACTCTTGGGCTCAAGCAATCCTCCTGCCTTGGCCTACCAAAGTGTTTTTTTAATTTTTCTTTTTAAAATTAGCCAGTTATGATGATGCACACCTGTAGTCCCAGCTACTTGGGAGGCTGAGGTGGGAGGATCCCTTGAGCCCTAGAGTTGGAGGCTGCAGTGAGCTATGATCCTGCCACTGCACTCCAGCCTGGGGGTCAGAGAAAGACCCTGCCTCTGAAAAAAAAAAGGGCTGGGCATGGTGGCTCATGCCTGTAATCCCAGCACTTTGGGAGGCCAAGGCGGGAGGATGGCTTTGAAGCCAGGAGTTTGAGACCAGCCCAGGCAAGACCCCATCTCTATAAAAATAATTTAAAAAAGAAAAAAAAATATGAAAGAAACAGCTCAATAAAGTTGAGAAAGTATGTTTACAGATGCATGTAGAAAGTTATTTAATAAAAATATTTCACCATTTAAACTTGGATTCCCCAGAGTGTCATTCAAAATACTGAAATGGAAAGATCAACAAAATTAATGAATAAAGAAAGTTTATTGGAGATTATTAAAGAAAAATGATAAAATAAGGCAAGTCCTAGATCAGATTTAAATACAATATTTAGAAAGATGGCTATATAATTTTAGCTAGGAAAATCAGTAAAAGGGAATATCCTTAAAAGTGGGAGGGGTTCATATAACCTTTTAAA
This sequence comes from Homo sapiens, assembly GCF_000001405.40. Classification (NCBI taxonomy): domain Eukaryota; kingdom Metazoa; phylum Chordata; class Mammalia; order Primates; family Hominidae; genus Homo; species Homo sapiens. Next base: position 45,954,638 of record NC_000013.11, read on the forward strand.
ATAGCAAGTTGAGGTGTAAAAGCATCACCAACAATAGTATGTACCTTAATCTTTACACAATTGGACAGTGAGGAGCAAAGTGGGAGATTCTACCAATGCCACTTACAGAACAGATTTTCAAGTTAATAAGTCATAAAATCCTAATGTAGTCATAGGCTAGGATGGTGACGACAATCTGCAATTACTGGTCAGAGTGAAGCGAAGTGACAGGTCAGATTTTTCAGCATATCAAGTTACTACTTAGGTATGCTTACAAAACTTTGTTAAATAAAGTTGGGTATTGTTAGTATACCCTTTACTAAATGGTGAGGATAGCTGCCAAAATAATCAAAAGGCTAATTATGTGTTAACTCTCATTTATTTTGGATTGCAGACATACTCTTGCCCTTTATCTATCTACACAATTCCTTATTACCAGCAGCTGGAATCCAGTTGTGCAATTATGGCAACTGGACAGACCTGAGCCGTCAGTTATGAGATAGATGACCTTTTAATTGTACTAGCAAACAATTTATAGACTGGAAGATTGTTTTTCGGGAATACCAGTTTAACTGAGACTTTAATTATGGTCCAAGAGCTTTTATGAGAAATTCAATCAAAAATTTTGCTTTAGAAAAATTTTATAGGTATATGTTACTAATACTGAGAATGGTTGAATTAAAAGAAATTGAGACTGAACAGTACATTTCCACTGGAAACATAAAGCTCTGAATGCTGTGACTGAGTGAACAAAGGAATAGTTCTAAATTTTCTTTTGCAACATACATAACAAAAAGATTTCAAACTGAAAGACAACAGGTTTAACTGAATGACAGATTTAACTACATAGTTTTCATTCTATAAATAAATAACTTGTGAAATATCCCTGAAGTCAGTGGACAAATGGGGAAACCATTATTTTTGTCATATTCTACAATTCTGAGAACTAGGATTAGAAATTCTAGGACTTTAAATCTTTGTGCTACAGAGAACAATATTATCCACTAAAATCAGGAAGTGGCTTCCTGAAGGGTATTCATTCTCTGAGGTCATACATTTTTTTTTTCTTTATTCAAAACACTTAGTAAAGGAAAAGGACACAAGGAAATTCTGATTAAAGTCTTCTCCTGCTCTGTTTGCAATTATACATGCTTTCAAAGTCATTTGAAAGTAAGACCATTTCCTTTGGCAGGTATCTTGTATAAAGTAACTTTACAACATATGTTTCTTGAACAGAAACTTTACACCACTGTCATTATGTTACCTATAGAGACAAAACTACTAACACAAGTAATATGGGCTTACAATTATAACACAAACCTGTGAGAGGGCATGATAAAATTAAATTTTGATTGCCTTCTTTTATTATTATCACTACTACTGTCTGCTCACAAATTCTGTGGCCAGAGTCCATTTCAAATCCTTCTAAGAGTCCACTTCATGAGTTAAACATATACATATAGAACAAAGCAGGTATACTGTAATTTTTAAAAGTAAATCTGTTTTACATAGTACAGCTGGAGGCAGTTTAATATAATCAAAAGTTATAGCTCTAAAAAATATGATAGTAGAATATTAAACCTCAGGTTACGTTAGGTTTGTTAACTCTTGATTTGCTTTGAGTAATTTTTTTCTTCAAAAGCCACATTCCAAGAAGATGCCTTAAGTATCAATGAGCTATATTTGAAGTACATCAACTCTGTTTAAAGCTGTCCAACAATAAGGACACAAGCAGTAAAATATCTGAAGCATGAAACATGTAATGTTGATGACTAATGTTCTAGATCATCAGGAATAAGATTAACGAAGAGCAAAGTAAATCTAAAACAAGGAAAGGGAAGATACATTTATTAAAAATAAAAATAGTACACAATCTCTGATAACAAAAAAAGCATTTAGGGTCAAAAGACATCCAACATACATTGTAACAATGCACACATATTAATTAAAAAAAAGACCCATGAAATAATTTTTAAAAAACTTTCAAAAGGAAAAAACTATTTTGGCTTCCTTCTGCTGAAATTCGCCTATAAACATACCACGCCAGCTAGACCAGCATTCCCTTTCACGTGGTCTGTACAACATAGTACTGCACAATGTGAGCAATTACTTTGATGAACACATTGTTTTTGAATAAAATTGTTGGTTCTGTATGGATGATCCAGACATAAATCCATGGTTCCATTTCACAAAAATATTCATAGGCTGGAAGAGCAGTGACAACCATTTTCCAAAATCTTCAGTTTTAACAAAAGGCGCAGAATAAACTACTAAATCTAGATGTTTTCACATTATTTTGCATGAGTGTCAAATACTATGTAAAAATTAACGTAAAATCTTAAGTTGGCCAAAACTAGTGTCTCTAAAGATCAAAATTCTTCACTCTTTTAGCATGGCTGATAAATCTTTTCTGCCTTTGTCACTAATGCTTGTCAAACCAAAGAACTTTGCAAAAGAATATGCACTGCTGAAGGAAGACAGTACCAAAAATACCATATTGAACTTCGGTCTTAAGACACACACAGTTCCTGTTGGATACTGGACTGTGAAAGTTTATTATCTTCAGTCTTTTCATGTCCTGGAGCATGGCAAGTAGTCTTCCGCTTAAATAACCGAAGACTCAATCGAAGTAATTCATTGTCTACCATTGGAGCACTCGTGTAAGCTTGTTTTATGGTGCCCTATTTGAAGAAAACAAAAACAAACTTTAAAAAAGATGTACATTATTAGTAGGAAAGATGGGCAGGTTAACCTCTACCCAAAATATCAAAGTTATAAGAGTATTTCATTTTGGATATTAAATTAGCTTTATTGGATTTCAAAGCAAAATTAGAAAATGTGTTTGGGCTCAATGAATCTTTGAAAAGAAACTTTTAGAGGGCACCTAGTTTAACCTCTTGCTTAAAGTAGGAATCCTCTCAACAATTTCTGACAGGTAATCAACCGGTTTTTACTTTATCATTTCCAATGACAAAACAAACAAAAAACACACTGCACGTTCTGTTGTTGAATGGCACTATTTCTTCCATGTGATGGAATAAAAGCTCTTCTATGGTGCTACACTGTAATTCAATCTTACCTTTACTTGACAATCCTTCAGTTCTATGAAGGTAAGTGCCATGAGTTCCTTCCTCACATAGTTTTTCCTTCTGTAAGCCAAACATTCTATTCTATACTCCTTACCAATCTTTCAATGTCCCATAAAAAGTGAGCTCGAAAACTGAATAAATCCTTTAGAAGACAGCTAATCATGCAGTATGCTGAAGAACTACTACCTCCCTTATACTAAAATATGTATCTATATTATTGTGACTTAAAGTTACATTAGCATTTTTTGGAAAGTTATTGTCATAGAGAAGGGACCAGGGAATGTTACAAAATACAAAACAAAGAAAAGTGCATACTGAAATCAGGGAGCAAAGGAGAATGACTGTAGTGATTCTGTCAAAAGTAATCTTGAACCAGACTTTTAAGTGAGGAAAACTTGATTATACAGTCAAGACATGTTTTAAAAATCTCCTGTTCCTCGTATTTGTTTCCATTTTAATCTTTGGAGATAAACTCATTCTTCTGTTTTTTAAAAATTGAATCCCCCCTACCCACTACCCTAAATCTGAGTATTTTTCTTTAATGAAGTAATCTTTTCTTTAGCAATGTTATATAGTCAAAGATAATTCTGTTTTCCTAACTGCCCCAAGTAAAAAGCTAGTGAAGTTAACCATTTTATCATTACTCTAAACTTTCTAAGCAAAGAATCACACCAACTCTCTTTTGTCATCCAGGTTGAGTAGTCCTCAACTGAAATGCTTTGGACCAGAAATGTTTCAGATTTGGAAATTTTTTTGGATTCTGGAATATTTGCATTACATTTACTTACCCAGTTGAGCATCCCTATCTAAGAATCCAAAATCTGAAATTCTCCAAAGAGCATTTCCTTTGAGGGTCATGTCGATGCTCAAAAGCTTCGGATTAGGAATACTCAGTCTGTACTACCTATACCCATCCACTCACCACCCCAAATAAAAATCCCAGTTTTTTTTTTTTTTTTTTTTTTTTTGAGATGGAGTCTTGCTTTGTCGCCCAGGCTGGAGTGCAGTGGCACGATCTCTGCTCACTGCAAGCTCCGCCTCCTGGTTTACGCCATTCTCCTGCCTCAGCCTCCCAAATAGCTGGGACTACAGATGCCCGCCACCATGCCCGGCTAATTTTTTGTATTTTTAGTAGAGACAGGGTTTCATTGTATTAGCCAGGATGGTCTCGATCTCCTGACCTCGTGATTCACCTGCCTTGGCCTCCCAAAGTGCTGGGATTACAGGCATGAGCCACCACGCCCGGCCAAAAATCCCAGTTTCTTAACTTTAAAGAGTCTAAAATGTTTTCATCTTGGGTTTACCAGATTTCATTAACAGATCTCTTCCAAATCTAATTTCTATTCCTCTTACTTCTCAATCTCTTTATTCCTCTCAAATGCTTATATAGAGTCGCTTTATTTCCCTTTCTTCCAACTTTGTATATTCTCATAAATACTACTCTCATAAATATCCTCATCACTCTAAGAAATTTTTTTCCTTGAGTTTCAATTTAAATAAATTTTTGTAATACGTTTGCTTGTTGAAAGCTTTTCACAAAAAACGTTTAACAGAAATGGAATATTTTAAACTTTATTAAAACAAAATTCATTAATACTGTTGAAGTAAAATAAAGCATATTATACATTTTAATGGCATTCTTCTTTTTACATGTATAAAAGATTAGGAAACCAAACTCATAAAAACATAAGATTGCAATCTCAATTTAAAACAACCAAATGAAAAATAGGCCATTCACACTATTCACTTTGTATTTTTTCCAAGGAAATAACAGTACCTTCTCATTTTTAACAAGCTGCTTTCGAATTGCAGAATCCCGTCTGAAGCACAACGCCTTACAACATGGGCCAAGATTACTAAGAAGACTTGCTCTTTCTTCTTTTCGTAGTAATGCAGCCATATTGAGAGCCCCCAATTCATGTTCAAAGAGATTGTCTGCATCTTTCAAAAAAAAGTAAACATGCATTAAGTTTTACTAAAATAGAAAAGGGTTACCAACTACTTAACTGAATATTCTACAAATTTTATACTTTATTAAAGTTAGCAACATTGGTGAAAATTATTTCACATTAAAGGCAATATATTCTCTGTGAAGCACCTTCAACACGTAGTTATGTTGGTAGTCTCAAACAAGAATAAATATTCTGATAGCCACTTTAAATTTACTTAAAATATAAGAAAAGCAGACTGTATGTGGATCTCAAGGTAGAGCCCAGGGAATTTTTTTTTTAATTTTAAACAATTTATTTATTTATTTATTTTTTGAGATAAAGTATCTCTCTGTTGCCCAGGCTGGAGTGCAATGGCACGACCTCGGCTCACTGAAACCTCCACCTCCTGGATTCAAGCGATTCTCCTGCCTCAGCTTCCCGAGTAGCTGGGATTACAGGCGTACACCACCACACCTGGCTAATTTTTTTTTGGTATTTTTAGTAGAGATGGGGTTTCACCATGTTGGCCAGGCTAGTCTTGAACTCCTGACCTCAAGTGATCTGCCTGCCTCGGCCTCCCAAAGTGCTGGGATTACAGCCATGAGTCACCGCCCCCAGCCCCAGGGAATTTATTTAAAGAACGTTTTTAAAGGATGTTTTAAAGAAACGTTCAAGTTAAGAATCATTGAACTCTAATTCAGTATACTGCTTACCATCAACTACTATTTAGAGTTTTAGATTTCAAGACTTTATTATAGCAAGATTCAAATGTTATAACAATATTCAAGTCTGTGACCTCTAAAAAAATTAGTTAAGAAAGTGATTGTTAGATAACCTGCAAACTTTGTCCTAGATTTGGTCACCATAAAAACCTGGGACAATGTATTAAATTTAAATCACTTAGTTTTAAGTCACAACATGCAAGGTAGGGGAGAAAACACTGAACATACAAAAAAACCCCAGAAGAATTAAGGAAAGATAGAATAAAATATAAAGAGGTTAGGTTAAAAATAGACACAAAGGAAGTCAAAATAACAGAACAGGACCAGTCAGTAATCCAAATAAATAAGAGTCGGTCAAGAGTACGAAAGACAGCAGGTACTGCCTCTATTCATACAACACGCTCAAGCAGGTTACTTTTACAACCCACAAAGAAAAGCAGTAAACGCCTGGGTAAAAATAAAAGACACATTTTACTGAGAACAAAATGAAGCTGCAATACATAGCCGATTTCAATTTTCTGGGCTGCAAAGTGTAAGTATTGAGATTAGATAGTTAACAAGAAACCAGTCTTAAATAACACACCTAGTCAATAGATGTGTAACATAAGAAAGGTGTAAATATATAGAAAAGCCCGAAACTAGTTCTCAAACACTGGAGTCTATCAGGATCAGCTGAGGAGCTTTTTAAAAAACATTCCCTGGGCTCTATCACCAGATTTGCAGAATGAGAATCACCATAGTTGGACTAGAATACCTTAAGGGAAAAAAGGGGCAGTTTTTTCAGATGATTCAGATATACCAATGTTTGTACCAACCAATGATATAGTCATATATGCACATGATTAAAAACAAAAACAAAAACATTAACTACCATTCCACTACAGATATAATATAAAAGAAATGCATTGAGCCTACACCCTTCCTTGAAAATTGTTCATTACCACACATTTCTGTTTATTGGGATCCTTATTTTTGGCTTTCAAAATAGTAGATTACAAAACACATACCTGCAAACCTCCTCAGGGAGTATAAAACATGACTAAATTTCCAGTCTCTTTAAAGTTTTGAACTGAGCAGCACCAAATTACTCAAGAAACAGACTAAATGCATTCTTAAAAGTTTAGCTCAAAAGAACTTAACCAACAGAGAGTAGAATGATGGTTAGTAGAGGCTGGGAAGGGTAGTGGGGGTGGGGAGATGTGGGGGTGGGGAGATGTGGGGGTGGGGAGTTGGGGGGATGGTTAATGGGTACAAAAAAAAAAAGAACGAATAAGACTTAGTATTTGATAATACAACAGGGTGACTATAACACCCTGTTGTAGAAACTGTTATTGTCAATAACAATTTAATTATACATTTAAAAATAACTAAAACAGTAATTGGATTGTAATACAGAGGATAAATGCTTGAGGGGATGAATACTCTATTTTCCATACATGATTATTAACCCACTGCATGACTGTATCAAAGTATCTCATGTACCCCACAAATATATACACCCACTAAGTACCCATGAAAATTAAAAATTAAAAATTAAAAAAAATGAACTTAACCTTAGCGCAATTAGAAAACAGACAAAAGCAATTTCAATTTCAGTACACTTATAAATTTTCTGTTTTAAGCTTTAGTTGTTTCTTTTAAAAATTATATATGAAATATGATTATGTTTTCTTTCATGTTGGTACACTTGAATAGACAAAATGGAAAAGAAAAATCAGTATCAATTATTTCATAAATATTTACTGAAAACCTACTATGTATGTCAGGCACTTTTCTGGGCAATAGCAGAAAATATAGATAGATAATTAGACCTTGGATATGGCAGTAAACAAGACAAAGTCTTTATTCAAGATAATACATCAGTTCTCTAATACAACCACCATAGCAGCAAAAATAGAAGAAGTCTGATTGTTAAGCCACATCACCCCACCCTTTACAGTGCATATTTTCACTGTTTAGGTTAAGTCATCAATAAGTAAGGGCCGAACTGTATTTCATGGGTAGCAAAATCAAACCAGATTTTAACTTGAAATGCTACTAGCAAAAGGTCACAGAAACAAATATCTTTAGAGGTGGGTAAGATTTTAGGGGTTTTATTCCATCACTTTACAAATAAAATTGAGGCTCACAGGAGTTATTTGCTTAAGGTCACAGAACCAACCAAACAAGGCAGATACAGTAGGGCAAGAACTAAGTCTTGGGTCATTTTTCGGTTAATACACGTTAACAATTATATGTATTTTGTACATGTATACTCTAGGTTTATTGGGCTATATTAAAATAAAAAAATTTACTGCTTATGCTAATAGAGTAAAGGAAGGGCATGAATTCATAAAACTCATAAAACAATATTTTTTTATTTTGTATTAGTGAAAAATTTAATACTAACTAAACTTTTATGTCCAGGGACATGACGTAAAATTGTTAATTAATGTTGTTCCTTTCACCTTTTACCTCCTTTTCCTTCTTTTTACCATCTACTCGTCCCTCCCCATTAATAAAGTATTAGTAAGTTGCAAAATAAACTAAGGTAGGTACTAGATGAGACAGAGACAGTGAAAACCAAAACCAAACAACCCCTACCACCAGAATCCATAAGCTAGATAATCTGGAATAACTGAAAATTGCTGCAGTGAGGTCAAAAATCAGCGTGATAGGATATTTTCAAAGTAGCAGTTAATATTTATTGGGTATTACTATATGCCAGGAACTGTTCTAAGTGTTTTGCCTGTAATAACTCATTTGCTCCTAATTACCATAGGAAGTTGGTGGTATGATTATTCCTGACTTACAGATGATGACACTAACACACAGATTAAGTAATAGCCAGTAAGTGGTGTGCCTACTGAAATCCAGATCATCCGGCCTTACAGACCAAGCTCTTAATCACTTTGTTAAAGACTCAACCTACACACCTGCATTTGGGTAGATGTCTAGGGGAAAGGGCTGCCAAAATACCCAATTTCTTTAGACATGAAAAATATGTAGTCTGTTTTTCCTGGCTCTGCTTCATTTAGCCAAGGGCAAACCACTGAGCACTTTGATATTAGAACTTATTGGTTAATTTGTTTTTTTTTTTTTGAGACAGGGTCTTGCTCTGTCACCTAGGTTGGAGTGTGGTGGCTCAATCATGGCTCACTGCAGCCTCAATTTCCTGGGCTCCAGCAATCCTGCTGCCTCAACCTCCCTGAGTAGCTGTGACTACAGACATGCAACACCACGCCTGGCCTGTTAATAAGTAATTTTCATACAAAAAGGTCATTGTACTCTTTTCCCAACTTTTCTGTGGGATAACTCTTCTTCTCAAAATAAATTTTAAAGAGAAACTTTGACCATGAGGGTTAAATAATGATTATAAAATGATTTCTCAAAAAATAGTTTCTACACAGTGTTAAGTGCTACATAAGAACAGATCAGAATCCCCTTCAGATGGCATCTTAAATGGTTAACAGACATTATATAGTTAAAGTAAAATGAAACTACCTTTGGGTTTTTCTAAAAGTCTCTGACATGTTTCTTTGACTTTGGCAAAGAGTTCAGAACCTGCCAACTTTTTAGAAATCCCAACTCTTAGCATAACAGCTCCAGGTGTGAATTTTAAGAGTGCAGCCCCAGGCTCTCGTGGTTCTTTTGGATGCTTTGGCATAAGACCAGACCAATCCACATCTATCACATCTAAGGGATCTGTAAAAAGTTAAAAAGTAAGATTTGTTTTACACCAAGAAATAGCAGTCTTGTTATCTACATAGACATTTACATAAATCAAGGAGAAAACAGAAAAAATGAAAAGTACTTTAAACCAAAAATGTCCTATTCTTAAAATAAAAGCCTTCCCATATAATACTCAGAATCTAAGGACTCTGACAAATAAAAAACCTTCCCACCAAAAGAAAACAGGTAACCCAACCCACCCATACAAATAACTCATTTTAACTCCATGGGAGATCCCCAATGAAAGAACTCTATTGATTTCACTCAGATTGGGTCTGATCTTTTGAAACTTGGTACCAGAATCCTTTTAAGGGTTAAATCTAGGAGTACATGTGTTTGCAGTGTGTGCACACATACATTTTAATTTTTAAAAACAACTATTTCATTATGAAATCCCTTTAAGAGTCAGAGAGTGACAATTATTAACACTGAGAGCAAATAATCCATCCACTGCGAAGGAACAGTTGAAGAAATAATGTTCTACTTAGAAATACCTGATACCAGAAAATAACAAAGATAACAATCATACATACCTTCTACATCAGTAGAAAAAATTGCAAAATATAAGAGCAAATTAAAATAAAAATTTCATATTTTATATAATCAAAGAAAAGATCCTCACTGTGATTTAAAAAAGTTGTTAGTAACAATCAGACACTAATTGGAATGATTCAAGAGGAATATTAAGGGGTGTTGCTTCATGGTATAATCACTGGAATGAGTTCCAGCAACACACAAAGTACTGTAAGTCAAAATAATTACCAAATTTAGAAAATTGATAGAGGTATATAGTGTTCAAATATAATTTCAACTACTGTAAATTTTTGACAGGTTGTTTAAAAAGTTGGCTTGTGTCACCACAGTTGTGAAGCTTTGTACCATATAACTACCATGTAGAAAGAACATTGCTAGACAATCAGTATTTGTTTAGATTCCAAGTCATATAATATGATTCTTAAATTCTGGAAAATAAACTTTAGAATTTTGCTATTTTAAATGAGGCCCTTTCTAATTCATAGACAATGCCTACTTAAAAAGGAGTAGGCATATAGGCTATAATTTTCATTTTATTGGCCTTTCAACCTTAAGTAAAATGTAAAAGGAAAAATTCTAAGTGTCTTAGGTCAATTTTTACAGAGTAGAAGGTAATAATACTTTAATATCATATAACAGATAATTTTCATGTTTAACCACCTCTGCAAATAGTTACCTGGCATCTTCTCCTCATCCTGTTGGTCCTCCCTCTTTTCTGCATCACCTGCCAGAATTTCATCTAGTTCGTCATCACTGATTGGCTCGTATCCTTCTCCAGCACCAGAGCCTAATGAATGTGCATCATCTAACTTGGACTCGTCATCTCCTGCTAAATAGACAAATTAATTTCAGATCAAAGACAACATTAAAGGGAGAGGATGACTAAGTCAAACCAAAAGGTAGAGGGTACACACATTATAACAATGTGAAAAACATCTTTTCATCAGAAAACTGTATCTCTTAATTATTCAAATACTTGATAATATCAAAAGAAAACAAAAATAAAATTTAATTAGTTAAATTAAACTTTAATAGCAAGAATACAATCTGGACAGCAATTATGAGAACAGCTTATAAGATCACAATAAAAATATGACAAATAAAAGCTACTACTAACATACTAATGTTGACTGTGTATTATTTTTGATAATTTAAAACTTTAAAACTCAGACAAATCTAACTTCAAAAGATTTTGAAGTTATATTTTCAAATTTTCACAATTTATCTAAACAAAGTAATTTAAAAACTTGCAAACATTTAAAAAATTTACTCGAAGCTTAAATCTTAGTTCATATTATTTAGCTCATTATATAAACTTTACAACAGTGAGGTAAAAATACAAGAAGTGTCTAATTCTCTCTCAACATCTCAATTCCTCCTCCCTATCTCAATGATCTTCTTGCATTGATGAACACAATTTTTAGAAAAATGCTTTAATACAATTAAAAATAACTTTGTTAGTTCCACTAGTGTATGTTCTATTTTTTTATTTTACCAACTTTTTTCAACCACCTATGCTAAACTTTGTCTCTTGGTGAGTTAGTTGTGAACTTAATCCTAAAATTACAGAATACACTTAACGTTTACAATCACTAGCTAACCATACATTTCACTGAATCTACAATACTAAGTTTCAAAATGTAACCATATGCTTTATGGGTATGAATTTGCAGCAAATAAAATATAAGAAGTTATGAGATGTTTCTAGTCATTCTAGTGATTTTCCATGTTATTAAATTCTATAATAATCTCCCCATATCCTCACTAAGTCACTTCTAATGTAACCAATTTTAGTAACTTTGTCATATAAACATACATCTAAACATAAATGCACATAATAGGATTTTCAACTTTTCAAGTTGATCCAACTCATTTTCCTACTTTGAGTAAAAACTTTACATCACATAGCAAGTGATTCACCTATACATTTCTATTCTATATTATCTGTGATCATAACCAGCAAATTATATATTTTAGAGATGAGGGATACTGACTCCAATCACAAGAGAGCTATTATAATGATTAATTCAATTATATTCAATTATATCCCAGGGTTGTACCTCCATCAGAACCATGCTTTATGATTTGATGCTATTTATACTCAAAATTGAGATGAAAATGTAATGTGAAGAGATGAATTTGAAACAGTAAGTGCCTCGAGCAGAGAAGGCTTCATCGAGAAAATAATGTATAAATTGGGACTTGAATTTTGAGTAAGAAAGATGAGATAAAAGAAAAAGGTCTATCAGGAAATGGTATGAGTGGGTACAAAGAAGGGCAGAGAATGGAAAGGCATGAGTCAGCTTGTCTAGTAAATGGGGGCTGAAGGGTAAAGAACAGAAGCATGGAGAGTGAGGTTTCACATAGCTGAGGCTGGCTCTGAGTTGATGCGGACTTAGCATTCCTATTCTAGGACTAGGGAGTACCAGTGGGATTCTAGTCAATCCTACATTAAATACAGTTTTAGGTAGTGTTATTGTTTCATATATTTGTTCTCAACTGCCCTAGAAAATAGGGATTCACTAATAATTATTTGAATCCCTCTCTGAACTAAGAAGTCATTTCAATTTTTGTAATCTTATTTTTTTAACATCTAAGAAAAGGATGTGATGGTTATTCTTCAACATCTATACACACTGCATCTAAACAATCTTTTATTTCATTTAGGTTTATGTGAACCAAATCTGCCTTAATGGTACTGCTAAGGGGACCACATTAAAAAAATATATATATCTCTATCTTACAGGCCTTTTCCTTCTGAAATCTACTTCCTCTATAGAAGAATGGAGAATGGAGTCAATTTGCCCATTAGTGGGTGCCCTTTCAAAAGAAAATAGTTGTTTCCCACGAAATCTGAAAAGAAATAAAGCAGTATCACAGACAACAGAGGTAGCACTCACCTTCCAGACTCTCAGTTCTCTCGGATTTATTTGTTTCTTCAAATCCCTGCACAGATCCCAGATCTTTATCCATTCTCTCTTTATCCAAGGCTAGAGAGTCTCGGGAAGTGCTTTCTAGATCCCTTTCATGTTCACCTTCCAGTTTTGCTTCACAGCGTTTCACAGACTCTATTTGAGAACTCTCAAAAGTTCTGTCTCTGTCTCTGTCCCTGTCCCTTTCAACAGAATCAGAAATTAGTCTCTCTCTTTCCCTATCCAAGTCTCTCCTTTTGTCTCGTTCTCTCTCTCGTTCTCGTTCTCGCAATCTATCTCGATCCCTGTTGCGTGGCCAATCTTTATCAGCATCTCGGTCCCATTCTCTCTGCCTCGTATCTCTCCTCTCTCTCTCGCGCTCTCTGTCGTGTTCATATCGATCTCGTTCTTGAAGCCTGTCTCTGCTATCAAATGACCCAGATCTTGAATGGACCTGTCGATCTGACTCTGGAGAACTTCTTCTTGAACTATGGCTTCTTGAATCCTGGCGATCTAAAATAAATATACCATATATAAAGAGTTATTAGCACATGATAAAATAGAAACAAAATGCTTCATTTCAAGGTCCTTTAAAACATAATTTACCTTTTTCCATATTCTATGTAACTTTCTATGTTCCATATTGTCTCTATATGTTCTATATATTTCTATATTCTACATATACATTTCTCTCTATAAATATCCAAATATATAAATCATTTTAAGAAAAATTCCTCTCTCAAAGTTCTAATAAATAAAAAAAAAAGTTTCCTTGTCTATTTCCACTATAACCATAAAATATCTTCCAAGAAGTACATAAAATGATTAGGCATTAATAGAACTAATCACTCCATTATTTGATCTCCTCCTACTCCCCTATCTTATTTTCTGTGGTCAAAAGAGGCAGCCTTGACTGCATGAAGAATAGCAGGAAGGTTAAAATCATAGGCATCAATAAGGGACTTGAACACATAAACCCTTCCACCAAGACATACTACTAAAATCCTGATATTAAACTGATTAACACTACTGTATGTATTTCTATTATAATGTTGGTATTAATGTGATAACAGGTAACATTTTGATAGGGCAGCTAAACTTTTCTTTAAAAAGTTGCATAAAATTTAAGGCAGCATGTAAAGTAACCAATTTAGCATTACTTTAGAATTAAAATGTGTATAAAATATACTAACCTAGGAAACAGTGACTAGATCACAATTCAATTTTATTACCTGAAGAAGTACTTCGACTGGGTTCTCCACGCTTTAACTGATCAATCCTAGATTTTCTCTCTCCTGTGATTTCCAGGCTTTTTGTTTTTTCTCTATCTCTTGAGCCACTGTGCAGTACTCTCTTTCGACCACTTTGGTCATCTCCACTTCGATGGGCTGAATCATTGGATGGGGAGCGAAGACGACCAGACGTATGACTACGGTTACTCCGATTGCTCCCGAGGCTGCTGCTCCTCTTTTGATCCATAGGCTTGCGATGCTGTGCATCTTCTATAGTCACGTGAGGCGTCTCTACTTTTTCTACTCGTGTTCTGTGGCATTTTCTGTGTGAGTCTTCATTGGCAAAAGTATTATTGGTGGTATTGGTGGGGGTGGCAGAGGTGGAAATAGTGATGGCAGATGTGCTGAAAGAGGTGGCGGCAGCAGCAGTAGTGGCAGCAAGAGTTGCAGGCACAGTTGTAGCAGTGGCAGTAGCCACAGGCGGTGGAGGAGGAAGAAGAGAAGATAGAGGAGAAGGGGTACTACCAGGAGTCGTGGCGGTGGCAGTATGCTCTGCTTCTGTCACCTCTGTACGGTCAGGGACATCCTCATCAGACCAGTCACTGAATGCTGTATCTTCTTTTTTCTGGGAGTCCTCTAGAATACCATTCTTACCATTGCACATTTCAACCAATTCCTCTTTAGTTGTTATAGGGGGAGTCCGTGGGCCTCTTTTCTTCTTACTTTGCTGGGCTGCTTCTTCATCAGAAATATCAGAATCACCTTTGGATTTTTTACGTTTTTTTTCAATGCTTTTCTTTTTCTGTCCTTTTTTTGGTGAAAATACTTGACCATCTTCAGATGTTGTCTCTATGTTACCCCTCTCTATTCCAACATCATCCTCTTTCTTTTTCTTAATTGGTTTCTTTTGAATTTTTGCTTTCTTCTTGTTTTCATCATGAGCTCGATCAGATGTCTCTCGATCTTCAGACTGGTGGTGTCCTATAATGTCCTGTGCACGCATTCTTGAGCTTTCCAGGATTTCTGTCTGTTCTCTCTGTTTATCTACAGAAGAAACTTTCTCCTTGAGTTCCTGTTCTTCGTAGCGCCTTGAACTCTCTTTCCTTTCTGGTTTACGATCCTCCTCTTTCCATCTACCCTGTCTGTCTTCTGTGAGGTGCGAGGGACTAAGAGAACGAGATTCTTGAGGTCGTACAACTTGGCTCAAGAGTCTGTGTTTTTCATCTATATAAAAGATAAAAGCAATCACACTCTCACCAGGTTAGTAACCACTGCATGGTACATATAGATTATAATAATTTCTCCTCACACCTGTAATCCCAGGACTTTGGGAGGCCGAGGCAGGTGGATCATGAGATCAAGAGATCAAGATCATTTAAAAACTTTTAAAATGACAATAATTTTAGTAAAAATAAAAATATGGCTTTACTATAAATAGTAGAAAATGACAGTACTCTAACACATACTTTAGTCACAAAAGGAGATATTTAGAGGCAGCAAAGCAAGACAACTTTTTAAAAATCTTAATTCATCAGTTCCTACTAGTATGAAAGGATGGTTTCATGGTTACAAATGAATATGAATATAGAGAGACAGAAAACAGAGTCTGCTTACTTTTATCATCTCCACTGTTGTAGGCATCACTGTCCGGAGAATGTTCACGCCGGCGCTTCGGGGACTGTCTAGGGCTGGGACTCCCTTCATTTCTATAGCGCTTCCTAAATTGGACAAGCAAACACAATTTATAAAATTCTAGGGGGCAAAAAAAGAGATTTTTTTGTTTTTACTAGTATCTCTTTACTATAACTGGAACATATAATTGTAGGAAAGCAATATTGCCAGAGTGTATCATACAAAGGATATTCAGTGTCTTTAATACAAATTCTTTACTTCATTTGCTAAGAATTGTGAACTTAAAATACACAACATTTCTTCTTCTTCTTCATTATACATGTAGAATAACTCAAGTGAAAATTGCCAGATTTAAATACTGTAAGGTGGTAACATGCAGCACAGAAACCAATATATTAATGTACCCTCTGATATAAACATTCAGCAATTTTGCATTCTTATGATATAAAAATGCCTTATGCTGCAGAGCTGAATGAGAAAACCTAATATTGGCTTTGAAGTAAAAAAGCTATGAGTTCAACTTATAACTACATTAGTTATTACGCAGCCTTAAGTAAGTTCCTTGAAGTCACTGAACCTTAGTTTCTCATCTGAAAATGGTGGGTGGGGCTGAATGGGTGGGAAATGAGAGTCCATTTCATAAAATTGCAGTAAGGAATAAATTAGTTATGTCATAAACCCAGTGCCAAATATGTTGTGGGTACACCATAAAATTAGTTCCTTTCCCCTTCATGGAAATCACTTTCTTGCTGACAAATTAATAAAATAATTCATACGTTCATTATATTTTTTGTTCCTTAGTTGAGCTTTAAATGAGTAGCGTTTTATATCTCTTGGGTACTTAAATTATTCTAGTGTTTTCCCCCATTTTCATTAAAATTTGACTACCTGTTTTTTCACTAACATTGTTTGTTTATAAATACTATGGTCAAAAGTTAAGAAACATATTGTATACATGGACCAATGGAACAGAATAGAAAACCCAGAAATAAAGCCAAATGATCTTCAGCAAAAGCATACAAAACATAACTGGGGAAAGGACACTCTATTTACTAAATGGTGGTGGGAAAATTGGCAAGTCACATGTAAAAGAATGAAACCGGATCCCTCTCAGCTCAAACAAAAATCAGCTCAAGAAGGATCAAAGACTTAAATCTAAAACCTGAAACCATTAAAATTCTAGAAATTAACACTGGGAAAACTCTTTTGGACACTGGCCTAGGCAAAGACTTCATGGCCAAGATTCTAAAAGCAAACGCAACGAAACCAAAAATAAATAAATGGAACCTAATTAAACTAAAAAGCTTCTGCACAGCAAAATAAATAACAAAGACAACCCATAGAATGGGAGAAAATGTTTGCAAACTATGTATCCAACAAAGGACTAGTATCCAGAATCTATAAGAAACTCAAATAAATCAGCAAGAAAAACATAAATAATCCCATCAAAAAGTGGATAAAGGACACGAATAGACATTTCTCAAAAGAAGACATACAAACAGCCAACAAACGTATGAAAAAATGCTCAAAATCACTAATCATCAGGGAAATACAAATTAAAAACCACAATGAGATGCCACCTTACTCCTACAAAAATGGCCATTAAAAAGTAAAAAAAACAGGAGATGTTAGCATAGACATGGTGAAAAGGGAATGCTTATTCACTGCTGGTGGGTATGTAAATAAGTACAACCTCTATGAAAAACAGTATGGAGAGTCCCTAAAGAACTAAAAGGAGATATTTGATCCAGCAATCCCACTACTGGGTATCTACCCAAAGGAAAAGAAGTCATTATATGAAAAAAAAAAACATGCACATATATGTTTATAGCAGCAAAATTCACAACTGTAAAGATATAGAACCAACCTAAGTGCCCATTGGCCAATGGGTGGATAAAGAAAATGTGGTATATATACACCATGAAACCATGGACTACTACTCAGCCATAAAAAGGAAAAAAATAATGTCTTTTGCAGCAACTTGTTCTCACCTGTAAGTGAGAGCTAAGCTATGAGTATGCAAAGGCATACAGAGTGATATAATGGGCTTTGGAGACTCAGAAGGGGGAGGGTGGAAGGGGAGTGAGGGATAAAAACGTACATGTTTGGTACAATGTGGACTACTCAGGTGACAGGTGCACTAAAATCTCTGAATTCATCCAGGTAACCAAAAACCTCTTGTACCCTAAAAGCTATTGAAATAAAAATAAAACAAAAACATACCAGCACATGTATATCATAGACAGCTCCTTTATATAGATGAACAACCATGTGGAGAAGGCCCCAGGTGTAATATGACAACTCACAGGCCCAAGCTTGTGTACTACTTTATCCAAAGCTCCTCTCCCATCAATAACTGGCCTATTTCCCCATTTTTCATATCTAATGACTTGCTATGACAAGAGAATGTGGTGAAAGTGACACTGTGCAAATGTGAAGAGGATTCAGGAGGCCTTGCTGCTTCAGCTTCTGCCCTCTTGTTGTTTCTACCATTACATGCAAAGCAGAGTTTAGACTACTGAAGGCCAGGGGGTCAAGTGGAGGAGAAACAAGATGCCCTAATTGCCAGACACATGAATGAGACAATCCTGGGCCTCCAGGCCCAGCTGCATTGTCAGATGTAATGTTGATACAGGAGTTACTCCAAGTGAGACCAACAGAACAACCACTCTATTGAGCCCAGGCAAAACTGCCAATCCACAGAATCATGAGCAAATAAATGGTTGTTGTTTTAAGCTACTAACTTATGTGGTGATGTGTTATATATCAAGAGATAACTGACAGACTGGAATAAAGTGAAAATTTAAAACATGAGAAAAAGTTATTTCAAGGAAATACCTAAATAAACACAATTAGAGTAAAATAAATACAGCAATTAGGCAAACGTTCTACATAAGAGCAGTTAAAAAAAGTGCTGGATAAATTGAACTACTGAGATGACAATACAGTTAATGAAAGATTAAGATATTAATCTCATGTAATTAGTTTCTGTTATAGAGTTATTCAACTTCTAAATTTCTGGGGTCATTGTCAACTCTTAGATTGTCTAACCATGAAAAACCAGAAAAACTTTTGCTATTATAAGCAGATATCAGAAGCATGAAAAAAATACAGGTTGCGTATCCCTTATCCATGAAATGCTTTAGGTTTTGAATATTTGCATTGTACTTACTGGTTGTGCATCCTTCATGTGAAAATCTGAAATGTTCCAATGAGCATTTCCTCTGAGTGCCATGTCAGTGTTTAAAAAACATTAGATTTTGGAGCATTTCAAATTCTGAATTTTTGGATTTGGGATGCTCAATCTGTACTAATGAAAGCAGAGGACTGAATAAAAGATAAATAACAAAGATTTCAGAATTTTAATCTTAGAAAATAAAGAGGTCAGAAAAGTAGCGGGTGGGGAGGGTGGGAATATGTACCTGTGCCTCCATGTGTTAAAAAAGGTATCTCTGAAGTTTATGTTCAGGTAAGATTTTTCAAAATGTAAGGAGAGGGAAGCAGGAAAGTAATCCAAGGAGTGTACTACAGAAAACCATGGCTGTAGATTAAAGAACAGCCAAGACCTAAGGGAAGAAAGTTCTACTTCTGTGCTGTGTTGTTTGGCCCTAACCATAATCCACAATAGTGAGGATGAAAAAAGCCTAAAGCAGGGACCCTGTATTCGCCCTGTGGCAAATGAGTTGGAGGTAAGAGCAAGAAAATTGAAGATACATAAATTATTTTCTCAGTATGTTTTGGCAAGGTAAACCACAGTGTTTATCCCAGTTGGAGGCAAAAAAGTAGTTAACTCTAGTAAGTTTGGTTTTGTGCCCACAGAACTTCAAAATTGACCAATCTGAGTCTAGAATTCTCATGAACACTGTGATCAGCTTAGTCAATAACTGTCTCCTCACCAACTAATGAGAGCCCCAACTCAGAGAGGACTGCTAAGCTGACAGGGACAACTCTGGGGCCATCTTAGCCATCATATGGAGAAAACCTTTCTGAGACTGAAATTAATACAGAGGGAAACTGGAGAGATGGAAACTGCTAATGCTTTGTTTGAGAATCTGGATATAGCCACATCAGAACAAGCAAAAGCTAATCTCCAACTTCCTAGATATTTGAGCAATAAGTTCTTTTCTGGTTAAAAGGGGGTGAGGTGGGAGAATGCCCTTAGGTATATCAGATGCCAAGAACACATTTTTTGACCCCAAAGAACTACTCCACAGCACAAGAGAAGACACTTCCTTTTCTCTCATCTTCGAACCATGCAGTGATTACAAGGATTCCCTCAGTTCCAAGACATTGTGAATGCTTCCTGTAGCCTGGGGGTAGTGACTCCATAATTACAAGCACATAAAAGTCATGAAGGATCATCAGAATGGCACAGGTGATATCCCTTGGTGACTAGTCTAGGGGATGTGATGGGATACAAGTTCACTGATTCCTGTCTTAATTTAAAAATTATTTTTTCTAGACAACTGAAAAAACTTTTTTTTTTTTTCCTGAGACAAGGTCTCGACCCAGGCTGGAGTGCAATGACATAATCTTGGCTCACTGCAACCTCTGCCTCTCAGGTTCAAACAATCCTCCCATCTCAGCCTCCCAAGTAGCTGGGATACAGGCACGTGCCACCACGTCCGGCTAATTTTTGTATTTTCTGTAGAGATGGAGTTTTGCCATGTTGCCCAGGCTGGTCTCAAACTCCTGGCCTGAAGGAATCTGCCTGCCTCGGCCTCCCAAAGTGCTGGGTAAAAAAACTTTAAACACCGATACATATACTAAATTTGAAAAACAGGAAAATATACAGAGAAAAAAAATTAACAGGAAATTAAGAGTATATTGAAAAGCATTAAATGAAACTTTGAATTCTTTCCTGAAATGTAAAATGTTATTAATAACTGATAATTATTCTTACTTTGATTTTCTTTCATCATGTCCATCTCTTGGATTCCTATCTTCTCGGATCTCTTCTCGCTTTTCTCTGCGGTCATCTCGTCCTTTGTCTTTGTCTTCCCAATCCCTTTGGCGTTCTCGTTCTTTATCCCTTTCTCTCGCTCTTTCTCGTTCCCGTTCTCGCTCTCGCTCTCTCTCCCGTTCTCGCTCTCTCTCCCTCTCTCTCTCTTCTCTTTCTCGTTCCCGTTCTTTTTCCCTGTCTCGTTCCCTCTCTCTTTCCCGCTCTCGATCGTGGTCTCGGTCTCTATCCCTTTCACGATCTCTCTCTTTTTCTCTTTCTCTCTCCCGTTCCCTAGCACGCTCTCTTTCTAGTTCTCTCTCTTTTTCTCTTTCCCGATCCCGTTCACGTTCCCTCTCTCTCTCCCGCTCCCTGTCTCGTTCTCGTTCCCGATCTCTCTCTCTAGCCCTTTCATCTCTCCTATCATCCACTCTGTCTACTCTTCGTTCCTCTCTTCTTTCATCACGCTCAAGCTCGTCATTCCTTCCCTGATGTCGAATTGGTGAGCTTGGTCTTTGATCTACAATGAAAATCAAGTTTTGTCAGTGATTAATTTGACAGATAACCTATTGGTAAGACAGCATGGTAAATCTTAAATTTTATCTGTGATAGGGTCACACTGGCAACAAATTACAAACCAAGTAGCATATTTAATTTTAACTTAATATCCAAGTAACAATCGCCCCTAGACCTTAAATTTTTTAAAGATAATTTTTATTTGCCCTCTAACGACCATGTTTCCTGCTCCCCGTCAACCCCCTTCCCCCCTCCCACTGATCAATCTTTGATCTTTCTCTGCATGCTCCCTACCCTACCTCCAGCCCACTGCTCCAACCCCACTTTCTGCCATCTCTACCCTTCACCTCTGATCTTCTCTGTCCCCCCAGCAGGACCTGAGAACACTGGTGGCAAAGGATAGGGGCAGCAGGAGGTGTAGAACATAGGAGCTGAAGGAAAAAAAAAATTTCCCTCGTAAGTCACACCTCTAATTTCAGGCCAAAATATATACACATCAAAGTGCAGCTATTATGTGAGGAAAATATAGTAGAACAAAACATATGTCAGAATTTGTTGCTGCAATATAACATGAACTGTAATATTAAGGGTACTGATGTCTAGCAATCTTGAAATAAATGTAAAAAGTGTTTCATATTAGTGATATATATTTGTAATTAATAACCAATTACTAATAAATTAGCTTTAATTACATAAATGATTACTCAGATGAAGAGCTGTTTTCTTAAAATGTTAACTGATAACCTCATCACATTTTATATAAATTTTTTCCATGTACACACAAATCACATAAACACAGAGTAAATGAATGCATGCTGCCCAAATACCCAGTTGAGCAGAAAATTAGTCTGGGATAAAAAAACGTTTAAGAGGATGGCATGAACTTTTTCAAAGAGACAGCCATTTTTGAAAGCAACTACTGCGGTCTGATCTAGGATACTGTGATGTTTCCATTTACATACTATATATCTACTGGTTTTTGATAAAGATCATATTATAATCAGGCCAACAGGTTGGTAAGTGGAACATCTAACATCAACTCATTAAGCAGAACAATTTTAGGATGTTTCTAGGAAGGGTTCAATACAGTATTCTGGATTTCCCTTCCTAATCACTGATTGAAAAGACAAGAATTATCTTATCTTTACTATTTTAGAGGTTATAGACCCAGATACAAATGATCATAGCATTTTAAAGCTGAATCAAAATGAAATCCTACACAGTTGCTTCTCCCCCTTTCTATTTAAAAACAGAAATTATGGTCCAGAGTTGTCTTCCCAATGTCACAGAGATGGTAGATGCATTAGAAGTCAGTTTTCTTAAACCCTTTCACTTTTGCTGAAACCAACTTAAAGTGGTTCTTCTGTACCATACTTTGGATTCCTAGAATGCTATCTACCCATCTTTTGTATTGTCTGAATTCCTGGTTTGGAGGAGTCATACCAACATCATAATCATTACAAGATAACCTGAAACAAATTCAATACCATTAACTTATAGCAAATCATACTTTAAATTTCTAATTACAGCAATATCAGCAAATAGACTATTCAGACATGCTTTTATGGGAGATGTATTTTCCCAACCAAAATATCAATGCTACTTTCTTCAAAGGAAAATGGAAAGAATATAAGAACATCACTTTAAAATGTCTAAATTATCTTCCCCTA
Organism: Homo sapiens; assembly: GCF_000001405.40. NCBI lineage: Eukaryota > Metazoa > Chordata > Mammalia > Primates > Hominidae > Homo > Homo sapiens. Next base: position 45,977,505 of record NC_000013.11, read on the forward strand.
TCTTTCCCCCAAAATGTGTTATTCAAAGATGTGCTTCTACTTACATATTTCCTTATTTTAATAAATGACATACCAATTCATTAAAGCTGACAATCTCTGGGTTGTCTAAGCCTCATCATATCCAAGTACAATCAACTTCACTTCTAAAATATTTCTTTGTTCCTTTTCCTGTCCCCATAGCTATAGTTATTAACTCAGACCTTGATCAGGTCTTCTTAGATGCCTATGTCATCAACAGTCTAACTAATTGGTATCCTTGTTTTCAATCTTTCCCAACACCCTTAATATGTTTTTGATGAAAATTATTTCTTCCAACTGTTTAAAAGTAGTTATCTTGTAGGCAGTGAAAGGCAATTAAAATCAAATTTTTTAGCCTGACTAGGCTAAACTTAGGTCATTTACTACCTGGCCTATAGTCTTTCATCAGTCCTTTTCCCTGGTTTCTTTTCTACCTTGCCAATTATAGCATACTCTGACTCCAATCTCATAATTCCTTACTACTCCAAAGCACATGTTTCTTTCAGTTCTGGTGTCTGTACATGCTGCACCCTCTCCCTGTAAAGTGCTCCTTCTATAGTTTCCTTTTATTCTTCAGGCCCTAATTCAGATGTCACTTCTTTAGGCAGCTTTCTTGGAATTGCTCAGAATTGTGTTTGCTCCTTTGTCTTCTCACAGAACTTTTATATACAGTAGTAGCATTTTATCACACTTTGTTTTTTTGGGTGGGGAGTTCTTCCCTCTCCCCATTAAATTCTACAAGGACAAGAAATTATTGTACCTCAAGTGCCTAGCAAAGTGCCTGACATGGGTACTCAACAAATATTTGTAAAATATTCATTAGCCTCCAAAATATATTTTTATTTCAATCATACATCTCATAATTATTGAAGTAGTTACAGTAAAATTAAAATAGAGAACTGAACTTCTGGTCAGAAGACCTGAGTTTGAATTCCAGCTCTGGAACCTACTTCTCTATAATATTGTAATCTTACTACTCTTAGATCTAATCCCCAAAACTGTGAAAACATGAATTATTTTATCATACCTACACTTACAAGGATATTGTAAAGACTAAGTCAGAATATATGTAAAGCAACTATCAAAGTTCTTGGCACCTAGTAGAAGATCAATACATGTGGTTGAACTAACCATAAGATTGAAACCAAATGTTACTATTGAATTCAGGCATGAGATGAGAAAAATCTGAGCAAGGATATGAAAATAGAAAAAAAGGAAAAAAGAAATTTAAAAAAAAGCATCACCAGTTCTAAAAGTCCCAGGGAAGAAAAAATTTCAGATATCAACACAGAACATAGAAACTCCAGCCCTATCTGTAACTAAGGAAATTCTACACATCTTTTAACCAAAATGCATTAGGCTTACCTTATAAACTCAACCTAATCAATTCTCCTACTTCTGATCCTATCTATGCTCCCAAAAGTAGATGATGCCTTAGAAACTTTATTCTTCTCCCACTACTAACCAATCAAGATATAATATTACCTCTTTGATTCAGCCCATAGTAAAGTATCAATATTCAATTCTCTGGGCCATCAAGTTTCATGCTATATTAATCTCAGCATTATAGTGAACCTTACTTCAGCCAAGGTTAGTAAGACCTTCATAAAATTTTTAATGTTTAAAGGCCCTAATAAGTACAGAAATAAAAGCTTGCCAAAGAAAGTATTTACAACCCTTCTTAAGTGCTTCCTAGTAATCTTGCTTCAAAATTCATTTAAGAGATCACCTGATAGATGAACAGAAAAAGTTTTAGCTTAAGACATATAAGAACGTAAAATTAGCTAAAGCAAATACCATATCTTCTCAGGACAGAATACAAATAAAATATTTCTCTAAACAATCCCCAGCCCTATCATTCAGTTTTTTTTTACTGTTCCTTTCTGGAAGTCCTTATAAAATTCTATTGATCATAGCAAATGAGTGAGTAGACAGGATACTCAGATGTAAAGGTTTAGGTATTTCTTGAATCAGAATTGCCTGGAATAGAACCCAACCATCTACATTCTTTAAAGGTTTGTAAGCTATTTGGGTAAGATGAGAAACACACAGTAGGGCACCCAAGTTTTTGCACTTTGTTGCCAGTAGGTACTGGTCACTAGCTATTGACATAATCCCTCCTAAACCATGTGAACAAAGATTATATGAGTATATATAATAGTTTCAAATGTGTCATCGAGCACAAGCCTTAAAGTATATTTTATATTAAAAAGTAAATTGGTAACTGTTTGAAAAAACAATTCGCCCAATTGATATTGTTCACTATTTAATAAAATTCTGTTTGACAAACCTCTCTCTCTGTTGTCACGACGGTCTCGCTCTCCATGTCTTCTCTCAAAGGAAGAATCCCTTGCTTGATCTCTGTTGTCTCTTTCAGGATATCTATCTCTTTCAGGATAGCTACTTCGAGTTTCCCAGCTGTCATGATAGTTGCTATTACTACTGTGACTATCAATTTGAGAACCTCTTGAGCCTCGACTTCCTAAACAAAGGATAGACACACAAATGTTTACCACATACACTTTATTCAACAAATTTCATCAGTCATAATCTTTCCTCCTAAACATCACTAATATATATATTTAATATTCCAAAGTGTGGTAATCACTCCTGAAAAGAGTATCAAGCAATGAATCAGAACAACCAAGGTGTCCAATGACTGACCTGAGTAGACGAAGTCCCAGTTTTCCCTACCTATATAAAAGTCATATGATAAAATCATAAAATAATAAGATTCATTAAAATTAACCTGTCCCCCCAAAAAAAACAAAAAATAAAAACTATTTCTTCATATTTAATTCACAGATATATAAAAATAATGAAAGAAAAAAATGGGTACGTATTATTGCTTAAATACAGTTTACAGTGAAAACATTCCAACATAGAACACCAAGGTTAATGACAACATTAAACTGTATGTGAAAATTTTCATTAACAGATGTGGGAAACAAATGTTCACAGTGGCTTTGTTGATAACAGCCAAAACCTGCAAAGTACACTAATGTCTTTCAATGGATGAACAGTTAAACAAACTGTGGCACATGCATGCCATGGAATACTATTCGGCAATAAAAATGAATGACCGATATATGCAACAACTTGGATGAACCCCAAGAAAAAATTATGCTGAGTGAAAAAGCCAATCTCAACAGGATACATATAGCATTATTCCATTTACGAGACAATTACAAAACAAGGGACACATAAGAGGTTGCCAGGGGTTGGGGCCAGGGGCCAGGGGAGGGTTGTGGCTATAAAGGGGTAATAAAAAGGAATCTTAGGATGTTATAGATGAGTATCTTGACTATGGAAATGGGCTACACATATGATAAAACTACAAAAAGCTACATACAGACATACACCCAAGTGCATGTATACTGGTGAAATGTGAATAAACTCTATGGATTGTACCAATGTCAATTGTTTGGTTTTGATACTATGCTATAGATAAGATGTTAGATGTTAACACTGGAGAAGTTGGGGTAAGGATAAACAAAGTTTCCCTGTACATTTATTTGCAATCTCCTGTGAATTCCTAATTACTTCAAAACAAAATGAAATTTAAAAAAAAGCTTTTTTTGAGCAGTGAGGGTTAGGAGTAGAGAAACAGTACTGGGGCTGTGATAATTTAGGAATATCTGGCAAAAACAAAGACAGAAACTCTGAGGGCCCTGCCCTCAACCTCATAGAATTACCATGGATAAATCTTTGACAAAGATGAGTTCACTCCAAACTTAAAAGAACATATGATGATTTCCAATTTCATCCATGTCCCTACAAAGGACATGAACTCATCATTTTTTATGGCTGCATAGTATTCCATGGTGTATATGTACCACATTTTCTTAATCCAGTCTATCACTGTTGGACATTTGGGTTGGTTCCAAGTCTTTGCTATTGTGAATAGTGCCGCAATAAACATACGTGTGCATGTGTCTTTATAGCAGCATGATTTATAGTCCTTTGGGTATATACCCAGTAATGGGATGGCTGGGTCAAATGGTATTTCTAGTTCTAGATCCCTGAGGAATTGCCACACTGACTTCCACAAGGGTTGAACTAGTTTACAGTCCCACCAACAGTGTAAAAGTGTTCCTATTTCTCCACATCCTCTCCAGCACCTGTTGTTTCCTGACTTTTTAATGATTGCCATTCTGACTGGTGTGAGATGGCATCTCATTGTGGTTTTGATTTGCATTTCTCTGATGGCCAGTGATGCATCATTCTCAGTAAACTATCGCAAGAACAAAAAATCAAACACTGCATATTCTCACTCATAGGTGGGAATTGAACAATGAGAACACATGGACACAGGAAGGGGAACATCACACTCTGGGGACTGTTGTGGGGTGGAGGGAGGGGGGAGGGATAGCATTAGGAGATATACCTAATGCTAAATGACGAGTTAATGGGTGCAGCACACCAGCATGACACATGTATACATATGTAACTAACCTGCACATTGTGCACATGTACCCTAAAACTTAAAGTATAATAATAATAAAATAATAAATAAATAAATAAACAAATAAATAAAAAAGAAAAAAAAGAACATATGACAAACTAACCCACCCAAAGACAGAATCAAAAGGCACTTCCCCAAGATTTAAAAAACAAACAAAAACACAAAGAATACAAATGTAACAGGCTTTTGAGACCTAAAAGAATTACAGCATGATTCTACGGGTATTTTAATAATCAAAATAGCTGTGAAAAATATTTTAATAATTAAAGACCAGGAAGAAAAAATTTAAAACATTTTTACAGACTACAAAAAGGCTACATATAACATCTAGGAAAGAATGGATTAACCATCAGATTAGATGCAGCTAAGAAAAAATTGGTAAACTAGAAGGTAAGCCTGAGAATATGACCTAGAGGCGAAACAGATAAAGAGATGAAAAATTTGAAAGTTAAGAATGAAAGAAGATACAATGAGGAGATTTAATCTGTCTAAAACTATATGTTGTTTAGAGTTACATTTAAAAAAAAATTAAGCCTGAAAGGATGGAAAAAGATATATCAAACAAATACTAACCAAAAGACAGCTGCCAGCAAAACAATCTTCAAGAAAAATACAGGCTGAATGCCCTTTATCTGAAATGCTTGGGACCACAGGTGTTTTGGATTTTGGAATATTTGCATTATATTGGTTCAGCATCCCTAATCTGAAAAATTGGAAATCCAAAATGCTCCAATAAGCATTTCCTCTGAATGTTATGTCAGCTCTCAAAAAGTCTGGATTTTATCAGTTGCTAGTGGCTATAGAAAAAACAAAAAACAAAAACAAAAAAAATTACATTAAAAAGTTTTAGATTTTGGAGCATTTCAGATTAGGGATGCTCAACCTGAACCTGGCATAAACAGTCATTCTATAATGAATAAAGAAAGAAATAACTCAATTTACGTGTACCTAATAGCAAAGCTTCAAATATTCAAATAAAAAAATGATCAAACTATAAGTAGAAATCAACAAATCTACAAATTCCACAATCACAGTGGAAGACTGAACTCACCTCTCTGTAATGACAGAACAAACAGACTAAGAAAAATTACATGTAGATTTGAAAGTGTAGTTAAAACAAACTTTATCTTAGAGAAACATTTTGCATTCAACCATTACAAATGCAACTCCTTTGAAAGCATATGCAGAACACTTATAAAAACAGACCACTGAGCCACAAAATAAGAGTTAACAAATACATATCCCAAAGAACTGACTTTCAACAGAGTATTTTCTGACAACTAAAATGGGGGGAGAGAACTTAATCCTTAACACAATAAAAAGTATCTGCAAAAAATCTACAAACACCATACTTAGTAATAAAATGCCAGCAACAATCCTTTAAAATCTGAAACAAAGCAAAGCCCCTTCTACTTATATATATATATTTTTTTTTTTTTTTTTTTTTTTTTTTTTTTGAGACGGAGTCTCACTCTTTCGCCCAAGCTGGACTGCAGTGGCGCTATCCCGGCTCACTGCAAGCTCCGCCTCTTGGGTTCATGCCATTCTCCTGCCTCAGCCTCCCGAGTAGCTGGGATTACAGGCGCCCACCACCACGCCCGGCTAATTTTTTTGTATTTTTAGTAGAGACGGGGTTTCACTGTGTTAGCCAGGATGGTCTCGATCTCCTGACCTCGTGATCCGCCCGCCTCGGCCTCCCAAAGTGCTGGGATTACAGGCGTGAGCCACCGCGCCCGGCCCCTTCTACTTATATTTAACACTGTATTGATAAAGATGCTCAGAAGGTTACTGACAGAAAATTAATAATCAGAAAAGAAGAGCCAAATCAGTGTGTTCCTAGGAACATCTGTTAAGAGAATCTAATTAGATCAAGAAAATACAGCAACATCATTTAAATGTAAGATTAATACACAAATGCCAATTACCATTTCCAGGTACCAACAAAGCATTAGAAAATGCAATGTTTTAAAAGACACCATTTAGTGACATATGTACACAGTTATTCACTAAAGCACTGTTTGAAAGAGATAAAGATTGGAAAACCAAAATACCCAGTAATGCAGCACTTGCTGACTTTATGGTATATTCTACAATAGAGAACAAGTACCAAAAGAAGAAAATAGCTGTTTACCACAAAGAAAGACATGAAAGATATTTTTACTAGTTGAAAATAGTAGGATATAAAACAGTACATAGTTTTTTCCAGTGTTTTTAAAAATTAGTTTTGTAAAACCAGAGGGGAAAACAAATGGATATATATTTGCTTGTGTAAAATGTTTTTTGGGAAGAATACATACAAAGCTGGCAAAAGAGTGGTCAGGGTACAACGGAGGCTTTTCACTATATATCCTTTTATACATTCAAAATTTTGAACCATGTAAATACATAATTTACATCTTACAAAATGTAAAAGTACTATTTAAAATGGCAATAAAAAATAGAGGATACACAGGAAAAAATGTAAAAAATATTAATGAGAAATATTATAAATTGATTAAGTTGATGCATTGAAATAAAAATCCAACAGTTTTTTTATGAAATTAAAAACTGTTTTCTAAAATTGATATGAAAAAGTAAAAGGTCAAGAAAAGACAAGGCAGCTCAAAGAAGCTAAAGGACCCTCAACACAAATATGAAGCTGTAATACTGACCAAGGATTGACTAACAGACCAATGGAAAGAATAAAAGTGATCAAAGTTCTGCAGCAGTGTTTGGGGAGAGGGGAGAAAAGCAGGTGGAGGTAAAGAGAGGTCATGATAATTAAGTCTCAGCAGTTTGGAAATAGTTACAATATATTTAAGTCATTTGGGTGATGGCAAATACTTTTTATGAAAAGAAAAATGGCTCAAGATAATGACGTGTGGCAGTTTGACAGGGTCTGAAGCAAGTACAAATACTGAAGAATACACAAATCAGTCATTTCTGATGCCAACAATTCTGAAAACCCACCACTTTAATCCTACTTTAATTTAATGAACATTTTATCATATTTATACCTATTTAACAGAAAGCAACTTCCTCGTGATTCTACTTTTTTGTCTGATAGTGATTTTCTTAGTGTTCCACATTAATCAAGATGATAGGCATGACTGGATATACTTAGGGGGGGTCTAGCTCAAGCTCCATTTATCTTTTGCTATTTTAACTAGTAATTCCAATTAGGAATTTATAAGGAAGACTACAAGTTCAATTAATTAAAAATTACTGTGACAAAATGATAACAAATGTAAGAAACAACATATTAGAAATCTTAGGAGATTTTATACTTTCTATATAAGATATAGTTCATAGACAAGTCAAAAACCTTACCCTTTTCAGGTAACTCAGGAACCCTCCCCCTACTTCGGCCCATTCGGTCATTTCTAATTTCACTTCGAGACTCATTTCTGGACTCATTCCTTATTTCCGTACGAGAACTTTCTTCTCTCAAATGGTTTCGGCCATAACTCCGGGATTCTTCTGGATATGTATCCTCCTTTCGATGAGTATCTCGACCTTCACGGTCCCTGTAGTCATGGGCATCACGAGTGGACCGAGAATCTCTGGGATCACGGCTCTCTTTGGTATCTCTGCTATAATCTCTCATCTCCCTTGAGTCCCGCATGTCTCTGGAGTCTCTTAGTTCCCTTCGGTCCCTAGTATCTCTGGCATCTCTCCGATCCCGACCATCTCGAGGTTCTCTGTCATCTCTGTGGTCTCTAGAAGAGCTCTGATCCTGTTCATATTCTCGTTCTTCTCTTGAGTCCTTTTCTCTGTCTCGTTTGCCCCTAGTATCTGTAATGCAATTTTGGAAATTGACTGTAATTGCTTTTACAAAGTTTCAGGAAACTAGAAAACATATTTAATACAGAACTTTAAAAATTTTATTATAATGACAATTCGTGTTCTTTGCAAAAAATAAAGAAGCTAAAATTCCAAAGATAATTAACACCTGATAAGAATGTTCTTCATTAGATAAACTCCGAACATGAATTTCCTCTGCCCCAACTTACCTATACTGCCCCAACTCACCCCAACTTACCAGATCCTAAACAACTGAAACAAATAAGTTCATCTCCTATCATTGACGGCTTACTTTTCAGAAACCACTTTTAGATACAAAGACACTTCAGTTACTTTAATCTTTTCTATCAACTATTAAGTTAGGCTAAACTAGACCATCTGTGACCTCCTCAAATGTACTTAAGCACTTTAGGGTAGCCTATGGTTAGTAAGCTAGCTGGTTGAGTGATACTATTATTCACTCTCTTTTCCTGCACTGTTTAATGGTATAACATTCATGTGTGCAAGTCTTTAAAGCTTTCTCTACTTAGAGCATTTTCTAGCTGGGTGACGTGGCATGTACCTACAGTGCCAGCTACTTGGGAGGCTGAGGTAGGAAGATCACTTGAATCCAGGAGTTTGAGTTCAGCCTGGGCAACATAGGAAGATGAGACTTTTTCTCTTTAAAATGAACGAACAAAAAAGCATTTCATACAAAAAAATAAATACTTGCACTTTTTAAAAGCTGAACCACAGTGATTATCTAAACAAACCATGTCATTTTATAATAAAGAAATAGAGGCCCAAAACTTAGATGGCTTAGTCAACCCCATAATTTGCAAAGATTAGAAACCACTCTTTACATATATTTAGAAAGGGCACAAATTGATTATAACAAATCTGATATGAAGCCAAAGAATTAACAAGAGAACCTCAAAGGATAAATTCTGCCCTTTTTATCAGATTCTTCTGCAAGGTGCTCTTATACTCTGGAATTGCCCTAGTCTAAGGCTATTTTGGCAACTCTAGCAGCCTCATGCCCAAAACATTATAAGTTTACCTCCTTTTCTCTTTGTCCCTAATGGCTAGGCCCACAGACTTTCTCATGGACCCAAACATCTTGTAACCACAAGGCCCTTAGACCCTCATCAATAACCTATCTCCCCCACCAATTCCTTTGTCCATATATCCATATCCACAAACCCTGTTTAAGGACAAAGGCAAGAGGCAAAGATCTGACATATCTCCATCCCTTTCTGTGAATATCTTTCACTTCTATTCCTCCCCCAATACCAACTGTGCCTGAAAATGTGTTCACTTAGTGCCAGATCTTTTTCTCATGATGCGCCCATCTGTCTTTACAAATACGTCTAGGTACTGTATTTTCTTCTTTACCTACCTCCCTATCCTTCCACCGAAATTATCCTTATTTCAGAAAATGACATCTAAATAGAGAGGAACAATTGCCTGCTAAATCTCCCGTATGGAAAGTTAAACAGACATCTTCCTTACAAAGAACTTAAAACGCCTATGATTTAAGTCCCTTCTTAACACAAGCATTCCTATGAGACTCAATTGCTTATTATTTTCCCTTCCTTAGTATGTTTAATAATGTTAATGGAGTTTTCATTCAATAAGTAGTCATTAAATATGTACTATATTCCTGGTCAACTCTAGTTGTTAAATATCTTATTAAAATTTATAGAAAGGTACAATATAAGAGAATTTTCCCATCTTACCAATGTTTCATAAACACTGCTGTGCTGACCTAGTTCCAAAATCATACATACAAAAAAAAAATTCTATCAAATAGGTGCTTTCTCCAGTCCCTGCCTATTTTCTTGAATATCATTCTCATCCGCCATTTTCTTGAACAAAAGAACCCGACTGATTATTGCTTGCATTGTTGATAGGAAGAGAATACTAAATTCAACATGTTTCATAGGAGACTGCCGTACTCCACTCACCAAGAGGCGCTTAAAGTGCATATTAAATATAAATGTTGTTCCAAGTAAGCATTTCCTGAGTACTTACTATGTTAAAAAATGAACACAGGAGAAGTTAGAAAACAGACTTATTAAGTTGAATCTACGAAGACCAGAAGCTTAGACAAGAAGTAAAGAAAGAGATGAGAGCTATTAAACAGGCTTTATTGCCAGGTAACAATAAAATCTCAGCTTGAATAGGGAGTAGCAAATCCAAAGTTAACTTAATTCTCAGGGATCTAGAAAGGAAAACTGCTTCGCTTACTTCTTTATTATGACCTAGAAATTTGATGACTCGGTTTGCAATGACCTTCTAACAATTCCCCCCAGCCCTCACTCCTTTATCAAAACACTTCTGATGCTTTCAAACTACGCTCTCTGATTTGTTGCTTTTCTTCCCTTCACCTCCTTGTTTTCAAAAGACATTAACTCAGTGATTGAAAAGGATGCTCTAAGAATCAGATGGCCAAAAATTTCTAGAACTTGAGAGTACTTACTCAGCAGAACATCTTTTATTATTATTATTATTGTTATTATTTTTGAGATGGAGTCTTGCACTGTTGCCGAGGCTGGAGTATGGTGGTGCGATCTTGGCTCACTGCAAGCTCCGCCTCCCGGGTTCAAGCAATTCTCCTGCCTCAGCTTCCCGAGTAGCTAGGACTACAGGTGCATGCCACCATGCCCAGCTAATTTTTTGTATTTTTAGTAGAGACGGGGTCTCACCATATTAGCCAGGATGGTCTCAATCTCCTGACCGCATGATCCTCCCACCTCGGCCTCCCAAAGTGTTGAGATTACAGGCGTGAGCCACTGCACCCGGCCAGAACATCTTAACTAAAGAAAGCACCAGCTTAGTATACCTGTAAATACCAACTTGTATACACCTAACAGCTAACATTCCCATGTTGTTAAGCATCTCCTATTGCCCTCAAAAATTCTAGTCTGTGTGTTACAGAAGACTTAACATAGCAAAGTCTTTCTCCATCTCTTAGTACAACAATAAAGCTGGATGTTCAATTTTTCAATTAAAAAAATCAAAGTACAGTACACACCTTCCCTCCTTTCATGGCGTCGATCATGAGACTGTGAAGTTCGTTCATGATCATGTCTCCCTTTCTCTCGCATTGGAGAGCGATGTCTTGGAGGACTCTGCTTTCTCTGGGGAGACGACAAAGAATGTGAAGGATAAGGAGAGGCAGAGCGTCGTAAAGGTGGAGTTAGTGTCCGCTGATAAGATGGTGAAGGAGTTCTTTTTCGACGAGGAGAAGGAGAATGTCTTTGAATAGATGATCCTGATTGTGAGGAAGATGAGTGATGTCTAGAAGATATAGGAGAATGATGCTGTCCTGCTGGGGAAGTAGACCTACAAGGGAAAACAATAACAATAAAACATGTATTCAAGAGCTTCATTTCTAGCCAAAGGAAAATCTTTAAAAACAAAAAAGTGAATATGAAAGTATAGACAATAACTTCAGAATAAATTTTAATTCACAATGCTGTAAAATTCTAAGTAAGTCACTTTTTTAACGACGTGACTTAACTTTAAGTCAACTAGAAGCAACAGTTCAAGAAGAGATATGCAGTGCTTTTCTCCCAGGCTTTGGTGCCAAAGTACACTGCATTTTCCAACATACACCATCTACCCTAACTTAAAGTATGGAATTCACTCTGATAATCTCTGAAAGTGTGAACAAATACTTAGAGGGAGAAAACCCACAAACTATGGCAAAACATACTACTGAGATCTAGAGAGAAAGTGGCTTTGAGAATGCCTGTAAATTCATGGCTATGGTAAAAGGGGAGGTAGCATCAGCTAAGGCAAACAAAAAGTCCACGCTGCATGGGTTGACATTTAGGACTATGAAAGAATCCTAGAATTAAGGAAAGGATAACAAAATATATACTGTCTTTAACTTAAGTAATCTGCCTTCACTGTGGGCAGCACAAACTGAGAGTTAGTTCATAGTTCTTGGTTCAACTAAGGCCTCCCCTATTCCCTTCAAATCATTTTCTTTCACTGCTACCAGAGAAACAACACATAACCTCATGAAACAGATGTGATCATTAAGCACATCTGAATCACTCCTAGAGTCTATTATACCTGGGTCCTGTCCAAACTTTTGTGCAATAACTAAGAAGCAGCAGGAAATAATGTTTAAAATATAATATTCTAGACATGCCCAGATAAATATTCCTCAAAGCAATCATCTCAAGAGCTAAAAGCTTATTCAAAAAAATTCTGATTTTTTAAGTCAAAGTATTTCTGTAATTATCTTCAGTGTCTATGATAAACATTTTTTTAGTATGTGCAGTGATGGCACAAATCATTACTAATTCTAAACCAGTTTCTCAACCCTAGCACTACTGACATTTTGTACTGGGTAACTCTTCGGAGGAGGGGGAGTGTCTTGTACATTATATATAGGATGTTTAACAGCATCCCTGGCCTCAACTCACTAGATGCCAGTAGCATCCCTCCCATTCCAAGTTATGACAATAAAAAATTACTCCAGACATTGCCAAATGTCCTCTACCAGGCAAAATCACCCCCAGTTGAGAACCACTACCTTAAACTATGTTGTTTATAAATGATGCCTTAGTAAACCTTTTATCAAAAAAAGGTTTCAATCTATAAACTATGTTACTAAGTCAGGAATGTGATCTAATATATTAGAAAGAATATGCAGAAAAGAATTTAGGCAAATAAAAATACCTCTGGGTGACAGTAAATGAAAAGTCAGCTAACTAGAACACTACACTCACTTAAACATCAAGTTTTCTGTGACTTGATTAAAGCTTTATACTTTTAATAAAATAGTGATTCCTTTCTAACATAAAAAGATAAGCCATAAGCTACTAAAATTTAATTGACTCTAAATAGAAATTTATTAACTTAACAGCTAATATGAGTGGAAATACTCAACGGGTCTTAGCCAAATTTGGAAAACCATTTATGATCAATGCCCATCTAAATGCATCCTACTGAACAGAAAAATCACTGCAAGAGTAAAAATTAGAGTCAGTATTGTCTGGTTGTTTTCAATTTCAATGTCATTAGGTTCTAGTAAATTTTTGGGGGGATGGGCGGGGGGACAAGGTCTCGCTGTCACCCAGGCTACAGTACAGTGGCATGATCATGGCTCACTGCACTCTTGGCTTTCTGGGCTCAAGTGATCCTCCCACCTCAGCCTCCCGAGCAGCTGGGACTACAGGCACATGCCACCACACTCAGCTACTTTGTTTTATTTTTTATAGAGACGAGGTCTCACTATACCCCGGTTGGTCTTGAACTCCTGGGCTCAAGCCATCATCCTGCCTCAGCCTCCTAAAGTGCTGGGATTATAGGCATGAGCCACCATGCTTGATGGTTCTCGTCAATTTAAAAAACTAAAGAATGAATGGTTCTCCATTGAACTGATATTTTGGTTACTTCTGTGTTTATTTCTGGGGTATACTTAAAATTGTTTCAAGAATGTCTACAATAGCCTTGAGTTATTAGTTCATAAAACTTAAAAAAACAAAACAGTTCACATATACTACCTTTAAAAAACACATTAGGGTCCAATCATGTTTCTATTCAACTTGATGGCTATAGCATGGAAGAAAAAACTTCAAACTTAGGATAATCGGGCTATCACATTAAGGTCAGAACACTAATGGGTTGTCAAATAATGGCTTCAACTTTTTAATCATATTTTCTTTTTACTCAACCTTCACCTACGTCCATTCTGCATATATAAAAGGTATGATTCTAAGCAACGAAACTGTCTTGAAATCTGGTGAAAATTAATAGTACTTTGGCTATAGACTATTACAGAGCTATAGTAAAGTACATTTCCACTTAGAATAGAAGTAACTTCAGATTAATTCGTCTTATGCTTTATAATTGGCTGGTTTCTTATCTGAGGGAAAAAATTAGTGAAACTTGAAATTCAAATAAAGAAAAAAGGAAAGTTTATTTAATGAAGAGAAGCTTAATACCTTAAAACAAAAACCTGTATAATGTAATCAAGAGCACTGTGATTTATTGTATCCAGGGAAAGTTGATCTTTGGTCTGACTAGATTCCAATCAAACACTTTTTAGTGCTGCTATAATTAGGATATGATGTGGTGTGGAATGAGAATATTCAGGGTATATTTCATTTTGGGAAAAAATGTGAAAAGTTAAGAAATTTAAAAATAAAAACTCTCATTCAAGATGCAAGTAATTTCACCTGCAAACTAATAGGTTTACCCCAGACTTACTTAAAAATAGTAACACCAATGTTTCTTTCAAAAAATGGTTTCTATTTCTCAAATATGAAAATATGCTTACATAATGCACTAACATTCATATTTTAACCTTTAAAATCATGTAAAATGTATACATTTTTAAAACACAAAGGTAATATGGGCACTACCAAAATCATCTCTGTTTTCAGTGATAAAATACAACATAATACACATTTTGCAAGTAGAAATATTTAGGTTCTATTATTTTACATATGAAGTTTATATTTATTAAATCATTTTAATTCACTCAACAAATATTAAGTGAGCACATACTAAGCTCCAAGCATTATTTTTGGCAATGAGGATACAGAAATGAAGAGAACAAAACCACTAACATAATAATAGTAATGACATTAATAATAGCAAGTAACGTATATTGCTACTATGTGTGTGACACTATTTTAAGTGCTTGTCATATATTAACTCACTTAATCTTTATGACAATCTAATAAGGTAATTGAATGTCATGGTTAATTTTATGTGTCAACTTAATCCATTTATGCCTAGTGTTCCATTATTGGAATACTAAACTTGTGGGAGTTATTTATATCCTACTGCTCAAGGTCTCATGGCCAAGGTCTGATTTTTCACAAAAAAATTTGCAACTTCTGACATAACTGGGTTAACTGGGTCATGGAATGGCCCAGATATCTGGCTAAACATTATTTCTGGGCACGTCTGTGAGGGCTTCCTAAAAGAGTCTGGCATTTGAAATCAGTAAACTGAGTAAAGCAGATGGCCCTGACCAATGTGTGTATCATCTGATCTACTGAGGGCCTGAACAGAACAAAAAGGTGAAGGAAGGTTACATTCTCTGCCTGACTGCTTGAGCTGAACGTTGATCTACCCTTGCTTCTCAGGTCTTACACTCTGAATGGAGGCAGCTTTCTACCTCTCACGCTTCTGAATTACACCACCAGCTTTCCTGGGTCTCCAGCTTGCAGCCAGATCACAGGGCTTTATAGCCTCCATAATTGCATGAGCCAATTCCTTAAGTAAATCTCATTCTAGACATATCTTCTACTGGTTCAGTTTCTCTGGAAAACCTTGACTAATACATCGAGGGAGGACTGGAAACCAGTCTATCTAGTAACAGAGTCTATGGTCCAGGGAGCAAACCAACAATGACAAAGCAAGACAATTTCTGCTAATTAATGTAACAACATTTATACAAAAGGACAACAAAATAGAACTGTTAGGTCCAAAAAAACACAAAAAGTATGTGCTTTTTACTTTTGGAGTTTAAAAACAATCTACATGTGTGTGGCAGGAATACCGGCTATTTGTCTTTTTCTAGCCCTTGATCACAAAACACAAAAAACTATGTCAGGGTGACTACTCTAGGTTGCTTGGTAAGGAAAGGACCCTTACTAGAGGATATATTTGAGCCAAGTGCTGAAGATCTGAGGCAAGAGCTTTAGGATCAATAAGCACAAAGGAGGTAGGAGGGATCTTGATGTATAAGAATAGAAAGAAGCCAAGTGGAACCACAATTTATGAGAGAACAGAGTCTCATGAGGGAATCAGAAAGCAGGCAGAGCCAGATGTGGGCCACAGGTCATGGTAAAAGTCTGGATTTTATTCTAAGCATGAGAGAAAGCACTGGAGAGTGATAGGTGGTTAAGTGCCATTTAAAATATAACAAGATCTTACTCGTCTAAATAAACCTGTAAGATGAAAAAAGAAAATGCTTCTGTGTGATTTGTTTTACACCTAGTAGCTTGCTATTCTTTTGCAGCAGGCTAAATACTCCCTGGAAAGGGAATCATTTCTAACTGAACAATCTTACAGAACTAGGAGGACACTTGTCTGTGGGAATCTTTTAAAAGATCACTCCTCCATAAATACATAATGATACTTGTAAAACAGATTTGATTAAAAAAAACCCTCATGTAAGTTCTAGATAATACAAGAAAATATTCACTAAGGTACTAATAATTTTGTTCAGATTTCATTTTTGCATGCACAAACGCAGTATGGTTGACTCTTGAACAACACAGGGTCCACACTTACGTGTGAGTTTACTTCTGCCTCTGCCAGCCTTGAGACAGCAAGAACAACGCCTCCTTTTTGCACTTCTAGCCTCCTCAAAGGGACAACCTTTATAATGATCCATTTCCACTTAATGAATAGTAAATATATTTTCTCTTCCTTATGATTTTCTTAACATTTTCTTTTCTCTAGCTTACTTTGTAATAACAATACAGTATATAATACAAATAACATACAAAATATGTGTTAATCAAACGTTTATGTTATCAGTAAAGTTTCCAGTTAACAGTGGGCTATTAGTAGCTAAGTTTGGGGGGAGTCAAAAGTTATACAAGGATTTTCAACTGCACAGGGGTTGACCCCCTACCCCTTCATTGTTCAAGGGTCAACTGTAATTTCCAAAGTTTCAATCTCAGAATAAAAAATGTTAAAGACAACCCTTAAATTAACCCATCCTTTAATGCTATTCAAATCCAGAATAATTTAACAACTAATACTTTTATGAAACGTGGTTCAAGGTAAGAGCCTTACATAGACTTATTCAACAACATGGCTTGAACTAAAAGCTGTACCTACCAATGTGATCAAGGGTTAGAAAAAGACAAATAGCTGGTATTCCTGCCGCACGCATGTGGATTGTTTTTAAGCTCCCAGAGTAAGAGAATCGATATTTAAAATACAATAAAACCCAGAAACAACACACATTGGCATAAGACAACTGGCTCCTTCCGCTTGGTGGAACCAGTTAAAGTTACTACTTTCTGCTGGGGATAGGGTAGGGTGGCAAGAATATGAAGCAGAGGACCAAACCAGGCCAAGAAACAGTAGATAATCCAGTTTTGGAAGAGGAAGGTGCAGAAGTCCCCAATCTGCATTTCCCAGACATAATACCTTCCCAGATCAGGCCACTGGGTGCCAAGCAAGGGAGATTTTTGAAATCCCTGCCAATGGCCTGGAAGTCCCATCTAGTCACAGGAGCCAAAATTCTTCTTACGGTCATTTAACTATCAGTGAAAAAAAAAAAAAAAAACGCCACCACCTGGCACCAGACCACAGCCAGATTAGGATGGATTTTGACAGTGCAGGTAGAGGCTATTTTATTAATGTCATTATAACACAGCCCTACATTCTTTACAGAATTGACTCTATATTATGCATTTCTGACTGAATCAATTATTGGAATAGGATTAAACTTCCGAACCACCAGCTGCTACTAAAAACCTCTCTGAAAATACTTGAGAACAGCCTTCCTCAAGTCTCCAATTTTGCAAAGCAAGTTGGACAAAAGCTAAAAGTACAATTATTTAGGGTCATAAACTCTTTCTAGATATGAGTTTCTCTCCTGAATTCAACAAATTTTCCCAACATCACACCTACTAAAGACAGTCCAAGCCTTGGTTAATTTGACTAAATGTGAAAGGCTTCTTTTTTATCCCTTGTGAATGAGTTGTTTTGATGTTTATAACATGATTTCATTCTTAACACAAGCCTTTCGTAAGCTTAGTGTGCAATATAATCATGTTTGGCTATATTACAAACCCCACATATTTGGAAACACTATTTTACACACATACACCCACACCCCACATTATTCTACTTGTACTAACAAAGCTTTTGGAAATATTTTTGCCCACTGCTGCAATACCAGCTTTAGAACAGGTAATCAAGTAACTGTTGGATGAATAAATGAATTAGCACTTTTACTTCAGCATACCTCCTCCTAGTAAGCTTTCTGAGGCCCCACCAGCAGCAGATGCTGGAGCCATGTTTGTACGGCCTGCAGAACCATGAGCCAATTAAACTTCTTTTCTTTATAAGTTACCTTGTCCCAGGTATTTCTTTATAGCAATACAAGAACAACCTGATCCAACTACTATCAAGTAATAAGCAGATTTCTACACTCAGGTAATTGTGTTGGAATGATTGTGTTTTTAGTTAGCTATGCTCTGAGTACTATTTTTTCATTTGACCACAAAGTCCTACAACCTAGCATTATGATTAAAACATATCACCTGTCAGCAGAATCATACTGAAACCAAAATATCTGGCAGAATGAGCTACATGCAATTGTCAGATAATTTTTCTGATTATTATCCAAGAAGATTTTGTGTTTAAACCCTTGTTCCTAAAATACTACTAATGTATTAGTTTACTTTCCTGATTTAGCATGGGAAACTATAAAGAATATATACTAATATAAGTGAGTACACTGATAAAAGCAAGTATTACATCTACCAAAAGATCATTATAAATATTCAATTTAGGATTATCTAGACATAATAGGTTAGGAATATTGACACAGAGTATTCCCTTCAAAAATTATCTTTCTGACTAAATACCTAAAATAAACTTAATTTCCCTTTGATTTACATCTCTTCTAAACAATTTACAGGAAAAAAAATTAGTTTGTTGGGTTCCCACTACAATAGGCCCAGCTTACCTGCTGTTTTGCTTTCCCTGGTCAACCACAGTCCAAATATACTAATGGAAACTTCCAGAAATAAACAATTCATATGTTTTAAATTGCACACAGTTCTAAGTGGCACAGTGAAATCTTTTGTCGTTCCACTCTACCGCAACCACTATACACTGTATGCACTTGCTCGCTGATCACTTTGTAGCCATCTCAGTTATCAGATTGACTTGCAGTTTGGCAATAACAGTAATTATGCAGTTCGAGTAACCCTTATTTTACTTAATAATGACCCAAAGTGCAAAGAAGAGTGATGCTGGCAATTTGAATATGTACAAAAAAAAAAAAAAAGCCATAAAGTACTTCCTTTGAGTGAAAACATGAAAGTTCTTAAGAAGAAAAACTGTATGCTGAGGTTGCAAAAATCTACAATAAGAAGGAATAGTCTATACATGAAATTATGAATAAAGAAGAAGAAATTCATGCATAGTATATACAAGGTTCAGCACTATCTGCCATTTCTGGCATCTACTGGGGGTCTTGGAATGTATTCCCTGAGGATAAGAGGGGCAGAAATAGTATTTTACTATTCTCTGTAGAGTAGGTCACGGAAAGTTTATTTTAAAAAAATATTATGGGAAATTGCTATATTTTCTGAAAGCACAGTAATAAATCCATAAGGCTTTTTCTCTGCGTAAATGAGTAGTACTCAGGTTTTGATCAACATTGAATAAATAAATCAAAGCTGAGTAAAGTTAAGTTGGAAGACACTGATGACATTCATTTAAGGGCCGAAGTCTCCAAATTATTCAATTAAAAATTAACCACATGATAGAATTTCGTATTAAACTTACAAATACTCTGGGAAGAGTACATTTTTAACAAACTTGATATGCCAATGACAGTTTGGGAGGAAAGTACTCAAATCCTTGACATCAGGTTAGTGTCCTAGGCTTCAAGAATGATTCATAATTCTAACATTTTTTTGGAGAAGGGAAAATCATGAACTTTTCTAGAAGGGTATGGGCACTCTCCCTCACCAAAACACATACACAGGCAAAGTTTTATACATAACTCAAGAAACTTGTAGACCCCTAAAATCCACCAGTGGACTTCGGGTTAGAAGCACCTGATACAGAACGTTGGACAACTGAGACACAATTATTATCTATTATGAGTAATGGATAATTCAGTAAACATTAACTGTTACAATTTATTTTTGAATTTGGACAACTGAGACACAGAGAACAGCTAGAAGGATTTAAAGTCAGAGGATCGTGTAGCATTGTTGCATCTCCTATGCCATGTGTATGCACACCTATGCCATGTAAATGGGTAACTCAATAGAGAGCCATCCTTTAAGAAATGTAAGCAACCGCTTATATCCAGTAAGCCTAGTGGGTCATACTTGAAGGAAAAAAAAACAAACCCAAAGCCAAAACCCACGTATTTGGAAACACTATTTTACAAACACACACATACACACACACACCCCATCACTATATTACTTCTACCTGTACTAACAAAACTTTTGGAAACACTTTTGCTCACTGCTGCAATACCAGCTTTAGAACAGGTATTTAAGTAACTGTTGGATGAATGAATTAGCAATTTTACTTAAGCACAACACCTACTAGTAAACAAAACACTACTAATACGCCCATTATGACATTTAAAGTATTTTTAAAGGGCAATTTTTTCCAAAAGGAATTTAGACATTAACCTTTAATTACATTCCTTATCAATCTGAAGACAGTGACAAAGATACTGTTTAGTTTTAAAATTAATACAGGTACACCTCAGAAACATAGGTTTGGTTCCCACAATAAAGCAAATATCACAGTTAAGTGAGCCACACAAATTTTTTGGTTTCCTAGTACACACACAAGTTATGTTTACACTATACTGTAGTCTTTTAAGTGTACAATAGATTTATATCTAAAAAAGTACAGGCCGGGCGCGGTGGCTCACACCTGTCATCCCAGCACTTTGGGAGGCTGAGATGGGAGGATCACAAGGTAAGGAGATTGACACCATCCTGACTAACACAGTGAAACCCCATCTCTACTAAAAATACAAAAAAAAAATTAGCTGGGCGTGGTGGTGGGCGCCTGTAGTCCCAGCTACTCGGGAGGCTGAGGCAGGAGAATGGCATGAATCCAGGAGATGGAGCTTGCAATGAGCCAAGATTGTGCCACTGCACTCCAGCCTGGGTGACACAGCGAAACTCCGTCTCAAAAAAAAAAATAAAAGTACATAACTTAATTTTTAAAATACTTTATTGTTAAAGAAATGCTAACACCCATCTAAGCCTTCAGAGAGTTTTAACCGTTTTGTGGGTAAGGGTATTATCTTGATGCTGATGGCTGTTGACTGACGAGGATGAAGGTTGCAAAAGGCTGGGGAGGCTGTGGCAATTTCTTAAAAGAAGACAATGATGAAGTTTGTCACACCAATTGACTCTTCCTTTCGCAAAAGATTTATCTGTAGCTTGTGATGCTGTTCGCTAGCATTTTACCCACAGTAGAATTTTCAAAACTGCAGTCGGCTGGGCATGGTGGCTCAAGCCTATAACTACAATGTTTTGGGAGGCCAAGGCAGGATTACTTGAGTCCAGGAGTTCAAGATCAGTCTGGACAACATAGCGAGACCTCATCTCTACAAAAAGATTTTAAAAATTAGCTGAGTGTGGCAACGCAAGCCTGTAAGCCCAGCTACTTGGGAGGGTGAGGTGGGAGGATCACTTCACCACTTGATGGGAGGCGGAGGCTACAATGAGCTGAGATGGCGCCAGTGCACTTAAGCCTGGGTAATAGCGAGACACAGTGAGCTGAGATCACGCCAGTGCACTTAAGCCTGGGTTACAGTGAGAAGAAAAACAAAAAACAGCACACACATACACAAAAAACAAACCTGGACTCAATCCTCTCAAACCCTGCTGCTGCTTTGTCAACAAAGTTTATGTGACACTCTGAATTCTTTGGTGTCACTGTCATTTAAAAAAATGTTTCTAGCATCTTCACCAGGAGTAGACTCCATCTCAAGAAACCACTTTCTTTGTTCATCCATATGATGCAACTCCTCATCCGTTCAAGTCTGATCTGAGATTGCAGCAATTCAGTTACATCTTCAGGATCTACTTTTAATTCTAGTTCTCTTGCTATTTCCACCACATTTGCAGTTACTTCTTTCAATAAAGTCTTGAACTTCTCTAAGTCATCCATGAACGTTGTAATTGACTTCTTTTAACTTCTGTAACTATTAATATTTTGACCTCCTCCTGTGAATGACGAATGTTCTTAATGGCATCTTGAACAGTAAATCCTTTCCATAAAGTTTTCAATTTATTTTGCCCAGATCCATCAGAGGAATCACTATCTATGGCAGTTGTGGCCTTATAAAATGTATTTTTTAAATAAGACTCAAAAGTAAAAATTAGTCTTTGATCCATGGGCTGTAGGGTGCCTTTTGTCTTAGCGAGCATGAAACTATTAATCTCTCCTGACATCTTCATCAGAGCTCCTGCGTAAACAGGCACATCATAAACAAACAGTAGTATTTTGAATGGAATCTTTTCTTCTGAGCAATAGGTCTCAATAGTGGGCTTAAAATATTTAGTAAACCATGCTGTAAACAGATGTGCTGTCATCCATGCTTGTTTTTCCACTTAAGAGCACAGGCAAAGTACATTTAGCATAATTCTTAAAAATCCTAGGATTTTCAGGATGGTAAATGAGCACTGGCTTCACCTTAAAACCCCCAGCTGCACTGGCCCCTAACGAGAGAGTCAGCCTGTTCTTCGGAGCTTTGAAGCCAAGCATTGACTTCTCCTCTCTGGCTATGGACATCTTGGATGGCATCTTCTTCCAATAAGGCTGTATCAACTACACTGAAAATTTGTTTAGTGTGGCCAACATCAATTATCTTATCTAGATCTTCCGGATAACTTGCCGCTGCTTCTTCATCAGCATGTGCTGCTTCATCTTGCACTTTTGTGCTGCTTCATCTTGCACTTTTGTGCTACGGAGATGGCTTCATTCGTTAAATGTCATGAAGTAACCTCTGCTAACTTCAAACTTTTTTCCTGCAGCTTCCTTACCTCTTTCAGCCTCGAAAGAATTAAAGAGAGTTAGGACCTTGCTCCAGATTAGACTCTGGCTTAAAGGAATGTTGTGGCTGATTTCAACTGTGGCTGCTTTGATCTTTTATCCAGCCCACTCAAACTTTGTCCGCATCAGCAATATGGCTGTTTTGCTTTCTTCCCATTCATGTGTTCATTGGAGTAGCACTTTAAATTTCCTTCAAGAACTTTTCCTTTGCATTCACAACTTAGCTGACTGGCACAAGAGATCTAGCTTGCCACCTAAGTTTTCAGTATGCCTTCCTCACTAAGCTTAATCACTTCTAGCTTTTGATTTAAAGTAAGAGACTCTTCCTTTCTACTTGAACACTTAGAGGCCACTACACATAGGGTTATTAGTTGGCCTAATTTCAATATTGTTGTGTCTCAAGGAATACAGAGGCCCAAGGAGATGGTGAGAGACAGGGGACTAGCCAGTCAGTAGGGCAGTCAGAACACACACATTTGCAGATTAAGTTCACTGTTTTATATGGGTGCAGTTCACGACACCCCAGAACAATTACAATGGTAATGCGACAATTACTGATCACAGTCCATCGTAACAGATACAATAATGATGAAAAAGCTTGAAATATTTCAAGAATTACAGAGACACAAAGTGAGCACATGTTATTGGAAAAATGGCACTGATAGGCTTGTTTAATGCAGGGATGCCACAAACCTTCCATTTGTAAAAATACACAACATCTGTGAGCTTCAATAAAATTGGTGCGCCTGTAATTTCTTCATTCAGAGTAATGGAGACAAATGAAAATAACAGCCCCACCTAAGAACCTTGGTAATTAACTCTTCCTAAACCAAAATGTCTTTTTCCAATGTCTTGTCACATATGGCTTTAGAACTCCAGTGCGTGCAGATCAGGTATTTACATAATCTTCCAGTATTCCTAGCTCTGTTGTTTCATGTCCTTAGATGAAAAAATAAAAAATAAAAATAAATTTAAAAACCAAGTTCAGATTTGTCTACATACTAAATAACAGGTGAGTCCTATGCATACCATTTAGGGATAACCAAGGGAGAAAAACTGGAAAATGAAGGATAA
Organism: Homo sapiens; assembly: GCF_000001405.40. Classification (NCBI taxonomy): domain Eukaryota; kingdom Metazoa; phylum Chordata; class Mammalia; order Primates; family Hominidae; genus Homo; species Homo sapiens. The sequence continues at coordinate 46,001,596 of NC_000013.11, forward strand.
GCCTGTGTAATATTCAACTCCTCATAACACAAATGTTTTTACCATTTAAATGATAAACTACCTAGCAACAGGTGTTAAGAACCAACTCTCAGAGACTTCTTAGTCAAAATACCAAAATAAAAGTACAAAGAACCATTAGGGAAAACTAAAGGCTTTACTGATAGAATGTCAATCACCAAAAACATTTATTACTGATAGAATGTCAATCACCAAAAACATTTACATGTAATTTTCACAAACACACCTGCTGGACTGAGTAAAATATAGAGTATAGTCTAAGAAAACATACTTAAGAACTCTGAAGTCTTCAGTTAACTGTTCTCTTGCATGTCAAGAAGACACAATTAACAGAGTGAAAAAAAAAAAAGCAACATATGGAATAGGAAAAAATATTTTAAAATCTTATCTCTGTTAAGGGGTTAATGTCCAGAATATATAACGAACTCTTAGAACTCAACAGAAAAAAAATCAAATAACCCAATTAAAAAATGGGCAAAGAATTGGAAAGACATTTCTCCAAAGATGATATACAAATGGCCGACAAGCACATGAAAGGATGTTCAACATGGCTAATCATCAGAGAAATGCAAATCAAAACCTCAATGGGATAACACCTCACCTCAATGAGATAAACACACCTATTCGAATGGCGACTATAAAACAAACAAACTAAGTGTTGGTGAAGGTATGGAGAAACTGGAACACTTGTGTACTGTTGGTGGGAATGTACAACAGTGCAACTGCATTGGAAAACAGTAGGCAGGTTTCTCAAAAAAATTAAAAATAGAATTATCATATGACCCAGCAATTCTACTTCTGGGTATATATACAAAAGAACTGAAAGCAGGGTCTCAAAAGGGATTATTTACACATTCATGCTCATAGCAGCACTATCAACAATAGCCAGGAGGTGAAAGAACCCAAACACCCATCAAATGGATGAATGGATAAATAAAATGTGGCATATACATACAATCAAATATTATTCAGCCTTAAAAAGGAAGGAAATCCTGTCACATGCCACAGCAAGAAGGAACCCTGAGGACATTCTGCTAAGTGAAATAAGCCTGTCAAAAAAGACAAACACTGTATGATTCCACTTATATAAGGTATCTGAAGCAGTCAAATTCACAGAAACAAAACAGGATGATAGTTAACAGGAGCTGGGAAAAGGTGGAAAGGGGGAGTTATTTTTTGACAGATACAGAGTTTCAGATTTGCAAAATGAAAAAGTTCTGCAGAATTGTTTCACAAGTGTGAAAATACTTAACACTACCAAACTATAAACTTTAAAATGATGAAGATGGTACATTTTGTTTTTTTACCACAATAAAAAATTGAAAAATAAATTGTAAAAATTAAGGCTTACTGAATTATCCATGACTCATAATAATAATTATTATGGGAATTATTAAAATAAATATACACACTATTGTAAACAAAACTAAAAAACCCAATATGCTAATGCCCAACGGCTTCTGAAAAGTAAATATTCTATATTCTACAAAAGTTAATATTGTTAAAAACATACAATCCTACTTACCTTGGCTTGTCTCTCTTTTCTCTTTGTCGTTCAAAATCTCGTCCTCTGTCCTTTCCATCTCTTGTTTTTTCTTCTATCCTGTCTTTTACTTTATATTTTTCTTTGTATTTTTTCCCCAGAGCGATATCTTCTGGTATAGGAGGGGGTGGACTAGGAGTACGTGGTCCTTTCTTTTTACTTTGGTTGGTTTTTGAATTTCTGAAGGTAACAAAAAGCTATCATTAGAGGTTCAAATATGCCAAAAGGATATTTTTTAAAGCCTTCTTAAAAACAGCAGCGTTCCTTTACATTACTTGCCCTTTATTATTTTGTATACTACTAACCAATATCAAGAAGAAAAAAAAACTAACAGAAATGGCTGAAGAATTAATTTACTTGATACTTATTTTGTTAACACTGCTTATTATTATATAACTTTAAAGGGGCAGGTTTCTGAGAAAAGATAGAGGTGAAATAGGAAGACACTTTCAGAAAAGATGTTAATACAATGACTGTTTAAACTGTTTTTTTTTAAGACAGAAAAGTAGACAAAGAAAGTAAAAATCACCTATAATTCTACTACTCAAAGAGAACTATTTTTAACATCTTGAATATTTACATACTTTTGCCATATATCTTACTTTCTCTGTCTATTCATTTAAAACTGGGTATTCACATGCAAAAGAATGAAGCTGGACCTTTACATTGCACCAGATCAAAAATTAACTCAAAATAAAGACCTAAACATAAAAGCAAAAACTATAAAAATCCGAAAAGAAAATATAGAAGAAAAGCTTCATGACATTGGACTTGGCAATGATTTCTTGGCTATGACACCAAAGGCACAGGTAACAACAAAGCAAAAATAGACAAATGAGACTAAATCAAATTTTAAAACTTTTGCATGTCAAAGGACACAATCAACAAAGTGAAAAGGCAACTTATAGAATGCGAGAAAATATGTGCAAATCATATATATATATAGTCACAACTATTTTCTCTCATCATTGGAAATGGTAACTCTGTGTGTGTGTGTGTGTGTGTCACATACATTCATGGGATATCCTATTACAATATTTTGCAAAATTTTCAAATATTGAACATAGACATAGTGTGAGCATCTTTCTGTAACAAAAAGTAGATTTAGGTTGGGCATGGTGTAATCCCATCACTTTGGGAGGCAGAGGAGGGAGGGGTGGATCACTTGAGGTCAGGAGTTCGAGACCAGCCTGGCCAACATGGTGAAACCCTATCTCTACTAAAAATACAAAAATTAGCCAGGCATGGTGGTGGGTGCCTGTAATCCCAGCTACTCCAGAGGCTGAGGCAGGAGAATCACTTGAACCCGGAAGAAAGAGGTTGCAGTGAGCCAAGATTGCGCCACTGCACTCTAGTCTGGGTGACAGAGTAAGACTCTAACTCAAAATAAAATTTTTTTTAAAAAAGCAGATTTAGGTAATCATTTTTATTGACTGTATAGAATTTCCCTGAATAGATGCTCCAAAACTTTCTAAAACAATTTCATAGTTTTTCAGGTGGCTTCCAGGTTTTCATCATTATTCAAAAAACACAATTACATCATCTACAAATGAAATATCAACCACTGTCAGTATATATTCATCATAAATTTCTCAATCTTATTTAAGAAATTTTTACCAACTCTGAGGTCACAAAGATGGTCTCCTAAAATTTTGTAATTTTGCCTTTCACATTTGTCTTTAATCTACTTGTAATTGATTTTGGGGTACAAATTTTGTTCTTTAAGTGCCTCTTTTTGGCAATTTAAGTAATTTTAAGTAAATAGTATAACTTTGATCCCATACACATTCAAAACTGGCTGTCTTTGCCTCTTACTTTAACAATAGTTTAATTGAATATAGCATTTTCATGTCAAAATCCTTTTACCTCAGAGCTCTAGTTAAAATATTTTGTAACATTTAACGTTGCAGGTCAGAAGTCCAAAGAAAATCAAATTTTTTACTATTCAGGTAAGCTGGTTTTTCTGTTGGCATGCTTATGAACATTATCCCTTGAAAATTACTCACTGGAAAAAGATTTTCACTAAATCCAGGTATTTTCAAAAAATCTTTTCCAGCACTAAATGGACTGTTTCAATCTGAAACTTCAAACTTTTTACTCAATTTCTTCTATTTTCATTTCAAAACTTTTCCTTATGACCCAAGTCTCTGCAGTTCTCTTTATTACACAGTTACTGTATCTCTTGGATCTCTCCTCCATGTTAGATGTCTCTGTCATTTCCATTTTTCCTGCTTTTCCAGGATCTTAAATCTGTCTTTATATTCAGTAATTTTTAAAGTAGTACTCATTTTGCTAATTCTAAATTTGGCAATCTCGTTGTTCTGCTATTTTTTGATTTCTTCTTTTTTTTGGAGACAGTGTCTCGCTCTGTTGCCCAGGCTGGAGTGCAGTGGCACAATCATGGCTCACTGCAGCCTCGACCCCCAGGGCTCCAGTGATCCCCATGCCTCAGCCCTCTGAGTAGCTAGGAGTATAGGTGCATACCACCACAACTGGCTAAATTTCATATTTTTGTAGAGACAGGGTTTTATCACGTTATCCAGGCTGGTCTCAAACTCTTGGGCTCAAGTGATCTGTCCACCTCAGACCACTGCATCTGTCCTATTCTATGATTTTCCATTTGAACTCTTTTCTCTTTTAAAATATTGTTGTTCAGGCTGGGCGACGTGGCTCATACCTGTAATCCCAGCACTTTGAAAGGCCAAGGTGGGCGGATCGTGAGGCGGTCAGGAGTTCGAGACCAGCATGACCAACATGGTGAAACCCCGCCTCTACTAAAAATACAAAAATTAGCCAGGTGTGGTGGCGCACGCCTGTAATCCCAGCTACTCAGGAGGCTGAGGCAGAAGAACCGCTTGAACCCAGGAGGCAGATGTTGCAGTGAGCTGACTGCACACCAGCCTGGGTGACAGAGTGGGACTCTGTCCCAAAAAAAAAAAAAAAAGTTGTTCAACCTGGCACCAACCAGATCGATAAACTGGCTCATCTGATCTTGTAGCCCCCACCAAGGAACTGACTCAGCACAAGAAGACAGCTTCGACTCCCTCGGATTTCATCTCTGACTTGACCAGTCAGCACTCCTGGCTTACTGGCTTCCCCCAGTCTCCCTGCTGCCCCGCCACCAAGTTGTCCTCTAAAACTCTGATCCCCAAATGCTCAGGGAGATTGATTAATAAAACTCCAGTCTCCTGCAAAAATATAAAATAAAATAAAATAAAATAAAAATATAGTTGTTCACAGTTTTTTTCCCATAATCAACTGCTTTTGTCTTCTAAATACAATATCCTCACAAATTGCACTAAACTTATAAATGAATTTATAATTTAAGTTTGTTCCTGTTTACTGTATTAACGTTTCTGTGTAAGCCATCTGCTCAGAGTGTTCAGTCTGGTACTAGGTTTGCAAGTAACCCTTTTCATACATCTGGTGAGTTTTCACTATCTACTAATCTCACTATCTACTGATATTTATAAATGAAGACCTAAGCCTAAAATCCTAGAACTTATTTCCTATCATGCTGAATTCTCAGAATTCTCAAGTCCCAAGAGTTCTTAGCCATATATATATATGAGATAGTATCTACCTCAAAATTGCTGGCAATATTTTAAAAGCACTTGACTCATAGCATTGAGAAAATGTAGCTCTCTTAGTCCTCATCCCTATGTCTTATTATCACTCATAGCGTTAACCATGTAAACAAGTAGGAAATTACTAAAATATGACGACTAAATCTAGTTTTCATCCTTGTCTTCTGCCAACAACTATATTAGCCACATATCTCATTGCATATTCATGAGATGACTCAATCTTCTTATGCACCCTAACAGATATGTGATAAATATCTGTATTTCTGGATACTTTTCTACTTTAAAGATAAAAACGGATCAATAATTAGCATCTGTATCAAAATTATCTTTTAAAATTTCATGATTAAACAACAAAGGAATTCTTGACACAAACTATTTTTACATTATCACCTGTGACAGAGACTAGCAGGGGGTTTACCAAACTTTTCTTCTGAGCACAGTGGTAAACCATACTATCTACACTTTCTTGAAATTAAGCATGGCCAAGTGACCAAGACCTGGCCAAAGGAACGTGAGTGGAAATGATGTATACCACCTCCAGGCCCAAATTTCAAAGGGCTCTCATATGCCAGGCAATTGTAAACTATAGAGCTAAATAACTGCAATACTCAATTTCCGTTTTTCTTTGTACATCCCGTTCTTTGGTTTCCTTGAAAACCCAAGAAAGTGGAATCATGGTCAGAAGGAGCCTGGGTTACTCAATCTCCATATATAGGACAGCCATCTGTCAATCAGAAACACTCATTTTGACTTTACGTGAGAAATAACCTTCTGTTGTGTTAAACCACCGACATTTTGGGACTTGGCTATAATCACAATCTGGACTATTCTAATATACTTACTAAAGTACAGCATTTCTTCACATTACCATCAAAATTATATGTGGTTAGAAAACACAATTACGTTACAGTGCTTTCCAACTGAAGAGGCCAAAACTGGTTTTGTGTATTCTGAAATCACCAAGATCTTCAACATTTAAAAAGTCAACTAATTGTTGTTTCAGTGGCACAGAGCCTACTTCAGACTTGTGGCAAAGAGCCCACCTGTTTACTTTTATCAGTTTTTAATCTTTTCTCTCTCTCTTCAAAACTATTGTTTTAGATTAGCTTTTGACATACTTAATATTCTCTGTACAAAGAGCTATAAAGAAAAATTCACCTAATAAAAACTAAGATTAAAAGTGCAGATGGACAGAATAGGTAATATATTTATGATTTTAGATTATACCATATCTCATATATCAGGACAAATCTTACTATCAGACTATATCTCAAAATAAATGTCAAACAAAGAAAAATGCCAGCTTTCAGGGAAAAGTGTAAGTTTTAATTTGTCAGTAATTATATCTTTCCATTCAATATGATAACCTAGTAAGACCACCAAGAAATTTGTTTACCTGATTATCACACCTCAGTTGGCTGACACTGGTTAAAATACTCCACTGAGTTTTAACTGAAATTCTAATCCTTACATGTGCTTAGTATGTTCTGAGTTGATAGTATGATCCAGCAATAAAATTAAAAGATGATTACTTGACACACTCTAGGAAATGTAAACTGCATAAATGTTATACTCCAAAAAAAAAAAAAGAAAAGAAATGCTATACTCAATTAAATGTTTTCTTTGTATTTTTAATATACTGTTTTTCCAGGTCCTTTTGCTTTTATTATTAAATTAACGGTGCATCGTAAAGTCAACAACATAGTAGAATATAAGAAATACAGTAATTAAACCAGTGTGAATGATTATTCATGACAAATATTTATAATAGGATGTGTTACTAATAAAGAAGCAAAAGAGATTGTATGTAAAAGATGAAACTAACCCTTTGTCTAAATAGTTATCAAAACTTTCTATGAAAAGATTAAGTTTCAAATATTCTATAAACAGAACAGATAAGACAAGGAAGAAAGGGTATTTCTAGTATGCAGTTTATTGGGGAAATGAATAGAATTGAGGGAAAGTTACATAGCTGGTTAGCCAAGAGGATAAGAGCAAGTGAAGTGGAGCGTATCACTCTCTGTTCATTCAACTTCTTCAATATACCTTTGCAATATTTACTCAATTGCATGAACAAAGGATAGGATCAACTCAACTTTACTGAGCGCCTTATTAAAATGCAAAGTTCTATGCCAAGTAGGCAATATGAGGGAGAGGATCAACTCAACTTTACTAAGTGCCTTATTACAATGCAAAGTTCTATGTCAAGTAGGCACTATGAGAAGACAGAACTATGAATAACCAAGATCCCAATCTTCAAGGAGCTTAAATTTAATAAAGGTTATAAAACATAAGTCACAGCTGAAATATAATGCAACAGGCAATTATTATCAACATGGAGGTATAAGCAAAATCTGATAGGTACCTAAAGGGAACAGAACTTATGTTCCATAAAGAGAAATGGGAAAACTTAAAATTTGAGCTAGAGATTGAAGAATTGAGATAGAAGGGGGTAGATAGGAGGAAGCTGGACAAAAACTACTGACAAGAAAGAAAAGACCAAAGTGTAAATGTCATTCTAAGGAATCTGAATTTCATTCTACAGAATGAAAAACCACTGAGTTTTTCAATGGTATAATAAATTAATTGGAATTGTCCTTTTAAGATTTCTCTGACAGCATCTACAAAATAAATGGGTTGAGGTAGCTGAATGAAAATGTTCACCTGTGTGGGTGGTGGGTAGAAACTACATAAAGTCAATATAGTTAGTGATATAATAATCTAGGCAAAAAGTTAAGTAGAGTCTGAAATAGGGTTAGTTTCTAGGAACTAGAAGGAGGGAGATAAATATGAGTTTCATTACAGGTTCAAATAGACAGGGCTTGTTAACTGATTAAATCTTAGGTAGAAGATATTTTTAGTTCATTTTTTTTAAGATAAAATTAGGGTATGGACTTTAATTAAAATAAAATATAAATAGTTCAGAGTGACCTTAAATGAAAATGTATCTTCTCCTTATTCTTAGTCCCTGAATATAATCATTTCTATTTTTACTTCTTCAACTGGCTTCTACAGTAATTCTAAGTTATAAAGAATTCAATCTCTTGATAATATATACTGAAAGACAAAAATTTTTTGTGTATAATTTGTAGCAGTTTAAAAATCGGAAACAACATAAATGTTCCACAGAAAAGCAGACAAATTTATAATATAAATACTAAGATGAATGAACTAAGGTTATATGTATCAATATAAACATAAAAAATGTTGAGTGAAAAAGCAATGTGCAGAAGGTTATGATATATCCCTATTACAATAGATGAAAGCAATACTATACATTGCAGAACACATATTAGTTAAAGTATAAACACATGCACAAGTATCATAAACACCAGATTTAAGAGAGGAACAGGAAATGTATCTTGTATTTTTATTTCTTAAAAAATAAAAAGCTCTGAAGCATATGTGGATGTTACACAGATGTTTGTTTTATTGTTCTCTATAATTGTCTTTTTAATTGAAACATTTCAAATTTCTTTTTAGAACAAAAAAGCTTACATTAAATATAAAATGTACTAAAAGTACCCTTTTATAACCTACTAATTCTTTTTAGTATCACTTCAGAAAAAGCTATTTTCTCGATACTATTTATCACCCTACTGACCTCTGCTGGTCCAACAGGGGAGAAGATACTGCAGATGTCTTCCTATCTTTCTTGCTAGCTGAAGACGACTTCGGGCTTGATTTTCGCTTCGGAGATTTGCTAGACTTTCTTAGAGAAGGTGACGGGGACAATTTTGATCTAACCACTTCTGGTGAAACCTTTAAAAAAATTCAGTAAGTCAATTCAGAAATTCCTCCACTTATGGTACAACAAGACTTACAGTATTTTAGAATCACACCAAACTTCAGATTAAAATTAAATATTATTGCCGGGTGCAGTGGTTCACACCTGTAATCCCAGTTTCTCGAGAGGCTGAGGTGAAAGGATTGCTTGAGGTGAGGAGTTTGAGATCAGCCTGGATAACATAAAAAAAACCCTATCTCTTATACAAAAAAAAAAAAGCCAGGCATGGAAGGTGCCTATGGTCTCAGCTATTAGGGAGGCTGAGATGGGAGGATCCCTTGAGCCCAGGAGTTCAAGGCTGCAGTGAGTGCCACTGCACTCCAGCCTGGGTAATAGAGAAAGATCTCATCCCTACAAAAAAAGTTTGAAATAAAAATAAAAATAATAAAATTATAATAACCACTATCTGTTGATATTAGTCTGACTCCTGAATCCATGATTTTAAGCAATATAACTGTCCTAACATATACCAGTTTCAATAAAGTAAATTAAAATCATAAAATTTCAAAATCTCCTCAGAAAAATCATAAATTATATTTAAATTAACTGTATCTTCACTTTTTAGAAAAGAAACAAGGCATTCTAGAAATAGCATGGGCCTGAAACAGACATAGGCAGATTCAAACCCCATGTTACATTAGCTGGTGACTCTAGGCAACAAACTCTTAGCTTTGCTCACCTATTCAATAACATAAATATTTGCTACTTATCTAATAGAATAATGTGAAAATTAAATGAATATATATGGAGTAGTACATATACAGTGGGTTGATCAATATATCAGTATACTAATATAATTTAAGATGTAGCAAGAAGCTGAGTTATCTGATCAATACAAATGCTGCTATTAAGTACTAACATATTTATTGCAATAAATAGCATACCTCCTTTTTAATGATAATTTCTTCTCTCTTCTCCATGTTTTCTTGTTCCAGCTTCATTAATTCCCTCTGTATCTTCTGACGCTTCATTTCCAATGACAATTCATGAACATAATCATAATTAATATCTCCATTGTCAGAATCTTTAAAATAAAATTGCATTACTGTTAGAAACTAGCATAATTATCTATGCCAAAAATCATACAGACTTTTTTCAACTAATTTCTTACACAAATCTAAATAGCAGAGTCTTTCATCAGGATCACATACTTCTAAAAGATAAAAGAAATAGATACCATTTCTATAAAGGATTAAAATCACCATGGTTGATTTCTTCATGAAAAGCCAAATATTTTGGAAGTTTCTGGGTTTTCTGGAAACAATTTTGGGTTGTTTGGAAGTTGGGTTTTTTGTTAGGAGATGGAATTTTAAAAGACAAAATGCACTCAGCTGAATTTCTAAGCCTTAAAGATACCAAAGCCTTCAATATTTCATGCTGTATACGATGCGACTCATTATCTCCTTGATTTTCCTAAAGATACGCTACTAAAATACATCATACAAAGTGAGGTTATATTACGTGTGCAACATTGCTTCCATAGGCTTTTCAGTTTTAAAATTTGTGAGACAAATGATTAATATCTAAAACTAAAGTAATTTTAGTACTAATGTGTACATAAACTAATTTTTAAAGGATTTATGACATTTTCTTTACAAGTGATTTGTACTATTTCCTTAGATCACAACTGTCCGTCTCAACGGATCTGATGCCATATTTCTATTTCCATTTATATTTTCTGATGAAAAGCTATGAAGATTGGTTAAAAAATCAAGAGTGGTGTGTAGATCTATTTCATTAAAATACATAGAAGTTGCTGGCACTAGCACCCAAACCCATCACGCTCATTTGCCATAAATGCCCAGGAGCCTAGAGGTGGGAATTTCATTGACCACGATGGACTTGACTGACCACAAACTGAGGTGCCTTCTCAAGATATACTTCTAGCACTTTAGATCATATCTTAACCTTGGGAAAAGAAATAAAATGAAGAACTAAAAAAACAACAAACATAAGAAGTCCTACTTGACTGCTTAAAACCCAAGAAAATGAACATCACTGTTATATATTGCTCAAATGCATTAGAATGACAACTATCCATTCATGCTTGGGGACTGAGAGGGTAACTATATATATTCACTACCTGTGTGACTAAGCTTGATTACTCATCTTATGTTGGAGTACAATGACAATTTCTCAGTAAATATATGAAATAGGCTAAAGCATGTTTTTCAGTCAGAAAGCAATTACTAAATATTTAATTAAGGGCAAGTAGTTTTCACTAGATAAAATGAAGACACTGAATTTAATTAAGTGAATACTAGCTATCTCCAGTTATTATTTTGTACTCTATTGAGATACTTTACATCAGTGAATAATAGGAGTCAATGTTCTGGTTTGATTATGTTCCTAAATTCAATAAAATTCCATAACCAAATACCCAGGTAAAACAACGGAAAGAGTAGTTAATTGAGAAGAATGATTAACAGTGTTTCTGACGGTACTGTATTATCAGTAAGGCACTGCCAATCTAAAAATTCGCAACTGGAAATATCACCAATACAGAACACATAAAAGAAAGAAGAAGCTGGCTTTCAGTTCTCAATTTTCAACTATCCAACCAAGGGGGAGAGGCCTGAGCAGTTAAAATATATGTGTAAGTCAGCCAGGCGCAGTGGCTCACGCCTGTAAGCTCAGCACTTTGGGAGGCCGAGGAGGGCGGATCATCAGGTCAAGAAATCGAGACCATCCTGGCCAACACGGTGAAACCCCGTCTCTACTAAAAATACAAAAATTAGCTGGGCGAGGTGGCGCGTGCCTAGAGTCCCAGCTACTCAGGAGTCAGAGGCAGGAGAATTGCTTGAACCCGGGAGACGGAGGTTGCAGTAAGCTGACATCGTGCCACTGCACTCCAGCCTGACAACAGAGCAAGACTTCGTCTCAAAAAAAAAAAAACAAAATAAATAAAAAGTCTAGTCAATGTAGTAAATATAACTAATATAGTTTGCTCAGAAGAAAAGCTCTCAGGTCTTTATTCTGAAGGTGCTTATTTTACGCATATAATAAAAACTCAGATATTTTCCTAACCTGTAAGAGATGGACTACAAGATAGGCACATTGCAACTGACAGTATTTTGACAACAAAAGAAAAAACAGGAAGTACAAAATACAGGATGGAATTCAAAAACAAGAGTCTGAAGCCAGTTAATAAATTTAGAAAATGTCTCTCATGTAGCTTCAGGTTATCACTACAATTTTGCCTTATAAAAATTGATTCACATAAATGATTGTTAAGTCATCAGAAAAATATCAAGTATAATTAGAAAGGTATATTTAACAAGGTAGATATTTTTAAGAATATACAACAGAAAAATATATGCAACACATAAGAAAAGGTTAAGATTCTTTCTATATAAAGAATTCTTACTAATTAACAGAACAGGTAAAGGACATTACAAGGCAATTCACAAAGAGAAAGAAATGAAGAAAGTATACACATATTTTTTCATGTATTCAGGAGCCATTTTTTCTAATTATAATATTAATTGTTGGTAAAGGTACAAATAAAGGACATACTCATTCTCTGGCAGTAGCAATGCAAACTAGTACATCTATCTTGTAAAATTATTTGTCAATATGGGTAAAAGCCTTAAGAACATCAATACATAACTTTAATTTTAATACAGCAACTTTTTTTAAAATTTATTTATTTTACTTTAAGTTCTGGGATACATGTGCTGAATGTGCAGGTTTGTAACATAGGTATACATGTGCCATGGTGGTTTGTACCTATAGGTACAGGTTGATGTACCTATCAACCTGTCATCTAGGTTTTAAGCCCTGCATGCATTAAGTACTTGTCCTAATGCTCTCCCTCCCCTCACCCCCCATCCCCACAACAGGCCCTGGTGTGTGATGTTCCCCTCTCTGTGTTGATCAGCAACTTCCAGTAATTTATTGTATAAAAATAATCATAGATATATAAAAGGTTTATGTATAAGGATTAAAAACTATAAATACTTGTGAATTGCCTTGTTACATCATGCTAATTATATTTAACCTTTTTCCAATGAGTTAGTATCATTTATGTGTATCAGTTTTTAACCTCAAGCTGTCTGAGACGTTTTCTAAATTCATTAACTGATTTCAGACACTTGTTTTTGAATTCCATTCTATATTTTGTACTTTGCCTTTATGATACATTCTCATTGCTAAAGTCTTAAATAATTCTGAATACACAGAGTAAAATATGAAATTTCCCTTATATTCCTCCTACAGCCATCCTTACTCCAGTGATAACACTGCTAACAGTTTAGTGTCATATGCATGAAAATAATGTTTTACATTTTTCCCTTTAACATTCAACACTGCCCTATAAACAAGATCTTTCCAAGTCATAGAGTTCAACTATCTTCATTTTAACGTCTGCAAAGCATTTCATTAATATGATCATACTTTATCGTAGCTTACTTAAAAGAGTTTCCTTCTTAAAGACAGATGAACTGTTTCCAGTATTTTGCTGTTAAAAACAAGACTTATATGAACATTTTGATATATACTTTGGTTCAAGTGCAAGTATTTTTCTATGACATTATTTCTCAGACTACATTGCTAGACTGAAAATAAGTATAATTTCTATTTCTAATAACACCAAACTGTACTCCAAAACTCCTTTACCAATGTAAACCCCCACTTGAAAACATTAATGTTCTTCATTTCTGCCAAACGAATGGGTGAGTAATCATATCTCTTTATTTTCATCAGTATTTCCCTGCAGTAAGATTGAGCATTTATTGGCCAGTTCTATTTCTCCTGTGAGTTACCTATCTGATACATATATATTTTTACTCATTTTTTAACTAGGCCGTCTTTTTCTTATGTATTTGTAGAAACTCATTATATGTCTATATAGTATCTTTACTAATGCTTACACGTTACACATGTCAAGTATTTTCTTTTACCATTTCATCTGTTTTTAACTTCTGCATTTAGTTACACAGAAACTCCTAGTTTTATGTAATCAAATGTTTGTGGCTTCTGGGTTTTATGCCCTATTTAAGGAGGATGTACTAACCTCCAAGATTACCAAAATATTTTCACACATTCTACTGCAATGATACTTTTACTTTTTATGTTACTTCATTGGTCCTTAAGAACACATGATGAACAAATACAAGAAGTTTAAGGAACCAAATAAAAACCACAGACTTCGGAGTGGGGCCTGGAAATACAAAGAGTAACCAGATAATCAAAAGTTTTATAGGCGTAGTTAGAATTTGTACTTGCTCCTGAAGGCAATGGGAAATTAGGGAATTTGAAACAGGAAAATAAAATGAACATTCAATTTATTCTTTTAAAAGACTGTTCTGCAACTCATAGAGTGGGAGAAAACACTAACAATATATTTATATATCTGATAAAAATCTCATATCCAGAAAACATAAAGAATTCCTCTAATTAACAAGAAAAAAAAAACAGGTAACACAATAGCAGAACGGCAGACATTTGGAACAGACACTTCACAAAATAGGGTGTACAATGGTCAGTGAACATGTGAAAAAGTTTTCAACTTCATTAGGAGAATGCAAACTAAAACCACAGTAAGATACTACTACAAAATTTTAGAACAGCTATGATGAAAAAGGCAAAAACACCGTATGGTTAACTGGAACAACCATTTTTGATCTGAAATTATCTACTAAAGAGGAACACATTCACACTCCACAGCCCAGCAATTCCACTTCGAACCATAAACTCAAGAGAAATTGATATGTGTCTGTACATGTTTACCAAAAAATATGTTTAAGAATAGTAATAGCACCTTATTATGCATAATAGCACCAAACTGGGAATTACTTGAATGTTCATCAACAGTAGACTAAATTATGGCATATTCATACAATAAAACACTATATAGCAATAAGAATGATGCAATAACAATTAATGAATGATATGTGAAATAAAGTACAATCTCAGATAATACTGTTAACAAAAGAAGCTAGGCACAAAAAGAGTACATGCTGTCAATTCCATTTATATGGAGCTCAAACACACAAAACTAATCAATGGTGCTAGAAATCAGGACAGTAGTTACCTTTGAGGGGTGAGGGTAGGGAGGAGTGACTAGAAGAAAACACAAGGGGACTATGGGAAACTAGTAATTTCCTACTTACTGATTTGAGTGGTTTTACAAATGTGTTCAGTCTGTGAACATCCAATGGGTTGGACACATGTATTGTGCATTCCTCTGAACGTATAGTATACTTCAGTAGAAAAACTTTGTAAGAAAGATTATTCTTGCTTTAAAGTGGGGGATTAATTAGGAGACAAGACTATAAGCAAGGGATGGGATTAGGAGGTTATTTTGGTAAAATCTATTTATAGGCAATAAATAAATACCTTAAGAACTAGAATATTAGTAGTATATCAAGAGAAACAGATGGTTTTCAATGGTATTGGGTACATAAAAATATCTATCTGGTAATGCCTGGGTGGAGGGAAAGAAGTGTCAGTGATGACTCTCAGGACTGTTGGTATCTGGTAGGAAAAGTGATGCCCTTAAGATACATAACTCAGATGGAGATGCCCAGTTGGTCAATGCTAAATTGAGAGCTCCAGATTTTGGAGTCACTACACGTACGACGTTAATGAAGCACTGGGTGCATGATTTCATCTAGAAGGAAAAATTGAAAGTGAGAAAAGAAGATGGCTAGGTAACAGGAAAACAACCAAGTTTTAAAAGCTGTTCTTACAGACAAGTGATTCTCAGAGAGTGGTCTGAGGATACCTAGGAGGTCCCTGAGACAATTTCAGGAGTTCTACAAAATCAGACTATTTCTATAACACTACATTGTTTGCCTGGTGTACTCATTCTCCCATGAGTAGATAGTGGAGTTTCCCAGAATATGTGATGTGGTTAACAGGTGGAATGTAGAAGCAGGTAAGAAAATCTACCTATCAACTATTAAGCCAGATATTAAAACAATTTGCAAAATGATGCAAAACACTGCCACCTCCTCACAATTATTATTTTTTGCTTTGCAAAATAGTTATTTTTCATAAAAGCATATAATGGATTTTTATATGTCATTGTTAAATGAATGAATACATAAATATTAAAAAATTTTCTCAGGTTCATAATATGGCAGTTATGGAAACATAAAATACACAAGGATAAAAGTTATTTGGGGGTTCTGAAAAAGCATATAAAAGTGGCCTAAAAACCAGAAAGTTTATAAATATACCAATTTTTTCTGAATCCAGCTAAAATTGTTATTCCAGATAGAATAACAATGCAGAAGGTAAGTCTATGAAACCAGTTTAGTCTCACTATCCAGGGAGTGGGGCACTTAACTCAATGCTTCAATATTCCCTCAACAGATACTTTCAAATCACAGAGATACACAATGGTCAAAAACTGTGCGTTTCAATCAAGGAAAAGCATAAGAAATTCTTATTAAAGACATTTACACTCACCTTTTAAAAGAATTTCCTATATAAAAGGCTCTTGAAATAAAATCACTTTAGATTTTTTAAAAGAATATAGTTAAGTGCAAATCCTTGGGAATCAACATTTAAGGGGCACACAGAATACAAGGAGCCTCCGTGTAAGACTGAAGGGCTTGAACAGGAAGATACAAAACTGAAGAGTGATAAATAGAAGCCAAAAGAAGAGTCTTTTTCAAGAAAACAGGAGCTCTTGATGTGTCAAATGCTGCAGACGGCCATTTAGGATAGTAACAAGTACATCTCCATTTATTCTGCAATGAGGAGGTCATTAGTGACTTTGAAAAGCAGTTTTAGTGGAGAGTTGGGTCAGAAGACTGAATAATAAGTATCAGGTGAAACAGTATCAAGTAGAAACAGTAAGGCACAGAACTGTTTTAAGAATTTAGTTGTTAAGTGGGGATAAGCAGGATAGTGACTAACAGTAAAATAGGGAGGAGAGAAAATGGATGTTAAAGATATAGAAGAGAGTGTATCACAAATGAACAAGATTGCTGAGGCAGGAGGAAATCAGATCTACAATACAAGGGAATTATTCATCAACCTTATACAGCAGGAAGGAGGCCTCTTACACAGAATAAGAGGGAAGTAAAAAAGTTTAGGCACAAATAAAAACTTAGTTTGAAGGTGTGGTAGGAGGAAGTTGAGGGAATTCCTAAAGATTTCCATTGTCTCTGCTTAGTAGATAGCAAAAAAGAGAAATGAAAGCATAGATTTATGGAGAAGGTTTGACATACCTACCAGGAAGAAAAAGAACAGACTTGGGCTTTTCTGAACCTTTTATATTTTCAACAACTACTAATTATTGTAATGACAACTGAAAATATTTTAAAGATAAGAAGTATCAAATACATTTTAAAATGTTTTTTATGCAAAAAAATTAAAATGAAAAGAAAGGATGCTTGGGTGTGTTAAAAGGTAACCCCTTAGTATTTAGGAAAAGTTAGCTCTCCAAACTTGAACAGTTATGGTTTATAATATTTTATTTAAATATACTAGTCAACTAAAATGGGAGAGTATAGCTGCCTTTATTGCTATTTTGTAGAAGCGGTATTAGGTTGGATTATGAAATCCTGAGTAACCATAAACAAGTTTCCTATTTGTTCTTAGAAGCAATTTTTTAACAGCACTGTCCAAAGATGGAACAGGTTTCCTTTAAGTACTGATGTAACAATTACTGGAAAGATGTATTTACAATACTTTACAACTGTTAGTCTATTAAGTCTTCAGAGATAATTCTGAAATATAGTAGTTAATATTGTAGTCTTGTAGCTTCTCAGTTCTCTGTCATAAAGACTCGACTTGGCCACTGTAGCTCAAAAGCAGCCACAGACAATATGTAACCAAATGGATGGACATGGCTGTGTTCCAATAAAACTTTTTTTGCAAAAACCAGTGACTGGCCCACACACTCTAGTTTTCTAATCCCTGGTCTAAGTTTTCAGCTTCTCACTGAAAAAGTTGCTTAAATTTTTAAGATCTTTAGTTTTGTCATCTGTAAGTAGAGTAACAAAGCTATTGAAATAATAAGACAATTATATAAATTACATTAAATTGTCCACCCCCACTCAATGCATTTAACAAATACAAGTTCTCTTTCTCTGTGTTTGGTAATATGACATTACAGTGCCCATCTTTCAGAACATCAAAGAGGTGGAGAAAACATTCAAGGGGTGGAAAATAAATGCTTATTGATGACTCAAAAATGATTTTGCTCCCACCTCAGCTTCCCAAGTAGCTGGGATCACAGGCATGCACCACCATGTCAGGCTAATTTCTTTGTTTTTTTGTAGAGATGGGGTCTTACTTTGTTGCCCACACTGGTCTCAAACTCCTGGGCTAAAGTGGTACTCCAGCCTTAGCCTCCCAAAGTGCTGAGATAACAGGCAGGAGGACTGCTTGACTTCAAGAGGCTAAGCTGCAGTGAGCCATGATTGTACCACTGTCCTCCAGCCTGGGTGACACAGTGAGAGCATGTCTCAAGAAAAAAAATTTTTTTGCTAATTTTTTATTAATAAATCCAGGTCTCTATCTTAATCTGATTTTGATTTCTTCTGAAAGATAAAAGTCAAACATTTCTTGGAAATAACTTTCCCAAGTCCTTAAGATTTAAAAATCTCATTTATAATATTTTATGTAAAACAAATATAGATTTCATTTTAAGCTTAGCGTTAGGAATTTTTAAATTTACATATGCAATACAATCCTGAAGGGCTGTAATGCTGCACAATAAAGTTCTAGAGGGAAAACTAGGAAGGGAAAATAAAAATATGCAATGCAAACCACTTTCTCTGCCTTTGTACAGCTACTATATGCCAGTTTTTGCCTTATAATTCAGTAAGATAGAAATATGTCAATAAAATGATTCTGAAACGAGAGGGATCACAGTCGAAAGGTGTTCTGAAGCCCACGAAAACTCTAGAAAGTAAATAATCAAGAATTCGCCATTTAAACCAAGATTCTGAAACTCACCATCTCTATTAGTTTCCCATTCTACATTTTCTTCTTCACTTTCTGGAGTTCTTTCCTTAGTGATTTTTATGTCTTCCTTTTCCCTATGTCTCCCTCTTGAAGATTCTTTCTAAAAAAGTACATACATACATTCAGATTACTATATTTTTAAAAATTATGAGGTAGTTTATTGTAATAAGAGAACATTTTAATTTCATTCATCTCTGTTTCATCAAAGAATCAGTTTTGTAAATAGTCACTTATCCACTAAGTAGAGAAAGTGACAAATTCTAGTTTAGCACCACAATGAAAAGACTATACTCCATTTTACTAAAGAACAAAAACTACTAAACAACAAAAACTAAAAGAGATGTAGACTATACTACATCTATTTTACTAAAGAACAAAAACTTTAAATATTAAAGAGTAGCTAAGATGTAAAAATATACAATGCAAATCTAATACTTTAACAAACTTGTGACATTCAGCTACACAGTAAGTTTCCACGTGAAAACCACTGGGGAAAAGACAGTTTAAAATGAATAAAATACAATGGAAGGATTTGTAAGTGATTATATTTTAAAATGTCAAAAAAGGGCTAAACCATTCACCACAGACTTCTAAAAATAACTGATCTAGGACTTGTCATATATTCAAGTAATTGTCATTTTCCTAGACACCCAAGGATAAATCCAAACTCATTTAATAGTATTATAAAGGTTTACAAAAATATATTTTACCCATTTTGATGAAACCAAATGGTACCTAAAATAGTAAATTAGTCCTCACTACTGCTGCTAAAAAACAGGTTTTACATTTTATTCCAGGTATAAAAGCAGCTTACACACAAAAAAGGACAAAATTAATTCAGATTATAAAAGTCAATTAAATGTCCTATTACATAAGAACTCCAAATCATATTTTACTAGGTGGTAAGAAAATAAAAGTAACCAGTGTTATATAATTGTTATCTTCCACCACAGCAGAAGTCTTACTTTTACTAACATTGTAAATACTATGAAAGACACTTACACACAAGGATATTAAGTGCTCAAATTTCTTTCTGAGCATTACTAATCATAAAATTTGGCTGCTTAAAACACAAATTAATTTCTCTTTGTAGTTTTCTTCTTAAAGAACTCTAGTATATATAACTGCCCCTAAATTCTACATATTTAGGCATGAAGTCATACTGTAAATATTACTGACAAAATTTGGATTTGATTGCTGGTAAGACAACAGAGGCTGACGAAAATAATTTGTAAGTTATATGAGAATAAAACCTGCCATGAAAAAAATGGTGAAGAGTCAAGAAAACAGAAATGGGCCTCTACTTGAACAGAAGACAAAAGGAAGAAATATAATTTACTTTTACTCTTAAAACATATTATGTGGAACATCAATGAAGAACTATCCTACATCCCAAACAATTTTTGAATGTTCTGTGGATTAAACCCACTGTAAATATACATTACTGAATAACTATACCAAAAATATTTAATAGGAGGTTATCTCCAAATTATTAAATAACATATTCTGTGCTTTCTGTCCACTTAAAAGTATGTAAAATCCAATTGCAAGTCTAGTTAAAAAGGGTGTCAGAGCAGTAGTGCTGGTGCTGCAAAATCAATCTATAAATTTGTAACATTTTTTATCAGATTTAGAGCCAGAAATGTTGTATCAATAAATGTCATTAATAATGATGTCTGTAAATATTTCATATTTACCCTAAATATTAAAATTATAATTTTTGAATTGTCCATGTTTTCCAATATGACTCTGATGCTACTCCCAGAGATCATATATAACTTCTATTATTAGGTACTAGAGACTGAATGCAGGCTTAAATAGGTGATGGAATTTCAAGTTCTTACCTCAAATCATAATATAGGAAATTATTTTGGTAACATTTATTAAGAAGGTCTAGCTAATTTAAAAAATACCTTATTTCCTAATTTCCCCCACTTCAACAATGTGTAACTTGTTTAGGTATGTTATGCCTTTTATCAAACAAAGTTATTCCCCCTTTTCTCTTATACTCAAATAAATAGGGTATGGTATTACTCGTCCAATGTAGTGTAGCACGGTCTACTATTCCACCTTGCTGTATTTCTTGAACAGAATGGCTTCTCATCTTCTCTTAAATCCAAACATATTAATTAAAAGTATAACCTACTGATTACTATGTGTTGTAAATTAGTCATCCTGGAACATCTAAGTCTTGAAATACTTGAAGAACCACAGTATTTTAGCCAAAACCCTTGGGATCAGATATTTTAAGAGTTCAGAATTTTTTTTTTTTTTTGCATTTCAAAGCATATTAAGTAGTACTACTGTTCCAGTGGAGTCTGGAACAGTAGCCTGTGACCAAACATACTAACATTTTTGCAGCAAAACACAGAAATTCACCACTTGTATAAAAACTGTAATTAAATTTATTTCAATTAAGACCAGGTTTTGCTCCCAAATGTCTGTGTCTTAGGAAAAATGTTTGAAGTTTTTTGAATTTCAGAAATGTAATACATGATTTTAGATGTTTATATTACTTTCATTTCCACTCTCATATGCACATTTATTTCTTGAACATTATATGCGTGGGCAGATTATGTTCATCATTAATTTTAGATAAAAAGCAAGCATTACAAAGAATATGAAATAGGAAGTGTCAAGGCTAAGAGAGTTGAGAACCATTATTAGTAACTAGAGTATAAAAATGGTTAGGAGGCTGTGTAAGTAATATAATCCAACCTCCTACCCTATGCAGAACAATTTTCCACAATATTTGTATAGCTATGGAAGCCCTCTATTACAAGACTCTTGGGGGCAAAAATCTTAGCTCTGTGCTGTTGCACCCTTTCTTCCCATTTCCAGACAGTTCTAATTATTAGAAAATTATTTCTTATGCCCATTGCATCTTTCTTAACCTCTCTAGAGGTTCTACCTCCCTACAATTTCTACTGATTGGGAATAGTTCTAACCTCTGGAATTATGCAAAACAAATCTAATACTTCTTTCACGTGCTAGCCCTTTCTTCATCATTCTGTCATCTTCTCTGGGCATATTAATCGGCTAGTGTGCTTCAATGAAACATGATACCCCAAATTAATCTAGTCTTGTCAGAACAGCATAAAGCATACAGCTTCCAACTCCCCTGACTTAGAATTGAAATTATACTTGTATTAATGAAGTCTAACTTGTTTTAGCAGAGAAAAATGGAGCTTCAACTAAGAAACTATAATCTCCTAAACTATACAAATTTGAACTATTATTTCACATAAAATGAAGTCTATATATAGGGTAAACTTCAGGCCTAAGTGACTTAGTAACAGTGAAATCATCAAAGACCAAATATTCACTCTTGTTTTCATTTATCACAGCTCCGCTCTGCCTAATGTTGACTTCACATTAAAGCTTATCTCTTACCATAATAAGAAGCAATCTGGGTCTCCTCAGTGTATCTCTCCCACAAGCACAAATAAGAATTCCTTCCTTCAGAGTGACTAGGCCAACTTCAGTCACATGGCCACCTATGAATGAATAACTATCAAGGTAATAGCCATGGGATAAATGGCTTAGGCCTGCTTCCTGAATCAATTGAATTAGCAAGGAGAATGGGATTATTCTAACTGGATTCGACTAATCAAGGCCCAGCCATGAAAGTGGGATCAATTCCCCAAATCACAATGCTGATACAAAATGAAAAAGTGGTGGAACGGGTTCTGGGGAATCCAAAGTGATCTGCCTGGCACTTCATAGTACACTTCACTTCCTCATGGTACAATGCTACACTTTTGATAACTTCAGGCTATAACAAGACAGAATTTCCAACTTAATAAAAATTTCTCCTTTACTATTCACATTTCCGACCCTTCTTC
Source organism: Homo sapiens (assembly GCF_000001405.40). Lineage (NCBI taxonomy): Eukaryota > Metazoa > Chordata > Mammalia > Primates > Hominidae > Homo > Homo sapiens. The sequence continues at coordinate 46,024,303 of NC_000013.11, forward strand.
TAAGGTCTTTTTCCATCTTCCTGATGTATATCCTTTTAAATATTCTCTATTTAGTGAAGATCTGTTGGTAGTAAACACTCTCAATTTTATTTGAAAAGGTCTTTATTTTATTCTCATTCCTGAAAGCCAGACTTTGGTACATACTTTGGGTTGATAGGTTTATCTCAGTACTTTGAAAATATTATTTCACTGCCTTTTAGCTTCCATTGTTTGTTACTGATGTCATCCTGTTGCTTCTTTGCATGGGGATTTGTCTTTCTGTATCTAGAGGTTTCTAGGATTTTCTCTATGTCTCTGATGCTTTGCAGTTTCATTATAATATTCTATCTCTCATGTACTGCACATCTCGTATCTGTAGATTTGTGGTTCATCAATTACGGAAAATTCTCAGCTACTATTTCTTAAAATGTTGCTTCTCCAACATTCTTTTTTTTTTTTCTTCTGGGTTTCCAACTAGATGCATATTGAATTTTCTAAGTATTTCCCCCATGTTTTTAAACCTTGTCAATACTTTCCATAACTTCTCTTTATGTGATGAATTCTGGAGAAATTCTTCAGCTGGCAACTATTGTCAGGTCAAGTCACCCTATTCTACACCAGTGCAATTAACTTTCTATGCCTAAAATCAATTCCATGTTTATCCCTAACAGTTTCTGAGCTTCCTATATAATCACACCTCTTATATTGGATTTACTTACATCTTTCCACAATTACTTGGAGAAATTTCCTTTGAAGTTAATATACAAAAATTATCTCAGAACATTTAGTCAAAGAATGACTCAATTATTTGTATGTCAATAACATTCTCACCTGCTACTAATATTCACTTATAAACATCTACACAAATCTATCCACTACTAAAGTTATCATTCAAGTAATAATTCCATATTTATTATATTGACATCAGAGGATTTTAAACATTCAATGTTTTACGCAAAACTTTGTTTTCTTCTCCTATCATCCATCTATCTACCTATCTTATTGATCTTATCTATCTATCCCATCTATCGATCTATCTACTTGAGACAGGGTCTTGTTCTATGATCCAGGCTGAAGAGCAGTGACGCAATCATAGCTCACTGTAGTCTTGACCTCTTGGGCTCAAGCAATCCTCCTGCCTCAGCCTCCCACAGCTGGAACTACTGGTACATACCACTACGCCCAGCTAATTAAAAAATTTTTTTATTTGTAGAGACAGGGTCTCTCTATGTTGCCCAAGCTGGTCTTGAACTCTTGGACTCAACCAATCCTCCTACCTCAGCCTCCCAAAGTACAGGGATTACAGGCGTGATCCACGATACCAGGTCTAACCTCTCATTTTATTTTAAAAGAATAATGCTATTTCAAATCCTATTGCTCTAAAAATAAACTTAGTTTCAAAGAACACTAACATTATCAACCAATTCCTGGATTTTCTTTGAGCAGCTCTAGAATTAATGTTAATACCAATTTTTCTTCTCTGTTATTTACTGTCATGTGGTATCCCAAAATTATTAACAAGTGAAGCAACTATTATTAATTTTAAAAAGATTAGGGTTTTCGACCTTAATGTTTTCAAACCTTTATAATTGGACACATCTGATTAAAGCTAAAAAAAAAAAAAACTTTATTAATCTAGTAGAATGGTTCATTGTTGTGCTTTGGCCTGAACGTTAGACCAACAGCCTGCTCAGTCTATATACAGTTTTAGAATATATATACCTAATATTTTGAAATTTTGAAATTATTCACAGATCTGCAGTTTCAGATCCTTTCAATATTATAGAAACAAAGAGAGTAATTTAGTCCTACACTTAATGAAACTGTAGTTTATTTTGTTTATACTAAAGAAAAATACCCAAATAGGATTATTGGAGAATCTTTTTATGAAGTGCTCATATAAATTAAATTAGCTCATCTCAGAAAAAACAAGTAAGAAATATACAGATAACCAAAATAACATCATCTCTAAAAAGTACAAAAAGAATTAAAATGAAAAAGAAATAGTTAATACTTCTGTATCTATGTACCTAATAATACAGTAGTGAAGAGCAGAAACTATAGGATATGGAGTAAAAGAGACAGAAACCTACTACTAAGATACTTTAACATAATGTTCTCAAACCAAAATAGATCAAATAAAGAAGAATCTTAAAAATATAGGATGCCCAAAGAATAGATGTTTTATATATATTTATAGAACCTAAAAACCAAGAACTAGAAAATACACCTTTTTTTTAAAGCATGGGTGGAAAATTGAGAAAAAGTGACTGTCTTAGGCTACAAAGAAAATCTCATCAAATTCAAAAATATGAAGAAAAACATGAAAGTTACTTTTTAAAAATCAAAAGAAAACACACATACACACGTAAAAAACAAAAGGCCCTCCAACCTGAAAATTTTAACATTCCATTAAACAATTCTTAGATAATGGGTGGAATCCAAATCTAAAGAGGAGAACTTCCCGAAAATAACTGTCATAGTTTGACATATGAGATTCATGAGATTCAGCTAAAGCAGTTATCTGATGAGAACTTACAGCATTAAAGAACATAAATAAAAATGAAAACAAATGTTCAACAAATTCAACAACAACAAAAAAATAAGCAACCAAAGAAGGAATTTAAAGACCCAGAAATAAATGTTAGAAAGCACAAAGAAGGAACTAATATACAAATGTAAAAGCTGATTCTCTGAAAATAAACCACTGGCTAACCTAAACAAGAAAAAAGGGAGAAAGCACAAATTCAAAATCCTAAATGACAAAGTAAAAGTATCTCTAAGAACAAAGCAAAATGAAAAAATAAAACTATGAGGTGTTTTTTATTTTTTTTTATTTTTTGAGACAGGGTCTAGCTCTGTTACCCAGGCTGCAGCACAGTGCGCAATCTTGGCTCACTGCAACCTCTGCTTCCTGGGCTCAAGCCATCCTCTCACCTCAGCCTCCCGGGTAGCTGGGACTACAGGCACACACCACTACACCCGGCTAATTTCTGTACGTTTTGTAGAGATGGGAGTTTTGCCATGTTGCCCAGGCTGATCTTGAACTTCTGAGCTCAAGCAATCTGCCTGCCTTGGCCTCCCAAAGTGCGGGATTACAGGCATGAGCCACTGTGCCCGGTGAGATACTGTGTCTGGTGAGATTTCTTTACATAACTCTATGCAAACAAGTTTGAAAACTTACATGAAAAACGGCTGAAATTTCTAGAAAAATACTATTTGCCAAAACTGACTTTAACAGAACCAAAAGTCTACATCATTTTTCAAAGAAAAAATAAAGCCAGTTAAAGAACTCCTTCATAAAATAGTACCAAACCCAGTGGGTTTTGCAGGGGAATTTTACCAATCCTTTAAAGAGCAGAAAATCTAAATGCATTTAAAATATCCCAGAGTAAAGAACTGGGAATATTTTGTTATTATCTGTATTATAGATGAAGTAGTATAGTGCTGTTTCAAAGCAGACCTGAATTAGCTGTAAATGTACATTGTAAACTCTAGGGTAACCACCAAAAAAAGTAGAAAGAAGTATAATTGATATGCTAAAAAAGAATGAACAAAGAATCACATAAATGCTCAATTAAAACCACAAATTTTAAACCAAAAAAGGCACAAAACAAGTGAGAACAAAAACAGGAACAAAGAACAATGGCAATGAAGAGAAAACAGTAACGAATGTTGTAGATATTAATTCAACTACATCAACAATTACTTTAAACATCAATGGTCTAAATACACCAATTAAAACACAGATATTCTCGGAGTGGATGGAAAAACAAGACCCAATGGTATGTTGTCTACAAGAAACCCACATATAAACACATATATTAATAGATTAAAAGTAAAGGAATGAAGAAAGGTATACTGCTAACACTAATCAAAAAAGAGTATGAGTAGGTATATTAATTTCAGACAGAGTAGACTCTAGAGCAAGGTAAGTTATCAGAGACAAAGAGGAGCACTGCATAATGATACAGACGTCCAGTCTGCAAAAATACATAACAATTCTTATGTGTATGACCCTACCATCAAAGCATCAAAATACCTGAGGCAAAAACCGATAAAATTGCAAAGAGAAATTCACTCTTATGGTTGAGGATTTCACACCCTTCCATCATAAATGGAAAGATTCAGCAGGAAGTCAGTAAAAACACAGTTGAACTCAACAGCACCATCAACAAAATTGATATAATTGATTATAGATGGCTTTATCTAACAACAGCAAAATACACATTCTTCTCAAGCTCATACAGATCATTCACCAAGACAGATCACATTCTGGGCCATAAAACACACTTAACAAATGTAAAAGAAATCATACAATGTCTGCTTTCAGCCACAATGAAATTAAACTAGAAATCTGTAACAGAAAGATTAGGAAAATCCCCAAATGCTTAGAAATTAAACAACACAATTTTAATAAACATATTGGTCAAAGAAGAAATTGCAAAAAAATTTTTAAAATATTTTAAACTAAATGAAAATAAAAATATAACTTACAACAATTTGTTGGATGCAGTAAACACTGTACCCAAAGAGATATTTATAGCATTGAATGTATATATTAGAAAAGACAACCAAAAATCATTAATTTAAGCTTCCACCTTAGAAAACAACAAAAAGAACAAATTAAACCCAAAGTAAGCAGAAGAAAATAAACTTAAGAATTAGAATGAAAAAAGTCAATGAAATCGAAAACAGAAATTCAATAGAGAAAAATTAGCAAAACCAAATGCTGTTTTCTTTGAAAAGATCAATAAAATTTATCAGCTTCTAGCCAGGCTAATTAAGAAAAAAAGAGAGAAGACATAAATTATCAATAGGAGAAACAAAGGTAGGGATCTCACTACAAATCCCATGAACATTAAAAATATGATAAAGGTATACTATGAACAACTCATGAATACAAACTTGACAACCTACATGAAATGGGCCAATTCTTGAAAAATACAAGGTGCCAAAACTCACACAAGGAGAAACAAGCAATTTAAATAGGTATATATCTATTTTAAAAATTGAATCAATAATTAATAACCTTTCAAAACAGAAAGCACCAGATGGTTTATAGGTAAAGTCTACCAAATATTTCTGGAAGAAATTATACCAATTCTCTATAATCTCTTCAGAGACAGAAGAGATGGACTACTTCTTTTTTTTTTTTTTTTTTTGAGACGGAGTCTCGCTCTGTCGCCCAGGCTGGAGTGCAGTGGCGCGATCTCGGCTCACTGCAAGCTCCGCCTCCCGGGTTCACGCCATTCTCCTGCCTCAGCCTCCCGAGTAGCTGGGACTACAGGCGCCCGCTACCACGCCCGGCTAATTTTTTGTATTTTTAGTAGAGACGGGGTTTCACCGTGTTAGCCAGGATGGTCTCGATCTCCTGACCTCGTGATCCGCCCGCCTCGGCCTCCCAAAGTGCTGGGATTACAGGCGTGAGCCACCGCGCCCGGCCGAGATGGACTACTTCTTAACTCATTCTATGAGGTCAGCATTATCCTAATTCTGAAACCAGACAAAGACATTACAAAAAAACTAAAGACCAATATCTCTCATGAATAATAGCAAAAATCCTTATCAAAAATATTAGCAAATCAAAAAGTAACTATATAAAATGATGGATATGGAAATCTGCTTGACTGAAGGAATCATTTCACTATATATATTTGTATCATAACATGTTATGCAAATTAGATATAATTTTAAAAGTCAAACTTAATAAAAAGCTAGCAAATCAAATCCCACAATGTATATACCACAACCAAGAAGAATTTATCCTAGGTATGCAAGGCTGGTTCAATATTCAAAAATCAATTAATGTAACCCACCACATCAAGAGACTAACAAAGAAAACTCACATGATTATATCAATAGCTATAGGAAAAGCATTTGATAAAGTCCAACACTCAGACTAATAAAAACTCTTGGTAAATTAGAAACAGCGGCGAATTTCCTCAACTTGATAAAGATCATCTACAAAAAACCCTACGGCTAACGTCATACCTAATGGTGAAAAATGAGAAGTTTTCCTGCTAACATGAGAAACAAGGAAAGGATGTTCCCTCTCACTATTCCTTTTCATCATACTGAAATTTCTATCTAATGCAATAAGACAAGAAAAGGAAATAAAAAGAATACAGATTATTAAGAAGAACAAAAGTGTCTGCAAAAGACATGATTGTCTATGTAGAAATTCTGAAAGAACTAACAGAAGAACTTCAGGAATTAGTTCTTTTTTCAAGATCTTCCTATAAAGTTCAAGAACTTCAAGACTTCCTATAAAGCTATAGCAATCAAGACTGCGGGTGGGCAAAAGAACTGACAAATAGATTAGTTCAGGTTGCAGAATACAAGGCTAATACACATAAAAGTCAATCACTTTCCTATATACAACGGTAAGTGGAATTTAAAATTAAAACAATACCATTTTCATCAGTATAGAAAAAAATGAAATACTTAAGGATAAATCTAGCAAAATATGCATAAGACATGCATGAGGAAAATTACAAAATTGATTAAAGAAATCAAAGAACTAAATAAATGAAGAGTTATTCCATGCTCTTGGACAGAAGACTACATATCTGTCAAGATGTCAGTTCTTCCCAAATTAATAGATTAAATGTAATCCCCACCAAAAAACCCCAGCAAGTTACTTTGTAGATACTGACATACTCATTCTATATGGAGAACCAGAATAGCCAACACAATACTGAAGAACGAAGTCATGAGATTGACACTACCTGACTTCAACACTTCCTATAAAGCTATAGCAATCAAGACAGTGTGGGACGGGCAAAAGAAATGACAAACAGATCAGTGGAAAATAATAAGAGCCCAGAAATAGGCTCCCACAAACATAGTCAACTGATTTTTAACAAAGAAGCAAAACCAATTCAATGAAAAAAGGATAGTCTTTTCAACAAATCATGCTGAAACAACCGGACAACCAAATGCAAAAAAAATAAATAAATAAATAAAAAGAATCTAGACATAGACCTCACAGCCTTCACAAAAATTAACTTAAAATGGATCATAGATCTTAATGTAAGACAAAAAAAATAAAACTCCTAGAAAGTAACATAAGAGAGTATCTAGATGACCTTGGGTATGGCAATGACATCTTAGACACATCATCAAACTATAATCCATGAAAGAAATAACTGATAACTGGACTTCATTAAAATTAAAAGCTTCTACTCTATTAAAAAAACCATCAAAATAATAAGACAAGCCATAGACTGGGAAAAATAAGCTCAGAAGACATATGCAATAAGGACTGTTACCAAAAACATACAAGGAACTCTTAAAATTGAATAATAAGAAAACAACCTGTTTTTAAAAATAGGCAAAAGACCTGAACAATCTCACCAAAGATATACAGATGGCAAATAAGTATATGAAAAGACGCTCAAGAGCTTATCTAATAGGGAAATACAAAGTAAAACCACAAAGAGATACCACTACACACCTATCTGAATAGTCAAAATTCAATTCACTGACAACAATAAATGCTGGCAGGATGTGGAGCAATCGAAACTCACTCATTGCTGGTGGAAATACAAAATGATACAGTCACTTTAGAAGATAGTTGGCAGTTTTTTACAAAACTAAACATATTCTTACCATATGATCCATTAATTATACTCCTATTTACCCAAAGAAGTTGAAAACATATGTCCACACAAAAATCTGCACACAGATGTTTATAGCAGCTGTATTCATAATTGCCAAAACTTGGAAGCAACCAACATGTCCTTTGGTAGGTCAATGGACAAATAAACAGAATAGCCGAACTTTACACTGTGGACTATGAGTAATAATAATGTGTCAGTGTAAGGTCACTGATCGCAACAAATGCACCACTGGTGTGAGACACTGATAGTGGTGCAAGTCCTGCATATGCTGGGGGAGGAAGTGTTATGGGAAATCTCTGTATTTACCATTAACTTTTGCTGTGATCCTAAAACTGTATAAAACATAGTGTTTTTCTAAAACCAGAAAAGTGACAAGTAAAATTATCTGTACTTGATATCTTAAGTAAAATATTTTCCCTAAAATACAGAATTTTTAAAACAGAGAAGAAAAAGACCAAAAAAAAAAAAAAAAACAGAGAAAATGGGCAGGGGATACAGTAAATTACCTGTAAATACATGAAGATGCCCAACCTCACTCACAAGAGAAACATAATTAAAACTATGATGAAATAACATTTTTTTCTATGAAATTGGCAAAAAGACAAGTTTGAAAACACATACTAACAAAGCAAAGATAAAGTAATTTGGCTCTGTGTGCTGCTGGCAACAATGCAAATGTCATTATGTAGTAAGATTATGTAGGCATTTACCCTTTGACACAGCAATTCCATTTCTAGAGATTTATATTTCCCTAAGACACAGACACAAAAATGCAAAATAACAATTGCATATATTCCCTGTAGCTCTGCTTTTAGTGGCAAGACTGAAATAACCTAAAATCTCCACTAATAGAAGACTGGTTGAATAATGTACCATACAATCATACAATGAAATACTATGTAACTATAAAAAAGCTTAAGATATAGCTTTGCATACTGCTATAGAATGATCTCTGGTACAGTGTTAAGTTAAAAAAGCAAGGTGAAGAAAAATGTATACAGTAATGCTACCTTTTATCTAAGAAAAAGAAAAAAGGTGATTATATATACACTAATTTGTGTGCATATATATGTAAATATTAAATATATATATGTGTGTATTAAAACAGCCGGATTACCCAAAAACTAATAAATGTGGTTACCTACAGGGAAAAGGGTACAGCAATCATGGGACAGAAGTTAAAGACTTTTCTGAATGTAAAACTGTTTTGTAAATTTAGCTTTGAAATCATGTAAACGTTTTATGTAATTAGAAAATGAAAGAAAAAAGAAATCTAAAAACTTCAAAATTACTTGTAATTATCTGATTATTTCAGTTAACCCAACTAAGTATCAATTTGGTGGTTTAACCACATAGAGAAGACCTGTTTCAAGTAACTTAAAATGTACGAATTTGACTATATATTCCTAATAGACAGATTTAACAATATTATCTTAATAGGATATATCTTAAGAACTATATAGAAACCTTAAGTTGAGCTCAGTATAACACTATTAGCAATAATATAGTTGCTATTCTGAAACTATTAAATGTAATGTAAGGTCAGGCAAATGAATAATGTCAACAGGGACCAAAATTTTCAGCAGAAGAGAAAAATCATACAACTAATAAAATCAAAGTTAAGTAAAAGTCCTGCAGTCCAAATCTGAATTATTTGAATTCATGTTTGTCTGTTTTAAAGAGAAGATCTATACGCATTTCCTAGGTATGCCTAATGAAAAGCCCCAAAGACAATGACTAATCTAGCGGTAAAAGCTTTCAAGTACTCTCAGTAAAAGGAACCAAGTTTTTTGAGGAAAATGGCTGATTCCACATATATAGTATGAAATACACAATGTGCTGGGAATACGTGATCTTCAGAGAAACAAAGAAACTACAGAGGATTACTAAAGTGGTCTCAAAACAACATGATATAACTGGACTTCATTCAAGTTGAAAGACATTTTGAAAGACACCACAAAAAAAAATAAAAAGGCAGGCTGCACACTGGGAAAACGTATTTGCAATACATATATCTCACAAAGGATTGGTATACAGAATATTACCAATTGGTAATAGGACAAAGAGCCTAATTTATGAGCAAAAGATGTTAACAAATAAACAATTAGCCAATAAAAGATATACATAAGATCAGAAACAGCCAATAAACATATGAAAAGATGTTCAACATCACTAACCATTAAGAAATGAAAATTAAAACTACTATATACCCACTAGAAGGGCTAACATGAAAAAGACCAACAATGCCAAGTGTTGGTAAGAATACAGAGAGAAAATTATTCAGTGTAGGTGGAGATGCAAAATGGAACAACCACTTCAGAAAACTGTTCAGCAGTTTCTTATAAAGTTAAAAATATACATAAGACACAGTTCTACCCCTAGATATTTACCAAAAGAAAACTTTTCCACACAAAAACATATATACACATGTTGATAGCAGCTTTATTCTTAATAGGTGAAAACTAGAAACAACTCAAATGTCCATCCACTGGAGAATGGCTAAACAAATTTTGATATATCCATCTAATAGAACATGAATCAGCAATAAAAGGAATGAACTACTGACATATGCAACAATGTGGTTGAATCTGGTAAGTACTATGCTGAAAGAATCAAGACACGATAATATATATGATTCCATTACAGTGACAGATCAGAGGTTATCAGGAGTGAGTTTGGGAGGCGACTGATGACAAAAAGGCATGAAGATATGTTTTCGGTTGACAGATATGTTCTGTATCTTGATTGTGGTGGTAGTTATACAGGTGGCACATCTGTCAAGACTCAAACTGTATACTTAAAATGGGTGCATTTCAATGTTTGAAAATTATATTTCAATAAAGTAAATTTAAAAAAAAGGCTCAGGATCCAATACAAAGATCACCCACAAGCTAAGGAAGGGACATCTGGGCATAAAAATACTAATAGTGGGAATGGATTACAGTTAGAGAAATCAGTAAAAACTCATGGTTAGCTTAATACAGATAACAGATGGTCACTAGAAATATTTATATATACCAGTTAGTATACACGCATATATTTATTTGCTCTGCTAGCTGAGAGGTCCTAAAAGAAACAATACCCCACTAGCACAAACACAGCTAACGCCCAGGTTTTGGTTACTAATACCATTCTACAATAAAAGAAACCAGGGCACAAGCACATGCTCATTCCCTTGCTGTGTGTGCCAGTGTGCATGTGTCTCAGAATACTAACCCTTGGAATTCAGTTATCAGGCTGTGAGGAAGCCCAAGCTATCCAAGGGAAGAGACCACATAGAGACAAACAGAGGCCTCTAGCTGACAGCCAGCATCGACTGCCAAACAGGTGAGTAAATAAACCTTCAAGTGATTCCAGCCTACGTGCTTCCAGTAGATTAACTGAGGCCCACAGATCAAGAGAAAAGACATCCCTGCTGTGCCCTTTCTGAATTCCTGACAGAATTTGAGCACATAATAAATGGTTGTTTTACATCAAGGAATAGCAACTGGAACAACTCTTAATGCTATCAAAGAATACATCTGCAGATCATACTAGGCTAAACTTAAAAGTTTTTTCCATATAAAATGAAAATATATAGCTATGTTGGAAAATCACCATAATTATCTCCGTACTACATATTCATTACCAAATTTCCACCAGGTGGTAGATACACTGTACCTCTACTTATACTCTTATCCTTCTAAGCCTTTTCTTTTGAAATAAACAAACAACACTCATTTGATCTATTTACCCCTACAGTGATCAGCTTCCTAAATTTTTACTTTGGTGACTTTCTACTATTTCTATTTTGCATTTAAACTATGTTTTATTATTTCCAAAGAATTTTATACGTACTTCTTCATTTGGTTCTCACCATAACTTGTGATAAACTGGGGCAGGTACATCTATCCTACAAGTTAAAAGACAAAGTCAAGAGACTTACTCAAGATATAGTTAGTAACAATGTTAAGGCCTTCTAACTTAAAAGTCCTCCACTGCAGGAGTCCTGCTAATTCTAACAGCTACAGTATTATCCCTTCCTCTAGAGTCAGTGCCATTTTTTTTTCTCATCTAGACAGAAATATCAAGATGGCAGAAAAAGAACAAGGTAAGGCCAAGTGCAGTGGCTCACAACTGTAATCCCAACATTTTTGGAGGCTGAGGCAGGAGGATTGTTTGAGCCTGGGAGGTGGAGGCTACAGTGAATCATGTTTGCATCATTGCACTTTAGATCGAGAGGGAGAGCAAGACTCCGTGTCAAGAAAAAAAAAAAAAAAGAACAAGATAGGGGATGTCGGGGGGCAGTAAGAGAACTGAGGAGGCAACTGTGAAACAAAACTAATAATTGCATGGGCATTCTAGGAGGTACAATTTCCAGAGACAGTAAACTTCATACTAGAAATACATTTTCAATTCAGTAATAAGACACCTGGAATAGGTTTAAAGTTGGATAATCAACTTGAGATCCACCTATAGACTGAGAATTGAAAAAGTAATTTGAGTGTAGTCATCTTAAATAAATTCAGGATAAATATCAAGTCTAAACAAATGATCTGTTTGAAGGTAAGCAATTAGGTTGGGGTGGGGTAGGAAACATAAACAAATGACAGAAATGGTCCTTTGAAAAAACAGTGGACAAGGGAAAGAGAACAACATTGTGAAGTCTCAAAAGAAAAACCTCGAGGTGGAAAAGAAAAAAAACAAAACCTCTAAAAATTACTTTTTAGGAACCAGAAAAAGTTATTAAAATAACAGGTAAAGAAAAAGTATTTAACCAGTTGAAATAATTAACATTTAGAAAATTAACATCAGTTAAAATATTATTCCAATTGTCATTTTTGTTTTGTTTTGTTTTTTTGAGACAGAGTCTTACTCTGTCACCCAGGCTAGCATGATCTCAGCTCACTGCAACCTCCGCCTCCCAGGCTCAAGTAATTCTCCTGGCTCAGCCTCCCGAGTAGCTGGGATTATAGGCATGAGCCACCACACCTGGCTAATTTTTGCATTTTTAGTAGAGACGGGGTTTTGCTATGTTGGCCAGTCTGGTCTCAAACTCCTGGCCTCAAGTGATCTGCCCACCTCAGCCTCCCAAAGTGCTAGGATTACAGGCGTGAGCCACCACACTCAGCTATCCCAATTGTTTTAATATTGTATATGAGGACGAATAAACAACAACAAAAAACTAAACACTTTAAAAACAAAGATCATGAAAAAGTTCTGGAAATGAATGGTGGTATCAGTTGCATAACAGTGTAAATGTACTTAATGCCAATAAACTGTGCATCAAAAAATTGTTAAAATAGTAAATTTTATGTGTATTTTACCACAATAAAAAAATGAAAATAAAAACAAAGATCAATAAAGAAAAATAAACTTAGACCACTGCTCTTGCCCATTTGCTCTGATGTAAGACTTAGGTAAGCAATACTCATAGGGCACCTCTAACTCCTAAATTAGGTATCTTCCCACAGTGACAAATTATCTAATTCTTTCTTGAATGCAGCCACAAAGCTTCTACTAAGAGATAAGGATGCCCTACAGCACCTGTATGTCTCCGTCATCAATAAATGCTTGAATATTCTTCCTGACTATATTTAGGGGTCTAATTTTGCTTTCAAAGCTAATTTATCTTTTGTGCTCAAATTCCATAAAATAACAAGTCTCTGCAATATAAAATGAAAATACAATTCCATTTTAATCTGAAAACCTCTACTGATTAAATGCAACTATTTCCTACTGACTACCTCATATAAGCCTCTCACTTTTCAGTTCCACCGTATTAAGTCTGATTCACATCACCTAGACCAGCCCTTTCCAACAGAAACATGATGCAAGCACTTAAGTAATTTTACAATTCCTTGTTGTAACATTAAAAAGAAAAAAAGATAAAGGTAAAATTAAAATACTGATAACATTATTTAACCCAGCATATCCAAAATCATTGTCCTCTCAACATATAATCTACATTTTAAAATTTGAGATATTTTACTTTCTTTTCATACTAAGTCTCTGAAATTCACTATGTATTTTATATTTACAGCACACTTCAATTCAGACTACCCACATTTGACAGCACAGACCTTACATCAGCAGGGTTTCTCAATCATGGCTGCATATCAGAACCACTTTCCATTAATTCAGTAAGTGAACTTACTAGTTCCAGGGTCTGGAGGTAAACTGGTGAGCAAGACAGATCTCAGCATGTCTCTTTTCTCTATTGCTAAACTGTGAGTTTGGCACACAAGACCACTGATAATCTGGTCCTAATCTACTTCAGCCTTCATCTCACGTCCACGTTATCATTTTTATAACCTAGGCACACAGCTTCACAAGCTCCTCAAACACATTAGTCCTTTAAAACTCCTTACAGTTCTTGTGTTGGTTTTCTCTTCTTCCCTCCCCTCTGACACCGCGTCGATCCTTCAACACCAGTCCAAGTGTCATTTTCCCTGAAGAGGTCCCTGGTTCTCCAGGTAATTACTTACTCTCTCCATTGTGCATTTTGCTCGTATCTTTCTGACACACTATCACATGCTACAGAATTACAAGTTATCCATTTATGAATTTGATAACCACAAGATCAAGGGTTACCAACCTCATAATTCAAACACACTGGAGTTGACATCAGTGACAGAGAAGAGGAGGAATTACAGCTAATTTGCTGAAAATCACACCCATTCTATCTTAGCTATGCCTATGTAATCTATTCCACAGTTGCCCTTACCTAACATAGGCCTGATCTTCCTAGAGAAATTCATTACATGAAGATCAACAGTCATGTGTTGCAGCAAGAATGCACCATAAAAATGATCAGTATCTGTTACCTGTCAAATATAACACTAAAAATAATTAATACCTTGCTGGTGGCTCATGCCTGTAATCCCAGGACTTTGGGAGGCTGAGGCAGGTGGATCACAAGGTCAGGAGTTCAAGACCAGCCTGCCCAACATAGTGAAACCCCATTTCTACTGAAGATACAAAAAATTAGCCAGGCGTGGTGGCACGCACCTGTAATCTCAGCTACTTGGGAGGCTGAGGCTGGAGAATCGCTTGAACCTAGGAGGCAGAGGTTGCAGTGAGCAGAGATCATGCCATTCCACTCCAGTCTGGGAGACAGGGTGAGACTCTGTCTCAAAAGAATACTAATAAATAATAATTAATATCCTGGTGTCCCAGGTTATTAACAGTTCTGTTTAAGTTTAGATAGTGTATTACCTAAAACCTGATCACTGTTGAAATTTGTAACTCTATCCCTTAGGTATACACGATGCTCAGTGCCTTTGAGGGCTTTCTCATCTAGGGAAAGCAAGAATCAGGCTTTAAATTTCTTAACAAAATGCCAACTTTACTGTACTAACTTTATTTGATGAACATAAAAACCCTTATGATAAACAACACACTTACATTCAGTTAACTGTCAACAACCTAAATCTCCAAGGCTGATGTTCATCTTCTATAAGAGCCTAAAGACAATTTATATTAGAAAAAGCTAAGTGCCATTTCAATACCAGTATATACCATTTATTACGCATGTGTCATCATGGAATAGTAAATCATTTACATGTATATTCTTCACAGCAACATGGACAGCCTGCATTTCCATTTTACGGATAAGGAGACAAGAAGAAGAGTTTAACAATTCCTAAAGTAATATGCTCTAAATATGGATTCCAGATGTTTGCTCCTTATACTAATAACAATTCATCTAGTAGTATGCTAGAGTCAGTCTGTACTGACTCATAAGAGCTGATTTAAATTTTTAGGAATTCTGGAAGCCACTGTTAAACACAGCCATGATTGAACAAATAAACTGTATTAAAAACAAAGATAATAAGTACTCAGAACTCATAGTAAATTTTACTTCTGAGGTTATTTACATTTTGTGTGTCTGTTTATAATATACATAACGGGAACACTGTATACAATGTCACTTAGCATCTCTTCCCAACTATGCATCTGTCAGTGATGTCTTTGAAAGCTTGAAACTGACCATGGTGGGAGTATTTACATAAAAGAAGGGGCAAACCCTAGAAAGCATGGCTTTCTTTTTTTCAGAGTAGCGGTACATTTACTGGCAGACCGCTGAGGCATCTGTTATTCTGAATCAATAGGTTATTTCAAAATGTAATACACACGCTTAGCCCCAACCCAGAAATTCTGATTCAGTAGATTAGGGGTGGAATATTGGCATGTGTATTTTGAAAAAGATCTTCCCTCAAAAGGAATGTTGATAAAAACCTCCAGCTGAGAACTATTTAAGATTTTTAAGACTGTATCACTGTATAACATTAGACATTAGAAAACTAAATACTTAAAACTGTATTGTAAGAAATAAGTTTCACAAATTATAATGCTGTCAGGGCTTTTTTACCATGGGTCAAAAACAGCTGCAGAAAACTTCTACATAATTTAAGTGATCAAGGAAGTTGTTGCTTCCTTGATTCAGTTACAATTCAGTAACTTTCATAAAAAGACTATAATAGAGGACAACTGGATATCCACATGCAAAAGAATAAGGCTGAACCTTTACCACATCATAAATAAAAATTAGCTCAAAATGTATCAAAGGCTTAAATATAAGAGCTAAAACCAGAAAATGCTTCAAAGACAACATAGACGTAAATCTTTGTGACCCTGGACTAAACAATAGTTTCTTAGATGACACCAAAAGCACAAACAAGCAACAATAATAACAAAAAAAACAAAAACAGGTAAGTCAGATTTCATCAAATTAAAAATGTGTATGCTTTAAAGGACACCATCAAGAATGTGATGATAACACACAGAATGGGAGAAAAGATCTGCAAGTTACATATACGATAAGGGACTTGTATCCAAAATAAAGAGAACACTTGTAACTCAATAATAAAAAGACAACTCGATTTTTAAAATGGGAAAAGAATCTCCAAAGAAAATATACAAATAGCCAATAAGTACACAAGAAGATGCTCAACATCATTAGAATCCAAAATGCAAATCAAAACCACAGTTAGATCATCATTTCACACCCATCAGGATGGCTATAATCAAAAAGTTAGATAACAAAAGTGTTGGTGATGATGTGCAGAAACTAGAACTTTCATATGCTGTCAACAATGTGAAATGATACAGCCACTTAATGAAAGTCTAGAAGTTCATTAAAAGGTTAAACACACAGTTACCGTAGAACTTGTCAACTCCACTCCTCAATATAAACCCAATAGAAATAAAAACATATCCATATACAAACTTGTACATAAATGTTCATAGCAGCATTATACACAGGAGTCAAAAAGTAGAAAAAGCCCAAATATCCATCACTGATGAGTGGATAAACAAAATGTGATATTATCAATACAATGTAATATTATCTGACAAAAATAAGGAATAAAATACTGATGCATCCCATACTCTTTCACGAACCTTGAAAAGGTATGCTAAGTGAAAAAAGCTAGTCACAAAAAATCATGTTTTATTATTCCATTTATATGAAATATATAGGCAAATCTCTAGAGAGAGAAAGAGGATTTAGTGGTTGCCTAGGGCTGGTGGCTAGGAGGGCGACTGCTGAAAAGTTTGGCGTTTCTTTACGTAGCAATGAAAATATTCTAAAATTGACTGTGATGATGGTTTCACAACTCTAATAATACTAAAAACCACTGAGGCGTACACTTTTAATGAGTGAACTGTATGGTATGTGAAATATGGTATGATAAATTTCTAGAAAAAAATTAGCTCTGGGAAAGATTTCCATTCCTGACAAACACTTTTCTTTTATTCAATGAACTACATTATAAATTTTATTTCTCTTGGCTTCACTGCCAACAAATTCACAGCTAAAATTTGTGGTCATATGTGCTTTCTTTTACCTCAACTTTCTAGTGCAGTTTGTTAACCCCATGTGTTTTGCTTTCATTGTTTTCATTTGTAAGTGTTCTACTGCAAGCCACTTCAATCTTTCTTGGAAGCAGATGTGATGGCTGGCTGAATTCTGAAAACTTAAAGATACTCATGATCCTCGTCAAGGATCCCTACTAAGGGATCCCTACACAAAATCCCTACTAAGTTCAGCTTGAGTTCTGCCAACTAATCCCTTTCATCTTAACTACCATAAAGAACTGAACCAATCACAGTTTTCCCAGGGGACTCTTTCCCTCTAAATTACATTATCCATATAGAACATTATAATGCCGTATTACACATTTACCATATATTTAGCACACAATATTTAAAATGAAACTCAAATTAACAAATCACTACTGAAGTTGAACTTTGTTTTGGGAAATTCAATCCTACCCTAACAGGTGAGGATGACTCCTCTGTATTTCGTTTCTGGGGCTCAGTGTCCACGTCTTGGCGCTTGTTCTTCATTCTTTCTCTAAGATCCCCTGTAGGTCTTTCTGGTGACCTTTGAACCAAAACACAGAAACAAAACAAAAAACGAAACAAAACAACAAAAATCTGTATTTATATATTAATAACATTTTATAAGAATGTATTTACAGAAATAACCTCACAAATCTCAATACACTTTTTCTAACTGACCTTGACTCCTGAATTTCTGAAAAATTTCACCTTAAATATTAATATGCAAAACACGAGCAACACTTACAGTTTTTCTCCCAATAACAATCAAAATGTATATGTTAAATTCCACGAAGTGGCAGGTACTGGTGATGTGAATAAGAAATTATATGTGAACTGAGAAAAAGGAACTAATAGCTTGACTTGTTTTCCTATTAATCACATAAATATATTAGTTATATGTGGGAGCAAAATGTAGTAGTAACACAAAGTTTTAAACTACAAAGTTGCAAAATTAATCTAGAGGTAGCAGCATTATCATTTATACTGAAAGATATAAGAAGATATTACAAGAAATAAGTTTCTTGTATACACATGCCTGTGGTTGGATGCAACATCAATAACTGAGAAAATATTTTATGTACCTTAAGTAAGAATCAAAGCAAATATAGGAGCTTTAAAATTTATCTTAAATTTTAAATTATTTCAGAATAAAGATAAAGGATTCAAGGCAATTTTACAACAGTGATTTTCATATTCTGCTGTAAATTTTTTAACTAAAGGAAAAATACATATTTATACTCAACAGTGGTAAGGCTTTATTATTTATACTAGAAATTTGACAGTATATGGCTATGCAATTATTTTCACTATCAGTGGGAAAAAACAAAGGAGAGATGGAAAACAGACTGCCTTTAAAGACTATTTCTACAACACCTTTAAAACAGGGCAAAAGAAGTTAAGGAATGCTCTGTTCCTCTTTGACTACCAAAAAGTACTATATATAAAAAAGATATAAACAAATCACATAAATATTCACATCTATTTCAAGCAGTCATTGGGCAATCAAATCAGTTCCTTGATTTTATGAATATAAATCATAAGGTTAGTAAAGAAATAATTTGAGTTAATTCACTTTAAAGGATCTCATTAATGTTTACATGCACATGTAATAGATTTATATTAAATGTTTTAACAGTTAAAGCTAAACTTGAAACTGGAATCTCTTACTAAGAACCAGTACTTAAGTGCTCTAAATTATAATGATGTACATGTAAATCCTATGTGCCCTGGTTTCCTTTATATAATAAAACACTTTAGTATGAACTTGTTTCTATCCTAAACAGCACCCAACAGAATGAATGTTTTACACACAGCGAATTCTCAATTAATTATGTAAAAGTCTTGTATATAAACATATAAATAAGCATTCTGTAAAATACATTGCTTTTCTTATCTTTGACTCGCATTATGAACTATGTTTTTCCTCCCGACAAAAAAAATGCACAAATACGAAAGAAGTTATCAGATGGAAAATCATACACAAAATAGCAAAATTATAATAAATATTCTTTATTCTAAGTCTAGCAATGACATTACTTTTTCCCATTTTAGACAAATTTCTCTGACCATTTTTCTCAAAATGATTTCTTGAATAAAAATTCTGAGTCAGCTAATAAATTTCAAAGATAAATTTTAAAATGTATCAAAAGTATAGTATTAAAGCAAAACATTAAAAGTATCGAAATAGTTTCACCAGGTATGTATCTACGTGTATATATACAAGTAAACACACATATACAATAAACACTAATCTTCCCACATTAACGGAAGTGACAAATGACAATCTAAATACAAATAAAACAGTATTCAGAATCACAAATAAACTAAAATGTACAATGTTTACGTGAAAAAGAAGTTGGCTAATGTTGAGGGTTTGAATTTTAAATTCTCCTAAACAAAATCTACCCATACACTACCCCCAAAAAAATCATTCAACTAAAAAAAAAAAAAAAAAATTCCAATTGCTAATGTTCAGTTTTTATAGTGTTGCTATGCTATAGCCAAAACAATCAGTGTAACCAATTTTGGATCTAGGTAAATTATTTCTTTACCAATCAAGTTAAAACTGTTTTTGTGACAAACTTTATGTATATTACATCTTTAAATACCATAAAATAATCATCATGAGGGAACCAAAAGAAAAATAAAAGGTCTTTATTAAGCAAGTTTAATCTAGCCAAGCCTTTATTAAAGGCAAAACGATGTTCGAAATATGGAGCATATTCATCCACATATAAATACATATTTTCATTAACATACTGTGCTAAGGGATTTGGCAAATGCATTTTAACCTATAGAATTTGTACAAAATTTGAATTCAGAACATCTTAAACAGCTAAAATTATACCCTATTTGAATTTTACTATTTTAAGAGTTAAAAATAGCCTCACTAAAAAGAAATTCAGACACCATGGAATTCTGCTGTCTTAAGCAGCAATTTAATACATAATTAGGGGGGAAAAAGTAAGCCATACACATACTACAAAAAGATCTACTGTCAAAACAAATAAATAATGAACAAATAAGTTAATTTGAAAGCAAACATTTTATTAATCTTGAAAATAACAAAAAGATCCTGTCGATCTTCAATTACTGGTAAGACTACCACCAATATAGAAAATCTGACCAAATATATGGTTGTATTTCAGATTTTTATACTAGATAAATTACAAAAGCCATCTTCTAATAGTACATGAACAATACAAAGTTCTCAGTTTACCTTCTATAATTGCTGCTATAACCTTTACCACGAGGTGAAGGGCCATGTACGAATCTACATGTGTTTCCATAGAGGCAGTTGCCAGTCTTCAGCCAGTTACGGCACTGTGTCTAAGAGACAGATATTACTATGTAAATTTCATATTTATTTCTGGAAAAAAAAAATGCTAGCGGGACAAAATTAAAACAAATGCTACCAAAATTCCAGCTAACCTGTGATATATTACTCCCCAAATAATAAAAACTTCAGGAAAAAAATATGGAAAAACCCATAAACCTTATCACCCTTTTCACTTCTTTTTATAAAACACACTTTAAAAAATTTACTGAACAAACATTCCTACAATAAAACAACCTGTTCACCTTTATGATACAAATAAGCATTTCAATAATAGAATTCTAAGAGAACCCCTGTGACTATACTAGTGACAACTCACCTCTGCTGTACTGCCAGTGCTGGGTCCAAGCCTCTCAAATACACTGGGTCTTCGGGATGTGCTATCAGATATAGTCTTGGTATTTTCCACTGTGACCTTCCTTCTAATTTTTGACATTTTGTACTACTTCAACCAAAAAAGAAAGAGGCAAAACTGTAAAATTCCTCAGTTTTAAATAACTGAGCCCACAGCTTACAAGTAGATAAAACTATAGGTAACAGTGTAAAATTACAGGAGATTTTCCTTGGGAGATTAAAAAAAAAAAGCATAGGAGAGGTCACAGGTAAACAGAGATAATATCTTCTAAAACATGCCTTACTGGTGAATTTATAACAGCTGTGAGATCTGTTGGCTAGAATTGTACCTCTTCTGCAGAGTGAACGAATATGATCCTACTCACACAGTGAAGTTTTCATAGTACAATCAACCTCAGAAGATACAGTACAAAATGTTTACTTTATAAAAGTTACTTACAAAAATTGCTTCAAAATTTAGTAACTCAAAGTTGTTAACCATCAACTGGTTAACTGAAAAAGAGTTATGCTAAAGAAAATGGAAAAATAAAATTGGGTGAAAATTTTCATAGCAGAAATTATGTTTCATAAGTTTAAGGGACAACAGCAGTTATGTTCCAAAAATCAGGTTGAGAAAAATGAATGATATTTTAGTATTTTCTTTGCCTGACAGAAGTCAAAACAATCTGATCAAGCATATTTATTTTCCAGTAACACAAAAACAAAACAAAACAAAACTCAATGTTGATAGAAACAACTTTCAAAACAGGACAGACTGTAGAACTAGAAAAAGTCGAGGTGTTTCTATAATCTATACTACACTGACATAAAATTCAAAGGTGTTAAAAGTAATTATCAGACTATTTTACCATTATTAGTAATAACAAAAAAGGCAAATTGTAAAAATATTTTTATTTTATTTTACGTTTAAGCTCTGTTAGATTTGATGTAAACATAAAAATATTTTTTAAGGGCCAGGCACAGTGGCTCGTGCCTGTAATCCCAGCACTTTGGGAGGCCGAGGCGGGCGGATCATGAGGTCAGGAGATCGAGACCATCCTGGCTAACATGGCAAAACTCCGTCTCTACTAAAAATACAAAAAAAAAAAAAAAATTAGCTGGGCATGGTGGCGGGCGCCTGTAGTCCCAGCTACTCTGGAGGCTGAGGCAGGAGAATAGCATGAACCCAGGAGGCAGAGCTTGCAGTGAGCCGAGATCACACCACCGCACTCCAGCCTGGGCGACAAAGCGAGACTCCATCTCAAAAAAAACAAAAAAACTCTCTCTATATATATATATGTATGTAAATAAAACATTCAAAAACTGAAACTATAGTAAAAATCTAATCCAATGACATAATTGGGTAATTCAACTAGATTTGCAAGTATCAGATAATGACAGTATATTATGACATTAGAAAACAATATTAAATTCTAGACCAAGATACAATCCAGAGCATACACTACTGTGGGAAGAGGGTAGAAACTGCCTCATAAGGGGAAGGAAAAAAAACACCATACTATATCCCGCTTTATACAAACTAAATATTAGTTGAAATCTTATCAATCATCAAAAGTTACTAGAATGAACCACAGCAGCTAAAAAAGTTTCATTTAGTCTCTATAAAGATCACAAATCTTTAATGTGGTTTCAAAGTAAAGACATATCACTTTAAAGGAAATTAAATCGTGGTAGTACCTAATTGAAACAGCAATAAAAAATTATAAACAGTGTTTGGTTCAATGAGGTACTTCAGGTCACACTTTTAAAAGAATCCAAAGACTAAGAACAACATTTGATAAATAAAAGATGGTGCATCAAGGAAGGAAAATATGAAATAATATATGGTGATTTTAAATTGGAAAATCTATATTTTTATCAATATAAAATGTAATAATTCTTTTGATATAATAGCAATTAATTTTTAGTGATTTTAAAAACAGAATTACTTCACAGTAATTATAAATTTAAGAACCAGTGGAGAGCATCACATAAACAATAATTTGCTGCAACACAAAATCAATTAAATATTAATTGTTCTCCAAGTAAGGAACTACACACCAATTCTACATACTGGTGTTAGCATTATAAGATAATCTTTGATTTAATTTTTCTTAGACTCATTCTCAGCTGAAATGTGAACATACGGAGGAGAAGCTGGTAAAATTTCCTATGTCTATTTGATTTACTGAGCACGAAAAAACTGAAAGCTAAGAGAAGTGGAGCTGAGAAAGATCTAGAAAATGTAGAGCTTTGAGAAAAACTTTTTTAACAATATATATCCAAGCATGATTCAATAATAAGTAAATGTATCACAATGTATAAGAAGTTTGAGAAAAACATAAAGTTTCATTATATATTGCTACATTAATATACAAATATAGAGTAATCCTCAACCAATAATTCAATTTTTAAAACATTTCTTAATAAACAAAATTGAATAGGTTCCAAAATTTCCTTATTTGCTAGTTATGTAGAACTTAGAAAACAGGCACAACCATCCCACCACACTGCCTCAAGTGGACTAACACTAATTTTTTATTTTTCCCTCCACTGTCACTGGAAATGAGTTAGTTCTGCCCCCAACATCTCTACTACCCCCAACATGCCTCCACTCCCAGCTCAGTCTCCTTCAAAAAATTCAATGGTAATGGTTTCCAGTTAGGACGACAGGCTATTTATTATCGTACTTATTATACTTAAAACATTGGTCATCTATCATCTCCTTTCTTTTTACTTTTTGAGGGTTCCAGGTATTAACTCTACAGTTTCTTTTTCTGGTCTGTCCTCTGTTGCCTGATTCGCACTACTCTCCTCCCTTGACCTATTGCTTTGCTGGTCTGAGAGCTTCTCTCCAATCCTAGACTCCCTAAGGCAAACTTTGAAGATTTCGCCGGGCGCGGTGGCTCACGCCTGTAATCCCAGCACTTTGGGAGGCCGAGGCGGGCGGATCACGAAGTCAGGAGATCGAGACCATGCTGGCTAACATGGTGAAACCCTGTCTCTACTAAAAATACAAAAACAAAATTAGCCGGGCGTGGTGGCAGGCGCCTGTAGTCCCAGCTACTCGGGAGGCTGAGGCGGGAGAATGGCGTGAACCCGGGAGGCGGAGCTTGCAGTGAGCCGAGATTGCGCCACTGCACTCCAGCCTGGGTGACAGAGTGAGACTCCGCCTCAAAAAAAAAAAAAAAAAAAAAAAAACTTTGAAGATTTCAAGGGTTGGACTTGCTATGAAAGACAATCAAGTGAAGACTAATGATCCACCTCCTCACCTCCCTCACCCTACGCCCATATTCTTTCCACAGAGACAAAATTGCTTTTACCAGTGACATCAAGAACTATTCAAGATTCACCTACATAGTAATTATCCCAGGAATTTCACTTGCAGCTACTACTGTACTGAGTCTCCCAATTTAGCGAAGAAATGAAATTAAGTAAAAATGTGGCCAAGCGCAGTGACTCACGCCTGTAATCCCAGCACTTTGGGAGGCCAAGGCAGGCGGATCACGAGGTCAAGAGATTGAGACCATCCTGGCCAACAGATCGAGACCATCCTGGCCAACATGGTGAAACCCCGTCTCTACTAAAAATACAAAAATTAGCTGGGTGTGGCGGTGCACGCCTGTAATCCCAGCTACTCGGGAAGCTGAGGCAGGAGAATCGCTTGAACCCGGGAGGTGGAGGTTGCAGTGAGCCGAGATCGCGCCACTGCACTCCAACCTGGCAACAGAGGGAGACTCCGTCTCAAAAAAAAAAAAAAAAAAGATGTACTCTACTTTTTCTCAGACTCCAAGAGTACCATACTTTGTCCTAAAGTAATACAGCATCTGAGTATGCGGTCTGGGTTACAGCAAGGTCCTGGACTGAACATTTAAAACAAGAATAATGACAACAATAATACACACACACATATTCTTAATAAAATGTTCTTTAATGTGATATATATATGTGTGTGTGTAAAACGTCTGGTGAAAAAAGAAAAAAGCAGAAACTGAAGATTTCTAACTGAAAAAATTCTTCTGATCATCCATGTAAAAACTTCCACAAGTAGTCAACAATAAAATGTTACTTAAATATTACTAATGAGACATTCATGAATTTGAATAAACAAAATGCTTCATGCTTGTAAAGAACACAATATATAACTTTAAAAATCCCATTTATCTAAAAATATACACACTATCTACAATACAGCAGAAAAACATTTCCTTTTTCATATATTAAAACTAAATGTTACCAACTAATGTGACAATTAGAATTTTCAATCCTATTTAAAACTTTGGGCCCGTAAAGGAAAATGAACACCACAACAGTTAAAATGTAGATTTTCGGGGCGGGAAACTTTTTCAAATTATGTATGAACAGGCTGAACATGACAAGTAAATGCTTCAAAGTATATGAGAAAAATTAGAAACCATAAGATAAAAATGTAAATACTAAAGTCTTTCCTATCATAGAGAATAGAAATCAAGGTCATACCAATAACTTACTAATTTACTCTTCTATGAAGGTTTTCCTCCATTTTTGTTTTCAAATTATTATTTGGTTTAAGTTGCCATCACACTTCCACCCACATCATCAAGTCTTTCTCAAACACGAGCATTATCAAAGACAGAGTGGCACTAGTGAAAGCCTATTTCGTTATTTTCCTATTTCTCCTCTCCATTTGCAGAGCAAATGAATATCTGAAGTCTTTATAATCTCTTTTCAATTAAAAAAGAAAATGGAAAAAGAAAAAGAAAATCCGGGACACAAAGTTTGAGTCTATTAATAAAGACACAACAAAAGAGGGTCTTAAATGGGAACTGCTCCCTTGCCCCGAGAAACTTAGAATAACACTGTACTCAGAAGGTTCACATTATAATTATGGCTGAGAAAGGAGAAGCATACAAAAGGGTCTCTTTTTGAATAATGACTCCAGAAGCTCAATTAATAAAATCTTGTCAATAAACACATATGCGTTCTAGTATCTTCACTTCAATCCATAATTAATTATCTTTTCCAGGTCTCATCTACTGGAAGCATAAGTGAAAGCATAACACTTTAATCCGGATGAGTAGCGGCATAATATTAGGGAAATTTCAAACAATTAGGCAATTAAAACTACATGAATGTACTAACTAGTAGGATAAATCCCTATACTCTGAATTTCTAAGATTAAAAAGGTGATACTAAAAATAAGGTATCTTCACATTTATACTTCATATTTTTAGAAAGAAAAATTAACTTTATTTGATGCATAGTTTGAGAGAATTTTTTAAAAAGAACTTTCTAAAACAAACTTTCAGATTGCTTCCGTAAATTTAATGCTAAAACAATTCCAAACTAAATTCCAAATACAACTGACAGAACTAAGCTGACTACATAGGAATTAGCAAAGCAACACTGCAGTACTATGCAGAAAAAACAATTTGTTAAAAAGACTGTGCACAGAAAACATCCCATGCTGGTAGCTACTCTAAAGTGAAGTAAAAAGAACTGCATCATACAAAAATACAAAAAAAAAAGAATAAAAGACTCTTTCTATATCAACAGCAGTTAATGCTTCAACTACTACTAACAGCTGGAGAAATAGCTCCACCTCTATATGAGATGGAGTTGGGAGAGATGAGGAGGTGAGGAAGACTATCATCCACTGAAAACCAACTCTCTAAGTAAATTTAAGTTAAACAATGTGTTTCCTCTATGTAAATGCCAATGCATATTATAAATACTGATGATATTACAATTTTAATAATTTGTAAAGATGTTAAGATACCATCCACTTGCTGGATTTTTAGTATGTTAAATTCATATTACAAATATGAAAATCACATAAGCTTGCAAATCTCAAAATATGCAATGTTCATTTAGAATGACCAGTAATCAGGAAGCCAGTAAGAGGCATACATTTGATAAAACTGAATCCTACCAGATGCACAGAGTGAAAGCCTTAGTTTCAGAGTGCAACTATTTTTAAAGCCGCAATTGTTACAAGCTTGCATCAACTTTGCTAGTCTCTAGTTGAAACTGTCATCTGTTATAATCTAAATAGTTCATTAAGAAAATAAAAATTATTTGAAAATCTATAGATTGTATTCACAAAACGCTCCAATATATTGTACTAAAGCCAGTAATTTCAAATGTTACAGAACTAGACCCCGCTAACTGGCACCATATACCCATAGACTGAACTGCATAAGTATTTATTCTCCAACGGTATCGCGGACTTCGAAAACTTGAGGTGTAAAGATGTTTTCCAAATTTTTAAAACTACTTTAAAAATCCAAAAATCTTAAGAGACTTCATACTCCCATAATTTTCAAAGTAGTTCGAATTACCTGAAAGCCCCATAGTATAACCAAATACCTTAAGACTACCCTTCACAAACAACATCTTACCAACATAATTCAAGTATTATCAACTCTAAATAATTTTCAAACCACATAAATTGCGTTAGCCTATTACAGAGAGATAATGCCGCCAAACAGACTCTCTTCTTTCTATTCCACTTTCCCCCGTTTCTGACAGTTGCCAAAACTACCTACCTAAGGCTTGTGAAGATAAAGTAGCACTCAATTCCCAGGACCTAAATCGTTATCACTGCTGAGGGAAAAAAAAAAAAACAAGACCAATCACAAGTAAGATGTTTTTCTCTAACAGATCTGGAATGAGTATAGAGGAAGATTCTAAATTTAAGCCCAAATTGCTGCACCCTTCCATCGCACACAAATACGAACACCATACAAGGGTTCCCGTGCTTACATCAAATGGTAACGAGGGGTACAGCCTATTGTCTGAGTCTACTTATCGCCCTTAGACAAATGCCAGAATCATAATCAGAGTGAGAAATTACGCCTGAGCACAGGGGGCTATTGCAGAGTTAAGGGTGGGATGCTCAAGGAAAGCTCAAAATCCCAGTGACTCAAGCAAAGACGGGGGGGGGTAACCCGGGCCTCCGCATTACGGGTCCGCTCAATGCCTTCCCCAGATACCCACACCAATTCACAGAACGCTTACTTCCTCCCCAAGCTCCCTTCGCAAGTGCAGTCCGGAGGCACCACCGCCGCCGCCGCTCCGAGGAGCGGGGGAGGCGACTCTGTCCCCGCGCCTGGACCCAGGAGGACGACGACGAGGAGAAAGCGATGCGCGCGCGGCTCCCGGGAACCGGCTCTTGGCTAGCGAGGAGCCCCCGGGATGGCTGAGAAGCAGAACCAACCCGCCCGCCGCCTCTCCAGGGTCAAGCGAAACTGGGTCGCAGGAAGAAAAATAACGAAGAGATTGTAGATTAAGAAAAGGCAACAAAAACACTACCAGGCCGCTAGGAGGACCGCCTCAAAATGCCGCCGGAAGTCAGAGGTTTGCCCTGTTCCTCTGTAGACCCAGGCAGCTTCCGGCCGTCAGATTAGTCGTCAGTGCGCAGACACCACCCTTCGTGGACACGCCCTCTAGGCGTAAGGTTCCATGCGAGCGGTAAGAGTGCGGCGGGACTTGGAAATCGAATCTGTGCTCTGTGAGAGATCCTAGGAAAGGAAACTGGGAGCCCGGGAGAACTAAAATTCCCAATTAAAAGTGAATTTAAGTGAGTTTTCTCTTTTTATTACATAATTCCTTACCATAAACAGCTGTTGTAAATGCGCAAAATGCGGCATTTGTTGACAGTACCTAGAGCCACTCATTCATTCGTTCAACAGTGTTTATTGAGCAGCTGAGCTGGAATGAGAGGCTATGTTTGTCGTTTTTGACACCCCTCCCCTTTCTGGGCCATCGCCTAATTACCGTGGAGCAAACGGAATGCATGGTTGTATTTCTAAAGGCACAAGCAGAAATTTATTGAAAATTTGGAGCAGAAATCTTTAATGTACTTCTGACCACCCTTCCTTTTGTTGAGTAGGATCCAATGATCAGCGTGAGATGATCATTGATTAAACTTGCTTGAGATGGCTAGTCAAACGTCGAAACTTGCTTGAGATGGCTAGTCAAACGTCGAAAATCAAAGAAAAAGTAGGTAACTAGACTTTTACAATTTTTTTTAAAGGGTAAAAAGACATGAACCCTAGTCTGCCTTAATGGCAAAGTAGCACTTATTAGGTTCTCTGACAGAACCAAGGAATAGGAAAATCTTTTATCAAAACTACGGATAAAACTTAAAAATAATTTGATACAATGATTTGGTCTTGCTGGAATCAGTAAATTAAAATACGGAAGCAGAATGATAAAATCAGGGGCATTAAACATTCCTAATGACATGCCAAGCTATTTTAGAGACAGCGGCAAAAGCTTCTCTACAGGTGGGTTTGATGTAACGCTCCGGCAGCAAGAATCCGTATGTGCCCGTATCTCGAAGTTCAATTGTAAACGAATATTTGATGCCCAAATCATAGATCCAATCGTCCCCACCTCCAGGAGCTAGGTCTAAAAGAAGAAGAAAGAAATTGTTGAAATACAGACGTTTCAAATTAATTTACAAACTGGGAATTGTTTGATTTAAATGTTTATTTGTTTGTATACCTTTAGATTTTTTTCAGTTTTTAACTAATATAAACAACTTTACAATGAGTACCCTTGTTTATACATAATTGCTTCTTTGTCTCTTTAGAATATTCTTCCCTAGAATAGATTTGCTAGTCTAAGGCTCTGTACTTTTTGCAATTACGGCATGTTCCCAAATGGACGTCAAAAGAACTGAATTCATTTATACTTCCACAAGCAGGGTATGAATTTGCCCATTTCCCCTTCCCATACCATCAATAGGAATTATGAATTCTGATAATTTTATGGGCGAAAAATAATATCCAACTGTCTTAATTTATGTTTTTTGATTATCAGTGAGTTGCACATTTGTTTGGCATATTTATTGGCTATCTTTATATTTCCTATCAATTGTCCTTCCTCATTTGTCTACTTGGTTCATTTTATCAATTGCTTATAAAAACGACATTAGTGTTATTAGCTTTGTTTGGCATGTAGACCTTTTTTTCTCCTTTCATTCATTTCTCCTTTCACAAGAATTTTTTCTCCTTACTGAGATTTCAACTTGGTTTATGCAGGGTTTTCATATGAAAATATATGCTGTACCTGGAATTTACTTTGGTGAAAGACATGTTAATAATCCAATTAATTTTTTTCTAGGTAACTTGTTAGGTTTTCCAACCGCATTAATTGAATAATCTGACTTTTTTTGGGGGGGTGCTAAATTGAGTCCAGGTTTATGGCAAAGTCTGACCCAAAATTTTAATTTATAATTTTAGCATCTATCTAATACAGTTTGGGAAGCATCTCATGAAAGCTACAATTGCCAGAAGACTTGTTACAGTTTAATGCATGTTAACTAAAATGTGTACATATTTTAGTGTTCATGATAAATACAGTTTCGACCTTTTTTGAGATGGAGTCTCACTCTGTCACCCAGGCTAGAGTGCAGTTGCACAATCTCAGCTCATTGCCACCCCCACCTCCCAGGTTCAAGTAATTCTTATGCATTAGCCAACCAAGTAGCTGGCATTACAGGCGCCTGCCACCATGCCCAGCTAATTTTTGTATTTTTAGTAGAGACAGGGTTTCACCATGTTGGCCAGTCTGGTCTCGAACTCCTGACCTCAAGTGATCCTCCTGCCTCAGCCTCCCAAAGTGCTGGTATTACAGGCATGAGCCACAGCACCTGGCCTCTTTTTGTTTTTTTCTAATCATTAAAAAAAAAAAAAAAAGGAAAAACCTGGATTTGGCCTTCAGGCTGTAGTTTTCTGATGCCTGGTTACAGGTTTATTTTATGCTCCTCTTTTCCCATCTCCCTTCAAACTTCAAAAGGGCAAAATCAGTCTGTCCTCCCACTGTGTGTAGATAGGAGTTACTCACTAAATATCTTTCAGCAAAAATTAATCAAAACTTTTTGTTAAGAGTTTGTCACAAGTTTTGTGTGTGTAATATATATTAAAGACAATCAACTGTAATGTGTTATGAGCTATACTCTTGGGAACAGGCTAACACTAAAAAACACTTGATGCAAATGGCATGCCCTAGATTAGTGTAGTGTACAACCTGCACAACCTTCCATGGTGGCCCTGGGAATCATGCAAAAGTTTTATGAACTTTTCTGCTTCACTCAACTAGTATGATGCCAATTCTGTAATTCCTACTTGATTGTGATAAATATGATTTCTTAAATAGGATTTTGGCTTCTTTTTAGTAACTCATTTATTAATATAGCTTTGTTCAGCATTGTCATAGCTATTATGCTTCTGTTCCTAATTATTACAATTCAGTTGTATTACATGTGACCCTATTTAATTCAGAAAAATTAAATACACAAAGAAAAACAGATCACACAGATTTCTTTAGTAGCTCAAAGTTCTCTAAGATCATAAGAAGAAATACTTACATAAGGTTTCTGAGCCATGGCCATGTGTATACCTGGTATTTTTACTAATTTTCTCAATAGCACGAACTGCTTCACTGGCTACTAGAGACTGGAAGCAACAAGATATAGAATTTCAGTTAATGTGCAGCTTTGAAACATGACAAGTAGAAGTTTCTAAAAAATAATCATACATTAATTGAATCAAAGTATACAGGTAGAAAATCTAGATTCATCTAAAAGGCAAATAAATAAGGTAAACAAATTAATTTAAAATATGTGCACTTTATGGCAATCACAATTGGGTGGCTTTAAACATAAACTATTTCAATATATTGAAATAATTTATATAAATAAATATATTAATTTGCAGAAAAAAATTATCACATGCCTTTTTGGGAACTCATTTATTATGGAAAATGAAGTATAACTACATCTCAAAGGCTTAGAGGTACTCCATTTCTGAACAAAATTATCACCAAACTTTAAATCCAACCTTTCTAAACACATACAAACACCTAATGCATGCATGACTCACTTCTTATCCTTCTCACAACTTCTATTTTCTTCTTGTGTAAAATGTCTAATGACTTCCATAGATTCATCAAATCAAAAAAGATTATGCCTCTGGTATGGAGCAGGATAATAACTAAGACCCCCATTTGACTTCATTTTGTCTGTTGATATTCATTTTGTCAAATCTATTCTGAAGTTCTCACTTATCTGGAACTTTTCGGAAATTGGAACTAGCATCATGGTATACACTGTCACCTTCTTGAAAAACTCAAGAGATTTATCAGCGGATATTATTTTATGCCATCTCATTGTTCAAAAAATAAGTTTTAATGTAACCCCATTGTCTACATAATGAAATACAAATTTATCTGACAGTCACACCCCTTCAGAAGCCAACCTAATCTACTTTCTGATGCTATCACCCTCCACTTTTGCATCCTCTTATGGTGAACACCAACTTCTTTGCTTGGAAGGTCCTTCCTTCCCTGTCTGCCTATAGAAATCCTCTTTCAATGCCTGTCTAAAATGTAGCTGATCTTTGACATCAACAGCACTTTATTATTTGTAGTTTTTCCCCCCCTTAATAGATTGTAAATTCCTCAAGGACAGTAACTACTTTATCTCCTCACTTATCTCAGCATTTCCCTCTGAATGCATTAGTGAAGCCATCCCTTGATATTCTAGTTAGAAGTGAGTTGTACTGTCTGTGCCACGTATTTAGTAGTTACTCTATGTCGCCTTAGAGTACAACTATTTGTAACATTTGCTAATGGTTGAGCTCCCTAACCATAACACATTCTCTTAAAGGGCAGGATTTTACCTAATGCTTCTTTAAACATCCATTGACAAGGTATTTTACACGTAATGGCTCTCAACATATATGTGTGCTGGCAGTGATGCAAAAAAAAAAAAGCATAATTAGACTAATTCTACTTCCCAAATCATGATAAATTTCCTTTTATTTCTTCAAAGATAATATTTTTGAAAGGTGCTTTCCTTAACAGTTTTCCCTTGAGAAGAAAAAAGCTCAAGTATCAAGTACATTTATGTTCTAAATGGGCTATTTTCAGAGAATGCAAATAATCTTATATTTGTCATCAGCAATTGCTAGCTCCTGTAATGTGACTATATTTTATTCTGTTAAGAGAGCCAGAAAAAAAAATGAGTCACTAAGAAACAAGCTACTACCTAAAAATTAGTCCCTTCCCAAGAATGGGGCTGTTGATGTAACACTTCCACTGTCTGGAGAGCATCTGGGATGAGGATTTGTCGAAGCCTAGCTACAATCCTTCAAGAATCCTTGCATCTTTTGCCATGAACCCAAACATACAGTATCTTGGACTAAAAAGTGCTAAGGGAGTATCAAATTGTGTGAGTCCTCTTTGAATTTCCTGTATTGTCTGTTATGTTCCAAAAAACAGACTCTCTCCTCAATGCTAAAATTGGAGGTACTTTAATAGGACCAAAACCCTGAGGGTTAGGGAAGTCAGGGCAGGAACAATTCCTGCTGCTAATACCAAAACAATGAGTGCTGTGTTGAGACTTAATCTGTGGTGTGCTGTTGTAGGAAGCTAGTGACCACAAAGCTGTCGCATGATTCCATACTCATCCTTGCTTATACCGCTTCACATGCAGATCAGGTCAAGTGTAGTAGTAGTTCCTTCCTAACCTTCAAGGAATTTGTCTGACATTTTCTTAGGAAGCCCACGTGCTGAATAAAGTGTGTGTTGTTAGGGTAAGGCACGTTCTTTATATTCCCTTAGAGAACACTGACCCAGGGTGACTCTCAACAGGATCACACCATGATTTAAAACATCTATCATTTGCCTTCTAGAGGACAAAATTTTTCCCAGTTTTTGATTCTTCAACTAAGTATTATTTTATTTCCAAAATGCTAATGAGAAAAATAATTAAGTAGCACTTACCAGTTCCTCATGGTCTTTGCTTTTACTTCGTGTATAGGAATATGGAAACACTATATGCTGGGAGTATGAATGCATGCTGATGTATGCTTTAATCTGGTTGATATTTCTTCTCAAGAAACTAGCCACTGCCTTCACTTCTGGTTCTGACTCAGGATAAAGTCCACAGTAGGTTTCCGAGCATGAGGAACTGGATGCACCTTCCTCTGTAACGAAATTGTTAAGGTGAAATTATGAGGGGATGCACATAGTACTGTAATTTGTGGTTTCCCAGACAACGTATTCTCCTACCTATGTTGCAACACTTTTAGATGAATGGATTAGGTAGGGCTCTGCAAAGAACATAGTTCCACTAAGTGTTATGTTTCTTTTGAAGTCAAATACTTATCTGCTCACATAGCTGACCTTCTAACAGTCATTCCCAGCACCTGTCTCCCTTGCAACCTTGAGAAAGTGGCTAAGAGATCCTCAGAGATGCCAGCCCTGTCTCCAGACTTATGGTTATGGGAGAAAAAATAAACCCCACTTTCCTTAATCCACTGTAAATTTAGTTTTTCTGATATTTGTAGTTTTAAAGCTACCATCAATATAGCCCATAAAAGAAAAGCCTCACTTCAGAGCTCAGAATATGTAAATCTGCCTTCAGTGCTACTTTTAACTTGCTAAAGTGGTTTAGTAAGTTTAGTAAATAAAATGGGATGGTGATATTTGTTGCCAGACCAACGTTCATTCATTCCTTTGATAGATTATAATTTGCATCACTTGAGATGGTAGGCTGCCTTCCAACACTTCTCCCCCTGTCCCTAATTCACAAGGTGAAGCCCCAGCAAGCTGCATCTGACACAAGAGATTATTCCTTCCTGCAAACAGTTGAGGGCTCAGGATTGGGTCTGACTCTTGTGCTTGCCAATCTGAATCCCTTCAAAGATAACTTGAAATCAATACTAAGAGTCTAGTCTCAGTCTAGCTGCTCTCTTGAACAGACAGTAAAAATAGTAATACTACCAGCTGACACCTGTGGAGCACATGCTGTACGTCAGGAACTCTGCTAAGATTTTTGCCACATCTCATGTAATTCTTACACCAGCCCTATGAAGTAAATACTGTCATTTTAGGAGATGCAATCTGGATATTCTTGGTGGTAACCACTCTTCAGAATAAGAGGCTATACAGCATATTGTTAAGCACCCAATTACTTGATTCTAAATCTTGACTACCATTTATTAGCTATATGGCTTTGGGTAAATTTTTAAAAATCTATCTGTATCTCAATTTCCTTATCTGCAAAATTGAAAAATTATACATTAAATGCTGATTGAATGAGAATTAAATGAGCTAGTTCATACAAAGTGCTTTGCACAGTGCCTGGCATGTAGTATGCATTTCATAACTGTTGCTGTTTATCATCATCATCATCATCATCATCATCATCATCATCATCATCATGTGGACTGAGACCTGAAAGAAGCCAGTGTGCATCACAGAGATGAGAAGGGGAGAGGAAGGATTCACTGAGCCTCTCTAGGGCTCCAGGCCCAGTTCCTTTCTGTTTCTGAGTCCAGCTGCATCTCTGCCTCAGGAGTCCATGGCTGAGGCTACTCACTATCCTTACAGAGCCTGCTTTTCTTAATTAAGCTCATTCTGCTTTATTCCTGTTATTATACAAACACAACATTAATGTTTGTTAAAAAATTGTTTCCCTGAGAGGAAATGTGAACATCTAAGGTCTTCCCAAGTATTTCATTTTTAACCAATAAGGTGATTGGATAAACCATTTTTGATAGTTCGGTCACCTTTGAATATTCCTGCCCTTTTATGTGATATATAATTCTTAGAGAATAGAGATTATATATTGGGTATGGAGGTCGGGGAAGACATAACCACTAAATAGAGAGGTGGTGCCCTAATATGAATCCTCAGACCAGGGTTGTTTAATAGAAATATAATGCAAGTCACATATTTACTTTAAATTTTCAAGTTACCACTTTAAGAAAAATAAAAAGAAGGCCAGGCACGGTGGCTCACACCTATAATCCCAGCACTTTGGGAGGCTGAGGCAGGCGGATCACTTGAGATCAGGAGTTCGACACCAGCGAGGCCAACATGGTGAAACCCCGTCTCTACCAAAAATACAAAAATAGCCAGGCATAGTGGTGCACGCCTGTAATCCCAGCTACTTGGGAGGCTGAGGCACGAAACTTGCTTGAACCCAGGAGGCAGAGGTTGCAGTGAGCTGAGATCATGACACTGCACTCCAGCCTGGATGACAGAACAAGACCCTGCCACACACACACACACACAAAAAGAAATATGTGAGATTAATTCAATATTGTAATTTATTTAACCAAATATGTACAAAGTATCATTTCAAGTGTAACCAATATAAAAATTATTCTTGAAATATTTTATGTTACTTTTTTCATACTAAGCCTTCAAATTCTGGTGTGTATTTAACACTCAGTGTATGTCTCAATTCAGACAAGCTACATTTTAAGCACTGGATAGCCACATGTGGTTAGTGGCTACTATGCTGGACAGTGAGCCTCAGATTCTCATTCTATGATTGTCATTCTAGAGATTTCAAGCATTTTAGTGGAAAGAGCCCTGAAGAGGCAGGAAACTTGAGGTCGAGACTCTGCTTTACCATTAAGCAGTCATGTTAATTTGGGCAACTACTTCATCGTCTCAGCCTCAGGGGCCTCATCTGTACCAGGAAGGAACTTGGGCCACTGGATCCCTCCAAGCTCAAGCATTCTTTGATCTATAGACATGGAACCAAGCACACTGTGAAATATCTATAATAGGCAAATTCATAGAGACAGAAAGTAGATAAGAAATTACCAAGGGCTGGGGAGAAGGTAGGGATGAGGAGATATTGCCTACTGGTTACAATAAGTAAAAATCTCTCTTTGGGACAATTAAAAAATTTTAGTAATAGATAGTAGTAATTGTGAATGTACTTAATGCCACTGAACTGTACAATTAAAAATTGTTAAAATGGCAAATTTTATATTGCATGTATTTTATCATAATAAAAAATAATTTTAAAAAACACTATAGTCTCCTAGAAAAAGAAATAAAGAATTTTCCATTCAAGCCAGTTGCAAAAACTTTGTAGTTGAACTCAGTGTTTTAGAAAATGTGTGGTGCTATCTTAGGAAGTTTGAGACCAAAGGTTCTCATAATGTACTCCTGTTATGAACTGAATTGCATCCTCCCAAATTCCTATGTTGAAGCCCTAAGCCCCAATGTGACTGTATTTAAAGATAAGGCCTTTAAGGAGACAAAGTGAAATGAAGTCATAGGCATGGGGCTCTAATCCAATGTGACTGGTGCCCTTATAGGAATAAAGAGAGACACCAGGGAGGTTTGTGCAGAAAGAGAAGGCCATGTGAGGGCACAGAGAGAAGGCAGCCATCTACAAGCCAATGAGAGAATCCTCAGGAAGACCTCACTCTGCTGGTACCTTGATTTTGGACTCCCAATCCTCAACTGTGAGAAAATAAATTTCTGTTGTTTAAGCCACCCAACCTATGGTATTTGGTTATAGCAGCCTGAGAAGACAAAGACACCCCTACAACCTACCCTCCACTCTCATCTCCAACACACACACACACAAAATTTTAATACAGAGGAGCATAAAATGAGTAAGTAGGTTTGATATGTCACTTCCTGTTAATAAGTGAGGTGTTTTTGGATCCTTTATATAAAGAATCATAGGGGCACATTCTAGTTGTAGGGATGAGAAAAGATTAAATTCTTCTTTCTCACTGTCTTGCTTACATAGTACAGAATAGATACTGGAACAGTTGGTAATAAGGACAGTTCCTTACAATTACTTTTTATTTGGTTTTTTTTTTTTTTTTTTTAGTTAAAAACCCATATGCTTGCTGCTTCTGTTTCTGTTTTTCACTCTTATGATACATAACAATATAGCACCATGCCCAAGAGGGGACTGAGACATTTCTTGATGACAATAACAGAATATATTTTGACTACTTGGCTATCCAAATTAAATAACACTGACTTCACCAAGAAAAATATTAAGTAAAATCAAGCACCAAAAGAGCTTGAAGATAAAATAAAAACTTCCAAAAGGGAACTGATAACTTGGGTTTATAGCCCAGCTCTGCCACGTACTTGCACATACTTGCTACGTGCCCTTGAGGAAGGGACTTAACTGTTTTCAGCCCGGGTTTCTCCATCTATGATTCATAGATAATGAAATCTGGAAGATGAACTATGTCAATGGCTCAGCGCTGAGTAACTGTCAGCTCTATTTACTTAGATTCTTTTTACATGGCTGCTGTTCCTGTGAGCCCCTGGCATGTTATTAGTGCCACAGCAAACTTTGGGCCTCTGGGAACACGAGTGGTTTTTTAGGGAGAAACCACTAAATGATTCCCTGGAACCTAAGTCGGGATGAACTGCTTCTTCCTCTGAGTTCCTACCATATCTGTAGCTCTCAGAGCAACTAAATTCATTCATGGACTCATTTAGTTAATATTTTATGAGGACCCTCCTTGTGCCAGGCACTGCACTAGATAATGGGTATTGGTTTCTGTCTGCATGGAGTTTCTAACCTAGACAGGGAAAAAAATAAGGAAATAAGGTAAGTGCTTTGTTGTGAGGTTTGGTTTTCTTTTGTTTTAGCAATCAGCTTTCCCAGGCTGAATGTTGTGAGGTTTTAATAGGTATTCTGGGATTTTGATAAAATGTTTAAAATCATGAAATTTTACCTTTTTTAAAGGAAATAGGCAAAATTATGTGCATAGGATTGTATAGGGTCCAGGTCTGGGAGGAAGAAGATGTTTCTGTGGATACAATAGCTTCTCTCCCTTATGGGCCCCATGGAGCCCAAAAATATAGATGATGCATACTCCTTGTCAGGTTAGTTTATTTTCGTAGCTGTTTCTGAAATGTAGTACTATGAAAAATAATGTTGAGTGGGTGGGAAGAAAGAGTGAACTAACACCTACCCCCCTAAAAGCAAACTTCTTTGTCTTCGGGTTCAGGGGGTACATGTGCAGGTTTTTTCCATGGATATATTGTGTGATGCTGAGGTTTGGGATTCTATTGAACCCATCACCCAAATGGTGAACACAGTACCACTTAGGTACTTTTTCAACTCTTTCCCCTCTCTCTCCTTCCCTGCCCCTTTTTTGAGTCCCCAGTGTCTATTCCCATCTTTATGTCTGTGTATACTCAGTGTTTAGCTTTTACTTATAAGTGAGACCATACAGTATTTGATTTTCTGTTTCTGTGTTAATTTACTTAGGACAATGCCTTCCAGCTGCATCCATGTTGCTGTAAAGGACATAATTTTGTTCTTTTTTATGGCTGTGTAGTATTCCATGATGTATATTTACCACATTTTCTTTATCCAATCCGCCATTGACAGACACCTAGATTGATTCCATGTCTTTGCTCTTGTGAATAGTGCTGCAATGAACATATGATTGCATGTGTCTTTTGGGTAGATCGATTCATTTTCCTATGAGTATATACTCAGTGATGAGATTGCTGAGTCAAATAGTAATTCTACTTTTAGTTCTTTAAAAAATCTTCAAACTCCTGAAAGCAGACTGTTCTTGAATGCATAACTCAACATCATCGAATGCCTTAACTCATTCGAATTAAGAAATAATAAATTCCCACTGTGCTGCTTTTTATACTATTTTTAATATTTTTATATTTTCTTTATATTATTTATTAAAGAAATTAAGAAAGTGAATAGTGAAAAAAATGTCTTCAAACACTATAGAAGTAAACATTTACTTGTGCAATTAAAAATGAGGGGTCCAGGCCAGGCACAGTGGCCCACTCCTGTGAGCCACTTTGGGAGGCCGAGGTGGGCGGATCACTTAAGGCCAGGAGTTTGAGACCAGCCTGGCCAACATGGTGAAATCCCATCTGTACTAAAAAAAATACAAAAATTAGCCAGGCACGGTGGCATATGCCTGTAGTCCCAGCTACTTGGGAGGCTGAGGCAGGAGAATCCTTGAACCTAGGAGGCAGAGGCTGCAGTGAGCCAAGATTGTGCCACTGCACTCCAGCCTGGTCAACACAGCAAGACTCTGTCTCAAAAAAAAAAGAGAGGTCCTCCCCCCATCTCAGGTCTTTGATATTCTAATGATGAATGTTTTTGTTTATTAAAATAGGATCTTTAACTGTCACTTCTTTATTATTCCAAGATAATAGATTTTAGAATTTTGAAGCTAGAAGGGATCTTAAAAAACTGATTCAACTTTCTTATTTTAAAGATAGGGAAACAGGAGAGAGGAGAGGCCAAAGTGATTTGCTGACTCTGGCCAACAGTCGCAGCATTACATTTACCTAAGCATTTATCATTTAAATTATTCCCTGATTCAGACAGGCCAGCTCTGTATTTAATTTGAATTCATGGGCCTTTCCCTGTGAACATCACCCTTTCAGTGAAGAGACATTGCAAGAAATAAAGCCAACAACCTACCACACCAGTGTTTGGAAGCAAAGTTCCTATTCAGGTCTGTTCCGATGCAATGATTGTTCGCATAGAAAGAACGGTTCTTTCTCCACATTCGATTCTACATAAACAAAATACAAACAGACAACCTGGGTAGCCACGTTCAAGGCCTGAGGAAAGACATGCATTTGAAAGTCCATGAAGCCAGAATTGCCTTTCTCTCCTTCAATCCCATACCTTGCATGGCTTCATCACATCACTGTTGTTGCAATATTCCTTTGCACGGTCCCTATTGCTATCCGGGTTTCAATCACATCCACTCAGACTATTTTAGTTGAACCAAACATAATGGTAATATTTGATCAATTTTGACTGATACAAATAAAGATTTCCTTTCATTCCACTAGGCTGCTTATTAGCCTTCTTGTTTAGTCTTGTTTCCTTTACATTAATTTTATGCACAGGGTCATTCTGAGCTCCTTCGAAGAAAAGCAAAATAACTTTGTGTCTCAACTGAACGCTGAGTCATAAGTTAAAATGCTCTCTTTAGGTAGAATTCACCACTCCCCTTTCAAAGCTAGAAAAGGTGGAGATGTGAAGACACCTTTAATCTGATGACTTCTTCGATTGTGCTGATTTGACTCTGGTTTTTAAATATAAAGCAAATTCCCTATTGGGTTCTTGGGGTAAACTGGGAAAGTTTGGTCATGTAAAGAGTTGCACAGGCCGGGCGCGGTGGCTCACGCCTGTAATCCCAGCACTTTGGGAGGCCGAGGCGGGCGGATCACGAGGTCAGGAGATCGAGACCATTCTGGCTAACACGGTGAAACCCCATCTCTACTAAAAATACGAAAAAATTAGCCAGGCGTGGTGGCGGGCACCTGTAGTCCCAGCTACTCGGGAGGCTGAGGCAAGAGAATGGCATGAACCTGGGAGGCGGAGCTTGCAGTGAGCCGAGATCTTGCCACTGCACTCCAGCCTGGGCGACAGAGCAAGACTCCGTCTCAAAAAAAAAAAAAAAAAAAAAAAAGAGTTGCACATACTTCATTTAAGTTCTGAGTTTGGGATGATGTAGCACCCTTTTCTCCTACTCTCACCAACCCTCCGCCAAGCCTTCCAGCCTGTTACCACTCCCAGGCCTGTGGTTCCGTGGCAACAATAGGCCCTGGGGATATCAAGTTCTCAAACTGTGGGAATTAATAATAGGGTAATGATACAAAGAACAGTTGGGAAGCTGGAAATCTAAAGGGTGACTGAATTCCACTGTGATTCAGGTTAAGGTGTAAATATACTTTATTACCAGTTTACAGATATGACCATTCATTGGACACCAAATTTGTGTTAGGCATTATGCTAGGTAATTCTCATTTACTTAGTTTGGCATTTGCCCACCTCCACCTACAAAATTTTCAGTTACAGTATTCCTCTCACCAGAGATGACTTTTTCCTCAATCTCCTGTGCCATTTCCATATCTTCTGCATAAATTACCTCCTACATGAAATAATTCATGTGTAATTCCATGTTTCCAATCACACCAACTAATCTTATTCCTCTTAGTATTTATATGTGCTACTCAAGTAGGTTTTTCTAAATTTATATATACCTAGTTATGTTTCTATGTGCCCCTCTTTAAATTAGAAAGCAGAGTATTTCATATTGCTTGAGTAATTTTACATGAATCACAATGTTGAGTAACCAGAAAATACAGACAGAAGAGCATGTTAAACTACAAGATGGTAATGCAATTAGCAAATCCTGATAATGGGAAACTCTTTTCTTTGACAAATAAATTGCAAGGAAAAAAAGAAGAGAGAGAAAGAGCAAAAGATGGAATGTGAGTTCATGGATTAAAATAGAATTAAAAGACATATAAACCAATCATAATGTAAGAGCCTTATTTGGATCCAGAATCAAAGAAACATACTTTTTAAAAAGTTAGGAGGCCGGGCGAGGTGGCTCATGCCTGTAATCTCAGCACGTTGGGAGGCCGAGGCAGGTGCATCACAAGGGCAGGAGTTTGAGACCAGCCTGGCCAATATGGTGAAACCCTGTCTCTACTAAAAATACAAAAAGCTTAGCCAGGCATGGTGGCAGGCACCCGTAGTCCCAGTGGCTCAGGAGGCTGAGGCAGAAAAATCTCTTGAACCCGGGAGGTGGAGGTTGCAGTGAGCCGAGATCGTGCCACTGCACTCCAGCCTGGGCGACAGAGCAAGACACCATCTCAAAAAAAAAAAAAAAAAAAAGTTATTATACAATTGAAAATACTGGCAATATTTTATGGTATTCAGAAACAGCTAGTTTTTAAGGTATAATTATACTATAATTATTTTTTTCAGAGTTCTTTTTTTTTTAGAAATGCATACTGAAATATTTATTGATGAAGTGATATGGTACCTAGGATTTACTTCAAAATAAAATGAGTAAGGTAGAAGTGGGTAGAGAGAATACAGATGAAACAAGACTGGTCATGAGTTAATTATTGTTGAAGCTCTATGATGGGTAGATAGAAGTTTACTACACAATTATGTGCACTTATATATATATTTGACATTTTCCACAATAAAAGTTAAAAAAAATTAATAATAAAGCCATTGTGCCTAGATCCAGAATTCTATGAATAATTCAACCTGTATATCCTATATCCCCAAGGAGAACATGATTTGTCTTCTTTGCCTTTTCTCCTACCTTTTTCCATGAGTAGTCATAACCATCCACATTAACCACTGGCATAACATAGAAATCCACAAGCCTCAGGAGATTGGTATATTGCCCTATTATCCCATAGAATTGAGTTATCTGCAAATTAAACCAAGTATATTTAATTAGATGTTTTAAGTTCTTCTAAACTTAGTGTGTTTCTTTTTCTTTTTTTTAATTTGTCATTTGGCATGTTTAGATTTGCAGATTTAACTTTCAGAAAGAGTGCTAATTCCTCAAAAGAACTGAACTTAGGGTGCTACGAAGTGGTGATAAATGCCTTACACGTGGTCCAGTATTCCTAGTTAATGAAGGCAGACAATCGAACCATAAACTTTCTAAATTTTCCTTAAAAAATAAAATTAATTCTTTATTAAAGCCATAGAGCCCACTAAGAAGATTTAAGGAAACAAAAACCTAGATTTAGTTTAGCTCCTTTTTCTGTAATTCATGTTCATCAGAGCTTAAACTACCTACCATGTTTTATCCCCAGATGTGATTACATGATATTGGCTACATTGTCCTTAGAACTTGTGGAGCTCAAGTTTTGCTAGAATTGAGTGTGTTTCCCAAGGCTTTGATCATCTAGCTGTAGAATTAGGGTAGCTTTTCCTAGGAACTGGCTATGAATTCCTAACGGACATCATCTCAAACTTGTTCCTCTCTACTTTAGAGTCATCCAGCTTAGTGGCACATATTGCAGTGTGATCCAATGGCATCCAAATTTGGTGACTGAGAAGTTTACCCCAAAATGACAAAATGTACAGGCAGGAGAACTATAAAGACAAATTTTAGCTGGTCAAATCGTTTCATCTAGGACAAAGCTTTTGGTTCAAAATCTTAATTTGTGGCAACATTGCTATATTTTAATTTAATTCACATTTAATTACAT
This sequence comes from Homo sapiens, assembly GCF_000001405.40. Lineage (NCBI taxonomy): Eukaryota > Metazoa > Chordata > Mammalia > Primates > Hominidae > Homo > Homo sapiens. The sequence goes on from NC_000013.11 coordinate 46,068,211, forward strand.
TAAATATTTAATTTAGTTTATAATTGTTTGTTGCCTTAAAGCATACTCATGACATTGTTAAGAAATGTCTTTTTCATTATTGACAAAATAAAAACAAGCCTTTTATAAACTTTACTATTTTCCCTTTAAACGTTTAAAATATTATATTCATATTTCCCTAGAACAATCACAAGAGTCACATTAAAAATCTTTGCCATGAATAAATACTTATGAAATCGGAGAGAAAGAAAAGAAAAAAGTTATTTTAAAATCTACTGTAGGTCAGAAATAAAAGGTTAATGAAAAGGAAGCAAAATTTGTAGAATGAAGGAAGCCATGTTTTGTTTTTTTGTTTGTTTGTTTTTTATTATACTTTAAGTTCTGGGATACATGTGCAGAACATGCAGGTTTGTTACATAGTTATACACGTGCCACGGTGGTTAGCTGCACCCATCAACCCGTCATCTACATTAGGTATTTCTCCTAATGCTCTCCCTCCCCTAGCCCCCCACCCCCGACAGGCCCCGGTGTGTGATGTTCCCCTCCCTGTGTCCATGTGTTCTCATTGTTCAGCTCCCACTTATGAGTGAGAACATGTGGTGTTTGGTTTTCTGCTCTTGTGTTAGTTTGCTGAGAATGATGGTTTCCAGGGAAGCCATGTTTTAAATAGTCGAGCAACCAGTTAAATACATTTTTATGTTACGAATTTATAAATTTATGTTAGCATCACTTTTCAGTAATAATGTAGCATTCATTATTAGAAAAATATTAGGAGAGCCTGTTCCTTTTAAAATAATAAAGCAAATAATAAAGCATTTCTCATTTTCATTTCTACAACATGGGCCAAACTTTTAATAGATGCAGCATATGAATTTCTTTTTCTGCTTCACTTTTTAAATTTCCTTCCTACCTTTACCTCTGGTTGGATGGGAATCTTTCTACAAAAAGTTATGCTCTGAGAGATTACCGATGTTAGGCCCAGAACAATGTTACCTATTTCTTTATCTAATAGGTAGGACTCCAGACAGAAGGAGTGAGTGAGGGCTGAAATACAGTCTGTGCTGTGTGCCAAGCCACACCTTCAAGTGTGGCTATAGCTACAATCCCGAAGGAAGGGGTGCCCATTTTTTCTTTAACAGCTTATTGAGATATAATTTACATTCCAGAAATTCACCATTTTAAAGTGTGAAATTCAGCGGTTTTTGGTGTATTCATAGAGTTTTGCAACCATCACTAATATCTGATTTTTGGAACATTTCATCATAAAAAATCCCCATGCCTATGCCCATTATAACTCACTCCCCTTTCCCTCCTGCCATTTCCCCAAGCCTCTGACAATCACTAATGAACTTTCTGTCTCTGTGGATTTGCCCATTCTGGACATTTCATATAAATGGAATAATATATGTGGCATTTTGTATCTGGTTTCTTTTACTTAGCATAGTATTTTCAAGATTCATCTATGTTGTAGCATGAATCAGTATTTCATTCCTTTTGATTGCTGATTGATGTTTCATTGCATGAATATGCTGCATTTTGTTTTTCTGCTCATAAGTTGATGGAAATTTGAGTTGTTTCCACTTTTTGACTATTATGAATAATATTGCTATAATCATTTGTCAACATATGTGTTCACTTGTCTTGGGTATACACCTAGGAGTAGAACTGCTGGGTCATATGGTAACTCTATACTTAATCTTTTGAGGAACTTCCACATTGTTTTTCAAAGTGACTGAAGAAATTTTGCCTGACGACAAATAAATATTTGTTGAAGGTACGATTTACCAACATGGCAAGTAACATAACTGAAATCCTGTCCTACTAGAGTTGGTCTGCAATATACAATGACTTCACTTATGATTTTTTGACTTTACAATAGCGCAAAAGCAATGCATATTCAGTAGAAACCATACCCATGCCACCATTCCATTTTTCAGTTTTAGTGCAGTATTTAATAAGTGATATGGATATTCAGCAATTTATTATAAATTAGGCTCTGTGTTAGAAGATTTTGCCCTACTGTAGGCTAACGTAAGTGTTCTGAGCACATTTAAGGAAGGTTAGGCTATGATATTCAGTATTCGGTAGATTAGGTATATTAAATGCATTTTTTACTTAGAATATTTTCAGTTGTGATTGTTTATTGGGTATATTGAGACATAACCCCACCATAAATTGAGAAGCCTCTGTATAAAAGAAAAAGAAGATGAGAATAGAGGAGAATGGAGAAGAGTGTAAGACTGAGTGATGAGAGGGTGGGATTGATTCCCATCAGCTGGCCTGTGGTCAATGATTACTCAGCTCTTCCTCTCACTTTGCCTGGGGTGCACTCAAGCTTTGCCTTTAATGTGGCCCTAAACAACAACAACAACAACAACAATTCCTGCCTAGGAATTAACCAATGACCATTTGAGAGATAATAAATTAGTACATAACGACATATAGGTCAGTTAATGGGGTTGCTAAAAAAAAATATAAGACACATGAAGGGAAAATTTTAAAACAAAATGTCATTTTCATTACCATTACAAATATATCAGAGAGCTATCCGTCTCAGTTTTTACTCCAATCTCTATATATGTATGTATAGTTTGAACTGTAGCCAATGACAATAAAGTATTTATCCCAACAGTAGGTACTGTTTAGATACTCTCTGCAACCCAAAATTGTATGTCAGCCTAAACCTGCAACATTAATTTAAATTTCAAATTCCACAAGGGGATATTGAGCACCAATTATGTTGACCAAACAATATACCAGGTTATGGGGAACAAAAAAATTACTTTAGACCTGGTCTCTGCCTTCAGAAAGCTAATAGAAGTGATAAGTTGGAAAGGGAAAAGCAGCAGTTCAATGCTATTAATATAAGTATGATAATAAACAATGGCAAGATGTACAAGGTGGCTCAGAAAAAGGATGGTTAATTCTGTGGAGTGTTTGGGGTTGGAACTCCAGAAGAGCAGGTCAAGGGAGCAAGAAATTGAGGGTTCGGATGAATTTGTGATGGGACCAATTAGTGAAGAAAGTGTTCCTGGAAAGGGACTGATAAATTAAAATGATATAGATCTGTGTAGGAACTAGAAATATGCTAAGGTTGAAAAAAAAGCAGTCATAGTAGGGGTGAGAAATGAGAGAAGACAGGAAATTAAGAAGTTACATTGCTAGATGGCTTCTTCTAACATTCCTTGTTGCTGTCCATGGCCACATTCTGGGTCTAAGGATCAGCAAAACATTACTTCTGAGATCCAGAGGATGGCTACAGGAGAAATCTGCTAAAGAGGAGTTGAGATGAGGTTTAGTAGAACAGAGAACAAGGAACTGTGAAGATACATTGTTAGGTGACTCTCACACATGGACTTTGAATTCACTCAGAATGATGGCAAGAGTTGGAGGGGAATAAAGAATCATGAACCGGGTACCAGGAAATTATCTGAAGGTCAGTGCACGATAGCAATAAAATAAGAGTGCAACCAGTTTGTGTAAGTTTCTGAGAAGAGAAGGATCATTGGTAGTATCAGGAGAAGAGAATGCTGATCTACTCCACCAGGCCTCTCAGCACATGGTGATGTGAAAAAAAGAGCAGCCCCTCTACTTGAAGGAGCCACCAGGGAGCAGTGTCCTTAGGTCATGTGTCAGCTGTGGTGAGGAGGGGCAGAGATAATTCTGTGAAGGCCCTGAGGTTGTAGAGCTCTAACTTTGTGTGCAATTAGATGAGAGTTTTCTAGGGCAGAGGTTTGGCAGGAGGTTAGCAGTGAGAAAAGCCATTTGGCAGAAAAAGTACTTGGCAAGTTGTGATGGTTAACATATATTCACTGGGTCCTATGATGTGCCAGCCCTGTGCCGGATTTTGGCTTGGTGATGCAGTCATGCACAAATTGGTCTCAGCTCTGCCTTTGCGGAAAGAGAAGGATCTAAATTTGCCTCCCGAGAGTACATGAATGAGAAGCTTAGAAAGAAATGACTGGCTTCAAGCTTCTCAAAGTGTAGTGTAGTGGATTTCCACTGAGACTAGATTATAAGATTTTTGAAATCCTTATTGAGTTGTAGAAAAGAGTGAGAGACTTAAAAGCTAAGATTTTAATTTGCCTTTGGGTGGTTTAGTTTTTGAATATAAAACCTACCTTCACAATTGTTGAAAGGTAAATATTTTATTTTACTTTCCCTCCTCCAGTGCTTTGAAGTACTAAGAGAGTCAGATGATCTGAATTAGTTTTAGGCAGGCAAGAATGGAGTTTAAATGTCGATTTAAAAAGCCCTTATTGATTATGTTTCTTTGGGCTACACAAATCAGGTTCACATTGTTGGAGCAAAATACTCAGCTATAAGATCCTTGGGCTATATTTTGTTCATCCTTGTATTTCCAGGATCTGAAACATCATAGGCAATCTATAAATATTTGTGGATTAAATAATTTAATCTTACAAAGATTCAGCAAGCAGTTTGGGTAGAGGGTAGGATGTCTAATAGGAGGGCAGAGGTGTCAGGGTGAGAAGGGCAGTCATTAGGGACAACCTCACCGATATAAATTAGAGTCAATATGAATGGAGGTTTCTTCTTGGCCCTTCTCATGTTCAGTGATAGAATGGAAAATAAATGTTCTTACTCTCCTACTTTGGACCTTTCTCTATTAACTGCTGCTCCCTTCACTACCTAAAATAACCAAACTACTCAACTTGGGGAAGGTTCCAGATCATGATGTGACTGGGATATGTTAAGGGTCTGATCAGTTGGAATCATCCTCATTTGGCCAAGGTAGTACCAATGGTGTTTGGGAATTTCCAGTAGACTCAGGGAGGTTGCAGCTCCCATCCATGGAGAATGGAGGATAGAAGATTCACAGTGAATGAAGGCAAATAGGGATGTTGCATTTGTCAAGGTCAAGCAAAGACAGAAACAGTTTTATCTTGATGTACTTAATAAGTGCCAATATCTTAATTTCCTAACTCATTTATTCTGTTACTATGTATCTGTGAATGCAAAGACTGCAAAAATCATTATCAGAAAGACACATATTTTGAGTTATTTTTCCAGTGGCTATGATTCTTTGTAGAAATCAGTGTAGAGAACATATATGCCCATTTTATAGGATTTGAAGCATAATTTTTACTGTTTTCATTCATCAGGGAGGTTAATAGTCGTTATATCTTTTACTTTTCCAACATACAGTTTGTCTTATATATGGCTTTTTTGATGCAAAACCCTTCTTCAGGAACAAAATTCCCTATTATGACATATGAGAAAACATATTCTGTTTCACCTCTGTAATGTTGTGCTTTATGTTCAATTTCCAAGGGCAAAGGTGGCAAAAGATGTCTGGATAATTAAAACCAAAAGAGAAATAAATTAATTGGGCCCCAACTTAGATAACTCCTTCAGTCCTTTCCTCTACTTAGTAAACATATTATAATCAATGTACTATTTCTTAATCATTTTCCACTGTTTAGCTCCAGGCAGAAATGTAGAAAAGACCAAAAATATTTTGGGTGATTTAAATGCTTGAAGTCATGTTCTTCAACTTACTAATGCATAAAAGTCACCTGGGAAACTTGTGAAAATTGTAGATTCCCAAGCTTCATGATGTGACCTAGGAAAATGCATTTTAATAAATAGCCCAGTTGAGTCTGACACAGGTGATCTTGGGCACCATTTTGAGAAATAGGGTTAAGAGAATGTGAATACTTACATGGCCTATGAACCACAAGCAGAAAGCAGGAGAGATCCATTCTCTGGCATGGATTCCACAGTCAATCCATATGGCATTTTTGGCTGCTTGTTCTTTTCCAGAAACCTGCTCAAAGAAACCCCAAAAGTAGCAAAAACAGTAACAATAAGCTTCAGGATAATAACTTTCATTTATATAGTGCTTATATTTAATAGTTTCAGCAAATCTCTGAGATATGCATTGTTCTGCATTTCTTTGAAAATTCTCAAGGGAAATTTAAACACTGGTGATACTAAGTGACATTAGTTAAGGTAGCAAAGCTGGTGTGAATTGAAACTGAAGTTTGAAGCCAGGACTCTTTGATTTAAAACTGTTTTTATCCTCCACAATTATGCAGTCATGTCAGAGCTGCATGTGGAAGTTTCAAAGAAGAGACCAGAGAACTAATGATTTGGGCTGTATCTTCATGCTTCATTTAGAGGTAAATGGGTGTGAGTTGGATGGCAATCTTCCCCGGGAGGTGTGGAGACACACCCAGAGCAAAAACTCCCTCAAGATTTTCCTGAGTGCATATTTTTTTTTTATGTGGATTATTTCTTTATTTCACACAAAAAGAAGCACACATCTAACCTCTCACGAACTTACCAGCAAATCCAGGGACAGAGGCTTTTTTCCCAGTATGGTGGGCTAACACAAGCTGCTAACTCTGGAATAAGAATCATCAACCTTTTCTCAATAATAGCCTTTGATGTCTTTAGAAGAATTATCAAGAACACCTCCAAAATTAATCATAATGTATTTGCCTTTAAAAGTCAGCTACAACACAGTTTAGGGTATAGAGCAGTGGTCCCCAACCTTTTTGGCACTAGGGACCAGTTTCATGGAAGACAATTTTTCCATGGATGGGGCAGAGTTGGGGTGGAATCAGTGGTGGGGATGGTTTGGGGATAAAACTGTTCCACCTCAGATCATCAGGCATTAGATTCTCCTAAGGAGCATGCAACCTAAATCCTTTGCATGCGCGGTTCACAGTGGGGTTTGTGCTCCTATGAGAATCTAACGCTGCCACTGATCTGACAGGAAGCATTGCTCAGGCAGTAATGCTTGCTCGCTGGCTATTCATCTCCAGTTGCGTGGCCGCGTTCCTAACAGGCCATGGACTGGTACCTGTCTGCAGCCCAGGGGTTGAGGACCACTGGTATAGAGGGAAGGGAGAAGACTGTTGTAAAATCAAACAAATATGTAGACTTGCAATTCCAAAATAAGAAAAAGAAAGAGTTAGATATTTAGATTGTCATTTGAACCACTCCAGGAGGTTTTTTCCTAACTTGGAGCTAGCAATATTTAACAGGATAGTAAGTAAGAAAGCCCAATGGCATTGGCCACTAATCGTCAAATTGTATAGTCAAAGAGAACTACCTAGCTTAATCTACTCAATGCAAAGAAAATCTTAAGTTGTCTGGATTCGTTACTTTACTTGACCTTTCTAAGTCCTGGGCCAATTTTCTTGGCACTGGTTCTGACACCGAAAAGTTGGCAAAATCCCAGAGACTCACATTATCTGCACATCCTTGATCAAGTAAGAGTAGGACCAAACCATCCAGAATGCATGATTTTTCAACGTGTACAGGTTCCAGATAAGTATGTTCCAAGGACTACACACAACATGGCTGAAAGCAAATGTCATGGGTGGATATGCCATGATACATGGATCCAATCTGATTGACCAACTCAGTGACCAAGGGGACCCAACATTTCATATGTCTGCCTTGAGTCTGCACTGTAAGTTCTTGTAAACGACAGATTAAAATTGAGAAGTCCTAACCCAAAGTCTTATCTTTGAATGACTGAAGAGGCTCACCTATCACAATTTAGATAATATTGGGATACTGTGCATAAATTATATGTTACTAAATTAAATGTACATTTTTAGTGACTACATTATTTTCCAGAGCTTTAAAAAAAATTTTTTTTAAGAGAGAGAGGTAGAAAACAGAACTATAGAGTTGTTTCCTAGTTCTGAAAACAATTGGCTGTGGCTATGTTCACTGACCTTTACTAAGGTCAATTTATTCAAGAGAGAAGACATCCAATCCAAGTTAGGTTAATCAATTTCTCTTGCATAATATTTTGCAACTGAAAATAAATAACCAAATGGGTGGAAATTGGAGTAGAAACCATCATAAGAACCCTACTGCAAAGGACTTCAGCCTTGTCCGGCTGTTTGTCCCTTGCTGGGATTTGTTGTCCTGGTCTTACTTTAGTTTCAAAAGCTGTACCAGGAAGTACTAACCAGAGCAAACAGGTAAGAGAAAGAAATAAAAGGCATCTAAATTGGAAGGGAAAAATCAAATTATCCTTGGTTTTAGATGACACGATCTTATATTTAGAAAAACCTAGCCTCCACCAAAAAACTGTGTTAGAACTGATAAATTCAGTAAATTGCAGGTTATAAAATCAGCACACAAAATCAGTAGCATTTATATACAACAATAGCAGACAACCTAAAAGAAAAATCAAGAAAGAAATACCATTTACAATGACCAAAAAAAAAAACCTATAATAAATCTAACCAAAGAAGTGAAAGACCTACAATTAAGACCATAGAACACTGATGAAAGAAACTGAAGAGAACACACAAAAAAATGAAAAGATACCTCATGCTCACGGGCTTAAGAATTAATATTGTTAAAATGTCCGTACTACCGAATGGAATCTACAGATTCAATGCAATCCCTGTCAATATCAATATACTCTTCATAGAAAGAGAAAAAAAATTCTAAAATTCATATGGAGCCATAAGAGATCTTGAAAATCCAAAGCAATGCTGAACAGAATGAGCAAAGCTGGAGTACTAAAACAGCATGGTACTGGCATAAAAACAGACACATGGACCAATGGATTAGAATAGAGAACCCAGAAATAAATCCACAGATCTACAGTTAACTCATTTTCAACAAAGGCACCAAGAACATACATTGGGAAAAGGACAGTCTTGTCAATAAATGGTATTGGGAAAAATTTTATTCATAAAATTCAAACTAAATGCCTATCTCTCGCCTTATATATAAAATCAACTAAAAACAGATTAGAATTAAATGTAATACCTAAAACTATAAAACTACTAGAAGAAAACATTGGGAAAACAATTCAGGACTTTGGTCTCAGCAAAGATTTTTTGGGTAAGATCTCAAAAGCACAGTCAACAGAAGCAAAAATAGATAAAGGGGATTACATCAAACTGAAAATTTGCTTCTGCACAGCAAAGGAAATAACAGCGTGAAAAGAAAAAAATGGGAGAAAATATGTGCAAGCTATCCAGCCAACAGGGACTTAATAACCAGAATATATAAGGAACGCAAACAATTCAAAAGGAAAAAAACAAATAATCCAATTTTAAAAATGAGAAAGGAATCTGAACAGACATTTCTCAAAAGAAGACACACAAATGGGCAACAGGTATATGAAAAAATCCTCAACATCACTAATCATCAGGGAAATGTGAATTAAAACCACAATGCAATGTCATCTCATTCCAGTTAAAATGGCTTTTATCCAAAAGACAGGCAATTACGAATGCTAGAGAGGATGTGGAGAAAGGGGAACCCTTGTACACTGTTGGTAGGAATGTAAATTAGTTCAGCCACTATGAAAAACCATGTGGAGGTTCCTCAAAAAACTAAAAATGGAACTACCATATAAGCCAGCAGTCCTATTATTGGGTATGTATCCAAAAGAAAGGAAATCAGTATATCAAAAAGATACCTGCACTCCCATGTTTATTACAGCACCATTCACAATAGTCAAGATATAGAATCAACCTAAGTGTTCTTCAACAGATGAATGATAAAGAAAATGTGGATGTGGATAAAGAAAATGTGGATATGCATGTGGAAAATGTGGATAACAAATGGAATATTACTCAGGCATTAAAAGGAATAAAATCCTATCATTTGCAGCAACATGCCCTGAAATAAGCTATGTAGGGAAAGACAAATACTACATGTTCTCACTGATATGGGGAGTGGAAAACGTTGATCTCATAGAGGTAGAGAGTAGAATGGTGATTACCAGAGGCTGGGAAAGGAGGATAAAGAGAGATTAATTAGTGGGTACAAAATAGATAGAAGGAATAAGTTCTAGTGTGTAGTAGCACAGTAGGGTGACGAGAATCAACAATATTTCAAAATAGCTAGAAGATGAACTTAAAATGTTCCCAACACAAAGAAATGATAAATGTTTGAAGTGATGGATATCCCAAATACCCTGATTTACACATTGTATGCATGTATCAAAACATCACATGTGAGGAGGGAGGGAGAAAAAAAATCACATGTACCCCAGAAACATGTACAATTATTATGTATCAATTTTTAAAAATTAACATCAAAAAGCTGCACCACTTTTTTTAATTTTTAATTTTATTTTTTCAAGTCCCTGTTTTATTTTCTGTTAGTGTTTGTCCCCTAACAGAAATAGTGTTTGTCCACTAACGAAAATAAAACAAGGACTTGAAAAAAATAAACACCACTTCCTTCATTTTATGGAAATGTTAAATGGCTTATCTAATGTCACATAAACAGAAACAGAGTTAATTCTAGAACTGGGATTCATCTAGAATTGAAGCCTTAACCCCCTAGAGACTGTATTTGGAGATAGGGCCTTTAAAGAGGTGATTAAGTTAACATGAGGCCCTTAGGGTGGGTACTAATCCAGACTGACTGGTGTCCTTGTGGGAGGAGATTAGGACATACAGACCAGGACAAGACTATATTATTAATGGGAAAAATAACCAACCCCTAAATAGCCAGGTATTAAAGTTGAGGAACACTTGTAATGCAAATATTTTCAGAACTCAAAGGAAACAAACTCAAGTTTTAACAAACACGACTGGAGAATTAATCCCTCCCCTCACAGTGAAAGATCAACAACTTTCCCCACAACATACCTTTAAAACATAGAGTGGGTACTTCTCAAATGAGGATCCAATGTGGATTTTTGTAAGCATATCAGGATGCCTCTCAGTTATAAATTCTATCCAAGAATAGATCTAGCAAAATGGAAACCAGAGGTTAGTCACGAAGCCAAGTTCAAAGCATTTCCCTGACCAAAGCAAGCAGACAACTTCTTCAGAGAAAGGAAAACCTCTGTATGTGGAATGCACGAGGACCTAAAGCACTTAGGGCAGGGTGTTTCTTCTGCTGTTTAGGGAAATTAATAAAATTAAAGTTTTGATAAGTGTCAAGGTTTTGAGAAAGAGTGAAAAAGTGCTAAGATACTTATAATGAGGTAGGAAAAGTTAATCTATAAACTATGGCCCCTGAAAGTTACTTTTAAAGTCATCACATTGAGTCACTGCCCCTGTGTATGAAATTCTTGTTCTCATTCATTCAAAAGTTCACTTTTATATGAGACTTTTTTAAAAATGCACTTTTCAAGATGAAGGGAGCCCTTAGCACTGTCTTCATGCAGGATAAATGGAAGCATCATTGTTTCCCACTAAAGACCTGTGCAAGAACAGTGAGATTGGCACAATGATGAGAGGCAAAGGTGGGGACCATCTGGAGGAAAAACAAACAAACTCAATTATCCCCCCAAGAAGTAGTTCGATTCTGGACCTCTCTCTTGGGTGGAAGTCCAGTTGTATTTGAGGTTCTGTCAAGATAATAGGGGAAGGAAAAAGCAAAAAAAAAAAAAAAAAAAAGAAAAGAAAAGAAAAGAAAAAAATTCTGACTTTAGGCTAGCACCCACTTCAAAGCAAACATTGAATTATTGTCTGGTTTGGGATTGCTGGGATTGAACTGGGTTATGTTTTAATTTGGACCAACTTTCCAGGGTCCATTCTTAAACTCTGATGCCTTCTGAAACAGAAGCAATCAAACCCTGGCTTTATCTCTGGGAACTTTTCTAGAGGTGATTTCAAATAGCAATCCTAGCTGGTAAAAACTGGAGCACCATTTATCCTTGGGTTCTCTGAGATCACATAACCAGCATGAGTGGTAGGTGTGAGTGGTTGTCCCCATGCTGAGAATTAAGGGCTCCTGCCCACCTGCCACCAAGTACCGACCCTGTCAGTGTCTGGGGTGTCAGAAATGTAACTGTCAGCAATTTCCTAATTGAATCTCCATTTCCTGTGTTACTCTTCTAGGCATAAATACATCTGAGAAAGCTACCACAAAAAAATAATTTATGCATTGATACTTCAGTAGATTTCCTCTAACAGGAGAGGCTGTATAATATGAAGGCAGTTTAACCGACAGACTTTATTCATTTCTCAAACTAAGCTGGGGTAATAATGTAACATCCTTTGAAGAACTCTTTTCTCTCACCATTTCTTCTAAGAAGTAATTTTTGGCCATTTGTTTCTTTCTCCCTACACCGGATCATTTAAGATCTCCTGGTGTGAGTCAATGACAAAATAACCTCTGCTGCCCACCAGTCCATCTTGTAGGTAGGGCTGATCAAGAGACCACCGATCAAAGGGAAAGAAGCACTTAGAGGAATATTCTGAGAGCAAAATGCTTATGGTTCCTATGAACCTGTTAGAAAATAATAGGGGCGGGGGTGCAAAGAGAAGCACAAGACATTTTCTATAATGTCATAGTTAAGGAGTAGATGTTGTACCCCTTTCTCCAATTCATATGTTCAATCCCTAACTCCCAGTAGGTTAGAAAGTGACTGTATTTGGAGATAGGGCCTTTAAAGAGATGATCAAGTCAACATGAGGCCCTTAGAGTGGGCACGAATCCAATCTGACTGGTGTCCTTATATGAAGAGGAGATTAAGATATACAGAGAGAGACCAGGGATGCATGTGCACAAACAAAAGGTCATATGAGGCTGGGCATGGTGGCTCACACCTGTAATCCTAGAATTTTGGGAGGCCAAGGCGAGCAGATCACTTGAGCTCAGGAATTCAAGACCAGCCTGTCCAACATGGTGAAATCCCATCTCTACTAAAAATACAAAAAATTAGCTGAGCGTGGTGGTATGCGCCTCTAGTCCCAGCTACTCTGGAGGCTGAGGCAGGAGAATTGCTTGAACCCAAGAGGCGCAGGTTGCAGTGAGCCAAAATCATGCTATCGCACTCCAGCCTGGGTGACAGAGAGAAACTCTGTCTCAAAAAAAAAAAAAAAAAAAGGAAAGAAAAGGCATATGAGGAAGAACGCTGTGAGATGGCAACTACCTACAAGCTGAGGAAAGAGGCCTCAGTAGAAACCAAACCTACTGACACCTTGATCTTCTAGCCTCTAGAATCATGAGAAAACAAATTTCTGTGATTTCAGCTACACAGTCTGTGGTATTTTATTACCACAGCCCTAGAAAACTAATAGAGCCATGTGCTTATTTTTTCCTCCTGTGTCATTCCAACTCTTTCCTGAACATATCGTAAGAAAACATAACTTTTTTGAACAAAATAATTAAAATATGTTTTAACAAATATTTAAAAATACTTCTGTTTATGGCATTCCCCTCTCCCCACCAAACTTATCACAGCAGTGACAGTTTCACCTTTTATGAAGGTGAAATCCCACCTATGAAGCCTCTCTGCATCAAGTTTGCTCATGCAGTCGTGCTGATGGATGCTGGAGAGAGGTGGTCTAAGTTGGATAGATGTAGGAGAGATTAAAAAAGGGGGGGTGCAATTTTAAGGCCCCCTCAATCAACCAGGCACACATTCTAGAAGCATACTGACTCTGGCTTAATTAACTGGGAAGGAACAGATGCTTTTAAAGATTATATACATAAAATTGATTCTCATTACCTAAGTCTTAGATGTCTTAAAAATATGGATATGGTCCCTAATAGTTTCTGGGCACTTAGTCAAAGATGACAAAAATAGTTATATTAGGCAATATAGCTGCATACTCATAAAAAGGCATCAAGGTATTTTTACTACTTGGAGAATATCATATAAAAAAGAAAGTCCTCCTGCGAATTTATTCTTTCAACTAACAAATACAGGGAATGGCTTTTAGTGGATTATGTGAAAGCTTGCTGAGGTCTCACCTGCACATCAACATCTTACTCAAGTTCTCTCTAGAAGGAGTGGAACCTGTAAGTACTGATAGAAAAAAAATCCAATTTCTTACAGATTAAAACAAAGGCATTATTATTATTATTAGTTTAAATAGCTTCCTTCTAAGGAATAAAATGCAATTAGTTATAGTGTATTAAATATAAGTGAATATATTCCTTTAATTCAGTGAGCTAATCTGGTAATTAGTAAAATTAGGGTAATGGTCCAAAGAGACATGATTAATTGGACTGGTAATTTTTTGGTGGCAGTTTTAATTAAAAGCCCCAATTCTTTAATTTCTGTTGTTCCATAGCATAAAGTGTTATTCCCAGCAGTTAGAGATATTCTTAGCTGTAGACAAACATCCTGCAGTTTACCAAATATGATGCAGTCTTCTCAGGGAAGATATCTACCAAAAAATGAATGACCACCATTTAATTAACCTAAGTGTGTTTGTGTTTTATTTTTTACCATCTTCCACCAATTATGATTCTTGAATATTCCCCTGATTGAAATGGCAATACTGGTTAAATGAAAATAGTAGCTTTGAAGAGCTGTGTGATGGCTTACTTCATTTAGTGAGTGATACTGTTCATAGTACGATGCGGAGGCTCGGGGGCTGACTGTGTCGTTGGAAATCTGCTGTTGAATAAGATCTTCCACATCTGCCAGCAAGACACTAGGTGATGAAACAGAGAGTGAGCTAGTTTCCAAGCAGAGGGTGGATCTTCCCACATGGCCCATTGCAGGCACAGCAGGTGAGCATGAAGAAAAAAAATCACTAAGAAACTTCATAAGCATTTCATCAAGGTAAAAGTAAGACATCTCGCATTGTGGTAAACTGGTTGACAAACCCTTTCAGTAGAGCCTACATGGGCACTAGAGAAAAAGTAGCTCCTATTAGGTATACTTTCAGGACCTCCATAAAAACCACCGTTTCCCACCATTACCAACATTACTCAATGGTGATTCTTCAGTGTCTTTTATATGAATATATGGATTAATGTACCTTTGTTCAATCCAGACTAACACTGTATTATGCTGTTTTCAGTTAAAGAGGAAGAAGAAGCAGAAAAGCCTTTTCTTTCTTTTTTTTTTTTTCTTATTTTTTCCCCCATTGACCTGCATCAGATGTTCTGCAGAGCCAAAGAAATAGAACAGGAAAAGGGAAGTACAGGAAAGGCATCTCATTCAAGTTCTCTTCAGAGCACCACATTTGTTAACCAGGCAAATATTTTAGCTGAATTCAGGCATTCTATCGCCTGAGATGGACAAGTTGAAAGTTAGCTATCATACTAATAAAGGGTTCTTTACTTTTATTTAGGCCAATAAATAAAAGCCGCAGTGTTGACATCAGAAAGGTCTAAGTTCGACTCCTAACTCTGCCATGTTCTTTCTGATTTACCCTGAAAAATTCCTTTATAAGTAAGGATATTTTTTCATCTATATAATGGGGTTGCATCTACTTCACGGGGTTAAATAAAGATTAATAGACACAATGTCAATTAATAGAAAGGTTCAGCACAGTTCCTGGAAAACAGTACACACCTATAATATACTCTATAATATATTACTAATAATTAACATAGCATATTATCCAGGGGGCACCCATTGATACACAGAAGAGAGCATGGTCTCAAGGGGCCAGGCCACCAGGAAGGTACTGGCAGTTGGGCAGTGGATATGGAGGGGAGATATTAGGAGACTCCATAAGAAGAAGGCTAGACTGTGAGCAGAAATTGTACCTGATACACTTTTTAAGAAAAGGAAATCATTTCTAATCCACAGGGTAGGTGCTGTTTTTACCCTTAATATACAAAACTTGGGAGCAGAGAGGTGAATAATTCCCCCAGGGTCATATAGGTGGTAAGGGGCAGTGCCAGACTAACCCGAGGTCTCTGCAGAGTCCAACCACCTGTTACACTTTTTAAAGCCAGACATTCAGAAATGGTCACTGTCTTTGTGAAGAAGAATTAGCAGAAGCTAAATCCCCTCCCGAAGCTGCTTTTTCAGGAGATATCAAAAAGCCTACCAAGGCAAATGACAGTTTTGCTCCCTGAGTCTGGGTACAGAGTCAGAGAAAAAGGAACTATGAGAGCCTTTACCAATCACTGAGTCTAACCTGCATTTTAGATAAGGGACGGAGGTCATGAGGGGTTGAACCATTTATCCAAGATCACAGAGCTGGACCTTAGGCTTTATCACCAGTCCATTTGGTCCAGTCAGAGACTTCTATGCTGCCATGGTTAATACATTTTATTTTTCCAGGAAGCAATTATACCATACCCTAGTCAAGTGCATAGTAAGTGTTTATAATAACTACTCAATACGTATTGAACGGTGCCTACCTGCATGGAATTCCGCTCACATTTAAATGGGCTTTCACATTGTCGACATCAGATGCATTTACAAAAAAATGGACTTGTTTTTTCTTCACAATAAGGTCAGCTGTTACCGGCTGCCAGAGAACAATCTACAGTTTAAGGGGCAAAATTGATAAAATTAAAAAAGAGTTGTTCACATCATTCTCATCTGTAGCTAGAGCCATGACAGTTTTATCTATAAGGAGTATGAAAAGGACACTCCCTGGTGCTGGTCCCCATCCACACACATGGTAATATAAACATTTATTTTGCAGTGAGTTTTTTAAAATTCCTTTCTATAACTCTAGTTGCTAAAAAAAAATAAAATAAAAGGGCCTGGAATATACAAGATAATCCATAAATATTTGATGAGACAATGATGAATGAATGACTATATTCATGGCTTAACTGTAAAATTGCATGTGTACATCAGATATTTGAAAGGAAACAAAATTTTTTCTAGAAAGAAAGTTGATTAAACATTGATTTTATTTAATAAAAATTTCATGTTCTTGTAATTATCATCATGTCATTTTTCCTTTTTTTAAAAAGGCTTCCAATAAGATTTACATTTTTTCTCTCTTAATGTGCTTTTTATTTATTTATTTATTTATTTTTTATTTTTTATTTTTTTTTTGAGACGGAGTCTGGCTGTCTCCCAGGCTGGAGTGCAGTGGCGCGATCTTGGCTCACTGCAAGCTCTGCCTCCCGAGTTCTCGCCATTCTCCTGCCTCAGCCTCCCGGGTAGCTGGGACTACAGGCGCCCGCCACCACGCCCGGCTAATTTTTTGTATTTTTAGTAGAGACGGGGTTTCACCGTGTTAGCCAGGATGGTCTCGATCTCCTGACCTCGTGATCCGCCCACCTCGGCCCTCCAAAGTGCTGGGATTACAGGCACGAGCCACTACACGTACTTTTTCAAAGCACTTTCACACTCATTTCCTTTGATATTTATAACGCTTTGATATAGACTAGGCAGGTGTTATTATTTGCATTGTTCAGGTGAAGAAATTAAGGTTCATACCTGACATCTAAAATCATACACCTAGAAATGACAGAACAAGAACTAGAATTCTAAATCTCAGATGCTTCCTCTTGTAGTATTTCCTCTTTACCATGATGTGGTGGTCGTGAATATGCACCATTTAGCTCTTCGGTTGAGAGAAATACAGTTGGCTGGTGTTTTCAGTGGCTGCCCTGGTGACCCACTAGAAGCTGAGGCCATGTGGTCTCAGGGCTGCATCCAGCCAGTAACCGAGTCCTGTGGAAGTGTTAATGCAGGCCCATTCTTGCCAGACTGAGACTGACCTAGCCCAGCCTTCTTTGGACCTGCCCTATAGTCTGAGATTCTCCAAACAAAATTCCCCTTTCTGCAGAGGTGTCAGAGCTATGACATGGTCTGATGATGCTCTCTGCCTTCTCCAGCTCCCGCCTCTATCCTCCAACAGCATTCCCCTCATCGCTTGCTCCTCCAGTCTAGTCTTAACCTCTGCTTCTTGGAAAACACTAACAAACAAGGAGCCATCAATTTTGTACCATGATATTGTTACAGGATCCCTGGGGTCGCTTCACCAGCAGAAACCTCTGTGGTCAGTGGCGCCTTTGCCTAAGCTTTGCTCAGGCCCGCTGAGCCCACTCGGCCTGGCAGGCTGCACTCATCTCGTGCTACTGGCTTGGGTCTCATTCGTGCCAAGGGCGAGCTGAGCGGTGAGGGGTGTGTGAGTGAGCAGGTGTGGGGTCCAGCTACTACACACAGCGAGGCATGCTGGCTGCGGCAGGGTGGGCATCTTTCGGCTCCCTGCAAGGCTGTGGCTGGACCAGGTGTCCCTCAAGCAGCTTCAATGGCTGGCACCGGGGAAGGTGGTGGCACCCAGAAGTTTGGAGACGTCAGGAACCACAGAGCCCTAAAGAGGGTGTCATAGTCCTGCCTCGGGGAGTTCTTAGGTCTGAGCTCCCCAAAAGGCTGCAGCTCTTCTCTCCTTCTTGTCACCCACAACGTGGCAAGCAAGGGGCGTGTTTCAGCTCTGTTTGTGTTAGAGCTCTTTCACCTCCACCATTTGGCAGGTTCAGCGCCCGGGAACAATGACGTACGTGGACAAGCGGAGGGTGAGCAAGGTGAAGAGGAGCTTTACTGAGTAATAGAACAGCTCAGAGGAGACTCGCGGTGGGTAGCTCCTCTCTGCAGCCAGGGTGTCCTGATGAGTGTTCGTTCTCAGCAGAGAGGAGACCCTGGAGTGGGTGGCTCCTCTCTACAGCTGGTCCTCCCCATGTCTCTCCAGAAGAGTCTGGCTGAATCCGGGGGATTTCTATGGGCTTCAGATGGGAGGAAGTGAGTGCTGATTGGTTCATGGGTGGCCATAGGCGGGTGCGGAAAAATCACCGTCAGTTCCCACTGCGGTCCACGGGACTGGCAGCCTTCCTGGGCTTGAAGGTGGGGCTTCACCAGGGACCCGCCCTTTTCTGCCTAGGATCCTGTCTGCCTCCTACGGCTATTTATGGCACCCAGGATTTTCCAGCTGAGGGGGCCTGCAGGCCAGTGCCGAGAAGCCCTCAGCCACCCCCTTGGCTTCCCTCCTGTGCTCGTCAGTACCCAAAGTCCAGAGGGGGCTGAGGCAGCAGGGGGCTAGCATGTCAGTACCGCTCTGATCATGCACACAGCCAGCCAGGTTGTGACAACACCTAGGCTCAGCCTCAATTTTGCTCCAAGATTGGAGTGAGCACCAGGAACTCGGAGAGACCAGACAGTGGGAGCAGGCACTTGCGAGCCTGTAGGGGAATGAGGGTCCTTCTCAGAACACTGAGAGTGCAGAAATGCCTGGGTCTGCAACCCCAGCTGGGCAGCTGCAGCTGCGCCCAGGAGGGCAGGGCTCCTGCCTGCTCCTGGCCCCCAAGAGCACAGGGATGTCCAGGTCTGTAGCTGCAGCGGGCAGCTGCAGCTGCGCCTGGGGAGCATGAGGCTGCCGCCCTGCCATCACAGAAGGGGGCGGGACTTTTACCTCCTCCTGGCTTCTGCTGGCTCCGTGGAGCACACAGCCCCAGCCGTGCCTCCCGCATGGCAGCAGCCGCTCTAGATGGGCCGCCACTGCCATTAATATTCTGTAATTCTTGTCAATTTTCTACATCTTAGACATTATGTCGAGATGGGTGCCTGGGTGAGAATTTTAATAAATGTACTCTGTCTTTCTGGTGCATCCTTGGTTAAGAACCATTGTTTCATGAGTAAGGTTTTATTTATAAATATTTTAATTTCTGTTACTGTAGCCTCTTTGTAAGTGCACACTTTATATCCCAAGGTACTATTATGAAATTGGCTGGAAAGCCAATAGCACAAGTGAAGAAGTGTTGATTTGGGGAACCAACAAAATCATGTGATTATGAGAAGGGAGAGAAGACTATGAGAAGAAGAGTTCATACCAGATACATGTAAGCCAGACAACATACAGGAGGAAACTCAACACCCAGTGCTTATACAAAGTGAAACCAATATAAACATAAATTAGGGAGAAATTACCTCATATGTTGTAGTAAGATTCTGTAGAACTTGAACTTGCCTAGAGGTTCTAGGAAGAGCAGCTAGAACTTGGCCACTGGGGAAAAAAATAAAAGAGGATTTTGATATTAAATAAAGAGTAAAGATGGAATATATTATACTGTGAGGAGCTTTTAGGTAATTGCAAAAGGGAAACAAAATTTAAAATGTTATTAGGACAGAGGATCTTACTACAGATTCAGTGTAATAAGAGAACATATACTCTCAGTCTTTATGCTCCTAAGCAATTGCAAAATCAACAGCTCTCTTGACTGGGGGTCAGTTTACAGAGTATTTACTTCTTTCCTTTTTCTTGTGCGTGCATGTGTGTTTTAATTTTAAAAATTAAATATTTGATGCATAAGGGAATATTTATGCTGATCCTAGTTAATTATACAATAAAATGAATGCCTGTGAACCCATCACCCCACTTAAAAAGTCCAGCTTCCTTGACATCCTGAAGATCCTTGTGTGCTCCTCTCTGTCCTACCCCCTTGCCACATCACCAGAGGTATCCTCTACCTTAAATTTTGACTTTTGCTCATTCCCTTGTTTTTCTTTATAGCATGGATTTTTAAACACATGTATGTGTGAATTCTGAAACAATACCCTTAGATTTGCCTGATTCAACTTTATAAAAATGGTATACTATATGTATTCTTCTGAATCTTGTTTTTCTTTTGTTCGGTATTGTATTCTCAAGATTATCATCTGTGTTGAAGTAGCTAGCCATAGTTCACACGTGAAAGCATTTTCTTACAAGTGGAATTGCCATTTCATGGGATATGCACAGTTTTAATTTCATAGGATAGTGTCATATCAGTCCTCAAGTTTTTTGTATCAATTTATATTGTCAGTAGCAGTGGAAAAGATTTCCTGTTGTTCTTCCTCCTTGCCAATACCTGATGCTCTCTGACTTTTCAACTTTTGCAATCAAATTTTTATGAAATGAAATTTTCTTGTGATTTTGATTTTCATTTTCTGACTTATTAATGAAGTACAGTTGTTTATATTTGATTATCGGCCATTCATATTTTTGCTTATATGTTATGTTTATTCAGATCAACTGCCCATTTTTTTCTAATTTACTTGTATTTTTGTAGTAGTTAATTTGTATAATTTCTTTATATATTCTAAATACTAATTTCTTGTCAGTTATATGTATTGCAAATATCTTCTAGCAGTTTGTAATTTGTCTTTTCTCTTTCTTGATGATGTGCTTTTTTTTTTTTAATCATTTCCTTCCAGGTTTGTGTGGTTTAAGATGTCTTTCTAGATATCTGGGATATAAAGATATTCTCATATACTTCTTCTGTCCTTCTTATTTAAATTTTAAATTCAATTGAAAATTATTTGGTTGGGTGCAGTGTAAAGAAGAAATAGACTTCTTTTTTTTTCTTCTTAGCATCGTTTATTATTATGATTTTTTACATCATCTATATTTTTCCCAGGGATCCACTATGTCAATTTTGTCATATATCAAGTTTCCATACTGTTTGGCAGAGAAAATGTTGGTTCATCAACACCACTGCCTCTTCCTGCATAGACAGAAAAACTTCATTACCCAGCCTTCCGTGTGGTTGTGTTGAGAGCCAGTGCCTGAGCTTTGCCAATGGGAATGCGTGGGAGTGTTATAGGTGCCTAAGAGTAGGTGTGTCTTCATGTGCACGTGCCCCCTCTCATCCTGCGGCCAGAAGCAAAGAGCCTCAAATGTGGAGTTGCATAATGGAAGCAGCCAAGATCTCCAAGTTGAAGGAGAGCACCAGGGAGAGTTCTATGACCTTCATCAATTAGTATTATGAGTGAGAAATTGCTCTGATCTGAATGTTTGTGTCCCCCCAAAATTCCTATGTTGAAATCCTAACCTCCAAGGTATTAGGAGATGAGGGTTTTGGGAGGTGATTAGGTCATAAGGGGAGAGGCTTCATGAATGGGATTAGTGACCTTAAAAAAGAGATCCCCTCCCCCTTCCACCATGTGAATATATAGCGGGAAGGTTCTGTCTATGCGGAAGATAGTCCCTCCCCAAACACAAGAATTAGCTGGTGCTTTGTCATGAACTTCCCAGCCTCCAGAACCGTGAGCAATAAATTTCTGTTGTTTATAAGCTGCACCACTTAAGGTATTTTTTGTTATAACTGCCCAAACGTACTAAGACAGAATTAACCCTATATTGTATTAAGTAAAGCTGTTTCAGGTTTTATTAGTGATTATAGCATAATCAAGGATTACCCTTGCTAATATAATGTGCTCTATTTCTTAGTTCTCTATTATGTTCTATTGATATATTTGTCTACCCTTGAGCCAATACTACTCATCTTAGTGATGGTAGCTTCATATTACATCCTAATATCTTAGAGAACAAACTCTTGCTTCCCCTCTGCCCTGCCCAATTCTTTTTTTTTTACAAGCCTCTTGTCTTGATCCTTTGCTTTTTCACATAATTTTTAAAAATCAGCTTGTTATGTTTCATGAAAAAAATGAAATTTTCATTAGAATTATATTGGATCAATAGATTAATAATTTGGAAAGAACAGATATACTCATGATTCTGAGTGTCATTATTAATAAATACAGTGAATTTGTCTATTTGTCTATTCTTTTTTTTTTTTTTTTTGGAGATGGAGTCTCACTCTGTCACCCAGGCAGGAGTGCAATGGAGCGATCTTGGCTCAGTGCAACCTCCGCCTCCCAGGTTCAAGCAATTCTCCTGACTCGGCCTCCTGAGTAGCTGGGATTACAGGTGCACACCACCATGGCTGGCTAATTTTTGTATTTTTTAGTAGAGACGTGGTTTCACCATGTTAGTCAGGCTGGTCTCGAACTCCTGACCCCGTGATCCACCCGCCTCAGCCTCCCAAAGTGCTGGGATTACAGGTGTGAGCCACTGCACACAGCCCATTTATCTATTCTTTAATGCCTTTCCAAAAGTTTTACAATTTTATCCATAAAGATGTTGCACTTTTTTTTTTTCTTTTTGAGACGGAGTCTCGCTCTTTTGCCCAGACTGGAGTGCAGTGGCGCCATCTCGGCTCACTGCAACCTCCACGTCCCTGGTTCAAGCGATTTTCCTGCCTCAAGCCTCCTGAGTAGCTGGGATTACAGGTGCACACCAACACACCTGGCTAATTTTTTGTATTTTTAGTAGAGACTGGGTTTCACTATGTTGGTCAGGCTGGTCTCGAACTCCTGACCTCGTGATCCTCCTGCCTCAGCCTCCCAAAGTGCTGGGATTACAGGCGTGAGCCACCGTGCCCGGCTGCACATTTTTAAATTATGTTTTCTTCTAACAAATTTGCCTTTTCGTTAGTAAATGGTAACTTTTAACATGCCACCTCTAAGCTCTTTTTTGCTAAGATATAGAAATAAAAATGATTTTTGGTGTTGATTTTCTATTTAGCTCTCTTGGTAGTTTTGATAATTTTGGTATAGATATTTGGGGGGATATTTCTCTTTGCAAGTAATCATTACATCTGCACACACTATTAGGTTGGTGCAAAAGTAATTGCGGTTTTTGCCGTTACTTTTAATGTACTTAATGTACTTTTAATACGTTCTGCTTCTTTAATTTCAATGCTTATAGAGCCCCTTTTCCCCTTCCTTTTTGTCTTGCTGTGTTGCCTGGGACTTCAGTACAACATTGAATAGAAGTGGAGATAAAATGCATGATTCCTAATTTTTAAGAAAAACCTTAAAATATTTTACCATTAGAATGCTTGTTGTAGATTTTTGGTAGATGTCTTTTATCAGTTTTAAAAAACTCCTTGCTCTTTGTTAAGAGTTTTTATGATGAATAAGTGTGGATTTTAAATGCTTTCTATAAGATGAGCATATGGGTTTTCTGGCTTAATATCTTAATGTGGTGAATTATATCAATAGATTGTTTAAAAAGCAGACACTTGGTTGGTTTTCTCACTTTTGCTTTGTTGTATTTCTATTTTGCAACTGTTGCTAAGGTTGTGAGAATTCTTGGTGATTCTTACACAGCCAAGGCAATAGATTAATGTGACTCAACATGAATTTACTTTATTTTCACATACCACTTAGAAAAGAAAGAATTTCTTAGCAAATGTCCTCATTTCTGCAGCTCTCCATCCAGTTTTATAGGTAAGTGATAAGGAGAGAAAGGAAGCAGTGAGGTGAGGGATTGTGGACTCTGTTAACGGCAATGGCATTCTCAGGTTTCCAGTATACCACTGAGTAACCTCACAAGAACTATTTTATTTAAATTAAAATTAAGCATGTTGGTGGCATTTGCCAGCTCTGAGCCCCCCCTTTTTTTTAACTGAACGAGATTTTTCTTTTATTTTCAAACAAATATTGCCCTTGAAATATGACGATAGATATATTTTAAATTAGAAAAAATGCTTCCTCTTGCTTTATTTAAAACTAATCTTAGACTTTGCTTCCAGTTATACCCTCCTTTATGAAATAACTAAAAACCTGGACAAAATGTATGGAACAACAGCACTCAAGACATTAGACAACAGCAACATTATGACTAAATGCAACATGGTGTTCTGGATTAGATCTCGGAACAGAAAAAGAGCTTTAGTGGGAAAACTGGTGAAATCCAAAAAAGTCTGGAGTTTAGTTAATAGTAATATAACAATGTTGATTTCTCAGTTTTTACTAATACATCATGATAATATAAAATGTTAACATTAGGGTATATTGGGTGAGGGGTATACAGTTGTATTACAATTGGCAACTTTTCTGTAAATCTAAAAATATTCCAAATAAATCATCTTATTTAAGAAAACCATGTACCAAGAGCTCTCAAAGCACAAAAGAGGTTATGATAACTTCTGTTTGTCATTATTAGCAAAGGCTTCATAGAAGGGATGTCTGGGTGTGTAAGAATGTCTAAGAGTGGGTAAAGGCACAATAGCAAGAGATAAAGGGCATTTTTGGAAAAATGGCTCTTGTTCATTGTTGCCAAGTATAGGATACGGGTGTTTAAAGCAAGAGAAGAATGGGAGCTAAACAGAAATGAGTGTGGGAAGTTATGTTCATCCTTCCCTAGAGAAGGTCTTGAATGCATGCTGAGAAATTTGGACTTTATCTTGTAGGCAATTAGAAGTTAGAAAGGTAACATTTGAGCTGTGATTTATAGGGATAATTTTATTTGTTTTCCTTTGTTTGTTTTTGTTTGTTTGTTTGTTTTTGAGATGGAGTCTCGCTCTGTCACCCAGGCTGGAGTGCAATGGCGTGATCTTGGCTCACTGCAACCTCCACCTTCTGGGTTCAAGCGATTCTCCTGCCTTAGCCTCCTGAGTAGCTGGGATTACAGGCGTGCACCACCATGCCCGGCTAATTTTTGTATTTTTAGTAGAGATGGGGTTTCACCATGTTGGTCAGGCTGGTCTTGAACTCCTGACCTCAGACAATCCACCCGCCTCAGCCTCCCAAAATGCTGGGATTACAGGCGTGAGCCACCGCGCCCACCAAGGATAACTTTAACAAGGGTGGAGGGTGGCTTTATTTTGGAAATCCTGAGTAAAATATTCTGAATTCTGGAAATAAGTCTATGGAGAGACTTGCTTATTAGAAGAGGGGAAAAGTAGCTAGACTGAGAAATTTTATGTCAATCTCTGGTACAAGTTTAGCATAAACTATTAAACCACTGATTAAAGATACATGTTCAAGGATGTGTATTACGGCATTATTCATAGTAACAAAACCTAAAAACCATGTGAATGCTCAGCAGTAACAGAATTGTCGAATGTTGGTAGTGTCTCCACATTCTAGAATGCTTTTCAGTCATTATAAAAAATGAGTTTGATTTATAACAGTTAACTTGGGGGCTTTAAATGGCATATTAAGGGAGAAAAGCAAGATATGGAGAACTTTATGAAATATGATCCTATTTTTGGAAAAAAAGTTAGAAAGATAAAGAAAAATTATATGTGTTAAAATCAGGAGAAAATTATACATAAATAAACAACACATTGTTAGCTTTGATTTGGAGGGTGGGAAATGGCAATTGAAGCCTTGGGTAAGTGGCAGGGGAAGAACAAATGAGATTCTTTTTAAAAGAAAGGTTTCTATAGTACCAATAGGAGATACAACATTGAACTAGTATACAATTATACCCAGGGAGGTATAACTATGTGGAGAAATGTATGAAAGGATGATCACAAACATGTTCATATTTTCACCAGGATGGTGAAATTTTAGTATTTTCTCCCTAATTTTATGCTTTTCTGTATTATTTACTTTTTAAACCCAAAAGAACTCCTATTCTTGTATTTATTCAAGAAAATTAAATTTAAAGAAAAATCTCCTTTGACTGTGAAAAAGCCACTAACAAGCTTCTCAGTGATGCTGGTAACCCTCTCATCTCACCAGCACATTCCTTATTATTTTCATAAACAGAATGTTCTCTGGGCCCTTGGAGTAGCGTAGTCACCCAGTGGGTTTTCTAGCCTTACATAGCATTTTTATTCTAGTGTGCTCTATCTCTTTTTTCACCATCTGCCACATTCGCTCTGACATTTCTAGCTCAGATGGTGCAGGCCATGCTTTCTCCAAGCTTCCAAAAACTACCCTAACAGCATGTTTGTACCACCTCTCAAGGAACTAACTAGAATGTTAAATTCTGTAGCATGGGTGAGTGCACCTCCTTTGGGGTATAGTCCCTTTCCTTTGTTAACATGCCCAGCACTTCCACAGCCAGCTTATGTTGTGACTACCCTAGGTTATTGGCTTGAAGGCCAGGAGGGGAGGTGGGAATAGATCCTGAGGGCTAACTACAGGACATGCCATTACAGAACTGAGCTCTCTGATACCAATGGAGATGTTAAGATCCCTGTATAGAGAAGCCAGGCGGGAGGGCTTAACCACCAGTAACAAGTTGGGCACAGTTATTACAATGAGCAGTAAGGTCGGAGTGGCAGCCAGAGGACCATGACCCTTAGAAAATTGTGGAGTCGGTTAGGAGAACACAGAGTTCTTAGGGGCAAGATAGAGAAGCAGCCAACAAAAGGATTGCTCAATCTTTACAATAAAAATAAATCAAAGCTGGATAATGAGAGAGGCTGAGGACAGCTATCCTAATCAAAAGTCATAATCCATTGCCCTTTTCCAGATCTGAGCTGTTCTTAGACCCAGAATTTCTTGCCTGAAGGAGGAATCAGGTCCCCACAAGGAAAGACCCTGCAACTGTATAAAAAAAGAATCTAAAAAGATCATGACTCCTTCAGTCCTTTCCCAAAGAGACCTATGGAAATTTCCTCAGGTAAGTCTGCACCCTGGGGAAAGGGTAATACTCAAATATTTTCAGGTGTGTTGGATGCAGGGTCACTATCCAAGTTGATTTTGAAACTTGGGTATCTGGAGCCCTAGCCTAAGACTAGCTCATAGCGGGTGCACCATGTTAATGGATTCCCCCATCATTATTTCCCTGGTCACCAAATGTATAATTGACATGAACATACTAGGTAGTTGGCAGAACCTCCACATTGTTTCCTTGACTGTAAGACCAGAGCTATCATAGTGGGAAAAGCCAAAAGGAAACCTCTGAAATTGCCCAACCTCCCAGCCAAGATATCAAAATTAAAAAAAAAAAAATTCATCCTTGAGGGGAAATGACAAATATCAGTACCACCCTTAAAGACCTAAAAGATGCAGGGATGATAGATCCCATCAAATCCACATTTAATTTGCCATCTGGATCCCACAAAAACCAGATGGATCCTGGAAAACGACAGCAAACAATCAAACTCAACCAAGCAACAATCTCAATTGCAGCCATAGTGCTTGATGTGGCATCTTTGCCGGGGTAGAGTCTCAGGCATATGGTATTCAGCTATTGCGCTGGATATGTCAGTCGGAAAAAGCATCAGAACAGTTAACATCCACTTGGGA
Source organism: Homo sapiens (assembly GCF_000001405.40). Taxonomy (NCBI): domain Eukaryota; kingdom Metazoa; phylum Chordata; class Mammalia; order Primates; family Hominidae; genus Homo; species Homo sapiens. Next base: position 46,095,632 of record NC_000013.11, read on the forward strand.
CAGACACCAGTGCATATTTACAGTCTTGCCTCAGCTTTAATTAACTTTCTCACTCTCCAGCTGCAAGATGTGTACTTGATATAAGCCCCCAGCTACTGTGCTCTGAAATCTGTCCCTGTGTTAGTGCTAATACCACATTTCCCACTGGCTTCTTGCAGCTAATAACTGAGTATGGTGGGGATACTAAGGGAGGCTCTTTCTACAAAACTGGAAACTCTTCTGATGTGTGACTCTGGCTATAGGACTTTTTTTTTTTTTTTTTTTTTTGAGACAGAGTTTTGCTCTTGTCACCCAGGCTGGAGTGCAATGGAGCAATCTTGGCTCACTACAATTCTGCCTCGTGGGTTCAAGTGATTCTCCTGCCTCAGCCTCTCGAGTAACTGGGATTACAGGCACGCACCACCACACCTGGCTAATTTTTGTATTTTTAGTAAAAACGGGGATTCACCATATTGGTAAGGCTGGTCTCGAACTCCTGACCTCAGGTAATCCACACACCTCGGCCTCTCAAAGTGCTGGGATTACAGGTGTGAGCCACCGTGCCTGGCCAGGACTCTTGGTTGGTTTTGCCAAAACTTTCTTAGAACTGCACTACGACCTGAAATGTTCCCTACCTGCTTCCTTCCTTTCCTCTCTCCTCCACAGGGGTTAAGCTTGCATTGCAGTCTCATGGCTCTCCCAGCCTCCTCCAGCCCTCTCCCCATTTCTTGCACCCAAGCATTTTCCTCAACACACCTCTTGCACAGCTAATCCCATCTTGGTGTCTGCTTCTCAGAGGATCATAACTGACACAAGTAGGAAGAGGAAGTCTGATACATGGACAGTCAAGTTGATAGTGCATGGGTACAAGTAAAAAATGAAGTGGGCTGGGCACGGTGGCTCACGCTTGTAATCCCAGCACTTTGGGAGGCCGAGGTGGGTGGATCACCTGAGGTCAGGAGTTCGAGACGAGCCTGGCCAATATGGTGAAATCCCATCTCTACTAAAAATACAAAAAATTAGCTGGGCATGGTGGCGGGCACCTGTAATGCCAGCTACTTGGGAGGCTGAGGCAGGAGAATTGCTTGAACCCAGGAGGCAGAGGTTGTAGTGAGCTAATATCGCACCACTGCACTCTAGCCTGGGCGACAGAGGGAGACTCCATCTCAAAAAAGAAAAAAAAAAGTGAAGTGGTGCTGCATTATGGACTCACTCGGGTGACCGAAAGAGAGCAGAGAGGGAAATCGTCCCAAATAGGCAGAGCTTCAGTGTTGCATCTCATCATACACCTTGGGTGGAAAAGGTGTTTCCAGTGTTAGAATATGCAGGAATTCATGGAGAGTGGCAAGTGACATGACTGGAAAACCCCTCAAGAACCTGGAAGAAGAAATCTTGACAGATTGGAGACAAAGAGATTGGAGAAAGGGGGATGTGAATGGAACTATGAGAGTGGGCAGAAAGTGTGAAGATCTTTGTATCATTTATTAATGCCTAACCAGGAGCACCCACAACAGAATAGACATTAAACAGCTGCATAAACAAATGACTCAGCCAGTTGATGTCAGTCAGCCTGTGTCAACAGCCACCCCAATGCTGGCACAAAAGGCACTAGAACAGAATAGCCTGATGGCAGAGATGAAGTGTGCATGGCTCCAGCAGCACGGACTCCTCTCATTAAGGCTGATCTAGCTACTGTTGCTGCCCCATGTCTAACTTGCCAGCAACGGAGACCAAAGTTGAGCCCCGGAATCAGCACCATTCCTCATAGAGACCAGCTAGTCACTGGGTGGTAAGTTGACTACATCTGTCCTCTTCCACTCTGGGTATGGGTTTATCTCGCCTGCCTGTAGGGCCTCAGGCAAGCATCACCATACAAGGGCTTACGGAGTGTTTGACCACTGATAAAACATCTCACATAACATCCTATCAGATCATGGGCTCCACTTTACAACAAGGGAATTGCAGAAATGGGTCCATTACCATGGAATCCACTTAGCCTCTCACATACCAGAATACCTAGTTGCTGCTATCCTGTTACTGAAATAAAAATGGTTTGTTGAAGGATCAATTGAGGTGCTAACTTGGAAGGCAACATCCTCCAGTGCACACTTTAAATCAATACTCATGTGGTGCTGTGTCCCTACTAGGTAGTATACATGGTTCCAGGAACCAAGTTGGAGTGTTTCCATATACCGTCACTCCAAGTAACCCACTCGGAGAATTAGTACTTTAAATCTACAAATATGGACTCTGTACTTATAAAAATTCCGGTTTCCAGAGAGCATAGGAAGAGTTCCTTTAAACTGAAAGCTGTTGTTACTGTCCAGTCATTTCAGTTTCCTCATGCTGATTGATTATCAGGAAGGCGAGGAGTTACCATGGGTTTTCTAGCCATGCAGGAAGGGTAATTGACTCCAATAATCAGAAGGACATTGAGGGCTGCACTTACATACTGAATGTGGCAGGGAAGAATATGTTTGGAATCCAGCTTAGGCGTTCTGTAATATTCCCTTGTCCAAATTTGATGTATACAGACAATTGCAGCAGCCATGGCCCAAGAGGGCCCAGTGATTATGACTCAGATCCTTGAGGATTGAGGGTCTGGGTTGTCTCACCAGGTAAACCACCTAGATTAGAAGAGGTGCTAGCAAAGGGCACCTCTTTGGGGAAAACAGAACGGGTAGGGGAGAAGAGGAATGACAAGTATTGGTTATGGCCTCGAGACTAGCTGTAGCTGTGAAGGTTGTAGTTTATTTCACTAACGTTCCTCTTGTATATTTCCTTTAGGAAGAGGGACCAAGCAAAACCCCAGAAGAGTTGATCTCAAAGCTTATTTTATGAAGAAAATTGACCTGAGTGACACAAAGGGTTGGACTGTAGTAGATGTCACGTTTTGCTGCCTAGATCTCCATCCAGGGATGAACTCTTATTTCCTCAGCTTCTTTGTCTCCTCAGCTTCTGGGAGGGTTGGCAGCTGATATTCTCACCTGAGTCCCTTTCTAGGACTTGCCCTTGCCTGAAGAGAGCTGTGCTGCCCAACATGATGCCTCCTCCAAGGTACAATCCACACCCAGTGACTAATAAACAGGGGTTACAAAGGCATGCCTGCTTGCCCCAGTTTGGGACAACTTTACCAGGCCAACCCAGCCTCAAGGCTCTCCACAGGAACAGGTGAGGCCATAGTTGTGATTACATCACAGGTCAGTTTCTCCTCTGCCCAAGCCTTCTTCCTTCATTCCTCCACAGATGCTGATCCTGAGATTCCTTTCCAGTAAACTTCCTCCATGCAATCTTCATCTCAGGAGTCTGTTTCCTGGGGAAACTAACCTGCAACTGATACAAATGCCTATTCTGTGAGATAAAACACTAAAAGTACAATGCGAGTGGTATAAATATTCTGCTACAGGAATACAAAGTCAGGTATCATTTTTGACTTAGGTAGTCAGAGAATGGAGATATTCTGAGTTGGACTTCTGAGATACTAGGATTCAATAGGTGAAGGGAAGATGAGATGGTATAAGACTAACATAGGCAGAATTTTGCTAAACGAATTGGAGATGAAACATCATAAGTGCAGGTGCACAAGTAGAAAAGTAAAATCAGAGCTCAAGGAAGGAGAAGTGATCCAGCTGGGCAGAAATATGGGGCCTATATAGAGATATACCAGGAAATAAAGCCAGGACGAATGGCAGGGTAGGACCTGATTGTTAAGGGTCTTAAATGCTGGGGTCAAGATTGTGGCCCTTACTTAAAAGTTGGTTGGGCATGATTTTGGGAGTTGTAGCAAAAGATGTGGCAAACTCAAAGCTTCCTTTTCATGTAAAGTATAGAGAAGTGGAGGTTCATATCATTAAATCACTGTAATTTCAGTGTGAACTTCTAACAATTTGAGCTAACCATGAGATAGGACACCTTATCAAGCAATGAGCTCTTCATTATCTAAAGAGATGCTGAATTTCAAGTCCATGTAGAGGAAGTCTTGTGTTGACTAGAGCATAATATGTCTGGGGGGACTTTTCTTCTTTTTTACTGATATTTAGTAACTTGGATATTGTGCTAAGTGCTTTACAGGTATTCTTATTTAATCCTCACAAGGCAGTATGGTAGATAATCTATTATATTGAAAATAATGGGCCAGGCACAGTGGCTCACGCCTGTAATCCCAGCACTTTGGGAGGCTGAGGTGGGTGGATCACCTGAGGTCAGGAGTTCAAGACCAGCCTGACCAACATGGTGAAACCCTGTCTTTACTAAAAATACAAAAATAAGCGTGGCATAGTAGCTCACACCTGTAGTCCCAGCTACTCAGAAGGCTGAAGCACGAGAATCACTTGAACCCACGAGGTGGAGGTTACAGTGAGCCAAAATCACACCACTGGACTCCAGCCTGGGTAAGAGAGCATGACTAGGTCTCAAAAGAAAGAAAGAAAATAATGAACAAAAAATGTTGAGTGGGCAGTATTAAATTAAAAAAAAACCTAATGTATTAAAGAAGGAGAAAAGTATAAAAATTAGTCAACAAGCAGAGAAAGAAAGAAAATATAAAGGTAAAAATGTATGTTATCCAAATGAGACCTCTTAAGAAGAAAAAATAAAGGAAATTCAAAAAATAAGTTAGGAAATAGTGAGTAAAATTATGAAGTTAAAAATTCACCAAAAATTTATTGATATGTCCAAGTTCAGCTTGTAGTGAACAGACTCTTCTTATGCAGAATTTGAGCAAAGTGCTAACACAACAGAGTTAGGTAATGGGATGAGGGTCAGTCAGATCACTCTATTTTTGGAAACTGGTTTCATGACTGCTTCCCCTTACTTAGTCATAAACAGGCTATATAAAAAGCTGTCAGAGTGGAAAGAGGGAGAGGATTTGTGAATTTTTTTTTTTAGCATGTTTTTATGGTTCTGTAAGTCACCACCCTCCCAAAGGGATGAAGTTTCGGGGTGCACTCCCCTTACCTCAGCCTAGTAGGGGGACTTCCAGGAGATAATGAGAGAGTTGGATGTTTCCTCAAATTTACAGACACAAAGACTGGTGCCTGGCTTCTCCTGATAAAGCTAAACCTGCATGTGGCTGGTCTCTAGTTGGCTAGATAGTAGTAGTTAAAATGAAAAGAAACACTTAATGTTAGATGCCATCCAATAGGGCCACCTAAAGGGATGGAAGGTTCTCAACAACAAGAGCCCAGAGGTAGAAGCAAGACTCTTAGCGGGGAAGGATGGAGTCGCAAGTGAAAACCTAGACAAAGAAGCATCTGTCCTGGTCCAGAGGCTTCCCCAATAAAGATGTCTCACACAACTCTAAGAAGTTAGAACTCGAGAAAAAGACTAACAAGAAAAAGAGTAAGGTGTGTTTGTGGAAGAGGTGAGGCAGTTGTTTTCCTATAAATAATGTTAAATTAAACTAAATTTGGTCTGAGGATGCCTCGTAACTTGAGTCGCTACATAACAAACTGCAACCTAACTTAGGAGTATTTTTTTTTTGTACTAACGAGGTGAGTCTCAGCCAATCACAGCAGCCAAGCTACAGCCAATCCCATGTGGCCAACTGATCAGCCTATGCCCAGTAAGACAACTGCTCACCTGTAACTACTCAAGCTGCTTCTGGACCTCATTTCCATTTGCTGTTTATAAGTGCTGCCTGCCCACTTTGCTGAGCAGAACTCTCTGAACTTCTTTCGTTTTTGAGGGTTACTTGATTAGAAAATTGTTCTTTGTTCAATTAAATTTTGCTAAATATAATTCTTTTAAAGATTTTCTTTTAACAACAAAGATGGGGATATTTGAACAATACCTTGGTTGGAGGTGACATTCTAATTTCTAAATTGAGGCTATTTGTATTTTTAGCAGGACCCAAGGACTGTCACTTAAAAGCAGGCTAAAAAGCCTTGAAATTTTCTAACTTTCCATGCGAGAGCAGTGATAGATAACCCCACTACGCAAAATGTCATGGGGCAATGGGAGACAAAAACTAAAGCTGTGTTTCAACTGCGTCTCTGAATGATACGATTATAGCACTTACACAATAACCACTTGAGAAAAAAGAACAGCCTTGCACCAAAAATCGAATGAGAAGTACAAGCACAGTGAAGTAACAGGTCACTTTACAAAAAAAAGTAAAGGCTGAAAGGGGACGAGCAAATTGCCCAAGTCTGCATGGGTGATAAGTAGCAGATCTGGGGCTCGAATCCAGATCCTGAGCTTTTAATACCTATGCAACACTTCCTCTGTTCCTTCCCTTCTGAGAACGTCATTATGTTCATTGGGGTGTATCCCCTGCTATGGTTTACAGGGGAGGGTTCACACTTTCACCATTCTGAAAGATTATTTTGAATTTAAAAAGCTGGCAAGATGTCTCTGAACAATGGAACATAGCCCAAGGCTGCAATTTTGTTGCACACATTACAGTGTTTTAAGGCCACTGGTGGCCTGTTCTTTGAGATGAAAACAATACATCAGTAGGAACAAAGTGAAAGAGAGTAAACTGGTCTCCAGGTACCCAAACAGTATGTGAAGTCAACAGAGGAACACTTCCTGTGGTCTATTAATAATTCAGAAGCCCTTTATCCTCAACCCTCCTCCACTCTCTAATTCCTAAGTCTTCTTCCTAGTGTCTCTTACTTCCTCTTTCCAAATAGTCTGGGCTGGCAGGCTGCATTTAGGTAATCACTGCACAATACAATTACTGATTCTGTTTACAAGATTCTTGCTAGTATTTTATTTTTACCCTTTATAGTGTTTGGCTTTTAAAAGCAAATGAATATGGAGTCATGATTTTTTGGCTGCCTTTCCCTTTGGCATATGATATTTATGCCTTTAAAACTTGTTGTTGTTCCAGGGCATTTCACTGATGAAATTTATCAAAATGAACCTACAAATCAGCCACTAAGAGACTGCATGAATAAAAACTGTTAGTAGGAAAATGATTATGACAAAAAAAAAAAAAAAAACAAAGAACAGCTTTAAGAAAAAGCCAGACTGTTAGTTTTTTTTTTTTTTTTTAGAAGGGTTGATATTCTGAACCCCAGCAACAATTTATCAAAGTCTGTTGCCCTGAATGAAATTAGATTTCCTTTTTAGCTTCAGGAATAGGCCATTCCTGGAAAAGTGGAGCACAGAAACATTTGGTAAAAAAATTTATTTTTACTCACAGAAAGAGTAGTTTGCAATGTTATTTCCAGTGAAGGGATGGGAACCAGGATTCAGATATTCATCTGTCTACAATACTGAGGTCCTCCTACCTCCTCTCCTCTGCAAAGGGACCCTCGCAGTATGCAAAAGTATTAAATATTTTTAATGTGATATTCTTTGGTTAAAATATAGTCACATTCTCATTCCTTTTTTCAAGCATAAGTATCAGTCAGATTTCAGAGTATAAGCTGAAGCAACAAATAGTAACAAAGCCCATGCATGAAGATATGTTCTCACTCATTTTTTTACTATTTTATTGTTGGCTACTTCTTCTATTTGCGTTATATTTAGTGTCACTAAGCTGCTATACACGTACTCATTTGAAGAGATGTGCTAAAGCTTTTAGTGTGTTTTGCTATTGATTATCCTATCCAAGAGTTTGGGTTACTCTACGATCAAGATGGCGGTCTGCAGTGAGCCCACCTGCCCGCCAACCTCTGCAACAACCAGCTGAGGATAATTGCACTGGGCTGACGCCAAGGCCATGATTAGATCTGCTAGTGGGTGAGAACCATGAGACTGAACCTCTAATCCCGAACCTCTCTTCCAAGCTACTTTCCAAACCAACTGCTGCCTGCAACTCCCTTTGACTAAATCTGACCTTCCTTCAAACTGGCTCTCTTCCTAATTTCCAGATTTTATGGAGGCAATGCTGTCCAGTGCATGGAGTTGAAATGAGGCTAAAGTGGGTTTGAATCCAAGCTCTACATTTACTGTTTGATCTTGGGCCAATTATTTATTCTTCCTGAGGCTCAGTTTCCTCCTTTGTAAAATGTCAGTAAAGATTCCTAGCATGTAGGATTTTATGCATTTAAAGAGATAACATTTCTAAGTGACTAGTTCAGTGCCTGGCACAAACACAGGCACTAAATAAGCAGAGGTTTCCTCCCTTTCCCCTAACTGTCAATGGTACTGCCACTGTGTACAGTAGCCAAGTTGGACATGTTGATACCAATTTTTCTCTTCTCCCCCTTTCCCTTAACTGAAGCCAATTATCAAGTTATGGAATATTAGAACTAGCAAGAACCTTAGAAATCCTGACCATATGATTCACCGATAAAATACAGAGAAAGACATAAGTCACTGATCATTGCAGCAATCTTGACCCCCACGTCAATTAAATAACAAAAATAATATCATTTTATGATAGAATTTGTTGCTCGACATTCGACAATCATGTTGAACAAAAGAAGATCAATCAACTATAATCAGTTCAGTGATCATGTACAAACACAGCTTCAGGCTCACAAGTCAAGATCTATTTTCCAAACCATTGTCCTATGGTTATTTATGACCGTGAACATTTTTTTGGTGGTAGAATGTTCCTTGTCACTGGTATATTCCTTTGCCCTATGTCTCTTCTTTCTTTGTCATTTACTAACATGAGGAGAGGGATCTGTCTCAAAGATAATTGGAGGAGAAAGCGATCATAGAACCAAAACAAAGGGGAAAAAATAAGATAATTCCAAAGGAAACAATATCAATGTTTTAAAGCCTAAAAATTGACTACTTAATAAATTACATTACATATACCCTGGAACTATTTTCTCCATGCATTGCATGTGCTATAGCATGAATTCATTTGTGTTCTTCTAGATAGTTTATCCTAAGGGAATCTACTAAGCAAAATAAGAATCAGATAATAGTTCTTTATCACACAACTCTTCTTCCTTTCATATTCCATGCTAAATAATCATGCATGATCCAAACCTCCTATTTAACACTTCACCCTCTTCTTCCTCCTATGTTCCATGTACAAGGGGAAAATAAATGATCCATAGTTAACTTTTTTTATGTGAAGACAGGAAGAATATGAATCATACATCAAGTTAGAGTATAAATAGTTACGTTTATAAAAGATTTAATTTCTTGAATCTCCATAGTCACTGGATATGCGTATCATCCAAGGTTCTCCCAATAATAAAACCAGAGCCAGGAAAGAAAAAAGACCCTGTCTTTAGTGATAGCCCATTGTGCTAAAGTCTACTTATTTGTCAGGGCAACTTGGAAAGTTCTGAAAGACCTGGCCTTCAAAGTTTACCATTTTGTCCACCAGCTCAGTGCACTGACTTGACACGACATGAGGCAAACAAGTGAGGAGAGTGGCCCACCACAGTCTAAGATTCTATTGGGTTACCTCTGAAACGCGAAGACATGCTGCTCACAGAAGAGAACAATGGGTACAAGGACTGCAAGGCTGCAAAGCTTCATCCCAACAGCAATTTTCTGTACAACAAATTTCTCTGAAGAGAAAAACCCAGATCATTGATTGCATAACAGCCTTCTTTACACACTGGTTAAAATATAACGGCATGTTCCCTCTTGTTCCTGTGGGTCAATCAACTTAGCTTCCATTTCCACTCCCAAAAAGAGAAATATTATTGGCTTAGTTAGGCTGTTGCTTGATAATTAAACACTCAAAAAGAGTATGATGAGAGTTGCTCTTAATTTAGACTATCTAGAAAATGTGTAACTCCTTGGGGAAGGTAGGGCCAAGAATAAAAGGGTAGTAATACAGTAGGATCTTGTCTGGTTTATTGCAGAACAATAGCTATAGAATATTGACTAATGGATATATAGCCCATGTTGAGGGAGATCTACCGTGAAGTACTATAAATGTCTTCCCTTGCCTCTGACTTTTTCAACATTTTAAATTTATGAAGATGTAAAAAGTGAGTTCCTCAAATCTGGCTAATCCAATCCAATGTTGAAGTGCAGTTTGTAAGGATGATTACAGGATCTCTGTTCAAAAAGATGTTTCCTTGACCATATGGAATGATAGGCCCACCCCCAATAGGAATACTATTTCATGGAAGCTGGTTCAAGCAGTAAAGACATCAGGTTACTTTGAATCTCATTTATTTAAAGGTCACCATAATAGCCATCAATTAAATCCAGGCCCATCCCCTATCATCTTGAAAGTAGCATCAAATAACATTTTGTCTAGTATGAGGCCATATCCTACCCTCTGTAAGTGAGTGGAGCCCTCTTCCCCTACATTCCCATTGGTTAATGCACTTGAATGTTCTTGAAGTCAGAATTGGCAAATTTGCAAAATAAATCAGCCTGCCCACAATTAACTTCTGAGAAGAAAATGATTTTTTTTCTTTTTTCTTTTCTTTTTTTTTTTTTTTTTTTGAGACAGAGTCTCACTCTGTAGCCCAAGCTGGAGTGCAGAGGCGTGATCTTGGCTCACTGCAACCTTCACCTCTGGGGCTCAAGCAATTCTCCTGCCTCAGCCTCCCAAGTAGCTGGGACTAGAGGTGTGCCCCACCACACCCAGTTAATTTTTTTTGTATTTTTAGTAGAGACAGGGTTGCACCATGTTGCACTGGATGGTCTCAAACTCCTGAGCTCAGGAGATCCACCTGCCTCTGCCTTCCAAAGTGCTGGGAATACAGGCGTGAGCCATCGTGCCTGGCCAGAAGAAAATGATTGAGATTTCAAACTTTTCCTTTTGAGATTTAAAACTATTGAATGATATTTAATGAATTAAAGTGACCTCCACTGTAACCACTTGTTGTATAAGAAAGAAGAAGAAATAAGAAAATATGTGTGTGTCTGCTCATATGTGGAGAAAGAAACATAAGAAGGATAGATTAGAAATCAATGAGACTGGTTATCCACGGGAGGTGAGTGGAAACACACTGGAAAAGACAGGGTAGAAGAGACAGGGAGGGACGCTTCTTTGGGTGAAGTGTTTTGAATAGTTCTGAACTTTAGAACTACTCTGAATTTTAGAACCATGTTCTTTTCACATATGTACTTAAAACAAGCAAACAAATAAATTTTAAAAAATAATACAAACAAAAACGAACCTGTGTTTCAAATGAATAACATAATCACACTGAAGGAGAGAAAGAAAAACTAACCCAAGTAACTTTTACCTTATCTTTTTAACATAAAAGTTAACTTTAAAACAAACAGTCAAAATAGTTAAAATATGCTAATAAATTCTATCAATTTTTGTGCTACTTATTTTGTATCTGTGTTTCTTCTTTATTTTATGTCCTGTTTCCTCTCTGGGGAAACAGAAACAGGATACAAAAGAAACAGAGTGCATAAAAAACAATAAATTTTAAATTACATTTCTTATTGCTGAAGCAATCTTTTAAAAGTTCCTATAGCAAAAGTCTACAGGTGATAAAATCTTTTATGCTCTGTATCTTTAACAATAACTTTCTTTTGCCTTCACTTTCAAGTACTAGTTTAGCTGAATGTAATATTCGAGTGTGACGGATGCGTCATTGTTGTTTGACATTTCCTGTTGCATGGTAGGAATCTGCTGCCCAGGTAATTGTTGTTCCCTTGCAGTTTAGCTGTCCTTTCTCCTTGATAACTTTTAAGGGATTATCTTTATCCTTGGTGCTTCTCAGATCCATTACTCTGGTCTAGATGTGGATTTAGTTTTTATTATCTTACTCAATACACAGGATGTACTTTTGATCTGAGGATTTAGACATTTCTTCAGTCTTGGAAAATCATTTTATTATTTCTTCAGCTATCGTATCTCTGCTAGTGCCCTGTAGGGGCTCCTGTTGGAGCTTCTTGATCTATCTTTCATGTCTTGTAACTGTCCTTTCATGTTTTAAAAACTCATCATCTTTGTCTCTGTATGCTGTATTCTGGGTGAGTTTCTCAGCACTATCTTCAAATCCACTAATTTATTCTTTGAGTCTAATTTAGACTACATAGTCCAGTTGAGGTGTTTTAAATAATTACCTCGATGACTATATAAATCATTTACAGCTGGTTCTTTTGCGTGTTTACTGATTTTGTTTTTATACCAGTATTTTAAAATATCATTTAAGATTTTTTTCAATTTTTTAGTCGATATGATTCCTTTAGATCTCTCATTGAGAATCCTCAGGATACTTATTTTAAAGTCAGTGTTGCACTGCTTTATGAGGTTAATTATGTTTGGGTGAATTCATGTTCTGAGTATTGATTTTGTTAGCTGCCTTTATTGGTATTTGAATTCTTCTGTGATTTGGAACTCTGGTCTGCAGGCTCATTTTGAGTAGGAAGTCTTCCTTCAAGTAGGAAGTCTTTCATTTCTTTCTCTCTTCCCCTATGCTCACTTCTCTCTGCTTGGCACATGCCTCCAAGAAGTCCCTGCGCTTCCATTCCAGAGCCCTGTCTTACACTGGTTTTTGGAGCACATTTCAAAGATCCAGTCAGCAAACAGTAATGACTTGACTTAATTATTGGCTTAGTTACTCCTGGTGTAGTTATTCTGTCTCATACTGACTAGCAGCTACTTATAAACCAGTCCTAGGTAAAAGTGAGCAGCATTTTTTTCCTTTGTATTAAGGTACATGCAGTGAAATGCACAGATCGTAAGTGTACAGTTAGATTTTATATATATATATATATATATATATATAGAAGTGTTTGTTCAGATCATTTGCCTGGTTGTTAGTTGGGATAGTTTGTCTTATTACTGATTTGTAGGAGTTATTCACATTTTCTAGACATCAGTCCTTTGTCAGATATATGTATTGTAAATATATCTTCCTTTGAGAAATGTCTATCAAATTCTTTTGACCATTTTGGAAAATTTAGTTGTCGTTTTATTATTAACTTGTGAGAGTTATTTATATATTCAGGATACAACTCCTTTGTCAGACATATACATTGTCAATATTTTCTGACACTTTGTGGCTCTCCCATTTTTTATTGATGTCTTTTGCAGAGCAAAAGTTTTTAATTTTGCTGAGTTCAATTTATCAATTTTTCTTTAGTGGTTAGTGCCTTCTGGGTCTTGTCTAAGGAGCTTTGTCTAACTCAAGATCATGCAGATATTCTTGAAGCTTTATAGTTTTGACTTTTAGGTTTATGATCCATCTCAAATTAATTTTTATGTATGTTTTGAGGGAGGGATTGATGTTCTTTAATTTTCCATATAAGTATTCAATTGTTTTAGCATCATTTCCTGAAAACACTTTTCTTTCTCCCATGGGATTGCTTTGCCATCTTTGGGAAAAATCCATTGGCTCTGTACGTATGAGTCTACATCCATAAGTTTGCAGTAATTTCTTTCCTCACCACAATAATAACTAGAGTGTGTCTGTTTTATTTCTTATCTCTTTTTTCTCCTTATGCTTCAATTTGGATATTTTCTATTGATCTGGCTTCAAGTTCACTTATTCTTTTCCCAGCAGTTCCAGTTTGCTGATAAGTCCATTGAAAGAAGTCTTTATTTCTGATATATTTTTCATTTCTGACACTTCTATTTGAATTTTTTTTTAGAGTTTACTTTTCACTGCTGCATTTCCCATTTTTTCATACATGTATGAACAAAGATTGTCTTTGAGCAATCTCTGCATCTGGTTCTTTTGACCATTTTCTCTTTTGAAGATGGGTCACTTTTTATGCTTTTTCATATACTTGTAATTTTTTATTGAATCACAGATGTTATGTACAAAAGGATAGGATAGACTAAAGTAACTAGCAGATAAGCCCAGAATAGGTCCCATATCTTCTTCTCTCATGCCACCAGTGTGAAGGATTGAGCCAATCTAGGCTGCAGTTGAGCTGGGTCTAGGCTTTGCTGTTATTTTTGTTAAATTTTATTTGTTATATTATTATAGCAAGATCAAATTATTTCCTCTAGCCAGGATTGATATCTGAGTGCCTGGAGGGTTTGTCTTAGTTCTCCTGCCCTGCCTGCACCCATCGTCAGGCCCAGTGCTCCTGCGCCATAGGAGGGGTCTCAGCTCTCCTGCTCTCCTCTTCCCTACCAGTAGCCACAGGCAGCTACTGTCTCCTGTTCAGCGTAAGGCTGGGTTCATTGTGGGTTTTCTCTCTGTTTTCCTGCCCTGACCTCAAACGTCAGCAGGCTCTGAGCTTCAAAGAGGGTCAGCAGGCTCTGAGCTTCAAAGAGTTCATCTCTCTCTGATCTCTTGACTCTTCCCCAGTACAGATGACCACTGTCTTGTTCTCAGCCTGGGGCTCAGAGTCCTTTGAGATTTGTGATGGTTAATTGTATGCATCAATTTGACTGGGCCATGGGATGCCCAGATATTGGTTAAGCATTATTTCTGAATGTGTCTGTGAGAGTGTTTCTAGATGATATTAGCATTTGAATCAGTTGATTATAAAACAGGCCCAAAGAAGGTAGACTTCATCTAATCCACTGAAAGCCTGAATAGGAAAATGGGCTGAGTAAGAAAGATTTCTTTCTCTCTGCCTGGCTGACTTTGAGCTGGGATATCAGTCTTATGCCTTCAGACTTATACTCAAACTGGAACTTAGACCATCTGCTTTTCTGGGTCTCCAACTTGTCACCTGCTGTTTCTGGGCATTCTCAGCTTCATAACCATGTGAGCAAACTACTTATAATAAATCTCTTTATATACATATATATACACACACACACACAAACACACATATATTTATACATACATATATCTCCTATTGGTTCTCTTTCTCTGGATAACCTAGACTAATACAGAATTGCTTCCAATTTTCCTGCTCTGCTCTCAGACTTTGGCAGACCAGCATGTCTGTGCCTCAGACAGGACCTTTTCTGCTCTCCTGTCCCTCCCTCAATTTTGGTTCATTAGTTTCCTTTGCAGCATCAGCTCTCTGATGAGCTGCAAAAATTATGATTTTGGAGGTTGTCCAGCTTGTTCTTACTAAGGTAGGAACCACATTTGTCTGCAACTTTCTGTATCCTAATGGAAGCAAAAGTCTGGCACAACTTTTATTGCTTTTTTGTTTTGTTTTGTTTTTTGAGACGGAGTTTCGCTCTTGTTGCGCAGGCTGGAGTACAATGGCACGATCTCGGCTCACCACAACCTCCTCCTCCTGGGTTCAAGTGATTCTCCTGCCTCAGCCTCCCTAATAGCTGGGATTACAAGCATGTGCCACCCTGCCTGCCTAATTTTGTGTTTTTAGTAGAGACAGGATTTCTCCATGTTGGTCAGGCTGGTATCGAACTCCTGACCTCAGGTGAGTAATCCCAAATTGCTGGGATTACAGGCATGAGCCACTGCGCCCAGCCTATTGATCTTTGATTCCACAAGCTGGGAAGAATGTGCTTGGTCCCTGGCCCTGAGCAGTCAGCTTACCCGTAGCACCCTAGTATGTCTCCATGACGTACAGTGGCCACCACTGCCTGTCTCATGCCATCAACACCTGCCACCACTCTGCATTTACGTTCCATTTCTTGTATCTGAGATTGTCTCTCATTTGCTGTCTTTGGGGTTTTGTCCTTTTATATCTTTTCCTCCAATTTTGTGTGACTGGGGAGAGGTGCAGAAAGTCTCATTAAACCATAATCTCTTTGAGTTGTCTTGACGTGGAAATCTCCCTCCCTGCATTTGTCTATGGATCTCTTCATTACAGTAAATAGGATATTTCTTTTCTTCTCTATTTTTATTTGTATTCCTGTAGTTTGTTTTTCTCTGTGTCCATCTTCAATTGCTTTTACTTTCTAGTGCTTTGTATTTCTCTCTCTTTTCCTAGTTTATTTCTACCTTTGCCTTTTTATATTAATCTTAATATAAAATAATATTAAATCTTAATATTTAATACATTAAATTAATCTTTTATATTAATATATAATATAAAATCAATTTGTTCAATTATACTTTGGAGGCAATGAAATAATTTTGGTGGTGAGTGGAAGAGGTGGGGCTAGCATTTGAGCTCCTTCTCCAAAATGTCCCTCCAGAGAACAAGACAAAGGGATTGCATTGGTGTAAATCTGACAAGATTTCCAATCCACTTCCCAAGTCATTCACCTGTCTAAGTGATCTTCATTACTCGCCTTCATTTTGGGTCTGAGTTTTGCTCTCTCGTTGCTTTTGCTATCCTCTATCTGTCTCTCCTCTCTCTTGCTCTGCTCATTCTAGTGGTTGTTTCTTGGCCCCAAGCCTCACCTCTGGTGCTTCACTTTCCAAAGAGAAAGACTAGACACAATACATAAGACAAGAATATGTACAAGGAAAAAAATAGGAACCCTTCCAGTAAAAGTCAAACTCTCAAATAACTTTTTACTCCACTCTATGCTTTTTATGACTTATACACCTAAAATAAAATGATCCACAGAAGTTAAAAATAGAAGATATGTAGAAGGAGATATCAATGAAACGGAAACAAATGCTGGGGTAAAGAAATAAAAAGAAATGAGCTATCAAGCCAGAGAAAGACCTGGAGGAAACTTAAATGCACGTGGCTAAGTGAAAGAAGCCCATCTGAAAAGGCTACATATAATATGATTTTAATTATGTGACATTCTCAAAAAGGGATTCAGGTGGGAGGGAGGGAGGAATCAGTAGGTGGAGCACAGAGGATTTTTAAAGCAGTGAAACTACTCTGTATGACATAGTAATAATGAACACATGTCATTATACACTTGTCAAAACCCGAAGAATGTACAACACAAGAGTGAACCCTGGCCAGGCATGGTGGTGTATGCCTGTAGTCCCAGATACTTGGGAGACTGAGATGGGAGGATCTCTGGAGTCCGGGAGTTGGAGACCAGCCTGGGCAATATAGGGAGGCCCCATCTCAAAAAGAAACAAAAAAAAACAGTGAACCCTAGTCAAACTATGGACTTTGGTTAATCATAATGTATCAATATTGGTTTAGCAAGAATTATAAATGTATCGCACTAATACAAGATGTGAATAATAGGAGAAACTATGTGTGTGTTGGGGGGTGGGTGAGTGTAGCGGAGTGAGGGGACATGTGGGAATTCTATCTTCCAATCAATTTTTCTGTAAATCTAAAGCTGCTGTAGAAAAGTCTATTAATGAAACAACACAAACAAAAACATGGCACTATTTAAATCAGACAAAGCAAAATTAAGCTATGCAATGCAAAAAGTGTGACAAAGATCAATTGGAATTGACAACAGATTTAATTAATACACAACAGTCATTAAACTTTATGAGTTGAAAAATACCTCAGCACCATAAGACAGTGAAAAAAAAAAGAAAAAAAGAAAAAGAAATGCCATTATAATATAAAGCAAAACATGATAGAAATATCAAGAAGAAATAAATAAAAACACAAGAGAAGACTGTAGCACACTCCCATTTGTCTAGGATGGCTTAGATAGGCAAAATAAGACATTGGGAATATATAGCTCACGTCTCAATGGGAAACAGATGCCTCTTTCTGCATAAAAATTTGACCTTCACTTATCTTCCTTACTCTGTTCCTCTAATAACTTGATAAAGGTAAAATGTCGACTATGTCTCTAGGCAACATTACTTTTGGTAGAAATAACTCCTACTGGATAAATTGCATCTGGACTCAGGATAACCATAAATGATTGGGACAATCATTTGGGACATCATATCTGATTGGGACATCATAGCTTTCAGTTCCCCTGAGTGTGCTGACTCCTGTAACTCCATATGCCTCCATAGGGACCCTGAAAGCTGTGTCTATGAAGTTATTACAAGATATTGGCTACTGTGGTGCATGGAGCTTCTAGGCCAGGGTGATTCTCACACCTGCCTGATGTGGATCTTGTTGCTTCACACCTGAAACATCATTTGAGAAGCCCGGGAAGTGGTGTGGCTGCTGCATGGCTGCTCCAAGAACTACTCCCATGGGAGAGGAGCTCCCAACAGTGCCTTGCCATCAAGCTTTGATTTCTACCTTACATACCTCTGAATAAACTGTTGCCAATGAGGCTGATGGAAGTCTTGTGAGTTTGAATGCCAGGTTGAACTTAAGAGGATTCCCTGGTGAGCATTGCAAGATGGTATACTCAATGTTATTAATTTGTGGGGAGTTTAATAAAAGTATTGTTTATATTGATGTGGGAAGGGTATAGGGAAATTACAAGGTATGGTGCAGTGTCCCAAGAATAGTAACATGGGGCACTGAAAAGATAGAGAAAGGAAAAGAATGAGTGACCAGAACCTGGTGACAGAGCCACAGGGGAGGGCTGTCTGGCTGGAGCTGTGACTTACCATTGAAGGACTCAGGAAGTTCTTTTTTTTCTTTAGACAGGGTCTCGCTCCGTCATCTAGGCTGTCATGCAGTGGTGTGATCATGACTCACTGCACCCTCAGCACACACCACCATACTGGGCTAATTTCTGTATTTTTATAGACAGGTTCTCACCAGGTTGCCCAGTCTGATCTCAAAATCCTGGGCTCAAGCAATCTTCCTGCCTTGGCCTCCCAAAGTGCTGGGATTATAGGCATAAGCCACTGCACCCAGCCCTCAGGCAGTTTTTATTAATTCTGCAGGAAGGGAGCTGGGAGAATAAAAATCCCGACCTCATTTTCTTTCCTTCTTTTGTTCTCTTGCTTGAGCTTCCCATGGATGAACTGGAAGAATTCAGAAATTGAATGATATAAATAACAAAGTTAAATTAATAGACATGTATTGAACTTAGTTTTTAGAGTATGTATAATTTTCCCAATTTTCTGTGGAATTATTGCAAAATTTGATCACAAACTATAAGGCTACAATTTAAAAATATAACAAATTCCTAACTGTAAAAATTTTCTAGGTTAAATTCTTTGATCACAAAGCAGGCAAGAAATGAATGGTGGAACAAACTAAAATACTAGCTCCATGAATGAAAAGACCTACATGGATATGAGAGTAATTAAGAAGGAGTTAGCAGCGATGGGACTTTGTGATTGACTGGATATAGACAATGAGGAATATAGTGAAGGAAAGATGATTTCCTGATTTCTGGCATGGGCAGCTGAGTAGATGGTTATGCTATAAACTAAGAAAAGAGAGAAGGATAGGAAGAGATGGGCCTGGAAGAGTATGGAGTTTGAGATGAGAAGAGAAAATGGAAACTCTGAGGAGCACAGAAAATTAAGGCCCAAGTGAAGAAAGATGAGCTTGCAGGGAAGACTGGGTGATGACAAGCGGTGTAGGAGAGAATCCGGGTACTCTGTTTTGCTGAAATGAGAAAGACGGACATACAGATGCATATAAAGGCATATAGAGGCAGATATATTTATATTTGAGGAAGTCTGGACATTGAGTAAGTTAGTGCTGATAACTTCTAGTTTCTTAGTTAAGAAAGAGATGAGGTTATCTATACGGAGTAAGGAGGAACGTGGTGGTGCCGTTGCTACTACGGTGTAATACGTCACTACTATTACTATTAATTATGGTGTAATACCTAAAACGTAGTGGCTTGAAATAACAATAATTATCTTTTATCTCTCACAGTTTCTCTGGGTCAGAAATTTGAGGATAAGGTGGTGAATGATTCTGGCTCAAGGTCTCCCATATTGTTGTGATCAGTGGCTGGAGCCAGAACAGCAGAGGGCTTAGAGAATCTAGGGATTGGTCAGATGTCGCTTTCGTTTTATCTGGCTTTGAGACCTCTCCAATGTGAGCTAATTTAGGCTTCCTCATAGCGTGGTAACCTCAAGGTATGTGAACCGTGTAGCGGTTGACGCTTCCAAGAACAAGTATTCTAGCAGGCAAGGTTCATCTTTTATGCTTTAGGCATGGAAATTACATAGCGTCACTTTCCCTAAAATGAGAAAGGATATAGCATGTTTGGACAGTACGAACCAGTATCACCTAATTGACATTAATAGACCATCCTATCCAGCAATGGCAGAATACATATTTCAAGTGTAGATGGAACATTCACCAAGGCAGATCATATTCTGGGCCATGTACAAAAAAAACTGAGAAATTTAAAAGGATTAAAATTACAGAAAGCATGCTCTCTGACCACAGTGGAATTAAGCTAGAAATAGAAAACAAAAAATTATATAGAAAATCCCCAAATATTTGGAAATTTTTTATTTTTGATTTTTTAAAATTGTGTTTTTTAACCAATGAAAAATAATTGTATTATCTGTGGAGTACATAGTGTTGTTTCAATACATATAAAGTATAGTGATCAGATCATGGATATTAGCATATCAGTCATTCCAGACATCTATAATTTTTGTGTAGGGAACCTTCAATATTATCTTCCAGCTATTTGAAACTACATAATATATTATGGTTAATTACAGTTTTTCTATTGTGGTATAGAAATTAGATAATATACTCTTTTAAAGTCCATGGGACACAATGAAAAATAATTAGAAAAATTAGAACATACTTTGAACTGATTGAAAATTAAAACACAACATATCAAAATTTGTGAGATGCAGCTAAAGCAGTACCTACTGAAAAATGTATGGGATTAGATACTTAAAAAGTAGATGTTAAACCAATGTCCTAAGCTTCTGCCTCAAGAAACTTAAAAAAAGAGCAAGCAAAGTAAATCCAAAACAAGTAAGGGAACAATAAAGATAAGATTAGAAATCAATATAGTAGAAAAAAGGGAATTATAGATACAACCAAAGAAACAAAAAAACTGGTGATTTGAAAATAGCAATAATATTGATATAGGCCTCTGATCAGACTCATCAAGAACAAAAGAAATAATATACACACTACCAACATCAGGAATGAATTTGTAGGAACATTCCTACAAATCCTACAGACACTAAAATACAATAAGAAAATATTATAAACAATTTATGCTTATAAATTTCATTACCTAGGTGAAAAGTACAAATTTTTTCAATGATTCAAACTGTCAAAGGTCACTCAAGATGAAATAGATAACCTGAATAGCCCTGTATCTATTAGAGTAATTGCATTCATAGTTTAAGATCTCCTTTCAAATAAATTCCAGACTAGATGGCTTCTCTGGTGAATTTTACCAGACATTTAAGAAAGAAACAATGTGGCCGGGCCCAGTGGCTCACATCTGCAATTCCAGCATTTTGGGAGGCTGAGGCGGATGGATCGCCTGAGGTCAGGAGTTCGAGACCAGCCTGGCCAACATGATGAAACCCTATCTCTACTAAAAATACAAAAATTAGCCGGGCGTGGTGGCGGGCTCCTGTAATCCCAGCTACTCAGGAAGCTGAGGCAGGAGAATTGCTTGAACCCGGGAGGTGGAGGTTGCAGTGAGCTGAGACCATGCCACTGCACTCCAGCCTGGGCGACAGAATAAGACTCTGTCGAAAAAGAGAGAGAAAGAAAGGAAGGAAGGGAGGAAGGAAGGAAGGAAGGAAGGAGGAAGGAAAGAAGGAAGGAAGGAAGGAAGGAAGGAAGGAAGGAAGGAAGGAAGGAAGGAAGGAAGGAAATTCCACACAAAATCTTCTCAAAAAGTGAAAGAAGAGGAAATATTTCTCAACTCATTTCATGAGGTCTACATTACCCTGGCACGACACCAAACTTGATAAAGGCATTTAAATAAGAAAACTATAAACTAATGTCCCTCATATATATAGATGCAAAAATGCTTAACAACATTTTAACAAATTTAATTTAGTAATATAGCAAAAGAATAATACATTATGGTCAAGTAAGATTTTTCACAAGAATGCAATGTTTGTTTAATATTCAAAAACCAATTAATGCAATTCACCATGTTAGCAGATTAAATTTAAAAGCCCATCTGAATTAAAAGCATTTAACAAAATTCAATATTCATTTACAATAAAACCCCTCAGCAAGTCAGAAATAGTCAGGAAATTCCTCAATCTGAAAGGAAGCATCTATGAAAAGCTTACAGCCATCATCAAACTTAATGGAGAGAGGCTAAATGCTTTTTCTGAAAGGTCACTAACAAAGCAAATGTGCCCACTCTCACTACTTCTATTCAACATTAAATTGAAGATCTTAGCCAGTGCACAATGGCAAGAAAAAAAAAAGGCATCTAGACTGGAAAGAAATAAGTAAACCTGTCTTTTAATCACAAATGACAGTATCACTTACATAGAAAATCTCAAGGAATATCCCAAAAAAGTTACTAGGATTGAACTAATGAGTTTAGCAAATTTGCAGGAGACAAGATCAGTATGCAAAAATCAGTTGATTGGTTGTATTGTCATATAATAACAATAATCAATTGAAAATAAAGATTCAAATGCCATCAAAAGTGTGAACTTTGTAGGGGAAATAGTTTTAAAAGTACAGGAGAAAAACTGGCTGAGAGAAATTAAGATCTAAGTAAAAGAAGAAATACACCATTTTCATGGATCAGAAGACAATTTTGTTAGGATGACAATTCTCCCCACATTGATCTATAGACTCAACATAATCCTAGTCAAAATTCAAGTGAGCATTTTTATAGAAATTTGAAAGCTTATTCTAAATTTTTGTTGGGAAACCGTCCTCCATGTGTCTCTTGTACTGCTTGCTACACATCTTACTTAGAAGGCTAAGAAACCAAGCCCTGATCATTTCTTATCACGTTTGTTTCTTACAGTTGTGTTTGCAGAGAGCAACTTTGAGGTATGAGATAATGTTTCACTCTGGGACAAAGAACAGGCTTTCTTACAGCTTGATATAAAACAGATGAATTCCCCAAGTCCAGTGTACCTCTTCTGCAATGCAACCAATTGCATGTACAGGCATCCATCTGGGCCCATGTCACATCACCCTATGGGTCTTGGGGATGGGGAGCAAGGGAAACTGATGTGGATGATAATGCTCATAATGCTTACCATGCCATGGGTAATAGAGTTCTTTGCCATAGACCTAGGATTCTTGAGGGTTTTTGTTTTTTTTTTCCAGCTTCCATGAAACAGTAGTATAGGCTAACTTGTTAGCTTCCAAGTAGAGTAAAATCAAATCCCTGACACAACAGTTAATTCAAAGTTCCTAAAGTAGCTAAAAATATTTCTTTTAAGTTGAGGCACTTGAATATTCTGGTTATGAAGCTATAATAATTAAGACAATATGGCATTGGCATGCGAATAGAGTCCAGAAATAGCAATCAATGGAACAGAACAGAGAGTCCAGAAATAGACCCATACAAATAAAATTAACTGATTTTCAACAATGTTAACAGGATAATTCAATGGGGGAAAGGATATTTTTAGCAAATGGTGCTGAAAACATATGATATCCATGTGCAAAAGAAATCATCTGGAGCCATACTTTAAACCTTATAAATAACTCAAGATGGATCTCAGACCCAATGGTAAGAGCTAAAACAATAAAATTTCTAGAAGAAAACGGAAAATTTTTGTGACCTTGAGTTAGGCAAAGAATTTTTAGGTAGGACACAAAAAGCACAAATCACAGGTGAAAAATTGAAAACTTGGAATTTACCATTAAAAGCATCTTGTTCTTTAAAAGACACTGTTAAGAAAATAAGTATATAAGCCATGGGATGAGAGAAAATAATTGCAAAACACATATCAGGTAAGGGACTTGTATCCAAAATATGTAAAGAACACCTATAAATTAAGAATAGGAAGACAACCCAATATAAAGTGGGCAGAAGATTATACAGATACTTTACCAAATATGCAAATGGCCAGTAAGCACATGTTCAACATCATTAGCTGTTAGGGAAAATGCAAATTAAAACCACAATTTGCTACTGCACATTCCTGGAATAACTAAAATGAAAAAGTCTGAGAATACGAAGTGATGGTGAGAATGTGGAGCAACTCGAATGCCCATATATTGCTTGTGGGGTTGCAAAATGGTACAACCACTTTGAAAAACAGTCTGGCAATTTCTCATGAAGTTAAACATGTACTTACCATATATCCCAGTAATTCTATTTCTGGATATTTGCCTAATATAAAAACATTTGTCTACAGAAAGACCTGAGTGTCATAGCAGCTGAATGCTCAATAAGCTGAATGTTTATGGCAACTTTATTCATAACAATAAAAAAAAACTTGAAACAATCCAAATGACCATCAATTGGGGAGTGGATAAACAAATTGTGGTGCATTCATACAATGACATGCTACTCAAGAGTGAAAAGGACAAGACCATGGATACAAGCAACAAGGTGGAAAAACCTCAAAAGCATGATGCCAATAAAACTAGCTAGCGCTAAAAGATGTATATTGTATGGCTCCATCTATATGGCACCCTACAAAAGGCAAAACTACAGAGACAGAAAGTAGGTTGGTTTTTGCCAGAGGGTAGAGCTGGTGAAAGAGGATTAACCTTTGAAAAGGTACAGCAGAATTGTTTTGGAGTGGTGGAAGTATTCTATATTTTGATTGTGGTGGTAGGTACACAACTGTATCCTGCTAAAATTCCTCAGATTTAACACTTAAAAGTTGAATTTTATTGTATGTACAAATAGAGAATGGAAGAACAAAAGAATGAGGAAAGGAAGCAAGAAAGGAAGGAAGAAAGGGTGGGAGGGAGGAAGAACGGAAGGGAGGGAAAGACAAATTTCTTCTCATTCTTTATCCCTCTTTGAGATGCCTCTCTGTGGATCCTGTCACCTCTACTGGGGAGCAAAAAGAACACAGAAGTTGGAGCCGACGGATCCCATGCCTAGCTGGGTAATTAGGCAAATCTCAGCCTCTGGAAATGCAGCTTCTTCTGTAACCTACCTCAGAGGGCTGTTGTGAGGATTGAATGGGGTAACATTTAAACTAACTGGCAAAAGCAGGTTCTCAATATATTAAAATTCACATGAAAAAGATAAACCAGGAAGGGAGTTGGCAGGAAGCCAGGAAGCCTCCTGTGTTCTCTGCAGGAGGCTTATCTAGTTCATCAGGATCTTGGGAACAGCTAGTCTTCCTCTGCTGCATTCTGAGAGTTAGGTGATGAGTCACCACCTCAAGAGGCCATCTAGTTCTGGCCGATCTATCTGACTGGATCGTGGACCCTAGGACCCAGCTAACTTGTTCTCCAGCCAATTTAGAAGAATGAGTAGCAAAAATAATATGGCAAGTATTTCTTGAAGTGCCCTAACCCTCTGTCCTTATTAGTGTACCCTGTCAGGAGTGGCCTGCCTTGACTTTCTGTCAAACTGGAGCAGCCTGAGACTAAGGGCAAATGCCCTCTTGGCCTTGGCCGGCCACAACTTGGATATGCAGGTCAGGCTTATTGTTAGGGAAGCTCTGAGACTCAATTAATCTGATGCCTTTTTATTATGAGTTCAGGTGCAGCTCCATTTACAAGTTTTTCTTTCAAAATCATTCAGCCATTAAAGCTGCATAATCTTGGAAGGTTTTGAAGACGCATGATTGGTAAATGTTTTTCCCCTTCACACATTATCTCTCATGTTTATTCATGAAAAGTGAACCAGTCTTATAATTTAAACAGTGTCTTGGGGTATCTGGCCTCCTGTATTTCTAAGGGGGAGGAAAGATGAGGCTAGCCCAGAAGCCATTTAAAAAGGGGATTTGAGGCCTGAACGCAGAGAACTCAATCCCAGGTACTAATGACCTTGCTTTGGCTTGCAAGACTAAGCCTGAGGCCTGTGGCACTTAAGAGGGTTACTGGGTACCCAGACAGGCAAATGCCTGTTGATTGGATGGCTAAATTGTGAAGAAAGCAAAGCTTACCTGTGCAATGTGTCCATGCCTTCATTCCTACTTTCTGAATCAACAGTGCCTGTTATTGTTCTGCCCAACTGTTAAGATGTTCCACCTGTGCCTGCTCTTTGGCGCAGTACTCCAGGCTATAGATCAACATTTCTCAAACCTGGCTGCACATTAGAGTCATCTGGGGATCTTTTAAAAACCCAGCTGCCTTGGCTGCACATCTGATCATTACGTCAGACTCTTGTAGGGAGGAGTATAGACATCAGCATTGATTAAAACTCCTGAGATAATTCCAATGTGCAGTCAGGATTGAGAACAGCTGGTCTACACCAGTTCCTCTTGAAGTATGGTCTGTAAGTCACAGGCTGCAGAATCTCCTTGGATGTTTGTGGGAAATGCAGATTGCTAGGTTCACCAGCCCTATAGGCACTGAGTCTCAAGGTGAGATCTGGAAAATGTGTTTTAATAAGCTCCCCAGGTGATTCCTAAGCTTTTTGCAAGTACCGCTGCTTCTTATGATATGGCCGTTCTTGCTTCCCATCAGTTATCCTTGTCTTTCAGTTCCTCAAAGATATCAAGTTTCATTCATCCTCAGGACCACTGCATATGATAGTCGCTCTACTTGGAAGACATTTTCCTCTTTCTCCTTGTTATTAGGCATTTGGCAGACTTAACAATGAGGCTATTGTAACCCCAGAAAGTCATTGCAAAGTGCCTGCTTAGGGGGTTAAGAGTAGACACTGCAGGGCCTTGGAATAGTAATGGTTTACTATTTAATGAGTTCCCTGTCACTGGAAGTCATAGAGAGATTGCTCCAGGCATGGTGGGAGAAAAGCCAGTTTGACAGGCGGTGGAGGGATAAGAGGGAAGACTTGAGTGACGTGGCACAAACTGGGTCAGATCTATTAAAGAGGCAGCCCTGGGCAGCTGGCAAGAGATCATGTCAAGAGACACAATGCAGGTGCCAGCAGGACCAGAAGATCAGCTTCTTAGAGCGAGTGCCACCTGGAAGGGGGAAACCAAGGGAAGGGGCACAGCAAAGGGCAAAGCTGGGTGGTGGAGGAAGTACCCAAACAGAGGGAAGAGCCACTCTGGCCACATCAAGTGAATACTGATGATCGGGAAACATTCATGGGAAGTTATTTCACTCTCTCGAGTCCAGTGTAAGTGAGAAAGTGTAATTTAATTTAAAAGAGCCTAATTTAGCCTTCCATCAACTGTAGATCTTTTAACGAGACCTTTATTCTTCTAGGACAGCATTTCTCAAACTTTAATGTGCGTAGGAATCTTATTAAAATGCAGATTCTGATTCAGTACGTCTGGGGTAAGGGCTGAGATTCAGCACTTCTAACCGGCTCCTAGATGCCCCCGGTCTGAGCACTACACTTAGAGCAAGCAGGTTTGAACATTGCGACTTATAACAGTGGACCCATGGTGTAGACAAGTCCAGAAATGACTGCTGAATCAACAGTTTTTATGTTAGCTTCCGTATACCTTCAGAATTCAGTGTTTGTGTGCATTCTAATTCTCTAAATGATGTATATTAGATTTCCATTAACGAAAATATATGTTTAAGTGGAACTCTCCAATTCCAACTTGCCAAATAAAATAAAAAATTCCTGTCATTTTACTGACCTGTCTCTGAGTTGTTAATGGTGACATGCTGGGCAATGACTAGGTTACCTGTTTTTGTCCCTGGCCTGATGTGGGTTATTAAATATATGTAGATGTTAGGCATGAGAAAACATTTACGCAGTTTTCTTTTTGTCACT
The DNA here is from genome assembly GCF_000001405.40 of Homo sapiens. Lineage (NCBI taxonomy): Eukaryota > Metazoa > Chordata > Mammalia > Primates > Hominidae > Homo > Homo sapiens. Next base: position 46,122,843 of record NC_000013.11, read on the forward strand.
CATTCACAGGCTCAGTTGGTAAACTGTCTTTCAGAAATAGGGAGAAAGCATACTGAGTAAGAGCCCTCTTTGACAGCTTAAAATTTAATTACAGGAATTTTATTAGGAAACTGTCAAAGTGACTAGATTGCATAAGAGGATCGGTCAATGCCTCTAACTTGTTCTGAGCATCAGCTCTGCTTTCTGGATCATGAAATTGGCAGGAACGTACTGGGCAAAACAATGCCAAGTTCACGAAGATAGCACTGCTGGCGTTTACTGCAAGCCCATCTGCACACTGGGTGGAACAAAGAACAGAGGTCAGTGACGACAGGCATAGTAAATGTAAGGAAGGTGGGCCCAGGGCTCATCCCAAGGACTGAGAGCACATGGAAATGTCCCGTGCCTTAAGCCTCAGTCTGAAATAGGCTGATCTAAGGCAGGCTAAGAGTTTACCCGGTCTTTACAATGGAGATCACAACTGTGCTCCCAGGGACAGACTAGGGCTGTGTGTGTGTGTGTGTGTGTGTGTGTGTGTGTGTGTGTGTGTGTGTGAATGTGAGTCTAGGTGAACAAAATCACTAAGTTGACTGATACTTTAAAAGGTCATATAATCCAATGCATTGCATCAGACCAACCCAGATGTCATAATTTCCAGACAGGAATCCATTCTATTCTAAATACTCCGCAGGTAGGTCTATTTCACAACTTATCTCACAATTACTTCTTTCTGTTCAGCATTTCCTACATTCAGGAAACATTTGTTTATAACTAATATAAATCAATTTTTTAAAACTTACGAAACTCTTACTAAAAATCTAGAAATGTCCCTGGTTCTGTAGGGAACAACAGCAAGAGTAAGGCCCAGTTCCTGCCCACTTCTCATTCATCACAACTGAATTCTTCCAAAAACTTTTGTTGATCCTATATTCAGAATTAATTTTTTCCCTGAGGTCCCATGATATTTAATTTAGAAATTTGTTATCGCATTGATCACATTCTGCTTTTTATTATGGTTTATGTGTGCATGCGTGCTGGTTAACACGCTTCTTTAGACATAAAACAGAGAAGTTTGGATTGGCTAAAGCATCTGTCCCAGCTTAGGGTTTTTAATAAAATAACTTGAGGAAACTTAAGAGGATCCATGTCTGACTACCCAATGTGCTATATTTTTGCTAGAGAAGGAACTTGATAAGTACCTGTTGAATTAAAATTAACATTCTGTGCTCAAGAAGTGGGTATAATATTATCCATTGTGGCCTTATTTTCGGGGCAGAAGATTAAAACAACTTAAATATCTATTTAGAGACCACTGGTTAAATGGAGTTTGGTATGCCTATATAGTAGAAGACCATGTACCTGTTGGAAAGATTGAAGTAGGTCTGTATGCACCAATATGAAACAGCATCCGAGACACGGTATTAAGTAAAAAAAAAAATGGAATAAAGAGTGATGTTTATGGTATGCTGATATTTGTTATAAAAAGGATGTGTGGGTGTGATATGTGCACAGAATATTTCTAGGATACAAAAGAAATTGTTAACAGTGGTTGCTGATTAGGAGGGGAATTTCAGTGCAGTCTAGTACAAATAGAAAGAAACAATATCTATAGCCTCTTGATATGTTGGGAACAGAGTGACCTCCTAAGTATAGAAGGTGCAGCAGTGTTTAGGCCAGGAAGGAGCTACCTCCAAGAAGAAGTTGCTGGTAAAGCCCGGACACACAGCTTAGGCACAAAAGCCCAGCTTCCCATCTGCTGTGTGGGTGGGTGGCTCCTCTGCAGGTCAAAGCGTGATCATGCCAAATCGACGGCCAGCTTCTCTGTCACAGCAGCCTAACTGAGGAAGTTGGCTGCAGCAGAACTCCTCTGCATCCCCGCAGTGCACCCCCACTTCTTCCCAAGTAAGGCCCCGCCAAGCTGGAGAGGAGATCTCGGGCGCTGCTCACCCCAAAGATTCCTCCTCGAATCAGTCTGGACATTGTTTTGCACCAATCCCCAAGTCTGACTTTGGTTTATGATCGGGTTTGTTGGGGCTCAGAAAAAAATGAAACCCCAAAGTGTGGCACTTTGGTGTGCAGAGTACTTTGAACTAAAGGAGACTGGAAAGCCTCCAAGGAAACCTCAGAAACAAGGTCTCCCTCTCCGATCTTCTCCTGCCCTCCTGTCTCCTCCTCTTCTTTCTCCCCTGAAGCAACTCGCAGAAAGCAGAATTCCTCTTTCTCAAGGAGGGTCATAGAAACTAGAACCCCTTTCCCCCAAAGCAAGCCATAAAACCCTAGAAAAATTACTCTAACCTTCCCCTGCCTTTCTGTGTAGACAGTGACGGTAAAGAAATTCTCTGACCTACCTTGCCTGATAGTAGGTAATAAGACCCTCATTCCAGGGGGGTCCTGCCCTGATCCCTGGAGGAAAAAATGCTACAGACTGCAGCCAAGAAGAATCGGAACACACAGGCCTTGCTGGGCTTCCCCTTCCATTTATTAGCCTTAGATCACAGCCTTTTGCCCAATCACATTTCTGCCTGGCCGTTCATTCTGCATTAAATCTAAGCATAAAAATGAACAGTTTTCCTTGGATCTTTGGGTTTTCATTTCTAAAAGCTCCCATGTCATGTAAAACTTTGATGAAAGAAATATGTTACCCTTTTCTCTTGTTACCCATCTTTTGTCATAGTATTGGCCGTGACTCTTATGATAGGTGAGGAAAGGTATCACACCTCTTCACTCCTACAAGTTCAGTGTATTTCTGAGTTTGGCTCTCAGCTTTAATTTTATTCCCTGCTTTGCCTAACGGAAATTTATTCTTCAGTTTTTAGCTAAACTATTTCTCCTCAGACTGTTTCCTGTCATAAACTCATGTCTCACCCTGCCCTTCTTTTTATCACTCGTCACATCTGTTATTTTAATTGTTTAACTTCCGTCTTTCCTAAGACAGGCATCAGCTGAGCACAGTGCCTGTTTAGTTCATAGGCACATTCCTAAAACCTTGCACTGTGCCTTGCACATACTAGGCACTCGAACGTGTTGGAGGAATGAATGAATGAACGATTTATAGCACACTGTCAGCAAACTTTCAAAATGAAACATCCAGAGACACCTAATATAGGGAACATTTTATTTGGAAAGATTTTGAGCATCATTCTCTTTTCATTTTTTATTAAGGCAGTAACATTCTTTCTTCCTGGAGGCGGAGGGGGGAAATCATCTGAGGCTACAGTAAGTTCAATCTGAAGTCAAAACCAACCAATTTGTATTCAGAAGCAGCAAAAATACTGGTTATGGGCTGGGAGGAGCCACATGTTGGCTTTCTGAGTCCACTGCCAAGGAACAGATCCAGAGCAATGCATTTCAATTGCTTTGAAAAATGGCTAAGTTCCATTACATACCACCACTAAAGAAGATACCTCATTGATGGAGCTTTTCACCATGATAGAGGGCGTCTTGCATTGGTTCACAATGGCCTGTTGCTTTTTAGCCTTCAGTTGGTTTAGGGGGAAATTGCTCAACCTATGAGACCTGCTCAAATTCATACTGTTCTGGTTTTGCTTTGGAATTCTTTGTCCAGTAAATTAGCTCTTCATAACGCAGTTCCACCATTTCTTATCCAGCATAGATTCATTCTGCCCTTGACAGCTGGCTAGGTGTGTGTGTATGTGAGTAGGGGTGCTATTGATTGGCACATATTGTCCCCCCTGGAGTTTAGGGGTGGCAGAAAGCTTTTATAGTACCAAAAAAGTAAACATTGATAATATGGCCTGACAACAATCAGATATGCTAAGCTCTAGAAGCAAAAGCAAGGTAGGATTGCCTCCAAATGTTGACAGGTATTAGCCATACCACAGTAACTAGATCTAATGTGAGGGCTAAATGCCTGGAGAGGCAGAACCCTAAAGGATGCTTAGTTATAGCTCCATGCTGCCGCCGAGTGGCTTGATGCTCCATTACACCCTCCTTGGATCCAACCTTCCATTAAGGCTGAAGGCTCTAGAGGGCAGAGTATTCAAGATGTTAGATCTGGTCCAAGCCCAAATTCTAGAGTTAAAAGCAGAGGGGTTCTTAGTGGCTGAAAAAAAACAAAACCTGATGACATTTGGGACTCCAGTTTTGAGGAAAGGCTCTGATGATGAGGCTTACTTCTGCAGGCTACCAGAGACTCCTGAGACTTCAACAGCTTGACTGATTTATCACACACTCCAAGTGGCCCAGAGACAAGGACGGCCAGAAGAGATGGGCCCCCCCGGAAGGCATGGTTCCAAAAGTGTGAGGAGCAAAGTCAAGGGAGGCAGGGTAGGAAGAGGGGACAGAAAGAGGGGCTTGCAACAGATCAAATGCTGACCTCCAGGAACAGGGTTTAGGGCAGGTGTGATGTTTCCCCTCCTGGCCCTCATCTTGAACAAAGAAAAGGGAAGCCACATGAAGCTGGTTTGAAAGATTATATCAAAATTAATACCACTGCAGCTTCTATCCTTGGCTAATGGCAAAAGCGAGAAGGGTACCTGGAAAATAACTTCTTTCTTTTCCTCTAGATTTTCGAAGAAGCAAATAAATCAAGAATAGAAACCTATATATAGGAGGTTGGGCCTCCTGCAAAGAATGAAGCACTTTTTGTTAAATACAGGAGAGGCTACTTGGCTGCACTAATATGTGCTTTTTGGAATCTTATAGAGTGTCACCAAGTTGAACTTTGGAATGGCTTGAATCATCCCTGGAGCATCTGTGCCGGGCAGTCAGGAGTGAGTGCACCGCCTCCCACCCAGCCCCATTGGGCCTCACACCCTCTTCATTCCTTTCCCCATGAGGCAGGCAAACACGGTCATGACCATTTTGGGGTTCACTTCAACCAGGTCTTCTGGCAGGGCATACACTCTTGCTCCAATTTTTCGGGCCATAGAGATGGCATATCTAAAAGGGAGAAAAGAGGAAAAATAAGGAGAGCCTGAGAAACACAACACGAATGGGACCCTGGAGGGTCACAGTCACAGTCGTTCCATAGTCAGGACAGAACTCACTCCTGCAGTGGCTGGAGTCAGTCACCAGCATCCTCACACTTTTGTGGACAAATTTTGGCTCAACCAAAGATTCTGACAAAGCATCAGACTTGCTGGCTAGTCTCGTGATCATTATCAAGTGTATTATTTGTCCTTGGAGACCTCTTCAGCTCCTGCCTTTTTTTTAAGTTAAGTTTTTTTTTTTTTTTTTGTAGAGACAGGGGTCTCACTATGTTGCCCAGGCTGGGCTTGAACTCCTGGCCTCAAGAGAAGCTCTTGCCTCAGCCTCCCAAAGCACTGGGATTACAGGTGTGAGCCACTACAGCACGTGCTGCCACTTTTGATACTCACACCAGGAGTATTCTCTTGGGCTACATAGCAGCATAGCAGAAAGAGTCACAGAACTGAATAAACATGTGTGCTAGGAAAAGTTTGCAGACTACATTTCAACTACAGTAACATTTTGACAAGGAACAAAAGAGGAAAAATGTATAATATCCTGACCTTGGCCAGGCGCGGTGGCTCACGCCTGTAATCCCAACACTTCGGGTGGCCGAGGCGGGTGGATCACAAGGTCAGGAGATCGAGACCATCCTGGCCAACATGGTGAAACCCCATCTCTACTAAAAATACAAAAAATTAGCCAGGCGTGGTGGCGTGCGCCTGTAGTCCCAGCTACTCAGGAGGCTGAGGCAGGAGAATCGCTTGAACCCGGGAGGCGGAGGCTGCAGTGAGCCAAGATCGTGCCACTGTAGTCCAGCCTGGGCAACAAAGTGAGACTCCGTCTCAGAAAAAAAAAAAATCCTAGCCTTACACATCAATTTTTTTATTCTTTGTTCCATTCCAATTCTTGCCCACATATATTTGTACTTATTTATGGTACTATAATATAGAGTAGCCAGAGATTTATATTCCATATTTTCACATAGAATGATAATAGCTGCATCAGAACATTTTTGCTCTATTTGTAGATATATGAAGATAAATTTCATTAATTGTAATTTATTTTCAAATGAGCCCACACTACTACCTGGCAGTTCTTTTATTCACCTCGTTTATTATCTAGTGACCTCTTACTATGGTTACACCAGACACTCTTCACTCTACCCAAGCCCACATTTACTACCTCCTGCTCTCCTAAAATTACTTTACTTTTACTTTATTGATCAAATTAAATTAAGAGCATCAGGCATGAGTGGTCCCATTTTTTCTCCTTGTCTCTCTCTCAATAACTTCTTCCATATTAATTATTAACAAAGTAAAATTAATTTTTCCCCATTATAAAACACAGAGGGAAAACGGTCTGAAAATTAAAAGGGAGCTTCAAACAAAATCACACACAATCTTGCCACCATGACATAACCATTCTTCGCATTTTGTGTAATTTCTTTCACCCCTTTTTCTAAGTAATTTTGTATCTCGCCCTCACAGGAGAGTGCTTAGGGGTCTGGGCTCTGAAGTTGGACTTTGAATCTCAGCTGCACAACTGAAAAACTGTATGGCCTTGGCAAGTTTCTTAAACCTAATCACACTCCCCTTGAACATCTGGGCTGAAGGCTTTTTACAATTTCTGGGTCTTCATATGTGTTTTTCCTTCTGCCTGGAACATTCTTCCTCTCTCCTTCACCTGTCTACTTCCTTCTTACTTGTCTTTTCAGTTGAGCTCAGCTGAGCTGCTATTTGCTCTAAAGAGCTCTAGTCCCCTTCCTATCCCTTCAGGGATGCCTCATACTGTCCCTTCCACACCTCTCATCACAATCTATTGTAATTTTAGTTTAATTATTTATTTCTCTCCATTAAATTGTGTTAAACTTTGGCATCCCGAGAGCACAGGTTCCCACTTTCCCAAACTGGGAACAGAGAGAAGGGCTCTGTTGGGATTATAAAGCAGGGATGCCGGGCACTAGATACTTGTATCTTCTAGACCTGTGGTATGAGCTGAATTGTGTCTCTTCGAAATTCATATGCTGAAGTCTTAACCCCCAGCACCTCAGAGTATGACCCTAGTTGGAAAGAGGGTTGCTGCAGATGTAAGTAGTTAAGACGAGGTCATGCTGGAGTTGGGTGGGACCTTAATCCAGTAGGACTGGTGTCTTTCTAAGAAAAGAAGTGTCGCAGAGAAACACAAAGCGGGAAGACAGCCGTGTGAAGTCACAGACACGCAAGAAGAATGCCATGTGAAGATGGAGGCAGAGATTGGCATGGGGCAGATTCTCCCTCAGAAGAAACCAATCCTGCCAACATCTTGATTGCAAACCTCTAGCTCCTATAACTGTGAGAGAAGAAACTTCTGCTGCCCAGTTTGTGCAGTACTTCGTTGTGGCAGCCCAAGGAAACTAACGGAATCTGATCTGAGAAAAGCACCTGTCTGGAGCAGATGTTCATTAACTTTTTTTGCAAAAGACTGGATGGTAAACATCTTAGGCTTTGTTGCAACTATGCAACTCTGCTGTTATAGCAGGGAAGCAGCTATAGACAAGATGCAAATGAATAGGCTCTGTTTCAATAAAACTTTGTTTAGAAAAGCAGACAACAGGGCAGATCTGGCTCAGAAACTGTAATATGCTGATACTCACTCTAGAGGAATCATTTGGCAGGTGACCTGAATGGTAAAACACAAGACAGTGGCTTTCACACTGGCAAAGGCTCTGCTGTGGAACCCTACCCCTGTGCATTCTTATCCATGAATATTCATGAATGGAGCATTTGGTTAGGAAATTGGTTTTATGAAACTATAGGCTTGCTTATCAATTACAAGAATACTCTCATTATTGGGTTGTTTTTTTTTTTTTGTCTTGCTCCCATTCTGGCACTAGAAGTTTTAAACTACTATTGTCCCATATCCAAAACAGTGATGATGAGACTGCAGAAAGTCATGAGAAGGAAAAGCACGGATAGTGAAAATGAAATGTTTGTATAAAGGCATGAGCATTAGACTTTACAACCATCCAGCTGCCAGTTGGGTCCTTCCCTCCCAATCTGAGGTTTATTTTTATTTACGTACTTTGCATTGTTGAGTTTCTCATCATCATTCAGATTTTCTGTCTTCAGAAGGTCATAGTTAATGGAACCTGGTTGGATGGCATCGATGAGGTCCAGAACAGGCAGACTTGTACTAATCTTCGGGTCCTATGCAGAGACACAGGGAGGGTTTCATCAACGTGTCCCAAAGTTACTCCCATTCAGCTCAAAGGAAGTGGGTGGCTTTTTCTTCCTAAATATATAATATATACAGCCTGGTCTGGGAAATGCAGCAGTATTCCACATAGTGTTTCAAATAAACTGTAGTTTCTGTAGGAGCATCAGTAACTTCCCAGAAAACCCACCGTCTACCAACAGCAGGTAGTCATTCTCAAATAATAAATGGAAGGAAGTTAGCACAACTAGAGAAAGACGTAAAGTTAAAATAGTGGATTGTGTCAAGCATATGAAAAAATGCAAAAATGCTCGGCATCACTAATCATCACAGAAATGAGGACCAAAACCACAATGAGATACCACTGCACACCATTCAGAAGGGCTATTACTAAAAAGTCAAAAAATAACAGATGCCAGTGAGGTTGTGGAGAAAAGGGAATGATTACACACTGTTGGTGGGAATGTAAATTAGTTCAGCCCCTGTGGAAAGCAGTTTGGAGTTTTCTCAAAGAACTAAAAATAAAATTACCATTTGAACCAGCAATCCCAATATTGGGTACATACTCAAAGGAAAATAAATTATTCTTCCAAAAAGACACCTGCATGCTTGTGTTCATCGCAGCACTATTCATAATAGCAAAGATATGGAATCAACCTAGGTGCCCATCAACAATGAACTAGATAGAGAAAATGTGGTACATATACACCATGGAATACTATGCAGCCACAAAAGAGAATAAAATCATGTTATTTGCAGCAACATGGATGCAGCTGGAGGCCATTATCCTAAGTGAATTAATACAGTAACAGAAAACCAAATACTGCATCTATTCACTTATAAGAGGAAGCTAAACATTGAGTATGTATGGACATAAAGGTAGGAACAATAGACATTGATAAATACAAGCAGGGGGAGGGTGGAAGTGGGTTAAAGGTGAAAAACCACCTGTTCAGCACTATGCTCACTATTTGGGTGACTGGTTCAATGGAAACCCAAACCTCAGCATCACACAATATACCCTTGTAACAAACCTGCAAATGTACTCTCTGAATCTTTTTTTTTTTTTTTTAAAGAGTGGGTTGTGTTCATTTTTAAAAGGGCTTCACATAAAAGGAATGTGGGGCTAGTATGACATTTCTTTCAGTACATTATGTGGCCTCTTTTACTTAATCAATTCTGCAACAACTTACTAAGAAGACAGGAGAAAATGAGCCCCGAGTGTTACAAGGAGCAAAAGAATTGCCAAACCTTTCTAATAGTGAACCCCAGCATCGCTTGTCAAACCTTGTCCCCATAAGAACACCCCAGAAGCCACAGCCTAATGTAATGGGCTGGAGCAGCAGCTATTTTACGGAGAGAAGCACCCCTGGGCTATGTAACTGGCCACTTCATATTAACAGCTAAGTGACCTATAGATACACTACACTCTACAGCCTCACCCCACAGGTAAAAGGCATTTTCCTCCCATTTGTGGACCATCACATACAATTACTAGCCATACTCTTAGGAAGTTACTTGAGCTTTGATGTCCTCACCTATAAAATGAGGAAAACAGTAAAGCCAGCTTCACAATGTCAGCGAAGATGCCCTAAGACATGAACAAGGAGCCCCTGGTAGCCAGAGCCCATTCAATATCTAGAGCTCCTTTCAACTTTGCTTTTCTTTACTGCCTTTCCAAATCTCTTTCTGGAAGAATCTGCTTGCCGCCTTTCCAAATCTCTTTCTGGAAGAATCTGCTTGCATCAGTGACCAGCATCCACTCCTAACTCTGCTCAGCTCTCCAGACTGAACAGTAGGCTGGAGATAGAGCAGAGGTGACGGTTATCTGTGATGAGCTCACAGCAGGTGGACACTCCTGCGACAGCCCTGCCCTGACAATATCTTCTGCTACTGCTTGTGGAAAGAGATTTTCATTTTTTCTTGATTTTGAAACACAGGATGGATATCATGACGAACCACCTCACCAACCCTGTTAATACAACTCGGAAGGTGTTCCTCCCCCTAATCCTGACCTTCAAGCTAGAAAAATGTAGTTAAGATGGCACAGGCATTATGATGATGTGGATCAAGTGCACACGTCCTTTGAGGAGGAATCCAGTTAATGCATGAAACATGAGTCAAGAAATTTAATAAAATGCTGCTATTAATAAAAATGAGATTTAGATAGAAGTACACAACTGCTTTTTTACAAAAAACATCACAAGGGAGATCTTTGAGCATTTTACATGTCACCATTATAATATTAATCTGAATCATGGAGGTGCCCACATTTTACGAATACTATCATAGTTTATATTACTTTGAAAGAACAATGCCTAAAATCTTGCTTTTAAAATCATGGATTTTAAGTGGGAACTAAGCACTGAGTACACATGGACATAAAGATGGGAATAAGCCAGGCATGGTGGCTCACGCCTATAATCCCAAAGCACTTTGGGAGGCTGAAGCAGGAGGATCTCTGGAGGCCAGGAATTTAAGACCAGCCTGGGCCACATAGTGAGACCTCATTTCCAAACAAACAAACAAAAATTGCTGGGCATGGTAGTGTGCACCTGTAGTCCCAGCTCCTCAGGAGGCTGAGGCAGGAGGATCACTTGAGCCCAGGAGGTTGAGGCTGCAGTGAGCCACAATCATGCCACTGTACCCCAGCCTGGGTGACAGAGTGAGACCTTGTCACAAAAAACAGATATGAAAAGTAAACATAAATAATAAAAAATATTAAAAAATAAATTAAAATTAAAAATATAAAAATTAAAATTAAAAATAGACAGTAGAAACTAGGTGAATGGGGAGGGAGGGAGGAGGACAAGGGCTAGAAAACTGCCTGTTGGGTACGATGCTCCATACCTCGCTGGTGGATTTATTTGTACCCCAAACCTCAGCATCACTCAATATACCCATGTAACAAATCTGCACATGTACCCCCTAAATCCAAAATAAAAGTTGAAATTTTTTTTACTGATGGGTTTTTATGATTAACTTATGGGAGAAAGTATTGAGAAATTCATTAATGAAATGGCTGATGAACATCAAAACAATAACGAGTCATTTAAGCAAAATTGAAATGGGAGGGGGAGCCTCTAATACCTACCACTGAAGGTCACTTGAACACATAATGAAAACAATACAGATAGGCATAGAGCTCAGATGGCCTCTAGCAGAAGACAAAGAATTTTACCTTGAAACTAGAGATGGATGAACTTTTCTTTGCTTCCCTCAATGTTTCATTCACCCAGTTGACAATAATGTCATCATTGACCTTCTGGCCACCACCAATTTCTTCGAGGATATTCAGTGTATACCTGAACAAAATAAAGAATGCTTTCTGGAGAACAGTTGCTAAAGAATTTAATATAAACAAAAAGTAGCTAAGGATGGAATTTTTTTTTCGGGTATGTCATAGAAGACAGTCTGGACACCATTACATTTGAGAGAAAAAAAGAACATATTACAACATTAGTTCCTTTTAGAATAACTTAAGACGTGACTTTATGGCTAGTATAATGAAATGTAAAGCAGATACCTCCTTTCTAAGCATGATCATTGCTCTGAGCAAAAAGAAAAAGCCAAAGGGAAAAAATGCAAGGAAAGGAAAATGAAGGAAAAGATTCCAACCTGTGGCAATTTAAAAAAGATAAAAAATCAAGCAATAACTCAATGTTGGAAAAGTCTGAGTAGCCTACATGATAAAGAAAAAGTATAAAATACTTTTTGCCTTATATAAGTAAAAATGTTAGAAATATGCTGACAAAGATAATCTTTAGTCTGAAGGTAAGAATTACCTTAGATACCTACTGTTATGAGAATTGGTTTGTTTGTTGTTTTGGAGGGGTTGGGGGACATTTATTAAGAAGAGGCTTTAACCTCTTAAAATTCTATAGACTAGGCCAGGCGCCAGTAATCCCGGCACTTTAGGAGGCCAAGGTGAGCAGTTCACTTGAGCTCAGGAGTTCCAGACCTGCCTGGGAAACATAACGAAACCCGGTCTCTACCAAAAACACACACAAAAAATTAGCTGGACATGGCAGCGCTTGTCTGTAGTCCCAGCTACTAGGGAGGCTGAGGTAGGAGGATTGCTTGAGCCTGGGAGGCAGAGGTTGCAGTGAGCTGAGATAGTGCCACTGCACTCCAGCCTGGGCAACAGAGTGAGACTCTGTCTCAAAAAAAAAAAAAAAGAAAAAAAAAAAACCCACACTGTCTCTGGAGCAGAGAAGAACCACCATTCCCTAAAGCTACTCACTTCTGAAAGGGAAATGCATGGGAGAAAGCCCAGCAGTCCAGGAACACATGGGTTTGTGGACTTCATGGTTCAGGTTGGCAGGAGGGGATCAAATTACACATGAAAGACCTTCAGGGCTAGAATTACAGTGTGTGCTTCTCAAACTGAAACTCAAGAATCCTGTGACTGAATCTCATCTGACCGGTTCTACCTAAATTCAGGTCACCCTCCACTTGTGTGCTCTAGGATTTTGCTTACATAATCCATCGGGTATCTTCCTCTAGTTCCTGCTCCTATGGACAGTACAGTTCTCCCGTGACTTTCCAGATGGTTTTCAAGTTTAGTCCCTGAAATAAGAGCAATGCCCTGCTTCTTCTAGGTGAAAACACCTTCCCATTATTGAAGAGAGGAAGGAAAATGGCTTGTGCAACTTTTCTTTATCAAAATTCACATTTAAACTGACAGTGATGTCCTATCAATTACACCTCGTAAGTCTCCCTCAAATCAATTAGCTCCTCTTCATTCTGTTTCTCCACCTCACAGAATTTCCTTTCTGAAGTACAGTTCTGGTCTGTCTTTTTTTTTTTTTTTTTTTTAAGAGATGGGGTCTCACTACATGGCCCATGGCCCAGGCTGGAGTGCAGTGGATATTCACAGGTATGGTCATGGCTCACTGCGCCCCCGAACTCCTGGGCTCAAGCAAGCCTCCCTAGTACGGGATGGACCACAGACACATGCCACAGCTCCCTGCTTGGTCACATTTAATGTGATTCGACATGGCCCAAAGAATACAGGTTAAGCTCCAGCACACAGCACACAAGGCCCTTTACAATTTGGCTCTAGTATTCTTTTCCAGCACATCTGTGATTTCCTTCTTCCCTCTCTGCTTCCTTGCCCATCGTGTGCTACACACACACACACACACACACACACACACACACACACAAAGACCTATACACATTTCAACCACACAGAACCATCAGCAGCTCCCCAGGCACACCTCCATCCTCCTTCTGCCTCCTGCTTCTGGGACTCATCTGTACTCACTACCTGGGCCCCCTTCCCTTCTAGTGAATTCCTAATCATTTGAACAATCCTCAGCTCAAGTATCACTTTTCCAGCTTGCACAGTGTATTCATCAGTATTGGTATACTTGCTTCAAACCTGTTCCCAGAACTTGTGATGGCATTGGTATCCACCGTGTGCCCTCGGACAGGGTCCATGTGCCCTGTTCATCAGAGGTTAGCAGACTGCCTAGCACTACTGGACATCTAGTAAATGAAGGCACAGAGAGGCGGGTGAAATAAATAGAGTGACTGTCTCCCAGGGAAAGCAAGGGGATAAGAAAGATGTTTAGTCTGGTCCAAGAGATGGGACCAAAATGCTGAGAAATCATGAGTATAAATGGGGTAAGTGCAGATAGATTTTCAAAATATTTCTAGTTTGGAAAAGATCCTACTTTTGATCTCTTCATAAAGGTTACATTTTATGGCATAACTGGCTTCTTATTTCCAGATAGCATGCATATTAAGTTATTAGCATTTACTGTAACATCTAAGAATTTCTGCCTAATGAACATCTGAATTAAAAAAAAGGTAGGTTAGTGCTTGCTTCATTAGGTCCTCTCTATATATAACCTGACGGAACAAACTAAGTTTAATCAGTCTTCTGGTAGCTTCTCTTGTCCTGAGACCTAGTTCTCACTTCCCTTCATCAGGAGTTGCAGCCCGGCGTTGTCCACATGCTCATGTAAACGGCAGCAGTGTTCTTGACCCACCTCCTAAGCCTGGGAACTAAATGGTGCAGAGGGGAAGCCCACCTTTATACTAAAGTTTGTCTGCAAGAGTGAGAAGCTACTAAGGAACAGGGAACCTTATAGAGGTATAGCAAATTGTGGAGGCAGCTTATTCCATGCTGGGGTTTGAGAACAGCCTCTCATAGTGGCACAGAGTTCCAGTGAACACAAGGCAGTCTTTCTGTCACCTCAACTGAGATGCAGAGGTTTGAAATGGAATCAGACACCCACTTGTAAGTAAAACGATAAAAAAAAAAAAAAACACAAAGAGAAGAAAGAATAGAATTAGGCTGGGCCGGGCACGGTGGCTCATGCCTGTAATTCGAGCACTTTGGGAGGCCGAGGCGGGCGGATCACCTGAGGTCAGGAGTTTGAGACCAGCCTTACCAACATGGAGAAACCCTGTCTCTACTAAAAGTAGAAAATTAGCCGGGTGTGGTGGCACAAGCCTGTAATCCCAGCTATTTGGTGGGAGGCTGAGGCAGGAGAATTGCTTGAACCTGGCGGGTGGAGGTTGTGGTGAGCTGAGATCGCACCATTGCACTCCAGCCTGGGCAACAAGAGCAAAACTCTGTCTCAAAAAAAAATTAGGCTAGAGCCTCCATTCTAGATAGTACACTAAGCAATTGCTCATCTAAATACAGATTTGAAATGTAAAACAAAAACTAATTTGGCCTGTGTCTTTCTAGATTTTTCCTTTTGAGATAATTACTGCATATTATCAAACCTGCTTTGGGACGATTGTGCTATTAAATGGAGCCCTCCAGACAAGATCTCAGTATTACCAGTGTTTGTAAAATGTGCTGTGCTGAAAAGCTCTTTGTCAAAATGAAACAGAATTATGAGCTCCAGCTTTAGCCAGTTCCTCCTTCAACAAGAGAGTTGATGAGGTTTGGATGTGAGGCACTAGAGGGATGTGATTAGTACCTGCTTACTTTCCTGCCTTCCAACACTTGTTTTACTTATTTATTATTTGGCATAGAGGAACAAACCAGGCATTTTGTTTTTCAAGGACCCATCCTGACTTCACCATCCACAGCCTGTTTGACCTGGGGAGAGTTTCCTAATTGTCTGCTTCGGATTCTTTGTTCATTTGCTTCAGAGCCATCATTGCCATGTGCTGGCAGCCTGCTTGCTTCAAGGGTTTTATCTGCAAGTTTATGCATATGCTGTTTGCCAACTGTCCACCCTGAGAATGATTTCCAAGCTACTGAAGGGGATAGGGAAGTTTAAGTACATATCTCTCATTTGCTCTCATAGGAAAAAATGACAAGCCATTTATTGTCCAGATAAATGACCAAATTAGCACATCAGCACAATTCAATGAAATAAATTCCAGCTAGAACCAGCTGTAAATTTAATAGATCTTTTAATATATAGCATGCAGGGAAAAAAATCCCTTCCGGTGCCATTTATATAATTATCAGTCATTACTTCTCCTTCTACAGTAATATATTTTTCTGTCTACTTTCTTAAATGCACGATTCTTATGTAGTAAACACTCATGAGAAATATGACTTTTTAACCAGGTGGAGACAGCAACAGCAGAGTGGACCTTGTTGTGTATGTGCCAGCCATTAAATAGGGCTTTGAGCCACATTTTTATAAAACATCCAAAGATCATATTGCAAGACGTTTTTCAGATATTATGAAATTTAACATAGAATGGGGTTGACCTGAGTTTGTTTGTTTGTTTTTTTCTGAGACAGAGTCTCGCTCCGTCACCCAGGCTGGAGTGCAGTGGCATGATCTTGGCTCACTGCAACCTCTGCCTCCCAGGTTCAAGAGATTCTTCTGCCTCAGCCTCCTGAGTACCTGGGACTACAGGCACGCACCAGCATACCTGGCTAATTTTTGTATTTTTAGTAGAGATGGGGTTTCACCATGCTGGCCAGGCTGGTCTCAAACTCCCGACCTCAGGTGATCCACCCGCCTCGGCCTCCCAAAGTACTGGGATTACAGTATGAGCCACCGCACCCGCTGGCTTGAGCTTTTTAATCATTAAAATAGCATATATTAAAGATTATTTAATATTGAAACCCATGAGTCAGTTTAACTGTTGCAACTAAAAGGACTTTTGCTTTGGTTTTTAAAGCAATCAGTATGAATTGCTAATCTGTTAAAAATTTAAAACTTGTGGAAGATAATAAAGATAGCTTGGAAATATCATCTGGAAATACACTGGTGAGAACAGCCCTGAGGAGTTTTCAATGATGTTCTGGATACATGCAGTAAACTAAAAGACAGAGTTGGAGTTTCTTTAGTTCTGGAGTTTTCTGCACCAGGGGAGCCTTATGACATCTGCCCCCATCATTAAAGAGACCCCAGTGTGGAAATGGGTAATGGAGCTCTATACTTAGTAAAGCAAATGTGAATCAGGGAGTGAAATCTTTTATGATCACTTCTGATTATCCTACCTTATCTGGAAATACTGACACGATTACATCCAGAGCCGGCCATTATTAGGATCTGCAGACAGTGGCTTGGAACTAAAGCTGCAGTGCCTAGGCACACCACGAACCTTGTCTTTGCCATTATCTTTCCAGACAGAATGTAATGTGACATGCAGTTTCTGGGGCTTCCTTCCAGGTAGGAAAATGAATTGAGTCACACTAACATAGGATCTAATGAGGGGATGTAAGATTCTTGCCTTGTCAGAGCTATTAGTATAGGGGGAAAGACTGAAGCATTTACAAGTAAATTATTTTATTACTTACAGAATTCCTATCTAAAAGTCTTCCCAAGCTTATGATTTTGTACCAAAATTGTTTCTTTTTCTTATAATTTATTTTCTATTTGTGTATCTTTTTATAACCTATTTTTGTTTAACTAATATCACCCTATACTTCTCACATTAGTCAAGTTTATATTCAGTTCCAAAACATATCTAAAGTTTTGTATGAAAGGAACTTCTGTTTCTGGCCATGATGGAATAACAGGGCCCACATTTAAACACTTATAATACAGTGAAAAACATATGAAACAATGTTGTTCAGACATCAGACAATAGGAAGCACAGGACAGTGGCCCCTGAAAAGAAGAAAACAAAGTTAGCCTTAAGATTTTTCCAGCATGGAAAAAGTTTCCAAGCTGCAGCATAGGAGGAGAAAACCCAAACAGCTGGCCATCCTCTTGAGTGGAGGAAACAGGGATGAGAAATGAAGGAAGCCCAGGTGCCTAGAATTTAGGGGAAAGACTATCAGAGTGGTGAGAACTGTATAGAGAGAAGAGAGTCATTCAGAAAGAAAGCTTCAGCGGCCTTCAGAGGGTTTCCCTCAGTCTTCAGCTGAGGACCACTCAGTGCACATGTGTGAGGAAACTACTAGAGGCTGTGGGGAAAAACCCACCAGAAATGAGCCACGAGAGCAATCCTTGGGGCTCACACAAGGCTGGAAAAATTTGTTCCCACCAGCTGGAGTGGAAAAATTTCATAATACATGAGCATCAAGCAAAGTACTCAGAAGACCATTTTCTCATTACTAACAAGCAAAATGAGCTCTAGATTAATTAAGCTTAAAAGTAAGCCTCAAATGGATCAAACTGTATTTAAGTTACTTAAGTCTATCCCAGGATTAAATTTAAGAATATTTAAAGGAATACAGAAATATCCAGTACACAGCAAGGTCAAATTCATGATATTTGACATATAATTAAAAAATTAGCAGCATGCAAAGAAGCCAAAAAATATGACTCATAATGAAGATAAAAATAAATTAGTAGAAACAGATCCCAAAATAAGTTACTGTAATTATTTTCTGTATGTTCAAGAAGGTAAAGGAAAGGACAGCTATGGGAAATATAAAAATGACTCAAAATTTCTATACATGGAAACTATAATGTCCAGGTTAAAAAACATGTACACTGGATGGAGTTAATGGAATATTAGACATGCAAAATAAAAGAGATTAGTGAACTTGAAAACACAGCAATACAAGTTATACAAAATGAAACATAGAGAAAATAAATCACTAAAGCATCGGTGAGCTTAGGGACAACTTTGAACGATCAAATATACATGGACTTGGAATCCCCCAGAACCAGGGCTGGTGGGTATGGAAGATATGTTTGAAGAGATGAAAGTTAAGTTTTCCAAATTTGATGGAAAGTATAAACCCATAGATTCTATAAGTTCAACAAACCTCAAGCATAAGAAACAACAATGGAGCTGGGCATGGTGGCTCATGCCTGTAATCCCAGCAGTTTGGGAGGCTGAGGCACTCGGATCATTAGGTCAGGAGTTTGAGACCAGCCTGTCCAACACGGTGAAACCCCGTCTCTACTAAAAATACAAAAATTAGCTGGGCATGGTGGCGTGGACCTGTAGTCCCAGCTACTCAGGAGGCTGAGGCAGGAGAATCACTTGGACCCAGGAGGTGGAGATTGCAGTGAGCCAAGATCACACTACTGCACTCCAGTCTGGGCGACAGAGCAAGACTCTGTCTCAAAAAAAAAAAAAAAAAAAAAGAAACAACAATGTACATCATAATAAAATTACCTAAAACCTGTAATAAAGAGAAATCTTAAAATAAGCCAGAAAAGAAATACTACATATGAGGGAACAACAATAAGAATGACAATAGATTTCCCCTTGGAAACAATGTGGGCCAGAAGACAGTGAAACTATCTTTAAAGTACGGAAAGAAAAAACTATCAACTTAGAATTCTGCACTCAGAGAAAAAAATATTTTGAAAATGAAATAGACATTTTCAGACATATAGAAGCTGAAATCACTCATCACCAGCAAACTTGTGCTATTAGAAATATTTTAGGTAGACAGAAAATGATACCAAATGGAAATCTTGATCTATAAAATAGTAGGAAGAGCACTAGAAATAGTAAATGTGTAGATAAATATAGCATAATTTCCCCTTTATTTAAAAAGTCCCTTTAAAAGTAATTGTTATTTACACAGATCAATTGAAGTAAAAGGATGGTAAAAAGATAGGCCATGCTAACCACTAATCAATAGGAAGCCTATAGAAGCAATAGTAGCTATTATCTATTAATGTCAGAAAAAATAGATTTCAGAGAAAAGAATATTAGTAGGCATAAAAAAGACTACTTTATAAGGACAAAGGGATGAGTAAATTAGAATGAAACAACAATCTAAACTGTTTATGAACCTAATAACAGAGTTTCACGATACTTGAAACAAAAACTGATAGGACTGAAAAAAAAAAAGCAGAAAGGTAAAAAGTGTTTCTCTGGTTATGAAGCTTAGCTTAAAACATACTTTTACTGAATTAACTCATACTGCTAAAAATTTGCTAATATTTGTCTAAGTAAATAATGTATTCAAGAAAAAGCCACTTCCATAAGCTATACTACCTTCTCATTAGCTGCCAAATCAAGGCC
This sequence comes from Homo sapiens, assembly GCF_000001405.40. Classification (NCBI taxonomy): domain Eukaryota; kingdom Metazoa; phylum Chordata; class Mammalia; order Primates; family Hominidae; genus Homo; species Homo sapiens. The sequence goes on from NC_000013.11 coordinate 46,142,319, forward strand.
AGTGTGAGAGTGCGGTTTCCTTCATTGAGATCTTGTCCACCGATGCCAACCAGGGAGAACTTCGCTTGATTCTTCCCCAATTCTACCGCGTAGTTACAATTCTCAAGCTGAATGAGCAGAAAGGAAAACGATTTAACGTCATCATCTTGATTATGATAAATACCAGATAAATAATAAAAATAAAGATAAAAAATGAAATAAATATGGTAAGACCGAATGACCTCTCAAGTCTCAACTGGTTCTGCAATTCTAGGATTCAAAATTAAAGAATTTTCCATCTGTCCTTAGAACCCCTCACTTTCATAAAAAATATTCATAATGTGGAAAACTGAAATGAATTCATTACTATGAATATGTTCACAGCTATATCACACTGCAGAAATGGAGAGCCATCCTTAATTACCTACATGTAATATTTCTAAAAAAGGTGAATTCATGGAGATTGACATGGAAAATTTGGAGTCTCCATCCTCTGCACACATAGCAAATGGACATGTGAACAGATATTCCTGTAGCTACGCATGGATCATTAACAGTCACGGCAATAAGAAATGCTGAGAAATGGCTGTGTCAACCCTGTTGTTTCAAAACAATGTTCCCACTGTGTTGACAGTCGACAAACTGTTTGAACAAGTCAAGCTGTCAGTACAAGCTCCAATTCTTTAGAAATTAGAATAAAGATCCTGCTGAGGGAAAAATCCCTGTGGCTCTCTGCTTGCTCTAATTATCTTAATTAGAATTTTTGCATGATAATGTTTGAAGACATCCAACATGGAATTATAAATAAGCAATTGACTGAAATAATGGACACACTTTAATAAAGCTGTTCAGGTTTCTGATTGCTGTACTAGAATTTAATTTCTGGAAAAACATTACTTGTCTACGTTTGGCTGCCTTATAAAGTATTTAGAGTGCTCTTGCAGGCTATGACTTTGCCTGTCTCCTGGAACAACAGAACCATCATTGTTTACCTTCTTCATATTGCCTCCCAGTTTGGGGTATGGCGGTTTGTTTACTCTGTTCCAGTCAACAGGAACTTTGATCTTTTCATAGAGCTGGAAGATGACCAGGGCATCTGATAAGTCACTGAACAAAACAAACACAAAAGGATTCTCAGATATCCAACATTTATTCAGGGCCTACAATGGGCCAGACACTTTCTTACATATTAGTTCAAAGAATATTCACAACAACCCTGCACACTTGGTAGTCGTAGCTCCATCTATAGAGGTGAAGAAACCATGACTCAGAGAGATTGGGGGACTCACTCTTCCCAGGTGTGACTAGCTATGCCCTTCCATCCAACATATGCTGCCTCAGGAAAAGAAAGAGCACTATGGTGACGAAATAATCTGTACACCAAACCCCTGCAACATGCAATTAACCTATATAACAAACCTGCACATGTCCCCTGTACCTAAAGGTTTACAATTTGTAAAACTAAATAAATGTAAAAGAAATATTTAGAACGGGCGCAGTGGCTCACGCCTGTAATCCCAGCACTTTGGGAGACCAAGGCGGGTGGATCATGAGGTCAAGAGATCAAGACCATCCTGGCCAACAAGGTGGAACCCCGTCTCTACTAAAAATACAAAAAATTAGCCAGGCATGGTGGCAGGTGCCTGAAGTCCAAACTACTTGGGAGGCTGAGGCAGGAGAATGGCGTGAACCCGGGAGGCAGAGCTTGCAGTGAGCCGAGATTGCGCCACCGCACTCCAGCCTGGGCGACAGAGCGAGACTCCATCTCAAAAAAAAAGAAATATTGAAAAAAAAAAGAAGAAAATTGCTTTAACAAGTGGCATAGGAGACACTTCACCACAAACTTAACATCTGTTGTTTTGCCTGCTTGTGAGCGGGTTATATGTAAGATCACTTATGACATATAGTAAATGTTTCATTTTGTTGAGGTATGATTTATATATTGAGCACACAGTGAGACTGATGTATGCAGGTGAGTTTTTCAACTGAATATCCAACATCTGAAGCTCAACTTGGCACTTTTTCCCCTTCCAGCAAGGTATGCACATTTTGTGAAGAGAATGCACATCATAGTGGTATTTGGAATCCTATGGCTCTTTTGAGGTCTCTATCTTACATTAGAATGAGTTCCCAAATATTCCTACCTGTACAAATGATTGACTCGAGGGTTAACACCCAGGGAGTTCATCCAGTTCCTAAATGTCCGCTCTTCTCTCGTCTCACCTAGATGAATGAAGATGGGTTATCTTTTGGGACCGAAGAAAACATAGCTTTTTTATGACCAAAGTTTAACTAAAGAGGATGCAATAAAAACTGAAAGTAGAATGAAAGAAAGAAATAAAATAAACTGTATTGGATTTGGACGAGGGTTCTTATACTGTGTTAATTTTTCTTTTCCATTTCAATTCCGCATGTATTTCTATAGTATCTATTAATAGTGTGTGGAATCCTGTGTGGGGTAGCTGTTCAGTTGGCTCTCAAAGGCTTACCTTCTTGCTGGAAAAAACAGGACTTTTAGGCATCAAACAGAGATCATACAAGCTACAGAACTCACTTATGAGGTAGATATATTTGTTATTTGAATTGAGACAGGGAAAAGAACAGTATGGACTGAACTTGGAAGGGGTGGAATTTGAACTTGTCCTTGGATAGCTAGCAAAATCTGGATCAGAAAAAGGAAAGAGTAGAGGATTTGGGGAGATAGCAAGGGGTGGGAGTAGAAGGTAGTATAAATATGCATACAAAGGGAGCAACAGGCAAGGTCTCTATTAAGAACATCAGGAACTGGTTTGGTCAGGGGTGTGTGTTGTACAGCCCAATGAGATAAGCCTATCTGGAAGAAGGATTCAGAATTGGGGATCTTTGGATACCAGGTAGCAGATTTTAGTTGACAGACAACGGCAGTCATTATGGCTTTGTAAAATTACTACAATAAATTCTTGAGCAAGGCAGAGATATAATAAAATCAGTACCGGGATGTGACTGGCAGCAGTGTGCAGAATCACTGAAAGGCGATATGCATTTGAATTAAACACGGCAGAGGACAGAGTGTTTGACATTAGCATGTGGGATACATTCAAGCATTTGATAAATGGAGACTCCAAGATCCATTAAAATAATTAGTGTATGAGGTAATGAGCTTGGAATAGCATAAAAGAAACATAACAATTGAGAAAATGTTCCAAAGGAAGAATTATTAGTATTTGCTGATTTAGTGGATGTAGGGATGAAGGATAGGAAGATATAGTAGGATCCAAGCTCTTTAGTTTGGTGACTAAAGAAAAAAAAATGGTATGATTAATGGAAATGGAGCATTTCTAAAAGAGGGCAGGCCGGGCGCGGTGGCTCACGCCTGTAATCCCAGCACTTTGGGAGGCCGAGGCGGGCGGATCACGAGGTCAGGAGATCGAGACCATCCCGGCTAAAATGGTGAAACCCCGTCTCTACTAAAAATACAAAAAATTAGCCGGGCGTAGTGGCGGGCGCCTGTAGTCCCAGCTACTTGGGAGGCTGAGGCAGGAGAATGGCGTGAACCCGGGAGGCGGAGCTTGCAGTGAGCCGAGATCCCGCCACTGCACTCCAGCCTGGGCGACAGAGCGAGACTCCGTCTCAAAAAAAAAAAAAAAAAAAAAAAAAAAAAAAAAAAAAAGAGGGCAAACGGGATGGGAGGTGGGCTGGAAAGGCAATGGTTGGGGGTGGGAGGGAAAATAATCAATTCTGTTTTGCATATGCTGCACCTCAAATGATAGCCAAGGATCCAAACAGGAATATTCTAGAAGCAGCTGAAATGGGTGATTTGTGGGCTTGATATATAGATTTGGGAGTCAACAAAATACACACAACCCCCTGACCATAATTCAGCAAATGACACCAATGCAGGAGTGTTGGAGCACGATTATGCTGCATTTCTAGTGAGAGTAAAGCACTGTGGAAAAGGATCAACTCATACTTCAAATCTGAATCTCCTTGCTTGGGTGATATTCATTTAATATTAGTTGACCTTTGTCTCAATATTGGGACTAGTTCATGATTTTTTTAAAAAAGTCAAGTAAACATCTCCAGCACCTCTACCTGGTAGAACGTAATTAAAGCTATATGCTTTTTGTTGAATCTTAGAGCATTAACCTGAAAAATACAACTGTTAGGGATTCTGCCTCAAAATACTTTTCTGTGGCTCCCGTAAGAAACAAAAGAAAACCAAAAACTCAGTAAGCATATCCCAGCATACCTTAAATATCATTTTTTGGAAATGGATGGTGGCAATTTCTTGTCTCTAGGAATCAACACAGTCCATTAAGTACGTAAATTATCTTTTTGAAACTCAGGATTTATTTCATCTAATAACTAAATGCATTATCTTTCCTAAAACATTTAATTCTGATAATGGATGAACGCTTTGTTAATGGACGTGATAGAATGGTATTTGATTATTCCTGCTTGGCTGAAATTGACTTGATGAATCTATTTATTCTCTTTGTTGCATACCAGAGAATTAATGGCCTGTTTGCACATGTAAATAGTTTATATTTGCTTAGGAAGTGAGTTTGAATTGCCATTGAATTAGAATTGTGAGTGCCTTTCCCCATCTTAGGCAAATCGTTTACAGTTACCTTCAAGAGCCCCCCAGTCAATGTCCTGGTTCTCTGGTTTGTGCAGGGCAGGGTATCTGTTAAAGAGGTTGGCAATAAAAGCCAAGTTCAACTTGGGGTTCCCTCGGACAACATCTGTGGCTGTGACAAACTGCCGGCAGCCCAGCCTCTCCGCCTGCTGCAGCATGCATTCTGCCCTCTGGATGTCATCCTTCTCCTGCAATGCAAAAGGATGTCTCAGGGCTGGGTCAAGGCTCTCCATGCACAAAGCAGATTGCATAATGTGAAAAGAAATGGGAATCTCACTGAAATCATTAGTGTTTATCTCAGGCAGACACTTAATAACAGCACATTATTGCCTATATGCACCTGCACCAAAATCAGAAAGTCACAAGTAAAAGGAATCTCAGAGGTTAAGTAACAAGGATCTCTCATCTCCTTTATCAAACTATTTCAGATGAGTGGTTGGTTGCTCTGTTTCAAAAGAGATGCAGTAGATTCTGAAAACTGATCATTTGAGTTTATCTTAATTATTTCCAACCATTAAGATTCCTTTTTATTATTTGTGTGCACAGATGACATGAGATTGTCTATCAAAAATTTTATTTATTAATTTATATTCCCATAACCAGTTCACAAAAGATATTTACACTTGCCAGTAAGAACATATGATTAGCATAACCACTGTCTCCACATTGAGTTGGTATACTTGCAACCCAAATAAAATAAATTTTATCAGTTAACCTATGTATTATTATTGATAAATATATAATATCAATTTTATTTTTGCAGACTTCAGATTTTGAACCACTCAATGTGCTCAAATAATTCTAGAGAATCTCTAGCCATTTGTAAGTGACTCTTAACCCTAAAATTTTGCTGAAATATGGCCCACTGTCCTTAAAGTACATGAAACCACCAATTTTCAGAAAACAAAACTTTAAATTAGGATGATTTCTTAATATGACCCTTTACTAGATAACGCTACACATTATGCATTTCATGAGCTTTACTTGTCATTTACTTTTACTCTACTTCTCATTAGGAATCAGTTGACTTCAACATGAACTCATTGGATTTAACTCCAGTGATATTAAATGAGGCACAGAAACGGGCAAAGAGACTTCTCAAGATCAGTATTAAAGTGGCGGCAAAACAGAAGTTTTATTATAACATTCAGACCCATGTGGGGTTATAGAGTCTACTAAATGATGAACATATATAGAATTGCCTAGCATGCTGGATGGTGTTTAATTACTATTGGTTTCTTTCTTTAATGTTGTATTTCCAGATTCAGTTTTCATCAATTATTATCCCAAACTGCTCACAGTTTTACCGTTTTAACAGGGCTTTAGGCAGAAATGCCCAGTCATGGAACTCCAGAATCAGGGCCACACAAGGTAATGGAACTGCCAACATGAAAATAGCATCATATTCTCCAAACACAACTGGGACCTGGCCTTACCCGCAGTCCTGACATGTCAATAACAACAGCAGGAACACCTTCTTCATCTCCTTTTGGAGCCACCTGCTCAAGCAGGTGGTAATAAGCTTTTGAGTCCTGTGAGAAATTAAGAAATTCCAATTTCAAAATAGCACAGCTAATTACATACTTAGCATAACAATGATTTCCCAAAAGCAAACATTTTATTTCATATTCAGCTATCATTCCAGAATGTAACTTAACAAAGCTAGAAACATTCACTAATTTGAATGTTCTATTTGTCTCTTTACATATCACATTTGCTTTTCTTTTTAAAAGGAGCGTAACAATAAAATAGACAAGATATACACAAAAGGCACCCTAAAGAAGTGGATATTATTCTGTTGTCTTTAGGGGAGAAAAACAACTTATTTACATGAATTAAATTGTATACAGGAAAATATATATATACCTTTATATTGCTGTAGAAGTCAGTCAGCTAAGGTTTAATTAAAAAAAAGTGACAGAAAAAGGAAGCACAAGTTTAAAGCGAGTTTAAAATACATTTAAATGGACAATCAGCAAGAGAAAAAGATGTCAAAGACAGAAGATTGAAGCATTAACAAGCAATCTTTACGTAAAAGGAGAAATATTAAGAAAAGTGCATTTCATATTTATCTAGAAGCTAGAAAAATGGTTCAATTTAGTTATAGCAGATTAGATACAGGTATTGAATTCTCAAGTTTTCTTAGATTCTGAAAATATGCTTATTGACAAAAAGAATTCTCAGAATTATAGTCTTAAAATATAAATTTATTCTTAGTCAATGAAAGCATACAGATTTTCAGGTAGTTTATTTAAATCATTTAATAGCATCTCAATTTCTCATAAAGATCGAAAAATCAGCTATTATTTTGTTTCTACAACTGGTTAGGGTAGGTAAGGCCTGGGCAGAGGAGAGGTATGCTCACCACTTTTGGCATTAGAAAGAGGAGAACCAGAGAGTGTGAATCATTGATGTTGCACCTGGGGAAAATGATCTTCATCTCCCTTCTATCTACCCTCCCTTCTCTGACTTTTCACTGTAGCTATTTTGAAGTCAGTGAAAGTCACATGCAGGTGTCAGGCACCAATACCATCTGCCTGCCCTGGGTTACATCTTTTTAGTTTGGCTAAGAGTAACCTCATTTCACCTGACTCTCATGAACCTTCTCACTCACTCTAGCCTGGGTGTTCTCCTCGCCTTTGCCAATTTACACGATTTAAAGACATCTCCCAAGGTTGCTGGCTGGCTACTCAGACATACACATGACAGCACGGAGTCAGTTGCCATGCAGCGGCTGCCAGAGAACAGGCACAACACTGTATAAGTAAGTGCTCATCTGGCCAGCTCCTATCTCATACAGACACTTCCCAAAGCACAAAATGGTGGTTCTAGAGAACACAGCCATTTAATGACAGGAAATTAGGTAAATTTACAGCTGAGATCTGACAGCCTAATTTTGTCTGAAAAGTTTTGCAATTGCAGAGCTTAACTGTTGAGCACAAAGGGAGAGCATGACAGCCAGCTCCTGTTAAAACCCAGGTCGGTTGGTGGTGCTAGAAGAATGTTAATAGCCCATGAAAGATGCATAGTTAGAAAGATGGATTTAGCTTAGATCCTAAAAAATGGGGGCTTTCCATCTAGAAGCTTGACTCTGACTGGCACAGTGCCTGACACACGCTGAGTTCTAAATGCCACTGAATGCACGTCATATAGCAGTGGGAAACTGTTACTCAAAGAATTACAAGCCTAGGTGTACTCCTGTTGAGTCATGTGAACTTTCCTCTGACTCTTTCTCTTTGGGGAAAAGTTATTTAATGTTTGAGAAAGTGGAGACTGAAGTATTTTCCTGGTGTTGCATCCCAGCATCTCCTACTCTTTCCTTCTAGGGACCGCTTTCCATTCCTTTCTGCTCCTTAACCACTTTCTATCTTCATCCATCTGTCATCATTGCCAATAGCTGTTTTCTTTCACCTTGACAGGGAACTTTTCATATACTTGAAAACCACAGTGTATTCCTGCCTCAGCCTTTCCCCTATGGACCTCTTTGTCTCTTTATCTGTAAAATGAGAGGATAATAACCCTTACCTCATGGGGTTGTTGTAAGGATTCAATAAGAGAATACACATATAAATCAGTTAGAACAGTGCCTGGCATGTTGCAGACACCATGTTTGCTGTTATTAGTATAACTAGAAGAGTCATCTTCATTTAATTTTTTACAGGGAATTCCCATCTGCTGCTCCCATTTATGAAACCAGAGACATTACAGACCTACATATATTCCCTTTACTTGGACAGCAGACTGTTCTCTTGCTCTTCCTCTAGCTCACCTTTGTCCCTCTACTTCCTGATATGGAAACTCCAATCGAGACACTGCACTAGGACTCTGGGCAGGTCTGTGTATGGCCCAGGACTAGAGCAGCAGATGGGCTCTCAAGGACAGTGAGCACCTCCAAAACAGCACCAGACTACCCTGGAACTTCTGAAGAGAGGAAGCCCCAAATCTTTATCTTTTCTTTATTATTGCCCAAATTCCCCTTCACTCCTGCAGAGAGTCATGTTCAAACAACGCTCCTCCTACCTTGATGTCAGTACTGAAGTTGCCAATTTTGTTGCAGCCTGCATTTTCCAGGTGGTAATTAGCCCACCTCAGCAAGAGCTCTTCAGGGGAGAGTTTCATCAAATCCTCCAGGCTCTCACCTTCTCTCAAAAGAGCAATCAGAGCTGAAGAAGCACAAAAACCACAGAAAAATAAATGCAGCGATGTTGGGGGAGGGGGGTTGGTTATAACTTTCATTAAGCTCTGCTAAAAAGCTAAAGATAACAACGTTACCTCTTTGGGGTAAAGGTTCTTGTAGCCTTTCCCATGGATTAAATATTTTATTATTATTCCCTAAAAAGAGGCGTAAGCCATTGTGAGCTTATTTATTATCTCCATTTTCCAGATGGAGAAAACAAAGCACAGTGAATCTCAACGCTATGTTTAAGAACATTTGGGCAGAGCCATAAAAATAACCAAGGCTACTGGCTCGGATGTTTTGCTGGGTCTGTCAAACCACATTTCACAATATGACAACATTTTTGCTTTTAAGAGATCAATTTTGTAATAATAACAATGTTCTCTTGTCTATTCCCATAGGTGTTTTATATTTCAAGTGCTTACCTGCCTAATTATAGCAACTCAACAATGTAATCAACTCTCCTCTACGTTTTCCCAGATGAGTAAGTATTTTTTTGCTCAGCTAGAAGGTTTAAATTTAGCTGAGGTCATTATTTGAAGATCAATATTCTTTCTCACAGGTTCTAAGATCCCTATTTCCTCTCCCCCGCCTTCTTTATATTATGTTTAATACATTGGTTTTTAAATAATATTTCAGGATTTTTCATTGGTTATTGTGATTTGGACATATAAATAAAAAAGTATGTATAACTAAAGATTAGAACTTGACTACAGATTTCATATTGGTAGGATTTGTACCTGATAACTAAAAGATAACATCGTGTTTTGCATGATACTTATCAAGGTGGGCTACCTCTGTCTAAGCCAGGGGGCTGTCACTGTTTACATACAGATAAGATGGTGAGAGAAGACGCAATAAGATTGACAGCTACATATTTAGTTGAGAACTCTGAAACCCTAAATGGAATTTTCTACGGTCTTTAAAAATGTTTATTCTAGCCTGCATAGATTTAAGGTGTGTAACGTGATGTTTTGGTATACTTATCTTGGTAGACACATACACAGTAAGGTGGTTACTGTTGGTCAAGCAAATTAACATACTCACATCTCATATCGTTACCTTTCTTTTTCTTTCTTTCTTTCTTCATTTCTCTCTCTATCTCTTTCTTTCTTTCTTTTTTGTAGGAAGAGTGCCTGAAATCTACTTTCTTGGCAAATTACCAGTATACAGCACAATATTATTAACTATAGCCCTCGTGCTGTTTAGATCTCCACTTATTCATCCCATATAATTGCAACCTTGAACCCTTTGACCTATACCTTCCTCTATAGTTTTGATAAGAAATAGACCAAGTTCCTCCTAATCTGGTACCTTCACTATAGTATATGAATGTGAGTTGCTTACTTCGCAAAGTGCAAGTTAAAAGTCCTCTTATTTGTTACAAATATCTAAAGGCAAAGTGAGCTCTGAAAAAACCTCTTGAGGTTAGAGTGCCAAACATTCAAGACTGAGCCCTATGCTCCAAACAAACATTATTGTTAGTCTATGGTCTTAAAAAGCTTTTGCTCTATCATTAAAAAACGTCTGGTCTGTGTGTATAGAATCTGTGACATGAATACCATGGAATCAATATAACTGTGTAGTTTTCAAAACTTGAGAATTTCTGACATCTTCCTCCTACAGTCCCCAACGCGTAAGTTATTAGAAAGCTGTGTCATAAATGACCTTTGGGACTTGCTCTTACCTTCATTTCTGCTGAGTTCAATGTCAGCAAACAACCCAATCTTGATGACTTGCCACAGAAGTCCCAGGACCAGATAAGGCTTCCCCTCCTTCAGGTCCTCAGCCCCTATGTTGACCACATGGCACCCGATGGCTGAGGCAGAGTTCAGAGCCAAGTTCAGATTTTCCTGAGGGAGAAAATGTATGCAAGTTTTTGTTCTATGACTTTGTAGATGCCAAATAATACCGATGGCAACAGTAACAATGTTTTCCTTCTGCGAAGGTCACAGGTTTAGAGTCATGGTCTTCACTCATTTTAACATTGAGAAAAAAACAGTGACTCATAACCAGAAGAGAAAATCCAGTAACCCAGACACCGACCACTCATGCAGTGGTCCATTCAATCAAACCAGCACCATAAGTTGAAGGCCCATTCTGGTTGGCATGAGACTGATGAGGCCTATATTTTTCCATCTTGCTCTGTGATGAAGCTGACACACAAAACATCTCTATTGGCCAAAAATAAAGGGACACCTTTGAGAAAGTCATTGTCCTGTCACTGGCCATCATGAATAAGACAATTGTTGATGTAAATCAAGATCATAAAAGAGAGTAGCAGAAGAGCTTTTTGACTTGAAGATTGGGTGTTAAGAAAATGAAAAGGCTGGCACGGTGGCTCATGCCCATAATCCCGGCACTTTGAGAGGTCAAGGCGGGTGGATCACCTAAGGTCAGGAGTTTGAGACCAGCCTGACCAACATGGTGAAACCCCATCTCTACTAAAAATACAAAAATTAGCTGGGCATGGTGGCAGGTGCCTGTAATCCCAGCCACTCGGGAGGCTGAGGCAGGAGAATCTCTTGAACCCAGGAGGCAGAGGTTGCGGTGAGCTGAGATCATGCCATCACACTCCAGCCTGGGCGACAAGAGTGAAACTCCATCTCAAAAAAAAAAAAAAAGAAAACGAAAATGAAAAATAGATACGATTAAAATTCCTGGAAAAGATGGAATGGTTTTTGCTAGGTTGATTTGTTGAGTATCTGTAATAACTAGGGAACCTGAGTATACACACACATACTCATAGATTCTATGTTCTTATGAGTAACAACAATGCAGGTAATGTAACTCACATATAGTCGAGATAGAGTCAAGGGAGTTTTCAGTCCAGACTCTGTATGTACTATTCTTGAGTTTAAAAAGGAAGAGATATCAATGTCAGAGATGTATAGAAATTGTTTTAATTGGCAAATTAAAAACAAAGCAAAGGCCGCCAGTGAATTAGGAAAAGAACTATCAGAAGAAAAGTGGGTCCTTGTTCTAGTGCTTAAATGATGAGTGAAAAATACTGTTTCTATATATGGTCAAGATTATGAGTAAATTTAACATTAAGTGCATTCATATGTGTTTAATCATTGTTCTCAATTTGGTTACCATTTCCATTTTTAAAGTACACAAGGTTGCTTAAATCCACACAGGAGATAATGTATCGTTCATGATTTAAGAAGTTAGATATGGTTTCTTAGCAAAAGAATTATGATAATGTTAAAATATTGGAACACAACACAGAAATACACTTACTGCTGGTTACTATTCCAGTTAATCAACAAATTGATGGAATAAAAGCAAGTTATATTTATTATACTCGTGGCTGTGGCCAAAATTACTATGAAGGCTGCCAGAGTACTTCCCGTTTTTCACCCCCTCGCTTCTTAGAAAGGCTTATGTTTTCATCTAAAATGCTGTTTATTTGGCATCAAATCAAAGATAAATTGCTAAGGAAAGCTTGAGTTAAAACTTTAGCCAAAGTGAATTTTATTCCTAAGTGGCCAAAACAAACATACAAAGCCCCAGCTGCTACCACTCCACCAGTCTCCCTTCTTTGCTGCTCAGAAATGTATCCCTTTATCCCTGAAGTATGACAAGTCACCAGCCCAAAGCCTGGGTTTTGCGAATGATGTCTGAGCCCCTGAAAAAGGCGGACTCAGCAGTTATGATGCTCATTGATGCCAAACAAATCCTGTATTATGGTAACGGTGGGAAGACATACCTGAATGGTGAAAGGGGTTAGCTTCTTTTTGTTGATTGTTCTTTCATCAATTGTGTCTGGCACTGACAGGTTGATCATTTTACTGAAAGAGAAACAATTAAATTAAAGAAAGCAGTCTTCTGAATAACAGAGCCCAGTAACGTTGAATTTAAATTCTAGCAATACCATAATCAAAGAAGATAGCAACAGAATCTGTGATGTTTAGATATAAAATCAGTTATGCCGTTTGACTAGACTCAAACTATCTGCGGGAAAGGTGAATACTACTGAAGCCACATTCATATATTGAGGTTGGAAATGAGGACCCCACTTCATTCTCCCACCTAAACAGCTGCAAAATTATCCTGATTTTCTTAGCACATTAGGAAATTCTGGGTGGATAACCAAAGTAATTCTACCATAAGTACTTTATTTTCTTAGCCATGAAAATTGTCCCCATTATATAAAAGACTGTCTACAAAATTCTGAGCTTATTATTGTCTACATTTCTATTTGACACAGGACCAAACTTTGTATCTTCAGCTAATCATATGATAACATTTTTATATCCTTCTCAGTGCCCTAGGCTGAGTACCAATGAGTCACAGGGGTCTTAGAAGGTAAAACTAGCAGATTGGGGGAAGACCATGGGGTGCCTTGGGTGGCAACCTAAAAGCTAGAATTTTGATTTTTTTATAGCAATTGAACCTTTTAAAAATGAATTCTCAGGACAAACTAATAAATAAAATATCAAAAGTAGAATTGCTCTGGTCAGAGCAGAGGAGAAAGCTCAATGTCTTTCCCACCCATTGTTATCCTTTAAGTCCTGAGTCCCTCACATATTGAGCACCTCAAGTCACTTCACTTACAACTTGGCCTGTGATGACAGAGAACCTGCTGAAGCAAGAGCTACAGAGGTATTTTCAAAGACACCACGTTGCATTGAGCAGCACCATATTTAGAGGCCTCCCGTGGGTAGGATGCAGTCCCCCTTTTCCAGGTGTCCTCAATGTTTGAGTTGTGGATTTCTGTGCATCACTCAAAGGTTTCTTTGCTTAAGGACTACAGTTTAAGGACTTCTTCCATCATCCTGCTGCTATTATCAATTCTATCTGCTTTCATGGTGAGCCACGCTCAGATGAAGCCAAGCAGCATATATTCCAAAAATATATAACCAGGAAAATTGTCCTCATTATAGAAGAGACTATCTATGTACTTCTGAGCTTACATAATGTCTACATTTCCGCTTGATGCCTGATCCAACTTTATACTTTAAACTTGTCATCAGATAAACTTTTTAATGTCCTTCTATAGTCATTATTTAATCAGTATTTTATAAGTTTCCCCCACTTAATTATCTAATACATTGATTAGACATCTAATGCTTTTGACTTGGTATAACTATATCTTCCATGTTTATCTCTATAATGTTTATCCCTCCTCTCCACTCAAGCAATAGCAATTTTACATTTCTCATTATAAATTGTTTTTGAATTTAGTTTGCTGTCCTGGACCTGGCCAAGTGAAAGTCCAGAAAAGCCTTCTAGGTGCAGCTGAGCACCAAACAAAGTTGGCCTACGATAAATAACGATTAATTGTTGATGGTCTAGAAAATGGGCAATTCTTTGGAAACCAAGAAAGAAGTATTATTTACCAAAGGACAATGCCATCTCCAACAGCATTAAAGAGATCATTCGTGTTTGGGTTCATTGGGATGACATGCCGACAATCAGGATCATTTTCCAGGGCTTTGTTTATCCAGTTGACAAAGGCATACTTTTCTTCCTCTGCAAGTAAATGATTAAAGTGACTCATTTGCAAAGTGAAACTCTATTATAAACAAAATTATGCATGTGGATCTTAAATTCTCATTCCCAGCAGAGAGATGTGAGTTTATTCAGTCCATTATCTTATCATCTCATATTTATTAAGATTTAAAAATCTCAGATCACTTGGGAAATAGGCATTGAGTCTGTGTACTCCAAGTCATAAAACATAGAGCAAACAGATTTAAAAACTATCTCTCTGTTTCTTTTCTTTTCTTTTTTTTTTTTTTGAGATGGAGTCTCACAGTGTCACCCAGGCTGGAGTGCAGTGGCGCGATCTCGGCTCACTGCAAGCTCTGCCTCCTGGTTCACGCCATTCTCCTGCCTCAGCCTCCCCCGTAGCTGGGACTACAGGCGCCCGCCACAACACCCAGCTAATTTTTTGTATTTTTAGTAGAGACGGGGTTTCATCGTGTTAGCCAGGATGGTCTCGATTTCCTGACCTCGTGATCTGCCCACCTCAGCCTCCCAAAGTGCTGGGATTGCAGGTGTGAGCCACCGCGCCCGGCCAAAACTATCTCTCTGTTCCTATATATACGCATAATCCAGATATATATTTACATTTAGAAGCAAATATATACATATGTTTATTTTCTATATATAAATACATAAATAATAAAAATATTTTATTTATATGTGCATGTATACATATATATATACACATATAAATACAAATGTGGTATAATGCTTACAGGACAAAACTCAGGATTCCGCTTTTAGCTCTGCTGGTTTAAATGTTGGATCACTGTGGACAATCCTTATTGTACCTCTGAGTTTCTTGATACAATTATAATTAAATTGCTATAAAATAAAATCATTTGGATATAATCTTTTTTTCCTAACAGTAAAGCTGCCAGAAGGTGATTTTTAGATGTTTTAATAAAAACTCAAGTTATGTCTTCACAGCCTAGCACTATGTTTCCCAAACTGACAGTTTTTGAAAACAGTAGTGTCCCTCAGAGAAATCCTGAGTCATAAAAGTTTGGGAAATACTGTGTAGTGAATGTATCTCCGCCTTAAAGATTCACATTGCACATTTGACCCAGCAAAGGTTCTGAAAATTCCTGTATTTAAAAACAAAAGGCCAAACGTTGTCTTAGCAACTATAGATGGTATTTAATCATGACTTATCTTTTTTTTTTTTTTTTTTTTTTTTGAGACAGAGTCTTGTTCTGTCGCCAGGCTGGAGTGCAATGGTGCAATCTCGGCTCACTGCAACCTCTGCCTCCTGGGCTCAAGCGATTCTCCTGTCTCAGCTTCCCGAGTCGATGAGATTACAGGCATGCGCCACTGCACCCAGTAGAACGGGGTTTCACCATGTTGCCCAGGCTAGTCTTTAACTCCTGACCTCAGGTGATCCACCCGCCTTGGCCTCCCAAAGTGCTGGGATTACACGCGTGAGCCACTGTGCCCGGCCTCATGAGTTTATCTTTAAGATCAACTAACGTTTTGAATAATTCAGTTTTGGAAATGTTGCAACAACTATACTGTTTGGCCTGTTGGAAGTTTCCATTATGGCTGTTGGATGGCAGCCTTCGGAATAAATTTACAAATTTATTCCAAATCAATGAAAACATAATTTTTTGATCACTTAGCAGGTGTTAAAAATTATCATGAAGTTTAAAGATAGAAGCTTGAGTAGCTAATTTTGTCCATAAGATTTAGAAAGGAATCTGGGCAGCCTTTAATGATTGTTTAAATGCTGATCAAATCATTTTGTATTGGACCCTACCCAGAGCTAGGACTGCTCCTATATTATGTACCCAGAACTGACCCACTTAGTCACAGGAAAATTGGGAGTCATCCATAAAGCTGTGTTTGCTTCTGTCTTTGTTTACATCCCTTAGGTTTGAATACCAAGTTTAGAATCTGTAATCCTGAAATCCTGCTCCAACCCAGGAGTTGAGCCTACCTGAATAGGAGTGTTGGGTGCCAACGCTAGACTGCTCTGAAGTACCACCGATTGCACAAATCCCTTCCTTCTTATTGATTGCTTTTCTAAAGGTCTTGGCAACATCTGTGCTTTTTAGGCCATGGAAAATCTGCAAAAATATAATGTATCTTTAGAAACTCAAGCAGTGATCAAGAAAATCACAAAGGAAAGAATATGTAATGTCGAAGCAAGGAGGTAAGGAATGTCTTTCTGGATATTTTTTAAAACAGAATTCAAGTTCCAAGTTTCAAATGTGTCTCCTTGTATTCTGCATGGTACTCACCTTGATAAACTCATCAAAGCTGATCCTTCCATCTTGGTCCAGATCACCTGTAGCCATCAGGTTTTCTGTAATTTCTCGTACTCTATACCCAGGCAAAGGCAAGCAAGCAGCCTTGAACAAGTCATTCAACTCATTGAAGCTGATGTATCCATTGCCATCAGTATCTGTAATGTACACAATATACTGAAGCTTCAGGACGATTCAGGCAACAGCTTTTAGAGAGGTGAGGGAAGACTAGATGGAAGGTGAAGGGACGAGAGAGGCTATCATTCAGACATTAAGGCATGATCCCAGGGAAGAGTCAGAATCTCACAAGATGACTGTTGCTACTGAATAGGGGCACCAGCATTACTTTCAACATCCACAGTAAAAGAGTCATAATTTCTATAAGGTACCTCTGTTTCCACAAAGAACTCTTATAGAAACTCTTAAGGAAACCACAGGTTTAGTGATAAAGAGTAAGAGAAAGTATGTGATGGTATTAAAATCAAGGAAACAGCAAAACAGAAGACAAGATATAAAAGATGAGACTTACAAACCATTTCCAGGAACAAACTATGTAAGAGTAGAGTCCATATTCCATGTTTTGATAGAGAAAGTCATTTTATTGAAGCATATTTTTCAAAAATAAGTTCTCCCAGCTCCTCTAAACAAATACTACTGGTTTCTTGTCATCTCTGAAATTTTGCTCATGTTCCCATTTCATTGAATCTACCCTGAAGCTACTCAGTGAAGAAGAGAATGATGCAATTTGGGGTACCAGGTCTACTCACCAACTTTGGCAAAAGCTTCTCTGAGCTCCATCATTTCCTCATCGGACACTGATCCTCTGGCCATTTTTTATTGCTTTAGGTAACAGATCTGGAGAGAAGAAGAACATAAGGGATAACTTTTGTGCATTTGAATTCTTAAAATACCACATTAAGAAGCAATTCCCATTTATTACATGAAGAAATATTCTTCTGCATCCCCCATGATTTAGAACTATCTTTCCAAAATGTAAGTCAGAAATACGCTTTTTCTCAATCCTCCATGTGGTGGTCTCCAAAGATGGCTCTCAACAATTTCTTCCCTCTCGGTCTATACAGACTGCTCCTCACATCAAGAGGTAGAGCTTATTTCCCTCCCCTAGAATCTGGGCTGGTTTTTTAACTGCTTTGACCATTAGAGGGTGGTAGAAATGATGTCTGGGGCTGGAAACTTCTGCTTCCTTCTTTTTGGAATGCTCATTCTTAGGATGCTCCCTCTTGGTACCCAATTTCCATGACATGAGACATTTAAGCCACATAAATAAAGAAGCCAATGAAGGAGAACTGGGTGCACTGGTTAACAAACCTGCTGAGATCCCATCTGACAGCCAGCATCAATGCCAGCAACCTGAGAGGGCCATTTTGGGCTTTCTGGCCCATTTGAGCTCCTAGATGACCACATTCCCAGCCAACATCACATTAAGCAGAAGAATCGCCCAGCTGTGCTCAGTCAACCAAAAGAACAGAGAAGACAAAACGAGTGATGTCTTAAGTCACTACGTTTTAGAGTAGTTACCCAGCAATAAGCAACTAAAACACTTCACTTTTACATAAATGTCTTTTTTAAGAGGTATCTTCGTGTTCATATTTAAAATTAGTATTTGACCAAGCCAACAGATACAGTTTATAACTTCAAAGGAAGTTAATCAAAATTCTCCATATTATTTAGGGATGAACAAAGGGAAGCTGACCCTCTCATAATTCAGCTATGGGAATCTGAGGCGCTTTCTAGGTGTTTTCTTCTCAGAAAAGCGACAGTCTTGCTGAGAAACAGTGCTTGAGTAATTTCCCTTTTCCTGTGCATCACTGCTGCCCTCTAGTGGGTGAGAAGAAAATAAAACAGAAAATGGATGATAATCTCCATGCCCCTAGCTAATCCACACCAGCATGTTTCAAATCGGAGACCCACTGAAGTTTGTTGAACTTACTGGTGCAGAGGGGATAAGTGGAGTGGGAGTGTGGGGGTTGGGGTGTTTCTAAGCATAGTTATATTTTGGATAGTTCAGGGAAGTTATCGATTTAAAAAAAAATTTGTGACAGGATGTTGTTTTCAGTAGATTTCTTTTTTATATTTTCATATTATTCTATAGTGCTGTATTTGTTCTTGATGGCCACCAACAACCACACCAAACAGAAAACAGTCTTAATTAACATCAAAACCTGTAGGCCAAAAATGCATTACACTCAATTTTGCAAATCCATATCCATTATCCAACAAATTACCATCCTGCCACATACATATATCAGTGGTTTCAAACTTTTGTTCCACCAAGCAACCCTTTGTTGACAGAAACCTTACATGTAAACCTTACATGTAAGCAAACAAATAAAAATAACAACTCTGAGAGTCTTTGGTTGAAAAAACCCAAATGTACCCCTGCCCCTGCTATCTTATCTCCTTGTCACCTTCATCTGTGGGAACTCCAGGGAGCATGATTTGAAAATCATAGAATTATATATGTCTTCATTTAAATTTAAATGTATTCATTAAAAATATATTTTTGATATCAATAAAAATTTTATTTTATTATTGTCTTACATATCTAAGAAAGTATTGGTACATTGGATCTTTTAAAGGATGACAGAAACTGTCGAGGGGTTAATTGTATTAAAAATACAATCTCACTAACACATCACAATAACCCTAAGAGACAGGCACTGGCTATCTGGCTTTCTTGTCATCTCTCTCTCTCCCTCCCTCTCGTCCTTTTTTCTTTCCTTCTTCCTTCCTTGTTTCCTACCTTCCTTCCTTCCTCTCTTTCTTTTTCAGAATGCCTTTTTCCAAAAATAATTTGAGCTAAGTTACAAAGATATATCCAAACCCAAGAGTTAAACCAACTAAATGATGTAATTGATAAGAAAGAAAGCGTAACTGAAATAAGATGATGGTCGGGAGGAACTCTAATACTTAAAATACATGCCTAAGACCCCGCATGTTTTGCTACAAGTAGGCTGAAAATCTATCTCCAAGTTCTCTAGAAGCTAAGGCAAAAAGGAAAGTATCATCGGTTATACAATTCACTATCTATGAGACAAACCAATTTTCTTAGGGCAGCAGATCTGATGTCTGACAGCAAAATCTTCACACAGGCTTTAAGAAGAGGCCATTTGTGGGATGGGGTAAACACAGGTTTTGTGTTTCTTACAATGTCCTTCAATATAGGCTGATGGCATAGGTATGTATATTCTCATTGTATAGATCAGAAAACAGTATCTCAGAGAAGTTAAGATACAGATCTCAAATCACTCAGCTGGGTGGAGAAGCAGCCAAAACTCCAATCCCCAAGTCTTTTCTCCTCTCCCAGGCTGTCTACTCGGGTTCTCTGCCTTCATGTTCCTGTTAGACACACATCCCATCCATCCATTTATTCACTAAACAATGAGTTCTCCCTCTCCCTCCCCCTCCCCCTCCCTCCCCCTCCCCCTCCCTCTCCCGTCTCCCTCAACCCACGGTCTCCCTCTCCCTCTCTTTCCACGTTCTCCCTCTGATGCCGAGCAGAAGCTGGACTGTACTGCTGCCGTATGGGCTCACTGCAACCTCCCTGCCTGATTCTCCTGCCTCAGCCTGCCAAGTGCCTGCGATTGCAGGCGCGCGCCTCCAGGCCTGACTCGTTTTCGTATTTTTTTGGTGGAGACGGGGTTTCGCTGTGTTGGCCGGGCTGGTCTCCAGCTCCTAACCGTGAGTGATCTGCCAGCCTCGGCCTCCGGAGGTGCTGGGATTGCAGGCGGAGTCTCGTTCACTCAGTGCTCAATGTTGCCCAGGCTGGAGTGCAGTGGCGTGATCTCGGCTAGCTACAACCTCCACCTCCCAGCCGCCTGCCTTGGCCTCCCAAAGTGCCGAGATTGCAGCCTCTGCCCAGCCGCCACCCCTTCCGGGAAGTGAGGAGCGTCTCTGCCTGGCCGCCCATCGTCTGAGATGTGGGGAGCGCCTCTGCCCCGCCGCCCCGTCTGGGATGTGAGGAGCGCCTCTGCCCGGCCGCGACCCCGTCTGGGAGGTGAGGAGCGTCTCTGCACGGCTGCCCCGTCTGAGAAGTGAGGAGCCCCTCCGCCCGGCAGCCGCCCTGTCTGAAAAGTGAGGCGCCCCTCCGCCTGGCAGCCACCCCGTCTGGGAAGTGAGGAGCGTCTCCAGCCGGCAGCCGCCCCGTCGGGGAGGGAGGTGGGGGGCAGCCCCCGCCCGGCCAGCCGCCCCGTCCGGGAGGGAGGTGGGGGGCGCCTCTGCCCTGCCGCCCCTTCTGAGAAGTGAGGAGCCCCTCTGCCCGGCCGCCACCCCGTCTGGGAGGTGTACCCAACAGCTCATTGAGAACGGGCCAGGATGACAATGGCGGTTTTGTGGAACAGAAAAGGGGGAAATGTGGGGAAAAGATAGAGAAATCAGATTGTTGCTGTGTCTGTGTAGAAAGAAGTAGACATAGGAGGCTCCATTTTGTTCTGTATTAAGAAAAATTCTTCTGCCTTGGGATGCTGTTAATCTATAACCTTACCCCCAACCCCGTGCTCTCTGAAACATGTGCTGTGTCCACTCAGGGTTAAATGGATTAAGGGCGGTGCCAGATGTGCTTTGTTAAACAGATGCTTGAAGGCAGCATGCTCGTTAAGAGTCATCACCACTCCCTAATCTCAAGTACCCAGGGACACAAACACTGCGGAAGGCCGCAGGGTCCTCTGCCTAGGAAAACCAGACACCTTTGTTCACTTGTTTATCTGCTGACCTTCCCTCCACTATTGTCCTGTGACCCTGCCAAATCCCCCTCTGCGAGAAACACCCAAGAATGATCAATTAAAAAAAAAAAAAAAAAAACAATGAGTTATTAAGTATATGGACTATGGATAGCCCCATGGGAGATTTTTAAAACTACAATATAGTGAGCTTGTCCAGTCATTCTAGTAGAAAGCTTTTGCTTTCCTGTGCTCAGAAATCAAGGCTTCTGTTTTAAGGAATTAGTATAGAACTTTGTATTAATATACTTTGCTAAATCCTTGTGACTAACTTGGCTTAGGTCTCTTCTATACCCTCTACCATATCCACATATGCATGAATAGAAGGCTCTCCAGCTCTCCGGCTGTCCAGCCCTTCATGTTTTTAAATGTCTTAAGACCTCTTGGTTCATAGGTGTTTATGGGATTATAAGATACATTCATTCATTTAACAAATATTTTATGAATGCCTACTATAAGCCAGGTGCTATTCTTCATTTTAGGTAAGCACGTCTATATTGACCCAGTTAGTTATCCTGAAAGCATGGAACAATGTCAAAGGTAAGGAGGACAAACAAGATCTCTGACTCTAAACCTGGCCTTATCCCTTGACACAAGAATGTTAGATTTTAGAGCGCTATCAGCAGCTAGCGATAAATATAAGTAGAAGCAGAGAACAAGACTACATTCTAAGTGTCACAAGTAGGGCCAATGAAGAAACAAAACAATTACAGTGTTGGGTAAAAAAAGAAAATCTAAAAAATATCTAAAGATCATGGTATAATGGGAAATTTTTTTTACCATAAAAATTGCAGTGGCCCATTCATTTAAAAGACATAGAAAGTACATGTATTTTAAAATCATATTATTTTTAAACCACAGCAGGTAGGTCAAGATGAAAAGCCTTGAGCATCTGTAACAATATTTTTCTACGAGATTTATGAGTGGAGAGGATAAACTCAGAGAAGTCAAACAGCAAGAACACCTTTAAATTTAAAAAATCCAAAATGCTTCAGTGATTTAACAGCAAATGCAAAAGAGAAGTGGATTAACTTAGTTTAAAAGGTAAAGTGGAGAAGGGATAATCAGCAACTGACATTGCTGTGATACTGTTTGTTGTTGTTGGGCAGAAACATGAATAGATATCTGGAGAGAGTCCCTTTTACCATCAGCATGAGCAGCATATCCTGGAAACACAACCTAACTTTTGGAGACAGAAGGAACCTCATAAATAATTTATTACAATGTCCTCATTTTATAAATAAGGAAACTGAAGTTCTAATGAGAAGAAATGTTTTATCCATGTACAAATTCTCAAGGCAATGCCAGGCTGGAGCTTGTAAATGCAGGTGCTGATGAGCAGAGCAGGAAAAGGATGGAGTTACCATTAAAAGGGCCCCTAAGGTCCATAACTGAGCAGAGACCTTTAAGTAATTAAACTGAATGTGCAAAGGGCAGTAATTTCACAAAGCAAAGCAGCAGGAAGAGGACATAATTAGTGTAAAAACAGGCAGACCAGATCATTTTTAAGAAAGACATTGAGCCAGGTGCAGTGGCTCATGCCTGTGATCCCAACATGTTGGGAGGCCGAGGTGCACGGATTGCTTTGAGCTTAGGTGTTCGAGACCAGCCTGGGCAACATGGTGAAACCCCATCTCTACCAAAAATACAAAAATTATCTAGGTGTGGTGGTGCATGCCTGTGATCCCAGCTACTCGGGAGGCTGAGGTGGGAGGATCACTTGAACCCAGGAAGCGGAGGTTGCAGTGAACTGAGATCATGCCACTGCACTCCAACCTGGGTGACAGAGCGAGACCCCATTTCAAAAACAAAAAAAAAACAAAAATGCACCCATTTTAATTCACGCATATTTGAAAATATGGGTTATGATAATATTATAAGATTAATAAGTAATATAAGTAAGATTAGTTGGTGATGGCTTTAGTTTGCAAATTACTGGCACCATATAGGCAGCAAACTATACAGATACTGCTGCAGTAATGGGCATGCTGAGGCATCTGGAGCTTAAAAGGAGGGGCTAAAGAAAGCATGTATCTTCCAAGGTATAAGTGAGTGGTTTCTTCAGCTCTGCCCGACTGCTCCTGCATTGAGTGTGGCCCTTTTTAATGACTACATCATCTAAATATGCCCTGCCACAAACCATTTTCAGGTCTTCTGCAAATCCGTGGTCAATCTGGGAAATCCCCTTCTGAATTACTGCCCAAATCAAAAATCTATTATAAAAAGACAACTCATTCATCAAGGTCACGTCTGGGCTGCTAGTTTTTTGTGTGAGTGCATGTGAGAGCACTTAAATTTATTAAATCAATAGTTGTAGAATCTCAAGACGTTGGCCAAAAAAAAAGCATTGGTTGTTCATTTTAAAAAATTATATTATTTTTAAAACCTTAAGAAAAAAAAAGCCCCACCTCAAACTGCAAAAGCCACAAAGCCTGTTCATTTCTTAAATCAGTGAGTTTTGAGTTTCTGCTTAAAGGGTGCTGGTATTTCCCAAGTCAGTAGCGAAGGGAATTTCTGAGGATGAGTTATCATAAAAGTACCTGAACTTAAGTTCTCTAAAGTCTGAATATAGAAACAATTTGTGGGAGTTTACTCTTGAACACAGTGCTGCAGAATTTACAGAAGAAAAAACATCCTCTAAAGTAAATGTAAAAATGTAAATGGAATTTTCTCTGGGGAGTTTCATAACTGATAATTAAAAGCAGAAAGGCTAGAAAAGGTGACCTGTCTAGAGAGAGATGCTCAAGGGGTGGAATCATTTCTGAAAGATGGTAGTGCTGGGCTAGTCAGTATTTTGATTCAATATACTGATGCTGAATCATATAACCTGCCAGGATCAGGGAGGCATCTGTGACCTGGTATCACCTTGCCAAGGGACTCTTTTGAATGTGCCCCACTTTTCCTGCAACTTGATTCAGTAGTTAAAGTCAAACCGGACACTCAGGACTCAAGTTCCTAGCTCTGCCTCAATAAATTTCAGTACATTTCCAGAGGGGAAATTATACAACTTCCAAACATCTCAAGAACAATCAGTAATCCAAAAGAACACATCATCTAGAATAACATTAATATTGTAAGCTTTAGCATTAGACTATGACAACTAAAGAAACGAAAAATAAAATATGTAGGACTATGAAGCAAAATAAAATACCCATACATTTTTAAAAAGCCATCAAGATTAATCTATTTAAGGAAAAAACATTGCTTTTACTTAATCCTGTCCCCTTCATTTTATAAAGTAGACCACTGTAGGAGATCTTACTTTGCGAATATATGGAATTTACTATATATTCTTGGGATATCATATCTCTATGGATACAGATATGACTAACTTTTACATAAAGGATGATTCAGAAAATATAATTTTAAAATGACTTTGTTTTTAAGAAACCAAATAATTATAAATGGCCTTAAAAACAGATGGCCAGTTAAAGGGACTCTGATGAATCTTTTTGTCAAGTCAGAATCTCCTCCAGATTGTCCTTTTTCTCCCTGCAGATACATGGATTCTCTCAAAGCCTACAGAATTCTTCTCTCTGCAGGCTCTGATGTAAATGCCACAGGGTGGAAGGTAGGGGGAAGGCTATTCAGGAGGAGAGACTCAACGGCTCTCCTCTGACACTATTATCTCAGGCCACATAAACACTTATGGGAAGCTAGCAATCCAGATTACTCCAAACTTCATCAACCTCATATTGCTCTGGGTACCTCTGGTTTGACCACTACACCGAGGGGCTTCTGAAGCTGTGTAGCACATCTTACAGAGCCTGGCTCTGTCGCCAGCTAAGGAGTTCTCATTCCTTCCTTCTCTCCCTTAGTACATTCCTGATACCTCTGTTTTCTACCAAGTTGCCCAATCCCATTAAGGGTGTGACACAAGAACAAGCCTCCTGCAAGAAAAGGGGATACTCCAGGCTGGGGCTTGGGGAGGCCTTTCTGTGCCTTAGCATCTCTCTCCTTCCCTGAGCTTTAGACAGTGATGCTCCTGATACTAACATCTTTAAATTCTACAGCTACCCTTTAGCCCACATTCTACCAGAAGCAATTTAAGATCCAGACTTTCCCCTACTGAAAGCTCAGAGTACCCCAAATGCATCTTTTCAATAAATTGAATATTATGGGCTAGCTGTTTAACCATGATTGCACTATTACCTTGATATCAAATGCCATTCATTCATTCTTTCACTCCATATATGTGTCTGTATGCAAAGTACTGCCCTGGCTGCTAGGGGGTTGGTGAGGGGCTTCAGGCATGAAGCCCACAGTTAAATATCAAGTTTCAAATGCAGCACATGGATTACAGCTAATTTACTGTGAAATAGTTAATGCAATGAAAAGAGTTCTGACGATCAAAAACGAACAAGTGAAAAGGTTAAACACAAGGCTCTGAGGGAAAAATAAAACTAGATAAGTGTAAGAAATTAGCACAGAGGCTTATCAAAAAAATAAAAATATAAAATACCTAAAGCAGCCCAGGCAATTAAGATATTGAGACAATTAATATACTTGAACATCTCCAAAGAAATCAAAATGGAAATAACTGGCAGGAAATAGAAGGAAGTGCCAAGCTTGGCAGTCAGGAGACCTAGGCTGTGTAACTTTAGGCTCCATCTTGCCTCTATGGGACTCAGTTTTCTCATTCATAAATTGAGAAGCGGAGTCCGTTCTATGTTAAAAGTTCCAAAATTCTATGCAGTAGCTGACAAGTATACATACAAATTAGAGCTAGATTAGAAAGTATTGCAAATGAGCTGAGAAATAGCTGCTGGCGCCATCAGCAGCTGTAGCTTTGGCTCGGAGGTGCCTTCTGTGAAATGGAGCAAGTGAGGGAGTGGGCAGCTCCCAGCCCAGCCTCGCTCCTGGGGGCTGGGGGGCTGTGTTCCTGCTCTTACCTCAGCAGCACGAAAAGCTCTGTCTAGATGCATTCTCCTCACTGGCCCCAGGCAGATGCGCTCTGCTCAGCTGCCTAGCTGCTGGACTGCCCCCGCACAGATCAGGGAAGTTCCCAGAGCAGCACGTGAGACCTGTTTTATGGGATGTTACCACACACAGCTTAAGACACGTTGATCCAGTTCACTCCTAGTTTCTAGGCAAGACGGTACTCAAACTGTCCCAGAAAGAGAGTCATCTACTATTTTGTTAAAAATATCCAAATAAGGAAATCCTACAACCTCTCTGGTGTCTCATATCCCTACTTTGTAACCTAAATCTTTTCTGATACGATTGAAGGTCTCTCTTGGGCTATTCTCAGAGGAAATAACAGGAGCTGTTCAATTCATAAAGATTCCATCACATGCCTTGGTCTCTTTATATTCTTGTAACCTGCTTTTTTAGGGCTTATTCTCCAAATCTTTCATAGTTTTCTTTGCTATCTTCTGGGTCTATGCCAACTTCCTTATAGAATGAATGTAGTAAGAATAGCAGTCATAGAATGTAGAGGTGGAGGGATCTTAGAGATGATCTATCTGGCCACTCCCCTGTCACAGAGGCATGAAATGACACCCAAGTTAAAGGACATGCCTAACATCACAGAGCTTATTGGAGGTGTGGCTGGGACCAGAGTCCAGGCCTCCTTATTTCTCTTCTTTCCTCTTTAATAAGTTTTAAACCCTAAGATAGGACTCTTCTCTTTAATTAAGACCTTCTTCACATATAGTAAGAACAATCCCCCAAGATTTCAAATGTCTTACGAATATAATTTCATGTATGTTTCTTGTACATGAAGGGGAATTTTTCTAGGTATGGCAAAGGCACTGTTCAGGTTTAGGCTGCAATTAACATGTGCCAAATCACATACAAATATTGTGTACACTGGCATCTTCTAGGTCACGATGATTCTTACCCCCTGCATTTGTCTCTATACATTTATTCTATTTTTTTTCCTTAAAGAGACAGATCTCACTATGTTGCCTAGGCAGGAGTGCAGTGGCTCTTCACAGGTGTGATCCCACTACTGATCAGCACAGGAGTTTTGACCTGCTCCATTTCTGGTGTGAGCCAGTGCACCCACTCCTCCTTAAACAACCTAGTGGTCCCCTGCTCCCATATTGATGCCAAACTTAGTGCTGACACCCAATTGACATGGCACACTACAGCCCAGAACTCCTGGACTCAAGCCACCCTCCTGCCTCAGCCTCCCAAGTAGCTAGGACTACAGGCGTGCACCACCACACCTTGTTGTACATTGATTCTTGACCTTGCACTAAGGCCCTCCAAATTTCCTTAGCAACCAAAGAGCAAACCCAATTAAAACAACTCACCACGAGATGAAATGTTCAAAAGACAAGACAGCCAAATTCATAGATCAATAATAAAATGACACCCTCAGACTTATCGCAACAATCATCATGGTTTCAGGCATCCTGTTCTGGAGGCTGGGGAGAATCAGTGAGCCCTTCCTCTGAGCTTTGGTCCAGATCTCTGTAGTGTGGTCCCTGTTACCATTCATCTCTCCTAGCAGATTAGTGTCTGGCCCATGTGAGGTACTCAGTAAATGAGCTGTGTACATGAACAAAACAATCCATAACCTAATGGTATACAGGACTTGAAAAGTCCCCTATCACCTTCTTTGAGGAATTTAACAATAATATTCTTGTGTACATACTTAGACAATCCCATCCACTGAAAGGTACAGACACCCAAAACAAGGCTACTAAATGCTTCAAATTCACATTAAACCACTTTGCTGGAAAGACAACTTTGGTGAGTTAATTTGGTGTCTAAAGGGCAGCTGCTGGCCCGAGGTAGTCTGTGAAATGGCACCTGTGCCTGCTGCCTAGCCCTACCTTGCCAGCCGCAAAAGCGATTCTGTCTGAGATTGCAGATCCTGAGGCTGGGCTTCTTGGCACTGTTGCTGTAAAACCTGCTGGCTGCCGGTAATGCTTGGCAGTGGGTCTCTATCCAACTCTGTAGGGCCTGCTTGTAAGCTGAGCGCTGCTGAGGTGGGAGGGAAAGGAACCTTGGAGACAGAGCAGTGACTGAATGAGGGGCAAACCCACCTGGGATGCACATATGCGGTGTACCAAGGAGCAAGCTGGAAATATAGGTGCTAGCATTTACCTGCATGTAATTTGCGTCTCACTATCTGAACAATGCTATTCATCCCCCAGTAATTCTAAATGTCTGTCACTAAAAAAATTCATACATTTGTAAATTTCTTCCTTCAATAGACATCTGCCAAACACCTACTATATGCCAGGTCCTGTGTTAGATGCTGAGAACACACAGACGTGGCTTTGGCCTGTTGAGTAGGGGAGAGAGACACAGTAACTAGAATACAGCGAAACTTTTTAGATCCACAGGAAGAGGGAAAAAATAGCTCTCCCCTGGAGAGCCAAAGGCGGCCCCCTAGAGGAAGTGACATTTGACCTAGATTTCAACAGAGCAGTAGGAGATTGCTTAAAGATCAGTCTGTTTTTTTCTTCATTCATCAGAGACTCCATGCTCTCTCTATAGAAAGCCTATCTATTTGGAGTCAGAGAAAGGGCAAATAGCTAAAGAACAAATGAAAAGACCAGTTGGTCAGTAATAATAGCCGTTAACATTAATGAGTGGTTAACTCAGTGCTAAATGTTTTACATGCATTCACATTTAATTCTCACCACAATCCTATAGGGTATTACTATGATTCCCACTTTGAGGAAACTGAGGTTTAAATAGCTGGCCCAGGGTCGCACAGCTATAAACTGGAGTGGCCTCCTGCCTTTCCTATCATTTCTGGCTATGGGATTCCTGTATCTCGAGTTTCCCTGCCATCCTTTGGGGTTGCCCTTGAAGGTCAAAGCTCTGACCTCATGTTAATTAGGGAAACACATATTTCTGCAAGGTTTTACTTAGGACTGGGCCCTTCCTAGGCTCTTTAGGGAAGTTCTAAATGTGTCTTCGGTTTCTCAACATCTTTAAAGGAAGTATTAAGAAGAGCAAGAACACAACCAGGCTTGATCTTTTCTGCCTGTGTCCCCCCTGCCACTGGTGGAGAAAAGGGTCCTCTTTGCCCGTGGCCTCCACACCTCAGTCATTCACTCACATTTAATAAAGCACATACCTTGTCCTAAGTACTAAAGATACCAAGATGAACAGCAGAGAATCCTTGCTCCTGAGGGGCACACAGTCCAGTAAACAAAATAGTCACGCAAATGCAAGACTACACTAATATGAATATTTTAAAGATATTATTTGCATGGAGCTACAGGAGCACAGAGAATGAAGTGCAGTGGACCTATGAACAACACAGGTTTCAATGGTGTGCGTCCAATTATACGCAATTTTCTTCAATACAGTCAGCCCTCATTGTCCTCAGGGTCAGCATCTGCAACCAAATGTGGATGGAAAATACAAGTATTCGCAGAATGCGAAACTCAGGGCGACCAAGGGCCAACTTTTCGTACATGTGGGTACCACAGGGCTGACTGCAGGACTTGAGTATGTATGGATTTTAGTACCGAGGGGGTTACTGGAACCAGTGCCCTGTGGATACCATGGAACAACTGTATTTAACTCTGCCTGGGAAGGCAAAAGAAGGTTTTCCAGAGAAGGTGATGTTGCCCACTGAGCTAAGTCTTAGGGAACCAGTAGTTTTCCAAACAGACAAAATAGAAAAGGGCATTTCAGGCAGAGAAAATAGCTCTGCAGGGCGAGGCATGGTGGCTCACGCCTGTAATCCCTGTACTTTGGGAGGCTGAGATGGGTGGATCACCTGAGGTCAGGAGTTCAAAACCAGCCTGGCCAACATGGTGAAAACCCATCTCTACTAAAAATACAAAAATTAGCCAGGCATGGTGATGGGTGCCTGTAATCCCAGCTACTCATGAGGCTGAGGCAGGAGAATCACTTGAACCCGGGAGGCAGAGGTTGCAGTGAGCTGAGATCACGCCATTGCACTCCAGTCTGGGCCACAGAGCAAGGCTCCATTACATTAAAAAAAAGGAAGAAAGAAAAGAAAAGAAAGAGAAAATAGCTCTACAAAGTGCAAAGCAAAAGCACACACAGGAAGCTGTGGCAGGTTGGGTGTGGCTACAGACAGGGATGCAGGAGGAGACCTCCAGGATGAGAGGTTGGTGAGGTGGTGTCAGCGTGCTGCTCGTTCTCACTAGCTCTTGTTTCTAGAGGCAAAACCTCGGTGATGCAGGCTATACTCCACTCACCACAGGTAATGTGAATACAAACAACAAAATAATTCTGCCCGGAAACCATTTTGGTTTGTGTGTGCATAGCTTTCTCCTTATGTCATTATCTCCCATTTAGAAAATACTGCAAAGACAGGAGGGAACTGAACATGTTAGAATGGGGAAATAGGGGCCCTGGAGGGTGAAGTCACTCCCCAAAGTCTCAAAGTAAGTCAGTGACTGGTCCAAAAAGAGAAGTAAGTGGAACCTCTGGAGTCTTAGTTTGGTCGAAGCAATGCGTGGGAAAAACACAAGTCAGTTGGCATTTTAAGAACCTAAAGTTTTATTTAAAAAACCTTTGAGATGCACGGTCCATGAAATGTGCTTTACTTCTTAGATGTGTGGATCTAGGATACAGGGATACACCCATGTAAAGGCATTCCAAACAAAAGCTAATGTTCCTCGCTTCCTTTATGAAATTAGGATCATTATATATTGTTTTTAAAATGAATCAACTAGGCAGTGACATGGTATGGTGAAATGCTGAATTTTCTGACTCAACTATTTTTTGCTGTGTGTATTTGAATGTGTTACTTAAATTTTCCGAGCCTCAGTTTCTTCATCTTTAAAGAAGGGGTGCTAATAATGCAATCACACCGTTCATTTCATAGGGCAGCATTAGGATTAGGTGAGACAGAGTGTTTAAAATATATACAACAGTGCCTGGTGACTGAAGGGAGAAAGAGAGGAAGAGAGGAAGGAAAGAAAGAAGGAAAAGGGAAGGAACAGAGGAAGTTAAAAGAAAATGTAAAAGAACTAGAACTTTTGCAAAATTATCTTGGAGAACAAATCCCAATTTCTAGTATAAACTGTAGGAAATATTGTCAAGTCGCAACTTAAAAGCAAAGATTAGTTGTGTTGTATACTATGTGTTTTGTGTGGGTGTAAATCTAGATCTCACATCCATGCTCTATGTTTTAATGTTCTCAGTCTGGCTTATTTTGGCTTTGGTACCACATTTCTTATTCGGAGTCCTTGAAGTCAGGTATTGCAGAACTGGTACATGATACCAACCCAAAGCCAACAGCATTGGTATTAGCTCATCCTGAGTGGTGAAGGGGCTCCGGGCTTTGCCTTGCCTGAGTACTGACAGTGGAAAGTACCTTCTAACAGTTGAGGAAGTATGGCCAGAGTGGAAAAATGTACAGCAATCTTAAGAAAAGCCCAACCACATACACTATGAGCCATGAAAAGAAAAGAGATCTCTGGGCATCTGTGATGAGGACCACTGGGCAACATCTCCTCTCTGTCAGATGCACCAATGCTCAGAACTGATTCTGTTATCCTGCACTACACTCTACCTCCTCTCCACTCTCTAATTCTCCAGGCATTTTTACCATTGTAGTCTGAGCTGAAAAACAGTGAGACAATGTACAGCAGACATTTGTATACAAGCAATGATAACAGAAACTTCTATTTATTTGTAATAATGTGATCTCATTCTCAATAGGCTTCTTGGATTTTAGAATCTCTAATGACAAGCTTATTTGCAGAAAAAAACAAAAGGAGAAGTTACAGATAAATTGAGACAGGAAATTTGTATTAATTTGATGGGCTCTCTTTATCTTCATTTTTTTTAAAAGTTACAGTTTAGTTGGTAAATATTTACCAATACCAACGTACAATGGAATATGTATAACATTTCTTTTATCAAAATTTTAAGTGCCTAAATAGCCTAATCTAATATCTTCACAGCTATTATTTTAAAGACTTCCCACCATAAAATCCTCAAGCATTTATATTTATTTCTCAAATATGTTTGGTATACCAGCCGACCTAACAAAAGGAGACTTGGGATCTCTTCCTGATAGAACATGTGGAATTATAGGCCGGGTGCAGTGACTCACACTTGTAATCCCAGAACTTTGGGAGGCCGAAGTAGGGGGATCGCCTGAGGTCAGGAGTTCAAGACCAGCCTGGCCAATGTGGTGAAACCCTGTCTCTACTAAAAATACAAAAACATTAGCTGAGCGTGGTGGTGTGTGCCTGTAATCCCAGCTACTCAGGAGGCTGAGGCAGGAGAATCTCTTGAACCCAGTAGGCGGAAGTTGCAGTGAGCTAAGATTGTGCCTGGGCAACAAGAGCGAAAACTCCATCTTCAAAAAAAAAAAAAAAAAGAAAAAAGAAAGAAAATGTGGAATTACAAATAATCATTCAATAATCATGGAAACACAAAAAAGTATATAGACATATTATCAGGAAGCAACTAGTGGATCATGTTAGAAGATACAAAACAGTTTAAATAGACATGGATTATACTTTTAAGAAACTGCCAACATAAAATGAGAGAGAGGAAAGGTGTGAATCTTGACTCTGCCAGTTACTGGTTCTGTGACCCCAGACAAGTCACTTAACCCTCCCTGAACCTCAGCTTGGTCATCTGGAATAAGGATATAATTAATAACAACTTTACCTAGCTATGTATGAAAATAAAAGAGTAATTATCTTTCAAGCGTTTGGCATGATGCCTAGTAAATATTAGGGGCTCAGTAAGTCAGTGGTGACGCTGGGTGGAGTAGATATGCTCCATATCTACCTAGACGACAACATGGGAAAATGGAAGGGGAAAATAACCCACATCACACCTAGCGAGTAGATAGCACTTGCCTGATTTTATAGATGAGGAAACTGAACTTCAGAGGCTCCAGAGACTTGCTCAGCCTCCACATTTACCAAGAGCCCAGAATATAAATCCAAATCTGTCTCTACCTTTGCTCCCCTTTCTTTATACCACATTTGCCTCTTTTGTGCCTGGGAGCTGCAGACACTCAGCTTTAAAGAACTGGTACTGGAGATATGGTACTGGAGGAAGAACTGCGTGCAGTGAACAGTAGGGTGGGTACGGAGGGAGGAGAAAAACTGTGTGAACATCACCAGGTAGATGAAGTATCACAACTGTCATTCTCAGTGGTCACAGAAAAGAAACAGAATCCATGATATTTTGAGGAACAGTCCCAACATGAATGACAGCAAGAAAAGGAAAAAATCCAAAGTTTTCCAAGGTGCCTACCATATTCCATATTTTCAAAGGGAAACTTTAAAACTGTTTATAAAGCATTAGAAACAGTGGGGGAAGTTCAGTTCGCATTTTTAAGATGACAAAAGAGTGCTCAACAGTGCAAAACTACAGGCATGATCTTCTCTTTTTTCCTTACTCCCACTTTGCACCTATTACCTAGCTTTCTCTATAAAGAATTTATATCCCACTCTTCTTTGTTCAAGCTGGCCTTTCTGGTGAGGGTGATATGAGCAGATGATGTCAAGGAGGTACAAAGGATCTACTTTTTAAATGTTACACCTGAGATTACTAGAGGCTGGGAAGGGTAGGGGGAAGGTGGAGGATAGGAGAGATTTGTTTAGATACAAAATTATAGCTAGACAGGAGGAATAAGCTCTCATGTTCTATAGCACTATAGGATAACTATAGTTAACAGTACATAGTTTTAAAATGGCTAGAAGAGAGGCGATTGAATGTTTCCAGCACAAGAAATAAAAAATGTTTGAGATGATGGATATGCTGATTACCCTGATCTCATCACTAGACATTGTATGTATTGAAACATTACTAGGTACCCCATAAATACATACCGTTATATGTCAATTTAAAAATAAATAAAAACTGAAAAAACATTTTCAGGATGGAAGCTATATTGAATGCACACACATCTATTATAATCTCATGAATTATTATAAAAGGTTTTTATGGAAAAAAAGTTGCACCTGAGGTTAATAAAGATCCACTTCTAATTTTAAACTTTGCCTAAGGAATGCTGAATAGGGAAAATATGCAAATTTTATACAAATAACATTTGTGTATCCTTTTACTTCACACATTTGGATACATAGCTTGGATAAATTTTAGTGACTACTACCAGACTGAGGAAACAAAATGCAGGGTATTATTTAAATACAAGGTAATTGTTCCATTAATTCACTTCCCTCTAGAAAGTGCAACCAGAAAAAGAAGGAAAGCAAATTATCTGGGAGATTGCAATTCACATGCATAATTAATCTGCTTGCTGAATTTGGTGTCAGCTTTTCTGCTATGGAAAACATAATCTCTTTTTCACTTTAGCTTATCCAGTCAAGAAGGAGTGTGTGAGTGAGTGTGTGTGTGTGTTTCCGTGTATGTGTGTTTATTTGTGTGTGTGTGTGTGTGTGTGTGTGTGAGAGAGCGAGAGAGAGAGAGGGAGGGAGACCCTCCCTTCTGTCCATGTAACAGATGCTGAAATAAGAATCAATGCTGCAACCACAGAACTGTGGGTTTGCTAGTTCCCCAATTTAACATAGCTTTTCCTTCCGCCAGAAAGAACAACTGACCATCTTTGAGTAACAGGCTCCTTGTACTTGCAAGTGGGGCTGACACAGCCATGGCTCTGAAGTTGAGCAAAACTTACTTAAACCCAGTAAGTGGTTCACTTTTACCTCTCTTCTTCCACTAACATTTAAAGCAATGTTTCATTCTTTCTCAGTTTTTAGGACACTTATATTTGGCCATTACTATACAATCATAGATATGTGTACTTGGGTATAAAAAGTAGAATGTTTAATCTATTCATGTCTATCAGTCACAACAGACTAGAAAATGTGAATGCCACTTGACTAAAATTATTCTAAACTTTAAAGGCCGGGCGCGGTGGCTCACGCCTGTAATCCCAGCACTTTGGGAGGCCGAGGCAGGCAGATCACGAGGTCAGGAGATCGAGACCGTCCTGGCTAACAAGGTGAAACCCGTCTCTACTAAAAATACAAAAAATTAGCCGGGCGTGGTGGTGGGCGCCTGTAGTCCCAGCTACTCGGGAGGCTGAGGCAGGAGAATCGCTTGAACCCAGGAGGCGGAGGTTTCAGTAAGCCGAGATCACGCAACTGTACTCCAGCCTGGGTGAGCCAGGAGGCAGAGGTTTCAGTGAGCCGAG
Organism: Homo sapiens; assembly: GCF_000001405.40. Taxonomy (NCBI): domain Eukaryota; kingdom Metazoa; phylum Chordata; class Mammalia; order Primates; family Hominidae; genus Homo; species Homo sapiens. The sequence goes on from NC_000013.11 coordinate 46,177,651, forward strand.
ATCGCGCCACTGCACTCCAGCCTGGGCGACAGAGTGAAACTCTGTCTCAAAAAACAAACAAACAAACAAACAAAAGACTAAGAACCTTTTAAAGTTTTTGAGGGTGGAGATCATGTTTTGTGACCCATGCAGAGGCCTGTAATTGTTAACAACCAACTTCTACTCAGTCAAGTGTACAGAGGGGCTGACTACTGATGCTGTTGCTGCTGCTGCTGCTGCTGATGGTGATGATAATGATGATGATGATGATATGATGACACAGAATAATTTGTTTATAAAAGCACTTATCATATAGATGCATTTATTTGGGGAAGTATTATGATTATTTGAGCTCAACTTGAGGGCTTAGTTACAAATAAGCACCATGGTTTGCTACCTGTTTATTCCAGGAAGTTGCCTTGAAATTCAACAGTTAAGACAAAATTGATCCAATTGTAGAAAATTAAATAAAATACGTGAATGAATGAACTTGCCTTCAAATATGAAGAGGACACCAGACACTACCTCACAGGACTGTATGACAACTAAATGCTTTCATAGGGTTAAAGCACTTAGAAAAACACCTGATTCAATGTAAGTATTAACGTTATTATTAGGATGATTAATTGAAGCGCCTTCCACTCCCCCCCATCCCCCACCGATATCTTACAAGATGGAGCAGTTATGCAATTTCTGGGCAGACTGATGTAAGCATTGAAACTGACAAACCAAAACAACAGGAACAGTCAATAGTATAAGGCAGGAAGTTGGATCAGAAGGGAACTGAGGAAAGCAACAAGGAGATGCCATCTGGGGAACACCACGGCCACAGCAGCTATAGGGAGATATCCCTAGGAAACCAACATCTAATCAGGAGGTGACTTCCGAGAGCCTCAAAATGAAGACCCTGTAGAACATTAACACTTTTTTAAGGAGTGCGCTTCCATCTGGCAAAATAGGAACACTTGAAACTCTTCAAATCTGTGGACACTGATTAGTTTTATATTTTGATGTGTCCTAATTCTAATGTTTATTTCTGCAGTGTTCAGTATACAGATGAAATAGTATCATTTCATTTGATATCTGTAAGTTGGGAAACTAGCAGATAAAAAAACACTAGGAAGAAAATTAGATTAACTGAAATAATGTCACTCTACTATAAAATCTACTATTAGTAATAAAGTCCAAGCCTTTATAATCTTATTTTATAAGTGTTTGACTCTTCATAAGTATAACCTTATAAGCAGATTTCTTAATTTTATTTTACCTAAGCTGATTTTAAAAGTTGCTTGCCATCTCTCCTGTATACACAGAAGGGCCTGTACTCTTTAGGTAACAAGGAGAAGTTGACTTGAGAATTTTCTGAGAATAATCCAAAGTGACTAAGTAAAAGTTAACAACTGCCCTTGTGTTCTTTGTCATCAAAGAGGCCCATTATTGGGTATATAGTTTTGGCAAGGGTAGCTAAGTTTTGGCCCAACCAATGTATTTATACTAAAAAAATGAGATTGTAATTTTCCCTGTTTGTTAGTCATTGTACAATTTTTTAAATTTCTTGAGGTCAATGTCTATATGATACTTTGAAGCTAAAATGAGACTAGGGCTTCGGTAAAGCTGAAACATGGTAGAATGCAAAATATTATATTATTGTTGCATCTTCATTCATAGCAATAAATGGAAACTCAGTAAATATTAAGTTAATAAGTACAATCAAAGTCTTTCATGCGTATGTAAGAAGCTGAGAAAAAAAATACTTGTGACAAATTTTCAATTCAATAAATGCCTTTAGTATCTACATGTGCCAGGAAAGATGGAGAAGGAGCTCAGGTCTGTCAGCAAATAAGTACTTGAAACTAAGACAATGTGATTAATGTTATACTTACTCCAAGATCAAAGCATTGAGCAAATGCACACCAAAGAAACATTTAGTGGGGGCAGGGAGAAGATGGGAAGGCCTCCAAAAGGGTATGTTTCTTGAAGTCCGCCTTGAAAAATGATCAGAAGTTTTAAAAATAAAGAAGAATGCAATTAAAGAAACAGTTGCAGTGAAAAAAGGTGAAAGAGAATGGAACTTTCTGGTGGCTTGTGGTCTGGTGCACCAAAATGTGGGTTAGCAGTGGCGGGGGAGGGGATGGGGTAGTGGGAGGTTGAACAGAAGGAAGTGACAAGAAATAAGATTGGGGAAGTGGGTCGAGGCAAGTTTGTAAAGGCACACAATTCTTTAGTAAAATTATGCATTAATTTAAAAATAGTTCTTCAGCCCATTATTATATAAAACCTGCAATGGTATCTCTTATTTATAAAAATAAAAATGTTTGTAAATTTATTACAAAGTTTTTCTTCTCTCTCTCTCTCTCTTCTTTCTCTTGCTCTCTCTCTTTTATTCTCTCTTAAAACTGTGAGTGCCAAGATCTTGTTAGCTAGCTTCAGTAATAAAAGTCTATAATCACCTACCTCTGAGAAAAATATGCTGGCCTGGAAGGGAGGATCTGTAACACACACAGTCAGTAGGAGCCTGAAATCCTGGCCATCTACTGCCCCCCACCCCAACTGCCCAGTGACCTATGGCCGGTTCCTTCAATTATCTAGCCCATTCCTTATCTCTAAAGGTAGCTGAGAGGATTAAACGAGGTAATGCATAAAGAGTAGCTGCTTACACTACGTGCTCATAATTATTGAGTGCTATTATTAATTTCCTGTCCTCTCCAAGTTAAATGGTACTTTAACAACAAGTAAATGAGACTTTACTTGTTGGTCTTCCCTTCCCCAAAGGGTTCAGAGATAGAATTATAAATGAAGTTAAAGCACTGAAATTGTTTCCCAAATTACCAATTGTTTCAAGGCATAATTTACAAAAGAGACAAAAATTTAAATGCTACAAAGAAAAGGGTCTCTGGGATTGCTAAGGAAATGTCCTCCTAGGCACAACTCCATCCCACCACAGCAGTGCTTGTTCAAAGGGCAAGACCTAGAAGATTTTTCCCCTGATGTTCCTGGGGGTGAGCTAGAATGAAGAGGAATATCTTTGTAACATATGGGGTTGATGCTTTAGCAATGTAAACTTAACTTTAAACAGGGGACCTTTATATTTTGAATTAACTTTCGCATAGTTCTTTTTTATTCCTTCGTAAATATAAGAAAAATACTGACATTCCTTCACATTCGAATTTATTTTATTCTCATTAATAGTTTTACTTAAAATAAGACACAACATATTTTTAGTCTGTTCTTTTACGGGGTTCAAGTCCCTCTTATCTCAGTTTCACATTTTTGCTTGTTTGAAACTATTCAGGTGAGATGTGCAAAGTAACATTGGTGGTCACATTTTGCAGTTTCCAGAAATTCACATTTATAGGTAAATGATTAATTCTATTCAAATTTGTCTACACAGACATTCTTTAAACAATTATACTTAATAGAAACCAAACTTATGACAAATGTATGTAAATTCAAAATCAAGATGTGTGTGGATAAGCCACCTTTATTTGCTTACTGATAGTTCTGACAGAGTAATTTTAGAAAACAAGTTGCTGTGTAAAAGAAAAGTTCGGTTTTGATAAACATCCTGATTAATGTTCGCATTTCCAGTCTGAATGGCTTTTATAGTTATCATTTGTCAATGGTTCTTAGTGTTATGTGATAGTGGTAATTAAGTAAAAGCTTATACTACAAAATCCAAAGTGTCTATGTTTGGGCAGTTTCTGAAATAAATATCCCATATCAACTGTGTAAAAATTTCTATTGTAGATAAAAGCCTTTCTCCCAGAATTTGAGTGAATATTCATTGATATGGTCATAAGCATAACAAATAATTCAGACAATCCTACAAAAACACTACAATTAAGCATTATACAAATTGCTTTTATTTTTAGAGAACAAATGGAAAAGAGAAAACCTCTAATTCCATGTGGTTATAAAGCACACCCATTAAAAACCCTTGGCGCCAAAAATCACTCAAATAACCAGTATCACATTCAGTAACATATGACTCTAGATAATTTATCCACTAAAGTACTGTAAAGAAGTTTTTTAGAAAAACAGAACCGCAGGAACTAAAATTAAACTACCCCCATTGGGCCAATAAGCCATACAATCTAAATTATCAATACGCGCTTTTCCTGAAAACATTTTAAAGAAGATAAAATCACAGTAAATAGCCTCCGTGAAATAGAGCAATAGAAATAAACCAGAACATGGTTTGGTTTTAAAAGGAAAAAGAAACCTTAATTTTGGGCAGGGGTGATAACTGCAGATAAGTTGAGAAGAACCCAGCCCAGAGAGCCGAGGTGCTCCATCTTGGATGGCCACGCGAGGTGGCGGCAGATGTCCTGGCCAGTTAGACAGTGGCAGGAATCACAGAGGTCTCAGGTGACATGCTCAGATCTCTGGTCCCCTGAAGGCAAAACCCACAATCCACAGAAACAGTGCCGAAGTGCATCACAAGCGCTTAAAACCAACAAAAACACATGAAGAACATTTACCTTGCAGGAAAAAAGCTGTCCTTGGTAGTACTGGTGTATGACCAGGAACCCCTTCTTTCTGATCTGCAGAACAGCTTTGTCAAGCCTGGGTGTGTGGTCACAAGGCAGGAAGTGACTAGAATGACAAATCATCAGCCAGGAAAGAAAAAGATTTTGTCTTTATAAGGACATTTTAACTTTTTTTTCATGTCCCCGCCCCACCAAAAATCACCTGACAGAACAGGTCACAGTGAAATTCAGACACCTCCTACCACTTCCTCTTTTTTTTTTTTTTTTTTGAGACAAGGTCCCGCTCTTTTGCCCACCTCTTTATAAGCATTTTTCTCTCTCCCTTTCTCCTCCAGCTGTCTTTGAGTAGTCCCTGGGCTACTTAAACCTTTCTGATTCTAGATAGCAAGGCAAGATCAGCCTGATAACTTGACTTCTTTGACTCTAGTTGCAAAAGCAAAGCCCAGATGCCTACCTACTTACAGCAAAGATCAACAAATTTTTCATTTTTAGTGAAAGAGCCAGGGAAAAAGGTGGCAGTACACCTGAAACAAATGAAAAGGGACTTCCTTGGGAAAGCCCCACCCCACCTGAAATCAAACCTCTCTGGAGTCCTCTAACAGTGATCTTATTGGTGCAAACAAAACAGAACGATCTCTTTAAGTGAAGGACATGAAAAGGAAGGTTACTAGATTATTTACTCATTCTTTTATTTATAGAACATCTATGTGCTAGGGATCTCTTTAACCCAATTAAGTATCTCAATTATTTAAGCGTTTCCTATAAAGAGCAGCAGTAGATTGCACAGGCAGCTGTTATATTTAAATGGGTAGCTTAATTCCTTCTTACAGGCAGGATTTTTTTTTGAATGCACATTTTATAAAATTAGCAGGTGGTGGCAGGGGAAGCTCTGTTCTGTACCCAAACCCCAGATGCTTGAGGGCAAATTCCTATCTTCAAATGGAGCATCCTCAAGTGCTCACAACAGTTGTGAAGACTGTGGCACCCTGAGTTATGTTGACTAAATATTAGACATGTCTCCACATTGCCCGGAGACTGTGTGTGACTCCAGTAGTCAATCTGCCGTTTAGGAATGAGGGTATGTGGCTGTACTCCCAGGTCAGATGCTGCGCTGAAGATATCTGCTCCAGAGTTGACATGCGTCCGTGTCCGCTGGGCCACGGGCCTCTCAGGTGGTCACGGTATTCTGACTGGTTGGAGGGCTGCCCTTATACTTCTTTTGCTTTTTTGATTTCTCCTCTAGAAAGTTCCTGTTTCTGACCTTAAATGTTAAACCAAACTGTTCTGGTTTATCTACTTCATTAGCCAGTGGTGTGGTGACTTCATCAGAAGCCCACAGGGGCTATCTTGAGGAACTGGGTGGGCGGAAGAACAGGACGAGACGGTGGGGATTCTAGAAACGGTTCACCTCACAGAGAGCTATCAGCCCTCTTGTGATTTCCCAGGGAAGACTGAGGGGGTGATGGGACTCTGTTTTCTCCATCGCATAATCACTCCCAATTAATAAGTTGCAGAGAGCTTTCAAGAAGCACCTACATTCTTTCAGGACACCAGAGGAACATCCATGCATCACTGTTACAGCACTGCTCACGCTACAAAGCAGCAAAATGCTGTCTTCATTCGGGGCCCTGCAGCAGGACTCTGTAGATAATGTCCTGCTGGTGTTACAGATACAAGGGGTTGTAACTGTGGACCTCCCTGATCTGGTTCCACATCCTGGTGGCTTCAGGATGGCATAAAGGCCCAACAGTAACACTTCATGAAGGGGAACAGATATTTATTCCTTTACCTTGGAGAAGGAAAGCACAGTGTTCTGTATCTAGTGGTGCCTGGTCATCTGAGGCCGGAGGAATCTATGAAGAAGAGCAAAATATATTTGTGCATTGGTTCAGCAAGTGTTTGCATGCCTGTCTGAATTGGTGATTCAGAAATAAATAAGACACAATCGCTGTTCTCAAGGAGTATAGTCTAGTGGGGAAAAAACATGTAAGTAAATAAATGCCATCTATAATAGAGGGGTGAAAAAGGCAGTGTGATATCAAAGCAGTTGCAGATTTGAGCAGAGGTGATGTTTGTTAAGTGAAGAAAAAGATTTAGGATTCCAGGCAACGTCGAGGTTGTAGAAGATGAAAGGCATTGACCTGGGTACTGCTTACAGCCACCCAGTTAATAGAGTCGTCTTCTACCCTAGCATCCACGGCAGGCACCCACACCCCCTCAGCCACATCCTGGCCGGCACCATTGCAAGCCCTGCCCTACTCCCTCAATCTTAATCTCTTTATCTGCCTCTCATTGGTGTAAGTCTACCCAGTTTCAGGCAATTGTTTAGGTCCTAGACCAAGACTTTTTCAGAGAAGTGTATTTTTTTGCTGTTGGTGTTTTAAATTGCTTGTGCAGCATAGTACTAGTAAACAGAAGACTGACTTTTGGTTTTCTTACGTTTTTATGTTCTGTACAGACAGTGCGCCCCCTTATGGCCTGAAGCCGGAGTGGACCTTTCTCAGCCCACCCTCTATGAGCCTCCACTGCCACCTGTTCCTGGCCTGGGTTTTGCCTTCCTCTAAGCCCTACCACCCTCTCAGACTTCATCCCACCCTCTCCTGCCCTGAAGCCTCTGGCCTCAGTCCCAGATATCAGATCACCTGCTACTCTCAGGCCTCTAAATATTGCTGAGGAAAGTCACAGAAACACAAACTTGGAATGCTAAAAAGTCAAGATGCTTGACTTCAAATTACTTTCAGAAATACTTCTATTCAATTTTACTAAGTCTTGAGAACAGGCATTCTCAACCTGGAGTCCATAGACCCCTAAAACTAAATGCACAATTTTGTGTGTATGTACTTTTTTTCTGGGAGAAGGGTCCATTGTATTAGTAAAGAGATCACAGACCCCAAAAAGTTGGGTATTTATTCTAAACTCTCTCCTCTTGCCTCAACCTTCCACTTCACCCTCCTATGCTTTGTCCTGGCCCAAGATTCTTCTGTTGCCCCTTCTTGACTGAGATGATCCAAGTCGTCTGGTATGAGCTTCCTCTCTACTTCCACAATATCCACCTCTTCCTCCTCTCTTTCAGTCTTAATGGAAGCGGCATTCTTCTTTCTTCCCAAGGTCAGTGTTTCAACACTATCTCACTCTTAATATTCTACTTCCTTAGATATCTTGCTCCATCAATTGTCTCGTGTTTCTCTAGCATCTTAATGCTAGCATCTTCAGCTCTCCCCACTTCCTCTCCATGCACTCATGGGATTTGTATGAAGAGAAAAACACCTTTGCTTCACTCTGCAGCCCACCCTCATCCCAACATATCATGGGCAGGGAATGAAGATGAATTAAGATGGGTACAGTCCTTGCCATTGTAGAATGTCCACTGTAGTTGAAGACACAGACAAGGAAAAAAGGCAAGTGAAGAGTTATCTACTTGGAAGCACAACAGACGAAAAGCAGCGTCCCTAGGAGCACACAGCACTAACCCAGACATGGGACCTGGGAGGCAGAGAGAGGGAGCATCAAAGTGGTGAAGAGTAAAGATGCTGGGCCAGCTGGCTGGGGTCAAGTTCCAGCTCTACTGTTGTACTAGCTGTGTGATCTTGGGCAAATTAGTTACTTGCACTGGCCTCAGTTTCCTAGTCTATAAAATGGGGGTAAGAACAGTGTCTATTTTAGACAGTTGTTGCAAGGGGTAAGTGAATTGATATATGTAAAGAACTTAGAAGAGTGCCTGGCACGTAGTATATCCTATGTACGTGTTAACTAATCGCTTAATATTTACGTCAGGCTCTGGACTAGACCCCTAACATCCATTATTTCATTTATTCCTCACAACAACTCTATGAATTAGGTATGATTGTTAATTTTTTTCTTTAATTTTTAAAATAATGGCTTCATTGCAATATGATTTACATACCATAAAATTCACCTTTAAAAAGTATACAATTCAGTGGTTTGTTGTATTTTAACAGAGTTGTGCAACAATTACACTATATAATTCCAGAACATTTTCATCATCCCCAAAAGAAACTCTGTACCTGTTAGAGATTCCTCCCCATTCACCCCCATCTCCCAAATTCCCAGCCACAGCCAACCACTAGTTTATTTTCTCTCTCTATAAATTTGCCTATTCGGGACATTTCATATAAAGGGAATTACACAATACATGCTCTTTTGTGACGAGCTTCTTTCACTTAGCATGTTTTCAAGGTCCATCCATGTTGTAACATGTCACTACTTCATTTTATTATTTATTCATTTATTTTGAGATAGGGGCTCACTCTGTCGCCCAGGCTGAAGTGCAGTGGTGTGATTATAGCTTGCTGAGGCCTTGAACTCCTAGGCTCAAGCCATCCTCCCGCCTCAGCTTCCTGAGTAGCTGGGTCTACAGGCACGCACCATCACACCTGGATATTTAAATTTTTTTTTTTTCTATAGAGACAGGGTCTTGTCATGTTGGCCAGGCCGGTCTCGAATTCCTGGGCTCAGGTGATCCTCTTGCCTCGGCCTCCCAAAGTGCTGGGATTACAGACATGAGCCACTGCACCTGACCTTCACTCCTTTTTATGGAAGAATGCTATTCCACTGTATGAATATATCACATTTTATTTACTCATCAGCTGATGGATATTTGGATGCTGCCTACTATTTGATATTATAAAAATGCTGCAATTAACATTTGTGTACATTTTGTGCGTGTGGACATATGTTTTCTTTAATTTATTAATCAAAGTAATATATGTATTTGGTTTTAGAAGTCAAATATTACCTCAAGGCTTCTCATGAAACACCAGTCTCCCGACACACTCCTTCACCTCTGATTCCCATTCCCTAGAACCAAGTATTTTGAACAGTTTTAGCTAATTCTTCTGTTATTTTATTACATATTTCTAGATGTTATGCTTATGGTGTATCTTGATTGGGTTCAGATACCTACATATATTTATGTATATGTATATATATGTTCATATATTTTTTCCTTCCTACTTGAGAGATAAATATTTGACCCTCTCACATCCCCCAGTCCAACATATACATGTTAACCTTCCCATCATCCTCCAGAACAGTTTATAATACCCTTTTATTTAAATCAATACTCAGCTTTTACAGTAACTCAAAATATTCATAACTGAGTTAGGAATATTTTGCATTATGTTTTTGTATCTTTTTTTGATATGCTAGGTTTCTACGTACTTATTACTAATTCTGTATAAACTCTCCAACAGAGCTAAAATTCAATTTAAAACATCAAGAAATGAATCCATTCCTTGTTTCCCCCTTGGAGAGGCCCTTCCTCTGTTCGGTCCTGCTGCCCAGCTGCCTTCTAGAAGCTTCCCTACCTCATCACTCTGGGGACTCCTTTATTCTCCATCTAGGCTGAATCTCCTATTTCTGGACCACATGCCATCCACTTTCTTTGTCTACTTCCTTGTTTTAATGAGCATATCCTCTAGTAGATTCTTGAGAAACGTTCTATGGAACGTAAATTTCTTGAGACATTTTATAGCTGAAAACGATCTCCATTCTTTGAAATCCACACTGGAAATCATTTTCTCAGAATTTGGAAGGGATTGTTCCTGTGTGTTCTAGGTTCCAAGGTTGCTGTTGAGACATCTGATATCATTCTGACTTATGGTCCCTCTCACATCATTTTTGGTTTCTCTCTGAAAATTTTTAGAATTTTTTTTAATGCCAGGTGTTCTGAAAATTGTTGGTGATTTGTCCTAGTGTAAGTCTGTTTTCATCTACTGTGCAAGTTACTCAGTGGTCTTTTCTAATTGGGAAATTCAAGTCTCTCAGTTCTGGGAAATATTTTCTCTCTCCATCTCTCATTTCCTTTCCTCTGTTTCCTATGCCCTATTTCCCTGGGATTACATTTATTTGCATGTTATGCCTCTTGGATTAATCTTCTAATTTTCTTTTTTTCCTCCCATTTCCTGCCTCTTAGCCTTCCTATTCTACTGTCAGAGAGAATTTTTCTACATTTTCTTCAAAACTTCCATTGAACGTTTTATTTCTGCTTTCACCTCAAAATTTCTCTCGTAGTCTGTTTTGTGCTGTTATAACAAAATATCTCAGACTGGGTAAGTTATAATAAACAGAAATTCATTGGCTCACAGTTCTGGAGGCTGGGAAGTCCAATATAAGGTGCCAGCATCTTATGAGGGTCTTCTTGCTGCCTCATCCCGTGGCAGAAGGCAAGAAGGCAAGAAAGCAAGACTGGGATAAACTTGCTTTCTTATAATGGCATCAATTCTACATGGGGCAGTGCCCTGATGGCCAATCACCCCTTAAAGGCCTCACCTCTTAATACTATCACATTGGCAATTAAATTTCAACATGAGTTTTGGAGGGGACATTCAAACCATAGCAATAGCTAAAAACTCTTTTTTTCTGAATGTTTCTTTTTTTATTTTATAAAGCAACATGTGGGTGGGGATAAGGTGGGGAATGTCTTACTGCTCCTTATATAAACTTTCTACTAATCTTCCTATTTTTCAAGTCCCTCTTGCACTCTGCCTCCAAAGGTATCTGGTGCCTCGGAGTTCTGAGCTTTGCTGAGTGTCCATGGTGGGATTTGAATTACTTCTCTTTGGCGTCTCTCATTATAGGGTTAGAATTCAGCTTTTCCATATGTGTTAAGGCTAGTGTTATCACCTATTTCATGGTCTCCAACATACTGCTGACATCTCTGGTATACTTATTGCCTCATTTGATATTGGTGTCTCCTACTAGGAATTCCATGAGGCCAAGGGCCGTGTTTGCTTTATTAACTTCTAAACACCATATCCAACATTTCAGAAATGTTTGTTGAATAAATTAATGAAGAATGACATGGAAAGGAAAGGTGGAAATGTACTATAAGCATAAAGGAATGGCATGTGTGAAAGATCAGGTGGGAGAAATAAAGGTATGTCAAAAATATGACCAAAGCTGGATGCTACTGCAGTCAAGAGAGCGAAGCTGGGGGAAAGTGCAGAGAAAGAGAAAAGCTGGAGGATTTTGCAGAGACCAAGTCATAGTGGATCTTTTAACTGTGTTAAGGAATTTGGGCTTTGCCCTGTGTATTAATCAGTTTTCCAGTGAAACAGAACAATAGGATGTGTGTGTATGTGTGTGTGTGTGTATGTATTTATGTATGCATGTATGTGTATGTATAAAGAGATTTATTACAAGGAATTGCTTCATGTGATTAGGGAGGCTGACAAGTCCCAAGATCTTCATGACGATTCAGCAAGCTGGAGACCCAGGAGAGCCAGTGGTGTAGTTCTAGCCTGAAGGCTGGCAGGCCTGAGACCCAGGAAGAGCCAGCGTTTCAGTTTGAGTCTAAAGGGAGAAAAAAGCCAGTCTCACCTCAAAGGCAGTCAGTCAGGAAGAATTCTCTCTTACTCAAGGGGTGGTCAACCTTTTTGCTCTATTCAGGCCTTCAGCTGATTGGATGAGGGCCACTCCCTTAGGGAGGGCCATTTGCTTAACTCAGTCTACCAAGTTAAATGTTAACATCACCCAAAAACACTGTCACCAAAACACCCAGAATAATGTTTGACCAAGTATCTGGGCACTCCATGGCCCAGTCAAGTTGACACATGAAAAATTAACCACCACCCTGCAAGCAATGGGGAGCCATTTTAGGATCCATATTTACTTTCTAGGGCTGTTTTAACAAAGTACCAAAAACTGAGTGGTTTAAAATAACGAAAATGAATTGTCTCACAGTTCTGAAGTTAAAAATATGGAACTACAGTGTTGTAGGACTGGTTCCTTCTGAGAGTTGTGAGAGATAATTTATTCCATGTGTCTCTCCCAGCTTCTGGTGGGTTTGCTGGCAACATTTGTTATCCTTGGCTTATAAAGGCATCACCCCAATTTCTGCTTTTATCTACACATTTGCATCTAAATTTCCCCTTTTTAAAAAAGATGACAGTCATATTGGATCAGGGCCCATCCTAATGATCTCATCTTAACTTGATTGTCTGCAAAGACCCTATTTCTAAATAAGGCCACATTCATAGGCATTTGGATTTAGCACTTCAATATTTTTGGTAGGGCACAATTCCTAACAGAGTCATAAGTGGAAAGTGACACAATTATACTTGAGTTTTAGAAAAATCCCCCTAGCTCCAGTGAGAAGAATAAGATGGCAAGGACTATAAGAAGAGTGGGGAGAATAAAGACTGGACCATCCCAGAGGCCTTTGCCTTGGCAGGGCATAAGGTGATGATGGTGGCAGTGGGATAATGATATGTGGGTGAATTCCAGAGACAGTTGATAGGCAGAAAGGAGAAGAAAAGACTGATTGACTATAGAGGAAGAGAGAGATTGAATATAATGGAAGGAGCATGGGAAACTGGGTGGTAGAGAGTAGTAACATTCAATGAGATGAGGAATTCAGGAGGAGTGGTTTGGACAAGAGGATTATGAATTTAAGAAATGCTACCTTTGTTCATTTCCATAGAATCTCTATTGGGCTGCTGTTCTCATCACTCTTCTGAAACTGGACTCTACTCAGTCTTCAATGTCCTTGTTTTTATGCAATATTTGACACTGTTAACAATCCTTTCCTTTTCCAATTTCTCTTCTCCATGAACAGTTATTCATATTTAAGTGAAAAATAAACAAGTCTATTTTGAAATTCCAATAATAATCTCCAGTGTCTAAAACTGAACTCATCATTCATTTGACAAAGAAGCTGCCCCTAGCCCATCTCTTCCTTCATTCTGCCAAGAGTGGACTACACCCCCAGGATGGTCCAGAGTACTCCTTGAGTCCTACTTTTTTTTTTTTTTTTTTTGCAATTCCCACATGTGGTCAAAGTTTCATTTATTTTTCCCTCATAGTATTTCTCGGTTTTGTTCTTTCTTTGCCACTTTTGCCTTATCACATTTGGATTAGCTTCCTGATTTCCCTGTTTTTTTTTGTCTCAGTGCTCCTCTCTCCATCCTGCATAGCAGCACCACATGACTCTTCATAAGGCTACAGTTCTCTCCCTTCATTCTCCTGCTCCCTGTGCATCTGAAGTTACTCATTGCTGCTAGAAAAATGTCCAAACTTTGGCTCAATCCATCTTCCAAGCCTCAGAGCAACAACGTAAGCCCTCTAGTGTCTTCAGGCTGGCCTGTCCTTGACCCTCTGGAAGCCTCACACATTTCTCATTATGCCTGTGAGATTTTTGTGCTCACTCTCCCTGCCTGTCTCTCCACTCCCCTTGTCTATAAATCTGAATCACTCTCCTAGAACCAAGAACAGAACCAACTACATAATTTGTGGCCCCCAGTGCAAAATAAAAATGTGGAGTCCTTTGTTTAAAAATTAGGAATTTTTAGACAGTGACAGCAGAGCATTAAACCAAGTGTGAAGCCCTTCTGGGCACAGGCTAGGAGGCTAGCCTGACCAAGAATCTTCCCGTGACCACCAATCTATCCTTTCCTCTCCCGCTAAAGCCTATAGTACTTTTTATAAGACATTCTTGACACTTATTGCATGCCACATTTGTCAACTAATCTTTATGACTATATATCTCTATGTGTTTGTTGCATTTTTATTCATTCCTCAAGCTCTTATTAGGATCATACCATGTACCAGGTACTCAGAAAACAAACCTAAAAGACTCAGTCATATAAATTTGGGAAGTTTGCAATCAGGGAGGTTGCCAAACATAATTATAATACCTTGTGATAAACTCTGATAGAAAGATGCATATGGTACCAAAAGCAAAATGACAGTAAGGTGCCAGGTAGGAAGGCATCTTAGAAGAAGTATAGCTTTAATCACAATGAGATACCATCTCACCCCTGTTAGGATGGCTATTATCAAAAGGATAGAAGGTAAGCATTGGCAAGGATATGGAGAAAAAAGGAAACCTTGTACACTGTTGGTGGGGATTCAGTGCAAATTAGTATAGCCATTCTGGAGAATATGGAGGTTCCTCAAAAAATTAAAAGTAGAACTACCATATAATCCAGCCGCCTGTGCAGTCTCACACAGGCCTGTGCCCAGAAGGCCTCCACACTTGGTTTAATGCTCTGCTGTCGCTGTCTAAAAATTCTTCATTTTTAAACAAAGGACTCCACAATTTTATTTTGCACTGAGGGCCACAAATTATGTAGTTGGTTCTGTTCTTGGTTCTAGGAGAATGATTCAGATTTATAGACAAGGGGAGTGCAGAGACAGGCAGCGAGAGGGAGTGCAAAAATCTCAAAGGCTTAATGAGAAATGTGCCAGGCATGGCAGAGGCATATACCCAAAGGAAATGCACTCAGAACAGATACCTGCACTCCCATGTTCACTGCAGCATTATTCATGACAGCCAAGATGTGACATCAGTCTAAGTATCCAGCATCACATGAATGAATAAAGAAAATGTGGTCTCTATACACAATGGAATACTATTCAGCTTTAAAAGAGAAGGAAATTTTGTCATGTGTGACATCATAGATTAATCAGGGGGACATTATGCTAAGTAAAATAAGCCTGGCACAGAAAGACAAATACTGCCTAATCTCACTTTTATGTGAAATCTTAAAAAGTTGACTTATAGAAGCAGGGAGTAGTTGAGCAATGGGGGGAGGGTAAGAAAAACGGGAAGATGTTGGTCATAGAGTACAAAATTTCAGTTAGACAGGAGGAATAACTCCTAGAGACCTATTGTACAAAAGGGTAACTATAGTTAATGTACTATATCCTTGAAAATTGCTAAGGGAGATTTTAAATATTCTCACGGGAAAAAAAAAAGTATATGAGGGGATAGGTAAGTTAATTAGCTTAGTTTAATTATTCCGCAATGTATACATACATTAAAACATCACACTGTATACCATAAATATATATTCTTTTATTTGTCAGTTAAAAACGAAAATGATGTATAGCTGGGCCTTGAGAAATATATAGAAGCTGGCCAGATAAAGGAGGGAGAAAAGTGATGAAGGCCATTTCGAACAGAGGGGCCAGCATATATGAACAGAGCGGGATGCTATATACATCTAACTGAAATGTCAGCTTCTGGAGTACAGGAATTGCACCCTTCCACAGCACCTAACATGGTGCGTTGCACATAGAGCAATTTCAATGCATATTTCATTAGTTGAGAAAGCAAGCTGATTCTATAAACAATATGGCGTTTTAACATTAAACCAAAGAGCTAAAGTAATTAGACATTTTAAATATATATCTAAAATTCGGCCAGGCACGGTGGCTCACGCTTGTAATCCCAGCACTTTGGGAGGCCGAGGCCGGCGGATCACGAGGTCAGGAGATCGAGACCATCCTGGCTAACACGGTGAAACCCCGTCTCTATTAAAAATACAAAAAATTAGCTGGACACGGTGGCGGGTGCCTGTGGTCCCAGCTACTCGGAAGGTTGAGGCAGGAGAATGGCGTGAACCCAGAAGGCGGAGCTTGCAGTGAGCCGAGATAGCGCCACTGCAGTCCGGCCTGGGCGAAAGTACGAGACCCTGTCTCAAAAAAAATAAAATAAAATAAAATAAAATAAATATATATCTAAAATTCATTCTCTAAGCACGATAGGTCTTCCAGAGAATTTATATACACAGCTGCCATATGAAGGTTGACTTTACATCTGTTTAATGCTAATTTGACTATTCCTTTCTGATAACAATGTAAGAAAAGTTAATTATAGTTATTATTTTCAGGTAGCTTAAGAAAGAAAGAGGGCTGTTCATGACTTGCAATTTTTTTTCATAAAATGTCAAACACATAAAAATGTTGTCTCTGCAGTATTCCTATGTATTAAAAAGTGGAACTCAGCAAATGATGCAGGCTACAACCATTTCAAAAGTAGAAAATTCACTTACCTGTAGCTTATAACAACTCCCTAGATATTTACTGACATTTTACAACCCATTTGCATTTACAGAGTCATTGAAACAGATGCCAGTTGAAATTGATTGTGCTACTTACCTTCAGTTTCCTAAGCTGGAAATACAGTATTTCCTCAACTTTTGTAAGATATGATGCTGCTGCTGAGACAATGTTTGAGACTCTTCGAACCACCGAGAATACAAATATAGGAACAAAGGTTTTAAAATAAGCATACAGAAAATAAAAGAAAAAGAGTGTGAACTAAGTAATTCAATGGGAGAGTAAAAACGTTAAGTCGTGAGCATTTTAACAATGCTCATGTTAAAAGGTGAAAAAAAAACACGAAAAAAACTGGTAAGAAAAATATTTGAGAGCATGATACGTAGAAAAAGCAAAAAAGGCCAGATGTGGTGGCTCACTCATGTAATCCCAACATCTTGGGAGGCTGAGGCGGGAGGATCACTTGAGGTCAGCAGTTCAAGACCAGCCTGGCCAACATGGTGAAACCCTGTGTCTACTGAAAACACAAAAATTAGCGGGACATGGTGGCGCACATCTGTTGTCCCAGCTACTCAGGAGGTTGAGGCAGGAGAATCGCTTGAACCTGGGAGGCAGAGGTTGCAGTGAGCTTAGATAGTGCCACTATACTCCAGCCTGGGCGACAGAGCAAGACTCCATCTTAAAAAAAAAAGAAAGAAAGTAAAGAAAAATGTAAAACAAAAAGATATGGAATCATAAATCTTAGAGACAAACCCTAATTCCAGTATATACCAACAATCCTGGAGTAAGGCATTTTCCCTTTTCTCAGCTAAACTTGTCTGTACATTGAAAAAAAGACCACCTGTATCACAGGGTTACTTCTAAGAATACATGAGAAGATGATGTATGTGTTAATATACCTAACACAGAGGTCATAATTAGTGCCAAATTTTAGTTGAATCTGAATTTTATAAATTGTGATTTATATAAAATGATTCATCATTTCATTTTGCCATCAAATTCATTCATTCAATCTTTTTGTACTAAGACTCAAGTAGGATTCATTTTGCATCTGTGGGATATCCCATGCTGGGTGCCTTAATCCATCACATGTAATACTTCCAGCAAATCTAGGATATCCATAGGTGGCATTTTTCTCTATTGTAAGGTAAGGAAATTGAGGTCCAGATGAAAACTCTATCTTATTTGCAGCTGCAATATAAAAATATTTCTGGCAAAGTTCTCCATTCCTTAAATAGAGATATGAATCAGCTGGTAATTTTCTATAAACTAGGCCAAAGGATAGTCAACATAGCTCCAATGAATTCACATGACCGAACTTCCTTATTTCAATCACTCTTAGTACTTTTTATTAAGCAAGTATTTACTGTATGTAAGAAAATGTTGAAGATGACACAAAACAAACATAGGTAAAAAGAATCAGGAAATTTGATCAGCAGAGAGTGAAACTATGAAATTGGCCATTTTAGGTTAGTTTGGTGGCAGAAAAATGGAATGGAGGGGACGTGGCTGGAAACAAGAAGGGTTAGGAAACCATGGCTGTGGACAAGGTTTGGGGCAATGACCGCTAGGCCTGGGATGGTAGCAAGGGGCATGGGGAGCAAGAGGCAAACATAAGAGATATTTCAGAGGCTACTGAGGGTAAATGAGAAGGACAAGTCAAGGATAATTTTGAGGTTAATTATCTGCTATTGGATGCTTGGATGTTTGTCCCCTTAAGCTCATATTGAAATTTGATCTCCAATGTGGAAGGTAAAGCTTAATGTGAGGTGGGAGGTGTCTAGGTCATGGGGGTGGATCCCTCATGAATGGCTTGGTACTACTGAGCAAGTGAGTGAGTGAGTCCTCGCTGTTGGTTCCCATAATAACTGGTTGTTAAATAGAGTCTGGCACCTTACCCCTCTCTCTTGCTTCTGCTGTTGCTGTGTGATCTCTGCACACCAGCTCCCCTTTGCCTTCCGCCATGAGTGAAAGCAGCCTGGACCCTCACCACAAGCAGATGCTGGCACCATGCTTCTTGTACAGCCTGCTGAACCATGAGCCAAATGTGTCTGTTTCTTCATAAATTGCCCAGCCTCAGGTATTCCTTTATAGCAACACAAATGGACCAAGACATCATCTAAAGAATTTAGAGAGTGGTGATGCCCTGGACAGAACTGTGGCATTTAGGGAAGATAAAGATGAAATCCAATGGATTACAATGAGGTTGAGGCAACACTGAAGAAGCTCAGGAGAGCTGGCCTGTGGATAATGCAAGGTATGTATCCAGAGCTTAGTGCTAGGTCAGGGCAGAAGATATAGATTGGAGCCTCATTAGCATGGAGATGACTACAACTGTAGGAAAGAGTTAACTGTCTAGGAGGACGCATTGGATGCAAATGAGAAGAAGTTTAAAAACTGACATCTAAAATTAAGAGGGGAAAAAAGAAGAAAGGCCCATTTAATCAATTTTTGGTGTGCACCTTAATGGAATGTATTTCAATAATAAAGGACTACCTTTTATTCCTGTTTTTCTGTGCCCAATAAAAGATAAGTATCAATAAAGGAGGAGGTACGAGCACTATACATTATGTTTATTTTAAGAAAAATAATATTCACAGCAAGAAAATCATGGCTAAAAATAAAGTCCCTTGAATATCAATAACCCATTTCCAATTTACCAGTGTGTAAGATCTGCTTCTATCATCCAAACTCTGGAAATGTCCAGCAAATCTGAGAACTTGCTTCTGCCTGCAATGACTACAGCCTCTAAATTCATACATTCCTTTCCTCATTCATCCTACTTTTCACAAGCTACTCACTCAGCCAAACTTTGACAACAGAGAGGCGCAGCAGGCAGACATACTCTCTGCTCTGGTGGAATTCATAGTCTAGCCTTGGACAATCTGCATCCCACCTCTTTCCTATACAAAGTTATCAGGATTGAACCTCAGTGACATTTAACTAGTTCTACTTGTCTTTCCTATTGTCCTTTGGCTATGTACCTTTTATAGATGAAGGCAGGGTGCCTGTTAATCAGCAGAGGGAGGTCTTCTTTTAGACGAATTATGAGGTAACCACAAAAGGTGATAAATATAAGTGCAAGTGGCCACACATTTTAACCCAACTGATTGAGGGGCTCCCACGACCACTCTACAGGGCTGTGTCAGTAGTCTACACAGCAGAGGGTTTCAGACTTATGAAGGCCGCCTACTCCCTTATGAACTCCAGTCAAAGGAATGAGACCATAGGAGGGAAAGGGATCCTCTCACCACATCTCCCCTCTCATTGCTCTTTCCTGTCTAAATCAAGGGAAAGGAAGGATAAGGGAAGAGAAACAAAATACATTTTTTAATTTAAAAAAAAGTACCAGAATGAATAAAACAGGGGCTTTCCAAAACTGCTTTTGGTAGATTTAGCAAACCTACTGAACTTAGAAACTTTCATTTTATAATTGTCCGGAGATAGAAAGCAGTGCTTCCGAATAAGTGGATAACTCTGCCGGTCCCAGTAGGTGCCATTGGTGAGCACACAGGGTTGCTTAAGTCTCTAAGTCATTTCCCTGACTGTGGTTTGAATCAATGTCAAATATCTACAGGGGTCAGGCAGGTAACTCAATGAAGTGAAACAGGTTGCACAGATGTCACAGGGATTGCCACACACGGGAAAATGTAAGTCTTATCTAAAGGTAGCAGCAGAAAGAATGTAGGCTTAAGAGAAACCAGAAATCTGGATTTTTACATAAAAAGTTGTCTGATTTTTAATATACTGGCAACATTTTTTCAATTAAATATCATGTTGGCTAATCTGTAACTGACTCATCTAGACATCACTAATTTACAACTTCTGGTCTGTGGCAAGTTTGCAATGTTTGTACAGAAACATGGAAGTCACTGCAGGGTTAGAAACATAACTTCAGCATTTACAAAGAGTGCAAAAGACTTAAGAATGCTGAAAGAACATAAAGAAGGGGCATACAATTATAATTATGTGTTTAAAACAGAGATCTTTTAAACACATAAAAATGGTGATGAAATGAGTATTACTGGTGCATATGGAGTGAATTGGTTGAGCAGTAACAATAACACTGAGAGACTGATAATAAATCATGCAAAATGTTGAAATGGGCTTGATCTATGCAATCATCATCATTAGCTAGGAACTAGGAAGAAATCTTTGGTGTGGTAAATATTGGATGGCTAATGTTAATTTAGAAGAAGTCTAGGAATTTTGAGTAACGTATCATGGTGAATTGCTGCTAAAAGTTGTCGCAAGGCCTGGATGATTCCATTGGTTCAATGCCTGCTTCACCAAAATTTGTATTGGGGTTCCAGTGCAGATTCATTCATCCATTCATTCATTTGTTCAACAAATACTTGAGTACTTACTTTATCTCAGGTACTTTTAGAGGCACTGGAGATACAAATGCATAAATAAGACATTAGTTCCTAACCTTATGGAATTGACATTCCAGTTGAGAGAGACAGACGATATTTAAGATAACTAAGTACATATTAGATAGTAATAAGTCTTAGGGAGAAAAAAATTAAAGCGCAGAAGGGGAATGTAAGTCTATGTGTGTGTATGCAATCAGGGTTGAGGGTAGTGTGGAATTAAAATTCTTAATGACGTTACCAGGAAAGGCCTTTCTGAGAAAGTGACATTTGAACAAAAACATGAGGGAGGTAAGGGCAGACAGTGAGGGAGTGCAAGTGGAGCAAGCCCTGAAGATATCAGGGGTAAGAGAATTCCCGGCAGAAGGAATAAGCGCAAAGGCCCCGAGGGAAGAGTGTGTGTTTCATTTTCAAGGCCAATGCGAAGAGGCAAAAGAGGGGTAGAGTAGTAGCAGATAAGGTCAGAGAGGCCTGATCACACAGGGCGTTGCCTTTTACAGCAGAGGAGGCAAGAAGCTATTGCAGGGAGGGTGGTCTCATCAACAGAGTTACAAGATCTGATACACATTTTTAAAAAGATCTTTCTAACTGCTGTGTCATGATTAAACCAAAGAAGGGCAATGTCAGATGCAGTGAGACAAATTGGGAGGCTGTTGCAATAATCTAGGTGAGAGATGATGTGGCTTGGACCAAACTCTTAGCAGAGGAGACAAAAGTTGTCAGATTCTGTGTACATTGTGACAGTAGAGCTGATAGGATTTGCTGACAGATTCTTTGTGGCACATGAGAAAGTGAAGAGGTAAGTATGAATCTAAGGCCTTTGGCCTGAACTGCTAGAAGGATGGAGTTGCCATTAACTGACATGGAGAAGACGGGATGAAAATCAGGCCTGGGGATGGAGAATTGCAGAAGCTCAATTTTAGACCTGTTTATCCTATTAGGGTTCCAATCAGGAGATCTGAGTAGACAGTTGGATATAGGTGTCTGCAGGTCTCACTGTAGATACTAAGTTGAAGTCATCAGCATATCAATGGTATTTAAAGCTGTGAGGGCTGAGTGCAGTGGCTCACGCCTATAATCTCAGCACTTTGGGAGGCTAAGGTGGGTGGACCACCTGAAGTCAGGAGCTTGAGACCAGACAGGCCAACATGGTGAAACTCTATCTCTACTAAAAATACAAAAATTAGCCAGGCTTGGTAGCCCATGCCTGTAATCCCAGCTACTTGGGAGGCTGAGGCAGGAGAATTGCTTGAACCTGGGAGGCGGAGGTTGCAGTGAGTCGAGGTCACACCACTGCACTCCAGCCTGGATGACAAAGCAAGACTCCGTCTCAAAAAATAAAAATAAATAATAAAGCTGTGAGATTGGTTGAGATCACCTATGGAGTAAATATGAAGGAGAAGGGAGGGTGGTAGCAGGGTAAGGGATAATAAAACTACATATTGGGTACAGTGTAAACTACTAGGGTGACAGGTGCACTAACATTTCAGGCTTTACCACTATACAATTCATTCATGTAACCAAAACCCATTTGTACCTCTAAAGCTATGGAAATGAAAAAAAAAAGAAGAGATAAACTCCAAATTCTGGGGCATTCCAACATAAGAGGTTAGGAAATTAAAGAGGAACCACCAAAGGATACTAAGAAGAAGTTTTCAGAGAGGCAGGAGATAAATCAGGTGATTGTGATGACTTAGAGGCCTAATGAAGACTGATCTGTAGGGGAGGAGAGGGAGCCGCTCTGAAGAGCTGCTGATAGGCCATGTAAGAGGATGGAGAACCAACTGACCACAGAAGGCGCAAACATGGAGGCCACTAGGAATCGTGTAAAGATAGTTTGATGGAAGAGTGAAGCTAAAGTCCCACTGGAACGGTTTCCCAAAAGAATGAGAGGGGAGAAATTGGAGACAGTAATTGTAAACAATTTCAGAAGATTTATTGTAAAAGGAAGAAGAGAAATGTTGAAGCTGGCTGAAAGGGGAAGTGGGCTCAAGAGTTGTTTTTCTTTTTTAAGAAGAAAGAAATAGTAGCATATTTCTATGATTCCGGGAATTACCCAGCAGCAGAGAGAAAGGGTTGGGGTGGGGATGGAGAAAGAGAGACGGAGAGAGAGAGAGAGAGAGAGAGAGAGAGAGAGAGAGACTTGCGGGAGCAATTTTCTTGAATAGATGAGAGGATAAGATCTACTAAACAAGTGGAGGACTTGACCCTGGCTAGCTGCAGAGACAGCTTATCCACAAGGGCAGGAGAGAAAGCACAGTAAAGGGTCGCAGGTGCTGGGAGGTGCACCTGGGGAAATTCTTCTAATTGCCCCTATTTTCACAATGAGTGAGGCTGGGGAAGGAGCTACACAAGGGCTGTAGTGAAAGGAGAGTGTCTGAAATATTGTTTAGGAGTTTGGAAGAATGAATGCTTTGGGGAAGATGGTATAATGGCTGAGTAATATTCAAGGCTAGTGATGATCAGTTTAAAAATATTTTTCTTTTAATTAACTTTTAATTTTGAAATAATTTCAGAATTATAAAAAAGGTGGAAAAATAGTTAAAAGAATTCCCATATACCCTTCACCCAACTTTCCCAAATATTAGCATCTTAACATTAATACAGTACCATAGTATAATTATCAATATTGGGAAATTATCATTGATCCACCATTATTAACTAAACTACAGACCTTTTTCAACTTTGATAGATTATCCTATTAGTAAGTATCCTTTTTCTGGACTAGGATCCAATCCAGATCTCACATTCCATTTAGTTGTGATATCTCCTTAGCCTCCATTAATCTGGGACAGTTCTTCAATCTGTCTTTCATCATCGTGACACTTTCGAAAAAGTCCATCATAGACTGTCCCTCAGTGTGGGCTTGTCTGTTTCCTCACAATTTAATTCAGGTATGTATTTTTGGCAAGAGTAACACATTAGTGATGTTGTTCTCTCTCAGCACATCATATTGTGGGGTACATGATGTCTGCAGGGGCCCCCCCACTGTAAAGTTACTATTTTTCCCTTTGTAATTAAAAAGTAGTTGACTGGCCGGGCACGGTGGCTCACGCCTGTAATCCCAGCACTTTGGGAGGCCAAGGTGAGTGGATCGCCTGAGGTCAGGAGTTCGAGACCAGCCTAATATGGTGAAACCCTGTCTCTACTAAAAATACAAAAATTAGCTGGGCGTCGTGGCGGGCACCTGTAATCCCAGCTACTCAGGAGGCTGAGGCAGGAGAATCGCTTGAACCCGGGAGGCGGAGCTTGCAGTGAGCCGAGATCGTGCCACTGTACTCCAGGCTGGGTGACAGAGCGAGACTCCATCTCAAAAAAAAAAAAAAAAAAAAAAGTAGGTGATTATGAATTTAAAATAAGGGCATTCCAAGTGGGCTTTCTCCCACCCTGTTCAGTTCCACTGGTGTAGGTATTGAGTAAGTGGAGAGTTGATTTAATATTGTGGTTTATCAAGTGAGCACCTTAAAGCGTAACCTAAAACAGTTGCAGATGTCATTCAAGAGGAGGGTTAACTGCCTCAATAGATTTTTGATGTAGACCAAAACAATCAATTATATTAATAGAAAGAATGTCTGATAGATTTTATATGATCTCAAAGGCGGAAAACAGACCTGATTTTAAAGTTTCACAGGACTAACTTTTATACCCATCTTTAGTGGAAATGCTTCTGGGGACCTCTAAGAAATACTCCTTAATCTGTTTTAGTCACTAAGGATTTATACACAAATGTATTGGAAAATAGCCTTCTGAAATTTAACATGTCCATAAGTAAGGAGGTTCTAGATTTGGAGGTTCTAGATTTTCATTAATGCATCCAATAAATCCTTATTGAACCAATATCTGGACCAAAACCTGAACACCTGGTGTGTGCTACAAGTGATAGAGAAAATTAAAAATATGTCAAGTGTCTAATTAAAACATCCCAGGAACTCTGAAAAGTCAGAAAGCGGAAATATGATTAATTATTCTGAACTTCTGACATAGGAGATGAGCCTAACTAAGCATTTTTCTTACAATAAGATCTAAAACTACTCTGTGGCTTTAGCTGTGTACTCTCAAAGAAATGTAGAGAATAGAGGCCTGAGGTGAGACAGGAAATACACTAGACCACAAGTCAAGAGATCTTGAATCTAAATTTGATTGGGTGGCAACTTGTGTGTCCAAGTCAAGTTGGGATAGCAAAGTGGGTAAGAGCTCATTCTGTGGAGTTACAAAGGCCTGGGTCCCAAATCTAGTCCCTGGGTTTATGGTCTTCTTAATCTATCTAAGCCTCAGTATCCTTATTAGCAGACAGGAAAAGTAAATAGCACTTACATCATAGCCTAGTTGCGAGGCATAAATGAAGAAATGCATGGAGAGTACTTAGTATAATGACTAACACACAGCATACGTTCTAAAAGTGCTAGTACTAATATTTAATCATTTTTATTACTATAATTAATGATTAGTCACCCTTCTGTGCTTAATTTTCCATATCTGTAGAGTGAGGAGAATCAACTAGACTAGAACTTCTCTAGCATGAATACATACATGAAAAAACTATCCCAGACTTCCAGAGTTGTCTTTACCTATTTCTGTTACATAAGCAAACAGCAAACTTGGGGTAAGCTGCTAGTGCAGTTAGATCATAACTATAAATCCAAATAAGCTTAAAATTAAGTTCAAAACACACAGGAAAATCACACTAAGATTTCTAATGAGGTTAGTAGTGACTTTCTGGAATTAAATTCATGCTTTGCCCTGTGAACCTGGTGCTGACCCCCGAGGCCCAGGGTGGTCTGCGTTCACTGCCCTGTTACCTACCGTGCATTTTGCAGCAGTTCAATTCCTCTGCTTTGCTTTCTTTGAACTACTGCTATCTCCGGTGATGTCATTTGGCCTTCACTTTGCACAACTCATTATTCTGTCAGAGCTGGATCTTTCCTCATTCGCCCTTGAAAATTAAGAGAATAACTTGGCCTCAATTCCAGATTCATCTCTTAATGCAGATCCTGTAGCTTTCCTGCTCTAAATCTTCCAGTAGCTCTCCACTGCCTGTCAATATCCTAATATTTAAGATCCTCTCAGACTTACATTCCTAGCCTGACCTACCCAACTTCTTCTCTAGTCAAACTGGAATATCTACTAAGCGCCCCTTTAGAATTTTTTAAGATTTCCTTTGTGGCCCATCTTGGTAAATATTTCAAGTATACTGAAGGGGAATGTGTGTTCTTTATTTATTGGATACAGGGATCTATATATCGATCAGATCAAGTGTATTACTTGGTTTATTGAAATCTCCCATATCCTTAGGAATCTTTTGCTTGCTTGAGCTTTTATTTTCTAAGAGACGTGCTTTTTTTAAAAAAAGGTTCTCATTTTAGAGGTAGATTTATCAATAGCTCCTTGTCATTTTGTCCATTGTTGTTTCTGGTATTTAGAAGTTATGCAGTTAAGTGCAGACAGTCATATGCTGGCACATCACCTTGATGAATCATTTCTTTGTATCCTTAAAAAATAAGCCTATTAGAGTCTACTTTGTCCAGTATTAATATATTGTTTGCCTAGCCTATGGTCAGCTTCCTTGATATGCTGTGGGCTAGAGAATGGATTCTCTAGTCCCTGTTTCAGAGAAAGGGTCTCAATTTTGAGGCTCTCAGATTTATGCAGGCTGTTTTATTTCAGTTCTCTGCTTGCTGCAGACTAGGGAGTTCATCTCCACTTCCCATGTAGGTAGGACAATCCCAGTTCCCCACCCCTAAAAATCAGACCCCCCGTGGACCACCAGGACTTCATCTCCAGCTCACTTCGCTGACATTAAGTTCTTTTTCTTCTCCCAACATCAGGGATTTCCTTTTCTGTTCATCTCAGCTACATATTTTATCTGGCATTCCTATGTATTTTGGGTGGACAAGAGGCCATCCACATCAGCACTACTGGTCACATAGACTGAAAATGCTAGCATTGATTTCTAACTAACTAAACAAACTATACATGCTTGAATGTAAAATGACTTTGTTTACATTATATATATATATATGTATGTATATGTGTGTATGTATATAAAGAGCACAAGAACCATTTTAGAGTGATTTAGCAACAAATCAGTTATATGTCACAAATCAGTAATATGTAACAGTAATGAGTATGGTACTACCTTTATACAATCAACTTTTGAATTATCATTGAGAAAAAATAGTAGTTGACATTTATTGAACATTTTCAGTGATCCAGGAACTGTGTTGAAGCATTTTCAGGATTTTCTCATTTAATTTTCACAACTCTGTTTGGGGTAGGTGCCATTATTGCCTCAATTTTACAGATGTGGAAACTAAGACTTAAAGGGTTAACTTGACCAAAGTCATATAACTGGTAAATGGTGCTGTCATATTCAAACCAGGTCTATCTAACTTTAGGGCTCACATATGTAACCACTTCATATTTCATCTTACACAGCTTCAGTAGGCAAACGGGGCATATTGAGTATCCATAGTATCTCTTTAAAATCATTAGGGATCTCTTAAAAATCATACAGGGGCCAGGCATGGTGGCTCATGCCTGTAATTCCAGCACTTTGGGAGGCTGGGGTAGGCAGCTCGCTCTAGCCCAGGAGTTTGAGACCAGCCTGGGCAACATGTCAAAACCCCGTGTCCACAAAAACTTTTTAAAAAATTAGCCTGGTGTGGTGGCATGCGCTATAGTCCCAGCTACTCAGAAGGCTGAGGTGGGAAGATTGCTTAAGCCCAGGAGGTCAAGGCTGCAGTGAGCTATGATCATCCTACTGCATTCCAGCCTGGGCAACAGAGCAACACCTGTCTCAAAAAAAAAAAAAAATTAAAATTAAAAAAAAAATCATTGGAGGAAGAAAAAATACTACCATGTAAAAATGGACAAGGGACTGGATAAGCCATTTACAACAGAATACACTCAGTAATAAACATACAAAAAAAGTTTAAACTCATTAATAATCAAATACTAATTACAATAAGATGCTATTTTCTTTCTGTACTGCAAAGGAAACAATAGAATGAAGAGATAACCCATGGACTGGGAGAAAATATCTGCAAATCATATACTGGATAAGGGGCTAACATCCAACTTAAAGTACTCAAGAACAAGAAGACAAATAATCTTACTAAAAAATGGGCAAAGGACTTGAATAAACATTTCTCGAAAGACAACATACAAGGTCGGGCATGGTGGCTCATGCCTGTAATCCCAGTGCTTTGGGAGGCTGAGGTGGGAGGATCTCCTCAGCAGGAGTTTGAGACCAGCCTGGGCAACACTGTGAGACTCTGCTCTACAAAAAAAATTTAAAAATGAGCTGGGCACAGTGATGGGTGCTTGTAATTCCCAGCTACTCAGGAGGCGGAGGTGGGAGGATCGCCTGAGCCTGGGAGTTCGAGGCTGCAGCGAGCTATGACTATGCCACTGCACTCCAGCCTGGGGACAGAGTGAGACCCTATATCCAAAATACCCAAAACAGTATAAAATCATATAAAGAGCATTTTATTAGTTTCAGAAGACAAGATCTTAATCTCATCTCTGACTATGGCTGTGTGGCCTCCCCAGAGGGTACTCACTTCCTGTGCTTCACCCTGTTCCATCAAAAGTCTGTCCCTTCTACTTGGGAGAGGTGCTATGAAGTACTAGAAAGAAGGGTGCCTGTTAATCTTTGGGCAGATGTTTCTGAAGGGCAGAGGTCATCTGAGGGAGGTCTAGAGATCAAGCAGAAGAGCCGGTCTTCCATTTTGGCTGGAGTCATTCCCTTCTGGGGTTCCTTAACCCTTTAGCCAGAACATGTCATCAACTCATTCAGGAAGTTCTGGCCTTTAAAATCCACATCTCCACGACTGTAAGAAGCTCTCAAAGCCCTCAATGCTCTATTACTTTTACAGCTCACAGAAAACATTTATCTTTGACTCTTTGCCCCATGAAAGTAAGTAGGAAACATAAATATATTTATTAAGAAACACACTAGGCCAACTAACTCTAGCCCTCTGGTATGGGTCTAGAAATCATAGCCATTCCAATTCATCACAGCTTGTCCTACAGTGCACAGTACAAGATTAGCAAAACCAGCCCTTCTGGTTTTTAACTAACTGATTTCTATTAAGCAAATGGTGCCAAACCGGATTTGTTATACTCATGGCTCCACTTTCAACCCCTGTGGTCTCTCACTTTAACTCCTTTCAGAAAGCTGGTATCATCATTGACCCCATTAGTGCTGTCTTCTTTTTACCTTCACTGGGGACATCAAGTGTCTCACAACTATGTACTGCCAATGTCCTCAGTCAGTGAGTGTACAGGGTGAGGCACTTTGCTTTTTCTTTTCTTAAGTAGGAACACTTGGGTAAAGTGATACACCAAGTTACAAATCCTCTGGAAGCAATCCCTTCTAATGTTGTGAGTCTGGGAGAGAAGTAGGGAGTTGGGAAGAAAGGAACGTTCTGGCTTCCTTTGCTCCCACTGAGAGCAGTGGTGACCCAGAGCCTCCACTGGGCCTAATTCAGATGGTTTGGGAAGTGATGGTGTGTGTGTAGCTCCTGGGCACAAGGAAGGTACCCCAGCAATGGCCATGCAAGTTTTCCATGAGAAAACTTTCCAGGGCAAGGTACCATCCAATGAGAAGCAGAAACACAGACTGTCTCAAGGCTGAAAACACCTAAAACCATCTGATTTGGTGGTTTGCATGCAACCTCTTATAGCCATAGGACCTTTTCTTCAAACAGCAGAGCCTAATATGTCAAACTCATACAAGCATAGTTGCTTTCTTGGAATTGCAGTGGGGAGAAGAATAAAGCCCCACAAACTGTCTTCCCCATGGCTTCTGAATAGAGCTAGACACTATATTCTTTTCCTTGGTTAGGGATTACCTCACCTGGAAAACCTGGCAAAGGAAATGAAGAAATTTTCTGCTACCTGGGGCAGGGTGGAGAGAGAAATATCCTGAAACTTTAATTCTACCCTGATAAAATTTGGCATCGTATTATAAATTTGGCAACATATTATAAAGTGGAGATTGCAATTGTCAGAAATGTAGCAGAACTGTCAACAGCATACTAAACTATGTGACACTGAAATGTGAGTTACACTTCTAGTTGTCTAGTTCTGGTATAAGAAATACAAATTCTTTACCAACACTCAACCCACAGAATACAATGGACTCTTACATGTCCCGCCCTTACTCCCATACACAACTTTTAGCCTCATGTACTTACGAATAAAACATATACTCAATAGGGCAGTAGGCATAAGCAGAATGCTAGGTTTGAAAAGGAAATCATATCTACTGTTTAAGGTCATATGTTGACATTAGAATGAAGAATAAGTCATTATAAAGCATTTTTTCTCACCTGCGGTTCTAATTGCTACAGGTGTTTGCTGAGGGTTGAATAGAGAGCATGCAGTTCAGACACTTTATTGATATAGTACATGTTCCTCCTAAGTTTAGGACTAAATCCCAGCCAGTACAGGGACTCAGTAGACTCATCTACCAAAGTCCGGTGTGCACATTAGAAAAAAACCTAAGAAAGATCATGTGCATTTAACACCTTTCCCTCTAGCCATTCAAAGGAGCTTCACATTGCAGCCCTTTTTCACCTTTGTTAGGCACACCAAGTGGCCTGGAAGATGCTGAGAACAAAGAGGCTTTCTTCCTTGGGTTACCGGTTGAAATACATCATCGATTCAGCCCGGCTCAATCAATGGTGACAGCAGCTCGCAGACCCAACTCACGTGGGGGAGAGTCAAGGCCTCCTTACAACACTGTACCAGGACTCCTTCAGGCACGAGCTCTCCCACAGCTCCTGTGCCGCCCAGAGGAGTATAAAGACCTGTGACAGAATGTGGGACACTGCCTAGAGCATAGCATTTGTGCCACAGTCTGAGAACTGCAAACTAGAGTTGCCAACATTTGGAGACATTAGGAAAGTTAAATGTGAAATTTTGTGGATAAATTTTGTGGATAAATGCCCAGGATGTATAGCCCTCCAACATTTCAATTAACGTCAACTATCATCACATAAAGCAGGGGTGTGGAGACCGGAAAACTGGGCTGTTTTATTTTAATTTTCTAACAACATCTACTGCGCACTGACTCTGTGGCTGGCACAGAACTAAGCCTCTGACACAGATTATCTCTTTAACTCCTCACAAGACCCTTTGGTAAGTACCATTTTAACCCAGTTTTACAAATGAGGAAACCCTGGGGCTTAGGTTAAGTAGCTGGTCCAAGGGCACAGGGCTGACAAGTGGCAG
The DNA here is from genome assembly GCF_000001405.40 of Homo sapiens. NCBI lineage: Eukaryota > Metazoa > Chordata > Mammalia > Primates > Hominidae > Homo > Homo sapiens. The sequence goes on from NC_000013.11 coordinate 46,208,537, forward strand.
CCAAATGTGAACCCAGCTGGGTAGAGCTGTGCTATGCTTCCTGTGCTTGAAATTTAATGCAGATGCCAGCATCCTCAATTAATATAACAATTGTGAAGCTAAAATAAAATCAACATTTAAAACAGTGCCTTCCCCATACTAATGTACATTGCTCATGCTAAGCGCTTAATATTAAGGAAACAAATATTATTTAACTTTTTTTGGTGAAGGACACAATCATACAATATATACAAATATCTAATATTAGCTGGTTGCAGACAGTCTAAAATGATCACTGCAGCTAAAAAAAAAACCTCAAAATGTTTCTGAGAATCAAAGGAGTGTGAATAAACAACACTATTCTACCAAAGCAATAAAATAAAAAATTGTTTTAAAAAAAACCCTCAAGTAGTTATAATGCAGATAAGTGTAGTCTTTGGAAATGATTTAAAATTTCATTTCAATGTCTAAATTATAAAGCCTCAAATTAATCATTATAAGTTGTTTTAATAAAGTTTAAAGTTTAGCACCTAGTGAAGTAACTTATGCATAGTAGGTTTCCAATAAATGATTCTGGAATGAATGACTAAATTCATGAAGGCACTTTTGAAAACAGACAGACATTGTCCTTTCCTTGTGTTTGATTTTTTTTTTAATTCCATGATAAAGGTTGCATGACATTTCCTTATTAGTAATTTTTTTAAAGGAATCCCAGGATCTCCAGTTCAAACAAAGGAAATAACTATCACCTTGAAAGACAAAAAGAAATAATTGGCTGAAAATAATTAAAAACAAATGAAGTGTTTGTCTTTACAGTGAGATATGGGGATAAAAAGAGTAGCAGCTTCTTCAAAATATCTTTATTAACATTTGAGAAAATATAAAACTATTCTCTAGGCAACAGCATGAAAACACATGAAATAAGTGGGTACATTTAAGCCACTGTGACTGAAGAAGACATTTCCCCGTACATATAATTAATATAAACAGGTAAATTCAGACCAATAAAACACTTCTTTCTCAAAAGCATTTTAGTGCCCTGTGTTACTCTGGAGACTCAGTAGTTGAACAAATATGTGCTCAAAAATAACTATTCATTCTTTAACAGTACTTAAAAAAATTAATATGAACATAAAAACACAAATTACTCCATTATTTCCATAAGGTAAAATATTAGGTTAAAACTACAATGGCCAAACTGTTTAGCAAACCTCTGTCCTATTTTAAAGGGAAATAAATAAATAAGAGATAGGTCTATGGAAAATAATGAAGTTGTCTAGCAACACTTTTCACATCACTTCCACCATTTCAACAGAACCAACAGCAAATCTAAGGTTCCCCAAGCGTTTCCCACTTATTAGGGAAATCGATAGCATTACCTGCGGGGTGCCTGCGGTTGCTTCTGCATAAGGCTTTTATCTCATTTTAGCAACATTTAAAAAATGCAGGATGTCTATAACCTTGGCACTCATCATTACGCTGGCATCTTTAGTACAATTTGCTAATAGAGTGAAAGCACTGTGGTTCAGTTTGGGAAGCTTCTTCATAAGGTTCTGCCAAACTGCAAAGGGGACGGAACAAATAAATAGGCTGACCGTACATACATCAGAAAAAGCAGACCCTTAAAATCCAAAAGGGAGTTATTCATTATTTCAAAAACACGTTATTTTACAAAAGAAGAAAGAAAATTGAGGGGATAATATTTTCAAAAATATAAGAACTATAAAATAATCTAAATTGAATTTTGTTTGTCCTGTCTAAACTCATCCTATACTGATATATCATTTCCATAGACAAAGCGAGTCAGATGTGTTAGAATAACATATATACATATAAAATATACCAAGCCATGGATTTAATTTTCATAATAACTATCTCATTTGCCTAAATGTTTGGTACTAAGTGGTAGAAATAGAAGACAAAATGTTCACACCTGAGATTACATATTAAACCGCCCTAGGTTTTAGTCTCATACTTGCTAGAAGAAATCTGCAAGGAATGATACCTGGATGCCTGCGGATTCCAAGTGTGACAAAGCATTTTTTGAAAAAGCATTCAGAAGCCTTGCTTTCGACTACACAAAGCTAAGCATAAATTTTAAAGGCCAAACGTCAGTCAGTAAAACTGAATTCCTGTAGTTCTCATGGTTCCAACGATCTTGAAGAGCATAGGTACCTGACTCAATTTACACTGTCATTTTTTATGCTTAAAAATATAAACCTTTTTTCACATTTACAAAATATGCACGATATATATTACTTGAGACTAATCTTAGCCACAGAGCTGCCTTTTATTTTCAGCTTTGTATTTCTGAGAAACTAATGAATCTATGGTGTAGATAACAGCAAAAGTGGAAATAAATTCATAGTCTGGGGCAGCAGTATAATTGGGACACAGTAAACTTACAAGGAAAAGAAACAGTACACTACTACTGTAAAGGAAAACAAGTTGCATAATATTTTCCAGAGTCTGATTACTTTTTTGTTAAAACTTTTCTACTTTTTTCATTGATTGTTTTAAAACATGTTTGCTACTAAGGAGAAAAAGGAAGACATGGTTATGGTGTGAATCTTGAAAGATCCCCAAAGCTAGAAAGATTTATACAGAAGTCTCTCATTTTCCAACTTCTGTTATAAAGTTCCTGCGCTAGTACTTAGAAAAAACCAAACCTGGAAGGAAGCTCTACCTAGTTTACTTTCTGAGTTCGGATTTCCGCATCTATCAGATGAGCTCTTTCTAGTGCTCTTTCCCCCTCAAATCTCCAGAGAAACACGCACATTTTTGCAAACACACACGATGTATCTATGACTGCACACACAGGTTCATCAACACCATGACAGAGGCGACACGTCACAATATGATAACCAGAACAGAGGACGATGACAGTGAGAAATGGGTTTCTTTTATGGCCCGCTTGGATCCCTAATGCCCTTATTTCTACACAATCCAGCCTCAGCCAGGAACTTTAAAGGATCAGAAAGAGAAAACAGGTTGCATGAAAGGAAGAGAAAGAAAACCGAATGCCCGCTTTTCGAGAGCACTGCAAAATTAGCCCCGGGACCCGGCTGCACAAAAGTGCAGCCTTAAAGAATGCCAGCCCATATTCTAGACACCCAAGTAAAGCATCCTGTAATCGAGAGAAAATAATAAATAATAGTGGTCATTGCCATTAAGCATAAAAATAGTAATAACAATTGTCACCACGGCGTTCCGTACAGCAGCTGCGCGTGGAGCCGGCTTCTCCTCCGGCCCCCACGGCCCGCAGCTTCCCCTGCAGCCCCACAGTGCGTCGGAGGAAGGCGAGGGCTCCGCGCGCGCTGCACCGTGGGCTGGGCCTGCCCCTCCCGGCGCCCGCCTCGCCTCGCCTGTCCCGCGCCCGCCTCGCCTGTCCCGCCCCCGCGCCTGCGCGTCAAGTGGCTGGGCTGGCTTAGCGGACCCCGGTTGCTAGGGTGTGTCTCCTTGGCCTCCTAGAGGGTGGGGATCCGTGGTGCTTCTTCGGGAACAGCCTCCTGCAGGAAGACCCTCGCTGGACCTTTACCTCGCTGCCTAGATTCCGAGGAAAAGGAGATAGGAGACGAAAAGCCAGTTGGTTTGGAAAGCGGCCGATTATCCTAAAGGGTAGTGTGGGAGTCCAGCACTTCCATGCCCCTCTTTGGGTACTACGGAAGGGAGATTTCCAGCATCGTGTGGAACATATGACCAGGGAGTACACCTTGAGCGCTTGTGTGCAGTTATCTTTTGGCGGTAAACGGCCCATTTGTGCAGTTTCAGGGTGTTCCCTTCTAGGCTATCAATGGAATAATGCCGTGCCAGGCACTTTTGATGTTGCCCTGCAAACTAAAAGCACATTTTGGGGGTGCATCTTCTCGCATTATTTCTAAACAGTATGAGTTGGGATCCAGCAGCCCTGGGAAATCTCATTATAGTGAAACCCATCTTATTTTAGGATTGAATTGTTTTGGCCCAAGCATAGTGGTTGAAAAACAAGCCATTATAGAAAGAAAACAATTTGTTTGTGAATGGTTAGATATGGTGGGTCTTCAGAGGCTTATCTAATGAAGGCATCTTCTACACATTTCTGACCAAATTCTCTTTCTACATTTATAGCGATAACATTTTGGAGAGAGAGAAAAAAAATGTCATTTCGACTATTCTGAAAAATCAGTATTTACTAGTTGAAATAGCATTGGCAAATTGAACTTTGTACTAACATGGAAAATTGTAGAATGATCCTGGGTAGTAATAATACACATATTTTTAAAATTCTATGTTTACTTATAACCCTACATTTTAACTGGATTCTTTCTATTAATAGAAGTTTTAAAGAATTATTTTCTTACCCTCTTTTTTTTTCATAAAGGAATTCTGCCTGGATTCAGTAGAGTATTGGTACAGAATGATTTTCTTTAAGATGTAATCTAAATTCTTATTATTTTTCAACAATTCAAACATATTCAAAACCTTTTCAATTCTCATTTAAACCAAGGATTATGAAAAACAGCACTTATTATTCATTAAAATGCAAAAGCCCCCACTGCTTCTTCGAAGACCCTTACCTCCAAAATTCACTAAGCTGTCTTTACATGAGAAAAAAACCCATACAGGTATGTGTATTAATCAGATATGTGTATTAACATTTATGTATCTTTCATAGAAATTCCTTGACTTGCACAGCTCAGAATCACAATAAATACACTCACTAATAACTTACAAATGTTTGTTGTCAGGTGATAACATCCAATTCAATTCCACAGATGCATTTACTGATACTTATTGGTGGACTTAGTAGATTCAAGTTTATCTCATCGATAAAATTTACTTGTAACCCCAGAATTGGTACTCAAAGGGCTTTCTCAGTCATGCGTGGATATGTGCAGAGCACTGAAAATGAGTCACCCAACACACATGCCTCCAGCTGAGGTGGAACAAGGCTACCTCTACCTTCTTGTTTCAGCTCTCATATTGTAAACGGGTACTGTTTTCCCTGTCTGTTTAGCTCTATGTTTCTTGAATGTTTGTGCTTTTAGTTAGTGATTTCACTGTGGGCCCCAAGCATAGTGTTGAAGTACTGTCTAGTGTTCCTGAGCACAAGAAGGCTGTGATGGGCCTTACAGAGAACAAGATATGTGTTAGATAAGTTTCCTTCAGGTGTGAGTAGTGTTGTTGGCCCTAAGTTCAATGTTAACAAATCAACTGTTTATATTTATTAAAGTGTCTTTAAATAGAAACAAATATAAAACAAAATTAGTGTTGATCAGTTGATGAAAATGTTGAAACCAGAGGTTTGCAGGAACCTAGCCCCATATTTCTTCCAGGAGAAATGGTTCAGTAATGAGTAATTCATTGTTTGTAGAACAGAACTACTGCAAATAACAAGGACCGAATATATTTAGTGAGCAAAAACAGACCTTACCTGTTCCCTTCATTAGTTACCCACTGGGATACTGATTGTAATCAATCAATCATATAAGTAAATGCAAAATTACCCTGTGATAAGTGCTATGAAGTAAAGATGAGCCACTTTTATAACTATAACTTTATCTAATGCTTAATCCTCTATTTCTGTTGTATGGTTTCTATTCCCTCCTTATTATAAGCAATACAATTAGCATATTTTCTCATTTTCCCCTTCTCAGTTTCCTCTTCCATCTGATTTTAGTTGATTGCAGTTTTAGTGTCAACATTTATACTGTTCAAATATACCTAGTCTATAACTTGATTTATAATGTTAAATTATCATCTTTTGACCTATGGCTATTAACAGTAGGTAACTCAACTTACCTGTAATACTGCCACAATTTCCTCTCCTACTTTCTCTCCCAACTTTTGTTACATGATTTTTACATCATCATTTCTACATTTCTATAATGTTCTGCATTTACAATCTGTTCTGTAATAATACAGTATGCAGATTTACAGCTCAAGGTTACCAGTTATCTTGTAGTTTCTCCATTCATCTTTTGTTTAAAGTTTATCTTCTAGTACAGAATTTCACAACCTTGGCACTATTGACATTTTAGGTTGGATGGTTCCTTTTTTTTGGTGGGGAAAGCAGAGCTCTCTTGCTCCAAAGGCTCTTGACAGAGGGCTTTGCACATAGTAGGTGATCAAAATTTGTTTTTTTATTTCTTCTAAAAAAAAAAAAAGCAGGATACATGCACAGAACGTGCAGGTTTGTTACATAGGTATACATATGCCATGGTGATTTGCTGCACCTATTGACCCATCCTCTAAGTTTTCTCCCCTCACCCTCCACCCACTAACAGGCCCTGGTGTGTGTTGTTCCCCAATCTGTGTTCATGTGTTCTCAGTATTCAACTCCCACTTACAAGTGAGAACACACAGTGTTTGGTTTTCTTTTCCTGTGTTAGTTTGCTGAGGATGATGTCTTTCAGCTTCATCCATGTCCCTGCAAAGGACATAATCTCATTCCTTTTTATGGCTGCATAGTATTCCATGATGTGTATGTACCACATTTTCTTTATCCAGTCTATCACTGACAGGCATTTGGGTTGGTTCCATGTATTTGCTATTGTGAACAGTGCTGCAATAAACATACGTGTGCATGTGTCTTTATAGTAGAATGATTTATGTTCCTTTGGGAATATACCCAGTAATGGGATTGCTGGATCAAATGGTATTTCTGGTTCTAGATCCTTCAGGAATCCTTATACTGTCTTCCACAATGGTTGAACTAATTTACATTCCCACCAACAGTGTAAAAGTGTTCCTATTTCTCCACAGCCTTGCCAGCATCTATTGTTTCCTGACTTTTTAATAATTGCCATTCTGACTGGCGTGAGATGGTATGTCATTGTGGTTTTGATTTGCATTTCTCAGATGATTAGTGATGTTAAGCTTTTTTTCATATGTTTGTTGGCTATGTAAATGTCTTCTTTTAAGAAGTGTCTGTTCATATCCTTCACCCACTTTTTGATGGGGTGGTTTGTTTTTTTTTATTGTAAATATGTTTAAGTTCCTTGTAAATTGTGGATATTAAACCTTTTTCAGATGGGTAGATTGCAGAAGTTTTCTCCCATTCTGTAGGCTGCCTGTTCACTCTGATGACAGTTTCTTTTGCTGTGCAAAAGCTCTTTAGTTTAACTAGATCCCATTTTGTCAGTTTTGGCTTTGGTTGCCACTGCTTTTGGCGTTTTTGTCATGAAGTCTTTGCCCATGCCTGTGTTGTGAATGGTATTGCCTAGGTTTTCTTCTAGGGTTTTTATGGTTTTAGGTCTTACATTTAAGTCTTTAATCCATCTTGAGTTAATTTTTGTATAAGGTGTAAGGAAGGGGTCCAGTTTCAGTTTTCTGTGTATGGCTAGCCAGTTTTCCGAGCACCATTTACTGAACAGGAGATCCTTTCCCCATTGCTTGTTTTTGTCAGGTTTGTCGAAGATCAGATGGTTGTAGATGTGTGGCATTATTTCTGAGGTCTCTGTTCTGCTCCATTGGTCTCTATGTCTGTTTTGGTAACAGTAACATGCTGTTTTGGTTACTGTAGCCTTGTAGTATAGTTTGAAGTCAGGTAGCGTGATGCCTCCAGCTTCGTTCTTTTTGCTTAGGATTGTCTTGGCTATGTGGGCTCTTTTTTGGTTCCATATGAAATTTAAAGTAGTTTTTTCTAATTCTTGGAAGAAAGTCAGTGGTAGCTTGATGAGGATAGCATTGAATGTATAAATTACTTTGGGCAGTATGGCCATTTTCACGATATTGATTCTTCCTATCCATGAGCATGGAATGTTTTTCCATTTGTTTGTGTCCTCTCTTATTTCCTTGAGCAGTGGTTTGTAGTTCTCCTTGAAGAGGTCCTTCACCTCCCTTGTAAGTTGTATTGCTAGGTATTTTATTCTCTTTGCAGCAGTTGTGAATGGGAGTTCACTTATGATGTGGCTCTCTGTTTGTCTGTTATTGGTGTATACGAATGCCTGTGATTTTTACACATTGATTTTGTATCCTGAGACTTTGCTGAAGTTGCTTATCAGCTTAAGGAGACTTTGGGCTGAGACAATGGGATTTTCTAAAAATACAATAATGTCATCTGCAAACAGAGACAATTTGACTTCCTCTACCCTTTATTGCTTTCCCTTGCCTGATTGTGCTGGCCAGAACTTCCAATACCAGGTTAAATAGGAGTGGTGAGAGAGGGCATCCTTGTCTTGTGCCAGTTTTCAAAGGGAATGCTTCCAGCTTTTGCCCATTCAGTATGATATTGGTTGTGGGTTTGCCATAAATAGCTCTTATTATTTTGAGATATGTTCCATCAATACCTGTTTATTGAGAGTTTTTAGCATGAAGTGGTGTTGAATTTTATCAAAGGCCTTTTCTGCATCTATTGAGATAATTATGTGGTTTTTGTCATTGGTTCTGTTTATGTGATGGATTATGTTTATTGATTTGATTTATGTATGTTGAACCAGCCTTGCATGCCAGGGATGAAGCCGACTTGATTGTGGTGGATAAGCTTTTTGATGTGCTGCTGGATTCGGTTTGCCACTATTTTATTGAGGATTTTCACATCGATGTTCATCAGGGATATTGGCCTGAAATTTTCCTTTTTCTGTTGTGTCTCTGCCAGGTTTTGGTATCAAGATGAAGCTAGCCTTATAAAATGAGTTAGGGAGGAGTCCCTCTTTTTCTGTTGTTTGGAATAGTTTCAGAAGGAATCATACCAGCTCCTCTTTGTACATCTGGTAGAATTCGGCTGTGAATCTGTCTGGTCCTGGGCTTTCTTTGGTTGGTAGGCTATTAATTACTGCCTCAATTTCAGAACTTGTTATTGGTCTGTTCAGGGACTCGACTTCTTCCTGGTTTCATCTTGGGGAGGGTGTATGTGTCCAGAAATTTATCCATTTCTTCTAGATTTTCTAGTTTATTTGCATAGAGGTGTTTATAGTATTCTCTGATGGTAGTTTGTATTTCTGTGGGATCAGTGGTGATCTCCCCTTTATCAGTTTTTATTGTGTCTATTTGATTCTTCTCTCTTTTCTTCTTTATTAGTCTGGCTAGTGGTCTATTTTGTTACTCTTTTCAAAAAACCAGCTCCTGGATTCATTGATTTTTTGAAGGGTTTTTCATGTCTTTAACTCCTTCAGTTCTGCTCTGATCTTAGTTATTTCTTGTCTTCTGCTAGCTTTTGAATTTGTTTGCTCTTGCTTCTCTAGTTCTTTTAATTGTGATGTTAGGGTGTCAATTTTACATCTTTCCTGCTTTCTCCTGTGGGCATTTAGTGCTATAAATTTCCCTCTACACACTGCTTTAAATGTGTCCAAGTGATTCAGGTACATTGTGTCTTCGTTCTCATTGGTTTCAAAGGACTTATTTATTTCTGCCTGAATTTCGTTATTTACCCAGTAGTCATTCAGTGGCAGGTTGTTCAGTTTCCATGTAGTTGTGCAGTTTTGAGTGAGTTTCTTAATCCTGAGTTCTAATTTGATTGCACTGAAGAGACTATTTGTTGTGATTTCCGTTATTTTGCATTTTCTGAGGAGTGTTTTACTTCCAATTATGTGGTCAATTTTCGAATAAGTGCGACGTGGTGCTGAGAAGAATGTATATTCTGTTGATTTGGGGTGGAGAGTTCTGTAGATGTCTATTAGGTCTTCTTGGTCCAAAGCTGAGTTCAACTCCTGAATATCCTTGTTAATTTTCTGTCTTGTTGATCTGTCTAATGTTGACAGTGGGGTGTTAAAGTCTCCCATTATTATTGTGTGGGAGTCTAAGTCTCTTTGAAGGTTTCTAAGAACTTGCTTTATGAATCCAGGTGCTCCTGTATTGGGTATATTTAGGATGGTTAGCTCTTCTTGTTGCATTGGTCCCTTTACCCATTATGTAATGCCCTCCTTTGTCTCTTTTGACCTTTGTTGGTTTAAAGTCTGCTTTATCAGAGACTGGGATTGCAACCCCTGCTTTTTTTTGTTTTGCTTTCCATTTGCTTGGTAAATATTCCTCCATCCCTTTATTTTGAGCCTATGTGTGTCTTTGCACGTGAGATGGGTCTCCTGAATACAGCACATTGATGGGTTTTAACTCTTTATCCAGTTTCCCAGTCTGTCTGTTTTAATAGGGGCATTTAGCCTATTTACATTTAAGGTTAATATCGTTATATGTGAATTTGATCCTGTTATTATGATGCTAGCTGGTTATTTTGCCCTTTAGTTGATGCAGTTTCTTCATAGTGTTGATGGTCTTTACAATTTGGTATGTTTTTGCAGTGGCTGGTACCAGTTTTTACCTTCCATATTTAATGCTTCCTTCAGGAGCTCTTGTAAGGCAGGCCTGGTGGTGACAAAATCCCTCAGTATTTGCTTGTCTGTAATGGATTTTATTTCTCCTTTGCTTATGAAGCTTAGTTGGGCTGGATATGAAATTCTGGTTTGAAAATTCTTTTCTTTAAGAATGCTGAATATTGGCCCCCACTCTCTTCTGGTTTGTAGCGTTTCTGCAGAGAGATCCGCTGTTAGTCTGATGGACTTCCCTTTGAGGGTAACCCGACCTTTCTCTCTGGCTGCCTTAACATTTTTTCCTTCATTTCAACCTTGGTGAATCTGACCATTATGTGTCTTGGGGTTGCTCTTCTCGAGGAGTATCTTTGTTGTGTTCCCTGTATTTCCTGAATTTGAATGTTGGTCTGTCTTGCTAGGTTGGGGAAGTTCTCCTGGATAATATCCTGCAGAGTGTTTTCCAGCTTGGTTCCATTCTCCTTGTCAGTTTCAGGTACACCAATCAAATGTAGGTTTGGTCTTTTCACATAATGCCATATTTCTTGGAGGCTTTGTTCGTTCCTTTTCATTCTTTTTTCTCTAATCATGTCTTCATGCTTTATTTCATTAAGTTGATCTTCAGTCTCTGATATCCTTTCTTCTGCTGATCGATTTGGCTTTTGATACTTGTGTATGCTTCACGAAGTTCTTGTGCTGTGATTTTCAGCTCCATCAGTTCATTTAGCTTCTCTAAACTGGTTATTCTAGTTAGCAATTCATCTAACCTTTTTTTCAAAGTTCTTAGCTTCCTTGCATTGGGTTAGATCAAGCTCCTTTAGCTCAGAGGAGTTTATTATTATCCACCTTCTGAAGCCTACTTCTGTCAATTTGTCAAACTCATTCTCCATCCAGTTTTGTTTCCTTGCTGGCATGGAGTTGTGATCCTTTGGAGGAGAAGAGGCATTCTGGTTTTTGGAATTTTCAGCCTTTTTGTGCTAGTTTTTCCTCATCTTCGTGGATTTATCTACCTTTGGTCTTTGATGTTGGTCACCTTCGGATGGGGTTTCTGTGTGGACATCTTTTTGTTGATGTTGATGCTATTCCTTTCTGTTTGTTATTTTTTCCTTCCATCAGTCTGGCCCCTCTGCTGCAGGTCTGCTGGAGTTTGCTGAAGGGCCACTCCAGACCCTGTTTGCCTGGGTATCACCAGCGGAGCCTGCAGAACAGCAAAGATTGTTGCCTGCTTCTTCCACTGGAAGCTTCATCCCAGAGGGGCACCCACCAGATGCCAGCTGGAGCTCTCTTGTATGAGATGTCTGTCGACCCCTGCTGGGAGGTGTCTCCCAGTCATGAGGCACGGGGGTCAGGGACCCACTTGAGGAGGCAGTCTGTCCCCCTTAGCAGAGCTCAAGTGCTGTGCTGGGAGCTCCGCTGCTCTCTTCAGAGCTGGCAGACAGGAACATTTAAGTCTGCTGAAGCTGCACCCATGGCCGCCTCTTCCCCCAGGTGCTCTGTACCAGGGAGAAAGGAGTTTTCTCTATAAGCCCCTGACTGGGGCTGCTGCCTTTCTTTCAGAGATGCCCTGCCCAGAGAGGAGGAATCTAGAGAGGCAGTCTGGCTACCACAGTTTTGCTGAGCTGCAGTGGGCTCCACCCAGTTTGAACTTCCTGGTGGCTTTGTATACACTGTGCAGGGAAAACTGCCTACTTAAGCCTCAGTGATGGCAGACGCCCCTCCCCCACCAAGCTTGTGTCCCAGGTCGACTTCAGACTGCTGTGCTGGCAGTGAGAGTTGCAAGCCAGTGGATTAGCTTGCTCAGCTCCATGGGGGTGGGATCCACTGAGCTAGACCACTTGGCTCCCTGGCTTCAGCCCCCTTTCCAGGGTAGTGAACAGTTCTATCTCTCTGGCATTCCAGGCACCACTGGGGTATGAAAAAAAAAAAAAAACTCCAGCAGCTAGCTCGATGTCTGCCCCCATGGCCACCCAGTTTTGTGCTTGAAACCCAGGGCCCTGGTGGTGTAGGCACCTGAGGGAATCTCCTGGTCTAGAGGTTGTGAAGAAGATGGGAAAAGCATAGTTTTTGGGTTGGAGTGCACCATTCCTCACGGCACAGTCCCTCAAGGCTTCTCCTGGCTAGGGTTGGGAGCTCCCGGACCCCTTATGCTTCCCAGGTGAGGTGACGCCGCACCCTGCTTTGGCTCGCCCTCCATATTGGGAAGATTTCTTTAAGCATCGCTTCTCTACCCAATCAGACTGCCTTTTTCTTTTCTCCCATAGTATTCCATACTTACTCCTACGCACCACTTATTATAACTGTTTACCTGCCTAGTTTCTATACTAAATTGTGAGATATTTGTTGGTAGTAAGGTTTGTGTTATATCATTGTACCCCCAGCACTATGTGTACAGCTGGCACATGGTAGGTGTTAAATGTTTATTGAATGAATTGATGAGAACAATAAATATGTGTTGTATTATCAAAGAAGGATGGATTGCATAGGGTTTAAGGTAGACTTTGAAAGAAAAAAATGATTTGAATTGGTTGATAAGAGAAGATTTTCCACATAGCATGATGAACATATGAAATGAAGTCATACATGAGCAATTGGGCCTTTTTGGTTGTCAGAAATAATTGCAGTAAATAAGGCTTCATATTGGAAAGTTATGAGTCATCACACAAAAAGGTGAGGTAAAGTAGATCCTGTTCACTTAGATTTTTATATCCCAAACTAAGAAATCTGAATTAATACCGATTCTGATAATTCAGCGAAAACATGGTATGACAATATCAGAAAACCAATGGGAAATTAACTCTGAAGACTAGGACGATGGCAGTGATAATCAGGGGAAAAACTTTTTTTAATTTTTATTTTCCCATTTTGTTTTCATGACATTGGGTTTGAAGAGAGGGGTTCATAAGTATATGGGACTGTGATATTTTGCTGTCTCTCAAGTGCCATATGGATCAAAGTTCAAATTTTGTCTTCAAGTTCAAGACTTGGTTCTGAGTCAGCAGAGGTTAACCCATTGCTACTGGGGAGTGGGGGTCTGTTGGAAGAAAGAAGGGGACATTGGTGTGAATGACTGTGGAGGACTGCAGATTTCCAGAACCCATCTCAGGCCTTGGACGTTTTCAATATAGTTTATTTGTTGGGAGTTGCCAAAGCAGACCCCTAGAGCAACATGGAATGGCTAGGCTGAGATTGTACTGGGAGTGGAAGGTTGTCAGGCGTACAGTGAACAGCTGATGAGAACACACACCTTCAGGGTTTCTTTTTCTCTGCATCCTCACTAACATCTGTTATTTTTTATCTTTTTAATAACAGCCATTCTGACTAGGGTAAGATAATATCTCATTGTGGTTTAATTTGTATTTCTCTAATGATTAGTGATATAGAACATTTTTAAATATAAGTGTTGGCCATTTGTATGTCTTCTTTTCAGAAATGTCTATTCATGTCATGCCTAAGGGGATTTTTTGTTTTCTAAGGGGATTTTTTTTTTCCTGTTGAGTTGTTTGAGGTCCTTGTATATTCTAGATGTTAGTACCTTGTGGTATGGATAGTTTGCAAATATTTTCTCCCACTCAACAAGGTCTTAGTCATAAATTATTTTCCTAGACCAGTGTCCAGGAGAGTTTTACCTAGGTCTTCTTATAGTATTTTTATAGTTTTGGGTCTTAAGTTTAACTCTGTAATCCATTTCGAGTTGATTGTTGTATATGGTAAGAGATAGGGATCCAGTTTCATTCTTTTGAATATGGCTGTCCAATTTTCCTAACACTGTTTATTAAAGAGGGTATCCTCCAGTTAGAATGGCAATCATTAAAAAGTCAGGAAACAACAGGTGCTGGAGAGGATGTGGAGAAATAAGAACACTTTTACACTGTTGGTGGGACTGTAAACTAGTTCAACCATTGTGGAAGTCAGTGTGGCGATTCCTCAGGGATCTAGAACTAGAAATACCATTTGACCCAGCCATCCCATTACTGGGTATATACCCAAAGGACTATAAATCATGCTGCTATAAAGACACATGCACACGTATGTTTATTGAGGCACTATTCACAATAGCAAAGACTTGGAACCAACCCAAATGTCCAACAATGATAGACTGGATTAAGAAAATGTGGCACATATACACCATAGAATACTATACAGCCTTAAAAAAGGATGAGTTCGTGTCCTTTGTAGGGACATGGATGAAATTGGAAATCATCATTCTCAGTAAACTATCACAAGGACAAAAAACCAAACACGGCATGTTCTCACTCATAGGTGGTAATTGAACAATGAGAACACATGGACACAGGAAGGGGAACATCACACTCTGGGGACTGTTGTGGGGTGGGGGGAGGGGGGAAGGATAGCATTAGGAGATATACCTAATGCTAAATGACGAGTTAATGGGTGCAGCACACCAGCATGGCACATGTATACATATGTAACTAACCTGCACATTGTGCACATGTACCCTAAAACTTAAAGTATAATAATAATAAAATTAAAAAAAAGAAAAAAAATATAAAAAGGGTGTCCTTTCCCCAGTGTCAGTTCTTGTCAGTGTTGTTGAAGATCAGTTGGCTGTAAGTATGTGACTTTATTTCAGGATTCTGTATTCTGTTCCATTGAGCATTTCTTGTAGCGTCACTCTTGGTTGTAACAAATTTCCTCAGCATTTGCTTGTCTGGGAAATACTTTATTTTTCCTCCATCTGTGAAGGATAATTTTGCTGGGTAGACTCTTCTTGGCTGACAGTTTTTTTTGTTTTTTTTTTTTTTTAATTTCAGCACTTTGAATATATCACCTCATTCTCTTTTAGCCTGTGAAATTTCTGCTAAGAAATCCACTGTTAAGGCCAGGCACAGTGGCTCACGCCTGTAATCCCAGTACTTTGGGAGGCCGAGGTGGGTGGATCACAAGGTCAGGAGTTCGAGACCACCTGGGCCAACATGGTGAAACCCCGTCTCTACTAAAAAAATACAAAAATTAGCTGGGCATGGTGGTGTGGGCCTGTAATCCCAGCTACTTGGGAGGCTGAGGCAGGAGAATCGCTTGAACATGGGAGGTGGAGGTTGCAGTGAGCTGAGATTGTGCCACTGCACTCCAGCCTGGGCAACAGAGCAAGACCTTGTCTCAAAAACAAAAACAAAACAACAACAACAAAAAACAAAAAAAACCCACAGAAATCCAAATCCACTGTTAGTCTGATGGGGTTTCTTTATTGGTGACCAGATGCTTTTCTCTTGCTTTTTAAAGGGTATGCTTTTTATCTTTGACTTTAGGCAGTCTCACTATAATGTGCCATGGGGAAGACATTTTTGCATTGTGTTTGCCTAGGGATTATTGAAGCTCCTATATCTGAATGTGAATGTCTAAAATTCTTGCTAGACTTGGGAAGTTTTCTTCTATTATTTAATTACATAGGTTTTATAGTCCTTCCTTTGTCTCTTTGCCCCTGGGATGCCAATAATTTGAATATTTGATCACATTATGTTGTCCCAAATATCACAAAGCCTTTGCGGATTCTTTTAGGTTCTTTTTCTTTATTTTTGTCTGACTGGATTATTTCAAAAGACGTGTCATCAAGTTCTGAGATTCTTTCTTCTGCCTGATCTAGTCTATTATTGGAGCTTTCAAATATATTTTATATTTTCTTCAATTAATTCTTCAGCTCCAGAATTTCTATTTGGTTCTTTCTTAAAAATATCTATCTATCTCTTTGGTAGATTTCTCATTCATATCCTGAATTCTTCTTCTGAATTGTTTGTATTTTCTAGAATTCTCTTGTATCTAACTGAGCTTCTTTAAAATTGAAATTTTGAATTATTTTTCTGGGATTTCAGCAACTTCTTTTTGATTAAGATCTATTACTGGAGAATTCTTGTTTTCCTTTGGAAGTTTCATATTTCCTTGTATTTTGATGTTTTCTGTGTCTTTATATTGATATCTGTGTATCTGGTGTAACAGTTGCATCTTCCTATTTTTTAATTCACTTCCATAGGGTAGGACTTTTTTCTGAAGATGTATCTGTGGTGTTGGTTGGGTAGGGCACTTTGGCTTTGATTCTGAGTACATGTAGTAGTGTAGTCTCTGTATGATTTCTTTGGCTATAAATAGCATTAATGCTTTCAGTGATTTCCTTAGAGGATTAGGCTGCAATTATTAGTGAAGGCTGTGGTGAAGTTGTGCTGGGGACAGGCCCCAAGGGTGGCAAGAGTAGGCTGACTCTACCTATCTTTGTGCCCCAGAGTGGTGTATGCTGGCACCTGTGTTGGCAGTTACTGGTGGGCCGGTTCCTGGGCCTTAGGTGGTTTGCATGGATGCTGGTAGTGGCAGCAGTGGGCTAGGTGACTGAACAGGTTCTCACGTCGCTGGGAAACAATTGTGCTATGGGTCATGGCAGTAGAGGTGGTGAATGACCCTCTGGGTCCTGCATGCTGTGGGCTGGTGTTGGTGGTGGCTGTGCTACAGGTCACCACCCACAGTTCCAGACATGCTGTTCTCAGGTTCTTCTGCTCTCTGCAGCAGCAGTGCTACAGTGCCATGTGAAAGGAGGAAGAACCTTGCTTTCACTCCAGATCCCAGGCATGCAGGCCATGTTACACTGTGAGGTTGTAGTCACTACTTAGAGCCTCAGTCAAGCAGGTCTCTGGATCACCTGCCCCAGGCTTCAGCAGCAGTAGCAGAAGTGGGTGTGTGGAGGAGGAGGAGATGTCCTGTTCTCTATGTGTGAGCCTGAGAACAGAGACTCTTCCGCCGGTGGGAGAGGAAATCAAACTAATGAGTATAAATTACTCCAGTTTGCCATTAAAGGGAAGGATAAATATGGTGAGATGGTGGTAGTTGGAAGGAGTTCTGGAGTCTATTGAAGCGTTTGCTGTGTTAATGTGTTTTGTTTTAATAGAGAGAAAATGAACTTAAATATATTGGTATAGCTATTTTATTGAATCAGTTAGCTTTAATTAGTTCCACTTAAGTAGGAAGCAAACATTATTTTCTTACTACTGCCCTTCAATCTCATGTGGCATATGTATCTCTCTAAAAGCTTTTCTAGTCAGTTTTGTCAATTAGCTCTATCTCATTTTCAGATATTGAATTACTTGTTTCATCTAAATTAGTACTTCCATATAGTGTACAATCAGACTGTGTCCCTTCTCCAAGCTCAACCTAGGCCTGCTAATTCTTACACAAGCCAAGGGAAGGAGGGGCCTGATCAGTTCTTCAACCCTATTTTTTTACTCTCTTTTTCTATTCTTTTCATTTTTCCTTTTTCTTTTTTTTTTGACAGGGTCTCACTCCGTCACCCAAGTTGAAGTGCAGTGGTACAATCATGGCTCACTGCAGCCTCAATCTCCTGGGCTCATGGTACCCTCCCACCTCAGCCTTCTGAGTATCTGGGAGTACAGGAGCATGATGCCACACTTGGCTAATTATTTTTTTTTTGTAGGGATAGGAGTATTGCTATGTTGCCCAGGCTGGTCTTGAACTCCTGGCCTCAAGCGATCCTGCTATCTCAGCATCCCAAAGTGCTGGGATTACAGGCATGAGCTACTGTGCCTGGCCCTACTCTCTTTCTCAACTCATATTATAGTTTTTGGTTCCTCTATAAGTGGGGCAAGGTGTGGGGAAGAGTTAAGTTGTTAAAAAGTTAAAAATTAAAGTGAGAATCAGCATCAGTCTTGTACCCCATGGAAATGTCAGGAGATACAAGTCAAGTAGTTAAAATGATTCTCTTATATTACTCTGATCAGGAAACAGCACTAGTAAACCAATACATTTTGCTGTTCTACAAGTATCAGTCAGGGAGGTGGATAGGGGAAGAGTGAGATGTTACTTTCTCCTTGTGGCATATATTCCTCTTCTCTATAAAAAGTCTCCCTCACTTGGTTTGAGATAGGGGACATCATCCCTCCTACACCCTCCATGGGGAGGGAAAAATCAGGGAAATGCATAGAACTCCAATAGCTCTGTTCAGAAGAAATACTGTCTCCAAACTCAGATCAGTCTCTAGCAATCCCATATAGACAACAGATGGGTAAAGGGTGAAGTGTTGAAGGACTAATTTTGGCCACCCCTTGGCAAATTTTGCCTTAATGAATCTATTATCTCCTCATTTGAATGTACAGATCCTCATCATTTATTGCACTCAGCTGAGAGAACAGAAAAATGTCATTTCACATTCTGTTGCATAGGAAAGAAAAGGCATATATGATTCCTGCCTAAGAATGCAAGCTCAGTGGATTTTCTGGACGTAAGATAGAAAAGAATACTTATTGTTATAACCTAAATGAGCTTATGGCACCTGTAACCACTATCAGATTGTTATCATCTTCAAAAGACACATTGGTCTGACATCTGGCATTTAAAAGAAATGTAAATCTTTGGTCAAGGAAATTTCAAATGAGGGAGAGCTAATGATGTATGATAAATAGCAAAACTTCATCAATTGTATCCATCCCTATTGCCAGAGTTTTAGTGATAACCTCTCAAAAATCTAGTCTATTATTGGAGCTTATATCTCCCCTTCTCTCTACCAATTCTGTTCTTCCAAGAATAGCTCTCTACCCTTTTAAAATCTAATACAATTTAGCCTTGTCACTTCTCCGGTTGCTCACTCAAACTTTATACCAGTCATGTCAACACACATCCTGGTAGCTGAGCAAGTGTATACAGAAACATTTTTAGAAGGTGAGAAAGGGGTGAGTGGGTAAAGAAAAGTGAATGCTAAGATATTTTGTCTGTGACATATTGATAAATATAATTTAATTTTTCTTTTTTTCTTTTGGTTTAGCTAAAACTGGTAAAATTGAGTCACTACATGTAGCATTCACTGAAGATGAAACCACTTCCATTAAAATGGATAGAACTCGTTTTCCTGATGTTTTAAGAAATCAATCACTAACACCTATCAATATCCAAAATATCTTTCTTGATCACTGTGTACAAGAAAGAGTGACTGCAATTTCATCACCCCAGAAATCTACTAAGCATGTCCGTGAGCAGATTCCAGATACTGCTACTGGTTCCATATTTTTTCCACATTGTAATTCAGCTTCTACTCGAATTTTTGGGAAACAAACAAACAAAATGGAAAGTTCAAGAAAGTTTAAAACTATGAAAGATGTTTATACTGAAAAAAGGCTAGAAAACATTTTAATTCTTTCTTCCAAGTTTTCCAAACCTAAAAGTACTCCTGGCTCAGTTATCGCTCAAAAACTTGAGAAAATGCACCCTAAGCATCAACCTTTACCAGAGAGTCCAGGCTATACTTATCAGCACATCTCGAGAGACTTAAGTGCAACAGTGCCAAGCCCTCCACCTATGACTGTATCTATGAAACCAGAAGGACAGTGGCCTGAACATTTTAAATCAACTGCTACATTGACACTAAGAGTTACTGAATTTCCAGGTTTTGTTTCCTTGCCAACACCAGTTTTACCAAGAAAACCTCACAGGCAGTCTGTGATAGGTAAATACAATCTGAACACGGTATAATTATAGAGTCAAGTAGAGCAAAGGGGAGAGAAGGCATGCAAGCTAATGGTACCCCTCCCGCTTTGGGTTTGCAGAATGGGAGGATGGAATCACCTTTTATATATACATGTAATACTTGAGCCATAGGGCAATAACAGAAGTCCTGACCTTGCAGATCTGCCAAGGCCAGACTGGGTACTCCATTCAGATGGTGATAATGGGAACCAACAAGGGAATTCAAAGGATCGGAAAAGCTAATATAAAGAAGCAGTGAGAATACACAGTCATTCAAAGGTGATCTAGAAGAACTCCAGAAGTAGAATGCCAGTGCTGATAGACGCCTTCATGAATATATTTTCATGGATAATTGGAATCCATTAAATGATGAACAATTATATTGAAGTCATAAAACCCTCAAGTGAATTTTTACAAATATCCAAAGTCATCCCATTTGTTTTTCATTTTTCTAGAAACTCTTGTAACAGAAAATGGAAATATAGAAAGTGTCCCAAAGCAAATCCCACCAAGACCACCTGAAGGTAAATGCTAGATTTATACAATTCTTTTAGAAAATGTATGTAAGATTATATCTTTAAAAAATTATGGGTGATTTTTTGTGTTTATGTGTGTGATTCACACATGCATAACACACATATGTCTTACCTCATTTTCAGCTCCCTAAGTCATTTATGGAGCAGCTATTTTTAATATATTGACTATGAACCAAATATATTGATATTGAGAATATAAAAGCTGATGCACTCGTAATCTGGGTGGGGTGGACAGGCATACAGAAATATGAATTAACTATTTGCCATGTGCCAGGCAAATCAAACAAATGAAAATGAAAAATATATTTGAAGAAAGATTATACCATCCTAGATGTTACATTATGTCTACAAACAATCTCTCAAATATAGTGTGTGGCAAATAATTCACAATTACCAGGCACACAAAGAGAAAGACAAAATGAATGAAAACTAGCAGAAACAATAAGCAGTAGAAACATATCCACAGGATTATTTGGTATTAGAATTATTGGGCACATTTTTTAATAACCTGGTGACTTCTGGGTTTTTTCCATTACTAAGTAGTTTGTAATGGACTAACCTTACCAAAATCAACTATTAAAGCTGCCAAAAATATATAAAGTAGCTATTGAAGGAACTGGACAGTAACCAATGTGGGCGTGACTTGAGTAGAACTGGACAGTAACCAATGTGGACATTACAATTCCTGAAAGAAGGGAAGCTCTGCCTTTACCTTGGCTCATGCCTGAGGGTGTTTGTGGTGTGGGAGAATGGATTACAAGTAGAATGTGGTGGTTTTAGTGGATTGAGGAGCTAGTAGTCAGACTTCAGAGCAGCCAATATACTTGGGACTTGAGGGAGAAAATCTTGGCGAGGAGAGAATTGAAGGAAGGTGAATCAAAAAATCTGCATACAAGCTGGGCACAGTGGAGTGCAGCTGTAGTCTCAGTTCTTGAGAGGCTGAGGTGGAGTATCACTTTAGCCCAGGAGTTCGAGGCCCGCCTGGAACATAGTGAGACTCAGTCTGTGTTAGGCCATTCTTGCATTGCTATAAAGAAATACCTGAGACTGGATAATTTATAGGGAAGAAAGACTTAATTGGCTCACAGTTCTGCAGACCTTACAAGAAGTATGGTGCTGGTATTTGCTGCTGGTGAGGGCCTCAGGGAGCTTTTACTCATGGTATACAGCAAAGTGGGAGCTTGAACATCACATGATGAGAGCGGGAGCAAGAGAGAGAGTGGTGTGCGGTACAGGTGCCACAAACTTTAAAACAGCCAGATCTTATAAGAACTCACTATCATGAGGGCAGCACAAAGCCATGAGGGATCTACTCCCATGAACCAGACACCTCCCACCAGGCCCCATGTCCAACACTGGGAGTTACATTTCAATATGAGATTTAGAGGGGACAACATCCAAACTATATCACTCCACCTCTGGCCCCTCAAATATCATGTTCTTCTCGCATTGCAAAATACAATCATCCCCTGCCAATAGTTCCCCAAAAGTCTCAACTGATTTCAGCATCATTCAAAAGTGCAAAGTCTCACGTGAGACAAGGCATGTCCCTTTGTATTAGTTTGGGTTCTCTAGAGGGACAGAACTAATAGGATATATGTATATATGAAAGGGAGTTTATTAAGGAGAATTGACTCACCATCACAAGGTAAAGTCCCATGATAGACCGTCTGCTAGTTGAGGAGTAAGGAAGCCAGTAGTGACTCAGTTTGAATCCCAAAACCTCAAAAGTAGGGAAGCCGACTGTGTAGCTTTCAGTCTATGGCTAAAGGCCCGAGAGCCCCTGGCAAACCACTGATGTAGGTCCAAGAGCCCAAAAGCCGAAGAACTTGGAGTCTGATATTCTATGGGAGGGGCTGCCACAATGGTCTCTGAAATGTCTTTGAGGCCTTGTTCCTCTTGGCTATTTGTATTTGGATCCTTTTTAGTTATGCACATCTCTCTAGCAAGTGGTTACTCTATAGCCTGCTGGAATCCCTCTCCCAAAGCTTTTTCTTTCCATGCTGTATGGCCAGGCTGCAAATTTTCCAAACTTTTACAATCTGCTTCCCTTTCGAATATAAATTTCAACTTTGTCATTGCTTTGCTCCCACATCTGAGCATAGGCTGTTACAAGCAGCCAGGCCAAATCTTGAATGCTTTGCTGCTTAGAAATTTCTTCTATCAGATACCCCAAGTCATCACTCTGAAGTTCAGACTTCCACAGATCATTAGGACATGAATAGAATTTAGCCAAGCTCTTTGCTAAGGTGTAACATGGGTGACTTTTGCTCCAGTTTCAAATAAGTTCTTCATTTCAATCTGAGACCTTGGCAGCCTGGACTTCACTGTCAATATAAATATCAACATTTTGGTCATGCTGTTTACCTAGTCTCTGGGAAGTTCCAAACTTTCCCTCATCATCCTGTCTTCTTCTGAGCCCTAGAAACTTCCAACCTCTGCCTGTTACCTGGTTCCAAAGTGGCTTCCACATTTTCATGTATCTTTATAGCAATGCCCTTCTCCTCAGTACCAATTTTATGTGTTAGTTTGTTCTTTCATTACTACAAAGAAAAACCCAAGACTGAGTAATGTGTAGAGAAAAGAGGTTTAATTGGTTTACAGTTCTGAAGGCTATACAAGCGTAGTTATGGCATTCCCTTGGCTTTTGGGGAGGCCTCAGTGAGCTTTTACTCATGGCAGAAGGCAAAACAAGAGCAGGTATATCACACCACTGCAAAAGCAGAAGCAAGAGAGAGTGAAGGAGAGGTGCCACACACTTTTTCTTTTTTCTTTTTTTTTTTAGACAGAGTCTTACTCTATTGCCCAGGCTGGAGTGCAGTAGGACAATCTCAGCTCACTGCAACCTCCGCCTGCCAGGTTCAAGTGATTCTCCTGCCTCAGCCTCCTGAGTAACTGGGACTGCAGGCATGCACCACCATGCCCAGCTAATTTTTGTATTTTTCATAGATACAGGGTTTCACCATGTTGACCAGACTGGTCTCAAACTCCCAACCTCTAGTGATCCTCCTCGGCCTCCCAAAGTGCTGGGATTACAGATGTGAGCCACCGCACCTGGCCTGCCACACACTTTTTTTTTTTTTTTTTTGAGACAGAGTCTCGCTCTGTCACCCAGGCTGGAGAGCTGTGGCAAGATCTCGGCTCACTGCAAGCTCCACCTCCCAGGTTCGCGCCATTCTCCTGCCTCAGCCTCACGAGTAGCTAGGACTACAGGCGCCCGCCACCATGCCCAGCTAATTTTTTGTATTTTTAGTAGAGACGGGGTTTCACCGTGTTAGCTAGGATGGTCTTGATCTCCTGACCTCGTGATCCGCCGGCCTCGGCCTCCCAAAGTGCTGGGATTACAGGCGTGAGCCACTGCGCCCGGCCTGCCACACACTTTTAAACAACATCGGAATTCCACTCACTACCACAAGGACAGCACCAAGCCATAGGAGATCTGCCCCCATGACCCAAACACCTCCCTCTGGGACCCACATCCAACATTGGGGTTTACATTTCAACATGAGATTTAAAGAGGACAACATCCAAACTATATCACAGTCTCTTTAAAAAAATCTTCATACAAACTCCAAGGTTGCTAGCTAATTGTAAGCTGTGAATGTATAGAACAAGACTCCAAGAAACACAGTAGAAAACATCAGCTGAGAAGACAAGAAATTTATCATAGAGTTTTGTGTTTGCACAAAAGATGGATAATAGAGTTCAAGCTCTGCCAAAGTGTTGGGGCCTTTGTAAACACATTGGAATTTCCGTTGAAATTCCATTCCTTAGGAATAAAGATGATGTTCTAGGAAAGAGGACAAAACTAAAATAGCCAAGCCCTAACAAAGCTCAAACCAATCCTTGATAATGGTGTTTTCTGCCTAATCAAGGAAAACCTAACACGTTGAGAGAAAGATAGAGAGAGAAAGAGAGAGGGCGTATTATCCAGACTTCTTAAAATAGTTCATCCTCGAAGTCCAACATTAAATTTAAAAAATTACAACACATTCTAAAAAAAAAATAAAATATCTGAAAAATGGTAGAAAGAAACAGGCAATAAAACAGCCCTATATTTGATTCAGATATTAGAGTTTCAAATGGATTTAAAAGTAACTATGATTACTATGTCCAAGAAAACAAAGAGGTCATTGGAGAATTTCACCACAGAACTGGTATTTTTGTTTTTTAAAATGAGTCAAATAAAATTCTAGAACAATAAAAATAATATACCCAATTAATAATTCAAATAGCTGCATTTAGTAAGAGGTTATACACAGCAGAACACTCTAACCATAACCTACCATTCCTCCCAGAACTTTTGTACCCTTGTCTATGATGTAAATTAACTTCCGGGTGTCTTCCATGTCATGCTGCCATTTTTGCTTTATTGAGTTTCTTCTCTGGTAGTTTCCTCCTTAGAAAATTTAAGAATCCTCAGATTCTTGAGAGATCACATCCTCTTCATCTCCATCTTCCTCATTTCTACTCAACAACCAACTCTGTGGGCTTAGAGCAGGGAGCAGGCCACAGACTTATGTCTTAATTCACTCTCTTTCCCTTCTTGCTCCATTCTTTCTACCAAGCCAAGGCATCTCTATATTACATTATATATCTTTCTTTATTCTGTGGTCAGCTTTCACATCTCTTGATCTGAAATGGGCACAGAGGTTCTATTTT
This sequence comes from Homo sapiens, assembly GCF_000001405.40. Taxonomy (NCBI): domain Eukaryota; kingdom Metazoa; phylum Chordata; class Mammalia; order Primates; family Hominidae; genus Homo; species Homo sapiens. Next base: position 46,233,408 of record NC_000013.11, read on the forward strand.
AGAAATTAAAAACCTTTTTTTGTTTTCTTTGTTCTAGGATGCTTATTTTCTCTCATCAAACCAGTAGCATAAGAATTACTGACATTATAAAATATGTTTCTGCAAACAATGCAGCAATAATGGCTGCAAAAGTAAAATATATAAAATTTTAAAATACTTTCCTGCCACATTTGGTGTATACTTGCATAGGACATTTTTGATGGAAGGTGAAACCCATAGGGTCATAATAAAGTAAATTTAAATTTAGATGGTCTTTCTTTGGCTTACTCCTGAGATGTTTGTTTGTTTCCTATGGGGGATCTACAAACTAAAGGAAGAGTTTAATTACACAGGGCATTTGAATTATACATCAAAGTGATGCTAAGGAAAAAGTGAGGCTGATGTCTTCATGAGGTATTCTTACATGATGTTGCTTATTAATTTTATGAGCCAAGAAGTTCTTTATGTAATTCGTAGTAAATTTTAAGAGAACATTTTTACACATAGTATACAAAGACTGATATTGATGGAATCTAAATTATCTAGACAGAAATCTATGAGCATATGGTTTACTTTGGGGAAGATAATGGTGCATTTAAAATTACAAAACAAAACAACACCCACTTTGGCAAACAGAACTAACTGAGTTTGGGTAGATGAAGGCTATGGGGAATCCCTGCCAGAGGATGTGTACACTTAAGTCCTTAGGGTAACTCAATATTATCATAAGATAAATACCTCTTAACTTTCATTCTAAGTGATAACACATTTAAATTTTATGTTTTGTTTTGTTTTGTTTATTTAGGTCTCACCAAAACTGAAAAAATAGAATCAGAGATACACGTTGTACGTGGTGAAGGTTTTAAGACTGTTGCAGCAACACGATATGAAACAATAACAGCCATGACCAACCTGGCCATAGTAAACTGTCAAGTATATGGGAGAAATGCACTTAATCTGAAGGTATGCTAGATCTTTTTAATGACAGTGCCCTCCTGTATTATCAATTATTTTTGCTTTAAATTTCCCAATATAGATTAGTTTCCATGGTATTGAGGGGAATTTTCCTATTACAATAGAGATTTCTTAGGAACACATTCAAATTGCATCTCTAAACCTATATTCCTAGTTTGCCTTCAGTTTAAAAAGATTCTGAGGTTCAAGTCAATCACAGTGCTTTTTTTATTACTTAGCATAAGAGAATTTGAATTCAGATTTATTGTATTTTTAAGTTATTAGCAATCTTTGGTTCTGTGACAAATCTAGTACTAGGATGGCTTTTCACTGAACACAAGCTCAATATCATGAATAGCAATAATATTAGTTATCATTTGTTAAGTATCCACTATGTGCCAAGTACACATTACTCCTAAAACACAATTATGTAACGTAAGTATTATAATCTTTACCCTACAGATAAGAACACTGAGCCTTAATGAAAGTAACTTGTATAAGATCACACAGTAAGCAAGTTGTAGAGCTTGGGTTTGAACCCAGAACTTTCTGGCCTCAAAATCAATGCTTTTTTATTTTAAGTTTTATTTTGAAATAAGTTCTAACTCATAGAAAAGTTGTAAAAATAGGAAAAGCTACAGAGAGTTTATTTGAAAAATTAGGCATTAAAATAATATTCACATATACTGGGAAATTTGGAAAGCCAAATGCATGGCTGGGGCTAGAAACATTCTTAGAAAAGACCTGAGAAGACCCTAAGCTTTCACATTTCGCTGACCTCTAAATGCAGTACAAGCAGGAAGTAAAGGCTAAGGTGGTTGTAAATGGCCTGGCTAAGCATTGAAGGAGTGCCTTAGCACAGAGTCGATCTGAAAAGATGAAGTTCTCTCTGTCCTCCTCCCTCTGTCTTCTGTTGTGTAAGGAAATCATGTCAAAACAATAACTGAACACAAGTTAAAGGAGCAGAGATTTTAAAGAAAATATATGTCAAAGAATACAGACTTCACAAAAAAAGTTTAGAAAATTATTAAACAACCCAATAGCTATAGCTCATATCAAGCCTACAGAAATTCTGGAGCTGAAAAATACAATAACTGAAATGAAAACTTCACTGGAAGATTTCAATAGTAGATGTGATCAGGCAGAATAAAAATAGAAATAGAAACCAAAACAACAAAACAAACCCCAAAGAGAGGGGAAAATGTGATTTCCAGAGTTAACACATAATAATTATTAAGATGTCCAGTTCCACTTTTTAACAAAAATTATGGAATATGCAAAAAAAAATGCTTGTTCACAGAAGAAACTAACAGAAGCTCTATTTTTTCACGTCAGATGGGTAATGTGCCAATGTCATAAAAAGGCTTGAGGGAGGCATATTTTATTCATGAGCATAAAAAGCCAATCATCATGCTTATGAACTACTAAAGGATTAGAAACTACTTATGAGGAAGCACAGACATTGGACTTACTGGAAAAAGGACCTTAAATAAACTGTCTTAAATATGTTCAAACTGCTAAATGAAACTATGGACAGAGAGCTAAAAAGAATAATGTGTGAACAAAGATTTCAATAAGGAGAATAATGTGTGAACAGAGATTTCAATAAAGAGATGGAAATGACAAAAGAAAAAACACAAAACAAAACAATTCTGGAGCTGAAAACTACATTACCAAACTGAAAACTTCTCTAGAAAGTTTCAATACTAGAAATATTGATTAGGCAGAATAAAGAATTATAGAACTAGAAAATCGGTCAATTGAAATGATCAAGTATGAAGAACAGAAAGAAAAAAAATAAAGAAAAATGAACACAACCTAAGGGACCTCTGGAACATCATCAAGTATACCAACATACATTTAATGGGGTCTCTGGAGAAAAGAAGAGAGAGAGAGAGGAAAGGGCAGAAAAAGTATTTGAAAAAATAATGGCCAAAATATTCCAATTTGATTAAAAGCACAAATCTATACATCCAGGAAGCTCAATCAACTCCAAGAAGGATAATTGCCAAGAAATCCACAATGAGACATATAATCTAATTGTCAAAAGCCAAAGTCAAAGAAAGAATCTTGACAGCAGCAATCAAGAAGTGTTTTGTCATGTACAAGGGCTCTACAATGAAATTCACAGCCAGTTTGTTGCCAGAAACTATGGAGGCAAGAAAGGAATGGGATGACATCTTTATAGTGCTGAAAGAAAAGCAATCTGTCAACCAAAAGTCTATACCCAGAAAATCTATCCTTCAAAAACAAAGGAGTAATTAAGACATTCCCCAATAAGCAAAAGCTGAGGGCATTTGTTGCCAGTACACCTGCCCTATAAGAAATGCTAGAGAGTTGTTCAGGCTACAGTGAGAGAACATTAGACAGCAACTCAAAGTCTTAAGAAGAAATAAAGAACTCTGATGAAGGTAACTACAAAGGTAAATATAAAAGTCAGTATTATTTTGGTTATCGGTTTATATTACTTTTTCTTTCTTATATCACTTAAAAGACAAATGTGTAAACATAATTATAAATGTATATTAATGGACACACAATGTATAAAGATTTAATTTGTGACAAAACAGAAGGGAGATGAAGCCATATAGGAACAGAGATTTTGTGTGCCATTGGAGTTAATTTGGTATCAATCCAAACTACATTGTTGTAAATTTAGGATGCCAAGTGCAATCCCATAGTAACTACTACTGAAAAACAATATTAAAACATACACAAAAGGATGTGAGGAGGGAATTAATGTGGCACACTACAGAAAATTAATTAAATACAAAGAAGGCTGTAACGAAGGGAATGAACAAAACCAACAATGACAAAACATTCTGGAAAGGGCAAAAATGTAAAGGCAGTAAAAGTATCTGTGGTTTTCAGGGTTGTGGCAGAAGGGAAGAAAGGATGAATAAGAGAAGCACAGGTGATTTTTAGGGCAGTGATTCTGTATGATACTGTAATGGTGAATCTATTTCCTTATGCATTTTGAAAACCCATAGAATATATAACACAAGGTGTGAACTATAATGTAAACTATGGACTTGGGTTGATAATGATGTGCCAATGTTGGTTCATTGATTGTAACAAATATACCAACATGGTGTACAAGTTGTTAATGTTGGGGGAAGGCTATAGGTACATGTGGTGAAGGGGTATGTGGAGAAGAAAAATCTCAAATTAAGAACTTAACTTTACACCTTAAAGAACTTGAAGAAAGAGAGCAAACTAAATCCAAAGCTAACAGAAGGAAGAAAACAATAATGATAAGAGCAGAGATAAATGAAATAGAGAATAGAAAAACAGTAGAGAAAATTAATGGAAACAAAGATAGGTTATTTGTAAAGATCAATAAAATAAACAAATCATTAGCTAGACTAAGTAAAAGAGAGAGAATGTACAAATAACTAACATTAGTCATGAAAATTGAAATATTACAACTGGCCTTACAAAAATGAAGGGGATTGTAAGAGAATACTATAAATAATTGTACACCAATGAATTATATAACCTAGATAAAATGGAAACATTTCCAGAAAAACACAAATTACCAAAACAGACTCAAGAACAAAAAAAATCCGAGCAGATGTTTAATAAGTAATGAGATTAAATCAGTAACAAAAAACTTCCAAACAAAGAAAAATCCAGGACCAGATGGACCTAATTTCAGGCAACCCTAATTTCAGACAAAACAGGCTTTAAACCAACAAAGATCAAAAAAGACAAAGAAAGGCATTACATAATGTTAAGGGCTCAATTCAACAAGAAGACATAACTATCCTAAATATATATGCACCCAATAGAGGAGCAGCCAGATTCATAAAGCAAATTATTAGATTCCTACAAAAAGACTGAGACTCCCTCACAATGAATAGTGGGAGACATCAACACTCCACTGACAGCATTAGACAGATCATCAAGGCATAAAATTAACAAAGATATTCAACATTGGACAAAAATGGATCTGGACCTTTACAGAACTCTACCCCTAAAACAACAGCATTCTTCCCATTTCCACATGACACATACTCTAAAATCAACCATGTAATCGAACACAAAACAAGTCTCAGCAAATGCAAAGTAATTGTATTAGTACATTGTCATACTGCTATGAAGAAATACCTGAGACTGGGTAATTTATTAAAAAAAAAGAGGTTTAATGGACTGACAGTTCCACATGGCTGGGGAGGTCTCACAATCATGGCAGAAGGCAAAGGAGAAGCAAAGACATGTCTTACATGACGATAAGCAAGCATGTGCAGGGGAACTGCCCTTTATAAAACCATCAGCCCTCATGTGACTTATTCACTTTCAGCATGAGAAAAACTCACCCCTATGATTCATTTACCTCCCACCAGATCCCTCCCACGACACATGGGGATTATGGGAGCTACAATTCAAGATGATATTTGGGTGGGGACACAGCCAAACCATATCAATAACCAAAATTATACCAAACACAATCTTGGACCACAGTACAATGAAAATAGAAGTCAAGACTTTTAAAATCACTCATACCATACAATTACATGAAAATTAAATGACATGCTCCTGAATGACTCTTGGGTAAATCTGAAATTAAGGCAGAAAAGAAGTACTTTGAAATTAATGAGAATAAAAATGCAACATATTAGAATCTGTGGTACACAGCTAAGGCAATGTTAAGCAGGAAATTCATAGCACTGAATGTCCACATCAAAAAATTAGAAAGATGTTACATTAGTAACCTAACATCAAAACCAAAAGAATTAGAGAAGCAAGAGTAAACCAACCCCAAAGCTAGCAGAAGACAAGAAATAACCAAAATCAGAGCTGAACTAAAGAAAATTGAGACACAAAAAAGAATTCAAAAGATCAGCAGATCCAGGAGTTGATTTTTTGAAACAAATAATTAGTAATATAGGCCACTAGTTAGACTAATAAAGAAGAAGAAAGAGAAAATCCAAATAAACACAATTAGAAATGACAAAGGGGAAGTTACTCCTGACCCCACAATAATAAAAATAACCATCAGAAACTGCTACAGACACCTCTATGCACACAAAGTAGAAAACCTAGAAGAGATGGATAAATTCCCAGACACATACATCCTCCCAAGACTGAACCAGGAAGAAATTGATTACCTGAACAGACCAATAATGAGCTCCAAAACTAAATCAGTAATAAATAGCCCACCAACCAAAAAAAGCCCAGTGCTACACAGATTCACAGCTGAATTCTGCCAGATGTACAAAGAAGAGCTTGTACTATTTCTGCTGAAACTATTCCAAAAAAATTGAGGAGGAGGGGCTCCTCCCTAACTGATTCAGTGATGGCAGCATCATCCTGATACCAAAACCTGGCAGAGACACAACAGCAGCAACAACAACAACAACAAAACTTTAGGCCAATATTCTTGATGAACACTGATGCAAAAATCTTCAACAAAATACTGGCAAACTGAATCCAGCAGCACATCAAAAAGTTTATCTACCATGATCAAGTAGACTTTATCCCTGGGATGCAAGATTGGTTCAACATATGCAAATCAATAAATGTGATTCATCACACAAATAGAACTAAAAACAAAAACTATATGATTATCTCAATTGATGCAGAAAAGGCTTTTAATAAAATTCAACATCACTACATGTTAAACACTCTCCATAAACTAGGTATTGAAGGAACATACCTCAAAATAATAAGAGCCACCTATGACAGACCCACAGCCAACAACATACTGAATGGGCAAAAATTGGAAGCATTCCCCTTAAAAACTGGAACAAGTCAAGGATACCCTCTATCTCTCTCTCTTTTTCTTTTTTTTTTTTTTTTTTTTGACGGAGTCTCGCTCTGTTGCCCAGGCTGGAGTGCAGTGGCACGATCTTGGCTCACTGCAAGCTCTGTCTCCCAGGTTCACGTCATTCTCCTGCCTCAGCCTCCTGAGTAGCTGGGACTACAGGCGCCTGCCACCACGCTTGGCTAATTTTTTTGTATTTTTAGTAGAGACAGGGTTTCACTGTGTTAGCCAGGATGGTCTCTATCTCCTAACCTCATGATCCGCCCACCTCGGCCTCCCAAAGTGCTGGGATTACAGGTGTGAGCCACCGCGCCCGGCCAAGGATGCCCTCTCTCAACACTCCTATTCAACAAAGTATTGGAAATCCTGGCCAGGGTAATCAGGCATGAGAAAGAAAGAAAGAACATCCAAATAGGAAGAGAGGAAGCTAAACTATCCCTATTTGCAAATGGCATGATCCCATGTCTAGAAAACCTCGTAGTCTCAGCCCAAAAGCTCCTTAAGCTGATAAACAACTTCAGCAAAGTCTCAGGCTACAAAATCAATGTGCCAAAATCACAGACATTCTTATACACCAACAACAGTCAAGCTAAGAGCCAAATCAGGAACACAGTCCCATTCACAATTGCCACATAAAGAATAAGATCTTTAGGAATACAGCTAACCAAGGATGTGAACGATCTCTACAAGGAGAACTATGAAACACAAAGTTCAAAGGAATCAGAGATGACACAAGCAAATGGAAAAATGTTCCATGCTAATGGATAGGAAGAATCAGTATTATTAAAATGGCCATACTGACGAAAGCGATTTATAGATTGAATGCTATTCCTGTTAAACTACCAGTGACATTCTTCACAGAACTAGAAAAAACTATTATAAAATTCATATGGAACCAAAAAAGAGCCTGACTAGCCAAGGCAAGCCTAAGCAAAAAGAGAAAAGCTAGAGGCATCATGCTACCTGCCTTCGTACTATACTACAGGGCTATAGCATGGTGCTGGTACATAAACAAACACATAGACCAATGGAACTGAATAGAGAACCCAGAAATAAGGCTGCATACCTACAACTATCTGATCTTTGACAAAGCTGACAAAAACAAGCAATGGGGAAAGGATTCCCTATTCAATAAATAGTGCTGGGATAACTGGCTAGCCATATGCAGAAGATTGAAACTGGACCCCTTCCATACACCATATACAAAAATTAATTCAAGATATATTAAAGACTTTAATGTAAAATGCAAAACTATAAAAACCCTGGAAGACAACCTAGGCAATACTATTTGAGGCATAGGAATGAGCAAAGATTTAATGATAAAGACACCAAAGCAATTGCAACAAAAGCAAAAATTGACAGATGGGGTATAATTAAACTAAAGAGCATCTGCATTACAAAGAAAACTATCAACAGAGTGAACAGACAACCTACAGAATGGGAGAAAATTTTTGCAAACTATGCATCTGACAAAGGCCTAATATCCGGCATTTATAAGGAACTTAAACAAATTTACAAAAGAAAAACAAACAACCCCATTAAAAAGTGGGCAAAGGCCATGAAAAGACACTCCAAAAGAAGACATACATGTGATCAACAAGCATGAAAAAAGCTCAATGTCACTGATCATTAGAGAAATGCAAATCAAAATCACAATAAGATACCATCTCACATCAGGCAGGATAGCAATTACTAAAAAGAAAAAAAAATAACAGATGCTGTTGAGGTTGTGGAGAAAAAGGAACATTTATACACTCTTGGTGGGAGTGTAAATTAGTTCAACCATTGTGGAAGACAGTGCAACAATTCCTCTAAAACCTAAAAACAGAAATATCATTTGACCCAGCATCCCATTACTGGGTATATACCCAAACCAATATAAATTATTCTATTATAGGGACACATGCGTATGCTTATTGCAGCACTATTTGTGATAACAAAGTCATGGAATCAACCTAAATGCACATCGATGATAGACTGGATAAAGAAAATGTGGTACATATACACCATAGAATACTATGCTGCCATTAAAAAGAACATGAGCATGTCTTTTGTGGGAACATGGATGGAGCTGGAGGCCATTATACTTAGCAAACTAACTCAGGGACAGAAAACCAAATATTGTATGTTCTCATTTATAAGTGGGAGCTAAATGATGAGAACACACGGACACATAGAGGGGAACAATACACACCGGATCCTATTGGAAGGTGGAGGGTGGGAAGAGGGAGAGGATTAGGAAAAATAACTAGTGGGTACTAGGCTTAATACTTGGGTGATGAAATAATCTGTACAAGAAACCCCCATGGCATAAGTTTTCCTATATAATAAACCTGCATGTGTATCCCTGAACTTAAAAGCTAAATTTAGAAAAAAAAGACCTAGAAAACATATTTAAGGAAATAATGGCTGAAATTTTCCCAAATCTGGAGATAACCAGCAGCACTCAAGTACAGGAAATTCAAAGGTCACCAATTAGATTAAATGCAGGAGGAATTTCCCAAGGTACATCATAATCAAATTAGCAAAAATCAAAGAGAAAGAATATTTGAAGCACAAAGAATAAAGAAACATGTGACGTTCAACAGAGCCCCAGTACAGCTTTCAGCAGATTATTCAGCAGAAACCCTGCAGGCTAGGAGAGAGTGTTGAAGAAAAAAAAAAAACAAAAAACCTCTCAACTGAGACTACTATACCCATTAAAGTGTCTCTTCAAACACAAAGGAGAGATAAAGACTTTCCCCAAATAACAAAAGATGAAGGAATTCATAAACACCAAACCTGTCCAAAAAAATGCTACAGGGAGTCCTTCCATCTGGAAGAAATGGACCCTAAGGTGTAACAAGAAAACATTTCAAAATATAAAACTCACTGCTTCAAGTAAGAAAATTGAAAACTAGACAAATTCAGAATATATTAATACTGTAATTGTGGTAAGTAAACCACTTACATCTTAAATATGAAGACTAAAAGACAAAACTATTAAAAACAACAATTGCAACAGCTGGTTAAGAGATAGGCACTATGGAAGGATGTAAGTTGAAACATCAAGAAGTCAAAATATGTAGAAGGTGCTATTAAAGTGTGGAGTTTGTTTTTGATGCTTTTCCTTGTGAGCAAAGTCAAGTTGTCATCAGTTTAAAATTGCCTATTATAACATGTTTTTTGTAAGCCTCATGGTAACCTCAAAGCATAAACCTGTAATAGCACAGAATCAAAACACATTACTAGAGAAAATTACTTAAACACAAAGGTAGTAAGAGAGGTAAAAAGGAAGAAAGTATTCACACAATAAGCAGAAAATGAATAACAAAATGACAATAGGAAACCCTTACCTATCAATAAAAACCTTGAATATAAGTAAATAAATAAATAATGTAAGCCCCAGCTATATGCTGTCTATAAGAAACTCACTTTCTCTATAAAGACACAGGCTGAAAATGAAGGGATGGACAAAGATATTCCACGTAAATTGAAACCAAAAAAGAGCAGGAGCAACTATACTTATATCAGATAAAGTAAACTTTAAGTCAAGAATGGTAAGACAAGGAGGGCCATCGTATAAAAACCAAGAGGACGGGCTGGTCTCAAACTCCTGACCTCAGGTGATCCGCCTACCTCGGCCTCCCAAAGTGCTGGGATAACAGGCATGAGCCACTGCACCCGGCCCTTGGTTATACGCTTTAAAGAATTTGTTTGCTATTTTGCACATTTCTGCCTTAAGACTGTGTTTCTAGCAACTATTTAAACTTATAAACTCTTCATTGATAAAGAATAAATCTTATATCACTAAAAGATGAATATGCAATAAGATGTTTTCAGACAAAGAAAAGCTGAATTCATTTTTCTCAAGCTTATCTCTACTACAAGAAATGTTGGAAAAAAACCTGAGGAGTACAAAAAAAAATTATACCAAATAGAAACCTAGTTAATTAAGAAACAATGAATAGCACCATAAGTGGTAAATAATCAGTGAATATAAAGGACCTTTTGAAACAATCTTGAAATCTCTTTAAAAGAATACTGATTATTTAAATAAATACATTAATCATATATTGTGGGTGTTATAGCTAATATAAAAGTAAAATATTTGACAACAGGAGTACAAAAGGTTGGAAGGGGCTAAATGTATATATCTATTGTAAGGTTCTTTTTTTTTCTTACCCTTTTCTATGGTGCTGATATTGTAAGGTTCTTTAATCATGAAGTAGTAGAATATTTTTTGAAGGGTGGTTGTGTTAAGGCACATATTGTGATCCTTAAAGAAGTCACTTTTTTAACAACACTAAGGAGAATAACAAGAAAGTCATTTTTAAAAAGTGGTGTTTGAACAAATCGTCTGTTCACAGTAAAGAAGGCAAGAAAAGAATAGAGGAATAAGGCTGAGTGCTGTGGCTCATGCCTGTAATCTAAGTGCTTTGGCAGGTCAAGGCAGGAGGATTCCTTGATGCCAGGTGTTTGAGGACAGCCTAGGCAACATGGCAAGACCCTGTCTCTACAAATTTTCTGTTTAGAAATTAGCCAGGAATGGTGACATGTACATGTAGTTCTAGCTACTCAGGAGGCTGAGGAAGATCATAAGAGCCCAGGAATTTGAGGTTTTAGTGAGCTATGATTGTGCCACTGGACTCCAGGCAGGGTGACAGAGCGAGACCTTGTCTCTAAAAAAAGGGGGAATAGAGAATAGAAGAACAGAAACAGATCAGACAAACAGAAAACAAGTACCAAAATGGTAAACTTTAGCCTAAACACATTAGTAATTTTGTTAAAGGTAAATGGGTTAAACACCACAATAAAAAAAATAGAGATTGTCAAACTGGCTAATGAAGAACCACTCAATTATTTGCTATTTACTAGGAAGCGTACTTAAATAAAGATACTGATGGTTAAAAAGTAAAACTGGAAAAAGATAACAGTAGGCATTATAAAGCTCTTATGGCTGTATTAGCTGACTAGGTAGAAAATAATACTAAAGAAAAAGAATATTACCAAGTATAGAGAAAAGTTTGAAAATGTTTAAAGGGTCAATTCATCAAGAACACAGAACAATCTAAATGTGTATAGATATAATTAGAATGCCTCAAAATTCATAAACCAAAATTTGACAGAACTAAAGTGAGAAGTAGAACAATTCACCATCATAACTAGAGATTAGACTTAATATATCTTGATCAAGAATTGATATGTGCAGTCAAAAACAATTCAATAAAGATATAGAAGATCTGAAATAACTCCAGCGACTAACTTGACCTAATTAACATTTATAGAATGATACATCCAACAACTGCAGAATAAACATTACTTTTTAGGTACACATAGAACAATTTCAAGATAGAACATTTGTTGGGCCATAAAACCTGTCTCAGGAAATTTTAAAAGATTGAAATATTGTAGTTCTCGTACCACAACAGAAATAAAATAGTCACAATAAGATATCTAGAAAAGTACCAAATATTTGTGCTAAATATTAATTTAAATATTAAAAAGCACTAAGTGTTTGGAAATCAAACAACACACTAATTAAAAAATAGGTCAAGAAAGAAAACACCGAGGAAATCAGAAATATTTTGAACTGAATAACAATGAAGACAGTACAGAAATTGGCATATTTAACAAGAAGTTTCAGATAGATGCTAGAGTAACAGATAGAAATCAGAGAAATAGAGGTGGAGATATAAAAAGGGGGTAAAGAAAATAATTAAATATAAAATAGATTCAATTATATTTCAGCACATAGCAATGTTTGCTTGTTATTGATTGAAATAATTCTGTCACACGTGTAATACTACACTTATCACATACAGAAATACTTAGTCTGATATGGTTTGGATCTGTGTCCTCACCAAGTCTCATGTCAAATGGTAATCTCCAGTGTTGAAGGTGGGGCCTAGTGGGAGGTGATTGGATCATGGGGATGGATTTCCACCTTGATGCTGTTCTCCTGATAGCAAGCGAGTTCTCATGAGATCTGTTAGTTTCAAAGTGTGTGGCACCTCCCCCGTCTTCCTGCTGCTCTGGCCATGTAAGACCGCTTCCCCCTTCACCTGCTATGATCGTAAGTTTCCTGAGGCCTCCCCAGAAGCTGAGCAGATGCTGCCATGCTTTCTTTACAGCCTGGAGAACCGTGAGCCAATTAAAGCTCTTTTCTTTATAAATTACCCAGTGTCAGATATTTCTTTATAGTAGTGTGAGAACAGCCTAATACACAGTGCTTCTACTTTGCTTCTATCTTTTACATACCAAAGAAATTATTATCATGACAGACTAAAAAAAAATGAATGGACGAGGAGTATAGGCTTGTTAGTATATTGTGTAAAACATTCTCATTCAAATTATGTGCTGATTTTGTTTTACTCTTGTATAAACTATTTTGTGCCTTGTTAGTGATTAACACCTTATCTCTTGTCACTTTCTTTTAGGGCTTTTTTATCCTAAATTGTCCAGACTTAACACCTTTGGCTTTCCAGTTGATATATCTTAATTTATCATTTAATGATCTTCATTACTTTCCCACAGAAGTGAGTCAACTTTTATTGTTATGTACTGATATAACTTGTCGTGAATAATAATTATAATAAAAATAGACGTCTTTTAATACCTTGAAGTTACTATAAAGTACTGTAAATGTATTTTGGATTGCATCTTTTGAATGGCTTATTTTCAGAAGCACAAAATGTACAGTACATCTTTCTTAGGAAATCCCATGATGTAATCCTCAAAGACTATGTTATAGTGAGACTCTCAAATGTGTTCTCATAATTCTATAATGTATATTAAATATTTATTCTTCTAACTCTGAATGTAATCTAAAATAAACCTTATTTATGTGCCAATCAGAAGCTTTAAAAACAAAGTAAACATGCAGTGTTGTAATAAGTTTTAATTACCAAACGATAAAATATAATATTCTGCTTAATAAAATGTATGAAGGATAATCAGATATGAGATGAGCTAATTTAATGTCATTTCAAGTGAATGAACCATTATGAGTGATTAGGACAAATTACGTTTTTCGTGTCTTTAGTCATTGCTTCATTGATTACTGGGTAATTGGTGGTTTTGTGAATTGATTTCCAGAGTATTGTCTTTTAGTGAGTTTATTTTTGGCAAATGTATTTTCTTCTTTCAATCAGATGGTATTGAAAACATATATTTTCCATACTTTCTCTATAATATAATGTTTTTATTTTCAATTGGAGAAGTTATTTCTTTTCTAATACATAACACCAGTTTTATTAATTTGACTAGGAGAAATTGACAAGAATTCCCAAGGAATATAGTGATCTGAGTTCTTCACACTAATTTAACCTTTCTTCTAAGTAGATACAGATAATATTTGTGTATCTGCCAAAGAAAACTCCATCCACTAAAAAATAAATGTGTGAAGACAGGAGAGCTAGTCACTTGTAAGATATAAAGTGCTCATTGTTAAAGTGACAGAGATCAACTTGTCATTAAAATGCAGGTCTGTGTTATATAGCTATAGATAAAATATTCCAATGAAGATGGTAATATCTAAGCTTAGAGAGGCTGTTTTGGGGACAGGCTAATGAGGCCCAGTTGTTAGCATGGCATAAAGGCAATGAATAAAAGGCTGGGGACTGAGGTAAGTGGGGTGATTCAAATTATTACCGATTTCATGGAAAATTCAAAATGGTTGAATTAGGCAAATTGCAGTGTCCACTAAAATAGTTTCAGATGGGAGAAGGTAGAAGCAGAAATGTTAAATAAAGAAGATTAATATAGCAAACTCTATATACATATACTTGGTCTTCTTCTCTAAGATTCTTAAACAGTCATAAAATCATAGTAATAAGTATAATAATGTATTGTTAGGTCTGTAACATATATGGATATGATATATGTAGAAATTATAGACAAAAAAGGAAGAAGGAATTGAATATGTATGAAGAACATTTTCATATCTCACTGGAATTAAGTTAGTATAAATCTGAAGTAAATTCTGATAAGGTGTATATTATAACCTCTAAACAATCACTAAGAAAATAACTCAAGAGAACATACTGAAAACATTTATTGAAGTCATAAAATGTTACACTAGAACATATTCACTTGATGCAAAAAAAGGCAGTAGAGGAAGAATTAAAAGAACATATGACATATAGAAAGCTAAAAGTGAAATGACAGATGTAAATCCAATCATGTCAATAATAACATTAAATGTGAATATATCAAACAATCCAATCAAAAGATACAGATAGTCAAACTGTACAAAATTATACAAGTTCTTATACAGATTCAATGATACGCTGTCTGCAGGAAACACACTTAAGATTAAAAGAAACACACTTAAGATTGAAGAGGTTGAAGCCAAAAGCATGAGAAAATATATATCATGCAAACAGCAACAATAGAAATGCTGGAGAGACTATACTAATATCAGACAAAATATATTTTAAAGCAAAAAAAGTTACTAGAGATAAAAAGAGACATTTGTCAATTTATCAGATAATAGAACTTTATAAACAAATGTTTATTTAGTAACAGAGCCCCAAAGTATATGAAACAAAAACCAAAGGAATTGGAGGAATAGAAAATGCAACTATAATAATTGGACACTTCAATATCCCACTTTCGATAATGAATAGAAAAATTAGGCAGAAGAACAAGAGGGAAATAGAAGAATTGAACAACACTATAAACCAATTAGACCTAATAAATCTGTATGGAATGTATTAGGGTCTAACTCAAACCAATAGCAGCAGAATACACAATTCTTGAGTTCATGTAGAACATTTTCCAGGATAAATCATATGTTAGGCTACAAAATCAGTCTCAATAAATTTAAAAGGATTGAAAAATTACAAAAGTCTATTTTTGGCTACAATAGAATTAAATTATAAACCAAAAACTGAAAGAAATTTGGAAATTCACAAATATATGGAAATTAAGCAACATACTCCTAAATAACCAGTGGGTCAAAGAATAAGTTATAAGTGAAATTAGAAAATATTTTTAGATAAATGAAAATGAAAACACAACATACCAAAATTTCTGAGATGCATTACAGAGTACTCAGAGGGAAACTTATAGCTGTAAATGTAAATCTTTTAAAAAAGAAGAAATACCTCAAACTAACTTTTCATGTAAAGCCACTAGAAAAAAAGGGCAAACTAAACCTAAACAGAGAATAAGCAAGGAGATAGTAAATATTAGTACAGAAATTAGTGAAATAGAAGATAGAAAAACAGAGAAAATTTAAAAACAGAAGTTATTACTTTTAAAAAATCAACAAAATTGACAAACTTTACGTAGACTTAACAAGAGAAAAAGACAGAAGACTTATGTTACTAAAGACCAGGATGAAAGAAGAAACATCACTACTGACCTTAAGAAATTAAAAAGATTTAAAGAAAATACTATAAATAACTGTATACCAATCAATTAAATAACTTAGGTGAAATGAACACATTCCTACAAAGACACAAGAAAGGTCTTTAGAAAATATGAATGGCTCCATGATCTTAAAAATTATATAGAAATGCAAAGGATTACAAAGAGCCAAAATAATTTTGAAAAGAAAGGCAAACTTGGAGCACTGATGCTTCCTGATTACAAGAATGAACTTGCTCTACTCCACCAATTTTGGACCTTTATGATGATAACAAGGTTGAATTTAATATTAAAGAGAACTAATATAAGACCTTGTTAATATTCACCAGAGAAAAATATACTAATCAAGTAAAGATCATAGATTATTTCTTTGTTTTTCTTTTTAAAATTTGTATAAATTTAAGAGGAAGATAATAGATTTAAATGGTTTACTCTATTTTTTAAATTTCACATGAAAAATCAGTGTACCTGAAATTACTGGGATGTCAGAAATAATCTGGCTTTGATCTCTAACACTTTTCTGATCACTAAGGTTAATTCCACCTTTCTTCCTGGTTCTGCAGATACCTCCTTCCTCCCTCATTATTCCGTGATTTCCTCGTATGAAACCGTGAGCTTGATCAGAAAGGGTAACTTTCACACTTAGGAAAGCACCATTCTTGAGTCAAGGGTGTATGAGTACAGTGGTTGCACTATTTCACCATATCATACCTATTAATGCTGGTCACTTGTTTTGAAGGTTGACCGAGGGTGTTTACTGAGTTACATGATATAGCCAATTAATGTTGCTATAATGATTCTACATTAGTTCAGAGAGTTTATAAAAGGTAACAAATAATGATTTGCATACTTTATTATTCCGCTCATGTTTGTTTCTCTTTTCTGTTCCCCAGATATTATGTCTTAAAAATTTACAAATACTGAAATTGAGAAATAATCCTATCAAAGAAATTCCTTCTGAAATTCAACAACTTGAGTTCCTTAGAATTTTCACCATTGCTTTTAATTTAATTACTGTTCTTCCAATTGGGTAAGGTTGATGGTCTGAGATTATAAACACAGAAAATAATTCATAATTTCGAAAAAGATCAATTTCCCCTTTCAAAGCAGCTAGCAGCTTTTTGGCTATTTAGTAATTTGTATTCTATTCTAATTAGCTAATACGCTTCTTCTTATGGTGTTAAAAACAATCCTACCAGCTACATACAGAGCAATTAATATGGGTCTAGTGACTATACATTTAGAAACACGTTATCTGAGTACGGGTTAAATTAACAGGAATTATCTAAAGCAGTTCAGGTGAGAGCCTTGCACCTATCTCTTGACAGCCTTTTTGGATATGGAAAGAGCACTGAATTTGGGATGAGGAAATCTAGTCCTTTGACTTTAAAGTTGATGATAATTATATATTTGATCTGGAGAAAGTAATTTAACCATTCTTGGCCTCAATTTCCTAATCTGTAAACTAAGGAGATTGGCTTATATGATATCTAAGACCCTTTCAACTCCATAAGAATGCTGATATTTGGACATAAAAGAGATGGGTTTCTTCCCACGTATGGACTAGTAATTATTTAACTCCTAATGAAAATTTTAAACCAAAACCTTAACCAAATGTCAAAACAAGATACTTATTCCAATCAGAGTTTAACAAATTGAATCTCTCAGTACAAAGAGAAAGGGACTCATAAATAGTTGAATAATACTTTGCAAAATAAGAGTCTTATCTATAGTAATTAAGGAAGTGCATCCAAATTCATTTATAAAGATGTTCATTCAGTATTGTTTGTAATTAATGATCTAAAAAATTGTACATTCATAAACATTCAGTTATTTAAAAGAATAAGAAATTATATTAAAAAATTATACCATTTCTGTATAAAATGCATATACATATCACACATTACACACTACATATATAAAAAGAAAGAATAAACACTAAAGAAGTAAGAATGTTACATATGGGTATTTTATTTCTGTTTGACTCATCCGGATTTTTCCACAGTACATAAACTGTATTTTCCCTGCCCTGACACTATCTGCCATTTCTCTAAGGAAATCCTGTTTCCTTTTATTAGAAAATAGTGTTTAAAAGCCAAGATCTGGGTGTTGGGTATCCTCATCACCATTAGGTTATCATTCCTTCTAGACCCTCTCATTGGAGAGAGCAAAGTAATATATGTATGTATACTAACCCATGTGTACACACATATCTGTAATTGTTTATATAGATACAAACACATATACAATTACATATATACACACACAGAACTATATATGTATAAATATATATGTATATATACAGCATCTAAACATGAATTCCTACTGGATAATCTATAATCATAATTATACATTTTCAATAATCATAACTACCATTTAAACAAAATAAAAATTCCTAAAGCAAGTGAAATGTGATTATAACTAAAAGGTCAACATTTTGTTCATTGTTTAGATATTGGACAAATAAGTATGAATTGTTGATTATAATCAAAAAGTTTGCAGAAGCTATTTTTAAAAACTATTAGTGTTTCTGAAATAAAGCGGCATATTTTTATTAAATAACATAGGATATGTATGCATATCAGGGGAAGAATGACAGCATATTAAAGCCAAGAATGAAAAACATAATGGGGAAAACTTAACTTTATTGACCTCAAAGAAGACTTCAAGCAAGCTCTGACATAATAAAAATGTTTATTTGCAAAGTTTGTTCAATGAAAACTCACCAGGAGGGCACTTATACAGTGAAGAATGAAGGTGCTGAATTCTTCATATCTAAGGGTTGTTGTCAGAAATCTACCTTGCTGAGCAAAGAAGACCTCACGGAGTGTGGTGAGACTTGGAGATCAGTAACTGAATTAAATTGAGTGAAATTTAGTGAACCAAACCATTATGTAATATATTTGAGATATTCTGGCTCCATGTAAATTCTGGAGTTTGGACATTATTACCATCACAAGCAATTGCACTGATACACTTTGAATGTTATACTTTCATTCTTGTAATTAATTCAGCAGATGTTCATGAAGCATCTATTAATACTGTGTGCTCCTAGGAGCTCACCACCTAAAAGGAAGGCAGACAATTCAATACAATTGAGTAAAGTAAAATAATGGAGATGTACACAGTAAAATGTATGAGTTACATGTAACCCATTCTGAAGGGTGAGAGTTGGTTCCCTGGAAGATGTAGTATTTGATCCAAAGTTGACTGAGTGTGAATTAGGTGGATTAAACAGGAGAGACAACAAAGGATAGTTGGGCCAATGATAGGGTGGATATTTCTTCAATGAAAAGTTACAACGTATATGAAAAGAAGCAGCATATATAACATGAGATGGGAAATACAAGCAGTTTGCTGGTTTTGAAGCTTAGAGGGCAATGCCAAGTGGTAAGAAATGGTACAGTAAGCAGGGACCAGATTATCTAGGAAGCCTTATGAGCTAAGGTAAAGAATTTATGCTGTATGCAACAAGAAACCATTACAGGTTTTCCATATGTGAGTGGTAGAGTCAAACTTATATTTTACGTTATTCTAGTGGCAGTGTGGAGGATGGATGTGAGGGGATAAACAGAATTAAAGGTGACCAGTTGGAAGGCCATTGCAGTAGTTCAAGCAAGAGATGAAGAGAACTTGGACCAAGGCAATGGTAGTGAGCATGGAGAAGGAGGAACAAATTGTTATGAAATTGAAGTAAAACCTGCAAGATCTAGAACTGAGACATAGAGGCTATAAGGAACAGAAAAGTCAAAGTAAAAAAAAAAAGTCAAGGTAATGCCCAGATCTCTAGTTAGAGTGAAACAATTCAATCATGTAAAATGTATTTATTGAGTATTTACTAAATACTGGGCTCTGTCCTAAGCATTGGGTTCAGATTGTTAAAGGAAAAGGGGCATGATCTTTTCCCTTATGGGGCTTAGAATCCAGAGCACGATACAGGAATTTTAATAAACACCATAATAAATATATGAATATATAAATATAAAACATTCTAAGGGCTTTGACTGAAAAGAACAATATGATGTCAGGAGAAAAAAAAATTGAATCACTAAGAAAGGTGTATCTGAGGAAATGACATTTAAGCAGAAGTTTATAAATCCAGTCCAAGAATAAGAAAAAGAATATTCATGCAGTGGGAATAACATGGGAGGTAATGAGAGCTTGGACTCCTCAAAGGCTGACAGGAAGCCAGCATGGCTTAGAATAAAACCCAGGTGAGGTTTAGGAGTTGGATAGGGACTACATCCCATGAAGCTGTGAGGGTCAGGTGAAAATATTTATAATTTATTTAAAGTGCACTGAGAAGCCATTGCTTGTTTTTAAGCACAAGAGTGACAATGAAGGCTGAGGAGGTTTGAATGAAGGAAAATAATTGGTTTTGTTTTAGATTAACATGTTGATTTTAGATTTCTGTTTTTCATCACAATTCTGGACCTAGACCTATTAACCTCACAGGAGAGTTTTGTGCTGGAGATATTTCTGGAGAAACATCTGTGTTTCAAATACAGACAGATAAAGAAATTATAAAGACTGAGGAAAAGCCTCAAATTGCATAAAGAGAACCAAGAGTATCATGGAAGCCAGGGAAGTGGATTATTTTGAAAAAGAAGTATGACCAACAGTGTCAAATACAACAGAGAAGCTCAGTAAGAGTAAAGGTGAGAACAGTTTTAGTGGAATGATGGAAATAAAAGCCAGCTTGCAGTGGGTTGTGATGGAATGGGAAGAAATTGGTGATAATGAGTGTAGACCATTCTTTGTAGAGCTTTAGATGCAATGTGAGAAGAGTGATTAGACAAAAGCTATAGAGAAAGTGGGATCTTAGAAACATTTTTATTGTTAGTTTTTTAAAGACTCGGGCATATTTACAGGATGTTGGAAAGAAACCAATAGGGAATAGATTGAAGATGTGGAAGGATGACAGATGAAGCAGAATTTCACAGGAGATGGGAGGGGAAGAAGTCATCAGCTCAGGTGGAGATTCTGGTCTTGAACAGGAGGAGTAACCATTATCTCCTAAAACTGGAGGTAGGTCCTAAAAATGAACATGTAAAATATATAGTTATATGGGTAAGAAAACAGGAAATTCATTTAGTCAACAAAGATTTATTTAGCTCCTATAATGCATCAGTTGAGAGAGGTTACTATGAAATAACTTCAGATAATCTTTGAGAGCAAGAAGAATAATGATTGAAAAGAAGTTTTAAAGAAAGTTGTGATGATTTAGTGTTGATATTGAGAGGAACAGAAAAGAACAGAGCACAGGAAAGTGAATGTTTGAGAGATGATGCTGTGGGCTTAGCTGAGACTGGAAACCAAGGATTCATGGTGACACGAATCTGCATTTCTGCTGATTATCTTCAGTAGCTCAGTCATTCATGTGTAAGATGGAGAAGGTAGATTTTAGCCTCCATAAAAAGACTTCTTTGGGAATGTCCATAGCAGTTTTATCTGCAATATCCTGAAAAAGTCTGCAATTCAAATGTCCATCAACAAAACAGTGGAAAACCTAATTGTTTTTATTCGCAATAATCAAAAGGTGGTAACTCAAATGTCCATTAACAGATTAATTAATGAATAAACAAAATGTGATATATACATACATAGAACATTATTCATCTTGAAAACAGAATGAAATGCTAGTATATGCTACAACAACAATGAGCCTTGAAAACATTATGCTAGGTGGAATAAGTCAGATACAGAAGGATAAACATTGTGTTATTGTGCTTATATAAGGTACCTAGAATAGACAAATTTACAGACACAGAAAGTGGAATATAGGTTACTGGGGGCTCAGGTATAGCAGAGAGGGGAGAATTGGGAGTAGCTGTTCAATGGATATAGAGTTTCTGTTTGGGATGATGGGAAAGTTCTGGAAATACATATAGTGCTGGTGGTTGCATAATACTGTAATTGTAATTAATGCTGCTGAATGGCACACTTAACAATGGCTAAAATGGCAGATTTTATGTTATCTATATTTTACTATAACAAAAAATACATAGAGCCTGGGCAACATGGTAAAACCCCATCTCTACAAAAAAATACGAAAAATTAGCTGTGCACAGTGGTATGTACTTGTAGTCCCAGTTACATAGGAGGCTAAGGTGGGAGGATCACTTGAGCCTGGGAAGTTGAGGCTGCAGTGAGCTTTGGGCAACAGAGTAAGACCCTGCCTCAAATATATATATATATATATATAGTTATTAGTAACCTCAATGCTTTCATCTTTCCTCCTAGTCTTCCTTCTTTCTAAAATTTTTAGGTATAATTTATATACAATAAAATGCACAAATCTTAGGTATTTGATTTAAAGTGTTTAACAAATATACGCACCCATATAACTACTATCCAAAACAAGATATGGGGTATTCCCATTATCCTAGAAAGTTTACCCTAGAAATGTCCCCATGTACATTTCTAGTCAATTCCCAGACTTCTAACATCATAGACTTATTTCACCTGTTCTGGAAAATTATAAAAGTTGATTGATACAACAAATGATTTTTTGAGTGTGACATCTTTCACTCAACATACATTTTGGGGATTCACCCATGTTGTATATATCAGTATTCCATTCCTTTTTAATGATGACCTCATGTCACATGGCCTCAGCCATTTCAGCAAAGTCAAAAATAGAAATGGGATTAACTAGGAACGAAATTTGTGGACAAGTCTTTTGTCTTATGGAATGAATACCCATGATATACATGGGAAACCCACTAGGTTCTTGAAGATTTTATACTAATAGAAATGTTGCCAGAGTGTATTAAGAAGGACAAAGACAGTATGAAATGAAAAAAGGCTGTCAGATCTCCAAAATTCCATGGGCAGGAAACAGCTGAATATATGTGCCAACTTTCATGAAAAAGGGAGGGTGATTCAGAGGGTGGTGCCAGGAACTGGGGAGGATGAAACCAGGAGCACCGAAGGTGGAGCTGTGATTCTAAAAGACAGAGCCAGAAGCCAGGAGGGCAGAAACTGGAAAGCAGGTGGCAGAGCTGGGAGCTGCTGCTGATTATTCCCAGGCCTTGAAACCAGATGAAGTTTACTCAGTCCTATTTCAAAATTGCTTGGAATTGGTAATTCCTGTTTACCTTTCATTTTCTCCCTTTTGAACCAGAATATCTATAACTTATCCTATGCCTGTCTCACCATTGTATTTTGAGAGCAGATAACTTGTTTCTTTAATTTCATAGATCCACAAATGGAGAAAAGTTGTGCTTCTGGATGGGTTATATCTGGAGCCTCACCTATACCTAATTTAGATGATGAGATATGGGACTTTTGAGATTTAGATGAGATGTTGAACTTTGAGTTGATGCTGTAAAGGTTAACCTTTCGGGAAATTGAGATAAGTGAATGTATTTTGCATGTGGGATAGATGTGAATCTTTAGGGATGAACTGTGATAGGGCGAATAATGGTCCCCAAAGATGTTCATATTCTACCAGAACATGTGAATATGTTATATTACATGGCAAAGGGAAATTAAGTTTGGAGATGAAATTAAGGGTTCTAATCAGCTGATCTTAAAGTAGGGAGATTATTCTGGATTAGTTGAGTGGTCCCAATCAAATCACATGAGCTCTTAAAAATGGAAGGGGGATGCAGAAGCATTTGTCAGAGAGATACCACCTGAGGACTTGACTTGCTTTTGTTGGTTTTGAAGATGGAGGAAGGGAGCCATGAGTCAAGGAATGAGGCAGCTTGAAAACCTGGGAATGGCCTTCAGCATACAGCCAACAAGAAAACAAGGGCCTCAGTTCTACAGCCGGAAAGAACTGAATTCTGCCAACAGCCTGCATGAGTAAGAAAACAGATTCTCCCTAGAGCCTCCAGATAGCAATGCAGTCCTGCTGATGCCTTAATTTTAGTAGAGTGAGACCTTTGCAGACTTCTGACCTATATAACTATAATTAATAAATCTGAGTTGTTGTACGCCACTGTTTGTGTTGCAATTTGTTAATGGCAGTAACAGCAAACTAAAATAAAACCAGTCAAAGATTTCAACTCTTGTGGGATCACATTCCCCCAGGAGGAGACAGTCAATATATGTAATAAATAAATTATATAGTATGTGAGAAGGTAATAAGTGATATGAAAAAGAACAAACAGTAAAAGGGAGTGAGAGTGTGATTTTAAGTGGGATAGCTAAGGTAGGCCTTATTGAGAAAGGGACACTGGAACAAAGTGGGGGTTTGTGATGTAAATTTAGCAGTTCAAGTCTAATTTAACAGTATTTTATTAAATAAAACAATTGGTTACTCAATTTGTTTGAAGCCCTAGTGTTAGGATTTAAATTAAGATACATATTTTTTCTAGATATTATCTAACATAGAAAAATGGTTGTTTATTTTGGTGGCTAAGCATTGTATTTAAAAGATTGTCTTTTTAATTCTTTTCATTATTAGTCTTTTTCTTATAGTTTCCATATGTTAAAATATGCATATATTTTTTTTCCCAGATATATTATTTTGGTACCTTCTCAAAGTTTTACTAAAAGTGTAATGGAGTACTTTCACTGTTATCTTTCCATTCCTAACAAGATCTTTCTAGTTTCATGAGACTCAAAGTGATAGAGTAGAAAAAGCAAGACACTTTCAGAGGCAAGTTCTGTCCCATATATGCTACAAACTCTAGCAAGCCAGTGACCTACTCTTTTTTTTTTTTTTTTTTTTTTGAGACGGAGTCTTGTTCTTGTTGCCCAGGCTGGAGTGCAATGGCACGATCTTGGCTCACCACAACCTCTGCCTCCTAGGTTCGAGCAATTCTCCTGCTTCAGC
Organism: Homo sapiens; assembly: GCF_000001405.40. Taxonomy (NCBI): domain Eukaryota; kingdom Metazoa; phylum Chordata; class Mammalia; order Primates; family Hominidae; genus Homo; species Homo sapiens. Next base: position 46,258,250 of record NC_000013.11, read on the forward strand.
CTCCCAAGTAGCTGGGATTACAGGCATGCGCCACCATGCCTGGCTAATTTTTTGTATTTTTAGTAGAGACGGGGTTTCACCATATTGGCCAGGCTGGTCTTGAACTCCTGACCTTGTGATCTGCCCACCTCGGCCTCCCAAAGTGCTGGGATTACAGGCGTGAGCCCCCGCACCCAGCCCTGACCTACTCTTAACTTCAGTTTCCATCTGAAAGTTTAGAAAACTTATACTTGTCTTCAAGGATGTTACAAAAATTAGGTAAGAAAATCTTGTAAATTGGCTGGGCATGGTGGCTCACGCCTGTAATCCCAGCACTTTGGGAGGCCGGGGTGGGCGAATCACGAGGTCAGGAGATCGAGACCATCCTGGCCAACATGGTGAAACCCCATCTCTACTAAAAATACAAAAATTAGCTGGGCATGGTGGCGTGTGCCTGTAATCCCAGCTACTCAGGAGGCTGAGGCAGGAGAATCGCTTGAACCAGGGGAGTTGCAGGTTGCAGTGAGCCAAGATCACACCACTGCACTCCAGCCTGGTGACAGAGCAAGACTCTGTCTCAAAAAAAAAAAAAAAAAAAATCTTGTAAATTATTTTTAAAATCCTTTCAATTATTTTCACAGATTAGTCTCTTTTCCTTGACCTAAATTTCTAAAATAAAATAAAATATGCAATATTTTTGAAATTATGTAACAATTGATTGTTTCAATATAGGGCAAATTAGAAGTTAATAAAGAAAAAAGTTCTATTTGAGTAAAGCACACATTTACTGAGGCCTACATTTTCGTTCCTAAGGTTTTGCTTTGAGCAACTTAGGGCATACTGTGTGAGGCAGCATGGAGGCAGGAAAGCTCAGCTTCTGTGGGAGAAAGAACAGGGGCCTCCTATTAGTGGCCAGTGGATCAACACTCCCATGTTATGCTTAGAACTTTATTACTATGAAAAGCTCTTTGATTTGTCTTTTCAACTCTCTTATAAAATGAAGATAATAAATCACTTCAAAAATCCAAATGTTTTTTTTTCCTGTTCCCAAAGCTTTTGTAGAAAAGATAAAAAAGGGAGAAAAAGGGAGGTGGGGTGAAGGACAGAGACATGTTTTAGACTCATGCCCTGAGGTTATGCAGAAACAACTGTCACAAAGGTTAAAACAAAAAGTCTTTATCTTTTTCTCAGTGGATAGCAGGAGAAAAATGACATAGGAAATAGCTACTTCAACTGAGGGAGTCAAATCTTTGCCTTACTTGTTTGACTCAATTTACTTTAATTGGCAGGTAGGTTCTTCGGGAAAGAGAAACTATTTGGAACAAAAAGAACCGAACAGCCTATTTGAAAGCCGTGTCTTAACAGCAGATCTGAAATTGTACACATTTATTTTCCCATATTGTTATTTATTAAAGAAGGGGATTAAATTACCTTGCCTCCACATATCTGATGAAAAGGGATAGCTACATTTTATTTCATACCAAATTGGATACATTGCTTAACCTCTTATAGCTTCCATTTTTTTAACCTGTAAAAAACAATCCTACACTGGTATGTTAAAAGATCATTCTAAATTACCATATAGTAGGCTTTTAATAAATATTTATATCAGTGTGGTGGTCATCACTGTTAATACATGAAATTATTATTGCTAGTCTAATCTTGCAAGCTAACAGTAGGGCTCTAGTTTAGGCAGCTCATTGGCCAATAATTTGCTAATAAATCAAGCAATGAAATAAATGTAAAAAGTTTTACATATCCTAAAAAATGTGATAGATTTGGTACTGGTGGGACATAGAGTATCAGACCAAACAGGCTGTCTGAACAGATTTTCTCTGTAAAAATCATATATAGATGACATAAATTTCAACTCTAGAACCTATTCAGCTTCCTCAGTGCTGCCTACACCTGTTACATCTCACAATCAGCAGGAATATGTCATCCATAGTGAAAGCCTGGAACCAAACTAGGTTGCCAGAGCCAAGGTAATAGGGAAGATAGAATGACTCCAGAAACTGCCTGAGGCAAGAAAATGATATGATATTGAATTGAAAGATAGAGCAAATGGTATTAACATTTTCTTTACAGAGATGATAAGAAGTCAGAGATGAACACTGAATTGAATAGGCATTTCCTTTGTTTTCCTAGTCAGTCTCATTAACTTCTCAGAGCAAATTATTTTAAATTAACTGGGGTCACCATTCCTTTCATTCAGTTATGATTTACTCAGCACTTACGATGTACTAGACAGCATGTAAGGCACTGGATGTATAGAAATATGAAATTGAATCCGTGCCCTCTAGAAGCTCATAATTTTAGGAGGCAGACGTTTATTGCACGATGTGATGGGTACTATGAGAGAGTAAGCAGAGAAGTACAGAAGAGGCATCTCACCCAGTCTGAAGGATTTGGGAAGAGTTTGTTGGAAGAGATGACATCTGAGCCAAGACAAAAAATGAAAAGACAATGATCAGAGTCAAGCTTGGGGAAATTTTACGTGTTATTTAGAGATATGTGATAACTGGTTAATTCAGGGAATTTTAGCAAATAAATGCTGGACCACAGAGGAATATGGGGGATTGTGAGAGGCAAGCTGGACAAGTAGCATGGGACCAGATCATGAGGACCTTTATATGCCATGTTAAGACAGTAAGAAGTTGGCGAAAAATTCTGCTCATGATGCCTTAGTTAAAAATCATACAAATAACTTCTCACCTTTTATTTACATGGAAAACAAGAAAGTCTTTGAGAACAGCACATACAGAGAAGGGGGTGTTTACTAGGGATTATGATGACTATGATACTGAGCCCTTCAATTCCAGTCTTCAAGAAGCAATTCCCACTTCCATCCAACCCCTAGGAGTCAGGGCTTCTGACAGCACAACTATGTTTTTGCAGAGTGTTTGTATTCTTTGGTTCTCACCTTTAAGTACTTGTCTTGATGGAAAGAAAGATTAAAGGTATTTTACTAGAAAAGTCTTAATGCAATTGTAGTGGGTTGAATAGCATCCCTCGGAAATTCATGTCCTTATAGAACCTCAGAATGTGACCTCATTTGGAGATAGCGTCTTTGCAGATGCAGTTAGTTAATATAAGGTCATACTTATACTAACTTGGATAAGGGTGAGCCCCAAATTCAATGGCTATTGTCCCTATAAGAAAGGCATGTGAAGACAAAGGCAGAGGTTGGAGTTATGCTTCCACAAGCCGTGGAATGCCAAAGATGGCAGGCAACCACTGGAAGCTGGGGGAGAAGCAAGGGACAGTTTCTCCCTCAGAGCCTATGAAGGGAACCAGCCCTGCTAATACCTTCATTTCGACTTCTGGCGCCCTGAACTGTGAGAAAATACATTTCTGTTACTTTAAGCCACCCAGATTATGGTAATTTGTTAGGAAACTAATGCAACAACAACAACAAAAAAGTATCTTAGTGATAATGAAAATTTTTCTAAATAGGGCTTTGTCCACTCCAAAAATCTCAAACTGGTCTTAATGGATAGATGAGTAATTCTTAGGAATTTTCATAGTAATTACACGATCTATAATGAAAAGAAGTCCATATAAATTTCAAGATCTTAGAAATCTGGTTTCTATACTCCTGCCTACTTACTCAAGTACTTATTTATTCCCAGTGGTGATACATAATCATTTCTACAATTAATTTTCTCTTTCTATTTAAGGTTATTTTCCTTGTCTTATCTTGAAGAACTTGATGTTTCCTATAATGAACTTACTTTTATTCCAAATGAAATTCAGAAACTCAGGTATTTTGGAAGTACACAGAAAGTTATATGCCCCTTAATTATATATTTAATAATGATTGTGATAGAGAAAATCAATCCTTTCATTTATTTAATAGCCATAAAATGTAATCTGTGAAGTACAAAGTTTACCAAACATGTAATTTGAATGATTGGTGTACAGTATTTTTAAGACATAACATTTCCAGAAATTATTTAAAGAAAGTGCAGATGACTACTTAACAGAACGATAAGCTACTTATGTCCATTTGTCTGTGTGTGTACCTGTGGCTCTTATTATGTTTCATTTATTTTTTGTGAGGAAATACATTTACGCAAAATGCTAATAATACAAAATATAATTTTAATGCAAAGCTTCAATTCTTTCTAACATTAATAAAAGTCTGAAGTTTATCTATGTCCTTCTAGGTCAGTACTATACTGTTTTGATTGTGACTTCAGAATAATTTTTAATAACTAGTAGGGAGATTATTTTTCAGTAATAGTCTCTTAACTATTCTCTTTAGAACATAATCTTTCAGATCATTTTGTATAATTTCTAGCACATCCAGCAGCACACATAATCACAGAGTTAGAATTTTAATTGCAATTGCATAGAGTTTACTCATAAATTTGGGAGAATTTATATTTTTGATCAATTTTTCTACTCTAAAACTTTTTTTTCATTTTTTCAGATCTTGTTTTATGTTCTTCATAGGAATTTATGACTCACGTCATATTTTTCTTAATAACCTTTTCTAAGTGTTTTATGATTGTGATTGTTACTATGAATGTAATGTAATATTTCTCTTATTTCCACTTGTTTCTAATTATTGTCAGTACAGAATAGAGAAAAACTATGTACTTCTTTACATTAACTTAAAACTAATGTGTGTAACCAAGTTCTTCTGTTAGTTCTGATTTAGTTTTACTACATTTTATTTTGTTTCCTAGGAACGTAATCTTCCATTTAGCAGAATGAGATAATTTTACCTTTGCTTTTAAAATATTTAGATCAATTATTTAATTTCCTATGTGACAATCTCTATATTTTAGTAGGAGAATTCAGTCTGTTCATATTTATTATGACCAACATATTTAATTTTTGCTTTTCATTTTACTTTGTACTTATTATTTATTTACTTTCCCCTTTTCCTACCTATTTTTTTAAGGATGCTGTTTGTTCTCTTTTTAAATTTTTGAATTTATTTTATTTTTAATTTTTAGAGACAGGATCTCACTCTGTCGCCCAGGCTGGAGTGCAGTGGTATGATCATAGCTCACTACGGCCTTGAACTCCTGGACTCACAATTCTCCTGCCTCAGCCTCCTGAATAGCTGGGACTATAGGTGTACACCAGCATGCCTCGCTAATTTTTTTATATTTTGTAGAGATGGGGGTCTCACTATGTTGCCCAAGCTGGTCTCAAACTCCTAGCCTCAAGTGATCCTACCACCTCTTTTTTTCTATGTTATTAATTTTGGCATTCTATTGTACTACCCTAATCTGCTATTTGGCTATCTTTCCTTTTCCCAAACTCATAATCAAACTCATTTTCTTTAATATTTTATAAAGGCAATATAAAAAGTACTTCCCCCACCATGATGGTCTGTCTCCCCACTGCTGCCTTCCACTGTTCGTTGAGACCTTTAGAACAGTTATTTTCTTTGGAAAGATGCTTTCTTTCCAAACTCATCTTCCCCTTATCCAACTCTAGGCTTTGCTGAAATAGTTTAGAAACTTTTGTTTCAGATTCTCATTAGTATTTTCCTTTGCATCATGTCTCTTTTTATTAAAGAATGTTTATTTAGCACTTAAATCTTACAAGCATTTTAGTTCATTCTCCTTTTATATTTATCTGTATGTATTTCAAGACTCACTGTTTACAGCTGTTTCGCTCCTTTCCTCTCACCTGGAACCTGGCCGTGTCTCTTTTGATTCATTGGCTGTTTAGCGTTTTTCCTTAAGTATTTTCCTCAGATGGAATACATAGGTAATTTTTTCTCTGAATCTTTAACCCTGACAAATAAATGATGTCCTGAGTGAGTGGACAAGCTTTCATTCAGCGTGTTTCACAGTAGCCTCCATCATTGTGTCCTCCTCTAGTTTCCAGGGTGCTGGGGAGGCACCTGATGCCAGTTTGATTCTTTTTTCTTCCTAAGCGACTTTTCTTCTTGACTGGAAAGACTAAGATTCTCCCATAATCTTTGACCTTTCAGAATTTTATGAGATTACGCTTACAAGTTGTCTTTTTCTTAAGCTGTCTTTCCCGGAATTCAGTGAATTATTTGAATCAGCCAGCTCAAACTTCTCTTTTCTAGTTCAGAAAATATGTTTAAATAGTTCCTGTCCTTCTCCATCTGTTTCGTATTTTCTTCCTAAAATGCCTATTGTTTACATGTTAGGTCTCCTAGATCTGTCTTCCATGGTACCTAGATTTTTCCTCATGGTTTTTATTTATTTATTTATTTAGTTAGTTAGTTAGTTTTGAATTATTTCTTCTACTTCGTCTTTGCCTCTAATTTGGATCCCCATGAAGATCATGTTCTTCTTTCATTCATCCACTTAACTTTTTAGTTTTACACATCATGCATTTTGGTTCCAGAACATCTCTGCGTGTCTGTGTGTGCTGTATTTGAATCTTGTTTCCCCACCCCCCTCCCCAACTTTGTATCCATCCCTCCACAGAAGATGCTTGTCCCAGGACCTTTGCTTTGTGTGTTCTATGTGTTTTTCTCTTCTGGCCACTCTTTCTTCCATGCAAGTCCAATGGCAGTCACATAACACCACTCAGAATGCTAAGAAAGTGAGTGGTGGATGAGGAGGAAGCTTCTCTGCACCTCAGGGTGCTCAGCTGCCAAGGCAGTCTCAACACAGAGCTATTCTAGCTTTAAGGATGGCTTAGCAGCCAGGTGCAGTGGCTCACACCTGTAATCCTAGCACTTTGGGAGGCCGAGGAGGGTGTATTGCCTGAGGTCAGGCATTCAAGACTAGCCTGGCCAACATGGTGAAACCCCGTCTCTACTAAAAAGACGAAAATTAGCCAGGCGTGGTGGTGGTGGATGCCTGTAATCCCAGCTACTCGTGAGACTGAGTCAGGAGAATCACTTGAACCCAGGGGGCAGAGCTTGCAGTGAGCCGAGATCAGGCCACTTCACTCCAGCCTGGGCAACAGAGTGAGACTCCATCTCAAAAAAAAAAAATGTTTAGCCTGCCTAGCTCTCTTAGAACTCATTGAGGGGAAGGAGGCAGCTAAACAGGTGTGTCCTCCGAGGTAAACCAACTCAGGCAGGGAGAGCCTCACCATGGCTATTCAGGTGAGCCATGGTGAACCTTCACTAGCATTTGCCTAGAGTGTGCCACACTCATTCTGATTGTCCACATAGAATTTGTATTTCTCAGCTTGGGCTACTATAACAAAACACCATAGGCTGGGCAGTTATAAAAAACAGAAATTTATTTCCCACAGGCTGGGAAGTCCAATATCAAGGCCCCAGCAGATGTGGTGTCTGGTGAGGGCCCACTTCCTCATAGACAGCCATCTTCTCACTCTAATCTCACATGACAGAAGGGGTGAGGGCTCTCTCAAGTCTCTTTTATAAGGGCACTAATCTCACGCATGAGGGCTCCTGCCCTGATCTAGTCACCTCCTAAAGGCCCCACCTCCAAATACCATCAACTTAAGGTGAAGATTTCAATATTTGAATTTTGGGGGGACAGAAACATTCAGACCAGAGCAGGGCTCTCTGCTGCCGGCCCCTAGGCTTGTGATTTGCGCAGAAGAAAAAGGTGACCATGCCAGCTCTCTCATTCAGGACTGTGGCAGAGACTGGAGTCTTGCTCACCTTTTTCAGACCATGAGAGGTGAATTAGTCAAACTCTGGTTGAGGGATAAAGAGAGCTGAGGTGCCATCTTCCTAGCCTCATTGTTTTCAATACCCTTGTTGATCACATTTTAATGTTATCAGCAGGAGTCATAAATAAGTTACACTGTGTAGATATGAGTTATGAAACTAGACTGTAAATGAGAATCCAGAGGCCCTCAGCAGTTTGTTTCCTAAAGTTCATATATCAGCCTTTTCACCTCTAATACATTTGACAAGTTGGACCAGCCTTTGATTTGATTTTTATGTGTCTCTCATGAACAGACTCTTTTCCGTCTGCTTCTAGGACTAATTAGAAAGGAGATACATGACTGTACAAAAATACCATTAAGGCAAGTGAAAATAAGAAAATCAGTAATGTTGGTTCTCTTTGAATAAATAATAAGGGTTATTAGAAGTTATTGACACAGAAAAAACCCAGAGGACCCAGTTAATGAAAAGTCAAAGCACAAAATAGCACATAATATGTTTTGATAGCATAAATTTCACTATTTTGATTGGGCTTGAATATGTGTTGATGTTTAATTTGTCTATGAAAATATATTCTGTGTATCATACTATACCATATTTTATGTAACATGACATTGATTAATCTTGTGTTTGTGGATATTTCTTTTTCCATAGTGATGACATATTGCAAAAATCCAAACTATGTACTTAAACCGTGCTATTCACTCAAAGGCACTTATTTGCATAATACTATATTGGTTCTATTGCTTTATAAATTAATTCTCTTGATTCTAAAGAAATACTTAAATTCATACTTGTATTTTATTGGTACTAGTTTGATGCCAATTTTCATGAACAATTGAGGCAGAATTTTACTTTAATATTATGAATTGTATAATACCTTTTAAAGTGTGGTTTCCTTTATTTACAGATCACTTGAAAAACTGACTGTTGATGGGAATGAACTGAGTTTTTTCCCCCATGGAATTTTGAAGCTTAACCTGACAAAAATTCAGTTTGAGAATAATTTCACTCATCCTTGTTTTTGGAGAGATAATTATTTGAATAATCCACAACAACTTACTCAAATTATTTCTTTGTTCATTGTCCAAAATAAACTACATAAATTTTATGATAAGATCCCAGTAGAAGTTCAGAAGTTACTAAAATGGTGAGCAAATGCTGAAGCCCTTTTAACCAAAATATACCTTTAAGCATTAAAATGTTCTTCATTACAGGCTTAGATGACAGTGTCACTAACATGCACACATACTCCATGACACACACAAAACCATACACACAATTCTTCAAATCGCTCCATCCAGTTCTTCAGGTATAATAATGTAGTCTGAATCCGGCCCCCTTGTGTGATATTCTCAAGTTGTTACTTAAATCCAGTGTGAAATATGAGTTGTCTCTATGGCTGTTGCATAAATCTTTTCTATAAATGTCTAAGTTCACAGAAGTGGATTCTTCCAAAAAAATTATTTGGCTCCAGACACACTATTCTAGGAGGTGTTTCACTCCACTGTGATGTCATGGAGACCAGGAATGGAGCAGGCATGCATGGAGTAACCTCCCTCAGGGTATCAATGACCAGTGTTGGAATCATTGCCTAATCTCAAGACCAGGGTACTTAAACTGCCACATCCTTACAATCCACTTAGGCTTGTCGCTTACTTTCTTCAGATGGTAGAAGACGATTTTCATTGAATTATTGACCATCAGTGCTTAGGTTATTAATTTAACAAATATTTGCTATGTGCCTAAGTAAAATGGCTTCCCAGGAATACATAAATTAGAAACATTGACTCAATAAAAGGCAGAAAACCTAAACAGCCTAGTAACTATTGGAGAAATTGAACAGTGGTTAAAAATCTACCAACGAAAAAGGAACCAGGCCCAGAAGTTTTTGATTTTATGGTATTAAGATGTCAATATTCATGAATGCACATGAGAAAGCAAGAAAAATCACAAAGGCAGTAATTTTTTTGAAGAATTATAACCTAACTAGTGTGTGGTAAACAGATATGGGATCATGAGATTTGGATTCACCACAAGGTATTTGGGAAGCTGAACTTGAGATTCCTGAATTGCATGTGGACCCCAAAAGAGGCTAAATGGTCCCAGAGCAGCGAACTAACTCTCCCAGCAGAAAAAAAGTGTTTGAGAGAAACATCCTTGATTTAGACTGTAAAGTTTCCAGAAAATTACATTCAAATGAATATTAGCTCACAGCTTAAAGAAATTTCCAAATATATGAGGAAACAAGCCACCAAGGAAAAAGCAAAACAATCAAACAGATACTAATTTCCAAGGACCTAGGATATGAGTATTGCAACTGTGACCAGGAAAATATGAGAAAGAAATGTTAAGTAAAATGAAATTCTAGAAACTAAAAATATAATAGTTAACATTAACTCAATGCATGAGTTAAACAGCAGATTATACACACCTGAAGAGAGATCTGAAAAAATTATAGTAAACATGTAGACCGGAGGTAAAGAGATTGGAGAAAAAAGGACATGATTTAACATACACTTGGATACTCAGAAAGTGAGAACAGAGAGAATGGTGGGAGTCATTATTCAATGAGATAATGGCTACAGATTCTTAGAAGTAATAAAAGATATGAATTCGCAGACATCATCGGGAGCTCTATAAAAGCTAAGTAAAATACCTTGTGGTAAAACTGAAGAACCCCAAAGACAAAGATAAGAACCTAAAATCAGCCAGGAATAAAAAATCCCTTACAAAAAACAACAAATCAACTGCCAGCCACAGTGGACCAGTGACTGAAAAAAAATATTATTTTGCCCAGCAAAGCTTTCAAGAACAAGAGAAAACATGGTATTTTCAGATAAACCAAAACAGAATTTACTCACAATAAATTTTCACCAAAGGAAGTTGCAAAGGATGTACATCAAAAAAAGAAAAATGATTCCAGAAGCAAGTTCTGAGAGGCAAGAAGGAATGGTGAGAAAAGCAGTTGGAAAATATGTAGGTAAACAAACATGATCTCTATGAAATAACAATGTCTATGATATGGGGTTTAAAAAATATAACTAAAACCAGACATCAAACAGTTAGAAATATAATTTTTAAAAGATACTTTTTATGATAGGAAGAAACAAACCTAATGTAGGAATATATTAAGTGAAAAATGTGCAAAACATTTATGGAAAAAGCTGAAGCTTTATAGAATAGTAAAGAAGGCTGAAATAAATGGAAGAGTTATAGATATTTAGGGATAATAAGACTCAGTACTAAAAACACGTTATCCCCAAATAGAGCTATAAATTCAATGCGATTCTGGTGAAGATGCCAATAGAATTTTCTCAGAAACTTAATAAGCTGATTCTAAAATGTATATGGAAAAGGAGAAGATCCAAAATAGTCAAAATAAATCTGAAAAAAAAAAACCCTAACATAAAAGCCTTGCCCACCAGACATCAAGACTTACTATACAAAGTTAGAGAAGGTAATAAAGGTTGGTATTAAGTGCAAGGAAAGGCAAATCAACCAATGGAAGAGAAAACATAGTCCAGTTATTTTGTTCTCATGCACGTGGGAAAACTTGACATTTTGACAGAATAGCACTGTGGATCAGTAGTGAAAGAATAGACTTTGGAATAAATGATGCTGAGACATTTAGTCATCCACAAGGAAAAAACAATAAAATCAGATTCCAGCTATATATATGTCACCATCAGACACACAAAAAAATCATTTCCATTTTGATTAAAGATTTAAATATGAAAAGCAAAACTTTAAAGCTTTTACAAGGAAGTGTAGAAGGCTCTCTGTATGACTTCATGGTAGGCAGACATATCTTAACTGCAAAGCAAAAAATATAAACAGTAAAGCAAAGTTTTATAAATTTGACAAAAGTGTAATATTTACATAAATATAAGATACTATCAATGAAATTAAAAGACAAGCCATTAACTGGAAGAAGATATTGCAGTGCTTAAAATAGTTGAATAATATATATATATTATATATATATAGTAGTCGCTATAGATATATATACTATATATCTATATATCTACTATATAGATGTAGTAGATATATCTACTGTATAGATATAGTAGACACTATATACATATATATATATATAGTAGTCATCCCTTATCCTTGGGAGATGCATTCCAAGACCTCCAGTGGATGCCCGAAACCATGGGTAGCACTGAACCTTATATACATTGTGTTTTTCTATACATGCATATCTATAATAAAGTTTAATTTATAGGGGTGGTGGCGCCTGAGGTCACCATGGCTACCGAGCGCCAAACCGCAGAGCCGGTGGTGCCTTTGTTCGTGGATCAATACTTCACTCGCTGGTACAAAGCAGATGTCAAAGGAAGATCTTGTAAGGACCACTGTATACCACAGCACTCTAACCGAATATGTGTCATCACATTGGCAGAATCTCATCCAGTTCTTCAGAGTGGAAAAACAATTAAAAGCATTCCCTGTCAGATCAGTCCCAACTGTAGCAGACTTCAGAACAAGGTCTCTGGGAAATTTAAGTGGGGGGCACAGTTTCTAACAGAACTTGCACCTCTCTGTAAGATTTACTGCTCAGATGGCGAAGAATATACTGTATCTAGTTGTGTTAGAGGATGTTCGATGGAAGTGAATGAAAAACATTCTCCATAAGCCATCTATTCTTCAAGAAAAGCCATCACTGAAGGCTACATTGCAGTTGAGTTACCCAAATTTGAAGAAAGTAAAAACATAACAGAAGGGTTACTGACACAAAAACGGTATGAAGAAGTCATGGTGAAATGCATTAATGCCACAACAGTGACGTCATGAGGACTGACATGGAGCAAAAAGCAAAGTGGGATTCTTGTTACCTGGCCTAAACCATCAGTGCACGAAAGGAGAAGAACCAGTATCTGTGAAGCATACTTCACAGCCATAGGCCGAGGAGGCCTGGTGCTTCACTTACCTTCGTTTCCCCTCTCTGGCTTGCATAATGAGCCTTGGTTCCCATTTGTCTTCAGCCTGCCAGATCTGGCCTGCCCATGTACTTACCCTGTTCTCTTGCATCTCTCTAACAACTGGCATGCAAGGAATGTTTTTCTGATTAAAAACAAACAAACAAAGCTCTTCAAAGAAAATTTAGAAAGTATAGAAAAGTTTTAAGTAGCTAAGTAAAAATAATTTACGCATTATCCCATAATCCAGAAGTAAATACATTTGACCCTTGAATAACATGGGTTTAAACTGTTAGAGGGTACCATAAACGAATCAAAAATATATCATTAACCAAACACAAAACCCACTTATAGAGCAGGCTGACTTTTCATATACTCAGTTTCCAAAGAGCCGACTGCAGGACTTGAGTTATGTGTGTATTTGGGTATATGTGGAAGGTCCTGGAACCGATCCCCCATGTAAACCAAGGGCTAACTGTACTACATTTTAACCTACTTCTGTTTGAACATTATGGTATGGTTATTGCTTTTGCCTCATTGTCCTATTAGTTTGAAGTTTAAAAAAACCTAACCCGCCTTTCTTACCCAATCTGCTATAATGTGACGACCAAAAAGTCTAGTCCCAGCCCATCTGCCTCAACTCCTCTCCCTTTTAGGTTGTAGGGAAGAGGCTGGAGTGCAGATTGTATCTTCTGCCCTCCTTATGCCAACAAGATGGCCTTCCCCTCTGAAACAAAGTAAAACTGCAACACTGTGACTGCTTAAATGAGGGATATGTGAAAAGGCTATGAAAAATACAAAAGCTTTCCTAGGAAATGTATTATAATGCAGTGGGAAGCTAATTACTGAAATATGCATATTGTAGTCACTCAGTCTCACATACTCTAGTTACCAGCAAATAAGTTACTGAGAATATGTCATTCAAAGGCGTAGAAGCCTTTGAAAGGAGCAAATGCTTTCACATCATTTAAACTAAAAAAAAAAAAAAAACTCCAACAACTATGAATTTATAGTTTAAGATCAGTTAACACTGAATTTCAAATAAAAGGACTATAAAACTTGTCATTTTTCTGTAAGGGCTGTAACACATAAATACATTTCAATATCCCTGTTTTTAAATAAAATACACATTTATACAGAAAAAAGTTTATAAATTAGGCACAGTAAGAGATAACTAATAATAACTAACAATAACTAATAACTAATAAAATAATAATAACTAATAATAAAATGAGATAATTATAACAGTATGCCAGTATCACTACTGTTGCACTTTGGGGCAATATTAAGTAAAATAAGGGTTACCTAAACAAGTACTGCAATACCACAACAGTTGATTTGATAACTCAGAGGGCAACAATGGGTAGCGTCTACAATGTGGATACATTGGACAAAGAGATAATTCCTGTCCCAGGTGGGCAGTTTAAAACTTACAAATTGCTTATTTACGGGATTTTTCACTTATTATTTTTGGACCACAGTTGATAACTGAAACTGTGGAAAGCAATACCTTCGATAAGAGGACACTACTGTATATCTTCCATAAATCAATAAGAAAAGATATAAACCATAGACAAGTAGATAAGTGATAGGAATATGAAATTCATGAATGACGATATACAGATAGGTGATAAACATGAAGAATGTAATATCACTAGTAATCAAGAAACTGCAATGTAAAATAGCAACAATCTTTTTTTAACTTACCTATTTTTATCAAAATTTAAAAGACTGATATTGTGCTAGCTTTGGATGCCCAAAAATATGACTATCATCATGTATCATTGTTGGTACTATAAATTGGTGAAAGCTTCTTGGAAGGCAATTTGACAGTTTCTTAGACTTTAAAAGAGCACCTTAAATCTCAGGAATCTGTCTTATAGAAATAGTTACATGTAAACACAAAGTTAGATACAGGGATTATAACTGCAGCCTAAATCTGCCTCAGTCAGAGAGTGGTAAAATAACTTATGGCATATTCATACTATAAAACATTATGATGCTGTTAATAAGAATGAAGTAAAACAAAATGTTTTGACATGGAAAGTTGTCCAAGACATTTTATTAAGTAAAAAAAGCAAATTGTTCCCACAGACACATACATACACAGTGAGGGTGCACACATGTGAGAAAGATTCCATTTCTGTAAGAAACAGTTACTTATCTAGGAGCTGGAGGGGACAACCCAAGGGAAGAGCTTTAGTTATTCTAGGGAGAGGAGTTCCAGTGATTGAAGAGAGGAATAAGCAGGAATCTCTGTGTTTTTCTCTCTATATTTCCTTATTGTTTGGAAATTTTACAAGGACTCATTTTCATGTAAATAAAAACTGACACAAGTGAATTATAAATAAAAGCAGCTGGAGGAGGAGCTGATAACAAATAGTTGGGGACATAGGGGAAAGATTCAGGGATGAAATAGTATTTGAGAAGGGTCTTGAAGGACCAGTAAAATTTGGAACTATGTCTTGTGTTCAAGGGACATTCCAGAAAGAGGAAACAAAATGGGAAAAGAGGGATGTGTACAAAGAGAAAAATAAATATTCAGCCAGAACAAAACATCCATAAAGGGTAGTGGACCGGGCGCGGTGGCTCACTCCTGTAATCCCAGCACTTTGGAAGGCTGAGGTGGCAGATCATGAGGTCAGGAGATCGAGACAATCCTGGCTAATGTGGTGAAACCCTGTCTCTACTAAAAATACAAAAAATTAGCGGGGCGTGCTGGCGGGCACCTGTAGTCCCAGCTACTCAGGAGGCTGAGGCAGGAGAATCACTTGAACCCAGGAGCCTGAGGTTGCAGTGAGCCAAGATTGTGCCACTGCACTCCAGCCTGGGCAACAGAGTGAGAATCTGCCTTAAAAAAAAAAAAAAAAAAAGAGTAGCGGTGGCTGGGCATGGTGGCTCACGCCTGTAATCTCAACACTTTGGGAGGTGGAAGAGGCTGATCACCTGAGGTCAGGAGTTCAAGAACAGCCTGGCCAACATGGCAAAACCCAGTCTCTACTAAAATTACAAAAGTTAGCTGGGCGTGGTGGCACATGCCTGTAATCCTAGCTACTTGGGAGGCTGAGACAGGAGAATCACTTGAACCCAGGAGGCAGAGGTTGCAGTGAGCTGAGATCATGCCAGTGGACTCCAGCCTGGGTGACAGAGCAAGACTCTGTCTCAAAAAAAAAAAAAAAAAAGTACCAAGAAGTGAGCTAAAAAGAAATAAATGGAGTTAGCTAGTTGTCCATTGGAGATCACTGAATGCATTGGAAGTTTTTTTCTTCAGGCCTTGAGAGTCACTGAGTCCAAATAGCACAAATAGACCTGGCAGTATGTCACAGATAGACTAGTGCAGGGGAAGGCTGGGTGGAGGTCAGTTAAAACACTCATGTCCATAACAGGTAAGGAGGGATTGATCCAAAGTAATAAGTATGGGTATGAACAGGCAGGAAATGCAAGACAAATTATGGAGGTAAAATTAACATACCTAGGTATGTGAGCCGAGTGAGAGAGGGAGGATGAAAAATGACAAAGGGTTCAATCTCATCAAAGATGACTGTGACATTAGTAAAAATAAGAACAGTGAGGGAGGGATTTGTCACCCAACCACTGTCATCCTCCAGTGTCTGCCCTTGGCTTTAATCCTGAATTGCTAGCTACTGAAAATTTCGGTACTGTCCTACTTTCGCTGAGTTCTTTGGATTGCAGCTCAGCTGTAGGCTTGCACTAAAGTCACTCTAAGCTCAGCTACTGCTGTCACTCCAATGGCTGCCCTGTCAATTAGCAGCTATGTATGTCTTTTCTGTCCTGTACAACTTATCATTGCTGTCTGCCTCTCTCTGTCTCTCTACCCACATTGTATCACCTCAGACAGAGAATCCACTTCCATTGAGAATGGGGTCAGAAGACTCATGTTCCACAGATTTTTACCTTGACTTCCTTGAGCATAAGAATGATAGAAATTTTTGTTTGTTTTTATTTTTTTCTTTTATTTTTAGTTGGCACATAATTATACATATTTGTAACATACAGGGTGATATTTCAATACATGTATATAGTATGTAATGATAAAATCAGCTTAGTATATCCATCACCTTATTTATCATTTCTTTGTGTTGTGAACATTTAAAATCTTCTAGCTTTTTGAAAATACACAATAAATTATTGTTAACTATATTCACCTACAGTGCTATAGAACACTAAAACTCCTATCTACCTGTGATTTTTTTTCCATTTTTAACCTCTCCTATCCTCCTCTTCCTCTTACCCTTCCCAGCCTCTAATAACCACAATTCTACTCTCTACTTCCATGAGCTCAATTTGTTTTTAGTTTCCACATGAGTGCCGTTCTGTGCCTGACTTATTTCACTTAACATAGTGTCCTCTAGGATCATCCCTGTTGCCACAAATGACAAGATTTTATTCCTTTTATAGCTGAATAGTATTCCATTGTGTGTACATACCATATTTTCTTTATCCATTCATCTGTTGATAAACATTTAGGTCAACTCCATATCTTGGCGATTGTGAATAGAGCTGCAATAAATATGGGGGTGCAGCTGTCCCTTCAATATACTGATCTCCTTTGCTTTGGATAAATACCCAGTAATGAGATTGCTGGATAGTATGATAGCCTTATTTTTAGTTTTTTGAGAAACCGCCATCCTCCATTCTGATGGCTGTACTAATTTACATTTACCACTGAAACTGTGTAAGAGTTGCTTCTTTTCTGCGTCTTTACCAGCATTTTTTACTTTTTGTCTTTTTTATAATAGCCATTCTCACTAGAGTAAGATATCTTATTATGGTTTTGATTTGCATTTCCCTAAATATTAGTGATGTTGAGCATTTTTTCATATACTTATTGGCCAATTTATATGTCTTGTTTTGAGAATATCTATTCTTTGATCATTTTAAAATCAGATTTTTTTTTTTTGCTGTTGAATTAAGTTCATCATATATTCATTAGTGCCTTGTCAGATGAATACTTTGCAAATATTTACTCCCATTCTGTAGGCTGTTGATTCTGTTGATTTTTCCTCTGCAGTGCAGTAGGTTTTTAATTCGAGATTAGTCCCATTTGTCTATTTTTATTTTTGTTGCTTATGCTTTTCAAGTCTTAGCCATAAAATCTTTGCCTAGGTCAATGTCCTGAAACATTTCCACTGTGTTTTCTTCCAGTGGTTTTATAGTTTGTTTAAATACTTAAACATATTCTTATAATCTGATGATTGTGAAATGGTATTTCTTTGCTATTTTGTTTTGTATTCCCCGATTACTAGGGAGATTGAAAAGCTTTACCTGTGTTCTCTTGACATTCATTTTTTCTTCTTCTGTGAATAGTCTATTCCTGTACTAATGTTAATGTACTAATGGATTAATATTTTTTAACTGATTTCTAACCATTTAAAAATACATTATGGACTCTAATTCCATACTAGGTTATGATAGTACCTTTATTTTTTTAAATGATATATTTATTTTGTATCATAAAAAATAACATGTTTATTATAAAAAATTAGAAAATAAAGAAACACATTATAAAGAAACATAAAACCCCTGTGATCACATTTCCCAAGAATAATAACTATTTTCAATTTGGGATCTATCATTAGAGTTTTTTCTTGTTATGCATATATACCTTTCTGTTTTAAAAAGCTAGGATTGTATTATACATATACCTACTTTATTGTTCAGCTTTTTTAGCGTTTAGTCTTTCACTTAATGGGTAGCACTCACCTAGCTGGTAAGCTCAATGAAGGTAAGGGCAGTATTTTATACTATTTGGAGTCTTGCATAGCACAGAGTCTTTAGTAAAAATTTATTAAATATTGACTTGCTGTTTCCTCCATTTCAGCACATCCAGGTGTGAATGGTGTCATGGTCCCAAGTTTGGTGAAGGTTTTCGTGTCATCCGATCCTGTGATATTTTTGGAGCATCACAGCTTCCAGTTATGTTTTATGTCTGTTCTCCTTCTTGCTATAGAAGAATAAAGGAAAGCAGTTTTGTTTTAGATGGTAGTCCTAGTAGAAGAATAGCTCTAGATGTGGAGTTGTCAAAAGAATTATAGTACAATGATTTATCGTATGTGTGTGTATATATATATATATATATATATTTATATATATATATATTTATATATATATATTCATATATATATATAAACTTTACTGGCTTTTACTGCATATATATCTGCATATAGTAATTCATCTCTTTGAAAGTAGAGGTTCTGTTTGGAAGACATAAGTGTCTTCTCATACGAATTATCTTTGTAATTCTAGCTCCTTATGAAAGTTTGTGATTGTTTGGGAATTGTTGCAGAATAATTACTCAAGGAGGATTAGTAAAGCCTTTAGATTTGAATAAAGCTCTAGAAAATTTCTTTCAGAGCCTGTTTACTATAAAAGGAAAAATGTTGGAATCCTTTGCAAAATGGGTTATGTCTTACAACTGGTCTTTTCATGCATCCATACTAAGTGATGAGATAGCATTGCAGAGTCATCAGTGGGGTATGTGCTGCATAGAGCTTCAATGTCACACATCCAAGTGCTCAATGCTTGTGCATTTCTGTGGAAATCTGACCAGCACCTTCCATCTCAATTGTAGGTTGTTTTGGGGAATAAAAGATTAATTCTATCCCCATTTGTTTGTTTAAATTAATGTCCCAGGTTCTTAGAGAACTGGTACAGTCTTTAATTGTTACCTTGAACTTCATGTCCTAAAGCTGAGCAACTGGACATTAGTCTGATTCCATAGGCTAGCACCAGCATCTACCAAGGCCTACAGTGATAGCCTGACACAAAAATAAAATACAGCTTACAAAATAACATTGCAAAGCAGCATATACATATAGTAAAACTTACTTTAAGAATTAACGTTTGGTAAGAGAAAGATAAAAGGGCATTTTGATATACAAACAACTTTAGAATGGCATAGAATTGTTTCACATATCTTTACACACAGTTCACTTAAATCTCAAATATCATTGCTAAATTTAGTGATATGAAATGATTTACACAGCTATCATCATTAATGTCAGAAAATATACATTGTCATGTTTGTGTGTATCTTTTAGTGATATCATTTAAATAAAGATAAATCAGGCAGAATAATTTTTCTATTGATTTCAATAAATTGCAATGCTTACACGCTTTTCCTTGAGACTCTGTTTCATTTTTCAGCAGAATCAGGTAAACTTTACTTTGCTTGATAAGTATACACTATATTCTCCAGCATAAGAATAAAATTATTTATAATGAGAGAAGTAACTACCATATTACACATGCATGCAGAAAGGGATATTTATAGTATGATAAATTAATTCATTAAAATGTAATATACTCATAATTAGAAAACAAGATGAAGAAAATAATACTAACTCCCTGTGGCATATAGTTTATTAATACTCACCCTTGTTCCTGAAATATTTCTTGGGGAAGAAATATGTTTATTTATTTATTCAAAACATGTTGGGTTTTGGTTTAACTGAGTAATTTCTCAATGAAATAGGAAATAAAAAAGAATAGCTTTCAAGGGAAATGACAAATTCTGAGGGACGTTTCAAAACTAAATATACCTAGATACTTAGACAAATATGAAATATACTTAGAACCCAATCTCTTCATGCTTAGTATAAACCTTGAATCTGAGTGATCTCTTATAGATCTTCCAAAAAAAGTAACTTACAGTATTTTTTAATGAAAGTAAGACATATTTATTATAGAAATATTAGAAAATACAACTAAACCTAAGAAGAAAACAAAATCCTCCTTGTAATGCCTCTGTAACTCAGGTTCAGTCATCCACTGCTTGCAGAGTCTGAATAACAAGAGCAAGGTCTGGTGGGAAAAAAAAAGTGACTTAATTCAAGAGCTACCCGAGGGGAAGTAGTACAGGCTCCTGCCCTGAGATACCACTTCAGCCTTCAGGGCAGAAGGCAAGGGCTTTTAAAGGGGGGATGGGGAGGAGGGGAGGAGGTGCGGGGTCTGTGTGACTTGCTTCAGATGTCTTATCTATCATGTGGTCTGGCTGGCGCCATGGCAGGCAGCTACGTTGTAAATTGAGGCAATCTCTTAGTGGGTGAGAGTTCCAGAGGGGCCTGATTTGCTTCAAGTTTTGGTCTCTGCAACTTCTAAGTAAACACATAGATAAGCTTGCCATACCTGATGGAGAGAAGGTAAAGGTTATAATTGCATTCCTAAAGAGCTAAGTAGGAAGCGGGGGAAAAGGAAAAAGAAAAAAAAATCATTTTTTTCCTTTTAAAAATGGGGTACTCGGCTACACCATCAACCAATGAAAGTCAGAGGCAATCATTTCAACATGTGTATGTGTGCATACATTTGTGTAATACATATGTGTAATACATTTATATAATGTATTACTTTTTTTAAAAATGGGATTATCTGCCTCACACCACAACAAAGATTAATTTCCAATTTTAGGCCTAAAGGTCTAAGTTGAAATATAAAAATAAATAGCTATGGTCTTTAAAAAATCAGATTTAGATTTTTTTAAAAGCGGGTAATGAAACCTCAAAGAAAAGATGAACAAATTTACCATGTAAAAAATTTTTAAATGTCTGTCGAGCAAAAATAACCAAAAATAAAGACAAGCAGCACACTGGGGAACATATCTATACTATATATGACCAGAAAGAATGAGGTTTTCAACAACAACAACAACAAAAAATATATATATATGTTGTGCATGTGTCTCCTGGCACAACTCATTCAGGACTCAAACTGTGTCATCAAGGCATTATCTAGTTTTCTGTCTATCTAATCTAGCTCACTCTATCTATTTATCTATCTATCTATCTATCTATCATCTATCTCTTACCAATACTTTCTAAAAATTTTGTCTCATATCCAGGTAATATGGATGGTCACTAATCATTCCAGGTTCATGTACAAGAATCTCAGGAACCTCAGAGGAAAACACACTGTCTATCCCAACTGTTACTGTAAAATACATTAGGGATGATTTTCATTGGCTCAGCCTGGGTCACAAATCCAAATACAAACAAATCATTAAAGCTTCATGGATGGCATACCCTGGCCAGGCCTGAGTCACATGCCCATCTCTGGAACTGGGTAAGGCAGAATTAGCCCCTCCCAAAACATACTAATTAGATTCTCCACAAGAAAGGAGAATTCTAGAACTGAAAACTAGGGGAAGAAAAAGTGTTTTGGACAGCTAAAATCTGGAACTGTCAGAGACCTCTAAAACATCCTGACATCCAATAAGCTGTTACAAGTAGCAATAACAACAAAAGATGACCTTAATATAGCTATAACAATCAACATTTAATTTTTGTTTTTTACCATAATAAGTCTAATAATTTTCTGCTAAAAAATACTTGTGCGTATGTCTAAAAATATATTCAAGTATACTTACCACCAGGATATTTACAATAGTGAAAAACTGGAAACATTCAAAGAGTTCATCAATATGTATGTAAATCCATACAAGGCACTATCATTCAGTCATTTAAAAATTAGATAACTGTTTCCTTAAATGGAAAGATATCTACCAACTAGTTTTTGAAAAATATTTACTAGGTAACATAGTCACATAACTCAAAAGGTACAAAAAAGTGTATAGGATAAAAATTCTTTCTTTAACCCTGATGCCTGGCATCCTTTTCCCTTCTCAGAGACAACCAATGATATCAATCATTTTGTATTCCAGGATAGCTTATGCATATGTATGCTAACATATACATATATTTCTTCCTTATCTGTATAATATTAGCATAATATATACTCCTTTCTGCATCTTTCCATTCAAATTATGTCATAGAGGTTATTCCAGATCAGTACATTATTAGTTTATGTTCTTTCTTTATGGTTTCATATTATTCCATTGGGCAAACATATATAGCTTATTTCACCAGTTTACTACTTGATGGACTTTTAACTTTTTAACCTCTTGCTTGGAAAAAAATGTTGTGATGAATAAGTTTGTATGTTTACATATATCTGTGGTATAATTTCCTGGAAGTAAATTGCTGGGTCAAAAGGTATGTTCATTTATATTTAATTGGGAGTTGGGAAAAATATGTATTTATTTGCTTTTTAAATAGGTAATACTAGCATACTTTACCCAGCTCAAAAAAGATTTAAGAGTGAAAAGTCTATTTCACATTAATTTCCTTCAGATGCCCACATATTGTTAACCAGCTTCTTGCATTTACTTAAACACTAAGTACCTATAAGGATGCAGCTGTATATAGAAGAATTTTCCTTATTCCAGTAGTGCTTTTTTTTGTATTATATAATTTAAGAACAGCATTAGCGTCATTCATACACTTGTTAAAAATATGGATTCTCAGACCTACCTCCAACCTACTAAATCAAAATCTCTGGGAATACTATCCAGGAATCTTAATTACTACCCGGTCTCCAGGTGACTCTAATGCTTGCTGAGCTTGAGAATCACTGTTCTCCAGAGGTCAGAACGCTCACACCAAAGTGTTGATTCAAGAGAGGCAGGTGTTGGTGTAACATACCTCATTATCTTTTCATTAGTCTCAACTATACATCATTATCACTGACGATCTCATCAATAAAAATTATCCCAAGAATGCAGGCCTGGTTCTTGTTTTGTTTTGTTTTGTTCTTTGTTTTCAGACAGGTCTCGCTCTATCACCCAGGCTGGAGTGCAGGGGCACGATCTCAGCTCACCGCAGCCTTAGCCTCCTAGGCTCAAGCGATCCTCCCACCTCAGTCTCCCGAGTAGCTGGGACCACAGGCAGGCACCACCACATCCAGATAATTTTTATATTTTTTGTAGAGACAAGGTCTCTCTATATTGCCCGGGCTGGTCTCGAACTCCTGGGCTCAAGAGATCCTCCCACCTCGACCTCCCAAAGTGTTGGGATTACAGGCATGAGCCACCGTGCCCGGCTGCAGGACTGGTTAAACATTCAAATATCAACTAATGTAAGCCACTGGGTAATCACTGTAAGACCCACTTTATCTGTAACTTCCAAAACTCCAGGAGCACCAGAGAAAGAAGAGAGATGAGTGAATGTTTCTGTTTCTAGGTTTTCTTGATCATTGTTGAAAACATCTCAATAACCAGGCTCTTTTTTATCCTTCTTATTCCTTGACTTGCTTGCCTTCCATTCCTTCTCTTTCCAGCCTCCCTCCTGCCCTCCTCTTGTTCCTTTCTTTCATTCTTTTCTCTTTTCTATCTTTTTCTCACTCCTAGTGCAAAGTGTGCTTTGTTAAATTAAGACATGTAGGGGGACTAGGAATAACGGAAATTGTCTGTCTGTAAAATACTCAAGAGTATTGCAAAGTCATCCTGCGACAGTGAGTATGTGTGCATACAACTGCCTGTATACACAAAGAAAAAGGTTGACAGAAGCCAACTGAATGGTAAACAATGAATTCATGGTTATGTCTGGGAAACAGAATCTAGGGTCTGATTATAGGGTCCTTTGCTTTTGGCTAGATGAACTTCTCATTGTTTGAATTTTTAATATAATTATGTATTACTCTTATGAAAATTAAAAATGTTTTAACTTTTAATGGGATCATATAATGGTGACACTTTCTATTTTTCTCTCCTCAACCTTATATCACAAATACCTTTCTGTTATGATATTCCAACGTTGATGTGTCATTATGGAAGTGCCCCAATTTACTTATCTAATATTCTCTAATTAAATTACCTTCATTTTCTCTTCTATTATAAACAACAATTTGATAAAGAACATTTCTAAAGCTAAATCATTGCCAAAATCTCTACCCATTTTCATTTAATTTTGATATAAATTTTTTATGATAAAATTGTTCTTCATATCAGTTTACCTCTTCACCAGTAATGTATAAAATGCCCTTTTTTGCCTAAGCCCACATTACTGATATTAATTAATTAACTAATATATTCATTGCCAATTAGACAATGTCACTGATTTTTGTTTATTACTAGTAAAGTTGATTTGTGTTCCACGTTAAATAATCATGATCCTATTATCTTTTCTGATTTTTCCTTTTACATCTTTTTCTCACGTTTCTATTGGTATGCTTGTTTATCTTATTGATTTGTAACAGCTTAGTTAGATAGATAGATAGATAGATAGATAGATAGATAGATAGAATATTAACCTTCTGTCATGTGTGATGAAAATATTTTTCTCAGTTTACTGCCTGCCTTTTTGAAGTGAGATTTCTTGACGTAACGAAAATGTAAATTTTAGATTATAAAATCTATCGCTCTAGTTTTTGTTTTTCTTCTTAATGCTAAGCTTAATAAGCCCTTCTTCAGTCCTCAAATTACATATTGATCTAAACTTTACTTATTTTATATTTTTATCTTTGATTCACCTCAGAATTCATCTTTGATTCACCTCAGAATTACCTCAGTATGGTAAGTGATGTGTGGTTCCACAATTCAAGTCTTTATAGAATTCTGGGAAGTTGTGCCCTCAGCCATTATCTGCTCAATCTTTACCCCACCAATCTGAAATGCTACTTACGATACACTAAATTCTTACATGGTTAGGCCATTTTTTTCCTCCACTTTCTGTGTCATTAACTTGTTTATGTAATGCCAATACCACACTGTTTTAATTATTTTAACCAAAACCAAGCCTCAATATATCTGATTTATCAAGTTCCAACTAATTGCTATCCTTATGTAAAACTTCTTAGCTATTCTCGTACCTTTGTTTTTCTATGATAATTATTATAATCCTTAAAATTATTTTGTTTTATATCCCTTTCCCACACCACATAAACTGTTTTGGATTTTGGTTAGGATTACTTTAGTTTGAAGAGAACTGAGAGCCACACCGGTTAGAGTCTCCCATCTGGTAATGTGCGTTTAGCTTCACTAATGTGATCATGAATGTGATAATTCAGTCATTGGGGAATTCACTTCTCTATGATCCATGTTTTTTACGGTAAAAACAATATAGTCTGAAGTTTTTGTCTGCCTCTTACTTGGATATTATGCTTATGCATTTACTCAAAAAGTATAACTTCCAAGCTCAGGGTTTTGCCCGATATATCTCCCATGGAATACTCTGCCTTGTTCTGACAAACTGGTCGCCAGCTCTGCCTGCTCTCTGTCCTCTTGTCCATTATCAGAGTTTTGTGTGGAGCAGGTATTCTCAGCTGACTGTGGTTAAAAGCAAGGATGAGAAGGTAGAGCAAGGTGTTCTGAGCCCCCTTCACTAGGGATTATCATTTTGTGCTTGTAATCTAAGGGTTGTGTAATATCCTGTCTACCTCACAAGGGATATTAAATATCGTGTACCCAACAGCTCCGAAGAGACAGCGACCATCAAGAACGGGCCATGATGACAATGGCAGTTTTGTCGAAAAGAAAAAGGGGAAATGTGGGGAAAAGAAAGAGAGATCAGATTGTTACTGTGTCTGTGTAGAAAGAAGTAGACATAGGAGACTCCATTTTGTTCTGTACTAAGAAAAATTCTTCTGCCTTGGGATGCTATTAATCTATAACCTTACCCCCAACCCCGTGCTCTCTGAAACATGTGCTGTGTCAACTCAGGGTTAAATGGATTAAGGGCGGTGCAAGATGTGCTTTGTTAAACAGATGCTTGAAGGCAGCATACTCATTAAGAGTCATCACCACTCCCTAATCTCAACTACCCAGAGACACAAACACTGCGGAAGGCCGCAGGGCCCTCTGCCTAGGAAAACCAGAGAACTTTGTTCACGTGTTTATCTGCTGACCTTCTCTCCACTATTATCCTATGACCCTGCCACATCCCCCTCTCCGAGAAACACCCAAGAATGATCAACAAATACTAAAAAATAAAAAAATAATTTTAAAAAAAATCCTCTAGGCTGCAGGCACTCAGAAGTAGCTTGCTTGCCAGGCGTGGTGGCTCACATCTATAATCCCAACACTTTGGGAGGCCAAAATGGGTGGATTGCTTGAGCCTAGGAGTTCGAGACAGCCTGGGCAACATGGTAAAACACCATCTCTACAGAAAATAAAAGAATTAGCCGGGCGTGGTGGTGCGTGCCTGTGGGCCCAGCTACTCAGGAGGCTAAAGTGGGAGGATCACTTGAACCCAGGAGGCAGAGGTTGCAGTAAGCCAAGATTGCACTCCAGCCTGGGCAACAGAAGAGACCCTGCCTCAATAAAAATAAAAAATAAATTTAAAAAATTTTTAAAAAGTAGCTTACTGGTATCACTGTTTAAACATAAGCTGCCCACCAAGGCAGTGCTTTACTTTCACATATTCGACTTCATGCACCCTGAGCCTCTACCCTGATAATCTGACTCCCATAAACTGCCACCAGCAACCAACCATGAGTGACAGTTTAAAGATATTACCTGGTGTCACTGTCTGCCAGAGACAGGGTAGGGTTAGGGATGGGGAAGGACCAATCCTCAACCAAGGCAGCCAGGCTGGTGCAGCACCAGTGAAGGCTCGTGATGGCACCACCCAAGGGCCTGGCTTCCTGCAGGCTCAGGAGGAAAGACAGCTGCTGAGGCCCTGGAGTTTGCTTACTCAGGAGGGCAAGATGAGGTTCCCTTCTGCAGTGGTTGGTGAATATGCCCTCTCCAGGCCAACCACCTCCTCTACTGACGCTTGGTCCCTCCCAAAATTCTCTCTCCTCCCGCTTCCCAGGAGTGTGGGTTAACACCCAGTTGAAAAGCCTCCAACAGGCCGGGCACGGTGGCTCACGCCTGTAATCCTAACACTTTGGGAGGCTGAGGTGGGCAGATCACTTGAGGTCAGGAGTTTGAAACCAGCCTGGCCAACATAGTGAAACCCTGTCTCTACTAAAAATACAAAAAAAAAAAAAATTAGCCGGGCATGGTGGTAGGCACCTGTAATCCCAGCTACTTAGGAGGCTGAGGCAGGAGAATTGCTTGAACCCAAGAGGCAGAGGTTGCAGTGAGCTGAGATCGCGCCACTGCACTTCAGCCTGGTGACAGAGTGAGACTCCGTCTCAAAAAGAAAAAAAAAAGAAAGGAAAAAAAAGCCTCCAACAGGGTCACAAATACATGCAGAGTTCTTCCAGCAGATGAACAACTCAACCTGGGCAGCCACCGGGGGTGAGGAGGTGAGGAGTTGGGAGTTGATTCTTTCCCCTTCCAGAACCCAGACTCAGGGTCCTCACTTCCAATAAGGTAAAGGAAAGTAGAAGCCGAGGCAGCATAGTGAAATCCCATCTCTACAAAAAATACAAAAATTAGCCAGACATCGTGGCACATGCCTGTAGTCCCAGATATTTGTGGGCTGAGGCACGAGGATTGCTTGAGCCAATAGGTCAAGACTGCAGTGAGCCATGATTGTGCCACTGCACTCCAGCCTGGGCAACAGAGCAAGGCCCTTCTCAAAAATGAAAATAAATAAATAAATAAAGCAGAGGTCAAGTGACCTGCCCAAGGCTCCTCATCTTACAGGACGTGCAAAGCACCCGATGCAGGATTTGGCACAGAGTATGGACTCAGAAAAGGGTAGCTCTTATTTTTAATGTGAGAACTTGTGTCTGCCCAGCCCATTCTCCTTTCTCTTGTAACATGATGGCTGCCTTCAAGGACATTATGGTTTGTTTTTCTAAAATAGATTTTAAACATGCATTTTCCCAGTTTCTTTTACTTTTTTTTTTTTTTTTACTTTTTTCCCCTTTGTTTCTTTTTTTTAAATTTTATTATTATTATATTTTAAGTTTTAGGGTACATGTGCACAACGTGCAAGTTTGTTACATATGTATACATGTGCCATGTTGGTGTGCTGCAGCCATCAACTCGTCATTTAGCATTAGGTATATCTCCTAATGCTATCCCTCCCCCCTCCCCCCACCCACAATGACCTTTTCAAATGATTGAAAGTCGGTTGAGGATCTCTGATTTTTTCATTTGTTGTTTTCATTACATTTAGGGGAGGGACAGGAGGTAGAGACTAATGACAAAAATTGATTCTTTATATTCTCTCCAAGCTGTGTTTAGTTCAGCATTTCTAATCTTTAAATGGGATTCCTTTAGCTAGCAAGCAATGCAAATGTTCCAAATGTAATTAATCTCAGAAATCCATACAGCCACAAATCAAGAGTACCAACTCATTTTGACTACCTAGCCACTCTTTTAATATTTCCATTAGGACATATTAGGAAGTCCCATTTTTCACCAATAAGAAATGCGGTGTGTTTGATCAGAAAACAGTTGTAGGAGGACCTAGGTACAGTAAGGCCAAATGGTTCAGAGTGTTCTTTTGCTGCATAGCTCTGGGGAATCGTGGAGATTCCTTGCTTTATAGTGGAAGAAAATAACAACTATATTAACCATCTGGTAAAACTTCCAAACTAGTGTTCTCTGGAGATCACAATTGTTAAAGCTTGGTTCAATTCATCAGTTATTTACTGAGCACCTTCTAGATGCCTGACACCATGCTAGGTCCTTTGCATAAAGTGTAACATAGAATTTCTATGGCAGAGGTATGCCCAGCATGCCGTAGAAGCACAGTGAAGCAGCACAGAGCCACCTCTGGGGATTCACTTTCTGAGGGAGCATTAGTTAAAGCAATCTTGCTGTTGTAAAATGCATGGCAGAGAATTATGGGAGACAATAGTGAAATAAACAAGGCCAGGTCACAAGGCTCTCACATACCATGTAAGGACTGTTAATAGCTGTTAGGGAGTCATGGAAAGGTTTTAACTGAGGAATAATATCATCTAATGTGTATTCTGAATAGATTAGTCTGGTAGATGTACAGAGGAAATTCAGAGAAGATGTTAAGGTTTCCAACCGGGCATGGCAGTAGTAGTAGTAAGGAGGAGAAATTTTAAAAAACATTTAGAATATAAAATTGGCAGATTGGATGTAGAGCATGAGGGAGAAAGGGGAGTTTCTAGGACTATTTGCTTAATTTGCATCCTATGGAGGAAGAAAGTTTTTAAAAAACTTTACTTCACCCATCAATTCACTAAGCCTATAAATTTCTTATAGAAAAAATAGT
Source organism: Homo sapiens (assembly GCF_000001405.40). NCBI lineage: Eukaryota > Metazoa > Chordata > Mammalia > Primates > Hominidae > Homo > Homo sapiens. The sequence goes on from NC_000013.11 coordinate 46,287,685, forward strand.
TTTATAGGACTGATATGGCAAAAGTACGAGTTAGTTTTAATTCATGTTCTGTTCTTGGTACTAAAGTGGACTTTATGCCACCTTATACAAATGTGACGTATTTTTAAAAATCCAGATTTGTCAAACAAACAAAGGTAATTATTCTCTTTATAAAATGATTATTTGTTCTAGAAAATAAATCTTTATATGACACTTTTAAACTGTCAGCTCTAAATATGATTTAATGTACTATTCCTCAGAAACACATTCCTTTTCTAAAAACCGACATACACGTATTTTCAAACTGATTTATTTTTTCCCAAGATATTTTTATTTTTTTAGAGTAAGTGGCAGATCAGTATTTTCTAGGATTCATTCATTCACTCAGTTAAGAAATACGTGCTGGATTCCTATTCTATGCCAGACACTATCTTATACTTTTCAGTTATGGCAGAGAATGAAACAGACAAAATATTCTATCCTCATGGAATGTATACTCTAATGGATTATACCTTTTTTTGTTTTAAGAAATAGGATATGCTATTCATTCTGCTAATTTTAAGTATTTCCTGGCACAGTGCTTTGCACATAGCAGGAACTTTCTATAGATTTATTCAGCTAAATAAATTCTCAAAACCAGAAAGTGACTCCAATAATATGTTGTGTAAATGATTTCACCATTTTTAATTTTCTTATTTATTGTCAGACTCAGAAGAGATGCCAGACTATGTATTCTTGTTTTTTTTTTTTTTAATAAATTCAGATATACAGTCATTTGTTGGGAGAAAAAGACACTATGATTTGAATACTCCTAATTTCCTCCCTTAATCTCTCATCAAAGAGTGTGCTGTCTTTGCATCACTTCAAACTCTTCCATACCAATATAAACCAAGTTACCTTGCCTACACAGTTCAGAATTTTGCAAAGCACTTTCATATACCAAGGGAGGGGAGAAATGTTTAAGCCATTGTTTTTCTAGTATTACCTGTGTGGTGCAGAAGACCGATTAACCACGGCATTTTCTTTCTCTCTTTCCTCCTTAGGAGCAGAATCCAATTTTTGGATAGGCACAATCGCCTCCTAGTAGAAGCTACTACTTTCCCCAGGCTCCCTTGTAGCTGCATCTGGCCACTATACTATGGACAGTAACATGAGTGAAAGTATTGGGTCAGACTCCAGGAAGGCTGTTGAAAGGCAGGTGATTGATTCGAGGGAAGATCTTTCTTACCCTTTGGTCTTACCTTTACTCTTTATTCCAGCGTAGAATGCAGACAATATGACTGGGGTTCCAGCAGCCATTTTTGGCTACAAGGTGACCTTGAGAATAAAGAGTAGAGAGTAGAGACCTATGCCCCTGATGGCATCATAGATCCACAGTATCAGACCTGGTATTCCCTATCTTGTACATGGGAGAGAAAATGATTTTGATCTTGTTTTAGTCACTGATATTTTGGGTCTCTGTTTTATCCAGCCAAATCTAATCCTAACAGATACTGCTTTAGACACTAATCAATGACACCAGCAAAGAGTTAGACTCCCCCTACTGGAGAAATCTGTTGCTAACTCACTCCTTTTTCCCTTCAAGTGGCTCTTGGCTGTCTTCTAAACCTGGTATCAGTCAGATTTACATGTAAGGCTGGGGAAAATTTCAGCAAACTGATTTCTTTGTGATCTCACTTGTGGGGTGAGGCGGGGGTCTGGGCTCTCTCACCTCACCAGACACGGGTCTATATATGACCTACTGGCCAGGAAGAAATCAACCACTTCTGGTCAACTTCTGTTTCCTTTTTGTACCTCTGTACAGCTGTAAACAACAACAAAAAAAGTCTGATAAATCAGCAAACCAGGAAAACCTGGGAACTGCATGCAAAATCTGATTTGTTATTGAGTCTCCCAACATCTACTGGGATGGTGAATTTCTAGCCAGGTGAATTTCTATCATCGTATTCCCCAGCTTACTATAGACATTCCTAATCAATCCTGACACTCTCGCCTGCTAGGCCCTGATGTGCCTCTGAATCTTTGTCAATATAACCTATCAGACTAAGGTTCTCTTTGTTTACATGTTAGTGCTTACAAGTGCATTTTATATGACCTCTTTTTAGGTTACTAAGCTCTTGTTTGGTAATGGTTAGCAACTCAAACAGGATACTGAAATAATATTTGCATTCTCTTCATTTTAATTGGTGGCCAGATGCTTAAAATAAGTTTCACAATGATATGTTGTAAAGAACTTGGAAAGAAGGTGGTTAAAACTAGTTTTGTGAGTTAGTCATATATGTGTGTATATATGTGTGTGTGTGTCTGTGTGGCGCATATATATATATATATATATATATACACATATTCCAGCAATCTGGAAAACACATAAGAGGTGTGTGAGAGGTCCACCAAGACCTGAGGAGACACATAAAAGAATTCCTTTAGACAGAACAGTTGCAGAACTAAAGCTCCAGGAATCACGGTGGTTGCTTCCCCTTGCCCTAAGCCAAGTGGGAGAGACTTCAAAGGCCTGCTTGATGAGTTTCTAATGTGTTTCCTGGAGCTCAGGGACATGGCACTGGTGCAGGACACACACAGAAATTGAAAGGGAGGAGACTGTGGCTATTGGCCTAAGATGGCCAAGTAAAAAGAACAGACCCAGATCAGCTTAGGCATAAGCAACAAGACCCCAAACAGAGGCAAGGATGTGTCAGCTTTCCCTTGAGTCAGGTGGACCAGAGGGAGGATCAGGCCTGGGATCATGTTGAGAGGGTTCTCTTTAGGAGGTCTGCTTGGAGATTGAGCCAAATGCTACAAGGGAATCTACTACTGGAGGTGCAGGGCTTAAGGGAGGGGACAGAAAGTGGCAATTGAAGGAAGCACCACCAGGATGGTGGGAGCTGCAGTGGGAGATTCCTGGTGGGGTGAGTTTGGGACACTCTTCAAGAAACCCACAAAATTTCCAGAGACAATCGGTCTTGAGCATCCACCAAATCCAAATGACACAATGCCAGATCATGACGCAAGACTGTGCCAGTTTCTCCTAATCTCCTTTGCCCCTGGAGCACCACTCTGAAAGGGTCAGAAACTACAGCCAGCCAATGGGTGAGCAAGGTGGGACTGCGGGGTGGGGGGTGACAGATGCAACTGATCACCACTTCTACCCCACTCTAGGTCTCCTGTCAGACTCAATACTGGTCTCACTTGCTTAAGAGCTTGGAGTGTGGTTATTACACTGGACTGGACATTTTGTTGCTGCAATGATACTGCTCTGATGACCAAAAAAGCAGGTAGAGCACTGGGCTCTACCAGAGATTTCATGCAGAGGCAGGGAGGGAACTGGTCTTTGGTATAAAGGGCCATGAGAGAAAGGACCAAGTTATTCCATTCTGCCTCCCATGCCTCACCCCTGCTTAGGTCCTACCTGCCAAAAAAAAAAAGCAGGCACATTGCATTCTCCCTCAGTCCCCGTGTGGCCCCTAGGCAATGTGTGAGTCCAGGAACTGGAGCTACCTGTCCCTTTTGAGGGAGTTCCTCCATGATTGCCCCTGAATGTGAGAAAGGCTGTTTCCTGACACCTGGAGCATGAGAAGAGTAAGAATCAGTCTACTCAATGTGCCACATCAGTTTTGGAATGTCTGACCCCCTTCACAACATTTCAGCAACAACACATGAATTTGTTTGATGACTGGGAAAATCTAAACAAGTTAAATTTTCCACTATGTTTCAAATAAAGAAAGCTGATGTTAGAAAATTCTGCAGAAGTCAGAGGTGTCTCCAGAATACTACTATGACTAGATTTCTTTTAAGCTGAAACTTCATGAGGCCAATTGGCATATTCCTCTGGAACTCAGACAAGCCATTTGCCATAATTATAAAAAGCTTAGTGAGAACCATGGGCTTACCTGAAACTGTACAAATAAGTCAGTTTGATTTTCTTCCTGTACTTTTCTCTAGCTCAATTGCATATAGCTTATGGGTTGTATTCTTTTTTTTTTTTTTTAACTAAAAAGAGATGCACACCAATTGTACTTTTTGATCCCTGGGTCACTCTTGCTTCTGTCAGACACTTTTAATTTAGGAGTGAGGTAATAAGATGTAAGCATTACCCAAGTAATTTATAGTAATGCAAAATTTGGCTCAACAAGCAGATCAATAGTCTCCGTAAGGCCTGGGCCAGCTACAGACAGTTTCACAAAGTCATTATCTAATTGGAAATATCTGCTGGGACACCAGATTTCCCACTGACATTAACTGGGCATTCTCTTAGCCCAGAAAGCATGATGATAGATTATCCTTGAAACGGCATTCTGACAAGGGCATTTCTCTGTAACATCAGGCATCACAGAACAAATTGCCTAATTGGAACTTTACAATTTTATTTTCCTTTTCTGTTTGGCAATACACCAAAAAGAGACTCGGAAATGATCTATGGTATTCCTTTTGTCAAAGCTCAAAGAACTCTTAACTGTTCTTGTATTTTGATTCCACCTGAATTCCTCTCATGATGATGCTACAGGTGTTTATCATCATCACTATTAGGTTTATCTCCTTGTCCCCCACTCTATACAGGGCAAATGGAATTACCGCTATTTGTAGTCTTCAGCGGACACAAGTGTAAAAGATGTCCTGTGTAAGACAAATAAGTTTAAAAGTATGAAAACAAGGCCAGCTGCAGTGGTTTAAGCCTGTAATCCCAGCATTCTGAGAGGCCAAAGCAGGGGAATTGCTTGACCAGGGGTTCGAAACCAGCCTGGGCAACAAAGCAAGACCCTGTCTCTACAAAAAATAATAATAAAAAAATAGCCAGGTATAGTGGTACAGGCCTGTGGTCCCAGCTACTTGGGAGGCTGAGGCAGGAGAATTGCTTGAGCCCAGGAGGTAGAGGCTGCAGTGAGCTGTGATTGTGCCACTGCACTCTAGCCTACATGACAGAGGGAGACCCTGGCTCTAAAAAAAAAAAAAAAAAAAAAAAAAGGGGAAAACAGTATTACCTTAAAAAGGTGACGGAATGCTGTTAAGCACTGTCCCAACTTGAGGGTCTAAATTTTGCTCATTTCACTAGGATTCCTGCCCCAAGCACAGGACAGGGAACTCTGAGAACACTAAGCTATGAGGGCCCCCTTTGGGTTTGTAGATATCTTGGGAAGTTGTCCACATGAGGAAGGCTGGGCAGAAGCATGCCTTGTGGCATTGCTTGGGGTCACTTTTGCTAGTCAGTCAACTGGTGAGGCAGAGGGCTGGGTGGAGCCGAGGTTCATGTATAGGGTGGAGGAGGAGAGGGAGATCTCCACATGCGTGAAGGCTGGGTGGTCAGCCACGAACACACTACTCAAGGCAGCTCCTGGGCGTGTGAGAGGGGGACCCTGCATTAGGCTTCCTATGAGTCTGCCCTTCCCAACACCCTGACCCACTCCTGCACTGCATGGACAGCCTCTTTCCCCATTCTGACAATTCCCTCTCACTCAGGTGTCAGAAAACTAGGTCTCCATCCCACAACCACTGGTGCATCTCCCTCCTCTCTATCCTATGGGTTCCATTGCATGCCCTTCTCACAGCTTTCCTAAACAGCTGTATTCTCTTTTCATTCACAATAGAGCTTGAGTTGCTCATCTACACCACAGCCCAATCATGGCTAGCCCAAAACAATCTGGACCCCCTTTCCTTAAGAACCAAGAAGCTTCCATTTTCAAAGCCCTTGAAAACTTTCAAATAGACTCAGATCCTAGTTCTACAAGAAAGCCCACTGTGAAGGCTGATAAGCCCACACTAACCACACAATTCCAGGTAACAGAGTCCACCCTAGAATGTTCCCTCAGAAGCACACTGTATGCCCCCAAAGCAATCCATAAAAATAACACGTGGAGTTTTCCTATATCAAAGATGTCCTTAACTGTTCTTATAACTCTGAACTAAATTGTGATCTCCAATTTACATAACTTTCAGACGTCTTAAGAGACCTATTCCAGAGCTTAATGGGAAGTGGGTGGGTGGAAAGCTCACAAGACAGCCAGAGCTCTTTTCAAATGGTTTTATGTTTGTTACCCACACAATGGGCAGGTATGATCACTTGGTGGGTGGCCATCCAATGACCACAACCAAGGAGGATTTAACAAGGGGATTTTATTACTTGCAACAAGTAAGGAAGACACCCGGGATAGTTCCCCAAAACAGTACCTTTCATAACAAAGGTGAAAACGGGGCTTTAATTGGGCTGGATAGCTGAGTCACTGTAAGTAAAGGGGGAGTCTAGGCCACACAGGTGCAGTCACTGTTCATGCTTCTACATATATTGCATGTGGCTGGACGTGGTGGCTCAAACCTGTAATCCTAGCACTTTGGGAGGCTGAGGCAGGCGGAGCACTTGATGTCAGGAGTTCGAGACCAGACTGGCCAACATGGTGAAACTTCATCTCTATTAAAGCTGGATGTGGTGGCGCATGCCTATAGTCCCAGCTACTTGGGAGGCTGAGGCAGGAGAATCGCTTGAACCTGGGAGGTGGAGGTTGCAGTGACCCGAGATCACGCCAGTGCACTCCAGCCTGGGTGACAGAGTGAGACTCCATCTCAAATAAAATAAAATAAAATAAAATAAAATAAAATAAAATAAAATAATAAAATAAAATAAAATAAAATAAAATAAAATAAAATAAAATAAAATAAAATAAATAACATTGCATGTTTAGAAAGTGGCAAACAGGCTTCTCCCTGGGCAGGTTTTTTTAGTATGGGAATGAGGAGAGTTCCCCAAATTTCATCTCCAACACAGCAGGCATCTCCCGATTCAACCAGTTTTTTGTTTTGCAGAGGCTGAGCTTCTTTCTGGGTCTTTTTGAAACAACAGGAACTCAAGGTGCAACAGTAACAAGTGGGTACTTTTTCACAGTGTGTACCCAAGGACCTCAAAACCCCAGGAACCTGGGCTGCAGGTTCACTCCAGAACACCGAGCTATCAGTGCCCTAAATTTCTATGCCATGATGCTGTAATAATTTTTGCCTAAAAATATTTTTACTTTTTTATTAATAATGATGTCTTACATTTGTCGGGCACACACTGTGCCAGTTATCCATGATCTAATTCTCACATCACTTTATGAAATGGTTCCTATTAATATCTCTGTTTTATAGGTCAGTAAACTGAAGCAAGTAGAGTTAAGAAAAAGTGGATTCTGGCTGGGCACGGTGGCTCACGCCTGTAAACCCAGCACTTTGGGAGGCCAAGGCGGGTCGATCGGTCAGTAGTTCGAGACCAGCCTGGCCAATATGGTGAAACCCCGTCTCTACTAAAAATACAAAAATTAGCTGGGTGTGGTGGTGGGCACCTGTAATCCCGGCTGCTTAGGAGGCTGAGGCAGGAGAATTGCTTGAAACCAGAAGGCAGAGGTTGCAGTGAGCCAAGATCGCACCACTGCACTCCAGCCTGGGCAAAAGAGTGAAACTCCGTCTCAAAAAAAAAAAAAAGAGTGGATTCCACACAGTGTAATTTCAAGGTTATAAATGTAAGCATGTTTAAGGCTTTTCATACGAGAAGCCAATTTGTTTTCTGAAAACTGTGTTCCTGCTAGTGTACATTCCTGGCAGGCTACACACTTGTTCTTCCCACTACACAATCATCGAGACATTGAGAATTGTCTTCTGAAATATTTAATACTTTCATATGGGAAAATGGTGTCTTCTTGTGGTTATTTTAATTGTCTTTGTTTTAAATTCTCTGTTTTCCAATGGTTCAATTTTCTAGTCCTTCTGAGTTTTGTAGGCAGTAAGCATGGCATAAATCCTAAATAAATAGAGGAAATGCTTCACTATTTTTCCTGGAACTGGACTTAGCTATTTTATTTTTAAAAGGAAAGAAAAACCTAGAAAAGGGAAAATCTACAAGTGTCAGACCCTCCCACACTTCTATGGTTTGTTCCAGAAAAAGGAACAGCTTCTTTACTCTGAGGAACCAGAAAGAAGCTTGCTCTGTTCCTCTTCTCAACAGCCAGAGCTTCAGCGCTAGCACCTGTGTTATCAAGAGAAGCTGAGTCCAGAACACGTGATGGGAAGCATGTGGGTATGTATGTGTCAAAGCTGCTTTGAGCCTCACTCTGTGCTTTTTCTCTTCTTCTAACAAATTCATCACCGGTGTTATTGTGTCAGTGCATGCTGAGAATTTTATGCAACTTAGTGTATATCTGATTATCAAGCATTCAAATCCCAACATCTGTGCTCAAATATAAGGAAATAGGTCAAACAGAGACGCCTCCTCCTGCTGCAACGCCTTTCACACTGCGTCAAAGAGTTGCATCAAACAGGATGATCAGTGTTGCAAGGTGTGGAGACCACAAACTGTCTGCCACCACTGCCAGGCACCATGTAACCTCAATTCTTCCCTGGCAAATAGTGTCTGACACAGTGCAAAAGGGCAGCACTGTTAGAAAGACTGCAGCTCTAACTAAAACTGATGATCAAGCAAGAGGAAAAAATCCGATTATCAGCTATTTTAGAGTACATTTAAATTCCCAAGTGCAATGACCCCTAAATGCAAACCATTGTTTTTGACCAGCTATGACTAAAACAGCTAAAAAGGATTGAGAAACAGCAAGAGAGAAACTATGCCCTCTAAAGAAGCAGACTTCCTGCCTTGGCTAGCTTGTGTTAGAGCAGATTCTGCCAAATAATACCACTATAAAACGTGTCTTCAAAAAAGCTGTATCTTCCAAAAGATGATGTAACAGTTGCTCTAGGGAGGCAATAGCAATGTTCAGATGAATGGTGAATTCCTTTCCTATTGCTGCTCTAACAAATTACCACAAATCAGTGGCTTAAAACAAAACAGCTTTATTACTGCACAGTTTTGGAGGTCTGAAGTCTGAAATGGGTTTCACTAGGTACAAGTCCAGGTGTCAGCAGGGGTGTGTTCCAGCTTCTAGAGGCTTCCTGCATTCCTTCGCTCATGGCCTCACTCCTCCATCTTCTAAGCCAGCAATGTCAGGCTGAGCCTTCCTCATGCTGCCGCCTTTCTGATTCTTTCTCTCCTGCCTCTCTCTTATAAGGAACATTGTGATGACATTGGACCCACCCAGATGATCCCAGATAGTCTCACCATCTCAAGGTCAGCTGATTATCAACCTTAATTCAGTCTGGAACCTCAAGTCTCCCATTGCCATGTGACATAACATAGTCACAGGTTCCAAGGATTAGGATGTAGATATCTTTGGGGGGCTATTATTCTCCCTATCACAAAAGGGAACACCAGAGTCTTCAGTTTAGCAATCTTCAAGGAATGTTGACAAAGCAAGAATCTGAGGCTTTGAGAATGTAGGTAATTTTCCCGAAGACATTCTGCAAGTAGGAGATAGAGCTGGAACATGACCAGATCTGTCTGCCAAGTAAGCCCAGGCTCATCCTCCACACGCTGCCCCCATCAGGAGGCAACCTGGCCCCTTCTACTGAATCTCTACATCAGATGGAGCCTGCATATGACTCAGCAGAAACCTCAGAGGAAATTCTGCTTCCTTCAGGAATTTCAGGGCATGGTGGTGATTGGAAAGAGTCAGGACAGTTGGCCTTTACTTCATATTGCATCACAACCACTAAGTGGCTTTGGGAAGTTTGCTAAAACTTTCAGGTTCTAAGGATCCTCGGCTGTGAAACCAGGAACTTGGACTAGATGGTGTCTAAGACATCTTTCAGTTCTAAAATTCTATAATTGAATGGTCTTATGGGTAAAACCACTTTGCTGCAGAACAGTGCCACTCAGAGCATAGTTTGTCGACCTCTGTCAGTCCAGAGTATTCGGTACCTGTCCATGACAAGATAAGGAGCTTAAGCCAAAATGTTAACCAACTACATCAGTAAGTGCACTGTTCAGTACTGCTGCCATTTGATTTTTTGTAGCAAGGCTTTCGTGGTGAAGGAAGCAGTGTGTTGATTTACTTCCTGGCATAATCTTCTTATCTCATTGCAGATTGTTAGCAAATAGTTCCTGGATGAGATTCTGAATAATGCTGATGTAGAAAAAACATTAAAGTTCAGAGGTGAATATGTGCTTAATATCTGAAAATTTTTAGAGAATGACAGCTGGTTGTTCTTGCCTCACAGAAAGGAATAGTATCCAGTAAGTATTTGTAAAAATACAAATGATGAAACTATCTTTGGGATCTGTGATAGACTGCAGTATTTCTTCCAGATTATTTACACTCTCCCTGCAAGAAAATTATACATCCAGGTCTACTGCCATGGGCCTTCCTGTGGAATACATTTCTTCCCACTATTGACATCAGACTTGGGTCCAGGGACTTGCCTTGGTTAATGGAATGTGAGCAGATGGCTTATACCATGTCTCAGCAGAAGTTTTGGAAGTCATTCACGCCTGTAATCCCAGCACTTTGGGAGGCCAAGGCGGGCAGATCACTTGAGGTCAGGAGTTCAAGACCAGCCTGGCCAACACGGTGAAACCCTCTCTCTACTAAAAATACAAAAATTAACTGGGTGTGGTAGCGCACGCCTGTAGTCCCAGCTACTAGGGAGACTGAGGCAGAAGAATTGCTTGAACCCAGGGGGTGGGGGTTGCAGTGATCCAAGAGTGCGCTACTGCACTCCAGCCTGGGCGACAGAGCAAGACTCCATCTCAACAACAACAACAACAACAAAAATCATTGCATAGTTCAGCCATGGCTTTTTTTCTTCTCTTAAAAAATGTGGGGGCAGGGAGGGGAAGGAAGGGGGTGTCCTAGGTAGGGGTGAATCTTTCAGCCTGTAAACCAGAATGAAGAAGACATGTAGAGCAGAGCTATAGTCAACCCTAGCTGACATATATTGTAAGCAAAAAATAATCCTTTGTCATTGTCCCTGAGATTTTGGAATTGTTTGTTACTGCAACCTAACCGAACAAATGCTGGTAGAACAATTTGTATTCCTTTGGGTATATACCCAGTAATGGAATTGCTGGGTCAAATTGTAGCTCTGTTTTTAGCTCTTTGAGCAATCACCACACTGGTTTCCACAATGGTTGAACTAATTAACACTCCCACCAAGAGTATATAAGAATTCCCTTTTCTCTGCAACCTCACCAGCATCTGTTATTTTTTGACTTATTGATAATAGCCAATCTGACCAGTGTGAGATGACATCTCATTGTTGTTTTGATTCGCATTTCTCTAATTAGTAGTGCATTCTTCTTTCTATTAGTAAGTACAACAAAGTTTTTACCTCAATAGCCTCATGGCCCAGTCAGGACTGCTTTATCTCAAAAAGCAAAGCAGAAACTACAGCTATTATGAAGTCAATGACAGTAGCATTGTTTACCCCCAGGCAAATAGATTTCTTATTGCTGAGAGCATACCCACCTCCTCCAACACACACACACACACACATACAGGATATGGATTAAGTTGAATGGTTCAAGTGTTTTATGTTTTCATAGCCACACTCCACTTCCAATAACTTACAAAGTCCTGTCAGTTCTACCTCCACCTCTTACATGTCTCTCCAATGTCTCTGGTTCCACTGCCACTATTCCATTCCAGGCCATCATTATCTCTCATCTGGACAATTGTGATAATTTACTAAGTGGTATGGCCATATACATCAACTCTTCCCCCACTCTAGCTAGCTTGCTATATAATTCTACAAAAGTCAGGGCTGGGCATGGTGGCTCATGCCTGTAATCCCAGCACTTTGGGAGGCTGAGGTGGGCAGATCACGAGGTCAGGAGATCGAGACCATCCTGGCTTGATCTCCTGTCTCTACATGGTGAAAACCTGTCTCTACTAAAAATACAAAAAATTAGCCGGGCGTGATGGCGGGCACCTGTAGTCCCAGCTACTCGGGAGGCTGAGGCAGGAGAATTGTGTGAACCCAGGAAGTGGAGCTTGCAGTGAGTCGAGATCACGCCACTGCACTCCAGCCTCGATGACAGAGTGAGACTCCATCTAAAAAAAAAAACAAAAACAAAAAACAAAAAACAAAAGTCAGCTTTCCAAAATGTAAAATTAATCACATTATTGCCCTGCTTAAAACTCATTCAGTAGTCACAAAGGAGAGAAAAAAAGGAATCAAACTTTATCACTACAGAAAATGACCAAACTGCAAAAATAAACAATGAGAAGAAGTAAGGAATAAGTAATATGCAAAACAACCAGAAAACAATCTATAAAATGATAAGAGTAAGTCTTTACCTATCAATAATAACTGTGAATGTAAATGTATTAAATTACTCAGTTAAAAGACATAGGTTGGCCAAATTGAAAAAAAAGTAAGACCCAACTATATGCTGCCTACAAGACACTCACTTCACCTGTAAATACAAGCTTTATGTGAAGGGATAGAAAAAGATATGTCATGAAAATGGAAACCAAAAGCAAGGAGGAGTAGCCATGCCTATGTCAGATAAAACAAACTTTAATTCAAAAGCTATAAACAGAAACAAGGGACATTATATAATAATACAGGGATCAATTCAGCAAGGACATATAACAACTGTATATATATGCAGTCAATACTGGATAGTCTAGATATATAAAGCAAATTATTAGATCTAAAGGGAGATTCAGACTCCAATACAACAGTAGCTGTGCATTATAACATCTCACAGCATTAGACATATCATCTAGACAAAATTTAACAAAAAAACATTGGAATTAAATAGCATCATAGATCAAATGGACCTAGCAGACATTTACAGAATATTTCACCCAATAGCTAAATAAGACACATTTTTTCCATCAGCACATGGAATAGTTGGAATATTCCATGTGTTTGGAAACAAAACAAGTTTAAATTTTTAAAAAATTGAAGTCATATCAAGTATCTTTTCTGACTACTGGAATAAAACTACACATCAATAACAAGAGGAACATTTGAAACTATACAAATACATGAAAATTAAACAACATGCTCCTGAATGACCAATGAGTAAAGAAAGAAATTAAAAAGAGAACTTTTTAAATTCTTGCAATAAATGAAAATAGCAACATAACCTGTCAAAACAAATGGGAGGCAACAAAAGCAGGATTAAGAGGCAAGTTTATAGCAGTAAATAGCTACATCAAAAAAGTAGAAAGAAGCCAGGTGCAGTGGTTCATGCTTATAATCCAAGCAGTTTGGGAGGCCAAGGCGGGTGGATCAACTGAGGTCAAGAGATGGAGACCAGCCTGACCAACATGACAAAACCCTGTCTCTACTGAAAATACAAAAACCAGCCAGTGTGGTGGTGTATGCCTGTAATCCCAGCTACTCAGGAGGCTGAGGCAGGAGAATTGCTTGAACCCAGGAAGCAGAGGTTGCAGTGAGCCAGGATCGCACCATTGCACTCTAGCCTGGGCAACAGAGCAAGACTCTGTCTCAAAAAAAAGAAAAAAGTAGAAAGATTTCAAATTAAAAAAAAACTAATGATGCATCTCAAAGAAAAGCAAGAACAAATCAAACTTTAAATTATAAGGAAAGCAATAATGAAGATCAGAGCAGAAATAAAATTGAGACATAAAAATAATACAAAAGAAAAATGAAACAAAAATCTGATTTTTAAAAAAGATAAACAAAATTGGCAAGCCATTAGCTAGATAAACTATGAAAAAAAGAAAGAAGACCCAAATAAACAAGATCAGAAAAGTAGACATCACAACTGATACCACAGAAATACAAATGGTCATTGGAGACTACTATGAACAACTATATGCTAATAAATTTTAAAACCTAGAGGAAATATAGAAATTCCTGGACATATATAACCTATCAAAATTGAGCCAAGAAGAAATAGAAAGTCTGAACATACCAATAATGAGTAACAATATTGTATCAGCAATAAAAAGTCTCCTTAAAAAGAAAAGTCCAGGACTGGATGGCTTCACAGCTGAATTCTGCCAGACTTTTAAAGAAGACTTAAGACTGCTTCTTCTCAAACTATTTTAAAAAATTGAAAGGCAGAAAATTCTTCCAAACTCATTCTAAAACGCAAACATAACTCTGATACCAAAACTAGGTAAGGACACAACAAAAACTACAGACCAGTGTCCATAATGAACATAGATGCAAAAATTTTGAACATAATACTATCAGGCTGAATCTAGCAGCATGTCAAAAACATCATACACCATGACCAAGTGGGGCATTTATTCCAGGGATGCAAGGATGGTTCAACATATGTAAATGTTGACCTTTTTTTTTTTGAGACAGGCTCTCACTCTGTTCACCCAGGCTGGAGTTCAGTGGCACGATCTTGGCTCACTGAAATCTCTTCCTCCTGGATTCAAGGGATCTTCCCACCTCAGCCCCCCAAGTAGCTGGGACTACAGGTGCCTGCCACCACACCTGGCTAATTTTTGTATTTTTTGGTAGAGATGGGGTTGGGTTTCACCATGTTGGCCAGGCTGGTCTCAAACTCCTGACCTCAAAGTGATCCACCCACCTTGGCCTCCCAAAGCACTGGAATTACAGGCATGAGCCGCTGTGCCCCACCAACATGTGCAAATGTTGATTGAGCTCAATAAATGTGATAAATTACAGCAACACAATGAAGGGCAAAAACCATATGGCCATCTCAATAGATGCAGAAAAAGCATTTGATAAAATTCAACATCGCTTTATAATAAAAATTTAGTAAATTAAGTATAGAAGGAAAGTACCTTAAAACAATAAAGGCTGTATATAATATACCCACAGCTAACATCATACTGAATGGAGAAAAATTGAAAGCTTTCCTCTAAGCACTGGAACAAGACAAGGATGCTCACTCTCACCACTCTTATTCAATATAGTACTGGAAGTTCTAGCTAAAGCAATTAGGCAAGAAAAGGAAATAAAAGGCATTCAGACTGGAAATGAGAGAGTCAAATTACCCTTATTTCCAGATGATATAGTCTTATATATTTAACAACCTAGAGAGCCTACCAAAAAAAAATTTTGGAAATGATAAGCAAATTCAGTGAAAGTGTAGCATACAAAAATCAACATACAAAATCCACTAGTACTTCTATACACAAACAACAAACTACCTGAAAAAGAAATCAAGACAGCAATCCCATTTACAATAACTACAAAGAAAATCAAATACCTCAGAATAAATTTAACCAATGAAATGAGAGATCTCTATAAGAAAAATTATAAAATACTTATGAAAGAAATTGAAGAGAACATTTAAAAAATGGGAAGACATTCCATGTTCATGGATTAGAAGAATTATTATTGCTAAAATGACCATACTACCCAAATCTACAGATACAATGCAATCTCTATTAAAATGCCAATGACATTCTTCACAGAAATAGAAAAAATAATTCTAAAATGTATATGGAACCACAAAAGACCCTGAATAACCAAAGCAATCCTTAACAAAATGTACAAAGCTGGAGATATCACACTACCAGACACTAAAAAATACTACAAAACTATAGTGGCCAAAACAGCATGGTACTGGCATAAAACCAGAGAGACCAGTGGAACAGAATAGAGAACCTAGAAATTAATCCACATATCTACAGCCAGCTGATTGTTGAGGAAAGCGCCAAAAATATTCACTGGAGAAAGACAGTCTCTTCAATAAATGGTGCTGGGAAAACAGAATTTCCATATGCAGATGGAAAAAGATTAGGGTCCCACCTCTCACCCTATATAAATATCAACTCAAAATAGATCAAAGACCTAAATGGAAGACCTGAAACTATAAAACTTATAGAAGAAAACAATGGAGAAACACTTCAGGACATTGGTCTGGGTAAAGATTGTATAAATAAGACTTCAAAAGCACAGTCAACAAAAACAAGAATAAACATCTGAGATTATATCATACTAAAAATCTTCTACATGGCAAAGGAAATAATCAACAGTGAAGAGACAGCCTACAAAATGGGATACAATATTTGCAAACTATTCATCAACAGGGGATTCATATCCAGAATATATAAGGAACTCAAACATCTCAGCAACAAAAATCCCTTAAACAATCTAATCAATAAATGAGCAAATGATCTCAATAGACATTGCTCAAAAGAAGACATACAAATGGCCAACAAATTTGTTAAAAAAAAAAGTTTAACTAATTTAATTAGTTTAATTCCTCTGATTAGGGAAATGCAAATCAAACCCAGTGAAGTATCATCTCACCCAGTTAGAATAGCTATTATCAAAAAGACAAAAGATAACAAATGCTGGTAAGGATGAGGAGAAAAGGGAACTCATATACACTGTCAGCAGGAATGCAAACTTGTCCAGCCACTATGGAGAACAGTATGGAGATTCCTCAAAAAACTTCAAACAGAACTAACATATGATCCAGCAGTCTCGCTACTGGGTATTTAACCGAAGGAAAGGAAGTTAGTATACTGATGAGACATCTGCACCCCCATGTTTATTGCAGCACTATTCACAGTAGCCAAGATATGGAATCGACCTAGATGTACAACAGCAGATGAATGGATAAAGAAAATGTGGCATATATACGTAATGGAATACATTCAGCCATAAGAAGAATGAGATCCAGTCCTTTGTGGCAACATGGACGGAACTGGAGGACATTATGTTAAATAAAATAAGCCAGAAACAGAAAGTTAAATACCACAGTCATATGTGGTATTTCTCACTCTTATGTGGAAGCTGAAAAAAAGTTGATCTCACAGATGTAAAAAGCAGAACAGAGGTTACTAGAGGAAAGAAAAGAGGGGGAGAGGGAGAGACTTGTTAAAGAACGTGAAATTATAGCCAGATAGGAGGAACAAGTTCTAGCGTTTTACAGCAGTATAGGATGACTCTAGTTAACATATGTTACATATTTTCAAATAGCTAGAAGACAGGATTTTGAATGTTCCCAATGCAAATAAGTCATAAATGTTTGAAATAACAGATATGCTACTTACTCTGATCTAATCACTACACATCATATATATCAAAATATCACTAGGTACTCCATAAGTATGTACAATTATTATGTGTTAATTAAAAATAAATAAACATGTCTTTTGAATAAAATGTTTTTAAATACTTAATAAAATACAGTTTATGTTGTAAAAAGTTATTCAGTGGGTTTCCAACACCTTTTCTCAGCATGATTGGTCTGGTTCCAGCTCGGCCTCATCTGGCCTCATCTCATGCCACTCTCATCTCACAGTCTGTGACTGCATCTTTCTGGTTTTCTTCCAGTTCCTCACATGGGCCACACTTTTCCAGTTTCCGGACCTTTACACATGCTGGAATCATGCCTCCACTAACTAATTTTCTTTTTTTGTTGGAGTTTGTTTGTTTTTTGGCCAGGCTGGAGTGCAGTGGTGTGATCTCGGCTCACTGTAACCTCTATCTCCTGGGCTCAAGCTGTCTTCTCACCTCTGTCTCCAGAGTAGCTGGAACTAAGGTATGCACCATGCTCGGCTAAATTTTTTTTTTTTTTTTCCGTGGAGATGGAGATTTGCCATCTTGCCCAGACTGGTCTCTAACCCCTGAGCTCAAGCGATCTACATACCGTGGCCTCCGAAACTGCTGGGATTACATGTGTGAACCACCATGCCTGACCTCAGTTAACTAATTTTTTTTTATTCAGCTTAAACATAACTTCCTCAAGGAAACATTCCATGACCCTTGTACACTGTTGGTGGGAATGTAAATTAGTACAATCATTATGGAGAACAGTTTGGAGGTTCCTCAGAAAACTAAAAATACAGCTACCATACAATCCAGTAATCCTACTGCTGGGTACATACCCAAAAGAATGGAAATCAGTATATCAAAGGCACATCTGCATTCCCATGTGTTGTTGCAGCACTGTTCACAATAGCCAAGACTTGGAAGCAACCTAAGTGTCCATCAACAGATGAGTCGATAAAGAAAATAAAGTACTATTCAGCCATACAAAAGAATGGAGTACTATTCAGCCATAGAAAGAATGAGATTCTGTCATTTGCAACAACATGGATGGAACTGGAGGTCACTATGTTAAGTGAAATGTCAGGCACAGAAAGACAAACATCACATATTCTCATTTACTTGTGGGATATAAAAATGAAAACAATTGAACTCATGGAATAGAGAATAGAATGATGGTAACCAGAGGCTGGGAAGGGCGGTGGGGAGGTTGGGGGGAGGTGGGGATAGTTAATAGGTACAAAAAATAGAAATAATACAACCTAGTACCTGACATCACAACAGAGAGACTATAGTCGATAATAATTTAATTGTATATTAAAAAATAACTGAAAGAATATAACTGGATTGTTTGTAACACCAAGGATAGATACTTGAAGGGATGGATACTCCATTTTCTATGATGTGATTACTATGCATTGTTATGCCTGTACCAAAATATCTCATGTACCCCATAAATATATACACTTGCTATGGGGTATGTACCCACAAAATTTTTTTTTAAAAAGTTCCCTTATCTCCTGACTGGATTCGAACTTCCCCTTTTGATGCTTCTGTGGCACCTTGTTCATTCCTTTGCATACTCAGAGCCCGTGTAATCATTTATTCAATTTCTGTGATACCTACTGGTTATAGGCTCCTTGAGGACAGGAATCATTGGCGTCTTTTTTGCTCTCTAGCCCTAGCCTCAAACACAGTACCAGCATAAAGTGCTTCATAAATAAATAATGAATTAATGAGCAACCATTGCAATGTCTCCTGACAAATATCCTTTTTTTGGGGGGGTGGTGGTTTTTTGAGACAGGATCTTGCTCTATCACCCAGGTTGAAGTGCAGTGGTGCAATCATAGCTCTCTGTAGCCTCAAACTACTGGGCTCAAGCAATCCTCCCACCTTGGCCTCCCAAAGTGCTGGGAGTACAGGCATGAGCCACCACACCCAGCCTATATGTGAATTTTTACTTTCTTTCTTTCTTTCTTTTTTTTTTTTTTTTTGAGGCAGAGTTTCACTCTTGTCGCCCAGGCTAGAGTGCAATGGCGTGATCTCAGCTCACTGCAATCTCTGCCTCCCGGGTTCAAGCGATTCTCCTGCCTCAGCCTTCCGAGTAGCTGGGATTACAGGCACCTGCCACCACTCCTGGCTAATTTTTATTTTTGTATTTTTAGTAGAGACGGGGTTTTGCCATGTTGGCCAGGCTGGTCTCGAACTCCTGACCTCAGGTGATCCACCCACCTCAGCCTCCCAAACTCCTGGGATTACAGGCATGAGCCACCATGCCTGGCCCACTTTCTTTCTTTTCAACAAATAAAATATTGCTGCATCTGTTTTCTCATAACATGCAGTCAGGACACACCAGAATTCACTCATTCCCCAACTATTTATTGAGGAACTAATATGTGTGAGGCATTATGCCAGGTACCTGGAGTCAACAGTGATAGAGTGTATATCTCCCTCATCCTAGGAGAGAATCTATGTAATTTCCTGTGATATAGAAAGAGAATACCTACCATTCACTTGCCTAGGGAAATCAATACTTTCTGTACTGGCTGTCCTCTTTATACGACAATATTATCTGCATATGCATTTGCATTTGCTATCCTTTTCTATTTGTATGAAGCCCATAACAAAAATATCTTTGTCAACATCAAAATGACACAGTCTCAATAACGTATTCCAAGTTACTTCTGGTGAGACTCATTTGGTTGCAAGCAACATAAACTCTTCAAGATAGCTTTAAGTTAAGGGAATTTATATGAAGATACAAATAATAGGGAAGATTAACTGTCTCTGAAATTTTGAAACAAAAGCCGTTATAGGGACTGGATCGAGAGAGGGTTTCTAGATCTGTGGCTGCTCTAGGGACTTGAGCTGCCACTCAGACATTCCTACACCTTGGCATTCTACCCTCTAGGGCTCTAGTTTTGGTATGACTTTATCTACCAACTGGGTTCTTTTATTCTTGTCCTAGTACCAACTGTTCTACTTACTCAGTTTCCGCTTCTTTGTAACTTTGGCTGGAACACAGCCATTTCTTCTTAACGTCCCTACTCTATTCTTTTCAGTGTTTGTCCTGTGACCTTTTCTGTGTTTGTCACTAGCACAAATTGACTACATTTCTCCTTATCTAAGTCCAAGTTTTCAAGACAGAGCACTTCACTACCCCAGTTCATTTTAATGCACCAGAGGTTGCTGGCTGGCCAGTGGATTGCCTTCCCTCAGGTCAGGTTCCCTTTCTCATCAGATCAGCAGATGCCAGAAAATAAGCATGGCATGCCACAAGATGTGGCTGGTGCTCCACTGACTCACACTTGCAGGGCTGTGGAGAGCGGATTTCTGTAGCATGAAACTTGGGCAATGCATATGCAAGAGAAACTAATCTTATTTTCAGGCAGACTTTGAAGATTGACAGATTAGTGGTTTATTTATTGTAATCTTTAAATATGAAATAATTTCTTTAATTGGCAAAAACCATACCCATATTGAAGTCAGAAATATGGAATGTCACTTTGGTGCACTTGTTAAAATTCTGAGGAAGCGGAATGCAAAGAGAATAGGATCTTCTGGTCAAATGACTTCCTTGGTTCATAATAATCATTCACCCAGTGAGAATTTATTGAGTATTTACTATGCACCAGGCACAGTTCTAGACCTGCGATTACAGAAACACATAAGATAGATATGGCCCCTGTCCTTTTGTATATCAACTATTGATATTTTTAAAGTCTTAAATGTATTGGTCTATTCTCTGAAGTAAATAGATTTAACGTAGTTGGAGTTTTCTTGATGACTGAAAATGTTAAAAATAATCTTATTGAAGATTGACATAGATTTAATACAATAGAGAAGACAGGGGAAGCTGGACTGGCAATCCCACAAGATTCTTCAGGAAATTGCTGTTTAAAAATGCCATCTCTTGGATTAGCTGGTTGGCCTTAATTTCTATCATTCCTTTATATTTCACATACAGAGATAAAAAGAATGTTTATTGAAGTTCCGGTGAAAATTAATTTTGAGTAATTGAGGGAATATGGTTTGGATGGTCCCCAATGTTGAAGATGGGGCCTGGTGGGAGGTGTTTGGGTTATGGGGGAAGATTCCTTATGAATGGCTTGGTGCTCTCCTCATGGTAATGAGCATGTTCTTGCTCTGAGTTCAAGCAAGATCTGTTGTTTAAAAGAATATGGTATGTCCTCCCCCTCTCTTTCTTGCTTCCTCTCTTGCCATATGACATGCCTGCTCCCCCTTCACCTTCCACCATGATTGGAAGCTTCCTGAGGCCCTCTCCGGGAGGAGATGCTGGTACCATGCTTCCTGTACAGCCTGCAGACGGACGTGCGAGCCTATTAAATCTCTTTTCATTATAAATTACCGAGTCTCCAGGATTTCTTTACAGCAATGCAAAAATGAACTAACACATTAGGTTTTACTTCATTTTTATTTTAAGTGATTTTAATTTTTATTTTATTAATTTTAATTACACACAATACTTATACAGATTTTGGTGACATTATCAATATTAATTTTTTCAACATATATAGATCCATAGTTTTAAAACTTAAAAAAAATATATGGGCATAGTGTCTCACACCTGTAATCCCAGCACTTTGGGAGGGTGAGAGGGGTGGATCACCTGAGGTCAGGAGTTCGAGACCAGCCTGACCAACATTGTGAAACCCTGTCTCTACTAAAAATGCAAACATTAGCTTGGCCTGGTGGCACACGCCTGTAATCCCAGCTACTTGGGAGGCTGAGGCAGGAGAATCGCCTGAACCCAGAAGGCAGAGGTTGCAGTGAGCCAAGATAGCACCAGTGTATCCCAGCCTGGGCAACAAAAGCAAAACTCTGTCTCAAAAACAAAAACAAAAACAAAAACACACACACACACACAAAAACAAACAAACAAAAAACAAAAAACCAAAGGCTTATAGTGAAATCCATAGCCATGTGCCCTGTCTCCCCAAGTCCTGTTCCAGCAGTAACCACTCTCAACATTTCTAGCTCTTTCTACTGGTATTTACCTCCATATTTCCAACTGATATGCTTAAACTATAAATGTTCTGTTCTATCTATTTTAGGTAGTATTTATTGACTTTCTGTCATGGTAGAAAAAAAATCTCACCTATTCCATTTCTTACTCCCAATTCCCCTCCTAACATTACCTTGGTATAGTTATGACACAGCTTTTGGTGAAGTCAAATATCATCCCCCTTCTGTGACTTGTGAACTATGACCAGGTCTCTTTATCATATAATCCTCCATTTTACTAAGAATAAGCATTTTCTTGTTTTCATCTGTGATACTTTATGCACCAGTGGCTAATTTTTCCTAGTGTTCTTTTATCATTGTCTTACACTCATCAGTAATATTTTCCAGATACTCAACTGTATCAATTACTTTTTGTGTTTTCTCTGGGGTCCTCTGTCCTCCTGCTTCAGCTTGGACTGTTTTCTTCCCAAGTTGGCTATACAAGTTTTATCCTGTCACTTTCCTTCACTGTCATCTCAGGACTTTGCTTATGCCATTGTCCTGTGTTAGACCTTTTATTTTACCTTCCTCTTTCTTGGCTTACTCCTTTGTTTTAGTGGAACACATCCTCCAGTAACTTCTCAATAACTTGTAAATGGGAGAGCATTGTTTTGAGGATGTGTATGTCAGAAAATGCCTTGATTCTAATATCAGTGTGTGTGGTATATTCGAATCCAGAATTCTGGACTGAAGATCATTGTCACTCAGAATTTGAAGAAAGGCCTCCATCATCTCCTAACTTTTGATGTTGCCACTCAGCAGTCTACTATTGGTCTGACTCACACTCTTTTGTGAGTTGTTGTTTCTAGAAGCTTTTAGAATCTTTACCTCTTGTGTTTTGCAATTTCATAATGGCAAGTTTTGACAGTCTTTGGTCATTTGTTATGCTGGACCCTTGGTGAGTCCTGTCACCTAGAACTCAAGCCCTTCAATTACAGGAAATGATCTCATTTTATTGTTTGATAATTTTCTCCTCCTATTTTCTCACTTCTCCTTATGATACTTCTATTAGTTCCTATAGGACTTTTTAGACTGATCCTGTAATTTTCTTTTCTTTCATATTTTCTATCACTTTAACTTTGCTTCTATTGTACATGAGATTTCTTCAATATTTCAGCCCTCTCATTTTTTAGAAATGCCTCATTTTTAATCTCAAAGAAATATTTCTTTTTATTTTTCATGTATCCCAAAATCCATACAAAGGATCAACAAAACCAAAAGCT
Organism: Homo sapiens; assembly: GCF_000001405.40. Lineage (NCBI taxonomy): Eukaryota > Metazoa > Chordata > Mammalia > Primates > Hominidae > Homo > Homo sapiens. The sequence goes on from NC_000013.11 coordinate 46,310,724, forward strand.
GGTTCTTTTAACGAACAAACAAGATCGATAGACCACTACTAGATTAATAAAGAAAAAAAGAGATAAGATCCAAATAAGTGCAATCAGAAATTTCAAAGGTGACATCAAAACCAATCCCATAGAAATACAAAGGCTCTTCAGAGACTATTATGAACATCTCTATGTACACAAACTAGAAAATCTAGAAGAAATAGACTTCTATAAACACACAACCTTCCAAGACTGAGGCAGGAAGAAACCAAAACCAGAACAGACGAATATTGAGTTCTGAAATTGAATCAGTTAATAAAAAACCTACGAACCAAAAAGAGCCCTGGACCAGTTGGATTCACAGCTGAATTGTACCAGACATACAAAAAACAGCTGGTACCAAACCTACTGAAACGATTCCAAAAAATGGAAGAAGAGAGACTCCTCCCAAACTCATTATACAAAGCCAGCATCACTCTGATACCAAAATCTGACAAAGACACAACAAAAAAGAAAGCTACAGACCAATATCCCTGATGAACATAGATACAAAAATCCTCAACAAAGTATTAGCAAACCACATCCAACAGCCGTTCTTATTCTAGATGCAATATCTTAATGTACTGAGGGTATTTATTGTTTTAGCTTTTTGTCTTTAAATAATTATAGATTCAAATTTACAAAGATAGTACAGGGAGGCTGCAAGTACCCTTCACCCAGTTTCCCACAATGGTTACATCTTACATACTTATAATGCAATATCAAAATCAGGAAATTGACATTGGGGCAATGCACATGTATAGTTCTATGTCACATCACTGTTGTAGGACTCTCTCCTTAGTTCAGCTAAAGACGAGGTCCCTGTCACATGGCCATGAAAAATTAGGCTTACAGACAATTTGAAGGGTGAGAATAATGGAATTCATTGGGCAAAAAGGAAAAAAGGGAAACAGGGCCTCTCCACAAATCTAGAGTCCCTGCTAGTGTGCTTCCTGCGTCACAGATTGAATTCCAGGTTCCACCCAGGAAGAGGAGGGGCCAAGCTCCTCCCTGATGCAAACGGCGGAACTCCAGTGCACTGATCAGTTGGGATTGCTTTGGGGACCCCTTCCCACCTGGCTGTGTCATCACCACAAAGATCTCCCTCATGCTATCCCTTAATAGACACACCCTCACTCCCCCCACCACAGAATATTAAAATTAATTTTTTTTTCTGTTTTCAGCCTGGTATTTTTTCTTCATGTTCCATTTTTTTCTGTACTTTTTTTTTCTAGTGCTCTTTCATTTTGAAAGCTACCTACAAATGTCTGGCAGTCTTGCCTATTATTCATATTCAAGCATGAAGCGAATTGCAGGGTCAGCTTGTGCATAAGTTGTAGGGCCCACCAAAGGGAGATCAGTCGGTACATCAACTTCTTCATTGCCAAAGGGTCCTGCAAATGTTGGTGCCTGAGATGTTTTCTCTAGATTCATTCACATAGTCCAGAGAAGATGCTTCCAATCTCCCCAGGGATGGGGAGAATTGTAAGCCTGACTGCTAGCTTCCTTAAAGCAGAGCGTTGTGGGAGGGTATTGAGAGTCTACTATTCAATGTGCAGATTTCAAGTTAATTTCCTTGTTTTCAACTTCTACCCATCTATTCTCACTCACATTCATCATTATTCTCCTGAACTTCTCAAGTTCAGTTTCCATAGAGAATAAACCTCCAGGCCAGGCGCCATGGCTCCTGCTTGTAGCCCCAAGCAGGGGAGGCTGAGGCAGGCAGATCACTTGAGGTCAGGACTTCAGACCAGCCTGAACAACATGGTGAAACCTCATCCCTGCTAAAAATACAAAAATTAGCCAGGTGCCCTGGCTCATGCCTGTAATCCCAGCACTTTGGGAGGCCGAGGCGGGTGGATCACTTGAGGTCAGGAGTTCTAGACTAGCCTGGCCAACATGGAGAAACCCCATCTCTACTAAAAATACAAAAGTAGCCGGGCCTGGTGGTGGGCACCTGTAATCACAGCTACTCAGGAGGCTGAGGCAGGAGAATCACTTGAATCCAGGAGGTGGAGGTTGTGGTGAGCTGAGATCACACCACTGCACTCCGGCCTAGGTGACAGAGTGAGACTCTGTCTCAAAAACAAACAAAAAAAAAACAAAAAAACAAAACAACAACAACAAAAAAAACATTAGCGAGGCATGGTGGTGGGCACCTATAGTCCTAGCTACTCAGGGGGCTGAGGCAGGAGAATCGCTTGAACCTGGGAGGTAGAGGTTGCAGTGAGCCAAGATTGCACCACTGCACTCTAGCTGGGCTCTGGGAGGGCACTTGCCTAGCTTCATGAGGAGAGGGGAGGTTGTCTAATCACTCCACATACAGCCTTCCAGAAAATGCCCCATTCCCACCTTTGCCTCATGGCACCTCACACCTGTGTTAAGCCTTTTTGTGCCTCTGAAGAGGAATCACTCATTTCTCATCAAACTTCCCCTCTGTAGACGCCAACATTGTTACAAATCTTCCATCAACCAGATTTTTTGTTGAAATTTTTCTCACCAGATGCTGTTTCATATTCAATCCACTTTGTCCTCTTGGACTTCTGTATTTTTTTTACTTCCTTTATAGATATTTTATTAAGGTTCTAGGAGGGTGGGTGAAAGCACATTTAGTTTGCCATGGTTATGCAGCATACAACAATCTTTTTTAAAAAAATATTTATATATATGATGAAAATGGAACTTTTGTCTTACATAATTTCAAATATAGAAGTAATGCGAGATCGTATTTCATAAAAGGTATCACAAAAAAGATTTTCACTGTTTCAGAAGATAGTAATATTTTTGCCTCATTCATCTTTAAAACTTTATTGGGTGATATGTGGTTCTATCTTCCACACATATTTACCCCAATTTTCTGCTATTGCAATATCAAAGTTGTGAAATTTGACAGGAAATGTGAGGGAAGGCTACGTTGAAATGAGCTCTAGACAAGATGTCCTTTTGCTTCTAGAGTTTAGCACCTCTAACAAAAGGTAGGGACCCTCATGGCTCTTTCTTTTAGGATCCTTGGAAGACTATTTGAATGATCGATGATTTTTGTCGGCTCTTGTCTCCCGTGTCTTCTAGAGTCAGGCTGCTTCTCACTGACCAAGGCCCAGGGGTGTCAAGCAGCAGGGAGGAAGCTGGGTACAGGGGTTATTAAATTGAAAAGCTGACTTTGAAAAATACAAGTAAGCTCTCCTGAAGTTTCAAGTCTGGCAGCAAGCATGGAGGCAAGAGAGAGAACTCTCCAGGAGGAAAGAAGTTAGCAAGAATGAGAATAAACACAAAAGTAGACATTAATGGAGAGTGAAAGACAATGGAGAAAGTATAAGATGAAACTGAAAGCAAGATGGAAGACAGAACATATACCAAGCAGGAAGAAAGCAAATATTGATCTGAACAGAACTAAAGTTAGCACATTTATTTATTTAATAAATATTCAGTAAGTATCTATTGAGCAGCCACTATGTACAAGCTTTGTAGAGGAGAAACTAAAATAGACCAACAAACATTTTTTGAAAAAGAGAGGAAGGAAGGAATATCAGATAGTGGGAATTAAAATAGGTTGATATAGTTAAGAAGAACAAGGTGGCTCCAGATGTTTAAGCTCAAATTTGAATGACAAGAAGAAGCCAGCCCTGCGGAAGTCATGATAAATAATCAGCAAAATGCGAGTGAGACTGCCACAAGATATCATTTACACCTACCAGACTGACAAGACTTGAAAAGTTAAGTGATACCAAATATTGACAAGGGTAGAGGGCAATAGGAATGCTCCTTCACTGATAATAAGACTGTAAATTGGTATAACCACTTTGAAATCAATTTCATGTTACTTAAAAAAAGGAATATGCTTATATCCTAGAACCCGCAAGTCTATACCTAGTTATATAGAATCAATCTTGCACATGTGTATTAGGAGATATGTTTCAGAAAGTTTAGTTTATTGTAATAGCAAAAAGCTGGGAAACTTCAAATGTCCATCAACAGTAGAACAGATAATTGTATTTTGGTATTTTGATGTAATGAAATACTACACAGCTGTGAAAATGGATGAATTACAGCTTTACACACCAACATGATGAATCTTAGGAACATAAAGCAAAGTGAAAAAGCAAGTGGCAGAAGTATTGTGATTCCACTAACATTCAATCCAAACAACATATTGCTTAGAGATAGAAACAGATGTAGGAAAACTATAATGAAAAGCAAGAGGATCTCAACACAAAATTTAGGCTAGTGTTTATCTCAGACTAAGTAGGAGAGGGGCTGAGATCAGGAAGGAATTCACAGATTTTATGGTAAATGATTGAAATGGTTAGCAGGTCCATGAATGTAAGATATGTTGTCATTCTGTAAACATGATGTGCATTTTATAAATATAGCATTAGTTCATAAATTAATGGATTAATAATTAATCCATTAATTGTAAACATATTTACTATAAATTATTTTAATTATTTTGTCTTTACATATAATAATATAATTAACTTATATTATTATAAATAAGAATATAAATTATTTTATTATTATAATTATGGATCAATAATTCATTAATTAATGTATGGATTAATTATTAACTAGATGTTTAAAAGTGTTTTTAACCAAGACCAAAACAATGCAAGGAGAACATTCTGGGCAGAGGAGACATCAAGTATGAAGGCCATAAAATGGGACAAGCTGGATGCCTCCCAGGATAGGAGAGAGGCCAGCATGGCTGGAACAAAGTAAGCAGGGCAGGGTAGAGAAAAATGAGGTTGGAGTGGCTGAAGTACATAGGGCTATTGATGGTGAGAGAACACAAGTTTCAAGATATCAAGGACTCAAAAATGTCAAATCGCCTGAGTGAGGCGAGAAGAGTGAATGGGCTGGAGGTAATAGGATGGTGCTCAGATGGTGAGAGGTTTGGAGCTGAGGTTTCAGAGGTGATGCAATGATTGGTAATGACAATGTCACGATTTCAGGAGTGTGTGATTTCAGGAGTGCATGGATGAGGTATGTGGAAAAACAAAATACTATAGGCAAGGAGGTTAAGAAAGTAGAAGGCAGGGTGGGGGCAGTCACCCACATGGGTGAAGGGTCTGGACAAGCCTAACAAGTTGCTTGTACAGCAGTCACGTTGGTTGACCACAGAGCCACCTTTCCCACCACCTACCACACCTGCCACCTGATCCAACTCTGACTCCTAGTCTTCAGCTTCCACGAATGAATGGGAGTTCAGATAGGTAAGTAAGCCTGAATGGTAGCATGCATAAACTTCAAGAGGCAGCATTGTGTGAGGGGACAAACACACTGGCCCCAGGTGGGCAGGAGGCTAGGCAGTGGGCCACGTGGTCTCTTCTCATGGGATTTCACATCGGCAGTGAGCTTCCTAAACTCACAAATGGTATGTTTATATTCCTTTTTTGGGAATGGTGACAGAGATGAGCCTCATGCCTGTATCTGATACAGGGCCAAAGCATGATGGCACACACAGGTGTAGAAACCTAGAAGAAGATAAAAGCAGGAGAAGTCAGGCCCAGAAACTCTTAGAATACAAGGGGACCCCTTGAGGGGTCACAGGTCCTGAGAAGGAGGTACCTGTTTAGACTAACCATGCCTGTGATAAGCAGAGGGTGTCTTAGTCTGTTTGGGCTGCTATAATAAATACCATAGATGGGGTGACTTATAAGCAAGAAACATTTATTTCTCACAGTTCTGGAGGCTTGGAAGTCCAAGATCAAGGCACTGGCAGATTCCATGTTGGGTGAGGGCCCATTTCCTGGCTCAAACATGTTGCTTTCTAGCTGTGTCCTCACATGGTGATATAAATGGGCAAGGCAGCTCTCTAGAACTTCCATTAAAAGCACACTCATCTCATAATCACCTACCAATGACTTCACTTCCTGGGAATTGGCTTGTGACCATTGCCTTGTGGGTATAACATATGAATTTTCAGGGGACATAAACATTATATATCCATCAGATATAACCTCTCATTTGTCCAAAAAGGGAACTGGGTCTCAAAGAGGTTAAATAATTTGCCCAAGATCATTCACTTGCCAAAATGGCAGGAGCAGGATTTGAACGTAGGCCCACTGGACTCCAAACATGTGATCTTCACCATTCACTGGCAACAAGAGGAGGAAAATACTTCCACTGAGTTCTAAAGGCTGAGTAAAATTATCCAGAAAAAGGAAGAGAAGGTAAGAGGTGGAGGAAGTGGTACCAGGCAGAGGGAGCCCAGGAATGAGCAGAGCCAAGAATGTGAGAGAGTATGATGTGTCCAGGTACCTGCAAAGGCCACACACAAGACCACTATGTTCCCAACACAACACATGTTCTCACCTCCAAGCAAGTGAGCTGTTCCTTCCTTCCAGAATTCCTCCCTGTCAGCCTTTAGGTCAATAACTTTTCCTTGTTCTTCAAAATTTATTTCAAGTGTTAATTTTTCCAGGTTTTCTCAAAGGCCTAGGAATTGGCTAGGGGCTCTTTGCACTCCAGCAAGGTGTTGGTCTGCATTTTCCCTGCAGGAGAAAGATGAGAGAATTTAAGAAGCTGTGTCTCCCTGTGCATAAAAGGATACAGCCTCACTTCTATGAGGTTCCTTCCAAGAATATAACATGATTGCCACCATGAGGAAACATCAGGAAAACCCAGATTGAAGGATCTACTACAAAATAACTCATCTCTCAGAATCATGAAAGAAAGAAAAATCAAGGATTTGACCCACATTAAAGGAGATTAAAGGGTTATGACAAAAAATGCAATGTGTGATTTTGAATTAGAAGTGGCAAATTTTGAATTAGAACACAAGTGGCAAATTTTGAATAATGTATATATTTTTAAAAACATAATACTATCATATCAATGTTAATTTTCTGATTTTGATCACTGAAGTCTCACTGTGTAAAAGAATATCCTTATCTTTCAGAAATACCCATTGAAATATAAAAATATTTGGAGGTAAAGAAACTTCATTTCTGCATCCTAGACTCACACATCTCAGAAGTACAAATATGCACACACACACATACACACACATAGAGAAGTTCACACGAATGTGAACATTTGTACTACCCAAAGCAATTTAAAGATTCAATGCAATCCCTATCAAAATATCAATGACATTCTTTACAGAAATAGAGAAAAAAATTCTAAAATTTGTATGGAACCACAAAAGACTCTGAATAACCAAAGCAATCCTGAACAAAATGAACAAAGCTGGAGACATCATACTACCAGATTTCAAACTATGCTACTAAGCTGTAGCAACAAAACAACATAGTACTGGTGTAACAACAGACACATAGACCAATGGAATAGAATAAAGAACCTGGAAATCAATCCATGTATCTACAGCCAGTGGATTTTTGACAAAAGTACCAAGAACATTGACTAAGGAAAGGACAGTCTCTTCAACAAATTGTTCTGGGAAAACAGAATATCCACATGCAGAAGAAAAACTAGAATCCTACCTATCACCCTATATAAATATCAACTCAAAATGGATCAAAGACCTAAATGGAAGACCTGAAACTATAAAACTACTAGAATAAACAATGGGGAACCACTTCAGGACATTGATCTGGGAAAAGATTATATGAATAAGATCTCAAAAGCACAGGCAACAAAAGCAAGAATAAACACCAGAGATTATGTTACACTAAAAAGCTTCTGCATAGAAAAGGAAACAATCAACAGAGTGAAGAGACAGTCTACAGAATGGGATATAATATTTGCAAACTATTCATCGACAGGGGTTAATATCCAGAAGATACAAGTAACTCAAACATCTGAACAGCAAAAATTCATCTAATTCAACTAAACAATTCAATTAATAAATGAGTAAATGATCTCAACAGACATTTGCTCAAAAGGCATACAAATGGCCAACAAATATATGAAAAAATGTTTAACATCACTAATTTCCCTGATGAGGGAAATGCATATCAAACTCACAGTGAAGCATCATCTCACCCCAGTTAGGATAACTATTATTAAAAAGACAGAAAATAACAAATGCTGTTGAGGATGAGGTGAAAATGGAACTCATATACACTGTTGGTGGGAGTGTAAACTAGTCCAACCACTGTGGAGAACAGTGTAGAGGTTCCTCAAAAAACTACAAACAGAACCACCATATGATCCAGCAGTCTCACTACTGGGTATTTATTCAAAGGAAAGGAAATCAGTATATTGATGAGACATGTGCACTTCCATGTTTATTACAGCACTTTTCACAACAGCCAAGATATGGAATCAATCAGGTGTACAACAGCAGATAAAGAAAATATGGCACATATACGTAATGGAATACTATTCAGCCATAAAAAGGATGAAATCCTGTCATTTGTGGCAACATAGGTGGAACTGGGGGACATTATATTAAGTGAAATAAGCCAGAAACAGAAAGTTAAATACCACATGTTCTCACTCATGTGTGGAAGCTTAAAATGTTGATCTTACAGAAGTAGAAAGCAGAACAGAGAATACTAATAGCTGGGAGAAGTAGAGATAAGGGAGTGATGGGAAGAGATTTGTTAAAGGATGCAAAACTACAGCTATACAGGAAGAACAAGCTCTAGTGTTCTATACCATTGTAGAATCACTGTAGTTAACAATATTGTTTCACATAGCTAGGATGATATTAAATGTTCCCAACACAAAGAAATAATAAATGTTTGAGATGATGGATATGCTTATTAACCCTGATCTGATCACTATATATTACATGTATCGCATCATTATGTGCCCCCAAAATATATACTATTATGTGTATTTTTTAAATTAAAAACAAATCAGTCAATAATAAAGAATATCAGCAGTACCTTCAAAGGTCTGGAGTACCTCTCCCTGATCCTGTCTCCCACCCTCCATCTGTGACAACCACTATGTTGCATTATGTTCATCATTCACTTGCTTTGAAAAACAAAAACAAAAAACGTTTCTACCACCTATGGGTAGATCTCTAGTGTAAACAACGTAATGCTTGGCTTTGTCTGTGAAATTTATGTTAAGTGATCACTAATGAACGTCTTCCATGATTTGACTCTTTTGCTCAAGTTTGTTTTTAACATTTGTCAAATGTTAAAATTTGTACAATAGAATACAAACCCTAATTAGCCTTATGCTAATTAGCCATATGCTCATTAGGGTTTGTATTAGCTAATGTGGCTAATTACGGTTTGTATTGCATTGCACAAATATGTCACAATTTCCTTAATCATAGAAATGTCAACATTTGGGGAATCTAAGCAAAAGGGTATGGGAATTTTCTGTACTACTTTTGCAACTTTCTCTAATTATGAAATGATTTTAAAGTAAAAAGTTTTTTCTAATTCCTCTTAGAGCTAAGGAAGAAGAGGGGAAGCAGAAGAAAAAGGAGGAAGAGGCCGGGACAGTGGCTCACGCCTATAATCCCAGCACTTTGGGAGGCCAAGGCGGGCGGATCACGAGGTCAGGAGATGAAGACCATCCTGGCTACCATGGTGAAACCCCGTCTCTACAAAAAAAAAAAAAAAAAAAAAAAAAAATTTGCAGGGCGTGGTGGCGGGCGCCTGTAGTCCCAGCTACTCGGGAGGCTGAGGCAGGAGAATGGCGTGAACCCGGGAGGCGGAGCTTGTAGTGAGACCAGATGGGGCCACTGCACTCCAGCCTGGGCGACAGAGCAAGACTCCGTCTCAAAACAAAAAAAAAAAAAAAAAAGAAAAAGGAGGAGGAAGGAAGGAGATAAGAAAGAGGAAGAGAAGGAAAAAGACAAGAAACAGGAGGAGGAGGAAGACAAGAAAGAAGAGGGGGAGGGAGAGGAAGAGGAGGCGGAGAAGGAGGAAGAAAAAGACAAGAAGGGAGGAGGAGGGGAAAGAAGACAAGGAAGAGGAGGAAGAGAAGGAGGGAAAAGGAAGAGAAAAAGGACAATGAAGAGGGGAAGGAGGAGGAGGAGCAGCAGCAGCATCTCCTGTTCTCTTCCCTCTCCACACACACCCCTGCAGGCTCTCTTACAATGAGATGTCTGTACATAAACGCAGTGTTGCCTTTGCCACGTGGTTTCCAATCTGATCACACTTTCAAAATTTTCTCTACAGAATTTAGTTGTGGGGAACTAGAGACCCAAACAACTTGCTTCAAAAAGGGGAATGAGGTATGCACTAGGCACCCTGCTACCTCCTTCAGTTCTTCCAGGGGCATCCAGTCTCCTCTCGGCTAGCAGCCCTTCTGCTTCTTGCAGTGGGCTTATTCTCCTCTATGGCTCCAACAGCTAGGCCAGCTACCTCATGCGCTGGCCTGTGTGAGGCCACCAGGTCACCCTGGGGCCTTTCTGCTCCTTGAAGTTTTACTCTGTGCTCCTGCTGCTCGCCACCCTGTCTTCTGATCCTTTAGATCTTGAAAAGCAAGGATCTGACTGGCCCAACGCATCTTTCACACCAGGTGATGAGATGAATGTCCCAGGCCAGCTTAAGGCCTGGGACCCCTGGGGTCAGGTGTGGTTGGAGAGGAGGGGAAGGGACCCAACAGGCTGCTGAGTTGCAGGGGCTGCAAGTAGGACAGTTCCCCCTTAGCAGAGAAAGGGTGTGGAAGACATTCTCAGGCTCAGCCTGTCAAAGAAAATCTTGAATATTTTGGTCTCCTGAGCTGATCTAGAAGAAAGAACCAGTATCCGTTGTTTTCATCTAAAAAAAAAATCTACATGACCTCTCTCTTCTCTCTCTGGTTTTCTCACACACACACACACAGATACACACATATATACACCTCAGTGCCTTCTTTTCATTTCAGCCTGGCACGCTGTTAACACTTTTGGTGCGTTTTTATTCCCAGAAAGATGGCGTTTCTGTCCTACCTTTCAACTCCACAGAGAACGCATGTGAAGTTGCTTTTCCTGTGACTGTTGGTTTTGTAAGTCGTACTCACCAGGTCCACATTTACCCGCCTATGGCTTATAACTGCAACATCTGATGACTGGATTAGATCACTTGCAGGGTGTCTTTCAGCTCTAAAATCTGTGGTTCAGCAGCTCATGAGAAATCGGACCCTTAGTTCCTTAGACACAAGCAAAGCTGCCTGGTCTTTCAACTGGAAACCTTTTGAGGCAAAGCTGTGTCACCAGTGCCCTCTCGTGGGCAGATCTGAGACCCACAGTACCTTGAAATTACAAAATTGTAGCAACACTCAGATAATGATTAATGTTTAATTGAGGGCTTACGAAGTGTTAGGTGCTGATCTACAAATATCACACACGTTACCTAATTTAACCCTCACAACACCCCTATGCAATACGTGGTGTGGTTACTACTACTTTTTCTTTTTCTTCCCCCCAAGATGGAGTCTCACTCTGTTACCCTGGCTGAAGCACAGTGGTGCGATTTCCGCTCACTGCAACCTCCACCTCCCGGGTTCAAGCGATTCTCTTGCCTCAGCCTCCCGAGTAGCTGAGATTACAGGAGCCTGCCACCACACCCGGCTTTTTTGTATTTTTAGTACAGACTGGCTTTCACCATGTTGGCCAGACTGGTCTCGAACTCCTGACCTCAGGTGATCTGCCCGCCTCGGCCTCCTAAAGTGCTGGGATTACAGGCGTGAGCCACTGTACCCAGCCGTTTGTGGGTAGAAATTAGGGATGCAGGGTGTGGGTAACTGTCGGGGCAACTGTGTGTGTGTAGAAAGAGGGCACTATGGATGGAACCCACAGCCTAACTTAGTTTAGTCCTGCTTCTTTAACGAGATCCTCTGGGGTTCCAGTTAGGACTTTGTTTGCTAGATGACAGAAATGTTCTATATTGCCAGGCGCGGTGGCTCACACCTGTAATCCCAGCACTTTGGGAGGCCGAGGCAGGCGGATCACTTGAGGTCAGGAGTTCGTGACCAGTCTGGCCAACATGGCAAAACCCCATCTCTACTAAAAATACAAAAATTAGCCGGGCATGGTGGCAGGCGACTGTAATCCCAGCTACTCGGGAGGCTCAGGCACAAGAATTGCTTCAACCTGGGAGGTGGAGGTTGCAGTGAGCCAAGATCTCGCCACTGCACTCCACTCTGGGTAACAGAGTGAGACTGTCGCAAAAAAAAAAAAAAAAAAAAAAAAAAACAACTAAATGTTCTATATCTTAACTGGGGAGTACACATGGATGTATATCTTTGTCAAAACTTCATCAGACAATACACTTAAAATGGTTATATTTTATTCTATACAAGTTATACTTCAATACAGTTGATTTTAAAGTTCTGTGTGTGGTTTCTGAAAAAAAGTCACTTGGAAATCCACATGGACATCATGAAGATTTGTGGGGGAATAAATTGTATATAATTAGAGTATCCAATTTTACGGTTTAGAGTGTGATTACAACAAGATGTGATTTCTTTCACTATTGATTTGCCTATTATAGAATTTCATGTAGATGGATTCATACAGCATGTTCTTTTTTGCTTCTGGCTTTTGGATTTATCAGCAGTTTGTTCTTTTTATTTCCAGTAGTATCCTATTGTATGAATATAACAAGATTGGTTTATTCATTCTGTTAATGGACTTTGGGGTTTTTTTTCCAGTTCTTTTGGATAAATATGCAGGAGTGGAATTTCTAGGTCATATGGTGAGTGTATGACCAACTGTTTCCCAAAGTGTTTGTGCCATTTCATATTTCCACCAGCGATGCATGAGTTCCTATTGCTCCAGATCCTCGCCAGCATTTGGTATCATCAGTCTTTTAAGTTGGGGACCTTTGAGAGGGTGTACAGTGGTATCTCATTGCAGCACAGGCAGAACTTTGAAGCTCAAAAAGTAGGAAGAAAACATGCAAGAATGTATAGAAGACAGGTTAAGCTGATGAATATTACCATGGTCTGCATTATGCTGAGCTAAAATAATTGATTTCCAGCAACTTCTCAGTCTGGACCGGGAGAGAGAATCAAGGACTTGTGGTGTCTTCACTGGGTTGCTGGCCCAAGTGATGGCTCATCCCATATCTTGGGGCAGGTTCAGGAAGGATTCTGATTGAGATAAGGAGAATCAACCCAACTAATGGACAGGAGTAAGAGCAACTATGGAAACTTTCCCCTGAACTTTCACTTCCAGGAGATAACACACAACTCTTTTTTTTTTTTTTTTTCGATGGAGTCTTGCTCCCATCGCGCAGGCTGGAGTGCGGTGGTGCGATTTTGGCTCACTGCAACCTCCGCCTCCCGGGTTCAAGTGATTCTCCTTCTTCAGCCTCCCGAGTAGCTGGGATTACCGGCGTGCACCACCACGCCCTGCTAATTTTTGTATTTTTAGTAGAGACGGGGTTTTGCCATGTGGGCCACGCTGGTCTTGAACTCCTGACCTCAGGTGATTCATCTGCCTTGGCCTCCCAAAGTGCTAGGATTACAGGCATGAGCCACTGTGCCTGGCCTAGATAACATACAGCTCTTAAGACCGGGCGTCTCCTCCAGGTCTCTGAAGGAGAACTGTTTTCAGAGATAGCAGTTTGATTACTAAAAGCTGTAACTAAACAATATTTCTATAATGTACAATCATTTCTATAATGAGCCACTGCTACATAAATAAAGGCTTTTAATGATTGATTGTTGAATTTTGGAAAAGGAGTGCTGGAAAGTAACATTATTTGGGGGAAACACTTTCCTACACCTCAGGTTTCCATACCAAGCAGGGAATCATGATTCCCTGATAGAAAAGAGGAGGCGGGGGATGTTCCTGGCCCCTTTCTCCACACCTAGGATATGACAGTCAGGACATTTAACAACCAGTGAAGCATGGTCACCACCAATCAGAAAAGATGCCACCTGGAAGGGGTCTTTGGTGCCCCTGCCAGGTGCTGTCGCTGGGAGGTCTGAGAGTCGGAAGGAGGGGCTGGAGGCTAGAGAGGATGCTGTTTCTCAGCTGCATGGAAGTATTCCAGTATTGTCATCACTGGTACAGCCACACTCATGTGTAGGGGCTGACCCGGGAGGAAGAACGACTTGTCATTCCGGTGAGTTTGGGAGAAGGAACTTGATGGCTGCAGTGAGCCACCTGGGCTTTCTCTCTGATGTCAGCCTGCCTGCTTCCCTCTCCAGTAACAACAAAGTTTACTGGGCAGTCTCTGCCATGAGATGGAGGCTGGCAGGAGACTGGAACTCAGACGGTCTGTTTAATTCAAGGCTGAAGATTGATTAAGGCTGCTCAGCAATGCGCCCCATCAGTAATATCCGTCTGATTCATGTGTCTCTCAATTATTTCCATGTTCAGTGTGGAAGGCAGGACTACAACTAATTTGCACCTCTAAAAACCCAATACTATTGTCAGTGGGACCCCAGGTCCATTTATGGGAGGAGAACTTTGCTTCTAAATAACCAGTTCTCTATTTTAGACACAAATATCCCTAATAGAAAAAATTGCATAAGATTCTGTAACTCCATGGATGTATAATGTAATATCATTCCATTCGTTCTAGTCAGTTTTCAACAATGCAAGCAATTGTCTGATTAACACGTTGGTTTCCTAGAATACCTGATCAGCAGAAGAATGTGTCCTGTTTATGCAATAAAATTGTGGTGTATAGACAAGGGATATGATTTGTATGTGTGGCCCCTCCGAATCTCATGTCGAAATATGATCCTCAGTGTTGAAGGTGGGGCCTAATGGGAGGTGGCTGGGTCACGGGGGTGGATCCCTCATGATTACCTTGGTGTCATCCCTGTAGTAATAAGTGAGTTCTCACTCTATTAGTTCATGGGAGAGCTGGTTATTTCAAAGATCATGGGATCTTTCTTGCTCCCTCTCTCACCACGTGACATGTCTCCTCCCCCTTCACCTTCCACCGTAAAGAAAGCTTCCTGAGGCCTCACCAGAAGCAGATGCTGGCTCCACGCTTCTTGTACAGCCTGCAGAACCATGAGCCAAATAAACCTCTCTTCTTTATAAATTACCCAGCCTCAGGTATTCCTTTATAGCAACACAAAATGGATTGACCCAGGCCTTATTCACTTATGTTAAAATAGGTAAAAGGCTTTTCATCCAAGGAGCTGAACGCTTTATTTTGAATAAGCTAAAGGCCCTAAAAAATAAATTATGGAGCATATGGATATTCCAACAAGAAACACAGTAGAAGGAAGGCAATTAAGGGATAAATCGCCTTCATGTGTGCTCTTCATCTTCCACTTTTTAGCTGGATGACATTGAGCAGGCACCTCTCTGTGCCTCAGTTGTCTCAACAGTAAAATGGAAATAATGAAATCTAATCTTACAGAGTTGTTGTGAAATGTGTATGAAATAAAATATATAATAAAATGTGCATATAAAAATGCTATGTAAAGTTTTAAAATCTGATACAAAGTGTATTACAATTCTTATTATACTTTAAAAAATAAAAGAAAAAACACTGCCAGCAGTAGATCGATGATGGAACATTCCTGATGAAGATGATGGTATTTATCCTCACAGAGCTGATTCCATTGGGTTCCTTCTGTTTTTTCTAGGGTGCTACCCTGGTTCTAAGATCAACTAACCATCCATGTAAGAGGTTACATTCTTTAAGAGAAGAAGGAAGTAGTGTGGGGAGGGAAGAGATGAGAAAGAGATGGAAGGAAGAAATAAAAGATATCTGTGTTTCAGGAAGTATAACTCCTTCCAGTGGCTTGGTACTTTCTCACTACCTGGATGGAAAATGAGTGATTAAGAAAGCATCTCAAATTCAAGATTTTCCCAGTGGTTTGCAGACTTAATTGTTGTCCCTACAAGAGCTATGAAAACCATATTTTCTCCTCTCATCTTCATACCATTTGGTCCTGACCCTACCCTCCTCCCCGGATTCCTGCTTAGTTGAGAATCTCATGCTTCTTTTCTCAGATGATCGAGGACTGAGAACTCTGCTGGTCAGTTTTATGTGTTTCCATGGCTGGGCTGTAGTACTCTGCTATTTGATCCAACACTAGTGTAAGTGTTTCTGTGGAGGCATTCTGTAGAAGTGATTAACATGCACAATCAACTGACTTTAAGTAAAGAAGATTATCTTGGATAGTCTGGTGGACCTGCTCTGGCCAGTGAAAGGCTTTAAGAGCAAAATTGGGATTTCCCTGAGGAAGAAGAAATTCCACCTGTGGACTGCAGTTTAAGCTCAGTTCTAGCCTGCCCTGCCTGATGGCCTGCCCTAAAGATTTCAGATTTGGCTAGTCAATCCCACAAGCATGTAAGCCAATTCCTTGCAATCAATCAACAAACAAACAAATGAATGTGTATGTGTGTGTCCTGCTGGGTCTGTTTCTCTGATAGAACCCTGACTGACTCTAGGAAAACAGCCTGTTGCATGGCAAGAGTGACGCCATCTTGAAGTGGAACTGCCATGATGACAGATATTTGACTCCTGCAGACCAAGGTGTTCTTCAGCAAGATCTTTAAACAACACCTGCGGTGTAGATAATTCCTCATAAAGATGCTCATCTAACCTCCCCAGTGGTCATTAGTCTTGGCAAGAAAGTCTGAGACGTGATCAGCTGCATGTGTCTCTACCTTAAAAGACTGTTATATAAATGATACTTTTTGGAGAGCATGATTTTTGGAGGGGATTCACTGTCTCACGGCTGCCCAAGACATTGCTTCTGTTCCTAAGTCCCTATTAAATGCTTCTGAGAAACTAGATTTGTCAGCCTTTCTTCAGCCTCTCAGCTCCCTTGGCCTTTGGGGGTTGGTTTGCATAGACCTGTGCACCATAAACCAGTGACCAAGAGCAGCTTTCTATGCAACTGATGTCATTTTCCTTTTTTACACCCTTACTTATCTGGTGCTTAGTGATGTCACAGCATCAGATAAGGCAGGCACTGGCACAGATGTCGGCCAAGCCACTGGGGAACAAATTGAGATTTTAACTTTAACTTGATTTTAATGGCAAATCCAAATCTGAGTTTCAATCATAAATCTTTAAGAAAAAGACTAAAAATTAAGTGAAAAATGGGCCACAGAACAGGCAACACTCAAAATAATGTTCTATGAACATATGCTAAGATGTTAAATCTCATTTGTAAATAAAGAACCGTGAATTACATCAATAACATATCAATTTGTCATCAACCAGGCAAAGGTTTAAAAGAATGATGCTAAATATGTGTGGTTTAGCATATGTCAATTATACCTCAATAAAGCTCTAAAAAGCAAAATGAAAAAAAAAAGCGTGGTGTTTGGGATACTGCTGAAAAATGAAAATTCTCAGTCACAACCAGTGAGTGTTTGAATTGATTCATCATTAGGGAAGGTAATTTGGAAATATTTATTAAAATGTTAATTAGACTCACATTTTGCCCTAGCAGTTCCTTTTCCTAGAATTAATCTTATGACAAATTTTCAAACTGGTGCCAAAGGAGTAGCTAGAAAGAAATATAAGAAGCAAAGAAGAGAGAAAGCAAGAAAAGAGGCCAGGCATGATGGTTCACTCCTGTAATCCCAGAACTTTGAGGGGCCAAGGTGGATGGATCACTTGAGGCCAGGAGTTCGAGACCAGCCTGGCCAACATGGTGAAACCCCACCTCTACTAAAAATACAAAAATTAGCTGAGTGTGGTGGTGGGCACCTGTGGTCCCAGCTACTTGTAAGGCTGAGGCAGAGAGTCACTTGAACCCGGGAGGCAGAGGTTGCAGTGCATCGAGATTGTGCCACTGCACTTCAGCCTGTGTAACATAGCGAGACTCTGTCTCAAGAAAATAGAAAAAAAAAAAAAGAAAAGAAAAGAAAGAAAAACACATTCTAAGGAAATAATTAGACCCTTGAATAAAGTTATAGGTATAATATTATACCTTTATAATGGTAAAAAATATTAGGATATTTATAACAGCAAAATATTTGGACAAAAATTAGATTGGTCATATGAATTCTGGTAGAACCACAGAATAGAATACGATACAGGCATTAAAATAACTATGCAGATCTACATGAACTGGCATGAAAAGATATCCAAAAACATTACTGGGAGAAAAAAGCAGTTCACATAATAGAATTTGCTAAATAATCCCCTTTTTAATAGATGTAGGAGAATAGCTAACAAAACTCATACATTTTCAAAGGTTTGGGATTTTTAGAGTGAACACGAATAACTTTTATAATCAGAAATAGTAATACATTACTTTTCCATTTAGAGGAGAATTAAAATAAATAACAAATAAATATGGTCCTCCTTCAAGGGGCTTACATGGGAAGCTGCTTTCTGCTGAAAGCAGAAATTTCTCTGAAGCTCTGATATATTGATTTAGGATATCCTGAGGCTCTACCTGACCCCCAAGAGAAATATCTCTCAGGGGCGATTTCTAGGAATAATTGCATCTCTCCTGATTTTAAAACATCTGATCTTTATCTCAGGGGCCTGAATCACATAACTGAGAATACTGCTTTCTACATGAGCTGTGAGAAAGTTCAAGGCCAAATTTATGTTCCCTTAGTGAACGTAAAGCATTTTGTACTTGCATTCTATATTCTGACATTTCCCCTGAATTCATGGTGTATTTTCTCCTCTTTTTTTATCTTCATCCTGATTTTCTCACTTATTTTTACCTTGATCAATGATTCATTCATTCAATAAAGTATATGGAGTAGCTGGTATGTGCCAGAGGAGGCTAAAGCGAATGAAATGTGTGTGCCTTCAGTTTAGAGGCTACTGAGGGCAGCGGTTGTCAGAAGGGAGCAGATAAGAGAATTGTAACTTCTGTTACATGTTACAATGAAAAGATAATCATGTTGACTTGGAGACATGTAAGAAGAAGACCCACTGAGTCCAGGGGGAGGGTAGGGGGGTTGAGCTGTGGTCTGAGGTTGGGATGAAGCCCAACATTTGAAGATGGGAAGCCCTGGGAAGGAACAGTAAACAGTGTCTTCTGAGCTAGGAGTTTAATGCCTTCTAAAAATAGAGAGAAAAATCAGTGTGTGTAGAACATAGCAATCCCACGGGGTTTGGAGAGCTTTCAGGTTGGTAGATACATCAAGGCGCTGGGAGGGTGCTGCACCCAGAGACAGTGTGGAAGCTCTGCGCCCTCCGCCATACTCCACCCTGTGCATCTCTTCCATGTGGCTGCTCCTGAGTTGTATCTTTTATAATAAACTGGTAAATATAGGTACTTTTCTGAGCTCTGAGTCATCCTAGCAAATTATTGAACCTGAAAGCAGGGAGGCTTGTGAGAACCTCCAACTTTGTAGCCAAATTAGACAGCAACGTGAGTAGCCTGGGTACCCAATACTTGGGTCCGGCATCTGAAGTAAGGACAGCCTTTGGGGGCTGAGTAATTAAACCTGTACAGTCCAACATTAACTCCGGGTAGTTAGTGCCAGAATTGAATTAAACTGTAGGACAACCAGTCGGTGTCCTGAGAGAAGGAAAATTGGTCATTGGTGTGGAAAACCCCCACACATTTGGTGTCAGGAGCATTGTGAGTAAAATGTTCAGAGATACTCAAGATACCCTCAAAAACCTTGTGGTATAATAGGCGAGCCAGACTAGTAATCAGTAAAAAAAAGTGTGTAATAGTATAAATATATACAAGGTATAAAAATAATAAAGCAGAAAGAGTAACTAATATTGAGAGGAGTTGGAGAACAAGGCTAAGCTTCGCAGAGGATGGCAATGAAGGGTGAATAGTTTTCCAGGCGAATAATGAGGAAAGATTTCCCCTTATGTTTTCTTCTTAATTTTAATGACACAATCCTTCTTGGTTTATGCTTTGAAACACCAACCAAAAATTCAGCAGAAGCACCTCTGCAGCTTTAGGATTGTCTGCTAATTGTAACAGCTAGAAACAGTGAAAAGGTGTCCAATGCATACTCACTTCTATTCAAAAAAGATGTGTTTTGTCCTCACCAGACCAGATACGAGGTTAAACTGGATGAGAGGCCCTCTGAGGTCAACACTGCTTGGACCGGGACAAGGCAAGGGTGAAAGTCATGCCTCTCTCTGCCATGGGCTTCCTCCTCCCCACTTTCTTCTTCACACTCTATCCACTCCCCCAGGCTGTGAACCAGAGCAGCAAGTGCAGCCTGGCCCTTCTCACCAGGATTCAAAGATGCTTAAGCCCCCAAAACCTAACCTAAACAGCAAAAAAAAGCCCAAGTAAATGAGGCTGTGTGCATGTACTTGGACGTGCGTGCATACACCTATGTCACTCGGCATACATTACCCTGGTGGCTGTGGACTGGGACCAGGCTCCTGGAAAATTTCCCCCTTTTTAAAAAATCTGTCAGAGTTCACGGTTCAAAGAAACAGTCACCTGCTCCAGTTGCTTTAAGCAGAACAGAGATTTGTAGAAAGGACATCAGGAGCTTCCAGAATAGCAAGGAAGGTTAAAGAACCATGCTTGGAAATAATCCGAAATGAGGAGCCAACAGTCGCCAGAACCTCAGGCACAATCACACCACGGCTATGCCCCTGGAATGGGTGCTCCCCAGCCCCGCCTCCCTGTATCACAAGATCCTGATCTTAGAACTTCCGGGATGCAACCAATCTGTGGTGCCTGGGTTGCCTGCCAGTCCCCTGGCTGCAAAAAAGGTCAGAGAAGGAAGAAGACTGGAAATTTTTGCATTTATGGTAGGACATGGTCTTGGCTCCCAGCAAGAATCACCAGATTGAAATTTCCCAACATTAGGAAGGGAATTTAGATGCTAGGAAGGGGGAAAATAATCATTCACTTCACCCCCCATCAATATTGTAAAGTAAAAATATGAGAGAAAAATCTGCAGTTAAGTTTGGAATAAAGACTAAGAGGAGAAAGAATTGAGGAATATTTTTTAAATAGCCACGGTTTATGTGGGCACAAAACCATTTTATCCTCACCACAGCTATCTGCTTCCTTTCTCGTTATTACACTACAATGTCATCAACTGCATATTTGACTTACTGCAATTTAACCAAAAGCTTGGAGAAAAACAAAGAGAGAAGGAAAAAGAAACAACAACAAAAAAGGAGGCTGTGCTGTGGAGACAGGCAGACAAGAGCCTGTGGTCCCCTTGGTGGCTCTTGGTCCCCATTGCATGTACAGTGCCCATTGCATGTACAGTCCCCATTGCATGTACAGTACATTGCATGTACATGAGTGTGAAAATAATATCTGAAGACAATTTTTTTTAATTCAACAAATGCAAGTCATCTACTTTTTCTGTTGTTCAAGTGTTAAAACAGCAATCTATTCCAATGTGAGGAACAGCCTTGCTTTGCTGGATTTATTAATTCTCCATATGTTTATCTCCCATGTGGCTGCTGCTTAAGAGCTTTTTAAAGGGTAACTTTCTAGTAAGTAATTTTTAATCCGACTTTAGAACTTATATCCCCCAGCACTGAGTGATGCTCCCAGGAAGGTGAGAGTCCAGTGCTCCTTCTTGTAACAGAGTTTTGTCAATACTAGCCTCAGAACAGCTTCCCTACCACAATTCTATCTCCATCTTCCATGCCATCACCACAGTTAACTTTCTAAAGGCACAAACATAGTTAGTCCCCTGTTAAAACTGCTTCTGGGCAGGGCGCGGTGGCTCACGCCTGTAATCCCAGCACTTTGGAAGGCTGAGGTGGGCGGATCATGAGGTCAGGCGATCAAGACCATCCTGGCCAACATGGTGAAACACCATCTCTACTAAAAATACAAAATTAGCCAGGCGTGGTGGTGCACGCCTGTAGTCCCAGCTACTCAGGAGACTGAGGCAGGAAAATTGCTTGAACCCAGGAGGTGAAGGCTGCAGTGAGCCGAGATCAGGCCACTGCACTCCAGCCTGGGCCACAGAGCGAGACTTTGTCTCAAAAAAAAAAAAAAAAAAAAAAGACTTCCGAGACAGTGAAACATAGAGGTGAGGCACAGCGCAACAGTTAAGAGTTTAAGCTTAACCACAATTATAAAATAAAAAGGCTGTGAGCTCTAGCTTCCTGTAAAAATGGCAGCCTGAACGTACGTTTACTTTTGCATACTGCTGAAGTCCCTCTAAAGCAATGGTAGAAAGACTGCTCAAAAACAACAATTAAGGAATTATTCTAAAGACATGAACTTACAAGAACAGAAAGGATGAAGGAAGAGACATCAGCAACAAAACTTTGGGAGCCGGAATGTCAGTGGAGATGCTGTAACTGACTGCACCATCTTTTTTTTTTTTTCTTTCTTTTTTTTTTTTCTTTTCTTTTTTTATTATACTTTAGGTTTTAGGGTACATGTGCACATTGTGCAGGTTAGTTACATATGTATACATGTGCCATGCTGGTGCGCTGCACCCACTAACTCGTCTGCACCATCTTAACCCCACTTCCCTTTTCTGACGTTTTTCCTCCTCTGTGGGGAACTGGAAGGGGGCAGCTACTGAGATCCCACATGGATCCACACGGACCCAGATGGCTGCAGGGGCTAGGGGCAGGGGCCTGGCATGGGGCATCAGGGTCAGCCCTGCCCCATGCTTTGGCCATCTGGACGCTACAGCAGAGACAACATGTCACAACTTCAGGTTGGGGAGGAGAGGAGGTAGTTAACAGAGGAAGTTAACCTAATTGGAATCAGGTTTGGCCAGAAAAAGGCAATAAATTCTGCATGCGTTTGTGTTTGTGTTTGTAATGTGTGTGTATATGGAGAGTGTTCCCTAGCATGCATCTTTGGGAGACTTCTCCAGGGGGTCCTAGGACTACTCTGCAAGGGAATGGGAGGGCCTGGTGGCATTTGTGGTATGCAGCCTGACCCACTCTCCTGCCCCCATGGTGTGAGGAAGATGTACTTATTGGAGCATTTTTATAGGTCATGCTTTAGAACCAAGTGAGAGCCTGAGGAGGAGCTGGAATCAGAAGGTGATTCTGACTGTTTAAAACTGTCAACTTCGGAGGCTGCAAGGGTCTCTAGAGTACACACTGGGTCAGGTTCACACCTGTGCTTCCGGAGCAAGGCTGATGCTCAGTGATAGATTTTTAAATTGTCTTCAACTGAGAATTGCTGGATACATGAGATCACCCAAGGAGTAAAGATGCAGAAGATGGGCGATGGAGACCTGAAAATTGTGGTCAGTTTTCCAGTACCAGGAGAGCTTTGTGCAGATGCACATATATCAGCATCCTCAGTTGGCCATGGCCACCAAGAGCAGCTCCCTGAGTAAAATGACTAGCCAAGAGGGTGGCACATGTTCTGTGACTAGTCAGGACATGGTCAGAATGTCACTTTAGCTCACAGGCCACCGTGAATGGCCATAGTGCAGGAAAGGTGTCCACCCAGCTTTCTATAGAGTTCAGGGTTGGAAGAAACATATAAATATCACACAGGACATATATACAGTAAAAACTTACTCATATATCTCAAGTTCAGTTTAATTAGGTGCCTGAATTTTTATGTGCCAAATCTGGCCTACTAGGGCTGTGCCACTCCCACACCAATTCTCTCATCCAAAGACGGGGCCCCAGGAAGCTCAGCCGAAATGTGGCCAATCTGGACTCTGACAGTGAAAGACGGTTGACAGGGAGGTGACTCTGAGGAAATCCAATGGCAACTGACATGTGCTCTGAAGGTGGAAACCACCAGCATTAGGTTTTCATAAGCACTAGCACCAGAAGAGAGTAACTGTTCTAAGCTACATCTCGGTGTGCTTTACATTACTGCACTTTCACTTCCATTATCTTGTTGGATGCACACAATCACCCTGCAAGGTTGGTGTTATGTGCCACTTTCCAGATAAGGGAGCCAAGACGCAGAGATTAAATGAGCTGTCCAAAGTCACTGCACTTGAAAGTGTCTAAGCCACCCTTTCCATGTAGGTTTCCTGACTGTTAACGGTCCACTCTACATTCTCATGATGCCCATGGGCCAAAACAATCACTCTTTCCTCCCCACGACAACTGATTGAATGGGAAAGGGTCCCTTAGGAAAGTTGATGTTATTTTTATGGAAGACTCAGAGGGTCAGACGAGCAGGAGGGAGGTATAATGATTCAGATGTGTGAATTATACCAGGGCTGAATAAAGAGGTTATAGAGAAGTTATGATTCAGAAAGGAAGGGGGATGGACTAAGGGTAGGCAGGGGAGCTTGGAGGCCAGGGGGAAAAAAAACACTGAATTTTATACACAAAGTGATAGACAAGATGCTAAACATACTTTTCATAACTTATATCATTTAATCTGTACGACAACCTTGTGAGACAGATTGTCAGCATTTTACAAATAGGAAACCGGAGTCTTAAGAAATTTGAGCAACTTATCACAAATCACAGGACTAGAAGTGAAAGGATCCAAGTGCTTCTGGCTCTAAATTCTGGATCACTTAGACTCACTGTACCCCAAAGGAAAGTGGGGGAAGATTTGGGGGTATACTAAGGGCAAGAGGAATTTTTAAAGAGGTTCCTGATGGAGGGAAGAGAGGAACAGCTCAGGAAGTGGTGCAGGTCAAGCCCAACAGGAAACCTACTTGGGTAAAGAATTTGGACTTTTTTTTTTTTGAGATGGGGTCTCACTCTGTCACCCAGGCTGGAATGCAGTGGCGGGATCATGCCTCACTACAGCCTCAAACTCCTGGGCTCGATCGATCCTCCCACCTCAGCCTCCTGGGTAGCTGGGAATACTGGCACACACCATTGTGCCCAGCTAATTTGTGTCTTTTTGTTGTTGTTGTTGTTGTTTTTTTTTTTTTTTTTTTTTTTTTAAGAGACAGGGTCTCGCTATGTTGCACAGGCTGGTCACAAACTCCTGGGCTCAAGTCATCCTCCTGCATTGGCCTCCCAAAGTGCTGGGATTACAGACACGAGCCAGCACCCACCCAACTTAATTTTAAATTAAGTCTTCAGAGGGTTTAATCCACGGAGATAGACGATCTGATTTATGCTTTATAAACATTCTGGTGTTGTGTGGAGAATGGACTATAGAGGGGCAAGTGTGGAAAGAGGAGATAGGAGGTTTTTAATTAGGTTGAACCACACATGAAATTGCCACTTGGTAGCTCAACA
This sequence comes from Homo sapiens, assembly GCF_000001405.40. Taxonomy (NCBI): domain Eukaryota; kingdom Metazoa; phylum Chordata; class Mammalia; order Primates; family Hominidae; genus Homo; species Homo sapiens. The sequence continues at coordinate 46,335,587 of NC_000013.11, forward strand.
ATTATAAAATAGCAGCAATGCTACGTAGTTCAATCTAATAGAAGTTCAGGAGAGAGATGGTGGCTTGTACTGTAATAATGTCAGTGGCTGTGGTGAGCCATCAACTAAGATATATTTTGTAGGTAGAGCTGACAGAAGTTACTGATGGACTGGATCTGGGGAGTGAGGGAAAGGGAAAGGATGACTCCTAGGTGTTTGGCTTAAGCGACTGGGTCTATGGTGGTGCCATTTTCTGAGATGGAAAAGCCTGTAAAGAAATACTAATACAAGCACAGCTATCAGTGGGCTGCTGAGTACCAGCCTCTGGGCTGAAGCTACAAATTTAGAGTCATTCAAAGCTATTTCACTGGATAAGACCATCCCAAGAGAAGAAAAGAGATGGCAAAACTGAGCCCTGGAATCTCTGTCTTTATTTAGAGATGGACAGAGAAAGAAGAGGAAAACCTACAAAGGAGACCAAGAAAAGAGACCACTGTCTACAGAGGAAGGGGAGAAATCACAAATGTCATGATGTTTCCGGGTTCCAAAGCTTCCAGGAGGAAGGTGAATGGTTGCATCCATCCATCTGGTCTATCTGACAGCCGGCCCTGTTCTTTTTGGTTCACGTGGTCTTTAGTAATTTACTAAATAACCAAGAAAACCAGGAGCTTTGGGTACCAGGCAGCACCTCCATCATCAGACTCTACGAAGATGGAGTTTCAGGTGGTCCCCAACAGCTAATCTGATTTCTCCACTGTGGGCATGGACAGTAGAAATGCAACCATTACTCTTAAAAGTTGTATAGTACTGATCTCATTTATCATCTGTAATTTGTCATTAGTTTAAATGATCTATCATTTATTTAAAATGATATCTAGTCTATATGGTAAAATTTACAAAGAAAATTTTTGAAAATTATTCTAATCCCACTATACAGAGATAATCACCACCACAATATGATGAAATTCATTATAGTCTAGCTTTTCTTAGCTAGACTTTTTTATTTTATTATATTTTATTATAAAACAGTATTCTCTTTTGTTAAGAAGAATGCAAGCAACTGTGGTAGAGAGGTAGGTGAAGACAATACAGTGACTACTGAATTTAGATATTGCTAGTGACCTTGACGGTTTGGGTAGAATGGTTGAGATGGAAATGCTATTGTTGTAGGTAAAGGAAGAAAGAGGTGTGGAAGCGATGGCAAACATTAAAAACTGTTCTTTCAAAAATGTTGCTGTGAAGAAGATCATAGAGGTAGAACTGGAAAGGAATGTGAGGTTAAAGAATTTTTTTCTCTCTGCATATTCCTTTATTTTTTAATGTAAGGAATACTAGATAATATGGATAACTCAGAGGAGTAGAATAGTTTTTGATGTCTGCATGACTGTTATGGACTGAATATTTATATCTCCTCAAAAGTCATGTGTTGAAGACCTAACCCCCAATTGTGACAGTATTAGGAGGTGGAGCCTTTAGGTGGTGATTAGGTCATGAGGGTGAGGCCCTCACAAAGGGAATTAGTGCCCTTGTAAAACAGACCCCAGGGGGTTCTCTCTCTCTCTCTTTTCCTTTTTCTTTTTTTGGGGGCAGGGAGGGGGGACCAAGTCTCACTCTGTTGTCAGGCTGGAGTACAGTGGCGTGATCTCAGCTCACCGCAACCTTCAACTCCCTGGTTCAAGCGATTCTTCTGCCTCAGCCTCCCGAGTAGCTGGGATTACAGGCACTTGCGACCACACCTAATTTTTGTATTTTTAGTAAAGACTGGGTTTCACCATGTTGGCCAGGATGGTCTCAATCTCCTGACCTCGTGATATGCCTGTCTCAGCCTGAGGCATATATCTCAACTTTGGGAGTGCTGGGATTACAAGTGTGAGCCACCGTGCCTGGTCCGCTCTCTCTCCTTTCTACCATGTAAGGATACAGTGAGATAGTGCCATCTATGAACCAGGAAGTGGTCCCTCAATAGACATCAAATCTGCTGTTGTCTTGATCTTGGACTTCCTAGCCTCCAGAACTGTTAGCAGTAAGTTTCTGTTGTTTATTATCCACCTAGCGTAAGGTATTTTATTATAGCAGCCTAAACAGACTACGACAGTGACAAACCTGTTCCCTCAGTACTCATCCCCTGGACAACAGGTATCAGGACATCTTATGTTAGTCAGAGTAGGGTGGGTTACACTGTAGGAACCAGCCCCACAAAAATCTCAGGAACTGAACAAAATAAAGGTTTATTCTTGCTTGTAAAAAGTCCAATGCAGGCACCGCACTCCTGAGTAGTTCTATTTCAAACAATCACTCAGGGAGCTGGGTAGGGCCCTCAGGAATGTGGACCTTCAGGGGCTGCAGGAGCAAAGGGAGAATAAAGTCTCTCTCATAGCTTCCAAGAGACTTTCAAGGGCAGATAGAAAGGATCAAAGGCTGCCAAAAGTTCAGAGAGCTGTCCCCAGTAGAATAATGAGGTAAATGCAGATATCAGAGTGTAAGGAGAAGGGAGCATGTGTGTGCACGTGCAGTACGCTGAAGAATGGGCAAGATCGGGAGGGAGATGAAAAGGGGAAGCGCCCACCACTCCCATCTGCAGAGCCCATGCAAGAGTACAAATACAGGTCCACATGCCATATATCCAAGTATTTAAAATTTGAAATATGTTTTATCTTCCTACCATGGTGAATATCCCTTCATCAGGACCCGAGAAAGCAGGTTTGAATTTTGAAATCTTTGACTCCTCACTGCTCTGCTCTGGAGCATGGTGGCTCAGGTATAGCTAGCATTGGGCCAACCCCTGCCCCTCTCTCTTCCCACTTTGGCTCCATCCTACAAGCAGCTGCCCCTTGGCTGCCTCTTGGTCTTAGCAGCGCAGTTCACTTTCAGGAGGCTGGACCAGGGGAAAGACCTGAGCAGCCCTAAAAGTGGGGTTGAGACCACAGGGCAGGGGATTCTGTCTGGGGCTCCATTTGATCTAACAGGAGGGGTGGGGGCTTTGGGTGCGCTTGCCCTTTGTCTCCTCACCAATGGGGATGTACGTAGCCCGAGGAAGGCCAGAGCAGGGCCTCTTTCCAGGATGAAAGGGCAGTCCTGATCCCAGGCAAGGGATGCAAGAAGAACAAGACCATGGAGGCAGGAACACGGCAGGACTAGAAAAGAGGGGGCAGCCCTGGGGAGAAAGAAGCCTGGAAGCACAAGCAGAGGCCAGAAAATGTTCAAGGAAGGGCTGGGCGCGGTGGCTCACACCTGTAATCCAAGCACTTTGGGAGGCCGAGGCGGGTAGATCACTTCTGAGACCAGCCTGGCCAACATGGCGAAACCCCGTCTCTACCAAAAACAGAAAAAAATTAGCTGGGCATGGTGGCACATGCCTGTGGTCCCAGCTACTAGGGAAGCTGAGGCAGGAAAATCGCTTGAACCGGGAAGCAGAGGCTGCAGTGAACTGAGATCACGCCAACTGCACTCCAGCCTGGGCGACAGAGCGAGACCCTGTCTCAAAAAAAAAAAAAAAAGTGCAAGGAAAAATACACAATTTGCTTAACCTATGTGGTTAAGCTCTTCAATCCTCAGTCCCCTTGGCTTGGAGAGCTGCCCAGATATGCGAGGATGCAAAGGTTCTCGATTTCTCATGTTTGTGCTGAAGCTTCCCAATTGTGTCTGCAGCCTGCTACCTCAGCATTACTCATAAAAGTATTGTTTTAGTTTCTAGTGAAGTGAAAAAGGGGAACTACGGTTTTCCTTCCCATACCAGTTGAGAAATTATTTAAAGACAGAGATCCTTAAATGCTTGTTTTAAGGAAGCACGCTTCTAAAAATGACACACTTCACCCTCCTTTGGCGATGAGTTCAGGAAGGCTTCCTGCAGGTAGCATCTGACGGTGGCTAAGCCAGCCATGCAGGCTCAGACCTGGGGGCAGAAACTGAATGTCAAACCCCTTCCTGACATGTCTACCACGTTCCTTCCAGCAGGTTTGAATTCCGAAGTCTCAGACAAATGACCACACTCTGGGTGGTTTAAAACAACAGGGTCAGGCGCAGTGGCTCAGGCCTGTAATCCCAGCACTTTTGGAAGCCGAAGCAGGCAGATCACCTGAGGTCAGGGGTTAGAGACCAGCCTTGCCAACATGGTGAAAACCCGTCTCTACTAAAAATACAAAAATTATCCAGGCCTGGTGGCGTGCGCCTGCAATCCCAGCTACTCGGGAGGGTGAGACAGGAAAATCACTTGAACCCAGGTGGCGGAGGTTGAAGTGAGCTGAGATCGCACCACTGCACTATAGCCTGGGTGACAGAGCAAGACTCCATTTCAAAAAAACAAAAACAAAAACAAAACAAAACAAAAAAACCCCAGGAATTTATTCTCTCATAATTCTCAATGTCAGAAGTTTGAAATCAAGGGGTCAGCCATGTTGGGTTTTTTTTTTAAGGCTCTGAGGAAGAATCTGCCCCCTGCCTCTCTCCGGCTTCTGGGGGCTGCCAGCAATTCTTGGTGCTCCTTGGCTTGTAGATGCATCACCCCAACCTCTGCTTTTTTTCTTCCCTGCATCTTCTCTCTTCTCTCAATTTCCCTTTTCTTATAAGGACACCAGTCACTAGATCAAAACTCATCCTAATGCACTATGTCCTCATCCTAACTTAACCACCTCTGCAAAGACCCTACTTCCCAAAAGGCCACAGCACAGACACCAGCATAGACCTTTAACATATTCTTTCATGGGACACAATTCAACCCACAACAGTAGCTATTGTTCTAATCCTTGTATTACAGATTATAAACTGAGACCCAGGGAGTAACTTACCCAGAGATACAGAAAATAAGGGGTATGACTCAGTTTGTAATCTGTCTAGACCTCATTATTACCATTTGCCCTTGCTTGTACCAGGCCTTTTAGTGGGTGCTTCATTTTCATTTCTAATCCTTATCTCAACTGCAGAGAGTCATATCCCTCATTTTACAAACAGAGGCTTAGATAATTTAAATGGCTTCCCCAGTGTCTGAGTCTATTTGTGTTGCTATAAAGGAATACCTGAGGCTGGGTGATTTATAAAGAAAAGAGGTTAATTTGGCTTATGGTTCTGCGGGCTGTACAAGCATCGCACCAATATCTGCTTCTGGTTAGGACTTGTGGCTGCTTCCACTCATGGTGGAGGGGAAGGGGAGCCTGCGTGTGCAGACTCCCCTTGTATGGAAACAGAGGAGGCAAAGAGAGGGCAGGGAGGTGCCAGGCTTCATAACAACCAGCTCTCATGGGAACTAAGAGTGAGAACTCACTCATCACCACAAAGGTGCCACCAAGCTATTCTTGAGGGATCCACCCGCATGACCCAAACACCTCTTATTAGGCCTACCTTCAACACTGGGGATCAAATTTCACCATGAGGTTTGCAGGAGTCAAACAAGCCAAACTAGAGCACCAAGTCACCATGGGTAGGTAGAAAGTGGCATATTTGGGATCTAATCTGAAGTTGTGGCCAATAATTCTCACCCAGGTCAACACACCAGACATCTTTGGGATGGCTTGCTCCTCCTCATCCTATAGCCTCTGCCTTGAGATGGTGTAACTTCCTCCCTGCAGTTGAGAATCATGACTGTAAATGACACACTACTGGAATTGCCCATGTGAAGAGTGCAGAGGCAGAAAATGAATCACTGACCTTTACAGCACTGCAACTGATGCCTCACAGTGGGTAATGGTCTGACCAAGCATTCATCTTCTTTCCGGCAGCCAAGGAAGAGTTGAACAGAAAACCCACACAATCAGGAAGACCCATTAAACAGCTATATATGCCACAACTAATTACTTCCTTATGGGGTGCTCCATGTGGGCTGAAGATCACTTCCCTAACAGGTGCCTTCCTGGGAAGAAGCCTCTATTATCACATTGGAGAGGAACAAAGTCTCAGACAAATCCCATACTGCAGTTATTTAAATGACCTCATTCTTCCTCAAAATAGAAAATCAAAAGCATCACTTCCTGGCAACTGCTGTGCACTCTTCCTTAATATCAAAGATATGTAACACACACAGGCTCATCAGTGCCTTACAAACATACAAACCCTGAGCACAGAGCCCTTCAAGCAATGCTTGAGCCATAGCAGCTGCCTTAAATCAACACTGATGTGAGAAAACACTCTGCCCAATGCCACTTCTGCAAGTTGGAGCAACACTTACCAGTTAAGGTTGTTTTTACTCCTTTGTCTTGAAAAGACACCACAAAAGAAGCAGGGCCTAAGCATGGGCTTTGGAGGCAGGTGGACTTGAATGTCAACCCCAGCTCCATCATGCACTTCCTGTGGGAACCTAGGAAAGTTATTTCTCTTCTCTAGGCCTCAGTTTCCTTGCCTGTAAATGGAGATATAGACATCTGCCTCAGAAAGGAATGTGAACATACCACTCTTACCCTTGATTCTTAACAGGGAATAGGAGCAATGGGCAAGAATGAAACATTGTTTGAAGTCTGGTTTTATTTATTCTATGTGCCTCTACACTTCTATAATACTTAGAAAAGATCTGGCTTAAATAATGGATGTGAGCACAGTTCTGGCAGAGGCACTGCGGATGAGAAAACAATTGACAGAATGAGAAGACTGAATGAAAAGAGATTGACAGAAGTCATTCATTTCTTTCATGTGCTCAGTACTATCCCATTGAATAAAACACACTCATACACATGGCTGGATGGGGTTAGGGGACAATCTGTGACGCTTTATTGCCTGCCTGTGCTGTCTGAGAAAATCAAGGTAGGTTTAGTTAGGGCATGTGAATCCCAGGGAATGTAATGCCCAAGCCCTAGGTTGCAAACCGTTCAGTCTAAAGGTATACCATGAAGGGACCCAGCCTCAAGGCCCCTTTCTCAAGTGGGAGAAAGTATATAGAAAGTAGAAGAAAAAAGAATAGGCTCACATGTTTCAGGAAAACATATAAGAACTATTAGAAAAAAGAAATTCATAAAGGTTTTGTGATTCATTTAACCTTATTAGTCAATGTCTATGATTTTAATGTTATTACTAGAATCACACTGTTCATTATTTCCCCCAGTTCGTTTAAATCTGCAAATACCTTATGTTCAGTTTTACATCTGTTAAAGCAAGATCCTCAAGGGCAGGGATGGAATTCTACTCACTTCTGCATCCCTTGACATTGCAGTGTGTGGAACAGAGATGACAAATACAGGTTCAATTTGTGCCACCTGAAAGAGTGCCATCTAGAAGCAGTTGCTTCAAACTGCACTTCAACGGGACCCACACGCCCTGCTAAGCAACTCAAACTCATCATGAAATAAATCTGCAGAAGAAATGTGTACTCTCTATTCAAACTCTGAAGTAAATAAAATGTGTATGATTGACACAATCACAAAATGGCATTTAAGTGGAAGTCTGCTTCCTGAAGAAATAAAAGCCAGAGCAAACAGATTTGGGGTCATATTTTTGTTCACTGAAAGGACCAACCAGTTTCATCAAACAAGCTTTAGAGAAAGAGAAACTGAGTAATTCATCTTGTCAGTTACAGTTCACATATATGCACACACATACAAACTGGCTCAGCATCAGTGAAACATAACTATTCAAATACAAAAGTATAAAAAACCTCTTTAAAAAACCAATAGCAGCCAAAACAGAACATTTGTAAACAAAACCACAACTATCAGCCCTGTGCTTAAACACAGAATCTGCATTCTTTTGAAACATTAAGTATATGCAATAAAGAGAATATAGACCATCTTTTTCCTTAATATACAATACCCAATATCTAAAACAATGTCACCAATAATAGACACAAATCGGTGTTATCATAAGGCATGTTGAACAGTCTTTTTCACAGTACTCAGGGGCATCATGTTGCTGCAGAGGCCACACTTTCCAGAAGTTTTCTCCTCGCTGTGATCCTCGCACACCGGGGGCACTCGGAGGACTGGAAGCACTGTTTGTGAAAGCAAGCCCTGCACGCTGCAAGCAAGGAAGAGAGCCGTTAGCAAACGGTCTATCTTGTTTTCTCACATTTCTGCAGACATTCGTCTCCATCCTAGGGAGGGAGAGGGGTCTGAATCCAGAGCCCAGAGTCTTCTAAAAAGAAACCAGCCAGGCTGAAACGCACGTTTCAGCAGGTCACATTTCAGCAGACCTGTTGGACTCTTCCAACAGGTCATGAACAGGAGGCTCAGAGAGCCTGATGTAACGGACACTGCAGTGCCCCCTGGATCTGCTCAAGCACTGAGGCAGGCGTTTCCCCAGCTGCCAAGAGAGGTGGTGGCTGATAACTCTTGGGAAGCCACATTGTTTCTCTAGATATGGCCCTACATCGAGAAAGCTGCTTTGTCCCCTTCCTGGCACCAGCCTGCATTCAATGACTGATCACTATATAGTGAGTAGGCCGGCCCCAATTTGTCCCCAGTTTGGAACAATGCTGAAAGGCCACCAAACTCCAGAGCTCCCCGTGAGATGAGCTGAGGGCTCCACTGCAACCCCACCACAGTTCAACTTCTCCCTCTCCCAGTCTTGCTGCCTGCACACCCCTACAGGTATTAAGTTGAAGAACATGAAACTTTTTGTAGGCAAGTCTCTGCCCCAGAGTCTCTTTGCTGGGGAGCCAGTCCTGCAACACTGCCTAAAGGGTTGGGGAGACAACACTGGAGTGGCCTGAGAGGAGGATATGCCCCTATCAAGGGTGAAGGCAGAGTTCATTACCAGGATCTCTCCCATTAAACAGAGTTTACAGAACACGGGATTCTCTCGGGCACTAATACCACAGAAGGGTCGGCAACCTTTTCTGTAAAGAGCCAGATAGCAAATGTTTTAGACCCTGAGGGCCATGTGGTCTCTACAACAGCTACTCAACTCTGCCTCCGTGGCACAAAAGCAGCCAGAGACTTCACCACTGGGCATGAATGATCCAATTACAAGACAGAGAGGTGGGCACAGGCAACAAAGGGACCATCTCCTCTATCCAAACCCTGCACCAGAAGACATTATCCTTTATCCCTGCCCCACCCAAATACTCCTCCTTCTGTGCCCAAAACTTCATTATCTCCAATCCAGCATACAAGCACACACCAGCATGACTGTACTTTAAATAACTGTGCTTAAATTATTAAGCTATTATTCAGCTTAAGTTAATTTTGTGCTTAAGTTACTAAACTTAGTTTAATTAGTTAACCTATTATTAAGCTTATGTTATTAAGTTATTAAATACCTGAACATCTTCTACATGTTGCTGTCTGAAATGGGAAGATGACAGTCGTATTCTGGCAAAATTCACAAATAAAGCCCTTTCCTTGACACAGCTGTAAAAGAAGACATCAAAAAGTTACAACCTTCTCTTGATGGATAAGCTGAGTTTTCACTATTACAGAACTTTATAAACATCAGTGTTTCAGTGTCTATGATTCCAGCCTCTAGAAGGAAAAGGATGTTGTTTTGCAGCAATGAATGGGTCAGAATCAAAAAAAAGATAAAAATGTACATTCAACCAATTCCATATCAAAGCAGTTTTAAAGTACCAGAGTAAGGTCCTAATTGTAAACATGCACTCTGAAATGATCTAATTTCATTTATCATTGCTGCACTACAATTCTTCAATCCGTGTAGACACAGAGCCTCCTGTTCCATTGAATCCTGGTTCCACATGACTATACTTGGTGCATCAGGGCAGAGTGGGCCCTGAGCAGAACTGGGCACCCAGATGAAGTCCATTGGTCCAGGCTTGCATCCCGGCTCTGCCACTTACCAGCAGGGGTATCTCAGCTGTTACTTCACAGCTCTGACCTCAGTTTTCTCATCTCTAACTAGGTCACCGGCACTTCCCTCAGGGTTTGTGAGAGTTAAATGAAGTCAAGTGCGGAACACCCAGCACAGGCCCTGGTGCATCGGGAACGAATCTGCTCTGGGTGCACCCTCACCTCACAGCCAGCCACATGTGCAAGGGAAGCTTTCAGAATGTCCTTGAGTAAGGGTGCCAGCAGCCCTTTCTTGATCCTGACCAGGTCCTCAAGGGAGAACAGGTGGAGCTCATCAGTCAAGTGTCCCGGCACCTGCTCGAACTCCTTTAATGCACTGCCAGAGAGGAAACAAAGAGGAATTCAGAAACCCACCCACACAGAGGACAGGGAAGAATGGGGCCAGTTGTTTTCTCTTGGCACTCACACTTAATTTTTTTTTAACTCAATTTAAAAAATAAATAGCTCCAAGAACAACAGTGAACCATGCTCGCCACCATTCTACATGTTGCAAGTTTGCTTGGAAGCCAGGAAGTTAAAATTCCATGAAAGCTGATTTCAAAAAGCTGAATAAGCAGAGACCTGTATCTCTTACAGCCTGCCCATGCACACATTGAGCAAAAGAAAACTGAGCATTAGTTTTTTAGGTCTTAAAGAATGTGAACCTAGTACCCTTTGATTACCAAGTAATCAAAATTCCTACCTTATTTCTTCCAGCTACATTTCAAGTCTATCAGCCTTATGGACTGTTGGCTCAGCTGCGAAAATTCTCACTCACTCGGCAAGCCTATGACTTCCAAATGCACGAGTCAGGCACTGAGCTTAAGGCTCATGCAGCCAACTGCCAGTGGTCATGGTCCCTAGGGCATTCAAAACTTCATCTTCTCCAAACCCGGCAGGTGTCGACCTGAATTCTCTCAATGGCTAGTAGAAGCACTATTCCCTGCACTTCCAAGACAGCCATGGCCTACACTGGACTTGGCATGCTACAATGCCAAATTCTCTTCAATTCTGCACCCAGCCTGAGGTGCCCACTCCTGCGGCATCCTCTGCCTGGAGAATCCCCAATCCCTCTTCTTTGCTCCACCTTACTCTTCAAGCTCAGCCTTTTTCTCCTGGAATCCTTGCTTGCGGTCTACCCTATCTCACTCCTAACTGAGCTAAATGCTGCCTCCGTTTGTATCCTCATGGTCCCCCGACACGTGTCTAACACTCAGTCCAGCAGTGATCGGTTGGTGCTGACCATCCCCCTGGACTTAATACAGATCTACTAATTTTTTTTATCTGAAGCCCAGAATGGATATTCAAGATTTTTTGTACAAGGTAGGAAGTATAGGTATTGTTCTATGTTGTGGATGAAAAAACCGAGGCCCTGAGACCAATGCCACGCCAAGGCCATGAAGCAAAGGCTCAAAACCAAATGACTCCAGAATACATGCTCCTTCCCCCAAAATTTAATTAAAAAGCAATACATCATCATTAAAGATTAGAGACTGAAAAAAACGCTTTAAAGCTAAACCATTTATTTAAAAACTCTATAATTCCACCAAGTACAATAAACAATCTTAACTTCCTTGAGCAACCTATGCTTTTTCTACTTAAAAATCTCTCTCTCAATGAATTCATGCCTAAGTCTTTACTGGTTGTATAGTATTCTATTCTACGGACATGGTATTAATGTAAGTACTGCCCTATTACGAACACCTAGATTTTTAAAATAATTTCAACTTTTATTTTAGATTTGGGGGTATGTGTGCAGGTTTGTTACACAGGTATATCGCAGGACACTGAGGTTTGGAGTATCAATGATCCCATCACCCAGGGAGAGAGCATAATACCTCTTAATAGACTTTTAATGCCTTTTCTTATTTAAAAACAAAACTAGTAACCCCAGCACTTTGGGAGGCTGAGGCAGGCGGATCACCTGAGGTCGGGAGTTTAAGACCAGCCTGGCCAACATGGTGAAACCTTGTCTCTACTAAAAATAACAAAAATTAGCCAGGTGTGATGGCACATGTCTGTAATCCCACCTACTTGGGAGGGTGAGGCACGAGAATCGCTTGAACCTGGGAGGCAGAGGCTGCAGTGAGCCAAGACTGTACCACTGCACGCCAAACTGGGTGACAGAGCTAGACTCTGTCTTAAAACAAAACCAAAAACAACAAAAAAAACTATACTTTAAATCTCTACCTATATCCATCGGTATGTCCTTAGGATAAACTTCCAAAAGTACAATTTTTGAAGACCATGGTTCCACTTGGTTAGACATGCCTCCCTATAAGGGGTTTTAAAAGGCCCCTGGTATACTCATGGTCATATCCACTTTATTCACAATAGCCAAGGAGGGGAAGCAACCCTAGTGTCCATGGATGAATAGATGGATTAAAAAAATGTAGTATATACATACAATGAAATATTATTCAAACTTAAGAAGGAAGGAAATTCTGGCTGGGCGCGGTGGCTCATGCCTGTAATCCCAGCACTTTGGGAGGCCGAGGCGGGCAGATCACGAGGTCAGGAGATCGAGACCATCCTGGCTAACATGATGAAACCCTGTCTCTACTAAAAACACACAAAAAATTAGCCGGATGTGGTTGCGGGCGCCTGTAGTCCCAGCTACTTGGGAGGCTGAGGCAGGAGACTGGCGTGAACCCGGGAGGCGGAGCTTGCAGTGAGCCGAGATCGCGCCACTGCACTCCAGCCTGGGCGACAGAAGGAGACTCCGTCTCAAAAAAAAAGAAGGAAGGAAATTCTGACACATGCTACAACATGAATGAACCTTGAGGACTTTATGCTAAGTCAAACAAGCCAGTCACAAAAAGACAAATACTGTAAGATTCCTCTTATATAAGGCATGTGTGTGGGCAAAATCATGGAGACAGAAAGTAGAATAGTGGCTGCCAGGAGTTAGGCTAAGAGGAAGAGGGAATGGGGAGTTGTTAAATGATACAGAGTTTTAGTTTTGCAAGATGAAAAGAGTTTGGGGGCTGCATGGTGGTGATGATTGCATAACGATGTTAATACTTTAATGCCACTGAAGTGTATTCTAAAAATGGTTAAGATGGTAAATTTTATATGTATTTACCACAATTTAATGATAACAATAATAATAATAAAAAGGTCACTGGCTAGAGTTGTTCATCCTCCAACTAAACCATTCTTCTTAATGAGTTAAATTCTCCATTATACGGTTAGGCTGTGTCCCCACCCAAATCTCATCTTGAACTGTAGCTCCCATAATTCCCACATGTCATGGAAGGAGCCTGGTGGGAGGTAATTGAATCATGAGGCACGTCTTTCCTGTGTTGTTCTCATGGTAGTGAATAAGTCTCACGAGATTTGATTTTTTTTTTTTTTTTGAGACGGAATCTCGTTCTGTCTCTAGGCTGGAGTTCAGTGGTGCGATCTTGATTCACTGCAACCTCTGCCTCCCAGGTTCAAGCGATTCTCCTGCCTCAGCCTCCCAAGTAGCTGGGACTACAGGCATGCAGCACCACGCCTAGCTAATTTTTGTAATTTTAGTAGAGACAGAGTTTCACCATGTTGGCCAGGATGGTCTCGATCTCTTGACCTCGTGATCCACCCACCTCGGCCTCCCAAAGTACTGGGATTACAGGTGTGAGCCACCGTGCCTGGCTGATCTGATGGCTTTATAAAGGAGAGTTCCCCTGCAAATGCTCTCTCTTTGCCTGCCACCATGTAAGACGTGCTTTTGCTCCTTGTTCACTTTCTACCATGATTGTGAGGCCTCCCCAGCTATGCAAAACTGTGAGTCAATTAAACCTCTTTCCTTTATAAATTACCCAATCTCTGGTATGACTTTATTAGCTACTTGAGAACAGACTAATGCATCCCACTATTGGCTTAGTAATTCAAAGAGATGGCATGATTTCCCAAGGAAAGCCATGAGGTCATCACTGTGCTAAGAAGCCCTGTGTAATGGGGGAGCCAGATGCAGGAGGCACTAATAGGATTAGCAGATGTATGGAGGGAAGGCAGCCTGTCCCAGCTGAGAATAGTACCTGTTAGCAAACCTACAGGTCTTCAACAGCTTCTTGATATGGAAGAGCTGCTCCTGAATTTCCTAATGGGAGAAACCAAACACGGGGAAAAGTTAAATGTAATAAATGACACGGGAAAAGTGCAAGTCAAATTTAAATGTTATTTCTAAGCTTGAAATGCTGCACTTGTATAAAACAAACCTTGAAAGCAAACCGCCTATACAGCAAGCCTTCACAACTGAGTCTGCTGATCCACAAAGTGTGCCCTGGATGGATCCAGGTTTTGTAGAACCTAAAACTTACAGAACTTTGGGGCCTTCTTCAAGAAAAACATAATACTAAGTATAAGATTCAGTGTGGGGCCTTGGAAAGAGCCTGTGCAGGAGAGGGGCTCCAAAGTGTAAGCTTCACTAATTTTTTTTTTTTTTTTGAGACAGGGTCTTGCTCTGTCACCCAGGCTGGAGTGCAGTAGTGCAATCTCGGCTTGCTGCAACCTCCACCTCCCGGGTTCAAGCGATTCTCCTGCCTCAGCCTCTCGAGTAGCTGGGATTACAGGCGTGTGCTACTATACCTGACTAATTTTTTTTTTTTTAATTTCTAGTAGAGATGGGATTTCACCATGTTGGCCAGGCTAGTCTCGAACTCCTGACCTCAGGCAATCCGCCCACCTTGGCCTCTCAAAGTGCTGGGATTACAGGTGTGAGCCCCTGCGCCCAGCCGCTTCACTCGCTTTATGATCCATTTGCCTCTTAGAGGATGTATCTGTGGGTTCCCCAAGCTAGTGTGATGTGCATTTCCTGCCACAGGACACTTCCAATGAGAGGGATGGGGTTGGGGCTGCGGCTCACCTTCACTCTGTCCAGCTCCTTGGCTTTCGCATACAGGCTTTGGCCGATGCTCAGCAAATTGAAAATGGGCTGGTGCCATATGCTGTCGAGCAGCTGTTTGGAGAAATTGCTGACGTAGTACTTCTTGAAGTCCCACATCATCAGGATTCGGGCAGGGATGCACGACTCTGCATATGAGTGGCAGCAGTCACAGAAATACTTCCCTAGGTATTCGCAGTACCGGAGCCGCTTCACAAACTCTGCCAAGCATACCGGAGGGTGAGTGCCACACCTGGTGCTGAAAACCTATCCTGGTATACCCCGACTTCCAATTCCTACGCAAGATTCAAAGACTCTGATGACTTGTTTCATGATGATAAAGCCATACTCAACCTCATGACAGCTGGGAAGGCTCCAGCAGAGACTTGGGGAATTAAATCATGGCCATTCATGAGCTCTGCTCTTGTGGAACAGACGTCAGAAAAACAAAACCTTCCCAAAATACTCCTGGATTTGGAAGATGGAAATTGCAAACTGCAGTGTAGCAAAAGGAACATTCATTTTAGGATCTGGAAATCTGGGTGGGAGTCCAGACTCCTCTCACTAGCAGGAAGACTGAAGGCAGGTTAGGCTAACTATTCTGAGACCACAAAATGCAACTCAGAACTGGATCGAGTGTTATTACACATAGGAAAAGTGCTTTATAAATTGTGAAGCAGTATATATACAATGTTAGGAAGCAGCATCATAAAGACCTTGATAAATCAATGAGAAAAAAATACAAAAATGCACAAAGGATGGGAATAGGTAATTCACGGAAAGAAGAAATGCAGATAACTAACAGAGAAAAACAATCTCAGAAACAAAAAAATGCATATTTTAAAAGTGAGGCTGAGCACAGTGGCTTGTACCAGTAATCCTAGCACTTTGGGAGGCCAAGATGGGAGGACTGCTTGAGCCCAGGAGTTCAAGACCAGCGTGGGCAACATAGTGGGACCCCATCTCCACAGAAAAAAAAAAAAAATTAGCCAGGCAATGTGGTGTGTGCCTGTGGTCCTAGCTACTTGGGAGGCTAAGGCAGGAGGATTGCTTGAAGGTGGAGGCTACAGTGAGCCATCATCATGTCACTGCATTCCATCCAGCCTGGGCAACAGAGCGAGACCCTGTCACAAATTGATGACAAATAATAAAATTAAATTGAAATGAAATGAAAGAAAAGAAAAGTGAGATACTCTGTTTTGACTCAGCCTGTCATAAATTTAGAAGACCCAGAACTGGTGCAGTATCTAGAGGAGGGCACTTACGTCTAGCACTGATAGAACTAATTTGTAGGAAGACATTTTTGTGATAGACTTCAATTCTCACATGTGTAACAGTAATCCTGCTTCTGTTACTCCATCAGACAGAAGTGCTAACAGGCACACATAGTGATATAAAAAGGTGTTCATTACAGCACATTTATAATGGGGGTGGCAGCCAAAATGTCCATCAAAAGGCAATTGGTTAAATAAGTATGGTGCACTCAACATGAAATGCTGTACAGCCCATAAAGTACACGGAAGAGCATAGGAAGTGGACATCCAGTTACAAATAGGTATAATGTGATCTCAATTTTATTTAAGAACATATATATAAACATACACATAAACATATATTCACTGTCTAAATCCCCACCAAAAAGCCAACAGTGACTATTTCTGGAGGGTAGGAGAAAGAAGGAATTTTTGCTCTTTACACTTTTTTTTTTTTTTTTTTGAGAAGGAGTCTCGCTCTGTTGCCCAGGCTGGAGTGCAGTGGCATGATCTCAGTTCAGTGCAACCTCTCCCTCCTGGGTTCAAGTGATTCTCCTGCCTCAGCCTCCCCGGTAGTTGGGACTACAGGGCGTGCCACCATGCCCGGCTAATTTTTGTATTTTTAGTAGAGATGGGGTTTCACTATGTTGGCCAGGCTGGTCTCAAACTCCTGACCTCAAGTGATCCACTCATGTTGGCCTCCCAAAGTGTTGGGATTACAGGCGTGAGCCACCACGCCCACTGCACTTTCTAACCTACTAAAATAAACACTCATTGACCACTTTTGGAAATGTGTCTAATAAAATACATTAACAAACAAAAGGTATAAAAACTAATGCAACAAATACCTGTGCACTCACCACCCAGCTTCAGAAAGAAAACAATTCAGTTGAAGTCTTCTATGTGCCCCTCCCTCAACACTAGGTTCTGACATGAACCAAGTTTGATATTTATCATTCATAGTTTGAGTCATGTACGTCTTTGTAACTAAAATACCATACAGCATAACAGAAATCTTAGTTGCCATATACTGGGAGGATTAATGAAATCATGGATGGGAAAGCAGCTGCTGTAGAACCCGTACACTGTAGATTCTGAAGATCATTTCCAAATAATGGCTTTAAAAATAAACAAGGCCTGGCCGGGTGCGGTGGCTCACACCTGTAATCGCAGCACTTTGGGAGGCCGAGGTGGGCAGATCACCTGAGGTTGGGAATTTGAGACCAGCCTGACCAACACGGAGAAACCCCATCTCCACTAAAAATACAAAATTAGATTGGAGTGGCGGTGCATGCTTGTAATCCCTGCTACTTGGGAGGCTGAGGCAGGAGAATTGCTTGAACCCGGGAGGCAGAGGTTGCAGTGAGCCAAGATTGCGCCATTGCGCTCCAGCCTGGGTGGGCAACAAGCGTGAAACTCCATCTCAAAAAAATAAAAATAAAAAATAAACAAGGCCTGGCTGGGAGCGACCACAGAAATGAATCTTGCTGAGTACTTACTCTGTGCCACAGATCAGTTAAATGTTTTACATTTACTATGTCATTCTGTGCTCGAAAGTCTGTGAGAGAGGGACAGTTATTTCCCCTATTTCACTGATGAAAGCACAAGACACTGAAGTTAGGCAACACGCAGGGCCACACGAACAGTATGTAGGCAGGCAGGATTCCAACCCAAGCCTGGACTGCGAAAGCTCCAGCCCACAGCCATCATGTCCCACTCCTCCTCCGCTGCATTCGATGGTGGGAAAGGGAGAGGGAGCTAACGCCTTTGCACTTGCCCAAATTGTCCCTCAGACCCAGGTCACACTCTGAGTTGATGTTTAAAAGCAAACAAATAAAGAGTTGTTTTTTGTTATTCATGATAGTTATGTTCTCTAGAGTCGCCATGAACACTGAATTAGTCAATACTGAACCACTGCTCCTGGGGGAAATTCAGGGTTAGGCACCTGTGAGCTTCTGGTAGCAACAGTTTCATCTACTCCTCAACACACACTCAATATCCATTCACTCATTCATCAAACTTCATTGAATACATGCTGTTATACTATCAATACAGAATACACTAATGTCCATCTTTTTTAATTTCCTAAGTCCTTTAACTAAAACAGAATACAAAGTGACCTAAACCAGTGGTTCTTGGCCAAGGGTGATTTTGCCTCCCAAGGGGCATTTGCAAATGTCTGGCGCCATTTTCAGTGGCCACTGGGAGCTGCTTCTGGCACCTACTGATGCTGCTAAACATCCTACAGTGCACAGGACCCCCCACGACAAAGTCCATGGTACTGAAGTTGAGAAATCCTGCTCCAAAACACAATTGTCCTCATTTTATGAAAAGTCAGCATCAGGGGGTTGGGTGGAAGAGAAATATTCTAGAACAGAGATGTCCGGTATAACTTTCCATGGGGATAAAAGTGTTCTATATCTGTGCTGTCCAATACAGTAGCCATGAGTTACATGTGGCTATTGAGTACTTGAAATGTAGTTAGTGTGACTGAGGAACTGAATTCTTAATTTCAATTAATTTAATTTTAAATAGCCAGGTGGACTAGTGCTACCATACTGCATAGTGCAGTTCTAGAATAAAGCTAACTAAAGAGAATCAATAACTAAATGCAATGTATGAAATTTGATTGCAACCTTGATGGAAAAAATAGCCATAAATGATACCTTAAGAACAAAAAGGACTAGGAAGTAGACAATATAGAGAATTGTTTTTAATTTTTTTGGTGTGATAACTTGTTTCTTATCCTTATTTTTGGGATATACTGAACTAGTAAAGGGTAAAATGTCATGTTCAGTGTGTGGAAATTGAAGGAGACTAAGGAAAACATGACAACTAAATTCTGAAACAGATAAAGGATGTTACTGAAAACCTGGTGAAATCTGAATAAAGCCTGGGGTTTCATTAATAGGACTGTACCCCATGCTAATTTCTCAGGTTGAAACTATGATTATGTAAGATGTTAGCAGTAGAGGAAGCTGGGTGAAGGGTGTACAGGAACTCTCTCTACTCTTTTTGCAACTCTTCTGTAAATCTAAAATTATCTCAAAGACAAAAGTTAAAAAAAATGTATCCTAGAAGCTAGAGGAATTTAACAGGAAAAGCCCAAAATTATTTCTATGCTGTCTACAATCTGGGCCCCGCCTACATCTGCAGCATGTTTTCTCCTCCTATTCTTACTCTCTGGCCACACAGGGTTTCTTTTACTTGCCACAGGCCCTTTGCACATGACGAACACCCCTACTTCTGTGGGCAATCACTTTCCGATGAAACCTCTTACTCCCAGCTTCTCAAGCTCAGATGAAGTTCCCTTGCTGTAAATCCCACGGCACTCTTGACTCTTTTGTTACGTACATCACTTTGTGTTACATACACTTACTTGGCTGATGAGTGTATCTTCCCTAAAAGATGATAAGCAAGCTCCCTGAGGGCAAGGCCACTGTACAAAAGTGCAGACACACATCTCCATACCTGAACAAGCTTAGGGAAATAACAAAAAGTTGGTGGAGCGATAGTCATATGTGTACAGTTTCTGACTCATGCATTCAATATTTACAGAAGCGCCAGGATACAGTGGTTAACCAAAGAGACATGTTCCCCACTAGATGTGCTGGGAAAATGACTCATTCAAAGAAAATCAGCAACAATGGTGATGCCCGTCAGGCATTATCATCCAGTGTAGGAGAGGAAGCCCAGATCGATTCCTGCTTGCTATTTTTATCTCTTGAAGTAGGAGCTCCTCATAGTCTTTTTCCTTCAAAAACCGACTATCAAAGGCTAAGGGAACTCTTTCCACAAAGCTCCTCTTTCCAGCCTTTTGCAGGTCAGACATACAGGTACCATCAGAGCAGAACAAGTGATTCCCAGTCTCAAGGGGGAAACTTGCATTTCTGACTGAGGAAAGCCCGAGCTTTTTTTTTTTTTTTTTTGAGACGGAGTCTCACTTTGTCATGCAGGCTGGAGTACAATAGTGTGATCTCGGCTCACTGCAACCTCTGCCTCCTGGTTTCAAGGAATTTTCCTGTCTCAGCCTCCCGAGTAGCTGGGATTACAGGAGCCTGCCACCCATGCCTGGCTAATTTTTTTGTATTTTTAGTAGAGATGTGGTTTCACAATGTTGGCCAGGCTGGTCTCAAACTCCTGACCTCAGGTGATCCACCCACCTTAGCCTCCCAAAGTGCTGGGATTACAGGTGGGAGACACCGTGCCTGGCCCAGGAAAGCCTAATCTTCTAGGCCTCAGTTGGCCCAGGAATGATCCTCTCAGGCTACCTCCTCAAACTCTCAGAGAAGTTTGGCTAGCTCCTTGTTAAGCCATTCCTTTACTCAACAAATATCTTTTGAAGACCTACTATGTGCCAGGCACTCTTCTAGAAGCTGGAAATAAAGTAATAAATACAACAGACAACACATGTGGCCTCACAGAACTTATAATCTAGTGTTGAAGACAGATAATAATAAGACATATTAGTAAAATATAAGAGACTATTTTAGAAAGACTGTGCTAAGAATACAAAATAAGAAGGAACTTCTAAGAAAATATTGTGCAAGAAAATAAAGAAAAAAAATAAGGATGGGTAATATAAAGCGTTCATGGGATTGTCTGTGGCCAGCAGTGGGGCAAGACAGGTATTTTAGATAGGGCAGCAAGGGAAGACCTCGTGACTTTGGAGTGAAAATGTGAAAGAAGCAAAGGAATTAGTCATGGGGGTGTCTGCAGAGAGAGCATTTGGGGGAGAGAAAACCACAAACGCAAATATGTCAGAAGTGAGCCTGGCATTTTCAAGGGGCAGCAGGAGGCCACGTGGCTGGAGCTGATGCCCAACAGGGAGAGAACTAGGAGGCTGGTCCTGGTGTCCTCGGTCCTAGTTGATCACACAGCCTTGTCAGTCATGATGGACTCCTCATGAAAAGGAGGGCAACTTCTCTGAAGCTCTTATAACAACTTCTCATCAAAGGCATCTCTCACACAAGCAATGCGCTGCCCTACTTTGCTATTCTGGACCTTGTCATCACATCATAAGCAGGCGATCCATTATCCGTACTTACTAGGCTCTACTGGAGTTCCACAGCCGGCACAGAAAAAATTCTGGGCTGCCACCACAAGGTCCCTCCTGAATACGAAAAATAATACTAGTTACATTTCAGAGAAGGCCAATGGCACATTTTTCACTAATTAGAAAAGAAATTGCCATCGTGATACTTTTCTAACTAAGGGCCTTAACTTTGTCACTTTTCATTTGGGAAAGAAATAGATTTATTCAATACAATTTTCTAGTTGAAATCCCTGGGTCTTTTAAAGCTATGACTAATTTTTTTTATTTTTCATTTTTTTTCCTGAGACAGGGTCTTGCTCTGTCACGCAGGCTGGAGGGCACTGGCATGATCATAGTTCACTACTGCCTCAAACTCCTCGGCTCAGCTCAAGCAATCCTCAGCCTCCTGTGTAGGTAGCTAGGACTACATGTACACGCCACCATGCCCAGCTAGCTTTTTTTGGCTTTATTTACTTTTTTTTTTTTTTTTGGTAGAGATAGGGTCTCTCTATGTTGCCCACACTGGTTTCGAACTCCTGGCCTCAAGTCATCCCCCTACTTCGGCCTCCCAAAGTGCTGGAATTACAGGCATGAGCCGCCGTGCCCAGCCTTAAAGCTACATCTCTTTAAAAGCTTCTGCTAGGCTGGGCACGGTGGCTCACGCCTGTAATCCCAGCACTTTGGGAGGCTGAGGCAGGCGGATCACGAGGTCAGGAGATGGAGACCATCCTGGCCAAACCCTGTCTCTACTAAAAATACAAAAAATTAGCCGGGCGTGGTGGTGGACACCTGTGGTCCCAGCTACTTCGGAGGCTGAGGCAGGAGAATGGCGTGAACCCGGGAGACGGAGCTTGCAGTGAGCCAAGATCGCGCCACTGCACTCCAGCCTGGGCGATAGAGTGAGACTCCGTCTCAAAAAAAAAAAAAAAAAAAAGCTTCTGCTAAAACCAAAGCAGAAGTCAGCGTCACTGATAACTCCAAGGGGTTTTTAGGGAGGTCTCGATGCCCGTGTACAGGGTTCCAGCTCCAGAGAGAACCAGAGACATGTTATACAAGGAAGACAGCTCAGGGAGGCCATACACCAAAAGATGATGCACTTGGGAAATTCACAAATGGATCTAAAGAAATTTAGACGAATAAGAGGTAACGTAAGACAAAGAAATCAAATCATTTCTGGTAAGAGATATTCCATTCCATTGAGGAATTTTCTTTCTTTTTTTTTTTTTTTTGAGATGGAGTCTTATTCTGTTGCCCAGGCTGGAGTGCAGTGGTGCAATCTCAGCTCACTGCAACCTTCACCTCCCAGGTTCAAGCAGTTCTCCTGCCTCAGCCTCCCAAGTAGCTAGGACCACAGGCATGCACCACCATGCCCGGCTAATTTTTGTATTTTTAGTAGAGACAGGGTTCTGCCATGTTAGCCAGGCTGGTCTTGAACTCCTGACCTCAGGTGATCCCGCCCACCTCGGCCTCCCAAAGTGCTGAGATTACAGGCATTGGCCACTGTGCCCGGCCTGAGGGATTTTCTATTGAACTGTTTATCCCATAGTTTTACATGTGACTTGGAAATACCAAGGAAATTGTAAAATTTGTTTACAGTTCAGGATCAGCAAAAGATGGCCAAGGTAAAAATATGCTAAATCTCTGCCCAGGTGCCATAGTGAGGACCTAGGAAACCCCTAAAGAAAAGATACCCCAGGCTAAGGAAAGCAACCTCTCACGATGCCTAGACAGGGAGTTCTGCCCAAGCAGCCCCACAGACTTTCTTGGCATTCTCTCAAAAAAAGAAAAACAAAAGAAAGATCTAGTCTATAAGGCACCTCCGTGGGGCAGAGTCAACCTCTCTCCAGTCCCTTGGGCACAGTCAACAACCCTCACCGGTCCCTTTGTAATGCTTGGCAGTTTGCACACCAAATTGAATACAAACCAAGAGGGATGGAAAAATTATACTTGGTTAAAATGTTTTGTGTATAATCTTTGATCATAATCTGTCCTATAGTCTCGGAACAAATTACAATTAAACTATTACTTTAAATTTATAGGTTTATTTCCTTTTTTGCATAATCTTAGTTGTTTTGTCTTTTAGAACTTTTGTTACTTCTTAGAGAACAAACATATTTTTATTTACATTTTGTTACATTTCTTTTGTTGGTTTTGAGATCGAGTCTCGCTCTGTCACCCAAGCTGGAGTGCACTGGTGCAATCTCAGCTCACTGCAACCTCTGCCTCCTGGGTTAAAGCAATTCTTGCTCCTCAGCCTCCCGAGTAGCTGGGATTAGAGGGCTGCACCCACCACACCTAGTTTATTTTTGTATTTTTAGTAGAGAGAGGGTTTCACCATGTTGCCCAGGCTGACCCCAAACTCCTGACATCAGGTGATCCCTGACCCCAGCCTAGGCCTCCCAAAGTGCTGGGATTATAGACAGGTGTGAGCCACCGTACCCGGCCTCTGTAACATTTCTTAACTATAAGTGCTTTCCCTAAGATTAAATGTTCCTTTTTTAGAAGTTTATTCATTCATTTTTATTTCACACTGATTGTTCTGGAAGATAAAGTGGTCCAGTCTTTTAAAATTATCATAGGCTGAGCGAGGTGGCTCACACCTGTAATCCCAGCACTTTGGGAGGCTGAGGTGGGCAGATCACTTGAGCCCAGGAGTCCAACACCAGCCTGGGCAACATGGTGAAACCCCATCTCTAATTTTTTTAAAAAGGAAACACATTTTAAAAAATTATTGTATATAATTTTTAAGTTTTGATATTAGCCACTTTTAAAAATCCCCTTTAAGCCTATTTAATTTTCAGTTGCTACGCAATATTGACAATTAGGGTTGCATAGCTGAATTCTCAACTTGTCAAAACTTACAGAGCCCCCAAAAGTCCATGGTAAACAAGAGGAAAAAAAAAAAAAACCTAAGCCAGAAAATACAGCCAACTTTCCTTTCCCTAAAACAAATTTTCCTGTGTTCTTTAGCATATGTATTTTTTTCACCTACTGCCATAGAGTCAGGTGGGATCTGTCACAATGTGATTTAAATGGATTGGAGGCCCAAGCAACAGCCCATACTTACTTGAGTGGTGGATGAATATTAAATATGATTTGAAATCTAGGAGGAGCCCAGTCTTCAGTCCCTCTGATCCTAGACTTAAATTTAATTTCCTGTACTACATTCATACTGGATTCAAAGTCTTTTCGGACACACTCTTCATTTACGACCTGCATAAGACATAAAATGATTTAGGAACAACTTAAGCATATTTCAAAGAATTTAAATTAAAGAAACATCTAAATGTATTTCCAACATTAAAATTTACCATGAAAAATTAACAGTGCTTTTAACTGAACTAAAGGGCATACCAAGAGCCCTCCACATCTCTAAAGCCATCTGCAAGAGAATTGCTTTAAACACCACCCAGATGAGATCACTTTTCTTAGTATTTTTAGTTCATTTATTTCCAGACTTCAAATTTACTGTAAGTAGGTCATTTTGACCTGGAATGCATTTATGAATAGCAGAAGCCTCACCCCTCTTAGTCAACAGACTGACAAATGCTACCAATCAGAACCCCTATCATTATTAGTCTTCCCCAGAAACAGCTCTATTAAGACCTTTCCCCTTGCTTACAAATGTTCAGTGCCTCCCCGCTGAACCACTGGACTTTCCTACTGTCATTTAAAATCCAAACTTCTCAGCTGGGTGCAGTGGCTCATGCTTGTTTTCCTAGCACTTTGGGAGGCCGAGGTGGGTGGATCACTTGAGGTCAGGAGTTTGAGACCAGCCTGGCCAACATAGTGAAACCCTGTCTCTACTAAAAGTACAAAAGTTAGCCAGAAATTGCTTGAACCCAGGAGGTGGAGGTTGCAGTGAGTCGAGCTTGTGCCACTGCACTCCACCCTGGGCAACAGAGTGAGACTCCATCTTAAAAAATAAATAAAATAAAATAAAATAAAATCCAAACTTCTCAAATTAGCATTCTACATCCTCCACAATTTGGCTACTATCATTCAAACCTTATTTCCATAAAGAACAACCTCTCAGACACAAATACTCACAAACGGGTATTATCCAACCGCAGCGAATCACTCTGCTCAACGGCATAGCATGCCCCTCCACTTTTGCTGCAGCTCCCCTTTGCCAAGAACGTCCTCCCCCAACCTTTCTACCTGCCACAGTTCTGGCCAGCCCAATACTTAGCTCAAGTTCTGAAATCTGCAGTCAGCCTTCCTAAGTTCCCCTGGTAAAATTAAACACTCCTTCCTCTGCACTTCGAGGGCATTTTCCCTACCCCTGTTTTAGCCTTTGTCATAATGTTCTCTACCCTCAGAAGGCTGCTTGCTCTCTGACAGCAGTGAGCAGTGTGTTCCATGAGGGAACCAACATGTACTTTCCAATGAGGCAGCCTGGGCATGACTCCTGCTTCACAGCTGACCAGCCCTGCTGGGAGGCTGGGCCCACCACTTAAAAATAAAAATAAGGACAGCCTCTACCTAACAGGATACTTATGAGGATTAAAATGTGGACTGCTGGCCGGGCACGGTGGCTCAGGCCTATAATCCTAGCACTTTGAGAGGCCAAGGTGGGCAGATCACTTGAGGTCAGGAGTTGGAAACCAGCTGGCCAGCATGGTGAAACCCTGTCTCTACTAAAAATACAAAAAAGTTAGCTGGGCGTGGTGGCGTGCGCCTGTAGTCCCAGCTACTTGGGAGGCTGAGGCAGGAGAATCGCTTGAACCCAGGAAGCGGAGGTTGCAGTGAGCTGAGATTGCGCCACTGCACTCCAGCCTGGGTGACAGAGCAAGAATCCGTCTCAAAAAAATTAATAAATAAAATAAAATAATGTGGACTGCTGAGCACAGTCTCTGGTACACAATAAGTACTCAACACATGCCAGTTTCCTCATTCATTTTGAGTCTCCCCTAATATCCAGTGACCATACAAGGAAAGACAAATGTTTAAAGTGAACAGGGCAGGCAAAATGAGGATTTAGGAACTTTCAATTCAAGGTCAATTTTTTTTGATACTTACTATCGAGCCAGCTGCACTCAGGGAACCTGCCAGCTGAGAATTAACTACTGACAGTATCCAGCACTTCTGGAACACGCGGTACAGCTCTTTGGCTAATAGTTCTGCAGAATTGAAGTCTGGCTCATAAGTGACACTGAAATGTAAGAGATGCAAATACTGGAAAACTATATTCATGAGGAGTATGTTCAGGGTCTTCCTGAGGTTTTCAACTGTTCTTCCCAGCCCCCAAAACTCAGAAGAGGCTGTCATATGAGATGACGCATGAATCACTCACCAGGCATCTTACTCAACATGGCTCCTGCATGTTCAATAAATAAAGCATCTTTTATTTACTGAGGGCGCTAAGACTTAGAGGTGTGGTGAAAGAGCACTGGCTTTAGAGTCAGAAGACCTGCATTCAAGCCCTACTTCTACCTCACAGCCTTCGTGTCCCGAAGCACATCCTATATATGAGTCTCAATTTTTATGTCTATAAAATGAGGTTTAAAAATACATAAATATATGGTCGGGCATGGTGGCTCACACCTGTAATCCCAGAATTTTGGGAGGCTGAGGCAGGCGGATCACCTGAGGTCAGGAGTTCAAGACCAGCCTGGTCAACATAGTGAAACCCCATCTCTACTAAAAATACAAAAAAAAAAAAAAAATTAACCAGGTGTGGTGGCAGGTGCCTATAATCCCAGCTATTCAGGAGGCTGAGGCAGGAGAATTGCTTGAACCCAGGAGG
This sequence comes from Homo sapiens, assembly GCF_000001405.40. Classification (NCBI taxonomy): domain Eukaryota; kingdom Metazoa; phylum Chordata; class Mammalia; order Primates; family Hominidae; genus Homo; species Homo sapiens. The sequence continues at coordinate 46,362,168 of NC_000013.11, forward strand.
CGGAGGTTGCAGTGAGCCGAGATTGGGCCATTGCACTCTACCCTGGGTGACAAGAGCAAAACTCGGTCTCAAAAACAACAACAACAAAAACATAAATATACACACACATGCATACATAAAATTCACCCAACCTGTTTAACTGAAATGAGGATTAAATGAAAATGCATACAAAAGCCTTTTATATATTGTAAAACACTATAGAAACTTTGGGGGTGATTGTTTCATTTCTAGGTGATACTCTCCTAGATTCATGGGAACAAATCACTGGAACTAGCTAAAGTGGGCCCAGAATGTCAGAGGCCTAGGTTTCACACTGCCTCAGAGGTGACAGCCCAAGGGTCTATGTGCACTGTGCACAGAAGACAGATACCTCTTAGAGGAGCTGCAGGAACAGCTACAGGTTTCTGTGATATCATTAAAATCTCCAAGCTCTGTGGGAAAATAAAAGAAAGAGTGGTGAGGTCTTTTAGTCTGTTTCATTTAATCGCAGTCCATTTTATAAGAACACTAAAATCACTCCCTGCATCTCAGAAAGAGCAAATTATTCAGCATCTCCATGCTTCAGGTTCTGAGAAATGGACAGAACAGATAATGAGAGGACAGATAATGATCAAAGATGGGATTTCATCTGAAATTTCACCAAAATATAACTGAGAGGCCAAAGAGATATCCGACCATAATGAATATCTGCTTTTTCATTCAACTCTACAAGTGAGATGAGAGATTAGCTATCCAGACATTTGAAACAAGAACATCATATATATATATATAGATATATATATATATATATATATATATATATATATATCAGGGCCATAATCTGATTTTGGAAGAAGTTGGTTTGAATGCCACTGTAACGTAATGTTGTGTGTGATGCATGTTAGTGTGTGTATGCGGATGGGATTGGGGAGGCAGCCAGTCACATCCAAACAGTTTCCAAATCTTACCTAAAATAACAAATTCATCAACATCGCATTTGCAAATCTCTTTCACATCATGGTAAGTACGTGTTTCAGTCACTGGGCTGACCTGTAACACAGCACAACCTAGACAAAGAAAGGAAGGAGGTTTTTACCAATAAGAAGAAAAAGAAAAACTGTACAACCTGCAACACCCAACTAAATAGAAATTGGGAAATGAAGAGGGCTAAAAGTTTAAGAGAATTAAACATTTCAACTTAAAGAATTAAAAAACTGGGGAACTATTTGTGTGTTCTTTTTGCACTCACTATGATTAAGTGCCTGTAGTCCCAGCTATTCGGAAGGCTTTCATCACAAAGAAGCTATCTGCAGTCCATCCAATGTTTTAAAATATTGAAACACTGAAAGCATCTAAACGTTTAATAATAGGAAATTGATTTTGCAAATCACACGATTAAATACTATCATTTAAAAATGTAAATCTGCCAGGGGCAGGGGCGTGCACTTGTAGTCCCAGCTACTCAGGAGGCTGAGGTAGGAGAATCACTTGAGCCCAGGAGTTCAAGTCCAGCCTGGGCAACATGGCAGAACCCCCGTCTCTACAAAAAATACAAAAAAATTAGCCCAGTGTGGTGGCCCGGCCAGCACCTGTAGTCCCAGCTGCTCAAAAGACTGAGGTGGGAGAATCACTTGAGCCTGGGAGGCGGAGATTGTAGTGAGCTGAGATCATGCCACTGCACTCCAGCCTGGGTGACAGAGTAAGACCCTGTCTCAAAAAAAAAAAAAAGTGAAAACTATAGCAACATGATTATTAATACTAGTAGTATGAATAGTATTAATACTATTAATAATACTGATAATAGCATTAATAATCATTATTATATTATTAATATAATTATATAATCATTGTAAATATAAATTTGTAAAACTGTCTTCATTTGAATAAACATAGGAGAGAAACACAGAAAAAGGAATACAGTTGTTTAAGGAAATAGCCTAGCCCATAGTTTACATAGAAGTTATGTGGGCTGGGCGCAGTGGCTCATGCCTGTAATCCCAGCACTTTGGGAGGCTGAGGCAGGCGGATCACAAGGTCAGGAGTTTGAGACCAGACTGGCCAACAAGGTGAAACCCCATCTCTACTAAAAATACAAAAAAAATTAGCCAGGTGTGGTGGCAGGTGCCTGTAGTCCCAGCTACTTGGGAGGCTGAGGCCGGAGAATCGCTTGAACCTGGGAGGCAGAGGTTGCAGTAAGCTAAAACCACACCATTGCACTCCAGCCTAGGCAACACAGACAGACTCCATCTCAAAAAAAAAAGAAGTTATGTGAAGGGTTTTACAGTAGGCTGGCTGACTTTAAGACAGAACCCATTCTAGCTGGGTGACGATGGACAACCACCACTTCCAGCTGCAGTTTCCTCATGGATAGAATGGGGGTAAGAGCACCCATCTGTGTTTTTCACTGTCTTTTGCCCATCATCCATAGTAACGTACAATTTACATTGTGACTTAGTACAGACACAATAATATGTTTAACTGATAAAAAAAAAAAAACTTTCAGGAAACATTGCTCACCCTCAGTGAGATGCACTCTGCTATTTTCTACCCTTGTTTTTTTTTTTTTTAATGTTCTCAGGACCAACTGGCAGTTTGAGTAATACCAACCCACCTCATGGAGGAACATCTATTGCCACAAATGTCACAAAAGAAGTACTTAATAAAAGATAAATATTTATATTTGGAGGATAGAAATATTCTTAATTTTCATTTAACATATTCATATTTATTCATGTTTTCTTAAAGTTTCAGCTACCATCAATTTACACCCAACCACTATTTATAAAAATACCTATTTCAGACAAGGCATTATACTAAACACAAATACAAAGAAGACAATTTCTCAGCCATCTAAGAGTTTAAAATCTCATGAAAGGCTGGGTGTGGTGGCTCGTGCCTGTAATCCCAGCAATTTGGGAGGCCGAGGCAAGCGGATCACCTGAGGTCAGGAGTTTGAGACCAGCCTGGCCAACATGGTGAAAGCTCGTCTCTACTAAAAATACAAAAATTAGCTGGGCGTGATGGTGTGCGGCTGTAATCCCAGCTATTTGGGAGGCTGAGGCAGAAGAATGGTTTGAACATGGGAGGTAGAGGTTGCTGTGAGCCGAGATCGCACCACTCTACTCCGGCCTGGGCAACAGAGAAAGACTCCATCTCAAAAAAAAAAAAAAAAAAAAAAAATCTCATGAAGGAGCTGAGATACGAACAGACCTAAACCACGTACACACACAAAAAACACAGTTGCATTGCATGGGCCTTGAGAAGTTCTGAGGCAAGGTTCTGCACTACACAACTCCAGGGAAAGACGAGCATGCAGATGGCACTGGAGCATTCTGGAGCACAACCTGTGTTTCATTCCACATGGATGGTGCTCCTCCCCTGGGATACAAACCAGGGAGCATGTCACAGTGACAGTGGCAGGACATTGCTTCTGAAGGATGCGAAGGATGAAAGACCTGATGTGTGGTTACTGGGGGAACCCACATTTCAGGACATCCTTCCCAAAGCCATGGGGGGAAATGTCTGCCAGCAACTATACACAGTCTAGTTCAACTACAGCCCACCATCCAGCCAAGGGGAATGGCACGAGATTCCTGTTTAAAAGGCAGGAAGCAGCTGGATGCCACAAGGCTAAAAATTCCAGAATAAAATGTGGCAAAAGCTCAGCAAGCCATTATAGAGGACAAAAAGTTGTGATCCAGGAAGACAGATACATGCAGGATCAACTAGGGGAAACAAGTTGAAAGTAAAGAGAGAAAATTAAACCAAATCGGTATTAAAGAACTAAATTGTAGTCCTTACAAAATGACTAGCCAGAAGGCTACTGCAGCGGGCCAGGTAAGGGATAGAAATGGGAAATGGATGGAAGAGAAGTGATTACGACTGAGAAGTCAGGATTGATTTGTTTACTAACTAGAAACGGGACAGGAGCACAAGACCACAGAAGAAGGAAGAGTCCAGTATACTAAATAGGAATTACTTCTTCTCCACCCACATTCATTTTCTCCCTACTGGTAGCCTCAGAGGGCACGATCGTCCATATCAGATTTCCCCGCCCCCTGGCTGCATCTGACCAACCAGTTATGGACATCTAACCAAGGTAAGGCCCATCAGGTGCTCTGTCCTGGGATCTGGACTGAGGGTCCTGCAAAACTGAGTTGTTGAGATGTGACCTGGCTGAGTGGTCAGGAAGACTGCAGAGCTGAAACTAGATGCCAGGGGTGGGTAGAAGTAGGTAGGCTACAGAAAAAGAATGAAGCAATTGCTAGAAAAGAAGAGATGAGAGGCCCAAAGTCCCCGAAAAGATAGACACTGGAGCTTTGTCTACACTGGTCATATGTGTCCCAGATATATTTCCCACCACTGGGTTCAGTGAGAATGTTCTATATCTTAAGACAAAACAACCCTTTTAATTTGAGCCAGTTAGTGCATTCAACAGGTATTTGATCATATACCTATTCTGTGCCAGGCATTATGCTATACACCATATGGAGTGAGTTCTTCCTTTGTTATTGAGTATTCCTGATTAACGTGTAGTAAAGGAAGTCAAGAAGAAAAGCAAGCTTCAGTGGTTTTCTTTGGAAAGAAGGGGATTGTGAGAGAGTGATGGAGAGATGACTAGTTTAGACATATTAAGTTATAGGTTAACTACACCCACCTTTATGTTGCAGTGAACATATATCAACAATGAATAAAATGAAGCATTTTAAGTCACCCAGAAATGAAGTATTAAGTCACAGGTCCTGGGGGGCCAGCCAGACGGACAAGCCTCCAGCCTTAGAGAGCAAGCACTTAGAAGAGATGTCCAGGACTGAAAACATAGATTCAGGAGATAATAGCTGAGAAGGAATAATTGAAGGTGTATAGTAGGTTAAATCTGCCAGGAAGCAAATACAGATTAAAAAAAGAATATAGGACTGGAGGCAGGACTTAAGAAATGGTAAGAAAGTAGCAAACCCTAACATGAGCTATCGGCTTAGGCACTCGTCCCTCGGGGAAGAGCCCCCAGGTCCCAGAGTGAGCCGAGGCACTCCTCCTCAGTGACAGTGACGCACTGTGCTGGGTCCCCACCTCTGTTCTACAGGTTACCCCACAGGGCTTCCCGGTCCCATGCTCCAGCACGCAGACTCCTTGAGGGAAGGAGCACACCCTGCATACTGTTGATGTTCAGCACCTAGCACAGCACAGGCCCATTACTGAATGAAAAAAAGAAGATTCATTGGAAAAGGAAAGATGGTGTAAGAACAGCTAGGAGAATGCCATGTGACAGAAAACAAAGGACGAGGAGACATCAGCCACGTTTATTTCCAGTGAAAAAGAAAAGTAGGATGAAGTCCAAGATTAAAAGAACAAAACAAAACAAAACATAGGATTTGACAACTGAACGGAGCATGATAACCAATCCTGACCCAAGATGGCAGAAAGGGTGAGGATTACAGAGGTTACTCAAGAAGTTTTTAGACAAAGGATTTAAAGACATACATTTGTCCTGCTTTATCTGCAGTTTTACTTCCCGTGGTTTTAGTTACCTGCTGTCAACTGGTCCAAAAATATTCAATGAAAAGTTCCAGAAATGAACAATTCTTAAGTTTTAAATTGTGCACCATCCTGAGTAGGATGATGAACTCCCACACGTCTTGCCATGTCCCCTCTGGAACATGAATCATCCTTTGTCCAGCATACCACACTGTATATACTACCCACCCACTAGTCACTTAGTAACCCTCTTGGTTACAAGAACAAAAAAAAAGTAGTGTATATAGAGTTTGGTACTATCTGAAGGTTCAGGCTTCCACTGGGAGTCTTGGAATATATGCCCCGTGGATAAGGGGTAATTATAGAGGAGATATATGTGAAACACATAACATACAGCTTTCTCATATTTGCCCAACTTGCCTTCATAGCCACTGTATGAAGAAGTAGAAGACCCAGACTCTTGCTTTATGTTGGTATCAAAAGTCATTTCAGAGTCAGGCTGATCACTCCCAAGTAACCCACTGACTTCTTTACTCCAGCTCTCTGTCTGCTGTTGACTCAGAATGTTACACTTCATTTTCTCCATTGCTGATATAATCATATCTGCAACATAAAAGTGGGCATTTTCCTGCAGAAAAAGAAATCAATTAAAATACAAGCATAATCAACTTTTTCATGGAGGGTATATTAGATTTGAAAAATCAATATGCTCTATTTAAGTGGAATTAATGCATATCAGTATAAATATTCATTTAACTGAGTTATCATAGGTCACTCTATGACTTATAGCACACATTGTCCAGAGACATAGATTCGGCTTACTATAATCAACGGACAACTCAAATTGGATTTCTTGTTATACAAAACCTTAGGTTGGGGGAAGCCTAATGCCAGACATCATTCATCAATCACAGAAAACTTTCCAGCTGAGCACAGGCACGGCCTCGGAACCCTTCTTAGCTTAGTGTTTCTGGCAGTCTCCATCAATCAAATGCTGAAAGGAAACCTATTTGTAATGATTCATCAAATTGAAGTTTCCAGATTTAAATCAGAACAACACTATCTAAAGGATTAAGACTCTATGGTTAAAAAGAAAGAAGATAGCATTCACCTTTTCTACATCAACAGGCAGCACAAATACCTCTGGTGAGAAGGAATTCGAAGAAATGGTTCTTCTACTGACTTGAACAGCACCTGCCAATATAGCAAATTGTTAAAAATGGGGAAAAGGGAGTTTAAAGATTACCTAATAAAATAAAACAATTATAGGAAGTGGCTTTTAAATAATGTAAAAAAATAAGCACAATTCTAGAATAAATTCAGATGACAGGAAAAGAAAGATCTTTCCGATGGCAGGTCTTACAGATATTGCTTTAATGATGATCATTTCTAGGAGAGGCTGTTGGAGTAACTGGGAGGTATCCTCAGCCACCGGAGTGGAGGAGACCAATGAGGAAAAGAGGGTAGAAAGAGAATAGGGTCCTGGGAAATCCCAACAGGGGCTGGGGTAAAGTGAGAAGCCACAGTCCAAAAGCAGGGTCCTAAGGATTATGAGATCGCTTCTCTAGCTCATTGTGATTGATCTTAAACTTCCTTTCTTCTTCTTCTTTTGAGACAATATCTCGCTCTGTCACCCAGGCTAGAGTGCAGCGGCGTGATCACACTTTAGTGCGGCTTCAACCTCCTGGGCTCAAGCGATTCTTCTACCTCAGCCTCCCTAGCAGCTGAGATTACAGGTGCCACCATGACCAGCTGATTTTCTAAATTATTTTTGCAGAGATGGGGGTCTCATTAGCTTGCCCAGGCTGGTCTCAAATCACTGGGCTCAAGCTATCCTTCCACCTCAGCCTCTCAAAGCACTGAGATTACAGGCAGATTGAGCCACTGCACCCAGCCCTAAACCTCCTGTCTAGAGAAATAAAATCCATCCAAAAAAGGTCAGCATTGCTTCTCTAAGTTAGTCTTCTTCCAGTCAAAACCAACAAACTGCAGAAGGTACATTCTGCTGACACATCCATTCCTGCACCCTTAGCCACTCCATTACTGGCAATGACCACCATCAAAACAAACATTTTTTCTGTCATGTGATTTCTTACTGCAGCATTTAAAGCAAAAATTTCTGTGTCAAGAGCTGAGATGTCCCAACCTGCTAAATTAGAACAAAATGCTGCACATGGTGGTGACACAGCTCTCAGCATGATGGAGTTGCAAGCAGAGTCATTCAAATCCCTTGCTTCATGTTCAAGAAAGTAGTTGTTGCATGGAAAAATTTGGACTTCTTAGCTTCAGAAGCTATGGCTGGCAAACTTTTCCTGTAAACAGCTAGCTGGTATATATTGGAGGATCTGAGAGCCATACAGTATCTGTTTCAACCACTCTCTTCTGCCGCTGTAGTGAGAAAGCAGCTATAGACACAAGAGAAATTCATTTATAAAAACAGGAAGCTGGCAGGATTTGGTCCACAGGTCATAGTTTGCAGACTCTGAGTATAGAGGAAAGAGCACAGAGAAGAATCGGAACAGAGTGGATTCCAGTTCCAGCTGTCCGTTCACCAGCTGTGCCTCTGCATCAAAACGCTCTCAGCCCTTAAATTGGGATATTTATCAGGACACTAAGGAGATAAAGGAAGGTGAAAGTGCTTGTAAATGTGTAGTTCCTATGCCAACAAAATAAACTGTGGAATCCCTTCCTACAGCCTTAAGAAATGCTTACAGAGGCCGATAGTCTTTCCCTAAAGTATTTTCTGAAAAAAGAAAACCCTTTTGCCGCCATCTGAGATGCAGCGGTCATAGGAATGTCCACATCTTAGTGGCCAATGGCTGTTTTCCCTATTGCTGCCTCCGCACCAGAGAAAGAAAGAACCAGATCACTCAAGGCTTCTTTTTCTTAATCTTAAAGAATGAATCCCCTTACTGAGTTTAAGAGATATTCTCAAAACATTCCGTGAGTTGTTTCTAAAGGCACTGACAGGAGCTGTTGGGAGTCCTTGTCTTTGGGCAAAAGGGGCTGGGGTATCTGTTTTCTTTCTGAGTAAAAGAAAAAGCTAAAGGATAATTTTAAATTGTAGAACTACTTCCTGTACCATGATAGAATAAAAAGTTTCAGGCAAGGGTATGCTAGGCCCCAAAGATCATCTTCAGTTTATTATAACTTGTCATTATGGTGGTTCTCTGTTGGGGAGAGGGCTTTCCTCTATAAGACAATCTATTAAGACTAATCTCTCACTTAGCCACTACTAAATTTGCAAGTCACTCTTAATCCTTAGAACTATCCAAGCAAGTGAGCAAAAAAATAGGAAAAAAAAAAAAAAAAGGCCTGTAATCAGTCTTGTCATTTTGCTCAAACTTGGTCCTTATCTCAAAATTAACCATTGAAAGATTGTCCAAAATTTGTTCTTCTTAAGCAATGAATAAATGTGTTAAAGACTGTCATCATCTTTGATTGCTCAAACATTTCCAAAAGAACACATAAACTCCATATTTTAGGTAAGGGGGAAGATGAGCTCCTGCTAGTGAGAAATAAATATACAGAGAAATAGACAGGCAGGCAGCAGGCAGACTGATGACTTTTTAAATTGCTTTGAAAGAAAAAGCTTCATTGATTATTTATACTAGGGTTTGAATAGAAATGTAAATTAATAATGACAAGTGTGACTATAACAAATATTTTAAAATGAAATAAACATGTCACAGATTATAACAATAATAGCTAATTTATTGACTCTTGAGTAGTACTTCGCACGGATTATCCAATTTTTAGGAATTTTAGGGTCTTAGGAATATGTACATTACTTCATAGCAGTGAGAGCCCTTGTTTTAATAAAAAGGGGTTTTGTATAGTCTTCAGGGGAAACTGTAGTTATTGTTTAAAAATCTTACCATTTTCCTGTCAGATTCTATACAGGTAAATATAACAAGTGAAGTGACTTCACCACCTACTAGGTACTGGTGTGAAATGCAGACCCCGTGGCTGTCTGGAAACACCTCCAACCTCCACACTGACTTGAGAGTGCTTCCGATGCTCTCCCCTGTAGACAATTTAATGAGCTCTAAGTTCCTGAAGGCAGACGCCAGCTTAAAGATGGCACATGGCACTGATTATCAACTACATTAAGCTAAAAAGATAACAATTCTCTGCAGTCTAAGGAGAAAGCCAATATTTGATTTCACCTGTTGTGACCGCCCAGATGGCTGGGCTGCTGACAATATTAGATGAGGCAATGCATTGTCCCATGGGGAAGACAACAAGGCAGGCTTTAGAGCAAGGCGAAGCAAGGGTGTGAACAGAGAGGAATGAGGGAGGTCACCTACTAAAATTACCTTCATCAGCAGCAGATGTCAGATGGGAAGGCTCAAAAAAAGCACTGTCAGTCTCAGGATATGGGGAGGTGGCCAAAATCCCAGGGCTTGTGGGCAGAGACACCCGATGAGAGTATCCTGGGCGGACCATGTGTACCTCTGTTGAGGACAGAGAGAAGCTGCTACTCTTTTCACTCGAGCCATGGGGAGAAGCGCTGCCAACGGAGTCTGTGGTATCCTCAGACAACGTTGTCTCTGCCAGGGAGTCCCCGAGGCACGAAGGTGAAGGGCCTGAGGGAGAGGCAGCATCTGTCACAAAATGGGTCCCACTGTTCCCTGCTGCTGGCACCTGAGATTGCAAGTCCTGCGGCTGTTGCTGCACATCCTGGGGGTTAATCCAGACAGCTTTGTGCCTCATGAGCCTGATGTCTAATTGGCAAGGAGGATGGTCAGTGTTCAGGAGTCTGGGCGAACCATCAATAATGCCAGAGTGATCGCTGATCCCTTCCCAGGGCTCCACAGGAGAATCCTGCCTGACTGTAGATTGTGACACCATCTTTCCAGGCTTGTGGCTGGTGTGAATCCATTCAAAACAGATAGGAGTTCCCTGATTGCTGGTACTACTTGATTTGGGCCCTGAACTCACCACATGGCCAGCTGGGGGTCTGGAGAGCTATTCTGCAATGAGCAAGGAATCATTCAAAATAAGTAAGAATTCAATTGTATTTTGGCTACAAATTATTTTGAGATGGCAAAACCCAAAAAATTTAGAAGTCTGTACTTGGCTCTATCCAACATAGTAAAGCCCGCTTGGATTTATAAGTGAAAAAATAAATAAATCAGCCATAAAACTAGCAGTAAACCTACAGAGGCTTGACATTGGGAGAGGAAACATTCTTCAAAGCATAAAATTAAGAAATCACAAAGGATCAACTGATAAATCCCATAAAAATGTAAAACATCCATGCATCAAAATTATTTTAATAAAATTAAATGTCAAATCCAAGACAGGAATACTATCTGGAAGTAAAGACACATTTCCACATTTTCTTTCTTTCTTTTTTTTTTTTTAAACACAGAGTCTCACTCTGTCACCCAGCCTGGAGTGCAGTGGGGCCATCTCGGCTCACTGCAACCTCCGCCTCCCAGGTTCAAGCTATTCTGGTGCCTCAGCCTCCCGAGCAGCTGGGATTACAGGCACGTGCCACCACGCCTGGCTGATTTCTGTATTTTTAGTAGGGACGGGGTTTCACCATGTTGGCCAGGCTGGTTTCAAACTCCTGACCTCAGGTGATCCACTCGCCTCAGCCTCTCAAAGTGCTGGGATTACATGCATGAGCCACTGCGCCCAGCCATTTCCATATGTTCTTATTTTCATTTAGTTTGTTCTTGTGTTTCAACAAAGTAGGCAAAGTGGTACATAAAACAGAGGGATGATCCATAGCACTGAAGACTTTGCTTCATGTAACTTATATTACCTTTCATACTTATAATATCAGTATCAATGTATTCTCAGTTCATAACATTTAAAGAACACAGTATGAATCTAGAACCCATCTTTAAAACCCACTCACTTCTAAGCTCAGATTTTAGCTTTAGTGAAGACGTAATGATTAAAATGTTGAGAGCTACACAAACAAGAAGCACTCTTGTCACTGTAATTACAGGCTCGGGAAATGTTTTGCTTTTCTGTTCTTCCACTGCCCTCTGCATTGTGAAGCTAAAAGCAACTTTCAACAGCAAAAAGCAAGAAGAGACAGGGGAAGGCCTAGAGATAGAAGGGTGGCCTATGCCACATTCACCCTGCACAGTGGTGAACAGGAGACTTTGGAGTCAATTACAGGGCTGTAAATACCATTGCTGTGCATGCAGGCAACTCCCACATGTATCTCTATTTCTGATTTCCCGGCTAGCAAATCTTATTGCCTATTTGACATCTGTCCAGTGGGCACTGCAACCTGATACATCCAAAACAGTCACTCACTTCTCCTGAAACCTGCTCCTTCCCTGCTTTTCCCTCTTCCAATTGCCCAAGCCTGAAACTTAGGAGTCATTTCTGATCCTATCTTTCCTTAGCTCTCCAACTTCATTCCATCAGCAAGTTTATAGCTATAGCTGCTGTCTTAGTCTGAGTTACCGTCTTCTCACACCTGGACGTGCAGCCATAGCTTCCCAATAGATTTCTCTGCTGTTACTCTTGCCCAGGCTGGAGTGCAGTGGCACAATCTCGGCTCACTCCAACCTCTGCCTCCCAGGTTCAAGCAGTTCTCTGCCTCAGCCTCCCAAGTAGCTGGGATTACAGGTGCATGCCACCACACCCAGCTAATTTTTGTATTTTTAACAGAGACGGGGTTTCACCATGTTGGCCAGGCTGATCTTGAACTCCTGACCTTGTGATCCACCTGCCTCAGACTCCCAAAGTGCTGGGATTACAGGTGGGATCCACCGTGCCCGGCCAGTAACACCGTGTTTTAACACCCAGAGGGGTGCGCCGTTCCTAGGGGTACAGCAATACCAAGTTGATGCATGGAGTGGACGGAGCAAGCTCCTAGTCCATGTCCCTGCTCCAAAAATCCATTTAATATATTGTCCTCGGATAGAGGACATATCAGATATTAACTGATAAGAACAGATACTACACTTGATCTTAGCCAAAAGGCCGAGAAGCGATTACTCTTGCCCATTTATAATCAAGAGGTATTCAAGAGATCTTTTATAAACCTAAATCAGATCATGTCATTGCCCTAATCGAAATCCCCCAAAGGCTTCCCATCAAATCTGGAATAAAATCCAGACTCCTTACCTTGCCCTCAAGGCCTGACATGATGCTGTCCCTGTAAACCTCTCTCACTTATCTTCATCCAGCATCCATAAGCCCCAACCACACTGCAAGTTATTGAACCCTATAGGCTCCTTCTAACCCTAGGAATGCTGTTTTATGTTTCCTCTTTCTGAAATGCTCCTCCCCCAGATGATGACACATCTGGCTCCTTCCTGTCATAAATGCCTTGATTTATAAATTACTTCCTCAAAGATATCTTTCCTAACCACCTTTCTGCTTAAGGTAGTTCCCCCATCATTACCTCTCACATCACCATAAACATTTAGTTTTCGTCACAGAGGTGCTCACTTCCTGCTATTTTTTAGTTCATTACCGCCATTCTCCCCCTACTCCCACCTAACTGTAAGCTTCATGAGAGGAGGGGCCTTGTCTGTTCCCTGCCGGGTAGCATGCCCCATACCTAGAGCTGCATATCAGGGTTCAATAAATGTTTATGAATGGAAAGAACAAATCCAACAAAATGGAGACAAAGTTAAGAGCTAGAGAAAAGACCGGGCGCAGTGGCTCATGCCTATAATCCCAGCACTTTGGGAGGCCAAGGCGGGTGGAGAACCTGAAGTCAGGAGTTCGAGACCAGCCTGACCAACATGGCGAAACCCCATCTCTACTAAAAATACAAAAATTAGCTGGGCGTGGTGGCGGGCGCCTATAATCCCAGCTACTGAGGAGGCTGAGGCAGGAGAATCGCTTGAACCTGGCAGGCGGAGGTTGCAGTGAGACAAGATCATGCCATTGCACTCCAGCCTGGACGACAGCGAGACTCTGTCTCAAAAACAAAACAAAAAAAGAGCTAGAGAAAAGACCTCTGTGGCAGATATAACTGTTCTATTAATGGGGCAGAATTACTCATGTAGGAATAGAAGTGAATCCACATTTCCTAAAACATGAAATTGTTCTCACCCAATAATAAAAGTTCAGTAGACCAAAATAAGGTACATATGAAAACTGTTCTTGAGACTTTGAGTCTCAAGAGTTTTGGAGACTTCTTGATTTGAGGGCCCTATATTTTAGTTTATACCTTCTGGAGTAATAAGGATTATAATTTATACACACACACCCACACAGTTGACCCTTGAACAACATGGATTTGAACTTTGTGGGTCCACTAACATGTGGATTTTCTTCCATATCTGTCACCATGAGGCAGCAAGACTAACGCCTCTTTTTCCTCTCTTCAGTCTACTCAGCATGAGAGGATGAGGATGAAGACCTTTATAATGATCTATTTCCACTTAATGAACAGTAAATATATTCTCTCTTCCTTATGGTTTTCTTAATGACATTTTCTTTCCTCTGCTTTATTGTAAGAATGCTTATATAGTATTATACACTAACATACAACATATGTGTTAATCAACTGTTTATGTTATCAGTAAGGCTGCAGTTAACAGTAGGTTATAAGTAGTGTTAAGTTTTGGGGGAGTCAAAAGTTGTGCGCAGATTTTCAACTGCACAGGGTGTTAGTGTCCCTAACCCCTGCATTGTGAAGGGTCAACTCTATGTGTGTGTGTATATATATATCTTTTGCATATGACATATATTGTTTCTGGAGGCATATAGATATATATATACCTTTGTATATAACATATATTAATATATAAATGCATCTTTTGTATGTAACATACATATATAAACATATACATGCATCTTGAAAACACTACAAAAGCCCCAAATCACCATTCACAAAATATCACAGAGTACAGCTGGTTGTGTTAACCGCCAGAACTCACCAGCCCAAGATGCCTATCTTCCTTCTCCTGACCTCAAATCCCACCTTGTGCACCAATTTCTCTTTGTCACACATCTTTTCGTCTCCAATAATTCTGGATTTTATAATTACAAAAGGAAACCATGACTACATTTTTATAAAATGCCCAAACACAGAAGCCTAGAGTAAAAAGTGAACAGCGCTCATCACCCCAAGCCCCACAATCCTACTTTATTCTCAGAAATAACATTGTTAACCATTCTATTCTTTCTAGACCTTTATCTATGAATTAACGTACATATTTCAGACCAGAAGATATGTTTTCTTTTGTATACACATCCATGGGATCATACTGGAGATATTTTACAACTTATCTTCTTTTTCACTCAACATTATGTCTTGAGGGTCTATGTGATTCTCCTAAACTGTGTTATCACTTTCTATAGTATAAATATATCATACTTACTTAGCCAGACCCTACTGATAGAAATTTATTTTTAGCTTTTTGCAGTTATACAGTTTATAACAATGAACATCCTTGTTCATGTCATTTTTTGGTTGACTTTTTTTAGTTCCTTTCTCTTACTAGTTCCACTCTTAGTCTGAGTCCATAGTTCATGATAGCCTCATTATTTCCAAGAGAATAAAACTATATAAGTAAGTTATGGTTTATCCTCAATTTTCTACACATATCTTTTGTGTGTTTGGTGGGGGGAGATGACTATAGATGTGAAATCACATGAAAAACATGCAGTCTCAAATGGTAAAGCAGTAGTGATTCCAGGTGGTTTTGTTTTTCATTTTGTTTTCTTTGAGACAAGTCTCGATCTGTTGCCCAGGCTGGAGTGCAGTGGCACGATCTCGGCTCACTGCAACCTCTGCCTCGTGGATTCAAGCAATTCTCATGCCTCAGCCTCCCTAGCAGCTGGGATTACAGGTGGGCACCACCACGCCTGCCTAATTTTTGTATTTTTAGTAGAGATGGGGTTTCACCATGTTGGCCAGGTTGGTCTCAAACTCCTGACATCAAGTGATCCACCCAACTCGGCCTTCCAAAGCGCTGGATTGCAGGTGTGGGCCACTGTGCCTGGCTGATCCCAGTGTTTTTTATAAACAAGTTATAGTTAATAGTTCAAAGAGAATGACCTTATTTGGAACTTCCCATACATGGACTGACCTAAGTGAATTGAGCAAAAACCAACGTCCTCATAAAAAACAACCGTCAAAAGCAGGTGCTTTCTTCACTTCCTTCTAGAAAAGTGTTGTTGCTTCACAAAAATAACCAGCAGGTGCTGCTTTGCCAGGTTATAAAATCAAAGCATTGAGAGTTAGAATAGGCCCATAATAGATTCACAACCATGTCTAAGGTCACAGCTGGGCAGTGGCAGAGAGAAGACAAAAGGCCAGGTCGGACACTCACCAGGAGTATGAATTTCTCGAAGAGGCAGATTGACACAGAGGAGAAAGTAATGATTGGAAACCATCAAAGTCCATGCAGTAGTGACAGGAGGTCAATATCCCCATTTTTTATTTTATCTGTAAGGCAAAAAACAATTTGCCAGATGCTATGATACCACTGCCAGGTATGTTACTTGTTGCCATATTGTTTGTAGTGTGTTAGTTATTCAGTTAAGAAATATTTTTTTACTGAGCATCTACTACAGGTCTGGCATTGTTTTTGTTTTGGTAGCACTGGGGTAACAGACGGGACTAAAATAAGCTTCCTGCCCTTCCTCAGCTTATGTTCTGGAGGAAGGGAGATAGTGAATAGACATACATTTATACATTCAGACACACAATCATTTCAAGGATTGATAAGCAGAGATAATACAGGTCTAAGCAATACTTAGCATCTTCTCAACATACTTCCTGCCACTGTCACAAAGGGGGTCCTTTGAATCAGAGATACTTAGGTACAAACAATAAAATCAATTTCCAAAAACATTTAAGGGAAGAGATACCAATCTCAAAGCTTACCATCATTCTTACTGAGATTTTCCAGCTGGGATTAAAAGGTAGGCACAGGCCAGATTACTAGTGAACATATAAGCTGCAGCAAAGGCCCTGGACAAACAAGAGACTTCAGGACACCTCCAGCCAAGTCATTGTGACATCAGAGTCAGTGGCCCCATCGAGAATGATTGCATCACTAGAGCCACCAGAGACACAGTATTAACAGCAAAGATGCAACTTCTGCAGGAGGGATAGATGCCTCAGTGCCACCATGATGCCTACGGTGACCTCACAGAAGTCTTTCAGATCATAAGCAGCCAGCACTTGGAGGGCAGAGCAGCTTTAGCTCCCACTATGTATAACAGTCTTCAAGTTATTTCATGAATAGGCAAAAGTACATCAGATTTAGGTTTTAGGATTTTCTATGCCCCAATACTAACTGCCTATTGAATACACAACTGGGGGCATCAGAGTAAAGACACACCTTAAATCTTACCTTGTCAGTAATGCTTCCTTGGTCACCCTATAAAAACTGGTAATTGCCCCTCCCAAACAGTTCCTATCCCTCTCTTTAGCTCTATTTCTCTCTTTAGCACAAATCTCATTGTATCTAACCTCAATGACTAGTACCCCCCAGAATGTTAAATCTATGAGGGCCCTTTTATTTTTATTTATTTATTTTTTTGAGACAGAGTTTCCATCTTGTTGCCCAGGCACAATCTCGGCTCACTGTGACCTCTGCCTCCCAAGTTCAAGCAATTCTCCTGCCTCAGTCTCCCAAGTAGCTGGGATTACAGGTGCCCGCCACCATGCCTGGCTAATTTTTAGTATTCTGTAGAGACAGGGTTTCACCATGTTGGCCAGGCTGGTCTCGAACTCCTGATCTCAGGTGATCCACCCACCTCGGCCTCCCAAAGTGCTGGGATTACAGGTATGAGCCACCGCAGGCGGCCGAGGGCACTTTTTAAAATAACGTATTTTGGACACTGCTTTGTCCCCAGAACCCAGACCAGTGGCAATAATAGGTGTTCAATAAATATATTCTTTGCACTTATGAATGAAATCATGAACAAATTATCAAACGATACCTAGATATGGTTATGTTGTTTATTTCCTTGTCACCCAAGAAAGGAAGTCAAGAATGGATGTCACCCTTTAGAAGAAATTAGAAATCATGACCTAAATGTTCATCAACCACTTCCTTAGAATAAAGGATACTAGAGAATAGAAATCACAAATAAATAAGAGTCTAGAGTGAAAAGTAAAATTCATTTTTATCAATTTTATGGTACGTTACTAAGCACAGCCAGTAATAAACAAATACTGAGTAGAGCATGAATAAATCTTCAACTGTAGCATGTGAGCTGTTTGGTTACCACAGTTCCCCAGAACTTCTTCCCTTCTTTCTCAGGATCTACTTCTCTTCATGCTTTGACGTTAGGCAAAGATTCACATCCCAAAGAGAATAACAGAGCCTAAAACTATCACATATCAAATAGAAACCATCAAGATGCCCAATAATTTAACTCAACAGCTTCCAAAACAGTGTCCAGGAATTGCAGTAAACTGCAATTTTCTTATTTCATCTATATACTCTATACTATGTTGTAATAAAAGCAGCAGAAAGGAAACAGTGCTATACTGTTTCCCTGGCTGGGTGGTATCACAAAGGACTCCACTCCAGCTGATTTAGCCTTTGGTAATGACCATTAATTTTGAAGGTTTGCTGTCAGAAGAACACAACAGAAGGACAGAAAGCAATCAAGAGAAATGGGTAAGTAAGAAGGGGAAGGCAAAGTTCATGGAAAATTGAATATTTCACCTAAAAGAACTGCAGGGTTGCCCAAAACACCCAAATGACTAACTCCCTCTGGTCGCTGCATATGACGCCCTTCCCAGTCTCATTCTGCAAAGTTATAATTTGCAAAATTTCAGGTGTTATTATGCCAAGTTGAGAACTGAAATGGAGACCATTAGGGGACTTACCCAAAGTCTCGCCATTAGTAATTAGCAGAAGTAGGACAAAAACAAAAGTCTGAACCTGATCCAAAGCTGTTTCCACTGGTATTTCACACATTCCGTGTGGGCTGAAATTAGCAGGCTATTTTCAATTTCATTAGCAAAGTAATTTTAAGAACTTTCCCATCAGACATGTCATAAAATATAGGATTAAGACCTACATAGGTATATTTGATTTCATGCCTCTGGACAATTGTTCACAAAATTTTATTATTATTCATACTTGTATAAAAAAACTTTGCACCACACAGATCTAATATAAGAATATTAATTTATACACCTTACATGTGTACAGCTATGCTAATACATTAGGATACATACAGCATATGTAAAAATAGAATTTTGTTCTTTCTTTCCAATGAATCATCTTACACTTAAAGGTAAATGCCCTCCACTTTGGGGACCACCACTAAATTAACATTCTACCTAAAAACTTTACATATATTAAAAAAAACCAGATTTACATGCAACAGAATTTGATAACTAAGACAGTGAAAAAATATTAATACAGAAATTTACCCAAAGTAAAGGTAGGCAGCTGCACTTGAAAAATGGCTAGATTTCCATGTTTGGGCAAATAAAATGGAAAGCCATATTGGAAAAATGGTCTGACAGTTCCTCAAATACTAAATATACAGTTACCATTTAATCTAATAATTCTACTCCTGGATATATATACCCAAGAGAAATGAGAACACACATTCACACAAAAACTTGTGCCCGAATATTTCTAGCAGCACTATTCATAATAGCCAAAAAGTGGAAACAAATGAAATGACCATCAATTGATGAATTAACAAAGTGTGCTATATCCGTACAATGAAATGTTATTCAACCATCATTAGAAATGAAGTACTAATTTATGCTCTGACATGGATGAGCACTGAAATGACTATGCTAAGTGAAAAAAGCCAGAAACAAAAGACATTTCATATATATATATATATAAAATGTCCAGAATAGGCAAATCCATTGAAATAGAAAGGAGATTCGTGGTTGCTTAGGGTGGTGGGATGGGAACAGCTAAAGGGTACCAGGTTTCTTTTTGAGGTGATGAAAATGTTATAAAATCAACTGTGGTAATGATGGCATATATTTGTGAATACACTGAAAATCACTGACTTGTACACTTTTTTTCCTTTTCTTTTTTCGGTTTTCGAGACGGAGTTTCGCTCTTGTTGCCCAGGCTGGAGCGTAATGGTGCGATCTCGGCTCACTGCAACCTCTGCCTCCTGGGTTCAAGTGATTCTTCTGCCTCAGCCTCCAGAGTAGCTGGGATTACAGGCATGCGCCACCACGCCCGGCAATTTTTGTATTTTTAGTAGAGACAGGGTTTCTCCATGTTTGTCAGGCTGGTCTCGAACTCCTGACCTCAGGTGATCTGCCCGCCTCGGCCTCTGTTGCTCAGGCTAGAGTGCAGTGGCATGATCATGGCTCACTGCAGCCTTGACCTCCCGGGCTCTAGTGATCCTATTGTCTCAGCCTTTAGAGCAGCTAGGACCACAGGTGTGCCACCATATCTGGCCAATTTTTTATTTTTGTAGAGGAAAGACCTCACTATGTTGCTCAGGTTGGTCTCAAACTCCTGGCCTCAAGCAATCCTCCCAGTTCAGCCTCCCAAAGTGCTGGGATTATAGGCAAGAGCCACCATGCCTGGCTAGACTTGTACACTTTAAATCAGTGAAGCATTTGGCATGTAAATTCTATCTCAATCTCAGTAACAGTATTTTTTAAAAAATAAGAATAGGAAATGCTCATCTCCCTTCAAAAAGATCTAGAACTAAAGGGAGCTGTATTTCATGGGCTACAGGGATCAAAAGAGCACAAGCTACACACCAGGCTGTGAACAAAAATACTGAAAGGATAGGAGAAAGTTAAAAGGAGAAGTAGAGAGTAGATACGGGAAATACTGAATAAATGTGTCAAAAATAGGTAAGGAGAAGAAAGAGGAAGTAAAAGTGAAATTGTCATGATAGAACTATCTAGAAAAGGAAAAGAAAAAAAAAAATCAAGGGCTGGTAAAGACAACAGATGACCACTAGCAATTGAGCACCTACTGTCAGACCCTACCCTAAGGAATCCAGACATCCAAGATTATCTTCTTTTTTGAGACAAAGTTTCGCTCTTGTCACCGAGGCTGGAGTGCAGTGGCATGATCTCAGTTCACTGCAACCTCTGCCTCCCAGGTTCAGGCGATTCTCCTTGCCTTAACCTCCCAAGTAGCTGGGATTACAGGCGCCCACCACCATGCCCGGCTAATTTTTTTTGTATTTTTAGTAGAGACTGGGTTTCGCTATGTTGGCCAGGCTAGTCTCGATCTCCTGACCTAGTGATCCACCCGCCTCAGCCTCCCAAAGTGCTGGGATTACAGGCATGAGCCACCGCGCCTGGCCTATCCATGCTTATCTTTCAACCAGTGCTGCAAGAAGGCTCTAAGGCCAAGATTTACAGATGATAAACAAGGTAAAAAAAGTTAAGTATTGTGGTTATGTTTTAAGTGCCTATTTTTTAGAAATATATATACAGAAGTATTTAGAAATAACTGATAGAATGTCAGTGGGGACGATAAATAGAAATAATTGGTAGAATTTCTTAAATTTGCTTTAAAATAATGCCAGTGGGCAACATGGATGAAGCACAACTGGCCATGTTGATAACTGCCGAAGCTGGGAGAAGGGAGAAGGTTGTTCATTGTACTATTCTATGTTTAAGTTTGAAATTTTCCATTAAAAAATTCCCGTTTAAGTTTTCTAAAAACCTTCAATTTGCTACATCTGTCCAGGAGTCCCTAGGTTGCCTATCTGACCTCCTTATCTGCTACCTGGACACCTCTATGCCCCTCTACCCATACTCTCTTGTGGATCTTTATTCAAATGAAGACCTTACCCATCACCTTCAAACTGAGACCTTTCCCATCACCTATGACAAAACCACATCTCTACAGATAACCACTCTCTCCATGTACTGCCCCATAGCCTTCTCTACAGCATTCATCTTCTGACACCTTCCTCCTCATCAATTCATAACTAATGCTTATATGACATTTACTTTGTGCCTGGCACAGTTCCAAATTTTCTACACACACACACACATCATTTCCTTATGCCTTGATTAGGTCAGAATCCTTCATGGTGCTTCAGATTATTAGCAACCTAGCCCAGCCCCCAACAAAAATGAACTCTCTTGGTTTCTACACAGCAACATCCAAAGGGCAGCTGGAGGATGGGGGTAGGGTGAAGACTATTAAAGCTATCTTGATTAAGAAACAGTCAGTATATGAGCCAAACCCACAAGTCCAGGTGGCACTGTTTGGAAAAACAGAAAGCAAGAAAACTATCATCTGTAATTTCACAGTATAATAGACGACACATGGAGTGAATAATGAATTGTTTCTGCTATACTAAGACACATAGCCAGCCTACTTGAGGAGCTATTTTCAAATGACCAAGACCCAGGAGGCCCAGGCTAAACTAATTTAGCCCTAATTCTACAAGCACAGCGGTGAACAGAAGATCTTTAAATCTTGTGGACTCAAATATCTCTTCAGAATATTAATATTCACACAGCATGCAGCAGACTGCCTATACCTTGGCAATGCTAATGACATTGACATGTCTACCTCCCTGAGCCCAGATCACCATAAAACCAAGCCTAAACTAAAAGTGAGCAACCAAAAAACCCCCAGATTTTTATATAAGTCATGGGACGAATAAAATGATTTAACAATTGAGCCATATTTTTAAAAATACTTGCAAAATATGCATATAGATAAGTGCTAGTCCCTTCACTTAACAAACTTAAAAGTCCCATGCCAAAAACTTCTAAGAATCATTTCCAAGTAAATACAGAGAGAATAGGGAAGTGCCCTAAACATATTTTTGGAATTCAGTTCTTTTCTGATCAACTCTAGCTTGTCGGAATAAAAGAACGTAAAAAAGTATAAGAAGAATACATTTCTTTATAAGAATAATACAATACCTTTGAATACAATTCTTCTTATACTTACTCTATAATTGTACTTACTCTACAGTTTTCTGCAAACGTACTTACTCTACAATTTTCATCATCTAAAATCAACCAGCAAACAGTACCTGCTTACTGTGGGTGCTTTTCAACGTTACCTGTTAAAAAAAAACGTTGAGGTCTAATTTACATTTACTTCTTTTAATAAATATAAAGCTAAGGATCATTGGAATGAATGCATTTTTGAACAATTTTTCAACATAATTGTTGGAAAAATCACATTAAGTGTATAGTTTATTCTAACTTCTATTCATTTTCCAGCCTACTGATGACAAAAAGGCTTGAATCTGAAACTTTTCTTTCTACACTCTGAGAAGTATTTTACCTTTACGGAGCAGACTTTGGGCTCAGTAGAAACAAAGGATTCATTCAATGTAGAATTATTATCATCATTTTACGGGTTAGAAAAGGAAGTAAAGTGATGACCACATAGCCACTCAGCAGCATGCTCAAGTCCAAACCCTGGAACCTTGTCCATAGCCCCTAGTCTCACCATCCATGTTGCCTCCGTGTGTGGGATAAAAGACAATGCAAAAGTTAAAACACTCGCACACACAGGACCCAATTAAATATAATTTTAACGCCAATCTGAGAAAAATGACTTATTAGCTGTGTGATTTTGAGCAATGCTCTTAACCTCCCCCATGAAGGATGGTGTGAGAACGAACAGAATTGTAGCACGTGTATCAGTCTGGTACACAATGTCCTATGAAGGTTAGCTTTATTATCACCATCATTATTATTGCAGAAAGACTTTCAGTTCAGAATAAGACAGCACAGTTACAGAGACCTGGTTTTATTTTCCAGCTTCTTAACTGAGTCATCTTTCAGCTCCTTTTAATTAAAAAGAAAAAACAATCAGAGATCTAATTGGGTATCAGGAAGATACACAATATGACTAACAGGCACTAATATTACTACACTTATAGTCTCTGGAAGGCTGGACATACTTATCCAAGAACTGCCTAAATTTTTACAATGACACACCATGCTAAATCTTCCATATTAGAAATTCCATATTTCTCTCCATACTAGAAATAATCGTTCCATATTAGAAATAAGAACGTAGATTTGGTAACAAGGGAAACTATTCAAATTTGCCAGTGCTATTATTTGTGTGCCTTCAGATGGGTGGGGAAAAAATGTGTCAGCAAGCAATGCAGCCTTTCTTTAGTTTTTTACTTATCCTCTAAAGATCATGCAAAAAAAAAAAAAAACCAACAAACGTTTACTCTTGGATGTTTAACCTTGGCTCCGACAGAATGTTCCTTGTATCAAAAAACAAGAACTCAGCCAACAATGTTTTTGTTGTTAAACGGTTGCATGAAGACTATGTCCAGTCAAATCTAACCCCTCACCCCGCTCCAAGGCTATGACCCTCAATTTTCATCAAAGTTCCTACCATCTCCCACTTTGTAAAGGCCCTAAAGAAGTTAATGAAGAAGGCAAAGTTCCTGTCCTCTGCTGTCACTCAGTAATGAGCAGTTTCATGTGGCAGTGCAGAAACTGGGGTTTGAGAAACAGAGGTGTCCTGACACTCTGGACCGGTAATCACGAAAACCCCAGCACTGCCATAAAGATGCTGTCTTAACTCGGCTCCAAACAAAGTTCTGTCGGCGGCCGGCAGTGTTTCAGTGGGCAGCAATGTGGTGATACCTTCACAGGATACTTTATAGGCTTCAAAACACTTCCCTCCCTCCAGGCCATTAACCTTCTAAACCACACAGTGGGGTATGGCTGGAGTATTCTCCCCCTGAGGCAAGGGAACTGAAGTTCAAGAAGGTTTCTTGACTTGCCAAGATCTCCCCGCTACTTTGGCTTTAAGAAACTGGGTCTAAGAAACTCAAGCTTACGGATTCTCTGTTCTCTGCGCGCTCCCACCACATCTTCAATTCAAAGATCCTTCCAAATTCCACAGAAATAACCCAGTAAGGGCAGCTCTTGAGTATACCTTTTCCTTTGAGTCTTAATTTTCACTCAAGGCGAAATAACCCCTCCTCTGAAAGTTCTCCACGTTTTCCAAGCGGACAGCATCAAGTTCGCAGGGGATCTGTATCAGTCTCAGCAGGTGGACTTCACAAGGGGCGGGTTGGGGGAACGCCCGCCTGACCGTGTCCGGCGTGGCGGGGGGTTGGGGGCGAGAAGAGTGGGGGTTGCTATGTAGGGCGCCCGGACCAAATAACACGCCGCGATTTCACACTCCAGCCTAGCTCAGTTATGTAGCCAAATGTTTTTCTGTCACCACATATCCACGACTTTGGCTGTGTTGAGGACGAAAACAGAGAAAAGACACTGATCCCAGAACACTGCGCCTGGGAGGACGCAGGGCGCAGGCTTTGTAGTCTCTGAGAATCGCCCTGCGTAAAAGTGTCCTGAGGTCCCGCTTCTGCGCCCTTCCCGGCCCAAGCCGAACACAGGGTCAACCTCACTCTACAAAGTCAACCGGATAGAAATCCGCCACCCCGCGAGGAGCCCCTTCCTACTGTCTCCAAGGGGTCCCCGACACTGCTCTGAGCGACCCTAAGATACCTGGGTGTCTCTGCTGGGCACAAACCTCTCTGGCGCCACTTCCACCATCCAACCTCTCCCGCGGCCCTCCCTTCCCTTTCTCCAACCACCCTCTCCACCCCGCGCCGCTCCCATCTCGCCCCCGGCCCCGCCAGCCTCACCCAGCCAAACCCGAGCGGTGGAACGCTGCGCTGGGTAAACGCCGCGCGTCGGGTCCTCCCTCGCGCGGCTCCGGGCAGCGTTCCGTGGCCACCGCGCTCCCGGTAACAGCAGAAAGGGGAGGGAGGAGAGCTACCGAGGAGGGGACAGCGACGCCCCGACGCCGCCACGCCCCCCGCCTCCCACACGGGGGCCACCGTAGCTCTCTAGAAGCTCCTCAGGGAAGCAAAGCGCCGTTCCCGCCGCAGGCACCGAGACGTCGCCCAGATGGAAGAAACTCTGGAGATGCGCGCTCCTACACCGGTGCCGCGGCGCCCGGGCCCAGCACCACGCACCTATGCGCGCCTCTGCCGGTCCTCCTAGAAATCCCGCCCTGCCTACCCGCGGCGCGAGACGCAACGACGCTTTCAGGGGTCAAAGACCTGGCAGAAATGACTTCCCAACCCCAGATGCCCCCAGCAGCAGTATTTAGCAGTCATACAATTGCCTGAAATGAAGAATGAGTAATCTGGATGAGTCGGCCCTGAAATCGACCTGCAACTTACCCGGAACGTGAGCTGTCTCTCTCTGACCTCTGCTGGCTGCTTCACCTGGAGTCTGAGTCCGACTCATGTAGCACTTCACTGTCCGCGTTAGTTTAGCCTTCACTGTCAGCAACTCGTCACCTTGTCCTCTTGCAGCGAAGGTTTGGAATCCCATCACGGGTGTGCAGTGGTTAGTCCTGAGATCATGGTGGTGCTAGGAGAACCTGCCAACCAATACAGAAAGTTGTCACGAATAGAAACCTAAGCTCTGGCCGGGTGCGGTGGTTCAAGCCTGTGATCCCAGCACCTACTTTGGGAGGCCAAGTCGGATGGATCACTTGAGGTTAGGAGTTCGAGACCAGCCTGGCCAACATGGTGAAAGCCTGTCTCTACTAAAAATATAAAAATTAGCCGAGCGTGGTGGCGGGTGCCTGTTATGCCGGCTACTAGGGAGGCTGAAGCAGGAGCAACCCGGGAGGCGGAGGTTGCAGTAAGCCGAGATCGCGCCATTGCACTCCAGCCTGGGCGACAGAGCAAGACTGTCAAAAAAAAAAAAAAAAAAAAACAGAAAGGAGAAGAAGGGAAGGAGGGAGGGAGGGAGGAAGGCAGGCAGGCAGGCAGGAAGGAACCCAAGGGAGGGAGGGAGGGAAGAAGGAAGGAAGGAAGGAAGGAACCTAAGCCAAGGAAGGAAGGAAGGAAGGAAAGCAAAGAAAGGAAGGAAGGAAGGGCGAAGGAAGGAAGGAATCTAAGCCAAGGAAGGAAGGAACCTAAGCCCAGGAAGGAAGGAAAGAAGGAAGGAAGGAAGGTAGAAGGAAGGAAGGAACCAAAGCCAAGGAAGGAAGGAAGGAAAGAAAAGTAGAAAGGAAGGAAGGAAGGAAGGAACCTAAGTCCCAGAAGGAAGGGAGGGAGGGATGGAGGAAGGAAGGAAGCTAAGCTCTCTCTCGCGGTGCCCTGACTTCTCCCGGGGAAGGACCTCTGAGCTGCCTGCACTGGTAATGACACGTAGGTGAACCGGTCCTGGCTTTCTTAGAAGATTCCCTGCTGCATAAAACCAAATCCCGTTGCACTTTCCTGGGTTCCTTGGCTTTGTCCTTTGTCATTTCCAGGATGGAGCAGAGGCACTGGTAATTTGGCTTTTACTTGCCTGGTACCTCTGGCATGGAGTGGCTAAACGGTGGCACCATGTACTAGTTGCTGCCATCTTCAGATAAAATATTGAATCAATATGACAAAAGTCAGATGAATACTAGCTGCCAATTACCCTGCTTCCCTTGGGGGCAGCCTGTTTGGAGCATAGACCAGCTTTGACCTGCAAGAACTCTGGATATTTGGAATATTTAAAATTCCAAATACAGTATCCCAGGAATTCAGGTCAGCTGAAGGCCGATTGGGAAGGGCTTACCTTAAATGAATCAGAAAGAAAAAGGTGTGGGTGTGTGCTAACATTTTTTGAGTATCGGCTATGTGCCAGGTACTTTTTCTTATTATTTTAAGCAAGTCTGTGAACATCCCTGAGAATAACAAATCATTTGTTCCCATTTCGCAAGGGGGAAATCTATGACTTAGGTTCAAATAACTTGCCCAAGGTCACAGAGCTAATAGGTAGCACAGTTAGGCTTTGAAGGCAGGTGTATCTGACACCAAACCCTATGTCCAATTTCCACCATACTACCAGCAAGATGGAAGAATAATGAAATAAAGGGACCAGGCAAGAGCCAGTTTCAGGAATACTTAAAGGGAAAGAGGAGTCAGGAGGAACTTAGAGAAAGAATCTTGAAACAAGAGGAAATGTCATGCCAGGTAAATCAGTGAGTCAAAAACCAGAAACAGCTGTACTAGTTGGCAGACTGGACATAGTCCAAGGCAAGAAAATCGTTTTTGTAGGGAGATTAGGATATTTTGGACCAAGATTGTGGGCTTTAGTCATCCCCTCTGAAGCCACTCTGAAATCACCTTTCTCAAAACTGCCATAAGGCAGGCCTAGGCACTATCACGTGGACATCCTACTAACTCTGAGTATAGACCTTCTACATCTCGTCACAGACGCAGGAGGTTCACATTCTGAAAGAGCATCTCTAGGACTAAGGAGAAACATTCAAGGACAGGTTTTTCAAGTTAGGAATGCTCACTGGAAATCTGCTCTGTCCCCTCTGGGATCTGGAAGTAGAATTTCCCAAGCACTAAATGCTGAGGCGTGGACTTTCCAAGAATTTCCTGATTGGTTAATTCTGAGAATGTCACTGATCATTACAGACGGATCACCATGCAGGAAAAGGAGAGGCTGGTTTGGGTTTTTTCATGGGGAAGGTGAACTTCCAGATCACAGTGCCCTCCAAGACACAGGGCTTGAAAGTCATGAGTGTCAGGGACAACTCACTGTGTCAGCTAGCCCAGCCGGGCTCATGCCCAGCACCCATTGATCACACACAAAGCTCCATTGTGGCCAGGATAGCCTCATAAAAGACCGAAAGCCTAGCAGCTGCCTGCCAAAACCCAGCCAGGCTTCACAAGAAGTGATTTGTGCTGTGAGCAGAGCTTTGACCCCAGTTTTGAACTCAGCTGACAGTCAGCAAAGGGGAAACCAGTCTCTGTACAAAACAGGAAGGAAATGAGATGAAATGAACTGCATTATAAGCTACCAGAGGGTGCCTAATGGCATCTTCACCACATAGAAGTCCCAGGAAGAAAGACTGATGATTTTGCATGGGAGAGAAGCCCAGACAAGCACCAGGGAAGGAAAGAACCGAGGAAAGCTGCATTTGGCTTGGCTGTTTCTCTTCCTCCTTGCCTGACTTAACAGCCACTGTCTGCAAAAGGACACATCTGTGTGAACCCACTTGCATGAGGAGCCTAGAAGAGACAAATTCATAGAGACAGAAAGTAGAACAGAAGTTGGCAGGGCCTGGCAGGATGGGGAATACAGAGTTATTGCTTGATGGACACAGATTTTCTGTCTGGTTGATGAAAAAGTTCTGGAGAGAGATTGTAGTGATAGTTGCACAATGCTGTAAATGTACTTAATGCCACTGAATTGTACACTGAAAAATGGTTATGATAATACATTTTGTTATATTTTACCACAAATATTTATGTGTATGGTGTATGTATATATGTATATATTATTTATATATTTTATATATACATATATATGTAAAAAATATAAATGTATTATCATGATGTAATACTTCTTTGGAGTAAAAGCCCAGGTGAAAGCAATCAGCTGACAGGGCCCCTACATCTGGAAATTCTTCACTTGAATTTTTGTTCATTTCTCTTTTTAATTTTTATTTATTTATTTTTGAGATGGAGTCTCACTCTGTCACCCAGGCTGGAGTGCAGTGGCATGATCTCGGCTCAGTGCAACCTCTACCTCCCAGGTTCAAGCAATTCCTGTGCCTCAGCCTCCCAACTAGCTAGGATTACAGGCATGCACCACCACACCCAGCTAATTTTTGTATTTGTAGTAGAGATGGGGTTTCACCATGTTGGCCAGGCTGGTCTCGAACTCCTGACCACAGGTGATCTGCCTGCCTTGGTCTCCCAAAGTGCTGGGATTACAGGTGTGAGCCACCACACCCAGCCTTTTTGCTTTTAATTTTTTTTTTTTGAGACAGGTTCTTGCTCTGTTGCCCAGCCTGAGTGCAGTGGCATGATCATGACTCACTGCAGCCTCAACCTCCCAGGCTCAGGTGATCCTCCCACCTCAGCCTCCCTAATAATTGGGACTACAGGCAAACAGCACCACACCCAGCTAAATTTTTTAAGTTATTTGTAGAGATGAGGGTTTCCCTATGTTTCTCAGGCTGGTCTTGAACTCCTGGGCTCAAACAATCCTCCCACCTTGGCCTCCCAGAGTGCTGGGATTACAGGCATGAACCACTACGCCTGGCTCTATGAATGTTAATAAATCTTTGCCAGGCATGGTGGCTCACACCTGTAATCCAAGCACTTTGGGAGGTGGAGGTGGGTGGATCTCTTGAGGTCAGGAGTTCCAGACCAGCCTGGCCAACATGGTGAAACTCCACCTCTACTAAAATACAAAAATTAGCTGGGCATGGTGGCAGATGCCTGTAATCCCAGCTACTTGGTAGGCTGAGGCAGGAGAATCGCTTGAACCCGGGAGGCAGAGGTTGCAGTGAGCCAGGATAGTGCCACTACACTCCAGCCTGAGCAACAGAGCAAGACTCTGTCTCAAAATAATCAAATAAATAAATAAATCTTAATTTATTTTTCTTTCCATTTAGGGGTGCCCAGGGCCCAGCTTTTGGGTTGTTGCAGCTCCTTATTCAGAAGGAAGAGTAGTTCTGCCATTTTACTCTCTGATCCAGCTGGTGTTAAGTAGCTGGGGGTTTGTGGTGGCATAGTCAGAGATGTGGCCCTAAAAGGGACTCTTTACCTTTGAGGACTAAACTCATTTTTTTTTCTTGCCTAAATTCCTATCTAAGCGGTCTGGGGAGTCATGCCCTACAAATCATAAATTCTCATCAGATGGGTTTTATTTAACCCTGTATGTCGTGACTTACTTTCCAATCTGACTCTGGCATAACATCACGAGACAAGGAAGAAAATCAAAATATTTTACCCCAAAACGTGTTTCTTTGCCATATTTTGAAATGACCCTGCAAAGCTGTTCTTTGTGGGGGAAAATTTACATCTGTAAAAGATCTCTATTAAAATAGCTAGATCTTTTTCTTCCAGACCCTCCCAATCTAAAGAGATTAACTAGGATCTGAATAGGAAACATTTGTCATCTATTGTCTCTAAGGGCAGACACTATAAGACTTCAAAACAACTTTGGTCACCACAATTTTTATCTTAACCTGAACATTCCCTTCTTATGAATCCCAGGTTTTTAGACAAACTCAATCAATTGTCAACCAGAAAATGTTTAAATTCCCCTATAACCTGGAAGCCCCACCACCGCCGGCTTTGAATTGTCCCGCCTTTCCGGACCAAACCAACTATTTCTTCAGTGTATTTGATGGATGTCTCATGCCTCTCTAAAATGTATAAAACCAAGCTGGGCCCTGACCACCTTGGACACATGTTCTCAGGACCTCCTGAGGGCTGTGTCACTGGTCATGGTCACTCATATTTGGCTCAGAATAAATCTCTTCAAATATTTTATAGAGTTTGACTCTTTTCGTCGACACCTTTGATATTAAATCTATGCACTATTTACAAAGAGAGAGGGAGAAGGAAAGGGAGGGAATGAGAGAGAGAGAGAGAGAGAGAGAGAGAGAGAGAGAGAGAGAAATTGAAGAAATTAAAAGGATTATAGACCCAACTGACTATTTGCTTCCAGCAGCCAAGATGACCAGTTAGGACCATCCCATAGCTTCAGGCTGACCATTATCCCCAGGGTAAGCCTGTTCCTGAAAATGACTGTATGAGGGGATGTGCTCTTGGTCTGACAGATAACAAGAAGTAACCTTTGACTTTTAGTCCTTCCTCCGGTGTCTTCAGTACACAGTTGCCACTTTTCCTCTTTGAAGATGCTCTTAGCTGGACTAGTAGAACTAGAAGCTGCACCTGTCTTGTGGTCTACTTTTATGACTAACAATGTGGTATAGATAAAATCCATGGTTCCACATGAGTGCAATGGCAATCTACCGTTAGAACTAAAAACATTAAGTTGTTTGTATTCTGTCTTGCCCACTGGGTTGTGGAGCCAGGAAAACCTTACTCATTCTTGAATTTCTTCCCCATCCCCCATCCAGAACCTAGCCATGTACTTTATATATTTTAGGTGTTTTGTAAATGTTTTTAACTGCTCTCATGGCTTGTGCGGTATGATTTGAATGCCATCCTGCAAAACAGAAAGACGTTAAACTAAGATTATCCCATGCTTGGAAACAGTTAATATGTCCAAAGTTCAAAGTCTTCGTCTAACATTTATAGTGTTGTCTGAAATTTCAACCTAATTTTCAGTCTCTTCTTTCAAGCCTGCCTCAAATACCCTAAAATCCACAATAGCTACCAATTGTTCTGGGAATATTCTCCATTTTCCTACCCTCGTACCCCAAGTCATTGACCACATCTTATATTCTTCACATGTACTTCCTAGTGTTGACCCTATACTTCAGTGTTTTGTGCCTGACATTTCCTTTGTCTTGGGGGTAGCCTTGTAGCCCAGTCTAGATAATCCCCAAGTCATTTCCACATGGACTGTTTGATAAGGAAAGGCTAAAAGACTTAGATAAAATCTTAGGTGGCTAGTATGAATTTTATTCTATAACTCTGGTATCAAAAAAAAGTGACATTACCTTATTTTTCCAAAATTTCTTCTAACTCAAATGAAATTGACCTGGTATTTCCTACTTGAGTAAATGACAAGCAATGGAGTCTGCCACATGTTGGAGAGCCTTACTCTTACCCCCCTAGAGCTTCTTGAGAGCTCAGGTACTTATGGAACATCTGGGGAAAGATTTCTGGCCTTTGTTCCATCATTATCACTGCAGAAGTTCCCATTTTCAAAGCCTGTGTTAATTAGGAAGTTCTATCACTCTATGCCCAGTGTAGGTACAGGGATCCTTTGCCAAGCCCCTAGAGGTTTAATGGCTCAGCATCCAAATGCTACCCTTTCAGAGAGTCTCTTCCTCATTCAAACACCTTCTTCAAACTTCCCAGCAAAACAAACAAACAAAAAATCCCTCTCCCTTATCTCCTACCTGAAGAAGCTACCTCCCAGTCAGGCAACTCCTGCCTCTCTGCATACCGTATCTTAGAGACAAAAAAACTAAAGACAAAAATCTTTAACTCTGCCCCTTGGGACTCCCAGCCCTGCTGGCCGTCTTTCAGGAGGGGAGAGAAAAGAGGTCTCATTGATTCAGATTTTTCCACAAAGCAGTAAGAACAAAACAAAGCAATTTATTAATTATCAGCAGCCGCAAAATACAAATGAATTCCTCAATAAATTATCCTGCCACAGTGGTTCATAAATTCTAATGCACTGGTACAATGAATACCAACGGATACTGGTCTGTGACCTGAACAGAGGTTGCATCTCTATAAAGTTTATAGATCCAGCTTCTCTTGCATCAATTATCTTCACCAGCCATTAAAGTCATTCAGCTTAATGTGATGCTCTGATTTTATGCTCACCAAGCCATCTACTTAAAAGTGGACTTTCTATGTAAATTTGCTTATAGAAAGAGAAGGCATTTATGAGTGAGAACATGTGTGGTGTTTGGTTTTCTGTTCTTGTGTTAGTTTGCAGAGAATGATGGTTTCCAGCTTCATCCATGTCCCTGCAAAGGACATTAACTCATTCTTTTGTATGGCTGCATAGTATTCCATGGTGTATATGTGCCACATTTTCTTTATCCAGGCTATCATTGATGGGCATTTGGGTTGGTTCCAAGTCTTTGCTATTGTGAATAGTGCTGCAATAAACATGCGTGCAAAGTGGGAGCTGAACAATGAGAACACATGGACACAGGGAGGGGAATATCACACACCAGGGCCTGTCAAGGGGTGGGGGGCAAGGGGAGGGAGAGCACTAGGACAAATACCTAATGCATGCTGGGCTTAAAACCTAGATGACAGGCCAGACACGGTGGCTCACGCCTTTAATCCCAGCACTTTGGGAGGCCAAGGCGGGTGGATCACGAGGTCAGGAGTTCAGGACCAGCCTGGCCAAGATGGTGAAACCCTGTCTCTACTAAAAATACAAAAATTAGTTGGGCATGGTGGCAAGTGCCTGTAATCCCAGCTACTCAGGAGGCTGAGGCAGAGAATTGCTTGAACCCAGGGGGTGGAGGTTGCAGTGAATCGAGACTGCGCCACTGCACTCCAGCCTGGGTGACAGAGTAAGACTCCGTCTCAAAAAAACAAAACAAAACCAAACAAAAAAAACCTAGATGAGGGGTTGATGGCTGCAGCATACCACCATGGTACATGTATACCAATGTAACAAACCTGCATGTTCTGCATATGTATCACAGAACTTACAGTATAATTAATAAATAAAACAATTTAACTCATTCACATGTTTGCAAAGACCCTAAATAAAATATTAGTAAAGTAGCCGGGGGTGGTGGTGGGCATCTATAATCTCAGCTACTCAGGAGGCTGAGGCAGGAGCATCGCTTGAACCCAGGAGGCGGAGGTTGCAGTGAGCTGAGATCGTGCCATTGTGCTCCAGCCTGGGCAACAAGAGTGCTACTCCATCTTAAAAAAAAAAAAAAAAAAAAAAGTAAATATAGCGTTGGAATAAAAGAGAAAATACATTGAAAAAAAAAAAAAAGAGAGAGAGAAGCCATTTACCAACCAGTATGGACATTCCCACCTACTCCACTCCCCTAATGTTATATTTTTATAGTACATAGTAATAAATTATCATTCTTGCTTATATATTAATCTCTAGTGAGTTTGGTCCAATTACATCAGACCCTGTAATAAGTGGAATAATGGTCCCCCAAAGATGTCCACATTTTAATGCCAGGAGCCTGAAATTATGTTACACGGTAAGGGGGAATTAAAACCGCAGATAGAATTAAGATTGCTAGGCTGGGCACAGTGGTTCATGCCTGTAATCCCAGCACTTTGGGAGGCCAAGGTGGGTGAATCACTTGAGGCCAGGAGTTTGAGACCAGCCTGGGCAATATGAGGAAACCTTGTCTCTACCAAAAATACAAAAATTGGCCAGTCTCATAATGCAGTCTTAAAAATAAATAAACAAAAATTTAAAATAAAATATTTTTAAAAATTTTAAAAAGAATTAAGATTGCTAGTTAATCAGCTGGCTTTAAAATGAAGAGATTATCCTGGGTTATCCATATGAGCTCAATGTCATCACAAAGATCCTTATAGTAAAAGAGGGGGAGACAGGAGAGTCAGAGTCAGAGTGATTCATTGTGACAAAATTTTGACCAGCCATTGCTGCCTTTGAAAAAAATGGAAGGAGGCCATCCATGAGGCAAAGAATATGGGCAGCCTCTATAAACAGGAAGAGACTGGGAATCAGATCCTCCCAGAGCTTTCCAAAAGGAACAGAGCCCCACTGACACCTTGATTTTAGCCCTGCTAGGCTCATTTCAGACTTCTGGCCTCCAGAGCTATATGATAATACATTTCTATTGGTTTTGTTTGTTTGATTTTTTTGAGGCAGAGTCTCACTCTGTCACTCAGGCTGGAGTGCAGTGGTGTGATCTCAGCTCACTGCAACCTCCGCCTCCTGGGTTCAACTGATTCTCCTGCCTCAGCTTCCAAGTAGCTGGGATTACAGGCACATGCCATGATGCCTGGCTACTTTTTGTATTTTTAGTACAGACAGGGTTTCACCATGTTGGCCAGGCTAGCCTCAAACTCCTGACCTCAAGTGATCAGCCTGCCTCGGCCTCCCAAAGTGCTGGGATTACAGGCGTGAGCCACCGTCCCCAGCCATTTCTATTGTTTTAAGCACTAAATTTATAGTTACTTGTTACAGCAGCAAGAGGAAACTAATAGGACCCTGAGAGCCTGAATTATTTTGGTTGCACTGATGAAATACAGTTTCTGGATTTCGTATACCTGCCAAGTGGTTTCCTGGACTCACCTGGAAATATCTCAGTTTTTTTCTTTCCCTAATTATCCAAATGCTTTGAACATAATATAGGCTCTTAAAAATATCTGTTGAATCAATGAATTTTGGCTAAATATAAAGTCTGTGAGTCATGGCTGGTGTGTTTTTGATAGTTTGAAAACTTTTAGGATTAACCATTTCTCTCTCTAACGAGCTGTGAATAAATGCCTCTAATATCAACGTGATAGATCATTTTATGTGTCACTGGGATAAGAGGATGCCCAGATAGCTGGTCAAACATTATTTCTGGGTGTGTCTGTGAGGGTGTTTCTGGATAAGATTAGCAGCATTTGAATCTGTGAACTCAGTAAAGTAGGTTGGCCCTCCCCACTGTTGGGGGGCATCATTCAATCCCTTGAGGGCCTGAATAGACAGAGGAAGGAAGAATTCACCCCTTTTTCTCCGCCCCACTGCCTGAGCTAGAACATCTTGTCTCATCTCCTACTGTGCCCTTTGTTCTCAGCCCTTCAGACTTGGATTTCATTATTCCATCGACCTTCCTGGGTCTCCAACTAGCAGACAGCATATTGTGGATTTCTCAGCCTCCGTAACCTCCATGATCATGTCAGCCAATTTCTCATAATAAATCAACTTCTCAGGCGGACACAGTTGCTCATGCCTGTAATCCCAGCACTTTGAGAGGCCAAGGCGGGCGGATCACCTAAGGTCAGGAGTTCGAGACCATCCTGGCCAATATGGTGAAACCGTGTATCTACTAAAAATACAAAAATTAGCCAGGTGTGGTGGCGGGAGCCTGTAATCCCAGCTATTCAGGAGCCTGAGGCAGGAGAATCCCTTGAACCCAGGAGGCGGAGTTTGCAGTGAACTGAGATCGTGCCACTGCACTCCAGCCTGGCAACAGAGGGAGACTCCATCTCAAAAAATAAAATAAAATAATAAATAAATTTCTCTCTCTCTCATATATATAATATATAGATATAGATATATATACAAATATACATATACATGTATACACATATTATGTCTATATTATATATGTGCGTATATTTATACATACAGAGAAAGTATAGTTATATATATACATAATATGTATATATATACATATGCTTTTGTGTATATATACATACACATATACACACATATATACACAAAAGCAAAATGAGCAAAAGTCCTCAGTTTCAATATCCTATTGGTTCTATTTCTCTGGAGAACCCTAAAAATCAAGAAACTGGTAGTTAAATTATATGGACTTAACAGCAAATTTGTGAGGATAACACGTAGCTCTTTTTTCTTCTTACATGGAAAATGTGAATCATTTGAAAATCAATGCCTAGTCTTAACATACAGTAGTGACTTTCCCCATACAAGAGGAAGCTTTCTTTCTTTTCTTTTTTTTTTTTTTTAGACAGAGTCTAAAATATTTAAAAAAATATTACCCAGTAACCCAGGCTGGAGTGCAGTGGCATGATTTCGGCTCACTGCAACCTCTGCCTCCCGGGTTCAAGCGATTCTCATGACTCAGTCTCCTGAATAGTTGGGACTACAGGCACGCGCCACCAAGCCTGGCTACTTTTTCGTATTTTTAGTAGAGACGCGGTTTCACCGTGTTGCTCAGGCTGGTCTGGAACTCCTGACCTCAGGTGATCTGCCCACCTTGGCCTCCCAAAGTGTTGGGATTACAGGCATGAGCCACCGCGCCCGGCCCAGGAAGCTTTATTTCTATTTAGAGGTGTGTGGAAGCTCTTTAGGCAGTCTAGGAAGTTTAGGCAGTTTAGGAAGCTGGTGACATTCTGGTCAACACTGCTGACAACATATCATGTCCAACACTAAACACTGAGCCTGTCTGAAGAAGAAAAGACAAGTAGAGAGTTTCAATGAACCATTACAACATTTGGTCAGCTAAGAAGGGCTCCCGAGAGACCAGTTGTTACTGTCTGGTGCTAGCACTGCTGTCACAATGTCAAACCAAGTGTAAATAAAAAGGTCCCTTGAAAAATGCCATCAGTTGGAAGTTGCTGGCTTGAGAACCCTCCTGGGAAGAGATGTGCTTCTTGTATTGAGACTAGCCACACTCACTGGGCCTGTGTGGGCTTGGGGACTTTAAAGAAAAAAGTTCGGCCGGGTGCAGTGGCTCATGCCTGTAATCCCAGCACTTTGGAAGGCCGAGGCTGGTGGATCACCTGAGGTTGGGAGTTCAAGACCAGCCTGACCAACATGGAGAAACCCTGTCTCTACTAAAAATACAAAATTAGCCGGGCGTGGTGGCACATGCCTGTAATCCCAGCTACTCCGGAGGCTGAGGCAGGAGAATTGCTTGAATCCGGGAGGCGGAAGTTGCAGTGAGTGGAGGTCTCGCCATTGCACTCCAGCCTGGGCAACAAGAGCGAAACTCCGTCTAAAAAAAAAGAAAGAAAAAGAAAAAAGTTCATTGTCCCTAATTAGTGTTGTATTTCTGTGACTTTAAAGCAGTCCTATTAGTTTTTTTTTCTTTTTCTTTTTTTTTTTTTGAGACGGAGTCTCGCTCTGTCGCCCAGGCTGGAGTCAGTGGCACAATCTTGGCTTACCACAACCTCCGCCTCCCAGGTTCAAATGATTCTCCTGCCTCAGCCTCCCAAGTAGCTGGGACTACAGGCATGTGCTACTATGCCTGGCTAATTTTTGTATTTTTAGTAGAGATGGGGTTTCACTGTGTTGGCCAGACTGGTCTCGAACTCCTGACCTCGTGATCCTCCCGCCTCAGCCTCCCAAAGTGCTGGGATTACAGGCCTGAGCCACCACGCCCGGCCAGTCCTATTTGTTAAAGTGATAAAACGTGTAAGAGTTGGCAGAAATATGTGCAACACATGGAACAAAAAGAAAGCCTGGCTGGTTTGTGTTGCTGCTCTAAGTTGAGCTTGGCTGGACTATGAGAAGGAAGAGTGAGCAGCAAAGTCTGGAGATGGGAGTCTAAAACCACTTTAAAGAGCTGTAGACTTAATTCCAAGGGCAGTGGGAGCTACTTAAGGGCTCTGAACAGTGGGGCATGATCAGGTTGGAAGCCTATATTTGCATTTTTCTTCCTTGGTGATCTAATATTCCTTAAGGCAGTGCTTTCCAAACTTTAATGTGCACAGGAATTACCTGGAATCTTGGGAAAGTGCAGATTCTGACTTAGTAAGTCTCATGTGGGGCTCCAGATGCTGCGACAAGCTCCTAGGTGACAACAGGGCTGCTGAGCCCCAGACTGCTCTCTGAGTAACAAAGTCCTAGACAGAATCATTTGTGAGCCTCCCCCACGGGCTTTTTCAGAGCCTGCAAGAAAGTGAGGGAGCAGCCGTAAGGCATAGACAAAGCTCCTTTCCATCCTCAAATGGCTACATGTTTTCCTGGGGTGACCTAATTGCTCAGGCAGAGAACATTGTGGCAATGTCATTAGTCATTCCTTCTGAGCGTTTTGTGTTCTGGACCATTACTTAGACTCTGCTCTTTTAGCTCAGAACTTTGTGTCTCATCTGGCTCTCCATGTGCTCAGTTACCAAATGGGCTTTGAAATTCCATTTGGCCAAGCGCTGTGGCTCACGCCTGTAATCCCAGCACTTTGGGAGGCTGAGGCAGACAGATCATCTGAGGCCAGGAGTTTGAGACCAGCCTGGCCAACATGGTGAAACCCCGTCTGTACTAAAAAATTAGCTGGGTATGGTGGCATGCACATGTAATCCTAACTACTTGGGAGGCGGAGGCACAAGAATCACTTGAACCCAGGAGGTGGAGGTTTCAGTGAGCCAAGATCGCACCACTGCACTCCAGCCTGGGTCAACAGAGCAAGGCTCTGTCTCAAAAAAAAAAAAAAAAATTCTATTTTCCTGCCGTCTGCAGCAGGATTGACTTCCCCATTCCTTGAGACTGACATCAAGCCAAGAATATCAGATTCTCCAAATGTGACCAGTTTGCCTTTCTTCAAATAATCTTGCGATGTGAAGGGAGGTTGCAGAGTCATAAATTTGACTATTTTTAAAAATTTTATTTTCTTTTTAGACTAAAAAGACTAGATCTGAGAGAATATTTTAAATTGACGTTGCGGAGAGAGAAACACAGGACTCTAGCCTTTGTTTTGGTCATCATAGCATAGATAGATACACACACACACACACACACACACCCTTTTATAGTATAAATGAAATGATAAATGTAAAGTACTTAGCACAGTGCCTAGCACACAGGAAACATCTGAAGGAAATTAAAGTATTTTACCCTAAAATATATTTCTTTGACATATTTTGAGATGGCTGCTCAGGGAGACAGCAAAGCTGTCTTGTGGGGGAGATTTGCATCTGCAGAAAATCTGCATTGATGCAACCAGGCCTTCCCTGGTCTACATGTGGGAAAGGTGAACTGAGAGCCTGCCACCTTTAAACATCTGAAAGAAACATTTACCTTCTATTTTCTCTGAGGGCTTCTACCAGTGAGGTTTTATTTACATGAACAAGACCACGTTTACTAGCCAGAGCTCCTCCTTCCTCTTTTTCTCTCTCTCATATAACTTACCTTGCCACTATAACCTGGTTTATTACCAGAACCTGTTTCTGGCCATGCTCTGAGCCCCCATGCTTTCTGTAACCTTCTGTACTCCACTGGGGGTTGGGTAATCATTCTGTGATTCTGCCAATGTACATATTAATAAATTTGTAAACATCTTCTGCAATTATCTGTCTTTTGCAAGTTGATTTTTCAAGGAAACTTCAGAGGGCAAAGGGGAAGTTTTCTCTTGGCCCCTACATATCCAATATATGGTAGCTATTATGATCAAAATACATACTTTAAGTCTGAACGCCATGGCTCACACCTGTAATCTCAGCACTTTACGAGGCCTTGGCCTCCCAACGATCACTTGCGGTCAGGAGTTCGAGACCAGCCTGGGTGACACAGTGAGACTGTGTCTCTACAAAAATTTTGAAACATTAGTCAGCCGTGGTGGCATACGCCTGTAGTCCCAGTTATTTGAGAGGCTAAGGTGGGAGGATTGCTTGTGCCCAGAAGTTTGAGGCTGCAGTCAGCCATGATTGAGCCACTGCACTCCAGCCCAGGCAACACAGTGAGAGCCTATTTCAAAAAAAAAAAAAAAAAAAAAAAAAAGGAGAGAGAGAGAAAAAAAAAGGAAAAAAATACATGCTTTACAGACGTGATGTGAGAGTTAAGTAACATGTGTAAAGCACTTTAGGATAGTGCCTGGCACGTGGTAGATGTTGAATACACCATAGCTTTCATGATGGTGATGATGATGGAGATGAGGAGGAGGAGGACAAGGAGGAGGAGGAGAGGATGGGAGGAAGAGAAGCAAGAGGAGAAGAAAAGGGGAGAGAGGGGGAAGATAAGAAAGGGGAGGGAGAGGAGGTGGTGGTTGGTGGGGAATTGGAGGGGAGAGGAATATAAAGTTTGACTTAAACAGGGATAACAACAGTGGGGTGCTGATAAGTGTTTAACAACCGGCCTTCAGCACACCACTGTGTAAGCGGCAGGATAAGATTAGTTCCAAGAGTCTCCAAGGCCGGTTTTGATGGTGACAGCATGAATGGGAGGTGTGAAGAGGTATGGCAGGAGCTCACGGAGCTTTGGGATTCTCCCATCCTTCCTGCCATTGCAATGACACTCATTCCACAATTAAGACTGGGTGTATCTTTATGGTTTAAAATGATAAATTTTATGTTATGTACATTTTACTATAATAACATTTTTAGTTAAAAATAACATCAACAAGAAAACTGGTGAGATCAAAATAAAATCAATTGTTTAATAGTTAAACAAAAACCCTGAGATATCCTCATGATAACCTTGTTTGGAATTAAGACAGAATCAAGAAGTCAAGCCACTGTAACTTGAAGCATTCCTCTTCAAGAACCTCTCCATCTTCTTCAGTTTCTGTTTTCTCTTTTTCCTCCTGTCCATCACCTGAATCGCCCTTTAAATTTGCAAGTCCTGAGAGTGGTGCCTCACCAAGGGCTCTCTGTGGGCCCTGCGTCTTTGCTGAGCTCACCCTAGTTTGAGCAGTGGTCAGGCAATAGTCAGTTTCTCCTGGCAGAGTCACCATTCCCTTATCTGTGCTCTTCTAAGCCTCTGGAAATTAGAAACTTCCCCTAAGCACTTTCTTTCCAGGAAGGAGACTCAAAATATTCCTTTTCCTGTGCCCCACACCTGCGTTCTCAGCACTCATACTTCTCCAGGTTATATTCCTGTTAGTTGTGTTAAGGTCTTTTTCTGTCCTTTAGTGATTGAAGCAGATGCATTCAATCTGAAATCTGAAAATCTTATATCAAATCTTGGCTCCACTTTGAGTAATGTATTAAAGTCAGATGAGCTTTCCTTCTCTCTTCTGTCAATAGAATTACCTTCCTATGATAAGACTTGGTGGGGGAATTAAGGAGGTAAAGTAATTTACTTAAACATACTTCAACAACCAACAATGATTATCATGCAACCAATGCAACCAAAACTCTTTCTTTGCACTTTTTTCTTTTCTTTTTTCTTTTTTTTTGAAACAGAGTCTCACTCTGTTGCCCAGGCTGGAGTGCAGCGGCGCAATCTCAGCTCACTGCAACCTCTGCCCCTGAGTTCAAGCAATTCTGCCGCCTCAGCCTCCCAAGTAGCTGGTGCCTGCCACCACACCCAGCTAATTTTTGTATTTTTCGTAGAGATGGGGTTTCATCATGTTGGCCAGGCTGGTCTTGAACTCCTGACCGCAGGTGATCTGCCTGCCTAGGCCTCCCAAAGTGCTGGGTTACAGGCGTGAGCCACCGTGCCCAGCCTCTTTGCACTACTTGAGGACCATCAAAGGCAATCGCACTCATGACTCTCAGTCTTACTTTATTGCATTCCATTTCCCCTCCCCTCAGCTTCATTTACACCCAGAGCCTCCTCCCAAGTGTCTCTCACTCTCCAAGTGCCACTTCTTACAGGAAGTTACTCAACACACAGTAGCTAGTGTTTGTGTCTATATTTTCGACAGCAACTGACACAGAGCCTACCACATAATGAGAGCTCCACAAACATTTGTGAAATTGAATGGAGTTTTATCAGAATACAGAGATCTTACTACAAAAAAACTAGAGTAAATAACTTTTTCTTCTAAAAAAAAAGTTCAACCTCAGTTACCTCTCTCATTGCTAACCTCATTCCCTCCCCCTTGTAGCCACCATCACCACCCCAGGGCAGAAAGGGCATCTGGAACATGATGTGGCATTTCCTTCAGCATCCCTACCCCCACCATTAGCTTAATTTGTTAGGACAGTGACCAGGGAGTGACTGCAATCAAAGGGAGGGTGCTGTGTGCTTCTCTCCAGCTCTGAAGTGCGGCTAACTCTCCTTAGGATGTAATCAGAGATTCTTCTTCAGAAGTCCTTGGCGTACTTTTCCTAGCTCACCACAACTATTTCTTCAGTTCACGTCCAAGAGGAATGGGATCAT
The DNA here is from genome assembly GCF_000001405.40 of Homo sapiens. Lineage (NCBI taxonomy): Eukaryota > Metazoa > Chordata > Mammalia > Primates > Hominidae > Homo > Homo sapiens. Next base: position 46,404,619 of record NC_000013.11, read on the forward strand.
GTTGTATAAATTAAACATTTTGCTTCTCCTCTATCAACCCAGATCCATATTTATATCCACTATTGCTGTTCTGATGATGGAAGATTCCCATCATTGCTTCTTTGGTTCACACTCCAGCAGCAGAGTCATGCGTCTCACAGTCTCTAAGGCCACTATAGTAGTTACTGGATTAACAGTAACATCAAAAAAGAAGGAAAAGGAAAGAAGCAAGGCAGGAAGGGAGGAAGGGAGGGAGGAAAGGGAGGGAAGGAGTGAAAGAGGAAGTGAGAAAGGAAGAGGGGGGAGGGAGGAAGGAAGGAAGGGAGCTTATTCAGCTTATTGTCAAGTTCAAGAGAGGCTCATATTTCTTTATATATAGTAGTAATATTTTCAGAACCAAAAATGAGGATATAGCCTGATGAATGACATTTTCTGATTTTTAATTATACAATTCATAAAGTAATTAAAATTTTGCTAAATTTACTTGAAAACATGTATTAATTAGCCTTTATTGGAAAGAAAGCAATTTAATGTAATCATGTTTATCTGAAAAATTCATGAGATTAGATTATTTTGCTTATGTGGATTGGTTGAAGTGGCAATGGACATAATTCTTAAAGCAGCACAATTTTCCCTAATCAGTTTCTATTCCTGTGACTCTATCTTATGCTTTCTTATGAAATTGAAATGGCATCGAATCTACTTAAACACATTTCAAGAACCAACCATATTAATGCTGCAGTGAGCCATGATTGTGTCACTGTACTTCAGCTTCAGTGACAGAACAAGGTCCTGTCTCAAAAAAAAAAAAAAAAAAAAAACAGCAATAATTATAATGCAACCAAAACTCTTTCTTTGCATTTTTAAAGGATCATCAGAGGTGATCATAACTCTCTACCCTACTTCACCACATTTAGTTGAAGTAGGAGACCACTGGCAGGACTTATTTCTTGGTCCCCATGGTAAAGTAAAGAAACTGGCAGGAACCAGCAGATGGCCAGAAAAGTGATCCCTAGCTGCTCATTAGCATAAGACACTCCTACCAGCACCATGACAGTTCACAAATGCCATGACAACCACCCAGAAGTTACTGCCCCTTTCCTAGAAAGTTATGAATAACCTGCCCCTAAATTTGCATTAGCCCACCTCTTAATTTGCATATAATTGAAAGTGGATATAAATAGAGTTGCCAACAGTCCATAGCTGCCAACTTTGGTTGCCCTGACTGTAAGTTAGCCCTGCTTATCAAGGAGCAGTGCCATTCAACAAAAAATTGCTAATACCACTGGCTCACTCTTGAATTCCTTCCTAGGCAAAGCCAAGAACCCTCTCGGGCTAAGCCCCAATTTGGGGGCTCATCTATCCTGCAACACCTTTGCGCCTCCCTCCAATTTATTTACACCCAGAATCTACTCCCAAGCATCACTCTGTCTCAAATTCCACCTAAACTCTCCCAACATGCTTCTCTGTTTTATTATGCAGATTGACTTTTCAGACCCTTTCCCAATAAGCATAGAGTGATAAAGTGAGAGAAACTCAATGAGAAATTACAGGATTTGCTTCACTGGGTGCATAAAGTGGGAAAAGACTAGAATACTTCCATACTGATCATTTTTTGGCCTATCAAGTATTGTTTTATGCAATTCAACTTTTCACCTCCCAGAAACTTTTCTCAAAATTTTATGCATAGCTTTATAATTTAGTTACGTATTAAACTTGGGTCATCTCTTCCTTCTAAACTTAGAAAAGGAATATAACTGACTAATTAATGTTAAAGGTTTCCATAGACAAATAATCCAGTGGAACAAAAGAGAAAATCCAAAAACAGAGCCACATATATATGACCACTTGATTTGCAACAAAGATGCACTGCAATTCAATGGGAGAAAGAATGGCTTTTTCAGGCCAGGCGCGGTGGCTCATGCCTGTAATCCCAGCACTCTGGGAGGCCGAGGTGGGTGGATCACGAGGTCAGGAGATCGAGACCATCCTGGCTAACATGGTGAAACCCCATGTCTACTAAAAATACAAAAAATTAGCCGGGTGTGGTGGCGGGTGCCTATAGTCCCAGCTACTCGGGAGGCTGAGGCAGGAGAATGGCGTGAACCTGGGAGCTTGCAGTGAGCCGAGATCAGCCACTGCACTCCAGCCTGGGGGACAGAGCGAGACTCCGTCTCAAAAAAAAAACAACAACAACAACAAAAAGAGTGGCTTTTTCAAACAAAAGGTACTTGGGCATTTTTATATCCATGTGGAAAAGACCTGAACATTGACCGTCACCTCACACCATACACAAAAATAAATTTGAGGTGGATCACAGACCTAAATGTGAAACTTAATAAAGCTTTTTAAAAGAGCACAGAGGAGAATACCATAATGATTTGAACAAAGATTATTTAAACAGGACATGAGAAGCACTAGCCAAAAAGAAGAGATTGGTATTTGAAATAGAGCTATTCAATAACATCTATAATTTAGCTGAATTGTTCACATTAGTTATGGTTTATAATTATTGGGGATTCATAATGTATCATGAATGACTACACAGACATGCAGTTTCTTCATAGCATCAACGGTCTTTACAATTTGGTATGTTTTTGCTGTGGCTGGTACCGGCTTTTTCTTTCCATATTCAGTGCTTCCTTCATGAGCTCTTTTAAGGCAGGTCTGGTGGTGACAAAAATCTCTCAGCATGTCTGTAAATGATTTTATTTCTCCTTCGCTTATGAAACTTAGTTTGGCTGGATATGAAATTCTGGGTTGAAAATTCTTTAAGAATGTTGAATATTGGCCCCCACTCTCTTCTGGCTTGCAGGGTTTCTGCAGCGAGATCCGCTGTTAGTCTGATGGGCTTACCTTTGTGAGTAACCCAACCTTTCTGTCTGGCTGCCCTTAACATTTTTTCCTTCATTTCAACCTTGGTGAATCTGATGATTATGTGTCTTGGAGTTGCTCTTCTCAAGGAGTATCTTTTTGGTGTTCTCTGTATTTCTTGAATTTGAATGTTGGCCTGTCTTGCTAGGTTGGGGAAGTTCTCCTGGATAATATCCTGAAGAGTGTTTTCCAACTTGGTTCCTTTCTCCCTGTGACTTTCAGGTACACCAGTCAAACGTGGGTTTGGTCTTTTCACATAGCCCCATATTTCCTGGAGGTTTTGCTTGTTCCTTTTATTTTTTTTTTCTCTAATCTTGTCTTCATGCTTTATTTCATTAAGTTGATCTTCAGTCTCTGATATCCTTTCTTCTGATTGATCAATTCAGCTATCGATACTTCTGTATGCCTCACAAAGTTCTCCTGCTGTGTTTTTCAACTCTATCAGGTCATTTAACTTCTTCTCTAAACTCTTATTTTAGTTAGCAATTCCGCTAACCTTTTTTCAAGATTCTTAGCTTCTTTTCAATGGTTTAGAACATGCTGCTTTAGCTCAGAGGAGTTTGCTATTACCCAGCTTCTGAAGCCTACTTCTGTCCATTTGTCAAACTCATTCTCCATCCAGTTTTGTTCCCTTGCTGGCGAGGAGTTATGATCCTTTGGAGGAGAAGAAGTATTCTGGTTTTTGGAATTTTCAGGCTTTTTGCAATGGTTTTTCCTCATCTTCATGAATTTATCTACCTTTGGTCTTTGATGTTGGTGACTTTCAAATGGAGTTTCTGTCTGGATGTCCTTTTTGTTGATGTTGAAGCTATTCCTTTCTGTTTGTTAGTTTTCATTCTATCACTCAGGCCCCTCTTCTGCAGGTCTGCTGGAGTTTGCTGGAGGTCCACTCCAGACCCCCTTTGCCTGGGTTTCACCAGCAAAGGCTGCAGAACAACAAGGATTGCTGCCTGTTCCTTCTTGTGGAAGCTTCGTCCCAGAGAGGCATCTGTCAGATGCCAGCAAGAGCTCTCCTGTATGAGGTGTCTGTGGACCCCTGCTGGGAGGTGTCTGTCAAGCCCTGCTGGGAGGTGTCTCCCAGTCAGGAGGCACAGGGGTCAGGGACCCACTTGAGTAGGCAGTCTGTCCCTTAGCAGAGCTCGAGCAGTGTGCTGGGAGATCTGCTGCTCTCTTCAGAGCCAGCAGGCAGGAACGTTTAAGTCTGCTGAAGCTGTGCCCACAGCTGCCCCTTCCCCCAGGTGCTCTGTCCCAGGAAGATGGGAGTTTTATCTATAAGCCCCTGACTGGGGCTGCTGCCTTTCTTTCAGAGATGCCCTGCCCAGAGAGGAGGAATCTAGAGAGGCAGTCTGGCTACAGAGGCTTTGCAGAGCTCCAGTTTGCTCCACCCAGTTCAAACATCCTGGTGGCTTTGTTTATACTGTGAGGGGAAAACTACCTACTGAAGCCTCAGTAATGGTGGACGCTCTTCCCCCAGCGAAGCTCGAGTGTCTCAGATCGACTTCAGACTGCTGTAATGGCAGTGAGAATTTCAAGCCAGTGGATCTTAGCTTGCTGGACTCCATAGGGGTGGGATCTGCTGAGTTAGACCACTTGACTTCCTGGCTTCAGCACCCTTTCCAGGGGAGTGAATGGTTTCATCTCACTGGTGTTCCAGGTGCCACTGGGGTATGAAAAAAACTCCTGCAGCTAGGTTATTGTCTGCCCAAATGGCTGCCCACTTTTGTGCTTGAAACCCAGGGCCCTGGTGGCATAGGCACCCGAGGGAATCTCCTGGACTACAGGTTGCTAAGACTGTGAGAAAAGCATAGTATCTAGGCCACAGTGCATTGTTCCTCACGGCACAGTCCCTCACAGCTTCCCTTGGCTAGGGGAAGGAGTTCCCGACCCCTTGTGGTTCCAAGGTGAGGTGACTCCCCACCCTGCTTTGGCTTGCCCTCCATGGGCTACACCCACTGTCTAACCAGTCCCAATGAGATGAGCTGGGTACCTCAGTTAGAAATGCAGAAATCACCTGCCTTCTGTGTTGATCTCTCCAGGAGCTGCAGACTGGAGCTGTTCCTATTCAGCCATCTTGCTAGCAACCTCTTCTATAATATAGTTTTTAGAAATTCTTTCTAACTTAAACTTGCATATATTCTAGACATTTCATTCCTAGATATTTATGTTCACATGAAGATTTATACACAAATTTTTATAGCTTTATTTGTAAAGCACCAAACTGGAAACATTCTAAATATCCATCAACAGGTAAATGAATAAACAAATTGTATATCCATAAAGCAGAATACTATTCAGAAATTTTAAAGTGTTGATTAACACCAAAATGTGAATAAATCTGAAAACAAAAACAAGGTAGTAAAATAAACTCCACAAAGTGAGTACATAATGTGAGATTCCACTTATATAAAATGCTTAAAATAAGAAAAACAAAATATAATGACAGAAAGGAAATTAATAGTTGTAGAAAGGAGAGGTTGTAGGACTCTATATGAATTACAAAAGAAGATACTCTTGGGGCTGGTGGGTATACTCATCAATTTAATTGCAGTGTTTATTTGAGTGGCTTATATGCATATCAATTCAACAAATTAAACACTTTATGCACTGATTATTGTACATCAATTAAACCTCAACAAAAATATTAAAATGCATTAATCGGCATGTTAAATATTACTAGAAGGAAGCACTTTTAAAAGGATTAATATGTCATTAAGATTTAAAAATTGCTATACCACAAATTAATATATAAATGATGACTATAGTAAATCCTAACATTAAATAACAGTTTTCATTATTATACTGTACATATTCATTTCATATTATTTTGTTTTATTTTTGTTTATGTTTTGCCTTTTTGAAATCTGTTAGTAAACTAGATATGGGAAATTTGCTAACCATTTTTAAAGTAGCTTCATAATTCTGGAGTCCGTAAATAAATGGGGTATAAATACAAACCACTTGGGATTTTAAAAATATACTGTCATGCTCACTTTGGCACTTATACTAAAATTGAAACCATAGAGAGAAAACTAGCATGGCCCCTATGCAAAGATGACACACGCATCTTTGAAGCATTCCATATTTTTACCAGAATAGCCAGATTAGAGAGAAACATAACTGACCTGATGGAGCTGAAGAACACAACATGGGAAATTCACAGTGCAATGACATGTATCAATAGCAGAATAGATTAAGTGGAGAAAAGAATCTCAGAGCTTGAAGACTATCTTTCTGAAATAAGACAGGCAGACAAGAATAGAGAAAAAAGAATGAAAAGGAATGAACAAAACCTCTGAGAAATGTGGGACTATGTAAAAAGACTGAACCTACAACTGATTGGGGTACTTGAAAGAGACAGGGAGGACAGACCCAAGTTGGAAAACATACTTCGGGAGGTCATCCAGGAGAACTTCCTCCAATCTAGAAAGACAGGCCAAGATTCAAATTCAAGAAATCTAGGGAGCCCCAGTAAGATACTTCACAAGAAGATCAACGCCAAGGCACATAATTGTCAGATTCTCCAAGGTTGAAAGAAAAGAAAAAATGTTACGCGCAGCCAGAGAGAAAGGCTGGGTCACCTACACAGGGAAATCCGTCAGTATAACAACAGACCTCTCAGTGTAAACCTTACAAGACAGAAGCAATTTGGGGCCAATATTCAACACTCTTAAAGAAAACAATTTCCAACCCAGAATTTCATATCCAGCCCAACTAAGTTTCATAAGCGAGGGAGAAATAAGATTCTTTTCAGACAAGCAAAGGATGAGGGAATAAGTCACCTCCAGGCCTGCTTTGCAAGAGTTCCTGAAGGAAGCACTAAATATGAAAAGGAAAAACTGTTACTAGCCACTACAAAAACATACTGAAGTATACAGACCAGTGACACTATGAAGTGACCACATAATAAGTCTGCAAAATAACCAGCTTGAATTATGATGACAGGATCAAACTCACACATAGCAATATTAACATTAAATGTAAATGAGCTAAATGCCCCAATTAAAAGACATAGGATGGCAAGCTGGACGGGGTCAAAATCTGTTGGTATGCTGTCTTCAAGAGACCCATCTCACATGCAAAGACACACATAGGTTCACCATAAAGGGACTAAGGAAAATTTACCAAGCAAATGGAAAACAGAAAAAAGTAGGGGTCACAAACCTAGTTTCTGACAAAACAAATTTTAAACCAACAAGGATCAGAAAAGACAAAGAAGGGCCCTATATAATGGTAAAGGAGTCAATTCAACAAGAAGAGCTAACTATTCCTAAATAGATATACACCCAATAAAGGAGCACCTGGATTTATAAAGCAAGTTCTTAGAGACGTACAAAGAGATGTAGACTCCCACATAATAATAGTGGGAGACTTTAACTCCACACTGACAATGTTAGATGGATCATCAAGACAGAAAATTAACAAAGATACTCAGGACCTGAACTCAGCTCTGGATCAAGCAGACCTGATCAATATATACAGAACTCCTCATCTTGCAAACAACAGGATATACATTCTTCTCATTGCCATATACACTTACTCTAAAATTGATCACATAATCTGAAATAAAACACTCTTCAGCAAATGCAGAAGAACTGAAATCATAACAGTATCTCAGATCACAGTACAATCAAATTAGAATTCAAGACTGAAAAATTCACTTAGAACCACAAAACTACATGGAAATTGAACAAGCTGTTCCTGAGTCACTCGTGGGTAAATAATGAAATTAAGGCAAAATCAAGAAGTTCTTTTAAACTAATGAGAACAAAGAGACAATGTATCAGAATCTCTGGGATGCTGATAGAGCAGTGTTATCAGGGAAATGTATAGCACTAAATGCTCACATCAAAAAGCTAGGAAGATGTCATAATAACCTAATATCACAACTAAAAGAACTAGAAAACCAAAAGCAAACAAACCCAAAGATGGCAGAAGATAAGCAATAACCAAGATCAGAGGGCAACTGAAAGATAAAGACATGAAAATTCCTTCAACAAATCAATGAATCCAGGAGCTTTTTTTTTTTTCAAAAAAATAATAAAGTAGACCACTAGCTAGACTAATAAAGAAGAAAAGAGAGAAGAATCAAGTAGACACAATCAGAAATGATAAGGGGGATATCACCAATGACCCCACAGTAAAGCAAACAACCATCAGAGAATACTATGAACACCTGTATGCACATAAACCACATAAACTAGAAAATCTGGAAGAAATGGATAAATTCCTGAATACATACATCCTCCCAAGACTGAACCAGAAAGAAATTGAAACCCTGAGTAGACCAATAATGAGTTCTAAAATTGAGTCAATAATAAGTAGTCTACCAACCGAAAAAGCCCAGGACCAGATGGATTTACAGCTGCATTCTAACAGAGGTACAAAGAAAAGCTGGTACCATTTCTATTGAAGTTATTCCATAAAGTTGAAAAGGAGGGACTCCTCCATAACTAATTTTATGAGGCCAGCATCATCCTGATACCAAAAACCTGACCACAATACACCAAAAATAGAAAACTTCAGCTAATATCCCAGATTAACACTGATGCAAATATCTTTAATAAATACTGACAAACCAAATCCAGCAGCACGTCAAAAAGCTTATCCATCACATTCAAGTTAGTTTCATCCCTAGGGTGCAAGGTTGGTTTAACATATTAAAATAAATAAATACAATTCATCACATAAACAGAGCTAAAGAAAAAAACCACATGATTTTCTCAATAGATGCAGAAAAGACCTTTGACAAAATTCAGCATCCCTTTATCTTAAAAACTCTCAATAAACTAGGTTTTAAAGGAATATACCTCAAGATAATAAGAACCATATCTAACAAACCCACATCAAATATCATACTTAAAGGGCAAAAGCTGGAAGTATTCTCCTTGAAAACCATCATAGGACAAGGATGCACTCTCTCACCACTCCTATTCAAAATAGTATGGAAGTTTTGATCAGGGCAATCAGACAAGAGAAATAAATAAAGGGTATTTAAATAGGGAGAAAGAATGTCAAATTATCTTTATTTGCAGATGGTCCTATGTCAAGAAAATTTCATTGTCTCAGTCAAAAAACTTCTTAAGCTAATAAGAAACTTAAGCAAAGTCTCAGGATACAAAATCCATGTGCAAAAATCACTAGCATTCCAATACGCCAGCAACAGTCAAGCAGAGAGCTAAATCAGGAATGAACTGCAATACACAATTGTTACAAAAAGAAAAAAATATTTAGGAACACAGCTTATAAGGGCAGTGAAGGACCTTTTCAAGAACTATGAACTATTGCTTAAGGAAATCAAAGAAGACACAAGCAAATGGAAAAACGTTCCATGCTCATGAATAGGAAGAATCAATATTGTGAAAATGGCCATACTGCCCAAAGTAATTTATAGATTCAATGCTATTCGCATTAAACTACCATTGATGTTCTTCACAGAAGTAGAATAAACTATTTTAAAATTCATATGGAGTCAAAAAGGGAGCCTGAATAGCCAAGACAATCCTAAGCAAAAAGAACAAAGCTGGAGGCATCATGCTACTTGACTTCAAACTATACTACAAGGCTACAGTAACCAAAACAGCATGGTACTGGTACAAAAACAGATACAAAAACAAACAGAACAGAATAGAGACCTCAGAAATAAAACCACACACCTATAAGCATCTGATCATCAAAAAACCTGACAAAAACAAGCACTGGGGAAAGGATTCCCTATTTAATAAATGATGCCGGGAAAACTGGCTAGCCATATGCAGCAAATTAAAACTGGACCCCTTCCTTATACCTTATACAAAAATTAACTCAAGAGAGATTAAAGACTTAAATGTAAAACTGGAAACTATAAAAACCATAGAAAAAAATCTAGGCAATATCATTCAAGACATTGGCACCAGCAAAGATTTCATGATGAAAATGCCAAAAGCAATTTCAAAAGCAAAATTTGACAAATGGGATCTAAGTAAACTAAAGAGCTTTTGCACAGCAAAAGAAAGTATCATCAGAGTGAACAAGTAGCCTACACAATGGGAGAATATTTTTGAAATCTATCCATCTGACAAGGCTTTAATATGGAAAGTCTACAAGAAACTTAAGCAAACTTACAAGAAAAAAAGCAAACAACCCCATTAAAAAGTGGGCAAAGAACATGAACAGACACGTCTCAAAAGAAGACATACACGCGGTCAACAAACATGAAAAAAAAACTCAACATCACTGATCATTAGAGAAATGCAAATCAAACCCACAATGAGATACCATCTCGTGCCAGTGATAATGGCAATTATTAAAAGGCCAAGAAACAACAGATGCTGGTGAGGTTGCAGGGGAAAAGGAATGCTTTTACACAGTTGGTGGGAATGTAAATTAGTTCAACCATTGTGGAAGACAGTGTGGCAATTCCTCAAAAATCTAGAGTTAGATATATTATTTGACCCAGCAATCCCATTACTGAGTATATACCCAAAGGAATATAAATTATTCTACTATAAAGATACATGCGCACATATATTTATTTATTTATTTTTTTTTTTTATTTTTTGAGACAGAGTCTCTCTCGGTCGCCCAGGCGGGAGTGCAGTGGCGCGATCTTGGCTCACTGCAAGCTCTGCCTCCTGGGTTCACACCATTCTCCTGCCTCAGCCTCCCAAATAGCTGGGACTACAGGCGCACACTGCTACACCTGGCTAATTTTTTGTATTTTTAGTAGAGAGGGGGTTTCACCATGTTAGCCAGGATGGTCTCGATCTCCTAACCTTGTGATCCGCCCGCCTCAGCCTCCCAAAGTGCTGGGATTACAGGCGTAAGCCACCGCGCCCGGCCCCATGCACACGTATATTTATTGCAGCACTCTTCGCAATAGCAAAGACATGGAAACAACCCAAATGCCCATCAACGATAGACTGAATAAAGATAATGTGATACATATACACCATGGAATACAATGCAGCCATAAAAGGGAACAAGATAATGTCCTTTGGAAGGATATGGACAGAGCTGGAAGCTGTTATCCGCAGCAAATTTTTGCAGGAAAAGAAAACCAAACACTAATGTTCTTACTTAAAAGTGGGAGCTGAACAATGAGAACACATGGACACACTGTGGGGGAAACAACACATATTGGTGCCTGTCAGGGGAGTTGTGGTGGGAGGGGGCTCATCAGAAAGAATAGCTAATGGATGCTGGGCTTAATACTTAGGTGATGGGATGATCTGTGCAGCAAATCACCATGGTGCACATTTACCTATGTAACAAACCACATATCCTGCACATGTACTCCCGAACTTAAAAGTTAAAGGAAAAAAAAGAAAATGTAACCAAATTAAATTTAAATTGAATCATTTAAATTAAATGAAAATGATTTAAACCATTTGATTAAAAGATCAAATCAAATAAGATCTAGTATTTGAGAGCACAGCATGGTGACTACCGTCAACAGTAATTTATTATGCATTTTAAAATAACTAAAACATTATAATTGGGTTGTTTGTAACACAAAGAAAGGATAAGTGCCTGAGGTGATGAATACCCCATTTACCCTGATGTGATTATTATGCATTGTACGCCTCAATCAAAAGATCTCATGTTCCCCATTAATGTACACACCTAACATGTACACACAAAAATTAAAACTTATTTAAAAAGACAAAATAACGCCTATTCCCGTCTTTTATATATCTAAATGTGACAAATAATAAATATAAATAATGCAAAAAGGCTTTACTTAGCATAGTTACCTTATTGTTACCTTAGCCTTATTAATAGCAAAATATTTTATAAACTTAAGTTAAATATCATCGATAAAGTTCTAATCAGCTGCCCATAAGATATTTAAGACATTTTTCTAAATACAAAAAATTAAGTTTCCATGCTTTTGATGGAGCATCTACATGGGAAAATTTTAAATTGCATCAGAAAAGGCAGAGAAAAGTGAATTATGATTTCCAGGAAGACAGAGTAACCTTTGCATTTTAATAATAAGTATGTGATTCATGCCAGATTCCTATGACAATTCATAACTATATTCTTGGATATTTTGATTCTACCTGGCTTGACTAAAAAATAATCTTAATGGAACATTAAATGAGGAGTAGAGAGACAACCTGTAATCAAAATCAAATTATTCTCTGATCTAATTCATCCCGAAGATTCTTAGAATAGTTTATTCCTCACAGTATATTTACTGATACATTGCTGCTTAAAAAAATCACTTTATTTAATAACGACTTGGTTATATATGACTACAGGTAACAAGAACGTCTTTTTCAGGAATCAAATACAAATTTCTGAAACAGTGACTGATAATGCAAAACAAAGGGAAACTAGTGTTCAATGGAATATGGAGGGTCAGATGTGGATAAAATATTTCAAAACAAAAAACAGGAGTACCTTAACATTGTAATCGAAATGCAAATGTTTAATCACTCTTTATTCCACCAGGAGAAATGCACTTAAAGTAATGTAATACTAGCCACAACTTATTTGAGAAAAGAATCAAAAGCAAAGATGTCAGGCAGAATTTATATTAAGTTGCAAAAAGTAAAGTCTGGGTTAGATAGAAAAGCAATTATCTCATTTCACATGATAGAAATAACAGAATATTTAGACTATCTTTTCTTCTCATGAGAGAACACTCAATAAATTGAGATAAGAGCATTTTCTCCTATTTCCATTTTAGACATTATATTATTTTTTCATTTCTCATGCCTGGTTTTGTTAAGTAAGCACTCTCTTGTAGCCAGAAATCATTCTGTCAAAGGATAATAATTCATTTTGTTGTAATTTTGTTTAGTTTAACACAAACACACACCCTTATTCTTTAACTTGTATACTGGATTACTGATTAATTGTTGAGGCACTATTTGGACAATTAAAAATTAGAGACTCCTTTTGGTATAATGATTTTTATAAATTGATTTGGTTTAATATTAATCATTATGAAATAGGTAATAGAGTATTTTTTCCAAGATAATTACATATATATGTGGATGATTTGTGCCCTTTTCAGTTTTTTCTCGCTTTGTATTTTTAACTTGTTTCTCAAGGATTTTGTCTGAAAACATACTGTCATTTGTTACTTATGAGGCGAACATTGTTAACATTAAAATTTGCCATTGGTGCTTACTGTAATCCTAAATTTGATGTGAAAAAATTCCTCCTACATTCCTGCTACTATATTGGTAGAGTCAACTGTCAAAAATAATAATATAAATTTGTAATAAAACAGACATTGTTGATTTTCAAAAGAATAACAAACATTTCAAAAGAATAACAAATAAGAGGGAAAAAAGTTACATACAAAGCTGCCTACATAGAGAAATAACCCTTCAACAATATTATAAAATTTATTTTAGCACTGAAATGTGTTGATCACATTTGCATGAGGAAAAACATCATATTTTACAGTTATTTTAGATATTTACATAAAAATGAGGCTCACAAATAAATCTATATTGACAAAGAAGGACAATGTTTGTGCTGTACTGAGAATGACAACTGTGATGAATCAAGGACAACTGTGAGAGTTAAGTTCAAAAGGAACTGACTTGATGAATAGCAATTTTACCTCAGGCCACAAAGTACACTAGGTCATTGTCTGCAGGCTCTTCTGAACAGCCTGTGTTCATCCAGAATTATACCGGAAGGACAGAACCTGTGTGAGATGAGACAGAAGAGATCACCTTTACTGCCCCAAAGTATATTAATGCTCTTTTTGCAGCTCTCACCATCTTTTAGAGATGCTTATGTTGATGCTTTTTTGATAAACCGCTTAGCCAAAAAATATCTTGAGAAAGTGCTAAACAACTACAATTGAACTTTTATTGTTGGTAAATAGAAAACTTTGATCATTTAATGCACAACACTACAGTGAATGATGGCGGAGTTAAAGATGAAACATGCCTGATTATATAATTATGGTCAAGAATATGATACGCTTTAGCTATAAAGTGCTTTTATTGGAAACAATTTGTCCACTCACCTTCAGATCTCAGTATAAAAGTGGGTTCTCAGACTGGTCTCCCTAAATGCACAGAGTAAACTAGATTCAACTACTATAGGCATTTGCAAATCTCTATACATGATTTGGAAATTATTTGTCACTTTAGTGATATGTCTCCGTTGTTCACTAGACAATATGCTCTGTGATAGTAGGTCACATATTTGCTTTGTTCAATACTGTGCCCCAGAGTAATTTTGGGGGTACATATTAGACATTCTGTGCATATTTGCTAAATACATATATGAATCAATTGATTTTATAAGTGAAAAACTAGAAGAACCACCTGTATAATATGGATACTACATAAATGCAATGTGTTATAATTATGAAGCAGCATATGGTAATTCATATTTCATTAACATAAGAGGTAGAGACATTTTTCAAAAAGCAGAAAACCAAGAATCACAGGATTGGGTTTATATAAGAAGTGTCACTAAAATTTGTGTGGTCTAGGCAAATTTACTCATAAAATTAGCGTGAAAATTCACTGAGATAATAAGTGTAGAATGTTCTATAACACTCTGTATTTTATATATTTGATGAGTCATAGATATTAGTAGTAAAATTATGGCAACATAACACCTGGCCTTCTGCATAGGTGACCATGCTACATGTGTTTTTCTTCCTGGCAGTTGCCTTCCATACAAGACTACAATCTCTCCCTGTTCTACTCAGAAATATGAATGTGACTCTTGTTGGCAATGAAAGGTAGAAACGCATGAATCAAGTGCAGATGTCTTTTCTCTTCTGCTGTGATGTATGGAAATAGTCTAGATAGAAGCTGCTTTGCGATTTGAGTCCTGCAAATTAGATGACATTGAGCAGAGCAACCACTGACCCATAATTAAAATAAAATGGGAAAATGAAATAAGGTCTGTTTTAATAAGTTTCTATGATTTTTAGAATGTTTTCTACAGCTGCATGACATGACCTAATCCGACAGATTTAACAACCCTCTTTTTTAGTTAGAAGCACTGAAAATTTGATGGCAAGATTACATAAAGAAAGAATGATTGCTATAGTGGCCCAAAACATGATCCAGAAACTTATATCAGAAGAGCAGTGTTGAGAGTAAATATTTTACATTTTTCAAGCAAGCATTTTTTTTAACATTGAAAGTGCCATTAGAGTTTTAAAATAGTAAGCTTTAAGGCAATCTTAAGATTTACACTATAAACAACTGGTGGGAAATAAAGTAGAAAAACCAGCCTAGCACAGGGCAAGAGTCTAGAAGTAGTGAAGACAATGTTTAGGTGCTAGTGAGTGCCTGAGAGGGCCCTGTGCTGGTGTGATTCCTGGTTTTCTGCTGTTTAAAAAATTTATCCACCACTCACGTGAATGAAATATGAATGACTGTGCCATAGGAACACCCTCCACCCAAGAAAAATGTGGACATCTGAAATGAGAGAAAATGTGCGGTCGGCATTTGATGAGGTGCCAGACCTCATGATCACTGTCCAGTACTAGCGTGGTGAAGCACTGGAGGCAGGTGTATGGTGAGGCACTACTAGGCTGAGGGTCTCTAAGACAATCTCTAGCTCCAGCCTAGATACCAGACTACTGCTGCCGTATAATTGACTCTAGGTAAACAAAGAGAAGAACCACCAAGTTTGCCAATGCACAGAATCATGAGAAGTAATTAATTGTTGTTTAAGCCACTATTGTGTTATGGAATGTATTAGCCTACTTGGGCTGCCATAACAAAATACCACAGCCTGGCTTAAATGTCAGAAATTTATTTTCTTACAGTTCTGGTGTCTATACATCTAGATCAAGGTAGTGTCAGGGTTTGTCTCCAGTGAGGTCTCTCTTCCTGGTTTGCAGATGGCCCTTCTGGCAGTAGCTTCACATGGCCTTTCTTCTGGGTGTGCACAGAGATAGAGATGTCATTTCTTATAACATCATCAGCCCTATTCTCACAATAATGACTTCATTTAACAATTATCACTTTCGTATAGGCTCTATCTCCAAATAAAATCCACTGGGAGATAGGGATTCAACATTTGAATTTTGCCACAGTTCAGCCCATCACATGCAACTAAGGCCAACCGAAACAATATATATTTTTGAATTGTTTTAATGTTCCATTATCAATTCATTTATTTCTGGAGCAATAGTGTAGTCTTAGTTCACAGCTTTAATAATGGCATCTATTTGCCTGGCGCAGTGTCTCACGCCTGTAATCCCAGCACTTTGGGAGGCCAAGGCGGGTGGATCACCTGAGGTTGGGAGTTCAAGACCAGCCTGACCAACACAGTGAAACCCCATCTCTACTAAAACTATAAAATTAGCTGGGCATGGTGGCACATGCCTGTAATCCCAGCTACTCAGGAGGCTGAGGCAGGAGAATCGCTTGAACCTGGGAGGTAGAGGTTGCAGTGAGCCGAGATCGCACCATTGCATTCCAGCCTGGTGACACAGTGAGACTCCGTCTCAAAAAAAAAAAAAAAAGAAAAAAAAAGAAAGAAAGACATCTGTTAAGAAAATTTCCTGCTTTTATTATATTTTCCCTTTTTTTGACATTGATTTATTCAGAAATATATTTTAGTTTCCAAACACATTTTTCCTGGTTTCTCTTTATTTTTGCTTAATTGGATTGTGGTTATAGGCTTCTATTTTTAAAATAAAATTCTGTTAGCTTTATTAATATCTATTGACAAAAATTATATGAGTACACAATGTGATGATTTGATATACGTATGCCTTGTGAAATTTTTATATACCTGTTATATTTATACAAATAAAAAGACACAATCTTTTTAAATGACTCTGTTTTTAATATTTGACTGTTGGATAGCTTTGAGGCCTAAATTGCCCCTTTCTGTTTTTGTGCTATTTCTGGAAAAGCAGATAGAGCCCACAGGCACCTTTCTTTGATGAACAGGAAAGATCAAACAACACAAACCCAAGCTCCCATGCAGAAACCCTCTCTCTGCTCCTCCACCTTAAACACTCAATCAAAAAGTCCCATTATGTGAGTAATAAATCTTTTTATACCTTGGTGTTTTTGTGGTATAATCAATCTCCACATCCATATCAGTTTTGGGTTGGAGGGATGGATCCCATAGTGAACCAGAAAACAATTGGTATGTGAACAGGATAGCCTAGGTAATGACCACCACCTGTGGCCCTTTACGTCCTGGTTCACTGATT
Organism: Homo sapiens; assembly: GCF_000001405.40. Classification (NCBI taxonomy): domain Eukaryota; kingdom Metazoa; phylum Chordata; class Mammalia; order Primates; family Hominidae; genus Homo; species Homo sapiens. The sequence goes on from NC_000013.11 coordinate 46,421,621, forward strand.
GGCTCTGCTCTCTGCTGGACAGTATGTACTTTGAGCTGTTGCCAGCTGAATTCCATGTGCTTTGAGCTTTACTTCTTAGTGCCACATATGTTACTTCTGTCAAGGTTCTGCTTCATATTTAACTGGCATTATTTGAAAATTTTGGTAGTTGGCGCTCAAGAATACCAGCATGGGATTAGGGATCTTCCTTAACATGGCACAGATTGTGTGTCTCAGCCTATACCTATCTGTGTGTCAAATTAAATCATTTATTTTGATCTAACCATAAGCGTTGATTGAATCTATAAAACATCAATAAAACATTGACTCACTTTCTACTGAGTGCTTGGGAAAACACCTATATACTGTATAATTTATGGACCCATTAGGTGGTTGCTTAAATAACTATAGTCACCATTTTTGAATGCTGATGTCAACGCTCTTAATATCAGATAGGTCTCTAGGAATCCAAATGCTGCTACCGCCATCTATACTTCTATCACAACAGAGATTCTGATCCTCAAACTTAAGGAGGAAAACATCCAAGGAACCTTGGCATAGATCTTGGGAAAAGTTGTCTTGAATCCTTTATATCGCCTTATCTTCCACCCACCTCTTCTTTAAAAAGCCAGGGGGCATCATCAATCTATTGGACAAGGATAAAATGGTTGGACTGTGAGTCTGATGAATGCTATGGCTTGTCAACATACCAAAGAGATCATTCAAACCTGGCTTTTGCCTAGCGCCTCTAAAGCCAGTAATGCAATAAATACCGTGGGGAGCCTCTTTACTGTGATGACAGCAATTTGGGAACTTCTGGAGGAAGAAACTTATAAATATTAGGAGTGTAGAGAAGGACCCTAAGAATATGGGGACTAACAGGGACAAATACACAAAATGAGCTACCATCAGCACAAAAACCAAGACAGACACCTAGATACATGATGACAAGCCAGAAACTGAGACAGAGGCCCACAGTCTGATATAAATGGAAATAAATTTACTTACTTAAAGAATTTACCCAATAGAAATATTAAAAGGGTGCTGTTTGACATTTAAATCTCTACATCATTGGTTCTAAATTAATTTTAAAATCTGCTGAAATGTATGTATTGACAACTATTCATGGCCTTAACTGATATAGGTGACAAAATTGTTATTATACATGGATGTCCCACTAAATTCACTAAATTTAAACAAAGTACCTGCTATTTTCTTAAGGAAGTTACCAGGCATAAAACAGAAAACTAACAGATATGTGTTACCTTAACCATGAGAAATGTTGCTTTGCCAAAATTTCTAATGGCCATAGTATTCATTGCCCTTAAAATATCCTATAGTGGCCCCTTTGACTCAAGTAAATAATTGAAATAAAATTATGTCTTTAGCACTTAAAATCGACTTGACAAATAAAACCCGATGGATCTTCTAGTTTTTTTAATTAAAAGAGTTGATAAAGCCTAATATAAATTAAAATGTGGGTTTCAATGTTTGAAATCTACTTTGTAGCCCTATGTAGAAAAGGATGATTATTTTTACTATTTTACTATTAAATAGCCCAATTCAATCTGTTCTTAAAACTGAAAATAATGATGGACATCTTGCAGTGGCAGTGGATGACCATGAACTCAGTGTGGCTCTACCCATTAAAGCCCACACCTATAATATTACTGAAATCATCGATTCTATCCAATCAACAACTAGTAAATACTTTATAGTACTAGATTTGATTAATATGCTCTACTCAGTGCCTAGTTAGGTGAACATGTTCTGTTTAGTGCTTATTTCAGCTGCAGTGCCTTCACCTTTGAAGGGATATGCATTTTCCTGGATACTGATGGGGTGATTCAATAGCCTTGCATTCTTTTACAGTCTTTGTAGGAAAGATCTTAGTTGTATCTGGCTTTCTCCAGGAGCTCAGGTCTGACATTACATTGATGGTATCTCCTCCAAGGAGATTTATTTGTCACACACACATGCAGGACATAAAAGTAATCACAAAGGCGTTTACAAAACGTAGCGGTGGAAATAGGTTATAACTCTGCATTTACAACAAGGTCCACTACTTCAGTTAGATTTCTGAAAATTATTTGGTTTGTTAAAAACTGTTCCATCCCTGACACTGTCAGAAACAACAACAACAACAACAACAACAAACTATTGATCATCTCAGCACCAAGAATGTTGAAAGAATCTTGATTTCTTTTAAGGCTTTGAAGGTTCTGGAGGCAATATATTCCTATTTTAAAATTTTATTTAGCCTAATTTACGCTATAATTCACAAATCAGCCCACTCTGAATGGGATTCTCTGCAACAAGAGGTTCTAGAATCTGCCCAACTTGAAATTCAACAAGCAGTCTCATGAGTATCCCCTAAAGATTTCCATAAAGGAGAACTTCTCTGTTTTTAATCTATTGTCAGATGAAATCACGCTGAAGAAAATCACTTTCTCACAGAACAACTGGCCAGATATACAACCCCCAAAATCAACTTGATAATGAGAACTGAAATTCATATACTCTTCTGATGGTAGAACCACCAAATACACAATGAATACCGCTGGGTTTCTGCTGCTACCCATCCCCTAACCAGAACATAAATTTTTAATGTATATATTCTGAAGATGTGCTGTTAGGAATATTTACATTTATACATTTTAAAAGATTTAGATATTTAAGGGTAATTTGAATTCTTATTTTCTAGTAAAAATTTTATGTAAAGTCTATATTGTCAGATATAAACGTGGCTATCTCCGCTATTTCCAGTTACTACATATTTGGCTAGATCATCTTTTATCACTCTTTTATTCTGAAAATTTGTTCTTTGTTTTTATGTATGTTTATTTAAAAAATATATAAATAAATTTAGTAGTTTAATGCAGTTTTATAATCTTTGTCTTTTCTAGGTCTTTTTTATTAATAATTATTATATTACTGTTATTTCTCAAATATCTTATGTAATTTCTGTTTATACCATCCCTTAATGTGGTTTTTCTATTTTCTTATGTTTTAATTGATTTAAATCTTTTCTTTATTTTCTCTAATAATTTGTAACTTAAATATGTCATTTCTATTTCCCTAATATTTTCTGACAGATTTTTGCTATAAAACTCACCTATCAACGTTAGGGCCACTATTAGCATATGATTTGTCATCTAATTCAGGGCATTGTTGAAAGTATGAGTTATATTTGTATTTATAGTGAGACATACAGTTTATTTACATAATTATACATTTAAAATATTGTGGGAAGCCAGAATGTATGTCAACCAAGTAATTGCTAAAATTAATATCTCTTTCCTCATGCTAAATGAAGTAATGATTTTTAAAAGTTATGTCTTTGTTTCTATCAACCTACAAATTTATCAATTGTTTTCTTTATCATTACTTTTTGAATCTCAAATTTTACATTTGAAGTAATTTTTCTTCATCATAAAAACATCTATTAGATCTTTCATCAGAAAATATCTTTAATAGAGAACATTTGTTAGTAGAAAGTATTTTTATTCCACTATCATTCTTGAAAGATACATTGACTGTGCGTTAGAATTCTAAGCTAATTATTTTCTCTTAGTACTCTGCAGACATTCATTTATTCTCTGACTTCCAGTTATTATTTATCTCTTCTCTGGCTATTGTTAAAGTCTTTTTGTTAACTCTAGCTTTACTAAGATGCATTGAAGTGAAATTTATATTTTATGCATTATGATTTGAACTTGGGGCTTCTTAAATCTGTGTGTCAACACTTGCCATAAATTTTACCATTACCTCTGAAATTATTACATATTTACACATTTATTTATACATTTATTTCCAGAACTTCGATTAGATGCAGATCATACTACCTTACTCTGCCTACCATGTCTTTTTATTGCTTTATTTTTTACATGCTTATTACTTTGTCTTCTCAGAATTTTGTTATATATTTCAGCTTATTAACTGCTTTTCAGTCTTGTCTGCTAAGTAAGCAATGTTGTTTTATATAAATTATCTTTGTAAATTTCTAGTGGTTATATATCTCTTTCAACTGAGCATATTGACTAGATCATCCTCCCCCCATGCAAAGCTGACCCAAAACACAGAAAAATAACATTAAAGTTGACCTCATTACAAATATCATATAAATATTGCATTCTCATTATTTCTTTCCCTTTATACCTTTTGAGTAATTCAAACTGGATGCTTATGAAAACTTTATTTATCATTTTTGTCTGACTTCATATCTAGAATCAATTTGGTTCAATGCAGCTTCTAACCACCAGGATATGCAGGCATAAAAAATGAGTTACAGAAAATACATTTTCATACGCAGCTTATGATTAAAGAAGAGAAATGGCATTTTCATGGAAACCCACAACACGCAGAATAATAAAATGATTTCCATGTAAGAACAGATAATATCCAGGCACACTGACCACAGTGTTCTTCCTTCAACACTCCCCATGACTGCAGGGCACATCTCTAAAATATTTGCTTGGCATCTCCTTTACCTTTCTCAAAGATTTGCTCAAATCTCATCTTCTCTATGTGTCGTTATGCCCACAATACTGCACCATGAGGCATTACCATGGGAACCGCTCATAATCCATATTCTACTTTAAAAAAATGTAACATTTACCATATATGCATATATATTTTTATATGTAGATGAAATAAGCCACCTTTTTTTTTTTACTTTTAAAGATTTTATTTTTATTTAGAGCAGTTAAGCTCATGCCACAATAGAGCAGAAAGTACAGAGAATTACAGTAGTCTCTCATTATCTGTGGTTTGACTTTTCAGTTTCAGTTACTTTCATGGTCCAAAAATATTAAATGTAAAATTCCAGAAATAAACAATTCATAAGTTTAACATTGCACATCATCTTGAGTAGCATGATGAAACCTCATGCTGCCCCACTCTGTCCTGCCCAGGGACCAGGGCCATAAATCATCCCACCCATTAGTCACTTAGTAGACCCCTTGGTTATCAGATTGATTGCCATGGAATTGTAGTGCTTGTGTTTATGTAACCCTTATTTTATTTTACTTAATAACAGCCCCAAAGTACAAGGACTGTGATGCTGGGATATTTTTATCTGTCATATTTTATTGGTAGTTGATATGGTTTGGCTGTGTACCCACCCAAATATCATCTTGAAATCCCACGTGTTGTGGAAGGGACCCAGCGGGAGGTAATTGATTCATGGGGGTGAGTCTTTCTCTTGCTGTTCTCATGATAGTGAAAAAGTCTCATGAGATCTGATGGTTTTAAAAACGAGAGTTGAGCTGCACAAGCTCTCTTTGCCTGCTGCCATCCACCGAAGATGTGACTTGCTCCTCCTTGCCTTCCACCATGGTTGTGAGGCCTCCCCAACCATGTGGAATGGAACTGTAACTCCTATGCACCTCTTTCTTTGGTAAATTTTCTCAGTCCCAGGTATATCTTCTTTTTCTTTTTTTTTTTGAAATGGAGTTTTGCTCTTGTTGCCCAGGCTGGAGTGCAATGGCGCAATCTTGGCTCACTGCAACCTCCGCCTCCCGGGTTCAAGTGATTCACCCGCCTTAGCCTCCTAAGCAGCTGGGATTACTGGCACGTTCCACCACCCCCGGCTAATTTTGTATTTTCACTAGAGACAGGGTTTCACCACGTTGGTCAGGCTGGTCTCGAACTCCTGACCTCAGGTGATCCACTCACCTCGGCCTCCCAAAGTGCTGGGATTACAGGCGTGAGCCACCGCGCCTGGCCCCAGATATGTCTTTATCAGCAGCATGAAAACTGATTAATACAGTAATATTGTTATTAATTTCTTAATATACCTAATAATAATTAAAGTGTCTTTATTGTAGATAGGTATATATGTATAGGAAAAACACATAACACTCAGTTGACCCTTGAGCAATACAGATTTGAACTAAGTGGGTCCACTTATGTACAGATTTTCTTCCATCACTGTCACCTTTGAGGCAGCAAGACCAACCCCTCCTCTACCTCCTCCTCCTCAGCCTACTCAATGTGAAGATAATGATGATAGACCTTTATGATGATCCACTTCCACTTAATAGTAAAACATATTTTTTCTTAAGATTTTAATAATATTTTCTTTTTCCTAGCTTACTTTATTCTAAGAATACAGTATATAATACATATAACAGACAAATATGTGTCAATTGACTCTTTTATGTTATTGATAAGGCTCTAGTCAACAGTAGCTATTAGTAGTTAAGTTTTTGAAGAGACAAAAGTTATATGCGGGTATTTTATTGCATGGGGGACTGGCACCGCAAACCCCTATACTGTTCAAGAGTCAACTAAAAATGCAAAGTTTGGTACTATCTGTAGTGGTTTTAGGCATCCACTGGAAGTCTTAGAACTTCTACCCTGTAGATAAGATGTGACTAGTGTGCTATATACCCACTGCCCACACCCATGCATTTGCTCCCCTATTATCTACATCCCCTACCACAATTATACCTTTGTTATAATTGATGAACCTACATTGGCACCTCATAATAACTTGAAGTTCATAGTTAACATTAGGATTTACACTGTATGGGTTTGGACAAATGTCCAAATATCAAACTGACAGAATCATACAGTATGTATCTTTTCAGATTATTTTATTTCACTTAGTCATATTCATTTAAGGTTTCTCTATGTCTGTTTATGGCTTGATAATTCATTTATTCTTAGTGATGATTAATATTTCATTGTCTGGATGTGTCACAGTTTATGCACCCATTCACTTATTAAAGGACATTTTGGTTGCTTCCAAGTTTTGGAAATGATAAACAAGGCTGCTATAAAAATATGCTGTGCAAGTTTTTGTGTGGATATAAGTTTTCAATTCCTTTGTTAAGTATACAGGTGGACAGTGGGCAGTTGCTGGATTTTATGTTTATTTTGTAAGAAAGCTCCAATGGTCTTCCAAAGTGACTGTACCATGTTTAATTCCCACCAGCAATGAATGAGAGTGCCTATTACTCAAAATACCTGCCAGCATTTAGTGTTGCCAGTATTTCAGACTTTGATCATTCAAAAGATGTGTAGTGGTATCTCATTCTTATTCAATTTGCATTTTCAATCAGGTTATTTGATTTGTTATTGTTGAATTTGAAGAGTTTGTCGTATTTTTCGTAACAGTCCTTTATCTGATGTGTGTTTTGCAAATATCTTCCCCTACCCTGTGGATTGTCTTCTAATTATCTTAGCACTGTCTTTTGCAGAACGGTTTTTAAATTCATCTTACCAATTTTTCTGTTTCTTGGATCATGCGCTTGACGTTGTATCTAAAAGGTTATCACCATACCCACGATCATCTAGGCTTCTTCTTATGTTATCTTCTGGTAGTTGTATACTTTTGTGTTTTACATTTAGATCTAAGATCCATTTAGGATTAAATTTTGTGAAGGATGTAAGGTCTGTGTCTAGATTTCATTATTTTGCATGTGGATACACAGAAGCTCCAGCACCATTTGTTGGAAATACTGTCTTTCCTGCATTGTATGACCTTTACTCCTTTGTCTAAGTTAAGTTGATTTAAGATCAATTGTATTTATTTGGGTTTATTCCTGGGCTTTCTATTCTAGTCTTTCTCTTTCTTTTCTATTTTGTTGATCTATTTGTTTATTCTTTCACTAACATTTATCATATTTTAGCCTCTATAACATTTTCTAACTGATTGTACTTTTTTGGTTATAATCTGTCTCTCCTATCCAGAATATAAAACACACAAAGATGGAGACCTTCATATATTTTGTTTTTTCTTTTATCTTTTTCCTATTTTTGTTTCTCTATTTACTCTAGTGTACCCCAAATGATGACTTCAGTTCCTGTATATAATAGTAGTTTCTTAGTACAGATCTCCGTCTCAAAAAAAAAAATTGCCCAATGCTGTGCAGTAATTTTTTCAATCAGAAGATTTTAGCTGCTTTTACTTAGGCTACATTTTTTACAATTCTATTTGCAAGGTATGTTCTGAGCCTCTAGATTTTTCTGATGTATAGCCTATTTGGACAAACTCTTGTTTAAAAGCATGTGTCAAAATATTTGAAGCTGTATGCTTGATTTTAAACTTTGAATACAGCACAACTTTGAGTTGTTCACATTTTTAAGAGGTGCACAAGTTTCCCTGACATCACTTAGCAACTATCTGCAGTAGTTGTGCCTTAACACTCTCAGTTTCACATGGTAATATAGAAGACCAACAAACACTAGTTTTGTTCCTTCCAAGAGAGTTTACCAAAATACTTTTTAGAAATAGCTGTGTTTCACTGTTCACGGGGCGGTCAAGCTGTGCTGCAGGACAGAATATAAAATGAGTGTGGCCAAGGTTAACAAGCAGATGAATGCCACCCAGGGAAGAGACCTACATGATTTGGGGTCACTGAGAACCGAAGACATGTACACTAGGCTCCAGTGGTATGGTACAGCTATTTATTTACAGAAAAAGAAGAAAAGGAGTGCAAGACTTTGTTTCCCCATGGCCAGAGAATCCACTCCATAGCCGATGTGGTTAGTGTGGCTGCAGGTCCCTCACTTTGTACTGCACTAAAGGGACCATGACCTCTTCCCCTTGGGTCTGAAATATAGAAAGCTGGAGGAATGCCAGAGGATCACTGAAGCTTGGGCCTAAGCAGAATACTTATGGAGCATACATCAAGCCTAAACAGGGAAAAGTATTTTCTTGCTGGAAATATGACAAGCCCAGCCCAGGCTGTGAGGGTTTTTTATCTCCCAATAAGAAATATTACAGGCCCAAGGCCACTCTTACGCAGCCATGCAGGCAGCAAGAAGTTGCATATGCTGCCTTTCTCAACTTGTTTGAACTTAACTTTCTAACCTTTAAGCTAACATTTAATTTCGTACCTACCACATCTTTACCTGTGGCAAGCTTGCCACACAGCATGTTGGACTATTTCAGGAGAGTCATGGCCAAGATTTATTTACTGCTGCAGCAACTAACAAACATCCATCTTTTAGAACTGGGTTGTAAGAAAGCATAAATTCTTGTTTATTTGGTAATATCTTAAGTGTATTTAGGGGTGCCTAATAATATGTGCGATGGAAGACTTATTATATTACCATTAATTATAAAATTATATTACAGGTAACATATTATAAATCTAAGTAGTTAAGTAGGATGCTTGAATTCTAATAAAACAGTGAATAGGACTATTACCTATATACAGTATTCAAGTTTTTAAAATTTGTGCTGTAAAAGTGGATTTATAAAAATTTTCAAAACCATTTATTTTATATAGTGTTCAAAAGCAGGATAACTAAACATTAAAAGGACTTTACTTTTTAAAACAATATTGACATATTTTATTGATTATAGCCCAAGTGATCATTTATATTCAGTTCATAATGATAATTATTTCAAAGAGCTACAAGGTATCAAAATTCTTATTTAGAACGACATATATTTTATTGTTGATAAAACAAACAAGCTTCTGTTGTAATCAATAGATGAGATATATAACTAATTATTTTATAATTTTATTTAATCCTATAACTCTAAATCATCATTTGATTAGAGAGCTGAAAAGACATTCAGCCTACAGAGGTTGAATATAATTAACCTCTGTGACATAAATGAATATAATTATTTATGTCACTGAGCACAGCATATTATCTAATTTGATATGCAAATGGGTATGTAATAAGATAAATTACATGTTAAATTTCAGATATAGAACAATAATGAAACCCTTGCACCTTGCAGTTTATACAGGAAAATTATAATGATACTGGTTTTCTTGATCTTTTGGACAAACAAAATGTATAGAGGTAGTTCTCTAGGTCAGAAAAATGCCCTGTTTAAAAAATTGTCACAGGAAAAATTAGCATAAGGTCATTTTTAAAATGTTCAAAAGACACTAGCATACTCATGAAAGTAGTTATTTTAATTGCTAAAAGTATTCACATATGGAAAATTGTTTCTACCATTTGCATAAAACATGCATGATATGTTTACAGTCCAAAAGAGGTTGGGAAATTTTAACAAAAAGCAGCATATCTGCTGAGGGGCCTGTATGTTTTAAAAGCTTAAATAACATCGAATGCATTTAATGGGATTGTTGTAAGATTTATATCTGGGTGGGGGCATTTTTAAATGAACTTACATTGTTCTTAAATATTATTCTTTGAAAGAATTTCTTGAAAAAACTGAATATTGATGAATAATTGAGCTTATCTTAAAGTCCTTTAATTGACATAATCTAGCAAAGAAATGAGCTCATGTTTCAGAGCTCATTTGTGTATATAGAACAAACATCACTATATTTTTTCAGTATATACTTATATTTTCTCAAAAATTAGTATAGCAGAATATTTTTAAGATATATATGCATATATACACATATACACATACACACATATATATACATGCACATATATATGTAGTGTACATATGTGTCCCACACATTAGAGAAAATAAAGGACACAGAATATAATTTTATTCTAATAAACTGCTTATCTGACTTCAGTGATAAATACAATAACCTTTGGTGTTAATAAACTTTGTCTTATGGAAAAGCACACAAAACAGTGAGAAAATATTGGTTATAGCTCTTCAAAATCAGTAGCTAGTTGGGATAATAACTCGCTATAGAACATTTTCTTCAGGAAAAACATTGTTATTGATTATCTTCATAAAAAAATTTGTTTTCATTTGACTCACATCATTCTTTTGTTGCGAAGTTTTCCAGGTTAGCTTGAAGCCTAATCATGTATTCAGATTATCCTCAATGGTTCTCATCACTGTCTGCACAAAACAGTCACCTGAGGCTTTATATAATACAGGTCTCTGGGTCCCATCTCTAGAGATATTGATTTAATTGGACTGGGTTGCATCCAGCACACTCGGGTTTTTAAGACTTCAAGGTAATACCAGAATGCAGCCTAAGGAGAGAACCACTGATGTAAGGGATTGATTTTTGTAAATACTAGACACATTCAAGATAATCAAAATTTTAAAACTTACATTTATATCTCCATTGTTTCCACACAGCTCCATCATTATTTTAAAACCAATCAGCCATTAGTTAGATATATTTAACACACATTTTTTGCACCAAAGGGTATAACTATAATTATAAATCAAATAGTTGATGATGATACTCCTTTCTCCAAACTCAAAATATAATTATGTATTTGTTCATTCATTATAAAAATACAAGTAGTTAAACAAGTTGGAATTTTTATGAATATATTTTTATATCTGAATTAAAATCACTTCCCGTGAAATTCTGTAGTGTTTGGTGAGGTGAGACATTTCCCAATGGGAGGCTCTCTTGTGTCTCATTATTATTAGGAACTTGTGTGAAAGTAAGTGTAACATCCACTCATTATGTAATGCTTCCTATAAAAGAATTGCAAGAGCCCCCAAATTAGTGTTCTATTAAGGTATTGTTTTAATGATGGTAATTATCACTGATGGTAATGTGACTGCTTCCTAGGAGCTAAAGTAAACAGTCTTACTTTGAAGAATGTAATACAGAACATAATGACTCATATAAATGAAATAGCCTGATAATCTTGTCAGATGAACTGTAACACCTTGTGGGACTATTAGAAACTATGTTAACTTGGATCTCTTCCTATTTACATAACGAGTTTTAATTTATGTCACGTAAATTTCCCACACTGAGTTAGACTGAGGTCAACTCTGGATAGTCTCACTGTTCCAACAGAAGCCTCATGAGATCTGGAGTTCCAAATTTGTCTACAGAGTACTCTGTAAAGACACACACACATAGGTGCATGCAGACATACACAACCACACATAAACATACCATGAAGAAACAGAGGCAACTACAGCTAGATAGGACAAAAAAAAAGCAAAGAAAAAAACCTCAAAGAACACAAAACTACAACAATCAACAATACAGAACCTCATTATAAACAATAAAACCATTCACAAACAGAACAATCAGAAACAATGAAAGGTTAAAGAAACAATATTGTCTATGAGAGATAGCTACAAATAGGCTCAGGCATGCATTAAAATGATTACTAAGCCTAATGTTCTTCCACTGATTCTTCTTAGCCAGAGTAGCTGGGGACAGGAATGAGATAAAGGGAGTAATATTCTTCTATATTCAAACCTTATCATAGGCTTGTGATTGAAGCCTGGGTGACAGGGGTGTGTTTCTCTGCAGGATTTCTAAGATACACTGTTATCTCTTTGGGCTTGTGCCTTGCAGCATTGTAAACATGAACACTATATAGCCTATGATCCTATGATCAGATTTCTGCACTTCAAAATAAGTACTGCCCCCATTACTAATTGACATTTTCAAGTGTAAATTCTACAGAATAATGCATTCACATCCTTAAATAATGGGATTCAATTCATTATTTTAAAGCACATCTTTTTTTCAAGGGTAAATGCATAGTGCTGTACTTTTCTGGAAACAAGCAAAAAAAGGGAACATCGATTTTACAAAAGTTAATTTCAAATACGAAAATAATTTACTTTTTATGTTATTGTTAACATGACGTGTTCATTAAGTGAGACATAAAATTATTAAAATTTATCTAGCAATGTCCTTTTAGGCAGCATTAACAGAAAAAAATTCTTTCACAGGTATGAAATATATTTATTAACTCACTCAAAAATATTTCCTGAATGGATGCTATGTTCCAGGCCTTATTCCATGTTCCAAGAATGTAACAGTGAACAATACAGACACATTTCCTGACCTCACAAATCCTCCAATCTTCCGATCTTTCAGTCGATTTATTTTTAGTAACTTCTGAAGATAGAATTATTCTTCATGGTGTCATTATAATTTAATCCCTACGTTCCCAACAAAATCCTTACATCAGTACTATAGTTGACAATTATAGATACTAACCTTTAAAAATAAAAACTTAATTTACTCAACATATTTTCAATTCACTAACAACTTATAACTACAATTTAAAATTGTAACAGATTTAATTTTAAAATAATCTTCATGTGGTCGCTATAAAAGTTTCTGACATGCTATGGTTTATATTACAACATCCAAAAAAAAAAAAAAAGATATAACATTCTCATTTTGAAGTTAAGAAAAAAAAGTTCTATTATATCAAAAGTTAAGAAAAAGGTCATGCACAGCTGTTTTGATTGTAATTGCATTACTTTTTTTTTAATTTAAAATATAATTGTTAGGACTAATCATCCTTATATTGTTATTTACTACATAGTTCTGTAAAAGTAGTGTTTTATTATATTTTTGGTAGTTGATTTTTCTTTCCTCTAGCCACTTTATTTAAATTTCCTGTACATATTTGAGTTTGTGCCCCCTGTTTTATAGCATCACAATGGAAGTGCTACTCTGTTGGAGTGAGGAAATTCTATTTGGAGTATGGGACAGGGTACTGATTTCCCACTGTAGTAGGATAATGTTTTCTTAAATATACAAGTCTTGTTGGATAGGAGGGGAGAAATGTGATTCAACAGACAGATAAACCACGGGTATTTATAATCAGGGTGTGGTTACCAAAAAGTCTGATCCTAAGGTGTGGCAGACCAAGTGCCAGGCAGAGACTCTTGGGAAGCATCAAGGACCACCCAGTTCGCTAACTCAAGGAGCCCACTGCATTTACAATCAACAAACACAATTTATGCTCGTATGATTTTGACCTACCTGATTCTTCATATCCACTCAAAAGTCTTATACTTATCCCATAATCATCTGTGGTGTTATTCACAACAAACAAACCAATGTTCCTCATCATTTCTCCAAACTCTCATCTATTTTGAAGCTCATGACAACAGTTTATGACATACATTGCCCCTTTTTGCCACAGCTATTTACAGATCTCCAGATCTGTAATTTTGTCTCCCTCATTCTCTGGAAGTTTAGTAATTCAGCTTACTATCTTTCTCTTCCAAACTATCTCTGCAACTTTTCAGTAAATTTCCTATCCATATACACTATGCTTTCAATATCCATTTACACACGCAGTTCCTTTAGGAATTCTCCTTCAATGGACTTCTGGTCCCTGTTAGTTCAGCCATCTGAACTTTGAAAATTACCAGTAACAGCTAACCCCTCTTCCTCACTTATTACTAGGTTCATCCCATCTTCCAACCAATCCATTGATACTACTGTATTTTCACTGTTCACCATGTCTTTCCTACCCATCTGACTTACATCTTATGACCACTCATTATAACCTCTTTCCATTGTTCATAAAGCCTCAATACCATTATCAACACCCGTGTTTTATTTTCCTGAAAAAATGTTTACTGTTTTCACTGGTTTTTCACTGGTCACCTGTTCTAAGTCATCATCGAATAAGTGAACTTAAAGGAGAAAACCTCACAACAGTGTTGAATGATCTCATTTTAATATCCTGACCACTGAACTCAAGGGATTCCTTAAGGCTGTAGGGTGATACCACTCTATCTCCTTATTCAATTTGCTCTCCCATTATTCTGCGTAACTGTTCCAATTATTCCCCACTCTATGGAACTAGAGCATTTTTCTTCCAGATACATATTCATGGCTATTATTTCACTGAGGAAGTAGAAAGTATATGAAGAAAATGCCTGCATGGACCCATCATCGAGTCTATCGACCTTCCTATACTCCTATCCTCTTCCCACAACAAATAAGCTATATGCTCCTATATAAGTCTCAGCTCTACACTTGTGCAACAGATCCCATTACCTCTTGTTTGCAAAGTGAATTACTCCGGCAACTTCCCTATCATGTTCCTGTATGATCAATGTTTTCCTTATTATTTGGGCATTTTCATTTGTATAGAAACATTGCAGTTTCTACTGCCTTAGAAACAAAGCAACAAAAAAAATAAAAGTCCATTGACTCTGCCTCTTCCTCTAATGCCTGACTTGACTGTTCTATTCAACAAAACTCATTGAAAGTGTAACTGTACTTACCGTCTGAACCCTTTCTCTTCCCATCCTCTCTCCAACAAACTTCAATCAGACTTTGCTTCCTCTACTCTGAAGAAATATCACATGCTGTTGTCATCTCTGCTCACCTGAATCCAGTGGTCAATTATCAGTTCATGTTTAAGTTGACTTAACAGTATCTTTTCACACCCTGTTATCCTTCTACAACTTTTAGAACATTAATTTCCTCAGACCACAACTACATTCTACCTTGGCTTAATTTTTTTTTTTTTTTGCAAGTTTAAACTGATAATTTATTTGTGAGAAAAAAAAGGCTAGTTTTGATGAGAAAAAGTTCAGTCCTTTCCTTGTAAATACAAAGAAACTCAACAGGAACTTTAAAGGTAGTAGGACAGAAAATGCAAGAGTAACTCTTATAATCCTTTTCAATTAAACAGACAAATCAAGTTGAAGACAAGTGTTAAAATACTATTCGGACTGAATATTTATCAGCCTATACATCCTGTTGTTCAATTGTCTTTTGATTTAAAAAAAAAGCAAACCAACAAACTTCTAAGAGGTATCGCCCCATTTAGAGTGATGAAAATAACTTAGTTCCCCTCCCCAAAGATATTTTTTATCCTCTAAAAATGCTATATAATATCTTACACAAATTAACCAGTGTTTTTACAAAAGTAATGCAGTTTTGGACTGATGATATTACACTGGATTTGTGGTAAAGTACTAGGCACAAGATATATATACCAATTAGGCATGTTCAGTCTAATCAGTTTCTAAGGATATCATTTAATTCTTGGTAATATATAATAACTGGTATGATTTTGATACTTAAATCATAAATTGTGGAGAAGAAGAAGCAATGTATTATAGTAACAGGGTTTCTATCTAGCAAACAGTTGTAGTGTTGAACAAAGCTCTTCTATGAACTTACTGAATGTGTTTTGCCGTTGGTCACTTGTTGTAGAGCTTTGATTTGATTCTTCCGTCTTCATGCTTTCTCCACCTGCAGTCTTTAACATTTCTTCATCTTTGTCATCATGTAGGTCTTTTCAAATTAATTCTCTAGCTAGTTTGATATTGAGTCCCTCATTGTAGTGAAGCTTCCTTTTCATTTGAAATTGTCGCCTTTTTTCTCGTTCTTCAGGTGAGAGGTCACTAGCCTCCTCTCCACTGCTTTCTTGTTCCTGAACCCGATACTTTGGGTTCAAGCCTTCAGCAACAGCTAATTTCTTAGCTAAGATATCTGGTGCCACGGCTTCAGTGGTTTCTATACCACTACACGCATCTTCACCATCACCCATCTTACGACAGGAAGGAGTGCTTGGTTCAACTATTTTCATTAAACCATAGTCTTTGTCCGCTGGATGATATGTCGCCAGGATGTTCATTTCTTCCCACTTCTGGGATTTTTTGCTCAGCTCCTCCTCGACACTCCCGCTGGGCTGTTCAGCCGAGGCCACCATAGAGGAAGCTGTAGAGGTCTTGTTCTTCAGGATCCCCTTGACTGGCCAGTGCGAGGCAGTCCAGGCCGCCATTTCTGGGCGCTCTGGCTGTTGGCTCAGGGTCGCTGCTTGGCGTGGAGTCCGGAAGAGAAGAGTCGGGCACTGGCAGAGACCGTCCAGGGAGCCGCGGAGCCCGCTCAGGGCTAAAGCGGCCGCATCTGCCGTCTCAGAAACGGCTACCTGAGTGGTTGTCACGAAACAACGACCCCGGCGCAAGAGCCAACGCCGAAGGAGTGGCGGCTGCTCACGGGCCCTTAACCGCCAGCACTTCAGCCGCTGGCCGAGGGGAGACGCCGGCAAGAGCTCCAGCTCGGGAGCGACGCCAAGCCTAGCGGGCCCGCCCTCTCGCGATATCTTACCTTGGTTTAAATTCTATCACATTGGCAGCTGGTTCTCATTCCCCTTTGCTTATCCTTTCTCATTTTATGGATCTGGAATTTCTTCTGTGTCTACGAACTGAGACTTCCAACCACTTCTCTATTATAGTTTCTGCACCCAGTTGCTAAGTTATTTCGTGCAGTCCAATGCCTGGAAAAGTAGTCTGTATGTTTGATGACTCTGTTATATCACTTTATTCCGAGCTCGGCTTTTGTTTTTGGCACATCATAAGTCCTTTTAAAATACTGTTTGAAGAAATATGGAGATGAGTGAGACCTAAAATATCAGGTATCTTTATACAAGGAGCCATTGAGCTGGCTATTAGCAGAACCAGTGCTAGTCGTTGGACTTTTGATCTTATTTTGAGTCCAAATTAGGAATTCCTTCTTTCATCATGAATTTAAAATGCATTATTTTTCTCTTAAAAATGGTGCCTGCCAGATGATTGATGCCTTTATACTTGAATATCAGTCATTAAACATTTCATTTACAGTCAAAATATACTTAATATACTCAGCACTATTAAATCTCGTTAATTCTGAGAAGGGATTGAATGACTTGCAGTGTCATGATATCTAGCAATTGGGATGTTATAAGAAATACAGCTGATAGAGATAAATAGATGATAAATAACATAATATTCTTTACACAAATTTTTAAAACAAATTACAGCTTTTATTTTTATTTTGGACTAAGATATAACTGGTATCAAGTCAGGAATAGTGTGATCTTGGGAAATTCATTTATAATCTCACATTCCTCCGTTGTAAAATGACAAAAAAAATAACTTTCTCAGTGAGTTGTAAGGAGTAAACAAAATAGAATAGTGTCTGGCAAAAGAGAAGCTCTTTACAAGTTAATAATTATGTTATTATGTAATCACTTAATTCAAATTGACATCAAATTGGAAGTATATTTATTAAATACATTTGTGATGTCAAGATACACTAATATATCTAAGAGATTTAAAACCGAATCATATTTGACTTCTTTTCAGTGTTCATTCCTTTTGTAACAAGTGTGTGGTATTTATTTTAATATTTTTGTTATTGTTTTACTTGAACCATAAAATCACCACATGCTTTCAGAATACAGCATTCCTAGATTCATTCCTGATTCACAGAACTGGCTATGGTAAGAAAACAATAATAATACATTTTAAGCTGATTATTTTATATGTTCTCCAAATCAATCAGTTTCTAGACTACCTCTCCTGGCCCACTACTATAGCATATTTTTTGCAAATGTCAGGGCGTATCTACAGCTTCTGTAATCATAAAAACTAATTTTCAGTCTTGGCACTAAGACTGTTTGCATATATTCGAAAGAATATTTGACTTTTGACCTTCTATTCATTTCCCTAACACTTTTCAAATTTGTCCTTATTGATTCAATTCATTCTCTGTGCAATGTACTTTTTTCATGCCTGGGATATTTTTTGTGTTTGACACAAATGTTTAAGTTAATATAAAATTTAGGTTAAGTACATCAGATACTAAGAATTCTAGTTCAATATATGGTGACCTTTAGAGAATTACTTATGTTAGAAAATACACTTTGTCAATGAATACTTACTTAGAAAAGCATTGTGTCCTGCTCAAGTGTTGCTTAAATAGAATTTATACGGTAGTAGGTCACCTTGAAAAAATATGGCAGATCGTGAAGGAACTGAGAAATAGGTTGAGCTAATGAAAAATGCATTGATGATGCTAAGACATTTGTCTGAATTTATAGAGCAAATTGTTGGGGGAGGCACAAGTAAGAAGGAGGCTTAATATTCAAAAGGTATTTTTTTATTAGTATCAGCGGAGCAAAGAACTATGTCTTCTCCCAGTATCTTAAACTAAGAAAGTAGACTAGTGACACAGGAATTTTCGGTGCTGCTTTGCCAGCTGGTGACTTCTGAGGCTGGTGACGCCCCTACCCAGGATTGCCCTTGGATTGCCACAGGAGGTACCCCACCCACTTGGTTCAGTGGGCTGCCTTTGGCTTGTGCTCCAGGCTGGATCGAGCACTCACGGTGGGATCCCACGCTCAGCCTGCAGCTCAGCCGGGCATGCAGCAACCTTCTTCCACCTTGGGCACCTGCATCTGGATGAGGGGAATGCAGTGGCTGCCAAGAAACTCGGAGACACCAGCAACTCCAGTATTATTATTGAGGGGGTATCATTCCCACCCTCTGCAGCTCAGTGTACAGGGGTGTGTTAACATCTTTTTCAGTCCTGTTGCCCAACTCTGGCCTGTGGTTCCCGGGCAGACCCAGCCCCACTGCTACTTTCTGTTGTCTAGGGCAGCCACCGGACACTGGTGGAGGACTGTGGACTACAGTGCTTCAGCCTTTTTCATACCAACGTTTGGCAGGTCCCAAGTTCTTGTCCCACTTCCAAGAAGAATGAAGTTACTCTGATAACTGAAGGGTGAGGAGGGTGGAGACTTTTACTGAGCGACAACAGCACAGGTTTTAGCAGAGAGGGGACCCAAAGAGGGCAGCCCCCTACCCAAAGTCGAGTAGCCTGTGAGGTGCCTGAGTCCGGTTGAGTCCTTGGTTTTTATGGGCTCAGAATGGAAGAAGTGCATGCTGATTGGTCCATGGGCAGGAGGAAGTGGTTCTGAGTTGGTCCATGGGTGAGTGTGGAAAAAGTGCCAACTGACTGGCTGAAAGGCATCAAGGAAGTTCCCACTCTGGGTTGCAGACCCTACCTGGAACTGGAAGCCCAGCCCCCAGGCTTTAGGTTATCCTTGACTTGATGGTTGGGCCCCACCAGGGACCTGCCCTGCCTAGGAACCTGTCTGCCTCCCGCCACCACCGATAGCATCTTTTATTAATGTAAGTTCACAAATACTACATCTTAGATTGTAACCATTTAGTGCTAGCATTGAATAATTATATACTATAAGAGGAAATATTTTAAGACAGAATTAGTGACTATAGTTATAAAGTTATAAGTTGGGCTATTATCTATTTAATTTTGGATACTGGGGTGTCTTTATAGTTGCTAAAATTTTAATTCCAGTTTAATACAATACACTTAAAAATCTGTTTAGTTAACATGTATATTCCATCAACTTAATTCAGTTTTTATGTCTCCTCATGCAAGGAGCAAGAGGTTGGTAGACAGTTTAATTCAAATGAGAGTTCAGAAATTAGAAACTTGGCAAAATTGCCAAATAGCTTGCACCAGGCACTCTTTTAAAGTAAGCATTAAAAAATACCAACTCATCAAGCTGTGTCAACACTTTTATTCTCCTCATTTATTCTGCAAGGCAATTGAAAATCCATGAGATTTGTAAGATATTGACCATAATGTTTGCATCCTCTATGTTTTAATGAAATCCTTTTTTCCCTATTGTATAAGGGCTCCCAAAACAAACTCATTATATTCTACATCAAAAATATAATATTTTAATTATGGAAAGTTCTTTTAACTTTCCTTAATAGTCTTAAAGTATTTATTCCATAACTCTAGGTACCATTATATACGTGAATACATTTGTATGTTTTAAAGTCTCAGTCATTTTTGTGTTTTATTAGAAAATGAATTGTTTTCAAACTCAGTTTGAAATCTTCATTAAAAATAAAATCTAATGAGTTATGTAGTGAAACTCATTTTAATGTCACTTATATATAACTAGAATTAAAGAATTAAGACAATAGTTCCCATAGTTTCAAAAACTATCCTTCTCTTCCACTATTATTGACATAGTCAGTGAATAAATTATCTAATTTACCATGTTCTCACATAGAAGTGATGGTTTCACCTTTTTGAAACCATGGTCTTCTAGAAAATGGGGAAATGCCGGCATGCTAAAATCAGCAATCTCTATGATGCCACAGGCATAAGCGGAAAAAAAGTCATGTTTCCCTAAGTTAATTTCTGAATAAAATAAAAATGTGTGGAATTGGGAGAGCATAAGATAGAGAGACAAAAGAGGATTAGAGAAGTTACAGAAAATCCTTGAAGAAGTGACAAGCAGAACAGAGACAGGTCAAAGTAGATTTATTTTTATGTCAGTATTTACTTATAAGTTGTGATGGGCTTCTAAGCTTACACTTTTAATATGTCCCTTCTTTTCTCATAAAGTGATGAAGCATGGTTTTATTCGACTATAATTAGTTTGGAGAAAAAGTGATTTGAGAAATTATCTCTTTTACATAATGATGATATTTTATGGATAATTAATGTTCATAACATTAGATTTTTAAGAAAGCAAATAAAACAATGCTAACAGCTGTTCTGATCCACATTTTAATGTAACAGTTTTCACAGATAGTTTGTGATTTTGCTTTTAGAATATCCAGGGAAGTGGATGTGTTGTGTTTATATGTGAAATGACATACAATTACTTTAAGATTTTGGAGAATATGATAAATGAAGACTTAAAGAGTCTCATTTTTCAGCTTCTAATCTTCCTTTGAAGAGAATGCCTAAGGTAAAAGCAATGTTAGTTTTTCACCTCATTTCACTGATGAAGTGGTAATTCACAAAAGTGCCTCTGTAAGTTGAGAAAGTATATCCAGGTGTATAAATTTGAATGCATTCGAGCATTTGGTTTTTGCTTCAAGCTGCATTTTTCCTTTATATCAGAAAAGCTTTGAGACACAAGTGGTTAAATGAAGACTAATTAGAAGCAAGGTAACATTGAATAAGCATAACCTAAGTACAGAATGATGCCTCAACACTTTCTGTTAATGAATATTTATGTCCTTTTACTGCTTGTGCAAACACATATTTCTGTGCATATTCAGTTAGCTTTAATACTTTAAATAAATTTTTAAAAGGTTTAATTTTAATACCTAACTTTTGCTTAAAATATATCTTTATTCAAGTTATTTATTCCATTGTGCACATCACAACCTTTTACTTTAGATTCTGGATGGTTCCATAATGTTTGGTTAAGAATTTGTTTCTCTAAATGCTGAATAGTTCATGCATTTAATGAGAAATATATAATCTTGTATTTCTCTAAACTTGCAAATTCACTTATACTTCACATAAGAATGCACCATCAATTTATTTATTTTCAAGAAAAACTGAAAAGAATGATTAAGATAGTATTATTTGAATTTATATTTCATTTTTAGAGCATAAAATGAAGTAATGATTCTCGTATCTTCATAATATATATTATAATCCTCAAAGGTCTCTAATATACAAAGTAAATTTTTCACCTTCCTTCTTTGCTTCTTTACCCTATTATTATTCTTGCTTTGTGCCATTTTGTTTCTGCCATCTTATCCACAAAAATAAAAATATTTTTAAACATATGTCATATTAATGTACTTTGAAATGTATTATATATTATAAGTAGCCTCTGTGCAAATTAATGCTCTTATCTTATTTGAAGTTTGTTTATTAAAACATATGATTAGATTTTCTAGATATTTTCTGGTTTACTTTTCTTTAAAGTGTTTGCATTAATCACTGTGATTACTGTATTTTTTTTAATTTACTTTTTGGTCTTCCTCCTATAATATGGTCATTCTCCCTTTCCTTCAGCCAACTGGAATACTTAGTTAATTTATTCTTTTCCTAAATGAACATTTAATTATTGACTTTATAATTGTGAAAAAGTTTTGTCTATATCCTGTGATATTTTACGACATGGAAAGTTTTCTTTTTATATAATTTATTTGATTGTTTGCATTTTTATTTTTTGTGGAAATTTTAAGCAAATCCTAAGGAATCTAGAAGAGCCAAATCAATCTTGAAAAAGAGCAGAGATGGAGATTATGCCCTACAATATATCAAGGATTCCTATTCTGCAATAATTAAAATAGTGTAGTATGAAACAAAAATAGGATGTACACTAATGGAACAAAAGCCAGTCCAGAAAAAGACTCACCTCTATAGGCTCATGATCTCTCTCTCTCTCACTCGCTCACTCTCTGTCTCTCTCTTTAAATATATATATATGAAAAAGTATAGCTTATTTTTTAATAAGTCATGCTGAAGAAATTTGATATTCATATTGGATTTAAAAACACCTTGAACTTTAACCTCAATCCATAACAAAAGTCATGATTTCCTAATAATTCAAGAGAATTCAATAATTCTCTTTGCGTGTGTGTGTGTGTGTGTGTGTGTGTGTGTGTGTGTATACACACATGCACAGGGGCCAAGACATGACTGGGTACTGCAAAAAAGAGTATAACCAAGTTGCCTGATAGCTAAAATATTCCAACTTGCTCATTAATCTTTGGAGTCTTTCAAATTAAACAACAATAAGATACCAATCCTCACCTATCATAATGTTTATTTTAATTGTGCTAAGTAAACATTATTCCCTCCATGTATTTGATAATCTTTATAGAACACATAGCACCATATTGCTTTTTCTCATTAGAGAATCACAGTGCGTGTTTCCTGAAGTAGAACAATATTCTAAGTAAGATTTAATCTCAGTTCATAACTGACTGAAATTCAAGGGTAATTTATAGTTTTAAAATATCCGCAGGTGAAAGAAATATTGTATTCCTTTTTTTTTTCCTGAGCAAAATAAATCTGTCCTGCTCCCCTTACTCTCTCCAGAGTTAACCTTTAATTGTTTATGAAGATTGCCAGTTGAAAGCATTTGAGCATCCTGAGTGTCCTGAAGTTTATACACTTCAGGGAAATGGGAAGAACTTCCTGTTGTTGCCATGGCTGACATGCACCTTTCCTGGGCCAACTTGGCACCTTTCTTGTGCCCACATGGCCCCTTCAAAGTTCAATAGTAAACTCCCCTAGAATGATCTTTCCTCCCAAAGGCAACATTCAGCCAACAAGGCCTTTGCTTAGAATCCCAAGGCAGAAGTGCTACATGTTCATTTTCAGCCTCTGCAAAGACATATATATGCAAATTATTTGGTATTATTCATGCAAACAGCATTCAAATACCTAATGGTCTCAGTTTAGGATTTCCAGCACTATTTCTAATGCCATACTACACCTGTCTCCCACATCAAAGCACTGGAATTTCAATCTGCCCCGCCTCTGAGATAATCCACTTTAATCTATTTCACTCCCTATTGCCCCTAGAAGCCAATATTAGATAAAATTTAACATTTCACTCATTCTGGGATAAAGATAGCATAAAATCATGCTGTGGTGCTTGCACATGATGTTTGTAAAAAAGAAAAAATCAATAAAAGTATTCCTTTTTCTCTGGTAACATATTCTCTATTACCAAATTTGTGAATGTGTGGGGAGGAATCCATTCACTAGGGGAAGGGAATCAACAAAGCTCTATTTATCTTAATAATTCCCGTGCTCCACAAACAAGAGTAAAGTAAATTCCACCAGAGTAATTCAGGAATCTTTACACAGGATAATATTTTCCTTACCTAAAATGCATTTATAGGCATTTATTTCTTAACATCTCTTTTTTCAGCCACATTAATTTTCACACTGAAATCTGTGATGCTTTATACTTATTGATGGCAATTAGAAAAGAGAAGAAAAAGGAAGTTGGTAGTAAAATGCGAAGTAAAGAAAAAGGTAGATAGATGGGCACATTTTTGCAACAATACTTGGAATAGGTAAATGATGCAGATGAATAAATAAACTCAAAGCCACAGGCCAATATATCTATGAGTGAAAAAGCTGAAACAAAAGGAGGAGGTTATGTCAGACTTTGTTTTTTTGCTGTGGTGGAATCAAAGGTAGAAAGGTAGAACTAAGTATATATTTAGCAGAAAAATAGTGTGCCTACTGTACTAAGTAAAAATTATCTTGGTGACAATCAGGTTTAAAAAATATAAAGTAAAAATTTTAAGAAATTGAAATTCTAGATAAAAATCAGATAACTACTCTAGAAAATACAAATTTGAATACATATTTTTTGAAAAATAGAAAAACTCAGGTTAAGTTTCATAAAAGTACCATCTGAATACTCTAGAAAGAATAAATCCTGACAAAATTTTTAGTAAATAAGGATTGGTAAGTGAAAATTAATTGTCTAGGGGCTTTTATAAGTAATTTAAGTGTCTATGATTGCTTGACTTGATGTCCATGTTATTGAACATTTCAATGATCAAGAATCAACGATTACGACACTGAGCTATCAAAACTGGTAAAATTGTTACAGAGCTTAGAGAGGTACATGTAAATAGGCGACCAATAAATGTATCTTTTGAATAAATGAAATATATTAAATATGAAAATAGATTTCTGGAATATTAAAGAAAGTTTACATTTATAGATATAATTTAGAAATGATGTGACTAGAGTTGATCATTGAATACTAGATTGGCTAGCACTTTCTGGAAAAAAGCATTAAACATAACACTGACAGTGTCCAAAGCTGCTCTTTGAAAATATTCAACAGAAAGTGCTCAACTGAATAATTTTACTCATTAAATTGATGTGATATATCAGATATGCTTAATTCAAATCTCTTTTAGGAGTGGATGGACAGCTTAGATTTTCCTTCCACTATAGTACCACAGACAGTAATAATCAAATGATGGTTGTAAATGCTAGTTGATTGATTACTAAGCAACTTATAAGCTTTTTTTCCCCTTTAATAATGTTCTATACTTACCAGGTTGGATCAGTGATGAAATGTCCAAGGCCTGAAATTTCTACGATTAGTGTCATTCTTTGTGATAAGATATTATTTAATCAGAAGGACCATGTCCAAAAGAAAATTTGTTTCCTGGGAAAGGGAGCATATCAGCCTATTATGATACATTCATGGATAAGAATGACCAATCATGAACTCTGGGTATTTCTACTTTGATGCTGCAGAGATTGCAATTACATTTGCACTGATATATTTTCAGCCTGAAATAATATGTTAAGCTTTTGATATATGCCCTAAGAAATGATGATGTTGGCTCCGAAAAAGATTTCTACCATCAAGGGGACTAAAGGAGGTTAAAACTGGAAGCACACCCTGGTATTAAAACCAGGAAAACAGTGGACCGTAAGAGATAGACATCTGCTTTTTAAATTGTATTTTTTGGGAAAAACAAAAAGGTTTTCTCATTAATAGATTTCTTTCACTGAATATAAACATAAGCTTAGATCTTGATGTAGTTAAAGAATATATTCTTTTTTATTCTTTTTTCTTGATGCTAATCTAATTAAAGTTATTCATCAGGTACCCCATAATTTAGCAAACGATTGTTTTCAAAAATTAGAACAAAGTTGTCAGCAACTGTTCAACACTGATGAACTCCTGAAACACTTCCTTGCTTTGGTTCATCAAAACAGACAGTACATTTTAGTCAAACACCCTGATGATATACACATTTTCAATATCTAGTTTTTATGTATTCTTTAATTGTGGAATTGTTGGAAAATTCCCAAATGTTCATTTACCTCCTCTCATTAAAAATGGGCACCTATCACTTCTGTTTTGAAGTTTAAACAGTGCATTTAAATATTTCATTACTATTAATGTTAAAAATAACCCTTGTTTTTTGATGTAGATACACTGACTTTTTTTCCTCATTTGCTGCATTAATTTGATAATAATGTGAAATGGTCCTAAGTTATTCTGCAAATTTAAGGCTACACAAACACACACACACACACACACACACACACACACACACACAATAAAAATTAAACAGAAGTAGAAAATAATTACTAAACAGCCAGACTTTGATATATGTAAGCTGCTACTTTGTTTTGTAGGGTTTCAAAACTTAAGCAGATATATTCTTCTCCCAGTTCTTCTGATTTATTTTTACTCAAATCCTGAACATTATGTTAATCTTCTGTATGTTTGACATTGCTTAATATCAGTGAGTACTTATTCCAAAATAAAGCTCTAATTCCATTTCTTCTTACGACTTAGTACACATTGTTTATGGTGGCTCTTGCCTGAAATAATGAGATGGAAGTTGATCTCTCTTCTTTCTCTCTCTCTCCTTCTCTCTCTCTCTCACACACACGCAGACACATGCGTGCATACACACACACACACACTCTCACGCTCATAGGATCAATATTTATGGAGTGTTCACTGAGTCCCAGGCATTTTCTCAGCCATTAGTAATACAGCAGTACACAAGACCAAGTTCTTAGCCTCTTAGCCTTTTGGGAATTACATACTGGCATCTGAGTCTACTTGTAAAAGTTGTTTTTTACTGACTACCATGTAAAGTATGTTCATTCATGGCTTGTGAGTAATATATTGGGGTATTAGGAAGTTAATATTTATATAGTTAAACTAAATATAACATTTAGTTAAAATATGAAAAACATGGAGCGTCTTTACATAGTTAAACCTACTAGTTTTCTAGCAGTGCCAGTGAAATAAAACAATAAATTATAATTTGAATGGTATTTAATCCACAAAACTCTATCTTCACTTTTTAAAAAATCATTCATATGATCAAAAAGAAAGGTACTAAAAATACTACTGCATGGTTAGTGAATAATTCTCAATAAAATAGAGAATAAAATGGCCAACTACAAACTTATAAATTAAGCTTATAAGACATTGATTAAGCAACAAATTTAATAATAACTTGTATCATTTTCTGTGAAAAAATAAAGTTTAACAAGAGGTGTACATATATGTGATAAAATATTTGAACAATGAATATCATTTCATTTTTCATGCGTTTATATGTAGCTATCAGTTTTTTTTTCTGTCCATGATAAAATTGTGGGAAAGATAGAATAACTCTTACAAGACTAGTATTAACACTTCCATTTTTAAGATAAGGAAACGGGTTCAGAAAATACACATAAATATGGAAGAAAAATTAATAAATTATAAGAATATGATGTAAACCTAGGACTGTCATCACCTTCTAATAGTTCTTAATTTTTCCAACTTAATCCTTTATGATATTATGTTCAAACTGTGGGCTCTAGATAAAATATGAATATTGTTTTAAATAAATATCTACTACTTACTGTCTGTGCTTTCTCCAGTGCTAAATAAAACCATAATTCAGTTTCCTTATCTCTAAAATTTGAATAATAATGGTAACCTATCTTATAGCTATTATGGAAATTATTGTTTGAAATAGTATACAATGTCTGTTATGTCAACTGTTATTTAGCACAGACTCTATTGATCTTAATTTCCTTTTCTTTTAAATCTTCTCTTTCCAGGATATGTATGTATGCAGTGTGTGTGTTCTTTTTGATAGAATTACCAATCACCAGCCCTTACATTTTGGCAACACATTAAGCACACACAAAAAATAA
Source organism: Homo sapiens (assembly GCF_000001405.40). Classification (NCBI taxonomy): domain Eukaryota; kingdom Metazoa; phylum Chordata; class Mammalia; order Primates; family Hominidae; genus Homo; species Homo sapiens. The sequence goes on from NC_000013.11 coordinate 46,449,487, forward strand.
TGCCCATTTGTACTTTTCCCACTCTTGTACTTTTGTAATATTAAAAATGGGTGACATAGAGCATGCAATCAAAACCTGCAGAACAATTATATAATTCTAATATCATGCATATCACTTCCATTGTTAGTAAAACTAACAATGTTAGCTCCACTTCAATTAAGCCGAAACTATCTCTATAGCCTTTTCCATGTATTGCAGAAGCAATACCTTGTTGATATCATCAAATATTCCTGAAAGTCATTGCAATGGTAGCATAACTCTAACTCTAGGTTAGCACAGTAACACATCGCATTTCTTCTTTGCTATTTTTATTTTTCTTAGTGAAGTAAAATTTCTTTATTCTTCTTTCAGCTTTTATTTAATTTCATTTTCTCTCTTAAGTGCTGTTTATTCATACATATTAACTATTCCTTGTCTAAAATTCTTGGAACCAGAAGTGTGTAAGATTTTGAATTGCTTGGGATTTTGAAATATTTGCATGTACATAATGAGACGTCTTGAGGTTGAGACACAAATGTAAACACAAAATTTATTTTTCATAAGCACTTTACCAAGATAGTCTGAAGCTAACATTACATAATATTTTTAACAATTTTGTGCATAAAATAAAGTTCTTGTACAGTGAACCATCAGAAACCAAAAGTGCTACTATCTCAGCCACCCACGTGAACAGTCTGTGGGGATTTTTTTTTTGGCAACACCATCATTCCTAACTCTGAATTTATAACTACTGATAAGCATTTTCTTATATTTTTTTCACACATAAGCACTTAACCATAATAAATATGACATAATATTAATACAGTGAAAAAATAATATGTTTAAGGTAACTAATCATCACACTAGCTTCACCAGAATACCTTTAACAGCTGTTAAACAACAGCAACAAAAAATAAGAGCAGGCTTTCAGTCTCCACCTAAGAAGCTGTGATTTGATTAAAAGGTTACTGTAGACAGTATTTTATCTTTTGTAGGTGAGAAAAAAACACTAGAAACAGTCGCCAACCAGGAAGTGGATCCTCTAGGGATGAGGAGACATTCAGCTGGATGGCTTTTTTAAATGCTTCCTCCAGAATCATCTGTCTCATTAACAACACTCTTTGTCTTAGAAGTCACTTTCTGATTTTATGAACTGAGAAGATTTCTGTTTCTGTTATGAGTGCACACTGCTTTAGGCCTTCAATAAGCTCATCACATATTTTCACCATGTTGTCGTGGGCTCTTTTTCTGCAACGTATAAATCATCTTCATGATCACTATTTTCATGATCACGTTGATTCGGAACCATTTTGGCTATTTGATCATGAGTCAATGAATGAAAAACTGCATTCTCATTCTCACTGTTAAAAACTTCCTAAATTCCACTTCTTCCGGCTTACTGAGGGACTCTGAAGGTATTTTTTGCATATGTAAGGAGATCAGACATCGTTTTTTTTCCTCACTTGATATGTGGAATCCTTCAAACCCACCACCTTATTCATCATCATCACTAAACATGGTTACAGACTAGAGGCTATTCCAGACATGCACAACTGTGTCTTTAGTCACTTTATTCTAGCATTGGCAACAGCATAGATGGCATCCTTCATGCTAAACTTCTTTTGAAAACCTTCTACATTCACATCTCTGTTCACTGCTGCTAGCATGCTCTTCAAAAAAAGTGTTTTTATATTTACTCTTTATTGATCTAACAATATGTTGGTGATATGACGGAATTAATGAAGTCATATTTGGGGAAAAACACATGGCATAAAATTATTTTTGATGAGAATTTCAACTGGAGGATGAGGAGAACAGTTGTCAAGGAAAAACAAAATCTTGCAATCATCATCCAGTCCAGCAACGCTGCAGTGAGCTTGAGCTGCTGGTACAAAATGTTTGTGAAACCAGTCAAAGAAGACGCCTTGATGATTCATGCTTTCTTGTTAGCATAATAATGGACTAAGAAATTTACTCCTTGAAAAGAGTGAGGATGCAAGCTTTTTCCTATCACAGGAAGTTTATACTTATGTTTGCCTGTTGCATTAGTACATCCCAGACACTTATTCTGTCCTTGGCATACTTAATTCCTATAGTGGCTGTCTTATCAGCTCTAGTCGATGTCTTTCTAGAGCAACAACACCACAACAGAAATGAATGTTTCATCAGCATTATAGACTTGTTCTGGCATCAGATCTTCATCAGCGATAATCTTGATATACTCATTAATAAATTTATCTACAGCCTAATGGTCAGCAGATGCTTTATCACCATAAATCTTTAAAAATGTAATGTCATGACTTTTCTTAAATTTTTGCAACCAATCTGTTTAATATTCAGAGTTCTCTTCAATTTTCTAGTTCATTGTAATTGATCTTTGCTAATGTCATGATCCACACACCATTAAGTGGCATGCTTTATAAATAAAGCATATTTATTTGTAGCTTTATTCAGTGTTTTTGTATTTTTCATTATCTTCTGCTGATCACTTTCAGCACAGATCTTCAGCAGTTTACCCTTAAGTTTCTTCAGGGGTAGATATGTGTTTCTTCAGGGATGCTAACATATCCACTTTGGTTACACAACTTACATATTTATTTTTAGCTTTATGCAGTGTTTTTGTATTTTTCAATATCTTCTGCTCATCACTTTCAGCACAGATCTTCAACAGTCTATCCTTGTGTTTCTCCATGGGTATATAGGACAGTTATTCTACCACCATATTCTTCTGTAAGATGTTTCACACGTACACTGCTGTCCAGTTTCTCTAGCAACTTGACTTTCTCTTATATAGATAAACAGAAATGCTTTCATTTTTTCTTATTACCATTACCCACAGAGGTATTTGCAGACCTTTTTGACATTTTCAGTAATGTCTTTACACCAAAGAGCAGAGAATAAGCAAGAAAAAGCACAGTCAGTAATGCACGTAGGTCTTGGCCCCATGTAGGGCACTGGTGGGAACACACATCCAGCCTGTGCATGTGCCATGTTATTACCCTTTGTAGAAGGGCATGGAGAAGATATATCACAGCTGAAGTGGGCTAAGGTGGTCATTTTTCCTTGGAGATGCTGAATAAACTGTGGGTTGTGCCTTTTGACTGCAACCTATCCCATGAAGTTAGGTGTGGAATTTTCCACTTGTGGCATCATATTAGCACTTAAAATGTTTCAGATTTTGAAGCGTTTTGCATTTCGTATTTTCAGATTCAGAATGCTCAACCTACAATGGGTTCTGATATATTTCTTCACTTAATTTTTGTAGATATTTAGATTCTAGTGTTTCACTTATTTTAATAAAATACTTAATGTATATTTGATTTATAGTGAAGAAAAGCGATATGTAAAAAAGGAAAAATACAAAAATAGCTATTTATTATTGTCCTTTATCCACCACTGAGCTCTCATCTTTACCACTTAATCTGTGGGAAAATTTCATATTTCACGTATTTCTTGAAACACATTATCATGAGTTTAAAGTTATAAATGGTTTTTCAAAGAAGGAAGGCTATGAAAACATTTGTCTCTTTGGTAAAAAACATTTTAAGGCAATTTTATGAACATATGAGTAGATATTTCCTGAATATCTATGATGATAACGCAAAAGAAAAATCCCAGGTTGTGACATAACAATTTGTAAAATACTTCAATTGGAGTAGAAACAATTGTGCAAATTACTTCATGTCAGTGAGGCTCAGTAGTTTACTCTGTAGTATGAGACAATACTACTTTCTTTACAGTGTTTCTCTAAGAATTTAATTGCACATTACTTTGGAAAGCACTCTAAAAGTTTTTAAGTTTGAAATATGCCTAACATACAAAACAAAATAGCATAATATAATAGACATCCATGTATTTACTTCCATATTCAACAATTTTAATTAAACTTGCTTTATATTATTTCTGAGTATTAAAGAGGGAGTCAAAGTTTTCCTCTCCTGAACGATTTCTATTTTATTCTTTCCCTCTCTGGTGTCGCTGTGCAACTTTCTTATTCATATTTCACATTATCATTAAATACGTATGCTTGAACAATATTCAGAAATGTTTTATAATTTTTCTTAATTAATACATTTCATCATATTATACTTATTCCAAACATAGTGGTTTCTTACTCAACATTATACTTTTAAGATTTATTCCCATTGATGCATTTGGGTCCAGCATAATCAAGTGCTGTTTAATATTCTATGAAATAAATGCTGAGTAAGTTAAGGATACTTTCAGTTTACTTAATAGAAACTCCCGACAACCTTCCATTTAAATTTAGGGGTTGTTTTCTCAAATAATAAAGATTTGGACAGAGAGTCAGTCACTAAATAATGTTATTGTAGGCCAGGCTCACTTCTTTCCATCAGCAATCCTCACATTCATTCTTAGACCCGTAGCCTCATAACTGAAAGGTAGTTGCTTCAATTCACCGTATTATGCCCTCACTATTAAGCAAGAACTAGGCTGGTCTCCTATGTACAGCCCCTCAACACACACACACGCGCGCGCACACACACACACGTCTTTATAGGAAGAGAAATAACTTTCTCATAAACCTCACAGGAGATCTCTCTTCAAATATTACTAACCAAGATATAATTTACATGGACTAAAAGGCAAAAGAGAAACTTTGAAAGTGTTTATTTGTTTATTTTCCATAGTAGAATGCCAGAGAAAGTGGCATATAGAGACTGACTTATGGCTGCTAATAATAATGTCTGCCAATAACATGTCACCATTTATTCAAGCATTTTTGTATTGGCCAATATTTAGATTTTCTTCAATTTTTTAATATTATATAGAATACTGAAATAAATCTCTTTGGGCATATGTGTAATGAGAGTGTCTGTTTATGTACATATGTGCATTTCGGCTGCTCAGTATCTTAATCACCTTTATATGATTGAGAAACCTTTTATTTTGTGATTGTTGTTGCAATGCAGAGTTTGCCACCTACTATAGAAGCTGAAGATAACGGTAATCATTATCTCAGTCTCTGTTGCAGCTAGGGTATGCCCGATGACCTAAGCTCTACCAATTAGATTAACCCACTCCCCAGAATTTTAATTATGATATAATGATACATTTAAGCACTATAAAATTCTCACTGGTAGCAATAGCAGTAGTGGCAAGATCAAGTTACTGAAACAATAGTGACACCCATGTAAGTTATAGCAACTTATCTTTAATGGTGGTGAGCTTGGTTTCCTCACTGAATCAGTTCCCGGCTCCAGATTTTGGACATTATCCTTGACTGTATAGAAACTAATAGTCTTTTGATGAATTTTTGTTTGTTTGTTTACATTAGGCTTAAGCAAGGGAATTTTTTTTGCCTTGTTGTATTTTGTTTTAACTTTCATTTGCATTATGTGATTGCTCAGGTGGGTACACATTTTCCACGTGTATTAAAAAGTAATATTTCCTCTTTTATGACACTTTGGCTTCAATATTTTGCCCAATATCCCACTGGATTATTTTTTTTTCTTATTTATTTGTTGGAATTATACATGTATTCTAGATGCCAAACATTTACAAATGTTATAAACACTTATAAAATTTGACCACACCTTCTTTAAATTTGTGGTTTGTCTCTTGATACATAGTTACCATGTTCAGAAATATGGGAGAAACTCTGGAGATTTTGTATAGTGATTAAAATAACTTGGACTGTGGAGTTATTCATTCAAAAATATTTATTGAGTTTGTATCAATCTATATCCATAATGAGTAGAAACCACACAGTCGATTTAGACAGGAGAAATGTAATACAAAAGACTGGTAAACTTTGATAAAACAGTAACTCTAAAATACAAGAAAACTCTATATGGTACTCTGGAGCTGAGGGAGAGTATTCAATGAAGAAAAAATTTAGAAGGGGTATTTTCTCCACAAGACTAGAGTAGTTGAAAAAGGTGCAGTGGCAACCCACTCAACAGCACCGCGTTTCACTGCTTTGCTCAGGTCAGAGCTATTCGGCAACTGCTGGACGATAACAATGGCAGAAAGCAATTCTCCACGGCATAGGTTCCACACAGTTGAATCTCTTTCAGTGGATCTAGGTAAAAGGATATAGAAGGAGTGAGCCAATGACAAAGTCTTTTTTTTTTTTTTTTTTTTTTTGAGACGGGGTCTCACTCTGTCGCCCAAGACGGAGTGCAGTGGCGCGATCTCGGCTCACTGCAAGCTCCGCCTCCCGGATTCACGCCATTCTCCTGCCTCAGCCTCCAGAGTGGCTGGGACCACAGGCGCCCGCGACCACGCCCGGCTAAATTTTGTACTTTTAGTAGAGACGGGGTTTCACCGTGTTGGCCAGGATGGTCTCGATCTCCTGACCTCGTGATCCGCCCTCCTTGGCCTCCCAAAGTGCTGGGATTACAAGCGTGAGCCACCGCGCCTGGCTGCCAATGACAAGTTCTTTTTTTTTTTTTTTTAAATGACAAATTCTTAACTGCAAGCAGGCCACAGGCAAAAGTTAGCAAGGGCCCAGGTACACAGGTGGGCAGAGGGAATCAAAAAACCTGTGGAGGTATGAAGCCTGCAAATTGTGGTGTCCATGCTGAGAAGGCTGCAGGAAGCCAGCCCCAGCTGTAAGATTCCTGAGGGACCTCAGATTCTGAAGTATAGCACCTCTAGATGTTCTCACACTCACACCGCCCACTCACTGTAAGGAGCCAGGCACCATAGGAGAGCCCTTTCCTCTACAACATCTCTCCGGTGCCCTCTACTGAGAAGACTTGAATACTGTGCTCACTATGAGGAAGTAAATACAAGAGGAATTCCACACATTATGGCAGAGTGATTGCGGGGTAAATTTGGAGCTGAGAGTCAATACATTATTTATTGACAAATATGTGGCGTGCTGGCCAGCATAGTAGATGCTAAAATGTCACAGTAAAAATAAGAAATAAAATTATCTTCCCTATAGAAATTATACTTTTGTAGAAGATATATGATATTATCCAAAGAAATGATTAATAAAACAGTGAAGTTCTATGAAACAAAAATAGAGTGCTATAAAGTGTAATGACATTTATTGAGGTTCAAAGAAAGTCTCCTGAACGACAATCATATGTTTGGGGAATTAATACTTAAGATGTATACTGAATATGTGAATGAGGTATATTAATATTCCTATAAAGCTTGCATAGTAAACTGTGATAAATGTTTAGAGTTGGCAGTTACTGGCATGGCAGCTGATAACTGAAATTTAATAATAAATGAGATTGATGAAAGAGTAGAGAAAGATAAAAAGTCACATGAAGGCATCTTTTGATAAACACACCTGAAGAGTTTTAAACTGCTTGCAGGTCAATTAAGATGCAAATTAATATGTATTCAAAAGACAACATGTAAGTCATTCACGATCTCCATTAATATGGCTTGTGGGTGGCAGAATTCAGATTACAGTGAGTTAAACAAGTAATAATCTCATAGAACCAAAAGTAGAGATCATAACATAAATAACACATCGATTTTAATTTCCAACTCAAATTAAAAATTAGATTTCATATAAAAATTTGGATTATGGGTCCTTTTGAAAAATTGGAAACCTTATCAATCTTTCCCTAAACTGGCTTGAAAAAATATTCAACCGGGTTGCCGCCCCTCCTTGAGATTATAGGGTCCATACATTCTCTCTTTTTTTTTATTATTATACTTTAAGTTCTAGGGTATGTGCGCACAACGTGCAGGTTTGTTACATATGTATACATGTGCCATGTTGGTGTGCTGCACCCATTAACTCATCATTTACATTAGGTATATCTCCTAATGCTATCCTTCTCCCCTCCCCCCACCCCACGACAGGCCCCAATGTGTGATGTTCCCCTTCTGGTGTCCAAGGGTTCTCATTGTTCATTTCCCACCTATGAGTGAGAACATGCAGTGTTTGGTTTTTTGTCCCTGCGATAGTTTGCTGAGAATGATGATTTCCAGCTTCATCCATGTCCCTACAAAGGACATGAACTCATCCTTTTTTATGGCTGCATAGTATTCCATGGTGTATTTGTGCCACATTTTATGGACATTAGGGTCCATACATTCTGTATTTCATCACTGTCAGTATTGAACTGCATCACTTTTAATATTTCTACCTGGCCTTTCTAGCACTTGCACTCATAGACTCTGCAACATGCAGTTCTTTAAAGAAGATAATGTGGAAGAGAAAAATGTGGTGTCTGATAGTAAAAGAGGGTTATGGTTTTTGTTTTTTCTTCCCTTTTTTTTCTTCTCTTCCTTCTTTAAAGAAAGTCAATAACTGATTGCCGAAACCAAGGTGTATACTGGTTGATATAAATAAGCCCATACATAGAAAGAAATTATAGATAGAACTGAGAAAGTTGAACTCTATTTACGCCTATTTAATTACTGGAATAACACTTACCAAGCTACTTAAACTCTGGTGCTTAATGTCTTCACTTATACCGTGAGAATTAATACCCACTTCCTGAAGTTATCCTGCAGAATAAATGAAATCATGTTTCCAAAGCTTATCAATAGTTCATGACCAAGTAACTATTTAAAAGCACATAAAGGAGACACATTATTAATATAGTAATCAACATACCACAGTGGCTGAAAAAGAATTAAACTCAAAGCACTAAGTTAGTCATTACACAATCCCAGGCTGTTTCATTAGGCAGTTGATGGTAACACATGGGGAAAGCAAAGGGACATCAAGACAATAAATCAAATACATTCATGTGCTGCTAAACGACAGGGATATGTTCTGAAAATTTGAGAAATGTATCATAAGGCAATGATGTTTGCCATGCAGATTTCACAGTGTACTTACATAAACCTGTATGGTATAGCTTAGAACACACCTAGGTTATAAGGTATAGCCTATTGCTTCTAGAATACAAACCTGCACAGCATGTTACCATATTGGATAATATAGGCAATTGTAACACAATAATAAATATTTGTGTATCTCAACTTATTGGAATCTAGAAAAGATACAGTAAAAACACAGTATAAAATAATAATAATAATAATAATAATAATAAAACAGTACCTATATAGACCACTTAGCACGACTGGCACTTAAAGGGCTGAAAATTGTTCTGGGTGGATCAGTGAGTGATTAGTGAGTGAATGTGAAGGCCTGGGATATTACTGTACACTACAGTAGATGTCTTAAACATTAGGCATTAGGGTAAATGTATAAAATACATTTTATTTCTTCAATAATACATTAAACTTAGCTTACTGATAATTTTTTGCTTTATAAACTATATTTTATTTTAGCTTTTTGACTCTTTTGTACTAAACATTTTTTTTGGAATAAAGAACCATTTTTATTACAAATGATTGACTTCCCCAATTGTAGATGTTATGATCATTAACACAGTCATAACAGAGAATCAGAGATTAAGGGAGCAAAAGATAACATTTGGAAAACAGTCAGATGACACCGTGGATCCTATGGCCATGATTTCATTCAAAGAAATGTGAGGCTAGAGGTCCAAGACTCTGTCAGGCATGTAATCCTTGGATATAGAAATCTTGGAGTATGAATCCTTGAATCAGTATTATCTTTAGACGTGTCATCTTAGAAGCAAATGGTCCTCTGACAGTGATGTTTTAGCAGGAAGAATAGCATCTTCTAAAGCAAAATGGCCGGTAGCCACAGTAGCCAGAGCCAGAGCCACATCCACAGCCATAGCCAGTTCCATAACCACAGCCATACCCACAGCCGTAGCCAGTTCCATAGCCACAGCCAGAGCCAGAGCCATAGCCACAGCTGTAGCCAGTTCCATAGCCACAGCCATAGCTGGAGCCATAGCCACAGCCATAACCAGAGCCATAGCCACAGCCATAGCTGCAGCCATAGCCACAGGAGTTGCCGTAGTAGTTGCAACACAGTTGTCAAGAGGAGAGACTTGAGATGGGTTTCAAGAAGATGCTTCTGAGGTGTGGACGTCTTCTACTTCCCTGAGACCTTTATATACTGTCAGTAATTGCCAAAGCATATCATTCATTCCCTGACTTAGCCAACAAATATTTAAACAATTATTATGTGCCAGTCACTGTTGATCATCAATAATATTTTGCTTAAAATGAGCCAATTATTTTGGAGACTCTAGTTTCATTTCAGGAACATCATTTTAATCTGCTCTGCCCAAGAACCATCTCAGTGAAATCATGTGCCCAAATATAAAGCTGATACTAATTTTCAAAATGTCCTATCAGTAGATATATATCTTACATAACAAGTTTTGGGGGGATCATAACAAAATTTTATCCTTTTTCTCTCTCTCTCTTTTTTCCTAAAATATCTACCTCTACCCATAGGGAAAGAGACAACCCTATTCCCTTTCCTGAGTCATTACAACTTCTTTGCCAGACTTCTTTCTCCAACTCACTCTGCACTTCCACACCTACCCCTTGTCCAACCTCCCTCAAATCCCAAGAAACATATTCACATCTGATCATTCAAAGCCAGACTGTATGCTATCTGCAAGTGCTTCTTATATTTTCCTTCCATCCTCCAGGCAAACCAAGACCCTGGGGAGGCAGAGAAGCCCTCCTTTTGTCTCCCATTTCTTCAGCTATATAAGTAATTGTCATTGAGGAGACTTTTAAAACCAAACCAGCTTCATTTTAAATATATATATATATTTTTGTTGTTGTTGTCGTTGTTATACTTTAAGTTCTAGGGTACATGTGCACAATGTGCAAGTTTGTTGCATATGTATACATGTCCCATGTTGGTGTGCTGCACCCATTAACTCGTCATTTACATTAGGTATATATCCTAATCCTATCCCTCTCCCCTCTCCCCACCCCATAACAGGCCCCAGTATGTGATGTTCCCCTTCCTGTGTCCAAGTGTTCTCATTGTTCAATTCCCACCTATGAGGGAGAACATGAGGCATTTTCTTTTTTTGTCCCTGTGATAGCTTGCTGAGAATGATGGTTTCCAGCTTCATCCATGTCCTTACAAAGGACATGAACTCATCCTTTTTTATGGCTGCATAGTATTCCACGGTGTATATGTGCCACATTTTCTTAATCCAGTCTATCACTGAAGGACATTTGGGTTGGTTCCAAGTCTTTGCTATTGTGAATAGTGCAGGGGGGTGAGGCACCCCCTGCGATGCGGGAAGTAAGAGCCAGCCCCTCTCCCACCCCTGGCTCTTAGGAACCCCATCATGACCTCGTGTTTCTGTGGCTTTCTAGTTTTGTCTTTTTTTTTTTTTTTCTCAGTCCTTTAGACGCCCAGCTGCACAACTTGATTGCCTTACAAATGACCTGCTTCCAGGATGCGGAAATTCCTAGTTTCTTCTGTGACCCTTCTCAACTCCCCCATCTTGCATGTTGTGACACCTTCACCAATAACATAATCATGTATTTGCCTGCTGCCATATTTGGTTTTCTTCCCATCTCGGGGACCCTTTTCTCTTACTATAAAATTGTTTCCTCCATTCTGAGGGTTTCATCATCACGTGGGAAGTATAAGGCCTTCTCCACCTGTGGGTCTCACCTGTCAGTTGTTTGCTGATTTTACGGAACAGGCTTTGGAGGGTACCTCAGTTCAGATGTGTCATCTTCCCCGAGAAAGGCTGCAGTGGCCTCAGTGATGTACACGGTGATCACCTCCATGCTGAACCCCTTCATCTACAGCCTGAGAAACAGGGATATTAAAGGTGTCCTGCGGCAGCCGCACGGCAGCACCGTCCAATTTCAGTATCTTCTTATCTGTTCCATTCCTTTTGTAGTGTGGGTTAAAAAAGGCAGCAAGGTCAAATAAGAATGATATCACAGGGTGAACACACAATGTGATATTAGGAGTAATACCTCCCTAGGATATAGAATATACTGTCACAGAGTATACACAGATGGGGTACACCCACTGTGATATTAGAAGCAATATCTCCCTAAAGTATGAGGAAAAATATCACAGGGTGTGCACACTGTGTGATATGAGGAGTAATATTTACCCTGGATATTACGACTAACATCAAGGGTGTACACACACGGGGTACACACACTGATATCAGGAGTTGTATCTTCCTAGGATATTATGAATACTATCACAGGGTATATACTATGTGTGTACATCCACTGTGATATTTGAAGTAATATCTCTCTATGAGATTGCAAATAACATCAAAGCATGTACACCCCTGTGATACATTAGGAGTAACATCCTTCTAGGGTATTACAGATCACATCACAGCGTGTACACCTCTGTGACGTTTTGTACACACTTTGTGACATTAAAAGAAACATCCCCCTAGGATATTATGAATAATAACACAGGAGGGTTACACACATGGTGTACACCGCCTGTGTCATCAGGAGTAACATTCCCCTAGGATATTATGAATAATATCACAGCAGGTGTACACACATGGAGTACACCCCATGTGACATTCGGAAGAGCATGCCCCTAGGATATTAGGAATAGTATCACAGGTGTTGAATATGCATTTTTAATATGTAATGTCACCCCCGGTGACAATAAAAATAACATCCCCCTTGGATATTATGAATAATATGACAGGGAGTACACCCCGTGTGACATTAGGAATAACATCCCCCAAGGATATAACGAACAATATCAGAGGGTGTACATACATTGTGACCTTAGTAGTAACATCTCTTTAGCATATTACAAATAGTATCACAGGGTGTACAGGCATTGTGACATTAGTAGTAACATTCCGCTGGGATATGACGAGTCATATCACAGGGTGTACACCCCCGTGACAATAGTAGCAACATTCCCCTAGAATATTAGGAACCATATCACAGGAGGTACAGCCCCTGTGATTTACAAGTAACATGTCTATAGAATGTTACAACTCATATCACTGTGTGACTCTGTGTACACCCCGTGTGACTTTAGGAGTAACATCCCACAAAACTATGATGAAAAATATCACAGGGTGAACACCCCCTGTGACCTGAGGAATAACGTAGTTTTAGGATATTATGAATGATGTGACAAGGTGTACACACCCTGTGACGTTAGGAGCAATATCCGTCGGGGATGTTAGGAAGAATATCACACGGAACACACCCCCTGTGACATTGCGATATGACAAATAATATCACAAGGCGTACACACATCATGACATTAGTGCTAATATTCCTCTGGTACACTATGAATAATATCACAGGGTGTACATCCCTGTGACATTAGGAGTAACATCCCCCTAGAATAGTAAGAATAATAACAGGGGGTGTACACCCCCTGTGACATGAGGAGTATCATCTCACTAGAATATTACGAATAATGTCACAGGGTGTTATCGTCTGTGCCAATAGGAGTATAGACCCCTGGGAAATTATGAATACTATCACAGGGTGCACAGCCCTGTGACATTAGGAGTAACATCTTTCTAGAATATCACAAATAATAGCACAATGTGTACACCCCGTGTCATTAAAAGTAAAATTGCCCTAGGATATTACGAAATAGAACACAGGGAGTACACCCCGGGTGACATTAGAAGTAACATCCCCCGAGGATATAACCAGTAAGATCAGAGAATGTACCTGCATTGGGACATCAGTAGTAACATCTCTTCAGGACAATACAAATAATATCAAAGGGTGTACACACATTGTGAAATTAGTAGTGAACTCCCGCTAGGATATTAGGAATTTTATGACAGGGTCTACAGGCCCTATGACATTAGCAGTAACGTTTTCCTAGAAGATTACGAAGAATATTAAAGGGTGTACAGGACCTCTGAATTACGAGTAACATTTCCATAGCATATTGCACGTAACATCACGGTGTGTACACGCCGTGTGACATTAGGGGTAACATCCCACAAAATTATAACGAATAATTTCACAAGCTGTGCGCCCTCTGTGACATTAAAAGTAACATTTCCCTAGAATATGACGACAATACCACGGAGTGTACACCCTCTGTGATATGAGGAGTGACATCTTATGAGGATAATATGAGTAATTTCACAAGGTGTACAAACCCTGTGACATAAGGGGTGACATCCCTCTAGGACATTATGGATAATATCAAAAGGAACATACCCCGTGTCACAATAAATGCAACCTCCCCTTAGGAGAATAAGAATAACACCACAAGGTGTACACACAATGTGACATTATTATTAAGGTAAAGCTAGGATATTGGGAATAACATCACAGTGTACAGAGTCCTGTGACATCAGGTTTAACATTCCCCTACAAAATTACGAATAATATTGAAGGGTGTATACCCCCTGCGACGTTAGAAGCCGCATCTTGCTAGAATATGGAAGATAATGTTCCAGGGTGTGAACCGAGGGTGGCAGTATAGAAAGGACCCTAGGAAAAATCCGGGAGTAATATCACCACCCTATGGCCCCCTGTATATGACCATCCACATCGCAGGGGGGCAGGTGCCCCCCGCGATGCAGGGAGTAATATCACCGGCCTCTAACCCTCTGGATATTACGATCCACATCGCAGTGGGGCGGGCGACCCCCAGCCACGCGAGGAGTAATATCACCCACCTTTCACACTCTGGATAAGACGATCCACATCGCAGGGGGGCGGGCGCCACCCGCAAGGCAGGCAGTCATATCACCCCCCTCTCGCCCTGTGGATATGACGATCCCCATCGCAGGGGAGTAAGAGCCAGCCCCTCTTCCGCCCCCGGCTCTCAGGGCCCCCATCGCAGGGGGAGAGGCACCCCCCACGAGGCAGGGACTGAGAGCCAGCCCCTCATCCCCCCCGGCTCTCAGGACCCCCATCGCAGGGGAGGGAGGCACCCCCCACGAGGCAGGGACTGAGAGCCAGCCCCTCTTCCCCCCTGGCTCTCAGGGCCCCCATCGCAGGGGGGGAGGCACCCCCAACAAGGCAGGGACTGAGAGCCAGCCCCTCTTCCCCCCTGGCTCTCAAGACCCCAATCGCAGGGGGGGAGGCACCCCCAACAAGGCAGGGACCGAGAGCCAGCCCCTCTCCCCCCCTGGCTCTGAGGGCCCCCATCGCAGGAGGGGGAGGCACCCCCAACGAGGCGGGGACTCAGAGGCAGCCCCCCTTCTGCCCCCGGCTCTTAGGACCCCCATCGCAGGGGGGGAGGCACCCCCCACGAGGCGGGGACTCAGAGGCAGCCCCCCTTCTGCCCCCGGCTCTTAGGGCCCCCATCGCAGGGCGGGGGAGGCACCCCCAGCGAGGTGGGGACTGAGAGCCAGCCCCTCATACCCCCCTGGCTTAGGACCCCCATCGCGGATCCTAAGAACCTTAGGACCCACCTGGAGGACTGTGGGTATTAGGTGTCCAAGAAGAAAGCTCAAATCTGCCGAGGGCAGGTACCTTACTTGGGATTTACTGTCCGACAGGGGTCCAAACGCAGCCCGGGAACAGAAAGAAAGCAGGTCATTTGCAGTCTACCGGAGCCTAAGGGCAGAAGGCAGGTGAGGGAATTCTTAGGGGCTGTGGGGTTTTGTAGACTCTGCATCCCAAACTTTGCAGTATTAGCCAAGCCTTTGTATGAGGTCACAAAGGGGGCAGGTGAGGGAATTCTTAGGGGCTGTGCAGTTTTGTAGACTGTGCATCCCAAACTTTGCAGTAGTAGCCAAGCCTTTGTATGAGGTCACAAAGGGGGCGGGCACCGGGAACCTTTGGAATGGGGATCCCAAGAACAGCAAGTCTTTCATGACTTAAAGGAAAAACTTCTGGCAGCCCCAGCCCTGGGGCTACCCGATCTGACAAAGCCTTTGCCATTGTATGCGTTAGAGAGAGAAAAGATGGCAGCTGGACTTTTAACCCAAACTGTGGGGCCCTGGCTGAGGCCGGTGGCCTACGTCTCTGAACAACTAGACAGGGTTTCTAAAGGATGGCCTCCCTGTTTGAGGGCCTTGGCAGCAACTGCCCTGCTAGTACAAGAAGCAAATAAGCTGACTCTTGGGCAAAACCTGAACATAAAGGCCCCCCATTTTGAGGTGGCTGAGAGCCAGCCCCTTTTCCCCCCGTGGCTCTTGGGACCCCCATCGCAGGGGGGGGTGGCACCCCCTGCGAGGCGGGGACTGAAAGCCAGCCCCTCTTCCGCCACAGGCTCTTAGGAACCCCATCGCAGGGAGGGAGGCACCCCCCGTGTGGCGGGGACTGAGAGCCAGCCCCTCACCCCCACCGGCTCTCAGGACCCCCATCGCAGGGCGGGGAGGCACCCCCCACGAGGCAGGGACCGAGAGCCAGCCCCTCTTCCCCCTCTGGCTCTTAGGACCACCATCGCAGGAGGGGGAGGCACCCCCCACCCCCCACGAGGCAGGGACTGAGAGCCAGCCCCACTTCCCCCCTGGCTCTTAGGGCCCCCATCGCAGGGGGGGGAGGCACCCCCGGCGAGGCGGGGACTGAGAGCCAGCCCCTCATCCCCCCCGGCTTAGGACCCCCATCGCAGATCCTAAGAACCTTAGGACCCACCTGGGGGACTGTGGGTATTAGGTGTCCAAGAAGAAAGCTCAAATCTGCCGAGGGCAGGTACCTTACTTGGGATTTACTATCCGACAGGGGTCCAAACGCAGCCCGGGAACAGAAAGAAAGCAGGTCATTTGCAGTCTACCGGAGCCTAAGGGCAGAAGGCAGGTGAGGGAATTCTTAGGGGCTGTGGGGTTTTGTAGACTCTGCATCCCAAATTTTGCATTATTAGCCAAGCCTTTGTATGAGGTCACAAAGGGGGCAGGTGAGGGAATTCTTAGGGGCTGTGGGGTTTTGTAGACTGTGCATCCCAAACTTTGCAGTATTAGCCAAGCCTTTGTATGAGGTCACAAAGGGGGCGGGGACCGGGAACCTTTGAAATGGGGATCCCAACAACAGCAAGTCTTTCATGAGTTAAAGGAAAAACTTCTGGCAGCCCCAGCCCTGGGGCTACCCGATCTGACCAAGCCTTTTCCATTGAATGCGTCAGATAGAGAAAAGATGGCAGCTGGACTTTTAACCGAAACTCTGGGACCCTGGCTGTGGCCGGTGGCCTACGTGTCTAAACAACTAGAGAGGGTTTCTAAAGGATGGCCCCTCATGTTTGAGGGCTGTGGTATCAACTGCCCTGATAGTACGAGAAGCAAATAAGCTGACTCTTGGGCAAAACCTGAACATAAAGGCCGCCCATTTTGGGTTGGGTGACAGCCATCCCCTCTTCCCCCCCTGCCTTAGGACCCCCATCGCGGATCCTAAGATCTTTAGGACTCACCTGGAGGACTGTGGGTATTAGGTGTCCAAGAAGAAAGCTCAAATCTGCCGATGGCAGGTACCTTACTTGAGATTTACTCTCTGACAGGGGTCCGACGCCACCTGGGAACAGAAAGAAAGCAGGTTATTTGCAATCTCCCGGAGCCTAAGGGCCGAAGGCAGGCGAGAGAATTCTCAGGGGCTGTGGGGTTTTGTAGATTGTGCATCCCAAACTTTGCAGTATTAGCCAAGCCTTTGTATGAGGTCACAAAGGGGGCGGGGACCGGGAACCTTTGGAATGGGGATCCCAAGAACAGCAAGTCTTTCATGACTTAAAGGAAAAACTTCTGGCAGCCCCAGCCCTGGGGCTACCCGATCTGACAAAGCCTTTGCCATTGTATGCGTTAGAGAGAGAAAAGATGGCAGCTGGACTTTTAACCCAAACTGTGGGGCCCTGGCTGAGGCCGGTGGCCTACGTCTCTGAACAACTAGATAGGGTTTCTAAAGGATGGCCCCCCTGTTTGAGGGCCTTGGCAGCAACTGCCCTGCTAGTACAAGAAGCAAATAAGCTGACTCTTGGGCAAAACCTGAACATAAAGGCCCCCCATTTTGTGGTGGCTGAGAGCCAGCCCCTTTTCCCCCCGTGGCTCTTGGGACCCCCATCGCAGGGGGGGTGGCACCCCCTGCGAGGCGGGGACTGAGAGCCAGCCCCTCATCCGCCACAGGCTCTTAGGAACCCCATCGCAGGGGGGGAGGCAACCCCCCACGAGGCAGGGACTGAGAGCCAGCCCCTCTTCCCCCTCTGGCTCTTAGGGCCCCCATCCCAGGAGGGGGAGGCACCCCCCACGAGGCAGGGACGCAGAGGCAGCCCCTATTCTGCCCCCGGCTCTTAGGACCCCCATCGCAGGGGGGGAGACACCCCCCACGAGGCGGGGACTGAGAGCCAGCCCCTCTTCTCCCCCTGGCTCTTAGGACACCAATCGCAGGGGTGGGAGGCACCCCCAACGAGGCAGGGACTGAGAGCCAGCCCCTCGTCCCCCCCGGCATAGGACCCCCATCGCGGATCCTAAGAACCTTAGGACCCACTTGGAGGACTGTGGGTATTAGGTGTCCAAGAAGAAAGCTCAAATCTGCCGATGGCAGGTACCTTACTTAGGATTTACTATCTGACAGGAGTCCGAACGCAGCCCGGGAACAGAAAGAAAGCAGGTTATTTGCAATCTCCCGGAGCCTAAGTGCCTAAGGCAGGCGAGAGAATTCTCAGGGGATGTGGGGTTTTGTAGACTGTGGATCCCAAACTTTGCAGTATTAGCCAAGCCTTTGTATGAGGTCACAAAGGGGGCGGGGACCGGAACCTTTGGAATGGGGATCCAAGAACAGCAAGTCTTTCATGACTTAAAGGAAAAACTTCTGGCAGCCCCAGCCCTGGGGCTACCCGATCTGACAAAGCCTTTTCCATTGTATGCGTTAGAGAGAGAAAAGATGGCAGCTGGACTTTTAACCCAAACTGTGGGGCCCTGGCTGAGGCCGGTGGCCTACGTCTCTGAACAACTAGACAGGGTTTCTGAAGGATGGCTCCCCTGTTTGAGGCCTTGGCAGCAACTGCCCTGCTAGTACAAGAAGCAAATAAGCTGACTCTTGGGCAAAACCTGAACATAAAGGCCCCCCATTTTGTGGTGGCTGAGAGCCATCCCCTTTTCCCCCCCTGGATCTTGGGACCCCCATTGCCGGGGAGGCACCACCCGTGAGAGTGCTGGGATTACAGACGTAAGCCACCGCGCCTGGCCAATAAATGTTAGCTTTTTAATAATGTATCTCTGGTAGTTGCCTGCTTCACTAGCCCTACACACACACACACACACGTGCACCTGTGCAATTTTCCCTGGTCAGCATTGATGACAGTGAATAAGAAGAATAGATATACATTGTTTCATGAACCTTTGCAGTGTTTGAGGTTTTATAAAGGCACAGGTCCAGTTATACAGACTTGTGCCATCAAACTTGTGCAGCTTTAAATGAGTATTTTTTTTTTTGGCTGGGAGTGGTGGCTCATGCCTGTAATCCCAGAACTTTGGGAAGCTAAGGCAGGAAGATTGCTTGAGCCCAGGAGTTTGAGACCAGCCTGAGCAATGCAGTGAGATCCCATCCCTAAAAAATAATAATTTTTAAAATAAGAACAATTAATTTAAAAAAATAAAATGAGTGTTTTTAAAATTGTATTTTTAAATTGACAATAATTGTACACATTCATGGGGTACATAGTGGTGTTTCCATATACATAATGTATAGGGATTAGATCACATTAATTAGCATATTTATCATCTCAAGAGTATTCTTTTTAATGTGTCCTTTCCTCAAAGAGGAAATCAATATTCTGCTTGCTGGGGAGGGGGAAAGAGGCAGTTGCTATTTATTCTGTGCCCACTGATTTTTTCCCTAATCTAAATGAAAATAATAAACCACATAATCTGTTTGAACCACAAAGATTCTTCCTTATAATATTGTTCCCTTCTCCCTCTGTCATTGCCATAAAAAGCTTGTTCCTTGCCATCTGAATTCTCATAAAGCCCAGCTGGCCTTTGTCCTAACGCAGCAGATCTCAGCTTATTTCCCTTTCAGTGAATCAGATAACATCATCCTTTTTTACTGACTTTCGTACTTAGATTTATGAGTGACTTGGCAATGTGGTAATGTCTACCAATGAATGTCTTTTTTTTTTTTTTTTTAACCAAGAGGCATTTGTAAAAGCAGCTAAATATAGTAATTGCTGGATTCATTTTTCCCTGCTTCCACATACTTTTAGCCAAGGAACTGTGCACTGTCAAGGGCATTGAGCAATAGACAGTATAATGATATGCCTATATGACCTATTTATTTAGAATATTTAGAATCTCTAAACTTCAGTTTGTTCATTTGTAAAGTCTGCATAAGAGTATCCACTTCAATAGTATAATTATAAAAATTAAAATAGCTAGTATGAATATTTAGTATGGAGCTAATTTTGCTTTAAACTACTGATTATCTTTCAAAGATATCTAAATAATAAGAAAGAAAGTCTTCCTATTCACCTATATGGAACCATGGATTGCTGGACCGGCATGGTGGCTCACACCAGTAATCTTAGCACTTTGGGAGGCTGAGGCAGGAGGATCACTTGAGCCCAGGAGTTCGAGACCAGGCTAGGCAACATAGAGAGACACCATCTCAAAAAAAAGAAAAGAAAAGGAAAAATAAAACCATGTATTTACCCATGGAGTCACCATTTCCAGTGCTGTCATTCATAGGTGAGGATGATGCAATTGACCCATTAAAAGACAAGGGCTTGGGGCCGGGCGCGGTGGGTGACTCACGCTTGTAATCCCAGCATTCTGGGAGGCCGAGGCAGCCGGATCACGAGGTCAGGAGATCGAGACCATCCTGACTAACACAGTGAAACCCCATCTCTACTAAAACAATATAAAAAATTAGCTGGGCGTAGTGGCGGGCACCTGTAGTCCCAGCTACTCGGGAGGCTAAGGCAGGAGAATGGCGTGAACCTGGGAGGCAGAGCTTGCAGTAAGCCGAGATCGCGCCACTGCCCTCCAGGCTAAAAACAAAACAAAAAAAAGACAAGGGCTTGGGCCGGGCCTGTAATCCCAGCACTTTGGGAGGCCGAGGCAGGCAGATCACAAGGTCAGGAGATCGAGACCATCCTGCTTAACGTGGTGAAACCCCGTCTCTACTAAAATTACAAAAAATTAGCTGGGCGTGGTGGCGGGTGCCTGTAATCCCAGCTACTCATGAGGCTGAGGCAGGAGAATCACTTGAACCCGGGAAGCAGAGGTTGCAGTGAGCAGAGATCGTGCCACTGCACTCCAGCCTGGGTGACAGAGTGAGACTCCGTTTCAAAAAAAAAAAAAAAGAAAAGAAAAGACAAGGTCTTCAGGCCGGGTGTGGTGGCTCATGCCTGTAATCTCAGCACTTTGGGAAGCTGAGGTGGGTAGATCACCTGAGGCCCAGAGTTCGAGACCAGGCTGGCCAACATGGTGAAACCCTGTCTCTACTAAAAATACAAAAATTAGCCAGGTGTGGTGGCGGCACCTGTGATCCCAACTACTTGGGAAGCTGAGGCAGGAGAATTGCTTGAACCTTGGAGTTGGAGACTGCAGTGAGCCGAGATCACACCACTGCACTCCATCCAGCCTGGGCAACAAAGTGAGACTCTGTCTCAAAAAAAAAAAAAAAAAAAAAAGACAACGACTTCAAGCTGCTTCACCAGCAGTTATCTGTGTCTTTTGTTTTAGGGACAGCTCTGCAGATTTGGGGTAGCATGTGGCCAGGGAACCAAAGTAAATAGTTTGCAAAATGATCAAATTTGTCTTCCTGACATTATCAACGTCTAATTTAATGTTCATCTTTTGGTAATGTTCCAGAAAATAGATTAGACACTTTGGGAGTGATAGCAATTCTTAAACAACATTTTTTTTTCTATACTAAATATAATATGTGCATTGTACAATAGTTGGGATGGAAAAATATTCTAAATGTCTAAATCATATATAATCCTAAAACTTATAACCATTATTAATATTTTGGTATATTTTCTTTTAGTCTTTTTTGCATATATGGATGCACAGTATATATGTTACACATACGCATATTAAAAAAATCATCTTATCAAATATCTAGCTTTTAGAAACAACATTATAGCATCAGCAGCTTTATAATCACTAAATGTCTTTCAAAAAACCTGATTTTGAATGACTGTGTAATAGTCCATAATATGGCTGATCCACAATTTATTTAACCAACACTCACTGCTTAATAAAATTACCATTCCACCACATATGCCAGGGGTACGATTCACTTTTTATACAAAAGAGTGGGCCAAGTTCTATTTATATAGTTGGAAACCAAGGGATACATTAATGGTTTAGATACTAGAAGTGTCAGATGTATAAAGAATGACAGCAAATAACTTTAGTCTCCATTTCTATCGTGACCTTTAAAATTTGGCTTTGTGAAAGGAAAATAAATCTTGGAACCCCAACATCACTAAGCCAAAGGAAAAAGCCAAGCTGGGAACTGTGTCATGCAAACCTGCCTCCCATTTTATTCCTAAATAAGACAGCTACAAAGATTTATTTATTTATTTATTTATTTATTTATTTATTTATTTATTTTAAGATGGAGTCTCGTTCTGTCACCCAGGCTGGAGTGCAGTGGCATAATCTCAGCTCACTGCAACCTCTGCATCCCAGGTTCAAGCGATTCTCCTGCCTCAGCCTCCCGAGTAGCTGGGACTACAGGCGCCTGCCACCATGTCTGGCTAATTTTTTGTATTTTTAGTAGAGACAGGGTTTCACCTTGTTGGCCAGGCTGGTCTTGAACTCCTGATCTCAAGTGATCTGCTCACCTTGGCCTCCCAGTGTGCTAGGATTACAGATGTGAGCCATCCCACCCGGCCCAAAGATTTTTTTTTTGTTTTTTTTTGAGATGGAGTTTCACTCTTGTTGCCCACGCTGGAGTCCAATGGCACAATATCCACTCACGGCAACCTACGCCTCCTGGGTTCAAGCAATTCTCCTGCCTCAGCCTCCTGAGTAGCTGGGATGACAGGCACGCACCACCACGCCTGGCTAATTTTTGGGTTTTTAGTAGAGACAGGGCTTTGCCATGTTGGCCAGGCTGGTCTCGAACTCCTGGCCTCATGTGATCCACCCACCTCAGCCTCCCAAAGTGCTGGGATTATAGGCATGAGCCACCACACCAGGCCAAGATTTTTTAAAAGGCTACATACCTCCCTCACAATTTGTTCATCAGGAAATTCCTTGTGGGCCCCAAGATCTTTACCCTAAAACAGTTCTGTTGAATTTTACCCTGACAATGTAAACTGATAGCTTATCTTCACAGGTACAGGACAAAGGACAGAGCTCTAAGTCATCCCTCTGTACTCACCTAAGACAAATGCATATCTGATTGCTTCCTCTGTAAAAATGCACATTCACTGAGCTAGACTAAGGCGTAAGTGACTACTCCTTTACCCTCCTCTCACGTGTAAATTGCGTATTTGGTGAAAGGCTGATCAAAGACTCAAAAGAATGCAACCATTTGTCTCGTATCTTTCCACACCTTGTAAACATTTCTTCCTCTTTCCCCAGTATCCGCTCTTTCCCCTTTAAATATTAAAGCCCTCAAAATCATCTCTGGAGAAAGGCACAGACCTGCCTCTCAGCTGCATATACTTAACCTTGGGCAATTTATCTCTAAATGGATTGAGACCTGTATCAGATATGTTTTGGTTCACAACTTGAAGGAGATAGATGATGCAGTGACTGATGTGTTTGCCTATGGTGATAAACAGTAAGTTTTACCTTGATTCCTACATTTAGTTTTTCACTCACATGTTCCCAGCAGATCCTAAGAGGTAGCAGCCTTGTTGGTGAATGAGTTATTTGTTCATTCAATAGACTAAGTTCTCTGTGTTGCTATTTCCTTTGGCCACTCTGAGTTGTAGACAAATGAATTCTTATTAGAGATGAAATCTGTATTTAATTGTTGAATGAAAGGAATTTTCAAATCAATTTAAATGTAAACTCTTCATATAAATCCAAACATACCTGGCTCTTCCTTTTATCTTCAAAAGTCAGTTGAGTTTTTTTTCATCAAAAATGTTGCATAGGGGCCAGGCACGGTGGCTCACGCCTGTAATCCCAACACTTTGGGAGGTCGAGGCAGGCAGATCACGAGGTCAGGAGTGCGAGATCAGCCTGGCCAATATGGTGAAACCCTGTCTCTACTGAAAATACAAAAACTAGCTGGGCCTGGTGGCACGCACCTGTAGTCCCACCTATTTGGGAGGCTGAGGCTGGAGAATCGCTTGTACCCAGGAGGCAGAGGTTGCAGTGAGCCGAGATCACACCACTGCACTCCAGCCTGGCAACAGAGTGAGACGCTGTATCAAAAAAAAAAAAAAAGAAAAAAAAAGTTGCATAGGGCTGGGCTGCATGTGGTGGCTCACACCTGTCATCTCAGCACTTTGGGAGGCCAGGGTGGGCAGATCACTTGAGGTCAGGAGTTTGAGACCAGCCTGGCCAACACGGTGAAACCTGGTCTCTACCAAAAAATACAAAACTTAGTTGGGCGTGATGGTGTGTGCCTGTAGTCTCAGCTACTTGGGAGGCTGAGGTGGGAGAATCACCTAAACTCAGGAGGGGGAGGCTGCAGTGAGCTGAGATCATGGCACCGTACTCCAGCCTGGGTGACAGAGTGAGACCGTGTCTTACGAAAAAAAATATTGTTGCATAGTTTTGCCCTAAGCCAGCCACACTCACTAGCCTATTTCCTACTGACACTCACCCCTACAGACCCTTAACCCCACCCACAGCTGTCAGCTCTGCCTGGCCCTTGAGGGGTGGGTTTATGAGAGACCTTCTGCTTACTGCTAGTCTCAGAATCTATGGTATTCATGGAATGCTGATGCTATGGTTTGAATGTATGTATTTCTCCAAACTTCATGTTGAAACTTAATCCTGATGTGACAGTTAAGAGGTGGGGCCTTTAGAAGGCAATTAGGTCATGAGGGCTCTGCTCTCACAGATGGAATTAGTGCCTTATAAAAAGGCTTGAGGGAGCCTGCATGGTCCTTCCTCCCCTTCCACCATGTGAGGAGGCAGCAACAAGGCACCATCTTTGAAGCAGAAAGTGAGCCTTCGCCAGACAGCAAATCTGCCGGCACCTTGATCTCGGACTTCCCAGCCTCCAGAATTGTGAGCAATAAATTTCTATTGTTTATACATCACCCAGTCTAAGGTATTTTTGTTATAGCAGCAGAAACAGATTAAGGCAGATTGAGGATAAAAATAATTGACTGTATGCCAGGCGCAGTGGCTCACTCCTGTAATCCCAGCACTTTGGGAGGCCGAGGCAGGTGGATCATGAGGTCAGGCGTTCAAGACCAGCCTGACCAACATGGTGAAACCCTGTCTCTACTAAAGATACAAAAAATTAGCCAGGCATGGTGGCGGGTGCCGGTAATCCCAGCTGCTCAGGAGTCTGAGGCAGAAGAATCGCTTGAACCTGGGAGGCAGAGGTTGCAGTGAGCTGAGATCACACCACTGCACTTCAGCCTGGGTGACAGAGTGAGACTCTGTCTCAAAATAAATAAATAAATTAATTAAATAAAATAAAATAATTGACTGTAAAACACTAGTAACTGTAAACATTGCAGCATCCTTCTACAAAACATCTAGCCCCACTACATTGTGATGGGGTAGGATGTATATGGACTAGATTTCAATGAGAGTTAATAGAAATGAAGTGGAACTATTTGGGAGGAGGTTAAGGAGGGGGCAGGAGGGGACAAGGAAGAACATCTAAATTACCTAGCCTCCTGCTAGCATTTTTAGTTTTTAATATGATGACAGTCAAGGAGAGGACAGAAGAGAACTCACTTCACAGTCCCACTTGGGGTGTGTTCCCGAGTTACACCGATAAAATTAGCTGAAAAATGAACTCCTCTGCACTGATTCTTTAAAGAGTATTTTTACAATAAATTATATTGTGTATGGCTTTCCAAACTCTGTGGGACTTTGTCTCTGGGTGGATTCCCCAAACAACTTTCAGCTGCTTTTTGTAGCCACCTAACTCCCTAAGCAAAGAGCCACTCCAAGGGCCCCCTCTCCAGGAAGGAAAGGTCCTGACACAAAGTTGGCCTGGGCCCCACAATGTCATAAGCTGCATGCTTTGTTTCCTCTTGTTTCATACAGTTGACATCTTTCAGATGGTTGTGTGAAGGTTATTCTTGTATTTTCCTTCTCCCTCTTACTGGCAAGAAAACATTTGGCTGTGCAAAAGGTAGAAACAGAGGCAACTGAGATGTGCATATGAGCCGGAAAGTCCTGGGCTTCAGGTATTTATTCTTGAAAGTAATAGTGAGTATTTAGAGACGATCCCCCTATCCAAAGGTACCAGTGAGATTAGATTTGTTAAAGACATTACTCACAGGTGCAAGAGTACACACCCACACCTGTTCAGACACCAGCAACCGGGAGCATGGATAAGAACTAGAACCTGCTGATACAGCCCTTTGCAATGACTACACCGCATGCCAAATGGCTCTAGTGCAGAGTATGAATGAGCTCAGAACAGTGGGTGGATTTATGCAATTTCTGAGAACCACATGGAAGCTTCTGACTTGATTGCCAAAAAGAGAAGACTTTTTTGTTGTTGTTTTTGTTTGGCTTTGTTTTTTATTCTTTGCCTCAGAATGATCATCCTCCCGCATATAAATTAGTGATGACACCCGTGACTCGGAAAGCCAACATTGGAACAGCAGCAACATGAAGCACCGCTTTCATGACTCATTTCACCCAGAGAATGCACTCAGGCCCTATTTACAAAACTGTGCAACATAAATAGAACTGCACAGATACACTTACTGAAAGATTCAGCTTGAATCAAAAGACATATTCAGATCACTATTTTTCTTGAATACTAGAATTAGACTATCTCAATATTTTTAAGTGATATGAATGCACTCTAGAATTGAAGTACTTTAAAATGTACTAGTTTATTCCTGTTCGAAAACTCTAAAAGCTTCTCTTTACAACAAATTAGTGGTTAGCTACTCCACATCAATCTTTTTTTGTTTGTTTGTTTTTGTTTTTGTTTTTTTGAGATAAGGTCTCGCTATGTTGCCTGGGCTGGACTCAAACTCCTGGGCTCAAGCAATCCTCCCACTTCAGCCTCCTGAGTAGGTGGGACTACAGACACGTGCCCTGCCTGGACACATGAATCATTTTTATCCAAGACTGGCAACTCTTCAACATTCTTTTTCCTGTGTCAGGGCAAAAGCCTCAGCAATTCTTCTATTTTTCTACAGAACAAGAACTTGCATCTTCACATATTAGGTTTCAATGCAAGTCACTGAGCATTTTGATCTCTATTATAATGATTTTTGACATACAGTTTCACTCTTGTTGCCCAGGCTGGAGTGCAATGGCATAATCTCGGCTCATTGCAACCTCTGCCTCCCAGGTTCAAGCGATTCTCCTGCCTCAGCCTCCCGGGTGCCTGGGATTACAGGCATGCACCACCACATCCGGCTAATTTTGTATTTTTGGTAGAGATGGGGTTTCTCCATGTTGGTCAGGCTGGTCTTGAACTCCTGACCTCAGGTGATCTGCCTGCCTCAGCCTCCTAAAGTGCTGGGATTACAGGCGTGAGCCACCGTGCCTGGCCTGGATCTCTATTATTAACGTGCAAAAGAGGAGATAAGGAAGCATCTTGTGCGCCTTCTTTGGTGGAGGGGATGGGTGGTAGGCAGCTAGGAGGGGGTGAGGGCCTGCACACTGAAACTGGATTTAGTATAAAGCAATCTGGAAAACATAGTAGTAAACCCTGTCTGGAAACTGCAAGTCACGTTCCGAGAAAACCTGGGATGAGAAAAGGATAAATTTAGCAATAATGATTTTTGCTAGATCCTGATGGTACAGGCAGAATGACAAAGAAAGAGAATGTCTTTTGAAAACAACACTCTCATAAAAAATGATGAGTTTCCATCAAAGAAGTAGAAATAAGAAGATACATAGAGTTTGTTTCCATTTACATGAAATTCAAAATAGACAATATCCAAATCTATTTTTTAGAGCGAGAGAGTGATAAGTGGTACCAGCACGAAGAAAAATAAAGAAATAAGCACAGAATTCAGCATAGTGGTTCCCATTAGGGATAGGGTGGGAACAGGCTGCGATTGAGTGGAAACACAAGGGGAGTTCTGGATCGCTGCTGAAGTGGCTACGTTGTCTGGGGTAAATATCCGGGGTTCGTCATCTCAGCCAGGAAAATTTAGGACACGGACACACACGAGGAGTTTAGGAGCAGAGGTTTAATAGGCAAAAGAAAGAGAAAGGAAAACAGCTCTTTCTCCAGTGAGAGAGAGAGGGGCCTTCCAAGAAGAAAGACTGGCCAGTGGCAGATGATCCGAATTGTATGTATAGTCAGGTTTGAGGAGGCAGTGTCTGATTTACACAGGGCACACAGATTGGTTCCATCAGGTATGACGTTTACATATCGAGAGGGGAAGGCTGGCCTCCCCATCCTAATCTTATTACGCAAATGAACTTTCCCCTTTGTGGCGCCATCTTGTCTGCTCCTTACTGTCCACATGGCTGACAAAGAGAAGGGAAGATGGTGCTGCCATCTTGAACATGACTGGCACAACTGCCAGGATCTATGTCTGCAGCTCAATTTTACAGGCTGCTCTTTGTTAGAAAGGAAAATAATTTGGGGCTGCTTTTCATTAAAAGGAAAACCTTACTGAGGACTTCTGTACTCCTCACTATCTGCCTAAGTAATTTATTTTTTTTTTTTGAGATGGAGTCTCACTCTGTCGCCCAGGCTGGAGTGCAGTGGCGCCATCTCAGCTCACTGCAAGCTCCGCCTCCCGGGTTCACGCCATTCTCCTCCCTCAGCCTCCGGAGTAGTTGGGACTACAGGTGCCCGCCACCACGCCCGGTTAATTTTTTTTTTGTATTTTTAGTAGAGACGGGGTTTCACCGTGTTAGCCAGGATGGTCTCCATCTCCTGACCTCGTGATCCGCCTGCCTTGGCCTCCCAAAGTGCCGGGGTTACACGCGTGAGCCACCGCGCCTGGCCTAAGTAATTTCTTCTTAACTCCTGTATCATTGGTAATGTTATATTTCTTAATCTGGGTGGTAGTTATATAAAGTGTCGTGTGGTCTGAATGCGTCTCCAGAAATGGTGTTGAAAATGTAATCCCAAGTGCAACAGTATTAGGAGGTGGGGCCTTTGGGAGGTGTTTAGGTCATGAGGCTCCACCCTCATCAAGGCCCTTACAAAAGAGGTTTGCAGGAATGGGTTCACTCTCTTTTACTGTTTTGGGACATGAGGACAAATTGTTGGACCCTGCTTGCCCTTCCACCTTCCACCATGTGAGAATGCGGTATCTAGCCAATTACCATAGCACAGGGGTTAAGTGCACAGACACCAGAGCCAGGCTATCTGAGAACCTGACAAGAAGGCTCTCACCAGACACCAGATGCTGGCACCTCGATCTTGGACTTCTCAGTTTCCATAACAGAGAAATAAACTCTCTTTTTTGCCTAGTCAGATATTGTGGATAGCAGCACAAAAAAGCCTAAGACAGGGAGTTTGTGATATAATTATTCACTAAACAAAACATCTGTTTTATGCATTTTTTACGAGTGCATGTTTTATTTCACAATTTTTTAAATGAGATAAATGGCTACATTAATCATCCCTAGAAAGATAAACATTCTCTCAAAGATGAGACTTGGGCACCATTGAATATTTAGTGACTGACACACTCTGGGTTTCACTAGAGTGAGTCTCTCACTTTGGTATCCCTGAAAGTCCTTCATATTTAGGATTAGAAGCTGAGGGAGCCACCAGCCTTGATGCTGGCTTCTCCATGAAAGTCCTGGCACCATAGGCAGCAAGGGCAGGAGCTGAAATATGAAGGGATGGACAAAAGTTGGGGGAGCACGATTAGGAAAAAGAAGACACAAGGCAGACCAGGGAGACCAGAGCTCATAGTGGGAATCAAGTGTCAAGTAGGCAGAGCTACTGGCAATAAGAGCAAGGCTAGATGTCAAGACCAGGCAGGTAAACAGAGATCTGGACAGTTATGGAGATTGCAAGTTCTCAGAAGGGAAACTTAGAACTCCAGAGATTTGATGCTGAGTCTCCTGGCATAAGCCCAGTTGAGCTGGGGAGTGGAAAGACAGATGGGGACTAGGAGTAAAACAGACCTACTGTGATGGCAGCGGCACTAGGGTCCCAGGTGAAGGCAGTTAGAGAAATGACAGAGTAAAGACAGAACAGTGTAGCCTAAGGCTTTATGCATGTATGCATTCATTTGAATACTTCCTTGAGAGCTTACTGTGGGTCAGATACTATCTGTGGGTCAGATACTATCCTAGGTATTGGAAATCCAGTGTAAACAAAACAGTCCCTGTCTTCCTGGAGTCTATATTCTAGTAATTAGCAAAGAAGCAGGAGAGACAGATGGTAAATAAGTAATTGGACAACTAAAAGGGTAGTTTCACATAGTACTATCAAGAAAAATATAGAATGGCTTGGGGAGGGGGCAGTACTCAAGAATGATAAGTGTTTTTCTGGAGAAGGAGCAAGCAGGAAGAGCATTAGATGAGATGTTATGGGCAGCCTGAAGAGAGTTCCAAGTGCAGAAAAGAAGCAGAGATGAGGCCTGCAATTAGGATGTAGCTGTTCAACACAGCCCAGGGCCAGGAATCCAGCCACCTGGGAAGACTGAAACTACTGTGGCATTCCTGGCCCAGCGGCTGAGATACCTGACCTGTTATCAAAGCAGGGTCCAGGCTTGGCAGAACCCACCAGAGAACATGATTCCAGTAGAGCAAACCTGGGGCTTGGTCCTAGGAACATGTCAGAAGTCAGAGCCAGGCCACAGAGCCAGAATATTCTCCACTTAAGACATGATTACATTTCCTAAGCTAATTGCTTTTTCTCCAAAGAAGCCTCAGATCTCCGGTTTAGAGCTTTCGCCATGATGTACAACGTTATGCTTAAAACACATCAAAACATCCTCCTTGCTGGGGAATGCTACTGGATTCTCTCATCTTGGCTTAGCATGCTACCATATTCCAATTATCCTGAGGCTCTTTGGAGACAGAGACGGGCAGGATGGGGAAAAGCTCTTCAGCCTCCAGGCTAAGTTTGAAACATACTCTCTTTGTCAGCAGTCTTACTTTTAGATTCACCCGATAAGATCCTCTAGGATACTGACTACAAAAAGCCACAGAATCAAGCAAGATAAGGCTGGTGGTCTCTCACAGCTTACCTCACAAACTGCTCTTCTACATATTTAAAAGTAGCCCTTGGCTATTTACGTCTGCATCCTGGGGATGGCTGCTTAGCCCAATACTGCAGCTAGTTCTGGTCCTTAGTCTTCAAAAGCTAAAAGCAGTTCAGAAAAGGGGCAAAGAGGATGATTCCAAGTTCATGAACAGGACTACTCCATGAGACACAGGGAGAAAATCCTCCCTATTTCTCCCTCCATGCCACCCTGCAGAGTTCCTTGATCACATCCCTGGCAAGCTCACCACTAACCCAGATGGCTCGACAGTCTTCCTGGCCTACCTCACAGCTTTGTTGAGAGGTCAAAGGAGGAAGCTGTAAAGCATTAAGGAAATTTAAGAACCCATTATTATTATTTTACAGTATGATATGGTTTGGCTGTGTCCCCACCCAAATCTCATCCTGAATTGTAGCTTCCACAATTCCCACGTGTCATGGGAGGAAACTGGTGGGAGATAATTGAATCATGGGGGTGAGTCTTTCCTGTGCTGTTCTCGTGATATTGAGTAAGTCTCACAATATCTGATGGTTTTATAAAGGGGAGTTCCCTGCACATGCCTTCGTGCCTGTCACCATGCAAGATGTGACTTTACTCCTCCTTTGCCTCCCGCCATGATTGTGAGGCCTCCCCAGCCATGTGGAACTGTGAGCCCATTAAATCTCTTTTCTTTATAAATTACCCAGTCTCGGGTATGTCTTTATTAGCAGTGTGAGAACAGACTAATACACAGTAGTATCACTTTGAAACCTACTATAGTCCCAGAAGTTCAATAGTTAGGAAAAATAAGTTGCTTAAGTTTAAAAGAACATGCAGCAGTGTGGTCGTAGATGAACCTCCAGAGGAAAAAGGCCTGAAAAAGGCTGTACTTGCCAAGATCTGTGATGCAAATACTCCCACTGCAACTGATCACGTTGATGTCAAGCCATCAACATGATATCACAGAATTGGAAAGAGATGAGCACGGTCCACCCTGGCAAGCCAGTGCATGCTGGCTCCAACACACTCAGGGGCCATGCTAAGGACTGGGGGCTCGGAAGTAAATAAAACACAGCTTATGGCTTCAGATTAATGCATGGGCTAGTCAAGGAGATGGACAACAAAGTAAAGAACCATGATAATAAATTCTGTAACAAAATTATGTACTGATAGCAGATGCATGTGTGTGTTCTCCCAGTGGAATCTGGAACCCAAAAGGAAACAAAGCTTTAGACCAACAAAATGAAGCTTTGATAGTGGAATGGCAGACATCGGCTAACAGTCAAGGAGGGTTACTGGAAATTCCATCTCTAATAGATAGCTGCCAACTTGTTTATGAAGGCTGGCTCTAGATAAAATAGGCACTGTAACAGAGAATGTTCAATGATCTCAGCTACGCTACTGATAAGCATGAGAAGAGTTGAGTCAGAGACAGGGTAATTAAAGCTTATGCTTCCATGGGCTAGAGAGAACCTGCATCCATTCTCCTAACATCTGTCTACTTATTCCTGCTGCTGCCATGTCCATACATTGGCCGGATAGAGCAATTGGGTCAGAGAGGGGCAGGAAAGGCATGGGAGAAGGTTAGGAACCAAGGGGAAGAAGAGGTAGATGCCATCAACACCTCCTTATCTTCCTGCTCTTTTGAAGTCCATGAAATCTACTCATCCCATACCCTTCTCCTAGGCAACCCTATTGTCTGTCAAGGTTCAAGACTCAGTCACACCTTCTTCAGATATTTCAGCATCACAGTCTTTCTCCCACAGCTGCTCTTTCTAGATCTCACATTACGCTGTTTCTCTCTCCGTTTCTGGCTCTTTACATGCAGAGGCTTCTTCAACGTTCAGTCATTCTTGCTTCTTTTGTTGTTCCATAGTTTCTCTTTAATATTGACATCCACTTCCTTATTTCTCTTCCCTATGCAGACCACATCCCTGCTTGCTTATCAAGACCTTACCTTTCTCCTGAGCACCAGCCTCATATTTCAATCAGCTGGTGCACAATTCATTTACAGAGACCTCTGGAATTAATTCAGACAGCACATCCTCTGAGACCTCATCTTCCTCTTCAAGTTTCCATTGCTATTTTATTTATTTAGCAAAAGTGTATTTTAAAAACTGATTCATATCAGTTGTACATATTTTTGGGGTACATGTGATAATTTGTAATGTGTACAAATATGTACAATGTGTAATTATCAAATAGGGTAACTGAGATATTCATCACCAGGGCATGGTGGCATGTGCCTGTAGTCCCAACTGCTTGGAAGGCTAAGGTGGAAGGATCACCCGAGTCTGGAAGGTCGAGGCTGCAGTGAGCTGTGATTGTGCCACTGCACTCTGGTCTGGATGATACAGTGAGATCCTATCTTAAATACATACATACATATAGTGTATATTATTCTGTTTCCTTGTACCAGCAAACAGCTTTGGGAGGAAAAAAGTCCTTTATAATTGGGAGATAATGAAATGCTTTTAGAATGGGGACAGAACTAGAGCCACCCTTAAGGTTAAATGGACTCAGGAACAGAAACAAAGACTCTCACAGCTGCTTCCTATGGCTGCCAGCCTCTATGTGTGTGTGATTGTGTGTGTGTGTGTGTGTGTGTGTGTGTTTGTAGGTTTTTATCCACAATTCCTATCTCATAACTTCCACGGACAGAATTTTGTTATAATGTTGGGGCACTGTAGGCCAGGCATTGGAAGTAGGAATTGGAAAACAGAATCTCTCTCTCTCTCTCTCTAACATTCTCCTGTCCTCCTTTGACCTGCCCAAGGCAGGACCCTAGTCTGGTTGTGGGCCCTAAGAGCCTCATTTGCGAGAGTGTCCTGCCCCATACCCTAAAGGAAAAAAGTGCTGCACAGAGAGGACAGAACGACGTGAACAGACAGGCCTTTCTGGGTTTCCCCAATCAGTCTATTAGTATTGAATCATACCTGTTTTGTCCAATCACATTTTGACATGGATGTCCATGTTTCAATCATGCCTATCCAACAAAGTCTCCATAAAAGGCTCAAGAGGACTGGGTTTGGGGGCCTTCCAGAGAGCTGAACACATGGAGGCTGACAGGAAGGTAAACAAGAATTCATTCATGTGCTGTAAGGATGGCACACCTCAACTCCATGGATCAGAAGCTCCTGCACTCCAGACCTTTTCAGACCTTGTCCTATGCATCTCTTCATCTGGCTATTTATTTGTATTCTTTAAAATATCCTTTGTAATAAACTGGTAAACATAAGTAGGTGTATGGCTGAGATATGTGAGCCACTCTAGTAAATTAGTCAAATCCAAAGACAGGGTCATGGGAACTCCAACTTGAAGCTGGTCAGTTAGAATTTTCAGAGTCCTGAACCTGCTACTGGTGTCTGAAGGCTGGAGGTTGTCTTGGGGAATGAGCCCTCAACCTGTGGGATCTGACATTATCACTAGGTAGATAGTGTCGGAATTAAATTGGAGAACACTCAGCTGGTGTTCACTGCAGAATTAATTGCTTGCTTCCTGGCGGGGAGAAATCCCCACATATTTTGGGGTCACGGAAGACTCCTGTATTGATTGTTGTTGTATTATTGAGTGAGAAAATAGGAAAAAGCACATTAATTATTTTTTTCCACATTCAGAAGTCTTTAATTCATTTAGGTTGATTTTTGTATATGATGAAAGATGGGGATCTTGCTTCACTCTTTTGCTTATGGATATTGAATTTTCCCAGCATCATTTATTAAAGAGACTGTCCTTTCCCCAGTGTATGTTCTTGACACCTTTGTCAAAAATGAGTTGGCTGTGTGTGGATTTATGGGTTTCTATTTATAACTTTCTCCAGGTTTAGAAAGTTTTCTGTTATCAGGCCAGGTACAGTGGCTCATGCCTGTAATCCCAGCACTTTGAGAGGCCAAGGTGGGAAGATCATCTGAGGTCAGAAGCTCAAGACCAGCCTGGCCAACATGGCAAAACCCCATTTCTACTAAAACATACAAAAAGTAGCCAGGTGTGGTGGCAGGCACCTGTAATCCCAGCTACTCTGGAGGCTGAAGCAGGGAGAATTGCTCGAACCCGGGAGGCAAAGGTTGCAACCTGGGTGACAGAGCAAGACTCCATCTCAAAAAAAAAAAAGTTTTCCGTTATCATTTCTTTGAATAAGATTTTGACTCCTTTGTCTTTCTCAGTTCCTTCTTTAACACCAATAACCCAAATATTTGTTCTTTTGATGTTGTCCCGAAGATTCCATGAGCTAGCTTCCTTCCTTTTCATTCATTTTCGTTTTTCTCCTGCATATTTTATAACGGTCTCTTTGATCTGATTCTTTATTCTGTTTGATCAGTTCTGCTGTTGATGCTCTCTATTGCATTTTTCATTTCATTCATTGTATTTTTCAGTTCTAAGGTTTATGTTTAATTTTTTTAAGTATTTCAATCTCTGTTAAATTTGTCTGATAAATTTCTGAATTGACTCTGTGTTTGCTTGAAGTTTATTGAGCTTCCTTAAAACAGCTATTTTGAATTATTTACCTCATCACACATCTCCATCACTTTAGGGTTGGTCACTGGCAACTTTATTTTGTCCATTTGGTGAGGTCATATTTCCCTAAATGTTCTTGTTTTTTGTGGATGCGTGACAACGTCTGTGCTTTGAGGGATTAGGTATTTATTTTAGTCTTTGCAGTCTGGCTTTGTTTGTGGCTGTCCTTCTGCTGAGGGCTTTCCTAAAATTCTAAGCTGACTGCTGAGTTCCTTCAGCCTGTGACCACTGAAGCCATCTCAGCACTGGAGGGTGCTCTAAATCCAGGCTTGCAGAGGATCTCACAAGGACTCTGAGGTTGACATCGCTTTCTGGCCCAGATGGACTTGCAGAACACCCAAGGAGTATACTGGGGCTGTGTGGGGATGCTGGCTCACAACCTGAATCAGCTCAGCTAGCTAGGAGGAATAAGTTCTAATGTTTCATCGCACTGTAGAATGACTCTACTTAGCAATAATATATAGTTTCAAATAGCTAGTAGAAGGATATTGAGTGCTCACGACACAAAGAAATGATGTTCAAGATGATGAATATGCTAATTACCCTGATCAGATCACCATATGTTATATGTATTGCAACATCACTATGTACTCCCCAAATATGTACAATTATTATGTGCCAGTTTTTAAAAATTAAAAATTAAAAACTCTTAATTTTCTCCTTACCCATCATCTCCCAAATAAGACACAACTACATTGTATCTATTCTAGGTCATTGATTACAACCTTGTAAATAATAAATTGCTTGTTTGTTTTATCCCCTTCTAGGTTATAAACTCACTTTCTGGTGGAGCTAATTTAAGAAACATTTGTCAGTGTGCTTATGCCAGTCCCACACCAGCAGTGTATTGGCAAAGGAGTAACCAAGATCAATAAGGCTAAATTCCTGCTCCCAAAGTGTTTATGATCTATTATAGTAGAGTGACTATCAAAACTTGGCTGCAATTTGGAATTGCCCGGAGAGATTCTGATTTGATGGGCCTCAGATTGGTCAGGGATATCAGGAATTTTAATTTCCTGGATGATTTGATTGTGCAGCCAAAGTTGAGGAAAGTTGTTGCGTTAGAAGAAGCACCTCATTTCAATACAATACTGAGAGTTCTGAGGCTGAAGTAAGTAGTCACATAGTTCTATAAAAATCCCCGGGAGAGGCCAGACGTGGTGGCTCACCCCTGTAATCCTAGCACTTTGGGAGGCCGAGGCAGGCAGGAAGAAATAAGAAATATTTTCTAAACTAATGAGAGAACATGTGACATCTTTCCTCCATCCAAGTCCTCAGGCTTTTTTGACGTGATTCTTGTTTTGTCTTTGACTAAAGCAGAACTCATGCCCCGCACACTCACAGATGCAACGCCTTCAGTGCTAAAGCTGGGACAGGTGCTCACCCTCTCGGTTTCTCACTCTTACTTCTTCAGCCTTCTTTGTCTTCTGTCTGGGTGTGCCCTGTTGGAAGAGGATAACAACACATGTGTCACATTTAAAGCTTTATTAATGGACTGTGAGAAGTTCCAGCTAATTTTACCCAACCTTCACGCTTAGATATTACGCAAGAAGTGACGTGGCCTTATGATTTGGTAAAATTCAAAACAAATTTTTGTTCTGTAAAGCTCCACCTAACTGCCCACACAGTGAACTAGGATACTAATAAACTTGAAAATGTTCTAATTCCAATTTAGAGTGGTCCAGTTTTGAATATGTGACCTTGATCTTCATACAAATTTGGAGCACTCCTTTATAGCCAAAGGTCTGTGAAACAGCCTACACTCGTGGTCTCCCCTGCTTCACTTCTGCCTCCCTGCCCACTGCAGTCTCGCTTGTGTCCCCATACCTACAATGGAGATGCTTTCTGAAGATGGTCAGAACATTCCGATTGTCAGATTTTATGGACAACCCCCAGTGGGGTGGCTAAAGTGAAAAAGACTGACACTACCAAGTGTTGACAAAGATGTGGAAGAATCTGAACTCAAACACTGCTGGTGGGAATGTAAAATGGTAGCTTCACTTTGAAAAACAGTTTGGCAGTTTCTTAAAAAGTTGAACATACAGGCCGGGCATGGTGGCTTATGCCTGTAATCCCAGCACTTTGGGAGGCCA
This sequence comes from Homo sapiens, assembly GCF_000001405.40. Lineage (NCBI taxonomy): Eukaryota > Metazoa > Chordata > Mammalia > Primates > Hominidae > Homo > Homo sapiens. Next base: position 46,487,032 of record NC_000013.11, read on the forward strand.
AGGCCGGTGGATCACGAGGTCAGGAGATCGAGACCATCCTGGCTAACATGGTGAAACCCTGTCTTTACTAAAAATACAAAAAATTATCCCAGTGTGGTGGCACATGCCTGTAGTCCCAGCTACTCGGGAGGCTGAGACAGGAGAATCACTTGAACCCAGGAGGCAGAGATTTCAGTGAGCCAAGATCGTGCCATTGCACTTCAGCCTGGGAGACAGAGCGAGACTCTGTCTCAAAAAAAAAAAAAAAAAAAAAAAGTTGAATACGCACATACTATATGATCCAGCTATTTTACTCCTGGATATTTACCCAAGAGAAGGGAAAACACATTGTCTGTGTCAGTTTGTATTGCTACAGCAAAGTACTGTAGCATGAATGGCTTAAACAACAAACATTCATTTCTCACAGTTCTGGAGGCTAGAAAGTCTAAGATCAAAGTACCAGATAATTCAGTGCCTGGTGAGGATCCACTTTCTAGTTCATAGATGGCTGTCTTTTGCCTTCACATGGTAAAAAGAAAGCAAGGAACTCTTAGGGGTTCTTTTTACAAGGGCACTAATCCCATTAATGAGGGCTCCTCCCTCAAGGCCCAATTACCTCCCAAATACCCTACCTCCTAGGACTATCATTTTGGGAATTAGGATTTCAAGACATGAATTTGAGGACACGAACATTTAGTCCATTACACAAATGTTCATACAAAGACATAAATACAAATATTCAAAACAATTTTATTTGTAATAGCCCAAACTGGAGACAACCCAAATGTGCACCAACAGGTGAATGGGTAAACAAACTGTGTTCTATCCATACAATGGAATACTGCTTACAAAAACAAAGCAAAACAATGAATGAGCTATTGATACATTCTCCAACACAGATGACTCTCGGTTTCAAAATAATCAGCCCAAGTGAAAGTGAAAAAAGCCAGACAAAAGAGAGTACATACTCTATGTATTAGTCCATTTTCATACTGCTGTAAAGAAATACCTGAGACTGGGTAATTTATAAAGAAGAGAGGTTTAATTGGCTCATGGTTCTGCAGGCTGTAAGGAAGCATGGCAGCACCTGCTTCTGGGAAGGCAAACTGTCTTACATGGCAGGAGCAGGAGAAAGAGGGAGCAGGAGGTGCTACACACTTTTAAACAACCATATCTCACGATAACTCACTCACTCCCTATCACAAGAGCAGCACCGAGGGGATAGTGCTAACCCATTTATGAGAATTCTGTCCCTATAACCCAATCACCTCCCACCAGGCCCCACCTCCAACACTGGGGATTACAATTCGACATGAGATTTGGGTGGGGACACATATCCAAACCATATCACTGTAGTACTTCACTTACATAAAATTCTACAAAATACAAACTATAGTGACAGAAAGCAGATCAGTTGTTGCCTAAGAAGGAGGGTTCATGACAGGTGGGAAGGAGGGATTACAAAAGAAGAGGAGGAAATTTTAGGATGACAGAAGTTGTTATCTTGATTTTGGTGATCATTTTAGGGTATGTACATATGCTAAAACTTGTCAAACCATACACTTTACATATTTGTATTTAAATATCTTGTTATATGTCAATTGTACTGCCATAAAGCTGTTTTTAAAAAAAAAAATCCCATACACATGTTTAAGTCCTACATTTACTTGATTTAGCTGCAGTGTCTGAGAAAACTGGAAATTTCCTCCTCTTTGAAATGTTCCTCCCCTTCCTTGGCTTCCAGGACCTAATTCCCCTGAGCCCAAGTCTCTTTCTGCCATACCATACAAACGGTAAGAGATTCAGTGTTAGCTGTAAAGATGATTTTCGAGTTCCATCTGTGAATTTTAAGCAGATTGTCTTATTTGTCTATCATCATCTTAAGCAGCTACAATAACCACAGAAAAGCAGGGAAACTTCAAACCAACTTGCAACTTCGAATGTCTCTATCGATGCTTTTGTATTTCCTAGCTCCTGTGACACCAGAAAGGGGGATAGGTTCGCATTTCTGCGTATTTGGTATTTTTTGCATTTATAAATTTACTACCCCAACAGAATTGCAAGACAAAAGATTCTAAGAACCAACTGTGGGCCGGGTGAGGTGGCTTATGCCTGTAATCTCAGCACTTAGGGAGACTGAGGTGGGCGTATCACCCGAGGTCAGGAATTTGAGACCAGCCTGGCCAACATGGTGAAGCCACGTCTCTACTAAAACTACACAAATTAGCCAGGCGTGGTGGTGGGTGCCTGTAACCCCGGCTACTCAGGAGGCTGAGACGGGAAAATCGCTTGAACCCGGGAGGCAGAGGTTGCAGTGAGCCGAGATGGGTCCACTGCACTCCAGCCTGGGCGACAGAACAAGACTCTGTCTCAAAAAAAAAAGAACCAACTGCCAGTTAACTCAAAGGCCTTCCAGTGTGCCCTGCAAACCTGCAGAGACCTAAACGAGTTGATCTCCAGTTGCTCACATGAGCAGTCTCATCCTTCAAACAAGTCTGGTGCACACGGTGGGACTTGGCTGGGCTTTCGCCTCCTTAGATGCAGTGCAGGCAAACATCTCTAGCTGGACTGGAGACCCCCACCTTCACCCTGCTCAGGAAGAAAGGATAAAGGAGCATCTTGGTCATAGTCCTCCTCAGCCCTGCAGCCGCTCACACCAGAAGCATAAAGAAACGGAAAGTCACTGTGCTTCCAGAAAGTTGCTTTGCCTTCCCAGACAACGATTGAGTCACTTTTCTGAGATTTGTTGCCAACTTATTTTTAGTTTGCCCAAGAGTTGCCCAAATATGTTATGACATATGTTTCTTTAATAAGTCACCACATGTGGTTTGAATTTCTTTAAGAGAGGAAAAGAAATCTCCCAGGTGGTGGGTCTGTAGTTTTACCAGGACTCTGAGGCGCAGAGCCAGGAAACACAATCCCAAGTTTCTGCCCAAATGCCCTGAGTCACAATCATCAATGCTTGTAGGAGTCACATGCTTAGCTAGTGACAAGCGCCTGTTTGGAGATTCCCCTGTTTTACTAAATTCGAGGTTGTCCTCAGTAGCCATCTAATTTGGTTACTACCAAGCTTAATTTTTAGTCTTTTTCCAGGAAGCGTTTAGCTCAGTTTCTCTTTCAGATGGTATCAAAAGGGTTAATGCTTCTAAGATGCTTAGTTCAAAGATCTCACTACAAATGTGTTTGTTGACTGCTTCCAAATAAAGATTTAATCCCTTGCTCTGGCAGAAGCAATCCTTTCTATTTCCAGGAAGAAAACAAACACTGTCTGATAGGACTATTGCTTAAAAGCCAGGCAAATCCCACCTGATTAGGATAATGTGTGTGTTAAGATAAAGGAGAAACACCACCACATGCAGCAGTGAAGGGTAGGCGCCAGGCTGTGCTTGGGAAGCTGTGATTGCTATTGGCTCTTTTGGGATACAGAAGTGAGTTGGCCAGAGGGCACTATTAGTTCCCCAATCCGTCAAGGGATATTTGTATCATGAACTGGTATTGAAAGAGATGAAAAGTCAGAGAGTTAAAGCCAGTTACAGGGGTATAAAAGTAATCAAAGGCAATCAGTTCTCCCCCACCCCCACGCTTCCCTTTGGGGTAGATGTTTTCAGAGAACAGCTGCCTCTCAGAAGCAAACAGGCAGAGCTTCCTTTTCCACATTGACAAGAGTCTGAGCCTTGAGCCCCTGACCTTTGGAAATGGGATATATAGAGCATTACAGAAGAGCTTATCTGGAGTGACAGAATTAAAATGACTTCTTAATTTTGAAACCAAGAGAGGGAGAAGGATGAGATGGTCTTGCTGATATGTATAGCACAGTAGGTGCAATCAACTTTAATTTAAAGAAATCGGACGAATTGGCGTTTGCCGAGGCTGGCATAGATTTGGCTGTCTCCGCTCATAGCTGCTTTTGGCGCGAAAGATGCCGGGTCTGGTTGACTCAAACCCTGCCCTGCCTGAGTCTCAGGAGAAGAGGCCGCTGAAGCCCTGCTGCACTTGCCCGGAGACCAAGAAGGCACGCGATGCGTGTATCATCGAGAAAGGAGAAGAACACTGTGGACATCTAATTGAGGCCCACAAGGAATGCATGAGAGCCCTAGGATTTAAAATATGAAATGGTGGTCTGCTGTGTGAATAAATAATTCCTGAAGGATGAAGAAGATTAATTTTGGGAGTTCTTTGATGAACTTTGATATGTGGAAAAAGTATTTATAATTTATTGTAAGAAGAAAGTAAAATATTACTAGTGGAAAAAAAATCATCCATCAAAGACTGTAGCTAATATAAAGAAAAATAAAATAATGTGCAGTGAATTTCACCAGTGTAGACAATTGTCCAGAAAAAGAAAACACAAACTATACTTTGTTTTGTTTGGTTTTTGAGACAGAGTCTTGCTCTGTTGCCCCAGGCTGGAGTGCAGTGTTGTGATATCGGCTCGCTGCAACCTCCACCTCCCGGGTTCAAGAAATTTTCCTGCCTCAGCCTCCAGAGTAGCTGGGATTACAGGTAAGTGCCACCATGCCCAGCTAATTTTTGTATTTTTAGTAGAGACAGCGTTTCACCATGTTGGCCAGGCTGGTCTCAAACTCCTGACCTCAAGTGATCTGCCCATCTTGGCCTCCCAAAGTGCTGGGATTATAGGTGTGAACCACTGCTCCTGGCCGCTACACACAATTTCTTACCTATTTTGTATATGAGGAAATGAAGGCAGAGAGGAGTGAACTGCGTGGCAGAGCATGGATTCCCATGCAGTCTCAAGTGTCCAGATTCCTCCAAAGCACTCTTGCTACTCTGCTGGGCCCATGGGAGTGTGGTTAGTGGTTTTGTTCATTTGTTTTCATGGCATGGGTTTGTTTTTGTTTGTTTTGTTTTGTTTTAGTTGGAAACTGGAAGTGTGGAAGCCTGGTTAGTGATGGCCTCCTGCTGTATGTAAATAATTTTCAACATTTACTAAAATATTTTGTATATGTGTGTGCACGGAGAGCCCACACGTCCAGTGCAGGAATAGAGTTCCCTGCCCAGAGGAAGTACTGCACCACATGATGAACAGTGCATGGGACTGGAGTCAGGGGTCCATATTCCAGTCCGCATGCCATCAATTTTGGGTTGTGTGGCTTAGGGCAAGCAACGTCTCTCTAAGCTCATTTCTTTATCAATACACTGAGTCCTATCATCCTCATATATTTATATGGGAGGAATATCACAGTGCTTTCAGCTCTCTTTAGGTTTCCATTACATTAAGGGGTTAGTTTGACTTACTAAAGCTTTCTAAAAAACATACAGTGGCCATGGAAAATGTATCTTTTTATCTCCTTTTGGTCTAGGGGATCTGCAGACTTCATGGAAGTGATGCTGCCTTTATAGTCTCTGTACCAAATAACAGATCACATAGTGCAGTGAAAAAGGGAGAAGAATCTTGGAGTCCTTGGAGACAACTACTAGTTTTTCACTGTTCTTTGCTTCCATATGATTTTCTGCTTTGCTCTTCAGTTTATAGTAATTCAATCGACATTTACTGCAACTTTGTGCTAAGCATTGGGTGGCTGGGAATATGTAGTTACTTCCTCAAGACCAAAACTCTGTGCTCAAAAGCACAACCATTAGTGACGGATTCGGATAAATACAAAGCAAAGTACAATCAGTTGTCAGCCGTTATAGAGACTGGGAGGAGGTAGAGGCACCAAGAGAGAAATAGACAAATGTTTTTAACCAAGGGGACATGAGGATGAGGAGGACATGAGAGAGAGGAAAATGAAGTTAAATTTGTGGGCTGGATCATGAAGGTCCTTATATGACACATGGATGTGATCTAGCACTATGGAATTATAAAAGGGTTTTAATTCTGATCTCATGTATGTTAATTCTCTTTCTTTAGAGCAACTCCGCAGGACTCAAATACATTCCTGGGTTACCAACAAAGACATCACAACCACCCTGACTACATCTTTGGCAGGTAGGATATTCTGATTTAAAATTGTTTAAAAGCATGGTTAGTATCAGAAGCAATGAGTCTCAAGGAAGCAGTTTTCCTCCAGAGAGAAGCAAGATGCTATTTCCTGGATCCAAATTTCCCAGGACAAAACTTCTTGCATTTCTCTTTTAAAAAATGGAAGACCACAAGAGGGCACCAAACTTCATCTTTCCGGCTGAGAAAACAGCATCTGGGCATTGCAAAGTACAAAATGAAGAGGTGGCCAAAGGAACAAGTTGTTATTGTTTGTCTTTGTTCCCTAATAAAATTAGAAACATATCTTTATATTACTTTGCATGAATGTGAGTATTGATTTATTCTTCAAACTCCAAATCTGGGTTTAAAAACAACAAAACAAAATGATACAGTATTTTCTTTGCAATTGGATTCCCACCCAATATTCAAGGACTGACGAATAAGATAATGAACCATCCTCTTCCTGATACTTGTTTTCAAGGCTGAGCAACCTATAACTGCTGATAGGTGGCTTGTTCATTTATTTATTTATTTATTTATTTGAGATTGATTCTTACTCTGTCACCCAGGCTGGAGTGCAGTGGCACCATCTTGGCTCACTGCAACCTCTGCCTCCCGGGTTCAAGCAATTCTTGTGCCTCAGCCTCTCAAGTAGCTGGGATTACAGGCATGTGCCACCACACCCAACTAATTTTTGTATTTTTAGTAGAGATGGGGTTTCACCATGTTAGCTAGGCTGGTCTCGAACTCCCTACCTCAGGTGATCCGCCCACCTTGGCCTCCCAAAGCCCTGGGAATACAGGCGTGAGCCATTGGACCCAGCCTGTTTATTCCTTTAACAATACTTATTCAGGTTTGGTGATATGCTGGGCAAGTTGCTAGGTGTTAATACAAAGATAAAAAGGCATGGATCTTGGCTGGGTGCTGTGGCTCATGTCTATAATCCCAGCACTTTGGGAGGCCGAGGCGGGTGGATCACCTGAGGTCAGGAGTTCAAGACCAGGCTGGCCAACATGGTGACACTCCGTCTCTACTAAAAATATAGAAAATTTGCCACGTGTGATGGTGCATGTCTGTAATCCCAGCTACTTAGGAGGCTGAGGAAGCAGAATCGCTTGAACCCGGGAGGTGGAGGTTGCTGTGAGCCAAGATTGTGCCATTGTACTCCAGCCTGGCAACAGAGTGAGACTCCATCTCAAAAAAAAAAAAAAAAAAAAAAAAAAAAGACATGGATCTTGGGATCAAGGAGCTTATTGTGAGTAGGGGGTTGGGGAGTCAAGCAGCTGAACAAACAAACAAAAGTGGTCACTGATCTAAGGAAGGCATTTTAATGTTGTAGGAACACCAGAGAATGGCCATGTAACTTATGTATCTCCCATGAAACCTGGGCTGTTAACGCTGTTACGGGAGGAGCAATGGCCTGGGAGCTTAAGGAGCTTAGGTGTTAGTCCTGGCTGGGCCTCCGGCTGTGAGCTTCACCTCCTGGAGCTCAGTTTACTCACCTCTGAATTGACACCATCTTCCCTCCAATCTGTAAAACTTTCTGGCTTCAACATAAAATTGGCCATTTCCATTTCAGTGCAAAGTTTTTTGTTTTTTGTTTATTTTTTATTATGGTGAAATATACATAATGTAAAATTTACCATTTAAACCATCTTAAGTGTACAATTCAGTGGCATTAAGTACTTTCACACTGTTGTGTAGCCATCACCCTCATCCATCACCAGAGCTTTCTATCACCCCAAACTGAAATAACAACTTCATATTCCCCCACCCCTCAGCCCTGACAGCCACCATTCTTCTTTCTGTCTCTATGAATTTGACTACTCTAAGTTCCTCAATAAGTGGAATCATAGAGTAGTTGTCCTTTTGTGTCTAGCTTATTTCACTTAGCATAATGTCTTCAAGGTTGATCCATGTTGTGGGTTGTGTCCACATTTTCTTCCTTTTTATGGTTGAATAATATTCCATTGTATGTGTATGGCAAAGTCATTTTGAAGTGGCTGTTTCAGACCCCACCAATCACATAATGGGAAGAAGGAGAGCCCTAGAAGAGCAAACTTGCTCCCTTCTCTCCAGATCCAGGACAGCCAATTTAGAACTCAGTGTTCAGAGGGCCTTGCTACTTCTGCTGGGGCAGCTCATTCCTTTCACAAGCTATGCTTTAGCTCCTAGTGTCTTAGTCCTTTGGTCTACTATAACAAAGTACCATAACCTAGGTGGCTTATAAACAACAGAAATTTATTTCTCACAGTTCTGGAGGCTAAGAATCCAAGATCAAGGTGCCAGCAGATTTGGTATCTGATAAGGGCCCATTTCCTCATTCCATGGAGGTGTTTTCCAGCTGTGTCCTCACATGGTAAAAGGGGCAAACAAGGTCTCTGGGGCCTCTTTTGTAAGGGCACTAATCCCATTAATGAGGGTTCCCATGACCTAAACACCCCCCAAATTTCCCATCTTCTAAAATCATTACCTTGGGGGTTAGGATTTTAACATGTGAATTTTAGAGGGACACATTCAGACCGTAACAACTACTCATGAAATGGCCCTTCCTTCTTATTTGTTGAGCAGGAATCTTGTCTCTACCTCATAGGAAAGAAAATATTTCATTATCCAAGTGTCCTGAACAGGGAAGACCAAGAAAATAAAGATATACTACTTTCTCTTCTTTACCTGAGAAGGCAGCAAAATAAGATGCCAGGAGCAAAAAAGAGCTGTGTGTTAAGGGTATTTAGAACCTGATTTCTCCATTCATGCAATTTATCACCGACCAGAAAATCAAGTATGGAAAATGTGGTCTTAATTACTACCACGTGAAATTGCTAAGTGATGTGGTTGCGAGGAATTAGACTTCTGGAAGAAGAAGAAAACAAAAAGCCAGTTTGTTCAAATAGAATTTTATGCCTTGCTCAAATGTAGACTAGAGGCATGTAGGTGACCATTGGCTCAAAGCATCGCTGTTGGAAACCAGACAAGGAATATATTGACTTTGAGAACATTTGCCAAACCTACTCACAATAAAATAATATGGTTTCATTTTCAAAGTGCCTCAAATGTGAGACTCTCTTGGAAGTTCACAATGCCTAATTCCCTGTCCTGCTTGAACGCTTTCTACAAGTATAGAGTAAAAAGTAGATTTGGGGTCTGGGCAGGGTTCGCTGCGAGGCTAAAGTATTTCCCATGAAGACTAAAGGACACCATTGATAGAAGGCTTGAGTTTTCCCAGAATTGAAATAGACGAGAAACATAGAATTTCATATTAACACACTCACAATGCATAAAGCTTAAAATAAATCAGGCTGGTCGAATAGAAAACAGATGGCAAGGCTTTTGTCCTTTTTTCTTGAAGGCCAATTTTGTGGTGAAGTGCTCCAGAAATTGTGTGTTGGTTAGATGGGTGTGCAGGCTCTGGAATCTGGTCTTAAACCCCAATTCAATTCAACCTTTCCTAGATATGTAGCCTTGGGCCAGCTAGTTAAATTTTTTGAGGTTCAGTTTTCTGTGAGATGGAGATAATAATATTATCTGTATTACAGGATTTTATAAGAATAAAATGATAAGTACTTTTTTTTTTTTTTTTTAAGACAGAGTCTCACTCCATCACCCAGGTTGGAATGCAGTGGTGTGATCTCGGCTCACTGCAACCTCTGCCTCCCAGGTTCAAGAGATTCTCGTGCCTCAGCCTCCCAAGTAGCTGAAATTACAGGTGTGCCACCACGCCCAGCTAATTTTTGTATTATTAGTAGAGACAGGGTCTCGCCGTGTTGGCCAGGCTGGTCTCCAACTCCTGACCTCAAGTGATCTGCCCTCCTCAGCTTCCCAGAGTGCAGAATTACAGATGTGAGCCACTGTGCCTGGCAGATAAGTACAAATAATTAAACAATAAATATGGACTGGGCACAGTGACTCACACCTGTAACCCAGCACTTTGGGAGGCCAAGGCAGGAGGACTGCTTGGGCCCAGGAGTTCCAGACTAGCCTGGGCCACATAGCAAGGCTCCATCTCTACAGTAAATAAATAAATAAATAAATAAATGAAACTAGCTGGGCATGGTGGCGCACACCTGTGGTCCCAGCTAATCGGGAGGCAGAGGTGGGAGGATGGCTTGAGCCAGGGAGTTTGAGGCTGCAGTGAGTCATGATCACACCACTACACTCCAGCCTGGGTGACGGAGCAAGACCCTGTCTCAACAAAAATTAAATGAAAAAAAAAAACAGGAAAAAAAAAAGTAAAACCTTTGGCATGATGGCGTTGTTATTGTTGTTGTTGTTATTGTTATAATTATTATTAAATATTTTTAGGATTGGATGTTTTTTCTCTTAGCTTACTAATCTCTAAGTAAATACAATAAGGGAGGCAGCATGCTATAGAAAAGAAACCAGTGGTCTCTGCCCATAAGTATCAAGGACCTTAGAGAAAGCATTATGTCTCTCATCTCAAAGCTAAATTTGATCTTCTGTATTATGGTGATGCAGGGTGTATGAACTTTACTCGACAAACTTGGGTATACTGGACACTTATTTTTCTGAAGCCAAGTAAACTCTGACCCTGGGCGCACAAAGGAGGCAAGAAATTTAGTCTTGGTCTTGTTGATAGTCTCCTCCCTCCCCGAGGAACATTTAAGAAGGGGGTCCTTGATCTTTAGTCCATATACTGTGCTGGTGCAAGGTCCTTTGTCCAAGTCCCTTGAAGGTGGGTCACTCTGATCATTCTTTGCCAAACTTGAGCATAGGGTCTTGGTCAGGAGCAAAGAGCCCCAGGGTACAGTGCGCACCCACCCTTAGTGTTCCAACCAGACATTTCCTTCTAAAGCCCAGTCACCTCCTAGAGGGATGGGGGCTCAGGTCACCAATACTTTCCCACAGTCCATGTTACAGACTTGGCAAAAGCCTTCTCCCCACTCTGTTAGCACAGTTTCTACAACCTACCACTTCCAAGGCACTCACTCTTCCCTTTCTAGGAAAATACAGTAGAATCCCCTTTAGGCTTTGCAGAGCAAATGCCAGGAAGGTGATACTGGTGATGGAATTATCTCCAAAAAACCTTTTTTTTGAGACTGAGTCTCACTCTGTTGCCCAGGCTGGAGTGCAGTGGCATGATCTCACCTCACTGCAACCTCCACCTCCCAGGTTCAAGCAATTCTCCTGCCTCAGCCTCCCGAGTAGCTGGGATTACAGGCACCTGCCACCGTGACTGGCTAATTTTTGTATTTTTAGTAGAGATGTGGTTTCACCATGTTGGCCCAGCCTGGTCTTGAACTCCCGACCTCAGGTGACCTACCTGCCTAGGCCTCCCAAAGTGCTGGGATTACAGGTAAGAGCCAATGCACCTGGCCTCCAAGAAACCTTTGCTTTGGCCTTTAAGCCAAAGAACACAAAGATTCAGCCACCTCTAGAGTCAAAATAAAAGTGTCCATGCATGGTGGCTCAAGCCTATACTCCCAGCACTTTGGGAAACTGAGGTGGGAAGACTGCTTGAGGCCAGGAGTTTGAGACCAGCCTGGGCAAGATAACAAGACCCAATCTCTAAAATAATAATACAAAATAAAAGATAAAAATCCAATGATAATACAGCACAAATTAACATCTCAATAAATATTCCTTCAAGCTGATTGAACTAGTTTGATGATTCTCATTTTTCCCTTCTATTACTATTTTCTTGTTTCAAAATATCATCTTTCAAATATCATATAATCAGAAGGGTAATTTATTAAGTAATTGCTTGTACAGATTTATCTTAGCTAAATATAGTTCTATCAGACTTTTTGAGATAATGGCCCTCATGTCAAGAGGGTCCCTTCCTGGCTGCCATGAGTTATACAAGGAGGGCCAGGACAGATTCTACAATGTCACATGATACGTGATCAGGAAAAGCCTTTACTCAGTGCAGTGAGGCAGAGGTGACTGTGGCCCCCCCAGTCTCTCCACTGTTCCTGGATGAGGACCACACCTGGAGAGGTGTGCAAGGCCACGGTTCCTTTTCAGGGGAGGGACTTTTCCCCTTTGTGTCTGTGTTCTTATAGGACAAATGTGATGAAGTGGCCTTATCAGGAACACTTAGACTGCATGGCCTACTGTGTACAAACTTGTCTCGGAACACCAGAGCCTCTGCCATGGGGGACTTAGAGCTGCTGGGGCCCAACACCCATGGACATTATAACTATACACCCCCTATACATACACACACACACACACACACACACACACACACACACACACACACGGCAACTGGGGGTGTGGAGGAAACCATTGTCCAGTAGGAAGCTGAGCTTGGGTGAGCTCCTTTTTCTGGGAGAAAGAGGGTCTCCGGGGTCCCACGTAGCTGGTTCTCTCTTTCTTTCTCCCTCTGCTTTTGCCACTAAGTATTTTCAAGTTTAACCTATTTTGAACTGTCATTTCTTTAAGCATGCAGGCCTTCCAGTTTCTCTCCTTTTTCTGTTTCCCTTTTGGAATAAAATGGAAAAAATGGAGAAAAATGTGTTTCTGAGACCTTCTCAGAGAGTTCGGTATGTGGTTGGAAGAACTACCTTACCTTGGTAAGTGGCTCAGATTGGGAATGTGGATGGAAAGAAACTATTGAGTCTTGTCCTTAAATAGCAGGTTAAACCACTGAATTTCGGGGAGCTGTTGAGGAGAAGCTGAGTGCCTTGTGGAAGAACACACCGTGAGGAGGAGCCTGAGAGAGCTGGTCACTGAGAAAATCATCATCCGAGAAGAAGTGGTGACATTGTGTGCTTAGAGGAGTGTGATTCCTCCCTTTTCTCTACCTGCCTTATGAAACACTCAGTAAATTCTACTTTTCCCACTACCTCTTTTGGTGTGAGCAGTTTATTTTAGAGCCCTCCAAAGAGGTACTGTGGTCCTTCACAAGGTTGGCAGGGTGGAAGAAGGTGGAGGAAGACCAGTTAGGGATTAACCAGACACCTGAAAAGACTTTCTATCTTTTCTTTACCTATTCATTTATTATCCTCCTGTCATCTCTTTCCCCTTGAGCCTATTCAAGGATCTCCCCTCTCTCACGTTTCCATCTCTGGCTCCCTCATGGGCTCCTCTTCCTCCGAGGTCAACAGGTCTTTGCTCGTCCCCACTGTCGAGTTTCCTAGAGTCAGCCGTCACGACTGGGGTCAATAGAGAGAACTATAAGCTGCCTCTCACAAAATAGCCAATAATGGTACTACAACTTACTGAGTTTTTATATATATTGATTGTGGTGCTAGGTACCTCACATATATAATTTCAGTTAGTCTTTTTAACTACTCTGTATAGCAAATATTATTATTGCTTTGTCACAGAAAGCAAACTGAGAGTCACTGGCTTGATGTTCCATGGGCTTGAACTATTTTTACTTCCAAACAGGCTGCTAGTTAAAGTCAGGACAGTCGATAGGCAGGAGGATGATAAGAGCACAGCGGCTGAGGCCAGGCATGGTGGCTCATGCCTATAATCCCAGCACTTTGGGAGACCAAGGTGGGCAGATCACCTGAGGTCAGGAGTTCGAGACCAGCCTGGCCAACATGGTGAAACCCCATATCTACTAAAAATACAAAAATTAGCCAGTGTGGTGGTAGGCACCTGTAATCCCAGGTACTCGGGAGGCTGAGGCAGGAGAATTGCTTGAACCCTGGAGGCAGCGGTTGCAGTGAGCCGAGATCATGTCATTGCCCTCTAGCCTGGCGACAAGAGTGAGACTCAAAAAAAAAAAAAAGTAAAAAAAGAGCACAGCTACTGAGAGTTCCATCTGCCTTCATCTCTTTGCTGCAGATTTCATTTAAAAACTGAATGTGTGTAGGTTATTAAAATTGCTGGGCTGGGCGCGGTGGCTCATGCCTGTAATCCCAGCACTTTGGGAGGCTGAGGTCACCTGAGGTCAGGAGTTCGAGACCAGGCTGGTCAGCATGGTGAAACCCTGTCTTTACAAAAAAAAAAAAAAAAAAAATTAGCCAGGCATGGTGGCAGGTGCCTGTAATCCCAGCTACTCAGGAAGCTGAGGTGGGAGAATTACTTGAACCCGGGAGGCGGAGGTTGTAGTGAGCTGAGATCGCACCACTGCACTCCAGCCTGGGCAACAGAGCAAGACTCCATCTCAAATAAATAAAATAAAATAGACTGAGGTTGACTTCAGGCTTTTACATTATCTCTTTTCAGCCTAGGAATAATCATGAAGCAATAATGCTGCCATGGAAAAGTAAAAGTTGGAGTAATTAATATTTCATGGGCCGGGCATGGTGACTCACGCCTGTAGTCACAGCACTTTGGGAGGCCGAGGCGGGCGGATCACCTGAGGTCAGGAGTTCAAGAGCAGCCTGGCTAACATGGTGAAACCCCGTTTCTACTAAACATACAAAATATTAGCCGGGAGTGACGGCGCGCGCCTGTAATCCCAGCTACTTGGAAGGCTGAGGCAGGAGAATCACTTGAACCTAGGAGGCGGAGGTTGCAGTGAGCCTAGATCATGCCATTGCGCTCCAGCTTGGGCAGCAAGAGCAAAACTCCATCTCAAAAAAGAAAAAAAAATTTATTATTTCTATTTATTTATCTTGTTTTTCTCTTTATGCTGTTTGAAATCACAGTAGACTATGTCAGCAAGAGCATAAAAGTACCACTTAGTTTAAATCCTGCTATGTCTTAAAGAAATTATAATGGTAAGTTGTGGGAATTCTAGAGATGCAATTGAATAGAGAGTGGAAATTGGATTATAAAGCCAATAGCTGTGTTTTTTATTTTAAAATTGTTTTGTACATATTATGTATTATATAAAAGACTCATATTTGCTGCAGATATGTATTCATCATATTCTGACTTAGAAGAAACATGTTCTATCCATGTCAGAGTTTAGAAAGAAATGTTAATTATCTTTCTATTGATTTTCTCTGATTTGAGTTAATTGATTTTGTTAGCATAATTGTTATTCTACCATTCCTTAGCTTCATTGTGATCAAAATACACAGTAAAGAAAATTATGAGGGGAATTCTTACTATCTGATTTAATATTTCATGTAGAGCTACAATAGTCAAGACAGCTTGGTTTTGGAGAAAGAATATACATATAGAACAACAGCGCCAAATCCAAAAATAGACCCATACATATATGGTCTATTGATTTTTTTTGACAAAGATGGAAAGACAATTCACTGGAGAGAGAATAGTCTTTTCAACAAATTTGCTGAAACATATACACATCTATATGCAAAAACATGAAACTTGCTCCAGAAATTAACTCAAAGTGTATCATAGATCTAAATGTGAAAGCTAAAACACTAAAACTTCTAAAAGTAAACATAGGAGAAAAATCTGTGTGACCTGGGTTACAAATGGATATTTTAGAAACTACACAAAAGACACTTCCTATAGAAAAAAGACACATTAGACTTTATCAAAATTAAGAACCTCTGTTTTTTGAAAGAGCTATTAAAAGAATTGAAAGGCAAGTCAGACCAAGAGAAAATATTTGCAAATTATATAACTGATCCAGACTATATAAAGAACTCTCAAAACTCAATAGTAGGAAAACAAACAACATTTTTAAAATAGAGAAAATACTTGAACAGACAATTAGTGATGAATGGTAAATAAGCGCCTGAAAAGGTGGTCATTACTAATACCATTAGATATTAGAAAAATACAAATTAAAACCACAGTGAGAGACACACCTACTAGGATGGCTAAAACAAAATCAATAACCTGACAATACCAAGTCCAGGCAAGGAGTTACTAGCTTTCTCACAAGCTGCTGGTGGGAATACAAATTGGTACAGCCACTTTAGAAAATAATTTGGCAATTTCTTATAAAGTTAAACATACACTTACATAGGACCTAACACTCTCACTCCTAACTGTTGACCAATAAAATGAAAATGTATGTTGACATAAAAACCTGTATGTAAATATTTGTAGTAACTTTATTTGTAATTACCCAAAACAGAAAATTACACGAATTCCTCTCAATGAATAAACAAGCTACAGTATACCATAAATATCCATGACTGGATATCAGAGCATCTACCCATCGTCTCTTCCTATGACCTGGGTTTCTTATGGCAAGAAGTATTCATTCAATAGAATACTCAGTAGTGAAAAAGAATGAGTTAGTAACACACGCAACAATGTGGATGAATCTCAGAGCATTGTGTTAGGGAAAGAATCTAGACCAAAAAAGAGTACATTCTGTGTTCTTCCATTTATATGATATTCTGGGAAAGGCAAAACTATAGGGACAGAAAACAGGTAACTGTGGTGGGAAAGGGTCAATTCTAAGGGGACACCGGGTTTTAGTGGTAGTCACAATGATGTGACTTTGACAACATATGCAGGACTATACACTAAAAAAGGGTGAATATTTATGCATTTTACTGCATACCTTGAAGAAAAAAAAGAAAGAATACCTGAGATTCAAACACACGATGTAATTGCTCAAGTCACATTGCAAAGACCTGGAGTACTAGGTCAGGTCTGCCTGTAACACTCCAAGTTTTTTTTTTTTTTTTTTTGAGTCATCCAGTCTGGAGTGCAGTGGTACAATCTTGACTCACTGCAACCTCTGCCTCCTGGGTTCAAGTGATTCTCCTGCCTCACCCTCCTGAGTAGCTGGGATTACAGGCATGCGCCACCATGCCCAGCTAATTTTTATATTTTTTGTAGAGATGGGGTTTCACCATGTTGGCCAGGCTGGTCTCAAACTCCTGACCTCAAGTGATTGGCCCAACTCAACTTCCCAAAGTCCTGCGATTACAGGTGTGAGCTACCACACTCAGC
Organism: Homo sapiens; assembly: GCF_000001405.40. NCBI lineage: Eukaryota > Metazoa > Chordata > Mammalia > Primates > Hominidae > Homo > Homo sapiens. Next base: position 46,503,707 of record NC_000013.11, read on the forward strand.
TAGGTAACACCCCAAGTTTTTAACAAATGCCTTACATACATTCTATATCATTTGAATAAATATGTTGATTTGAGTGAATTTAGAGTTTCAGGTAATCCTCTGAGAGTTAAACTAGTGAAAATAAGTCAATAAAGCAATTGTTATTATCTGTCTCCTCCTGACTCTCTATGTGTTTCTTCCCAGTCTCCTTAGCCGATGCCTCCTCCTCAGACACCCCACAAGTATTGGTGTCCTGGCCCCTATTTGTTCCTACTCTCCATCCATGGGTGATAGTCTCTATTTCCAGGGCTTTTCTTCTTCTGTTTGTTTGTTTTAAACAAAAGTAGAACTGTCTTTATTGCAAATGACATAATCTTTGCTACAGAAATATTCCAGGACTTTTTGATAATCGCTTGCATGGCTGTGAGCCTCAGATCTATGTTTTCAGCTTAGGCTTTGTCTTAAACCCTGTTCTGAAACTTAGGACTTAAATATTTTGTTTTTCTTATATTTTGTGCATCAGGAATTCAGGAAGGGCTCAGCTGGGTGGTTAGTAATGATCCCTGTGGCATCCACCAAGTTGCTGGAGCTGGAGGAGCCACTTCAGGATGTGGCTTCTTCATGCACATGTCTGTGTCTGGGAAGGGATGGCTGGTGCTGAGACTGTGAGTTCAGCTGGGCCTGAGTCCATCTACCCATGGTCTCTCCATGTCACCTGGGGTTCTTACGGCACAGTCACAAAAAAATTTTAATTTTTCTGTAATCAAAAATGTTGAATTTTGCCTTACAGTTTATGTTTTCAAGACTGTGTTGGAGGAGTTCTTTGCCACTTCATGTTATAAAGTAGGAAACACTGCATAGATGGTCAGCCACATGCCTCAGAAAAATGAAGAATGAATTCTAGCAGACACCCTCATGGGGTTGTGTGAGATTTAATATGATACTGGATCCTTAAATTACTGTGCAGCACAAAGCTGCCTAACCAACCTGAATACTCAGCTAGGAATTATTATGTGTGATCGAAATACAGGCATAAACCCAGCACTTTGGGAGGCTGAGGCCAGTGGATCACTTGAGCTCAAGAGTTTGAGACCAGCCTGGGCAATATGGTGAAATCTCATCTCTGCAAAAAAATACAAAAATTAGCCAGGCACGGTGGCACCTATCTAATAGTTTTACTCTTCTCTTTTATTTTAGTTTCTTTTCTCAGAATTTCAAATCTTTCCATTAACTTTATTATTAGTTTTACTGTCCATCAAAGGCAACTAATAAGGTTTATGTTCCGAAAGGTGAAGTGCCAATAATAAAATAGAAAACATTATGTCATTTACGTGATCTCTTTCTGATTTGAGTGTTACTTATCATAGGGTTACTTTAAAAATACTTATTTAGGGTCGTGCCGACTGCCTGCCCAGCATCCACTGCCGCTGCGGGAGTGTGGGTGGAAACCATCTCCCCAGGAGAAGGGTGCACCTTCCCGATGCATGGCCAGAGCTGCGTGTTGCACTACACCGGTATGCTTGAAGGTGGAAAGAAAATTCATTCTCCCCTGGACAGAAACAAGTTCTTTAAGTTTATGCTAGGCAAGCAGGAGGTGATCTGAGGTTGGGAAGAAGGGGTTGCTCAGAAGAGTGTGGGCCAGAGAGACAAACTGACAACATCTCCAGATTATGCCTACGGTACCACTGGGCACCCAGGCATCATCCCACCACATGCCACTCTCGTCTTCGATATGGAGCTTCTAAAACTGGAATGACAGGAATGGCCTTCTCCCCTAGCTCCCTGTTCTTGGATCTGCTATGGAGGGATCTGGTGCCTCCAGATGCATGCACATGAATCCATATGGAGCTTTTCCTGATGTTCCACTGCAGGCTGTATAGACATCTGCCCTGACTGAATGTATTCTGTCACTCAGCTTTGCTTCAAAACCTCCATTTCCTCTTCCCCTTTCTCCTCATATGTGTGTTTACCTAAACTATATGCCATAAACCCCAAGTTATTCATTTTATTTTGTTTCCATTTTGGGGTGAAGATTCAGTTTCAGTCTTTTGGATCTAGGTTTCCAATTAAGTACATGGTCAAGTACTTTTTTATATATTTTTGTTTATTATACTTTAAGTTCTAGGGTACATGTGCACAATGTGCAGGTTTGTAACATATGTATACATGTGCCATGTTGGTATGCTGTACCCATTAACTCATCATTTACGTTAGGTATATCTCCTAATGCTATCCCTCCCCACTCCCCCCACCCCACAACAGGCCCCGGTGTGTGATGTTCCCCTTCCTGTGTCTAAGTGTTCTCATTGTTCAATTCCCACATATGAGTGAGAATATGCAGTGTTTGGTTTTTTGTCCTTGCGATAGTTTGCTGAGAATGATGGTTTCCGGCTGCATCCGTGTCCCTACAAAGGACATGAACTCATCCTTTTTTATGGCTGCATAGTATTCCATGGTGTATATGTGCCACATCTTCTTAATCCACTCTATCACTGTTGGAAATTTGGGTTGGTTCCAAGTCTTTGCTATTGTGAATAGTGCCGCAATAAACATACGTGTGCATGTGTCTTTATAGCAGCATGATTTATAATCCTTTGGGTATATACCCAGTAATGGGATGGCTGGGTCAAATGGTATTTCTAGTTCGAGATCCCTGAGGAATCTTCCACAATGGTTGAACTAGTTTACAGTCCCACCAACAGTGTAAAAATGTTCCTATTTCTCCACATCCTCTCTAGCACCTGTTGTTTCCTGACTTTTTAATGATTGCCATTCTAACTGGTATGAGATGGCATCTCATTGTGGTTTTGATTTGCATTTCTGTGATGGCCAGTGATGATGAGCAGTTTTTCATGTGTCTGTTGGCTGCATAAATGTCTTCTTTTGAGAAGTGTCTGTTCATATCCTTCACCCACTTGTTGATGGGGTTGTTTTTTTCTTGTAAATTTGTTTGAGTTCTTTGTAGATTCTGGATATTACCCCTTTGTCAGATGAGTAGATTGCAAAAATTTTCTCCCATTCTATAGGTTGCCTGTTCACTCTGATGATAGTTTCTTTTGCTGTGCAGAAGCTCTTTGGTTTAATGAGATCCTATTTGTCCATTTTGGCTTTTGTTGCCATTGCTTTTGGTGTTTTAGACATGAAGTCCTTGCCCATGCCTATGTCCTGAATGGTAATGCCTAGGTTTTCTTCTAGGGTTTTTATGGTTTTAGGTCTAACATTTAAGTCTTCAATCCATCTTGAACTAATTTTTGTATAAGGTGTAAGGAAGAAATCCAGTTTCAGCTTTCTACATATGGCTAGCCAGTTTTCTCAGCACCATTTGTTAAATAGGGAATCCTTTCCCCATTTCTTGTTTTTGTCAGGTTTGTCAAAGATCAGATAGTTGTAGATGTGTGGTATTATTTCTGAGGGCTCTTTTCTGTTCCATTAGTCTATATCTCTGTTTTGGTACCAGCACCATGATGTTTTGGTTACTGTAGCTTTGTAGTATAGTTTGAAGTCAGGTAGCGTGATGCCTCCAGCTTTGTTCTTTTGGCTTAGGATTGACTTGGCAATGCGGGCTCTTTTTTGGTTCCATATGAACTTTAAAGTAGTTTTTTCCAATTCTGTGAAGAAAGTCATTGGTAGCTTGATGGGGATGGCATTGAATCTATAAATTACCTTGGGCAGTATGGCCATTTTCACAATTTTGATTCTTCCTATCCATGAGCATTCTTCCATTTGTTTGTATCCTCTTTTATTTCATTGAGCAGTGATTTGTAGTTCTCCTTGAAGATGTCCTTCACATCCCTTGTAAGTTGGATTCCTAGGTATTTTACTCTCTTTGAAGCAATTGTGAATGGGAGTTCACTCATGATTTGGCTCTCTGTTTGTCTGTTATTGGTGTATAAGAATGCTTGTGATTTTTGCACATTGATTTTGTATCGTGAGACTTTGCTGAAGTTGCTTTTAAGATTAAGGAGATTTTGGGCTGAGACGATGGGGTTTTCTAGATATACAATCATGTAATCTGCAAACAGGGACAATTCATGGTCAAGTATTGACAGCACAAGTGATAGGTTAACTTTAGAACAGGAATTGGTGTTGGAGGGGGTTGCAAGAATATTTTAATTTTTTGGGTGAAATTTTTACTGTATATTAAATATTCTTGCTGCTGCGCTGCAAAGCCATAGCACATTTGAAGTGCTGTTGAGGGCTGAATTATTCTCCAAGTTGAGAGATGCCCTTAAGTGAAATTAAAAGCCCTACCTAAAACTGAGGTGGGGAAGGGGAGAGCCTTTGCCTCCACCAGTCCCACCTACCCTCCCCTTAAACCCTCTGCCTTTGAAAGCAGATCATGTTCACTGTAATGCTGGACACTACAGGTGTCTGTCCCTGGACCAGCAGGGACCTCTGAAGCCTTCTTTGTGGTCTGGCTTTTTTTTTTTTTTTTCCCCCATCCTGTGGTTTTTCTAATGGACTTGAAGGAATTTCGTAATCTCATAACTTTCCAAGCTCCACCACTTCCTAAATCTTAAGAACCTTAATTGGCAGTTTCAGTTGAAGATGCTGTTTGTAGACTTAACACCCAATGAAAGTCCAGCCATCATGACAAATCCTTGAATGTTCTCTTAAGAAAATGATGCTGGTCATTGCAGCTTCAGCATCTCTTATTTTTTGATCCTTGGTTCCCTCTGCTGATCTCAAAGTTTCCTGGCTTTTCCTTCTTCAGGCCCTTTTCACCCCTTTGCTGTCCTGTGTAGTGAGTTGGTGAGAAAAATTTTTGCTGCCCCCTCCCCTCAGCATCATATATGAGTTTCAAGTTTTATTATTGCAAAAAAAACATATTTAAGTATTTTTATTTTTGTATTTATTTATTTTATATTTTATATTTATTTCTTTTATATTCTTATATAAAAGCTTATTAAGTATTTTTATTTCTTTTCTTTCTTTCTTTGTTTGAGATAGGTCTCACTCTATTACCCAGGCTAGAGTGCAGTGGTGTGATTATGGCTCACTGCAGCCTCAACCTGCCAGTCTCAAGTGACCCTCCTACCTCAGTCTCCCAAGTAGCTGGGACTACAAGCATATGCCACCATGCCTGGCTAGTTTTTGTATTTTTTGTGGAGATGAGATTTCACCATATTGCCCAGGCTGGTCTCAAACTCCCGAGTTGAAGTGATCCACCGGCCTTGGCCTCCCAAAGTGCTGGGATGACAGGCATGAGCCACTGCTCTTGGCCAGTATTTTAATTTCTTATAAGAGTATGCTTATACTCTACTTTAAGTATTTTTAGGTCTCTTTGCAGTAGCAGATTAACTTTCCCTAACTCATACATCCATCTTACAGATAAGGAAATGAAGCTTGGAGGGGTCATACAACTTTCCAAAGCTTATCCAGCCAGAAGGCAAACCTCCAGGTAATTCAACTCCAGGTAAGTCAACATTGTGGCCCCCTGAAGTTGGCAAAAACTGCAATTACTTTTGGACCACCCTAACAGTTTTACTCTCCTTTTTTATTTTAGTTTCTTTTCTCAAAATTTCAAATCTTTCCATTAACTTTCCTGTTAGTTTTACTGTTCATCAAAGGCAACTTATAAAGTTTATGCTCCAAAAGATGAAGTGTCAATAATAAAATAGAAAACATTATGCCATTTAAGTGACCTCTTTCTGATTCAAGTGTTACTTATCATAGGGCGAACTTTGGAGAAAGCCACAGTTCAGTTTCTATGCACTGAAAAGTGTGATCTCAGTGACGGTAAGCACTGCTAGCCAGCACAGTGGTGATAGACTAGGAGAGTAATTTAAGTTGGTGATATGGTTTGGCCATTTGTCCTGCCCAAATCTCATGTTGAAAGATAATCAACATGTTAGAGGTGGGCCCTGGTGGAGGTTGTGGGAGTGGATTTCTCATGACTGGTTTAGCGCCATCTCCTTGGTTCTGTCCTCACAATAGCGAATGATTTCTCACAAGATCCGGTTGTTTAAAAGTGTGGCACCTTCCCCATCTCCCTCTCTTGCTCCATCCTGCCATGTGACACACTGGCTCCCCTTCACCTGCCACCATGATTGAAACTTCCCCAAGGCCCTCACTAGAAGTAGATGCTGGCATCATGCTTCCTGTACAGCCTGCAGAACTGTGAGCCAATTAGACCTCTTTTCCTTGTAAACTACCCAGCTTCAGAAATTACCTCTTTCTTTATAGCAGTGCAAGAACTGTCTAATACAGGTAGACATCAAGAAGAAATTTTATCCTATACAGTCAGATAAAAAGAATATGGATAAATATTCACATGAAATATTCTATGAATAATTTGAAGAGATTGACACGTGTTGCATTAGCTGCTGTGACACCTGGGAAGTAAGACTGTTTTGTAGTCATTGTAACACTTACTCTTTACTCCAACAATCATCCTGGGAGGTAGATAATTATAGCAATTTAAGACATGAGGAAACTGACAGATGAAGCAACTCTACAGGGTGTAGTAACTCCTGGACAACACCTCCAGGAGCTGCCTGGTCGTTAGGTAATTGGCGATCAAGTCAGCCTCTCTGAAAGAAATGACTACACGAGGTGGAATGGTTCTCCATCAACAGGACTCCACCTGAACTAGAATTTTTGAAATCCAGTTCTCTTACTCAACCATGAACCCAGTGAAGAGTCTGTGCTCAGGCCATAAAGGAGTTAAACAAGAGCCAGGACATACAAGTAAAACAAATCTATATCCTCTTCAGAAGGTAACTCAAGTGTATTTCTTAAAGTTAATTTTTCTAAATCTGGAGAGTGTAAGAAAAGTGAAAACAGTTAAGAAGCAGAGAAAAACACTGGTAATGGAAATTGGAGTGAATTAATTTATAAAGGCAGTTTTTGAGGATCCACCCAGAAGGAACTGGACATGGGACACCATCTAATCTACAGGTGTCCAAAGTTCAGGGAGTCTATTTGACCACAACTGAATTTCTGCCCATTCTAGCCAGTGCCTAGTTTTCAAAGGTGATCTTAGCGGCTTATTGCTATCTATGGGCTAGGGATTGGATACATACAAAAGTTTCATTGATTTTACTTTACATTTAAAGGGAACTGGTGTTGTGCAACAGCTTTGTTTTCTTAGAACAATGAGTTTTGTTCATTAAAGAAGACATTTATATGCTGATCATGAACATTACTTCTGGTTGCTAATGATGTTAATAATTAGGTACAAGTGTACCTTAGATGATCATGCATAGCTTCATTTTGTTATCTACATGTAAACATTCCAAGAACCCAACACACTGAAAACTTGTCAGCAAGTACCCAGACCCTAATTATATACCTAGAGAATATGAGGATTGGTGGTCCCCATCCTTGTAGCACTGAGTAGTAGGTAGACACAGGGAACAAAAGAGGATTCAACTACTAGAACCAAGGTGTTGATTGGGAATATGTCTCAGGATCAATACACTAGCTCAGTTCTCAGAATTGAGGATGAACTTGTTACTAAAGTGGGACTAGCAACAAGAGTGAATACTTGGCCAAGAACATTGACCTAGAGCACGTTAAATCCACCCGTTTAAAGTCAGAGTGGAACTTTCGGGCTAGGGCAGGGTTGAACCCATAACTAGAGGAATAATTGCCCAATTGGTAGAGAATAGGGATAAGGAGTTTAGAAACCCAAGCAGGGCTGGCCAACTTAGGGCTTACCCCCATCCACTGTGGGAAGAAAACTGAACTCTAGAGATTTGGCCTCTAAGTTCAATTCACACTAAAAAATTGATCTTTCTTTGCAAACAGGTATGCTCGACTAGTTTTTTGTTTTGGGCTAGGTCACCAAGGTAAATCAAGGTATCACTTAAGTCCATTTCCACCCCTCTCTCTGGCAGCCAAAACATCCTTCGAGCAGCAGTCTCTTGGACATTTATTAAAATTGCAAACAACTATCAATGAAAAGGTTTAACACTTTCATTTACATTAATTTATCAATTTATAAGCAGTGCACATGTTCAATTCTACTAAAGTATCATGTATATTAAAAACAGAAACAAAAATATAAACTCAAAAAGATGAAATAAGGAATACACAGAAATTCTGATACAATGTGCTTTGTACCGCAGTAGACTGTCTGTGGCCCCTTTGGGGTGAGCACATTCCATTTCGAAGATATCTTCTTTAGAATATTAATGGAGAATCACATGGTCTGAATGGCATGACTGTGTTTTCAAACTACATACAGTAGGTCTGGAAACGTAATTTTTATGTTTCCTATTCATTAATTTGACAGTGTAGGCCCTACAGAGGTCTATCTTGGGTATTCTGATTTATTCTGATTAATGGCAGATAGCACCGGCCTCAGATGGTAATGTTGTTCTGTCCTGATCGTCGTATCAAAGCTAGAGTGCACTGATTTATTTTCTGCGTGAAGAATATTAGGCTCCAGCTGCTGAGGTCAAAGGCCAAATGAAACTTCACTAGATGCTGAATCCAAGAATTCTCCTAGCACCTGGGTCTCAGGTTCAGGGCCAGAATCTATCTGTTCCCTGGAGGTCTGAGGCCCTGGGATCAGAAGACACAAAACTGCCGTGAAAGCAGTCCTAGAGGTGCCACACAGGATGGCAATACAGTGGCTGTCACCACATCCCAGATTCCTAAATAGTAAGCCTGAGCCTTGAACCCCAGCAGAGTCCCTGCTGAACACCCAGACTTGCTGAGAAGTTCATGAAGACATTTTGATAGCCACTTCTCTGTAGATTCTTTAAAAAAAAAGTGTTACTGATCTATAATTTACACTTCATAAAATTCAACCATGTAAACCAGCTCAGTGTTTGTTAGTACATTCAAGATACGTGCAACCATCACCACAATCAATTTTAAAACATTTTCATCACTGCAAAAAGAAATCCACTAGCAGTCCCTACCCAGTTACCCCCAACACACTTCTCTCTCCTCTTCCCCTCAGCCCTAAGCAACCACTGATCTACTTTCTGTCTCTATAGATTTGCCTATTATGATCATTGGATATAAATGGAATCATATAATACGTCGTGTTTTGTAATTGGCTTCTTTTACTTAGCATAATATTTTTAGGGTTCATTCATGTTGTGGTATGTACCAGTACATAATTTCTTTTTATTGCCAGATAATATTGTATCATGTGGATATACCACATTTTATTCATCTATTCTTCAGTTGATGGACATTTGGGTTGTTCCTACTTTTTAGCTATTATTAATAATGCTGCTATGAACATTCATGTATAATTTTCTGCATGGACACATGTTTTCATTTCTGTTGGGTATATACCTAGGAGAAGAATTATAGGAGCATACGGTAACTCTATGTTTAGCCTTTTGAGGAACTGCCAGCCTGTTTCCCAAAGTGACTGCACCATTGTCTATTCCCACCAGCAGTGTAGGAGGGTTCTGATTTCTCCACATCCTTGCTGACATCTATTAGTTTCTTTTTGATTAGATTATTCCAGTGGGTGTGCAGTGGGATCTCATTGTTAATTTGATTTATATTTTCCTGATGATTAATAATCATCTTTTGCACATCTTTTTGTGTGTGTATTGGCCATTTGTACGTCTTCTTTGGGGGATGTCTTTTCAAATCTTTCGCCCATTTTAAGTAGGATACTTTGGCTTTTTATTATCGAGTTGTAAGAGTTCTTTATAGATTCTAAATATGTGTTTCTTATAAGATATGTGATTTTCAAAAATGTTCTCCTATTTTATAAGTTGTCTTTTCACTTTCTTGATGGTGTCCTTTGAAGCACAAAAGTTTTTAATTTTGTTGGTGTCCAGTTTATCTGTTTTTATTCTGATGCTTGTGCTTTTGGTTTTATATTTAAGAAACAGTCACCTAATTCAAAACCACAATGTTTTATGCCTAGGCTTTCTTCTAAGAGATTTATAATTTTAGCTCTTACATTCAGGTTTCTGATCAATTTTGAGTTAATTTTTCTCTATGGTGTGAGGTAGGTGTGCAGCTTCATTATTTTGTGTGTGGATATTCACTTAGCTCAGAACCATTTGTTGGAAAGACTATTCTTTGCCCTATTTTATTGTCTTAGCATCTTTGTTGAAAATCAATTGACTGTAAATGTGAGAATTTATTTCTGGACTCTCCATTCGATTCCATTGGTCTATATGTCTATCGTTATACTTCACAGATTTGTATAGGGTCTTCTACTGCTCACTCATAAAAATTAATTAATTGCTTAAGGTTTTACAAAGGACACTAATGCTTCTAATTGAAGCTTAGGAAGAAATTAACAATCAAGACTTCAGAGGGCAGAAAGCAAGACAGCCTCAAGGAGCTCAGCAGCATCTCTCTAAAGCTCTGCTATTACCGAACTAGCTCAAAGGATCTTCAGTCTTTGTGACTCTTCCAAGTTTCAAATTTTCAAGTAAAGGAATCTGGTTTACTTTGATGAGAAGAATTCCCCTAAAACAATCCATTGTGGCTGAGAACAGGGTTACACAGCACAGACATTGTTATTAGGGACCCGTCCCTTTGTTGGAAGTTACGCAAAGACAATACATCCAACTCCGGGGCCATGGAAGTACCCGCTTAACATTTCTCCCCGTCTCTAGTCTCTCCATACCTCACCCCCATTCACAAAAGTACATCTGCACAGAAGTATATTGGTGCACTTCTCGTCCACACCCAAAAAGAACAGACCTTGTACTGGATGGGGCCAAACCTGCACATCCTGAAAGTAAGCCCCATTTTATAAACTGGATTATTCTATCTTTTGTTTATTTCTGTAGAATGAGAGTTTAGTAATATCTTGTTGAATGTTCTTTTGATTCAGTTAATCATTGAATTATAATCTTGTTTAATGTCCTTGTCAGAGCTTAGAGAATCACTGAGTCATTGGAAGAGCCCTCTCTCCAGCTTGGTCTAGAGATCTCTGAGATTTGCCTAAAATATTGGTATTGACCACTGGGGACTCACTCAAAAGGGAAGGTGAACCTCAGATATTAAGATCCTATGGGGATTTTCTTCTCTTAATAATAGAAGTTCTGGATGTGTTCTTGAAAATGAGGCAATACTTACCTGCTTAACATCCACTTAGTGGCTTATGACTACCTCTAAGATAACATCTAAACTTCTTGGCTTGACCCACAAGACAATTACAATCTGGTCCCAGTCCTCCTATTCCTTCCCTTTCATACACTCATACACCCCTTACCCTAACCATACACCATACACACTTACCTTATCTTTTTTTTTTTTTAATAATTTTTTTTTTTTTAAATTTATTTTTTTATTGATAATTCTTGGGTGTTTCTCACAGAGGGGGATTTGGCAGGGTCATGGGACAATAGTGGAGGGAAGGTCAGCAGATAAACAAGTGAACAAAGGTCTCTGGTTTTCCTAGGCAGAGGACCCTGCGGCCTTCCGCAGTGTTTGTGTCCCTGATTACTTGAGATTAGGGATTGGTGATGACTCTTAACGAGCATGCTGCCTTCAAGCATCTGTTTAAAAAGCACATCTTGCACCGCCCTTAATCCATTTAACCCTGAGTGGACACAGCACATGTTTCAGAGAGCACAGGGTTGGGGGTAAGGTCACAGATCAACAGGATCCCAAGGCAGAGGAATTTTTCTTAGTGCAGAACAAAATGAAAAGTCTCCCATGTCTACTTCTTTCTACACAGACACGGCAACCATCCGATTTCTCAATCTTTTCCCCACCTTTCCCGCCTTTCTATTCCACAAAGCCGCCATTGTCATCCTGGCCCGTTCTCAATGAGCTGTTGGGCACACCTCCCAGACGGGGTGGTGGCGGGGCAGAGGGGCTCCTCACTTCCCAGTAGGGGCGGCCGGGCAGAGGCGCCCCTCACCTCCCGGACGGGGCGGCTGGCCCCCCCACCTCCCTCCCGGACCGGGCGGCTGGCCGGGCGGGGGGCCGACCCCCCCACCGCCCTCCCGGACGGGGCAGCTGGCCGGGCAGAGGGGCTCCTCACTTCCCAGTAGGGGCGGCCGGGCAGAGGCGCCCCTCTTTTTAATAATTTTTTTAGCAGAGACAGGGTTTCATCATGTTGCCGAGGCTGGTCTCAAACTCCTGGGCTCGAGCAATCCACCCGCCTCAACCTCCCAAAGTGCTAGGATTACAGACGTGAGCCAAGCCACACACTTGCCTTAAACCCGTGCTTTTCTCGCTCTGTTCCCCTTGACTCTTTCCCTTCCCATGCCAACTCCCACAGTCCTGCTCATTCTTTCACTCCCTGCTTCACTGTCACCTCCACTGTGAAGCTTTACTACTCACATCATCTCCTCACGAAAGTACAACTTCTCTAATTCATGCCCCCATGGCCCTTTCCATGTAATTCTATTACATCACTCATCATATTGTTACCATCACTATGTATCTGTCTCCTGCCAAGAAACTATATTTCCCAAGGGTGAGAATCTCTCCACACCAAGCATAATATGTGTTTATCACAGATGTCCAAGGATGTTATTGAAAGAAACATGGAAGGAAATTGCACTAATTTTTGCTGTTATAGGAAAATCCACCAGTTATCTCTAGCAATCAAATGTAACAGGCAATGTTTGCCTCTAATTTGACCAATTCCAAAGATTTTCCCTGAAGTCTTCTCCCAAACCAAGGTCATATTCCAACAACAAATTACTCTGATAAATTCAAGATACATGACTTTCACCTGGAAGTCTGGCACTTGAGGGTAGAAGATTGCTAACTGAGTGAACCTGTGGTCCAGATTAGTCTTTTTACTACTGAATTTCGTTGAAAAAAATTACCAGCTTTACTTTGTGCTACACACAGTCTTCTAAGGCAGGCTAAAGAGTAAAACTAAAGGACTCTGCTCCCTTCTGCAGCACGTAGAGAAAATATTTTGTACCAGCCTAATACTGCAGGCCTGATGGTCAAATTTTCCCTTTCTTTATCAAAAAGAAGAGAAAAATGAACATTGATATTATTTGAGAAAAAAGTAGAGAACCCACAAGCCATTTGCCCAGTTAGTGACATTTCATTTATCAGCACAAAATGTCACATAAATCCTAAATCTGGTTTAGTGTAAGGAATTGTTATTCGTCACGCACAGGGTAGCATTTGGAATTCATTTATCTGAGTTCTGTTGCCTTGTTTTCAGAATGCCTAAGGTTGGAGTCTCCGATTTCATTCTCCAAAGCAATGAAGAGACCTCACAGGTTGAAATCTGAATCCATGGGATTCTATACAATAGCTGAGGTTTGGTCCCCAGAGAAAAGTGAGTAAGAATACAGGAAAAAAAAAAAAAACCCAAAACTAAACAAATCTAAAAAACACACACACACACACACACACACACAAAATAAAACAAAACAAAAACAGAGAGCAACCTATTAATCCTGGAAGAAAACACATAACATCATTTTCATTATTAGGATTTCCTTTGTATTTACCCTCAATAGAGTCAGCCAACATGTTTCCGTTCCCATTTAATTCCCAAGTGGCACTTTTGGTGTCCAGGAAAAGTGCCAAGCTGAGTTGTTCAGAAGATCTAATTACTCCTAATAGAAATACTACACAAGAGACTGCTTTGGTTCTTGCTCTGACATCTCTTGTTCTCTTATTTCCTATAAAGATTCATGTGAAAAACCAAAGTTGTATGTGCTGTGCCCAGGAATGTCAAGGAATGGGAAGCTGGGGCAATCACATCCCAGTCTCATCCTGGCAGGAGAGAGGATCCTCAAGAGGCGGTGCAGGGGGAGGAAGCGCCCTAGCATAATAAGAGCTTTGAGTGCCTGGGACCTGCTCCAAGGGGGGTAAACAAGGTGCAGAGGTGACCTGAGATTTCTCAAACTTGCAGATCATTAGGAGGGCATTTCCTTTATTATATGCTTGAATTTAGAGGAACAAGCCACTCACTCTCCCACTCCACCACTGCAGCTCCGGATCAATCATATATTTCCTGGTTAGTTCCTCATTTTTATTAATTTTCTAAGCTTCAGGTTCATACATCTAAATGCCCACTAAATGTCTAGTTCAGTATGTCATCTTCCCAAACTTGCTTCTTCTCCTTTCATCTTTCTTATCTCATTTATGTTATCAGCATCACCGCCAACACCAACCACACAGGCTAAAGATTCAGAAAATATCTTATCTCCACACTTTCCTTCAAGCCCAACTCCTACCCTAGTATCATGTCACCCATTACTAAATTCTGGCAATTTCACTTTTTAAATATTTCTTGATTCTTCCCACCACTTTTCTCTTTTTCCATTGCTGGTTTATCATTTCTTGCTGTATAGTACTGCTTGGTGCATAATAGACACTTAAATAATGTTTGGTTTGGGGCCGGGCCCAGTGATTCACGCCTGTAATCCCAGTACTTTGGGAGGCCAAGGTGGGCAGATCACGAGGTCAAGAGTTCAAGACCAGGCTGGCCAACATGGTGAAACCCCATCTCTACTAAGAATACAAAAAAATTAGCTGGGCGTGGTGGCACGTGCCTGTAATTCCAGCTACTCAGGAGGCTGAGGCAGAAGAATCACTTGAACCCAGGAGGCAGAGGTTGTAGTGAGCTGAGATCGTGCCACTGCACTCCAGCCTGGGCGACAGAGCAAGACACCATCTTGAAAAAAAAATAATGATAATGTTTGCTTTTGATTGAATATAAAATGGATCTTCCCACTAATTTATACTATAGAGAGAATGACTTTTTTAGATTTTTTTTTTTTAAGAGTTAGGCTAAAGAAGGAAAACTGAACAGGATTACTTGAGATATCTGAAAGGAAAGAGTGTTAAAAGGGTACACAACCCCAATTTTTTCTGCTTTCCTCAGCCTGGAGTACACAAAGCAATCATTGGGCTACTTCACAAAATGCCCCACTCTCCTGTTGAAATAGCCCTTTCAGAGCTAGGATCCTCCTGTGGAGTAATATTCAATGATCTCAGTAATCTGTGGGTTTCATGAGTACTTCTTAAATAATAACGTGCCTCTTGGCCGGGCGCGGTGGCTCACGCCTGTAATTCCAGCACTTTGGGAGGCCAGGGCAGATCACCTGAGGTCAGGAGTTTTGAGAACAGCCTGGCAAACATGGCAAAACTCCGTCTTTACTAAAAATACAAAAATTAGCTGGGCGTGGTGGCATGTGCCTGTAGTCCCAGCTTACTTGGGAAGCTGAGGCAGGAGAATCACTTGAACCCGTGAAGCGAAGGTTGCAGTGAGCTGAGATCATGCCACTGCACTCCATCTTGGCAACAAAGTGAGACTCCATCTCAAAGAAAAAAGAAAAAAAAGAAAAAAAGAATGTTAATGTGCATCTTAGTGGCTTGGAATCTTGTTAAAATGCAGACTGTGACTTAGTAGGTCTGAGGTGGAGCCTCAGCATCTGCATTTCCCAGGCAAGGACAACGCTGCTGGTCTACAGGTCATACTTTGGGTAGCAAGGGGTTAGATAATATCTTTCAGGGTAAAATTTCTTTGCCACAAACTATAGGACTGTCAATATTAAAACATTAAAAGTGGCCCAAGGCTCTACAAGTCTCCAGGTTATACAGTTACAACTTCATGGCATCAAGAACTTTGACCCAAAAAGGCAAGGGCTCATTGGAACTAAAAATCCCTTAGCCAAGGCCTCTGCAGGCTGCAGAGAGCACGCCTCTCTCGAGACTTAGAGATTTGAAGGACAGAACTGTTTCCACAGGCAGGCTTAAGAGACCCAAAGCGGGTCTAGAAACATATAGAGACAAGCACAGCAGGAAGTCATTGCCACATCTGGGTCTGAAGGGCTGGGAACCTGGTGAAACCTGGAGCCATCAAGGGGGACCACACAACAGGTGCTGAAGCCACATTAGAGGAAATCCTTGGACCCTGCCAGACCATGGTGCCAAAGCAAGGAAGCAGGTGGTAGGTGAGAAGTACCCTGACCTCATTCTCCCCTCGATGAAGAATAAGGTTGGCCAAATTTACCTGCAAGGGAGTCCCATGATGTAATATATGTGGGGTTCTTGGGGAACAGAGCAGGGCAGGAACAGGGTGTGAAGTGAATCGGGTTGGTTAGTGGAGGATAAGTAGTGCCTAAGCTGTAAAATAAGAGGTTCATACTGGCTTGACAGTTCTCATCCTCTTTATAGAAATGCATGAATATTTTAAAACATGTCATCCCTAAGTACAAAATGGGGAAAAGGCAATCCTTTGGCATGGTCTGTTGGACACATTGACCACCGAGGCACGGACAGGCCAAATAGAGAGTGAATCATAGATGTGGAAGCCACCACAGTCTAGTCTCCTTCCCTGTGTATTTGATCTTCAGACACCACACAGAGAATCTGACCCCAAACTCCCACTTTACCCAACATGTCCATTCTTTAAAGGATTCTAGGCAAATATGTATTGGTTCAGACACTATTCGAAATAGGGCTGTTGGCCTTTCCAAAGTAAATTCCTGCATTCTATTCCAAGAACCATCATCATGTCAAAGAAAATATAAATAGGATAGGAAGGTTTCCATACACAAAGTCCTACTCCAGATCCATTGAAAGCTCAGTGAAAGAAGCCAGTACAAAATGATTATGGGAAAATGTACAGAGCATTTGAGTCAGAATTTGAGTCTTCCAGTTCATCCTCAACAAAACCATAGAATGCAAACTGCTGAGGCTTACTACATCTAGCTTAGGAGGATAAAGGACTTCTCTGACCTCATCGCCTTAGGAAAGCTCAATAGGTCACATTTCCGGCTGGGGCCAGCAAGCACCCCTTTGGCTTTTCCTTCCTATGCACAAAATTTCAGAAGTCACAGTGTAGCTGAATTTCCTTTGGTAACAGAAAAACAGTCATTATTGTTGAATGCAAGGAACTGATCTGACCTACAGTCAATAATTTTTTCCTGCAAATGACAAAGCCTGTTTCCTCCAGCTGACAATGAAACCTTGAAAATGCACAGGACATGTATTTTCCAAAGCAAATAATCCATGGCAAAGGTGCAATTCTGTACCTTAATCAATCAAAAGCTAAGATTGAACAGAAGAGTCTATTGTGGTAAAATACACATAACTTAAAATTTACCATTCTTACCATTTTAAAATCTACAATACAGTAGCATGAAGTGCACTGAGTCATATTTATTTTTAAAATAAATAGCTATAAATGAGCCCCTAGTCTCTCTAAAGAAATGTACTCAACAGGCACAACAAAGAGAGAAGTGCTGCTTTCTTTTCTTTCCTTTTTTTTTTTTTTTTTCTGTTTTGAGACAGTTTCACTCTTGTCGCCCAGGCTGGAGTGCAGTGGCGCGATCTCAGCTCACTGCAACCTCCGCCTCCTGGGTTCAAGTGATTCTCCTGCTCCAGCCTCCTGAGCACCTGGGATTACAGGTGCCCGCCACCACGCCCAGCTAATTTTTTGTATTTTTAGTAGAGATGGGGTTTCACCATGTTGGTCAGGCTGGTCTCAAACTCCTGACCTCAGGTGATCCACCCAACTTGGCCTCCCAATGTGCTGGGATTACAGGCATAAGCTACTCTGCCCAGCCGAGAAGGGCTGTTTTTATATCAGAGGAAAATGGAAAAGTATGATACTCACACAGAGATAATGTCATAAGCTTTAGGCAAGAAAGTAAATCCTATATCCCTCTTTTCCAGGTCAGGGAGCTAAGCAAGGATATTACAGGGCTAGTTATGAGTTTCCAGGCTTTAGGACAGTCCTGTAAACATTTGCTGGATCAACTGCTTTGCCCGACCAGTATGCCTGTTCTGGTCTCATGCCATTTGCAAGATTCACTGACAGCAAGTGCATTTTCCTAAGTGTGAAGAAGAGACATACCTTCCATGCCACACAAAAGAGTGTGGTTTAGGGGAAAACCATGCTATCTTCTGTTAAGAGTTTGGACTTTAGTGTCAGAAAGACCTGAGTTTGAGCACAGCTCTGTTCCTTCTGGTCTGGTTGCAAGTTACTTAAGTTCTCTGCATCTCAGTTTTCTCATAACATCTCAGTTTTCTCATCTATAAAATGAGAGTTAATGTAAGTATCTACTTCATAAGGAGGTTATAAGGATTAAATGAGAGAATTAGTCAGGATAAGATAGGCTCTGCTGCATTAACAAGTGAACCCCAAAATTTCAGCGGCTTAATCTGACAAAAATTTACTTCTTGCTTACGTCACAGTTGAGGGTGGGAGGAAAAGGTGGCTCTCCTCCAAAAGTGATCAAGGACCTGGGCCTCTTCCAAATGGCAATCTAACATCTAAGAGGCTTTTACTTCCTGACGAATGGAGGAGCCACACTGGCTTTTTACTACTTTGGCCTCAAAGTGACTATGTCATTTCTGGTTATAGTCCATCAGAAATAATCACATGCATCAGTCAGTTTACAGAAAAAAAAAAAAAAAAAAAAAAACAACAAAAAACAGATGGCACACTCTAAAGGGCCATCTGTTTGATGGATTAGTTACAAAAGTGTGAGCAGGGTTAAGGGAAGTCACACAGGGTTGTAAGCTACCCCGGGGCTACTAATAGCCTAATACAGGTCCTGAATTTTCAGTACCCGAAGCTCAGGCTGGGGATGAATAAACTAGCCTCTTTTGCCTCCTGTCCTTCTAACTGTTGCCTCCCAGTAGTCATGCTCAACTATGAACCAGTCAGTGGCGCTCAAATGATGTCATCTATGAAAGGTCAGCTTGTGCCAGACCAGGAGGAAAAGTCAATCTGGAAAAGCAAATGGAGCATGCCTAGCAGAGCATGCAAAAGGCTTAGCAATGTGCTCAGCACATAGTTGGTGCTCAAAAAATGAATGTGAAGCCAAGAATATATGAAGAAAAATATTTAAAAGTTATTTGTTTTTATTGAAGTTTTCAGTTAACTTTACCTCTGACAAAGAGAAATTTACATTTGCTAGTGAGAATTTTTCTCTCTCCAGTTCAATAAGGGTTCAGCGTCCAAAGCTGGGTTGCACTTCCCCTTGGCTCAGTGTCCAAAGCTGAGCTGTCTTTCCTTTCTCCTAAAAGATGAGTTTAATAGGAAGAATGGTGTTTTGTTTTATTTTTTTCAAAGTGAGAAACATTGATAGCTCTGCCCCAAATAATTTTATCTGTCTGCCAGCAATTACAACTTCAGTTAGGACTAATGGCACAGTTACATTGATAACTGCTGTTACTGTTTTCATTCTTTAACTTGCCAACAAGATCCTCTGGTCCCTTATCTTGTACTGGGGCCAACCCAACAAGAGCAGGAGAAGTTGAAATCTTGACACTTCAAAGCCCAGGGCATTGTGAACAAGCTCACTAGTTGTTTGTGTTGGGCTTTGCTAAATAATAGGCTGGATTCAGTGCCAGTAAAAAGACACAGCTTTGGAGGATAGTTTTTGGGGTTACAGTCATATATAGTTTCTCATTTTGCACACAAGTGAAATGATCTTTTCCAAGGATCAAATTCATTTCTTGTTTATTTCCCGTAATTGTGTTTTTATGTGAGAAACTCATAGAAACTTTGAATTTGCAGGAAACTTAGAAATCATTTTGTTAAACGACCTCATACACCATCAAACCCTTGGAGGGGTTGAGATTCCACCTCTGCTTGAACCCTTTCAATGACAGGAGGCTCACTCATCGTAATACCAGCAGCACCTTTGCATTTGCTGTGAGCCGCGTATGATACTTTGCTGGCATTATTTCCTTAACCCTCAACAGCCCTCTGAGGTAGCTGCTATTCTTAGTCCCCTTTACAAATCCGGAAAGCAAAGCATAAAAAAGATCCACTTTTTATGCTCAAAGATCCACTGCTAAACTTCACTGAAGCTGGAGTTCAAACCCACCTCTGTTTTTCTCTAAACCTCAAGCTTTTCTCCACTAAGTTTTCCCAGTACCTTTCAAGACAACCCATTCTCACCAAGAACTCTCTGAAACATCCTTTCTGTAGTCTCCCCATAATTTTATTAGTTCATCATTTCAATTTTACATATCAAAAAGTGAGAATATAAGAACTATTAATGATAATTTACATTTGATATCATTTTGCCATTTAAAAAGTATGTCAATAATCTCATTCAAGCTTCTCAGCAGCTCTGAGAGATAATTATGATGCTCTATTTTACCTATTAGAATGCTGAGTTGGCTGGGTGTGGCAGCTCATGCTTATAATTCCAGAACTCTGGGAGGCTGAGGCTGGCAAATCGCTTGCACCCAGGAGTTCGAGACCAGCCTAGGCAACATGGTGAGGCCCCATCTCTACAAAAAATGCAAAAAAATTAGCCAGGCATGGTGATGTATACCTGTAGTCCCAGCTACTATGAAGGCTGAGGTGGGAGGATTGCTTGAGCCTGGGAGGTTGAGGCTACAGTAAGCCATGCTCATGCCACTGCACTCCAGCCTGCAAGACAGAACAAAACTCCATCTCAAAAAAAAAAAAAAAAAAAAAAAGAAAGAAAGAAAGAAAAGAAAAAACATTGCCAAGTTTCAGAGCATTTGCATTTGCTCATGGTCATGTGCAACCTGGTGGTGGAGCCAGGAGCAGAGCTCAGGTCCTTTACATCTTGGTCCCATGCTTTCTACTACACCATGCTGCTGACTCAGTGAATAATGAAAATGCAGCCAAGTGTGAGCTCCTGATGCAGCCTCCTCCCTCAAGTGCCTTTGTCTGAGGAGGTACCCCTCTGACCCTGATTTCCACACTACTTCCTGTCTTATTCCAGTGCACTGTGGTCTCATGAACTGGTGCATTTAGGAGGTTTGGTCTCCCTAATAAGTCTGTTCCATGCCTACTCCTCAGGCCTGCATCCCAGTGAGCAATTCTGTTTCCATCAATTTTACTGCCTGATCTTGGCTCAAACCAGTACTGGCCCTGTGTGGTCAACAGTGTTCTTGGGACTGGATCTTAGGGACAGTGAGCAGATTGGACAGAAGGCAATCTCAGGCCACAGTGGTACAAAAGTGCTTCTATTTAGTCCACAAGATGCCAAACAGCTGCTTCCAAATATCCAGATGTTTGGCATCATGTAAAACAAAACTTTGATTCATTGGCCAAATATCCCTCTGTCATCTAATTGATGAACACATGCTTGCGTGTTTTGGCATCTTGTAGACACTGTGTTTGCTTATAAGTGAATGGATTTAATATTTCGGCTTCTAGAAAGTATCCCACAACAAAAGTTCCCACACTACTTTCCAGTGCATAAATCTTCTTTCCAGGTTGTCTGCAAATATGACAAAGTGAAAAAGTCCCCACATTTTGCAAACTCTTTAATCAGCTAAACACATCTGCATCAAAGGCTATCATGATCTTCTGTTGGGTTATGAGAGAAAAAAGAAAATCTTGGTTTTTCCCTTGTGTAATTGAAGCCAAAGCAATGTGAGCAAGATGTATCTTAACTTCCTTTACACTCTGTTTGGTTTTCTTTTCTTTTCTTTTTTTTTGCTCATTTCTTTCAGATAGAGTCTCATTCTGTAGCACAGGCTCCAGCGCAGGGGCATAATCACAGCTCACTTGCAGCCTTGACCTCCCAGGCTCAAGTGATCCTCCCATTTCAGCCTCCTAAATAGCTGGGACTACAGGCATGTGCCACCACACCCAGCTAATTTTTTTTTTTTTTTTTTTTTTTTGTAGAGACAGGGTTTTCCATGTTGCCCAGGCTGATGTCTTTGGTTTTCTATCCTGTGTTTTACATAGAATATTCAATGAAAAGTATTTCACTAAAGTTTTTCCTAATTGTTTTTTTCTTCATACCCAGCTACCTAGAAACACATTTTCCAGATAATTAGCAAGGAGTACAGACAGTCCCCGACTTTTGATGGCTTGACTTATGGTTTTTCAACTTTGCAATGATGCAAAAGTGACATGCATTAAGTAGAAACATACTTCAGGCACTCATACACCATTCTGTTTTTCATTTAAGTATAGTATTCATTAAATTATATGAGATATCCAACACTTTATTATAAAATAGGCTTTGTGTTAGATGATTTTGCCCAACTGTGGGGTAACCCAAGTGTTCTGATCAGGTTTAAGGTAAGCTAGGCTAAGCTATGATATTCTATAGGTTAGATGTATTAAATGCATTTTCAGTTTAACTATATATTCAACTTACAATGGGTTTATCAGGACATAATCTCATCATAAGCTGAGGAGCATCTGTACTCAAAGTGTTCTCCAATGAACAGGATCTTAAAGCTTTCTCTCCAGGGGAGGTGATAGTTTTTTCCTCCTTGTTTGATCCTAGATACACCCTAAGCTTCTTTACTTCCTTTTGCACATATCAACCCACTGCTACTCAAATTACTAACGGTATTTATCCTGTAGTAAGCTGTCAGTACATTTGTCAGGCTCTGTGTTAAGTGCTTTAAACACATGGCATTCGATTCTCCCAAGAAGCCTATGGGGCATGAGGATTTTGGTGTGCGTGATTTTGTGTGCACTCATACTGCCTGAGTGTTAATTTGGAGTTGAGGGAATTGCAGCATAGAAAGGGGCACCTGCACCTGCTTGCTGAGGGCACACAGCTACAGGGCATTAGGGCTGTATTGCCTTAGAACCCGTGCACATGACCCCTCATTCTCTGCCTGCCACCTCTTTGCTTTCAAAGTAATCATCCTCACACATAGCACAGACTCCACTAGCCCAGATCATGAGGCCCATCCCAGGATGGTCCTTCCTGTCTTTGTGCTTCCTATTCCCTGCCATGAATCTTGTGATTCAACTCTGCAGACTGTAAGGCACACCCCCAAACACCACACTCTTTTACTTCTCCCTTCCCTGGCACATCCTCCTCTCCTTACAGGGACCGTTGTATATGCCAGACTCATAGTCTACACATCCAGCGTCTTCCCATGGGAAAATTCCCCCTCAGCCAGCAGGAACCCCTCAAAAGTTCACTCCTCCCTGAAGTCCACCTGACCTCTCACTCACTCCTGTCTTTCATAACTGTGCTTTCCTTGGTTACAGTACCTAACACATTTATCATCCTCAGAGGGCTGCGCATGTGCTTTGAAATAATTCATTTGCTTGTCTGGCTCTCTCACCAGCCTGCGAGCTTCCTGAGAAAGGGATGATTTCATCCGTGTCTCCAGGGCATGGCACAAGAGCCTCTCAATAGGTGTTTGGTGTTTATTGGATAAATGATAAATTAAATGTTCACAGGTTACGGTCACATGTGAGCAATTACTAACATTTATTTGATAATTCCACAGCCTTTGAAATGTCCTAAATTTGTGCCTTTGCAGGTTTCTTAGGACAGGTTCAATTCTCATCTTCACAATTCACTGGGTGCAGAGTTTCTGCTTTTGTGTTCTCTATGGACTGTGAAATTGCCCTTTAATGAGTGAGAGGGAAAGAGAAAGCATTTTATCTCTGTGTCTCAATTACAAAGTCTCGGGAAAGGTCTCAGTTGACTCAATTCTGACACGAGAAAGATCACCACCAGTGATCACATTATTTTAACATGGCTGCCTTCATAATAACTATGTCATTGGGAGGAAGAGGCAATTCCATTATATGAGGGTGGGGCTGCTGAGGAACGAAACAACAGATGTCTGCTTAGGCCACTAATATCAAGCAGTGGAAAACAATCCTATTACTGGGGTTAACAAAACCTCTCTTATACAGTCACCCTTCTCAATAACCTAGAGATTTTAATAAGGACCTCTTAAAGACCAAAAGGTCACCAAAACTCAGAGACATGCCTTTTAAAGGGAGGAATTACAGACCGTGATGGATGAGATATTTGCAGGCATAAAAGCCTTCTACAGATTCTTCAAATTAACCCAAGTCGATACCTGTGCAGTTCCTTTACTCATAAAGCCAGAGAGCCCTGCTTATTGACACAGACACTTGAGTCACTGGTAGCAGTTACTGGGCAGTTAGCTTCTAAAAGTCAAAGTCTGTCAGCACCAACATATGCAAAGCCAGTGGAATCTAGAAGCACTGGAAACACTGGGCTCAGGTCATCATGCTGTGGCTTGCTTACTGTCTCTGAGCCTCTCTTTCCTCAACTGTAAATAGGGGGAAAAACCCAAAGCTATCTTCACTGAGTTGCCAGAATCACATGAAATAAAGTAAGGAAAGCCTAAAGTTATACAAATGTTATTTACACTTTCTATTTTATGGGGAATAAGGAACATAATTGATGTACTTATTTAGAAGGAAATGGTAAATAAGTTGTATATACTGTAGATCTCCCTTATCCATGGGAGATATGTTCCAGGATTCCCAATGAATGCTTGAAACCACAGATAGTACCAAACCCTATAGATATTAGGTTTACTCCTACACATACAAACATGTAACAAAGTTTAATTTATAAATTATGCATAGTAAGAGATTAACAAAAACAGTAATAAAATAGAATAATTAAAACAATATATTAGGTTGGTGCAAATGTAATCGTGGCTTTTGCCATTACTTTCAATGGCAAAAACCATGATTACATTTGCACCAACCTAATACTATAATCAAAGTTATGTGAATGTGGGCTCTGTCTTTCTCTCAGAATATCTTATTGTACTTTACTCACCTATTTTGGGGCAGTGGTTGGCAGCAGGTAACTGAAGCTGCAGAAAGCAAACCCATGGGTAAGGAGGGATGACTGTAACTACTTATATTTTGGCATTGCATTTTTTGCACTAATTAAAATGAAAATGATCAACAAAAACACTATGGGGAAATATCTGTGATACAGGTTAAATGTACTAATAATATTAAGTAGTAACAGTACTAACACTAATATAATTAAGAAGAATATTAATAAGTTATGCTTATACTATAATTTCATAAGCAGTATGTATGCATATGCAAAAGAACTAGAAGGGGATTCAAACAAAATCAATTTGGTTGTTTGGAGGAGGTGGGATTGGGTGAAATACTTTTGCTTCTAGTTTAACTTCTGTAAATGTTGTTTGTGATTAAAATCATAATTTTAGGCCAGGCATGGTGGCTCATGCCTGTAATCCCTGCACTTTGGGAGACTGAGGAGGGCAGATCACCTGAGGTGAGGAGTTTGAGACCAGCCTGGCAAACATGGTGAAACCCCATGTCTACTGAAAAAAAAAAAAAAAAAAAAAAAAAAAATTAGCCAGGCGTGGTGGTGTGCACCTGTAATCTCAGCTACTCGGGAGGCTGAGGCAGGAGAATCACTTGAACCTGGGAGGCGGAGGTTGCAGTGAACTGAGATCATGCCATTGCACTCCAGCCTGGGTGACAGAGCGAAACCCTGTCTCAAATAAAAAAATAAATAAAAAGAAGGAAAGAAATCACATTTTCGGCCTCATCATAGGAGTTCTTCTCCTAGATGATCTGTGGTGGCTGTGGGATCCTTGGCACTTTGCCTGAGTCCTAAGGAATTCTGTTAGTCTTCATGGGGTCCTGGGCCCAGTGAACACAACTGAAAGTGGAATTGCCTGAGTGTGGAATTGAATTAAGAGGTACTGCATCTTTGTTTAACAGGTAGGGCACGTGAGGGTCATATCAAATTGGCATAATTCCCATTTTTTCCCCTGCCCACCTTCTATTTGCCCTTCTTCTGGGATCTGTAAATCCTCTTCTGCAGGACCACCTCCCCTGCTTCTCAATGTGTTCCCAGTGGATTTGAGTTGGAGCAAAGGATGGCTTAAGTCAATCAGTGTATCTCTCAAGAGCTATGAAAAGTCTGAGATGTTACCCTCCTTGCAAGATAACAATTTGGCCTGCCACCATTTCAGGGATGCTGACAGATGTTGTAAGACTCACTGACAGAGACAAACACACAAAATGTAGCATAGCAAAAGTAGGAGCCAAAACGTTAGTATATTTGTGCTAGTTCCTCAAGCTCCAATTCCACTGGCTGACACAGAGGATCAGATGGCATCTGCTCATACCGTGGGATGTGTTGCAGGAGGGAACTCAGGGTTGAGGACTCAGTGCATTTTGAGCAAGCAGAGAATATTTCAGCCAGCAATAAATAAGGCAGTCTCCCCTCCTCCCCAACCCCCACACCATGCAGGCTGCAGTCCAGTTGTTGCCTTGATCTGCTCAATTGCCTATGTGAGGAGCTACAGAGCTCCTCAGTATCAAGAGGGGGATAGGACCTGCAGTCTGGCACACCCAGCAGGTGCTTGCAAGGTGCTCAGGGCCACACGTTTTCAACAGTATCACATGTGACTCAATCAGAACTACTGAGATAAAATGAAACCTTTTGCTTCAGGTGAGGGCATCTTATTTCCCTGAATGAGAATCTAGACGATTCATGTTGTGACCAACAGAGAAAAGCCTGTGCAAGAATGGAGTCAACCCAAAGAAAGCAGAATTGAGAAATGGAGAGAGCAGGAAAATGGATTCAGTGTCATCATCTGAACCACTGTATGAAGCCAGGGGTAAAACTAAGCCACCCACCTCCAGAATATCCACTTATGGGAGGTAGTTTGTCACTTGTCACCAATAGAGTCTCACTGAACACAAATATCAATGTAAACCAGTAATAGTCAAGGTTCTCCAGGGAAACAGAACCAATAGGATTTGTATATGTCTCTGTCCATATCTATATCTATAGATAAACAGAGATAGATTTGTCATAAGAAATCAGTTCACATGATTGTGGAGGCTGACAAGATGTGCATTCGGCAAGCTGGAGACCCAGGAGAGCTGATGGTGTAGTTCCAGTCTGAGTCTGAAGGCCTGAGAACCAGGAGGGCTGATCATGTAGTTCCAGTCTGAAGGCCAGCAGCCCCAAGACAGAGGAAGAGCTGATGTTCCCATTTGAGTCTCAAGGCAGGAAAATACTGATGTCGCAGCTCAAGACAGTTAGGCAGGAGGAAATTCTCTCTTACCCAAGGGAGAATCAGCCTTTCTGTTTCATCAGATTTTCAACAGCTTGTACAAAGCCCACCCACATTATGAGGGCAATATACTGTACTTAGTCTACCCATTCAGATGTTAATCTCATCCAGAAACAACCTCACAGACACACCCAGAATAATGTTAGCCCAAATGTCTGCACATCTTGTGACCCAGTCAAGTTGACACATAAAAATAACCATCACAAAAATTTTGCTATTAAATTACAGTCATCAAATGTTATGAATGTGCTTAAGTCTTTTTCTTGGTGAGTGTTTCAAGTCCCTAACTGATTCAACTCTGCAATATTTATTCTTTCAGACTCTTGTAAAAGTTGGGCTCTTTGATGAATCATCTGTGGATTCATTTCATCCAAGTTCTAATCAGTGGTTTTAAGAACTCAGCTGTATTTTCATAGTTGTGTTGTTCCTTGGACCTAATCTAATATGCTGGGTAAATCTTTCCCCTCTGTTATATGTGCTATTCCCCATACGCAGCTCTCCTCTTCCTAAAATAAAGATAGGGGAAAGAGACGGGGGGGGGGGGGGGGGGAGAGAGAGAGAGAGAGAGAGAGAGAGAGAGAGAGAGAGAGAGAGAGAGAGAGTATTTCAAGATAAAAATTTGTTTGCATTTTCTCATGCTATTTTAAATTCACAGTCCTATTCATTTGATATTCATTTTACTTGCCTGGCTTTCATCATAATGATTACCCATTTAATTACATTTTAGCTGAAACCTAGGGGAAATAGCCAGCTAGTATTTCAGTGAGATTATCAGAGGAAAAACTGAGCCTCACTTCCTGGCTTTTCTGAATCATTATATTTCTCTGTGTTAACTTTACAGGCAGCCTTTAATAAAAAGGCAACAATGTTGGTAATTAACCCTCTAATAGTGTCAGGAATATTAAAAAATGACTTGATTTTATTTCAGTTCCATATTAAGCCTTTATATTATACATAGCTCATCTAAAAAGTTTTCCCTCTTTAAGAATTTCCTTCTCATGGAGGTCCATAGTCCATCTGCCAGGGAACAAATCAGTCAGGAAGGAAAGCACAGGAATGAATCCTGTGGAGTGGAAACTCCTTGGCTCTCCAGAAGATGCTTCTGCCCTGTTGATGAAGTACTGGGTGGACACATACGCTCTCCCTCACTCTTCATTGCAAGGGAGAGATCTATGAGAATGGTTTGATTATGGCTCAGCCGAGTGCCCTCTTCGCTCTCTCTTTCTGCCAGCAAGCAGAGAAGGTCTCTTCCCTACTTCTTCCTCTACCTGGTTAAGCTCACCAGAGAGGTTTTCCACCTGAGTTCTCTACTGTTCAATTTCTGACTGGCTGGTTGGTCAGGGAGAATAGGAAGCTCTGGTCCAGGCTTGAATCAAGCTGCATTCTCTAACCCACCAGCTTTACCTTAAACAAAGCTGATATTGTATTACATCTACATCTGGCTTCTTCTGTCTGTTTTGGATTGGCTCAGAATCTAGAAGAGAAGATGGGTATGATCACCTCTTTTTAAACCCCCAAACACACACCAAGGATTTGAGAGAAGTGGCCAAGTAAGTAGGCTCCTGTAAAACATGATACCAAGTTCCCAAGAAAATACGTGCTTGGAAGATGACAGCTGTATGGAGTTTGGGATCCCTTTTTCTCTTCCATCCCATCGAACACATAAAGTAGTTCTGGCTGCAAGGTATTATGGACAGCACAAATTTGAAATACTTTAGTCATAAGATAGACCTTGAAGTTTCCCTTTAGCTCTAGCCTCTGTGGTACAACAGAGGCTACAATGAGTAAGCAAAAACACACAGTGCCTGTTTGCAAAGTAAATTACTTTCACTATTTGTTACTATCAACCTTATGAATACGGTACCCATTAATGCAAAAAACTAAAAATAATTTATTAAGAGATATAAAATAATACTTGAATAAATAAACATGTTAATGGAAACACTCAATTTTATAGGTATGTTAATTATTTCCAATTAACTTATTGTTTTAATGCAGTTCAAATAAAAATCTCAATGAATTATTTTGGAAACTTCTTTTTACCCTCAACATTTTATTATGCTTTTTTTTTTTTTTGAGACACAGTTTCACTCTTGTCCCCCAGGTTGGAGTGCAATGGCATGATCTCGGCTCACTGCAACCTCTGTTTCCAGGGTTCAAACGATTCTCCTGCCTCGGCTGGATTACAAACATCTCAGTAGCTGGGATTACAAGCATGAGCCACCATGCCCGGCTAATTTTCTTTTTTCTTTTTTCTATATTTAGTAGAGACAGGGTTTCACCATGTTTGCCTGGCTGGTTTCGAACTCCTGACCTCAGGTGATCCACCCGCCTCGGCCTCCCAAAGTGTTGGGATTACAGGCATGAGCCACCGCACTCGGCCATGAAAAGTTTTTCAACAAACAGAAAAGTTGGAAAAAATAATACAATGAACACCAATGTATCCACCACAACAATTGTTCATAGTTGTCTGTTCATGCATATATGTGTTTCTGTGTGTATGATTATATGTACCTATGTATGTACATATATATCCACTATACATATAACAATATACATAAATACCATATATATAATTATTTATTGTGTTTTTCTGCATTGTTGCTGAATCATATGAAACTGAGTTGCAGACAGCATTACACTTTACCATTAAATACTTCAATATGCATCTCCTCAAAATAAGGATATTTTCCCGCAGAACTACAATAACGTGATTATGTCTAAGTAAACTAACAATAGCCATCTCATATTTATTCTGTATTTACATTTCTTGTTTTTAGAGTGTCATTTATTACTCTTTTTCCCCTTAAATCAGAACCTAATCAAGGGTGACAAGTTATATTTAGTTACTATCTCTCTTTAGCCTCTTTTCTTTTCTTCCTTTTCTTTTTTTTCTTTTTTTTTTTTTGAGACGGAGTTTCCCTCTGTTGCCCAGACTGGAGTGAAATGACGCGATCTTGGCTCACTGCAACCTCCGCCTCCCGGGTTCAAGCAATTCTCCTGCCTCAGCCTCCACAGTAGCTAGGATTATGGGTGCCTGCTACCATGCCTGGCTAATTTTTGTATTTTTTAGTAGAGATGAGATTTCACCATGTTGGCCAGGCTGGTCTCAAACTCCTGACCTCAAGTGACCTGCACACCTCTACCTCCCAAAGTGCTGGGATTACAGGCGTGAGCCACCGCGCCCAGCCTAGCCTCTTTTCTTATAAAGCAGTCCTTCTACCTTATTTTTCAGGTCTTTGGCTTTTTGAAAATAATTTTGTTATTATATATTTTTTTAATTTAAAAAATAATTTCAGTCTTTTGAAATGATCAGGCCAATCCTTTGTTCCCTATCCTGGTTGTGTTTGATGAGCTCTTCATAGTGTACTTTTAACTTGCTCTTCTAGTCTCTATCTCCTAAAAAGGCTTGATTAGGTTTGGGTTAAACATCTTTGTCAAGAACACTTCCCAGATCATATTTTATATTGTATATTTTATATTGTATGGCTTGCAGAGGCATATGATTCAGGCTGCCCTACAATTTGCTAGATGGTTAAGATGGTGATAGCCATATCTCTTCGTTGTGAAGATGTGGGGTTTTCCCCTTTAAAATTAGCTAATTTTCTGGGAAGAGGAGAGAACAAACTTATCTTCAAGGATATTTGGAAGAATCAGCAGATAAAGATATCAAAGAAAATTTAGGAAAAAAGAGTAATGAAGAGTGATGACTCCTATCAGATATTAAACTGCGTTTAAAACAATCGGATAGTAGAGCAAAGATTGACCCCTTAATGGGTAAGTCACCCACAAATAGCCTCTGTTGATGTGGTTTTGGTGACAGGACACCCACCAACGGGCTGGCACTTACCTTAAACAGTCAGCAGACCCTGGAGGTTTTAGCTGATTCTCAGCTCCCCTTGGTCGCCTTTGGTAAGTCATGTGACCACATACACACCAAACTAGCAGGCATACCTCCACAGAGAGCTGTGACTGTATCATAGACAATGCTTTTGTTGACTTTATTTCATAGTTTAGAATTATATCTGAACAGGGCTAAGCGCAGTGGCTCATGCCTGTAATCCCAGCACTTTGGGAGGCTGAGATGGGAGGATCCTTTGAGCCCAGGAGTTTGAGACAAGCCTGGGCAAAATGGAGAGACCCTGTCTTTACAAAAAATACAAAAACTATCTGGGTGTGGTGGCACGTGCCTAAGGTCCCAGCTACTTGGGAGGCTCAGGTGGGAGAATCTCTTGGGCCGGGGAGGCCGAGGCTGCAGTGAGAGGCGATCTGATAACACCACTGCACTCCAGGTTGGGCAATAGAGCAAGAATCCTGTCTCAAAAAAAAAAAAAAAAAAAAAAAAGAAGTATATCAGAACCAAGTCTTTTTCCACAGTGGCCTATTCACAGACATATCAGAAAAGGATAGACAATGCTTGCAATTCAAGATAGAGAAGAAAAACAAACTTAAACACTATCCTGGAGGACAGTCTTCCTATTCAGGAATGTGTGTCAGTGGCCAGCCTCAAAATTAGGAGAAGAAAACTCCCTGATGGTACCCTGAGTGAGGGTCATGAGAGAATGAAAGGAGAGAATCCAGTGTGGGCCCAGGCAAACTGTGGATCAGGGATGAAAGGTGGGCCACAGTGAAAGCAGGGCCTGCGGCACAGGTTGTGGGGGACATCTTAGAAAGACAGCAATTGTGTGATGGCGTTCTCAGTTTCTCCTGGGTCTACAGCTCTGTGTTTCTTTCTGGCCTTCTCCAAATGTAAAACTAATGAAAAAATGCTACCTTTATTCCTCCCACCCTACTCCTGAAACTGTGCCAGTCTCTGCATAAGAACAGATGGTGTTCCTGAAGAGTTCTTTGCTCTGCAATATTCCTTCGCGGGTTTCTGAAAGCAGATTTGAGAACAGGAGTGAATGGAAGCTACATTTCTCTGTCTGACAGATGTGGTACACATGTGTGAGTTGGAGATGCACTCCTTGGTAATGGCTATATGGGAACAGTGAGAACATGACATATAACCAGGTGCATTTAAATGGGGCTATTGGATGAGCTACCTTGTAAAGATTCTCTCAGTGGGGTCCCTCCTAATTCTAGAGCTCTTCTACTAGGACGGAGGAGCTAATTCAGTTGGATTGATCTATGTGGTAGATTATTCTCTGCTGATCTAACCAAAAAGAGCCTCCTCTCCCTAGTTTCTAGGAATGAAGAGAGAACTTTGATTACCATAATGCTGGCATGGGTAGTCATGTAAAATTGTTGACACCGTCCAGTGCTCACTTCCCTACACTCCTTCCTGGAGTTCAGCACAGACAATGGGAAAGAGACCCGGTGAAGGTACTGGATAACTCAAAAATATGGCCTACATTTTTGAACTGTTCTTAAGGAAAGAAAGCATGTTCCCCAACTCTTGGATAATCTAGTTTAGATCATCAAATACCCCAGATAATGGCTCACCTCTCTTCATTTTTTTCTTGGAAGTCACAAGCTCTAATGAGTCTCTTTAATTATTTCTTGGTGAGGGCAGCATCCAATTTCTATTTAACAAGAACAGGCATCCAAATTAGATACAGTGCTGTTCACTTATATCAGTGTATCATCAAGATTCATATTTCCAGTGATTGCCCAACAACACTTTAATGTTACGCTAAGGATAAAACAATGATGTAATCATTGAAATCACTGAAATCTTCAGAGAGCAATGGAGAAGTTTTCTGAATTGAAACTTCTCCATGATTACCTCAGTTGACTGCCTTGATTTTCATTCTCCTGCAGTTACATTTCTGCAGCATACATTTTGAGTCCAGACTTCACCCTGGCATAAAAAACTTCCACTGTGGGTATAGAGTTTTTCCATAGTTAAAAAAATTCCTTTAAAACATATGTATAGCCATATGCTATTGACATTTTTGATAAAAGCAACACTGTGCTTAAAGCATAAAATCTAAATAATAAAAAGCTATTCTAGTAACAATAACTAATGCTCCTCAAGGGCTTACTCTTCATTGGTATGGGGATGATATTACAAATATTTAACAAACAATATGGTATGGGCACTGGCCAATTAGAATTGTCACCAGCCTTAGCTCCAATAGGACAGCTGAGATCCTCTGCTGTGCCAGGGATAACCCTTTAGTTGCTGGCCCTGAGGAAGCAGGAGGAATCTAGGGGGAGGGGCTGGGCAGATGGCATAAATGCCTGTGTGGAGAATATGTTCTGGGTGGCTATTTACTAACTGACATGGAAGTATTCCACATTTGAACAGACATATTGGATATACCTGCGGAATATCGGTGCTGCCAGGCCCTGAGCTAGAGCCCTCATTCCCACAGTGCTGCCAGGCAAGATCCTGCTGTAGGGGCCAAGGGAAAACTCCATTGCTCTCTGAAGATTTCTGAAACTCACTGATAAGAGGCAGATTAATAGGAGAAAAGGCATACACATTTACTAACATGTACATAACAGCCTTCAGAATGAAGATCCAAAGAGACAGCGGAAGTTGTTCATTTTTAGGCTTAGCTTTAACAAAGTATAGACAGCCGTGTGGAAATATGATTGGACAAAAGGGTATGATCTAATGCTAATAGACTGAGTGGGGAAACCCAGCAAGGCCTGTCTGCCTGGATTCTTCCTGGCCTCTCTGAGCAGCATTCCTTCCTTCTGGGTATGGGGCAGGACCCTCTTTGGAGTGGGAGTCTAATGACCTACTGTCAAAATAAGGGAGACCAGATATTTCTTTCTTTCTTTTCTTTCTCTCTTTCTTTCTTTCTTTCTTTCTTTCTTTCTTTCTTTCTTTCTTTCTTTCTTTCCTTCCTTCATTCCCTCCCTCCCTCCCTCTCGTCTCTCTTCCTCTTTCTTTCTTTCTTTCTCTTTCTTTCTTTCTTTCTCTTTCTTTCTTTCCTTCTTTCTTTCTTTCTCTCTCTCTCTTTCTCTTTCTTTCTTTCTTTCTTTCTTTCTTTCTTTCTTTCTTTCTTTCTTTCTTTCTCTCTTTCTTTCTTTTTCTTTCTTTCCTGCCTTCCTGCCTTCTTTCTTTCCTTTCTTTCTCTCCTGCCTTTCTTTCTCTCTCTCTCTCTCCCTCCCTTCCCCACTTCGCTCTTTCTCTCTTTTTTTCTTCTTGATACAGAATCTCACTCTGTTGTCCAGGCTGGAGTGCAGTGGTGCAACCTTGACTCACAGCATCCTCTGTCTCCTGGGTTCAAGCAGTTCTCATGCCTCAGCCTCCCAAGCAGCTGGAACTACAAGTGCATGCCTGGCTAATTTTTTGTATTTTTAGTAGACATGGGGTTTCGCCATGTTGGCCAGGCTTGTCTCGAACTCTGGTCTCATGTGATCCGCCTGCCTCGGCCTCCCAAAGTGCTGGGATTACAGGGGTAGCCACCATGGTAGGCCCAG
Source organism: Homo sapiens (assembly GCF_000001405.40). Classification (NCBI taxonomy): domain Eukaryota; kingdom Metazoa; phylum Chordata; class Mammalia; order Primates; family Hominidae; genus Homo; species Homo sapiens. The sequence goes on from NC_000013.11 coordinate 46,537,766, forward strand.
ATATTTCTTTATGGCCAATTTTTACACAGAAAGGCAGAGAGAGGGGAAGTTCGAGTAATATTTTTAGGTTTTATGGCTGGCTTTGAGGAAAAGAGATTCTGGTTTCTATGGCCTGCTTTGGGGAAGAAAGATTTGAGTTTCTATGGCTGGCCTCAGGGGAGAATGGGACTGAGAGATAGGAGGGCAGGAGAGGTCAGAGGACAACTTTTGTTTCTGAGGCCTTCATTTGGGGGTATTTTTTTCCCGAGTCCCAACTCTGCATTTATGTTCATTTTGTAGATAAGAAAATTAAGAGGCCAAGCGCGGTGGCTCACGCCTGTAATCCCAGCACTTTGGGAGGCCAAGGCAGGTGGATCACGAGGTCAGGAGATCAAGACCATCCTGGCTAACATGGTGAAACCCCATCTCTACTAAAAATACAAAGAATTAGCCGGGCGTGGTGGCAGGCACCTGTAGTCCCAGCTACTCAGGAGGCCGAGGCAGGAGAATCGCTTAAACCCGGGAGGCGGAGGTTACAGTGAGCCAAGATTGTGCCACTGCACTCCAGCCTGGGTGACAGAGAGAGACTCCATCTCAAAAAAAAAAAAAAAGAAAAGAAAAAAGAAAAGTAAGGCTTAGAGAACTTAAAGATCTTGCTCTAGATCATACAGCCAGTAATGGAAATAATGAATTAACAAAATTAATTTATGACTTTTGAAGAAAAGTTTTAGATTTACAGAAAAATTGAGTGGAGGGTGGCCAGGCGCGTTGGCTCATGTCTGTAATCCCAGCACTTTGGGAGGCCGAGGCGGGTGGATCACGAGGTCAGGAGATTGAGACCATCCTGGCTAACATGGTGAAACCCCATCTCTACTAAAAATGCAAAAAAATAATTAGCCAGGCCTGGTGGTATGTGCCTGTAATCCCAGCTACTCAGGAGGCTGAAGCAGGAGAATGGCGTGAACCCAGGAGGCAGAGCTTGCAGTGAGCCGAGATCACACCACTGCACTCTAGCCTGGATGGCAGAGCTAGACTCCATCTCAAAAACAAAAACAAAAACAAAAACAGTAGAAAAATTGAGTGGAGAGCACAGGGAATTCCCATATACCCCCACTCCCAATTTCCCCTATTATTAACATCTTGCATTGGTGTAGTACTTTTGTTGTAATTGATAAGCCAATACTGATATAGTAAAGTCTATAGTTTACATTAGGGTTCACTCTTGATCTTGTACATTCTGTGGGTTTTGACAAATGTATCATGACATGTATCCACCATTGTAGTATTATACAGAATAATTTCACTGCTCTAAAAATCCCCCATGTTCCACCAATTCCCCCTTCCTTCCCCCAAACCTCTGACAACCACTGATCTTCACTGTTTCCATGCATTTTCTAGAATGTCATGTAGTTGGAATCATACAGTATGTAGCCTTTTCAGATTGGTTTCTCTCACTTTGCAATGGGTGTTTAAGGTTCCTCCATGTCTTTCTGTGGCTTGGGCTCATTTCTTTATATAGCTGAATAATATTCCACTGTCTGAATGTACCACAGTTGTTTTATCCATCCACCTTTTGAAGGACATCTTGGTTATTTCCTGATTTTAGCGATTGTGAATAAAGCTGCTATAAACATTTGTGCGTAGGTTTTTGTGTGGACAGTTTTCAACTCATTTGGGTAAATACCAAGTAGTGGGATCACTGAATCATATGGCGGGATTATGTTTAGTTTTGCATAACTGCCAAATTGTCTTCCAAAGTGGCTGTACTATTTTGCATTCCCACCAGCAATGAACTGCCTTTTTTTTACACAGGATTTTATAAATTATAAAGCACTTTTCTCTGTACTGTTCTTGGATCACAGAAAGTCATATTTCTTCAAAAGTAAAGCTACATTATTCTTAGGTATGCTTGAACTTTTCCGTGTAATTATTACTGCCAAATAAACACTGACACTTATTCAGAACTATGCCAAACATTTCCTTTATATGTTTATCTTATTTAACTTTCATGACAACCTGGAAAGATGGGTATTATCATCCTCATTTTACATATAAGGAAACAGACTCAGAAAAGTCAAATATTAATATATTGCTTGAGGCCGGGTGCAGTGGCTCACACCTGTAATACCAGCACTTCGGGAGGCCAAGGCAAACAGATCACTTGATGTCAGGGGTTCGTGACCAGCCTGGCCAACATGGTGAAACCCTGTCTCTACTAAAAATACAAAAATTAGCCAGTCGTGGTGGCGGTTGCCTGTAATCTCAGCTACTCGGGAGGCTGAGGCAGGAGAATTGCTTGAACCTGGGAGGTGGAGGTTGCAGTGAGCCGAGATCATGCCACTGCACTCCAGCTTGGGTGACAGAGTGAAATTCAGTCTCAAAAAAAAAAAAAATATATATATATATATATCTTGAAGTGACAAAGCAGTTCAAATCTAGGGCTGCCTGTTGCCATATCCTGTGTTTTTTCCCCTCCACCATATTACATTCCGTCAAGGTGAATTGTCAGGAAAAATTGTGAAAGACTTTGAAGAGGGGGATAAAAAAAGAAAAGGACTACTGAGTGTCCTGTCTAGTGTATCCTTCTGAGTTATCTCTTCCTTTCATTTTCTTGAGCTATTTTACCACTCTGTAAATGGTAGACAACTAATAATAATGCAGATGACTCTTGTCCATAAAATTGCAAATGATTTGTTTCTGGTGGAGGGCAATTGATTATTGCCCTGTAGACAGACTGCTTTTTGTATCTACTTGTGAATTCATGTGAGCATTCCTTATCTGCCTATACATGTGTATGTTAATTTGAATTTTTCCTTTGAACGGGCTGAAATATCTTACTGGCTTCACTCATTAATTAATGAGTTAAAAAAATTCCTTGACAGATGTTTATTTCATATTTTTTCCTCTTTTTTTTTTTTGGAGACAGAATCTTACTCTGTTGCCCAGGCTGGAGTGCAGTGGCTCAATCTTGGCTCACTGCAACCTCTGCCTCCCAGGTTCAAGCCGTTCTCATTCCTCAGCCTCCAGAGTAGCTGAGATTACAGGTGCCCACCACCCCACCTGGCTAATTTTTGTATTTTTAGTAGAGATGAAGTTTCACCATGTTGGCCAGGCTGGTCTCGAACTCCTGACCTCAGGTGATCCACCCTCCTCAACCTCCCAAAGTGCTGACATTACAGGCATGAACCACTGCGCCCAGCCTATGTGTTTATTTCATATTTGTAAGAGAGTCATAATTTTACCCTTAAAACAATCTTTTAGCAAAATGTATTTTGCATGTGTATGTCAATATAATCAGAAACAAATGTTAGGATGGGCGCGGCGGCTCACACCTGTAACCCCAGCACTTTGGGAGGCTGAGGCGGGCAGATCACTTGAGGTCAAGACCAGCCTGGCTAACATAGTGAAACCTCATCTCTACTAAAAATACAAAAATCAGCTGTGGTGGCAGGCATCTGTGATCGCAGCTACTTGGGAGGCTGAGGCAGAAGAATCACTTGAACCTGGGAGGCAGAATTTGCAGTGAGCCAAGATCACACCACTGCATTCCAGACTGGGCGACGGAGCAAGACTCCGTCTCAAACAAAAACAAAACAAATATTAGTGTTACTTCACTGTCTAACTTAGGTTAGTGAATACACTAACCTAAGTGTATTCTTAGGTTACCTAAGTGTGACTAAGGAATCACTGTCATGATTCCTTAAGTGTCCACAGCAACAGCATATCAAACAGTAGGAAAATCCCCATCCCTCTGTACTTGCCCTAAACCCACTTGGCTGACTAGCTGCCCTCGAGATTGATGGTTGGGAGAGTCTTTCTCTCAATTCCTTTTCCAATGCTGCCCCTTCATCACTTCTCATTTCCCTCTGTACATTTTTTGTTCTTTTTCTGCAACATTAGGTCTCTGCTCATCAATGCAATATAAACAAGGTATTATTAGAGGGGGAATATAGGGAATATACAATAGCCGCCTGCCTAAGAATTTTAGAACTGAATTTGTTTGCAGTATTTCACACATCTGATAGTATGACAGATTATTATTTGTTTTGTGGATTATTCAGGCTACTAGTTTTCTCTACTGCCAGCTTTAGGCCATATGTAATTTTTCCTACTCTGACTTGGCAGGGGACACATTAGAAATATATCTTTCTTTGGATGAGAAGTACTGTCAAAACGCGTTTGGTAGAGCAGAAAGCTGACATCGTTGATCAAACTGTAATTTTGAAAGTTATGAAATCTCAGAGAAAAAAGAGATTTTAGGCACACACTATTCACTCCCTTTATTTGACAAATGTGGAAATTGAGCTCCAAAGAATCTAAATGACTTAGCCACAGTAACACAGCTGGCTGTTGGCCTTGCTGGAAATATGGCTGTATCTTCCTCATTCCCAGTTCAATTCTCTTTCCATTACACATAGTATTTAAATGACCTTGGCCTTCAAGAACTCTAATTAGCACAGTAGTTAAGAAATAACTATAGCATGCATTATTCTACTGAACTTTTGTGATCTAATGAAATCATGCAGTTTATAAAAGCTTATTATTTTACTCATTTGAAGGAAACACCAAAGGCAAGGTCAAAAAGAGCAAATTTGCATGTAAATTACAATTCACAAAAATATATTTTAAGTTAATGCCACATCTACTATTCTCACCAACTGGACTAGGTCATATGGCAGCTACACATTCCATTTCCCTCCATGTATAAAAGCCCTCTGGGTTTTCCTCTTAGCTCCCTGAAGTTATGCAGGGGTGGGCTAATGAATGCTGAACACATATTTGTTTGCCTACTTAATTCAATAGTTAATGACTAAAACAAGAGTCAATTATTAAGAGCCCTGCATTAATATCTCTCATTTGCATTCAAATTATTTTTTAAAATAAAAGGAAGTCTGAAAGGAGAAGCAAATAAGAGCCTGGCCTCATTTTTAGAAAACCATAAGCCTAGACCATCTCTTGGACTTTTAAGTATGATAAAGTGAAACAGATATTTCTTAATGAACCATCTAGATCCAAACAGTCCCATTTATAGAAAGAGGCACATATAATTTGAAATGGTGAGTGAAAAACAGGGTAACCTAATATGTAGCAAGGACCTGAAAGATGTGTGACTCTCTCATATCAGATTATGAGGCTACCATCCACTGTCCGGGAGATCTGAAATTTAAGGTTCTCCTACTCTCACTCCCATCACCATAATACACACTTCAATGCCAACCACACAAGATAATCTACACGCTTACCAGTTTTTCGTCTAACGAGGTGTGAAAACAGAAAGCACCTGCTTTTGTTACTGGTATCTAATGTGGTTTTCTGACATCAGGCTTCACAAATTTCTTTCCCCTCCTCCATAATTCACTGAGCAATCTGGAGCCCCTTGGGGAAGGTGCTGAGTGAAAATCTGGTTAATGTAGCCAACAAACTCAATACTAAAGCCTTGGCCTCCTGATTTTTAACTTAAAGAAGTAATGAGTTGTTTAATTAGATAATATTTATTCCTGTGTGTGAAACAACTTGAGCTACTCTAAATTCTAGGTATATGGAAGGTGATGGATGACTTAAATGTTACCCAAACACATTTATGCCATTTGCCACAAACTCAGCCTAGAGTAAAAGGAACCTCAGTGTCCTACTTGCAGACTCATGCAAGGGATGCCTTGTGTCATTAGGAAGTGAGCCACACACTGGGCAGCCATGCTGTTCACGAGGGCAGGCCTGTGCCCCAACCCGTAGGTGGGTGGCCATTCCCTGCTGTTGACATATGGTGTCCCATCATTAGCCAGATGGCAGAAACACTGGAAAGGGCCTGAGCACACATGAGTAATCTAACCTGGCCATGGGAGGCGATTAGAAGAGGCTGGGTGAGGATCAAGGCAAGTAGTGTGTAGCCATGGAGGCTGACAGGGGAGTTTAAAGTGTTAAAGATGGGCCTGGGGTCAGCATGGATGACCTTTCTTCATCAGCACCACCTCAACTAACCCCAGCCTCTACGCATGTGCTGGAAGACAATTCTAACGTCACACAATTCCTTCTGTGCCCAAAGGAAATATCAGAGGTTTAGGAGAAAAAAACTTGCTGTGAGTAAAAGGTAGAATATTTTCTGAGATAGTCTCATGGAACTAACTAAACTAACTACTTCTCTCAAGATGTTTTTTCAACGGGGAAGATTTGTTCAGAGTCAGAGTTGACTAGATGATGCTTGATCAGCCCTAGAGGGTTCAGAGAGTCTCTAATACCTTTGAAATTGTATAAAAAACTGTATGTGTAGGATATAGTGTTAATTTTTCTAGGGAGAGGCTACATCTCTTGCCAAAAATCTTCAAAGGATTTGTCACTCCCCCAAAATATTTTGCAGCTACTGATCTAGAGGTTCAGGGAACCCTGCCTTTCTGATTATGGCAGAAAGGATCCTGAAAGGTCATTACAGGAAGTAGACTAGCTAATCACGGCCTTGTATTATGCCTGGACTTTGGGTACTCAATATTGCCTCTCAGCTTGACCAGGGTACAAGGCTTGTCCTGTCCCAGAGACAACTAGCAAGAGCATCTCATGTCCCTTGGACCAGCTCTGACTACAGTTCTTACCTAGCGTCAGCCCTGTACGCCAGCACCCTAGACCACAGCCCTTTAACAAGCCACTCAGAGTGAAAGCAAATGAACCACTGATGGAAGGACACAAGCAGATCCCCAAGCATGGCAGGTAGTGACATAATTGGTGACTTCTATTCCCACTAACAGGGACAAAGAAAAAACACTGTATAGGAAATAGACACTTGAGTTTTAAGCAACATTTTGCACTGGCCAGATGCATGACATTGGGTAGTTCACCTTCATGCATTTATTTCAGTTTCCCAATCTGTAGTATGGGGAAGCTGGGCTAGATTCCTTAGGCCTCCCTGGCTGAGGAGCTGACAGGCTGTGTCTGAACTCTGGTGTGTCCCTGTCTACAGAAAGGTATTTGGAGACAACTGGTCCTTATTAGGAGCCAGTTAATTTTTCTATCTTAAACACCAAGTTATATGTTTTAGAGGAGTATTTAGTTTTGCAGTCCATAGAAGTATTATGAGCAAATAGGCACATTCAAGGGGAAAAACAGCACTTGTGGGTAGCATCAATAATTCAGGGACAGGTTAATATGCTAATTAGGGCTGAAAACTAAAGAGTAAATATTTCTGAGTACAATGGGCACCTGATCTGTGGTTTCTGGTTTGAATTGTTCACAAATCTCCCTTCCCACTGCCAACCTCCTGTTCTGCTCTTAGCAGATGGGATATATTCAGACTCTTGGCCCATCAGCATACAGTCCCTAAAGTGTCTGAACTGTTGCTTTGGCATATTAGTGTTCTTACTCAGGTCTCCTGATCTTTTAAATCCAGGATCAGAGGAGGCGCCTGAATTCTCATCTCCTTTCTTTCCCTGGATGTCTCACCTGTGAGTGTCCAGTCCATCCTTATCCCACTTTCTCCTCCTGGGCTCACCAATCTTACCTTCTTCACGGGCCTTTTCTTTCTTTTTCTCCTTTCAAATCTTCTCAAATTTTCCCCATCTTAAAAACTAAACCAGTTTTCTCTGCTTTATTTGTTTTTTAGTCAACTATTAATCTTTTTCTTTCTTCTAGCCCCCAAACGCTTGGAGTAAGTAACTTACACCTACTCTTTCTACTTTCTTTGCCTTCTCCTTACCTCTGCAGTTTGGATGTTGATAAACTGTCCTAGAACTACTCTCTCAAAGACAGAGGATTTTCTGTGTCCCCCAAGTCTTTGCCTCTTGCATTTGCTATTATTGCAGGACAAGGACAGAGCTCTCTCTGTTGCAACTCCAGTACCAAACATTACCTGTGAGTTAGAAGCGGTTCAGCAAATCTTTGTTGAATACAGACTCTGTGGTCTTTTCCTTTCAAAAACTTCTTGTCCATCCATCCTTATGCATGCCCTGTGCTCCATCCTAGTCCAAGCACCCTTTGTCACACCTCCTATACCTGGTAACACTATTCTGGCTTGCTTCTTCAATTCCAATTCATCCTGCAGAGTATCATTTCATTTACATCTTCCTTGGGACTCACCCATGACTTCAATGACTATTGCTGCAAACTCAATCTTCTGAATTGGTATTTTTAAAATGTAATTAATTAACTGATTTATTATTATATTGATTAATTATAGATGCACAAGGTAAAACTGAACAAACAGATATCTAGAGAAAGAGAAGTCTTTCTCTCATCCCATTCTACCAGTTTTCTTTCCCATAAGCCATCACTGATAGCAGTTTCTTGTCCCTCCTTGCAGAGACTTTCTGTGCTAGACAATTGCTTCCTGATTGGACTATGGCTCACCATCATGCCTGGGGCCCTGTCTTGAATCCTAGCCAGTTGGGCTAGGGTCTTGTTTACCTCCTGGGCATTCTCCCATTGTGGGCTGTGCCATACATCCCCCCAGGCAATGATTTATGATTTGCTTCAATTGGCATAGTCTAAGATGATCCTTGCTCTTAGAAGAGTATCTGGGACTCCAGCGGCTGTGACCAGACATGCAGGTAACACTCCCCTGTGGGTATTATGAGGTATTCCAACACTGTTCACCCTCACTGGGGTGGACTTCCTTTCTGGTCAGTCCTCTATCCCAACCACGCTAATTCTGGCTTTACTCTCTCTGCAGCAACCAGAAATCGAAGAAAGTCCTAACTGGTTTTACTTTTGAACTGTGGTGAGTTGTGCTACGTGTTGACCTGATTTGCCAACAGATAAAATGAGATGACCATGTTCCTTTGCTTCTGCACTATTGCTTCACTGTCTAGCAGGACCTCTCTTTAGATGTCGCACTGGCAGGATTTGAGAAATAACTTGGGGCGTTAGACAGCTAATGTTTAAACCCTGTGTATGTGAATAGTGATAGCATCTGGGTATGGGAAGCTTAACGCCATTGTAGCCAGAGGGCATTTTCTGCTAAATCTGGAGAGAACAACCACTCTGGGAGCCTCTGACTAGACCCTAATGACAGCCTTAAGTTCGGAAAATATCCCTGTAATGATATCAAGAGTCTTAAAAACGGCCTCTGGGGAACATGAAAATTACTGCTTTAGTTTGATGCAAAGTACCTTAACTACAAATAGGAAGACTTTTTTGTCCTTTTAAAGTCCACCTAATGAACAACAGGCCTGAAAAGGTACTTAAAATATTGATTTGGAGGTACATTTTGATCAGTTGAACTGCGATATAATTGGCGATCGAAAGATGACACATCCATGAGAGAGACTACCCCAGTCCAGGGTTTCTCAAAGTGTGAGCCATGGATAACAGTCTTGCAAGATGAGATTTATTGGTCAAATATATAGGAAAAAACTGCAGTGAATCATCTTTCCTTCTTCCATGTTCACAATGTACATTAGCATATCAAGGATTCAGAGAAGTGTGTTAGTAAAACAACTTCTAAACTTTTAAATTAACCCTTTGTCTCCCAAACTTATTTGGCGAAAAAATGTTTTATGCATAGTGCCTGTTAGCAGCCTAAAGAACTAAGGTTCAGAGACACACACACTGGATAATGCTGCTTCAGTTTATTCATGCAAGTTAAATGATTTACGGTCATGCGATGCACAATGACGTTTTGGTCAGTGACAGACTGTATGGAATGATCGTCCCATAAGATTATAATACCAAATTTTTACTGTACTTTTTCTATATTTAGATATGTTTAGATACCCAAATGCATACTTACCACGGTGTTACAATTGCCTATAGTATTCAGTATTGTAACATGCTGTACAGGCTAGCTGCAATAGGCTATACCATATATAGCCCAGGTGCATAATAGGATATACCATCTAGGTTTGTGTAAGTATACTCCATGATGTTCACACAACAAGAAAGTCATCTGAAATGTACTTGTCAGAATATATCCCCATTGTTAAGAGAGACATGACTATATTAATAAACAAATAACTGGTTCCTCTAAATAATTCACATATTCATCATATTACAAACCAATAATACAATATGCCTATGTTATAAACCAATAACATAATATAATGAACTGGTGAAACATTTAGGTGAACCAGTTGCAATAAAGCTGTTTTTTAATATTATCTGTTATCTAACATTTACATTTGCTTTTTTTTTAAAGTCAGGTATTTAAAAATCGATTTTCCTTTTTTTTTGAGATGGAGTCTTGCTTTGTCACCAGGCTGGAGTGCAGTGGCACGATCTCGGCTCACTGCAATTTCCGCCTCCCGGGTTCAAGCGATTCCCCTGCCTCAGCCTCCCGAGTAGCTGGGACTACAGGCACATGCCACCATGCCTGGCTAATTTTTTTTATTTTAGTAGAGACGGGGTTTCACCATGTTGGCCAGGATGGTCTCGATCTCCTGACCTTGTGAATCCGCCTGCCTTGGCCTCCCAAAGTGCTGGGATTACAGGTGTGAGCCACCGCACCCGCCCTAAAAATCTATTTCTTTATAAGTTAAAGTCTTATTAGTTGATGCCTTTTGGTCCTTATTTTCTAGTGAATTCACCTGGAAGCCTCCTAAACCTCTGGCAGGAACCAGAGGGTTTGCTACTGCTCACTGATGTTTTTTCCTTACAACTTACTTAAGGAGATCTCAACCTCCTTAAGCCAAAATATTCTTTTATTATTATTATTTTTATTTCAATAGGTTTTTGGGGAACAGGTGGTGTTTGGTTACCTGAATAAGTTCTTTAGTGGTGGTCTCTGAGATTCTGGTGCACCCATCACCTGAGCAGAGCACACTGGACCTAATGTGCAGTCCTTTCTCTCTCACCACTTCCCACTCTTTCCCCCAAGCCCCCAAAGTCCATGTATCATTCTATTTTTTCTTTTTTTAGACAGAGTCTCACTCCGTCGCCCAGGCTGGAGTGCAGTGGTGCAATCTCAGCTCACTGCAACCTCCGTTTCCCAGTTCAAGTGATTCTCATGCCTCAGCCTCCCCAGAAGCTGGGACTCCAGGCGCACGCCATCACACCCAGCTAATTTTTGTATTTTTAGTAGAGATGGGGTCTCACCATGTTGGCCAGACTGGTCTCAAACTCCTGACCTCAAGTGATCCGCCCACTTCGGCCTCCCAATGTGCTGGGATTATGGGCGTGAACCACCATGACCAGCTGTTGTATCATTCTTATCCTTTTGCATCCTCATAGCTTAGCTCCCACTTATAAGTGAGAACATATGATTGGTTTTCCATTTTTGAGTTACCAAAATATTCTTTTCATTACAATCAGCTTCTAATCCACAGTGGTCCAAACCAAGTTTTCCTCAGGTTTTTTCAAAATCCTATTATCACTCATAAGTTCTAGGTCAGAATGTTGTCTCTCCGTTATACAATTGGTTATATTATCTCATATAATTTCTTAAAAAGCATTGATTTAAAAACAAAAATCACACATAAATGAAAATTGACATTTCATAAGACCATGTACACATATTTATGAAGACAGAACAAGGACTAAAGTATAGGTTATTGATTTATCAAGACTGCTCCTCTATTGTCATTCAGAGAATGGTCAAGAAGCCAGCTTCTCTGAGAATCCTATCTTGAGGCATAGATTCTGCAGTTTCTTTATTCCGCAGGAACTGCTGTAGAAAGGAGTACTTAAATAAAGTCTCCCTGGTCTAGGAGCCAGAACTCCACCTTAATCTGGGAGAAAACAGGGAAATAAAGTGGCCAGAGGCTAGTAGCTACTGCTTTGTTGCTTCAAGAGAAGGAAGTATGAGCCTCTATGAAGGGGTTGAGGTTTTTTGCTGGGGACTTTGGGGCACAGAATGTAAAAAAAAAACTGCGTCTGGACAATAGTCAGCTATGAAGTATTTAAAAATGTAAAGGGGCTGGGTGCAGTGGCTTGTGCCTGTAATCCCAGCACTTTGGGAGGCCGAGGCTGGTGGATTACCTGAGGTCAGGAGTTTAAGACCAGCCTGATCAATATGGTGAAACCCCGTCTCTACTAAAATACAAAATTTAGCCCAGCATGGTGGTGTGCAACTGTAGTCCCAGCTAATTGGGAGGCTGAGACAGGAGAATTGCTTGAACCTGGGAGGCGGAGGTTGCAGTGAGCCGGGATTGAACCACTGCACTCCAGCCAGGGCGACAGAGCGAGACACTGTCCCATAAATAAATAAATAAATAAAGGGGCCAGGCACAGTGGCTCATACCTGTAATCCCAGCACTTTGGGGAGGCCAAGGTGAGTGGATCACCTGAGGTCAGGAGTTTGAAACCAGCCTGGCTAATGTGTTGAACCTGCATCTCTACTAAAAATACCAAAAAAAAAAAAAAAAAAAAAAAATTAGCCAGGCATGGTGGCAGGTGCCTGTAGTCCTAACTACTCGGGAGGCTGAGGCAGGAGAATCCCTTGAACATGGGAGGTGGAGGTTACAGTGAGACTCCATCTCAAAAAAAAAAAAAAAAAAAAAAAAGAAAAGAAGATTAGTTGATGTGAGCACAGCTTAAGAAAATGCTTGAAAGCAGGTGACTAGACTTATGTATGACTAACTTCCTTTTAAGAAAACCAAGGGTCTCAGCAAGTACAGTAGTTCCCAGAGTTTTTGATTTCAGAGATAAACAACATCAAAATAATTGGTAACTGACTTTAGTAACCTCCTTTTGTTATTTTTTGAAAAAGGATACTTAAAAAACACTACAATTTATTGTTACCATTGTTTTGGTTTTTTTTTTTCATCAGAAAAAAAAATAGTGAAGGCACAGCCTCACAATTATATATAATTTTTGAAATTAAATACATTCAGGTTCATGAAAAACTCAGGACATTGTCCTATTTTTTTTTCCTCATTTTATCAGGGTCATTTTTTCATCAACTAGCTGATTCACATAGAAAAATCCTGAAACACATATTATTTATCTTCAGAGAAATTCATGTTGATGTTACTAGTTGCATCAAATATCTCAGCCAGACAACATTATTTGTTGAATCTTCCAGGCAGCGGATTTTTTTAAAAGGGCCTGATTCCTGCCCTTAATAGCAAAAGGGTGCTGTTTTCAGAATAAGTAAACAGGGTATTAAACAAAAGAGAGATGTCCATCTTCTTGAAGAAATAGTGAAGAAGCAAGACAGCAAGGGGAAATGGCTTGTCGAGTTTCTTTAATATTTAGAAATAATCAAGATCATTTTCAAGGGTCAAGTACTCTCTCCCATTTTAAGAAAAACTCCTTCATTCAGGGAAATCATTTGAAACTTTAAAGATGTATCAACAAGTACCCCATAAATTTATACAAATAAAAAAGGACATATCAACAGGTGGCAAACCTGTTAAACACATGGTCTATTATGCAATACTTAATTGATTACTAATATTAATTGTGCACTCATTATATACAAAGTACTCCCCTCGATTCTGAGGCATGGGGAGAGAGTTGCAAAGATGAATAGGTCCCTATTTCATGGAATTTACAGTTTAGTAATCTGTAGATGGGTAAACAAACCACAATGAGTAGGTCAATCTAACAGAGGGACTGATCATTTGTTAAAAAGCAAATCGTGGGCTCATATGCAATCCATTATTTTCTTTAAAGAAGAATTAGTGGTCTTTTAAAAAAATATGTATGCTTCCTATGATGCATCACAACGACTCTTAGTCTGAACTAAATTTGCAGTCAGCCAGAAGATGTCCCAAATCATGTCCTGACTGCTGATCACACAGACTACCACCTGGTTTCAGCTGAAGATTCTTTTAATTGGATTTTTTTCTGTGTTTCTGTTTTTCACTGGATTTTGTTTTTCTCTGTTCCTCTCCCTGGAGGAAAGTGGAAATTTGGTTACTTTTTTGTGATGGAAGTATACTTTCATTTATTATTATTGTCGTTATTATTATGAATTTTGAAGCCGGACTTTTAAAAGCCTGGAAGGCTGCGGCGAATGGCATGTGAGAGGGGAGGTTTGCGGGAGGATACCAGCAGGTGGCGCGTGTCTCCTCCGGGCAGATTAGAATGCTTTGCTCAGGGCCAAGAATCCCGCAGGAATTAAGGGCAACTATCTGTGCAGTCAATTCAAGTGACACAGATCATGCCATACTTAAGTGCCGAGTCCATGAAGTCACCAGTTCCAGCCTGTTGTCTAGGCCATCAAACTTATGTATTACCACTTAAAAAACCAGCTCCCCTACTCCAAGGGTTGCATTACTTTCGTGCTTGACACCCCGACAACCCCGCACCCACCCCCCGACTCATTTTCCCCAAGCCAAGTCGCTCATAGGGGACAATCAAGCCTTAAGAATAGAGCAAAAATAAAGGCCCTGGAAAGTTGGACATGAAGCTTTAACTTCAGGAAAGGAATGGTATTCTATTAATCGTCCAGCTGGTCTGCCCTTAGGGTGTCAGATGTTCTCTGTCGCCCCTGGTGTGCCAGCATTGGCCTGGGTGCCACTGGGTGGCTGATGGCAGAATGTGAATTCACTTGCAAGCGGACATGTTCGTTTCCATGCCCCAAAGCGGGAAGAAGAAGGGCACAAGGAGACTTCGATGGTTCTTTCAGCTCAGACTCGAGCTGTGACTGATTTGCTGTTTGGGGTCACTGGCTTTCTAGCCTCTCCTGGCACCACCCAATTTCGGGGAGCAGCCAGCTCATCTTTCTCCTACGACAATGTCTTCTGTCCCCCATAAACACTGCCCTCATTTTGAGTTTTTCTTTCCTATGTCTGTAGCTTTCTTCTGCCGCTCAGCAAACACTCTGTCCCACTCGTATTCGTCCCTTGGCGCTGGCGTCTGGCCCAGGGGTACACTGTGAAGGAGGGCAACCCTAGATTCTGAGGGCCCTAGCTCGAATCTAGCGCCCCTCTAACTGCAGGGGTGACCTTAGATACATTTATTAACTTCCTCTGTAGACTCAGGGGAACAACTTTGGCACTCCTGGGGTCCCTGGATTAATGAGGTAACTTACGTAGACTCCCTAAACAAGCGTCTGGTTCATTGTAAGCGCCCAAATGCCAGGGGGCATCTGCAGGGATGACCCCATAGTGAATGAAAACTGCCTCTTGGGGATCTCTGGGTTAAACGGCCAGAATAAATCGCAGAATTGAGAGAACCCTCTCCTGCCCCAAACCTCACTGTACTGTAAATCCCATTCATTGCCTCCCGCCGTTTTATCCGTGTTCTCAGACCACCCCCCTATCCCCGCAACCTCCAGTCCCCTAAAGCCTCCTGGGCGGCAAAAGGACGCCCAGAGAGAGGTTCGGCGCCTCAGTTGCCCCGGAGCAGACGTCCAGCCCCGCCGTGTACCCGATTGCGGGGCGGATCGCGGCAAGGCGGCGGCGGCCGGCAGAATAGGCGCGGAGGAAGGCTCAGGCGGGGCAGACTGCGTGGGGGAAGGAGGAGGAGAGAGCAGACGGCGGAGGAGGGCAGAGCAGCCGGGGGGAGGGCGCAGGGGCGGGAGGAGACACATGCGCGCTGCCGCCGCCGCCGCCGCCGCCGCAGTCCTTAGCTTCCCGGGGACAGGAAACCTTCAAGACCGAGCTGCCACGGCCGCCTCCCCGCCCGCCCCCCATTCTACGCGCCTGCCCACACCCTCCTCCCCTCCTTCCAGCGCCTTTCGGTGGAGCACTGCGGCACTCAGCCCGAGCTGCCGTTTTCCCCTCGCGGGGAACGCTGTGACCCCCCCGCAGGAGCGGCGGGGCGGGGTGGGGGGGCCCGGGAGAAGATGGCGACGCCGGGAAGCGAACCCCAACCTTTCGTCCCGGCCCTTTCGGTAGCTACTCTGCACCCACTTCATCATCCCCACCACCACCACCACCACCATCAGCACCACGGAGGAACCGGCGCCCCCGGCGGGGCGGGTGGTGGCGGCGGTGGCAGCGGGGGCTTCAACCTGCCCTTGAACCGGGGTCTGGAGCGCGCGCTTGAGGAGGCGGCCAACTCCGGGGGGCTGAACCTGAGCGCCAGGAAATTGAAGGAATTTCCCCGTACCGCAGCCCCCGGGCACGACCTCTCGGACACGGTGCAGGCAGGTGAGTGAGGGCCGAGGGGCGGGCAGGGGTGTGGGTGCTGTCTGGGTGTCTGTCGTGCGTTCCCTAACGCGGTGGACAGTCGGAGATCTTGTCTTGCTGGGGGAGGGAGGGTCCATCGGCCCGTTGTCTCCCGAAGAAGGGACTCGCGTGGGCGCGGAAGAAGCGGGCCCTGGAGAGGGCACGGGGGCCCTGCCTGGTCCGGCGATGCAGTGCCAGGAGGGCAGGGGTGCGCCGGGCCTCTGCGCCTGAGAGCGAGGGGTCTCCGGCTCTCCACCCTGTGGCTGCCGCGCCAGGGAAGTAACCGCGGGGCTGGGACTTGCAGGCGCGCCGCGTGCGCGCAGTGTAAGTGGGAGGTTTCAGGCGGCTGTGTCGGCTTCCTGGGCCCCGCGCAGGGCTGGGAACTCCAGCGCGGACAGCGGCGTCGGCGCCTCCAACCAGTTCAAGCCGTCTTTGCATCGAGGCGTAGCCCATCCTGGTGGGGAAACCCAGACAAAGGTGGCACGCCCTCGGCCGAGCCAGGGGCATCGGCGCAGTGCCGCGAGCCCCCTCGGCGACATCGCCGAGCGATCGGGCAACTCGGTGCCGCCTGTGAGGTGCCCAAGTTTCCTCTCCCTGCGCTTGTGCGGGAAAAGAGCCGCCGGGCTTGTAGTGAATCCCAGTCGGCTGCCGCTTCGGAAGCGATCGGCCCTCTTCCTTCCGTGCCTTTTGCTCACCGCCCACACAGTTTGGGTCCTACCACCGAGGCTACCTGGTTCTCAGTTACCCAACCGTTGCGGGGGCCCCAGGAAAGGACGGCGTGGCATATTAAAGGCAAAGTAATTAACGTGAGCCTGTTTTCCTGTGTGAGCCCGGCAAGTTGTAACTCGCGCCAATAAGCAGCATAACTTTTTCAAGTTACGTCATGTGTTACATACTTCTAAAACGTCTGCTTTCTCTTTGGTAGTTGGAGTTCCAGGAGCGGGATCTATAAACAGGAAGGAGGGTGGTGGAATAGGATTGGGGCCTTAGGGTCTATACAGAACTGACTTGGTTTCCGGCCATCCGGTTCCGCTCCCTGGGGGAGGGTTTGTGTCATAGCAAGCGCCCAACATTTCCCAGGGCAGTGGGTGCTCCGTTTTGGAGCCGCTGCCCAGACCTCTTGGCTGTCATCGCCTCATGGCCCAGGGTCAGACCCCCTGGGTCTTGGATGGGTTGACTCTCATCACAGGAGCACCCAGTTTAATCTTGTAGTGGGCAAGGGAGCAGGCAGTGGGTTTTTGGAGGCTAGGTTTCCAGTGTCTTTTCCCCCTTTTAATTCAATAAACATTTATCTAGAGCCTTAATGAATATTTAGATACAGTTCTGAGTTCACTGGAGGCAAAGATGGCTCTCCAGGGTCATTAAACTTTGTAATTTGGATTTAGGGATAGTCAGGAATCGGCAAAAAAGAGGGAATTTCCAAAGTTGAGCTGTCAACAGCTGGGGAGTGTCTTTCAATAAGACCTCTTAGTTACATCTTCTCAAGTGGAACTTATTCCAAGAATTGCCTGAATCACTGACTTAAAAAACTACATTAAATTTTACTTCCCTTCTGCTATAGAGTGTACCGTGAGCTAGCTATGCTATGGTTGGCTATATCTGCAGAAAATAGAGCTGGCATGACTAATAATAATAGGTTTGTGTAGTTCAGTAAGGGGGCTTCATAGTTGTTCTACTTCAGTTATGCTAAGGATTATTTACAAAGTTAGGTGAACTTGATGTGTCTGCTGTGTTGGCATTTCTTTGAGAAGACCAGTGCTTTTAGGGATCACATCTTTTAGCTAAGACCTCGCCATGTGAAGTGGATGCTGAAAGTGTTCTTGTTGGCTTGTTTATGGCAAGCTTAAGTTGTGAGTTTTGCAGGTTTTTATTTATGAGCTCACTTGCACATGTTTTATGCTCAGGAAAATCTAACTGGTTAAAATTCAGAGGCTTTATGTTAATTCCTCATCCAAAAATACAGTATTATTTGGGGGAAGAGGAGTGGAGGGATATTCATGTTTGTAGAAACTTAAGTCAACCCCATCAGAAAAGTATTCATTGCAGCTAGTTATTTTACATGAAATTAGAATACCCAAATGTATTAAATATTTGCTTCTGCAAAACGTCTTTGCCTCAGGTCAAAAGCTAGGTGTAAACCACATGTACTCTTTGTTCTAAAGATAAATTTAATTGAGCACAGTTTCTTATTTGAGAGACCAGAAAGCAAAATAAAGAGTTAAAGTTACCTCCGGTGTACACAGTGTTGACACAGCGTACATGTAAGAGTTCTAGTACAGTTGAAAGTTTGAGTAGTAACATTTATAATAAAGATAGTGGTTTCTCCTTGACTCATATTTACTTTAAGAATGTCTCTTAAAATTAGAATGGCATATGAAGATCCTTAAAGGCCTAAGAGGCAAAGTGGATTTTTTTTTCCATATATTTTCTAAGACAGGGAGTGGTAGAGCAAGCTTTTTCTCACAGTTTTGTTGTATATTACAGGCCATTTGGTTTACGCCTTGTAAAAAGTCAGGCTTCTGGCAGCCACCTGTGCAGAACTGCACCTGGGCAATATAGCCCATCTGAACAGAGTGGAAAACCAAGATGTAAACAAAGAAACATAGAATAGATGTCTAAGCTGTCACTCAAGTGCATATACTTTATTGATAGGAAAAAATTCAAGCTCTCATTTTGAGCCTATTAATTTACTTCTATTTGAATCAAAATAAGTTTTGTTGTCAGAGTCTAGTCTTTTAATAGGTGAAACGGGGAAAGAAAGACTGATCCACGCAGGTGCAGTGAGTGACACAGGTGTCACTGATGGAAAGGGACAAAACAGAAGAGCCACTATCAGCACTGGGTGCGCCTCTCTATGCGTTATCTGCATGATCTTAGTCCCCACTAGGAGCCCAGTCATACCCTCATTTATACATGGGAAGACTGAGACAGAGACAAGTTACATAATATGCTGAAGATTATACCTCTACTGAGATGGTCAACCGGTGATTGGAACCCTGGCAGCCTCACGTTAATTCATGTTCTTGACCATATTCTCATCAAGCAGAGGGAAGGGGTTGAGAGATAGAATCTGGGAGGCTTCCTGGAAATTCATTCAACCAGCATTGATTCCACAAGAATGTACTGAGCCCCTCTGAGTGCTGGCCACTGATCTAGGCACTGGGGACACAACAGTGACCAAAAGAGAATCCCTGTATCCCTTCTTGTGGAGTTCATTCTAGTTGGAGAATAGAGAGATACATGAATAAATTGATTTTGCAGGATAAATAGGATGAGTTACAGGATAGATGGAATATCTTTGTTTTATAAATACACAGATTGCTTTGTATTGACTTCAGGTGGCTTGTAGCAAGAGTATAAATGATGACTAGTAATACATATAATCTGAAGCATAAAATTGGGCCAAAGAAAAACAAGTACACAAATTTGCATATGAGTAAAGCAAATTTTTTTTTTTTTTGGTGCTGATTTATTAAGTAGTGTCGTTTTGAATGAAGAAGTTCAAAAGGGTATTTTGTACAATTAAAAGTGAATTGAAAAGGAGTAAGAAAAGAAAGTGGCTGATTGCAGGAGGTTCTAGAAAATAAAAAAGAAGCCCTTAGACTTGGCATGCAGGACACTTGTTGAAAGTCTTGTTAAGGAAAGTGGGGAATATTTCATTGCTAATTATCTTTTTGAGTTGGCTCTAAGCAGGAAAGACTATGGGCCAGGCACTGTGGCTCACACCTGTAATCCCAGCACTTTGGGAGGCCTAGGTGGAAGGACCACTTGACCCCAGGAGTTTGAGAACGGTCTGGGCAATATAGTGAGACCCCATCTCTACGAAAAATAAAATATTAGGCCAGGCACGATAGCTCACTCCTGTAACGCCTGCACTTTGGGAGGCCAAGGTGGGTGGATCACCTGAGGTCAGGAGTTTGAGACCAGCCTGACCAACATGGTAAAACCTCATCTCTACTGAAAATACAAACATTAGCCGGGCATGGTGGCATGTGCCTGTAATCTCAGCTACTCAGGAGGCTGAGGTGGGAGAATCACTTGAACCCAGGAGGCGGAGGTTGCAGTGAGCTGAGGTTGCAGTGAGCTGAGGTCGCACCACTGCATGCCAGCCTGGGCGACAGAGAGAGACTCCATCTCAAAAAATGAATGAATAAATAAGTAAATAAAATAAAAAATTAGGCGGGTGTGGTGGCGCATGCCTGTAGTTCCAGCTATGCGGACGGCTGAGGTGGGAAGCCCATAGGTTGAGGCTGCAGTGAAAGCCATGATCGCGCCACTGCACTCCAGCCTACGTGACAGAGTGAGACCCTGCCTTAAACAAACAAACAAACAAACAAACAAAACAAAGACTATGTGGGAAACAAAGAGCTTACTCAGGGAAGAATATTGAAGTGCAGCATTAAAAATACCCATTTATGTGTGAGGGAAGAGTTCTGTAGGAGATGCAAAGTATAAGACAATACAGGAATACATGAGATGCTAAATAACAGTTCCAGGAAGCCACTGAGGCCCAAGGCAGGTCAAGGTGAGGTGCCAAGTAGCACTGATGGACATTGTGTGTAGAATTCAGAGGAAAAGGTCATTTTCATGAGGATGCTTAGGAAAGACTTTGATAGCAGAGGTAGGATTTGGATCAGGTTTTGTAGGATGGATAGGATTTAGATAGAAGTGCCTATGAATATTCTGTGATTGGAAGGATGGTGCCAAGACGTGGAGTAAGAACCTGACAGTTGGCCGGGTGTGGTGACTCACACCTGTAATCCCAGCATTTTGGGAGGCTGAGGCGGGTGGATCACTTGAGGCCAGGAGTTCAAGACCAGCCTGGCCAAGACGGTGAAACCCTGTGTCTACAAAAAAAAAAAAAAAAAAAAAAAAAAGCTGGGTTCCTGTAATCCCAGTTACTCGGGAGGCTGAGGCATGAGAATTGCTTGAACCTGGGAGGTGAAGGTTGTAGTGAGCCGAGGTTGCGCCACTGCACTCCAGCCTGGGCGACAGAACAAGACTCTGTCTCAAACAAACAAACAAACAAATGAACCTGACAGTCTAAGATTCTGTGAATAAAAGAAACAGAGAGGGCATTTAAGCCTGTCTTTCTGGTCATATTCTTCTACCCAACTCCTGCCTTATAATGGAGTAAAGGCTACAGGGCTCTTATGACCCTTTAATTGAGGACTCCGGAAATGGCTGAAGCCTAGGATTTGTCAGCCTGTGGGAATAACACCCTAGCTCTGTGTGATCTGGCTCTCTCAAATGTCTGTACAGATTCAAAGGATCTTCTCTGAGATTTGTGGGTGGTTTTATCTCTTGAAGGCTGACTTCCACACCCTATTCCCATCCTAAAGCAATGGAGTCCTTGGGATGTTAGCACTCTTTAGTCGTTGGAATTCACAGAAGACTTGATAACAAAATCTAGTCATTTTCAACAACTTAACTTTATTTCATAATTTTTGCCATCAATATGTTTCACTATAAATATAATAAAATTTTTGAAATCACATGTGTTTCCTTAAAATGTATGTTCTTTTATAGTTATATCCAGTTTTGAATTATCGTTCTGCTATTGAATTAAATTTGGTAGTTTTTAACATACCTGTTGCTTTTTGTGGTGGTTACTATCAGATAAATGCCTTTGTTTATTACATGTATTCTAAATATTCTTCCATTCATAAACTATGATTCATATCCTTTTCTTTCCTATTACTATTGTTTTTTCTTCCCTGTTAAGGTATAGATAAATTCCAACATCAAACAAAAGCTTTTGGAACAACTCAGACAATATCTGTAGTGGTTCTGAATCACGTCTAGATGGGCCCTTCCACATGTCTGTGGTATATGGCAAAAACAGTCTCCACAAACCTACATGCTATTCTCATTGCTTGCATTACAGGCTGCTTTCTTGAAAAGGCAAGGACATACTAATCATGCTTCTAGAATAATAGCATACAATTATAGGCCAGGGAACCTCTGGGAATTTTTGGTCTGTGCCAGTTTATAAAGGAACAGCCCAAGGTTTGACCTTCATCACTGAGATGACTCTACTGGAGAGTTTGTCAGTCACTGCAACATCTGATTTGATTTTTGGTAGGTGTTTGATACTAGGCCACAAATTAGCACACCCTGTCATTTAAAAATTCTTGTTTAAATTATTGACTGAGACTTTTTTTTGTGTGCGTGTGTTACTGTAATGAACTGAAATTTCCCATGGCATGGCATAATAACTCTTTGTAATAAACATTTAAAGGGTAGATACCTTTTGAAATCCATGTTGACGTCGATTAATTCAGAAGTCAAACTTGTTTTGCCCGTGCTGTCCATCTGGTATATGTACATAGACTTTTTCTATTATATCATTCAACTTCATCATTGCTTGTTTAAACACAAGCTATTTTCCTCTTTTGTGTATACATTTCTGTTCCCCCATATATATAGACTTTTTATATTTCAGCTGGGCAGCATTTACTTGCTCTTAATGTCTCCCCATAATTTCCCTTCAGGTGTGGTACTGCATGTGCTTTTTCAAAGCCTTGATAATTTAAATGGCAGAAATGCTATTATTAACTCCATATAAGGTGGTTATGGGTTTGTCACTCAGGCCATGTGTAACTTGAATTTTTGTCTAAGCCTCAGAAAAACCTGTTTGTGAGGCCACTTTTCAGAATTTCTTGGGCTTTTTGGAAAATTGAACGTCTGTCTTGGATATTGGCTTGAGCTTAGATATGGCAATTCCACCAGTGATTATTTCAGTGATTGTGTGAATTGTTAGAATTAAGATAATTTGGTGTTAATTGCAGTGATTATTTCAAGTTATAAGATTGTAATCTATTATAAACGTGTTAAGGATGGAAGGCACAAAACCCAACTATTTTTCCATAGTGAATAATCTTTTTTAATGCCCAACTCATAGGAAGCCTAGCTTCTGTTATTGCTACTAGTCTTTTGTTGCATGAAAGATTTTTGTTTTTGCATCAGAATTTTGCCATGATATTTCAGAGAGTAAGAAAAGAAAAAAAGAAAAGAAAGGTCAGGGTTCCAAGTCAGACTTAATGTAGGAAAACTAGGCATTCTAATATAGACTCAAACATGAAATATGCCTGTGTTATTCTTCATCCTAATTTAAGAGTTTAGTGATATTGCTTCCATATTCTGCAGTAAGAAATAGTACATTTGGAAACCATCTCCTCCCATAAAGTAATTCAAAAATAAAGTGAGATTGTTTACATGAATAGAAAGTTGATGAACTGTGAGAATTGGGGCTTCCCTTGCTTACTCCAGCCATGCAATAGAAGGGAAATGCTTTTATAGTCAGATTTCTGTTCACTGTTTTTCCTAACCATATCCTCCTTCACTGGCCATAAAGGAGGATATAGCTGGAGAAAAAAATCAGAGAAGAACAGTATGTTTGATTTGCATAACAGAAATACTTCATATTTTGCTTGGTAAGAAATTATTGCTTCTCTGTTAATATGATGCTGGTGCTGAGGCAGCTCAACTGACTATACCTGAAATTCTTACCGAACATTTTTAAGTAATCGGGGACAGGTTATTTGATTTTGGGATCTTCCTAGATGTTTGTTTTTCTTCCTTCTGCTGTTTGCTTTTTTCCCTCAGTCCCTCTGCTGGAGGGGGACCTAACACAGGTGTGGGATGAAACTGAGCAGGAGCCTTCTAGCTCAGTGTGTCTTGAATTTCCTTTCCACTGTTCTTGCCAAATGGGCAGAAAGTGGCCCCCATCTTAGTTTTTCTAATCTTCTGGCTTCTCATGTGGACTTGCTTTTGACAGCTGACCCCTGCAGTGTGGTATGTATAGCTTTGGCACACGATGTGTTCCTCTGTTATTCTTCCCTATTTTTGATGTTTATGCCATACAGCGTGAGGAGTAGCATCAATATTTCTGATCTGGTTCAGTCAGCTTAGCTCTGATTTAACTACTTTATCTCTGCAGGCAATGGTGGCAATTCAAAGACAGCACCATCAACACACTGCTTGGCTTGCCCTTCCTCTGGATTGCCTTCATTTTGCTTTTCCAAGTCATTTACCTCATGTCCCTTCTCCTCCCTGTTCTGTAGGATTCTACTGACCCCACTCTCATTTCATCTGGGCCCCCAGCCTGTCAAAACAAACAGCCTCCCTATCAGCCCTTTCTTGCAGATGTCAGCACTGAATCATACATGACCTTAAGCCATCTTTGCATTATTTCCTTATGGCATTTTTTGTTTTATTGCCTTCCTCTGATACTTTCCCTATGTTTAACCTTTTTGCTCCTTCACTGGCCTGTGAGATTTGGCTAGACGGGACTTTTCCTGATTTTTGTATGGCTTCCATGCCCAGGACAGAAAATGCTAGAAAAACATTGATGGATTACTCTCTTTCCTCTTTCCTACACTTGGTCTCTGCATTTTTCATCCATCATCTTGGATCTACCCTGAAGTTATCCCCTACTTGTGCATAGTTTGCTGATCTGCTCAGATTTTCCTGTGAGAGCTGATTTTTCTCACATAGCCTCTTTTTACTTCTCAGTGTCATCCACTGTATTAGTCTGCTAGGGGCACCATGACAATATTCCTCAGACTGGGTGGCTTAGACAACAGAAATTAATTTTCCCATAGCTCTGGAGGCTGGAAGTCCAAGATCAAGGTGTCGGCAGGTTTGATTCTCCTGAGGCCTCTCTCTTGGCTTACAGGTGGAGGTTGTCTTCCTGGGTCTTCACAGGCCGTTCCTTTTTATACACAAATCCTTGTTGTCCCTTCCTGAGCCCAAATTTCCTCTTCTTATAAGGGTATCAGTGAGATTGGATTGGGACCCACCCATAGGACCTCATGTAATCTTCATTACTTCTTTAAAGACTTTGTCTCTAAATACAGTCACATTCTGAGGTGCTAGGGGTTAGTGCTTCCATTACTTTTGGGGGTCATAATTCAGCCCATAACGCCCACTGACTCACCCCTGCTGTAGCTGGTAGCTGGAGTTCCTCCCCCAGCCTGTGTAAACTGATCTTGGACTTGTGTGAGGCTGCCCTCAATGCTGCTCTTGCAGGAGGCCCAAGACAGGTCTGTTTGTTAACCATCCTGTCCTTGGAATCTAGCCCTGCACACACTAGCTACACCTGCATCCACGCTGAGAGTCCCAATAATGCTCCTGAGCCCTCGAATGTGCTGTAAAATGGTAAGAGAGCCACATATACACTTACAAATGGATGACTCCGGCTCATCTGGACCCCTCCTCCATCTCTCATAGACTTAGAATCTTTTCGGTGGTTGGTGGGTCCCTAGAGTCACACTTTATTTTTAGCTAAGGTGGGGTCACTTCTCACCAACATTTGCAAGTGTTCGATAAGCAATGTTACATCTAAAATCAAATGAGTTATAGTGAATTCTGAGGGAGATGGGCAGGTGTTTTATAATATCAAATATTGTTTGAAATTAGCAAATGAAAAACTAATCAATATCTTTTGAGCACTTATTGTGTAAGGAGCATAGCCAAAAATATAAAGGCATAGTTCCACCTAGTTTGAATTGGATGAGGATTAAAGAAATTATGTATTTGAAAGTCCCTTACACATACAGTACTCCAATTAACAAGTATTATTTCACCAAAGCCTTTCAGCCCTTAGCCAAATGGAATTTCTTCCTTTTTTTTTTAAGTATAGCTTAGTGATTAAAAATAGGGTTTCCTGAGCTTCAAAGACCTGTGTTCAAATCTTGGCCTTGTTGCTTATAAACTATGTCACTTTGGCCAGATGACTTAAACCCTATGCATCGGTTTCCTCACCTGTCAAATGGAGATAATAATAGTATGTACCTAGTAGAGTTGTCATGAGGACATTGGTTATAATAACAACAGCTAACATTAGCAAGCAGTTATTCTATGTCAGGTATTGCTCCAAGTGCTTTATATGCAAATATATGTATTAAATGTATGTAATAGATGTTTCACCTCATTTAATGCTTGCTACATGGTCTGTATTAACTAGAGTGGGGGCTCAATAACTCCAAGCAATGCCTTTCTATTGCAACCTGAAGAGGGAGATTAGAAATGTAGAAACCATCCATTCATATCTCTCCCTCATTTAATAGCTGAGGACACTAAGGCCCAGAGAGTATAATCATTTGGCCAAGGGTACACAGCATGGCAGTAGGTGCCAGAGCCAGGGCAGAGTCTCCCAGGCTCACATCAAAGGGTCGTTTCTGTGGAGCCAGGAGGTGACATTGGGATGAAGGGAAGGCTTTCCCTCATCCATAGGGTTCTCAGGTCAAACCCACCCAAACCAGCCAGGTTGTGGGCCTCCCAAAAAACAAAAAAAAATGGTGTGAAACCTTTAATAACAGATGGTCCAAACCTGGGGAGAATAAGATAAAGCTAACGGTAGTTACAGATGAGACATGTTAGTGTAGGATTTGACTGCATGTGGTTTGAGGGACATGCACAGGCCTCTTGTCAACTGGATTCCACATACTAAAGGAGTGTGCTGGGCAGCCCCCGACTCACAAACGGGGCCATCAGCCTTTCCTAGCAAGGCTTTGTTTCAGAACTTGGCATGCATTTTCCTATAAAAACAAGGTGGTAACCTGTGATTTGGTTCTCCCGCCAACCCACAAAGCCCTGTTTAACCCTAGCAGACCTGGGCCTTCTTATTAATGGTGGTTTCTTATTGTTTCTTTGGAAAAATGCAATCCCAGTTCCAACATGAAATCCCGAATCTGGAGAACTTGGCATCAGGCTGTGAATGAGGCCCCTGCCTCTTGAAAATAATTCTCTCCCCTCTGGCCATTCCGGCCAGGGGTCGGAGGTTCCCCACACCTCTCCCAGGTCCCTTGATCAGGGCACTCAGCGGCTGGGAAACAAGGGTTGGCATAAGTCAGGGATCCACTTGGACCTCAGGAAGGCCACTGGGCCAGGGAGGAATAGGCCGGGGAGCCACCCACCTGAGGGAGGCGTGCAGGAACTTAGACACTTCTCTATTTAATTTTTATATTTCTTCTGTATTATCTCCCCAACTTACTAATTTTGGAATTGGAAGCAAGTTAGTGAACTTTTCTGAACATCAGGTTTGTAATTTGTTAGAAGCGAAAATGCTCTTTATCCCTTGGGTGGTTGTATAGATTCAAAGGGTAATAGATAGCACAGGAGCAGGGCTCAGGTCTGGCAAACAGTGAGTGACTAGTAGAAAACCTGTCACTTTCTGTCCTTAATTTCCATGGGGCTATGTGACATAGTCTTCTTCAGTCACGTAGATAATTGGAAGCTGTCAGCCTATCATTAGCATAGAGGCTAAAGCACAAACTGTGGCTGGGTCTTTGTCCCTGCTCTGCCAGGACATGGCTACTACTTCACTTCCCTGAGTCTCAGTTTCCTCGTCATAAAATGGGGATAATAATTATAGAATTATTGTGAGGAACAAATGAATACATATGTCAAGTGCTTAGGTCAGTGCATGGCACTGATTTTGCCATTATGATTATTCTGTATCTTTAGAAAAGAGAGTCAGTGTTATAAGGCACAGAAAGACTAAATTCCTAGAAATGCTGTGACATTAATAAAATAACATCAGTATCCAGCAAGCTTGGGTGTACATGCTTTCAGTGTGTGTACATGTTATTTATATCCTTTCGGCAGTCTTGGGAGGATGGTAGCATAGGTGGTATTCATTATTCCATATTGCATGGGGGGAAACAGGCTGGATGGTGAAATGACTTTCCTTCGGTTATGCTGCTAGTCAGCAGTTGAGACAAGACCACATCTTCTGGGTTTTCATGCTGTTTTTATTCCTCAATTCAACGGTGTTCTTAGGTTTGATTTAATTTCTGCTGGGGCCGGGTGCAATGGCTCATACCTGTAATCCTAGCAATTTGGGAGGCCAAGGTGGGTAAATCACTTGAGGCCAGGAGTTTGAGACCAGCCTGGCCAATATGGTGAGACCCGTCTCTACTAAAAATACAAAAATTAGCTGGGTGTGGTGGTGGGCACCTGTAATCCAAGCTACTCAGGAGGCTAGGGCAAGAGAATCGCTTGAACTGGGAGGCGGAGGTTGCAGTGAGCTGAGATCACGCCATTGCACTCCAGCCTGGGTGACAGAATGAGACTCTGTCTCCAAAATAATAATAATAATAATAATAATAATAATAATAATAATGACAACAATAATTTCTACTGGGACAGAGGAGTCTTGAGGGGACTGAGTCTCGCAGAGAAGAGTGTGTTCAGGTTTCTCACAGTAGAGAATGGGGAACCCTATTCCTGTGCCACGTTGTGTATTCAGGTGAAGGGTGCTGGGGCCAGCTCTTGTTTTGGCCTCCAGATTGGAGGGGTGAGGAAGTGGTGGCTGGGGCCTCAGAGGAGGGCCTGGGGTGCCTGTCTTCAGTCTCTACGGAAGTCTTGTCATTGATTTAAAAGCTCTTCCAAGTTAAAAAACAAGCAAACAAATAAAAAACCATTGACAGTCTCTTCATGTTCTTGGCAAAGAACAATTTATGAATAATTTTATGTTCTTGACATGCTCTGAAGATGAATAGCAAACACTTCTACCAGAAGTGAAGAAATGGCTACTAGGAGGCTGAGCTTTAGGAATAAATATATAGTAGATTCAATTGTTATCTTTTTTTTCCCTCACTCTTTTACTGGCATCCAGCATTTATTTTGAACTTCAGTCAGAAGTTATTTCACTAAGAACCTTGTCATAGCTTCAACATCTCCCTGAGGCTACTGATATGGTAACTCGGAAGGGGGAATAATGTTTGTAGGGCCAGACTCATGTCTGGGTCCAGGGTCTTTCAGAATGTTCCTCTTTCAGTTCTCAGAACACCCTTGTGAGGTCGGGAGTATCATCGTTACTGAGAAGGGCACTTATCACAAGTTAGGCAGTCAGAGTATATTTGTAAGCCAGTAGTAAGACAGAGCCGAAATTGGAGCCCAAACAGTTGTTGAAGAAGTGCAGGATCCTCCTCTATTTTAGTGTCACTGAATATTTAGAGCTAGAGGAAGAGACCAGAGAAGG
This sequence comes from Homo sapiens, assembly GCF_000001405.40. Classification (NCBI taxonomy): domain Eukaryota; kingdom Metazoa; phylum Chordata; class Mammalia; order Primates; family Hominidae; genus Homo; species Homo sapiens. Next base: position 46,566,713 of record NC_000013.11, read on the forward strand.
AGATTTTGCAGATGAGAATCAAGCCTATGGCATTTCTACAGATGGTCCTCGGGGTGACATAGAGATTTTAGAGTTCATCCCCAAGTAGGACCCGGATTCCTGACTAATGTGATTTCCCCCACTGATCTGAAAGTGAGCTCAGAGACCCCAGATATATGCATGGGGAGTTCCAGCCCTAATCCTCACTTGTTTGTGATGGCCAGCTATCAGCTCCATTTCTAAGAATTGTGTTTTAAAGCAAGTCACAATTACTAGTTTTAAAAATTCTTCAAGGTATCTGTTATTAAAAAATATAGACACACATTTGGGTTTTCAGCTTTGGTATAAACTTTTCTTGTTAGACTTTGTAACACATGACCTAATTGAACAGTTTACTGATATTTTCTATAAACAGTTTACTGATATTTACTTTCCCTCCAGTGAGAAATGAACGAATTTCATCGAGTGCAAGACCAAGTTTACTTTCTAGAACATTACCTATAGAATACAAATGTTTACATTCCAAAGACTGTTTTATTATGTAATAAGAATCATCAATTTGACATATAAAAATATGTTTTATTTTGTAATAGAGATCTTTCTATACATTAATTACCTCTACAATTTTATAGATGAAATAGGGCAGCACAAGATTATGGCTAAAAAACAGATTTTTTTTGAGTGCATGCAAATCAAATCCAACTTAAAGGAATCTGTGCAATTGACGGCAAATAGATCTCTCTTTGTGCAGTTCCCTTGGAGGTGAAAATGATAATCTCTGCATGCAATTTAAGGCAATTTTGTGTGTGTGTGTGTGTGTGTGTGTGTGTGTGTGTTTTCCTGGTGTTTTAGAAAGCCTGGATAAATCCAAGTTAATTTTAGTTGTAGCAGTCATTCCATCGGTTATAGGCTTGTAATCAACTCTTAGCTGTGGTTTGTTCAGATATTTACAATGAATGCTTTCTTGTATCTATACAGTACTGTAAAAGGTACTGTGCTATAACTTTATAAGTACAAATGTGCCTAAATCTGATATATTTTATAAAATTCAGTTGGCAGCTGTGAAGGCTTGCTTTTGTCTCTTCCTCCCCTGCACAGGCTAAGTCCTTGGAATCAGTATGTTAATGAAGACTTGGTATCTCAATATGAAATTTGCACCATGGGAGTTCTGAGATAATGCGTCCTGATAGAGCCCCTAATGCCTGCCTCTTAGGAGGGCGAGTGACAAAGACAGTATAACTCAGCTAAGTCCTTTCATAATCAGGCAGCCTTGGTCTTTCTCAAGTGGTTCCATAGTTTCTGTGTGTGTGCTTTCTTGTGTTTCTGTGTCTCAGACCTCTTCTCTCCTTGGGCAGTCTGTCTGTAATCTTTTAATACTGCATGGTAGATTGGATTGGATGAGCCCCATCACCTTTGGATAAGAAAAGGCTTTTGGACACAAGTCCATGCAACACTCTTTTCTTTAGAGAACACAATAGATCACTGGGAACATCATAAGAGGTGCTCTCAGAGGGTGCTTATAAGTGGCACCATCCTAAATCCAGGTTTACCGGGGACAGTCTGGGTTTATAACTCATCCTGGCCTAATGAATAATAGCACCCTCTTTTAGCACAGCATGATTTAGATAAGTTATATGGTCACCCCATGCACATGGGATGTGGTAGATAACACCTTTTAAGAATAAAGTGAAATGGATTCAAGTGAAGTGACTTACCTACCCATGTCTAGTTGTGTCAGATTGAATCCAGAATTGGTCCAGGTTATCCTGGTCATTTCACCAGCTACCCATATTGCTGTCCTTTGAAGGAATTACAATGCTTGGCTGGTTCTCTTTTTTAACTTTCATGCCAAGAAACCCTCTTAGTAAAGTCTTAGACATTTGTTGTTTATTTTAGTTGGTAAAATACAGCATTAATTTAAAAATTACAAAATATTGCATACATAGGAAGGAGTCCGTACCCTATGTAGACATGATTTAAGTAATGATGATAAAACAGACATAGTGACAGAAGCATATAGAAAGGTGATCACCTGGGAAGGGGTGCAGAGAGGATGGAAACATTCTATGTCTTAGAATGGTGAGTACATAGGTAGGTGTATGTATTTGTCAGAACTCAGTGAACTCTGCACTTAAAATGGGTGCATTTTACTGTATGTAAATCATACCTTGATACAGTAGACTAAAAATTTACCTATTTACCACTATCCAACTTAAAAAGGAGAACATTTCCAATACCTTTTTAGCTTTCTGCCTGGTGCCGATTCCTGACTGACAAGCTGTTTTAAAACACAGAATAACTGAGGCTTTATTGCTAAATCAATGCCTCCTATTAGAAGACTGATATTTCTGTTTTAGTGGACGTTCTTTAATCTTTATTTTCCTTATTTCGAAACGTCTTGTTAACCCTCTTTACGTAGTCTTACTCATAAAATATTCTAATTCTGTATTTAACAAGCGGCATTTTATTTTAGTGATAGAAAAAACTGTGGCTGAACCAAGTTTTCTGGGATCACTGGAATGATGTTAGCTAATGGAGTCCAATGTTGAAAGCATTTGTTGCGCACCTACTGGATGTCAGACACTTTGCAGACACGATCTTATTTCTCCTCTGAGCCTAATAATAGGTATCATTTCCCTTAAATTTCCTCATGTGTAGAATTGAGGCCTATAGATGTTAAGAACTTGCCCAAGATCCCCATGCAAAAGTAATTAGGAGAATTAGGAGTCAGGGTTTGAGCCCCAGGGATCTAAGTACATTGTTAATGTAGAGAACTGCCCTTTGCTGGGAGAAGTTAAGCACTTGGCTGGCTCCCCTGGTTGTATCGTGTAGCACCAGGACCATGTGGCGTATCACTTCCAAATTTCCTAAATCACTGTGATCCTGCATACTCCTTGCCCAGACCCCTCCTGTGGCTCTCTCCTGCTTGCCCACCGAGGCTCAGCTGCCTAGCAGCAGATCCACAGGGCCTCTGGTATCTGGCGCCAACCCGCTTATCCTGCTGGGTTTTCCTCTAGCTCCCCTCAAGGGCCTGTGTGGCTCCAGCTGCCTTTTCCATTAGTGTTCCCATATGTTCCAGGTTAAGGCCTCCGCTTTGCCTTCGATTGTACCTTTTCTGTCTTCATTGCACTTGCCAAATAAAATAAACAAAACAAAACAATGACAGACCCCAGCTCTCCAGTCCCTGTCAAGCAGTCATCTCAAAATTTTAATTCCTGCCTCTTCTAGGATGCCCCAAATGCCAGCCTCCCTCTCTGCAACTCTACTCATCTTTTCATCTAAAACAGAGTTTATAATGATTGAGTTGGTCCTTAATTGTTCTTTAATTCCATGTCTTTTTTCTCTAATAAGAATAAGAATGATAATAGCTTCATTTATTGAGTCAGATATTGTGTTCTCCACTTTATGTGGCTTCCCTCAGCTAACTCCCAGAGCAATCTTGGGAGGTAAGTACACATTTTCTTCCCATCTGACAGACTGGAAAATTGAGGCTCAGAGAGAAATGCCTGAGATCACATGGCTACTAAGTGGCAAGACTGGGATTCGGTTTGACTTGAGTTTGACTACTCTTTGCTGACTTCTTGCAAATGCCTTGAGGAGAGTAGAAAAGAAAGGAAACTGACATTGACTGTGCCTTTGCTATGGCTTGGCATCGAGATGGTTTAGCTTATTATCTCACAGGGTCCTTATCCTGTGCTAAGAATCAGATCTCCAAAAAAATTGAGAATTAGATCTCTAAAAAACGGAGGCTCTGTTTACATAATTCATTCAAGGTCACAGCGCTGATTAGTGGAGAGATAAAAATTAAACCAGGTCTTTCTGCCCCTAGAGATGCTCCACTGCGTGCATGAGGACACTTTATTTCTTTTTCTTACTCTCTGCATGGCCTAGCATAGAGCTGGATATTAGGGAAACTTTTCAATTAGTTATAGGTTGCTTAAAAAACAACAAAAACAAAAGTTCCTTTTATTCTGTTAGAAGCATGAGCATATCACACATATTCCGGTAGGGAAGAGTAGTACCATAAAGAATGTTGGATTTTTAGAAGAGACAACGTAAAAGCAAAGGTGAGGTGAGATAGACACTTGAACAGAATGGCAGTCACAGAATTTCTTATCTTTTGAGAGATTTACTTGAGGGATTCTACCTTTACTATAGTAGAGGAGTGTCTAAAATTAAAAGACAGGAGAAGATGACTTAGTATTCCCATTCAGATTTTTAAATTGCTGTGTGGTTAGCTGTCTCCAGTCAGGCAGCTTCACTGCTCCTTTCTTTAACTGCCTTTCTCAGGCATAGAAGTAAAAAGAAGTAAAAGGTAACGGCCAGTTGCCCTCGGCCTCTCCATTGGTGGATTTGCAGAGTGCTGAAATTCACCCTAGAGTTTACCCTTCAAAGTAACTAGGCATTAAAAAACTCATACCTACAAAAAAGGAACTCCTTTGTGTTCCAACAATTGTTACAATATGTTAGACTTTTGGTGATCAAAACACACCTCCATTAACTGCTCCAGCATCTTGTGCATCTCAGCTGTTTGTGCGAGTCATCCAGCATGAGGGAGGATGGGTCTGCATCAGGTGCAGTTCCTGGGCCTTGGAATATGTCCTCCACTTTTGTTTGATCAGCGGCGTGTTTCCATTGAGTGTGCTGTGTGCCAAGAGAACAGTTGTCAGTGGTATTCGCAGTGATGCACATTAGCATGAGTGCCAGAGATTCAAGTGGCGACGAGTACCAACTCTGCCTTCCACCCATTGCTTTTTGTGCTCTCAGAAACTGGAGAAACGCTAGCTTTGCACACTGGGTTTTCTCGAAGCGGGCTAGGCGTATCATTTCCAAGGGCTGTGGAGCTTCCTGGAACTGTGCATGCTGTGAACACTCTCCCAGAATGATGAAATGCCAAAGTGCTCAAGTCACCATGCCTTTGTTCACTGGCTCCCATGCCTTTCTTGCTGTGACCATCCATGAGGCTTAGAACCATCACAGCTGTTTAGGAAATGGTCTTGGAGTCCAACAGACCAAGGTCAAATTCTGGCTCTGTCACTTAGCAGTTGGGTGACTGTAGGCAATTCATGTACCTCTCTGAACTTCTCATTTCTCATCTGTAAAGTAAGTGAGAGTAATAACACTTATGGGGTTGCTGTGATGACTAAAATAACAAATTCTAAGTATGTGGCACTTGGGGTATGTGTGTGTGAGAGAGAGAGAGAAAGAGCGGGAGGGAGGGAGGGAGAGAGAGAGAGAGACAGGCAGGCAGTGGCTGTTTTTTTGAACGGCGATGCCCACAGAGGGGGAGTTATTTTTGGAGAGGAGGGGGTCTTCTCACTGCTCCCAATTCTCATCCATGCTGGGGACGTGCATCTGTCTCTGCCACTACTCTGGGAACATATCTCTTGTCGGATACAGCTGTCTTTCTGTTGTTCCCTTGGTCTGCCAGCACAGGGCTGAGGCCATTCCCTGCACTCCTCTTCCTACTTGTACCCCCACTGCAGGCCATGCCTGGGGACTCCCTGACCCTGCTGTCCTTCTCAGCTTGGAGCTTGCTGCTCTTTATGGGGAGGACTTTGGTTCTCTTTGCCAGGCTGCCTGAGAAACAGGCCCAGGTGGTGTGAAGTAATAATCCCCAGACCAAATATGTTTATCGTCTTATTTGAGCCATCCTGAGACTTACTGCAACACTACTTTAAGCTTAGTGAGTTTAATTTGGATCACAGCCTATTATACATATGGCATGGTGTCAGCTTTTAGTAAAAGATAAAATAGGTGCGTGAAATGAAAGAGACATAGATGCCAGTTGGAGAACAGAGTGATCTAAAAGCAAATTCTGCATAGCAATATGAATACTTCAGAGTGGACAGGGGTATAGTTTGAAAGAAGCTACCTATAACGACTGTTTTCATTATATTGACTAAAGAAAAAAAAAGCTCGACAAAATCTCCCTAACTCGTGGAGTCATATGGAAGATAGAATAAGAAGACAGTGCACAATTGTGGGCAAAAGAAGGTAATGAAACATTGCAAAGACTTTAAAAAGCTTTTTTTAAGTTCTATATTCACAGCCACATTTCGTAAACTTAAGAGGTGCTGCATTTTTTTTCATTCATTCATCCATCCAGCAAATATTTATTATCTAGTGTGAGTAAACTTGCCCATGAGCCCATCCCTTTCCACTGCCTGTTACTGTATGTGACAAGGATAGTAGCGTGCTCAGTAGCTTGCAACCACGTTGCCTGGGTGAGCGACTCCTCCATCTACTGGCCCAGTGACCTTGGGCAAGTTCCATAACCTCTCTATGCTCTAGTTTCCTCATCTGTAAAAGAGAAATGATAATAGCACCTGTCACAGAGGGCTTTGGGGAATTGAAAATGCAAGGAGTGCAGAGCAATGCCTGGCATCTGAGAGACATTCAATACATGTTAACTCTTATCATTTGTTTTCTGACTTATTCATTTGCTTCTTTATTGTCACTCTCTCTTTCCATCATTAAACGCTGAGAGAAACCTTGTTTTCTCTTTTCTCATGTAACTACTATCCTTGGTTCCTAGGACAGTGTCTGCCCATGGTAGCAGCTTAGTAAATATTTGAGCCGAGTAAGTGAATAAATGGCTGGATGAATGAATGGAATGCATGAAGGCTGGACTCTGTGCTGGGTGCTTCCTAGACAGGAGTGAACAAAACTTGGTGCCTGCTGGGTATATGCCCAAAGGAAAGAAAATCAGTACAGCAAAGAGATATCTGCACCCCCATGTTTGTTGCAGCACTGTTGACAATAGCCAAGATTTGAAAGCATCCTAAGTGTCCATCAACAGATGAATGGATAAAGAAAATGTGGTACATATGCACAATGGAGTACTATTCAGCCATAAAAAGAATGAGATCCTGTCATTTGCAACCACATGGATAGAACTGGACATCATTATATTAAGTGAAATAAGCCGGGCACAGAAAGACAAACTTCGCATGTTCTCACTTATTTGTAGGAGCTAAAAATTAAAACAGTTGAACTCATGGACATAGACATAGAGAGTAGAATGATGGTTACCAGAGGATGGGAAGTGGAGGGATGGGAAGGAGGTGGGGATGGTTAATAGGTATGAAAAATAGAATGAATGAAGGAACAAGATCTAGTATATGATAGCACAACAGGGTGACTATAGTCAAATATATATATATATATATATATTTTTTTTTTTTTTGAGATGGAGTCTTACTCTATTCCCCAGACTGGAGCGCAGTGGCATGATCTCAGCTCACTGCAACCTCCACCTGCCTCGTTCAAGCCTCCCAAGTAGCTGGGATTACAGGCACACACCACCATGCCCGGCTAATTTTTGTATTTTTAGTAGAGACGGGGTTTCGCCATGTTGGCCAGGCTGGTCTCGAACTCCTGACCTCACCTCAGGTGATCCGCCTGCCTCGGCCTCCCAAAGTGCTGGAATTACAGGCCACTGTGCCTGACCATATAGTCAATAATAATTTAATTGTAATTTAAATATAATTTTACAGTAACCTAAAGAGTATAATTATCCTTTGTAACACAAAGGATAAATGCTTGAAATGATGGATACCCATTTATCCTGATGTGATTATTGCATGCCTGTATGAAAGTATCTCATGTACCCCATAAATATATATACCTACTATGTACCCCCAGAAATTAAAAATTAAAAAAAATTAACATTAAAAAATACAAAACAAGTGGTGTTGCCTGCATTTTAGAGCTTCCAGCTAGTCAAGTGAAGGAGAAGTCTAGAGATCTATAATAACCAAAGGTGCTAAGTGTCAATGCAAGGGAAGAACGGGGACACCATGCTGTATGGCATCAAGGAAGAAGTGGCATTTTCCGACTATGTTGAGTGGTGGACTGATAAACAAGAGCACTTTTTTTCTTTATCCATTAGAAGACTTAAAATAATTATTTGTAGATCCCACTTCCCCACTTTTTAAAGCATTTCCTTCTCAATTATTCCCTCTCTTCAAACATACAAACTTATACGCATATTCTAAAACTTGTAAAAGGAAGTTAAACACATTTTAATCATTTAAAAGGTTTTTTAAAAAGTCAACCCATGTAACTTAAAAATGATTATGAAGCACTTGTTTACTTTCGGTTGTCTGGCATTTATTTGTGTGTGGGGTTTTTTTTTTTTTTTTTTTTTTTTGGTGTATGGGCTATTTATTGCTTTTTCTTAATTTTTTCCTTGTGTGTTTGGAAAGCAAAATCCAAACAAAGTCCTTTTTGGCAGTGGTAATAATAAATATTCTGTTTAGCCTTTGGATGAGGTTTACATGATGTATCTATAAGCACATTCTGGAATATTGGAATAACAGTTTCCAATCCTTTTGATCAATGGATAGTGGGATAAATGAAAAGTTCCAACCAAAATATACCTACTGGACAAGAACCATCATCTTTTAATAGGCAGAAATCCTCTTTAGGGTCCAGCCTTCCTTTCATTCCTGTTCTACATTGTCAATGACTCTGACCACAGGAACAGAGAACTGCTGGATAGGGTGCAGTGCTGCTGGTCCCCTCTATCATCACCAGCACAAATAATTGTATTAATTTTTTTTTTAGGAGTGGAGTTTAAGCTCAGCTGTGCACCCCAGACATTGATGAAGATAGTCTATCGTATGACTTAGAGTCACAGAACCACAAGATGCGTGTGTGATTATCTAAATAAAGAGCTCTTACTGCAACCTTGTGACTCTGGTGATAGAACTGGGCGTGGGAGGGCTTTCTCATTCATGTGCTGTGCACACAAATGATTCTCTAAGTTGAAGGACACATTGCTCTGCAGCATAACTGAAAAATCTGTGCATGAATGTGTGTGTGTGTGTGTGTGTGTGTGTGTGTGTGTTGTGGGGGGGATGTGGTCTCATTCCTACTTGCAAAAATCCTCCAGAAGGGGTTTTCAAAGCATTGCACAGCTGTTGCTTGTCAGCTTCTTGTGTTGACTAGATGTCAGCAACACTTCCTCAACTTTGGACAATGACTTGAAAGCAAGATCAGTGTGTGCTCATGGGATGGATTTAAATGGAATTGAATGATACAGAAACCATTGCCTAATTTATATTTAGGTAAGTCATGTTTTCTTTCTCTCTCTCTTTAAATTTTTCCTGAAATGCATGTATGAAGCTCTTTTTGGCTAAAATGAGAGAATGAAGCAGGCTCCTGAGTCCTTGAGTGAAGAGGATCCATTGAGAAGTCCAGAGGGAGAGAGAATGAGCTTGATTAACGGCAGCACAGGATTGGCAGGAGTGATATAAAATAGTACATCATCTCAGAGTGACCTAATACTCGACTTTGGAATGCATTTTTATTTTTGGCAGTGGATTTACCTCCCTGTGTCCTGCCTGGACAAACGTTGGAATTAGTCAGCATTCCTTAAGCACATGCTGATTATGGCCAAAGAAAGTGGCAGGCTTGAGGCTTGCTGGCGACCAGGAGAAAGCCAGCTGGATTAGACATTTGCCGTGAGCCTTTTGTTCATGTAACTTATGGGGCAGTCTCCTAAGCCAGAGAAACAAGAAACTCAAAGGCAGTTTTAGCAAGGTTCTCATGCATGGCAGCATATTTTAATACTAATGCTCCCTTTAGGCAGGCCCTAAATAAGAATGTCTTGTTCTAATTTTTTTCCGTAGACTTAAGATTGTTGGGAAAAAACTTGTTAGAATTCCCAAGTGAAACCATTTAAATGCCTTGGCTTCTGATAACTGGGAGTCCTGAGTGAAGTTGTCAGTTGCTGCTGAACTCAGCAGAAATAATTGCGCTCCCTATGCCAATGATCTGTGCATATTTTGAGACCATTCTGAGACCAAGGAGGCTATCACAACATGTTCACATTGCTATCGTTGATTAGAGCCCTGAGCTTTACATGTTGTCTCCTGTGGTGTCCTTCGGAATATTGGAGAGCCATGCCTCTTTCCTTTCAATGTTCTCAACCTGGCCCAGCCAGGATTAGAGGCTCCCTTCTGAGGTTCAGTAGAATTTTATATTTACCCTTTATCATTATTCACCTTACTGTATTGCACTTCTCTGTCTACAGTCTCCAGCATTCCATTACAGTGCTAGGACTATGTTGGCATTTGTATTCGTTTTTCATTACTTCATAAGAAATTGCCCCAAATTTGGTGGCTTAAAATGATGCACATTTATGATGGCACAGTTTCTATGGATCAGGAGTCCAGACACAGTTTGGCTGGATTCTCTGCCCTAGGTCTCACAAGGCTGTACTCAAGGAACTGGCTGGGGCTTCTCTCATCTGAAGCTTGGAGTCCTTTTCCAAGCTTTCGAGGTTGTTGGCAGGATTCGGTCCCTTGTGATTGTGGAACTCATGGTGGCCTTTTTTCTTTCAGGCCAGCAGGAAAAGGTCTCTGACTTGAGGGTGGGCCCCAGTCCTTCTTTTATTTTATTATTATTTTTTGAGACAGAGTTTCGTTCTTGTTGCCCAGGCTGAGTGCAACCTCGGTGCCATCTCGGCTCACTGCAACCTCCACCTCCAGAGTTCAAATGATCCTCCCACCTCAGCCTCCCAAGTAGCTAGGATTACAGGCACACGCCACCATGCCTGGCTAATTTTTGTATCTTTTAGTAGAGATGGGATTTCACCATGTTGGCCAGGCTGGTCTCGAACTCCTGACCTCAAGTGATCCACCCACCTCGGCCTCCCAAAGTGCTGGGATTACAGGTATGAGCCACTGCACCTGGCCCCCAGTTCTTCTTTTAAAGGCATCACCTAATTAGGTCAGGCCCACTCAACAGTTGATTAACCTTAATTATATTTGCAAAATCCCTTTGCCATTTAAGATGACACAATAATTGGAATGATATCCCATCATATTCACAGGTCCTACCTATACTCAAAAGGTGGTAGGTTATACAGGGTGGATATAGTGTTGAAAGAAGGAATGAATGAAATGAATGAATTCTGATAGCTGGAAGCACAGCAACTAGCTTTTTTTGTAGCATGAGTGAGAGAAGGTATTGAGTTCCTTATTGAAGAATGCAGTTGCAACAGTTTATCACTAGTGAGCTGCTTCTTGGTAACTATAAGACATAAGCAGACAAGAAACAGCAAGAAAGGAAGGAAGGAGAAAAGAGAACGAGAAGGAAATCATTATTTTGGACCGATTTCCGGTGGTGGTTTCAAGAAGTTCTCCCCACCCTCCAGACTGCTGTCATTTACAATTGCTAGAGAACAAGAGCTGGGAGCCTCTCCTTGGTTCTGCTCCTGTGGCATAGCCATGGGGGATGCAGAAGGGCAGTGGTGCCCACTAAAGGGAATCCCCGTCAGCTTTGGTTTTAGTTTCCAGAGATTGAGCCTCTGCCTTAGGCTGAGAGAAAAACTTAGTGTGAGTCTTTATTTGCTCCCTTATAATCACAGGCACATGTGGCACCTCCTCCCCCATCTCTGCCCCACCTCTTCCAACAGTGAGATGCATTAGGTGTGGAAAGGAAGCCTTCATTTCAAAATCTCCTGGCTGCGGTTAGCTTTAAAAATCAAATGGAACTGTGGTCGTCTGTGTTTAATTTGGAAGAGCAGAAAGGATGCGTGCTTTGTGGCGCCTGCATAGTGAAAGTCTCCATGACTTAATACCACTGCCCAGCCTTAGAAGCTTCCCATGCAGACAATGGCCCTGCTTCCCCATCAGTTCTTGGGCTTGGGTGCCACCTTATATAAACATTGCTGCTTTTAGTGCATCGCAGAAGCAAAAGGATGACACATTAATAGCAGCTGGAGGATCTCATTAAAATTCGGAGGAAAATATGAAGGCTGGAGCCTGGTAATGTACAGACAGTAAGTCTTTGTCTGTCTGATTAACAATTGCATGCATTCTAAGTGCCTTGCTGGATGGTAAGAACCAGCATTTCAGCCAGAAGTACCATGTTCTTCTCCTTAAGAATAACCTATTTCTGTTTTTCAATTCCCTTATCCCCTCTAAAAATAATATGCTGGTCTTTTGGACTCCCTTGAGAACTGAAACAGCTTAGCAACTGGGGCAGTCCCTGAGAGCTGGTGCAGAAACAACTGTTGCTAGCTTGGATTTGAATTATGCAGTCAGATGCTTACATCGTGGGAGGGGGATGTACGGGGTGTGTGGCCTTCAGATGCTTACATTGTGGGAGGGGGATGTACAGGGTGTGTGGCCTTCATGCCAGAAAGGACAGGGAAGCACTCCCTGGTTGGCGGGAGGAGGGGAGATGCTGGGGTTGAGGCCCTTACCTTTATTTATGTTGTTCACTGGTACAGCCAGACTGCAACCTCTCAACTCTTCAGACAAGACCTAAGGCCGACAAAATTCACTCCCTCATGAAGAACATTGGGCTGTTTCTCCCTGGTGTGTAGGTGGTGGGAGTGAAGTAGAGGGGCTCGCTGTGTGCAGGGAAAGGGCTGCATTCTCAAGAATTTGTATGTAGCCCTTGGACTAAAAACAAAATATTCCAAAGGAATGCTTCTTTTGGAACCCTGGTCCAGTCCCTCGTCTAAGCAGGAGTGCCCTTATATGCTTGACTGTGGATGGCATCTGATTACGGGCAGAAGGTTGCACTGGATTGCTGCCTGATGCGGACCCACAGAACACAGTTTAACTCTGGCTCTGTCAGCAGTCATCAGTGTTTATTTTTCCAACTCTTCAGAGAGATATTAGTCGTTATGAAAAGTGTACCATCTCAGAACTCCATGGAATAAGCTGCCAATATAAGACAGGTTGAAATTATTGTGTCTTTTTGCCTAGAGTTATTTTTAGTTATTTTTTCTTCCTTGGAATTTCTTTTCTTTTTTTTTTTTAACCATATATGCTAACTTTGTAGCTGGTGGCAAAAAAAGATTATTTTCCCTATATTAATGACTTCTTCAGCTGAATTGAGGAATAGGGTTACCAGCTCTTTTCTTGGAGTTTAACACTCTCAATCTGATAATATGAATAACACCTCAATAACCACAACAAGAGCGGATCATCTTCAGTATCTTTCCTGAATTACCTTTTGGCTTTTCACCACCTTGTTTGTCCGTTTCAGAGTTTGTCTTTCTGTAAAATCATGGGAAGGCATCTGATTACTTTGTTCTTGATGTACCTGAGTAATGCGAACATCTGAATAATTGAACAAAAATCTTGTTTAAACAAAACTTTTGTTTCAGAAGCATCTGTCAAATTGTTAGTCATCTGACAATTTAAAATGTCAAAGCAAGAGTTGGCTGATCTTAACCTTAGCCTTGTCACATTATTAACTTCATGGAGCTTCAGAGTAACTTGAGAAGACTTGCAGTCTGTACCTGAAAAAGCCAGGTTTAGAAAGTGGCTCATGAAGAAGTAAAACCTCTCAGTCAAGTGGAATGTGCAAGGGAACCCCTAGGAGCATTTTGGCATGAACATTTCTTTTGAGTTTCTAGCCCAAGACCTCTTTATAACATTTGTTCCTCTCCCAGGTCCTCCTCCTACTGCCTCTAATTTTTAAATAAGTTCTGTTTAACTCATTTTTGGATAATAAGCTAGCTCTGAGAAAGCTTGGTAGAACTATTTTCACTGAAGGAGTTCTAAAACTGATCATATCTCTTGTCATCAAATTATAACCTGACTGTTGCCTGTTATCTGAAATTCTAAGATAGTGAAGAGAGTTATTTTACTTTTTCTTGTAGGGCCCTTCTGTCATTACTTCCTTGCTAGAATCCTATGTGTGATAATGAGGGAATGAAATTATCCAAAGGGTAATTTGCAGTATGCATCCTACCCAGCAGTTGAAACTACTGCAGCGAAACTGCAAGGAAACCTAACCCATGTTTTCTTGTAATGCTACCCTTTGGGGGTCATGCATGCTGCTTTCTGCTCCAACAGTCTTAACGTGGGAATTGGGGACACTTACTTTTTGACCTGGAACAAATCTCTAAGACTCGTAAGCCACCAATTGATTCACCTTTTGTAGCAGGGCTTGTATGACAAACTCTTTTGTGAGAACAAAAGGAAAGTCCCTTCCCTTTTTGCCATTCTTGTTCTGTAGATTAATTAGCAAAGACGTAGTGGAGAAATGTGTCACTTGCAAGACATTTCTGGCACGGAGTGGACCAAGTGGAAATGCTTAAATGTGTTGCAGGGATATCAAAGGGACTGAGCTTTTGGAACAAAGAGGAACAGAGCCCAAAGGACAGTTGGTACAAATTACACAATTTTCAGTTGGTTCTAATAAAGTTCTAGGAAAAGGGGCTTATGCACAAAGGCTGAGCTCTTGCCTCTGTTGTTCTTCAAATCCAAAATGTCATTAAAATACTAGTAGTGGTTGTCATATTTTAATAACATTTTGGATTTGAAGTGTGTAGCTGAAACTTACTCTTTGTTAATGGATGTATCACTGGGTGAGCTTCTAGACTGCCTCACCAATGGATCTAGCATTACCTTGGTTAATGAAATAAGGTAAAACACAGTCCCTGTGTACCAGAAAGCAGGTTCATGTGTCAGCTGCATCATGTCATTTGGAACTTTGCAGGTGTGGTTTTCCTTTGCTCCTTCAATCTCCTCATTTCTTTCATTGCCTGGATGAAGCCCCTGCAACAGGAGAGCTTTTGCCTCCTCTGCCTCACCTCAGCCCCCTAGACCTCTGTGTGCAACTGGAGTATGGTGTTAAGTGAGCCTGGAGCAGTCTTAGGAAAAGGCTTCAAGTGAGGCTAGGTGGGAAGGCCTGGGACAGAAATAAATTCAAAACAACAACCAAAGAACTGATAGGTGGAATAAAAGAAGTGGGACAGAAAAGATTCAAAGGTGGGAATTGAAAGAGAGAGGTACAGTAAGAATAGCTGGCGTCCAGTGAACATGTACAGTGGACCATGCACAGTTCCAAGCACGTTCGATTTATTATTTCATCTAAGACTCACGAGAACTCTATAAGACAAAGGTCTGACATTCTCATCCCCGTGTTAGATGTGAGGAATCTGGAGCACAAATGTGTAAGTAATTTTTCTGTTGAGAAATGGACCTATCAGGGGTTGAACCCAAGCAGTTTGCCTCCAGTTAATGTCCTTCGCCACTTTATATTGAACTGAGAAAAGGCGGGACAAAAGTCACAACCAAAGGTGGCTTTGGCCTTCAGAATATTCCACCTACTGCCATCAATATTCCACCTTCTCAAGCCCACATGCTCCTGTTTCTTTTTTTGTCCCCCCATTCCATAATTAATCATCCTTGCAATAAAAGAGACTTTTGGAAATTATTTTGGGAAAATGAAGTCTTTGGGAGGCCAAGGTGGGTGGATCACTTGAGGTCAGGAGTTTTAGGCCACCCTGGCCAATATGGCGAAACCCCCTTTGTACTAAAAATTCAAAAATTAGCCGGGCGTGCTGGTGTGTGCCTGTAGTCCCAGCTACTTGGGAGGCTGAGGCAGGAGAATCGCTTGAACCTGGGAGGCGGAGTTTGCAGTGAGCCGAAATCATGCCACAGCACTCCAGCCTGGGCGGCAGAGAGAGACTCCATCTCAAAAAAAAAAAAAAAAAGAAAGAAAGAAAATGAAGGGTATAGCTGAAATCTGCTCATTTCATGATCTTGACAATTTAAAAAACCTGATTGCTGTTGCAGTAGGACTGTTTAAAAAAGGAAAGAGAAAAATATATTTTTAAAAATCTGAGCATGTTGAAAGACACAAAGGACCTTTGTTACAAGTCACTCCTACCAATGGAAGAACAACCGTTGCTCTCATCTTTTTTTTTTTTTTTTTTTTTTGGTCATTTCATCTCTCCAGTGGCTGAGATCAATAAGAGATGCTCTATGGTTGCTTTTGAGTTCCTTTGGATGTCTTAATGAAGGGATGAACATATTGTTTTTTTTTTTTGACACAGGGTCTCATTCTGTCACTCCCTGCTGGAGTGCAGTGACACAATCTTAGCTCACTGTAGCCTTGACCTCCCGGGCTCAGGTGATCCTCCCACCTTAGCCTCCTGAGTGGCTGGGACCACAGGCACGCACCACCATGCCCAGCTTTTTTTTTTTTTTTTTTTTTTTTGTATTTTTAGTAGAGACGGGGTCTCAACATGTTGCCCAGGCTGGTCTTGAACTTCTCAGATCAAGCCATCTGCTTGCCTCGGCCTCCCAGAGTGCTGGGATTATAGGTATTCGCCGCTGTGCCCAGCCACATATTGCTTTTGATGTAGTTAAACAGTTAACTGCTACCAAGCTCTTCACAGAGGTTACTGGGCTCAGGAATAAAAAGGCTTCTACTCCAAATCTGGTAGCACCTTGCACCACAAAGACTTGCTCTCTCAGTAAGAAAACAAATGGCAGTTCTATATATAGTCAAGAGTGGAGGCAGGAAAAGACTACATTTCTGAAAAATGTGTTCCCAAGAAATCCATGTTAATCAATGTCAGAGACCATCCAGTTTTTATATATTGCAGTCTCAAGAAATATTCTGCCACAGATTCTCTAAGGACTGATCATAAAACACAAAACCTTTTTATCTTTTGTAAGTTTGTCAGTTCTAACATTAAATGCTTAATTTTGACAGTTACCAAAACAAGTCGATTCTAGCTTTCCTTTTTTAAAGTTTCAGGTGAAATTTGCTATAATCTCATGTCCATCCTCATTCAGGCATGCTGAAAGCACTAATATTCTGTTTGCTTTTGAGTGCTAAAGAAATATAGCCCATGAGATTACTGGCCAAATTGAAAAGAATGAGGCTTATTGTACCAAGATATCTTTCTTGATAAATTAAGTCAATGATCTATTTCCTGCACTAGAGGTCTTGATTGGGTATGTCATAGCGTAATTTTGTTTGCCTTCTGAGGCACACCTATTCTCTTGCTCTTTAACTTGGAAAGCTCCTAACTCAGAAGCCACTCTGTGAACATATGGCTCCAAAGATTGCTTCAGATTCCTGGCTGCCTGTGCTAATGTCAGTACTCACCTTTGGACAGGATATCTAATTTTTAGATTCTAGACAGTTGAAAGTAACTAACCTCTCTAGGTTTTTCTTCTGTTTCCTAGAGTAAATGTTATCAATGTGATTTAATCTGACTAGATTACTATACATTTTTGAACGTAATCATTTATTTGTGTTTATATTATTTGCTCTTGTTTCAGCTACGGAATTTTTCTATTTTTTTTTTTTTTGAGACAGTGTGTCACTGTGTCCCCCAGGCTGGAGTGCAGTGGCGCAATCTCCGCTCACTGCAACCTCCGCCTCTCAGGTTCAAGCAATTCTCCTGCCTCAGCCTCCCAAGTAGCTGGGATTACAGGCGTGAGCCACTGCGCCCAGCCAAGGAATTTTGCTTTCTTTAGTCAGCTAGATTTTAAACTCCACGAGGTCAGGAAACTTACTTTTCACACGTTTTTCCTTCTTATAGAATAATATTTTCTCGATATGTTTTAGAGGTGGTATTTTATAGGCAGTGGTTAAAGACTGAAAACTTTAACCACTTTAAACTCTGAAATTCTAGGCAATGGGATTTGTACTGAAAGACATAGGATAATTATGACACTTCAATTATAGTCCGTTCAATTCACCACTGGGGTGGTTCTAAGTTTAGTTCATGGTGGCTTTCTCCCAGGAAATCTAAAGTACTTTACATATATAGCTCCATTGTTTCTCATAGCATGCAACCTTAACCCAGTGTTTTCACATGTGATTTGAGAGCTCGATACCCAAATTATGGTCCATGCACCAGCAGCACCGGCATCACCTAGGAGCTGGTGGGAAATGCAGGCTCTCAGGCCTCACCCAAGGCCTCATGAATCAGAGTCTGTATTTTAACAAGATTTCGGGTGATCTGTGTGCACATTACAGTTTGAAGAGATAAGACACCAAAGTTAACTATTTTTCCTGTTATCACATGGCAAGTAGATCTCCAGTCCTGAGTCTGGGTTGCATAGCTTGTGATGTTGATGTTGCAAAGATGCAGGTGCCTTCTTTTCCCATGATGATGCAGAGCCCCCTCAGCTCCTGTTGGAGCCTGTGATGGTCTCTACACTCCGTGTTTTTCTTCTTAGGCTCTTTATCTGTACCTGCGTTGCTTTTGTCCCTTAAGGTTTTGTCCCTTTGATTTCCTCTTAAGTGCTCTGAACTTAATCATTTTTTGTTTCTTAATTTTAACATGGCCATTTCAGTCTGATGACAGTTTTATAATCAAAACCCACATGCAATCGATTAATAATGTTTTATAAAGCAACAGTTGCTACGAAAAAAAGTGGATCTTCCTGAGATGAGGCTATATGTAAAATATGGATGGAATTTGTATGCCAATTGGGAACTGATGGAGAAATGTATTTTGGTCTGACATAAAAGTTCCTTTCTCAAACTACTTTCATACAACTAAGCAATGAAAGAGCAGAGAATTCTCAACTTGCTTCACTACTGGAAAGTAAAGGGAAATTTATGGGGGTAATAGTGACATTGAGAAGTAGTTCTTTAAAGAACTGCATTTTTCATAGGTAACTGGAAACATTTCCAGCTTTGAAAATGAACAGATATCTTTTTCTCTCATGTTTAGTAAGGCTTTAGAAATGAGTAGGAACAATTTGGTAGAATTTCTTACCTGTATTTCAAAACATGCTGAGTCTACTTGTTAAGTAAGATGTTTTAAAAGCATTTGGTCCTTGGAATTCTGCTACTCATAAGAATGCATTTCTAGAGCCGGGCGTGGTGGCTCACGCCTGTAATCCCAGCACTTTGGGAGGCCGAGGCAGGCGGATCACGAGGTCAGGAGATCAAGACCATTCTCGCTAACACGGTGAAACCACGTCTCTACTAAAAATACAAAAAATTAGCCAGGCATAGTGGTGGGCGCCTGTAGTCCCAGCTACTCGTGAATCTGGGAGGCGGAGCTTTCAGTGAGCAGAGATCATGCCACTGCACTCCAGCCTGGGCGACAGAGCGAGACTGCATCTCAAAAAAAAAAAAAAAAAAACAAAAAAACGCATTTCTATAACCTGCACCGATTTTGTAGAAATTAGTGTGATCTGAAGCTAGTTGTCCTGAATATGCTTTATGTAAATATGTGTGGCTCACTCAAGTAATTTTCATTCTTTAGATTACATCTCTCGATCTTTTTGGATGTAACTGGATTTGCTGGAGTTAAGAAAGAACGTTGTCATTCCCCCTGCCCACCCCCACCTTCCTCGGCTATTGATGTAATAAATGTAATTACGGTACTAAGAAATCCTTTCCAGCTGAAGGAACAAACCACAAAGTCTGTGCTTTAAATCTTTGTAATTTTTTCTTTCCGTTTAAAATCTAAGCCATATATTCAGATTTGGGCGTGCTTTTTGCAGGTGTCTATTTTTAGAGCTTTCCCTGTTTTGTAATTTCCCAGTTCTCAGTCATGAGTATTGGGGAAAAATGCACATTAAAATTGGTTTTTACTTTTGTTTTATTTTAAAATTTGTTTTGAGTTTTATAACTTTAAAAGCCTCGTGCATTCTTTTCACAGCTTCCAGCCCCAGGAACATGGCAATGGAACATGTTTATTGCCAGTCTAGCATCTAGAAAAAGCTAACTCCTGGATGACACAAAGTAAATGATTGCAAAAAGAAAGAGAGAGAGGAAGAAAGGATGACAGGCAGGGGAAAGATCAGGGGGTCTGACCACAGAGGTGGCGCATTTTACTGAATTAAGCATGATAGTTGTTGCCCAGGAAGGTCTCACAGAGGGCCACATGTGGGGTCAGAGGTTGCCTGTCACATGTGGTTGGCAGCCAGAAACAGCCATAGCAAGGCTGAGGGGAGCATCATTCATTTTTTCATTCAGTTAGGTTTTTGTTTTTGTTTTTTGAGACAGGGTCTCCCTCTGTCACTCAGGCTGGAGTGCAGAGGTGCAATCTTAGCTCACTGCAGCTTCCACTTCCCCAGGCTCAAGGGATCCTCCCACCTCAGCCTCCCGAATAGCTGGGACTATAGGCACACGCCACCAACACCCAACTGATTGTTGTATTTTTAGTAGAGATGGGGTTTCGCCATGTTGCCCAGGCTGGTCTCAAACTCCTGAGCTCAAAGCAATCCGCTGGCCTCAGCCTCTCAAAGTGCTGGGATTACAGGCGTGAGCCACCATGCCCAGCTTCAGTTAATGTTTATTGAGTTCCCTCCCTGGGTTAAGGAATGATACTTCAGCTTTAACAGTGAGGGGTAGGCGCCAGGATCAGGTCCTGGGATGTGTGGCTGTATTTTTCTGGCATGAGCAGCTTTCTCAGGCATTGGTTCTTTCCAAGCAGGAAAGTTTATTAGAATTTTGCACAGATGCGGTTCATTTCACCCAGGATTTTGTCTTAGTTTTAGCAGCAGAGACAGTGAATCTCACTGGGTCTTAATCAGGAAAAGGAGTTGGCCGTTAAATGACCTCAGGAGTGGCTTCTGGCTTAGACCCTGGAGATGCCGTGTGGTTTGCTAAGGATCAACTAGCTCATGACAAATACTAGAAGAGACTTAATAAATCTGGACCTTTCTTTACCAATCCAAGTTGCTTGAGTTGTAAATGATGTAAAAATAGCACCCTACAGACACTAGTTGTTCAGGGTGAAATCTCTTATTTCCATTAGCCCTGATTCTAGAGAAGAGTGGAGAGTTGGCCTTAGGTGCCCTCTTTGTCTTTGACTGTATATGTGGCACACTTTCTTCAGCCAATGGAATGGCATACGTTGTATGCCATCTGCAAGAGCCTGATAAGTTGCATTACAAATAGAGTGTGCAAACAATAGTACTGATTAAGTGACAAATGTTGAGGCCTGGGAACTGATTTTTGGCACTGACAAATTAAGGCAGATTAGACCGCCTTTCAGGACACTTTTGATAATGCTACGTGTATGTGAAAGAAGAAGGTATCAGAAAAAACTTAATAGAGTTTCTTAGCAAGAGTACTGGAACATAATTGTGGATGCCTAAGAGGAAGTGTTTGAGTCAGGAAAATTTCAGTTGTCCTGAATTGATGAACGAGTCTCTTTTTAGTAAATGCTTCTTTTAACGGTCATGGTTAGTTAGGACTTAGAGACAAATTACAGAGTAGCTTATTGTTATTTCTGTTGTTGTATAATAAACTTTTGGAGATGAACTTCATTAAATGCCCCTGGTCTGGTTTTGTTGGTGAAAAGCTGAAATAAATCTATTGTTGTTAACATCTGTGGTGATATAGACTTGAAATTATAATCTTAGCATGGGTTAGAGGAGCTGTGAGAAACAGTGAAAATTCATATAGCACTTATTATACACAGTGTATGAAATTAATAATCTCTGCATCCTCCTCCCAATTGCTGAAATTATTCTTACGGTTTCCATTTCATTGTGGTACCATAGAGTATGTAAGGGATGCTGGGGCTAAGACTATTAGCATTATGGGAATATTTAAATATAATTTAATATGAGAAAAATCAGAGGAATGTGCAAACTCTAGGCTGTATTTCTCCCTAATGGGTAAATCCAGTCATATATCTCTGACAGAATTGTAAAAACACTGAGTTATTTGATCTTTCCTGACTGACTTATCTTGGAGTCATTTATATTTATAACATGCTGTGCACCAAAGCATGAAAAGCAGAAGCATACAGTTTCGCTCTCATCTGAAGTAATAAAATATTTTTTATTTACATAGTCAATCTGGGATAGATTATAGTAGAAAACCCCTACAAATCTGAGATACTGAAAGTGGTAGCCGTTTTCAGAGATAAATAAGTAACCTATTAGCCTGATTAGATGTCTTTGCTACTCACATGGTAAATAAGGCGTAACTTTGCTTGTTTACTCCTTTAAATTTCCTTATAGATGTACTTACTTTCTTTTTATATGTTTAAGGTCTTAGTAGAATTTCATCCCTTCCTCCAGCTTTTTATTGTATAAAATGTTAAATGTGGAAAAATTGAAGAATTTATGTAGCATAGCACATCTGTATATCTACTACCTAAATTAATTAATTAACATGGTGCTGTATTTCGTTTCTCTCTCTCTGTCTTTTTTTTTTTTTTTTTTTTTGAGACAGTCATCTCGCTCTGTCACCCAGGCTGGAATGCAGTGGCGCCATCTCCGTTCACTGCAACCCCCGCCTCTCGGGTTCAAGTGATTCTCCTGCCTTAGCCTCCCGAGTAGCTGGGATTACAGGCGCCCGCCACTACATCCAGCTAACTTTTTTGTATATTTAGTAGAGACGGGGTTTTGCCATGTTGGCCAGGCTGGTCTCGAACTCCTGATCTCAGGTGATCTGCCTGCCTTGGCCTCCCAAAGTGTTGGGATTATAGGTGTGAGCAACCGTGCCCAGCCTGCATTTGCTTTCTCTATTTGTGTGTGTATATGTGTATGTGAAGGTATGCGGATGTGTGTATATATATATATATGTTTTTTGCTGAACAGTTTGAGATTAATCAGGGTAAGGAGATGTCATGATGCTTACCCTCTCTCTCTATATATTTTTTAAGGCAGGGTCTCACTATGTCACCCAGGCTGGAGGGCAGTGGTGCAATCATAGCTCACTGCAGCCTCGAACTTCTGGGCTCAACTAATCCTCCCACCTCAGCCTCCCAAGTAGCTGGAACTATAGGCACATGCCACCACACCTGGCTAATTTTAATTTTATTTCTATAGAGAGAAATCTTACCATGTTGCCCAGGCTGGTCTCAGACTCAAGTGATCCTCCTGCCTCAGCCTCCCAAGTATTCAGATTATAGGCATGAGCCACTGTGCCTGGCCTAAGTTCTTGAGCATCTGTTTCCTAATAGTAAGGGCATTCTCGTACATAAAGACACTAACATTTCAAAATATGAAAAATGAACGATAATTTTCTCATTATATCTGGTATCCAGTCCATATTTAAATTTATCTAGTTGTCTCCAAATTGTCTTTTATGGCGATTTTTTCTTCCTAAATTCAGATACACAGTGCTCATGCATTGCAATTCATATTGTAGTCCTAAACTCTTTTATGTTTAATCTAGCATCTAGAACAGTTCTCTCACTTTTTTTTTTTTTTTTTTTTTTTTGAGATGGCGTTTTGCTCTTGTCACCCAGGCTGGAGGGCAATGGTGCTATATTGGCTCACTGTAACCTCCGCCTCCTGGGTTCAAGTGATTCTCCTGTCTCAGCCTTCCGAGTAGGTGGGATTACTTGTGCCCACCAACACGCCCAGCTAATTTTTGTATTTTTAGTAGAGACAGGGTTTTACCACATTGGTTAGGCTGGTCTCGAACTCCTGACCTCAGGTGATCCAATGGCCTTGGCTTCACAAAGTGCTGGGATTACAAGTGTAAGCCACTGTGCCTGGGATTTTTTTTTTTTTTTTTTGACATTGACTTTAGAAAGAGACCAGGCCACTTGCCTTGGAGGACATCCCACATGGAGGATGTGTCTGATTGTTTCCTGTTGAGGCTGTTCAGTTTCTCTCATTCATGATTTCCTGTAAACTGGAAGTTAGGCCAGAAGTTTGGAGTTTATTAGTTCAGTTAATCTTTTTTGGGAAGATGAGGTAGAGGAGATTAAGAAAAAGTCAGTGTCATCTTCGCAGAGTGATTTTTCTTAAAACCCTGGCCTCTGTGATATTGAGAAAGTCACAATATTGGAAGGTGACACTTGTCAACTTCTGATTAGAGTCTCTTCCTTATTTTAAAAGACATGAACTAAAAGTTGACTGGGTTTCCTGTCCTCCCCCCTTCACCCTATCTCTTTCTATCTCCTCTTCTTTGCTCTTCCATGGCCATGAGTATGTGCCACTAATAGGACATTTTCTTACAATGTGGCAATTTCCTTGTATACGTTTATGTCTAGCCCACCATTCTATGAGCTGCTGACAGCAGGGAGGTGTTGCTTTTTTTGTGATTTCTTGAAACCCAATATAATTCAGTGTTATCACAGGCCAATTTATTAACATTTAAAACTCTCTTCTTGGCCAGGCGTGGTGGCTCACACCTGTAATCTCAGCCCTTTAGGAGGCTAAGGCAGGAGGATCACTTGAGCCCAGGAGTTTGAGGCTGCAGTGAGCCATGATTGCAGCACTACACTGCAGCCTGGATAACAGAGCAAGACCCTATCTCAAAAATAAAATAAAATAATAAATAAATAAAAGTCTCATCTTAAATTTGATGGGGAAAGGAATTTTCTGGATCCACAACTGAATTGTCTATGCTTGGCAGGCAGATGTTTTCTCAAATGGTGAATGGATTCACCTTCTTTCTCTTCCCTAGTTTAGCTACTTTCACTCCCTTCTAGTCTTCATATATTCCCAAGTGAAGTGAGAAGATAGGTCTGTATATCAGTGACTGTCCTTTTCTTTTTTCTTTTCGATTTCTCTTTTAGGAGCTGAGATGTTTCTTCTCTGAACTTTATTTTTCATTGCTTATGGCTTTTTTTTTTCCCCCTGTAAGTTCTCTGCGAGCTATACACCTGTGGAAATATAGGGACTCTCCTTCATTTTCAAAGAGCTCAGAATATCGGTGAGACAAAGTCCCTTCCTGCCTGGACATTCAGATTGGCCCTATGGACTTAAATTGTCAAGCAAGTATACTTTTTTGTGTGCCCCGCAACTTGGCCTAAACTTTGCTATAAATGGCAAAGTTACTGAATTGCCTTGGCTCCATACCAAATGTTGGAAATAATTTTAGGATATAAAAACACATCTTTCATATGAAAGTATTTCTTTTAGGGTCCCTTGATAAGCATATATATGTGTTACTCATTTTCCTAATGAATTAGTTCCTTTCTTCAATTGTAAGGATAAACCCTCATTAATATCTAATTTGTTGGAATGAAAATGATTCCAGTAACATTTTTATGACTTCAATGTGACTCCCTTATGAAAAGGCATAATGGAATGGCTACTTTAATCAAATTTGAAGAAAAAAGAAATATTATTCTGAATACGCACTTCATAAATAGGAAAGGCAGTTTTCAGCATTTACTTTAGGTATCATTTATTCAGTGAGAGCTTGAGGGTAACCCCCAGGTTCCTGCAGGCAATTAAGACGAAAGTCATGATTTTGGAGAGCTCTGGGTTTAGTAAAACCACATTAGATTAGAGTTCTTAGACCAGGAAGGGGCCCTAGAAAACCATCAGATCAAGCCTCTTGCCTTTAGGCAAATAGGATACTAACCCCTGTTGACAGACAAGCATATTTGAAACCAATAATGGTGTTTTGAACAAAAGAAAAATAGGGGCTTGGAGCCTGGGTTTTCATCTTTTATTGCACTCTTCCTACTGTAATTATAGTTTTATTTTTCAATTCAATTCATTGGATCCGAGAGGAGCTCATTTATCGATTTGCAACCTAAGTATTAGCCATGGAGTCATTCTTGAACTTTGCCGTGGACTTGGGTGAAAAATGTTTCTGGTTTTCAAGGCTTCCCTAGTATCATATGGTATTGGAATCAAAAATAGAGTATTGTTTTAAAACTGTCAGCATAGGCAGAACTTCTCATCCAGCAACGCATTCCGTAGCTCAAGTCCTCATTTTGAACATAGGATTGCAATGCTGAGCCCCTACCATCTTTCCACTGGAAGGAACAGTTGGGCAGCTTTTTAAGGTACGGCGCCTCGTGGAGGACTCCATTAATGAGGAATCATGGTCTCCTGACTTTGGATTGATCATTTTTGTTCAAAACAGGAGTATTCCTGAGTCAGAGTCAGCCACAGCTTATAGGCAACAATTTTCAGGAGACAACATCCCAAGTTAACTGCTTATGGCCCCCAAAACTGTAAGGCTTGTGATAGTGCCCCAGTGAAATATGCCACTGTGGCATTCCCATCCTTTTAGCTCCTGGATTTCTCCTTTTCAGCCCATAATAGGCAAGGGCAAGTAAGGGAACTAACAATTATATGAGCACTTCCTCTGTCCCACACATGGTGCTAAGTCCTTTAAAGAAAACAAGGTTTTCTTCACTGGTTCTCTATGGCCATTATTAGAGAATGCTGGAGTCACTGATCTGGAAAAACCTGTTTAATTCCTTGGTCTCAATTTCTTATCTGTAAAATGAGATTAAATTGGTAAAATATGTGAAGCACTTAAAAAGTATGTTTTAAATGGTACTTAGTGTTACCCACTTCATATACATTTCTGCCAGCTCTATCATACCTAATCACTCATTTGATCATGTCATCCTCTTCCCAGTCTCTGTTCTTTGAGCTGAAGAATGTTTGGTGATTCCTGGCTGCTTCTGGGCAAAACTCCTTAGTTTGTTGTGTGATCTGGCCCCGTCTTACCTCTTTAGACTGATAGATCCCTTCATTCTCGCATTGGTATTAAAAATCAATATAGACCATGATTTTGGGTTTATGGCTTCTGTAAGTTTGTGAGGTTTCTCTACCTAAAATTCCCTTACCACCTGTCCTCCTATGTCCCTTCCCTCTACAGTCTCCACCTGTTCAAATCCCCATGTCCCTTCAGGACACGGGTCCCAGCCTCTGCCCCAATGTAGCCTTTCCTGCTTGCCTTTAAACTGGGAGTAATATCCTCCTTTGGATTACTAGCCCTGTATTTATAGCTGTTTTGAAACCCTATGGAAGTGTAGGCTTTGAATCATCAAAAAGTATTAAGTGATGTTCAGTACTTCCATTTACTCAGTACTAAAGTTCATCAGTGTATTTTCAAACATTTTTCAACAAGACTTGAAATAAAAAAAAAGTTTTTCCTTAAGAGGTTTTTTCTTTCTTTCTTTCCTTTTTTTTTTTTTTTTTTGTCCATTTGACATCTGAATCCTGAATTGACTAGACAAATTTGGTTTTTCTAGTCAGTGGTTAACTGGGACATGCCATTCTTCAAACATTTCTAGGAATCCCAATACCTAGTAGCTGATTCGGTCGTGCTGGAGAATACAAAGGCAGTAATCAAAGAGCCTACACAGAGAGACACTGAATTTTAGAACCAGGATAAATCAAAGTGACTTTAGTGAAACGTCACCACGATCTGACGTGATCTGAATAAACCACAATCTCAGAGAGTGAGGATATGTTTTGAGTAAATTTGTTCTGTGTGTTGGCGAGAGTGGCTGCCTAGTTAACCGTGGGCAGGTCTGTGAGTTTGCGGCATGCCCCTTCGTTCCAGCTGCTTGCTGATAGGCTGGCCCAGGCGGGATCCATCCTTCTGATCGCCAGGTCCTGATGAGGCTGGTGCCACCACTACATCCATTCCAGGGAGACTCCCAATCTCTGTCAGTTTCTTCTGCTTTTCTGAATTCTAAACTCACTCTGATCTGATTTCATTATTTGTCTGTTGTGGTAGCTTTGGTGAAGTTGGACCACAAATAATGATATAGAAGAAAAAATGAACTTTTTTTCTTCTTTCCTGTGTCCTTTTATCAGGTATCATTTCCTCTATAAAACTAATTTTAAGTTGATAGAGTCTTAGGTCTATAGCCACTGTTGAATGCACCTAATCAGGCCATCTCCTTGAACTAGAGAATGTTTGCATCATAGGATAGATACCAGGTTCCCTGAGAGGTGGGTACCAGGTGCCTGGGAAGTGAAGTAACTTGCCAAGAACAGAGAGCCAGGGAGTGACATTGCAGGCATTTAAGCCTAGGCAGTCTGAGTCCCGAAAACAAGTCAAGACATTTATTGTCTTTCCATTTCTTACCCATGTTCTTACTGTTTTGCCTGGACTCCTCTTTTAATCTCAGTGAAAAAAAAAAAAAAAGTACATATTTAACAACTGAAGAAAATAAACAGAGACTGTAGTAAATTTCCAAGCTAATAGCAAGTTATGTAAAAAATACTACTTGCTGATGAGGTTTGTAAGAACCTCCTAGAACCTTATAGAACAAGTGTGGAATACTTGTTTTCTGCTAAGGGCTATTGACCCCAAGAAAATTCAATGAAGCGATCTTTGCAAAATAGTAAATGATTTTTCTTTGTCTCCCTGCAGAAGCAAAGAGGCTTAGACCTCTAGCCACTGTTGAATGCACCAAATCAGGCCACCTCCTTGAGCTACACAGAATGTTTGCATTATAGGATAGGTGCCAAGTGCCCTGGAAGGTTGGTGGAGAGAGAGATGACTTCCAGCTGAGATTGTACAGTAGAATTTAATATTTAAAGTTTCTCGATTTGACGGGGCTGAATTAGTTCATATGAGTTCATAAGTAGGAACTGCTTCGCTTAATTTTGGTGAATAAAATATCCTGGCTGCAAAATACAAAAAAGAAAGTCACCCTCATTTTCAAATGTATGGTTAGTGCTTTCCATAGAAAACATATGGCTAAATGTGTGTGTTTTTTTAATTTAGCTCTGAAATGTGAAGACTGTAATAAGATCTAGTAACAAGAGCGCAGTTTAGAAAAACCTGATTGACTCTAGTTTATGTAACTATACAGGCTATATAAAGAAAGTCTCATAAATGAACTTCATCTAAAGAGTGTGGCAGCTATAACCTTCTCCAACTTTCAGGCTCTGGGTGTTCTCCTAGCTTCTTCTGAGTTTATAGTCTTTATGTAATTATTAATACCATGATGATCATTCTGGGGTTTGCTTTTTGCCCTGGTCACTTTAGGTTTAATTTTATTCCATTCCTGGTCATTTATAGTTTTGTTCTGTCATCTCCCCATACCCATCGAGAACCCTATTCTCCTGTGGCAGACTTTAATGAATGTAACCGCAGATTATGTGTTTTCTTTCTTTGGTGAACTTAGAGGATGCATAGGCCAGGTGCCAAGTGTTAGAAGAAACCATACCTTTCCTGATGGTGCTGCATGGCTAGCCTACCCCGACCATGCAGTAAGTGACTTCCTCACCGCTGATGTGGCAGACCTGCTCTGCATCTCCACAGGGTTTCTGGGTTCTTTTCCAGGCTGTTTCCATATTGCACACTCAGACTGGGTAGGAAAGCAGGCAGGGCACAGTTTTATATGTACGTCAGCATTTTCACTTGGTGATGGATATAAGCTAACTTTTGTAGCTCTCCTAGGTTTATTACTGACATCTGTTCCCCCCTGAGCATATCCAGCTGGGGCTGAAGCCACATCTGCACTTTAAACTTCCATCTACCTTTATGTTTTCAATGTAATTTTAGATTTCATTTGTTTTTAATTGTGAACTCAGAAGAGATGAGTTCCAGCTATGACTCAGTGTGAGTTCCTATGTCATAATTCTACATTTCTGGAGTGCTTACACCTGACAGGAATAAACTCAAGGAAACAAAAAGAACAGGAAAGGCCTTAGGCACATACTGGTTGTTCTAGATGTGGAGTTCTGCTGGCAACTGCCACAGAGTGAAATTGGCCACATGGAATCCAAAGCACGGCCTCACATTGTTTTTTTTTTTTTGAATATTTTATGTAAGACAGGGATGTTAAAGGTAGAGGAAGTAATTAAGAATGGCAGCTATGTCTTTAAAATTAAACACATCGGTCATAACTTTAATGAAGGTGTAAAAGTGTTTTTAGTTTTAAACAGGCAAAAAGGCTTTTAAATACAAGTAACCAGTTTTGAGACTTTAAAAAGCAGAAGTTTTTCATGCCAGTGCTTCCTATTTTAGTTTCAAAGGAAAGGAGGAGGAGCTGAGGTTTGGATGGTTATCATAGATGAGGGAGTTGACATGATCAAAAATGTTTTTTTCCCTGGGAACACATCTTGAGTGCTTATCTCTTCTAATAGATAAAGGGCTGGTGAATTTTGAATGTTTCCTGCAGCTCTGAAGAAACACTGTGATCCTAATGAACACCGAGGAAAGCTTGTATTGCAGCCCTAAATATTACCTGCTTCAAGGAGGCAGCATGTTTTGGTACAGTCTGATCATGACTATAAATCAAAGCATCTTTACTTCTCCAGGGAGATAAAAAAAATCATGTGTTACTTTATAAGGATCTTGTAGTTGCAGTATGTCTGTCAGATGTTTCCATTTTTATGATTTAAGACACTTGGTGCTGCTATGAATAGCAAATTGGAAAAATTGGGCATTTTTTAAATTTTGAATTTTATCTTAGCATATATCTGGAAATGAAATAGCGATCTTGGAACAGAGACATCTTTGTTAGAATATGAAAGAATGTCAGTGAATTCTAACTTGAAGCTACATTGAGATGACATGTTAAAGGCATGAATAGACAAAGGGAATGATTTTCAGGAAGTGCCTTCTGGAGACTGTGGGAAATCCCGTCATGGGTAGAGGAACAGCTTGCGATTGGATCAAAGTCACGCAAAGTTACGCAGGTGGTAGATGCTGGTAGTCAACATGGCTAGGTCCATGGCAATCGATCATTTGCCCAGCATTTTGCCTGCTGAATTTGGGGGAGTGAAGAGGACATTTTCACCACCCCAGGAAGATAGTAACTAGTGCTCTATGTATGTAGCTCAGAGCCCTTGAATTTTCAAGTGACCTTTTAAAAGTTTCCCCCAGAAAGGTTTGAATAGACTTCCTATCTATTACTCTAAGTTTAGGTCTAAGAAAATTCCCAAATGGGTTAATACAGTCGATCCTCAATCTTTGAGAATTCTGTATCTGTGAAATTGGCCTACTTGCTAAAATGTATTTGTAAGCCCCAAATCCATCCGTGAGGACTCTTTGTGGTCATTGGTGGATATGTACAGAGCAGCAAAAAAATTTGAGTAGCTCAAGGTACACGTACCCGGTGGAGGTTGAACAAGGTGACACTCTGCCTTCTTGCCTCAGTTCTCATACTGTAAACGAGTGTCCTGGATGCAGACAATTCAGTGCCATGTCTTCTGCATTTTTGGGCTTTTTCTTGGTGATTTCACTGTTTAAAATGGCTCCCCAAATATAGGGCTAAAGAACTGTCCAGTAGGACTTTTTTTTTTTTTAGATGGAGTCTTACTCTTGTCGCCCAGGCTGGAGTGCAGTGGCTTGATCTTGGCTCACTGCAACTTCCGCCTCCCGGGTTCAAGCAATTCTCCTGCCTCAGCCTCTCAAGTAGCTGGGGTTACAGGCATCAGCCACCACGCCCGGCTAATTTTTATATTTTTAGTAGAGACAGGGTTTCACCATGTCGAACAGGCTGGACTTGAACTCCTGACCTCAGGTGATCCACCAGCCTTGGCCTCCCAAAGTGCTGGGATTACAGGCGTGAACCACCGCGCCTGGCCCTGTCCAGTGTTTTTAAGTGCAAGAAGGCTGTGATGTGCCTTATAGGGAAAAATACATGTGTTAGCTAAGCTTTCTTCAGGCATGGGCTTTAGTGCTGTTGGCTGTGAGTTTAGTGTCAATGAACCAACAACTTAGATCAAATAAGCCATTTTTTTTTTAAAAAACAGAAACACACATAAAATGACGTTATAAGTTGGTTGATGAAAATTTTGTGACCAGAGGCTTGCAGGAACCTAACCCTGTGTTTCCCCCAGAAGCTAAGGATTAGTATTTCCTATGGCGGTGTTCAAGGCAACTTCATAGACAGAACTACCATCATGAATAACAAGGATCACTGTGTGGGCTGAGTGCGGTGGCTCATGCCTGTAATCCCAGCACTTTGGGAGGCCGAGGCAGGCAGATCACCTGAGGTAAGGAGTTCAAGACTAGCCTGGCCAACATGATGAAACCCTGTCTCTACTAAAAATACAAAAATTAGCCGGTCAAGGTGGCGGGCACCCAATAAAATGACAATAGAGTTTAAACTCCATGGTTTCTGAGGCATTTTCTGAGTAAATTGGCATACAGCGTATGTACTCTTTCCTCTAGAAGTTCCAGAAACAACACTATTTCTTTATGTGCAAAATGGCCTCTTTTGAGCAGCCCTGGGGCAGTTTTGTCTGGCCCTCTTGCAGCCAGGGTGCCCCAGTTTAGTGTACAATTGGTATAAAAATAGGCAACACAGGAACTTGCTTGTCTCGGGGGAAAAGACGCTTGCAGATTTATAGAAATTTTACATTTGTATGCATGATATTCTGTAGGTTCAAGAAAAAACAATTCAATTTCAAGATAACATTCTACAGGGTAAATAAAATTTAATTTCAATAAATTTAAGGGGAAAAGTTGTCCATCTTTCTATACTTTCTGTAACTTTTGTAGTTTCACCACTAACAACAACAAAAAAAAAAGAACACAAACAAAATAGCCTTGCTCTGGGTTTTGAGGAAATGGTTTTGCAAGGCTATTTGGTTAGACAATGAATTAGAGTCAGAACTTCCGGGATGGGCTTTCGGTAAGGGAAATGCTTAGGCTGCTGCAAAGCCTGGATTCAACTTACACAGGATCCTTGAGAAGTTGTTCTTCGCATCCAGAACCATGGGCAATGCTCTATGGTATAAAAACCCCGAAGGTAAACACTGTCTGATATATATTTTTTATAATTGCAAAATACACATAAACTTACCATCTTGACTGTTTTTAAGTGTGCAGTTACATATTCACATTGTCGCACAGTCTCCAG
This sequence comes from Homo sapiens, assembly GCF_000001405.40. NCBI lineage: Eukaryota > Metazoa > Chordata > Mammalia > Primates > Hominidae > Homo > Homo sapiens. The sequence continues at coordinate 46,598,937 of NC_000013.11, forward strand.
AGCTCTTTTCATCTTGCAAAACTGAAACTCTGTACCATTAAATGACTCTTCATCTCCCTCTCTCCAGCTCAGCCCCTGGAAACCACCATTCTGTTTTCCATCTCTATGAATTTGACTACCCTAGGTACCTTATATAAATAGAAGCATAGAGTATTTGTCTTTTTAGTATTGGCTGATTTTACTTAGCATTATATAATGTCCTTAAGGTCCATCCATACTGTAGCAGGTGTCAGAATTTCCTTCCTTCTTAAGGCTGATTAATATTTAATTGCATGTATACACCACATTTTGTTTATCCATTCTTCTGTCAATGAACATTTGGGTTGCTTCCACAATTTGACTATTGTGAATAATGCTGCCATGAACGTGGGTTTGCAAATATCTCTTTGAGACCCTGTTTTCAATTTTTTTTTGTTGTTGTATACTCAGAAGTAGAATTGCTGGATCAGACGGTAACTTTATTTTTAATTTTTTTGAGGATCTGCCATAATGTTTTCCATGGTGGTTCCACCATTTTACATTCCCACCCACAGTACACAGGGGTTCCAGTTTCTCCACATCCTTGCCAACATTTGTTACTTTCATTTTTTTTGGTAGCTGACTGATAATTATGACTAAATAATATTGTTGAAGAACTATTACAATGTCAAGAAATTTTGGCCATCAGTGATAGTCTTATGATTAAACTTAGTAGTATTTTATTATTAAACTTAGTAGCATTTATTAGTAGTAGTTTTATTTCAGAAATATTTGCATTTTCCATGTTTCTAGCCCCTCAATTATGTAGGTAGAAACAAATAATATAGAATCAATTTACCTTATGTTACCTTAGAACTGTGGCCACAGCCTAGTAGGTGCTCAGTTCATTTTTGTTAAATGAATGAATCAATGACCATGAAGACAGTTCAGGTTATTTGTTATGGAGATACGTAATGGGATTGGAAAACATGTAGGGTAAATGTATTAGCCCTCTCCTGTGTTAACTCTTTAGCCCTTTCAAAACTAAAGGTATTTGGCCATGTGCGGTGGCTCACGCCACCGATCTTAATTTTTTTATTTTAAAAATAGCTTACTTAAAAAATAGCTTTGTTGTATTAAAAAATAGCACCCAGCTAATTTTTGTATTTTCAGTAGAGACAGGGTTTCACCATGTTGGCCAGGCTGGTCTTGAACTCCTGGCCTCAGGTGATCCACCCGCCTCAGGCCTCCCATAGTGCTGGGATTACAGGCGTGAGCCACCACACCCGGCCAGGCTTTTTAACATAGTAACATAAACATTTTTATTCTCACAATGTCTTTATGGTTTGGGAATGGTGGCTTCCTGTCTTTCAGAGTCTGGTGTTATTTGTTTTTTTGGTGTGTGCCTTGCAGACACCTGCACTTGAAATCTTTCAGGTATTTTGCAGTCGTTTTCTCAGATGGCTGGATTATTTCAAGCCAAGAATAACAGAGTTAGGGTCAAGACTGTGAACCGTATGGTCAGTCCTTCTAAGGAAGTATTTATTTTTATTCACTTTTGTTTGCCTTTCCTTGGGTCATGGTCCTAATTGCTGTTCCCTTTGGCTGCAGTTATTCAAAACTGAATTTACTGCTGAGCCTAAGACAGTGTTTTTCAAACTTTTAAAATTAAGACACCCAGTAAGAAATATGTTTTACAGTTTTTTTACATCCTGACCAGATTTACACACACACACACACACACACACACACACACACACAGAACCTGAAGTATTTGTTGCAAGTTGCAGATGTTTACAGTTACTGCTAAGGATATGTGTTTCCATTTAATTTACATAAAATACTGTTCATTGAATTGATTTTATGACTCACATTATTTCATCATGCAGTTTAACAAATACTGAGCACTGGTGTCACAGAACTTTGTCGTTCATGCTCTTTAGCAACAGTCAGCTTTTCTGCTCATGACTGATGGCCTATTGCTATGATTCTGTTAGCGCTTTAAAGCAATTTGATTGTCAAAGTCATGTTAGCTCTGGTTGTGTATTCAGTTACTCAGTTTCACCTTTACAGGCAGCTGCTCCTTGGGAAATGGGGCTTGCTGAGCAGGTTGAATGTTCCATAGAATCAGATCTATACTTTGGGGAACTCAGCAGTATGGGAATCACAAGCCAACCCACCCTATCCGTTAAAGGGCTCAGGCCCATTGGTCTCCATTGTCACTTAGACTAGCACAACATCACCTACCTCATGGATGCTTTGAGGGCAGGGCCGGTTTTGTTTTTCTTTTTATTCCTCAGAGCCCGCAGCATGATTCCTTGTGTGGAGAATATGCATCAGCCTTGGCTCTGGTCCTCTCTTCACTGTCCCTCTTCTCCTCCCTACAGAAAACAGCAAAGCATGTATAGAAAGAGATGTGCAGACTGTGTGGAATGACCTGAGGGGTAACTTGCTTAGAGGGTAGAGACTGTTGTGTGTAAAAACTTATGTTTGAGGCAAATTGCAGGAAAAAGTTCTTTAAATGAAGGAAAGATAAGATTATAAGTTTTTTAAAAAGTTGTCTTAATGAATAGAGGAGAATGACTAGTCATTATTTCATAGATCATAGGTACATAGGTGATTTTAAAGGTTGAGTGACTGGTCCCTTGAGGTTAGTTCAATGTCCTCTTGTAATCTGAATTTTTTCATCAAATTCTTTTAAATCCAGGTGGGGCTCAGCTCCCTCTGAAGTATCACAAAACCCTAAATGAATTAGGTTAATAAGACTAATTATATTTCCATAGCAATGTTTAAGTGGCCTGCTGCCCAATCACCTTCCAAGCCCTGCTCTGTTGGGTTTCTTTTTACCCAGTCATGATCACGTAGGACCAGGCTGTTTTTCGTAGGGGGTTATGGAGTCGCAATGCCTGGGGTGTTAGGAATATAGGCTGGGCTTGTATCATAGTACCCACGCCGCTGCCTAACTCTTGATATCCAGTGACTGAGTTGGACTTTGTAGCTGCTTTCTCTTTATTAGGAGAAAAGAGCTTGTTTAATAAACCTAAGAATTAATAGCCTGTGTTCAGTAGTTGGATTTGTAACCTGAATGTTTTTATGTCTACTGACTTGCAACGTTGTCATATAAATTAAAGATCATAGATCCAGCTATGGTTTAAAGGTGACTTCCAGGACATGGATTTGAAAGATCAGAATTTGAATCTCATCTCTTTCCATTCTAGCTTGGTAACCTTGAGGAAACCACTTAACTTCTCTAAGCCTCAAAGGTGTCAAGTAGATTAATGCAACTATGTATAGCTGACCCTGAGGAATTTTTGGTTCCGCTAGAATAAAGCTTGAATTTTTGGACATTAGAAGGATCTTTGAAGATGATGTAGCTTCGTTGTGTAACTGAAGACCAGAGAAATTTAAGTGAGTTTCCTGGAATAGTTTATGCCTCTGCTTCCTGTGTCATGATTACCACCCAGAACACGTGCTTAATTGGGGACAGGTAATCCATTCAGGGTGAAGAACATGGCTTTTGGGTCAGTCTGCAGTGGATCTAAATCAGCCCCCTGCTGTTTACTGTGTCTGTAGTCTAGAAAAAGCTATTTAACTTCTTGCAGATTTAGCCTAACTATGAAATTAAATTGGGGATTTAAAAAAACTCATAGGGACGTGGTGAGGCTTGACTGAGATAAATTTATGCAAAGCTCTTAGCACAATGGCTAGTACCCAGAAAGTGCTCAACATTATTATTATTTCCTAATTGAAGGGCATTGATGATTTAAAATAAAATGGAGGCTGGGTACAGGCTCATGTCTGTAATCCCTACACTTTGGGAGGCCGAGTTGGGTGGAACACTTGAGCCCAGGACTTTGAGACTAGATTGGGCAACATGGTAAAACTCCATCTCTATAAAAAATACACAAATTAGCTGACTGCGGTGGTGCCTGTAGCCCCAGCTACTGAAGAGGCTGAGGTGGGAGGATGGATTGAGCCCCGGAGGTCAGTGCTGCAGTGAACCATGATTGTGCCACTGTGCTCCAGCCTGGGCAACAGAGCAAGACCCGGTCAACAAATACATACATGCATACATACATGCATGCATACATACATACATACATACATACATGTAAATAATTAAATAACTCATTTCTTGTCAGATAAATGGCTGTATCTTTATAATAAGATATCTGTATCCTGTGACTTCATCCTGTAAATAATTTTGTGCCTCTTGTGCTTTCTATGATCTAGGGAGGAGAAAGCTAATTCTTCTTCATTTTATGCACGGAGCAGAGACACGGAGAGCCTCTAATTTATTTCTTCTTGGTGTGGCCCTGTTTTCTGAGCATGGGTGTGTCTGATCCCTGGGGAGAGCAGAGCCACACTGTGGATCTGAGGTGCTGGGAAGCCATCCAGTTTCCTCCTCCTGACCCTGACTCAAGTCTTCCCTGAAATCTCTGTCAGCCCCATTCTCTTTCTGTCAGCCCCATTCTCTTTCTGTCAGCCGCCCTCCTTACATAACCCAAATGGGTTGTTTGCAAAGCTAGTGTCGCTGAGGTGTTCTGTGTACAACAGAAAAGAATCTAGGGAGGATTCCTATGTGTCACTAAAGCCAGTAATTAAGTGGACAACAGGGGGAGCTAACACTGAATGCACCAATAAATTTCAAGACTCCTGCTACCCTAGGTAACCGAGTCAATAGTATTAGAAACCATTTTAAGCATTGGTAGTTTTAAACATGCTGTTTAAAAACAATTTTAAATTTACCTTCACTTTTCTAATTGGATACTTTACTATTCAGAGTACTATGAGATGAGGGTCTCGCTTTGGAGTGCAGGGGACTGATCTTGGCTTACTGCAGCCTCAATCTCCTGGGCTCAAGCGATCCTCCCACCTCAGCCTCCTGAGTAGCTGAGACTATAGGCTCGTGCCACCATAGCTGGCTAATTTTTAATTTTTTTGTAGAGATGGGGTCTCACTATGTTGCCCAGGCTGGTCTTGAACTCCTGGCCTCAAGCAATCCTCCTGCCTTGGCCTTCTAAAATGTTGGCATTATAGGCGTGAGCCACCATGCCCGGCCAAACTTCTTTTGAAATTAGCTTGTTGATTCTTCCTCACCTCCCAGTTGTTTTTGTGCCAGAATTAATTTTTCTCCTTGTATTATAGAATAGTTTGGAGGAGTATTGAAAGAATTAGGGGGTAGAGTTGCCAGATGTAGCAAATAAAAATACAAGACACCCAGTTAAATGTGAATTTCATATAAATAACTACTTTTTTTTTGCTATACATATGTCCCATGCAATATTTGAGACATACTTATACTAAAAGATTGTTAATTATCTGAAATTCAGATCTAACTGGGCATCCTGTATTTTATCTGGCAACCCTAACTGGGGTGGGGATGGTGAGGAGGGCCTTGGATGTGGCCAGAGGAGAGGTGTCAGAGCCTCAGGTGTCTTCTTGTGGGTGACCGAGGTGGCTGCAGCACAGTAGCCTTGCTCCCTGGGTCTGGGGCCTGTGCCTTCTCCCTGTAGTCACTTAGAATAGGATGATGGGGGTGGCTCAAGGCAGTGGAATAAATTAATTCTGAAGGAACACACTGGGCCAGAGTCCTAGAACAGTTTACTTAATGATAGTGTTATTTTAATTTTCAATTGTTTGCCTTTCTTCCCTGTGATACGGAATAAACATGAAATTGTATCTGGAGCGGAGCAGGCAGAACTTACATCTTGTTGGTCTTGTTCTGCCCTCAGCCTCTGATGTTCTACAAGGTTTATCCTTTTGTTTCTTTTTTTATTATCCAAGGAATGAGATATGCCAGAAAAATGTGACAGGTATTTATGAAATGCTTTGAACTAGGTGAGCTTAGAGCATAAGTAATTTTAGGTCATTTATCTCATCACAACACTATCTACAGAGTTTTAACCCTTATCATAAGGAACAGACCATGATGACACTGACATTATCAACATAACGACACACATGCTTTTCTATTCCTAATGCTTTGGTGAGAGAAACTGGGGCATCGGAGAATGTTCTCAGCCATATTTTTGATATGGCCTAAGGTATAATGAACAAAAGCTTAGATGAGAAAAGTCCATCTGATTGATGCCTGGCTAATTGACAGCCAATTATGTCATGGTGCCAGTTCTTAAAGAAATTGACCCATTAATCCCTTTGTGTGGAGAGGCCAGCCAGCAGGCATCTGCTTTCTTAGCATGCAGCAGTACTGAAAAGTTTATTGAAATAATCGTCACCTGTCCTTTCCAAATCTTAATTCTTCTGAGTTTAAACATGTTTTCTCTAAGGAAAGTCGGATTGACATGAAATCACACATGTCTGGAATTATCTCTGAGTCCTTTATAAACAGACCAAGACTTGGAAGGGCACACCTTAGGTTACAGAGTGTTTTCCTGGGCTGGGCTCCAAAGCTTCCTGACTATTGAACAATAATGTGTTCTTTCCATGCTACTTTATATATTTATTTTACAGAAGCCTTGTGCCTTTTATCCGTTCATATCCACTTTGAAAACTTACTTGTGGCCTGCCAGAGCAGAGGTACAAAAAATTCCGGATTATTTTCTGTTTAGAGGCCCCACACAATACAGTATATGTGCTGAAGATGAGGGCACTCCTCCTCCTCCTCCTCCTCCTCCTCCTTCCTATCCTACCCCTTCCTCCACCTCATTTTTCTTCTTCTTTTTTAAAAATAATCATAAGCATGTGTTTTCTTCTCATGTGCTTGTAAATATTTTTGTTGGGGATTCTTGACTGGGATTTCAGAATATCCTGATAGGGAGAAGTTGGGTATTTCTTCATGAGATAAATTCCTTAAGGAGAGATTTGAATAGTTTTGACCTTTGGGTTTTCTTTTCTCTTTCAGTTTTCTTTCTAAAAAATGTTACATTTCTTGGTTATGAGATAAAAACAAACCTATAATTTGTGATAATGGGTGAAAATGTGATTAGAATTCACATTCTAGGTTTAATAATGACAGACTACTTATGAAAGATAAGATGTCAGAGCTGGAAGGCTTCTTAGATATTGTCGGGTTCAATATTCTTTTCTCATTAGAGGAAATGGAGACTCAGAGACATGAAGTGACTTCTCCAAGGTCACACAGTAAGTGAGTGATGAAGCTGGGAGTAGGACCTCTTTTGCCTGACTCCAAACACAGCTTTCCCCAACTATTGAGGAAAAGGACTCAGGACAATTTAACATTTCAAGTCATTGAAATATCCTTTAAATGCTCAAACTCTAATTTTAACCTTATGTGTGTGTGTGTGTGTGTGTGTGTGTGTGTATAAGTCGTTCTAAAGTACTTAACCTTCTGAAATCTTATTTTGACCATGTAGAACACAGTTCGACCTTTTTTCAATCTCATCATTATCAACACTGTTTTGTGAACATGGGTCATTGTGGTTTTAATTCATGGGTGCCCTTGGGCTATTCTGAGTCTATAGGACTTGCCCTTAGTTACATTAACACTCCCACATGACAAAACTCATGAGTGCATGGGGAACTTTTTGATATCCTTCCTCATTGTCAGTTGTCACTTTTTGCTACTTTCAGAGGTGATATTTATAGCATTTCCCCCCTTCTGTGTTGTTCCTACCCACAGGATTTTAACTTACAGAGATGACTGAATGATGACACAGAGGGGACAAGTCCATTGAAATAAGTCTTGTTTTGTTTTGTTTTGTTTTGTTTTTTGGGACAGGGTCTCACTCTGTCGCCCATGCTGGAGTACAGTGGCACAATCTCAGCTCACTGTAGCCTTTGTCTCCCAGGTTCAAGCTATTCTCCCGCCTCAGCCTCCTGAGTAGTTGGACTTACAGGCGTGGGCCACTACGCTCGGCCAATTTTTGTATTTTTAGTAGAGATGGGGTTTCACCATGTTGGCCAGGCTGGTCTCGAACTCCTGACCTCAAGTGATCCTCCTGCCTCGGCTGGTGTGCTAGGATTACAGGTGTGAGCCACAGCACCTGGCAGAAAGAAATTTTTTTTTATTACTCACATTTCCTAAGAGAAGAGGGCATTCCATGCCACACAGGGCCAGGAGGAGAAGCACCTATTTGGGTGAAGAGGAAGAGATGGGAGTCAGGGGAAAGCCGAGGCCAGAGCCTTTACTGGGTTTTTATGGAAAAGGCAAGGCAGACTGGAGGAATCAGCTTGGGGTTGGCTAGGCGCTGGGATGGTCTTTAGTTGTCAGTTCCTGGCCCTGAGAGATTTAGGGCAGGGGAAATGTGGGCTGGGTAACTGAGAGTTAGATAAGGAGGTGGCTCAGCTAGATCACAGAGGAGATGGAAACTACTTGGCTGTTAACTTGCCCTGTAATTGATGGATACCAAATAGCCAAATACAGATTCGGAGAAAATGCAGGACAACTTCCCAGGCTTACTTTGCTGCCATTCATTTTGTGGTGAACCAAAAAACCACTTACACAAACCTGTTGGAAGGGGTCTCTTTTGTGAGTACTGTCAAAGAGAGCTATCTAGAAGAGACCTTTTTTTGTGAGTGGTGAGGTTTAGGCTGAATTTTTATTTTGTTTTGGTGCTTTTCTGTAATTTGGGATTATTAAAAACAAAGACTAGACCTTTTTATAGATAGAAACAAGGCTCTTTTATTTGGAAATACCATGTGCATAAATGATGAATAAATAGAGTCAGTGAGGACCTTCTTGCCCTCATGATTCATTGTTCTTCTCCTTCTCCTTTTTCTCCTTCTCCTTCTCCTTCTCTTTCTCCCCTTCCTCCTCTTCCTTCTTCTTCTTTTTTTTTTTTTAATATGAGACACAGTCTCGCTCTGTTAAACACTTGTATTAGTTTCATTGAAAGTGTAATATAAAATCTGAGGATCTCAGACATCTTAGGAAGATGACTGTCATTTATTATCTATTAACCAGGTGAGCAACTTCCTGGCGAGTGAGGGGTGCGGCAGGGAAGGGTGGAGACGCAAAGGCACAGTTCCCTTTGTAATGGAGAGCTTCAGCTCCTGGGAAGGATCTGCAATGCTTAGTGGGGCTGTTCATCTCTAATATAGTTAATAATTACTGATTTGTATGAAGCAGAACTGAGGGCAGGGAGGGATGTGGGAAGGCCACAGGAGATATGAGTTTGCAGCCAGAGTTTACCGGTGATGAATCACCTTCTGATCAAAGCAGGAGGCTGGGACCTGTGGGGGATGCACTTCGACCCTGGGGTGTGACCCAGGAAGTCAGTGATTTGTGAAGGGCATCATAGGTCACAGATGCCTTTCCAAAGTTACCAGAACTTGGGATCCAATTTATTTCTCTTAGTCCAGGCTCAGGTTTGATTCCCAATCCCTTGCATTCACACGAGTCACAGGGCAGAAAAGTGCAGACGTGTTCTTGTGCGACCTCCAGATGTGGTGTGGAGATGGAAGATGGTACTCTCATCATTAGAGCTGATTTGCTTTGGAATTAAAGAGAGACATACGCACTGTGTTTCTGTGGCCCATCATAGTTTCCACTGATGGTGCCATGTGTCATTTGGGGTAACATTGACTTGTATTTCCACTCAGTGTGAGGAAAGGACCATAAGACAGAATTGGAGTAATTTCTGGAAAAAAGAAGTAAATGCTTAGTAGAGTGTCATACAGTCTTTTAATAACAAGTATTTGATAAACATGATTTTGTTATCCATCCTTCTGCAGGAAAAGAAGCCAAGTTAATTTTCCTGAGTTTACAGATTGGAGGGTTTTTAGTATAACCTGTGCCTTTTTCCTTCACCCTGTTTCCTCTTTTACTACTACAGTAAAGAGGGTGAAATTTAGTTGCAAAAGGATACCATTGAAATTTAGTTACTTTTGCTCGTCTCTTGCTAAAAGAGTTAATAATGTGCAGTCTTTAACTTGGACTGATTTTGGTATAATGTAGTGGGTTTCTAAAAATAGATTTCTTTTTCATGTAATTGACAATTAACTCCATAAGTTACTTTACAGAAATTTAAGTTTCTCTAGAAATTACTGCAGTACACATTGCATGCATTCTCCTTAAAGAAAATTGACAGAACAAAATTTCATCCTCTGTTAGGAGCTTGCTTTTCCCTCACTTGCTCATCTCATGAGGGGAAGCATGTATTATATCATGTAATTGACCTCCCGAGCTGTATGGCACCCTTGAGTGAACCAGGTACAAGCAGCCTCCACCCAGGCATTTTCTTAATGTCCACAAAGGCTCGCTGACTTCAAGTTAGCTATTTGTGTCCTTTAACTTGTTGCCACAATTTAAAACCAGGTGAGCATTTTCTGCACAGAGTGGTCATAAGCAGTGTCTGTTCTGCTGTGCTCGGCCTCTTTGTCACCTGTTCCATATTTGGGCATGAAGCACTAGGCCCATATGCCTTCACCATTTTGCAATGTTGTTCTGGGACAGAGTTATAGGGTTTTTGCCTTGAACAAAGCATCTACATTCTTCATTCTTAGGGAGTGACAGTTCCATTGCCAATATGTGGATATCAGTTTTCTTCAAGCTTGTGTACCACTCGTATCCACTGCTGTTCAGTTGCATAATCTCTAAGATTAAAAACTACATTTTGGTAATGCTGGCAACGAGGGCACAAGGAAATAAATTGTCTGTTTTTATAAACATGTAGCTACTGATATTTTTTTTTGAAGGTGAAAGCTTTATTTAAAGGAAGGTCTCATAGAGAGTTTTAAAATTTTAGAATGAAAAAAGGTCTTAAATTTATTAACCAAATAGTAAACTAATTCATTCAACCAAAAGACTTACTGAACACTCCCTGAGTGAAGGTGTGTGTGTTAGGAAATGTGCTTACTGGGTGAACACAACAGAGGTGTTCCCCACCTCATGATACCCACAGTCTAGGGAGTGACAGGCAATAATTAAGTAATTTTTAAAAATTTATAGCTGTAAAGTAAAGCAAACTATGGCACGTCCATGAAAGAGAGGTTAGAGCCTATGAGCGGGGAGGCGGGGACCAGATGGAGCCTGGGCTCAGGGGCTGCCAGACACACACAGCTGCCTACGGGCAGGAAGGGGCCCCATTGGAAGCGTTAAACAAGTGTCTGTATAGAAGGAAGGCATGTGAATAAAGAAAAAAAGATTGACCTTTGTGAGTTGTGACATCCAAGGTGTCCAGGAACTAGTTTCTCCACTTTCTTTTTCTCCTTTTTGTCATGGCCGGCAGTTGGGCCCTTGTACTGTTCATCAGCTTCACCATCAAAATCAAATGAAAAGAAAGAGAAGGGAATGGAATGCTCACTTTCTAGACCTTACTTTAAATTCTGTTGAAGATTTATTAATATTTGGGAGAGAGTTTGAAATGATAATCCAAAAGATGTCTCCCTTTGAACATATGTAGAAGTTAATCATTTAGATTAACTTGCATTTAAACACATAATTGTATGTGATCGTATACATTTTTTGGCTCACTGTTTTGTGTTCAAAGGCAGATTTCCTAGGGTAGTGCTGATTTATTCTACTTCTTTTAGGCTGTGTAATTCACCTTTTTTCTAATTTGGGGAAAATTGTGGTCACTATAGTTATATATTTTTTATTTAAAAACTTGTAATATTTTATTAAGTTATCTACCCAAATCTTCCTCCTGAAAGATAATATCTTTTTTTCCTTTTTTTTTTTTTAATTTCAGTAGGTTTTTGGGGAATAGGTGTCCTCATAGCTTAGCTCCCACTTAGGAGTGAGAATATAGGATGTTTGGTTTTTCATTCCTGAGTTACTTCACTTAGAACAATGGTCTCCAGTTCCATCTAGGTTGCTGTGAATGCCATTATTTCATTCCTTTATATAGCTGAGTAGTATTCCATTATCTATCTCTGTATATGTATATATCACAACTTCTTTATCCACTTGTTGACTGATAGGCATTTGTGCTGGTTCCATATTTTTGCAGTTGTGAATTGTGCAGCTATAAACATGCGATAACACAGTATCTTTTCAGATATGTGTCCGTCTGACATGTTCTGCACCACCCACTACACTGCAGGGCATTTAGGTAAGCAGCATTTATAAGAGTGACTGGAAATGGCTTAGGAAAAATGGTACAGAATGTAATTTATCAGAATAATCACTGATCCTCTTAGCATGTGTATTCAACAGGTAACTGTGACTCTAAAATGTTATTTGGGAGGGAATTTGCAACCAAAGTTAGAAACAGCTCTAGAGGTGCTGGGATCTAGGGGCCTTAGATTTTTTCATCTCAGTTAATCACACCATGCTTTAGGAAGCTTTAGGATAAGATTCTGGTGCTAGTGTCCCCGGTTGGTTTTGCTTCTGAGAACCAATTTTGCAGTTGTCACATGATGAGTTGGATCCTCATGCAGATCCTCCAAGGGTCTTACTGAACACCATCGGTTTATGCTAGTGAGGGTTTGTGGTTCTCAGCTTCCCGCATTGGAATGAACATTATTTGGGCCTGAGCTGTGACAGCTTCCTTCTTCAGCTTCCTTCCTTGGGTTCTTCTGGTTGGGGTATGGACCACTTCTTCTGGAGAACAGCAGGGTGGTGTTCAAGCACCATCGTACTCTCCTAGTCTAGAGCTCAGCCACCCAGTACTATAGCCAATAGAGATATTTGGCTCAAAAACACATGAGAGATGGTAGTGTGACAGAATAATGGAATTGTAAATTGTATTTAGTTTTAATCAAAACTTTAAAATTGATATCCAATATATATGATTGGAACAACTTGAATATGTGAGCTTACCTTTTCATCTCTAAAGTTTATGATAAAAGATTTCCAGTAAAAATTTAATGTCCAAGTTGAGATATGCTGTGAGTGTAAAATACATGCTATATTTCAAAGACTTAGTATTTAAAAAGAATAATATACAATAAGTAATTTTAAAATGTTGATTATTTGTTGAGATGATAATATTTTTGGTACATTAGGTTAAATAAAATGTACTATTAAAATAATGTTATCTTCTTAAAATTGTGATGACTATAAAATTTGAAATTGCATAGGTGGCTTACATAATGTTTCTGTTATTGGGCATTGCCCTAGAGCTAACTGAGGAAAAGATCATAGGGCACCATTTGCCATTGTTGTCAGTATGTGGCTTTCAGTACTAGGAGGTAAAGTAGATACTCTTTCCATACTAAATACTAAATGCCACTATCATTAAAAAACAACATGGCAAATCTTGCCCTTAAGGGGACCTCATTTTTTCCCCAGCAAAACAAAACCGACAGCCTGTTATATAGCTAAAGAGTAGATGAAAATACTTAAACAATATAAATGAACTTTATTGGTTAATAGGTGCAGCAAACCACCATGGCACACATTTACCTATGTGACAAACCTGCACATCCTGCACATGTATCCCAGAACTTAAAATTAAATATATATATAAAATAAACTTTATTAGTTATGCAATGAAATAAAACAGAGCAAGCAATACCTTTAGGTTCACTGAATTTTAAAGTTAACACCTTCAATACAAATGTATATATTTTGTATACACGGTTATGAAGGTATGAACATATTAATGAGCAAAATAATTATGAATACTTGTTCCTCTTTTGTAGTTTTAAATATGTATAAGCAAGAAGTAACTTGACATGACATAATGCTGTGCCACCTTGCCTATTCTGTCGTGGGCTCCAAATGTAAATTCATCAGAAGAGCTCACAGCTTTGTTGAATCTCCTGCCTCTTTGGGGAGATAGGCTCATATGTCTCAATTTTGAAGCACCCCTCTTGGAATGAGGTCAGTTAGACCACTCCAAGGACCACTCTCTTTTCTTCTTTGTATTTTCTGGGGAAAACGTATAGCTAGCATGCTGGGACTGTTTGTTTTGAATGAGTTTGTTTATGAGTTTTCAAAACAAAATTATGAAAAAAAGGGAAGTTTCCAACTCCTTGTGCATGTCTTGCTGGCTAAGCAGATGATCTCTAAAAACAGATTACAATATCATTTTGAAGGTAACAAAGGTATCTTCCTTGCTTATCTTTAAGGCTGCATATTTTATTGTTTATACATTGGCCAATTAGGAACTGAAATTTAAGAAAGACAGTCATTTTAACCTATTGAAGTCACAGAATGAAATGATGAAGTAATCGTATGTGTTCCCAGTTTAGCATATATGTATATATATGCATTGATGAATAATATGATTTGTTGTAAACAAATGAAAAACTGCAGAAACCTGTAATTTGTACATTATTATTTCAGATCACCGTAACAAATATTACCAGGTTTTTAATTTTCTTTAAAAAAATGCATTTCTAGGGCTGGGCGTGGTGGCTCACGCCTGTAATCCCAGCACTTTGGGAGGCCAAGGCAGGAGGATCACGAGGTCAGGAGATCGAGACCATCCTGGCCAACATGGTGAAACCCTGTCTCTACTAAAAAGACAAAAATTAGCCGAGCGTGGTGGCACGTGCCTGTAGTCCCAGCTGCTCGGGAGGCTGAGGCAGGAGAATTGCTTGAACCAGGGAGTCAGAGGTTGCAATGAGCCAAGATTGCGGCTGCACTCCTGCCTGGTGACAGAGCGAGACCCCGTCTGAAAAAAAAAAAAGAAAAAAAGATTTTCTAAAATTGTATTTATACTCTCTGCTCCTTCCCCATCAGCCATCAACGCTTCCCTCCCTCCCTCTCCCTTCCTTAATGATAAGCCCTCAGCTTTGCTCAGGACTCAGCCTCCCATGTGGTTTTGGTAAGTGGTCTAAGACCTGAGGCCCAAAGCGTGATTGGCTGATGCTGTGATTTCTCAGCCTGGTTGCGCATTAGAATCACCCTGGGAGCTTTAGAATCCAGATGCCTGGGCTCTACTCACAGAGATTCTGATTTAATTGGTGTGTTGCAGAACCTGACTTGAGCCATTTCGAAATGGGTCATTGATAGCTTGTAGCTGTAACGATTCAAACATATACAACATAAGCAGGGTGACCACAGAAGTTATTCTCTAAGTCTGGTATGTTCCTAAATGTCCTCTAAATTCTTATCTTCCACTCCAGGGCTTTTGAAGTGGCCTGATCCAAACACCTTCTTTCCGACATTAAAAACATTAGCCGGTTATTTTGCCTCATCAGCACTTCCTACACTTCCTTAGGTGAGCCAGGTTGCTTTTAATCTCTTGGAGCTGCCTTCGTTAATAGGCCTTTTTTTTTTCTTTTTTGTTTTAAATTGTATGTATTGAAAGTATACAACATGATATTTGATATACATATTCCTAGTGAAGTAATTACTACAATTAAATTAACACACCCATCATTTCACATAGTTACCTTTCTTTTTTTGTGGCGAGAGTACCTAAAATCTACTATCATAGCAAATTTGTAATATATAATGCAATATTATTAACGACAATACTTGTGTGGTACTCTAGATTTTTTCATCCAAGATAACTGCATCTTTGTATGCTTTGATCTATATCTCCCCATTTTCCCTGCCCCTCCCGATTATGCCTTTTGAGGCAGTATAGTGTGACAGTTAGCCATCACTGAATTCTGGGGGCCTTTTGTCTATTCCAGGGAGATGAAATTGTTAGAGAAAGATTAGGAGAAAGAATATGAAAAGGACTTAGAGAGGATACAAAATCATGAAGTCACAAATACCTGCCAAACAAATCCACATAAGGAGAAAATAAAGAAATGTCAGATTCATAAAAGATCAAAAAACCCAAACTGTTCTTAGAGGGAAAAGCATGCACAGTTAAGGAAACTTTTTTTAAAAAGTTTTAATAAAATCTGATCTCTAGTGGTAAATACTGTTTCCCAATTACACCTAGACTTTTATCGTGAATCAGGTTTTCTAGTTGACATTGTTGTTTTTCATTTGAAAATGAATGCTGTGTATTCTCCTTGTTTCAATTCCCTTATGTATTTTTGTGTTAACTCCCTCTGCCGGGGAGCGCCAGACTCAGATGAAAGGTATTATGACATTCGAGATGAATAATGACGTAAGAAGGACTTACTCTATTGTATATCACGGTGCAGTATCAAAACATTTTGTCCCATGAGGAGAGGCAGTGAGTCAGAAAATCCTGTTGGAATTGTATTATAATGTAGAAAACCATTTCAGAATTACTGTCTGACATTTGGGCAGCTGGGACTTTGAGCTCATTCCACGGCCACCCCACCTTAGACATTTTATTAGGAAGATGCTATTCTTTTTTAGGGCTATCACTGGATCTTTGTCCTCACTGATGAATTAATTAGGTAGGTAATAATGAATCTGAGTTATTACTGCTGACAATTTAGTCTTATTCTTAAAAACGTTCATTTCATGGTGTGTTACTCTGTTCTGTGTTGCAATAAAGGAATACCTGAGACTGGGTAATTTATAAAGAAAAGAGGTTTTATTGGCTCATGGTTCTGCAGGCTCTGCAAGCATGGCACCAGCATCTGCTCCGCTACCTGTGAGGCCTAGGAACCTTGTAATCAAGGCAGAAGGCTAAGGGGGAGCAGGCAAGACACACGGCGAAAGAGGGAGCAAGAGAGAGCAAGGGAGGAGGGGCCTTGCTCTTTTAACCAACCAGCTCTTGTGTGAACTCAGAATAGGAACTCACTTGCTATGGCAAGGACAGGACCAAGCCATTCATGAGTGATCCGTCCCTGTGACCCAAACGCCTCCCACTAGGCCTCACCTCCAACATTGGAGGTCACATTTCAACATGAGATTTGGAGGGGGAAAAAACCTCCAAACCTCATCACATGGTTAAGTGGCATAAGATGCAACTCTAGGAATTTTTGCTTTTTTAAAACCCAGCTTCGAGCTCCCTTCCATTCCTTCATCAAGATATTCATGATGGATCTGCATTGGGACCTGCTTTTGTCTTATTGTTTCCCAAGACTAAAAAGGGTTTTCAGCGCAAGTGTTCTCGTAATGTTTTTGTCCCCAAGATTGGATGTTTTTCAGTTGTATTATCTCCCCATATTTCTGACATGTACAGACGTGCCCAGCTATGATAGTCTGTGTGGATGGTCTTAAAAATGAGTTATCATTATGAATAGTTTGATGGAAAGATTTCCCAGGAAGCATTATGCTTTGAGTGTTGGGGAAGAGAAGCCACCAGATGTCGTGTAGGCCCTTGTCCCTTTACTGCCTTTCCTCTCTGTTTGTACCCCTGTACAAGGCAGCTCTTGTGGTTACGATTTGTTAACAATTTGAGTAGCTCCCTTATATTTTGCTTCTAGAGTAATTAAACATTGTTTCTTAGAAATGTAAACATGGGACTTAGAATTACGATGCAGTAATGCATTTGGCAGCTGAACTGTGTACTGGGAAAAGAAAAATATCCTGGAGCGGGTTTAAGTTTCGCAGATAAGAAAAATGGCTTTATTTAGTGAATTGGAACAATACAAGACCTGTGCCCTGAAGTCAGTACTTTCTCTTCCCAGATGAGTTTCCCCAGGCACAAGACCAACTTCTAAAATAAAACTTGAAAGTAAATGGCAAAAACCAGAAACAGAGCCCTGTAAACTAGACTTTTATGCTACGGCGCCATAAAAATAACTTATTTGCTATCAAAATAAGCTTAAACAGAACCTTTGTCTGACAGATGACTTTTCCTCTCCCCTTAACCTGACAGCACCCCCAACCCAGTCTTTGGTCATAAGCCTGACAGCACGGTGAGATACAAGTTCCTAGTGGCAGTGGAGGCTGATGTTTATTATTTAGAGAGTTTCTGAAAATGAAAGTGTAATGTCTTGAGTCACTTACTTCCAAATTCTTCCCAGAGAACTTTAAATAGTGTTGTATTAAAAAACAGGAGTAAACAATCATTCGTAAAACACACCCCAGAATAAATCTCTTATTTCTGCATGAAGGCAACTGATCTGAAACATTTTTTCTATGTGCCTTTTAGAGACGGCACCAAATTTCATGCGCGTTCGTGTGAAGAGACCACCAAACAGGCTTTGTGTGAGCAACATGGCTGTTTATTTCACCTGGGTGCTGGTGGGCTGAGTCCGAAAAGAGAGTCAGCAAAGGGTGGTGGATTATCATTAGTTCTTATAGGTTTTGGGATAGGCGGTGAAGTTAAGAGCAATGTTTTGCGGGCAGGAGTGGATCTCACAAAGTACATTCTCAAGGGTGAGGAGAATTACAAAGAACCTTCTTAAGGGTGGGGGAGATTACAAAGTACATTGATCAGTTAGGGTGGGGCAGGAACAAATCACAATGGTGGAATGTCATCAGTTAAGGCTATTTTTACTTCTTTTGTGGATCTTCAGTTACTTCAGGCCATCTGGATGTATACGTGCAAGTCACAGGGGATGCGATGGCTTGGCTTGGGCTCAGAGGCCTGACAATAACACAGTGCTCAAAACTGTCAGATAGCCTGTGTCAGGTCTGAAGATGTGATTTTGGTTGTTTATACTTGGATGCTTTGGATGGGAATAGCCCTGGAGTCAGCCCTTCATTTCAGGCAGAGGAGCAGAGGAGTGTGAGTTAGACACAACTTTGGATCAGGGGCCAGGAAAACTTGGTTGTCATCCTGGACCAGTTACTAACTCGCTGTGTGGGCAAGTCACTTCATTTGTCTAAGTCTCTCTTTTTCCTTTTGTAAAATAAGGATGTCGGCAAATCTGTGTGGTCCCTTCCAACAGTGTTTTTTAAGTTGGTGCCTGAGTATCTGAAGCAGGAGATACGAAGGGTCATGTGAGCTGCACATTCCTATTTGCTCCGCAGGGAGGCTGGCTAAGACACCCGGCCCCTGCCTTGTAACCATGAACAAGGTTCTCGCAGGGGCTCGTCTCAACTGCAGGTCCCCTGAAGGTCTCATCCTTTTCTTTGCTAGAGGGAATTTGGATGTCGTTGGTCCTTGCCTAACCCTTGTCTTTGAAAGATACAGATCCAATCTCTGTGTAGCAGTTAAGTGATCTGACTCAGACATATTTACTCAGTCTTCTTAGAGAATGAGAAAACTCTTCTCAGAATTTTTAAGAATGTTCCTGAAGGACAATAAAAGCTCTCATTCAGGATAGGCCCCAAAACATTTTTTTCTTTATAATGTGGTGCCATTTCCTCATTTTGCTTTTGTTCATTTGTTTATTCCTTCAACAAATATTTTTGAGAATTTGCTGAGCACTAGGTATTACTAGATACTAGGACAGTGAGATAAGTAAGATACAGCCCCTATCTTCAATAAGCTGTATGCCCTGATAATGATACCCTTAGTGTCTTCTACAAGCTATACGGTCATGCATCACTTAACGACAGGGACACATTCTGAGAAATGCATCCTTAGGCCATTGCATTGTTGTGTGAACATCATCGAGTGACTTACAGAAACCTAGATGGCGTGGCCTACTGCACACATAGGGTATATGGTGTAACCTATTGCTCCTAGTCTACAAACCCGCATGGCATGTTACCATACTGCATACTGTAGGCAATTTTCCTCTCCCCCTAACCTGACAGCACCCATTACCTGACAAAAATGGTAAGTATTTGTGTATCTAAGCATATCTAGACATAGAAAAGGTACAGTAAAACTAAGGCATAAAAAGTGAAAATGGTACACCTTTACAGGGCAGATCCATTTACGCAACCACCACTGCATGCGTGGTCCATTGTTAATGGAAACTGTTGTGTGGGGCATAACTGTATATAAAAGTATAGCTACTTTAATTTTAAGTTAACCCTGGTATGTGGGAAAATTTGTCTTCTGTGCTGTCTTGCACTGAATTTTGCATTGGTATTTTTCCCTTAATAGTGGCTGCAAAAAAACTTATAAATACAGAACCTTCTTCATTTATAGAATTCTTCTGCATTGACCTGGAAAATGACGTTGAGAATTGGACGTTACACTACAATGTAGTCCTCCAATGAAGGCTCTCAATGGGCATTTCTTTAAGGCCTAAGTTAAAGATAAAATAGAACAACTTCCATCACTACAAAAGATAGTGTACTCGGAGGAACTTGTAGAGATTTTTTTTTTCTTGTAGCTGTTTTTCTCACTACTCAGGTTTCCTTTTTGAGTTTTGCCCCTGGAGGCTCAGAGTTGAATTCTGTTGGTAGTCACTTAGAACCTTTCTACTGCTCTGTCTTTCCTCAGTTGTGTTTTCCCCATGTGGGTTTGTTTTGGGAAAGCAGTGGAGGGGAATTCCTCTTAGGTTGAAATAACTTTTAGAGCGATGGTGCCACAGTTTACAAATATTTTTAGAAAAATCCTGTCAGATTCTTGGGAACTTCAGACTAACTTCACATCTAAAGTTCTCTTTTCTTTTCTTTTCTTTTTTCCTTCCTTCCTTCCTTCCTTCCTTCCTTCCTTCCTTCCTTCCTTCCTTTTTTTTGGTTTTTGAGACAGAGTCTTGCTCTGTCACCCAGGCTGGAGTGCAGTGGCACGATCTCAGCTCACTGCAACCTCTGCCTCCCAGGTTCAAGTGATTCTCATGCTTCAGCCTCCCTGAGTAGCTGGGACTACAGGTACCCTCCACTACGCCTGGCTAATTTTTGTATTTTTAGTCGAGATGGGGTTTCGCCACATTGGCCAGGCTGGTCTCGGACTCTTGGCCTCAAGTGATCCGCCTGCTTGGCCTCCCAAAGTGCTGGGACTACAGGCGTGACCCACCACGCCTGGCCTAAAGTTCTTATTTAAAAATTTTTCTTCTGATTTGTTAGTTTAAGAAGGTAGGTTTGAAGCAGTGACCAGGAATTTTCGGGAAATCCATTAAGGAATAAATTATTCAGTAAAACAGTCTCAAAGTGAGGGCCAGAGTGCAGGACAGAGGCAGAGAGAGATGGTAGCAGTTTATAAAGAGAAGATACTTGATTAGAGAAATCATTGTCAGAGTAACCTTATGCTTAGAAAGAAATCACACGCGAAGCTCTGTGTTTGAAATCAGAAGGGAAGGTGGGCATTCGGATGAAGAGGCTGTCGGACTTGCATTACTTTGACCACTACTGTTGTTTTTGCTGTTGTGGTGGTTGTTGTTGTTTGGAAGATGGAGTAAATTGCAAGCCTGGTGGATTTCATGTGTTTAGAATTGTAGCTAAAATAGCTCCTTACGTTGAAGCATTTCCTCAATTCTATACCCACGTTCTCAGTCCTTGTGTTACTACCAGTAACTCATTTTCCAAAATGCAGAATTGCATTTTACATTTTAGTTCTTTCAATATTTGGATCAAATACATGTTCAGTGGAAAGGGTATGTTTAATTTCCTTTTGGTTCGGCACTAATTTAAATTATGAATAGAGATAACGTAATTCTAGTATTCGTATTTGATTGTTAAAATATTTGGACTCAGAAGTGCATTTACACGTTTCCAAATTTGACAAGTAGGAAAAGGTATAGAGTCCAAACTCCTTCCCAGGCCTATCCACAGCTACCCAGTGGCCTATCCCCAGGCAACCAGTGTTACCAGTTTCTTGCATATCCTTCTGCATACTACCAATACAAAAGCATGTTATTCTGTAGCCCCAGCTACTTGTGAGGCTGAGGTGGTAGGATCACTCGAGCCGAGGAGCTGGAGGTAGCAGTCAGCTGAGATTGTGCCACTGAACTCCAGCCTAGGTGACAGTAAGAACCTGTCTCAAAAAAAAAAAAAAGCATATAATTTTGTTCTTCTTGTTTTTATGCTGATGAGGACATGCTATGTCCACTGTTCCATGGTATGTGCCTTTATATTCAGTTATTCACTAAAAAAATGAGAAGTATAGAGTAAAATGAAAGTCTGTAGTATTCTCCACTAGAAACAGGTGTGGGGTTCAAGGGAGAGTGTGTATTAATTATTGCAAAACTTCTGGTTAGGTCATTAATCAGAACGGGAGCCATGCAGTGGTGAAGGGCCCTGGCTATGATCTGAAACATTTTTCTGAAGCAGTGTTGAGTTCTGTAACTGAAGTCCATGGGGACTTGCTATTGGCATAACTATATGTGGAAAATTTTGCTTTTTGAGTAGGACATTCCCATGCTTCACATTTAATTTGAATTTTGGTATGACTGTACTAAGTTAACATAGCTTTTCGCATTTTACAGAGACATTGAGTAAATCATTGACTAAAGATAATTAACTCCTTTATATCACATGCTGAAATGTTATGGGGGACATATCATTACCTTTCTTGGCTTATGGAAGAGATGTAATCTAATTCATTGAGTCTGACTGTGTTTAAGCTATTGTTTTGGGTGTCATCGTTGGCTCTTAGAACAGGGACTGGGCCTTAGTCCTTTTCCTTGCTCATACCTGGCCTCCTCCTAGAAGACCCTGCTTTTCATGTTTTATGCCTCAGAACCAAGATGTTTGGGGTCCCAAAGTAGGGATGTGTATGAGCACATTTTTTGATACTTTCATCTTTCTCTTACTCTCTAACATGCGTTCCGCTAGTGTCATGTAAATACAGTGAATCAGATATTTCTCTGCCTGCAAAATGCCTTTTGCCAGTATGTGGGAGGTGTGTTGCAGGTACCACAGTGGATTTTCTGCATCTGTTCATACATCCATCTTTCCCACTTAGCTGTGAGTGGCCTCAGTGCAGAATGGTGCCTTAACTCTAGAGTCTGGTAGGAAATGCCATGCACATTTGTCAAATGAATGGAAATGCAGCTGACTTGCTAGAGCTCAGTTCTGAGTGCAGGGTGCTTGAATGCTATATAATCAAGTTGAGATCTTAGTCTGGGGCAGCAGAAAACAAGAAAAGGTTACTGAGCAGGAGAGTGACAGGCTTTCATTTGTATCTTAATGGGTTAATTGCAGTGGCATTAGAAAAGGGGAGAGATTGGGGTAAGGCATTAGTTGGAAAGCTTTGATAAAGTCTAGGTGAGTCAGGAAGGGGTTCTGCATTGCTTGTTTCCCATTGCTCTAACTAGATTTCTTAGAAAAAAGAAAATCTTACACCAGACTTTTACAGCGTTTGCAACTGAGTAAATTTCACTTTGTAATACCCTGGATATTATACAATTATATAAAGCGCAGTATAATAAGAGAGTTAGTAGCTTCATTGTAATCAGTAAAAATAATTTTTAAGACAATTGTTATTTTTTGTATATTGTATTATAACAAAAAAGAAGTCATCAAGTGGGAGGAGGTGTTGTTTTGAGACGTTTGCTTTCATCTCTTAATCCTGCAGACATTTATCTAGTCCCTTCTCTGTACTCTTAAATGCTAGGGATTTAAAAGACGGATAAGATACAGGCTTATTATGTCTGTGTTCCAGACACTGGACTCCAAACATAAAGCAAACATTACATTATTCTTCCTTATGTAATAGAAATGTTTATGTAAGATTGTGTGTAAATCAGTCTTGAATAAACTGAATTAAATGGAATGTGCCAATAGGAGTTGCTATTTAGAGAAGCCCTGTGATAAAACATTTGTATAATAATATACTTATCTAAACAAGCCCACTAATTTCTATGGGTTTTTTTTTTTTTTCCCCCCAAGGCGAGGTATCCTGTATATTCTGTGTTGATTGAATTCCAGTTGGCCAACCACCTGCCTGGTTAATAGAGTATACCATTAACTTAGTGACACTAGAACCCTGCAAAGGAAATAAGACACAATCTATCGTTGTTCAGTCTCCACTATTAAATAGATTTTCATTCACTTCAGCTTGGGTGGGTGTAATTTGCATCTTTCCTAACAGGCAAGCATCTGCAAGTGTATTGCCTGTAGAAGCTCATTAAAAATCAGTGCAAATCCTGACACTGTCTCTAGAAGCAGGCATTAACTTGCAGAAAGTGGTTTGTATTTCCAGTGTCAGTAGAGCTTCCTCACTCTTTTCCTGCTTCCATGCAAGTTTAGTCCTAAACTAGTACCACTATTTTAGTACAACTAGTACCACTCAAATAATGCTGCTTTTTAAATAAATTCAAGGGGAACTGCTAAGGAACTGAGAACCTGTAAGGTGACAGGAAAAAGGAAATTCTATTTTTTGGGGCTAGTTTGTGTATTGAAAATAATTTTTGCTGAGAATCAAGCTAAGAAAATTACTTGCTAATTTAAACAACATGACAGTCCTCAGAATTTTCCAGCAACAGTTAGGAGCACTGTGATAAAGTTGGCTTTTCTGTTGAGAACGTTTTACCTTTTTGCTTCAGCTTCTTTAAAGAGTTTGAAATTAGTAATTTCAGTAGAGCAGCTTTGCTGTTGCGTCGTACTGCTCAGAGCTTAGTGAGCTGAAGCCTTTTGGGAAAATAGCATTTGGGGAGAGACTCGTGGTGTAATAGCTCATCCCACTGGCACATGTCCCAGAGTAAGCTGGGCTGGAAGCTTTTAGTGTAGTTAAAAGATGCCAGTCTGTCATTTGCATGCACTGTAATTGGGCAAGTGGTTTCAGGCTGAGCTTTACATTATCCTTCCACTGAGAGCAGCTGGTGGTGGGCTGTAGATTCCATATGAGCTGGGGACTTATCATCTGGTGTGTTTAGTGCAATCCTGCCTCATCTTGGGAGCAATTTTTTATTGAATGATAATAATAATGCACAATCTTGGTGAAAGATAATGCTTGTGGTTATTAGAATGTGTAGACTGAGTAGGGGCTTTGGCATAGAGATGGTAATGGTGGGGAAAGACATATTTAATAAAAGGATTGTAATGGGGAGAAAGTAAATATTTTGCAGGATAAGGAAAGCCACAAATATGATTAATTTAAGAGTCTTAAATAAAATGTCTATAAAATGTTAGATTTTTAGTACCAGTAAGGCAAAGTGGCCAATCTCTAGCTTCCTTTATAAAGTCTACTCATCCTTGGAGGGTCGCTTTTTGGTGCTTTTTTTGTTTGTTCAGAGTCAACTTCTTCCTCTAGGGATATGTTTAAGTCTGTCACCTTTCCTTAGGAATTGTGCCAATCTGATCATTTGTTCCACCACTGCTGCCCCGCCCCCTTTTCTTGACTCAAAGAATAATTTGTGTACCCTGTCTCTGTTTTTTTTTTTTTTCTTTTTCTTTTTTTTTTATTATACTTTAAGTTCTAGGGTACATGTGTACAACGTACAGGTTTGTTACATATGTATACATGTGCCATGTTGGTGTGCTGCACCCATTAACTCGTCATCTGCATTAGGTATGTCTCCTAATGCTATCCCTCCCCCCTCCCCATCTCTGTTTTTTATTATTTATTTATTTATCGTTAGAGACAGAGTCTCACTCTGTCACCCAGGCTGGAGTACAGTGGTGCAGTTATAGCTCACTGCAGCCTCAAACTCCTGGGCTCAATCGATCCTCCCGCCTCAGCCTCCTGAGCAGCTAGAAGTGCAGGCACATGCCACCACACCCAGACAATTTTTCTATTTTTTATAGAGATGAGGTCTCTCTATGTTTCCCAGGCTGGTCTTGAACTCCTGGCCTTAAATGATCCTCCTGCCTCAGCCTCCCAAAGTGCTGGGATTATAGGTGTGAGCCACTACACCCAGGCCCTGTTTTTAACTTGCAATACCTTTTCTGCAAGATTGAATTTATATTAGATTATAAAGTTTGTGGACAAAATAGAACACTCCATTATAAAAGCCTCCTTCATTTGTTTTGTTCTCTGGTGTTTGATTTGACTGATGTGGATTTGAGTATGGAAGTGTTCCATGCCTTATTAAGGAAAGCACTTTGGGAATTGGCCAGGGCCCACTTAACTTAGTTTCAGAATGGCAGCACTTTGGCAGTCCTCAGTTTCTCTTATTTCCTAACCCATCCCTACTCATTAAGACGGGGCTATTGCATTCCATTTTCAGGGAATGCTCTTTCATTTTTCGTTGGTGAGAGAACATGAATGCCTCTTAAAATGGTGGTTTGAGCTTGCTGAGAATTTTAGGGGATCCACAGAGTTGAAAAGTCTTACAGGCTATCAGTGAAGCATGGAGGGTTTTCGTTATGAAAATGTCCTGAGATGGGGGGAAGACTGGACAGATGAGGTAGGGGAGCCTCCTTGCAAAGTTAGAATTCAGCTGTTTATACTGGTAACAGAATCTGCTTTAGTAAGGATGAAGCAAAAAGAAAAACGATATTAACACCTTGAGAAAATCTCTGTATTGTGAGCTTAATCCAACAACTCCAACGATGTTAGCTACTTTTTCAAAATACATCTTAGCCCTTGTTACAATAACATTTACTTGTGGAGTGAAATTTTGTATTAGGCAGATTCACTGTAATCAGTAATCTTCCTTCCATTGAGATTCTTCCTGTTACTTTCTTATTTAAAAACCTTCAGTAGCCTGCATCCTCAGGGTTCTGTTTACAGAGACCCTTAACAGTCTATTCAGCCTTACTTCTGCCATTATCCCTACTCTAGGCTGAGTGTTAACCATACCTACCTATGTACATTTGCAGCTGTGCCATTTTATCTGTTTGGATTCTTAACCCCCTCTCTTGCCCAAGTGCCTAGTGGCGCCCTGTTGGCACGTTGAGGGGTAGCTTAAGTGTTTACTTCTTTCCCGACTCCCTCAGTCCGTGTTAGCAGTACCCTCTTCCATACTCTTCTATTATCTTCTGCATACTTCTGTACTCCACCTATCTGTTGCCATGAAACAGGTCACCCCAAAACAGTGGCTTAGAACAATACTATGGACTGCGTTTGTGTCCCCCCACCCCAACTCATATGTTGAAATCCTGGCCCCCAGGGCGATGGTATTAGGAGATGGGGCCTTTGGGAGGTGATTAGGTCGTGAGGGTGGAGCCCACATGAATGGGATGTCTTTATAAAAGAGACCCCAGAGAGCTTCTTTCCTCTTCTACCATATGAGGACACTGTGAGAAAACATCTGTGAAGCAGAAAGTGGGGTCCTCACCAGACACATAATCTGCTTGCTCCTTGAGCCCGGACTCCTTGAGCCTGGACTCCTCAGCCTCCAGAACTATGAGAAATAAATGTGTGGGGTTTTTTTTTTTTTTTTTTTTTGGTCTTGTTTGTTTGTTTGAGACAGGGTCTCTCTCTGTTGCCTGGGCTGGAGCAAAGTGGCATGATCTCAGGTAACTGCAACCTCTGCCTCCTGGGCTCAGGTGATTCCCCCACCTCAGCCTCCCAGGTAGCTGGGACCACGGGCCTGTGCCACCACGCCCAGCTTATTTTTGTATTTTTTGTAGAGAGGGGTCTCCCCATGTTGCCCAGGTTAGTCTCAAACTCCTGGAATCAAGTGATCTGCCCACCTCAGCCTCCCAAATTGCTGGGATTACAGGCGTGAGCCACCGAACCCAGCCAGATGTTTGTTGTTTAAGCCACTCAGACTATGGTATTTTTGTATCTTCCATTGTACTTAATCTATGGGTCTTATATTCAGCAGTATTCTATGTTATGTAAGGAGTTGTGGCGTGAAACCACTTCCTTCATGTTTTTATGTTTCTTTTTAATTAAATTTTAAGCCTGGGAATCTTGGTAATGACATATTATATGCAAAATATGTAATATTAGACTTGATTTTCATCAGATCAGTTTTAGCACTTTTCAGTGTGCAAAGGTGGGTGGTAATGGCTTTTTCCAAAGCATAGTCCCTTGGTTGTATTACACTATTAATGACTATGGGTAGTGTCAGACCCCGAGCCCAAGCCAAGCCATCACATCCCCTGTGACTTAAACGTATACATCCAGATGGCCTGAAGTAACTGAAGATCCACAAGAGAAGTAAAAATAGCCTTAACTGATGACATTCCACCATTGTGATTTGTTTCTGCCCCACCCTAACTGATCAATGTACTTTGTAATCTCCCCCACCCTTAAGAAGGTACTTTGTAATTCTCCTTACCCTTGAGAATGTACTTTGTGAGATCCACTCCTGCCCGCAAAACATTGCTCTTAACTTCACCGCCTATCCCAAAACCTATAAGAACTAATGATAATCCACCACCCTTTGCTGACTCTCTTTTCGGACTCAGCCCACCTGCACCCAGGTGAAATAAACAGCCATGTTGCTCACACAAAGCCTGTTTGGTGGTCTCCTCACATGGACGTGCATGAAAGGTAGCATAATACAATTTTTGCTGAAGTTTTGTTGCTCTTCTACTTTTAAATTAAGGACCAGATAGGAAAGGACATATGGTAATCTATCAAATATATAGCCATTGATATTTTCTTTGTTTTCTTTCACTAACCGGTTTATGCAAGATTTTTTTAAAAAAACAGCAAAATGAAAAGGTTCGTAATATCCTGACTTCCTGTTTTATTATAAATGAGATGAACACCAGGTAGTGTTAATTTCCTTTAATTTCTTTATGAGTCATCCTCAAATTAATGTTTGAGGAATGGTTGGGTGTTTTCAAATATCTCCGACATCTTTTAGTTAGACAGCATAGTGAAATGGAAAGAAATTTTGAATCTGCTAGACTCAAGTTTGCATTTTGGCTCTGTCATTTACTCATAGATGTACTACTTGGAGTAATCATACTGATTTTGTAGACCAATTGGAAAGATAATTGACCAGTGTTTTAGGGTATATGTATATACACAAAATTTGACAGACATGTAATCACACAATGCTTAAGCCCCATATGTTATTAAGCCCACACTTTGGTAAATAACATTTGGGGCTTAAGCATCTGTGTGATTCTATATATGCCGGTATTTGTAAATGTAAAAGTGATACCAGCTAAATCACCCATCTTTCTGGGAACTAAGTACAAAGGAATGGTTCTGTTTCTAACCCTTTGGCTTAGAGTATCATAGAGTTTTAAATTTGGCCAGATTTTAATTTGACAGATAAAAAAATGAGGCACAGATAAAAAAATCGAGAAGTTGAATGAATTATGAAAACTCACTAGAGGCAGAGTTGAGGACGTTGTCCAGTGCTCTGTTGTATCATTATGTCACTGCCTGCCCTACTGTTTTCCTGCTCTTTCCCTCTTCTTCTTCCTCCCTCTCAGCCCTGGTCCACCTACCTTAGTGCATGCACACACGTATGGCAAAGATCAACAAGGATGCTGGGTTCAGGGTCCTTTTCCCACTGGAGTCTGGCAACACTGTTCCTGCCTTGATATGGTTCTTGGTTGTTGGCCACTTAAAACAATGGCATATTTTGAAGGGCTGAATAGACTTCCTTCTTTTTAAGCTTTTCTTTTTATTTATACTTTTTGGATCCGTGTAATTTCTCTGAGTCATCCACATTATTTTCTACTTTTTCTCAGTTTTCATGACCTGTATTACCATTACAGGTGTCTCTGCTATAATTCAATATACATATTCCTGAAAACCTCATGTTCTACAAAATCATACATTCAGAATAATCTGGCTAATGGGAAATATTGGTTTGGGGCAGTCTGGCTTATGGGAAATATTGGTTTGGGGCAGTCTGGCTTATGGGAAATATTAAGTTGGGACCAACCACTCTAAATCTATGCTACTTTGCAAGCACAGCACTAACAAAAACAATGAAAACCATCATAAAACAGGAGCACAGTTCAGAAGACATACTACATTCCTACTATATACAGATACACTTTGGTAAATATGACTTTAACTCATGAAAATATGCGGGGCTGCTTGATGGAAGGGGATGTAAGGAAGGATATGAGGCTGGTGAGTACTGGGAGACAAGAATGAAACACACCAAGACGTTTGCATGAGATCATGCAAAGAGAATCATGCAGAAGGTACATCTAAGACACAAGGCCAACCGGGCATGGTGGCTCATGCCTGTAATCCCAGCACTTTGGGAGGCTGAGGTGGGCAGGTCACAAGGTCAGGAGTTCGAGACCTGACCTTTAACAGTCTATTCAGCCTGGCAACTATGGTGAAATCCCGTCTCCACTAAAAGTACAAAAAATTAGCTGGGCGTGGTGGCACGCACCAGTAGTCCCAGCTACTCAGGAGGCTGAGGCAGGAGAATCACTTGAACTTGGGAGGCAGAGGTTGCAGTGAGCCGAGATCACACCACTGCAATCCAGCCTGGGCGACAGAGCGATTCTCTGTCTCAGGGAAGAAAAAAAAAAAAAAAACACAAGGCCCGGCAGGCTGAGACCATGACAGGAACGGTTAGAGTGGACCCTGGTGCAGTGTGGGGTGCTCTGTTCAGCCTCACTATGAATTTCACATCCAGCTTCTGTTACTTGGAGATATAAAACAGTAATGTGTGGAGACAAATCGTGGATGAACCAACTCCTGAGTTATGGCGTCATCAATCTGCTATGACCAGTCAAATTCGCAGTATAGAAACATGTCTTGTAGCTGGACAGAAAACATCCAGCTCTACTGCTGCTAAACATCATGGAATGTACCCATTGGTTTATCCATATAGTAAGTTTTAACATTATTTTTAATATATTGTTCATTCTGAATTTGACAGTGGTCTGCCAAGTCTCCCTGAACTCCACAAATTAAATAAAGGTATCTCAGAGGGCCTTTCCCAAGAACTTTAATGCCATCTTCCTAGCAAGCTATAGAAAACATTTGAAAACCCCAAGGGCAAAGTTCCAGGGCTGCCTAGGGGCAAAATCAGTGAACAGAGTAGTAAACTGATAAAACCAGCATAGAGGCCTCTGTGGGGGAAAAAGACACCTTTCTGCAGTTAATAAACAGTACCAAAGAACACTGATTGTCTTCTCAGGGTTTGTAGCCCATTTCTGTTTTTTATTTTTAAATCTCACCTGTTATTTTTGTTTTTAGCTGTTCCATAGTAGTCTGATGGAAATACACTTTATGTGTTCTTGTGTGCCAATCAAAAATAAAATAAGCACAATGAATACCTCTAATTGCATAGTTCATGAAAGGCTTGAAAAGATGCAGAGCAGCTGGCTAATGCTGCCAATGAGCCATTGGCTGGAGCCCCTTGTAACTCAGCCTTTGATTCTGTCTTCAGCAAGCCCCAGCATCCTCAGGGCCCATGTGATGGGTGCTCAGTGGAACTCCAGACTTTGTGGAGGGCTCTGTGGTTCTGCTGCTGGGGAAACTGTGTGTTTCTGAGCCTATGGGAATGGGTCAGAAAGCCTGGGAAATGGGGGAGAATAGGAGCAGGAACACAAATGAGGAGCCAGCAATGCAGGTTGCTATTATGTCGCATGTCACTTCCTACGAATATCTTGATAGATTAGCTTCCTTCAGGCCCAAAACCTTGAATGGACATGAACCACAGTATCAGGGCTAAATGAGTAACAGCCCAAACCAGGTCCACTCTCCAGACAGTTAGAAAAGGTAGACATCTCTTGTAGCTGGATGGAGCAGGGGTCTCCCCCAGGGGTGGTAATTCAGCAGGTCTTTAAAGAATGAATAGGATTAAAGTAAGTGAAAATGGAAAGCTGAAGGCAGGGAAGGAAAGTGAGGCTCAGGGAGAATTCTGGGCAAGGGAAAGTTACAGAGTGATTCCTTAGAGCTTGTGAGTCTAACAATTTTGATGTCAATGGACCTTATTCTTGGAACCACAGGGCAACTGATTGACTTTAGTTTTCTTTTTTGCTATATTCTTGCCACTCACTCAATGACTGCTCATTGAAAATTGATGATAATGGCCATATGGAAAGTCTCAGAGCTTATCTAGGATTTGAGTCCCTGAGGCATAATCAGTGGGTGGAACAGCAGATGGATGGGGCAGACTATTTTTCTGTTCCTTCCTGTGACAGTTGATTATAAGTTATAAAAATGGGCATTCTCTTTGTGATCTTAGCTTCCAAAATTACGGAAGGTTATCACTATTTATTATTACTACTTTCTCAGCAAACTCAAAGAATCAGAGTGATATTGATTATTTAGATTTAGCAATGGGGGACTTAAGCTCTTATAAATCAGGGTCATCTGAATCTAAAGATGTATGTCTTTCTTATTTCAGTCTGACCAGTTATTTAAGAATCCAAGATACCTTTACTTTTTATTTGAAGTTCCTTAATTTGATAAGAGCTCTACCAAGCAGTTGGTTCTGTTTCTCTTTCAGTTCTCTGCCAAGCTTTTGTGTGTCTTAAGACACTGGGACTGGGAAAAGACTGCAGTGTTTGTTAAATGTAAATTATACTGAGCCTTGAGGATTTGAATGCATGGGGAGAGGTACATTTTGGCTTTCCTTCCTTTGTAAAATGCAGTTAAACTGATATCCAGAACAATGGTGAGAAAACACCAATTAACTGAATGTATGAAAGACAGTAAAATAAACAAGGTGGGCAGTCCTGTATGTGAGGCATTTTTAAACTCTTTGCTGTGTAAGTGCAGGCTTTTGGAAAGATCTGCTTTTCACTTTGATTTTTGCAGTCCCACACCAGCTTGCTTCTGGTTCTGCCTTCAGGGACATATGTGCTCTCTAGATCTGGGAATCTTTTTGTCTGGAGACCTCAAGATTGGGATCTGCACCCTCCCCACCCCTTCCTGTCTGAACTCTATTTTAGATCTGCAGTAAAGACTTGAGGCTTTTTGCAAGCTTTCAACTCTGAGGTATTTTGGAAAACTGTAATTTTGTTTGTTCTCTGCTGTATGCATGTGGTTTCTTAAAACACGAGTGTGATTATTTTCTGCATCCTTTCCATAGCAAACATTTCCCTCAAACTACATGCTCCAAAAGTAGGTTCTCACTGCACTTGCCATGCCGTCTCATTGCTTATTGAGAGTGACTGTCTCTTTACAACAAATCAACTGGTTACAATTTTGAGGCTTTTTAGGTGGCTTCCAAACTTGTCTTGGGGTTTGTCCCTCATATGTTCAGCAGCCAAACATGCTCAATGCATTGTATATTTCCCAGCAAGCCATGAAGCACTATTGACTTATTATGAAACTTAATTTGATGATAATGAGGCAGGTCTATAAAATAGCACTTTGGGTAGTTTTTACCCATAAAATAGCAATTTGTGGAAGACCGTTAGTATGTAGCATGGACTCTGAAGCTAGAGAACTTGAGTTTGAGTCTCAGCTTTTCTACTTTTTTTTTCTAGTAATTTTATTTATTTTATGTTTTACTGTTAAATTCTTAACCTACCTGGAATTTAGTTTGGTATAGGGAGTCATGTTTGGATCTAGCTGTTGATTCTTTTTAAATATAATTTTTAGTGATTTTTTTATTGTGATAAAATATACATAAGATTTATCATTTTAACCATTTTAATTTAGATGTACAATTCAGTGGCACTAAACACAATCACAAGTTTTCCACTTTTTAGCTGTGTTAGAGGTCAAATTATTTTACCTTTCTGCGTCTCCGTTTCCTCTTCTGCAAGTGGGAATAATACTCCCATTAAGTTGTTATGAGATTAAGACTTAATTCAGGCCGGGCGTGGTGGCTCACACTTGTAATTCCAGCACTTTGGGAGGCCAAAGCAGGTGGATCACTTGAGGTCAGGAGTTCGAGACCAGCCTGGCCAACATGGTGGAACCCCATCTCTACTAAAAATACAAAAAGTTAACTCCGTATAGTGGTGCATGCCTGTAGTCCCAGCTACTCAGGAGGCTGAGGCAGCAGAATTGTTTGAACCTGGGAGGTAGAGTTTGCAGTGAGCTAAGATTGTGCCACTGCACTCCAGCCTGGGTGACCAAGCAAGACTCTGTCTAAAAAAAAAAAACAAACCTAAATTCATAGGAAACACTTGATGACTTGATGTGTACAGGACAAAATAAGTGCTTAATAATAGTTGATGGCCATGAGGATTTGTGGTACTGGCAGTCCCCCATTTGCTAGTTAAGAAGCATTTTTTGAGCCTGGTGCCATATGTCTGCCCCATACATATGCCTGTGTGGTCACAGTAATTGCCGGTTGAATCACAGTGGAGACCTCGAGAATTCTCATTGGTAACACTGGATAATTTTTTCATCATTTTTATGTCCACTTTAGCATGAGACTAATATACAGTTTGAACTTCAGGGGAGAAAAGAAGATTTTCTAACAGATTTATATTTCAAATTGTTTACAAGACAATTGAAAATGAAAAGATAAAACCTACTTACTCTTCAAGTTCAAGGCATAATGCAAGAGGCTTGAAGAGGGTAGACTTCTGAATATATTCCATAAACAGTATCTCTTTTCAGAGGTTTTGAGAAAACCCTTGTTTAAAAAAAATATGAGCAACAATTATTTGTTATTCATGAATTCTAGATGTGTAAATTGTGTGATCAAAATGAGAGGAAAAAGAGAAGTCTCAAGAGAATAAGCATTTTGTCTACATTTAAGTCTTTTGGAAATGATATGTTTGAAAATAATATACCCGTTAAATATATTTCCTTAAATTATTTAGATAAACTGTTTCTATTGTAGTTTCTGGTAAACAGTAATATGAAATGGTTTCTATTTTATTGTCAACAACTTCATTACTTTTTAATGCAGCAAAAAGCTTCCAAATAGATCTGTTAAAAAGACTGCAGAAATCCTCTGAATTGAATAAACTATTTCTAGCCTTAACATTCATGCTTCCACAGTGGAATATACTATATTCAGCCACCATCACAAAAAATGTCTTTCTTATCAGTGCTGCCCTAGCTAAATGTGAACTTTAAAAATTGGAAAATCAGGCACTTTGTAGACAGTTCACTCTTTGTTTCATATTTTTGGGCTAAGGAAAAAAAATTGCCCAAGGAAGTATTTCTGGAAGGAGTCTAACTTCTCAATAAACATAGTAGTTTAGCCTACAATATTTTTGTTGTTTTGGGAATTGATAGTGACCCTAAATATAACAAAAGAATATTGATTTCTAAAGCATGGATCGTGTTGGTTCCTAAAAAGTGAGTGATAATGTAGCAATTAAATTCTGCCCTGTATTATACACAGTTGGTCAGGGTATCAGCAGAATGCCATCATCATTATTGAATTGTGTAATAAATACTTGGGGCAGAGTGCCATAGTGGAAATAAAACTACATTTTGGTTTAGGACTTCCTGCCCTAGCCCATGGCCTATAGAGCCAAGCCTTCACGTTTCAAGAAGTTGTGAGGGGAAAGAGACAGGCATTGGCCTCATGGTAGCAGCTGCTGGAGGGTTCTTTTCCTAGCTCATTTTCTTTCCTCATGTTTCACATTTTTCCAGGGTGACATCACGTGTGGTAACTATTTGTATGGATCTTCCAAGCCCGCATTTTAGCCAAGACATTTCTCATGGGCTCCAGACCCACAATCTGGTGGTCAACATACTCTCTACTTGGTTGCTCCATAGATACCCTAAGTCAAGGCATGAATATCTAAACTGATCGTGACTCTCCTCTCTCCCACCATCACCTCCAAACCTGTTTCTTTTCCTGCATTTTTTTTTTTTTTTTTTTGAGATGGAGTCTCGCTCTGTCGCCCGGCTGGAGTTCAGTGGCACGATCTCAGTTCACTGCAACCTCCATCTCCCGGGTTCAAGCGATTCTCCTGCCTCAGCCTCCTGAGTAGCTGGGATTACAGGTGTGCACCACCATGCCCGGCTAATTTTTGTATTTTTAGTAGAGACGGGGTTTCACCATGTTGTTCAGGCTGGTCTCGAACTCCTGACCTCGTGATCTGCCCGCCTC
Source organism: Homo sapiens (assembly GCF_000001405.40). NCBI lineage: Eukaryota > Metazoa > Chordata > Mammalia > Primates > Hominidae > Homo > Homo sapiens. Next base: position 46,634,130 of record NC_000013.11, read on the forward strand.
AGCCTCCCAAAGTGCTGGGATTACAGGCGTGAGCCACCGCGCCCAGCCTTTCCTGCATTTCTTTTGAGCATCTAGCACGTTTCCAGTCATTCATCCACGTCAGAAAGCCCCAGATGCCACCAGCTCTTCTTTGCTTTCAATGTTTAATGGAACACTAAGGTCTGCGAATTCTACCTCACAAATGTCTTCCCTGGCGAATCCTCCTTTCTGTGCCACCCATCTTCACCTTATTTCGGGCCTTCCTCATTTCTCACCTGGATCTTTGTAACCATGGCCTCTAGAGCTGGCTCCCTGGATCCCTACTGGCCATCAATCCCATGTGCCTCAGCCGTAATGCCAGTCACAGTTCTCAAAGAGCTATTCTCTTCCTCCCTTCCTCATTCAGGCTGTGCCTGGTAATCTGGAGTGAATTTTCCACTCCATCCTGCAGACTTCCAAATACTTATCCAGAGGCTCAGCTTACAGCTCAATGCCTCTTTGAAGCCTTTCTCAACCTTTGCAGAGTTGAGATATAACTATGCTGCTAAATGTAAATCTAACTCTTCATACATTTTCTCTTGTTTACCTGTCTCCCCCTCCTGTCAGAGTCTGAGTTACTTGAGGTTGTGAATTGAGTCTTATTTATGTCTGTCTCTAATATCTAGCATGGTGTGTCTCATTGATAGCAGACATCTATAAATGAGTGAGTAAGTGAGCCAACGTGTGGGTGGTTTTTCCTGGGGCGGGAAGGGTTGGGAGGGTACCACGTAGTCAGTGTGAGCCTCCCTTCGGGCTCTTTGACTTTCCGATGAGCATGCTTACTGGTAGTGACTTCCCTTGACCCTTACCAGTTAGATACATGCTCTGGGACCAGAGCTGCAGAATATAAACCAGTAGTTTTGAAAAGTTATTATTATCTCCATAAGGATTGGGTTTTTTATAGGCACAGGTAACAAGGTTGAACACAACCAAGTGAACCCAGTGAATTCTATTTATTTCAGTGAGGTGTCTGTATGCACTGTGGCCATCCCAGAGGCCTTACTTTCAATTCATATCCACTAACTCAAGGGGGCTTTACTGCCACCCAGCACTCACACCGCCGTGCTCTTCTGCAGAGACTTTCCCGCAGTCTGTTCACTGCTTCATACTTTCTCCTGCACTTAAACCTTTAGCATATCTCCATCCCTGCCTCTCAGCTAACGGGGCTTGCAGGCAATTAGAAAGAGCTTCCCTGTGTACCTGCCACCACATCTTCTCAGTTGTCTGCACTCGCTGGCTAGTCTCCCTTGCTGTGGAGGAATTGTTGATGCCCCTGGGAAGGCCACACCCTCCACTTGAAAGATCCGGTCCCCTCCCACCTTTTTTTTTTTTTTTTTTTTTGAGACGGAGTCTCGCTCTGGTGCCCAGGCCAGAGTGCAGTGGCACGATCTCAGCTCACTGCAAGCTCTGCCTCCCAGGTTCTCACCATTCTCCTGCCTCAGCCTCCCGAGTAGCTGGGACTACAAGTACCCGCCACCACGCCCAGCTAATTGTTTTGTATTTTTAGTAGAGACGGGGTTTCAGCATGTTAGCCAGGATGGTCTCGATCTCCTGACCTCGTGATCCACCTGCCTCGGCCTCCCAAAGTGCTGGGATTACAGGCGTGAGCCACCGCACCCGGCCCCCTCCCACCTTTTTAAGAACATCACTCCATCAGTTGTCTCCTTTCTCTTCTGAATAATCAGTTTTCCCCTGGCCACCAAGCTATTCCCATCAGCATACAAACATGCTGATTTCTTCCCCCATACCATGCCCCTCTCCAGCTTCCATTTATCTGCTCTGTTTTACTTTGACTTGCCTGAACTCATTATAACTTATTCCTCTCCTTTCAGTCTCTCTCTTTGCAAAGTTTTTAAAGCTTTTAATTTTGGTAAGACATATACAACACAACATCCAACTTACCATGTCAACCTTTTTTTTTTTTTTTTTTTTTTTTTTTTGAGATGAAGTCTCGCTCTGTCACCCAGCCTGGAGTGCAATGGCACGATCTCGGCTCACTGTAACCTCTGCTTCCTGGGTTCAAGCGATTCTCCTACCTCTGCCTCCCGAGTAGCTGGAATTACAGGCATGTGCCACATGCCTGGCTAATATTTTTTTGTATTTTTGTAGAGATGGGGTTTCACCATGTTGGCCAGGCTGGTCTTGAACTCCTGACCTCAAGTGATCCACCTGCCTTGGTCTCCCAAAGTGCCAGGATTACAGGCATGAGCCACTGCGCCTGGCCCATCTCAACCATTCTTAAGTGTGCAATTCGGTAATGTCAGGTACATTTACATTATTAAGCCACCAATCTGCAGAATGTTTTCATCTTGCAAAACTGAAATTCTGTACCCAGTAAACATTAACACCTCATTTTTCCCTCCTCCAAGCCCCTGGCAACCATCCTTATACCTTCTATCTCTGTAAATTTGACTACTCTGGGTAATCGTCCATTCTCTCCTGAACCCACCTTCATCAGGCTTTTGCTCCTACATTCCCCCTCCACCACTTTTCTCAGGGTCACCTGTGGCCTCCACTTGCTGGATCTGACAGTCATTTCTCAGTCTTTGGCTGATTTGGCCCGGCAGCAGCTATAGGAACAGTGGAGCACTCCCTCCTCTTTGAAACACTGTCTTCACTTGGTTTCCAGGGACCTTGCTGGCCTGTGTTTTCCTTCTTCCTCACAGACCACTCCCTTTTAGTGTTCTTCCTCTTGTTGCCTCTGTAGGTTGGAATGTCCCAGGGCTGAGTGCATGGCCCTCTTCTCTAATCTTCACTCACTCCTCTTTAGAGTTGATGTCTTTCCATGCCATTTATACTCTTACAGTTCCCAACATTTGTCCCGAGGCCCAGCTGTGAACACTTCCTTACCTGCATATCTAATAGGTGTCTCAACATTTGCATCTCCAGAATGACTCTTGACCTGCCCCCCAATATCTGCCATAGGCTTCCACATCTGAGGATGGCAACTCCGTTCTTCCAATTTCTGAGGCCAAAATTGGGAATCATAATTGACTACTCTTTTTCTCTCAAACCCCCATCCAATCAGCAAATTCAGTTGGCTTTACTTTCAAAAGATACAACCTGAATGTGACCACTTCTTGTCACTTCCACTCTGCCACTCAGGTCTAACCACCATCTTACATTGCTTGGGTTGTCACCTCCTCCCTGGCCTCCCTGCCTGCCCTAGATTCCAAACACAAATCTAGCGAGAAGAGCCTATGAAAATGTGAGCCACCCTCTGCTCCAAGCCCTCCAGTGGCCAGGAAATGGCAGACTTTTACAGTGGCCGAAAGCTCTATGTGATTGCCTACTCCATGACCTCATTGGCCTCTTTTCTTGATTTTCTCACCCTTGTCCCCTCGCTGGAGTCCCACAGCCTTCCCTGGTGTGCCTGCAGTATGCCATCCTGCTGCTACCTTAGGGCTTTTCTGCTCTCTGTCCCTCTGGGGAAAGGCTCAGCCCTTAAGGATCCCGTGCCTTCCTCTCTTCTTTCTGTCAGCTCTGCACTCAGCTGTCACCTTGGTTGCGAATTCTTCCCTGGTCACCCTGTTTAAAGTTGCCACGCTTCTCCCGCACTTCGTAGTTTTTTTTTTCTTATTATTTTTCTTTCTAGCGCTTACCACCCTGTAACATGCCGTATATTTTACTTGTCATTTGTGTTTGTATCACCCCACTGGAGGGTGAGTTCTAGAGAGCGGGATTTCCTTGCCAGCGTTCGCTGGATTTGCCCACTGCTTAGAACTATTTCTGGCGCATAGTAGGTACACAGCAAGTATTCCTTGAATGACTATAGAGAAGAAGCTTTCACAAAACAGAAAAGCGTAATTAATTGCCCACTTCAGCCTCCTAAACTGTAGGCTTCATTTGAAATTTCAAGTTCTTATTTTATCCAAAAGAGAACAAAGCTGAATTAAACATTGCTTCAAACGATATCTTTGAGTCGTTTCCAAGAAGGATGTATAGATGAAATTATAATTTAGGTTGCTATGGATACATTTATACATATAAAATATTTGTGACAAATATAGTATTTGTATTATATACAAGAAAATTACTATGGATTTGCAAATCGATTCATATAAAATTTACTTTCTTATGGGACATTAAATATATTACAGTAGCTTTGAATTTTCTGAATTATATTTACTTAAAAATGTCACTGGCAATACCTTTGAGGGTTACTTTTTTTGGATAAAACTTGTGGCAATAATTCCTCCTTTGACTTCTTCAGCAATATGTTAAAACTGGCACGGAACCTTTGAATAGCTTTTGAATTTTTATCTCGTTTGAAATTAACCAGTTACTGATGTAATTAATACCATATGGTATAAATTTTGAATTCTGCATGATTTCTACTTCAAAATGATGCCTGCTGCCTTCATTCTACTTTATGTTTAACACAAGTATTTGGAAAACCTGAGTAGTGGTTATCTGGCTTAGTGGAACTATAATTTACTGCAGGTAAAAAGGAGGATTCATTTCTTTATGTTGGAAGTCTTTAAAAATATACTGATACATTTCCATCCCAAATTAGCAAGTCTGTTAGAGGGACAATAATTTTATCTTTGCTAACTGAAGATCTTACATGGCCTCATGCCTAAGATTATTTACTACACATTGTATCAAAATAAAAAAAGTTTGATATGCCACTAAAAGGCTTTTTTAAATAGGAGAGATCTAATCAATCACATACGTGGACGTGCTGTTTATACTACAAAACCTCTAGATCCTCTTTACCTTTGCAAGGGGGGTGGGTAGTTTTGGCTTTCCTTATGTTTTTATTTGTTATTTGTGAAGTATATAATAAAAGAAAATCTAAGAAATTGAGGATTATGGTTAACTGAAGTGTAATAGACTGTTTCACGGTATATTTGACTTCAACAGCTTCCAGCAAAGAAAAATCCTGGAAAAAAACTTTCTGGTTTGGTCATTTTTATTATAAAAGGCTTTCTATTTTCCAGCAAAGAACATTTCTTTTATGGTTAAGAGTTTCAATATTTATGTAATTAGCAACTCACAGCAGTGCCTTGTTTCATTCTTGATTCTAATCCTGGAATGATAACATACCAGCAAAGCAGCAGCCGTAGCGTCCACAGAGCCTACTTCTCTGCCTTTTTTCTGTCTCCCTGTAGAGAGAAGTCCACTCTTTTCTCTGATCCCAGTGTAGTAATGTAAATTTGGGCATGCAGAAAGTCAATGTGCCTTAGCATCCTTGGGATTCATTTTCTTTGCATTTCCGAAATTACTCACCTTGTAGCAGTTGTCAGATCCCTTAATTAGTAACTAGTTTTCTTTGAATTATGGTATCACATAGACTGTCTGTGGTCTGGCTGGTAAGAGACTGTTACCAGCTGCTCAGCTTTAGTCAGGCAATAAGGTATTTGTTACACTTCAAATAATCATGTGATTTAGTGAAAGGCCATTTGAGCTCTAAAGCCTCACAGTGGAAAGTTTCTGAGACCTCTGCCCTCCCTCTCACACCCCAGAGAATCCCTAGTCTCCTGCCTTCCTCTCATGCTATCTGCATGATTGCTGTTGGCCTGCTCGGCCAGGAAGATGGTCCGACACACACCCCTGTTCACTGCCCAGGGTCTCAGGATCCCTGTCCTAGGCAGAGTCCCAAGCAGTGTTGTACCTGCCAGGAAGCCCTTTGGGCTCTTCTGCACCCTTGGGGACCAGTGTCCCTACAGTAATCTGTACTCATGTTTATTCCCATACTTCTCTCTAGAATTTAAGTCATGAGCTGTGTGTCTCCCTTTCTGCACTCAGAGAGTATCAGAGGAGGCCTGGTGTCCTAGTTATATTTCATTTTTCAACTGTCATTTGTTGAACTCCAGACACTGCTAACTGCTTTGCATGCATCATCTTACTTCTTCTTCCCAGTGTTTATAAGGTGCAACTGAACCAAGCCATATAGTTGGCACTGTGATGAGTGAGGGAACAGATACATTGATCATTGAATGGAGCTAGAGAAAACTGTTAAGTAAGTTGACTACTAATTTAGTGGAAAGAGAAACCTTCAAACTAACTTACAGATTGTTCACTTATTGTACAAAACTATTATTTATTTATTTGTGTCTCATGGAACCCAGTAATAGCTAACATAATCATGATAGCAGTTATTCTTAGAGTGCTTCACTCTGTGGCAGGCACTGCTCTAAGGGCTTTATATGTATCATCCCATTCAGTCCTTTCACTAATTCAATGGAGCCAGTACTATTAATGTCCTCATGTTACAGATGCAGAAATTGAGGCATAGAGAAATTAAGTAATTACTTCCAAGTTCATGCAGCTAAGTGGTGGGACCAGAGTTTGAACTCAAGCTGTCTGACATGAGGACCTGGAACCAGCCTGGGTTTCCAGCAAGATAGGACAGTGCCCATCTTGGGCTGGGTGGAAACATGGCACTGAAGACATGGGCTCTTTGTTCTGGAGAAAATATTAGGGACCTGGTCAGAGCTCACTTACTTTTAGTAATAAATATTCAATTCAACGAATATTTATTAAGCTCTTACTGTACAACAATGAACAAAGCTCCTAATCTTCATGGAGCTTACGTTCTAGGAAGGGAAGAGAGAAAATTCACATCTATCTACATGACTAAATCGCATTGCTATGTTAGAAGGTTATTTATGTGCTAAGATAAAAAGAAAATGTAGAACAGAGGAAGAAGGTTAAGATGGTTATGAAAGAAGTTTTAAGGAGATGATCAGGGAAGACCTCATGGTTCATATTGGAGAATTGTTGATCACATTTCTGTTGTTTGACCTGACTTCTTTGTTGATCTCTTAAGAGATGCAGGCTGAGATCTTGACTCACTCAAAACTTGTAGGGAACTGCTTAATATTTCTGCCTATTTAACCCTGGAAGCGTTGGGTTGTTTGGTCTGCAGAGTCAGGGGTGAGTCAGCCCATGGGTTCTGCTTTATTGGCTGGGTAGCACTCCCTTACTGGGGGGCAGTTCTGAATGTGTGCCCCATGGGTGCTGAGTTATGGGCTGGGTGGGGTGTCTAGAGGAGTGGGAAGTGAGGGTCAGACACCGAGGACATTGCGGAGCTGAGAGAGGAAGTTCAGGATGGATAGAAAGATGTAGCTGCGATTCTTCTAGAGAGACCCTTGCCTGCCTAGGTGAAGATAGGGATGAATTGTCCAAAGAGGGCACATGACCCTAGATCCTACCTCTACCCAAGGACTATCTTCACCAAGGCAGTGGTCCCAGGAAGAGTAGCAAGAGGGTGGAGATAACAGAGCAGCCCCCTCAGTACTGGGAAAACAGCAGGTTCCATGCACTTTTGTGGTGGGCCAGGGCTTTAGATGAGTGAATGACAGATTCACCTTTTACCCAGTTATTGAGACATCATGAGGAGTGTTAAGATTCTGAAAGTAAATTTCCACGATAACATGTTTATGATGTCATTTGGTCTTCCTCTGTGGAACTGGTAATGATTTTGACTTTCAAGATGAGATCTTCTCTTCTGACCATAAAACAAGATGTTGCAAACGAGGTTCCCAGCTGTCCTGGTCTGTCGGCATGGCTGCTCGATGGCTCTGGTGGCTGATAACTCAGGATGTTGTTGCTGGAGAGTGGGGAACTCGTCCAGATCCTCCTGAGACACCACTTTCCTTTTTCATACAAAAACAACACCGTGCTTCCAATCGTGCTGACTGCACACCAGATTCCATTGACTGTTTTTCTACCCTACCCTGCTTATTTTTATTCATCTGGCTACTTTATTTTAGGGATTTGGAAAGCTTGTCTTGGCAGTGGTGACTCTTATTGTTTTATTTCTGGCTGCTCGGCTTTCATGTGAATGCTTCCATTAAGAGGCGGACGTGGGGAGGACGTGGTTCTGGGGTTCCGGTTTGCTGCCTAGGTATGTTTGCACAGATAGAGCTGTGGTGGCCCAGCTCCACGCTGCAGAGCCAGACCTAGGCTGGGATTCCAGCAGGAAAGGACAATGCCCATTGTGGGTTGGATGGAGGATACGTGGCACTAAAGACATGTGCTCTTCTTTCTGGAGAAAATTTTAGGAACCTGGCCAGAGGTCACTTACTTTTAGTACAGAGCTATAGAAACTTTTTAATGCCTGGTGACCAGGCACCTGAAATGGGTCAGTCATTTTTTTTTCTTCTACAAGCTATACCCATATGAACAACTGATGTTGCCTGTATGCAGTTCTATGAGGCAGAATCAGTAGATTCAAGACAGGACTTTGGTGTCATACAAACCTGGATTAGTTCTTGGCTCTGCCACTTACTAACTCAGTGTCCTTGGACAAGTTACCTAACCTCTGTAGTCTTTAGTGCCTGCACGTGATTGGGAATTGTAACAGCACCTGCCTCGCTAGGTTGTGATGAGGATTACGTGAGGAAAAAAAGCCCCACAAATTTTCTGTGATGATGGACAACTCAAAATACGCAAAACTCCATTCCAGGTCAGATTCTTGTTGCTCTGATTGTATCAGAAACTAGCTGAGGAGTTCAGAGTAAGGATCTAACCTAGCAATGCTTAATTCTGGATTGGGTAAGATTTTATTTCCCAAATCAGCTTATTTCTCAGGTACTAGCCTGGTATCCAAATCGGACCCTTTCTGGGAACTACCTCTGCTCTTAGGACAGCAGCATCTGTGGAGGGTTGGTTTAGGTAGAGAAAGCAGAAATAGGTTGTGTCGTCTGCTCACCTGGCTTTCCCATAGCCCAGTGGGAATCAACTGGACATCTCAAGAATCCTGATGTCCAAGCCACGCTCTAAAGTTTCTGGCTATGAACCCCAGGCTTTAGGATGTTAAAAAAAACTCTCCGAGTGATTGCAGTGTGCCAACAAGATTGAGAAACAATATACAAATAGCTCATAAGCCGATTCACTAACACCTCTATACAAGCATATTTATAATAGAATTAGAGCAATAAATAACAAAGACATACACAAATTCTTTATCTGCATGTATCTCTAGCTTTTAAAAGCTTACTTATCTTTCTGTCACTCAGACCCTACTGTACCTTTTCACAGCCCCTTGCCCATTTGCTCCCTCTTATTTGGTTGCCGTTCAAGACAAAGATACTAGTTGCCTTTTTAATATTTTCCTGTTATCTATGAGCTCTTATTCTTTCTGTCTTTCCTGAGTGGGAGAACCTTCATTACTCACAACTTGATGTATCTGTCATTGTTAGTGGTGCTTCTGGCATGGCTCTGACCTTTCAAAAGGCAGAGTTAGGAATGCTCATATCTCTCTGTGAACCATGAACGGACTGCCCTCTCATGTCTTTAATTCAATTAAGTCCTAGATTCATTCCTTCCTTTCTCTCTTTTTCTCTCCCTTTTAAAGAGGGACCAGACGTTGTTTTATTTCTTGGTTATCAGGACAGAAAAATTTTGAACATGTACGTATATCTTTCGCTCCCACTGTTTGTAAAGGGATTATCTCTTCTGGATTATCAGAATCAAAACATCTTGATCCACACTCACTTCCCCTTCCCTTCTAGGTGTCTTCCCCATGGTGTGCTCTCAAAGACACACTATGATTTCCACATCAGCCTAAGCAAAGCATCAAAAAGCAAACATGCCCATTTTTTTTGCACCCTCTTCCTCTCTTCTGTTAACAAAGTTGAGGATTAAATGATACTCAGAGAAAAAGCAAGTCATATATTTGGAAACCTATTAATCAAAATAGAGTGTTTATGTAAGGTTAATATAATCAGCAATTCGAGCCAAGCTTCATGTTGTTACTTCTAGAATTAAGCCCATCAGCTGACCTATTTTTTTCAGTACTTTCCTTTTTTATCCATGATTTTCATCACTTTCTTACCTTCTGGGCTTATACGAAGACCATGTCGACTTTATTTTGGTTGAATTTTGGACACATAAAAGTGCAGTGAAGATTTCATTGCTGTATCTTCCTGATAATAAAGCTGTTCTTGCTTGGCCTTATTCCATGGAGAAAGAGTGGTCTTGTGTGGGGAGCTTTATCCATCGTTAGCGTTGGGCACAAAAGTGACAGAAGCTTTCAGAGCCTTAGTTTTGTCATCTTTAGGTTGGTGGGGCTACTGCTGCTACATGCAGTGGTTTAAATGAGGTGCCAGATGTGAAGCTCCAGTGTCAGGCATGCTTGAATTGGTCAATGCGTGGTAAACTTTGCCAGCTGTCATTCATCTACCTTCTCCCAAATGCCTAGCTCTTTATTTGCACCATTTTTAAAGCACAATTAGGGCATCCTGCCTTATGTTTCATTCTGGGTTTGCCTCATCTTACTTTTCAAAATTTAAACTCCTTGAAAGTAGGCCTGAAGTAGTTTTCCATTTCCGTAGCTATCCCATCCTTAGTGTACGTTGAGGATGCATACATAATTCAGCAGGGAGTGAACTAAAACTAAACAACAAAAAAAAGGAAAGCTTTTGTTTTTCTGTTTTGCAGTTTTGTTTTAACTTGGGTGATGCCGATCTGGGCAACTGTTTTTGTATAGCCAGTGAAAGTGTCTAAGCTGTGTGTAGATTTTGTAATATAGTTTCATCCTTGTTAATGTAGAAATTGTAACACAAACCCAAGACAACAGGGGACCCATTGCATAGGTGAATTCTCACTAACTCAGTGGACAGGGTGGTCTGCCTGTTTGTCCCCCAGTGTAGGCCTGGGCATGGCAGAAGCCCATTGTTACCTTATAACTTTATGAATGTATAATGTGTAGCCTGGCTCCTTTCAGAAAGGAATCCTAAAAAAGTACATATAGAATAGCATAATTAAAAATAAGAATTAAAAGAGATCAGACACAACTTAAAATAATGGGAAAATGAAGGCTTTACTGGGTAAACCTCCTTTTCCTTTCAGCTAGCAGGACTAATCTCATTCCTTGAGAGGCTCTGACCAGCCCTTAGCACAGCTGCTTCTGGGATGCAGTCACACAGCCAGGGAAGAAATTACTTGGAAGGAAAAATGCCAGAGTTTTCCCTCAAACCTGGAGATTATGGAGGAAAAGATAAGAAGGGGGGAGAGCAAATATAATCTGTATTGTAAATAGTAATGAAAATACCAGACTGATACACTAATTAGTGCAATATTCTAGCATGTTTTTAGCAAATTGTTATTAATGATGCCATTAGTAAGTGTAGCCCAGAATTGAATATTAGCTGAATTTGTAAGTCATTTTGTAATTTATTTGTCTTACCATTACATTTTTCCCAAGTTTGAAAACAGAACACTTTTAAAATTCAGATTATATGATGGAATATATATTCTACAGTGAAATGTCAAATTCATTAAAATAATGTGCCAATATTTAATTACAGTATTGGTGGGTTTATATTTTATAACTTCTTGTGATATTTAACTGCTGCTATTAATTATGATGATGAAACAAAATTTCTTGGATTTTGAATATTTTTGATTTAATATATTTGACTTCAGAATAAATTTGACTTATTCACATAAATCTTAGCTTTGAAAAGAATGTTAGAACTCATCTAGTTGTATATACTTTAATATTACCTATTCAGAAACAGAGGTCTAGAAAATTGAGTAACTTTCTCAAACATCTCAGGTGGTCGTAGATTTAGAACTAGTCTTCTGCTCTCAGGTTAGAGTGGTTTCTATTATTAATTTTATGTCCCATTGTCCTTTAAAAGGTTCGTAGCTATGTGACAGTATTGCTACAAAAATACTATTTTCTTCTTGCTTAAAGAAACATTGGTGATGCTGAAATCACAGAAACACTCTCATTACCTAAAATAGTTCTTGAAATATTCTACGCACATGTATTCTGTATCTTTTTCATTCAATTAGATAGTATAGTTCTAGCAATTCTCAGGAAAGGTTAAGTTTGGAATGTAAACTGGACCCTCAGTGGAACTTTCTTTGAGTTGAACCTGAAGGAAACCACACATATAAGTTTTCGGGGCAAACTTCCAGCACTGTAGCACATCAAGACCACTATGTCTAGTAAAGTGTTTCAGAAAGAAAGAACACAAGAGACTTCTGGAATTCTTTTCTATTTAGATTCTAAACATTCGTGAAAGGAGTGTTGCTTTAATATTTTCCTTAATTTAATATGAGGAACTTCACAGTTTGCTCTTGCTTCTTAATTCTTTTTAAGTGAAATGAAATTCTTCGTGTAGAGAAAGAGTAAGAATGCTGATGGGAGAATGAGACAGAGATGTGTATACACACATACACACAATTACATATGTTATCATAATATGTATATATTATGTATCACAATGAAATAAGCAATGCGTTGATATCTCTAAAGGCACAGAAGTATCTACAGTGAGTTCCTCCCATTCACTCCTGTCCTCCTAGCCAGAGATCCTCTCTCCAGAAACAACCACTTCAAACAGTTTCTTGTGTAGCTTTCCAGACACAATCTACTTATATTTAAATAATTATGTAAATATTCATTAAAACCCACAAATACTATATGCACTGTCCTGCAACTGTTTTTGTTTTTAAACACTTATAATCTATTTTGAAGTTTGTTTTGTATCAGCACATATAGAGCTGCTTCATTCATTTTTATGGCTGCATAGTATTAGTATTCCATTATGGAATATAATGTTTAATATTACATTCAATCACACAAAATAGAATTAACATTACATTAATATTGATTGATTTAATTTTAGCATATTTATGATGTTTGTTAATGGTATATTAATACTTAACCAGTCCTCTATTTTATTTGCTTTCCATCTTTTGCTATTTGAAACCATACTGACCAGGCACAGTGGCTCATGCCTGTAATCCCAGCACTTTGGGAGGTCGAGGTGGGCAGCTCACCTGAGGTCCGGGGTTTAAGACCAGCCTGGCCCACATGGTGAAACCCCATCTGTACTAAAAATACAAAAATTAGCTGGACGTGGTGGTGCATGCCTGTAGTCCCAGCTACTGAGGAGGCTGAGGCAGGAGAATTGCTTGAATCCAGGAGATGGAGGTTGCAGTGAGCTGAGATCACACCACTGCACTCCAGGCTGGGTGACAGAGTGAGACTCCAACTCAAAAAAAAAAAAAAAAAGAAACCATGCTAAAAGTATGTCATTTGCATATGTATAAGAATATCTGTAGATGAGAAAGACTGCTAGGTTAAAGTGTATGTGCATTTGTAATATTTACAGATATTACCAAAAAATGTCCTTCATTTACATCACCATGGCCTCAGCATTACAATGTGTTTATCAGATTTTTTTATATTCACCATTCTAATAGATGAAAAATACTATCCCATTTAGTTGTAATTTGTGTCACTCTAATTTGAGTGTGGTTGATCCTTTTTTTCATATGATTAAGAGCCATTCGTATATCATTTTCTGTGAGCCATCTGTTCATATCTATTTTTCTTTTCTTGTTTATGATTTGTCTTATTTCTGTCAACTGTAGAAGCTCTTTCTGTTTATAAAAAATTTGCCTATTAGGTTTAGGAATTGTAGAACTTTCCATCCTCCCCCATTCCTTGATTGTCATATATGTTTATGGTGAAGTTTTTGTTTTAAAATGCCATACTTTTTTGTGTGTGTTGAATTTGGCACTCTGGCTTTATACTATTCATACAAAGCCTTCCCCATTCTGAGATCGTAAACACAACCCATGCTGTCCTGGTGCTATTACAGCTTCCCTTTTCACAGTAGATCTCTGATTCATCTAGACTTTATTGAGATAAAAGGTGCGAGATAGGTAGTCATCTTTTTTTTTTTTTTTTTCGTTGTAAATGGCTATCTAGTTTTCTCGAACTACTGGCCTTGTGTCTTTTCCCTGTTGATTTGAAATGCCACCTTTATTGCACACTTCAGTGGTTCCCAACCTTTTTGGCACCAGGGACCGGTTTTGTGGAAGACAGCTTTTCCCCAGACCGGGGTGGGGGATGGTTTCAGGATGACTGAAGCGCATTACTTTATTGTACACTTTATTTCTATTATTACTACATTGTAATATATAATGAAATAATTATATAACTCACCATAATACAGAATCAATGGCAGCCCTGACCTTGTTTTCCTGCTCTAGAAGGTCCCATCTGAGGGGGATGGGAGACAGTGACAGATCATCAGACATTAGATTCTAACAAGGAGCACGCAACCTAGGTCTCTTGCCTGCACAGTTCACAATAGGGTTCATGCTCCTATGAGAATTCAATGCCCCAGCTGATCTGACAGGAGGCGGAGCTCAGGCAGTAATGTGAGCAGTGGAGAGTGGCTGTAAATACAGATGAAGTTTCACTTGCCAGCCTGACACTCACCTCCTGCTGTGCAGACCTGTACCAGTCTGGTCCGTGGCCTTGATTTCCATATGTATGTCTCTTGACCCATTTCCCATCTTAGTAATTCATGCCATTGACCTTCCCATCTATCCACCACACTGCTCTATGATGTGTTTTTAATATCCAGGCGAGCTCATCCTCTCAGGGCTCTTCTTTGTTGAGAAATACTTTACTGTTTTCACATTATTTAACCATGAGATCTTTAGAATCAACTTGTGCAATAACCCCAACAGTTTTTTTAAAATTCTGGAAGTATTTTTTTGTTTAAATTGGAAGTGCCTTAAATTATATAGATATAATTGAGATAATTGTCATCACCTTTTAAAATTTTGCCTTAGTAGCATTTTAAAGTTTTCTTCATATAAATTTTGCATATTCCTTAAGATTTGCTGGGGATTTTGCCCTTTTGCTATTATCATAAATTATATCTCTTCTTTTGTGTCATTTTGCTGGTGTGTGTAAAATATATAAAATATCCCTTAATAAGGTTGTTTAAAAATTAATACCAAATGCCTTTTACATATCCTTGAAGATGATCATATATCATTTCACTTTGGTCTATTTATAAGGTGAATTGTTTTGATAGTATAAGATCCTCGTGTTCTCTATGAACCCATAAAAAAGGACGATTTTATGTTCTTTGCAGGGACATGGATGAAGCTGGAAACCATCATTCTCAAAATTATTCCTTGAAAGTTTGTTAGAATTCTCCCTCTGAAGCTATCTCATCCTGATTTTGCTTATTTGTATATTTATTTATTGGAGGGAAGGTGGCTCTTTAACATCTATTTCATCTGTGATATTGACATATTTACATTTTCTGTGTTTTCTTTGGCTAAGGTGTGGTTTCTTAAGTATATGTTACATATTATTTACTGAAAATCTTCAGTTACTGTTTGAGTCTCTTCTGATACAGGGTGAGGTTATCTCTTATTGTTGAGTTGTTTTCAAAAGTAGTGGTTCTTTCCTTATAGTCTATGTTTTCTGGAATTTGACAATCATGTCTCCCATTCATTTAGATATTAGGATATTAAGGACTATTGCATAATCTTATCATCAGGATGGTAATACTGTAGGCCGTACTGTATGATTACGCTGCTCTGGGGACTGTGATTGCTTTCTTTGGTACCTTTGCCCAGTGGTGTCCAGTTTTACTGCTGATTGTGCTTCATAGTGTCAGTTCTTAACAGATACAATTTATCTCAGTCTTATATATTATAGGCTCTCAGTAATTCTAGTGAGTAAAGTACTTGGTTATTGTCTGTTATGGGTTCATTTGTAAAGGATGTAAAAGACATGTTCCTACAAAAATTAGCCAGGCATGGTGGTGCGTGCCTGTAGACCCAGCTACTCGAGAGGCTGAGGTAGAAGGAACACCTGAGCCTGGGAGGTTGAGATTGCAGTGAGCTGAAATCGTGCCACTGCAGTCTGGTATAGGCAACCAAGTGAGATCCTGTCTCAAAAAAAAAAAAAAAATTGAATTAATAATTTTGGTAAATATATATGTATTCAGATACGTTAAAGGATAGCATTTTGCATACTTGTCTGGTAGAATGAGTTGGACATAATTTTTAGTTACAGTAAAAAGTTCTTTAGAGAGCTAAAAAGTTTTAGTGGTATTTTTGCTTTTCCAAATCCCACATGTCCCAGAATTTGGCAAGGAAATAGAAAAAGGAAATAGAAATCACAGTGCTGTAGTAACAGAGGTGCAAAAAAAAATGATAATGTTGGTCAAAATGTATAATGTTAAGAAAAACAGTGTTTGTGGTTAATAAAAGTGTATTGATTTTGTTCAAATTTTGTTGAGAAAATATTCTCTCCTTTTCTTATAGACTTATCTAAAAACAGACTGGTTGAAGTTCCAATGGAATTGTGCCATTTTGTATCACTGGAAATTCTTAATCTGTATCACAACTGTATCAGAGTCATTCCTGAGGCCATCGTTAATCTGCAGATGCTGACTTACCTGAACTTGAGGTAGGTTAAACATAAAAGTTGTAATCAAATTCAGTGAAAGAAATAAAAAACTTATGCTTTCATTTCTATCCATTTTTTCCCCTTTTTGCAATTCTTGATTTTTCTTTGATGTAGGTCACACACAGATGTTTTAAGTAATAACTTTTCTAATAAATTTGTAATGTTGTTAATACTGTCCTTGGTGCTAGACTTCCCTGAATATGAATAAGACAAGGTTTTTTTTTAAAAAAATGATTTATATTATATCATTTATTCTCTTTGTCTAATTGGCATTTGTAAGGTTGTAGTTATGTTGTCTTCAAGTATTCATGTAGATTTTGGAGGAGGAAGTATAAAGGAAGTGAAAAAGAGTTTGGTTGTCAGGACAAACAAGGAGCAAAAAAAAAAAAAAAAAAAAGAGAAAGCCTGGGTGATCTTTGGCAATTATTGGTAACATTGGGCTTTGCTACCTAGTACTAATTGAGCCCATTCACTTTAAGCCTTCTTAAGAAAGTTGAGGAGCACTGAACAACTCTAGCCAGATACAAAGTTTGCTATCTATCTTTACATCCCGCTAACTTAGGTCAGTGTTTGCTGAGCATGGTTTAGTAATGTGCATTGATTGATTATGCACAACATAATATCATATATTAATGCCCCTGAGTAGCTCTGATATTAAGAAAATCAGTTATTTTAAGGCCTTGGTTTTAGACTTTGCAGCTAGGTTCTCTGGTCAAATTCTAAATCCTTTCCCCATATCTGGGATGTCAGGAGAGAAAGGGAAGCTGTTTCATCAAATATATCTTTACGGTGAATACAAGATCCCCAATTGCAAGCCTGAATGTAGCCTTTACTCATGTCATTGCGTCATGTTAGTGTGCAAAGGGGAGCAAGACTTGTGTTGAATAACAGATATACCCAACATCAAAGTTCAGAAAGTTCAATGAACCAGGTATAATGTCAGTGGTTTTTTAGTTTTGTTTTTAGTTTTGATTTAGTTGGCTACTGAAAATTACTGGTTTTGTCTTGTTTTCCTTGCAGTCAAAAATGAGTTTCTGGCCGGGTGTGGTGGCTCAGGCCTGTAATCCCAGCACTTTGGGAGGCCGAGGCGGAGGGATCGCCTGTCAGGAGTTCGAGACCAGCCTGGCCAACACGGTGGAACCCCGTCTCTACTAAAAATACAAAATTAGCTGGGCGTGGTGGCGCATGCCTATAATCCCAGCTACTCAACGAAGCTGAGGCAGGAGAATCGCTTGAACCCGGGAGGCAGAGGTTGCGGTGAGCCAAGATAGCGCCATTGCACTCCGGCCTGGGTAACAAAAGCGAAACTCCATGTCAAAAAAAAAAAAAGAGTTTAAGTTGCATTTCTGTAGAAGTGCTTTTTTTTTTTTTTTGATATGCAGTCTCACTCTGTCACCCAGGCTGGAGTGCAGTGGCGCCATCTCAGCTCACTGCAAGCTCCGCCTCCCGGGTTCACACCATTCTCCTGCCTCAGCCTCCCAAGTAGCTGGGACTACAGGCGCCGGCCACCAGGCCTGCTGATGTTTTGTTTTTTTTGTTTTGTTTTGTTTTGTTTGTTTTGAGACGGAGTCTTGCTCTGTCGCCCAGGCTGGAGTGCAGTGGCGCGATCTCGGCTCACTGCAAGCTCCGCCTCCCGGGTTCACGCCATTCTCCTGCCTCAGCCTCCCAAGTAGCTGGGACTACAGGCGCCGGCCACCAGGCCTGCTGATGTTTTTTTTTTTTTTTTTTTTGTTTTGTTTTGTTTGTTTTGAGACGGAGTCTTGCTCTGTCGCCCAGGCTGGAGTGCAGTGGCGCGATCTCGGCTCACTGCAAGCTCCGCCTCCCGGGTTCACGCCGTTCTACTGCCTCAGCCTACTGAGTAGCTGGGACTACAGGCGCCCGCCACCACGCCCGGCTAATTTTTTGTATTTTTAGTAGAGGCGGGGTTTCACCATGTTAGCCAGGATGGTCTCGATCTCCTGACCTCGTGGTCCACCCGCCTCGGCCTCCCAAAGTGCTGGGATTACAGGCGTAAGCCACTGCGTCTGGCCAAGTGTATTTGTTTTTTTTGTTTTTTTTTTTGTCAGGGTTGAAAAAAATCCTAGCAGGTTTTTAAGTAGCCTTAACTTCTTTTTGGTAAATAAGGTGTAGGTTACTGTTAGGATTGTCTGGAGGCTCATATATCTAATCTTCACTTTTGCAGATTTCTAACTTATCTGACCATTTTGAATTTTCTTGCTGTTTCTACCATAGTGGGGTGTTAATAACCTTGGAATTTCCTGGTGCAGCAAGCATAAGTGTCTATAGAATTTGGGTCAGTATCTCCTAAGACATCTGTACTCTAATTCCAACATATACAGGGGAAAGCATGTGTAGTTGGTCTGTTTACTTACCTACTCCTGTCCTGCTGTGTGTGACATTTTCACTGCTGGTAGTCCTGGATGCAGTAAGTCTATATATTTAACTTTGCATTGTTGTATTTAGTCCATGTTCATTGAGAAACTTTTGGGTATAGATAACATTTTACTTTTACAATGATAGGGATTTTAAAATGCTAATCACACTAAATAATGTCATCTTAAAATGTATATTATATTTTTAGAACATTAGTAAAATGGTTTTGGTGTGATGGTTTCCATGTCACCCCCAGTTGAGAATAGATTATTGCTGTCTTCAGATGGGTAGGAAGAATATATTGCAGTATGGATCTGAGGATGTTTTAAGGCAAAGACAGAGAATTCATTGAAACGGATCATGGCTGAAGAGGACCATGTGGTACGTTATAAACAGTTTTGTGATGAATTCCTGGGTAATGGAAAGGAAAAAGAATATAGGAAGAGGCTGTTAAGCATCTAACTCTTCAAATATGGTTTACAGTCTGTAATTTTTAGCTTCCTGGTTGCATCTGTTTTCTCCCACTTACATGGGTCATTCTGTTTTTGTTCTGTTTTTCTTTGCCCACTTCTCCTACTTTTAATATTACCATGTTTGAGACCTATTCTCCCATACTGAATCATGTGCTCTTTGAAGGAATTTGACAAATAGAGAAAATTTGAGGAAAAGCTTATCTCACAGAGGTATTGTATAAAGATATAAAAAAAAGTGTAGCTATCCTCTAAAGTTTTTGAAAGCCAGATACTATATATACATATATAATTATTTTCAAAACCTCCTATAAAATTTTTTACATGAGTATAAATGTATAACATAAAATAGTAGGCTGGGCTTGGTGGCTCACGCCTGTAATCCCAGCACTTTGGGAGGCCGAGGCAGGCAGATCCCTTGAGCCCAGGAGTTCGTGACCAGCCTGGGCAACATGTTGAAACCCTGTCTCTACTGAAAAAAAAAATACAAAAAGTAGCCGGGCGTGGTGGCGTGCACCTGTAGGCCCAGCTACTTGGGAGGCTGAGGTGAGAGGGTCTGGGAGGTTGAAGCTGCGGTGAGCCGTGATTGTGCTACTGCATTCCAGCCTGGGCAACGGAACAAGACCCTGTCTCAAAAGAAAGAAAGAAAGAAAGAAAATAAAATAAAAATATTAATGAGAGTAATCTTTAAAGTAATCAGAAAGCTGGTCCTCTTGTGTTATTCAATTACAAGGCCTTTAATTCCTATTTGATTACTGGGTATAGTTGAAACATGTCTTCTAGGAATTGGACCCTTGAAATTGAGATATTTATCAGATTTGATGTTGAATGCAATATAGCTTTTGCCTAAAAGATTTATTAGTATCTGTGAAACAGTGACTGTCACATTTGTTTACTTCCAAATATGTAATTGTATCTAGAAAATACCAGTGGCATCTAATAAAATTCTTTTGAAGTCTTCTCAGATGTTGAGTAGTATCATCCACATGATAGTGTTGTCTGTGTGAGTTCTTCCTGTCCACAAACTACCACCCCACTCCCAGCCATCCCTAAGCCTGGTAAGCAGGAGGGACTCAGAATATCATGCTTGTGTGTGATGACAACGTGATGTCTCCTCCACAACAACCAGGGTTAGCCACGGTGGCCTTTTCACGTCTTTTCTGCTCCTCCTGGATATTATTAAGTTAGCAAAATAAAATATATATTTTGTTGGGTATGGTGAAGGGTCGTAGTGGACTTCATTGACTTTTGACCTTTGGGGAGAGACTGCCAATCCCCTCACTTGAAAAGGACACAGAGACTTAGGATGCTGCAAACACACCACTTTGTAGAAGAGCTAATCTAGTGTTTTTTCTTCAGTAGTTATAAATGGGATAGTATGCCAAAGAAAAAACTTACATATCCAACATAGAAGTATATAATCAATGCAGGACATTATCATTAATTTTGATGTATGGGGAAGTCGGTGTGAATTTCTTAAAATTAAAGAAACTGTAAATTGCTTTTGAGCTCACACTTAAGGTAGATGATATCAAGTATAGTATGATCTGAAAGAGCTTTAACAAATAGGCAAGTATATCTGATTTTATAAACAAGTACCCTAAAATACTTTCTTTTCTGTAGCACTTAGAAATTTTCCTCTTATTTCTATTAATTGAAAAGAAAGACTTGTTAGATCAAATAGTGCCAAGAAGCTGGTTTTCAAATTTTCACAGATTTTGTCTGTCTGTACTTAAAATCAATGTGACCTCACTGTATTTAGATTTTTTTCTTCTCTCAATAAATTGCATGTAGAAATTATTAATTTTGTATATTCCAAAGTAGGAAGATGCCATATGAAGCTACTTTGAATTCATGGGAAACATTCAAAACTGATTACACCCTCTGGGGTATATTGTGTATTTCAGCTGAGTAAACAGCCATAAATATTTGATAGTGATGGTGATAGTGATGGTGATGATAATGATGATGACTATGATGGTGGCGGTGGTGGTGATATGTCACTCCCTAACCAGCTTCTTGGCTGATATGTTGTCTTTAAATGTCAAAAGGCTGCTTGTTGCCAACAACCTCTAGTCCTAAATTAGAGATAAATTTAATTAGCACATGAAAAAAATCCTTACTGTGAAGTGCAGTTAAAAACACTTACATATTTTTCACATTTTCTCACATGACAGAAATGTTATGTTTGTGGAAAATATTAATTTACTGCTGTTTATGTAGCCTGTGTTTGAAGGATTTGGGCTTTTAATCTTTGCCTCTTGGCGTTCACAACAAAAGGTTATGTTAGTTTAGTATATGTGCCACTGTGTCTTTTCCTGTTATAAAGTGTCTTAATCCAAGACATGTGGCCAAGAACAATAAAAATGATTAAGCAAGATTTGTTCCTATAGAGGAACCAACACTTTGAACCTGAGTTACACAGGAAAGCCTCACAAAGTTTAAAATCTATTTTAAGATGCTAGAGAGTTTGTTGTTGATGAGCCTCATGAAGAAAATGTACCATAGGAAAATAAAATAACCCAGACTAGCAAAACTCTTGGCAATAGTAGGAGTGTTGTGAATCTAAGAATAGGGACCTTGGTTAAAAAGTCTCATTTCAGCGTTAGCGGCTGCCAAGAAATGAAAGTTCTGTATAGTATTTGATCATATTGCTTCCAGAAGTCGTGGTGAGTGCTTTTACTTTTCTAGGGTGAAATACACTCAGCTAGGCCTGGTTTATTCATTAGAAGCCCCAACCTCTCCCAACCTACTAGGAGTGGGTTCCGAAGCATTGCCTGTAAAGAACAGGGCGGTCTCTTGAACAAAATGTTATCACACCATAAAAGGAATCTGTTTTGGCTGCTTTCTCTGCAGCCTGGCATTCTTTTCGGCTGCTGAACAATGTGCAGAAAGAGCCAGCTTCCTGATGGTCCTATAACCCGTATCCCCACATTCCTCTGGGAGTCACACTGAGAAGTCATCTTGGATTGGGACAAGTGTCTTGCATGCTAGGGTTGCCTTAGAAAACACAGACTTTATACTTTTTTTGTTGTGAACTAAAAATTAAATTTAACTACATTTCTTCTTACTTGTAGAAGAAATGTCTTCTCTCCTTGCACTGACAATTCTAAAGAAAGTCTCAATTGTAGGCTAGTGTTTCTTCTCTCTTAAAAAAATGAAAGAATTGATGATGTCTTCCTAAACTGGAAAGGAGGAGGAGTTTTGTTCAATTCGATAAAAATGTGTATCCCACATTCTTTCATGAAGATCTTACCCCATTCAAAGAGAAAATGAGAACACTTTAGTGTGTATATTAATGTATATATTTTCGAGCTGGTCTTTGGTAGCCAGGTTTTGTTTTGTGAAATGACAGATCAGCAGAAAGACACCAAAAACACAGTGAACTGAACTGGAGTTTGAAAGTGAACTGACTTAAAATTTGAAAATATTTTTCACAGGATAGCAGAGTTGGAAGAGGCCATTGGAGTCATCCAGTGCATACGCACGGCCAACCATGTGGAGTTTACGCTTTGCCTTTTCTAGTGCTCACTGGGCATCTATTTTCAAGGTGGAACCCGTAGCCAATGGTCCCTAAAATTATTAATGTGTTTATAAATTATTGTGCCTGTAAAATTATGTCCATTGCCATTGGTAGCTGACAGGCTTTATAAAGTGTGAATGAGTGAATGATTGGCTATTTCTTATCAGATTGAATTCCTTTTAGGATAGTTCATATTTGGCATAACTTCCAAGGAGGATTTTCCCATTATTACATATCACCTGATCATAGCTGTTGTTTTGGATCAGTGTGTATTGAAAAAAAGAACAGAGAGACACAAAAGGGATATTATGACTTTGATAACTACAGTAGTGTCAGAATGTGTTGGTTTTGTTTTCAGTTCTGTTTCTGATCTTAATAGAGTTGTTAAGATCTTTGTGCAGCAGGTTAGTGCTCTGGAACTGAGGTAAATACCCACTCCTAATTCAATTGTATTTTTTTTTTGTTGTATATATTATTTTGTTTACAATATATATATTGTCAAAGTTTATTCTGCCAGCCCCAAATGAACAAGTTCCAAATTGCATTTATTTGTCTAATGAGACAGATAAAAAGCACTGTGAAACATTGCCATTTCATCAGTAATCAACTTACTATATATCCTCTAAGAACACTGCACTTTACCAAGTCCTATAACAAGTGCTGTAGAGAAAAAGAGAGATTTTTTTTTTTAAAACATACATATATGAAAGGTGTGGATTTTGGGGATCATCACCACCACCACTTTTTTTCTTTCTTTCTTCTTTCATTTTTACTTTTTCTTTTCTTTTCTTTTTTTTTTTTTTTTTTTTTTTTTTTTTTTTTTTTTTTTTTGAGGCAGGGTCTTGCTCTGTTGCTCAGGCTAGAGTGCAGTGGTGTGATCACAGCTTACTGCAGCCTCGACCTCCCTGGGCTCAGGTGACCCTTCCATTTCAGCCTCACTAGTAGCTGGGACTACAGACGTGCGCCACCATGCCCAGCTAATTTTTTTTTTTTTTTTGGTAGAGATGGAATTTTGCTATGTTGTCCAGGCTGGTTTCGAGCTCCTGGGCTCAAGTGATCTGCCCGCCTTGGCCTCCCAAGGTGTTAGAATTACAGATGTGAGCCACCATGCCTAGCCACCACTACTTCTTAATAGCTAAATAGGATTTAAGATTAACCATCACACCATCAGATCTGAGCCCTTCAACAACCCTTAACTTTGGATAGGAAATAGGAAAGTGGTTTATCCCTAGGCTACACTATTTCATAATTAATAGAAATGAATGAGATATATTTCTTTGACATTTTATAGGTCACTAAGCACTTTCACCTCTGTTACCTTGTTGAACATGATCTCTATTGCATTTCATGCCCCTTAAGACAGTTTCATAATTATGAAAATAGTTGTTAGGGATTTTCCAAGGGAACAACATCAGTATTTACACAAGGAAGGCCTTTGTATTTTTAAAATTTCTACTGTAGCTATAATTGGTTCCCATTGTTATTTCTAATACTATAAATTTGTGCATTCTTTTTCTTTATCCACTTTTATGGAAGATGGTGTGTTTTAATAACTTTTTTTTAACTTAGCTTTTGATTTTGGATATTTTGCTCATTGATTACCAGTGATTTTTTCTTTTCTTACAGGAGCTTTTAAGTCCACAATTTCCCTGTCCATAGTGCTTTAGCTGACTCCTAAAAGTTTTGCTATGCAGTGGTTGTTAATCACTCCCAGGCTTTTCTACTTTCCATTATTACTTCTGTGGCTTGTGAGTGTTAAATTTCTTTTTATTTTCATTTTTGGTGATGGGCAGGGTCTTGCTCCATCACTCAGGCCGGAGTGCAGTGGTGCAATTACGGCTCACCACAGCCTTGACTTCCAAGGCTTAAGCTATCCTCCCACCTTAGCCTCCGCAGGAGCTGGGACTACAGGCATGCACCACCATGCCCAGCTAATTTTTAAATTTTTTTATAGAGATGGAGTCTCGCTCTGTGGCCTAGGCTGGTCTCAAACTCCTGGACACAAGTGATCCACCTACCTCAGACTCCCAAAGTGCTTGGATTACAGGCGTGAGCCACCACACCTGGGCTAAATATTTATAGAACAGTTTTTAAAGTTATCTTTAAAAGTTTACTTTTAATTTAGTTATATTGTGTCAGAGAATATTATCTGTTTGAAATAGATTCATTAGATTGGTCAAGTTTTGCTATGCATAGTTAATTTTGTAAATATTCCACATACGCTTGAAAACAATATATGTTTTCTAAGTCTGGTATGCAGGGTTATAGTAAGTACAGCAAATTTAACATTTTAATTTGGGGCTTCACATTTCCTCCATTGTAACACATTTTGCATCTGCAGGTCTGCAGGCAGAGATAACCTGGAAAGGTACATTAGACAAGGCACCTGGTACTCTTTTTGCCTGTTGCAAAATTGTTCACAATTTTTTTTCTGATACTCCAAATACTTCAGATTTATTTATTTATTTATTTATTTATTTATTTATTTATTTATTGAGACTTGTTGAGTCTTGTTCTGTCACCCAAGCTGGAGTGCAGTGGCATGATCTTAGCTCACTGCAGCCTCCGCTTCGTGGGTTCAAGCGATTCTCCTGCCTCAGCCTCCTGAGTAGCTGGGATTACAGGCTCCCGCCACCATGCCCGGCTAATTTTTGTATTTTTATTTGAGACAGGGTTTCACCATGTTGGCCAGGCTGGTCTCGAATTCCTGACCCCAGATGATCCGCCCCTCTCAGTCTCCCAAAGTGCTAGGACTGTAAGCGTGAGCCACTGCGCCCAGCCCAAATACTTCAGATTTATATCACCACATACAAGAATTGTGCACTTTCATGAACTATTGGAACAGGTCTGTAAGTAGCAAAAAACCAAAAAGAACGAAAAGAATATCAGCAGTGATACTCAGTGGGGATGGTGAAATGTTTCCTTTCAGATTGTGTGTCCTAAGAACTGGGAAAGCTTGTTTGTGTGTGGGTGGCTGTGGGGGGTGGGCTGAAGCAGTAGCTAGTGTTTTAGGGCAGTTCATTTACTTTTGTTCAATCAATAATTTGAATGGGTGATCTTCAGGGAATTTAAGTAAACTGTTATGAGTTGTGGCCCCTCAAGTAAATTAGTCCCAGAACCAGACCCTTGTGACCTCAGTACCAGTAGGAGAGAACAGCCTGGGATTTTCAGCAGAGGCAACCTTTGAACATTTGACCACGGTGCCAAAAATCTGCAAGCAGTTGTTTACAGAATTCTTAGGACCAGCCTGGAGTCCTTTCATTCCACCTTGCATGATAAGATCGGTAAAGGAAGTCTCACTTTCTGTATTCCTTAGGAGTCACTTTTTTTTTTTTTTTGAGACAGGCTGGAGTGCAGTGGCGCGATCTCTGCTCACTGCAAGCTCCGCCTCCTTGGTTCACGCCATTCTCCTGCCTCGGCCTCCCTAGTAGCTGGGACTACAGGCGCCCGCCACCACGCCCGGCTAATTTTTTGTATTTTTTTTAGTAGAGACAGGGTTTCACTGTGTTGGCCAGGATGGTCTCGATCTCCTGACTTCGTGATCCACCCACCTCGGCCTCCCAAAGTGCTGGGATTACAGGCGTGAGCCACCGCACCTGGCCTAGGAGTCAATAAGTTTTTTTAACTTAGATTTTTAGAATCCCAGAAGGAAATATCTGCTGCCACAGCACTTTAAAAATACATGATCGGCCGTCTCAAAAAAAAAATGTATATATATATGATCAATGTCCAGGTAGGATGTAGGTGATACCAGCTTAGAGAGAAATTGGCTAGTCTTGTTAGACATAAAGTCTTAGGATTTACACACATTTTGTATTTTCTCTGAGCTTAGAACAGGTTCTTGGACAGAGCAGGAACTCAGCAGGTGTAGAAAATAATCGACTTCTTTTCAGTATTTGACATGATAGCGCCTTCCTTTGTTGTCTTTGGTCACATGCTTTCCTGGTCACTTTTCTACTTCCTTTTTCTTCTCTATTACCGTATCTGGATATTCTTTCTCTTCCTGCAACTTAGTGCTAGAGTTCCCTAAAGCTTTGGTCTTCAATCTTCTCTCCAAGACCTTATGCCTCTTGTGTCTCAAATATGTTCTTTATCCCTTTGACTCAGTTGAGCACTAGCCCTTATTTCCCCGGTTCCCTAATATTCAGTTCCTCTTAGATGTCCTAGTGACCCTCAAATTCCAGTATGTTCTAGACTAAGCCCATTTTCTTCTTTTCCAAATTAGTATATCTTCGATCCTTGTTTCTGTTCATGCTCCTACTGTTTTTCTCCAGCACCCCAGGTCAGAATCTCAGAAATTATCTTTGACCCCTTTCCTCCATTCATTTTTACATAAATCAATCATTAACTACTAGTTCAGTATCTCATTGCCTCGTGCTTGGAATTCTGTGCCCTCCTTCCACTGTTTTCCTGGTTTACCTGTACGTTTTATTCCAGAGGAAATGAGAAAAGGCTGCACTGTGTAGAGGGGAGATCACAGAATTTGATCTAAAGCCTGACCCACCCGGTTTCAAACCTGAACACAGAGGCACTCACTAGCCAGGCAACTTATAATGAATTATTTAAATTCTCTGAATGTCAGTTTTTGTGTCTGAAAAGTGGGAGGTCTTAGTACTTATGTTACAAGATGGTTGTGAATATAAATAAAATAATCGTCTTAGTGCCAACACAGTCCCTTATATATATTAGCCAAGAAATATTTGTTGACTTGTTGAATTAAGTTTTGTGGCATGCTGTGTCATCATGCAAATTGAAATATGGGTTAAGAAGCAAAGTGTCAAAAGAGCTAGTATTTGAGTAAAGTAAGTGGATTTTTTAGTATTTTTGGCAAAGAGTAAAATTTTTGGCAAAACTTTACTCTGTGTAAAAATGTTAGAACACTAAAGAAGAATCTAGTTATTAGTAGTTGTCAAGTTATACAATAGAAGCTCTCTGAAGATTCATTTCCTTGGAGGGATGAGTAGGAAAAAAGGATGTACGTACACTAATATCCATGCATGTTCCACATTCAAACATTTCTAGAAATAAATGGAGAGGAACGCGTCTTCAAGTGGTAAATGGCAATATGCAGGCATCTTAATTTTTATTATGAATATTTTTATTACCTTAATGTCCCTAGGTAAAAATTGATCTCAGTAGACTGTGCTCACCTAAGTCAGTATCAGTATCCCTTTCCTTTTTTAAGGGGGAAAGATGTTAAAGTAAAAAATATATATTTTTGGCCAGGCGCCGTGGCTCATGCCTGTAATCCCAGCACTTTGGGAGTTGAGGCAGGCGGATCACGAGGTCAGGAGTTTGAGACCAGCCTGACCAACATGGTAAAACCCCATCTCTACTAAAAATACAAAAATTAGCTGGGCGTGGTGGTGTGCACCTGTAATCCCAGCTACTCAGGAGGTTGAGGCAGGAGAATCGCTTGAAAATGTATGTTTTCTAGGCTTTGGTAGGTGGTATGGAAGAGAAGCAAAGTAGGAATACCTTCCTGATAGTAGGAAACTAGGGTTGATTTCACCTGGCACATAGCTCCAAAAAGTGGGAGAATTATCTCCACTGCCCGTGTATCTTTCCTAGTCATTTAGTGATAATTTCCTGTGTGCCAGGAGCAATGATCTGCACAATGGTATTTTTCAAGACCCAGAGCTTAGGCCGCTACAAGTCTTAATACTTAAAAGCCCACATCTACATTGTTGCCTCTAAAAGTGTTTGCAAAATTAATATTTTGGCTGGTATTACATATTGAGTTCTCTTTGAACATCCACAGTTCACTTATTTTGAAAGCTCAATTGATTTTGAGCATTCAATTCCATTTTAAAATAGAGGAAATTTAAAGCAGTGGTTTTTAGAGCACAAAATAGGCCTTGATCTTTTGGAATTGAAGAACTCTTAGAAGAAAGGAGAGAAAATAATTAAGATAGAGCTAGTTATCAAAACTGCCCTTTGAAATCTAAGTGTAGACATTGGTAGCTTACATTGGTTGCTGACCGTTGGGGGGAATATATATATATGAATATTTTAAGCAGTGGTTTATTTATACTCACGAGGAGATAGGCTATTATTGTGGGAAACCAGTTCAGTTGCAAGAGGTCAAATATGGTGCAGGTATGCATAGGAAAATGCACTGTGAAATAAATGACTGTTGCAGAAATTTGCCTGAATTCAGACTTGCTTTAGACACTCTGTTTTTGTTTTCTTGCTCTTCTCGCAGTTCTCTTTTCTAAAGTTAATCTTTTACCTTCTCAACACATGGCTTTTATGTGTTTGGAGTGTGAAATTGATTGGTGTAGCTTTCAAGACTTGTTTCAGATTCAATTCAAATGATGATTCTGTTTTTCTAGTCTGAAAACATTTTAAGTCTTCAAATGATTGTCACAGTCAGGTTGTAGTTAGCATAACTGCTTTCAAAGTTAGATTTAAACTTAGGCTCCCAGATTTAATATACATTATGTAATTAAGCACCTATAATATAAATATATAAGATAATAATAAATCTCTGTCCTAAAAATTAATGTCAAATGTTATTTTTTAGCTTTACATAAGTGTAAAGATAGTCTCTATTTGATTTTAGCTTTATAGCATAAAATTACAGTTGACCAGACTGTCACCAGGCAACTGAAAGCAAAGCTTTTGTTGTTGTTGTTGTTGCTCATTGTCTTAGACGTGTAATTAATGATGGTGGAATGTAGGGGAAGGGCAGGCAATGAAGGGGAAGCACTCAGTCATTAGGGGGAACCAGGGTGAGACATTTTGCCATGGTGGATTTTTCAGAATGGAACAAGCAGGAAAAAGGAAATGGTTCTCTATGGATATTGTTCACTGCTGTGTGCATATAAAGACAACAGTCAGGTGTCATATGCAAAACAGCAAAAAGTTACTCTAACTTTGATGAGAAGCAAACAGGGTATTCATAAAAGAGCATAAAAACAAAATTAGGTGAGGTATCCTGTGAAAAGGAAACTTACTAGGCTAAAGTAAAATAATTGCTGTTTACTGTAGGTCGAGTGCCAAGCACAGACAGTAATATTCAAATCAACAATGACTGGATCCTTGCTAGCTCCTTTCCCTTGCTGAGACTCAGTATTGGATAAGCCCAGAGTATCCACGCTGTGAAACCTGCCCAGCTTTCTCTGTCACTCTTTAGATTCAGGCCTGTGTCATTTCCTTAATAGTTTTGTGATGGTTAATGACTTTACATCATTATTTCCATTACTATTTGAAAACAAGTAGTAAACAGAGATTGTAACCCCTGGATATTCATGCTTTTCCAGTGAAATGGCAGGATCCTGGAATTAGGAAGGATGAGAGAGAAAATGTCATTTATAGGATTATATGTTGTAGTCTTGGTTATCCAGATTGGAATTAGGTACATGGTTTGTTTGGGCCTGAAATTTTATAGCCCAGCCTGATTCACCCTGGCATGTCTGAGCTATCTCTTTATTTTTAATTGGTATATGTTTTCAGTGAGGGAAACATTAAACCATATTTTAAAGGTGGCTAAAATTTTAGCAATTAGGATGTACAATAAGTAAAATTAATAAATAGAGTCATACACCACATAATGACATTTTGGTCAACAATGGACCACATATGTGACAGTGGTATAAGATTATAATGGAGTTGAAAAATGTCTATGGCGTAGTGACATAGGCGTTGTAGCCACATCTTAACATCTGAGCATAACACATTACCCTTTCTATGTTTAGATGTGTTTAGATACAAAAATACTTATCATTGTGTCACAGTTGCCTACAGTATTCAGTACAGTAACGTGTTGTACAGGTTTGTAGCCTAGGAGCAATGGGCTATATCATATAGCCTAGCCATGGAGTAGGCTAGACACTTAGGTTTGTGTAAGTACTTTCTGTGATATTCACACAATAACACAATGGCATGATGAAGCATTTTAAAGAAGGTATCGTTGTCATTAAGCAACACGTGGCTGTAAAATCGAGCTGAGCACACCTATGCTCTCTATGGTCACCTCCTCGCTGCTTTGTTACATTAGTGGCTAGGTGAGGTTTAATCTTTATATATGGATGTGGTGTTGGGCTAAGCATTTTCACATCTATAATGTCGTGTTAGGTAGGTCTTATTGTCTCTGTTTTATAGCTGAGAAAACCAGAGAGATTAAATGATTTACCTGATTTGTGGCAAATCATCTCTATGGTATTTGAACCCAGGTCTTAAAATTTCACAACAGGTGGCCTTTCTCTCTTTATCTCTTACTTAAAAATTGGCTTAGTCTGGGAGGGGCAGTCTCTTGACAATCTGAAAGGTTTTTACAATTGGTGACTTTTCTGCCACACCAAGCAGCCAATTGAGTGAGTAAATTTGTTATATAAATTTTTCTATAAATTATTTTCTAAGTGAAAATAATTTTCTGTATTCTGTTAAGTGAATCCATTCACTGAAAATACAGAGGTATATTCCAGTAGAATTTAAAAATGTGGGTATTATGCTCTGTTAATAAAATCACCTGTAAGAACATAGCATGTCTTTATAATCACATATCTTAAGGAAAATAACCTTTTGATAAACCAATAATAAATAATATCAGATACTAAGATTGAGACTCAAACTATGGACATCAATAAGTGCCATAGTCAAAATACATCAAAATAATACTCTAAAAGTAAAACCAGAAAAAGTGATTTGGTTTGTAAATTCCTTAATTTAGGAGTTAAGTGAGGGATAGTGGTACTTGAAGCCAAGATAAATGTATCCTGCAAATTTAGGCTGCCAAGAATGTTTAGATTATATTGAGCTGCCTTATTTCATCTTGAAATGATGAAATAGACAAATGAATCCAGCAGGAAGTCATTTAACTGAAAAAGATGGAAGATGAAGCATTCACAATAATATGGATCTGGTAAAAGCCCACTGCCTTCCCTCTCTTTCTCTTTCCTCCCCACCCTGATCTTCAACCCAGACTCTGCAGGGACAGTGACAAAGAGACAGGTTTGGGGTAGGGGTGGGGGTGTAGACTTGGCTCTGGTGATGTAGCTTGTCGGATACAATATGGCCTTATTTTCAAACGTTCTTTCAGCACAGAGCCAGTTTATAGCACCAAGGCTGCAGAAGACCAGGGGTGTAGGATAGTGGATTGTGGCCTGAGGCACTTACTTGCTTGAGAAAAATTGCTGCCAGAAGAGTGGTTTCAAAAAGCTGAGGCTGCTGCTGTGGTTGCTAGTGGGTAGAGGATTAAAGGGAATGCAGCTTTTCCTCTCCTGTCTAAATATTTGCTGGAGAGCAAATGGGCTTTTGTGTGCCTGTGTATTTCCTTTTTCTATTGGGGAAATTACAAGTAATACAGGAACATCCTGTGATAAAATATATGAAGTAGAGGCTGAGGGAGCAGAGAGATGAAGTCGAAGAAATGTGCCCCAGGTCTGTGGCCTGCTGTACGGTGACTAAATTCTTAGCATGGTGAATTGGTAAGTCTACAGATGATTAACTACAGTGTAAACAAGACATATATGGAACATAAATATGAGATAGGCCATTCCATCAGCAGCTTTTAGTGTAAAAAGCATCCGTTCCCCTCAAAGAGACCATGAATGTTTTCACAAGCTTAAATTTTATTTTATTTTAAGTAAGTACCCACTCTGGAAGATTTCCAATGAGAATAAACCCATGTAATCTCAAATACTCACGCATCTGAATGAGCAGAACTTTCTTTGTGTTTCTCAAAGTAGTATGATACATGACTCTCCCAGTTCCATATCTGCTAATCTGGTTAGATCCCTGCACCAACTAGTGAGACGGATAACTTAGAGTGTAACTCTGAGTTTCCAGGCAAAGAAATGTAGGAAAGATCTTAACTTGTATTTGTTAACTCTGCTAAAAATAGGAATGTAGAACTTTCTTGAAAATACTAATCTTTGTTCTCATTATCCCTCTTCAAAAGGAGGTTTACGTATGGCTCCAAATAAATAGACTTGCCTTATTAACATTTTTATTTGCCGATCCTCACTTTATAAAATTGCATATTAACAAATATTTTATAACCACAAGTTACATTTCAAATTATTTGCTTGCCACCTTTTAATAAACTGAGTTCTCTTTTCTGAAGGAGCCTTTTTTGGAGCTTGAAAAAAGCCCTCACAGCAGGGTAACAGGAAGACCCCCTCCTCCAGCCAAAAGAGTCCCACTGAGCCCCTGCTGGTGAGAGAGAGCCTTGGGAGGGATGTGAGAGGCAGAAACACAGGCTGCTGGCCCTAGCTCCTCCCTTCCACCGTCCCCAGAGACCAGGAGAGAGTGCCAGTGCGGGCCCATTGCCCTTATTCTCTTGGTCCAATCCTGCTAACTAGGGAAAGTGAAGAGCTGGTTGGTCTTTTGCAAGCCAGGAACCTACCAGGAGGGCACTCAATCTCCTCCCTCCTTCTGCTGGACCCTCTTAAAGAAAAATCTGCCTCTTTCTGGAAATAGCTTTTTCCATGGGTCTGCACAATGGAGAGAAGATATGACTGTATCTCTTCTTGCTAAAACATAGTTACATGGGTAATTGAGTGCCCTGGAGCAGCAGAGATATCAAGGTGTTGACAAGGCCGTGCCCAGATTAGAAAGGTTCTTTCCACAGCACAGCACCTGCTTTTTCTGAGCTCATCAGGTAGAGCTGCCCTTCAGTTAACCAGATTTCTGCTCCCTCATATGGAGGAGAGTCAAACTTCTAATTGAAGAATGACATATATTCAGAAAAGTGCACAGATCATAAGTATACATCTCAAAGAATTTTCATGTTCTCACTCATAGGTGGGAATTGAACAATGAGAACACTTGGACACAGGAAGGGGAACATCACACACCGGGGCCTGTCGTGGGGTGGGGGGAGGGGGGGAGGGATAGCATTAGGAGATATACCTAATGTAAATGACAAGTTAATGGGTGCAGTACACCAACATGGCGCATGTATACATATATAACAAACCTGCACGTTGTGCACATGTACCCTAGAACTCAAAGTATAATTAAAAAAATAAAAAATAAAAAATAAAGAATTTTCACAAATAGGAGCACTCGTAACACATATCCAGGTCACATTTATCATTTTATAATGATGTTTCTTTCCTGATGATAAAAGCACTTGTAGAAAGTTTGGAAAATACATCAAAGTATAATAATGGAAATAAAAACCATCCATTGTACCTATACCCGAAGAGGAGTACCGATAGTATTTTGGTGTATTTCCATTCTGTCTGTCTCTCCCCCTCACATACACAGATACATGCATGTCTATAAATACACTCACACAGGAACACAGCTTCTGAAACTTTATGCATGTGTGTGCAAACACACAGCAGTTTTATTAAATAGTTACACTGAATGACATACAGATTTTTAGATATTTCACTCTGTGGTTGTTGGCTTCAACACCAGAAGGGCAGAGAAAGAAAGGGAAACTGAAACCCATCTGTCTTTTTGCTTGGTAGCAGGAAAAAGGGGCTTTTTGTGGGGGAGGAGATTGAAATAAATGGCTGACATATAAATAAGGATGGTTCGTAGATTTTATTTATCTAGTATTTTCCATCTCCATGAAAACTAAGCATTGATGATAGAAAGTTCAGAAACTTCTGGGTAGAGACCCTCTTCTTGTAGAGCAGAGATGAGACATCAACTTAGACTTTTTTGGCTGCTCTGTGGAACTAAACCCCTCTGGGCTGCAGTTCCACTTTGCCAGAAGACCAACTTTCCTTTCTTTCTCTTTTAGTTAGCTCTCTTGCAGATACCAAAACAGACTTAAACTGTAGCAACCCTTGTTTTAACAAAAGGAAGCTGAGTCAAAATGTTGGAAATGAGCCCGGTGGTTTTGTGAGTTGCAGCAAAATTATCTTCCCCATCCCTACTGCAATGGATGAAATGATGCCTGTGTGGTGCTGGTTGCTTTGGTCCAGCTGAGTTTCCTGCACACATTGTCAGGAGAGGGCAGTTGGCACCAGCTTCCCGTTGCTATTGGTTGTGCAGGATGTGCTCTCCATCTGCCTCCTGGCTGGCCGAGGGCTCAGCTTCTAAGTGGCGGTGGCGGGGTGGCGGGGTGGCGGGGGGACTTTGATGGCATTCCTTGTGTTGAATAAAGTTGTCTCTTTGAGAACTGCCCATACCCTTATTTTTTATTTTTTATTTTTTTTTAAAAAAAGAAAAACATATTTTGTTTTCTTACATACTTGTCATTTGAGTTGTCACACAGAAAATATATTGGACTTCTTGTATTTGTAAAATGTCTTCTCAGATCACTCCTTTTTCCTTTCTTGTTAAAAACAGGTTCACAGACAGTATGAAGTGGCCTTTCTGTTTACATGTGTTCTTGTTGTATTGTCTTTGCAGTCGAAATCAGCTGTCCGCCCTGCCTGCCTGCCTGTGTGGTCTGCCTCTCAAAGTCTTAATCGCAAGTAACAACAAACTTGGATCATTACCAGAAGAGATAGGTCAGCTCAAACAGTTAATGGAGCTGGTATGTTACCGATTTTTAAGATGCTCTTTTTTGTTGGTTGACTGATCATAGCCTCTCAAGGTATTCAGAAAACCTTTTTGCTACGGTTGGACAAGGTAGAGCCTCTGTTGTTTGAGGGCAGGTATATGATAAAGACATTAAGTGGGGAGAGGAACAGCTTTGAAACTTCACTGTGACAGACACAGTTCCTGGAATTTAAAGGCTTCCTGTAATTTACAGCTCCTGAAGTTTGCAGGATTTGCCGTTTTTGAAGTTTATGGGCTATCATGTTGTAGTTAGTATTTTCAGATTGCATATAAATTTGTAAAAAATTATGGCTAAACTGCCAAAATAATCTCCAAATAAGTTAGTAGGCCACACTTCATGAAGGTATAAAATTAAGTCAGAAGACAGAAAGAATGGGGTGCTCTGATTCTGTCGAGATTTTAGAAATCATTGTCGCAAATCGTTGTAATTTTAAAATGTGACCGTGTCCCTAGGGATAGAAAAGGAGAACAAGCTATAGATGAGCAGAGATGGATTACAAATGTGTGTGAAGCTGAGATGCACTGTTATATTTCAGCTCTTTCACTACTAATTTAATTATTTACCCTTTTTCTAAATTGGGAAAGAATGAATACTTTCTAAACTTCCATTGAGCTAACATAGGTGAAGGAAGAAGCAGGAGTTAGCAGTCAGGCTGAAAGGTGATAGTCTTCATTTATCATCTAAGCATTGGCTTATTCCATCCTGATCTTGTGTCAGGCACAGGGCTTGATGTGATTAAATGATGAAAAGGGCACAGTACCTGTCTTTCAGTAGATTCCAGTCTAGAACAATGATGGCCAATAAGTTTTGTCTTTTGTGCCAACTCCTCTGGGGCCACCCGGAGCACCACGGTGCTGGCCTGTGAGGCCCAGATAGAGAATGCTGTGATTGCTTAGTCATGTCTTTAGTGGGATTGGGCTAGGAGAGTGATGGCACCCATGTCACATACGTATCAACTTTGACTTTAATATAGAAATTAATAATTGCTGTAGAAAGACGTTAGAGCTATAGAAAGTGTCTTTTTCATGGATTATTTGATAGCATTGTCCAAAACTCATTCCAGCTAGCTCACACCAAAAGTCAGCGTTGGTTAGAGGATACAGGGGTCCATCAGATCACTTACGATGAAGACATTTGGTCACAGGTCATGAGTGACTAGGACAAGACACTGGAATGTTGTGAAGGACCATGGCAGCGGTTCATTTTTCTGCTCAGCTTTTCCTCTTCCATACAACGGCAGAGGTTGCCCAAGTTTAAATGTTCTCCCAGGTAAAGCACCTAGCAAGAGACCTACTAGCATCTCTCAGCCCTGGGTTCTAAGTGAGAGGCAGATCTGGTCTGATGTTCTCGCCGACTGAGTCTGCTGTGCCCAAGGCACATGGTCACACTGCTCAGATGTGGCTGTTGGGCTGCCACCAAAGGGGGTAATTCTGAAAGAAGACAGATATTAATTTGAGCAGACACTGCCCATCCCCCCCCAACCCTGTCCCCAAAAGTTTCTATTACAAGAAGCATGTGCACGAGGCAGGGAATGATTAATTAATTCAGTCTTCGGGTTGTGAGAGGTTTGGAAAAGAAGAGCCCTTTGAGAGGCCCCTTAAATAAGCCCATGTGGGATTTCCTAGGAGGAAAAAAGAAGTCAGGGACAGGGAAAGCATTCAAGGAGAAGGGACAGCTTGTGCAAAGGCAATACATCCTAGAAGTCCATGTCGTGCTTGGGAGTAGGAAGCCGTTTAATCCTGCTGAAGTCTAGGTAGATAGAATGGGGCTGGGCACACCCTCCTCATGCCCACTGCCTTAGATTTAGGCCACAGGCAACTCCTTCACAGGGCATTCGAGGCCTTCTGTGGTCAGGCCCCTGCTCACCTCTTCGGGTTCATCTCTTGCCACTGGCACCTTCACTCTCCAAGTTCCTACCTTCTGGGAATGCACCTTGTTCATTTTCATTTCTGGACTTGTGCACACATCACTCTTTCGTCATGGGCTGTTTCTTCCTCCCCGCTCCTTTCTTGGTTAGTTCTTAGCCAAGTTAGATCTCACTTTGTCCAAAAAGCCTTCCCAGATCCTCCAAGCCTGAGTTAGGTGCTCCTAAGGCAAGCACTCCATACTTATTACTCAATTTTCATAGCATCACAGTTGTTTTCTTACTTGGCTTTCTCTGTGCCAGCTCCCCCCACACCCTGATAGCTGCTTACTTGCTGTTGCATCCCAGGTGCCTGGCACCTGATAGGCACCCAGCAGATGTTTGCTGAATGTTACTGTTGAATGGTGGAAGGTGAACCTGGAAAGATGGCTGGGGCAGATTGTGAAGACCGTCAGGTGCTGGGCCTGAATGGGGCTGAGGGGGCAGGAAGACTCAATCTTGCTGTCCACATAACTCAGAAGGTGCCATTTTAACTGGTTCTAGGAAACAAAAAATTTCCTAGGTGAAAGCTTTGGATGAAAGTGACGGTCATATGCTGCTGCTTTTTCTTTTAATGCTTCTTTTAGGTATCTGATAGCCACAAAATCCATGGTTGCTAAAATTTGGTTTAGGATTTGCAAATACAATATGAATAACAACTAAAAAAACCAGACTTTATTTTTAAGAGCAGTTTTAGGTTCACAGCAAAATTGAGAGGAAGGTACAAAGATATCCCACATACCCTCTACTCCCACACATGCACAATCTCTCTGTCATCAACGTTCCCCACCAGAGTGGTTCATTTGTTACAATCTGTGAACCTATCCGGACACATCAATGTCACCCAAAGTCCACAGTTTACATTAGTGTGTTCACTCTTGGTGTTGTACATTCTATCGGTTTGGGTAAATGTATAATGACATGTGTCTCTTTCACTACCCTACAAATCCTCTGTGTCATCCCTCCCTCCTCCTCAACCCTGGCAACCACTGATCTTTACTGTCTCCATAGTTTTGCCTTTTCCAGAATGTCATGTAGTTGGAACCATACAGTATGTAGCCTTTTCAGGTTGGTTTCTTTCACTTAGTAATATGCATTTAAGTTTCCTCCATGTTTTTCTATGGCTTGACGGCTCATTTTTTTTAGTGCTGAATAATATTCCACTGCCTGCACAGTTTATCTCCTCACCTCCTGAGGGACATCTTGGTGGCTTGCAAGTTTTGCCAATTATGAATAAAGCTGACAAGTTGCTTTTTTTTTTCATTATTTGAGGTCCCGTGCAGATGGGTGGCACATGGGTGAGATCAATCTTCTGGAACTTTTTGGTGCTGATACGTGCTTCTGTCCCATGAACCTTGGGTGTAAATGACACCGCATGCCTTCCATCAGCTGTGCTCTAGAGCTGTGTCAACCAGCTCATCTGTTAGCAGGTGGCACATGTGCTGAGCCTGAGAGTCAGCCGCATACTAGAGCAGGGCTTTCCTCAAATACCCTTTGTCAGCTGCAGGGCTGACGTGTAAACAGCGTTGTCTCCAGCGTCAGGACACACTGGCTGTCGGGTGGCTCTAAGGGACACCCCATGCTTTTCTTGGGCACCCTGTCCTGGCCCCAGCTCTAACGAGGGCTGCCCTGCATTACAGGACTGTCTTCACCTGGTTCTTGTGTCTTTTCTCCACCAGCAATAACTGCTGAACCCACAGGTTCTAGGATCTTAGAGTGATAGGGGATTGTAAAAGGCATTTAGTCCAAACTCTTGACATCTTACGAATGAAGAAACCCGAGGCAGAAAGCCAGTGCATGACATACGGAAGGTCACCCCTGTGTAGCTAAATTGTAACATAAGCTGAAACACCCTCACCCAGCGCAGTCCTGTGGAAATATAATGTAAGCAGTAAATGTGATTTTTAAAGTACTGGTAGATACATAGCCAAGTAAGAAGCAAGTGAAATTAATTGTAATAATATTTATTTAACCTGAAATAGCCAAAACGTTATTACTTCGTCACCTGTATAATATAAAAAATATTAATGAGATATTTTAGGTGCTTTTTTTTCATGCTAAGTCTTTGAAATCCTGTGTGTATGTAACTCTGAAAGTGCATCACAGGTTGGACTGGCCACATTTCTGGTGTTCAGTGGCCACCCTCCTGGATTCGGCAGCTCCGTCACCTGTGTTCTTTCCGTTCCCTGCCCCTGTGTATGAGCAAGCGTGATCTTTGGAAAAGCATTTACTTATGAAGTTGGCAAAAATTTAATAAGTGGTCATTATTTAACCACAAAGAGGGACTGGCCTTGCTTAAGGTCACGGTCTAAAAAAAAGATTATTTTCCATCCATTCTCACTTATCTTTCATCTTTTTGCTTAAAATAGTAGTGTTACTATAGGTAACCATATCATTATTTTTAGCTATCAATTGGAAAAAAAAATTCCCTGGAGGGCCAGAAGTAATTCTAGAATTGCCGTGGGAGGCTTCTGTTTTGTAGTCACGAAGTAACCAACTTATTATAAGATTTGGGAGCACCCCAAGCATTCAGAATACTTGAAGCCCTTTAGCGCCGAGACAGTGTCTCAGCTTATTAGGCTCTAAGCATTGTTTGTTAACTATTTTAGAAGAAATATTTTTAAATTGTTCACATTAGACTCAGAGTATTCCAAATGGAATTTTTTTTTTTTTTTTTTTTTTTTTTGAGACAGAGTCTTGCTCTGTCACCCAGGCTGGAGTGCAGCGGCTGTCGCCGAGGCTAGAGTGCAGCGGCACAATCTCTGCTCACTGCAGGCTCCGCCTCCCAGGTTCAAGCAATTCTCCTGCCTCAGCCTCCCAACTAGCTGGGACTACAGGCACGTACCACTGCACCCAGCTAACATTTTGTATTTTTAGTAGAGATGGGGTTTCACTGTGTTGGCCAGGCTGCTGTCGAACTCCTGACCTCAAGTGATCCACCCACCTTGGCCTCCCAAAGTGCTGGGATTACAGGCATGAGCCACCATGCTTGGTCAGAATTGTGAACTCTCTTTTTTTCTAAGTGTGAGTGAACATTCCAGAGTCAGCAATCCCTTAAAAAAATAAATAAATAAAATAAAAAAACTTTAGCCATCTACAACAAAGCAGTTGTCCTTTCTAATTTGTGAAAGGAATTGGAGTTGGAAAATGGTATCTTATCTTTCTAAATACATTAGAATTATATAAGATCTTTTTTTAATGCATTCCCATTCAGTCACTGCCTTGTCCTGCCATTTGAGACTGTGCAGGGAATGTCGAAAAGCAGTTGTTCCCCCTCCCATGAGGAAGCCACAAAGAGACACTACTGAGATGTCCTTTTCTTGACTCAACAAGAGCAGCCAGGTTGTATTTCCACATTGTTGCAGGTGCAGGAAAACTTATGGAATCTTAGCTCCATGGAGCTGGCCCCTCCAGGGTCATTTCAGATGGGAATGATCTGAAACTTTCTGACCTTCCTGGCTGCTCTGAATGACTTCTATGTGCTCTGTTGCCTCACTGCTGTAGCAGTATGGATATGTTGCTTTGTACGTCTATCTGCCTGTGCTTTCTATAAGGGGAAGAGATAAAGCATTCACATTTACTGAGCACCTGCTATATACCAGGCACTCTGCTAGGTATACATGTATTATTTCATATAGTCTTGAAAATAAGCTAGCAAGGTAGGTATCATGTTTATATTTTACAAATAAGTTTCAATTTTAGAATTACTTAGCCAAAGCCACAAGGATATGAAGAGGTAGAGCTGGAGTCAAAACCAGGTTTTTTAATCAGCGTCCTCACCACAATACAGCACTGTCTCTTCACCGAAACTGTAAGCCCCTCATGGAGTGGGGCTGTGATTTTTCTCCTTGGAGTTCCCTGGTTTAACTCCTAGTGGTTTTTCCATTAAAGTTGTGGGAGGAAAATGTTACAAAAAAAAAGGTTTGGTACAAATGGTCAATGTCTCACTAATGTTTTGTTACTGTGGAACCAAGAGTCAGGGAAGGGATCTGTAGACTTGTGTTGGCTAAATCTCATTTTACTCATTAAAACCTTGTTAACATATTGGAAACATGGTTCTTTTACTGCTAAACCATGCCTGATGGATGAGGTATATTTGTTAAGAGATGCTGTATAAATGCCATGTGTTATAATTAACAGGCAGCTGTAAAAACAAACACACTGTTAGAACACAATAAAATTGAGAGCCTTTTATGGGGCATTTGCCAAAGAAGAGTTTTCTCATTGGTTCCCTGTACATGGTGACATGTTGTGGTCCAGAGATGTTTTTTTTTCAATTCTGTCCTCTCTGAAGTCATGCAGTGTGTGAAAATCATGTCTTCTAGCTCTTACCTTCACATAAGAGAACACAGTATCTCTGATTTAAAACCTGCTTTTCTAATCAAAAATCTCACAAGGCCTGGCTCAAGTAACGACTTGTTGGAAGGTGCATTTCCTGGCCTTGATTGGATATGCTATTTTTTATTCTTTTTTCATGAAATGTTTGGTTGTGTGGAGAGTTTGGATTCAAAGATTGATTATTGAGCAGCTGCTGAGGAAAATCCCTTCTTCATTATTTGCTTGGGTAGCGTTCCAATCTCTGAGGGAGATAACAGCGGAGGCATAAATTCACGTGCTCGCCATGCTGTTTGTCCATTCATTGTCTCTGGAGGCGCCTCCTAACCTCTGGTTTCTGTGGGATGATTGGAAACCCAGGGCTTGCGCAAGGCCCTCTGTGCTTCCATTTCTGCCTTTCTTCTGAAGAGCAGTGGGGTAGGCCGTGTGTTTGTAAACTTAGGAGAACTGTGCAACAGAGTTTTGCTCTGGAAAAAGACACTGGTGTTGAAAGGTGATAATTTGTCATCCCAGAGCTTTCTTGAGAAAGTTTCAAGTTTAAATGAACATATTTTCTT
Source organism: Homo sapiens (assembly GCF_000001405.40). Lineage (NCBI taxonomy): Eukaryota > Metazoa > Chordata > Mammalia > Primates > Hominidae > Homo > Homo sapiens. The sequence continues at coordinate 46,675,979 of NC_000013.11, forward strand.
TTTAAGACAGCGAGTTCTGGCCGGGTGCGGTGGCTCATGCCTGTAATCCCAGCACTTTGGGAGGCCGAGGTCAGGAGTTCGAGACCAGCCTGACCAACATGGTGAAACCCTGTCTCTACTAAAAATACAAAAATTAGCCAGGCATGGTGGCATGCACCTGTAATCTCAGCTACACAGCAGGCTGAGGGAGGAGAATCGCTTGAACCTGGGAGGTGGAGGTTGCAGCAAGCCGAGATTGCGCCACCGCACTCCAGCCTGGGTGACAGAGACTCCGTCTCGGTGGGGTGGGGGGAAAGACAGCAAGTTCTGACCACAAGCATTGAGGGTTTTTGACTGTTAAGAAATCAAAATTGACATTTCCCGGTTAGTTACATACCTGTGTTTCAACCAAAATCATTTCATTATCTCTGATGTAGCAAATGGACTTTCCTCATATTGGAGGATAATTAGAATTATTTAATCCTTACCTGTTCTTTTGATAGAGACACAGAAAGGGTAAGACATTTACCTAAAGTTACACAGTGAGTCATACAAAATGCACTTCCACAAAAGGGCATGGCTACGTGATAGGAGGCTACTATTAGTAGCTTGCAGTTCCTGTCAGAACGTTTGCATTTTATTCAATTAAATAAAGAGCTAGATTCTTACAAAAATACATCTCAAGCAGTATTACCATAAACCTAAGTGTCAGAGCAAGGTCACGTGTACAAATACTACCTGCAGTTCCAGTGTGTGTCCTGGTCTTACTGGAATTATTCTGTAACCAAGATCATCTTGACACAGTATTTATATTGTTTTTCTTTTTTCTTTTTGTTTTGAGACAGGGTCTTACTGTGTCACTCAGGCTGGAATGCAGTGCCATGGTCACAGCTCACTGCAGCCTTGACCTCTCGGGCTCAAGCAATCCTCCCACCTTAGCCTCCCGAGTAGCTGAAACCACGGGTGCATGCCACCATGCCCGACTAATTTTTTAAGTCTTTTTGTAGAGTCAGGGTTTCCTAATGTTCTCTAGGCTGGTCTAAAACTCCAGAGCTCAAGCGATCTGCCCACCTTGGCCTTCCAAAGTGCTGGGAATATAGGCATGAAACATCGTGCCCGGCCTATGTTGGTTTTCACTAGACATCATTCCTTAAAAAAATACTTCTAGTCAGCCGGGCACGGTGGCTCACGCCTGTAATTCCAACACTTTGGGAGGCCAAAGCGGGTGGATCACCTGAGGTCAGGAGTTCGAGACCAGCCTGGCCAACATGGTGAAACCTCGTCTCTACTAAAAATACAAAAAAAAAAAAAAAAAAAAAAAGTTAGCCATGTGTGGTGGCACACACCTGTAATCTCAGCTACCTGGGAGACTGAGGCGGGAGAATCGCTTGAACCTGGGCGGCAGAGGTTTGCAGTGAGCCAAGATCGCGCCATCGCACTCCAATCTGGGCGACAGAGCGAGACAATGTCTCAAAACAAAACAAAACAAAAAAAACTTCTAGTCTCTTTTACCATATTGCTTTCTGAAAGTGAGTATAACCTAGTTTAATAATCCCTGAATTTATTCTCCGAATTTAAATCCTTGTTATTTTTGCATTCTGAAGGTCAGTTAGCAACGAGCACTTAGTAACAAAAATATATTAAACTCCAACATGGTTTTAATACTTCTAGAGACTCTTTTTATTGTGATGAGGAGAGAATCTTATTTCTAAAGTTTTTCTTTTGGTTACCTAAAAACATGATGACCAGTGGAAAGTAAGTATGTGTTAAGTCACAGTTCAAATTCTCTATTTTGTTTTTTATCTAAATGACAAAGTTGGACTGACTGGTCTATAAAAAACTTAAACTTGAGTATTTATATTACTATAATTAGATTCGTTTCTATCAAAAAGAATAAATTCAGTAAATATTTATAACATGCTCATGATTCTTTCTGATCTGCCTGTGTATTTGTGGTATTATAGTACTAACTATAGGGTGCTATGATTTCACTGAAGTTTGGAATCATTCTCTAAGACATAGCTTAGGGCTAATAGAAAATTCAGAAGGGATTCATTTGACTATTTTAATAAATAACTGAATATGGAATTTATAAGCTGATAAATTCTTACTAATTGCCGAAGTTGAGGCATTAGTGTTGTTTTTATTTACATTCATTTTCCTAAATCGTATCTTCTTTAAATCAGTCTGTAAAATTCATACCTTATCTTAGGCTGAATTTGAACAAAAGTGTTCTAGAGAACAAGGCCATTCTAGAAATATTGCTTTTACATTTTCAAAACAGGAGTATTTTATCCCCAAACACCTAGACTATTATCTCCTGTTTCTTTCTCCTTAACCCCCAGCTAATTCAGATAGTGACCCATGGGGTTTTATTTTTGTGATGAATTTATAACCTTTTTAAAACGTGGCAAGTTTCAATGCCTTGTGGGAATAGAGTTTTGCACTATTTCTACAATATTGATTACACAGTAGTGAAATGTTATCTTATGTGCTAAATCTGCTTGGGCGTTTTCCCCCCATTATTTGTCAGGACAGGAAGTAATTGACAACAGTGCAGAGTACTATTAAAATAATTTGACCTTCACCATATACCCTCCAAAATGTGAATGGACAATTGGACTTTGTGTTTTGAATTGTCTACAGATATCCTGTCCTCTAAATCAGAAGGAAAAAAACTTGTATTTATCGTTACAGGAAGTTTTTTAAAGTAAATTGACCATTTTCCCTACTGCCAAATAAGTTTTCAAATATCGCTAGGGGGAGTTGATTTTTTAATAAGGCTATTATGTTAGAAACATACGATGGAAAAAAATCACCTTATGATTAGAGAAACAGCATATTTTGATTTCCTAGCTAACTCAACCATGACCAGCAAAGAGCAAGGTGAGTATAGTTCACACTAAAAAATGGAATAAGGCTTAGTTTCATCTCATGCTGTGAATAACGTGCTACCTAAATGTATCTGTTATCTTTTTGCTTTCCTCTCCTCCTTCCTTATTTATTCAGAGAAAGATTTTTAAAAAATTATGTCTTTGAAGCTTCTGGAAATTGTCAGTTTCATATTGAAAATCTGTGATTTCCATAATTTATATAAGGATCTTTCTCGTGCTGTCACTCACAAGACTGAAAAAACTTGTTTTAGATGCCAATAACGTCCATTTTCTCTAGAGATGGCAAATAATTCCTTCTAATTCTTCCCCACGAGCACGCCCATTTCTCCTGCCAACAACATCACCCAAGTGACTGTATCTGGTCATGAGTTCCATAGAAGGATTTGATTTCCTGCATTTCTAGGACTCACCTGTGTGGTATTTGTGTGAGGACTCTTTTAAAATAGGATGGAATGGCACCTTTTGCTTATTTGTAACTTAGTTAAGGCAAAGAAAGCTTTCATTGAAAGCATTTGATTGTTGGCTCTTGTGACTGAGCAAAGGCCCCCGTAATTGGGAAAAGATGGCATTTCACTGTTCTCTTCTCCCATGTGGAAATACATTCGGAAAGGCAGGGCAATTTACTGACTCAGCGAGGGGCTGAGAGTGACTGAACACGATCTCTGGACCTCCTAATTCTGTAATTACTTCCTTTGACGTTTTTGTCTCTGCAGATGTGCTTGTGGAGTTTGTTTCTGTTTTTGTTTTAAACACTGGAAGTGTTTTTCTCAAACTTGTGTGTGACTTTTCTGGGCCAGGAGGGATAGAGCAACCGCAGTTGGGGGTGATGCTGCTGAACACCCGGTGCTCTCAGCCCGTGCCACCCCACCTCCCCCATCAGACAGCTGTACAGAGAAGCTTGGGGAGGTATCTGCACTGTGCACACTCAGCCTTTATAGAGGACAACTTCATTCCTTTTTAGCAAGAGTGATACTGTTCCTCTTCATCGGGTGGTATCCATTGAGCACTGTCCTGGTGAGGACAGGTTGATAGATCACCTGAAGCCTTTTAGATGAGACCAGGTTAGAGGGCAGGGATCAACTGTGTTGTGTACAGCCTGGTCTAAATGTGGAGCCTGGGGGTGTTCACTGGATTGGTCGATGATGAGTTCATCTTATTTGAATGAAAGTGAAACAGATTTCTGAAACGAGGCTCTGCTGCCTTCTATGGTGAAAGGGGAGAGCTTTTCCAGGTTCAAAAGTAAAGCGGGATATTTAAGGCCTTGATCTCACTGGAATCATTTGTATCTTTAGTTCTGTGATGCCAAGTGGGACCTGCATGGGATTTGGTATGTATGTTGGAGCATCCTGGGTCCTAGGGTCCTGGAGACAGAAGGAGCCACAGTATTATGGAGTGTCACTGTAAGTGGATTTTAGAAGTTTGATCCAACATTTATTGATCCCTTACTTTATACTTGGCACTCCACCTGGCAGTGGGAGGATGGAATGAATAAGACATGGTCCCTCCCACCCAGGAGCTCATAGGTTTAAAGGGGAATGTAAACCCATGAGCAAATGACTTACAGTGACATGCTATCTAAAGGACCACACAAGAAGAAGTGGTCAGTCTCCCTGGGCATTAGATCAGAGTGGGAGAGGTGGGGGAAGCCTCGTGAAAGATTTCACGAAAGAGGTTGAGGCTTGAATTAAGTCTTTAAAAATGAGTCAGTGGGACAAGAGGACAATATTGGGGACTGGCATATCAGGCAGGGAAGGAGCATGAACAAGTTTGGGAATTATGAAATACTGAAAACTGCCAGAAGCAGTAACATGGCTGGAGTGTAGGTTGTGAGGAGGGACATTCAGAGAAAAAGTGCTGGAGAAATGGACAGACCTCATCATAGATACTGGCCTTACTGCCCAGTTTGGACTTTATAGTTGTTGAGGAGCCTCTGCAAGTGTTTAAGCTGGTGAACAGCATGATGGCATTTGCACTCTGGCCGCTCTGTGAAGGATGCATCCAAGGCGGAGACTGATGTATGGAAACCAGTCAGGAGATCATGATAGCACCCAGCTAAGAGAGAGCACTGGTCTACACTGCAGGAGTAGCTGGGGGTGTGTGGGGGAGTGAAGAGCCCAGCACGGCTCCCAGAGCCAAGAGGAAGAGTGGGATTCAGGGAGATCCTAAGGATATAGAAGATTATAAATGTCAAGGCCTCCATTTCTCATGTGTCAAGAGGGGATTCCAATCAAGGCTTAATTGAGTATTTGCTTCCTAAAGCAAAGAAGACAAGAATTGCTTGTGAAGTGTATGGCAAGGTGGTCAGCTGTAAGATTTCTAGCCTGTGGTGAAGAACTCCATTTTAAATAAATAGTGCATCCAAACATTGCATTAATATTCTAGTTCTTCACTGCAAAATGTGAGAGTTTGGTAAAATAAGATGCATTGTAGTCTTGTTTAGAGGCACGATGGGATAGTGGCTAAACGGTGAGCTGGTAATTCATTTCTAGTGTTAACTCTGGCACTTGCATGCTTTGGGCGACTGGCTAAACTTTTCTGAGCCCCACTTTTTGATTTGTAAATATTAGGCTAGCAATATTGCCCAATGGGTTTGTGGTGAGAATTCAGTAAAATCGAAGCATGTCAAAGTGGCAGGCCAGAGGCTGGTGAAGCAGCTGGCGAATGCTACTAATGTCCACCCTTTCTCCATTTTTCTCTCCTGTGAGGGAGTTTAAAATGTTCAGCTTTCTCTTCTCTGTGCTGAGTCTTAATGCTAGGGACCTGGAGATGAATATAAAAGTGTACCTGTGTAGTTGTCCAAATATTTAAATTCCTTAAGGAGATTTCACATGAAATGCTTGATTTCCTGGAAAAAGATGTTTATTATTTCTCTCTCTGCTTTTGATACAGGATGTCAGCTGCAACGAGATCACAGCGTTGCCCCAGCAGATAGGTCAGTTGAAATCTCTACGAGAACTGAATGTCAGAAGAAATTACCTTAAAGTTTTACCACAAGGTAAAAAAGAAAGAGGGAAAATGAAGAAAATGGGAGACTTGCATTATTTTATGTTTTGGGGGGTTTACTTTTGTGAAGAGGGTCGATCTTTGTGTGTGTGTGTGTGTGTGTGTGTGTGTGCCTACTACTTAATTAGGATTTGAATTTCACATACAGATAACAAAAAAGTGATGTTCAGGCTGTGATTCTAGTCAAGGGCTACAGCAACAAAATCATTCCCCTAGGTAATGCTGTGGGGCACGGGGGTGGACGTGGGTGTGTTAGTTTGCTGGGGCTACTATAACAAAGAACCACAGATGGGGTGCTTAAATAACAGAACTTCATCTTCTCACAATTTTGGAGGCTGGATGCCTGGGATCAAGGTGCCAGCAGGGTTGGTTCCCTCTGAGGCCTCTCAGCTTGGCTTGTGGGTGGCATCTTCTCCTCCCTGGGTCTTCTCGTCATCTCCCCTCTGCACATGTCTGTGTCCTAATCTCCTCTTCTTACAAGGACACCAAGGATTAGAGCTGCCCTCATGACCTCATTTTAATTAACTTAATTACCCTTTTAAAGACCCTATTTCCAAATACAGTCACATTCTGAGGTAATAGAGGTTAGGACTTCAATATATGAATTTTGGAAGGACTCAAGCCAGCCCGTCACAAGGGGTGACATGAATTGTTTTGGGTATGGGTATGTGACGTTTTGGAACGTGAAATTTCGGGGACATACTTTGTTCTACAGATCCTGTCTGTCAGGATTTCTAGCCTTGGGGATCTGGGAGCACTGGTTGGGAACTCCCAGTGTCTAGAATCTGTTCTGAGGTGAGGGTGCTGCCTCTGCTGGAGTGATACTTGGACTAATGTCTCACTGGTGGTCTTGGTAAGTTTCACCAGTGGTGACAGCAGAACCTCAGCATTGAGACATGGCTCCCAACCATCCAGCATGAATGCCAAGACCTCAGACAGCCCTGCTTTGCAGCCATGGGCTTCCATAGCATGTCTGTCCAGTAGTGTGTTGAGTTCAAGGCAGATATGTATATTTATTCAGAAACTGCATACCATTTAGAGCATGAAAGCAGCCTCATAGGGGGTAGTGGATCTGCATTTGGTGTTTGGGTTTGGACCTGGATCAGGAATGAACGGATGAGTCCTGGAACCCTGAATGCTTTCTCCAAAGCATACTCTGGTTTTCAGAGATTACATTGATTTCCACTGTTTTTGTTTAAAGTCTCTAGACATAGCTGATTTCAAACATATATTTAAAAATATTTCTCAAAGCAAAACCCTGTAGTACTTGGAAACAGTCAGCATTTGGTTAATCTGACATTAATGGAACAATTTATGGATGCCTGATTTTAATTATCCTGTCTCTGCATCTTGATCTTTGGCTTGAAATGCTTCATAATAAGGCAAGAAAATGGAGCTCATGAAAGGGAAAGAACTTTGCAAAAGGTAATGTGCTTTATAGATGGGAGGTTCAAGTCCGCTTGCCATCTTTCACCTTTCTCATACTGACTAGCATTTTAGAGAAGCAGAGTTAGAAACTCAACATTTTTTACTTCAGTACTTGAGATGACTTGGTTGAAAAATATTGATTGATTTTTCAATTTGTCCTTGTACAATCTCATTTTTTGGATATACAAAACTTGTATTTGGTTTAAGCAAGCACAAAAGGAAAGCTTATTAACAGCAAATTTATATGCATACAACCTTTTATGAGTTAAAGAAAACTTTCATTTAAACTTAAGCTCTCATGTTAATCATTGTGAAAATGTCCTAAATAATTGAACTCTCATTTTCAAAAGGAAAAATTAATTTGATCATTTTGCAATTGCCTGTCATAGTCTGGAAACATGTGGAAAGTATATTCACAAAATCTAGATTTTTGTCTCTCTCTGGTTCCTCATTTTCTTACCTTAAAAGCATTCCTTTCCCTTAAAAAGATCAGTTATTCCATAATTATGTTTTCTCAGTTTTGATATTTTAAGAATATACTCAAAGCTAAAACTTCAGTTTACTGGAAATTTCTTAAAAAAATAACTTCCTCAATATCAAGTTCCTTTTTGCTTCCCTCTGGAGAACTCTATTGACAAAAGACCATTGAAAATACTTTCAGTCAGTGACTGTAAAGACTTTCCCTATTTACTTATATGTTTTTCCTCTTTGGATACCCCTCCTCGTATGCTTTCAATTTGAGGATGAAAAAAGAAAACACCAAAATTGTGGTCTGATTACTCATATCAGTTTTGTGGTGGTTTTACTACAACAACTGCAATAAGAAGACCATATTTTATTCTTTCTAGGACTAGAATGAAGAGGGGATTAAAATAGCCATTCATTGCCTCTCTTAGCAGTGGGGAGAGAGAGTGGGATTTGTTCTTCTGCTTCTTTTTTTTCTTACTCCCTTTCTCTACTCCACTTTTTTTTTTACCTTTCCTGGGCTGGTGTTGCAAAATTATCATTTTCTCCTTCGTTTTATTGTTGTGAAACTGTCTGGTTCCTGTTTTCCTGAACTATGATGGCAATTGTGTCCCAAACTGGAACTAGAAAAGAAATGGTCATTATAAAACCTTCACTTATTTTATTTACCTGTAAGTTTTCTCCTGCTATGTTTTCCATGAACTTAGCCCTCTAGTCTTGCTTTGAAGTCTTCATTTTAAGTGGCAAAGAATTGCTAAAGATCCAGAGTCCAGTTAAATTTTTCCAGTGATTTGCTAAGCTAACTTTAATTAACCATCTCGGAGATAGGTTGATATTGCTAGGGGAAACAGCTAGGAGGTGTTCCTCTTATCATGGAATCTTCATAATTCTTATCATCTTACAAACAAGCTGTGAGGTGAAAGGGGATCTTGCTTTTCCTATTGTTTCACTTTCATGATTCCAGGGTCCTCCAGGATTAGTGTGGCCTGAGGTCAATCCCTTATCCTGCCAGAGGGGAGACAAGCTGGGTTGAGCAATGAACTAACTACTCAGGGCAATTTAAAAAACACAGTCCCTTACATTCCCAGAGTGCCTTGAATTCTGAGAGAGGTACTGGTTACTAGAATCTTTTCCTGCTGGAATTTGACATAACGTAGCTGAGTAAAGTGAAGACTGAAGAGCAGTGTAGGGGTAGAGGAGAAATAGTGTGAATTTTTACTCCAGGTCAGTGTCTTCAGTTACTCTTCTTTGTCTAATTCTTGCCCTTCGTCCACTTTAGAATTCCTTGAGTGTTTTAAAGCGCAATATTCCATCCCTTAACAGATCCCATAACAAAAGTTCCGAGGCCTCGTTCTGGAGTGAACCCTTCATAGCCCCTCACACAGAGATCTCAGTGGCTTGCCTGCATCACCCTAGATGTCTGGCGTGGCCCAGCCTCTCTGCTCTATGGAATATATTTGACTTTATTCCTAGCAGCTGCCAGTGTCGTTTTGAATGCTTGAAATTACTTAGTGTCTACTGTGCCACTGGGTGGGGATTTTAAGCTAAATGTAATGTTCTGTCTTCTGAGTGGAGCTACAGAAGACTTTTTAAAAGCTGTAGAATAAAGTCTCATCATACCAGAATTACAGGGCCTGTCGGAAAATTCTGAATTGGATAACATTTATTTTTTAAAATGCAGTTGAAAAACTCATGAATATATTTAGTGTAGCTAGTTCTGGGATAATGCCAGCCCAAATACATTGATTAGATAAGAATATTCTGTAATTAACGTATTACTCATGGGCTAGCGAGTGCTACTGGGAAACAGTTTGAAGTTAAAACATAAACATGTCCTGTGTGATGTGGCTTGCGTGATTCTTTTGCTGAAAAAAAAAAGTATTTTTAAACAATAGATATTGTAAATGTTAAGTGTTTCCAGTTTTTATCAGAACTAACAACAATTTAAAACTTTGGGGCATGCAATAAAAGATTTTCCCTCTTTTGGTAAAATGTTATGTACACACACCATGTATTCCTAATGTACAACTTGCCTTTGATTATACTCAATTGTATTTTTCCTGAGAAGCAGAACATTAATTTTTGAATGATTAGCCATTTAATCTTATTGATTTCTAAGGTTTTTTCTTTCTTTTTTTCTTTTTTCTATTATTTTAGAACTAGTAGATCTTTCCTTGGTAAAGTTTGACTTTTCCTGCAACAAAGTGCTCGTGATTCCAATTTGTTTTAGAGAGATGAAGCAGCTGCAAGTGTTACTACTTGAGAATAACCCTCTGCAGTCTCCTCCAGCACAGGTGAGGGGTCTTGCAGCAAAGCCAATGCCCCATGGGATGTGCTGTTATAGGAGCCAAGGGAAAATTTCCCCTTCACCCTCTGAAAGTTTGCTGAAAATCACTAATCACTGGCAAGCGGCAGATTAATTGGAGAAAAGGCATCAAAATTTATTAACATGTACGTGGAAGCCTCCAGAGTGAAGACCCAAAGATACAGGGGAAATTGTCCATTTTTATGCTTACAAAGTATGGACAGCCATGTAGAAATATGATTGGACAAAAAGAGTATGATCTCATGTTAATAGACTGAGTGAGGAAACCCAGCAGGGCCTGTTTGTCTGGATTCTTCTTGGGCTCTCTGAGGATCATTCCTTCCTTCTGGGCGTGGGGCAGGACCCTCTTTGCGATGGGGGGTCTTATGGCCTACTGTCAAACAAGAGAAGTCAGATCATTTCTTTATGGCCAGTTTTTACACAGAAAGGCCGAGGGAAAGTTCCAGTAATATTTTGAGGTTTTAAAGGGGTTTTGGTTTCTATGACCAGCTTTGGGGAAGATTCAAATTTGTAAGGCTCCCTTCCTTGGGAGAATGGGACCGAGGGGCAGGAGGGCAGGAGAGGTCAGAGAAAAACTTTTGCTTCTGAGACCTTCATTTTGGGGTATTGTTTTCTGATTCCCAATGCTATCAATCATGCTTAAGCAACTCTCCAAAGGCCAGTTTTCTGATTCTCTGCTGAAGAGAATAATACTGAATAAAACTTGATTATAAACAGTCACAGTGAACCCTTGAGTGAATGTGAGAAACAATAAATTGTCTTCCATTGCATCAAATCCATTCACCAGCACTTGGCTCACTATGCTAATCACTCCAACTCCAGAATTAAATGTCTTATTATTTATCATTTTATTTGAATTTGTTTCATGGAGTATATTGATTTTTTTTTTTTTTTTTTTTTTTTGAGACAGAGTCTCGCTCTGTCGCCCAGGCTGGAGTGCAGAGGTGTGATCTTGGCTTACTGCAGCCTCTGCCTCCCAGGATCAAGTGATTCTCCTGCCTCAGCCTCCTGAGTAGCTGGGACTACAGGCGCCTGCCACCACACCTGGATAGTTTTTGTATTTTTAGTAGAGACGAGATTTCACCATGTTGGCCAGGCTGCTCTCTAATTCCTGACCCCCAGGGATCTGCCCGCCTTGGCCTCCCAAAATACTGGTATTACAGGCGTGAGCCACTGCTCCCAACCATATATTCCTTATTTGAATGTTAGCTGGAAAATGGAATTTAAACACCTTAAAACATGGTTATTGATTATTTAGAGACAAGTCTCCAGCTCAAATGTTAAACTGCATGAGAGAAAAATGAAGTGCTATGCTTTCAGATGCTTAACCATGTAAATATTTTGAAGTTTATTTTCTTTTTAAATAATTTAACAGCTTCTTAAATCTACAATTATTTTTAGGCTCTGAATTGCTTTCTATCAGCTCGAAAATAATTGTGCTTTTCTCATCTTTTGTAACTGGAATTTCACCAGGCTGGTCATCTGAGTTTATATTTTTTATACTATATATACTTGAATACATTTTTGTTAGAGTTTTATAGTTTAATGCAAGAAAAAATGGGAAATTGCTTAAGCATGATTTTCTATTCAAAGTAGAATTTGGAGGGAATGATTCCCAAAATTCTTACATGTTTTGGAAAGGACGGATTTAGTGTACATTGGTAGGGTGTTACTTAAAATGAAACTGGGAAAATTGAAATATACAGAGTAAGGATTTGATACTTACATTTTGTTTTGTCATTGAAAAATGAATATGATTGCTATTAATTTCTTTGTAGATTTGCACAAAGGGCAAAGTTCACATATTTAAGTATCTGAGCATACAAGCATGCCAGATTAAGACAGCTGACTCCCTTTATCTCCACACCATGGAGAGGCCACATTTACACCAGCACGTGGAAGATGGGTGAGTCATGCCCTCATTCAAAGCCCCAGTTTAAAATTTGCCTAGGCCAAGGCCCTCCAGGTAGCTGACTTCAAAATCTGTTTGTTTTAAGTCACCATGGTATCTGCAGAAAACAAAGCAAAACAGAACAATTTGGTTTAATCACCTAATTTGTATTTAAAACAAGAAGTTGAGAAACTATTGGGATATGAAAGAAAAAACTGCTGCTATTGAGAATATTTTGGTATATCTCAAATATCATCTGTCTCCTAATCAATAATCAGTTCTTCCTGAGTAAATATGTGCATACTTATAAATAAGATCTAGAATACAAATGTGAATATTTTTTACTTATCAAAATAACTATATTGAGCCCAGACATGCCTTTTTAGCAATTATTAATGTTGAATATGCCTCCAGAACAATGTTAAGAAAAAAATGAAGGCTTTATTTTTGGTCTTTTAAAAATGCAGTATGTGTAGTTTTGTCGCCACTTCCTGTTTCAAATGGAAAAGTTAGAACCCTTTCACACATCCTAGAGCTTCTTGTGGCATAAATCAAGCCTTGAGCTTCCAAAAAACAACATTCTCACACTGAACACAGTTATAGAAATGCAGGTTCTTTTTAAGAAGTCTTCACTGCAGAAATCTTTTCCTTCACTTTTTGCTACATAAGTAAATTTAAAATTTTGGACTACTCTAATGTTACTTTTATATAATGCTTAAAATATGTACACTGTTTTATGTACTTAATCCCTGGATAAAAATTTACAGAATTATTGAAAGTAACCACATTTCATAACATAAGGGGTAAAAGCAGTTATGTGGTTTATTAATTTTTTATATGCTAGATGCAGTAAAATAAGAACATTGGTAACTATTTTTAAGAAACACCTTGACATCTAAGAGCAAGCCACTTGATTAGAGCATAAATCCATGAAACCCCGAACACAAAGAATTTTATCTTATCCTGTGTTTAGACTGTGCTACTGTCTGATTTTCATTAGGTCCATGTCTTAATATTCTTTAATACTAGACTGATTTGTTGCCTTATGGTAATAATAAAAATTTGCGTAGCAAAATTATTATTAGAATATAAATTGATGTTTCTTGGTGTGAACTTTGTGATTTTAATCTTTTTTAAATGAATTCAATATTGATGGCATCTATCTCAGCAAGAAGGATTCTGATTCGGGAGTTGGAAGTGATAATGGAGATAAGCGATTATCTGCCACCGAGGTAAAGTTAGTGATCAGATTCTTTTCCTTCTGTACTTCTAGACATATCTACCAGTGTTCATTGAACTCCTTTCTGTTAAAGGGCATCGATTCATTTGTATATTCATGTGATATTCGTAAAAGTGATTTGTATATTCATGTGATTTGAAATCCTCGAAGTGTTATATAAATATTAGCTGTTGTTACTTATTCTGCATCTTTAATATCTTTAATATTTTGTAAATGCCTCAAGAGTGGAGTCTGTATCTTCTCCTCTCCTACACATTATCTAAAATATTATTGAGTGCTCAATAAATATTACAAAATGGCTAAGTAGTACGCAAGTGCCCGTGAAGCACTTTTATACATACGCTTATTTTTCAGTAATAGAGTAATTTAGAAAAACATTGTTATACATATGCGTAAATGTTAAGGAATCAACTGTACATTTTATTTTAATAGTTGATCCACAGGAAATGCATTTATGAGTAGCTATAGTTTTTATAACAATGTTTGTTTTCCTCAGACTCTTAGATTGTGTTCTGTTCTGTTCTGTTCAGTTAATTGGATACAAGTTTGGTTACTTGCAAGCTAACAGGCCTCACACATTAGAACTTCCTATAGTGGTTATAAATCATGCTTTGATAACTGATTTATTATCTCACATGTAGTCTATTAGAGTCCCCAAAATCTAACACTAATGTATCATTAAATGGAGCTTCTTGGCCTCAGGGATCTAGAAAGGAGTGGTAGGAAAAGTATCAGGTGCTCTTCTTTTTTTGAGGGAAGTTACTTTCTGTAGTTACTAAGTTAACATTATAATACTGTGAAATTGCAGTTAATAGGCCAGTCACCCCATCAAAGAAACTCACATTTTTTTCTATGTATGACTCCAGGAAAAAAACCTTTCTCCAATTCTCCTCAAGTCGTTGAATTTTAATAGGTAGCTAAGGTATTTGAATTTATTTTTCACAAAATACTCTATATAGCAGTATATTAAAAAGTGGGATTCTTTATCTTTAAAAATCCTTCTAATATAGAGCATTTTGAAAAGAAGAAGAGTTAGTAGGCAGAGAAGGCCAGTGTCAATAAAAGAAAATAACCCATAGGAAGGCACATGAATAGTTTACCGTGCTTCAGTGGGAGAGAGGGGATACTAAACACATTGCTTTAGTTGCATTTTAATTCATCCTCTTCAACTCCTAAGTCCTCGCAAATGGACCATTGTTTCAGAAATTACTCACCCTAAGTATATTTTCTGTTAAATTAAACAGACTCTGCTTTATCTCTCTTCTAAGGCTAATTAAACTCATTAATAAAACATTACATAAAGAACTTCATTATCCTTTTGTTGTCACTTAAGCATAAGTAGGATGCTAATATCATTCTAAAAGGAGCCCAAGGATTTATTCTGTGCCTTTTAATTAGATGCATATCTTTGGAATTTTGCTAAATTTTTAAGATGAGAGGTGGGTAGAAAGAGAAGGGAATACAGAAAAGATTATATTCAACAGAATGAAATGCACACATCTTGCCTTTGGCCTTTCCTTGTCTTATATTACAGCCTCCTTTCCTAAGTACACCTCCAAGAAATTTATTTTTTAGAGTGATAAGTGTTCCAAATTATCTTACATAGCTTCCTATTTTCACTTGGTTTGGCAAAGATTTTACCATCTATGATCAGGTGATCTTACTTCCCATTTAGATGACATTGTGGGGTTCAGGGATCACACCTCATTCTTTTTCTTTGGCTGCTGCCATTGATTGATTTAGCATTTGTCACTGAGAGATTAAAAACATCTTTTTATCAAGATAAACAGGAAAGTGTGGAGCTCTATGAATATTTGTTGAATGAATGAAATGCATGCCTAATTTCTGCCAGTTTCTAAACAATCTGTGCATATGTCCAAAAGTAAACAAGGACAGACTCTGAAAACCATACCTCAAGAACTTAGGAGCAAGCCACAATCTCCTGAAATGTGTTTTGTGGAGGTTCCTGATTTTTGAGATTTGGAAAGCTATTTCCTAAGTAGCAACAGTAAAATGGAGACATAGGAAAATAAACCAGGCTCCATATTTCAGAATCATAGGTTTTCTGAATAAACGTCATCAGCTACTGTGGGAAAGGAAGCCCTCAGAGAGAACTAATCCAATTATTAAAGCCGAAGCTTTCTTCCAAAAATCACACAGAGCAGTTCTTTTTAACTACTACAGTTGTTTAGCATTTTTATATATGTGATGCAGCTTCCTCAGCCTAAAACAGAGAAATAAAACAGGCACCCGTATTAGTTCATTCTTGTGTTGCTATAAAGAAATGCCCGAGGGTCGATAATTTATAAAGAAAAGAGGTTTAGTTGGCTTACAGTTCTGCAGGCTGTACACAAAGCATGTGACCAGCAACTGCTACTGGCAAGGGCCTCAGGGTTGAAGGTGAAGGGAGTGCCTCCTGTCACATGGTGACAGCCAGAGCAAGAAAGCAACGAGGTTGGGGGAGAGCAACGGAGGAGGTGCCATGCACTTTTTTTTGTTTTTTTAAGACGGAGTCTTGTTCTCTTGCCAGGCTGGAGTGCAGTGGCGCGATCTTGGCTCACTGCAACCTCTGCCTCCCGGGTTCAAGTGATTCTCCTGCCTCAGCCTCCCTTATAGCTAGGACTATAGGTGTGTGCCACCACGCCCAGCTAATTTTTGTATTTTTAGTAGAGATGGGGTTTCACCATGTTGGCCAGGATGGTCTCGATCTCTTGATCTTGTGATCCACCTGCCTCAGCCTCCCAAAGTGCTGGGATTACAGGTGTGAGCCACCACGCCTGGCTGATGCCATGTACTTTCAAACAACCAGATCTCACATGAACGCATAGCAAGAACTGCATAGACCCTTCTTGAGGTATCCACCCCCAAAACCCAAACACTTTCCACCAGGCCCCACCTCCAGCATTGGGGATTACATTTCAACATGAGATTTGGAGGGGACATACATCCAAACTGTGTATCAGTACCTGACAAGATTTCAGCTTAAAACAGAGAGAAGAAAACACAGAGAAGCCCATAAGTGTTAGCTCCATGAATTTTCACAATGTGAACACACCCGTATAACCAGCTTCCAGTTCAAGAAACAGAACTTTACCAGCACCCCAGAAAGCCCCACCCCGACCCCAAGAATAACCTCTTCCTAATTTTAAATACCATGGATTAGTTTTGCATTTTTTGAACTTACATAAGTGGAATTGACCTTTGTATCTGGCAACTTATATTCAATATGATATTTGTGAGAATCACAGGATGTTGTTTTATTACATAGCATTCTCCTTATCTACATTGATAACACTTCTCTTGAGTTAAACAGTGCACTGTATCTTTTTAGCCTTCTGACGAAGACACTGTTAGCCTCAATGTGCCAATGTCAAACATCATGGAAGAAGAACAGATCATCAAGGAGGACTCGTGCCATCGCCTTAGCCCCGTTAAAGGTCTGAGAATAAAAATGTGGAGAAAGTGCTTGTTTTTCAGTTTCAAATGTTATGTTTAAAATAACCTGTGCACAGATAGGGCAGTGATAATCTTTCTAGAGTATGTCCTATGTACCAGGTACTGTGTTCTTCTGGGAAGTTGAGCTGATTTAAAATTTAAAAGTCAAAGATGGATACTCTAATCATCTCCATTTTATAGGTGAGAAAACCAAGACTCAGAGAGTTTAAGTAACTTGCCATTGGTCACATAGCTGATGTGTGTGTAGTACTACTTCCTACGGTACATAGTAGAACTAATCTCATTCTGAAGACTTAGATAAAATTCTTTTTTTTTTTTTTTTTTTGACATGGAGTCTCGCTCTGTCTCCCAGGCTGGATGGAGTGCAGTGGCGTGATCTTGGCTCACCGCAACCTCCGCCTCCTGGGTTCAAGGGGTTCTCCTGCCTCAGCCTCCCGAGTAGCTGGGATTACAGGCACCTGCCACCATGCCCGGCTAATTCTTTAAATCCATTCTTGGAAAGAAAATATTGATATGATAGATATATTAGTTAGGAAAACTCTAGCTGCCGTAACATAGATTCCCAAATCTCTGTGGCTCAACACAATCCAAATTAAGTTCAAATGGAGTTAGTGATTGGCAGACAACTCCCCTCTGAGTATTGATTTAAGGACCCAAGCTCCTTTCATACCATGACTCCATCATCTTTAACACAGGCCTTCCAAAACTTTCATGTCCATCTGTTTTAAGCCAGAAGAAGAGCGTGGAGGTTTGCTCGTGGGAGGTTTTTATGGACTGGGTCTGGAAGGAGTGCCCATCACTGATAAGCTAGACTTCATCCCATGGCCACATCGCACTGCACATGAGGGTGGGAAATGTAGTTGAGGTGTGTGTTCAAGAAGCTACTTGACTTTGGCCCAGTCAGGTGACCTTGATTCCCTCACCTGTACATGAGATGATTAGATTAGGTAATACCAAAGGTCCAGTGTAGCTTGAAAATTCTGTGGCTCTTTAATAATCATCAAATGACCACTAAACACTGTCTTGTGTGCCTTCAAGATCCTTGTAATACGTTTCATATCTTGGTTGGAAGCCCTCATTGGGTAACATTAAGGCGATTTTTTGATTGCCCCTGTTTCCCCATGACTTTTAAGGAAAATACAAGCATTTAGTTTTACTCATTTGTGGCAGAGACTGTTTCACAGTGTATAAATAGTGCAGAACTGGATTAATATACAGATCTTCTCATAAATAGTTGGAATTTGCTCTTATTCATGATAGGAGAGCTGTTTAAGTTCACTCAAACCTTAGTGTTGGCTTTCACTTCTTACACTTCGGTTTTTAAGTTTAGCATTTCTGTTTACCTGAGATTATCATGGGAACCATATGTTGTCTAAAAACATAGCTGTATGCTTTATATACAAATATAACTGCCACTTTATTAATTCATATAAAGTTAGTAATATTATACACTGTAGGAGGTAGTATTTTAGGCAAATTTTTCAAATAAAAGAATTATGTAATTTGTTACTAGTGGGTGTTCCCCCTCTCGTCTAGATGTGGGTATTGCATTGGCTCAGAGTGTTTAAAGGGTGGCCCAGTATGGTTCTTTTTCATCTTCAGAACAGTTGGAAGAGTTCTGCAGGGTGTTCCTTTTGCTCCCCCACCTCCCCTGGAACACATTCTAGGTGGAAGTGCCACATCTGGGCATGCTGTCACCTCTGTGTGGCCCTTCTTGTAGACACTTCTTTTGCTGTTATGATTTGGGGCTCTTGCCTAGTTCCCCTCCCACATTCTTCCTTGAGATTATTTGCTGTTTAAGGACAGGAGTCAGATTTGGCTGATTTTTTAATCCCTAAAATGTTTAGCATAATACCTGCCATTTAGTAGCTGCTCAATATTTGTTGGATTTTAAATATGAAATACATAGTAACATATTACTGAGGGCAAAAAAGCCTCTTTTATACTTTCTTTTCTCCATTCCTTAAAAAAGTAAGAGAAAATCTAATTTTTCTCATAGGGAACTGAGCCCAGAGAGGCCTTGACTTTTTAAGCTCAGTTTGGGGCTTTCTGGGGTTATTTTATTTTTATCTTTTCCTCCCTGCAGGGAAGAGAAAACTTGGGTTTTTCATATACCTTCTTCATAGGGAACACAGAAGACTTGAAGTGATTAGATCATATTTGAAGATCAGCTGTGTTTTGCTCTTCTGTTCATGAAATCATGCTTTCCATCTCTCTATATTTTCCTAATAGGGGAATTTCATCAGGAATTTCAACCGGAGCCTTCCCTTTTGGGTGACAGCACCAACTCAGGAGAAGAAAGAGACCAGTTTACTGATAGAGCAGATGGTCTCCATTCGGAATTTATGAACTATAAGGCAAGATTTTCAGGATCAACTACGTTTTTTTACTTATTTCCTTCTGTTTGGCACCGTACAATTTAAGTTGAAGGTTGCCAATCCATCCCCTTCAATGTCCAGCTTGCTGCACCCTCCCTGAAGCGTTCCAAACATCTCAGCGCTCAGCGTGTCTATTTGCTGATGTGAGGAGCTGGTCCCTGCCCTGTGTGCCTCTCCATTTGTCTGTTTATGGATCTGATTTTCTTTCCGCTACTCAGTGCATCGTACAAATTAGCAAACTCATTAGTGTGACCATTGCCACGCAGTAAAAGCTGAAATAGTTTCACATTCTTTTCAACATGTTCTAGGTAAATCCTTTTCTTGGGAGTATATTTATAGTGTGAAGACAAAAGTGGAGACTTTTAAAATTGATAAATGAATGTCTTTCCTTTTTGGAAAGATCTCTCTGAGGACACTTATTCCTGAACTTTTGTAGGTGCCCCGAGGCATTGAAAGGACAGGTGAAGTTGCCGAGTTGTCAGGAAAACCTTCATCTTGGCAGCAACAAAGGGAGGAAAGAAAAATTAGCCCTTTACTGAAGCAGATACTGAAGGTTCTACTTCACAACCCGATTAGGTGCTTGGTATGTTTCTGCCAGCCCTTTTGGTTCAGGTTGTGGTGCCCAAGAATCATAAAGATTATTGTTTTTGTAAAATTCAGATTCACTGTGGCTTCGAGGTAACTTCTGAGTTATTATGTTGAAGCCAAGAATGGGATCCCTAAGTACTCATCTTTATTTTCTGAGCATTGTGTCCTGATGGCTGGACCCAGCCTAAATTAACATCTCTGGGCATCACCTTCAAGGAAATGGAGAGGAAAACAGCTGAATTTTACACTGTAGGAGACCTTCGTGTGCTCAGGACATGTTTATGGCCTCCAGATAAAAATAATGAACGTGACATATGTTTATAGATTACAGAAGTTGTGTAGAAGGATAAAACACAGTCTTAACTCTTTACTTGCTATATTTAATGTCATTAATCCATACATCCTTGTTTTAAAATAGGTCACACCCATTGCCTTGTTTCTGTCCCCTGTCTCCATTGACATTGCTTCATTTGAGCCTCATAGTTTCTCACTTTGATTACTTCAGGCACCACCCCGCCCACTCCACTTCTTACCCAATGCTGCACCCGCGTGCATGCATGCATGTGTGTACACACACACACACACACACACACACACACACACACACTCTTTATATTCTGCCACCAAACATTTTTCTAAAGTGCAAATCTAATGACATTCCTCTCAGGCCACTGGTTCTACAAGGCTTCCCCAGATTAGACCCTATCTATCAGCTCTGTGGGACGATTCTTCCATGAAAATGTGAAAATTGGAGTATATCGAGCATTCATCTTAAGTTAAGAATCTAAGGTAAAGATGGAAACCCTGAAGAATGTGTTAAGAAGATATCAATATTTAAGTTCTAGAGGAAACAAAGCAGTTAGTAAGAATAAAGCGTATTGTTTCAGGAAAGCAAATTTCCCTGGATTCAGAGATTTCAAGGACTTCCTGGAAATGGCTGCCCTACAGAATGGGTCCTGTAGATGGAAACTAGAGGAGCAGATAGGCGTGTGGAAGTCAACTTGGCAAAGGCTTTCTGGAAGATACTTCTCTTGGAAAATCAAAAGAAAAATGTTAATGATAAAATGAACATCTACAACAAGTTAAGGAAAAATTGTGCTTGAAAATCAGGCCCGTATTAGGCTTGATATCCATCAACTTTAAGTCTTTCAACCTGTGCTTGGCCTGGCGGAGTGAATCACACCTGTAATCCCCCACTTTGGGAGGCTGAGGCAGGAGGATCACTTGAGCCCAGGAGTTCAAGATCAGCCTGGGCAACATACTAAGATTCCATCTCTACAAAAAAACAAAAGCTAGCTGGGTGTGGTGGTGTGCTCCTTGAGTCTCAGCTACTCAGGACACTGAGGAGGGAAGATCACTTGAGCTTGGGAGAGTGAGTCTTCAGTGAGCCATGACTGCACCACTGCACTCCAGCCTGGGTGAAAGAGTGAGACCCTTTCTCAGAAAAACAGAGTTCTATGCTTTACATAATCCTGTTTTCTTTACTGAATAAGCATCTTGGACCTTTGCAACCACAGTCAATTTTCATTATTCACAGCAGTTATGTTGTGTGACATCACTGTGCATATCGAATTATCCAATACTGAGCCCTAACTCACTGGGGAAATAGAGGGCTGGGTTCCTGCACCCTCTGCTCACAACGTTTTTGTCAACCAATCAGCACACAACCTTGGTGTGTGTGTATTTCTGTTTAAAGATACCTTATTTAATATATATTGTTTTGATGAACATTACAACCATACCTTATTTAACATATATTGATTGATGAACATTACAACCAACAGCACTGTAACTCATGCCCGAAGGAAGCTTGTCTAACACACGTATTGTCCTCTGTAAGGCATATCACAACTTCCTTGGGCTTCTGAACACAAGGCAGCACTTCAGTACTATGTCTGGGGCCATTTTAAAGTGAAATCACCAACAAAAAACACAACAGTGTGAAAACATGGCACTAACTAGACTGTGAAAAAGGACACTTATTTACAATAAGAGAGCTGAAAGAAGAAAGCAGAGTGTCACCTTGTTCCACCTCATCTGGGAACATACACATCCTGGGACTCAAATTTTTTACCACTCTGTAGATGTCTGCAGATGACCTCCAGAGCACCACGAATACTGGTTTTGGGACTAAAAATACATGTTGGTGAATAGGCAAATTCACAAATGCAGAATCCACAGATAATGAGGATCAACTGTAAAACCATTTAGCTTAGCAAAAGCAACCCAGTACGCCTGTTTTGCCTAATGAAAAAAAGAGACATTTTATACTATTGGCTACTTTTAGTTGTGAAACAAAAAAATAAAAAGAAATACCCTTTGCTTCTATCATTGAAACCCAACAAAACGAAGTAAGAACACGTTGTCTTGGTCATTTCTGGTAGTATATTTTTACCCATGAATTTTTCTGTCATTTGGAGTGTGGAGAGTGGCACAGTCTTTTATACGTTGACTGTATTGTACATGAAAAGTATAATCACTACAGAAAAAGTCCAAGTGTGTTCCCAGCCAGAGTCCAGCATTGGGCAGCTAGCCATGTCCTTGGGAAAAGTCTTGTCCTAACAACACATCTGGAGGACTGGCTGGTCCCCAGTTAGCTAATGATATGCCAGAACCTTGACACCAAAAATGGTCCTTTTGGCTGGTGTTCTCTCCTAGCTAGGGAAATGTGGCCCTATTCAGGCTGGCTTTCATTCTAGCCATGAGCTGGGTTAAAGCAGCGTTTCTCTGTGTCAGAGATGAACGTGCAAGGAGGCCTGTGGAAGGCTCATGGTGGTACATGACTTTCCAAATAGCCAGTGTCACTACATTGCCGCTTTGGGAAAAAGTGGGGTGACAGTGCAGGGAGAACATTTGAGTGATTCTGGATGTTGTACACGTGAAAACTATTAGATGCAATCAGAAGCACTTTTCTGTTGTTAAGAATGTTACACTTTCTCTTTTCCCCACTACACACATATGCGTGCACACTCACACTTAAACACACATCCCTGCTCTCACAAACACTAGGATGCATCTTCACAGGTGACCCACAAGCACAGGAGAGGGATCTCTCAATACAAGAAGGTGCTAAAAGGGCAATAGGAAATCCAGTAAAGCTTTAAATTTCTGATGATAAGTTAACAGATGCTGTGGTCTTGGGCCACATTTTTTTAAATTTAAAAATGTTTAATTATGGGAAAATACTTACAAAATGTACACCTTAGCCATTTTTTAAATGTACATGTAGTTCAGAGTGTTTTAACTACATTTACGTTGTGCAGCCTATCTCCAGAACTCTTCTCACTTGCAAAACTGACCCTGTGTACCCTTTAAATAACAACTCCCTCGTTCCTTCCCGGCAGCCCCTGGCAGCAAGCATTCTGCTTTCTGTCTGGATGAATTTGATTACTGTAGACACCTCATATAAGTGTAATCAGTACAGTATTTGTATTTTTGTGACTGGCTTATTGCACGTAGCATAATGTCCTCCAGGTTTATCTGTGTGTATGGCATGCATGAGAATTTCCCCCTTTCTAAGGCTGAGTAATATTCTAGTGCATGTACATACCAGATTTGTTTATCTGTCCCTCCATAGATGGCTGTTTGGCTTGTTTCCAGCTTTTGGCTATTGTGAATAACGCTGTTATAAACATGGGCTGGGCAGGTTTTGGCTCCTGACTACTGAGTAGCCAATGGTTTTCAGGAACCCTGTGTGTTTTGTCCACAGGCAAGGGCAGAAGACTGTGAAGAGCTGTTACGGATAGAAGAGGATGTGCACTGGCAAACTGAGGGCATGTGAGTGCCGAGGCCTTGGTTACAAGCCATCATCACTCAAATCCACTTTGCAAGCAGTCTGGCAGTTCTGTTGTGATAGAATTTTGACCTGCTTTTCTGTGGGCAAGCTGATATTCTTACAGACAATATTGATAAGAAGTTGCCAGTTTTTCTCTGTCTGATGCTTTTTGTCGTGGTATTGGGCAGTACAAACCTCTTACTTGGCCTTGAGTCTTATTTGTTTTGAGGTTGCGGGTAGTAATGTGATTTCAGAGAATTAGCTAGAATTTCTAGATTGGAGGTTCTACCATCCATACAATTGCCTGAAGAAGCCAACAGCTGGGCCTGAAGTGATCTGTAGCGCTGATCTCCTTCTTTACCCCAAGTCATCCCCTTCAAGATCTGAGAACACCGTAGACTTCTGGTCCCAAGACTTCTAACTGCCAGAGCTACCATTTATTCAACATCATGTGCCAGGCATTGTCCTAAATACTTGACAGGCCATAACTCATTTCATCTTTACAACACTCCTAACAGATAAGTTCTGTTCTTGTCCCGCATTTCACAGATGACGAAACTGAGGCACAGAGAGATTGATTATCTTGCCGCAAGGTCACAGAGGGCCAGCATTTGAACCCAAGGAATCTTGTACCAGACAGATAATCCTTCTACTCTATTGTGTATAAATATTTATTTAGCAAGATTTACAGGGGAGGGGGTGTGTGATCCCATCAGACAATGAATCATGTCCAGGGGAATTGAGTTTGGACTGTGTGACATAGAGTATAGTTTTTGTTCCCAGGATTTTTATTTCTATAATCTGGGAGGCAGGTGTTGACTCTCCATCATACCTTGCAGGGTTTTTCTTCTTAGTGAGGATTTATCCCATTGTTAAAACTTTTCTCCTTACAGAAAGTCATTGGCTTACATTCTATGGTGGGAAGGGCTTGCTGTGATCAAATCTCTCTTGCCCTTTAAAAACGTTGGAAAGTTCCTCTCTGGTCACGGTCTGTATTACCAGCTACTCACTGGATATGCTGCTGAGAGCCACGGAGGCCTAGCTTGATTAAACAATCAGAGAATCATAGGGAAAGAGGCACTTGTTTTTAAACTATATAACGGTTTGGAAACTCCATTCTCAATCTCATACCTAGTGCTTTCAACCCTGGCTGTAAAGGATTATCTGTAGAGCTTTATAAAATGCTGAACTCCTAGTCAGACCCACTTGGACATATAGGGCCTGGCATGTTTTTTAAGCTCCACAGATGATTTTGCTGCATCTAGAGTTTGGACTGAGAACCACTGTCCCACACTGAAACCCTATATGCATGAAAGTAATAAAACTGGTTGAACGGGAGTTGGAAGGCCCAGAAGTAGTACAGACTCAGCCAGGTGATCCCCTCCATGCAGCCCCCTAGAACTCAGTAAAGCACAACGGTGAAAGCCTCTCATCTAGGCCATTGCCTGACTGTGCACAGGGGCAGTTAGGGGTGCACAGGCATGAAAATCTTATGTGAGCTGCTTTACAGCAGAGCTGGGCTTCCCCTACTCGGGCTCTTCCCACCGTGCTCTGCCATCCCACCCCACAAGGTACAAACACATTTTCACCATAACACTGAATCTGTCGAAATCATTTTCATATGTTAGATGGATTTTTGTAAGTTTGCTTTTTAAGAAATTAGATGATATTCATGTTGTATTGATCGTTTTCATTCTTATGCTTGGTTTCACGTTACAGAATAAGTTCATCCAAAGATCAGGACATGGATATAGCAATGATCGAGCAGCTGAGAGAAGCAGTAGATTTGCTGCAAGATCCCAATGGGTGTGTATGTCTCCTTGGTCCAGGTTTCATGTGTAAATAATGCATACTAATGTATGGAGTACATTGTCTAAATTCCTAAAATACCTACACAGACGATTTTGGCCCAGTCCAGCTACTAACAAAGAAAAGTCATGTTTATTGCCTGTTTTCCCAAGATGCAAAAGTAAAAGAGTCAAACTTCTGGAGGGAGTGAGATCAATTTCCCCTTTCACCACCCTTTATTGAGTTCATTCACCCCTCATGAAGTTCATATGGGAGTTTTTGGTAAAATTCTTAGAAAACAAAAATATGGTAAAAGTGCATGTTTTATATTGCTTAAAGTTTAAACCCCTGATTTATAAAAAATATAAAGAAAATGTTTTCCAAAAAGGAAAGAATTGGTATATCAAGTAGTACTGTATTTATATGGGGTAGTGCCAAATATATGTTAACTGAAGAATATATTTCTAAAGATTTGGGATACAGGATAATTTTAAAATCTGAATTTGCCTTGATCGATAATAGGCACTACATTCAGTGGATATGTGGATAATATTTTTCGATTTCTTAACTAATGGTAATGGAATTCCCATGGACAAAATATTTTTCAGCTAAACAATAGCAGGTATCATGTATCGGGTAATAACTACATGATCTCTAGAGAACTAGAGGACTTGGTAAACTGATGTGGTCTTATAATATGATGAACACGGGAATCACACGCAGCAATCCTAGCTGGGTTCTGCAAATTTATGAAAAGCGTAGTTAGTGTATCCCAGAATGCTGATGAGAATATACCACCTATGATGTCTGGCCCTGAAAGAATAGTGGCGGATCAGTTTAGTACAGCTGGAAGTCTTTTGCAATTGATTTGAAAAACATTTCAATTCTGCAGACATTAATTGAGTGCTTGGAGTATGGGAAGATCTGCAGTGTGCACCTTGGGGGATGTAAAGATGGACAAGACACAGCTCTTGCTTTCTGAGAATTTAGAATAGATAGAGATTGCCTTGAGAAGTTATAAGTGTAACTGGGCCAGGCGCGGTGGCTCACACCTGTGATCCCAGCACTTTGGAAGGCCAAGGCAGGCAGATCACTTGAGGCCAGGAGTTCGAGACCAGCCTGGCCAAC
The DNA here is from genome assembly GCF_000001405.40 of Homo sapiens. Lineage (NCBI taxonomy): Eukaryota > Metazoa > Chordata > Mammalia > Primates > Hominidae > Homo > Homo sapiens. The sequence continues at coordinate 46,702,318 of NC_000013.11, forward strand.
ATGGTGAAACCCTGTCTGTACTAATAATACAAAAATTAGCTGGGCATAGTGCCATGCGCCTGTAATCCCAGCTACTCAGGAGGCTGAGGCAGGAGAATCGCTTGAGCCCAGGAGACAGAGGTTGCAGCGAGCCGAGATCGTGCCACCACACTCCAGCCTGGGTGACAGAGTGAAACTGTGTCTCAAAAAAATAATAATAAAACAAATAAATAAATAAATAACTGTAATTGATTCAAGTGCTTCAAGTGGAGGTAAAAAGGATAGACTCGAGCAAGTGCCCAACCCCAGGAAAAGGGGAGATGGGTGGACTGGTCTTCCTGAAGGATAGGATAATGGCCTGGACCTTTAATGACTGCCAATTTCAAGAAAAAGAGAAATTCTGGATTGAATGAAAGGCTTAGGTAAAGGCATGAAGGTCAGAATGAATGGAGCCAGGTTGGGAAAATCTCAGGCAGAACAGAGGCTCTCCATCCTAGTGTGCTTCAGTATCACTTGTAGAACTTTTTCAGAACAGATACCAGGCACTTCCTTTGGGGACTGGAGTCAGCCAGTGCTTCTGATGTGCAGCCAGGACTGCGAATCACCAGAGACAGTGTAGAATGATGCAGGCGATGGCTTTGGATGTTGTTAAGGAGCTGAGATTTTAATTTATATTTAGAGGGAGGCAATGATGGTGTTTAAACATGATTATTCATGTTGTTAATTCTCCCTTATGTTTGGCTCGTGGCATAGGCACCTAATCAAGGTATGTTCAAAGAGTTGAATTCTACATCCCAAGCCGGGGCAGTTAGTGAAAGGGCAGGAAACAGGACAGGAGAGCCTGTATGTGTGTTTACGTGTATCCATGCATGTGTATGGTTGTTCATACATGTATGTTAGTACATGTAGGCATGTGCACCCGTGTACATGTATTCATTATAACGAATCAGGAAGTAGTGTGGCTTGTAGAAAGAACAGACTTTGAATTAGCTAGAAACTTTTTAAACATAGCTGCACCATCAGTTAACTTGGGTAAGTTGTATGACTTCTCTGCATCCCATTTCTTCATCTATAAGAGGGGGTGACAAGTACCTACCTTTTAGGGTTATGAGGATTTGAAATAATACATAAACTGCCGGTGGAGAAGTAAATTGGCAAAACCATTCTAGAAGTAACTTAGTATGTAACCAAGTCTAGAAACATATAAAACTTCGGAGTGAAATCTAAGAACTTATCCTAAGAGACAAGAAGACGTGAACAATTTGGGGAATTTGGGGTAGAGAATGAGGGGTAGGTATTTTTAATAGCAAATATTTGGAAAAAGAAATTATCTAACAATTTGGGGATACTTTAAGTATATTATACTCTTTGATAAGACAGAATGTGATGTGGCCAATATAATGTTTTTTAAAGTTTCTAGTGATATCACAGAATGCTTTTATACTTTTAAAAAAGTATATAACTTTTTTAAAGTATGTAAAAACGCACAATGTTTGGTCCCAATTATATAGATAGAATTAGGTACCAATTGTGCAGGAAATTTAGAAAAACTGGAAGGAAATATATTAAGATGGATTTTAAGAAGGAAATATATTAAAATGGAAGGAAATATATTAAAATGGAAGGAAATATATTAAGATAGTGGAAGAAAACATTCCCAACTAACCTTCCAAGTGACACTTGATTTGCATCTTTATGGAGCACTATTTTAAAATACTATGTTGTAAAATTTTATATGGATTCTTTCATTTTCTTTCTAAAATAATCCACTACTTTGGCTGCTTTAGATCATTGTTATTTATCCTGAAATAACTATTATAATATGACATCTAATTTTATAATAGTTCTGTGAGCCAGTTTAATAGTCATGAAAAGCCCTGGTTTTGTTTTGGATATAGAGAGGACACTTGAAGATGTCATTTATTTCTAACTACTTTGGGGCTGAATATTAGTAATAAAAAAGTTTACATACACATTTTGTTTTTTCTTTTATCTCACATTTCATAGATCCAGGAATTTTTTTCTTTTTTAGTTAAGCCATTGATTGTGGGATTAAATTTTTCAAGTTTACCTTTTATGCATCAGAAAATTTAGTTGGCTATTGCTGTTCTGTCTTTATCTTGATTTCTTCTCTTAAGGCCTTCTGATTGTTAGTTTGACAGCATTTTCATAGGCCTCTATAATATAAATGCATCCCTGTTTAAGATGACTTTGTAAATTTTATATAACTTACAGAAATTCCTGGCTTTATAGGTCTTTAAGAACAAAAAATCTTCATCTCTTAAAATAGCAGAAATTTAGAAACTGTTTGAGACTATTTCAGAAGTAAAAATGCATATCAAATTGCTTATGATTTTTTTAAGTGAGAGATATAATGTATATCTCCCTATTAAAACCAAATGCCATTGGTACATATACTATAATGTAATACTCTCAGCAACTTGACTTGCTTCTGTAAATTCATAAAGTTCTAAAATAAAATTTAGTATATGCTATACTACCTATGAAAATTTTGATTTTATTAGAAATTACTATTATATTACAAACAAGTTGGATTGTATTACCAATAGCAGATGGAATATTATATTTTGGCATGCAGTGGGAAAATACCATGCACTTTGAAATTTCTGTCATAAACTTTTCCTCACTTAATCCTAAAGATAAACATAACTTTTTAGTAAATTAAAAATTTAAACTGAATAAGACCAATAGAATTTATTAAAAATAAAAGTTTAATACGTTTACTAATATCTTTTTTTCCTACTCTTTAGATTAAGCACAGATATTACAGAGAGAAGTGTTTTAAACCTATATCCTATGGGATCAGCAGAAGCCTTAGAATTACAAGATTCTGCACTGAAGTATGCTTGCCTTTTATAACAAATTATGTTTTCTCTTTTCATAATACATTGACATTTCTATGCTTTAAATTTCACTTTGTATCTTTTTTTTTCTTTCCTTGTTCTCACAGTGGTCAAATACAGCTGGAGACATCTCCGGTGTGTGAGGTAAGGCTGCTGGTAGATTCACCAGAACTCTGTGCAATATTTTGCCATGGAATACTGGCCACCACATTCTGTAAAGATTTGTCAGGGAGTGAAACATCTTTATTAATGAGGCCAATATTCAGATTTGTTCAGGACACATTTTTCAACTTGTTTATACGTTTGCCTCTTTAGTTCTGCTTTTCTGCTATACCTCACCCTCTGTTGAAGATGAGAGTTGGCTATTTCTATTAGATTCTGTAGATTTTTTTACCTCAGATCATCTTGCTGAGTCAAGCGATGGCAACTAAAATACATAGGGAATCTGCCTGTGTGTCAGAACCTGGAGGAGGACCATTCAATGTAGATTTTAGAGCCAAGAAAAGGTCTGGGAATTGGCCAGATGGAAATTAGCTAGAAAACACCTGAAAGACAAGAACAAATTATTTGGGAATGTCGAGGAGGATTGAGAGAATATCATGAAGAGAAACTGGTGGTGATATTTGAAGACAGGGTAAGGATGGGTTCAGTAGAGTTACATGGAGTGAAATTTGGATGGCTGTAAAGAAAGCAGTTTTGACATAACACTAGAGATGACCTTAGAATGTCCTAAAGCCAGAATGTTACCCCAGGATTAGAGAGAGAAGTTCGAGCTGGTGATTTGGGAATGAAACATAGGCTACAACCCATTTCCTGAATGGATTTAGGATGGCTAATTTAGGCACCAAGATTGTGTACAAACACCTTATGCCCCACTGAGGTGTTTGCACATGTACTATAGTAAAGCGGTTTCACGCTCTTAACTTTGTCTCTATGTTAAAGAAATAAGGAAAAGGGAAGTATTAATGTAAAAGGGAAAGCCATGTTGCTAGAGAGTGTGGTTTCATTGTTAAGCGCAGCGACTTGGAATTATATTAGGTATCAGTCCCATCTCAAAGACTGGCTAACTGTGGGGAACTTAACCTCTCTAAACATTCATTACTGTAATTGGGATCATAATACTACCTATTGTAAAGATCGAATTAGGAATTCTGATTCAGAAAATGTCACATAATATAGGGTACCTAAATGTTAGCTATTAGCTTACTTCTCTATTATTGTTATTGGTGTGGCCTTTAAACAGAATTACTGTACCACCTCTTCCCTGGGTGGAGGCCTCATTGAATTACCCAATAGTGGGACATTGGAAGTCTTTTATTTGCAGTCTCCCCTGGACCAATTTCATCAAGCTCTTCCTTTGAGATTGATTTTGGTTCTGTGCAGACTTAACCTCTTTTTTAGCTTCTTATTTGGAAATAATTTTTTTAATTTAATTTTATTTTTTGAGAGATGAGATCTCGCTTTGTTGCCCAGGTTAGTCTCAAACTGCTGGCTTCAAGCGATACTTCCTCCTTAACTTCTCAAAGTGCTGAGATTACAGGTGGCTCACACCTGTAATAATAATTTTAAACATGAAAATAATTTTAAACTTATAAAAGTTGTAAAAATTTGCAGTGTTCTACAAAAGCTTGCAAAAATGATAATCTTGTAAAATTAGATTTACTAGTAACATTTTATCACATTTGTTATATTTGTTCTCTTTCTCTCTCTCTCTCCATACACACAGTTCTTTTTCTGAAACACACACAATTCTTTTGCTGAAAGTAAGTTTCACACATCATAGTCCTTTATCCCTAATCATTTTAGTGTGTGTTTTCTAAGAATATGGATTTTTATCTTACACAATCAATTTCAGTTATCATCTTCATAAATTCATGGTGATAACATATTTTCATCTAATCTATCACCCATCCTCCAAATTTGTGAGTTAATCTAATGATGCTCATCAGAGCATTTTTTTCCTTTCAGTGTAAGATCCAGTTTAGTTGCAGATACTGCATTTGATTGTCAGGTATCTATAACCTTCTTTTATCTGGAACATTTCCATGACCTTTCTTTGATTTTTATGACCTTGAAATTTTGAGGAACACAAACCTCCTCCTTTTTAATAGAATGTTCCTCATTTTGTGTCTGTCTAATGTTTCCTTATCAGTTTGAACTTCTGCATTCTGATTTCGAATACTGCACAGGTGATGTTGTGACCATCTCAGGGCATCACATTTGGGGCCACACACTATGTCCATCTTTCCCTCTTTGGTGATGTTAATTTATCACCCAATCAAGATATAAGTCCATTTCTCCACCGTGTAATTGCTGTTTTATTTTTTCGTTGCAACTAACAAGCAGTCTGTGACAAGATAGTTCAAGACCATCTTAGCATCCAGCTGCAGACCCACTTTTGACTCTAGTAAAATAGATGGCCACCTGTTTGCATGATTTCAGGAGCACAAGAAAGACACAAAGCTTCTGGAATAAAGATATATCCCCTCCATTTTTAATACACAATTGGATGGTCATTCCAATAATTTTGTCTTCTAAGATGTATATATTCCTGAATTTTTTTTAAAAAGGAAGTATTGTTACATGCCAGATCATGTGCTTTGTATATTACATAAGTTATCGTTATTTCATTTCTTCAATAAATATTCGTTGATTGCCTCCCATGTGTCAAGCACCACTCTGGACACTGAGAAAGTAGCATTAAAGACACAGAGGTCCTACACTTACGAGTTTACATTCTAGGTAAAGGTATAAGTGAAAAGTGCATCCTGAGTGATGATGCAGGATTTGAAGCTCAAGGTCAAGTGACTGGCCAGTTCAGTTACATGTAAAAGGCGTGGCCCTGCTTTCCCACTGTGGTATATTGCCTCTTCATGCTGTAGACTAGTGGCAGCACTAAGTCTTGTCATGCTTACAAACCTTAGTGATGCCTGATTGCATCAAACCTTTTCTTCAGAGCAGATCTTGGCAGAAGAAGAGCGGCCATTATACTTATGTGTGCATGAACAATGCTTCCAGTAATGTGAATGGGTATGGAAGGAATAAGGGATGGGTATATACTAAATATAGACTGAGCCCAGTTCATAGTTTTGTCTAGGTCTAGTTTTCATCCCATCTTTTTTTTTTTTTTTTTTGAGGCAGAGTCTCGCTCTTGTCGCCCAGGTTGAAGTGCACAATCTCGGCTCACTGCAACCTCCACCTCGTGGGTTCAAGCAATTCTCCTGCCTCAGCTTCCTGAGTAGCTGGGATTACAGGTGCCCGCTACCATGCCTGGCTAATTTTTGTACTTTTAGTAGAGACAGGGTTTTGCCACGTTGGCCAAGCTGGTCTCAAACTTCTGAGCTCAGGTGACCTGCTCACCTCAGCCTCCCAAAGTGCTGGGATTTCAGGCATGAGCCACTGCACCCAGCCTGATCCCATCTTTTAATCTAATAGCAATACATGCGCTGATTTACTAACTACCCAATTCCAATGGTTATTAGAAATTGCTATTGTTATTCAACATTTTGGTGGTTTGGGAAGGAATGTTTAAATGTCACATTTCCTTAATATCAGCCCAAGACTGTTTTATTTGGAGCTTCCTCCCATTTTCCCATCAGCAAAGGTGAACTCTATCTTTGCAGTCAGTTCTAGATTTTCAAAATGGATTCGTACTTATTGATCTCCTCTTTATTTCTCCTGTTGTTTGTCTTTCTCATTGCATAGCACAAACACTTAGCATTCTCACTTGAAGTGGGACCCGACTCAGTACCTAACTACTACACAGTGAGTAGTTCGTGAGGATTCCTGGAAGGGAGGGAAGAAGAGAGGGAGAGAGATAGGAAATTAGATGATGAGGATTAGGCTTTGGTAAGCAAATTTCAGTGTACTGCTTATTTGATGTACAGATCTCTGGGTCTTAACTGATAGCTGCAAACACTCCATCATTTAGGTAAAGTGTATATTATGTCCCTTTAAATTCATTTCCTTGTGTTTGTCTAAATTGAAAATCATCTGACACTTTTCCACATGCTCATAAAGCTTCATGGGTTTTTCCTGAAGTTTAACCATGCTTGCTACCATTATATTATGTGGAAAAGCCTAATATCCTCCTAAAGTAGGAAACTTGACTTCCAAGTCATATATCAATCATTCAGTCAGTTGGCCCAGCCCAGCTTTCCCTCTAATGATGAGTCTGTTTGTTCCATCAGCCAAGGCCATTAAGCCTGTAGGTGTTGAGCTGCAGCTCTGCACAGGTCCTGTGCTCAGTGCTGTGAGGGCCTCCCTGCCAGCTACTGCACCCTTGCCTCCAGAGTGAATTTTCTGCTCTAATTGGGCAGATTGTATTACTCCTCTGTACTCACAGAATGTACCAGGTCCAACCTTCCTTAGCACCTTTATTTTAGCATGCTACTTAAAATGTCTTTGAGCTTTCACTCTCATAGAGTTTTAAAAACGCATATATACCTGTGCCCATGATTTCGGGAGTCCCTAGAAGACAGAAAACCTCAAGAAAAAAAAAAGATACTTTTATTCTATCCCCAACTTACAATGTTTTGTGTTATTTTAACATAAGGTTGATTTTTTTTTCTTTTTTGGCTGAAGGAGGAGTATTTGGTATAAGGAATTCTCACTCCTTGTTTTCCTTCTGTAGGGCAATTATCTGTCCTTGGCAGATACATCTCTATGATTTTAAAAAAGGAGGGGAATAGCTGGCCCTGATGGAAAAAGGAAGTCACAAGGAAAAGAAAAGAGAGTAGTGAATTCACAGGGCCAGTGATAAGGATTATGGAGAGCTAAAATATGATCCTTACTTATGATTTGGTTATTTTTATATTCTTTCTTCTGTCTCATTCAAGCAGAAAGTAACATCTTTCAGCATAGCCCTATATTAATTCACCAGTATTTGTTGAGTGCCTGTGCTAGATTCAGCCTTGTTTTTGTGTAAAGGACTGGAAGATGAAGGCTATGAAGTTGCCCTCACTTTAGTGAATTTTTTTTTAATTGTGGGGGTAAGATTTAGATGTTGAAAAATTTGCAGAAGAAATAAGATGGTCTGCAGTCCTGAGCTTGTTTTAGGTGCTCAGGGACACTGGGGAAGGGGTAGAGTTTAAGGAGAGGAAAGTAAACTTAGACTTTGGGCATTTTTGGGTTTGGCCCTGTAGCCAGGAGGCTATGTTGAGCAAGACACCGTGGCTGTGGGGGATCAGCTCTGTGTGAGCCACACGGAAAGGGGAGGCCAGGATTATGAAGCGGTTTGTAATTGGTGGCACATCACGTGATCTGACTTTAAACATACTTTAGGTGACTGTCCACATCAAGTGTGGATGGCACTGGCATCCATGCAGGAAGAATTGCAAATTGCATGGCTCATACATAAATATCGAACGGGGAAGGGTCTGCGAGACGATAGGACAAACTAGAGGAAAGAATTGCTTATAGAAAGAATCAAACCTGAAGTTACTTGTTAGCAGCTCTAACAAAGCCATTTGATTGAATAGGGATATTTGTGACATTTTATTCTAAAAATATGGTTTCCTCTTGGATTTGTGTCAAAGGTGGGAAGATTTTTAAATAGCACTCCTCAACAATGAATAGGAACAGGCATCTTAAATGTACAATAATTTGGTGGCATATATGAAGGTGTTTTTATATGAGCTAACGCCCAATTTTTTATTAGGGAGGATCAGGGGGTTCTTGACTACCTTATAAAGAAGGCAGATCTGGGTAAGAAACTAGAGTGTGTCCCTTGTGGGCTCCTTGTTTCTGCGTGTCCCTTTCATGCTGGTTTTACAAGATTTTGCTCTCAGCCACTGTCCCTCAATTTCTTCACTGTCTCTGTGGACCATCTGGCCACTCTCATGGACTCAGGCACCCCATAAATAATAATAACTTCGAAACCTGTAGCTCATGCCTCAGGTTCCCCTCTGTACCCCAGTATTCAGATTTTATCTCCATGCCCCACAAATTTCTCTTTCTCTACATAGCTAAACTGATACTATCAACTTCTTCTTAAACTGCTCCTGTGTTCTCCGTGGTATTCAGTGATGCTACCATCTACCCAGTCATTCCTGCTGGAAATCGGGATGTCATCTTGACTTTTCTCCATGACCAGTTATAAATCCTGCACATTTTATGACAGAAAAAATTCATAATTTTTTCTCTTAACCAGTAGTTGCCAAAGTAATCTGATGTTGAACTGACAACATGAGATTTGCCCAGTTAATTTGGGGTCCAGACGTGTATTTATTGAATGCTCCCAATGTGATTCTGCATATTTAGGAAGTACTACCTTGAACCATTTCTAAAAATCATAATTAAAATGAGGATGGGAACCAGCAGGCAGCTTGGTCACCTAGCAAGGTAAGCTGACATCCACAGATATTTTGGAGTGAACTCCTTGCTCTGGGAAGTTCTTTATCTTAGTTTGTATAATACTTTAAACGTATTTTTCTATGAATACAGCTGCATGTTTTCAGAACGTATGAGTATGGTCTACTTAGTTACTGAACACACTAACTAATTAATTCAACAGATATTCATTGTGCACCTATGGACCGGGGACATGATGGCAGTAAGAAAGATGAATTTCTTGCCTCAACAGTTTCACAGTCTAATGGAACATACCATGCTTTGTTCTTCTTTTTTAAGGTGCAAAGTGATCTAACATTACAGAGTAACGGGAGCCAGTATTCTCCAAATGAGGTAAGTTTCTTGAAGATTAATGGAAGGTGAGGTGTTTCTTGATGGCTGGATTGGAATATCTTTTACAGAAATATATAATCTAAGACTTGTGATTAATTAATTAATTGAGTCTTTGGGGGAATCCGTCTAACTCTCATTAGCTATCATAGCTTTATCTGGTCCTATTCGTAATTAAAGATTAATTTTTATGAGATATATTTTTAAAAACCGAATGTAGGAACATCTTTACAAGAAAACAGAATGAAGATCACTTAAATAGGAAACATTTAGAATGTCTTGTTCTCCATAAATGATTCAGTGTGTGATTCAGTATTACTGAGTTCAGTATTATCTGTTTCCTCATCAGATGTGCCCTCTTTTGGATATAAATGGATATAGTGTGTGTGTGTGCATGCACCCATGCACACAGCTGTGCAAGAGGAGTGCCAGTGTCACGTAATTGTAAAATGTTCTTAAAATGGACAAAACAAATTGAGTGGGTCACTCTAAAACAAACATTCTGTTGGTTATGCCATTTAACATCTTTACAAAGTGATTTTTTTTGGCCAGGACTTCATCACACAGCAGCGAATGCAAAAAGGGAGTAGTTTTGTTACAATCCTTGAACATAGAAAACCATACATAGTTCTTCTGTTTTCCTTTTATTTTTTTCCTAATTTCCTTTCCTTCCAACACCACAGATTAGAGAGAACTCCCCTGCAGTCTCTCCTACCACAAACAGCACAGCTCCATTTGGCCTGAAGCCTCGATCAGGTAAATGAAAACCTCAGCCCATTCTTACACTAAATAACTCATTGCTTTCTCTTGAGCCTTTTAAGTGTATGCATTATCAATGTGCACATCCTTGTCAGTTCTGCTGAGCCGAAATCCTGGCATCTACAGCTAGGGGAGGCCAGAGTTTGTAGCTTTGTTTTCAGTGAATCAGCTAAGTCCGTGTTATCAGTAGTGGATATTCTATCTTCGTTTGAATCCGAGCAAAGAAAAAACAGGTGGTGGGAGCATGTAAGCGGGGAAGAAATATTCTATTGATTTTTTTTTACCTAAGGAAGATAAAATAGCTTTGGCCCCAGTGGTTCCTGCTGCTCGGCTGAGTTAAGGGGCAGCCTGCCTCTGGAAAAGTGACTCCTTTCTGAGACATCCTCATTTGATTTCTGAGTCTGGTAGGTTCTGTGTGTTTACTCACATAACAGAGTGGTCATTTCAAGGCTTGCATGAGTGGTCAGGAGTTACTTTTTTAAAAAGTCTTTTGAGAAAGCATTCTGCTTATATTACCAATTTTAATTTGTTATTAGTTTATTCACAAAAGTAAATTATAGCAATGTACAAAATAATGGTTGCTTTTGAAAAGAAAGTACTCTGTATAGAAAAATTTGATTCTTCTGATTTCTCCATTTATTTGAAGTTCTGTTGCTAATCTTCCTTCTTTTAGGTCTTTCTTTGTTTTAATATTTTTGACTCTTTGGTATTTAGTCTACACTTACTACTGATGCTTTTAAGCAAGTGCTAATAAAGAATTCAGACGCTTTTAAATAAGAACTGGTAGAGAACTCAGATGTTCTTGAGTTCTCCAGTAAAGCATTTTGACAACAGTAGAGGTTATACATGTGTATATTTTGCAAAAAGGCACCCATAGGAAAAACAAAGATGATTCTTTAATAAAGGAAATGTTTTTCATTCTTGGGGCAGGTTGATTGATGGGTAACAAGTGGCCAGGTGTAATGGTTTCCTGGCAGTTTGAATGGGCCATAGAAGAAAAGCCATTTGAGAAAGTGCTTGAGTGTGACAAGGGTTAGTGAGTGTTTTATGGAGAGCCAAATTTTACATGAAATAAAACTCAAATGGCTGGTCTTCTCATGTTTGGAGCTAAGCAAATGTGATCAGTTCCGGGCTGAGGCCCTTGGCTGGGTTTTCCTTTCCACGGTCTCAGGTGTGTCCTGGGAGGAATGGAGGTGAGTCCAGGCACACCTCATCTGTGCCTTCAGTGACAACCCACCAGGAGACTTATTTTACACGCTGAGGACCTCATGTTGAGCTGCAGACTGTCTCCTAATCCTCACAGTCAGTTTTACACAGTTTAAAAGCATGGCATAATTGAGCAAATCAAAAGTTGAATGGATCTTCAGAGAATAATATTCTTTTGAATGTATAACTTGCAATTGTAGAATTATTTTGGTGACTTTTTTATTCTTTTTATAGAGTCCAAACTCAACTTATTACAGTTAGGGTTTACATTGTACTGGGGCTGTTAAACCATTTCACATTCTTTGTAGCAGTGAAAAATAAATGGAGCTTTTATTTTGAATAGCAGAAAACAAAGTTAATTTCCTTTCCAAGCTTCCAGCCTTTCTATAATGCTGACTAACCAATGTGGAAATTGTTCTTGTTGTTGAAAGCTCTATGGAGTTTGGTTGCTGTAAATAATGCTGTTTACCTTCAGGATCATCAAGTGACATGTGGGAACTTTAAAAACTTGCATTATGTATGGAAATTTATTTCATTTTATTTAATAATTTTAAAATAGTATATATGCTTAAGTGTATTTTTCACATTTTCTGGAAAGTAATATATACAGTAATCTTAACTGGAAAGCATATAGTTTTAAAAGAAACCACTTTTGATCGAGTAGCTTTAGAATGCTTAAAGCCAATTAATTTTTATTTTGAAAGTATGTGGATTTATGTGATTTCTGTGTTATAAATAAAAACAGACTGCTTAAATTAGCAAGTTCAAATAAGAACTTAGATTCTTAAAGTAGGCTGGCAGTTTCTTTCATTTCTTTCTGTGTTTTCCTCCCGAACAAAGACAACTGCACACACCCAAATATTTATATCTAGAACTATATCCATTTATTTTACCGGCCCTGCCTTATGATTGAATAAAAAATAATATAGATATTTCCTAAATATGAAATTGCCATATGGATATTTAGTGCAAAAATAAGAGTTGTTATCATTTCATAAGTGACCAACTCAGAAGTTCTTGAAATTGATTGATCTCTGTTGATTAATTGGATTTGTTGTTAAATAGACTGTACTAGTCTCCAACATTTTTTGTTTTTTGTTTTTTAACTGAGCAATATTGAAAACAGTATTTAGAGGTATGTCCAGGATTGAGAAAAGAATTAGCTAGATTCAGCTATCTATAAAGCATGCCAATAGACCTACAGGTGTCTTTAAAAAGAAATTTGACATTGCTTTGGAGAAAAAAAATCACTAATGGTAAATGATGATTCTATAATAGTTTTATTTCTAAATAATAGATATATTTACGCATATTAAGTTTTATTCTATGTCACCAATTTTTTTGTGTGTGAATCATATTTTGTTAGTTTTTTAGAAAGTCTTTGAGGAACGTATCTGGCAGGTCTTTTGCTTTTTATCTACCTAACCTATGGGTACTCTTTCTTTCCTCTGACCTGATTCATTAGTACTCTAAGTCTGTGGGCTTGCAGAACTGTTAAGATTAACAAATATGAACTGCATGCAAAGTGTATGATTGATGGGTACTAACACTCAGTTTTTATCATTCTTTTTATTCCATGCACCATCTTTCATTCTTCTCCTATATTGTGCATTTGAAATTAAACCCCATATAAATGAAATCCACTCTTCATTTCCATGCAAACCCTATGCCATTTGTGAAATGCTGCTGCCCCTTTGGTTTTTCCTGGTCCTTGTGCAACTGTACGCGGACTGGCTCTCTGGCTCCCCTGCAGACCCAGCCCTCATTCTTCCTCCTATCTCCTTCAACACACTTACACAGGCACAGACATGGGACAGCTCTAGCTACAGTGTTCCATCTGAAGGAGACAGTGACAATGGTAGGTGGCTTTGTACCTATTCTCCAATGTTCTCATTAATAAGCCAATGCGTATACTGAACATTCATCTCTGTGCAGCTGAAGATAGAGTATATTCACCTGCATGCTTGGTATGAGAAATAATGTGTAAGCCTGGAAAGTGAAGTCCAGAAAAGTGCACGTGGATTGTTCTCTAGCAGTTTGTCAAACTCCAGTTTAATTAACTTGACTATTCTGGATTTGGGGAAGGCATTATAATACTTTCTTTTCTCCCCTTTTCTGCTTGGGTTTTTTGGTTTGTTTGCTTGTTTACAAATATTTGGGGTTTGCACATTTGGATTTATCTCCGCTTGTTCCTGCATCTGAACTAAATGGTTTTAGAGTTTGATATTTTACTATTTATGCTTACTGTGTGAGATTTCTAAGGTAATTAAAATGTACCATGGCTGATCCTAGAGTATTGCATTGAAAATAATGTTAACGTGGAGAAATTTCTGAAAATGAAGATAAATCATTTGCCTTCTTTTTTCCAAATTATTGGCATATTTTGACTTTTGATGCCTTCTTGAGTATAGGTTCATCTTTTTGACATTCAAGGATAGTAACTTGGCCTGAGAATCAAATGTGTAAATAAAAAATCGAGGACACTCAGCTAGAGTTCATGTGGGTATCTTTTAATTTTGAATCTTATATAGCCTAAGAGATTACAATAAAACATAATTATTTAGATCTGCACACCACCTATATCGTAATCTCCATTCTAGTCTAATTTCATCCTAGTCTCTGAAATATTCAAATTTTAAACATTTTACTTCAGAATACAAAGTGATTGCAGTCGAGTTAAGTGAAACAGAGAATGTGATTTATAGGGAAGAGTAGTGAGGTACAGGGTATAGCCACAATGCAAACACAATGGAAAGATACGTTTTCTGATAATATTTATCTTTTCATCTAAGTATGTTACATGTAATACCTGGAAAATATATGTTTAAGACACTTGCTGTGATTTCTGGTTAAAATTCAACCAAAAATGCTTCTACAATTTCCTTATGGAGAAAGACAATGTATACTTTGGCAGAGTAGTTATAAAAAGAATTTTTAATATTTCATAGATTTCTAAATTTTTAAACGGAAAATAAATAGGATTAAAAAACAACAGTTATTAAACAAATGGCCCTCCTTATACCATCCAGTTGTAAATTTTGGAAGTTGAAGAGGGCTAAATGGAAACTTTCTTGATAAACATTTTCTTTACTTAAGTTTTTTTTTTTCTAATGGAGGGGAGGCATTTTTGTTTTTCAGAAAGTATAGCTATTTATGGGCCTAATGTTGTTTAAAGGAAATAAAGCCTAGAATGAAAGATTTATGTGTGGTTTGGTATTTCCTTAGGAATGATATCTGAAACCAAAGGCCTTTTTTTTTTTAAAACTGGGAAACAATTAGTCTTCTTATGTAGCAGTAGAATTACTATCTTTATAGACGAACAGACTAAAACCAGAAAGGTGAGGTGAGCTGCCTGGGTCACACTGTGGGGTTGAGGTGGAGGTGAAGCTGCACCAGGGTTCCTAACTCTGGAATCATCTCTGCCGCATCTACATTCAGGCTGCTTTCATTTGATTAAAAATCCTTAAATTTCCACAGAAAATAATCATTGTGGAAATCTTTCTAAAAATAAAATAACCTTGCAATAGTTATTTTTTCTATGAGTAAAAATTCCAAGAATTCACATGCAGCTGTTATGCTGTACCACAATAATAATAAAGCCATCGTTTTCAATACTCACGGTTCAGTCGATCATGTCAGATGTTTGGAGGTTGTCATTTTTTCCTATTTGCAATTTGTCTCTACTATGCCCTGGGCAACAGAAAAATTTCTGTACCGAAATAGTCTTTACAAATATTTGTTTAGGTTCCCAGATCTGACTTTTATGTTTATCTTCATTCTCTTTGTTCTTAACTTTGACCTGTGATTGGAATACATTTTCTAATGTAATGCTATCTTTGTAAATAACCTTTATAAATAAACATTATCTTATTACCAGCTCAACCTAACATAATGTAACTTGACTTTTATTTATACATTTAGTTATTATTTTTGGTAAGGTTGTCCTTTTTTTACCTTGCTCACTGTCTTGCTTTATATAAAATTATCCTTTTTTTAAAATTCTTTCAAATATCTTATTCCCATTCTATCTCATTTTAAATTCCCCATTTCTCTAAAACTTATTCTTCAAACAGATTTTTTAAAATTGGCAACCTGGGTAGAAGGTCCTTGGGAGTTTGAGTTCTCAAAGTCCCCAAAGTTCTGCCCCATAAGGTGGATGAAGGAGGATGTGGACGTTTGTCTGTAGGTTTCTCTGGGCCCACCCCTGGAGCTGGATGGGACAGCTTTAACCTCCGTTTTTAACCTGATAGTTTAACTTCTGCTTTTCCCCCTGCTCTTGTGTCCTCTTACTGAATCTTTCCTCTTCCCTTCACTTTGAAGTTAAAAACCATTTCTATCTTCTTTGGGGTCATTTTTGCTCTTTCATTTGCAGTGAATTTGTAGGTGCTAATTTATACTTATTGAAAATTAATCTTTAAGTTATCACCAGAGAATGGATGAATGGACCAGTTTACATTAGTCTCTGAAATAACCATGTATCTTGTACCAGTTTACAGATATTTTCCTTAATTTTTTACAGTAATCTTGCACTATAGGTATTATTTTTCCCATTAGAGAAATGAAGAAACTGAGGATATAAGAGGCTTTTTAGTGGCTCTTAACTCTGGTTTTATATTAGAATCACCTGGGCGTTTTGTAAAACTATAGTCACTTAGGCCCCATAGTCAGAAATGCTAATTTATTTGGTGTAGCATTGAGTCTAAGCACTGGTCATTTGTTTTACTTCTTTTTATGGGATGTTATGTGGTGTTCAAGTAAGGTTGACAGTCACTGGGTTAAGTAAATTGTCTAAGACCATAGAGAAGAAATGTGAGCATTTTGAGGACACCGAATGTGTCCAGTTCAATTTTAGGCACCAGAAGGGAATGAATGAATCAGCTAGTGAGAGTTCTGATTCACAGTAGCCTGGATCTAAAGCTCGTGATATTTTTTCAAAGCCAAGATACTGCTGCCTTTGAGTTTGTATATCTTAAACATCATGTCCAGTTCAGGTTCTTAACTTCCAAGGAGAAGTTGAGAGCTACATTTTAAAACTTCATGTTTCCACAGAGAAGAAATCTCCTCTCATTCAGTTAAATTTAGGTATAAATATTTTTCATATGAAGATGCATTTCATGCAATAATTAAATGAGAAAGTGCATTTGGGCAATTTTTAGAGCAAAGGGCTTTCTTTCTTTGCTTGACTCAAAGATGTTCTCACAACAAGTACATAAATGGTTTCTTGTACACATCCTTAAATATCTGCTGAGTGCCTATTATGTGCTACACATGATGCTCATTACTATGGATGCAGCTCTGAAAGAGACAGCCAAAATCTCTTTGCTTTCATATAACATTTATTTCAGAGTCTAATGCATTCACACCTAGAAACTAAGTTTAGGAGATTATTCATAAGAGGAAAAACTCAGGCGACTGATCATCAGAATAGAATAATCTTTGCAATGACGTTCTCCAAACAGACTGAGCTTTAAGTGAGGGAGTGTTTGAAACGTTTGTTTCATTTACTCGTTCAACAAACTCATTCTGCCCCACTCACTGCTTTGTGGGGCAGGAATAGAGGGTACAAGTTGGAAACAGACATAAACATTTACAGATCCATAATGGAGCGAAATATCACTCTACTGTAAGATAGAAAGTGGTGAGTGCCATGGGAGAGACACAGATAAAAGAATTTTGTATGCTCACAGAAGACAGAGATTACTCCCAGCTCAGAGATGAGGATGGGGTAAAGAGTGAAAGAAAAGGCAGAAAATGATGGAAAGATCAGTGGAATTTGACCTATATCTGCAAGTATGAATTTGATATTCTACGTAAGCATTTCATTATACCCTGCAGGGTCCATGCTTATCTCTTCTGCTAAGTAAATTGCGTATATGTGCAAATCTTTTTCATTCTTTAAATGTTATTTATGCTGGGTGCAGTAGCTCACGCCTGAATTCCCAGGACTTTGGGAGGCTGAGGCAGGTGGATCGCTTGAGGTCAGGAGTTCAA
Organism: Homo sapiens; assembly: GCF_000001405.40. Classification (NCBI taxonomy): domain Eukaryota; kingdom Metazoa; phylum Chordata; class Mammalia; order Primates; family Hominidae; genus Homo; species Homo sapiens. The sequence continues at coordinate 46,719,798 of NC_000013.11, forward strand.
GACCAGCCTGGTCAACATGGTGAAACCCTGTCTCTACTAAAAATACAAAATTTAGCCAGGCGTGGTGGCAGGCACCTGTAATCCCAGCTATCTGGGGGGCTTAGGCAGGAGAATCTCTTGAACCTGGGAGGCGGAGTTTGCAGTGAGCCGAGATCGTGCCACTGCACTCCAGCCTGGGCGACAGACTGAGACTCCATCTCAAAACAAAATAAAAATAAATGTTATTTATACAACATACAGTAATTAAACTATAGGCTTAATTTAAGCAGAACTTATTTTTTTTCCTTCATCTTAAATTGCCTACCTTGGCCAGGCACGGTGGCTCACGCCTGTAATCCCAGCACTTTGGGAGTCTGAGGCAGGTAGATCACTTGAGTCCAGAAGTTCCAGACCAGCCTGGGCAATATGGCGAAACCCCACCTCTACTAAAAATATAAAACTTAGCCAGGCATGGTGGTGCAGGCCTGTGGTCCCAGCTACTCAGGAGGCTGAGATGGGAGAATCGCGTGAGCCCAGGTGGTTGAGGTTGCAGCGAGCCGAGATCGCACCATTGCACTCCAGCCTGGGCAACAGAGTGAGACTGTGTCTCTCCACCCGCCCCCCAAAACCAATCACCGCCTCTTCACCTCTTTCAACACACTCATAACACACACTCTGCTCTCTCACCCATCTTTTTTCTTATGTACACTTCAACAGTCACAGGAGCATTTGACTTGAAAAATACATGCTCACAGTGGGGGCTGCTTCTTAATATTGTCTCATGGCCTCAAGTTAAATTTTATTCCTCTGGATTAAGTAAGGGAGCTCTTGAAATTTAGTGATATGAAATTAAGGAAAAGCAGAATAATTCTTTTGTAGATCAATTTCCTGAAGCCTGGACCCAGACCGTTCACTGGATTTATTATTTAAATAGGAATTAAAAGAAAAGAAAAAACTGTAGGTAATTTAATCAGAGGTACTTTAATGGTCCCGGTGAAGTTATTCTGTTGTAACAAACCCAGCAAAATAAGCAAGCACTTTTGTACTTGGTAGATTTATTATGAGCCTAAAGAGATTGCCTTAAGTTCTCTTATATGTCATAGTAATGAATACATTCAGAAAACTAATAGTGATATAGTCATTATTTCTGATCATTTTATGTATTTCTGATAATTTTAAGTGTTCATTTTAAAAAATACAGTTCAATTGGTTTTTAAAACACTTTTGGTTGCCTAACATTCATAGAGCAAATGCCCACACATGCATGTTATATTTTTAAGATACAAAGGAATGCAAAATTAAAAAATGATGCCAGGAAAGTAAAACCCAGACACCATTTCGTTATCCTGATATCTCACATAGGGCTCTAATAAGGCAATGTGGTGTTGAACAAAAGCTCATGGTTCATTTAACTTCCTGATAGTTTCATATTCAGATTGAAATCTGCCAATAAAAACATATTGAAAATATTATTAGATAAGATTACCCCCAGAAAAAAGGCAAAGGAAAGTAACAGCTCCAAAGAAAACATTCGATGTGTTTAAACGGTGTTGAGGCGCCCCTTGCTGGCATATGTGTGTATTATCCAACTCTATCTGCATTTCTTGACCTTTTTTTGGTAAATTTGGTGGTGCAAATTAGTTCTATATTTTATATTTTTATATATGTCTCTTTTTTGGTGTTGCTTGAAATGGTGTAAAATGTGATTCATTCTCCAGTTTCTTCCATGCGTCTTAATTTGTCAGAGTTTTCCTCAGTTCCCTTTTCTCTGTGAACTTTTCATCTTTCCCTGCCTGGTCACTCTGTCCTTTTACTGACCTTGGCTTTACTTTTTAAACAATTGGTTCTACGTCCTGTGAGGTTTGGGTTTTGTGGGACTTGGTGACAGCCCTCCTGTGACTGCCTTTGGTGTTCTTTGCCTGTGACTTCCCTCAGTGGCTTCCAGCAGAGGCCCCAGGCCACAAGCTGACTCCTCTCTGAGATTCCAGAAGGCGACAGGCCTTGCGTACCTTAAATCATCCTCTTTCTCCATTAACTCTCAAGTCGACGATTTAAGATATGTCAATTTTCTCAACTTCCATAGAGCATCAGAATGTGAATTCAAGAATCTTAGAACTAATTTAGAAAGAAAATACTGAGATGTGAGAAGGAGAATGCATGTTCAAAGGCACAAATTGAAATTAAAATATTGTAGTTAGGCGAGCACAGGACTTTTGATTACACCGAGCGGACTCAAGTCTTTGTATCCAAAGTATTCTATTTGTAAATCATATTTAATTTCTAGAAATCTGAAATATTGAAATAGCTTCTAAAGAGGTCCATAGGAAATGTATGTCAGGGTAGAATAAAAATTACACATTCTTTCTTATTCAGCATTGTTTAAATCATCATGATTGAAACTTCTGTAACTTCAGTACACCATGCAGCCTTCTATGTGGTATGGATTTCTAACATTGGAGTTCTCTGCCCAAAATTTTCTGAGGGACTTTCCCTCCCTACCTCAATCTGAAAGTCTGTGGGATGGGGGAGCCAAGGCTCTGAACAGCTCTTTCATCCATCTTATGTGCAAGGATAAAAATCTCTAGGAAGAAAAAAAAAATCAAGTTTAAGTCTGCCCTGGGCTTTGTATCATTAAAAAGTTAATTAAAACTCTTGCTGTAGTCATTCTCCGATGCATAGAACATTATTTACCTTCTTGATTGGTGTCTAAAAGGTGTTTTCCTTCATAGGGAAGGGCATGTGTTTTCTCAGCTCATTTCAGAGGATGCCCCGCTGTTAGTTACTATTCTTGGAAGTCGTAACTTCAAGAACCTGAAGCCAGCCATGAGCCCTTCAGCTACTTCCAATCTTGCCAGCCTTCCTAAAAGGTGTCCTTGCTCATCTCCAAAGGGCTAACTTTTTAGATAGTCTGCCAGTGACAGTCTAGAAGGCAGAATGTTTCCACCACACCCTCAAATATGTAATCATCACTTAGTTCTTAACTCAGGCTTACAAAAAACTTTATGCCAACAAAAACATTAACTTGTGCTTATTTTTAATACATACAACAATTCTAGAGCCTTATTTGAAATAAATTATCTGAATTTAATGAAAGGGTTGAGTGTAAATAAAAACTTAGAATGAAGACAGTGGGAAGATGAGTGAAGTAGGACATCTGTCAGGCAAGTGGCTTGGAATGGTCCCAGTGACCCAGACCTTGCCCTGGGTTCAGTTTATTATCACTGAAAAATACAGCTTGTTAGTCCACACAAACTAGTACAATTTAAAATATTGTCTCTTTTAAAATACTTGAGCCAGGCTTTTCTTGTGGATTTGGAATTTCTTTGTTTCTTTGAGTGGTAAATGAATTATTTTGGACAAATTAAAATACTGTTTGATTTTAATATGAATAGCCCTATGTGACAAGGCACTATATAAAGGCTTTTTTTCCCCTTTGTATTGTAGTGTTTCTAAGACCTCAGAGAAATTTGGAATCTATAGACCCGCAGTTTACAATCCGGAGGAAAATGGAGCAGATGAGAGAAGAGAAAGAGCTGGTGGAACAACTTCGTGAGGTACCCAAGAAATATTATGTAACTAAAGGAGAATTTAAGCAACATTCTACATTTTTGAGAAACAGACTTTGAAACATTGCAAGCAGTCCTAATTTCAAATCTAGCCAGGTCACTTAGTGACTGCTGGATGTTGGGCAAGCCACTTAACAACCCTGAGTCTGTTTCTTTGTATACTAAAAAAATGTTTTGGCCAGGCATAGTTTCTCATGCCTGTAATCGCAGAACTTTAGGAGGTAGAGGCAGGCTGATCACTTAAGTCCAGGAGTTTGAGACCAGTATGGCCAACATGGTGAGCCCTGTCTCTACTAAAAATACAAAAATTAGCTGGGCGTGGTGGCGTATGCCTGTAATCCCAGCTACTCGGGAGGCTGAGGTGGGAGGATCAGTTGAGCCCAGGAATGCGAGGCTGCAGTGATTTATGATTGTACCACTTCACTTCAGCCTGGGTGACAACAGTGAGAACTTGTCTCTTTAAAAAAAAAAAATGGTTCCAATTGACCTTAGTGGAGTTTTGTGAGGAATATATGAGATAGTAGTAAATAAAAAATAATATATACATATAAATGCTGGCACTATTTCAATTTCAATTCAGGTATAGTTTAATGCCCTGTCATTTATTTACTTAATAATATTAAATTAATTTTCATTTTTTATTTTTATTTATTTATGTGTTTTTGAGACAAAGTCTCACTCTGTCACCCAGGCTGGAGTGCAGTCGCATGATCTCGGCTCACTGCAGCCTGTGCCTTCTGGGCTAAAGTGATCCTCCCACCTCAGCCTCCTGAGTAATTGAGATTACAGGTGTGCACCACCACACTCAGCTAATTTTTTGTATTTTTACTAGAAAAACGTTGGGATTACAGGTATGAGCCACCGCACCCAGCTGAATTTTTAATTTTTAAGAGACTCTCTCTGTTGCCCAGACTAGAGTGCAATGGTATGATCATAGCTGACTGCAGCCTTGAACTTTTGGGCTGAAGTGATCCTCTGGCCTCAGCCTCCCAAGTAGGTAGGCATAAATTATCACTACATGCCACTGTGCCTGGCAATATTACATTAATTTAACAATGTTTATAGTTATCCTCACTTTGTACCCCAAACCGACCAGAGATTTTAAATCAATTATCTAATAGGCAAACCATTTGAGTTTCTACCAAAGAGGAAGTCTTGTGCTGGGTGTCATTGAAGCTTAAACTTGGAGCTGGCAGGGACCATGGCTGTCTTATTTCTTGTCGTATTTCTTAGTTCCCAATGGGCACTCTGTAGGTATTTGTCTACCTGCATGGTCTTTTTGTCAGGTTAGGAAGATCATACATAAATGTATGGAAGGTTAATTAACAGTATAGGAATCAATCACCAAGGAAGAAAACATTGGTATTAGCTACTAAAGACAGCACGTTATGAATTGCTGCATGAGTTTTTAATGTTCAGAAAGAAGTGTCATAACTGTGAACTAAAAGAGTCTAAGAAAGCTTCTTGACTAATAACAGAACAACCATTCAACCCTGTAATCCCATTACTGGGTATATACCCAGAGAAAAATAAATTGTTCTACCAAAAAGAAACCTGCACTCATATGTCTATCACAGCACTATTCACAGAAACAAAGACTTGGGATCAACCCAGGCTCGCATCAACAATGGATTGGATAAAGAAAATGTGGTACATAAACACCATGGAATACTACACAGCCATAAAAAAGAATGAAATCATGTCCTTTGCAGCAACATGGATGCTACTGGAGGCCACTATCCTAAGCAAATTAATACAGAAATGGAAAACCAAATACCACGTTCTCACTTATAAGGGAAAGTGAAACACTGGGTATACACGGACACAAAGATGGAAACAATAAACTCTGGGAATTCCAAAAGGGGAGAGATAGGGGGTGAGGGTTGAAAAACTACCTATTGGGTACTATGTTCACTGCTTAGGTGACAGGATCATTAGAAGCCTAAACCTCAGTATCACACAACATACCCATGTAACAAACCTGTACATGTACCCCTGAATCTAAAATAAATTTTTTCAATAAAGAAAGAAAGGTTCTTGGAGGAGATAGATTCGATGTTAAATCTTCTTTCATCAGCACATGTGTATTGACTGTCACTCTCTACCAGGCTGTATTCTAGGTAATGGATGTAGGAGAGAACAAAAAGGTCTCTGCTGTTCTGAAGCTTATAGTCTATTGGGGAGAGATAGTAAATAAGACGGAAACAAATAAATACACAGTTTCAGAGAGCAATGAGTTCTACAAATGAGCAGTGAGCCCTATAAACAAAATTTAGATTAAATTAAATTAGGATAGGTCAGCCTCTTTGTTATAGCAGATGATACTTTTTATATGGTTTAGCAAAGAGTCAGGAGGAAGTAATTTTAAAAAGAAAACAAAAAAACCTCTTACCACCACTTTAAGCCACTGTGGTGATTGAGCAAACACAAAGGGAAAGTCAAACCTCTGTCATTTGCCTGGACTATCTGGATGTGATGTAAACTGGGAAGGTGAACTTTATGAAATCTATGCAACTAAGATCAGAAGCTGAGCTATGCCCCTCAAGGAGTGATATCTTACAATTTTATCTTAAACATGGGTCATATTGATCATTTATGTCTTAATTTAGTGATATAAAATTAGAGCCTGAAAGAGTACCTAAAAACAATTGTCCACACACAGGACAGTTCTGAAAGAAATTTATATAACACTATTATATGCAGTGTTTTTCAAGTTTTCATTTATTAAAATCACCAAATTAAGTCATCCTTTCATACGCTGTGATTCAGTTAAAAGGGGCTTTTGTTGCAGAAGCTCTAGTTAAGGTTTGAAAATCGATTTCTCTACTTCTGCTTCCAAGAGGATGGAGTAGGCATACTTTGCCCTATTCTTCCCACTAAGTACACCTAAAATCCCTAGACATACATAAAACAAATGTAAGAACATTCTGGAAGGTAAAGAGAAGAAGACGGACTGATTAGGGTCCTTGAGACTTGAGGGGCGCCATAGTGATGAGCTCCAGGGGACTTTCTTTTTGCCTCATGTATCCAGACTTGGAGCCGAAGTCGCTGGGAACCCAGAAACAGTAATCGGCACAGACTTTAGAAAAACAACAATAAAAGCTGACTTTCTCTAACCAAATAACCAGGAAAGGGACAGCCCAGCAAGACACAAAAGTTTTAGACCATAAATGTGCTACTGCAGCTGAACACCACAGGAAACACTGTGGTCCCCCCTCACCCACACCAGCAAGGGCTGAGTCAAGTGAGACTTCTCCCCTTGCTGGGGTGGTGTCAGAGAAGACCAAGCCAGGAGCCAGAAATTTCATCCCCACTGGTCAGTAAGGAAGCTCGTCTGCTCCCAGAGTTTCAGTGGAGACCACGTGGGAATTCTGGATTCTCACCCCCACTCAGCAGTAAGGAGGCACCTACCCCTCCCCCACTCCCTGGCCAGTTGACACCCAGTAGAAAACCCAGATGCCTGCATTCACCTGGCGGTAACAAGATGGTGGCAGCCACCTTCCCCTGCTAGAGCAGTGTCAAAAAAAAAAAAAAAAAAAAAAAGGCAACTAAAACAGAGATTTAAATAGGATCCAGAGTCTCATAACATAATTCAAAAATGTCCAGGTTTCCACTGCAAATCCTTCATCATTCCAAGGACGAGGAAGATCCCAAACTGTAGGCAAAAAAGACAATCTGCAGATGACATCACTGATATAGCAGAGATGTTAGAATTATTTGACAGATATTTTTAAACCAGCCATGATGAAAATGCTTCGGTGAACAACGATGTACATGGTCGAAGGAAAGGAAAAGAATACCCCAGCAGAGAACTAGAAAATTTTGGCAAAGAAATAGAAGACACGAAGAAAAACCAAATGGAAATTGGGAGCTGAAAAATACGTTATTCATAACAAAAAGCCCAGTGGATGGGCTCCACAGCAGAATGGAGATGATAAAGGAAAGAACTGGAATGAAACTAGAAGAGAGAACAATAGAAATCATCTAATCTGAACAACAGAGAGAAAACAGATTGAAAAATCAGTGGACACAGAGCCTCGGGACCTGTGGGAGTGTAACAAATGATCCAACATTCGTGTCTTGGGAGGCCCAGAAGGAAAGGAGAATGGGAGCAAGGCAGAAGAGGAACTTGGGGGTGGGAAGGAAGGGGATGTCTCTATAATTTTTTTTCTTTTTTTGAGACGGAGTCTCGCTTTATCATCCAGGCTGGAGAGCAGTGGCGCAATCTCGGCTCACTGAAACCTCTGCCTCCTGAGTTCAAGTGATTCTCCTGCCTCAGCCTCCTGAGTAGCTGGGAGGGCGTGTCAATAAAAGGTCAACATGGGGGATCCTTGTGCTGGTGGGAATGTTGTGCATCTTGACTTTGTCAATGTCAATATCCTGGTTGTTTTGAAAGTTGTTACCATTGAAGGAAATTGGGCAAAGGGTACGTGGAACCTCTGTGTATTAGTTCTTACAATTGCATATGAATCTAGAATTATCTCAAAAATCAAAAGTTTAATTTTTAAAAGAAGGACAAAGATTGATTTCTCAGCTAAAAATAGTCTAAGAGAAAAACATTTCTTTCTTTCTTTCTTTCTTTTTTTTTTTTTGAGATGGGATCTCACTCTGTCAACCAGGTTGGAGTGCAATGGCATGATCTCAACCCACTGCAACCTCCATCTCCTGAGTTCAAGACATCCTCCCACCTCAGTCCCCCAAGTAGCTGGGACCGCAGGTACACATCACCACGCCCAGCTAATTTTTTGTATTTTTGGTAGAGACAGGGTTTCACCATGCTGCCCAGGCTGGTCTCAAACTCCTGAGCTCAGGCATCTCCCCACCTCGGCCTCTCAAAGTGTTGGGGTTACAGGTGTGAGCCACCACTCCTGGCCTAAGAGGAAAGCATTTCCTTTTTTTTTCTTTTTCTGTCACCCAGGCTGGAGTGCAGTAGCACTACCTCATCTCACTGCAACCTCCGCCTCCTGGGTTCAAGTGATTCTCCTGCCTCAGCTTCCCAAGTAGCTGGGATTACAGGCACCTGCCACCGTGCCTGGGAAATTTTTGTATTTTTAGTAGAGACAGGGTTTCACCATGTTGGCCAGGCTGGCCTTGAACTCCTGACCTCAGGTGAGCCACCCACCTCGGCCTCCCAAAGTGCTGGGATTACAGGCGTGAGCCACTGTGCCCGACCAGAGAAAAGCATTTCTTAATCCCTCTTCTGCCCCATGCAGACTGCCTGAACCAGTCAGATTTGGTTTTTATTTATCACGCTCAAAGAGTGATTCCATTATTCCATTCATTCTATTAAATAAAAATTTTACACTCACCTAAATTTGTTTTTATAAAGAGAGATTTTGATACTGTTTGGAAAGAGTTAAATAATGTCAGTGTTTTCTAGGCATTGTTATCCTTATTTCCTATGATGAAATTAGTGCCTCAGTTCATAAATACCCATAAATGTATTTTACTCACAGTTACCTCAGTGTTCATATTAACTGGCTTCCTTCTGATTTCCCCAACAGAGCATTGAGATGAGATTGAAGGTCAGTCTACACGAAGACCTGGGGGCAGCCCTCATGGATGGTGTCGTCCTCTGCCATCTGGTCAACCACATCCGCCCACGGTCGGTTGCAAGCATCCATGTCCCATCACCAGCGGTTGTAAGTAACACCAAAGGGAAACTAACTGACATAAAACAGACCTTTAGGGGGCACTGTTGTTGGTTTAGGATGTCAATGGTGTCAGTAGGAGCTTGCTCAAATCTTTTCCATTGGGCCCCAAACCATTATAAGGCAGAAAAGGAATGAAAGAATGGCCTTGAATGAAGCAACATTTTCCCGGTAAAATGAGAGACTATTTTAAAATAAATATATAAATGACAGAAACATAATTTTATTTCAATATCAAGCAGATCACTTTAAATAACTTACTGGGCGGGCACGGTGGCTCACACCTGTAAACCCAGCACTTTGGGAGGCCAAGGTGGGTGGATCACTTGCGCTCAGGAGTTGTATTTTTTGTAGAGACGGGGTTCTAAAATAGAAAACTACACAATACAAAAATATGAAAAATACAAAATTTAGCTGGCTATGGTGGCACGCACCTGTGGTCCCAGCAACTCAGGAGCTGAGGTGGGAGGATTGCTTGAGCCCAGGAGTTCAAGGCTGTAGTGAGCCATGATTGTGCCACTGCACTCCAGCCTGGAGACAGAGTGAGACCCTGTCTCAAAAAAAAAAAAAAAAAAGAAAAAGAAAAAAGAAATTACTGATTGACTGATGATCAAGGTGCTAACTTTAAGACTATAGGAACATAAAAATTTCTTTTTCCCAAGAGTTATTTAAACAGTGACAAGTCTTTCAGAAAGCTGCTTTTGGTTGGTAACTTCCCTTCTAAATTGAATCTTTTTCCTCTATTCATCATGGAGGATTTTAGGGATAGCCCTGAAAAGATGTGAGTTCTATGAAAAATACTATGAATAACCTGTCAAGGGGTTGGTTAGCAGTCATGACTTCAACAATTGCTTGATCAGTCACTGCACTCAAGGACTCATTGGTGATGCTGGGGACGTAGTGGGGAGGAGAACATGAATGAGACTCCTTAATGCGCCCCCAGATCCTCATCTCTGCTGTAGAGGAGATAGAGCCTGCACTCAGGGCTCTCTTCCTAGGTATCACAGCATGTTGTGAACTAGAAGAGAGCCAAAGAGTCAGTTTTATGGTTGTTCAGATGAAAGTGGAGGAATCACAGATAAACTTGTCCTTGAAACCTACACAGGATTTATACAAATAGAGAAAAAAGTATCACTGCTCACCCTTTTTGCTGTTTGTTAGGAGAGGCAGAAGAATTTAGGGGTTAAGAATGTAAGGTTTGGATTAAAATTCTAAAAGCTATACAACTTTGGGCAATCCTCTCTTGAACTTGATTTGCTCTTCTCTATAATGGAAATGTTCTTGCAAGTATGAAGTAAGATACTTCATGTAATTTACACATATATGTAAGCCATTATAATCATTAGTGTTTATATGGCAAGTTTTGGAAATTTGGAGCCCCATAAAAGTGCAATGTTCATAAAATCTCAGAGCCCAGTGTGTTGGACTGAAGCTCACGTGAAGCTCCTCCGCCCTCTCCCATCCCCAGGAGAGCCTCACAGTGGCATGATTTGTCCTACTTTCTTTTCTCTTGACAGCAGGAAAAATTAGCCAATGACCTTATTTCATCTTAGTTTCTTATCTATCATATTGAACATATTTTTCTTTCAAAGGTTCAACCACTTTTTTAGCCTCAGAAACATAGTGGGGACAAAAAGACCAATTTGTCTTCTTTTACAAATCTACCTCTAGCAGCCTTAATGTGGGACAGTAAATTCTGTTCCATGATCCAATATGAAACACTCCAGTATCTTTTACAAATGAGGTCCAAACTGCCGTAAAGTCATCTGAGTCTCGTGCCAGATTCTCAGTAATTTTTCCCAAATTATGAGAGAGACACAACAGACACCTCAGCCTTCAATTTCAATGTACAATGATCATTTTACAAGACGTAAGAGGACATCATGAATTGTGTACCCATTTACCTTTATCTTCAGGAAAAATGCTACATTGTTTTAGAAATCTTTTGGTTTTCACCATTTTGCTTTTTTTAAATAAAAATTTTAAAATTAAACAAATAATAGGAAACAATGAGTGACTGGTGAAAAAAAGAAAATAAAGGAAAGCAAAAGAAAACAAATCATTCTTTATTCTCCTCCTACCCAAAACCAATCACTGTTGCTTTTACCATTATGTCTTCTTTACTATAAGCTTTTTTTTTTTTTTTTTGGTAAAATTAAGTTGTTTTTTAATTGTGAGCTTCTCATATAGACTAGTAATTTTTTAAATGTATTATTGAAACCTAAATATTTCCCCATGTCATTAAAATTCTCTTTTTTTTCTGGAGATGGAGTCTCCTCTGTCGCCCAGGCAGGAGTGCAGTGGCACGATCTTGGCTTACTGCACCCTCTGCCCCCAGGGTTCAAGCGTGGCTCAGCCTCCTGAATAGCTGGGATTACAGGTGCCCACCACCACGCCTGGCTAATTTTTGTATTTTTACTAGAGACGGGGTTTCACCATGTTGGCCAGGCTGGTCTCGAACTCCTGATCTCAAGTAATCTGCCCGCCTCAGCCTCCCAAAGTGCTAGGATTACAGGTGTGAGCCACCTCGCCCAGCCTAAAATTCTTCATAAATGCCTAATTTACTGACTATAACATATTTTAGCCTGTTTTATTATATTATAGTTTTCCTTTTTAGAAATGCAGTTTGTTTCTAAATATCCACTTCTACATGTCCAATTATCAAAAATTCTTCACCAAGCATCTTGATGACCTTTTGGACCAGGCCCAGCCACGCTGTAGCCGTAGAACCTGCTTTCCTTCTTTCTTCTCTGCCGTTGCTCTTTGCCCCAGGCTCAGCACAGGCAGCTCCCTCTGCCTAGAAAGCCATGCCCCCACCTGCCCCCCAAATCTCCTTGGTTCTTCAGCGTCACTAGCTCCCTTTCCTTCTCTATTTCAGCATTCAGAAAACAAACCATTCTCAACGCCTTAGGACAGGGTTTCTTCCTTTGTTCATTTTCCGTCACACCTACCCCATGACAACTAAGAACTATCCTGTATTATACTGTACCTTCCTTTAGGTTGCTAATATTTCCAGCTGCTTTAGAGGTAAGTGAGCCTGGGGATTTTGTCTTTGGCTCCACAGTTGTATCTTTAGCATCAAGTTTAGTATCTGACCCATAGTAAAGCAATAAATGCAGTTGTATCTGCCAGCAGCAGTGGATGAGAGCATCTTTTCTACCAGTATTATCACCAGCAAAAGCATTCTAATTCTTCATTCATGAAACTAATATTGTCCATTTTGTTTTTGCCAAACTGAGGGAATATAGTAGTGAACAAAATCACTATCATTGTCAGTATCCTTAGAGACTATTCCTTAGAAAAATGAACTTTTTCAGCCTCTGACAATTTGATAAGCAAAACATTGGCATTTCAATTGGTATAATTGGTATAATGTTTTATTATTGGACCAGTGGTGAGGTTGAAGCTTTAACCATTGCGTTTGTCACAAGTACTTTTCTACCTGAAGTTAGGCAACAATCTTTGAAGACGCCCTCCCTCACTCCCAAAGAGGGAGAATTATTTTTCTGTAGCTTGAAACACACTCTCCATTAACTTCTTTGGGGCTGACCTAAGTATTTGGAATGATGTTGGGCGTCTTTGGAGTTTCAGAAGAGACTCACCTAAGGACATCTTTGGAGTTTCAGAAAAGACTCACCTAAATCATAAGTAAATGAAGGAAGATAATGGGCCCAAACGATCAGAGAGAAACGCTAGGGTCTTGGCGTGATGAAATGCCTCTTGGTACCTCATCTGCCAGGTCCATGACCCTCTGTTATCTTCAGTCATGTTCCTCAGGTCTGCTTCTGTTTGCACAAGGCTTCATGCAGTGGCCTTGTCCTGAGACATGCCAGGGGTTGGGCAAAACCACCGAAGCAGCTGCTGGCGACATCTCTTTAGGGCCCACGTGAGGGACGTGACTTCCTCCCTAATCAAGATGGAGAATATTTATTTAGCTTTCAACTTAAATTGTTTCACAGGGCAACAGACTCTGTTTTTGGCAGGGCTTTTCTTTTTGTATTTAATAAATGCTGTACAAATTAGATTTTGATGATAGTTGCTTTGTGCCTCTATAAGACGGAATGAATTCCGTCATTCTCACATGAGCAGGATAAGGCCAGTCTTTATCACAGTTGCTCCTCCACCTACAATATTGGAATCAGTCATGCGTCTTGCTTTCTTTCCTAAGGAAAATAGTGGAGGAATATTACAATTTAGCAGCAAAGTGTTCAAAACGTACCATGTAAAAAAGTATAGTATATTATATATGAAATGTGCCTGTTACCCATCCCACACCTCAGAGGCCATCTATAACCAAGGTTAATTCAATTGTGAGAAGCTTTTGGTTAAGTCCTGAACATCCACCATTTTCAGTGCTGTTTACCATGATATTGCCTCTATATCCCTGGCTTTGGTGGGAAGGAGGTTAATTGGCCTGGTGAATTTAGACCCTTTATATAGGAATATATTTGTTGATGGGGAAGTTGATGTTTATGGTGTACTTTAGGCAAACTAAAACAGGTTACACAACAGTATGATCCCGTAAAAACTATATATACGTGTGTGTGTGCATATATATAAACAATATAAACATACGTGTGTATACATATATACATATGTATGCAGAAAATTTTGCATACATATACATCAGTGTATATACATGATATACAAACATCTATATATATATACATAGGCATATATGTATATCTATGTAGGCATATATGAACACAGTGTCTGGAAGAATAGAATCTAAAATATTAACAGTTTTTAATCTAAGATGGATGTTTCTGAGTGATATTTTGTTTTCTTCTATTTGCTTATGTGTTATTTTCTTTTGCTCCAATAAACATGTATTGCTTGTGCCATTTGGGAAGTTTAAAATTTAACATGTTATTAAAATGGTTTCTCTTTTAAATAATATATTATTTCCGTATATTTGCATTTATAGCCCAAACTTAGCATGGCCAAATGCAGAAGAAATGTGGAAAACTTTTTGGAAGCATGCCGAAAATTAGGAGTACCAGAGGTAACATCAAACTTACTTCATATAACTGTGTTCTAGTAAAAATTTTATTTAATATATGAGTTTGAACCATTGAATCGATGCAAAGCTTTGTACATGCTTTTTTGTCTCAACCTTTCTTGAGAAATAATATTGAATAAATTATATAAACTTTAACTTGCTCTATTGCAGTGAAAGTAAAATGACTATGCAATATGTTCAATTCTGAGGAAAAAGGGAAATAATTTAAGATTTTGAAGTAAGTGTGAAATTTCAGACTTGAAAAAAAATTTTAATCCGCTTGATTCTCCAAGAGCAGAAATTGCTGAGGCTGTAAGTGAATCTTCTCTTAGGCTTCATAGAGTAGAATTTTGGAGCTGATGGTTTTCTTATCCCAGGCTCTGAAGAAAAGACCTGCTGATTATTGATTATCATTCTCTGTAGCTGTATTTTCCATATGTGGATAAAAAAATCAACATTGGAAATACTATAGTTATTGTTATCACTAATCGTTATCATTAATAATAGCAGCGTTTGTGTGTTGCTTTACAGTTTGTTAACTATTTGCATTTCATTTTTGCCTTCAGTTTGCTTTGAGCCCAATAGGCAATTCAATTACATATAGTTTGCTATTTTTTCTCTCTCCAACCTCGGACCCAGCCTCAGCCTCAGGCAGATGGCTGGGGGCTTTTAAAGACTTTGCTTTTAGGAACATAAACTGATTTCTTAGGCAGACAGGAGGCCATCCACTCAGAATATGGAGTAGCCATATAAATTGAGGAGTTTATCCTCACTGTGATAAACAGAAATTGATAGAAGTTTATTTCTTATGATTTCTTCTTTCTTAATGCCCCAGGGATAAGGTAATTTTAAAAATACATGCGATACTGTTTTGAGTATATGAAGAGTTATATTTCAGTATAATTCTACTCAGTGATAGGAATTAGTTACTGAGATTGACAAAGACTTTTTTCCCTTTCCTTTTCTCTCTCCATCCTTCCTTCCTTTTTTTTCCTTTCTTCCTTTCTTTCCCTCTTTTTTCAGCTTGGTGGGATTCAGAGGTGGGGGATAGCGGTAGACTTCTCATCTTATTTGAGGAAAAGGAGAGCATTATTTAAAACATCTTTAAGTCAGAGCTATATCAATACAAGGAAGCTTACAAATTTATTTTTTAAAGAGTGTAAATTTTATATGATGGACTGTCTTTGTGATCTATTCTGCTTTCAGCAATGTTATAATCTGTCTATTGTGTGTGTACATTTTAATATTGCATATACATTTCTTGGCTTTGAATATATATGTGAACGCACTTACATACCTTTTCTAATGATTTGATTCTGTCATGGGCTAGTAAGATTTCCCATGTGTGAATCAAAACTCTCATGGCAAGCTTCAGATGATAAATTATTTGTGTCTGTGCTAGAAAGCACTTCATCAGTGCTTTAGGTCATTAGGTTATGACCTAACTCCCTGTGGTTTTTAAAACTCATCAATGTGTTTTTGGCTTACAGTGATATAAAATAAAATGGAAATGCCCTTAACCAATTATTGTGAGTAAAGATTGGTAATTAAGATTTCCTTTTAAAGTGGAGAAAAGGAAACTAAATTACCATAAAAATCCAGAGCAAAATTTATCATAATTTCTCAAGATGCCCCTGGCAGTAATGTACAATTTATAATTCCCGAGAAGGTTCAAATACAGGCAGTGAATGATCTTTATCTGGCAGTGTCCCATTTAACTATGTTTAGTATCACTTAGCGTATTTCTGGAATTATGTTTAAGGCTTGAGGTGATTTTCCTTTTTTTCTTTTTCTTTTCTTTTTTTTTTTTTTTTCGAGATGGAGTCCCACTCTGTCACCTGGCCAGACTGGAGTGCAGTGGCACGATCTCAGCTCACTGCAACCTCCACTTCCCGGGTTCAAGCGATTCTCTTGCCTCAGCCTCGCAGGTAGCTGGGATTACAGGTGTGCACTACCACGCCCAGCTAAGTTTTGTATTTTTAGTAGACACGGGGTTTTACCATGTTGGCCAGGCTGGTCGCGAACTCCTGACCTCAGGTGATCCGCCTGCCTCAGCCTCCCAAAGTGCTAGGATTATAGGCATGGGCCACTGTGCCTGGCCAAGGTGATTTTCAAATTTGCTCTGTGTGTGTGTGTGTGTGTGTGTGTGTGTGTGTGTGTACACATATATATCCTAATGAATAATCCAATAGCATTTTACTGGTGACTAGAGTTTAAATTTACTTCTACTAGACAAAAAGTGTGTTAACAGTTGAACTTCTTTAATGATAATGTTAAAGTAAGTAAAGAATATTTAGTGACAAATCAGAAATTCCTATTGCAAGGCAACTGGCATTTTCCTGTATACTCAAAACAACATGTTTTCATCTCACAGAGTACAGGAAATGTTTTTACCTTAGGAATATGACACTAAATTGAGGGACCAGATGACTTCCCCACCCCACCTTAGATATTTATACTTCCTTCCCTACCTAGGAGGGTTGATGACTTGAGTGTATGTGTGGCACAGTACAATTGATGATTTACACTGAAAAGGTAATTATATCACAAGACTTCTTGCAGAAATTCTCCATCTATAATTAGACATTTTAAAAGACATTTTTAAAGACCTAAAAAAAGAGGACCTATATCATTACTTTTTCTTGTTGCATCAAGCTTAATATTTGAGTAATAAAATATTCACTGATTTCCTAGTAGTCAGTGTAGTTACTTCCCTCTAATTTGCAAGCTTTTTCTACTTCTCCATCTATAACTTATCTACACACACACACAAGCCACAGAGATCTTAAGTTCTGCATTTTATAAGCTAAATATCTAACTGACAATGATAAATCATCCTGTAGATATTGAAAAGTCACAGCTGTGTTCTTAAGCCTAAAATTTTTTGTCCTATGTAATAGAATCACAGTTTGAAACTATAAACCATAGTCAGGGTCAGCAGTTTGTATAATTTTTTCACATTCATATAGATGGAATACAGTAGCTAAGCAGATTTAGTTAAATTATTACATGTAAAGTAAGAAAATGGGATGGAAATAATAATAAATGATTTTCTTTAGAAGTCCCCATAAACGCAGTCCCAGGCATTTGCTCCAGGGTGGGTCATGGTTCATGACACACTTCTCTTTGCTTCTGCAGCTGGAACCACTGTGTGGTTTCTCTAATATCCAGGAAACATGTCTGTGCAGGTTGTGGCAGTATACTACCTAAATTCACTGAATAAATAGTAAAGGTTAGTGGGTGAGACTATCCCTCCACGACATTTAAAAAAATTTGTTATGATTTTTTAAGACAGGGTCTCACTGTGTTACTCAAGCTGGTCTCGAACTCCTAGGCTCAAGACACCCTCCTGCCTTTGCCTCCGAAAATGTTGGGATTACGGACATGAGCCACTGTGCCCAACCCTTGGTGGTATTTTAAGCCCACTTTTTACAGTAGTGTAGAAGACAGTAGTTCTGTTGTGGCTGATTCATAAATGCAGCATTTTCACATTGGCTACATTCAGAATTATAAGCAGCATTAGGTACCATCCCACATCCCTTTGTGCTGTTGATGCTTAGTGGTCAGACTTTGTAGCTGTCTTCGACCTCTAGTGCAAGCATCAACTTGGTCTTGAAGACAGGCCTTAGTGGGCTTCCAAATTCTTTGGGATATATTTTCTGCGTCACCTAAGAATCTGACTCCAATTAGGCCTTGACCCCATGAGGCTTTTAATGGACACATTGGGGCTTCCTTTGACTTTTCTGAGTGCTCTTGGAGATTCCTGACCTCTAACCTCTATGTAGCAGATTGGCTACATGTTCCTGGTAGGTACAGTTCATGGTTGACTATTGGAGGTTTTCAAATGGATCCAAATTTAGGGATATTTTAGGGCTCTTATTAGTATTCTCTCAGGTTGAGAGAAATCTAATTTATGAAGCATCAAAAAATTAGGAAATAGATATTTATTTGGTTCACCAGGGAAATTTTTCTACTTAATTTTAAATAGGTAACTTTGATCTCAAACTTCTGTAAGGCATGAGATCCTTAGTTTAACAGACTTGCCTTCTTTAGATGAGGGGAGTTAGAATAGAAATGTACTCTGTTGTCTAAATGTTCAGTCCTTCATCTTCCTTACTGTTTCCAGAGAAAAGATAGAGAAGAAGATTAAAGGCAGCAACTCAGCTGACAGTGGTAGCCTCCTTTCAGCTTAGGGCTCCTTCCTGCCTATCTGGGCAGCTCAGAGTGCTGGAGGAAGGAGAAAGTTTTCATTCCACATGCAAAAGGGCAGGTCACTTGGCATCCTTGAGCTTCTGCATCAGCCAAAGGGAGTTACAAATAAAACCCTAAAGTACATTCAGATGCTAATGATGATTGTGTCAATGTAAGTGGAATTATGGCTGAGTTTTCCTTATCTTTTGTAATTTTCATATTCGCATTTTTTGTGTTAAAGGTTTTATATATGAAAGTCATAATAGCGTTCCCACTTTACACCTCTTGTGAGGGTTTAGGAAATTACACATACCACTGATTGAAGTTTTTGTTTTTGAAAGACAATCTATAAATTGAAGCTACTGTTTTTTTGTTTTAATCTTAAGAATAAGAGAAATGGGTCCCTTATCTTCTCTGAGCCTTATACCTATTTTTCTTCCCCAAGTCAATGACTTTAGTGTTAATTTAAATCATAACTAACACTTTGTGGAAGGATGAGATTCTTATTACAAGATTTATTTTAATTTTCCATTTATATTGGTTAATTCTAAGGGTGAAAGACAGGTTCATTGTTTTACTAACATCAATTTTAAAATTCATAATTTATTGAAAACAGCCAATCTATCTCTTTTCTAGCTATAAAGAATGCAACTAATTTCCAAGCTATTCCTAGCTTTCTCTAAGTTCATAAAATTGGCAATTAGTTGTCATATATTTGGAGAAGACTGGAAATCCTTCCCCACCTCTCTCCTCTCCCTGCCAAATTATACCTCATCGCTGAATTATGGCTTTAAATATTGCAGAATGACCATGAACATTCTTATATTATGATATTTTAGATTAAAAAATACTTTGTAAGCATATTGACTTTTTATATTAAGATTATATTTAAGTAAAGTAAATATATTCCAAAGTTTTAAATAAAACTTCTGCCTAGATATGTTTAGCTCTTAGAATTTAGACTGTAGTACACCCTGAACTGCTGGATCTGTCTACTTTTCTCTTTGTATCCATAGTATTTGGGGAACCTGGTCCAGTAGTAATCTCGGTCACACACTCTGGTTGTGTGCAACCTAAGTGAATTTCTTAACCTCTGGCGATTGTGATTTTTGTTCACTATAATGGGCATTAGCATCCGCACTTGCCTCTGGGGACTCTTAGTGAATTAACTGTGTTTTACAAATGGCTTGCAGTGATTACAAATGCTTTGTAAATACATGGTGAAATTTTGCCTCTTTAAATTTCCTTACTTTTTAGCATTTTCCAATTTTAATTTTCATAAAGAAATAAAGTATAATCTCTACGTCCCTCTCAGTAAGGCTAAATTTTGGAAAGCACAAAGGGCAGAACCTCCCAGGTCAGAAATTAGGAATTTTAGCCCTGGTTTGCTTCATGGCCCCATTTCAAGGGCTGAAATGACTGTTGGCTATGTGACATAGGGTTGAATCAGAGAGCAGTTCTCAGATGGCCACAGCAGCTCACACTCCACACAATCATCATGGTGCTTCACATTTTTGCCTACTAGACAGTCTTAGATCCATTCCTTTTTCTTTAGAGATTATGATTTAATTTAAATTAACCACTATAGGCTGTGACTCTAGGTCTCACCCACTTTAATTAAGCCCAGAGTCTGTGGCATCGTGAAATTGTTTCCTGGATGAGAAGAATGGTCTGTGTTGCCTGCCCCCATGAGGAGTGTACTACTGAAAACTGCCAAGTTGATCTGACTCTAGTTCTCTGATGGTGCTGCCAGAGAGCAGACCAGACATGTTCCTTAGGGTTCTGCGAAATGTATTGAAATACTTGGTGAAGATAGAATCATCTGCTTTTAACATGAAAATACTAGTTTTGTGAAAATCACATTTCAGTTTGCATATCAGCCTTCTGTCTTATGACTGCTTTGCTCGGATTTCCCTGGTCAAGCACAACATTGCAATAGAAAATTCTTATTGCAATAGAAAACTTTTCTTAGATGTTTCCTCATCTATTAATCCATGAGCAGCATCAGTCTCCCAGTGAAATCCAATTTATGTGTAGCTGTTTTAATTCTTGGGAGAACCCTAACAGTGGTAGCTTGATTTCTCCAGATCCACTGAGAAAAGATACAACATCTGAATACATATAACATGATTTATTCATCTTAAAAATATTTTGTTAAGAGTATCTCTAACTTCATTAATAAAATAAAATTAGAATGTTTTTAATCTTATTCAACCAACCTAATTTTGTAGTATTCCTACTTAACTGAGGGTATCGAGCTAACTTCAGAGGACACAAGTGAGGCAAAACTTCTAACTTAGAAACATCTTTCAGTCACTCCATGATGTGCAGCTGCTTAGCAGTGAGGCCAAAATAAAGGACAAAATTGTAGCAAAGTATGTAAAATATACATAACATATATCTTAAATGCCTCACCTAATTTGTAAATAAAACTGCATTTATGAAATAGATCACACGTATTTTCAATCTTTGTTTAATTTGGAAACAGAACCACAGCTTTTATTTCTTGCTAATATATCAATTATAATTCCTGTTAATTTTAAACTGTGGTCATTTCCGGTTCAGGAATTCAGCATGTGAGACAATTGTTTGCTTTCTGACAGCAATAGGCTGCTGAAAGTCAACGCAGAAAACTGAGCCTCTTAGTTTGCAGTTAGCTGAGAAATAGGTGTTCTGCTTCCTTACATGGTGACTGTTGAGTAGATAAAACACAGAGGTCTACCCCCCCTGCCCCAATATACCTGTTTAGTAGTGAAGCAATTTACATAGTAACTCCATGTGGGGGTGTACTTTTACTCTCTACTCTCACTACACATCCAAGAAGCCTCCCCTAGACTTTTGGTTAATGTGTTGTTGCAAAAATATGAAATGTAATGTACTTTCTGACACATGTAGGGACATACTTAGAACTAGCATTGCCCAGAGTTTATCAAGCGTAAAATGAAAAAAAAAATTAAATGTGTGTGTTAACTTTCAGAGAGAACTACTTTATATCCAAG
The DNA here is from genome assembly GCF_000001405.40 of Homo sapiens. Taxonomy (NCBI): domain Eukaryota; kingdom Metazoa; phylum Chordata; class Mammalia; order Primates; family Hominidae; genus Homo; species Homo sapiens. Next base: position 46,741,186 of record NC_000013.11, read on the forward strand.
TCTACATAGACCAGGGTAAAAAATGCACTAAGAGAATGGAGAGTGGGGGTAGGGATTCCATTTTAAACTTTATAGTTTTTCATTTAGTAAGGTTAAGTTGAAATGTCCCACGTGAAAATCTTATTTTTATGCCACTGATGAGCACATGATACCTTGAATATTAAAACTGTGTGAAAGGCAGAATGATGTGTAAATTGCAGAACAGGCCGTTCCTCCATGGCGAGATTGTGAGTGAAGGATTTCTTTGACCCATTGGCACAAAATAGGTATTCTATTCTACTATTATGATGGATTAAAAAATCTTTGATGATGAAAGGGTCTTACCTGCTTGAAATAAGGGGTTACTCCTGCCATTTGCTAGTAACCAAAAATGTGTGCTTCTTTCTAGCTGTTCCTCCGTGTATTTTTAATTGTATGCACTGTCTCTTTCTGTTCTAATGGCTGCCCTCGGAATAGGCTGACCTCTGCTCTCCGTGTGACATCCTGCAGTTGGATTTTCGTCACATTCGAAAGACTGTTGACACTCTGCTGGCACTCGGGGAGAAAGCCCCACCACCAACTTCTGCCCTCCGCTCCAGGGACCTTATAGGCTTCTGTCTTGTCCATATTCTCTTTATAGTGCTGGTCTATATCACTTACCACTGGAATGCTCTGTCCGCATAATGTCTGCACGTGCATCCAAACGCTGTGCTCTGTCGCCCTCAACCTTTGCAGGGTCCTTCCTACCTTTGAGCCTTTGCCTTGCAAACTTCCATCCCTGTCATGTCTTCAGTTATCTCTCGAGTTTTGAAGCTGAACAGTAGCAAATCAGATTTTCCAGAAGCACAAACTTTGTAGAATACAGTTTAGTATAATTCCTCTCACTTACTGAAATACAACGACGACGACTGCAAAGTGTATGCACACCGCATGCTTCCTCATCCACATAGTGCCAGCAGCAGTGCCACGCAGTTCCTCCTCTCCCTCCCGGTGAGCTGCTGCCCTGGGCAGAGGGGAGGAGAATTCCAGGACAAGAGTGTCAAGGACAGGGATTTAGCATATGGAAGTCTTTCCTTTGGGTCAGTATTGAACTAGAATTCTAATTCGGGACTGGGCAATTGAGCTGTATAGGGGCCACCTTGCAGGGAGGACAGAAAACTAACATTTTGGCCCAACTTGATCTATACAAAACTTTAATAATACCACTACTGACCAAGTTGGACGTGTACACGTACTCACACTGCCTTGATGGCCATTCGATTGGATTCCTCCCAAATTTCCTAAAAAGGGAGCCGCGAAGGGCGCTGGGCAGTGTGGCCGCCAACTTCCACCCCGGCAAGCCCCTCTGTCCTATGCAGAAGGGCGCTCAAGGGAAGGAAGTGTCGTTGCTGTTAGAGCCTCACGTGGAGGAGTCACTTAAACACCAGTTTTTTACTGCTTAATTCCTTGTTAGGTCTTCTCTTGAGGCTCTTAGAAAAGCGTTTTCCAGAGAGATTTCTATTTTTGAACAATGGAACGGATCACTGCTTTTTTGCCACATCACATAGTAACTGCCGGTCCAGAATGTGACGGATTCGACTCTATTCATTTTCAAATAAAGCCATGAGCCGTGGAACATTCTTGGTCCTGGTGCTTGGGTTATGATGGCAGGAGTCAAGAAGAAGATTACTTTCATTCTAGAAGAATGTAGTTTCTCTAATTATTTGAAATGTTCATTTAGCCTTTGATTTTCACTGATATTAACTAGCAAACTGCTTTAAGTCAGCTCAAAGGATTATATAGTAACTATATCTGCATTTGGAGCAATGTGATCAGTTTGCATTTAAAAGGAAAAAAAAGAATTTTATCTTAGCCAGAATGTCCCTGGATTCAGGGGTGTCTTTGTATAATATGAGAGGGCCTTGTTCCAAGGTCAAGGCAGCCTCCTTATTTTACATGCTGTTTGCCAAATCTTGTTTCTTAGCTTGGGGAGATGATGGACTTAGCTTCCTCAAGATAAATTTCTAGTTTATTAAGATGCAAACAGCTCTCATAGATGGCTACTACGAAGAAAATCTTATTTTTCTGAACATTTTCATGAATCCAGGGGACTTGAAAATATGGAAGACCCACATAGTTAGAAGAATATATTTATAAAGATTCCTTGCTGCTAAGTCAGATCAGATTTGCTAACAGGAAGCATTCTTTACATGACAGTATCTTGAGTTATGTGAGTTTTTTTTCCTCCTGACTTTGTGTTGATTGGTGAAATGCAGGGTATGTGGAAGTTATCTAATTAACCTCAGTTGTATATGAATAACCCACAGATGTACTGAATTACTTTTGGTGCTATCTTGTACTCTTCAATCTGTAACACAATAAAATCCCTTTGTACGATGTCTAATGAGCACCCTGAGCCATAAATTGCTTAATAAACACATTTTGGGTGATTATTCCAAGTTTTTATCAGCCCATTGATACATGTATTCATGAGCTCTCAGCATTCCCATCCAGCTCTGCAGTGCATTGAGGCTTCTCTTTAATGGTCACCACTGTGGTGGTTTTTCCCTTCTTTCTGGGGAGAAAATGGGAAAAAAAAAAAGAAAACTTACTGGGTTGCCACCTTAAAATAATATCAATAAAAACTGAGTAGGACACTCATGTAAGAGTAGATTTAATTTTCAGTGTTGATATAGTTCAATTAAAACATGTTAAAGACAAATTAAAAGACATTTATATTTTAATTCTGGCATCCAAAGTATTCTTTGGACGCACTTTGATTTTTTTTGTGTCATTAATTTGTCTGTACTCTGCTGCGCTGCACTTCTTGGGATTTATTGGATGATGTTTTTTCATTAGTAGTATGGTAACTAGCAGAACACAATTAATTTAGTCCTTTAGGCAAAAATTTGAATGAACTGTTCTGTCCATTGCCAACCCATTAATTTCTAATCAGAATATTAAGCTTCTCTGTGGTTTTTCTCCAAGGTACCCGTGCACCAGCCCATATGCTAACTGGATGCCTGCGGATGCCTGCCCTTGCAGCTTGACTGGGGATACCTGGCTGACCTCCTTAGAGTCTGAGAAGTAGTCAGGGATGTCACTGAGTGGTTTATTGTGCTGACCAAATCTCCTCCTCACAAGAAAGACCGTTTTTTCAGTACTCCCTTCCAATGTTAGATAAAAGGAGCCAAGTATCTATTTACATTTTATTTTGAAATAGCCATTTGTATTCTCTTTCTCCAGTTTCTCCAACTGGTGGCAACTCTCCACTCAGTGTCAGGAATTCCAAAATTTGTGACACCTAATTTCTAATCATCTTTCCTATTTATGGATTTCTGGTTTGTTATTTTTAGGGAGAGACACTTATGAAATGGGGCTGGTGGAAAGGGGCCCCGCAGAACTACAATGTATGATAATCGAGTATAAATTTCATCAATGAGAGTAGATAAATAAAGGCACTTGATAGCCTGCTGCTATTTGTTTGTAAGAAATTAAAACTAGCGCGTGGTGAGCTGGGTTATCTCTCGAAAACTCATGTAGATGCCTGATTGAGTCATAAGGACAAAAGGGTGTTTTGCCTTTGCCTGTGGGGAAAAAGTAGGGATGATATTTTAAAATTTTAAGAAACTGAAAGTTGTTTTGGATTAGGTGAAAAATACTTTAATATGATTTTATTTCAGGAGACTTGATTTTTAAAAATTAGGCTTCGTATTTCAAAATTAGTTCTCAATAAACAATCAATTTGGTATATAGAATGTGCCCTTTTTTTCTTCTTTAAGATGGTCAGAGTCTAGTTGCCTGGCTTTTCACTGTGACTTTGTTCATTTTTGTGTTCATTCCTTCATTCCATAAATATTGAATGAGCAATCTCTGCAAGGCCCTGGGGATAAAAAAGTCACTGGGACACATGGCCTGGTCCTCAAAAAGCTTACAGTCTATAGCAGGAGTCTGCAAGCTTGTTTCATAAAGGGCCTAAAGGAAACATTTTAGGCTTCTTGGGCCATGCAGATTCTGTTGGGATTACCCAGTTCTGCTTGTGTACCATAAATGCAGCCTTAGACAATACATCAAACATAGGTGTGGCTGTGTGCCAATAAAACTTTATTTACAAAAACTGGCTGCGGGCTGGATTAGCCTGTAGGCCATAGTTTGCCACCCTTGATCTAGTAGGTCCTTAGACAAGTAAAGAGGAATTCAAGTGATAAGGACCTGTGGTGGAACGGGTACAGGATTCTGGAAAAGAGACCTGACCCTGATGGGGAATAGGGGACCGTGAACGCATCCTGGGATGGTGGTGTTTCCACTGAGACTTAGCAAACGTTCAGGAATAGCCAGGTGGAGTGGGGAGGGGAGAGGGACTAGGGTTGAGGCATATGTGTGTGTAGAGAATGAAGTGTTCTAGGGAGAGGATGGACTAGAAGGTAGCATGGTTGCAAAGTAAATAATCCAGGGAGGAGCAACAAGAAATCTCTGTAAGATGTTGAATGGTCTCCATTTCACATTGAAGAAACTGATGCAGGAACTTAAAGCTCTCGTACATCAAAATAACACACAGATAGTTTTAAAGCTCAAACAGTGTAGTGCCAGGACTTTATATATAAGAAGCAGCCTGAACAAAATGAAATATGCTGGTGGGATGATGCCATTTTAGGCTAGTGGCTGGCTTAGAAGTGTGGGTCTCTTTGGGAGCATAAGAAACTGTAGAAGGAGGAGAGTCAGGCAGTGACGGCTCATCCTGTTCCCAGCAGGTGTTTCCTGCCAGGACAAGATGAGCTGAGTGGCAGAGCTAACCCTGACACTGAGTTGAGGGTTCGCTGGTCCCATCTGACATTGAAATTGATGGGACTAGCCATCAAAAAACTCCAGGGGCCACGGGACCTCTTCCTATATCATGACCGCAGACCTAACATATTTAACCATTAAGTAAGAGATTTATGGGAGGAGGCATAGTATTGTGGAAAGAGCCCTGGCTCTAAGACACATGTAGTTCAAACCCTGGTTCCAGGACTTACCAGCTGTTTAGTGTCACAAAGTTACTTGAACTCTCTCTCTATATTAGTTTTCTCATCTGTGAAATGGAGATATTAATGTCTGTCTTGCAGGGTTATCATAAAGAAATCACCAATACAAACCTGTAGTGTTGGTGCCAGGCACATAGGAGGTAGCCCAGAAGTTTTTCAAAGCTAGCATTTAGTCTTTATGGCTTGCCGTCTTTTCCAATGTCGTTTGCTGTGGCTCAGAAGGGTGGATGAGGGGATATGGGTGAACCTAACAGATTCTACCATTGGAGAAGTAACTTGAAGCATGAGTTCTTCAAAGGCGGTCAGAAGCATTATTTTTATGCAGGAGACTACTTCATGACTCCGCTCCGTACTTTAAAAAGAAACACAACAAAAAAAGCCCATGGGCAAACTAAGAGTCTACTGTCACGTTCTCAACAAAAATCTCCGGGATCCTATAACAGTGCAACTTAAATTCATTTCAAGTCAATATAAAGGTACAGCTGTCTCTGCTGTAAGTCCATTATGAACAAGGGGCCTGCTGGAAGGGCCACTTTACCTGCCTGATCCTTAGAGGGCCCTTCTCTTCTGAGTCATTCCTCATCCAGCTGTAAACCTACCATGATTCATTCCTAAGTCCAGCTTCTGTGCACACTTCAAGGATCCCCCCACTCTGTGGGAGATGCAGTGTCCTGACTGGTGTGATGGCAAATGGCCCTGACCCCTTCTTGGGACGCCTCCTGGTTGGAAGCCTCCCCTTGGCCATCCTTCCAACCAGCACCTCAAGGTGTAATTCCCACCAGAGTCTTCATTCCAATCCTGTGATAGAATAACCAGAATGGCCATGCTTGTATAAGGTTTCTGTTTTCCTGTGTGAGTCTTCTTACATCCCTCCAACCTCAGCAAAGTAATCTGAGGGCACCTCTGGGCTTCCTCAGGGGGTCTGAAAAGAGGCAGGAAGAATTTGAGGGGTATCTTTTTATGTCTTCTGTTTACTCCTCATCACTAGCCATACAAGCAGGAGGGAGGATCTCGGACTCTGCACCTGGCTTGGAATGTGGAGACCAGGAAGGCGAGGAATGCTGCTTGAAAAAACAAGGGCCTGGGAAAGAGGGTGCCCTTCACCTAACTCAGTCTGTGAAGTGTCCAAATGTCCTGTTGGCAGGAGGCTGAGGCCTCGATACCTTCCCATCCCCGTTTCTGTGAAGCCCCCAGCCTTTCCCTCGCATGCCCTTCAGCTTAGAACCCTGCAGGCCACTGGAGCCACTGCTCATCAGGCCCTGGGGTCAGTCCTTCATTGGAGGACACATGCCACTCTCCTTTCAGGACACAGGATAGGACACCTTGCTCCATATAAGCTGTGTCGTTCACAGAGATTAGGCTCTATGGGAATACTCGTGCTAGAATTCAGGCACATTCTAGACTACACATAACTAAACACTGAGGTTGAAAAGCAAAATGTCGTGCTGCACTGCCTTAGGCAAATCCCTCATTCAAAAATTGCTGTTCACATTCCTTGCCCAGTGTTCTGTTGATTTGTTAGTGTTTTTCCTACTGATTTGTTGAGCTTATGTGTCATATAAAATGCTTTGTAATTTTTTTTTTTTTTGAGATGGGGTATGGCTCTATTGCCCAGGCTAGAGTGCAGTGGCACAATCATAGCTCACTACAGCCTCAAATTCCTGGGCTCAAATGATCCTCCCACCTCAGCCTCCCAAGTAGCTGGGACCACAGGTGCACACCACCATGTCCAGCTAATTTTCTTTAATTTTTTTGGAGAAATGGGGGTCTCACTATGTTGACCAGGTTAGTCTCGAACTCTTGGCCTCAAGTGATCTTCCAGCCTCAGCCTCCCAAAGTGCTTGGATTACAGGCATGAGCCACCATACACATTGTTCCCTTTGTAATTTGATGCAAATACTTTTTTTTAAAGTGTTACTTATCTTCTTATTAATCGGGCTTGTTTTTTTAACACATGGATGCTTTAAATATTTAGGTAATCAGTTGCTTTGCTCTTTTCCTTTGTGACTTTTTCATAATGCTTTTTTAGCTTAGGAAATCCTTTCCCATCCATTTATCAGAAAAAAGTACTAAATATTCACCTTTATGTTATTGGGAGGGGTGTTGTAGATTTTTTTTTTTTTAATGTTCAACTCTTTATTTGATTTCAAATTGATTTTAACATATGGTATGAAGTAAAGAATTGTTTTCCCCAAGTAATATCTGGCACCAGGAACTTAACTGTACTTAACAGCCATTTACAATTTCCTGCAAAGCCAGATGTCGACTTGGGTGCTGTCAGAGCCAATAGAATGAGGAAGACATATCTTTGCCCTTATAGAACCTGCCTTAACAGTGAAATGCCAGATTCAAGTGATTTCACAAGCCCGTGGCAGATGGTGCCGGGGAGGCTGGACACTGTCATCAGGCCACAGATATCCCTCACCATGCCGCAAAAGGAGGCACCATTGTTAACAGCCTGGCTCACAGCTCACAACTCAGACAGAACTCCCCCATCCTTTCTCAGGTTGATACTTGGCTAATAAATTGTCAGGCAGCATGAACTTCCATGCTCACCTGATACGCCATTGACAAGATAATCCTACTTTGATACACAGCAATGACATGAAACCATGGTTAAAATTGTTCTTTAAAGAATCGACTGTCTTCTGTTGACAGGGGGCCATCTCTTAAGGCCTAGGTTAAAGTCTGATGTTCTCTGAATTTGCCACAAGGTAGGGAAGGGTGAAAAGCAGATACGGTAAGATGGTGAGAGAGTAAGACCCACTGACATTTGAGACAGTGGAACAAGTTATTGGAGATGTCATGTCATGTCCTTTGAAAGTCTTTTAAGCACAGAGTGCCTGTGTCTCCGGTAATTTTTGGAGAGTTCTGCATTGAGGCAGCAAGAAGATCTGGTTCCTCAAGCAAGTGTCACGTGGAAGGAAGCCCTTCCTTGCAGAGCACACCAATTGGCTTCCTGCTGAACAGTGACTCCATCACCTAGGGCTGGATGCAGATCCCACTTAAACTCTCCTTCAAAACAGCGCTACTCAGCCTTAAAAAGAAGGAAATCCTGTCATTTGCAACAACATGGATGAACCTAGACGATATTATGCTAAGTAAAATAAGCCAGGCACTGACAGACAAATACTGCGTGACCTCACTAATACGTGGAATCTAAAAACGTTGAATTCACAAAAGCAGAGAGTAGAATGGTGGTTACCAGGGGCTGGGTGGGGAGGTGGGGATAGGAAGATATTGGTCAAAGGATACAAAATGGTGACTATAGTTCATCATAATGTATTTTATACTTGAAAATTGATAAAAGACTCTATTTTAAGTGTTCTTACCAAAAAATAAGTATCTGAGATAATGGATATGATAATTAGCTTGACTTAGCCATTCCACAATGTATACTTTTATCAAAATATCATGCTGGACACCATAAATAAATACAATTTTTTTTTTCCTGTCAAAGAAAAGAAAAAAGAAAAAGTAAACATTGGGCTGTGGAAAACACACTGTCATCAAGTAGATAAAAGAATATTTGCCGTGGTGTCTTTTTCCAGCCAAGGAGACACACCCTGGAAGAAGATTCTCTTGAATGATATCAGACCAGGGTGAAATAACAAAGGTGGAAAATTATTTCATTGTGTTATTCTGTAAACTGGTTTGTGGAGCATGAAAGGTTCTGCACACAAGGAGGGACTCACGCTTACTGTTTTTCTTAAATAGTATGTCCTGGACATTTCCCAAGAGCAAAAATGCAGCATGAGAGAGTAGCAGGACATATGTGTCTTTGACAGTTTTATGAAAGAGTCTTGAAAGGGAGGCTATTGAGGGCTGTAGTTATAATTACCAATTTATAAAGACTGTTCATAAACCATGAAGAAAGGCTGCCAGTCCACCCACTTGCCTGCGTTCCAGAGGTCACAGGAAGTAAAATGAACTCAATGAAGTTCTATGGTCAGTATAACAATGTGTGGTCGGTACAAATGAATATTTGAGTGCCTTTAAAATGTGTCAGGGGCTATTTGCAGTTTTGCTTTATAAAAATAGAAGCTATTATATTCTTGGTGTATGCTCTCTGACTGACTCTGTAGCTCAGTTATTTAGTGTAAAACTTTCTTAAATATTTAGATCTGCAGACTTCATGGTGATTAGGAGCCTTTTTGAAACAAACTGCATGTGTGAAAAATCATTATTTTCTCTGCAAACATAGAAAAGGTCTTTGCAGTAGGTTGAAAGCAAAGGAAGGAGCTTGGTGTAGGTGATCAAACAGGCATACTAGAGTATTCAACCTAACTTTGATGTCATCAACGATGTAGCAGGATTTTACAATGAGAGTACAATCATCTAAAAATTGATGTTTTATTCTTTTTCCTTTTAGGAAAAGCTATGTCTCCCCCACCACATCCTTGAAGAAAAAGGCCTGGTCAAAGTGGGCATTACCATTCAAGCATTACTAGACATCACCGTAACGAAGGCTCTGTTCACATGAAACTACCCCTTCTCCATTGGGGGCTCAGACTCTGCTCTCATCCAGGATCCTGAACTCTGCTCCAGGCACCTGTTCAACCCTCTCTCCCACCCACTGCCTGTCACTTCACTGACTCCAGTTACATTGAAACAATTTTCAGTCTAAGGGAGGATTTTCTACCTTTCAGAGCTGACCTCCGACTTTAAGACTTGACAGGTATTTATCTTGAAACCAGAGAGGGAGCTGGAGGAAAAAAAAACTGAGCAGCACATCAATGCCTTTTCCACCCTCCTTCATCCTTTCCACACTCACCGACTGCCATTACCAAAACGCCAAGCACAACCGTTTTGCAGCAAGACGCATTCGTTTTATTAAAACCAAACTCGTTATGTATTTAGTGGGGGGAGGGGGGCACAATCAGGTTTTTCACCACCAAATTTTTCGAGAGGTTTCTTGAGACCATTGCCTTTTAAAAAACTATTTTCGACATACAAAATATTTATATAAATATTATTTATTAGTGAGTTGTTATTCATCCTTTGGATGCAAATTGTAAATTAGGAAACTATTTTATTACTGCTTTTTTGTGGTTAAACACTTTATTTTAATATAAATGTTGAGTTATTTTCTATCCTCTTTGGTGTGCGGTAGTTTAGGTCTCAGTAATGTTTCTGGTATATATGATTCCAAAAAAAAGCGAAAAACAGGTGCTTTTAGGACACAACTTTTCTGGGGAGGCAATATTGACACTTTGGTTTGTGGAACGTTGGTCTTATTTATATTTCTGCATTCCATCCAGTTTCCTACATTCCAGCAGCCCTCTGTCCCCCAATATAATGAACTGACTAAAATCAAGAGAGCACCCCAAAGTTATTTGTAAATAGCTGTGATGGAAAAAAAAAAGACATATTAAACTTGAAGCTAAAATGTGAACAATTATTTTTTGGATTCATACTTCTTTTGCTATGCACAAAACATTCACGTTTTAACACAAAGAAATAATAAGTGTTAGCATCGTGTGTCTTGAAGTATACTTTTGCACTGTAACTTGGGTTACGTTAAAGAGAGCTTAGCACCAAAGGTAGATAATGAAGAAATGGCATAGGAAAGTGGAGATGATAAAAAGTTGATTGTTGAACCAAAAAGGGTTTGAAGGGAAGCTTCGACTGAGTATCAGAAATTACTTAAGGCACATAGGACCTGAATCAGGAAACCAGCACTTCTTACAACTGCCAGTTTTAAAAGAGGAAATGATTCTGAGATGTGCTCATTTTATTTTAATTTGGTGGTTGGTGGTTTTCCAAGTAGTCTGTAAAATCCTGCAAGATTCACAGTCTCTGGTGTGAAACCTCAGAAGTGAGTCGTTGTGAGCCTGTGGGCAGCACCACCAAGGCAGGCTAAGGGGAGGGTGCAGTAAGTGGAGTTTGTGAGGCTGAGTGGCTGAGGAGGGAGCAAGTGCAACAAAATAGGGCTAGAGAAGAACCAGCCAAGGAGTGGAACCCATGCTGCTCTCAGAGATTCACGGAACACGGCAGCCTTCTGCAGGCAGTTCCATGCATGTGCACTCACGCTGCAATCACAGATGTCCCAGTAATTAACCTTTCTAAGTCTTGTGAATGCTGACTGCACTTTCACCTCCTCGAAAAGCCATTGGAAGTTTTTAGAGCAGCAGCAGCCACAGTTTGTAAGACAAATGTAGAGGGGGACGCAAAAGAAAAGACACCACCAGGAGGAGGATTCAGTGTGCAGTCAGCACAGACCAACATCAACCAAGGCAATGGCTGCCCTCCACTCTTGGGAAGATGGGGGGAGGTTTCTGAAAACGGAAATTTGGATTGGCAGCTAGCAGTTATTTCCTATCAGATGTACTGTGCACTTTAACCTAACTTAAAATGTATTTTAATATTTTTCTGTACTGCACAAATACCTGTTTTGTCAAATAGCATAATGATGTAAAGAAACATTTTGGACAAAGAGTGTATACAATTTAAGCAACATTCAAAGGTTGACTATATAAGTAGGAGTTTAGCCTGCTGCACCTTCACGGGCATTCAGAATGCGGGGTCCTGAAATATTTTCTTACGTGTATATATGGTAGCATGAAGCTTTGTAATCATTGTTTTGAGAGATTTTTTTTTCAAAATTAAAGTATTTCTTTTGATATTAATTTTTATTATTTTCTTGAAGTTGGTTGTGTAATGTAAATGGCTTCAGTCTTCTGTAAAATTGCTTTTTTTTCTTTTAAATGCAGTCCTTCTATGGCTAAGACGTCTTCAAGATCCTTGTACACTGTTTATATGTGCAATAAAATGCATGGCCAGCTGACAGTATCGTCAGTGGACAGAATGTATATAGTGCAAATATCCTTCCTTTTATTATTTAACAGCCATTAAAATCTTGGATTTGTACAAACCACTTTGTGATTGACTTACCCATCAAAAAGGTTGACCCCGGTCACACACACACACACACACACACACACACACATCATAGGGTGTCATTGCTGAAACAGATTGTAGCAATCATGTATATTTATGTATATGTGCACATAATATGTATATGTTATATGTATGTATGGCTGGGTGTGTATAAAATTTGGAGAAAGAATATATAGTAATGCATCATGTGACAACAGGGATATATCTGAGAAACGTGTCATTAGGTGATTTCGTCATTGTGCAAACATCATAGAGTATATTTACACACTTAGTATAGCCGACCACACACCTAGGCTATGTGGCCTATTGCTCCCAGGACGCAAACCTGCACAGCATGATACTATACTGAATAATGTAGGCTGTTGTAACACAATGGTAAGTATTTGTGTATCTAAACATAGTTAAACATTGGAAAGGTACAGTAAAAATATGGTATTATATAATCTTCGGAGACCACTGTTGTATATTTAGTTCATCATTGACCAAAATGTTGTTATGTGTACATGACTGTATATTCATGTATAGCTATCAGAAGAATGACTCTATCCATCTATCTGTCGATAACACACACACACACACACACACACACACACCCCTCAGGATACTCTTTTTTTCTCCCAAACTAAAACTTATAGCGTAACATAACAGGAGTAACAAATTTGCTATGATGGATTTGGAGTTCAGGTGAAAGCATGGATTCAGGACCCCTACTTGTTTTTTGGGCATATTTGAGAACACTTAAGATTTCTTGGCCCATGTTGTGAAAACCACAGAATCTGGGCCTCCCTCCTCAACTGTGGTATCTGACACCCAGAGAATGAAATGGTTGCCTTGATTACACCACTAGATCTGGGCCAGTCTTGTTTTCCTCACAGGGCTAGCCTACCTTTGGTAGACAGCAGCTGCTTTGAGAAATTCAAGTGAATATAGTAACATCATTTCCACGTTCTCACCCCACCCCACCCCACATAAAATACACACAGACCCGAAACTGCTAGCCTGAGCAGGGCCTTCAGGGAGCAGTATCAGGACCTCTGCATTTAAGATCCTCATTTACTGAGTCAAGACACTCTGTACATGGCCCATGGTGTTTTCCTTTGAGGCGCTGCAACTGTGCCAAATCCCAAAATCTTTTAGTTGTCCCTCTGCATATTACAGAAGTCCAGCTCTTCACAGACACTTTCCATCTTAAACTTGCTGGAGCAACAGGGAAACGCGTAATTTATTGAGTAGCTACTGTGGGTCGAGTGTTGTATCTCAGCTGTGTGCCCCATTAGAACAAGGCTGCTTGTCTGTTTTGTTCTTTGCTGAATCGCCAATGCCTAGAACAGTGCAGCAGTGTCTACTGAAGAGGTGAAATAAACTTTACACACATTAGCTCAAAAACTTACATAACCCTGTAAGGAAGAGATTTGTAGTGGACACCAAGGGACTGTTCACCTAACACCACATACTCCTAGGAGTAGGAACTGCTCCTGCCTCATATACCACAAAGATTTGTGGCCCATACATAGCACTGCCCACCTGGCTATGGTTCATCCATTCAGGAGCTGCACCTTCCTCACAATTGACTTGCAAGTCTCTTCTTTGGGATTTTAATTCTTTTCCTGGTGACCGAAGACAGAAGACATAAAACCTACAAAAGATCTAGGGAGAAACTGGCCTACAGAAAGACAGAGGCACAAGAGACAGCAAAAAAAACCCTGAAGTTTGGGTCCAGTAAGAAAGAAATCCTGTATTTCTGAAGCCCAGGTAGTTAAATCTTTCATGAGTACTTCCAAGAGGCTACAACTTTTGCATAAAATCAGTTTCAGCTGGGCTTCTCTCAGCTCTAATTAAGAATGCAAACTAATGAGTAGAAGCTGAGACTCAGTTGTTCAGGTAATCTGTTCAAGGTCACAGCAGGTAAGAAAGAGTCAGATAGAGGCTCAGCTAGGTCAGGTCTGTACCCTCACTGAAGAGAAGGGCTTCCCAGCAGAGTTGACTCCATTGAAGTTTCTAAAGTTAAAAAAAATTCCTGGGCAATTATTAGAATGTTTAAACCTAGAAAAGCAAGCATAGTCACATGCTAAAACCTGATCAACTGAGTCTTACCTGGACTAGTCTGAATGCTAAGTCACATCAAGGCCAAACCACAAAGAGCAGGATAAAAGGGATTTACTGAAGAAGGCTTTAATTTCGTTGCCATTTCTCTCCTTGAATTTAATTCAATATTACTATGTTGTTGTTGTTTCATTTTGGAATTTTCTCCCTGTTTATCAAAGTGATACATGGTTTTTTTTTTAATGTAATAATTTGTTTTTATTTTTTTATTATACTTTAAGTTTCAGGGTACATGTGCACAACGTGCAGGTGTGTTACATATGTATACATGTGCCATGTTGGTGTGCTGCACCCACTAAGTTATCATTTAACATTAGGTATATCTCCTAATGCTATCCCTCCCCCCATCCCCCCACCCCACAACAGGCCCCAGTGTGTGATGTTCCCCTTCCTGTGTCCATGTGTTCTCATTGTTCAGTTCCCACCTATGAGTGGGAACATGTGGTGTTTGGTTTTTTGTCCTCGCAATAGTTTGCTGAGAATGATGGTTTCCAGCTTCATCCATGTCCCTACAGAGGACATGAACTCATCATTTTTTATGGCTGCATAGTATTCCATGGTGTATATGTGCCACATTTTCTTAATCCAGTCTATCGTTGTTGGACATTTGGGTTGGTTCCAAGTCTTTGCTATTGTGAATAGTGCCGCAATAAACATACGTGCGCATGTGTCTTTATAGCAGCATGTTTTATAATCCTTTGGGTATATATTCAGTAATGGGATGGCTGGGTCAAATGGTATTTCTAGTTCTAGATCCCTGAGGAATCGCCACACTGACTTCTACAATGGTTGAACTAGTTTACAGTCCCACCAACAGTGTAAAAGTGTTCCTATTTCTCCACATCCTCTCCAGCACTTGTTGTTTCCTGACTTTTTAATGACTGCCATTCTAACTGGTGTGAGATGGTATCTCATTGTCGTTTTGATTTGCATTTCTCTGATGGCCAGTGATGATGAGCATTTTTTCATGTGTCTTTTGGCTGCATAAATGTCTTCTTTTGAGAAGTGTCTGTTCATATCCTTCACCCACTTTTTGATGGGGTTGTTTGTTTTTTTCTTGTAAATTTGTTTGAGTTCATTGTAGATTCTGCATATTAGCCCTTTGTCAGATGAGTAGATTGCAAAAATTTTCTCCCATTCTGTAGGTTGCCTGTTCACTCTGATGGTAGTTTCTTTTGCTGTGCAGAAGCTCTTTAGTTTAATTAGATCCCATTTGTCAATTTTGGCTTTTGTTGCCATTGCTTTTGGTGTTTTAGACATGAAGTCCTTGCCCATGCCGATGTCCTGAATGGTAATGCCTAGGTTTTCTTCTAGGGTTTTTTATGGTTTTAGGTCCAACATTTAAGTCTTTAATCCATCTGGAATTAATTTTTGTATAAGGCGTAAGGAAGGGATCCAGTTTCAGCTTTCTACATATGGCTAGCCAGTTTTCCCAGCACTATTTATTAAATAGGGAATCCTTTGACACATGCATAATATAGAAGCTTTGGCAGGTATAAAAGTAGTTGGGGAAAATGATCCAGAATTCCACCTTATAGGTAATGATTAAACCTTTGGGATATTTTCTTTGAGACATCTTATACATTTTTACATATTAAAACTTTACATATTGACTTTTTTTCTTGTTAATGTTAGATTTTATGCATTCCCTGCACCCCCTGATCCCCCACTGGGTAGTATTGTTTACTATAGGGAAAGGTGGAGTTCCCTGGACAGGCACTGACAGAATATTTTAGAGGCTTCCTTTACAAGTATACAGACCTAAAATAAAGACATGGGCCCTTAGGTCTTTGAGGGGCACTGGGAGCCAGCAGGGGGGTGAGGAGGTACTGCAGGAAAGAGAAGATGGCCAATAGGGGCTGTGTTCCTAAACCAGCTCCACAGGGAGTGACTGAAGCCCCGCCATGCAGAAAGCTCTGGGAAATGGCACAGAATGTCTCATACCGCAGAGGTATCCCAGCCAAGCTCCCAAGAGAGAACTGACGTATTTACACACACACAAAGAAAACTTCCCTCAACAACACGCCTAGAAATGTGTAATAAAATAAACACATACTTAGTTTAATGCTTTGTTTATCATAAGAAAATTAGGGAACTCCCTACAGTCTCTAAAGAGGAAGCTAAAACTGCAGATAAAGACAATTCTAAAAGCAAGGACAGATTACCTACAGGGGAAAAAAGTACTGTAGCAGATCTCTCAGCAGTACAATCAGAAGCCAATCAATGATAATCTCTTCAAAGTGCTGAGAGAGGCTGGGAGTGATGGCTCACGCCTGTAATCCCAGCACTTTGGGAGGCCAAGGCAGGTGGACCACTCGAGCTCAGGAGTTCGAGACTAGCCTGGCCAACATGGTGAAACCCTGTCTCTACTAAAAATACAAAAATTAGCCGGGTGTGGTGGCGTGCACCTGTAATCCCAGCTACTTGGGAGGCTGAGGAAAGAGATTCACTTGAACCCCGGAGCAGGAGGTTGCAGTGAGCTGACATCGTGCCACTGCACTCAAGCCTGGGTGATACAGTGAGACTCAGTCTCAAAAGACAGAAAAGAAAGAGAAAGAAAGAAAAAGAAAAGAATGAAAGAGAGAGAGAGAGAAAGAAGAGAGGGACAGGGAGGAAGGGAGGAAGGAAGGGGAAAGAAGGAAAAAGAAAAAAGGAAGGAAGAAAAGAAAGAGAAGAAAGAAAAGGAAGACAGGAAGAAAGAAAAAGAAGAAAAGAAAGAAAGGAAGGAAGAAAGAACTGAGAGAAAATAGCTTAATATTTTCAGACAAACAAAAACGTAATTCACTATCAACACACTTTCACTGAATGATGTATTTCAGGGAGAAGGAAGGTCTAACCGCCCCCCCCACAAAAAAAAAACAGTGGCCAAAAGATAAACATGTAACTATGTGTGCATATCCAAACAAACATTGGCTGTACGTTAATGACATTAATGGCTAATTTAGGGTAGGAGTTGCTGAAAAGCAAAACAAAACAAAAATAGAAAGAAAATGCTGGCCAGTACTACATACAAGATGAAAAGGCTTGATCTCAGTTAAAATATTTCAGTTTCTTGCTATTTTGGAGGAGGGTAGATGCATTGTTGCATTTTCAATCATGTTAAATGTAAATGTTAAAACTTTAATGAAAAGACAAGAGTGTCTATCACTTTCAGATCAGTAAAGAGAAGAATATAAAGTTAGAAAGTCCCTTCCAAAAGTAAGGAAGGATGTAGACTGGGGAGAAGAAGCAGAAGGAACAGAGTAAAGGAAGGGACCCAAATAACAGAGCAGAAATAAACTCAGATACATCAGCAAGCATGATAAATAGCAAGAAACTAGATAGCTGAAAGGCAGATTGGATTTCCAAGAAAAGCAACTATATATTTACAGACACAACGAGATATAAGGGCATAGACTGAAAGTAAAAAGACAGAAAGTGATGCCACACACTAATTTCTGTTTATATATGAATAATAAGAAAGCCCAGCAAACACTTGAGAAAGACTGTCTAAATAAGTAGGCTGGAAATCTGTGTCAGTACAAACCCAGGGCTAAGACAGCTGTGTCCTACCTGTAGATCTTTCTTTTCAGAAGTACGTGTGTTTATGGGCAGAGGATGCTGTCAGGCAGGTCTGGAGCTGAGGATCGCTGCGTGAAGCACAGCGTCATCGAGAATGCAAGACAGTCATCATCTGGATGAAGGTAAAGTGACATTTACTGACAAGGTGAGAGAGGCGATGACACCAAAGTCATGGCAGGCAGTTACCTATAGAAAATCCATCTGACCATTATGCTCTGTGCTTTTTAATGCTGGTTGCAAAGATAAATTGGGTCAGCAACACCCATGATAAGAAGTCACTGAGCATTTAAAGGCAGTGAGCAACATATTGGTACTTGTGAGTCATAAAATGGGGCAAGGTGGGGATGAGACTGGGGAGGAATAGCGGATAGGCTGCCGCTTTCCAATGTGACTAGGAATGCCAAAGTAAATAAAATGGGGTACTTGGCCAATAAACTCTCCTAACAACTTGCTATAGGTTAGATATGGTTTGTTTGGTTCTACCAAGTTTCATGTTGAAATTTCATCCCAGCGCTGGAGGTGGAGCATAGTGGGAGGTGTTTGGATCATGGGAGTGGGTTTCTCATGAATGGCTTGGTGCCATTCTGCCAGGAGTGAGTTCTCACTCTTAGTTCCTGTCACAATTGGTTGTTGAAAAGAGGCTGGCACCTTCCCCCTCTCTCTTGCTTTCACTCTTGGCATGTGATCTCTGCACACAGGCTCCCCTTCACCTTCCACCATAAGTGGAAGCAGCTTGAAGCCCTCACCAGCAGCAGATGCTGACATCATGCTTCATGTAGAACCCCGAGCCAAGTAAACCTCCTTTCTTTATAAATCACCCAGCCTCAGGTATTCCTTTATAACAATGCACACAGACTAAGACACAACTATCGCTTTTCTCTGAGAAAAAAAGGCCAGGCACAGTTTCTCATGCTTATAATCCCAGCACTTTGGGAGACTGAGGGTGATGGATCACTTGAGCCTAGGAGTTTGAGACCAGCCTGAGCAACATGGCAAAACCCCTCCTCTACAAAAACAAACAAACAAAACATACAAAAATTAGCAGGGGCATGGTGGCTCGTGCTGTAGTCCCAGATAGCTGGTGACTACAGCAAGACTGTCTCCAAAAAAAAAAAAAAAAAAAAAAAAAAAATTTGCTGTCCTCTAAGTTGATTTCCACATAGACATCTGCTACAGTCACAAAAGCCAGAGGAAGGGGAAGGGGAGAAGACATGTCTACTGCCTTGGAAGACTCCACACAGCCTCTAGTTAGACTGAATGTGTAGGTGGTGAGGTAACAGAACTCCTTGCCACATAATTTTATTGCTTAACTGGGCAGAACTCTGCTTGAATATTGACTTTGTGCCGTTGGCTTCTTTTCCTGCTTCCTGCTTCAGCTCTTCCAAAGTGTTGTCTCAAATCTCGTTCAGTCTGTCCCCAGCTTGCCTCTTAATTTACAAGGAAAATGAGGGCCTCAGCAGTGAAGTGTCAACTTATTTCCTGTCTTGGAGGAGTAGATGGCACTTCTCCCTCCCAAGGTTAGATGCCAACTCCACAGCCTTGGGAGATTTTATGTTATTTGTTCTCTCTCTCTCTCTTTGTCTCTTGATCTCCTCCTCCACCCTCTCCTCTCCACCTATAGTTTAATTATTCAGCCACAAATTCAAACATTACCAGGCTATAAGAAAGATACTTTTCTTGACTTCATCTTTTCCCTCAAAATACTGTCTAGTTTCTCCTCTCCCTGTTAAGTTCTTTAAAGAGTATTCTATAAGCAATGCTGGAGTGTAAACTTAGAAAGAATAGAGGTCTTGGTTTTGTTTACTACCATATCCTCAAGGCTTAGAACATGGCCTGATATATAATAGGTGCTTGATGAATATTTGTTGAATAAATGAATGGACAAATGCCTTCATTTCTTCTTCTAACCATACCACTTCATTGAAAATACTTTTTGGTCATGGGTCCCACATCTCAGTTGCCAGATCCAATGGCCTCTTTTCAGTCCTTGTTCTATTTGACCTTCCTGTGGCATATGAGATCATTGAAAACTTGCTTCTTGAAAGCCAGTTCTCTCTTAGTACAATTTTTATCTCAATGTTTTTATTTTTCCATCTTCTTCATAGGCTTCTGTTTCTGTGCCCAACCCCTGCCCTCCTGGAAATGAAATGCTTGGCACTCTTCCATCCATGCTGAAGATCTCTGGTGGTGTCCACCAGCCTAGGTAACTTATAACTCTGTATATCTTCACAATGCTAGGTCCATTCTGGGTATCTTCACTTGGATGTCCTATGGGTCCTGCAAATATGTTTAAAATTGACCTCCCTCTGCACCTCCCCAAACTCCTTCTTTATATGCGTTTCCCGGTTCAGTGATTTCATCATCTTCCCAGCCTCCCAAGCTAGACACTGCAGGATGACCACTGATGTGTTCCTGTCCTTTTCAGTCTGTCACTAAGCCCCGCAGATCCTCCCTCAGAAACATCTCTCAGCCCCAGCCTCTCCTCTTTCTCCCTGCTACCTTAGCGCCTGCCCTGATCAGCTCACCCTGGGTAAGTGGTCAATGGCTCATTTGTCACCTTGTCTCCCTCCTCTTCTTCCTCCCTTCTCTGCTGCTACAATAATATTTAGAAAAAGCAAGTCTTATCATGTCTCTTCCCTACTGGAAACATATTCAGCACTTTACTATTACTCACACAATTGATTTTGGTGCTATGCTTGCCCTTCCCAGACTGTTTCCGTCCTACTGCTAACACCCTCTGCTGCAGCCACTCCAGTCTCCTCTTTCCAGGTGCTCCCATGTCTTTGTTCCCTGTGCTACGCCTGCTCCTTGGAATACCCGCTCACCTCTTCTTGACTTTATGAAGTGCTACTGAGCCTTCAAGACTTACGGACAATGTCTCCTTTTTGGTGAGTTTTTTCCCCATCCCCTCCAGATTATTTCTTTCACCTTGGCACCCCTGAAAAAATAATCTGTGTCTGCTTTATGTTCATTTCTCAATAAACCTCTTTTATCGAGCTCGTATTAGACAAATAATAATTTCAATGGGGAAAGAGCATGAAAAGACCCCACAATAGTTCATTTTTCTTACAGGAATCTAAATAAGGGAAGTCATGGATATAAGTGATGAGGAAAACTAAATACAATACCCAATGCTTATCGAGTGGTGTGATGGTTGATTTTAGGTGTTAACTTGACTCGATTAAGGGAGGCCCAGATAACTGGTAAAGCATAATTTCTGGGTGTGTCTGTGAGGCTGCCTCCAGGAGGAGACTGGCATTTGGGTCAGTGAACTGAGTAAACAAAACCTGCCCTCACCAATGAGGGCGGGCACCACCCAATCGGCCAAGGGCTCAGATAGAACAGAAAGGCAGAGGAAAGGTGAATTCTCTGTTTCTCCTGAAGCTGGGGCACTGGCTTCTCCTGTTCTCCTGAACTGCAGGTTCTCCAGCCCTCTGCTAGAACTAGGATAGAAGGAGCGCCAACATAACATCCTTTTACACACATAAGTAAAAGAGAGAAAATGACAATAGGAACTACATGACAATTGGACCCCAAGACTTGCACCTGCAGTCCCCCAGGTTCCCAGTCTCCGGCGTCAGACTGAGAGTGACACCACTGGCTTCCCTGCTTCTCAGGCCTTCAGACTTGGATTGAGCCACACTACCAGCTCCTCTGGTTCTCCAGCTCTCAGATGGCATATCGTGGAACTCCTCAGCCTCCATAATCACATGAGCCAATCTCTCTAACAAATCCCCTGTCATCCATCTCTCTCTCTATATATATCCTATTGATCTTGTTTCTCTGGAGAACCCTGACTAATATGAGTGGCTACTACCTAATTGGCACTGTTCAGGAGGTGTACAAGTAGCAATGCCTGTACATCTTACAAGAACCCTGTGAGATAACATCTACAATCATCCCCATCTCACAGGGAGGTCAGTTGTTCAAGGTCCCATGAATACTAAGTGGCGTAGTTGGGATTCAACTCCTGGAGTTTGTCTTAGAACCCACACTTTTAACGATTATGCTATAACATCTTCCTCTATTTACCAAGTCACTGACCAAATATCTAATAATTAAAAAAAGATGAGTAAATAGCTCAAGGCTTTACTTGGGTTGTTTCATTTGATCCTCTATGACCCTAGGATGTAGGTCCTATTGTCATTATCTCTCTTTTACTTATGTGTGTAAACGATGTTATGGTTATAGCAGAGGTCCCAAAATAATGGGCGCTCTGTTCCACCACCTTCCAAAAACAAGGTGCTTGTTCATCGCAAAGAGGATGCAAATCCCACTTCTGTCCAACAGGCTCTATGAAGAATACAAGAAGAGGTGAGGAGGCCAGAAACTTTCAGAGAAAGATGTTGGAATGCTGTGCATTTGCCCACCTTCCCCTCCCCTGGGAACGAGGAGGGCAGAAGAGAAGAGGTGGGCAAATGCACAGCCTGTGGGGTGGCAGGGCAAAGAGACCAGGCGGGAGGACACAGGTTTCTCCAGATGTGGGCCCTGCAAAAGGGAGCTGCTACCTAAGGCTGCCTTGAACTGTACTGGACAGGAACTTTTTTTTTTTTTTTTTGAGTTGGAGTCTTGCTCTGTTACTCAGGCTGGTACGATCTCAGCTCACTGCAACCTCTGCCTCCCGGGTTCAAGTGATTCTCCTGCCTCAGCCTCCCCAGTAGCTGGGATTACAGCCGTGCACCACCACACCCAGCTAATTTTTGTATTTTCAGTGGAGACGGTTTCACCATGTTGGCCAGGCTGGTGTCAAACTCCTGACCTCAAGTGATCCACCTGCCTTGGCCTCCCAAAGTGCTGGGATTACAGGTGTGAACCACCACACCCGGCCTGGAGAGCACTTCTTGAGGGCTGGATGAAAACAACTGTGACTGCAGCAGAAAGGTTGAGGGAGGATTCGAATGGTGACAAAGCCCTTAGCCTGGTCTTTTTGCCATGATCCAGGTCAGAATGATTACGTAAGGCTGGAATATTTGCAGGATCGTCTTAGAATTCATGCTTGAAAATCAAACAATCATTCCAACATCTGGGATAGCCTCTCTGCATTACGTAGCATGATATGGGCTGGAATATTTTATTTTTATTTTTGAGACAGGGTCTTTTTTTGTTACCCAGGCTGGAGTGCAGTTGTGCAGTCATGGCTCACTGCAGCCTTGATCTCCTGGGCTCAAGCAATCCTCCCACCTCAACCTCCTAGGCAGCTGGGACTATAGGCACACACGACCATACCCAGCTAATTTTTTTTTTCTTCTATTTTTTGTAGAGACAGTGTCTCATGGTTACCCAGGCTGGTCTCAAACTCCTGTTTAAGCAACCCTCCTACCTTAGCCTCCCAAAGTGCTGGGATTGCAGTTGTGAGCCACTGAGCCCGGCCTATTTTACATTTAAAGCAGGGCATGTTCTGTCGTCTGTCAGGTCTTATTTGAATATAACTAAGAAAATGGGTGATTTGCTATTCATCCTAGAAAACTTTTTAAGAGTGCACGGTATATTTATTGTGCTTCTCCTAAAAGAAACACTGGGTGGCAGTGTTTTTACTCAAATGTTTTCAGAAGAGACCCAAAAGGAAAAGGCTTTCCTCTTTAAGGAATATTAATCCCATTGAACCAGCAATGACTAATAAGGCAATCTGCCTTCAATCAACCACGTGAACAGCCTGGGGTCAATATTACAACTCTAAATGCAGGGTTTAAATGCACACACACACACACACACACACACACACACACACACACACACACACACACACAAAATAATACACCCCAAAACCAGAATGCCCAAAATAATATCTAGGATAAATTGGAAAAAAAAAAGTCCCTTGCCTCACCCACTTCCCAGCTCCATGCCTCATTTTTAGGGGTATTTGAATTTTTCTAATAAGCCCAATAAGATGAAAATGTTACTTTATTTGGTTGAGTATACTATTATCATCCAACAAAGAAAGTGCTAGAACTCTATTTTCTTTATGTACTATCACCAGAAAGTGAAGCTCATTAAGTGTCGTTAGAGACAGAAGCTGCCACCTGGTGCCAAAGAGACACAAATGAAATCGAAAATTCACTGGTCATGGATTGGAATCCCAGAGTTGGGCCAAATACAACAACAAATAAAAAAATATATATCTGATAAGCAAAAGACATTTTCTCTTGGACTAGCAGGGCTATGAAAGGATGAGAAATTTACAAACTATGTTCTCTCTTCGAGGAAAATATTTTATTTCTATAGCCAACCATTCTTTGTACTGGCAGAGTAGAAACTAATAGCGCAATAGATAATCTGTGTGTTGGTGCTCACAATGTTGTCTCCTCTCACTTAAAAAGTTGTGGTTTAAAAAGTAAGCTTAAAAAGAAATTTGGGAGGCACATTTGCCACACACACCCATACTATATGACTTTTAATTTATAATTGTATACATTAGCATACCAATATGCTATGTATATTATAAGGCATGCACAAAAATAGAAATTTTAACAGGAGATGATGAAATAAAAATAAATATAGACAGAAGCTCTAATCCTGTCCATTGGATGGTCTTGTGCACCCCTGAAGGACGGCACGGGTCACTTTGAAGTTCAATGGCCCTAATGCATCTAGTCACTAACATCTGGATAAGATGACAGAGATTTCATGTGGGTATCTTGTCTTGCTACACAGCCCTGGGAGTTAGTGTAGGGGTTTTTGTTTATTTACTCTGCTTTCCAGTGAGGAATTGGCCTTTGAAAGATGCAATGACTGGCCTGAAGTACCTTTGGGAGGCAGGACCTTACAAGGGTTTCTTCTCCTGAAAGTCTCATTATTCACACAGTCAGCTATGTTAATTCTATTTTTTTTTTTTAATTCCAATGTGTTTTTGAACCAGAACTTAAGTTCTCAGAAATACAAAGTAAGAAGCATGAAAATGTGTTTCTGGACCTTGGCACAGATGAGTGTAAGCACTGTTCTTTCTGATTTTCAACATTTATTAGTGTTTAAAATTAGTATTTTACAACTGAAAATATACATGAATAACTTTTTCTGTAAAAATGATATAATCCACCAAAAATAAAGCTTTTCTGGCTGTTATTTTCAACTCTGGTGCCCTCCTCCTCTTTCCCAGAAGTAACTCATTATTTCCATTCAGAACTTTTCCCATGAAATATATTTGTACCTATAGCAAAATACATATTGTTTTGATGGCTTGTGAAAATGTAAACAGTGTCAAATTTTTCACCAACTTACTTTGATTCTTAAATATTTGGGGTTGTTTTCGTATTTATTACAAACAAGGCTGCAATGCATGCCTTTACACAGGCCTCCTTTTGTATATCTTTCTCCACAAAGCTACTGAAAAATAATTTGGCAGCACCATTTACAGAAAGGCTCATGTTTTCCTCACTGATTTGAGACATTGCTATTAACATACGCTAAATTTCTGTGTGGGTCTGTGGCAGGACTTTTCTGATGGGATGAACTCTTCTGAGTCCAAACCCGTTTTAATTATCACAGCTTTATAATGTCTTGACAACTGGCAGAGCAATTTGTTCTCTCTCAAGCCGTCTTGGCATATTCTTCCATATAAATTTTATAATTAGCTTGTCAAGCTCCATGAACAACTTTGAGATTTTGATTAAGATTATATTGCATTTGTAGATTAATCTGGGGTATGTTTGTAGCTTTACAATATTGAGAGTTTTATTCCATGAATATGATATTGCTTTCCATTTAAGACTTACTTTATTTGCTAGAGGTATTATACAATTCTGGTTTGAGTTCTTTCTAGGTAGTTTTTTGTTGCTGCTGTGAATAGGATCATTTTAAAATAATTTTTATTAAACATAGACTTATAGAAAAATCACTAATTTTGAGACAGTTATATTGTTTCTAGCCACTTTACGAAACTCTTACTGGTTCTAACACTTTGTCCTCCATTTCGACTGTAGTGGATGCCTCTTTTGTCATGGTCCCCTGTGCTGCTGTGGCCATCGCTGCATCTTTACTTCCCCCCACCACCCCCCCGGCAACCTCTGCCAATGTCTTCTTAGCTACTGCTGTTGCCATCCCCATCACTGGAACACCAACAGTGACATTTCCTTTCTTCATCCGAAACCCCAATTCTTCAGATTACTTGGAGGCTAGGCTTCAAAAATGAAAGCTTAAAAAAAAATCTGGCTGTTTTAATTTTAAAGTGGCTTTCATTGCAGAAGGTCGATAAAACAATGTAATCTGTTACATACTGTATATACCCAGTGTGCCTAAATACAAGACAACCTTGAACATGAGAGGATCTGCATTTTTCTTTTTCTTTTTTTTTATTTTTTGAGATGGAGTCTCGCTCTGTCACCTAGGCTGGAGTGCAGTGGCACGATCTTGGCTCACTGCAACCTCTGCCTCCCGGGTTCAAGCGATTCTTCTGCCTCAGCCTCCTGAGTGGTTGGGATAACAGGTGCACGCCATGATGCCAGGCTAATTTTTGTATTTTTAGTAGAGATGGGGTTTCACCACGTTGGCCAGGCTGGTCTCAAACTCCTGACCTTGTGATCCACCTGCCTCAGCCTCCCAAAGTGCTGGGATTACAGGTGTGAGCCACTGCGCCTGGCCTGGATCTGCATTTTTCTAATGATAACATCCAAAACTTTGGCTAATTCGAATACATTTATACATTTTTAAATATATAATTCATGCCTACTTGTCACAGATTTTATATGTATACTTTAAAAATACTTGAGATATGTCAGCTTGGAAATATTAAATATTCTGTTGTAAGATTTTATGACATGGTTTTATCTAAACTCATTTGCATCGTCAATATCAGTAACATCACTACAGCCATTTTTTTCTGGGGGAGGGGGCAGATAGAGTCTCAGTCCGTTGCTGGAGTGCGGTGGTGCAATCTCAGCTCACTGCAACCTCTGCCTCCCAGGTTCCAACGATTCTCCTGCCTCAGTCTCCTGAGTAGCTGGGATTAAAGGCACCTGCCACCACACCTGGCTAATTTTTGCATTTTTAGTAGAGATGGGGTTTTGCCATGTTGGCCAGGCTGGTCTCAAACTCCTGACCTCAAGTGGTCCACCCACCTCGGCCTGCCAAAGTGCTGGGATAACAGATGTGAGCCACCACGCCTGGCCTACAGCCACTTTTTGCAGCAACTTTTCACATCACCTTCACTTCTAAGTGGTTTGAGATACAATATTACTTGAATTGATAAACGATGTAGCCACTGGAAATTGTATCCCCCAAGATAAGTATTCTTTGCAATAACATCAGGATTTTTAAATTCTTCATGCAGTAGTATATTTATGATCTTCACAGCATAACTACTTAATATACTTTTAATGTAAACCTTATTAAAGTATAACACATATTAAAAAGTTTATAAATCCTAAGTGTATGGCCTGATGAATTTTCAGTGAACATGCTCATGTACCAAGCACCTGGATGAAGATAGCATCACCAGTACTCTCTCCTGCCATGCTCCAATCACCTCTCCCTCAGAATGCCCCCCACCACCCCCTTCCATTGCCTTGCTATGTGTAACACCTCCTGTCTTCAATACTATGCATATAAAATGGTACCAAGTTATTATATAGCACATAATTTGGTGTCAGGATTCTTTCTTCCAGATTATGATTGAGACCCCATCCATGTTGCTGCATCCAGTTATAGTGTGTTTATTTTTATTCATGTAGAATATTTCATTGTATGAATATGCTCCAATTTTACTAATTCTGTTATAGATGGATTCAGGTTATTTCTAGATTTTGGCCATTGTAAATGGTGCTGCTGTAAACATTCTCATGTAGCCATAATGTTCCTGTTAAGTACAGAAACATGCATTGAAAGGCTATAGGAGACGTGCTAAGTAAGGTCTGAGGCCTCATCAGACCTTACCAGTTTGCTAAGGTTGAACTAGACCTTAGCAGATCCTGCCAGATTGCACCTTATTAGCAGTATAATTCAGGTCGCCATGTTTCCTTGTCAACACCTGGGATTTTCCATTGTCTGAACTTTAGCCATTCAGGTGGGTGTGTAGGTTCATTGCATTGTAGTTTTTATTCGTATTTCCCCAGTCTTACTAAGCACATTTTCAGGCATTCATTAGCCATATTTGTCCTATTTTGTTAAGTACAAATTTTTTGCCAAATTTTATGTTTTTAAGAATTTGTGAGAGTTCTTCAGGCATTCTAGATACAAGTTATTTGTCAGATATATGTGTTGCAAGCATCTCCATCTACTTTGTGGCTTGTCCTTTTACTCTTCATGGTGGTGGCTTTACAGTATTACGTTTCTTCAAGAACATAATCTTCACAAGGGTCTTACATTGAACATAATCCAGGAAATGTCAGATTCCTTTACCTCCTTTTATACCTGATTGTCAGGTGACTTCTAGAAACACCCTAAACAAGCATTGGGAGTTAATGTTTAGGTTATGTATTGTTAACTATGTCACTGAGATGGAACCTTACAATATGAGAGACATTAAGATTGAACTCTTTCTAGTTGGGGAAACTCATGTTACATTTAGGCATTGATAAGGACTCATCCCTCCCCAGGCCAGCATTTGTGGCACAAAAAAGCAAGCTCAAATGTATTGGTTTATTATCCTCAACAGTCATTTCTGTTTTAACTAAAGGTCTTTGTCTTTACTAACATTAGCTGTTCATCAGCAATTACTTAATGAATATTTAAATGTTTTGCATTTACGTGTAAAAAAGCAAAGCAACTATTTTCTAACAATGATACACTAACTAACTTAGCTGTTTGTTACAGTCCCCTGTTATTCAAATACTAATCTAGGTGTTGCTATGAAGGAATTTTGCAGATAAAGTCCCTAATCAACTGACTTTAAAGAGGAGAGACAATCCAGTGGACCTCACTTAATCAGAAGGCCTTAAAAGCAAGACTGAGGCCTCACCAGGAGAGAAGAAATTCCTCCTGTGTACAACAGCTTGAGCCCATGCCCAGAGTCCGTCCTGCTTGTGCCTGTCCCTTCCTGACTGCTGCTCTATGGATTTTGGACTTGCTTAGCCAGCCCTCATAATCAGGTATGCCAATTCCTTGTTTTTTTTTTTTTTTTTATATATATATATTTATTATACTTTTAAGTTCTAGGGTACATGTGCACAACGCGCAGGTTTGTTACATATGTATACATGTACCATGTTGGTGTGCTGCACCCATTAACTCGTCATTTAGCATTAGGTATGTCTCCTAATGCTATCCCTCCCCCCTCCCCCCTCCCCCCACCCCACAACAGGCCTCAGTGTGTGATGTTCCCCTTCCTGTGTCCAAGTGTTCCCATTGTTCAATTCCCACCTGTGAGTGAGAACATGCGGTGTTTGGTTTTTTGTCCTTGAGATAGTTTGCCGAGAATGACGGTTTCCAGCTTCATCCATGTCCCTACAAAGGACATGAACTCATCCTTTTTTATGACTGCATAGTATTCCATAGTGTATATGTGCCACATTTTCTTAATCCAGGTATGCCAATTCCTCGTTTTTTAAAAAAAATCTTAATGTATATATCTCCTACTAGTTTTGCTTCCCTGGTTTAAACCTCAACCTCAATGATCTTAGGGACAATTGTTTTTCTTCACAAATAAATTACCAGCATGTAAAACGTTCATGAATGATCTTATTAGAAGACACAAGACTGTTTAAATGAGAACCATTCTGTGTACAGCTCATTCAAGGGCTCAACCTTGACTACTGATGTTTAAATAATACTAATTTTATAACTTTAGGAACTTAATGTCATTTTCTTCAGTTACCATAATATGCATTCCTACTGAATGTTTAAAATTTATTTTTTAACAGAAAAAAATATATTTTTAAAGCAGCCAGGTTTTACTGGCTTCTATCATGTTTTACTGGCTTTTATCACATTTCAAAAAGTTTGTCTATTAAAAGTTCTTAAAGGAAAACAATTGGGTATTTACAGAGATATTACTTTTCTTGGTGAGCTCACCAAGTTAAATCTCTGCTTGCAACTATGGGAAAATATTCATGTTTACAGTAACATATGAAACTAATACGTTTCCTTATTTAGCCATTTTCAGATTGAATCTTATTTAATTCTTGAGAACCTTAATACACCCAAAAACCAATGTTCACAAATATATTAGACTCAATAGGTAAGAAAAGAAAATCTGTCTTCTAATATCCCACAAATAGCTGTGTAACGATGGGGAATTCATTTAACCTTTCTGAGCCTACCTCTTTATTCTGTAGCTAACAGTTATTAAATATCCACTAGAAATCAAGTGGATATTTGCTTTCTAGACACTTGCTAGACACTAGAGATACAACAATGAACATGACAAAGACAGTCCAATGTCTTCAGAGGCTTAAAGTCTGGAAAGGTGAGGAGTCTGGGCTAAATTACTTTTAAGTCTTCTGTTCCAGAGTTGCTACTCTATACTTCAAATAGGATTACATTCATATTCTATGACCTGGGATTAATACAAGAATTTCCAAACGACACTGAAAAAGCTATAGAGCATTAAAGATTTCCTATGTGAACACTTGTAAAATAACTTTTAAAATCAGAAGTAGGTTTTATATCTTTATTCAGAGGTGATTCAACTATAGAATAAAGCCCTTTTAGCACTATAAAATCCAATGTTTTGAATTTTTTTTTTTTTTGCTCAGCAATACAGTTGCATTTTACAACTTTTATAATCCTGAAGAGATTCTCTTATTTGGAGTTTTTTCATGCATTCAGGTATTTAGCATGATGTCTGATGTGGTCAGTAATAAAGGTTGCAATGAAGTAGTAGCTATGATCATAACCCTAGAAGATAAAGAGATGATAAGACATTTATCTACCATTCAGGAACATCAGTATTAGGAACATTAAATATATCTCTAAGGTCGTTTAATTTGCTTACAAATAGTCATAACATTAAGGAAGTATGAGGAAGGTTTATAATAAAATCAAGGTTGTCATCCTTGTACTTTAACATTTTCACTGTACATTAAAAGAGCAGCAAAAATGTGAAGGAAAACTAAACATTCTGCCTAGCTTCTAAACATAGCCTAACTTCTAAATGCTGCCATTAATATGTAAAGAGTGGAAGTAACACATTAATTAAATATGCAGAGTAGACATGTCATATCAACACTGTAGAGTGCATTAAATATGCAGAGTAGACACTGTCATTGAAAATGACACTATCAATTGACAGTGTCAGTTGATATGACACTGTCATATCAACCAAGATGAAAAGAATCAGGATTTAGAGATCTTAGAAACATGGGCAAGACATTTCAATTCACAAATGCAGCACATCAGTAAGACAGTGACTATTAAAACACAAAATAAGCACACAAACAATATAGAAAAAGAACATAAAAATGCCCAAATGTTCTATCATTGTTGGGAAGTCAAACACAGCCATCATAAATCCTGTTAACAATTCCTCCTACACAGTAAAAGCATGTTGTATCTTTATGTGAGGGGAAATATGTCATTAAGGCCTGACATCCCTTAGCAAATTAGGTAAAAAGTCAGTAATCCTTTGGAAAACTAACATGAAACAGAGAAAAATGCAATGTGCTAAGCAGTTAAGTTGAAAGAGATTTCTATCTATCCAGTCATTTAAAACCATTGTTGTAGGTAAATGGAGAAATAATCCCTTTCTGCTGACTCTGACACTTCTTCTGAATATAAAAAATAGTCTTCCAAAAAAAAAATAATTACAATAAGGTATTAACGCATTTTCCTTCTTTTTTTGTTGTTCAACTTTTAAGTTCAGGAGTACATGTGCTGGATATGCAGTTACATAAGTAAACGTGTGCCATGGTGGTTTGCTGCTCAGATCAAGCCATCACCTAGGTATTAAGCCGAGCATCCATCAGCTGTTCTTCCTGATGCTTTCCCCAACTCCCATCGCCCTTTGGCAGGCCCCAGTGTGGGTTGTTCCCCTCCATATATCCATGTGTTCTCACCATTCAGCTCCTGCTTATAAGTGAGAGCATGTGGTGTTTGGTCTTTTTTTTTTTTGAGACGGAGTCTCACTCTGTCACCCATGCTGGAGTGCATGATCTTGGCTCACTGCAACCTCCACATCCCGGGTTCAAGCGATTCTCCTGCCTCAGCCTCCCGACTAGCTGGGACTACAGGTGCATGCCACCATGCCCAGCTAATTTTTTGTATTTTTAGTAGAGACGGGGTTTCGCCATGTTAGCCAGGATGGTCTCGATCTCCTGACCTTGTGATCCGTCCACCTTAGCCTCCCAAAGTGCTGGGATTACAGGCGTGAGCCACTGCGCCTGGCCTGGTGTTTGGTTTTCTATTCCTGCATTAGTTTGTTGAGGATAATGGCTTCCAACTCCATCCATGTCCCTGCAAAGGACATGATCTCATTCCTTTTTATGGCTGTACAGTATTCCATGGTGCATATGTACCACATTTTCTTTATTTAGTCTATCACCGATGGGTACTTGGGTTGATTCCATGTCTTTGCTATTGAATAGTATTGAATAGTACTGTAGTGAACATATGTGTGCTTGTATCTTTATAACAGAATGATTTATATTCCTTTGGGTATACACCTAGTAATAGGATTGCTGGGTCAAATGGCATTTCTGCCTCTAGGTCTGCGGAATCACCACACTATCTTCTACAATGGTTAAACTAATTTACACTCCAGGTGGGAAGAACTTTCTAAGGGTATCAAACACCAGATAATTTATCCCTATCTACAATTAAAATACAAGGTTGAATAAACCGAAAGAAATGAAAGTCTAACAAAGATTTTGTTTTTCCCATTTTGAACTAGTGAATGGTCACTGATGGGAAAAGATGGGAATTTTTCTAAGCACCTAAGAAATAAAAATAGAGCTAATAAAAATATCACTGACGCTTCAGAGAACAAGGAAATCCCCAAGGTTTTGATGAATCAGTAAATGTTCTCAATCTCTCCCTTCCAGAGAGGTATTAAATGTTTATCTTGGGAACAGCTGTTAATAAAAAGTTCTAGTTTAAGGTCAAGGTAACTTAAGTCTTCTAAAGCAATCTGTCTTCTATCATGGAAGTGAATGTGACAGGAATGTTGTCAAGATTAAAGCTGAGCCTCGGAATTACTTGGTGTCATGTCTCTCAATGATTAGACTAGTCCCAGCTGGCTAGTTGAATTTAGAGCTAAATTACAGTTTCCTATATAAAGAAAGAAATGTAAAGAAAAACATTTTCCATCCATATAATTCTTGAATTGTTAAGAAGTTAAACAGGCCTGGAGTTTTAGGCCACCAAACCTGTAAAATGTACCAAGTATTATCTGCCATTTTTCACAGATCAAAAGATGGATCTGATAGAAAATGGGTACAGATGCAGGGAAACAGATATCTCAAAAGACTTGTGTGACCAAGTTCCAATGTGACTGAGTATGCCATATTTTTATCCTTAGTTTCTTGTGTGTTAAGAGCCATCAGACACATATGAATAGCCATCATTATTATTAGAGAAGTCCCAAGGTAAACCCAGGAATATATTGCAAGACAAGACATCTAAAATCCAAAACAAATGACCATAAGTTCCATAATGATAAAGATTCACCTATATGAGAAAGAAGAAAATGCCTGCCATTGAGGGCCCAAGAATTTTAAAAAATGTCAACAAAAAGGCAATAGAATACATTTGAACAATTGGTATCCTGCTGAAGTTACACAATTCGAGCTAATTGTATCATCCCTGACGAGGGTTTCTATTTATCAGTCTTATTAAATGGGGATGGCTTCTTTAATTAAATTCTTTGATGAATGAGTTGGTATGATATGTTAAGCAGCTTGTGCAAATGCCTATGTTTAGTGACACTTGAAGGGGACTTTTCTCCTCTACCTCACACTTTAAATGGAAAATCCTTGGTAGCAAAACTCTTGACTCCTGGAGTATAAAAATAAATGAACACCTTTCATTCTTTCATTCTTCACTCAGCTCTCAAAAAGGGAGCAGTGCTCCAGCAGCTATGATGGATGTTTATCCTAACAGGCAGTGTTTTCTTATATATTTTCCAGACCCAATTAGAAAAGCTTGGATAAGAATCCCCAGGTTATTAAATCTCTTCAGTGTATAAGGAGGAAGACTTTGCACTGTATTCATTTAACAAGTATTGAGAGTCTCTGTGCTAGATACCTATGCTAAATAAGCATGGGATACAGAGATGAATGAGAGAGCTCTACATTTCTGGGATTCTCTGCCATGTTCTTACTCTTCTCTAGCAGGCAGATGCAGAGGCTAAAACAGCCTCTCAATCTTCAAAAAGGTCCTGAGACTTAAGGAGGTAGTATAGCCTCTCCTTCTATTCCACAAAAAGAGATTACTATTTCTGGAAACTTCTTCACAGTATTAGGTCACTAAATTTTTTTTTCTCACTGTGTAACTCCAATAACTAAAGATAAGACATACTAGGCCCTTCTTTTTCAGACTAAGATTTGATCTCTGTACACTAGATATCAGAATTCTGCTACCTAGTATTTTTTTTTCAATTTAGATTCCCTGAAGCCAAAATAGAAAAAGAAAAAATTATATAAAATAATAACCAAATAAATATCCCCGATGCACTAACCCCTCTCTCTAAAAAATTTTTTTTGACATTCGACAGAGTATAAATATAAATTGTGAGCATTTAACACCATTAAAAAGAGGTAAAAGAATGAAGTTGAGTAAATCATGTGCATGATTGTAATTATTTTCTTTATTCTTTCTCAGATCGTTTATTTATATATATCCCCTATTATTTTCAGCTTATTTTTTACAGCTTCTATCCCACAAGGAAATACAGTTATACTATACTTGTAATCAAATGATAAAGCAGGTGATAAAACTCGCAGACCCAGGGTAATCTTGGGTCAAAGCTGGCAAGAAAATCTGAAAGCAGACTCTCTGGAGCCACTACTTAGGCATGCTCATTCAGTTGTTGATTCAATTACAACGAATCTCAACGAAATCCGCTTCAAGCTATGTAGTCCACTCTTAACCCGACCATGCTGGAAGTAAAGTGAATAGAAAATTGCACCTGAGCTCAACATTGTGACTCTGGTGCTTTGAATACTTTCTTACTTTTTTAGAAGAATTGAATGGTTTGTCTTGACTCCTCATTAAGTATAGCCAACTATGTGTTCTAGTTGCTTGGGATACAGGCATTTTAGAAACAAATAAGTGGACTTATTTTTCCCTCCAGGAATGTCATCATGTTCTAACTGTGCTGTTTTTATAACAAACTTGAGATTTTCAGACTTTGTTGGCAGGCAGAATCATTGTAGAAACAACAGAAATTTTGGGCCCAGTCTTTGGGGAAGCAAATGAGGTATCCAACATGGGTAGTGCCAAGAAATTAAGGTCATTTGGAAAAAACATGGTTTGGTACGCACTTATAGCTATAGTTATTGCAGTTAAACGTATTACTATATTTATAGTCAAATTGGTATTTGGATTTCTCAAGGCTGGTTGTTGACCTAAAATTTAATTGTGATGGTAAATGTTCAAATAAATCTAAAACAAAATTCTATTACTCAAGGATGGACACTAAGAGACAAACAGTATATCATGTATTAGTTTTTGACATTTTCTCACTATATAGTTCACATGTGCAAAATATCCCTAAAAACAGGAAGACTGCTCAGATCTTCTGCATAAGTTACGTAGGCAGCAAGCTATGCACAATTTCTCCTTGTGCTAGCTCTAATTCCATTCCTTTGCTCCTCAGGAGAATATCATGCCGTCTGAAAATGGCTTGATAAATGACAGGAGGTCAGTATTTGCAGTTAAATGGCCTTAGTTCCAGTTCTGGTTCCACCACTTACTAGCTATGTGGCCTTAGATAAGTAGGTTACTTCTCTGAGCCTGTCTCCTCATTTGTAAAACAGATGGATAGGAAAGAAATGATATCTCATTTGGCGGTATAAGAATTAACAATGAGTTAATGCTGTGAAAGCATTTTACAAACTAATGTACCACATTACACACTGATCTAGATTTGAACATTTACCATCGTAATTACATTTTAGATCAATGTGCCTGACACATTATCCTTAAACATGGATAAAAATTTATTTAAAAATCATGACCATGTATAATTTTCAGTGCTCATTTTTCACTCTAAAATATTTTAAATTATATTCTGAAGCTTATGAATTTTTCTTAAAAATAAAAGCAGAACTTCCTTAATTAGGACTATGGTAGCATATATAGAGTTAGGTGAGTAGTGGACGGTCAAAAATATTTTAGTTAAAAAAAACTTGCAAGCCCATTGGGATTCAGTAATTATTCTTAAACAACTAGAAATATCAAGTAGCACAATGAATAGATTAATATGAAAGTCAAATAATATAAAGCACATGTGTGATAAATAATACTTAACTTCTGAGGCTAAAATATATACATAAAATAAGGAGTAATTTAGGTAGAAGTTTGTCCTTTTTATTCTACTGCAGCAAAGGTCCATGTGTAAAGAAAGAAGTATCTGCTAATGCTGAAGATTAATCATCATTCAAGCATTAAAAATCTTGTTATTTACTGGTTTGATGGAAAACAATATTTTTCACTGCCAAAAGCTTTCCTATTTCTATCAAATTTAGTGTTAGATATAATTAATTTTATAGGCAGGTTTTCACTTCAAGTGTCTGAATATAATTAAAAACTTACTAGAAGTAGCATTTTATATTCTAAAATAAAGTTAAGAAAATATCACAGAATCCTAATTTTTCATAGTTACATTATCTAGATCAAGCTAAAGTTTCCTAATACTTGCCTCTTGCAATCGAAAAACAACGGGGATTTTCTTTTCTGTACAGGCAGCTATGAAGTTATCAGGGAGTAACTGTCCATCTAAAAGAAACTGGTCATCTTTCCCTTGATCAATTAGTATGTCCAGCTGAGATCCTGGATAGGATTTCACAAGGTGGGTAGCATCATAAGCCTGTAAAAAGAGAAGTAACATTGAAAAATAAATTCAAAGATACTCTTCAGGATATACTATACTAGTACCAAACAGAAATTTAAAGTTATTTAAGCTCTTAGGCTGATTAAATCAGAAATATGCTTTTAAGTTGGTTCAAAATCTGACTTGCCAGGCTTTTATTTACAAGGTCTTCGGAATTCTATTTTCTAATAATAGTCTCTTCCCTACTTTCAAGCAGTCCTAGACTAGTGGCAAGAATCCCATATCTCAGGGATTCTTAAGAAAATGGCCTTTTTCCTTCTAAACCTTTAATATTCTTAATCTCCTCTTGGCTCCAGCAAGAACATGATTTTTTTTCCTTTGTAACTCCTTCCACAAATTGGAAACTAGAAGCTTCTTCTAACTCCATGATCTTTTTCCAAATATTCTCTATTTCAGATAATCTTTTTTTTTATGTCTCTTCTTTATGGCTGTAATTCCAGACATAAACACATTCAGCCTTCTTTTTTGCTGTTGAACAGCACCAAACCTCTGCTATCTACATAAGCTTTCAGAAACACCTGGTGTGAATCATCTGAATCATATCAACATCATCTCAAATTTATTCTCTGAGGAGCTGCCACTAGTTACAATTTTATGTTTTATCATCCACCTCGAAATATTCTTATTCATATATATTCATTAACCACAACTTTATACATTGACCAAGACAAACAACCACGAAAAGATTTGTCCTCTAAGTATCCTGCTTTTGAAGGTTCTATTTCCTTTCATCTTAGAGTGGGAGAGGACCTATAAAGTCTGACTAGTTAGTTCTAAATTCTATGATTTCATAATTCTACATGGTTTCCTGATTTCAATCGTAAATTAAATAATACCCTAAATACAACATAATTAAGACAGTAAAATCTACTGTCACTTGGAGAAAAGTACATATCTAGATTCCTTTTTAGGTTACCTGTACCTCTACCTCTCACCTTCACCCTCCAATTAGTTGGTCTTTTACCCAATTCTTCTATTAGACCATAAGCCCCTGGTGGATGTGAAAGGGTCACCATTTTCGTGACAAAACAGCTCAGAACCTAGCATAGACTTTGCACCAGATGAAGACTCAAAACACTGATGTACATGCAATGTCAGTTCTCAAAGGACCTAATCCTAAATCATTTCTAGCATTCTTCAAACATAGTAAAAATTCAAGCCTAAACAAAACTGTAATCTAGTTACTAAAGGATGAACCCTTTAATTAGTTAGAATTTCAGTAATCATCCTTAAATAAAATGTGTTGGAATTTCAATAATCATCCTTACATAAAATAGGGGTTCATGTAGGAATGAACCCTGAACACAGAACTATACTTTAAATACTTTAAGACAAAGAAGTTGCATTTTTTACCCATTCAAGTATTTTCTGCTTGTTAACAATACACATCATGATGAGTTCATTTGCAAAGTATTCAAACTCTTGGCAGAGTTTGTAAATGGCCCATTTCTGCACAAGAGTAACATGGCTCTCAGGAAAAAGGGTCATTTTTATTTCCACTTGAAAGCACCTGTTTGCATGCTTGAAAAAGCAATCTTGCTGTGGGAATATTCACATAAATGTACATAACAGAATATCTATTTTTAAAGACTCGTGTCTGGAATTTAAAATCGAGATCTGAAATGCTAAATTTTGAAAACAAAGTAATTTAAAAAGCCAGGCTTCTTTGCTTCTATTACACAACTGAGCACATAGTTAATAAGAGGCAAGTCTAAATTTAGTAACACAGGTTGAACATCCCTAATCCAAAAATCCAAAATCAGAAATGCTCCAAAATCTGAAACGTTTTGAGTACCCACATGACGCTTAAAGGTAATGCTCCAAGGAAATACCCATTGTAGCATTTTGAATTTTTAGATTAGGGATGCTCAACCTGTAATATATGGTATTTTTAGATTAGGGATGCTCAACCTGTAATATGTGGTATTTTTTGGTTAATTTAGAAGTGATGTTAATTTAGAAATAAAAATATAAATTAACCATTAGTAGAAAAAAAATATAGCCCCAGAATATCTGCCATGATTCAATACAATTAGAAAGTAGGGTTTTTTGTTGATTTATATATATATATATATAAAATAATATATATAATAATATATATAAAATAATATATATAATAATATATATCTCATATATTGATATATATATCGATATATATATATCTTTTGCTAATTTGTCTCAGCTCTAGAGCCCTAACATGAGCAGGGTAGGAATATAATATATGTCCAACCTTTTAAACAAACTTGAAACTTAAGAATGAGTATTAAGACAGCCATTCAGTACCTACCTTCCATTTACTTTGATCTGTTCCCAAATATCCACTAAAGGCTTTTTTGCCCCAGGGACAGAGTACAGGGTTGCAAATTGGAGCAAATGCTGACACAGACTTCAGAAACAAAAGAAATTTAAAAACAAGTTATATTTTGCTAAATTAAATATGAATAGATATTTGCAACTTACTTAAAAATATAGAAGTTACTTGCAACTTGCTTAAAAATTCTGACTTGCCATGAAAACCCTGTGAACAATTTTCCTTTTGATATATTGCTGGCTTAGATTGCAGGCCTTTCCATAATACATCTTTTGTGTATTCTATTAAGAGAGCTAATAAGTATAGTTGCTAAAATAATGCAAAACAATACATTGCAATTTAAGATACAAACAGAAGTCTATGTTCAGCGTTTCTGCTTTTTTAGCACTGAAAATTAATCTATAGTGATATAAAACAGTTCATGCTTACCTTAGTGAACATGTTACTAAATCTGACACATTTCTCTTAAACAGTACCAACAAAGCAGTGAGCAATGCATTTCAATATGACAGAATTTTTAATACAACTCTGTGTTCTATACAATGTTCTTTTTCACTGGATGAGATGCAGAGATGGGATCTCTCAACTTCAGAGTACTCATCAATGTAAATGTTTAGTGGTATCTACTAGCTTTTTTAAAGGACAAAAAAATCAACTAAGTTTGCTTTTCTACCTCAGACATGATAGACTGCCTTAAAAAATGGAAATAAAAGTGCTTACTTAGAAAGCCCACTGTCAGGCCATGAATTAATAAAACTTGATAATAAAGCGTACCAAAAACAAAATATTTGATGCCACAGAAAGAAACTGTTATGAGAAATGTTTTCATTTCTCAGTAGCACACCTAAAATAATCAAGTTCTTCCTAAGAGGAGGAAATGAATTAAACCAATTTTAAGGGCATGAACAGCCCTGTAAATTTAAAGGCAGAAGAAATTTTAAGATGCTAGTTGCTTTAACACTTCCTTATTCAACTCTTGTAACATGCTGTTCTGCACAGTATGACATACTACATATGGTAGTTATTCAAATTTGACTCTGGGAAAGGCTGAGAGTGATGTTTTTTAATCAAGCTGCATTTCAATTTTCATTAGAGGCATTAAGAACACAATTCTTAAGCTTCTACAAATCATATCTTTTACCTCAGAAAATCAAAGTCAACTTTACAAAGACATCCCTGGTAAGAATATAAATGATAGATCCTGCCACTATAACATTAATCAGTAATAATAACCTTTACAGAAAAAAAGTGTGTTCAAAACTATAGTTGGAATAAAAACAATTAAAGGAGAAGCTACATTTTATAATACTTCCAGTAGGCCAATAAGAAAGCACTCTTGCTGAATTCCTATGCGTCTGATTCTGCAGCATACACTCTATGGTCAAATTAAATACCCACCCTTCAAACACCCCAAAGTTCTCAACACTAGAAAAGTTTAGTTCCAATACTAACAATATTGTAATTTTACTCTTTGAAGGTTCCTAATATTATGTTATTCAAGAGAAATATTTATCACTAGAAGTTTAGATAATCTTACTTTGTATTTTCCAGGATTTTTCAAAGCACAGATCAGAGCTCCATGACCTCCCATGGAGTGGCCAAAAATAGACATCCTTTGGGGATCCACTGGAAAATTGGCATTTATGAGTTGGGGAAGCTAGAAAAAATTTAATAGTGTGACAAAAGATATCAAAGAAAATAAGTTCAGACATTTCAAAGTTACAGAAAATAATTACACAATCAATACTGCCAAATCATAGTCTTACAATGGTTTGAACTAGTAACAATGAAAACAAAACAAAACTAAATCCTCAGGCAGACCATGATTATTAATATATCCCTGGAAAATATATGGTACAGACTTCTTAGAAAACACTTTAGGAAGGTGATGCAGAAAGAACCTTTAAAATGCTTTTAAGTTTTGACCTAGTAATTTCACTTTTTGGAATATATTCTAAGGAAAAGTCCTTAGGGAGAAAACATTATGCACAAATATAATCAATGCAGTAATATTTATTAGGGTAAAAACATATACAAAACCATAAGTATTCTATAAGAGGAAAAAGTCAATTATGGCATATGACAGAATATTACACAATTATTAAAATCAGAATAACACTAGAAAATATTTTTATATGTAACTTAAAAAGAAGAAGAAAATAAAAAAGTTTAGAATTACGTGAAAACTAGTCATAGAAACAGTCTGGAACATACCAAAACATAAGTGTTTTGGGGGGGTAACAGAATTATGGGTAATTAAAAACTTACACTATTGTTTCTAAGTTTTTATGATATACATAGTAACAATGAAAATCATATAAAATTCAGAAAATGCATAAGCAGCATACAAATATTATTAATAGAGGTAATGCTTTACCACTTATGTTTTCTAACTAAGCCTTGGCTTATCACTATAAAATACATCCAAATGAACCAGCTGCCAGGCAAATTAAAGGTTTTTTTCATATACCATTTTCTTGGTTATTCTGGGTAGTATAAACAGGTCTCAATATAATGATTATATTCTTTAATTGTACTTAGTGTTAATTTAAATTGCAGTAAATAGAACTATAGTACTAGCAAACTTTGGAATTTTTACTAGTAACTTTTATACCCTAGTTTAAAATCCTCAGGATTGTAAGGACTTTGTGTTCAAAATCAAACTCTTGGCAGTCATCAATTAATAATTACAATACAAATTAAATTACCTCCTCTGTGACATAAGAGTACATTCTGTAGTTGGTTTTCCAAGGATCTTCAGTGGCATCAACATAAAATCCAGCACCAGTGCCAAAGTCCCAGCTCTCATCTTCACCTTTAATATTGCAGCCACCTATCAAGAAACAATCTTGTGGTTTCATCTGCTCTGTAGTAATGGCCCATGTTTAATAACACACTTTCAGATGAATCTGCAAGTCCATTTGCATGGGAACTGTTCACCAAATGTTGTGAGCTCTCTGCCTTTTGGAGCACATGATAGGATTATACTTCCTGCTCCTCTTGCCCTTGAATGGGGCCCTGCGACTCGTTCTGGCCAATGAGGTAAAAAATGACCTTCCAAGCTGGAGTATTCAGCTGCCAAGGTAAGATACACTAACTTTCTTTGTTGATGAAGTTTCTTATGTACTCTGAACATATGTTTCCTTACTCTGGTTTACCTGTCAAAAAGGACTTATATCCTCTTTTTATCTTTCAGAAATGTGTTGTGATCCCTTCCCTGATGACCCTCTCTCACTATCAGCACTTTTTAAATTCTCTTTACACAGGAGTGGGGAGGCAGATGCTTGTGCTCAACTTACTATCTTGAACTGAAAATGTTTTCTAATATGCTTTCCATCACATTTTTCCTATCTATCCAACCTCCACTGGAATTTTCTTATGTTTCTTTTTAACTTGTTACATTTTATTTTATATACTTGCATGTGGTTAAAAAGCCAACCATTGGGATTTTGAATAGAATTACAGTAACACGTAGAGTAATTTGGAGACATGACCTTGTCGTAAGATTCATTTTATCCATCTAGAAACACAGCATTTTCCCATTTATTAAAGTCTTCGTTTATGATAACAAAATTTTAGTTTCCCTTTTATATATCTATTTTCGTATTTTATATTTTTGATATTATTTTGAATTAAATCTGTTGTTATATTTCTAACCAGATATGCA
This sequence comes from Homo sapiens, assembly GCF_000001405.40. Classification (NCBI taxonomy): domain Eukaryota; kingdom Metazoa; phylum Chordata; class Mammalia; order Primates; family Hominidae; genus Homo; species Homo sapiens. Next base: position 46,783,626 of record NC_000013.11, read on the forward strand.
TTGTTTTTGTATAATATGGCCTGTGAAAGGAAATATACTACTTGCCAGGCCAGCCATATAACTTCCCTAGTTTTACTGCCATTTAAATTCCATTTCCTGAAACTTCTAGAGTCATAAAACAAGTTTTAACTGTCTGATGCATTGAGTCTCACGTAGTTGATATTTTCATTTCTCTAATGTAAATATTCAAATCATTTATATTAAAACTAATACTTGTTTAACTGTATGGTTGATGTTAACAGAGATGAAAAAAGATGTAATTATCATGCAACAAGACAGTATACCTCTGGAATAGAAAAATAATTTCCTATGCATTACACATTAGTATTTTGACAGTAGTGCCAACATGATATATGAATTGAGTTGCTCAATCTCTGCTTTGAAGTATCTTAATCTGTACAATGGGAATAGCAAAACTATCCTCTTTCATAAAGGCCATGTCATGAGTAAAATTCAATGAGGAAAATGTACAGCATGGTATTTTGGAGTCATGATGCCACTTGAAAGGTTAATAGAGATAACAGCAAAAATATAAAATGAATTGTATAATGTATATATCATACCACTTTATACCAGTCTTAAAGATTTAGATTTTTACAAAGGATATCTAGACCACAAACACTTACGAGGGCTGGTATCTGGAGCAATGACAACAAGACCATGTTCTGAAGCAGACTGATGATAACCAGATTTTGATATAAAATTTTGCTCTGTGCAAGTTAAACCTGAAGATAAAAAATATTGTTATTGGGCACACATGGACATGAAGATGTGCACCATTAATACTGGGGACTATTAGAGCAGGGGGAGACGGAGACGGACAAGGGCTGAAAAACTACCAGTTAGGTACTATGTTCACTACCCGGGTGATGGTATCTTTCATACCCCAAACCTCCATGTCACGCAATACGCTCATATAACAAACCTGCACGTGTACCCCTTTAATCTAAAATAAAAGTTGAAATTATTAAAAATAAATTATCTCATGCTATATTGTGAATGGTTTATAAGCTTTAAACTGTTTATAATACAGGAAAACAAGCTCATTTGGTATTATTATTTTTTTTGCTTTAGAAACAATTTTGAGTAAGACACTAAAATTCACTTTTTCACAAAATTTGTAATAGTATTAACCTAAGAACTGTGTTAGGTTAAGTGATCCCATAACTATCCTTTTAAAATCACTACTAAAGTTTCAATTACTAAAATCCTTTGGACCAGGAGTGTTTGGGAATTCAGAAATTTTCAAACTGTAGAGTGACAATATGGTGCATAAGCCCAATATTAAAACAACCCCAGTGAAGTGTTATCAAATATGCTAATTAAACATCGCACTATTTCTGCACCAAAACATATTCACAGTAAATAAGCAAATACTATGGTCTTCATAATACAAATACTTTTTTTTACATACAGATAGTTCTCAGCAACAAAATTTAGCTTAATCATCTTTGTATTCTTCACTGAACTAAAAAGAGAGTAATGGTGACCATATGCCATCCTTAAATTGAGTTTTAGCCTCAGTTTTTAGAAGTTTCTGTTATTTTTCCTAGCTCCATGCTTTTCAGTCATGATAGAGGAGATGACTTAATTCTTTTACTATAGGTATCTAATACTACAATGATGTGAGAATGGTGAGGAATGAACTAGCAATCGATTTTATTGATCATTTCACCAGTTGAGAGAGATTTGGTTTGTTTATACTTTTTGGCTATTATAATAGTGTGCCATGAACATTCATGTGCAAGTTTCTGTATGGACATGTTTTCAATTCTATTGGGTACACAGCTAATAAAGGGCTGTTTCAATGGTCACCTTCACTTGGGAAAGATACAAATCACTACACATGAACTATCTTTTAAGATTTCAGTTTGGCTGTTTTGATTTCAGCTAATTTCTCTATTTTAGCTATATAATAATTGTGTAATCTTTCTGTCATTGTTTTCCTTAGACTTGCTGGGAAGTAAACCTTCTGAAATTTTTTTGTCACCATTTCTCACGTGCACTGGTCAGGCAATCTTACCTTTACTCAGAAAATCAAGCCTTAATTTCCAAGGTCTATCTGTTCTTCAGCATCTCACTAAGGAAACTGTCCTGTCATTTGATGTAAACAAACAAAAATTCTGTATTTTATACTTGTAAAGCTCAGATATGTCTTGCTAGATTCAATTTTAGTTAAAACTTAGGGCCCTATTATTAGAGTACCTATGACACAATGCCTCAGGGCTTCTGGTTATTATTGTTTAGCCAAGAGATATGACTATAGTACCCCTCACCAGAAACAAAACGCAAAAACAACAGGAGAAAAAACTAAATACAGCTCTGGACTGTGAGTCAGAAAACTTGTTCAACTCCACATTAGCGTGTGACCCTGGACAATATTTAGCTTCACTGGGCCTCATTTTCTTTCTAGGGATTACATGATTTCTAAGATCATTTTTAGCTATACAATATTATATTTTCTAAGACAATTAAATAACTAATTTTGTTGCTCTTGCTTTTAGCAATACCTAATGCTCTTCTAGCAAAATCAGTGCTCTTCATTCAATCACAGAAATGTTTTCTTGAGTTAAAGTCAGATATGCACTTAATCTTTACCCTTTAAGATGAAATATTTATTCTCATTTTCAAAGACTGGTATTTGGGACTTGTCCTTGATGAAACACACATGAGGGAGGATTTGTTAAATCAAAGTTACAGGAACCAATTTGAAGGAAACAAAATTAAAATAGTACTCTGTGACACAATTTAGTTGCTAGGATTCTCTCCTTATGTTTGCTTCTGAAGATGAAGTACCAGCGTCTTGTGAAAGAAAAGTTAGCATAGAGGTTTCAAAACTGCAGGTGTCAAAATCTTACTCTTCACAATCTATTCTACAGTAGTTAATATGAAACACTGATTAAGAGAAGCCTTAGCGTTCTTTTGTGACTTTCCAGATTGTTGTCAGAGAAGCTCTATGGAGTCCAGTTAAAATATTTTAGAGAACACTGTAAGTTATTTGACTTTTTACAATAGCTGGTTTCTAATTAGAGTATCTTGGTGTCCTGATTTCACCTAATATTGTTCTAATGGACTAGTAAAGTCTCTATAAACTCCAGAAATGCTTGGGTAGGTCCAAATTAAGTAAATAAGTTTTCTAAGCCCTTGCTATTGAGTACAGAACTTTACATTCTCTGCTAAATTACTTGGTCTATTAGAAAAATATATGAAATAAATATAATTCAGTAGGTCTGAAATTATTCTGAGGATAAAAGTAACAGAGTAGACTATGACAGGTCCTTAAAGTCTTTCATAAATGGCTCAAAAAGCCTACCAAGTTAAAATAAAAGGGTAAGATAAGCCAGTTAAAAAGAAAATAGAAACGACTTTATAAAACTCAAATGCATAATACTTACCTGAGAGCCAATACAGTGCAGGGCACTTTCCTGTTTCTGCCTTTGGTGGTAAGTAGACAGCAAATTTCATTTTGCAGTTTAGTTCAACACTAGTTTTAACAAAAACAACAACAAAATATTAATGCCCCTCATTAATCAATACAGAAACAAAATAATTATGCACTATATAAAAAGTAAGATATATACTAAAGGTCCAAAATAAGTTATTTAATGTTCAAAATAAGTGGTTCCACTAACATTTAACGAATATACTTGTCCCTTAAAGAAAGAATGTGGTCAATTTAGCATACTGATCTAAACCAACCTGAGCCTATACTTTGCATGGCACTGTCATTCTGGGCAAAATAAGTGAAAAAATAAATGTAATTCATTGTGGCATTTATTAAAAAATAGTTTTTGTTTCTAAAGAAATGTATGAAATGACAAATCATCTTTCATAAAAAAATGAATTCTTGAGATCTTACATATTTGTTCATAGGCACTAAAATGCAACACATCCTTAATTCGCTCTTTCATCACTAATATTTTATCACAATCACTATTAATGCAACTAGAAAAGACAATTTTGATTAAAACCACAGGCGTTTTTCCAGTAAACAGTAATTCATGCAACAGTGATCTCTCATGGGTTTATTTAAAACATCATATAAATGGAAGTAAACTCTTACTACTTCAGAGTAAACACCTATCTTTTTATCAAAGTTATGTAAGTACATAGTTTAAAGTAAACTGTAACTAAATAGTAAATACTTCCACACACTGTTATGAAAAACTAAATATATATAAAAACTAAATATATAAAAAACTCTCCAACCTTCTCATTTTCCATATTCCAGAGATAATTAATTTACCTCTTTTAGTTGATTTTTCTGGTATTTATGTCCCTATCTACATAATATGACTTTATTACTGCTTCTAGATTTTTCAGTTTTTAGTTATTATCTATTGGCTTCCCATTATAGAAGGATTTTAGTTAACTTTCAGCTCCCTGTCTTTGCTCTCTGCATGCCCCTACATTTCTCCTTCCACTATCGTATCACATATAATTTTGGTTAATCAATATTAAGAAGTTATAAATGCTATTCAGAGATAAGCCATGTAGTATATTAGCATTACTTTCCTTTTTCTTTCAGTTTTTTTTGTTTTCATTGAGCTGGTAATTCTCTCCTTTTTGTTACTGGTTATCCTTCCTTGTTAGGAATAGACTCCCACAAAGGCCCCATCATGGGAAGTTTTCTGTATGCTCCTTTCCATTCTCTGCATATTGGTGATTTTCTTTTTCCACATTATTCTAAGCAACTTTTCTTGTTGATGACTGACGGCACAAAAAATTTCTGACATTTGTTTTTAGGTTTTCAACTTTTGTTAGGGAAGCTGAAACATTTACTTTCATTATAATACTATATCAAATCCATATTCAATGCAGGGATATCTGTTATCAATACGTAAAATCAAGAGAACATAATCTTGTTACAGAATGGTTGGTGCCTTAAGACCTTTCTTGCACACTTAAACATTTGTTAAGAGGGTATATTTCATGTTGTTTTGTTATTACAACAAAATTTTTAAAAGAGGACCTTTCTCAAGCAGTTGTGGAATAAATCAGGTCTAAAGTATGTTCAACAGTGGTATGATTAACACTTATGTAAAAGCAAAAAAAAAAAAAAAAAACACAACAGGATTATCAAGCAATCTTCTGAAACCTCTGTCCCTATCATGTCATTAAGATGTTGCTCAATTACCAAAAGAATACAATCTCATGCACAGATATTTGTGTGGTCACTCTGCATGTATCACTAATTCAATACCAAACTCCCCCAACCCTGATTGGTTTCATAAATTTCCTCTCTAATACAGTCAGTTCTATCAATTTCATCTACATTAAAAAAACCCCTTCAGACCAGTACTGCCGAACAGAACTTTCTACAGTGATATTAATAAAAATGTTCTATCTATGTATTGTCCAGTACAACAGCTTCTGGTCATGTGACTACTGAGCACCTGAAATGTGGCTAGTGGGACTGAAGTTTTATTAATTAGCTAATTTGATGTAAATGGCTACATGTAATTACTGGCTACCATCTCCAACTTTTGACCTGCTGCTTTCTAGTTGCTGCCTTAATATAGCTCCACTCATCTGGAAACTCTTTCTCCTCTGATCTGTTTTCTTGGATCTTATGCCTTCAGCTATCTTGCTTTAGTCCCTCATTTTGGTGAAGCATATTATTCAGTTGCTTCCAAAAGTGCATGGGAAATACACTTTGAGACCTTTCATATATGAAAACATCTTCATTCTACTCTCACTTAATTGACAATATGGTTGGACATAGAAGTTATCCTTCAGAATCCTGAAAGCACTGCTGCTCTGCCTTCTTAGTTCTAGTAATACCGTTGAGCTGACCTAAACCTTTGAAAAATTCTTAATCTACTTTCTCTTTTTCTCAATGTTTGAGAATTTTCTTTGTTCCCAACACTCTAAAACTTTACTATGTTGTTGGTGTAGATCTATTTTCATCCATTGTACTAGACAACTTTTTAAATCTGGCAACTTCAGTTCTGGGAATTCTTGAATTATTTATTATTTATATCTATACCTCTATTTCTGTTCTATTTTCCAAAATTCCTAACTTTTAATGTTGGATTTTTGGACTAGTCCTCTAATTTTGTTGTCCTTTCTGATTTATCACTTTTATCTTATTTTACTTTCTAGAATGTTCAACTAACCATTCTATTGAGTTTTGTCATTTCTACTACCAAAATTTAAATGTCTAGGCTTTTTTGTAGTTGAGGATTTTTTTATTTTATGTTTTTTGAGACAGAGTTTCGCTCTTGTCGCCCAGGCTGGAGTGCAGTGGTGCCATCTTAGCTCACTGCAACCTCTGCCTCCCAGGTTCAAGCAATTCTCCTGCCTCAGCCTCCTAAGTAGCTGGGACTACAGGTGTGCATAACCATGCCTGGCTAATTTTTGTACATATATATATATATATATTTTTTTTTTTTCAGTAGAGACAGGGTTTCACCATGTTGGCCAGGTTGGTCTCGAACTCCTGACCTCAGGTGATCTGCCTGCCTTGGCCTCCCAAAGTGTTAGTATTACAGGTGTAAGTCACCACACCTGGCCATGTACTTGAATATTTTTTAATAGCATCCTATGAAGTCAAGAGGTCAATATCTTTTATACTTTGATATGAAGAGAAGTTCATATCAAATTAAAGACTTTATACAAATGTCTAGTGATCTTTAGCTGTCCACTCCTATTTAAGAGAGAAACACTAAAAATCTAGTTGAAAGCACTGTGCCTACAGGTGGAGTTGTCAATCATTGCTTTACTGTAAGGTCTGGTTAGGTTACTTTGTTGGCAAATCTCAGTATCTTGAAATCTCTTCCTTTGGGCTACTCAAACTCCCCACAAAGAAATTCTTCTAAAGGATATAAGACTAAGTCCCCAAATTTTGAAAGCTAGTGGAAGAAACTCAGTGTGCAAACTTTTGCTTAATCTATTTGCAGTATCACAATCCCACTAATTGTGTCTGGTATTCCCCAGTACAAACAGTTTACTTTCTCTAGAGAACTTACCTCCAATCTTTCCCAGAGTTAGGAAGAGGCAGTCCATAAAGCTGGGACACTCTCAGATCTATCTCCTTTTAAAAACAGACTTTCAATTAATCTTTTTTCTAAGCTCAACTTTTATCCTTATTTTCAGGGGTCCCTGGTGCCTCCAATTACTATGGCTTTAAATAAATTGTGTCATTTCTCAGGTTTTCTTGCTTATGTTTAGAATGTAGCTTTCTAGGTTTTACTAAGTCAGGTACTACCTCTCCATTTGTATTCCTGCTTCTAAAATGTTATTCTTAGCTCCTGTCTCCTGCTTCTTTATGCCTTTATAGGTATATGTATGTGTGCGTGTGTGTTTAATCTCTTTACTTAATGCCATGTTAGTCAGAGTTTTGGAGGCAGCGGAAGCAAATGCATGTGTTTAGTGTGCCATCTTTCTCAAAAAGTCCAGGTGTTTTTCCTACACTTAGAGATCCTCAAAGAAAATGTTTTCAGAATTTTTACTGGCAACATAAGCATTTTCATAAAGTTTCAGAAGAGCATCATGTCAAAGCTTGAAGATACTTCTCTGTTAAGGCTCTACCTCACACAATCACATCCACAGTTAATTAAGTCTGGTAGAATTGTCAAATACATAACCACAGAAAGAGAGTAAGCAAGTTTAAAAGTAAAATGAGGTACTATAATATCTAGATAAAGATTGGTTTTAAAATAGAACAAAATAATCCAACAGAATGAGGTATCTAAAATTATATCTTCTTAATAGTTACCTGTCATGTTCAAAAACTTTCTGCAATCCCCCAAAGCACTTGTTGCTGGAAATCTGCTTCAATGCCATTCTTTTCCTATTAGTAAAGAGTAATCTCATTAATTTCCAGAGAATTAGTTACTGAAAAACTTGAAACAAAACTAATTGCCTTCAGATAAATTATCTGAACATACAACTATTTTCTACTTAGAATTTTTTTTTCACATTTTTCTCCAGTAAATAATATTAAGAAACTGATTAACGCTCATACATGCATTTACACTTGTTACTCACTTTTAAAAGCTTTCATACTTTGGTATATCATTACTAATTTATTAACAAGTTTTTTCGTTGTGGTGGACTGCCCCAAATTATTTTTAAAAGAGGCAGAAAATACATAAGTTACCAATTAATTACCTTAGTTTAGAAGATTAAAAATTGTTAATAGTCTGCCTATCAACTGCAACAAAGTAGTCAAGGAATTGGTATGACTGATTATAGTTGATTTTAAAATGGAAGAAAGATGTGATAATGATTTTGGTAATAATAATATGTAACATTACTGAACACTTACGGTGTGATACACATTTTTCTAGACACTAAACCAGATCCAATTACTCATCCCATGAATTTTTAAGAGAAAGTGATATGAAACTTTAAGATCAACATTTATTTCTCCTTTTAAAACAAACCAATAAGTAAAACAAGCCTGTTAACTTCTTTTCTGTCCAACAAATCTTTTGTTTTCATGTAAAAATAATTTTAAACTTACATGTAAAATGACATATTTTATTGCTTTTAATGATAAATACAGGAAAAAAGTTGGAAAACTATCTTTATCATAAATGCCTATTAAGCAAAGGGAAACCACACTGATTCTGACATGTACCTCTCAAAGAAAGATTCCCTTTCTATTCCTAGAAACACTGTATTAGAATATAAGGCAGTAAGTCCTACATATTGAAGAAAAAGCTTTAGATATCAGGAACAGGTATTACCACCCTGGTGATCTTCTCAGAGAAATGCACTACTACATGCTAATCAGCTGGAGCTTTAGGATTACTCTTTCAAAGATGTATAACAATAATCTTAAAAAGCTAATTTTGGAAATGTCTTTATAAAATACTTTAAAAAATTAGTTTCAATCTTATCTCTAATTTCTTCAATAAACCCAAATAGTTTTATTTTGGAAGACTGGGATTTGAACCCAGAAGTCTGACATCAGAAGCCCTACTCTTAACTGCTATGCTGTCCTGACTCTCTAGAGGTTCTTTAAATACTCATTTTTTAAGACACTTTAAGATAACTGATTCTATAGAATTATGATATTACAACTGTACACAAAGAAATTACCATCTGCTCAGTTTTATGCTTTTAATCTATAAAAGATTAATTCTTAAACAATAAACTCCCATGAGATGTTATTAGTTACTGAATATTAACTTTAGCTACTGTTAACAATCCTATCTTAAATAATGAACTTATAGAGAGAGATACTAATTTTAATATATTAATACATATATATGAGACCAACAAATAAAATTTATTTGCTCCATTATTCCACAAGGAAACCAGATTTTCTTAAACTTAGAAAGGACTATATCCACTTTGCAAAAGATGGTACACTGAGCACGTATCTGGTACATAGGAGTCTGTATCTTTGCTATTCGTCTATTTTAATAAACCTCAAGTTGTCAGTTTTCTCTGCTCTTAAAATTCAAAATCAAATGCTTTTCATTTGGCCAGAAGAAACAAGATTAAAACACTTTTTAAAAGTTGGTAGAATATTTTTTAAAAAACAAAGCTTTTAAAGTATTTTTTCTACCCACCATTTTAGAAACTATCTTTAATTACAAATCAAAAAAATATGTTAGGCTTAACAAGAAATATGACATAAACTAAGAACTAGATATGACATACTGTGATATACTATGATATCTGATACATTATAATAGGTGGTTATATTTTTCAATAGAATTTTTCTATGTGAAAAATAGCACGTTTTAAAACAAGCTATTAGTGGTATTTTCATTCAATGTTCAGAGTAACATATAAACAATAAAACAAGTTTACCTGTCCAATTGCTGATTGCTTTTTGCTTGCACCAAATGGTAGGCGATTCTGAAAAAAACACCAATGGTTTACAAATGGGATATACTTTTCACAGCAAAGGTTATACAGAGCTTTTATATGCATATGCATTCTCAATAGAGATGTTTTCTTCTTTTGAGGTAAATGACTGTACACCCTGATGGGATACCACATCACCACTTAATTACCTTAATTGCCCATAATCTAATTATTTGCCACAGGCCACCTTAATACCTATTTTGCCATAAAGCTTGTTGGTACTTGGTCAAAACCATCTGCTGAAGTAAAAGTACTATGAAAGTTTTTTATCTTTTTAAATCAATAAACAAAGTTTTCAAGTGTAATTTCGAAGCATGAGATGTAGTCAACTCCTGAGTGAAGAAAATAAGAGTGGGGACTAGGTAAGTAGAGGAAGATGGATCTATCTGGCTCAGTTGTAAGTCGAACTTGTAACATGGGGAGAAAGAAGGGAAGAGATGAGGACTGAAGGACTACTACTAGGGTGACTAGAAAGGATGTATAAGAAAAGTGGGCTTATGAACGATGAAGTGACTGATATTCAGTAAGAAAAATATATATGGAAACTTACATAGTATATATCATGTCACTTATCTGGTAGATTTCATTTAGGCTCTAGAACAAATATATATTTAGGTTCTAGAACAGATTTTGTGGGAGAAATAGGGTGACAGAGTAGGGTGGAATACCAAAAAACCAAACAACACCCTTCCTCCTTCCCCTCCAAAAAACAACAACAACAACAACAACAACAAAAACAGAAAAACAATTTCACAGTGCCAGTGGGAGTTACACAATTTTTCCCAAATGTTAGTGAACATCAACATTCTTTGGAGAAGAAAGGGTCTCTCAGTGCATAATACATCCATTCCCCTAAAGGTCAAACCTTACTGTTCTTCCCTTTATTTTTTATTTTTTGGAGATGGGGTCTTGGCTGTGTGGCCCAGGTTGTAGTACAGTTGCATAATCATGACTCAGTGTAACCTAGAACTCCAAGCTTCAAGTGTTCTCCTACCTCAGCCTCCTGAGCAGCTAGGACTACAGGTGCGTACCACACTGGAATATTTTTTTTTTTAATTTTTTGTAGAGACAGGGCCCTTTACTTATTAAAGTTAAATGTCATCCACCTCCAGAAATCTGAGTTCTATTTTTATCCTTCTTCCCCTGTGTCTCAAGTTTTCCATAAATCTCTACATGTGTTTTTTTGTTCCCATTCTCTCAGATTCCTTGGATTTTGATGTTTCTTCATTTCCAGGATGTCCTATTCCACTGGCTCTTAACAACCTAGACAGGTGTTCCCAAAACCAACAATCTACAGTTCCAATAACTGCTGTTGACCACCACTGTGTTGTTCAAATCCTCTTCTCAGTGAAAACTCAGGATCTGGCTTCTTCCCTTTCACTCTGTCTCCTCCCACCTCCCTTTTCTTTTTTCTTCACACTCTTTCCCTAAACCTCATTCCCTAAATTTCAACTACATTTTCTGGGTGAAATAATCTAAATCTGCATCTCTATAACCAATCTTTCTCAAGCATTAGTACCCATAATGACATTTCTTGCTGGACTCTTCTACCAAGACATGTCACCAGCTATTAAAACTTACCACACCTAAAATTAAGCTTCTGCATCTCACCTTCAAACCATTCCTCTTTTCATTGCCTCTCTTTTTCAGACTCATGCCTGTCTTGCCTAATCTACATTTGAGATGCCTCAAAGTTACCTTCTTTTTGAATTCCCACTGCCATCATCCTAATTATATATAAGAAATTAAAACTTAGCCTCTTCCTTTCTTCCTAATACATCCCACTACGATCAATCCTGCATGAAAGCCTAGGGTTTTAATCCACTTAATTTACTGGTCAACGGATCCCTACCAACAGCTCATCTGCAGCCTAATACGGCCTACGTGGAATTGTTAGTCATTTTTATTTAGTATTTTAAAAACTGTGATAAAAACACATACATAATATTTACTATCTTAACCATTCCTAAGTGTGTATTTCAGTAGTGTTAAGTATCCATTAGTCATATGTAAAAACGCAGTTCGCCAGCTCACAATAATGAGCAGATGAGAACTGCCTCATCACCCCCTGGCTGCTGCAGGTGGAGACTACTAATCCCTTTCGCTGTTAGGCCAGTCGCTGAGAACCAGAAAGTCACTGAAATGGAAGACCATGTTAATTGTACAATTTTCTTCAAGTTTAATGCCATTAAAATTTCATAAAATTAAAACCATGCAGGATCACTGAAAAAATAGATGAATAAAACTCCATATAAACTTCAGTCACACTCTACCTGTGTGCAAACACAGTCTTTTTTTTCTTCTTTTTTTTTTTTTTGAGACAGGGTCAAACTCTGTGGCCCAGATTGGAGTGCAGTGGCCTGATCTCGGCTCACTGCAATCATCTCGGCCCCCGGGCTCAGGTGATCCTCCCGCCTCAGCCTCTGGAGTAGTTGGGACCACAGGTGGCACCACCATGCCCAGGTAATTTTTTGTAGAGGAGGTTTTGCCATGCTGCCTAGGCTGGGTCTCTTTTCCTTCATAAAAATTCACATGGCTTGCCTAGGTAAGGATTTCTATTAAACTCTGGGGAAAATTTTTTAAAAAAAATATAGCATCTATAAACGCCAAACACCTTCACATGGCTCTAAATATGGTCTATAATTTGGTCCCAGATTATTTTTCTGGTCTCACTCCCTATTTTGTTAGTTAAACTCAACTATGCATAATTCTAGGATGGCCTGGATGTTGCTATCGGGTGGCTTTACTCAATGCCACGGTACAATGGTTTCAGAGCAGGTTTTGGGGCCAGACCCTCCGGGTTCAAACCCTGACTTCACCACTTATTACTACATGACACTGGGCAAGCTAATCTATGCCTCATTTGCCCATCTGCAAAATGGGTATACAGTAATATATATCAATTTGATAGGGTTGCTCTGGGAATTAAATGAGTTAATTCACGTAGTGCTTAAAATGCTGCTTCTACCACACACACAAACATGAGCTATTATTTTTCCTGCAACCTGAATGCCCTCTCCTTCCAGGTGCGCTCAATCCCATTTCCCTAATGACCCCATCAGAAATGACTTCCAGTCCCCCACAGCGCTCTGAGAGCATTTTACGACCCGAACAGATTTTGTCAAACTCCAAAGACACGTGCTCCCCTCGGCACCATCAGGTGAGTGCTCCTGACCGCGCCATTGGCTCGTGCCCCGACGCGGACGCTGCCTAGAGCAGCAGGTCCACACTCCCCCGAACCAGGCGCCGGCGGCCGCTAGTAACGCGTTGAGGCCAGCTCCCTCCTTAAAATGCGTACACATCTACTTCACATTTTCGCGCGGTGGCTGCGGGTCTAGGAAAGTCTTTCTGAACAGGAAAAAGCTGTACAAATGTAGCGGGCAGTAGGTAAACGGGCGCTCGCCCCGGGTTACACTAGGTTGGAGGCTCAGAGAAGGAAAAGGGATTAGAGGCGAGGCTCCGGGTCACGGGAAAAGGTCCTTGGCCTCCTGTCATGGATGGTGGCGCCCAAGGCCCAGGGTCGCCGTCTCTGCGCTCGTGCCTGCGGATACCTGCACCGCAGGACTCGGCGTCCGCCCCGATCACGCCTAGCCGTGCCGCAGCCGCAGGAAGGCTGACAACGTCCAGGCCTCTACCCGAACCCAGTCTTACCTACGGTGGCGGAGTGACCAGAAGAAGCGGGCCGAAGTAAAAGGCGGGGCTCAAGATGGCCGCCGGGGCCTCGCCTCAGCCCCGCCCATATGATGCCCCGCCCCTCCGGTCCCACTCACTCTCGCTTTTAACTCCGAGAACCCGCTCTTCTCCAGTTCAGTCTCCATGGCCCCGCCGCCTTTGCACATTGCACTTCCCGGCAGCCTCCGCGTGGGCGCCCCCTCCAACTCCTGCCTTCGCCCGCGTTTCTGCTCTGTGTGGTTACTAGGACCAACGAGGAGGGCGTTAGGTTAGTCCCTGTCACCTTGTCGGGGATCAGTCTGCTGTGCGTGCTCAGACTCTTCCCAGAGCCAGCAGCAAGAACCCGAGGCATTAATAAACTTGAGATGTAGCTTCGCTTAACTCGTGCAGAGGGTTTCCGTGTCACTTATGTAGAAACTAGGGCCTAATTTCAACTCCCTCAACTCCTCTGTCCCAAGACTATCCACGTCACCTACTTGGTAGCTTGAGTTAAACAAGAAACCTTTGAAATCTCCAGTGGCCGACACGCAGTGGGAACTCCATCAGTTTTCTGTTTTCTCCCTTCTTCCCTCAATAAAAATTAAGTTGAACTGACTAAGATTTGCTAGTTGATAATTTACAGCAAATCTTTCCTTTTGGTCTCTCTGATTTAAGCAAACTGTTGAGTGTACTTTGCCTCTTGAGAAATTAAATCTGATTACAACAGAGCTAAGTATTTTTCAGCAACGGTTAGACTGACATTGTAAATACACAATCTGATAGTTGGGGCTGGCCTCATGGGCCTGCAACCTGTGCTATTACCCGGCCCCCAGAACAGAAGGACGCTACATTTTCTCTCAGTAAGTGTTGAACCAGGGCCCCACGTTTGTGTCTGGAATTGGGCCCTGCAAATTGTGTAGCTATGGGAGCTGACTTAAGTATGGATGAGCTGCCACACAAGAGATTACCTGCCAGAATCTATTGTGTGGCTCAGGCCCATTTTGCCATAGTGATCTTTGGACTAAATTAACCTGTGGACTGAACCTGTGGATCAATTGGAACTTAGACTGAAAATAATGTTTCATCAAAATAATGTTTTTATTTTGAGAAAGCATTGAAGTAAATTGTTTTAAACTTTCTTTTTACTATCTTTAAGTATAAATCATTGAAAAGGGGATTTTCTTCAGTTTCAAAACTGAAACAGAATAAATACCTAAATTGCAAGTTCTTTATAACTGATGTTTGAACAAAGAGAAATAATTGATTAAATGATATATTTGCCTAATAAGTGGACTGCTGTGAGGTGCAGACTAGCCAAAGAACTGTAAGTGTGAAGTTCTTTACTAAAGGGTTCTTGTGTGAATACAATGTGAGAATAAGCAGAACTAAAATTTCTTTTACCCAGCATAAATAAAATGTTAATAGATCCACAAAAGTCGATTGCTTAAAAATATTAAGAATATATATAATTATCATTATTATTTGGACATGGAAGCAAAGAAGGCTGAAATCAGAAATTAAGGTTGACATTTTAAAAAATGGCACTACCAATAAAAATGGATGAATATTAAGTACACAAAGAAATAGTCCAAAAATTATGTGTAAATGTGTGGCTGAGAGGATATAGGACTCTTGGTTTGAACTAAAATGAGTAGGAATATAATCTTAAGGAGGCAATAAAGGGATGCAATAAAAATGAGAAAAAGTCAAATATACTTGAAGCCTGTAAGAAAAGAGATTGTTTTAGTCAGTTCCAGCTTAACAGAAATTTATTCCTCACCATTCTAAAAGTCTGGGAAGTCCAAGATCAAGGTGCTGATGAAATCTGTTCCTGCTGAGAGCCCTTTTCCTCGTTTGCAGAGGAATACCTTCTTGCTGTAGTCTCACTTGGTGGGTGGGGTGAGGAGAGCTCTGGTTCCTTCATCTTATTGTAAGGGCACTAGTCCCATTCACATGGACTCCACCATCATGGTGTAATTATCTTCCAAAGTCTCCATCTCCAAATACCATCACGTTAAGGATTTAGGGTTCAATGTTTGAATTCTGGGGAACACAAACATTCAATCCATAGCAAAGATAGTTTTAGAGAGACTAGAAAAGACACCATACATAGAAAATAATATAATCTCTTGGGTATCAAATATGCTACTTGAGAAGTGTCCTTGTGGCTTTTCCACAGACTAGAACAGGGTTTCTCAACCTCGGCACTGTTGACATTTGGGGCCAGATGATTCTTTGTCGTGGAGGCCTACCCTGTGCATTGTAGGATGTTTCGTAACATCCCTGGCCTCCACTAGCTAGATGCCAGTGGTACCCCTAACAAGCTTAGATACCCAAAACGTCTCTAGACATTGCCAAATGTCCATGGAAGGAGGGGTTGGTGTAGAGGAGGGCTGCAAAATTGCCCCTAGTTAAGAACCACTGGCCTAGATAAACATTTTTCAAAATTCCCTTTATTTTGATTCTATTCTTATCTAGTGACATTTTGGAAAATAATAGGCTCCATTGTTATTTAATAAATCAGAACTTAGGTTAAAAATGCTTTAGTCTCTGGTGAGTGTAGCTGAGATGATACATTTTCCCAAAGACTTACCATCTCTGAGCATGATACTCACCTTACAGAATTGAGTTTCTGAATGTGTACTCTGAGGACCAGACTTTGGATCATGGGAACTGAACCAAGTACCGGAAACTTATAGCCCTGTGCCACTGTTCCATCTTGACTTTGTTATCTTAAGTTCTAACTGCAGAGTACAATACAACAAGTACAGACAAGCCTTTCAGTCTCACATTCATATTAGCAAATGTCCAAATTTCACATATTTCAATTTTATTTATTTATTTATTTAAGATAGGGTCTTACTCTGTCACCCAGGCTGGAGTGCAATGGCGCAATCATAGTTCATTACAACCTCAAACTCCTGGGCTCAAGTGATCCTACTGCCTCAGCCTCCTGAGTAGCTGGCACTACAGGCGTGTGCTAGCATGCCCAGCTAATTTTTGTATTTTTAGTAGAAATGGGATCTTGCTATGTTGCCCAGGCTGGTCTTGAACTCTTGAGCTCAAGTGATCCTCCCACTTCAGCCTCCCAAAGTGCTGGGATTATAGGCATGAGCCGTTGCACCCAGCTGCATCTGGCCTCAATTCCATTTACTTTTTTTTTTTAATTCTTAAATCCTAAAAGCTATATTTCTTTTTCATCACACATTCAAAAAAATCAAGAGTTAGTGTGTGATTGTACAGAGCTAGACTTTTGTGTTAGCCATTATTGTTATTTTTGTTAGCATGAGAACTAAAACTATAGATTTTTTCCTGTTCAAAGTGACTCCTATTCTTTTATCACCTTTTGCTCAATTACAGTACTGTTAAGTTTCTTAACATTCTACATATTTGTTGAGCCACAGTTTGTCAGTTTATTCATAATTTTTAAAGTTCCATTGATAGCTTATTAGAAACAAAATGAACTCTGGCTATCTGTTAATCATTGGCATGTATGAAAACTGACAAAAGGCCAGTTCACTAACTGTTTTGGTTAATGCTTATAAATCTCCTTTGGTGTAAGATTAGTATTTTGCTAGTGAGACTACCTATGCTTTCATGATCCTTTTCTCAATAATGCCAACTATTTCTTTAGGTCATTTCTAAAATGCCTCCTAGTCACTTACACATTCCCCAGCATAGCTTAAACATGCTTCTATAATTATTTGTAAACATGGAGAGTGAAGTAAAATAAACTATTTCATAGACAATGAGGCAACTAAAAAATTCTGAGATTACCATTATAACCATGGCTGGGATTTTGCTAAAGGAAACTAAGAATTTAGAAGAAAATTGGGGTTTTATGTATCCTCCAAAAGTCAGTAGCTCTAGATATTATATCATTATCTTTTTAGGCTGAGAACTAGGACAGCTTCCTTGGTTATGAAGAATCAGCTGTTAGGTAGAAATCCCCGCAGATATGCCATCTTGGCCTTATTGCAAGGACCATTATATCCACAAGTCACCCCAAATTTCCCTTTCTGTTTGCCTCCCTATATGAAAACAATTTAGAAATTCCATTTTCTTTTTCCCATGTCCTCCCTCCAGCTCTCTCTCTCAATAGACAGATAAATGGATCTATCTATCTATCTATCTATCTATCTATCTATCTATCTATCTATCTACAGTCATGAGTTGCTTTATGACAGGGATGTGTTCTGAGAAATGCATTGATAGCTGATTCTGTCACTATGGGAATATCACAGGGTATACTTACACAAACCTAGATGGTATAGCCTTCTACCCACCTAGGCTACATGGTATAGTCTGTTGCTCCTAGGCTATAAACCTGTACAGCATGTTACTGTACTAAATACTCTTGGCAACTGTTACACAATGGTGTTTGTGTATCTAAACACAGCTAAATACAGAAAAGGTAGAGTAAACATGCAGTATTACAATCTTATGGGACCACTGTAGTGTATATAATAAGTTATTGACCAAAACATTGTAATGCAGCCCATGGCTGCATCTGTACACACACATGCTCAAAATATTACTGTTAAGAAACACTTGCTATGTGCCAGGCACTATGAATGAAGATGACATTATTACCAAGTTATCCCTCCAGGTTCATGAGCTACAGCTCCCTCATAATTCCATCCTATGCTGAAGCTGTATCAAGCTACTTCCCTCCTAATTATAATCTAAACACCCCATGCTCTTATACCATCATGATTTTGCACATGCTGTTCCTTTTGCCTATCCCACAACACACTTCTCACCATGCACAATTTACCTTACAAACTTACATGTTTTTCAGTTCCCAGCTCAAATGCACATTCCCCAAGGAAACTTTTTGAACTGCTTAGATAAAGCTAAGCACTCTTCAGTGCACCTTTAGCCCTTGTACAGCCACACCTCTATTGTGGCACCTAACATTGCATTGCAATTTTGAATATAAGTAAGTTTCTGAAAGGCAGGAGCTGAGTCATATCCTAGCTCTAATACTTGCAAATCGTAGGCACACAAGTGGCTTTAGAATTCATGAAAGGTTACTATGGTCTGGGTATTTGTGTCTCTCCAAAATTCATATGTGGAAATTTAATCTCTAATGTGTTGGTGTTAAGAGGTGGGGCCTTTTAGAAGTGATGAAGTGATGATAGTGGATCCCTCATGAATGGGATAAGCACTCTTATAACAGAAGCCCTTAACCGACACTGAATCTGCTGATGTCTTGATCTGAGACTTTCTAACATCCAGAACTGTGAGCAGTAAATTTCTGTTGTTTATAAATTATCTAGTCTAAGGTATTTTGGTATAGCAGCCCAGTATGACTAAGACAAAGGTTTAGTAATTATCATGTTTTCAGGATTGAAATACGTTTTTTTATTGTTTATAGAATGCAGAAGTAAATTTTTATTTTCTTTCCATAAAAGAACATAAAGGAAACAAAAGCTTAGCATATAACAGTGATGCTATCCATTTGTTAGATGGTTAACATTTTTGACAGATTATGAAATCAACATTTAAAAATATCCCTTTTGAGTTATTCAACAAAGCTGGACGCAAACATCCTTGTTTAAATTGCTAACATTATTCTCTTGTACTTTTTCCCCTAATTGCAAATTTGTTTTTACATTTCTCAGTTTAATTGATTTTCTCACAGACACATGTACTCAGTCTATTCATAGAAACATTTTCCTTAGGTTTGCATACTAATTTATTTCATAACCCAAAATAAAGTTGTTTTACAGTTTTGAAATAAAGCAATTTGCCCTTTTAATTTACAGATTAAATACTGCTTTAAATATTAAATCATAAAACGATTTTTTTGGAGGGAAGTGATGTTCTAGTTACCTACTGCTTTGTAACTAGCCACACCAGAACTTAGTGGCTTAAAGTGGCAATTGATTATTATCTCTCATGGGTCCAGGGGCTGACAGGCTTAGCTGGTGCATCTCATTTGTGGTTCTTCATCTAGTTGAAGTCAGATGGTTGGAGGTTGAATTGCTGATAGCTTCTTCAGTTTCCTATCTGGTGCCTGGGCTGGAATGGCGGGAACAACTGGAGGCTGCTGGAGCACCTTCTCTCCACCTGGCTAGCTTGGATTTCCTCACAGCATGGTAGTCTCAGGGTAGTTGGACTTCCTACATTAGGTCTGGCTGCCCCCTATCAAGCATTGCAAGAAGCCCCGGCAGAAGCTGCAACACTTCTTATGACATAGTGGGTAGGGAAAACTCTCTCTGTTTTTCCTCTACTCTCACACCACAGCAGTTGTCAACACAGAAGTCTTCTGTGACCAAATGTGTGGGTTTTGTTCCCCACACACCAAGCAGCAGACACCAGCTGGGTATCCTCTAATTTGGTTCTAACACTATCTACCTGGAGATAGTGTCAGAACCCACCGTCGCAAGTCTAGGCCTCCAGAACTTTTGACCTACCTGCTTCAAGTTGGGATCCCCATGACCTCCTCTTTGGGTTCAATTAATTTGCTGGAGTGGCTCCCAGAACTCAGGAAAACACTTACTAATGTTTACCGTTTTTTAATGAAAGACATTGCAAAGGATACAAATGAAGAGACACATAGGGTGAGGTATGGGGGAAGGGGTTAGGAGCTTCCATGCTCTCCCTGGGTGAGCCATCCTCTAGGAACTTCCACGTGTTCAGCTATCCGCAAGCCCACGAAACCCTATCCTCCTGGGCTTTTATGGACACTTCATGACTTCAGCATTTCTTCCCCCAGGGAAAGCATGGGACTCTTTCATGGGAGCGTCTTAAGACCAACAGTCAGACCAATGGGGGAAACATTAGAATGAAAGGAGGGCAGGTGGCCTGCCCCTGAGTCCTAACACACCTGATATTCTAACACAAGACTGTAACAAGGGCTGCAGGGGTTAGCCAGGAACTGTGGACAATAACCAAGAAATATCATAACACCACACATAGTCTTGGAAATCCCAGAATGTCATTTCTGCCATATTCTATTGCCCAAGCAAATCACTAAGGCCAGCCCAGAGTCCATCGGAAGGAAGCAATGACATCTATGTGCTGAGAAGGAAGGAGTAGATGGAAGTCATCCTTGACACAAACTACCACAGATAACTGAGATTTTTTTTTTTTGTTAAAGACTTAATTTTTAATGAGCAGTTTTATGTTCATAGTAAAATTGAGAAGAAGGTATAAAGGGTAATATTATATGTATTATTCTAGAACTACCCCATCTTTTTTTTTAAACAGCTGCATAGTATGTCATTCTATGAATGTACCATATTTTATTTAACCAATGGCATATTATCCTGGTTACTAAAGCTGCATAAAAAACTACTCCAAAACTTAGTCCTGTGAAATACCATCTTGTTGCGCTCACTCTGTAGGTTAGGAATTTGGTCAGGGCATAATGGGGATGACTTGTCTCTGATTCATGATGTCTGAGACCTCTGCTGGGGAGATCCAGCAGCTGAGGTGACTCAATAACTGGGGAATGGAATCATTGGTGGTATTTTCACTCACATGCCTGTTGGTTGGTGCTGGCTGTTGGCCAGAGCACCTACCTGTCCATGTGGCCGGAGCTTCCTAACAACATGGCCCCTTCAGGGCAGTCAGATTTTTTACATGGTGACCCAGGACTCTAAAGGCAAGTGTCTCAAGAGAGAGAGGCAGAAACTGTGTGGCTTTTTCTGACCTAGTGATGGAAGTCCACACAGTGCGGCCTATTGGTCACAGTAGTCACAAACTACCTAGAATTCAAGAGAGGGGACTGGATGAGAGAAGTGTCAAAGAATTTGTGAACACATCTTCAAAACCACCACACTTACTTGGACATTTAGACCGTTATAGTTTTGTTTATTACAACAGCACAGCAGTGAATATGAGTGATATGGTTTGGTTTTGTGTCCCCATCCAAATCTCATGTCGAATTGTAATCCTCAGTATTGGAGGAGGAGCCTGGTGGGAGGTGATTGGATCATGGGGATGGACTTCCCCCTTGCTGTTCTTGTGATACTGAGTTCTCACTGGTTGTTTAAAAGTGTGTAGCACTTCCCCCTTCTCTCTCTGTCTCTCCTGCTCTGCCATGTGAAGATGTGCCTGCTTCCTCTTCTCCTTCATGATTATAAGTTTCCTAAGGCCTCCCCAGCCATGCTTCCTGCACAGCCTGCAGAACCATGAATCAATTAAACCTCTTTTCTTTGTAAATTACCCAGTCTCAGGTAGTTCTTTATAGCAGTGCAAGAACTAACTAATTCAATGTGTGTATCTTTGTATATACCTTTGTGCACACAGCAAGTATTCTTGCAAGGTATATTTCCTAGAAATAGAATTGCTGCTGCACAGGGATTGGACATAGTCCTAGAAGTGGAATTACTAAGTCAAAATATTTTCTCCTTTTTAAGCTTCCCAACACAAATTGCCAAAATATCAGCTAGAACACTTATGCCACTTAACATCCCCACCAGCATGTCCTGTTCTCTTTTTATGCTCCCTTCATTCTGCAGTGTTCTTCAACAGTAGGGCACTTCACTTTTTTTCTTTTTTCTTTTTTTTTTTTTGAGATGGAGTCTTACTCTGTCGCCCAGGCTGGTGTGCAGTGGTGTGATCTCGGCTCACCACAACCTCCACCTCCCGAGTTCAAGCAATTCTCCTGCCTCAGCCACCCAAGTAGCTGAGACTACAGGTGCTCGCCACCATGCTCAGCTAATTTTTGTATTTTTAGTAAAGACAGGGTTTCACCATATTGGCCAGGCTGGTCTCAAACTCCTGATCTTGTGATCCACCTGCCTCAGCCTCCCAAAGTGCTGGGATTACAGGCATGAGCCACCTTGCCTGGGCAATGAGACAGAGTTTCGCTCTTGTCACCCAGGCTGGAGTGCAATTGCATGATCTTGGCTCACTGCAACCTCTGCCTCCTGGGTTCAAGCGATTCTCCTGCCTCAGCCTCCCAAGTAGCTGGAATTACAGGCACTCGCCACCACACCCAACTGATTTTTGTATTTTTAGTAGAGATGGGGTTTCACCATGTTAGCCAGGCTGGTCTTGAACTCCTGACCTCAGGTGATCCACCCACCTCGGCCTCCCAAAGTGCTGGGATTACAGGCGTGAGCCACTGCGCCTGGCTCGCTTCACATTTCATGGTGGGAAACCTGAAGCACATTTTGCTACAAAGTCCCAATAGGAACTCAGAAATCACAAAGAAGTCTTTAACTCTAGTTATAATTCTCTAATGGGATATTTTGATGAACGCATTATCTTTGATGTGCACAATATGTTAAAGATAATAGAAAATTCTACACCTAGACTTCACTACCTTCCATTATCTCCCTGCCTTCAGTAGAGTTGCATGTACAGAATGACGCTATGGCGTTATTTTCTTATATAGACAGTTAAGATTTAAAAAATGTAACATTTGAAATAGCTGTACATAATATTTATAAAGTAGTTCAGTGACTGGTTACAAAGTCTCCTATAAGTATTTCTTTTAGCACTAACAGTCTAGATAAAAGTTTGTTTTCTGATAAATGAGCATACTTCTGTCCATCAGTTAGAACTATGTGTTGTACTTCATTCTTTGTCCTGGTTTTTAGGATGCTCAGAATAAAGTTTTACCCATTACTGTAGCATTCCAGTATTTACTTTAATTACAATGTTTAAATAAAGGTTTTCTTTTCTCCTCTTTTACTTCTCATTTCTCTCTTTCTGGGGATATGTTTGGCTCTTACTGCAATTAATTGTCCTTCAATCATTTTTAGAAGATGGAGTAGGAGGGTCAAATTATAAATTAATTGATAAAAGTTATGTCTTTAATTTGTAATACAGGTGATTTAAGGGCTACGCTGAATATGTAGTGGTTTTTGTGTATGACCTAGAAGCAGTTTAAAAATTCAAGTGTGAGTTATTTTGCTATTTACTTTTTGTGCTTGACAAAGGAGTCTAGGAGTAATCAAAAGCTTATTTTAGGTTTAATCTACTTTTGTTTTTATAAACTATGTTTAATAAAACATCTAATGGCTTATTTTATAGCACAGCTAACTAGAGAAGAGTTTTTGCACATTTTAACATTTTACATTGATAAAATATGACAGATCTAGCAACTCTAGGTTGACACCTTGAGATAATCTATGCCTCTGATTATTTTTGAAACATTATTGTATTTGAGATCTTATTTTTTTATTTTTGTTTTTATGTGTTAGTTTGGAAATGTGACGTGGGAGGCTGCTCCAATTTCCAAATATCATGGGTAAATAGAATTTACATTTCATAGTTACATATACATTTATTTTGCTACTGATTTAATTTTGTATCCCTTCTACAAATATTTTATGAACTATGTAAAATCAGTTCTGACTTTCACTCACTAAACTCAAAAATACTTTCTCAATAGCTGGGGATAGTGGTGCACTTCTATAGTCCTAGCTACTCTGAAGGCTGACACGGGAGGATGGAGTCTATCTTGGGCAACATAGCAAGACCCGCTTTCTTTTTCTTTTATTTCTTTTTTTTAAATTATATTTTAAGTTCTGCAATACATGGGCAGAACATGCAGGTTTGTTACATAGGTATACAAGTGTCATGGTGGTTTGCTGCACCCATCAACCCGTCATCTACATTAGGTATTTCTCTTAATGCTATCCCTCCCCTAGCCCCCAGCCCCTGACAGGCACCGGTGTGTGATGTTCCCCTCCCTGTGTCCATGTGTTCTCATTGTTCAACTCTCACTTATGAGTGAGAACATGTGGTTTTTGGTTTTCTGTTCCTGTGCTAGTTAGCTGAGAATGATGGTTTCCAGCTTCATCCGTGTCCCTGCAAAGGACATGAACTCATCTCTTTTTATGGCTTCATAGTATTCCATGGTGTATATGTGCCACATTTTCTTTATCCAGTCTATCACTGATGGGCACTGGGGTTGGTTCCAAGTCTTTGCTATTGTGAACAGTGCTGCAATAAACATACGTGTGCATGTGTCTTTATAGTAGAATGATTTATAATCCTTTGGGTATATACCCAGTAATGGGATTGCTGGGTCAAATGGTGTTTCTGGTTCTAGATCCTTGAGGAATCGCCACACTGTCTTCCACAATGGTTGAACTAATTTACACTCCCACCAACAGTGTAAAAGTGTTCCTATTTATCCACATCCTCTCCAGCATTTGTTGTTTCCTGACTTTTTAATGATCTCCATTCTAACTGGAGTGAGATAGTATCTCATTGTGGGTTTGATTCGCATTTCTCTAATGACCAGTGAAGATGAGCTTTTTTTCACATGTTTGTTGGCTGCATAAATGTCTTCTTTTGAGAACTGTCTGCTAGTAAATGGCAGAGCTGGGATTTGCTTCCATCAGTTGAAATCCTGAGTTTGTGTGCTTAACTGCCATTCCATACCGCCAATAATAATAATACTCTTCATCAATAATAATCATGATGAAGATACTGATCCTATACATTATTTTTGTTATCAAAGCATTCTAGACTGAACAAATTAATACTTTCCCCTAGTCACAACTAATGAAAACAACAAGGAATTAATTTTAAAAATATAAAAAATTAGGTGCAAGAATATGGCTTTATTTTATGTCACTGGGCAAAGTAAATTTGTTTGTTATATCTCTGGATCTCTAGTTATACTATTATCCATTAATTTATTCTTTCACCCACAAGTAGTCATTGATTGCTTACCATACGCAAGGTACTTTTCTAGATACTGGAAATACAGAAATAGACAAATCAAAGTCTCTGCTTTCATAGGGCTTACTTTTTCTTTTTTTCTTTTCTTTTGAGACAGGGTCTCACTGTTAACTAGGCTGGAGTGCAGTGGTGCAACCACACCTCACTGCAACCTTGACCTCCTGGGCTCAAGTGATCCTCCCATCTCAGCCTCTTATGTAGCTGGGACTACAGGCATTGCCACCATGCCTGGCTAGTTTTTTTTTTTCTTTTTTCTTTTTTTTGTAGAGATGGGGTCTTGCTGTGTTGGCAGGGCTGGTCTTGAACTCCTGGATTCAAGTGATCCTCCTGCCTTGGCCTCCCAAAGTGCTACGATTACAGGTGTGAACCACAGTCCAAGCTTACTTTTTCTAAAAGCATGGGAAAATACTATTATTTCTCAGTAAAACAAATCTTTTTTATATATATTAACTCAGTTAACATCATCAAATATCTTTGCATAAAGTTAATTTTGTCTTTACAGAGTATAAACTGATTCACAAGGAGATACATGACCTTAGTCAAGGCACTGGTACAGCTAGAAATAAAGCTTAAGTTTAGATTGCTATGAACCCAAGTGATCTGGCTCCAGCTCAAATACTAGATAAGCCTAATTTCTTGGAGCAGAACGAAGCTTGCAAAAAAGCAATATTTGTCCCACAAAATGGAACCTGATTACTGTTTGTGAATGTCAGCTGCTTTTAGCCCACACTAGTTCAGTTGTACTTGAGAAGACACAGCCAAGATGTCTCAATAATTATTAAATTCTGACTTTTTCCAGTCTACCTCCTACTAAAGTAATCCATATAACCTGGAAGTCAGCAATGTTGCAGAAACCCTCTAGAAGCATTATACTGTGAATAAGAGACATGGTTAAACAGCCAGATCTGGCCAGGCACGGTGGCTCACGCCTGTAATCCCAGCACTTTGGGAGGCCGAGGCAGGTGGATCACGAGGTCAGGAGATGGAGACCATCCTGGCTAACACGGTGAAACCCCGCATCTACTAAAAATACAAAAAAATTAGCCGGGCGCGGTGGCGGGCGCCTGTCGTCCCAGCTACTCGGTAGGCTGAGGCAGGAGAATGGCGTGAACCCGGGAGGCGGAGCTTGCGGTGAGCCGAACTCGCGCCACTGCACTCCGGCCTGGGCGACAGAGCGAGACACCGTCTCAAAAAAAAAAAAAAAAAAAAAAGAGCCAGCTCTAACAGTGCTTTCATTGAAATCAATAAGGGGAAGAAAGAACAGAGTTTAAAAGACTGAGTAAAATGACTTAGCAGAGATAGTAACATGAGAAAAAGAGGAGAGATGTTTATAAACCAGAACCTGATTTGGAATGGAAGAAATGGGAAATAGTGCCAAGATTATTTTAAATTTATTGGAAATGGGAAGGGAATAGTAGCAACATTATCATTATATTTGAACTGACTGGTATAGAAAGGACAATTCTTGCAAAACTGCCAATTTTCTGGAGTTTCATAGGCTTGTATATTTGAGGAATACACTTGGGTGAAGTTACAGCTCACAAAACAATTTATATCTGATTTTAAATTTTATCTTGTTATCAAACTTGGCTAGTAAATGGGCTTTCTTTATAAATCTGGTCCCACATTTCTCAGAGTGACATTGAGAAACTCCAATTCCGTAGGATATTATTTAGATTTATGTTTCTGTGATTAAATGTGGGAATGGTAGGTTGAACAAAAGATGTCACCGAGTCCGAGTCTTCAAGGTGCTAGTTTACAGTATGCAACTCCCATTAGGGGGTTATAGTTTCTTTTTTTGTCTTTGGACATTCTGAAAGATTCATGTAGTCTGGAATGTACTCTGAGAAATATCAGTCTAGTTCACTGTTGGTCATGTCTCCATCAGATGACTCATAATAATTTTTTTCTGTTAATAAAGTCTTTAACGGTTCACATTTCCATAACAACTTGTCTCCCTTTAAAGTCCCAATATCGTAGTATCGCCTATTTCTTAGGAAATTCAGAGCTTAGAGCATTTTATATTTAATTGGTTTTTACTCCAGGGAAGTTTTTGTTTGTTTGTTTGTTTTTTTGTGACAGTGTCTTATTCCAGTTGCCTAGGCTGGAGTGCAATGGCATGATCACGGCTCACTGTAGCCTCAATTTTCCAGGCTCAGGTGATTCTCCCACCTCAGCCTACTGAGTAGCTGGGACTACTGGTGTGCACTGCCATGCTTGGCTATTTTTAAATTTTGTATAGAGACAGATGGGTTTTTGCCGTGTTGTCCAGGCTGGTCTTGAACTCCTGGGCTCTTTATCATTATGGAATGTCTTTGTTTGTTAATTGGAATGTTTAATCCATTTACATTTAATTTAACTATTGATGTAATTGGATTTGGGTCTACTTTTTTTCTATTTCTTTTCCATTTGTCCCACCTTTTAAACTTTATTTCTCCTTTCTAGCTTTCATTTGGGTTAATTGATTTTTTTTCATAATTCCACTTGAATTCCTCTATTAGCCTTTTAATTGTACCTGTTTCTGTTTTTAAGTGGGTTCTATAGGGATTATAATGTGCATTCTTAATTTATCACAGTCTACTTTGATTTAATATTATACCACTTTAATGTAAGAACTTTGTAACTGTATATTTCTATTTCCCCACTCCTCATTATTTTATTTCTTGTTATCATGACTCTTAGATCTACAAACATTATAAAACTATAGAAGTGTGCTATAGAAGTAGTATTGTAACTTTTACTTTAAATAGGCAAATATTTTATCATAATAAAATAATTAAGAGAAGAAGTGGCATAACACATCCTTTTAATATTTGCCACTTTCAGTATTCTTCATTTCTTCCAATACACATGAATTTCCTCCTGGTATCATTTCTTTCAGTCTGAAGATCTTGTAGCTTTCTTAGAGTTCAAATCTGCCTATAACAAATTCTCCCAATTTTTGTTTACTGAAAAAATGCCTTCATTTTGTCTTTACTTTTAAAGAATATTTTCATCGGTGGATATAGAATTTTAGGTTGCCATTTTTTTCTCTTTAAAAATGTTTTTCTATTGTCTTCTGGCCACCATCATTTTAGGTGACAATTTAGTTATTTATTTGTAATGTTGTCCCCTGTATACAGTGTGTTTTCCCTTGATCCTCTGGCAGCTTTTCAAGATTTTCTATTTCTTTTTGAGTCTTCAGCCATTTAACTATGATGTGTCTGGGAATGATTTTCTTTTCATTAATTCTACTTGAGCTTCAGTGAATTTGTAAAATATGTAAATTTATGTTTTTCACCAAATCTGGGTGTATTTTGACCATAATATTTTTTCAAATTTTTTTCTGTCCAATTTTGTCTCTCCTCTTCTAGTAGAACTGTAATTATTCCTCCAAATGAATTCCAATGTTAGACGTTTTAACATTATTGCACAGGTCACCCTGACTCCATTAAATTTAAAAAGTTAGTTTCACTTTCTGTTCCTCAGGTTGAAAAAGTTCTACTGATCTATCCTCAAGTTCACTGATTCTTTTCCCTACTGTCTCCAATTTGCTGTTCAGCCCACCTAATGAATACTTTACTGCAGAATATTATGTTTTCAGTTCTAAAAACTCTATTTGAATTTTTAATAGTTTCCATTTCTCTCTTGAGATTGTCCACATTTGCTCATTCATTATGACCATGTTTTTCTTTAAGTCCTCAAACATTTTTAACAGCTATTTTAAAGTACCATCTGCTAATTTTGACATCTTGTTCATCTTGGAGGTGGTTTCCACTGACTGACTTTTTTCTTAGTTATGAGTCACACTTTCCTTTTCTTTTCACATGTCTAGTAATTTTTGGTAATATGTTGGATAATGCTAATGACATGTGGTATGGTGTTTGCATTATGCTGTATTGGTTACAGGGTAGTGAGTTTTTATCAGCAGGCACTTCATTTACTGACAATCCTTTTATTTTTTAGTCCTGTCAGACTTTTTTGATGGTAGGTAGGTCACTTTTGGTTTGAATTTATTCTTAGGGCATACCCCTTAGCCTGGTATATGCTTTTTATTCCTATGGCATGGTGTTTCTTGAGTGACAATTTAATACATGAAATGCTCAGTGACATCTCTCTACTCTGGCTGGAATGAACTCTAATATCTTCCAGTGTTGCATAACTTGGGGTATCCTCAGCCTAAAGCACATGATCTTTGTTTGGTCTCATGAAGTCTTATCTTGTGCATGTTTATGTCAGACCTAGCCAAGCGCCCATATGAATCCTCATGCAGAATTCTGGAACCAACTTTCTATAGCTCTCTCTTCTCAAGTTCTTTCACAAATTCTAGCTGCTTCAGCAGCCCAGAACTCTAATCTTTGCCTCCTCAGGTCAATAATATCACTGCTGTGCTTAGGTCCCATCTTTATGATCTGTGGCAAGAAAGTGCCTAGGAAAAAAACTTGGGCAATTATGGGACTCATCTTGTGGTTTTCCTTTTCTGAAGGATCACGGTGCTTCACTGCTTGTTTTTCAGTGCATGAAAACATATTGCTGCATTTTGCTAGGGGTAGAGTTTTCTTCAGCGGAAGGACAGGTGCAGTGCTAGTTACTGTGTCATAATTGGTAGTGGTAATCAGAGTATATTCACTTTTTTAAAAAAAATCATGTTTACTGAGGTATAATTTATAAATAGCAAAACTTACCTCTAAACTGCATAGCTCAATAAGTATCTGTAGTTATGTAGCCAGCACCACAAACAAGGTACAAGTACAGAAAATTTCCATTTCCCCCCAAAAGTTTCTTTGTATCCTTTCTCCCACCTCCTGCCTCTGGCAAACACTGATGTAATTTCTGTTCCTTTAGTTTTCATCCTTGAGTATTAGTCCATTGTCAGAATGTATCAAAATTTATTTATCGATTCACCAGTTTATGGACCTTAGATTATTTCTAGATTTTGGCTTTTATGAATACATCTTCTATAAATATCTACATATAGGTCTTTGCGAACCTAGGTTCTCATTTCTTTTAGGTGAAGATGTAGGAGTGAGATTTCTGGGTTGAATGATAGGTATGTTTAACTTTATAAGAAACTTGGCAAATTATTTTCCAAAGTGGCCATAACATTTTGTATCCCCATTAACAATGTATGAAAGTTCTAATTGCTGCACACATCCAGTAGCATTTTGCCATAAATTATGATAATCAAACTGAATTCAATATATGAGGGATCATATATTTGCTTAAAACTAATATGAACTCTTTTGTTCTTCACTTATTTGAAATCACTTGTAATCATTTGGTTTTATTGTTATTGCCACATGCAGAGAAGGGCTGCCTTGTTTTTTCTGACCAAAAAAAAAATACAGTGAAACTAACTTCCCCATGTGTAAATTAAGGTTAAAATTAATAATTCAACTAATAATCTGAATAGTTCCCTGATGTAGGTAATACTTTTAAACTATCAAATAAAACAACCTTAATTAAATATTAAATACCAAATAACATCAAAGATTTAAAATTTAAAAATAAAACCATCAAAGTACTAGAAGAAATGATAGACAAATTTATTTGTAACCTTAAGGTAGAGAAGGTCCTTCTAATCACAATTCCAATTTAGTATCCATAACACTACCCCTATATATGCATTAAATTTGACATTAGCAACAACCGCAACAGCAGAAACAACATTTCTGCATAAGAGAAAAACACAATAAGTAAAATAAAAAAGGAAAAAATGGAAAAAGATAATAAACTCATACCATAAATTAAAATTTAACTTCCCTTAGAAATAAAGAGCTCCTAGACATCAAGCAGAAAAAGATCTAGCAATCACCACATAGAAAAATGGCACAACAACATGGACC
The DNA here is from genome assembly GCF_000001405.40 of Homo sapiens. Classification (NCBI taxonomy): domain Eukaryota; kingdom Metazoa; phylum Chordata; class Mammalia; order Primates; family Hominidae; genus Homo; species Homo sapiens. The sequence continues at coordinate 46,814,588 of NC_000013.11, forward strand.
TTCACAGGAAAATGAATGCAAGTGAGCCTTCAAGGTATGAAAATATGCTCAACTTCACTTATCATAAGAAATACAAATTAAAACCGCATTGAGATACCATTTTCTACCTATTAGACAAAATTTGGAAAGTTGACAATACACTCTTGGCAAGGCCATGGAGAAGCAAATTCTTTCACACACTGTTGGTGGGAGCACAAAGTAGAAACAAACACCGTGGAAATCAAATTATGATATTTGTCAAAATTAAAAATACATTAATATTTGGACCCAGTACTTGTGGAATTTTTCTTACAGATATGACTTCAAATGTATTAAATATTATACCTCCAAGGTTATTCATAGCAACATTGTGTATAACACCAAAACAAGAAAAATAACCTGAATATCTGTCAATAAAGCCCCATTTAAATGTACTAAGGTACATTACAAAATGGGATTCTATACAGCCTTACATAAGAATGAGGTAGTTCTGTATATAGAAATATGGATCAATCTCTAGTTTAAAAAATGTAAGGTATAAATCAAGTATAGATGTATGCAGTATGCTACTTTTTATATATAAAATGGAAATAAAAGTAGGTATTTGTGTTAATGGATACTGGAAGGATACACAAAATCTAATAAAAAGGGCTACCTATAAACATACTATAGAGAATGGACATGAGGGAAGAGAAGGCAATAAGATTCCCAATTTTATTCGTTTGATTTTTGAAACTTATAATGTTTTTTAAAAGTTCTGCTCATTCATAGCTGAATTAAAGACTATGGCTAAAGAAAAATGTGGCCTTGTGCTGATAAGAATATGTGCCACAGAGCTGTCCATTTGATTTTCTACTTTAGATGAAAATGAACATTTTATCATACCCATTATCTTTTTGTCTTTAATTTAAAATAACTATTCTTTGTAGTCCAGCTTTTTATTCTCTCAGAAGAAAATAAGTGATCAATTCAGGAAATGGATGCTACCAACTATTAAAGAAGGACATATATTTACTTTTAGCTATGATCTTTTGTCAACTTCTAAGTCTTTTATTTCCTTGACTCTTGAAACTTTTGTGAATGAATTGTTCTCCCAAATGTCAGGTTAGCAAGAGTATATAAGTACTGAGAAATATGTATTTTCTGATAAATAATTGACAAACGAACTGTTTGTGTGCATAGACCATTTACTCCTCTCAGCCCTGCATCTGGCATTGTGAGCCCACGTTATAATAGAGCCTTGTATAAGAGAAATATGCAAAATGAGCAAAGTCTGGCTAAGCATGGGCATGAAAGGAAAGACCTGGGTCACCAGCTAGAAACATTAAATGAGGGGAAAAAAAGATGTCCACATCATCAATAAAATACCTAAGAATAAGCTGCATCATAAAGTTGAGAAATCAGTAAAAGGAAAAATATAAAACACAAAACATTACTGAAGCTATTCTCCTGGGAAGAAAGACAGATAATTAAAAAATGTAAATTCCTTCTAAATTGATTTACAAGTTTCGTGTAATCCTCATCAAAATTCCAAGGGTATTTTTGCAGAAATTGGCAAAATGAGTCAAGATTCTTCTGGAAGAATAAGAATTGAAAATTTACCACCATTAAAAAAAGCCAAAAACAAAAATGCAAAATGAAATATAATTGATAGCTAGGTACTAGGACAAATAGGCAAATGTAGTAATACATAATTGACGGTCCACGTGATGCATAGAGGGTGTTTAGTGTACAGTTCTTTCAGTTGTTTTTGATATTTGCAAATTCTCAAAATGAAACAGGAAAAAAGTCTGCCACAGCTCCCTATTCTTGTTACATCAAGTTGAAATGCCTCTGCCTGGCCTTTAAAGAAAGATTATAGTTGTGCTACACCTGTCCAACCTTATTTTCTGCTGCTCCCTATCAGGCCCTCTGCTGTAACCAAGCTATTTCCCTCATTATCCCTCCCTCCTGCTATGCTCAGTTTCTCTTCACACTTTTGATCTTATTGTTTCTCCTGCCTAAGGTGCCCTCAAATTCCCTCCTCACCCATGCCACTCTTGCTAGTCCACACTGACTTCCTATTATACTCATAATTTCATGGAAACTCGATAGATCCTGCCTCACATTGTTCACTCTGGTCTACTAGTCTGGTATCACATAATTGTGAACCTGTTCTGATGCTTCTTTGTGTCACTCAGCATGTAGCATAATATTGAGCAGGAGATGATCAATAATTTCTAGTTGGCTGATTAATTATTAATAACAATTGTTATCTGTTTGTCATCCAAAGTACCACCAGGATGGCTATAAAGTAGAAAGGAGAGTTTTATTGGTGATATCAGTTTGAAAACTGGGAACAGACAGTCCCTGGTGTGAGAAGATGCTCTCTCTCAGAGAAGGAAGGAAGAGGTTGCTTTTACTTCCCACGAGTGTGTGTTACACAATAGAATCATACATACTCAGTAGGTTTGGGGAAAATCTGTACATATTTACAAGGGGAGTCAAGTGCATGCACAATGGGTAAACATATGTAACATACAGTCCATGTTCACCTTGGGGCAAGGTTTTAGTATTAAAATGAGGTGGAATTTGGCTCTTTACATCAAAAGATGTACTAGAGGATACAAAAACAACTTGTGTGTAGTCTCTATAAGCTGGCTGTGACTGGCTTGGGGTTTGCAGTTGCTTATCAGGAAATGGTGTTTCTAAGGCCAGTCCTCTGTCCAATCAGAGTTGCAGTGTTCTGGGTTGTGAATCAGAGGTAAGGAGGATCTGACATTTTGCCTGATAGCTCCTATTGTTAGGGAGTTTAGCAAGAGTGTTTTTGTTTTGTTTTGTTTTGGCAGTTGTAGGAATTTAGGAAGTTGCATGCTGGCTGAGTCCTGAACCTTCGGCTTGTAGATTAACTTTTGTTTCTTAAAGCTTAGGGTCCATTTTAGTTGATAAAGGGGCATCTATTTTGGTCTCTCAGATCATAAACGCAATCATTGAATGAATCTGTTTCTTTTATACTGCGTAGTAGCACAGTGCCTGCTGTGGTATGGTGTCTGCCCCATGGAAGATTTTCAGTAACTTTTGGATAAAATTGTTTTTGCTCTCTCTGCCTTTTCTCTATTTGAATACCAGGTTGTCTACACATTATGTCTACTGAATAGACCAGGTTTCCAGTTGCCATATACTACACAGAAATAAACAAACAAGCCACACATTCACTAGGAACTTTGTGAAAGTTCAAAGTTGGAAGCACTTTTCCCACTTGTGTCTAGAAGTGATGCTTGCCTGTGGCTACTCTGAAATGAAGTTTGGATTTTGTATTAGTTTTCTATTGCTAATGTAACAAATTATTGATGGCAGTGGCTGCTGCCATCATGCTGGCTGCAGCAGGGAAGCACGGCTGGGGCTGCACACTCCATGGAGCCAGTGGGAGCCCTGCCCCTTCTGAGTTGGAACGGGAGCTCTCCGTCCTGCTGCGGCCTCTCAAACCACAGCTGCAGACCCAGGCCTCCTGCTCTACAGAGCAAGCAGGAGCCCTGCCCAGGAGGGCATGGCTGCAGCCGCCCAGGAGCCCTGTCCCTTCTGAGTTGGGAGGGCGGGTGCGCATGGGTGCAGCTGCCACTGCCCTCCCAGGCGCAGGACCCGGGCATCTCTGCAGCCTGCACCCTCGGGGGCCCCAGGAAGGACCCACCCCCTCAGTCCTTGCAGGCTCGGGGGTGTCTGCTCCCACTGCCTGGCCTCTCTTCACTCCTGCCTGCTCTGATCTCAGAGCAGGGTTGGGGCCAGACCCCGGGGCCATGAATGGCTGTGGGAGGCAGACAGAGAACTGGGTGGAAGGGGGCAGATCCCCAGTGAGGCCCCACCTTCAGGCCAGGGAGGGCGGAAGATTGCTGTCCTGGCTGCAAGTCTCTGCAGGACTGGAGTTGGGTCTCATGGTACCTCTTCTGGGCTGCCTGTGAGGTCCATAAAAGCCCTGGGCCCAGCCAGAGCAGGGCAGAGGATGGGCAGATAACTAAGAGAGCAGAGGATGGAGAGATGAGGAAGATGACCAGCAGCTGCAGGGAGGAGTATCCTCTCCACTGAGAGCTGCAGATAATGGGAGGACCAGAGAGGAGCTACCCTCTCTGCTGAGAGCTTCAGAGACCTGCAGATACATTGGAATGACTTGCCTGAGGAGAAGAGCCACCCTCTCCAGGGCCTCCCCTCTTCTAAGAGCTGAACATTTGACTGGATGACCTGCCTACAGAGAAGAGCTACCCACTGCTCTGAACTGTTCTAACACTAAATAAAACTCTTCTTCTTCAGCCTTCACTTGTCTGCATACCTCATTCTTCCAGGACGTAGGACAAGAACTTGGGCAAAGGTGCTGTGGTCATGGATCCAGCCAGAAAAACTGACACCCCAGTGATCCCATAACATCACAACTTAGTGGCTTAAAACAACACAAATGTATTATTTTACAGTTCCAGAGGTTAGACATCTGAAATGAGTCCTTTAGGCTAAAATCAAGGTGCTGGAGGAGCTCCATTCATTCTGGAGGGCCTGAAGTGGACACTTACGTTTCACATTCTGGAAGAGTTGGGAAGCCAAGTGTGGCTGGTCACAGCTCAGGGAGTTACAGAAGAAGAGCTCAGAGAGATGAGGGCTGGGCAGGTTATGTAGGAATTTCTCAGGCATTTATTCTGCATGAGATGGGGAGCCATTGGAGGCTTTTGCGCAGAAGATTGTTTTTTTAAGGGTCCCTCTGGCTGTTGTGATGTGAACAGATTTTCTGGGTGGGGTAAGAACAAAAGCCAGGGGACCAGGAAGGGAGCTACTTAGTCATTTATGTGAGAGTTGATGGTGGTTTTGGTGTGGGGTGATGGATATATTTTGAAGACTGAGCCAACACGACTTCCTGATGGAGAAGATATCAAATGTATCGAGAGAGACAGACACACAGGCAGAGAAATGAGAGAGAGAGAGAGAAAAGAGAGGAGAAGAGAAAAGAGAAGACAAGAGAAGAGAACAGGAGAGAGAACCTAAAAGAGAAAAACAATTGAATTCTTTCTTTGAACTCCTGGAGTGAAGGAAGGAGTATGGAGGATGGAGTGACTTACATCATACTGTTGATGAGAAGTAGAAGAGACTGAACAGCTGTAAAAGGGACCCTCCCATTTGGCTGTGAGCTGTTGTATATTTGAATAGTTTACAATGACAATATGTTTTTTATGTTATTTGTATATCTTCTGAAAAAGTTACAGGCAAGACTGACGACTTTTGCAAAGGACACATTTTGCTTCATTTAGGCAATGTGTGCAGTTTTAACATGAGCTTTGTCAGAGATGTGGATTAATTCAGACAAATATTTAGTATCTACAATTAGCAAGGAGAATGCCATGTGCCATGGAACCATCTGATAAATATAGGATTATAAAGAAAAATGCAATGAAGAATGAAACAATTAAATTTATTATTGACTCAGGAGATTGAGATGTAAATGTAACTGAAGTTAATAGATTACAATTATCTTTGATCATTGTGCATTTTTTAGAAGGAAGAAAAGTTTACTGATTGAAATGAAAATAGTGATCAAACCATATAAAGTGCTTGAAGAGAGAGAGGTACGGGCTGCTATTTTTTTCTCCAGCAGTCCAATAATGCTGTATTATTTGGTGAACTCAGTATAGACTTCAACATTTTTCACATTGATGTGGGAGTAGAACTAATTAGGCTGAATGTGTTTCTATAGATTCTTTTTCTTAGGATATCAAGCCTTTCATTGCACTAGTCTTTTCTAGTATTGAATACAATTTTTGAAACTTCACATATGTAAAAATAAACTGAATGCCTTTTTGAAATTAAGATTTTGCTAAGTCTGTGAGCACATGCATACAAAAATGCCTTAGGGTTGTTTAGAGGACTAAATGGAATAATTTTAAGAAAGAGCTTTGTAAGCTTTAAAGTGCTACACCAACAGGAGGCATTATTGTTTTTATCCTTGCTCATCTAGTTTTGAAGAGGTTTGAGAGGTTCGGACAAGTGGATTTTCTGGATAGGTGTAAAGTACCCATTTGAGTACTATTTTTTAAAAAAATAATAATTTGAATGGGCACATTCCTACTGTGTAGTCTAAACACCCATTGAATGTTCTTGAATCTTGTGGCTCCTTTATTCTTTCTCATTCTTGGGTAGTGAAAGTCAGTGTCTTCACTTTATTTTTCATAGATCCACAATCCCCTATCCAAGACTCTTGGGGCTAGATATGTTTGTGAATTCAGATTTTTCTGATTGTAGGAAGGTAATCTGAACCCCAAACCATGTGTTCCTCATAACATCCCCAGCAAGATCTTGAACATCTCCCAGGAATCATATACTTTCGAATTTCTGAAGAGAAACATAAATAATTACATCAAGTAGGGTAATTAAAATTATGCTCATTCTCTTGTCAGCTCAGGGTAGGTTTTGTCAAAATTACTTTAGGTCAGGTCAGGTTTTGCTACCAAATCAGTTAGTAATTTTTTTTTAGTTTTCAGAACTTTTTGGCTTTGGAGTTGAGGATAAAGGATTTTTGGAATTGAGGATAAAAGATTGTGTGCCTGTTGTATACTAGTTTCCAGAGGGCATCACACAACAGTTCTCCCATCTCCAATTCATCCTTTATATTACCAAACAATTTCAACATTGTTGTATTCTCTACTCCTGCTCCCATTGCTTTAGAAAAGGCCCTGGCCTGTAAATTTGCAACTGTTGACACCTTCACCATCAATTCCTTTACCTTTACAGTATGCTTTCCATGGCCCTAGTGATCAAAGGTACAAATCTGATTACAGTTTTTTTTTTTTTACTATTTTGTTTAATGGCTTATATTGACCACAGGAGAGATTCCTAACATGAAAGTTTGCAATTTAGGGTTGTCTTTGATCTAGCCCCTACCTGTACAGCTCTACCTTATCTTCCGCTGTTGCCTTCTGTCTCTTCTTCACTCTCGATGTAAGACTTTAGGTTCACTGAATGTCCTCACTTTTTCAGCCTCTGGACTTACCTATTGCTTAATGCTTTTTCCCTCATGTCAGCTTAATGAATTTGTATTTGTTGTTCATGATACTACTCCAAGATCTCTTCACCTACAAGAGATTCTCAGACCTGTTGAGGTAGAATTTATCATTCTCTTTTGTTCTTTTTTTGGGTTACCTATGTGGCATATATATATATATATATATATATATATATACACACACACACACACACACACACCCACACATACACACATATATATGTATATGTATATATACACACACATATATGCATGTGTATATATATACACATATATACACACACATATATAAATTTGTGCCTGTGTAGTGTAGCATTGATCACACTTCTGCAGATTTGCACTTTTGCAGATTTTATTTACCTGTTTGTATTTCCAACTAGGCTATGGGCTTCCTGAGGGCAGGGACCATGACTTTGCCATTGCTATCTCTGTAATTCTCAGCATTCTGCTCAGTACCTGGGTGTATTTTAAATTAACATTAGTTGAAGGAATGAATAACTGGGGTGCAATTCTACCTTTAGGTCCATGCTTCCTGAAAAGTGGTCCAAGGACTAACTGTTGCAGAAACACTAGGGTCTTATAAAAAAAAAACTTCAAATTCCTGAGGCCAATTCTAGATAGAATCCAAATAGAATCTCTGGGAAGGGGGCGCTGGAATCTGCATTTTAAACCAATTCTCCAGAGATTCCAAAGATGGAGAATTGTAGCTTTGGGGACCTTTGAAGAATGTGAGACTTGTTGCCAAAAATTAAACTGTTAGGCCTAAGGTGCTTTTCTTTCACTCCCCTACCCTACTTTGTAGTTTTACTGGCTACACCTTGATTATGGTGGTCACTTACCTCAGCTGTTCTTTATTTCCTGTTTCCTCTCCATTTTCCAATCTTATTTTCTAATTTATTTTGCAATGACAAACAATACAACAGTAATTAATAGCACTTCATCCCCCTATCCTCACAACAACTCCAGGGCACATGGGACTTCAAGTTTGTAAGTTGCAGGCAACATACTGTTGCTTATTACATCCATAGGCTCTGCTTCTACTAACGTCCTTGAACCTTGGAGCAGAGCCTATGGAGGTATTAAGGACAGACTTGAGTCTATGGGTCTTGATGAAAACTGCTTTGGCTACTCAGAAGCTCTTTTCACTCATATCTCTATATAGCTCTCTTCTGGAAGGCTAAGATTGCTTGATAGCTGATGCCCAGACAGTGTCAGCCAGTGGTATAAAACTTTCCGCTTAGAAGGGGATTATTCTGCCCAGGGATGGCTTAACTGGGATGGAATGCAGCCTCCTTCTGCTCAAGCAGACAGGACTGATAATCTATTATATCATCAAAGGACAGATTTGAAAAGGAAATATAACTTCTTCATTCTTCGTTTTTATTACTACTCTAAATAATGACCCTGAAAAATTGTTTTTCCAAATGAAATAAGTTTGAGCCTGATTTCCCTTTTCTCTCCAAATGTTAGTGGAAGGTCCCGTTGTGGTCACTGTTGCCAGGGGCCTCACCCCCTTACTTTACAAAAATCTGAAGGTTGTAGTCCAGAAGCCTTGAGGTGCTCATGTGGTAGGAGGCTGGGAGGCTCACTGCTTCTGTGTCAGGCTCAGGCCTGGAGCTCTTTTGCCAGGGTGTCCCATTTTCTGTTCTCTGCCGTTCACTGACAGCCTGGTAGAGGCCTTGCAAACCTTCAGGGTCCCAGAATGGGGAGAGTGCAGTGCTTTCTCACTTGTCAAAGTTCCTTCCTTGTACTTTTCCTAGTTTCAGGATGACCTTGGGGTGCGGCAATCACCCCCAACTTCTGTTAAAGCAATAGCCTCCATATCCTTCTGATATGACACAACCCCAGAAGGACTGAAAGACCTGTTTACCTGGCCCCTTGTGGGAAGGAGCCCATAGACCTTTAGAAACAGGTCCAGGCAGCAAAAGGGGAGACCTCCCCTTTTACACCCATGCTTGCCAAAGGGCCCAAAACAGTGATTGATTTTTTTTTAAGTTAAACTTGCTTCTTTATTGCAGGAATTCCCAGAAGTTTTATCTTAAAATATATTGTGAATCTTCTAGAAAGTTACAAAATACATTTCCTATTTTTTCTAGTTTTATTGAGATATAATTGACAAATAAAAATTTTATGTATTCAAGACGTACGATGAGATGATTTGCTATACATATATATTGTGTAATGATTACCACAGTCGAATTAGTTAACCCACTAGTCACCACACATAGTTACTGTGTATGTGTGTGTCGGGGGTGGTGAGGACACTTAAGATCTACTCTCTAAGCAGTAGTGACATCTGCATAGAGAGTAGATATAAGTGAGATCATACAGCGTTTGTCTTTGTGGATTGTGTTTTCCTTTGATAATCCACCTTATTATAAGAACACCAAGGCAGAAACGAGATGGGGATAGATTCATTTGAGAACCTTGCCAGACCTCACGTTGTAGTTTTGCTTCAGGCATGTTAGCTCTAGAGGTCTCTTTGTCCTCATTTTGGCCCTGCTTTCTGTTGGTTATAGTCAGGAAGGCCCCACTGAGAGGCAGTTACTTCTTTTTCCTCTAGCTAGTCATGTTAATAACCATCACATATTAAGTTCTATTATAGGTCAGACCATTCGAGAAGCTCTTCATAAACTACTTCTAATTCTTACAACTCCACAAGACATTATTATCTCCATTTAGCAGATGTACCTCATAGAGTTTAAGTAATTTTCTTACATAGCCAGTACATTAAATAGAGAATTTGAAGTAATGTCTATGTAACTCCTAAGGCCATGCTCTTTCAAATATTCTTCTAAATCTTTTAGAATTAGATTGAAAATACAACCTCACATAATGTCCTTTCTGTGAACTTTGTCTTTGTAACATTCTCTAAAAGTAAAGTACCCAAGCTCTATTGCGTAGATTTTTTCTTATTGTTGCAAACCTAAGGGATATGAAATAACTAATTCTCATTGTACTACAAGGGAAAATATTTTATTCCTTTATTTTTATTAATGTCCAATTCCCTCATTTATTCTTAGAGTTTTGGTTTGTAGAGAATTAAATCCATGGTCTTCTCGGGCATAATCTGGCCACCCTCCAGGGGGCTGCAGGTACAGGAGTCATCCTATGTTTTTCTTCTCATGGTTATGAATTATAACATTGGTGGATCCGAGAGTTGTAGGACTCTGTTGCCCCAGTGATACAAATGTTTCAGCTACTAAATGATTTTCTCCTCCACTGGGGCTTGGCAGATTTTTCTAAATTGTTAAATTTTCATTAGATTATAATGTGGCTGTTTTAATCATGGTGCACTGTGATTGCTTGTTGAGGTCATCAAATCACAATTCCCAGGGCAAGCCCTGGAAAAGCATCATTGAGATTGGTTCACCTCCCATCCATTGTTTTCCCAGGGTTTCAGATTCAAGCTTCTACATGTGTGTGTGTATGTGTGTGTGTGTGTGTGTGTGTGTTTTGCAACAACTATTTTGCCGATAACCCTATAAAAGAAAATTGGCTGACTCACTTCTGGTTATATTCTTTAAAGTGTCAACCTGTGGATAGGAAATTGGAAATAACTGTATTAGAAGGAAAAAATGTAAAGTAGGAAAAGGGAGTGCTGGTTAAAAGAGGTGGCTACCCTTGCCAGAAGAGTAAGTCAATAGATTTTCTCTCTTTTCAGATAAGGTATGATTAGCATTCAGACCCAGTGATGGATACACTCTAGCCCTCTGTGTGAAAACTCTTCTTCTGTCAAGAGATTCAGCTGGGGGAATATTCTGCATAGCCCACCACAGCTGATTGGATTGGGAAAGGCATCTGGCCATATCTGGTCAGTAGACTATAAGGGGAGCTTAGAACAAAGTCTCTGCCCATGTAGGGAGAACATGGACCAACCTAACCAGCTCTCTCTTAGAAATCTACACAAGTCAGTATAGAGAAGTTCATATAATTAGTGGCAGCTGTAGAAGATGAAAGTCCATGAGGTAGAGAGGTCATGGTGGACTGTAAGTGAGCACATGCTATATGTAAGAAGAAACCAAATGGAAACCAGCTGGTAGAGGGAAGATGAGTGAAAGAGACCCAGAGTGAAACAGGTTGAGAGAGAGTAGCTGGGTCCTATGGATGATTCAGGCCTTTGATGAAAATGGAGGAACTTGTGCCTGCATCCCTCCGGTAGCCTTTGATTTGGTCTGGGGTGGGTTATGTGTCTCTGAGCTTCTGTGAGGCCTATTTGACATCGATTCAAAACAATGATTCCTGTTTTCTCATTTCTGTGTGTATTCTGACAATAAGATCCATGTTCTCCGAAGAAACTTGGAGATTTTTCAATCTCCCTGATTTGTATTAATATCTATAACATTTATTTTAAATAGTAATTTTTCCAGTCAATATTTATTATTTTATTGATTAGCATAGGAAGTAGAAAGGGCATGTAAGAAATTTATTTTTGAACATACTTCTACAAATATAAAGGACATAGAGTTTATGCATTCTTCCTTACATTTAGGAGGAAGTTAATGTTACATACATTCTCTGTGCATGAAGGTGAGCTAAGAGAAAAGACAGCAATCAATATGTTATGATTCTATCTTACCAAATCAAGAATTTCCTTTAGAGAATTAACCATGTTGCTGATCACCACTTATCAACACTTATACTTATGGGTTGAAATTGTGTTTATTCAGCAAAGTCTAATTTACCCTGCATTGTAAGTTGAAGGCTTTAGAAGGAACTATTTCCTTCCCAAAGCTAGAGCTCTGCTAAGCTTCACTCTTCATTCTAACTAAGGCAAGACAGTCACAGGTATAATGCAAGCATGATAGAGATATGCTTTCATTCTTTTGGGTTAGGGAGGAAATAGAGCAAGTGGCTGAGAATAGAGATGTTGATTCAAAACCCAGCTCTATTACTTACTATGTGTGAGCTTGGATAGGTTAATCTCTAGTTTCCTTATATAGAACATGGAGATGATGATAATATCCACTGTATAGTGCTGGTATTGTAAGGATATATTAAAATATCTAACATAATACTTGACATTTACTAAGGGCTCAAATAAATAGATGTGATGGTAGTAGTAGTGTAGTAGTATATGTTGTTGTGGTTGTTGTGTTTGTGGTAATTATTGTTGCTGTTGTTGGATGGTAGTGTCCAGGGATTAGCTAACTATATAGTCCAGGCTCAAATCTGACCCAGAGTTTGTTTTTGTAAATAAAGTTTTATTGGAACATAGTCACATTCACTCATTTGCTTATTGTCTATGGCTGTTTTCACACCACAACAGAACCTAAAACATGTACTATTTGGCTCCTTATAGAAAATATTTTCTGATCTTTAGCACAGTGGAAATTAGAAACAGTAAAAGCTTATCATTTATATAGTCATGCTTGAGTTCCGATTCTTCTCCTTAGCTTGGTGGAATTGGTCAAATTTACCTTTGAGACTCAGTTTCCTCTATGGTTACTATGAGACATAGACACATTATTGTGATTAAATGTGTGAAATTAGCACAAAATTGTTGCTCAATAAGTATCAACTTCAGTGTCTTCCTTTGACATTCCTTCTGGTTTCCTTGTTGTAGTAAGAGAAATAGGTTGGATGTTTCTGGATTTAATCTCGCTGTTTCAAAAAATGTGAAAACATTGCTGGTTTATGCTTTATATATACATTATTGCCTACTACAAGTGGCTAGCTGTACTTTGCTCAAATTCTTAGAACCAAGTAGGACCACTCAAAGCTATTAGCAAAAGAAGCTGGTATTTAAGTCAAATAAAAAATATGCTCATTTAAGGCAGAAATAGTTATTTTGTCTTTCAAAGTTATTAAAGCAAATTTCTCAAAGCAGAATGTTATATAAATGTACTAATAGTTTCAATATTTTATTTATTATGCTTCATATAGATTGAAGTAAGTTGATATTTGCATCATGACAGTGATAATAATTCTAAGTTAGAGAAGATTTTTTTTCTTTATGAGTGGTTCCAATAGGTTTTCAGACTTAGGTCTATCTGGTGGAGAGGAGCTGGACAAAAAGTGTGTCATAGCTTCCACATTCTATTTTAGAGAAGTGTAGGAATAATTAATCATAGTCAAGTTCTCTGGTGATTATATTAGAGGAATAAATGTAGTGTTACATTTTCATGCAAATCAATCTTCTTGTTCTTCAGTCTTGGAAATGTTTAGTTGTTTTAATTTTGTCATACTTGTAATCACTTGTGAATAACATTTCCTATTTTTCTGCTAATTTGGAAAAAACCCCACCATCTTGTCTCTAGAAATTAAAGACTAATAAATGTATCCCCTTTTCAGAGTATCAGAGAGATACATCATTACATGTGTACATGCTGAACACATTTGTTTTTATATTTACTATTGTTTATTTTTTTCATTTCCTTTTTCGTCTTCTTAAAAATTCTTCTTGGATTGCTTATCTATGTTGACTAATTCCCATCTTTTAGATATTCTTCTTTATACACCCCATTGTGATCCTAGGTCTTAGAATGCAGAACTTTAACAATGGAGCCTGGAGATAGTGATATTGAACATTCTATCTAATTTTCATTTTTTCCTCATAAAACTAATTTTAAAATTCTATATTCTTAACACTTTTGCCATTGGCCCACACAACTTTGCTTTTCACCAGTGTCTAAAGTGGCTGAAACATCAGCATCGGGTGGTGGCAATGCCTTGAGGGATATCTTATCATATGCAGCATGGCATCTCTGGGTAGGCGTGTTAAGTTATCCTATATTACTTAGGCTAATTTGTGACAAAGTTGGTAGGCTCAATGAAATAAACAAACATTTTGTAAAGAGGTAGAATAATCTCCCCACCCAGTATCTTATTCAAGTTTTTTAAAAGAGTAATTCCATCCCTAGACTTCCCACACTTAGTGGTCTTACATAAAACATACACATAGCAGACCCTCACTAGCAAACCTATTAAGAGAATAAATGAGTTTGCAGCACTAGTTGCTCAACCCAATTTGAGTATAGTTTTTGCTTATGTCACACACTGAACACACAGTTAAATAAACTTTTACTTCTTCCCTCTCTAATGCTGTTGGCTCCCTCAGAGCATCTCCTGCATAAATAACCTGCACCTGAGTCTTAACTCTGCTCTTAGGGTCACCCTAACTAAGACAAGATTATCTGAATAATGGCATATTACTTTTCAATATCTGAAATAAGTGTAGGACAGGAAGTACAAATTGTGCTGTTTTTCTAGAAGACAGAATAAATACTTTTTTAAGGTCTCATAATCTCAATTATAAATGAAAACTTAAGTGACCTTGGCATACTGTCAATGTAAATCTAGCTTTTAAAAAAGAGATCTTCTCTGCGCCATGAATTCTAAATCTATCTGGGCTTTTTAATTTTAACCCTTCAGGGAAATTGAACTCAAATAGTAGGAGCACTTGTTCTTCAGGAAGCCTGAGGGTTATTAAAAAGGCCAATCCAAAATATTGTAGTAGCTATGAAACTGCAGAAGAGAGCCCAACTGTGAGGAAAATGCCAATGTACAAACATTTATGTTGATATTTGCCTCCTGGGCTCATATCTTAGAAACTTCTTAGATACTTAGCAATTTGATTTATCTCATCCCATATAAAAGATAAAGTTGTCATTTATTTGAAATCCATCTAGAGAATTTAAGAAAACATGAGGGTTCTGCATTCCAGATTATCCTTGGCACCTGAAGCAGTGCCTTGGTTCAACAAGGCCTTGTCTGGACTCTCTAGTGTTCAGATAAGCATAGACATAGAAGAGACTCCTTGCTGAGATAATTGACCCTAAGTCCCTTATTATATGCTTCAAGGAGGAAAAACTCAGATTCGTCCAAGGTCAGACAACAGCAGCAGGCTGGACCTCGGTTTCCTGTCTGTCTTCTGCTGTGACTGGGCCACATGAAAAAAGGTTCCAATTGGGTATGAAGACTTCCCATAAAACGCTGGCTCAGATGGACATACTGGTGTTAATATCAAAAAAGAAGGTCAGAGTTGGGCCGGGCATGGTGGCTCACGCCTGTAATCCCAGCACTTTGGGAGGCCGAGGCGAGGGGATCACAAGGTCAGGAGTTCAAGACCAGCCTGACCAACATGGTGAAACCCCACCTCTACTAAAAATACAAAAAATTAGCCAGGCGTGGTGGTGCGCACCTGTAATCCCTGCTACTAAGGAGGCTGAGGCAGGAGAATTGCTTGAACCCTGGGAGGCGGAGGTCACAGTGAGCTGAGATCACACCATTGCACTCCAGCCTGGGTGATACAGCAGGACTCCACCTCAAAAGAAAAAAAAAAAAAAAGAAAGAGTTAAGACTGGTGTGTAAACCATTAAGGAAAAAATTTTTAAAAATTTTGTTTTAGCAAGCCGCATGCCAAAATAATCAGAAATTCACAAAGAAGTCTTGTCTCATTGCATATTTGCTGGGACAAATGCATCATTAATGTTCTTAGTTTAGAATGAAATCTTCAAAGTCTTGAATGTTTCTTTCAAAATCATCATTATTATTGTGGATTAAATTCAATATTAAGTTATAAAACTTTATATAAGTTATGAAGTGTTTGAAGATACTTGTTTTTTTGTTGTTGTTGTTGGTCATTTCAGGGATACCAAGAAAACATTTCTTGTCCCCAAATTTTCTTCTCACTTGTCTCCTTGATGCCTAACATTTTTCCTTTGATTTCTGCCTTTTGGGTTTTCATCATGGTGGGCTGCTGAAGAGATGTCAATGATACACAATGGCATATCAGCTTCAGTTACTTAGTAGTAGTCTTCCAGAGAGTTGACACCCAAGGGAATGGCATATGGGATGGAAAGTTTTTATGTAAGTCATAAGAGAGAGCACCAAAGAAGGGAGATCTGCATTAAGGTGGGGACAAAGCAGAAGTAAATTTTTTGAAAAAGAGAAACACCAAGAGAGTAGCAGAAGCTGCTGAATTATAATATTGCCTATCCCACAGTTTTGGCTAGAATTTGCTCTGATGGCTAATAATTTACAGAGGCTTTGGAGTTGTTCCTTTTTACTAACACACTGATTACATTTACATGGTGTTTTACAAGTTATCAAGCACAGCCATAGGCATGATCTTATCTAAATTACTCTGTCAGTTAGCCAGGATGGGTACCAGCAGCTCCATTTTACAGACAGTGAAATCAAGGCCCAGAGTTGTTAAGAGACTGGTTCCAACTCACATAAGCAGTGAATGGAGAAGCCAACATGGGAACTCTCCTATTGTGGTTTTGACAGGTGATCTTTCCCCTGCACTGCATGAGGTTGGGAAAATATTTTATGCTTTGGAGTCAGATGACCCAGGCTTAAACTTGCCAATTTTCTTGCCAGCAGTGTGACTTTAAATATGTTACTAACTACTCTGAATCTCTGTTTCTTCATCTGTAAAAAAGAAAAATAATTCTACCTTGTCAGATTGTTGTGAAAATTCCATTTGGTGAAGCAAGGAAAGCAACCAGCTTAATGCTTGGCACACAGTAGGCACTCAATATACTTTCCCTGCAGTTAAAGATGAAATGATGAATGAGGGTAACTGTTAAATGACACCATGCCTCCTTGGTTTACTTTAATTCCTGAAATGATCTCCTGTGAAAGAGAGAGAGTGTGTGTGCATATGTTAATGCATCTGTGCGTGTGCACACCTGTGTGCATGTCCTGGTGTACACCACACGCACCTGTGCACATCTCTTAGGGCACTGAAGTTGTTCTCTATGTTCTTAGGCTTCGTGGAACCAGACATAGTGATCAAACATGGAGCATATTTCTACTGCAGATAACTAGAAACTGGATCATGGCGATAAAGCTAATCCAACTGGATGGATCCTAGCTCTGTGACATGGCTGACTTCCAGAAGCACAGGCTTTTTTGCTCTCGAATATCAGGATGATACCTGGAGTTCTGAGTCTGATGACCTGGAAGATTTGGGGTAATTCCGTTTAGTAGACACAGCTATGGACTCACACAAAATTCATTCATTTTTGAGTCTACTTTATTTACAGTTATTTATCCTTTCTTGAAAACTTTTAGCATCGCCTTGATTAAAATAAGTTCATAAAATAATCTTCACTGTATTTGTTACATATGGCACAGAATAATTTAGCACTTTATAAATATGTCTCATTGATGCACAAATGGGAGGAGCACCCTTTGCTGAAAGCAGTACAGTGACTTAGTTCAATTTGGCTACGGTAGCACTTTAAAAAATTACCATGAGATGGCGCTGTGGCCAAGTAAATGCAGTATGCTTTAAACAGTTTTCCCTAATTATGGCAGTTAATTGCTTTTTTTTGAATATAGAGGAATCTATCATTCAACTTAAAGTAGAGCAAGGTTTGTTACTCCGTTTTAATAGTATTCATTAAAAGTGAATCCTTTAATCACAGATCCATAAATCATTTGACAACTGTGTTTCACTTAGGTGTGAGTCTGTTTAAAAAGCCATAGTAGTCAGAAAATTGCCAGACTAAACAAAGGGCCCAAAGGTACCATTTTATTTAGGATCAAGAAACTATATATGTGGACCATTGTTTTCGCCATCCTCATAGACTTGTCTTAAAGTTCTTCCACAAAATTAGATTAATTTCCAGTTTATTTAAAGAGCTGATATTTTTGTTACACTTTAATCTGCTTTGCAGCAATGGAAGGTCATAGAAATATTAGAACATGAATTCACATTTAAATAAACATGATACAAACATGCACACATGTGTATATACTGAGTGTTTTCATTGACTTGCTTTTCGTCCATATAAATATATAAATATTGAATAAAGTGCATGAGAACATGTCTGTACATATATACAGCTACACATTTGCCTATACAGTATACACTTGAATAGATACTTATGGAAGAAAAAAACACATACACATTTGTAATATATAGGTAGTCAAAAGACATCTATCAGGCAACATTAATGTACATTCTGATCAAGATTGAGTATATGGGGGTAGAATCTGTAATCTTTTCCCTAATATATAATGAAATGTGCAGAGTTACAAGTGAAGGCAAAATACATTAGAGTGGAGACATTTTAACATTTATATTTTCATCAGTTAGTATGGTATATCATAAGGAGTAGTTCAGTTCAAATGCAGCCTTGGTACTAGCAGCATATTATACATTCTATCTTTGAAACAGTGAACCATCTTTCAACATATCTATGAGGACATAATGAGAATTTTATGCATTTCCAAATTACACAATGACACTTCCCACATTCTTTAGTTTTCAAATCTGTATTTTTTTCCCAAAGGTTTAGGGCAAACACTATTTCTCATTCAATAGAAATGCTTCAGCATTGTAATCATATATATAACATTGATTCTAATAACAACATGCAATTTAACCTTGAGTGTTATAATATCAAGGTGGATTAACTGTTGTTAATCTCTTTTTCTCTTTAGTAACCATTTCAATGAAATATTATAATATCTGCTTTTCTATTAGGGAGCCCAGTGTCAATGAGTAATACTGAAATGAGTGAGTTTTTGGAGAAATAGAAGAAAAATTTTGCTCAAAACTATGGTAGTTATAAACTGGCTTGAGATTGAGGTGCGTATTTCTAAATTAATTGCAATGTTAAGCCTCAAGTGATATTTTCCCCCTCCTTTATTTGTTTGGTGTTTATTGGTAACCAATCAGGAAAACTTATTTTTAAAACTACTCTCACAGTTGAAACAAACTTGTTTCTGAACCAGGTAAGAAGGAAATAAGTTGAAATGATTCTAAAAATAAGTCTGTATATATTTTTTGACTAAGACCATTTCAGTTTAGTCATTTTCTTTTTTTCTTTCTTTTTTTTTGTGATAGGGTCTCACTCTGTTGCCCAGGAGGAAATGGCAGTGGTGTGAACTTGGCTCACTGCAGCCTTGAGCTTCTGGGCTCAAGTGATCCTTGCGTCTCAGCCTCCCCTGTAGCTGGGACCACAGTTGTGTGCCACAAGGATCAGATAATTTTTTGATTTTTTTTGTAGAGACAGGGAGGTCTCACTTTGTTACCCAGGTTGGTCTCAAACTCTTGGCCTCAAGTGATCCTCCCATCTCAGCCTCCCAAAGTGCTAGGATTACATGCACGAGCCTCCGTGCCTGGCCGAGCCATTTCGTTTGAAGGCAAGGATTTTGTTTTAATTATTTTTATATTTCTCATATCTAGAAATTTGCTTCACACATAAATGTACACTCAATAGATGATTGTGGAACCAAGCAGAATGGTTTTAATAAATAGTATAAACCGATGGATCTGAAAGCATCAGTTTACCTGATGAGTGTCATAGGAAAGTCACCTGCTTTTTACAGAGATGTCCTAGGACTCTACCACTGTCAGTAGCCGGAAACCTGAGTTCATCCTCAATCCTGACACAGTTACATCAATATACATTTACTGCTCAAAAGAGTGCATGCATGATGCAGTCATTTCACAGCAAGTTACCAAATACCTCGATAGTGCTGTTTTAGAGAAGCAATTGCTAGAAAGGCATTTGGTAATGTTAAATCATCCTTTTGCTAGTTTACCTAGAGGAACAAATATTAAACAAGACCACACTGGAAATTCAGAGTAAAGCACAAGAAGTAGAAGAGAAAGCAGCAATAGTTATTGAATAACATTTGAAGTCTTTTTCACTTCTGAGAATTAACTTGAAATGCAGCAAATGCCAGCAACCTTGTGAATATTTCAAAATGGTATCTATGAAAAAGCAGGAATGAAAAATGTTGTCAAGTATTTCATTTAATTATCTTAGCAATACAGATTTTATAACACTGACCTTAGTGGCTTTTTTTTTCTCCTTTCAAAATATATACCATAGTAAGTTTTAAAGATAATTTTTAAGAGGCCATTATATTCAATAAAATTTTCACTATTTATAGCTATTTTTATTTACAGCAATAGGTAACCAACTCAATCCCATGTCATCAATGAACAGCATAGCAGCAAGGTTTCCACTTGAAAATAGAAGTTAATTTAGATTTACTTAGGGCTTCATAATTATACAATAAAAGTGAATCATTTTAAAGACATATCATTTACAATGTTATAAATAAGTATCAGAAAGCTCACAGCTGAAATGCTGTCAGAACATTTTCCAAGCACACATTTTGTAGCATTGAACCCCGCTTTTCATTGACAGAATAAAATGAGGCATACAGATATGATCGTTGGTTCCACTAGACTTGTCTAATTTTTTCCAATCTCATATTTTTTTTTTTCCAGATAGGTGAAAACTTGCTCAGTGTGCCTTCCACAGTTGCCACGGCAACTAGCCTATCACACACAGCTCACCTTTTCATTCACTCCGTCGCTATTGTCTTTAGAAGCCTCTTCAGAATGCTGCTTTCCTAGAGCAACCATTGAGCAGTCATTATCTGTTGTCTTGGCATCTTGCTTTGAATTCTTTTTTTGTCCCATTTGAAGTTGGCTAGACTTGTAGGCCAAAGCCGGTATTGTGTTCACTAAAATTAACTGCAATGGTTTTTTGTTTTCCTTGTACTGACACTGAATATACCGTGAAAAGGCTGACCTATAGGTCTTGTTGAACAGTGTGTAGACTAGTGGGTTGACTGCTGAAGAGAGATAACCGATCCAAACAAACACATTGAGCAGGGCCCCAATGACATCCTCATTGCAGGACTCTTTGCAGATGACGGCCATGATGTTTGTGATGAAGAAAGGGCACCACATCACCACAAACAGGAAGAAGACGATGCCCAGCACCTTGCATGCCTTTTGCTCATTGCTGATGGACTGCATAGTCCTCCTGCCTGTGTAGGACCCTGGCTCCCTATGGATCGACCGCTGGAAGAGCTTTTCTGAAGACAAAGAACTCTGAGGGAGGAAGCTGAAAGAAGCTAATTTGGCCCGTGTGCCAAGATCACTTACACACAAAGTAGCTTCTTTCTGGAGTGACTTGATAGTTAGAAAGTAGGTGATCACCATGATGGTTAAGGGAATGAAAAATGACACAAAAGAGCCGATCAGGACAAAGTTATCATCGGCGAGTAAGCAACTCCCCTCCTTAAAGACCTTCGAATCGTCCTGTAGCCCAAAGACTGGTATTGGCATGGATATACCTGGAGTTGAACAGAAAATGAAACATGATTATTAAGGAATTAAGTATATGAAGGCAAGAGCATCATCACATAATATTGGCTATTGAAAAGATTTTATATCATCGTTTAAAAGCTTAACATACTTTGAGAATTTAAAATTCCTTTGGACTTACATATGTGTTTTGTAAGTATATATTATGTAGTTACTTGTATGTTATATTGCCCTATATAGCTAACCCTTATAAAGAAGTATAATAAATCTAGCTTTATTTTTTATGCCACATTTTTCTGATTATAATATTATACTTATTAATTGAAGAAACACACAGAGAGGCAAATAAACTAAAAATTGTCCAATAACGTCACCATCTAGAGATAGCCACAATTAACAACTGATGCTGTTCATTTTATTTATTTATATATTTATTTATTTTTGTCTATGAAAATCTAGAATATAGATTTGTTTCTTTTTTTGATGCTGTTCATTTTAGATACATTCACACACTTACCATGTGCACACATTTTAAAACAGAATTGAGGTTCTTTTTCACAAATAGTTCTGTATCTTTTTTAAAAAATCTAATAATATGTCACAAGCATGGCTTATATATAAAAATAACTATAAAATTTTAAATATAGTTTATTTTCTCTCTAGAAAATTTGGGAGGTACAAAAATGTAACAATGAATAAAGAAAAATAATATGTATTCTCACCAGTCAGGGGCAACCATAATTTACATTTGCATCATTTCTTCTTCCACTTACATGTACATATAAAAGCAAATGTGTATATGCAGTACTTTACATGCAGTACTTTGTACCTTATATGTTTTAGATCTTCCTATTCCATTTAACATTATAAATCATGATAATTGCACATAAAATATTTTTGAGAAATACAATTTTCTAATATTAATTTAAAATAACCAATTTTAATTCTTTTTAAAAAAGCTTTTATTATGGGACATTTTTAACATACACACAACTAACAAACCAAAAACCAAACCCAGTACAGTGAACTCGTCACCCAGCTTCAAAGATTATCAGCTCAAGCCCAATCTTGTTTCATCCATATGTCCTCTGGCTGCCATCCCTCCCATGTTATTATGAAGCAAATCCTAGACATCATGTCATTCAATCTGAAAATATTTATTACGTAGATCTAAAAGCCATGCACTCTTAGACAAACCTAATATTTTCACAATACCATTCTCACTCCTAAATAGAAGTTTAATATTTCCTTAATATTAAATGTAGAGTTAGTGTTCAAATTTCCAATTGTCCCATAAAGGTTGTTCTATGTTTTTAGTAGTAGAGCATTCATAAGGATGGATTGCAAAAAACAAGACAGCCATAGACTTTTTATTGACAAATATAAAAAGTAGGTATAGGATGAGATAATACAGGGGAACATGGGCCTATATGGTTCATTGCTCCATCACCCAGATTTGGGGGATCTGTAAGGCTCCCTCAGGTACAGGGATTAGGCAGAGGAGGAAGCAGAAGTGAATAAAGGCAACCCCTGGCCTCTAATCATGCTATGTGCCCCACTTGATGATAGGACCTTTTTAAAGGAAGATTCAACTGGCCATGTTGTGCAGTTTCACCACCCAGCCCCCACCATGGACAACCTCTCTGCTCCTGGGGAAATAGGTGTATCTTTCTCTACTGGCCTGGGATGGTTGGTCCAAGGCAATCATGAGATGGCTTATTCTCTCTGCCATAAAGGTAGAATCAGGATGATAAAAAAGAGAGGAAACATGAATCAAGTACTCTGTATAACTTAGTTTAAGATTGTTTCTTTCATGAAATGGTAGATATTGCAGGGACAGCCTGGGAGAAAAAGTCAGAAAAATAGTTCCCTTCTAACTCCTGCCCATATTATCAGCACACTCAGAATTGTAGAACAAAGAGTGTTGTGGTTACTGCTTCTGACCGTCTTTAGAGTCTAATACATGGTCTCACACCAGCCAAGAACACCGGTTTATTCCAGAATTGGGGGCCACTGCCTCACTCTTGCCATCCATCTGGAAAAAGGTTTTTGGAGAATCTCTAATCTAACTTCTGCATACTCAGAACAGAGTTCCGCTTCATCCAAGCACAGGCATGACTGTCCTAACCTCATGTCACCTCACATTGGCCATCGTGGCCAGGAAAGAACGCTGAGTTGATGTAATATTCAACACAAATCTTTCTTAGTGACATTTGCCATTATCTTCAAAGACTTAATTAACAATATTTGTCACTTGCCTATGCAAGCCCATCCAGGATTCTTGGAAGGTGGAGATAAATGACATCAGAGCTGTTCATAAGGACACTTATTGTGGCTAATGACTCTTCATTTCCTCCATCCCTCTCTGTTCCTGGCCCATTGTTTGCAACATTCAAGAAGAGATTGATGAGCTGTGCCTCCAAGGAGAACATCCTCTGAGACCCTGGATATTGACCAGTTTTGCTTATCCTTCGGAAAACTCTTGATTGTAAAAGTAAGGGCATGATTTCTAAGAAGAGTGTTTTTCTCCCAGTGTTTGAATCTAGATCTGTGAAAGATATTTCCTGTACTCATGTACAAGGTCTTCTTAGACAGCACAGTTGCTCATTGATTAGAAAGGATGCTTTGTTCAACCATTTGAGACATCCCTGGATTTGAGTCTTGGCTGTGGCTCTGGGCTCCTGAATTGGTTACTTCATTCCTATAGTCCCCACTTCTTCATCTATCGTGGGAGGCTGGCACCAACATACCTTCATGCATTTGGTGAGGATAAAATGGATCAAATTTGCAGAGCACCTAGCACAGCACCCAGTCCATAGTGATGTTCTACCAGTGGTCAATAAACATGAGAGTAGCTTTCTCTGCAGAACTATTTATATTAAATATATCAACATTATTTTATTCTAATCCATTTTGCTTAGTTTGTATACACTAGATTTTATATAGCAGATCTTTTTAAACCAAAAGAGACTAAAAAGACTTTTGGCTATTGGCCGTAGAGTTAACACTGATGTAATTTTAGCTTCTGCCAGGGTGACGCCGGGTCTTAATCAATTTTAATTTTGTGCAGCTAGAACTGTTGATTACTTTCCTAATGTGATGAATTACAGCATTACTATTAGTCATGATACACAGAAACAAGATATCAACCGTCCAAAAAAGGTGTGTGATTTTGTTATTAAACTCTTGAGTGTTCTTTTTCTAATTAATACAAAGGAAGTAACTACCTTGAGAGCCTTTTGCCCTATTTGCTTATAACCTAGTAATGTACATAAGTGGCAATTCTCAATTAACCAGAATGTGGGCTTACCTAAAATGCCAAATTCTTTAATTATTTGGAATAGTGTCTTTGGTTGGACACACACATACACACACACACACACACACACACACACACACCCTTACAGAATAGCCCAGTTTCTGAGAGGGGTGATGGAGTCATCTGCACTGAAATAGAGAATCCCTCTCTTAAATGCCCGGGATAAAAAGCCACTCTACAAGAGGATGTGGTAAGAGGTTACACGCAGAGCTGTTCTGTCTGGAAGGGGGATATTAATTTGGAAGTGGAGAATCAAGCTGATCAGTTATTTAAATGGCCTATTCATCTTTACATATAACAAAAACATCCTGAATACTATCGTATACCATTCTTTTTCCATGCCTCACTCATAGTATCTGGTCAGCAAGGGTTGTAGAAAGAATAACCAGAAAGTTAAAGTAATACTCTATAAAGAGGAGAGGAAATTTTATGTCAAAAAACTTAGAACACATAGATAGGCTTTGTGGGTACAATCAGCAGCTCAAAAGCATGTGCCTCTACCAAGAGAGATGAAGACATGGGCTGATATCCAATATCGTGGTCACAGCCATCTCTAGGGCATTAATTATCTGGCTGCTTTGTTTGACAATAGCTGCTTTTGGAGACCTGACATCTCCTCTCACTTGAAATTTCTGCATATAAAGCATTTTCCTTTATGAACAAAACAGACAGTAACCTGAATTACATGACTCTGCATTTTGTTTAATATATTTTTTCTGAAGAGTGGAAAACAGCAGTCAAAATTCACTATCAGTATTAGATCCTCTATGTAGCATTTTATTCATTTCCATTGAAACTCAGACAATAAAATGAATGGGAAACCTTGACACCTAAGAACACAAAAGCTTTGGTTGGTGTCTTTCTTTCAGCATGGCTCTGCTTACTTCCTGCACATAAACTTTGCACCTCTAGTTAACATCTTACCACAGGCTGCATCAATAATTCACTTTGAACCGCTGGCTGTGAAGGACTGGCTTTATTCTTAATCTTGGACTTTTTCTGAGACAGTGTACATTTCTTGGGAAATAAGAAGATTGCCTTCCTAGATAACCATTCTCTTGTAGGGAACAGGACAGTGGCAGTCCCTAGGGCCCTCAGCTGGAAAGG
The DNA here is from genome assembly GCF_000001405.40 of Homo sapiens. Classification (NCBI taxonomy): domain Eukaryota; kingdom Metazoa; phylum Chordata; class Mammalia; order Primates; family Hominidae; genus Homo; species Homo sapiens. Next base: position 46,840,037 of record NC_000013.11, read on the forward strand.
AGGTGGAGGGCAGAGAAGTTATTTCGGGGCTCTTGTGAAAAAGATTGAAATTTGGGTTCATAGGTTTCTGTTTCCCCAAACTGCTACCTTTTCTTTGAATTTTAATGCATGCTGTATTTTTCAAGTTATAAGAACAAATTTACTAGTAGTTTGACAGAAGACACCACTGGTAAACACTGCAGGATAATCCTCATATTACAGGGAAAGAAGAATTGAATATATAGGGCAACTGCCAATGGGACTCACTATCCTGATACAGAGTGGCTAAATTCCTTCTAATCTATGTATGGTGTGTTGACAAGGCAGATGTACATAAAAATGAGAGCTACACAAACATGTCAGTTACCCAAAAGCTGTATGTTTCTTTTTCTCAGATTAATTCCAAATAGCTCTGATAATAAATTGCAACTTTTCAAGGTATTATCACACATATTTGTTTATTCACTCTAAATTGATTTTTACAAAATTGTTAAAACATTACCCACACCTTCTTATGGGGCAGATGAAAATCTCACTTTACAGATATGAAAACTTGGGCCTACCAAGCTTAAGTAATTTAGTTAGAATCACACAGAAAGTTGGGGGCAAAATCAAGACCTCTACTCAGGGTTCTTAATTCTTATGGTGGATTTTTAAAAACTGCTTATTTGTTCCTTTGAAGGTAGTTACAAAAGTCTATGACTACCTCTGAGGTTTTTAACATTGGCTTCAGGAAGTCTATGATAATCCTAAAATCTGAAAAATTTGTATATATGTATATTTCCTTGGAGATAGATCTTTCCTTAGATGGGCAGAAAAATTCTAGCCCCTAATATGACTAATAAGCACTAAATTACACCAATTGATATGGTTTCATTCTGTGTCTCCACCCAAATCTCATCTTGAATTGTAATCCTCATAATCCCCACATGTCGGGACAGGGACCTGGTGGGAGGTGATTGGATCATGGGGAGGTTTCTCCCATGCTGTTCTCGTGATAGTGAGAGTTCTCACGAGATCTGATGGTTTTATGTGTTTGACAGTTCCTCCTTCCCACGCTCTCTCTCACCTGCCACCATGTAAGATGCACCTGCTTCCCTTTCTGGCATGATCGTAAGTTTCCTGAGGCCTCCCCAGCCATGTGGAACTGTGAGTCAATTAAACCTCTTTCCTTTATAAATTACCCAGTCTTGGGCATTTCTTTATAGCAGTGTGAGAACAGACTAATACGCCGATGTTGCATGTACAGCACAAACTCTCTCTCTCTCTCCACCACCCCCACCAGTGATTTTCTGTACCTTGATTTTGTTTTTGCATTCTTTCATCTCAAAGCCACAAGTTCCTCTAGCCAGACATTAAATTCATTGAGGCCAGAAAAATAGTTCAAAAATAAAATCCTTATAATCAACATTTAGTTTCTTTCAAATACTAGGGAAGTTATTCTCAACTGTAGCTGCACATTAGAATCACTGAGGGAGTTTTAAAAGTTACATTGCCTGAGCCTCATTCTCGGGGGTTCTGATGTTAGTACTTTAAAAAATATAAATGCCCAGGCACTACATAAACATGAAAACAACAACCACTCCAGGGATCTCTGTAAGCAGTTGTGCACTGCAGAAGCTGGTGGCCTAATTGCCCCCATCATAGATTCCTTATAAAGTGGTCTCTGTCTCCTCTGACCCTCCTTCCTTTTCTTTTCCATTTCATAGCCTAGAGGTTGTGCTTCAATATAAAGATCTTGCACTGAAAGGCGAAGAGATTGAATTCTGGCTTGTAGATGGGGCTTGTCAGCCGTCACTGCAACACTTAAGAACCCATCCACATCTCTCTTGTCTCAGAGAAGATTGACTTTCATCTACCATTTCAGCCCCCAGACAATATATTACAAAACCCAAAGAGAATCTGAACCATATAATATAATTTGAATAAATAACCAGAGCCTTGTTTTGTTGTTGGAATCACAAGTAATAAGGCAACTTCTGCTGATCACTATGTTAGTTAGCTTAATTTCATCATTCTACATTGTAGGCATCGACCAAAATATCACATTTGTACGTCATCAATGATACAATTATGATTCACAAATGAAAAATAATATTAATAATAAAAATAAAACTCTTCAATGCCACAGAAAGTTGGGGGCAAAATCAAGACCTGCCTCCTTCTTTTTTAATGAGTGGATATTACACTATCTACCCCTAGCAGGTGCTCTTTTCTAGGCTGCATATTTAGCAACGTGCTCATGAGTAAAGATTTATTTAGAAAAAAAACTCATCTCTGTCCTACATTATTGGGCCCCATCTTGAAAGTATTGTATCCTTTCTCCCATTTCTATCAAGGGGGCAGATTTTGGAGTGATTCTCTCTGAAAGCTTGGAGAATGAGTCTTACATGTGACATGTCTCATTTCAGAGACTCTGGTCTAGAAGGTGTGGGGAGAAACAGCCATGGTGTCTGGAAAGCTAGATTGCGGCAGGTGCGCACATAATCTAGACCCACAACAGTCAGTTCTCTTTCCTCCAGCCTCGCTTGTATGCAGCATCCTAAAGCACCTTTTCCATCATATTACACAAGAGCCTATAGTGTCCCTAACACTCGAGCAATTACCAGCTACTCAGCCCACCCTACAGGGTCTTTGTAATCTGATTTTAACATAATTATTCAACTTTCTCAATAGTCATATGGTGTTCTCTCTCTGTTGCTCTCTTCTTTATGTTATGTCTTGAACTATTCAGGAGGATATTACCCATAGCAAGATTTTTCAACCAGTCACAGAGTGTGATTTAAGGAGCCCCCAAGTCCTGCCTCCTCTCATATATGTCTTCTCTCAGTAGCTTGCTTGGTATACAGTAGTCCTCCCTTAAGCTTGCTTTCCCTTTCCATAGCTTCGGTTACCCAGTCAACCACAGTCCGAAAATATTAAATGGAAAATGCCAGAAATAAACAATTCGTAAGTTTTACATTGTTAACTGTTCTGAGTAGTGTGATAAAATCTTGTGTTGTCCTACTCCACCCCACCTGGGATGTAAGCCATCCCTTGGTACAGTGGATCCATGCTGCAGATGCTCTGTGCCCATAAGTCACTTAGTAGCCATTTCAGCAGATCAACTATTGTGGGATCACAATGCTTGTGTTCAAGAAACCCTTATTTTACCCAAGAATGGCCCCAAAGTGCAAGAGTAGTGAGGTTGGCATATTGTTATAATTGTTCTATTTTATTATTAATGATTGTTAGTCTCTTACTGTGTCTAATCTATAAAATAACTTTATCACAGGTATGTGCACATAGAAAAAACATAGTATATATAGGGTTCAGTACAATCCACAGTGTCTGGCATCCACTAGGGGTCTTGGAATGTGAGCCCCAAGGGTAAGGGGAAACTATTGTACTGCAGTGTCTCTCTGTTAGAGTGAGAGGTCCATTCTGTGTACCTATAATACCCTGGAGGGTTGACTATTAACCTAAGTTCATGGTGCAGCAGCACAAAGACGCATAGTAGGGAGGACTCCTGAGGGCATAGGCCTTGGAAAGGAAGGTTGCCCTAGGAGGGAAGACATACAAGATTGCTCAGGGATGCAGGTCTGAGGGAGGTATGGTGGCTGTGCCATGCTGGGCTGTTCGTTAAAGCCCAGAGCACCATGGGGAAGGGGCAATCTAAACGGCTACTGGGAGGTACAGAGACTTACTTTTCATTTTTGCCCTGGACCAATTTTGATGACTTTCCTTTCCCTGAAATGCTACACCAATGAGTAGGGGCTCCAGGATTTCTATGTAGCAGGGGCTTAGGAGTGGCGGCTGGAGGGCATGGGGGAATGAGGCAACCTGTCTTGAGGCTACATTTGCATACAAAACACATTATTGTACTTTAACTGTACAATTATTTGGGAGTGCTTTGGGAATCTGCAGATGGAGATCATGTTTCCAAACCACACCCTACAATTTTTTTCAAAACGTATCTCAAGGCACATCCGCTATATGAAACCTTCCCCAAATTAATTCTCTCTATAATAAGAACTATTTTTCTTACTCAATATTCCTTCAACACCTCCATAAATAAATTATACTGTGCTAGTTCACACTTTCAATATCTTAGAATTTTTCTCTAGACATGTCATTATATTCATGAGATGACAATCTCATTAATAGCAGGGATATCTTTTTCTTTGTGTATTGTAAGACATCCCAGCATCGAATGTGCTTCTGCTTATACTTAGAGCTTAGTAAATGCTTGTGGGATTGATGGGTAAACAAATGAGAGAGAGGAAAATAAAAGAGAGAGTTGGGAATTATAATACACTTTATAGACACAGCTTGAAGTTACTGAATAATTTCGTAATGCTTCCCTTCATTTTTGTTGGGAAAACACAGTAATGAGGCTGCCAATTAGCCACATAGGGTGGAAAAAAGAAAATGGACATTTGTATGATACAAAATTTGTATACTACATAATTCGTACACTCTTTTAAGGGAGGCACATATAGGATTAACCAGCACATGAGCTGACCACCTTAACAGCTAAAATCACAAGGGAAAAGATCGCTGTAGAACATGGTGCCTAGTGAGAATCAGGAGACTTGCGTTTATTCCTGTCTGTTCTGACTCATATCCTGGATCTAGGCCCGTTATTTTTCACAAAGTGTCTTTCAGGTAAATTAAACAAGTATGTATCAGCAAACTGGAGCATGAATATAGTGGGAAAATCACAGAATTTGGAATCACAAGACACAGGTTTGCCTCCAGACTCTGTTAATCACTAGCTGGGTGACCTTAGGCTGCTTAACTTTCAAGCTTCCATCTGTAAGGTGGAGATAATATAAAGAGGCCTCCTCTAATTTTCATGCAAGGCTTTGGTGAAAAAGCAGTGAGATGATGAGTCTGAATCATTTTGTAAAGTTTTAAGATTTATTTAGATGAGAGTGATTATAATTTACTTAGCACTATGTGAGACTCTGGGTAAAGCAAAAGACCTTTGAGACATTTCATGATGTCTAAGATCTTTTTTTTTTAAGCTTTTTATTATGGAAAATTTTAAACACACGAAACTACAGAAAATAGTACTGTGAACCCTATGTACACATCACCCAAGTTCAATATAATCATGATGTCTAAGATCTTATAGGGAAAACAAAATATACACAATTGATTTAGGAAGGCAGCAGTGCAGGACAGAATGAGATCGAGAGGCAAAATAGATGACATAGATAAATTCCTATGTGATGTCACAGTGCGAGGCTCATTGTTGGTTGGCATCCCTGGGAAAGGCACAGGAGCTGAGCTGGGCCTGTGAATGAATAGAATCTGGACAGGGATGAGGCAAGGAGACAGGAGTGATCTCTCCACCCTGGGCCCAGGTGAGCCTGGACTTGCTGGGGCTGAGGCAGTCTGTTGTCTGGTATGCAACTGTGAACTCAGGAGCAAGTGCACACATTGCTTATCACTTACCAGAAGCATTGAGCAGGTCCTCTATCTATGATAGCAATCAGTTTTGTTCCTTCATCCATCAATCAAGTAGTAATTGAGCCTACACTGAGCTAGGTACTTGAGGAATTTGAGGGGAAGGTGGTTGAGTCTATAATCAGTTACTTTACAATCTAACACCTTCACTACCATTCATTAATTCATCACTCCAAAAAAAAAAAAAAAAAGAAAAAAAGACTAGGGAGGCAGAGGATACAGAGATATAAGCAGAAAACTAGGATCTTACAGGGAAATATATCTGCTTCTGCTTCAGTCTGTTGTGAAGTTACATAGCATGTATCCTCTGGAAAACTCTCTACCCTCTTAAAAGGGTGAATGGGAGAAAGGAAAATAATATCTTATCATAGTCATGCACCCATAACAATGTTTCAGTCAACATCAGACTGCGCACACAACAGTGGTCCCATAAGATTAGAATAAGATTATAACACTGTATTTTTACTATACCTTTTCTGATATGTTTAAATACACAACTACCATTGTTATAATTGTCTATGGGGTTCAGTACAGTAACACTCTGTACAGATTTGTAGCCTAGGAGCATTAGGCTGTCCCACACAGCCTAGGTAGGGAACCTGCAGAATATGTTTGGAAAGCCACTGATACAGGAGAAAAAAAGCCATTAGTTTGCAATGAGAAAACCCAAATTTGGATCCCCTCTGGTTTTAAGCAAGTCATTTAATTGGAGTTTTTTTTCTCCCATAAAATGGGGATTAACAGTGTACCCTTCAAGAGATGATCATGAGAAATATAAATGAGAATTGCTACCCTTATATAGTAAATATAAAGTAAATACTATATAGTAAATATAGTATTGTCTAACAGCTGGCAATTATAGAGAAGAATGTTCTACAGCCATCCTTAATGCCCAGAGTTCTTCATTAAAAATCTCTGCTGTAGCTGAAACCTCCAACCACTCTTGTTTGGTGCTAACAGAAATGAAAACCAGTTTAATATCATCTTTATATTTAGTTTAAAAATCTGTACATTGCTTGCCACTTTGCACATAGGTCTCTGTTAATATGGAACCAGTTCATCACCCAAGATAGGGGTCCTGCAGAGCAAGAATGTTTCCCAGAATGGCTGATAATGGTCTCCTCAGTGAAAATTGAATGACCTCTTGACTGTGGATGGTGACAATGAAGTCAAGTGCCAAGGGTGCTGAGTAATGGGTGTGCAATGTCATATTGCCTTAAAAGTACACATTGGGATTCACAGAACAAGGACAAAAGAGAGACTTCCACTGTGTCCTTTCTCTGTGGGAAGAAGGGTGGTCATATGAAATCTGGGACTTTTTTCACAGGTGTTGTGTTGACAAGGAATCAGTTCTTTGCACAGAGGTCTATGTTAATACGGAATCAGTTTCTCACCCAAGACAACAGAAGGACCTGCCACAGTGTCACTAGTGTCATTTCTGTCCAGGGAATTCAGTCATGCAAGCCCTGGAAACCTGACACCTCAGCTGTGCTGGCAAAAATGGGGGTGGCTGACTCCTCCTGTTTGTTCATTTTGCTCTTTTCCAAATTGCAGTTTTGCCAGCATGCTGCTCTTTGGTGGAACTGAGGCTATAAGCCAATGTCCTAGCTACAAAGAAGGGTGGGAATTTGAGTTTCGATTCTTGGGAATTTCCCAAAATACTGAAAGGCTAGTTGAAAGAAATATGGCAGGCACCCACTTCACTTGACCTACGGCATGATTTGTAGCTGCTGTAATTGGGGCAGTGAGCGGGGGTGCCTCTTTCAAAGATAGTTCTGCTAGGATTTCTACCCTTTTTCAATTTCCCACTTTTTTCCCCTATGATCTTCCTCTCTTTTTCTGGCATCTCTGCAGTCAACATAAGTTCAAGTGTTTAACAGTTAAAAATGAATCCATCTGTAAACATAAACTATATACCAATAGCTATCATCTCAAATGCTTACAGGGCCAGTGAAGTAATGTAATTGAGCTACCTGTTGGCAGATAAGATGGTAGGAAGGGTGTTGCTTGGTAAACTGGATAGTGCCTGAGGGCAATCAAGTTCAATATAATAAGAAACAAAACACATTGTGCAAGCCAAACAAAACAGATCTGTGGGCTAGACACATTTTTCATTATTCAATTAGCTTGGCACAGGTTTAGAGCTTTACAAATTTCTTTTGGGTTCTTCTTTATTTCCATCTCTTATGGACTTCTCATCTTGGCCTTGCTCTTGTGGTCACTGTTCTCGTCCTGATCAGCTGACACTATTTGTACCACGAGGCCCAAACAACTTTTTGTTTTGGGTCCTAAATCCTAAGATTAGGCAGGATCTTTCTTAGTTTGGGTTTCAGATGCACGCCTCTGGGATTCGGATAAAAATTGTTATCATGCAGATAGATTAGTGCCCCTGGGCACTATTTGGGGCACAGAAAGTCCCTAACTAGCAACTTCTTCTTGTAACCCAAGCTAAACTTCTGTATCTCCCTCTTGTCTTACCCACTGTTTCCTAGAGCTTCTAGGATTCTAGAAGCTTCTTCACAGTTTCACTTTTTATCACTCAACAGTCTGGTTGGCTGAGACCTCCAAACTTCCCATCCAGCTCAGGAAAGCCCAAGATGAAGACCTTTTGGTTTTACTGTCTTTCAGTGAGTGATATGAAAGCCTCTACTCTCTGAGATTTCATTTACTCCATCTCCTAAAAAGTTGTACATACCCTGAAACATTAGTGATTTGGAGGGAGAATTTTTTGTTCGTTTTGCAACATTGTAGAGTCATTTCTATGGTTTAATTTCTGCTTGTGAAGGCCCTGTCTTCCCCAGTCTTAAGTATGCCTTTAGTTTGCAGAAAGATGCACTGAGTTCAGGTTAAAAGCAGCTTTAATCAAGAAGTTTATCTGGTTGTTTTCAAGATCTTGTACAGATTTTTCTTGAAGAGATGAAATAGAGCTTAGCGATTATCTAAGGAAGCAGCTTTCTTTCACAGTTAATGAGTCAAGGTAGAACTGTTAAGCTCTCTGTGTAAGTTTAATAGGTAAAAAGTGGGGGAAAACCCCACATTTACAGGTGTCCACAATGCAACAGACACTATGTAGGTCTTCACAGATGTCAGCACATTTCATCCTCACGAGGAACTCACAAGGAAGGAATTATTATTCCCATTTTACAGATGAAGAAAATATACTCTATAACTTGGTCTAGGCCTTATACTTAATAAATGCACAAGCTAAGACTCAAATCTACATCTGATTTGTTTTCTTCTGTACTTCCATTTTTTGTTAGAATCTGGACCTTATGAACCCTAATCTAGTGTTCTTTTCATGACATCAGAAGAGTTTAGTTAGCTTTTTCATTGTTTCATTTTGTAGTTCATACTTTTTGGGTTTTAAGGATTAAGAGTGTTTACTCGTAAAGAACTTTGAGATGCATATGGAAATTACTGCTATCTGATATTACTTATACGTGGGAAGCAGGAATAGAAACAGGAGATAGGAAACTGAAAATAACAAAACCTCCACCCCAAGGGCTAAGCATTGTCATAATAAGTAATGAACAACTGAGACATTTAGCTGCCTCCTTGGCCTCTCAATTTGGATGTCTCCGATGGGCATCCCTAACCTTACACCGTCACACTAGGACTCTGGGTTGCACTCGCTCACCCCCCACCTTTCCTTATCCCAGTAAATGGTCCTACCATCTATCCAGATACACAGCTTAAAAACTTAGGAGTCTCTTTCCATTATCCTGCCTTTGCAAAAGACTCACCAGCATTCTAATAAGTCTACCTAATAATCTATCCTAATTTTACCTGCAAAATATACTTTTTGACCTAATCTGCCTACTTCTCTTTCTCCACTGCCATCTCTGTACTCTAAGCCACTAGGACTCCTGCCTGAATTACCACAAGACCTTCCCCACTGCCCTCAAGGGGCTCCCATCCTTACCTGTGTACCTCTGAGCCTAAGACCCTCAGAGACCCCGCACTGCACTGAGAATACCATCCAAACTCCTTACTTTGGCTGCAGGCCCTCAGAGATGTGGCTCTGCTGACCTCTCCTTCCCCCTCTCTTCTCACTCCCTTCCTTTCTTACTACACTTGAGCTGGACTGGCTGCTTTCTGCTCCTTCAACCCCGTAAGCTGGTTACTTCATCAGGGCCTTGGGACTTGCTGTTCCCACTGCCAGGAACACGCCACTCTCTACTGATATTACCATGGCTGGCTTCTTCTTATTTGGTGTCCATGTAAATGCCCTCTCCCCAGTCAGCCTTCCTCACCCTGCCTGAGTCACTCTGTAGCGGATTTCTCTGATTTGTTTTTTTCCTTTAGCAGTTGCCACTGTATGAGATTATCTTGTTTGGTCTATTTATTTGCTTGTCATCTCTCTGTTTACGTGAATGTGAGCTCCATAAAAGCAGATACTTTTCCTAAGACAGTGCATGGCACATAGTATTTAAATATTAAGCATGAAATAAAGATTTCTGGAATAAATGAAGAAGCAAATGCAGAGGCCTTTGGGAACACATACAACATAAAAAGAAGAGGAGAGAACAATTATGACTACCTAGTAGACTTCCTTATTACCTTAGTTATCTTGGCAAGGGCAAGAAATTGCCCAAATATAGATCATTTGGGGGCTAACAATTCTGACAAAGTAGGGCTTTATAGAAGTTGAAGGTAAAGCTAGTTAATTTGAGGACTTTCCCTAGACAGAGCCCTTTCTCTAATATCCTAGTTAATAATAATCATCCATCTTTACATGCTAACAGTGCATCAGGGAGGACTATGTCATGGTGGTGGTAGTAAATAATAATGATAAAAAATAACACAATCAAATACTTACATGGTGCTTACTGTGCTCCAGGCACTATCCTAAGTGCTTTATACAGATGAGCTCACTTACTCCTCACAGTCACCCTATGAGTTTGTGCTATTATTATCACTGTTTGCTGATGAGAAAGTGGAAGCACAGAGAAGTTAGGCAAGTTGCCAAATGTCACACAGTAAGTGCTGAAACTAGAATTTTGAGCCACAGCCTGGCTCTGTAGTCTGTATTTTTCTATGCTCTGTAGCCTCAGCACACTTTCGCCATCAGGTATGCAGGCTTGGGGATCAAACTTCCTCACTTCAGAAAAGTTGCTGCTTGAAGAGTTGCTGCTTCATTGCTGCTCAAGGCTGGCTCTTAGATCCGGAGCCTGGAATTCATGCAGTGTCCTACCTATGAAATCTTTCTGTGGGGACAGGCCTCCTTTTATCTGTGCTTGTGTTGCAGGGGCTATACGTTTCTCATTTAGAGCCATTTACATGCTATCTATGGGAAGACTGGCTATAGAAACCATCTTTTAAGAACTTAATGCTAAGGACCAGTTATGTTTTACTGCAAGTCTTTAATGCACAATGCCAAGATCAACATTTTTTGAAATTACAATTTTCTCTGCTATTTCTTACAATGCTTATTTTCTTTCCATGGTTCCCAGCTAATTGGTGTCCCGTACCTGTGCTGATGTTGAATGTTTTTCCTCCAAATTAACCTATAGATGATTTCTGGGGTGGGGGTGAGGATGGGGCAGAAACCCTTTGAAAAGGAGTGCAAAAGTTCATGTTCATGTGACTACGTACATTTTTCAGGAAAGAGGTAATTATCCCAATACTCTGCAACACAAAAAAGATTCTGAATCACTGAGCCTGGGTGTACAAACACTATGTCTTGTGTGTATGTGTCTGTGTATATGTGTGTTTCCTAGTAAAACCAGTTTCATATCTTCATAGTTCTATTTCTTCTGGATAGTACTTTTCTAGAGAATATGGCAGTAATTTCTAATTTTAAAAGACATAAGAAACAAAAGTCACAGTAAAAATCTAATCAGCCAAATAGTTTATAAGAAAATGCAGGAAAAAGATAAAGAATGAGCTCCTTGATACATTGTATATTCTGGTTCAAACATAGTACATGCACAGATACATACAGCACAAAACACACTAACTTTAATATCCTGTGGAGAAGTTAATTTGCTGGATTACACATATGCATGTTAAATGGGAGCATTTATTAGAATAAGTCAGACCAAAAGAACACTTTCGCACGGAATATTTATATAATGGAAACAGGGATTTCTGAAAAATTGCTTCAGTTTTCCAGGTGGCTTTACAAGGGCAGGATGGATGTAGAGTAACTGGGAGAGAGACTCTCCTTTTAGCAACATTCTGGGCATGAAAGGCAGTTGTGGATCCAGCCAAATAAGCTGCAAACTTCCCGATGATATATTCACCGCTTTTCTACATTTTGTGATAGTAATAAGGAAGGTGTTAGCTCTAGCCTGCTAAATGTTTGAATCTGATGCATTTTGTAATCAGCAGAATAATGGTCCCCAAAGATGCCTACGCCTAACTCCTGGATGCTGTGAATATGTTGTGTTATATGGCAAGGATAAACTAAAGTTGCAGATGGGAATTAAAGATGTCAATCAGCTGAGCTGGAAATAATTAGAGTGCCCTGGATTATCCAGGTGGGCCCAATGTAATCACAGATTTCCTTAAAAGTGGAAGAGGGAGGAAGGTGTGTTGGGTCAAAGTGATTCAATAAGAGCAGGATTCAATCTGTACTGGCTACCTTGGAAGATAACAGGAAAAGGACCGTGGGCCAAGGAGTGTAGGTGGTTTCTAGAAGCTGGAGGGGCCAGTGACATATTTTTTCCCTAGTGCCTCCAGAAAGAACGCAGCCCTACTGACACCTTGGTTTTGGCCTGGTGAGACCAACTTTGGACTTTTCACTTCCAAAACTGTAAGTAATAAATTTGTGTTGTTTTAAGCCAACAGCAGAGGTGTCATTTCAGTTTGTAGTCATTGCTACAGCAGCACTAAGGAGCTGGCACACATTGCCGGGACTCGCTCTGGCGCTTGGGCGGCACTGTAGGTGTCCACGTTCTTGGAGGTAGTCAGCAAAGGGGGGCTCTCTCGGCTGGGCTGGCCACGTCTGCTTACACAGAGTGCTACCCTCTTCCCACTGCGGTAACAGCCTTGCCTTAGCCCCTGTGTGTTTGGAGTGGCATTCGCTACAAAAGTTCTTTGTCAAAGGGACAAACGATGAGCTATGATGCCATTCAGACTGATGTGTTAACTTCTAAGCTTTCCTATGATTAAGATAATTGTTCTATGATATGAGGAGCGGCATTGCATGCAGTATATTTCTTTATGTGCTGTTAAAATGCAGTTCACGGCTGTAGACAGGTGGGGTGAAATTAGCACCAGACTGGGAGACAGAAGCCCTGATTTCTTTCCTTGGCCTGTCCACATACAAGCTATGGGTGTAATGAACTTTTGTTTTCCCATAAACATTTTAAAATCACTTAGTCATGCTCCTCAAAAAATTTTAACTTTTGGATTAAAACTGTTGAAACTGTAGATAATCTGGTGGAAAATGAACACCTTAGTTCTACAGTTAACAAAGGTAAGTTATCTCAATAATTTGAACATGTTATATTTTTATCTACTTAGGTCTTGTCTGTCCTATAATAGTTCTAGGGCTTTTTTTTTTCCTATAAAGTTCCTGGTAATTCTTATCTGATTTTTCTTTTTCTCCTTAATATAGTGCATTATTCTGAATTGTTAGGTAAAAGTTGGTCTGCTTGTTGTCAGTATCTTATAGAGTTTGTGCTTCTCATATGCCTAGAAATTTTTTCTTGTGACTTTATATCCCCTTCAGGGGATATAAGATGCCGTGATTAATATCGTACACCAGGAGAAGGGGTTACAGCCTGTGCGCCTCCTGGTGATCTTGATTAGGAAGAAGGGGAAGGTGGACCTTAGGGCAGATGGCCTCTAGCATTGAAATGTGGGCTCCCAGATCCTCCATCTGTCCACATCTTGCTGGACACCTCCATACTCATCTGCCTGGGCCACTTCTCTGACTCCCAATCCCCTAACCCTTGGGCTGGGAGGAGAAAGAGCTCAGAAGCCAGCAGGTTGCTCTCTTCCCTTGCTGTGTGCTCTCAGTGGTTGTTGGCAGCACACTGGAATCACCTGGCAGCCTTAAATACTGATAGTGAATTGAATCCATAGAGATTCTGATTTTGTGCATTCCAGGTGAGGCCAAGTGTATCAGGCTGTTTTAAACCTCCCCAGATGATTCTAATGTGCTGCTAAGGTTGAGATCCCCAGTCCCAGCCCTCTCCTGAAGCCACCCCACTGGCTGGAGAAGATACTGGGCTGACATTGCTTTTTCTCTGCCCTGCCATGGTCACTGGGTGGGCAGGCAGGCCCCTGTCCAGGGTAGCGTGGACACTCTTCCAAGGCAGCATCTACGACTCTCAGCTGTCACTCTCAGCTCTCCTCCATCTAAAACATCTTAGTTTTACAGTTGTGCTTTTCATATGCCTAGAAATTTCTGGGCTACATTTCTTTCCCATATATGGACTTCATGACCGTCTATTTTCCCAGAGGTTTTTTGCAGTTTTTATGCTAGTTTTTGATTCACCAATCTTTTCCTTCTGTTAGGTTTAAAGAAAAAAGTCTACAGTTCCAGTTAGTCTACTTTTGTAACAGGACCTGACAACTCCACTCTACTTCCAATCCTGAAAGACTACAGGAAAAACTAGCCCAAGTGACTGAGCTGGGGGGTCCCAGTCATCGGTAGCATGGGTATTTTGCTTTGGAATATTATCAAATAGCAGGGGGACCAGCACAGTGGACTTAGTGTCAAGTCTAGGATTTGATTCTTAGCTAACAAAACAAGTTTCCTCTCTGAGTTGTGACGATTAAATGCAATAAAATGGAAAAGTGCCCAGCAGTGATGGGCTTTCAGGAGATGCCATAGACATTAGCTGAATTTGAACATTTTCAACTTGAATGGGACAGAAACATTAACTGGAGTTGACAGGAGGATCAGCGATGTATCTAATAAGCAGCATTACAAATAGCACAAGCTTAGGTGTTCCTCAGCTACCACACCTTAGTGCTTGCTCCTCTGTTAGGATTATCTATTAGACTTTGCTATTTACTTTTATTAGATTTTTATATTACAAGAGGGGCACATAATAGAGCTCATGCAATTTGGTTCATTTCAGACTTGGGCCAGCTTTAGGTGAAAGCTGCTGGAACTAATTTTTATAGCCAGGACTTCAAATAGTGACTTTGAGCCTATATCAGAACAAAATATCATTATCCCCAGCCCTGGCTCTGACATCAGTTCTTTTGAGGCTGAAAGTTGCCCTGGGGTTGTAAGATCTTACACGACCAATAACAGAAGTCAGCAGAGACTCCTAGGCACAGAGATGTGATACCATAATTAATATTTTGATAGCATTCCAAACAGCAACAGAATAATGCCTTTGGCCAGGAAATCACAGATCCCTACCCACCCTGTTATGGTGGAACTGTGTCCCCTCAAATGATCCCCAGTAGCTGTGAATGTGATCTTATTTGGAAATAGATTCTTTTGTAGATGATCAAGTTAAGGTTAAGTAAGGTCATTAGGGTGGGCCCTAATCCACTACGACTGAACTTATAAAAAGAGAAAAAATTTGGACGTGGACATGTGTACGCTGAGATAACATTATGTGAAGATGAAGGCAGAGATTGGGAGACGGAACTATAAGTCAGGGAACACCAAATTGACTAATGTCCCCCCAGAGCTAAGAAGAGGCCATGGAACAGCCTCTCCTTCACAGGTCAGAAGGAACCAATCCTGCCAATACCTTGATTCCCAGAATTCTGACCTCCGGAACTGTGACACAAGAAATCTGTCAGTTTAAGCCAATAAGTTTGAGGTTCTTTGTTACAGTAGCCCTAGGAAACCAGTACACCCCCTTTTCTCTCACTCTGCCTTCCAGGAGAAGTGATACTATAGATTGCTCAAACTCAAGGGAACTCCTTCAGTTTTTCGGTTGAAACATGTGAAAAGGCTGATATGTAACCACTATGACCTTCAGAAGGGGCAGTTTCACAGGATGTAGTCAAATATATTTTCTGGTGGGTGGAGCTTTGTGTGAGACATAAATCAATCTCACTGGGTAGCTGTCTCAATTTCCACTTTCCCAGTTCAGTGTGGGTGGATGGGGAAGGTGCTCTCAACTGGGGGGGTACACAGGCTGCTTTTCTCATTGGCTTTCCCTTATGCTTCCGGGACATTCTTCATTCTGTGTGGCCAGGGAACATGTAAACTGGAGACAGAACCCAAAAGCTTTCCCTCCCTAAAAAAGGCCTAAGGTGGGATGGCCAGCAGGGCAGGTGAGGACCTTGCTACAAAAATTTTAGGACCGAGAAAAGTAAGTACTGCTCCCCCAAAAATTCAATCTCAAAATTAATATTTAACTTAAATATCTAAAATATAACATGTCCACTAGCCAGATCAGCTGATAGTAGGGCATATAAAGTTATGTTTAATGTGGTGTATTGTGTATAACATATGATGTGGGTGGGGTCCGCAAAAGTAAGGGTGCCAAAGGTCTGAAACAGCTCTGGGCGTTGGAGCAAATGGTCTTTCTCCTCTGGCTACTATTGTCTTGTACTTACACCTTCTTCCTGACTGCTGTGTTCTTTGACATTCCAAAATAGTAAGATTAGAGACCTAGTGTGGGTTTGGGACAGAACAGGTAGAATAAAGCAATCCCTTACCCTGCTTCATCCCTGGTTATATGTTGATCTTAGAAAACGAAGAGTGCTCTGGACAGTGGGTGGAGAAGATTCAAGTACATCTTCCTTGCTGACAATATGCTCTCCTATCTTTTGTAAGAGTACACAATTTAAATTTCTAAAAATTCATTACAATACAAAGCAAAACAATCCCTCGTAGATTTATAATCAAACTAATATGCCACTTAGAAAAGATTTGAAATAAATGCAAATACCTAGGTACAATGTTTTATCTTTTTAATGACACTTCAATAAACCTAATTACTTTTATTTTTCTGAACAAAGCAAGTGGGGAGAAAAATGTAAAGTGTTTCTTCATACACTGCAAGTTTATGAAATTCAAGAGGTAGAAAATGCAGCAGGGTTTTGAAGAAGAGCCTTTTAAATGAATGTGAGGCTTGGCTATCCCTACACTTGGGATGCAGGTCTTCTAAATGGATGTAAGTCTTGGGTATACCTTAAAGACGATGACAGTGAAAGTCAGCAAATCCTTCCCCAGTAGGCTTTAACTCTCTTAGTTAAAAAAAAAAAATACAAAAAAACACTAGGCTGAATGGGCCATTTGTATCATGTAGTACGATGACTCTTATGTATGTACTTCTATCCTGGGATGAAAGTCCTTAATGAAGGATTTGCAGATTAGGTTAAGAGGGTTATCGTTATCTAATTACACAACAAATCCATTCATCTGGCAAATACTTAGTGAATATCTACTAAGTGCCAGGCAGAATGCTAAACAAACTTGTCCAAAACAGCCACATGATAGCAGGGGCACGATAACAGTCCCTGTTGTGCAGCTCAGTTGAGTAGGAGGCATCTATAATTCCATGTGAGGATGAGGGCAGTGCAAGGTGCTGGGGGGAGCCCTAGCATCTTCATCCATTCAGGCTGCTAGAACGAACTGCCACAGCCTAGGTGGCTTGTAAACAATAGAAATTCATTGCTGGCTGGGCGCGGTGGCTCACGACTGTAATCTCAGCACTTTGGGAGGCTGAGGTGGGTGGATCATGAGGTCAAGAGATAGAGACCATCCTGGCCAACTTGGTGAAATCCTGTCTCTACTAAAAACACAAAAATTAGCTGGGGGTGATTGTGCTCCCCTGCAGTCCCAGCTACTCAGGAGGCTAGGCAGAAGAATCACTTGAACCTGAGAGGCGGAGGTTTCAGTGAGCTGAGATCATACCACTGCACTCCAGCCTGGTGACAGAGCAAGACTCCATCTTAAAAAAAAAAAAAAAAAATCATTGCCCACAGATCTCAAGGCTGGAATGTCCAAGATGAAAGCACCAGCAGATTCAGTGTCTAATGAGGGTCGGTTTGCCCATTTCATAAATGGCACCTGCTCACTGCATCCTCACAGGATGGAAGGGCCAAGGCAGCTCTCTAGGGCCCCTTTGATAAGGGCTCTAATCTCATTCCTGAGAGCTCTGCCTTCATGATTTAACCACCTCTCAAAGGACTCACCTCCAAATACATAATCACATTGATGATTACATTTCTACCTGTGAATTTTGGGGAGATGCATTCAGACCATAGTAAGTAGGGAGGGGCATTTGACTTGAATTTGAGAACTGATCAAAAAGGCTTTCTGTAGAAAGTGATAGTGAGGCCTCAAAAACAAGAAGGGCTTATTCAGACAAATGAAATAAATGCCCTGGAGGCAAGAAAGCACAGCATATAAGAGCTGAAAGTAATTTGATATGAGGTAAGGATCCTCCAGAGAGAGGAACCTGGGGAGGTGGGGAGAAGCCACATCTCGAAGGGCCTTGCAAGCCATATGGAGAAGATTCACCTCTACCCTGAGGGCAATAAGAAGCTACTAAATGACTTTAAGCAGAGAATGGAAATATTCAGATGACAGCCTGGCTGTTTGGTGGGTGGATTAGAGGGAAACTAGACCAGTAAAGAGGCTGCTGCAGTAAGCAAGGTGGGAAATGAGAAACATTGCCACTGGGGACAAAAGTGGGGGACTCCTAAGACAGTGGCAGGGAGCATCAGCAGGATTTAGTGATTGGGTGGAGGTGCAAGTAAGAAAATGAAGGTTAAGAGTTTAGCTTTGTAGAGTGGTACCTCTCTGTGGAGCTTGAGAACTTGGAGAGAAGAAAGCTTTGGTGGGAAGGGGACGATTCAGTTTTAGACATACTGATTTGGATATACATAAAGTATAGCCAAGCAGAGCTGCTTGGAAAACAGGTACCTGAATCTGACGACCCCTCTCTCAGGCAGCTCTCAGGGCAAGGGATTCCAGGAAGGAGTACTGAGCTGCCTTGAAGGATGAAGAGTAGTGGGAGGGGGTGTGGCAGGAAATGCTTGGAAGCTGGGGAATGATGATGAGACTTACATGCCATGAGGAATTGCAGGTAGTACAGAGGGCTGTGGATGGAAGGCAGGGAATAATTCTTGATGGGTTTTGCCTGTCATGTTTTATGCCTAAGGAATGAGATAGAGCTAATATAATATTTTAGACAGGCGAGAAACCTGATCATATTTGGGTTTTAGGAATTAGACTGGCACTGGCATGAGTGTGAACTGGAAATGGAAATAAATCAGACCAGTTAAAATAATCTAGTTTTATGCCTGTCAAAAGATCAAGTCCTAAACTAAGGCTGAACAGAGAGGGTGAGGAAGAAGGAATGAATTTTAGGGATACCGAGGTGGCAGAAATGACAGCTATAGCCATGGACTAAATGTGGGAGGTGAGGAAGATGGCAAGAATGATATTCAGAGTTCTGGCTTGGCTGATGGTGGACCATTTGGTGAGATGGGCACTACCCATCTCAGAGGTGGAATGGCAAGGTACAGGTCTGAGAAAAGCAGGGCAGATGCGCCATAAACCCTGATCTCACAATTGACTGAAAAATCATGAGTCACTAAGACGTTCGAATTCTTGATCCCTGCAAGGAACAGCAATTTTAATTACTTTCATCTGCAGTGAAGAATTTGGCATCACTTTGCCCTTTTTGTCAATATTAAGGCTTGGAAATCAGTTCTGTTTGCAAAACTACTTTATCTTTTGAAAGAAACAGATACTCAACATGTTAAAAATGGCCAAAATATAACTTGGTATTTGCAGGGATCTCTCTTTCCCAAATAATCAGATATCTAAAATCTTGTGTTGAAGAGAAGTACCTATAATTTGCCCAAGCCTTCAAGATGCTATCACATGGCTGATTCCTCTCATTCTTCAAGTTTCAGCTGAGATGAAAATGGTCAGAAAAGCATTTTCTGAACACCTTCTCCAAACAGGTCCTGTTATTACTATCATGGCTCTACGTCCTGTCATCCATGCCATTTCATCAGCTTAAAAGTATATTTTTATTTACATATTACTCTCTTCCCACTATGATTATAAGGTCCTTCAGGGTTGATAGGGTTTGGATCTGTGTCCCTGCTCAAATCTCCTGTGAAATTATAATCTCCAATGTGGAGGTGGGGCTGGTGGGAGGTGACTGGATCATGGGGGTGGTTTCTGATGGTTTACCACCATCCCCCTAGTGCTGTTTCATGAGAGAGTTCTCAGGAGATCTGGTTGTTTGCAAGTGTGTAGCACCTCCCTCACCTTCCTCCTGCTCTGGGCCATGTAATTTGTGCCTGCTTCCCCTTCTGCCATGATTGAAAGTTTCCCGAGGCCTCCCCAGAAGCCACCATGCTTCCTGTACAGCCTGCAGAACCGTGAGCCGATTAAACCGCTTTTCTTTATAAATTACCCAGCCTCAGGTATTTCTTTACGGCAATGCAAGAGTGGACTGATACAAGGTAAAGATTGTGCCTGCTTCTTTTACCTGAGTATAGCCAGTGGCAGCTTTATGCCCTGGCCTATCATCACCATCCTATAAATACTAATTAAGTTCACGGCTAAAGAACAGTCACGATTCCTGTTCTCAAGGCTCTTTTTAGCCAGTATCATTTTTATGGCCATGTCGGTTGTTAAAATTCAAAGTCCTTCTGTACTTAATAACCTCTGCTCAGAGCCCTGGAAGTCCCCCAGCCCTTACTCATTCTTCTATTTGCCCTTTTCGAGGAATTCTCAGAATTCTCCTCAACCCACAACTTAAGGCCTAATACCTGGCCCAGTGTGCCCTAGTTCTGGTGCTGAGGACTGTGTGTGTTGGTTGGTGTCTGTGCTGTACAGGTTGGTAAATGTTTTGAAGGTCATACCTGCCTAGACTTCTAATCCAAACCCAGAATCTACTTTCTGTTGCTATATAATACATAGAAACTTCCATAATAATGACATAGAGTAACATAGGAAAAGATCCCTATTGCTAATGATGAACAAGTTAAATTCATATTAAAGCAAAACCATAGCCTCAGATAGGGTAAACAGATGGGCAGGTCTGTGTGAACGTGTTTGTGTCAGGGTTAGGAGTTAGGGAGGTCTGTGGCAAGGGAGGATTGCAGAACAATCACCTTTATGTTCTTTTGGATTGAAGACAAAGTTTCATCTCTTTCAAGGAGAGAGAAGAGCTTTATTGAAAAAAGTCAAACTTCAACTGCGAATATATTCCTTAAGTGGAGAGATCCTGGGTGAGACTCCATCCAGAAGCTGGCTTAATTGGACTCCAACTGGGCAGAATGAATTCTTAATCAGAACATATTTTATTTGCTTAAAATGAATATTATTGCAGTTACCCCCGATTTATCAACAAAGTGGCCATTAACAGCCATCAGTGGCTGACCTTGACAGATTCCATTACTGAAATAATGAAATTTGATGGGTTACTATTATTAAGATTTGCTAATGGTTTTACATTGCAGAGCTTGAGACCAGTGAAACAGAGCTGCTTACTCAGGCAGGCTGACCACAGGGAAAATGAGAGGGAGGGAGTAATGAAAAGCACAGGGAGCTTGATGAAAAATGAATGGCTCCCAGGCAGAATTTCCACAAATGAAATGCAAATTCAGATATATATCTCTTAATCACCAAACTGAAAAGGTTGATTACTTAAAATTAGACTCACCAGATGTTTTTGTTGTAGGCAGGAATGGAAAGCTGACTAAGTGGGAAAATACAAATTTATTCTTTAAAAGGTCCTAGTTATCTCATAATAGCTGGTAGGAAATTGAACTGAAGTCATAAACGGAAAGCAGCTAGATTCAGAGGGGAATGAGGAGAAAAGCTCAGAGGCAAGAAAAGGAGAAGAAATAAGACAATTCTATTGTGTTAGCATTCCTGATATTTGTAAACTTGGGCTGACGTGCAAAAGAAGTGATTTACTTTTTTTTTCCTAAAAATTCATTGGTTAGCAGCTTTCTTCTCACATAATTTTAGATTGTAAACATTTTACTTCCCTTATCCTCAGAGCCATTATTAATTTCCATTACCTTCAGACATGACCCAGCTACAAGAAACACCAACCCAATTTCGTTTGAGTGGAACCAGCTGTGGGCAAAGGAGTAAAGTTGCTTCTGGGATACAGTTTGGGAGACATTGGAAAGGCCTGTTCTTAGATTGTCTCCCTCACCTTCCTGGTTTTCCCATCAAAGATTTGTCTGTTTGGATCTATCAAGCATTTTGAACTTACTGGCTTCTGTTTAAAATGCAAACACTTCCGAAGAGGCAATAACTGAGAACCTGTTAGGCTTATCAACTAATACCTTTGCCTAAATAGAGATTCTGTCAGGACAAAAGTTTTGAGGAGTGGATTATTTCAGAGCAATTAGTGTTTGGGAGAGGGAAAAAGGCACTCCTAAGAGTTGGAAGAGATCATTTTTACCTATCTTACAATTTCCAAGAGGAGGGCCCTTCTGTGGCTTAACTAGTATTTATTGCCAAAACTTCATGGATTAAAAACTCCCAAACTGAAGTCAGTTTTGGTTTCCTCATGCCTCTCTATATGGCAAAAGAACCCTAGATAATGAGGAATATTGGATGCACATGGAGATAACCTCCTTGTTTGTCTATAAGATAGAAATAGATTCTGTCTTGCTATTATTGCCTGTCCTTTACTTTCTGGGTCAGTGGTCCAGGATCCTGTTAATTTCTTACATAACAAATTAGCTGTGGACCTCAATAACCACTGTCCAAGTTTGTAAAACAGAGAACGAGATATGAGTAAGTTCCTTGCCAGATCTATTATAATTAAGTTACTGTAACTTCTGTAAGTGTACTTAAGCCTAACAGTCAGTACACAGCATATAGGAAATGCATATGTGGTTTTGAACCAATCAGCTTAAGTATATTGTACATTAGAGGAGATAGGCTCAAAGCAAGTAATTCCTTTTAAAATGTTTTTATATGCATCACATCCATAACTAAGGGCCTACTGTGTGGTAGGTATCACAATCCAGGAGTGCAAAGGTAAGAACTGTGTAACATATGGGCCTGTTCTATGGAAATGAATGTATTAGGGAATCTGTTATATTTTGCTATCAAGGTTAATAAAACAAAAACAGAAAAAGTTAGCCAGGGGGAAATGTATTGTATAATCCATTTTGGGATAGATAAAAGGTGACTTTGGGGAACATAGAGCCCCTTGCCCCGCATAAGAAACTCCAGAAATAGAAAAGAGAAACAGGAAAACCAAAACTGGCTGGCCACTCGGGAGATCACATTTGTTAGTGGCTTCCGCTAAGTGAACTATTTGAGACAACTTATAACTTATGTTGGGTCAGGTAACTCTAGAAGTGCCCTCTAGTTGGTAATAGATAGCTTGTAATATGTCTGGTTCATATAATAAAACCTTATTTGAATGCCACTATTGTCAGAACATGTAGAAAGATACTATATTTGCACTACCTATAAAATGGTATTTGTTCTACAAAGGTATAAAATTATAGGGGGATAATTAAAATGCTTAGACTCTTCAGGCACTTGACAGTCATTTCTGTGTAAATGACTTAAATCACTAATTGTAAAACATTTCAATTTAATCCTCAAGATACCTCAAGGAGCTCCACTCGCTGATATTCTTTCTGGTATAACACTAGTTACCATTCTTTCTGGTATAACACTAGTTACCATGTGCATTGGAGAATAAAAATTTCTCTGAAATAAACTGCAATTGTGACTCTTTAATTCAGACTTATTTTCTCAACAATTAGTCAAAATTAGTCAAATAAGGTGAAAGTATAAATGGTTATACAAAACTCTTAATTTCTTATGAAGACTATAAGGGCAATTATACATGAAAAATAAAAGGCTTAACTCTCACTTTTAAAAATAAGAGAATGCAGTTTGATAGCTCTGATGCTTAAAAAATAAAAAGGGAATAAGAACAAAAGTTATCTTTTCTTAGAGCATTTTCCTTTGTCAACTTGTAATTGGCCCGGTGTGGTGGCTCATACCTATAAATTTCAGCACTTTGGAAGGCTGAGGTGGAAGGATTGCTTGAGCCCAGGAGTTCAAGACCACTCTGGGCAACATAGCAGCGCCTCATCTCTACAAAAAGTACAAAAATTAGCTGAGCGTGGTGGAGTGTGCCTGTAGTCCCAGCTACTTAAGGGGCTGAGGCAGGAGGATTGCTTGAGCCCAGGAGTTCAAGGCTGCCGTGAGCTATGAAGTAAGCTGCCACTGCACTCCAGCCTGGGCACCAGAGTGAGACTCCCTCAAAATGAAAAAAAAAAAAAAAAAAAGAAAAAAAAAAAAGACAGTCATATGAAAAAAGCTCAACATCACTGATCATTTGAAAATCAAAACCACAATGAGATACCATCTCATGCCAGTCAGAATGGTGATTATTAGGAAGTAAATAACACGCTGGCAAGGTTGTGGAGAAAAAGGAACACTTATATACTGTCGGTGGGAGTGTAAATTAGTTCAACCATTGTGGAAGACAGTGTGGTGGTTCCTCAAAGATCTAGAGGCAGAAATATCATTTGACCCAGCAATCCCATTACTGAATATATACCCAAAGGAATATAAATTATTCTGTTATAAAGACACATGCACACATATATTCATTGCAGCACTATTCACAATAGCAGAGACATGGAAACAACATAAATATCCATCACTGATAGACTGGATAAAGAAAATGTGGTACATATATACCATAGAATACTATGCAGTCATAAAAATGAGATCATGTCCTTTGCAGGGACATGGATGGAGCCTGGAGGCCATTATCCTTAGCAAAACTAAACTATACACATGTTCTCACATATAAGTGGGAGCTAAATGATGAGAACACATGGACACATAGGGGAACAACACACAACTAGGGCCTGTTGGAGGGTGGGGCCTGGGAGGAAGTTAGACGATCAGGAAAAATAAATAATGGGTACTATGCTTAATACCTGGGTGATGAAATAATCTGTACAACAAACTTGTGCCATGACACAAGTTTACCTACATGACAAACCTGCACAGGTACCCCTGAACTTAAAAGTTCATAAAATCCTTGTAATTATAAATTCTTTCTTTGGCTCTTTGAGATGAAAAATATTTTAAAAGGCCCTCGCAGGTCTTACAAGCCAGGAGTGTCATTTTCTAGGACCAAGGAGCCATCTCTCTGACGTAAAGGAGACAACACTTCTATCTTGCGGCTTCGGTAAGAAGGTAGGAGCCTAAACTTCCGAGGATCCTCCTCCTCCAACTTGCAAAACTACTTCTTGTCATTAAGATATGAGAAGTTTGTTTTTCCCTTTATAAGACACTAATTAGCTAACACAGATGTTCACCCCAATTACCAGGTATATTTAGGATGAACTATGTGAGGCACATGGTGCTGTCAAGTCCTTATGTGAGGACTAGCTAGTTGTTTATCTAGAGAATGCCTATGTAATAGGATGCATCTGTTTGGCTGTATAAAAGAGTGAGATTCGTCTTTGCAATCCCTCAGTGGATTCCCTCTATGTGTATCATATTCTAGTTTAGCGTTTATTCAATAATAAAGCTGCTTTCTTTCTCTACTATATTTGTAAAGAGGTTTTTTTTTAGGTTGGAAGATGATTTTGTCTTTAAATTTACCCAACCTAACCTCATATTGATTTTAGATATATTTCACGTGCTCTTAAACTATGTCCCTAAAACCCGAGCAGATGTTAACATTAGCTTTACTGCCTATGGGTTAACCATTCATGTCAACACTGATTCTCCTTCCTCCGGATCTTGGTGAATCACCCTAGAACATGTTTTGCCACCCTTCCTCACTCACTTCCTGGTATTATCACTGATAATGGTCTGCAGCTTTAATTTAAATTAGAGGATTAATTTTATGATATCTCAAATAATGTGATAACAGCAAGTAGATTGTCTTAAAAGTCATGTGTCAGCTAGCTGAGAAAGACTGCAAGTGATAGGGAGGAAAGAGGCTGAGCTGTTAGGGATTTAAGGTCAGTGAGTACATGACAAAAAATAAAATATTACATGCCTAGAAAGGCAGGACAAAATGAAGCAATGACTCAAAGTTCATCAACAGAAAAGAATATAAGAGATTTCAGCCTTCAGTCCTAGCAACAGCCTGCAATACAAAACAATTCTGGCTCTACTAGGTGAAGATGCTGACCTAAACCAGTCCTGGGTCACCTGGACTGTACTTGGAGCAGCAATGTCCATTGGAACGTTCTGTGACGGAAGGGTTCCATATCTACTGCCCAATGTACTAGCCACCAGCCATGTGTGTACTGACCACTGAAAATGTGGCTGGTGTGACAGAGCAGTTGAATGTTAAATTTAAGTTGATAAAATAAAAATGAAATGGCAATATATATGACTAGTGGCTACTCTATTGGACAACACAGAACTATATGATTCAAGGGAAGATGATTTTTGGGGTCATTTACTTAAATATTACAAGGCTTGCGCTATTTGGAGAGAAATCTCCTGTGTAGGATACTGATCAGCATTTATCACTGATTGGAAGATGTACAGATACTAGAGTTGAAGTGGTCCTAGATGTTGTTGGCAGTGATGGGAACATTTGGGTGCTTGAGACGAGGTAAGCTTTTCTGGGTTCTCTCCAGCCATCTCATGAGACTTCTTGCTGTATTTTTCACATATTTCATTATTTTCAAGTTCTACTATCTTTATCTTGCTCACATCCTGGGAATCATAAGAGGATTAATTCGTGAGTTTCATAAATTGTTTTGTAGATTAAAATTCCCTATTAAAATGTCTATTACTATCAGCAGTCCTGACTTGGAGAGATTAGACTTCTGACAATTCCTGTTTATAGGGTTCGGAGCAATGCATCTGTGCTATTAGCCCAGGAGGCAGGCCCACACAGACTCAGTTAGATTAAGCAATCAGCTTCCTGATAGGCTTACCGAGAAAGCTGACTCGCCCTTCAGCCTCAGCCTGGCCTCGTGGTTCCTCCCTTCTCTGCCTGCTTCCTGTCCTAGGGTCTGTCAGCCACTCTGCAGAGCTATCCTGTACTGCCTGAGGGGCTGTGCAATCAACTCAGGCCTCAGGGGAGAGAGCAGCTGAGGAATGTAAATGGTGCACAGTGTAAACAGTAATGCACTTGAAGTCACAAGACCTGGCTTTGAGTCCCAGACTTGCCTTGTTAATTATGAAATTCTGACTAGGTACTTAGTCTCTTTGAAACTTACTTTTCTCATTCCCATTCATTTAACAAATATTGAGTTAGGTACTGTGTTAGGAACTGGGGAGTCATCAGTGAACTAGACTAAAAACTTCTACCCTCATGGAATTTACATTTTCAGCAAGAGGAACTGAAAATAAACATAATAAATGCTTTACATAACACATCAGAAGGTAATAAGTAGGCCAGGTACGGTGGCTCATGCCAGTAATCCCAGAACTTTGGGAGGCCAAGGTGGGTGGATCACCTGAGGTCAGGAGTTCGAGACCAGCCTGGCCAACCTGGTGAAACATATTCTCTACTAAAAATACAAAGATTAGCTGGGTGTGGTGGTGGGCGCCTGTAATCCCAGTTACTTGGGCAGCTGAGGCAGGAGAATCGCTTGACCTGGGAGGCAGAGGTTGCAGTGAGTCGAGATTGCGCCACTGCACTCCAGCCTGGGTGACAAGAGTGAAACTCTGTCTCAAAAAGTGATAAGTGAGGGAGATAGATAAAGCTTGGTAAACTGGATGGGGAATAGATGGGAGACAACATGGTTTTTGTGGGGGAATCAGGATAAGCCTCACTGAGAAATAGACATTTGGGCAAAAGCTTGAGGAAATAAGGCAAGTACCTATCTGTGAAGAACCGTCCAAGTTTAAGTCCAGACATAAGACAGAGAAACCTGAAAATAAAAACTGGTTGATGACCCTCACCTAGAGATAAGTTACCCTTAAAATGCCTACTATGTGCTAGGTGCCAAATACTTACTTACATTTAAAGGCTGACGCTGACTGATTTCCTTCATCATGGAAAATGAAGGTTATCCAAATAACTTGACAAGTTAAAAGCATCTCAGGAAAGGGATCATTTTCAATTTGAATCTGTCTTGTTCCACTGTTTACTATGAATTTGTAGCAATATTATGAGATAGCTTGGTGCATATGTGTATGTAATATATAAAACTGTTAGCCAATTCTGCATGGGAATCTGAGTTGCTAATTTCTCCAGAACATCTCTTGAAGGATTTTTGAATAGTGAATAATCTTTCAAGATGGAGATAGTGTCTCCATCTGGAGCAAAGGTCAGGTTTGTTTCCTGCTCATTATGAAGATTTGGGTTTGTTAAGCTCGGTTTTCTTTCCTGTATACAATCCACTGTGTCTGTAGTTGCCATATGGCCCTCTTTACATCACCCTGTGAAAACTGGGACTTGTGCAACTACTGCAAGAAAGTGGCGATACTCTGGCTATTGTAGTGAATCTCTGATCCAAGAGTCTCATGTCTTGCAGCAAGATAATGTGTTAGCCTGCAACTAGAATAAAATCCAAAACCTGCCTTTAAGTCTTGACATCTATGATTTGAGATAGAGATTTTTTTAAAGAGAACTAAGTGAACTTTTTGTCCTGAGTGAAGCACAAAGTACCCACATTGTAAAGTGGAAAATAGAATGGTTCATCAATTGTCCCAGCACCACTGCAAAGAGACAGTTAAGTAGCTGGTTTCCTTAGGCAACTGGAAATCTAGATAATATTGTGAATTTAATTGACCACTAATGGAAGTTCTCTATTTTTAAACATTTTTCTTTCCATCTTTCTGAAGCGATAGGAATACCTTTTCCCTAGAAAGGTCAGACTTCAGGAAGCACATAACATTTAAATAATCTGAAAGCTCAGCATCCCTGGATGTGCAAAGCTGCCAGAGCTGGGTCAGAGAGTCAAGCTGAATGGAATTACTGAAGGCAGCTATATGGCTGGAAATGCAGTCTTAAGATGAAGTGGAAAGCTAAGCTCTGACAGCTTGGTATTGAGATTTAACATTTGCACAAGGTTGTTGAGGATAAAGGCAATTGCCAAGAACAAGTAAAACTATTCAGAAGTTCATAGATTTGAGGGGGTCATTCATACGACCAAAAGAAAACTCCAACTCAAGGAACTGTGTATTACTTGTGTCTAATATTTCCCCAAAATATCATTGCTAAATTTTTTTTCTTCAAAATTAGGGAATTAGCACTCTTACAGATATATCATTTTTACTATTAAATATAGTTCTTTGAAAGAACCTACTCACGGGGGTATATATGAAATTCCCTATGTTCAACTGAGTTTCTATTTTATCCTGTATGCAGCATTTCCATTATTTGTCCTTGGGCAATTCCCAAAGGAAGTCTAGGGCAGTTTTTCATCCTTGAAGCATCTAAATGTGCTCTATAAACTATATTCTATATTCACCAGCTGCTTATATAATGTTATTTCTAAATGTGGAACAAAAAAGTTATTTACTGCCACTATTGGCACACAAATTCAATATGTATTAAAATATTCTTATTAAGAAGTGTTAGAAAAATAAAACTTCATGAAAATCTTTTAAAATTCCCAGATATATTATTAAATAATAAGCAAGCAAACAGTGACTGGACTTATGGTGATAAAGTAGCTTTACAGAATCTGAAGAGACTAAAAAGGGAAATTATATTAGAGAAATACAAAGTGATTGAAGTAGATACGTCACCAAAAGCACAAACAAAAACAGAAAAATAGATAAACCGGACTTCGTCATTATTAAAAACCTTTGTGCATCAAAGTATGTTACCAAGACAGTGAAAAGACAACCTACAGAATGAGAAAAAATATTTGCAAGTCCTATATTTGATAAGGGTTTAATGTCCAGAACATAAAGAATTTCTAAAACTCAACAAACAGATAAAACAGCCCAATTAAAAATTGGGCAAAGAATTTGAATAGGGATTTCTTCAAAGAAGACATTACAAATGACCAATAAACATATGAAATGATCAACGTCAGTAGTCATTAGGGAAATGCAAATCAGAATCACAATGAGATAACCACTTCTCACATACTATGATGGCTATAACAAACACAAGGAAAATATTGTTGAGGACTTGGAGAAATCAGAACCCTTGTACGTTGATGGCGGAAGTGTAAAATCACACAGATGCTGTAGAAGACAGTTTGATAGTTCATCAAAAAGTTAAAGATAGAACTATCATATGACCCAGTAATTCCACTCCTAGGTATATTCCCCAAAGAATTAAAAACAGGTTATTAATATGCCAATGCTCTGAATTGTAACATTATTCAGAATAGTCAAAAGCAGAAATCCACATATCCATCAACAGATGAATGAATAAAATGAGGTACATATATATATAATGAAATATTATTCAGCCATAGAAAATGAAGTTCTGATATGTACTATACTACAGACCCTGAAAACAGTATGCTAAGTGAAATAAGCCAGACAGAAAGAGAATAAATGTTGTATAATTGCACTTGTATAAAATATCTGGAACAGATGAATTAAGAGACAGCAGATTAGAGGTTACCAGGGAGTTGGGTTGGAAGGAGTGGGGAGTTATTGCTTAATGGTTACAGAATTTGTTTGTGAAGGCGAAAAAATTTGGAAATAGATAGTGGTGATGGTAGCACAAGATTGTGAATGTAATTTATGCCACTAAATCATTACACTTAGAAATGGTTAAAATGGCAAATTCTCTATTATATATTTTACTGCATAAAGTACATGCCTTTGTGACTTTTAAAAATATGAATTCTAAACTGGTCAAATATATATAATGGATTTTTTAAAACAAGAAAGTGAAGAAATTATTGGGGTCTAAGTAAACATACCTGAGATAATTACAGGCAATTGAAACTAAAAGGACAGATATAGACTACTGTAGGGATAGAATAAAATAAATCAGATCAAATGCTAAACTACTGTCTTGAACATGCTACTTTATTTGTAATGGTCAAGACTAGAAACAGAATTGGAAGAATAGTTAACAGATTGTGGTATACCAATATGAGAGAATAACTTGCAGGTATTAAAGTCATTATAAAGCCCATGTAGAAAAACAAATTGACAATACAATGTTATGTGAAAGGATCAGAATATAAAACAGTATATTACATTATTGCAACTTTGCTAAGATACATTGTATGTGGCAGACAAAATATGAAAACAGTTGTGCTAGGATTAAAACATTTCTACTACTGTTGCTTTATTGTTAATTCAGGTTTTTAGAAAAAAGGATACATGAAAACATTGGTTTAATACCTTGCATCTCTATTAGTAATTATCTATTGTGCAAAATAACTTTGGAGATTCAGGCTAGCTTCTCTTTACTCTAGAGTTGTATCCATCATATACTGTTTTACTATGCAGATTTGTTATGTCTAAATTGGGCTATGATTAGTGACATTAGAGCTAAGCCAGGGATTTGAAGAAGTTAAAAGCTAAAGAAATTCCACAATGAGTTTTGCTTGGGATCTCACTAAATATTCTTATTTAACTCCAATATTTCAAGATTCAATATATATATAACTAAGATTATATAGTTTGAAATTAGCTTAGGAATTCAGTAGTCCAAGTTCTTTTAACAAAGGAAAAAACTGAGGTATACAGCCCATGTGCTGACAAAAGCCAGACAGTAGCCAAGCTTGCCTGTCTTAATACTCTGCTCATTCCATTATGCCAGAGCAACTTCTCATCTATCCTCAAACTCCACATTACCATGTAATATAGACACGTGCCTGCATGAGCTTGGTGCTGGAAGACATAACTTCAAAAGGATGCTAGCTTATTGCTGTTTACTTGTACTGAATTAACTGAACCCATTATCTCTTTGACATTGTGAGAATTACTTCAACTTATCAGTGCAACCTGATTCAGATTTCTTATTCCATCCTTGTGAAAAAGCTATTCCAAATCCATAAATTCAGTGGGTCAGTTTTGACCTGAAAAAGTGAAATCAGTAATGAAAATATTGCCTCCTTTTATGATTATTCAATTCTACTTGAAGCAAGAGGCTGGATTGAAAAACAACCTCTTTTGGTCCATCAGTTCTCTTTTGGTCTAATTTTATTGCCAAACTATTACAGGCTGCTGAACCACTGATCAGGCTGCTAACTAATCAGTTTTCTACCCTATACTCATCCATAGTGGAAAAAGAAAATAAACAAGCAATTCAGAAAATACATTATTTAGCATTACTCTTTCAATAGGGTCTATGACTTAGTTTATTACACCAAGAACCAACCCAATTTCAAATAATTACAAAGTGTTAGTAAACTCTCCAGGTAGGCACACAGAGACATGAGTTGCAGATAACGCTGCATGCATTGGTCAGGCCAGTAAGAGGTTTCAGTATCTTTCCCTGCATTTTTGACACCTAACTGGCTGAGTATGGCTCTGCGGGTCATGTGGAAACTTAGAAGTAGAATCTCTGCCAACAGAACAAAAGCATCTTTGTTCAGAGGCTTGCTGACAATTTTAGGTGTTGAAACCCAACAGTAGAAAATGGAATTATAGAGCTGGAAAGAATTATCAAAATGTAATTTAATTCTAGACATATCCTGCATAAGACATGATTTTCTGAACTATTTCAGAAGAGTGCCAGGGAAATTACTTTAGTCGTATCTTTTATTTTTCCTCTTTAAATTCCGACAAATATCTTATTAATGGACAGTGATATCTTTACAATACCATGGTGTTCTTTCAAATATGAGAAGGTACTTTTTTACTCTGACCAATTTGGAATGAAAACTACACTTAAATGTAGACTTTAAATCAAAGATAATGTGAGAGAAAATTATAAGAATCAAAGTGATATGCACCAGCTTAAGGAAATCAGAATTGGTTATCAATGGCCAGTTCTAGCACTTATTAAGCACCTGTTTTGCTAGTGGTGAGGAACTCAAAGACAAATAAGACATAGCCCCTGTCCTTGAGAGGTTATAAAATCTAGCATGCTGTATTGCATGGTTTATTTGACCACTCTGTATATTACAAATGGAAGTGCTAATATTAACAAGCGTATGTGCAAAAAGGATATATGAAAACATTAGTTTAATACTTTGCATCTCAATTAGTAATTATTATGCAAAATAACTTTGGAGTTTCAGGCTAGCTTCTCTTTATTCTAGAGTTGTATCAATTATATACTATTTTATTATATAGATTTGTTACGTCTAAATTGGACTACAATTAGTTATGATTTGTTATGTCTGTTTATTTGACCACTCTGTATACTACTAATGGAAGTGCTAACATTAACAAGTGTACGTGCAAAAAGGACACATGAAAACATTGGTTTAATACCTTGTGTCTCTGTTAGTTTAATACCTTGCATCTCTATATACAAAAGCCCCGAAATTTAAAAAAGTGTACATGCAGTATAATTCATGAGTAGATGTTAAAAGTCTGCTCCAATCCTAAACTGATAGTGTAGGCAGTGCTTCTCAGAGTGTCCCAATTTTTGGACTTCCCATTAGTTCCTACTCAGATTCTCTGGGAATGGGCCCTGAGAATATGTATTTCCCAGTAATTATTATTATTATTATTTTGAGATGGAGTTTTGCTCTTGTTGCCCAGGCTGGAGTGCAATGGCGTGATCTCAGCTCACTGAAACCTCCGCCTCCCGGTTCAAGTGATTCTTCTGCCTCAGTAGCTGGGCGTGAGCCACCGCACCCGGCCACTGCCATTGTTTCCTGACTTTGCCTAGAAAAGTTAGCCTTCAGAGACAAATTCTCATTCAAAGGTGAAATGATCTTCAGTTATGAGTGATTATTTTTGCATCTATTTTACTTTCTTTTTTTTTTTTAACCTTGGAACCAGTTTATTCTGGTGCTAAGAAGAACTGTAAAATAGTTAAAATGTCCTATCAAGTAATTCACTGATTACATAGACACCACTTTTGTTTTTTATTCCATTTTTTGTTTTAACTCATGTGGTAGTGATATTTAATACTTTCTGATCAAATAGGTTCAAAGCGAATCTTTAAATTTCAAATTTCTTTTTTTAATTGTGATAATACATTTTATTTAACACAGTATATCCAAAACATTCCCAACTGTAATATAAAATTTATTATTATTATTATTATTATTATTATTATTATTATACTTTAAGTTTTAGGGTATATGTGCACAATGTGCCGGTTAGTTACATATGTATACATGTGCCATGTTGGTGTGCTGCACCCATTAACTCGTCATTTACATTAGGTGTATCTCCTAATGCTATCCCTACCCCCTCCCCCTACCCCACAACAGTCCCCAGAGTGTGATGTTCCCCTTCCTGTGTCCATGTGTTCTCATTGTTCAATTCCCACCTATGAGTGAGAATATGCGGTGTTTGGTTTTTTGTCCTTGCGATAGTTTACTGAGAATGATGATTTCCAATTTACTTTCAAACTTGTCTGAGAATGGTTACTCTGGATGTTCAGAAACATTTCACTTTCACAGTTCAGTCATATTCTTGTCTTTCATTCAAATGTCCGCAAAAATAGGCAGGTGAGCAAGTGCTGGCTAAGGCAGTTCAGTGAGGAAAGGGCTAGAGGGGAGGAGTTCTGAAGGCCATAACCAGAATCTAAAAGAAGTTCATTCCCCTGAGGAAAATTCCCTATTAACACTGTTCCCATAATTGCTTTCACTTTTATGAGAAATGTAAACAGTCAGAAATGAAACCTCATTAATATAATGAAAATATTTCTTGCTGGAATTAATAAAACTCTCTCCTGCTGAGTTTAAAGCACCAAGTTATTGAAAAGACAAAAGTGTGACTTTCAGCTTTTGCCTGACAATTGGAACGTGAAATTCTCATGGTATGTCTCTTATTCTTAGCTTCGGTCTTGCCAAAACTATTTCCATGGAAACAGACATCAAATCTGAAAATACTGAAAAAGCTACTATGGGGATGATCATCTAAACTCATTTGCTATACTTCGCCAAGTAAGGTCCCGAGTGTAAAAAGGCGAACACAGGCTGGCATCCTAGTGTAAAAATGACTTTGCTATCAGGGAAAAACCACAAGGGCCTCTTAGGGGACCATGTTTCTTCCTTCTATTTCTCTATCCCTCTTTTGTTTCTTTTTCCCTCCCTTCTCTTCTCACTTATTCAGTCATTCCTTCACCCAATATAATTGAGTTCCTATTTATGGTTAAATATATGTACACATATTTGTTTTCTCCCATGTAAGTCAGGAACACTGATGCATGGTTTTCAGAGAGAAACCAATAGACAGATACTGTCTTGCATTGTATCTAGGAAGCATGTCTGTTTAAACAGATGCAAACAATGGAAGGGCAAGGTTGGTGTCTTGCCATCACTGGCATCTAACACAAAATGGCTCCATAAACATTAGGAATCCTGATGCCTGAACAGAATGGTTGGAGCCATAGTAGAACTGTTGAGGACTGGTATAGGAAATGTGTTGGAGAGTTAGTGTAGCTGAGAAACACAAAAGGAACCTCGTTTCCTTTGAGTGAAGAAGCCACAGGTGTGTGGTTGGGGAATTCAGAAGCCTGTGCCTAAGGTGGAAATAGTAGACTTAAAACCACAGTGCTTGAAGCACAGCCAATAAATGAGGATCAACTCTCTTTATTCCAGACAGGATTGAACATCTTCTCTCAAATGAAACAACTTTAATACAAAATTACCCTTATCATAGAAAGATGGATTAATTGGTCTATTAGAAAAATAAAGAACACCCCTGAGTAGACAGACCTTTGATTTCTGTAGCAACTGGGTCATGTCCAAAAGTTCTTTATTAAATGTATAGCCTGAGTGGTTTCCTTGAATAATATGTCGAGTGGGAATTAATTGCACAATGTATTAATTATGGGAATATAGCCTACAAATGTAGTCAGTCATGTAAACCTTTATAGTTGTTCATCTGGGATTTTAAAAACTTTCAAATGTGAAAAGGAATCATGAATCTACCCCCACATAAAATAGGGAATGGTAGGAGAAAAATCAATTCCCATTTTTAAAGACCTTTTAAAAAGTGGAGAATGGCAAGCATTCATGATTGTTACCCTAAAGGTTCTTATTGACACAGGCTAATATAAATTGAGCAAAAAGGTTTTGTTCATCTTTACATCTCACCATAGCTAATGGTTCTAACTCATGAAATCAGTTATTAATAATTAAAATTAATTTTAAAAGACAGTAGATAATTGACTTTGAAGACATCACTTTTTAAAGTGCCACCATACTTCATGTTTCTCAGCTCCTCCTGGTTAAAACAAAAGCTATTATAGACCCTTAAACAGGGCCCTAGAGTGTGAGGAAAGGTCAGAAAAATGCTGCCTTATGAAATGAGAGCCAAGGAGGATCATCATAAAATGGATGAAAATGTTCACCTACAGAAATCTTCCTAGAAGTGACTCTTCAGAAGAAAGGTTTTGAAAATGTTTCCGATTAAAAACATAGCTCCCTGTTCATCCAGGACTCCAAAGTGGCTCTCCAAAAGTAATCCAAAACAAATACCCACAGCACAACTAGAGAAAGCAGGTGCTAATTTTGGAACTGTAATAGTAATATATGTTATAACAGACAATTTTGATGATTGACAAGAGATACTGAAAAAGATGAGTTCAACAGCTAAAAAGTCTTCAGCATTCTTTCCAGGGGAGAAGACATTCTGATTTTAGAAAACTGATCTTGCTTATCTAATCACAAATATCCCTACAGTGGAAAATGGTGATTCATCAATGTTATAGAGTTATAAAAATATCCTTTAAAGAACATCTTAGTTCATATATCTCAATCTGTTGCTTATCGAGCCATATCATAACATCTTTCTTCCATATTATTCTATCTTCTTTGAAAGTTCTGGCCTATTCTCCATTTCTACTGTTGAAATTCTGCCCATCCTTCAAGGTTCAACTCAAGCATCTCCCTCTTGACACAACCATCTCTGATCCCCAATTTTTGCCAGAGTTCTCTGCATTTTTTTTATAATGGCAGATTCTGCTTTCTCAGAATTAGCAGTTTCTTCATTCAATTGTAAGGCATTTGCTGTGTGCTTGTATTTTGATTCATATATATATATATATATATTTTTTTTTTTTTTTTTTTTTTTGAGACAGAGTCTTGCTCTGTCGCACAGGCTGGAGTGCAGTGGCGCAATCTCAGCTCACTGCAAGCTCCGCCTCCCGGGTTCACGCCATTCTTCTGCCTCAGCCTCCTGAGTAGCTGGGACTACAAGCGCCTGCCACCACGCCCTACTAATTTTCTTTTTTTTTTATTTTTAGTAGAGACTGGGTTTCACTGTGTTAGCCAGGATGGTCTCGATCTCCTGACCTTGTGATCCATCCGCCTCGGCCTCCCAAAGTGCTGGGATTACAGGCGTGAGCCACCGTGCCTGTCCTTGATTCATATTTTTAACAAAAGTTCGTGAGAATATATCTGTCAAACTCTTTTGCTAGATGCTTTATGTTCACTGAATCCTCACTGTGTCCCCCACATGCTTGTATAGTCCCTTATCCACTGTGGACCCTTACTAACTTTGCATTGCCATTTAATATGACCAGCTGAGAAGATTCTCTTATCAGGAAGGTGTGTCCCTGCAGGTGAATGGATCCAGGAAAATGGGTTCCTATTACATTCATTTTAAATAAGTGAGCTTATTGGAATTTGAGTCATATAAGCCAACTTCCCAGAGTGCAATCATCTCTGGATGAAGGGGAAAACATAGTATATCTAAACTTACAAGTTGATGCCTAGACTGTGGAATGTGGGGACTCCACTAATGAGTAGCTGTTATGATGAGACCCATGAGGCCTCTAGAAGCTATACTGTACCCTTTCTTATATATATTTTCCAAAAGCATCCAATTTAAAGAACAAAAAAACTGCCCTGAGATGATATGTGTATTCCAATACGGCAGAACTCGGCTTAGATGAGAACGATTCTTGCACGCTTTCCAAAGAAATCTCAAAATCTGAAACGAAAGCTCACCAACTTGATTGGGGAGAAATTCAAAATAAATCAACAGCTCAACAGCTCAACAGCTCTTTTTTTAAGCAGACCTTACTAACTAGGCCTTCATAATTACAACACAGTGATATTAAGTAGACAAACAAAAGTAGTTTATTCTTATATAAAGGTTAGGCTTTCATTTAAAGTACTATATGGGGAAAGCAATCTAAAACTTTTGAAACCAAGGGCACAAGGAAACAAATTTTTTTCAAAGTGCTTGCAGAGTCAGACTCCAGAAATTAATTTTTATATGCAGGTGTACCTGGATAGGCATTTTCTATTACATAGTTTGTACTCAAGATGAAGTACATTTTCTGCTTTGCTTTCCATTCCTTGCACTCTGAAAATTTGTGACCTAGTAGGGGAATAAACTAATGATTATAATCGAATATGTGAAAATATAGAGATATGGAGGGGTTTTGGAAGAATCAAAGCAGGGCAAGTACCTCATTTATAGAGGGAAGGGGAAATGTGAAGGCTTCCTGGAAGAGGTGATGCCAAAATCATAGGAAAGTAGAAAAGTAGAAGGCAGCTAGGCAAGAGGATGAGAAGGCTTTTCAAGCAGAAGATTAAAAAATGAAAGTGTGGGAGTGAAATGACATGAGAATGATGGGAAATTTATTGCAGCTGGAGAATAAAAGATGAGGCAATATACAGTAAGAGATGAAATAGAGGTATGGACCAGGTCCATATTTATGGGGACTTTATGCCTTTCATTTAAGGATCCGTACTTTATGGGGCAAGAGAGACACTCAAGAGTTTCAGTCAGGAGAGCAATTTAGTTAAACCTGTTTCATATGGCTCACTTCAGTGGCAAGGTAGAGAATGAGAGCAACAACCCTGTGGACAGGGAAATGTTTGCATTAGCACCAGAGAGAGATGATGAGGGCTGACTGGGAGGAGAAAACTGATCTAGGAAACAGTGAGCAAGTAAAAACAAAAGAACCACTCAACTGCTTGCATGTGGAGCTTAGGAGGAGGAGAGGAATTCTGTGAGTCTAATGGGCTGAGTAGATGTTGATGGCAGATGCTAAGACAGCCTTCAGGAGAAACAGGTAGACAATGAGTAGAGCTTTTCACCTGAGAAGTGTGGGGGACTTCTGGCTATAAGCAGCCACAGGGTACTTGGATGCCGGGGGTTGAAGCCCTGGGAAGCACTTCATGCTGGGATGTGGATTATTAAGCAGTTTGTCAGTGTTCTAATAGCTGAACCCACGAAAAGAAAAGGACCCAGCAGAAGCAAGAATAAAAAATGAGAAGGTAGAGAATGGGTCTCTGGAGAATATTACCATTTAAGGAAGAGGAGAAAAGGAGTCTGCAAAAGCCACAGAGGAAGAAGATCTAGGGAGTGGGAAGGAGCTGAGGAAGAAGACAGATGTGAAGAAATCAGTCCACAGAATCAAACAATTGCATTAAAGAGTAACACTAGATGAGTATGTGCATATATGTGTATGTATACACATATGATTCTGTTTTTGTGGATCAAGATAGTATCTGAGCACAAGTTTATACTGCCTCACCCCTAAAATTCTATTTAATGATACAAAAGAATTAGAAGAAAAAAATCAGAATTACTGAAAAGAAAATGTCATTTTATTAGTGTTTTTTAAATGATGGAAGAATTTCTGGAAGACAGCAGATGGGATCTGGTTTAGAGGGAAACAGAACTTGAAGAAAGGACAAAAACAAATATAAGAAACTGCAGCAAATGTCAGCAGGGTTTTGAGGAAACTGCATGAAATGCAGGATAAAAGGATATACACATGGATGGGAATTAAGGGGCATTCTCCAAGGGCTGAAATCTGAGGGAGCTTTGCTTGGCAGTGCTCCTCTCCTGCCTATGCTCTGTATTGGGGAGGAACAGCACAGTTCAAGGTTAACACAAGAGCTGTGGCTGCTGATCCAGAGAGGCAGAGAGGGATGAAGGATAACTTCACTTTGTATTCTCTATAGTCCTGAGCTGTTTCTTTCATGTTGAGAATGTATTTGTGTATTACCTGAATGAATTGTTGAAATAGAAATAGTCTTTCGGATTCAACTGGAAATGCAGAAGGGCTTGGTGACCTTGACAAGAACAATAAAAGGGAAGGAGGCTGCAGCCAATGTTGCTTTGCGACATGAATGAAAGGTGACAAAATAGAAAAAGCAAGGGTAAAATCTTGGGGAAATTAACATAAGTTGGAGAGAGATGGAGAGAAATCAAATTCTTGGGAAGGACAGGAGGTAGAGACAGGAAGTACAGAAGATCAGGGGTACAATTGGAAGATGGGAGTAGAAAAAAACAATTGTGCATGATGGTCTTTTCTTGGGGAAGAATGGGACATGATTATCTGCCTTAGACAGTGGCAATCAAAGGCTGTAAAAAGGACCTAAACAGAAAAATCTGAAAAAATCCACTACCTGGCACAGTGGCTCATGCCTGTTATCCCAACACTTTGAAAGGCTGAAGTGGGAAGATTGCTTGAGCCAGGAGTTCAAGATCAGCCTGGGCAACACATTGAAAGCCCATCTTTACAAAAAATACAAAAATTAGCCAGGTGTGGTGACATGCACCTATATTCCCAGCTACTCAGAAGGCTGAGGTGGGAGGATCGCTTGAGCATGGGAGGCTGAGGCTGCAGTGAGCCATGATCACACCCCTGCACTCCAGCCTAGGTGACAGAGTGAGACCCTGTATCAAAAACAAAAAAAAATCCAAGAACAAATTAAAGGACTGATAGCAATGAACAAGAGGATCTAGCTGAGGTTAAAAACCACAGATAGGTGGTGTGCCCAATTCGCAGAGTAAAATTTTCTCCAGCAGGTCTGAGTTACTTGAGTGTAGCAACTGTAAAGGCTGGTTTGTCAGAGCCATCCAGGTTGGGTTTTGGTTAGGCCAATGAAGGAGTAGGATACTAGGACACAGAGGATGCTGGTGACAATAAACTGATCAGAAGATCCACCTTAGCTCCTTGCATGGTGACGATTCCTATCTCTTAGCCCAGAAAAGACTGATCTGGAGAGAGTGGAAGCCTCAAGAGCATACAGGATCCTGACGCAGCCCAAGGGCAGAGGGTGGGCATGAAGGGGCAGCATGCAGATGTTATTCCTCTGCTTTAAATAGCCAGAAGCAACACAAGTACCCTGTCCCTTCTCTTCTTCTTAGAAAGAATATTTAGCAAAAGAATAAAGAAATTCATAGTCCATAAGCCAGGCCAAATCAACAGACTAACAAAAAATGAAGCACTTCTGACCGGGCATGGTGGCTCACACCTATAATCCCTGCACTTTGGGAGGCCGAGGCAGGCGGATCTCCTGAGGTCAGGAGATCGAGACTAGCCTGACTAACATGGTGAAACCCCGTCTCCAATAAAAATAGAAAAATTAGCTGGGTGTGGTGGCGGGCACCTGTAATCCCAGCTACTCAGGAGGCTGAGGCAGGAGAATCACTTGATCCTGGGAGGCAGAGGTTGCGGTGAGCCAAAATGGTGCCACTGCACTCCAGCCTGGGTGACAGAGGGAGACTCTGTCTCAAATAAAAAAGAAAAAAAAAGAAGGCACCTCTTTCTTTCTTATGACCTGATCGTTTCTTAATTATTCTCACCAGTTTCCAGTGGCCATGGATCATCTATGCTGTGCTAAGTGCTGTTTTATTGAGCATGTTTTCCCAAAGATGAGGCTGAAGTCTGCCATGCAGAGAGAAGTCAGCTGCCACTCTGGCAGGCTCTCAGCTGCCTGGGTCATTAAATGACTTCTTATCCATGGGTTAATGTCCCGAAGGACAACCGAGGACATGTCTTTCAAGAGCAGAGGTTTTCGTGATATTTTACCGTATTGTGCTTCTAAGTATGAGACAACTGGCCAGGCAAGGAGATGTCCCTAAATTCTCTTGCATCTGTGGGCAGAGGAGGGGAAGGGTCACTGCACTCAGGGACAAGAGAAGGGGTGGGCCAAGTGGTGGCCCTGCGGATCCTTTGTTTCAGGGTAGTGACAAGCATAGATGGCCACTTGACACTTGACAGCTCTCCAGCACTGCCATACTCTAGAGACAGTAGCACTTTCTCTCAACATGGCTATGAACATCTCTGTTCCTGGATGCCAAGCCACTCAGCTGCAGGCTGGGGCAGTGCCTGGATCTCTCTCTGGACCTCTGGGGAGGGAAATGAAGTATGGCAGGAACAAAAATAAAGATACAACAAATGGAGGCAATTTCACTTCTTCCCCCTAGGAGAGAAAGTGAAAAGATAGAGAAACCAAAGGAGACTTGGACTAATTCAAGTTTCCGTTTGTATTCTGGTAGATGCTAACTTACCATATGATCTCCCAGAAGTGGAAGTGAGGACAGGTAACCCAAAGCCCTTTCTGTCCTGGTTGCCTGAATAGTCTCTGACATGTACTTCTTAGGCTGACTAATAGCCGTATAAAGGAGTTGGGCATAAACCTGGAGGGTCCCAGGAGAGACAATCTCAAGTGGATTCCTCAGATAGTTTGTTTCAGGCTGTGGGGCTGGGAATGTCCTCCAGTGTAAAGGCTGACAGAACACCATCTGGTTTTGAGTCTGGTTTACTCAGTTGATTTATTTTTTCAAGCATTTTTTTTCCAGAAGATACGGTATCATAGGAAAATATATTTTGCTGTCATTCCTCTTGGACCTAAATGAGCATGCTATTTTTTCAACCTAAGTGCTTAGATTTTATGTAGTTACATTTGCTTGTATACATTCACTTCATTCCATATAGAATTTGAGGTTGCTCATAAAAAAAGAAGTAAAAAATAAGACCAAAAAAAGTGCAAAAAGTATGCCAGTCAAAAGGTCTAGAAAGTAGATACATGAAGTTACATGCAATTCCAAGTATAGTAGTTTTTGGGAAATTAGAGGCTGAGTTTTGAAACTCACAAGCAAGTGAAAATGGTCAGGGAAGTTAAAAAAAAAAGAGAAAGTACTAAATCAGAGACAATAAAAAAATCCTTAATTAAAAGTATGTTGTGGTGAACGACTAGACAGATCAGTAGAAACAGTCAATAAACACCTAAATACACATGGAATGCAGTAGATGGCAAAGGTGGTATATGAAGTCTATGGGGAAACAAATGATGCTGGGACAATAGGTTGCCATGCAGAAAAAGATAAAATTAGATCACGTGTTAATTTCTAAATGGCCCAAAGACTTAAATTTATAAAACAAAACCATAAAAGTAATGGGAGGAAACATTTAACTTTATAGTGGAAAAGGCTTTTGTAGCAATGATTCAAAATTCAGAAGCCATAAGAGAAAGGAACATTAATAAATGAGACTCCATAAATCCATGTGGAAAAAAACAAGTAATGTCAAGTGACAAGTAACAAACTGGGAATATACAGGTAAGATGTGATAACACAAAGAGCTTAATCCCCTAATTTACCAATTAGGAAAAAGCCAAGACAAGAGTTCAAATTATGTTGAAAACTTAATTAACACTTATATGACAAACATTACATTTACTCAATCTTTAACCTCATAAAGACAGAAAATAAATTAGCATCTATTTTCTTTTCTCACATGGCTAATTAGTATATGAAATAGAATCCAAGAGAGATCCACCATGCAAACAGAAACCATAATGTAGGTTCTGTTACCATCTCCATTTTATCACCAGGAACCTGAGACACAGAGAGGTGAAGTAACTTGCCCAAGGTCACACAGCTTAGAAGGGACAGAGCCAGTATTCAAATCCAGATAGTGTGGCTCCAGACATTTTGCTTATATTCACCAAGTCCTACAGCAAAAACCATGGGCAGCCAATTATAGAAAATAAAAACATAACATGAAGCGATGCTAAAACCCCCATATACTAAATCAACACAAAACTACAATGAGATTTTATCATTTTCTCTGTCCTTCAAAGCTTCCTGAAACATCTGCACTGTCTAGGAAGGCAGCTATTTGAGCTGCATGAAGGCAAGAGGTTAGGTCCAGGAAGGTTAGGATTCTATGTAAGGTGTCACAGCTTGAGGGGAATGGCCCCAAATAAATGTAACCCAGCTTGCCTTTCCTCCCATTACAAAAGTAATAATGCAGAAAATACATGATTATGTTTATCCTTGAGGGAAAAAAATCTATTTAGACTGACGGTACTTCAAAATTACCCCATAAACTGCAAATATATTTCTGAAATGAAATAACATCTGGAAAAGGAATTTAAAGTGGTATCTTTGGTTGCCTGTCAGAATACGGCAATGTGAGAATAGTCATTTTCACCTTTTCTGAGATATGTCTTTGCTAAAGACAGGAAATAAAGTAGCTTCTATTTTCTCTTCTCATGGCATTGGCAGATGGAAAAAGGATACATCATGAAGGGTCCATGAGAAAAGAAACCATCCTGAGGAAAGGGTTTGCTCATTTTATACGTTGCGGTGAAGTCACAGTTACTGCTGATCATGGGAAGTAGGTTTATAAAGGGAAAATGAAATCCATAGAGAATACTAGGATCACTCTCTCTCCACCCCGCAGGATTATTCTTAATCCAATGCTTCAATCTCCTGTCATTGCTGCTTTACTCAGAAGCTCCCACACAGAAAACACAATGATTTGCAATTATGTTCCTTTTCCTCAGAATTAGATGGAATCCTTCGCAAGCAGTGAAGTGACCACACTGATAATGGTGAGCAAGGGGAAAGCAGCAGTACATTTCAGGAGTACTGAGTGCAGGAAAACTTGACTAATCTATGATGTGGTTACCGAGGTGAAAATGTGTCAGATCCTTGCTAACTTTGAAAGTTGGCCGCCTCATCCAAGAAGCTGTCTTTGACCCATGATGCAGTTATAACAGCTGCATTATGGATCATCTGAAACACTTTGGAATAAAAATATTTGTGACAGGCCGGGTGAAGTGGCTCACGCCTGTAATCCCAGCACTTTGGGAGGCCAAGGCCTCTACTTGGTATGGAGGGCAATTTAAAACTTTCAAATTGTCTACTTCTTGAATTTTCCATTTAACAATTTCAGACTGTGGTTAACTGGATAAATAAAACAATGGAAAGGGAAACTGTGGATAAATGGAAACAACTGTAGTCTCAACTTAATATTTTTAAGATCTTCAAAATATTCTGCAATTTAGAGAAAAGTGAGATATCTAAACAAATCCAAGGTGGGCGGATCACGAGGTCAGGACATCAAGACCATCCTGGCTAACACGGTGAAAACCCATCTCTACTAAAAATACAAAAAATTAGCTGGGAGTGGTGGTGCATACCTGTAGTCCCAGATACTCAGGAGGCTGAGCCAGGAGAATGGCGTGAACCTGGGAGGCGGAGCTCGCAGTGAGCCATGATTGCACCACTGC
The DNA here is from genome assembly GCF_000001405.40 of Homo sapiens. NCBI lineage: Eukaryota > Metazoa > Chordata > Mammalia > Primates > Hominidae > Homo > Homo sapiens. The sequence goes on from NC_000013.11 coordinate 46,884,629, forward strand.
ACTCCAGCCTGGGCAACAGAGCAAGACTCTGTCTCAAGATAAAAACAGAACAAAACAAAACTGTGACAAAACTATACAGAAATGCTTAAGGAAAAAGATGACAATCCTGCCATTCTTTCTAATTTAATCATCTTGATAAGTGTGAAGTCTTTTGACAGATTCTCAGCACTTGTGTGTGTATTTGTGTGTGTATGTATACATATATATATATATCTCCACATATTATCACTATATTATCATTAGTTTACCAGAATGAGCTCACACCATGCATACCACTCCAAAACTTGCTTCTTGCATTTAACATTATGAACATTCCTTCACTTAAATATCAAATACAGTGGTCCCCCCTTGTCTGAGGGCCATACATTCCAAGACCTCCAGTAGATGCCTGAAACCAAGGATACTAAACTTGATATAGACTGTTTTTTTTTCCTGTATATGCGTACCTATGATAAAACTTAATTTATAAAGAAAGCACAGTAAGAGATTAGCAGCAGTAAGAATTAAAGTATTAGTAAATGATTGAGTAAAATAAAGATGACTGGACTACAAGCACTATGATGCCATGGCAGTTGATCAGATGACTGAGATGGCTACAAAGTGACTCACAGGTGGATAGCATCTGCAGTGTGGATATGCTGGACAAAGGGATAATTCACATTCTGGGTAATACGAGGCAGGATGGCGGGAGAGTTTATCACTCTACTTGGTATGGAGGGCGATTTAAAACTTTCAAATTGTCTATTTCTTGAATTTTCCATTTAACAATTTCAGACTGTGGTTAACTGGGTAAATAAAACTATGGAAAGGGAAACTGGATAATGGAAACAACTGTAGTCTCAACTTAATATTTTTAAGATCTTCAAAATATTCTGCAATTTAGAGAAAAGTGACATATCTAAACATAATCCAACCTTTCCATTTCTTTCTGAAGAAATTGCTGCATTAAAAATCATTACATGTGCTTTTGTTTTTCTATAGAATAGATTCTCTCAAGTGGAATTGGTAGGTCAAGTTTTAATAGCTTTTGCTAGATGGCCCAAGAACAAATAATTCACATTTCCACAAGCAGGGTTTTGAGAGAGTGCAAGTGGTGCCATATTCAGGGCAGCACTGGCTGTCTTCACTAACTTCATTTTGCCAATTGGATAAGTGAAAGACGTTACTGCATTGTTTTAGATTATATTGCCATGACTGTTTAAGAGGCTAAACATGTTAAATAAGTTTTATTGTCCATTTCAAGTTATGTTTCTGTGAATTGCCTGAAATTTTAGTTTGCTTATTCTCTCTGTTAGATTGTTTCCTTTTCCTCTTTTTAAATATGTTGCTATTTGTATTTTAAGGTTATTAACCCTTGGTCTGCCAATCATATACATTGCAAATATTTTTCGTTTAACTTTGCTTACACTGATTTTAGCCGTATCAAACTTATATAACTGTTTATGTATATATTCTTCTTTATGGCATCTGCATTTTTTGACTTGCTTTTAAAGATCTATTCTGCCACTAGGTTATTTAGAAATTATTGGAAAACTTGTGAATTGGGACTCAGGGTAATGAGGAAATAACTTAATGAGATTATTTATTTTAGATATATTAATAGAAATAACGTGATGATTTGAAATGGGACTGTAATCATAAGAGCAATGGAAGAGTCCCATAACAATTCAAACTAACCGGGTTGGAGGAAGGAAATTAAGATATTGTGCAAGTCAGTAAATAGTTCATTTAAAAATGAGCTATTAAAATATAAATATAAGATGGAAGGGCTAAAACTGATGCTGATTGTCACAAATGTGGGCAGGTCAAATTTCAATATTAAAAAGGCAAAGACTAACAGATTTTGTTAAATAAATCTATCCATATGTTACTTGTGAAAATGCACATAAAGCAAAGCTACAAAAACATATTAAAAATGAAAAGGTGAGAAAATAGCCTGGGGAGAGTCAAACAAAAAAGATAGAGTAATATTAGTACCACATAAAGCAGAATTCAAGGTCCCAAACCTGTCCTTGGGGTCAGGGAGAGAAAAAGCAATTGGTGAGAGGGTACCAAGGTAGCCAGGATGTTAAGAAGTTAAGATTCTGGAGTGAAGGGAAGAGCAAGAAAGCAAGGTAATACTATGAGCTACCTTTCTACTCAGGCAGTTGCCAGTTTGTTAAAGGAACAGATTGAGAGACCGAATAGCTAAAGAGAGTTAGCAGTAGTCTTACGATGTTGAGGATATGAAACTTGAAGCTCAGAGCTCCTCAAAATGGAGAACACGTCAGGCTTTCATCTGGGATCATGAAAAAATACATCCTAGGTATAAAGGCAAACTAGAAATAGACTGGCTTTTATAAGAACCTTGCCTTAAATAAACTCAATCCCTTATTGGATTAAGGGGAACTGTGCTTACTTTAACTGCTGTTAATGCTAAAAGACTCCACTCTGGAGAAAGGCAGTATCAACAAAACACCCAAACATTTTATTTCAGTGTCCAGTATTCAATTAAAAAGAATTACCAGGCGGCCAGGCGCAGTGGCTCATGCCTGTAATCCCGGCACTTTGGGATGCCGAGGCGGGCGGATCATGAGGTCAGTAGATCGAGACCATCCTGGCTAACATGGTGAAACCCCATCTCTACTAAAAATACAAAAAAAAATTTAGCCGGGTGTGGTGGCGGGCGCCTGTAGTCCCAGCTACTTGGGAGGCTGAGGCAGGAGAATGGCGTGAACCCAGGAGGTGGAGCTTGCAGTGAGCCGAGATCGCGCCACTGCACTCCAGCGGGGGCGACAGAGTGAGACTCTGTCTCAAAAAAAAAAAAAAAAAATTATCAGGCATACACAGTACTCAATTAAAAAAATTACCAGACATATCAACAGACAGAATGAAGAGAAAAACAACCCCAAAACTCAGAAAAGAGAAATCCCTAGGTAATCCCACAACCCAGAAAAGAGAGATCCAGATAACTTGTGATTAATATTTAAGAAAATAGATGAAAACATGGAGAATTATTCTAAAAACCTGGAATTTATAAAGAATTAAATGAAAAAATCTAGAACTAAAAGTGTAGGAATTAAAATTAAGAAAACAAGAGATGGGTCTTAGGCAGATTAGAAGTAGCTGATGAGAGGACTAGTAACAGAAGAAGAAAAGTCAGTAAAGCTATCTCAAGAAATAAAAGGAGAAAAATGTACAAAATGTAGAAGTGTTTAACACTGCATGTTCTCACTAATATGTGGGAGCTGAATCGTGAGAACACGTGGACACATGGTGGGGATCAACACACACTGGGGCCTGTTGGTGGGGGGAGGTGGGAGGGAGAGCATCAGGAAGAATAACTAATGGATGCTGGGCTTAATACCTGGGTAATGGGATGATCTGTGCAGCAAACCACCATGGCACACGTTTACCCATGTAACAAACCTGCACATCCTGCACATGTACCCCTGAACTTAAAAGTTGAAGAACAAAGCAAAAAAAAAAATGTAGAAGTGCTTGAGTTATAAAGAACTTAGGTAAAAGGTTTAGCATACATGAGATTGGAGTCCCAGACATGAGGAAGAGAGAGAATGGGGCAGAAGCAATATTTGAAAAGATGGTGACCAAGAGTTTTGTCAAAGTGGCCAAAGTCACAAGTTTAAGAATCAGTACATACACCATGCAGGATAAAAACAGAAACTAATTCACAACTAAGTACATCATGATAAAGTTGCTAAAATAGAGACAAAACATTCTGAAGCAGCAGGGCGTGGCACAAGGTGATGTTTCTGAAGGAATAAAAATAAGACTGACAGCTGGATTCTTACAAACAAAAAATATAAGCCTGGAATGTTGGATTTGCCACCTATGAAGTGCTGAAAAAAAAAAAAGATGACTGTCAACCTAGAATTCTATACTGAACAAAAATGTGTTTGAAATGAAAGCAAAATAAAGATGCTTAGGATAAGAAAAACAGAACAAACGACATGATATTCTAGAGGAAATTCTTCAGGAATGAGGAACCCAGGCAAAATCATGAAAATGAAGAAAGCAATAAACAGCAACAGGGGTTAATATGTGAGAAATAGTGAATAGAATGGCTATAATGATGTCTTATGGGTTTAAAAAAGACATTTAGTAAATAGGGAAAAACCCAAAAGACAACAGGGATAGATGGAGCTAAAAGGTTCTAAAGTTTTTGCACTATCCGAGAAGTGTTACAAGTAATAATTTGTTTTAGACTCTAAGGTCAATAAGGAATGTTGTAATCATTGAAGTAATTTAAAACAATGGATAACAAGCTCATAAAGGGGAATGATGAATTGACAATTCTTGATTAGTCCAAAAGAAGGTAAGAATGAAAAGAAACTAGAATATAGAACAAATAAGAAAATAGCAAATTGTAAGATAACAGATTTAAACCCAAATATGAGTTAACATTATATGTAAAAGGACTAAATACTCCAACTAAAAGACAAAGATGGGGTTAAAAACAAAACTTTATATGCTGCTTACAGGCTAACACTTTAAAGTCACAAAAGGTTTGAAAGTAACAGGATGAAATAAGATATATCCAAAAATGATAATCAAAAGAAAATTAACGTAGCTATACTAAGATCAAATAGATTTTAAATCAAGAAGCATCACTAGATATAAAGTGGGACAGTTAATGATAAAAGAATCAATGTAAAGGTTAAAATTTGTATGCAGCTAATAACCCATGAAGGTATAGAAAATGTAAATGCAATAACTATAGAAGTTAGAAATGTAACTTAAAATACTATTTAAAAAGGAGCCAGGATGAAGAGATTTGGAACCAAGTTCTACATAACCTCTCAAAAACATGTAATTTCTACTTAAAGACTTCAAGACTTAGGGAAAGTGGAAACTTCTCTATCATTTAATAAAGCTAGAAAAAGAAAACTTGTAAGAATCATAAACCAACCAACTTTGTCATACAAACTCAATATTCCAGGAATGTAAGACAGTATTACATTTAGAAATTTACCAAGAGAGTGAACATATCAATAGCTTGAAGAGAAAATATCAATTGAGTCTAAAAAAAGCTTTAGTTACTAGTAGAAGCAAACAAGTTAGATCATATTTTAAAATTCCAGCTAGACTAAGGATCTAAATTAAAAGAAACCACACACAAAGCAAACAAAAAACTAAACCCAAAGCAAAATAATCAAAACAGAAACACTAGAAGAAAACTCAAGAGAATATTTGTGCTGAGTCTCTGTAGGTCCTTCATTAGATCTGCCTTTTTCCTTTTTACATTTTCCGCTTGCCCCCTCCTCAGGGCACACACCTCAGACTTCTAGTATAGATTCTATGTAACTTTTTTTTATTCTTTTGTTTCCTTGTCTTCTCCTACCTTACTGTGAGAGATCTTTGAATGCATATCTTTTTCATCTTGGTCTATACAGTGCCAAACACATAGTAGATGCACATTACAAGACTGGTCAAATGTGGGGGCAGTGGCTCATGACTGTAATCCCAGCACTTTGGGAGGCCAAGGTAGGGGGATCACCTGAGGTCGGGAGTTCGAGACTAGCCTGACCAACATGGAGAAACCTTGTCTCTACTAAAAATGCAAAATTAGCCGGGCGTGGTGGCACATGCCTGTAATCCCAGCTACTCAGGAGGCTGAGGCAGGAGAATAGCTTGAATGCGGGAGGCGGAGGTTGCGGTGAGCCAAGATAGCACCATTGCACTCCAGCCTGGGCAACAAGAGCGAAACTTCATCTCAAAAAGACTGGCCAAGTGGATGGATGAATGATCCCTGCCTGGCACCACCACAATCATTCCAGCCTGCCTGCCTCCTGTGGTGATAGTCTGCCTCTGGCTCTTTCTGGCTATCTTTTGTGCAGTGGAAAGAGCATGGGCTTTGGACTCAGATTGACCCATATTGACTCCTGATTATAAGTGATATCATCCTGTGCAACTGAGTTCTCTGAAGCTGATTTTCTTTAAGGGGCTTTGTATACTACTGGGTCCGTACTCAGTGCTCAGAAACTGTTACCTTACTACTGGTGTTATCATGAAGCCTGAATGAGATGGGGGAGTCAGTGTGGCTGAGGAAAAGATGGTTGACCTTCCCAGCATTTGTCTCACCAATGGCACAGTATATTGGGGTAAAACTATGGACAGTGTATCAGGGTAAAAATAAATAGCTTCATTTGCTCCCTCTGCATTAATCTTGATTCTCCTACTTATCACGCTGACCACCCTGAAAACCTGTCTCAGTGGTCTTCAACTCTGACTGCCCCTTAGAATCACCTGGCCTCACCCTAGGCAATTAAATCAGAATGTTCCCAGGGGCATTTTATGTGTAATTGGGATTGAGTGGTTACTGGCCCTTCACTTTCTTGCTCTTAGTAGAATGAGTCCAACTTGCACAGTCCCAGAAACTACAAGCATTTTCTAGGAGCAAAAACTGTTTCCTAAGGAAGGTACAGAAAGAACAGGGCATGGTGCTGGAAGTTTAGAGTCCTAGTCCTGCTGCAAGTTGGAGACATGATCCAGTAAGCCACAATACCTCTGTATTCTGGTTTCCTCATTTATCAAATAAGCACCATAGAATCTTCTATCTCAAACGGTAATGGGAAATTTAAAATAGGAAGTAGGTAAGACTTTTTAAACATTTGAAAGTGACACAAGTGTGATTTGTTAGTGTTTCCATCAGATGTTCCCATCAGAATTCAATAAAATCCTTGTTGTGCTACTTACTGGCTGTGGGGCTTTGCACAGCTCATTTTGCTTTTTGAATCCCAGTTTTTCCTCATCTATAAGATGGAGCTACTTACTCTTCAAATTGCATAATAGTTCCCATTGCTAGCAGCAAAGAAAACAATGGGAACTAAAATACACAAGATATAGTATTATTGTGTTGGCTCTTATTATTGGTACTATTATTCCAATGCTGTGGATAAGCTCACTCAAGCCCTTGATTTCAAGCGGTGGAATCTCATAGTCTCTCATATTAGCGGATGCTGGCACTGGCGTGGCCATAAACAGGTGCAACACTCCTGCCTGCTAAGCTTTTGGATTTTAAAATGAATGTCAGAGAATCTTTGGTTACCAACCAAGCTGCTGAGGTTGACAGGTACAATTCACTTCACTGCCTGAGACCCGCCCCCTTAGCTTCCATTACCTGGGCTTTTCTGACTATTAGGTGTGTGACAGAAGATCAATACTGGCGAGAGATGAATATATGTAATCAACCTAACAGAAGCAAGTTGAAATCCTTTGGTGTGTGGTATCATAAAAGGAGGAAGGTCAATAGGGACACTGGGTCGGACTGAAAAGCAGCCTTGCCCCAAAGCAAATCCTGGCACTTTCCTCTGGCCCACCTTTTCCCTCCAAGCTACAGCACATGGTACCTTTCTCTAGAGCCCAGAGGCTTTATGTTCTCTAGCAAAGTGGTCTGCATCCTTACGTTGATCATAAGTTCAGTGATTATAAAAGTTGAGGTCTTTGGGAAACCCAAGAATTAGAGTCGTGGACTTGAAAGTAAGAAATAGGGAAAACAGCACAGTTATTTCTGACTTTTTGGCTCTACTGTTTATAGTTTTGCCTGTGCAAAGCAATACAAATTCATGTTGTCAGCCAGTGACATAAACAGATTTTTCTTTCCTGAAGCGAATCTGATAATTATGATGTTGTAACATATCTTGCACCACCCAAAACAGTAGATTGAGGATGTCAGGTTTCAGTACAACAAAATGGAACAAGTCTTTTCAGAAAGCACGAACTGTCATTTCAAATGAGACTCTGAAATATGTTGCCACTTACCTACTGATATGGTCCAAACAGCAATGATTTTCAGAAATGCCTTAGTTCTGGAGTTGAAGCGGCTGTGGTGGATGGGATTCTGGATGGCGACGTAGCGGTCCAGCGAGATGGCGCAGAGGTGCATGATGGAGGCCGTGGAGAAGAGCACGTCCAGGTAAATCCAGACTGCACAAAGCTTGCTCGGCAGAGGCCACCGGTACCCTATGAGGCAGAAGGTTGGTGTCAGTGAGCAACCCTGTGCCTCCTGGAGCACATGTATCCCTATCCTATGACAATTTCCAGCTCTGGGACAGGCACAGGTGGTGGCAAAGGGCAACACAATATATTTTTAGTATTTGAAAAAAGCCCACTGGCAACTGTACTTAACTATGATAAGCTAGCACTGGCTGATGAATGCAGGGTTTGAAAATTTCTAGTGTCTGGAGTTATGTGAGTGTGGCACGGTAAGCTTGGATGGTCTCTATTTGGGGGTTCTCTTTCTTCCCCCTTACGCCTGGCAAAACATTTCTTTTGTTAATGGCTTATGTCAAAATTTGTGTTTTGGCTCCTCTTCTGGAGCACCTCTCACACTGTACTGTCAGGATTTAGTCACATATTTCTCTGGATTGTATTTCCCTAAGGTTAGTCTCACCTCTTAGTCATTATTATAACCATCCAGTCCCATACAGTGATGGCAATAAATTGCATTAGTGCAAATGACTAAATGACTAAAAATTCAGATTGTGAATATGTCTGTTTGTAAAAATGAAAAATAATGATCTAATAATGCTTTGGGTGCCAAACTCAAATTTGGGGTATGTGTAGGGAGAGCTGAAGACAAGGGTGAAGAAAAATAAAGAAAGGTGTCCTTGCTCTGAGCTTTGTTTTAGGGAGGCATTTCTCAAACTTTAGTGAGCATCAGACTCTGCCACACCTCTTAAAACACACACTGCTGGACCTCCGTCCAGAGGTTCTGATGCAGTTAGTAGGGAGCAGGCTGTAGAATTTGCATCTGAATTAGCAAGCTCCCGGGTGATGCTGATGCTGCTGGTCCAGGGACCACGCTTTGTGAATAGCTGCTTTAGGGTAGTGGCTCTCACCCCTGGCTGCACATCAGTATCAGCTGGAGAGCTTTAGAGAAGGTCCTGATGCCCATGCCAAACCCAGCCCAATTAAATCATGTTTGGAGGGTGGGCTGAGGTGGACATCAAATGTCAAAGCGTTTGCAAAGCTTTTTCCAAGCTCCCCAGACAATTCCAATGTAAGAGATACTGCAGGTCACCTGCTATATGAGGAAGGTTAGAGTGTGCTTTATGGACATAAACAAAGTGTCCTGGTTTTGTGTTTTGGAGGGGGATTAAGCAGTTATGTAAACCTTAATTAGTTTTGATCACAGTATAAGCAGCGGAGTTAGATCTGCCTGCATGTAAGAAGGAAAATTTTAAAGTCCACTTTTCTTATTACAGACCCACAAAGCCGAACAAACTCCAACGCAAACGTACACTCTCTACCAAAATGCCACAAGGGATATTTAGACAAGTAAAGGGCGTAGGTACAAGCCTAATTTACAGCCATTCACATGTATTATTTGCAAAGAGCTTGAGCCGAAAGGAAAGCCTTTTCCTTTGCAGCGCCTTATGGGGGAAGCCACGCTCTGTCTGTTCGGAACAGATGTCGGCCCTCGGAGGGGTTTCTCTGCCAGGAGGCGGCCCAGGCCTCAGTCCGTGTTTCTGATGCGGGATAAGGAGGGGGCATTTCCTTGTGGGAGAAGCCCCATGCCCCACGCCCCGTGGGCTGGGGGAGGCTGGAGGAGCAGCCTAGGGAGGGGCGGGGCTCCGGAGGGAACGGGCTGCTCTCAGAGCGGCGGCCGCCAGGGGGCGCCCTTGCTCCCCAAGCGGGTGACGCCGGGGGTCACCCCACCCTCCAGCCTCTGTTTTGGGTCCCGCTCTGTCACTCCTCCTACCCCCACTGGAGTTTGCCCCCTAGGGGAGGGGGTTTGGGAAGCGAGAATCTTCCCCGGGATGCCGGGGAAAGGGCAGGCAAATTAAATGAAATCATTCCGGTGTGGCATTTAAATGGTCAAGTGAAGGCTGGACTTGGAATGAGTGTTACTAGCTTTGTGCAAACTGGCGCCTGCTCGCCCTTGCGTACCGCCTTCCTCCTTCACATTCTCTAGGGCTGGGTTGATGTTTTTTAATCTTAGCCCCTAAGACTTGACCAGAAAATTTCCCTTTAAAGATAGCTATCATAACCTGTCTCTAAGCTCTGAGTGACTGCTGCTTGTGCCTGTGTCAGCAGTCACAATAGTCTCTCCTTTAAGGAGGTATCTGGCTGTATTACTCATAATTTGGAAAGAATATCACATTCTGGTCCCTTGCTGAGAGGTCTGACTGTTTCAAACTCTGTTGAGAAGAAAGCAAGATTAATCCCTTCCCATTTGTTTCCCACCCTCCTCCAAACCAGACTGGAGGAGTTTATGCATATGCATTTTCAAAGAGTTGAGGATATAATTCAAAGGCACATTTCCAAATTAGCTTCTCTGGGCAGGGAACAATTAAAACTGGAGTAATTCATTTATTCTAATTGAGGTTCTGCATATTTTAACATAAAACCTATTGCACCACTAATGTTCTCTCTGCAAATGTTCCAAAGTAATTGGGAAGGCTTTATCACTCCATTAAAAGTGCTGAAAACTGTGTGACAAAGATTAAAACTGTTCTGTCCTGAAGGCTGGAATATTGGTTGGGAATATAAAGAAGCAAAAATCAAGTAGATTCAGAATGATGGGTAAGTTATTGGTTTATGACTGTATGGGGTAATTTATAAAAATTTCTACATTAAATGTACATGTTTTGAAGCACAAAACTCTCCAATGATCATTTTTACACAGGATGTACGCGTTTTGAAGCACAAAACTCTCCAGTGATCACAGGTCATAGACTGTCTGATTTTTATGTGAAATCCCATTTTAAGAGTAAAATATAAGTAACATAGTAGGCTCTAGTCTATAAACAAAGACTTCTATTTATAGTTTGTTTGCCCCCTGAGCCCCATCTCATCTGCTGGTGGCATGCACATGCTCTTTATTACCAGTGCGAATATAGCTGGGAAACTAATGCCACTCACCATACAGGATGGTTAACATGGACACGGGCATGACAAGGAAACCCAGCAGCATATCAGCTATGGCAAGTGACATCAGGAAATAGTTGGTGGCATTCTGCAGCTTTTTCTCTAGGGACACTGCCATGATGACGAGTATGTTTCCAGCAATAGTTAGAATAATCACTACGGCTGTCAGTAAAGCAGACCAGTTTTTTTCCTGGAGATGAAGTAAGGAGAGACACGACGGTGAGAGGCACCCTTCACAGGAAAGGTTGGTTCGATTTTCAGAGTCGACTGTCCAGTTAAATGCATCAGAAGTGTTAGCTTCTCCGGAGTTAAAGTCATTACTGTAGAGCCTGGTGTCATCATTTAATTGCATTAGGGAGTTCGTAGTTGAGCTCAAAGAAGTATTTTCTTCACAAAGAATATCCATGTCTAAGCCAGAACTTGTAGCAGATGAGGTGTAGAAGGACTAACAGGTTATAGTTTCTGCTCACCATTCACCTTGATGTACCCACACTCTGTAACACTGAGGCTGGTGTACATGCTGTTCTCCCGGGGCTGGATTTTTGTCTTCCATTATTACAATGATAGTTAAAGAACTGAACTGTGGTGGCTGTAAGTTTTCTTCATTCACAATTTTAGGAGAGTCCACTGTTTGGTTTTATTATTTTCTCACCAAACCGAGGACAAAAAAGCAGAATGAACTTTTAGCATAGAGGTTGCAGGGTTTTTTTTGAGCGCTCGGGAAGATAAATGTCCTGGACAAAGAAGAAAAGTTTTATAACTACTGGGACTCTTGTTTAACTATATCTCATTTTGTTGGTTATGCCGATGGTACTAGTTTAGCAACAGTATTATTAAAATAGCATGCAATCAGAAACAGTGGGGATGTACACATTCTACATTAAGAAAGTCAATTAAAAATACATCCAGTGTTAATCCCATAGTAATTGGATGTACTTTGGGTTACAGTTCTCAGCCATTCTTAAGCTGAATTGCCACAGCTGCTGTCAGGAATTTCAGCTCCTATAATGTTGCTTAGCTAATAAAAGGAAAACAAAAAAGTCTTAAGTAAAGATTAGCAGACAACTTTCCTCCCTGGAAATTCTCATTGAAATGATTACATGTTGGCCAAGCATGATTTCAAACCGGAAAGAAAATTACACAGCAATAAAATATAGCGGCATGAGAACTTACATTTGTCTTCAGGGTCCACACATGAGATACATTTGTTATTCTGTGACTCGCTGCATCTCTCACAGTAATTAAACTGGTGTAGAGTCCCCTCTTCTTGATCTTCCACCAGCATAATATGATAGTAATTTGGTTTCTGTTTTGCTGACTTCAAAAACTGCATGCAAGAGCTGAGCCAGCTCCCGCACTGCTAGGATCCTGTTGGCTTCCTCTGGCACGGCTCGGCTGGGTTCCTCCCTCCCTGTGCGGCTCGCCTCAGCAGGCACACATTTAGAAATCATTCACGAGCCCCTCAAAGTCGCACAAAAGAACTGCATGGGAAAGTAGGAAGAGCTGTCTGCACCAAGGGACTCCTGGTTTCCACGGGAATGGAGTAGCTCTCTGACTGTCTCGTTCATTTCATCAGACCTCCCTCTATGTGTATGTCATAAGCTGCAAGGTAGCAACAGCCAGGAGGGCGGACCAAACAGGCTTTTTCTTCTCCCTCTTTTTGCTACATATTAATATTGGGAAGTTTTCCTTTGCTTTTGAGAGAAACTGGAGAAATGGCCTTTTGTGCAGATTCCCATTAAGGTAGGTAAGTGGCACTGTGGTAATTTTTTAGGCTGAAGGGTGAAGAGAGAACATAAATAAGGCTAGAAAACAGTATGTCCTCGGAGTGCTGTGAGTGTCCGGCACTTCCATCCAAAGCCAACAGTGTTTGTGTCCAGAGTGGAATTACTGACATTGGCCACATAGGCTCAGGGTGGCTAGGCACGTCTGTGGTGATAACTCTGATAAACTATTAGCACTATTTTTATTTAATAGATACACCATTGAACTGGCTTATTTTCTTCAGCAGAAATATGCCACCCAGATATTATTCAAAACCTCACATGTGGTAGGAAATAAGTTGGTTTCGCAGTACCAATTTTTTTCCCCCACCAGTAATGACAACTTGCCTTACTTGTAAAGAAAGCCCTTTCCCAAGTAGGTTTCTAAAGGAGGCAGTTCGATCTCTCTCTTTTTGCAGGCATGAAAATATTTTCCTCAATAGTTGGGTTTTGCTACAGTTCTATCACCTTCTGTTCTTCACATTCTCCCTGGACAAATTCAACCACTCTCATGCCTTCAATATGTTTGTGGCCAAGTCTGTACCTTCATAGCTGATTATTTCTCTCAGTTCCAGACCTAAATCTCTAGCTGCCCATTGGCTCCTTCCATGGTAGCCTGGGAGACCTTGACCTCAGCATCTTCCCTCACTCCGCATCCCCCTGCCCGGCTCTCAGTGCTTGTTCCTACCCATTGGCTTGCATGATGGAATCACCACCTCTTCAGACAGCTGCTGTTATCCGCGACTCTTCCTTCATTCTCGCTGCCAGATCCCACTTCGTCTCCGGTGCTACCTCTGTATGCGTGTTTCTCACATGTCCTCTCCTGCAGCCTGCAGCTGGCACCCTGTGGTCGAGATCTAGCCACCTATTTCCTGGGTGGGTGCCTTAGTGCCCCCCTCACTGCCATGCCTGCCACCCTCCTACCCCTCCACGTTAAATATGCACGCTGGCGAGCAGGCAGCGGAGAACACAGACCTTAGAGTTCCTTGGTTTTGGATCCTAGCTCTATCACTCATAAACAGTAGAACCTCGCCTCATCTAGTTGCTCCCTTTAAAGCTCAGTCTTCTCACTTGTAAAATGGGATAATACCTTCCTCATAAGATTGTAGTGAAGCTAAACTGAGATAATGTGTGTAAGTATTTGGCCCATGTCTGGCTTATAGGAGGTTCTCAAGTAATGTCAGCCACTTTCATTCCTATTGATATTCTTACTGATATTAATGACACAATTGGCATCACTCCCATGCCTACACTCCTGCAGTCCCTTCCTTGTGGGGCACATAACACTTTTCTTCATCTACCTGTACCCTGCTTGCCCCACTTTGCAGGCCTGGACTCTGGTTACTCTCCCAGTCAGCCTGTATGCAGACTGAACTTACATGTTTCTGACCATTTTTATGTCTCTGTACTTGTACTTCCCTGTGCCCGGAGTGCTCTTACCATTCCTTTTTTGTGTGTGTCCATCTGGCAAATTCGTGCTTAGTTCCAGAGCAGCTCTGGATCCCAGGCCTACCACTCACCACATCTGTAAGCGTGATTAAGCTACCTAATCTCTGTGTTTTAGTCTCCTCATCCGCAAGTAGGGAACATTAATAATAAAAAGACCTCAGGATTGACGTGAAAGCCAAATAAATTTACATATTTGCCTGGCACATTTTAAGCACTCAATAAAGGTTAGTTGCTATTATTCTTACTAAGTTTACTGTTCCTAAGCTTTCTGTAGCCCTCCTTCCCAGTGGAGGCAAAGACTATAGCACCTTCTGCAGCCTTCTATTTTTAACACATCATGTCTCATGTAAGCCTCATAAAGGCAGGAACTGTGTCTATCTTGTTAACAGCTGGGCGCATAGTGCTTAAGTATGTTTGTTGAATGAATGCATGACATCTGTGTAAATGTCTGTCTTCTCTATTAGATGTTGAACTTCATTTCCATACCCTTAATATAGATGTAATCTATATTACATCTATCTTATACTATTATATTATCCACCCAGATGCAATTCATAAACCTCACATGTGGTATCTAAGCATGGTATCTCATAATGGAAGGTCCTCAACAGATGTGTTCTGACTGAATTGTTATTAGCATAAATTAAGATGAATTGATTATTAAAAAGGAGAACCAGGGAGAAACTTAGAACCTCTCATTTTTTCTTGTTACTTTGTTTATTGGGATACCAATTTAATTTTATTAAAGATAGCAGAGGGAAATGTAATATAAAAAATACTCCAGTGTCAGGAAGTTATTCAAAAGTTTTCTGAGGTTAAATTTTATAGATGTTCTTGTTATAGCTCTTAGAGAATTCTGATGATCTCAGTCCATTATTTCTCATGAAGAACAGCTAGGCTTCTAGTCATGCCAAAACTAATCAGTGTTTCTTATTATGTGGTTTACACTGGGAAATATTTTTTTGGCTACCATCTAAGATTATTTCTAGTTTTTATTGCAATTTTATGAATACTTGTTATGGACAAAGCAGTAGGGGCATAATCTAGGCTCCTGATTCTTAAACAGAGCTTCTAGGTTAATAGCATGAGGGTTAGATTAGGTAGGAATAGTTTCTTGCTGGGCAGATGCCCCTGTGAGTTTGGTGAGACGAGTGTGTGTTGGCTGCTGTAGTGCGCACCGTGATGCCTCGCCCAGCTTCTGCTTCAGGGCTGAGACTCGGGCTCCCTGCTGCTGGAAGGATTGGTGGCTGGCTCTCCACTCTTTCTGTGAACACTCCCCTCAGCCAAGGAAGCCAGCTTGCCAGTGGTCATGCCCCTTCTCTGTGGCAGCCAGCATGCAAAGACTGGTCCATTGTGAGGATATAAAGGGCTGGCCCTCTTGCCTGATGGCTGAAGAACTTTGGTTCCAGTGCTTCTATGGGATTCACTGAGGCCTTTGTTGTGTCAAATCCAAGTTAAATATCTCCCCTTGTCCAGTCTGGCTTCTCTTGCTCCCCTGCCGGTGTTGATCTGAGAGCTCGCCCCACACAAATCTCTTGCACACACATCAGTCACAGAGTCAGCTTCCTGGGGAGCTCAACCTATGACCTATCATCTTTAGCTGTGTATTAATGCCTTGAATAACATCTCTGGGTGAGTTGGATGTCTTACACAAAACAGATAAGTGTTGTCTATGTGATGATGAATGATGCTTCCTTGCCATAAGCTTAGAATTCTTCAATATACATCTGGCTTTGCTATCTAATTACTGCCAGAAGGAATTTAAGGTTAACAATACCAGAACTATATTTATTATCTTGGGCAGAATTTCTCTAGTTCTTAATTGGACCATATATAGGAATACATTTTATAACTAGTTCATTTTGGAAGATTCACTAGAAAGTGATTGCTTAAAATTAGATGTTAATATTTTCTCAATGACTTCAGTGGTATTTGTAGCCTTTGTTTGAATTTTTTTCCAGGCTAAAGTTATTGGGTTTCTGAAACTGTAGTGTCTTACATATGTCAATGTATATGAGAAAAAAAGGTTCCTTGACCAATTAAGTCTGGAACATTACTGTATCTTATAGTCTCCTCTTAGAAATATACAGTGCATAATTGCATATTAAAAGCTGTAAGAGATCCTGCAGTAAGGAAATTTGTTTATATTTATTTCATTCCTCTTCATCCAGAACACTCATTGAAAGACACTTTAATTTTGTCTAAATTGAGTTATATTTTAAATTTATTAAAACATAATGCTCTTAAGTATACAATTCACTGAGTTTGACAAATATGTACACCCATGTAACCATCACCCAAATTAAGATATCCACCATTTTCATCATTTTTGAAAGTACTCTCCTATCCTTTTTTGACTTTAACTTAAATGGACACATGTGGCCCTCCTTCCTAGTGGAGGCAAAGACTGTAGCATCTTCTGCAGTCTTCTATGTCACGCTTCTTTCACTCAACAGTGTATCTGTGTGTTCATCCATGTCACTGTGATTAAATGATTATTTAATGGATTGTAGTCTGAGAAACTGAAATGGCCTGGACATTTGGGGTTTCAACATTTATTTTTTTTCTTGTTCAAAGGAACATAGAATAGGTCCCTTTTCTTTGTTACGTTTGTCCTTTTTAAGCTGCTTAATTTTGCAAGACAGTGCCAACCTTAACCTTCACTCAATTGATTATGCCTGATTTTGTTATGAATTGGCAGCATAGAATTCTTTTACTCTATGATATTTAAGAATATGTCTCTAAGATTTCTGCTGCTCAAACATTACTAATGGCCTGAGAATGAGGAAAAAAATATTAACAGAGGGTTTACTGACTGACATTTTATCTATCACTTCCTTTTGGTGCTCTGATACTTAGGTTTGGAACAAGCCAGACCATCGGACCAATGTATATTTAGAAAACAATATCATGAACTGCCTTCTATTATGGCACTGGCTTGTATCTAAAAAAAAAAACTACTTGAAATTAGCTAATGACTGTCATCTATCTTTTTAATTTTCTCACAGTGGCACCGAGTTGAACAATATTCATTAATTTAACAGTTGATAATTGACTGCTGTGTCAAGCACTATTATAGGTGCTGAGTATAACCATGAAGATGAGCATAGTTCCTGCCTTCATTCATTCAAGAAATAGTTGGCAGTAGCATGGATGAGTACAGAGTTTAGGGAAGAGACATCAAATAGCCAATGGCATATTGGTATTTAAGGTATGCTACTAGGTGAAATCATCTAAGAGAGTGAGTGGAGATAAAGAAGGGAAGAGGTCTGAGAACTCAGCCATGGATTACTGCAATAGTTTAGGTCAGAGAGTGTGGAGGAACCTGCCAAGTAGAATGAAAAGGGGCACCCAGTGAGTTAGGAGAGACACAAAGAGAAAGTGTAATCCTAAAGTAAAAGAAAAGAAAGATGGCCAAGAAGAATGAGTATGCAACTGGGTGAAATGCCTTCTGACCAGCTGAGTATAATAAGGACTGAGAAATCACCGTAAAATTTGTCAAAATGGTAGTCTTTGGTGGCCTTGATAAGAACTGTTCCAGTGGAGTAGTTGGAATAACAGCCCAATGGAATGGGTTCAAGAGGGGAGGGGGAGGGAAGCAAGAACATCAGTTTCAGGTGAGAGATGGTGTGGCTTTCACTAGGGTAGTGCTAGTGGGTTTGTGAGAAATGGTCAGATTCTGCGTATGTTTTAAAGGTAGAGCCAACAGAACTTGATGACAGATAATGATAGGATATGGGACGTGAGAGAAAGAAGAGAGCTGCGTCACTCTGAAGGTTTTAGATCTGAGCAACTAGAAGAATGGGGCATCGTCCTTAACAGAAATAGTCAAGGCTTCAGTGGGAGCTTACTTGGGGTGATTATCAGATCAGTCTTGGATATGCTAACTTGAGGTCTGTGTAAGACAAATAACTATGTCTATAAGACACTGAGCATAAGAGTCTGAAATAGAGTACAGAGGTCCAGGATGCAGATATAAATTTGGAAACTGTCAGTATATACGTGGTGTTGAAAGCTGTGAGGTAGAATGTGATTCCCTAAATATCCGAGTAGAGGAAGAAGCAGTTTAAAGACTGAATCTGGAGCTTCTTCAACAGTTAGAGGTAAGGGGGATAAGAAAGACGTGGCAGAGGAGACCGTGGGGTTGGTGAGGAAGGAGGAAAAGTGAAGAATGTGGTGTTCTAGGAGCCAAGATAAGAAAATATTTCGAGGAGGAGAGCGACCGAATGAAATACAGTGAAGCTGCTAAGATTCATATACTTGAAGAGCATTTCATTATGTGGGAAATCGTGCACAAGCTAATGTTAAATAAGAACGAGCTCTATAGTCCATGTTCTCAACTTAAAAAAACCATGGATATGTGGTTCTAAACTAGAAGGAAGTACATTCAAATGTTGACAGTGATATTTCCTGGGTCAAGGAGTTGTGATTTTTTTTTTATTTCAATGCTGATTTCAAATTTTGTAAATATTCTGAAGTATACATGTGTTTATAAACATAAAATAATTATTTCAAAAATATTTAAATTAAGTTCAGGTAAAAGAGGGTCAGAGATGACCTTATCCTTTAACCATGGCTGAGACAGACTGGCTTTAAGGTAAAATTTTTAAACTGCTTGTTTTTGTTAGGTGTGGCAGTTGTATTATTCAGAATTATTATAGACAAATGGCAGACATCCAAGTCAAAAAGGATCAAGGGAGATGTGCAAGTAATTGACAAGTCCAAGGTGGGACTAACTTAAGGCATGGCAGGATCTAGTGGCTAAAAGGACCTTATTAGGGCTATGTTGCTACCTCTAGAATCTGCTTCCCTTTCACTGACCTGATTCTCTTCCTCTATAGGTGACTTCTTTCATGTAACTGGAAAAGGTGGTGGTTGGCAGTTCTGATTTTACATAATTGCAGGCTGTGAAACAGGATTTAACTCTGCAGTAGAGTATTTTTCACTTGCAGACGAGACCCTGGTTAGACCCACGTGCCCATCTCTGAAATGAACATGATAGCTAGGGGAATAGAGTACTCAAATTAGCCAGTCTGGGTCACCCTGCCATCCCTCTGGGCAGGGGATCAGAGCAACATGACTTACCAGCTTCACTGACACTGCAGGAAATGGACCCTTTCCCAAATAAAAATACAGGCCTTTTGTCCAGGCCTGTAAAATAATGACTCTCTATTAGCAGAGGGTACATCCTTATCTATTTTTTGTTGTGTTTTTACTCAGCTACATTGGCTCTGGTGTCTGAGTCATACTTGGTTGTTTCACGAGGCATCACAATTTTTTTGAGGTCACAGGGAGATCATTTTTTACATTTTTACTCTGGAGGTAAATAGCACTTCAGCCAGTCAGTGATCTAAAAGTGTGTTTCCCAAAATATCTAATTTACTACCAGGCATAACCTAGGTTTTGGGAGAAATGAATATATTATCACTTAGATTCTCATTACAGAGCAAGATGATTACCTTTCTTATAAGAAAAATGTAGAACTATTGGAGGAAAAATATTTTTGCTAGTCCCAAAGAATTACCCTCACACATTTTTGCAGGTGCTTATTGGTTGAATCATAAGATATTTGGCCAGGATCCCAAATTTTGTTCTGGCACCAACTGTCAGGTGTCTGTGGCTGAAGGGACATTCGAGGTACATTTACCTCTTATTCTTAACGAGGGCATGTAGTGAACCAGACGGGACCATTTGGGTTGTAAGGGTTCTGTTTTCCTGGTCAGGGCCTGGCTAGCAGCCTGTTAGATCTGTCCTCTGAGCCCATGCCAGTTCCCACTTCATGCTGTGGGGGATGGGGAGAGACTGATGGTTCAGGTACTTCCCACTGGAAAGAGGAGCCTTTTGGACCAATTTTATCAAACCAGCTCTATGAGAAAAGCGGCCTATGGGAGGAAAGAGACACACCTAAAATGAAAATAATGAGAGTTCTCTACTCAGAGGATAGATTTTTAACCTCTTTGCTGCTTTCAGTGATCTGTTAACAATATGGCCTAATGGTGTCCCTGGTCTTGACTCACGTTGATGCTCTCCCTCCTTTGTGATGAGTGGCAGTTTGGGAGAATGGAAGTCTTGAATTTTGACTTCAGGGTAGAATGGGCAGACCAGATTCTTGGTTTCTCTGCATTCCAATGGCTTCAGCAGCCACAGGTCAATCAGTATGAATATGAAATACTGCCTTCTTTGGGAGTTTCCCAGTATATCAGAAAATTCAAGTTCTCACCTTCATGAGGATACTTTTAAGAACCAAATTATTGTTCCTCTGTCCACCTGATATTGATGACTTAGGCACTTAATCCCCTCAGAGCCTTTTACCAATATCTCAGATGGGGTCCTAGAAACCACTGAAATGGATCAGAACATTATCTCAATTTAGTTGAAATTACTCTTCCTGTTCTATTTTCCATCTCAAATTATGCTTGACGGTGTTGTCCAGGATAAGGTTGTACATTGTATTTCAATATGTCTGGTAAGACATGCTCCATAATTTTGGAGTAAAAAAGATAAATATTTGTAAAAATTAATCATTTGGTTTCCTATCTGCCCTTAAAACACGATGTCTAGTATCTCCCTTTTGAAGCCCATTACTATCCCCGCTTCCCCCCAGATTGATGAAGGACTCTGGAGTCTCTGACCAAAGAGGTCAGTCCCACACCAAACCTTATGTGGAGGGGTAACTGATCAGTCCTCCATTGCCATTGCTTCTTGCTGCCACATAGTGTCTCTGTTGCAGCCTTTTCTGCCCTTTTCAAGAAAGTTGATTTGTCATGGAATCACCTTAGCTCCTTGGCATTCTGCAGTGGTTAGGTGGCCAGTACAATTCTTCATTCATACTCACGTGGTGGCCATTGGCCCTAGAGTACAAGACTATGATAGGGTGACTTGGTTCTGGGATCTTCCTGCCAGAACCACAAATACTTAGGCACCAGGAGGTTGTGAATTGTCAGAACAAGAAGGTTGAAGAAGACTGGACACTAAATTTCTAGAATCTCTGGAGGAGAAATATTCATAGAATGAGTTGGCTTTGATGTCCTTGTAGGTCCCTTCCAATCCTAATGTTTGATTCTGAGATCTAAAAAACATTTAACATTGATACTATATTGTAAATTTGATCTTTCTTTATTTCATTTTTAACTATAAAAATGCATAGTGTAAAAAAGTCAAACCATGTTGAAAGAATCTTTCATACTCCTCATATTTTATATCCTTTATTTTCTTTGCATATACAAGTGTTTACATATATGATTATATGTATTTTATATATATATAATACATATGACTTAAAAATGTGTAGATTGGTAATAGAATTCTCATGAATATAACATAATTTATTTAACTGGTCTTTCTTTGAACAGGTTAAATAAATTATTAGGATTGCAAGTGCTAAATTTCAAAGATCCCACCAAATAGCTGTCTAAAATAATATGCTAATTTATATTCCCACCAACAATATATTAGTGTTTTCCTCACATCTAACATGGAGTTTTTTAAATTGGCAACTTTAACACCTTTATATCTTATGAACTACCAGTCGGTTACTCTATTAAAACTTGTCTCGTTGTAAAACAAAATTCTTATTTTTCTCATAAAGATATTTATGAAAAATTTCACAAATATATAAATGTTCAAGGGCTAAAAATGTAGCAGTATTTTTGGAAGCCACAATCTTCTTAAGTCAAAAAAGTGACCATATCCCCATATACTATCTTCTTCCCACAGTTTGAGATTCCCTGCTTTTACCATTTCCATCAGTGTTTATTTTATCTGCATTTCAGTAACTTGTTTCTAGAGAATTTCTCTACAAAGATCAAGTACTTCTCTTTACATCATTTGCCAAAAAGAAAATCCAAAGGCTATAATGTGTTTGGATAAAATATTACACCTATTAATGTACTGTGGAAATTCATCATAGCCTTGTGCAGAGCTGTGACTCATCAAGGTCTTTATGGATCTTCTGACTTAAGCATATGTATGCCTTTACTGCTTGATTTGCCAGCTTTAGCTAATATCTATAAAAGAAGGAAAAACCATCATACATATTTTCTTTCTTGTCTTTCTAGTTTTGTTAATTATATAATTTCTAAACATTTCCAGGGTTTATAATGTTAAATCCTGTTTTAGGACCACAATTCCCATATCTGTCCTGGTCTTAGTCCTGTAGTTTGATGGGTTGAATATTCCCCACCCTCCATTTTGCTATAGCTGTCCAGTTAGCTCATGGTTGGTTAAAGATTGTTTTCTAGTAGTTTCCTCAAAGAAAAGTCATGGAAATGTATTTCCTGAGTGATTTAAAGTTCAACACCAGTTCTACGTTGTCTTTATCCTTGAATAACATTTGATCAGTCTAAAATTCTTGTCACATTTTCTTTCCTTGAACATTGTAAGTATTAACTATTTTCTGGAGTTGAATATGGCTGTAGAGAGGTGTGAGTTCAGTGACTTTTTTCACCCATTTAGGTGTCTTAAGCTTTTTGTCTAGATGCTCAAATAACTCTTTCTTTTATTCATTTTGAGCTTTTGATATCTAGTAAGTTTTCTAGAATACCTATTACTGTTGGTTGTTTTGTGTCAGGTTTTCCTATAACATTGTACGCTCTTTTCATCTGCAGATAAAATTCTTGAATGTCCCTAAAATTTTCTTTCTCTCTGCTTCCCCTTACCCTTCCCTCCCCTCTTCTCCTCTTCTTTTTGACAGTGTCTCCCTCCAGCACCCAGGCTGGAGTACAGTGGCATGATCTTGGCTCACTGCAACCTCTGCCTGCTGGGTTCAAATGATTCTCCTGTCTCACCCTCCCAAGTAGCTGGGATTACTGGCATGCGCCACCACACCCGGCTAATTTTTATAATTTTTAGTAGAGGCAGGGTTTTGTCATGTTGTCCAGGCTGGTCTTGAACTCCTGGCCTCAAGTGATTCACCTGCCTTGGCCTCCCAAAGTGCTGGGATTTCAGGCGTGAGGCACTGTGCCTGGCCGAATGTCTCTAAAATGTTCTTGACTGTATTTTTACATATCTTTTTACTATCTTGATTAAACTGTCTTCCTTAGGGAAACCAATAGTGAGTATATGTTGCCTTTATTCACTTTTATTTATCTTACTCACTTTTCTCGATCCTGTCCCCCTTGTCTCTTACTGTGTTTTAGCAGTGTCTATTCTTCTTGTTGCTTTCAACGTGGTCTACGTTCCTGTGACTGCTTTTTGTTTTCCTTCATGAGCCAGCTCCTGTTATGTTTCCTTCTGATGTTCCTGCTAATCTTACATGAGGTTATTTGAGATTTTGAATTGCTGCTTCACGCTCTTATTTATATGAAAGATTGCTTGATTAAGATCTTTATGTTCATACATGTCATGTTTGGTCAGTTCTAATCTCCATGGTCACTTTTTAGGAGGGGAGAATATTCTTGGTCTGCCAGTTTTTGTTTTTGTTTTTTTCCCTGTTGTGTTCTTTTCTTTTTCTTTGGGAATTTCTCCATAGGTCCTATAGAACTAGAGCCTAGTCTTAGTGGATTTATGGCTGGTTTGGTCAAGCTTCTTATCCCACTGTGTGTTTGTGTGTGTGTGTATGTGTGATTTTCTATTTTTATAGACTTAGAGAAGGTACAAATGCTGACTTGTTATGTGGATATTTTGTGTAGTGGTGACGTCTGGGCTTTCCATGCAACTATCACACAGATGGTGCACATTGTACCCATTAGGTAATTTCTCATCCCTCATTCTCCTTCACTTCTCCGATGTCTAGTATTCCACCAAGAGAGGGAGAGAGATTCTAATCTTTCCCCTAGCCAGCAGAGATTGATGCTGCAGGACAGCAATCAATGCAAACCTTCTCCTGTAGTCAGCCTGTCCCACTCACTGACGACTGCTTCCTGACTTCTCATCCCTCCCTGCCTTTTCTGTGCCAGATGGGATTAGGGAAGCTCTTGCCATCAGTGCACTTACCCCAGTCTGTTACAAAAAAAGAGATTGTTGGTGTTCTCTCTCATAATTTGCAACATCTTGGAAAAATGGATGTGGCTGGCTTTGTCTGTGGTCTGTAGCCACAGGCATGCTCTCCTGGCATCTTCCCACGCCAATTCTTTTGACTTCCTCTGAATTTGGCAGCCCTTTCTCATATATGGTGGTTCAAGGCCACAGTAGGCTACCAATTTTGTTGAAGTTAGAGCCTGCATTTGTTTCTAACTCTTACTGTTTTTTATAGTGTCATTGAAAGGAGAAAGGAGCAAAATTGTCTTGCCTGCATACACCTTTATTTTTTGTAATTATTTTATTTCAGTAGCTTTAGGGATACAAGTGGCTTTTGGTTACATGGGTGAATTGGATAGTGGTTAAGTATGGGATTTTAATGACCTGTTACCTGAGTAGTGTACTTTGTACCCTACAGAGAGTTTTTCGTCCCTCACCACCCTCCCACCCTCCTCACTTCTGAGTCTCCAGTGTCTATTAAACCACTCTGTATGCCTTCCCATGCCCATAGTTTGGCTCCCACTTATAAGTGAGAATGTGCAGTATGTGGTTCTTCATTCCTGAGTTACTTCACTTATGATAATGGCCTCCAGTTCCATCCAAGTTGCTGCAAAAGACATTATTTCATTCTTTTTTATTTGTCTGCATATTTTAGATTATAAGCCCTTTGTCGCATTGAAATGAATCATGTTTGAATCAGTCACGTAGAGTGGATTTTCTTCCCCTAAGAATTCTATTTTGTGTCAGGAATTTATCTTTCATTCATTTTAAGGTTTTGATATTATGCTTTCTAAGCGTATGAAAACAGGTGAAATATGTGCTTAAATATCAAGAAAAAAGGTCTTCTGTTTTTTCTAAGTATAAGAAGACTTAAAGAGGAAGCTAGTATCTTATGAGAATAAGTGCCCAAGCTTTTAATATGGCATCAAGGACTGATACCTTCTTATGGCTAGATTTATTAAAATAGGTGTTTGATATATTCCACTGAACAGAAAGGTGGTTTTAATAGTACTCTCTAGAGTAAGGGTGGGCAAATGATGATCGTCAGGCTAAATATTTGCTACCTGTTTTGAAAATAAACTTTTATTAGAATACAGCCATACTCACTCACTTATATATTGTCTATGGCTTCTTTCATGCTGTTATGGCAGAACTTTGAGTATTTGTGCCAGAAATCAAGCAGCCTACAAATTCTAAGGTATTTATCTTTCCCTTTACAGAAACAAATTGCTGACCCCCTGCTATAGAAGAGCAAATTCTCTGTCACCTTGCAATTCTCCATTTCTATGTTTTTCCATTATAATCACTCTAAGAATAAATCAGAAATCTCCATCTCCCATTTCTGTCCTCTTAGTAATAGTATGTGAAAGTTTGGCAGACGTTTTAAATTGTTAGCCACAGACCTGACCCAATTTTTGTATGCAATCTATTTACTTTTTGGAAGATGCTAGAAAATTAAGTTTTTAAAGATTTCAAGGTAAAGAGCAAAGTTATGATATTTTACTGTTGTCTTTGTCATCCTTTTTGATATTTAGAAGACTGTCATGTACTATATTGATATCTCTTGGCCGTATAACTGCCTCCAAATTTTCTTAGGATCTATTTTGGGGATGATCATGATCCATGACATTTAGAATCATTTGCAATTGACCCTAGTGACCAAGACCATATTAGAACATTGTGGAATATAAAACAACTTTATTCATTGAAACACTTCTTTTTCTTCTACTTTTTATTTCCAGGCATTTTTTTATTGCCATCAGAAATTATAGTTATTATTCCCTCACTGTATTTGTTCTAAAAGCAAAATAACTTCAGTCAAGAAGGCATCATTCTTGCCTGGGAAGGCAGTAATTGAACCAATATGCAGGGCATTAAAACCACACAGTAAGATTTATTACTTTTGGTTTTGTTGCCCATCTATTTCTGTTATTTTTCTCCATAAATCCTTGATATTTTGATTCAAACACACCTAATGGTTGTTGGAGTGTCCCCTACTTTTCTCCCTGTGTGAAGAATGCTAGTTAATTTAAAATTTTGCTTGCTTACTTTAGATTTCAACCTTTGCTCCTCTCAATCTTCTCCAAATCTCATCTGCCCTGGAGCCCAGATGAGAACTGGGGGTGAGGGCAGATGTTCCATACTATCAGAGTGCTGTGACAAACCATGCCAGCTCCCCTTGCAGCATCAGATAATGGGCTGTCTTTTAAATGAGAACATAGAAGTGCTTACTCCCATTCAGCTTGAAATCCTTCAATACCCAGATGTTTTTTCTGTTGCATCTGGATTTGGCTGTTGGAGTTTTATCATCCTTTCCTCAATGACACAACATATCCAGGTTGTTGAATGGTGTATCACTGCCTGTGTTTTCTTAGCCATTACATTGTCCACCTCATGGATATGGATGCTGGAGAAGGTGTGTGTCTGTCTGGTAGCTCAGTCACTACCACCATTTGTGTTCTCACCGCAGAAAAGAATGCAAATTGGAAATACCTAAAAATCCTCTGGGATTATGTAATTCTGAACTGGCGTCCACATTTTGTTGTATTCTGTATGCTTACACTGATATTGAGTTATACATTGGTTATATACCCTTACTACATTTAAGAATATAGGAGTTGGCTTTCTATGAAACTTATTTTCATATTTTGCTTTAGAGTCAAGGAAGGAATGGAGATGAATGAGTGCTTATTGAACCAAGTGCCAAGTGTTATTATGCTTTACATACATATGTTAAATAATCCTGGCAATGACTCTGCAAGAGAAGTAAAATAGAATCTATGACACAGACGGCCTTCAGGTCAAAAGATGCGCCTGAGTTTATCTCATGCTCTAGTGCCAGGATCTCAATGCCTACATCTGTTACTCCTTCTCTCCCTGTTACATCACCCTTTCCTTTACTATATATTTTAAGTTTTATTATGTCTTGATTTTAAAATGTTCAACTGCCTAATAACTCCTGTTTATTTTGTTATGGACATTTTAGATATATTTTACCTTTTATTATATTGCTGTATAACATAGTACAGTGCACATAGTGTTAAGTGTACAGCTCGATTTTTCTCCAGTGAACATACCCATGTTATTAGCACCCAGGTGGAGAAATAGAAGAATACCAGCATCCCAGAAATGCTCTTTATTCTCCATTTTATTCTCTTTCCCCAAACTCCCTACTCCAAGAGTAACTGCTATCCTGACTTCTAGCAGCAAAAATTCGTTTTGTTCTCGAATTTTATGTTAATGGAATCTTACAGTATGTACTCTTTTATATCTGGATACTTTTTCTCAACATTTCGTTTATGAGATTGATCCTTACTGTTGCTTGTAGCTGTAGATTGCTTTATAACATTCTATTGTGTGAAGATTCTCATTTATCCATTCTTCTGTCTCTAGGCTTTTGACTAGTTTCTAGTTTGGGGATATTATGAATAGTGCTGTTATCAGACTAGTATATGTCTTTTGATAAACATAAGTATATGTATGTTGGGTATATACCTAGGAGTGGAATTGCTGTCTTTTTTTTTTTTTTTTAAAGAACAATTTCAGTAGGCATACTAAATCATTGGTTTATTCAACAATTATCTTTGGAGATTTTTAAACATTCCTATGCCTAATTCCACCTTATAAATTTAAATTCAGGTCATCCATCTGGAGTAATGATGAAGGACAGAGGAGTCCTAAAGTGGGGCTTAGTCTGGGAGGGTTCTTGGCTTTGCCTAGGAAAGAATTGCTCTGAAGTGCTATGGCTCTGTGACTGATTCCACAGAGCAGGGCTACCCCACAGGCAATGTGGTGGGCATAGAAGCTCAGAAGCAGTTCTGTAGTCATATTTCTTCCCATTTCTAATTACATGCAGATTAAGGGGTAGTCTATGCAGAAATTTCTAGAAAAGGGGTGATAACTTCCAGGTCATTGGGTCTTTGCCATGAAAAGGTATGATAACTTTTGGACATTGCCATGGCAATGGTAAACATGGCACATTGGTGGGCATGTCTAATTGGGGGGTACTTCCAGACCTGGTTTTAAACTAGTTCTCAATTTGGTCCTGTGACAGAGCTCCGCCTCCAGAGTTAAGTCCCACTTCCTACCTGATTAAGACTAAGTTATAAGTTATCTTCATTAAAAACAAAACCTCATGGAAATTCACTTATGCAGCAAAAGTTGAGAATAACTGATTGTTTTTATGGCAAACCATGTTAAATATTCCTTAGATATATTTTTTACACTTTATATAAGGGTATGTGTATATATATATATATTATCTAATGATATTTTACAAGTGTAAACAAACATTTCTATTTAGCTACTTTCTTTTTTTTAAATTTTATTACACTTTAAGTTTTAGGGTACATGTGCACAACGTGCAGGTTTGTTACATATGTACACATGTGCCACGTTGGTGTGCTGCACCCATTAACTCATCATTTAGCATTAGGTATATCTTCTAATGCTATCCCTGCCCCCCCCCACCCACCCCACAACAGTCCCCGGTGTGTGATGTTCCCCTCCCTGTGTCCATGTGTTCTCATTGTTCAATTCCCACCTATGAGTGAGAACATGCGGTGTTTGGTTTTTTGTCCTTGCGATAGTTTGCTGAGAATGATGGTTTCCAGCTTCATCCATGTCCCTACAAAGGACATGAACTCATCATTTTTTATGGCTGCATAGTATTCCATGGTGTACATTTAGCTACTTTCAATCATTCTCTTTCATTTTTAAAAAGAACAAGATATTTTAACTTGTTTCAGTTCTATCTAGTGTTTACTTAGTGCCTGTTTTGTGTTTAGCTCTCAAGGATTTGATGTTTTCATATAGCAGGTGTTTTTCAGACTAAAGAATTAAGTTGTTTTTGTTATAAAAGTAATTTATACTCTTTGTAAAGAAAATAAATGAGGCAGTAGAGAGAGATATAAAAATGAAAGTTCTGCTTGTTCACCCACCACCTCTCAGTCTAAACTTTCCAGAGGCAACCACCATCTCCTTCCTCCATTTTCTAAGCATATGTGAGGTGTTTGACTTTTGTTTGGTGATATGGTACTCTCGTTTGTGACCTTAGGCTAGCCAGGTCATTCTGAGCCTGTTTCCTCTTCTATAAAATGGGGTGGCATAGGATTATTGTGAGGATGAATGTGACAACATCTGGAAAGTAGCAAATATAGTACCTGGCATGTGATAGGCACTTCATAAATGGAACAATTAGGATTATAATTATGATACTGACTAACAGTCTGCTTTCAGAACAAAGTACTTTAATGAGGTAAGAGGAAAGTGCTTTGTATGATACATTTAGGCAGTATTGCTCACCTTACAAAAATGTCTATTCCATTTTAATCCAATTTCCACATAAGCAGAAGCAAGTTGGAAGCTCGTGCCATTCACAGAAAATGTCAGAGATAATGTTCTTATAATTTGCTGAGTTACAAATATGCCAAGCTTCCTGAAGGTAAATTTTCTGGGATCCAGACATCTCTCACTGTCAGAAATATGACAAAGTTTCATGCTTATATTCACAGCTTGTGTGGCATAATGCATTTTTGTCACTATGCCTCTATTCAAATGCACTTTTATCGTGGTACAAATACAAGATTCCTAATTTCTAAACTATTGTATTGCATTTTGGTTTCTTTCATTTTCCATGAAACTTGTTCCTGACACTTCACTAAAGGCTTACCTTTAGTTGGCACACCACAAGCTATGAGATGGTCCCCTCAGGCTCCTTGTTCAATTTCGTGATGATGTGATTAGACTTACACACAACCCATAAATACAACCCCACTAGTTCTACTTTATTAATTGATTGACAGGTTTTGGCTCTGTTGCCCAGGCTGTAGTGTGGTGATGTGGTCAGAGCTCACTGCAACCCTGAATTCCTGAGCTCAAGTGATCCCACTGCCTCAGCATTCCGAGTTGCTAGGATTACAGACATGTGCCACCATGCCCAGCTAATTTGTGTGTGTGTGTGTGTGAAGATGAGCTCTTGCTATGTTGCCCAGTCTGGTCATAGTTTTTCTTTAAACAGAATTATTTCTGCTGATTTCCTCTACATGTTCCAACACATGCTTGCTCATTTACAACCGTGAGATAGCATGCAATTAACAGGCCCACTATAGTTACAGTGTTCTCACTGCCTGTGAGGATCTTAAGATATGCTGTTCTACTTTATAGATGTAGCCCAATGCGTAACAGTGTGAGTACCATAACTATTGAATAGATCAAATAAGTAGGTGGCTGAGTGCTCCTCACAATATGTAAGGAGATATGTATATATGTAATCGATGTGTTCTGAAAGAATTGTGGCTAATTTTTGTAAACTTGAACTATATTTTATTAATTTACTTATTTTGTAAACTTGAATTTTATTCAAGATGGAAAGGTAATGGCTATTTCAAACAAACCCGAGATAAATGCTTTTGAGAAGTTTTTTTTAATGAATCATTCCTCTGCTTTATAAGAAGGGATCAGAATCATCTTTTGCATTTAATTGTGGGCCATATGAAAAGCTAAGGATGATCATATGCAGAAGAGCAAAAGAATTAGGTTTTACTGGAGGTTCATATAGCTCAGTAACATAAATTGATTTCCCCTCACAGCATCCGGCTTGAAAAATAGATGTCCTCTAAGCAATCACATTGTTCTTAAACATTCTCTTTTTGTTTTTCTAAGTATTGAACATGATGACCTAATTTAAGGAAAGTAAGGGAAGCTTAAAACAGTTTGGTTCAACTACTAGAAAAACAATGTGAGATTTTCCCACTGAAAATGAGGCATTTCAATCCAAAAGGTTAAATACAAGTCAATCAACCTGAGCAGGTGTACTGTTTACAACTATAATCAATACTGGTAATATTATGCATATTTCTACAAATTAGCCATTTCATATTACCCTTAAAAAATGAGTGCCCTGGTGGAACCCAAAACAAAAGGAAATCTACCTGTGATGTATTCTATACATCCTTTTTAAAAGGACTTTTAGAGCAGTCTTAGGTTCACAGCAAAATTGAGATGAAGGTACAGGTTCCCATATACCCCTCTAACTTCCCATTAGCAACATCCCCCACCAGAGTGGTACATTATTATAATCTATGAACCTACATTGATACATCATCATCCCAAGTTCATAGCTTTACATTAGGGTCTTCTTCTGGTGTTGTACATTCTATGAGTTTGGACAAATGTATAATGATGGGTATCCATCATTGTAGTATTAGTGTATTTTCCATTGTCCTAAAAATCCCCTGTGCTCTGTCTATTCATCCCTTCCTCCAGTCCCTGGCGTCCATTGATCTTTTCATTGTGTCTGTGGTATTGCCTTTTCCAGAAGGTCATGTAGTTGAAATCATACTATAAGTAGCCTTTTCAGACAGTCATCTTTCACTTATAACATGATCTAAGGTTCCTTATGCCATTTAATGGCTTGATAGCCATTTCTTTTTAGCACTGAATAACATTCCATTGGCTTAATGTACCACAGTTTGTGTTAAACTTATGTCCTTTGTCTTGGAGTATTTTGTGGAGATTTATTGCGAGTTTCTGCATAGATAGTCATGTGATTTGCAAATAGGGCTACTCTTCTTTCCAATTGATGCCTTTTATGTCTTTTTATTATTGCACTGGCTAGTCCAGCATTATGTTGAATTAACATGGTAAGAGTGGACATCTTTGCCTTATTCTTGTCTTTCATCATTAAGTATAATGTCAGCTGTAGGGTTTCAAGTATAACATTAAGTATAAAGTAAGCTATAGGCTCTTTATTATGTCAAGGAAGTTCTCCTCTATTCCTGTTTTTTGAGAGTTTTTATAATAGTTATTGAAGTTTGTCAAATGCTTTTTCTGTGTCCATTGATATGATCTTGATTCATTCTTTTTTAGCTTGTTAGTAAGGTCAGTTACTTTTTTTTTTTAATATTAAACCAGCTTTGCATCCCTGGAGTAATCCCAACTTGGGCATGGTGTATACTTCGTTTTGTGTTGCTGAGTTCTGTTTGTCAATATTTGGTTGAGAATTTTTGTTGATGCCATGAGGGATATTGGTCTGTAGTGGTTTCTATGATACTTTTTTGGATTGGTATTGGTAATGCTAGTTTTATAAAATGAATTGGGAACTGTTTTCTACCTCTTCTGTTTTCTGGAGGAGACTGTGTAATATTGATGTTAATTCTTCTTTAAACATTTGGCATAGTCTACAGTGAAACCATCTGGGGGCTAAAGATTTATTTTTTGGATGTGTTGAAATTAAGAATTCAAATAACTTAATAATTACAGGGCTATAAAACTAGTTATTTCACACTGAGTGAAGTGTGGTAGTTTGTGTTTTTTAAGGAATTGGTCCTTTTCATCCAAATTGTCAAATTTATATGTGTAGAATTGTTCATAGTAGTCCCTTATTATTCTTTTGATGTCTACAATGTTTTAGTGATAACCTGGGTTTAGTTCATGAAGATAATTTGTGTCTTTTCTCTCTTTTGTCAGTCTTGACAAACCTCTAGATTTTCAATTTTTAAAAGTCTTTTCAAAAACCCAGGTTTGTTTCATTCTTTTCTTTTTAACATTTCACCTTTTATTTTTGATCCTGGCGGTACATGGGCAGGTTTGTTATGTTGGACTATTATGTGATGCTGAGGTTTGAGGTAGAAAGCCCATCACCTAGGTAGTGAGCATAATACCCAATAGGTAGTTTTTTGACCAACCCCTCCCTCCTTTTTCTTCCCCCACCCCAGTAGCCTGTAGTGTCTATTGTTTCCATATTTGTCTCCATGTATGCCTAATGTTTAACTCCCACTTACAAGTGAGAACATGCAGTGTTTGTTTTTTTTTTCTGTTCCTGCATTAATTTGCTTAGTATTATGGCCTCCAACTACATTCAGGTTGCTGCAGAAGACATGATTCCATTCTTTTAATGGCCAAATAGTATTCCATGCTGTCTATGTACCACCTTTTCTTTATTCATTCTACCATTGATGGGCACCTAGCTTGATTCCATGTCTTTGCTATTGTGAATAGTGCAGTGATGAACATACAAATGCGTGTCTTTTTGGTAGAATGATTCCTTTTCCTTTGAGTATATTCCAAGCAATGCGATTGCTGGGTCAAAAGGTAGCTCTGTTTTTAGTTCTTTGAGAAGTCTCCAAACTGCTTCCCAAAATGGCTGGACAATTTACATTCCCACTAGCAGTGTATAAGCGTTCCCTTTTCTCCACAGCCTCGGCAGCATCTGTTTTTTGGCCTTTTAGTAGCCACTCTGACTAGAGTGAGATGGTATCTCATTGTGGTTTTGATTTGCATTTCTCCAATTAGTGATGCTGAGCAGTTTTTCGTATGTTTGTTGGTCACTTGTATGTCATCTCTTGAGATGCGTCTGTTCATGTCATGTGCCCATTTTTTAATGAAGTTGTTTTTTGCTTGTTGACTTAAGTTTCCCATAGATTGTGGATATTAGGCCTTTGGCAGATGCATAGGTTGTGAATCTTCTCCCATTCTGTAGGTTGTCTGCTTACTTTGTTGATAGTTTCTTTCTCTGTGAAGAAACTCTTTAGTTTAATTAAGTCATGCTTGTCTATCTCTGTTTTTGTTGCAATTGCTTTTGGGGACTTAGTCAAAAATTCTTTGCCACGACTGATGTTCAGAAACGTATTTCCTAGGTTGTCTTCTAGGATTTTATAGTTTGAGGTCTTATATTTAAACCTTTGAGAGTTAATTTTTGTGCATGGTGAAAGGTAGGGATCCAGCTTCCATATTCTCTATTTAGCTAGCCAGTTATCTCAGCAGCATTTACTGAATAAGAGGTCTGTTCTCCATTGCTTTTTTGGTTAGTCTGTCAAAGATCAGATGATTGTAGTCATGTGGCTTTATTTCTGAGTTTTCTGTACTGTTCCATTGGTGTATGTTTCTATTTTTGTGCCAGTACCATGGTTTTTTTTTTTTTTTTTTGGAGACGGAGTCTCACTCTGTCACCCAGGCTGGAGTGCAGTGGCACAATCTCAGCTTACTGCAAGTTCCACCTCCCAGCCTCCTGGATTCAGGCCATTCTCCTGCCTCGGCCTTCTGAGTAGGTGGGACTACAGGCGCCCACCACCACACCCAGCTAATTTTTTGTATTTTTAGTAGAAACGGGGTTTCACCGTGTTAGCCAGGATGGTCTCGATCTACTGACCTCGTGATCTGCCTGCCTCAGCCTCTCTAAGTGCTGGGATTTCAGGCGTGAGCCACCGCGCCTGGCCTACCATGCTGTTTTGTTTACTGTAGCTTAGAGTTTGAAATTGGGTAATGTGATGCTTCTGGCTTTGTTCTTTGTGCTTAGGATTGCTTTGGTTATTTGGGTTATTTTTGGTTCCATATAAATTTTAGAATAGTTTTTCCTAATTCTGTGAAGAATGACATTGGTAGTTTGATAAGAATGGCATTGAATCTGTAAATTACTTTTGGTAAATGACCATTTTTATGTTGATTCTTGTAATCTATGAGCATGGAATGTTTTTCCATTTGGTTTGCTAATATTTTATTGAGGATTTTTGTGTCTATGTTCATCAGGGATATTGGCCTGAAGTTTCAATTTTTGTGTGTGTGTCTCTGCCAGATCTGGGTATCATCAGGCTAATGCTAGCTTCATAGAATGAGTTAGCAAGGAGACCCTCCTCCTCAATTTTTTTAAATAGTTTCAGTAAGATTAGCACCAGCTCTTCTTTATACAACTGGTAGAAGTCAGCTGTGAATCCATCTGGTCCTGGGCTTTTTTGTATGTGTGCTAGGTTCTTTATTACTGATTGAATTTCAGAAGTTGGTATTGGTCTATTAAAGGTCCCAAACTCTTCCTGATTCAATTTGGGGAGATTCTGTGCTTCCAGGAATGTATTCTTTTCCTCTAGATTTTCTAACTTATCTGCATGGAGTTGTTTATAGTAGTCTCTGAGAATCTTTTATACTTCTATGGGATCAGTTGCAATAATATTGCCTTTGTCATTTCTGATTGTGTTTATTTGGATCTTCTCTTTGTTTTTCTTTGTTAATCTAGCTAATGGTCTACTGATCTTAGTTTTTCAAAGAACCAACTGTTTATTTCATCTTTTGTATGGATTTTTGCATCTCAAGTTCATTAAGTTCCTCTCTAATTTTAATTATTTCTTTTCTGCTAGGTTTGAGGTTGGTTGGTTCTTTTTTTTCCTAGTTCCTTTAGATGCAAATTTATATTGTTAATTTGACATCTTTCTAACTTCTTGATGATAAGTGATTTGATTAGAACTATAAACTTTCCTCTTAATACTGCTTTGGCTGCTTCTCAGAGATTTTGGTAAATTGTATCTCTTTTAATTAATTTCAAAGAATTCTGTGATTTCTGCCTTTAATTTCGATATTCACTCAGAAGTTGTTCAAGAGTAAGTTGCTTAATTTCCATGTATTTGTGTAGTTCTTAGAGATCTTTTTGATATTCATTTATATTTTTATTACATTGCAGTCCCAGAATATGCTTGGTATGATTTCAGTTATTTTCAATTTATTGAGACTTGCTTTATGACTGAGCATGTGATTGATCTTAGAATATGTTCCATGTGCAGATGAGAAGAATGTATATTCTGTGGTTGTTGGTGGAGTGTTCTGTAGATATCTATTAGGTCCAACTGGTGAAGAGTCAAGTTTAAGTCCAGAGTTAGTTACTTTTTGTTGATCTGTCTAATGTTGTCAGTGGGAGTGTTGAAGTTTCCTATATTATTGTGTGGTTGTCTAAGTCTTTTCATTGGCCAAGAAGAACTTGTTTTCTGAATCTGGGTGCTCTAGTGTTGGATGCATATATATTTAGGATATTTAAGGCTTCTTGTTGCATTGTACCCTTTATCATTATGTAATTCCCTTTATAATGTATTAATGCATGTCCTTCTTAATTTTTATTGGTTTAAAGTACATATTAATTTCCTTCTTAATTTTTATTGATTTAAAGTCTGTTTTATCTGATATAAAGACAGTGATCCCTCCTTTTTGTCTTCCATTTGCATGGTAGATTTTTCTCCATTGTTTTACCTTGAGCCTGTGGGTGTTGTTACATGTGAGGTGGGTCTCTTGAAAACAACAGATAGTTGGGTTTTGTCTTTTTATCTAGCCTGCCACTCTGTGTCTTTTTTTTTTTTTAATTTTTATTTTTTTGAGATGGAGTCTTGCTCTGTTGCCCAGGCTGGCGTGCAGTGGTGCGATCTTGGCTCACTGCAAGCTCCGCCTCCCGGGTTCACACCATTCTTCTACCTCAGCCTCCGGAGTAGCTGGGACTACAGGCGCCTGCCACCATGCCTGGCTAATTTTTGGTATTTTTTAGTAGAGACGGGGTTTCACCGTGTTAGCCAGGATGGTCTCAGTCTCCTGAACTTATGATCCACCTGCCTCGACCTCCCAAAGTGCTGGGATTACAGGCATGAGCCACTGCGCCTGGCCCACTCTGTGTCTTTTAAGTCAGGGGTCCCCAACCCCAGACCTATACTGGTCTGTGGCCTGTTAGGAATCAGGCTGCACAGCAAGAGATAAGTGGTGGGCAAGGGAGCAAAGAAGCTTCATCAGTATATACAGCCACTCCTCCTTCTGCCAATATCTATATTTTAATTGATATATTTAGATAATTTCTATTTAATGTATTTCTTAATTTGTAAGACTTAAGCCTTTCATTTTATTTTTTTCTTTCTTTGTATTTTCTTATTCTTAGTTTTGTTTCTGCCTTCCTGTGGGTTACTTGAACTTTTTATTCTTTTTGGGGGACAGAATCTTGCTCTGTCATCCAGACTGGAGTGCAGTGGCCATGCCCAGCTAATTTTTGTATTTTTTTTTTTTTTATAGACACAGGGTTTCTCCATGCTGCCCGGGTTGGTTAGTTGAACATTTTTTATAACTCCATTTTGATTTATTTATAGTACTTTTAAAATATATCCATTTGAATAGTTCTTTTAGTAGTTGCTATAGCTAATATATTATGTATACAAAACTTGTTACAGTCCATTGGCATCATAATTTTACCAGTTCTAGTGAAGTATGGAAACCTTATTTCCCTTTGTCTATTTTCCCAACTTATAAATATTTTAAATATTTCCTCTACAGACATTTAGAACCTCATCAGTGTTATAATTTTTGTACTCACTGTCAAACATAAGACAACTAAAAAGAAGAAAAGTCCATTGTATTTACCCATATTTTTTTTCCTGTTGTTTGAGGGTTCCTTCTATTAATATCATTGCCATTGGTTTTATTTCATTGCCATTGCCTTTAATGTTATAAGCTGCCCTCTCAGCATTGCTTTTGCTGCATCTCACAAATTTTGATATAGTTTATTTTCATTTTAATTCAGTTCAGTGTATCTTTTTTGTAGTCCCTGAGACTTGCTCCTTAATCCATGAATTACTTAGAAGTATGCGGCTTAGTCTGGAGAATTTCCTGTTACCTTTTTCTTATTGATTTCTAGTTTGATTTCATTGTGGTTGTAATAACATAATTTGTATGATTTCAGTTTTTAAAAATTTGTTGAGGTTTATTTTAGGGGCCAGGATATGGTCTTTCTTGCTATATGTTCCAGAGTGCTTGAACATAATTTGTATTTTCAAATTATTGTATGTTCAGTGGTGTGTTCTATAAGTGTCTGTTAGATCCTGTTGGATAATGGTGTTGAATTCTTTTATATCCTTGTTGATATTCTAATTTTAGAGAATTTTGTTTAGCCATTTTTAAAGTGGGTCTGCTGGCAACACTAGCTTTCT
Organism: Homo sapiens; assembly: GCF_000001405.40. Lineage (NCBI taxonomy): Eukaryota > Metazoa > Chordata > Mammalia > Primates > Hominidae > Homo > Homo sapiens. Next base: position 46,922,391 of record NC_000013.11, read on the forward strand.
TTCATCTGCGAATGTCTTGTTTCTCCTTCATATCTGAAAAATAATCACATTTGAAAAATGTGCCATTTCCTTCTGGCGCCCATGATTTCTGATGATAAATCCATTGTCATTTGAATTGTTTTTCCCTACAGATAAGATGGTATTTCTCTCTACGTTTTTCGAACTTTGACTATGATGTATCTTGGTGTAGTCATCTTTGGGTTTATCCTGTTTGGGGCTTACTCAGCTTGCAGGTTTATGTCCTCTGTCAAATTTGGAAAATTTCTAGCCATTATTTCTTTGAATAGCTTTTTGGCATTTTTCTTTTCATCCTTTACTTCTCAGACTCCAATGACTGAATATTAGATCTTGTGGTTCCACATGTCCCAGAGGCCCCATTAATAATATATTTTTAGTATGTTTTCTCTCTGTTCAGGTTAGGTGATTTCTATTGTTCTATCTTCCAGCTTACTGATCTCACTGATTCTTTTCTTCTGTCCTCAAATGGGCTCATTTCTGTTATTGAGCCGATTCACTGAGTTTTACATTTTTTAAATGATAGTTTTCAGTTCTTAATTCTGTTATTGAGCCCATTCACTGAGTTTTAAATTTTGGTTATTGCGGTTTTTAGTTCTAAAATTTCCATTTTGTTCTTTCTTATATCTTCTTTGATGAGACTCTATTTTTTTGTTTGAAGTATGTTTGCATTTGCTCCTTGGAGCATTTTTATAATGGCTGCTTTAAAATAATTGTCAGAGTCATTCTAATATATCTGTCATTTGTTGTTGCCTATTGATTATTTTCATTCAGTTTGAGATGTTTCTGGAATTTTTTCATATGATCTTCACTTGAAAGCTGACATTTGTATATTTTGTTATAAGATTCTGTATCTTATTTACAAACACCTTCTGTTTTAGTTGGCTTTCTCTAACACTGCTTATTCAGGGGAAGGGAGAATGCTGCTTTGTTACTGCCATGTGGGGATAGAAGTCCAGGTTTCTCACTTGGCCACTGATATGGTTTGGCTGTGTCCCCACGCAAATCTCAACTTGAATTCCCATGTGTTGTGGGAGGAACTCAGTGGGAGGTGATTGACTTATGGGGGCGGGTCTTTCCTGTGCTGTTCTGGTGACAGTAAATGAGTCTTATGAGATCTGATGGTTTTAAAAATGGGAGTTTCCCTGCACAGCTCCCTTTTATTTATTTATTTATTTTGCCTGCTGCATCCACGTAATATGTGACTTGTTCCTCCCTGTCTTCTGCCATGATCGTGAGGCTTCCCTAGCCATGTGGAACTGTAAGTCCAGTAAACTTCTTTTGTAAATTGCCCAGTTTTGGATATGTCTTTATCAGGAGCATGAAAATGGACTAATACAGCCACCATTGACAGCTGAGGGTAGGGTTCATTTTTACTGCTGAGTTGGACTTCTAGCTCCTCTCTAGGCCTCTACTGATTCCTCCTATGCTGAAATGACACCAGCACCTCATTACTGTTCCCCCCAGGGCCTCCAGTGATACCATAGGAAGGGGGTGGCATCATTACATGCAATGGTGAACATCCTGACTATCCACTGGACCTCATCTGACACTACCACATTAGGGGAGAGGAAAGGCACCTTGTTTCTGTTCCATGGGGGTAGAAGTCCAGGCTCCCCACGTGGCTTCCCCTAACACTGAGGTGGAGTGACTTGTTATCACCCAGCAAAGGCAAACGTCCTGGCTACCTACTCAGCCTTCTCTGACACCACCTTGGTGTGGGGGCTTTCAGTGCCTCAGGACAGCCTCGCAAGTGTGGCAGTCAGTGCTCTCCACTCAGCCTTCACTAGATGGGGCCACATCTAGTGTATTCTGTGACATTTGACTTTAGTAGAGTAGTTATTATCTAAAAGTTATCCATCTTTCTAGGTTGCCCCTTTCCTGGTTCTTTGGCTAGAAAGAGTCTTTTGTTGGGACTTTTCCTGTTTTTTCCTGTTGGTGTTTCCTAGTTGCCATTTTCTGAAGCACCCAGTTTAGGATATCTGAGATAAGATCCCACCCACCTCCCCCAAAAAACCAAAGATATTACTAATGTGTTGGTCCTTGGACTGTAAGGACCCAATTGGCCTTCTACACCTTTTAGGGTCATCTTATTATTATTTTTCAAAATCTATACAGCATCCAAGGTTTTAGTTGTAGTGAGAGGGATAAATAGGATAAAGTATGTCTACTCTGTATTCCTGGAAGTAGAGGTTCCTTTGGTGGAGCTTTTGAAGATTATCTCAAAATTATGGGCAGAGACCATCTCAATAGTCCACTCCTATTCTATTTGTCTACAGAAAGGGCAGTAATGCCATAGCTTGCTACCAACTCAACTTACATAGCAGAAGCAGAGGCTTTGAAAAGAGAGTTTGAATAAGCTGATATTCTAGGAGATGCTTACTATATACTCTTACAGGTTTTAAGAACTGTGATGGTTAACATTGAGTGTCAACTTGAATGGATTAAAGGATGCAAAGTATTGTTTCTGGGTGTGTCTGTGAGGCTGTTGCCAAAAGAGATTAACATTAGAGTCAGTGAAATGGGAAAGGCAGACCCTCCCTCAATCTGGGTGGGCACAATTTAATCAGCTGCCAACATGGCCTGAATAAAAGCAGGCAGAAGAACGTGGAAAGACTAGACTGGCTAAGTCTTTTGGCCTCCATCTTTCTTTCATGCTGGATGCTCCCTGCCCTTGAACATCATACTCCAAGATCTTCAGCTTTTGGACTCTCGGACTTATTTGCCAGGGGCTCTTGGGCTTTTGGCCAAAGACTGAAGGCTGAACTATCGGCTTCCTTACTCTTGGCTCCTCAGCTTGCAGATGGCCTACTGAGGGACTTCACCTTGTGAATATGAGTCAATTCTCCTAATAAACTGCCCTTCATATATACATCTATCCTATTAGTTCTGTTCCTCTAGAGAACCCTAATACAAGAACTATTACCTTCTTCCTAAGTTGTGTTCCATTTGTGAGAAAAGATACTAATTATCTAGGTTAGCAATACCTGGACAGTTTGAAGACTGTGTATAAAGGAACAAATTAAATACAAAAGGAGATGAGAAAATAGAATGACTATTTCTCTTAAAAATTTGAGTCAAATTTTAAATTATAAATAAACAATAAATAGTAATAACCTTTAATAATAAATGAGAAATACCACATAACATGAATTTACAAAGATAACTGGAAATGATCAAATTCCATATGCAATACTTAAGCATATTAGTTCCAAGATGCAACCTCTTAATCATAGCCTACTCAGTCATAAGATGTTCATTGCATATTCCTGATGAATTTTCACAGTCATTTTCCTGTCAGAAGTTTGACATTCTCTGCAGTGTTTGCTGTGCTTTTTTAACAGTATTTAAAAATCAGTTAGATTCCTGCAAACATAATTAGGTTAGAGATGTTCTGTCTCTGATAAAAACTCTCTAATTGAACAGAGGGATGTTTTCTGTAACTTCTTTCAAATTCCAGTTACCCCGACAGTTCCTTATTTTTTTCCAGTTTCTCTTAAACATCTTCTGGCATTTTCCTCACTCATTACTATTTATTAGGGACCTACTGTTACCCAGGTATTACTCTAGAGGCTGAGCATATACAGATGTGAGTAGAGTGGAATTGTGTTTCTCCCTTACAGAGCTTCCATTCTAGCTGGGAAGACAGACTACAAAAAAATACACAAAATAACACAAAACACTTGGCCAAGTGATGTGCATAGAACAATGGTGCAGTGTAAGAGGATGGGGGTGATGAATGGTGAGGGGTGAGAAGTATTTTAAATAGAGTGGCTAGGAAAAATCTTTCTTAAGAGATAATATTAGAGCTGATATCTGAATAACAAGGAGATGAGAATTGGAACAAGAACTTTCCAGGGAGAGGAAAAAGCAAATGCAAAGACCTTTGACGTGTGATTAGCTTGGGATATTTAAGGAACAATAAAGTCCAGGGTAGCTAGAGTAGAGGAAGTGAGGGGAAGAGGGAGTGGTGGGACATGAAGTTAGAGAAATAGGCAACCACCAGATTATGGAGAGCTGTGCAGGTCATAAGATGCTTGGGACTTCAGAAGAGGAGTGCTTTAGCTGTTGGGTAGAAATTTGATTGTAGGAAGCAAGAGAAGTAGAAGGAATTCCAGTTGGAAGTTGTGGCAATGGTCTAGGCTTGGACTAGCTGGTATTGGTGAAAGTGATCTCTTCAGTTTGGGGATATATGAAGTAGGTAGACCTCAATAGGACTTGCTGATGCCCTGAATGTGGGGTGTGAGAGAGAAGGGAGTCAAGAGCAACTCTGGAGTTTTTGGCCTGAGCAATTAAGATGGAGTTGCCGTTTAATGAGATGTGAAAAATTATAGGAAAAATGTATTTCTGGTGGAGGGCAAAGATTAAACTCTATTTTGGACATGTTAAATTTGAGGTGTTTCTTAAGACATTCAAATGGAGATGTTAAATAAGACGTTGGATATATTGGTCTGGAATTGAGAGATGAGATTAGGGATAGAGTATAAAATTTGAGAGTACTTGGTACTTTGAAGCCACGTGATTAGAAAAAGTTGCCTAAGGAGTTTGTAGAGATGAAGAGAAGAAGATGACTGAGGAGTCCCTGGAATGTTCTAAAGTGTAGAGTCAGTAAAAGAAGGAAGGCTAGCTCAGAAAAAAAAAATACCAAAGAGATGCAGTCATTGAGATAGGAGGAGACCTAGGAAAGCAAAATTCTGTGAAATCCAAGAGACCAAAGTTTTTCAAGTTGACCAGAGGGTGTCAAATGTCGCTGAATGATGAACAACGAGAAGATTGAGAATTGACCATAAAAGTTACAAAATAGATCTCGTTTTATGACCTTGTTGACAGAGGAATTTCGGGGAAGTGTAGGGACTGAAAGTTGTCTGATTAGGATACATTTAAATAGAATGCAAGGTCAAAAAGAAGAAAGAAGTAGTGAATAGAGACCATTCTTGGGTTTTGCTATAAAGAGCAGGAGAGAAATCATGCAGTACTGGAGCTTGTTTCTGAAGGAAAATGTTGCAACATGTTTGTATGTTGCTGGGAATGATTCCATAGTGAGGGGGATGGAAGTACTGAGATAGAAGACATTACTAGCTGTGTTAAATGTGAAATGGAATAAGATGAGGATTAAAATAGGATAGAGGAAAAATAAAATACAACAAAATAAAAGCAGATTAGAATAACATATAACAAAATATTTTCACTTTAAACTGTTATTTTCTTTTAAATTATTTTTTTAACCATCTCTTTTAACACATGCTTTTCAATTTAACCAAACACAGGACTGGTCATGTGAAATGGACATGTATTGCTTTTGTCTGTCTGGCTCCCCTCTCTAAGTGGGGGATCTGCTGTCTCTTGAGTTCAGAAATTCTGATGGACCTGCTTTTATTGCCTACTGACCTCTAGGGTGAGCACAGGACCTAGCCAGGCTGATTGGGAGACCTTATCCCTTTCACTACTGTGTTGGTCTAGGTGTGCACATAGGATATCAGAAGACTGAATTAGGACCAGGTGCAGTGGCTCACACCTGTAATCCCAGCACTTTGGGAAGTGAGGTGGGTGGATCATGAGGTCATGAGTTCGAGACCAGCCTGGCCAACATAGTGAAACCCCATCTCTACTAAAAACACATAAAATTAGCTGGGTGTGGTGGTGGGCACCTGTAATCCCAGCTACTTGGGAGGCTGAGGCAGGAGAATGGCTTGAACTCGGGAGGTGGAGTTTGCAGTGAGCTGAGATTGTGCCATTGCACTCCAGCCTGGGGGACAGAGCAAGGCTCTATCTCAACAACAACAACAACAAAAGACTGAATTAGAGTCCTGTGAGATTTTAAATATAGATGCTGAGAGGTAGAATGACTCTTTTCCTTTTGGAGAATAACCTATAAGCTTAAGGCAGGAAAGAATGAGGTAAATAAACAAAAAGAAGCAAAGACAAGACAGAGTGGGAGCAGCATCATTCAGGTCTCTGGATTTATGCCCAAATTGTATTCTCCCTTAAAATTTCTAGTTATCTGAGCCAGTGATTTCCTCTTCTTGCTTGAGCTAGTTTGATTTGAGTTTCTATCAGTTGTATCTGAAAGAGTCCTAATGATACCTTACATTACAGCACACAATTAAAATTATATATTTAAAGGACAAGGTTATTGGATGACAAGAATGCTAATCAAGAAAGAAAAATGGGATGGGCATGGTGGCTCACGCCTGTAATCCCAGCACTTTGGGAAGCAGGCAGATCACCTGAGGTCAGGAGTTCGAGACCAACCCGGCCAACATGGTGAAACCCTGTCTCTACTAAAAATACAAAAATTAGCTGGTGGTGCATGCCTGTAATCCCAGCTACTCAAGAGGCTGAGGCATGAGAATCACTTGAACCCAGGAGATTGCAGTGAGCTGAGATCACACCACTGCACTCCAGCCTGGGCAACAGAACGAGACTCTGCCTCAGAGAAAGAAAGAAAGAAGAATGTTTTGTTTGTTGGATACAATTTTTATTTCGCTTGGAATGTAGTAGATATTTTATGAAGGGAAATTAATTGAGGAGTGTGTTGACTACATATTCCCCTGAGCTTCATCCCTCAGATTGTTATGTCTGCTCACCTCCTAATAAGGAAACTATATTGTCATGCTGGCTGCCAGCATGTGCTCAGATCTTGGTCACACTGCTGAGATGTACGTAGAGTAATTGAGTTTGCAGGACTATGAAAGCAGGCCATGTCTGCTTAGTGAGTTTACCCACATTCATCTTAGGAGCCCACCATGGCATTCTCATAAAAATAAAGTAAATCTGCTGATAGGAACAAAAAACTCTTTATCACTAATATTTGGATATAGTGTTTGAATACACACACTGACAATGTTGAAAGATGGAGGAAAGTCATTATTCACTAGGAATTGCTTATTTCTGGTCATGATTTGTAGAAGTCCACATAGGGCCCGTTCTCCTGCCTTCTCAGCAAGAGAAGATTACCAAGGTAACTTGGATCTAAGCAATGACACCTGCACTTCCCCAGGAGGAAAAGGGGATCACAGACTAGGAGGAGAGTTTATTCTCTAATTCATTCTCCACCTTCAATGCTCTCAGGACTCCAGCCTTCTCTCTCTGAAACACTGAGGTTGAGGGGTACTTCACATGTGTGAAGGGCTGTGGTGGCCATGTAAGGTGACCATCCCCTACCTCTTCCAGGCTGTGACGGGGACCTTCTCTGCTGCTGTGAAGCAGAAGGGGAGGCCCAGGGTCCAGGTTACTTCCAGCCTCTCCTACATCTGACATTGGCAAAATGCTCCACATCAGCTTGTGTGTTATGTTTTGCCTTAAAACAGAGCTATCGGTCTCTTAGGTTTCCTAATGACGTTCTATTATGCTCATTCTGCACCGCAGTCTCCTCGTCATAAAAAAGTCAATCTGTGTGCCTGGGTAGTAGGGTAGTTTGAGTAGCATGTACTATATATATTTGGAGTTATCCTTCTCCAGAAAACAACTAGCCTAGTGAGAATAAAACAAGTAGACAACCATCTGCAAACCAGGAAGTGGGGCCTCATGAGAGACCATAGCTGCCAGCACCCTGGTCTCGGACTTCCTAGTCTTCACAACTGCAAGAAATAAATATTTGTTGTTTAAGCCACCCAATCTATGGTAATTTGTTATAGCTACCCAACTGACCAAGAAAATGCTTCTAAGTTATAAAATTTCCATTTGTTCTTCTTTGTGTCGTTTATTTATTTGTTCTTTTAAGAGTGTTTACAATTGCTTGCTGGAGCATTTTTATAATAGCAGCTTTAAAGTCTTTGTCAGATAATCCTAACAAATGTTTAATCTCTGATGTCTGTAGGTTGTCTTTCACCATGTGAATGGAGAAGTTCCTGGTTCTTCATATGCCAAATGATTTTGGATTAAATCCGACACATCTTAAATATTATGTTGTGAGATTCTGGGTCTTGTTTAATCCTGTGGTGAATATGAATAGTTTTTTTTAGCAGTCTGATTAGTCAGACTGAAAGTTTAAAACTGCAGTGGTTCCAATGTCAAGTCAGTTTTAAAAGCCTTGCAATGTTATTTGGATCTACTCCATCTGCACATCAGCTGGTGGTCAGTTTGGGATCACCAAACTGGGTGGAGATCTGTCTTTTAGTTCAACTCTCTCTTTTATCTTATTACATTTTATTTTATTGTGGTAAGAACTTTTAACATGTAATATACCTTCTTGACAGAGTTTTAAGTATACATTATTGTTGATTATAGTTAAAAGGTTGTACAGAAGATCTCTAGAGCTTATTCATCTTGATTAATTGAAACTTAATGCCCCTTGATTAGTAACTCCCCATTTTCCTCCCCCCAACCACTGGCAACCACCATTCCACTCTCTGATTCTATGAATTTGATCATTTTGGATACCTCATCTAAATGGAATCATGTAATATTTGTCTTTCTGTGACTGGCTTATCTGACTTAGGTTCATCTATGTCGTTAAGATTCATTCATGTTATCACACACTGCAGAATTTTCTTTTTAAAATTTGTATAATATTTCATTTTCTTTATGTATCTGTCAATGGACATTTAGATTGCTTTTACATCTTGGATATTATGAATAATGTTGCAATAAACATGGAAGTGCTGATAATTCTTTGAGATTCTGATTGTGGTTCTTTTGAATAAATACCCAGAAATGGGATTGCTGGATCATATGGTAGTTCTATTTTTTAATTTTTGAGGAAATTTAATACTATTTTCCATAGAGGCTGTACTATTTTGCATTCCCCCATCAGTGTGGAAGAGTTTCAGTTTATTCACATCCTTACCAACACTTGTCTTTACTTTTTTTGACAATTTCTACTCTGACAGGTGTTAGGTCATATCTCATTGTGGTTTTGATTTGCATTTCTCTGATTAGTGACATTAAACTTTTTTCATATACTTTTTGGTCATTTGTATGGCTTCCTTGGAAAAATGTCTATTCAAGTCTTTAGCATGTTTTAAATGCTAAATTATTTGTCTTTTTTGCTACTAAGTTGTAGGAGTCTCATATATTTTGGATATTAATCTCTTATCAGATAGATGGTTTGCAAATGTTTTTTTCTCATCCTGTGGGCTGCTTTTTCACTATGATTCTTTTGCTGTGCTAGAAGCCTTTTAATTGAATGCAGTCCCACCGGTTTGTTTTAGTTGACTGTAATTTTAGTGTCATATCCATGAAATCATTGCTAAGACCAATGTCATAAAGATTTCCCTCTGTTTTCTTCTAGAATTTTACAGTTTCAGGCCTTACATTTAAGTCTTTAATTCATTTTGAGTTGATCTTTGTGTGTTAGGAGAGAGCGGTTCAGTTTTCAATTGTTTATTTACTGATTAAGATCTTATCCACATGTGCACAGCTCCTGGATGAACCCAGGAGTTAACAAACAACTTTAGTCCTTTAGCCAGATATATGGGGCTTCAGTTATCCTGTTCTTCCCTGGACTTCTGCATCTGTACCCACATGTGGGGCCAAGTGGTGGAAATTCTGACTAGAGGGATAAAAAATGGTAAATTCACCACTGATTGGGTGGTACTTTGAATTTTGATCTTTATTCCCAATTAATCTGCCACTATTTACTTTTCAGAATGTCCCAAAATCTTCTGCATCCAATCTGTCTAGGTTTTATAATTCAGTGAGAGACAGCGAGGAAAGTGTTTACCCCATCTTGCCCAGATTCAGAAACTCTGGCTTAGAATTTAGATAATACCTTGAATTTTTTTTCCCTAAAGGGCAAATAGGAAATATTTCAGGCTAGTGGGTCACATAATTTCTGTTGCAACTACTCAATCCTGCTGTTATAGCATGAAATCAGGTGTAAAACATATATAAATGAATGGGTATGACTGTGTCCCATTAAAAATTTATTGATTAAAAACAGCTGGCTGGCCTGCCAACCATAGTTTGCCAACCTCTGTTTTAGATAATGAGTGAATAATATTGAGCCAGGGGTATGGAATGGCAATAGGAAATATTAAAAGGTTTTTCTCTTCACCTCACTGTGGAAATCTTGTTGGGGTGTCCAGACCCAACACCAGGTCATGGGGGTGACGAATCCGGTGGAGTCAAAGGATTGAGAAAAGACAGTTTGAGAGAGAGAAGTGGGAACAGGGGGCCATTGCGATCATGGAGGCTGTGAAGACCCCAAGCTCTGGGAGCCCACACTGTTTATTGGTAATCCAACAGAGAAACACGTGGTGAGAATGTGGGGTCAAAAGAGCAGGCACATGATCTACAGCTGTGATGGTTTAGCATTTATATGGAACATGTTCTGCTGCTTGACATAATGGGAATAGGAGCCTAGGAGGGCTAGAAGCAAGGAGCGAGCAAGTCTAGACACACTCCAGAGGACATTGTGTCAGTCGTGCAAGCCCTGCCTCAGCTTTCTTCCCAACCCTAAGCTTTTTTCTCAACAAATCCCATGTGGATAATGAGAATTCTCAAAGGTAACCATTTATTTTATTATGTTTCATTTAAACACTGTGATACTCCTATCTCTTGCAACATACCATATTGGACATTTAAGTAGTAAGGGTTTCCTTCTTGAATTATAGGCTAATTATGGTCTTTGACTCTTCCTGCCAACTGTTACTTTCCTATCGTTCTTCAGAGCTACTTCTCAACTAAGATTTAGTTACCTATGTCTTTTATCACTGTTGATTTTTGACAGGGATAGGGTAGGACAGCTAATTGGCTCATTATCTGAGCTGGATTGGTGAGCATACATGAAGATGGTACTGTTTCTTCAGGTGTCAGCCAAGATGGCAAGCAGGAATAATACTTTAATTATAGAAGGCTGACATTTCTCACCAATTCATGTGGACATATGAGCACAGTATTTGCAATTCACAACAGAAAAGATTGCTGATATTAGTCCTGGTTAAACAGAAGCATTGTTTGTCACACAAACCAACTAGAAGCACATCTTGACCAAAGAAATTTAGCCAGTCTACAAATGTGGAAACAAATGTTTGCAGGAGGTCTTTTGGGATGGTTACTTCTCAGGCTTAGATGTTATCCCAATGACTTAATTTTTTGCCCCATGGAATCATAAAAAAATGTTTTCTAAGACCCCCAAGAACCAAGTAGAATGGACAGAGATGTGTTATCTTGATTTCAAGAAGAGATCTGTAAGAAGAAGTGTTTTGCAATTTTTAATTTTACATTCCACATTGAAGTCTGGTCACTCTTGTACAAAGCAGGCATCCCTTGAGGCTCTGTGACTTCCATCTGCCTAAGATTCTAACATCTGGTAGAAGCTGATATGAGGCTATTTTCTGGAGTTCTTTTTGAACTGTTTGATGAACTTCTCACCTAGCCCCACTTTCAGCAGTTCTCATTGAAAAACAGTGCATTTTGTCATAATCTTTTTTTTGAGGAGCTGATAATGAGGAAATAATAAAGAAGAGAAGGAAAAAAGGGAGGAAAAAAGAATGAAGAGGGAAGAAATTAGAAACCAACATTACTTGCAAGAAGAATAGCTTAATACTTTTATATATATTATATAATTTAATATTTACAGCTGTTGACAGAAAACCCAAATTCTGCAAAAGCATATTGAAAGAAGTTTATTCTGAGAAGAGGCAGAACAAGATGGTTGAATAGAAGCCTTTATTAATCATCCTCCCTGTAAGAACATCAAATTTAGCTGTCCACACATAAAAGCACCTTCATAAGAACCAAAAGCCAAGTGAGCAACCACAGTACCTGGTTTTAACTTTAGATCACTGAAAGGCATTGAAGAGGGTAGGAAAGACAGTCTTGAACTGCCTATGCCACCCCTTCCCTATTCCCTTGCAGCATCCATGTGGACAGAGAGAGAATCCATCTGCCTGGGAGAGACAGAGCACAGTGATTGTAAGACTTTGCACTAGAGCTCAGCGTTGCCTTGTCATAGTGGAAAGCAATACCAGGCAGGACTCAGCCAGCAGCCACAGAAGGAACATTCAGATCAGCCTTAGCTAGAGAAGAATTATCCATCCTAGCAGCTGGAAACTGAGTTCCAGTAAGTGCTGCCACTGTGGGCTAAAGTGCTGTGGAGTCCTAAACTTGGAACATAGTCTAGGCTACAAGGACTGCAATTCCTGGGCAAGTCCTGGTGCTTTGCTGGGCATGGGTCCAGTGGACTTGTGAGGGGTATGTGAGCTAGTGAGACACCAGGTGGGGCAGTCAAGGGAGTGCTTGTACCACCCTCCCTGAACCCCAGGCAGCACAGCTCACAGCTCCAAAAGAGACTCCTTCCCTCCACTTGAGGAGAGGGGAAGGAAGAATAAAGAGGACTTTATCTTCCAACATGGATACCAGCTCAGCCATAACAGGACTGGTCACTGGGAGAAGTCCTGAGGCCCCGTTTTAGGCCCTAGCTCCCAGATGACATTTCTATGCTCACCCTGGACCAGAAGGGAATCAACTGCCTTGAAAGAAAGGACCCAGTTCTGTCACCAGCTGACTAAAGAGCCCTTGGACACTGAATAGGCAGCAATGGTAGGCAGGTAGCACTTCCTGTGGACCTTGGGTGAAACTCAAGAGGCATGCTGGTTTCAGGTGTGACTCAGCATATTCCCAGCTGTAGTTGTTATGAGGAGAGGCTGCTTCTGCTTGAGAAGAGGAGAGGGAAGAGTCTATGGGATTTTGTCTTGCAGCTTAGGTACCAGCTCAGACACAGTAGGGTAGAACACCAAGAGGGTTGTTGGGGTTCCTGATTCTGTGTCCTGAATTGGTGGGTTCTTGGTCTCACTGACTTCAAGAATGAAGCCGCGGACCCTCGTGGTGAGAGTTACAGCTCTTAAGGTGGCGCGTCTGGAGTCTGTCCCTTCTGATGTTCAGATGTGTTTGGAGTTTCTTCCTTCTGGTGGGTTCGTGGTCTCGCTGGCTCAGGAGTGAAGCTGCAGACCTTCGCAGTGAGTGTTACAGCTCTTAAGGTGGCACGTCTGGAGTTGTTCGTTCCTCCCGGTGGGCTCGTGGTCTTGCTGGGCTCAGGAGTGAAGCTGCAGATCTTCGCGGTGAATGTTACAGCTCATAAAAGCAGCGCGGACCCAAAGAGTGAGCAGCAGCAAGATTTATTGCAAAGAGCAAAAGAACAAAGCTTCCACAATGTGGAAGGGGACCCAAGTGGGTTGCCAATGCTGGCTCGGGCAGCCTGCTTTTATTCTCTTATCTGGCCCCACCCACATCCTGCTGATTGGTAGAGCCGAGTGGCCTGTTTTGTCAGGGTGCTGATTGGTGCATTTACAATCCCTGAGGTAGATACAAAGGTTCTCCACGTCCCCATCAGATTAGTTAGATGCAGAGTTTCGACACACAGGTTCTCCAAGGCCCCACCAGAGCAGCTAGATACAGAGTGTCGATTGGTGCATTCACAAAACTTGAGCTAAACACAGGGTGCTGATTGGTGTATTTACAATCCCTGAGCTAGACATAAAGGTTCTCCAAGGCCCCACCAGAGCAGCTAGATACAGAGTGTTGATTGGTGCACTCACAAACCTTGAGCTAGACACAGGGTGCTGATTGGTGTGTTTACAATCCCTGAGCTAGATATAAAGACTCTCCATGTCCCCACCAGACTCAGGAGCCCAGCTGGCTTCACCTAGTGGATCCCACACCAGGGCTGCAGGTGGAGCTGCCTGCCAGTCCCACGCCGTGCGCTCGCATTCCTCAGCCCTTGGGTGGTCGATGGGACTTGGCGCCATGGAGCAGGGAGTGGTGCTCGTTGGGGAGGCTTGGGCCGCACAGGAGCCCATGGAGTGGGTGGGAGGCTCAGGCATGGCGGGCTGCAGGTCCCGAGCCCTGCCCCGCGGGAAGGCAGCTAAGGCTCGGTGAGAAATCGAGTGCAGCGCCGGTGGGCTGGCACTGCTGGGGGACCCAGTGCACCCTCCGCAGCCACTGGCCCGGGTGCTAAGTCCCTCATTGCCCGGGGCCAGCAGGGCTGGCTGGCTGCTCCGAGTGGGGGCCCGCCAAGCCCATGCCCACCCAGAACTCCAGCTGGCCCGCAAGTGCCGCACACAGCCCCGGTTCCCGCTGGCGCCTCTACCTCCACACCTCCCTGCAAGCTGAGGAAGTGGGCTCCAGCCTTGGCCAGCCCAGAAAGGGGCTCCCACAGTGCAGCGGTGGGCCGAAAGGCTCCTCAAGTGCCGCCAAAGGGGGAGCCCAGGCAGAGGAGGCGCCGAGAGTGAGCGAGGACTGTGAGGACTGCCAGTACACTGTCACCTCTCAATTCCAGGCCTTGACTCTAGGATGGCATTTCTGAATCTGCCCTGGGATAGAGGGAGTCCCAGGTCAGGCAGCATTCACCACAAGCTGAAGAGCCCTTGGGCCTTGAGTAAACATTGGCACTAGCCAGGCAGTACTCACCACAGGCCTGGGGCAGTGGTGGTAAAGGGGAGAGACTCTTCTCCTTATGGAAAGGAGAGAGAAGAGTGGGAAGGGCTTTGTCTTGTGCCTTGGGTTCCAGCTCAGCCACAGTAGACTAGTGTACCAGGTAGATTCCTAAGGTTTGTGGCTCCTGGACAGCATCTCTGGACATGTCTGGAGCTGGGGGAACTTGCTAACCTGAAGGGAAGGACACAAGCCTGGCTGGTTTGCCACTTGTTGGTTGTAGAGCTCTGGGGCCTTGAAAAAAACATAGGCAGTAGTCATAGTGGTTACTGTGGGCCTTGAGTGAGATTCAGTACCATGCTGGCTTCAGGTCTGACCCAGTACAGCCTCAGTGGTGGTGGCCACAGGAGTGCTTGTGCCACCCCTCTCTAGCTCCAGGTTGCTCAGCACAGAGACTACATTTGTTTGGGAGAAAGTAAGGGAAGAGAACAAGAACTTCTGCCTGGTAATCCAGAGAATTGTCCTGGATCTTATAGAAGACCACCAAGGCAGTGCCTCCAAAAGTCTGCAAGAGCTACATTGTTACCTGGTTTGGGGTGCCCCCTAAGGCAGATACCTGGAAAATATTCCCAAGAAGGGCAGGTACAAACAAATCCGGACTGCAAAGACTACAAAAGGTATTTAACTCTTCAATGCCCAGACACTGACAAATATCCATAAGCATCAAGACCATCTAGGAAAACATGACCTCACCAAACAAACTAAGGAACCAGAGACCAATCCTAGAGAGACAGAGATTTGGTTTTTCAGACAGATAATACAAAATACCTTTTTTTTTTGAGGAAACTTAAAAGCTCAAGATAATACAGAGAAGGAATTCAGAATTTTATCAGATAAATTGAAAAGAGATTGAAATAATTTTTAGACATCAAGCAGAAAATCTGGAGTTGAAAAGTGCAGTTGACACACTGAAGAATGCATCAGTCTTTTACCAGCAGAACTGATCAAGCAGAAGAAAGAATTAGTGAGTTTGAAGACTGGCTATTTGAAAATACAGTCAGAGGAGAAAACAGAAAAAGAATGAGAAAGAATGAAGCATGTCTACAACTTCTAGAAAATAGCCTGAAAAGGCCAAATTTAAGAGTTACTCATCTTAAAGAAGATATATGTGTGTGTGTGTGTGTGTGGTGGTGGGTTGGGGGTTGGTTTTCAAAGGGATAATAAAAGAGAACTCCCCAAACTTAAAGATATCAATATTCAAGTACAAGAATGTTATGGAACACTGAGAAGATTTAACCCAAATAAGACTATTTCAACTTAGTAATCAAACTCCCAAATGTCAAGGATATAAAGAAAGGATTCTAAAAACAACCAGAGAAAAGAAAGAAAGAACATACAATGGAGCTCCAAAACATCTGGCAGCAGACTTTCCAGTGGAAACCTTACAGGCCAGGAGAGAGTGGCATGACATATTTAAAATGCTGAAGGAAAAAAAAAACCAAACTTTTATCCTAGAATAGTATATCCAGTGAAAATATCCTTCAAATGCAGAGAAATAAACAATTTCCCAGACAAACAAAAGGTGAGGGATTTCATCAACACTGAACCAGGCCTAAAAGAAATGCTAAAAGGAATTCTTCAGTCTGAAAGAAAAGGACATTAATGAGCAATAAGAAATCAGCTGAAGGTGTAAAACTCACTGGTAATAGTAAGTATACAGAAATACACAGAATATTATAACACTGTAATTGTATGTAATCTCATATCTTGAATTATACTAGAGTAAAAGAGAAAGTAATAAAAAATAACTACAACATTTCAAGATATTCAATAAGATAGAAACAACAAAGTTAAAAAGCAGGGGGAAAAAGTTAAAGTGTAGTTTTTATTAGTTTTCTCTTTGCTTGTTTGTACAATCATTATTAAGTTGTCATGACTTTAATGTGTTAAATTATTCACAAGCCACATGTAACCTCAAATCAAAAAACATACAATGGATACACACACACACAAAGCAAGAAATTAAAACATATTATCGAAAAAATCACCTTCACTAAAAAGAACAAAGAAGGAAAGAGATCACAAAACACCAGAAAAATTAACCAAAATGGCAGGAGTATGTCCCTACTTAATAATAAGATTGAATGGAAATGAACAAAATGCTCCAATGAAAAGACAAAGACTAGTTAAATGGATGAAAAAGCAAGACCCAATTATCTGTTGCCTAGAAGAAACACACTTCAACTATGAAAATACTCCATGGTGGCCAGGTGCGGTGGCTCACGCCTGTAATCCCAGCACTTTGGGAGGCCGAGGCGGGCAGATTGTGAGGTCAGGAGTTGGAGACCATCCTGGCTAACACAGTGAAACCCCGTCTCTACTAAAAATACAAAAAAAATTAGCTGGGTGTGGTGGCGGGCACCTGTAGTTCCAGCTACTCGGGAGGCTGAGGCAGGAGAATGGCGTGAACCCAGGAGGTGGAGCTTGCAGTGAGGCAAGATCATGCCACTGCACTCCAGCCTGGGCAACAGAGCGAGACTCTGTCTCAGAAAAAAAAAAAAAAATACTCCATGCCTGTGGAAACCAAAAAAGAGCAGAAATAGCTATACTAATATTAGAGAAAATAGATTTCAAGACAAAAACCATAAAAAGAAAGGTCATTATATAATGATAAAGAAGTGGATTCAGCAGGAGGATATAACAGTTGTAAACATATATGCACCAAAACTGGAACACCAGAGACATAAAGTAAATATTACTAGACCTAAAGAGAGGGACAGACCTCTATACAATAATAGCTGGAGACTTCACCACCTCACTTTCAGAATTGTACAGGTCATTCAGACAGAAAATTAACAAAAACATTGGACTTACTCTGAACTAAAGACCAAATGGACCTAATATTTACAGAACATTTCATTCAATGGCTGCAGCATACACGGTCTTCTCAACATACGGATCATTGTCAAGGATTGATCATATGTTAGGGCATAAAACAAGTCTTAAAAAATTAGAAAAAACCAGCCTGGCCAACATGGTGAAACATTGTGTCTACTAAAAATACAAAAAAGAAAAAAAGTAAGTAAAAACAAAAATTAGCTGGGTGTGGTGGCACGTGCCTGTAATCCCAGCCACTCGGGAGGCTGAGGCACAAGAATTGCTTGAAATGGGAGGGCAGAGGTTGCAATGAGCCAAGATTGCACCACTGCACTCCAGCCTGGGTGACAGAGTGAGACTCTGTCTCACACATACACACAAATATATATTTATATATTAAGTATTTTCTTCTCTGGCCACAATGGAATAAAACTAGAAATAAGTAACAGGGAATTTTGAAATTATACGAACACCTGGAAATTAAACAATATGCTCCTGAATGACCAGTGGGTCAAAGAAGAACTTAAGAAGGAAATTGAAAAATTTCCTGAAATAAATCATAATGGAAACATACCAAAATCTATGAGATACAGTGAAAGCAGTACTAAGAGGAAAGTTTATAGATATAAGTGCCTACATCAAAAAAAAATAGAAAAACTTCAAAGAAACAACATAACAGTACATCTTAGAGAATTAGAAAAGCAAGAGCATGCCAAACCCAAAATTAGTAGAAGGAAAGAAATAATAAAGATCAGAGCAGAAATAAATAAAATTGAAAGGAAAAGAACAGTACATAAGATCAATGAAATAAAAACTTGTTTTTTTAAAGATAAATAAAATTGATAAAAACCTTTAGCCAGACTAAGAAAAAAATGAGAGAAGACCCAATAAGTCAGAGATGAAAAACAAGACATTACAACTGATACCACAGAAATTGAATGGATCATTAGAGGCTGCTATGAGCAATCATATGCCAATAAATTGGAAAACCTGGAAGAAATGGATAAATTCCTAGACACATACCACCTACTAAGATTGAACCACGAAGAAATCCAAAACCTGAATAGATCAATAAGAAGTGACAAAATTGAAGCGGTAATAAAAAGTCTCCTGCAACAAAAAGAAAGGGGGAAAAAAAAAAAAAAAACAAAACCGTACCTGAGAGCTTCTCTACTGAATTCTGAATTTTGCCAAGCATTTAAAGAAGAACTAATGCCAATTCTACTCAAACTGTTGAAAAAAATAGGGAAGGAAATATTTCAAAACTTGTTCTATGAGACCTGTATTACCCTCGTACCAAAATCAGAACAACACATCAAAAAACAAAAACAAACAAAACACACACAAAAAAACCCTACAGCTCAGTTTTTCTGATGGACATTGATGTAAAAATTCTCAACGCATCAGCAAACTGAACTCAACAATACGTTAAAAAGATCATCTACCATTTTCAAGTGAGACTTATCCCAGGGAAGCAAGGATAGTTCAACATATGCAAATCAATTATTGTGATACATTGTATCAAGATGAAGGACAAAAATCATATGATTGTTTCAACTGATGTTGAAAAAGGATTTGACAAAATTCAACATCCCTTTATGATTAAAAACTCTCAAAGAACTGAGTGTAGAAAGAACATACCTCAAAATAAAAAAAGTTATATATGACAGTATGGAGCTATACTGAATGGGATGTCATACTGAATAGGGAAAAACTGAAAACCTTCTAAGATCTAGAACATGACAAGGATGCCCAATTTCACCACTGCTATTCAAAATGGTACTGGAAGTCCTAGCTACAGCAATCAGACAAGAGTAAGAAAGGACATCCATATTGAAAGGAAAAAGTCAAATTATCCTTGTTTGTAGATTATATGGTTTTATATTTGGAAAAACCTAAGGACTTCACTAAAAAGCTATTTGAACAGTAAAATTCAGTAAAGTTGCAGGATATAAAATCAATACACCGAATTAGTAGAATTTCTATATGCCAATGACAAACAATCTTAAAATAAATCAAGAAATAATCCTGTTTACAATAGGTACAAATAAAACATTTTCTTTATAAAACAATAGGTACAAATAAAACTATAGAAAGACAGACTTTGCATGTTCTGACTTATTTGTTGGAGCTAAAAATTAAAACAATTGAACTTAGAGTAGAAGTGTCATTACCAGAGGCAGGAAAGGTATTTACGGGAAGAGGAAATGTTTAAAAATATAGTTTGATGGACTATACCACAAGGCTACAGCAACCAAAATAGCATGGTACTGGTACCAAAACAGATATATAGACCAATGGAGTAGAACAGAGGCCTCAGAAATAATGCTGTACATCTATAACCATCTGATCTTTGATAAACCTGACAAAAGGAATGGGGAAAGGATTTCCTATTTAATAAATGGTGTTGGGAAAACTGGCTACCCATGTGCAGAAAACCGAAACTGGACCCCTTCCTTACACCTTATACAAAAATTAACTCAAGATGGATTAAAGACTTAAGCATAAGACCTAAAACTATAAAAACCCTAGAAGAAAACCTAGGCAATACCATTCAGGACATAGGCATGGGCTAAGACTTCATGACTAAAACACCAAAAGTAATGGCAACAAAAGTCAAAATCGACAAATGGGATGTAATTAAAGAGCTTCTGTACAGCAAAAGAAACTATCATCAGAGTGAAAAGGAAACCTGCAGAATGGGAGAAATTTTTTGCAATCTATCCATCTGACAAAGGGCTAATATCCAGAATATACAAAGAACTTAAACAAATTTACAAAAAAAAAAAACCCCATCAAAAAGTGGGTGAAGGATATGAACAGACACTTCTCAAAATAAGACATTTATGCACCCAACAAACACATGAAGAAAAGCTCATCATCATTGGTCATTAGAGAAAAGCAAATCAAAACCACAATGAGATACCATGTCATGCCAGTTAGAATGGAGATCATTAAAAAGTCAGGAAAGAACAGATGCTGGAGAGGATGGGGAGAAATAGGAACGCTTTTACACTTTTGGTGGGAGTGTAAATTAGTTAAACCATTGTGGATATAGTGTGGCAATTCCTCAAGGATCTGGAACCACAAATACCATTTGACCCACAAACCCATTACTGGGTATATACCCAAAGGATTATAAATCATTCTACTATAAAGACACATGCACAAGTATGTTTATTGGAGCACTGTTCACAATAGCAAAGACTTGGAACCAACCCAAATGCCCATCAGTGATAGACTGGATAAAGAAAATGTGGCACATATACAACATGGAATACTATGCAGCCATAAAAAGGATGAGTTCATGTCCTTTGCAGGGATATGGATGAAACTGGAAACCATCATTCTCAGCAAACTAACACAGGAACAGAAAACCAAACATGGCATGTTCTCACTCATAAGTGGGGGTTGAACAATGAGAACACAGGGACACAGGGAGGGGAATATCACATACCAGGGCCTCTCACGGGGTGGGGGGTTGGGGAGGGATAGCATTAGGAGAAATACCTAATGTAGATGATGGGTTGATGGGTGCAGCAGACCACCATGGCCTGTGTATACCTATGTAACAAACCTGCATGTTCTGCACCTGTGTCCCTGAAATTAAAGTATAATTTAAAAAAAATGGATCACAGAGACAAATATAAAAATAAAATCGTACAACTTCTAGAAGAAGGAAAAAAATATAGTTTGATTGTATAAGTTCTAGTATGCGACAACACAATAGGGTGACTACAGTCAACAATCATTTATTGTACATTTAAAAATAACTGAGTTTAATTGGATCATTTGTAACACAAAGGAAAAATGCTTGAGATGATGGAAACCCCACTTAACGTTGATATGATAATTTCACATTATATTACTCTATCAACATGTCATGTAACCCACAAATATATATACCTGCTATGTTCCTACAAAATTTAAAAATAAAAAACTTTACAGAAAATTCAACCCTTTTCTTATTTTCTCCAGGAATATCTTGCCAGTGGTGGTTGTGGCTCTGGCATTTACTCCAAGATAATTTTGCCGTAAGATATCTCACCTTTATTATTATTTTAGCATTACTCTAGTATATTGACTTTGGAACAAAGCACATCATTCTATTTATAGCATTCTGTTTTTATTAGTGGTATTTCCATTTATAAAATATAGTAATTCTTGATTGCTAAAGATGTCAAATCCTAGAAAACATAGCATTTCTACACATGATGTTAACATTGTTCTCAAAGAGTTGTTGGCCAAATGTATTACACCATTTTCATGTTGCTGATAAAGACATACCTGAGACTGGGTAATTTATGAAGAAAAAGAGGTTTAGTGGACTCACAGTTCCACATGACTGGGGAGGCCTCACAATCACGGTGGAAGGTAGAAGGCACATTTTATGTAGTGGCAGACAAGATAGAATGAGAGCCAGGTGAAAAGGGAAACTTCTTATAAAACCATCAGATCTCATGAGACTTATTTACTACCATGAGAACAGTATGGGAGAAACTGTCCCCATGATACAATTTATCTCCCACTATGTTCCTCCAACAACATGTGGGAATTATGGGAGCTATAATTCAAGATGAGATTTGTGTGGGGTCGCAGCCAAACCATATGATTCCACCCCAGCCCCTCCCAAATCTCATATCCTCATATTTCAAAACAAATCAAGTCTTCCTGACAGTCCCCCAAAGTCTTAACCCATTTTAGCATTAATTCAAAAGTCCACAGTCCAAAGTCTCATCTGAGACAGGGCAAGTCCCTTCTGCCTATGAGCCTATAAAATCAAAAGCAAGTTAGTTCCTTCCTAGATACAATGAAGGTACAGGTGTTAGATAAACATATCCATTCCAATGGGAGAAACTGGCCAAAATGAAGGGCTAAAGGCCCCATGCAAGCCTGTGATCCAATGGGGCAGTGAAATCTTAAAGCTCCAAAATAATCTCCTTTGACTTCATGTCTCACATCCAGGTTATACTGATGTAAAAGGTGGGTTCCCATGGTCTTGGGCAGCTCTGCCCCTGTGGCTTTGCAGGGTACAGCTTCCCTCCTGGCTGCTTTTAGGGGCTGGCATTGAGTGTCTGTGGCTTTTCCAGGTGCACAGTGCAAGCTATGAGTGGATCTACCATTCTGGGGTCTGGATGATGGTGGCCATCTTCTCACAGCTCCACTAGGCAGTGGCCCAGTGGAGACTTAGTGTGGGGGATCCAACCCCACATTTCCCTTCCACACTGCCCTAGCAGAGGTTTTCCATGAGGGCCCCGCCCCTGCATCACACTTCTGCCTGGGCATTCAGGCATTTCTATACATCCTCTGAAATCTAGGTGGAGGTTTCTAAACCTCAATTCTTGACTTCTGTCCACCCATAAGCTCAATACCATGTGGAAGCTGCCTTCTTGAGGCTTGTACCCTTTGAAGCCATGGTCTGAGCTGTTCCTTGGCCCCTTTTAGCCATGGCTAGAACAGCTGGGACACAGTCCCTAGGTAGGCTTCACCAATCCATGAAACCATATTTTCCTCCTAGGCCTTCAGGCCTATGATGCAAGGGGTTGCTGTGAAGGTCTCTAACATGCCCTGGAGACATTTTCCCTGTAGTCTTGGTGATTAACATTTGGCTCCATGTTACTTATGCAAATATCCACAGCCATCTTGAAATTCTCCTCAGAAAATGGGTTTTTCTTTTCTACTGCATCATCAGGCTGCAAATTTTCCAAACTTTTATGCTCTGTTTCCTTTTTAAAACTGAATACTTTTAACAGCACCCAAGTTACCTTTTGAATGCTTTGCTGATTAGAAATTTCTTCTGCCAGATACCCTGAATCATCTCCGTCAAGTTCAGAGTTCCACAAATCTCTAGGGCAGGAGCAAAATGCCACCAGTCTCTTTGCTAAAACATAGCAAGAGTCACCTTTACTCCAGTTCCCAACAAGTTCCTTATCTCCATCTGAGACCATCTCAGCCTGAATTTCATTGTCCATATCATTATCAGCATTTTGGGCAAAACCATTTAACAAGTCTCAGGAAGTTCCAAACTTTCCCACATCTTTCTGTCTTCTGAGCCCTCCAAGTCTCTGGGAAGTTCCAAACTTTCCCATGTTTTTCTGTCTTCTTCTGAGCTCTCCAAACAGTTCCAGCCTCTGCCTGTTACCCAGTTCCAAAGTTGCTTCCACGTTTTCAGGTATCTTTACAGCACCACCCCACTGCCCGGTACCAATTTAATGTATTAGTCCATTTTCATGCTGCTGATAAAGACATACCTGAGACTGGGTAATTTATAAAGAAAAAAAGGTTAATGGACTTGGTTCTACATGGCTGGGGAGACCTCACAATCATGGCAGAAGGTTGAAGGCACGTTTTACATAGCGGCAGACAAGAGAGAATAAGAACCAAGCAAAAAGGAAAACCCTGTATAAAACCATCAGATCTCCTGAGATTTACTACTATGAGATCAGTATGGGGGAACTGCCCCATGATTCAATTATCTCCCTCTGAGTCCCTCCCACAACACATGGGAATTATGGAAGCTGAAATTCAAGATGAGATTTGGGTGGGGACACAGCCAAACCATATCACTGAGTTTCATTTGATAAATCTGATCTTTCTGAAATAGATGATTCTGATGATTCAGATGATTCTGATGTTCCATTTAGAAATAACTCTAAGGACAGTTTTTATGTTTTATTTTTACATTGAAAATCAGTCAGATTTGCTTCAGAGTGTGTTCATATAAAATTAAATGAGCGCTGGCAGTGAGCTGTACTTTTGTTTTTCTAAACAAGAAAAGGCTTAAAAAAGAGGTTTATTCTGAACCAATATGAATTACCATGGCTTGGGGTTATACAATCTCAAGAGGTCCTGAGGAAGTGCCCCTGAGGTGATCAGGATACAGTTTCATTTTATACATGTAAACCAAAAATGAAATTTGAAGGCCCCCTTCAACCATCTGAATGAACTTCATTCTTGGCCAGGGCACTCTAAAATTTAACCTGAAAGACTGGTTAAGGCCATGATGGGAACTGGGGGTTGGACACGACTCATTATACCCCTCCGGCATTAACATCAACACAAACCTTAAGTCTCATAAGAAATATTTACTGTTTATTCTCTCTAAAGCCTGCCCTCTTGGAGACTTCATCTGCATGATAAAACCTAGGTCTCCACAACCCCTTGGCATAAACCAGACATTCCTTTCTATTATAACTCTTTCAACCAATTGCTAATCAGAATATGTTTAAATCTACCTATGACCTAGAAGCCCCTGCTTTGAGTTGTCCTGCCCTTCCAGATGAAACCAATGTGAATCTTACATGTATTGATGTGTATGTCTCCCTAAAATGTATAAAAGCAAGCTGTACCCCAGCCACTTTGGGTACATGTCATCAGAATCTCCTGAGGCTGTGTCACAGGCACATTCTGAACCTTGGCAAGATAAACTTTCTAAGTTGATTGAGACTTGTCTCACATCTTTGGCTTACATACATCTCAAGGAGACAGGTATTATAGGTAAAATAATAAATCAACACATGGAAGCTATACATTGGTTTGAATGGAAAAGGCAAGGCATTTCAAAGCAAGGTCTTACAAGTCATAGGTGGGAATCCTTCAGTTGACAATTGCTTGAGAGAATTGAGTTATTATCTAAAGACTTGAAGTCAGTAGAAAAGTGTGCTTGATTTAAGTTAATGGGGTTGTAGGGTCCTTTGGCCCTCTGAATGTTTGCTGAAAATCACTGATATGAGATAGATTGATTAAATAAATTTGTATGCCTTTTTTTCCTATTAATGTGTACACAGCCTTCAGAATGAAAACACCACCTGTCAATGAGGTTCGGAAGCTTATATATCATCCCGAGGTTACAGAATAAATGCAAGCTCAGATCATGGCCAAAAACAGGTTTTAGCAGCAAGAAGAGTTATGGGAAGGAGAAAGGAAGAGGCTTCGCTAGCAAAGGTGGCCTTGTTATGTAGATGAAGCCTCATAGGTAGCAGCCCTCAGAGAGAACAGATGGTGAAAGTCTCTTTTCAGACATTGAAAGGTGTCAGACTCAATCTCCCCTAGATCTAGGAAAGGCCTAGAAAGGGAAGTCATGACTACATTAATGGAGATTCTTTACAGATGCAAATTTCCCCCACAAAAGACAGGTTTGCAAGGCCATTTCAGTCTGTTGCCCTTGAGGCAACCATTTGAAAATAAATAATCAGGACCAAATAATCAAAAAAATAATCAGGGTCTTTATTTGTCGTATGATGTTATATCAGAGTCAGATTGCAAAGTCAGTCAGGTAATACTGGGTTCATTAAAAAAAAAAAAAACTCATCTAATGAGATTTTTATGGTTTGTAGGGTATAATCCTCCAGGCTCCTTCATTGGGAATCTGGGCAAGAGAAAAAAAACCTGAGTTTCCTTCTTACAACCACTCAGTAGAACATGGAAGGTTTAATTTGCATGCAAGTGCCATGATCCCCATGGTAGAACCTGGTCTAATATCTTAGTGGTTTAGGAGCTTGGATTCTGCTGCCAGATTGCCAGGATTTGAATCTTGCCTCCCCTACTCACTACCTGTATTACTTTGGACGAGTTACTTAACTAATTTGTGCCTCATTTTACTTATCTGGAAAATAAAGAAAATAATGGTGCCTACCTCAAAGGACTGTTTTAAGGGTTGATTTGGTATCAGTAAAACATTGGGTACAGTGCCTGGCATGTAGTAGGCACTATTTAAGTTTTAGCTACACTGAAAAAAAAAGAGAAATGCCCGAGGATACTCATGGGCAGCATTCAGGGCTGTTTCAACCAAGAAGAATAGGCCTAGATAGGCCAAGAGCTTGTTGTAAGGCAGATAGAGTCAGGATGTATAAATCTGGTTTATAGTCATTTGGTGGGAATTTGAAGGGGAAAATGTGGAACACATGATATATGATCTCTTAATAAATTATCTTCCAGAAAAATTCCTGCTAGGGAAATCATACCAGGTTTCTGGGGTGGGGCTATATTGGGTACCTAGTGAGTCATGTTAATGAGCCGTGTATAGCCTTAAGGCCATATTGGTATCCAGGAGCCCGATGATGCTCTATGCTATAGCTTAATAGTGGATTTCGGCACAAATAGGGGATCATATTTCCCCTTTCAGTGTACTACAGGTAAGAGGAAGTTGAAAAGTGACAATTCATGGTGAGGTAAAATAAGACAAAATATTTGTCCTTTGTCCCCACAAAGCTCTTATGAAAACCTTAGAATTTCCTGAGCAATAAGGGAGATAGGAGCGTCTTCTGTTATTCACAATAAGTCCATTTCAACCTTAACTGAATTTATGCTAACGAATAAATTAGCATTTATTCATTATTTATTCAGCTCGTGGTGGGCTTCTAATTAGCTTCAGGATGGGGCTGGTCACCAGGAAGAACAAAAATTGATTCAAAGCTTGGAATTTTCAGCCCCACTTCCTAACCTCTGGGAAGGGGAGAGGGTCTGGGTAATGAGCTCAATCAACAATGGCCAGCGTTTTAATCAATTATGCCTACATAATGAAACTTCCATAAAATCCTTTAAATGGTGAGTTTTGGGGAGCTTCCAGGTAGGTGAAGACATTGAAATTCTGAAAGAATGGTATACCTGGAAAGGACGTGGAAGCTCTGTGCCTGCCTCCCCATACCTCGCCCTGTGCATCTCTTCCATTTGGTTGTTTCTGAGTGTTCCTTTATAATAAAGGGGTAATAATAAACTACTTACCTGAGTTCTGTGAGTCATTACAGCATATTATCACACCTGAGAGGAAGGTTGTGGAACCCTCAAACTTATAGTTGGCTGAGCAGAAATATGAGTCGTAGTCTGGCATGATTGAGCTCTTAACTCATGGGGTCTGCACTAATTCCAGGAGTTGATATCAGAACTGAATTGTTAGATACTCAGTTGGAGTCAGAGAATTAGAATTGTTTGGTGTGGGAAAATTTCCACATATTTGGTGCTAGAACATGTCACATGGCCAAATGAGAAATATCTACATTGTTAAGATGAGCCATATCTGTGTTCAGGAGGGGAAATATCTTTGGCTAGGACATGGGTTTCCTGGGAGCTTCAGAGAGAGGTACAATTGCCCAAAGGAGGTGCTTGGATGTTATAATATAGATATTGTAAGGAAGAGAATCAATATTATTTGACATTTATGTAAGAAAAGCCTGAGGATTCCCAGACTAAGTCAGAAGTGACTTCTGGGCTGAGTTTTCCATGACTGCATTGATTATTAATTTTTTATTCATTTATTCAATAAAGATATATTGATTTTCTGTTATGTGCTAAGCATTTGAAATACAGCAGTGACAAGTCCTCATCTTGAGATAGGCTATTATTTAGCAAAAGGGAAAAGACATTGAAGCAATAATTAAATAAATGAAGAGCTGATGAGAACTAAAGACTACGGTTATATTTTTTAAAATTTGCTATGCCAGAAGCTCTCAGGAATATGCAAGAGGGAGACTAAATTTAGAATTAAAAAACCTTCTGGAATTACTTAACTACCCTGCACTTTGTGATATTCTTTCCTCCAAGAAAGCATAACATTCTTTAATGCAACTCATACAAAAAAACATAGAAGAGGATAGAGATAAGGAAGTTTAAAATTCTTGTTAGAGATACGTGATGCCCTGAGATAGGTCATAATTCCCCAGTTTCTAATGGAGTACTTTGTGGTAGCGATATCCCTATTCAGGATGTTCTAGTTTTACTGTGAGGAAGATCTTCCTCTTCAATAAAATGAGATGATAAAGAGTTATGATGCATAATCTACGTGTAGTATATACTTTGAATATCACATAGTATCACGTAGTATACTTTGAATATCACATAATATACTACATAATATGTAGTATATTATTAGAATAGAGTATTTGATTTTCTGAACAGAACACAAAGCATTGTCTGTTTTAGGAATTGGCCTGTCTTCAGGATCCATTCCCTTATTTCAATCATTCTTAAATTCTATCCAAGGACTGTTGGTTTTCTACCTTCTTTTCATAATCCCTATAAATTGTTTCCTATTTGCAAGTATTTACTCCATTCTTCAAATTTGACTAAAACAACAAAAATGAATACTCACAGCATACTACAGTAGGCCATCCTAGTACAGCCTACTGACCCTAACAATCTCTGATTTCTATAGTGTTTCAACCGTTGATCTCCCTTGGAACAGATGACCTGAGATCAGAAAAGAGAGGTGCTCATTATTTATGCAGGCAGTTGGTTATTTAACACATCTTTAACTCTTAAAATTACCCTTCCAAAACTTGTACATCTCTGAGGAGACATTTCTAGAGATGGAACTCCCATTTTGACTAAAGCTTTTGTTAAAATCAGAGGGGCAGGGCTATAACTGCCCAGCCAAATTCTTGATTCGATGCAAAATACAAGTAGGTTGGGTTCTTATGCCTAAGCCTATAGAAAACTCTACATACCCTGTCTTCATGTAATGAAATTGGTCTTCTCCTTGAATGCAGTTTTCAAGCTGCTGAATTCTGCACCTGCAGCAATTTCTGGCTTATTTTCAAGAAAGTCCCAGGGAATCACAAATTATAGAGCTATATGCCTTGCACAGAAGTTTAACAACATAGCCCCATGTAGTCTTTGCATTAAACACATCAGAAATTAAGGGAAATGAAGATAAACAGCAAATATTAAAATTTGGTTGCACTCAGCATGTATGAAAGTAGGGGTTGTACAGTCGTTTGCTTAGTGTTTCTATGGCCCAAATAAGCCTACTTTTAGTTATTTCCTGCACCTTTCTAAAATCCTAACACTATGTGTCAGGAGTAATGAGTCTCTATTTTTAAAAAATTGTGTTTAACCATATTAAATCCAATAATGAAGTCTCTGAAATAATTCAGACAGCAGTGCTGTCAATCAGTAGAGCTTTTTCAAGAAACACTAATTGTCCTGTGAGATGGTGCAGCAGGCTGTGTAGAAAGTTGAACATTTACATGATCTCTAGCCAAATTTCCAGTGTCTGCCTAGATTTATGGCTTTCAGTCTCACTGAAGTTTTGTAGTCTCATATGACACTCATTGTATTCGTATCTATTGACTGATGACATATCAGCTAATAAGTACATAAATATAAGTAATGTTAGAAAATCACAGCTGGGCGTGGTGACTCATGCCTATAATCCCAGTACTTTGGGAGGCCGAGGTGGGTGAATCACCTGAGGTTAGGAGTTGGAGATCATCCTGGCCCACATGGTGAAACCCCATCTCTAATAAAAATACATTAACTGGGCGTGGTGGCGGGCACCTGTAATACCAGCTACTCCAGAGGCTGTGGCAGGAGAATCGCTTGAACCCTGGAGGCGGAGATTGCAGTGAGCTGAGACCGTGCCATTGCACTCCAGTCTGGGCGACAAGAGCAAAACTCTGTCTCAAAAAAAAAAAAAAAGAAGAAAGAAAAGAAAAAATCGCTATCTTTTAACCCCCAGGGGAATAACATTGATAGATACTAAAACTAATGGGCAAAGGTGCAAAGGTTTTGGGGAACAGGAAATTCACATGGTCTTAACATATCACCCTATAGATTACTTGCGATTTACAAAGGGAAAAATGAAACTTTGAAGTGGAGACATGTGCCCATGATCATCTTAACCAGGTGACCAACTTAGCATCCCTAATAGTAGGACAACTGGCTTTATGTGCCTCTTGATTGCAATGCCATGAGAAGTACACAGTATCACGTCTGAAATATTCTTGCAAAAAATGTTTAAGATGAATCTGTTAATGAAGCATCAGACAAATCCATTATGTGGGATATTCTACAAGACCATTGGCCTGGCCTCTTCTAAAAAATTAATGTCATAAAAAATGAAAATGAGTGAGGGGACTATTCTATATTAAAAGAGACTAAAGAAAAAACAGCCAAAGACCTTCTTTGAATCTCATTTAGATCTTAGGTCAGAAAAAAACCCCAAGACTTAAAAATTGTTTTTAGGACAATTGGTGAAATTTAAATATGGTCAGTTTCTCTCTTTTTTCTGTCTGTTATTATTATGTTAGTAGGTATGAGAGTCACATAGTGGTTGTGTTGGTACATTCCTTTTATTTTAATTTTAGATAATGCTCAGGTAAGGGGTAAAGAGAAATGATACCTGGAATTTACTTACAAAAGTAGCAGCAAGATAAAAGCATTGAGTAAGCTCACAAGAAAGTGAGCAAGAGAAAATGGACATATACTGCTAATAATGCTAAGAATTGATGAAACTAGATGGAGGGCCTGTGGGTGTCCATGTGCTATTCTTCCAACTCCTCTGTACCTTTGAAAATGTTCAAAATAAAAAGTTGGGAGAAAATCTGGATATTGAATCTAAATGTACACAAGAATCTCCTAAATGTCAGAAACTGAGTTAAATAATATATTTAAATTAATTGGAATCATATTAAATAGAAAAACACCTCCTTATATTTGAACCATCATAGAACATTTTATGTGGATGACACATTCAGTCGTACTTATAGATTCCCAGAGCTCTTGAAGTAACTCACACCCAGCTTTTTTGGGGATCTGCCGCCTAGGGAAGGGAGCTCTCTGTTCTACAGAGGATTGCTTCCTTGTAATAAAAGTTAGTCTGATAGATCTCTGTGCCTAATGTAAAGCTACTCTTCATTTCAAAAATAAAAATTATACTCAGTGCAGCTGCTTTGGAAGATAATGTTCATTCTCGGGCTTTAACAATGATTGTATCTGCCTTGCTGGAATGGTGGCTCTGTCCGACTGCTGTCCTATAAGCATTTCCAGTTCTATGGAGAAGAACACATTTTCCTTAAGGCTGTCTCAAAATTAGTTTATCTTTCTATGAATATTCTGTTTGCTCTCAGTTGACAAATTTCTAGATCTCTTACTCTATTGGCAGCACATTTTACTTTGTTTCATAACCACTTCCTGAGTCCCTGTTCTGTGCACTATTCTAAGCATATGACTGTAAATATAGTAACTTTTTAAATAAAATTGTGACTTTGAAAAGGGAAGTTCATATTAAGTATGCTCACAAACTCAGAATAACAAGAAAAAGGCCTGAAATATAAAGTACTTAAAATATATTTTACTGGCTGGGCGCAGTGGCTCACAGCTGTAATCCCAGCACTTTTGGAGGCCAAGGTGGGCGGATCACAAGGTCAGGAGTTTGAGACCAGCCTGGCCAATATGGTGAAACCCCGTCTCTACTAAAAATACAAAAATTAGCCAGGGGTGGTGGCAAGCGCCTGTAGTCCCAGCTACTCAGGAGGCTAATGCAGAAGAATCGCTTGAACCCAGGAGGTGGAGGTTGCAGTGAGCTGAGATTGCACCACCGCACTCCAGCCTGGGTGACACAGCAAGACTCCACAAAACAAAACAAAAAAAAAAAAAAAAAAAAAGAGCAATATATATCTCGCATAACTAAAAGCCCTTTATTGTAAAATTAAACAGATACAAAGAATTGTATAAAATGAATATGTAACATGAATTATAAGGCAAATGGCTTTGTAGCTATCACCCAAATTAAGAAATAGAACTGTGTTAGTCACCTTCGAAGATGGTGCAACTTTGTATTTGCAATTCCCCATGCTCTTTCCACTTTTTCTAAAAGTAACCACTATCCTGACTTTAATCACTGTTTTTCACTCTTCTTTGTTTTATCACCAAAGTGTGCAACCTTGAATACTCTGGTTTCCTCCCTCCCTTTCTTCTTTTCATATACATATTTTATATATATGTATATATGTGTATATATGTATGTATGTATATATACATGTATATATACATATACACACACACAAGCACACACACATTTTAGTGCTCGTGTAGTGAAGAATAGTTCCTTTACAGTCTCTTTAGTGTACAGATTTTCTTTCCATCTCCCCTTTCTCGCTTGCAATTTATTTGTTGAAAAAACCGAGATCTTTGATCCATCGTGTTTCCCCCGGTCTGGATTATATTTTGCATTCTCAACATATGGCTTAGCATATTCCTCTGTCCCCTTTATTTCCTATATATTTGTATCTGGATATAAAAACTTAGACATGAATTTTTTGGCAAAACCATTTCATAGGTGGTGTGTGTCCTTTACTGCTGATGTTAGTAGCCATTGCCACTGAAAGGTTAGATCCAGTAATTCATTAAGATAGCAATGTGATGATACTCTAATTCTTTCTCTATCATTTGAAACCTTCTACAAGAAACTTAAGCTCATCTACTATTTGGCTATTCTTATGTATAGCTATAATTGAAAAGACAGGATAAATGTATTTTATTCTTTATTTACCAATTTTAAAATAATAAGTTGCTCACTATCATCTTACACTGCTGATCAATTAGGGTACCACTTTTAAGAAATACCATTATGAACTTATGGTTTAAACATTATTAGTATGTAGTTATAATCCTTATTAAGACTTAATTTGACTGTCTTTGAGAGGCCTCCTTAATCTGGCCCCTGGATCTTTTGCATATGCCCCCAGTCTTTGATGGCTTTCTTGCTCTCTGGTAGGACATGTTCTTGTACATTTCTTGTTCCTGTTATCAACCATTTGCCAAAGATCACTGACGTCTTTTAGCAGAAATGGTTTCTGAAGACCATAAGCTAGGTGCCACTGGTGTTTACTGATACTGAGTTGGACACTGTTTTTTTTTAGGCCTGCAGTGGACAGTATTTAGGGGGAAAAATGTTACCTAAAATCTACAAAGATATTTTATACTGAGAAATGACACTTAAAAGTCAAACTTATAATACAGGATTTCTTTTTAATAGATTCTATCTTACATGTGAATCTGTGAATCTTCTTTTTCACATCGGGAATCTTGATTCTGAAATACATGGGATGATTGAGATATCATATAATTATTCACTTATGTCACATTACTTATGCAACAGGCTCAGAATTACACACTAATACTACCATCATTAATATAAAAACAGTTAATGTTTCTTTATGCACATGTTCTCCTCATTCTTCCCCATTAAAAAAAGTTACAGAATCTCTTTATTGTCATAGCATATAGCTGTGGAATACTCTATTATCATACTTTTTAACATTATTGAGTCTTAGTTTTTACTTTTCTATTTAATGCTCATTACCCATCCTTTTGTCAGTTTTTCTTTAATCATTTTGGTTATCTGAAACTTGTTCTCTAGTAGATTCTGCAGGAAAATAATGTGAAAATATTCCCAAAGCTACTGCATGTTGATATTTGTTTCATGTGGTCATATTTGCATGGCAGTTTGGGTATAAAATCTTTGTTTTACATTTTTTTTTGATATCTTAAATGCTGCTTTATTTTCCTTTGGTGTAAAGCATTGCTGTTGAAAAGTCTGATAAAAATATAATTTCTCTGTAAGTGATGTCGCTTTTTTGCTTTGATACTCAAAGTTTGTTTTTTTCTTAAATCCCACTAATTTTACTAGACTATTTCTTTGTGTTGGTAATTTCTAGTTCTAATTTTTCAGGTATACTACATGTTTCAGTATTTGGTTTCAGTGTGTAGTTTTGAGTTTTTTAATTACAGAATTTTTAAAATCATGTTTTTTGGTATTCTGTTTTCTCAATTTGATTTCCTCTTTGGACATTCATATTTCTGTATGAGCTTGAACAATGATTGTGTCTGCCTTTGCTGGAATGGTGGCTCCTCTACCTACTTTTCAATATTTGTTACTTATTCTCAAGTTATTTTTATCTGTTTCTTCATAGTTTTTCTTAAAATTTTTTTTTTTAGAACAGTTTTAGGTTCATAGCAAATTGAGCATAACGTACAGAGAGGTTTCATATATCCCCTGTCTTCTTCTCCACATATACCTCCCCCAACTATTGACATCCCCCACCAGTGTGGTGCGTTTGTTATAACTGATGAACCTACATCAACACATCATCATTGTCCACAGTCTATAATTTACATTAAGATTCTTGGTGTTGTACATCCTCTGAGTTTGGAGAAATGTGTAATGACATATGTCCACCCTTACAGTATCATACAAAGAGTTTCACTGCCCTAAAGATCCTTCATGCTTTGCCATTTTTGGGGAAGCCTTTGGAACCCCTAGCAACCACTGATCTTTTACTATCTTTGTAGTTTTACCTTCTTCTCCAGAATACCATATATTTGGAATCATGCAGTATGTAGCTTTTTTAGATTGGCTGTTTTAACTCAGTAATATGCATTCACATCTTTTTTTATGTCTTTTAATGACTTAAGAGCTCATTTCCTTTATGCTGAAAATATTCCATTGTCTGAACGTACCACAGTTTGTTTATTCATTCACCTACTGGAAGGCATCTCAGTTGCTTCCAATTTTAGGCAATTATGAATAAAGCTATGAATAAAGGAGTATGATTGCTGGATTCTATGGTGAGCATGTTTAGTTTTGTAAGAAACTGAGCAGCTGTCTTCCAAAGTGGCTGTGCCATTTTGCATTTCCACCAGCAATAAATGAGAATTCTTGCTGTTCAACAACCTCGCCAGCATTTGGGGTTGTCAGTGTTTTGGATTTTCTCACTCTAATAGCTGTGTGGTGGTATTTCATTGTTTTGACTTCATATGTTTTTGAGAGCTTGTTTGGAATTTCTAGTAGGGGAGTACAGCTACTCATATACCCTTGAGCAAAGAATGGTCCTCCTCTATTGAGGAAGGTCATCCTCTTTTCAGCCCAATCAACTCTGGCCATAAATGGGGTGATAGATGTTGCAGCCAGATTGCCCTCACATCCCTTTATACTTTTGTGATTTTTAAAATTCCTCTCCCTTTTACCTTCTACATCTTTTATGTCTACTTTTAATTCTTCTTTCTAGTTTAATGTTCTTTTCTGAAATTATTCTTTTATTTCCAATTCTGTTCTGAATTCTATCATCTCATTTGAGTTTTTCCCATTCTGATTTGTATCGATCTTCATGACTTTTATCATTTTTTTCTAATGAATTCGGCTCATTTTGAAATATTAGATTCTAATTTTTATGTATTTTTGAGCATGCCTTTATGGCATACATTTATTCTAGCAATTCAAGCAATGTGATCTAGAAAAAGTCTTACTCTCTGTGAGCCTCAGTTTTCCCAGTTATAAAATGGTGAGAATAATTCTTAATTCATTTATGATTAACTCCAAATGCCTGACCAAATTTTAAAGTTATGTAGATGTGTAAAGCACTTTACAGGTGTAACACATTATTTCTACGTCTGCAACTTAAAAAGTATATTAACTGTCTTCCTGACAATCAACATTCCTTATGTCTCACTTGGCAAATCCTCAGTTGGTGCTTCCTGGTCATATTGACCTTAGTGCTACAGATTGTGTATGTTCATTTTCCCCTTTTTCTTATATTAACTTAGTATGGCATTAGCCTCATGTCTTTTCTGTTGATTTTTTTAATGAAATTTGTTTTCTTACAGTTTAGAAGGAGGAGTTAAGGTAACTTTTCTAACTTTACACTCGAAAGCAAATTCTTTTGTTGTGTGTAGTGTTAAAAAATATGACCATTTACTTTCCTAGATCTCCTGGTTCTGTTCTCATCCCCATTTAAAAAAAATGTATTCATTTACATGTTCTCATCCCCTCATTTTTTTTTTAATGGAGGGATGAGAACAGAGCTCTTTCCTTTTTCTCTGATAGTCTCATGTTTCTCAATTTTGATTTTATTCCCAGCACTTCATCCTTAGTGTTGGGCTTCAGCCTGGAAAGGAGCTTTGGAGATTAGTTTTGACCCACCCCTGGACGATGCAAAACCCACACGGTTTCAGCTGCGATTCTCACATTGTTCCTCTGAAATTTCCAGTGAACTCTTACTGGCTGTTTTGGGGCTCTTAGGGCCGTAGGATGCCTCCTTGCTCCCCCATCTTTTCCCTGGCACACATGCGGTGCCTGTCTTATAGCTAGTGAAGGTTTGTCCACGTCTGCCTGTATTTTGGAATGGGTGAGGATACCTTGTCACCTCAGTTTGTTGAAGATATTGCGCATCTGTTTTTGTCTTTTCTAGTTGTCTATTTTTTTTTTCGTGGGATTTAAATAAATTCAAAAACTATGCTGCCACTGCTTCCATCTTCCTTGTATAAAATTTTGTGATGTTTAAGAATATTTAATGAGGCCGGGCATGGTGGTTCATGTCTGTAATTCCAGCAATTTGGGAGGCCATGGTGGGTGGATCACTTGAGGTCAGGAGTTTGGGACCAGCCTGGCCAATATGGTGAAACCCCATCTCCACTAAAAATACAAAAATTAGTTGGGTGTGGTGGCACATGCCTGTAGTCCCAGCTACTCGGGAGGCTGAGGTAGGAGGATGGCTTGAATCCAGGAGGCAGAGGTTGCAGTGAGCCGAGATCTCGCCACTGCACTCCAGCCTGGGCGACTGAGCAAGACTCAGTCTCTCTCTCTCTCTCTCTATATATATATATACACACACACACATATGTATTTATAATAGCACATAGTTGAGTCATTCATGGAACTAAAATAGTTTCAACCAACAGATGGTTTTGTAATAAATATTTTTTGTAATATACGAATACTTAGAAATTGGCTTTAAGTAGGACTGATTTACCTAGCACAGTTATCTGTGGTCTCATAAAACTGGCTTAGTTTCATGAAATACCTTGTTTTCTCTCTAGTCAGTCCTTCAACTTCTAGTGCCTTACATTTTTTCAAAGAAGTAAGTGTGGCAATTCCCTATCTAGGAGCATAGACATGGATGGCTCACAATTACAGTAATCCTCCTATCCAGAATCATGAACCATACTTTATTTTCTAATTCTCTTAACTTCTGTGGTATAATTTTGCTTCACAAACCCTTCTAACACTACTTTTAGTTTGCTATGTGTAAATACTCTTTGGATGTAAAAACAATATTGAATTGTAAACTTTTGCTCTCTTTTGAAGGTCTCTGCTGAGCTTTTGAGATCTTGGTGTCAATGTAGGAGAAAATTCTAGTGGTTGACAAAATAATGTAAATAAGAGAATAAAAACATAGTAAATTGGAAAAATGAGCAGAAAGTCATACTTTTAAATACACATACATTTTTCTAGCTCAGATATTATTAAAAGAAGTCCAAAAGCACTTTTTATGTCATTTGCCCATCATGCTTTTCTTAGTGTGCCCTTAGGGCCCAGATTTTGTTTCGTCTCTAATTTTGTTCTCTACATAAAAGGGACCAAGTCTCATTGGAGGTATTTGACTTCCTGCCTTAGGGTGGGAAAACAAATCAAGATATTTGAGTACAGTTTCAATTATCCTGTTGTCAGGAGGCAAGAATTCTTTCAAAAATGTAAGGGGCAGTAAAAAAGAAAAAAAAAAGTGAAAAAGTCTGCTTAAGGGACTTCCTGGCCAGGTGTTGTGGCTCATGCCAGTAATCCCGACATTTCAGGAGGCCAAAGTGGGAGGATCGCTTGAGTCCAAGAGTTTGAAACCAGCCTGGGCAACATGACAAGACCCCATCTCTATTTAAGAAGAAAAAGAAAAAGACTTATAAGCATCAAATAATGATAACAATACTTATAAATTTGCATCTGCATAAAGTCATGAATTCATACTACAAGTAAAACAGGTCACTATTAAGTATATAAACGATAGTTATTCTATACAGTAAACTTGTATGTACTTGGATATTTAAAAATTTTTACTGAGTTTATAGCAGAAGTAATATTGTATGTTGGTATTCTGGTTCTTCTATTAATCTATTTTAACGAAGTATAGATATACTTTTATTTGTGTAAGCAAGAAAGAATTTCTGTACAAAGTAGGAACTCTATTATAAAGAACAGGGAGTACTGATTAGCACTGGTAATCATCTACAATAACCTAGTAAATTGGGTGAAAAATTAATCAGGCCCGTTGATGAAGAAGAATGGAGATTTTTAAATTTTTGTCTACAGTAAGTAAATCAGCCTAATCTTCTAAAGAAGTTAGCTGTTCATAGAGATTAAGCCCTAGATCAAGCCTGTCCAACCTGTTGCCTGGGACGGCTTTGAATGTGGCCCACAAAAATTCACAAACTTTCTTAAAACATTATGAGATTTTTTTGCAATTTTTAAAAAGCCCATCAGGTATCTTTAGTGTTAGTGTATTTTATGTGTGGCTCAAGACAATTCTTCTTCCAGGGAAGCCAAAAGTTTAGATATCCCTGCCCTAGATGGCTCCAGTAATTAGACTAAAAAAGTCTGGTAAGAAATACATACTCTTAAGGCCGGGTGCAGTGGCTCACACGTATAATCCCAGCACTTTGGGAGGCCGAGGTGGGTGGATCACCTGAGGCCAGGAGTTCAAGACCAGCCTGGCCAACATGGTGAAACTCTGTCTCTACTAAAAATACAAAAATTAGCCAGGTGTGATGGCGGGCGCCTGTATTCCCAGTTACTCAGGAGGCTGAGGCAGGAGAATTGCTTGAACCCAGGAGGCAGAGGTTGCACTGAGCCGAGATCACGCCACTGCACTCCAGCCTGGGTGACAGAGTGAGACTCTGTAACAACAACAACAACAATAAAAGAAATATATACTCTTGAAATAATGTCAGGAGACTAGGCCCATATATCATAGTGACAGACAATAGATTAGGGACCAGGACATCCAAAAATTTAAAAATACATAATTTTCAAAAAGATGTCAATTTTCATAAACTTGAAAGCTAAAACATTTATTATACAACAGGATTCATCCTGTGATGCTCAGTGTCATCTGTTAGAATCACCATAGCCTTTATAATCACACCTAAGATACAGATCCAGGGTCATGTAGCCAATAACTCAGAATCTGCACCCTTGACTTGTGTGAGACCATTATTTTTCTTCTGGGTCTGGCAAGATCAACAGAACTCTAAGAATAACCAAAAATGGGAGCACTAGCAATGTGTCAAAATAAGTCTAAAAATAAGAAACACGATTAAACCCATTTTAGAATTTTGATAACTAGCTTTAATGTAAAGGTATTAAGTTTTGTACTTACTGTTTTTGTACATGAATTGCTGTTTAACATGCTCGATATATTCAGAAGAATCAACCATACTAAATTTGTAACTACAGTTAAAATTACTTGAGGGAATTTAATTAATGAAATGTATAATCAGCATCTGAACAAAAATTGGTTTTCAAAGCTTTTATCAGATATAGGAATTTAATAAATTGGACCTTAAACCAAGTACCATAGTAGTATATATTTCTCTTCTTGAATAAAAACCCTTTGTTGTAATTGTTGTTGGTTCTCTAGAGAGAAGATGTTAAACTTAAAACCAACATCTACTCATAAAATTTAACTTGCTTTTCAAATCCTTTTTCTTCTGGTTTTAAGAAGCTGCAGCAGTGAAACCTAACCAGCATTATGACTCATCACACTGTGACTCCTCATCGTGTCCACCACCATCCCTTGGTTATGTAATTTCAGTCATTGCTGAAATGAAAGCAGAGGACCTCAAGCACAGTGAACAAGTTGGCTGTGCAGGAGCAGGAGCAGAATTGTCTTTTTCAGTATTAGACTTGCAACTTGACCCTCTACTTTGTTCATAGGATCTTAGATAATGGCCCGAAGCCAAAAAAAAAAAAAAAAAGGCATAAAATGAAACTTTTGAAATATTGGTCATGGATATTTGTTGTTTTGTCTTTCTTTGCCCCTTCTTTTGGGGTAACCCTTCTTTCTTCTATTTCACCCATGTGCTTCTTGTGGGAGCTAGACTTATAGCTCCTTACTTCTCCCCTCCAGGAATGGGCCTGTGTCACGTGAGGCACCACAGTTTTGCACCTTCTTGATCACAAAAATTCATTGAAGGAGGGAGGGCTGCTATATATAATAAAGCTGTAGGAGAAGTTTTCCTCCCAATCCCCAACCTCCACTTGGTCTTGATGGTTGAAAAGTGTGATCCCGGATGATGACAATGTGCATGATCTCTGACTCATGCAGAAGCTGATCCATGGTGGAATAAAGGGTGATGCAGAGAGAAGGAAGGCGGGAGCTGGAGAAGCAGGATGCTGTCAGTATTTCAGTCTCTGCTCCTAGCTCCTGAAGTCTCAGGAGCTGTCCTCATTCTTCTAGCACTATTCCAGTTTGGCGAGTATGCTAGCTGTTATGTCTCATATCTAAACCCACCCATCCTATTTTGTCCTACTTTGTGATAATGGATCTGGACTTTTCAGAATAGCTATTTTTCTTTGCCAGGTGGCTTGATGTTAGTCTCAGCCAATAGGTGGTGCTAAAGGGAGATAGCAAGACTGGGGAAGGAAGAAGGGGCTTTTCTTCTCCCTCTTCTTGTTGCCCTTCTAACAACAATATAGGGTGGATACTCTTATTCCCGTTGTGCGCATGGGAAAGTAAATCTAAGAACAATGAAATAACTTGCTCATGATCACACAATAGTAAATGGTGAAGGATTCTTTAACCCAAATATGCCTGTCATCGAAGTTCAGCTTTTTTCCATTTAGCTGTACTGTTTCTATGGGCAATAAAAGCTCACTGGGAAGATTTTTATTTGTATATATTGTATACAAATATATTGTATTACTTGTAAATATTGTCCATTGCACCTCAAATCAGTGGTGTGCTAGAGCTGGCTTGTGTAAATTCATAGGAGACAATTTTCCATAACTTTTCCCAATTTTGATCAGTGATGTATTGTTGGTAGCTTGAAATTAACTGGAGCAGGAGTATTTATACTGTGAAAATGGGCAAACACTATAAATCAGTTTTCTTCTCTGTAAAACTGGCTGTTAAGATATACCAACACACCACTGCTCCAAACTCTTGGATTTTTTAATGTACTTAAATATATAGACCAATTATTTTTTCCCCACTCATTTTGCTTTCTTGCAAATTGAATTGTTTATCATTTTTGATTCAATACTTGAAAACTCTTCCAGAATAGTTAAATTGCATGAATCCACATGGTATTCTTATAGATGAGCCAATTTTTTAAGGAAAATAAAGTTAAAATATTAATCAAGAGCCATATTTTCTCTTCAAGTACAGTTTCATTGCTATTATTTGTTTTGATTATAAATCATTCTTACTAATTATATATGAATTTTATATCACTTTTCCTAGAGTTTGTTAGATAAATTCAGATTTATCTGGATTGCTGTTGCTATCCTTTCTCTTTTTTGCTTCAAGTATATATGTACATACTTATTTTTAGTGACTAGGATTATATTTACTTTTCCTCACTAATTTCTTATTTAAGCTTATTAAGTATATATATATTAAGTATATAGTTCATATGTTCTCTAATGAGACTCATGTTCACTCTGGCATTTTTTATTGGCTTATTATATGTTTTGTTCAAACATTTATTTATTGTCAGGAAAGAAGTCCCATGCTCATAATGGACATCAAGGAGTAAACCTTCTGCAACTCCTTAAATGCCAAAGCTAGATAATAATCTAAATGAGGCAGTTTGTTATTTACAGCACAGCAAGAGCATCAACAGGGCAGTACCGGTTTCCTTGGCCCCAAATCCAACAGGCCACGCAATGAGCCCAGTGGGCAGCGGTTGGTGTTGCAGAAGAGGAACACAGGGCCAAGGACTCAGCACCTTTTATAGCAAGCAGGAAGCGAGCCAGATCCTTCTCCCACTTGGGGAGCAACAAGACACAACATAATCACATTGTGGTTGCCTTGACTACTTTATTTGCCTGTGTGATTAACTATGGAAACTGCTCAGCATTAGAGGACAGCCAGGCCTTGGCACAGTAGGCAAGGACATGAAGAGACCCTCAGGGCCCATGGTAGACTGCCTTTCTCAACAATCTACTCATTGGCCTTATATATTCCTGGCCAAACTCAAATTTTTCACATTAGAGATACTATCAACAAAATGTTGGTCAGCAGGATGAAGCCCATCTGCCGTATTGGCCTTAGCCATATACCATAGCATCCCTGGCTCAGCCTACTTAATAAGTCCCAGGGGGAACAAGCAGTTCTCATTTCAGATAACCATTTAGCTTCATTTCCTATGACATAGAGTGTTCCATATGACTAGCGTTAATCCAAACACAACACAGGGCGTAGGTGACTATGCACGCTCTTCCATATTCAGCCAGGATGCAGTCTAAGGGGCAGTCTCTTATCCATTATGATCCACACAAGGGAGTTTTCACTGGCCTGATGATC
Source organism: Homo sapiens (assembly GCF_000001405.40). Classification (NCBI taxonomy): domain Eukaryota; kingdom Metazoa; phylum Chordata; class Mammalia; order Primates; family Hominidae; genus Homo; species Homo sapiens. The sequence continues at coordinate 46,964,669 of NC_000013.11, forward strand.
TTCTAGGGTTTGTGCTGTTTCATTAGCTGTAGTAACTGAGTTTAAGGATGGGTTCCTGATGACTGCCTCTCTGAATTTCACTCCTAGGGAACAGTACCTAAACTGCTGTATGGAATAAGGAGTCAGTATATTCCTGGTACAGCAGCCCTCTTTATTCTGTGTCTTCATAAAAGAAATGTAGAGCAAGGGGTGGTGTCAGTGTCAATAATTACAGAAGACAATAAATGGGCCAAAAATTAACCTCTTTCTCCAGTGGCAGATGTTCCATGGCCTACTCTCCTTCACATGTAAACATATGACTCATAAAGGCACAGGTCACTCCAATTCAGGATTTGTTCTTTAACTTGACTGGGATCACTGTTACATGGGTTTGGTTAAGTTTCATGGGCACGGTCACCATGTAGTTACAGACTGGATTGCCATATGTGGCATAACCCAAAGTTGCTTGGGCCTTAGGAGACACACATGAGTTCTTACCAGTCATATTGAAATAAGGTGTGACAGTCCATGTGTTTGTCATTTGGGAGAGAAGAGGTCCACATTTGGAGCTGTTCACAAAAGTGTGAAACACAGCAAAAAAATTATTGGATAGTCATGCCCACATGAATTTTTCTGTTCTCATAGCATGTGGAAGATGACAACAAACCCAGTAGTGAGTCATATTGCTGGCACAGCTGCTGCTTGACTCAAGAAGACCATATGATTGTTGCCAGGTGGGGCTAGATCTAGGGGACAAGTGAGGGACATTAAATGTTCTTTCCTCTCAACATTTCTCAGGGTCTAAGATCTTCCCTCCTTAGATGCCAGAGTTGTTTTTTTTCCTCCCTCACAGTCACAAAGTTTGTCCTACGGAAATAGCTGCAACTTCTTCCTTTGCTCAGTCCAGTGGGTTGGGTGTCATCAGGGCTGGGGAAAAGTGATAGAACTTGTAATGACCTGTGATGTCCCTATCATTGTCCAAGTGGGCCAATGGAGAGGTAATGTAGGGTTTACATATTCTATCAGCTGCTTATGCTCATAGTCTGTGAGCTGTCATACTCAGTAACTGAAATCAGGTGTAGTTCAGGCAACAGGTTGGAATCACCCACTTCATATTGTTTAATTGCTACCTTAAAATAAAACTTATTGGGCCCCCAGACACTAGAATCAATGGGAAAAAAGAAGTTGGGTATTCTCAGAATCACAGATATGGAGATCTGGTCTCTACATTCCATTTCCTCTCTTCCCTTTAGTCCTGATTTTCCTAAGCAATAATTTCAAAGGGCTTGTTTCTTTGTCAGAAACAGCTGCACTTAATGTCCTTACTGTCTAAGATGTTGTTTACAATGCTGACAACATGTTCTGTCAAGCAGTCTTTTTCAGTCAACTATTTAAATGTCTATTCTATCTCTTGATGATGCCAGCAGCCTCAGGATTGTAAGTGTCTGAAATGTGTATTGAATACCACGTCCATTTGCCCACTCTTAGGTGCCTTTTGCTGTGAGGATGCCATAGTCTTATTGTGAATATCTTGGCTCTCTCAAAAACATGGCATAGCTTTGTCTCAAATGTCACCCTGGTGTGGCCATAGCTGGAAAACTGTCAATGGGCTATTATACACCAGTGGTAGGAGTGAGTTAGCAGCAGAGTAACTGTGAGTCTATTGCGATGAGTGGACAGGGGACTTGAACTACGTACCCTCACTGGGGTGTAAGACTTTTGATCCTTTTGGGGACAGAGAGACCGGACTCATCCTGAGTCTTCCTTCTCTTAAAACTCTACCAAATCAGACTTCAGGAGTGCAGGGTCAGGCAGTGGAGGTACTGAAAGAATAGTTGGTTCTAAGGAAGCCACCCCACTTTTTGACTTCCTCTAGTAGAGTATCATTGATCTCCATGGAGGAAGTCATTCTATACAGGCCTTTTTCACTTCACTGGCCTTGGGGGAGGTCGCCATATGTGGGCTTCAACATAGTCATTGAAACAGAAATCCAAAGTAGGAAGCCTTATTGTAGAATAAGATTCTTTCTCGGCCGGGCGCGGTGGCTCACGCCTGTAATCCCAGCACTTTGGGAGGCCGAGGCGGGCGGATCACGAGGTCAGGAGATTGAGACCATCCTGGCTAACGTGGTGAAACCCTGTCTCTACTAAAAATACAAAAAATTAGCTGGGCATGGTGGTGGGCGCCTGTAGTCCCAGCTACTTGGGAGGCTGAGGCTGGAGAATGGCATGAACCTGGGAGGTGGAGCTTGCAGTGAGCCGAGATCATGCCACTGCACTCCAGCCTGGGTGACAGAGTGAGACTCTGTCTCAAAAAAAAAAAAAAAAAAAAAAGATTCTTTCTCAACTGAGTAGTCTCCAGAGGCTGGAGGCATGGGGTCAAGTATGAGCTGGTCTAGTTGCTGCCATTTATCTTCTAAGAGCATAATCTCTCTTGCTTCCTCATCACACAAATGTGCTAGCTGTGTCTCTAACAGATCCTCAGTCCATTGATCAAACTGGCCTTGGATTTCCCTCCTCTCCTTTTTGCTGTAGGTGGATATCTTAGTATTCTGTATTGAGGTGTGATGCACTCCAGAGCTTGTTCTAGTTGCAGATGTTAAAACAGGGAGCAGTTGTGCTTTCCTCCCTGACAGTTCAGGGCGCTTTCCTAGGCCACTGTTTCATAGGAGATCAAGAACATCATGGTACTCTTTGGGCAGCTTGTTTTGATCCTGCCATTCAGCCTCTATTCATTGGCTGAACTCCTGTTTGTTAATGAGCAAAAAAGGAGAGGGATTGTTTATTCTCCCCACCTCTTGGCCCATCACTTGGATGAGAGCATTTGCTACTGGCTTCTTGGGAGTTTTCTCATGTACCTGAGCCTGGCCCTTGCCTTTTTTTTTTTTTTTCCAGAATGTCATTGTCCGTCTTGACACCCAACTTGTTATTTGAGAAGATCTCCAACCTCATAGAAGATAGCAAAGCCATTGCTCCATAAATACAAGAATAGACAAGACACTGTGGATCAGAGAAAGACAGCTTATTACGCACAGTACAGCAAACAGCAGGCACATCAACATGGTAGTGCCAGGTTCCCAGTCTCTGAGTCTCATAGGGCATCGTGATGGGCCCAAGCAAGGGCTAGGCATGCAGTAGATTGTGACACAAGAGGAACATGGGTCAAACGCTCAGCACCTTTTGTAGGAAGCAGCAAACAAATCAGTTTCCCTCCTTTCATGAGCTCATGGTCTCACAGTGGTCACACTCTGGCCACCCTGACCTACTTGATTGCCTGTGTGACTAGTTAGAGTAGTTGCTCTGGGGACAGTCAGGCCTTGCAGTTCAGCACACTTAGCAAGACTGCGTGGGGCACTCAGGACCCACAGCAGGTTTCCTGTCCTAACACTTACACATCCATATTTTTGAAAACATGGAATTGTTTACAATTGAAAAAAATATCAAATTTTAGAGGACTTTTTGTATGATAAATATAGAGAGTGAATCTGCATGTGATTGTTCCCAGACCAGGTACCAAGAGCAGCACCCATATTGATGAGCAGGTAGGACAGAGTGGGTAAAAGATGTTCTTAAAAGGAAATCTTACTATCTTTTCTTATATTCTCTTACCACCTTTCCCACCTGCCGGATGACAAATGTGGAAAAGTTATCTGAATTTTTTTTTAACCCTAGGGAGCTTAGAAGCATTGTTACAGTTATGCCATTGCTTACTTGGACTATTGCAATATCACTTGGCTAATGTTTTTCTAGACCTGCTGCACACAAACTCTGGTTTTATTTTCCCCAGGCACTTCTTTCAGCCACTCTCCCATTTGTTGATTTCCTGTTGTCTTTGAGGGAACCATCCAGACTCCAGACCCGAACCTTCAATGTCCTCTGTGAAACTAATCAACATCCCTAGCTTCTCCTCTTTAGAACAAGAGAGAAGCATTCATTATTCCCAATAAGTTTCTATTTCAGTTTATTTAATTAACTAGAAATTAATTGCACTTACCTTCTTTTCACTTCCTCAAATTATAATTACCTTCTAAGGCCCAGCACAGGCTTCACTTCATGAGCATTTCCACAACTAACATGAAAACTCACTTTTCTAAGTTACTTTCCTAGCTGACACTTACTATAACTTTGCAACTCTATCGCCCCACTTGCCAAGTAGATTGCAAAGTTCCTGCAGATTGTGTATTCTGTTTGCCAATGAATTGTCTTAAGTACGTATTCACTGTTAAATGGATATTTTTTCTTTCAATAATATTTGAAGAGTTTCTGATGAGATTATCATAGTTATTTCTTGGTGATGTCAATTTCATTTAAAAACAAAAGCAAATTCTATCTCACTTTAAGTCGAGTATCTTAGGACAATTTTTGACCTTTGATTTAGTGGATTTTCATATGTTAATTCTTCCTAGGATAGCCGCCTTATAGTATCTTAAATTTTCCCCACATATCTTCTCTGAGGATTAAATCCCCAGTCATTCCAAACTAGATTCACCTGTTCCTTAATGATTTAATTAATTATGTCATACTCATTCTTGCTTTAGGAGCGACTCTCAAAACTAATAGGTACAGCAAAAAGGAAAGGAGATGAGCTATAGGAAGAACTCCAAAACTGATTTTTTTTTTTTGAGACAGAGTCTCACTTTGTTGCCCAGGTTGGAGTGTAGTGGTGCGATCTTGGCTCACTGCAAGCTCCGCCTCCTGGGTTCAAGCGATTCTCTTGCCTCAGCCTCCTGAGTAGCTGGGACTACAGGGGCCCGCCACCATGCCCAGCTAATATTTGTGTGTGTGTGTGTGTGTGTGTGTGTGTGTGTGTGTGTGTGTGTGTGTGTGTTTAAGTAGAGGCAGGGTTTCACCACGTTGGCCAGGCTGGTCTCGAATGCCTGACCTCATGATCTGCCCGCCTCGGCCTCCCAAAGTGCTGGGCTTACAGGCATGAGCCACTGTGCCCGGCCCCAAAACTGAATTGAATGTCGCTAAATTAAGATTGTATATTGCAGCGGCTACACGAGTAGTGACTATCGTGCTGTGCAATAACCCTGCCTCATTGATTACTTTGACCAAACAATGTTTTTGAAAAAACATGTTCAGTATGAACTTCCTATGTGCATTTTTTTCATGAAATGTAAAAAATGAATATTTTTTTCTGTTGTCAACATTAGGTACCCTCAAGTGTTTACTTCAGAGAGAGAAAAATAGCTTGTTCATGGAGTTCAGAGTTGCCTGATCCCTCAGGAGCCCTGACATTTTTTTAAAAATGATCTTCCAATGCCCTAATATCTCTAGGACAACAGTAAAAAATATAGACTGTGCACCATCAACAAATCCAAAAATATTTATAGATCCTCTGTCCCCACACAGGAGAGAAGAAAAAGGCTATCTGTGGAGATTAAGATTTACTAAAGTGAAGATGAGGAGTGGAGTGGCAAGGAAAGAGATCCTGCCAGTTTGCAATATCTCAGGGAACAAGAATAGACACCTGCGTGGAGTGTTGTGGGGAGGTGGCGTAGGGGCTGGGGAGTATCTCATAGCAACTTCATGAGGCATTTCTAGCCCCAGAAGAGGCTGGAATGATCAGAAGAGGGTGGATTGGCTGAAATAAGGTCATCCTTCCTTAAATGTTACAGTACCAATACTAATACATTAATGTAAGTTAACTGTTAAAACTGAATTAATTTATATAAATGCCATAACTTATATAAATGCCTCTGACCCGAGGTGTCAAAGTATTTAAGCAACAAGTAAAACATGACCATTGACCAATCAGGACCCTGGTTATGGGGCAGTCAGGTGTTCAGCCTGGAGTTTTGGGATCCTCGAAATGTCAGAGTGGTTCCAAGGGAGGGGAATGGGGATACTTAAAGGGTAGTGGACAGTGGCTCTTTATGAACTTTTATGAGAACATTTCAATACATTATAACACCATACAGCTGTACTAGTGCACACTGGCTGAATATTAATCATGTCTGACTCCAAAATTCTCTCTCCAGGATTTTTTTTTTTAGGTGAAACGAGCCCAAATATTGTAAAAGGTGATAATGGTGATAGTTACTATGATAGTAACAGTGAGAACAATGTATATATTCCATAAGGGATGGCTTAAGTTTTGATATATTTAATCAATAGAATATAATGGAGCCGGGCACGGTGGCTCACACCTGTAATCCCAGCACTTTGGGAGGCCAAGGCAGGTGGATCATCTGAGGTCAGGAGTTCGAGACCAGCCTGACCAACATGACAAAACCCTGTCTCTACTAAAAATTAAAAATTAGCTGGGTGTGGTGGCATGCACCTGTAGGTCCCAGTAACTTGGGAGGCTGAGGCAGGAGAATTGCTTGAACCCAGGAGGTGGAGGTTGCAGAGAGCTGAGATCATGCCACTGCACTCCAGCCTGGGTGACAGAGTGAGACTCCATATAAAAAAAAATATATATATATATATAAAAATATATATATAATGCAGCTATTAAAATAGTTATAAAGACTTTGATAACACACAAATGCTTATAATACATTGTTGACTTATAACACTGCACATACAGCATATGTTTATTTGAATATGCATATGTATAAAGAGATACACTAAAGTAGAAATAGTTATATTACCATTTAGTACCTTTGTTTCCTTTATTTTTCATTTTAGTGTGGCCATGTTAATTTAAGAACAAACAATCTAAATTTAAAAAGTAGACTAAAGCAATCAAACCCAAACTTAAGCTCACCTTTACTTTCAAACAGACATGCTCTTTTATTTATTCAACATAGTTATGACATTACTTCTGCCATGGACCTCCATCTTGAAAAACACTATTTTTGGAGTTGTGACTCTTTACATAAACAGAGTTATTATGATTTTATATATATATATATTTTTATATATATAATCATATATATATGATTATATATGTGTATATATACATATATACACATGTGTATATACATATAACTTATTTTAAGAAATCAACCCAGGTGCTTGTGGGAACTAGCAAATCTGAAGCCAGCAGGCCAGAAACTCAGGCATGAATTGATGTTGTATTCTTGAACCAAAATTTCCTCTCCAGTAAACCTGTTTTTGCTGTTAAGTTCTTCAAGTGACTGTGTGAGGCCCACCTGCATTGCAAGGATAGTCTCCTTTACTTAAAGTCAACTGATTGTAGATGTTAACCATATCTACAAAGTCCCTTCACTGCAACACCTGGATTAGTGTTTGCTTAAATAACCAGTACTATAGCCTAGCCAAGTTGACACATAAAACCAGCCATCATAAGCACTGACCACTGTCTGTATTTTCAATTCCTGTACTTATATTTCTGGGATCAAATAACAATTGGAACAATCCTTGGGATTTAGGATTTAATTGCCTTTCTCAATTCTATACATAGTTGCTATCACTATCACCATCATTTTCCTCCTTAAAATTCACCGATGGCTCTCTGTGTCCCTTGGAATAAAATGTAGGCTTCTCACCAAAGAGTCCATGCAGAATGTCTGAACTGGCTCCGGTCTTCCTCTTTATCCTCATCTTTTACCGTTCTCCCCTTACACATTATGCTTCTTCAGCCAGTCTCCCCGCTTTCCCCCACTAAGGCATATCAAGCTTCTCTTCTCTCCAGACATGTGCCCAAATTGCTTGTATGAAATGCTTTGTCCTCAGCACTTTCAACCATGTAATTCAGGCTTTAAAGTCTAGTTGGTATTTCTACATTTGTTAAAATTTGTTGGCATTTTATACATAGGACCCATCACATTCTGACAAATGTTATGAAATATCTATATTTTTATTTTGGCAGAAAATAAATGGAAGAAATCATGTGAAAAAACATTCTCATTGGCTTGATATGTACATATCTTTCTTCATAAATTGCTTTTGTGGCTTCTCATTTTAGGAACGGTTGGAGGGTAAGAAATAATTTGTTTTCTGAGCATTATGGTTATATTTGGCCACAAGCATTTACTACTGAACTTTAAGCTGTTTAAAATGGGGTTAAACTGTGTATGTAATAGGAAGGGGAAGATAAATGAATTATTTGCAGCTGCTTAAAGTTTCACATTGATGAGCTTCCAGCAGAAAGAGCTTGAGGCATGTGCTCTTATGACTGAGAAGCTGCCACTACGATGGGTATGGTAGAAATTGCAACAAGGTAATGGATACATTTTTACATTTTCATCTCTGGTTGAATATCTTTAATCTAAATATGTGTGGCATTGTTGTATTGCTCTTGTTTTAGAAATCCAGTTCTCTAGAAGGCAGTCCTAGTTGGTCCAGAATTGAGTAGCATTCATTAATAGTTTAGTTTGGCTTGTGTTATATAAGATTCTAAGCCAGTCCCTGTCTAATCAACATTGTAGCTGTTACTGTTATCATTTTTATTACTAGTCATATAATTATTACATTTCTAATGATAATGTTTTACATAAAAATTATTTTAAGGTTCAGAAGTATAACAGATACCTTAATTTGTATGTAAACGTTGAAAGACATTTTAAAAGGTGAGGCATGTTTAATTCTGATGAATAAAGACTTATGGGATATATTTTTAGTTTGTCATGCCCGTAAAACTCTAAATGACAATTTGTTTTGCAATATACATTCACCTTCTTCATTTTGATGGTCTCGTTTTTGCCTCTGCTTTTTAATTTTTTCTCATATTATTAATCTCTAAATTTGTGTGCTGTTGGATTTTGCAGGAAATCGCAGTTATTTAGTATAGACCTTCATTTCAGAGGTGAAAAAATTGCAGTTTGAGGAGAGTGTAGGGTCATATCAACATCTGTTAAGAGTACATAGTTTAGAACTGATGTCAGCAAGATGGTGGAATAGGAAGCTCCAGACCCTCTTCCTTCCTGTGAAGACATAAACTCAACAATAATACACGGACCAGTTCTCTTTGTGAGAAATCCAGAAACAAGAGGCTCCTGTGTTCCAGGTGATCTTGAAACCAGCGACATCATAACTGAGAGAAACATTTGTGGCACTCACTTGCTATAGTCTCTCCCCCTGGCTCACCGTGGCACAACTGGGAGAAAGTTTTCAATTCCCAGCTTCTTCTTGGTGAGGAAAATAGAAAACTGGATTGTACATTCAATGTTCAGAATTTTCCAGAGGCTTCTGAGGGTGTGATTTCTGTCTTGTATGAATCTAAGTGCAGACAGGAAAGAGCATCAGATTGGAGCCACTGAGAACAAACGCAGTGGTTTGGAGCACTCATTCACCATAACTACCTACTCCTGGCTTAGTGCAGAATATAAGCAGGAGAAATCCCTGATCTCTTGGCTTCTCTCTGGGGAATGAAAGAGTTACAGCATGCATCCAATGTTCTGGCTTTTCAGAAGGCTCCCTGATGCACTGGTTTCTGTCTTACGTGACTTGGAGCATTTATGGGATTTGGCATGTTCTAGAAGCTGTAGTAATGAGAAAGCTGGGCACATGCAGCATTCCCAGAAAACCTGCAGTACCACAGACAGACACCAGAGGGAACAAGAGGCTATGAGCTCCTGAAAAAGGAAACAAATTCCTTTAATCCGGAATTTATACACACAAGTACATAGGAAGCACATCCACAGAAAATCTTTGAAAGGCCCTCAGAATCTCTAACCAGGATGATTGGTGAAGGTCTCTCCCTGTAAGAAGCCCGATTGTAAAGAATGGAAGAGGTAGCTGTTTCTTTTGAAATGTGTGGATTCCAGCACAAAGTTACAAGGCACGGAAAGAAATGGAAATATGGCCCAATGAAAGGAACAAAATCTTCAGAAACTGATTTTAAAGAAATGGAAGGGCCAGGCACGGTGGCTCACGCCTGTAATCCCAGCACTTTGGGAGGCCAAGGCGGGCGGATCATGAGGTCAGGAGATTGAGACCATCCTGGCCAACACAGTGAAACCCCGTCTCTACTAAAAATAAAAAAAAAATAGCCGGGTGTGGTGGTGGGCACCTGTAGTCCCAGCTACTCGGGAGGCTGAGGCAGGAGAATGGCATGAACCCGGGAGGCGGAGCTTGCAGTGAGCCAAGATCACGCCACTGCACTCCAGCCTGGACAACAGAGCAAGACTCTGTCTCAAAGAAAAAAAAAAGAAAAAAGAAATAGAAGTATATGAGTTAACTGACAAAGAATTAAAACTGCCATAGAGATGCTCAATGAGCTGAGGAAAATGAAGTGTGAGCAAATTTACATTATCTTATCAACAGAGAAAGAGAATGTGAATAAGAACCAAACAAAAATTTTAGAGCTGAAAATTATAACTGAATTGAACTATTCTATAGAGGGGTTCAATAGCAGACTTGAACAAATAATTAATGAATTTGAAGACACATCATTTGAAATTATCCAGTTAGAGAAACAAAAAGAAAAAAATGAAAATGAGTTAAAGCCTAAGGAACTTATGAGACATCATCAAGCAGACCAATATTTGCAATATGGGAGTACAAGGAGGAGATGTGAGAGAGATAAGGGAAGAAAATATTTTTGAAGAGATAATGGCCAAAGATTTCCAAATCTAGAAAAGGAAATGAACATTCAAATTCAAGAAGCCCAATAGGATGCACTCCCAAAATTCCACATCAAGACATATTAGAAATGTAAAAAGTGGCAGACAAGGGGAGCAATTTGAAATTTTGAAAGCAGAAAGAGAAAACTGACTCATTCTAGCCTCCTAGAAGACTACCAGAAATTTTCAGCAGAAACCTTGCAATTGAGAATGGGATGCCACATTAAAAGTGCTGAAAGAAAACAACTGCCAACCAAGAATACTATATTCAGCAAAAGTATTCTTTAAAAATGAATAATAGAGACTTTCCCACATAAACAAAAACAGAGGGAATTCATTATCATTAGACCTGCCTTATAAGAAATACTAAAAGGAGTCTTTCAAGTTGAAATGAGAGGATGCTAGACAGCAACATGATAGCATATTAAAATATAAGGCTCTCTGGTAAAAAATATATAGGGAGCTGAACAATGAGAACACATGGACACAGGGAAGGGAACAATACACCCTGGGGCCTGTTAGAGGTGCGGAGGATGGGGGAGGGAGAGCATTAGGATAAACAGGTAATTCATGTGGGGCTTAATACCTAGGTGAGTGGTGGGTTGCTAGGTGCAGCAAATCATGGGTCATGTTTACCTTTGTAACAAACCTGCACATCTTGCACATGTATTCCAGAACTTAAAATAAAGTGGAATTACATTTAAAAAAAAACTCAGAATACTATAATGCTATAATAGGGGTGCATAAATCACTGAATTCTGATAGAGAAGTTAAAAGTATAAAAATATGACAGTATACTAATAGATATACAATATAAAACAATGTAATTTGTGACATCAATAACATAGAATGGTAGAGGGGGGACAGAAAAGCTTAGAGTGTATGCAGTTTGATATGATTTGGCTGTGTGTCCCTACCCAAAACTCATCTTGAATTGTAATCCCCACTTGTCCAGGGAGGGACCTGGTGGAAGGTGATTGGATCAGGGGAGCAGTTTCCCCCATGCTGTTCTTGTGATAGGGAGTTCTCACAAGAGCTGATAGTTTTTTAAGTGTTTGGCAGTTCTCCCTTTGCTTGCTTGCTCACTCTCTCCTGCACCTTGTGAAGAAGGTGCTTGCTTCCTCTTCACCTTCTGCCATGATAGTATGTTCCTCAGGCTTCCCCAGCCATGCAGAACTGTGAGTCAATTAAACCTCTTTTGTTTATAAATTACCCAGTCTCAGGTAGTATCTTTATAGCAGTGTGAGAACAGACTAATATACAGTTGAAGTTAAATTGTTATCAGGTTAAAACAGCTTCTTATGATCATAAAATGTTTTGTTAGTCTCATGGTAAGACACAAAAAATACCTATAGAATATATATTAAAGAATATAATGGAGTCAAAGCATATCACTAAAAAAATCAAAACACAAAAGGAAGAGAGCAAGAGAAGAAGAACCAAAAAGCTACAAGACAGACAGAAAACAACAAAATAGCAATAGTAAATTTTCTTTATCAGTAATTACTTTAAACAGTTTAATAAATTCCTCAAAGGACATGAAGTGAATAATTTAAAAAATTCAAGTGTATGCTACAAGAGCCTCACCTTAGATGTAGGAATGCACATATGCTGAAAGGGATGGAAAAAGATACTCCATGCAAATGGTACCAAAAAAGAGCATTTTTTAATGTATATTTATGAACTGCAACATGGTGTTTTGATATATGTATACATTGTGGAATTATTAAATCAGGCTAATTTAATTCCATCAACTGATGTGCTTATATTTCTGTGGTAAGAACATTTAAAATCTCTTAACAATTTTCAAGTGTACAGTACATTATCATTAATTATAGTCACCCTGCTCTGTAGTAGATTTCCAGAACTATTCCTTCTAACTGGAACTTTGTGCCCTTTATCATCATCTCCCCATTCCCGGCCCCTTTTCCTTAGCACTTGGTATTCATCATTCTACTCTCTGCTTCTAGAAATTTGATTTTTTTTTTTTTTTTACATTCCACACATGAGATTATACAGTATTTGTTTTTTCTGTGCCTAGCTTATTTCACTCGGCATATGCCCTCTAGGTAAATCCATGTTGTTGCAAAGGACAGAATTTTATTCTTCTTAAAGGCTGAATGTTGTTCCATTGTGTATATATAGTATATTTTCTTTATTCATCTTTTGGTGGACACTGACTGGTTCCTTATCTTACCTATTGTGTGGATAATGCTGCAATGAACAGGGGTGTGCATATATCTCTTCAACATACTGATTTCAGTTTCTTCGAATATATACCCAGTTGTGGGAATATTGAATCATATGATAGTTCTGTTTTTAATTTTTGCAGGGATATCCGTACCATTTTCCGTCATGGCTGTACTAATTTACATTCTCACAAACAGTATGCAAGGGTTGCCTTTTTCCATATCTTCATCAACACTTGTTATCTTTTGTCTTTTTGATAAAAGTCACTCTAACTGGTGTGACCTGATAGATTATTGCGGTTTTAATTTGCATTTCCCTGATGACTAGCGATGTTGAACATATTTGCATATACCTTTTGGCCATTCTATATGTTCTTTTGAAAAATGTCTATTCAGTGCCTATTCTTAAATTGTGTTGTTTTCTTGCTATTTGGATTGTTTGGATCCCTTATACACTTTGGATATTAATCCCTTATCAGATGTATGGTTTACAAATATTTTCTCCCATTCCATAGAAACAACATTCTTGAGCAACCAGTGGACCAAAGATGAAATCAAAAGAGAAATTACAAAATATCTTGAGACAAACAAAATGAAACACAATATACCAAAGCTTACTGAATGCAGAAAATAAGTATTATGATGGAAGTTTATAGTGATAAATGCCTATATTAAAAAAGATGATAGATCTCAATAAACAATCTAATCTTATAGTGCAAGGAAGTAGAACATGAAGAACAAGCTAAGCCCAAAATTAGAAGGAATAAAAAGATTAGAGAAGAAACAAATAGAGAATAGGAAAGCAATAGAAAAAAATGGATAAAACTAAAAGTTGTTGTTTTGGAAAGATCAACAAAATTGAGAAATCCTTAGCTGGAGTAAGAAAAAAGAAGACTCAAAATCAGAAATGAAAGAGGAGATATTAACAACTGATGCCACAGAAACAAAAAGGATTATGTATTAATCTGTTCTCATGATGCTAATAAAGACATACACAAGACTGGGTAATTTATTTATTTATTTATATTTTATTATACTGTAAGTTTTAGGGTACATGTGCACAACGTGCAGGTTTGTTACATATGTATACATGTGCCATGTTGGTGTGCTGCACCCATTAACTCGTCATTTAACATTAGGTATATCTCCTAATGCTATCCCTCCCCCCTCCCCCCTCCCCCCACCCCACAACAGGCCCTGGTGTGTGATGTTCCCCTTGCTGTGTCCATGTGTTCTCATTGTTCAATTCCCACCTATGAGTGAGAACATGCGGTGTTTGGTTTTTTGTCCTTGCGATAGTTTGCTGAGAATGATGGTTTCCAGCTTCATCCATGTCCCTACAAAGTGCATGAACTCATCCTTTTTTATGGCTGCATAGTATTCCATGGTGTATATGTGCCACATTTTCTTAATCCAGTCTATCATTGATGGACATTTGGCTTGGTTCCAAGTCTTTGCTATTGTGAATAGTCCCACAATAAACATACGTGTGCATATGTCTTTATAGCAGCATGATTTATAATCCTTTGGGTATATACCCAGTAATGGGATGGCTGGGTCAAATGGTATTTCTAGTTCCAGATCCCTGAGGAATCGCCACAGTGACTTCCACAATGGTTGAACTAGTTTACAGTCCCACCAACAGTGTAAAAGTGTTCCTATTTCTCCACATCCTCTCCAGCACCTGTTTCCTGACTTTTTAATGATCGCCATTCTAACTGGTGTGAGATGGCATCTCATTGTGGTTTTGATTTGCATTTCTCTGATGGCCAAGGACTGGGTAATTTATAAAGGAAGGAGGCTTAATTGACTCACAGTTCTGCGTGGCTGGGGAGGCCTCAGGATGCCTATAATCACTGCAGAAGGGGAAGCAAACTCATCCTTCTTCACATGGTGGCAGCAAGGAGAAGTGCTGAGCTAAAGGGGAAAAGCCCCTTATAAAACCATCAGATCTCGTGAGAACCCACTCACTATCACGAGAACAGCATGAGGGTAACTGTCCCCATGATTAAATTACATCCCACTAGGTCCCTCCTACGACACATGGGGATTATAATAACTACAATTCAGGATGAGATTTGGGTGGGGATATAGCCAAACCATATCAGATTATAAGAGATCACTATGAACAATTATGTACCACTAAATTATGTAATCCAGGAGAAATGGATAAATTCCTAGGAATATAAAACTGTCAAGATTGAGCTATGAAGAAATAGAAAATCTGAATAAATCTATAATTTGTAAGGAGGTTGAATCAGTAATCTTCCAACAAAGCAAAACACAGAACTAGTTGACTTAACTGAATAATTCTATCAATCCTTCTCAAACTCTTCCAAAAATTATAGAGGATAGAATATTTCCAAATACACTTTTCAAAGGCCAGGATTATCCTGATAGCAAAGTCAGGCAAATACACTACAAGAAATGAAAACTCCAGGCTACTGTCTCTGATGAACATAGATGCAAAAATCCTCATAAAAATTCTAGCAAGCTGAATTCAATGGTACATCAAAAGGATCATGTACCATGACCAAGTGGGATTTTTCCCTGAGATGAAAGGATGGTTCAACATTTAAAAATCAATCAATATGATACACCACATGAACAGAACTAAGGATAAAAATTACATGATCATCTCAATAGATGCAGTAAAAACATTTGAAAATATTCAACACCTTTACAAGATTAATAAAAACATTTGAAAAAATAGGAATAAAAGAAAATTACCTCAGCATTATAAAGGCAATATATGACAAACAGCAGACGTATTCAATAGTGAAAAACTAACAGCTTTTTCTCTAAGATCAGGAAGAAGAAAAGAATGCCCATCCTCACTATTTCTATTTAACATAGTACTGGAAGTCTTAGCTAAACAAAAGAGATAAAAGGCATCTAAATCTGAAAGGAAGATGTAATATTTATTATTTCTATTCACAGATGATGTCTTATATGTAGAAACAACTCTGCCATACACACACAAACTGTTGAATAAATTCAAAGTTGTAAGATATAAAATCAACATATAAAATAAGCTCTTTTTATATGCTGACATGAACAATCTGAAAAAGATAATTAAGAAAATAATTCCACTTACAATATCAAAAAATAATCAGGACTAAACTTGACCAGGGATAAAAATACTTATCCACCGAAAATTTTAAAAACATGGCTGGAAGGAATTAAAGATACAAATAAATGGGAAGATATCCTGTGTTCATAGATTGAAAGACTTAATATTGTTAAAACACTCATCCTGCCCAAAGTAATCTACAGAATTAATGCATTCCCTATTAAAATTCCAATGCTTTTTTCTTTTCAGTAATAGGAAAACAATCCTAAAATTCATATGGGACTCCAAAGAGTCCCAGATAGCCAAAACAATCTTGAGAAAGAACAAAACTAGAGGCCTCATACTTCCTGACTTCAAAATATATTAGAAAGCTATAGTATCAGAACAGTATGCTACTCGCATAAAAACAGACATATAAAGCAATGGAACAGAATCAAGAGCCCAGGAATAAACACATCCATATACCGTCAAATGATCTTTGACAAGTGTGCTAAAATCACCAAGGGAGAAATATAGTCTCTTCAACAAATAGTGTTGGGAAAACTGGATATCCATGTTGAAAATAATGAAATTGATGGATATGTTAATTAGCTTGGTGTAATCTTTCTACAATGTATATATAGATTAAAACATTACTTTGTACCCCATAAATATACACGATTATTATTTGTCAATCAAAAATGAATAAAATTGGACCCTTATACCATATACAAAATATAGACTCAAAATGGATTAAAGACTGAAACATAGTCCTAAAACTATAAAACTAGAAGAAAACATAGGAAAAAAACTTTATGACATTGGTCTTGGCAAGGATTTCTTGAATGTGACACCAAATGTGAATGTAACACAAAAAGCCCAAGATACAACACCAAAATGGGCAAGTGAGACTACATCGAACTAAAAAGCTTTATGGCAAAGGAAACAGTCCACAGAATAAAAAGGCAACCTATGGAATGCGAGAAAATATTTGCAAACCATGTGTTTAATAAGGGATTAATAATCCAAAATATATAATAAACTCCTAAAACTCAGTGTTTAACATCCCTAAGGAATGAAAAAGCTACAAGATATCACCTCACACCTAAGACGGCCATTATAAAAAACAAATAACGAATATCAGGATATAGAGAAATTGAAACCCTTGTGTGTTTTTGGGAATGTAAAATTGTGTAGCTTCTATGAAAAATGGTGGGGTCTTTCCTCAAAAAAGACTAGGACTAACATATGATCCAGCCATCCCACTCCAGGTATTCAAATAATTCAGAACAAGGCCTCAGATAGATACTTGCACTCCCATGCTTACTGCAGCACTATTCACAATGACCAAGAGGTGGAAACAACTTACATGTTTGTAAGTGGATGAATGGATTGAGAATATGTGAAATAGAAACACATAATAGAATATTATTTAGTCTTAAGGAAATTCTGTCCCACGCTATATGGATGAATCTTGTGGGTTTTACGCTATGTGACATAAGTGAGCCACAAAAGGCCAAATATTGCATGATTCCACTTAGATGAGGTTTCTAGAACAGTCAAACTTATAGAAGCAGAAAGTAGAGTGATGGTTTCCAGGAGTGGGGAGAATGGGGAATTGCTGTTCAATGGATACAGAGTTGCAGTCATCCAAAATGAATAAGTTCAAGAGAACTGCCCTACAACAATGTGCATATAGTAAACCACACCGTTCTGTCTGTACACTGAGATTTGCTAAAAGGCTAGATTTTATGTTAAGTATTTTCTACTACTTTCTTTTTTAAAAAGAATATAGTATCCAATGGAACTGCCATCATCTGTTGCTCCTCCCACCTATCTGTACCAAATTCCTGTGAAAGGTAGAAAATAAACAAATGAACCATGTTAAATTTTGGACCTGAAGATAGATATGTTAAATGCGAACTGATTTATTGAAGCCCCTGGTTTAGGAAAACCTGTGAGTTTTTCAGTGATTCATGATATTAGTGTTCATAATGTGGATGATTACTTTTTTCAAGCAGTTTTAGATTTACAGCAATATTGAGAAGAAGGTACAAAGACATCCCATATACCCACTGCCCTCCCCTGCTGGCCTCCTCCATTATCAACACCCCCCACCCGTGTGGTACATTTGTTACAATCAATGAACATACATTGACATATCGCTATCATCACTCAAAGTTCACAGTTTATATTAGGGCTCACTCTTGCTGTTGTACATTCTATGGGTTTGAATAAATGTATAATGTCATGTGTTCACCATTAAAGTATCATACAGAGTATTTTCACTGCCTTAAAAATCCTCTGTGCTCTGCCTATTCCTTCCTCCCTATCCCCAAACCCCAGCTACCTCTGAGCTTTTGTACTGTCTCCATAGTTTTGCCTTTTTAAAACAAATTATCTTTGCTTTTGAAAAGACATAGAATAATAATTACAACATTATATATAGATGTGTATCTATGCAATATAGGGTTTCCCTGGTGTAAGGCAGTAAGAAGGGGTGAGTAAAAGTATAGAGGGAGCTAGGTCTGAAATTAGAAATAGGTGTCCTTCCCTTTTACATGGATGGAGGAGGGTGATTGGTTTTGGAACAGGAAGTTCAGGGAAGCTTCACCAGAACTTGCCTTAGCCCTTAGCATCCCTAGCCAGGTGTGTTCACTAACCCTTGTTCTGAGGAATAGCACTGTGGCAGAACAGATGTTGGCACTGGGCCCTGGTAGGTAGGGTTCTTGTCCCTCTTTTACTGGCTGGTGAAGGCACGTGGGAATAGTTCTCAAATATGGTTTTCCTGTCTGTAAAATTAGGAAACTGATTTATCAGACCTAGATTGATTGCCTGGACTTTTCATCACAGTCTCAATCTCAAATCTGAGGTTCCCTTCTCTGACTGTACATCGATTTTGGCTTTGTATATGTGGCCACTGAACTTCTCAGGTCTGTCCCAGACTGAATCTTTGATCTTTTTTCACTTCTGCAAAATGCAGGAAGCCCTTTCTTTGTTGTGGTCCCTGTGATGCAAGCTTGGTCAAAAGAAGAAAAGAGCAGAGCTGTGATAAGCTGATTTTAGCAGCAGCGCTCCATTTAGCACCAGGCTGTGTATCCCCCATGAACAGCACAGCCCACTGGGTGCTGGTGGCAGGAATGGCTTTTTGCAGAGACCAAGTGGGTCCAAATGAGAAGGGATTTTCCCATCTTGAACTCCTCTCTTCTGCTGAATTTTCACTGGGGTATAATTTGTTAGTATCTGGCATCGATCCCCCTGCAGGTCATCATACCCATTCCTTTCAGAATGTGGCTGGTAGTCATGGGCAGGGAGAGAGGGACCTTGTATGGAGTTTTGCAGACAGGGCTTCTGATCCCATATACTACAAAATCATTAAAAAACCACCTATCATGCACATGCTGTAAGGTAGGCATTGTGAAAAATGTTTTTCCGTACATTCACTCCCTTATTTTGGTCACTAAACTGCATGTTCATTATCTTTTCAACCACAGGCTTTTGTCCAACATTATAATATTGAGACCTATGGCATACCCTATACTCTTTGTTTCCATCTTCCAGATCCCGAGTCCAGCTACCAGCTCACTACACCTCTGCTGTCCTGCTGTACTTGTATCTTTAAGACACCTGTGAGACCTTTTCTGTGCTTTCAGTTTTATGTGATGGCTTGGCATGCAAACACAAGTATCTCTAGGAAGGCATTCAGGCCTTGAGAACCCTTTGGGGTGTAGTAACAGGAACTTCCTCTTGTGAATCATGCCTTTCATGTAAGAGCAGTCCTGTTAGGAGCACATTATTGACCTCTGCACCTATTCATCAGCCAGAAAGTGTTTATTTACTGAGTATATCCTGAGGTACTGAGATCATTGTCATTGCAGTGTTATTTTGGATTAAATATACATTTGTATTTTTGAAAATTTTGGCATAGTCTACTTTCCCTTGAAAAGAATAACATCAGTAATAACTGGCTGATTTAGGAATCTGTTGACTAGCTTGTCATATAATAGCTTATTTTTCCCCCTTTGAAACTGAAATAGTTGGATTTCTGTAACCTGTGGTATTTTTCTTGGGAATCATATATGTAAAGACTAAATTAGAGGTGAAACTAAGTTTAGTTTGTACATTAGATTTAATTAGTATGAAATTAATTTTAATGTTCTTTTTTTTTGAGACAGAGTCTCACTCTATTGCCTCAATTACTCCAAATTAATTTTCATCGGAACTTCAATAAACATTTTTTTTTTTTGAGACAGTCTCACTCTGTCTCCCGGGCTGGAGTGCATTGGCATGATCTCAGCTCACTGCAACCTCTGCCTCCCGGGTTTAAGCGATTCTCCTGCCTCAGCCTCCCGAGTAGCTGTGATTACAGGTGTGTGCCACTAAGCCTGGATAATTTTTGTATTTTTAGTAGAGAGGGGTTTTTGCCATGTTGGCCAGGCTGGTCTCGAACTCCTGATCTCAAGTGATCTCCCCATCTCGACCTCCCAAAGTGCTGAGATTATAGGTGTGAGCCACCATGCCTGGCACTGATAGTCTTTTGAGAGAAATGTATTTGTTCATTAAATGTAGTTCAAACAATTCTGTTTCCTCTCAAAAACATTGAATAATTTGGGGAGAAAAACTAACAGATATGTAACTATTAGAGAAGTATCAAGTGTGTTGTATGTGAATTTAAATATCATAGAGAAGGAAAGGTCAGTATAGGTTGAATGAATCTCTTTAAATTATAAACAGCCTATTCCTGCCTCTGGTTGGTTTTATACAAAATGTATTAGTTGAATTTCCCTATACTCAGACCATAGTACTGATAGCTCACCAATCTTTGATTTATAAGAATGGTAGAGGTTGTTCCTGGATTCTGCAGATACAAAACATGCCTGTACCTAATCACATTTGGTTGATAAATTCATTTAAAAAAACCAGAAATGTGAGTTATGGAATAAAAATTACCAGGAGAAATACCAAGAATAAAAAAATCTCTTATTCTTAGGAACAAACAGATAAATAGTTCCACATGCATTTTATTATTCTGTTTTCATTTGCATTCTTCATGACAGTGAGTTCTCCCCCAAAGAACCACTTAAACATCTTGAAATTTGTTATGTTTCCCATCAGTTTCTTAACTGCAAAGCTTCATCACCTCAAGTTATACTGTCCACTTCCTGTGGGAAACGTGGGCAGTAGGAGGACAATTCGAACTCAGAATTAGCTAAATTTTGCATTAGGAAAAATGGAAATCCATTTAAGATGTTTTTACTTGAACTTCATTCTGTTATTAAGCCTTACTCTGAGCCACTTTATTATACAACAATCATGCAGCTCACTACAGCTCAAAGGTTAGAAGCATGATGGAGTCCTGAAAAGGCCTCAGATATGTTATTCTGGGTGTAAATTTATGTTACACTAATTGTGAATGCAATGCTTATGTGCTTATTTGATATCTTAAACTAGCATCTTAAAGGCTTATTATATGGAGCCTTATAATTTTATACAGAACCTAGGTCAGTGATTCTCAAACCTGGACACAGGATAAACTTTTGATTCCTGGGTCCCAATCTGTAAAGATTCTGAGTCAGTGAAGCTGGATGGAGCCTGGGCATCTGCATTTTTAACAAATACTTCAGATTCTTGTAATACAATTGATCCATACTCCTTGAGAAATATTGGCTTAGATTCATGAAAATTTCAAGAGTTGAAATGATTCATTGTAATTTTTTTTTTCTTTTGAGATGGAGTCTTGCCTTATTACCTAGGCTGGGGTGCAGTGGCATGATCTCGGCTCACCGCAAACTTCACCTCCCGGGTACAAGGGATTCTCCTGCGTCAGCCTCCCAAGTAGCTGGGATTATAAGTGTGTGCCACCATGCCCAGCTAGTTTTTGTATTTTTAGAAGAGATGGGGTTTCGCCATGTCAGCCAGGCTAGTCTCCTGACCTCAAGTGATCCGCCTGCCTCGGCCTCCCAAAGTGCTGGGATTACAGGCTTGAGACAGCACAGCTGGCTGACTCATTGTAATTTATGTAAAAACAAATGATGACTTACTGGGGCTAATTGAGCCTGTATTTTTGTGATACATAAAAGATCAAGTTTAGTTCAAGTGCTTTTTACTTTTCAGCTTTGAGGTATAGTTAACAAAATAAGAATTAAGGTATACAATATGATGTTTTGATGTGTACACAGTATGAAATGATTATAAAAATCAAACTAATCAACATTTCTACAGCTTCTTATAGTTACCTTGTGTGTGTGATGAGAACATTTGAGATCTACTCACTTAGCAAATTTCAAGTATACAATACAGTATCATATAAATATAGTTACCGTGCTGTACCTTAGATCTTCAAAACGTATCCATCCAATATAGGTTAAAAAAAGAGTTATGAAAGTTTTTTTTAAAATGTGGACTATATTAATTTTCAGAGCCCTTTCACTTGGAAAACTAACTACTGTTACACTATTTACTTATAACTTTTTTTTGTATTCAAGTACTCCTTCTGAACTAAAAAGTAGATGCTATACATTTGAGCTTTGCCTATTACAAATTCACATACATTGTTTTTCCTTCTTTGTGAGGTTATTTTGTCAATTAAATGATTTCTTAGTGCCGTATGAGTTATAATAGGGTGGGTAGGTTATGCTTCAGTAACAGACGTCAAATTTTTTTTTTTAAGAACCAATCCTCCATGTCTTTTCATGGTTTCATAGCTCATTTCTTTAGTGCTGAATACTATTTCATTACATGGATGTTCTGCAGTTGATCCATCTACCTATTGAAGAAAATCTTGATTGCTTCAGCAATTATGATTAAAGCTGTTATAAACACTTGCATGCTTGTTTTTGTGTAGAAGTGCATTTTCAACTCCTTTGGGTATATACCAAGGAGCACAATTCCTGGATTATACGGTAAGAGTAAAATCTCTTATTTTTAAAGCAATTTTTTTATTTCTCAAGCTACATGTTCATCCCGAGTTGGTTTGGGTGTTCTGCTCTGTGTTATTCTCACTCAGGAACTCAGTCTCATGGGTGTCTCTCAGCTTACCATGAGTTTCCAGGATCAGCATAGTGTGAGAAGCAGGAAAAGAACTTTAGAGGGTCTTACACCAGCAAACCAATACTTAGCCTGGAAATGAGCACATCACTTTTGCTCACTGGTATCATGGCCCCACCTTCACAAAAAAGAGCCAGGAAATTGTTTTCCATTTGCCTAGAAGAAATGGTAATCGGATATCAGCAGCATCAGTAACTTTTGCATTCTGCCCATATTTTTAAATAATTTTGCTTGCTTTCCTACCTGTATATGAGGTATAGTCACCCCTCCCTGAGGATCACAACCCAAAAATCCCATTTAGTCATGGCATCAGGCTCAAAGTCTGAGATCTCTTGCATGATGCTTAGTAGACTCCAACCAGAGGTAGGGGATGGCAGTGGCCTGTACATCAGGTGTGGGTGTAAATCAGGAGATAGAGGCTATTACTGATTATACTTCCTGGGTGCAGCTCCCACTCTACTCATCCCCATAGCCCTTGGCTTTACCCTCTGGAGGTTCTTGTTGTTCTAATATCCTCTTTGGTTCCATATGAAGTAGGCATTGGGAATGTAGTCTCTTATGCTGTTAGTAGCTTTCTCAGCTTACTTCTTGCCCGTAGATGTTTGGGACTCCTAAGTTCTTTATAGGTTTCATAGTCTTTAATTATTTTTTTGGCAATTCAGTTCTCCCAATAACTTAGCTTTTTATTTATTTTAATTCAGACACTAACATGTGCCAGTAACCACACCCATAGTTCTTTCCTAGACATTTTTCTAGATTTGTTACACATGTCTTATTTTGTACCCCATTCCTGTCCGTTACTTAATTGTGGATACTCTGGGCTTATCAGGCTTCTTTGGCAGAACCATTTATTTAGTCTATTTTTTGCTGCACCATTTTCTTCCAACTGACGCAATTTCTGGGTGCCAGTGAAATCCATTCAGAGATTTTTGACTGTGGGTGAGGCAGCTAATCCCTTCATTTAATTCTTGCTGTGGTGAGAGTTTTAATTGGCATTTGTTATTCAAGACATTTCTTTACACTTTGGGCTTGGGAGCCGGCCGTCTCTTCCTAACTTAGAAGCTCCTGCATTTGTGGACTCTATTCCCTTACATTTTTGCTTGCAATGTGACTAATTCGTTCCCAGTTTCATCTCTTTCTTGTAATATCAAGTGTCACAGGTTAAATTATCCTCCCAAAAAAGGTATGTTGAAGTCCTAACTCCCAGTACTTCAGAATATGACCTTATTTGGAGATAGATCTTTACAGAGGTAATCAATTTTAAATGAGATCAGTAGGACGGGTCCTAATCTAATATGGTTGTTATTCTTTTTTTTTTTTTGAGGCAGAGTCTCATTCTGTCACCAGGCTGGAATGCAGTGGTGTGATCTTGGCTCACTGCAACCTCTGCCTCCAGGGTTCAAGTGATTCTCCTGCCTCAGCCTCCCAAGTAGCTGGGACTACAGGTACACGCCACCATGCCCAGCTCATTTTTGTATATTTAGTAGAGACAGGGTTTCACCATGTTGGCCAGGATGGTCTTGTTCTCTTGGTCTTGTGCTCTGCCCACCTCAGCATCCCAAAGTGCTGGGATTACAGGCGTGAGCCACTGCGCCTGGCCTATGGCTGGCATTCTTATAAAAAAGGGGAAACTTGGACACAGAGACAGGCATGTGTACAGAGACAGAACACCATGTGAAGACGAAGGCAGAGAAAGAGGTGATGCATCTACAAGCCAAGGAATCCCAAATATTGCCAGCAAACCACCAGGAGGTAGGAGACAGGCATGGAACAGATTCTCCTCCACAGGCCTCAGAAGGAACCAACACTGCAGACACCTTGATCCCAGATTGCTAACCTCTGGACCCATGAGATAATAAATTTCTGTTGTTTAAGCCACCAAGCTTGTGGTAGTTTGTTATGGTAGCTCTAGGAAACTAACACACCTTGTCAAATGAAGCCAATAGCAGTGAGCACATATGACTCTTCTGATTCCAAACTACTTCTACTAGAGATAAAAGTTCACTAAGTATATTATCTGCTTTCCAAATTATCATAGGTAAATAATTTTTATCAAGTGTGTCACCATTGTATGATATGGATTACCATCTTCCTAGTAACATTTTCTGCTGCATTCAGGGTTGGCTAGGTTATGTTGCTGCAACAATGCTAAAATCTCATTGCTCAAAAAGTAATGGGCTATTTCTCACCTACGTTGCCTGGAGTCTCTGCTCTCTGCTATCCTCACTCAATGACTAAGGCTGTGATAGCTCTTTTCAACACGTAATTCCAGAATCACTACAGGAATCAAAAAAGGAAAAAGAATACTTAGTCTTCACTGACAATTCAAATGCTCTACCCATTTATAACATAAGGCTAGAACTAGTCATATGTCATCATCTAACCATAAGAACAGCACAATGTGCTCAGAGGATGTCTTAGCTCAGGCTACTGTACCAAATACCACAGACTGGATCACTTAAACATTTTTTTCTTGGAGTTCTGGAGACTGAGGAGTCCAAGATCAGGATGACTGTGTGATTGGGTTCTGGTGAAATCCCAATTCTTGGCTTGCTGATGGCCATTTTCTTACTGTGTCTTTATATGGCAGAGAAAGCGAACAAGCTCCTGTGTGTTGTCTTATGAGGGCACTAATCCCATTCATGAGAACTCTACCCTCATGACCCAAGTATCTCCAAAATGCCCACCTTCTATCAATAATACCATCACACTGGGGGTTAGGATTTAATACATGAATTTTGGGGAAACATAAACATTCAGTCCATGAAAAAGGGAAAGGAAAACAATATATCAGTAACACTGATAACTACCACCAAAATACTCCCAAATTGTTGGTCTGGAAACTGCTAGTGTTTCAATTCAATCATTCATTTAACAAGTACTTTGTATGCAACACTGATAGGTGCTGGGGATAAATGAATACAGTTGAACTCCTCTATTCTTAGGGCATTTATAGTCTGGTAGAAGAGGTGGATATTCATCAAATAATGTTACACGAAATTGCAACAATGGCGATTACTACAAAGAAGAGAGATAAGATATTGGCATGCTTATAAGGAAAGGATTTGACCTACTCAGTGGGATCTAGAAAACCTGAGGAATGAAGAAGCGAAGAGGAGTAACAAGAGTTTCCAGAAAGAAGGAGCCTCATATGCAAAGGTCCTGGGGCAAGAAGGAGCTTCAGGTGGTGCTGAAGTAAAGGGGGTTAGGGACAGAACCTTTAGAGATGAGGTTGGAGTGAGAGCTAGATGACATATTCAATAAGGACTTCTAGGCCACAAGAAGGAATTTTGTCTTCATCTCAATATAAAATGGAATCAATTACAGGGTTTTATCAGGAGTTTAGCATGAGGTGGTTCTCTGCAGTTGATAGCTGATGGCTGTCTGCTGACAGTACCCTCAGCAGCTAGGTGGCAAGGCTTTCCTTGAAGGAGAACTGGGCAGTTCATCTCCAAGTCTCCCACACTCAGGCAGTATGTGGCAGAGCCAGGGCTGGAATCAGACTTGCTGAGCTCAACTTCAGTGCTTGCTTCAACTCACCCCCCAGGAATCTGGGGATCAAAGCACCAAGGTCAGAGGTGGAAAATATCGCAAAGTATAGTGAAGGACTTTGAAGAATAAGATAATAAGGGAGATGAATACAGTGACTCTTTCCCTCCAAAACAATATATTTTACAAATGGACTTTTTTTTTTTCCTCCAGGGCTTCTTCCCCCCTCTATATTCTCAGTGTCTGCCCTTTGATCTAAAATAGAGTAAACTTTCATGCAAGAACATTTGATTTTTTTCTTCAATCTGACTATTCATAACCTATTTAAAATTGATTTATAGTCTTACTGTCTTCAAATTAATTCCAGGCATAAGCCAGGAGAAGGTCATCTTCCTCACAAATTTTGCAGTTTGCCAGAGGTTTTTCCCTGCCTGGTTTAAAGGGCCAGCTTCAATTTCACTACTTTGTAGCCCCTGCCTATATGCGTGACTTTGGGCTAATTGCCCTGACCTGGATTATTGTGTACCTCGTCTTGTAGGGGATCATCTACCCTGGAAGCCATGCAGGCCTTGAAGGCAAAGATGTATAGCCACTGGCTCAGTGTTGCACCACTGAAAGAGTTGCAGTTGGGAGCTAGATTTACAGAGCCCTCATCGGAGGTGTTTCTATTAACAGCTTCAGCCTCAGTGCTCCTGGCAGAAAGAACCACGATTCAAGTATTGCCTCGCCCCTGTGCTGAGCACCACATCCCTGGAATGACTTGATTTGCTGTGAAGAGATTCCATGAACGGGTTGTCCTATCTCTCTGGGTCCCCAAACAGCTCCCTGTCTGCTCTTTCTCTCTGGTTCTTCAACCGTGATGAACTCTGGGGACCATCATCTTTATATTTTGCTAAAACTCTGGATTTAGAAAACACTGATGTGAAATTTCATTCTGCTTTGAGGTGTCTGCTGATTCACTATGGAGCTGATCTGCTATAATCTCGTGCCCTGTCATATTGTCTTTTTTTCTTAGGTATTCCTTAGTCTTCCCAGATAATCAAGCATCTTGGATTCATGGCTTTTGTTCCCTGGTAAGTGAGGCCCTATCTTTTTGCCTAGAAATATTTATATTGTACCTAGTATTGACAAAAATTTTTGAAAATTCTTTATATACTTCCATCTTTACTGTTTAAAGAATATTAAGTAAATACTTTAGGTGATGATTGGGAGCGAGATTGAGATATATATGCCAGTTCCTATAGCTGCCCTTATTTGGAGGACATAGAGATGAAAAATTACGAGGTCTAGAGCAAGATCACTTGTGTGCGAATCTTCATTCTACCACTTACTGATATTGTGGGCAAGTTACTTAGCTTTTCTAAGCCTCAGTTTTATCATCTGTAAAGCAGACATGATAATAATAAACCATGATGCAGAATTGTCTTAGGATTTTATAAGATAAGGCATGTAAAATATTTAACATGGTTCCTGGAATGTAGGAATATTAATATGTACTGCTCTGAGCATACACCACACGCTGGGCATTATGTCTTGGGTACATCACCTCTCATCTTAAAACTGTCAGGCAGCTTTGCTAAAATGTCCATAACGTACAGATGAGGAAACTGTATGTGAGTTATCTGCCCGTGGTCACAAAGCTACTAATGTGCAGAGCTGGGATTTGCATTTACATGTTTCTGACTCCAGGGGGCCAGCCTGTTTCCCCTGTGCTACAATGCCTCAAGAAGACTGGCTATTGTAGCCATTGCACAGTGCTATAAAATGGATCCTCTAAGGGCTTCTGAAATGTGTGAGGCTTGGCTTCCTTTCCACTGGGTGGAATGTGCTCTTCCACATGAAGTCTCTCACTCAACTCCCTCAGGAACATCCTTTTGTAACCTCTGTCACTGGATTCCTCATACCTCACTCTAGTCTCCTGTTGACTGCCCTTCTTGTTCTATGTTATTCTGTACCAAAAACAATTATTTTGATAACCCATTAGGTAAATTTCATTTCACATATGTTAAGCACCTACCAGGCATTTTTACATACTTTTAATCATCAAAAGAACCATATTACTATTTTCATTTTATTGGTGACAAACTTGCACCAGATTACAGAGCTGAGAAGTGGGAAGAATCAATATGCAAATCCTGAGGTCAACTTAGTAATTGGTACCACAATTGTAGTTCCGGAAAGAGGGAATCTGGAATTGGTGATTTGACATTCTTGGAGGCAATGAGGATCCCTTAGTAATTATAATAGAAGACACAGGTATGCAGTGTGGAAATGGTTATTTATTTATTTATTTAAAAAATAATTTTAGATTTGGGAGGTACATGTGTAGGTTTGTTACATGGATATATTGCATGATCCTGAGGTTTGGGCTTCTATTGGACTAATTACCTAAATAGTGAACATAGTACCCAATAGGTAGTCTTTCAACTCTTTCCCAGAGTCCCCAGTGGTATCTATTGTTCCCACCTTTATGTCCATGTGTATCCATTGTTTAGCTCCCACTTATAAGTGAGAACATGTGGGATTTGACTTTCTATTTCTGTGTCAATTCACTTAGGATAATGGCCTCCAGCTGCATCCATGTTTCTGCAAAGGGCATGATTTCCTTCTTTTTATGGTTGCGTAGTATTCCATGGTGGATATGTACCACATTTTCTTAATCCACCACTGATGGGCACCTACACTGATTTCATGACTCTACTATTGGGAATAGTGCTGTGATGAACATAAGATTGGTAGAACAATTTATTTTCCTTTGGGTAGATACCTAGTCATGGGATTGCTGGATTGAAATGGTAGTTCTAAGTTCTTTGAGAAATCTCCGAACTGCTCTCCACAGTGGTTGAACCAATTTATATTCCCACCAACAGTGTATGAGCATTCTCTTTTCTCTGCAGCCTCATCAGCATCTGTTGTTTTTTGAATTTTTAATAATAGCCATTCTGACTTGTATGAGATAGTTATTTAAACAATCACTTAAGGTCATCTGGAATGAAGTGCCTATGAAAGCATAGCTTGGGTAGACTTGGACACAGCTCCCACGGTGCAGCACAGAGGCAGAAAGAATACTGACTAGTGGGCTAGCTGCTTCCAACTGGCTCTAGAGCTTAAGGGAAGATAACTACAAACTCAAAGTTTTAGTTTCTATCATGCTTTCCCCTACTTTTACATTGGACACATACATAATTTAGTCCATTGCTTATAGAATATCAAGGCAAGATTATGTCTGAAGTAGAGGAGGAAAGCATGCCACTCAAAGATAGGCACAAGGATTAAGACGACAACCATGAATCTCTCCTTTTTGGAAAGAGGTAAGAGAGTTTCCATTTGTGTAAGGCAAAGTTGCATTAAATTAGACAGAGTGCATTGTTTTGCTTTGTTGTTGTTTGGAAGTTCAGTTGGGAGAAAGAAGGTGTGAAGGGAGGTTGAGTAGTTAAAGGAACAGATTGTGGCTGGTACTGTAGGTTGGCTCACTCAACACCCATTAATTTTCTTCTACTTTGCTTTCCTCTACCACAGAGGTTGGAAAGCTAAAAAATATCTTTCTCAGATTTCTTAGATTGCTTTTCAGTTTACAATGCAGGCAAGTGGCTTAGGTTCCACCAAACCAATGAA
Source organism: Homo sapiens (assembly GCF_000001405.40). Classification (NCBI taxonomy): domain Eukaryota; kingdom Metazoa; phylum Chordata; class Mammalia; order Primates; family Hominidae; genus Homo; species Homo sapiens. The sequence goes on from NC_000013.11 coordinate 46,994,517, forward strand.
GCAGTGTAAGACTTGGAGGCAGTCGTGAACCATCAGTAGCCGTGACCAAGGAGCAAGTGCATTGTGGGAGGTGTCTGAATGCATAGGGTGCTGCAGCAGAGCTTCTCAAGTTGGTTCTCCAGTGAGATCACTCTGAACACAAGGTGGTGACACTGCGGGAATTGCTAGCCCCATTCGTCAGTGTTTGCTGCTCTCCTGGATGAGCAATGATGCGCTGTAATGTACGTAAGTGTGCAGCAAGCAAGTATGGTTCTCCAGCACCCATGCAGATTCTGCTAGTGACAAAATTCTGTCTTTTTCAGCATCCCCTTCTGCTTAAACTAACTGGCATGGGTTTTGTCATTTTTGGCGAAACACTAGTTAATACATTATGTCTTCTTGTTCTCAATCCTAGTTTTTCCACTTTATTACAGCCTCTTCTTAAGGAGAAAATATATAGCCAAATGAGTTTGATTCATCACATAAGTCTTATTTGGAAAGCCAAGTAAAATAGACTTCTAAAGTGCATGGGGGCACTTTGTGACAACTATTTTTTTTTCAAGAATCTTTCACCCTGAAGGCTTTAAATTGATATGTAGAGTCAAGACAATTCTAGAGAATTGTAGCTACTGATGATTTGTATGATTCTAGTGTTGAAACTAATAAATTATGTTTCCACAATGAAAAATTTGAGTTGTTTCTTCTTTTTTTTTTATAGCCTATTGCTCCTAGCTACACACCTGTATAGTATGTTACTACATTGAATACTGTAGGCAATTGTAATGCAATGGTGTATCTAAACATAGAAAAGGTACAGTAGAAATACAACATAAAAGATTTAAAAGTTTTGCTTACCCTGAACAGAGCCTGCAGGACTGGAAGTTGCTGTGGTTGAGTCAGTGAGTGAGTGTGAGTGAATGTGAAGGCCTAGAACATTACTGCACGCTACTGTATACTTTATAAACACCGTACACCTAGGCTACACCAAATTTATTTTTTAAAATGTTCCCTTTTCAATAATAAATTACCCTTAGCTTACTGTAACTTTTTTACTTTATAAACGTTTTAATTTTAACTTTTTGACACTTTTGTAATAACACTTAGATTAAAACACACATTGTGAAGCTATACAAAACTATTTTTTATATTATTTCATAAACATTTTTCTATTTTTTTTATTTAACTTCTGGGACACATGTGCAGAGCGCTCAGGTTTGTTACATAGACATACATGTGCCATGGCGGTTTGCTGCATGTTTCTTCTTTGATTAGCTAAAGTCTGCTGTGTTATTACATTTTGAAGGTATTGAATTTATGGATTACTCAGGGATTTTAGAATTGCTAATTATTCCCAGGATTGTTACTAAAGGTTTTAATTTTCTTAGTTAAAAAAATATAGATTATCTGACTATCCATAATGTCTTTGTGGCTACTTTCAGAATAAGCTAGAGTAATGGATATGTGGGGAGTGAAGTTTCTTTCTTTGCTGGAGAAACCAACTGTGTTTCAGTTCCATGATGGATTAGTATCATAATTCATAAGGGCTCAGTGCTGAGGCCTACTGAGACCTCAGAAACAAAGACTCACAAGAAAGAGGAAGTAAGTTGGTCTACGTGGGACATGAGCTACTTCCTAAGGGAGTAACAGAAGAGTATGGTCAAATCATTTTGGTTTTGACATCTAAGAATGTCTAATTTGGTAGATGGAGCCTGGAAGCCCTATCAGGTGGTAGGAAATACTTGAAGTTCAGGTGGGTGGTGTGGACTAGTTAGATTATGGGAAGACCTTAATTACTCTCTAGGATTATTTAGTGAAGGATCTAGCTCTTAAAGGAAGGGAATTATCAGAGACAGTTCAGGGCATAAGGGCCCTAACAGATGGGCTGAGGTTAGGGAAGAGTTAAAATATCAGACATAAACAAAAGTTCTCACTGGGGAAGCTGAGGCTGATGCTCACAGGCAGCTATCAGGCCAATTTGACAAGAGGGTGTGTGTGCACCCATGTGCAGAGGAGAATGGCAGAGGAGGGGGTGAAGGAGGAGATGAGTAGTGAAGCAAGCTATGATTTGCAAGTTTACCTTCGGCACGTGAGACTCTAAACCTATGGCAGTGAGACAGCCTCTAAACCCCTACTAATTAGTGTAAAGCTGTTGGTTTACTTCTTGCCACAACCACTATTAATTCAGGAACCAACAAAGTGAGTTATAGTAGCAGCATACATGGATCTAGTAAGGGAGGCTATGCAGGCAGTGACTGACAGATGGATAACAGAGGGAGTGGAAGGCACTGTGTTTTTGAAATTGAAAACAATAAAATTAATTTGCGTGTCCTCTATGAGTGAGACATTAGCAGTCACTTTTGGGCCAATTTATGTTTGCCATCACATTTTAATCGTGGCAGTTACAGCCAATTTAATTAGTAAGTTTTTGGGAGTAATTTAACATTTCACTGAATGAAAGACCATTCTGAGGGGAAAAGAGGTAAAAAGAGGGGAAAAGCTGTGACTAAATAAGAGTCACAGCTTTGCAAAAGCAAATCAGTTAGTAAACATTCAACAACAGAGAAATTGTTGTTCCATATTTTTAAGTGACAATTTAATTAGGTATTTAAAATGGAAAAATAGAGACACTGTTTGCTATCAAGAGTGGTGGTGAATAAGTCGGGCTTAAATTTTGGCATTATCTTTTCTTCCTCCTTCTCAGTAGTTCCTCAGTTCCAATTTGTTATTAAATTTGATCTTTTTTCGCTCTTGTTTTCTCTTTAGTTTTCCCTCCACCATCCCCACTCCCTATTTCCATGGCTGCCATTTTATCCAAAGCTCTCATCACCTGGTTTCTCTTTTTTGTGAAATCATTTCTTTCCCCTACCAATCTACCCTATATAAAGCTGTCAATTTAAGCTTCAAGAACTGTTTTGTTCTTGGTATTCCTTTATTTTAAAAAACAGTCATACTGAAACAGAAGAGTTCCCTGACCCCCTTCGCAGGATATGCAACAGGGGTGTGGCTTGTCTATTTGGCTGCTGAGCACTCAAACCCCTTACATGAGGGGGATCACACAGATGGGCAGGTGCAGGAGCTGGGGCAAGTGCTTTTGGGCTCCAGCCCCATGGTAGCATCTAGGGGTGGGTGCCTGTGACTCCCAAAGCCCCAGTGGATGTGCCATAGTGCTCTTTTAGCTCTGCCATCACAGACAGCTTAAGTGTTAACCAGCTTAGTGCCCTCTTGGTACCCGGGTTGTTGTCTGGTGTCCAGGAAGCATCAGGTCACACGGACAAATTGAAGGATAGTAAATGCAGGGGATTTTACTGGGTGGTGGAGGTGGCTCTCGGTGGGAGGGATGAGGAGCTAGAAAGAGGACGGAGTGGGAAGATGATCTTCCTCTGGAGTTCGGTTGTCCCATGACCCATCACCTCTCCAACTGTCCCCAGATGAACTCCTCTTGATGTTCAGATGCTCCTTGTCTTCTCTCCTTTGCTGCACCACTCTGCCACTCTGCTGCTCTGCTGTTCCTCTTCTCTTCTGCTTGTCTGCTTGTGGAGCCTGGGGTTTGGGGTCTATATGGGTACAGAATAGGGGAGCGTGGCAGGCCAAAAGGGAACATTTGGGTGCGAAAATAGGAATGTCTGTTCCCGTTTAGGTCCATGGGTTTCCAGGTTTGAGGATGGGGACTTTGCTAGGGAACTACCATCTTCTACCCAGTATTTCCCTGCCTCCTGTCCATATCAATACCTTTCTTTAATTAGTCCCACATTTCTTAGGCTTGTATTTAAGGCCCTCCACAAGTCTGTTCTTTGCCTGTCTCTTTCTGTCTGAGTTGTCTTTGTTGGATTTGAGCCCTTTGTTCAAGGTTTACTCATTGTCTCCTGAAGATGCATATGTATCTTTTCATTTTCTCTGTAATTTGTCCACACCAGTCAACCTACATAAGAACTTATTCTTTATTCTTCTTGTTCATTTATATACACTTACAGGAGGGTCCTAGTTTAATCTCAGGACGAAGACTCTTAAAATTCAGACAGAAGTTGGATGTTTGTTATAGACTGAGTTGTGTCCCCTGAAAATTCACATGTTGAAATCCTCACCCCCATGACTTCAGAGTGTGACCGTATTTGGAGATTGTGTCTTTAAAGATGTGATTAAGTTAAAATGAGATCATTAGGATGGACCCTAATCCACTATGACTGGTGTCCTTATAGGAAGAGGAGATTAGGACACAGGTGCTGAGGGAAGATGATGTGAAGACACAGGAAGAAGACACCATCTGCAAGTCAAGAAGAGAGGCCTCAGAAGAAAGCAACCCTGTTAACACCTTAGTCTCAGATTCTTTATTCCAGGCTGTGAGAAATAAATTTCAGTTTTGTAAGCCACCTAGTCTGTAGTTTCAGCCATAGTAAATGAATCTACTATCCCTTTAGAAAGGCAGTGAGTCTACTCAACTCCAGGGTACACACTCCTGCCACTCCTTCGGCACTTGTGCACAGGGAGAGTGAAGTCTTCACCCCTACTTCCATGCTTAGGGCCTCTCACTAAAACTAAGTGACACCCTGAGTAAACTATCTACTTGTCACACTTACCATCTGTCCTGCTCCCTTTTTTCCATTGACTTGATGAATCTTAGATTAAAAAAGAAAAACAAAAAAACTTTTCTTTCTCAAACTTCTAAAGCCCAATTCAAGGTACCCCTTGGCCAGTGTGTTTCTGCATGTATTAGTAACACCTGTCACTTACAGGGATTAGGTGCCCCTTCTGCACACTCTCATAATTCCCTGTGAATATCTCTACCGTTGTGTTTTACAACACCTTACACCAGAATCCAAGTAAAGCAGGGAAGCTATGAGCAGCCTCAGATTTTACCCTGCATTTGTCATTGAGGCAAATTCAGTGCATCCCCTAAATTGATGCAGCTCAACATTACATTAATGATAAGTGGATAATTTACTGTAGATTTGGCGGGGAACTGGAGTGTGAGTGAGGCCAACCTTGCAATGTTCCCATTCTGCATCTCTTCCTCCTTCCTGTTAGGTAACTGATGGCTCCTTACAAATCTCCTCTACTGAATAGAGCAGTAAAACTCTCATTTCTAAGTTGCATGTTCCAGTCAAAAATAAAAGAACAACAACATAAAACTTTGAAGTGCTAATTACTCTTATGTTCACCAAAGAGTGATATTGGGTTATATATAATGAGGAGTACATTAGCTTCAAATAATATGGGATTCCATAAATATCAGGAGAGTAGTTTGTGATAAACATAAAAGAAAAAACATGTTTTTTATCTGTACTAGTTTCAAGTATGTAGCTAGACTGTCTTCTGCTATATTAAATTGACAGTATGTTATTTTATGACCCTAAAATATGTATATCCCAAGTTACAAGCTATGTTCAATTCCAGTGAGATTTCTGTTAAGGGAAGACAGAGAATATTGAATGTTTTCTTTTCTTTTAAGCTTTGGAAATTAACACCAGTATTAAACCACACAAAGATAGTGAATTGTAGGGGTAAATAAACAAGATACTGGTTGTATCTCTATGTGTGTGTTCCCTAAATATTTCTGTGGCATTTTCAAACTTTAAAAAATTTTTAATTAGTACTAATGGTTCAAAAAGCACACTGCCTGAAATAATTTGCTTTGATTGTAGATGGATCAAGAAGTTTTCTTTTCCATGTTCAACCTAGAATAGGAGAGCTGATCCTTCTGATCTGAAGAATTATGAGCAATCATAAATATTATGTCTAGGTAAGAGAAAGGAAAATAAATCCCATAATTAAATCATTACAACACAAATGGTCTTAGTTCTTCTCCTACCTACATTAAGTGTAATTACTCAGCATAGTAACTTCAAGAGACACTTACCACATGGGGCGGGGAACTGCTTAGCAACATATTCATGAGTAATCGATTTTTTTTTTTTTGGTTTGTGCTTGGAAGGGAATAAAAAGGCAAAAGGACGCCAGGCTGCAGAAAATAGCTGTGACAGTGGTCTGAAAGATGCTTTATGAATTCTGTAGTTTGTTTAGGGTGGCTAGCTTCTGCAGAATTTAAAATGAGTGCAAAGAGAGAGCCATGGAGTCACCTAACCTAAGTCATTGCTACCTACAGCATTATTCCCACTTTGGTGATGAATGTTTCAAGAGTCACTTTTTTTAAGGAGGCTAGGCAATAGTTTAAAGACTATTACCTCTCAGAAGTTTCCAGCTCCTTGTAACCTGATTTCACAATCTTTATTAGACCCCTATATGATTCCTGGAAAATTATCTCCAGCCTCAGGGCTCCCTTTCCCCTCAGGCCATGTTTAAACCATTTGTATAATTATTTAGAGAATTTCTCTGAGGTTTTGCCCTCAAACAATTCTTTTCCTCCCCTTGCTTATTCCTTGTAATTTCTTGAATTCATGTGCAATTAGTATGGGTTCTGCAATGTAAAAATGACATAAACTATGCATTTCATTAATGATCCAGAATAACATCAGTTAAAACATACTGGGGGGACACATATTTGGGGGGCCAGGTGGGGCGGCCAGTTGGTTGATGGTCCATCATACAAAAGCTTTATAGTAATCAGGTCACTCTGGTCCCAGGACAAGTTCTTATATATGAACAGGAAAGAGTTGACACATAGACACCCTGCCAAATATAGCTGTAAAAGTGACCTTTGCTGGGATGTCTGTCTGAGCCATGTATTTGTAGGTCTTTGAGTGCTCATGGTAACGACGGTGTGTCTGTCATGTTCCTGGACGTAGGACACGTCTGTTGGTCATTTTAGTACCTCTTTGCAACATTTTGTTTCTGTTTCTGATTCAGAGTTTGCTTCTTGAATGCAATACTGGTCCAGTCATTTCTTAGTAACAGTGAGAGGGGTTGATAGATATGTTAGCAAGGGCAAGTGACCTAAGTTCTTTAAGCCTCAGTTTTGTTGTCTGTATAATGGGCATTATGATGCCCGTATCACAGTCATTTTACATCAACCAGACGTCAGTCAATCTCTCTCTCATCCTCAAATCTCTCTTTTTCTTCCTCTCTCTGCAATAATTCCATGTAACTCTCTCCTTAATCTATGGGCAGTGCTTTATATGTGCATTATTTGAAGTCAGGGAAAAAGATTATTTTCCAAACCTTCTGAGGCTATTGTTACTCCTAGGGTGTGTGGGCCCCTGTCTAAAAGTGATTGGAGTCACCTCAAATCAATGTGTCAAGCACTATTCTAGGGTCTCAATCTTAATCCTACAAAAGAAATACCTGGCCAGTCATCCAGAGATCTGTTTCTCAGTCCCTCTTCCCTTCAAATGGGATTGGCCAAGATACCCCAGGATGACCCCAAAGGCACAAGTCCAGGGGCTTTTCAGGGTCTGTGGTCATCCTCCCATGAAGGGTAGAAGATTAGAGAGTGCCCTGAGCGGGGAAGAAATGATCTGGGGCTTGGAGTGCCCTGCCCAGTGTCTCTGCCTGCCTACTCCAGACACCAAAGATTGATTTCAAAAATTTTAAGAGGCCAGGCACCATGGCTTATGCCTCTAATCCCAGCACTTTGGGAGGTTGAGGTGGGTGCATCACTTGAGGTCAGGAGTTCGAAACCAGCCTGGCCAACATGATGAAATACTGTCTATACTAAAATACAATAAATAAATAAAGTAGCCGGGCATGGTGGTGGGTACCTGTAATCCCAGCTACTTGGGAGGCTGAGGCAGGAGAATTGCTTGAACCCAGGAGGAGGAGGTTGCAGTGAGCCGAGATCACGCCACTGTACTCCAGCCTCGGCGACAGAATGAGACTCCGTCTCAAAAAAGAAAAAAAAAAAATTAAGAAAGACACTATAAATTGTGGGACTTTCTAATTTATGAGCCCTGGGGAGGGAGCCTCTTCTGCCATAGCTGAAGGGCAATTCTATACTGTCTGAATCTGAATCTATGGTAATTTTTAGATTTAAAAATTCTAGCCGTCTGCTTCCATTAGGAATTCAAAAAGCTCCCTGACTGGGGACTGTGCACTTTCAATCTGAACTCTCTCTATTCATTAACTGTACATCCAATATAAGTTACATGACAGGTGCTAGGAAATGATCCAAACCTGTACAAATTCATGAAATCCCAGAGAGAGGAAGTAAATCGAATTTCTTCATAACTAACGTAAGACTCAAACAAAGCCTTCTCTGTCCTACAAGGTTTTCCAACTTAGGAAATATATGAGTTTAACAATAGAAGTTCTTGGATTTGTCATGTCAGATCCTCCATGACTTAAATTGTCAACAAGAGGTTTTATGGGGACATTTCTACAGGTACATAAAGCATCAGGCTATTTACAACATAAACAGATGCTGGCACCATCTGTTGGTTGATTGCTTATCACTCACACAATGACCTCCTCTTTTTTTTCCTCTCTCTCAATCATTTATTTTTCTAAAATTATCAACCAAAAATTAAAAGAAAAACAACAATATGGCTTGATTAGGTATTTTCCTATAATTCTTTTACCTCTTTCTTTAGGAACTTATGTTTCTTCTCATTTTGCTTTCTATCTTTTCCTCTTCCTTATTCTTGGTGAAATTGGCCATCCATGTTTTTCTGTCTATTTATCTGTCTATCAATCAATCAGTTATCTATCCATCTATACTTGAAATAGATTTAAGGGGCCTAAATGCTGTTTTGTTACATGGATATACTGTGCAGTAGTGAAGTCTGCACTTTTAGAGTAACCATCACCCAAATAATGTACATTGTACCATTAAGTAATTTCTTATCCCTCACTTCCCTACTGCCTTCCCACTCTTCCTAGCACCCAATGTCTATTATTCCACTCTCTGGGTCCATGTGTACACATTGTTTATCTCCCATTTATAAGTGAGAACATGCGGCATTTGAGTTTCTGTTTCTGAGTTATTTAACTTAACATAATTCGCCAGCCATAATGAGAATTTATAACATTTTAGGGTATTTGCTGTTTCCCCAAGTGTCAGCTCTCTTTATACTGGTGAATTGAAATACCATCATCTTAACCTTCAACCTGTTAAAAAGCCCACAAAATCATTATTTCTATATATAGTGGGGTTGATTTTTGGCTTCCTTGGCTTTTGGCTTTTACCTCAAAATTCTCTCTGATTTGGTGTTTTTGGAGTTGAGGCAGAATCTCAATTCCAACGTGGCTTACAAAGGTCTGCAATGAGACTGAATGACAATATTAAGATATTTGTATAATAAAGTTTATAAAGATCCTCCAATAATAAAATGCCAGCAACATAAAACTTTCCTAAATCTGAATGTTAAAGTCCCACATCAAATTCTTATTCCTTTGTGAGTTAAAAAGTCTAAAATCTATTTTTAAAAAGCATTCTTATAAAGGTCTTATTCTTCCCAGCCTACCACAGAAGTTCCTGAATATCCAGGGAGAGGCAATTTCTTCTGTATCTCCATCCTAATGATGTGTCTGCTTGGCATTGGTCTGGTTCCTTCAGGACCTCAGAAGCTGTATTGGTTCAATGAATGCTAAATATCCCAGGAGCCTGATCTTTTAAGAGTTCAAAGAGTTCATGGGACACATATGGGTAGCCCAGCACTGATTATACCCATGAAATTAAGAAGCTTGTCCCTTGTCCCTAAAGCAATTGTCCCAGGTGTTAGTGTGATCTCAGGACCCAGTACTTAGTCTTATCCAAGACTATAGGAGCAGTTCAACAGTGCAGCAAGAAGGAGGAGCTCCCACCTCAGGATGTGTCCATGTTTTCCAGTTGTCTGCCAGTTGCCGGTTGTCTGACCTGTGAATAGAAGCTCAACTGAGAGTACTCTCCAATCTTCCAACTGGCTGTTTGCCTGAAGCTGATAATGGATGATGATAGTAACTCAGATAAAGCTCCCAATAAATCTTCATTATCCTCATATCATTTGTTAATGTCTTGATGTGTGCCAGGAGCTTCTCTGAGTGCCTTACGTATGCAAAGTTGTGTAATAACTATCATTACCCCAATACATAGCACCTTTCTTCTCAAACAATTTTAAGGAATTCGAGAAATAAAACCAAAGGTAAAGATTAAGCCCAAAATATCATCTTTATTGAAAAAAAAAAAGAGACTAGTTTAGAGGAATGAACCTTAGTATAAAAATTGAGTGGACCTCCTTCCTGAATTCTGGAATTGGGCTGACACAGCAACCCAGTTCCAGGGGTGTGGCGTGAGGCAGACCTCTTCCCTTTGGGCAAGTACTTGCAAATTAAAGCTTGGAGGATGTGTCAAGCACTTGTGTTCCCTAGAGGAGGGGATTATGGGATGGAGCTGAGTCAAGCATGTCCTGCTCTTCTGAAATTAATCTAGTCACACTGATGGCTTCACTCCCTGAGGTGAAGTAAGTAAATGGAGTTATGCTAATTGAGCTCTCTTTATAAGACAGATGCATCAGGAATGGGCATGAAACATTCTCCATAGTATGATAAGTAAAATTTTGGAAGTTTTTCTTTTATAATGCTTTTGTTTTGAATTATGTAAGTAATGTGGGCAATCATTGTGAAGTCTTATTGAGGGTCTTTTAGCAAGACAGTGACATGATGACTTGTCTTAGAAAGGTAATTTTGGCAGCTGTGGTGAAGATTTGAAAGGAGACACTGGAGCTGGAAGAGCAATTTCAGAGTCTCTGAGAGGCCAGGTGTAATGGTTCACACTTGTAATCCCAGCACTTTGGGAGGTCAAGGTGGGAGGATTGCTTGTGGCTGGGAGCTTAAGGCTACCCTGAGCAACAGGGCAAGACCCTGTCTCTACCAAAAAAAAAAAAAATTTCTGGGCATGATGGCATGCCTGTGGTCCCAGCTATTTGGGAAGCTGAGTGGGAGGATCTTGAGCTGAAGAGTTCATGTTGCAGTGAGTTATGATTATGCCACTGTAGTCCAGCCTGACTGTCTCAAAAAAAAAAAAAAAAAAAAAGAAAGAAAGAAAGAAAGAAAGAAGGAAAAGAAAAGAACAAAGAATGTTGCATGAAAGACATGAGTAGGACAGTGGCCGTTGGGAGAATGAGAATACAGATGTGAGAATTTTTATACCACTGAGAGTGCTAACTTGGCAGTAATAATCAGTTGTAGTAGAGAACTACTAATGGGATAGGCCAAAGTGGTTCTGAGATTTAGGACAGACATTAGGAGCGTGTATGCTTTGGTCCTAGAACCATAATATTCTCTCACGTGAAGACTCACTTTTGGTGAAGATAGAAATTATCCCTGCGAGGGGTGGGGTTGGGTTGTCTTGTTTTTATTCTATAGATGGGAAAACTGAACCATACTATAGTTGCCTTTTCTGTTAAAATTCACAGTTGGATTCTAGCACTATTATGTAGAGTTTATCCAGTGCTTTCTCATTTTTCTAGAGTATTTTCTACACAGAAGGGGACATGTTGCCTGCATTAAAATATTTCACTCTACTGGTTAAGTTGCTTTCATTGGAGGAGGTAGGGCTAGGATTTAATGTGGAAAAACCTGACTCATAGCCAACTGTATGCATAGACCTTGCTCAAACTTCTTCCTAGGAATCATCCCTTTTTATTAAGCCCAAAAGTGACTCAGAGACCCTTGGTGGTTACAGGAAAAAATACTTTAAATTTAGGAAAAATGAAATAGGATGATCCTCCCAACTCTAACTATGGCATCTCCTCTCCTCCCCTCTGCCCAGCCATTCTGGGATTTTCCACTGAAGAAAAGAAGCAGGGAGAAGAGAAGAATAGTCTAAAGTCATCTATACTGTAACAGAAGTGAATTCATTCATTCATTCACTCATTCATTCATTCATTCATTCACTCATTCATTCACCAAATAGTTAGGCGCCTTCTATGTATCAGACAGTGCTTTAGACATTGGGACGTATCAGTGATCAAAACAAAGCTCCCCATTCTGATAAAACTTATGTTCTAGTAGGGAGAAACAGCAGGTTGCTAAGAATGGTTCTTGATTTATGCAAAAAGCCACAATCTGCAAACCTTGTCTTAAATTGTTTTTAAGATTGAAAATGAAAAAGTAGAATATTAATTTTTAAAATTGCTTTTATTTTCATTTAAGATGGGGGTCTCACTGTGTTTGTGGCCCAGCCTGGTCTTGAACTCCTGAAGGGCTCAAGCGATTCTCCTGCCTCAGCCTCCGAAGTAGTTGGGATTACATGCATGCACCACTGTGCCCAGGGTAACACTAATATTGAAGAACATTATTCTTTTAGATTGATCCCTTTAAATTGTAAGGTGACATTATCTTTTAGTCACCTAGGGGGACACATCCTTTTAGAAAAGTCTTGTGTTTTGTTACAAACATATCCCCAGCAGTAACTTCGGAGAGAAAAGATGGTGAGAGAAGTATTTCCTCTTTTTTACCCTGTGGCTTTTATCCCTCCTCAGGAGATAAAACTAAGTAATAAATGCCAGATAGTGGATACAATTCTAATAGTTTTGTTGTTTTTGTCACTGCTCTGAGTTACAGAAGATAACAGTGCTTTTCTGGACCATCTAAATTCCAGCACCTAAACTTTTATAGTGCAAAGTCTCTAGATTTCAATCACAGATGTGAAATGTTTTCAGTCCTGCTCTTCAGTCAAACTCTCAGAAACACAGACAGTTCCTGACTTAAAATGGCTCAATTTATGGTTTTTTGACTTTACAGTGATACTCATAAAACCATTCTGTTTTTCATTTTCAGCATGGTGCTCAATAAATTACATAAGATATTCAATACTTTATTATAAGGTAGGCTTTGTGTTAGATGATTTGGTCCAACTGTAGGCTAACGTAAGTATTCTGAGCACTTTTAAGGTAGGTTAGGCTAAGCTGTAATGTTCGGGAGGTTGGATGATTTTCATATATTTCCAAATTACAAAATTTTCAACTTAGAATGGGATTATTGGAGCGTAACCTCATTGTAAGTTGAGGAACATCTGTAATGAAAGATGGGCAGGTGCAGGTAGGACAGCATCTTGAATTCTTGCTTTTCTTGTTAGTTCTCTCCTATACGTGGATGGAGATAGTCAAAAGCAGTGTTCAGGTACTGCCACATTAGTTAACCAATGAAACTAACTTATCTTGCAGAATTTGACGTTAATTATAAGCTAGTTAAGGCTTATTGGAGGTCTCCTTTAACAGGAGCTTCGTGTTATCTTTTTGGTCTGCACTATCCATTCAATTTGCCTATTTGCCTGAAGGTGGTGATAGGGGATGATGGTAATAACTCTGATAAGCCTCCTGATAAGTCATCCTTAATATCACGATAGCCCTGATTGAATCCTTAATGCATACCAGGGACTTTTCTGAGAGCCTTACATATACAAACTTGAGTAATAAATACTATTACCTCTCTTTTAAAGATGAGAAAATGTAACAATAGTTAAACAAATTATTAAAGATCACCAAATTAAAAGCTGAAGGAGCCAGGATTTTTAGACATGGGGTCTAGGTACAGAGTCCATTCTCCTAACATCTATATTACATGGCAACTTGCTGAAAATTTGAAATCAGTATTAGAAATTATAATATTTTTAAATATATAAATTGGTAGTGTAGTGGGGACACAAATTTGTTCACATTTCACTCAAATTTTCAGAGGAATAGTTTATTTTTTAATTAACAGATCTGCCGCCTTTTGCAGTGAGAAATATTTTTAGTTTGATATACTTAGAAGGATGCAATAATTTAAATAGTATCTTTTCATATATTAACAGTTTGGAAAAAAACTGATAATCTCAGAAGCTTCTTTCTTTCCCTGCTTCTATCAAGACATCTGGGGATATGGGTAAGGGATATAGTTTAAGAAATCTCATGGCGGACTTATTTCTGTTCTGGTGAACAAACTTGCAATAGACTTTTGCTTTCACCCTAAAAAAACCAAAACAATCTGAATAAGTTACATAATTATAATTAAAAAATATTAAAAAGCCAAGGGCACAAAGAAACCTAAATAAATTGGACTTCAGAAAGTGGCAAACCCTTCATGAGAAAGAATCGATTCATCCTGACTGAGACAGAGGGAGGAGGAGGAGGAGGGATCTGCCATACAGAAGATAAGAAAAAACAGACTAATTTTAACAAAATTTTAACAGCTGTGTGTGGGCTGGTGTGACAGATTAGAATCCAGAAAAGCTCCAGATTCAGATGAGACTGAACTACCACCCCCTCCAACCCCACTCTTTCTCATTGGTCTTCACTGAGTGCTGTGAGTAGGTCCTCAAAACTGGGGACAGGGAGAGTTGAAAACAATACGTGAGGTACATCAGAATTTCAGGGAATCTGCAGAATGACCATAAAGAAGGCAACACCTAGGTACATCATAGACCAACTGCTAGAAACCAAAGATAAAATGCAGATTTTAAAAGCAGCTATGAGGGAGAAAATACTTTGCATACAGAGGAACAATTGCTAGTGACCAGAAAGAACACACATCAAAAGAAAAATTATACCTTTTACATACTGAAAAAACATCCTCTGTCAGCCTAAAATATTATATTCAGTGAAGTAATATTCAAATATGAAACTTAAAGTATTCATAGACAGGGAAAAGCTGAAAGAATTCATCTCTAGCACACCTGCATTATAAAAAGTGCAAAATAACTATTTCAGACTGATGGGAAATGATTTCACATGGACAAGTTGGAATCCCAGATCTGCAGGAAGGAATGAAAAGAACCAGAAAGAGTAAATACCTGGGTAATATAATGGAAGTATGTTTTAATAACTCCCTTTTATATACATACACAAATAAGTTTATTTTAAAAACTATTATTTAGGAAAAATACGGTATTGAGGAGTTTATAACATATATAGAAGTAAAACATAAAACAAGATAGCATGAAGTGTGACAGAAGATAAATGGAATTATACTGTTGTAAGGTTACATTTTATATAAAGTTATATAATATATAATTTATTTGCAGGAAGACTATATAATTAAATTCTCATCTAAACATTATTATTTGAAATTAGACTATATAAATAGGCTATAATATCCAGAACTAATTTGTAAGATGCCATGAAAGAAGTGCTTAGAGGGCAAGTTATAGCAATTATATATTTATTTTGTAAACTCCATAAGACTAAAGCCTAAGATCAATGGTCTAAGCTTCTACCTTAAGAAATTAAAAACAATGGGCAAACTAAACCCAAGCTAAATTCAAATGAAACAAAAATAAGAGCAAAAATCAATGAAATAGAAAAGAGACAAACAATAGAGAAAACCTACATAGTCAAAGTTGAATTTTAAAGATCAGTAAAATTAACAAAACTGGAAAAAATAAAGCATAAGAAAAATACAAATTATCAATATTAAAACCAAAAGAGATATTACTACAGATTTTACTAATGTTAAAAAGAGAATATTTTGAGCAACTTTGTACCAATAAATTTGACAACGTAGATTAAAAAGGACAAATTCTTAAAAACATGAATTACCAAAAACTGTCAAAAGACTAAATAGAAAAATCTTCAAAATTTCTGTATCATTTAAGAAATTAAATATGTAATCAATAACCATTCTACAAAGAAAACTCCGGGCTCAGATGGCATTATTAGTGAATTCTATCCAACTGTTAATGAAGAAACGTGCTAATGAGAAAATAAGTAGAAGAAAACACTTCCCAACTCATTTCGTAAAACAAGCATAACGCAGATAATAAAAATCTGTCAAAAACAATAGACCAAAAAAAGAAACCAATATCTTGCATGAATATACACAAATATCTTTAACAAAATATTAGCAAATTAAATCTAACAGTATTTTTAAAATATAGTAAATAATAATCAAATGGGTTGGTTCCAAGAAAGCAAGGCTGATTTTACATTAAAAAAGAAGTCAATGTAAATGCCACATTAAAAGAATAAATGAGAAAAATAATAGTTATCTCAACAGATGCAGCAAAAGCATTTGACAAAATTCAATACCTCTGACCACACTTGGAATTGAAAAAAATTTCTGCAATCTGATAAACGGCATCCATAAAACAAAATAAAACAAAAGCACTAAAACCTAACATCACACTTAATTGACAGAACACTAAATTCATTCTTGCATCTAAGCACAGACGAAAGTGTCAGCTTTCCCCATTTAACATTATATTGCAGGCAAGAAAAATAAAAGGTGTAACGATTGGAAAAGATGAAGTAGGGTACATAATTGCATACCTAGAAAACGCTATGGAATTAAATCCTCTAAAACTCTGCTAGAACTAATTAGTGAATTTAGCATAGTGAACATGTTAAACTTTTTTATTCTTGGGAAGCATGTGTACATAGTAAACACTATGAATGAACAAAAATTCTATTAGAACTAATAAATGAATGTTAGCAGAGTCATAAAATACAAGGTTAATATGGAAAAAATCAATTTGAAAATGACAATAATATAATTCATAATAGTATCCAAAGATATTAAATATCTAGGAATATATTTATGACAGATGTGTAAGGCCTTCACATGGTACTTAGAAAGCACTGCTTCAGTAGGCTGGGCACAGTGGCTGACACCTGTAATCCCAGCACTTTGGGAGGCCAAGATGGGTGGATCATCTGAGGTCAGGAGTTCGAGACCAGCCTGGGTAACATGGTGAAATCCCGTCTCTACTAAAAATGCAAAAATTAGCCAGGCGTGATGGTGTGTGTCTCTAATCCCAGCTACTCGTAGGAGGCTGAGGCGGGAGAATTGCTTAAACCCGGGAGGCGGAGGTTGCAGTGAGCTGAGACTGTGCCACTTCACTCCAGCCTGGGTGACAGAGCGAGACTCTGTCTCAAAAACAAAACAAACAAACACTGCTGAGAAAAATAAGTACAAAATAAATGGAAAACTCTTCCATATTTATAAATTGAGTTGACTCAATATTATTCAAACATCCATTCTTCCTAAGCTAATGTATAGATTCAATGCAATCCCTTTCAGAATTCTAACAGTATTTTTCTGAGTCTTGTAAAATGTGACTTTAAAGTTTATACAAAAATGCAAAGAACATAGAATACCAACACAATTTTGAATAAAGAACGACATTGAAGGGCTTACACCATTTGATGTCACAACCTACTATATAATAATCAAGTCAATGCAGATCTGGGCTCAGGGTAGTTAGTACACCAATGGAATAGATTAGAAACTCCAGAACTAGGCCGACACATATGCAGTCAATTCTTCATATGAAGTCAATTGATTCATTATCAAAGTGCCCCATTCAATGGTGAAAGAAAAGTCATTTCAATAAATGTTGCTGAAACAACTGAACATCTGCACAGAAAAAAATCGCCTTCTATTTTATTCCACACATAAAAATTATGATAGACCTAAACACAATCCTCTAATCATACAACTTCTAGAAGAAAGTATAGGAGAATATCTTTGCAACTTTGGGGTAGGGAGAAATTGCTTGGATTGGAAGCAAAAAGCACTAAGCATATTTTAAAATTTGATAAATTCTATCAAACACCCCCAGACTCTAGGGGAAGCCACCTCCAGGTTCTTCTCTCCACCCCCTACTCTGCATCATGTGAATTGCAGTAACTTATTCTCAAACGCTTTAAACACAGAGATCCTCTCAGCAGATGTGGGCCTGCCTATTGTCCCTGCCTACCATGGAGTGGGGTGAACAGGCACTTCCTACCAAGGGCAAGTCCAAAGCTCTGAGGGAGAGAAAGAGAGGAGCAGGAGAGAATGGAGAGGGAGAGACTATAAATTTGGAAAATACAAAAAAAGATGAAACTTTCATTAAAAAGATGCTATTATGAAAATGAATAGAAAAGCCACAGACTAAGAAAATTTTGGAGCATGCATCTGATGAAGGACTTGATTCCAGAATCTATAATAAACTATTACAAAGTGCCCTAAAGAGATGAACATTCCAGTTAAAAATGGGAAAAATGCTTGAGCAGATACTTCACAAAAGGAATATATGAATGGCCCATAAACACAAAAAAAGGTAAGACATATAGTTACCAGGGAATGCAAATTAAAATCACAATAAGAAACCATTGCACACATATTAGAATGGTTACAATAAAAAAAGACCAAGTGGTGAAGATGAAGAGTAACTAGTATGTAAAATGGTATAGGCACTGTGAAAAACTATGTTTATGAACTCAGCAATTCCAGTCTTAGGTATTTAAGAGAATGAATACATGTGTTCACAAAAAGACTTGTACAATAATGTTTATAGCAGTTTTATTCATAATCTCAAATCAGAAACAACATGCATGTCTATCAGCAGGAGAATGGGTAACTAAACTATGGTCTCTTTACACAATGGAATACTCCTCAGTAATGAAAAGAAATGAATTACTGAAACACAATATCATGGATGAACCTTAAAAACATTGTTAAGCAAAAACAGACCCCACTCATAAATACTGTTATGATTCCCATTTATATGAGATACAAAATTAGACAAAATATTAATCTGTTGTGATAGAAAATATAAAGTGGTTTATGGAAGGTAGGTGCAGGAATTGACTGGAAGAGGAACACAGGATAACTTTCTGGGATGTTGTAAATACTTTTGTTTCAGGTAGTTGATGTATAGGTATATACAATACTTAAAAGTTATCAAACAGAATACCTAAGATCTATGAAATTTACCTTTGGTTAATTAAACTTCAATTAGAAAAAGATATATGAAAAGGAAAAGAATCATCTCAATGGATGATCACATAGGGTATGGTAGGAAAGAAAGGAAAAACCATAGAAAATAGATGATATGGAAGAGAAAGATTATTGCAAGGGAAGAAAGGATAAGATGAAGTTTTAAAATTTAAATCTTATTTTCTAATTTTCTAGGTTTCATTAAAATTGTAGTATGAATACATTTTCTGGAAATTCTAGTCCACAGGTTAACCACTGTCTCCTCCTCATCTTTCCTTTATTCGCTTTGATGGATGTAGCTCACAGAACAGTGGTAGGGGTGCCAACTTCTGGGGCCAAATCTATTTCCAAATTCAAACACCAAAAATGTTTGTGAATTGAGACTGTTTTGTGATTCATCCAACTTCAATTTTACCAATTCCATCAAGGGAAATATTAGTTCATTCTGGATGTAGGTTTGAGTTTCTGTTGGGGGCTAATTTACTCACAGAATGAATATACTTTGCTCCTTATCTTGCACATGCATAGTCTGCGATAATGTAAAGTTGTAGGATAGGAACTGAAGCCATAGCTGATTAAAAAAAAAAAAACAGATTGGTTCATTATATAGCTCATTTAAACTTTAAAAGGGCAAATAAAAAATACTGTATCAGCTGAAGGAGATGGGGAGGAGAAGGATGAAGAGGAGGATGGAAGAAAAGGAAAAAGAAAGGGAGAAAGGAAAGAAAGAAGGAAGAGATGGAGAAAGGGAGGGAAACAAAAGAAGCCTCCTGGTAGGTGGATGGTGATGGAGTCCTTGTGTTCCCAGACCAAACTGAGGGTCAGGCTGCTATTTCTTGTGGCCCAATAATAAGATGCAGATGAACTGGGGAGGAAGACAGTTTTTATTTCTGCAACCGGTTACAGGGAGAAGGCCTGGAAATTATCACCAGACCAACTCAAAATTACAAAGTTTTCCAGTTTTCTAACCTATATGTCTACATGTAAGCGTGCATTCATCTAAAGACATAAGTGATTAACTTCTTTTAATCTGTAACTAAAGTGTGAGTCCTGAAGACCTTCCTCTGGAGCTTCAGTAAATTTACTAAATCTAAATGGTCTCAGTTGCTGGGGTGATTAGCCTTATCTTGTCTCTTGCTAGATCATGAAGGTTTGGGAAGTTCCTTCAGACCCCCAGTAAACTTGTTTGTGGAGGCCTGGGAAGTTTCTTCAGGCCCCCAATAAAACTTGTTTAATCCTAAATGGGTCCTGTTAAGAATTCCTTCATTATTTTGTCATGCTTTAAGGCCCAGGAAAGGCCTAGGCAAAGTTCTTGGTGGGCTTTTGTTATATCCCAGGCTTTGTATAAGGGCTTTGACTTTCAATATTTAACTTAACCACTCGGTCAGTATGGAAACAGTTGTTACGGAGGCCTGTGTTAGTGAGACCTGGCCTGCCACACTTGAACTGACACGATGTCCTCTGGATCTTTACTGGACTCTTCAGATGAATGCCAAATCTGGGCTTATCTTGAATTGGTGACCTTTGGACACTGGTTCTACTTGGCTTTGTAGTGGTGTCACTCTGCAAAGCACGTTCTTCTTTTTTTAATAGGGGCACTAGAATAAGACTGGAAGGCAGGAGAAGGACTTACTCTTTCCTGCTTGTCTCGTGTCCTTGCCACAGTGCCCCAGGACTGGCCTCTAAACTGAGCAGTGGTAGGTAGTTCTGGTTGTGAGTTTCTTTCCACACTTCCAGAACCAGCCGTATCCACACCACTTCCCTGAGGTCAGGATCCTAGCTCCTGAGTTCCTCTCTGAGTTTCTAGTTCTAATCACTCCAGAGTTTCCCCTTTATTCTCCCAGCCCTATGGGGGCAGCTGCTTCCCACAGTTAATATCTTTGTGTGGCCTCTGTGTTTGTTCCCCCTTTGCCTTCTCAGATCTTTAATACCCATTCAGCCAACTCATCTCTGTTAATATCTCTCTGTTTTAACAATGGTATAGTTTATCTTCCTGACTTGATCTGGCTGAAAAGTTGCATATACGTAAAAGCGTTAGAGAAAATCACATTCATAGATTTGAAAATGTGAAAATCATTTTAATATAGTAAAGCTATAGATGAAATTTGATTTACCAGAGTTCCCTTTGGTGACAGCATTTTGGGGAAAGAAATATACTCTAAAGTCTATTTGGCGTGATAGGTTAAGTCCTGAAGCAAATTTTGATGCTGTAGTTTGCTGATAAACTTTATTTTAATAAAGATCACTGCTGTTGATGAGAAGTCATTTTGTTCGATGGTGACTCTGATGGATTTGCATGTGCATGAGGAGAATAGTTCTGTATATCAGAGGAGGAAGAAGAGAGGAGTGGCCTTACTAAAGAGTCTCGGGAGGGAAGAGGAAGAAGGAGAAACACCTAGATGACAACTGGGTGGCAAGTGACCTAGAAGCATAGAAACATCTAATGATAAATTTTGAGCTATTAGTTGAGGGATGTCTGTGTGACCTCCTTCCAAATTTTCTCAATGAAATTTCTAATGAAGTATATGTGGCCATCTATTGCTTGTGTTTCAGAGTACTATTTTGTGAGGAAACATCCAGAGCTAAACTCAACATCTAAATTTGCGGGGAGGCTGAAGTGGAGAAAATTGACAACTCAGTTGTTCTAGTCTAGAGCTCTGGCTGAAGCAATGGCCAATGCTTGGACTGTGGATTTAATGACATAGTATTGATCCCAACTCTACCACTTATTAATTGTGTGGGTTGGGATATGTTGCCCAACCTCTGTGAGCCTCATTATTTTTTCTAATCTGTAAGATGGGATAATAATAATAATACCAATTTCATATGGTAGCTGTGTCACATAAAAGAAATGCATGTACCATAAAGTGCTTGTTATAGTGCCTGACATATAATAAGTGCTCAAAAATATTATTCTGTATATATTATTTTGAGCCCAACTTAAATGTCATTTCTTCAGTAAAGCCTTCTGTCACCTGCCTTCCCCAGTCTCTGATCAGAATACTTGAGCCTTTGATTCATTCACTGTCTATTACAGATCTTTGTCACACTAAATTATAATTGCTGTTTATCTAACTGTTTTTCCTACAGACCCTGAGCCTCCTGTGGTCAAAATTCATGTATTTGTTTCCTTAACACCTACAATTAGTTCCTGTAATATAATGGAAAGGCTAAAGACTGTTTAGTGAATGGGTGAATTTTGAAGATTTGTTTTCTAGGAAAGTTTCTGAAAAAATAACCTTTACATAGTCAAAGACTTGTTGGTGACATCACACAGAAAGTAAGGAACCTCTTCTCCTTTAGTGAGGAGTAGCATGGATGTGCTCCACTGCTTTACATTCCCTCCCAAATTCAGGGTAAGATGAGGAAATCTGGGAAGCTTCACGAAGCATGTGGCTATTGAAATAATTGCTACAAGATGAGAACTCTGATATCAGCATGGATACACATGGAATTCCAGGCAGTGACAACATTTAAGGCATGGAAAGGTAAAATTAGATGAGGCAGGTTGAAGATTGATAAATAAATGGCTGTGATGGGATGTGATATGGTTTGGCTCTGTGTCCCCACCCAAATCTCACATTGAGTTGTAATAATCAATGTCAAGGGTGGACCAGGTTGAAGTAATTGAATCATCGGGGCAGTTTCCCCCATGCTGTTCTTGTGATAGTGAGTGAGTTCTCACAATATCTGATGGTTTTATAAACGCCTGGCATTTCCCCTGCTGGCACTCATTCTCTCTCCTGCCGTGCTGTGAAAAGGTGCCTTCTGCCATGATTGTAAGTTTCCTGTGGCCTCCCTAGCCATGTGGAACTGTGAGTCAATTAAACTTCTTTTGTTATAAATTACCCATTCATGGGTATTTCTTCACAGAACTGTGAGAACAGACTAATACAGAGTGACAGTGCGGAAGTGTCATTATCATGGAAGATAGTGCTAGGAGTATAAGGAGGCACCATATTCTCGAAAATTTTGAATGCCCATCCAAGATGTTTGAATTTTATTTTCCATGTTTCAGGGAGTTGCTGATTGCTTTTCAACAGGTCCATGCCATGTTATGAAGTGTTTCAAAAAGACCATGTTGGGAGCAGTGTGTGGAATTGATCAGAAAATGGACAGAAAGAAAGGAGTTCATTCTCTGCCACAGGGGATAAGGAAGGAGGGCAGGAGCTGAAGCAGTAGCAAGGAGAGTGGAAAGGCCAGGGTGCATGCCTTCAAAACTAAAGAGGTTGAGATGGCAGGATGTGGAGGGGTTACAGAGAGGTACAAAGTGAAGATGACAGATTTTGGGTATGAGAAACTGGGAGGAGGATGGCACTTTGAGTAATAATAGGGAACACAGAAGGAAAAATAAAGAAGAGAGTAGCTTTTCCTTCAGATATATTGCTCTTGTGCCATCAGTCATATACATACATGGTGCAGTCTTGCAAATTGTGGAAATGATTGAGTGTTAATCTGGCCATTTCACTTGGAGAACATGTACACTGAGGGTTGAAACTGTGAGAATGGGTGACTGAAAATGGTGATGTTGGAACTTTTGTAAATAAAATCGAAAGTTTTTTAATTAGATGAGAAAGCATGGAGAAATTTCTTGGGAAGAATTATTTCTGGATGACATCATCAGTGGGTTTTTTTTCCTGTAAGATGGAAGGAAAGGTTGGTTGGCTCAATTTCCTGTGCATATTGAGACATAGTTTTCATTTTTCTATCCTGTCCATGCAATAAAAGTTTTCATTAAGTAGCATTACTATCATCTTGATATTAAGTAGGAGAGAAGAGAAAGATACTTGTATTTGTTTTGGGATTTGAGAGAGAAAAAAGATATTGTAGAAAAACTGGGATTGGAGGGAATGTCTTAGAGGATGAGCCAGAACTACCTCTAAGTATTTATCAAAATAACTGTCAAACATAATTCTTTTTTATTATTATTATTGTTATACTTTAAGTTTTAGGGTACATGTGCACAATGTGCAGGTTAGTTACATATGTATACATGTGCCGTGTTGGTGTGCTGCACCCATTAACTCGTCATTTAGCATTAGTTATATCTCCTAATGCTATCCCTCCCCCCTCCCCCCAATCCACAACAGTCCCCAGAGTGTGATGTTCCCCTTCCTGTGTCCATGTGTTCTCATTGTTCAATTCCCATCTGTGAGTGAGAACATGCGGTGTTTGGTTTTTTGTCCTTGCGACAGTTTACTGAGAATGATGATTTCCAATTTCATCCATGTCCCTACAAAGGACATGAACTCATCATTTTTTATGGCTGCATAGTATTCTATGGTGTATATGTGCCACATTTTCTTAATCCAGTCTATCATTGTTGGACATTTGGGTTGGTTCCAAATCTTTGCTATTGTGAATAGTGCTGCAATAAACATATGTGTGCATGTGTCTTTATAGCAGCATGATTTATAATCCTTTGGGTATATACCCAGTAATGGGATGGCTGGGTCAAACGGTATTTCTAGTTCTAGATCCCTGAGGAATTGCCACACTGACTTTCACAATGGTTGAATTAGTTTACAGTCCCACCAACAGTGTAAAAGTGTTCCTATTTCTCCACATCCTCTCCAGCACCTGTTGTTTCCTGACTTTTTAATGATTGCCATTCTAACTGGTGTGAGATGGTATCTCATTGTGGTTTTGATTTGCATTTCTCTGATAGCCAGTGATGATGAGCATTTTTTCATGTGTCTGTTGGCTGCATAAATGTCTTCTTTTGAGAAGTGTCTGTTCATATTCTTTGCCCACTTTTTGATGGGGTTGTTTGTTTTTTCCTTGTAAATTTGTTTGAGTTCATTGTAGATTCTGGGTATCAGCCCTTTGTCAGATGAGTAGGTTGCAAAAATTTTCTCCCATTGCGTAGGTTGCCTGTTCACTCTGATGGTAGTTTCTTTTGCTGCGCAGAAGCTCTTTAGTTTAATTAGATCCCATTTGTCAATTTTGGCTTTTGTTGCCATTGCTTTTGGTGTTTTAGACATGAAGTCCTTGCCCATGCCTATGTCCTGAATGGTAATGCCTAGGTTTTCTTCTAGGGTTTTTATGGTTTTAGGTCTAACATTTAAGTCTTTAATCCATCTTGAATTAATTTTTGTATAAGATGTAAGGAAGGGATCCAGTTTCAGTTTTCTACATATGGCTAGCCAGTTTTCCCAGCACCACTTATTAAATAGGGAATCCTTTCCCCATTGCTTGTTTTTGTCAGGTTTGTCAAAGATCAGATAGTTGTAGATAAGCGGCATTATTTCTGAGGGCTCTGTTCTGTTCCATTGGTCTGTATCTCTGTTTTGGTACCAGTACCATGCTGTTTTGGTTACTGTAGCCTTGTAGTATAGTTTGAAGTCAGGTAGTGTGATGCCTCCAGCTTTGTTCTTTTGGCTTAGGATTGACTTGGCAATGCGGGCTCTTTTTTGGTTCCATATGAACTTTAAAGTAGTTTTTTCCAATTCTGTGAAGAAAGTCATTGGTAGCTTGATGGGGATGGCATTGAATCTATAAATTACCTTGGGCAGTATGGCCATTTTCATGATATTGATTCTTCCTACCCATGAGCATGGAATGTTCTTCCATTTGTTTGTATCCTCTTTTATTTCATTGAGCAGTGGTTTGTAGTTCTCCTTGAAGAGGTCCTTCACATCCCTTGTAAGTTGGATTCCTAGGTATTTTATTCTCTTTGAAGCAATTGTGAATGGGAGTTCACTCATGATTTGGCTCTCTGTTTGTCTGTTATTGGTGTATAAGAATGCTTGTGATTTTCGTACATTGATTTTGTATCCTGAGACTTTGCTGAAGTTGCTTATCAGCTTAAGGAGATTTTGGGCTGAGACAATGGGGTTTTCTAGATATACAATCATGTCATCTGCAAACAGGGACAATTTGACTTCCTCTTTTCCTAATTGAATACCCTTTATTTCCTTCTCCTGCCTAATTGCCCTGGCCAGATAATTCTTTAATCCTGTGCAAAACCACCTTGTTTTCCTACAAAATGGCAGGAAAACATTTGTTTTTCTACAAAATGGTCACTGAACCATACTGTTTTCTCCAGGCAAACAATGAGTAAAAATTTGTCATTGTTTTCACTGTTGATGCTGATCCACAGGAGATACTTTGCATGACATTAGCAAGTCCCTGAGTATTTGTATTGGTTTCTTGATTCTTCCACACTCATTGATGTTTTCAAAGCCTGAAGTGCTGGAAGACAGTTGAACAGCTGTTGTCTTCAAAATAATCTTACTGTTGTTCCTTTCACTCTGAGCTCTTGATTTCCTCACATGAATGTTTAAAAGGAAAGAGGTTCCCTTTCCTTCATAATTAAAAATTAGTAGGTATGACAGATACAACCTAAGGTGGCCTCCAATGAGTCATGCTTTTGTATAATTCCCTCCCCTTGAGTACAGATGGAACCTGTGACCTGCTTTTTAACCAATAGGATATGGCAAAGGTGATAGGAGGTCACTCCCATAATTATGTGATATTATGTAAAACTCCACCTAAAGCAGGCTGGAGAACACTTCCTTTGCTGGCCTTGAAGAAGCAAATAGCCATTGTGTGAACTGCCTAAGAGGAGGACCACATTTCAGGGAACTGCAGCTGGCCTCCAGGAGCTAAGGGCCTCAGTCCTACAACCACAAGTAACTGAACCCTTCCAACAAACACAGAAGCCTGGAAGAACAATCAAAAGTTTCAGATGGGAATGTAGCCTGGCTGGCAATTTGATTGTAGCCTTGGAAGACCAGAGGAGAGGATCCCGTTAAGCCATGCCTGGATTCTCAACATACAGAAATTGTGAGATAAAACATGTGTTGTTTAAAGCTGCTAGGTCTATGGTGATTTGTTATGCAGCAATTGAACTAATGCAGTAGGAAAAGTACTGGTTTAGTGGTCAAGGCCCCCAGGTAAAATCCTCCAGTGTGTAACCAACTAGAGAATGAATCTGAAATATTTCTGTTATTTTAAAAAATAACTGAAGTGTCCCATAGCTTATCACTTCAATCAACATTACATGGGGAACAATGAGTTGCTTCTGGTTGTACCTGCCCTACCATGAGAGATGGGCGACTCATTGAAAGGAAACAAAAAGGTAGATGGGTCCTCTTCTTCTGTGTGTGTCTGATATTCTTGGCTGGCCTGAGATTCAACATGTATTTCCCCAGGCCTTCTCACATTCTGTTTCCAATAATGGGATCTTTTTATTTAGTGCCTGCAGATAGAGTAGCATTAAATGAGGAAGGGCATCAGTCCCTCCTTCAACTCTTTTTCACCTTTCCCTCCATTTCTTTTAATTTCTCAGAACTTTAACATGCTTGGTTGTTGTATTCTAAGAACAGTCAGTGCTAATTGGTGGAATAAACATTAACTGCAGAACAGAAGCTCCGCTACTCATGAACATTCATTATATCTAATTATAGTGATGATCATAAAGCTATGGGCCAGGACCAAAGCAGGTCACCTCTACCACCACTAACAGATGTCATTGGTTGCTTGGGAAGTGTCACTATGGAGCTGGGAATAAATGGCCTCATAAACCTTCTGATTTGCCTGTTGGATTTAACTTCTTTTGGAGGTTGAGGGCATTAGCATTATCATCTTTATTTTGCAGGTGAAGTTCTGAGGCCAAGAAAGGGTAGCTGATTTCTCCACTGGTGGTGAGTCCAACCCCTTCTTCCTCCACTAACTGTATTTGATTTAAGTAAACCATGTACTCCTGCTGGGTTTGTTGCTTTATCGGCTAAGTGAACATAAGCAACTTTACTTGTGAGAGATGAGGAGATTTGGCCAGATGTTCTGTTGGCTCTTTCAAAGATGTAAGATCTACAGTTCTAAATTGGAATCAACTATAGTTTCTCCAGTGGCTGAAAACTTCCAAAGAGTACCTAAAATAGAATCATGTACATAAATAATTCTTAACATTTAATAGCTAAAATCAATAACTGAACAACAAAAAACACAATCCAATTAGAAAAATGAACAAGAAAACAGGAAAACCATTTCACCAAAGAGGATGTACAAATGCAAATCGGCTGAAAAATGCTCACTGTCA
Source organism: Homo sapiens (assembly GCF_000001405.40). NCBI lineage: Eukaryota > Metazoa > Chordata > Mammalia > Primates > Hominidae > Homo > Homo sapiens. The sequence goes on from NC_000013.11 coordinate 47,022,088, forward strand.
TTAGCCACCAGAGAAATGCAAATTATAACCACAACGAGATATCATTACATGCCTGTAAGAATGAATAAAATGAAAAAAAAAAAAAGGACACCACCAAATGCTGGCAAAGGATGTGTAGAAACTGGATCACTCACACATTGCTGGTGGAAACTAAAAGTGGTACAACCACTCTACTCTGGTAAACACTTTGGCAGTTTCTTGTAAACCAAACATTCAACTACCATACAATTGAGTATCAGCAATAGTATTTTTGAGCATTCGCTGTAGAAAAAAATCACTCAGCAATGGAACAACGTATTGAAACATACAACCAGTTGGATCAGTCTTGATGGAATTATGCCAGTAAAGCCAATCCCAAAATGTTACATATTGTATAATTCCATTTATATAACATTCTTTAAATGATAAAATTACAGCAATGGCGGAAAGATTAGTGGTGGGAAAAAGTGGGGGTTAGGTGGGTGTGGTTTTAAAAGAGCAATACAATGGATCCCTCTGGTGATGGAACTGTTCTGTATCTTGACCAAGGTGGTGGCTCTGTGAGCCTACATTTGTGATAAAATTGTATAGAACTTGATACACATACATATACCCAATTGAGTCCAAAGAAAACTGTGAAAATCTGAGTAAGACTAGTAGTGTTAATTTCAATATCCTGGTTATGATATTGTATGTATTGTAGTTGTTGCAAGATCTTACCATTGATGAAAGCTGGGTACAGGGTACACAAAACTTCTTTGTATTATTTTCACAATTGCATGCAAATCTACACTTATAGGTTTAATTTAAAAGACTTAGAGTTATATGAAACCATTGGGAAAAAGTGAAAGCATTAACAGACATTTAGTAAGCACTTACTATATGTCTCTGTGTTAACCATTGCCTCTATCCTAAGGATCTTTTCAGTTTGGTGATATAATCATGGAACTGTCAAAGAATTTTATAAAATAATATAGTGCTTCTAGGTAATGTCCTCTGACCAACTTGGCCAATTTGGACAATTGGAAGGAATAAATATTCCTTCGTTGTCCTCAGTTAATATAAAAATGACAAATACTGGCTCAAATAATCTTTTGACATTTTATTGATGGCATAACTCACTGAGCACCAGGGGAAAATAAGATGGAGAATACTTCAATCTAATTAAAAAATTGACATCCTTAACAAAAAGTAGAAGAAAAATCCTTTTATAGTGCAGTATTCCACCCCTCATATTTTCAACCTATGACTGTACCAAACCACATCTTATGATAGAGGGTGAAGGGCATATCTGAGAGACAGAAGCAGGCTTCACTGTCACCTTTGCTAGGAACTGGAACTGCTGGTTCTGGGAGGTCACTTGACCTTTTAAGCAACTTGATACATACACATTAAGATTTATGGAGATCCTAACAACAACAACAACAACATGTAGTTCTGTCTTCAGAAGTAGCATTTGATGAACACTTCATTTTGGATTGCTGAAAAATGCCTTTAGAGTTTACATTTTTTCTTCTATTAGATGCTAATTAAATGTGCTAAACAAACTTCTGAAATGATCATTTCAATCTGATGATTAATAGAAGCATTCCTTTGTGCCAATATGTTATTCTCTGTTCAAAGAACTATGCTATTATTAACTACATCTAACACAATTTAGAGTCAACATTTGCTGAAAACAAATATAATTGTCATGTACTTCGTGCTGCTTCACACTTTGCATAATAGTTGTCAAGATGGGAACATATTTCTCCTGAGAACAAACTTGCTCTGCACTTCATTTTCCTAGTGATTTTATCTTGAGAGATTTCTAAGGGTGGTTATCATGTGACTGTGGTAGCAACAGGTATTGATGTTAAGGGCTTGGGCTTAGCTGTCAGCCTCCACCATTGTATGTCATGCATTGGATAACTTAAGGAGTATTTTATTGCTTTTCTTAAAAAATGATCTGTGAAAATTAGTTTGAGAGTTGATATGCACAGGTACAGTGCTTTCGAGGCTGTGTGTGCCCTCTCCACACAGTCTCATTTTTCATATCCAGCAAAATCAAGAATGATGACATTGTTGGCATCCACAGAGCATGTTATATTCAGAAATCCCAAATCGCTTTCTTATCTGACCTTGTACAAAGCAGAATTTGGCACTGTTATGGCGCTTCTTTTGGACTGTCATGTCTCTAATCACTTTTTCTTATTTATATTTTGTTGTTTTTGTTGGGTTCTCTTTTTATGTGTATTATTAAAGGTCAATGCTCCCTGGGTCCTTTATCTCCCACCACTTAAAACCTAGGGAATGGAATTTCTAGGATGGAACATATCTTGATGATTTTATTTGGATAATGAGGATGTGGGATGTTGAGGGTTAAATGAGGAATGCAGCTCAAAGTGCTGCTGATGTTTATAACTCAGACATTTTTGCCTCTCGCAAAAGGTTGAATCCTAAGGTTGAATCCTGGGATGGATTGGCTTTGAGCCAGGTTCTAGCAATTCATGCACCTTTCTTATTCATTTTCACTCTTTTCCCTGGGGTTAAGCTATTAAACATGGTGGCACTTATTTTTTTCCTGGCTTGATGCCTGGGGTTTTTTTCTGGAAGAGAAATTATCTCTTTATCCAGTCATTTCTTGCTTTTAGGTCAGGGACTTTGACAACCGGCACCCAGGAGCCTTTTTTGACTGCCAACTAATCAAAAAAGTCAGTGCTGGGGAAGGGGGCTGCCCCCTATCCCTGCTCCCTCTCTGTGTCCCACTTTGAATTGAGTGTCTGCTAGGTGTTGAAAGACATTATGGAAATATACGGCCTGACAAAGGAAGTAGATGGCCAGGAAGTAAATTTGGGAATGTTCAGTTATTTGGTTAATCAAATGAGCAACAGAACATTAAAAGCCCCAAGCAGGTGAAAGCACCTATGAATCAGAGCTGGGGAAGTTAAATTGCTTCTGTTTCTCTGAAGAAGAAGAATGAAAGGAGTTCAAAACCCCATCTTTTGTAGTGCAGAGCCAAGAACTAAAGCAATACTGCACAGAACAAATGAGACAGAAAAGGCATGGAACAAAAAGACACAGATTGTAAGTTCATGGTTTGCAGAAAAAAGATAAGGGGAAGAGAAACCAGAATAAATTGCAACTTGTCAAAGAGAAAGAGCAAACCAAGAAAGGAATTCATATTTAGAAAGTTTCCAGGGAAAAGAGCTGCTGAGAAGCAACATTTACAAATGAGAAGATGGATGAGACTATGGGGGTTAGATATCAAATTAATTTGTAAGTCAGGAAAGCATAAGGACTTATAAAATATGTATTGATAGAGTACAAAAGGACTCCCTTGGAAGCATCTGGCACTTATTTATTAGATCAAAATGACGTAAATCCAAGGATGCTGAAAAAATGAAAGAAACACAGTCTTTGAGTTCAAATTGACAAAAATCATTTTTTAACTAGCCTGTATGCACAGGCAATTTCAGAACAATGGGGAACAGCAGGTAAAAAGTGTTACAGGAAGAAAAGCAGCCTTGAGGACATATCACTTATATATTTAAATAAGGTTAACAGGCCAAACCTTCAAATGATAGAAAAAAGTTCAGCACTGATGAGCTGATCAGGACAAACTAAGTTATGAATATAGCATCTTCATAATGTGCAAAGAAAATCTCGTATATTTTATCTTCATGGAATTATAAAATCTTTTGTTCAAATAGTGACTCTGAGTAGGAACAGCTAAATTTAACATGATAATGTTTAGTCTTATTCATCAAATTAGTATATATTTTCCTGGCCTTGTCCAGACTCTGAAAAGTAGACAATGAACTGAGTGCAAGCACATGATAAGAGTGTCTAACTCTCTTGTGGGAAGAAGTAGTTGTCACATTGATGAATTTCAGGTCTGTTCTTAGTAATTTCATTAATAATCTGGACAAAATAGAGTATGAGTTTTGGACAGACCTGAACTTTTAGTGCAAGCATGGGCCCTGACTAAGCTTGGGGAAGTTATATAATGTCTCTGAGTCAGTCTCTTCATTATAAAGTAGAGATAACGATAGCTACCTGATAACACAGGCCGCCATGAAATGTTACAAATATAACAGAAGAACGTCAGTAAAATGCCTAATACAATGGGCACTCCATGCGCACGCACACTTCCTCTTCTAGCTGTTCTTCTGGGCTTGGCCTGCCTTGCTGGGTGTGTCACTTTGTCTTTCTGTGTATTATTACTTCTCTTTATACAGGCTGTCATGTCTTTGTCCATTGTCATCCCCAGCTGCTTCTCTGCTCCACCTACACTGCCTAGAATATTAGTACAGTTCACTGCTCTTATATATGCATTTTTGCATATTCTTCAGGGTTAGTTTTATAACTGCCTGTCATTGAGCACCTCTGAAATGCATTAAGGAGTTGAGATTTGATATTAAGGCAGTGGTTCTCAACCCTGGCTGCACATCAGAATCAGCTGGGAGCTTTACAAAAATCCTGAAGCCCAGGCTGTACTCCAGACCAATTATATGAGACTCTCAGGGTGTCAGCCCCAGGCGTCAGGATTCTTTTACAACTCTCTGGGTGATTTCAACATACAGTTAAGGTTGAGACTTACTGTTCTAGTATGTTAGTGAGGTACTCTATGTGGATGCCATCTGCAAAATTAATGTGAATGCCTTTCATTTCATTATTGATTTGATTATGGGTCAAGATAGTATCTGGGTTTGTGCCAACCCTAGTTGGGAAATCGTGGGCCCAAACCCTGCCCCCAAACATTGATTCTGCTCCACTCTTATCCCCCTACCATGCTAACATAAAAGGAAAATCACTTTTATAATGCAAAAAATAAGAGAGAATCTAGTATCATTTCTTCATTTTAGAGCTGAGGAAACTGAAGCACAAAGAGGAGGAGCAACCTACCTCAAACCCCAAGTTGTTGTTGGAGCCAATATGCAAATGCAAGTGTTTTTATTTGGCATCCAGGGAGAAATTGTACATTGTCTAGGCGTGTTTTGATTTGTAACAGAGTAAGCGCTGTCTTTTATAATTTAAAACTTTGTAGATTGATAATTACAGAGGTTTGCATTCAATGGTAGGTTGTATGTATAGATGTTTAATGGACATATTAATAAATGAAAGAATCCAGAATTAAGTCACTGAATTAATTTCAACAGCAACAAAAGATGTGAGTGAGTTTTCCACTGTCTTTCCAAAGACAATGGAATTAAATTCCAATGGAATTAAAACAGATGAAGTTGGGCCCTGGGACCTGGTATTAGTAGCAGAAGAGAGGACTTTGGCTTGCCATTTTTGCTTCTGAAAATAAGAAAGACCACTCAGCTTATCTACATTTTTTTGCAGGGAGTACCACTCAAAACTCAAACTCTCTGTCAAAGAAAAATTGCAGTAGATAGGGTTAAACAGGCAAAGAAGACTTTATTCAAGACTGCAATCAGAGAGAGAGAGATGGAACTCAACTCAGCTGAAACAAAATGCAGGCAAGTTTTTAAGCACTAGCCTGAGCTAGTGACAACATAGCACAGCATTATTTGTGTGGAGGTTGGTCTATGCGATTAGGCCATCTGTATTTGCTGATTGGTGCTAATGGAAATTAGGGTGCTACTCTCCCATAGAGCCTGGGAGATAGGGGTGCTGTCTTCCTTAATGATTGCATTTCAAAGGAATGGCTCCCAGATTTTTGAGAAAGAAGTTACTCTGTTGTAAAACCAGCAAGAGTTTGGGAGAAGATTTATTTCTCAGGCAGACGGAGAAAGAAAATACAGTTACAAACTTTTTAAAGTAAATGTAGGAGCAGGCAGTCGGGGGCCTGCAGTCAGGGGGAAAAAAAAAACTGTCTAAAGTTTACTCAAGCTGAGAGGAAATGTTTAGGCTGTTTGGTCACCCCAGCGAGCCATCCTTTCTGATTATCTCCAGGGATGTGCTAAGTCCTGGTGGGTGAAAAGAGCACGGTGCTCAGATCCACAGTCCGGCCCCAGCATTGGCTAAAGCATCAGAAACTTTCTAACACAGAACTCATCATTGGGCCTGGAGATTCTGAGCCCTTTGCTACACATTAAAATCCTCTGGGGAAGGTTTAAATATTGTCACATTGTCACTGCCTGGGCCCCAGCTCTTGAGAGTATGACTGTAGTTGATCTGGGTTGGCTCAGATACCAGATTGTTTTAAAGCTCTCCAAGCAATTACAGCTTGTAGTCAGGGTTGAAAACCAAAGGAGATGAAACCTCTCATTTAACCTGTGAGAGAGCACTGGGACCAGACAGGAGGGGCTGTTTGCCCACAGCCTTGTCATTCGTTACAGACATACACAGGACCAGTGCTCAGATCTCTACTTCTAGATCAGTGCTTGCCACTTACATTTTCTTTGCATTTACTACATATAGATTTGCAGTGAATACCAAAGTTTATTACATTTAATTTTCCTTTAATTTATGTCAGATTAATAGTTTCAGAATAAAACCTTGGAGCACCTTTTAGTGGTAGGGGGTGTGAGAGGCAGGTTATAAGGTATCTGTGAGTAAGGTGCTTGCTTTCTGTGCCTCAGTTTCTCATTTTAAAACTGAGACTATATGTATATATACAGTGTGTGTGTATATATATACACTGTATATATATACACACACCCTGTCTATATATACACACACTGTATATATATACACACTGTCTATATATACACACACTGTCTATATATACACACACTGTCTATATATACACACTGTCTATATATACACACACTGTCTATATATACACACACTGTCTATATATACACACTGTCTATATATACACACACTGTCTATATATACACACACTGTCTATATATACACACACTGTCTATATATACACACACTGTATATATATACACACTCTATATATACACACACTGTATATATATACACACTGTCTATATATATATATACAGTGCGTATATATATATATATATATAAAATATAAAAGACTGCCTTCTAGCATACAGTTTTGCTAATGAGAAGTCTGATGCTATTTTGATTACAAAATTTTTGTTGTTACAATTCTTCTATTGTTGAAAGTAATTTCATATATATATATATATATATATATATATATATATATATAAAATATCACTATTTGATTTACAATTTGATGTACAATTTTCAGAGCAGAAATCTTGTTTGTTACTCAGCTCCCGGTCATGCTTCTGTCCCTGGGGTAGCAGAAAGGGCCTGAAAACAGTTTCAGCAGGTCTCCACCTGAACGGTCTAGTTGTTGTTTCTAGAGACAATATTGAGCAGTGGGGAAGGGACAAAAGCAAGGATGTCTTCCTTCCTCAGGGATTTGTAGATATTCCTTGGAGAGAAGAGGATGCCTGGCTTTGTATGCAGTCTATTCTGGATAGTAATCTTTTTCTTTTTGGAGACATTGCTTCCCAGTTGTCTTATTGACTGATTGATTGATTGAGTTGGAGTTTTGCTCTTGTTGCCCAGGCTGGAGTGCAATGGCACAATCTCAGCTCACTACAACCTCCACCTCCCGGCTTAAAGTGATTCTCCTGCCTCCCAAGTAGCTGGGATTACATGCATGCACCACTATGCCTGGCTAATTTTTGTGTTTTTAGTAGAGACAGGGTTTCGCCATGTTGGTCAGGCTGGTCTTGAACTCCTGACCTCAGGTGACCCACCCACCTTGGCATCCCAAAGTGCTGGGATTACAGGCGTGAGCCACCGCGCCCCATCCCCAGTTGTCTTTTGTCTTTATCTTTTTACATCATTTTCTTTGATAGAAGATTTAAATTTTTGATGAGGCTAAATCCTCTTCCTCTGCCGTGTCCAGGCTCTGTGCCTCATGCTGGAAGGCTGTTCTTGCCTCAATGCTATTGAGTCTTTTATATTTTCTTCTACAACTTTTATTTAAAAAAAAATTCAGCTCTTTTACTCATAATACATCTGAGATTTATTTGTATTCATGGTGTCAGGCAGCACTCTAACTTAATACTTTCCAAATGGATAACGATAACCAGTATTCACTATAGTATTTATGCAATCATGTCTCCCTTTATTTAAATATCACTTTTATCATAAACTAAATTTGCATTTGTATATGGTTTATTTTTCTTTTCCATATGCTGCTCCATTTATGTCAGCTTTTCTGGCACCAGTATGACATTATTTTCCTTAGATAAATTCATAGGATATTTTGATATTTAGTAATATAACTTCCCTCTCTTCACACCACATGCAGGGTTCTTTAAAAAATTTCTTATCCTTTCTTGCCATTTTTCCATGTGGATTTTAGAATCAGCTTAACAAGTTCCTTAAATAATCCAGCTGTAATGTTTATTGAGGATTGCTTTGAATTTATAGTTTTAAATGGAGATATTTTATAATTTGAAATACTGAAGCTCCTTGTCTAGGATCATGACATATTTTCCCATTTAATTAGTTTGTTAAAGTCCTTATATACTTCACAATTTTTTCATTAAGTTATTACAATTTTTTATATGTATTTGATTATTTGAAGATTTTGCTTGTCTTCTAGCATCCAATTTTGCGAATGAGAAGTCTGATGCTATTTTGATTACAAAACTTTTGTTGTTATAATTCTTTATTGTTGAAAGTAATTTCCTTTTATTATTTTTGATCACTCCTTCTGCATAAATGGGTACAAATGAGGGGTGATCTAATGTCCTAATGTATTCTCTAAATGCATTTCCTGAAATAAATTGTGATGATTGATCCAGATGCCTTTCTTCTCACCTTATTGCTTTTCTTCAGACTTATCACATAATTCTTTAAAGCTGGACATACAAATGACAGTTTGAGGGTCTTTTCCAGGTCTATAATTCATATACTGGCAACTGTGCACTAATGATTTGCCACAAAGAAGATAGATTGATCTCACAGTTCCTGGCGTATCATGGATGAATAGCACATATTTTTTTAATGGAAGATTGAATGAGGTTGATAATCTCTTTTAAATTAATTAATTAATCAATGAATCATTTTTAAGAGACAGGGTCTCACTCTGTTGCCCAGGCTGGAGTGTAGTGATGTGATCATAGCTCACTGCAGCCTGGGCTCAAGCAGTTTTCCTGCTTCAGCCTCCCAAGGATAATATCTTTATAATTCAACAGGAGAAGGAATACTTTTGCCTCTCAGCTTATTTCTAAAATTCCCATTACTTTACATACAATTTTATTTTACATATAGTCATAGACATATGTGAAGGAAGGAACTTTAGTAATTATCTATAACACTGTAGGCAATCTGGGACTCATTTCACTGTACTTTTCACTGTTAGGGAAACACACCCACAGAGCTTCAGTGAAACTATCTAATGGCACTAGTCCTTGTACCCAGGCATTGTGATTTTCAGTTCTGAGATTCATTCTACTCACTGCTTAAGAATATTACATGCCTAGCTTTTCTGGATGCATGGGTTGGGACATTCACATAGGAAAAGAGGGATTCTCCCATTTCCTCTTTGCACTCTTATATTTAGCCTCATAATATTTAACTCATAATTGCCTGGAGATTGGACCATAAATTCAGGTCATTCACCTTAGTTCTGTTAACCCCCAACACAGCCTTAAAATATATTGTAGCTAATATTTATTATAAAATATTTTGAAAATCATTTTCATTGAAATATATTATTTTGTTATTTTCATAAAGTTATGAGAAATGTAGACTCTGAGATCAAGGTGACCTCATATTTCACATAGGCAGGTATCCTGATCAGTGATATTATCCACAGACCTTCCAAAAATATGTCACCAGCAATTTTCTCAGTTTCTTAGATAGATTAGTTTAAAGGACTTATTTAGGACACTAACTCTTTGCTCTTTCTAGTTTCTAAAATGCTACGAAGGAAAGAGAAGAAAACTAACATATACTGAGCACTTACCATGTGCCAGACATTATGCTAGTGCTCTTGTATATATACTTTTGCCCTATTTTACAAAAAATACTGTTTTCATTTCATTTTAATGCAAACAGATTGTAAAGCATGTGAGCCCCCACATGAAGTCTGTTGCTCTTAGAATATTTCCAACTAGATTCTTCTATTCTCTATTCCCCGCATCTCTCACTGCCCTTGGTGTGTGTACCTAAGCAGTGTTTATTAAAGTGTGTATTTTTAAAAAGGGAATAAATTTGGCATGTATCACTATAGGCTTATGCATAATTAATTCTGAATAAGCTGAAAATGGAGCTTAAAATGGATGAAACTTTTAACATTTGGAGTATTAGCTAAAATGGGTATTTAAAAAATTATGGCTTTTCATGAAGCCATACAAGCCTCAGAGTATAGAGTCATAGAAAGAAATGGACTTAGGAATCAGACAGGGTTTTTATTTCCAGCTATCCTCGTAGGTGTGGGACTTGAGTTAACCTTTATAGCATTGGTTTTCTCATTTTGAAAAGGAAAATAATATGTCATAGAGTTTTTATGAGAATTAAAGAAAATAAGGTATGTAAATATATAATACACATGGTTTGTCCTATTTTGACACTTTGAAAATGATCATTATTAAATGTTCTGCGGCACATCTTGAATTTTTGTATTTGAGGCTATTGTCTTGAGATCAAAATATTAAAATTTTTGCTTGGGTAGTAGTTCTGCTCTAAAGTTAAATTATATGTTTCCTCTTTTGCTGATTTAGAGCAGCTTTTAACATTTCCTAGAGGCATGTTCCAGAGCTTGGCATTATAGTTAGATTTTTTTTTCTCTGACAGATATATCTTATTCTAAAAAATAATCTGGAATTGTATCCTTGTCTATACAACTCAATTTTAAAACAAAAAATCTTCCCTTTCACTCTGCAAATACAGCACATTTAACAGAAAATAGAGGCAATTAGGTAAGCACTCCTTCACTTTTCCAGCACCAGTTTTGCCAGCCCACCTTTTTCTGTTCTCACAGGGTGTACTTTCTTCTCTTTACAATGGGGGTTTATTCTTGCTGTTCAGACCAGCCTCTCCGCAACTCCTCCCTTCTTCTTCATGGATTTATTATTGCAGTGGTATCTGCTTCCTCTTCCATCACCAGTTTCTATCTCTCTATTTGATCCTTCCTCAGTAATATTTGCCTCAGTAATATTTGTATTAATATTTTGACTACACATCTTCCTCCTGCAACTGCTTTCTTTCACCTCAAACTCCTCTGCAGAGTTGACTCTTCTTTTTCTGCTTGTCTTCTTCCACAGATCAGCCCAATGAGGCATTTCCTTCCAGCTCTCCCTGAAACTGGCTATTGTGAAGGACACCCGTTATCTCAGCATGCCAAACCCTGTGGGTAATTCTATGTCCTCATCCAACCTGGTGTCTCAGCAGCATTGACATTGTGGGCCATGACCTGCTTTTCAAAGCACTTTCTAACTACCTGTCCTTTTGTGACTCAACATTTTTCTATTTTCCTTCCAGTTTACTGGCTTCTCTCTCATTCTTTTTTACTAGTTTCTCTTTCTATACCGAACTGCTAAATTTTTGAAAACTTCAGACATTCTTTTCCCCTATGACTCATATCTAGTGTCCAGACAATCACTTGCAGCCAGCCTCTCTTTTTCTCTTAAAATCTCCTCTCTTCCCATTTCTCATTTCTCTTTCCTCTCCTTAAGCTAATGAGCTTTTTTTGAGTACCTTCTATTTCTTCCTGGGCTCTGGGCTAGGCACTGGAGTTACCAAGGTGAATAATACACATTCCTTGTCTTCAAGCAATGCGTAGTCTACTAGCAGTCTATATTCTTTCTAGAAAGTATTATGAAGAATTAGAGTTGCTGTGATTAGGCTATTGGTCGTAACAGAAGGGGTACAAAGGACAGAGTGGGTGCGGATGGGAATCATGGAGAATTTCCTCTCTGATATAGGAATGGCTCACACCATTCTTATTCCAAACCCATAACTTGCATGGAAGAAAATAAATTGAAGATCACACCTAAATTTTTAAAATGTGATCTTTCAGGTGCCAAAAAAAAATGCAACTGTTTCAAACCACGTGAGTTTTAAAACATGAATAATAAGCCAAAAATGTTATAAATGAAATATTATAAATTCCCTTAATTTCTTTAATTTTTATTTTTATCAAAGTGGCACATATCCGTAATTTTAAAGTCAGATGGTTCTGAAAGGTCAATAGTGAAAAACACAGAAGTGTGTTTTTCCTATTTATCTGTTCCTTTTTCCTAAAGATAACCACTTTCAACTAGTTTAGCTACTTTTTTGGGTGTTTATAGCCATGTTGTAAAATAACTGATGTTTTTACATTGATTTTTTTTCCTATTTAAATATCCTATGTGCTGGATAAAGAGAGAATCCTCTTACTTGCTCCTCCAATCCACACATATATTCTTCCCTAATTCTACCAGCGATAACTTTTAGTTTTATCTTACTCAGATTTTATATTATCGTGACTCTGACATTTCTTCACAACTAAGACCTGTAGTATACTATTATTGCATTTCCTTTCTTGTATATTTTCCTTGATTTTAATAATTACATTTTAGTTTATTATCTAATACAAATTGTGGCTGACTGCCATGGTTACTGCTTGAAATGGTGACTACAGCAGTTACTTCTGTTACTGCTTGAGACCATCATTATAGCAGTTTCTACTGTTACCACTTGAGACTGTCATTACCACTGAAGGAAGGGATGAATGTAGAAATGAAAACTTAAGACAAAAGAAACTATTTTAAGGAAAGGCAACATGGGGAGAAGAAGAGAGCTACCTGCTTCTAGTGAGCAAAGGCAGCCCTTCGTATTTATTGGGTAACAAGAGCAGGGGGAGGAGGTAACGATTGGTTCACTGCTTAATTGATCAAAGGTTCATATTGTTACTAACAGGCTTCAATTATGCCTAATCATAAGAAACACTTGTGCCTGGGTCTTGACTGCCCTCAGCAGTCCTTCTGGGTGGCATACGCAGTTTGTCAGTTTGCCAACATTCTGCATTTATGACAAACAGTTTGCTACTTACATAGCCTCCAGTGGTATACTGAGTTGATCGCAACCCTCACTCTTTCAGCCTCCAACAACAAATTCACCCCAGGACTCTGCTAGAAATATAATTCCCCACTTTGTGTGTTCAAAGACACTATATATTCCTATAAATTTAATTTTCTTGCTGACTTCATCCTTGGAGTTCTCTACATCTGCTGGAATCAGGACCAGGCCATCTCTAGGCAGTTGCACAGCTTTTGTCCTGGGATGTCCCTGCACCATCATCCTGGGGTAGCCTTGGTCTCTCTTCTTTGTATTAGTTTCCCTGGTTTCTGCATCTCATGTTGTTTTCTTTCTTTATATCCCTGTTAAGGCAGAACACACCCATCAGTAGTTTCTTGAGGGAGGATGCAGGAATAAGTTGTCTGAGACCTTTGCTTTTTTCAACCCCTACAATTAATAATTTTCCTTTGTAGGGAAAATTAGATTGGGATTACTTTTTCTTGAGAATATTTAAATCATTGTCCCATCGTCTCCTAGCTTTCAAGATTGCAGTGAGTCATTCTGATTCCTCTTTGGCTAGGACCTACTTTTAAAGAATGAACTCTGGGGAATCTTCTTTCTCCCTTTACTCTGGAATTTCACTGGGAAGGTCCTTCTCTGGGTTTTCTCTTGTCTCTTGTGCTGGGCACTCAGTAGGCTTTTCAATCTGAAAATTTTTATATTTCAGTTCTGGAATTTTTTCCTGAATCATTTATTTGATTTATATGTTTATTAATTTTCTTTGTTTTCTGTTTTTGGAATTCCTATTATTTACATGTTTGTCCCTTGGCTAATTCCCTAATTTTCTTACTGCTTCTCTTTTGTTGTATTTCCAAGCTCTCCTTTTCAGCTACTTTCTGAATAATTTCTGCAACTTTACTTTCTACCTTCTCTGTAAGGCTTTTTTTTGCCTTTCTGCTATTGCATTTTTAAATTCCAAAATCTCTCTTTTGTCCCAGAATGTTCCATATTTGTAATATCCTTTTTTTCATGGTTGTTTTATCTTCTTTCATCTGTCTGAAAAATATGGATTTTTGATTTGTTTTCTTTTCTCTGCAATGTCTATGTTTCTTACCATTTCTTTTCCCTGATAGATTCGACCATTTTCTTTTTTGTTTTCTCTTTGGTTGATTGTATTTCCTTGTGGAAGATTTTCAGTGACCTGTCTGGTAGGTACAAGTCTGGCTGACTCTGTTCTGGGATCTGAGTTGGGAAAGGGGATGAGAGTATCATCATTCCATGAGTAGATTTTTCACTTAATCTAGCAATGTTCAGTTTGGCAGCCCTGCTCCTATGCCCAGTGCCCCCTAGAATCCCTCAATTCACGCTATTCAGAGAGAACATTTTCTAACTTTTGTTGAGATTGGACAGGGTATCTAACGTCTTTTTAAACAGATTTTTAACCAATCACCTCTGCCTTCACACTCCTTTAAGAGGTACCAGGTAACTTTAATTTCTGAACACTTCTGGAATTTGAGGTATGCACTGGCTAGCTTTTGGGCCTCCCTCCCCAGCCAGTCTCGGTTTTCGATTTTTCAGGTTTGCTAAATCATTTACCACTTATCCATCTGATTTCTAGCTTCTCAAATTGTGTTGCTGTTGTTTCCTCTCTTGTTCTGTTTGTCCTTGAGGATTTATGCCTTTAAAAATGCTACACATTTATTTTAGAGGAGTTTAGAGAAGGAAATCAGGTTAAAAATGTGTGTTTAATCTTCCTTTTTAAACCTGAAGCCCATCAATTTAATCAGTTAAGGGGAGACTTAAAAGAGGGGCAGAAATGACACACCAAATAGAGCAGTGAAAGTAAAACTGAGACAGAAAGGAGGAAGCAGTCACCAAGAGGACATACAAAAGTGGGGAGAAGGAATGAGACCTAGACTGAGGAAGGGCACAGCAGAGACGTTCATGTCTAAAACATTGACTTGATTCATTCATTTCTTTATTCATATATTCTCTCATGCAATGGAAGTTTCTCTTGAGCCATTGTGTTAGGAACTCTGATAGATGTTGCAGATACCAAATATATGAGTGGAAGGTAAATCAGCAATTGTTACTAATTCCTAACAGTTACTGAGCCCCTAAAGGGCTTATAGTCTGCTATCTTCAGATTATTTCAACTCAAAAATATTTATTCAGAAACTAGTGAGAGTCAGGCATTCTTCTATGTGATAAAATACTATTAATTTTATTCTGTAACAGCCTCTAATGTGTTGATTTGTTGATTACTCACTTCTCACATCTCTTTTGGTGTTCATTATTGTTAAAACCAAAACAGATTCCAACAATAATGTCTGTGGAATCCATTCAAAGGTGAATATGTAGTGTTATGCATTTGTATTCTTATGCTAATATGCTTGTATCTATAGTGTGACCATAAAGTAATAAAGAGATTTCTTGTGTTACTTACAGACCTCTATCTCTTAACTTGCGGTTACTTACAGAATATTTGAATATTTTCAAGAGCAACTAGGTAGACCTCATGAAAAGACTTTTACATACTGAAGTATTCATATGGCTAAATCACTGGAGATTTAGAACAACTTATGGTTACAAAATTAGGTAACAAAATAGATTAAATGTATCAAATGTCTACCATGTGTCAGACACTCTTTTAAGTGTTGTACCTGTATTAACTCATCTATTCTTCAAAGTAAAGGAGGTTCTATCTTTATCCCCATTTTAGAGCTAAGAAAACTGAGATAGAAGATTAAAAGACAATTGGAGAAGACATTTGTAGAGTACCTATACAATTTCCTCTATTGGAATTGATCCATCTGTTTTGACTGTTGACCTCATGGATGGTCACTGAATGAGCATCTGAAAGACCTCCTTAAGAAAAGATCCCAGAAAACTGCAGTGGTATCCAGGGAGGCTGGCAGGCTTGCTAGGTTTTTGTTTACTCATTTGTTTGTTTGCTTTAGGGTTAGATTCATATTGATGACTGAGTAGCTTGATAAGCGTAGGAGGACTAAAAAATTATGAACCTTTGAAATGTTTAGAACATTTAAAGAATAATTTAGTGTGTCAGAGATTCTCAGCCCATTATTCAAAACAACTTATCAGCAGATTTTAAGGGGAAGGAACTGTTTGCATTGCTATTATACAAAGAGGCCTTTAAATAATTGTTGCTGGTGCTCAAAATATCTGTTTAAACTCAGTTTATATATTTCTACATATTCTACTATCATTTTCTCATAAAGCTTATTAGTGATCATGATTACAAATGAAGATGTAGTTCCTACTGCTACTGATTTTGGCTTTATTTGCTTGTATTATCACTATTTATAGTAATCAATGGTCATGCAGGCTACTAGCTGGTGATAGTCCATTCAAGCGGCTAAGAAAATCACAATGGCAAATGCATTGCTTTCTGGTTAAATGAGGCAGTACAAATGAGTCATTAGTTATAGCCTCCTAGATAACATATGGTTCCAAGGAATCTCTGTTTAACCTCCAGTTTCAAAAGATTATTCAGAATTTCTTCCCTTCCTTGGTGGCTAGTCTGTAGAATAAAAACTAGTCTGAGTTTGAAACATAAATCCATAGCTTATGTGGTGCATAAAAATGTGTTAGAAGGTTTATTAATCAGGGGGTTTCTGCACTGGTGGGTAATGTTTTTTGCATACTCTTAGAAATCTGTCATTCTCTTATACACTAATCTCTGTGTGTGTTTAAAGTGGTCATCTTAGGCTTGCTAGGGTTAAGATCACTTCCATTGGTATTTTCATCTGTAAACACCAATAGTAAACTATCCCTATTTGCGAGTCAGTGTTTAAGTAGCCTAATAATTAGACCATACTAAAAAGGATCTAGGATTTTGTATATGCCATTGCATCTAAACTCTATCACCTTTCTTACATAAACCAGGTCAGTTTGTGTATCTCCCATTTTTTTTTAAAACTAACTTTGTGACCTCAAACAAGTTTCCTAGCCATTCAAGGCCTCACTTTTATCATGTGTTAAATGGAGATGATAACGTATCTGTCTTATAGGATTATGTGAGAATTAAAGAAAGTAGAATTAAGGCAAATAAAACATTATTGGGCCGTAGGAATCACTTAATAAACATTACTTCTGTATTACTCCCAATTTAAAAAGTGACAATTTACTTTCAACTGACATGTTTATTTTGAACATGAAAATACACAAAAATAGTCCCTTCTTTAATATTCGCCTTGAAGTGCATTCTGGATGTTTATTCTGTGCTTTCATGCCAGTTCTCTGTGGTAAGAGGCAGAGATGATTCAACCTGAATAAAACAGCCTTGAGGGTTTGTGGAATCCAGTATTAATGATTCAAGCTCCTATCATTACACAGTTGCAGAGATAGCAAAAGTTGTCATTACGTGAAAACCTTCCTCTGTTGAACTGAAATCTTATGAGTCCTGTTTCTTGCATCTTCCTGAATACAACACAAGCAACCACCCCCATCCATTGTAAAAATATCTGTGTAGAAGAGCCTTGTGGAATGTCAGGTACTGTAAGCATCTGGAAATTCAAATGCAGATAGAGTAGAAATCAATTGCAAAATGAAATCTCCTATCTTAGTGGAAGGAGTTTAGAGTTTATGAAATTAATAAAAGTGGTTAGTCAAATGAAAAGTCACTGATAGTTGAAAATATAGTAGACTTAGGCTATTTGATAATTGAAGAGAAATGAAGCAATGGATTAAAATAATCATTTGAATACAAAAGGATTAAAAGACCCTTGAGAAAACTGAAGGAGCTCTCAATTTTTTTCATGAAGCATGTCTCTTTATTATCAACTTGCAAGAGTCAAGTATAAATTAATTAGTACTTTTGTTTGAAAAAAATCACGCTCAGATACTTGATTTAGTTCTAAGAATTAGTGCACAGTTACAGTTACAATAAAATAAGTGGGTTAAATATGAGATAATAAAGGAATTTCTATAATTTGAGTTCCTTTTTTTCAGTATATAGTTCCAAGCAAATCTTATTAATGTCTTTTCAATGGATTCACATTTAACAAAGACCTTTGTGAAATATCTGCCATCTTTTAGGTAAAGCAGACATCCAATACAAGCTTCTAACATATTTCTTGGAGCCTATCTGCATAGTCAGAAATTATGCACCCCGAAATTCTTCCACACGGTTTATTTAAACAATTGCTGAGAGTGAAAAGAAAATTCATTTTGTTCTTGTGCTTCTGGATTCTTAAGTACCATCTTCCTGTACTTTCAATTTAAATTACCCTCAGATAGTTTTTCACCCCTGCCTTAACATGCCAATTAATATTCTGGCTATTACTATGTCACTCGCCTCAGAAGAAAGTTTCTGTCAAGCCCAAATTAAGTTACTGAAGATATGAAATTAAAACAAAACAAAATCATGGCTAAAAAAATATAAACCTTAACAAATAGTAAATTCCTGCTGAAGGCAGAAATAAAATGTACTCTATTTGAGATCAAAATTTACTATTACTTTGCAAGAATGTCAATTCCCAGTTCAGCTCTAGTCAAGTGTATGAAATAAATCGTTTCAGAATTTCAATGTTAATTCCTCTAGCACATACTGACGAAAGGGGAAAAAAATAACTATTATCATAAAGTTTCTGTTTAGGTGATTCCGTAGTAAGTTGATGATGATCACAGCTATGTTGCTTTTTGGAAGCTTGGAAATGTTTGTGCATGGAATGCAATTGGTAATTAATCAAGGAAGTGATATCTCATTAGGTTTCTAAAACTCACTGTTCTACTTGTATGCTCAATGCAATCCTGTCTTTTTCCTTCCAGAACCTGACTCCAAAAACCTCTCTAACCACTCTGTCTTTCCCAGTTTCTGCTATAGCCACCACTTTTCTTCCTTCTTTTCTTCCTAGGTTCTCTCTCTTAGTCATTTCATCCACTCCCATAATTTTAACTCACACATCTAGGCAGATGGCTCTTAGATTTGTATTTATAGCACCATCTTACCTTCCAAGCTCAATCTCACATTTCTAACTATCTGCTAGACATTTGCACCTAAATGCACCACCAAACTCAAAATGTCTAAAATTTAACTCATTTTCTTACTTCCACCTCCTCCTAATTTTCGTTTTTGTAGATGGTAACCACATTCCTCCAACTGTACACTCTGAAAACTTACAAAGTATGCTTGGACCTTCTCTTCCCTTTCTTTACATTCCCATTGTCACCAAATCCCATCAATCCGATCTTTAAATCGACTCAATTCCACAAACCCATCTATTGGACACCTCTTAGAGCCACAGTTCTATGCTAGAAAATAAGGGGTAAATAAACTTATCAAAAACAAGACATAAATCCTGTGCTCAGGGACCTTGCAATCTAGCAACTGAAATAAGATTTGGACCCAAACTATTCTCAGAGCAACCAGATTAATTTTCCTCTCATACCTACAATAATAGCTTTGGTTAGTTGATTAGTTTACTGTGTACCAACTGCTATTCTAAACACATTTCATCCATTATTTCACTACTCCCCACAATTCTATAAAGTAGATATTAATGTTATTCCCCTTACAGATGAGAAAGCTGAGGCATAGAGAGATTTAAATATTTTTTCCCAAGGACACAGAGTTTATAAATGAAAGATCCAAGGACTGAACCCTGGAGTCTGGTCCGGAGACCAATCTCTGAACTCCTGCTCCCTGGTGCCTGCCCCCACACCTCTTCACCCTGTCCTTCCCCAGCCACAGATGACAGGGAAGGTCCCTGACCCCAAAAAGCTATACTGTTGGCTGGACAGTTACTTATTATTTATGTGACTTGGTTTGAATAGATGAACTGGACCTTGTTGAGGTTTTTCTCTTGAGAATTTAAAATAGAAAACAGCAACTACTGCCATTTACACCGATGCTTGAGATATTGGACTTCTGTTTTCTAATTCTGATATACTTGACATGCTTTTGAACTGAAAACTTAAATTGAGATTAAAATAACTGTTGGTTCACACCATTTAATGTAAAATGATTTGTGGATGCTTTTAAATAACCTTTAAATATAATTTAAATATTTATGTCAATATCGGTTTTTCCTTCCAAACTCTTTACCTTTTTTTTTTTTGTAGTTTTGTTTTGTTTATTTGTTTTCTGTAAAACTTTCTACCTTCTTAATATCCTTTTTGTTATTCCCCTTTTGTTTTCCCTCTGGTAGCTTGTCAACTTTAGATTTTTAGTTTTAGCTAGTATCTAAAATTTAATATTTGAGGTGTCTGCTTTGACACATCTGTGTTATTCTCTTACCAATCCAGATTTACTAGTCCAGAATAGAACCCTTCCTGGGTTACTCAGTTACCCTCACTATTTATTTGATTTTACCTTTCTTTTTTTTTTTATGTTTCTGCAAACTTTTACCAATTACTTATGCCACAATTGAAGCACTTTACATTTATCTAGATTATTTGGGCTAATTCCAATTTCTTTTATACACTTTTAAATACAATTTTCTATTTGTTCAAAATTTCACTATTTTGTACTCTTTTTGAAGATTCTTGAAAGAGAATATTAGCCACTTTCAATAATTATGAATTTAAAATTAATTTTCAATAAAGTTTAATTCAAAAATCCAATTTAAATTTAATCAAAATATAATTTGAAATTAAAAATTTAAATTACAAGTATCTGAATATTTGAATCAATATCATATGAATATAATTATCTGAATAGCTGAATTAATGTTTTAAGTTAAATGTTAAATTAATATTAAACAGTATCTGAAAGGAATTAGAATTATCTCAAATAATCCTGTATTAAAATTTATTATATTTCATTCAGTCTTTAAAAACCAGGAAACTCTGCAATACATGATAACATGGATGAACCTTGAGGACATTATGCTAAGTGAAATAAGCCAGGCATAGAAAGCCAAATACTGCATATTTCCACCTACCTGAGGCATAGAAAAGTGCTCAAAATTTACAGAACCAAAGAATGAAATGGTGGTTTCCAGGGGCTGTGGAAAGGCGAAATGAGAGTTATCAATTAAGGGGCATAAAGTTTCAGTTAGGCAAGATGAATAAGCTCTAGAAATCTGCTATACAACTTTGTATCTATAGTCAAGAATCAGGTATTGTAGACTTAAAAACTTAACTGTTCTTGTCACAATAAAATAAAACTGAAAATTGAATGAAATAATGTATTTTTGATTCTTACTAATGAAATATACTTTTCTAAATACTTCATTATTGGTAATAAAAATGGAACATTTTTGCTCAAGCTATTGAAACATTCTTGTTAAATTTCTTAAACAGTTCTGATAACAGTTATAATTGGCAATTTGATAAATTCAGAAAATTGACTTTTTTCTGAAATCTGATAAAATAGCCACCCAATAAAACAGCTTTCTGAAAATGTATTTTGGATTTAAATTGGCCTACATACTAAAATCTAAAGGTTAAGTCTCAGTCTCATTTCCCTTATCACTTTGGTGGCATTTATCATAGTTGATTATTTTACTTCTTAAAACACAGTTACATGTTTTCTGGGATACCACGAACTTACCTGGTTTCTCTTACATCCTGATTTCCTTCTCTGGCTTTGCATCTTCTTGACACCCTAGATGTTGGAGTCTTTTCTCCTCTCCTTAAACAGATTTTTCTTTGGGATCTCAAATAGTCCCATAAATACCCCCTCATGCTGTTCTCTCCTGAGCTGATTCAGGGTCATGCTCATGGCCCTGACTGGTAGATCCAATTGTTTTCACTTAGTTTCATAATAGACATTTCAAATTGAACATGCTGAGAAAAGAACAATTAATTCTGCCATCCCGCTCTTGTCCAAGTCATACCAACTCTCATCTGCAGCCCCACTACAGCCACCCAACAGGTCCCTATTCCTACTCTTGCCCTTCTCAGGTCGATTCTCCACAACACAGCCAGAGAATCTTTTCAAAGCAGGCCTCAGGTTCAGTACTACTCAATATCTTTGCATCTGTGCTTTTGCATTTCTCAACAGTGTGTACGTTACCTGGCCCCTGCCTATCTCTTTATTCCTGTCCCCTTTCTTTACCATGCTCTTCACTGGGTTTCAGCCACACAGCAGTGTTTCTATTGTTTCTTGAACATGCCAAGCTCATTTGCATCTTCGAGCCATTCTACTTGATCTCCCCTCTGCCCGTAACACTGTTCTCACTAAAACTCTTTTTCACATTATTTCAGTTTTTACTCAGATGTCATGTCCTTGAGGAGGACTCCTCGATCATTACATATATAATAGGACTCACTCTATGCTGTCACTTTGTATGCCTTGAACCTGTTTTATTTTCTTTGTGAATCATGAATCACTACGTGACATTATCATTTATATTTACTTGTTATTACCTGTCTCTCCCACCAGCTTATGAAGGCAGAGACTTCTCATTGACTTACTCATTGGTTTCCTAACATAGCACCTGGCACATAGAAGATGCTCAATATACATTTATTGAATGAACATATGTGGAAAGTAAATTTCCTCTTTCTTGACACTCAGACTTCACTGAAAATGGCAAATCTCAAGCTAACGTATCTGTCATTCTTACAGGCATCTAATCAGTGTGCTTAGGATTCTCACAATCTTACAACTTTTTTTTTTTTAACATCATGTACATAGTTTTTTGTACGGCTGTGGGTAAAAGCCACAGGCAAACTCCATGTTGCATACAGCAAGCTGCTTGAGACTAATCTCTCTACTACAAAGACCATTTTTGATTCCTTGGAGAAGCACTTCTCATTGGGCTAGATCATCTTAGTTATTACAGAAAAAGAGTAAAAACATGAAGAAGCAAACTAGAAGAGTCATTCTAGATACTAAAATCTAGAATTAAGGGAGAAGGTTGTGGTAGGCGTTGAAAACAAGCAATCCAACTGAAATCAACAGAATAATAATATTCAGTGGAATTAGCATAGTTCCAAGATATGTTAAAGAGGGACTTATTTTGTGTTCTGATTCATAATGATGAGCATTAAGTAAAATGCAATGTGGTTTTTGTTGTGTGGCCTTTGGATAACGCATGACTGATGGTGTCAATGTACTGATAGAATTTATTCTTGCCCTCTGAGCACATGCCAGATCTTACATTCTGTCACGAGCTCATTTATTGTGCAATAGAATCTTCATCTTCAAAACTCTAGAGAGATTAAGATGCCTCACAGGTCAGAAAATTGTTGAACAGAACTGTTGATGTAATGTTTGAAGGATGTCCTGGGTACTAGAATGATGTCTTAACATATCATATTCAAACCTGACTATTTATTTTGTCAGTCAATTTTCTTTGGCTGGGGGAAAAAAAAACTAGCAACAGAAGAACCAATTTCCCCATGTGTGCATGCACGCTCACACGCCTGCAGATTGGTGTGGGTGTATGAAAGGGCACGCGGTTACAATAATAGGCACCAGGGAAAGCAAAGATAAATTGAAAATTAAAAACTTCTATTTAAGATAACAGATTTTGCCTATTTTCATACATTTGTGTTATCTGTTTATTCCCGGAAGCATGCTTTTCCTATTATCCTTCTAGTGCTTGCCTTCTAGTCCTTACTGATAACAACAATGATGGTGCCTTGCACGTGTTCAACACATTAGCGTTTTTGGAGCTTTTACACAATATTTTTTTTCTACCAAATAACTTGATGTTCTGTTTTTCCTGATTTCAAGTCAGAAGGCTGATATACAGGGGATTCAGAATTGAGATACTGCTTTGGCCCCCCAAATTGATGGGATTACAGGCATGAGCCACTGTGCTCAGCCTTCTTTTACTAATTTGTAGAAGAATAAAGAATTTTACATAACTTTCCTATTTATCCTATGCAAATTGAGCATACTTCCATTCCAGAGAGTTTATAATCAAAGTGATAACAGTAGTGCTGTTAAATATATTTATTAGAGAACAAAAAAGAAATGAGGGGTCAGGTAAGCTTTTTAACAGGCTGGACAAACAGCAGGAATCTCCCTGGTCAGGTGTGCGTGGTTGCTTTTTTTTTTTTTTTTGAGACCGATTCTCACTCTGTCTCCCATGCTGGAGTGCAGTGGTGCCATCTCAGCTTACTGCAACCTCTGCCTCCCAGGTTCAAGCGATTCTCCTGCCACTGCCTCCTGAGTAGCTGGGACTACAGGTGCACACCACCATGCCCAGCTAATTTTTGTATTTTTAGTAGAGATGGGGTTTCACCATGTTGGCCAGGCTGGTCTCAAACTCCTGACTTCAAATGATCTGCCTGCCTTGGCCTGAAAAGGTAGTTGCTTTTTTGATATTTCTGCTTTCCTTGTCTGTGGCTAATGCATTTTTCCTTCAGTCCTCTACCCTCTCTAGTTGGAGGAGGTCAAGATAATTTTTAAATGACTAAGAGCAGCCCTGAAAAGATTGATAATTGTGTGAAGATGCGGAATAGCAGTGCAAACCATTTAGCAGTGTTGACAGAAGCAAAGGATGCAGGATTTTGTTCCCGTTATGGTTTTGAGGCTTTTGAGGCTCAGTTAATTATTTTTTCCATTCACTGCCAGAGCTCTGTCTTCCTTTGGAGAGGGAGAGTGTAGTATTATAATGCAGTGGGCATAGGTTTTGGAATCAGACTGGCCGTGACTTGAGTATGTATTTAAATCATCTACTCATTGCATCACTTGGAGCAAGTCATTTAACACTGAATCTCAGTTTCCTCATCTGTAAATTGAAAGCATAAAAGCTATGTTTAAATGTTGTTGTGAGAATCAGAAATAGTGCAAGCACAGTGCCTTGTACTATTTCTGATTCTTATAATAACACTTAAAAGTAGCCTAAATGTTAAATGCCTGTCACAAAGGCTGTCCTTAATAAATACTATTTTACTGCTTCCTTGAATTCTTTTCTATTAACATTTACTATCAACTTACTCTCACTCCATCTGCCACCCCTGCACAGGGCTCTGCTATCCCAGGGTCAGTGCTGATTGGCCCCTTGGTGAAAGAGGCAGCGATTTTGTTTAGCTGGGGTGAGAGACATACAGGAAACCACTTAACTGACTAAAATTAAAATCACATCTACCAAGATCTTAGCTTTGAAAGCAGAGACTTTCAAATGGTTAGAGAGCGGGTATGATGGCTAGACCAGGCAACTCTGATCCTTTCCTTCTGAATTTTATCTTTTGGTGGGTGACATTTTCTTCCCAATGTTGTTTTAATGCTTTCCTTCAAGGGTGTACTAAGGAAACTTTATGGTCTCTAACCTGAGGACATAAACCTTTCCCTTGATTTTCCCTAGAAGATGTGAGGTAGGTGGTAATTCTTAAAAAATATAAAAAAGAGAAAGAAGCCCGGTGCAGTGGCTCATGCCTGTAATCCCAGCACTTTGGAAGGCCAAGACAGGTGGATCACCTGAGGTCAGGAGTTTGAGACCAGCCTGGCCAACATAGTGAAACGCTGTCTCTACTAAAAATACAAAAAATTAGCAGGGCGTGGTGGTGGGCACCTGTAATCCTAGCTACCAGGGAGGCTGAGGCAGGAGAATCCCTTGAACCCAGAGGCGGAGGTTGCAGTGAACCAAGATCATGCCATTGCACTCCAGCCTGGGCAACAAGAGCGAAACTCAGTCTGAAAAAAAGAAAGAAGGGAAAAGCAAGAAACTCTCTATCCTGTTTCCAACTGTTCAGTAGCTTCCATTTGCAACGCCAAGGGATTAAGACACAGAATGGGGCTTATTATAAAGAGAGCAAGAGTGCTGGTTGATGTGCTCCCCAGGACCTCCACATTAAGTCAAAATCTGGCCTTGGAGTCCTAAAACACAATAGGCCCCTTGTGGCAGAAACATAGATGAGTCTTTAGGCCTTTCAATGCCCATCAGATGGCACTGAAGATAGAGTACCCACATTCATTATTCTGAAACTCACGTATGAGATTTCAAAAACCTTTCACTGGAGACTACCATTTTTGGCCAAGATTTAACAATAGGGACCAGATTTACCATCCTGCCTGAAACAACTAAACACTCAGACAAAAATAGATGAAACAACAGTTTTCAAGACGTTAGGCATCAGGAAATGAATGAGATCTCTGATCACATAAACAGAATGTGATCACCAAGGGATGGGAGACAAGCAAAGTGCCTTCTACTCTTGCTTCAAATACTGCCTTGAAAGTTTTAGTCCATGGTGCAAGCAGGAGGAAACCAGGAAGATTCCCTGAGTTGAGCAGCCTGGACTAAGGGTTATAGAATAAGGCAGCTAGCATTTCAGGGCAGAGGGTAACGGAGAAAGGGTTTGTGCACAGGGAACCTCAGAAATCTACAGAGAGTCCTCCTTGAATATTCAGCAAAGAACCGAGCAGTGCTTGCATATGAGGAAAGAATTCAAGGCTGGGGAAAGAACAGTCAAAAAGAGTGCCCTGGAGCTCACACAAGTCCAGGAATTATCCCCATTCCCATCAGCCATACTAGAAAAACAAATAATGTATGGACATTGGCTAGGGTAAAAACAATAGGCTTATCTCAGCAGGGTGGAATAATCAGCCCTAGACTAAACATTGCTTTTTCTCACCTAGCAAATAATAAAATAATACCTCAAAGGATCAAACTATTTCCAAGTAAGTTAAGAGCTGCATCTCACAACAAAGTTTAAGAATATTTATAAGAAATATATTTAACCTAAAAGGTAAAATTCACAATATCTGGAATCCAGTAAAAGATTACAAAGCATACAAAAACTAACCTTATTTCATTAGTAATTGAGACATGAAACAAACAAAAGCATCATACCTCTGAGATTATTTTGCTTTCTCCCTTTTCAGTCAACTAGTCTGCTTGTTAAAATAACTTTGTCTGAGAATGTAAGCTGGTTTTATCTTTGCTTGCTTTATATGTCTTCTATACTTAACACATAAAATTAATCAGGCAATTGAAAAAATTTGTTTTCATATTTACAAAGAGATCTGTTTCACCTCAATATAATCACTTTTTTTTTTTTTTTTTACAGACAGAAATAAATGAAAGTGTTTGAAGTTTTTATCTAACTTTGCTTTTTCTTTAAGTCTTCCTTAGGACTTTAAGACAAGAACAATCAAGCCAAACAAAAATAATGTGCATCAGTAGTAAAGATAGAACTCTTGTAGTTCTCCTCTAAAACACTACTCTCACTACCCCATTGTTCTATAAGACTGTTAATTTTCATAAGAATGATCAATTGCCATTTGTTAGTTTAAAACAGTTGAAATAAAGCCTGAAGTTTGGACCTGAAACACAGTCTCAAGCTTTCAGGGAAATTCATTGGGAAGTTCTCAGTGTTTAGATCAGAGGTTTCAAAATTCAAATGACCTTAGAGTGTCTGTGTAATTACTGCTTTTTTATTTCTCATTCACTACTTATTTCATTCTCCATGTGAATTCCCTTTTTAAGTCTGTTTCGTACTTCGCCTCTTGGACACAGTGATACCAATTGCCAGGAAACTCCCTGCCTTCTACATTCTTTTTAATTCTTTTCAAAAGAGCAAACTATTTCTCTTCACTTTGATTCTGGAAACTCTCCTCTGGTTGCATGTCTTTCTGATTGATTCCTAACAACCCAGTCAAATCTTGGCTGGTGGTTAAGTTTATAAACAGAAATTGAGAAGACTTACCAAATGTAAGTGAGCTGACTGATCCAGATCTTACCCTGGCCATGTGAAAATTAACTAGCCTCAGGAACAGAACAGTCCTTTATTTGTCTTTGATTACCTAGCACTATGATTGATATATCACATATATATTCAAAAGGGTTAGTGAGTTTCTGGAAAAAATATCAATATAAGAGCAAGCAAAAAATCTCCTCTTATAGAAACTACCTATGATGACTAAAAACAAATGCATACAGGGGAAAAACTTGTATTAGTGCTGAAACTAGAGAATACTGCCAACCACATGACAACATCCCTGAGAAATCTCTGCTAAGTGTGATCTGCCTGGTACGATGTTGAAGGAAGTTATAAAGGGTCAGTTTATAATTCTCTTTCCCCAATGAAGTGGTGATTCTAGGAAGAATTCTAGGAAGTATATAGCGTCCTGGAAGAAGACCATAAACACCCCTCCTTTTGAGAGTCCAGGAATAGAGGTCAGGGGTATCACGGAAAACCAAGGTTCACATCACTTTAAGCCAATTTTATCTTCACAGATACAGACACTCAGGGGTGTCAGCACAGCGACTGGAAAAGCAATCGCTGCTGTGGTAAACAGGAAGTATCTGAACAGTAGGATGCTTCCCTTGAAGATTCAGTAATTAGAGGGTGCAATGAAAATAGCGCTCTCCAACTCAACAGACAGAAACACTAGAAATAAGGCTAGACGCAATTAGTCCATATATCTGAAGTAGAGGCCAGAACAGGTAATCAGATATAGATATAGAGATGCAAAAGTTAAGATACACAAAGGAAAAGCATGAAGAAACTTACTTCCTCAGCCTAGTTCATTTCCCACTGTCCTTAGGCTCCTGAATATTTAAAGTTATTAAAACTATATTATAGACTCTAGATTAATTCAAAATGAGACTAAAAACCTTAGAGTATTATCTAAGAGGAGAATTAGCAGATACCTAGGTAGGTTGTAAGAGATCTACAAGAAGATATAACCATACTATTTGTAAACAAAGATCAGATATAAGAATGACTAGTCTTATTAAGGATAAAAATGGAAATGGAAAAAATTAGATTTCCCCCCGCCACCAAGGATTCTGTATCTAAGAATTCCAAACTCAACTAGATAAATTGTGAAGGTTGCATAGGCAGATTTACCTACATTGTTTTTGAACAAATGTCAGGTATAAGAAATACTGCTCTTATTAAAAATGAAATGAAAAGGGAAAAAATGAGATTTTGGGGAAAAGATTTTGTATTATAAAAGAACGAGATAATTATGGCAAGCTAAACAGAGGAAGAACATATTTTTAAAATATGTACTACAAGCAAGAAAATAAGCTTTAGACAGCATTTGCTTTGTACTCTCAAGTTAATGAAAGAAAATAGGGCCTCTTTGGAAAATAAAAAGAGATAAAATAACAGATTTTAGTAAAGAAAGATCTGGTAGTGCTGAGGAAAGGATTCAAGGAAATGGAAAACTAGAACATGCAATTAGCAAAATTAAAAATAATGTGAGATGCTATAGAGAGTGGAATGGATTTCAATGAAAATGGATCAGTGATATGTATATCAAGATTTTGAGGCTTTGTCTACTCAAACTGTAAAAACACTGTAGACTGGGTGGCTTAAACAACAGACATTTATTTTTTACAGTTCTGGAGTCTGGCAAGTCCAAGATCAAGGTGCCTGCATATTTGGTTCCTGATGAGGGCTGTCTTCCTTACTTGCACATGGCCACCTTCTCACTGTATCCTACATAGTCTAGTTCCTCTTCCTCTTCTTATAAGGACACTAATCCCACCATGGGGGCCCCATCCTCATGACTTCACCTACACTTGAGTATCTTTCAAAGGCCCCATCTTCAAATACCATCACATTGAACATCAGGGCATTAACACAGGAATTTTTGGGGACACAAACAGTCCATTACAGGCTCTATTTTAAAGCAAAGAAGGAGGATAAAAAGAGGGATATGATTAAAGACAAGATCATAGATAGAGATATGAAGGACATCTAATGAAGACCTAACACACAGATAATTTGGTGTTTCTTATGATGTGAACAAAGTATGAATCAGTTTGATGGGGTAATTCAGATGCATAGTAAAGAACAATCCTTAACCAAAACAAGTCCTGAACCAGTGGGTTGAATGGGCCCACTCTGTAACAGAGTTAACAAAAATGGATAAAAATCCAGACGTAGCTAAGGTTTGGAATTTTGAGAGACCTATGATAATCCAGGGAGGAAAAAATATTACCAGTAAAGGAGGAGAATGTTTAACTGGTCTCAGACTTGAAATATTAGGTACCAAAAAATAATGAAGCAATACCTAAGGTGTTTAAGGGGGTTTTGAGACTCATCCCTTCTACCACCTGTCAAAGCAGGTGGTTTTTATTTATAAAGACAATGAAAACAATCCCAGACATATAAGGACTCTCGTAGTATTCATTCTTCATACTTTATCATAAAAAATTTACTAAAAGTTTAATCCACTGGAATACAATTTAAAGAATTGTAAGTCAGGAAGTCACAATGCCAGAGGAATAATAGTAAATACAGAAACTACTTGAAAATAGAATTAATTTTAAATAAATATAAATATGATTTGAAAAAAAGATGCAGATGTTAACATTTTAAAAAGAGAAGGTATAGAATGCAGCAGAAAACCAACAATGACAATAAAATATGATAATCTCAAATCATACTAAAAGAAGAAAATATGGGAAAAAAAGAGCAAGGGAAGAAGTTGATGAGTGTATTGGGGCAATCTCAGCTCACTGCAAACTGCCTCCCAGGTTCAAGTGATTCTCATACCTCAGCTTCCCAAGTAGCTGAGACCACAGATGTGTGTCACCATGCCAGGCTAATTTTTGTTTTTAGTAGAGATGGGGTTTTACCATGTTGGCCAGGCTGGTCTCGAACTCCTGGCCTCAAGCAGTCGGCCCGCCTTAGCCTCCCAAAGTGCTGGGATTACAAGTGTGGGCCACAGTGCCCATCAGATGGGTGTATTTCTTAACCCTATATAGGAAAGAGAAAATTTTTAAAAAATCAATTGATATAGTACTTAGAAAAATACAGGCTTACACTTTGTTTTTTACAACCTTAAAAGTTATCACCAATAAAAATAAAAGCAAACTATGTAACCTTCAAATTAGTGGAGAAGCAAAATAAAGCAAAAAATAAAAAGTAATTAGAAGATAAAAACGCGTAAAACAAATTATCAGAAATGAGGCCAACCATGCTTGACATGGTAATAATTATAAATGGCATAAAGTTAATTTGATAAAACATATATCAGATTGGCTCCCAAACAAAAATGGAACTATATACTATCAAGAAGAGACACACCTAAAATGCAGTGCCTCAGAAAAACTACAATTACAAGAATGAACAAAATATTCTCTAGAAATGAAAATGTAAGGAAAGTTGGGCTGCAATATTTTAGGAAGATGTGGATTTTAAAATATACAATATTATATTTATCATAGGTAGAACAGTATGTTATAATAAAGGGAATTACCAAAAAGTGAAAGTACAATTTTCATCAACCTGCATGTACAGAATATCACAGCTTAACAATAGAGAAACTAAAAAATGAGGAATGTATGGAGAAACATGAAAAGATAAAAATAAAACATAACCAAATAAAAAGATAATAGATACATTTTAAAAAGAGTATGTGATTAAAAAACCTGAGCTGCTCAATCTCATATCAGATTATAAAAGATGAAAGATAGCTAGTTGCACATGTATTTAAGGATGTGGTGAAATGTTTCTTTTCAAATACCTCGAACTGTTAAAATCTTTCTGTTGGCAATTTTGGCAAAATGCATCAAAATTATTTCAAAAAGTAGAGCGACTACAGTTAGCAACAATATATTGTATATTTTAACGTAGCTAGAAAACTTGGATTGTTCCCAACACATAGAAATGATACATACTGGAGGTGATGGATACCTCAAATACCCTGACTTGGTCATTACAAATTCTATGCATGTAATGAAAAATCATATGTACCCAATAAACATGTAAAATATTATATATCAAAAAATATTTTAATCATCAATACTTTTAATCCACTTGTACTATATCTAAAAAGTTATCTAAAGTAATAGGACATATGCCTGGATAGATGTAAACATTCACAAGAGTGCTAAGATTCCTATCTTCCAAGAAATATACTGGTTTGAATCAAAAGATTTAAATGCTAAGCTAAAACATCCTCCCCAAATGCTAGAAGAAGATATAGAAGAATCTTTAACCTTTAAAAGAGTTCGAAGTGAATTACATATCCAATAAGAAAAGACTGTTCCAGGTGTATGGACTTTTCCCTTTTCTGTTTTCCTTGCCTGGAGCTCTGGCCTCCCTGTCTTCATCCAGATTTCTTACTTCCACTTCACTCAAGTATCAGCTCCAAAGTTCCCTTCCCTTCCCACCGTATATAAAAACCTGGCCCCTATCTGACCCTGTCCTGCTGTGCAACATCACATGTTCTAAATATAAACTTAAAAGTACATATGTTGGATAAATTCCTGGAATTTCCTAGGTTTAATGTATACAAATTTAAACTACCTTTGTGGTGATTGTCAAGGTCCTCTCCAAACAATTGTAACGATTTGTGCTTTCTACAACAATGTACTAGACTGCTTGTTTCTTTCTATGGTACCTGTGGTAGATGATGTTACTCTTTTAAATCTTTTTAAACTTCTAGGTGAAAAACGGCATCTAACTGTTTTAATGCACTTTGATTATGAGTGAGATAAACATCTTTATAGAAGTCTTGGCTGTTGTGTTTCTTTTTTCTGTGAGCTGTCTATTCCTGCTGTTTATTCATTTCTCTATTGTGCTGCTCATCTTTTTAAGTCCATTTATAAAAGCTATATACACATTAAGGAAATAAGTTGTTCATTATCTGTGACTGTGTGTCCCCCTCCCGACCTCCATTTATTTGTCACTTGCCTTTTGACTTTATATATTTATTTCTATAAAAAAGTCTTAAGTTTTTTGTAGTCAAATTTTTATTGGCAGGACATTTTAATATTCTAGAAATTTCTGTGATCTTTACAGTATTCTGCACTACTCTTTCCTACCTTGTCACCATTAAATAGCTTCATACCTGCGCAGTATACCTCTTGACTGGAAAAAAAATAATCCCAGAAGGCGGCAGAATTCCATGTTGAGCTGAATCTGTGTTCAACGGTGGGATTCATACCTATTTGAAAGACTGTTTGAGGGTCCTACCATGAAGACTTGAGGTTTTCCTCTTGGAAAATAACATGATCTAGCAAGGGAAGTTTAGACCAACAAACTTGGCCCTAAAATAGGCCTCAGTTTCCAGAAGGGAAGAACCCACTTCCCTTGGGACTCATTTCTGGGTCATAAAGGGATGATTTTATGAGCAAAAATCCCTATTATTACTGTAGCCTGCAGGAGGGGAAAGTAGCACTGTTTGGGTATGTGTTTTTCTAATAGTATGTAACATAAATGGTGAAAGAAAGCATTCTCTTATTCTGAGAACATTGCATAATTCTGATGCCCATCAAGGGCTCCAGAGCATTGGCAGCCTTGGCAGGGGTATTTGCAAATGATTACAGCTTGCTCTGTGCTTGGCTGAAGCAGCTGCGATAAGGGGAAGCAAGATTTCTTACTGGAGGGGACAATGGGATGTTACATGCGATGACAACACCACAAATTACAAATTACACTGATCTTGGAAGATGGTTGGTGATAACCTGGAGGGTGAGTAAGAGGGAAGAATCTAGAAATAGAGAAAGAAAGGGAGCTAACACTAGATTTAGCCATCTTTATGGAAAAGTTTGAATGATTTACACATAAGACAACCAAGCTTGAGAAAAGTAGTTCATTTTAAATAGAATTTTAAAAACTTAAACACTAAGGCTATTGTGGACTATGTGAGAAAAAGATACTGGGAAAGGAAATAAAAGGAAAGGTATTAGTCCATTTCCACTCTGCTAATAAAGACATACCTGAGAGTAGGCAATTTACAAAAGAAAAAGGTTTAATGGACTTACAGTTCCACATGGCTGGGGAGGCCTCACAGTCATGGTGGAAGGCAAGGAGGAATAAGTCACATCTTACGTGGATGGCAGCAGGCAAAGAGGGAGAGCTTGTGCAGGGAATTCCTCTTTATAAAACCATCAGATCTCATGAAACTTATTCACTGTCACGAGAACAGCATGAGAAAGACCTGCTCCCATGGTAATTGAATAATTACCTCTCATCAGGTCCCTCCCACAACACGTGGGAATTCAAGATGAGATTTGGGTGGGGACACAGCCAAACCATATCAGGAAATCGAAGGCACCTCATAAAAATGTGGTTGAAATGTCAGATGAAATAAGGGAAAGTACCATCAAAATGATCATAAGCTAACTTCATAATGTTGCATGAGCCTGAAATTATTTAAAGTATGATCACTGTTGTCATGTTTGCTTTGATTTTGTTGTTGTTTTTTGTCTAGCCAGAGTTCTGAATATGAGTGAGAGTGCTGATGACTCTTGGGCCAACTCTCACTCGACAAGAAGGCAGGACAGGAGCCATCCACCACCTCAATCTGCACTTCATGTTGATTCTGGGGTGGCAGCATGTGCAGACCTGGTGTTGAAGGGCATCCAGTGCTCTGAGAGGGTCTATCCCATCAGTCTTCCATTTGACAGCCAGTATGGATAAAGCAAGATGCTTCAAGCAGGCAGTATATATAGACCCAGATAAAGGGGAGTAAGAAGTCACTGTAAGCCATTCTAAGTGTCACCCAATAGGTTACAAGCTCCCTGAGATCATAGACTGTACGTTGTTTTTTTTCTTTTTAAATTATCATTCTTATACTGTGCCTGGCAAAGTGTAGGTTTTCAATACACATTTGGTGAACTGATGACAGAATTCATTCATGGCAGTACAGCACAAACACTAGGAAGCCCTCCCTGAAGAGCAAGGCCGTCGGAAACCAAGCCTTGGCTGACATTGTAAAGAACCAGGGTGTGGCCACCTCTAGAACTCAACTCCTGTTTTGCTGTCAATAAAGGCAGGATGAAAGTGGATAAGTTTGCACTAAAATGCTATAAGATTGATTCTTTTCTGTAATGCAAATGAGATTAGGAGGATATGCTATGATTGAATTTTACATAATCACAATCTTGTTATTAGATAGAATGTCAACCTCTTTATCAAATCTGGGAAGCCAAGAAGTAGGATCACTTCATATAACTTAAAATAAGTAGTTTTAAATATATAGAGTAAGTAGTAAATTTATGGAAGTCATTATCTAAGATATAGTGTGGTTAAGAAAGAGGAAGGTTTAGTCAAATAGTTAAAAAACTAATTTGTATAATTTTTAAGAAAAATCTAAGACATTTGAAATATATTACTAAGTGTTTTAAGGTTTATTATTGAGTTCAAAATAAGTTTACATAAATTTGTAGATAAAGACTCAAAAGGTAGTTAAGAAAGGATGTGGCTGAGTGCCAGCTAGGGAGCCAAAGCGCCTCAATTCAATGCCCTACTCCGTGATCAATGGCTTTGAGTAAAGTGGCTTAATGCTTTTTACCTGAGCTCCCTGATCAGTAGTACTGGGATAATGTACCATTTTTATAAGGACACATATATGGCATTATGAAACATTGTCTAGAGTGTAGTAAAGATTTAATAGATATTAGCTATTAATAAAGAAAACCAGATTGCTTGAGGTATAATCTTTTTTTAAAAGAATTATAATAACTGGTTGACATTCTCTCACAAAATTTTCCTCTGAAGTAGAGATGAAAGATAAAATAAAAACAAGACTTGGCCAGCATGAGTGATGCCATTTCTGCTCTGATCTTGCTCATTAAATAGCTTAATTTCTCACATCCCGTGAACAGGGTATAACAGCTCAATGGGTAGTGAAAGGTCAGGTGTAGAGTCACCATCATTAGCAAATAAAACTACAGAATGCTCAGTTAAATTTGAATTTTAGATAAATTATAAATGTTTTGGTATAAGTGTACCCCATGCAATATTTCGAACATAGTCATGTTATGCTAAAATAATTATTTGTTGCGTATTCGAAATTCAAATTTAATTAGGTATCCTGTATTTTATCTGGCAGTACAATCAGGTGTGCAGCTAAAGCACTCAGGCAGTGTCTGCAGGTTTATGAGGACATCACATCTTTGGAAGACTGAGTCTCATCCTCAAGACCTAATATAATCCTATTTTTTCCATTCTGAACCATATTTTACTCACATCCCTGCCCACATCCGTTTTTTTTTTGTTTGTTTGTTTGTTTTTTGTTTTTTTGTTTTTTTTTTTAAATTTAGAGGTTTAAAAATAGTGCGTTTTGTCTTATGGCTAAAGTGTGACAGACTTTAAGTTCTAGTTTGATTTTTGGGAAATAATAATATCTAATATGATAAATTGATAATTATGCCCTGGGAAGATAAATGGTCTACACCTTGAAATTTACTAAATGTTTAGTATAGATGAAAGGAAATGCATCTTGAAATTTGCAAATGGTATTTACACAATTTGTGGTGTACTTTGTATTGCCAATATGTTTAATGTGACGATTTGTGCAATCATGCCATTCAGAATCCTCAAACTCTAGGGCAACCGTCATAAAAGTTCACTCTCTTTATCTAAAAAGGAACTAAGTTATTTCTCCCTGTCCTCCAATTATTTTTATTGATTAAATACTTATAAGATTTGCCATGTTGGCCAGTTTTAATTCTACAGTTTGGTGGCATTAAGTACCATTTGCATTGCTGTGCAACCATCACCACCTTCCATCTCCAGAACTCTTTTTATCTGTAAAAGTGAAACTCTATACCCATTAAACAATAACTTTGCCTTACCTCCTCTCTGTTGCTCTTGGCAACCACTGTTCTACTTTTTGTCTCCATGATTTTGGCTATGCTAACTAAGTACCTCATACAAATGAAATCTTACAGTATGTGTTTTTTTGTGTCTGGCTTATCTCACTTGGCATAATGTCTTCAAGATTCATCTATGTTGTAAGCATAGGTCAGAATTTCATTCCTTTTTAAGGCTGTGTAATATTCCATTGCATGTAGATACCACATTTTGCTTATGCATTCATCTGTCGTGAATACTTGAGTTGCTTCCCTGTTTTAGCTATCGTGAATAATGCTGCTATAAACATGAGCACACAAATACTCCCCAAGATCTTGCTTTCAGTTCATTTGGGTATATACTCAGAAGTAAAATTGCTGGATCATATGGTAATACTAGTTTTAGCCATGCTGTTTTCCACAGTGGCTGAACCATTTTACATTCCCACCAAAAGTGCACAAAGTTTTTAATTTCTCCATATTCTCACCAACACTTATTATTTTCTGTTTTTTTTTTAATAGTAGCCATCCTAATGAGTGTGATGTGTTACCTCATTATAGTTTTGATTTGCATTTCCCTACTGGTTAGTGACATTGAGCATCTTGTTATGTGCTTATTTGCCACTTACATATTGTCTTTGGAGAAATGTCTAGTTAAGTCCTTTGCCCATTTTTTGTCAGATTGTTTACTTTGTTTTAAGTGAGTTTTAGGAATTCTCTATATACTCTGGATATTAATTTCTTATCAGATATGTTATCTGCAAACATTTTCTCCTATTCTGCACATTGCCTTTTTACTCTTTTTATAGCGCCCTTTGATGCACAAAACTTAAAAAATTTTCATGAAATTCAATTTGTCTATTTTGTCACATTTTGCCTACACCTTTAGTACCATATCTAAAATATCACTGCCAAACCCAATGTCATTAAGCTTTTGTTCTATGTTTTCTTATAAGAGTTTTATGATTTTAGGTCTTTCATTTAGGTATTTGGTCCACTTTGAGTTAATTTTTGTATATGGTGTTAGGTAAAGATCCAACTCATCTTTTTGCATGTAGATATCCAATTTTTCCAGCACCATTTGCTGAAAAGACTATCCTTTTCCCATTGTATAATCTTGACATCCTTGTCAAAAATCATTTGGCCATATATGCAAGGGTTATTTCTGGCATCTCTATATTATTCCTTTGGTCTATATGTCTGTCTTTATGCCACTACCCTACCACACTGAGTTGATTACTATAACTTTGTAGTAAGTTTTGGAATCAGGAGTGTGAGTCCTCTAACATTGTTCTTTTTCAAATCTGTTTGGCTATTTGGGATCTCTTGAGATTTTGTTTGAATTTTAGGATGGTTTTTTCAATGTCTTCAAAAGCCAATCTTAGGGTTTCGATAAAGATTGAATTGAATTTGTAGATTAGGTAGTATGGATGTCTTAATACTATTAAGTCTTTCAATCCATGAACATGATATGCATTCCAATTTATTTATGTCTTCATTTTTTCATCAATGTTTTATAGTTTAATTGTACAAGTTTTTCACCTCCTTGTATGAGGTAATTCCTACGTATTTTGTTCTTTCTGATGTTATTGTAAATTAAATTGTTTTTGTAATTTCCTTTCCAATTGTTCATTGTTAGTGTGTAGAAATGCAGCTAGTATTTGCATGCTGACTTTGTATCTTGGTACTTGCAGAATTCATTTATTAGTTCTAATAGTTTTTTGGGGGTGGAATCTTTAGGGGTTTCTTCATATAAAATCATGTCTTCTGTGAACAGAGATCATTTTACTTCTTCCTTTCCAATTTGTATGCCTTTATTTCTTTGTCTTGCCTAATTGCTTTGGCCAGAACCTCTAGTACTATGTTGAATGGAAGTGGTAAAAGCAGACACTGTTGCCTTGTTTCTGATCTGAGAGAAAGTTTTCAGTTTTTCACCATATTTGCCTTGGGTTTTCACATATGGCTTTTATCATGTTGAGGTAGTTATTTTGTTCCTACTTTGTTGACTTTTTTTTTTTTCCAAGAAAGGGTATTAAATTAGATCGAAAGTTTTTTTCTGCATCAATTGGGATGATTATGTGTTTTATTCCCCTTCATTCTGTTTACGTGATTATTACATTGATTAATTTTTTTGTGTTGAACTACCTTTGCATTGCATAAATAAATTCCACATGGTCATGATGTATAATCCTTTTAATATGGTGCTGAATT
Source organism: Homo sapiens (assembly GCF_000001405.40). NCBI lineage: Eukaryota > Metazoa > Chordata > Mammalia > Primates > Hominidae > Homo > Homo sapiens. Next base: position 47,060,586 of record NC_000013.11, read on the forward strand.
CAATTTACTATTTTGTTGAGGATTTTCACATCAACGTTCAAGAGGGATATTGCTCTGTAGTGTCTTTTTTTTTCTTGTAGTGTTTTCGTCTGGCATTTTATTTCTGTAGAAACAGTACTAATGTCCTTTTTTCTGTTTTAGGAAATCGAGGCTTCTTTTAAAATCAATCTAGCTAACAGTTTGCCAATTTTGTTGATTTTTTCAGAGAACCAACTTTTGTTTTTCATTGATTTTTTATATTGTTTTTCTATTCTGTATTTCATTTATCTTGGCTCTAATCTTTATTATTTCCTTCCTTCTTCTAGCTTTGGGTTTAGTTTGTTCTTTCACTAGTTTCTTAAATTGTAAAGTTAAACTGCTAATTTGAAATGTTTCTTGTTTTTTAATGTAAACATTTATAAGTATAAATTTCTCCTTTACCACTGCTTAGCTATGTCTCATGAGTTTTGATATGTTGTGTTTTCATTTTTATTCTTCTCTAAGTATTTTATCATTTCCTTTGTGATTTGATCTTTGATCCATTGGTTGTAGAAGAGTATGTTGTTTAATGTTTACAATTTTGTGAATTTTCTGGTTTTATCTTTGTAACTGATATCTAACTTTATTCCATTGTGCTCAAAAAAGACACTTTGTATGATATCTTAATAAATCTATTGAGACTTAATTTGTGGACTAACATGGGCTATCTTAGAAAATGGCTCATGTGCACTTGAGAAGAATGCATATGCTGGTGTTATTCAGTAAAGTGTTTGTATATGTACACTAGATCTGGTTGGTCTATTATTTTGTTTAAGTCGTCTGTTTCTTTATTTATCTTCTGTCTGCTTGTTCTACCCATTATTGAAAGTAGGGTATTAGAGTATCCAATTATTATTGTAGAACTATTTCTCCCTTCAGTTTTGTCAGTTTTTATTTTATGTATTTTGATGGCCTTTCATTAGGTGGGTAAATGTTTATAATTGTTATATCTCCTTACTGTATTTAAACTTTTATTAATATAGAATGTCTTTTTCCCTGGTAAACTTTTTTGATTTAAAGTGTATTTTGTCTGATATTAGTATAGACACCCATTTCCCTCTTCTGTTTACTGTTTGCGTGGAATATCTTTTTCCAGCCTTTCACTTTAAGTCTATCTGTGTCTTTGTATCTGAAGTGACTCTCTTGTAGACAACACAGAGTTGGATCATTAAAAAACATCTATTCTGCTAATCTCTATCTTTTGACTGGATAATTTAATCAATTTACATTGAAAGTAATTGCTGATAAAGAGGTTCTTCTGTCATTTTGCTGCTTGTTTTCTATATGCCTCATAACTTTTTTGTTCCTCATTTCCTGCATTATGAATTTCCTTTGTTTTTAATAAATTTCTTCATAGTGAAATCTTTAAATTCCTTTCAATTTCCTTTTGTATATATTCTATAGATAGTTTCCTTGTGGTTAACATGAGGACTACCTTTAACATCCTGAAGTTATAACACTCTAATTTGAATTTATAGCCACTTGACTTCAATCTCATAAAAAAATACCTCTGCTCTTTTAACAGCTCTGTCTCTATTATTTTAGTTGTTGATGTCATAAAATCACTTGTTTATGTGCTTGTGTGCCCCAAAATATATGCTAATAATTGTTTGAGTTATAATTATTCAAATAGTTGTATTATTCTCTTATGTAAAAAACAAAATGTTGAGTTGGAAACTGAAGTTACAATAATACTAGCTTTTAGATTAATAAATTTTTAATGTATTAATCTCTTCAATCATGTAGAAAACAGAATTGAAGTTATAAACTGTTGTTACAATAATGTTAGCTTTTATAATTGCCCTTGTATTTAACTTTATTGAGATCTTTTTCATCTGGTTTTGAGTTACTGTCTAGTGCCCTTTTATTTTACTTTGCAGGACTCTGTTGAGCATTTCTTGCAGGGTAGGTCCAGTGGTAACAAACTTCCTTAGCTTTTGTTTATCTGGGAATGTTTTAATTTCTCCCTTACTTTTGAAGGACAGTTTTGCAGGATATAAGATTCTTGGTTGATAGACTTTTTTCTTTTAGCATTTTGAATATGTTGGCCCACTGCCTTCTGGAGCCCAATGTTCTGTTGAGAAATCTGCTGATACTTTTATTGAGACTCTCTTGTATGTGATGAAGTGCTTCTCTGTTGCTGCTTTGAATATTATCTCTTTGTTTTTCAAAAGTTTGATTATAATGTATCTTGATTTGGGTCTATTTGAGTTAACCTTACTTGGAGTTTATGGAGCTTCTTGGGTGTTCATGTCTTTCATCAAATTTTGGATGTTTTTAGCCATTATTTCTTCAAATATTATTGCTGCCCCTTTCTTCTTATCTCTTTCTCTGGCTCCCAAAATGCATATATTCGCCTGGTTGGTGATACCTCACAGTTCCCTTAGGCTATGTTCACTTTACTTTAATCTTTTTTCTTCTATTCTTTATGATTTTCATTTTCCTATTTTCAAGTTTTCTGTTTTTTTCTTACTCCTGCTCAAATCTGCCTTTGAATTACTCTAGTGAATTTTACATTTTAATCATTGTACTTTATAGCTTCAGAATTTCTAATTGGTTTCTTTATTTCTTTCTTTCTTTTTTTTTTTTTTTTAAGATGTAGTTTAGCTCTTGTTGCCTAGGCTGGAGTGCAATGGTGTGATCTTGGCTCACGGCAACCCCTGCCTCCTGGGTTCAAGTGATTCTCCTGCCTAAGACTCCTGAGTAGCTGGGATTATAGGCACATGCCACAATGCCCAGCTAATTTTGTTTTTAGTAGAGATGGGGTTTCACCATGTTGGCCAGGCTGGTCTTGAACTCCTGACTTCAAGTGATCTGCCCACCTCGGCCTCCCAAAGTGCGGAGATTACAGAGCATGAGCCACTGCATCCAGCCTCTAACTGGTTTCTTTTTAGGTTTTCTATCAGTTTATAGACATTTCCATTTTGTTCATACATCTCTTTTTGACTTTTTGCACATCTTCCTTTAGTTCTTTGAGCATCTTAAGGCAATTCTTTTTTTTTTTCTTTCTCTTTTTTTTGAGGTGGAGTGTCTCTCTGTCATCAGGCTGGAGTGCAGAGGCATGATCTTGGCTCACTGCAACCTCTAACTCCCTAGTTCAAGGAATTCTTCTGCCTCAGCCTCCTGAGTAGCTGGGATTACAGGCATGCACCATCATGCCCAGCTAATTTTTGTATTTTTACTAAAGACAGGGTTTCGCCATGTTGCCTAGGATGGTCTAGATCTCCTGACCTCATGATCTGCCACCTCAGCCTCCCAAAGTGCTGGGATTACAGGCGTGAGCCACCACACCCAGCCACGGCAATTTTTTAAATGTTTTTTTTCTAGTATATCTGCCATCAGTTCTTTTTAAGGGACACTTTCTGTGTTTGTTTGTTTGTTTGTTTTCCCCTTGAATGGGTGATAGTTTTCTGTTTTTTTTTTTTTTAATATATCTTGTGATTTTTGTTTAAAACTGGACATTAGAATTAATGTAGTAACTCTGGAAATCAGATTCTCTGGTTTCCCTGGGGTTTGCTGAGTTTTTAAAAAAAATTGCTTTAGTTCTAATTTTGATGGTTATAGACTGTCTCTGTGCCAAGGATAAGCCTAAGATATAAACTTAATGTCTTCTCAGGTCTTTACTGAGCCTGTGTCTTTTCCTGAACACACAATCACTTTTTAGTTTCCCCATATACACAGTCATTTTAGAATATCCTAGTTTTTACTGTTAGGCTGTTAAAAAGGAAAAGAGAAAAATGAAGAAAGGGAGGGTGATGGTTCTTCAAATCCCCTGGAAGTCACTTCAGCCAGAGATGGAGGAGTTTGTGTCAATGAGGGAGGGTGAAACAACAGTGGCCACCTGCCTCTTTGACTGCACCTCTGTGATGAGAAGCAGGAATTAGCAATCAGAGCACAAATTACCAATATTTGGAGGACAGGCATCATTTTTCCTACCTTGGCTCATATAAGCTGCGTGCAGATTGCTCCAGAATTGTGTGCATAGCTGCCTGCCATGGGGCTGGGAGTAGGAGCAGGTAGCTGCTACTATGCTAAGAGTCGAAATTGATGAAAATTAACTGCAATTTACCACATAAGCCTATCTCTGGAAGTTGTAAATCTTCAATAAACTCCAGAGTTCCAAAATAGATACATCAGACAGATTCTACCATTGCAGTTGTTGTCAGACTCCTGGGGTTTCCTACCTCACCATCTTCCCAGAATCCTCAATTGGGACTATTATCTCTTAATGAGAAGGAAAGCCAGAACCCCAAAGGGAAAGCCTATTCAAAGAAAAATTGTTGACTACTGGGCATGATAATAACATTTTGTTTTCTGTTGGCAATTATTTGAAGAAATGCTTTAATTTGTCAGTGTCAGAGAAGAGGTGGGGAGTATAAAGATCATATTTTACTTATAGGGATTTTCTTAATATTATATTGAGTTATCAGAAAAAATAATAATTAAAAAAATTATTTTTCTGTTTTGATGCTGCCTTTTTAGAGCTCAAGACATTTTCCAAAATATGTTTCTTCTCAAAGGGGTGCCCTTGTGAGTCAAGTAGGTTTCTAACACCCAGTCTTGCCCAGGCCTTTAGATCTGGGGTCAGCCAGGGTTCCAGCAAGTGAAACTTTCTTCATTAAGGCCTGCGTTTACATCTGAAAATGATACCTCTTTATAACTTTAGAGGAATAATTTAGTTCTTATTTTCCACATGGGCTTATTCCTGAAATCTAGCAGAATATCCACAGGATAAAGAAAATAGAGTAAATGAGAGAGAGGGAGAAAAAATGAATAACAGCTAGGTTACATGGTTGATGTACTTGCTTGGGTGTGTTGTGGAAAGGGAGAAATGGAATCCTCTGCCACAGCCTTGACAAGACAGGTAAGTTGTTTAAAGAAAGCAAGGCTGGGCACGGTGGCTCACACCTGTAATCCCAGCACTTTAGGAGGCCGAGGTGGGCGGATCACGAGGTCAGGAGATTGAGACCATCCTGGCAAACACGGTGAAACCCCGTCTCTCCTGAAAATACAAAAGATTAGCTGGGCGTGGTGGCAGGCACCTGTAGTCCCAGCTGCTCGGGAGGCTGAGGCAGGAGAATGGCATGAACCTGAGAGGCCGAGCTTGCAGTGAGCAGAGATTACACCATTGCGCTCCAGCCTGGGCAACAGAGCGAGACTCTGTCTCAAAAAAAAAAAAAAAAAAAAAAAAGGCAAGACAAAGACAGAATAGGAGGTTTGACCATTAAATAATGTGGACTTAAGAAACAAAACAGAACCATGAAAAGTCATACTTAAGGCATTTATTACCCAACATGTTAAATGAAAGATCTGTGGTCACTGTGCTTAAGAGCATGTCAATTAATTTACTTTGTCACACTGTCTATGGTCAATGCCAGGTGTCATGTCATCTCATATTTTGATGAGACTGGAATAAAAAGGGTAGGAGATGTCAGTTCTCACCCCCATGATTTTGTGCATATCTGTGACACCAAAAAGCACCTTGCAGCGATGATTGTATTTTTCAGTTTTGCAGGACTTCTTGGAATGTCAGGAAACACAATAGACATATTAAATTGGAGAAAAATTGAGTTATTTAAAACTCAAATGTGGGCTTGTGGGGATGATTTCTCAATCAGTTTCTCTCTCTCCTCTCTCTGTTTCCCTTCAGAATTTCAGAGCAGAAAATAGGAAGTCAAGGCTTTGATGATAGGACTAAAACTTGCATTTTGGCTTCTCCTCTAATATAATATTAGTAATAACTTCCAGCATGTTTGTGGAGGAGTGCTTCTTCCCACTCTTGATTTTTTTCTTTCCTGTGGTTGCAGTCCCATTAGCATTTCACTCTTTGCCTGCTTCTAGCTTCTCACTCACATTCTGTAGAGGAGATGTGACCTAATCTCACTGGGGATTTGAGAAAGAGAAACTCAGCAAGTAAACTATAATTTTTTCCTTCCCCTTTGTCTTAGAAGCAAACCTACCCACAGAGGTCATTTGCCCTTATCTATGTGGTAAGTTTAGTAGTAAGTGTTGGGAAGGTTTGTGGTTACAACCTGGGATGGGAAGTCTGTATGTATTAAGGATTTAGTATAAGAAAGTTCACTTCCTTACAAACATATCTATCTTCTTTAATATCATCATTATCATGATAAAAGTGTTACTCTATGTACCAAACATTTATGATTCTAGGCAATTATTGACATGTATTTTTTTTTCATTTAACCCTTAAAACCTGCCGACGAGATAGGTGCTATTGTTACCCATTTTACACGTGAGAAAATGGGAACAGAGAGGCTAAAAAACTTGTTCAAGGTCACAAATAGCAGCTATTGGATAGCTGGTAAAAGATAGAGACAGGACCCACAGCAAAGTGGACTGCCCTAGACCACCCTGATATACCATCTCACATATTAATTCCACACCTGTAATTTCCATTTGACTACACTATTTTCTCTAGGTCTCTCAATTTTTTTCAAAAATTATGAAAAGTAGTTCACTTATGATGCAAAATATAATGCTTGCTAAGTCCTTTTATTTTCCTGAATGTTCTCTGGTGTCTTTTTTCAGTGCAAAAGTTGAAGAGCATCCTGCAGAGCAATCACAAGAAAAATAAAATTCAAAGGGAAAAGGTGACAAGTCACAGACAGTGCATTTTCTTGTCCTGAAATCTGAAACAGAAAGCTATCAAAGCAGGAGCTGGGAATTGTGTGCAGGATAGGGAAATAAAAGAACCCCCTAAGTAAAGAGTTCTGTCACAGAGTCCTGTGGTGCAATGAGAATCAACCCCAAATGCTATTTGGAAAGAAAAAGACAATTACTAGATTTTTCTTGTATGATGTTTTATCAGAACAGCTTCAAAAACAGATTGAAAACATTCTCAGGCAACAGCAGCATGAGAATGGGATGCCAGTTTTTGTGGCATGTGTGTACTTAGCAGTAAAGCATTCATAGAAAACACAGCTGTCTTTTAGATCCATCTGGCTAGGGGGCAGGCCTTCAAGATTTGACTGCTGGGAAATTTCATGTCATTTATGTATGTAGGAGAAAAGTAGGCAACTTGCGGTGTGAGTACTTCGATTTCCTGACACCAGAAGATTGTAACGTGAAGATGCAGCATTATAGATTAGGGCTCCAAGTGCAAAGCATGGCTAATTTTGTATCGTTAGTTATTAAAAGTCTTGGAAGAAATTTAGGTGTAAGACCATTTGGAAATTGTTAGATATTTGGAAGATGGTCATAAAGAATTCTCTCCTATCAACCTTGCTTTATGAAAAGTAAGAAAAACACAGAAGAAGCTAACTAAAAAGCCAAGTTCCCACCTACAGGGTGCATGCAGATTTACACCTCTCAAAAGAAAGCCACAACCTGGATTTCATTTCTGCTGTAGAGAGGTTCATTATGGTTAGGGTAGATAGTATAAATGCCTTAAACTAAAGTACAGTTAAGGATATCACAAAGATGCTAAGTACACACTTGATACATAGAAGACACACATGGAAATGAATCTAGTATTAACTTTTCCATCTATGGAAATCTTTTTTGAAGGTATTGAGAGTTACGGTGACCTCATTGCTCAGAAGTGGAATGAAGTTAACTTCAGCATTAGGAAACCTGCATCTAACTGCAGTCTGTAAATGCAGCACTGTGGACCAGTTGAGGAAAAGTCTGTAGTTGGGTGCTGGGTAGGGTTTCTCTTTGAAGACAGGTAGGAAAGAAGACTTTAGATTTGAATGTTGGCAGAGGATTAGTCTTGTGAGAAATAGAGGTTTAAAAGCGAATGCCTTTCTCAAGAGAATCAAGTGAAAAGATGGTATCAAGAAGTCACAAAGAAATCATTTGCATTGGTGGGCTGCACATGCTAGACAAGAACTCAGGGGCAGTTGGGGCCAGGTCAGGGTTCAGATTTCAGGTACCTGAAGGAGTGACAGCTTTTGAGACCTTGACATAAGACTTTTCATCTTGTCCCTTAAGGGAAACTTGGTCTTGCAGAAGCAGTGACTAGAGAGAGATTGACACAAGGTAACCCATCTGGCCATTCCTTTCACAAATAAGATCACCTGAGTTTCTCTTCAGATTAAGATAACCGTGAGGTAAGTGGTACAAACAATAAATAAAACATGATTCCAAATGTGGAAGAAATCACTGGGGCTGCAGGACAGCAGAGAATGCTTGGGGCGTGAGTTAGGGACTTGGTCCAAAGGCTGAGTAGGACAGAAGCAAGATCAGAGAGAGAAGGCCAGTTATGAAGAGGTGAGTGCTGATGTAGGCAACGGGCACAGGGATCCTCCTCAATTACAATTTCCTTTCATCTACTTGTATTGAGAAAATCTGTTTGGATAAACAAGCTCATCTTCTGATATCCAATTATCTTAATACATGGTATCTTAGTTTGGGTCTCTTAAAAGTAGACTCTGAGACAAAAATTTGGGTGCAAGTAGTTTATTTGGGAGATACAAGGAATACTAGTATGAGAGAGAAGTGAGACGGAGAAGGTAAACCAGCCAATAAAGGGTGCGTCATGATACCCTCCCAATCATAGTGGAAGGCTAGAATTTAATCCTACAGGAGAATTCGAGGAAATATATGAAACATGCTTGTTGTAATTCTCTAACCTAATGTGGAGGGAGCCGAGGTCTTTACATACTAATTCCCTAGAGTCATTGGTTGAGGGCTGCTCCAGGCTGGTATTAATTCCCTAGCACTTTTGGTTTCTTTCATGTACAGTTCAGTCTTCACAGTTCTGGAAGCAACCTCAGTCCCAGGGATATGGGTACTGACAAGTATCTACTATTAGTGGATTAGGCTGATTAGTCACTTTAATTCTGTGTGAATTACTTGAATCCAGTTGCCCTTTTTTTTTTATTGTTTCTAAATAAGAGAGTCAGCATTTTGATAGGCTTAAATGAAACGTATGATTTATGCCTTGACAACCTGGACAAGAGAGCAGAGTTTGAGTTAATCTTTGCATGTCAGTCAGTGCTTCATCGCTAGTATATTCCCAATGACTGGTGGTTGAATTGTATTTAAAGGTGTTGAAAGGGAGGTGGAAAGGCCATTAAAAGACATACTCCAACAGTTCTACTATTTTTTTCCCTGAGTCTACAAACCATGCCAGATCCTTAACAAAGGTAGGTATTCTTGGAATTTCATGAATGGCACCATTTGAAAAGCAGAGTGTTTAGTAAATATTGAAAAATAATAATGAGATAATTTGTGTATTTCCCACCATCTGGGAGTTTTCACACTAGTATTCAGCTTTCAGGCTCTTATTCATGCTCTTCTATTTAATTATGCTCTTTGTATGAACATAAATAATTCTTTTCACTGAAGCAAATTCTTAAATATTCTCATTCTTTATTTTTAATCTTAAAAATTAAAATAGGAATTATATAATTTCATATTCTTGAAGTTATTCCTTCTCCTTTTACTTTCAAATCATTTTATTTTATATTAATTACTTTGGGGGATTAATGCTAATTATTTGATTCCATGTTAGTAAATGATAAGATATAATCACAGTAATAATTAATTTTTTTACTACTGGATAACTTTCATTCTTTAGTCCTTGTACAGTATGCAGTATAGTTGTTTTTGGAATTTGTGATTGATCCTTGCCTTTTTAAGTAGAGGTTCTGAATAAATTATGGTCCATTCAGTAAAGGTTTTAAATGTCCAATTGCTGATGAATTTTTTTTTCGTTTAGCATTAAACAAAATTAAATTAAAAAAATTTTCCTGTATGAATGAAATTCAGCTGGGTTCTTTAAGACACATGTCATTAAAATGTGCATGCAGGATTAGAAAAATATCTTTAACACCTGTTTCATTTTATGCCTACACATTTCATACTTGATTAACTGTCATTACCTGGCATATTTCTTCACAGCAAATTGATGCTTCTGTCCTAGAGTGGTTATAGTGGTGCTGGTACTGATGAAGGTGTTATGAAGTACTAGGGGATGGCACAGAGAGAAAGTGAAGGCTAACACACGGCTGACATTATAGGGAGTAGGCCAAAGTCAGTCAATGATATTTTAGTTTATCAGCAGAGGTTTCCTGAAGGTCCTGGGAAATTTTAGAAAAGTCAAAAGAAAGCATGATAGACACGTGGGAAGTATGATAAGCTCCATGACACTTCACTTTTGCTCCTGCCTCAGGACCTGTGTGCTTGCTTTTTTAAATCAGTCTAGTTAGCAGTCTGTTTACCTTATGTATTCTTTCAAAAACCAAATTTTTGGTTTTGTTGATCTTTTGTATGAATTTTCAGTTTCATTCAGTTCAGGTCTGATTTTGGTTATTTCTATTCTTCTGCTTGCTTTAGGGTTGGTTTGCTCTTGCTTTACTAGTTCCTCTAGGAGGGATATTTGGTTGTTAATTTGAGATCTTTCTGACTTTTTGATGTAGGTGTTTAGCACCAGAAACTTTCCTCTTAACACTGTTTAAGCTATGTTCCAGAGATTCTTGTATGTTGTATCTTTGCTTTTATTAGTTTCAAATAATTTCTTGGTTTCTGCCTTAATTTCTTTATTTATTCAAAAGTCATTCAGGAGCAGGTTGTTTAATTTCCATGTGATTGTATGATTTTGAGAGATTGTCTTGATATTGATTTCTATTTTTATTGCACTGTGGTCTTTGAGTGTGGTTGGTGTTATTTTTTAAAATTTGTTGAGAATTGGTTATGGCTGAGAATGTGGTTGCTCTTCCCTTTGCCTGGAATGCTCTTCCTGGTTGCCTCTTTTGAGTTGTCTACCTGTCTGTAGGTACTTGAGTGTGCCACTTCCACTTTTCTTCATTTCATTGGTCTGGCTGAGGACTTTAGTACTACCTATACTCATATTCTACCCTACCCGTACTCATATTCTTCTTCTCTATAACTTTTTGTAGCCCACAAATCTTTGCGTGGTTGTCTTCTCTTCGTCATTTTAGTCTCAGCTCAAATGTCATCCCTTTGAAGAAAACTTCCCTGACTACTATAGTTAAAATACCACTGCTCCCCATAAAAATATCCAGTTATTTTCTCAACTATTGCCCTATTTTACTTTTTTTGTTACATTTATTATCTGAAGTACATTATTTACTTATTTGTGTTTTTGTTTGGGTGTTTATTGTTTACCTCTCTCTACTAGAATGTAGATTCCACATGGGTAGGAACTTAATTTTGTTCACAATTAAATCCACAGTATATACAATGTGCCGTGCTAGCTACATGGCAGGTGCACGGTATTTGTGGAGTGAATAAACCTTCATCAAGTCAAGAGACTCTATGGAACAAAGCTATGGCTTCTCATCTCCTACAAGTTCGTTTTGACACAGAATCTCTTCTTCAATATAACATAAGAGTAGGGGTTTTTATTTTCCCTATTTTTAGGAGTTTTCTATATTGTGTGGCATTTGCAAAATCTCTTAATTTGTCTGATTATCTCAGACCTATAGGAACCAAGATGTGCATGCTGTTTTGTAAATTACAAGCTATGTAAATTTATTTACCAGAGGAGACTCTAGTTTTCCATTTTAGCCACAAAAAGTTAAAGACAAAAAGGACATGGAGGACTGGCAGGAATATGCTAACATCCTTAACTAGACTAACAAAATAAGGAAAAGCAAGGGTGGTAAACTCAAATACCCAAAGAGAACAGGTAGACAACTCAAAAAAAGAAACTGGCTGTAAGGATGAGGAGTTGATTTGTCTGGCTACAATGCTGTGCGCTGTAGGTCTATGTTGCCACAATTTTTAATATTTCATTTTAGAGATGGGTTTTGCTCTGTCACCCAGGCTGGAGTGCAGTGGCACAATTGCAGCTTACTGCAGCCTTGAACTGGGCTGGAGAGATCCTCTTGCCCCAGCCTCCCAAGTAGCTAGGACTACAGGAATCCACCACCACAGTCAACTAAGTTTTAAAATTTTTATAGATATGGGGTCTTGCCATCTTGCCCAGGCTAGTCTTGAACTCCTGTGCTCCAGAAATCCTCCAACTTTGGCTTTCAAAAGTTCTGGGATTACAGATGTGAGTAATTTTTTTTTAAAAAAACTAATTATTTAGCTGGGTGCTGGATATGGATTATGCCTATAATCCTAATACTTTGGGAAGCTGAGGAAGGAAAATTGCTTAAGCCCAGGAGTTTGAGACCAGCCTGGGAAACATAGTGGAACCCTGTCTCTACAAAAATATTAAAGAGTAGCTGGTAATGGTGATGCACACCTGTAGTCCTGGCTACTCAGGAGACTGAGGCAGGTGAATTGCTTGAGGTCAGATATTTGAGGCTGCAGTGAGCTAGGATTGCACCACTGCACTCCAACATGGGCCACAGAGTGAGACACAGCCCACCCCTCAATCAAATAAACAAAAAGTATGTAGAAGAAATTAATAAGACCTAGTATTTAATAGCACAACATAATGACTATAGTCAATAATAATTTAATTGTACATTTTAAAATAACCTAAAGAGTATAATTCAGTTGTTTGTAACACAAAGGATACATGCTTGAGAAGATGGATATTCTATTTACCATGATCTGATTACTATGCATTGGATGCCTGTATCAAAGTATCTCATGTACCTCATAAATATATACACCTACTATGTACCCACAAAAATTAAAAATTAAAGTAATTACCTAGATTTTTCTGAAATTGCCTAAATTTGAAATTTGAAATATAAAATCAAATTTAAAAATACTGTTCAGGATAAATAAAACTTATTTGAGGTTCCTACATAAACAGCAGACTCCTAGGCTTTATCTATGAACTAAAGAAAAATCTTTAAGCAGATTACTGGACTTTGCAATGATTTTGTTTTAAGAAAAGTATCTACACAGGACCTGCTGCTGGCCACTGCCGCTGGTGTGCATGTGGGACCTGCCACTGCCCACTGCCACTGGTGTCCATGTACATGAGGAACCCTGCAAACAACTGCCTCCCTGCTGAAGCACTTTTGCTAGCAAACCTCATTGGAATGTTGTTGTCTTCAGATTGGGAACACCTCAGCTTCTTCAGTGCAGCAGGCACTTAACCTCAAAGAGCCAGAGAAAAAAAGCCATGGATCTGGTCCTAGCCCCCTAGGTTTAGAGTACAAACCCCATGTTTGATTAGCTGAAACCTGGCCCTCCAAAATTATCCAGAAATAAAGCCGATCAACAAAACCCAACTTATACCACAGTAAAAACCAACCTAAAGGGCATCAAAGATACAAAAATAACAAAAGTCAGAGTGTCTTCTTATCTCCAAATTACTGCACAAGCTCCCCAGCAATGGCTAAATGGCATGGCTAAATGGCTGAAATGGATGAAATGGCTAAAATGACAGATATAAAATTCAGAATCTGGATGGCAATGGAGAGCATTGAGATTCAGGAGAAAGTTGAAAACCATCACAAGGAATCTAGGGAATCCAATTAAATGATACAAAAGATGAAAGATGAAATAGCCAAACTAATCTTCTAGAGCTGAAAAACTCACTACAAGAATGTCACAATACAATTAGAAGTATTAACAGCAGAGTAGAGTAGACCAAGATGAGGCAAGAATCTCAGAGTTCAAAACCAGTTCCTTGAATCAACTCAATCGGACTACAAATTGGACAAAAATAGTTTAAAAAACTAAACTTCTGACAAATATGGGATTATGTAAAGAAATCAAACCAATGACTCATTGGCATCCCAGAAAGAGAAAGCAAGCAACTTGGAAAATATATTTTATGATATTGTTCATGAAAATTTCCCCAACCTTGCTAGAAAAGTCAACATGCAATTCAGAAAATTTAGAGACCCCCAGTGAGATACTATATAAGATGACTATCCCCAAGACACATACTCATGAGATTCTCCAAGGTGAACACAAAAGAAAAAATATTAAAGGGAGCTAAGAAAAGGGGTAGGTTATGTACAAAAAGAATCCCATCAGCAGAACTTTCAGCAGAAACCTTACAAGCCAGAAGAGATTGTGTAACTATATTCAAAATCCTTAAAGAAAAAAAAGTTAATCAAGAATTTCATATCCAGCCAAGCTAAGCTTCATAAGTAAAAAAGAAGTAAATTCCTTTTTAGACAAGCAAATGCTAAGGGGATTTGTTACCACCAGACCTGCCTTACAAGAGGTCTATAAGGGAATGCTAAACATGGAAATGAAACACAATTACCTGCCATCACAAATACACTGAAGTCCATAGCTCACTGACACTATAAAGCAACTATACAATCAAGTCTGCGTAACAACATGATGGCAGGATCAAATCCTCACATACCAATATTAACCCTGAATGTAAACTGGCTAAATGCCACACTTAAAAGGTACAGAGTGGCAATTTGGATAAAGAAGCAAGACCCAACTGTATGCTGTCTTCAAGAGACTCATCTCACGTGCAGTGACCCTCATAGGCCCTAAGTAAAGGGATACAGAAATATCTATTAAGCAAATGAAAAACAAAAGAGAGCACGGGTTATTGTAATTTCAGACAAAAGAGAGTAAACCAACAATGATCAAAAAAGACAAAGAAGACATTACATAATGATAAAGGGCTAATTCAACAAGAGGACTTAAATAACCGAAATATATATGCAGCCTACAATGGAGCACCCAAATTCATAACAAGTTCTTAGAGACCTATGAAGAGACTTAGGTAACTACACAATAATAGTGGGAGACTTCACTACCCCATTAAAAGCATTAGAAAGATCATTGAGGCTAAAAACTAGCAAATATACTCAAGATCTAAACTCATCATTTGACCAAATGGACCTAACTGACATCTATAGAACACTCCACCCAACAACAACAGGATATACATTCTTCTCATCTGCATGTGGCCCATACTCTAAGATCAACCACATTCTCAGCCATAAGCAATTCTCAACAAATTTAAAACACCAACCACACTCAAAGACCACAGTGCAATAAAAATAGAAATCAATATCAAGACAATCTCAAAATCATACAATCACATGGAAATTAACCTGCTCCCAAATGACTTCTGAATAAAGAAAGAAATTAAGGCAGAAACCAAGAAATTATTTGAAACTAATGAAAGCAAAGATACAGCATACAAGAATCTCTGGAACATAGCTTAAATAGTGTTAAGAGGAAAGTTTCTGGTGCTAAACACCTACATCAAAAAGTCAGAAAGATCTCAAATTAACAACCAAATATCCCTCCTAGAGGAACTAGTAAAGCAAGAGCAAACCAACCCTAAAGCAAGCAGAAGAATAGAAATAACCAAAATCAGACCTGAAGTGAACGAAATTGAAAATTCATACAAAAGATCAACAAAACTAAAAATTTGGTTTTTGAAAGAATACATAAGGTAAATAGACTGCTAGCTAGAATGAGTTAAAAAAAGAGAGATGATCCAAATAATCAAAAATGACAAAGGAGACATTACCACCAACCATACAGAAATACAAAAAACCCTCAGACACTATTATAAACAATTTTATGCACACAAACTAGAAAACTTAGAAGAAATGGATAAATTCCTTGAAACATATAACTTCCCCAAGATTAAACCAGGAAGAAATTGAATACCTGAACAGACCAATAATAAATTCTGAAATTGAATCAGCAATTAAAAAAAAAACTACCTACTAGGAAAAGCCCTGGACCAGATGGATTCACAGCTGAATTCTACTAGACATACAAAGAAGAGCAGGTACCAATCCTATTGAAAGTATTCCAAAAAATTGATGAAGAGAGATTCCTCCCTAACTCTATGGGGCCAGCATCTTTCTGATACCAAAATCTGACAGAGATACAACAAGTAAGGAAAACTTCAGGCTAATATTCCTAATGAACATAGACACAAAACTCATCAACAAAATACTAGCAAATTAAATCCAGCAGCACATCAAAAAGCTCCTCCACCATAATCAAATAGCCTTTATTCCTGGGATGCAAGATTGGTTCAACATACACAAATCAATAAATGTGACTCATCATATGAACAGCACTAAAAACGAAAACCACATGGTTATTCCTGCATATATAGATGCAGAAAAGGCTTACCATAAAATTCAACATTCCTTTATGTTAAAAACCTTCAATGAATCAGGCATCAAAGGAACATATCTCAAAATAATAGGAGCCATCTATGACAGCCTCGCAGTCAACATCATACTGAATAGGAAAAAGCTGGAAGCATTCCCCTTGAGAAATGTAACAAGACAAGTATGCCCACTCTCACCACTCCTATTCATCATAGTACTGGAATTCCTGGCCAGGGCAATCCAGCAAGAGAAGGAAATAAAAGGCTTACAAATAGGGAGAGAGGAGTCAAACTATCTCTCTTCACAGGCAATGTGATTCTATACCTAGAAAACCCCATAGATTCTTAAAGGCTCCTAGAACTGACAGAGGACTTTAGTAAAGTTTCAGGATACAAAATCAATGTACAAAAATTAGGAGCATTTCTATATACAAATAACATCCAAGCTGAGATCCAAATCAAGAATACAGTCTCATTTTCAATAGCCATAAAACAATGAAATACCTAGGAATACAGCTAACCAGGGGGGTGAAACATGTCTATAAGGAGAACTAAAAATCACTGCTCAGAGAAATCAGAGATGACACAAACAAATGGAAAAACATTCCATGCTCATGGATAGGAAAATCAATATTGTTAAAATGACCATACTGCCAAAGCAATTTACAGATTCCGTGATATTCTTATCAAACTACCAATGTCATTTTTCACAGAATTAGAAGAAAAGTATTCTAAAATGCATACGGAACCAAAAAAGAGCCCAAATAGCCAAAGCAATCCTCAGCAAAAAGAACAAACCTGGAGGCATCACACTGCCCAACTTCAAACTATACTACAAGGTGGCAGTAACCAAAACAGCCTGGTACTGCTATGAAAACAGACACATAGACCAATGGAACAGGTTAGAGAACCCAAAAATAAAGCCACACACCTACAACCATCAGATCTCCTACGAGGTTGACAATAATAAGCAATGGGGAAATGACTGTCTATTTATAAATGGTGCTAGGATAACTGGCTAGTGTTTTGCAGGAGATTGAACCAGGACTCCTTCCTTATACCATATACAAAAATTGACTTACAATAGATTAAAGATTTGAACAGAAAACCTAAAACCATAAAAATCCATCCTAGAAGAAGACCTAGGAAATACCATTCTGGGCATAGGCCTTGGCAAAAATTTCACGAGGAAGACCCCAAAAGCAATTATAACAAAACCAAAAATTGACAAGTGGGCCCTAATTAAACCAAAGAGCTTCTGCACACACGCAGACACAAAACTATCAATAGAGTAGATAGACAACCTATAGAATGGGAGAAAAATAATTGCAAACTATGTATCCAACAAGGGTCTAATATCCAGAATCTATAATAAACTTAAATCAACAAGCATAAAACAACCACATTAAAAATGGGCAAAGGATATGAACAGATCTCAAAAGAAGACGTACATTCAACCAACATTTTCAAAAAGGCTCAACATTATTAGTCATTTTGGAAATTCAAATCAAACCCACAATGTGATACCATATCCTGCCAGTCAGAATGGCTATTATTAAAAGTTAAAAAATAACAGATGTTGGTGAGGTTGTGGAAAAAAGAGAATGCTTATACACTTCTGGTGGAAATATAAATTAGTTCAGCCACTGTGGAAAGCAGTTTGGCAATTTCTCAAAGAACTTAGAACTATCATTTGACCCACCAATCCCATTACTGGGTATATACAAAAAGAAATATATGTCATTCTGTCATAAAGACACATGCATGCATATTGTCATTGCAGCACTTTTCACAATAGCAAAGACATGGGATCAACTTAAATCTCACCAATGGTAGATTGGATAAAGAAAATGTGGTACATATACATTGTGGAGTACTATGAAGCCATAAAAAGAATAAAATCTTGTCCTTTGTAGCAACATGGATGCAACTGGAGGCCATTATTCTAAATGAATGAACACAGAAACAGAAAACCAAATACTGCATATTCTCACTTATAATTGAGCACTAAACATTGAGTACACACGGACACAAACAGGGGAACAATAAACACTGTGTCTTACTTGAGGGTTAAGAATGGGAGGAGGGTGAGGTTTGAAAACTACCTGTTGGGTGCTATGCTCACTACCAGGATGATGAGATAATTTGTACAGTAAACCCCAGTGACACACACTTTACCCACGTAACAAACCTGCACATGTACCCACTGAACCTAAAATAAAAGTTGGAAGAAAAGAAAACTAATTTCTTATAGTTTATGTGGAATGGGACAGGATCTTAAAGTGTTCCAATTTGCTTGTATAGTTTTATCTTCTCTTAGTTTTAATATGAAGGACCTTAAACCTTAAGCAGTGTATCTCAAAAGCTCTACGGTGAAGAATGAATTTCAAAACTCCTGTCATAGCCTGAAACTTTTGAAACATAAAATATAAACGAATTATTAGAAAAGTGTTCATGTGCATGGATGTCATGGTAATGCCAAATTGCAATGTTTCTAAAGGTGTATTCTTAATTTCTGTATTTGTCTCTGTGCAGACCAGTAACTAGCAGTTGGCAGAACAAAACCACGTTTTAAGTAGTAACCAGTTTGCCTTAAGGCAAGAGTAACTTACACCGATACTCTTACATATATTTTATAGTTTTATTACAGTATGCACCTTGAACATGTAGACGAATGTTTACATACCCTCAAAATTCATATGTTAAATCTTAATACCCAATATGATGATATTTAGAGGAGAGGCCTTTGGGAGGTGACTAGGTCATGAGGATAGAGCCCTCATAAATCGGATTAGTGTGCTTATAAATTAGGTTTCAGAGAGTTCCCTTTCCCCTTCCATTATGTGAGGTTATAGTGAGACGACAACCATCTTTGAATCAGGAAGGAGACCTTCACTAGACAACAAATCTGCTGTCATCTTGATCTTGGAGTTCCCTTCCTCTAAAATCATGGGAAATATAAGCTTCTGTTGTTTATAAGCCACTCAGTCTATGGTATTTTTAAAATGCAGCCTGGACTAAGACACCATGGATTATGTGCTCTTTGAAGGCAGAATCTCTAAATTTGTAAATTTCATATTTCTGAGCCTAACATAGTGCCTGGCATGTAGTAGGTGCTCAATAAATATGCATTGAGTGAATAAATGTATTAAAGTAGATGAAGAACTTAAGAAGATTGAACATTTTGTAGAAATAAAAAAAGTCTTAATAATTTTCATACTTTCCAGTGATACAATTCAATACAACAACATTCTGATATCTGATCCCCATGTCCACATGGCCTTGAGTGGAAAGAATCACTCCCAAGATCTCCTTTTCCATTTACTTTGGAAAGAAGTAAAAAGCCCCCTTGACCATATAGCTTCTTTAGAACTCAACTATTCCAATTAAAATTTCTAAGCCGTTTAACTTAATATGTGCTAAGCTTCTCTACTGAGAACTGGGAATTTGTCCATAATCAGATCTCTTCTATAAATGATTTTTCTGATATACACCAAGTCAGTCTGTACACACCTAGTGTTCTGCTAGATGCTATGTACATATTCATGGAAACTAACCAAATTTTTCCTCCAAACTTATAAAGTTTAGGCCGGGCATGGTGGCTCATGCCTGTAATCCCAGCACTTTGGGAGGCCGAGGTGGGCAGATCACGAGGTCAGGAGATGGAGACCATCCTGGCTAACACAGTGAAACCTCGTCTCTACTAAAAATACAAAAAATTAGCCGGGCGTGGTGTCGGGCACCTGTAGTCCCAGCTACTCGGGAGGCTGAGGCAGGAGAATGGCGTGAACCCGGGAGGCGGAGGTTGCAGTGAGCCGAGATCGAGCCACTGCACTCCAGCCTGGGAGACAGCGAGACTCTGTCTCAAACAAACAAACAAACAAAAAACTTATAAAATTTATAAACAGAGCAGTAGAGTTTTATAAACAGAGAAACAGAGTTTGTTCCTCCCATTCCTTCAGTGTTTCCAAGGTAAAGCTCCTCCTACCTTTCCGTTCCTCCACTTTCTTTGTACACCTGCTTTCTCCACATTGTCTACATTTTGTCCAGATAATGACTTGCTCCAAACCCTTCTTCAAAGAGGAGCTTTTCTCAGCTCCCTTTGATAGCTCTCTGGAATGAACAAACCTTGGAAAGTTTCTAAAAGCTGAAGGCAGGCAAAGGCAGAGAAGGGAGGCAGGAATGATCTGTTCTCTAGGTTTGGTTGCTTTCCACTTTCTTGAGTAATAAAATTTCATTTGGACTATAAACCTTCTCTGCGGGGGCTAAGGCTCCCCGTGGGCTGCTCCTAGAAATAAGTACTTGGTTTTAGCAGCTGCTCTGCTGTGATAATGACTGAGATCATTAGAGCCAGCCTTTCCAGTGATCAATCCACAGCCAGAAAGTGCCTTCCCAAATTTGTGAAATGATTGATAATTGCAATCAATATGTTTCCTAATGGCCTTGTCAATATGCCCTTTTTTTTCTGGTTGACAAAGTAATAATAAAAAAAAGATATGAAACTTTTTTTTTTCTTAATGACTATGGGGAAGATGCTGGATATCTCCCATTAAGTCATCTGGAAGTGAGTGGAGTGGAATTCAACATATTCATTTCTGTCTAACAAACATCTGCAATAATTAGACCCCAACAGAACTGCCCTATACATTTATTTTTGCCTTCAATAGCTTTCCTTGTGTCCTGAAATCGGATTTTAATGGCAGAATCGTCACAGCACCGGCTCATGAAATTATTGAGAAATGTGAAGGTGACTGCCTTTCCTTCTTTGGAAGACTGAACATGCCAGCTTATGTTTGTGCAGTATTTTGTCTGGTTTTGAAGGGAGCCCTTATCTGGAGACAGAACGTGGACACGTCTTAGGCTGGTGGGTTGGGCTGGCTCTCTAGGCTTTTCATGAGCTGTGCGCCCAGAATGCCAGCTGTAGCCTTGTGTTCTTTAACAGCCTGAAGCCAGATCCACTGAAAACCTCACTTACAGTCTTCAATGTGCTCTCATTCCATAACTAATCATAACAGAGACAAAGTATGTATCCGTAGCGCTCTCCTCCCACTCTGTTCAGGTAAGCTTTACAATGCCTGCCTTGATAAGACTTGGTTACAGTTCCACATGCTCTCCTACTCCTAAGGATAGCAGTCTCAGTCTTCCACACTGGCTGAATACAAGGGCTGGATTTCTGCACTGATGTCCTTTCTTAAGAACTGAATCCCACCCTACTATCATGTATAACTTTTGAGAGTCTTACTGCCTGAAGCTGGATTCTGTTCCTTTTCCTCCTCTCCCCATCTGAGTTCTGAATCATCTGGGAAATAAGTCAGGCAAATGGAGATTAAAACATCAGCTTTATTATTGATGAAAGCTGGATCAGAGGGCATGGCTTACATATGTTGCCCTCACAGATTCTCTAAACCTAGTTTCAGAGCTGAATTTACCCCTCCAGGCACAGGCAGCACTTACCCTCCAGGCACTGCAGACACTTCCACCCACCCTGAGTGTGGGTGGGCACCTGTAAAAACGATGGCATAAAAGAGCACAGGAGAGTATGTGCTTGCAGTAAGGGCTGCCCCCAGGAGGGAGGAAATGAAGACTGAAGGCTGAGTAAACTGGCTTATCTCTGAAATTCCAGAGGGAGGTCTAAGAAGTAGATACAGGCCAGGTGTGTTCAGGAAAAGTCTGTGTATTTGTTCCTATTGGTGCTGTGACAACTTGTCACAAACTTAGTGGTGGCTTAAAGCAGCACAATTTTATTACACAGTTCTGGAGGTCAGAAGTTTGAAAATGGGTCTCACTGGGCTAACATCAAGGTGTTGGCAGGGATGCATTCCTTTCTAAGAATCCATTCCTTGCCTTTTCCAGCCTCTAGTGGCCACCCACATTCCTTGGCTTGTGGCCTTTTTACAGCGATGGCATCACTCCAACCTCTGCTTCCATTGTCATATCTCGTTCTCTGACTCTGGCCCTCCTTCTGTCTTATAAGGACCTTTGTGATTACACTAGGCCCACCTGGATAATCCAGGCTACTCTCCCATGTCAAGATCCTTAACTTAAGCACACCTTCCAAGTCCCTTTTTACCAGGTAACATAATGTATTCATAGGTTTCAGTGAGTAGGATGTGGACAATTTGGGGATGCCATTATTCTGCCTACCACTGTCTATATTCATGGAAATGAGGGTTGGGAAGAAGTGCTGCCCGTAACTTGTCCTGGCCATGGTATTACCTCTTATAACTTGATCTTCCAGTGACCACCCCTCCTGCTCAACTCCAGTATATTGAGTGTTGCTCTTTTGATTCACCGTCTCTGTGCTGCAAATCAGTAACTCCCACTTTCAGCATGATAACAAAGACAGACCTGCCCTGTGATCACTGTACCTTAAAGAACAACCACCAGCACAACAACGCAGCCCCATGTTTTGGAAATTTGTATGAATTATTTTACATTTTCAGACAACCCTGAAAATAAATGTTAACATTTTTGCTTTATGAACAAGAACAAAAGCTCAGAAAGGACAAATTATTTGCTCAAAAATTACAGCTGTAAAGGGGGTAGGCCTGATATTTAAACCTAGGTCTTTGGTTTCGTGCCCATGTATATTCTTACTGCTTCTCTGCCCTTCACCAGAGTGGATCCCCCAAGCCCTGTCCCACCAATTAGGAATGGGCTTTTTCCTGTTCCTTGCTCATTATCACTCTTTGCTCGTTCTGTATGGCTGAGAATTTGTCCTGTTTTGTTCCCAATGACGTAGAACAGAAGTGAATCCAAAAATGTCCTTGGGTTTGGTCCCTTATGCTTCATTCTCATATTTCCATTTCAGTAGAGTTTAATAGAGAACTTCTCTCAAAGCAGCTGAGCATGTGACTATATGAGATGAAGGAATGCCTTTCAGGAAAGCTTAGAGCAGCCAACTCCACTGCTGTCCCTGGGAAGTCTGAAGGCTATTTCTTCCCAGACAATGAGCAGCTCCAGTTCCTTTCCAGGCTAACTTGCATGATTGACATAGTCAAGGCATGCTGGAATTTAACGGGAAAAACAAGAACACTTTCTTATGAAGTTACAACTAATACAGAGAAATAGTTCAAGCATATATCTAGGATTCATAGCGTAAACATCTCATTTTCCAGACGGTCCAACACAGTACCTGAAACAAAGAAGGTACTTAATATTTGCTAAATTCAGTCCAAGTATTCAGCTATGTCAAAATTGGTTCTGGTCCCCATTTAACACCCTGAATACTAAAAAGACAGAACATAGAATCAACTGGGCCGGCATGTGATTCTAGCAGAATTGCTGTTGAGTGCACCATACTCATTACTAATATCAGCATTTACTGACAGACTTATTTGTCCCATGTGCTGGGAAGGAACCCAAGATACCTAGACGTGATTCCATATCATAATCCGTATCATGTGCAATGCAAGTCTCTCTTTGGTTTTATCCCTTGTAAGACAACATACGAGAACAACTTTTAGCTTCAGTATATATTTGATGTTTTTAGCAATAATAGTAAACAAGTGCGTATAGAGTAGTGACGACAAGATTCCTTCTGCAGTTAATTGAGAAAATAATTATGAAACATTTTAGATTGCCAAAATCTTATTGCCAGGAAAATTTGCATTGTTCCAATTTACATGGGCATTATCTTTGCTTATCTTAGAGTTCTAAAATTCATCAAAGAACAGAATGTCTAAGAATATTAATATCTGTTTGTGGGAAATACGCTCAACCTCCTCAAAAGCTCAAATGTTTGAGAAGACCTCACCGAAATGAGAATGTAGAGTTAGCTTCCTTTTGACACAATGCTTGATTTTTCATGGACTTTAGTTTGCTTTTTGAAACTTGTGAAACATTAAAAATATTTTTTCATCAAATCTGCATGTTTAAAAAGTCAACTAAATATGTAAGACTTGTTAAGATGAAAACTAGTTTTATTTCGCTTTCCACAGAGACACTCTGTTTAAACATTTTTCTCTAAGATTTTAGACTTTACCTCCACGTCTATAAATATCATGCTTATGTTGGTATGTCTTTTTAAAAATCAATGTTAGATATTTTCTACTGAATTATCACCATAAAATAAGAAAAACTAGTTTTCTTTCTCGTGTTTTATGTCACACAGGCATACTTGCTTTCTCCCATCCAATTGTCTCAAGAGAGTTATAATTTTTGTCAGATTTTGTACAATTAAGATTACATAAATGCAATTTAGTGCTATGTCGATTAGTAAACTATGATCATATTTCGCTTCATGTACCACCTTTTGTTTCCCTGGAGCTCATAATCACCCATGTTTGCTTATTTGCTTAGTTTTCTATTTATGTAACACTGATTTAATCCAAAACTTTCTAATAGTTGTCTAAAGCTGTTCTTAATATATGTATTCTCATCAGGTTCATCTTTTTATGGAAATCTCTCTTGGTACCTTCTGATCCGCTTCCTTCTAGATGTGTTGCTTTACACCTGGGACACAGATGTGTATCTTGGAAATCTTCCTTTACCATCATCCTGGGTATTCCTTTTGCCTCTTTCCTGAGTTGGATCTTCTGTTTCCTGTATCACATGTTTATATATATATATATGTATATATATATGTATATGTGTGCGTGTGTGTGTGTGTATGTATACATATATGTGCGTGTGTGTGCATATATATATACACACACACATATACATATATATTGCATGTGGTTTAAAGATTTATCTGGTTGGAACACATTTTCTGGTAGTTTCCTGGGAATTAATGTATAAAGAAAAATTTCCTGGGATTCTGCATTTCTATGAACATTTCTGTTCTACTCTTATACTTGATGAAGAGTTAGGCTGCTAGTAATCATCTTTCAGGATTTTGAAGTCATTGTTCCATTTTATTTTAGATTCCAGAATTGCTATTGAGAAGTTTGAGGTTTTTCTGTTTCTCAATTCTTTGGGTGTGACTAATTTTTTTCTCTAGATCTTTTATGATTTTTCTTCAGTGCCAGTTCTGAAATGCCATTTAGTGACGTAAACTAGTATGAGTCTAATTTTATTCACTTGTTTGAACAGTTGATGAAAAATTTCAATCTGGAACTCATGTCCTCACTTCTGAAAAGCTCTCTTGTCTCTTCTATGACAATAACATTTTCTCTATTTTTTCTTTCTGAAACTTCTTATGTAAATATTGGGTGATCAAGTCTTAAAAAAGTTCCCCCTCTATTATTTTTGGGTTTTTGCTCTATTTTCTAAAAAAATCTTCTAAGTTCTCTATTATAATTCTTCTTCTCTGCCATTAATTTTCAAGAGCTCCTGATTTCAGAGGGCCAATGAGGTAAAAACCTTTCATAATAATTCTAAGATATTTTTTTCTTTTTCACTCTTATGAGTATAAAAAGGTTTTCCAGAGATGAACTTGTGTGTTCATCTCTGATGAACATCGCAACAGATGGAATGCAGAAAAAGGCATGATAATCCAACTGTCAGCTATTAAATCAGAAGAGATTTGGAAAAATGTAAAACATCACTATCATCACTATTTTTTGTTTTCAAATTATAGTTTTTCATAAAAATCTATTCATGTTCTATTTATCACGCATACAATATGTTATACTGAATCATCAATAAAATTTAATAATTTATCTCATATATATATATAAAAAACTATAACATACATAAAGAAAAGTATTTTAGAATCCTTGATAATTTTTTAAGAGTACTAAGGGGTCCTTAGAAAACAAAGTTTGAGGAATGCTACCTTAAGTGTTCCTTATTAAATTATATTCTTGTTATACAGGTACAATGTTTTCTTCCTATCTCTGTTAGAATGTTATTGATAATGTTTCTGAAATTTCCTTTTCCCCAGAAAGCCTCTGTTTCTGCTAAGTTGCTTTCTTTGGTTTGTTTCTTTCGGTATCTATTTTGGGGGCTTTCCTGAGGTGTCTGGTGATCTTTGGTTGGATGCTCATATAAGAATTGGGGCTAGTACAGTTGATTGATGGCTCAGAGCATGTGGGTGGGAGTTTTCTCTGATGTCCTTTAAATTAGGCTGATCTAATATGATTTCGCAGAAAAGATTCTTGTAACGTCTTGTCTGGATAGTAATGACAGGGTTGCCATTGTCTTGAGAGCCAACAGGGGAATCAACCTCTAGGACCTCAGCACCCAACATGCTAAAGTTTTTTGCACTGAGGTGTCCCCTACTCCCTGTTTGCAGTGAGGTATCCCTAGCATCTTCATTGTGTGTGTACCTGTGAGTCCAGTGATCCTGTGCCTTACTCTCTCCAGGGAAGAAATCTTCAGCATTCTGCGGTCCTGGAGGAGTGGCAGTAACTCAGCAGCATCAAGTGAGTATGGGATCTGGGATCCCATACTTATTATATCCCATACTTAATTGTATGTCCTTTAAACCAATCTTTCTTATCATAGCATGTATATAGATCTCAGCCCTTGGTCTGAATTCATAGCCTTTTGAGCATCTGCTGTGTAAGTCATACTGCTTTTCAGTTTTCCCCATTGCCAGCTTAGGATTTGGTTCTTTCAGTTCTGCCAAGCAAATTGCCACTTGTCCATTTGCTTTCCAGTTTCCAAAATTCTGTTGTTATTATTACCTTTCCTTTTCTCTTTGTCCTTGTTAGTTATGCTTGTATAAAAAGTCAATTATGCATATAATTATAGATATTTATATATAATTATTGGTAGATATAGATATCTATGTAATTATCTCTTTATATAGATCTATATATAGAGAGAGGTGATAGATACAGATAGATAGCTAGATTCTATCTATATATATCTCTTCTGAGCTTTGTTAATCTATAGTGAAATTGGTTGTGTTAAATGTGCCATCAATATACAGAACCAAGCCGAATTTCTATATGGGTCCAGGCATGTGGCCAGTGTTTATTTTTATGAATGTTTCATTCTGAAGATTCAGTAATTATGTTAAGTTCTGTTGCCAAAGTTGTCTTTTAGCACTCTGATTTATTTTTGGCAAAGGACAGATACATTGACAAGTCGAATATTAAAAAATCCTCCGCAAGATGTTATTTTTTTAGTATTAAGGCCTTAAATGGATATACTTGATTTCAAAGAAGTTGATTTTAATTTAAGAAAGGGGTTGCTATTTTTTATAAGCAGTCTCACAATGATAAATGTTTTATCCCGTCAGCTATTGGTGTTAGACCAGTGTTGGCTGTGTCTAGAATTTAATCTCCTGTAGAAAATGATATAAAAAGCAGATATGCTGAATATTCTATAGTAATTTTTTTATTTTAACATCAAAATTTATTAATATTTATTGAACTCTGTAGTTCTTGGCCTCTAAGTCATATCCCAGTAGTATTTAAAGAGACTTCGTCACTATTTCAGGGTCCTTGGAGACCATTTAAGGCACAGCAAGTGCTAGAATTATTTTTAGAAATATGACTAACTCAAATCTACCACTAGACAAAAATGTCAGTGCTTCCTGGCTTGGTGATGAGTCTTCAAAAAGACCTTTGCATTTCTTACTTAGTTAAGTGGCTCAAGGAATGAGTCTTTCCTTACTTCAGGGTCTGGTAGTCAGAACACTCTGACTCTACAGATACATTTCTTGAGCTATAGGTCACCCACCCTGTTTGATCTTGGGTTCTGCACCCAGAGCAGCAGAGTTTTCATTCATGCCTTAAGCAATGCAAGCTGGAAGCAAGAAGCAAGAAGGAAAAAATTAAAGTGGAAGACAGTTTAGCACTGGGGATGCTGAGAATAAATTTATTTTGATAATTTATTTTGCTAGTATTTTTCTGTTGATACTTATTGGGTAAAATTTAAATTAATGTTGCTATGTTGATTATGCTGTATTTTTGGGACACTGTAGTAACAATGGAAGGGCTGACTGCTTAGAGCCAAGAGAAGGATACAAATGTCTGTGTGCCTGACAGGTTTCAGGCTAAAAGTCAAGGTAAGAGTGATTAAGAAATAAGGAAAAGTTGCTAATAGGATCTAGGAGTTTACGTTAAAAGGAGTAGGTCTGAAACGTTAGACTATTAATTTATTAGAGCTGAGGTATGGCTTAGAACTTTGCATTTCTCATAGATCTCTTAGGTGGTTCTTAGGGAGGTTGTTTATAATGTTAAGGGTCATTTCTAAGACCCCTCACAGACCTTTATAATTCTGTTGACATCCTTGACTTTCAGTTAAAATGCAAATATCACTCATATTTTAAATACACGTTGCTTATATTTTGGAAAGATTTTTATGATTTTCCCTCTTGAAGCACTTCAGCTACCTAACTCATTTAAGTTATGATTAGCTCTAATTTCTCTGCAATCATCATACATACTTGGGAATTACTGAGAAGTTAAAATAACACAAACCTACAGATTGTTTTTATCTGGAATAATTTTCTGATGAATATTAAATTTAATAAGTAATGAATTGGCATAATATGTTTTATGTATATCCAGTAAAACTTTTATTAGTTTCAACTTTTAGGTTTTAATACTTTGAAGCCAGTAATTCACTTTTATCGACGCCCAGATCTGTAAAGCTCATAGGTCTAAGGCAATGTGTCTATAATACCTGTAGCATAAAACAGGTGAGATGCTGATGGTGCTCTAGAGTTTGGTCTTGGGGTGGGCGCTGAGACATTACTGGATGAGTCCAAGGCACAGAAAGCTTTGATCAAAAGAGCATGAAGAGACACTGATTTGGATGTTAGAATCACTAACTAAAGAGGGAGACTAAAACAGACATGACAATGACCTTCAGTTATTTGAAGTCTAGTGGATGAACAAAAAGAATTTTTATGATCCATAGGCTGGACTTAATAGATGTAATTTATAGGAAGGTGAATTTTGGTTCATATCAAGGAGAATTTTCTCACTCTTAGAGAGCCAGTGTTGGAATGAGTGGATTTATGAGACAAGAAACCCTTTTTACTTGTTTAGGCTGCATGCCCATCTGCAAGAATATTGTAAATTTTTGGTAGATAGCTGTTTTAGATGATGTAAAAGTATCTCAAACTCAGATTCTATGAGAGAAGCTTTAAAAGTACATCATCAGTAGGTTGAGAATGGATTGCTTCTGAGTATAATCCCTGAGAAGTTTACTTTGAGGTATATCTGCAATTAATATTAAATCTGTCAGCAGATTTAAGGAGATACTTAATCTCTAAGTGAATTTATTTCAGCAGCTTTTAAATAATTTAATTATTTTTCATTAGAGGTTTGCTAAGATAGGTCCATCTTCTGCTGCTACAACAGAATACCTGGGACTGGGTAATTTATATTATAAACAGTAGACGTTTATTTGGTTCGTGGTTCTGGAGGCTGGAAAATCCAAGCACATGGCACCAGCATCTGAGAAGGGCCTTTGTGCTGTGCCACTCCATGGCTAAAGGTGGAAGGGCAAGTGAGCATGTGAGGCAGAGAATCGAAATCCAGCTGGACACATCCTTTTCTTCAGGAACCCATTCCTGTGTTGACTAACCTGCTCTCACTATAATAGCATTCATTAATTATGGTCCTCTTGCATGTCCTGCCTCTCAACACTGTTAAAATGACAATTCAATTCCAACATGAATTTGGAGGAGGCATTCAAACTATAGCAGGAGATAAGAGGCTGCTAAAGCAAAGGAGTCAACATTTTTTTGGTGAGAATTGAAGAAGCAGAAAAATTGCACAAAGGGTTGCAGAGGAGGCCAAACATAGCAGTACCTTGAATAAAAGACTTCATCTTTGGAGACACAGAGTCTTGTTTTTGCTTTTTAAATCATAATACAATAGTCCACCTTTACTCATGGGGGATACCTTCTGAGACCCCCAGTGGATGCCTAAAACTGAGGATGGTACTGACCACAATCGCTATCAATTGAAACACATTTCTGTTCATGTCTTCCACCTACAAATTTAATGCCTTTCCATCTTTATCTTTTTTTGAGAGAAAGAGGAGGGGCCTCACTTTGTTTGTTTGTCACTCAGGCTGGAGTGCAGGGTTTGTGATTATTGCTCACTACAGCCTTGAACTCCTGGGTTCAAGGGATCCTCTCACTTCAGCCTTCTGAGTAGCTGGAATTACAGGCATGCGTCACTGCACCTGGTGCCTTTCCAGCATACCTAAGCACTTATCACACACTGTGGCTATAGCTTTTGCAGTCTTAGAAGTGACAGCAAAACTAGTACAAATTGATTTCCCTTTCTCACAATTTCACAGATAGATTTGTTCTTACTGTTAATCTTAGAAAACTCAGCATACAATTTTTCTTTTCCTTAGCAAGTTGAGAACTTTCATCTTTTCATTTAAAGGAAGCGCTTTTTGGGTTTTTTTGGCATATTCAAATTGGCAGCATCACTACTTCTGTACTTTGGGGTCATTGTGAAGTAAAATAAAGGTTACTTGAACACAAGCACTGAACTATTACTACAGTCAATCTTTTAACTGAAATGACTACTAAATAACTAAAAGGCAGATAGCATCTACAGCCTGAATATGCTGGACAAAAGGGAGGATTTTAATCGCAGGCAGAATGGAGCAGGACGGTGTGAGATTTCATCATGTTACTCAGAACAGAGTGTAATTTAAAACTTACAAATTGCTTATTTCTGGACTTTTTCATCTAATATTTTGAAATGCAGTTGACTGTGGGTAACTGACAACTTGGAAGGCAAAACTGCAGATACAGGGGCACCATACCTGTTTATTTCTTTATAATATTTCTTCCTAATTAGAAAGGAAAGTTCACAAGATGAAAATGTTTTTCTGGGCATGTTGATAGGTCTGTTTCTGTCTTCTGATTAGCTCCAAGTGGGGGACACATCTTTTTCTCAGCTTTAGAAAGCTTTGCACCAATTTAAAGGCAACAGGAAGAATTTCACTCAATATTATGTTATATTGATAATAATGTTCCCACAATAAACAACAACCCTAACACATATCATTTTAGTACTATCATATTAGCAACAACATAAAAATGATCCATGATGTTACAATTTCTGGTGCTTATTAGAAAATATAAGCTAAAAATTTGGACTACTAGAAAGCTTACTCAGAACTTCAGAAATTAAAGATTTTTTTAAAAGCCACTTGCAATGGCTATATAGAGCCATCTGTCTGGAAGGGGGAAAAACAGCTAAGACTTCAGTACTCAATTGCTTATTATGAAAGGCATGCTATGGACTGAATGTTTGTGTCCCCCCCAAATTTATATGTTGAAGTCTGGATCTCCAAGGTTAATGGTATTTGGAGGCAGGACATTTAGAGGTTAATTAGGTCATGATGGTGGAGCACTCCTAAATGGTATTAGTGTCACTATAAGTGGAGGAAGAGACCAGAGCTCTCTACTGTCTGCCATGTGAGGTTACAACAAACAGTTGGTCATCTGTAAACCAGAGAGTAAGCCCTCACCAGACACTGGATTTGCCAGCACCTTGATATTGAACTTGGAATCCTCTAGGACTGTGGAGAAACAAATATTTGTGTTTTAAATCACCCAATCTATGATATTCTGTTATAGCAACACAGACTCCCTAAGATAGGCATCTTGTTTAATGTATGTTTTACCTTTCTCCAGAGCTTGGCCTCTAGGAGTTCTAGGATCTTGAATCTAAAGACTTGTAACTTCGAACTATTATTTTTATATGCATTTATTTTATCCTGATAGAAAACGCGAGGTTTCCAGATCAGAGAAAAGACCAAGTATTTACTTATAGAACATCACGTGAGAATTTCCCAGGCCCCAATCCTCCATGGGGCAGCATGGTGAAGACAGGTGTCATCTGAATTTTGGAGCTTACATAGCAGGTACTTGCACAGCTGCCACTCCTGTCATTCAGAGAGGGAAAGAGAATGAGAAAGAGAGAGTTAACACTTTTATTCCTTGGCATGTAAACAAACCCTCTCTATAAAAAAAGCCAGGTCCCTTGGCCTACTATCCTCTTAAATGTAAACAAATGACTAAATGACTCCAGGAGAAATAAGCCAGCGAGTCTTTCCAGAGATGTACTTTAATTTCCAAGATTTACCTTTATCTTCCAAGACTTGTTTGCCATTCAGCAACCCAGGCTACTAGTACTCTCTTGTTTAGGAAGCCCTAACCATACAGAAACAGAAAAATAATAGTTGCTTCTTGACACTAACGAGCTTATAGTGCAACTTAAATATCACAGGTGGTTCAGGATTGAGTATAATCAAAACATTAAAATGAATCTTTTGTTCCATTAAGAAGACTTTGCATGTGAAGAAAGTTTTGCTGCAGATGCTGAGAAATTCTACTGTTGCAAATCTACTGTATTTTTCTAGGAAGCTCATGCTCCTACCCTCTGCAATGACAATTTCATCCTCTCTCTCTCTCTCCTAAGACTTTCCATCTAGCACCACCCACCATTTTATCTAGTGACCTTATCTCATATATCACTAATGAAAATTCAAGCCATTAATAGTGTACATCCTCATCCTGCCTGGAAATCCTGCCATTTCCAAATAAACTCATATATTTTCCCTTTCACCTATCTCTCCTTTCTCTGCTACTGCAGCTAATTCACTACATATTCTCTGAATCCCTTTCATTTTGATTATCCTAAGGACATTCCTTCTTCAGGAGTCTTCTCTCTTTTTGGCATATTCAACTTTTTTCTCTCTAATACTTCATTCCAGTCACATACCATTCATCATTGATATTATATCCCCCTTCAATTACCATTACTCTTTGTTTAACTTCTCAGAAATGTTATCTATACATTCTATTTCCATACCTATATCTCTTTTTTGAAGCCTTCAAGTCATTCCATTCTTGCTTATCTTCATAAACAGCAAATGTTTCTTCCAAGGTCACTGGACACTTTCATTTTCCAAATGAAAGTTCTTATTCTGTATGATCTACCAGTAGCTCTCATCAAAGTTAATGTTTCCATCTTTGAACCATCTCCTAGGTGTCCAGTGACCTTATTGGATATCACTTATCTGTCATCTTTCCTTATCTCCTCCTACTAGACTTTAAAACTGGACTTCTATAAAACTTGGTACAGAACCACATTCTCTTGCTCTTCCTATCTCGAGATAATTTTATTAATTGTCAGGGCTCTAGATATCATTGGTATTTTGACAAATTATCTTCATTGAAGGTATCTCCTTGATGCTGTGTATCTTCACTTTGATATTTTATATTCACTTGAAATGTTTCCTGTTTCATCTTTATGTGGGTATTTTATAAATGCCTTCCCTCCCATCCCTGCCAACTGTTCCTCCTCCAATCTTCTCCAACACAGAAAATAATCCACCCAGCTGCTCAAGAAAGAATCCTGAGCATACCTCAAGTCATGATTATTTAATCTGAGTTTCTCCTAAGGATTTATTGTATATGCATGAAAGACAATAAATAATGTGCTTAGAACAATTTCCAAGTGATTAATTATGGCTGCATGTCAAATACAGAATAAAATGACGAAAGTCATACTTCAGTGGTCATTGTCACTATTAATACCTTAACACCTTTTTGCTTTTATGCAGAGCTGCATCCACTAAAATAAGTTAATATTCTACCTTTACAGACCCCTTTGGTAGAAAAAGCAGGTTCACAAGCCTATCTGGGGCTTACCCATATAATGACTTCTCTAAAATATCACTAATCAAAGGTATTATGCTTTCCTGACAGTTAGGATTCAAAGTGGTAAGATTTTCCTTACCTTAAAAATAAACATATGCCAGAGAGTGCAATGGCAGACAAGTCCAAAGTCAGGTTACATATATGTAATTATATATTTACAAAATCTTTTCATTAACCCATCGAGAAGAACCACATATTATTTACTACAGATAATAAAAAACATCTCAGGGGTTCATCAGTGTTGGAACACCAGTGGTTTTTTTTTTTTTTTTTTTTTTTTTGACCCTAGACAATATGTTGCCTCTGAATTATTTTGAAGACCAGGCTGTTTATTTACACCAAGAAAATTGGGACATTTTAACTATATCAGAACTTGGCAAAAATTTTGAAATAATACATGAGATTGGACTTAAGCAGTACTTATGGTAGTAATTTTAATTTTTAAGTTCTATTTCAATAGTGAAGAAAGTCTGTTAACTTTTTTAAATAATGCCTATGTTAACAAATAAGAGTTTCAGTGCTTATATCTTGCATGCAAAGTGTAAGATGCCTTCTCCCCTCCTATTTAATTTTTGAAGAACTTCTGGTTTTTAAAAAGAGAATTTAAAAAATCAAAATTGTGGACATAAGTAATGTGTGACTTCTCAGTAGTCAATCCATTAAAATCCACCTAGAATTTTAACAAGGATTTCAGTTTAGTAAACATTTATTAAGCATCTCCCATTAACTAGCACTGAAAAAGGTAACCTCACAATGTCAGTGTTAATAGCATGCATGATACAGCCCACCTGCTGGCTTTCTTGGCAGGCATTGCTAATTTTTAACTAGAGTCTTCACAATTCAGCTGCAGGTTTTTTGTTTTGTTTTGCTTTCCCTAGTCAGTTTCAATATAGGTCACTTTCATGCCAGACACATATTTACCATTTCAGTGTTAGCAGTAGCAAGATCTGTGAAGAATCTGAGATTTTATCTTACTTGAAAACTAATAGATTATCCTGTTAGCAGTTCATGGATGTGAGACATGAGACTCCTGGGTCAGAAACAAGGACTTTATTACTCATGGCATAGCAAGTAGGCTGAACATCAGCATATTTTATATTGGTTCCCTGAGACCGAATCCCCACGAGGCATTGTGAATAGGGCCAGATGATACCTACACATGTGGTTGGTTGTGTTAGAACAGAAGAACCCTGAGTTTAGGGAACCCAAAACTTTTATAATGAGAAACCAGCATGCCTGCCCTTTGCTTCAGATGGAGACACTATTTCTATCTTTCAAGGTTGTTTCTACGTAAAAATTCTTGAAAAGATATTCTGTAACAGGGTCAGTCTGTACCTCTGCTCGTAAGACAAGTAGAAGCCCAGAATACTCAGGCAGAATTATCCCCCACAAGCAGATAGAACATTTTACCTCTTTAAATGAGACAGGAATAATATAGGGTGGTCACAGGAGAATAAAAACTTCCAGGTGGCAGTTTCACGTAACTAGAGGCTACAGGCTCATAATACCCTGAAAAGCAGGGTGTGGACCAAGCTGGCTAAGACTGACTGGACCCAACATGGTGCTTGATTTGACTTAGGTTTCACCTAGGACCTCAGTATATGTTCATTAACATACTAAATCAGATACCCAACAGCGCCATGACAGTTCTGAGAATACCTATAGTTAGTGTTAAAATGGGTGGCACTACAGTTCTGAGAAATCTCTACCTTTTCCCAGGAATCTTCACGAATATCTTACCCCTTGGTTAAAGAAACCCATAAAGGTAGCAGCTCCAAACCCTTCTGTGAGTGACTCTCTCCTGCATATGCCTGCACTCCCTTTCTTGAGTATGTACTTTTTGCTTTGCAATAAATCTCTGTACTTCCACTCTTTTCTAACTCATTTTTGAATTCCTTTTCACAATAGTGTCAAGAGCCTGGACACTAGCTGGGGGTAAAGATCCCAGAAGCATTTGGGGACCTTCCCCAGCTCACCAGTATCCAGTGTGAAGGCTAATCTCAGGATTTAATCCTCAACATATGTCATTCATTCTTCAGAAATAAGTAAGGTGATTGAAATTGTTTCAACTTAGCAGATGAATTAATCAAGTCATTTCTGCATACAACTAAGAACCAATCTAAGCAACTAATTTAATGTGAACTAATCAAAGTTAATAATCTTTAGTTTTCTGTTGGTATACAGGTACTGTATATCTAGATTAGGGTCAGGTATCTTTATGGTATTAAAGAAATTAATCAGTATAAAGATCATTTTAACAGCTTCGTTTATTCTCTGTGCTGACCAGTCCTGCTATTAAATATAGAGATCAGTTTTGTTCCCTTCAGATATTTATTTGTTCTCTGCAGATTATTTCTCTTTAGACATTATATTTATTTAGTATTTTAAAAATATTTTTATAGATATTTTCCAATATACACAAAAGTAGAGAGAAGAGTATAATGAACCATATGTGTACATCACCCAGGTTAGTCAATTATTAACTCATGGCCAATCTCATTTTTCTCTCTTTCTCTACTACTCACTTCCCCTGGACTACTTTAAGAAATCTCAGACATTGTATCAATGTATTTGGGTGAATTATTTTCAAGATAAGGCATTTCTGCTCTTCTTCTCTTTTTTGCCTATTCATTCTGATAAGTTTATTCTTGTGTGTGTGCCTATTTGGAAATTTGCTTACACAAATTGTATGTTTGAATCTTGTTTGGGTCCTTGACATGCAGGTATACTATGCTGTATTTCTGTTTTGTTTTTATTCTTTAACAGTAGTTTCTTTATTTTTATCTATGAAAATGTAAGTCTCAATATGATCAAATTTGGGCACCGAGGGAAGAACTTCTGTGGCTTGATTTCTTTTCCTTTTCCTTTCTTTCTTTCTTTCTTTCTTTCTTTTTTTTTATAAAGACAAATCCTATTTTGGGTTAATTTCCTTTTAACTAATCAAAAATGTTCATATGCCTTCTTCATATATTCACTCATAAGATATGTGGCTATGAAATGACTTTAGATTTGCTAGAACAACTTGTATATGTACAAATTCCTATATACTCCTCTAACTGATCATTTCATCCAAGCTATGAATCATTCTTCTTGTTTTCCTGCAAGCCTTTCCAGTTTATCTACAGCTTTACAAATGAGTTGCCAGAAGATGAAAGAAGAGCTTAGGCTCCAAAATAGAGCTGGCCCCATACTGTGTAGAGACCCAAGTTTATATGCGGAGAAAGAAAATTGGTTGCTAGTAGAGCTTCCAATTTGGTAGAACTCTCCAAATTCATATCTCAAACATACAAAGTAGGGTTTCCTTTAAACTTGATAGGATTCTCTTAGGAGACAATGATTTGTCTATTACTATTTAGGTGCTAATTCTTAACATATGTACATTACCTTAAATTTATGGTTCAGATACTCTAGCTTCGTAATGGATAAGGTAACTGTACTGTGGATAGGATGAACAGGAGATGGTGAAGCAAAAAGGAAAGCATCTTTATTTAGGGCTGAGGTTGTTGATGGTATCAATCGCCATAAAGTAAATAAATCTGTGTAAAATAAATCTCTCACAGATTGGAATTGCTAAACAAGAGGAAAGAACCAAGGAAGCCTAAAAGGTAAAAATGAGTGTTTGTCAAAGCTGGGAGCTCAGGATACAAGTCTGGAGTAGTGACAATTCCATGGTGCCTGCCTTAGGGAATCAGATAAATTTTAGGGAAAGAAGAAAGTCATGGCTACTGCAGCCTTGCACAGCGGCACTGATGTGTGGCCATCACAAGATCAAAAACAAAACAAAAATGTTGGTGGCCTTACTTTGTTAGTGTTTTTAAAAATCCCCTGGTGTTGTTTGGTTGGTTTATAAACAGCTGCTCTGGATGCTGCAATTCTTTTTCTGGTGAAGCATAGCGAGAACATTAAAAAATTTTATTTTATTTTAGATTAGAAGTATACGTGCAGGCTTCTTACACGGATACATTGTTTAATGGTGGGGTTTGGGATTCCAGTGTACCCATTGCCCAAATAGTAAACATTGTATCCAACAGGTAATTGTTCAACCCTCACCTCCCTCTCAACCTCCCCTCCCTCTCAACCTCCCCTCTTTAGAGTCCCTAGTGTCTGTTTTTTTTCCATCTTTATGTTCATATATACCCATTGTTTAGCTCCTACTTATATCAGTAACTTTAATGGCATGCTGTAGTCATTGAGCGAAATATGTTTTTTTAAGTTTTCAAAGTATTTTCATATGTACAACTGTTAAGTCCCTAGAGAGAAACTCCAATAAAAATTATTTTACATTTACAAAACAGTGGCACTTTAGAG
Source organism: Homo sapiens (assembly GCF_000001405.40). NCBI lineage: Eukaryota > Metazoa > Chordata > Mammalia > Primates > Hominidae > Homo > Homo sapiens. Next base: position 47,098,409 of record NC_000013.11, read on the forward strand.
TATGACTTAATTTCCTCCTCTTACGTCATTTTAGTTAGGAATTTTAAGAAAATGACTTTACTTGTCCATCCCAATATCTTTGGTAACATGTTATCTATAGCACACTTGTTGTGCATGATTCATGTGTTAATTATACTTATTTTTTTCCTAGCTCACCACAGAAAACATTCCTGAGATGAACATTTTCCATGAAAATCGATTAGCATTTTAAAATCTCATGTGTTACATTTTTATCTTTTATTCCTTCTCCCAGAAAAACACAACAATATCTTTAAATGGAATATTAAAAGCTTCCTTTTCGGAGAACATCAGCAGTATTTCTCCAATAGCTTGTAATAATACTAAGTAGGAAAGAACAGTGCACTGAATCACAGTCTTGCACTGTTATACAATCACTTAAGGTCAGTTACATAAGGAAATAGATAAATAAAGCAAAAGGAAACTTGTATCACATTTGTGAAAAATGCCAAGCTACATAGAATGGAACTGGCACTCAGTTAACAGTTGGCTTTATTCAGGGTCTTATTGATGACCCATCGGCCTTGCAGGCTATTCATGAAGTGAGCTCTTTTAGGTTACTTATGCCTTATGATTACAGAGCAAATAAGAGAAGAAATTCATTTCTAGTAATTAAACATGATATTACTAATTTCTTAAAGGCTTTACTAGGTCTCAAGATCTTGAAATGTCTGACTTTTAAAAAATAAAAGTGAAAATCCAAGATGTGAAAGAATCCATTTCAAAAAATAACAATTTATTAATTTTTTTCAATTTTATTTTAGATTTGGGGTACATGCACAGGTTTGCTACCTGGCATATTGCATGATGCTGAGATTTGGGATATGAATGAAAGGATCAGTTTTGATAGCCCCCTCTCTACTGACATTTTATGAGCAGGGAACTAGTGAGGAAGAATAGAGACATCACTAAATTTGGACTTAGGAAATATGATCTTGGGTCCCAGGCTTCTCTTATTAATTCTGTGATTTTGGACAGGCCACTACTTAACCTCTTTGGGCCTCAGTTTCTCTTTATAAAATGTAGACAGTATTCCCTGTCCATGTCAAAGGGCTGTTAAGCAAGCAAAATGAAACAATACATGTTAAAGTGCTTTGTAAAAGAGTGTTACACAAATATAAAATGTTTCCATTCTTGAGTTTCTTCCTAATAAGGCACATAAAGAATATATTCTGGAGGAATAGGGTTTGGGTAGTCAAGAATTTGGACATAATCTTTTGTAAGTCCTGCTCTTGATCATGATCCTCTCAGTTGCTAAAGGGATTAAGTTAGACACTTACAGAGGTGTAGTTTTTTCAACCACTTACATACACTTCTCAAGAGATCAGAACAATTGTTCCATCTCTTCAACAATCTGAAAGAAAAAGCTATGACCCTTTGTTTTCTAAGGGCCAAATATAGGCCATGTAACAATTAGATTTCATTTAACTGTCAAGAACACCCAGTTTCACACACAATTAAAAGAGAATCTGGAAAGATGCATAATGGACCGTTTGTTGGAGGGGAATATTTAACCTTATACTGATTGTATTTAAATCATGCATTTTGTTTAGAATTCAAGAGGGTATTATCGGGGTAGTGAGAACTGAGGAGAACAGGAGATTCTTTAATTGCTGCAATTCTTTATTTACTTCCTTTCCAGGGCTGTGCAGATGGATTCAATGTAGAGATCAAAGGCAAAACCTTTATAAGGCATATAAACTGAAATTACTTTTGCACCAACCTAATAGTTTATGTCCATTTTCAGAAGGGCAAGAGGGGAGCTTTAAGAGGCTAAATGACATATTAATTTATTGCACTGAAAAGTGGGATCTTGGCTGCTTATCTTAAAGCTGTATCTGACAAATATAAAATAGAGATATAAGACCGTTAGAGGAATGGTAGCAAAAAAGTTCCCCCACTTAGTAATGACCAGCTAAATATTCATGTAGCAAACATTTGGCCTGAATTATACTGATAATTGCATCAGTCCTCTATTTGACTTTGCATGTATAAACAAAGACTGGTAAATCTAATCTAGACATCGGAACCATGTTGCTGAGCTTACAGCTATTTATGTGCTTTAAGGCACTGAACTAAACATCCCATTAAGCCTTTGAAGGTTTAAGAATGGAACCACTCTTGATTTGGTTTACTTTCATCCTTAACTTTCCATGCAAACAGTACTCAAAAGAGCAAACAGCAGACTGACTGTTGATCTCAGTCTGTGTTCTAATTCTAGTTGCAAATTTGCATCAACAGTTTCACATTACTGAGTTAATCATTTTCGCTTTTTGCCAGGTCAAAATATTAATACTGGTGTTTCCTGGAGTGGCACATAAGTAATTCAATAAACACAAACTAATACAGATGCAGAGGATCAGTGCCATGTCTCTGGTTCCACCAAACGTTGAATTTCCCAATAAAGAGCTCATGATTAGGCTGTGACTAAATGAATGAGCTTTGTAAAAGAGTACAGATCTCAAAAAATGTGGAGGTTGCATTCAATTACATTTGTGAATGTTAGGAGACTGTCAACTGCCTTTGGAGTCCAAGGAGAGAGCCAGCAGACACCCTTCTCACCACCCTGGGCTTTTCATGAGAGTGGCACTGCAATATCATCATCCTAGCTTAGGGGAATTGGTGTGCAATAAGCAAGAGGCAGGACTTGGGAGTCAGGAAGGTTTGAATCCTCATTCTGCTATTTACTACAAATGATGTAACTCTTTGGAGCCTCATTTTACTGTGTGAAATGGAAACATGAGTTTTATGAGAAGTAAGTGAGTGAACATAGGTAAAGTGCCTAGAACAATGCCTGGCCCAGAAATGGCATTCAGTACACACTGCTTCCCTTCTCTTCCGACAGGTTCCTGGAGACAAAGGAAAAGGGATATCTGGTGAGGCAGTAGAGGTCTAGTTCATCCACTTAGAGATCATAGAGTCCTCCAGGTCGCAGGACTGGATGCTGAGATCTGGGTTTCGGTCCTCCATGTGGGTTCATCTAACCCTCTTCCTCTACCTCCCGTTTCAGTTTGCAACTAGGTATCAGGTGACACCAGGACCTATCAGAAGTGCAGGTGTCCATTCAGGTGCCTTAAGGACATTTTTCTTAGTCTTGTGTCTCCTGGAGAAGGATCCTTCATTATTTGTGTCCAAAGAATACTGCACCTCAAAGGAAATTAAAAAAAAAAAAAAGTCTGAAGTTGTTCTTTTAATAGATGGTGTAAGAAGTGGGATTTATTTACAGGATCTATTTCCTTAAAGTTTCAGTTTGATCATGTCACATTTAGCATAAGCGACTCCATTTTTGTTTGGCCTAGTCTGTTGGGGTCTGGTACATGAGCTTTGTCCAAAACAATGGCCTCTCATAATTGTGTTAACAATTGGCAGGGCTCTCCTATCTTACCTGATACCTGGCCTGAGGATAATACTCTGTAATCCTTAAAACTTGGAACATTTCAAGGGCTTGCCTGAGTTCTCACTTTTTGTCTCCCCACCACATGGGAGCAGATCTCCTGGGCCTTCACTTCTCTGTGGTCTAAGGGAAGACTGGGAGTATAATTTGTTGCCTTATAATTTTGGGCCCAAAGGGTATACTTCTTAAGGGAAGGGACTTTGGGAATGGTGATGACTGACACATTGACTGAGCTCATATTTCAGATAAAGTTATATTCTCCATTTCAGAGAGTGATCTTGTTTTCACAAAGGTGAATGCTGCAAACATATAATCAGCATAACATTGAAACAGTAAAGTAACAGAGGTTATTTCTGTCTCAGAAAAATATCATGTGAATAGATGCCCAAACTAGAATGGTATATTTGGAGGATAGCAATAGCTGAGTGTGGCTGAAGTCCAGGGTGGTGTGGAAGAAAATTAAATGTAAAAGTAAGTTTTAATTATAAAATAAAGAATCTTAAAGATAATGATGGAACTCCAACAACTCCAGCCATGGGCTCAGGGACAGAACTCTGATCTCCCTGGGCCTCAGCCCCTAGGGGGAGGGGTGGCTGTAGTCTCTGCGGACCAGTAAGAGGTGAAGCCAGCTGGACTTCTGGGTCAGGTAGGGACTTGGAAAACTTTTCTGTCTTACAAGAGGATTGTAAAATGCACCAGTCAGCACTCCATAGCTAGGATTGTTAAATGCACCAATCAGTGCTCTGTGGCTAGCTAGAGGTTTGTAAAATACACCAATCAGTGCTCTGTAAAAACGCACCAATCAGCACTCTGTGGCTAGCTAGAGGTTTGTAAAATGGACCAATCAGCACTCTGTAAAATGGACCAATCAGCAGGACGGCGGGAACAAACAAGGGAATAAAAGTTGGCCACCTCAGGCAGCAGCGGCAACCCGCTCGGGTCCCCTTCCATGCTGTGGAAGCTTTGTTCTTTTGCTCCTCACAAGAAATCTTGCTGCTGCTCACTCTTTGGGTCCATGCCACCTTTGAGAGCTGTAACACTAACTGCAAAGGTCTGTGGCTTCATTCTTGAAGTCAGCAAGACCACGAACCCACCAGAAGGAAGAAACTCTGGACACATCTGAAGGAACAAACTCTGGACACACCACCTTTAAGAACAATAACACTCACTGTGATGGTCCGCAGCTTCATTCTTGAAGTAAGTGAGACCACGAGCCTACCAGAAGGAACAAACTCCAGACACACCAGCAGACTTAGTCTTTCGTCCTTCTAGTTCTGAGGAATCCAGGCATCCCAGGCCAGTGGGTTTACCCCCAGTGAAGCACACCTCCTCCATCAAGGGACAGCCAAAATGTTCATTAAATGGGTCATGCTCCCTGTGCCACCCAAGTGAGACCCTCCAACAGGGGCTGTCAGACACTCTAAACAGGAGCATTCCTACTGGCATCAGGTTGGTGCCCCTCAAGGTCAGAGATCCAAGAAGAAGGAGCACACACTCATCTTTGCTGTTCTCCAACCTCCTTGAGTGACATCTCCGGGTGCGGAAGTGAACCAGATGAATAGGGCCTGAAGAGAATCCCAGAAAACCGGAACAGCCCTACAGAAGAGGGACCTGATAATTGAAAGAAAAACAAACAGAAAGCAACAACAACAGCATCAACAAAAAAGTCCCCTCAAAAACCTCATCCCAGGGTCAGTAACCTCAAAGATCAAAACTAGACAAACTCATGAAAATGAGAAAGAATCAATGAAAAAATGCTGAAAATCCAAAAGGTCAGTGTGACTCTTCTCCTCCAAATGATTGCAACACCTCTCTAGCAAGGGCATAGAGCTGCACAGAAGATGAGATGGACAAATTGACAGAAGTAGGCTTCAGAAGATGGGTAATAACAAACTCCACTGAACTAAAGGAGCATGTTCTAACCCAATGCAAAGAAGCTAAGAACCTTGATACAAGGTTACAGGAGCTGCTAACTGGAATAATCAGGTTAGAGAGAAATATAAATGACCTGATAGAGCTGAAAAACGTAGCACGAGAACTTTGTGAAGCATACACAAGTACCAGTAGCCAAATTGATCAAGCAGAAGAAGACCATCTTGCTGAAGTAAGGCATGCAGACAAGATTAGAGAAAAAAGAATAAAAAGGAATGAACAAAACCTCCAAGAAATATGGGACTATGTAAAAAGACTGAACCTATGATTGATTGGAGTACCTGAAAGAGACAGGGAGACTGGAACCAAGTTGGAAAACACACTTCAGGATATTATCCAGGAGAACTTCCCCAACTTAGCTAGACAGGCCAACATTCAAATTGAGGAACTACAGAGAACACCACTAAGATACTCCATGAGAAGATGAACCCCAAGACACATGATCATCAGATTCTCCAAGGTCAAAATGAAGGAAAAAATGTTAAGGGCAGGCAGAGAGAAAGGCCAGGTCACCTAAAAATGGGAAGCCCATCAGACTAACAGCAGATCTCACAGCAGAAACCCTATAAGCCATAGGACACTGGGGGCTAATATTCAATATTCTTAAAAGAATTTTCAACCCAGAATTTCATATCCAGCCAAACTAAGCTTCATAAGCAAAGGTGAAATAAAATCCCTTCCACACAAGCAAATGCTGAGGGATTTCATCACCACCAGGCCTGCCTTGCAAGATCTCCTGAAGGAAGCACTAAATATGGAAAGAAATATCCAGTACCAGCCACTGCAAAAACACACCAAAATATAAACACCAATGACACTATGAAGAAACTGCATCAACTACTATGCAAAATAACCACCTGGCATCATGATAACAGGATCAAATTCACACATAACAATATTAACCTTAAATGTACATGGGCTAAATGCCCCAGTCGAAAGACTGGCAAATTGGATAAAGAGCCAAGAACCATCAATGTGCTGTATTCAGGAGACCCATCTCATGTGCAAAGACACACATAGGCTCAAAATAAATGGATGGAGGAATATTTACCAAGCAAATGGAAAGCAAAACAAACAAACAAACAAGCAGGGTTTGCAATCCTAGTCTCTGATAAAACAGACTTTAAACCAACAAAGATCAAAAAAGACAAAGAAGGGCATTAAGTAATGGTAAAGGAATTAATTCAAAAAGAATAGCTAAGTATCCTAAATATATAAGCACCTAATACAGGAGCACTCAGATTCATAAAACAAGTTCTTAGAGACCTACAAAGAAACTTAGACTCCCACACAATAGTACTGGGAGACTGTAATACCCCATCATCACTATTAGATCAATGAAACAGAAAATTAACAAAGATATTCAGGACTTGAACTCAGCTCTGGATCAAGTGGACCTAATAGACATCTACAGAATTTTCCACCCAAATCAACAGAATATACATTCTTCTCAGTGCCACATGGCTCTTGTTCTGAAATTGACCACATAATTGGAAGTAAAACACTCCTCAGCAAATGTAAAAGAACTGAAATCATAACAAACAGTCTCTCAAACCACAGTGCAATCAAAGGAGAACTCAGGATTAAGCAATACATAATGTAGATAACGAGTTGATGGGTGCAGCAAACCAACATGGCACGTGTATATGTATGTGATAAACCTGGACGTTCTCCACATGTATCTCAGAACTTAATGTATAATAATAATTTTAAAAACCTCACTAAAAACCACATAACTGCATGGAAATTGAACAACCTGCTTCTGAATGACTCCTGGCTAAATAATAAAATTAAGGCAGAAATCAAGAAGTTCTTTGAAACCAATGAGAACAAAATGGCAATGCACCAGAATCTCTGGGACACAGCTAAAACAGCGTTAAGAGGGAAATTTATAGCACTAAATGCCCACATGAGAAAGCTAGAAAGACCATCTAAAATCAATACCCTAACATCACAATTTAAAGAACTAGAGAAGCAAGAGCAAACAAATCCAAAAGCTAGCAGAAGACAATAAGTAACTAAGATCAGAGCAGAACTGAGAGACACAAAAATCCCTACAAAAAATCAGTGAATCCAGGGGGTAGTTTTTTGAAAAAATTAACAAATAGACCACTAGCTAGACTAATGAGGAAAGAGAGAAAAATCAAATAGACATAATAAAAAATTATAAAGGGGATATCACTGCTGATCCCACAGAAATATAAACTACCATCAGAGAATACTATAAACACTTCCATGCAAATAAACTAGAAAATCTAGAAGAAATGGATAAATTCCTGGACACATACACCTTCCCAAGACTAAACCAGGAAGAAGTCGAATCCCTGAATAGACCAATGACAAGTTCTGAAATTGAGGCAGTAATTAATAGCCTACCAACCAAAAAAAAAGCCCAGGACCAGACGGATTCACAGCTGAATTCTACCAGAGGTAGAAAGAGGAGCTGGTACCATTCCTTCTTAAACTATTCCAAATAATTGAAAAGAGGGGACTCCTCACTAATTCATTTTATGAGGCCAGCATCATTCTGATTCCAAAACCTGGTAGAGACGCAACAACAACAAAAAAAACTTCAGGCCAACATCCCTGATGAACATCGATGGAAAAACCCTCAGTAAAATACTGGCAAACTGAATCCAGCAGCACATTAACAAGCTTATCTACCATGATTGAAGTTGGCTTCATCCCTGGGATGCAAGGCTGGTTCAACATAAGCAAATCAATAAACATAATCCATCACATAAACAGAACCAATGTCAAAAACCACATGATTATCTCAGTAGATGCAGAAAAGGCCTTTGATAAAATTCAACATCCCTTCATGTTAAAAACTCTCAATAAATGAGGTATTGATGGAACATATCTCAAAATAATAAGAGCTATTTATGACATATCCACAACCAATATCCTATTAAATGAGCAAAAGCTGAAAGCATTCCTTTTGAAAACCGGCACAAGACAAGTATGCCCTCTCACCACTCCTGTTCAACATAGTACTGGAAGTTCTGGCCAGAACAATCAGGCAAGAGAAAGAAATAAAGCATATTCAAATATGAAGAGAGGAAGTCAAATTGTCTCTCTTTGCAGATGGCATGATTCTGTATTTAGAAAACCCCATCGTCTCAGCCCAAAATCTCCTTAAGCTGATAAGCAACTTCAGCAAAGTTTCAGGATACAAAATCAATGTGCAAAAATCACAAGCATTCCTATACACCAACAATAGACAAGCAGAGAGCCAAATCATGAATGAACTCCCGTTCACAATTGCTACAAAGAGAGTAAAATACCTAGGAATACAGCTAACAAGGAACATAAAAGGAGAACTACAAACCATTCCTCAAGGAAATAAAAGAGGACACAAACAAATGGAAAAACATTCCATGCTCATGGAGAGGAAGAATCAATATCGTGAACATGGCCATACTGCCCAAAGTAATTTAAAGATTCAATGCTATTCCCATCAAACTACTGTTGACATTCTTTACAGAATTAGAAAAACTACTTTAAATTTCATATGGAACCAAAAAAAGCACGTTTAGCCAAGACAATCCTAAGCAAAAAGAACAAAGCTGGAGGCATCATGCTACCTGATTTCAAACTATACTGCAAGGCTACAGTAACCAAAACACCATGGTACTAGTACCAAAACAGACATATTGACCAATGGAATGGAACAGAGACCTCAGAAATAATACCACACATCTACAACCATCTGATCTTTGACAAACCTGACAAAAACAGGCAATGGGGAAAGGATTCCCTATTTAATAAATGGTTCTGGGAAAACAGGCTAGCCATATGCAGAAAACTGAAACCGAACCTTTTCCTCACACCTTATACAAAAATTAACTCAAGGTGGATTAAATACTTAAATGTAAAACCCAAAATCATAAAAAAGCTAGAAGAAAACCTAGGCAATATCATTCAGGACATAGGCATGGGCAAAGATTTCATGATGAAAATGTCAAAAGCAATTGCAACAAAAGTGAAAATTGACAAATGGGATCTAATTAAACTAAAGAGCTTCTGCACAGCAAAAGAACCTATCATCAGAGTGAACCTCTGTCATTGCAGCTCTTTTGGCTTCTCTGTCTGCCTTTCTGTTTCCTGTAGCCTCAGCACCTCCTCTGTTTGATGCCCTTTACAATGGATGACTGCTACTTCTTTTGGAGCCCATACAGCATCTAAGAGGTGCTCTATTTCCTTTTTATTTTTGATTTCCTTTCCTTCAGTTGTTAATGATCCTCTTTCCTTATATATGGATCCATGGGCATGCAAAGTGGCAAAAGCATACCTTGAGTCAGTATAGATGTTTACTGACTTTCCTTTGGCCAAGAGCAATGCTTTAGTGAAAGCTATTAGCTCAGCTCTTTGGGCTGAAGTTCCGACTGGCAGAGGGTGGGCTTCAGCTACTGAATTCAGTGTTACCACTGCATATCCAGCCTCTCTGACAATTTCAGATATGAAGCTGCTTCCATCAGTAAAGTATTCAACATCTGGGTTTTTTGTTTGTTTGTTTGTTTGTTTGTTTTTTGTGAGATGGAGTCTTGCTCTGTCGCTCAGGCTGGAGTGCAGTGGCACGATCTCAGCTCACTGCAAGCTCTGCCTCCTGGGTTCACGCCATTCTCCTGCCTCAGCCTCCCAAGCAGCTAGGACTACAGGTGCTCGCCACCACACCCAGCTAATTTTTTTGTATTTTTTAGTGGAGACGGGGTTTCACCATGTTAGCCAGGATGGTCTGGATCTCCTGAACTTGTGATCTACCTGCCTTGGCCTCCCAAAGTGCTGGGATTACAGGCATGAGCCACCGTGCCCGGCCACATCTGGGTCTTTTAAGGGCTGGTCCTTTAAGTCTTTTCAGCTTGAGGAAACCTCATCCATTGTTTCCACACAGCAATGATACCCTGGGCCATACAACGAGGGCTTTCCATGCTCTGTCCATTCTATTGGCAGCAGTGTGGCTGGTTATGTAGGGGTTTTCACACAAAATTCCTTGATATCTTAACATCCTAGAGTTAGAAAGCCAGCGATACCCCCTTTGCTCCAATTATAGTTACATAATTTTTAGACAATGGCCCAATCACTTGAGTTACTACTGAGTGCTCCGCACCAGTATCAACCATAAAGTCTGTTTTTCAGCCCTCTACCTCCATTGAGACCATAGGCTCCTCCGGGCCTAATGAAATGGAGCCCAGTCTGTCTCAGTCCTCATAATAATCATTGATTCCTGCTAGTCCGATTAATTCCATGTCTGACTTCTGAAACCCTTGACTGGTGGCAGGGGGCTCTGGCCAGCTCTTTTGTCCTGGATTGTTGCCTCTATCCTTTTCTCTTTCTGGGCATTCATTCTTCCAGTGTCCCATCTGCTTGCATCTCACACATTGATCTCTCTCAAGCCTAAGTCAGCCCTCTCATCCTGGCTTAGCTTCCTGGTTTTGCCTAGCTAGTCCTCTATCATGACTGCAACCACGACCACATCCTCTCACAAAACCAGTTTCTCTTCCAACTAAGACTGCTGCCAGCAAGTCCGCCCTTTTCTTTAGATCTGCGTCGAGCTTCTCTCTTGGCCTCATCCCAACTTACAAACACCTTAGTAGCCACCTGGATAAACTGGGTAACATTCATGCCTTCAAACCCTTCTAACTTCTGAAGCTTTCACTTTATGTCTCCTTGCACCTGGGTTACAAATGCTGCATTAACCATACACTGATTACCTGCAGCCTCTGGGTCAAATGGTGTGTAAAGCCAGTAAGCCTCACAGAACGTCTCATAAAATTCACCGGGACTTTCATCTGGCTTCTGGTGGACCTCTGAGACCTTTCCAATATTGGTGGCCTTTTTTCCTCCAGCCCTTATTCCATTAGAAGTGCCTCTCAATACCGCTGCAAACTTTGTAGCACTTGAGCCTGGTTAGGGTCCCAGGCTGGGTCAGCCTCTCTCGGGAGTGCTTGTTGTGCATACTGCCTGGTATCTCGTGTGCCTACAAGCGCATTGTTCTCCAGCCACTGGAGAGCGACTTCTATAACTCTACAGCACTCTTCCATATTAAATAATGACAGAAGAAGTTGTTTGCAATCAGCCCAGGTAGGATTGTGAATTAGGAAAATAGACTGCATTAGATCTATAAGAGCCTGAGGCTTCTCTGTATAGGAGCAAGTATGTTGTCTCCAATTTAAGAGATCAGTAGTAGAGAAGGGCTGATAAACGAAGAGCTTTTCTCCTCCCTAGACTTCATTCTGTGCATTCAAATAAATTTGTCCCAGTGTTTCTCGGAGGGGCATCTGCATTGCTCGGGCACGGCCCGACCTAAGGTGGCCGACCTCATCCACCTGGAGTTCCTCCCTTGGCTTTTCAGGCAAGGGCTCTGGCTCCTCTCTGTGTGGTGTTGTCTGAGGGGTGCTTTCTTCTGAGTCTGAGCCTCTGGAGGCAGCTGGGGTAGCCTCCTGTCCAAGCCTTGCCAGGGATGGATAAATTGGTGCACAGGGGGTGGACTTTCTAACACTTCAGGTTGGGCCTGTAGGACAGGTTTTTTCTGCTTTTCCTGTAACTCCTATTCTTTTTCTGATGCCTTGCAGCCTCTTTCTATTGTCCCTGGTTTTGTCTGGGCCATTAGTGTCTTACAGTACGTCTCAAAGCAGGCCTGCAGCCACTTAGGGTGCGTCTGAATTACACTTAGCCAGGAGTTGATATACGGAAACTGATCCCAGGTGCCCAGGCTGTTCCCCAAGCCTGGTGACTACCCGAAACATTTAGCCAATTATCTCCCTGTCTGTTGTCCCCTTGGCCAGCCACCCTGCATTAAAAGACGGCCAGTCTATCTCACAAAGGGTTCTCAGTTTCTGTGGAGTTAGCTTAATCCCATAATCACCATTAAAACCTTTTTTAAAGTGTTTCAGCATGCACTACAGTGGAGTAGGCCTTGACACTTTTCCTCCCATTTCCTCCCTCATGATGCACTTTCACTCTGGGATCCACCAGAACGAGTCCTATTACGGGAGGTTCAGACACTGCTTAGCCAGAAGTGTGCATTAATTCCTGTCACAGCTAGCTGCAGCTGTGGAACTTGTCCTATGGGCTGTATGCAGTGTCCTAGGTCTGCTTTTTCCTACACTCTCCTCAGAGCACACAGTCCATGCTAAGAGATCTGTGCCTCCCCACGTCACGCCCCGCGTTGGTCTCTCCCGAGACCATCTCTTTCACACACTTTCACACACCTCCCCCGTCCCCGAAACGGTTTGCCTTTCTGACTGACTCATGAGCCCCACCCATGTCGGGTGTCAGGGTGTGAGTTTTGTCCGAATCAATGGGCCTCTCCCATTGTCCCAACCCCCTTGGGTTGGACTAGTCATCATGCCCTGGGAGGTGATCAGAGTCCCCTTCCGTCCTTATGGGACGGGTCTTGCCTTAGGGCCCAAACCTTACCATGGTTCATATGTCTGAGTGCTGCTCCTGTGACTGTCCTGCAACTCCTTTTACCAGTTCCATTTCTGCTGTCAGGGAGGGCTCCGGAACACGGAAGGTAATTCTCCTTCCGGGCTGAAACTCTCGGTGGTGCCAAGGACCCCGGTCTCCCACGTCCTGGGGCTCTAGCCTACAGGCAAAGGAGACAGAAAATCTGCCATCTCCAATCCCAGATGAGCCCCCAGAAATGTTGTGGAACAATCAAACACAGGAGAGACTGAAAAAGGTTCAGGAGAGTTTATTAAATTAAGGTGATCACTGGCTCAGCCGGACATACGTCCAGAAAGTCTGAGCCCCAAACAAAGGGCTTTTCCTACTTTTAAACATCTTAAGGCAGGAACTACGTGAGGTGGGAAGCAAGTTGCAGAAGCAAGAAACAAAGGCAGCATTACAATATTTCTTATATCTTGAGAGAAACATGTCTTACAACCTAAACTTAACAGTCTTGTGACCCTGCAGCCGTGCAGGAACTTGCTGGGCCTGTAATAAACTTTAAGGAATGTGGAGTTGGGGAGTATAGATAAGGTCCACTGTCCACAGAGAGAAGACAGGCTGTTGATATTCTCTTTTAACTTGAGTGTAAGGGAGGGGGTCACACTTTGCAGCAACTTTAAAAGAATATTAAAATTTCTATTACTACTACTATTAGGTTATAGTTGATTTCATTAATTCCTTCGTTAATACTGGTACAGGAAAATGAAGAATTTTAAACCTATTAAATACAGTCACAAGAGTAATAGGCAATTTTTAAAGCTTATAAATTAACAGATAATATAAAAGTATAATATTTAAAATGTAACTATTGTGCATGAAAACAAAAGAAGAAAACAAAACCAGAAATATTGAAAAGTTATTGCCCCTGAAATGGAGGTTCATTATAGGATAAGGAGTAGTGTGGTAGAAAACTGTATTTTATTGTAAACATTTTTGTACTATTTTTTAACCATATAATTTATTTTGAAAAAAAATTATTATATTTTTGTAGTTCTTAAAGTTTCCCTTCGGCTGCCATGTACTGGGTCTTTTCTTTCTTCAAATGTTTGCCCCAGATAGGAATGGGCTACACATCTCCATGGATCCTGTTCTCTTTGGGCTCAGTCCTGTCTCTGAGTCATTACAACTCTCTCCCATTCTTATTCAGTGAGTTTAGTCATTTCTTTTTATCCCCAGAGCCACCCGGTGTTCAGCAAACAAAGAAGCCTCCAGGTACCAGAATCTACCCTTCTTAGAAGGCAGCAGGTATTACAAATAACAAAAAGCCACAAAACATGCAAGAACTAAAATGTTTTGTCACAGTTTTTTGTTTTTGTTATTTTCCCATCACAACTTGGAAAACTGCATTCTTATCACAGTCCTTGGAATATTTGAAGAAGGCTAATGAGCTGTTCCTTTAGCCTTAACTCCTTAAATCTGTCCTCTTTTCTTTAAACTAAATTGTCTCCAGGTTTCCAACTCTTTGTCACAGGCTGCTTTCAGCTCTTTGTCAGGGTATAGAAGCTTTTCTATCCTTCAGACAAGCTTCTGTTTGTTAATGTCCCGTTTAACGGTAGCTCCCAGGACAGAACATGGTGCTTTTGATGTGTCTTCCCTATTATGTAGGACCAGATAGGAGAGGACAGGCCAACCCTTTTCTTGGATTCAGATATTGTTTGTTTTTGTATTATTAATTGAAAAATGCCCATTTTTATGTGGTCACACTTTACTAATTCCAATTGCCTGATAAATGCTCGTTGGAGTGGTGAGTGTTGTGTGTTCCTTCCTTCCTATTAAATGTTAATTTTGAAGGCCAAAAGCTTATTTGCTGATGTGAAAAAAAAATTCATGGAAGGAGAACCAATGGGAGATATCATTGTACAAAATGATGTCATTTTTAACCTTCCTCTTGGATTACTTTATTGACTAATAATATTTGCATCCTTATTCATTTCCTGAATTCAGTCATTCAATCCATTTCACTTAAGGGCTTATTCTTGGTTGTCAGTGGTGAGTGCTAAGGCAGCATGGATTTAGAGGGAAAATGGGATTCACTCTGAGCAGATACAGGGTAACTAGGAGAGAATTTTTGTCTGTTGATTTCCAATTAGTGAATCTGCAACATTAGAAGGATAGAAAAAGAATAAGCAGAGAACAATGTCAAAGGTCGATGGTCTCAAAGTTGTTAGGAAAAGGAAGACATTGAATTAAAATAAACCAAAAATGGAATAATTTCTGAACAAAATTATTGGGCTCATCAAAAACCAGGAAAGTAGCATCTATACTACAGACTCTATAGGTAAAATTACTATAAAGCTGTTCTGTACAAATGTCCAGCATGTAGCATCATGCATGGTACACTATAGTTAACAAGCAATTATTGTATAACAACATGCACTTGTAAATTGATAAATTGGAGAACTTTAACTCCATAGCCTCCATAACTTCTTTCAACTTCAACATTCTATGAATCTAAAATTGCCAAGTCTTCATATTTATTCTCTCAGCCCTGCTAGTCCATGCCATCCTTTCTAAGTCAGCCACGTATGTGCATGGCAGCTGTCACAAAGAACCTCCCGCAAAAATTAAATTCTGCTCTAGGCAATTCCTGAATTATCCTATACTTCTTCACTGCTTTTAACTTTAGACTGCTTTGATCTTAGATCCCCAGTTCTATACACGCAGTTTCAATCTCTGTTTTTATTCTGGGTCTTAATGGCCATCTCTTTGTCCTCTCATTTTCCTTGACGTGGCTTCCCACAAGGTCTCAACTCTGTACTTTTCCCAGTTTAGGCATCTGCCAAAGGTATCCTACCTTGTTTCTACCACCATTGTAAGAAGGAGGATTTGCCACATTTCTTCAGTACTAATCCTCTTTATCACAGTCTCTCTTCCTTTCTAGCTCTGAAAAGAGTTGCTGCTATTGCTGTTTTTACTTCCTCCCTTCCCATTCACTCTTATGCCTGCTGTAACAGCCTTGCTTCTGCCTTCATCACTAGACCTCACTTTTTTTTTTTTTTACCAAGATGACTAGTGATGAATCAAACTGTTGGTATCTTCAAAGTGGGTGCCTGAATGCTTAACTCATAAGACTATGTGCAGAATTCAACATTCACCCCTGAATAGACACACTTTTCTACAGTTTTTCTTTCTCATCTTCCTTAAGATCTGTTTCCTCCATTTCTTCCTGGGATTCTCTCTGAGATCGCTTCTCTTCTAGCTCTGCAAAGTAGAGCTAGAGGACCATGCTCATCCATTTCCATGACTAATGTCAACTATCACCCATATTCTCAAACTTCTCCCTTGAGTTCTTGATCTAAATATCCTGTGCATACTAGTGAGCACCCCATACCCTATTATCACATCACATACTGTGAAATGAATCTAATATTTTCTTTAAAATGTAACGTTAAATCAGTGTCATCTATTTTAAAATAACATGGTATATGTATTCTAGGAATTGTATACATTTCTGTTAATAAAAATCTTAGGTTTCTGATCTTAAAATCTTAGAAGTATAAAAATTACTGAACCATATATGAAAAATAACATTAACTAACATATTTAGGTACGTACTATGTGTCAGGAATTGCTTTACGTCCTCTGATTTATAAAAATCACTGAATTCTTAGAACAACTTTATAAAGTAGTACTATGATTATTTGCATTTTACAGATGAGGTATCTCAGGTACAGAGAATTATAACAACTTTTCCAAGGTCACCTAAAAAGAAAGTAGAATAGGACTTGAATCCATGCACTGAATCAGGGTCTGAGTTTTTAATCAGCTTGTACTGCCTCTCAAGAAGGACCTTGAGAAACTGCAGGAAATTGCTAATGAAACATTTAGAAGACATTAGAAAAAAGATCACATAGATGATTAGATGAAATGACTCTCTTTGAAAATAAAGATAGGAAAACTTTCTGAAAACTGAAAATGATTGAAAATACGAGGAAAATCTAGTACAAAGTAGGGAAACCTGCATGCTGTAACCAAGGTGCAAAACTTTATATAGAAATTTGGGCTGCAGTTGAAGCACTGCCATCAATATGTTGTTTTATTCAGGAGACTAATTGTGTTTACAATGGAATTTGTATACTACATATGTAAATAAAAGACATTGATATTAAAAAAAACCAGTAAGACCTCTGTAAGATCTGCTAGAGTGAGGCCGGGCGCGGTGGCTCGCGCCTGTAATCCCAGCACTTTGGGAGGCCGAGGCGGGCGGATCACGAGGTCGGGAGATCGAGACCATCCTGGCTAACACGGTGAAACCCCGTCTCTACTAAAAATAAAAAAAATTAGCCGGGCGAGGGGGCGGGCGCCTGTAGTCCCAGCTACTCGGGAGGCTGAGGCAGGAGAATGGCGTGAACCCCAGGGGGCGGAGCCTGCAGTGAGCCGAGATTGCGCCACTGCACTCCAGCCTGGGCGACAGCGAGACTCCGTCTCAAAAAAAAAAAAAAAAAAAAATCTGCTAGAGTGACATATAGTATGTTGGGTACAACCAGATTTGGTTACGTGTTTTTCATTAATCACTGGAGAATTTTATTTTCTCTTTTGTGAATTGCTCATTGAGTACATTGACAATGCCCAGAAAGCTCTGTAATATAAACAGTTAACAACTTTAAAAAGAAACTATAAATACTGGCCAATTTGGAAAGGGAATTGAAATGGATTTGAGTGAATGACCTTCCTACTTTGCCCAAGACTGGAAATCTTGTATCCCGAGAAACTTCTCAGTCCCAGGCAAATTGGAATGGTTGGTCACATCTCGATCCAACTCTGTGAATTAAAAACCTTGCATTACAAAACTTTAGGCAAACCCCTAAATCCTGGGAATCCCACTTTCATCATCTGTGTAATCAGTCATCTCCCCTACCTAAAGGGGCTACATGGGCGGAGGAGTCACTGAGTCAGTGTAGGTGTGTGTGGCCTTGAGACTGTGGTTCTGTTAATGTGGAGCACCTGTACTTCTCCACGACATATATCACACTTAGAATTAGTTGTATAATGCCTGTGTTTCTCATTTTTTCTCTCCTTTATAGCTACAGTTGGTGCCTTATATATAGCTTGTGATTAATAAATGTGTTGTATAATCAAAGGTATGCACAAGAGGCCTTGGAATAGAAAGGTGGTCATAGTATAGATGTGCTTCTTTGCTCTACTGCCCTCACCTCCACCCCTCTATGCCATCTTTCTCTATTACTCCTCACCACATAAAAATACTTTCTTAATTGGCCATATCCACTGCTGATGGGAAGCAGGTGGGAGGCTCTTTGGAGATTGCAGGGTGGTGTAACAGAGCAGGGGTCTGTAGGGGGAGGTAGCAATGGGGGGCAGAACATAATAGACTTTGTGTGGAATATACTTATACTAGCTGTGCTGCTTCTGAGGAGGAAATATAATAACCACACATATTTTTTACAGACTTTGAAAACTGTTGGATGATATTACTTTGTAGAGATGAAGGTGTCATTGTAAATATTTACCTTTCGAGCCTTCTTTTCCTTATTCTACAAAACCTTCTGAGTATTCTTGGTCAATAAGAGAGGGGGTGGTGGGGGAGGGTGATTGATTTCAGAAAGAAAAAGCTTATTTTAAGTGATCAATAAAGCTAGGATTTGAATAATGTGTTTTAAAATTACAGGGTTGGAGCTATGCACTAATACATAAAGAGAATGATAGCAGTAATTTTCACAGATGTCATATGAATGAACCAAAAAAAAATCAATGTAGCACAAAAATTCAGTGACCTGAATATATTACTTATATTTATATTTGAAAACTGGGTACAATATAAATGTCTCTATTGAGGCAGTATGAATAAGCATTTACGTAATCTTAAATGACAGAATACTTTATTTAAAATTTTAAAGGCTTATATTTGTGACAATTTTGTTCACAGAAACTGCATACATACTATGGATTTTTTTGGCCAACTTTCTAGTTTAAAACTCTTTTTCTTTGGCAGTAGAAGCCTTACCTATGGGTGCTTTGTAAATATCCACTGTCAATAAAATAAGAATATTGTGGAGAAAAGGATTTATATCATATACTGGAAAATTATATCAAGGAAACCCAGGTCACGCAGTCTGGATGGTGGAAAACAGATGTCAAACATAAGTATATTTGGTTGGAAGTAACAGAGTTAGCTTATGCAAAGGAAAAGATTTATTATAAGGATCTGAAGATATCTCCTGGAACTCAGGGACATAAAAGCAGCCAGGTTTCAGGAAAGGCTGTCTCTGAAGCCTGCGCAATCATCTCAGAAATAGATGCTGCTTGTCACAAGAGAGCAGGAAAGAGTGTAGATGACTCAGTGCGGCTCCACCAGAGTTTCTAGGAAAACATTCACTCTGACAAGCAAATAAACTGTAAGACCTCTGAATTTGAGTCCAGTCTGAGTCTCCCTACATGAAACACATTAAAAGCAAAAGACATTTACTTTTTCATTTCCCCAATTATGCTTCTTTATTTTTTTCTCCGAAGAACATTTTGCTTAAAATAAAATGTTATTACCAGCACCTGGCTTCCTATGGCAAAGACTGTCAAATCTTTAAGTGCAATTCTTTTTTTTGCATTTAGACCTATTGTAGTAGGAGTCTGGGAGTCTGTTCACACATTTTAATGAAAGCACCTCACCCTCAGGATTTCTCAAATCTATGTGACCCTAAATAAAATGAGGAATTGTAATTAAGTGGGAATTTCTGGTTGTGTACAGAGCCAAAATACTTAATTCAAAATAGTAAAGTAAATTTCAGTCTAAATTGCTTGATTGATGTACCTTGCCTAAAGTGATCACGTTTATTTTTACAGACATGGTTGCTAGTACTTGATGAAAGGACTGTTTTCTTGGTTCTACCAAGTTCATACATTTCGAATGAAAAATTATATGCCTCCTTAGGGATTCCTTCAGAATTCTTCTCTCTTAAAGCTGTTTCTTCAGGATTTTTTAGGGAAAGAGCTCTGATCAATTTGTGATTTTCCTTATGAATCAGAAGAACTTGTGAATTACATTTTATTCATTCCTTCAACAAATGTTTTTTGACATCTCGCCCTATTCCAGGTACAGTTTGAGGGACTTAGAATTTATCAGTGAATAAAACAAAAAAGAAATATGGAGCTTACATTCTAATGGGGGAAGACAACTATCAATAATAAACATAATACATTGTAAGTCACATATACTCGAAGGTGGCAAGTGCTACGCAAAGGAAAATAGAGCAAGGTAAAGAGGGCTGGGAGTGTGTTGGGGGGAATTATCAGTTTCACTTTAAAATGGAATGGTTCGTGTAGAGTTCCTCCAGCAGGTGACATTTGGAGCAAAGTCTTGAAGAAGGTGATAAAATTAGTGCTCCTGAGAGAGGCAGTTTGCAGGCTCAGAGGATAGTGACTGCAAAGGTCCTGGCATGTGCACGGGCAGCAAGGAGGCCAGCATCGCTGGAGTGGAATGAGCCAGCAGCAGGGCAGGAGTCAGAGAAAGAGGGAGCTCGAAGTCAGTTTCTGTGGGCCTCTTAGAATATTGAATCCATGTTCTCTCCAAATTCATAGGTTGAAGTCCTAAACTCTAGTACCTCAGAATGTGACCTTCTTTGGAAATAGGGCCATTGCAGATGTAATAAGATGAGGTCATATTGGAGTAAGTGGGTCCTTAATACAATATGACTAGTGTCCTTATAAAAAGGGGAAATTTGGACCCAGACACACATGTGGGGAGAATGTCATATGAGGATTAAATCAAAGACTGGAGTGATGTTTCCACAAGTTAAGAGATGTCAGTGATGGCCAATAAACCACCAGAAGCTAGGAGAGGCCATGGAACAGATTCCCCCTCACAACCCTTAGAAAGCAGCAATCCTGCTGACATGTTGATCTTGGTCTTTTGGCCTCTAGAACTGCAAGACAATACATTTCTGTTATTTAAGCCACCCAGTTTGTGTGGTTCTTTGTTACTGTGGCCCTAGCAAACTACTCCATAGGAAATTGTAAGGACTTTGGCTTTTACCCTGGGTGAGATGGAAGGTGTTGCAGAGTTTTGAGCGAAGGCAGGACATGATCTGATTTCCATTTTAAAAGGATAGTTGTGGATGCTGTGTAGGGATACACTGTCAAGGAGCAAAGGTGCAATACTGAGGTCATATATACAGGCCAGAGGTGATGGTGTTCCTAACCAGAGCAGTAGCACTTGATTAGTGAGAAGTGGAGATTATTGTGAAGGTAGAGGTGACAGATTTAGCTACTGCCTAGAAGTCTCATAGAACAAACATCAGAGAAGATTTTCTGATAGATTGGATGTGGAGGATGAGAGAAAGGGAGGTGTCAGGGATGACTGTAAGGTGTTTGAATTGAAATACTTGAAATGCAATGAGTACTTTCCCATTCACTGAAATGAGAAAGACTGTAGTTGGTGGGTCTTGTTTGGTTTTAGTGAAAGGAGGTCAGAGTTTTGGTTCTGGACATGTGAAGTATGAGTTTTCTAATGACAGTCAAGTGAAAGTACAATCAAGGAGCAGCACAAAATGTATTCATGTCCCTTTAATGGTGCTGAAAGATGCTAACAGAGATAAAATCCATCAGAATGTAAGGAAGTAGAATGCAGAGATCTAATGCAGATGAATTTAACCACAGGTATTTAGGGGCCTAGATGGATAAAATAGCATTAAGGAGTTAGATACACATAAAGATGCAATAATGCTGCAAGGTAAGTTTTAATTAGAAGTTTCACAAAAACACTTCTTTTCTCAAGACCTATCTGCTACTTTCCATAACATGCATTATTCATGATGTGTGTTTACTGAAATGGGTTGAAGAAGCCCAGTGAGAGGAACCAGTCATGAGAAGTATGACTACAATGCTCTTTCTTTGCCATGACGGATGACTTTTCCTAGTGCACTACCTCTTCAGCTTTCTGTATATTTAGTGTTGCAAACTGGCTTACATCTCTGTTCAGCTACAATTAATTATGCTGAAATTCGTATTTAATGCTCCCTCCCTCCTGAAAAAAATCAATATCCATGACCATTAGTCTCCAAGTTATTTTCATGAAGCATTTTAGAGTCCATTAGAATGCAAATGAAAAGGAGTGATCTCAGGCCTGATATTTTCAGAATTAAGGGGCTTTTAAAAGTGTTTATTTTGAACTTTTAGAAGCAGTAACATTTGAGGCAAACTCCAAGAGCCAGCAGCACTTTCATTGGGTATTTTGAGAGCTGTTTTCTTGTGGGTGATGGCGGAGGCAGCAATTGGGAGGTAGCTGGTGGTCTGCTGAGCCTTTTCCATGGCAAGCAGCCAGCTGGGGCGGAGGCTGCAGGGTGTGGGTGTGCGGGGAAGCTGCAAGGGGAGGGAGGTGTGAGAAACAAGAAGAGATGGTAGAAAATGTTCTAGAAGGCAGGAGAGGCAGGCAAGGAGGTGGGAAGCAAAGGCTGAGGGAGAGCGTCTTGCATAGTTAATGGTCGTATAACAATATGGGTTGAAATTCCATTTGGTTCATTGGCTTAAAAATGATAGGAGGAAGATTATCTCATGATTAAGATGAACACAGCAATCATTGTTTTAATACCTCTTGGATACGAGGCACAGTATAAGGCCTTTGTCAGATGTGAACACCCTTGTCCCAGCATTTGGAACAAGTCTCCTCATGCTGTTGATTTCATGAATTTTGGGTACCCAGACTCCCCCCCATTTTTGCTCGCCCCCAGCACACCTAAAAAAAGTTTGAAGTAAAGTGCACAGATACACTTAGCATAGTTATCTGATTGTAGATTTAGCAACTGCTTGGAAGTTTCCTAGAACAAACAGCTAGAAAGAAGCAAAATAAATAATACAGACTGGAATCCTGTGACCTAAGAAATTCGTATTTCTATCTGTAACAAAAATTTTCCCAAAGCCCTGAAATCACACCATGATTTTGTTTCTATCTGAAACAAAAAATTCTTTTGTTTCATCCACAATTCTCAAGGGGTAGAGGGGAGTGTTTTCTCAGCTCGCCATCTCAGGATCACAGTTGTAGAACTAAAACTCATTTCTATTATTTTCAGAAGCAGGAAGTGACTTTCTTGCCTGAGGCATAGCCTCAATTGCCACCTGGATCACTGAGACATTCTAAAATCTTTCCTGTGAAAGGAAATCCTAAACTCTTACAGTGAAGGGCAGAGAGAGACACACCTTTCATCTGTGCAACATCAACTTTTGTTTCAAATGCCATTTGTTTTTCCTCTGTGTTCTGTTGATTTTACCTTTCTTGGACAGAAATACTTGAATTCTTCCTTAAGAACCTCCCTTCAAAGGCAGAGCTTGAGTTCCTCACTTCTATGGTAAATCCCTGTCATCTCATTGACTCTGTATGGCTATCCCATAAACTACATGAGATTAGCTGGGTGTCACAGATAAGGAAACTGCAGTTCAGAGATGTAATTTGGCTGGGGTGACACAGTAAGTGAGTAATTAGCAGGAGTTTGAAGCCAGGTCACCCAAATCCCAATTCCCAAAACTCAAGTTTCTCCACTACATTGAAGAACCTGGCTGAGCAGACAAGGATGGGGGAGGGCATTTTAAGCAGAGGAAA
This sequence comes from Homo sapiens, assembly GCF_000001405.40. Classification (NCBI taxonomy): domain Eukaryota; kingdom Metazoa; phylum Chordata; class Mammalia; order Primates; family Hominidae; genus Homo; species Homo sapiens. Next base: position 47,121,751 of record NC_000013.11, read on the forward strand.
TTCATGTAATTAGGTGGAAATGCCCAGAACATCTGGGGAAGTATCCTGGTTCAGAGTGTCCAAGATGCATTGGGGAGCAGTAACGTAAATAAGCAAGTTGATCAGTCAGTCTTGGGATGAAGCTGGAGGTTTTTATGTTAGTGACATGCATACATACATAGGTATCACGGTGGTGCTCAGAACCATTGCTGGAGTGTGCAGTTGCCTCACATGTTGTGCTCTGGGAAAATATTTCTGTCCCCTGCCCTCCAAAATTTCTCTTTTATAGGCCTCTTCCTGATGCAGAATTTCTAGCCTTAAAAGTGAGCTCTTTTAGGTTTTTAATAAAGTATATTTTTTATTAAAGGGCATGTAGCTTTTTGGAACCAAAGATATTAAATTAGCACATTAAGTATTCTCAAGTACTCACACCCTTTTCACTCATTCATTCATTCATCCATCCACTCACTCATTCCTTCACGATGTATGTTTCACCTAATCATTCTATTGGGTAGAAAACTATAAAAAGTGAGTCATAACAGTTCCTGATCTCAAGATTTGTTTCTAGTTGTGGAAGCGCACTATGAAATGCACTGAAATAAAAACTTTGATAGATGATTGTGCAGGAACTGTGGCCATGAGAACTCACTCAATAAATAGTTGTTGAATTACAGAATGTTTTCTTGATAATACAAAAGCAAGCTCCTTTAAAGGATAAACAATTTACTAGGTGATGTGGGCAAGCCTAAGGTGGGAGGGCTCTAAGAAGAGAGAGCCGCATGTGCAGAAGCTCAGAAATGAGAGCAAGAGCCACACTTCAGGAATGAAATGTGAGGTAAGTGTGCACAGGCGAGTATTAGACTGGGTCTGAGGAGCAGTAATGAAAGATGAAGACAGTTCAGCAAGAGAAAGAACGTCAACGGCTCCTTTTTTTCTTTTTTTTTTTTTTAAATGGTAAGGATTTTGATTTTATCCTGAATGCAATGGGGATTATTGATGGATTTTAAACTGGAGGATGATGTAATAAAGATTCATGATTTAGAAGGAGGCAGTGCAGAAAATATTTGAGAGGTGGTTGCATCTGTAGGCAAAGAGATCTAAGCAAGAGTTGATGAGGATCCCAGCAATGGATGCATCCATGAGTGTGTGAGGAAGAAGAGTATATATATATAATATATATAAATATATATTATATATATCTCATATATGTATGAAAGAGAATATATATATGTATATAGTATGGTATGTGATTGGGTCAAACATGTACATATGTACATATATACATGTATACATGTATACATATATACATATGTACATATTGTATACATATATACATATATAGTATATATGTATATATGTATATAGTATGGTATGTGATTGGGTCAAACATATGTACATATGTACATATTGTGATATATATACATCTCCACCCAATGTCAAACATATATACATATGTTTGACCCAATCATATACCATAATAAATCATATATATATATATATGAAACATTGGGTGGAGATGTAAAGGGTATGGTTGGCTATTGGACTGCTGCCTTGCCATGAATTAAGAAATACAGGAAGAATAACAAATTGTTCTTCTCTCACATCTTATTTCTGGGAGTAGGGACAAATGGAGAGCATTAATTCAATTTGGGTCTGAAGCACTAATGGGACATCCACAGTGGAGCTGAGCACAGGTAATTGACTGTGGGGGATTTACTAAGAACTGAAGCCCACCCTGTGGGGCCACATGGGGATGACCTGGTATGTGGTCTCCCTTGTGAGCACACATACTTCTCTGCATCCCTGCATGACATCGGTAAGTCAGGAGAGAGCTCTGTGCTGGGAAATAGATATTTCAGTGTAGAGTTGAAACCATAAATGAGGATAAGGTTGGGAAGAAGGCACAGCTGGAGAAGATGTCCACAGAGAGAGCTGAAGGAGGCAATGTTGTGAGTGGGTCTCAAGAACTTGGAAAAAAAGAACATGAGCTGGCTTCAAATATAAAAACCATCTTTTAACTCAAATGCAAAAACCATCTTTTTGGAGATTTAAACTTCAAACGCAAAAACCATCTTTTAACTCAAACAGATGGCTTCCAGGCCTGAGGACAGTCTTTATTTCTAACCTGATTAAATTTCTTAATTTATCTAAAGAAATATTGTGTGCTTATCCAGTGGGGGATTTTTGAGTCACAAAGACAGAGGAAAGAGGGAGTAGGGTGAGTGCTTGTCAGTGCTCATGGGAGATAGGAGGGTGCCACTAAAGAACTTCACACATCTCACATCCGTTTGCAAGTGCACGTTCACGTTGGGGCAGCACTCATAGGCTATCTCAGCCTTTGACTTGCCATTCATCTGATTGTGTGCTCACTGGGAAAACTTCTGATGAGTGTTGGGATTTCCACAGGTATGTGCCTCGCTGGAGTGAATGTCCTCTGGTATGGGATTTGGGTGTTCAGGTCCCTAAGACAGTTAAAAGTCAACCTTCTTTTAAAAATCATCATCCTTGTTAAGAATCAACATTCTGCTTTTGTACATCAGTTTTGTGACTTTGGTAAGTGCAAACTTACCTAGTTTCCCGTAGCCACAGTAACAAATTACTACACACTTGGTGGCTTAATACAAGAAAAACTTTCTCACAGTTCTGGAGGCCACGGTCCAGATGAGCTGAGCTGAAACCAAGATGTTGGCAGGAGCATGTTTTCTCCAGAGGCAATACGGGAAGATCTATTTCTTGACTCTTCCAGCTTCTGGTGACTGAAAGCATTCCTTGGCTTGTGGTTGCATCACTCCAGACTTTGCCTGCATGATCACACTGCCTTTTCAGTGTGTGTGTGTGTGTGTGTGTGTGTGTGTGTGTATGTGTATGTTTCTGTGTGAAATATACCTACCTCATCCTTTAACTTATAGGGACTCTTGTGATGATGTTAAGGGCCCACCCAGATAATTCAGGACAATCTCCCCATCATAAGATAAAAACAAATCTGTAAAAACACTGTTTTTCCCCAAATGAGGTAACATTTATAGGTTCCAAGGATAAAACTCCATATATTTGGGGCCACTATTTAGCCCACTACATTAAGTTTGTAAATTTGACCACCAGCGAGGTATCCACTTGCAGTGGGATAACAAAATCAGGCTTCTAAATGAGAAGTGCCTGCAGTGAATTCCCTAAGGACTGAAGGCCACCCTGTTGGGCCATGTGTGCAACAACCTGATAGCCTCTCTATTTCATGAGCTCACACACCTCTCTGTGTCATTGCATGGCACTGTCCATGTTTTCTTCCTTTTGAGTTTCTATAGGAAACACCTTCCTTGGAGAAAAAATGGTGGGTTAGAGCATAACAAGTAATTGAATGGAAATAGAATGCAACGTATCAGCAAAATGTGGCTGAAGATAGGCTGCAAAGATAGCTAAGAGCCTGATCATGGAAGGTGTGAGACCTTAGATCAAATACATTTTAGAACCCCCTCCCCGCCACATATGAAAAAAACAAATCAGGCCTTACTCAACACTGTATTGGTTGTTCTGTCTTGATAAGAAGTGTAATAATAGCTTACATTTACCAAGGACAACTTGCTAGACATTGTTCTAAGCATTTATATGCCTTCATTGATCTGATCATCGCAACTATCCTTTAAATTAGATAATAATATTCTTATTTTACATTGAGGGAAACAGAGGCACAGAGGCTTGAAGTAACTTAACCAAGGTCACTTAGCTTGGAAGTGGTAGATTTGTAATATGAACTGAAGGAATCTGGTCATGAAACTGCTGCCCTTGACTTTAGTGCCACCGTCTATATCCTATGTACACTTATTTACTTTTTCCTTGCTTTCCTTCTAGATTACAGCTTTTCAAAGCCAAAAGTCATGTGTCCTCAGTGTCAGCAGCTGGAGCAGTACTGCATACGCAATGATGTACACTTTGTGCCATCTGTGTAGCTGACTGATGCTCTTTTTGGTTTTATTTGTCACAAGGCTGCTGTAAGACAGTGACCTGAGTTTCACTAAAGAGAAATCTGGGGCTAATAAAAGAAAGCTTTACAAATGACAGAGCAACTTTCCTACAGCAATTAACAGCCTTTATGATGTGTTTAGTCAGCTCTTGGTATATGGCTTCAGGATTGATAAAAGAGGCATTTTAATGGAAGGCAGGCCTTCTTCATAGGCCAATTTTACACCTGATTTTCAAAACATGAGTGAATGTTGACAATCATAGCTAGAAATAAAGGGAAGAATTGATGGTTTCATTTAATGTTATCTGTATTTAAATATTTTCTTTAATAGAATTTTCAAAAAAAATAAATGTATGGAAGCAAAATTCTTCTAAGGCGCTTCTGGGTAGAAGGATTTAGAGGAAGCCAGCAAGAAAGAGTTGTTAAAAATTGGATGAGTAGGCAATTTGGGTAAATAGAGTTATATTTCATTTCCCTGAATGGTACAATGGAGCTGCAACCACAACAAAATTGTTCACAAGTTTATAGAAATAATCCAGTGAGCATAAATAAACACACTGCCTATATGATCTTTGTTCCACAGTTGAAGTTATAGAAAAATGTGAGAGAATATTTGGTGATTTTGGTCTTTTAAAACCCCCAAACACTCTACTCAGGAAAATCTTGTTTATCTTCATAGCTGCAGAGTTTGTCTATCTATTCATGCAGTAATATCAAACATAATTTTGAAGTCAATGGAAGGAATAATAGCACAATTTCCATCAAAGGAAAATAGGATCCTTTGGTAGACGCTATGTCTATTCCACGTGGTCAATCAAGGATAGTAGCAGAAGGCAGTAAGACTCCTGCCAGCTTCCCAGGCTCTGTGCTTTGAGAGGCCATCAGATGGTAGCAGTACATACCAGAAGGACCTCTCTTCTGGGAGCTGTGGCCCATTTAAATCTAACTAGTGTACACAGGTCAGGCCTGCAGAACCACAGCACATTTGACCAATTTCATCATCCTCCTGACATTACCTCTTGACATCATATGGGCAAAGGTTCTGGCTCCTTCCCTGTAGGAATCAGAGAAGAAAACTTGCTTTCTCTCTCTGTCTCTGCCTCTCTCTCTCTCTGTCATACACACACACACACACACACACACACACACACACACACACACACTGAGCAGCTTTCAACCATAGTATAGTAGAGTCTCAGATCTATCTTCCCACTCACCCAGCTTCCATAATCATAACAACACGGATGATTAGAGAGTCAATATCAAGGAAATTTGTCTATTTAGAAGTCCTTATTCGGCATTTCATGATCTACAAGATGGGAAACTGAGTTACAAAATTCCAGACATTGCCAGCCCTACAGACTTACATGTGTTTTGTATTATATCTTAAGCCTATTTGTCTTGAGAATCCCAGTTTTAACGTGTTTTATAAAACTGACAATGAAAAAACTGCCACTCTTTTTTCGGTATTTTGTCTTTTTAAACAGCTTCGAGTATAATAAACATACAATAAAGTCCACATGTTTATCGTATGTAAGTATGTACAATTTCAAATGTTTTGGCAGATACATTGAGGCTAGCAAATCATCACCATAATCAAGAAAATGAACATATCCCACAAAATGCCTCATGCCCAACTCTCCTACCCACCCCCATCCAAAGGCGTCAAGCAATCTACTCTCTGCCACTCTGGATTATCTTGCATTTTCTAGAATTTGTATAAATAGAATTATTTACTGTGCATTTTTTGGGGGGGGGGGTGATGGGTCTGGCTGTTTTTGCTCATTCTAGGAAGTACATAATATTATCTTATTGTGGTTTTCACTTGAATTTCCCTAATGGTTAAAGACATGGAACCTCTGCTTTTTTTGTCACTGATACATTAATATATTCTTGAGTGAATTGTCTTTGCAAATCATTTGTCCATTTTGCATTTGGGTTGTCTGTTATTACTGAGTTTTGAAAGTTCTCTTTATTTTCTGAATACAAGTCCTTTTACAAATGTGTGGTTACAAATATTTTCTCCCAGTATGTAGTTTATCTTTTCATTCTCTGAACAGAGCCTTGAAAAGAACAGAGGTTTTTAATTTTTATGAAGTCCAGGTTTTCAATTTTTTAATTTAAATAGTGTGCTTTTGGTGTTGTATCTAAGAAATCTTTGCCTAAGCCAAGGTAAAAAAAAAAATTATCTTATGTTTTCTTCTAAAAGTTTTATAATTTTAGATCTGGAGTCTGTGGTTCATTTGGTGTTGATTTTAGTATACAAACGAGATATGGATTGAATTTATTTTTTCCTTTTTCCTCCTTTAAGTGCAGTCATTTACTAGCCTCAATTCACAAGGGAAAGCAACATACTTCTTACACCTCTCTCTAATGTTAGAAACTCATGTGAAGACTCTGATACTTGTTTTCTGTTGATTGGAATAATCTTAATTGGATCTTTGACCAATGCTGGGTTTATATTCTTAGAAATTAGGACATATAGATTAGCCAAGCCTATATTTCAAAAGATATTACATTAAATAATGAACAAATCTGCCTGTGGGTATTTACTAATTGGGATAAATGTTGAAAGCAAGTTGAGAGTAGTAGCACAAGCAAAGTGTCATATCTGGTTAAGCCTGCCCAAAGGTACCCTGTTGGGTGTATCACATTCATAGACTGAGTCTCCCACACCGCCTATCTGTACTGCTGTCCTCCTTCTGGCCAGACTTCATGTATCTCCCAGCCCCTGCCCAGCCCCTGATTCTGATGGTCAGTTGTCTACTCCAGCTCCATCATTTCCGTTTCTGGACAGCAGGATTACCACGTAGGCCAATGGACCTGTGGATGGGTCACTACTGCTGACCCTCTCATTTGGCAAGCTCTGCACCTCTGCTCCTGCCTAGTGGGCATCTCAGGCAGCTGCTGCTGGATGCAGCTCAGATTCGATGTCCTAATAAAATTTACATTTAGCCAAAGATTACTGAAAATTGGAATATAAGAAGACAGGCGAATTAGTAGGCAGGTGGCTAAACACCATCTTCCAGGACTTCAAAATAGGAACACAACAACCACTCCAAATAATATGTTTGTTTGCACGTGTGTGTGTGTGTGTCTCATGCGTGTATGCGTGTATGTGAGAGAGAGGGAGAGAGAGAGTTTATACAAAATATTGGGACTCAAGTCTATGCTAAGATAATAAGAGGTCCTTAAAACACATAAAGCTTGAATTCCTGGCAGACTTATTATCATGAAGATCCATAAAACTTTGGGGGCCTTTTTTACCTCCATATATGCCAAGCACTGCCTCTCCTTTCTTTGCACACTTTCCCTGGGCTGACACTGCACATCTACTCCTTTCCTCAGTAGGAAATTGCAGTCTCCCAGCTTCCCCTCAGGGAAGAGAAATAGCCTTGATATTATCACTGGCCCTTAGGAATCAACAAGGGAACTTCTGTGGCCATTTAACAGATAGCTGGAGCCAACTTCCAGTTTAAATTCTAGGAAGGGGATCAGGCACCCCGTCTTGAGGAAGTGTTAAAACTTATTTCCAGTATTTTATGTGTTCAAATTGGCAGTCATCAAAACTTTATGACTTGACCCACAGGAATCGGCAAGGGCTGTCCTGTTCTGCATAAATGCTATGAAGCCAGCCTTCTTTCTGCCATTATTATTGCTACACAAGCAATGATCAGAAATTAGGAGTGAGGTTGTTTGTGGAGGTAAGAGAAATACTGGCCACATGTGTTATGTGTATGTGCTGATAACAGAGGCACAAGGAAAAAGGAAAACCACCATCCAAAAATACCCAACCAGCATCCTGAAATACTTAAAGATGCTTTATTTTGTATCAGGCATGTTTCTCTATTAAAGCACAAGTGCCCCTGTAGCACAATACATTAAGTATAAAATTATTTATTCGATCTTTTCCTCAGGGACAAATGATGGAGAGAAGTACGCTTAGTTTGTAAGTCAAGTTGTAAGAATGGTTTACATTTTTAGCACATGTTGGCAATTATAAAACTTTTTCATGCATTACCTCATTTGCTCCTCAGCACAATTATTTATAGCAAGTAGGCAGGAATTATTATTTCTATTTTACAGATGAGTGGTTTAGAGATGTTAAGTGACTTAGACCAAATTATAGTAAATAAAGGACACACACAAGATTCAAATATAGGTCCTTTTGACCTCAGAGCCTTTGTTTTCTCTATTTATTTAGCTCAGCTGAAAACTTGTGTTGGGGCAAGAAAGAAGTCTAGAGCAAAGATAAGTGTATGAGGACTCTGTAGAGGTCAGGGAAGGGTGATGGGCAACAGTGTTTCAGGTCACCAGGACCCTATTAGAAGGCAGTGTGGCCAAAATAAAAACCAAGGGAACCAGACTCTTGGGGCATCATGGGAATACCTCCAGCCTTTTGGCCATACATCACTGACAAGCAGGGTTCGGGTTTTGTTTTTGTTTTGGCTGACATGTGCAAGGTGACCATTCTCCAAAGGCAGTCCTGCTGTGAGTTGCTTAATACTGCGAATATAATACCTGGTGACAGGGACTCCCAGGACGATTTTCTAATTTGAATTTGAGATAGCTGCTTTGTTGGCAGCGTTGCAATGTCTTATGTAAATAAAAAGATGAGACTTACTTGAGTTTTCATCTAGAAATCCTTCTGGTTATACAGAATACTCACCAGATGTAGAATATCTTCTTACCCTATATCCCATCTCCTCTCTCAAAAACTAACCTAATACAATTTATTGTCTACAAACTGGATATTGAAGAAAATACTAACACTTTTATGTGGCACATATTGCATATGGAAAGCAGTAGAAAAGAATTGGAGCCTGAAAACCCAGGTGAGCAAGAAGCACTGCATTTGTTTATTTTCTGTAAAGACTCCCTATTCCTCTTACTGGTAGAAAGTTCAAAACTTTCATTATTGGGTTCCTTGCCCCCTGGGATGGAAGGCCTAGGGTGCCTAGGTTGTATCTGTCCAAAGCACTAGAGGACCCCCTCGGGGCAGAGGCATCAGTCTACCTTGGGACATCCTCTGTCCTGGGCTACACGGACACCTCCTGTCTCCAGATGCTGTGGTTTCTGTACCATCTGTGGACTTCAAGAATCTCTGGCAAGGCTGGCCCCAGGAAGCGGAACACAGTATTATGGCTTTTTGGGTTTTGTCACTTCCCTACAGGGGAAGTTTCCAAATAATAGAAAACCCTTCCTTCTCAGAACCTCACAGAGGTCTCTCTCTTTCCCAGGTTGAAAGAATCTCCCCTCTCATCCTTGTTGTTTTTCAAAGGCACATTCTCTCTGTTCCCCTTTAGGGAGCCATGATTCCTGAGGCAAGAAAGTGAAGTGAATGGAGAAGGAAATTTATAGGAAGGAAAAGCACAATTTAATAGTGCAATAAATCAGCCTGCCATAATGATATCATGTCTGTAAACTGAGATTTTCCCTCTTAGAGGATTTTTGAAAATTTCACAGGAGAAAATCGAGTGAAATTGTTCTTTTTCTACGTAAATAGCACAAGTGTGCATATGTGTACACATATAAAAGTGTATGTACAAGGTATGTATGTTTGTATGTATATATAACATGTATACATACATATCTTGTACATATACTTTATATGTGTATACACATATGCACACATATAAAGTATATGTACAAGGTATGTATGTGTGTGTATATATATATCATATGTATACATACCTTGTACATATACTTGTATATCTATCTTGTACATATACTTGTGTGTGTATATATATAATATATAAAATGTATATATACTATACACACAGATATATGTAGCTGTGAATGTGTGTGTGTATATGTGTGTGTCCATTACTGGATCATAAATCTCTATCAAATTATTAGAATTTACTTTGTCTTTTGCTCTTTTCAAATTCTTAGTCCTTTTATTTTTACTTTTTATTTTTAATTGACAAAGATTGAATATATTTATCACATACAACATAATGTTTTGAAATATGCATACATTGTGGAATGGTTACATCAGGCTATTTACTATATGCATAACCTCATATACTTACCATTTTGTTTGTGTGTGGTGAGAAAACTTAAAATCTACTCTCTTAGCAATTTTCAAGTGTACAATTCACTGTTATTAACTATAGTCACCATGTTGTACAATAGAGCTCTTGAACTTATTTCTCCTATCCAACTGAAACTTCGTATCTTTTGACCAACATCTTCCAACGCTCTTACCTACCCATGGCAACATCTATTCTACTCTCTGCTTCTGTGAGTTCGACTTCTTTAGATTCCACGCATGAGAAATTGTGGCATTTACCTTTCTGTAGCTGACTTATTTCACTTAACATAATGTTCTCCAGGTTCATTCATGCTGTTACAAATGACTTTGCCTTTTGAATATAATTCTGAGTTATATTATGTATAAAGAAATAACAATATTTGGGAACATCATTAATTCTACCTGCCACCTCAACTTTCCTTCATCTATTCCAGTTTTCTTTTAAATTTTGACCAGTTACAAGTTTTGTTTTTATGTATGTATGTGTGTATTTATTATAAAATTGTTGTCCATATACAAATTGCCTTTGACAGAAAGCTCAGCCAGTAACGTTTGGTGCCTCCCTCAGTGAGGTTTGCTATGCTGGGCACGATAGAGGCATGTGATGTGTGGGGCATGATTCTGGCCTAGGAGAGCTGTCCGTCAATTGTGATAAATGAGATACACTCCTGAGGAGAACTCAGATGGAAAAATAAGTACAACTGACAGAAAAAAGTGAAAGCCAGGGTACGTATTAAACAAAATAAAAAAGGTTTGGAAGTAAAACTGGGTTGAGACCTGAGGAGTGGAGTTGCATTTTGTGTACCAGGGAACTTGAAGATCCCAGAAAATATGTCCTTGGAAATCCAAGAGTCTGTCTTGAAGCCTTTGATTGACTAACAGTTGAGAGCATTTTATTCAAACCTGCTTTTCTCAGAGAAACCCAAGAAGGCTGATTCAGCTGCTGGAATCTTGAGTATGAGAGAGGTAGAATTTCCCCTCAGAAAGGGTAAGAAGCACTTAGATATAAGGAAGAAAATATTAATTTCATATTCAGGGACCTGAGTAAGCCAGTGCTTTGGGAAGAAGGGGTCAAAGGAGTTAAAGGAGCAAGAGAAAAGGAGACCTCAAGTCACAGCTGGAAGGTGGCTCAGATTATCTGCCTGGTCCTCTGACTTCCTAGTTCAGGAAATGGGCCCTAAGAGGGGAAGTGATGTATCCAAGGCACGTGGTTTTTTAGTAGTGAGCCAGGATCAGAACCCAGGTGAAAAAATACCTCTTCTGATCCTTTTGCAAAATATTTTCAACAAGGATTCCTGACTTCTGTCTTAAGGATGGTGAAGTCATTTCTTGGATTGTGGGGTGGAAAAACCTTACTACTTATTCAAGTGACAGCACTTAAGGACTCGAGTTTTATGGCAGTTTATTAAGCTTGAAAAGTAACAGCAAATGAGAACAATCAATCATTGCCTAGATTGTCTAAGTGACTCCCAGGAAAAAGGAACAAGTTAAAAGAGCAAGCAGGATTGTGCTTAATTCATGCCATATTTTCAAAACCTTTCTCTGTTTTCTGGAATCTCTTAATGTTGTCTCATACATTTTTCTAGCTTTGGAGGAAAGCCAAGGCTTTTTTTTCTAAAGATTGATTCTCTGTCAGTGAGATTTCATTAAACCATATATTGAATTGCATTCCTGAATCCTCTCAGTTCTACTTTAACTGCTTAAAGTTATATTTCCCCTTTTAAAGTCCAGTTCTCTTTAAAAAATGTTATTCTGAACTCTGACATTGCCACTCAGGGCTAGCTTGATTCTAAATGAGCAGACCCTGGTAAACATTTGTACTTTCTTTTGAGGGTGTGAACATAGCAATTAAATTATTGGAAAATTACTGTCAAGAAGGTCAAATATTTAGAGATAATGAAATAGCAGGATTTTAACACGAAAAATGTACCCTATGATATGCATTAAAATTCCCCGGTAATCATCTGTCAACTTGGTAGATTTTACTATTCACAAAAATTGTCTGTTCTTTGTAAGTTAATAGAAGCCTATAGCCTTTTCCACTAGTAAAGCAGTTGCAATTTTCTGCATATTAAGAGGCTGTTCTGGCTCTGCAGAAACAGAAAAGAATTGATGGGATCAAAGCAATACTAGCAAATGTAGAGTTATTCTGATATAATTTCCAAAATTTAGCAATCCTGAAATCTTTGGATTTCTTTAAATCAATACAGAGTTCTTGAGGTATTTAAATGCATTGTCTCAGCCAGATCCCCAAGTGTGGCTTTGAAGCTATAAAGGTTCTGGGGGAACAAAACTGAGAAGAGTCTAATAATTTCAATGCACACGTAAGAGAGCTACACATCAAAATTAATAGGTACCTGAACAAGGTTTTTCTCGGCCTGGGGATCAGTAGTTCCTGCAACTGGCTGTGCAACATGGATGAACCTGCTGCTTAATCTTTCTGTACCTTAGCTCCTGCACTCGTGAGATGGCAAGAATGAGCTTCCTTCATGTGGTTGTTGGCACTGGATGAGCTAAGGTAGGATGGGTAAAATACTTGGAATATGCAGGAGAAAAATTAGTGCTGAATGGACCTTATCACTATGTAGGATGATGTAGAGCAGCACCCTTCCTTCCTTAGGTATGCAGTTTCAGCATCTCTAACTGAGAATACAACCAATTTCTCAAGTGTCTACTGGGGCTAAAATTAATTTAGTGGTAGTGGCTGGCATTTTTTATTTAAATGAATTGAAACAGAATAGAGCAAAAAATACCAGAGAGCATCATATATTCTAAGTATTGTTTAGTGCTACTTTTCAGTGCTACTTTTACGTATATGTTTTAGGGATACTAGATTGAAATGAAAAAGTAATTTTTCTTCTGGTCATGCTCAAAATTTTGAAGTCACTGGATTATATGGTACCTAAAGATTCCTCTTCTCTTGACTGGTCTAAAATTCTGTTAAAAAGCAGATGTTATGCACAGTAGAGGGCCCTGAAGATAAAACCAGAAGACTCTGCTGGACCTGGTCCTTCCTTGTTGAAATAATTTCTCTGTACCCCAGTTTTATCCAGTGTAAAATGTGGATAATAGCACCTAGCCAGTCATGGTGGTTCACGTCTGTAATCTCAGAACTTTGGGAAGCTGATGTGGGTGGATCACTTGAGGCCAGGAGTTCGAGACCAGCCTGGCCAACATGGTGAAATCCCATCTCTACTAAAAATACAAAAATTAGCTGGGCGTGGTAACAGATGCCTGAAATCCCAGCTACTCAGGAGGCTGAGGCAGGAGAATCACTTGAACCCAGGAGGCAGAAGTTGAAGTGAGCCGAGATCGCTCTACTGCACTCCAGCCTAGGCAACAAGAGTGAAACTCCGTCTCAAAAAACAAACAAACACCCAAAACAAAACCAAAAACAGTACCTATCTTTCATAGGCCTGCCACAAGAACTAGATGAGGTAATGTACGTAAACTAGGTGTTATTTTGAAATATAAATTTTTAGCGTGATTTTAGTCATTCTGCGATTCTGAGCACAGAAAATTCTTTTGCTTTATGAATCTTGTTCCTGCGTTACCTCATTTCTTCCCTCTTGTCTTTCCTTTCATCTGTTCTTCTGCCTGAAACACTGTTCCCACTTTTACTCATTTTATTCCTCCTTTGAGACTTAGGCACCGTCTCTCCCATGTCACCCCAAGTGTATATATCTCTTTTCACTTACCACACTTTAAAATAAAAGTCTATGAATGTGCCTGACACTCTCATTAGAACATCATACTTCCCAACTTTATATTCATTGTTTAAATCCCAAAACTTTGTGGAGCATCTGCACCTACAAGGAACTCTAAAATATTGGCTGAGCTGACCTGAACTAATCTCCTGCTTTCACATCTATTTCTTTCTCCACCTTCACTCTTGTTCTCCTACACCCTCTTTCAATATATTCACTTATCTTTCCTACCTCCTATCCCATTTCTAGCACATATATGGTATAAATAATAGCGAATTGAGCAGCAATGGTGTCCTCTTGGCCTCCAAATTGCAGCATCTCCAGGGGAGGCTATTATAAAAGTGGATTCAGAAAGGGAAAGCAGTAATTGTAGAAGAGATATAATGACCAGAAGAGAAAGGTGATAATGTTAAGTTACTCATGGGTTGTGACATTTAGCTGGGTGAAAATACATGATTGTACAGAGGTAGGAGAACCAGGGGGATAGCTTGAGGCCTAGAGGTGATTAGCAGAAGGGACAGACTGGTCCAGCCCTCTGAGTCTTTTCCTCCATCTGCCCATTGCCCTGGGCAGGGACAAGGTTACTGGGATCAACATGGTACCCAATTATGCTCCTTCCTCTACACTCTAGAAAGGGAGGTTCTGGCAGCTTGAAGACCCTCTGTCATTACCCAACCATCTTGACCCGAAAACTTCCAATTCTCAATCCCACATGTAAATAATTCACAAAACAATTTCCAGGAGGCCATGATACTGCAAAAAAGAAATCAATAAAGCCTGGGCACAACAACAGACACTTTTTCAAACTCTGAGTCCGATCAGATGGTTACAGCAGTCTTCTGGCTGTTGAATGTTTTCCCTCCTGTCACTGCCAAGTTGCTGGGTTGATTTATTGGGAAACAGGTAACAGTCACCTTCGCACTGCTGTTAGCAGATTCCTTTGAGAGAACAGGTTACAAAAACATCCGGTTTGTCTCCCTTGCATTTATCTGTGTATTCATGCATGGAGATTTGTTCCAGGAGTAACTGAAGCATATAATTCTCAGAGTTCGAATAAATTGAAAATTGCTCCTGCTGAGACTTTGACAAGTTATTTTCCTGCTGGGGTTCACTCCAGACTTTCCTGTCTTTCCCAGAATATTTAAAGTGGCTTCCACTGTGTCAGATACACTGTAAACAATTTTCAATGTTATAGCTTTAAGGTAGGCTCAGTAGGCTTTTAAAAGCTCCAGGCCACCCAATTTGCTAGTTAGTGTATATTACCAATTACAATGCTTTGTCTGCCAGTGCTTCTAAAAGCTGTGATAATATTAATGGTACCACAGAGTGCCTTTCCTCTTGAATGAACCTTCACTTGTCTTACAGATGACATAAGCTGAGAGCGAATGCCTTGCTGTCATTCAACTGGAGTCACACCTGTGCTCTTTCACATGCAAGTTACAAAGCATTTTCACATGTGTTGTCTTGTTTAACCCTCACAACATAATAATACACCCTTGTGAGTGTATTATAGTCCCCGTTGTACAAAAGAATGAATGACATGCCCAAGCAGTGGATTTACAAAGAGGCGAGGACAATGCCCAGGCACTCTGGCCTAAATCTAGTGCTCTCTTTACTATCTTGTAACCTGTGGCACATTTCTGGTGGTCTTTCCCATACCCAGAATCAGTTTCTTTCATGTTCAGAGAACTCTAGTTTTGTTTTCCCTTCTAAATACCTGGCTCTGTGCGAGGTATTATGACTGGTTTAAGAGGAGAATAGCGATATTGGCTAGTTATCACTCTAGGAGTAGCTGTGGTACCACAGTGCAATTAAAGCCACTGCAACATAACTGAAGATCTTTTGAGGACTTCTCAGAGTGTATAAGAGAGAACATAAGGGGAAAGCCTTTTTTCTCCCCACCACCCATCTTGATGCCTGCTCGAGACATTGCCATGTGATGTTTGGAACTGCAGCTGGCTATTTTGTGACCATGTGTCTGGACATTTCTGGCAAAAACAAGGCAGCTTTCTTAAAGGACAGAAAGTGCATCCATGATGGCATCAGTGAGTTTCCAAACCAACCACATCTACCTTTGGACTTTTCGTTAAGTAGACAAATATTTGTTTATGTTTTAAGTCATTTTAATCAGATGTTCTGTTACTTATACTTGATTACATCCTAACTGATGCACAGCTATTCTGCACCTGCTCTGCTCTTCAGACACTGATGAATAGGTTGTCTAACATTCTTGAAGCTAGTGCCATGGCTCCTAACGCAAGCAGGTGCTCTGACTTACCCTTAAGACCTTCCCTCTTTTGGAATAGCAGCTGCCCTTAAAGAAAATATATAACACTCTATGCTAAGAGTTGTCTCAGTCACCCTAGACCTTTTCCCTGTTCAGCCCCGCCTGCCTGGCTCTACCCTTCGCAATGCTCTCACCTTCTCCAGATCAGTGTGTGTTACTCTTTATTTTCTACCTTCCCCCTTCTCTTTCAGCGTTTGCCTCCTTCCTGGTCTACTACTGTTTGTTTATACCCTAAACCTTGGTCTTGCTCTGCTTTCTGACCTTCAGGTCCATTTGATTATGGCTTGGGAC
Organism: Homo sapiens; assembly: GCF_000001405.40. Classification (NCBI taxonomy): domain Eukaryota; kingdom Metazoa; phylum Chordata; class Mammalia; order Primates; family Hominidae; genus Homo; species Homo sapiens. The sequence continues at coordinate 47,138,010 of NC_000013.11, forward strand.
TTTGGTTATGATCATTTGATTGTTAGTTTATAACCCATTGCTTTGCTTTGATAGAAGAAGAGAACTAACATTTATTGAGCATCTAGTGTGTGCTAAGTATTGATTTAGGAGTTTACCACATTTAATCCTTAAAATAAACCTGTGAAATAGGTTTTATCTCCATTTTCCCTTAGCAACAATCTCAGAATGTAGGTGAACTACCCATGATTGAACCTATAGAAGTAATATAGCCAGAAGACTAACCCATTGAGTTTGACGCCAAAGATCCTGTCTTCCAACTAGGCCAGGACACAGTACCTGAAGAATCCTTCCATCATTATTTTATCTTCCCTAATCTTGCGGCTGATTTTACCTAGACTATAGTTTTGACCATCAAATTCTCCATCTCAATCTAATAGTAGAAAAACACGGAAGTGTCACAAATGTACATCATGTGACTACCCTATCTCTGAAACATCTTGGATCCCGTCTGTGATACATTCCGGTAAAAGCAGTCTAATTTTGTTAAATCAGTATGCACTAATGAAGAAAAGTAGTGAGTCTCTGGTAAAATCACTTGGCTGGGAGTCACCACTTGATTTTTGGTGTTAGCTGTTTGTTTAAAAATTACCAATCTGGCAGGGCATGGTGGCTGACTCCTGTAATCCCAGCACTTTGGGAGGCCGAGATGGGCGGATCACCTGAGGTCAGGAGTTCAAGACCAGCCTGACCAACATGGAGACACCCTGTCTCTACTAAAAATACAAAATTAGCCAGGCATGGTGGCGCATGCCTATAATCCCAGCTACTCGGGAGGCTGAGGCAGGAGAATCGCTTGGACCCAGGAGGTGGAGGTTGCAGCGAGCTGAGATAGCGCCATTGCGCTCCAGCCTGGCAACAAGAGCAAAACTGTCTAAAAAAAAAAAAAAAAAAAAAAAAAGTACCAATCTAGATTTACCTTAATGGAAGCATCAGTTTTGTGTTTCTTGGATATACAGGCCTATCTGGTGAAACATTTGATCTAAATTTGGAATAATTTAGAATATACATGTGTACAGTAATATTCATCACATTTTTATTTATAATCAAAATTAGTCAGAATCTAAATGTTCAATAATAAAACCTTGGCTAAATAAGATGTGGTATATTTAAAAAGGAAGGAGTACCATATAGCTATTACATATTTTATTTAGGGAAATATTTTATGACACAGGAAAATATAATGAAGCATTAAATTAAAAAATAGGATTTTAAATTGCATACACTATAGGGCTTCACTTTTGTAATGAATATACAGGTTTATGTGCACAGAATAAAAGGCTAGATGAAAATAGTACCAGGATGTTAACTGTGATAAGATGCTATTTATATTTTTTCTTTATGTTTATATTTTCTAAATATTTTATAATGAATAGTTCTTTTATTAATCAAAGAAAATCTTAATTCAATAGAAAAACAATTTATAAGTGAATTTGCATTAATATTTCTTAAATAGCACACTTTCTATTTAATGCAGTTGAAAATGTGATTTCTAAAAAACAAACATTTACACACAACTTTTCAACAGTATATCTATTGCTGCTATAGTCTGGATGTTTATCCCCTGCAAATCTCACGTGAAAGTTTGATCCTCAGTGTTGCAGTTGGGGCCTAATGGGAGGTGTTTGGGTAGTGGGGGTGGATCCCTCATGAATGCATGAATGCCCTGGGGTTGGGGAAGTGAATGTGTTCTCATTCTATTAGTTACTGAGTGAGGGCTCCTTGTTAAAAAGAGCCTGGTGCTCTGGGCTCTGTCTTGCTGCTGCTTCTCTTGCCATGTGATCCCTGCACACAACGGCTCCCCTTTCCCTTTCTCCACCATCAGTAGAAACAGCCTGAGGTTCTCACCATGTGCAGATGCCCAATCTTGGACTTTCCAGCCATCAGAATTGTGAGCCAAATAAACCTTGTTTCTTAATAAATTACCCAGATTCAGGCATTCCTTTATAGCAACACAAATGGAATAAAACAAGTGCCTATAACAATATGTAATTACCTCTTTAAAAATTAATAGATACTCATATTACAGTGAATGGGGAAAGAGCTCTCTCTCGTTGTGAAGCCCTTGAGGTTTCTACAGGGGAAGGCCCTACCTGTGGGCTTCTTCTGGGTCATTCCAAGTCAGCAAGAGAACTTGTGCTTGAGGTTCATCTTCAAACTACAATACAGTGCAGTTGGGCTACATCAAAAATAAGTAAATTAATGCACAGTATTATTTTAGATGATGGTAAATCTAGGGAAGAAGAATGAGTCTAGGGAGGATGATTTGATAGAAATTTTCTTGGTAAACGGGTTATGGTAGGTTGGCCACATTTGACTGGATAACTGAGGAAACCTCTTTGGGGAGGTGACATGGTTGGTTCCTAAGAAGTGAATTACAAGATTTCATCCAGGTAAGGATCTTGAAGCAGAGTGTTGTGGGTGAGGGAATAGCAAATACAAAGGCTGTCAGACAGGAAAGACCTTGACACAGTCAATAAACAGAAAGCAGGCACTGGGCATATGGATGAAGCTTAGAGGGGAAGGGCAGGGTAGGGCAAGAGGAGGGAAGCTTATCAATAGAGTTTGGGCAGTTAAATTATCAGGGACTGCCAGGCTCAGAGTCTCAAAAGAAATTAAGCTGTGCCAAAAAGAAATTAGACTCCCTAGAAATGACGGCTTTAATAAAATGAGAAAGTATAAACGGAAATGATGTCTCACAATCCCGTGATGAGTGAGTTGTGTCTATGGTAAAAAAGAGCAAAGAAAAAGTCCATGAGCATTTTGGAGGCTGATAATGTTGTCTTGAAATGGTATTTAAGGAAAATTCAACCAGTGTGGCCTGGTAACCATGGCTGCAGTGACTACGATCATTCGGACAAATGCAGGATTTCCTGATTTATCAGCAGAAACAAATCACCTACTCATAAACATACTTGGCCAGCATGGCTAAATCTTTTATTTTCAGGTGGTCTCATTGCTATTAAGGTTACACCTCACATTTTATGTTAAAAATTTAGGGTTTTCTGATTTTCAAAAGTAGCTTTCAATTTATTGCAGTAAGTTTTCAGTAGCTTTGTCTATGGACAAAGACTAAATACTGTTTAGAAGAAACACATATTCATTAGTCTTTGCTTGAAGAAAGTTTCCCAATCTAAAATACTTCAAGTATACGCTTGCTACTTCTGCTTTAAATCAGACAAGCCTCACGAGAAGGGACTGAAATTCAAATATCATCAACATGCTAGCAGTATGCTGAGATTCATCTCACAAATAATTCCCAGGGAAAGGCTAAGTTTGGATCAATAAAAGTCAGTTGTATGGATGCTACAAGTTTGAAAAAAAAATGCATTTGACCTCCAGAGCCAATGTGATTCAAACAGAAAAGTAAAATACAAATCTTTTGACTAAATCATATTGGTAAATATACACAAAAATGTAATGAGTAAGAAAAGGTAAAAGTAATTGGGAATATGTCACCCCATGGGATTTAAGTGGCCAACTAGCTCTTCCTTGGTGACATTTCTTGTCTTGTGCCTTTTGAAATTTCATTGTAACATCCTTGACATGGATGATATCATTGGCATAGATAAAATTTTTTCCAATCTTTTGAGTCTACTTGATTAGAGATTTAGCAGGAAGAACACAAATGTGATTGAAACTCTATAAAATCAATATTCAATGGAGTCTTCCTACTAAATATGTGTGAAGCCTTATAAGTTTGGTCAGTTGTTTAATACCTTTTAAGAAAGACCTTCCTTTCCTGCTAAGATAAATAGTTTCCAGAAGTTAATTCCATTATATTATGGCTATTCATGTAGCAAACTCACTGCTACCTCTGTGATTTTAAAAAAGAACATCTTAAAATTGTCTTCGATACTTATCCAGTTAGGTTTCATGAATCATCAAGGTGGGGGATGTCTGGATAGCCTCAAGTGTTTTGAATTTCCATTTTCTTTACTTAGGCTAGATTTTTATGCATTGGTTTTTCACTGACAACATTTTTATGGTTTTAAACACTGTAATTAGAAGTCCAAAAAGTTATTTTAATGAGTTGGCTAAAAATTTATGCCCTTAAAGCCAGGAAATCCCAAATGTGTCCATGTTGTGCATGTTGTATTTCAGATTAGTAGTTTAGGCTTCTAAATTTGTATTCTCATTATGGGGTATATAAATGAGGGAAATTTTCACATAGGTTTCTTGTTTTGTTTTGCTTTTAGCATTTAACGTGTTTGAATTGTCTCCTAACTACCTTGTCTTAAAATAACTCTGGATGTTTGGACAGGTGGTTACACTCTGTTAATCACACAAAGTTGAAGCTATTTTAAAGCAAGTCATTCCCACTATGGTAACACTGTTGAAGCCTTCTGCAATACAGAAGGCTTCTACTTCTGTTTTATCAACTCGGCCTTTCTCTAAAAGTATCCTCATAGTATCTATGTAGAGTTGATGCAATATCTTTAAATAGTTCTAGACTTCTTGTGATATCACCATCTGGAACTTGGATCTTCTTCACAGGCAAAGAATTAGCCCTCACGGCTCCTGTCTTCTGGGGTTTATTTAATATGCACAATTATATCATTTTGTGCTAAGCACCAACATAAAGCAAGTTCAGGAAATCATGGCGTTTCAGGTTTGTAAGGAATTTTTAAGACTTTTTTTTTTTTGAGACAGAGTCTTGCTCTGTCACCCAGGCTGGAGTGCAGTGGCGTGATCTCACCTCACTGCAACCTCCACCTCCCGGGTTCAAGCAATTCTCCTGTCTCAGTCTCCCGAGTAGCTGGGACTACAGGCGTGTGCCACCATGCCTGGCTAATTTTTGTATTTTTAGTAGAGACGGGGTTTCACCATGTTGGCCAGGCTGGTCTTGAACTCCTGGCCTCGGCCTCCCAAAGTGCTAGGATTACAGGCATGAACCACCATGCCTGGCCAAGACAATTTTTAAGAACCTTTTACTTTTGAAATAGTTATAGTTTTGAGGAAGTTGCAAAAATAGTACAGAGAGGTCCAAGGTCATTTATTTTAACTACTCACCTTGCCCTGAAAGACTTTACACATTTAAAACTGAAGAAAATTGGTTCTGAAGATTTACCCATCAGGATCCGAAGAATACAGACACCCAAATCAAAGGACCAGCTTACTAGCAAGTAAGAAGGTGAAGAAGGGAAGAACAGTGACCCAACAAGTAATATCCTCATTCAAAATGACTTTGATTAAAGGAACATGTAATGGGATGAATACTTACAAACATGCAGACTTCTTTAATTCCAGAATTATGATGGAAGAGGTGTTTATACAACCACCTGGGCTTTGAAATCAGTGCTTCAAATTCTGGCTCTGTTGATTACTGTAAAATCCTGAGATGGTAATTGATCTCTCTGTGTCTTTGTTTCTTCTTCTGTGGAAGAGCAATAATAATATCTTTCCTGGACAGTTGTGACAAGAATTAAAATTGTTTAATATGCATAAAGAAGACAGTTAGCATAGTATTCAAGCAAGTGCTCAATATATTAAAGATATTATCATTACTCTTTCACTTCTGAAAATTCAAATACAGCCAATTCTTGTTATTTGTAGTAGTTTATTCTATAAAGTCACTATGAACACTGAATTAGCAAGTATTTAACTATTACTCCAAGAGGAAATATAGGGTTAATTTCCTACAAACCACTGGTCACAACATATTTTTGTCAACCAATGTCTGACCTTGTTTTATATATGTTTCTGTATAAAGATATTGCATGCATTCATTAACACTGAACTCATGGCTAACAGCACTATAGCTCATGTCAGAACAAAGCTTATCTAATAAGTATATTTTCTCTAATGCAATCTTCTTAGGAACACCAGCCAGCACTTTAACAATATGCCTGGAGGCCATTTTAAACAGTGAAATCACCAAGAAAAAGCAAAAAAAAAAAATTTTTTTTAAAGTGAAAAATGTTGCACTAAATAGACTGCAGAATGCACACTTGTTTGCAGTATAAGAGTACAAGAAGGTGGAGCATGGCTTTGTTCAACCTCAGCTGGGAACTTGTGCAATGGGGCACTAAAAGCTTTCTCCACTCTGTAAAGATGTGTATCCAAAAATGACTGTGAAAGTGCTGCAAGTATGGGTTTGGGAGTTACAAATACATTTTAGTGGACAGGCAAATTCACAAATATGAAATCTGTGAATAACTGTGATCTACTGTAGTAGTTTTTGTGCCAGCCTGAATAAATTCTTGTGTTGACTCCTGAAAACATAAGTGAACTTGATCAAAGTGTAACGTTTTGAGACTGGTTTTTACGTGTGTCTTGTAGAATCAAGACCTGACCATGTTTCTGCTCCTACCCTCCCGCTCCTTTCACTTAAGTTCTCCTGTGGACTCATGTGCCTGGTTGAGGTCCCTGAACATGGCAGAGTCCCTTGTGACTTTGGGCTCTTCTCCATAGTGTTCCCACTATGATGGGACAGTGCAGAACCACTAAGCCTGCAGGCTCTGGAATCCCACAGCCTGGGTATGACACCCAGCTCAGCCACTTACAAAACATGTGACCTGGAGCAAGTTCTGTAACCTCTCTGGCTACAGTTTCTTCTTCTATAAAATTGTGATAATAACGGCATTTACCTCGGAAGATGTTTTGAAAATTAAGGAGATTATGTCTTCAAAACACTTCCCACAATGCCTGGCACATAGGATCATTCCGTGTTTTTCTGCCTGGTCAGATTCCATTTGAAGCCTCAATGTCCATTCCTTGGTGAACACATCGCTAACTCCCCAGGCACAACTAGTCATTTTCCCCTATGCTTCTGAATCACTTTAGTTCATGACAATCACAGCACTTGAGGAAATGCTGCATTGCTGACAACCTCCTTCCCTGTGCAACTGTGAGTTTCCTGATGGATCTTCTCTTTTTTTTCTTTTTCTCTTTCTTTTCTTTCCTTTTCTTTCTTTTCCTTTTCTTTCTTTTCCTTTCTTTCTTTCTCTTTCTTTCTTTTTCTTTCTCTTTCTTTCTCTCCCTTCCTTCCTTCCTTACTTCTTTCTCTCTCTCTCTCTCTCTCTTTCTTTCTTTCTTTCCTTTTTAGATGGAGTCTCTCTCTGTCATTCAGGCTGCAGTGCAGCGGCACAATCTTGGCTCACTGCAACCTCTGCCTCCTGGGTTCAGGCAATTCTCTGCCTCAGCTTCCCAAGTAGCTGGGATTATAGGCACCCCCCCACCACGCCTGGCTAATTTTTGTATTTTTAGTAGAGATGGGGTTTCACCCTCTTGGCCAGGCTAGTCTTGAACTCCTGACCTCATGATCCACCTGCCTCAGCCTCCCAAAGTGCTGGGATTACAGGCGTGAGCCACTGCGCCCAGCCTCCTGATGGATATTTTCAATCTTTGCTTCCCTGGTGTCCATCAGGGAGCCAGACACACAGTAGGTGCTCAACAGTTGCTAAATACATGAGTTAATATATAAATATACGTAATTACAATTACAACTCATAAAAAGTAGTGGCTTGAACAATTGGAAGGAAAACTGTTGAGCAAATACAAAATATCTGGTCCTTTTTGAATTTAAAACATAGATACTATGTTAACTTAAGATTAAACATATACAACAAATTATGTATTTTATACCCTAACTCTGCAGAATAGGGTTTCTCAAGTTGTAACTACATGGAAAGTTTGTGAATTTTGTAGGTTCCTAAAATCCACCCCAGATCTACTGAATATGCATGATGTTTAATAAGCTGTCTGCCTAAAGCTTGGTCACCACTCTGGTGGCAGCTGCTCAAACTCCTCAGGGTAATCTTCTGAAACAGTAGGATACATTAGGATGTAAGTACCCTGGTACGGGCAGGGACCATGTGTGTTTTGTTCAGTATTGTGCCCTCTTATCTGAACTAGTATGTAACACACAGAAAGAGCACAATAATTAGTTACTGGTTAAACAAATGAATAAATAATGCAGATAAGAAGCAAATTCATAGTCCCCATAAACACTTTGGATTGTATTACCGAAGTGGAGTCCCAAATTCACCCATTCTCAGACTTCAGTGCAGGTAACAATCCCTATTTAAAAGAAAGCTCCAAGACTCACTCTCTGAAGATTCCGATTCAGTAGGTCTGGGGGGTGGGGCTGAAAGTCTCCATTTGTAACATGATCATAGGTGATTCCAAGCAAAGTGATCACTGTTACACACTTTGAAAAATGCAGTACATCATCCAGGCAATGGCCCAACAACCAAATCAAGTGTAAACAAAACTGTGGTGTGTGGTTCAGTTGTGGGGTGCATAGCTATCAATGCAGAGAGGAGTTTGTATGTAGTATTTAATACTTGTATTAGTCAGAGTTCTCTAGAAGGACAGAACTAACAGGATAGATGTACATATAAAGTGGAATTTATTAAGGAGTATTGACTCACATGATCACAAGGTGAGGTTTCACAATAGGCTATCTACAAGCTGAGGAGCAAGGAAGCCAGTTCAGGTCCCAAAACCTCAAAAGTAGGAAAGCCAACAGTGCAACCTTCAGTCTGTGGCTGAAGGCCTGACAGCCCTTGGCAAATCGCTAGTGTAAGTCCAACAGTCCAAAAGCTGAATAACTTGGAGTCTGATGTTCAAGGGCAGGAAGCATCCAGCATGGGAGAAAGATGAAGGCCGGAAGACTCAGCAAGTCTGCTCTTTCCACCTTCTTCTACCTGCTTTATTCTAGCTGCATTGGCAGCTTATTAGTGATGCCCACCCAGACTGAGGGTGGGTCTCCCTCTCCTGGTCCACTGACTCAAATGTTACTCTCCTTTGGCAACACCCTCACAGACACACCCAGGAACAATACTTTGCACCCTTCAATCCAATCAAGTTGACACTCAATATTAACCATTATAATACTCAGTCTAATAAAACCTGTAAACAATGTTGAACTCAGGGTATTGTGAGCTCTGCAGTGTTGTTCCAATAAATACACAGCAACCCATATGTGTTCCCATTATGTTTAGAGTAAGAAGTGTCATTTAAATTCTCATCTGGACCTTCATTCTCTTCCTGACAGAGGAGGAGCATGACAGGGCAAATGTGGACGCTGCTCATCCTCTCCAGTATATACAATGTTTAATCATTGAAAGAAAATAAGAAGAATGATAGTGAAACCATGACCTCCCAAATGTCTTTCACTTCACTGGCTGTTGTGGTTATTGCAGTACTTTTCTGATGGCTCTTGTCTTGTGAAACTTGTTTTTTACCTCTGTCTACAAGACTTATGGTTCTGAAGCTTTTCTTAATATAGCTTAACTATTTGGTCTCTACTCATAATTTCCAACTTGGCAGTGGGGGTTTGCCCATTCTCTGTTCTCTGTTTCTTGCTATCAGCTGAGGCTTCTCAGCTCTCTTCCATCCCTCAGAAAGAAGGTCTGAAATTATTATGTAATCCACATGGATACAAACCCAGTGCGGAACCTCATGTGAAGTCTTCAAGCTCTCAGCCTTGTCAGCTCAATCTTCCCTCATTTTCTGGTAGGGATAACAGCAGGACATTATGTTGATTCTCTGCTAGGATAGATCACTTCCTCTCTGGAGTTCTATAATCTCAAGGTGTATGCATCATAAACTGAAAGCATCAATGTAGATTGGAAAACTTGCTACACCCACCTGCTGCTCTGCTTGCTACTTTCCAGGCATTTAAAGGAGAACAGGCCTGTGGGATGAGTGCAGGTGGTGTGTAAAAACTAAAAGAGTTCCTGTATTGGCAGCAGTGGGAAGAGGGAAGCAGAAAAACCAGATGGAAGTTTACTGCCTCTGGGCTGCACTTACCACAAAGTAATTCATATGCACTTTTGCCTTTATCTGCAGCTTTGAATGTAGGCATATTTATTTTAAATCTCCAAGGAGCTCTTGTGTTTGATGGATTAAAAAATGTTTAATTACATTTACAGCCTTTCCATGAGGTAGATATGGAAAGCCATTCCATTTGGTTTACTGATTAGTGGCGTGGTAAATTACTCCATTAGAACAGTGCTATAAATAATAAAAATGGCATTTTACTGCACGATGTTCTATCCTCTTCTTGTGCTATCATGACCATTATACCAGAGTCAAATGATTTCATGAGATTTCCAGCAAGACAATGTTTTAGAAAGCCTGGAGTTTGCCTCAGGAGATCTAGATTTCAGCTCTTTAATATTGCTCAGCGGGATTAATATTATCAGATTTATAATTTCACTGACATTATTTAAAAAAAAACATGGATAACAGCAGCTTCTTTGCCTATCTTAGCATTGCTGAGGATCAAATGAGATTCACCTTCTTACTGATTCAGTCTTGGGAGGGTGTATGTGTCCAGGAATGTATCCATTTCTTCTAGATATTCTAGTTCATTTGCATAGAGGTGTTTGTAGTATTCTCTGATGGTTGGTTGTATTTCTGAGGAGTCAGTGGTGATATCCTCTTTAACATTTTTTATCGTATCTATTTGATTCTTCTCTCTTTTCTATTAGCCTAGCTAGTGGTCTATTTGTTAACTTTAAAAAAAAAAAACAGCTTCTGGATTCATTGATTTTTTGAAGGGTTTTTTGTGTTTCTATCTCCTTCAGTTCCACTCTGATCTTGTTTATTTCTTTTCTTCTGCTAGCTTTGAGTTTTATTTGCTCTTGGTTCTCTAGTTTTTTTTAGTTGTGATGTCAGGGTGTTGATTTAAGATCTTTCTAGCTTTTTGATGTGGGCATTCAGTGTTATAAATTGCCTTCTTAACACAGCTTTAGCTGTGTGGCAGAGATTCTGCTACACTGTTTCTTTGTTCTCATTGGTTTCAAAGAACTTCGTGATTTCTGCCTTAATCTCATTATTTACCCAGGAGTCATTCGGAAGCAGGTTGCTCAATTTCCACGTAGTTGTGTGGTTTTTGAGTGAGTCTCTTAATCTTGAGTTCTAATTTCACTGTGCTGTGGTCTGAGAGACTATTTGTTATGATTTCAGTTATTTTGCGTTTGCTGAGAAGTGTTTTACTTCCAATTATGTGATTGATTTTAGAGTAAGTGTCATGAGGTACTGAGAAGAATGTATATTCTGTTGTTTTGGGGTGGAGAGTTCTGTAGATATCAGGTCCGCTTGATCCAGAGCTGAGTTGAAGTCCTGAATGTTTTTGTTAATTTTCTGTATCGATGATCTTTCCAATATTGATGGTAGGGTGTTAAAGTCTCCTGCTTTTATTGTGTGGGAGTCTAAGTCTCTTTGTATGTCTCTAAGAACTTGTTTTACGAGTCTGGATGCTTCTATATTGGGTACGTATATATTTAGGATAGTTAGCTCTTCCTGTTGAATTGAATCCTTTACCATTATATAATGCCCTTCTTGGTCTTTTTTGATCTTTGTTGGTTTAAAATCTGTTTTGTCAGAAACTAGGATTGCAATCCATGCTTTTTTCTGCTTTCCATTTGCTTGGTAAATTTTCCTCCATCCCTTTATTTTGAGACTATTTTGAGGCTTTGCACATGAGATGGGTCTCTTGACAGTAGCACACTGATGGGTCTCAACTTTTTATCCAGCTTTCCATTCTGTGTCTTTTATCTGGGGGCATTTTGCCCATTTACATTTAAGTTTAATACTATTATGTGTGAATGTGATCCTGTCATCAGGATGCTAGCTGGTTATTTTGCAGACTTGTTAATGTAGTTGCTTCACAGTGTCATTTGTCTTTGTACTTCAGGGTGTTTTTGTAGTGGCTGGTAACAGTTTTTCCTTTCCATATTTAATGCTTCCTTCAGGAGCTCTTGCAAGGCAGGCCTGGTGGTGGTGGATTCCCTCAGCGTTTGCTTGTCTGAAAAGGATTTTATTTCTCCTTAGCTTATGAAGCTTAGTTTGGCCAGATATTAAATTCTGTGTTGGAAATTCTTTTCTTTAAGAATGTTGAATATTGGCCCCCAGTCTCTTCTGGCTTGTAGGGTTTCTGCTGAAAGATCCACTGTTAGTCTGATGGGCTTCCTTTTGTAGGTGACCTGGCCTTTCTCTCTTGTTGCCCTGCTTTTCATCAGTCTCCGTGGGTTGCATCAACTGCCTAGTCAGTCCTAATGAAAGAACCTGGATACCTCAGTTGCTGGTGTAGGATTCACTCACTGTTTTCATTCTTCTCAGTGGGAGCCTCTGACTGTAGCTGTTTCTAGTTGGCCATCTTGGCCCCTCCCTTCTACAGTTTTGTTTTTGTTTTTGTTTTTGTTTTTGTGTTTTTGTTTTGTTTTGTTTTTGATAAGGAGTCTTGCTCCACTGCCCAGGCTGGAGTGAAGTGGCCCAGTCTCGGCTCACTGCAACCTCCACCTCCCAAGTTCAAGTGATTCTTCTGCCTCAGCCTCCTGAGTAGCTGGAATTACAGGTGTGTGCCAACACCCCCGGCTACTTTTTGTATTTTTAGTAGAGACAGGGTTTCACCATGTTGGCCAGGCTGGTCTCAAAATCCTGACCTCAAGTGATCCATTCGCAGCCTCCCAAAGTCCTGGGATTACAGGCATCAGCCCCCACTCCCAGCCCTACATTTTTTTTTAATGTAGGGGTTTTGTTTACAAATGAAACTACAGCTCTTTTTTTTAAAGACATTTCTTATTAAAGGAAAACAAGAACTAATTAAACTTTTTCTAAGCAAATGTGTTCTACTACAGCTCGTTAGTGAGAACATGAAGCTGGGGGTGCCATTAATGCAGAAGGAGATTATTATCCATCTGAGTGTGGGGGAGCTAAGTGTATCTTGCTGCTCTATTTTCTGCTACTTTTTGTTTTTGCTTTTTGTTTTGGTTTTGAGAGTTCATGTTATTTGCCTGTTTGTTTGAAAAGTCATACATGTTCATGGCAAAAACTCACATAGAAATTGAGTAAACCTTTAAGTCTCCTGTCCACCACAATTTTTTTTTCTGTTAGTCTCTTCCAGGAGACAACTATTATTTACTAGTTTCCCAGAGATATTCCATGCTTGTATGAATGTGTGTCTGTGCATATCCTTTTAAGAAAAATCACAAGTGGTGGTATAATGTACACATTGTAAAATGTACTTTGCATTTTTTTACCTGATTATATTATTTCATGATAATCTTTCCTTTCCAGTTCAACTTCTCACATTTTCTGAAGTTAATAATTATCTTGGTTTATTGTTTACTTACTCTTCTATGAACTTGTTATAAATGTAATGCCTAGAACCTTGCCAGTTGTCTAAATGTCTTCTACATCTATTCAGCCCATCAAATATCCTAACAGTGTTATCTTCTGGAGGCTTCAGATCTGTTCCTTTACGAACTGGTTGTCTTTTGTACCTAGTACGAGCTATCATCCTGGGATTGATTTTCATCATAATTTTGGGGATTCCATTGCCTCTCTTTTGTGTGTCTATATTTCTCCTTTCCCTTTCTTTCTACTTATTGGTTTACTCCATCATTTTGGTGCTGGATATTCACTCTCCTGAGGAAAAAAAATTGGATAGAATGTAAATTTTTGAGATGTTGAACATCTGAAAATGTCATCATTTTATGTTCACATTAGATTGATAGTTTTACTGATAGTTGGTGTACAGAAAAAGAGTTAACCTAGTAAGCCTGATAATGCTGCCCTTGGAAAGGCCTCCTTGCAGGGTTGTCCCTTAACTGTTGTCCGGGAACTTGGATTGTAAACAGTTCCTTACACTGATATAAACCTTCCTGGAATGATAAGAGTGCTTTACTATTCCTAATTTATTTGTGCAAACGATATGGTTTATGCGGAACACCTGCTTTCCTTTTGGGAAAATTCTATTTGGAATTTTGGTACATGCTAGGCTGAGGGTGCCTACATGACCAGTCCCCAGTGGGGGGAAAAAAAACAAAAACAAAAACACAAATGTGGGCAGTGCATCTCTAATGAGCTTTTCTGGTAGACAACATTTCACTCTTGGTATCACAATTAATTGCTGGAAGAGTTAAATATGTCACTTGTGACACCACTGGGAGAGGACTCTTGGTAGTTTCAAGCCTAGTATCCTCAGGACTTCATCCCATAGTGATTTTTTCCCTTTGTTGATTTTGTTTTGTGCCCTTTCACTGTTATAAACCATAGCAGTTAGTGCAACTATATCCTGAGTGCTGTGAGTTCTAGTGAATTGCAGAATCTGGGGAGGTGGTCTTGGGGATGCTCTGACATAGTTGGTCATTGTTTTCCTTTAGAATGCTTTTGGCATTTTCCACCGCCTTCTATCTTCCATGTGTTGAGAAGTCAGAAGTCAATCTTACCTCTGACCTTTGTATATAATATTCTCTCTCTCTCTCCTTCTCTCAAACCTTTTACAATCTTCACTTTGTTGTCAGTGTTCTGAAGTGCCGGAATGTCATGATGATGTGCCTTGAGTTCCTTGGTGAGTGTTTATATTAATCTACTCTGCTGGTCTCTTAATTGCTCCTTGTAATCTAGGAGCCTTTGTCATTTATAAATGGAAAATTTTCACAAATTACTTGTTGATGATTTCCTTCCTTCAATTTTCTCTATTCTCTATTTGGATTCCTTTGTTTGGATATTGAAACTCTAGATCTAGTCTTCTAATATTCTTGCTTTTTCCCCCCTGCTATTTTCCATGTCTTAGTCTAATTTCATATGCATTTCTTGGGCTTTATTTTGCAAATCTTCTATGGCTTTTAAAAATTATTCTGTAATATTTTTAATTTATAAAAGCTCTTTTTTTGTTCTCAGAATGCTATTTTAATGATATTCTTTTTTTCTATGAGGATAGTAGTGACAGTTATTTTGAAATTATTTTGCCCCAGAGAAGTCTGTTCCTTCCAGGTGCACTATGGATACATGATTCTTTTGGTCCTTTTTATGTTAGAAACTTTATTCAGATGTCTGCCAATCCTTGGCTATATATTCAAATTTAAGATTTGGGCAAAAAGAAGATCTGAAATCTCAGAACTAGTGTGCTTTACTTTATAACTCTCTAACTGTGGTTTCCCTGTAGAGTGTCTGGCCAGGTAATTTCCTTGTGATGTCTACTGGTGAGAATTTCTTTCATTTTTTTCGGCTACTCAAGAGTCCTTGGAGGAACTGAGTGGCAAAAGGAAGTGTGTGTTCCCTCATTCTGGATATAAATATGTACTTAATCTTCATCACAGTTCCATCTTCAACTCTGGTTACCACCCCCAGTACAAAAACCACCTGTTTTATGCTTTCCAAGTATACAAGGTAACTCCAGTATTGAGAAGGAGAAAAATTTGGGGATCTGGTCATTCCTCAATTCCTTTTTTTTTTTTTAAGCTCATCAGTTCTACTTGCAGAGGTAATTGTCAGCTTCTGGAACTTTTAATGTTTCTGTATATTAAAAGAAACATTAATAAATGTTATAAATTGGATTATTTCTTAGTTTTCCCCGTTATTGGCCACTAGTGAGTCACTTAGCTTTTCCTAGCATTGGCTATTAAAAGAGAGCTTTCTTAATCATCTGCTTTCCAGCTACCAAAATTTGTTGCTATATCTTCTCTTACTCTCCTTGTCCTTTTAAGTTTATGACTTAAAAAAAAAAAATCCTTACTGTTGTCCTAGAGAGATTTTTGGTGAGCACGAAAGAAAATGTATATGGTTAAAGTGCCATCTTAATCCAGAATTTCTGATACTCTTAAAGCATGCCTAACTATGTATTTTACCTTTGAATCTCCAGTGCCTAGAACAATATCTGGTGAATATTAGGCCCTCAATATATATTTATTGAATATATATGTGTATTATGTCTGTATGTGTAAATATATATTGATGTGTATGTGTACATACACATATATTTATATATAAGTATATACTAAATATACATAGCTATAATTTTATCTGGTTTCCAGTGAAAGAAATACAACTAATAAAAAACTAAAAAAGAGAAACTAAATAAATAAATCTAAAAGGGAATTTATTGACCTATGTGACTGGGAAACAAAGAGGTAGATCTTGCTCCAAGCAAAAATGGATGTAGGGACTCTAATGAAATAATCAGATCGCTTGATTTCTCTGTGTTTTGGCGTTATTCCCCTCTGTGTTAGTCTGTTCTCGGACTGCTATGAAGAAATACTCCAGACTGGGTAATTTATAATGGAAAGAGGTTTAATTGACTCACAGTTCTGCATTGCTGGGGAGGCCTCAGGAAACTTACAATCATGGTGGAAGGCAAAGGAGAAGCAGGCACCTTCTTTACAGGGTGGCAGGACAGAGTGACTGCAAGCAGGGGAAACTCCAGATGCTTATAAAACTATCAGATATCGTGAGACTCATGCATTATCATGAGAACTGCATGGGGGAAACTGCCCCCATGATCCAATTACCTCCACCTGCCTCTGCCCTTGACATGTAGGGAATTATGGGGATTACGGGGATTACCATTCAAGATGAAATTTTGGGTGGGGATACAGCTAAGCTGTATCACCCCCTTTATAGACATAGAGCAAGCAGGGTAATTTATATCCTTTTCTCATGGTTCTAAAAGCAAGCTTCCTTTTCTTCCAGCACTGAATTGAAAAATCTCAGATATAAACTTTTGTTGACCGATTTGAGAAACGTGTCTACTCCTGAACCAATCAGGGTGGCTGGGAAAATGAAATACATAGGCTTTACATACTGTGGTCCATGGGCCAAATCTGGCCTGTCATCTTTTTAATTTTTTTTAAATACCACAGGATAAGAATAAGTTTTTCACATTTTTTAATGGTTACATTAGTTTTTTTACATACCTCTATAATATCTTCCATTTTGTCTTTTTTGGTCATGAAAGCCTAAAATATTTACCATGCAATTTGCTATGATTGGCTGAGTCTTGGTATGATGGATCATGTACACACTTCTGGTTGGATAGATGAGATACAATGATTGCAGGCTCAGTAGAAACAAATGTTTATAGTGGAGGAGTTAGTTTTCCAAATAAAGTATACATGCTGAACAGGCAAAATGCCACAAATAGTAATTATTCCTGAGGATTAAAAGCTTTTCCTATTAATGGTGCAAATCCAAATACATGTTCATGTGGGTGTTATATAGTTAAAACAGTTTCTCTCCATTCTTCCAACAACTTGAGAGCTATCATAGCTGCAGGAATTTTGTGAAAAACTTAATTTATGTCTAATTCTAAGACTAAAGCAATGTATGCTAGTCTAAGATGAGGCAGTCTTTAGGTTGGGTAGAATAATATTTGCATCAGTTTTCAAGCTACATAATGAAAGAGATAACTAGCCATTTGATATGGATCCATTTATTCATTATTCATTTAACAAACATTTCTTGATAAAATGTTAGTGTCTAGTTACCACCTAGTTACCTTCTTCCCTACACTAGTAACTATATTTATCAATTTTTGTTATATCTCCACTGTTTCTTTTATAAAATATAAGTAAACACACACACATATACACACATGTGTACACATACGCACACACATACATATATATAAACTCGTGTGTGTGTGTGTGTATGTGTATATATATATATATATATATATATATATATATATAATAATTACATCTGGGGTTTTCATTTGAAAACCTCAGGAACTAAGCTTATATACTTCCAGTCATTTTAGCCTCCCATAAAGTTTAGTTGTACCTTTAAATAAATATGTTGACTCAGTCTGACCTTTGAGAGTCAGGATCATAAGAAGATTCAGGTCCAATTACAGAACTCGGTAACAGTTAAAATTTCACTTTCATTCTCCAGAGATATTCCTTCATAAATAATGTATACATATTCATTTACCCTCTGACCCACTTAAAATCTATCTCACAGCAAAATACTAAATGTCCTTTGCACAAGACTATTCATAGAAACCTTATTTATAATTGCAATGGAAAAGTCCATTAATAAGGAACTGGTTGAAGAAAATTATGGTTTATTCACTCAATGAAGGCTAAAAAAGCAAATAAAAAGGGGATGAATAGGATATCAATATGCTAATATAGCATTGATATGGTTTGGCTGTGTACCTACACCAATCTCATCTTCCGTTGGAGCTCTCATAATTCCCACGTGTCATGGGAGGCACTGGGTGGGAGGTAATTGAATCATAGGGGCAGGTCTTTCCTGTGCAGTTCTCGTGATAATGAATAAGTCTCATGAGATCTGATGGTTTTATAGAGGGGAGTTCCCCTGCACATGCTTGCTTGTCTGCCGCCCTGTAAGGTATCCCTTTGCTCTTCCTTTGTCTACTGCCATGATTGTGAGGCCTTCCCATCCGTATGGAACTGTGAGTCCATTAAACCTCTTTCCTTTATAAATTAACTAGTCTCAGGTAAGCAGACTAATACAAGAAGACTAATACAAAATAGTATTTTTCAGTAAAATAAGCAAAATGAAAAAGAGTATTCATAGTAAGATATTTCACTGTCAGAAATGGGAAAGGCAATTTGGTGTCTATATATATATGTGTGTGTGTATATGCATATACACACACACAGGTATACATATGTGTGCATATATATGCATGTGTATATATGTGTGTGTGTTTACTTATATTTTATAAAAGAAACAGTGGAAATATAACTTCGAAATTGATAAATATACTTACTTGCATAGGGAAGAAGGTAACTAGGTGGAGGAAACAAAGATGTTATTGAGATTTCTGTGAATGTACCTTGTTATACAGTTTTCTTTCTAGAACCCTGTAGAAGTTTTTACATAATTAAAAATAGTAAGTTCAATAGAGAAGAAAATGCAATCTCTAAAAATCGGAGGGGGGAGTAAAAAAGCAAATAAACCTAACTACCGAACTTATCTTATGTTAAGTTGACATAAACACACAGAAAATAATTATTTTAAGTGCATGTAAAGCACAGTATTTTAGTTGTACTTCCTTAGTGAGATTTATTTCTAGACAAAAAATCACATTACAGCATAAACTGTATTCAGTTAACTTATAGTAATATTCATATTATTATTTTGAAACTATCATAGAAATGTTATACTACAAACCAAATATGTAATTATGTTCAGATCTTTAGGAAATAAGATTTTTCAGCAGGAAAGAAAGAAAGATACAAGTATAAAATCAAAGTCAAGTAAAAGCCCTATATTCTCACATTTGAAATAGAAATAGCAATATCAACTTACCATTTATTTCCTCTTATACAATTTTTTGACTTTGTCTGTTAAAAAAGCATAAAAGCAATGATAGCCCAGTAACAATGAGTATCCTCATCACTCAGACTGTGGTTACTCATATCATTGTGTACTAAAAAGAAGCAGGAATCCTTGAAAAATTGATTAAGTTCCAGGCCTGAGGTAGAAAATGTGCAACATGATACCTAGGTGATGGGACAGTCTGTGCAGCAAACCACCATGGCACACTTTTACCTGTATAACAAACCTGCACACCCTGCACAAGTAACCCTGAAGTTAAAAGTTGGAAATTAAAAAAAAAACATGAAAACTGCAACTGATTAAAATATGTTAAATATATTAAAGTGAATGTTTTGCTGATACATAGTTATATTAATAGATATTTATGGAGTGCATGTGATATTTGGTACATGCATACAATGTATAAGGAGCAAATCAGAATAATTGGGATATCTGTCACCTCAAACATTTAGCATTTCTTTGTGTTGAGAACATTTCAAATCTTTGCTTCTGGCTATTTTGAAATATATAATAAAAGATTGATAACTATAGTCACTGTGCTATTGAACAGCAGAACTTATTTTTTCTATCTAACTATATTTTTATACCCATTAACCAACCTCTCTTCATCTCCCCCTCGCCACTACATGAGTTCTTAATAAAATATAAAAAGAGCTCACAGGGTAGCAATGGAAGTTTTTGGTTACCACCTCATTCTCTGAAAAGTGATCAATAAAGAGAAAGAATTAAGATTTATCCTGTCTTTCCTTTCCCAAATACAGTTATTTTGGTATAATGCTTGTCTGTAATGTACACATTTGTTCATACATAGTAGGTAAAAGATAAAATACAATCATTGCTATGGTCCGAATGTTTACGACCCTCCAAATTCATATGTTGAAATCTTAACCCTCAAGGTAATGGCATTCAAAGATGTGGCCTTTGGGAAGTGATTAGATCATGAGGGTAGAATCCTCATGAATGGGATTAGTGCCCTAGAGAAGAGGTCCCAGAGAGCTGCCTTTTCCCTTCCATCATGTGAAGACAGAGTGAAGAACCAGGAATTGGGCCATCATCAGCCCCTGAGCCTGCTGGCACCTTGATCTCGGACTTCCCAGCAACTAAAGCTGTAAGAAATAAATTTGTATTGTTGACACACACCCCAGTTTATGACATTTTTGTTACAGCAGCGTATAGTCTAGGACATAAGACAATCATCAAAACTCAAAATGAAAAACGTACAATTTTTATAAGATTAATGTCTAGCACTACCTATTATAGTTACATCTACCATGTGCAGTAATTGCATCCTGGAAGATCATAGTGCTTGTGAAGCGGTACACAGAACATGCACTCTCACGTCAGTTTCTGTCTCTTACTTCAATTACTCATATGCATTGCCTTACAAGTGTGTATCGTGTTCTTCTCCTGAGTTTGGAAACTATTTATACAGAATCTGAAACATGAGTAAGTGTCCTGGTTATAAAAATACAAGCACTGAATGAAAAGAAAGACCTCATGTATTGTGGCAAAGGCTGAAATAATAAAGTGTTTCAAAATAAACGAGAATATTTTTTATTGTGAGAGACTGTAAACCTAAAGTAATCTACACTGCGCACCCTAAGAGAAAATGTTATTCAAGTAAAAGAAACAATAGATCTTAACACATCATGGTTATCATCATCTTTCACTAAGACTGAACAGCTCCTGCAGTAGACTGTAAGATAAGGATGAGAATGCTGAGTACAGCAGGATATCACTTAGAGGCATCTGGTCTCACTCTGATGTACAAGCTGCTGCTTTGTGAAAGAGAGAAACTGATAAAATTCAAATCTCTATTTTAAGCCAATGTAGAAAAAAAGCAAGGCAATGAACTCCAGCTTCTAATTTTATTACATTTTATCCTAAGAATGATAATATGCTTTCTTTTGCCTTTTCTCCATAAATTAAAAGTTAAAACTCTTTAATACATCAACTCTGCCAAGCAAACTTTATGTCTACGTCAAAGTAAAGTTTATTATTTACCATAATATTTCTTTATTAGGAATTAATATTTTAAAACTGTGTAACATACTTTTATTTATGTTTTATCACCTATTATTCAGGTTTATATTCAGCCTCACCCTTATTTTCCCATAAGTCTTGTTATACTTATCAGACAAAATTCCATGATGCATCATTTCATAAAAAAAATAACTTGAGTTGATGAAAGATATTCTTTAGAGAAGAATTCCAGCTAATAAATGGACAGGACATCATAAAATTGGGAAGTCACTCTTTGTGACCACAAATAAAGTAATGCATTTAGACAATAATCATCAATAGCCACCAAAACCACTTGCCAAGAAGTCAGTGGCAGGTTTTTAGTAAAGTGATCAAACTGATACAACTTGAACACAATAATCAATATTGGAATCACATAAGAGGTGTTATGGGCCTCCTGATGAGATGCAGATATGAAATGTTTGTATCAAAAAAAAAAAAACCTGGATATAATCAAGCCTGCTTTCTGTAGGTCTTATAGTTTTCATTAACTATAGAGCTAAATACCACCACAAGACAGTAATCATCCAAATTCAGAACGTGAGACATTGCATAAGACAAATAACCTGGCTATCCAACAAATAAATGGTATATAAAAATTAAATAGCAAAGGAGGGTGACTGTTATAAATTATTAAAGTCCCAAGAAATATAATAAATACAAGCAGTCTATGGATCCTTTGCAGATGTTTGTTTGAATAAGACAATAGAAAGATGACATTTTTAGACAAATGGGGAAATATATGGACTGGGTATAAAATAACAAAGAATTATAATTGGTTATTTTAGGTGTTACAATGATGGCAGTGGCGGCCTGTCTGGAGTGGCTACTGCCATGATGCTAGCTTCAATCGGGGAGGCGGGGAGGCCCTGCTGGGGCTGTGTGCTCCACAGAGCCAGCAGGAGCTGGGAACACGCAGAAGCCCTGCCTTCTCTCACCCCCTTTCAAGCTGGCAGGGCGGGAGCCTCATATTCCCTGGGCAAAGATGCTGCGGCCCAGCCATGGTTTTGGACCCAGACATCACTGTGCTCCTGGGGGCCAGGAGCAGGCAGCAGCCCCACCCTCCCAGGTGCAGCTGAAGCCACCCAAGCTGCAGCTGTGGACCCAGACATCCCTGCATTCTTGGGGGCCAGGGAGGCATCTCTGTCCCTGCAGGCTCGGATATGCCTGCTCCTGCTGTCTGGCCTCTCCCCATTCCTTGTGCCTGTTCCAATCTTGGAGCAAAGTTGAGGCTGACACACCAGCCCCCTGCTGCCTTGGCCCCCTGTGGACTTTGGGCGCTGACAAGCACGGGAGTGAGGCCGAGGGCAGCTCAGCATGGGCCTGCGGGCTCCACTCAGCATGAACAGTCTGGGTGACAGCAGAAGGCAGACAGGCTTCTGGGTAGAAAGTTCTGGGTCCCTGAAGCCCCACCTTCAAGTCAAGGATGGCCTGAAGTCTGGGGGCTGGGCTGACAGACCAGAATGTGAACTTACAGTGCTTTTTCCTTCTGCCCCTGGCCACCCATGAACCAATCAGGTGGACTGGAGAAAACATCAATGAACTGATTTCTAGGGAGAAGAGGCTTTTAAATACTCAAACTCTTTAAGAAATAGTCCCTAATGAGCAGTGGAGGTGGAAGTGACCAGCCGGGGAGGGAGGTGGGACTGGCAGTGGAAGTGGTGGCATCACTGGTTGTTGGGGCACTGGAAATGTGTCTGGAGTTGGTTCCTTCCGGTAGGTTCGTGGTCTCGCTGATTTCAAGAATGAAGCTGTGGACCCTCGTGGTGAGTGTTACAGTTCTAAAGATGGAGTGTTACAGTTCTTGAAGATGGTGTGTCCGGAGTTTCTTCCTTCCGGTGGGTTCGTGGTCTCGCTGACTTTAGGAGTGAAGCCACGGACCCTCACGGTGAGCGTTACAGCTCTTAAAGGTGGCGCGTCCCTAGTTATTCGTTCCTCCTGGTGGGTTCATGGTCTAGCTGACTTCAGGAATGAAGCCGCAGACCCTCGCGGTGAGTGTTACAGTTCTTAAAGATGGTGTGTACGGATTCTGTTCCTTCAGATGTTCAGCTGTGTCCAGAGTTTCTTCCTGCCAGTGGGTTCATGGTCTGGCTGATTTCAGGAGTGAAACCACAGACCTTCGCAGTGAGTGTTATAGCTCTTAAAGGTGGCGTGTCTGGAGTTGTTTGTTCCTCCTGGTGGGTTTGTGGTCTGGCTGACTTCAGGAATGAAGCTGCAGACCCTCGTGGTTATTGTTAAAGCTCATAAAGGTAGTGCGGACCCAAAGAGTGAGCAGCAGCAAGATTTATTATGAAGAGCGAAAGAACAAAGCTTCCACAGCATGGAAGGGGACCTGAGCGGGTTGCCACTGCTGGCTCGGGTGGCCAGCTTTTATTCCCTTATTTGGCCCTGCACACATCCTGCTGATTGGTCCATTTTACAGAGTGCTGATTGATCCATTTTACAGAATGCTGATTGGTGTGTTTACAATCCTTTAGCTAGACGCAGAGTGCTGATTGGCGCATTTTTACAGAGTGCTGACTGGTGCATTCACAAACCTTTAGCTAGACACAGAGTGCTGATTGGTGCGTTTTTACAGAGTGCTGATTGGTGCGTTTTTACAGAGTGCTGATTGGTGCATTTACAATCCTTTAGCTAGACACAGACCACTGATTGGTGCATTTACAATCCTCTAGCTAGACAGAAAAGTTCTCCAAGTCCCCACTCAACCCAGGAAGTCCAGCTGGTTTCACCTCTCAGAAAGACTGAAGGTTGGAGACTAGGCTTAAACTCAGCCTCTTGAAGCCGAAGCTAGTTACTGATCAAATAACCACTCAGGGAAATCCAGTGTATCTTGTCATTTTAGCTACCTGATACAGGGAGGAACTCCTGCTCTCTGGGAAAAAAAACAAAATAATGCAACCATATTTTCCAGTCTCCACTGTTTTTCTATACATAATATCTGGTAATCAATAAAAAATTACTAGGCATAAAAAGAATGTAGGACTCAGCCAGGCAAGGTGGCTCACGCCTGTAATCCCAGCACTTTGGGAGGCCGAGGCAGGCAGATTACCTGAGGTCGGGAGTTTGAGATCAGCCTGACCAACATGGAGAAACCCTGTCTCTACTGAAAATACAAAAAAATTGGCCAGGTGTGGTGGCACAAGCCTGTAATCCCAGCTATTTGGGAGGCTGAAGCAGGAGAATTGCTTGAACCTGGGAGGCGGAGATTGCAGCGAGCCGAGATGGTGCCATTGCACTCCAGCCTGGGCAACAAGAGCGAAACTCTGTCTCAAAAAAAAAAAAAAAAAAAAAAGAATGTAAGACTCAAATTTAATCTGGGGTCGGGGGTGGGGCAGAGGAAAAGAAGTAAGGGACCCAACATTAGAATTAGCAAATGAAGATTTTAAAATAAGTATAAATATGTCCCAGAATTTACAGGAAAACATAGAACGAGTCAGCAGAGAAAGAATGTAAGCAGAGAAATAAAAATTACTAAAGAAAAATCAGAAATTCTGGATATATAAAACAAATATTTGAAATAGAATATGCTTTATATGGTTTTAAAAGCAGAACAAATACTGTAGAAGAAAGTATAAGTGAAGTGAAAATGGCCTAATGCAAATTATACAAAATGAAGTACGTGAAGGAAAAATGACTAAGAAAATATAAAAATGTCAGATAGCAATGGGACTAAATATATGAACTTATTACACACACACACACACACACACACACACATTCCAGAATAATAGGAGAATGGTACAAAAAATACTTGAAGAAATAACTGGAAAATTTCCAAAGTTGATGAAAAATACAAATTTATAGCTCCTGAATAAATAGCAAGACAAATATGCTACAATTCCACTGCCCCCCAGGCGCATCATAGTCAAAGTGCAAAGAAAATATAAAGAAATCCACACAAAATCCACTAACTGTAATAAGTGAGTGAAGAAAGGTCTCAGGATATAAAGTCAATATAAAAAATATATTTCTATGTATTAGCAAAAACAATTGAAAAAAATGCTAATTACAAAAGCACAAAGAACCATAAATATCTAGGAACAAATCTAAGACCTTCTCACTGAAAACTGAAAAGAAACCCAGTCATTGGGAGTAAAGAAAGATTTTTTTTTTATTATTATACTTTAAGTTTTAGGGTACATGTGCACAACGTGCAGGTTTGTTACATATGTATACATGTGCCATGTTGGTGTGCTGCACCCATTAACTCGTCATTTAGCATTAGGTATATTTCCTAATGCTATCCCTCCCACCTCCCTGATCTTTTAAAAAGGAAGAAACACATCAGGCTCATGAGTTAGAAGATTTAATATCTTCCCCCAATTAATCTACAGATTTAATGAAATTCCAATCACTAACGTAGAAGGGCTTTTTATAGAAATTGTCAAGATGATACTACAATCTGTATGGAAAAGGACATATTCCTAGGATAGCAAAAGAAGGGTAAAGGAGGAAGAGTTCTTTATATTCTCTAGGCATATGATCTGATTTTAGGATTTACTATAAAGTTATCAAGACAGCATAGTTCTGGAGTAAAGGTAGAAAGATAGGTAAATGTGACACAATAGAGTCTGAAAATATACCACAACTGTAATCAAATATTTGATAAAGGCAATAATGTAACTCAGTGAAGAAAGAACAATCTTTTCTATAAATGCTATATAACTGGCTGGATATCTGTGTGGAAAAAAAAAAAACCTGAATGAGATGCATACCTCATGTGATATACAAAAATTATTTTAAAATGGATTATAATCATAGATTATAAAACCAAAAACAAACTTTCAGAAAGAAAATATGGAAAAAAAAAACCTTAGCAAAGTGGAGATTAGGCAAAGATTTCTTAATAGAACTCCAAAAGCTCTAACCAAAAAAGAAAAAAAAATGTTAAATTGAAGTATATCAAAATTTAAACCTTCTGTTCTTCAAGAGGCATTGTTAATTAAAAAGCAAGCTACAGACATTTAATTTCTAGCCCAACATGTAAAGAGCCTGGAGGTTGTTATTATCAACCTCATGAGAATAAGCTGAACAAACTGAAGATCAATAACTCATCTTAGAGCCATCAGATCACTGAGGTCACAAAACAAACTGCTGCCCAGTAACATGGAAAGACAGACAGATACAGAGAATCACGGCTTACCAGGAGCAGAAAACTTTACTGGACCCAATAACTGGTAGGAATACTTAAAGCGTAAGTGTTTAATTGCTGGAGACTGAGCATAGACTAGTTTAAGATGAGAACTCAGAGACTAAAAACTTCTGAGGGTATAACCTTAAGGGGACCCCAAAACTTTTATGAGTTTTACATCCAGGAGCCCCACCTCGTTGCCACTGTGAGCAGAGAAAAATCCCGTCATGCTTCTGGCAGGGAGAGGGGCAAAGTAACCATTGTGAAATATAGCCAGAGCATTCTATTCTTCCTGCAAAGGAGAGGTCTGTCCTTAAGGGTGACTGTTTTACCATAGACCAACCAACATATGTGTTTCCAGAGCCTCAGCCATGTGGGGAAAGGAATAACAAACTCCAGCCTCCTCTACCCTTCAAAGTAGGGGAAGAGAATACCAAACTCCACCGGCTTCTACCCTCCTGTGTGGGGGAAGGGAAACACACAACTCCAGTCCCATTAGCCCCCGTCTCATATGGGGTGGGGTAAATTGAGAAGGACTTGCCAAGATCAAAGCCCAGAGCCACAGACTCAGGTTGGGAATTTGGAGGTAATTAAGGTGTTTTTCCATAGATGAATGTTTACTACAAATTGTGGTACATATATTCAATGACCTATTATTAATCAGCAATGAAGATAAATGAGCTATCAATCTATGAAAAGGCATGAAGAAACCTTAAATGCCTATTGCATAGTGAAAGGATCCAGTCCGAAAAAGCTACATACTATATGATTCCAACTGTATGACATTCTGGAGAAGGCAAAAGTATACAGACAGTAACAAGATCAGTGGTTTTCAGGTTTTTTGGGGAGGGAGGTGGTAGGGACAAATAATTGGAGTACAGGGCATTTTTAAGTTAATAAAACTATTAACTCTAGAGTTACATAACATATGATACTGTAATGATGCATACATGACATTATGCCTTTGTCAAAACCCGTGGTATTGTACAACACAAAGAGTGAAC
The DNA here is from genome assembly GCF_000001405.40 of Homo sapiens. Taxonomy (NCBI): domain Eukaryota; kingdom Metazoa; phylum Chordata; class Mammalia; order Primates; family Hominidae; genus Homo; species Homo sapiens. Next base: position 47,165,235 of record NC_000013.11, read on the forward strand.
TCTAATTCAACTATGGCCTTTAGTTAATGATAATGTATGAACATTGGTCCATCCATTGCAAAGACTGCACCACAGTAATACAAGCTGTTAATAGCAAGAAAAACTGTTGGGGGTGGGGGCAGTGAGAGAGGCTACTGGTAACACTGTACTTTCTGAGCAATTTTTATGTAAACCTAAAAATGTTCTAAAGAGTAAAGTCTATTTAAGAAAAGGAAACTATAGCCTTGGGAAAATATTTCCAATATGACATCTGACAAGATACTCAAATATTTAAATCTCAAATGTTTAATTAAGTCAGTAATTAAAAGACAAACAACCCAATTAGTAATGGGCAAAAGTCTTAGATACTTCACCAAAGTAATGTATGAGATGGCCAACATTTGAAAAGATGCTTATAAATATCAGTCATCATGGAAATGCTAATTAAAATCACAATGAATATCATTAAAAAACCACTAGAAAGGCTAAAATTTTAAAAAGACTGATAATACCAAGAGTTTACAAGAATGTAGAGCGACTAGATTTCTTATATATTCCTGGAGGGGGAATAAAATGGTACAGCCACTGTAATAGCAGCTTTTAACTAATCATATACCTGCCTTATGATTTCTAAGTTCCACTCTCAGGAAACTAAACCTTTGTTACATAAAAATATGTGAACAAGGGCCAGGCGCGGTGGCTCATTCTTGTAATCCCAGCACTTTTGGAGGCCGAGGCAGGCGGATCACCTGAGGTCAGGAATTCAAGACCGGCCTGCCCAAAATGGTGAAACCCCATCTCCACTAAAAATACAAAGAATTAGCCGGGTGCAGTGGTGCACACCTGTAGTCCCAGCTACTTGGGAGGCTGAGGCAGGAGAATCGCTTGAACCCGAGAGGTGGAGGTTGTGGTGAGCTGAGATTGCGCCACTGTACTCCAGCCTGGGTGACAAAGTGAGACTTCGACTCAAAAAAAAAATGTGAATAAGAATGTTTAATTTAGTTTCATTCATAATAGAAAAAACCTTGGAAACAACCCAAATATCCATCAACAGACGACTGAGTGAACAGAGTAATGTTATTCTCATATGACAGAATACTACTCAAGAATCAAAAGATTGAACTCCTGATATACACAACAATGTGGAATAATCTCAAATTTATGCTCAGGAAAAGAAGCAAAAGTGTACGTTTTTGTGATATGCAAGAACAGGCAAAATTAATCTGTGAAAATAGAAATCAGAAGAGTGATTGCCTGTGGGTGGCGGGGATAGGCTGTTTTTGTAAATAAAATTTTATTGGGACACAGCCACCGTCATTTGTTTATATATTGTCTATGGCTACTGTCACACTACAAGAACAGAGTCGAATAGTTGTGACTGGGACCATATGGTCTGCAAAGCTGAAACTATTTACTATCTGACCCTTTACAGAAAAAGTTTGCTGATCCTTAGTATAATTGAGCAAGTTTAACAAAATGTTGATAATTGCAGAGGCTGGACAATATTTTTATTGTTTATAAATAGAATAGTGGGCTATTCTACTTTTATATGTTCCATAGTAAATTTTAAAAATTTGGGTAACATCATCTTGCCTGAGAACCGCAAGATTTTTGCTTGCACCGTTTGGGGATACAGGTATTCGGAATCCTGCTTACTCCTCTCCTTCCTTCTGAGAGCCAACCCATTTTTGATCGCTTTTTTATGGCATCAACCCTGTGTGTAAACCATCTAATTACTGAAATTAGAGCATGAGAGGTTGTGGGCACTATAGGCAGACTGGATTTTATTATTCAGCCAATAAATTGACCCATTCATTATAAGGGCTTGCATGTGAGCATTTTTGAAACCAACTCTATGGCCTGGGATTACAATTAAGTTAGTATAATTTGGGACCCATTTGTAAATTTTACTGTGGATCTAGATTATTTACACTTTCCAAAGCTGTCACATAGATAACAAATGATACTATGAGAAAAAGGTTAGATATGGGGATAAACATCTGTTAATAGAACTTATACATATGGAGCAGAGGTTGGCGTAGGACTTAAGAAGTTCCAGGGCTTATTTCTATCTTTAAATATCCTATGTTGTTTGCTAAAACACTGATCCTCAGTACGGTTTGAAAATTTCTTATTTAGTGTTCATTTCTTTGGATGAGTATATTATGTTACTAATTGCTGCATTTTAGAATATGAATATGAGTGAGGAGATATTAACCTACTCAAAATCTTGTGCTCCTTAATAGTAACTAATATTTATATTATGCTTTATAATTTACTGCTTGCATTTCCTTATCTTATTTAATCCTCACAACCATGCTACAAAGGGTGCTATTACTAACATCTATTGTACAAATGGAAAAACTACAGCTGAGCCGTGAAGTGAAAGTGAAGATCACAAAGGGGACAAGTGTCAGTCAGGGCTTTATGCTAAGTTCCATTAGTTTCCAATATTTGCTGCTGCTTCCATTTCAATTAATGTGGTAGACATCTGAGTGTCAAATACAGGGAGCCAGCATTTTGCATGGTAATTCAGAACTGTGAAAATGACCATGCAAGTTGAAACTGTGCAAAATGGTCTGAGTCAACAGAAAAAATAAAACAGGCTTCTTTACTTTAAAAATGTTTAATAAAATTAAAAACTCTCTTATTTCTGTTTTAAAATGTATATAGTATATAACAATGTATGGTATAAAAAAGTAAAACTAATATTTACTCAGTACGCTGTAACTTATATCATTAGGCATATTAAGAATTGCAATATTTTGTTTGTAAAAAAACTTATCAAGAGTAGTTTTAATAGTGCTTGCCATCTTGTCATATAACTTATGATATTAGAATGAGCATCTTCTCTATGCCTTGCCAAACTGTCATACTCTTTTCTTAGGTTGAATCAGCATTTAACATTTTATCATCGGCACTTTCAATATTGAGAAATATTCCTTTAATGTAAAGATTTTCACCGGCGTCACTTCCTCTGGGAAATCTCCCTCTTTTTAGCCTTGACCACTTGACTCATTTATGTCAATAAGCTTACTTTCAATACATTTTTCCTTGTGTATCTAGAGAATATGAACTCAAGCAGCATCCACATTCCTGTGGTCAGCTATTTCTTGTTTAACATTTCTTCTTTTACGTTGGATTTGAATTTCACTTCCAGAATTACTACGTTTCATTTCTTTGCTGTGCTTTTTTTTTTTTTTTTTTTTTTTGGGCCATTTTCCTCAGTTTTGTAAAATGTCACGTGGGCTTATCACTGAGAGACAAGGAAGCGACACAACTACACATTTGCTACCTGTACCTGAACTGAATAGCAGAGGCACAGTGAGCAATCATTGCAAGCATTTCAAAGAAGTGATGTGATTGATCACGGATTTTGATGCACCTTTGATATTTACCTAGCGATTTACAGGCTGAGAGCTAGCTGTAAAATGTGTACTTTATGCACTTAAACACATGGTTAATATACGTGATGATTGAAATTTAAGTCATGTTTTTAGGGGACTGATGTTATTTGACTGTACTAGGAGTGCAAAATTTGTGCTTTTAGCAGAACAGCGCAAAGCAAGGGCTGCCTGTATTCGAGCCTGTGATACTCTCATGACCACTAACTAAAGGGGCGCTGAGTGGGTGGGAATTTACATTCAGAAGGGGAAATTTTGTTGCGTAGGAGGAGAATTATAGCAGGCAGAAGGAGATTAGAGAGTGAATGCCCTGGGGTGGATCAACCGTATGACACGAGGTTACAAAAAGAAAAGCAAAGTGGAAAGTTTCTTCTAAAGGCTGATTTCTCTACAATTTTGCCTAACGCAAAATGTTAGTTACAAAGAAAACTAATTTTCTGACTGGAAGAAACACTTTAAAACTGTGTCCATAAACATAAACTCATTAATAACACACACATCATTTATATATCTTTTTGTTCCTGTTAATTACAAAAATAATACATGTTTGTTGTAAAAGATTTAACGGTGTAGAATGAAATTTTCATTTGCACTCTAGTCTTTTTTCTCGGGGTACTAAATGCCAATAATAAAAATGTATTTTACATTTTATTATTTGTATTAGTTTAATATCAACTATGATATTATGTGATGCTTACTTTAATCAGACAGATGTGGAAATTAGGAAGAATTCTACTAGTGGAAACTTAAAATGGATTTTAAAAAATACTTGTCCTATGAAGAGAAAAGGTGAATTTTAATCTATTGCATTTAGAAAAATCAAAGCTGTGCCTATTGCTGTTTGAATATCAGTGGTGAATCTGTTAGACCGTATAAGAAATAGCAAAAGACCTTTTCCAAGAAGTAAGTTTTCTGGTTTACTTGCAAAAGGACATGTTTCAGAATACCTGCTTTCATTTGGGACAGGATATCAGAATTGAAAGAATCTCTACCACTCACACTGACCTCGACATATTCAAAAACAGGAAAATCTTCTAATCTAAAAATAGTTTAAACCTCACCTTGGCCAGAAAAAAAGAACTGCCATCTTATAGATAAATGTTTTTCCTACTTTTTAAAATGACCAACTATTGAAACATACAAAAGAATAGTAATGATATGGTTATTTTGATAGTACTTATATATAAGTATTATCTATGTTACTCACATGTAAAATAAACACACATGTATCCAACACTGATCTTAAGACATAAACCAATAACTTTAAGGCCCCAGTGCCTCATCTTGATGTTACACCCACTCTCTGAAAGTCACTTTATCTTGAAAGCTTTGTCTTGAAATAACACCTTTATCTTGAATTTTGGGTTTCATGCCTTTCCGTTTCTTTAGAATTTTACCACAGTTGCTTGAATTTCTAAATAATATATTGTCTACTTTTGCACAATTATGTGTATCATTGTTATGCTGTATAAAATTTTATGACAAGTCTTTTTCTGATTAACATTATGCTTGTTTGACTGTGAGATTTAACCTCATGAATATGTTTGACTTCTTAATTTGCAATATCGTACGGCATGTCATTGAGGAATGATACTACGATCTATTTATCATTTCTTTTGGCAATGGACATTTGAATTGTTTTCAGTTTTTACATTGCTTTAAAGGATTGTGCATGTGTTTCCTGGTGTATATTGGCCAGAATGTCCCTAAGAATTACTGCAAGAAGAAAAAATCTTGGTCAAAGGCTCTATACATCTTTTTTTTTTTTTTTTTTTTTTTTTTTTTTTGAGACAGAGTTTCAGTCTTGTCGCAGGGGCTAGAGTGCAGTGGTGTGCTTTCAGCTCACTGCAACCTCCGCCTCCTGGGTTCAAGCAATTCTTGTGCCTCCGCCTCCTGAGTAGCTGGGATTACAGGTGCATGCCACCACACCCGGCTAATTTTTGTATTTTTAGTAGAGACGGGGTTTCACCATATTGGCCAGGCAGGTCTCAAACTCCTGACCTCAAGTGATCTGCCCACCTTGGCCTCCCAAAGTGTGCACACCTTCAACTTACTTAATTAGTCCTCCTTTTGTTATCTCAAAGTGATTAGGTAAATTTACCCTCCAAACAACTGTGCAGTGGCGCTCCCATTTCTCCACCTCTTGCCAAGGCATTTAAAATAGTGCCAATCTGGTGGGTATGAAATTATATTTTATTGTAGAATTTACATTTGACAATTGGCATGGTTAACCTTGACCTTCCTTAAAAGGTCTGGGGGATTTACTCTATTTTTCAGTTATACAGTTATTGGTGACATTGGCAAGAGCAGTTTCAGAAAAGTGCTTGCAACAGATGATAGCAGTTGTTTGAGAAACAAAAGAGAGATGAGGGAGTGGGAGGAATCAGAACAGATGCCTTTCTGCAAATTTAAGATGAAAAGGGATGGAGAGAGAAAATCAACAGTGCCTTGGAGGGTTTATTAATATTTTCAGATGGGAGTTACTGGAGCAAGTTCATGTGTTAAGCAGAAGAGCCAAGTTTGTTGGGAAACAGAAGTGGATGAGTAGAGTTCATGTGAGAAGAGAAAGTGCTGTGAACATAAACAAGTTTATAGAAGAGTGGTGATTTACGAGAGGAGATGCACATTAAGATCCCAACTTTCTCAATATCATGAGATGAGATGAGGAGGCCTCAGGAGGCTGGCAAAGGTTTTGAGTAACTGACAGAGACTCTGCAAGACCAAAGACCTCATCAAACTTTGTTTCCTTAGGCTTCCTTTATTCATTACACATTGATTTTTTTAATTGAAAGCACATAAAATTGGACATGGAAAATGCACATATAAGTAAGACTCAGTCCTGGTTCCAAAGAAGCCTAGAAAGGAAATCAAATGTATAAATATATAATTATGCAATGAGATGCTTGTTATGCTTGAGGCTGTATTCAGCACAGCAAGAGTAGGGAAGTAACTAGACAAGTGAATGGACAAGGAGGGCCTTTTGAATGACAGATAAGTGGGAGCATTAACAGAGGGCACTGTGGCATGAGAAGCATGGTGCTTCGAGTGGTCTGCACATCAGGGTTTCTGAGGGGCAAGACACATAGAGATAGTGGTGGAAGGAAAGGCTAAAGAAGTAGGTTTCTACATTATGGAGCTGAGAGTTTACCTTGTGGGTGATGCAGTGGTGTCAGAAGTTTTTGTTTTGTTTGTTTTTAAGTTGATTTTTAAAAGTAGACTATTTTTTATAGCAGTTTTAGGTTTATAGTAAAATTAAATACAAAATACAGAGTTCCCTCATACTCTTTGTGCCCCCTCCCCCATCATATCACAAGTTTTTCAGTAGAGCAGTGATCCCCAACCTTTTTGGCACTGGGGACTGCTTTCGTGGAAGACAATTTTTCCATGGAAGGAGTAGGGGAATGGTGTCAGGATGATTCAAGTGCATTTCTGGTGCACTTTATTTCTATTATTATTCTTACATTTAATATATAATGAAATAATTAGACAAGTCACCATAATGTAGAATCAATGGGAGCCTTGAGCTTGTTTTCCTGCAACTAGACAGTCTCATCTAGGGGTGATAGGAGACAGTGACAGATCACCAAGCATTAGATTCTCATAAGGAACGCGCAACCTAGATCCCTCACATGTGCAGTTCACATTAGGGTTCACCATCCTATGAGAATCTAATGCCACCACTGATCTGACAGGAGGCGGAGCTCAGGCCATATGCCTGCTCACTAACCCTCACCTCCTGCAGTGTGGCCCAGTTCCTAACAGGCCATGCACAGGTACCGATCCATGGCCCAGAGGTTGGGGACCCCTGCAGTAGAGACATTATGATGGAGGTGTTTGTAGAAAGTTATTTATTGGAACAATGCTATAGTAAACTGCAGCAGAAAGAGACCAGTAGGAAAGTAACTTAGGAGACTCAATCTAGGAGGTAGCATTAATAAGAGTTGGTGAACCAATGAAGGGGGTAAGGGGTAAAGGAGAATAAAGACAAGCTCCAGAATTTTCACTTCCAAGGAAACATAATTTACCTAGGTTGGGGGTACAAGAGGAAGGAAAGATGAGCGGGGGCGGGAGTGGGGAGGGTGGGCTGTGATTCTATATAGAGAACAATTAGATACTAAGTTTGGGGTAGAGTTTCTTTCATTTTCTCAAATGTTCAAGGAATTTCAAAACAGCTGAAATATATGATAATATGAAATATCAACCTTATCATCTCATGCCATAGAGAACCAAGCTTTTATTTAGATAATTATAAATGTTATTTTGTCTGCTATACGGTAGTAAAATCAAAACACTGTTGCTTTAAAAATCATAAATAAATGTTTATATTAATTATTCATCACTGCTCTGGTAAATTACTATTCGACAGAAGTAAATAATACATTGAAAATACTCTGATCCCAATCATAATTACCTTGGGATTCATGATATTTCACAGATGCACACACTTACATCCTAAGATTTCATTTTGAATCAAATTTGTCTTATCTCAGGTTCTAAAAAGTTATAAAAGAATTTGAATGCAATTTTCTCAGGTAAAATATTATGTTGTATTAAGATAAGGTGACATAATTGATACATTATTTGTTAAATCTAAAAGCTAGAAAGAGATTTTGACAATATAATTCTTAATAATAGAACTTATAAGAAACCATTTTGAGATAAAATCCACAAAGCACAATTCTATGCCCAACTTGAAATAAGAATAAAGATAATTGGAAAGGCAGTGTTCTATGAACTTGGTATTTCTTTATTAACAAGATCCTTCTCACTTTTTTGGCTAATCTCTGTATTGGCAATATCCAAGCAAGGTCTTGAAACACCCTTTAATTCCTCAAATAAAGATTGAATTGTATTCAGCATGCCTTTATTTTCATGTGAACATTTCTATTGTAGCCTAGATGTTAGCTGAGGTTATTCTGCCATTTGAAATCTACATAAAATTAGCTTTGGTTCCATGATTTCTGTAGATTGTGGTGCCTTACATTCTGTTACTTCTGTCTCCAAAATCCTGTCTGCTCCTCTAATTGTTCACTCTTCTGCGTCACACCAACGTAGAAATAGGGCACAGTTCAATTTCCACTGGGATTACTTCTTTCCAGAAAATTCCACTCATGCAAGACATTTGTGTATGTAGCCAACTTTATTGAAGTGTTGTAGTTTATATGAGAATGATATATAATAACTTTAAATTGAATATGAGACATTGCTGTTTTTAAAAATTGCTTTGGTTCATCTGCTACTAGGGATTTCTCCCTGGCTACCCTTTTCTGAGGGCTCCAACTTCCTGATGTGTTGCTTGGTTCTCACTCCCTCAAGGCTTTGTTCTGCTCTGTCTGCTTCTATACTTTCTGTGTTCTCTTTTCTAGTAGGGGTGGTGGTTCAGGATTTCTCCCAGGGATTTCAATTTCCCTCATTTTTTTAGATAGAACAATTTTACCTTCATTCCCTTCTCAACTCCAAGAAAATTTGGCATATCCAAAGATCCATTTATGTGCTAGGTAAACAGAGGGTCCTCCTACACTGTCTTTATTAATGTAGGTTTAAAGTAGGTTTTAAAATCAGGAAGTGTGAGTATTCCAACTTTGTTCTCCTTCCTCAAGATTGTTTTGGCTATTTTAGGTCCCTAAATTTTCATATATATTTTAGGATCAGCTTGTCAATTTTGGCAATGAAGCCAGCTAGAATTTTTATAAGGATTGCACTGAGTTTGTAGATCAATTTGAATAACATGGTCATATTAACAATATTAAGTTTTCCAATCCAGGAACATGAACTGTCCTTCCATTTGTCTATGTCTTCTTTAATTGTTTCAACAACGATTTACATTTTTCAGAGTGTAGGTTTTGAACTTTTTAGTTAAATTTATTTATATGTATTTTATTATTTTGAAGCTATTGTAGGAATTGCTTTCTTAATTTCATTTTCAGATTGTTAATTGTGCTTATATAGAAATACTATTGATTTTGATATACTGATCTCATAATTTGCAATCTTGCTAAACTCATTAATTTTAATAACTTTTTAATAGATTTCTGAGGATTTTTTATAGCTCATGTCTTATTAGAATATAGTTTTACTTTTATTCTTCCCCATGTGAATGCCTTCTTCTTTTTTTTTTTTTTTTTTTTTTTTTGCCTGATTGCCATCGTTAGACCCTCCCATGTAATGTGGAATAGAAATGGTAAGAGTGAACATCCTTTTCTTGTTCCTGATTTTAGGGAAAAAGCATTAAATGTTTCACTTTGTGGTGTTAGGTGTAGGTTTTTCATAGATGTCCTGTATCAGGTAGATGTTTCCTTCTATTCCTAGTTTATTGAGTGCTTATTATTAAGGAGTATTGAATTTCATTAAATGCTTTTTCTGTACCTATCAAGATAATCATGTGATTTATCCTTTATTCTATTCATATGTTATTTACATTAATTTTTGAATGCTAAACCAACTTTGCATTTTGGGGATAATTCTTACTTGATCATGGTGTATACTCTTTTTTTATGTGATGTTGAATTCATTTTGCAAGTATTTTGTCTTTTTTCCATAAGGGATTGTGGTCTATAGTTTTCTTTACTTGCCTGAGGGTGTTTTGATTTGATGTTTTTGGTTCAAGTTGTGTTAATATTTTCTTTTAAGCAACGTTCAGAGTTATAGAGGGCAATAAAAGCTCATGTGCATCTGCTGAGATGCTAAATCCTAGCTCTGGTGCCCAGTTGACTCACACATTCAATAACAATTTATCGTGAATCCAGACCTCTGTTCTAGGTTTGGGAGTGTATAAGTGAATAATGCAAGGTTTCTGTTCTCTAGGATCTTAATGAACAACTGTAAAACAAACAATAAGCTAATATATGTTATGTCAAGGCCAATAAGTGATTCAAAACAAAGCACATGGTAAGAGAAAAGAAGGAGCTGGAGGGAGATTTTAGATAGGATCAGCAGAGAAATCTTAATGAAGTGACATGTGAGTAGAGACCTCTGTGAAGTAAGGACGTGAGTCATGTGGACATCTGGGAAAAGAGTTCTCCAGACAGAGGAAGTGGTAAGTGCAAAATAGGAGGCAGAAGCATACTTGATATGTTTAAAGATTACAAAGGAGGCCAGGAGGGATGGAACAGCATAAGTAAATAGTCATCAATTAGAATTTTGTCTAGCTGCACACAACAGGAAACACATTTATAGTGGCTTAATCAGATAAGGGTTTTAATTGTCATCATATAAAAGAGACTGGTGTGAAAGCTCCATGACACCATCAGGAACACAGATTCTATCTTTTCTCTCTACCATTTGGAGCATAAGCCTTCATGCATGTGTTCGGGATAGCTGGTCCACTCCAATTGTCCCTTCTATCTTTCAGGCAAGAAGAAGGCAAAGGATGAAAATCAAAGGCCACATGTCAGCAAAATAATTCCTTTGATGGTATTTTTTCCCCCTTCTGGGAAGTTATCCAGAAACATCTGCTTACTGGCTTCACCTGTATCACAAAAATGCCCCTAGCTGCCAATAAGGCTATGTGTGGCAAGGTGACCAGTGGGTTTTATAGCTGGGCAAATGACCTATCCCTCTAACTTTGAGATTCTTTCAGTAGGAAAAAAAAGAGGGAATAGATACACTTGTATGTGGAATCTGAAAAAAGAAGCAAAGAAGCAGAGAGTATAATGGTGGCTTCCAGGGACGGGGGAAGTGATAAACTAGAGTGATGTTGGTCAAAGGGTACACAATTTCAGTTAGACAGAATGAATGAGTTCAAGATATCTATTGTACAATGTGGTGACTCTTGTTAATAATACATTATGTGCTTGAAAATTGCTAAAAGAATAGATTTTAAGTGCTCTCACCACAAATAAATGATAATTCTGTGAAGTAATATGTGTGGTAAATAGCTTGATTTAGCCATTTCACAATATATATATATATTAAAACATGTGTTACATAAATATATACAATTTGCATTTTTCAACTAAAAATAAGTTTAAAAAAGAAATAACAAAGAAAAATAGACCAGGAATATGAAATAATTACTAATACAATAAAAAACACAAATTAACAAAAAAAATAGCATAAGTGCTAGATAATGTAGGGGCTTTTAACTGAGGACTAGATCTTTGGGCTTTGGAGATTCTATGCAGAGTCGTCACATAATATGACTCATTTTTTTTTAGCTTGGGTTGACCTAGAAGCTGAGCCTTATACAAAGATTTATATGAAATAAGTTTATTTGGGAAGTAAGCACAAGTATGGAGATGAGAGAGTAAAACAGAAAAGGAAGGAAATCCTCATAGCTATGACTGAAATCAAGGTTGATACCATGAGGGTATGCAGCAATGTATAAGAAGTGCTCAGCATAGTCCATCCTTGGCCCATTTAGATCATGCCCCCTGTTAAGGACAATCCTTCACAGAGCTTTCAAGGTGGTGCCAGTCAATATCTACAAAAGACAATGTAAAATAGCTAAGGGAGCTAGCTACAGTTTCTTTAGTTACAACTGCTTCAAGATTTAAAGTGATATTCATCATCTCCCTGCTTAACCATCTATTCTGGATTTTCCTAACCCATGTATAGCACTTCAGCTGGTCTAGGCTGTTTATCCGGGGGGTTAAGCCAGATCTTCATCTCAAGGGAAGATGAATCTTTAATTGCCTTTCTCTATTTGAACTTTGAATACTACAATTGCTTTTTTGTCTTTATTTCTGATCATAAAAGCAGCAAGAGACATCCAATTGAATACTCTGAGTTTGAGATGTGATCTTTCCAGCCCTAATTGTGTAGCAGCAGTGCTATCTTTTCATGCTAATTAAGGTTTATTAACTTTGCCATTATAGTAACTCCTTTCTTATCCCTTTTTTGCTTGCTGATCAACTGGCATGAGGCACCCAGAGTGACAGGGTGCCATAGCCTTAAATTTAATAGAATCATTAATCTGTCCCCAAGCTGAAAGCATTTCTCACTGGGAATCCAGCCCTTTAATGCAGCAGAGCCTGTTTGTGGAGGAAGGAAGCACATATTCTTCAAGAATGTCACTTGTGTGATGATGTTAATGGGGGTAAATCTTATGCCTCTTCATTCCTAAACCTACAAATTCTAAATGCTGGGGACACATTCCCTTACCTGGTTCAATGCACACACTGTATTCTGAAAGACATCATCTCAAACCCACAGGGTATTGTCTCTGGGCTGGCATTTTAGCCAAGGACTTTTTGAAAATTATTTTTACTTTTTATGGATACCTAATAGTTATGCATATTTACAGGGTACATGTGATATTTTGATACAAGCATACAATGTATAGTGATCAAATCAAGGTAATTGAGATATATATCACCTCAAGTATTTATCATTTCTTTGTATTAAGAACATTGCAATTCTACTCTTTTAGTTATTTTGAAATGTAGAATAAATTATTGTTAACTATAGTCACCCTATCCTTTAAACCCCCCTCCCCTCTACACATCCCAGCCTCTGGCACTCGTCATTATACCCTCTATCTCCATGAGTTCAGTTGTTGTTGTTTAGTTCCCACATTTAAGTGAGACCATGGGAAATTTATCTTTCTGTTGGGGCAGCCACCTTTGGGCAGATACCTTGAACAGACACTCATTGTTGTTCCTCTTTTGCTGTGAAATCAGCCCCTTAGTCTGATGCAATGTTGTGCAAGTTTCCATGCAAGTAGGCTCTAAAATGGTGGTACTGACAGAGGCAATGCAGGCAGGGAATTCAGATCAGTGTAAGTATGGAATTTGGCGAGGCTGAATTACTATTTCTCTAGGGTAGAAGTAATCTCATTTAATCAACTGGAAACTAAGTACAGTTGGCCTTCCATATATATGAATTCCACATCTGCGGATTTCATCTGTTCTGAACATGTACAGACATATTTCTTGTCATTATTCCCCAAACAAGACAGTATAACAAGTATTTATATAGCATTTACATTGTATTAGGTATTGTAATAATCTAGAGATGACTTAAAGTATATGGGAGGATGTGCATATAACCTATGCACATATCAGGACTTGAGATTTTGGTATCTGCAGCAGGTCTTGAAACCAATTCCCCATGGAAACCAAGGGACAACTGTATCTGACTAGACTCTTTAAGGGATATTGCCATTGGAATGGTGTCAGCATAGACGCTGAAAAGTTATGTAGTAGTGGAAGTGACAAGGTAACAAGGGTTGAATGAGAGCCCATACCATGGTTCAATGCATAGCTTCAATTCCTGCCAACATGGCGCTCCATTCTTAGGCCCATTGCACAAGCCCTGGGGTGGCTAGGACAGATTGGTATACATCCATCCACAGGCTTGGTCATCCTGTCTTAACGGTTATTGAGACTGTTGCCTGCAATGGATGCTGTCTGGGAAGCATCAACTTAAAATACAAAGATCTACATTTTTTACCCACTTCCATGGGCCAACCTGTGGATAATGTTTCCTTAGACTAATGTTTCCATGGAAGTCTTATAACCTCCCAACTAAGCCATTCATCAGTGCCTAAAAGTTCACGAGTATCTGTGTCTCAGGCCACTACTTCCTCTACATAAAGCACAAAAATCAATATACTGCTCTCACATCTGCCCACTGGGAGGGTTTCAGTCATGACATTCCTTTCAGGCAACCCCTGAGTTGGGCTGTAGTGTGGAGGCAGTATGTTTTTGAAGTATGTACTAACCTATTGAGCTAAGTCATCTGTGAATCTGGGTCAAGATTTTCTGTCTTTAATTGATCACAGAGAATGCCTCAGGAGGGATTGGCGTGAGTTGAATTTTCCTTGCGTTCCCCAATCTTACGACTTGTGGAATTTGACAACATCTGGTTCATAATGGGTTTCTCCAGTAGGAGTCACATGGTATTTCATGTTCAGATGCTCAGTCTTTTCTACAGCTCAGCAGCACATCAGGAATTGCTTCTCAAAATAGACATAGTTTTGTTCCAGAAGCCCAGTAGTCTGCACTGTGACCTCTATTGGGTCTTGCCAGAGAACACACACAGCATCATCACAGATAACTTTGGTACCACTTAACTCCTGGGTCATATGGCCTACATGCCAGGGTCATTTGCAGCACAGTGCTGAAGATCAAGAAGCCACTCAAAACAGCTTTCTGAGTAACCTGTTAAATGAATCAGAAAATTATGGCTAAGTCTCTAAAGTCTAAAAATACCCATAACGTAGCTCAAGTTTCTTACTGATAGAAGAGGCAAGAACTTGTCTTTAACCTTAAGTGGAATATATCAGCATATCTCACAAAATTGAACTTCTACAGACTTCACTGATGTAAGAAGCCCTGAATCTTTGTGGTATTTATTTTCTCCTCTCTGGCCTACAGGTGTTTTACTAGGACATCTGTAGTTGTTAATGCTTACTTCTTAGTGAATCAGTGTGATCTGTGGAATTTTAAACATTCTACACATTATAAAAAATCTATAGATTTCTATAGAGTCCTTTTAGAGTGCAGGTGAATTAACACAGCCCCACAGCAGGACAGTGAATATGTACTGCTGTTTGTCCCCTCCTTTCCATCATATAACAGTCAACTCTTTTTTATCTTCCTTATTGATGAGAATTGAGAAAAACGCATTTGCTGGATCATTAGCCTCAACCTACGTCCAAAAGGCTATGTGAATCTGTTTCTGAAACAGCTGCATTTGAGGCTTCCATTTGTTTAAGTTTATAGTAGTCCACTGTCATCTGCCAACATTTGGTGTTTATGGGAACTCTCTTTAAGTAAAGTGGAAAATAATAGGGAGAGAATTGTTAAAGGATAAATAATTATAGCTAGATAGCAGGAACAAGTTCTAGTGTTTTTATAGCACCATAGGGTGACTATAGTTAACAATAATACAGGATATATTTCCAAAAAGCCAGAAAAAAGGATACTGAATGCTCCCAACAAAAGAAATGATAAGCATTTGAAATGATGGATACGCTAATTACCCTAATCTGATCACTACATGTTGTGTGTATCCAAACACTGTGTAGCCCCTAAATATGTACAATTGTTATGTGTCAATTTTAAAAAGTAGAATATGATGGGGCCCATTACTTCTAAGTCTTTAATGATGACACCAATTTCTGTAATTCCTCATAGCACATGGTATTGCTTCTGATAAACTATCTATCTTGGCCAGAGTTAGGAGGACAGTTTTAGGGACTTATACTTGGTTTTCCTAAAACATTGGCTCTGATTTTATGGACCAGGAAACCAATGTGAGAATAATGCCAGCTGCTAAGTACATACATCTCAAATGTACACTCAGACACGTCCATGATCCCATTGAACCCACTATGAAATGAACTTGGGCTAGAACTTCATTTGTCATGTGTTATGCTCAAGCCATAACCATTCTAAATACAGGTTCATAGTAGTGTGTGGTTTTCCTAGTATAAATGGCAACTCAGATCCTATATCATCTTGTCCTTTATAGGTCTTGGGATTTTCCTTTCCACAGTGCAGTTATCCTGGTAAATCACATTAACACCCCTTTTAGGAAGGAATGGGGAAGCCCACTGAATTTCCTCAATGGGGCTCAACCCACACTTGATTAATGGACTTTGAGTCTGTGAACCGGTTTACTTCTGGACTAAGAAAATGCAAGAGATTTCCCATAATAGCAGTCGATTTTAGCCTTCTGATTGTCAGCTCTTGATTTTTTTCTGATTCTAAAAATGAAAGATAGAAACCCTATTTCATTGTTCATCTGTCTTACCCCTAGGAACATCATAATATATAATTAATGACCAGCAATTGCTGTGGGTCTAGGCCCTGGTTGCCATCCTGGGTTGTTGCCCCTTACAGTCATTAAATCTACCTTGCATTTGATGACCAAATACTACTACGTGGACTCTACCATCCCAGATTCCTGTCGTTCTTATTGAAAACGGGCAGCCAAGTTTCAGTGTAGAATCCTGGCCAGGTTCCAATATAGAATCTTCTACTGTTAATTTCAGCCTGCAAGGACTGCTACTTCTCATCTTATCAGAGATGCTAGTACCTCTCTTAACATTCAGTTCCTTATTACTGTAGTGAATTGAGTATCCTCTAGGTGCTCCCAGGATGAATTTTTAGGTTTCACGTAATAAATCCCCTCTAGCATTTTCACCTCCAATGAGTTTCATGACTTTTACTTCAGTACTATTCCATGTAGTTTCAGAATTTTAACTTCACCACTGCAGCCATCCATGCTTCTGGTATTCTTAGAATATTAAATCCTTAGTCATTGGAAAGCCCTCTTATGTCAGTGAATCCCCCTCTCATTCAGTCTTCAAGATGTTCAAGATCTACTCTACAATATGCTGATTTATCCATTAACAACTTTCAGAATTGAAAGTGGGGATATTTAATATCCATTGTCTTCAGTTCCTAGTCTTGGTGAAATTTCAGGATAACAGGAATGTCCTTAATAACTTTATACATTTTTTTGTTTCCTTGCCAAGCAGAGGTCCATATTTGCAGTTTTTCCACAATTCAGCCAACCAGGGACAGTTTCCTGGTCACTGGCCAACTAGGAATATCTGTCTCCAGCACAATATTCCCAATGAGATGTCTGTGTATGAGAACAATACTACTGTTTATGCGAAACACAGAAGTAAAATGGTGCAGCAATGATGGCTGCTCCATTACTCTTCCAATAAGTGGCAAAATGAAGAGAGTGCTGGATTTGCTACTAGCTCATGTCTAAGTAGAAGGTGAGGGAAATAGGAAGTCACAACCTTGAATCCATCAGAAATGGGGTCAAGAAAACCAAAGGATTTTTTGTTGGCAGAGAAAGCAATCATGATCCCTTACAGGCTGGACTACATGTGAGCAAAGCAAAGGATCATTCAGTGATCAATGTGCTGACAGTCAAGGTTCCTGGTAGGGTGAGGGATAGCAGGTTCTCAGATGAATAATAGGCTCTCATGGTATCTTATAAAATGAGCTTCTGTCTCCCTTTGGTAATCGTTTATTGTGGGGTACTTGAGTATTCCCCACCAGCTGAAAAGGCAAGTATGGTTACATTATGGTAAAAAGGTGAAGCTGAAATCCCAGTTTTTCTTATTACAATGTTTATATTTTTATAATTCTGTTAACGCTACTATCCGCTTCTCAGATCCTGGTTGTGGTAAGAAGTATAATGCCCTCTGCAAAGATGTGCAAATCTTAATGCCTGAAATCTGTGGAAATGTGATCTTATATGGCTAAATGGACTTTGCAGATATATTAAGGATCTTGAAGTGGAGAGATTATCCTCAATTATCTAGTTGGGCCCAGCATAGTCACGAGAGTTCTTGTAAGAGAGAACAGAAGGTGAGAGTCAGAAAAGGAGATGTGATGATGGAGGCAGAGGTCAAAATGAAGGAGAGATTTGGAGATGGTCGGCTGCTGACTTGTAAGACAGAGGAAGGGGCCATGAGCCCAGAAATGAATGTAGGTGGCTTCTAGAAGCTGGAAAGGGCAATGAAAAGGATTCTTCTGTAAAACTGGAAGGAAGGTAGCTGTGCTGACACCTTAGTATTAGCCCAGTGAGACTGATTTAGAATATTTGACTTCCAAGACTATAAGATAACAAATATGTATTGTTTTAAGCCATCAAATTTGTGGTACTTGTTATTACAGCAATAGAAAATTATTTCAACAGTCAATGCCAACAGTCAATATTTGACCTCCAGGACTATGAGATAATAAATATGTATTGTTTTATGCCATCAAATTTGTGGTACTTATTATCACAGCAATAGAAAACTATTACAATAGTCAGTGCCTGCTTACTGTTACTGGACTTCCCCATTTCCCTTCTCAGGCTTTCATGAAATATAGAATCAGGCATACTTCAACTAAATATTTATTCCCAGATATCATTTCTTACTGGAAACACTTCTTCTCCACCCTGATGAATTTACTGAACAATTAGATATCTGAAGGTTTCCTTCACCATTTTTGCCTGTGCTGAAACTATGTCTGTGGAGTTAGCTCTCAGCTTTCTCTTATCTGAGCCTGACCCAATCCTATCGTCTCAGTTTTCTAGAGTCAAAGATACTATCAATGCAGAAGACAACCCATGTAAAAATAAGAAAGAGAGGAATAAAAATTCTCTAGTGCCAAAGGTCACCAGGAGCTCCAAATCCTGTGGTCAGGATCCTGTAAGGGTCAGGGCAGGGTTCAGAAGGTTTTTGCATTTTCAGCATTTAATCTTCCTGCTGAAAAAAATCTACAGCCAAGAGGTCTCCTGGAAGGAAATATTTTCTATTCCATTCCATGCCATGCCATGCCATTCCATTCCATTCCGTTCCATTCTTTTATTCTGTTCTTAGGAATATAATCTTTTCATTCCTTCTACCAAAAGTTGACCTCTTAGCCCTGTGCTCTCCTGTTGCTATCCTCTGAGAAACAGGAAAGTGGTATCAGGATACCTCCCCCTCTATCCTACTTTCACTGCGGACAGGCACCATGTTATTCATTGTTGTGCTTTCAGTACTGGCAAAAAAGAGAGTCATTAAAAACATGTTGACAGTGTCCACAATTCCACTTTTGCAAATGTATTTCCTGGTGCCCTGAAGTCTTATAAATCCTCAGAGCATCCTGTTAGAATGCAAATACTCTTGAGAGATGAGTCTGTAGCTCTTATTCACTAACCCCTTAAAGAAAACTAATTGTTCACTAAACTCAAGGTCTAGTTTGGAGATAGAACAATAGAATTATTAAGCATCTTCTGCATTTCACATGCATGACTTATATTATCTCATTTAAACCTTACAACAACCCCCCCACAGAATCATTCTCTCCATTTACAGATAAAGAAAGTGAAGCTCACAGTCACACAGCAAACAGAGAAGCCTGTGTTTTTTCTGTCCCACCACAATGAGGAGGAGGAGTATATTTTGAAGAGTGGGGTGTGACACATATACTCACCCTTCCTCTTGCCAGATAAAAGTAGGTCAACTAAGAATATCTTGGGAAAGCAATTCCATATGAAAGTTTCCTTGGGATTTGGCATTATCACAAGAATGACATTTTACTAGAAGTAAGAGTAAGATCTGAACCAATACTGAAGACAATTATACTTTTAGGTCATAAAGCCAGCTCTGAGCATTTTACTCCAGCTCCTTCCTTGGTAACTCACTGAATATAGCTATTTCAAATGATGTGTCTTGCTCTCATTGATCTCTTAGAGAAGAAAAGGTTTAGTGTGTTCTTACATGATGATATTCTCTTTATCAGAGACTAAGAGTTTGTGGGTCCATGGATAGTGCAGCACATTTGGCAGACCTCATTTTTCTTCTTTCTTTCTTGTTTTTCCTGCTTTTTATTTTATTTCAATACAATTTAGTATTTCAGGGAGTTCCCTAAACTCTTCCAGCAAGTCATCTGGAATATTTCTAGTGTCCTTCTGTAACCTGTTTCAGTTTTGCATTTTATATTTGTGATTTTTAACCTAGAAGGGTTTGAACAATGCTCTTTGATTTAGGAAGAAGAGTGATTAATATTTGTCAGTTAAGTTGGGCTTGAGAGACAATAGATATTAGTGTTAAAATTGCTTTTTTATCAAAGGTACAAATACTGATAAAGCACTTGATGAATTATGAAGGTTCTAGGAAAAGATAGAGACATTATAGAAATTGCTTTGATGGAAAGAAAGCTGCCTTTTAAACGATCCCTGACAATAGAAAAATTATGGTCCATTTGAATTGCCTGCACAGAAGATTAGATTTTAATTGACATCACTGCTTCAGATTCAAAATTTGTTGCTATTAATCGAGAATTTTGATTTTTCACAAAAATTTGTATCAGTAAAAAACAGCACTGTAAAAGAGCATTGTAGAAGATGCATGTTTTATTCTTTTTTTCTGGGAAAGTATTTTAATGGTAAAGAGAGAACCAGTTAATCATATCTGACATTCAAAACATTAAAAATTATTCAGCAGTTTTACTCATCTAGTTCTTGCTTTGTTAGAGGACTTACAATGTAAATATATGTCTAACATAAAATGCTAATATATATTTAAATACAAGACTGAACAAAGTCATAGCAAATATAGTCAATGGGTTATTGCTTTTTAATCCATAAAATGATTAAATTGCTGTCATTACTAGGTTACTATCAAATTTAAGGGTTAACAATTAACATTTACTCTCCTAACTTGTTTTTAAAAAGTCTAAAAAAGGAAAATCTCTAGAGTTGTAGAAAAATTAATTACCTGACATTTTTAATATTGAAATTCTGTGGTCTTTGCTGTTCATGCCATGTTTTGGAATAGAGAGGTACTATAAGAACTGCAGGAGAAGAGACCTGGCAATTGTGTATAAAATGGATTTAGAGGTCATTTAGGAAGTTTTAGAGTTTTCCAGGGCAGAAATCACGAGGACCATGGTTGTAGCCAGCAGTGAAATGTAAAAGAGATAGATAGGCGCAGTGCTCTGGAGTTAGAACCATAGATGGTTCGGTTGGAAATGATTGAGCAGGAAGTGTTAAAGATAAATTCCACTCTTTTCGGGAAGCCAGAACGATATAGTATCTAAGAACCTAGACTTCGAAGTGAGACTAGTGTATGCTGGATAACCTCTTGAGGTTTCAGCTCTGCAACTGTAAAATGGGG
Source organism: Homo sapiens (assembly GCF_000001405.40). Taxonomy (NCBI): domain Eukaryota; kingdom Metazoa; phylum Chordata; class Mammalia; order Primates; family Hominidae; genus Homo; species Homo sapiens. Next base: position 47,186,184 of record NC_000013.11, read on the forward strand.
ATAATAATATTCCTTAAAGGATGGAAGGAAGTTATGGCTGCAAAATGCTCGGCACAGTGTCTGGCAACTCCTTACTATTTATTGTCTCAAAAGGATATTGTCAATATTAGTCACCACATAATAAAAGAAACATGATCCTTATTTATCAAATTTGTTTCATGAGCTCACTGATAAGTAATTCTTTTCGATAAAATACAACAGGCCATCTGCCGTCTGAACTATTAGGGTCATACTTTAATATTTTAATTTCCAGTATTGTTTATAATTCTAGATTAATTGAAATCCCTTCATGAGACTCTTCTCTATGAAGCAGAATTATGGGTGAAGGTAGTGTGTAAGAGTCTTATTGTAAGGGCTTTTAGATTTCCTTTTTAGGTGATTTAACATAATAAGTAGTTCAAAGGAGAAACTATGAAGACTCAGCACTGCCAAGTTCCAGAGGTCTTAACTGCCATTTCTATCAGAGCTGCTGCCTTCAAAACAGAGTCAGCGGGGATTTAATGGATTCCATTCCAAGAGTAAACTCATAGTCTGTCTCCAAGGGCTGCCTTCACATCTTTAGTGTACCAAGTTATTTTACTCAACAAGCACTCTATGAAAGTCAGAAACCTTTAAAATAATGTTGGTTTGGGTTCAACTGCAGTAAAGTAGTTACGTTGATGGGTGGTAAACCATTTTTTTTTTTTTTTGCCGAAGTGAAAGGGGTAATATTTATAAAAGTCACACCAAACTCCTCTTCAAATTCAAAACAAGCAGAGACAAATAGTTACCATAAGTGCCAGAGATAAAACGAAACTTTAGGGAAGCTGTGGTTCATTTTATAGATCAAGAAAACAAAGCTCAGTGATGACACAGATAATTAGTACCGCGATCCTCAACTCATGATCCTAGATACGTGAACTATGCTACAGAGCATCATGGGCAAGCCTTTAGAAAAATATGAGGAAAGAAAAAACTCACATAAATATTGTCATTATATACATTTGGATGAGGTCATAAATGGAAAAGGTGTTTTAAAAATATATCATCCTAAGCAGATGTTTGTGATTGCATTATTATCTGACACTCACTTTTTCCTGGGACTATAATCCATGAGCGTGAGTCTCTGGAGTAACCTGTATACACAGTAGTTTACTCTCTCTTCTCATGTCTTATAATATTGTATAAGAAATTAGCACCTCAAGGTTGTTGAATGTGTGTGTGTGTACAATTGCAAACAAATGATGCTTTATTTCCCTTTGAACTTTTGTAGCTAGAAAAGAAATGCCTAGATAGCAAAATGCTTTCAGCAAAATTTTCATGACCTAAATGTGTTATTATTCATTCTGTGGCAAGATAAATCAAGACAGAGAGATTATTTGGCTACATAAATTTACCTTATATCTTATTATTTTGCTTGAAGGCAGGAAATAGAAGGGTCTATGTTCTAAAGGAAGCTATTGATAAGCCAAAGATGGAGATGGTAGAAAAGAAAATAAGGCTTTTGCTCTATTCCAGAAAGAGTGAGACTGACATTTTCATTTTTGAAAATATTGCTACAAAGACTATTAGAGAGATTGTTGTCGCGTATGGATGTCTTTCAAAGCAATATAAAGGAGGAGAGTTCCATCAAACAGCTCATCTTTAGGTTAAGGGTTATTATTTAAGTTGTGTGTTATTTAATTTGTTATTTCACAAAACAAATTCCTTTTTGGTGAGAAATTATGCTTTAAAATATAACATCCAAATTACTTGTTTTTGTAATTGTATCTATTTCCCATCTCAGAATTAGTCCCGTGAATTGGGAACACCACTGTACTAGGAGTCAGCAATAGAGGGATCTAATGGCAATTCCTGCACTTACTGGCTATAAACCCCTGGGCAAATCCCTGCTACTCTCAGAGGCTTGCTAGCTTCATATGTAAAATGAGGATGACAGTCTCACTCACTTTACCCATGACAGAGGGCTCCAGGTCATTTAACTTTTGTTATTGAATGTCTACCTAGTATCAAGTCCTGTGATAGTATACTAATATAGCTTACATGTGTGAAACCATTTAGAGAGTTTGAAGATTCCAGGTATGAGGAATCATTATGCCAAGTTGTTGAGAAAAAAGATGAACTAAATATTACTCAAGTATTTGAAGATATAATGTCAGAAGAATTTGAAAATTTTATTTAATAAAAATATATACACATGCACTTTAAAACAAGGCCTTTGGAGAGTGAATTCATCCTTAATCAATACATCAAATCTTTTTCCATTGACCCATTCAGATACCAGCTCTAGAATTTTTCCCTCCTCTGTGAGTCTCTTTCTCCCAGACATGAAATATCCTGTTCTGACATACACGCAGCAGTGCCTTAGGAAAAAAAAATAAATGAAGCTTCTTTCTAAAATGAAACAATCACACCCCAACGGGAACTTAGGAGCAAGGAATTAAGTCTGGATTGATAGTTTTTTGTCTGGTCTTTAGTAGCCCCATAGGTGAACCCCGCACTATGATTGCAACACATTTGTAGGCAGCTTATGATGTTACAATCAGTCACTCAGTTATTCTCTAATAGTTCCTTCTAACTTGACTATACAATCAATTATTTATTGAATTACTATTAAAGACACAGGGTAACGTATACTTACATTAGATAAAAGATTATTTAGGGAAGGAAGCAACAGGCAGTAGCAGACAAATGAGTAATAGACTATGGGGACAAGCCATGAGTAAAAGAAGAGATGAAAAACATATGGGAATCTGAGATGTGGAAAGTGAGGAAGCATGAGAGAGAAAGGGCAGGGCTGGCAGGTGTTGAGCAATCAAGTGCTAAGGAGGTCAGTTAGGACAATGACTCGGGCAAGAAAGAAGGCAGAGGGCTAGGAGTGGGAAGGTGCTGAGTCAAAGTGGAGAAAAGTGCTTCAGCCAAGGCATCTGATAAGGATGTCTCTGAACGGAAGTACCTAGGCTAAGAATGCAGATGTGTCTATGAGGATGGCTGGTTGGAGGTAGGGGGGAAAGGCAGGTCGGAGACTGAGTCTTTAACTGCAACTCCCTCCAGAAAACTCTAATTCATTGGTTGTGCACCAGGACTGGTGTGATGAGAGCAGCCTCTGGCTAGGAGGCCTGCCAGGCAAAGCCTAGTAATTGTCTATGGCCAGGCCTTTAAGATCACATGCAGGATTTTAGGCTAGAACCAGACCCCTCTGTGTTGAGGATGGTAGTATGAGGAAAATGACGGCAAAGACTTTCTCCAACCAGAGTGGAAATAAGTTGGGAGAGCTGGGGCAAGGTGAGATTGCAATCATTCAGATTCATGGGAGACTTTTAGATGGATGAGGAAGGCAGGGCCCTGAATTCCATTGCAGGTTGGGTAGACTTGGGCACAGCACTTCCATCTCTCTGAGAAGTCTGTTTCTTCATCTTCAAAACAGGATGTTACTGCCTATGGGTTTGGGTTAAGTGAGGAGATATTGAGAAAATGCTCACAGTTCATATCAAGGCTATGTCCACTGGTTGGGTTCAAGACATCAGCATAAAACTCATCCTGAAGGAGGAGCCAGTGCCTTAAGCCAGACCCAATGAGAGAGCTGTGATAGGTTGAATAATGGCTCCCAAAGGCCCATGTCTTAATCCCTGGAAACTGCGAGTGTGATTTTGTATGGCAAAAGGGGCTTTGTGGACATGATTAAGTATCTTAAAATGGGAGATTATCCTGGTTTTTGAGGTGGTCCTACATATAATCACAAGGGTCCTTACAAGAGGTAGGCAGAGGGAGGCGGTATCAGATGAGAGAAAGGCGCAGTGATGACAGAGACAGACGTTGGCATAGCACAGTCACAAGCCAGGGGATATTGACAGCCTTTGAAGCTGGAATGGCCATGCCATGGGTTCTCCCCTAGAGCCTCCAGAAGGAGCCAGCCCTGCTGACCCATTGATTTTAGCCCAGTGAAGCCCAGTTCAGGCTCCTGATGTCTAGAACAATCATAATAAATTTGTGTTGTCTTAAGTTGCTAAATTAGTGGTAATTTTTGAGAGTGGCAACAGGAAACTAATACAAGAACCTCAGTTATCAGTTGAATGTACACACCTGTGGAGAGCTTGGCTTTAGACAATCGACTTTGTCTCTTAGCCCTGTTCTCCCTGAACCCGCATCTGATTAATGCACTTTTCAACTGAGTGATGGAGGGACATAAAGGGGTAGTTTTTTGCTGGAGAAGCCAAGAAGGTGCAGGGCAATAGAAAGAGAAGTTTCACAGCCAGGGAAACAGGAATAATCTGGTTTGCAGGTACATGGGAAACATACCTTAGAATCCTGCCTTGGTATGAGATAGTGGCCCAGCAACATTTGAATTCATTCTATTAAAGTGGCTTTGTGATACTCCCTCAGTGATGTGGCCTAAGAAATTTGTTATGTATTCTTATAGATTTTTAAATAAAATTAGTGGCCTGAAACCTAGATTTTTCATCTCCTCTCCTAACTTTCCTTTTTGATGTCGTTACCTTTGACAAACATTTTGGAGCCAACACTGTTTTATGTCTATGTAAGTATCTCAGGCCCTGAGGTCTCTGCATACAGAAAACAGCTTTTGGTGCAGTGGTTAGCTTTGCATTAGCTAAAGGCCACCAGTTTGACCCTACGTCCACATTGTTTCGCTGAAGCAGTGAGAAGGGCAAGCATACGGAGAACCTTGCAGACCTTGGCAAATGATGAAAAGAGCTGGGGACCACGTGGATACCAAAAGTGACCACATTCACAGTTCCAACAAACCACAACCTTGATTTTTGTTGATTTGACCTCTTTCCCTTCCCTTCGTCTCTTGCCTTCTGGATGTCTTCCTTCTGCCCGTTTTCCCAGTCCATTAGCACCTCCACTGGAGGAAGAATTGCAGAGGAGAGAAAAAATGTAACTCCCATAAACCAATTTTGCTACTTGTCAGAGGCTATTGCACAAGTCTTATGAGAGATGAAAGTGAAAATTATTGACAGGAAAAGGTTTGAAATAGTTGTAGGGTTTATTTGTTCAGAGAAACTGCATTAATTGAGAACAGAAGGTCAGAGTCTTTTGTTCATTTGCAACTAGCATTTTTATTCTGAGTGGAGAATTTTGTGATTACTAAACTTACTCTATAAATGAATAGAAGGGAGAGGGAGATGAGAAAAGCTGTTTTCTGACTTCTCTGAATTCTTAGTAGAATGTGTATTTTAATTATGCCTCTTGGTACCTTTCATAGAAGTGATAGTAGATCCTTTTAGTTTGTTTTGAAATAATTTTCCATTATTTGCTTGGCACATGGTTGTACCACCATACATTAATCTTTGATTATTTTATTTTTCTCTAAGAAGACACTTTTAAATATGATTGTTTTCTTCATAATGGCTTTAAGGTCAGCTCTCCTTTCTTCTCCCTGATACTTAATTTCCCAGAGTTACAGAGTTGATAGCAGAGGCAGAACTAGATATTTGTACAACAGCATTTGAAGGGCTTATTGGCACTTCTGCAAAGACATATTTCTGGAGAATCAAATAAGAACCAATGAGAAGAAATTTTAGAGGTAGGATATGGACTTGATGCAAGAATCTTCTAATATCTAGAGCTCCTCAGCAATGTGATGGGAGGAGTGATGTCGAAAGTGTCAAAGCAAAGGTTGGTTGGCCATTTACTGTAGAGAAGATTAGTGAGCATAGTAAAGGTTAAAGCAGGAGAAAAGTCATGTTTCTTCTACCTTTGAGAGTAGGTTAGTCTAAATTTATGACCCAATATAATTAAAGTGTCACTGTATTTTGTTTTCCTCAAATAGCCAAGCTTTGATAAGCTCATATTCAACTTAAGCTATAAATGCTTTTCCAATCTGTAATGCTCTCCTTCACCCATCTATTCAAATCACATTTAGCTTCAAAGGGTCAGCTAGAGAATAACTTTTTTAGCCTTTGCTCCACTCAGTGAACTTTCTTTCCTTGATTATTGAAACATTTAATAACTACATTTCTTACTTCAGCATTTCATTACTTACCAATGCTTGTATTGTTATCTAACTTTTTCACATGTGCATATCTTATCTCAGAAAAATTGACAAGTTCTGAAAGGCATAAACAGTACAAGGCTGACTACATATTAGGTTTTTCTTTTCTTTTTTTTTTTTTTTTGAAAGTGAACTTTCCTTATGCTGTGTAGAAATGAATAACTTGAGATTTTCAGTGAATTTTTTTCTTCTGTCATTGATGAGACCTCTAAAATGCACCACCTTGTCAACTGTAAACAATCTTTATAAGGTGATTGTTTCTTTTATGGAATGTATTAGGTAGATATCTTTCTGGAGCCAGGCTGGAGAAATGCTTAACTTTCTTTAGCAACATAAGCCTTGAATATCTGTATTCTTGATCTTTTTAAAATGTCACTGTATGGCAAAATAGAATAACGACACAAGCAGCTTCATAAAAGATAGCACATAACATTGCAGGACTACAACTGTTTAAAAGTCAAACTAGAGGAATGAATTTTTTAAGACTATAATAATGAAACAGTATTATTTGACTACCAAATATTATAGCTTTGTCAGTTAAAAAATGAAAAAATCTTCAACCCTTTTCTATAAAGGTATTTTGACTTTGTTCACCTTTCTCAGATTGGTTTTTGCATAAATTTAATTGAAGACAAACTGTGGCTGCTGTTCATGAAAATATATATATGGGAATAGACAGTCATTCCTAGGGTAACTGTTAAGTAGGTAAAATTTGCCATAGGACTGCCTAAATCTTTTGCCACAAAAGTGCACTGTAAATTAAAACATCATGAATTAATGTCATTATGAATTCGTTTAGTGAACACACATCAGACAACTTATGGCATAAGTTGTGACACCAAGAGGTAATTTTTCTTTCATTTACATTATTTTAAAACTTAATACAACAATATCTGCTTTATTTAGCTCAGTGTTGTGTGTGGAATAAAAGAAAACCATAGACTTGAAAAAACTGAAGACTCTCTCAGGTGGCAAGAGCCCTCTTCTGGGGCACAGCAGGACACACTTGACTCAGAATTAGTGCCTCTTTGGAGTGAGCCTCAACCAGCCATTTGGAGTCACCTAAGCTTCCCCACCCCTGCTCCCCAGGCAAGAGAAATTCCACCTCTTTTTCAGAGGCTGTGAAGCAGAGTTGTTGGATGCATGTTTAGAACTTAGACCTGGTTTTTAAGCTGAGTGGTAGTGTTTATTTTTATTATTTTTCTTCAAGCTACAAATCACACACACACACACACACACACACACACACACACACACACACATCTCAGAATGAACAGTTTTAAAGAATGACTAAAGGAAATAGAATGAGATGAGCAAAGTAGAGGACATTTTTTCCACCTGACCATGAAGCACCCGAAAGGGAAGGAAGAAATGTCATTCCATTTTTCCAGTTTTCTGGGTTTTGGAGGTACAAGGTTTTTCTGATCCCATGTTGAAAGCTAGAGGAACTTGGGGATGGATATTTATCTTCCTCCATGTCAACTACCCATGATAAAATAGTTTCCTTTGAGGGTGAGCCTTTATGAAAGGGAACAGCATGCTATAGGAGTATTTCAAGATGATGACTTTTCCTCTCCCCCTACCAGTGGCAGGAGATGATTTTTCTCTGATTATCATAGTAAGAACCTGGTGGAACTCCTGGAGGCAAAACTCATGAAAGTTGGCACACCTCTAGAGTTTTGAACTCTCAAGTTAGTCCACATTGAGCCTTCAAAATTCATCAATTGCAGTTTAAGTTTTCATATGGTTACTGGCTCCAGGTAAGGGCTTCTCCTCATCTTCTGCTTCCAGTAAGTTGTGATTCTCTGTATCCACCTGTCTCTTCAGATTTCTGGACAGCAATTTTCCCTGTGGCCTCAATTCTCTAAGACAAGTTCCTGATTTTCAGTTTGTTCGGCTTTTTCCTTGTTGTGAGGATGGAGTGTGACTTTCAAGCTCTCTGCATGGCAGACCAGAAGCTGGAAATCCTTCTCTGTCTCTTCTATGCATTATTGTTCCCAAGGCCTTACCTCCACCAGAAGGCCAAGCAGATAACATTTAGTGCACAAGCCAAGGTGTGTTTAATGCATGATATCACAACATGACTTGTTCATTTTCATATCATGGTTTAGATTATTTAAAATGTCATACAGCCCTGGAAAGCCTATAAACGATATTGGAAACACCTGTGCCTTATGGAATTTGGACTGGCATGTTGAGGTTCTGTGGTGTGAGAACCCTTTTGAAAATCTCTGAAGGCAGATATCTTCTACAACAATCCTCATATGCATGTCCCCATCTGCAGTGTGGCTCCTCTGCTCCTTCCTTTGGGTCTGACCGTGAAGATAAGTCTCTCTGAGAGATGGAATTCCCACAGCTCCTCTGAGCAAGTTTTTGGAGCCACTAACACTGTGATGTTTCAGAAATCCTTCTTCCAGATCAAGTTAACAGAGAAAGGAAGCAAACAAACTAATAGTTTGAGAAAAAAATGTTAGTATGGGAAGTAAATTAATTCAATTTTATAACTGACACTAGGACCTTTTTTAGGTGCCTTGGATGTTTTAAGACTTTATACTTTGGTGATTTAGCTTTTCAGATCCTGTTATTTGTGATGATTGTCAAGGGTATTTCTTGATTCCTCTATTTACGGAGTAGAAACTGGAACACTTGACTTCTCTCTGGGGCTTATAGAATAGCCCCCTTCTAGAGATTCTAGTATTTCCAAGTGCCTACTTCTTGCCTTGCAATTTAGTTAACTGTGTGGTTATTCCATGCAGTAATGTTACTGTACCCTTGATATCCACAGTCTCTGTGGTTTGGGATTGACCTAGCAAAATCTGACCCCTGGACTTGGACATATCCTCACCAGGCAAAGAAATCACAGTAACTGCAAACACTTGTGGAGATTATTTCAAATTTGTTTGGGTACTCAATGTGATTTAAATTTCCAGGGGGATCAGAATTTGCCCAGTTGATATTTTGTAATATTCTCAGCATCTATAATGCTTATAAGAACTATGAGTCTGTCTAACAAGAAAGAAAGAATTTCAGGCCAGGGTAAGTGGCTTACGCCTGTAATACCAACACTTTGGGAGGCCAAGGTAGTTGGATCACCTGCGGTCAGGAGTTCAAGACCAACCTGGCCAACATGGTGAAACCCTGACTCTACTAAAAATACAAAAATTAGCCAGGTGTGGTGGCACACACCTGTAATCCCAGCTACTTAGGAGGCTGAGGCAGGAGAATCATTTGAATCCGGGAGGCGGAGGTTGCAGTGAGCCGAGATCGTGCTGCTGCACTCCAGCCTGGGTGACAGAGTGAGACTCCATCTCAAAAAAAAAAATTTTTTTTAACCAACTCACTACCCAGTAATTCAGAGAAGAACTATGAACAAGTCATTCATAAGAACAGGGCAGGGTCAAGTGAAAGTACAAAATTCAATCACCTTGGTATGTTCCTGGATTTATTTTTGTTTCCCGAAGCCCTTTATGTGAAGTGGTGGACATGAGGCAGAAAGTGTTGGTCAACTAGTTTAAAACATAAGAAGAATAGCAATTTGTGGTGACTGGCTCCTACTACGTGCCAGGTACTGTGCTAAATATTTAATGTAAAACATTTCATTCTCTTGACAATCTTATGAAAAAAGTGCTATTATATTTCCATTTTACAGATGAAGAAATTGAGGCCAGAGAAATAGAGTCCAAGTTCTTACAGCTACAAAGAGACAGAGTTCAGCTTTGAACCCAAGGACCCTAGCTCTAGGAATTTAACCAATGTACTATATCCAGAGGTAGGGCAATCTTTTATCTTCAGATTGTTACCTATTTGGTCTAATATGAGCAGCATCAAAAAGTTCACTTGCCTACATCAATCTTGTCCACTGCGAGATGACACTCATGAGATATGTATTGGCTGAGGCTTGCCTTCCTGCATGTAAAAGTGAACTCTCCTGGGGCCTGGGAGTAAAGGTAGGGATAACTTACTAAATACCTTAGTTCTGAACACCTTAGTATTTGTTATAGATTGATTTCTTTTATTGATGAGGGAATCTTAAGTGTAAAGTCAAATTTTTAGAACTGAATGTTTTCGCTCATGCACTCACCATAGTCTTGCCACTATCTGGCTGTGTAGAACTCAGGCAAGTTCCTTAAGCTCTTTGTGCTTGCATTTTCTCATGTATAAAATGGAGGTAATGATAGAACCAACTACGTAAGATTGTTGTCATGATTAAATGAGATAATACGTGAAAGGTACCTACCCAGTGCCTAGTATACAATAAGCCTTCAATACTTGTTATTAGTATCAATCACTGTTAGACCAATGAGATAAAGAGAAGGAGGTCAAATCTCATTCCCACTTGATATGTTCTTGCTCAGATTTATTTTCAGAGTGGAAACCACAAGTTCACTTAATCGCCTTCCTTTGGGACTTGCCAATTGTCTGATAATTCTCCTCAAGTTAACTATCAGGATTCACTGGTACATGATCCAAGGCCATTGCTCTTATTTTTTTCATAATGGGTGTTTGGGGATAGAAGAGGAATATTATTGGTATTTTCAACAGTTAGAATGGCATGAAACTCTCCAAAAATAAGAAGCCCAGCAGTTGGCAACATGGTGTTGTTCTTAGATTCCCAAGCTCACATCTTGTGAGCTTTGCTATTGTCATAGCCCTGGGTCTTTGCCTAGGCTGTTCCTTCTGCTTTAAAGTCTCTTGTTCCTTGAGAATTCTACACTGGTCTTGCTTGTCTACCTGTTCAACCCCTACTGCTTTATAGCAAACATTTGTCTTTATTTCTCTTCTTTTTTTTTGTGATCCAGAAGCTATTCTGTCTTCCTGCAATGGGAAATATGCCATTGTGTGACTTTTGGTAGGCTCAAGGAACCTTCTCTTTACAGAGGCAAAACCCTGGCAATGTGAGTGCTGGAATGTTGTCTAAGATGCTTTTTCCTGAGAATTTGAACCGGGAAATAAATTATAAAAATAATCAGAAGACATTCTGTGGCAACTACATGTTATACAGGGTACCGTAGTGGGTATACTACGACTCCATCAGTGGTGTGCTGGAACCAGCTGGCACAGGCTTCCCAGAGTCGATTCTTAAAATTTCCAGATTTGCATCAGTTGTTAAACATATTTATTATGAATTAATTACTAAATTACACAAACTAATAACTACATAAATTATACTGTAAAAAAGGTAAGAGATACTCAGTCATCAGTTCCTAATTCTTATGCCTTTGTGGTTATTTATGCTTGCCATATATATATGATTAACATGTATATATATATGATATATATATCATATAATCGTATATGTATGATAAATTCTATATAGTGGTGTGGTGTGTTACTGTTCATTTTTTCCCAGCTCTAATTCAGTGATATCGTATTGGCAGCTTGAAATCACCCACAGTGAAAATATTTACACCATGAACATTGGCAAATGCTACAAATAAGGGTTTTTTTTTTCTTGGAAAGCTAGTCTCTAACATTTACCAGCACACCACATCCAGTGTTTAATGGTGGTGATGCCAGGCTCACCATCTACAGTCCAGATAGCAGCAGGGTGTCCTCACCAGGCTGTTTGTCCATGGCTGTGACCATCAGACTCCCATTGTTTCTACCTCCATCCTGCGCCTGACCCTCTAGTTTTTCTAAAAGTCTGTGGACTAATCTCTATTCCTCCAATATAGACAGTCCCCAACTTATGATGGTTCGACTTAAAATTTTTCAACTTTACAATCGTGTGCAACTGTCATAATTTTGACATAATGTACAGTGTTTGACAAGTTACATGAGCTATACAACACTTTATTATAAAATAGCGTCGGGCTAGATAATTCTGCCTAACTGCAGGCTAACGTGTTATGAGCATGTGTAAGGTAGGCTAGGACAAGCTGTGATGTTCAGTAGATTATTTAGATGCATTTTTGACTTAAGACATTTTCAACTTAAGATGGGTTTATCAGGATGTAACTCCATTGTAAGTCAAATAGCATCTGTATATTCCGTTTTTGCTCAAGTTAACCCATTTCTATTTCCAAATAAGAATCATAGCAGTTTTATCATATTTTCAAAGTCTATCACAGACAGCCAACCCTGACACCCCTCACCATATGTACATATTTTCCTTTTGCTACATGTAACTGTTATTCAGGCTTCTATATTTGCACTAAGCATAGCGTTGTAATATATTTGTTTATATCTCTGTATCCTTGAAGTTAGGAACATTGTCTTATTTACCTTTATTTCTCAAGGTGCTATCACCAGGCCCAGAACAGAGAAGGTCATAAATAAATTATTTATTTACTTACAAATAGTAAAATTTACTTATAAATAAATAATTGTAACGATTAAATAGTTATTTGTAATTATTAAACAGTAATAATTGCTTACAATTTTTTGTTGATTTTCTTCATAAGGAAGCTGAGGGTTGTGTGGTGGCAGTTGTAGACACATTCCATTGCTCATGGGACCAACACTTCTGAAATGACCTCCAACATCACTGTGATTCAGGAAAGGTGAATAGGGACATGCAATTTGAATCCTCCTTTGTTTACTGTAGCTGAAGCTGCATGATTCAGAAACTACATGAAGCAAGGGACAGGAGAGGATATGGTGATGTTATCATTCAGAAACTGAAAGATAATGTCAAGTAAATCTTCTACTCAAAATAAAAATCTATGCTTAGGAAGAATAAAAGAAAAGGTCAGATTCAAAAATTAAAGAGCATGAACCAAAAAGCAAAAGCACAAAAAACAGCTGAATGGCTGACCAAAAGAAAACTATCAATGATAGGAAAAATTGAAGAAGGAGAATATACAGAAAAAAACTAGAGAATATATATAAGAACACAGCCAAAATACAAAGTATCTTTTCAATTTTGGAAGGAGTTTTGATTGTCTCCTTACTTATGGAAGATTTTATGGGCTGTACTTAAATTTAATCCAGTGCTTTCAGAATAAGGCAAGGGAATGCAGTTCTATCAGTAATATTTGTAATCTAAATTAGAGACTTTGTTACTAGCACCCTTCAAATTAATGTGGTCTGATATAGTTTTAATTGACACAATAAGTTTCACAGTGGGTGTAATGATTTATATAAATGTAAATCCAAAATTGTACTCTGATCTGATCAGTCTAGAATTACTTTTGAAGTAAACATGTGAACTCTATTGTCAAGGGAATAAATCTAATGAAAAAGCTGCAGGGAAAATTGCTTATTATGCTCATAAAAGATAAAGGAATCAATATGAGGTCTGTTTGTTACACGGTTTTGCATAACTTTTATTAATTGAACAGACATTTAAAGGATTTTCTAAGTTTTCTCTGAATTGTCAGATAAGAATGTTAGAAGCAGAGTAGATAAAATAATGAATGTCAAAGTTCTAAATATTAATACACTAAAACAATAAAGTATAAAGAGAATATAGAACAGCCAGAATCTCTAAAATGGTAAAGTGGGGATACACATAAATCCATTCCTTCATAAAAGCAGTGAGAACATTGGCAAAAAATGTCAACATCAACTTGTTCAGAACTCTGAAAATTAAGCAGTCTTATAACAATTCAAAGAGTAAAATTTATTTAAGAAAAACTGGTTACACCTTGGTACCAAAAGGGATACTTAAAAAACAAACTTTATTGAAGTATAATCTACCTACCATAAATTTAACTCATTTTTAACTGTGCAACCAGTGATTTCTACTAAATTTATTATGTTGGAAAACTATCACCATAATCCAATTGTAGAACATTTTTATCCCCTCAGTAAGATCCCTCGTGGCCTGGCATGGTGGTTCATGCCTGTAATCCCAGGGCTTTAGGAGGCTGAGGTGGAAGGATTGCTTTAGTTTAGGAATTCAAGGCCAGCCTGAGCAACATGGTGAAACACTGTCTACAAAACCCAAAAATTTTGGCCGGGTGTGGTGGCCTGCGCCTGTAGTTACAGTTACTCTGGAGGCTGAGGTGGGAGGATCACTTGAGCCTTGGAGATCAAGGCTACAGTGAACCACGATCGCACCACTGTACTCCACCCTGGGTGACAGAGCGAGACCCTGTTTCAAAAAAAAAAAACTCCCTAATGCCTGCTGTGAATTTCAGAGTTACTATAAAGGATGCCTTAAATGCCAAGAACTCACACGTAGAGATAGACATTCCTTTTGTTCTTTTTCTTTTTTAGTCTAACCCAGTGAGTCTCAAATTCAGGGGTATATTCTAGTTATTAAACAACATGTGGATTTTTTTGTGGATATTTTAAAGTATTTTAGGGGTAATTTTTACTGTATTTTATTTTTGCTTCATGTAGAACATTAGATTCTTAGATAATCATAATTAAAACTTTGCTATCTTCTTTAACCCAATGGTTATTAAGAAAACATTTATTAAATATCCAAGTGGCTGAGATTTTTTTGTTCAATTGTTTAAACATTGCCAGTAGTTTGTAATCTTGTTGCATTTTATTAAAAAGTGGAATGTTGAAGTTTTGCTTTGGATTTAGTAAAAAGAACTTGAAGCCAGTTGTGGTCATTATTTTAAATGCTTAATGAACAGCTGAAAAGAGTATGTTAGCTTCAAAATATAATACATTTCATTGTATTATTAAAGATTATCTAAATCCTTATTTATATTTTCTTATTTGATGTGTCAGTGGCTAAGATAGGTGTATGTTCCATTATAATTATGTTTTAGTCTGTTTCTCCTTAAAAGTCTTAGAGTTTTTTCTTCATTTGTTTTGGTGCTTTGCCATCAGGTACATAAACTCTCATGCTCTCATGACTAACTTCTACTAGCTTATTATGACTTGATTTTGTATTATAGTTTTAATAAATATAAAATTACATATCTAAAGATTTTTTGCTGTCAAAACTGTCACCTCAACTATATCTTTTTTGCATTTGAACGTGGAACTTATCTTTGAGTTTTAAACTTTCTATATCCTTTTGTTTTTATCATATTTCTTATAAACAACATATAGTTAATTTAGAAAGAGGGCTAGATATATTTTACTATGAGCACATAAAAACTAACCTTACACTTTTTTTTTTTTTTGAGACAGAGTCTTGCTCCGTCGCCCAGGTGGAGTGCAGTGGCAAGATCTCGGTTCACTGCAACCTCTGCCTCTTGAATTCAAGCCAGCCTCCTACCTCAGCCTCCTGAGTAGCTAGGACTACAGGCATGTGCCACCACACCCAATTAATTTTTGTATTTTTAGTGAAGATGGGGTTTCACCATGTTGGCCAGGCTGGTCTCAAACTCCTGACCTCAGCCTGATCTGCCTTCCTCAGCCTCCCAAAGTGCTGGGATTACAGGCGTGAACCACTACACCCAGGCAACCTTACACTTTTTAGCTAATACACTGTATTCCATTACCTGTATACCATTACTCAGTAACTTCCTGTGAGTAAGCATTTGGGTTGTTTCCAGTTTGAATCTTTGGTTATTATAAATGTGGTGATGAACACCATCATATGCATAGCTTCATATATGTGAAATTATATAAATAAAATGAATTATATGCAATGGTGTTTGTGGATTAAAAGGTAGGTGTATTTTAGTTCCTTGATACTGCCAATGTATCCATTAAAAAATTTATATTGGATATGGAAATTACAAGAGGCTATAATCATATACAGATTTATTTCTCTTCCCATTCAGCTATTAAGGATAAGGAGACACTATCTGTTGGAAGAGAGAAAACATTCCAATTTCTTTTTCTTCCAAATGCATAACTGATAATCCCAACATTACTAACTAATCCTTATTGCTTTTTGAAATGTCATTTTCATTATATTTTGACTTCCCATATAAACCGAACAGACTTCTAATCGGTATATTTTTCCAGTATCATGGTGATGTATCATATTGTTATGATTTCTTTTCTTTCTTTTTTTTTTTTTTTGAGAGGGAGTCTTACTCTGTCACCCAGACTGCAGTGCCGTGGTACAATCTCCACTCACTGCAGCCTCCACCCTCTGGGCTCAAGCAATCCTCCCACCTCAGCCTCCCAAGTAACAGGGACCACAGATGCGTGCCACCATGCCCAGCTGAGTTTTTGATTTTTTGATAGAGACAGGGTTTTATCATGTTGCCCAGGCTGGTCTCAAACTCCTGAGCTCAAGAAATCCACACACCTTGGCCTCTCAAAGTGCTGGGATTACAAGTGTGACCCACCGTGCCTGGTCATATTGTTATGATTTCTATTGTTATGGTTTCTTTCTAATTTGGTCTTGAGGTATTCCTCTTGGGTGTGGCCAAAAGCCAAGATAGACCTCTCTACAAGAGCCCTGATGGGGGAGTTAGGTTTGGTTGTGTGTGTCGGGTGAGACACAATGAGGAAGTTAAACTAAAATGCACAAAACAGAAGAAACTTATTGTTCATAGGTCCCAAAAGGGTTGGGAGTACCAAGAGGACATCTAGGAATGGCAAGGAGCTTCACCAGTGGGTGGAGAGAGAGAGTGAGGACCCATGGGTGTTATGCCTTAGGCTTTCTTGTGGGGTTGTGGATTGGGTAGTTTAAAGAAAACATGCACAAATTGGGGAGTGTATTTACATGTCTCTAGTTTTCACCACTAGGTTTTATCATGATAAGCAGCTATGGCATGTGCTGGGTTTGGGGTCAGTGCAACGAGGAAAAAGCATGCCATATTACAAACAAACAGTCGGGGAGGGAAGGTTTTAGCTAGTCTAAAGGTGACAGGGTAGGACTGAGTTTCAAACACCTTACGTCAGACCTAAAATTGGATATCAAGGCAGCAACTATACTAAACAAATTTATGATGAAACCTCTAAAAAACATTATTTTAGCTTTATATGTTAATATATATCATATCATAGTTTGCATTCCAATTATACCTCATTTACAAACACATAGCAATGACAGATAAATATAAAAGTAGAAATCAAGAACATTGTTATATAAAAAATATGATATACATTTTTTGGTTAACCATTATTGGAACAAAAAAGTGAAATGATGAATGATGTGTGTGGCTAAAGCTATTGAGCTGTTGTTCTCTGAATTATGAAGCGGATTATGTTGGTCAGGGCCTTGGCTCTGGGTAGTAGAGGGGACAAAATTATTTCATACAACTGAGGGCCTTGAGACAGACTTACTACTTCTTGAAGTGAGGACCTGGAGTATACCACTCTCAAACCCAGTTTTGAAAGTAGACAGAACAAACAAGCAAACTGAGGCCAATTTATGCATGGAGCATGAAACCAGCATTAACTTCATGCCCAAGCCAGGTATAGATATAAGAAAATTAGAGACAAATACCTTATGAATACCGATGTAAAAGTCCCCAAGAAAATACTAGAAAATGGAATACAGCAGCATATTAAACAGATTGAACACCATGGCTAACTGGAATTATTCTAGAAATGCAGCATATGAAAACCAACCAATATAATATATCATCTTAGCATAATGAAGGAAAAAATTCACAAAATCATCTCAATTGATGCAGGAAAAGCATTTGACAACATCCAACACCCTATCATGATAAAAAGAAAAAAAAACACACTCAAAATACTAAGACAAAGGGAACTTTCTCAACATGATGAAGGGTATTTATGAAAGCCTACAGCTAATACCATACTCAATGGCAAAAGACTAACAGCTTTCTCCCTAAGATCAAGGATGAGACAAGGAAGCCTGCTTTCACTACTCCTATTCCACCTGGTCCTAGAAGTTCTAGCCAAAGCAATTAGGCAAGAAAAAGAAATCAAAGGCATCTAATTTTAAGAGGAAGAGGTAAAACCATCTCTATTTACAGATAGCATGAACTCATGAACTCACCTAAAGAGCTCACAATAAAACTACTAGAACTGATAAACACATTCAGCAAAATTGTGGAATATAAGATTAACATATAAGAATCAATTGTATTTCTAACACTAGCAATGGCCAATTCAAAAAGGAAATTAAAAAAGCAATTCTATTTATACTAAGTGAAAAAGGGTAAACACAAAAAGCCACATATCATAGGATTCCATTTATATGATATATCTACAATAGACAAATCCATAGAGACAGCAGATTAGTGGTTGCCAGAAGCTGGGAATGGGATGTAATGGGGCATGACTGCTTGAAAAGCATGGGGTTTCCTTTTGATGTGATGAAATGTTATGGAACTAGATAGTGTTGATAGTTGCACAACACTGAATGTATTAAAAGTCACTGGGCCAGGCACAGTGGCTCATGCCTATAATCCCAGCACTTTGGGAGGCCGAGGCGGGCAGATTACCTGAGGTCAGGAGTTCAAGACCAGCCTGGCCAACATGGTGAAACCCCATCTCTACTAAAAATACAAAAATTAGCAGGGCATGGTGGCACACGCCTGTAATCCCAGCTACTCGGGAGTCTGAGGCAGGAGAATTGCTTGAGCCTGGGAGACGGAGGTTGCAGTGAACCAAGATCATGCCACTGTACTCCAGCCTAGCTGACAGAACAAGACTCTGTCTCAAAAAAAAAAAAAGTCACTAAACTGTACATTTAAAGTGGTTGAAACTGAAATTGTGAATTTTATGTAATGTGAATTTTACCTCAGTAAAAAAGATAAGAAAACATTAGGAAAAATATAAAAAGTTGGGCAAATTTAATTATAAATAATAAGAGTATAAAATGTTCAAATATTTTGTGAATTATAGAACTTGTGAATTGACCAAACTTGTCCATTTGGACTGGACTGAAAAAGTAATACAGATATATGCTGTTTAAAGGAGACACATGTAAAGCATAATCATACATCAAGTTTCTAGGAAAATAAAATGATGGAAAAAGATGAAGCAAAAAGAATTAAAGAAATGTAGTTTGTCTATATAATTATCAGACAAATATATTTTAAGACATAAATCAACCTTGTTATAGGGTGGATCATTTATAATGACAAAAGGTACAACTCACCAAGAAGAATAAAACAATTTGGTGTGTACCTAATAAATATCCTCAAAATATATAAAGCAAAAAATGATGATAATATAAGGAAAAACCGACAAATCCATTTTAGTGGGACATTTTAATATTCCTTTCTCAATTAAATCTGAGCAACAGGTTCAAAGTAAAGGAAATATAAAAAGTCCACCATTCAGCAATGAATTCACCATCCCAGAGCACATTTTTCACAAACACACATACAAAGTTACAAAAAAGATCTTATCTAATTGATCACAGATTAGTGAGCCTAACACATTTCAAAACAGGTATAGACAAAGTTCTCTCTTTGATGCTACCTCCCTTGCAATTACTTCCCAGGTCTCTTCTAAACTCTGGCATTCAATTGTCACAAAACCATGTCTTTAAATCAGAATCTCCTTACTGTTAATTTAGTTCAGAGATATGATGGGTTTAATCACAGGGTATTTAGCAAGATTAAAAACTCCTCAGCCATCACTCAACATATTTATCTTAAATACTCTAATAAATACTGTAATAGGATTTTCTCACTAGAACTCAAAAGGCCACAGTATTATTAATCACTTAAATTCCTGTTTGATGCATGACCTTAGTTCCTCTAAGGACTTGGGGAGTCAAAGTAAATGGAATTTCTACAGTATGTTCAAAATTACCATAGAGTATCTTATCTTAAATCCAAGCCAAGTATAATTATATTAATATTATTAATAGCAGCCGCTACTAATTATTAGACACCCTAAGTTGCTAGGTCCCTGATTTTTTCAAATGATAATAATAGTATTTCTCTAGCACTTATTAAATCCCTGACTATATTCTAAGTGCTTTACATGTATTATCTTATTTAACGCTGCAAAACTTTATAAAGTAGGTGTTATGGTTTTTTCCCATTTTTATAGAAGAGAAATTGCAAGCTTAGAAAATTTAAGAAACTTGCCCAAGCTTACACAACTAATAAGTTGTATTACAGAGATTCAAACTAAGATCTCCTACTCCAAAACCCAAGCTGATAACCCCTACCATACCCTCCCTCTCCACATATCTCATTTTATTTATTGATCATTGTCTTCTTAGTAGCATTATGTTACAGATAAGGCAAGTGAGGCCCCAGGAGGGCAAATAACCTTCCCAAGACCAGAGCTAATCAGTAGCAGAACAGGCCTTGGAAATTCAGTTTGCCTGATTTCCACACCTGTGCTCTTAACGTCTCTGCACATCTGTTTGGACTACAGCCTCGGCAAAAATGAGCTTACTCTCGAGAAAGCAAAGCATGATTTCTGACAAAATCCTTGGCCACCAATTCATGCTTTACTCAACCACTAAAATACAAGCCTTTTTTCAGCCATTCAACTGACAGTTGATTAATTCAAAGAGCCTTTTAAAAAGAGAATCATAAATAATGAGACACAGTTCCTTAAATGTTTTAACTTAAGGTATATAAAATTACATTTATGTGCCAATCTTTTGATATAGGGCCAAGGCCTTTTCTCTGAATATGGATGTGCTAATTGGAACTCTTTTTGTTGTCATCTTTCTTGCATCAACCACACCCCTAATGCATCTGCTAGGATTTTCAGATTAAAGCAAAACTGGAATCTAAAGACATTTATGAAGCAATCTAAGTGCAAATTCCCACTCAGTTTTGACACATATTTCTAAAACATTTATAGTTTTCTTGCATATGTACGTTGCATACACTATATATGTAACACAAATACATAATATATGATATAAAGGTATGCACATAAATATGTATACATATAGACATATATCACTATACAATATTTATAATATATGATACATAATAAAATATATTTGTTAGTGATTTTTTCACATTTTCCCAAGCATTTTATTTAACTTTCACTGAAAAAACACTGATTAAATGTCTTTATCACATTTTCCCAAGCATTTTACTTAACTTTCACTGAAAAAAACAACTACATTTCCTTCAGCACACACATATATTGGTTTGGGGTTATAAAATATAAAATAACATTAATTAGGATAACAGGTACAACTGGCATTAATAGGAAAGGACAAATAATAGTGGCCTTAGCAGGCACACACCTCAACTGCTGGCCAATGGGTGCCCCGCCCCGTAGAAGAGCCTGCTAGCTGCAGGCAGGCTGCATTCTCTGGGCATCAGTTACACTGTTTTACAAAGAGAATGAATCAGTCCTGGGTAGAAATTAAGTAGCAGTTGATTTTAAAGTTGTGTGCTATAGTTTTAATAAAGGAACTATGACATATTCTGATATGAATCTTGCTACAATTTCCTTGGGTTAAACCCCTCACAATTTTTGAAGGCATCCTTAAACATATTCCAAAGTTTCAAAGCTTAGAAACGATATTGTAAGAAACAACTGTGGGTGACAGTAGCCCCAGACCAACTTCCCCCACTCAGAGTTGTGGTGCTTATGCAGCCTTTATCAGTTGGAATTAGTCTGCTTAACTGAGGTTCTGAGGCTTAGCTGCCCATAGAATCACCTGAGGGGCTTTAAAACACGTGGAAGTGTGGACCCCACCCCCAGAGTGGTTGATCTCATTGATGAGAGGTGCAGTCCGGGCATTTTTTTAAAGCCCCCTGGGTAACTTTAATGTGCAGCCAAGGTTTAGAACCAAGAATATAGAAACTCTTAAGCCTCTGAGTGGCCACCAAGCCCAAACCCAAGATCATAGAACAACTTTCCTTCACCCCACTGAACCCAGGACTTTTCCATTTTAAAGAATATTTGCGAGTTTCAATGGGTTTTACTGTCCATTCAGGAATTATCTGTTTTGACTTGGATGTGAGGGTGTAGTTAATCCATGACTGGGTTAGCTCACTCTTATTAGACATTGGGAGAAGCTTGGAATCATCTTACCCATTTGTAGAAGACTCATCCCAGGACTAACCTACATTTAAAATGAAGTCCCTGAAGTCAGCTCTGTAACAAATTTGCATCCAAATTTTTACCTCAGGATTGGTTCATGTAGTCGACATAAAACCATCAAAATACTCCTGTAACATGGGCAAAGCCTTTCATATTATCTACCTGCAAAGGAGATTTGCCTGCTGCCTCTTGGAGGGCCAGCTCAGCCTGCTTTCTGGTGCAGTGGGCATTGCCGTGGAAACACTGCTGTTTCCAGAGTCCTCTCTGAGTCTTTGTCACTGAGGAACAATTGACTTTGGGGAAATTTCTTCACCTTTCTGAGGTTGGATTAGATATGAATAATAATTTTCTGACTCTGAATCCTATACTGCCTTGTGTTTTAGTTGTTCTTTCATCTTTTCAGTGAGGAAAGGACCATGCGAGGAGCCAGCACCCTGAGGTTGCCAAACAAACCCACGGCCCCCTCCGCAGACAGGAGGAGGCGTGGAGTTTGGAACCACCTCCCCAGACTCCAGCTGCCTGGCAGAGATCTTCAGGGCTGGGGGTGAACCTAGAAACCAACCACCTCTCTGTGAGTGCTCACAGAGCACCTTTCAATGAGGAAAGGACCTTTCAATGAGGAAAGGACCTTTCAATGAGGAAAGGACTTATTTTGGAAGTGCCTCTGCTCTGCTGTCAGAGTGTGTCTGGTCCAGACTGTGTGAACAGCAAACATTGCGGGCACCATGAGAAAGGGTGTACCAATGTGTGATTCTTTCCTCTAGGGTGAGCTCAAGGCTCCCTGATTCTTTCTCACAGCTATTTTATCTTATGCTCTCTCAAGGAGGGGGAATGCTGCAGGCCTCTAATAGGGTCATCTTTCTATAGCTAGAGACTCGTGGGTATAAAGAAGCTGTTCCCAGAATTCAGCTAGCCATCTTAATCCCTTCCTTCTGGCACTAGTGAAGTACTTTTCATTAGGTTGGCATGGTATGATCTGAGACTCAGTTTTAAACTTTGGGGCAAAAATAGGTGAATTAGGTTTCCTTCACTTCAGAGGTTCTTGTCCTTTGACCCTGTACCCCAAACCTCAAAAGGAGGCAAGAATCCTCTGTGTGGTCCAGCCAACATCACCATGGCTCTGCATTGAGGTTAGGGCATAACTCTATCTTATCAAAACTGAGGATTACTTTCCTTGACTTGACTGGCCAATGTCAATCCAAATTCTCTTGTCCAGCACTTTGCAAGAAGGATGATTGATTCATAGATGGTTTCTGAGTTCCTTAGCTAAAACAACCTCTTAATACACTCCTAGTCACACCATCATGAAGAAAATGTGTTTGCTAAGCTAACGAAGACAAGATGAGCATTGATTCTTTGAGGGGGTACCATTTATGTTTTTCCCACACTGTATCTTCACTGCCTTATACATAGTAATTGCTCAATATTTGTTTACTGAAATAATGAATATAAAACTGACCAGTAAAATCTCTAATTACCCTGTTCCCATGTTGGTGATGATAATGTGAGGCTGTGACAGATGCTTTGCAGTGCCTGATAAGTACCCTACGCATTTCCCCAAACAGCCACAGCTACCAGCACTGACCCACTTCTGGCTGGTAGGAATTTGAGGAATTGGATTCTATAGCCCAAAGAATTAACAGGACAGGTGTTCATATTTAAGCCTGAATATTTTTTAAGTATTTCAAGAAGTCTTACTCAATAGTTACTTGGACATCTGGAAGAGGCAGCATTTTAAATCACTTCTTTATATGCATTATGCATATTGTACATATGAAGTTTGAAATAACTGTTTGTATTCTATATACAAATGGTTATATTTATAAACCAAAGACATCTCAGCTATATCTCAGTTGCATATTGAAATAATTGAGTGGGAACATCTTAAATTAACGTATTTGGGGTTTTGTGTGTGTGTGTGTGTGTGTGTGTGTGTGTGTGTGTGTGTGTGTGACATTCACATTTAGAATTGTGTGCAGTGTGCTGAGGAGTTCAAAACCAGCCTGGCCAAGATGGTGAAACCCCGTCTCTACTAAAAATACAAAAAAATTAGCTGGGCACGGTGGCAGGCGCCTGTAATCCCAGCTACTCAGGAGGCTGAGGCAGGAAAATCACTTGAACCCAGGCTGCAGAGGTTACAGTGAGCCGAGATCATGCCACTGCACTCCAGCCCAGGCGACAGAGTGAGACTCTGTCTCAAAAAAGAAAAAAAAAAAAAAAAAGAATCATGCGCTGTGGCATATGGCTGCTGCTCTAGGCTTCTCCTGACACTGGATTCTTGTCTCCCCATTTCTGAATTCTTTTCCCAAGTAATTTTTCCTTCTACTCACTGACCAGTGAGTGGCCTCATGTTCTCTCTATCTTCTGCCTCTATTAATCCTTAATCAGGAAATTATTTAATAAAATTTGTCATACTGAAATACAAATAATTTTTTTAAAAAATTTAATGTGATACTAACTCATAGTGGAATTTTCATTTGAGCAGGCACCAAGAAGCATTTGACCAAATAAATAAAATTTTAATTGTGGAATGTTCCGGGTCAGTGGACTAGAGGAGGTATGTGGGAAGCAGTGTTGGGAGGAAAGTTAGGTGAATTTGAGAGACAACTTTCATATGTGTCTGAAATCAAACCTTTAGCTAGGTCAGGGCCACAGTGTCTGGTCTTCAGCTAGCCCAGCCTAGAGACTGCACTCTCTGCACCTTAGCTGGGGGCTCCTTTAGTGAGCAATTTCATGGAAGAATTAACAGCATATCCTTCAGAAATAACAACATCGGATTTGAAGATGAGCTCATACTTTCTAGCTCTTTAGGCTAGTTATACAGGCTTTCTCAGGGCTTATTTCCTTGTTTGTAAAATGTAAATAGGTTCATGTGAGGATGAGATGAGCTTTCTACACTGGAAACTAGTAAATGTTCAATAAATATTAGTGTATGTGTACTCAAGGGCATATGCACATGTGCATGCACACAAACACACAACAAAAATAAATTACACCCACTCCCGAGTATTCGGTGTGAATGTTTCACTCTTCTTACAGGAGGCTGAGGAAGAACAGAAGTGTTATACATGACTACACTCAGAAAGACTGCCATAGGATAATCTCAATTTACAATTACCCAGCTTTCTTTTTGCCATGGTTATTTCCAGTGGATGTTATCACTGGAATCACTTTCAACTCTTCAGGAGGCCTAAAGAAGAAACCCCAGGAGGTAGAGATAGGAAGATAAGGGAAATAGGAAGCCCTGAGAGGCGAGTGGTGCTATCATGGGATGAATAAATGGGACAACCACTGGAGGGATAAAAGCACGATGGGCTCAGGCAGAAAGTGATCAGGGCAGACAGAAGGAAAAGACAAATGGTACCCGTGCTGCATCCTGCCTCCATTCCAACCTCTGACTCACTAGTTTGTCATTTTAGGTGTTTGGATTTAAAAGCAGCACAAACACTGCCGTCAAAAACAGGATGTTACATTCATTGTAAATTAAATGTCTCTACTGAGTAGGTAACATTTCTAAGCTATTTGTACTCGGCAAACATGAAAAGAAGACATCCCTGAGTAGATTCTGTTTTTCCCCTGTGACTTTAATTGGACGGGAAGAGCACACACATTATCTTGAATTTTATTTACCAATCCTAAATCAGGAAAGAAAGTTTCTGGAAGCACAGACACACGCTGAACAAGCAAGCCTGCCATAGAATTGCACTATATTGATTTGGTGCTAAAACAGAATGGAAGAGCTTTACTAAAATATTTCTGTTTAATCAACACTGAAGAGGACTGAACAAAGAGATATAAGGTCTGAACAGTTGTACTCCTTGAAGATCTCTATTTGCAGTTTGGAGAAATCTGGTTGCACAGTAAAATCTTGATTTGTTGGAACTACTTGTGTATGTCTCTTGCAGAGCAATCTCACAGGAGAGATTTAGTACAAATAGAAATTCCCAAAAAATCCAAGGACTAATACAGATTACATACAGCCTTCTCCACATCTCTAGGGTTTAGCACAGATAATTTTAACAACTGAAGTTTGGAACAGACCCTGGGGACCAGCAAGAACTCCTGTAACCAAAAAACATTCAGCTTATTTTTTTTTTATACTCTATACATTAAGACAGGACTGTAGAACAACAAACTGAAGGAATTTTGGCAATTTAACTTCTGAAAGTAAAAACAAAACCAAACAAAATGTATTTGGTTTAATTTATGTCTACCTTAATGTTCAATTGATTAATACACCCACTCTGGAGTGTTCTGTTTGAATATTTCACTCTTCTTTTAAGAGACTAAGGAAGAATAGAAGCATTATACATGGCTACACCTGGAAAGACCTCCACAGGATAACCTCAATTTACAATTACCCAGTTTTCTTTTTTGCCCATGTTATTTCCAGTGGATGTTATCATTGACTGAGAAATTCCCAGTCCTCGTGACGTCTGCTAGATCGCCCTCCTTACTCTAACCCTTGGGGAACTCGATTTGCAATAGAGCATAGCTGCATAACATGCACAGGATAGAAACAGAGGGAAGAAGGAAACAGGGCACTTCCTCTCAGGAGGAGTTCTGGTGGGTTATGGTGTTCTTGGTGGTGGGAGGATGGAGGGAGCTGTGTGCAAAATCATCTTTCCTTGCCTGTAGCTGGTGTAGGAAGATGGAGCAGGGGATGCTTCAGCTTTGGAAGTCATCCCTGCCATGAATGATTGATTAAGGCCAGGATAGAAGGTGGTGCCTGGAAGTGTGGGTGACTCTGGTTTGGCCTAACTGATGGGGATAGAGGGGATCTTGAAGTGGGCACAGGGAGCAGCTCAGTTCATGAGTTATGAGAATATGGAGCATTAATATTAGAAATAGGAGCACTAATCCCAAATCCAGAGGTTATATTTGCTTGCAGTGTCCCTGGTTTCCCTACTGCTGTGGCAACAAAGTTTGATTTCTATGTCATCTATCTTTAGTCTTCTCTCCACCCTTACTTATGTTCACAAGTGCCAAACTCTCCTATAAATACCTTGTGGCTTAAAACAAATTATGGTCATCCAGGAAAACCAATTCCACGTATAACATTAATTTCTGAGTTCCAAACACCTTGTTATTGGAACAAACCATTTGTAAATTGAGGTTGCAATGGATTAACTATTTTACATGCACAAATTGTATTTTTTTTCTTTTACACTAAACCTTTTGGGATTCTTCCCTTTAATACTGAAGCACATCATCTCTTGGCAAAAGGTTTATAGATGATTAGGACTGCCTGATTTCATTCGGCTTCACCGGATTACTGCTTGCCTGACTCAGACCTATCTTTAGATAATATATGACAGCATCTGCCCATCATCAGTACAAAGGGTTGTGTCTGTATATTTTATTAGCCTGGTGCAAAAGTTATTGTGGTTTTTGCATTAAAAGTAATGGCAAAAACCACAACTTTTGCGCCAACCTAATAGTATCAGGTCATTGTTTTTGCTCAGTGAATTCTTCCTTTTTAAGCCAGTCTTATGTAATTCGTCTCTGGAGGCAGGTGCTAATGTATCTCATTGTATTAGGCATATGGTGAATAAAGAACTAAGATCCAGACAGGTTAATTAGACTGACCAAGGTTACCTAGGGAGCTAGCATCTTTATTTTGGCATTACTGTTAATTTGAACAACAGCCCTTTTGACATGAAAGGGACTTAGAGACCATTTTCTAGAATTTCTTCTGTTTGGAGATAAGTAAGCCAAGATTGCAAAGGTTAAGTGACCTGCCCAAGGTCACACAGCTAACTGGTGTCAAGGTTACAGCTAGATGTGGGGTCTCCAGTCATTTAGTCCATAGTTCTGCTCATACTACCACATACACATTCAACTCACACATTTCAGAATCTCCAAATAGCTGTTTTACTTAATGAGCAGGGAATGATCAACTTTAATGGGCATGAAGAAGGGATCTAGCTGCTAACACTGATATCCAATTATAGAGCACATGACCAGAGAATATATAATAACTCCCTTGAAAAACTGTAGAAAATTATCAACAATCCTAATAGCTTATAAAACCAGCAAATTCTGACAGAAAGGAGAAACTGTTCACTCTTACCCTATGGGAAAAGGTGAATAGGGTGGCTGACTGAGAAAAATAAATCAGAGACTGGCAGGAGAAACTGTCCTTTCTGCCTTGGGAAGCAGCTGTGCAAGAACATGCTGTCTGGGCAGAGGCTGCCATCATGAAGAACCATGCCTGAGGTTAATAGCCAATATGCTGGGGATGGCAGAAGAGAAAGCAGAAAGACTTGGGTCCCTGACGATATGGTTCACTCACTGAGTTGACTCCTCATCTGTTGATTTCTTATCATGTAATGTGCTGGAGTTAGCTCTTATGGTAAGAAATGATTGTGTGCATCTCTTTCCACTTCTGCTTTCAGTAACTGTGTTAGTCCCATAAAATCATCCATGATGGGTGTATTTACAACACGGAACTTGCAAATGCTACAAATCAAGGATTTTAATTCACTGGAGAGTCAATCGTTAAATATTTACCAGTGGACCACTGGATATAATACACTCTTAATATTTAATTCACTTTTAGTTGTATGCTCTGGTACTTGTAATTGCAAGCATACTAATTGATGCACCAGCCTTGCCTTGAAAAGCTTATCTGTACTGTACTTAACTATAGATCAAATAGTGAAATAGAGTTACCCTAGATGCTTGCCGCTATGGAATACATTCCAATGGGGACACATGTCTCACACTACCAACAGAGAAAGTGTAATCACAATTGTCTCATTCAGTTGGAACTTCCCGTTCTAGATTGACCCAATAGCCAAAGGCTTTGGAATGGATCTTTTGGTAACTGTCCCATTGTGGGCTCTGGTGGATGTGTAATAAAGTAATAAAAGGGGGATCTATGTGGGAGAAAGAACTCTCCAAGGTTGGTAGCAACCAGGATGCAGGGTTTACAGAAGGGAATTAGCAGGAGTTTAAGAGCCCTGGATTGCTCAAGCAGCATCAGAAGCACCCTAAAAGTCCTTCAAGGCTGGGATGATACACAAGAAACACTGACTTCCAAGTTTCACATGAGGTCCCAGAAAGCATGGACTACATTATGCTTATTTCCTTTCATGGGCTGAAAACAGTAATACCCAACAGAGGACAAGCAGGGGACTCAAGGACGTTAATACAATGTAGAATAAAAGCAAGTTACTGAATTTCAGTAAACCAGAATTCTAATGTTAATTGTTTTGTCTTATTTGAATCAATTTTTAATTTTTAATGTTTTGGGGTATATAATAGGTATATATATTTATGGGGTATATGAGCTATTTTAATACAGGCATACAATGTGTAATAATCACATCAGGGTAAATAGGATAACCATCACCTTGAGTATTTGTCCTTTTAACTCACGGCTTGTTTCCCGTATTTTAAAATAAAGTGTTGGACTAAATGTTTTCAAATAATTCTTTCATTTGTGAAGCTATTTCCAAGAGGTAATGCTTACATGATTCTTTAAAGGTCATCATTCATTTGTTTATTCAAAAACTCTTTAGTGAGTGAGTACATTATTTGCATAATATACCAGTCTTTGGCCAATCATACCGAAGCCATGTGACCATGGCTTAATCTATCTGAACATCATCTGTTACATCATTGGTGAAATGGGCATAATGATATGGTTTTTAGAGGTAATTAATAAGATTGTTTTAAAGTATTTTATAAAGTTAAAATCCTATAAAAAGGGATCACTGTTAGTATCACTATCACTACTCATAGCGAATATTTATCATTTTGGGGGGTGTCCAGTATTTATCTTCATTCCTCCCCTTTTTAAATTATAGCCTGCCAATTTCCCTCTGAAGAGAACACTCAATTGTGTGTAGGTCTTAGATGGAGGGTAGTTACCGCCGCCAGCCTCTTATCACCTCCCACTGCTGCCTCTCTCATAGAACCTGATGGAGTTTCATTGGCCAGTTAGACATTCCCTCCAGGGACTTTAATTCTTTGAATACTTATCAATTGACTCACATTAGTAGCAGATGTTTGGAGGCTAGTTTCATGGGGGCAGCTGCAGCCCAAGGATCATATAGTCTCTGCCTTGTGCCCAAGGCTGTGGTTTGGCATCTAGAACTTCCTTGGTTTTTCAGTTTTCCCCAATTAGGTTTTGGTGTTTTTTTGTGAGAAAAGGTCTTGTCCAAGACACTGGGAAGCATATCCTCATCAGCAAAGATGCGGTATTTTGTTTTTAATTTGTTGTTTCTACCTAACTTGGAAAACAAAATCAGCACCCCACCCCACCCCCGCAAAAAAAAGACATACAACTTTTGAGAACAAATGGTGTGACTAATGTATATTTAAGACAGTCTGATGAAGATAATTATAAACTCAACGTTAAAAGGAAGATGATTGTTGTTAGTTCCCTTTAGTGAATATAGTTGTATCTGAGTCATACTGTTAAATTAGCTGCAGGCTCAAGTGAGAGACAGGCATTCTAAGATGACATGAAAGTGATTCTGCATGCCACAAGCATGTGATTCCTCTGCTTGAAAGAGAAATCAGCAGGTGTAGATACAAGACAATATATCTTTGCCAGGCTACTTTGTATGCATTACCTATAAGCCCCAAAGTGAGGCTTTGTAAGAGACTTAGTAAACATAAGTTCAGAGTTGTAATTATCTATTTGTCATTTATTGACAGAAGGAAACTTTGGTCTCTAACACAAACTGTCCTGTCCTTTAGTTGTCAGGATGAATCAGCTGTCTCCCTAAGCATGTTTGATTGATCATTTGCTTAACATCATTTAAAAGAAACAGACAAGATGTGAGAATGACACTCTGGATTGAATTTTCAGTGTAAAAGACATAATGCTGTTAATTCAGGGGCAATATGGCCAAACTATATTTAATTTCACATTATTTTTTTGAATGTCTTCTCAGGATCTCTTTCAAATTGGACAGAGATTGCATGCTCTATAGGATAATGGGATATAGTAATTGACATCCTCATGTTGATATCAAGCTATTCTTTTCAGGATCTACTAGTTCAGAATAATGATAACAAGAACAAGATTTGCCAAGTGTAGGAGTCATTCTGAAGTTTGCATATATTATCTGATCAAATCCTAACAACAGCTCTGGGAGTTTGGTACCTTTTAAATCTATAATTTATGGATGAATGAGTGAAAGCTCAGAAATGTTAAGAAATGCTTTCCTATTCAGAGCCTCTAAGTAACAGACTAGGTTACATCTGTTCAGAAACTTTGCTCTAACATGCTGCTGCCTCAAGAGACTAGGACCTTACATTCCACCACTGTTAAATCTCCCTGTTATTTCACTCATTTGATAGAACGAATAATGGTTTTTCTTTGGTTTTAGGAAAGCTACATTATAAACTTGACTACTAAGTCATAGGGAGAAGACTTTATAGTCATTTACCTTGGTCATCTGTGATCATGGGGAATGAAGAGAGCAGGGATAATTTCAAATCTCTTTCCCCACCATGGAGCATCATTGCCCAGAGTGATCAATTTAGAGACAAGCATCATATGTAGTCACCACTGGAAAGTCACGAGGCATATTATCATGATAAGGGGTCTGAAAGGTACTGCAGAAAAACCCTGACTCTTCTCTTTTTTTTCCTTTGAGACAGAATTTCGCTCTTGTTGCCCAGGCTGGAGTGCAATGACGAGATCTTGGCTCACTGCAACCTCCACCTCCCAGGTTTAAGTGATTCTCCTGCCTCAGCCTCCCAAGTAGCTGGGATTACAGGTATGTGCCACCATGCCCAGCTAGTTTTGTACTTTTTTAGTAGAGACGGGGTTTCGCTGTGTTGGTCAGGCTGGTCTCAAACTCCTGACCTCAGGGGATCTGCCTGCCTGGGCCTCCCAAAGAGCTGGGACTACAGGAATAAGCCACCCCACCTGGCCAACCCTGACTCTTCTTAACCTAGCTTTCCCCAAACTTTTGACTTTGTGACCTTTAATCTATTGATTGTATTTCTTAAATAATAATAATATCCAATAGTACTGCCACGACACAGACACAAGATGGGAAACAAAGAACACACAGAAATGACTTGAGTTTAATGTCTCCAGAACTGTCTTTATTTTACACTCAACGGAGAAGCAGTGTAATTCATACATAAATAGTCATATTAAAAATACAGAACAGGTACACATGTGCCACTATAGCATTTTTTATAATGGCCACATTGTGATATAATCATATACTTTAAAATTTACCTTTTCAAGTGTAAAAGTAAGTGGTTTGTAATATATTTACAGCTGTGAAACTATCACCAATATCTCATTTTAGAACATTTCATCACTCCAAAAGGAGAGCCCATACCAACTATAACAGCAGTTACTCTCTAGTCCCCTTTTGCCCAAGCTCCTGGTAAATACTAATCTACTTCCATTCTTTATGAATTGGCCTATTCTAGACATTTCATATAAATGGAATCATACAAGATATAGTCTTTTGTAACTGTCTTCTTTCACTCAGCATAAGGTTTTCAAGGTTCATCCACATTGCAGCATATATCAGTACTTCATTCTTTTATATTGCCAAATAATATTCCATTATAGAGATATACCACATTTATTTATCCGTTCACCTGTTGATAATTCCGCTTGTTGGTTATTAAGAATAATACTGCTATGAGCATTCATGTACACATTTTTGTGTGAGCATCTGTTTTTCTGTTCCTTTGGGTACACATTTAGGGGTGAAATTGCTGGGTCACAGGGTGAAACTATGTTTAACTTTCTGAAGAACTGCCAGACTGTTTTCCAAAGTGGCTGTGCATTTTATGTTCCTACCAGCAGTGTATGAGTGTTCTGATTTCTCCACATCCATACCAACGCTTGTTATTTTCATCATCATTATTATTATTGGCAAGTAGTATCTCATTATGGCCTGGACTTGCATGTCTAATGACTAATGATGTTGAGCATCTTTCATGTACTTGTTGGCTATTTGCATGACTTCTTTGGAGAATGTCTATTCAAATTATTGCTGAGTTCTACAATTGGGTTGTCTTTTTATTGTCGAGTTGTAAGAGCTTTATGTATATACTAGATACAAGTTCCTTATCAGATACATGATTTATAACTATTCTCTCCAAATATGCAGGTTGCATTTTCACATTCTTGAAGGTATTTTTGAAGAAAGAAATATTTTAATTTGAAATTATGATGAAGTTTCATTTGTTGCTTGTGCTTTTCATGTCATATCTAAGAAATCACTGCCTAATCCAAGGTAATGAATATTTACACATGTGTTTTCTTCTAAGAGATTTATAGTATATAGTTCTTAAATTTAGGTCTGTGACTAATTTTGAATTAATTTTTGTCTATGGAGTGGGCTAGGGTGCAATTTCATTATTTTGCTTATGAATATCCAGATTTCTCAAATCATTTGTTGAAACAAATGTATTTTCCAAATTCAATTATGTATTTGTTTCTTTCTCTCTTTTTTTTTTTTTTTTTTTGAGACAGGGTCTCACCCTGTCACTCAGACTGGAGTGTAGTGGCAAGATCATGGCTTACTGCAGCCTCAGCCTGCTGGGCTCAAATGATCCTCCTGTCTCAGCCTCCTGAGTAGCTGGGAATATGGGACTACAGGCACACACCACTGAGCCTAACTAAAAAAAATTTATTTTATAGAGACAATGTTTCACTATGTTGCCCAGGCTGGTCTCAAACTCCTGAGCTCAAGCGATCTTTTTGCCCTGGCTTCCCAAAGTGTTGGGATTACAGGCATGAGCCACCATACCTGGCCATGTATTAGTTTCTTAAGGCTATCCTAGCAAAAATACCACAAAGTTGGTGGCTTAAAACCATAGCAGTTTATTGTTTTGTTGTCCTGTTGGCTAGAAGTCTGAAACCAAGGTGTTGGCAGGGGCATGCTTCCTCTGAAACCTGTAGGAGAAATTTTTTCCTGGCCTCTTCCAGCTTCTGGTCCTTGCTGGCAATCCTTGGTGTTCCTTATCATAGAGATGCATCACTCCAGTCTCTGTCTCTGCTGTCACAAAGCTGTCTTTTCCTATGTTGTTTCTCTCCTTTTCCCATTGGGACACTGGATTAGAGCTCATCCTACTCCATTGTGACCTCATCTTAACTAATGACATTTACAATAACTCTATTTCCAAATAAAGTGATGTTCTGTGGTACTTAAGGCTAGGACTTTAACATATCCTTTTGGGGGGACTGTAACACATCCTTTTGGGGGGACACAATACAACCAATAACAGTCTGTGCTCTGCCTTCCCCAAATTCACGTCTTTCACATGAGGAACATAGACTCACTCAGTCCCAACATCCCCAAAGTCTTAACTATTCCAGCAACAACTCCAAGTCCAAAATCACATCTAAATAACATCAATTCACAGTCCCAACTCTCATGATATAAATCATTTAAATCAGTTGTGGATGAAATTTGTGATATGATCCACCCTGGAGCAAAATTGCTCTCCATCTGTGAACTTTGGAAGCAGATAAGTTATCTGCTTC
Source organism: Homo sapiens (assembly GCF_000001405.40). Classification (NCBI taxonomy): domain Eukaryota; kingdom Metazoa; phylum Chordata; class Mammalia; order Primates; family Hominidae; genus Homo; species Homo sapiens. The sequence continues at coordinate 47,220,431 of NC_000013.11, forward strand.
CAAAATACAATGGTAGGACCAAAGTAGGATAGACATTCTCATTCCAGAAGGGAGAAAAGAGTCACAGGTCCCAAACAAGTCTGGAATCAAGCAGGGTAAGTTACATTAGGTTTCAAGGGCTGAGAGTAATCCTCCTTGATTATTAATCCTCCTTGATTAAATGCTCTGTCTTCTTGGCTTGCAGGGATGGCAGCTGTACCCTCTCGGCCCACTGGGGTGGCAGCCCCAAACCTCTCAGTCCAAGGAGGCGCTGTTGGATAGGGCTCTGCATCTGTGGCTCTTTCTTCAGGGTAATTCTTCCTTCATTTCATCCTCTCCCTGTCCCTTTCAGTCCAAGTCAGCAGTGTTTCTGCTGGTATGAAACTCAAAAATTATATTGTTCTCTTGTGCAATTCACAAGACTCCAAATCATGAGACAAGAGAGCCCTCCACATATCTCTGATGGATAATGGATAAATCCCCTCTCTCTTTCTGGACTCTGTTGAGATGGCTGGTTGGATTCATGAGTCACACATCTAATCTCTTCAGCAAATGATTGTTCAGCCACACTCTTGGCCCTTCTTTTAGAGTACACTATCCAGATAAGCTTAACATTTTTCAAATCATCAAGTGCTATTTCCTTTTTCTTTTATCAATTCACTCCTCGATTTGACTATTTTCCCCTCACATTTTACTGTAAGCAGCAAAGAGGAACAACTCTACCCCTTCCACACCTCACTTGGTAATCTCAACTGGATGTCCAAATTCATTACTTACAAGTTTTATTTTCTACTCAGCAGAATAACATAATTTTGCCAAATTCTCTGCCACTTTTTAACAAATATTATGTTTTTCCAGTGTCCAATAATATTTTGGTAATTTCTGAGACACTAGCAAAAGCACTTTCAATGTTTATATTTCCAGTGCCATTGTATTTAAGAAGATGTATGTATCCTCTAAGATACCAGATGCTTTCAAGATTTTCTTTTTGTGTGTTTGGCTTTCAAAAGTTTCACTTCGATGTGTCTAGGTGTGGATCTTTTTTTAGTGTGTCTTAGAGTTCATTGAACTATTGAACTTGTAGGTACATATTACTGTTTTTATTTTAATTGAATTTGCAAAGTTTTCATCCCTTATTTCTGTAAATATTTCTTTTTTTTTTTTTTTTACATCTTTGTTCTACATCTTTTTTTTTTTTTTAATTATACTTTAAGTTTTAGGGTACATGTGCACATTGTGCAGGTTAGTTACATATGTATACATGTGCCATGCTGGTGCGCTGCACCCACTAACTCGTCATCTAGCATTAGGTATATCTCCCAATGCTATCCCTCCCCCCTCCCCCCACCCCACCACAGTCCCCAGAGTGTGATATTCCCCTTCCTGTGTCCATGTGATCTCATTGTTCAATTCCCACCTATGAGTGAGAATATGCGGTGTTCGGTTTTTTGTTCTTGCGATAGTTTACCGAGAATGATGATTTCCAATTTCATCCATGTCCCTACAAAGGACATGAACTCATCATTTTTTATGGCTGCATAGTATTCCATGGTGTATATGTGCCACATTTTCTTAATCCAGTCTATCATTGTTGGACATTTGGGTTGGTTCCAAGTCTTTGCTATTGTGAATAATGCCGCAATAAACATACGTGTGCATGTGTCTTTATAGCAGCATGATTTATAGTCCTTTGGGTATATACCCAGTAATGGGATGGCTGGGTCAAATGGTATTTCTAGTTCTAGATCCCTGAGGAATAGCCACACTGACTTCCACTATGGTTGAACTAGTTTACAGTCCCACCAACAGTGTAAAAGTGTTCCTAGTTCTCCACATCCTCTCCAGCACCTGTTGTTTCCTGACTTTTTAATGATTGCCATTCTAACTGGTGTGAGATGGTATCTCATGGTGGTTTTGATTTGCATTTCTCTGATGGCCAGTGATGATGAGCATTTCTTCATGTGTTTTTTGGCTGCATAAATGGCTTCTTTTGAGAAGTGTCTGTTCATGTCCTTCGCCCACTTTTTGATGGGGTTGTTTGTTTTTTTCTTGTAAATTTGTTTGAGTTCATTGTAGATTCTGGATATTAGCCCTTTGTCAGATGAGTAGGTTGCGAAAATTTTCTCCCATGTTGTAGGTTGCCTGTTCACTCTGATGGTAGTTTCTTTTGCTGTGCAGAAGCTCTTTAGTTTAATTAGATCCCATTTGTCAATTTTGGCTTTTGTTGCCATTGCTTTTGGTGTTTTGGACATGAAGTCCTTGCCCACGCCTATGTCCTGAATGGTAATGCCTAGGTTTTCTTCTAGGGTTTTTATGGTTTTAGGTCTAACGTTTAAGTCTTTAATCCATCTTGAATTGATTTTTGTATAAGGTGTAAGGAAGGGATCCAGTTTCAGCTTTCTACATATGGCTAGCCAGTTTTCCCAGCACCATTTATTAAATAGGGAATCCTTTCCCCATTGCTTGTTTTTCTCAGGTTTGTCAAAGATCAGATAGTTGTAGATATGTGGCGTTATTTCTGAGGGCTCTGTTCTGTTCCATTGATCTATATCTCTGTTTTGGTACCAGTACCATGCTGTTTTGGTTACTGTAGCCTTGTAGTATAGTTTGAAGTCAGGTAGTGTGATGCCTCCAGCTTTGTTCTTTTGGCTTAGGATTGACTTGGCGATGCGGGCTCTTTTTTGGTTCCATATGAACTTTAAAGTAGTTTTTTCCAATTCTGTGAAGAAAGTCATTGGTAGCTTGATGGGGATGGCGTTGAATCTGTAAATTACCTTGGGCAGTATGGTCATTTTCACGATATTGATTCTTCCTACCCATGAGCATGGAATGTTCTTCCATTTGTTTGTATCCTCTTTTATTTCATTGAGCAGTGGTTTGTAGTTCTCCTTGAAGAGGTCCTTCACATCCCTTGTAAGTTGGATTCCTAGGTATTTTATTCTCTTTGAAGCAATTGTGAATGGGAGTTCACTCATGATTTGGCTCTCTGTTTGTCTGTTGTTGGTGTATAAGAATGCTTGTGATTTTTGTACATTGATTTTGTATCCTGAGAATTTGCTGAAGTTGCTTATCAGCTTAAGGAGATTTTGGGCTGAGACAATGGGGTTTTCTAGATATACAATCATGTCGTCTGCAAACAGGGACAATTTGACTTCCTCTTTTCCTAATTGAATATCCTTTATTTCCTTCTCCTGCCTAATTGCCCTGGCCAGAACTTCCAACACTATGTTGAATAGGAGTGGTGAGACAGGGCATCCCTGTCTTGTGCCAGTTTTCAAAGGGAATGCTTCCAGTTTTTGCCCATTCAGTATGATATTGGCTGTGGGTTTGTCATAGATAGCTCTTATTATTTTGAGATACGTCCCATCAATACCTAATTTATTGAGAGTTTTTAGCATGAAGGGTTGTTGAATTTTGTCAAAGGCTTTTTCTGCATCTATTGAGATAATCATGCGGTTTTTGTCTTTGGCTCTGTTTATATGCTGGATTACATTTATTGATTTGTGTATATTGAACCAGCCTTGCATCCCAGGGATGAAGCCCACTTGATCATGGTGGATAAGCTTTTTGATGTGCTGCTGGATTCGTTTTGCCAGTATTTTATTGAGGATTTTTGCATCAATGTTCATCAAGGATATTGGTCTAAAATTCTCTTTTTTGGTTGTGTCTCTGCCCGGCTTTGGTATCAGAATGATGCTGGCCTCATAAAATGAGTTAGGGAGGATTCCCTCTTTTTCTATTGATTGGAATAGTTTCAGAAGGAATGGTACCAATTCCTCCTTGTACCTCTGGTAGAATTCGGCTGTGAATCCATCTGGTCCTGGACTCTTTTTGGTTGGTAAACTATTGATTATTGCCACAATTTCAGATCCTGTTATTGGTCTATTCAGAGATTCAACTTCTTCCTGGTTTAGTCTTGGGAGAGTGTATGTGTCGAGGAATTTATCCATTTCTTCTAGATTTTCTAGTTTATTTGCGTAGAGGTGTTTGTAGTATTCTCTGATGGTAGTTTGTATTTCTGTGGGATCGGTGGTGATATCCCCTTTATCATTTTTTATTGTGTCTATTTGATTCTTCTCTCTTTTTTTCTTTATTAGTCTTGCTAGCGTTCTATCAATTTTGTTGATGCTTTCAAAAAACCAGTTCCTGGATTCATTAATTTTTTGAAGGGTTTTTTGTGTTTCTATTTCCTTCAGTTCTGCTCTGATTTTAGTTATTTCTTGCCTTCTGCTAGCTTTTGAATGTGTTTGCTCTTGCTTTTCTAGTTCTTTTAATTGTGATGTTAGGGTGTCAATTTTGGATCTTTCCTGCTTTCTCTTGTGGGCATTTAGTGCTATAAATTTCCCTCTACACACTGCTTTGAATGTGTCCCAGAGATTCTAGTATGTTGTGTCTTTGTTCTCATTGGTTTCAAAGAACATCTTTCTTTCTGCCTTCATTTCGTTATGTACTCAGTAGTCATTCAGGAGCAGGTTGTTCAGTTTCCATGTAGTTGAGCGGTTTGGAGTGAGATTCTTAATCCTGAGTTCTAGTTTGATTGCACTGTGGTCTGAGAGATAGTTTGTTATAATCTCTGTTCTTTTACATTTGCTGAGGAGAGCTTTACTTCCAAGTATGTGGTCAATTTTGGAATAGGTGTGGTATGGTGCTGAAAAAAAATGTATATTCTGTTGATTTGGGGTGGAGAGTTCTGTAGATGTCTATTAGGTCCGCTTGGTGCAGAGCTGAGTTCAATTCCTGGGTATCCTTGTTGACTTTCTGTCTCGTTGATCTGTCTAATGTTGACAGTGGGGTGTTAAAGTCTCCCGTTATTAATGTGTGGGAGTCTAAGTCTCTTTGTAGGTCACTCTGGACTTGCTTTATGAATCTGGGTGCTCCTGTATTGGGTGCATATATATTTAGGATAGTTAGCTCTTCTTGTTGAATTGATCCCTTTACCATTATGTAATGGCCTTCTTTGTCTCTTTTGATCTTTGTTGGTTTAAAGTCTGTTTTATCAGAGACTAGGATTGCAACCTCTGCCTTTTTTTGTTTTCCATTTGCTTGGTAGATCTTCCTCCATCCTTTTATTTTGAGCCTATGTGTGTCTCTGCACGTGAGATGGGTTTCCTGAATACAGCACACTGATGGGTCTTGACTCTTTATCCAATTTGCCAGTCTGTGTCTTTTAATTGGAGCATCTTCTGTCTCTTTCTCTTTCTCTCTTTTCTGAAATTCCCACTGTGTGCATGTTGGTATACCTGACATTGTTCCACAGCTTTCTAAGGCTCTGTTAAGTTTCTTGATTTATTTTTCTTTTAGTTCCTTAGGTTGAGTATTCTCCATGGGCCTGTCTTCAAGGTGACTGATTTTTTTTCTTTTGCCTTTTCGAATCTACTGTTGAACTGGTCTAGCAGGTTTTTAAAATTTCAGTTATTGTACTTTTACCTGAAAATTTCTAGTTTTTGAAATAATTTCTGTCTCTTTTCAGTTTCCCTATTTAGCAAGTCAGTGTTCTCATACCTTTCTTTAATTCTTTAGCCATTTTTTTCTTTTGTTTGTTGCATGAATATCTAACGGCTGATTTAAAGTCAGTAAATCAGTAAATGGCTGATTAAAGTTCAGTAAATTTAAATATGGGATTCTTTTGAGGCACTTTCTATTTGCTACTTTTTCCTGTGTATGGGCCATATTTTCCTGTTTCTTCGCATGGTTTTTTTTTTTTTTTTTTAATGTTGTTAAAAACTGGGCAGTTAGGCTGGGCGTGGTGGCTCATGCTTGTAATCCCAGCACTTTGGGAGGTCAAGGCAGGCAGATCACTTGAGCTCAGGAGTTCAAGACCAGCCTGGGCAACATGGTAAAACCCTGTTTCTACAAATATAAATAAATTATCCAGGAGCAGTGGTACATTCCTGTAGTCCCAGCTACCTGGGAGGCTGAAGTGGGAAGATCACTTAAGCCCCAGAGGTAGAGGCTGCAGTGAGCCATGATCATAGCACTGCACTCCAGCCTGGGCAACAGATGGAGACCCTATCTCAAAAAGCAAAACAAAACAAAACTGGGGGACAGTTAAATAATATCGTGACAACTTTGGAAATCAAATTCCCCTCTCCTTAGTGTTGTTATGGTCACTGTTGTTCTTACTATTTCTGTTGTTTATTTTGTGACTTTCTTGAACTAATTCTGTGAAGTCTGTATCCCTGATGGATGGCAAATGACATCTCTGCTCAGTTAGCTTAGTGGTCAGGTAATGACTGGACTGTGATTTCCTTAAAAGCTTTTGAACCAATAAATCTCCTAGTCTTTGCTAAGAAGCTCTATGTGCTTTGGGCATGACTCAATACTCCATCAGTTTCCAACTTTGCTTAGGCTTCACTTCCTGTTTGTGCAGGATCTCAAGAAGAGCCAGCACTGAGAGATTTAGAGCCTACCTGAGAGGTTAAGTTTTTTTTCTGGGTACCCACAGAGCACTGCACATGTGTGTGGCCTTCTTGATGCCTAGGAATATATCTGAACTTCTCAAAGTCTCCTATCTCATTTCCAGATTTTCCTTTTAATATTTGTCAATGCTGTGTCCTTTTTATAGATTATCCTGGTTTCATTTTACACATATTAATTTTTAAAAATTGAAAACAAATTTTCATAGCACTGGACTAAACAATGACAATAACAACAAATATGGCACATAGTCCCACAAGTGTAAATTAATAGTTTTCTAATTTAATCTATTTTTAAGAAAACTCACTCTACTGGTTTTGAAAAATCACATACACTCATTATAATGAATTCACATAATGCTGCAAAGTACAAAGATGAAAATTTTTTTAAAATGATAATTGTAAAAATCTTATGTCCTATAAATCAATTTAACCTTTAAATTTATCAATGCTCATGACCAATACTTTTAGCATATCTCTTAATCCCTAATTTTTTAATTTTGATTTAGCCCCTAAGTGGCTGTATTCCGTTGTTAAGTTTTTTGTTTCTTTCAAGAAAAACTCAAGTTCTGTCATGTTTGGGAATATTAGCTAGTTGCTTCTATATTTGATGGATATTTTGCTGTATATAATAATCTCCTGTCATGCTTTTATTTCTTCTTAATACATATATGTTATTGTCTTCTGGCATTGAATGAAGCTTTAGAGAAATCTAAGGTCTGTCTACTATTTTTCCTTTTGAATGTCTTCCTGCTCTGTCTGGATGGATACCAGAATTATTTCTTTTTCTTAAGTTCAATATTTTATCTAGATTATGTCTTGTGTGGAGTGTTCTGTTTTCATATTTTTCCTGTAACACAATGTGCCCTTTTTTATATAGAAGAATCAAGGTTTGTTTTTCATTCATTTGAGGAAAATGTTCTGGTATAATTTAAATTTAATTTATATTACATTTATTGTGGCTCTACTTCAGGAACATCAAAATACCTTATGTTAGATCATCTTATATCTTTTTTCTATACCTATTGGCTTCTCTTTAGTTGCATTGATCTTTGTCTTTGTAAAATTTTCATTCACTTATTGCCTAATGATTGTAAGATTTTTCTACATGCCAGTAATTAAACTTTTAGCAGTATCAGTTCTCATCCTTTCTGTTTCTAATATATGTTTTAGTTTATTTCATAAAGTTTATAAACTACATTTTAATTTTCTTGTATTATCTTCTCATCTTTGAGCTTTCATTTCACTGATGTTAATCTCATCATTAAACTTTTGCTGTACTGAATATTCTTACTAAGAAATTTTATTGTTGCTCCAATTATGAAAAACACATTTTCCCATTTCGGGTAGTTATTTTTCCCAGGCAAAATGCTTTGTTTGACTTTTACATGATATGTTTATTTGCCCTCTTTTTGGCTCTAGAATGTTTACATAATTGCCGTATTATTTCTGCCATGCAGAGTTCTGCCCAGATATCTATTTTCTCTGGTCATATGCAGATGGATTCTTATTTCTGGGGTCAGTTTATTTTTATCTCTGAGCTAGAATTTGAGGCTTTAATATTTCTTGTCCTGCTCAATGTGGGTCATTAGATATCTGTTTAACATATTTTCAGGGATGCTGCCATTTGTGATGCTACCATTTCATTATGTGGTTTCCAATATTGCTGTGGTCAATGAAGTGAGAGAGGATGAATCATTTGTATCTGCTCTCAAGTACTTTGACATATAAATGACATACATCATTTATGTTTAGATACCATTGATCAGAAATGGCATATGGCTCCAACATAACCAGAGGAGAAACTGGGAAATGTAGGGGTACTCTTAGAACACTTGATCATTACCATCTCTTCCATAGTGCTCAACATATAGTCAACATGTTTTTCTATATTTGTTAGCTTTCCTTTCTTTTGTTGGATTCAATGTCAGGTTCATTCCTCCCATGACAGGACTATTATAAATTCTATGATTATATTCCACCAGTTTAGCTATGACAGCACTGAGAGAGTTTCTTTTTCTCGATAGCTCTTGCAAATTCCCAGAGATAGATCTAATTGGTCTGACTTAGGTCCCACCTGTATCCCTCAAATAATTACTGTGGTCATAGGAAAACAGTGCTATGACTGGCCAAGCCTGTGTGTCTGTTGTCTCTGAAAGTGGAGCAGTTCTGTGTGGAATACAGCTTCTGTAAGGTTAATATGTTTGTGGAGGATGATTTGTCAGAAATTATTCATAGGATCTTGAAATTCAGAGGAGCCCTTAATGTTAATCTTGCTCTTGAATCCTGTTACTCAAGTGTGATGAAAATAAAAAAAACAATAGGTCTATAAATAACTCTTATCCCAAGTTAGCTTACTAACCTATTAACACAACAAAATGTCTATGTACATTTATATACTCTAAAGATATAAAGGTCCAAAAATGTTGTCACAGAAAAACCTTTAGTTAATCCCAACTATTATGGGTTGAATTGTGTCCTCCCGAAAAAGAGATGTTGGGCCGGGTGCAGTGACTTATGCCTGTAATCCCAGCACTTTGGGAGGCCAAGGCGGGTGGATCACCTGAAGTCAGGAGTTCAAGACCAGCCTGGCCAACATGGTGAAACGCCGTCTCTACTAAAAGTACAAAAATTAGCCGGGTGTGGTGGCACATGCCTGTAATCCCAGCTACTCAGGAGGCTGAAGCAGGAGAATCGCTTGAACTCAGTAGGCAGAGGTTGCAGTGAGCTGAGATTGCACCATTGTACTCCAGCCTGGGGGACAAGAGCAAGACTTTGCCTCAAAAAAAAAAAGATGTTAAAGTCCTAATGCCCAGGACCTCAGAATGTGATCTTATTTAGAAACAGGGTCATTGGTGATATAAAGAAGTCAAAATGGTGCCATATTGGAGTGGGTGGACCCCTACTTCAATATGATTGGTGTCCTCATAAAAAGACTGTGATGTGAAGACACAGACACAGAGAGAATGTCATGTGACAGCAGAGGCAGAGATTGGAGTTATACAGCTGCAAACCAAAGAATGTGAGAGATCACTGACCACCAGAACACAAGAAGAGGCATGGATTCTCCTACAGATGTCAGAGGAAGTATGGGCCTGCCAACATTTTGATTTTAGACTTCTACCCTCCAGAATTGTGATGCAATAAATTGTTTTAAGCCAGCCAGTTTGTGGTGCTTGTTATAGCAGCCCTAGGAAAGTAATATACCAACTTTTATATATTTTTTATTCAAAGACATCACTACTGTGCCTTAGCAGCATCAGGAAATGAATGCCTAGTAGTTGCCTGCTTTAAAGTTCCTATTAAATGCCCACTGTGTTCATTAAGTTACTTCTATACAGTAGCACAGGTATACTGGTGATAAATTCTTTCCACTATTTTATGTGAGAAAACATGTTTATTTCACCTTCATTATGGTAAGATATTTCCACTGGGTATAGATTCTAGATGAACTGTTTTTCGTTTGCTTGTTTGTTGTTTCTTTTAGTACTTTAAAAATGCTGCCTTGCAGTTTTCTGGCTTACATAGTCTCCAGCAAGAAATCATCTGTCATTCTTATCTTTCTTCTGTACATATATGTCTTTTTTCTTTGGCTACTTTTAAGATGTTTATCTTTGTTACTGGTTTTAATCAATTTGATTACAGTGTATTGTGGTGTCGCTTTCTTCATGTTTCTTGTGCTTGGAGTATGTTGAGTTTCTAAAATCTGTTAGCTTATAGTTCTCATCAAATTTGGAAGAAAAATGTGGCCTTTTTTTCAATTTTTTTTTTCTCTTCTTCTTCACTCTTTCTTTGGGGATTATAATTACATGTATATTTGGCTGCTTGAAATTGCCCAACAACTCAGTAACACTACATTTTTTATTGAGTCATTTTTCTCTCTAGTTCTTTTTTGGATAATTTCTATTGCTGTCTTGAAGTTCACTAATATTTTTTTCCTCTAATGTCTAATATACCATTCATCTTGTCAAGTATATTTTTCAGCTTTAGGTCTTCTATTTAAACCTCTTTACTATTTTCCATATTGCTACTTAACACATTCGGTCTTTTCTTTAGCTTCTTGTACATGTTAAAGTGAGTTGCAATTGTTTTATTGGGGTTTTCCCCCTGCCAGTTCTATCAGCTATGTCATTTCTGGGTTGGTGTCTACTTGATTTTTTTTTCTTTGCATTATGAGTTGTCTTTTTCTACTTTTCTGCATGCCTAATAACTTTTAATTTAATGCCAGGCAGATAAAAATACATTTTATCTTGTTTGGTGCCAGATATTTTTGTATTCCTATAAATATTTTTGACCTCGTTTTAGGATGCATTAAGTTACTTGGAAAAGTTCAGTTCTTTTGGGTCTTACTCTTAGACTTTGTTAAGCAAGATGAGAGCAATGTTTCATGTAGGGTTAATTTTTCCCCACTCAGGCAATCCATTCTAACTGGTGAAAACAGGAAATATTCCTTCCATTCTGTGACCTCTAATCATTTTGAGTATTTTTAAAATTCTGATCTCAGGTATTAGTCTCACATGTGCTTTTTAAATTATCTGATAAATACTCAATGTGGATCTTATGCAGATCAGATCTCTGGGGTTCTGTCTCTCTGCAGCTGTCTCCTCTCTGCTACTCTGCCCTATGGATTCTAGCTGCCCTGGCTTTCCTGGACCCCTACTTCCATCTCTGCAAATCATGGAGACTCCAGGTTCTGTCTGGTTCCCCCAACCTGTACACACTGTGGAAACTCCTAGGCAATAAGCTGGGGCTATTGCATTACTCACCTTGTTTGCTTCCCATCTCTCAGGGATCACCATTCTTCATTGCCTCATATCCAATGCCTTGAAATTTTTTGAAAGATATCTTCTCAGAACAGGAGTCTCTGAGGAAAAAGAAAAAAAATATTTTGTCCATTTTTTTTGTTGTTTCGCATGTGGAAGGGTAAATCTATTTTTGTTACTCCACTGTGTTTGGAAGTAAATTTAGAAAATATTTTTAATTTTGAAACATGAGTTAAATGTACTTTTCATAATTTTTCCTTTCATCCTTTTTGCCCTTTAGCTGCTACCCCTCATTTAAGAAGCTGTTAGCCATAAAGAATCACTGTACCCTAAAGGGTCCTAGCAAATGTGAGTGAGGCCTTGCTTAGCAGCAAAGAGTATGGACTAACTACTGAAGGCTGGTGAATGATATTATGGAACTCTCAGGGAATGATGCAAGAGCAGAACAGCAAGGACCTGGGGTCCACTCCTCATGACACCATAGCTTCACAAAACCCTTAGTACTTAGATGCACTGCAGCAAAAGAGGAAAATCCCTGAATTAAAGAGATTACATTTCTTCCAATACAATAGAATACATTTAAATTATATAACTCTCTACATATAAAATATTGCACACCCCTGAGACAAATGGCGTATTAGGAAAGAGGAGATGTTTGTTTTGGTGGGGGAAATGGGAGGATGATGATGTATAAATTTTTAGCCATCTTGGATTGAGGTGATAATGACTTTATTAGAAATGGATATGGGTAAGAAGATATCAGAACAATTATGTAAATTTAGGATTCACATGGAAATTCCCATGGAAGTTAAAGAGGCCCCCTGAGGAAATGAGTTTAGAGTGATAATAAAAAAAAAGAAATGGTAGGAGGAAGTAAGGTGTGCCAGGAAGCGGAGAAAGAACATTCAAAGTAACTGGCAAACAAAGCAAGTCAGGGTTTGCAGAACAGAGAGTTTTAAGAAGTGGGCTGTCGGTGGTATTTTGGGTATAGAGGGCATATTATGTTAGGATGGAAAATTCCCAGCATGCACGCTGACACTCCTACCTACTGCATCCTTAGCAGCCAGGATTGCACTACAATGGCATTCCTTGTAATTGGGCCCAGGCATATCCTCACAAGTCTTCTCAAGAAGGTTTTCCAAGTTTGCAAGATGAGACTTGTTTAGTCTGTTGGATCTAATATTAGGGACTCTGACTTGTAACTTGACCTTGGCCCCGTGATTTTTTTCTTTCATACTTACACCTTGCCTGCTAGCCAAGCCAAATGTACTTCCAGTCCCTTTGTGTCTATTATTATAGCAACTTGAAATATCTCAATTTATATTCGTGTCTTATATTTGTATAACGCTTCACTGTTTACAAAGCATGGTTGTATCTTATATAGATCTCAAAATAGAAATGACGGGATGAGCAAAAATTATAGTCATAACTTGTGGCTGATATAACTGAGAATGACAAACCCTTAAGTGATTTTCTCAACACTGCACAGCTACCAATTAGCAAAATCAAGGGAAAACAAACAAATAAATATATCTTTGACTCCAAGTTGTACTCCGTTTCAGTTTAACTGGTTTTCCTCATTGTGTGGATAAGAGTTCTATTTTTTCATTCTCTGCTTTCCACCTTGAGTTCTGTAACACAGTAAGGCAGAATTGCTTTGCTTACCTGTGAAGGAATATCAAATTATTCAGAGGGCTACTTGTGAAAATCACTTGATAACTCATTGTACATTTGCTATTTTATGTAATTTACTTCTTATAGCAACCCTTAAAGGTAAATATTATTTTATGTATGGGAAAACAGAGGCTTGGAAAGTCCAAATAACTTACACAAGATGAGACGGTTGGTGGGGTTGGAATTCTAACCATCATACCATAGTGAACTAATTCTATTAGGCCTTTCTGGGGCATCAGTCTTTCTAGAACTAAAACTCTACTGAGGGCTATTTGTTCCTTTAGTTATTTATGCCTCGACATTTATTTGGACACTCAGACCCCATGCAAGGAACAATGAAGGGTCGAAGGGATAAAATAATGAATGTTTGGGCCTTCTGTGAGTTCATGGTCCACACCCTGTCCTCTGTCTGAGACCCACACACCTAGACCACTATTGTTCCTTGACATGCAAAGCAGTTCATTATTCCTGGAAAAGTCAAAGTGGCTTTTTTTGTTTCATAGTTAATCCTGGGACCTTGATTCTTCACTATTTTATATTGCTCTCAATTTGGAGCCTATGTGGATAAGGGCAGAATCTGGAGAGCACCAAACCTTTTAGCAGCCTGTTCTTTGCTGGCATAAAAATGTCCTTATTTCACTGGTGCAAATTTTGTCCCTTGAGGGTAATGTCTGGGCAAACTGACAATGCGTGGGTGGTTGTCATCACCATCTGCATTTTGCCTTGTAGGGAATCTTAGAGTAGCACCAGCTGTTATATATGATTTTGGGAAGTTCTGAGTCCTCAAGGAAAAACACAACATAAGGACAAAATCCTCTTTGCTATAAAGAGAATATAAGTGTATAGAACCTGGGGGTGGAGTGAAGGGCAAAGTGATTTCTGCATTTGTTATAGCTAGAGTTTGCTTTGTGAATACCTAAGTACTGGCAAGACAAGAGAAATGCATGTAAATTCAGAACATAAAGTCAAGAAACTTGTATTTATGTTTGGCTGGTGGGAAAATGTCATCACAGTGGACATTCAAACTTTCCAACAAAGTTTCAGAAGAGAAGAGTAAACACAGAATCCCCAGGGTCTGGGGTGCAGCCCTAGAAAGGGGCATTTATTTTTAGATTCCTGATTTATCATAAAAATTCATGATGTATCTGTGTCTGTTTAACTATGAAGATAATGCTTTCCCACCAAAATCCTGGAAAAATAGATGCCCTAGGAAGACATGATGTTTGTCCTGGGGCTTTGCTTACTTTCTTGTGCATCTTGTATATATGCCCTAGTTTGGTTAGAATTAAGGTACACTGAGAAGCAGATATTTGAGGGATAAAGGTATGGCTTACTTTTTCTTTTCTGAGAGAAGTTAAAGAAAGTTAAATGTGGTGACCATTTTTTCCTGACAGTTCATCACTATAGACCTTTTAGGCCTCCCAAGGGTGAAGGGTCAAATTAGAGGAGACCTAATTGCTCAGATTTGTTTCATTCCAAGTTCACCCTGGGATGAGGACTTAGCTTTGAGAAAGGTTTTGGATGTCATTTATCTTACCTCTCCAGCTTGGTGATTGGCATTTAAAGGCTTCAAGATATTGTGAATGAAAACCATTTTTAGGAGCAGTACTCTGTTTGACAAGACAGTCTCCAATGTCATCCCCATTTAGAACTCAGCCACTCTGTAGTCCTTGGGATCACCTCAATGTCACAGGGGCTCTTGCAGGCCTAATGGAGCCGATTTAAAATGGAACCAGTTCTTACAGATCTGAGGGTTTATAATTATATCTGTTAAAGAAAGTGCTTTGAACTCAACAGGGGTGTTGATAGAGGATTAATTGTTTAATTCTATGAGAAACTTTGAAAACAAGAATTTATCATTATTTTTAAATTTACACGTGGACATTTAAAGAAATGCTCTATAGCTGTGTGCATAATGCTAGAATATGATTTAATAAAAATAACTTACAAAGAACCTTGAAAGGTGAACAAACTTTCTTTCAGTCCTTACATATTACTAAAGAACATTTAAGCTTATTATTTAGCAGATTGTATTTCAATTTGCTATGATCTATTTTGTGAACATTAATTTAAAAAATTTAGTAATTGACCTGTACAAAATTACAGAGTATCCAAAGTATGCAAAGGTTTAAGGCTGTCCCAAAACTCAAGAAATTAACAGTTTATGAAGTTGGAGAAAAAACATTATCTCATATTTCCAGAGGTCATATATTCACGGCTTGTTCTATGGTCTGACATAATACTTCAATGTCTCTTTAAATTATATCTTCCCAAATTTTCCCAGTTAGAAACAATCCCTCTCCCTCTTCCCACTCTTTCACTCTCTCTCTTTATCCTCCAAATCCCCCATAGCATTTTGGTTGTATGAATATTGTAGCACTTACTATTCTCATCACAGTCTTTAGTATAACAAGAGCCAAACTGTGGCTTCTACATGCCAAGGGCTATATCTTAATTAAAAACAACAGCAACTTCCATTTTTGAAGAAGATTTTATGTGTCAAATGCTAAGCCAAATGTTTACTCTTCAAAGTAATTTTATAAAATAGGTGTTATTACTGTTATTTCAGAGGTAAGGCAATTGAGGATTAATGATGCTATATAACCTGCTCAAGATCACAGATTTGGAAGGTAGGAGTTGTGAAGTACAAATGCAGGCCTCCTAACTTTTGAGTCTTTGCACTAATTGGGACTTCATACCAGCTTTCAACATGCAACATTTACCGTTGTTTCTCTCCCACCTTCACCTCTCACACTTGCCACAGTGCTTTGATGGATGCCCCATAACTCATTTAGTTGAATGAACATGAAAGATAATACATTGAATGTAGCCATTTATATATAATGAGCTTCTTACAACATAAATTGTATACAGTTGGCTCATTTGCCAATACAAAAGATGGACCACAAACAAAATCCTGATCTCTTGCTGCTTTAGTCCATTTTTCACAGCTATAACAGAATACAACACACTGGGTAATTTATAATGAACGGAAACGGACTGGCTCACAGCTCTAGAGGCTGGAAAGTCCGAGATCAATGGACTGGTATCTTGTAAGAACCTTCTTGCTGTGTCATCTCATGATGGAACTGCAAAGAGAGGGCATGAGAGAGAGCAAGAGGAGACAAATTTGTCTTTTAATAAAGGGTCCACTCCCATGATAATATAATTAATTCATTCATGAGTGCAGTGTCCCCATGATCCAAACATCTCCCTTTGGGTGCCACCTCCCAACACAACTGCATTAGAAATCATGTTTCCAACACATAAACTTTGTGGGATATATTTAAACCATAGAACTTGCTATCTTCTCCTGGAAGAAGCCTGTGTTCAGCTTTGGCCATGATCTCTGGTTGTTTAACCCCTTTTAGCAGCCAGATTCCCTGCAATCTTTCATGTATACTTACCTTTCCTGATGTTGATCCTGGTATTATCTCCTGCCATGATATTCAAGCATGCAATCCAGGCATGTTATTAGATTTAATGCACTAATCTGAGTAAATTTACTGAAGGAGAAGTATCTTGCTTCTCTCCTCTCAGGAAAAATGATAAATGAACCTCTCAAAACTATAGATAACCTTATCAGACTAATTAGTTCCATCCATGCATTCATTCATTCATTCATTCATTCACTTACTCATTCTCTCAAATGCTCCTTCATTCTTTCAACAAAAAAATTTTTTAGAGCTTGACATAATTTCTACCTTCAAGGAGTTTACATTTAATGAGGGCAACCAGCAGCTAACTAGATGATTATAATAGTGTAAACACTGACCCTTGAACACAGTAGTATGGTGACAAACTGCCCTGGTTTGCCCAGGACTCCTGAGTTTTCTGGGATATGGGACTTTCATTTTTTTCAAAAATGGTATAGTTCCTGGCAAACTGGGACACTTAATCACCTTAGCTGTGGGAGTATAGAAGAGGCAACCCATGACCCTGCTTGAAAAGGCAAAAGAACATTTCCCAGAAGAGGTGGTTCTAATGCTGGAATTTCAGACCAGGCAGGTGGGAGGTTCAATTCCTTAACAGCCTAGCCCAGTGGTGTCCACCTCATATTCTCATATTCTCCAGGGATCTCAGGAAGAAGGAGGCTCATGATGCTGGACTGGACATTTCTTCCTCCTCTTAAACACACACACACACACACACACACACACACACAGAGAGAGAGAGAGAGAGAGAGAGAGAAAACAAGAACATAGGCACAAGCAAGCAGGCAAGCAGCTTTGGCCTTTCTGAATGAAATCCAGCTTTTTTGAAAATTATTTTTAAATTCACAGTGAACCATCTCATACATTTTACTTCTTTCTGTAATCAAAGCTTGAGCCATATTTCTGGGCATCTAAAGTAGGATGCATTTGGAATTTTAAATCTGCTGTATTTAACTCTGCAAATATCAAAGAATGAAGAATCTTTATGAGAGGAAAAGGGCAGCTAAGCACTGTAGCAGCCTTCTCATTTGCTGGGTGACACTGAGTCACTGACGATGGTTCCTAGGGTATGGCAGAGTCACTACAGAGGCTCTCATGAGTGATCCAGGCAGGAGCACAGGCTGGAGCCACTGCTGAGGGCAGATGTTCTCTGTTCCAGAGGCAGAACACATCTCTGGAGGCTTGCTATGTAAGGGTGGCACAGAGCTGCCAGAAAACATAATAATTGCTGTGATTATGATTATAAGTGCCGTTTAATTGCTGTTGCATCATGCCAAATATCTTGGGAAGAAAAAAGTAGGGCCTTATGAATAAATGATCACTTAAAATATTTAAATAGATGATTATAATATACGACTTTAGAATACTTGACTTTACCCTGAAGCTGAATGTTTCCTGCAAAGTATGGCAAATTCATGGTCAGCAGTAAACAGTTTAGATGTCTAGTAACTTGAAATACATACAGTGCACCCTTGCTTAAGAAAACTTGTGTACATCTGAGTAATGGATAAATCAGACAGTAATTATGTAACATGGGGACTTAGGATAATTATTTCAGGAATGTATTGGGAAATATGTTGTATTGAAAAATGATCTGCTTTTAATTGTCCATTTCCAAAACAAAAAACAATCTTGAAGTTTACATAAAACTAAGCTTGGTTGAGAATGAAAGTTGTTTCCTCAATTCCCAAATCTCCCTTCTATGTAGTAAAATACAAGGCTAATATAACATAGTAGAAGAGTTTTACTATAAACCATGGTTTATCATAAGACATAACCCACCCCACATAAGTAGAAAGCCCTTTGCTGAGAGGAAAAGCAGAGGAATTTAGTGACGATGTCACTAGAATGGGAATGTTGCCGCCAGAGTCCCTGAAAGCAGACCTAGCACCTCGTATCTCCTGGGCCTCGAGCAATCAAATCCCAACAAAAAACCCAGCTAGGTTGAGAGGGAATGAAAGAACATTCTGGCTGTTGCTCTGTTTCTGGGATCAAAATGGTGCAAAAGCAATGAAGCTGTGAGTAGAGGGAGTTTTCTTGATAGACGGACCTGTAATAATAGTCTACAGTCTTCCATAGACTGCATACCAGGAATGTGGATCCATGTAGGGGAATAGGAAGGGACCCAAGGTCAGAAGACAAAGGCCGCAGGGCAGGGTTTGGCAAACTGTGGTCTGCAGGCCAACTCCTGTTACAGCCTACCTTTTTACAGCCCTGAGATATAATTTTAAAAAAATTTTAAAGGACTATAGAAAAGAAGAAGATGAAGGTGACAGAAGAGAGGGAAGAAAATGAGAGGAAAAGGAGGAAGGAACAGGAGGAGGAGAACAATAGTAAACAACAAGAAAAGTATGTGACAGAGACTGCATGTGATCTACGAAGTCTAAGGTATTTACTTTCTATCCCTGTATAGAAAAAGTTTGCTAAGCCCTGTTATAGAGCGCAGGGACCTCATATCCACGGCAAATTACAGTCACTGTAGACTTCAGCATCAGGAGCCAGGACAAGGCCAAAAGTCCAAGTGGGAGTAGGAACATCCAGGTGGATACCAGCACAGAGTCCAGAGCAAACCAGGCACACTACTAAAGAGACCAGGAAAGCAGGAAGGAAACCTATGCCACAGAAGCTTCTCCTCATAAATCCATGAGGATAAATAAGGTTCATCCTGAATCCAGACATGTCTCAGAAAAGGGGAGAAGGAAGGAAAACTCTGATGGGAAAAGAGGAATGATTGGGAGTTTGAACTTTGAACTGAGTATCACATGTGGCTGAGTTAACCTGAAAAACAAAGATAGTGTAAGCTTAAGGTTCTTCTTCTTTTTTTTTGTATTTTAAGAGATGGGCCCTCACTCTGTTGCCCAGGACTGTCTTGAACCTATGACTTCAGGGCTGGTCTCGAGCCCCTCACCTCAGTCTCCCAAAGTGCTAGTATCACAGGCCTGAGCCACTGTGCCCAGCCCTAGCATATTTATCTTTTTTTTTTTTTTTTTTTTGGACACAGGGTTTCACTCTGTTGCCCAAGCCAGAATGCAGTGGTGTGATCATAGCTCACTGCAGCCTTGAACTCCTGGACTCAAATGATTCTCCTGCCTGAGCCTCCCAAGTAGCTAGGACTACAGGCATGTGCCACCATACCTGGCTAATTTTCTAATTTTTTGTAGAAACAGGGTCTTCCTGTGTTGCCCAGGCTGGTCCTGAACTCCTGGGCTCAAGCAATCCTCCTGCCTCAGCCTCCCAAACTTGGGATTTCAGGCATGAGCCACTGCACTTGGCCAGGCTTCTTTTTCTGTTGTTGTTGTTTTTTTAAATTATTATACTTTAAGTTCTGGGATATGTGTGCAGAACATGCATGTTTGTTACATAGGTATACATGTGCCATGGTGGCTTGCTGCACCCATCAACCCGTCATCTACATTAAGTATTTCTCCTAATGCTATCCCTCCCCTAGCCCTCCATCCCCCCAAGCAGGACCTGGTGTGTGATGTTCCCCTCCCTGTGTCCATGTGTTCTCATTGTTCAACTCCCACTTATGAGTGAGAACATGTGGTGTTTGGTTTTCTGTTCCTGTGTTAGTTTGCTGAGAATGATGGTTTCAAGCTTCATCCATGTCCTTGCAAAGGACATGAACTCATCTTTTTTATGGCTTCATAGTATTCCATGGAATATATGTGCCACATTTTCTTTGTCCAATATGTCACTGGTCATCATTCGGGTTGGTTCCAAGTCTTTGCTATTGCGAACAGTGCTGCAATAAACATACGTGTGTGTGTGTCTTAGTAGAATGATTTATAATCCTTTGGTCATATACCCAGTAATGGGATTGCCGGCTCAAATGGTATTTCTAGTTCTAGAACCTTGAGGAATTGCCACACTGTCTTCCGCAATGGTTGAACAGGCTTCTTAATTTGGGCCTCTTACCTTGTTTTCTGGGATGTTAGAATGGAACTCTGGGAGAATGGTTTCAGTCAGGATGAGCAAGTCCTGGAGATCTGTTGTGCTGCATGGTGACAATAATTAATGTATTGTGTGATTGGAAATTGCTAAGAGCTTAGATCTGAAATGTTCTCATCACAAAAACTAAGTATGTGAGATGATGGATGCATTAATTAGCTTGATTTAAACATTTCACAATGTATACATACATCAAAATATTTTTGGGCTGGGTGCAGTGGTCCACGTCTGTAAACCAGCCCTTTGGGAGGCTGAGGCAGGTGGATCACCTGAGGTCAGGAGTTGGAGACCACCCTGGCCAACATGGTGAAACCCCGTCTCTACTAAAAATACAAAAAATTAGCCAGGCATGATAGCAAGTACCTGTAATCCCAACTACTCAGGAGGCTGAGGCAGGAGAATCACTTGAACCCGGAAGGCGGAGGTTGCAGTGAGCCAAGATCATGCCACTGCACTCCAGCCTGGGCAGCAAGAGTGAAACTTCTGTCTCAAAAAATAAAATAAAATAAATTATATATATATATATATATATATATATACACACACACACTTTTATATATATATACACACACATATATACACATATATATATACACACACATATGTGTATATATATGTGTATATATAGTTGTATACTGTGTATATATATGTATATATAATTTTTGTCAGTTATACCTTAATAAAACAAAAGAAAAATTGAAAAATTTTGAACTTAGAACTGAAGTTCCCAACCTTTTTGGCACTAGGGACCAGTTTCATGGAAGATAATTCTTCCACAGATGGAGGGGTCAGGGAGAGAGGTGGTCGTTTTCAGGATGAAACTGTTCTACCTCAGATAATTAGCCATTAGATTCTCATAAGGAGCACACAGCCTAGATCTCTCGCATGAGCAGGGCACAATAGGGTTCTTGCTCCTATGAGAATCTAATGCTGCTGCTTATCCAACAGGAGGCGGAGCTCAGGCAATAATGCTGGCTCACCCACCACACCACTCACCTCCTGCTGGGCGGCCCTGTTCGTAACAAGCCATGGACAGGTACCAGTCAGTCCGTGGCCTGGGGGTTGGGGATCCCTGCCTTAGAAAGTGTGATCTTTAGGTGTTTCCATTGTTTATACCTTGACAGAGATGCTGAGAAATTTTAAACAAAGTTGCAAGTTTCGAAGTCAAGGCTAAATGATAAATGTTAAGCAATAAAAAAGTTAAAATAATGAAAAGTTTGAAAAAAAACTAAACTAATGAAAAAACAGAATTTGATTTCCCAAGATTCATTTTAACTATTATAAACAGTTGCTAAAATTGTTCTGAGTTTGGGAGCTAGAACATCTGTACTAGGAAGAGGACATTTAACTCTGTGATATTCGTAAAACATTTGTTTTCTCAACACCACCTCAGAAGTTTAAGGTATCACATGAATGGTCCTATCATGCATTACTAGGGTAAACCTGGCCAAATCTAATTAATATTTTTGTTTTTCATGAACGTTTTAAATGTTCAGTATTAATGTCACTATGACTGAAATATGCGTTATGGATCCTGAGTATTTTTAATATTCTCCTGCAGCACATACAGTGGTTTTGGTTGCATCCACTTGAGTCTCTAACTCAGTTTCCTGCAGCGAGTTCATCCTGTGAAACAAGCTGCATGACTTAATGTCCCAAGGCTCATATATCCCAAAACATATTGAGGTCCCCACTCAGTCTAATTCAAGTTCTTACCTAAAGCCGTCTGTAATTTATTTCTGGGATATATTGATATCTTTGAGATTAATAAATTGGTGGGTCTTGCCTAGTAAGGATTAAAGCTCTAATACTTAGAAGATCACAGAAAAGAAACACACTGACACTGGCTTGTCTATTGCACATTGGTCTTTTTTATTAATTAATAGGTGTTATTTTTTAAGAAGAGTTTTAGATTTACATGAAAATTGAGCAGATAGAGAGTTCCCATGTACCTCCCCACAATTCCCCACATTATTAACATCTTACATTATAACAGTAGATTCGTTATAATGAATAAGTCAAATAGACACATTATTATTAACTAAACTCCATAGCTTATTTTTTATTTCCTTAGAGTTTCCCTAATGTCTTTTTTCCTGCTCTAGAATACCACATTATATTTAATCCTCATGTCTCCTTAAGCTCCTCTTGGCTATGAAAGTTTTTCAGATTTTCTGATTTTTGACGACTTTGATGAGTTTAAGGAGTACTGATCAGGTATAGTGTGAGGTGAGCGTGATGACCACTGCACCGTGGAAAACCCTAAGGTCAGGTATATTGTAGAATGAGCCTCTAGGAGTTTGTTTTGCTCACAGTTACACTGAAGTTATGGTTTTAGGGGAGGAAGCTTACAGAGATAAAATGCCTCTTTTTGATTTGGTGTGGATAGACTATTTTTTTGAGCAGTTTTAGGGTCACAGAAAAACTTAAGAGATTTCTCATGTCCTCCCTGCCCCACACATGCATAGCTTCTCCATTATCAATGTCCTGTAACAGAGGGGCACATTTGTTATCATTGAACCTACATTGACACGTGATTATCACTCAGAGTCCCTAGTTTACATTAGGGTTTACTCTTGGCATTATACATTTTGTGGGTTTTGACAAATGTGTAATAATATGTATCCACCATTATAGTTTCATACAGAGTACTCGCACTTCACTAAAAATTCACTCTTCTCCAGCTATTCATCCTTCCCTCTTCCTAACCCCTGGCAACCACGGATCTTTTTTCTGTCTTCATAGTTTTGTCTTTTCCAAAATATCCTATAGTCAGAAGCATACAGTATGTATCCTTTTCAGATAGTCATCTTTCACCCAGTAATATGAATTTAAATTTTTTTCTCTGTTTCTTCATGGCTTGATAACTTATTTCCCTTCAGTGCTGAATAATATTCCATTTCATATTCTAAATGTCCTACAGTTTACTTAACCATTCAACTATGGAAGGACATCGTGATGGTATTCCAAGCTTTGGCATTTAATAATTAAGTTGCTATAAACATTCGTGTGTAGGTTTTTGTTAGACAAAGAGTTTTTCCAGCTCTCTGGGGTAAATAGCAAGGAGTGTGGCTGCTGTCTTCCAGTGGTTTTACCATTTTGAATTCCCACCACCAATGACTAAAAGTTCCTGTTGCTCCACATCCTTGCCCGCATTTGGTGTTGCCAGTGTTCTGGATTTTGGCCATTCTAATAGGTATGTAGTGATTATCTCTAAAATGCCATTTTCATGTTCAGCCCACACATAAGGAGAGATGAGTTATTCTCCCCATCTTTAGGGTGAAAAATCTGCATAATTTATTTCTAATACTTCTGCATAAGAAAATGGAAAAGGAGAGATAATTCATTAATTTATTTAATAATTTATTTCAGTATGAATTCATGAATATTTATTTTACACTATCAGTTATAATCCAATACTATTTTTCATCTTATTACTCAAACTGTTCCCACTTTGGCCTTTTGGAGCCCTTTCATTTGGCCTTTGTACCCTCTTGACATACCTACATCAATAATATTTTGTTGTTTTTGGTGTCACTGTTTTTGACAAGTCCTTACTTTTTGGCACTACAAGATCCCCTGTTCTCCTCTTGTGTATGTCCTCCCAGACCTAGAATCAGTAGTTTCTTCAAGCTTCCCTGGTTCCTTTTATCTCAAAATCATATTGAAAACAGAGATCTGTCTGGGAGTTGAATGTGTTTATTGCTATGGGGGTATCACTTCCTTTTGACCCTCTCAGCTAACAGAACAGAAACATATACGTATATATTTGATAACTCCTATATGCATACATACCTATAAATATTTCTATGTGTAACCATCTGTATCCATATTAAACATAAGTTCTTATGATATCTCTAATTCTAATCCATTACCACATGTGTGGATCATTCTAACCTCCTACCCTTGCTTATCCGTAAACTCCAACAGTGAGAAATTTGACTCCTACCATCTGCTGTCCATTTACTGATTTGCTCAAATCCAGTAAACAAGTATAGCATGATCAGAATTGTTAACTTGCAATCGAGAAGGAAATAGCTTTATCAACTAGAGTACAATGATTCCATTCATTTCCAGAGTTACTTAAGTCAGCACCTCTTCCCTACATCCTCTTCAGTGAAGCTGCTTCATACAGTTGTAACAGAATTAGATTCTCTTGTCATGGTCTGTATTCCTTTTAGGGATCCTTCAACCTCTATTACATGATTTTTTAAAGATGTGCATACATCGAGTTCACTCTGTGTTGTACAATTCTATGGGTTTTGACAAATGCATAATGCCATAGATCCACCATTACAGCACCATACAGAATAGTTTCACCATAATAAAATTCCCCTCTTCTTCACCTATTCATCCCTTCCCTTTCCCAGAACCCCTGGAATCATGGATCTTTTTGCTATCTTTATAGTTTTGTCTTTTCCTAAATGTCATGTAATTGGAATCATACAGTATATAAAATTTCAAATAGAACTCTTTCACTTAGAATCATGCTTTTAGAATTCTTTTACGTCTTTTCATGGCTTGATCTCTAATTTGTTTTCATCACTGAATAATATTCCATTGTATGGATGTACTATAGTTTATCTGTTCACCTAATGAATACATCTTGGTTACATCTAGGTTTGGGTGATTATAAATAAAGCTACTATAAATATTAGTGGGCTGGTTTTTGTGTGGACATATGTTTTCAGTAAAATTGTATAAGTACTCAGGAGCACAACTGTATGGTAAGACTATGTTTAGATTTTCTAGAAGCTCTCAAACTGTCATCCAAACTTGCTGCACCATTTTGCTTCCACACAAGCGAAGAACGACAGCTTGCATTGCTCTACATTCTTGCCGGCAATTGGTATTGTCAGTTTTTGTTAATGTTAGCCATTCTAATAGGCTAATTCTAATAGTGGTAACTCATTTTCACTTTAATCTGCAATTCCCTAATGACAAATGATATTGAGCATCTTTTCATATGCTTATTTGCCATCTGTATATCTTCTTTTGTGAGGTGTCTGTTCAAATCTTTTTCCAAGTTTTAATTGGGTGTTTGTTTCCTTCTTGTTGAGTTTTAAGAATTCTCTGTATATTTTGGATATGAGTCTTTATTAGATATGTGTTTTACAAATATTTACTCTC
This sequence comes from Homo sapiens, assembly GCF_000001405.40. NCBI lineage: Eukaryota > Metazoa > Chordata > Mammalia > Primates > Hominidae > Homo > Homo sapiens. The sequence goes on from NC_000013.11 coordinate 47,245,778, forward strand.
AGTTTGTGAGTTGTCTTTAATTTTTCTTAACAAATGTCTTTCACGTGGCAGAATTTTATATTTTAATAAAGTATAATTTATCTATTTTTAAAAGGTTGGTGTTGTATATAAAAACTCAAGCCCAGTGTTGCTTAGATTTTCTCCTGTGTTACCCTCTAGATGTTTTATAGTTTTGCATTTTACATTTAGAACAGTGATCCATTCTTAGTTATTATTAATGGAAGGTAAAAGGTCTGTATTTAGGGTTTTTTTTATTTTGCATAAGGATGCCCAGTTGTTCCAGTAAGATTTGTTGAAAAAAAAACCTGTCTTTTTTTCTATTAAATTTGCCATTGCTCTTTTGTCAAAGATCAGTTGACTATATTTTTGCGTCTATTTCTAGGCTTTTCAGTCTGTTCCATTAATCTATCTGCTCTTTTGCCAATACTATGCTATCTTTTTTTTTTTTTTTTTTTTTTTTTTTTGAGCCGGAGTCTCGCTCTGTCGCCCAGGCTGGAGTGCGGTGGCACGATCTCGGCTCACTGCAAGCTCCGCCTCCCGGGTTCACGCCATTCTCCTGCCTCAGCCTCCCGAGTAGCTGGGACTACAGGCGCCCGCCACCGCGCCTGGCTAATTTTTTGTATTTTTAGTAGAGACGGGGTTTCATCGTGTTAGCCAGAATGGTCTCTATCTCCTGACCTCGTGATCCGCCCGCCTCGGCCTCCCAACGTGCTGGGATTACAGGTGTGAGCCACCGTGCCCGGCCTATGCTATCTTGATTAATGTAGCTTTATACTAAGTTCCAAAGTTGCATACTGTCAGTCCTCTGATTTTATTTTTCTTCATCGATATTGCATCTTCTATTCTGGGTCTTTTTCTCTCTTCATAGAAACTTTAAAATTAGTTTATTAATATCATAAAATAACTTGCTGGGATTTTGACTGGAATTGTGTTGAATCTACAGATTATATTGGGATAATTGACATCTTAACAACTCTAGTCTTCAGGTCCATGAACATAGACTATGTCTCTAGTTATTTAAATTTTCTTTCTTTCTCCAGAGTTTGATCATTTTACACATACTGATTCTACAAATATTTTGTTAGATTTTTTGTGCTAGTGTAAGTTGTATTGTGGTTTTAATTTCAAGTTTCCAATTGTTTATTGTGAGTATATGGGAAATCTGTTGATTTTTCTGTATTATCACATCTTGTGGACTTTGTCATAATTACTTAGTTTCAGGTGTATTTTTGTTAATTCTTTGGGACTTTCTGAATAGACAATCATGTTATCTGCAAACAAAGATAGTTTTATTTCTTTCTTCTCCATCTGTGTATAGATTACATCAACTGACTTTCAAATGTTGAACTAGATTTGAGTACTTGCAGTAAATCCCATTTGGTTGTGGTGTATAATTATTTTAATATATTGTTGAATATGATTTGCTAATATTTTGTTGAGGATTTTTGCATTTGTCTTCAATTTTCTTTTCTTATAATGTCTTTATCTAGTTTTGGTAGTTAAGAGAATGCTGGCCTCATAAAATGAGTTAAGTATTTCCTCTGCTTCAAATTTCTGGGAGAAATTATAGGATGTTAATATCATTTCATTCTTAAATGTTTGGTAGAATTCACCAGTGAAACTGTGTAGGCCTGGTGTTTTCTTCTTTGGAAGATTATTAACTATTGATTCCATTTCTTTAGTGTATGCATATTGAGATTACATATTTTACTTGTGTGAGTTTTAGCACATCATGTCTTTCAAGGACTTTCAACCAAGGTATCAAATTTGTGGGTGTAGAATTGTTTGTAATATCCTTTATTATCCTTTTAATGTCTGTGGGATCATTTGTGATGGCCCCTATTTCATTTCTGATACCAGTAATTTATGTCTTCTCCATTTAATTTTTGATTAGCTTGTGTAGAGTATTAATTTTGTTGATCTCCTTAAAGAACCAGCTTTTTAAAATTGTGGTCAAAACACAAGATTTACCTTATATGATGACAGATACAATGCTGTACAACAGATGTCTAGAGATTATTTATCTTGCTTGACTAAAATTTTATGTCTGTTCATTAGCAACTTCCCATTTCTCCCTCCCTCCAGCTCCTGGCAACCACCATTCTATTCTTTGTTTCTATGAGTTTGACAATTTTAGATATCTCATATAAGTGGAATTATGCAGCATTTGTCTTTCTATGACTGTCTTATTTTACTTAGCATAATGTTCTCAAGTTTCATTCACATTATCATATGTTGCAGCTTTTCCTTATTTTTTCAAGGCTAAATAGAATTCCATTATATGCATAGAACATATTTTCTTTGTCCATTCACCTTTATATGGACATTTACATTCACCTTTATATGGACATTTAGTGGTTTCCACATTTTGACTACTGTGAATAATGTTGCTCTAGAGAGCATCTGTTTTGCTGTTTATTGCAGCAGTATTAACAATAATAATAAAAGAGATAAATAATATCCCTTTCAGTTACTCATTTCAATTCTTTAAAATAAATACCCAGAAGTGCGATTGCTGGATCCTATGGAAGTTCTATTTTTAACTTTCTTGGAAACCTTCATTCTGTTTTCTATTGTGGCTGCACCATTTCGTATTCTCATCACCAGTGTGCAAAGGTTCCAATTTCTCCACATCCTCACCAACACTTTTTTATTTTTTTAACAACTTTTAATTTTTGTGGGTACATAGTAGGTGTATATATTTGTGGTTTTTTTTAAGAAATAATAGCCATCCTAACAGGTATGAGGTGATAGCTCATCATGGTTTTAATTTGCATTTCCCCAATGGCTCAGTGATATCAAACATCTTTTCATACACCTAGTGACCATTTGTATGTCTTATTTGAAAAAAATGTCTCCTCAAGTCCTTAGCCCACTTTTTAATCATCTCATTAGGTTGATTTTTGTCTATTGAGTTATAGGAGTTCATTATATATTTTGGAGATTAACCCCTATCAGGCATTTGGCTTGCAAGTATTTTCTCATGTCATATGTCGCGTTTTTTTTCTGCAAGAGTTGGAAGTTCCAAGATGGCTTCTTCACTCACACATGTGGTGCCTCCACTGGGATGCATGGAACCCCTGGGCCCAGCTGAGCAGTCCATGCTAATATTTCCACCTCCCTTCCACCTCTCCATGGGGTCTTTTAAGCAGCACAGCCAGATATCTTTATATGGTGAATCAAGTCTGCCTTAGTGAGTGTTCCAAAAGAACAAGTCCCAGTGTCCAAGGTTTATCAAACTTTTGTTCATGTCACACTTGCTAATGTCTCATTGGCTACAGCGAATCATGCAGCCAAGGGCAAGACAGTATGGGAAAGGGATACACAAAGGAATGAATATCTATAATAGCAGTCTAGCACATTTAGTATGTCATTACTTTTAATGACATACTAAATATTGATGAAGATGTGGAGCTACCAAAACTCTCATAAATTGCTAATAGGAGTGTAAATTGGTACAGCCCTGTAGGGAAACGTTGGTGGAATCCACTAAAGCTAAATATATACTTACCTATGACCTAGCAGTTCTGCTCCCAGCAGAATTGAGTAATCACATTCACAAAAAGACTTATATGAGAATGTTCCTAGATTTAGTCATAAAATCCCAAAACTAGAAACATCCCAAATGTATGTCAACAGGATAATGGATAAAAATGGATAAATAAATTGTGGAATAGTCATACAGTGGGATGATACATGGCAATAAAAAGAACAAAACCTCACTTCAGCCTAGATGACTCTCACAGACATTATGTTGAGCAAAAGAAGCCAGACACAAAAGAGCACACACTATTCCCATTTATAGAGTGACCAATTGCTCTCATTTTTGCACTGAGAAATCCACCTCCCAAAAACCCCTCAGCTTCAGGCAAACCACAATGGCTACATTCATACAGAGTTTAAGAAGAGGCATAATTAATCCATGTTTATTAATCCATGTTTATAGAAGTAGACTAGAGGGTACCTCTTGTGTGCATTTTGAATAAAAAAAGGGCAAGAAGGAACTTCCTGCAATGTGAAAATACTCCTCTAACTCTTGAACAAGATGGTGACTACTTGAGCATATACACATGTAGAAATTCACTCGTTGTACATTTAAGACTAGTGCAGTTTATAGACTTTATTAAATGAGCATTATACCTCAAAACAAGTTTTAAAATAAAAAAAACAAACGAGCAGAAAACATGTCTGTAACTTAACTGGCTCTGTGACCTTGGCAATTTTGTAAAACCCTCTGAGCCTAGCTTTCTCACATGTAAAGTGATGATAATGGGTAATTCCCATGGCCGTTGTGAGATTAAATTAAAAGGGTTAAATTTTATTTATAAAGCACCTAGCATATATTAGACACTCAATATTGGGTCACATCTCTGCAAATCTGATGGGAAATGTCTTCCCTAAGGGAAGATTTTCTGTTTCTGGAATTTCACTCCCTAGAACTTTCCATGCTTGAGTCATGCATTAGCTTTTGACAAGTTATTTTATTTAACTCTCCCTCTTGGCAATCGCTACCTGTGATGACACACAAAGCGGGAAACTACATCCCAGCAGCTACAAATAATAGCAAGCAATCTTTTGAACTATTTGCCTTGAGGAAAGGCTAAAAAGTTATTGAGTCGTGAGTGCAGTTTGCCACGTCACGATGTATTTCCCACTGTTTTCTTAGGCTATTTTCTTTGCCTCCTTTAAGATATTTTCTGGAAACTTTTGCTGAACGGTAGCCAATTGTGAGCGAAAGCTTCTGTAACCATTCTCTTGCTGAAAGTAACTCGGAGATCTCATTTTGCCACATGGAAGACAGCAGACTCTCTACTTCTCTTCCCTTAGGTCACAATGGCCTATAGGATATTGCTTTTAGAAGCAATGCTATAAGGAACCCTTTTTCTTGCACCAGTAGGAGGTAAGTCAATTCTAAGTGCTAGGCAGCATGTTTTTGTGCTTGCAGGTCCAGAACTGTGCAGACCCATTTCATTCACTTGCTTTTATGCCTTTATGGAATAAAATGTTCAGGTTTCATTTAGGTTAACTCCCTGAGCATCCAGAAAGTCTACAATTTTTGACTAAGAATTCTTGTGACTTTGGGAGGCAGCTCGGCAGAGGTCCAAGAATACTACATATGCCTGTCTTCCTGTGCAGCACCAAGTTCTATTTAATTCTTCATTTGCCTCCCTTTATATAATGTCTGGGAAAAGTTCACATTATAAGCAAATATATGGAAGCATATTCTTAAACTACAAAACTCTTTCGAGTGGCATTTTGTGAGAATTATTCAGAGATTTGAGTTTAAGAAATATGTTCCTATATGTTGTTTACAATGAGGATCATTCTAATTTCCATGAAAAAAAAAATGAAACCTGAATTTGAATCCAACTCCACTCTATAAAGCTGTGCAACCTAGAATGAATTACCTAACTTGCTGCATCTGAAAACTGGGAATACTAAATAATACCTACGCCTCTAGATTGTTGTAAAGAAGTCATAGGAGGTTAGTACAACATCACCTCCATAGTAAGTGCTTCATACGTGAAGGGTTTGTGCCTTTATCCTCATTCAAACGGCTTCTCAGGGCTCAGGAAGTCCACCTGGAGACCAGAAAGGGAGGACAGAAATCAGAATGATGATATCTTTACCTCATCCACGCAAACCAGTTCAGACACATTCAAAGTTCTTCAGCCCAGGGTAATGTTTCACCTCCCTTCTGCATTTTGCTTTTAGTTCATTGCTCACCATTGGGAAGTGTTCTGTATATTGAGTACGTGATAAGACCTTCAGAAATGTCAAATAACAAAGCCATTAGTTGCCTCAAGAAATTAGCTGATCCTTGCCTGCTTGTTTCTCAGAAAATCAGTAATTTTTTTCCAGGTTTTTGAAATGAAGGAACTGAGTCTTACAGAGCATTGAAGATTTTTAAGGCATGCACCATTTTTCCCTTTTCTTCTGCCTTGGTATCCACACGTCTCAAAGAAATTCGGCACAGATTAGAGATACTGGCCCAGAGCAAGAATGGCTTGTACATTATGGTGAAAAGAATTTCTAATTTATTTCATACAAAGACTTAGCCACATATTTTGTCATTTTTTTAATAGTTTGAATTCCATTTGCAGCATTTAGTCTACTGATTTGATGCTGGCAATGATATAAAAATTTGGCTTTATTGAAACATGTTGCTTGAATTTAAAGCATACTGGGGTATTTATGGCCTCTGTTAACTCGTTTTTTAAAACACCCACTAGTAGAATGACTTCACTGGTCAGCATAATTGCTCGGCTCTCTCCCTCTCTGGGGGTTGGGAGGGAAGTGGATGGTTTAGAGCTTAGAAGTAGACTTAGTAATATGATTTCACGAAGTCAGAATCGCCAATTCCTCCCCTCCATGATGCCTGGCATTCTAAACAGAAAACCTACTCCTTCATTAAGGCTTTATTTCTTGTTATTTTTTAAAAGCAAATCCCTTTGATTGGCACCACTGTTCTATTCCTGGGCCCTGGTGTGCCCTCCTGTCTCAGTGATATTAAATGTCAGGAAAGGTCGGGCACGGTGGCTCACGCCTGTAATCCCAGCACTTTGGGAGGCTGAGGCGGGAAAATCATGAGGTCAGGAGACAGACCTCCTATCCTAGCCAACATGGTGAAACCCCATTTCTACTAAAAATACAAAAATTGGCCATGCATGGTGGTGCACGCCTGTAGTCCCAGCTACTCAGGAGGCTGAGGCAGGAGAATCACTTGAACCCAGGAGGTGGAGGCTAGAGTGAGCCGAGATTGTGTCACTGCACTCCAGCCTGGGTGACAGAGCAAGACTTAAATAAATGTCAGGAGAGCAATCTGAGGTGAATCTGCCAATAGCACGCTGAAAACCTGATCAGTGCTTCTCGGGGAGACTGAGCAATTAGCCCTCTCCCAGCCTGGGCTCCTGGGTATCCTGGTTTTCTTTCTAAGCAATAGTTCTAAACTTTACCCAGTAACTCTGTCTAACCCAGGAAGGAGTCAATCTTGTTATATATTAGTCATATTCTTCCCTTTCATGACTTGCTTAGAAGCACAAATCTGGCCAAAACTGCTCTCCAGGCCTTTGCCCAAAGAATGTCCCTGACTCCAGTTACTATTTTTGTTTTTCTCCCCATAATAGCACTGCTACCATAAATTAGGGGCCTAACTACTATAGCTCAGTTAATGAACTATGCACAATCCAGATGTAAGCAAAACCTTTACCTCTATTTGGTCAGGTTTCTATTACTTGCATATGATTACAAGGATGCAAACTGTTCCATCTTCCTACATGTTTTATTTCCTTGATTGATCTCTCTCCTTCCTGGAGGTTTTGTCATCTGCATAGTTTTACTGGAATGTACTAATTTCTTTCTGTTTCCTCCAGACATGGTGCTTTGCCCTTTCTCCTATGCAGTAGATCCCCTCTGGTTGGTACTTCTCACACATTCTCTTCTAGCAACCTGTGACTTCAAGGTCATCACTAGTCTTAATGTAAATGTACACACTTAAATGTATATGGAGATCTGAGAACAGATTTGGCACTATCACTATCTTGTTATGACTTAGGGACTGACTAAGCCCAGTATTATGGCTTCAGAGGCTGAAGCTGGAGTGAGAATTGTGATCTGAGGCAAAAGCTGAAGAATGAACATATTGAAAAATCAGTTAGGATTCCAGAAGATGGATCTTGAGAGTCTAGAGAAGTTCTATCCAATGGAACTTTCTGGAAAATGGAAATGTTCTATAATATTGTGTGTTGTAGCCACTAGCCGCATGTGGCTACCAAGTACTTGAAATGTGACTAGTGCAACTGAAAAACAGAATGTTAAATCTTATTTTCTTTTAGTTAATTTTAATTTAAGTAGCCACAGGTGAGTAGTGGCTATTCTGTTGGACAGTTTAGAGGGAACTGTACATATTCTAAGGGGTGAGGAGGGAATGCTAAATCCTAGACATAGACCCTGTAGTAGGGAACCAAAAGGACATTATACTCAAAGGCAAGCTGGACAGCAGTAAAAGAGAATGGACAAGAGGTCACTCCAAGCATCTTTCTAGAAAACTAGCCTCACTACTTGCCTTGTTGGACAGGTTGAGTTGTGCTTAGAATTTTATAAATGAGCCCTGTACCAAAGATATCTAGATGATCCTTTTGGGCTCCAACTTTCCTTCTTTAAGGGATCAGTGAGATTTCTCTGAAAGGTGGCACAAAGCTCAAACACCATAGGGATCAGCAATAAAGCTTTAACTTTTGAAAGTCAACTATATAGCTTTGATTTCAATTATTATTTATTTTTTATTTAAAAGAGTTTCAGTTAAATCCATGTAGATTCTTTGGAAACATTAAGTATTTATTTATTATTGAAAAAATGTTCCTCACCCTTTAGAGATCTCAGGGCACTTGTTTTAAATAAAATATCTAGAAATAGCTGTAATAAAATTAGCTTAAGGATGGGGTCAGATAGGACCTCGAACAATCAAAGGCAGGCCTAGAAACTGGCAGCTTGCATTTCTAGGCTGTATAAGTTTCCAGGAGAGTAGCAGCCTTTATCATCCTGTACTGTAGCATAAATCAGAATCTACTCAAGAATGTTTAAGAAGAAAAAGAATATATTATTTGTACATTTATGTAAAAAATATTTCACATGTCCAGCACCATTCTTGGAGCTGTGTATAAAGGAGTTACAAAACAGATGTATCCCCTGCCCTCAAGGAGGGAGACAAGATGATTAACAAATATGCAACTAATAAATACATATAATGTGTCAGAAATTGATTAATGTAATAGAAAGGACCAAAATAGAACAAAAAAATCATGAACTGAATGCTGGATTATAGGGGGATTATTGCTATTTTACACTGGGTGTTTAGGGAAAGCATCATGATAAGACAATATTTGATCATAGACTGGGAAAAAAAGTGAGCCATATGCATATTGGAGAAAAACCTTTAAGACTGAGGAAGCAACAAGCCCAAAGGCCCTAAGGGGAGAGCCGAATGCCATGTTCAAGGAATACTGAAGACTGTTCTGGGGAAAACTGGGGCAGAAGATCTGGGGGAGTGTTAGATCTTAGAAAGGCAATGGGAGCCAGATCATGTTGGGCCTTGAAGGCTATTATAAATATCTTTGATGCTGAAAAGTGTTATTCAAAACTGTGAGATCAGATGCAATCACCTAGGACAGTTTGGGCACTCCACACACTTACTTACATATCAGAAAAATGAGGAAGAATCCTCAAAAGAGACTTAGAAAGAGGGGCTAATCCTGTAGGGGCAGGAGAATAATGTGCCAGAAGGCAAGTGAGAAATGTTTCAACAGGAAGAAGTTATCAATGTAAGTGTTGTTAACAGGTCAAGTAACATGAGGGATATGAACTACTGTTGGATTTTGCAAGGTGAAAGTCTTGGTGATTGATAGAGTAGTTTGGAGTGACTGACAGAGTAGTTTGGAGATAGGTGAGAAGAAAGGAATTCTTGCAGTAGCTTAAGTGATAATGGAAGAGGGAGTGAGGAGATAGTGAATTAGGAGACTCTTCTACAGAGTTTTGTTTTAAAAGGAAAGATAATGGTCATGGGAGGCCATGGGACTAGAGATGGACTTGTAAAGCTGGCAGAAATTTTACTGTATTTGTGTCTCAATGGAAATGATAGAGCAGAGAAGAAACTGTGATAATCTAGGAGAGTGAGGGTAATTGCTGAAGAAGATGCTTTTGATGAAGTGAGAGGAGGTGGGATCAGGTACATAGCTGGAGGAGCTGGCCTTAGACAGGAGCACAAACTGGTACCAATACAAACAGAACAGAAGGCAAGCACATGGGTATAGGTGCAGGTAGGTAGGTAGATGTTGGGATGGTAGTGTGTGGAAGCCCTATTTTATATTTACATTTTCCCAGTGAAATATAATGCAAGGTGATCAACTGCTGAAAGAGAGATACTGGACATTCAAGAGAGAAAAGAAGGTGTAAACTAGATGTCTAAAAGGGTGAATGAGTAAAAGTCATCTTGGTGGATGGAATTAAAAGAACCGAGGGAAGGACATTTCCAGCCAAGAGAACTACACTGAGTGTCTCAAGTGTGGCTGCTGTCCTGGCAGGGATGGTGTGTGTATGAGATGGGATTGGTGGAGAACATGGTGGAAGGTGAGGTTAGAGAAGGAGACTGAAGCCTGACTATGAAGTGTACAACTTTAAGATTTTTTTTTTAATATTCTGCAGGTGAGGAATTGTCAAAGTATTTATGTTTGTCTATTGGCTTGATATTTCAAGACCCCTTTATTCAAATCATGCACAGGGTGTCTAGCTATACTGGAGCTTCCTTGGCTAAACTAAGAGACAGGAGAGAATAAATTTCCACCCTTTCCCCCTTGTTGGTCTGTGAGGCACCTGTGTGGACTCCTGTGGTTCCAACAGTTTCAGCTGCACTGACAGAGGGTGGCCAAAGGACCATCAAGTAGGAATACTATGATTATTTCATGCTTTAAGATGATCACTTTGACAGGTGTACGGAGTAGGAATTTAAACTGGAAGAATCTGGGGCAGGAGACACCAATTGGAAGCCCACTATAAGTGGCTTACTACTGACAGGACAATAAGGGTGTATAGGGACTGGAAGGGCAGGGATAGCGGGGTGGGGAAGACAAATGAGGCTATTGCGATGACTGGATTTAGGGAGAGAAGGAAAAAGAACAGTCAATACTTTGTATTCATGAGGTGGTAATAGGCAATTCAGGACATTCAGATAATAAGTTAGTTTTTGTATAACTTCAGTTTGTGGTATTGGAAAGATATTTAGATAGAAGTATTCAATATATAGGGAAAGTGGGCCTAAAGTCAAGGAGAGAAGTGGAACTAAAGATGTAGATGCAGAGATATTGGCAGCTGATACCACAGATATGGACAGGCTGGACTCAGGAAAACAGGCAGAGGGAGAGGAAAAGGCAGCAAGGACAGAACTCAAGAGCATGCAGCATTTTGAGAGGCTCAGACAGAGAAGAACCAGCTTCTGTGACTCAGGCACAGTCAGAGAAATTGGAGGAGACCCAGTTATTGTTCATCCTACAATTTTCCCATCATTCATTCTGCTCATGTCCATTTCCACACCCCTGAAGAGGAAGTGTACTCACTTAAGCCAACGGATGCTTACCAGTCATGACACACACCATATCTGAGCAGAAGCTTTAATTGTTGTGCATGCAATGTCTCTGTTTCTTTTGTTCCTATCATCCACTGTGACAAGAGGATGGGCCAGATGGTGGCTAATCCTTCATCATGGGTTCCAAAATGAGAAGACACATGGATCCCTGCCAAGGCTATAGCCAATCTGCAGGTCCCATGCAATGTGAACAAGAAATAAATATTGGGTTTTGAAAGCCATTGATTTGGGGGTTGTTTGCAGGTGCAACAAAAGCTGACTAACACTCTAATATTAAGGGAGTTTTGGGAAAAAGAGTAAAGGAAAAGGGGGTGTCAAATACTGCAGGGACGACAATAGCATGGGAATTGAAAAGAAGCAACTGACTTTGGTAAGCCCCAAGAGTGTGAATAGCAGCACACACCTGTATGAGTCCAGGATCAGGGCTTACCTTGGGCAAGACAATACAGCCTATTTTGGACACTCCCTGTCTTTTGGTTACCTGACATTTCCCATGTATTTTCCCATCTTAGTATCTCCTGGTATCCCTCAAAAACAGAATCTTTGTTATGTAGTTAACTGTCCTTTGTATGAGGGTCTCAGATTCAAGAGACTTTGAGACTAAAAGATGTTTAGACTCTGTGAAAAGAGTGAGTGGATAGGGGTGCCTCTAATCACACAGTTGCCTACCCAGAAAAAATTCTGTCCTTGGTAGAATTCCTTATTATTACCTTGGCTTCAAGTGGTCTTTGTCATATCTGTTTAAAATTGTACAAGATCAAAAGGGTTATCCAAGAGCTATAGATTCTGCCTAGCTACATATAATAAAAGAGCACTCAGCAGGGCATGCAACTTGAAAGTCAGTCCCTGGTGACCATGTGCAGAGGACAGTGGCTGTGAGCTTCATATTTAGGTTTCATATCCAGGCTCAGAAAATTCCTAGATGTGTTAACTTGGACAGTTGTTTAACTCTCTCTACCTTAGTTTCCTTTTTTATAATGTAGAAAAAAGAATAATATCTTTTGCAGAGTTTGATAGTGTTTAAATCAGAAAATGCTGAAGACGTACTTAGAGTGATTAGTACATAGCCTCAATAAATGTTAGTCATTAGTATATGTGTAATGCTATTCATATTACTACCCTATTTCTTAAATTTACTTTTATATGTAATAGAAGTCACAGCTTAACCCTTAACTGGGATTTAGATATGACTGTACATCAACTAGCAGGGCTGCTGCCAGGAGTCCATTTGAATGAGGGGTTTTTTGTTTTTTTTTGAGACAGAGTCTCACTCTGTCTGCCAGGCTGGAGTGCAGTGGCATGATCTGAATGAGGCTTTTTAGTGAAAGGAGGGTTAGAGAGCTTTCTCCTCTGCTGACAAAAGAGACAGCTTGGAGTGGGTCCCCTTCCTGGGTCTCCATCTCACAGTTGATAGGGTCCCCTTCTTGGCCCAGCCCAGCCAAATCTAGCTGATTCAATTCTAAGAACTGAGAACTGAAATCTATGGAAAGAGGGGCTGTATTTCTCATGAGGCACTATTTTTACAAGGATTCTTCTGGATAGGAGGGTAAAACAGCAGTGTTCACTCAAGAACCTGAGAATTGGGGAGGCTTTCTCATTCCTTCCATATGGAGCAGCAGCTCCAAACTAGAGATGATTCTGATTGTTTGCTTCACACTGACACCTCGAGGCACTTGGACAGCTCCTAAAGACAGCATCTTTGCCAAGAACGCCAGATTCCATGGTGACACTGGGGCTGTAGCCATGAGACATGCATGCACCAGGTGGGTTCTTGGGCAATGAACTTCAGTGATGAGATTAAAGCAGAAGAGTAGGAAAAGGTCACTTGAGAATTCCTACATGACTTCAGAGATTCCCAGAGAGAATTTTCTGAGATACGGGAAGCGTGTTAGGAGCTGTGGCTAAGAATGAGCAAATCATGGATAAGTATTATGAATTGGCCACATTTTAATTCCTAGTGTGGTGTAGCCTGAGACCAGAGAGGACACAGGCTTGGAGTTATGTAGTTGAAAAGGGGGCTGCTCTTACAAGACAGTGTATACCCTTCTGGTAAATTGATCGGATTCCTCATATCCTCAAATTTCCTCCACCTCCCCCAGCATGTGTGTGAAATTTCACATTACTTGCAGTTTTACATCCCTTCGTTTCTGGGATTCAAAATCCATTTTTTTCTAGAAAAAAATTATAACTTTTATTAGAAGTAGTGCTGAGTTTATGAAGATAATACAAGACTCTCTTTTTCAAGACAGCAAGTGTGAAGAGCATAAGGATATAAATTTATGAAATAAGTTGGGGAGGGGCTAATAGTGGAAATTATGGAAAGGTGGGAAAGTCACAAAATAAAGGTTGAAAGCATAAAGGTTGTGGCATGGAGACAATTTTTGTCAACTTCACAGCTCTGATTAGGCTCTACGCTAACACTCAATTTAACAAAGTAGAACTATGCATTCTCTTACCAATTCACTACAGAGGTGGTCTTTTATTCAAGTGCTGAGCATGTCCTAAAGATTGTGTCTGTGTGTGTTACATAATACAATACTAGCTGCTGTTCCAGCTAAACCTTAAAATTTCAGTGGTTCAATGCAACAGAGTAGAGGGTGGGGGGCAACAGAGTAGAGGGTGGGGGTTGTGTGCTGGACTTGGCCATGCTTAGCTTTTGACTTTCAAGGTTGCCCTGGGTGTGGATACAAAGATTCACCACCTCATCACCCTTCAAAAAGATACTTGCTGCCCCAGCTGTAGGGCATGCCTTCAGATGTCATCTCCTTTCAGGATTGCCTCTACTATAGAGAACTGCCATACCTGTGGTCACTTTCTAGAGTGGCCCACAACTAGAGACTAGTAAGCTCAGCTTCGATGGGCTGTTTTAGCTCTTGAGTGCCCATGGGGTATCCAAGCTTCTCATCAGGTCTGCTTCACAGCCCGACTTGTTCCTCTGCCCAATCCTGCTTTTCCTCTCCCTCCCATGGGTATTTATCCCAACACACTCCCTAATAAAAATCTAGCTCAGAGTCTAACCTCCATTTCAGAGTCTGCTTATAACCTAATGCAACCTAAGAAACTCTGAGAATTAATTAGTAGCTGGTAATGGGAGAATGCAGAGGAGGTCACTCATGGACAGTTTTGATCTGAAAGGAGCACATATCACTTCCACTCACAAAATTAATTAAAACTCAATCATCTGGTCAGTCATCTTGTGAAGAATCAAAGATACCCTGAAACACTGGATGCCTTACCCAAGAAGATAACGCCTAGTCCACAATTCAAATTATTGGGTTCCTCATCTTCCTGATAATTTTGTATGATTTTCTTTTTGACATTAGACAAACAAAGCTATGTAACCCTCTATCTCTTCATTTTGTCTTTGTTTCAGGAAAGTTCAGAAACAAATTCAGAAATAAATTATAGCAACTGTGTAATCCCTTACAGAATACATTTCTTATTTTTCTCAATGTCATGACCTATTCTTCTAATTTATCTTTGCCCTGATACTCTTTTTTCCTTTTTTCATTTATATTTGATCATGTTATTGTGTTTCTGCTGCAATCATCTCAAATTCTTTTTTTAAAGAATGAGTCAGGGTATATGTAAATAAGTGAATAAATAAATAAGAGCATGATTCCGTATTCTGTATACCATAGCATCCTATTACAAACTCTTCCATTACAGTTGGGTATTATCACAGGAACATTTCCATCTCATTATAAAATGAATTGACTAAACGTACAGAAGGTCTGGTGTGAATAAAAATTACATGCCAGGCACCTATTAAATAGCTCCTATTAGAACTTCTGATTTCCAGGCAGGAAATGGCAATGATTTATGATTCATTTTTAAACTTTTATTTTAAAGAATAGGTACCTATCTGGCAGATAAAATTTAATTATATTTAATTTTTCTCAAAGGAATTGTATTATTGTTTTGCCAGCCACTCAGGTTATGTATTACAATCCTCCATTTTATGGTTGACAAAACGGGTTTGGAGAGGTCATCGCTCATAGCTACAAAATTAAGATGCAGAAGCACTGTCCTCTTGGGCTTTTTTTTGTAATTAAATCCTCTGTCTAATTTAGAAAAACAGCCCCATACAGGATTTCAGTGCCATTGTAAAAAGAACATGACAGCCAATATCTGTGTGTTTCCATTCTACCACCTTTGACATACCCACCTACGCAGACTTTTATCTTCGGTTATGTGCTTCTGATATATTTTTTTAAAAATCAAGACAAGGTCTTGCTCTGTTGCCCAGGGTAGAGTGTAATGGCATGACCATGGCTCACTGCAGCCTCAACCTCCTGGGCTCAAGCAATCCTCCCACCTCTGCCTCCTGAATAGCTGGGACTACAGGTGTGCATACCATGGGCTGCTAAGTTTTGTATTTTTTGAAGAGATGGGTTTCACCATGTTGCCTAGGTTGGTCATAAACTCCTGGGCTGAAGTGATTCTCCTGGCTGGGGCTCCCAAAATGCTGTGATTGTAGGTGTGAGCCACCCTGCCTGGCTACTCCTGATATTTGAAATGACAATTCTACTTTAGGCTTTTTCTTTCTTCTCCTCTCATCATCCTGTGAGCATTTGTTCCTCAAAATCCAGCCCCACTCTGTCCTCTCTACTGGTATCCCCATTTTGGTTTTCATTTCTTACGCTCAAGGCAGGCAGTGGGTCTTGTCCAGTTCAGAGCTTTAAAGGAGATTTGTGTATATGTGCTTTGCAGTGATAAGCATCCAAAAAGTGTCTCAAGGGACCCTGAAAAAGGCACAGAGCCTTCTGTGGCAAAACCCAAGCTTGAGGCTCAAAAAATCTCAGCTAAGGTGAACTGTTTTCTGAGAAGCCTTTGGTTTGTAAATGCTTTCTTACCACTCAGGGGCAGCATGTGTTTCTCTGGAATTTGGTTATGTGCGTTTTAGCTGATGCCTTTCTTCATCATTATATTTTAAACCATATATCTGGGAGATCTCAAACTCCAACTGGGCTCTGAAAAAGGTGACAAATTGATCTAGAATCAATAAAGGAAATACAGCTCTGTCCTCCACTGATAATTCACTTCTATGGGGTGACTTATAGCTTAAGCTTCTCTGGTATGATACATCAGCCGTGCCCGCCCTTTACATCTTCCTAGTGGGGCATATATTCTTCTCAAGATTATAGTTGTGCTTGCAGTTCCCTAAGTGATTTAGTCCCATTGAAACAATGATATTTATATGTTTGTGTATTTATTTACTGCTTATCCATTCACTCATTTCCTCATCATTCACCTACTTATCCGCCAAACATTTTTTTATCGTCTTCTAAGAGTCAAGTGTTAAAATATAACTTTCATGAAAGCAAGAGCCCTGCCGATTTAGTTAATTGCTATATCCTCAGGCCTTAGTACTGTGGCTATCACTGAATAAATATTTGGTAATTTAATAGAACACCTATTGTGGCAGAGATTGCTAGTTGCCTACACCAGCATCCATTCTTTCCTTTAGCCCTACTTTAGAGAGCCCTGATTTTATATAGGCATATTGCCACTGAACCCTTCTTGCAGCTAGTTATGGCCATGGGATTTTATTCAAGTCTGTGGCATTAAGAGTAACTGCAGTGTGATACTACTGGGGAACTTCTTAAAAGGGGTTGTTTCAGCTACACAAGATTCTCTTTTTGACCATCTATTTACCTTCTCTTCTAGCTTGCAACATACATTGTTATTCTTGTGATTGAGAAATAATAATAATTTATATAGAGAAGGTGCACAAACATTAATCATGTAAGTCAATGGATTTTCACATGCACATATACTTGGGAAACCATTACCCAGATTAAAATATAAAATATTTCCAGAACCTCAGAAACCTCCCTTATGACTATCCCTGTCAATAACGTTCCCAGGGGAAAAAGTTGGATTTGTTTTGCTTGATTTTGAATTTCATGTAAACAGAATCATACAGTTTATCAGCCAAGGTCTCATCAGGAGACAGAAACAATATCATTAATTTGAACAGGGAAAAATTAATATAAAGAATCATTAAACAGGAAGGAATAGTTAATCACTAAAATGGTTAAGAGAGGATTAGAAGGAAGACAAAAGTAGCAAAACAAACTGCATTTAGATCTGAGAGTGGTCAATAAGAAACTAGGAATTTAAAGAAGGCTGTACTCTCACCCCTGGCATTTGTACCTGGTTGGAGAGGGTTTAGTTGTCACGGGAACAGGCAGCCTGCTATGGCCAAGAACTTTTCTGGAAGGTGTGAACTAGAACTGGCCCATAGAAGTGGCCTGCCTGTTGATGGAGGAATTTGCTGGAGGGCACAGCCCTGCATGGATTTGTGGGGGCTGCTGGAGTGAGCACTACTGGGCAACTCAAATGCCAATCTGCCAGCTGCTGGACACACCAAAAACAGTATCGTGGAGCCATCAGGGAAAGCCGTTTTTGCTGCAGATTTGCAGTGATCCTCCACGGCCATTTTTGGACAAGCCTAATATTGAGTAAATTGGCTAAGGAGAATGTTTATAGGGTCAAGTGCTAGTATCACAAAGGCAGGGCAAAGAGTAGATGTGGAGCTGAGAGGCAATAAATCAATAACTGCCACACATAGTATGTACTTTTTTTGTGTGCCTGTCTTATTTCATTCCTAATTATATGAAGACTGGATTTGATAGCTGGAGCTCCAGCAACTGCCTGGAACTAGGAAGTGACTTTGAACATGGAAGCCGTGTTCTAACATGGTAAGCAGAACGATAAGAACCTGAGTTCCTGGTGACAGCAATGGAGCATCCCTACCAGCCCAGGACTTATAAATCTGAACTTTTTTTTTTTTTTAACGTTAGAGGGAAATACTACTTTCTTTTGTTTAAGCCGTGTGATTTTTTTTTCCCCATCAAATAGCAACTAATAAACGTGTTTCAGATTGTTCCTAATGTGGGTGAGATAGTCATATCAACAAAACCAATATCCAAATGAGAAAGGTAAGTGAAGCGATGAGTATTGAGTCTTTTGTCTCTTCCAGGCCCTGTGCTAGATACTTGTGTTACTGTGGAGATTCAGATATTCCTATCATTTGATTTTGTGCCCATTCATCATATCAGCCAGCACAGATTGATTTTGAATCTAGATTTTTTTTTTACTTCTAGTTCTTTGCTTTATTCTTTAATAACCCAAATGTCACCTGATTACTCTACCACTTAAGAACTAAGACTTCCTAAGTATTTAGTTTTGCCCCTCCCACCCCTACCAGAAGTCTAAAACTTTCCCTCAAATTTCTGTCAATTTAACAGTTGTAGGTGAGGATGGGGAAGGGTTGTTGTGTAATGGGTTTACATTCTTACAATTACCTCTGCCTTTGAACAGCTTCTTCGGGTTGCAGATGGATTTTGCATATTGTGCATACACTAATATTCATACTGTATCAACTCAGCTGTAAAACTCAACATTTATCAGCTTCCACAGAGACACTCACTTATACAACTCAATATCTAAGTGTGATAGTCCTTATTGAAGATATAACACAATAGTAGTCAGAAAAAATCTCTACTTTTATGTTTTATTATGTCTTTTGAAAGGTAATATATTCAGATGGTTCAATATTAAAGTGAGAAATGGTATATAAACGACCAAATTTTCTACTGGATTGTTGATCTTTTATCGATTGGTAGAAGCTCTTAATATGTTAAATGAGCCTTTTGTAATAAGACTGCAAATATATTTTCTGAGTTTGTCTGTTTTCTTTTGATCTTTTCATAGTGATTTCTCCATGAATATTTATTTAAAATTTTTATATAGTCAACTTTTTCAATTTTTTCTTTTCTTTTATGGCTTTAGGGTATTGTTTTTAAGTAGAAAGGTCTCCTACACTTTGTGATTATAAATAATTCTTCCATTATTATTATATTTTCCTAATAGTTTTAAGAATTTTTTACAAGTACATTTAAATAATTGATCTATTGAGAATTTATTCTTATATAAAGTGCTGGTTTAGATCTAAGTTATATTTCTCTATATGGCTAACCCAGTTACCCCAATATCATTTAATTCTTAGTATTTTTCTCATTGATTTAAAATACCACTTTCATTTTCTATTAAATTACCCTTGGCATTTGTTTATATGAGTGGATTCTATTTTGTTACAACGTTGCCTCTTCTTGAGCCTGTATCACAATACTATAATTATTTAGGTTGTATGATATGTTTTAGTATCTTACAGGGCTGGTTCTTCTTCATTACTCTTATTTTTCAGAATGTTTTTTACTTTCCTTGACTTGTTTATATTTTCATATGAATTGATAATTACTTTGTCCAGGTGCATGAATAAAATCCTACTGGTATTGATATTGAAATCATATTAAAGCTACAGATTGACTTTGGAGAATTTACATTCTTTTGAGTCTTTGCGATATTGTGTCTTCCTAGTCCATACTTTCCATCTTTGCATTTGTTCATGATTTCTTTTGTCCTTGAAGAGTGCATTAACGTTTTATGCTCATAGACCTTATACATTTCTTGTTTTTCTGTTAATTCTCTTAATTCATGGTATTTAATACTATCTTCAATTATTGATAAATTTACAACTTCTTTAAAATATCTACTCTAAAATGTCAGCAGTTCTGAGCCTGAAGAAACCCCTGTACTACACTGTACTCCCTTCCAGCTACACCAGCCTTCTCTTTGCTCTTAAAATATGCCAAACTTCCCCCATCTTAGGACTTTTGCATGCTGTTTCTTCTCCCAGGAATGCTCTTTTCTCAAGATTTTTACCTAGCTGTCTCCTTGTCTTTCAGGTGTCAGCCTAAATACAACCTCTTTAGACAGTCCTTCCTTGACCAACAGCAAAGGAAGTTTCTTTACAGAACTTATCACTTCTGATACTTTAAAAATGGATTTGATGGTAGTGACTTTTTATGTTATGTACTACTAACTACTGAATCTCTAGTATCTAGAAAAATTCAGTCTGTTGAATTAAACTCGAAATAGCACTTCTTTCCTTTGTCTCCTATAAGGTTTTCCCCATTTGTACTTTTCCTGACATCACATTTTCCTTTTTTTTTTTTTTTTAGGTGGAGTCTTGCTCTGTCGCCCAGGCTGGAGTGCAGTGGAGCGTGATCTTGGCTCACTGCAAGCTCCGCCTCCTGGTTCACGCCATTCTCCTGCCTCAGCCTGCGGAGTAGCTGGAACTACAGGTGCCTGCCACCACACCCGGATAATTTTTTGTAGTTTTAGTAGAGATGAGGTTTCACCGTGTTAGCCAGGATGGTCTCGATCTCCTGACTTCGTGATCCACCGCGCCTGGCCGACATCACATTTTACTTCTGTCCATCAGCTCCTCAGTTTAGGAAAATCTTATCTTCCTAACAAATAGAAAACTCTTGTAGCTCAAATAAGAGGAAAAGATGAGGCCTAATGTTTAAAGTCCTGATGGATTCAAAGCCCTGATGGAGTCTCTCCACTCCTCATACCTGAAGTCTGAATATTTGTCATCTCAGATTATCTACAACTAAGGAGGGAACCTGACTTTTTCTTTGTCCCAGAGTGGGCAGGTTATTCTCCCTCCCAATACAAACCACCTTAAGGAAAAGATACAACTTATTGGCATAAATGGCTGGGATTGTTCTGAGGTTGTTCATAGGTTCAAAGAAATTGCTGCAGGGACTAGAACAAGGCCTCACACCACCAAGATTTTCCTCACTTCTTCAGGCAGCCTTCTGCCTACCTGTCCCGCATGGCGTCATTCCTCAGAAGGCTTCTCCAGGCTCCTGGTAAGATGTGGTCTGGCTGCCTCTTAGTTGACTAACTGTAACTTAAAGAGGGCATCCTTTCCCAAAGAGCTTATATAAAGAGAAAAACTTTTGTTGGCCCTTCATGGGTCACATGTCCATTCTTGGACCAATTACTATATCACAGGAATGAATAAAGAGCTGTGATTGGCCAGGTTCTGCTCGTGTTCCCTTGCCGACCACAGGGGTTGTTTCTGATGCCGATGGGGTTTGAGTGCAGAAGAAATGCATGGACAGGGAAAAAAAGTAGCCAGCAAATCTCCCTCAGGTGCATATTAAGTAAGTGGCTGGAATTTGAGACTTTTCCATTGTGTGTATAATATTTAAAACATGATGTACTGTACATGAGACCTAATTACATAAGAAGGCAGTGAATTAAATAATAGTTGAAGTTTATGTTTTGACATGCTTGTCTTTATTTTAGCACTTTTTATTGTTATGTTCAGAGTTTTTTGAGAATTTGGCATCGATTTTCAGTATTGTGTACCTTTACTGAGATTTTATTACTTTACTTTATTATTATGGTTCAAAATTCCAGTTGTTTAACCCAATCAATGCCTTCCCAGAGGGATTAGGATCATGTAGATCAAGTCCTGTGTCCCTTCTAATTTCCATGAGAAGCTGTGTGACTCAGACAAGGAGGATGGTGACTTGTGGTGTGAATATGTTCCGCTCTGTGAAGAAGATGTCCCAACCTCACTACCAAACTGCCAGGAAGAGTCACATGAAATTTCTAACATGTAATTGAGAAAAGACAGAGCTGGGCCCTCTCCAGAGGGTCTGAGTTCTACTGTAGACTCCATCCACCATTACATCGAAAACTTTGGGAAACCAAGTAAACATCTCAGACCTTTGAGTTGTCTTTATCTGTCAGATGATGGGGATTTTTAATGCCAGTCTCACAGAATTGTGAAAATAATAAACAGACAAACCTTGATTTACAATGGTTTGAATCCAGATTTTTCAACTTTACAATGGGGCAAAAGGTATAAGATACGTTTTTGCAATGCTGGGCAGAACCCACAAGCCACAGCCCCATGGTCATGAGCGTGAAACAATTGATACCCTAAAATTTACTATGTTTCCAGGTGATTTTGCCCAACTGTAATGTTCTGAGCATGTTTAACGTAGGCTATGATGTTTGTTTGATAGGTTAGGCATTTTTGACTTAGCAATGTTTTCCATTTACAATGGTTTACCAGAATATAACCCCATCATAAGATGAGGAGCATCTATATACGTGAATGTACTCTATAACTTGTAAAGCACTATGTGATCATAGTCAAGCTGTTTTAAATCTTTTAGGTAGGCCAGGCATTGTGGGTCATGCTGTCATCCCAGCACTCTGGGAGGCCAAGGCAGGTGTATTGTTTGAGTTCTGGGGTTCAAGACCAGCTTGGGCAACATGGTGAAATACCGTTTCTACAAAAAAAAAAAAAAAAATAGCTAGGCATGGAGGCACATGCCTGTAGTCCCAGCTACTCAGGAGACTGAGGTTGGGGGATCACTTGAGCCCAGGAGGCAGAGGCTGCAGTGAACTGCGCTAGCATAATTAGACTCCAGCCTGGGTGACAGAGTGAGACTCTGTCTCACCAAAAAATAATAATAATAATATTTAAGGTAACAAAATAGATAATCAATACTACAATCATAAATAAAGTTCTAACAAAATACAAAGCATTTATAGTCTGTACTATTCATTTTGTAACACAGCCAGAGATACTTTGCACATTCCCTGTCTGCGTATATGTAAAACTTGTCCTCTTAGAAAGTGTTTCCTTGAAGAAAAAACCAACATGACGTCATATACATTTTCCAATAACAACATAATGTTTACTATATAGCAGGGCCCCTAGAAGGCACTCCATAAATGCATATAATATTGAGTTATGTTGTTGAATCATGGAGTAAGTGAAAGTAGGATTGAGGCAGTTGGAGAGAGGAAGCCTGGGAGCAGTAGTGGAACTGGGGCCTTTAGTTCTTGAATTCATAAAGGTGACTCCAAAAGCAAGTTTAAACAAGATGTTAGTGATCTAGATTAGGATTCACTACTCAAGTCCCACCATACACCTCTTGCCTTCAGAGTTCTGACAGACAGAGAATAAACACAGAGAATTGGACAAAGTAGGGGAAAGAATGAGCTTTAGAAGGGCTTTCCAGAATGGCTAGAGTACAGAATGCAGTGGGGTTTCCTTTACCCAACTCTTAGAAGCCTCCCAGTCTTGACTTGCCCACTAGTTTAGGTAATGGAACTGGAGCTGTATTGGCTTCACTAATTAGGGCCTGCCTGAAAGAATCAGCTAAGCCTAGGCTCTTGAAGGTTGGATTTGTTTCCTATTGTTACTGTAACAAATTACCACCAACTTAGTGGTTTAAAAAAACAAAAATTTCTCATTTAATAATTGTAAAAGTCAGAAGTCTAAAATCAGTCTGGGTGGGCTAAAGTCGAGGTGTTGGCAGAGCTCGTTCCTTCATGGGGCTTCCCACATTCCTTGGCTCCACATCTCGCTCTGCTACCATCATCATATCATCTCCTCTTGGACTTCTTCAATCCTCTTGCCTCACTCTCTTCTAAAGACCCTTGAGGGCCGGGCACGGTGGCTCACACTTGTAATCCCAGCACTTTGGGGGGGCCGAGGCGGGCAGATCATTTGAGGTCAGGAGTTCGAGACCAGCCTGGCCAAAATGGTGAAACTCTGTCTCTACTAAAAATACAAAGAAGTTAGCCAGACATGGTGGCGCATTCCTGTAGTCCCAGCTACTCGGGAGGCTGAGGCAGGATAATCACTTAAACTCAGGAGGTGGAGGTTGCAGTGAGTCAAGATTGTGCCACTGCACTCCACTCCAGCATGGGTGACAGAGCAAGACTCCGTCTCTAAAAAAACAAACAAACAAACAAAACCAAAAAATAAACACCTTGTAATTACATTGGGCACACACAGATAATCCAAGCTAATCTCCCTAAGGCAAGATCTTTAACTTAATCACATTTGAAAAGTCTTTTATTGCCACGTAAAGTAAAAGATTCTCAGATTCTGGGGATTCAGATTTGGAAATCTTTGGAAAGGGCATTATTCAGCCAATAACAAAAGTCTAAGAACTCAAGACAGAGAATGAGAAAGGTGGTGACAGGAACTGCTGCCAGAGGCTTCATGTAGTTGGCCCCACCCTTTATCTATTGCAGTGCAATGACTATCGGGCTTTTCTCTGAGTCTCACCATCAAATTAGCCTCTTCCCCTAAGGGACAAGTCCAGGTGGTGGTAGAAAGAGAATCTAATGCTCCCTCATGAGGAAAGAGGCATCTGTCTTTTCAGGCAATGTTTCCCCACAAGAGTGAGGGAAGAAGCTGCTGGAAACCATGGTTGCCTCCTTTCGGTTCTCTCTAGGGCCACCTTTGAAGAAGGACATAGATATATAGAATGAAGACACTGAACCACAGGCTACTTCCTGCTCACCATCCTTTCTTCTCCCTCTCTCTGTAACCCTTTCAGCTCTTTTCTTTGTTCCAAATTTCAGGAAGAAAAATGGAACTAAAAAGGGAAAACAATAGCAACAAAGATCAAAATAAATAACAAGGAAGCGGAGAGAAGAAAGAACATGGTGAAGAGAGTGAAACGCATTGTCATTTGGGGTGAATTGCAGAAAGAAATAAATTATTGTTCTTATATATAAGTGAGATCATGCAGTATTTGTCTTTCTGTGTCTGGCTTATTCACTTAACATAGTGTTCTCCATGTCCATTCATGTAATTACTAGCCACATGTAGGAGAATGAAACTGGATCCTCATCTCTCATCTTATACAAAATCAACTCAAGATGGATTAAGGACTTAAACCTAAGACCTGAAACTATAAAAATTATTCTAGAAGATAACATTGGAAAAACCCTTCTTGACATTGGTTTAGGCAAGGATTTCATTACCAAAAACCCAAAAGCAATGGCAATAAAAGCAAAGATAAATAGCTGGGACCTAATTAAACTAAAGAGCTTTTGCACAGCAAAAGAAACAGTCAAGAGAGTAAACGGACAACCCATACAGTGGGAGAAAATCTTCACAATCTATGCATCTGACAAAGGACTAATATCCAGAATCTACAATGAACTCAAACAAATCAGTAAGAAAAAAACAATCCCATCAAAAAGTGGGCTAAGGACATGAACAGTAATTCTCAAAAGAAGATATACAAATGGCCAATAAACATATGAAAAATGCTCAACATCACTAATGATCAGGGAAATGCAAATCAAAACCACAGTGTGATACTACCTTCCTCCTGTAAGAATGGCCATAATCAAAGAATCTAAAAACAGCAGATGTTGGTGTGGATGCAGTGATCAGGGAACACTTCTGCACTGCTGGTGGGAATCTAAACTAGTATAGCCACTATGGAAAACAGTGTGGCGATGCCTTAAAGAACTATAAGTAGAACTGCTATTTGATCCGGCAATCCCACTACTGGGTATCTACCCAGAGGAAAAGCAATCATTATTCAAAAAAGATACTTGCACACACGTTTACAGCAGCACAATTCACAATAGCAAAGTCATGGAACCAACCGAAATGCCTATCAATCAACAAATGGATAAAGAAACTCTGAGATATATATGTGTGTGTGTGTGTGTGTGTGTGTGTGTGTGTGTATGATGAAATACTATTCAGCCATAAAAAGGAATGAATTCACAGCATTTGCAATGACGTGGATGAGATTAGAGACTATTATTCTAAGTGAAGTAAACTCAGGAATGGAACACCAAATATCTTATGTTCTCACTGATATGTGGGAGCTAAGCTATGAGGATGCAAAAGCATGAGAATGATGCAATGGACTTTAGGGAGTTGGGGGGAAGTGATAACAGACAAAAAATATGGTGCAGCGTATACTGCTTAGGTGATGGGTGCACCAGGTTCTTACAAATCTCCACTAAAGAACTTACATAACCAAATACCACCTGTACCCCAATAACTTATGGAAAAATGTTTTTGCAAATGACAGTTTTTTTTCTTTTTTAATGGCCAAATAATATTCCGTTGTGTACATATGCCCCCATTTTCTCTATCCATTCCATTTGTCAGATCCATCCAGATGAATGGATAAACTTAAGTTGATTTAATATGTTGGCTATTATAAATAATGTGGAGATATCTCTTTGACATACTAACTTCATTGTCTTTGGCTATGTGCCTAGAAGTGGGATTGCTGGATCATACGACAGTTCTATTTTTAATTTTTTGAAGAATCTCCATACTATTTTCCACAATGGCTGTACTAATTTACATTTCCACCAATAGTGTGCAAGGATTACCTTTTCTCCACATTTGTTGTCTCTTGTTATCACCAACACTTGTCATATCCTGTCTTTTTTTCCTTGATAATAGCCATTCTAACAGGTGTGAGGTAGTACCTCATTGAGGTTTTAATTTGCATTTCTCCTATGATTAGTTATGTTGCAAAAATATTAATCTAAAGGGAGAGATAGACTGCAATACAATAGTAGGAGACTTCAACATCCCTCTTTCAACAATGGACTGATTGTCCAGACAGAAAATCAATAAGGAAACATTTGATTTGAGCTACACATTTGACCAAATGGACTCAACAGTCATATATAGAACATTTCATCTAACAACTGTAGAATACACTTCTCAAATACACACACAACATGTTCCAGGATAGATCATATAGGCCGCAAGGTCACAAAACAAGTCTTAACAATTATCATATCAAGTATGTTTTCTTGGCCACTATGGTATGAAACTGGAAATCAATAACAGGTGGGATTTTGGAAAATTCACAAATATGTGGAAACTCCACATTTCTTTGATTTAATTTTGGGGAAGGAAATAAATTTCTCAGAAAAGACTAAGAGGCTTAATGAAGAATGACTGATTAAGAGAGTCAGAGAAAAAAAATCCGGCTTTCTTATCCTGATTTCCTCTAACCTGCTAGGCAGATCGTCTGTCTGACTCTTACAAAGGAAGCTAAGCCTTGAATACTATTACGCTTCCTACGATGAGATCAGCAGAAATGAGAACAGACTCTAAAAGGTATTTTGCACTTTCTGGGAACAGATGCTGATTAGGTATATTTAGTTGGTGGACCTGTTTATTGTGTTTCTTGTTAAATGCAATGTTACTGTTAATACCTCTCGTGAGTTTCAATACATGATACTGGTGATGACACTTTATCTTGACTAAATACATAGGAAAGAAGACTTAATGTGTTGCTAAGGCAATGCATTCTCATGGAGGTACTAAGGACCAGAATAAATAGCAAGGCATTTTTTTTTCTCGCACTATTACATTCACATTTGCTGTGTGGTATCTTGTTTTGTCTCATCTTACTTGCCCTATTTATTTACTGGTTATGGCATGAAACTTTAATTGTGGTGTAGCTGGCTGTGTCCACATCAAATAAACATAAAAACAAGAACACAGGCAGTCATCCAGAAACTGCTCCTTAGGTAATGTTCACTAAGGCAGAGTGAAGGTGCCAAGCAATTATCTGGTGAGTAAGATCAATGTAGACAGCAATACCAGCTAATTCATTCCTCGCTCTGCAATTTTCTTTTTCATTTTTAGATTAGAACTACTAGAGAAAGCTGCAAAATCTTCACTTAATGCTACTCCTGTAGGTTTGTGTTGACCAGGGTCAAGCACTAGGGCCCAAAGACCTGTTTCTGTTTTTCTTACCACACCACAGTACCTCTCCACATGAGAACTAAAGGACGTTTCTCCTTCTAGTCAGAGATAGCACAGCATTTTCAAGATAAACTATTTAGGGCTTATCAAAATTATACTTCAGTATGTTTTTCAATAAGGTCCAAAGCATATTCGTATATGTAACTGGATGTCCAGTGGGACACCATCTGTTATCCCACAATTGTAGCTAAGGCCCAAAACTGAGGATAAAAACTGCTTCATGATCCTTTAGTGAGACCGACCAGTGAGACAGCAAAAATGACAGCCACCTCACAGTGTGTCAATATAGCAAGAAACAGAGAAGGAGAGACAGTGTGTGATGGCAAGCGTGGTGTTCACAGAGAAGCTGTTATTGCTATTGTGTGGAGAATGAATCACAAGGAAGGGACATTTAAGAAATAACTCATAACAAGTTTAGTTGACTGAATGAAGGGTAGACTGGCATCTATTTTCTGGCTGTATTCTTGTTGAGCTACCCAAAGTCCTGCACACACTTACACTGCCAGCTGAGTGCAAGCTGGTAAGAGAGCTCCAGGGAGCATGTCCTGGGCCCCAGGAGCAGGGCTGCCACGTGGTCAAGCAGTTTGTATGGGCTCAAGGCCACAATTCTAGGTGCACTGCTCACATCATAGACATTCAGCAGTGCAACACTTTGTCATTGCTCTTTTTCTTCCCTGCTGTGGTGAAGAAGGGACTGGTTATGTGTTCCCTGGAGTTTTGGGGGTATAGCAGACCATGGTGCTGGGCTCACTTCTAGATTGGACATTTCTGAAGTGAAAGACCTGCTGGAGTCCCACTGGTTTGAGGGACTGTGGAGTAATGGTTCTGGGAAGAAAATGGAGTCAAGCTCCCCCATTCCAACTCTCTGGTCTCTCACTGACAATATATGAAATGGGAATTTGTTGATTCTAGGATCAAAACAAAAAACATGGAGGTTGGCAGAGAGATAGTAACCCTGAAGCCACTGTGGTTGCTGGTGAGCTGAATGAAGGCATTCAGCCAGGAGAAGCTTTGGGGGGTTGGGGGGTTGGGGTATCGCTGCTGGAGTTGAAAGGAGTCATGCTGGTCCCTCTTAAGAGGATTTTCAGGAGTGTGTTGGGCCAGGGTAAGGTTTAAAATGACCCCAGAAAAACCATGCATAACATTTATGTGGAAGTCAACACTCCAACTGGGGCTATAAATATCTCAGCCCCTTCTAAGTACCAACCACTGGGCAGTTCTTGGAATGAATCTTCTCTCTGCACAGGCTTCCCTGGTTGTCACTGGGCAAAACGAAGGCCCTAGAATCTGAATGGAAGGTTGAAATAAAGAAGGAGGCAAGTGTATGAAAAGACAATACGTTCTTTCATCCAGGTTCGTGTGTGTGTGTGTGTGTGCATCTCACATCTAAAACATACCTTCACAGCAACATCTGGACTAGTGTGTGACCAAACAACTGGAAGCTATAGCCTAGCCAAGATGACACATAAGATTAACCATCACTGAGTTATTTTAAAAATAAGGTCATTATTATTTTAAATTTATATTTACAGTAACATATTGAGACTCTTTGATGAACTTGTTACACATCTTAAATGAGAAGTAGGAGAAAAGCAAGAATGAAAAAGTTGCAAAGTGTTGGCTCTCCTAAACAAAACCGTTCTTCTGGCTTATAGGTGCATGGGGTTTGTATGTTTGCATATATGTAAAACAAAAAGTAGAAGCAAGAAGTATATACTTTTGTTTCCTTTGGTTGTTTTCTTCAGAGAGGTGACAAAGCTGTGCAGATACATAAAGGATCTTGTGTGTTCTAGGCTCAGTGTCACTGATTCACATTTGGATGTACAATGGAGCACTGTGAGTGGATGCTACAGGTCACTGCAAACCTAGCAAATAATGAGGATAATGATGATTACGGTAATTGGGAAACTAACTAGGGAAAGAGGAGAATCCCTGCTTGAACTCAGATCATATAGGGTTTCAATTATGAATATAAACCAAGAAACAGTAATGTAACGACTTTTTATTTTAATGCTGAGAGATTAAGACTGAATTTTGATATTAAATGTTGTACAGATTGGCATAATCCAGGTACATTTCGAAGAAGGCAAAGTGTATGTGAGTGTGTGTGTGTGTGTGTGTGTGTGTGTGTGTATTCATGAACACATGACTGAAAAAAAGATTAAACCTCATATGTTAGTCTCGATGGCTTTCCCAAGCTAGGAGCCTTATCTCCCTTGTGAATTTGGGATTGGGACGGTTTTTATGGCCACTCTTGTTTTTCTGAGACATTGCTGGAGTGCAGTGGTGCGATCTCGGCTCACTGCAGTCTCCACCTCGCCACTCTTGTTTGCCTCATATCAAAGACTTCTTGCTATGTGTTGCCTATCTCTGTCATGTTCACTATCACCAGGGTCCAAGTGCAGTCTTACAAAGCACTCCTTAATTCTGTAGACCACAGAGGCTACATTCACAGAACTAGGTTAAACACAACTTTTAAAGTTATTTGTCACATCAAAGAATGTCCACTTCCTTCCTCCAAACAAGAGGACGCCTAGCAGAGAGACTGTATGTAATATTATTACCTTTTCTTGATTTATTTATACCAAAGCATTCTATTACCTGCTAATCCAGGAAATTATTCTGCAAGTCCTGTTATAGAGCCAGAATAAACCCTTAATTATATAGAAACAATATTATTCGAAGCTATGCTAAAGCAATTAGAATTCAATTAAAATAATTAATGTATCAACAAATATACTACATATCTAAAAACAAACCTTTAATAAACATATCGCCAGCAATATTATCTAATTCCTTGGTATTTGTATTTAATTAGGTAGGTAATAGAAAGAATGTCAGGTTTTGTTTTTCTAGAGAAAAGCCCAGATGGGGATTAATTGCAAATATCTATTGAGTACTGATTAACTGTCAACTCCTATGCTTGTCCCTGAGGAAAACTTGCGAGTAGAAAAAGCATAAAAGAAGATCAAAAAATGGGATGAGACAAAGAATTGCAAATCTTGTTTGAAATACATATTTCAGCACCCAACACATTTGTAATAATGTGATAAATAAGGAGATATGAACCATAAAAACTATAGGAGTTTAAAAGGGGAGATCAACAAAAGATAACCTAAGTAGGAAAGATTTAGTGAGAGAGGTGGGGTTTGAACTGGGATATGAGGAATGGGGCAAAATGAGAAAACTTTTCAAGGCATGGAGAAGGAGGAAGGCTAGAATATCAACAAAAGATTAAGGACCACATACCCAAAGGTGCAACAGAGGGACAAAGATGATGGGTTTGTAGTCAGAGAGAAGGTTGTCTTGTCTAAAGTTGAGGCTTCTTGTTGGATCAGAGTAGAAAACAGGTTTGATGATGAGTTAGTCTGTTCTTGCATTACTATCAAGAAATACCTGAGACTGGGTAATTTATAAAGAAAAGAGCTTTATTTGGCTCATGGTTCTTCAGGCTGTACAGGAAGCATAGTGGTTTCTGTTTCTGGGGAGGCCTTAGGGAGCTTTTACTCATGGTGGAAGGCAAAGCCAGGGCAGGCGCATCTCACACGGTGGGAGCGGGAGCAAGAGGCAGAGGGGAGGTGCCACACACTTTAAACAACCAGATCTCAGGAGAACTCACTATCACGATGGCTACACCAAAGGGGATGGCGTTAAACCATGAGAAACCACCCAGGTGATTACTCCACTGGGCCCTGCCTCCAACATTGGGGATTGCAATTTCACATGCTACTTGGGTGGGGACATAGATCCAAACTATATAAGATGTCATGAAAGACGAAATGTGTCAGACAATTAAGGAGAGGATTTTATTCCTGCTATTTCAATAAGAAGGACATTCATTAATGGGGTATGATTCAAAGATGAGAGAAAAATAACTGAGGTTTTATACAACAAAGACATCATTGAGGAAGAATAGAAGTGGGTCTTATTTCAGCATATGCAAGAACAGGGAAGTCTTTGCTGTTAGAACACAAAAGGGTGAGGGGGTTCCGTCATTGTTCCTCTTTTCAGGGAGCACAAGGCCCAGGTAAAGTTTAATACTGTTAATAGTATGGAGGTAGCTATATCACACAGGTCCTTAAGGCAGACTGAGAATGTGAGAGTTGAAAGGGAGGCTAAAAGAGGACACACATAGGCTATATTATGAATGAAATATTTTAAATAGAAAGGAAATACATCCTATTCTGCATTTGGTGATGATATGTGGGACAAGGTAGGCTGGGCAGGTGAAAGACAGCACAGGTAGATTACACAAAAGACTGCTAGAAAATTTACATGTGAGAGATGAGGGGCTACAGAGAGGGCTTGGAGGCAGAGTAAAAATTGATAGAGGAGGGTCAGTTAGTAAGAAATATATTTGGCAAAGAAAAAAAGATGGTAATTAGTTTTTGAAAATAACCAAAAGCCTATGAAAGAAGGAACTAGGCAAAAATACAGTTTGGTAGGACATTTTCAATCTAATCTACTTTGAGATTCTGATGCTATGTAATGTTTAATAGGAAATGATTGACAGTGATGGTGCTCATGTTATCAAAAATATGTGATCTAGTGAAATGCTCACCAGACTTAGAATCAGAAGACATGGACTTGCATTTTGCTCACACATTGCGCAATCCTGGGAAAACCACTTCACCTCTCTGAGTGAGCTTCTGTCACAAGAAAAAAGGGCTATTTTTTTGTCAATAAGAAGAAATAATGTTTTAAAGTAACCTGCACAACACAAGTGCTATGCAAATGTAAATATCTTATTTTACTTTACTTATTCACTTTTCACTTACTGCCAGAAACTTAGAAATTTATAAAAAACAGAATGCTAAAATGAATACAATAATCATGGTATCCTCTAGTTCCTGAACATTCACTATATGCAAGTCCTACATGCTTTATAGGCATTGCTCCCATAATAATCTTCAGGAGCAGGTACTAGTTTTATTACAATTTCCCAGATAATAAAAATGAGACTTAGAGAAGAAATGAAAAGGTCATACAGCAATGGTAAAGCCAGAGTATAAACCCACATGTGTCCTGCTCCAAAAATTTAGCTCTTAAGAATATATTATGTTGCCTTTCAGAAGTCAAATAGAAAAATCAAAGTAAGGCAGTTATTCAGAGAAACTGGTGCCAGATATGAAGTTATAGAAAATTTCACGACATAGAGTCCTATATACTTGCTATCAGCAAGGTATAAACTAGGCTCTGAATTTTACACAGGAAGAAAAATATGATCAGCAACACAATATACAGTGCCAAGATAAAGTCAAGGTGCTACAGAAAAATAGTTATTCTAATAACACTTGGAAGAAATATCTTCCAAGGGTTCTCACCATGTTCAATATAATATACTTCTTTCTCAGCAATATCTTCAACTTAAATACAATGAGGCCTATCAGATAATATAATATTATTATCATTGTATATGTACCAGGATGTTAAAATTAGCTTTAACCAAGAAATACAGTAGCTGAGAATGTCGAAAGCTAGATTGCACATGCACACATATTCCACCACTTTGAAATCTCAGCTAGATCAGTCATATAGCTTGGCAGAATGAAGAACAGGAGGATTTGTGCAGTTGTGTCTTCAGAGTATCTGTTGTAATGCTGAGTCCCATCTCCACCCCAGGGGGTTGCTGGGTTGCTGGCAGGTGTTAAGGGAATGTCATCTTCCTTAACTTAAGCCTAGTGAGAAGTTAGTGTTTTGTGTAAACAGATACATGCTTATCCAGTTTTGTTCTTTGTCCTGGCTTTTTTAATTTTATTTTTTCTGAGACAGAGTCTCACTCTGTCACCCAGGCTGGAGTGCAGTGGCGCAATCTCAGCTCACTGCAAGCTCCTCCTACCTCAGCCTCCCGAGTAGCTGGGACTACAGGTGCCCGCCACCATGCCCGGCTAATTTTTTGTATTTTTAGTAGAGACAGCGTTTCACCGTGTCAGCTGGGATGGTCTGGATCTCCTGACCTCGTGATCTGCCTGCCTCGGCCTCCCAAAGTGCTGGGATTACAGGCGTGAGCCACCACGCCCGGCCTGTCCTGGCTTTTTCCCTCTGGCAATTTGATCTGGAGCCTAGGGAAGAGGAATTGCTTTTGTTCGACTTCACTGACATGACAGTTTGAAACAGAGAAATGATAGTGAAAGAGGATGAGAATAAAACCAGCCACTTCAAGGAATGGCATCCTGGGAGCCAAGGGCTCCAAAAGTCACCACCAGGAATTAAAGAGAAGTGTACTGACATCCAACCACAGTAGTGTAAGCAGTTCTTGACCTGAAGGTCTATCTGGTCATCACCAAGAGTCCAAGAAGAGAAAGATGTCATTGGTGATCTGGAAAACTAGCTCCCCTTCCTGGACTGTCTCTTTTAGAATTGGGTGTCTGCTTCTTCCTTTCCAGGTTGTAGAACCATGTTCTTCATTCTTCCTCCACTTACTCAAACTAGCCATCTTCATTATTTTGACTTTTCTAATGTTTGGTAATTGGATTGGTTGGCTGTTCTATCTCCATTAAAGTCTGCCTTACAGCAGAACCTTCACATAGGGCCAAATGAGAACTAAGAGCTCTTATAAAGAAGCACTTTAACACTCATTAATTTTGTCTCAAGTCTTCTGCTCTATTTGCTGAGTTAGAATAGCCTGCCATTTGTGGAAGGTGCTGGCTGTCTGTTATCCAGGGCCCTGGCTAGGCATCATGACAGAGCTTATTGTTAAATCCTTCACTTTGACTTAATGGAGCTTTTGTGCATACAACATGTGCCTGATATTTCAGAGAAACTCTCATTCTTTTTCTCCCATAACCTAGAGATTAATGTGGACACTGAATATTCTGTCCACCTACTGATTTCTCTCTAGTCTTATTTTTTGCTGCTTATGAAAAACAAAGGCCATCATTGTTCAAATGGCCCTACTCATTTCCTACAAGTCTTTGTTTCCTACGATTCACAGGAAATTAAGATTATTATGAAGGTAGATTTTCATTCCTTACCCAGGGCCATCCACACATCAGCA
Source organism: Homo sapiens (assembly GCF_000001405.40). Taxonomy (NCBI): domain Eukaryota; kingdom Metazoa; phylum Chordata; class Mammalia; order Primates; family Hominidae; genus Homo; species Homo sapiens. Next base: position 47,280,362 of record NC_000013.11, read on the forward strand.
CTGAGGATTAACCTAATACCATTGTTCTCCCTGTCTGAACATCAATAATCTTTTTTTTTCCCCCTTCCCAGAAGTGGAGGACCGAACTAAGCCATTGAAAAGAGTTCTGATGCAGTTTAAAAAACCTCTCTGCAGGGCACCTGTGGGCAGCCCTCTGTTGCATGGTCAATGGGTTCTGGGTAGGTAGGTTTTCTTATAGCTCAGCCTGGGGCAGAAATTTCCAATTTTCTAACTTCTTAGTTTCTGTTTGTTCATACAAATGCTTTGTAAAGCATGCCATTTATACAATGTTTTTAACTTTTCAAAAATGGCTAATTACATGATCATATGTTAGCATAATTCTTGTGGGATAGAAAGGAAAAACCATCAAGATTGGAAGAGTCAGACCACAGAAGACTGTCTTGCCTACATTTACACAACTTATAAAGAGATTGCGGATAAGAATTTATTATCTAGCCATCTGGCCTACCTGAGTTGATAACCCTATCTCTATCTCCTGCTGCAACCACAAAAAGTGAAATAAACATTTTATAAGAAATAGGTTTTTCATTTTTGGCCCAGAAATGTGGGAAACATCAAAATGGTTGGTGATTTGTCTTTTCTTAGATTTTAGTTGACAACTGAAAGGATTTCTGTAGTTTTCACTAGTAGTTAGAAAAATGTGTACATTTGCTGTGATTTATAAGAGGATGGAGGAAAGTGTGTATTCAGATCATTGCTGATCTTTCAAGCAATAACAGCCTATAAATTCAATTTGCCATTTTCAAGCACAAATTTTAAGTGAGCTTCTTCTATGTTCTCATCTTTGCATTTCTGATTACCATTTGATTTTGCATTTTGTGTTTATTGAGTGTTTGGATATATGACATCTAATTCCTCCCTGGTTGCTTCTCTTATTTTAATATGGTCCTCTATCAAGATCTTTTTGACCAAAATGCTGCCGTTTGATAGTAGCTGGTCAGTTTTCCAATTTGAGGCTTTAATAACCTAAACTCGGGGGTTGTGACCAATCCCGTTATGGTAGCTGTTTATGGTTTATCGTTAGAGGGTCTAACACTAATTTAAGGCATCTAATTCATCTATTTGTTGAAAGATTCATGACAGAAAAATTTCTTAATTTCTATGATTTAACTCTAAAAATTCTTTGGGAATTAATGTCAAATAGAGCCTTTTCTTTGTTCCTTGACCTTATGGTGAGTGAACTACTTTCCCGTTATTGGCCCTCTTCTCTATAATTAATTATTACTTTTATATCTGGTTCTTCTAAGTCTCTTCTAATATGGATCTTACTTAGGCTGGTATATAGCTAGAAACATATGGTTTGCTCACCTTATCCTTTTTGTAAATCGTGTTTGGGGGTTATTGCTTGTAACTGTTAGATATTAAAATAAAAACACAATCACATCCTCAAAATAGATATTTCATCACACATTTAAAGAGACACATGAATTAAAACAGGAGTTAAAAATGTAGACTAGGTATAGTCTAATAATTTTTTATTAATTTTCCACTGTTCTTATTAAATACTGCTAAATTTAATTTTAATCTTCTTTATGCTGACTTAAAGAGAACATTTACATTCCCTTAAGTAATTAAAAATAAATGTTCATTGGAGTTCCCATGTGCTTGCTACAGCGTAGTTAGCTCAAGCCTATTTTACCTCAAAAAAAGTTACACCCTCATCTTTAACTACCTGCTTTTAAAATTATCCAAAAGAAAACATTAAGTTCCTTTTCAACACTCTCAATTAATTTCTTAAGACACCTACTTCCCATTTTGCCTCCTCCGCATCATTGTCATCTCACCAAGAAAAGTCCCTGCTCACTCTTCCCAGCTCCCCAACCTCAGTGTGCTCTCTGCTTGTGAGTGGTGACAAACACAAACAGAGCTATGAAGACACAGGCTCTGGTTCTCTCCAGAATAAGACTCTGCTATGATGACATTTTCCCAATTTTGCTTCTCTTTGTTCTTGGAACTAAAGATACACATTTATTATTTAGCCTGAATTATGTGATTGATCAGTGTAGACAAGAACCACCAAAGAGACTGATAAAAAAACAAGATTAGATGGCTGACTCCCAGAAATATTGAGCTGGGAGCTCCTGCATGAGAACCAAAAGGTTCCATTGTAAACAACCAGTCATGTAATTCGTGTGCAGGTGTTTGGATGAATCACTTAGAAACACTGCTTTATGGTTCCCAGTTTTACAGCCTGATTCTTATTTGCTACTGCTGTGGTTTGAATATATGTGTCCCTCTAAAATTAATATATTAGGACTTAATCCTTAAGGTGAAGGTATTAAGAGGTGGAGCCTTTGGAAGGTGATTAGGTAGAGAGGGCTCAGCCCTCACAAATTGAACTAGTGCCCTTACCAAAGGGCTTAAGGAGGCTTTAACTTCTTCAGTCTTTTCTGCCATGTGAGAATACCACGTGAAGACGCCCTCACCAGACACCAAACTTGCTGGAACCATAATCTTGAACTTCCTCATCCAATTATGAAAATACCATTTTTATTTTTGTTTATTTTTAAAACTTTTAGGCTCAGGGTACATGTGCAGGTTTGTTATACAGGTAAATTGTGTGTCATGGGGATTTGATGTACAGATGATTTCATCACCCAGGTGATAAGCATAGTACCTGATAGGTAGTTTTTCAGTCCTCACCCTCCTCCCACCCTCCATCTACAAGTAGGCCCCACTCTCTGTTGTTCCCTTGTTTGTGTCAATATGTTCTCAATGTTTAGCTCCCACTTATAAGTGAGAACATATGGTATTTGGTTTTCTGTTCCCGTGTTAGTTTGCTTAGGATAGTGGTCTCCGGCGTCATTCATGTTGCTGCAGGGACATGATCTCATTGTTGTTTATGGTTGTGTAGTATTCCATGGTGTGTATGTCCCACATTTTCTTCATCCAGTCTACCGCTGATGGGCATTCAGGTTGATTCTATGTCTTTGCTATTGTGAAGAGTGCTGTGATGAACATAGGAGTGCGTGTGTCTTTTTGGTAGAATGATATCTACTTCTGTGGGTATATACCCAATAATGGGATTGCTGGGTAAAGTGATAGTTCTGATTTCTTTTTGAGAAATCACCAAACTGCCTTCCACAATAGCTGAACTAATTTACATTCCCACTAGCAGTGTATAAGCATTTCCTTTTCTCCCCAGCCTCACCAGCATCTGTTATTTTTTTTGACTTTTTGATAATAGCAATTCTGATTGGTGTGAGATGGCATCTCATTGTCGTTTTGATTTGCATTTCTCTAATGATTAGTGATGTTGAGCATTTTTTATATGCTTCTTGGCTACATGTATGTCTTTTTTGAAAATTTCTATTGTTTATACATATTTTAAAAGATCATTCTGGCTGCTGTGTGGATTGAATAGAAGGTAGCAAGAAGGGGAAGTTAGAAGATGAAGTCTGCTTGGACTTGGATGACAATGACAGAGTTGAAAGGTAAATGAATCCAGACTGTGTTGTGAAGGTAAAGCATAGGACTGGCCAGTAGAGTGGATGTGTACTGTGACAGGGCAGAGGAGAATATCATTTGCAATTTTTGATCTCAGCACAAAGTGAATTATGGTGCCATTTAGTGAGATGGTACGAGTAGGGAAGTGCAGGTAGGAAGAGAAATATTTAAGAGTTCTTAAATGTGTTGTTTGAGCTTCCTATGAGGCATCCGTATGCCAAGAAGGTAATTGGGTGTATGAGCATAGCATTTAGGGGAGAGGCCAACAGTAAGATTATAAATTTGGGAGTCTTCAACATATAAATTATATTTAAAGTTATTGAACTGTATAAAAATCACCAAAGAATGCAGATTAGAAGGAAATAAAAATTTTAAACACTATTAGTTAATTCATTGAAATTAAAAGAAACATTTTAAATCACAGTGTTTGAGAATGAACCTTAGAAAATAATTCTGATGGTATGAGTACTATAAATTCTCAAAATATTATACTAAGAAACATAAAATAGAGAATATTAACCTCCTGGGACCACAGGTGAGTACTCAGCAAAGAGCACAATGGAAGACTAGATAAATAGATAACTAAGGAAGTTCTCCTTTACATTTAATGAGATTCTGCCCTGCCTTTTATTTACTAAAAGGGAACAAGGAGCTTATAAAAATATCCAATTTCCCAGAAATCTGACGTTCCATTTTCACTGAGATGTCCATGGACTAATATAATGTCATGAAGTTTTTCTATTAAATGTGTTACTATAAAATATGACATATTTTACTTATAAGAAAATGGGCATGCAAGTCACAGAATAGGGAGGCAGAATGGCTAATAAACATCTGAAAAGATACTCAGCTTCATTTGTAATCAAGAAGCTACACATTAAAATGACATTTTGATACCTTATACCCATTAATTTGAAATGAATTTTTAAAATGCTTATACTGCTATTCACTAGCAACCATGGGAAAAACACAACTAGCATATAGTGTTGGTGGGAGTAAATCTGGTATAACATTAGTGACAGCAAATTAGCAGCATCTATTAAAGTTGAAAATGTGTGAACCGTACCATCCACCAATTCCACCTTTGGACACATCCCCTGAAGGAAATTTTACCCATGTGCACAGGAGAAATACAAAAGGGTATTCAATGCAGCATTACTCACAATAATGAATAATTAATTGGGAAAATTATCCTAAAAACTACTGTACTTGGGAGAATAGATACATAAAATATGGTATATTCACACTACAGAAATGATGAAACTGTTGAAGAGACTGAGATATGCATATATCTTACCAAAATGCCCAGATCTGAAAAATATCACTTCGAATTAAAAAAATCAGATTTCAGAGAGAGAGATACACAGTTGAACATTTATGTAATATTTTTGATACTCTAAAAATCACTATGTTTCTTGTTAGATATCCATATGAATGTAAAACTACATAACAATGAACTTGGAAAGATGCACACCAGAGTTACCATAGCAGATACTTTTCTGTGAAGAAAGGTGTGGGAAAGAAAGTGCACTTTAATTCATTTTATTCATTTACAGCATTAAGGAACATACATTAAGTTACTAAAAATTGTACATGTAGGGATGTTAATTACGTGTGTCTCTGATATACTATGCTTGATACTTTTCTATATTTTTTGTTTCTCAAATACACCACACAAACAAAACCGTCCAAACGAAAATGAGCATTTCTACTAGTAAAAACACAACAGTTATAATTGTTGAAGAAAACTTACAACAGGCAATTAAAATTGGGTTATTTTGGGGCCTCATGCTTAAGGAATAGAGTTCTAAAGTAAAATTAGCTTCGTCAATTTCCCATTCCTATTTGTTTCACAATTCAAGACCCCTCAAACCCAGCATGTATCTACTGAAAAGGGTTATATGATTATAAAAAGGATTCCCTTTTATCTTAAAGTATTTAATATTTACCTTTCTTGTGGTTGAGAACATTGACCTATATAGTTTTGGCATTTATCAGATATATTAATACCAAAGAAAGGGAGAGAACCCAACCCAAGCTAGTAACTCTGGTACAAAGGAGTCATGAGATCCCAGATATTTCAAGATATTTTTTGGTGCTCATAGAGGCTTTATGCTAAAAGTTTCCAAAAGTCCCCAGGAAGAAGATATAATGACTAGATTAAATGCTTACAAGGGCTGAATAAATTATGAGAGAGGCTTACATATGTTAAAAAAAATTCCATTTTATGTCTCAGTAGAAAAATATGAGGATCAATAAAATTAAACAGTCACTAAATGATTTACTTGTGCATGGGATTGTTTCATGTCCAAAAGTGAACAGCAAATCCAAATGACGTCTAACCTTCCACCCAGGTTTTCAGTTTGGGAAAGACCTTGCTTCAACCTGCCCACCTCAACTGCCCTGACCTGAAAGCACAAATAGATCATGTTGGTACAGACACCATCCATCAAAAAGCCAGTTGGGCTCTATGGGAAATTACCCTGGTTTTATCCAGAAGAGAGTGTATGTGTATACATACTTACATACATACATGTGTGTGTATATGTGTGTGTGTGTATATATATATATGTATGTGTGTGTTTGTGTGTGTGTGTGTGTGTGTCATAGAGACAAAGTATTGAAGAGGAAGAAATTGTCACATTTCTGATTACTGCCAACTATAAAGCCTAATTCAACTGTGGCTTGCCTGGAATTATGATTCTTGGATAATTACAAGTAGCCGTTTGTAAGATTAGAGGAAAAAGACATTTCCAACCATGAGACATGGATTTATATGCAGTTTGCTTGTTTGCACAAGCAGAAAGAACTGGTAGTTCCTTGGTTCTAACTCATGATAACATTGATCAGGGGAAAGTATGTACAGCTTCCTTTTATCTAAATCTTTCTGTCTTCCAAGCACACTGGCGTGCTCCTCAAACACTGCAAAACCAGGGATTTCCAGATTGCCCATATGAGTTTGAAGTGGTTCTCAAACACAAGGGCTCTGAATTTGTTTCCAAAACCACTGAATAAAGGAAGGGTAAAATGTGGTCAGATCAAGTCCTCAAATTCACCATTGCAGAGTCACTATCACAATCACGTCTAGCTTTAACTTCCTTAGTTTGTAATGGTGAGAAAATTACCCAAACAAACTTTCCCTATTCCCAACTCTTACCAGACTAATAAAAAGTCAGAACTGTGAATCACCCTTTGCCATCGCTGATAACCTGGCAGCCTTGTGTATTTGTGTGCATATGTGTGTGTATGAGTGAATACGTGCATATGTACATGTATGTGTGCACATGTTTGTGTATGCCAGTATGCATAGGTTTGCACATGTGTCTACAGGTAGATATGTTTGTGTGTATGTGTGTATGTTTAAAGGGAAAGAGTTGCTAATGTGGAAGAGTACAGTTGCAAGTATCTTCTTTTCTACTTTTCTGACATTGTGAGCTGAAGGCTCACACCAGGGGGCTTCTTGATAGATGATGGTTGTGGCTATCTTCTCATCACCACAAAGGCCTGCTGGCAGAACACCTTTTACCACACTATGCTTGCTGAGGTGCTCTTGATTAGGGGAAATTGGTTTGTGTGCTGGCAAACATAAAGGAGCCATGACTCAGGAAGCTAAATGCCAGAGAAATTGGAATCAGTGTTTGTGTAATGCTTTACAGTTCACCAGTGTCTTTCTATGTACATTAATCTATTTGCTCTGCAAAACAACTCTGTGCCTACTTGTAGGAATAATTATAATACTCCTTTTATGTAAGATGAAACCGAGGTCTACAGAGAAGTTCCCCATAGTGAGTTAGAGGCAGAGTGAAAGAACAAACTTTAGGTCAAATAACATTCCAGCCCAGTGTGACATTCAAATAATATGCAAACCCCCCAGGATGCCAGAGGGACCACAGGATTGAAGTGATTCAATATCAACAGCCAGCATCCTTCAAGTAGATCTTATATTGTGTGCATTTATGGATGGGTGAAGAGCTTATCACATAGTTCATTTAGAGATTTAGTTTTAAAATAAAAATACAATAAAAATGTGTTTGGTGTTGGAAACCCAATACTCTCTCCAATTGTAGAAGGTGGGGTCTGGACCTTCAAAATAGGCAGGGTTTAAGAAGTACTTGGCCATGCAAGTTGACCCAAGTAGCAGAGCACAGGACAAATCTGGCTTTGGGACTTCAGGGATAGTAATGCATCACAGAGGATAGGAATGGGCATATGCTATAGTGGCAAACAACCTCAACATCCCAGTGGCTCCCCAAAACAGAGCTTCATTTCTCATTCATGCTACATCTCCACCATGTTGGCTGTGGCACTGTTCCAGGTAATCCTTCCTGTAACCCAAGCTGCTGGGCAGCTAGGATCTGAAACATTATGGGTCTCATGGAGGAGAACTGAAGATGAGATTAGTCTGCTCTTACAGCTTCTTCCTAGAAACGACATATGGCACTTTTCTCACAGGTCCCTTGCCCAGGGGAAGGCACACAGTGATGCCTACCATCAGAGGCAGGAAATAAACCTCCCGCAGGAAACAGCAGAGAATATTTATGAAAATTAATGTAAAGATTTGCTATAGAATTATGTTTTTTCCACACTTTCCTTCTCTTGTCTTATCACTTACATTTACTTATATAGCAGTGTTTTTAAAGACCTTAAGAAGAGATGGAAAATCAAGGGATGAAGAGAGTCCATTCATTTGCCCATGAGTAAGCCTTTCTTATTGCAGAACCATCTGCCAAGCAATAGTCTTCCTAGTGTGGTGTCCTCCAAAGGAGTAGACACCCCTCAAATCTGAGGCTGAAAGGAGGCCTCATCACATGTTTTATTTGAGGACTCAGACTAGAGACTAATGTTCCTGCCTGTGTGACAACCAAGACTTTTCAGACAGACAGAAACTAGCATTCATGGGATGCCTGTGGCCACTATGCTTCACTTGTTTTACGTTTATTTCATTTACTTCTCACACCAGCCAATGGGGGTAGCGCATATTATCCTGTTGATATAGACAAGCCAGACATTTTATGCAACGTATTCAAGGCCACAAGGCAGTGAGTGCTACAGCTATCATTTGAACTTAACGTTACCGAAAGCAAAAGCCATGCTTTCTACATTACCCCACATTTTAACTTAAAATAATAATAGAAAATCTTTTCCCTACAAATAATGGTGTCAGAAAGGAGACCCTGCATCTTCTTTGAGTGACATTTCTACCTACGGGCCAAAAAGTATTCTTATCTCTGATCTAAAATAAAGTTCTTTTCTATTGCTCTCAGCTTAGCAAAAATGAAGCACATTTTCTCATTACCTTCGATACAATCCTCTGAGGATGCACTTAAAATTCTCTAAAAAGATAAGAGGGTGCAGCACACCAACACAGCGCATGTATACATATGTAACAAACCTGCACATTGTGCACATGTACCATAAAACTTAAAGTACAATAATAATAAAATAAAAAAAAAGAAAAGAACGTATTTAGGGGCACCGTACTTAAAGCTAAAGGAAATGTAAATGATACGTTATGACACACGTATAGACCTTACTATAAATGTGGCAACTTGTAGACCTTACTATAAATGTGGCAAAGAGATGTCTAAAAGCTTCCCCCTGCTCCGTGCCTCCCTCAGTCAAGGAAAATATATTATTTTCTTCTAACCCTCTAAGCAGAATACTTCATTACATGGGCTTCCTAGCATTAGCCATTGCCAGGGGGCCAAATACAGTAAATGGATCAATGGCCTGATGCTATTAAGCAGCTCCTACAAAGAAAAGAAATAGCCCACAGAGTCTCCTTGGCAATCAGACATCAATACTAGACACCCTCCAGGAAGGGCTCCTGAGCAGAGTGCCTACACACAGTCCTGATCAATAAAGCACTAAACAAGAATGAGTGGATCCACTCAGCAAACAATGAACAGGCCTGAGTCATCCATACCATGTCAAAGGAACCAAAGTATGGAATGCTTTCTAAATGGAAGTTTTAATCAGCTTCAGCTAATCTTGCCACACCCTCACGCATGATTGACTGCTAGGCTGTGCTTCAGAGTCAGTGCTGGACTCAAACTAGGCAGTATGCAGTACCTACTTTGACAGCACTGAATAGTAGTAGTAGTAATAAAAATGGCAATAACAATAGTAATAATTAATAATCATCATTTCTAAGTGTTGTATATGTATTAACTTGTTTAATTCTCACAACAACCCTATGGCATAGATATTATTATTATCTCTACTTTAAAGAAATAAATAGAGGCACAGAGATGTTAAGTAACTTGCCCAAGATTACATAGCTGGTCATAATAGAGCCAGAAGTTGGGTCTAAAGTATGCCTTTACAAACACCCTTCTATATTGTCTCTGAAAAGGAGGTTGAGGTGCCCTTCCTGGGAGAAAGGAGGAAGCTTAGGCCAGTGGTTCTCTATCACTTGGCTACAGAATTTGGGTAGAAGTAGAAGTGTGGGGGCAAGTTCATGCAGAGATCTGCCAACAGTATATACGTCAATCACCTTTTTTAGACAGATTAAAAAACCTCACACATCTATAACTTGTATTTTACACTATATGTAGATGCTGTTGTGATTTCTAAAATGGAAATTTATTGCATTCAACTCATATTTTTGTCTGCAAACCTCTTGAAAGCAAAGACTGTTTATTCAGCCTCATGCACTTAATACATGCATGTGAAATATAAATTTTGGAGGATGAATATGTCATTTTAAAAATGAAAGAGGTAACTAAAAATAAAATTCCAATGTTCAGAAGAATTAATATTTAGTTTAAAAAGAGGTTCTAATAAGTCAAAAAAATTGTAGAACACCAACTAAGACATCTAACTTTTGTTTGAGCTAAATCTTTCTCAATCAAATGCATCTAAATCAGATGACATTTGGTGTGTCTACTGATGCTGTGGTCCTACTATTGCATGTGAAGTATAAGAGGAACAGCTCTTCATATGTTTGCAAGGCATAAATAGCCTTTTCTCTTCGTATAAAAGCCACAGAGCTCACGGTAAAATGTTAGATACCCAATGAACATAAGAACATATTAATTGCTGACCTTGGCTTTCCTGCTCCGTATAGCGCTGATATCAGCCTCTGTTAGAGCTCCCTTACTTGAAAAATGGAGATGCTATTTGGGTTTGAGTATAAATTTAAGTCATTTTTTTATGAGACAAGTTACACAATGAACTGTGAATGGGGTACATGCACCTTTGAACTGTGAATGGGGTACATGCACCTTTGGAATGAAATATGACTTTCAAGATCTATTTAATCAACTAAACTCAGTTCCCAATATGTCAGCTTGGAACAGACCCTAATGCAGACTCCTCAGCCTAAAATTTACACAGATTTTCTTCCACCTGCCTTGTTTTGTCTATTTTCTTCCTAAGTACAGTTATCACAGGTGGGAATGACATCAGTACAAACTTGACATCCTCCTATTAAGTCAGCAAAGTGCTTAGGGAAAAACCACATACAACAGTATCAGTAAATAGATCAAAGAGGAAATATTTCAAGAATCTCCTTGTCAAGCAGTAAGTCATTACTTGAGTCGGAATTAGTTAAAACACTACAGTGCCTCCTTCTAATATACATTTGGTCACCTTCAGCTCAGGGTGCAAGTGCTCTGACACTCAGCTCAGAGGCAAGCAGACATGCTGGAGCCTGTGAATTAACACTGAACTGGGAACTGTCATTGGGAAAATGACAGCCAGCCTTCAGCAAGGAACTTGAACACTAATCCTTGTGTTAGAGTTCCTACCGTTTTCAGGCAAAACAGAGGAAATACAAGTCAGCAACTTTATTCCCTAGCTTTTTTTTTTTCCCCCTAATTTAAAAATAGAACACTGGCTGGGTATGGTGGCTCACACCTGTAATCCCAGCATTTTGGGAGGCCAAAGCAGGCAGATCACGAGGTCAGGAGTTTGAGACCAGCCTGACCAACATGGTAAAATCCTGTCTGTACTAAAAATACAAAAATTAGCCAGGTGTGGTAGTGTGCACCTGTAATCCCAGTTACTCAGGAGGCTGAGGGAGGAGAATCGCTTGAACTTGGGAGGCAGAGGTTGCAGTGAGCCGAGATCATGCAAGCCTGGGGGACAGAGCAAGACTCCATCTCAAAAAAAAAAAAGACCACCACACTCCAAGAAATGTTAAGATGTGTAATATGTACTTACCACTAATAATATTTAGCAGTTTGGGGGGTAAGATTTTTCCCTGAAGAAAATACTTATAAACACAATTTAAATTATGGGTATCGAGTCTGCAGGGCAGATTTTTTCTTTCATTTTTAATGCTATGCTCATTTTAAAAAGCCTAGATGAAGTCACGATGAAAATTCAGTCACTCACTCTGTTTTGAAATTGGGGTTATTCCTTATCCTTTTACAAGAGAAGAGTATTTAATTTCAAAATTTCATTTTAAATTAAGAGAACGTCGTTGTGGTAAGAAGTTACCTGCAATACATATATAAGAAACAAGTCAACTTAGTTAGTATTAAATAACATTTTGTTATTACGAAAGTAAAGCAATTGTCAAAAGGAGCTTAACTCATCCACCACCTCTAAGGATAGCAGTAACGTGCTCTTAAGGCAGAGAAACTCCTGCCAAAAAGTCATATTGATGCTTCCAAAGATATAAGTAACAATACTGTCCTCTAAAAAGTTTCTTCTGGCTCTTTCTAAGATAATTCCCACTAACAGATTCCAAATTGCTTCTCCCAGTATCTTGAAATGCCAGCTACACTGTAGGAACACTACAGGGTACTTGGAGGACATTAATGTGTAAAATGAGGGCACAAATTGATAAAGAGTGTATAATTCAGATATTTTTAAGTAGCTATTTCCTAAAATTTATTTTATTTTATTTTAGGAAATAGTTACTTTACCTTGAAAGATTTAAGATATATCAAGACCTGTTTGGACAAGTTTGGTCACTTGGTCCCTTCCTTGGTAAATGCAGTAACTGTGGAGCAAAGGAAAGGAGACAGAAGGAAGGAGGGAGAGGGAGAATGAGAGGGAGAGGGAGCAGGAGAGGGAGAGATTGAGATTGAGTTTAACCTCCTTCAGGGTAACTAGAACTAACACATAAAACTTTAGATCCGTGAACAGAAGCCACTTTATGCCACTGAGACTGGGAAACAGACAGGAGGATTCATGCATGAGGATTGAAGCAGATATGTAGTAAGGAGCAGGGCTGAGAATGGGTTTAGAGAATTTCCTTGTTTTCCACAGTACTCCAGGCAGCAATTCCCGTCTGGAAGCCTAGTTGGGATGCCATATGTACTTCCAAAAGTTTCATTTTCCACTTAAGTTAGTTTGGCTTTATTTTACTTTCAACAAGAGATGTTAGGCAATGCAATCATCACCATCACAACTGGAAGAGAGAGACACCAGGAAAGTATCTTGCCTCTAAATACCCAATGGCCAGAACAGATTCTCATCTCTCTCCTATTGTCCACTACTGGTTGGTCACCCTTGGTATTGTAAAGAAAAACAGCTTTCTTCTTATTTTCATCATTATTAGCATTTCCCCACTATCTTAAGTAATCTCTGTTCATATAATTCTTTCTTAAACTTTTATTTTAGGTTCAGGAGTACAGGTTAAGGTTTATTAATAGGTAAATTGTGTGTCACTGGGATCTGGTGTACAGATTATTTTGCCACCCAGGTAATAAGCATAGTATTTGATAGGTAATTTTTTGATCCTCACCCTCTTCCACCCTCAAGTAGGTCCTGGGGTCTGTTGTTCCATTCTTTGTGTCTATGTGTACTCAGTGTTTAGCTCCCACTTAATAAGAGAATGTGTGATATTTGTTTTTCTGTTCTTATGCCAATTTGCTTAGGATAATGACCTCCAGCTCCATCTATGTTGCTGCAAAGGACATGATCTCATTCTTGCTATGGCTGCATAGTATTCCATAGTGTATATGTACCACATTTTCTTTATCCAGTCTACTGCTTATGGCATTTATGTTTATTCTATGTCTTTGCTATTGTGAAGAGTGCTGTGATGAACATATGCATGCATGCATCTTTACAGTAGAACAATTCCTATCCCTTTGGGTATATACCCAATAATGGGATTGCTGGGTCAATTGGTAATTCCACTTTAAGTTCTTTGAAAAATCACCAAACTGCCTTCCACAATGGCTGGAATAATTTATATTCCCACCAGCAATGTATAAGTGTACCTTTTTCTTTGCAATCTTGCCAGTATCTGTTATTTTTCTGTTTTAATACTAGCCATTCTGACTGGTGTGAGACAGTATCTCATTGTGGTTTGATTTGCATTTCTCTAATGATTTGTGATGTTAAGTATTGTTTCATATGCTTTTTGCCCACATGTATGTATGTCTTCTTTTGTAAAGTGTCTGTTCGTGTCCTTTGCCCACTTTTTAGCGGGGTTGTTTTTTGCGTGTTGATTTAAGTTTTTATGGATTCTGGATATTAGACCTTTGTCAGATGCATAGTTTGCAAATGTTTTCTCCCATTCTGTAGGTTGTCTGTTTACTCTATTGATAGTTTCTTTTGCTGTACAGAAACTCTTTTGTTTAACCAGATACCATTTGTCAATTATTTTTGTTGCAATTGCTTTTGGAGCCTTTGTCATGAAATCTTTGCCAGGTCCTAGGTCTAGAATGGTATTTTCTAGGTTATTTTTCAGTGTTTTCAAAGTTTTATCCTTTACATTTAAGTCTAATCCATCTTGAGTTGATTTTTGTACATGATGTAAAGAAGGGGTCCAGTTTCAATCCTCTGCATATGGCTAGCCAGTCATCCTAGCACCATTGACTGAAGAGAAAGCTCTTTCCCCATTGCTTGTTTTAGTCAACTTAGTTGAAGATCACATGGTGTAGGTGTGCAGCATTATTTCTGGGCTCGCTGTTCCATAGGTCTGTAAGTCTGTTTTTGTACATGCTGTTTTGGTTACCATAGCCTTGTAGTCCAGTTTGAAGTTAGGTAACCTGATGCCTACAGCTTTGTTCTTTTTGCTCGGAATTCTCTTGGCTATTTGAAATTTTTTTTTGCATCAATGTTCATCAGATATACTGGCCTAAAGTTTTCTTTTTTTGTTGAGTGTCTGCCAGGTTTTGGTATCAGGATGATGCTGACTTCATAAAATGAGTTAGGGAGGATTTCCTCCTTTCCAATTGTTTGGAATAGTTTCAGAAGGAATGTTACCAGCTCCTCTTTGTACTTCTCATAGAATTCAGCTGTGAATCCGTCTTCTCCTGGGCTTTCTTTGGTTGGTAGGCTATTAATTACTGCCTCAATTTCAGAACTTGTTATTAGTCTATTCAGGGATTAGACCTCTTCCTCATTTAGTCTTGGGAGGGTGTATATATCCAGAAATTTATCTTCTTCTAAATTTTCTAGTTTATTTGTGTAGAGGTGTTTATAGTATTCTCTAATAGTAGTTTGTATTTCTGTGGCATCAGCGGTGATATTCCCTTTCTCATTTTTATTGTGTCTATTTGATCCTTCTTTATTAGTCTAGCTAGTGGTCTATTTTGTTTAATTTTTTCAAAACACCAGCTCCTGGACTCATCAATTTTTGGAGGGTTTTTCGTGTCTCTGAAAATCCTCAATAAAGTACTGGCAAACTGAATCCAGCAGTAGATCAAAAACTTATCCACCACGATAAAGTCAGCCTTATTCCTGGGAGGCAAGGCTGGTTAAACATACCCAAATCAATACACTTAATCTATCACATAAACAGAACCAAAGACAAAAACCACATGATTATCACAATAGATGTAGAAAAGGCCTTCGATAAAATTCAACATCGCTTCATGTTAAAAAAAACTCTCAATAAACTAGGTATTGATGGAACATATCTCAAAATAATAAGAACTATTTTTGAGAAACCCACAGCCAATATCATATTGAATAGTCAAAAGCTGGAGGCATTCCCTTTGAAAACTGGCACAAGAAAAAGATGCCCTCTCTCACTATTCCTATTCAACATAGTGTTGGAAGTTCTGATCGGAGAAATCAAGCAAGAGAAAGAAAGAAAGGATATTAAAATAGGAAGAGAGGAAGTCAAACTGTCTCTGTTTGCAGACAACATGATTCTATATTTAGAAAACCCCGTCATCTCAGCCCCCAAACTCCTTAAACTGTAAGCAACTTCAGCAAGGTCTCAGGGTACACAGTCAATGTGCAAAAAGCACAAGCATTCCTTTACACCAACAATAGACAAGTAGAGTGACAAATTATGAATGAACTCCCATTCACAATTGCTACAAAGAGAATAAAATACTTAGAAATACAGCTAACAAGGGATGTGAAGGACCTCTTCAAGGAGGACTACAAACCACTGCTCAAGGAAATAAGAGAGGATACAAACAAATGGAAAAACATTTCATCCTCATGGATAGCAGGAATCAATATTGTGAAAATGGCCACAATGCCCAAAGTAATTTATAGATTCAATGCTATTCCCATCAAACTACCACTGACATTCTTCACAGAATTAGAAAAACATACTTTAAATTGCATATGGAATCAAAGAAGACAAGCCAAGAGAATACTGAGCAAAAATAAAGCTGGAGGCATGACCCTACCTGACTTCAAACTATCCTGCAAGGCTACAGTGACCAAAACAGCATGGTACTGGTGTGAAAATAGACATATAGCTCAATGGAACAGAACAGAGAATTCAGAAATAACACCACATGTCTACAACCAACTGATCTTTGAAAAACCTGACAAAAAACAAGCAATGGGGAAAGGATCTCCTATGCAAGTAAAAGGTGCTGGGAAAACTGGCTAGCCATATGCAGAAATCTGAAGCTGGACCCTTTCCTTACACCTTATACAAAAATTAACTTGAGATGGATTAAAGGCTTAAATGTAAAACCCAAAACCATAAAAACACTAGAAGAAAACCTAGGCAGTACTATTCAGGACATAGGCATAGGCAAAGACTTCTTCATGAAAATGCCAAAAACAATTGCAACAAAAGTCAAAATTGACAAATGGGATCTAATTAAACTAAAGAGCTTCTGCACAGCAAAAGAAACTATCATCAGAGTGAACAAGCAACCTACAGAATGGGAGAAAATTTTTGCAATCTGTCCATCTGACAAACGTCTAATATCCAGAATTTACAAGGAACTTAAAAAAGTTTACAAGAAGAAAGCAAACAACCCCATCAAAAAGTGGGCAAAGGATATGAACAGACACTTCTCAAAATAAGACATTTACTTGGCCAACAAACATATGAAAAAAGCTTGACATCAATGATCATTAGAGAAATGCAAATCAAAACCACAATGAGATGCCATCTCATGCCAGTCAGAATGGCGATTATTAAAAAGTCAAGAAACAATAGATGCTGGTGAGGCTGTGGAGAAATAGTAACGTTTTTACACTTTTGGTGGGAGTGTAAATTAGTTCAACCATTGTGGAAGACAGTATGGCAATTCCTCAATGATCTAGAACCAGAAATACCATTTGACCCATCAGTCCCATTATTGGGTATATACCCAAAGGAATATAAATCATTCTACTATAAAGACACATGTACACATATGTTTACTGCAGCACTATTCACAACAGCAAAGTCATGGAACCAACCCAAATGCCCATCAATGATAGACTGGATAAAGAAAAGTGGTACATAGACAGCATGGAATACCATGCAGGCATAAAAAGGAATGATACCATGTTCTTTGCAGGGACATGGATGAAGCTGGAAACCATCATCCTCAGCAAACTAACACAGGAACAGAAAACCAAACACCACATGTTCTCACTCATAAGTGGGAGTTGAACAATGAGAACACACAGACATAGAGAGGTGAACAACACACACCAGGGCCAGTTTGGGGTAGGGGGCGAGGGGAGGGAACTTACAGGATCAGTCAATAGGTGCAGCAAACCACCACGGCACACGTATATCTATGTAGCAAACATGCTCTGCACATGTATCCCAGAACTTAAAGTATAATAAAAATAAAAATATAATATAAAATGTAAAAAAAATTTTAAATAGTTTTTAAAATTTTTAAATAGTTTTTTTTAATTCTGTGAAGAATGTTGTTGGTAGTTTGATAAGAATAGCATTAAATCTGTAAATTGCTTTGGGTAGTATGACCATTTTCACAATATTTATTTTTCCTATCTAGGAGCATGGAATGTTTTTCCATTTTTCTGTGTCATCTCTGGTTTCTTTGAGCAGCGTTTTGTAATTCCCATTGTAGAGATCGTTCACCTCCCCAGTTAGGTGTATTCCCAGGTGTTCTATTCTTTTGAGAATAGAATTGTGAATGAGACTGCATTCTTGATTTGGCTCTCAGCTTGGATATTGTTGATGTATAGGAATGCTACTGATTTTTGGACATTGGTTTTTGTATCCTGAAACTTTGCTGAGGTTGTGCATCAGATCAAGGAGCTTTGGGGCCAAAAGTATGGGGTTTTCTAGGTATAGAAAAGATTTCAAACTATTCCTGTTTAATATAATTCTTTAACATAAAACACTTTGAAATTTTACTCAAAGACCTTCAGCTTTATATACTATTAAGTGAAACATGTAAAACCTGTGTTTGACTCAGTACAAATGGTTATTAGAAGAGTGGAATTCAATATTTGGGTCTGAACATAAGAAAGAAAAAGTAATATACAAAATTTATTGATGGTAATCCTTAAACCAGGAAAACAGAAAGATACAACTGGGGTACCAATTCCTTCATTTTCTAACTTACCTTTCTTACTCATCATATTTCACTCATTTATCATACCCACTACCAAAACCTGGCCTTCCTTTCTCTGGGTGAATCATTCTCTTCCACCAATCTTCTGGTCTGAAAGGAAGCATGTGGAAGAATGAATGAAGAAGGGGTCACCTGAAGGGTCAGCCAAATATAATCTCGGATGGGTGGGGTGACAACTGTTACAGCACATCGCCCTTACTTCCAACACTGTGTCATGCTGATGTCAGATATGTAAGATACAGCAGATTAATGGCTTGAAGTGGTTGTGGCTCAGAAATCTCCCTAGTATGATTGAGATGCAAGTTTTTGAAATCAAGATGGAAATATAGTAAGTGAAAAACAGGGCAAATCAATTTAAAGGTCATGGATATGAAAGCTGCAAATGATGTATCATATGCTACTTCAATCACCACTGAATGTCCAGCCACAGGAAGCAAGGAGAAAAGGAAACAAGCCATTGCTTTGTGCCCCATTTTGTGCAATGAGAACTGGGTTAAAAATATGCTTCTCCTTCATCCTTTCCTATTGCCAGATCCCTAGTTTAAGGCCTTTGGGAAAGTTAGGGGCACGTCTCCAGTCCACAGATTGTTCTTTGCTGCTATTACCATAACCACACTATTATTCCCAAAATATTATTTCATATTTGCCTGTATTCAACAATTCAAACCCAGCAAAATGGCTTTTTAAACTAAGGACAATATTACATTTACCACGTATCTTACTTGGCTCTATCAATGATTCCCAATTCTGGTATAGTATAAATTAATGTTCAAATATATGATTTACATTGAAGGGCTATCCAATAGTTGGCATTTGGGTGTTACAGACCATTTCCAAAGGTACTCCTGTAAGTATAACAGCATTTCTCAATGTTGTTAGGCTTAATGAAATTCATGTTAAATATTCATGAGTCATTGAGCTGTCTCCTGGACTCTTGATTAAATTTTTCCTTAACTGGTCTAAACACTGGGATGTCTGTTAAGTATGTTTATCTTCTCTTTATTTAAGCCAGTGTTTCTCACAGTAAAATATTGCATTTGGAATGTTTCTTTGACCCTCCAGTCTTTTCTGTAAGATACAAACAAGCTCCTAATGTTGGCTGGAAAAAAATTAATTGGAAGGTGAAAGAGGCATTCTTAAATTAAACAATACAAGAGTTCCACATTGTTTATTCATCTAAAAAAGGGGAATTCCATAAAAATAAGACCAGTTGGAAATCAAATTTAATCTCAGAACTTTATTCTTTAGACTTCAAGAATCTTTTGAATCAGTCATCACCAGTTGATTAAAATCAACTAACTAATGGTTGATCTTTGTTCACTAAATGTTCTGGCTAGGCAACAAGACACCAAAATGAATAAACCTTTGTTGTTGTTGTTTTTTACATAAGAAGCTCATAATCTAGTGGGAAAAATAGGAACATAGGCAATTATCACGTTAAATTATGATAAATATTAAAGGCATATGCACCAAGCCATGGGACTCAAAGGGAACAGAAAGCAATTCTGACTGGAAAACTCAAGGATAACAAGAATTGGTAGAAAATGTAATCTGTAATTTCCTGAACGGTAAGTAGGAATAGTGGACAAGTGGAGAATGGGAGGGGAGAGGATACCCTACTGAAGGCATGGCAGGAGCAAAGGCTCTGAGATCCGAAAGTGTAAGAATGTTTGGGAAAGGGCACAGTTTGGGGCAAAGAGAAGAAGGTGTTGTTGAGGACAAAGTTTGAAAAATAGTTTGGACGTATATCGTAAAAACCTTAACAACCAATCCGAGTTGAACAGCCATTTGGGCTTTTCCAGCAGAGGAGCTCCATGATCAGAACTGTGCTTTCAAAAATAGCTGAGGACAGTGTGGAGGGGAGGAGGCTATTTGGAACTTTGTCAAAAATAGGAAAGCTTTATGAAATTATTTTTTATTACAAATCATGTTTTCAAAGGTGGCCCTGAAATTAGGAAGCATATATATACAAATATAAAAACATCTGGCCAGGTGCGGTGGCTCACGCCTGTAATCCCAGCACTTTGGGAGGCTGAGGCAGGCGGATCACGAGGTCAGGAGATCGAGACCATCCTGGCTAACATGGTGAAACCCTGTCTCTACTAAAAATACCAAAAATTAGCCGGGTGTGATGGCGGGCACCTGTAGTCCCAGCTACTCGGGAGGCTGAGGTAGGAGAATGGCGTGAACCCGGGAGGCAGAGCTTGCAGTGAGCCAAGATCGTGCCACTGCACTCCAGCCTGGGCGACAGAGTGAGACTCCATCTCAAAAAAAAAGAAAAAAAAAAAAGAAAAAAAAATCCCATCTGAGGACAGATATTTCAGTGTTCTTGATAAGCCAAAGGAGACTGCATTGTGTCTGGTGGATGACTGTAATCCTGGAAATCCAGTGCTTTGGCACTCCCACTGGGTCACAGGCCTGATTTTCATGAGCCTGGTGCAAGAGGTAGTCTGACATTATGTTGAAGAGGTAACCTTTATCAGAATTACTTGTTAATCCTCTGTGGATACCTGACCTCTGAGAGAGACCCTGTTACTTGGGAAGAGTCCAGCATAATACACATATGATTGCTTCATTTTCCCAGTATATTTAATTCAGTTACTTGTGGTGTGGAAGGAAGCCCTGGCTGAGATATTAAATTTCCATTTTAATTTCCAAACTACAATATTAAAACATTGTACTCATTAGTCTGAAAAGCAATACATGATAACAGCAGTCAGACCTCAACTTCTGGTAAGAGAGTAGAGGCTCATGGTAAAAAGCATGAGCTCTGACGTCTGCCAGATCTTGGTGCACACTCCAGGTTTATTATTTACTGGTCTCAGTTTCCTAAACTATAGAATTTCAATACTAGTACCTACTCACTAGATTGTTATGAGAGTTACATAAGACAATGCTTGTATAATCCTTGGCACATCAAAGCATTTAATAGATGTCAATTGTTCTTCCCTACATCATTGCTTGCCACATGGTAATCATATATTCTTATTTCAGATCGCTTCTATTTCTTGAGTGATGAGCATTTGTAGCAAATATTTTTTCACAACATTTTTGTACTTTCCTTCATTTGTTCATTCATTATTATGGGATTTACTACGTGCTTGACACTAAACATTTCCATTTTGATTTACCTGCATGTCTATCATATGCTTTGCACAGAAAGTCTAAGATGGCATTGTATTTCTCTACCTGTAATCATTGATATTTTTCATCCATACATGCAAAGTCATCAGTGCTTTGCTCAGACTGTTCTTCCTAATAGCTACCCCATTAACTAATCTATCTGTCTGTCTGTCTGTCTGTCTGTCTGTCTACCTACCTACCTACATACCTACCTATCTAATGTATTAAGATGTTTCCCGGCCGGGTGCAGTGGATCACACCTGCAATTCCAGCACTTTGGGAGGCCGAGGCGGGTGGATCACCTGAGGTCAGGAATTTGAGACTAGCCTGGCCAACATGGTGAAACCCTGTCTCTACTAAAAATACAAAAATTAGCTGAACGTGGTGGTATGTGCCTATAATCCCAGCTACTCAGGAGGCTGAGGCAGGAGAATCGCTTGAACCCAGGAGGTGGAGGTTGCAGTGAGCCGAGATCACGCCACTGCACTCCAGCCTGGGCAACAACTCCATCACAAACAAACAAAAAAGATGCTTCCCTTCCCTTTCCAGGAACCCAAACTCAGGCCATGGGATGTCCTGGTGTCTTTTGCATGGGAGTGTGAAAAGGCCATCCTTGGCAGTGGAGAGCCTATTTATTTATTTAGTTTGCCTTTTGTTTCACCTGAATTAAAATGATAAATTTTGAGTTGAGTCTCAGTTTTATAAATGGCCAAATCTATTTACACAGACACTGCAGGCCTACTGACATCTGTGGGCTGAATCCTGTCAGCTTCTTGGAAGAACTCATGCCTTATAATTTAACTGTATTGTTCACATCATCAAGTTCAGACCTGGAGAAATAGAAGCTGCTGAATAAATATTTTTAGTAGACTGATTAAATTCCATATCTAAAATTACCTTATCTGCAAATAATAGAAGTTGTATAATTTAGATCTATACAATTATTTTTAATAAAAAAAGTATATTCTAACTGGGCCAACAGGGAAAAAAAAATAACTTAGTAGTTTTACTACTCTTCTACAGTAGATTGGCCAGAAGTTTTGCCCTGAAACAAAAAATATGAATACACCTTCAAAGGAAAATGTAATGTGGGAGGCTGATGACTGATGACAAATGGGCTGCGTTTGTCGTTTTTAATTCTGAAAAAAAAAAATCATTTCTCTTTTCCACCTACAACTTCTACATTAAATAGAATGTTTCTGTGGATTGGTATGTGTTAATGAGGTTGTTTTATATCAGCTCTAGGTGCATGTATGTGTGCTGCTATGTTTGTTTAACATCCAAACTCAGATTGTGTTCTATTAGTACATCCTGGAAAATCCCACCATGAAGAGGAAAACTAGTGACACACATGGTTAAGGGAGCTGAGAAAGTGGAAACTGACGTTCCCTTTTAAGACTTTGGTATATCAGTGACACAGAGATGCTGATATACAGTTCAGCTTTCCTATCTTTTATTCCCAGGGATTATCCCCCATCCTTGGTGCAAAGAAAAGGGAAGACCATAATTGATGTATAATAATAGAATTATTAATATCAACATAAGTCTTACTACATGTCATTTAATCGTCACGTTTACTTTAAAAGGCAGTCACTCTATTCCCATTTTTCAGATGAAGAAACTGAGGCAAAGAAAGGTCAAGTGATCTGTTCAAGGTCACATTGGTAGTGGGTGGTAGAGCTAGATTTCAAACCCTTAAAATTTAGCTCCAGTCTTCACAATTTAATCACTATTAAACTGTAATGGCCTCTTTGTCTATTATAATAATATTATTATATTATTTACAATATTATTAATTGAAGAAATATAATTTCTGCAACATGCCATGATAGAATAATTAGATTTACACTCCCTTAAAAGGTCTGTTATGCAACCCTATCTCAAGTGATTGACTACAATATTCTGAAAGAATTAAATAAGCTGTTAATGGAACGCAAAACCATGAAGCCTGGGAGGAGCCTGGTATACCCCTCAATATCCTATTCACTTGCCTGTGATATAATATTAGGCTGCAAGAAAAAATAATCATAACATTAGGTTGCAATATGCAACCAGGTAAAATTCAAACAAGGTGTGACCCTAAAGAAGCATTTACTGCTGTTTTTCTTGTGCAAGCCATGTGATGGATGTACAAGTTCTTCAGCTCTTGCTTTGGCCTAGTATATATGTAACATTAACTCAGTCTTAGTTACTAATTAGCTGAACATTTCCTGCCATAGCTGCATTCTCTCAAAAAACATAACATGTCTCATTGAAAGGACTTCATCTGCTTCACTATATCTTTAATTATATTAGCTTTACAAGTATCTGTTACTTTGTTCAATTCCCTTCATCCTTGTTTTCATGCCAGTTCCTTCCCAAACTAATCATCTACCCATTCTTACCTTTGTTTCTAGGCAGTCCCTATATTGGACTTCTAACATTTATTCTTAAAGTTGTCACAGTCAAAATAGGTAAATTACAGAAACATGTAATGGATATAATACTAGAGAGAGTATTTTGATATATTGATATATACTCTGTGAATATATATTTTTACATAATTGAGCTTAAACTAGAGATTTCTATCTTTGTACTTACTCATTCTATTAGCATATCATAATAATTTACCAAATTATTAAAAACTCAATACAAAATTTTTAATTACTGAGTAATATTTTATTATTTGAATTCTCCATAATTTAATCGTTCCTCTTTTGTTGAAGATTTGGGGGATTTCCAATTTTTTCTTATAAATACTACTGTAATTACCAGTTGGGATATAAATAATTATCCACAATTCTGATTATTTTTCAAGTACTTATGATGAAAAAAAATCAGTCCAAAGGTATGAACACTGGAGAAGTTCTTGCTATATATTAATAATTTTTAGGAGTCATATTTTACCAGTTAACATAAACCCAACCATGGATAAGTGTCTCTCGGCTGCAGCTTAACCACAATTTAACCTAATTATGCAAGTAAACAACACTTTCATGAACATCAGGTTAGATTGCGAAAGAATGAAAAATATCTTCGCTTCTATGATAACAAACAAGAAAATGGAGGTAAAATTATCATCATACTTTTTACTGAGTTATCAAAGAGTTGTGGACTCAAGGAAATGTTGGTGAACTGACATCCGGAGAAGGAAGAACCCTTCAGAGTTGAGCAGATGACTATATCAACTTCCATACATGAAGTCAACCAACTGGTTTGGGTTTTAACAGATAGGAAAGAAAACCTACAATAGATACCACTGCAAGGGAAAGTAAAATAGTTGAACTTTTAAATTTAAGGTGATATGGAAAAATAAATAGACAGAGATCTAGATGATCCCTAAATACAAAAAATACATCACTCAACTTAATAATCCTCTTTTATCTACTAAATTTTACTGAGAAGGCAGCAGTAAAGAAGGTGCTAGTGACTCTACTGGTACTTGAATTCTGGACCCCTGGTGGGATTCAATCCAAAGGTTAATCAAATCTATCTAAAACTGAGTCACAACTCTTTTCCAGCTCAAATACTGCTGAGAATATAGAGGTCAGTAACATGATAGCAGCAGTGTGAGAGGTTGAAAACTATGTTATCCAAAGTTAAATTGAATCTATTAAAGCTGTGAACCAGTACCAGTTAAATTTGATCTTTTTTGAAATCTGAATAAGTAGCCCCTATTCTAGCAGTCAGAGAGAAGATAGCATTGAAACCTCTAGCGAAAACAAAATAAAATTAAAAGAAAATCATACTTTAGTCTCCACTGTTGCTTAAAACACGGTATTCCGAATAAGATTTTAAAACTGGTAAGATAGCACTTTGGAAGGCTGAGGCGGGCAAATCACCTGAGGTCAGGAGTTCAAGAGCAGCCTGGCCAACATGGTGAAACCCATCTCTACTAAAAAATACAAAAATTAGCCAGACATGGTGGCACACACCTGTAATCCCAGCCTTTAGGGAGGCCAAGGCAGGAGAATTGCTTGAACCGGGGAGGCAGAGGTTGCAGTAAGCTGAGATCGCACCACTGCACTCCAGGCTGGGTGACAGAACGAGACTCTGTCTCAAAAAAATAAATTAAATAAATAAATAAATAAAACTGGTAAGATATGTTAAAAAAGAAGATATAACCTATTATTGAGAGAAGAAACAAACAAGAAGCAGACACTGAAAGGATCAAGATATTGGAATTAGCAGATAAGGATTTTAAACAATTATTATGTTTGCTAATTTAAAGGAAAATGGACATAGTGAATAAAGAAATGGGGATTTTCAAGGTAGAAATGAAAACTTTACTGAGAGAAATTCAACAACATCTAAATAAATGAAGATATAAACGATGTTTATTGATTGAAAAGTTAAATATTTTTAAGATGTCAGTTCTTCCCAAATAATAAAAAGGCAAACAACCCAATTTTTAAAATGTGATTGGATTTTCTGTTCTGGAAAAGATGTAGTAGATGAACTCCTCTGTTGTTCTTCCCACTAAGTACCACTGAAAACGTATGATATTGCATATAAGAAAAACATAGGAATGCTCTGAAAGATGGCAAGAAGAAGGCACATTGGCCAGGGACTTCAGGTCCTGAGTGACAAGATGACAATGAGTTTCCTGGGTTTTCTTTCTGCTTCGTATATGTCCCACTGGGTGCTTAAATATTGGAAATACCAATGTGTTCAGACAAGAGGGACCTAAGAAAAGCCTACTCTTTCTAGTCAAAGGAGCAAGAGAGATGCAGCATAGCAAGACACAAAACTTTTAGACAGTAACTGTCCTACTTCAAGCAAACACTACATAAAAAACTCTGGCCTTAACTCATCTTGGTCATCAGAAGCTTCCACCCTCACCTGGCTGTGTGTGTGGTAAAGCACTGCGATGGGATCAGAGAAGTTTGAGTGTGGAGCCAGGACTTTTGAATACACTGGATAATAATAAGCACTGCCCCTACCCTGCAGTGTCAGTGGGGGCAATTTGAGAAGGCATAGTGAGATGTCATCCCTCACCCAAGGTATAAACAGAGACTGAGTAAGAAGTCTAGATTATCCCCTCAAATTGGCATAGGATTTTTTAAGGACCAAAATAAAAAAGAACTGTCAACCCAGAATTTTGTATCCAGTGAAAATGTCTTTCAGGAATGAAGGAGAAATAAAGGCATTCTCATATGAAATAGAATTAAGAGAATTTGTTACTAGCAAACCTATGCTAATATAATTGTTAAAGGAAATTCTTAAAACAGAAAATTAGAAAGGAAGTATTTTGGAACATCGTGAAGGGAGGAAGAGCAATGAAAGGAGGAAAGATGGGAAATACAATAGACTTTTATTATCCTCTTAAGTTTCTAAATTATGTTTGATGATTGTGATGAAAATGACAATAATGGCTCTGCTATCTGGCACCCCTGGACCCATGACCCACCAACCCAATAATCAGTCAGACTCTTGCATGTGCCATGTCTGGTTCCTCCAGTGTAACCACTTTCTCCTATGAAAAAAGTGGCTCAACAGCTCTGGCTGGAGCCAAGGCTCAACAGTGTAAACATTTCCCAGGCAGCTGCAGGCTGGGAACAATTCTGTCTGCAGAATGTTCAACAAGACAGACCTCTGCTGACTGGAGTATCTTCAAGTATGAATCCCTTCAGACCTCAGAAGGTCTGTTCCTTTTCATAGTAAAATGAATCTTTCAAAGGTTTCCCAAACTATTTCTCATGAACCAGTGAATATTCAAGAGTGCTAAACTTGAAGCACATACAAAAGCTTATGCCTGTAATACATGTGCCATAATACACAGACGTTTACTTTTATCAATCCTTAACGTCTACCTCTCTGAATTTCCATGAATTTCTATTTCACAAGTTAATTGTATTATATACACTGGCAGCAACATACAATAAAATACTTAGTATAAAAAATGACAATATTGTCTGATGAGATTTTCAATGTATATATGGGAGAAAATATATAAGATCTTTGTATGACTAATGAGAAAGATTAAAAGGACTTAAAGGAGAGGTATGATTTCTAAATTGTATTCATAATGGTAAAAAGTCAACACCAATAGACTGTAATAAGTTATGTCTCTATAATGTAATATCGATAGCAACCACTAAAAAATACACACAAAAAGATCTAAAAAATTACAAAAGTAAAACTATAGAAAAGTAAAAATTAAATTCCAAGAAGTTTAAGTAGCCTACAGGAAGGCAGAAAAAAAAAAAACAGAAAAGGAAAAACAGAGGAAACAAGCAGAACAAGAAATATGTCAGATATATCAATAAATACATAACATTAATAATTTAAATATACCAACTGAAAGACAAAGAGCCGAGTGAGGAGGATAAAAGAACCACTACGTGTTTTTTAGTCTCTAGGTTTATTTATTGAGTTTGCTGCATTTCTTTAGCACCATTCATATTTCACAGTACTTTCATATATTCATAGCACTATGAATTTAACATATTCATAGTACTCCCAAGGTTCCTACTTTCCTCTGTTTACTTTTTGAAAAATTTTTTATTTTAATTTTTGTGGGTACATTTCTGTGGGTATTGCATGCCTGGATCAAAACATTTTTTATGTACTCTATAAACACCTACCATGTACCCACAAAAATTCAAAATCTATACCTACTATTTTATATCAAGTAAAATAGGGTATCCATTCCCTTGAGTATTTATCCATATTTCATATATTCATAATACTCCCAAGGGTCCTACTTTCCTCTCTTTACTTTTTGAAAAAAGTTTTTATTTTAATTTTTGTGGGTATATTTTTGCGGGTATTGCATACCTGTATCAAAACATCTTATCTACTCTATAAATATATACACATAGCATGTGCCCACAAAAATTCAAAATATATACCTATTTTACATGATGTAAAATAGGGTATCCATCCCCTTGAGTATTTATCCTTTGTGTTACAAACAATTACACTCTTTTATTTACTTTAAAATATACAATTAAATTATTATTAACTGTAGTCACTCTGTTGTGCTATCGAATACTAGGTTTTAGTCATTCTAACTATATTTTGTACCTATTAACTATCCCCACCTCACCCCACTCAGACCCAACTACCCTTCCCAGTCTCTGGTAACCATTCTTCTGCTTTCTATCTCCATGGTTTTAATTGTTTTTATTTTTAGATCCCACTAATACATGAGAACATGCCATGTTGTTTTTTTTTTTTAACCTGGCTTATTTCACTTAGCATAATGACCTTCCCTTCCATCCATGTTGTTGCAAATGGCAGGATCTCATTTTTAATAGCTGAATAGTACACTCCACAGTGTATATTTATGACATGTTCTTTATTCATTTATCTGTTGATGGGCACTTAGTTTGCTTCCAAATCTTGGCTATTGTGATTAGTGCTGCAATAAACATGGGAGTGTAGATGTCTATTCAATATGCTGATTTCCTTTCTTTGGGGTATATGCCCAGCAGTGGGATTGCTGGATCGTATGGTAGCTCTATTTTTTAGTTTTTTGAGGAACCTCCAAACTGTTCTCCATAGTGGTTGTACTAATTTACATTCCCACCAACAGCGTACGGTGTTCCTTTTTCTCCACATCCTTGCCAGTATTTGTTATTGTGTGACTTTTAGATATAAGCTATTTTAACTGAGGTGACATGATATGTCATGTAGTTTTTGTCATTCTCTGATGATCAGTGCTACTGGGCACTTTTCATATGCCTGATTGCCATTTGTATGGCTTCTTTTGAGAAATGTCTATTCAAATTTTTGCCCATTTCTAAATCACATTATTAGACTTTTTTCCCCAGGGAGCTGTCTGAGCTCCTTATATATTCGGGTTATTAATTCATTGCCAGATGGGTAGTTTGCAATGGGTATTTTTCTCCCATTCTGTGGGTTTTATCTTCAGTTTGTTGATTGTTTCCATTGCTGTGCAGAAGCTTTTTAACTTGATATGATCCCATTTGTCCATTTTTGCTTTGGTTGTCTATGCTTGTGGGGTATTGTTCAAGAAATTTTTGCCCAGACCAATGTCCTGGAGAGTTTTTCTAAGGTTTTCTTGTCATGGTTTTATAGTTTTAGGTCTTAGATTTAAATATTTAATACAAGAAGGGAGAAAAATGGCAGACAGGAGGCAGGACTGAATTGCAGCTTCCACTCAGACTCATAGAGCAGTGTGTGGAGACATGAACTTTTGCTCCAAGAACTACCACAGGAACATACCAGGAAGGCTGAGAGAATCCACAGACCCTTTAAGGGAAGCAGGTTGCTCCTGCAGATCCCAGGAAACAGCCCAAAAACTGTGAGTGCCCAAAGTGTGAAAGTGGGAAAGAGGGATAGTCCATCCCCAGACACACACCCTCAGTGGGGAACCTGAAGGTCCAGATTATGGGAGAAGGATTTGACCTTACCTGGAGCTGAGACAACTTGAGGGAACTAAGCAAAATACAGGGGTAGAAGAAGCAGCGAAAAGAGCCCTATGGGCTTTCTCAGCCCCCAGGAAAGCCATTTCTGACTTTGTCTCGCAGAGGTCCTTGGAGAGGGCTGCCAGAGGAACTGAGAAAAGACCACAGAAAGAAGGAAACTTCCAGCTACTTTGTAACAGTTTTGACCGAATGCAAAGATCCCTGGACAGAACTCTAAAGAAGGGGTGAATCTGGAGTGCAGACACAGCACAGAAGCCACAGCAGGCGCAGAGGCATGAAACCTGAAAGCCAGGAGGCTGGTAGCCTGGGGCAAGTTCTCAGTCCTGCTCACCCACTGCCATTAAACAAACTCTGTGCTGTTAAGGGGTCAGGGTGGGAGTGAGACCAGCCTTTTGGGTTGCATAGGACCTGGATGAAGCCTGTCACTGCCAGCTTTCCCCAGTTCCCTGGTGACCTGCATGACACAGCAGAAGCAGCCATAATCCCCCTGGGAACATAACTCCGTTGGCCTGAGAACCACACCCCCATCTCCCATAGCAGCCACAGGAAGCCCTGCCCAAGGAGACTCTGAGCTCAGACATGCATAACCCTGCCCCCACCTGATAGTTTTTCTCTACCTACCCTTGTAGCCAAAGACAAAGGACATATTCTCTCCTGAGCTCTGGTGTCCCACCCACCACATGATCACTTCTATATTACCAGAGCTGATGCTCTCTTGAAAGCACCACCTCCTGGCAGGAGGCCAAAGAACACAAAATTAATGCAATAAACTACAACTAACGACCCTCACAGACTCCATTTTACTCCCCTGCCACCAGCTCCACCAGAGCAGGTGCTGCTATCCACAGCTGAGAGACTGAAAATGGCTCACATCACAGGACTCTGTGCAGACACCCCCCAGTACCAGCCCAGAGCCTGGTAACTCCATTTGGTGGCTAGATCAAGATGAGAAATAACATTCACTATAGTTTGGCACTAAGGAAGCCACATCCCTAGGAAAAAGGGGAGAACACTACATCAAAGGAGAACCTCATGGGACAAAAGAACCTGAATGGCAGCTCTTGAGCCCAGATATTCCTGGTGACATAGTCTACCAAAAAAGGAAAAAAAAAAACAGAAAAAAACAATTCTGGTAATATGAAAAAACAAGGTTCTTTAACCCCCCAGCAAAGATCACACCAGCTCACTAGCAATGGATCCAAACCAAGACGAAATCTCTGAATTGCCAGAAACAGAATTCAGAAGGTCAACTATTAAGCTAATCTAGAAGGCACCAGAGGAAGGTGAAGTCCAACTTAATGAAGTAAAAAAAGGTGATACAAAATATGAAGGGAAAATATTCAGTGAAATAGCTAAATAAAAACAATCACAACTGGAAATGAAGGACACACTTAGAGAAATGCAAAATACACTGAAAAGTCTCATCAATGGAATCAAACAAGCAGAAGACACAACTTCAGAGCTCAAAGACAAGGTTTTTGAATTAACCCAATTAAACAAAGACAAAGAAAAATGAATTTTAAAAAATGAACAAAACCTCCAAGAAGCTTGGGAGTACGTTCAATAACCAAACCTAAGGATAATTGGTATTCCCGAGGAGGAAGAGAAATCTAAAAGTTTGGAAAACATATTTGAGGGAATAATCAAGGACAGCTTCCCTGGCCTTGCTAGAGATCTAGGCAACCAAATACAAGAAGCTCAACGAACACCTGGGAAATTCATCGCAAAAAGATCATTGCCTAGGCACATAGTCATCAGGTCATCTAAAGTCAGGACAAAGGAAAGAAGCTT
The DNA here is from genome assembly GCF_000001405.40 of Homo sapiens. Taxonomy (NCBI): domain Eukaryota; kingdom Metazoa; phylum Chordata; class Mammalia; order Primates; family Hominidae; genus Homo; species Homo sapiens. Next base: position 47,311,827 of record NC_000013.11, read on the forward strand.
AAGACCTGTGAGACAAAAGCATCAGGTAACCTATAAAGGATAACCTATCAGATTAACAGCAGATTTCTCAGCAGAAACCCTGCAAGCTAAAAGGAATTGGTCCCTATCCTCAGCCTCCTTCAACAAACAATTATCAGGCAAGAATTTAAGCTTCATAAGTGAAGAAAAGATAGAGATTTTTTTCAGACAAACAAATGCTAAGAGAATTTGCCACTACCAAGCCAGGACCACAATAACTGCTAAAAGGAGCTATAAATCTTGAAACTCATTCTCAAAATACAGCAAAATAGAATCTCCTTAAAGCATAAATCTCACAGGGCCTATAAAACAACAACAATAAACAAATTTTTTAAAAAAGTATTCAGGCAATGAACAGCACGATGAATACAATAGTACCTCACATCTCAATACTAACATTGAATGTAAATGGCCTAAATGCTCCACTTATTTGGCAGAATGGATAAGAATTCACCAATAAAGTACCTCCTGTCTTCAAGAGACTAACCTGACACATAGGACTCACATAAACTTAAGGTAAAGAGGTGGAGAAGTATATTTCATGGAAATTGATACCAAAAGCAGGCAGGAGTAGCTATTCTTATATCAGAAAAAATAAACTTTAAAGCAACAGCAGTTAAAAAAGACAAAGAGGGACATTATATAATGATAAAAGGACTTGTCCAACAGGAAAATATCACAATCTTGAATACATATGCACCTAACACTGGAGCTTCCAAATTTATAAGACAATTACTACTAGACCTAAGAAATGAGATAGACAGCAACACAATAATAGTGGAGTTATTCAATACTCCACTGACAGCACTAGACAGGTCATCAACACAGAGAGTCAACAAAGAAACAATGGACGCAAACTATACCCTAGAGCAAATGGACTTAATAGATACTTACAGAACATTCTGCCCAACACCTGCAGAATATACATTCTATTCATCAGTACATGGAACATTCCCCAAGATAGGCCATATGATAGGCTGAAAAACAAGTGTTAATAAATTTTAAAAATTTGAAATTGTATCAAGTACTCTCTCAGACCACAGTGGAATAAAATTGGAAATCAACCTTAAAAGGAACCCTCAAAACCAAGCAAATATATGGAAATTAAATAACCTGCTCCTGAATGATCATTGAGTCAACAATAAAATCAAGATAGAAATTTTAAAAGTCTTTGAACTGAATGATAATAGTGACACAATCTATCTAAACTTCTAGGATACAGCAAAGGCAATGCTAAGAGGAAAGTTCATAGCATTAAATACGTACATCAAAAAGTCTTAAAGAGCACAAATAGACAATCTAAGATTACACCTCAAGGAACTAGAGAAACAAGAACAAACCAAACCCAAACCAAGCAGAAGAAAAGAAATAACAAAGATCAGAGCAGAACTAAGTGAAATCGAAACAAAAAAGATACAAAAGATAAATGAAACAAAAACCTGGTTATTTGAAAAGATAAATAAAATTGATAGTCTATTATGAAGATTAACCAAGAAAAGAAGAGAGAATCTCTAAAGAACCTCAATTAAAAATGAAACAGGAGATATTACAACTGATACCACAGAAATACAAAAGATCATTCGAGGCTACTATGAATACTTTTACATGCACAAACTAGAAAACATAGAGGAGATGGGTAAATTCCTGGAAATATGCAACCCTCCTAGATTAATCCAGGAAGAAATAGAAACTCCAAACAGACCAATAACAAGCAACAAGACTGAAATGGTAATAAATACATTGCCAACAACAACAAAAAAATCTAGGACTAGATGGATTCACAGCTGAATTCTATCAGACATTCAAAGAATTGATACCAATCCTATTGAAACTATTCTGAAAGATAGAGAAAGAGGGAATCCCTCCTAAATCATTCTATGAAGCTAGTATCACTTTAATACCCAAACCAGGAAAAGACATAACAAAAAAACAAAACTACAGACCAATGTATACCTGTCTGGGTCTTTTGTGGTTCTATATAAATTTTAGGATTGTTTTTCTATTTATATTTCTGTGAAGAGTGTCATTGATATTTTGATAGAAACTGCACTGAATCTATAGATTGCTTTGGGAACCACGGACATTTTAACTATATCGATTCTTGTAATTTATGAACATGGAATATCCAAAATTTTCTGAAAACTGCAAACACTGGTGAGAGAAATACAAGAAAAGCTATACAAATGGAGAGGTATTTATGGATTAGAAGAGTCATATTGTTTTTTTGAGACAGAGTCTCACTCTGTTGCCCAGGCTGGAGAGCACTGGTGCAATCTTGGCTCACTGCAACCTCTGTCTCCTGGGTTGGAGCACTTCTCCTGCCTCAGCCTCCCGAGTAACTGGGATTACAGGTGTTCTCCACCACGCCCGGCTAATTTCTGTATTTTTAGTAGAGACAGAGTTTCATCATGTTGACCAGGCTGGTCTCAAAGTCCTGACCTCAGGTGATCCACCCACCTCAGCCTCCCAGAGTGCTAGAATTACTGGCCTGAGCCACTGTGCCCTGCCTCATGTTGTTAATATATAAATTCTCCCCAAATTGATCTACAGCATCAATACAATTCCTATTAAAATTCCATCAGGTATATTTTTAATTAACAAACTGATTCTAAAATTTACAAAGAAAATGCCAAATACTAAAAATAGCCAAAACAACTTTGAAAAAGAACACTATCTGATTCAAAATTTACTATAAAGCTATAGCAATAAAAACAGTGTAGGGCTGATATAGAAGTAGACAAATATATCAATGGAACAGAATAAAGAATCCTGAAATAAACCTATATATATATATGTGTGTGTGTGTGTGTGTGTGTGTGTGTGTGTATTGATTTTTAATAAATGTCTCAAAGCAATTCAGTGGCAAAGGATAATTTTTCAAAAAGTTGTGCTGACACAAGTAGATATTCATATGCAAAAATATGATCCTCAAACAATACATAAAAATTAACTTGAGTCACAGGACTAAATATAAATTAAAGTGATATAAAATCCAGAGATACATTTAGGAGAAAAATCTTAGTAACCTTAAGCTTAGCAGTGATTTTTTAAAACATGACATTAAAAAGCATAAAGTATAGAATAAAAGATTAATAAATTGAAGTTTAATTTGTAATAAAACTTTTCTTCTTCAAAAGACAATGATAAGAAGAAGTAAAGGCAAGTCATAGACTGGGAAAAATATTTGCAAAACAGATATCTGAAAAAGGATTTGTATTTGTAATACATAAGGAATTCTTATAACTCAAAATAAACAACATACTACAAAGTGGACAAAAAATTTGAGTGTATGTGTCACCAGAAATTGATTTGTTGATATGATATGAGGTAGGGGACAAGATATTGTCATGACCTTGGGATGGGGAAGATATCTTGTCACAAGAAATGCTAATGCTGAAGGAAAAGTTTTGTAAATTACATTCAAATTGAGAACCTCTTGTCAAACGATACTGAGAGAATAAAAAGTCAAATCATGGCGTAGGATAAAATATATGCAATACATAGAAATAGCAGAAAACATGTTTCTAGAACATAAAAGGAACTCCTACGTGTTAACAGAAAATAATTTCTACAAGTTTTCTGTAAATCTGAAACTGCTCTAAAAAATACAGTATATTTTTTAAAACATGGAAGGAAAGAAGGAAGGAAGGATTAACTCATTAGAAAAAAGAGCAAAGTTGAACAGACACTTTCCTAAACATGATATCCAAGCAGTTAAACAAGCATATGAAAAGGTGCTTAATTTTTGTATAAGGTGTAAGGAAGGGGTCCAGTTTCAGTTTTCTGCATATGGCTAGCCAGTTTTACCAACACCATTTATTAAATAGGGAATCCTTTCCCCATTGCTTTTTCTTGTTGGGTTTGTCGAAGATCAGATGGTTGTAGATGTGTGGTGTTATTTCTGAGGCCTCTGTTCTGTACTCAAGATGGATTAAAGACTTAAACGTAAGACCTAAAACCATAAAAACCCTGGAAGAAAACCTAGGCAATACCATTAAGGACATAGGCATGGGCAAAGACTTCATGACTGAAACACCAAAAGCAATGGCAACGAAAGCCAAAATTGACAAATGGGATCTAATTAAACTAAAGAGCTTCTGTACAGCAAAAGAAACTATCATCACAGTGAACCGGCCACCTACAGAATGGGAGAATTTTTGCAATCTATCCATCTGACAAAGGGCTAATATCCAGAATCTACAAGGAACTTAAACAAATTTATAAGAAAAGAAAAGAAATAAACAACCCCATCAAAAAGTGGGTGAAGGATATGAACAGACACTTCTCAAAAGAAGACATTTATACAGCCTACAAACATATATAAAAAATGCTCCTCATCACTGATCATTAGAGAAATGCAAATCAAAACCACAATTAGATACCATGTCATGCCAGTTAGAATGGCGATCATTAAAAAGTCAGGAAACAACAGATGCTGGAGAGGATGTGGAGAAATAGGAATGCTTTTACACTGTTGATGGGAGTGTAAATTAGTTCAACCATTGTGGAAGACAGTGTGGCGATTCCTCAAGCATCTAGAACCAGAAATACCATTTGACCCAGCAATCCCATCACTGGGTATATACCCAAAGGATTATAAATCAATCTACTATAAAGACACATGCACACGTATGCTTATTGCAGCACTATTTACAACAGCAAAGACTGGACTGAACCCAAATGCCCATCACTAATAGACTGGGTAAAGAAAATATGACACATATATACCATGGAATACTATGCAGCCTTAAAAAACAATGAGTTCATGTCCTTTTCAGGGACATGGATGAAGCTGGAAACCATCATTCTCAGCAAACTGACACAGGAACAGAAAACCGAACACCACATGTTCTTACTCATAAGTGGGAGTTGAACAATGAGAACACATGTACATAGGGAGGGCAACATCACACACCAGGGCCTGTTGGGGGGTGGGGAGAAGGGGAGGGATAGCATTAGGAAAAATACCTTAATGCATGCAGGGCTTAAAACCTGGATGACAGTTAATGGGTACAGCAAACCACCATGACACATGTATACCTATGTAACAAACCTGCATGTTCTGCACATGTATCCCAGGATTTAAAGTATATATATATTTTAAAAAGGTGCTTAAACTTGTTAGGGATTCTGGAACCAGAACTTACTATCACAACTATTTGCTAAGCAATCACCACAGCGATTGAAATTGAAGACTAACAATACCAAATATTACCAGTACACAAACTAGAATTCTCATATGCTATGAGTACATAACTGTTTGTCAGTATCCACTAACGCAAAAGTGTGATGCCATATGACCCAGTGATTTCATTCCTGGATAGGTGTACACAGGTTTCTAAAAGTATATATGTTCAATAAATAATGTTTATAGCAGCACTTTCGTAATTACACTAATCTGAAACAACCTAAATTCAATGGTAATAGCATAGTGGTACAGTCATATAATAGAATATTATATAGCAATGGGAATTTATTGGCATATGGATGGATAATTTCACCAACATACATTTGGCAAAAGAAGACAGATACAGTAGTATATACTGTAAAATTCCATTTACATAAGGTTTAAAGAAGGTCAAAATAAACAACTTTGATAGAAGTCAGGCTGGTGTGTAACTTTGCAGGGAGAGGATCATGACTGAGGGCACAGAGGTTGTCTGGAGTGCTGCCAATATTCCATTTCCTGTGATGGTGGATGGCAGTTTCATGGGTGTGTCCACGTTTTGAATATTCATCAAGCTGCATACTTACCATTTGTGCACCTTTCTATGTACCGAATCTGTCTGGCAAGTAACGAGCTTTCTTTAGAGAATGGCAGGAGAGCCAGAGGAAAGTGGGATGAAACAGGCATCAACCAGACCTGTTGTTTCCATTCTAGTAATGAGAGATGTTGTACTATTAATTTAGGTCTACTGTACCTTGATCCTTTGAAATGTTTTCGGAATTTTTTTCCATGTAGTTTCAGTGTGTGCTGGCAAATTCATCTCGTTTTGTTTTTGCTAAAACACACCAAGAAGTTGTGCCTGCATCTGATCCTCTATGCTATTAGCAGTTCCCAGGTACCAGGTCCCCACCTGCATGAGTACTACATGGACAAGCTACTTTGATGGCTCTCAAGTCCCATCTGCCCTGGAGAGGTCTCCACAGTGTCCTTGAAAGATCCAATTTTACTTTCCTCCTTCTTCCTCCTCCCCCTCCCACCCAAGGTTTCTTTAGGAAGAAGAAGAAACCCTTTTATTCTTCCCTGCTATCTGTTTTATTCTCCTAGAAGGAATTTCTTCTTTTTTTCTAAAACATTACCATCAGAAATCAGAAATGGTCACAATTCTTTTGGAAAAAAAATGCTTTATTGAGGTATGACAGACATTCACAAAGCTGTATATATTTAATGTGTATGATTGGATGAGTTTGGAAATATGTATACACCTGTGAAACCATCACCACATTCTACATCATAAACACACATCTACTCCAAAAGTTTATTCCCATCCTCTTTATTATTTTTTTTGCATGTGATAAGAACACAAGATCTCTGGTTTTAGAGAATTTTAAGTATACGATACAGTATTGTCTATAATAGGCACTATGCTGTACAGTAGATCTCTAGGACTAAATCATCTTCTGTAACTGAAACTTTGCACCCTTTGACTAATTCCTCCATTTTCCCCACTATCCCTCAACCCTAGCAAGGACCATCCTACTCTCTGCTTCTTTGACTATTTTTGTTTCCTCATATAAGTGGTATCAGGAAGTATTTGCCCTTCTTAAACATTGATAAGTTATTAAAGTTGCTAAGAGAGCATGCAAATGTACATTTCCCCTGAGGAGAACTTTTTATTGGAGTGGAAGTGCTATTTGTCTCAAAAAATGTCATTGTCTTGTTTGATTTTTCAGAAAAGGGGATGAGGAGGTAGGGAAATATTTGTGTTTCTTTTGTTCAAATATATGATGTAAAGTGTTCTCTATGTGCTGTTTATATGAATGTAGACTGGTTCAACAATAATACTGCTGTCAGCCCTAGAAGAGGATCTAAACTTCTGAGGAAAGCATATTGGTAAATAAATATTGATACATCCTACAACCTTTCATAGATACTGCTTGGATAGGCTCAGAATGTAAAAGGTGCTTTCTTTTCTCTTTCCTTTTCCCTCCCCTTTTCCCTCCCCTTCTTCCTTCCTACTTCCTCATTTTCTTTTTCTTTCTTATTTATTTTCCTCCTTCTCTGCTACCCAAGCAGATCACTGTCTAATGCAGACTCACACATATTTCTGATTAAACTAAAAACTTGAAGGACAAAAATGAATTTGAGCAATGGTCATGTTTCCAGGCAGTTTATTTCATTTCGAGTGGAGACCAGGGGTCCTGGAATAAAAATGTGAAGAATTTGCTGTTCTAGCAGTTGGATTGAAGAAGGGGAAATTCAATTCAATTATCTTAGAAATCCATTAGCTAATGAATAGTTTTATCAGTGTTCCCAGAAAAGTTTGACTCAAATGCTTTGGTGGGCAACTGCTCAGCTTAGAAGAGACTGAAGAGGGGACGTACTAGAGGAGATGTGGCTTGCAGAAACTTACATTGTAAGCCAGAATCTGTCATTTGGTAGGAATCATTTGGTGGGGAACATCAGAGAGCTGGGCTGAAGATAATGTAGCCATAAATTCCATTAGGGTAACATAAGCACAAGGCTTCTGAATTTGTAATGCTTTTCTTTGAAAGGTGAATAGGTGATTGAATTCATTGAGAACTCATACAAGTTACATGCTTTGTGAATAGGGATTGATTGATAAGGGTGGCCTATTTATTGAGTCTATAAATGCTTATTTCTCAAATTTATAGCATAAGGCTCAAGTATTTGCATCATAAACTCAGAAGGGCAAGTTCACTAGTGCCATTTTATTGAGGATTCACATTACATATTCCTTTCTCAAAGATGCCTTCCTTAACCCTTTAGGGAATGAAACCTATTTCTAGTTGCAGTTCTACCTTATTATGCTGCTATTTTCTGTTTATTGTCTGCAAACCTCCTACACCACAATGCAAGTTTATCTTATTTTGGGAGCAGGAACTCAACTTGCCTTGTGGAGTCCAGAACACAGAAGTTATTAAATATTAAACTGAATAACACAGCAACTAATTGTCAAACATACTCATGATGGTGCCCATGAAAGTACATTTTTAAATCTCCTAGCACTAAGAATAGAGGCAGAAGTATAGGAATAGCCTCTTAAAAAATTGTGAATAAATAGATAAATGGCTCAGTGACTGAATGAGTACAGGTACATAATCAATCTGAAAACCCAAGTGTGGGCTGAGAGTAAGAAATAATGTGTCAGAGCTTTGATGGTTTATTAAATGACAGTGACATGTTTCAGGGGCACTTCCACCTTGTGTGCCTGAGATACGCACATTGGATACCTGAAGTTCTAAACCAAAGTATATAAATAATTCAAAGTTCCTGGTGCCTTTTAAATATTAGCAGTTCCTGGAAGCTCCTCCACTCCCCTCTATCTCCTCTAACTGAATGTGTACCAAGTGGCCATTTTCCACACACCTTCTTAGGTTGTATACTGCTATACGATTTATCTTCTTCTCTTGAGTTCTCTGAACAATCAGCTGATCACTAATTTATTTTTACCTTCATCATCTCAGTCACCACAAATAACTGTTGAGCCCCTCTCTATGACAGATATGTACATTGGGATGGGCAGTTAGGAGGGTCTACATTGCAGTGGGAAGGATAATGACCCCGATAGATGCCCACATTCTCATCTCAGAACCTGTAAGTATGTTACACGGCAAAGACAACTTTCCAGGTATGTTAAATGTTATGAGATGGGGAGATTACCCTGGATTATCCATGTTGACCCAGTGAAATTACAAGGGTCCCCATATGAGAGAGGCAGCAAGGTCAGAGTAAGAACAGATGATCTGACAGCAGAATCAGAGGTTGAAGGAGGCTCATGAGCCAAAGAGTGGGGGCAGCCTCAGAAGCTGGAAAAGGCATGAGAACAAACTCTACCTTGGAGCCTCCAGAAAGAACTCAGTCCTGTTGACACCTTGATGTTAGTACAGTGAAACCCATTTCAGACCTCCCAAACAGCAAGATATTAAATTTATGTTGTTTTAAGCCACTAGGTTTATGAGAAGTTGTCACAGCAGCAGTAGAAAACTAATTCAACAGAACAGCAAGATGAGAAGTCTAACCTTAAGGAGCTTACAAGACAGTTTATCTTTGACTTTTCACATATGACCTTCTACATATAGTAAGTTGTTGAGTCTTGAACACACCTGCATGCTCTCTTTACATTCTCTATAGCTTTTATTACAACCTTTACATCCCCACCCAGGCTTTCACCTTTAATTCCCAGTTAATGTTTTTATTATTATTATTATTATTATTATTATTATTTCACAACTTAGCTAATGTAATAGCCTCCTGATGGTTTTCTCTCTTTCTGATTCTTTCATCCTTCGTGGACCAACTTGGTTAACGTTCTTACAAAGCCACTTGATCACGGAGTTAGACTCTCAGAGTTTATGGGCTAAAGAGTCAATCTATCATAATCATTATTCAGTGCAACAACAGAGCATCAGCCCTGCTCAGAAACATTCAGTTCTTCCACATTCCTGCCACACACAGCGCCTTCTCTGTAGGCTGGAGTGTTAGTAAGTCTTTTGTTATATTAATTCTACTTTTCTATTCATATCTCTCCCCATTTATTCTCCAAAACTAGTGAACTAAATGCTCAAGCCACCTTCTACATCTTCTTCACCTATTCTCATGCCACTTCTTTTCCTAAACGTGTGCTTCTCACAATATTATCTATCAGAATTTTATTTCCTCCTCAAAGTGGTGGAACCATTCACCAGGAGAGAACTAGGTTTGAGGCTCTGTAGAGTGTAAGATACCAATCCCTGTAATTGTTTATTTCATGTGTATCTTTCAGGGTCAATCTTGCATTGTTGTTTTAGTATACGCAGCATCCCTATCATCTAGCACACACTACGCAGCACCTAACTACATACTTGCACATGGCAGACACCCATAAAATATTGATTTAAAATGAGCTCACAGAAATATTAACCATCCATTAGCTCACTTGCAAAGGCAAGTTACATCAGTGTTATGATGATTCACAAATAGTAAAAGAAGCACAAAAAACAAATTGTACACCTGTATCTTCCATTTTTGTGCAAGATTAAAAGATCAAATTCTAGGAAATGATTTCAAATAATTAAAGTTGATAATCTGTTTATAACATCTCCAGGGTTTATAATCACTGACAGTTTTTATTTAAAAAGTTATCTTAGCTGTCACACTTGTTGTAAATCCCTGGAGCTGAAGTTGTATGGTGAATAGAGTATCTGGCTCCATTCTTCTGCTTTAGGCCACATACATTTCCATGTTTTCTGAAATGTATTTCCTAACTAGCTCTTTCCCACTGTTACTGTGAGGGCACATCTTGGCTTTTTAGTGACATCTTGTCTGTCTCCCTGGGTGTATGCCTCATGGACTATAATGAGTGAAGCAACTAGGGCAAGTAAAGAAAGCTCTGGTCTAAGAGCAAAAAATCCTGGCTATTGTCCTGGCTTTGCCACTATTGATTTATATAACTGCATCAAGTCACTTAACTTCTTTGATCTTCAGTCTTCTCATGTGTGACTGAGGAGTACTCTCAACTTCAAAGGAAGCCCAAGAAGTGGGATTCATATGGCTATAGATGACTTTATTCCATGCTTCTTCATATAACTTCTTCCTGGGGCCCCCAGCAATGGGTCTCCCTAATGATATGTCTTCCATATGCCCAGAGTACCTCCTTCTGTGAGAGAGGAGAGGGAAAAGTCTTCATGCTGGCAGTACTCTGGATAATGGGAACTTGGGGTGTCTCTTTGTTGCCTCCTGGATAAGGAAGAATTATGATGGGAGGCTCTCAGAGCCAGCACCTGCTGCCAGCAGTGACAGTGGGCCATCCCACTCCTCTCTGCTTGCTTGGTCTTAACCACATAATTTTTAAAAATTTCATCGGAGACAGCACACGGTGGGAATAAAAGTCTAACCTTGGAATCAGATTGCTTGCTGTCCTGACTGTCAAGTGTTAGCTGTAATGGTTGGCAAACTACTTAGTCTTTATGTGCCTTAGTTGTTTCATCTGGTGAATTTAAGATGATATTAATAGTACCTAATTTCAAGGATTGAGTGAATAAATGTACAATGTTTAAAACAGTGCATGGTAGATAGAAAGTACACCATGTCATTTAGCTGTTATCATGAAACTATCAGTAGCAGGAGTAGCAGTAAGAGGAAGATAAAGAGAAGGATTAGGAGAAGGAGTAAAGGTTCAACAGCTTTCCTTCCCAGCAGAACACAGCCCCCAGTGCTCTGAATGGCACTCAAAACCCACACCACCTTGTCCTTGATATGCTCCAGTCTCCTTCCTCCATGTCCTCCAGCCAAGTAGCCTGACTGCTCTTCTAGAACCCACCGTACATTTCCTGTTTTCTTTGCTGTTGTTTTTCTCAGGCAGAATGTTCTACCTTTCCTTCTCTACATATCAAAATTGTATCCATATTCCAACTTAAAGCTAAATGGCATCTTTGTAAAGCCTTTCCAAGTCATCCAGTCATATTTAAGCTCTCTTTCCCATGTTTGTCCACCCTTTAATCTTCTCATGTGGTACTGCTTTCCATTCTCTTTCATATTGGAGTTAGTGGTTTCAATTTTAGGATCCCCAGCTATATGGTAATTTCCATGAGGGCATAACCCTCCAGGGCTTATATTTGCCCTCTCTATCTCCTGGGTTAAACTGCCCATCAGCACAAGGCACTCAGTGGCCAGGAAAGCTGGTGCCACACATCCTTCTCCATGCACATCTTCCTTCCTTAGACAGTTCCTGCTTCCATGCTATACATCTGTGGGCCAAGAGAAATCAACAGAGAGCAATAACTATAGCCATCTTCATCGCTTTGAAAAAAACTAATAACCAAGGAGAAGGAGAGAAATTTGCTGATACTACATTGTGGTTCTTTGATTGGGACAAAAATATAACCCCTCTACCTGTTATTACCCTCCAAAAGGTCCATAATGTACCAGCCTTAACATTAAGCAACACTTATATTAGAAGTCAAACATAAAGATGATAAGTGTAATTGCACAGTGATTCCAAGTTTGAGCAATGGAAGAGAGACAAGTAGAAAGCAGAAGGTGAGACATTGCAGGAAATGGAACGGATATTGAAGCCTGAGAATGAATCCAGGAGTCTACAGATAAAGTCTATCCTTAAAACCTAGGCTATTTAACATATTCTTCATGACAGACTCTAAATACAGATATTATTTCTGTCAATTGAAAGAATTTTGTATTTTATATCAAAAACTGAAAGAAAGAAATTCAGCCAAGCTTTAATATTCATACTTTTCTCTGGGGAAGACATACTGTCATATTGAAAGGTTTTAAGTATTTTGCATTTTTTGCATCTGATTTCATCTCCCTTCATTATTTAATATTCAAAGTGTTTCATTCTTCAATTATAAATTGCTCCTGTTTAGTTTCTTGACCACATCTCAATGTTCTTTGTAACCATTTTAATTTTTTAAATACTTGAAATAAAATAGGATTTCTTAGTATTGAATAATGGAAGGTTTTCCCTTCAGCCATACAAATCATTGTTTTATCTTTTTTATTTTTAAAATAATTGTGGTTAAGCAAGTAACTGAGAAACAGGTCTAGATATTGTGTTTGAAAGCAACATACTAGAGTTCTTTAAATGAAATTAAAAGACTAAAAGAATTTTCAAAGGACATTGTCTCCCATATGAGTTACTTATATGCTAAAACCATGTTTTCTTTTAGTTAATGTCAATTATATGATTTCCATGCTCAAAAAGAAGAAATTCAGGATTGAGAGCAATGTCAAGGTTATGCCATGAAGGAAGATCTAATTTGTAAAGGGAGGGAGAGAATTGAACCTTCTCACCTCTTGCTCTTTCATTGCTACAACCTGGAGAAAAAAAAAAAAAAACCTGATTTTTGCCCTTTAGTGTAATGGACAAGGTGGGAATAAAAGTTGGCTTTTCTTTCAGCACCTCTGTGCTTTTCAGAGAGAAATCTTCATGAATAGGGCAGTAGGGACGTCTGAATCTAGAGAACGAAAACCCTTTTCGTAGCCTTTTTATTTTCAGGGAGGGTGAAGGTGGGAGTATTGATTCTACTCAGTATAATCCGTTTGAGACAGTTCTAGTTATGTTTTTATTCTAAAAGCCTAGTAGTCATGGTATAAGAATTATCTTCCTCCAATTCTCAAGCCAATGTTTTTCAATATGTCATCCCTGAGCATTCTGGGCAAACAGGGCCATCTTCTTTAAGCCCATTTTTCTTTGATTTGGAAAAGCTTCTTAGAAGACTATCAGAAGTGAGATACCTGCAAAGATCAAAGGAAATGTGTACTTACAATGTGCTTGGTTACTCTGCTTGTTGGAAGCCTTAGTTTCCATGTTTCAGGCTTGGTTTGGTGGAAAGAATTTAAATTTGTACCTACAGATTTCATTGCATCTACACTATAAGATAGTTGGTATTATTTCAATGAAGAGGCAAGACAGAAGGTTCATTAAGGAGGAGTAGGCTTTTACCTTTTTTTTCTTAACACTCCTGTATGATACGACATGAGTACACACACACACTCCATTCAAAAAACAAAGCATCTGTTCTCTAAGAACCTGCCCTCTAAATAGGTAACTGATCACATGAGGAAGGCACAAGAACATATACTGCAACATACAAACTAATTTCCTATTTAAATAAGAATAATAATAACAACAAACCCTTATATACCATTTACCACTCAGTAGGAACTGTTTAAAGCACTTTACATGCATGTATGTATTCATTCCCCATAACAACCTTACGTAGTAAGTACTATTGGAATGTGAGTTAGGCTGAGTAGAAGGAACATGTACTCTATCTTTCTCCCAACCATAGTGCCAAGACCAAGTGAGCTCTTTGAAATTTAAGATCACAACTCTTCTTTACAAGAGATTGCTTTATTCCAGCAAAGGTGATGAACAACAGTGGCTTACAGTTTACAATGCCAGAATGTCAGTTGGTAAATTGTGCTATATAGATTTTAATTAATACATTGTCATATATTTAATTAATTTAGTTTTAATCCCCTACACCATGTTTGCATGGAGTAAGCATGCATATAGTGAATGAATGAATGAAAACTTAGTTCTGTTGGAAGAAAAGAGATTAGGAAGAGAGGACTGTCCAGGAGTCAACTCAACACAGTAAACGTTTAGTGTAGATAAGGAAGAGAGGATTGTCCAGGAATGAATTCAATAAGCATTTAATGCAGACCAAGCTGCATGTGGGGTGTCAAAGCACAGAAGGATGAGTCAGGCAGCACTTACTGAACAATGTCTTGGAGGCAGAAGTGGGAAATGAGCCCTGACATCCAGAACTCTGGAGAACACATGTGTCAGGATATGAGGAAAGGATGAGACAGAACAAGGAAAGGCCTGAGAAATTTCAGAAGAATTAACTGCATATGGTGGCATGCACCTACCGTTGGGTGTCATCTTTGATGAAATCTTAAAAATTAAGATTTAATTATGGTAATGAGTTAAACCGAAGTAGAGATGGGTTCTGAGATTTTGGTTAGAACTGTTGTCTTGCTATAGCTTTCATGTTTCTTTCTATACCCTCTGTGTTTCTAAAGAACTATGAAGTGAAGGCAAAGATCTACTCTTTTCTATTTCTATGAAAACTGTACTTCTTTTGTGGGGTTGATGGTACATAACCATGTCTAACTATGTACCACTGACGTGAGTTTCAATATGTGGTTCTCTTCACAAACAAGCTTCAGTTTTGTATGGTCATTCTCAAGACTCTACTGACATTTGCTCCATAGGACCACAGACATCAGAGTCCTTACAATGTTAGTCAAAAGTAATCTCTCTCTGTTTCTCTCTCTGTGTCTCTGTCTATCTCTGTCTCTTTATTTCTCTCTCTGCCACACACACACACACACACACACACACACACATGCACGCCTGTGCTCACACAAGTTATATAATCCTGTCCCAGGTCCAAATACTATTTCTAACTGCCTCATTGATTTTTATTATTTCAACTAAGCTATTTACAGGTATCCTAAGCACTTTATAATATTAAATACCACAAAATATACTGATATCATATAATCTAATTGAGGAGAAAAATATATATGTTAAGTTTCAAATGCATAATGAATATAGCATTTTATACTAATGTATGTTTCTGCTTTTAAGGAACTTTCTTATATGTTACCTACTTTGATCTTCAAGCAAAGGTTGATGGGAAGTTAAGGTTGATGGGAAAATTATCAATATCCCCATTTTAGGGATGAGGGGCTGATGCAGGGAGTTAATAACCAGCACATGATTACATAGTTAGTATGTGATATGGTTAGGAACCAAAGCCTTCATAACATCTTCTGAAATATGATCCACTGTTTCACAATTGCCCCATTTGTCCTTTGAATAGGACCAGGGAGAGACAAATGCTGACATTATAATAAAGAGATTCTGGGTCACAGGACTTGGAACCACACCGTTCTATTGGGAGAGGAAAGCAGAGTGGGGAATCTGAAAGTGAATGAGGCCTGAGGCCAAACCAGAGAATGGCTGAGTGGGAATGGGGCCATTGCAGATTGAACAATGCTGAGTGGACATGGGAAAGGTACCAGCTGGAAATGCAGAAGGCAAAATGGGTAGCTATTCCGGCCAAATAGGTACGTGATTGAAGCAGGCTGAATCAGTAATTGAAAGATAGGACTTTCTTCCAGGAAAAGATTTCACATCTCTGTCCTACCAATAATAAGACCCAAGAGGGGCCACATATTAATCAGATGACTAAGTACATGTATAGCTATCTAAAGCTTGGGCAAGCCAGGTTTAAGAAAGAGGAGAAATTCTCCCTAAACTGATTCAACACAAAGCCTATCAAAATGCCAACAGAAATGAAGAAGTAAATCCCACATTTTATATAGGATGCAAAGGATCCAGAATAGATAAAACAATTTTTTAAAAGAACAATAAAGTTAGAGGACTTTCACTTCCCAATTTCAAAACTTACTCTAAACTACAGTATTTAAAACAGTACAGTGCTGGCACAAGAGTAGACATATAAATCGACAGAGAAGAATAGAAGTTCAGAAATAAGCCCTTATCTCTGTGGTCAACTGGTTTTTTGCAAAAGTGCCAAAGGGATTCATTGAGGGAATAAATCATCTCTTCTGCAAATACTGCTAGGATAATTAGGTATTCACAAATGAAAAGATTAAAGTAGATCCTTACCTCACACCATGCACAAAAAGAGTACCCCAAAGGGGATCATAGACCTAAATATGGTGGATAAATTTACAAAATTTTTTAGAAGAAAATCTTTATGACTTTGAGTTAAGCAACATGTTCCTGATATGACACCACAAACATAAGCCATAAAAGAAATAAAATGATAAACTGGACTTCATCTCATACTTTTAGATTGTATTTGACAGTTCAGTAGGATCCAACAAAGGAGAAGTGTACGTTCAGTCAGCTTGCTGCTTGTCCTCTGCTCTGCTCTGGGAAAAAAACAAAAAACAAAAAAACAAAAACCCAAAACACAGTAATAGTAATTGTAGTAGTTTCCTGTAGCTGCTGTAACAAGTTACTGTGAAACAGAGGACTGAAATGTCACAAATTTATACCTTACAGTTTTAGAGATCAGAAGTCCAAAATCCATTTCACTGGGCTAATGCCAAGGTGTCAGCAGGGCTGGTTCCTTCAAGAGGCACTAGAGGACAATCTATTTTCTTTCCTGTTTCAGCTTCTGGAGACCACCTACATTGCTTGTTCAGGGCCTTTTCCTTCTTCAAAGGAGGGAGCATCACAGCACCTTGCAATTCTCTGTCTCTGATGTCTGCTGGCTTTATCACATTGCTTTCTCTCCTGCTTCCCTTTCTGACCCTTCTGCCTTCCTATAATAAGGAACCCACCTGAGTAATCCAGGGTAATCATGCCATCTCAAGATACTTATTTTAATCACATCTGCACTGTTCCTTTTGAGATGTAATATATTTCACAGGTTCCAGGGATTAGAACGTGGACATATATACATATATTTTTTGGGGGGATGTCATTATTCAGCCTATTTCATTCATTAACAGTATCACCAAAAATATTAATTCTGAAATTACCCAGTGTATCAATTCTTTTAGATGATACAATAAGATAAATGTAATAACATTTTGATATATATAATTTAATCTTAATAAATTGTCTCTTTTGAAAGAAATGTGTGTGTGTGTGACTATGTTGCTGTGTGAAGGAGACTGTCAGATTTGAGAGCTGATTCTGCACTTTTAGTTTGATACTAAGAAACTAAAAATACCACTAAATGCAAATTACAGATATAGGGATCATGGTGTGAATGGACTATCACATTTCTAGTCCTTTTGAGGAAAGGCTACACTTTTGGGTAATTGTAGGACACCAGCTGGCAGAATATTTAGAACGACATTATTTCTTTATTTTTTTAATTTTCTTAAACATCTGGTGCCTTCTAGATTTTTATGTCAGAGAATTTTAATTTTTTCTTGAGTTCTTCAAATAATTACTCCTGTCATACATTCACAGCTTCAACTTGATTTCCTTCCTAAAATTTAAGATTATTTTAAATCCTTGTGTTAAAGTTTGTGAATCTCTGATATAATAATTTAAGGATGCACTGATTACATTTCCCCTAGGTTAACAATTTAATAGTGTCCTACTGAACAGAATAGGATCTACTTAGGAAAAGTGACGTGAGTGATTTTAGAAGTTTGAAGTTTTTAACATGTCTCCTGCCATTCCATCCTATACCTAGGGGTAATTATTATTCCCCAAGGAGAAATAAATTCATCTATTCACTTTTATTTATATCCTGCTTTGTTAAAAAGCTTTATGAAATTTGTTTTGTTTTGTTTTCATTCGAAAATATGTGTCTAGGGCAATTACATTTGTTATAAAAATCTCAATGACACTTTTAAAGTTTCTCCTTGAAACCTTCCAGCTCAGAAGTGAAAAAAGCTTCCAGTAGTCTTTAGAGCCACATTTTGAACTCAGGTGTCTATAAACCATCTCAAATAGTGGATTGGAGTTGGCACATCAATGATAGCTAATATATTGAGTGCTCTCCTGGACACCAGCCTGGTACAGTGTGGACTCCCTTCACTACCCCTGAAATCCGTGTATGTCCAGCGGGGTTCTAGCACACTCAGTGCCAAGGGATAGTGGGTGCAGTGCTCCCAGTGGGTTACGCCTGCTCAGCTGGTGCTGGGAAGTTGATATCCACTCTGTGGTTGGGGGATCCCATGTGGCTAGAGTCTAAACTTCAGCTCGACGTGAAGTACTTTGCAGGCATTATCTTCGTTAATCTCATAACTTTCTTATGAATAGGCATCATAGCTATTCACATTTTACAGGCAAGGATGCTGAGATAGATCTGAAAATAATTTCTCTAGTCTCTGGAATGAATTCAAGAAATTCTCATTCACTATTTTGGCTCTACTTTTCAATATTGCTTAAAAACATGGATGTGGGGTCTGTCTGAATTTCAAACGTGAGTTGAGCACTTAATAGCCCAGTAGCCTTGAGCAAGTTACTTAACTGCTCTATGCCTCAGTTTCCCCATTTGTAAAATAAAGATAGAAACAGTGCTTTTCTCAAAGGATTGTCACAAGATTGCCCGAGACAGGACATGTAGATTACTTGAAACAATGCCTGACACATTGTAAATATTAACTACATCTCATTTTTATGTTTTTTAACTCATTCTTTGTATTATATTTTGTATGTGATTTTTTTTTGCAGTTAGAAAGTAAGTTCCCTGAAGAAAGGATTCTGCCTTATTCATCCTGAATGTCTTGGAGCACCTAGCACAGAGCAGTCCCTCAATATTTATTTTGTTTGTGATTTATTTTTTCATTCACATTATGAAACACAGTTTCTGTCCACATTAAATTTATTACCATCAGAAAAGGTCCAAACTTGTCTTCATACAGCAGGGCAACAAAATTAAATAATGTGGTACCTGCTAGACTGAATAGGAACGCTGTGCTGTGTATTGATGGATGGTCTGAACAGATTTCATGGGAAGAGAGGACTATTTATCTGCTGACATGCTTTTATTGGCTCCTGCCATTGTTGGTGACACTTCTCTTGCATAATAAACTCTCACTAATTATAGGCAAATAACATTTTTTTCTTAGCCTGTTTCATTAATTTATGTGGAACTCCTTTTTTCAAAATCTGTCCTAAGCAAAAGAAAATAAGATTTTGGGAAGACAGCAAAGTAATTAAAGCCTGTTGAAATAGCTTGATGCTAGAGATAGAATACTTTGAAAATATTCAGAGATACAGATTGCCACATCTGAGTGGTATTCATCCAAGGAAGCTATGCAATTTACTAATTAGTTTATCAAGTCACTGGCAGTTGTTTTCTAAGGTCAACAGAAAATTAGAAAATTGTTTTGAGCATTTGAAAGGAACCAGATCTAGTTCTAATATATACTCCCCCCAAAAAAGTTGATCCAGGCAATTGGTTCAGTACAGGAGGGCTTTTGGAACATTTTGTTTGCTTTGTACACTGGAATGAGAACAAAATGAGGTAATTCATTTAATGGTGCTTTGAAAAATGTTATTGCAGACTTCATTGTTAGTGTATGTAAAGCACTATTATTACTAGAAGAAATCAGCCCATAAACCCTAACAATGATAAAACTGATATTAGGGACATGTTATTTAATTCATCAGGATTAACTAAACAATTTATAATAATTTCTTATCACCTGTGATTCTATATTGTGCCTATAATAACAGCACTGGTTACCATTTGTTGAGTACTTACTATGCACTGGATCCTTTACATTTCACACCTCATTTATTACTCACACTATTTTTGAGAATTATAATTTCCATTTTACAGGTGAAGAGCTATAGGTTAAGAGAAATTAAGAGGTTTGCTCAAGATCACACAGCGCAGAAAAGTCCTGGGTCTCTTAGACCTTCAAACCCATGTCTAACTGCTCCAGGTCCCTGCTCTTAACTTCAAACCACACCATCTCTTGCTCTTCACTTTAGGCTCCACAGAGACCCCTACTTCTGTGGACTGCCCATGCTGATCCTTGGCCCTCTATATTCCTTGTGCTCTCTTCTTACTTTTAGTACTACACAGTATAATTGTTTATAAAAATCAAAGTGATCTGAAGTATTAGACTTTTTAAAATCCCTAATAAGGCATCATAATATGTGTTCTTCAAAACTCAATAATACAGGTGTTGGGAAACTCAAAGGTAAAATGGAGACCAAAAGTGCTTTACCGTCACAGAAACTAATCCTCAGTGGTGGACGGAAAAGCAATATGTGACACATTAACTGTGACACTTATAGGCCACCTCCCTGTTCTCTGAAAAAGAAACATTCCATTCCGTATTAGTTCATTCTCACATTGCTATAAAGAAATAGCTAAGACTGGATAATTTATATACCAAAAAAAGGTTACATTGGCTCATGTTCTACAGGCTTTACAGGAAGCATGGCAACTTCTGCTTCTGGGAAGGCCTCAGGAAACTTACAATCATGGGGGAAGGCGAAGGAGAGGCAGGCCTATCAAATGGCAAAAGTGGAAGCAGGCCAGAGGAGGGGCAAGAGAGAGAGAGGGAAGGTACTATACACTTTTAAAAAACTAAATCTCGGCCAGGCGCAGTGGCTCACGCTTGTAATCCCAGCACTTTGGGAGGCCAAGATGGGCAGATCACCAGGTCAGGAGATTGAGACCATCCTGGCTAACACGGTGAAACCCCAGTGAGCCGAGATCGCGCCACTGCACTCCAGCCTGGGCGACAGAGCGAGACTCCGCCTCAAAAAAATAAAATAAATAAATAAATAAATAAATAAAATAAAATAAAAACTAAAAAACTAAATCTTGCGAGCACTCACTCACTATTGCGAGGATAGTTCCATGGGGGAAATCTACCCCCTTGATCCAATCATTTCCCACCAGGCCCCACCTCCAACACTGGGGATTACATTTCAACATGAGATTTGGGTGGGGATACTCTTTCTTCTCAAAAGAAATCATTAAGTATGGTCATATTTGTTATTTTTCATAAAACATGGATATCTCATTTTAGTACTTAACAGACTCTTAAAAGATCACAAATAGCCTTAAGTTTAAAAACGAGGCTCAAAAGATTTGTACCAAGTACAAGGTCATAAAGATGCCACATAGATGTGTTCATATGCACCTCCATCAAGCAAGCACAGTTACATTATGACTTTAATTCATTCACATATTTCTGCATTCACTAGTTCCATAAATATTTACCAAGTCCTGGCTAAGTGTCATGCACTGGGCAAAGTCCTGGAGAGTCACCGTCTTACTCCTTAAATGCTTAGCACCTGGGGAGTGGATACCAACATGAAATTAGACAATATCAAATCTGGGTAATAAGTGATAAGCAGGGAAGTATAGGGTACCTGGAGAGTAAACTGAAGGGCCATGTTACCCATCTAGAGAAGGTGATGTCAAAGCTAGGCCTAAAGAATGAGTGGAAGTAGCCAGGAAGTGACAATAGCAAATACATGTGTCTCAATACCCAGTGATGGAAACTCTGGCTCAGAGAAGAGACAGGAATCATTCCAGCCTTCTGACCCTGCGAGATGTGTAGAAAGGATTTCACGTCTGCTGAGAATATAGACAGGAGTAAAGAGGAATCTTTTGAAAGTGATACCAGGAGTTATATCATTCATTTCGAGAATTAGCGAGAAATCCAGGTGAGGAAAGCTTAAGGGATTTAGGCCCACGTTTCCATCAGACGAGTAGCTTGGGTGAGATGCAGATGTTTTGCATTTGCAAATTTTTCTCAAAAGAAGACACACAAATGGCCAAAAGGTATAAGAAAAAAATGCTCAGCATCACGAATCATCAGAGAAATGCAAATTCACAGCCGCCGAGGTACGGCATCCTAGGGTTGGTGGATGAAGTTAGTCTCATCAAGTCTAATTTCTCAGTATTCGCAGCGCTCAAATGTGAGAGTGAGACTGTCGCTATGGGATGCATAAGTGATCTTCACCGGTAGCTAGTCTCTCATCCCTGGTACATTTTGCCATAGTGAATGCACTGGTTATGTGCACATTTGTTTCCTCCTTGGATGCATTCTTTTCTCACCAGGGGCTGATTCTGACCATCTGTAGCATCTGAACTCCTTTCTCTCTGGCTTCCAAATTATTTCAATGAAAGAAAAATACTGCCAGAAGATCAGAAGTTGGGAGGAGAAAAGGTTTTGAGTATCTCCCCTAGCCTCTTACCCAGCTTTAGCACATGTGTCTCTTTACGAGCAGCATCTGCCGGCAAACCCTCCCCCGTGGCTCTGGCTCCCACTGGGCTACAGGAACACTATTTCTTCCCTCTACTCCATCAGCCTCAGGACTGGTAATGGGTTTCTGGAGTTGTTCATCACTGGTGACTCAACATCTGCTGTTTGTCCTTTACCCCTGCTTATACTTCTGTAACTATTCCTTCATTAAAATCTCTATTTTCTGCCAGAATCCTGACTGATACAGTGACTCAACAGTGTTAACTCTGCTTCCTATTTTATTTTGAAGATGAGGGAACATGTGGTTCTGGGACAAAATGCCAAATGGCTTCTGAAGTTTTAAAGCAACACAATGCAGTCTGACCAAAACTTTGATCTTCTAGAAGAGAAATAGACTAAACCATTATTGTCAGGTGCCATAATAGATGTAGTTAACCTTTATAACATCACCATGATGCATAATGCACCCATTTTATAGATTATAGTATTTTTAAAAATTAAGAAACATGCTTAGTATCATGCACTTAAAAAATGACAGAGATAGGGTTTTAAACTGGGTCTACCTGACTCCAATGTCTATGGTTTTTTACATGAGCTGCTCCCACATAATTCACAAACTTATTCTTCCAATTTGAAATCTTGCATTTTGGTTCCACTTTACATAATTATCTACAACTGGATGTTTCATTGTCACCTCAAGAGTGAAATCTCTCTACCTCCTATTCTCTCTGTCTCTTTCACTCTTTTCTGCTGCCCCAATGTCCCAACTTAACAGTGTTTTCAGAGTCTTGTTTGCTTTTTCCACAATGTGAGAAGCTCAGAGATTTCTGTTTGTTGTCACATCAGTTTGTTGTCAAGACCCCAAAATGTATCCCAACAAACTGAGTGGTGCCTTCGGCTGTGGCTCCTGCCCAAAATGAAGCAAACATCCCTTTTCCTATTTCTTTCTTTTTTTTTTTTTGAGACGTAGTCTCACTCTGTCGCTCAGGCTGGAGTGCAGTGGCGCGATCTCGGCTCACTGCAAGCTCCGCCTCCTGTGTTCACCCCATTCTCCTGCCTCAGCCTCCCGAATAGCTGGGACTACAGGTGCCCGCCACGACTCCCGGCTAATTTTTTGTATTTTTAGTAGAGACGGGGTTTCACCATGTTAGCCAGGATGGTCTCGATCTCCTGACCTCGTGATCCACCCGCCTCAGCCTCCCAAAGTGCTGGGATTACAGGCGTGAGCCACCGTGCCCGGCCCCCTTTTCCTATTTCTTTGTACGTTTTCCCTCTATATACTTAGTTCTCATCTAAAAATGCCAAGATTTTAAGAAGATCCTTACCCACCTCGTTTCTCTTCCTTCTCACTTTACACATTTCCAACCATTAATAATTCTTCCCCCTTTTCTATCCGGCCTCCTTTCCCATCACTAAACTCCTCATATACAACTAATCAGAAAACGTAGGGAGAGAAAATACCTGCAAACCACACATCTGATAAGGGATTAATATCTAAAGTATGTTGTATAAGGATTTCAATTCAATAGTAAGAAAACAACTGATTTTTTTTAAATGAGCAAAGGACTTGAATAGACATCAAAAGAAGATATACCAATGGCCAATAGGTATATGAAAAAATGCTCAACATCATAAATCATTGTAGAAATGCAAATTACAACCACAATGAGCTATTACATTACACCAGTTAAAATGGCTATTATCAGACAAAAGTATTAGGGTTGGTGAAGATTTGGAGAAAAAGGAACCCTTGTACATTGTAAGTGAGAATGTATGTTAGTATAGTCATACTAATAAATAAAACTGCATGAGGTTTTCTCAAAAAATTAAAAATGAAACTACTATAATTCAGCAATACTACTACTTTTTATATATCCAAAGAAAATGAAATCTATATGCTGGCAAAATACATGTACTCCCATGTTCATTGCAGCATTATTCACAATAGCCAAGTTAAAGAATAAATCTAGTGTCCAAGAGATGAATAAAGAAAATATGATATACTTTATATACAGAATGGAATACTATTCATCCTTTAAAAAGAAGAAAATGCAATCAATTACAACAACATAAATTAACCTAGAGGACATTAAGATAAGCGAAATAAGCCAGGCACAGACTGACAAATATCACATGGTCTGACTTATATATGGAATAAAAAAAACTGAATTCACAGAAGCAAAGAGTAGAATAGTAGTTACCAGAGGCTGGGGGTAGGGAAATTAGGTATAAGTTGACAAAAGGCACAACGTTTCAGTTAGACAGTAGAAATAAGCTTAAAAGATCTACCTTACGGTGGCTATAGATGATAATAATATACTGTATACTTGAAAATTGCTGAAAGAGATTTTCAGTTTTCTCACAACAAAATAACTGTGAAGTGATGCATATGTTAAATAGATTGATTTAACCTTTCCAAAATGTATACATATATCAAAACATCATGTTATACACCATAAATATACACAAGCTTTAGTCTTCAGTTTTAAATGATAAACAAATTCTATATAATACAAAGAATATGTTTATAAAATCTAGAGATATGCCATACAAAGAGACTGGGAGACTCAATAGTGCTAAGATATCAGTTCTCCTCAAATTGGTCTATAGATTCAACAGCATTCCAATCAAAATTGAAACACTGATCTCAAAATTCATATGCAATGCAAATGGCTAGAATAGCCAAAACAATTTTGAGAAAGAACAACAGAGTTGGAAGACTTATTACATTTGATTTGAAGACTCATTGAAAAGATGCAGAAATCCAGGAACTATGGTATTAGCATAAATATAACTATATAGTGATCGATGGAACAGAGTAGACAGCCCTAAAATAGACACAAAAATGCTATTTGGAACAGTACCATGGCATTTCAATATTGAAAGGGTAATCTTTTCAATAAGTGGTCTTGGGAGAACTGCCTATTCACATAGACACAGATAAACTTTGATGTCTACCTCATATCTATGATGTATATGAAAATTAACTCAAGATAGATTATAGACCATAAATATAAATGCTAAAAGCATCAAACATTTTGGAGAAAAAATATAGTAAATATTTTGACAACCTTGGCATAGGAAAGATATCCAGTGACCCAACAGGCATTAAGCTTAAGAGAAACAAATGATATAATGGACTTTCTCAAATTAAAAGTTTTTTGTATTTAAAAATATTGTTACAAAACTGAAAATGCAAACAACTAAGCTGCAAAAGATGTACTTGTATATGACAAAACAACTCATATCCAGAATATATAGACAACTTCTCCAAAGTAATAAATAATATTTGATTTAATAAATAATAAAACAATATTTGAAAGACTTGAATAGACTTTTCTCAAAAGATGATAAAGGTAGTCAATAAGAACATAATCATAAGCTTTATATTATTAATCCTAAGGTAAATACAAATTAAAAACATGAAATATCAGTTTCTATGTGCAAGACTGGCTAACATTTTTTAAAATGACCATATCAAATTTTGGCAAGGATGTAGAACTGGAACTCTCATATTTTGCTGGTTGGAATGTAAATGGTAGAACCATCTTGAAAAATAATTTGGGATAGGAGGTGGCGAGGAAGCAGGACTAACTTGCAACTCCCACTAAGACAGACAGAGCAGCATGTGGAGAACCACATCACGAACTTTCGCTCCAAGAACTACAGTAGGAACATACCAGGAAAGCCGTGAGAATTCACAGACCCTTTGAAGGAGGTGGATTGCTGCTGCAGTCTCTGTGGGACAGCTAAGGAACTGTGAGTCAGCTTGCTTTCTCAGCTGGGAGGCTTGTAGCCTGAGACAAGTTCTCAGCCGAGCTCAAAGGCTGCCTGGAAATAAACTTGGTGCTGTTGTGGAGGGCATGGTGGGAGTGAGACCAGCCTTTCAGGCTGTGGACTGCATGGGAGCTGCGTGAGGCCTGTGGCTCCTGGCTTTCCCCCACTTCCCTGGTAAGCTGTGTGATGCAGCAGAGGTGGCCATAATCCCTCTGGAAACATAAGTCCATTGGCCTGGGAAGCACACTCCCATCCCCCACAGCAGCTGCAGCAAGCCTCACCCAAGGAGAGTCTGAGTTCAAACAGGCCTAACCCTGCCCCCACCTGATGGTCTTTCCCTACCAGCCCTGGTAGCCAAAGACAAAGGACAAAATCTCTTGGATGCTCTATGGCCCTACCTACTGCCTGATCCTCCCTATGCTACTGCAGCTGATGTGCCTTTCAAAGCGCCACCTCCTGCCTGGAAGCCAACCAACACAAAACCAATACACTAAGAAAAGTACAACCAAGGACCCTCACAGAGTCCACTTCACTCCCCTGCTACCTCCACCAGAGCAGGTGCTGGTATCCACGGCTGAGAGACCTGAAGAGAGATCACATCACAGGACTCTGCAGACACTCCCCAGTACCAGCCTGGAGCCTGGTAGCTCTGCTGAGTGGCTAAATCCAGGAGAGGAAAAATAATCACTGCATTTTGACTCTCAGGAAGTCCCATCCCAAGGGGAAAGGGGAGAGCACCACATCAATGGAGCACCCCACTGGAAAAAAGAATCTGAACAGCATCCTTTGAGCTGCATATCTTCCTTCTGACATAGTCTACCCAAATGAGAAGGGACCAGAAAAACAATTCTGGTAATATGACAAAACAAGGTGCTTTAATGCCCCCAGAAGATCACACTAGCTCACCAGCAACAGATCCAAACCAAGACCAAACCTCAGAATTGCCAGAAAAAGAATTCAAAAGGTCAACCATTAAGCCAATGAAGGAGGCACCAGAGAAATGTGAAGTCCAACTTAAAGAAATCAAAAATATGACACAAGATATGAAGAAGATCTTCAGTGAAATAGCATAAATAAAAAACAATCACTACCTCTGGAAATGAAGGATGCACTTAGAGAATTGCAAAATGTGAAATCGCCTTTGCAAAATTATAACTGAGGAAATAATGACAATGAAAGAAATCAGACCTAACCAACTCTGTCTTGCTTTTAATCTTTAAGCTGTCCTTATTTATTCCTGGGCATAGGCCAAACTAACTTTGGGAAGGAATTCAGTTCACGCTTTGACTCTGAAACAAAATTGATAACAGCCCTTTCCTCAAAAGACCCCCTTCTTGCCTGGGGACCAGTCTGACTTTGCAGGACTAACAAATTAGCTACAAGGTTAGAAATTACAATTTAGGGGTCTTGCAGCCTTTGGCTCCAATAGTCTGAACCTCCCCAAATTGCTCTTGGGGATAACAACACTACTGTAAAACCTAAGATCAGTGCTTGAGATATTTTTCAGACCCTGCACTCAGTGGATCAGCTGACACAACCCAGACTGGTAATCTGGCTCAACCGTTCTGCCATCCCACCCAGGGACAAAAGACAGCAAGAAAACTTCACTTGGACCCCCCATGATTCCATCTACAACCTGACCAATCAGTACTCCTCACCTTCCAAGACGCTACGCACCAAATTATCTTTAAAAACACTGATCCCCAGCGTTCTGGGAGACTGATCTGAGTAAAAAGAAGACTCTGGTCTCCCACACAGCATGAGTTACTCTTTCTCCATGGCAGTTCCCCTGTCTTGATAAATTGGTTCTGTCTAGGCAGCGGGCAAGGTGAACCCACTGGGCAGTTACAAATGCACTGAAAAGTCTCAGCAATTGAATCAAACAAGTAGAAGAAAAAACTTTAGTGCTCAAAGACAAGGCTTTCAAATTAACCCAATCTGACAAAGACAAAGAAAAAAGAATTTTAAAAATGAACAGGGGCCAGGCACGGTGGCTCATGCCTGTAATCCCAGCACTTTGGGAGGCCAAGGTGGGTGGATCATGAGGTCAGGAGTTTGAGACCAGCCTGGCGTTGTGGTGGGTGTATGTAATCCCAGCTACTCAGGAGGCTGAGGGAGGAGAATCACTTGAAACCAGAAGGCAGAGGTTGCAGTGAGCCAAGATCATGCCGCTGTACTCCAGCCTGGGCGAAAGAGCGAAACTCTGTCTCAAAGAAAAAAAAAAAATTTTTTTGAACAAAGCCTCCAAGAAGTTTGGGATTATGTTAAATGACCAAACCTAACAATAATTTGTATTCCCAAGGAAAAAGAGTAATCTGAAAGTTTGGAAAACATATTTGAGGGAATAATCAATGATAACTTCCCCAGCCTTGCTAGGGATCTAGACATCCAAATACAAAAAGCTTAAAGAACACCTCGGAAATACATCACAAAAAGATCATTGCCTAGGCACATAGTCGTCAGGTTATCTAAAGTCAAGACAAAAGAAAGAAACTTAAGAGCTGAGAGGAAAAAGCATCAGGTAACCTATAAAGGATAACCTATTAGATTAACAGCAGATTTCAGAGCTAACCCTATAAGCTAGCAGGGATTGGGGTTCTTATGTTTAGCCTTCTAGAATAAAATGATTATCAGTCAAGGATTTTGTATCCCATAAAACTAAGCTTCACAAATGAAGAAGAGATAAAATCTTTTTCAGACAAACAAATGCTGAGAGAATTTGGCACTACCAAGCCAGCACTACAAGAACTGCTAAAAGGAGCTCTAACTCTCAAAATTAATCCTTGAAATACACCAATATAGAATCTCCTTAATGCATAAATCTCACAGGACCTATAAAACAAAAACACAATGAAAAAAAAAAAACAAAAAACCCAAGGTATTCAGGCAACAAATAGAATTAATAGAAGAGTGCCTCACATCTCAATACTAACATTGAATGTAAATGGCCTAAATCCTCCACTTAAAAGACACAGAATGTCAAAATAAATAAGAATTTCCCAACCAAGTATCTGCTTTCTTCAAGAGACTCACCTAACACATAAGGACTCACATAAACTTAAGGTAAAGGGGTGGGAAAACATATTTCATGCAAATGGGCACCAAAAGTGAGCAAGAGTAGCTATTCTTACACCACACAAAGCAAATTTTAAAACACCAGCAGTTAAAAAAGACAAAGAGGGACATTATGTAATGATAAAAGGACTAGTCCAACAGGAAAATACCACAATCATAAATATATAGGCACCTCACACTGGAGCTCACAAATTTGTAAACCAATTACTACCAGACCTAAGAAATGAGATAGAGAGCACCACAATAATAGTAGGGGACTTCAGTACTCCACTGACAGCACTAGACAGGTCATCAAGACAGAAAGTCAACAAAGAAATAATGGACTTAAACTATACCCTAGAACAAATGGACTTAACAGATATTTACAGAACGTTCTACCCAACAACTGCAGAATATATATTCTATTCATTAGCATATGGAACATTCCCCCAGACAGACCATATGATAGGCCAAAAAACAAGTCTCAACAAATTTAAGAATATAGAAATTATAACAAGCACTGTCTCAGACCACAGTGGAATAAAATTAAATATATATGCACCTCACACTCAAAACCTCAAAACCATGCAAATACATGGAAATTAATTAACTTGCTCCTGAATGATCATTGGGTCAACAATAAAATCAAGATGGAAATTAGAAAATTCTTTGAACCGAACAATAATAGTGATATAAGCTATCAAAACTTATGAGATACAGCAAAGGTGATGCTAAGAAAGTTCATAGCATTAAATGCCTACATCAAAAAGTCTGAAAGAGCACAAATAGACAATCTAAGATCACACCTCAAGGAGCTAGAGAAACAAGAACAAACAAAACCCAAACCCGCAGAAGAAAATAAATAACAAAGATCAGAGCAGAACTAAATAAAATTGAAACAAACAAAAAACAACACACAAGATAAATGAAACAAAAAGCTGGTTATTTGAAAAGATAAATAAAATTAACAGATCATTAGCAATGCTACCTAAGAAGATAGAAGCTCCAAATAAACGCAATTTGAAATGAAATGGGAGATACTACAACTGATACCACAGAAATACAAAAGATAATTCAAGGCTAATATTAACAGCTTTGTGCACATAAACTAGAAAACTTAGAGAAAATGGATAAATTCTTGGAAATATACAACCTTCCTAGATTGAACCAGGAAGAAACAGAAATTCTGAACAGACCAATAACAAGCAACAAGATTGAAATGGTAATTAAAAAGTTACCGGCCAGGCGCTGTGGCTCACGCCTGTAATGCCAGCACTTTGGGAGGCCGAGGCGGGTAGATCACGAGGTCAGGATATTGAGACCATCCTGGCTAACACAGTGAAATTCCATCTCTACTAAAAATACAAAAAATTAGCCGGGCGTGGTGGCAGGCGCCTGTAGTCCCAGCTACTTGGGAGGCTAAGGTAGGAGAATGGTGTGAACCCGGGAGGCAGAGCTTGCAGTGAGCCAAGATTGCGCCACTGCACTCCAGCCTGGGCAACAGAGTGAGTCTCCATCTCAAAAAAAAAAAAAAAAATGTTACCAACAAAAAAAAAGTCCAGGACCAGATGGATTCACAGCTGAATTCTATCAGACATTCAAAGAAGAATTGGTACCAATCCTACTCACACTATTCCAAAAGATAGAGAAGGAGAGAATCCTCCCTAAATAATTCTATGAAGCCAGTATCACCCTAATACCAAAACCAGGAAAGGCCATAACAAAAAAACTACAGATCAATATTCCTGATGAACATAGATAAAAAAAAAATCCTTAATACTAACAGAATCCAACATCATATCAAAATGACAATCCGCTATGTTCCAGTGAGTTTCATACCAATAATGCAGGGATGGTTTAACATCCACAAGTCAATAAATGTGACACACTACATAAACGGAAAAACAAAAATTACATGATCGTCTCAGTAGATGCAGAAAAAAGCATTTGACAAAATACAGCATTCCTGCATGATTAAAACCCTCAGCAATATCTGCATAGAAGGGACATCCCTTAAAATAATAAAAGCCATCTATGACAGACCCAAAGCCAACATTATACTAAACAGGGAAAAGTTGAAAGCATTCCCCCTGAGTACTGGAACAAGACAAGGATGCCCACTTTCACCACTTCTATTCAACATAGTACTGGAGGTCCTAGCCAGGTTAATCAGACAAGAAAAAAAAAATAAAGGGCATCCAAATTGGTAAAGAGGAAGTCAAATGGTCCTGTTTGCTGATGACATGATTGTATACCTAGAAAAGCCTAAAAACTCATCCACAAAGCTCCTAGAACTGGTAAATGAATTCAGTAAAGTTTCAGGATACAAAACTAATGTACACAAGTCAGTAGCACTGCTATACACCAACAGTGACCATGCTGAGAATCAAATCAAGAACTCAACCCCTTTTCAAATAACTGCAAAATAAAATACTTTTTTTTTTTTTAGAGACTCACCCAACACATAAGGACTCACATAAACTTAAGGTAAAGGGGTGGGAAAAAATATTTCATGCAAATGGGCACCAAAGGTGAGCAAGAGTAGCTATTCTTACACCACAGAAAACAAACTTTAAAACAGCAGCAGTTAAAAAAGACAAAGAGGGACATTATGTAATGATAAAAGGACTAGTCCAACAGGAAAACATCACAATCTTAAATATATATGCACCTCACACTGGAGTTCAAAAATTTATAAAGCAATTACTACCAGAGCTAAGAAATATACTTAACCAAGAAGGTGAAAGGCCTCTACAAGGAACACTACAAAACACTGCTGAAAGAAATCTTATATGACACAAACAGATGGGAACACATCCCATGCTCATGGATGGGTAGAATCAATACTGTCATTGAATCAATATTTGTAGATGCCAAAAGCAATCTACAAATTCAATGCAATTCCCATCAAAATACCACCATCATTCTTCACAGAACTAGAAAAAAAAATCCTAAAATTCATATAGAATCCACAGGGAGCCCACATAGCCAAACCAAGACTAAGTGAAAAGACCAAATCTGGAGGCATTACAGTACCCAAATTCAAACCTTACTATAAGGCCATGGTCACCAAAAAAGCATGGTAGTAGTATAAAAACAGGCACATAGACCAATGAAACAAAATACAGAACCCAGGAATAAAGCCAAATACTTACAGTCAACTGATCTTTGACAAAGCAAACAAAAACATAAAGTGGGGAAAGGACACCCTATTCAACAAATGGTGCTGTGATAATTGGCAAGCCACATGTAGAAGAATGAAACTGGATTTTTATCTCTCACCTTATACAAAAATCAACTTAAGATGGATGAAAGACTTAAATCTAAGACCTGAAACCATAAAAATTCTAGAAGATAACACTGGAAAAATCCTTCTAGACATTGGCTTAAGGCAAAGACTTCATGACCAAGAACCCCAAACCAAATGCAACAAAAACAAAGGTAAATAGATGGGATTTAATTAAAAAACTTCTGCACAGCAAAAGCAATAATCAGAAGAATAAACAGACAACCCACAGAGTGGGAGAAAGTCTTTGCAATCTATACATCTGACAAAGGCTAATATCCAGAATCTACAAGAAACTCAAGCAAATTAGCAAAAACAAAACAAAACAAGAAAACAAACAAAAATGATCCCATCAAAAAGTGGGATAAAGACATGAATAGACAATCCCCAAAAGAAGATACACAAACAGCCAACAAATATATGAAAAAATGCTCAACATTACTAATTATCAGGGAAATGCAAATCAAAACCACAATGCGATATCACCTTACTTTTGCAAGAATGGCCATAATAAAAAAAAATTAGATATTGGCATGGATGTAGTAAAAAGGGAACACTTTTACACTGTTGGTAGAAATGTAAACTAGTACAACCACTATGGAAAACAGTGTGGAGATCCCTCAAAGAACTAAAAATCAATCTACCATTTGATCCAGTAATCCCACTCCTGAGTATCTACCTAAAGGAAAAGTCATCATTAAATGAAAAAGATTCTTGCACATGCATGTTTATAGCAGCACAATTTGCAATTGCAAAAACATGGAACCAGCCCAAGTGTTCATTATTCAATGAGTAGATAAAGAAAATGTGAAATATATATGTGATATATATACATATATGGCATAGAATATATATATACGTATATACATATATATACGTATATATATATATATATATGGCATAGAATACTACTCAGCCATAAAAAAGGAATGAAATAATGGCATTTGCAGCAACCTGGATTGAATTGAAGATCGTTATCCTAAGTGTAGTAACTCGGGAATGGAAAACCAAACATTGTACGTTCTGACTTATATGTGGGAGCTAAGCTATGAGGATTCAAAGGCATAAGAATGACACAACGGACTCTGGGGACCCAGGGAGAAGGGTGGGAGAGGGTGAGGAATAAACGACTACACACTGGATACAGTGTACACAGCTCTGGTGATGAGAATAAGTCTCAAAAACATTATATTGAGTTTAGGAAACCAGATACAAAACAGTAAACACTATATAATTCAATTTATATAAATTTCAAGAACAGGTGGAATTAAATTTATATGATAAACATTAGAATAATGGTTACCTTTGGTGGTTGATGAGGTGTATTGACTGGAAGGGGAATGAGATTATTTTTAGAAGCAATCAGGGTGTTGCCTTAACTGGGCGATGGTTATATTCATCAAGCTGTTAGGGTGAGAACAGTGTAAAGTACACCACGCAAAATGACAATAGAGATTGTATTTAAAAGAATTGAAATTTTTAAAAATGTGACAAGACTGAGTTATCACTTAACATTATCACTGGAAATATAAGAAAAACTCAAGAGTTGGTTCCATATCAGTCAATGCCATATTAGTAGACTCAGCTGGTGTATTTTGCATTAAAAGTTGTATGTTATGGTCTGAATGTTTATGTAACCCCCAAATTCATATGCTGAAACTCTAACCTCTGAAATGTTGGTATTAGGAGGTTGGATCTTTGGGAGGTGATTAAATCATGAAGGAAGAGCCCTCATGAATAAGAATAGTGCCCTTATAAAAGAGACCCCAGAGGCCCGGCGCAGTGGCTCACACCTGTAATCCCAGCACTTTGAGAGGCCGAGGTCAGAAGTTCAAGACCAGCCTGTCCAGGATGGTGAAACCTCATCTCTACTAAAAATACAAAAATTAGCCAGGCATGGTGGCAGGCACCTGTAATCCCAGCTATCACTTGAACCCGGGAGGCAGAGGTTGCACTGAGCTGAGATCATGCCACTGCACTCCAGCCTGGGTGAAAGAGCAAGACTCCATTTCAAAAAACAAAGAGAGAGAGATCACTTGCCTCTGCCACCACAAGATGACACAGAGAGAAGACAGCCATCTATGAGCCAGGAAGTGGACCCTCATGAGACACAGAATCCACTGGTGCCTTGATCTTGTATTTCCAGTCTCCAGAACTGTGAGAAATAAATTTCTGTTGTTTATAAGCCATGGTATTTTGTTATAGCAGCCTGAAGAGACTAACACATTGTACTCATCAACTTTTAATACATGTTAAGTAGCAGTAAGGGAAATAGTAAAAATATATAAAAAATGTTCTGTTCCAGCCAGGCGTCGTGGCTCATGCCTGTAATCCCAGCACTTTGGGAGGCCGAGGCAGGCAGATCACGAGGTCAGGAGATTGAGAACATCCTGGCTAACATGGTGAAACCCCATCTCTACTAAAAATACAAAAGAAATTAGCCAGGCATGGTGGTGGGTGGCCATAGTCCCAGCTACTTGGGAGGCTGAGGCAGGAGAATGGCATGAACTTGGGAGGTGGAGCTTGCAGTGAGCAGAGATCGCACCACTGCACTCCAGCCTGGGCGACAGAGCGAGACTCCACCTCATCAACAACAAAAATATATAAATAAATATATATATATGTTCTGTTCCTTATTCCACAAATACTAGATTTAATATCCTTGTACCTTATAGCTTTCTCCTGTAATGTTGATCTTATTTTCAATAAATTCAGCAATTTTCAGACATATCAAATAATACATCATTAAAATGTGCATTTGAGGTTTGTTCATTAGTGGAGTGTCAGTTATGCATGAAGTCTGATGATCCCAAATAATATGTATATATTCTATCAGTATGTGTATATTCTATAGTATGTGTATAAATAGTATATATGTTATATAGTATAATATATAACTAAATATTATATATTATATACAATATATATAATATATAGTCTATATATAGTATATAATATAATATATATATATATAATGGTAAGTTCTCAATGTCATTGATATGTTCTTGGAAACTGTGACTTTAAGTGAAATGACATACAGCAGGTCCTTGAATGATGTTTCATTCAATGTAGTTTTGTTACACCATTGATGAGAAAGAAATTGGTTTTGTTACATGTCATTTTGCTCAAAGTCAGTTTCCAAGAACCTATCAATGACATTAAGTGATGACTTACTGTATAATATATACTGTATATGTATGTGTATATATATATTTGCACATACACATGCATGTGTAAACATGTTTATATGAGCAGTGTGTATATAGATATAGGAATATACATATACTATTTTGCAAATAACTTTCATTGAAATGTAATGAAGTCAAAATAAAAAAATGGACTGTATTTAAAGATTCCCTTTATGAAACTCAATAGCAAATATTTAGCTACGTTTTAATACTTTATGTGTTATAACAATATCATTAATTTTGTTGTTTTTAAGCTTTATTTGTACTTGTAAATTTTTATTTTGTAGTTACTTAAGAACTAAAGGCAAAAGTGATTTATATTTTGCAATTCTGTTATTTCAATAAAAATAGTCCTTTTTATTCATTGGATATCCTTATATCATTCAAATGTGAAAAACACTGTATACACACACAAACACACACACACACAAATAATGTGTGTTCTTTGTAGAAAAAACTTTAACCACAGAAAAATACACTGAGTATAAATGAGGAAATGAAAAGCACAATCCCAAAGATAGCCAGTGTTAAC
Source organism: Homo sapiens (assembly GCF_000001405.40). Lineage (NCBI taxonomy): Eukaryota > Metazoa > Chordata > Mammalia > Primates > Hominidae > Homo > Homo sapiens. The sequence goes on from NC_000013.11 coordinate 47,348,060, forward strand.
AGTTTGCCTTTATCCAGATTGATTTAGTCTATTTGTGCTGCTATAACAAAACACCACACACTGGGTAATTTATAAAGGACAGAAATTTATTTCTCACAGTTACAGAGGCTGTAAAGTCCAACATCATGGTGCCAGGATTGGTGTCTGGTGAGGGCCTGCTCCACCGATGGTGTCTTCTCACGATGGCATCCTCACATGGTGAAAGGTGAAAGGGCATAAAGGGGCAAGCTGCCTCTGAAGGCTTTTTTAAAAGGGCACTTATCCACTTTTGAAGGTGGAGTCCCATGACTTAATCACTTCCCAAAAGGCCTCATCTCCTAATATCACCACAATAAGGATTAAGTTTCAACATGAATTTTGAAGGGGATGCTACAATCAAACCATAGCACAGGTTTTTACGCATTTTACAATTTTAGCCATGTGTAGTGGGACCATTTTATATTAGTGGGACAATTTTATTTTGCTTAAGATTTTATCATGTTTTTCTATATCCCAAAATGTTACTGAGAAACATGATTTTAATTGGCTATATGTATAACTTGTAATTTATTTAGCCAATCCTAGATGTATATTTAGGTTTATGAATTTTTTTCTATTAAAAATGTTGAAATATGCAATTATTGTTCATGAATATTTGTTACGATTTTCAAGCCTCTTAAAATTTATCTTACCCATAAAAAGATCAGCTCAATTTCCTCTTTTTCTATGTAATCAAAATGTAACAGTATTTTACATTGATTGGAAAGAGGGAGTCAATAGAGAGGTCCTGGTTTAATGTTTCCTTGGAATTGACCAAAATGATCAATCACCAAATATTGATTGAGCACTTATCATGTGCCAGATCTTGTATTAGACTCTACTCCACGTGTTAAAGAAATAAGTTTTAAAGTCATGTATCTTAAGACCAAGCTAATCATAGACCTCATATTAATAAATTTGTTCATGTGAAGAGCAGGAATGACAAGAAGATAATAAAGCAATTCTAGAACTCTAATCTGTATAAGGAAAATGAGGGGAGGTGGAGGGGGAAGGGAAGCTAATTGAAGAAACACCAGTAAAGCAAAACTTCTCCTACAATCAAACCTTCCTGTCTTGTCATAAGTATAGATGACTGGCAACTCTGTTATTGGATTTTAAGATGATTCTGTTTATGTAAAACTTCCCATGGCTATAAAACCAAGTCTCCACAGCCCCAACTACTAACTTGGGACACACATATTTAAGATACGGTCATTGTCATTTAGACATTGCAAACAGGGATGGTGAATTCTGTCTGAAGTAGCCAATTATCTGTCCAAATCTGTCTTCAGCCTTTCAGCCAGAAGGTTATTTTTGTCATTATAGTTTCTTTTGACAGTATACTTGGATTCCCTTCTGTTACAGAAAATGATGCCCAGTGCAGAGCCTTCTTTCACATATCTGAAGTCTGCTACTGAGTCACCAAATAATAGACATTATGTTTTGTTTTATTCCAAACAGATATTTCAGGTCCAGTGGGAGCTACTGGTTAGAGATGCCTTGGATGTAGGAAATTGGTTCCTAGGGTTGAAAATACATCTACTCCATTTTGAAATAGCAGGAATCTCACAACACAACTCCCATTCTGAAAATGCACTGTAGAAGGAAATCTGTGTTTATCCTATGTGGAAACAAAACCATAAATATAGAATTATAAAGCATTCTGGATGGATCTGTATATAAAGTCAAAGTCTTGTTTAATATTATGCCTATGGGTAAAATTCACTTTAAGAACACCAAATACTCGACCTTCGAGCAGGCGAATGGAAATTATGTCTATTCTTCATAAAACCAACAAGAGGAGACTCTTTCTCTGAGCTATAGAATATGAACAAAAGCAGGATTCGCTGTGATTCTAGATCTGCCGATCTTTTGAGAGACTGACAGCACTGGAGTTTGGAACTTAAGAATCAAATATGCTAAGGAGCATACATAAGAAAATTCCAGCATATCTTAGTGTCCTGAATCCCATCTTCTTTTTAAAAAATAAAAATTAAAATGAAACATAGATCACTTACATGGGTAGGCCCTAATGTTGTGATCATTAAGTCAAAATAAAAAAAAGAGGTCTTTTGTTAATTATCAATATTTGGTGATAATAGATTATACCTAACAAGCTCCAAGCAGTGCCATAAGCAGGAAGGTATTTAACAGATGATTTTTGATTAGGGTGATAGTTATGAGTTATTTTATAGATGAAAATGAGGAGCCAAACAAGTTAGCAATATGATGACTATAATTTCTACACTAGTAAAACATTTAGATTTTTCTATAACATCATTAAAATGTAGATAATTGTCACTTTTTCTATGCTCATAAATTTCCTCTGAGAAACTTTCTCAAAACTTTAATGTTATTATTGACAACCAACTTATCTCTTAGAGAAACTAAGCAGATTAATAAAATTTTTGTAAGTGTTCTGAGTCCTTCAGAAGGAAACCCTGCCCTGAGTATGTAAATGCTGTGGGTTTACATAAGCAATTTCAAAGTTGAGAAGCTAAACTAATAGGCAAGATGCACTTTGCTTTGACCAATTTAGAATTCTTAGAGCCAGATTTTATTAAATCATAATTCAAACCCTCTGAGTTATTCATTTGACTCTGCTGTTGATAGGGGCATGAAGATCCATTCACGTGTGAAAATTGCTGGTGGATTATAATGGACTAACACAAAAGAGTAAACTGTTTATTAACTTGTAAAATTATATTGCCACAGACAACCCAAGACATTAAACTGATGTGTTTTACTTGGATTCACATCCCTCACAGAGGATCATATGCTCAACAGCACATGTTGGAAAACAATTCCTATATCACAGAATCCAATGACATTAGCCTGATTCCATCCACTGAGGAGATGGAATGATTCTGACTCACTTTTCGCATAAAATGAAAAAAAAAAAAAAGGAAAAAGAAAACAGGCCCCAAATCATAGAACTATTACATGGATATTTTTGGTTTTGCTTGCCCAGCCTACCTTCTTTTGGTAACAGCAGTCTTTTATGGGGAGGCAATACTCTTCCTTCTCATTGCATTGAGTCCTGATGGAACTTTATAATTAATGAGCTCTTCCTGCCACCTGCCCTAGGCATGTAGCCCAAGCTCAGCCAACCAGCCTCTCTTTCCTGGGAAAGAAATATGTGGGAAAAGTATTTTTCCTAAAATCTGGTTACTTAGCCTTTTTTTTTTTTTTTTTTTTGAGGCAAAGTCTCACTCTGTTTTCCAGGGTGGAGTGCAATGGCATGATCTCGGCTCACCACAACATCTGCCTCCCAGGTTCAAGCAATTCTGCTGTCTCAGCCTCCCTAGTGGCTGGGATTACAGGCGTATGCTGTCACACCTGGCTAATTTTTTTTGTATTTTTAGTAGAGATGGGGTTTCACCATGTTGGCCAGACTGGTCTTGAACTCCTGACCTCAAGTGATCCACCAGGCCTCCCAAAGTTCTGGGATTACAGGCATGAGTCACCATGCACAGCTATTTAGCCTTTCTTTAGGATCCCTTAGCCATTCTATTTCCTCCCAATAAAATCCTGTCTTGTTTAAATTAATTAGAACCCATCTCTGTTGCTTACAGCCAAAGAATCTAGACACAGAAAACCATAGATCTCTATTGTTGGCAGGGAGCTTAACTGGAAAAAAGTATGTAAAAAACTGTAGAACTTTGGAAATGGAAAAGAAGATGTGAGAGGAATACCTAAGCCACAGTATTGGGCTGTGTTGGTACAATCGTCCTCAGTAATAATGGAGGGAAGATTGAAGGATGGTGTCGTGGCATGCATATTGAAACAGGAATCAAGAACCTGAGCTCAATTCACTTATTTCACAATGAAGGGCACTAAAGCCCAGAGAGAAATTATTTACTGAATGTATTAGAGCAAGCACCAGAATTGAGGTATCCAGGATTCCGATTGAAATTTGCTTAGGTTTGCATTATATTTCATCTTCCTATAAATTTTACTTTCACTCTTTTTAAGCTTTGACATGTCCTAAATTTATAGCTGCTTCCAGAATTATACTCTGTACTCCACAGTAATCAAACATATTTTCTAAAAACTAGCTCAAGATGGTACATAGGAAGGTGTAACAGTCTTCTGTCTGACTTGCCCCTTTCAGTCCTCTGAGCCCCATCCTAGGCGCCATTACATCTGTTCATTCTTATTTTATTTTTGTATTTCAATTTCTCCCACCTTATACCTGTATCATTGATCCTGGCCTTCAGGCTAGGGAGGTCAGACCTAGTCCCATGAAGTCAAACTTACTAGGCAAAGGATATAGGAATAAATCAGATTAGTCAAAAATATTGGATATTTTTTCCAGTTTGGTAGCTGACTTACAAATCAAATCTATCCAGAGTCAAGAAGTACTTAGGGAATATCTCTAGTGTTTCCAGCACTGTTCTAAGTTTTCTGAGAACAAGGAAAATAAAAATCATTCTTTAAAGAAATAAAAAATATATAAGAAAAACTTGTCCGTGTGCTAGCAACAAAAGATACCACATAAAAAAGTCCTAAATTGTATACGACATACCACATCCTATATTCTCTCCGAGAAAGTAACTTTCTGATCCATTGATCAAAAAACTTCTGTCAAAAAATGAAGCCTATTAAAAATTGAAGTTGGCCAGATTCCACTGCATATAAATTCATATTATGGAATTTAATAAACTTAGAGCCAAAAAGAACTCATAAAAACTACAAGCATAATTTTCTTCTAAGAAGCTCAAAGCTACTTAGGGATAATCTCTCAATTTTCTATTCCATTTCTCTGAGAAAGAATTGAGGTATGACTCTACACTCATATTTTTTTTTTCTGGAACATAAATGGAAGGAAAGGCTAACTGTGGTTTTAGAATTGTTTGAGAAAGTATAATTAACTATCATTTTGTCAAAGGTCATAAAGAATTTTTGAAGAGTTGAAACTGGTTGGGTACTGATTGCTCCCTAAGTAAAATAGTGAAACTGAAGGAAGACTCTCCTGTAGCAAATTCATCAACTTTGACCAACATCAAACATGTAATTTTAGAAGGAATTCAAGCCAATAATACAGTAGTAGGCAACACATGTTAGCAAACAACCAAACACCTCCAGTGTCTAATCTTGCTTCTGCTGTTTGCTAAATGTATGATTTTAGACCAATTATTTAAATATCCACACCTGTGAAATTATAAGATCTATTTCTGCTAATATGGTGGACTAAATATAATGACCATTTGAACTAAAATTCTAGATTAAAAATATATTTGAAATCTTTTAAAAAATGCATTGTGTTTTTGACTAAGTAAGAAATTCTGTGAGGCAGAAAACAAGGTGAACGAGAACTTTTTCATGGAATCACTTGATAAACTTTGGGTTTTAGTTTTGCTTTGATGCTACAAAGATGTGAGAACAAGGGAGAAAAGTACAGGACTTATCCTAAGCAGAGACGCTAACAATAGAGACTGCATCCAGTCTGCATTTCTAAGGAATGACAGCCTCAGTGTAAGGTGAATGGGTAGCAAAGCAACCTTCAGTTAAAGGACAAAGATTGAAAACCTGGAAGAAGAAAATACTCATCCCCATTTATGATGCTCACAAGAGATGCATTTAGCATACAGAAACATAGAAATATTAAAAGACTACAGGAAGGTATACTAACCAATAAAACCTAGTGTTAATTATAGTAGTTTAAAGCAAAATAGACTTTAAAGCTATCTATCGCTAGAGAAAGAGGGTTATTGTAAATGATAAAGTTGGATTCATGAAGAAGATATAACAACTCTAAATTCGTATGCAAAAAATAATATCGTCCCAAAATATGTAAGTGAAAATAGAAAGACAAAAGGAAAAACTCCAATCATGGCCGGGTGTGGTGGCTTATGCCTGTAATCCCAGGACTTTGGGAGGCCAAGGCAGGCGGATCATGAGGTCAGGAGATCAAGACAATCCTGGCCAACATGGTGAAACCCCGTCTTTACTGAAAATACAAAAATTAGCCAGGTGTGGTGGCACATAGTCCCAGCTACTCAGGAGGCTGAGGCAGGAGAATCACTTGAACCCACAAGACGGAGGTTGCAGTGAGCCAAGATCACGTTACTGCACTCCAGATCTGGTGAGAGAGTGAGACTCTGTCTGACAAACAACAACAACAACAACAACTGCAATCATATTGGTAGATCTTAACACACCTCTTTCTACAGTTAAGGCAAATAAAAAACAAATATATGAGTAAGATCATGCAGTATTTGTCTTTCTGTATGTGGCTTATATTTAACATTATTACCTCTGGGTTCATCCATTGTCACAAATGACAGGCTTTTCTTTTTTTAAGGCTAAATAGTATTCTATTATATATGTGTATTGTATATAACACATGTTCTTATTCCATCCTTCTGTTGATGACACTTAGGATGGCTCCATATTTTGGCTTGTTCCATATCTTGTGAATAATGCTGCAGTGAACATGGCAGTGCAAATATCTCTTTGACCTACTTACTCCATTTCATTTGGATGTATATACACAGTAGTGAGATTGTTGAATCATATGGTGCTTTTATTTTTTCATTTTTGAGAAAATTCCATAGAGTTTTCCATAATGGTTGTGCTAATTTATATTCCCACCAACAGTATGCAAGGGTTCCCTTTTCTCCGCATCCTGGCCAATACTTTTTATCATTCGTCTGTTTTATAATAGCCATTATAACAAATGTGAGGGCATATCTTTTTGTGATTTTAATTTGCATTTCTCTGATAATTAGTGATGTTGAGCATTTTTCCATATACCTGTTGGCTATTTGTATGTCTTCTTTTGAGAAATATCTATTCAGGTCCTTTGCTGATTTTTAAATTAAGTTGTTTGTTTTTTGGCTAGTAAGTTGTCTGAGTTAAATATATATATAATATATATATGTATATAGATAGATACACACATACATATATATGTATATATTACATATATACATATATTATATAGTATACACATATTATATAATATGTATATGTATGTGTGAAATATATTTAGAGAAAGTCTCACTCTGTCACCCAGGCTGCAGTATAATGGTGTGATCATAGCTCACTGTAGCCACCAACTACTGGGGTCAGGCAATCCTGCCACCTTAGCCTCCTATGTAGCTTGGACTACTATAGGCACACACCACCATGCCTAATAATTTTTTTCCTTTTTAATAGAGAAAAGATTTCATTATTTTGCCCAGGCTGGTCTCAAACTGCTGGCCTCAAGTGATCCTCTCACCTCATCCTCCCAAGGTGCTGGGATTACAGGTGTGAGCCAACAAGCTTAGCCTCCTTATACGTTTTGGATATTCACCTCTTATCAAATACATGCTTTGAAAATACTTTCTCCTATTCTGTAGGTTATCTCTTTACACTGTTGGTTGTTTCTTTTGCTGTGCAGAAGCTTTTAGTTTGACGGAATCCCATTGGCTTAATTTTGCTTTTGTTGCCTGTGTTTTGGGGGTCATATTCAAACAAATCATTATCCAGACCAATGTCATAGAGCTTTCCTCCTAGGTTTTCTTCTAATGATTTTACAGTTTCAGGTCTTACATTTAAGTCTTTAATCTATTTTGATTTGGGTCTTCTCTTTTTTTTTCGGTATGTGGTGTGAGATGAAGATCTAATTTCATTCTCCTGCATGTGATTATCCAGTTTTCTCAGCATCCTTTTATTGAAGAAACATTATGTTTCTCCATTGTGTGTTCTTGGCACCTTTGCTGAAAATCAATTGACTATAAGTGTGTGGATTTATTTAGGGCTTTCTATTCGGTTCCATTGGTCTATGTGTGTCTTTTAGGCCAGTACCATCCTGTTTTGTTTACTATAACTTTGTAACATATTTTGAAGTCAGATAGTGTGACGCCTCCAGTTTTTTGTTTTGTTTTGTTTTTGTTTTTGTTTACCCATGGATACTTTCATTGTTTGGGGTCTTTTGTGGGTCCATATGCATTTAATTTTTTTTTCTATTTCTGAGAAAAATATCATCAGATTTTGGTAGAGATTGCACTGAATTCTTAGATTGCTTTGGGTAGTACGGACACTTTAACAATATTAATTCTTTCAATACATGAACATGGGGTATCTTTTAATTTATCTGTAAATGTGCCATTGAATTTGGTTTGCTAGTATTTTGTGGAGGATTTTTGTGGCTATATTCATCAGGGATGTTGGCCTGAAATTTTTTGTATTGTTCTTGTGTTGCTTTCTTATTAATGTTGGACTCATAAAATGGTTTTGGAAGTTTTTTCTCCTCACCAATTTTTTGGAAGTGTTTGAGAGTATTGACATTAATTTTCTCTAAATATTTGGTAGAATTTACCAGTGTTGCCGTCTGGCCTTAGGTGTTGTTGTTCTTGTTGTTCAGAGGTTTTAGATTACTGAATCAACCTCCTTACTCATTATTAGTATTTTCTGATTTTCTGTTTCTTCATGACTCAATCTTAGTAGGTTATATTTCTAAGAATGTATTCATTCCTTCTAGGTTAATTCATTTGTTAACTTATAATTGTTCATAGTAGTCGCTCATGATCCTTTGTCTCTCTGTGATTTGATTTGGGTCTTCTCTCTTTTTTTAGTCAGTCTACCTAGTGATTTCTGCTATTTTGTTTCTGTCTTGCTATTTTTTGGCATAGTTCGTTCTTATTTTACTGGTTTCTTGAGGTGTAAAGACAGGTTGTTTATTTGAGATCTTTTCTTTTTTCTCAATCTAACTGTTTATTGCTATAAGCTTCCCTGTTAGAACTGTTTTTGAAGACTTGTAAGTTTTGATATGTTGTGTCTCCATTTTTTGTGTGTCTCAAAATATGATTTTATTTCCCTAACATCGTTTTCCATTTTTTTTGTGTCTCAAGATATGGTTTTATTTCCCTTTTTAGGTTTTGTTTTCCTAAGTTTTTATCTCAGACCCATTAATTGTTCAGGAGTGTGTTGTTTAATTTTCACATATTTGTGAATTTTTCATTTTTCTTCTGTTACTGATTTCTAGTTTCATACCATTGTAGTCAGCAGAGATTTCATATGATTTCAATCTTTCTGAAGCTGTTAAGACTTGTTTTATGGCCTAACGTATGACCTATCTTGGAGAATGTTCCATGTGCACTCAAGAAAAATGTGTACTCTGCTGCTTCTGGATGGGATGTTCTGTATATGTCTGTTAGGTCCATTTGCTCTATAATGTTCCAGTCAGCTGTTCCCTCTTTGATTTTTCTGTCTGGATGATCTATCCATTGTTAAGAGTGGAGTACTGAAGGACCCTACTACATTCTATTGCTTTATACTTCTCTCTTCCATGCAGTTAATACTTTATTTATTTAATTACATGACTAGTGTTTCACACATACATTTTTGCAATTGTTATATTCTCTAGATTAATTGGCCCTTTTATTATTATATAATGGCCTTCTTTGTCTCTTTTGACTATTTTGACTTAAAGATTTTTTTTGACTGATATAAGTATAGCCACTCCTGCTCTTTTTTTTTAACCATTAGCATGGAATATCTTTCTCCATATTTTAACTTTCACCATATGTGTGCCCTTAAAGCTAAAATGAGTCTCTTGTAAGGAGCATGTAGTTAGAACATTTTTATCCATTCAGTCACTGTATCTTTTGAAGAATTTAATTCTTAAAACTGTGACACAAAAGATAAATGAGGTAATTACTGATAGGAAAGGACTTACTATTGTACTTTGTTAATTGTTTTTTGACTGTTTTGTAGTTCCTTGCACTTTCTTTCTGTCCCCCCTTTGTGATTTGATGACTTTTTGTAGTGGTATTCTTTGATTCCCTTCTGCTCATCTTTTGTGTATCTACTACAGGTTTTTTTCTTTATGGTTACAACATAACAGTTGCAGTTGCCTCATGAGCAACTGGTAATGTCAAAGTTTTGAATTTTTCTAAATGTTAGCCATTTTAATAGGTACTAGTATCTCACTGTTGTTGTAATTTACATTTTCTAAATGACAAATGACATGCAGCATTTTTCATGTGTTAATTTACCATCTGTATATCTTTGGCAAGGAGTCTGTTCATATTTTTGGTCCATTTCTTAATTGGTTTGTTTGTTTTCATGATGTTTAGCATTTTTTAAAGTAACAGTTTATTTAGATATAATTCATATGCCACACAATTCACTCACTTGAAGTGTACAAATCAGTGGATTTTAGTATATTCATGGAGTTGTGTAACCATCATCACAATCAATTTTAGGATATTTTCATTAACACAAAAAGAAACCTCGTACCCATTAGCATTCAATGCCCACTTCCCACAATGCTCGCAGCACTAGGAAACCACAAATTCATTTTTTGCCTCTATGGATTTGCCTATTTTAGACATCTCATATAAATGGAATCATGCATTTTATGATTATTTGCAACTGGCTTCTATCACTTAGCATATTGTTTTTGAGGTTCATAATGTTGTACCATGGCTAAATAATATTTCATTTTCTGAATATATACCAGATGTACTTTATTTATTCTTCAGTTGGACATGTGGGCTGTTTCCACTTTTTGGCTGTATGAATAATGTAATAATGCTTCAATGGACATTCATGAACAACTGTTTTGTAGACATATACTTTCAATCTCTTGGGTATATATATGCCTAAAAATGGAAATTATGACTCATAGGAATTCTATATTTATGCAAGTGAGGAATACAGAACAGTTTTCCAAAGTAGCTGCACCATTTTACATTTCTACCTACCAACTTATCCTTGTTGATATCTTTGTTGTTTTGTTTTATTGTTTTAAACATACCTACCTTCTGGGTGTGAAGTGATATATCCTTTGAAATGCATTTCTCAGATGACTAATGAAGTTGAGTAATTTTCATGTGTACTTGGCTATTTGTATATTTTTTGAAGTAATGTCTATTCGAATCCTTTGCCCATTTTTAAATTTGATTATTCATAATTTTTATTGTTTAGTTAATGGGTCCTTGACCCATTCCAGACACTAATCCTTACCAGATATGTGATATGCAAATATTTTTTCCCATTTTGTGGGTTGTCTATTCACTATCGTGATAGAACCTTTGAAGCACAAGATGTGTGAGTCTGTGTGTGTAGTACAATTTATCTATTCTTTCTGTTGTTTCTTGTGCTTTTAGTATCATATCTAAGAAAGAATTACATAATCCAAGATCATGCAAACTTACTTCTATGTTTTCTTCTAAAAGTTTAGAGCTTTAGCTCTTCTTTTGAATTAGTTTTTGGATATAATGTGAGATATGGGTCCAAAGTCATTCTTTTTCATCTGGACTCCAGTTGTCCCAGTAACTTTTGTTAAAAAGACTACTCTTTCTGCATCAAATGGTCTTGGCAACCTTGTTGAAATCAACTGACTGCAAATAAAAATGTTTACTTCTGGACTCTCAATTATATTTTATTTATCAGTGTGTTTATCCTATGCCATTACCATGCTGATCTGATTACTGTAGCTCTGTAGTAAGTTTTGAAATTGGACAGTGTTAGTCCCTAACTTTATCTTTTTATTCTTAAGACTGTTTTAGTCATGCTGGGTTCCTTGCATTTGCATACAAATTCTGGGATCAGCTTATAAAATTTTTGCAAAGAGGCTGTTATAATTCGGATGAGGATTATATTGAATCTGTAGCTCAATAGGAGAGTATTGCCATTTTAATAATATTAATTTTCTAGTCCATGAACACAGATACCTCTCCAAAACTTTAGGTGTACTTTTGCTTTTTTAAGTGATGTTTTGTAGTTTTTAATGCATTTTTTCTTTATGATGTTATTGTACACGGAGTTGTTTTCTTAATTTCATTTTTAGATTGTTCATTATTAGTATATACAAATACAACTGATATTTGTATATATATTCTGTATTACATATCTTTGCTGAACTTGTTTTTCAGAAATAATAGTTTTTTCTTAAATCCTTTAGGATTTTGTATAAATAAGATTATGATGTGTACAAACAGATAATTTCACTTCTTCCTTTCTCATCTGGATTTTTTTCTTTTTCTTGTCTAATTTTCTTAAGTAGGAGTACAATGTTGAATAGGATTAGTGAGAGGGAATGTCTTTGCCTTGTAATTGAATCTAGGGGAAGATCTTTCAGTTGCTTATCTGTAAATATGCTAGCTTTGAGGTTTTGTGGATGCTTCTTACCAGGTTAACAAAGTTTCCTTCCTTTCTTAATGTACTGAGTGTTTTCATTATGAAGGATGATTAATTTTGTTAAAAATGTGTGTCTATTCAGATGATCATATGGTTTTTGTTATTTGTTATATAATGTATTAATTTTAGGTCTTTGAAATAAACTTTATTTTTCAATTGTTTCAGGTATGATTGACATGTGAAAAGCTATATATACTTATCATAAATATCTCAATGGGCTTAGGGATAACTATATACCCATGAAACTGTCACTGCCATCAAGCCCAACAACACAGATATCACCTCCCACAGTTTCCTCTCATCCCGTTTATTATTGTTGTTTTTGTGTATGTATTAAGAACACTTACTGTGGAAAGCTTATAGCAATAAATGCCTATGATCTTTCTTTCAAAATAGAATAAAAATCTCAAGTAAACAACTTAATACTATACTCCCAGGGACTAAACAAAAAATAAACTAACCCCAAGTCAGTATAGGAAAGAAAGTAATAAAAATCAGAGCAGAAATAAATAAAATAGACAATACAATGACAATAGAAAAAAAATCAATGAAATTAAGAATTGTTTTCTGAAAAGATAAGAAAAATTGACAAAACTCTAGCCAGTTTAATAAAAAAAAGTGAGAAGACTCAAAAAATAAAATTAGAAATGAAAGAGGAGATATAAAAATACTACAGAAATACAAAGCATCTTAAGAGACTACAGTGAACAATTACACACCAATAAATTGAATAACCTAGAAGAAATTGTTAAATTCCTAGAAATGTACAATTTACCACAAGTGAATCAAGAAGAAATAGAAAATCTGAACAGACCAACAATGAGTAAATAATGAATAAGGACATAGATTTAATAATTAAAAAAACCTTCCATCAAAGAAAAGCCAAGGACCAGATGGTTTCATGGTGGAATTATATCAAACATTTAAAGAATACCAATGCTTCTTAAACTCTTCCACAAAATTGAAGGGAAAGGAATATATTATATGACACCAGCATCACCCTAATACCAAAGCCAGACAAGGACACTATGAGAAAATAAATTACAGGCCAATACTTTTGATAAATATAGACGTAAATTCTCAACAAAATACTAGCAAACTGAATTCAACAGAACATTAAAGTATTATTCATTATCATCAAATAGGATTTATCTGTGGAGAACAAGGATGGTTCAACATAAACAGTTTAATAAATGTGATACACCATATTAACAGGATAAAAGCCAGAAACCATATGATCATCTCAATAGATGCAGAACAAGCATTTGATAAAAGTTAGCATCTCTTCATAAAAAAATCTCAATAAATTAGGCCTAGAAAGAATGTATCTGAACATAATAATGTCTATACATGAAAAGCCCACAGCTAACATTATACTCAACCATGAAAAGTTGAAAGATTTTCCTCTAATATTAAGAACCAGAAGAGGATGCCCATTCTTACCAGTTCTATTCAACATAGGCCAGAAGGTCTAGCCAGAGTAATCAGACAAATAAATAAGTCACATACAAATAGGAAAAGAAGAAGTGGAATTACCTTTGTTTGCTTATGACATAATTTTATACACAAAATTTTAAAGATTCTATTTTAAAAACTGTTAGAATTGATTTTTAAAATTCAGTAAATTTGAAGGGTACGAAAATCAACAGGCAAAAATCAGCAGCATTTCTTTACACTGACAACAAACTATCTGAAAGAGAAATTAAGCCCTTTCACAATAGCATCAAAAATAAAATACTTAGGGATAAATTTAATCTGGGATGTTAAATATATATATACATATATATATTATATATATATAAATTTAACCTGGGACATAAATATATACATATGTGTGTGTTATAGAGAATATATATTTATAATATATAAAGAGAAAACTCTAAGATATTGAGGAAAGCAATAGTAGATGACACAAATAAAAAGCTATATTGTGTTCATGGATTGGCAGAATTAATGTTGTTAAAATGTCCATACTACCCAAAGCAACCTACAGAAAGGAATCCCTATCAAAATTTCAGTGTCATTTTTCAGGGAAATAGAAGAAAATAGTCCAAAATTTACATAGGACCACAAAAGACCTTGAGCAAAAAGAACACAGAGCTATTACACTACCTGACTTCAAAATATATTACAAAGCTATAGTAGTCAAAACAGCATGGCACAGGCATAAAAAATACATTGAGCAATGGAACAGAAAAGAAGGCCGAGAAACAAATCCATGCATTTATGGTCAATTGATTTTCAATGAGCCAAGAGCACAAAACGAAGAAAGGAGAGTTTATTCAATAAATGGTGTTGGAAAAATTGCATATTCATAAGCAGAAGAATGAAATTGGACCCTTGTCTCACATCATATACCAAAATCAACTCAAAATGAATTAAAGACTTAAACCTAAGACCCAAAACTATAAAACTACTAGAAAATAAACATAGAGGATATGCTCCATGACATTGATCTAGGCAGAGATTTTTCTGATATGACTTCAAAAGCCCAGCATAAAAGCAAATGGGATTTCATCAAACTCAAAAGGCTCTGCACAGCAAAGTCAACAATTAAAAGAATAAAGAGACAACCATGAATTGGGAGAAAATATTTGCAAACCAAGTATCTGTAAAAGGGCTAATATACAAAATTCAATTCAAGCAACTCACTGGCAAGAAAATAAATGACCCAGTCAAAAATGGGCACAGCACTTACACAGACATTTCTCAAAAAAAGACATACAAATGGCCAACAGATACATGAAAAATGCTCAGTCACAGATTATCAGGGAAATGCAAATTAGAACTACAATGAGATATTACTTCACACATATTAGAATGATTATTATTTTAAAAGGTGAAAGATAAGTGTTGGCAAGGGTGTGGAGAAAAGGAAACATCTGTGTACTGTTGATGAGAATGTAAATTAATATAACCATTATGCAAAACAGTATGAAGCTTCCTCAGAAAACAAAAAATAGAATTTCCATATGATCCAGTAATCCCATTTCTGGGTATGTATTCAAAGGAATTGAAATCAGTATGTTGAAGAGATATTCACACTCCCATATTTATTGCATTATTATTCACAATAGCTAAGATATGGTAGCATCCTAGGTGTCCATTATCAAATGAATGGATAAAGAAAATGTGATATATGTATGCAATAGGATGCTATAGCCTTAAAAAGGGGAAGAATCCTGTTGCTACAACGTAGATGAAACTAGAAAGTTCTTTCTGTTAAGTGAAACAAGCCAGGTACAGAAAGACAAATGTTGCATGGTCTCACTTATATGTGGAATCTAAAAAAGTTGAATTCATAAAAAATAGAGTAGAATAATGGTTACTAGAGGCTGAAAGAAGGAAGTGGATGAGGAAAGGAGAGATACTGATCAAGAAATAAAGTTTCAGTTAGACAGGAGGAATAAGCTTTAGCGATCTATTGCACAGAATGGTGACTGTAACAAATAATGCATTGTATATTTTATAATTGCTAAAAGAGTATGTTTTAAATGTTTTCACTATAAAAATAAGTATTTGAGGTTATAGATTTAAGTACTCTGATTTAATTATTTCACATTGCAAACATATCAAAACATCACATTGAACCCCATAAACATATACAAATTTTGTCAATTAAAATAATTTTTAAAAAGAACACTTAACATAAGCTCTACATAATAAATGTATGTATACAATACAGTATTGTTACAGGTATAAGCACTATTCTGTATACTGTATCTCCAGAATTTATATATCTTGCATAACCGAAACATCATACCCTTTAACCATCACTTCTCCATTTCCTTCTACCAGTCCCTGGCAACCAACATTCTACTCTCTGTTTCCATGAGGTTTACTACTTTAGACTGCACATATAAGTGAGACATACAGTATTTGTTTCTGTGTGTCTGGGTTATTTCACTTAACATAATGCTCTCCAGGGCTGTATTACTTTCATTGTTTTTCATGTGTAGAACCAACTTTGCATTCCTGGAGTACATCCCATACGGTCATGATGCTTAATCTTTTTTCTATGTTAATGGATTTATTTTGTTAGAATTATTTGAGAATTTGTGCATCTATTTTCATAAGGGATCTTGTTCTGTAGTTTGTTTTGTTTCGCTTTTCTAGAAATGTGTGTGGAATTGTTATTAGGGAAATTCTAAACTCATAGAATAAGTTGAAATGTATTCACTTCTCTTCTGTGTTTTGAAAGATATTGTGAAGAATTGGTGCTTATTCTTTAATTTTTGGTAGAATTTACTAGTGAAGCCATCTGAAACTAGGATTTATTTCTGAAATCTATTTTGATTATTAATTCAGTCTCATTACTTGTTATACATATATTCAGGTGTTCTAATTCTTCTTTAGTTAGTTTCACCAGTTTTTGCTTTGCTAAGAATTTTTCTATATCATTTGGGTTATCTAATTTATTGGCATATAGTTACAGTGTTTTCTTATAATCCTTTTTATTTTTGTAAGGTCAGTTTGGATGTCCACTCTCATTCCTGATTTTAGTAATTTGAGACTTGTCTGGATTTTTGTTTCAGTCATTTAAGTGAAAATTTTGTCAATTTTGCTGGTCTTTTCAAAGAATCAATTTTTGTTGTTTTTTTTGTATTCACTTTTATTTTCTGTTTTATTTATTTCCAAATTAATATTTGTCTCTTTTCTTCCATTTGCTCTGGGTTCCAGTTTGCTCTTTTTTTGCTAGTTTCTTGAGGTAGAAGATTGTTTTAGATTTGAGATCTTTTTTAAAACAGGCATTTATCATTATAAATTTCTAAGCACTTCTTGAAATACATTCCATAAATTTAGGTATGTTTTCATTTTCATTCACCTCAAAATATTTACTAATTTCCTTTTTTTTTCTTTGACCCATGGGTTATTTGGCAGAGTGTTGTTTAATTTCTACATGCTTATAAATTTCACAAATTTTCTTCTGTTATTAAATGTCTAATTTCATCTCCTTATGGTGAGAGAACATACTTTGTATGATTTCAATCTTTTTAAATATACTGAGACCTGTTTATGGCATAATATATAATCCATCCTGGGTAATTTTCCATATGCAGTAGAGAAAAAGGTGTATTCTGTTGTTGTGGGTGCTGTGTTCTATATGTGACTATTATCTCTAGCTGGTTTATAGTATATTTCAAGTTTTCTATTTCTTGCTGATCTTCTGTTTAGTTGTTCTATCCATTATTGAAAATGGATATTGAAGTCTCTGCTATTCTTGAAATTATATCTCCATTCAACACTATCACTTTTTGCTTCATGTATTTTGAAGATCTTTAGTTAGATGCATCTATAATTATAAATTGACCCTTTTATCTTATTTATTTATTTATTTATTTATTTATTTATTTATTTATTTTTGAGATGGAGTTTCACTCTTGTCGCCCAGGCTGGAATGCAACAGGGCAATCTTGGCTCACTGCAACCTCCACCTCTGGGGTTCAAATGATTCTGCTGCCTCAGCCTCCTGAGTAGCTGGGCTTACAGGTACCTGCCACCATACCCAGCTAATTTTTGTATTTTTGGTAAAGACAGGGTTTCATCATGTTGGCCAGGCTGATCTCGAACTCCTGACCTTGGATGATCCACCTGCCTCAACCTCCCAAACTGCTTGGATTACAGACGTGAACCACTGCGCCCAGCCTCCTTTTACCATTTTCAAAAGTTCTTTGCGTCTAGTAATATCTTTGTCTTAAAATCCATTTTATCTGAAATTGTCACTCCTGCTCTTTTTAATACTGTCTACATAGCGTATCTTTTTTGTCCTAGTAATTTCTATTTCTGTATTTGAATCTAAAGTGTTTCCTTTGTACATAACGTATAGTTGGGTTACTTTGTATCCATTTTGTCAATCTGTACTTTTTATTTGAATGCTTAATCATTTATATTTAATGTAATTATTGATAAGGTAGAATTTATATGGACAATTTCTGTTTTTAAAAAATATTAATTGGCCAAGATTTAAGTTATGCTTACTGTTTATGGGGTGCTTTGAGGTTTTTTATTATTATACTTTAAGTTCTGGGATACATGTGCAGAACATGCAGGTTTGTTCCATAGGTATACACATGCCATGGTGGTTTGCTGCCCCCTCAACCTGCCATCTACATTAGGTATTTCTCCTAATGCTATCCCTCCACTAGCTCCCCACCCCTCATCAGGCCCCAGGGTGTGATGTTCCCCTCCCTGTGTCCATGTGTTCTCATTGTTTAACTCCCACTTAGGAGTGAGAACATGCAGTGTTTGGTTTTTTGTTCTTGTGTTAGTTTGCTGAGAATGATGGTTTCCAGCTTTACCCACGTACCCTGAAAAGGACATGAACTCATCCTTTCTATGGCTGCATAGTATTCCATGGCGTATATGTGCCACATTTTCTTTGTCCAGTCTATCATTGATGGGCAATTGGGTTTGTTCCAAGTCTTTGCTATTGTGAACAGTGCCACAATAAGCATACGTGTGCATGTGTCTTTATATAGTAGCATGATTCATAATCCTTTGGGTATATACCCAGTAATGGGATGGCTGGGTCAAATGGTATTTCTGGTTCTAGATCCTTGAGGAATCACTGCATTGTCTTTCACAATGTTTGAACTAATTTACACTCCCACCAACAGTGTAAAAACATTCCTGTTTCTCCACATCCTCTCCAGCATCTGTTGTTTCTTGACTTTTTAATGATCACCATTCTAACTGGAGTGAGATGGTATCTCATTGTGGGTTTGATTTGCATTTCTCTAATGAGCAGTGATGAGCTTTTTTTCATGTTTGTTGGCTGCATAAATGTCTTCTTTTGAGAAGTGTTCATATCCTTAGCCCATTTTTTGATGGGGTTCTTTTTTTCTTGTAAATTTGTGTAAGTTCTTTGTAAATTCCGGATATTAGCACTTTGTTAGATGAATAGATTGCAAAAATTTTCTCACATTCTATAGGTTGCCTGTTCACTCTGCTGATAGTTTATTTTGCTATGCAAAAGCTCTTTAGTTTGAGTAGATCTCATTTGTCAATTTTAGCTTTTGATGCCATTGCTTTTAGTGTTTTAGTCATGAAGTCTTTGCCCATGCGTATGTCCTGAATGGTATTGCCTACGTTTTCTTCTGGGGTTTTCATGGTTTTAGGTCTTAAGTTTGTCTCTAATTCATCTTGAGTTAATTTTTGTATAAGGTGTAAGGAAGGGGTGCAGTTTCAGTTTTCTTCATATGGCTACCCAGTTTTCCCAACACCATTTATTAAATAGGGAATCCTTTCCCCATTGCTTGTTTTTGTCAGGTTTGTCAAAGATCAGATGGTTGTAAATGTGTGGTGTTATTTCTGAGGCCTCTGTTCTGTTCCATTGCTCTATATATCTGTTTTGGTACCAGTACCTTGTTGTTTTGGTTACTGTAGCCTTGTAGTACAGTTTGAAGTCAGGTAGCGTGATGCCTCCAGTTTTGTTCATTTTGCTTAGGATTGTCTTGGTTATGCGGGCTCTTTTTTGGATCCATATGAAATTTAAAGTTGTTTTTTCTAATTCTGTGAACAAAGTCAGTGGTCACTTGATGGGGATAGCACTGAATCTATAAATTACTTTGGGCAGCATGGCCATTTTCACTATATTGATTCTTCCTATCCATGAGCATGGAATGTTTTTCCACTTATTTGTGTCCTCTCTGATTTCCTTGAGCAGTGGTTTGTAGTTCTCCTTGAAGAGGTCCTTCACATCCCTTGTAAGTTGTATTCCTGGGTATTTTGTTTTCTTCGTAGCAATTGTGAATGGGAGTTCACTCAGGATTTGGCTCTCTGTTTGTCTATAATTGGTGTATAGGAATGCTTGTGATTTTTGCATGTTGATTTTGTATTCTGAGACTTTGCTGAAGTTGTTTATCAGTTTAAGGAGATTTGGGGCTGAGATGATGCGGTTTTATAAGTAGAGAATCATGTCACCTGCAAACAGAGAAAATTTGACTTCCTCTCTTCCTATTTGAATACCCTTTATTTCTTTCTTTTGCCTGATTACCCTGGCCAGAACTTCCAATACTATGTTGAATAGGAGTGGTGAGAGAGGGCATCCTTGTTTTGTGCTGGTTTTCAAAGGGAATGCTTCCAGTTTTTGCCCATTAAGTATGATATTGGCTGTGGGTTTGTCATAAATAGCTCTTATTATTTTGAGATACATTCCATCAATACCTAGTTTATTGAGAGTTTTGTGTATGAAGGCTGTTGAATGTTGTCAAAGGCCTTTTCTGAATCTACTGAAATAATCATATGGTTTCGTCATTGCTTCCGTTTATATGAGGGATTAAGTTTATTGATTTGCATATGTTGAACCAGCTTTGCATCCCAGGGATACAGCCAACTTGATTGTGGTGGATATGTTTTTTGATGTGCTGCTGGATTCGGTTTGCCAGTATTTTATTGAGGATTTTTGCATCAGTGTTCATCAGGGATATTGGCCTGAAGTTTTCTTTTTTTGTCTCTGCCAGGTTTTGGTATCAGGATGATGCTGGCCTCATAAAATGAGTTATGGAGGATTCCCTCTTTTGCTATTGTTTGGAATAGTTTCAGAAGGAATGGTACCAGCTCCTCTTTGTATCTCTGGTAGAATTCAGCTGTGAATCTGTCTGGTTTCAGACTTTTTTTGGTTGGTAGGCTATTAATTAGTGCCTCAATTTCAGAACTTGTTATTTGTCTATTCAGGGATTCAACTTCTTCCTGGTTTAGACTTAGGAGGGTGTATGTTTCTAGAAATTTATCCATTTTCTTCTAGATTTTCTAGTTTATTTGCATAGAGGTGTTTATAGTATTCTCTGATGGTAGTTTGTATTTCTGTGGGATCAATGGTGATATCCCTTTAATCATGTCCTTCAATGCAAAGACACAAACATATATCCACATGGAACAGTAGCAAACAGAGAATCATGACATCTTCAAACAGACAAAACAAGGAACCAATGACTGACCCTAAAGAGACAGCAATATATAAACTCCCTGGCCAAGGATTCAAAATAGCAGTTTGAAGAAAACTTGATGATCTCTGAGGTAACACCGAAAAGCAACTCATAAATTTATCATATAAATTTAATGAAGATATTGACATATTTCTTAAAATCCTATGAAGAACCTGGAACTGGAAAACATATTTGATAAACCGAAAAATTTATTAGAGGTTCTCAATAGCAAAATGACACAAAAGAGAGGAGTGATTCAGTGAGCTTGAAGACAGACTGCAAATACAAAAGAGAGGAGCAAATCGGTAAGCTTGAAGACAGGCTATTTGCAAATGCACAGTCAGAGGAGAAAAGAAAGAATGAAAAAGAAAGAACAAGGGTCACCAAAAAGATATAGAAAATTACCTCAAAAGGATAAATCTAAGAATTATTGGTGTTTAAGAGTGTTGAGCAAGAGCAAGGGGTAGAAAGCTTATTCAAAGAAATAATAACAGAAAACTTTCCAAAACTTGAGAAAGATATAAATATGCATGTACAGGAAGGCCTTGACCGAAATAAGACTATTCAAAGGCATACAATAAACTCTCAAAGATTAAGGACAAAGAGAGTATTCTAAAAGCAGTTAGAGGAAAGAAGTAAATAACATAAAGAAGCTACAATTTTCTGGCAACAGACTTCTCAACAGAAATCTTACAGGGCAAGAGGGAGTGAAATGACATGTTCAAGGTGCTGAAAGAAAAATAACAAGCCTGTCATCCAAGAATACTGTATCTAGCAAAATTATTTTTTAAATATGAAGGAGAGATAAAGTATTTCCCAGACAAATGAAAGCTGACAGAATTCACCACTACCAGACTTGTTTTAAAAAAAAAATGCTAAAGGGAGTTCCCCAATCTCAAAGGAAAAAACTAAAGTGTAAAAAGAAAACATTTGAAGGTAAAACACCCACTGGTAAAATTAAGGACATGAACAAGCCCAGGATACTCTATGACTGTAAGGTGTGCAATCTACTCAAAACTCTAGTATGAAGCCCAAAAGACAAACTTATGAAAAACAATATTAACTACGGAAACCTACTAAGAGATAGGTAATATAAAAATATGTAAATTGAGATAACTGAAAGGAAAAATGGGGAGGGGTGGAGTTTAATTAGAAGTTTTTTTTTCTTTGCTTGTTTCTATTCTTTTTATTGTGATCTAAGATAAATTTCACCTCTTTATAATCCTTACCAAAAAAAACAAAGCCAGAGGCATCACACTAGATGACTTCGAAATATACTATTATACAGTGCTATAGTAACCAGATCAGCATGGTACTGGCAATGAAAGCAGACACAAAGACCAGTGGAACAGAATAGAGACCTCAGATATAAATTCATGCATTTGCTCATGAATTTATATCTCATTTGGAACAAAGATGAAGATCTTAACTAATCTTCAACGAAGGCACCAAGAACATAAAATGGGAAAGGAAAGTCTCTTCAATAAATGATGCTGGGAAAACTGGATAATTATACGCAGAAGCAAAAAGTAGACCCCTATATTTCATCATATACAAAAATCAAATAAAAATAAATTATTAGATTGGTGCAAAAGAAATCGAGTTTTTTGACAGTATTTTAATGGCTAAAAACACAATTACTTTTGCCCCAACCTAATAGAAACTTAAATCTAAGATCTGAAACTATGAAACTACTAGAAGAGAACATTGAGAAACTGCTTCAGGACATTGAGCTGGGAAAAGAATTTTTGTGTAAGACCTCAACAGTACAGGCAACTGAAGAAAAAATAGACAAATAGTATTGCATCAAGCTGAAAGGCTTCTGCACAGCAAAGGAAACCATCAACGAAATCAAGACACAACCCACAGGGAATGGGAGAAAATATTTGTAAACTATCCATCTAACAAAGGATTAATAACCAGAATATGCATATTTGAATATATATATTCAACTCAACAGCACAAGTCCAAAAAATCAATTAAAATGGGCAAAATATAAAAATAGAAGTTTCTTAAGTCATACAAATGGGCAACAGGCATATAAAAATGCTTAACATCACCAATCATCAGAGAATTGCAAATCAAATACAATGAGATATAATCTTACCCCAGTTAAAATGGCTTTTATGAAAAAGACAGGTAATAATATATGCTGTTGATAATGTGGAGCAATGGTAACTCTCCTACGCAGTTGCTGGGGATGCAAATTAGTACAAACACTGTGGAAAACTGTAGTATCCTCAATAAACTAAAAATAGAAATACCATATGATTCAGCAATTCCACTTCTGGTTATATAGCCAAAGGAAAGGAAGTGTATATATCAAAGAAATATCTGGACTCCCATGTTTATTGCGGCACTATTTACAATAGCCATAATATGGAATCAATGTAAGTGCCTATCAGTGGATGAATGAATAAAGATAATGTGGCTTACATACACAATGGCATATTTTTCAGCCACACAAAAAATGAGATCTTGTCATTTGCAGCAACATAGATGGAATTGGAGGTCATTATGTTAAGTGAAATAAGCTGAACATAGAGAAACAAATATTGCACATTCTCACTCATATGTGGGAGCTAATAAATTAGATCTCAATGAAGATAGAAAGTAATTGATGGTTACCAGAGAAAAGGAAGATTAGGGAGGAGGGGAGTGTAAGAGAGGTTGATTAATGGTTACAGATAAACATATAAAAGAAATAAGACCCAGTTTTTGATAGATCAGTCAGGTGACTATAGTTTACAATAATCTATTACGTATTTCAAAATAGCTACAAGAGAATAATTTGAATGTTTCTAGCCTAAAGAACAGACAAACATTTAAGGTGATGGATATCACAATTATACTGGTTTGATTTTTTTTTACTTGGTACAGATTTTATTATAAAATGTATGTGAAGAAAGACTATTTTGTCACATTGTTTTTCTTTGTCATGCCATATTTCATATTTACAGAAAAAATTCTGAAGGTGTGCTTTCCATTTGCAAGATGAAAACTTTAAGACACAGAAATGCTACAAAATTGGTTAAAACCACACACACAATTAATCTTAGGGCTAGAACTTGATGAAACATTTATGCTCTTAGATAACACTAATTGATTATAGGAATTACCTTTAGGACCAGAATAAAAACTTAATATCTAAAAAGCAAGTGCCTAACCTGAATTTACACTGGTTTTATCTTTACAAATTACATGAATGTATTTGTCACATGTGCGTTTAAAATATGTAAATTATATTTAAGTGAAAATATAAAATTATTCTTAAAAATAACTTCAATATTCACTTTTTCCAGTTTACTGACAGACTCTGAAGGTATAGTTTTTCCATATATATGGAGGTCAGACATCTTTTCTCACTTGACACATAGAATTCTTTAAAGTCCCCACATTGTTCATCATTATTAAACACAGTCACAGGCCAGAGGGTGTGCCAGGCATGAACCACTGTGTCTTCAGTCACTGTGTTCCAAGCATGGGCAACAGCACATCCAGCATCCTTCATGCTAAACTCCTTTCGAAAACTTTCCACACCCATACCTCTGTGTCTGCAGTTAGAATGCTGCTTAAGGAAATGTTTTTATATTTACTCCTCATTGATCTGAGGATTTCATGGTCATATGGCTAAATTAATGAAGTCACATTTGGTGGGAAATACATGGCATAAACATTATTTTTGATGAAAATTTCTGCTAGAGAATCAGTAGAACAGTTGACAAGAAATAACAAAATCTTGTAGTCTTCACCCAGCCCAGCTTCCCTGCAGTGAGCATGAGCTGCTGGTACAAAACGTTTGTGAAACCAATGAGAAAAGATATTCCTGGTGATTCATGCCTTTTTGTTAGCATAATAATGAACTGGCAAAAAAGTCACTTCTTGAAAACAGCAAGGTTGCAAGCTTTTGCCTACCATAGCAGGCTTACATTTGTGTGTGCCTGCTGCATTAATACATCCCAGCACAGTTATTCTGTCCTTGGTATCCTTAATTCCTGCAGTGGCTGTTTCATGAGGTAGTCAGTGTCTTTCTGGGGCAATAGTGCGAAAGCAGTGATATTCTCATTAACAGTGACCTTGGCAAACTCTTCAATGAACTTCTCCACTGCTTTGTGATACTTTAGCACAACTAGTATTTAAAAATGCAATGCCAAGTTTATTCATAAATGTACGAAACAAGCCTGTTTAATATTCAGTTCTCTTCAAATTTCAGTTCGTGATAGATCTTTGCTTGTTTCATGATCAGCGTACCACCAAGTGACATGTGTTCACTGCAACCCTAACAGATCCACTCTTTCAATACATGATTGAAATCTTCATTTTTAACTTTATGCAGCATTTTTTTCTTTAAAAAATTCATTAATTTCTGTTCATCATTTTTAGCATTGAACTTCAACAGCTTATCCTTCTGTTTCTGTGGGTGATATACAGTGGTCATTCTGACACCATATTCTTTTGTAAGATGTTTCACACTAACACTGCTGTCCAGCTTCTCCAAGAGCTTGACTTTCTGTGCTATGGAGTAACATAAATGCTTCTTCTTTTTCTTATCACTGTTACCCATGGGGTATCTGCAGGCCTTTTTAACATTTTCAACAATATTTTTGCACCACAGAGAATAAATAGAAATACACAGGGAGTAAAGCATGTGGGTCTTGGCCCCATGTGGGAAATTGTGGGAAACCTGTCATTCACAACCAGTTGGCACATATGGCATTTTATTACCCTTTGTGGAAGTGCTTATCTAAGAAAATCTAAGTGAATGTGAAAAAGTTACATTGCAGCTCAAGGGTGCTAGGAGGGTCTCATTTTCCTTGGGGATACTGAATAAACAGTGTGCAACTGCATTTTGACTGTGACCTATCACATGAAGTCAAATGTGTAACTTTCCTCCTATGGCAATCATGTCAGTGCTCAAAAGTTTCAGATTTTTGATTTTTGGATTGCGGTGCTTAACCTATACTTTGTAACTATATAGCTTCATTTCCTTCCCCCTCCTTTGTGCTGTTATTTTCATACAAATTACAGCTATGTACATTGTTATGTCCATCAGCATGCATTTATAGTTATTTATGTAAGCAAATGCCTTTTTAAAATCAGACTTTTATAAAAGAGTTACAAACACAAAGTGTATTTATACTGTCTATTTTATTTACTGATGTAGGTACCTTTTCTGGCAATCTATTTTTCTTGTAGATTTTACTTACTCTTTTTTTTTTTTTTTTTTTTTTTGAGACGGAGTCTCGCTGTCGCCCAGGCTGGAGTGCAGTGGCGCAATCTCGGCTCACTGCAGGCTCCGCCCCCTGGGGGTTCACGCCATTCTCCTGCCTCAGCCTCCCGAGTAGCTGGGACTACAGGCGCCCGCCACCTCGCCCGGCTAATTTTTTGTATTTTTAGTAGAGATGGGGTTTCACCGTGTTAGCCAGGATGGTCTCGAACTCCTGACCTCGTGATCCACCCGCCTCGGCCTCCCAAAGTGCTGGGATTACAGGCGTGAGCCACCGCGCCCGGCCAGATTTTATTTACTCTTTAGCGTCCTTTTATTTCAACCTTAAGGAATCCTTTAGTATTTCTTATGGAGTATACCTGGTAGAAATGAATTCTTAGAGTTTTTTTTTTAAATCTGGAAATATCTTAATCTTTCTTTCTTTTAAAAGTATAATTATTCTCAGCATAGAATTATTGTTTGCAGTATTTTAAACATTTTGAATATGTTATTCCACTGTCTCCTGACTTGCATGGTTTCTGATAAATAATCAGCTATTAGTCTTATTGAGGCTCCTTTAATGTGAGGAATTGTTTCTCTCTGCTGCTTTCAAGATCCTGTGTTGGTTTTGTTTTTTTTTTGACAGTTTATTATGCAGATAGCTGTGGTTATTTATGTGTTTATCCTACTTGGAACCATTGAGCTTTCAGTACATGTAAGTTAACGTTTTTATCAAATGTGTAAAGTTCCTGGCCATTATTTCTTCTAATCTTTCCTTTCCTTCTGGGACTCCCATTTTGTTTATGGGTTACATTATATGGTGTTCCACAGATCTCTGAAGATCTGCTTGTTTTCTTTCATTTTCATTTCTCTTCTTCAAACTGGAAAATCTTTGTTTACTTATCTTCAACTTCACTATTTTTGCTTCTGCCTGTCAAATCTGCTGTTGAGCCCCTCAAGTGAATGAGTGAGTTTTTCACTTTCATTATTGTACTTTCAACTCCAGAATTTCTATTTAGTTATTTTAAAAAATAATAATTTATATCTAGACCCAGCATGGTGGCTTGCACTTGTAATCCTAGCACTTTGGGAGGTTGAGGTAGGTGAATCACTTGAGTCCAGGAGTTCAAGACCAGCCCAGGTAACTTGGTAAAACCACATCTCTGCTAAAAATACAAAAAAATTAAAAATTAGCTGGGCATGGTGGTGCACACTGTAGTTCCAACAACACAGGAGGTTGAGGTGAAAGGGTCACTTGAGCCCAGGAGTCTGAGGCTGCAATGAGCTGTGATCATACCAGTGCACTCCAGCCTGGACAACAGAGTGATAGCCTGTCTCTAATAATAATTATTATTATTTCAATCTGTTAATATTCTCTATATAGTGAGACATCTTTGCACACTGTTTTGTTCTTTAGAGATTATTTTCTTTTGTTCTTTGAGCATATTTATAATAGTTTATTTAAAGGCTCTGTCTAGTAAATCAAAATTTGGTCTTCCCCAGGGACAGTTTCTATTGACTACCCTTCTGTCTTGTGTATGCATTATAGATTTTTTTGTTTCTTTGCAAGTCTTATAATTTTTTGGAAATGGGAAATTTAAAAATATATAATATTACAACTCTATAAATCAGATTCTCATTCTCTTCAGGGTTTTTTATTGTTGCAATTTGTTCTTTGAAGTAGCAGAACTAATTCTATAAAGTCAATATCACCTGGAAATATCTTAATCTTTCTTTCTTTTAAAAGTATAGTTATTCTCAGCACAGACTTGTTGTTTGCAGTATTTCACTGTAAACATTTTGAATATGTTATTTCACTGTCTCCTGACTTGCATGGTTTCTGATAAATAATCAGAATTTGTGGGGTCCTTAATGTCTTGGTCTGACTAGTTTTGGGGTCATGTAATGATTTAACAGAGATTTTCTTAAACACTGGCAACCAACAAATATTCTAGCCTTTGCTAAGGTGCTCAATATGTATATAGGATCAGACTTCAACACTCAGTCCAGCAGTTTACAACTCTGCCTTAGTCTTCACTTCTTGCTTATGCAGAGTCTTAAGGGCAGGTATAGGTGAGGGCATATGGCATACTCAGGTCTTTCCTGAGCATGTGGCATGTGTACCATTCAGGTATGATACATTACTTCAATTCCCTACAGATATCTCATTCTTTAGTTTCTTCTGTTAAGTACTTTGGTTTGTGTGTTGTTCACCCCCACTGTTATCACCATGTTAGGCAGACATGATTTTAAACAATTACCACTGATTTTTACTAACAAATGCCTCTAGGGCCTCATATTTACACTCAGTGATCTCAGAGTCAGCCAAAGAAGACAAGACTGATTCCTGCAATTTTCTACAGAACTGCCAGACAAGTCAAATAGCTGGCTGGGAACAGGGCTTTTTTAGGCGCTCCAAACTTCAACTGTTATGTTACCCTCCAGTGACTGCTAGGCTGCTTATTTTAAATGTGATTGTGGGCTGTTGGTCTTTAAACCTACTACTGAGATGGGTTAAAGCTAATGCAATTAAGCCAAGTTAAAAAACCTCAAAGCTCTCTGCTCGTACCAATATGTAGCTGTGTGTTTTTTTTTTTAATAAATTGTTTCCAGATTGTTGCAGGCATTTGGTTAATTTCCAGAGGTCTAAAAAAAAAATTGTAATTTTTCCAGTGTTTTTGTTTTTATGAAGGAGAAGACTGACTCTAGAATGTCTTTACTCCATCATTTCTGCTGTCATCATCTAGTCTACTATTGAGTTTTAAAAGTTCTTAGTATATTCATCATATATGTGTTTTGAAATTATTTTCTGCCAATCTGCGGCTTTGCTTTTGATTCTCTTAACAATGTCTTTTACAAATAAGAGGTTTTTAAATTTTAATAAAGTCTACCTATCAATTTTTCTTTCATGGATTGTGATTTTATGTGTTGTATCTAAAAACTCAACTCCAAATTCAAGGTCACCTAGATTTTTCTCCTATATTATTATCTTCTGGTAATTTTATACTTTTGCATTTTCCAGGTAGGTCAATAATTCATTCTAAGTTAACTTTTGTAAAAGATGTAAGGTTCATCTTTTTGTGTATAAATGTCTAACAGTTCCAGCACCACATATTGAAAATAGTTCTTTCTCCATTAAATTTCTTTTGCTTCTTTGTCAAAGATCAATTGACTATATTTGTGGAGATCTATTTCCGAGATTACTATCCTTTCTATTAATCTATTTGACTATTGCTTAGCCAGTGCTATGTTCACTTCATGACTTCTATGAGCAGTATGTCTTGAAATCACTTAGGTGCTCCAACTTGTTCCTCTTTAGTATTGTGTTGGCTATTCTGGGATTTTTGCCTTTCCATATCCAGTTCAGAATGAGTTTACTGACATCCCCAAAATAGCTTGCTGAAATTTTTATTGCAATTGTATTGAATCTATACATTGATCTAGGAAGAGGGGCCATCCTAAAAATATTGAGTCTTCCAATCCATGAACATGAAATACCTATTTCTCCATTTATTTAAAACTCCTTTATTTTCATCACTTTTAATAGTTCCCACATTTTCTACATATTAGATTCATATGTAAGTATTTTATTTTTGATGCTATTGTTAATAGTCTTTACTTTTAATGGAATTTACATTATTTTTACTTCAAATTCAAGTTGTTCATTACTGGTAGTAGAAAAGCAATTGATTTTGTGTACTGAACTTGCACTCTGAGACATTACCAGTTACTTCTTAGATCCAGTTTTTTGTTTTGTTTTATAGATTCTTTGGTATTTGCTATAATCATGTAATTTTTGACTATCACTGTTTCTTTTTCTTCATTCTTTCCAACCTGCTTACCTTTCCAACTAATTTTTTTTATAAAGGTGCAAAGGTAATTCAATGAAGGAAGGAGATCCTTTACAACAAAAGGTGCTAGAATAATTGGAAATCCTAGACCAAAAAACCATCAGCGTAGAACTCTACCTCATACTTTATACACAGGTTAACTCAAAATGGATCATAGAATTAAATGAAAAATATAAAACTGTATGACTTTTAGAAAAAAATAGAGAAAAACTTTGGGATCCAGGGCTGGGAAAGATTTCCATACTTGACACCAAAAAAGTACAGTACATACAAGGAAAAATTGGCAAATTTACCTTCATCAAAATTAAATGTTTCGTTCTGTAATAGTGCCTGTTCCAGATGATGAGAAGATAAGATACAGACTAGGAAAAAGTATTTGTAAACCTTTAATCCAACAATGAAATTGTGTCTAGAATACATAAATAACATAAAAATCTCAAAAGTAGGTTGGGTTGCAGCCAAGATGGCCAAATAGGAATAGCTCCGGTCTACAGCTCCCAGCATGAGTGACGCAGAAGACGGGTGATATCTGCATTTCCATCTGAGCTTTGAAGAGAGCAGTGGTTCTCCCAGCACGCAGCTGGAGATCTGAGAACGGGCAGATTGCCTCCTCAAGTGGGTCCCTGACACCTGACCCCCGAGCAGCCTAACTGGGAGGCACCCCCCATTAGGGGCAGACTGACACCTCACACGGCCAGGTACTCCTCTGAGACAAAACTTCCAGAGGAATGATCAGACAGCAGCATTCGCGGTTCATGAAAATCCGCTGTTCTGCAGCCACCGCTGCTGGTACCCAGGCAAACAGGGTCTGGAGTGGACCTCTAGCAAATTCCAACAGACCTGCAGCTGAGGGTCCTGTCTGTTAGAAGGAAAACTAACAAACAGAAAGGACATCCACACCAAAAACCCATCTGTACATCACCATCATCATAAACCAAAAGTAGATAAAACCACAAAGATGGGAAAAAACAGAGCAGGAAAACTGGAAACTCTAAAAAGCAGAGCGCCTCTCCTCCTCCAAAGGAACGCAGCTCCTCACCAGCAACGGAACAAAGCTGGACGGAGAATAACTTTGACGAGTTGAGAGAAGAAGTTCTCAGACGATCAAACTACTCCAAGCTACAGGAGGAAATTCAAACCAAAGGCAAAGAAGTTGAAAACTTTGAAAAAAATTTAGACGAATGTATAACTAGAATAACCAATACAGAGAAGTGCTTAAAGGAGCTGATGGAGCTGAAAACCAAGGCTCGAGAACTACGTGAAGAATGCAGAAGCCTCAGGAGCCAATGCGATCAACTGGAAGAAAGGGT
The DNA here is from genome assembly GCF_000001405.40 of Homo sapiens. Classification (NCBI taxonomy): domain Eukaryota; kingdom Metazoa; phylum Chordata; class Mammalia; order Primates; family Hominidae; genus Homo; species Homo sapiens. The sequence goes on from NC_000013.11 coordinate 47,379,510, forward strand.
ATCAGTGACGGAAGATCAAATGAATGAAATGAAGCAAGAAGGGGAGTTTAGAGAAAAAAGAATAAAAAGAAACGAACAAAGCCTCCAAGAAATAGGGGACTATGTGAAAAGACCAAATCTACGTCTGACTGGTGTACCTGAAAGTGACGGGGAGAATGGAACCAAGTTGGAAAACACTCTGCAGGATATTATCCAGGAGAACTTCCCCAATCTAGCAAGGCAGGCCAACATTCAGATTCAGGAAATACAGAGAATGCCACAAAGATACTCCTCGAGAAGAGCAACTCCAAGACACATAATTGTCAGATTCACCAAAGTTGAAATGAAGGAAAAAATGTTAAGGGCAGCCAGAGAGAAAGGTCGGGTTACCCTCAAAGGGAAGCCTACCAGACTAACAGTGGATCTCTCGGCAGAAACACTACAAGCCAGAAGAGAGTGGGGGCCAATATTCAACATTCTTAAAGAAAAGAATTTTCAACCCAGAATTTCCTATCCAGCCAAACTAAGCTTCATAAGTGAAGGAGAAATAAAATACTTTACAGACAAGCAAATGCTGAGAGATTTTGTCACCACCAGGCCTGCCCTAAAAGAGCTCCTGAAGGAAGCGCTAAACATGGAAAGGCACAACCGGTACCAGCCGCTGCAAAATCATGCCAAAATGTAAAGACCATCGAGGCTAGGAAGAAACTGCATCAACTAACGAGCAAAATAACCAGCTAACATCATAATGACAGGATCAAATTCACACATAACAATATTAACTTTAAATGTAAATGGACTAAATGTTCCAATTAAAAGACACAGACTGGCAAATTGGATAAAGAGTCAAGACCCATCAGTGTGCTGTATTCAGGAAACCCATCTCACGTGCAGAGACACACATAGGCTCAAAATAAAAGGATGGGGGAAGATCTACCAAGCAAATGGAAAACAAAAAAAGGCAGGGGTTGCAATCCTAGTCTCTGATAAAACAGACTTTAAATCAACAAAGATCAAAAGAGACAAAGAAGGCCATTATATAATGGTAAAGGGATCAATTCAACAAGAAGAGCTAACTATCCTAAATATATATGCACCCAATACAGGAGCATCCAGATGCATAAAGCAAGTCCTGAGTGACCTACAAAGAGACTTAGAATCCCACACAATAATAATGGGAGACTTTAACACCCCACTGTCAACATTAGACAGATCAACGAGACACAAAGTCAACAAGGATACCCAGGAATTGAACTCAGCTCTGCACCAAGCGGACCTAATAGACATCTACAGATCTCTCCACCCCAAATCAACAGAATATACATTTTTTTCAGCACCACACCACACCTATTCCAAAGTTGACCACATACTTGGAAGTAAAGCTCTCCTCAGCAAATGTAAAAGATTAGAAATTATAACAAACTGTCTCTCAGACCACAGTGCAATCAAACTAGAACTCAGGATTAAGAAACTCACTCAAAACAACTCAACTACATGGAAACTGAAAAACCTGCTCCTGAATGACTACTGGGTACATAACGAAATGAAGGCAGAAATAAAGACGCTCTTTGAAACCAATGAGAACAAAGACACAACATACCAGAATCTCTGGGACTCATTCAAAGCAGTGTGTAGAGGGAAATTTATAGCACTAAATGCCCACAAGAGAAAGCAGGAAAGATCCAAAACTGACACCCTAACATCACAATTAAAAGAACTAGAAAAGCAAGAGCAAACACATTCAAAAGCTAGCAGAAGGCAAGAAATAACTAAAATCAGAGCAGAACTGAAGGAAATAGAGACACAAAAAACCCTTCAAAAAAATTAATGAATCCAGGAGCTGGTTTTTTGAAAGGATCAACAAAATTGATAGAACGCTAGCAAGACTAATAAAGAAGAAAAGAGAGAAGAATCAAATAGATGCAATAAAAAATGATAAAGGGGATATCACCACCGATCCCACAGAAATACAAACTACCATCAGAGAATACTACAAACGCCTCTACGCAAATAAACTAGAAAATCTAGAAGAAATGGATAAATTCCTCAACACATACACTCTCCCAAGACTAAACCAGGAAGAAGTTGAATCTCTGAATAGACCAATAACAGGCTCTGAAATTGTGGCAATAATCAATAGCTTACCAACCAAAAAGAGTCCAGGACCAGATGGATTCACAGCCGAATTGTACCAGAGGTACAAGGAGGAACTGGTACCATTCCTTCTGAAACTATTCCAATCAATAGGAAAAGAAGGAATCCTCCCTAACTCATTTTATGAGGCCAGCATCATCTTGATACCAAAGCCTGGCAGAGACACAACCAAAAAAGAGAATTTTAGACCAATATCCTTGATGAACATTGATGCAAAAATCCTCAATAAAATACTGGCAAACCGAATCCAGCAGCACATCAAAAAGCTTATCCACCATGATCAAGTGGGCTTCATCCCTGGGATGCCAGGCTGGTTCAATATACGCAAATCAATAAATGTAATCCAGCATATAACAGAACCAAAGACAAAAACCACATGATTATCTCAATAGATGCAGAAAAGACCTTTGACAAAATTCAACAACGCTTCATGCTAAAAACTCTCAATAAATTAGGTACTGATGGGATGTATCTCAAAATAATAAGAGCTATCTATGACAAACCCACAGCCAATATCATACTGAATGGGCAAAAACTGGAACCATTCCCTTTGAAAATTGGCACAAGACAGGGATGCCCTCTCTCACCACTCCTATTCAACATAGTGTTGGAAGTTCTGACCAGGGCAATTAGGCAGGAGAAGGAAATATAGGGTATTCAATTAGGAAAAGAGGAAGGCAAATTGTCCCTGTTTGCAGATGACATGACTGTATATCTAGAAAACCCTGTTGTCTCAGCCCAAAATCTCCTTAAGCTGATAAGCAACTTCAGCAAAGTCTCAGGATACAAAATCAATGTACAAAAATCACAAGCATTCTTATACACCAATAACAGACAGAGAGCCAAATCATGAGTGAACTCCCATTCACGATTGTTTCAAAGAGAATAAAATACCTAGGAATCCAACTTACAAGGGACGTGAAGGACCTCTTCAAGGAGAACTACAAACCACTGCTCAATGAAATAAAAGAGGATACAAACAAATGGAAGAACATTCCATGCTCATGGGTAGGAAGAATCAATATCATGAAAATGGCCATACTGCCCAAGGTAATTTATAGATTCAATGCCATCCCCATCAAGCTACCAATGACTTTCTTCACAGAACTGGAAAAAACTACTTTAAAATTCATATGGAACCAAAAAAGAGCCTGCATCGCCAAGTCAATCCTCAGCCAAAAGAACAAAGCTGGAGGCATCACGCTACCTGACTTCAAACTATACCACAAGGCTACAGTAAGCAAAACAGCATGGTACTGGTACCAAAACAGAGATATAGAGCAATGGAACAGAACAGAGCCCTCAGAAATAACACCACATATCTACAACTATCTGATCTTTGACAAACCTGAGAAAAATAAGCAATGGGGAAAGGATTGCCTATTTAATAAATGGTGCTGGGAAAACTGGCTAGCCATAAACAGAAAGCTGAAACTGGATCCCTTCCTTACACCTTATACAAAAATCAATTCAAGATGGATTAAAGACTTAAACATTAGGTCTAAAACCATAAAAACCCTAGAAGAAAACCTAGGGCATTACCATTCGGGACATAGGCATGGGCAGGGACTTCATGTCTAAAACACCAAAAGCAATGGCAACAAAAGCCAAAATTGACAAATTGGATCTAATTAAACTAAAGAGCTTCTGCACAGCAAAAGAAACTACCATCAGAGTGAACAGGCAACCTACAAAATGGGAGAAAATTTTCGCAACCTACTCATCTGACAAAGGGCTAATATCCAGAATCTACAATGAACTCAAACAAATTTACAAGAAAAAAACAAACAACCCCATCAAAAATTGGGCAAAGGACATGAACAGACACTTCTCAAAAGAAGACATTTATGCAGCCAAAAAACACAGGAAAAAATGCTCACCATCACTGGCCATCAGAGAAATGCAAATCAAAACCACAATGAGATACCATCTCACACCAGTTAGAATGGCAATCATTAAAAAGTCAGGAAACAACAGGTGCTGGAGAGGATGTGGAGAAATAGGAACACTTTTACACTGTTGGTGGGACTGTAAACTAATTCAACCCTTGTGGAAGTCAGTGTGGCGATTCCTCAGGGATCTAGAACTAGAAATACCATTTGACCCAGCCATTCCATTACTGGGTATATACCCAAAGGACTATAAATCACGCTGCTATAAAGACACATGCACATGTATGTTTATTGCGGCACTATTCATAATAGCAAAGACTTGGAACCAACCCACATGTCCAACAACGATAGACTGGATTAAGAAAATGTGGCACATATACACCATGGAATACTATGCAGCCATAAAAAATGATGAGTTCATGTCCTTTGTAGGGACATGGATGAAATTGGAAATCACCATTCTCAGTAAACTATCGCCAAGGACAAAAAACCAAACACTGCATATTCTAACTCATAGGTGGGAACTGAACAACGAGAACACATGGACACAGGATGGGGAACATGACATTCGGGACAGTTGTGGGGTGGGGGGAGGGGGGAGGGATAGCTTTAGAAGATATACCTAATGCTAAAAGATGATTTAATAGGTGCAGCGCAGCAGCATGGGACATGTATACATATGTAACTAACCTGCACATTGTGCACATGTACCCTAAAACTTAAAGTATAATAAAAAAAAAAACTCAACAATAGAAAAACAAAGTATCCAATGAAAAGGGACCAAAAGTCACAATGAGACCTTTCACTAAAAAGAATATACAGTTGGCTAATTAGCATATGAAAAGATGCTTACATCATTAGCCTTTAGGTAAAGGCAAATTAAAACCACAATAAGAAACAGAGGGTTTTAGGACAGGGAAGCTACTTGTGTGATACTACAATGGTAGATACATGTCATTATAAGTTTGTCCAAACTCATAAAAATGCAAGAACACAAGTGAACCCTAATGTAAACTATGAACTTTTGATGATAATGTGTCAATGTAGGTTTATTAATTGTGACAAATGTATGGCTTAGTAGGGGATGTTGATTATGAGAGGAGGCTATACACATGTTGGGGAAGAGGTATATGGAAAATATCTGTACTTCCCTTGCAATTATTCTGTGAACCTAAAACTGCTCTAAAAAGTAAGGTCTATTTTCTTTTTAAAAAGACACTCACAGGATCAAGATGCCTGAATAGAAATCTCTGTGGAACCTCCCTGCTCCACCACAAGGACATCAATTTAATAACTGTCTACACAAAAAGCAGCACCCCCATAAGAACCAAAAGTCAGGTCAGCACTCACAATACCTGGTTTTAATTTCATATAGCTAAAAGAGACACTGAAGAAGATAGGAAGGACAGTCTTGAATTGTCAATGCCACCACTCTTCCATTTCCTGGCAGCAGCCACATGGCACAGAGAGAATCTGTGCACTTGGAACAGAGAGAGCACAGCAATTATGAGACATTGCATTGAACTCAGTGCTGCCCTGTCACTGCAGAAAGCAAAACTGGGCTGAAATCAGCTAATTCCTGCCCATGGAGGAAGTATTTAAATCAGCCCTAGCCAAAGGGGTATCATCCATACATCTGTTAGGACTTGAGTTTGGGCTAGCCTCACTATTATGGGATAAAGTGCTCTGGGGCCCTAAATAAACTTGAAAGGCAGTCTAGGCCATAAGGACTGCAACTCCTAGGTGAATCCTAGTGCTGAAGTTGGCTCAGAGCCAGTGGACCTGGAGAGCATACCACCCACAGAGACACCAGCTGGAGTGGCTAAGGGAGTACATACATAACCTCTCCCCCAGCCCCAGGCTGCACAGCTCATGGCTCTCAAAGAGACCCCTTCTACTTGAGGAGAGAAGAGAGAAAAGAGGACTTTGTCTTGCATCTTGGATACCAACACAATCTTAGTACGACAGGGCAACAGTCATGGTTATGAGGCCTCCTTTCCAGACCCTATCTCCTAGACAACAGTTCTTTTTTGGGGGGGGTGGGGGAGAAGGATTCTCACTCTGTTGCCCAGGCTGGAGTGCAGTGGCACAATCTTGGCTCACTGCAACCTCCGCCTCCTGGGTTCAAGCAATTCTCCTGCCTCAGCCTCCCAAGTAGCTGGGACTACAGGCATATGTGGCCATGGCTAATTTTTTGTATTTTAGTAGAGATGGGATTTCACCATGTTGCCCAGCCTGGTCTCAAACTCCTGAGCTCAGGCAATCCATCCACCTCGGCCTCCCAAAGTGCTAGGATTACAGGCATGAACCACCATGCCCAGCCTCCTGGACAACATTTCTAAACACACCCCAAGCCATAAGGGAAACTGCAGTCTTGAAGGGAAGGACCCAATCCTGGCAGGATCCATCACCTGCTTACTAAACAGCCCTTAGGGCCTGTATAAGCAGCTGTGATATACAGGTAATATGCCATGGGCTTTGGGTGACACTCTGAGACTTGCTGGCTTCAGGTGAGACTTAGCACATTCTGGGCTGTGGTAGCTATGGGGAGAGACTCCTTCTACTTGAGAAAAGAAGAGGGAAAAGTAAAGAGGATTTTAACTTGCACCTTAGGTACTAACTTGACCAGAGGGGATAGAGCACCAAGGAGGCTCTTGGGATCCATGATCCTAGACACTGTCTCTTGGATGGCATTTCTGGACCTGCCCTCGGCCAGAGGGGAACCCGCTTCCCTAAAGATTGAGACCTATGGTAGGGAGCATTCACCACAAGCTGACTTAAGAGCACTTGCACCTTAAAGGAAAGTTGGTGGTAGCCTGACAGCACTCTCTATGGGCCTGTGCTTGTGGTGGCCATGGGGTGAGATTCCTCTGTCTGTTGAAAGAGGAGTAAAGAATTGGAAGATTTGAATCCTGTGGTTTGAGTGTCAGCTCAGCCACAGTACAATAGGAAACCAGGTCGACTATTAAGGTTTTCACTTCAGCCCTGGCTCCTGGATATCACCCCTGGACCCACCCAGGGCCTAGAGGATCTTGCCATCCTGAAATGAAGGACACAAGCCTGGCTGGCTTCACCACCTGATGATTGTAGAGCCCCAGGGCCTTGAGAAAACATAGGTGGCAGCCAAGTAGTGATTACAGCAAGACATGGGTGAGACCCAGTATTGTGCTAGCATCGGGTCTGGGCTAGCACAGTCCCAGTTGTTGTGGCCATGGGGGTACTTGTGTTACCCCAAGCCCAGCTCCAGGCAGCTTAGCACAGAGAGAGAGACTCTGTTTGGAAGAAAGTAAGGAAAGAGAACAAGAGTCTCTGCCTTGCAATCCATAGAATTCTTCCAGATCTTATCCAAGACCATAAAGGGTATCTCTATGAGTCCACAAGAACTATGGTGTTACTAGGCTTAGGGTGTTCCCTAATCCAGATATGGCTTAGATCACAATACAGAAGTTTTGTTGAATACCTATAAAGCATTCCCAAGAAGGACAGGAACAAACAAGCTCAGATTGTAAAGTCTATAATAAATACTTAACTCATCAATGCCCAGGCACAGATAGACATCCATAAGCATCAAGACCATTCAGGAAAATATGACCTCACCAAATGAAGTGAATAAGACACCAAGGACATCTGGAGAAACAGAGATATGTGACCTTTCAGACAGAAAATTCAAATTAGCTATTTTGAAAAAACTCAAAGAAATTCAAGAAAACACAAAGACAGAATTTGGAAATCTGTCAGATAAATTTAACAAAGAGATTTAAATCATTCAAAAGAATTAAGCAGAAAGTCTGGATTTCAGAAATGCAACTGACATACTGAACAATGCATCAGTCTTTTTATAGCACAATTGATGAAGCAGAATAAAGAATTAGTGAACCTGAAGACAGGCTGTTTGAAAATACAGTCAGAAGCACCAAAAGAAAAAAGTATAAAAAACAATGAAGCACACATTAGAGGATTTAGAAAATAGCCTCAGAAGGGCCAATCTAAGAGTTATTTGTCTTAAAGATGAGGTAGAGAAAGAGAAAGGGGTAGAAAGCTTATTAAAATGGATAGCAACAGAGAACTTCCCAAAATGTAGAGAAAGATATCAATATGCAAGTACAGAAAGGTTATAGAATATCAATATGATTTAACCCAAAGATGACTACCTCAAGGCATTTAATAATCAAACTCCCAAAGGTCAAGGATATAGAAAGGATCAGAAAAGCATCAAGGGAAAAAAAGCACATAACATAAAATGACACTCCAATACGTCTGGCAGCAGACTTTTCAGTGAAAACCTTTCAGGCCAGGAGAGAGTGGCATGACATATTTAAAGTGCTAAAGAAAAACCTTTTATACTAGAATAGTATATTCGGTAAAAATATCCTTCCAACATGAAAGAGAAATAAAAACAAGATAAACAAAAGCTAATGGATTTCATCAACACCAGACCTTCTTCCAAGAAATGCTAAAGGGAGTATATCAATCAGAAAGAAAAGGATGGTAATTAGCAATAAGAAATCATCTGAAAGTACAAAACTCACTGGTAAAAGCAAGTAAACAGAAAAACACAGAACATAATAACACTGTAAATGTGATATGTAAATCACTCTTAAGTAGGAAGACTAAATGATGAGCTAATCAAAAATAATAACTATAACTTATCCTGAGATAGACAGCAGAATAAGACAAAAAGAGAAATAACAAAGAGTTTAAAAATGGGGGATGAAGTTAAGATACAGAGTTTTTATTGGGTGCTTATTTATGCAGAAAATATTAAGTTGTTATCAGGTTAAAATAATGGATTATAAGATAGTATTTGCAACCCTCATGGTAACCTGAAATCAGAAAACATAAAACAAATACACAAAAATAAAAAAAGCAAGTACTTAATACTACCAGAGAAAATCAACTTCACTAAAAGGAAAACAGGGAAGAAGGAAGAGAAGATCACAAACAGTTACATACTTATCAATAATAAAATTGAAGGTAAATGGACTAAACCCTTCAATCAAAAGCCACAGTGGCTGCATGGATAAAACAAAAACAAAACAAAACAAAAACACAAGACACAATAGCTGTTGCCTACAAGAAACTCACTCCCCCTATAAAGACACACCCAGACTGAAAAAACAGGGATGGAAAAAGATATTCCATGCCAATGGAAACCAAAAAAAAAAAAAAAAAAAAAAAGGAGAGCAGGAATAGCTATACTAATATCAGACAGAATATATTTCAAGAGAAAAACTGTAAGAAGAGACAAAGAAGGTCGCTATATAATGATAAAGGGGTCAATTCTGCAAAAGGATGTAACAATTTTAAATATATATGCACCCAACACTGGAATATCCAGATGTATAAAGCAAATATTATTAGAGCTAAAGAGAGAGACAGACCTCAATACAATAATAACTAGAGACTTTAACTCCCACTTTCAGTATTGGGCAGATTTTCCAAACAGAAAATTAACAAAAACATAGGACTTCATCTGCACTATAGACCAAGTGAACCTAATAGCTATTTACAGAACATTTCATCCAATGGCTGCATAATACACATTCTTCTCCTTAGCACATGAATCTTTCTCAAGTATAGACCATATTTTGGGTAAAAACACAAGTCTTAAAACATGCCAAAAAAATGAAATAATATTAAGCATCTTCTCTGGCCACAATGGAATAAAACAAGAAATTAACAAGAGGAATTTTGGTAATTATACAAACGCATGGAAATTAAACAATATGCTCCTGGATGACCAGTGGGCAAATGAAGAAATTTAAAAAGAAACTTAAAAAGTTCTTATCATCAATTTCTTGATAATGGAAACACATCATTTGAAAACATATGGGAAACAGTGAAAGCAGTATTAACAGGGAAAATTATAGCTATATTTGCCTATGTTAAAAAATAAAAAACTACAAATAAATAACCTAACAATGCATCTTAAAGAACTGGGAAAGTAATACTAAACCAAACCCAAAATTAGTAGAAGAAAAGAAATAATAGACATCAGAGCAAAAACAAATGAATCTGAAATGAAGAAAACAATATAGAAGATCACTGAAATAAAAACATGTTTGTTTGAAAAGATAAACAAAATTGAAAAACCTTTAGCCAGAGTAAGATAGAGAGAAAATCCAAATAAATAAAATCAGAGATGAAACAGAGACATTACAACTAATACTACAGAAATTCAAAGGATAATTGGTGGCTACTATAAGCAACTACATGCTAATAAACTGCAAACTCCGGAAGAAATGGATAAATTCTGAGACACATACAACCTACCAAAATTGAACCATGAAGAACAGACCAATAACAAGTAACGAGATCAAAGCTGTAATAAAAAGTTTCCCAGCAAAGAGAAGCCCAGAGCCTGGTGGTTTTACTGTTGAATTCTACCAAACATTTAAAGAAGAACTAATACCAATCCTACCCAAACTATTGCAAAAAATATAGAAGGGAGTACTTCCAAACTCATTCTATGAGGTCAGTATTACCCTGATACCCAAACCGAAGACATATCAAAAAAAGAAAACTATAGGCCAATATCACTGATGAATATTGATGCAAAAATTCTCAACAAAATACTAGTAAACCAAATTCAACAACACATTAAAAATCATTCATCAGAACCAAGTGAAATTTATCTCAGGAATGCAAGGATGGTTCAACATATACAAATCAATTAATGTATGTGATACATCAAATCAACAGAATGAACGGAAAAAAACATATTATTATTATTATTATTTTTTTTTTTTTGAGACAGTCTTGCTCTGTCTCCCAGGCTGGAGTGCAGTGGCGCGATCTGAGCTCATTGCAAGCTCCACCTCCTGGGTTCATGCCATTCTCCCACCTTGGCCTCCCAAAGTGTTGGGATTACAGGTGCACGCCACCACATCTGGCTAATTTTTTTTTGTATTTTTAGTAGAGACAGGGTTTCGCATGATCTTTTAAATGAATGCTGAAAAAGTATTTGATAAAATTCAACATTCCCTCATGATAAAAAGCCTAAAAAACCTCAGTACAGAAAGAACATACCTCAACAAAATGAAAGCCGTATATGACAGATGCACAGCTAGTATGATACTTAGTAGGGAAAAACTGAAATCCCTTCCTCTGAGATCTGGCACATGACAAGGATGCTGTCCACTGTCACCACTGTTATTCAGTGTGGTACTCAAAGTCCTAGCTAGAGCAGTCAGATGAGAACAAAATAAAAGGCATACAAATTGAAAAGGAAGAAGTCAAATTATCATCATTTGCAGATGATATAATCATATATTTGGGAAAACTCAATGACTCCATGAAAAAATTATAAGAATTGGTAAACATTTAGTAAAGTTGCAGGATACAAAATTAACATACAAAATAAGCATATACCAACAGTGAACAATCTGAAAAAATCAAGAAAGTAATCCAATTTATAATAGCTACAAATAAAATTAAATACCTCAAAAGACCCCAAATAGTCAAAGCTATTCTAAGCAAAAAGAATGAAACTGGAGGAATCTCATTACCTGACTTCAAATTATACTACATAGTTATAGTGACCAAAACAGCATGGTACTGGAATAAAAAAAGACACAGAGACCAATGGAACAGAATAGCAAACCCAGAAACAAATCTACACAACCACAGTGAACTCATTTTCGGCAAAGTTGTCAAGAACATACACTGAGGAAAAGACAGCCTCTTTAATAAATGGTGCTGGGAAAACTGGATACCCATACTCAGAAGAATGAAACTTGGCCTCTATCTCTCACCATATACAAAAATCAAATCAGAATGGACTGAAGACTTAAATCTAAGGCCTCAAACCATGAAACTATTAAAAGAAAAGTTTGGGAGAAACTCTCAAGGAAATTTGTCTGGGCAATAATTTTTTGAGAATACCCACACAAGCACAGACAACCAAAGCAAAAACAGACAAATGAAATTACATCTAGTTAAAAATTCCTGCATAGCAAAGGAAACAATCAGCAAAGTGAAGAGACACCCACAGAATGGGAGAAAATATTTGCAAACTACCCATCTGACAAGAGATTGACAAGTAGAAAACATAAGGAGGATCAAACAACTCTACCAAAAAAAATCTAATAATCTCATTTAAAAATGGGTGAAAGATCTGAATAGACATTTCTCAAAAGAAGACATACAAATACCAGATAGGTATATGAAAAGGTGCTCAACATGACTGATCACTGGAGAAAAGCAAATCAAAACTACAATGAGATATCATGTCAGCCCAGTTCAGATGGCTTTTATCCAAATGTCAAGTGATAACAAATACTGGCAAGGATGTAGAGAAAAGGGAACCCTCGTACACTTTGCTGACAATGTAAATTAGTACAGCCACTATGGGCAACAGTTTGGAGGTTTCTGAGAAAACTAAAAATAGATCCACCTTATAATCCAGCAATCTCACTCCTAGGTATGTACCCCAAAGAAAGGAAATCAATATATCAAAGAGATATCTGCACTCCATGTGTATTGCAGCACTAATCACAACAGCCAAGATTTGGAAGCAAACGAAGTAGTGTCCGTCAACAGATGAATGGATAAAGTAAATGTGGTACATATACACAATGGAGTACTACTCCGCCATTAAAAAAAAAAGAGATCCTGTCATTTGCAACAACATGGATGGAACTGGAGGTCATTATGTTAAGTGAAATAAGCCAGCCACGGAAAGACAAATATCCCATGTTCTCACTTACTTGTGAGAGCTAAAAATTAAAATAATTGAACTCATGGAGATAGAGAGTAGAAGGATGGTTACCAGAGGCTGGGAAGGGTAGTGGGTGCGTGGAGGGGACCTGGGGATGGCTAATAGGTATAAAAATAGTTAGAAAGAGTAAATAAGACCTAGTGTTTACTAGCACAATAGGCTGACTATACTAAAAAATAATTTGTACATTTTAATATAAAAGAATATAATTAGATTGTACGTAACAGAAAGGGTAAATGCTTGAGTGGATAGATACCCCATTTACCCTCATATGATTTTACACATTGCATGCCTGTATTAAATATCTTATGCGACCCATGAATATATATACCTACTATGTAGTGAAAAAAATTAAAAATAAAAAAGACACACAAAAAATTACTACACACCTACCAGAATGGCTAAAATAAAAAACATTGGCAATATTAAATGCTGGCAAGAATGCCAAGAAACTAGGCCACTCACAAACTATTGATGGAGCTCATTCATATATTAGTGATGAGAATGTAAGATAATACAGCCACTCTAGAAAACAGGCAGGCCAGGTGCAGTGGCTCATGCCTGTAATCCCAGCACTTTGGGAGGCCGAGGCAGGTGGATCACCTGAGGTCAGGAGTTCGAGACCAGCCTGACCAATATGGTGAAACCCGTCTCTACTAAAAATACAAAAAATTAATCAGGCGTCATGGTGTGCACCTGTAGTCCCAGCTACTCGGGAGGCTGAGACAGGAGAATTCCTTGAACCCAGGAGGCAGAGGTTGCAGTGAGCTGAGATTCCACCACTGCACTCCAGCCTGGGTGACAGAGTGAGACTCAATCTCATAAAAAAAAAAAAAGAAGAAAACAGCAATTTCTTATAAATCAAACACATAGCTATTATGCAACCCAGAAATTACACTATTGGGTATTTATCCAAGAGACACAAAAACTTATGTCTATAAAAAAATTGGTATATAAATGTTTATAGAAGCATTACACAATAGCCAAATCTAGAGAACACCTAGATTTTTTTTAACAGGTAAATGGTTAAAAAATAAAATGGTACATTCATGCCATGTGTATTAGTCTGTTCTTGCATTGTTATAAAGCAATACCTGAGACTCAGTAATTTATAAAGAAAAGAGGTTTAATTGGTTCATAGTTCCACAGGCTGTACAGGAAGGGTGATGCTGGCTCTGCTTTGCTTCTGGGGAGGCCTCAGGAAACTTTCAATCATGACAGAAGGTGAAGGGAAAGCAGGCACATCTTACATTGCCTGAGCAGAAGCAAGAGAGAGAGGGGAAGTGCTACACACTTATGAACAACCAGATCTTGTGAATACTCTATTACTATACAGTACCAAGGGGGGATGCTACTAAACCATCCATGAGAACTCAGCCCCCATGATCTAAACACATCCCACCAGGTCCCACTTCCAACACTGAAGATTACAATTGAACATGAGTTTGGGTGGAAACACAGATCCAGATCCGAACCATATCACCATCGAATAGTAGTCCATAAAATAATTATTGATACATGCTACACCTAGATTAATCTCTAGGATATTATGCTAAATAAAAAAGGCAATCACAAAAGGTTACATACTGTATGATTTGATTAATATAACATTCATGAAATGATAAAATTACAGAAATAGAAAGTAGATCAGTGGGCCAGGGGCTGGGGATGGAGTGAAAGGGGAAAGTATGTGGCTATAAAAGGCCAACATGAGGGATCCTCATAGTGATGGAACTGTTTGTTCTGTATACTGACTGTATCAATAACAATATTCCAGTTGTTATATTGTACTATAATAATTCTTCAATATGTACAATTTTTATTTGTCAATTATACTTTAATAAAGCTGAAAAAGTCTTTAAAAATAAAATAAGTTACCATTGGGAAAACCATGCATGGGATACAACGGATATTTTTGTAGTCTATTTTATAAATAAATTAGAATCTAAAATCACCTATAAATTTTTTAAAAGATTGTTTATAAAACAAAGTGCGCCAGGCAGAAAAAGGATGAAGGGCACACAGATTCTCTTAATGGAAAGATCTAGATAAAGGCAAACAGCCCAGTGCCTTCAATGTGGTAATAGTGGTGTGTCACCTCTTTGTTCATGCAACTGGCTTTCCACATTGCATGATTTTAATAACATTTTAATAAAATGATGCGTGGCAAAACTTTGGTTCATTGTAGTGTGTGTGTGTGTGTGTGTGTGTGTGTGTGTGTGTTGTTTGTAAGGATATTTTTGTCTATGAACATTTCAATGTAGACTGTTTTTAAGGAGCATATGTCAATTGTACATAGGTAATATGATCATATTATTTTAAAAATGGATTGTCCAATTACCCTCAGAACCTCTTTCCTAAATTATTTACAGATTGGGTTGTCAAGTTAGACTTCTCAAATCTGAGGTCAGGTTGGTCCTCTTGTAACCCCAGTTCTTATGGCTCCCCAAAGAATTTATAAGCACTGCAAGCATAGCCTACTTGTTCTAATGTATTATTTTTCAGAGCAGGGTTCTAAAAGACATCTCTTCAATGACCCCCAATGATATCTCTCTTGAATGTCAATCTTCCTACAACAAAAGCAAATTGCTTCCTCCCTGCTTCATGATCTCCATGGCTCCACCTTCTGTATGTCCTGTTATGTTTCCTGGGGTGTCTTCTCTCTAACTTGTTTTATTTTTCCAAAGCTTAATTATTCACTAGTGGCGAAAGCTAACTTTATCCATTGGTATACCTTAGTTTTAGCATATCTTTTCTATCAATTCAAATTTTGTGTGTGTGGCTTTGGTAGTGGCTGACAATTGTCCTTTGATCTTGCCTAAATCTTGCACATTCTATTTCGCTTTCTATTTCAAACAGAAACTGTGTTCTGTTTGAGATTTATACTCCAACCTTTAGGGGAAGGAGTAGTGTAGTAGCTAGTACATAAGCTAACCGCTCCAATTTTGGAGTCAGACTGACAAGAGCCAAATCCTAGCCCCAACACTTACAAGCTCTGTGACCTTGAGCAAGTTTCTAAGCTTCTCTTTAATTGCCTTTATTCTTTTTTTTAAATGGAGGTCATAGAGGTACCTACATGTCAGTGTTTTTGAATGAAATAAATATGTAGTGTTTTCAACATACCAAGTCATCAGTCAGTATACTACTGCTTAAACAAATGAATCAATGATTTCTAGTCACAAAAATTAAAAGTAATATTCATTCATAGTCATTTTGCTTTTTATTCATCATTCATTCAAAAGACACTAAAGATCCATAGATAAAACTAAATTACCAAAAGGAAGTTATTATCTGGTAGTGGAGAAATGTAAAGCAGCAATTAGAAAACATCGCAGTCAGGGCTAAATACAAGCATGCATGGAGACACTGAAAACTGGCACAAATATTTATTCTATTAAAATCTTAGCCTGTAGCTCATATTTAGTATGAAGGCAGAAAGAAAGAGCCTAAGTTATACAAGAAAATTGTTAAATGTCACTTAGTTTCAGAATTCCATGGAAGGCTGATAGGATTTCTGGAAATCTAAATATGGATGAAATTAACAACATTTGACAAGGGCAAAACAAACTAGAAAATTCAATTTAAGTGATGGAATTAGCACTATCACTATGCCTGAATACCAGTGCATACACACACACACAAACACACACACACACGTCTCCAAATTTGCTATTTGAAATAATAAAGTGTTTAGTGCTGTATTGTAAAAATATCATTTCAGTTTCCTATAGTGTTTTCATTTTGTTTTCTCTATTTTGTAGGAAGTATGTATTGCCCAATTATTTGAATAGCAGTTTTTATGCTGAAGATTTCTAAATGTGTGTATTTTTAAAATACACTTAAACGACTGAATACTGTATGCTATTTTCAAATATACACAGGCCCAAAGTTTCAGCACCTGACTTGCTGCTTGAGTAAACAAATGGACTAGCAAAGCAATACAAGACTAGAAATACTCTGATGAAAGAAGAAAAGAACAAACAGAAAAAGGGGTAGCCTAGTGACGTTTCAACACTGAAACGGCTAAAGCAAGTGTTCTGGAGATAGAACATTTATATTGGCAGTGTAGTGCTGTAAAATAACACAGTTCTAAGAGTTAGACCTCAGTTTAAATTCTGCTCTGCTACTGTGTAAACTAGGCAAGTTACCTGAGCTTTACCTGTAAACTGGGATCGATAATAATAGTAGCTGGAATATTATTATTTCAAAGTAATATTCCAGCTACTATTTTGAGACAGCTATCCTGTTTCAAAAAGACAAAGTCTCACTCCGTCACCTAGGCTGGAGTACGGTGGCGTGATCATAGCTCACTCACTGCAGGCTTATACTCTTGAACTCAAGTGATCCTCCTCCCCCAGCCTCCTGAGTAGCTAGGACTACAGGTGCGTGCCACCACACTTGGCTACTTTTGAAAAATTTTTGTAAGGATGGAATCTTGCTATGTTTCCCAGGCTGGCCTTGAACTCCTGGCCTCAAGTGGTCCTCCTGCCTTGGCCTTCCAGAGTGCTGGGATTGCAGACATCAGCCACCATGCCTGGTCAAGTAGCTGAAATATTTTATTGAGTACTTATTGAGGGTCAGACCATGCCAAGCACTTTACTTGGATTGGCTTTTATTAATCCTAATATCAGCTCTATGAAGTAGATGCGAATGTTTGCCCCTCATGTAGATGAGGACACTGAGATGCAGGACAAGGCTGAGACTTGGTCAAGGATTTGAAGCTGGTGGGTGGCTGCATGGCATGTCCACAGTGAGTTACCCGACTCTGGTTCTAACCGGCTCCTCAGCTTGCAGTTTCTCAGGAACCTGAGCTCTCCTCATGACCTGAGGAATTTCAAAGGCTTTGAACGAAGCTTGGTGGAGTTCCCTGCATCTCTTATTGTCATCTCAAGGAGTGATGCTGGAAGAGTTATATTCCCGGGCACTTCCCCTCTTTTGTGACGCTGTGGTGTGCTCCTCCTTATCCCTCTATTCATAGTAGATTTTAAGACATTGTTATTCACATAGCTCAACTTCTTCATGCTAGCCAAATCCTCTCCTCAAGGAATCCTTTTCTACTATTTTTCTTCCAAGCTGAAAACATATTTTCTTCTGAGAATTATACCTCCTCCCTACTCTCCTGTCCATGGTGTTTGGCATTTATAATCAGCTGCTAATTTCTCTTGGTTAAATACAGAGCAATGGGATTGAACCTAAGGGAGGGAACCAGAATTTTCTCTATCTTTAGGGATATAGGGCCCCTGGATTTCACTACCATGAGGGTTAGTGGTCATATAAAGCTATTCACACTGTACCAAGCACAGTGTCAGGAACTCTGATAATCTAATGAAAGCTAGAGACATTCCTCCCAGAAAGTGAATTGTATGTGAATGCTCTCAAAAGTTTTATATAACTACAGGAAAGTCCATGGACCCCAAAGGGCAAATCCTAGCCATGTTATCAAATAGATGTTCACTTAATAACAACTATCATTAATAGCTGACTGAAGAAATGATATGGCATCCATATGTATACAAGCATATTGGCATTTAACTAGGACCAAATAAGGCAGTTCCTTTTCTTATCAGAAGGAGGGGCACTAGACCAAGGGGCATACAAGTGAAGAGAGATTAGGATACCGTCAAGAACCACAGCATTCCAACCCTAAGATAAGAGAGAGCAATAAATGATTAGCAATAGGCATTTTGTAAACCATATTATAAACATATGACAATGCATGGATAGTAACCAAAGGTATTCTTCAAAGGAGAATGAGTCACTAACTAAAGTAGTTATCCCAGTGCAAACTGTTGACCCAAGAGAGCAGCATGTGTCATGAATAAAAATGATAAGACTCTAAAGTACGTAAGATTAGATCTACAGAGTAGACTGCCACAGAAACACATGCTTGGCTAAAGGTTTTCACATGTTTCTGGCAGAGAGGAATTGGAAGTTGGTATTACAGCACATACATATACTAGGTTGTTTATATACATACATATACTCTGGTTAACTATATGCTGCTCTCATTCCATTGATTAGATGTTCTTGGTCTAAACTATAATAAAAACTGACATTTCTTGAGCATCTGCTTTATTTCAGATAGTGTCATTCACTGTCTCCCCTAATTTATATAACTTCTTAAAGTAAGCCTTATTATTTAAGTATATAGCTAGAACTATTTTTTTTTTAAAGGTAGGATTTGAACTCAGTTTCAAATAACTGGTTCTTGTCACTATCCTTTGTTGCTGCACTTAAACTTTCTTTTTTGTAGTCTTCAAAAAGTGCTGGATTAAAAATTCTCCAGGTTTTCTTTGAAATGTCTAGGATGGACATACCCCAATTAACCACTGAAACAAAAATTCTGGTAGCTAGAGTAGGCAATGAAGATAAGGCATGCCTCTCACAGAAGATTAATTCCAGAGTTAGTTCCTATGGCAAAGCCTCTCTGTTCAGCTCTCCAAATGTATCCACTACTTGCCCTATATTCATATTCTGCTATAGTCAGGCTGTTTATACAACATTCCCTTAATATTTTTATTGAATCTGTAAAATTTTCCCCACCTTTCTCTTTGTCCACGATGCTCATTATCCTGCATTCTTCTTGATCATACTCGCCACAGAAGCCCTCTTCACCACTTTCACACACAGTGATCATGTACCTATCGGCACTGTTTATCTGCATTTGCCCATTGGCCAAAAATACAAATCCCTTTTCATTGGTATTTGTCTCTTTCCTGATATGCATACTGTAGCTCTCCGATCAAATTGTCCATTTCTGAAGGGTGGTCTTAAATCTACTGCTTTTTCCAATGTCTTTCTGGTGTCTGTCTGGCTCTCAACAAGCCTTCAATTAAAGTCATAGGTTGATGATAGTGACCTATCATAGAGAGATGATGATGATGATAGTGACTCTGATGTTTATGCTAACTGATATCTTAAGAACTAGTCTATCCACATAATCTAATGATATAAGTTAAAAAATAGGCCTGGTGCAGTGGCTCACACCTGTGATCCCAGCACTTTGGGAGGCCAAGGCAGGTGGATCACAAGGTCAGGAGTTCGAGACCAGCCTGGCCAATATGGTGCAACCGCGTCTCTACTAAAAATACAAAAAATAGCCAGACATGGCCGTGCATGCCTGTAATCCCAGCTACTCAGGAGGCTGAGGCAGAAAAATCACTTGAACCCAGGAGGTGGAGGTTGCAGTGAGCCAAGATTGTGCCATTGCACTCCTGCCCGGGTGACAAAGTGAGACTCTGTCTTGGAAAAAAAAAAAAAAGTATAAGGCTAACATTTACTGAATACTTATTATATATTACAGACTGTTCTTATTTAGTCTTTTCCAAACCTCTATGAGTGATAGAATTCTCATTTTAATGGGTGCAGAGAATCTGAGGAACTTGTCCCAAGGTCACACACAATAAGTGGCAGAGCCAAAACTCTGGCCATTCTGGCCCCAAATCCTTAGTCTTCATCACTTTGCTGAAACATCATGAGAGCAGAAGAACCTTGATAAGAAAGCCAGGTTGCATCAGGCCCAGCCCAGGTATGACGAACCAACAATTGCCACCTGGTGATGAAGATTTGCTTTACAGTCTCTCTAGTCACTGAGATTCAAATTGGTATTTTGAAAGCACGAACTTTCCAGGCAATCCTTAGTTAACACCTTAGTGTTTATGCCAATTTAGCTCTGGGTGTGTACTCAGGCACAACTTAATTTCACAAAATATCTTGCTCCTGATAAATATAGCCCTTTATAAGACAAGTCACATCCAAATGGAAGGAAAGGATACAGCATTCTAAAATATCAGCACTCTTACAGAGGTTTTTACAAAAGAAAGATACAATTAACAATATAAAATATCCTTTTTAAGAATACTCTACTGTCAGTGTGCAGGAAGAAGAAAAATAAAAAGATGCTGTAGATTCCAGTTTTTTTTGGAGATAATGGAAAATTATCACCCTTTGTCTCCAGTAACCTTGACCAGCTTAGGAGAAATGTCAGCTTTAAGTTCAAGAGACCTCAGATACTTGGCTTCACTGTATCTCATACATGTTCTTTGGGATGCAATTGGCTTTTCCTGGCTTTATTTTTTCAATTTTAATGAAAACAAGTTGAACATATTACTGTAGAATAAATGCTAAACATTCTGTATTCCACTGTTTTCATTATGGTATAAAATCATAACTATTAATCAAAAGCTCTGAACAATTAGAGACTAGATCTTCTGCAATTAAAAAAACACTAATGTTTAGTGATCTTTTGGCCATTTTGAAATTACGTCCTCTATTAGAATGAAGATAACTTTTGGAGAAACAGTATCGTTTACACGGCAGAAACATGCAGAATGATTTGCTCAAAAACGAAAAATATTTTGCTTATTGCTTAATGTTTTGTCTATATTTTATTGTTTTCAATCATTTGTTATTTGACCCAGCCATCCCATTACTGGGTATATACCCAAAGGATTATAAATCATGCTGCTATAAAGACACATGTACACGTATGTTTATTGCGGCACTATTCACAATGGCAAAGACTTGGAACCAACCCAAATATCCAACAATGATAGACTGGATTAAGAAAACGTGGCACATATACACCATGGAATACTATGCAGCCATAAAAAAGGGTGAGTTCATGTTCTTTGTAGGGACATGGATGAAGCTGGAAACCATCATTCTCAGCAAACTATCACAAGGACAAAAAAGCAAACACCTCATGTTCTCACTCATAGGTGGGAATTGAACAATGAGAACACATGGACACGGGAAGGGGAACATCACACTCTGGGGACTGTTGTGGGGTGGGGGAAGGGGGGAAGGATAGCTTTAGGAGATATACCTAATGCTAAATGACGAGTTAATGGGTGCAGCACACCAACATGGCACATTATACATATGAACTAACCTGCACATTGTGCACATGTACCCTAAAACTTAAAGTATAATAATAATTTAAAAAACAAAATAAAATAAAATGTAAAATCAACTGTAATTCAACTGCTTTGCATGCAGTTCCTCAGGACTCCTTAAACCTGTGATTCACTGGGCCACAGTCATTCATATAAGCTCAAAATAAACCTCTTTAAAATACCTTAAAAAAATAAAAAATAAAACAGATAAAAATCTAATTTAAATCTTCCCTATCTCTACCTATGTAAACACTAGCAAATTAGGGCACCTATGTCAGACAAAAGTTTCAAAGCAATAGTCTACCATTGTCCCTAATTCCTAAAGACCCATTATTCTCACAAGCCACTCCAATAAACTGCTGTATAGCTTGATGAACATTTATTTAGTCCTATTCTTATTGGACCTCTGTGATGCTTTTGGCACTGTTTAGCTCTCTCACCTTTTTAAAATCCTTTCTTCATTGGATACCTCTGGCTCATCTTGAATCTCTCGTATTCCTTTCCTGTCTTATTTGTGGGTTTCTCTTGTTTTTCTCATCCTTAATTTTTGGTGTTCACCAAAGTTAGTTGTTGGTTCACAGCTTTTTGATGCTAATTACTCTTCCTGCATCTTAGGTGATCTCATGTAAATTTTTATCATTTGTATTACTAGCTATATGCAAATGACTCCCAAAGCTACATTTCAATTCAAAGAATCCAATGTAAGAATATGTCCAAATGCATCTTATCTGTCCCATAAAAATATCAAACTCAATGTATACAAAACTAAATTTGTCATACTTCCATCTAAAACTGCTCTCCCCTCATTTTCTCCATTTCAACTGGCATATTTCCACTGTCATATGCCCAGTCCCTCAAGCTAGAAACCAGAAAAGTCAGACAATTCCTTTGTCTTTTTCACACTCCGGATTAAATAAATATTTGGCCAATATTCCCTTACATGTAGGTCTCCAATCCATCCCCTCACCTTTGACATGGTCCCATCACTATACCATGTTTCAGATCCTTGTCTCTTGTCTGCACTGTGACAACCACCTCCCAAATTATTTCTCTCCTTCTGGTCTTATCACTTCTCCCAAGCTTTCAGAGAGACCTACCTAAAACACAAAGATGTCTCGTCCATGGCTCCCCATTCCTTCTAAGATAAGCACAAAGTTCCATTGTTAAACCTATACTTTCTGGCCTCTTCATACCACTTGAGCTTCACTTTTGAGCATCTTTCCACCTTCTTCTTTAAGTCAACTCCACGTTCATCCTTGAGCCCTCTGTGCTGATCCTTTCCCTGAGTCCAGCTCAGGCACACCTCCTTCATTCCAATGAGTTAAACCTTTGCTATCCTTTTAAATATTATTCCATTGCCTCCTCTTCTAAAAAGTCTTCCCTGCCCTGTCAGCTGGCTATGTTAAACGTCCATTCTCTATGTTCCTAGGAATGTCCGGGCATATCTCTATTACTGCATCTGTCACATTATATTACATTTTGATATATTATAATGCATATATATCCATACATATTTATCTCTCTTTCTCCCTTTAGTCTTGAGGGCAGTCTCTGTGTAATATTCATCTTTGTATGCCCGATACCAAGCACAGTGACCAACATAGAGTAAGTTGTCAATAAAATGTTTGTTAAATGAATGAATTAATGAAAAATAGTTCTAAATTGCTATAGTTTTAATCATATACACTTGCATAAGATACTGTCACTTCTTCTACCCTATCTAGATACATTTTTCTCTGTTAAATCTTACAAGAAGAGATTTTCTTTCCAACCATCATCAAAATAAACTAATAAAAATATTGGCTAGAACATATTTATTAGGTGTCAGGCACTATGCTAAGTGCTTTATATTTATGTTCTTATTAATCTTTAAAAAACTCTAAGATAGGTCCTATTATTATCCTCACTTTACTTATAAGAGGTCAGAGGCTTAGAGAGATTAAGTTTCCCAAAGCCACACAATTAGGAGGATCGTGAGGCTGGCATTCAACCCACATCATCATCTACTGTCTCTCATGGCATCATTTAACAACAACAACAACACAGAGTGGCTACACAGGCATTCATGGGAAGTAAGAAAAGTATTCAAAGATTATCTCTATATTGAGCCTTGAATATTGAGCAGAGGCTCCACTTGGAAACATAAACACACACACACACACACACACACACACACACACACACACACACACGCACACAGAAAAGAGCATCCCGGGCTGGCTGAAAAAATCTGTCCAGGCTAAAATTCAAGGAGGGAAGAATGTAAGAATGTGGAATGATCAGAGAAGTTGAAGAACCTCTAACCATGGGATGTGGAAGGCTATTGACAGGGTAACAGGCTGAAGAGGTGAGTTGGTACAAGTCAGAGTGCTATGGATACTGTGCAGAGAAGTTTAGAATATTTTTTAATAGAGAACCAGTTTAGTATTTAATGCCATCAGAAACATAACTTGTTCAGGAAAGTGAAGGATTTATTGAAATGAGAAGAGGTTATACAGACCAACACTTGTATTTTTTTGTATTTCTTTTCTTATCTTTCTATAGTTTAATATATCCATTGATAAGTACTTCAGATTGTATACATAAAATATTAAATCTATAACTATATAATATCATATATATGTGTCTCCAGCTGTATTTGAAATATCCAAGGCTATGAAAAACTTGTTTTCTATCTCTTTTGTTTATATCATAATGCCTCCCATGCTGCTCTGAACAAAGTAAGTGCTAAATAAATGCTCATTTAATAACTTAGGAGGGTATCCTTGAAAATTAAGCTTTCTGGAAGGCATAGATTTACTGTTCTTAATCTTTCTTTGGAAGAGAACTGTTGAGATAAAAACACTTCTATGTTAAACATATAAAATTCAAATTTTGAATCAAGTATTGGTTTTCCAGGGGAAAAAATTACCATAACTTGAGATTATTGTAACTAAATATATAGTATA
This sequence comes from Homo sapiens, assembly GCF_000001405.40. Taxonomy (NCBI): domain Eukaryota; kingdom Metazoa; phylum Chordata; class Mammalia; order Primates; family Hominidae; genus Homo; species Homo sapiens. The sequence goes on from NC_000013.11 coordinate 47,404,099, forward strand.
TGTAAAAGTTAGACAAGGTGGTCACTACTCAGAAAGATGTGCTTTATTTTGTTTTCCAACTTCGACGTGGTATGGTTTTTAAAATGTATCTTCTGTGCTGGTTGCCTTTAAATAAGAAATTGTGTGTATGTGTGTGTGTGTGTTTGTGTGTGGTGTGTATGTGCACATGTGTCATGACACATGAGTAACAATGAGCTTGAAGGCTTTTGTACAGGGTGATGATGAATATTGATTGAATTCATGAACTGTTATCTATGAGCTGCTTCTCTGTTTTTTTAAAGGAATTGGTTATTAAGCAATGAGAGCTTTTAATGCTGAGTCCTATAATTATTGTGATGTCCTTTCTAACAGCTGTGTTCTCTATATGTGTATTTTTAGCGAAGTGATTATAAAAGCAGAACTACATGTTCTTCTGCCCAGAGTCCTCTCTACCTGCATCCATCAATTTTCCTGTCTTTTTCATCCAATAAACAGCTACCCCACTTACTTTGCAGTGAACTGTTGATTTTAAGGGATCTTATTTTAAATTGCTGGATATATTCACTCTCTTTTCTTAATAAGCATATGTCCTGGACAAGTGTTATATGGATATTTGAATTTTAATGGATATTCAATGTTTACATATGTCTTTCTCGATCTGGGATTGTGATGCCAGAGGATGTCAAGGTGTCATCAAATATTCTTAAAGGCCTTTGCCTCATCCCTCCCAATCTAATCATACTTATTCATTTGTCAAGCATTTATAGGACATCTATTATGCATAAGAAAAAGATTACAGTCATGAGCCATTTCCTCTCTGTGTTTACACTGTAGCAAGCAAACTGAAATTATAATATATGGCAAATGCCACAACTAGATATCCACAAAGTATTAAGAAAGCCAAAAGGAGGGAACTTAGCACCAGTGGGAGGGTCAGAGAAACCTACCTAGAGGAGAGGCCAAATGAGGAGAAAGCTTAGAAAATCTCACTGTTCTTAGTGCCCAAGGCCTTTAACCAACCCAACCTTCCCAAAGCTATTTCCAGGTCTTCCCATAAGCCAAATCAAGCAATTGCTTAATGTGAACATGAGAATCTGTCATCTTCAGTTCTTAATTAACTATATTATATTTTATTTTAAAAGAAAAGTTAACAATAGTCATGCAACAAGCATTCACTGAGCACCTATTGAGTGCCAGGTATTATGCTAAGTGTCTGGTAAATATAAATAAAGCATTGTTCCTATATTAAAGAAACTTAAAAAAACCCTCAATTAGTAATTAACATATAAGTACAGTATTTAGAATTACATATATTGTGATTTGTAGGGTCACAGAGAAAGTGGTTGCAACCCAGTAGCATTCAAAGTGGGGAATATGAGAAGTGAGAAGGCCAGCAAACACTCCATCCATGACACAACAGTTTAGTTGAATAGGTTGAGTAGGTTGAGTAAGTCACCCAATTAGAAGATGGTGGGGCTGGAATTTGAACTCACATCACCTGACTCAACTGTCTCTCTTGGTATCATTAAAAAATTATTGAGTGGTTACCTAGACGTTCATGGGAAGTCAGAAAGTCTTCACAGAAAAGGGTGTATACTGAGTAAATTAATAATCTCAGAAGTACAATAAGCTATAGAGATCCATAGCACATAAACTGTGATCAAAAAAGATTTTCCAAAAAAGCATAGCATGAATGAATCTTGAAGTCTGAGAAAATAATACCAGTTAGGTGTAAAAGGGAGAGAGGGCATGTCAAAGAATAGTATTAACACTTGAGAGAACATGGAGGTATGACACACCTTTTTTTTTTTTTCAAGTTAAGAAAGTTATCTTCTATCCCTAGTATTTCTGATGATTTTTAAGTTATAAATAATCATTGAAATTTATCAAATGACTATAACTCTTGAGGCAGTTGATACTATTATTCACTTTTAGTCCATTAATATGATTGATTTGATAGGTTTTTTACTTTTGAATTATTCTTGGATTCTTGGAATAAAACCTTCTTGATCATGATTTATTTATTTAAATGAACAGCAGATTCACTTATGTAAAATTTTATACAGAATTTTGAAATCCATATACTAAGACTATAACTTGTGTATGCGTCTGCATGTGCTGTTCTTAACATTTTTTAAAAATGAGTTTATAGAGGCTTCAAAAATTGATTGGGCATTTCCCCCTCTATTTTTCAGAAACAACTATAAAAATCTGATTTTCTTTTGTCATTTTTTCCACTAGCATTTCTTATTCTATGTATTTGCTTGTTTTTGTTTATTTTTTTTCTTATTATTATGTTATCTCAGTAGTTCCCAGCCTGGGTTGTATATGAAAATCATCTGGGACATATATACATATATATTCTAATAGCTAGGTTCTGCCTAGGTATGCTAACAGTTAAGTTAGAATCTCTAGAGTTGGTCAGGTACAGTGGTTCACGCCTGTAATCCCAGCACTTTGGGAGGCTGAGGTAGGCGGATCACCTGAGTTCAGGAGTTTGAGACCAGCCTGGCCAACATGGAGAAACCCCGTCTCTACTAAAAGTGTAAAAACTACCCGGGCACAGTGGCGTGCACCTGTAGTCCCAACTACTTGGAGGCTGAGGCAGGAGAAACGCCTGAACCCAGGAGGTCACTATAAAATGTGAATTTTCTTTTGTCATTTTTTCCACTAGCATTGGAGTTGCAGTGGTTGCAGTGAGCCGAGATTGTGCCACTGCACTCTAGCCTGGGCAACAGAGCAGGACTCTGTCTCAAAACAAACAAACAAACAAACAAAAACAAAAACAAAACTCTAGAGATAAAGCCTCATCTATTTTAAAAAAACACTATTTTTTAAATCTTTCCATCCAAAAGCACTATTAGATTAATGTATTCTTCTTCAGATAAAAAGCTGTTGGATGGATACATTTAATATTTTTCTGGTTTTTGTCATTCTTTTTTATGCTTTTATATAATGCTTCCTTTTTAAATAGAAAACCATTATTGTGCTTCATTGCACTTACACCATTTCATTTCTACAGTTATATGTGGGCTACTTGTGTCTTCTCCACTGGTGCCCTGCTTAATTAGAGGAGAACTTGTTGTGTCTATTTTATGTATTCTCATATATCTAGGGTCTAGCATAGTTCTAGGCAAGTAGTAGATCCTTTACAAATACTTGTTGAGCTGAAAGTTTTAACCATATATGAGCAAACAGTCTAAAAGTCTCTAAAAATTTACATGACTTTGATTATGCATTAAAACTTGGAGATAATCATACTATATTTTAAATCTGGTTGAACTCCTAGAAGGATTTTGAGATATTTGAATTACTAAAGTCCATAAAGTTTAAAATAAAGTAAAAGGTTTATATACAAGACCCAGCTGGATGCTGGCTGGACAAACATTGTCCTCTTTAGCCTTTGTTCTATTCCTTTACGGCAGTTACATGTGGACTGGACAGCCATGACCAACCCTGCACTAGAACTGCTGGGTCAGTTACACTTTAGAGCACAAGACATGCTTGGAGGGAATCCATTGCTGTCTCCATCAACATCACCAGTCGATTTCATCTTTGAGTCGGAACCTCCTAACTTTAAGAAGGTACTGCTTGCCTAGAACTATGCTAGATCCCAGATATATGAGGATTTCTGTTATTTTACCTTGAGACTCTCTAAAAGGGCAACAGAAACACTCAAAAATCTAAAACAGAAACCAGTAGTTATAAATGGCCATTTTTTTATGAACAGGAAGTAGAATAGAAGAAAAATGTAAAGGAAGTTAAAAGAGCAGACTTTCAAATTATTTTTCATCTTGGTGGGAAAGAAAAAATCCTCCCTGGGAGGTTTCTCGATATAGGAAGTGTGGATATTCTTGGCCTAATTCCTGTCTAGCACTTCTCTGCACTGTTCCTCTCTCCGCCACACCTCCCCCAGCCCTCGGCTAAGGAGTGCTCATTTGCATAATTAAACTGCTTGACAGGGATGCTGAGAGAGTGGAACAAGGCATGCACGGAGCCAAGTATTCTTCAAATGCCATCCTTACCCACACCCCTACTACACAAGGGAAACTGCTAAACCGTTTGAAGAGAAAAGGGAAGTTGCATATTGATATTCAAAATGTCTGTGGCACATGTTTTATGATATCAAAAAGTCTGTCAGGGACCTACTGGCCTGAGGACAGAAAGAAATGAAATACAGCCAAGGGGAAAATATGAGGATGAGTGAGAATGAAAATGGAAAATTTAAATGCATTTTGGAGCTCTTGGAGCTGATCAAGGCTGACCCTATGTACAGGAGGAGCTAATGCTCTCCATGGTAGGCAAGACATCATCCATAAGACTCTAGCCAGTAGAGGCACTCATTACCTTCAGGAAACTACTCCCAAGGTGTACACAAATTATCTGATGGTTGCTGATCTAATAAAAAGCATATACATCTGTGAGAATTAATTAACATTTTGCGTATCCTCAGAGCACTGAGGGATAAGATGGAGGACTAATCCTGAGGAGGGGAGAATTCTGGAGGGACAGTAAAGGGGAAGTCTCAAGCAGGTGAAGTTCGACCTGAAAGAACACTGCAACATAATGCCTCAGGCACAAGTGTTGCTGTGGGAAGCAACAGAACTTTGCCTTCCTCAGTTTTGCCTTAGGCTAGCGTTGCTAATGTTTCTAATCACCAGATGTTTACTAGTAATGTTAGCAGGAGAAATTGGTTAAAATATTTGTGAGTTGAGACATGTGGATTTTGATATATTTTGGCTAAAGACTGAATAGGGTGTTAGCCCAAGGCAACAGAGCCCTTCTTGGTGGAAGTTACTGGGTTTTCCACCAACAACACAGACTCAGCCCCAAGCACGCCCTGTGTCTTTCCTGAGCATCTCCTGCTGGCCAATGATCAGCAGTTTAATGTCCACCATGCAGTAGCATCTAACAGTAGTCATGCTGTTTAGGATGAACGTAAGCATCCAGGTGCCATTAGTCCAAGCTAATGCCTCTCCTGCCGAATATAAGCATCATGACAGCAGATGCGTCATATGATTTGTTTATTGCTGTATTCCCAGTCCCTACACCAATGTCTACTATGTGGTCTGTCAGCACTAAATAAATATTTGATCAACAAATGAATGAATGAGCAAACAAGAAGCTGACGTGGAAGCAAAGTAGGGTGACCAAATCATCTAGGTTTTAAAACTGAAGGTCCTGCATCCTGGAACCACCTCAGGCCTTGGCAAAGCAGCAGCAGGGTAATTGATGAACCTAATGCCCAGCCAATCATATGGCTGAAGCTCATGGTATTGACATGAGAGTTTATCCCTCCAACAAATGTTTTCTGAGCATCTAGTATGTGCCAGACACTGCTCTAGGCACAGAGACTAGGGCAGTGAAGAAGACACACAAGTGCTTACTCAAATGGAGCTTACATTCCGGTGTGGCTGTCATTAAACACACAAACAGATATACACATATTATAATAATATAAAATCAGGAGGTGAGATTTTCTGTGGACAGCAATGAAACAGCATAAAAGATAGAGTGACGGCATGGGAACACTGTTTTGGATATGGTGGTCAGCACAGGTCTCCCTGGAAAAAAGTGTATAGGTCCTGAAGCAGGATTATGCTAGGTCTGTTGGAGAAATCAGACATTGTTATGATTTGAATTACCTTCTAAGGTTGTAGGCCAGGAAAACCAGACCGTATGACTACTTCTCTTTAGTTGTTCATTTCTTTATTCATTCCCTTATTTTAAAAACACTTTTCTAAGTGTACACTATGTGCCAGGGGCTATGCCACATACTGGCATAGAAAGATGGCACTGTCTTACTCTTGTCCATCTATTCCACCAAAGAAAAGAGCCATTCTCCAATATTCTCAGGAGGTGTCTGAGGTTACACTCTGAACAGACTGCAATCCTGCAGCCTGACTCACGTCTATCAATGACATTGCTTGGGACCTCTTGCTGTTAAGTCCCACCTAGGAGGTTTGTCACTGCAACAATTACAGAGTTGAACAGTTAAAAGGACTCACAAAACTTTATAGGGTATATTTTACTAAAACCTTAATAAAGGTGAGGATATAGTACAGCAAGAAAATAAAGTGCAGACAAACATCAAAGAGGTCTGAGACTTCCAGGTAGTTTCTAGGGTCCTCTCTCAAAATAGCATGGGCTGCACTTCGTCTTTGAATTATTAACCACAAAGATATTTGCAAAGATACTTTGGTCTCAGGGAAGCCAAGGCACAAATTTACAGAGAGATCTTTTACATTTTATTGATGGTGCAACAAAATCAAGCTGCCTGTTAAACCAGTTAAATCAGGGACAAACCATAATGCTGTACATTTTCAGTAAACAATGTAGAGAAGGTAGCACAGTTTCACGCAGGGGAGTTTTGGACTTTCATCAGCATATTATAAATCACTAACAACTATTTTTCATCCTTATTTTAGCTGAAGGTCAGTATTAGTGTTCCAGGAATCATCGCAGTTAAGTATAGGGCTACCATACCAGATGCAAGTTAACTCAATCTTACATAGTTCCTAGTCCCTTTCAAGAAAGCCCCACACCTAGGCCAGTTTATCTTGCCTTTCTTTCCTATTCCCAATTCCTAGCACATTCCCCAATGTACTGGAATTTTAGCTTCTCTGCCTTTGCCACTGTGACTGCCACTGCCCACATGCTAAGCTGCAGAAAAAAAAAAAAAAAAGTGAAACTCCATTTATGTCCATCTTTTCTTCTCTACCAGCTCATAGCACCTAGATGCATGAATTTAAACACACGTATCACCTGATTACTCCTGAATTTACAGCTTCTGTCCATATCTGACTCTGCACTTAACAGTTCTGCTTAGAAATCTAGCAGGCATTCCCAACTTAACATGTTCAAAGTAAAACTCTTATTTTTCTCTCTAAGCCCTTTCCACTCCTAGGCATCTAATCTGGTTTGGTTTTATGTCCGCATCCAAATCTCATCTAGAATTGTAATCTCCATAATCCCCAGGTGTCAAGGGACAGTCCTGGTGAGAGGTGACTGGATCATGGGGGCAGTTTCCCCATGCTCTTCTCATGATGGTGAGTTCTCATGAGTGTGAAGAAGGTTACTGCTTCCCCTTCCGCCATGATTGTAAGTTTCCTGAGGCCTCCCTAGCCATGTGGAACTGTGAGTCAATTAAACCTCTTTCCTTTATAAATTACCCAGTGTTGGGTATTTATAGCAGTCTGAAAATGGACTAATACAGCATTCCCATCTTAGCATGTGGCATGAATTTTCATCCAGTTTATACATCTGTCATCTGGGGGATATACCGTTAATGATTCTTCATTCTTGGCTTTTCCTTCCAATCTGCACCCAAACATCAAGTCAATTAGCTTTACTTTTAGTGTGTGTGCCTGTGTGTGTGTGTAGTATTTCAACAGCTTTTGAGGTGTAAGTGGTTTTGGGCCACATGGATAGCTTTACTTTTAAAAATATTCCAATTTTGACCCCAGCATGCCACACACTTGAGTTTTACTTGCAGAATGCATGAAGAGGGCAAAGAGGGGGCCTGGGCCAGCTTAGGTAAGTCTGAGAACTAATTCCTGTGGGAAGTGAGAAGGGCTGAGGCTCAGAATGCTCAGAAACAAGGGACCAGGAAAAAGAACTCAGAGTGAGGACTGAGATGAGCATTTAGGGGCCTGGAAGCACATGGATTCTCAGTATCAAAATGAAGCATTCTGAAGTGCTAGCAACAAAAAAAACCCTCAAAATTGAAGAAGCTTCTGTCTCATACAGGAAACCTGTGACGTAGTTCTTGCAGGGAAAATAAACTAAGAATAAGGCCACTTAAGGACTAGAAGAAGGAGCGAAAATCAACCTACCCAAAGTAAGATTGTGTAGAGTTGGGACAACGGCAGATTCTGGTATAGGAAGATAGTAGTTGGGTTTACTTTGTTTAAGGTGGGTAGAGGTCAGTCAAAAAGTAAAGTTCATTCCTTAATGCCTGACATAACAATTAGAAAATTCTACTGGTAGATAATTCAAAGAGTAAACTTTATTTCAAAGCTTCTGCTTTGATAAGAGCTTTTAGAATTCAAAAGGTTTGCTGAATTTGACTTTCTGATATAGATGCAAATGAAACCAAAGAATTGTAGAAATCTAAATATACTACCTACATTAGGAACCACAATTGACACAGATAAACAAAGTCATTTTCTCATAAAAACACAATTCATGAGAATATTGCTAAACAGGCATTTAGCATCTTGCATCTTCAAAATAAGTCACTTAAGTATGTTTTTAGGATTGCCAGTACCAGTGCTATTTGTAATGGTACCGAAAGATAACACATTGGCTAAAGTTGCCATCTCCCCTAAGAGGAGAATGTTCGTTTATCAATGAGGAGAGTAAAGGAAAGATGGGGTGCAACCAAAAGTTGCAAAGCAATAGCAGCATCTTTTAATTAATCAAGACTCCACCAGTGGAAGCATCTTATTATTACTATTTTTTTTAAATAACCCTAGCTAAAAGCACTTACTGGAGAAGCAGTTGCTGATGGGCCTTTCAGCCTTACAGGAAAGTGGTCCTGGAGTTTTATTTTGCATTCTACATAAACACAACTTTTGCAACAGAAAAGGGAAGATTAGCCATTATTAAATTTAAATAAATAAAACTAAAGTAACTAAAATTTACTGTGTTGACCTTAAAAGTAAGCTTACAGAACTGTGATTTACTAACTACTCTAGTAACTTAAAACATTTTTTAAAGAGGATAATGATAACAAATATAACTTGATTATATTTACACTTTAAAATGTTTAGAGTAGGGTAAGATATGGGCATTTTTAATGTGACAGTATTATATAAATGGTAATAAATACTCAGCTATAATAAAATTCTGTATGTGTGGGTGGGTTCATGAAGAAACATTAAAAAAAACCCAAATTAAAAAAAAATCTAAGTTGCAATTAAAAATCTGAGTTGCTGTATATTTATATTTTTATTGCTGATTTGTATGAAAATAAATATTAATTGGTAAAGAAGCCCACTAAGCCAAACTATCTAATGTGGTGAATCATAAATACTAAATTAAGCTGAATTTTAAACGCAACTTTACCACATATCCAATTTCATTTTCTCAGGTATTAATTAAAAATACAGTCTTTTCACACATACGTACTTTAGCTATATCGGAGGCTTAAATGTATTATGACACCACAACTAAAAATGAAGAGAACTGTTTCCCTGAGTCATGAGGCAGCCCAATGGTGCAGAATGAAATCATTTCAAATCAATCTCAGATGCTTTTCTGCCTCAAAGGAGAACACTACAAGCAAAGGATTAACTTAGAAGAGGCTACAGGGAGCATGGGTTAAGGACTCTTTCTATCTCAGCTTTGGCAACTTTTCTACATTTCAGAATTAAGTGACTCTTCTGTTACAGAAAAAAACTGCTTGGTCTCCAATTTAAAGAAATAAAGCAGAATTATTTAAATTCATAAGCAATCCTGTTTTGTTTTGTTTTTTCATTTAAGACCAGTTGAAAGTTTCATTGTACAAACTTTAAAGAAAAATTGAGGGAGAAAAGATACAGTTCTAGCTTTATTTATTATACATTCAGATCCTAGTGGAATAGACAGTTTTTATTTGTCTTTGAGCTTCTGTGCTTGTAAATGTCTTTCAGAGAATGTACAGTCAACATTTCTTCATCCCAGACTGAGCCTGCATCTAAGCTGCCAAAGTAAGATGAAGTAGCAGAGCTTTTCGTCTGCATAATTCAGGACCCCATTAGTTTACCCTAACCTCCCTAACCTTCTAATTAAGCCAGGTGGATTTTTTTTTAAGTCAGTTTTCCTTTCTAAAAAATTAAGTCCATTGACAAAACTGATTTTGGCAGAATGTGAGGAATATTAGAATCCTTCTATGCTCTCAAAAAGAATCTCAACTTTAGGAAATCTATCTTCAAAACCAGGATTATTTGGGTCTAAATTTAACATGGCAAAAGCATGATACCTTGAATCATTTCTCACATTCCTTGAAAATATTGAGTCATTTCAGCCATATCACTTTAATTTTAATTTAGTCTGAAAATAATATGCAATATTTTCTTGTATGAACTATAATAACTTTTTTTGTTTTGTTTTTTGTTTTTTTTGAGTCTGGGTCTTGCTCTGTCTCTGAGGCTGGAGTGCAGTGGCATGATCCCCACTCACTGCAACATACACTTCCCCAGTTCAAGCAATTCTCCTGCTTCAGCCTCCCAAGAACCTGGGACCACGGGTGCGCACCACCACACCCAGCTAAGTTTTGTATTTTTAGTAGAGACGAGGTTTTGCCATGTTGGCCAGGGTGGTCTGAAACTCCCAACCTCAGGTAATCTGCCTGTCTCGGCCTCCAGAAGTGTTAAGATTCAGGCGTGAGCCACAGGCCCAGCTGTATTAACTGTAATGCCTCTTAACAGAAACTTTTCCAAGAACACCCAAATATAAATATCCAGTGGCTTATTGGGATGATTTTGTGTAAGAGATCCTGCTGTCCTTCTGCTTTAAACTAGATAATTTGTGTTGTTTCTAAAGGGTTTGGAGTTTCAGAGCCCATACCTTTATTTCAGTTATGCCTGGCTGCTAAGTGTTCAGAAAATGCGAGAAGGCTAAAATACAACTTTGGAAAATAGGGGAGGAAACACCAAACCTTGTCATCATCTTTGTAGTAAAGAATTACACTTTCCTCCAGGAAGCCTAAACAAATAAACAGAAAACGTGCCAATCTGAAGCTGCAAGCTATTTTCTGTATCCACAACAAATGTTGAATTTACATTTAAGGCAGATAGTAGAAAAGTAATTTGACTGAGCCTAATTTAACCAAAAACAGTTTAAACAATCCCTGGGGAGGAAGATAATCACCATTAACCTAATGTTCATACATTAGACTGAGAAGTTAAGGGTTTTATTAAGTAATGTAAGTTATGAAGTGTGAACCAGAGTTCTATAGCCTTTGGAGACATTTTGAGGGAGAAAAGTGTATCTTGACTATGAAAATACAGAGTGACTGTGCTGAAAATAGTTGCTCGGTCATAGGAAGCTGTGAGGGTTCTGGTACATGCAAGTGTTTGCAGGAAAGCCAGAGGCATGAAAGGAAGCCACGAATGCATGTATCTCTCTTATGCTGGTAAAGAAACTAAAAATAAAATGGCTTTGGCCTGACTTGTGCTAGACCCAAGCTAAACCCACAGTTATTTAATATTGGCCAACACAGAATGCTGTGATAATGGGCTATTATGTTTTGAAGTTACTGCCTTAAGGCCACAGAGCAAGGTCTTGCACAACTTCGGAAGGTGAATGGACTTCAAGAAGCTTTCATGCACAGACCTCCCAAACTGGTAATGGTATATTGTACTTCTACGCACTCAGGTAGTTCCTTCCTTCATTTAGAGCTACCTAAACTGGACTATAAGGAAGCAGTGCATGGGGCAGAGGAATACTTGCTCTTAGCCAGCATGGGATAAAGGACAGTATCCTGACTTATCTAGAAATCTGGTAAATACAGAAAATGGAACTTACAGTGTTGGGGATCTTGCCATCCCCTTTCCTCCATGGAAGGGAACAGATTGGCCCTTCCCTCATATTCCCCTGCCCAGTGGTTTTATGGTGTGTGTAAACTCATAAAATTCATGCTACATATACGCAACCAGAGGGCTGAATGAGACATCGCCTGCATCACTTGCACTGAGATGCCAGTGTGACAGATAGCAGGACACTAAAGTGAATCTGAGGCTGATTCCCCCACTCCACAAGAAGATTGCCTGAAGAAATGTCCCCAAGAACCTGCTCCATGATTCTTGGTTGCTCAGCCTAATCAGAAATAGGACAAAAAAAAAAAAAAGCTTCAAAGAGAATGGACAGGAGATGGGTGAAAATTTTCTTTGGAGACAGCTGTTGCCAACTTGTGAGTCACCCTCCCCCTTTCACAGGTGGGGATAGTGCTTCCTTCTAACCACAAGCCTAGTAAGGAGGGCTTCAACAGACCCTCAGATAGCTTCGACATTGCTTTGCCCTGGAAAATCTCGGGGCTGGGGGAAGCCTGGAGGACAGAGCCAGGAGGGTCGGCTGTGCCTGCACCTCACTGATCATGAAAACAAGTGATATGTGGTGTTTTTCTGGACCAAAAGTGAGTCTTGTAGAAAGAGTCCCATACAAAGATGTCTTGAGTCCTGCCCACTTAGAGGGGAGAGTAATTCTTAAAAAAATGAGGCTGTAAGTTTACCTTCAACATGCAGGACTGAGGGTGGGGCATTAGAGACTACCCAAAGTAGAGAAGTGTCCACTCAGGTTAGGGGAATTGCAGCATCCATTGATAGTCAAATTGAGTGGTTGGCCAGGCCTTCCTCACCAGTGGAATCAGTGGCCAAGACCAGTGAGCAGAAAACCACCCAGCCAGGAAGGAATTGTGTTGCCCCTTTACCTTTATTCCCTGCCCAAGCGTGGATCTTGGAGAAGTCCTAAAGAAAGGCAAGCACAGAGGAGAAGGGAAAACGGGTGGAGAAGAGACAGCCATAGGGTTATCCCACCATCCCTACCCACGGGTTCACAACCAGAGGAATGTCGAACTGCAGAAGGGAAGAGACTTCACACTAAGTTGTTTGGCCATTCATGCTGCCATGAACTGAAGCTGTGTTTGCCACTTAAAGTAACCAAAGACCACTTAAGGGTGAGTGGAAAAGCCAGTGAAAACTGTCAGATCTTTCATGGGGGCAGGAGAAAATTACCCCCATAAAAGAAAGTTTAAAGGGACAGTAGGTTTGAGAAAGGAATATATTGATAACAATCCATAAGCTTTGTTTTTTCTGTTTAGGTTATAAGTGAGGAAAGTTTGGGGAAATAGCTCTTCATCAGAGCTTCGTGTTATGGTGACCTAAGGGGATGACCTTATATGACCATGACACAAAGCTCTGATGAAGAACACATGTGCCCAGATTTAATCCTGGACTTCCCAAATTGCCAGTCTGTGGTGGAGTCTCAGCAAGTGTAGTTTTGGGGAAAAAAATGCCAGGGAATTCTGATGCTTACCCTTGATGATAAATAATTCACTTGCATAAATCCATGGATTGTAGGCCAATAACAACAAGTCATTACAACAGAATAGGTTTGGGGAGGAATGTGACTACTTTTTTGAGTCAGAATTAATTTTGAGCTAGATGAGCCACATTGTGTAGTATTTCTTATATTTCTGTGAGGCTTGCTAGCTAATGCCAAAGGAGTAATAGCTAATGCGCCTAAAGAGCAATTTGTACGCAAATGTTGGTAGCAGAAGGTAGTTGACTTGGGGAACACTAAATTATTGAAGCAGGGAAGGGGGCATTCAGTGAGAAGAATGCAGTTTTGCTCTTGTATGAAGACCATGGCTGGAAGAGGCCTTTGAACATCACCACCGAGTTTCTGAAACTCTAATACCTCCAGCTCCTTCGCTTGGAATAAATGCTAGGCAGCTAGAAGTGCATAAAATCTTAAGCAGTCTTCATTTCAAATTCAACAATATAGCAAATTACAGTTAAGAAGGTTGAGAGGAAAAAATTAATGATTTAAATTTTATGGGGTTGCAAGAATCAGTCTACTCCCTTCAGAGCATCTTTTGAGTTCATACCTATTTTGTGATTGGGTCAGCACAATTTGTAACTACATTCAACAGCACATGTAGATGTGACAAAATCAGGCTTATATTAACATTTTTGTGGTAAGAGAGACAGAACCTACTATACAGAAATGAATCTCTTTTTTCCTACCGTAAGTATATTTGTGAATTTAGTTGTGAGTTCCTTTAGTATAAAAAGCAATCACCATAATTTCTTCAGAGCTTTACCCTTTCCAAAATGTTCTTAGAGAAAATAACACATTTTTCACTCATCAATGCAAAGAAGCAGCTAGGACAAGTACCAAAACTCAACCAAATAGCCTACCAACTGAAGGGAGCTAAACACTCTAAATGATTAAGTCCAACTTTCGCTCTTCTCCTGGATGCTGTAGACAGGCAGAGAGCAACTACATTGTTTTATATATACAAATAATACAGCAAATTTATACATAACAAAAAATCAGGTTAACTTGCTGCCATTTCAGAAGCATGCCTTACCCAGACAGGAGCCTTGTGTGAGCCACAGAAAGTATTATCATAAAGTAGCTCCAGATGTCAAGCACCAAGACCACTACAGACCTCTATGGGTCAATTTTCTACAGGTGTGTGTGACCTTAAAACAGCCTACCAAGGGTAGGATTTCTCTCTTTTATGGCTTGTCATCAACTGTTTTCAGCTCAACAGCTGAGTTGTCAAGGATGAACAAACTTCGGAGAATTTAAAGAAGTCAGTTTTTTCTCACGATTAACAAGCACCTGCCCTCATAGTCAAAGATGATGTGGAAATGGCAAGAATGATCAAAAGCCAAGACAGAACATCCAAACCTTGCTTAAACTGCACATCACAAGTTGCATAATTCTAGAATTCTCAATTACAAACTAAGAGAAAATAGCCATGAGATCAAATTTAAAACCTCCCCGTGTAAGCCCATATGAAATCAAATTAGTAAACCTCCCACAACTCATTTGTCTTCCCATATTTCTGTCTATATTTATTGAAATGTTTCATAGACTCTGCTAGTCACAACTCAGAGTTCTAAATAAGGAAAGAGCATCTGGTTTGAGCCCTGATTCCACAGAGTAGCCATGTGACTTTGGTCAAAGCCACTAAACTTCTACTTCCACTCATCATCTTTTTGACATCTGCAAAATTGCAATAATACCAGCTACCTTGTTCACCTTATGAGTTTATGGTTAAGATCACATGGGCTGATATATAAAATATGTGAAGTTATTTGATGAACTGCAGACCACTCTACAAATAGCAAATTGTATTATCTGCAAGAGGTCCCGCTCACTTAGGCAGCACATGATACAACACATTTTGGTCTTCACCGTTGCTGTTTGGAGCCCTTGTCCTTGAGATTCACATTTCTCCCACCATTGCTTACTTTTGAGCCTTCTTTTGCACTGACCTGGCCCTCAACTTTCTAGGCACTGTCTCCTATTTCTGACCTTAATGACAGAGGTGACTTACCAGTGTTGACTCTTGGCAAACATCCTACCCAAGTCCTGGTCCCCAGGGCTCCATCCTAGTGTGAGCGAGTCTGCTAGTGCCCCTTCTAGGATATGCTCCTGAAAAAGGAAAAATACATTTCTTTTTTCACCTCTCTATTCCCATGCCCATTTCCTGGGTTCTGGCAAAGTGAGTGACTCAGGACAAAAGACAATCCTGTCAGACACCAAAGGATGAAGGGAGCTGGCCCACTCTCCACAAGCAGACAGCACTGAGATAACCATGAATCAGCATGTCACAGAGGCACACGCGATTGCTTCCCAGAGGTGGTGTGAATCAGGGGACAAAGAACCCCTTCCCCTCTTTCTAGAGCAGATCATCTTCCTATGGCCAGGAAACAGAACACAGCTCACTGTCCTGTGCATTCTAACCCTTTGTGCTGATGAGCTCCTTAACAAAAATAAGTATCACAGAAGAGTTTGGAGAGACTAGGCTGTCTCTTTGTTCCCACTTTAAGGCAAAGATTCAGAGGCACACTATTAGCTATGACACATAGGACAAATCCTTGACAGAATTCTTGAAACTCCGCAGTACGATTTTTAAAATTCCCACAAGAGATGGAATGAAAGAAAAAAAAAATATGATGTATGAGGAGCATGAGTGTGCCAGGCACTGTGGATGGAGCTTTACAATGTGACGTTGAATATTCTCATTGGCTTTTTAAGTCAGCTTATG
Source organism: Homo sapiens (assembly GCF_000001405.40). Classification (NCBI taxonomy): domain Eukaryota; kingdom Metazoa; phylum Chordata; class Mammalia; order Primates; family Hominidae; genus Homo; species Homo sapiens. The sequence goes on from NC_000013.11 coordinate 47,419,847, forward strand.
GACACCTGCCATATGTGGCTGCCCAATATGTTATAAACACCCTCCATACATTTTCATAGTTTCCCATGTTATCAATTTTGTCTGTCACTGGCATAATCAATTCAGGAAAACTGACCACTCCAGCCTCTCTTTCAACTGTGGTGCAGGCAGATGACCTCAGTCAGGTCCACCAATCAGATGTACCTTCATGAGTCTTCCATTTGGAAGTGAGCGATATGAGTGTGCAGGCTTTTGGGGGCATTTATATTGCTGACATGGGTGGTGGTAGAAAAGTCCAGCTTTGGAAATGGTAATAACAGTTCCAGGAAGATCAAGTTCCTAGCAGCTGGACTCTAGCAGGCAGGTGGAGACAGCACCAGCAGTGTCCTCATGGTGTCACTCCTGTAGCCTGGTTTTCATTATGGTTTTGGAAAGCTTAGCTTTGAATCTATTTCTCTAGCTCTCCCAGCAATTTCTGAGCTACTGAATATATTTTAAGAAATTCACTTTGTGAGTATGAGAAAACTGACTTATGGAGGCCAAGCCACAAAGGTCACACAGCTAGTCAGAGATGAGATGAGATGAAAATGAAAAAAAAATCTGTGCCATCTCTACAAGATTTTGAACTGTTTACTGAGAACATTGATTTCATTTTACCTATCCTCTTTTGTGTCCTGTAATATTTAACTTATTGATTCAGCCTTCTTTGCTCCAGGCTAGAACCTACAGACTACGTGATCAAGACATCAGGAAGCTTGGGGTGAAAAAAAAAAGGTAGTTTTGCAGAGGATTTCAGCAGCCACCCTTGGCATAAACATTTAAGCGCTACAATGTGCTGTCAACTGAAATGGCCCTCAGTGACTCAGATGTGTTCTTCAAATGGTGGGTTATGCACTCTGTGACTCTCTCTAAGTCACTTCAAGGCAAGCATATGTCACTGAATACAATCAACAGTTATTTATCAAACAAAAGCACATTGAGGAGGAATGTCACAGGCTTCAAGGGCCAGCAGGCTTGCTAGTGACTCAGAAGTGAGCCAGGGCAGGAAGTGAGACCTTGACACTGTGCATGGTTTCCAGCTACACAAGTTGCTGCTCATGTCAACATGTTCAAAAGGTATAAGTACATATGAAGAAATTTTTATCCATAAAATTGGACAAAATAGCATTTGGCCCAGAACGTCAGTCCTGATCAGTAAGTTAGTCTCTGCTTCCATGGAAGTCTGAGAAGGGGTCATACATTTTGAGGACACACATGAGGGTAGAATAGATCCATTCTATGCACGAACACACGCTCTGCCTATTCTGTTACCAGAAAGCAACCTTTGCCTTAGAGTTATAAGATGTATATATTTTTAATAAGGTCTTTCTTTTCTTTGAAATTGGATACAAGCCAACAGCTTGTTGAGAAGTCCCATGTATACAATGGATTAAAATGATCAAGAGACCTATTTGTCTTAGCAGTGATCTGCTGCCAATGAACATGTAGACTAATCGGAGGTAAGGACACATCCGTAGGAGTGTATAGTCCACTAAATAGGTTTGCCTCCCAACAAGAAAGAGAGTATTTTGCTATTGGCTGAGGAGCTTTATGGCAGAAAGTCCATAAGTCACTTGGTAGCCTGTCCATGTAAAGTGCACAAACAGCACGGACTTTTGGCAGGACAGATACATATTTTGACACCGGGAGTTAGAATTTCAACATATTAGTTTCTGGGGGGACACAAACATTCAGTCCAGAACATATATAGAAATAGTAAAATCTTTATTCCCAGACTTCAGCATGACACACACATGCACACACACGAGAGAGAGAGAGAATTTACTGGTACCACATGTTCACAAGTTAGATATTTTAGTGGTTACAAAGATTAACACTGCCATACTACTCTTATAGCTCATTTCCCTCAGAACTGCTTGTTGTCAATATCTGTACCATTTAAACAGATTCCCACCCTGACTCTACACCCCTGCCTCACTTACTTTTGGCAGCATTAAGCATGGTTTTACTCATAATCTATAAATCATTACATCTGTAGGCTTTCCTGAGAGATATTAATGTTGCTGCTTGAGAGTTTTCCTGAGGAATTCAATTCCTACAAAATTTGCAATGTTAGGCAAACCCGCTTTAAAAAAAAAAAAAAAAAAAAAAGCTTTTTATTGGGTGTGGGATTTCTCTGGACGTATGGCCATGTATCCTCGGTCGAATTCTCACGACTGCAGTTGGACTAAATCCAGGCTCAGATTCACAGCCCAGGACCAAAGTGCACCTGTGGCGGGTGCAGAATGAGGCTCATCCTTGACTGAGGTAACCAAGAGATTTCTACCTTGGTTCTTGGACACTCCATTTACAGAAGACACCTGGAAGTCTGACAAGTAGTAATGAAACTCAAGTTAGAGATTTTGTGTCACTTTTGTTGTGCCTGATGAACTACAGATTAACCTCAGAGACACCCAAGATAGCTTGGCAGATTTCCTCAAAAGTCTAGGAGCAATTATTGGTCTTAGGCATAGAAGACCTTCAATCAATGAAAATTCACAGTACACAATGTACAGAGAGCTCTTGTTGAAGACTGTTGAAAAAGAGGAACATGGAATTGCTTTTCTCTTCATTCTATCCCTGCATATGGGTAAAAATAAAACAATGGTGAAGCAAAAAATTTTCATGGGGCTCATAATTCAACACTAAACCCAAATTTATTTCAGACTCTTTCTGGAGTAAAAAATTTGGAATTTTCTAGCACCTCAGGTCTTCCTAATGAATAAAAACTCATTAATTCAACAAAAGCGTCTAACAATATTAAAAGTTCTTAGGAAATGCTAAGTGTTGAGAGACGTCCACCAGAAAACTCAAACCCTATTACCCACAAGCCAATCTGTGTCTCAGCTGAAAGAACTTGAACTTTTATTGTTTGTTTTAATGTATATGTCTTCTTTCACAATCTCCTGTTGCTTGGTGATGCTCTCAAGAGATAACTTTGAATCACCAAGCTTCCCCATCTCAAACTGGCTTTCTCAAGGGCAAAGGGCCTGGTCAGTTCAGAAGAAGCACTAGCCTAGGAGTCAAAGGATCTCAGAAACAATCTGAGTTCCATCACTTAACTGAGTGGCCTTGAAAACATTTCTTAATTTCTCTCATGCTTGAATTTCCTCTCTGAATAAAGAGGAGATTGAACATGATAACCTTTTAGGTTTCATTTAGATATAAAGTTTTATGTATAACTGACTTATGCAAAACCTATTTCTCATTTGAAAAATGTGGAGAATAACAGCTACCCTGATTGTCTCATAGGATATTTTGGAAAACATGTAAAACACTGAGGAAAGCAGAGCATGCACACATTCCGGGAAAATTATATAAGCCAAGCATTATTCTAAACAATTTATGTACAATATGTCAATGAGCCTGGCCAATAGTGGAATATGCTCTTTACTCATCAGCTTGCTCTACCCTCTAACCTATAATGTTTCTTTAGAAGTCATTGCCTCTACATTGTACTAGGGCTAGGGATGGGACTCAAAAAAGCATTTATGAATGTGAAATTCAATCAGATGTAAACAGATCAATACAAAGAGTATTATGTGCCTAGAAAGCAAAAAGAAGAAATTTGCATATATGGATTCAATAATAGGAAGGCTCCTTTAACTTGAAATTGTAATTTTTGTTTCATTAATATATCTTTAGCTTCTTAGCACACACTAAACTAACATACAGTGAGTTCCTCCCGCATCTCAACAAAACATGGTTTTAAGTTGAAAGGAACCAAAAAAAAATTTAACTCAATAGTCTCATTTTGTAAGTAAATAAATTGAGACTTGGGTCTTGATGACTTGCAAGCATCACAGGGCTAGTTAGTGGTGGTCCTGGGACTTATGTCACTTTTCTGGTCCCCAGTCTGCTGCTCATTCTGTTAGAGTTAAGCAGTCATTAGAGAGAGTAGGGGCACGAAGACCCAAGAGGAAGGGGAGAATACGGATTTGTATGAAAATTAATAATTTTGGCCAGGTGCGGTGGCTCATGCCTGTAATCCTAGCACTTTGGGAGGCCAAGAGGGTGGATTGCCTGAGCTAAGGAGTTCCAGACCAGCCTGGGCAACACGGTGAAACCCTGTCTCTACTAATATACAAAAAATTAGCCGGGTGTGGCAGCGGTTGCCTGTAATCCCAGCTACTCAGGAGGCTGAGGCAGGATAATCACTTGAACCCAGGAGGCAGAAATTGCAGTGAGCCGAGATCGCACCACCACACTCCAGCCTGGGTGACAGAGCGAGACTCGGTCTCCAAAAAAAAAAAAGAAAGAAAATTAACAATTTTTGGCTCCCTCAGACCCAGTACTCTTCCAAGCTTAGCTAATACCAGCTGTTTCTTTTTTTTTCTTTTTTTTTTTTTCTGATTTGTTTGTTAGTAGGCCCCTCTAGGCACTGATGAAGGAGCCACCACAGTTCCCATTGCAGCAGCCCTGATTCCAGCATTAATAGGTCCTCCAGTACAGAGCACAACCTCAACACAGCCTGACATTTAGATAAACTCATAGGGTGCTCTCAAAATTCTAACATTAAAATTACTGAGAAATGTCTAAATTTGCACTCAAAAGACTATCATTAAAGTCCAATATTGGGGTGAGCCAAAGTCAATTCAAAATATCCCTTTTCTATTTCATTGTTTTAAAAATAAAAAGAAATTGTTAGAGGATGAATCTACATCCTAGGCTATTTAGAAAACAAAAAAAAACACAACAAGCTATTTACCAAGATACTGTAATTAGCTAGATTCTTCTGGTTGAGCCCATAGCCTATTCACACATGTATTAAATGAAAGACTGGATAGTATCTTCAGTGACTATATTTCAGTCTGCTTGTGCAACCAAAGTACCTCTGATTAGACTTAGGGAAATTCTGTACAAGGTTGAAATTTTAGCATGGTTGGAAAAAGCATTTTCCACATGAAGACTTTTAATATCTTAGTTACTAGAAAAAAGAGGAGAAAACATTGTCTGGTAAGCTTTGAACTGTGACTGTAGTTTTCAGATGACAGGTAAGGAGCTGAGATGGCTAATTATTATCCAAGAGGAGTCATTAAAATATTAGCTCATGAAGTGTGATTAAAGAATGCAAGCTTACACAAAACTGTGTATTTTTCTTTACACTGGGACCTGAAAAGTTACTTTTATTATTATATATTATACCATCATTATTATTATTTCTAAAATAATAATATGACATTACATTACTAGCTTGAGTCTCATCACTTCCAAATGTGATCTTGTGCTGGCTTTCATGGAGGAATTCTAGAAGAGTAGCTTGTCAAAGGAGCAAATTTCTAGTATTCCCAAAACTGAGTGATGCAATTATTATTTTCCACCTGCTAACTTCCCAGAATATCAACATTTCTTAGCATTGAGCTTACTCTGGGCCATTTCCTACAGATGTAAACTTTTCTCAAAAAAGCCCTTATAAAAATATAATTATACAAGTTCATCGAACACTGTGGAGAAAGAAAGAGGTGGGTTTGACACCCAGACATAGCCTATGAGACACAATGGAATGAAAACATTTATTCAATTTTTAAATTTTTAAAAATCTAGTAAAGATGATTTTTAAATGTAAAGGAATAAAACAAAGAAATAATTCCTGGGAGATAAGTAAAGCAAGTGAAAAGAACACCAAACTATAGATCAAGGATCAAAGGTTTAAGTCCCACTTGAATATATGACTCCTATTATTTTTCAAAACACATTTATTGAAGTTTAATTCATAAACAATAAAACTCACCTTTTAATGTACAATTCTATGAGTTTTGACAATGCAATCACCACCATAATTAAAATACGGAACATTTCCATCGTACCAAAAACTTCTTTCATGCCTCTTTATAGTCAAACCTTCCTTTGGGTTGACTATAAACAATTCACAATTTCTAGTTTTTTGTGATCCAATCCTCCTTGTAGTTTTGTTGAGCTAATATCAGCTGCTTTGTCTTCTCTGTGTTTCAGTTGGCCCCTTCCCCGCCAACCACTGAAGAATAAGACACTGTCGTTTCCAGTGCAACAGCTTTGAGTCCAACATCTATATAAGTTACTCTTTTCGCTGAAATTCAGTGTCACTTTACAGTCTATAAATTGATTGTATTTTTGTGTCTTATCTGAGAAATTACTTGTGAACCCAAGATCACAAACATTTACTATGTAGTCATCTAGAAATTTTAGGCTTTATATTTAGATCCATTCTGAGGAGTTAGTTTTTGTACATGCATCTATATCCAAGATTGTTTGCATGAGGTATAAATTATGGGTCTTTTTTGCATGTGGATATTCAGTTATGTGTACATTATTTTTGGAAAAGACTATGCTAACATATTGTCATTTGACACTGGCAGTTACCTGGGACCTCAGCTGGTGTTGTCTACCATACCAGTGGTATGTGGGCTCTTCATTTGTTCTGGGCTTCCTTCCAACAAGCTTGTGACAATGTAGTCAGACTACTTATGCAACAGCTTAGGGCTCCAAGAGCGAGTGCTCCAGCCAAGAAGGCAAAAGCTGCATCACCATTTATGCCTTAGTCATAGCATCACTTCTGCTATACTCTATTGGCTCATGTGGCTACAAGCCCACCCAGATTCAAAAGAATGAATAAGAGGACAGAGGAGGCCACACTGAAGAAAAGCATGCAGAAGATTAATATTATTGGGGACTTCTTTAGAAAATACAATCTGCTACATCGAGCCCTTTTAATTTTATTATGCTTAATCCGAGAAAGTCACTGGAAGTTGTCCTACTTCCAAAGTCTTACAAAAGTGGCTTTTTGGATTCCTGGACAACATGAACTTCCATGAGGCAATATTAGCCTTGGGGGAAAAAATAGACTTATTGACTTGACTGAATCCTGGCAGGAGGACAAGATAGCTCAGAAAAAGTACACCTTAATTCTATTTTCCTTTGGGTGCCTGTATATGGTCACAGAATTTTACATTCCCCTGAGGTATTAGAGATGTGAAGACTGAGAAAGGAATAGGAGAGGAATACCTTAGAGATGCCACTATTTTTCTGTTGGCACCCCTCCCCCAATATCCCATGGCTGAGAAAAGGGATATGACCCTGAGGGTTTGGGTCCTGGTCTTTTCCTTCACATGAATATGTAGCTTGGACACAGGACTATAAACCTGGATCTGTCATCTCTCACTGTTCAGAAGAGCAGACAGTACAATGAGATACATGCACTTTAAAAATGGCTGTCTTCTTCCACATAGGTTAAACCCATATTCTTTTACTTTTTTTTTTTTTTTAGAAAAAGGAAAACTAATAGGATAATCAAATATCCGAGTAGAGACTGTCAAAGCTTACTAAGAAAGAAAGAGTAATATAAATTAGCCTTGGGATTGTCCATAAAAAACAATTCAGTGGAACATATACAATGTCCTTTTTACGGTTTAATCTTTACAGACACACATATTCTTCACTTATGTACTTCTCATAACACAGCCATTTGCTGATATTTGTATTTAATCAAGACTTTCTTCCTAACCTCTGTTATTGGCTACATCTTTGGGGATCACTTTATGGAATGTGGGCAGTCATCATTAGGTATGGTATCCAGGCTCTCGGAGGGCTATTTCTTGCCCTTTTATACCAGTTCACATAGAATCAGTGTGTGACATAGCTAAACAATTTAAATCTTCATTGTAAAAGCCAACAGGTTAAAATAATTTCTACCACTTCCAGGGTTGGATTAGAAGCTTAGATAGGCTGGAGCCTTAGGAGAACCCTAAGTGATTTTACTTTGAGTTTCTGGAGAGGACTGATGCTTGAGAAATGTGGAAGTTGCCCTCAAGAGGAGGAAAAGACCCGTGATTTTATTCATGCAGATGTTATATTCCCTGAGTATGAGAATAAAAACAGCTGGTTATTGGAGAGTTGAGCGTGTTAGGATTGGAATCTAGAAAAGTTGTTTTTCCAGGATATCTGAGTGGCTAATCAAAGAGCAGCACATGCTCTCTATAGCTTAAGTGAGAAATATGGCACAGGAAACAATCCTTTTAGATAGAAACAGGCACAAGTTCCAATCTGTAAACAAATGTAAATATAAAAGTTGTAAACTGTAATAAATGTAAACTTCCCTGAAGTCCAAAAAAGTCAGCATGTGACATAAGTTGAAGGAAGTTTATTTTTAAAAGCCCAAAGATGGTGGTGGACTGAGCATACGTTTTACCTTCTGCATTACCAAGCTGCACGCCCTTCCCTCACAAATAATAAAAAGGGGGAGGTGGGAAAAGAAACAAGCACTGAAAGAAAGAGGATGAATAAGTGAATGAATGAAACATCTTAACAAACCTTTGGAAGTGGGAAGCACATAAGCAGGTTAATGAATGAAGCAGGCAGAGACACTGAAGCCTTGAGTACACTTGGAAGAAACTACAGAGAGGCTGGTCAGTTAGTTGGGCAGAGATCTGAACACCTCTGAGCTAAGAGTCAGCAAGCAGAGCAAGTGGCAGGAAGAAAAAGTGAAAATTAAAGGTGTAATTGAAGGTCAATAAATATGAACTGCAGACCACTTAGCCAATAAAACAGCCACATCCATTATGTAGCCATAACCCCACATATATGTAATTGGGGTATCAAAAAAGAGGCAAGAATGGGAGACAATTTTTTTATTTGTGAGGGAAGGGCGTGCAGCTTGGTGATGCAGAAGTGAAGCATATGACCAGGTCCGCTCCCATGTTTTTAAAATTGTTATTTTTAAAAGCATAACAATTTCTAAGCATGAAGAGCCCAGACAGTGGACCTTTGCTCATAAAAGTAAAACCTGGCCTACTTGCCTGTAAAGAAATTAAATTAAGTGCTTCGAGAAAATGAAAATTTCTAGGGTTCACGTGGGCACAAAATAATAAAGTTCTCTTCATTGTTATAATGATAGCTTCTAAAGTTCCAGCCTGTCAACTTCTGCTTCTGGAGTAACAGTCATAGCCATTCCTCCCCCATTCAACAACTGAAAATCACACAAAATATATATAACAAGTTTTCAGACTTTAGATGAAAGGCAGTGCAGATTCTTGAGAGAAGAGAACAAGTGAGATGTGAGACCGATGGTTTCCAGAACATGTCCAGGCTGAAGAGCAGGAAGGAGGGTATCAAACAGAGCATCTCAATCTCCCTGTGATAGGGAGATAGAGTTTAGAACTGAGGGATGACAAGGTGTTTAGAATTTGCAGGAAAGATTATAGGAAAGGGGAGAGCATTGCAGAAAGAGAGCCTTGGACTTCTTTAGAGGGTTTCCCTCAGATCTTCAGCAGACTTTTCAGTGAATCTTTGTGAGGAAAGTACTTAAGGCTAAGAGAAGAATTTCTAGATAAAAGCAGGGAGAGAACAATCCTCAGAATTCTCACAGGGCTAAGAATAATTCACAATTCCAACAGCCAGAGTTGAGAAACCCCATACTGCACAGAACATTAAGTAGGATATTCACAAGGGTGTTGCCTAAGTCATGGGGGGCAATTAGAGCTGGACTAAAGGCTGCTCTGGTCCCACATAGCAATGCTTGCATGGAAAACTTGAAATAATCAAACAATTTTCAAGTAACTTAACTGCACCCCGGAACAAATCTCAAGATTAGAGGAATGCAGAAAAATGCAGCAGCCAACAATGAAAAATTCACACTATCTGTCATCACATAAAAAATACTAGGCATGAAAATAAGAAAGAAAATACAAAATATAGTAAGAAAAAAATCAATCTGTAGAATCATACTCAAAAATAACATAGCTGAGAGAAATAGAAGAAAAGGATACTAAAACAGTCATTGTAAATCTATTTCATATGTTCAAGAAGGTAGAGGAAAGCATGAGTATGTTAAGGACAGACATAGAAGATATTTCTTAAAATACACAAATTGAAATCTACAGAACAAAAATACCATGGGTGAGATTTTAAAAAGTAAAACACTTAATGAAATTAACATCAGATTAGACACTACAGAGCATATGACTAGAGAAATGGAAGACAGCAATAGATATTCAAAATGAGAAAGATGGGGGAGGAAAGACAGAAAAAATTAAACAGGGTATCAGTATGCTATGAGACAACTTTAAGTAGCCCCATATATATGTATTAGAGTATCAAAAGAGAAGCAGGAATGGCGGACAAAAATATTTGAAGGAATAATGGCAGAAAATTTTCCAAATTTGGTGAAAACTATAAATGCACAGATACAAGTAACTCAGTCAAAGCGAAGGAAAATAAACATGAAAAAAGCCATTAAGGCACATGATTAATGACAAAAAAATTAATTCAAATGCTCAAAACTCAGTGATAAAGATAAAATCTGAAGAAAGAAGAAACAAAAAGACACCTTACATGTAATATGTAAAACAAAAATTAGAACAGCAGACTTTACTTCAGAAATGATGCAAGCCAAAAGATAGTAGAGAAACATTAACTTAGGAGTATTGAAAGAAAAACATCAAACTGAAATTCTATACTCAAAAAAAGTAACTTTCAAACACAAATGTGAAATATTTCCAGATAAAAATAAAAGCTGAGCTAGTTCGTTGACAGCATTCCTGCTTACAATAACTGTTAGTCTTTTAGGCAGATGGGACATTATATCAGGTTAATATCTGGATCTACAGAAAGGAATGAAGAGCACTAAAATGGTAAACATGAATAAATATACATTTTTATTTTTCAACTTTTTAAAAATGTTTTAAAAGGTTTTAACATGTGGGATTTATAATATATGTAGAAGTAAATGTTGGACAAAAATAGCAAAATGAGGGAAATAGAAGTATACCGCTTGAAGGTTCTTAAACTATTAATCCATGTGAAGGAATACAATATTACTTGAAAGTAAATTGTAATAAGCTGAAGAAGTATTCTATAAAGTCTGAAGCAATCTTAAAAATAAAGCACAAACAAAAAACAGATGTACCTAATAAGCCAATACAGGAGGTTAAATGGAATCATAAAAATATCAATTCATCTAAAAGAAGAGATAAAATTCTTGTTTATAATAGAATTTTAGCCAATAAAAGGCAAAAATGAGAGAATTAGAAAAATAGTTTTTATTTTTTACTTTTATTTTAGGTTGAGGAGTACATGTGTAGGTTTGTTATGTAGGTAAATTACATGTCATAGGGATTTGGTGTGCAGATTATTTCATCACCCAGGTAGTAAGCATAGTACACAATAAGTAGTTTTTCAATCCTCGCCCTTCTCCCACCCTCCACCCTCAAGTAGGCCCTAGGGTCTGTTGTTTCCTTCTTCGTGTTCATATGTACTCAATGAGTAGCTCCCACTTATAAGTGAGAACATGTGGTATTTGGTTTTCTGTTTCTGTGTCCGTTTGCTTAGGATAATGGCCTCCAACTCCATCTATGTTGCTGCAAAGGATATGATCTCATTTTTTTATGACTGCATATTATCCCATGGTGTATATATACCACATTTTCTTTATCCTTTCTACTACTGATGGGCATTTGGGTTGATTCCATGTGTTTGATGTTGCGAATAGTGCTGCGATGAACATATGCATGCATGTGTCTTTATGGTAGAAAGATTTATAGTCCTTTGAGTATATACCTAATAATGGGATTCCTGGTTTGAATGGTAATTTTAAGTTCTTTTAGGAATCACAGAAAAAAAGGGAATGCTTATTCATCACTGATTGGAATATAAATTAATTCATCCATTGTGGAAAGCAGAAAATCATCATGTTAAAATACCTAATAAGAGAATGGGTCTAAAAAATTATTTGCAGTAATTATTAAAATCATAAAGCCTACGGTTTTCATAATGAATGGATCAGGCTAGTATCACCTGAACCACCTGATATGGTTTGGATATTTTGTGTTTTCCAAATCTCATGCTGAAATGTGATCTCCAATGTTGCAGGTGGGCCTAGTGGGAGGTGTTTGGTCATGAATGGCTTAGTGCTGTCCTCATGGTAATGAGTGAGTTCTTAGTCTATGAGTTCATGTGAGACTGGTTGATTAAAAGAGGCTGGTACCTCCTCCCTCTCTCTCTCTCACCATGTTACATGCTGGCTCCCCTTTGCCTTCCACCACGATTGTAAGCTTCCTGAGGTCTCACCAGAAGTAGATGCTGGCACTAGGCTTCATGTACAGCCTGCATAACTGTGAGCCAAATTATCCTCTTTTCTTATAAATTACCCAGTCTCAGGTATTCCTTTATAACAATGCAAATGGATTAACACACCACTTTTATGTCTTCTCATCAATAAAAGACTAGACATGTGCCTCCTGCTGTGATGCAACAGGACATGCACAACACCAGCAATGAAAGATTCTTGTCCTTAAACCACACAAAACAAAAATGCTAATATAAGCAAGTTTTTCCATCTATGTAGGATATAGAAAACTGTTAAACACAGGAACAGAAAGTCAAACACTGCATGTTCTCACTCATAAGTGGGAGTTGAACAATGAAAACATATGGACACAGGATGGGGAACAACACACAACAAGGCCTGTCAGGGGTTGGGGAAAAGGGGAGGGAGAGAATTAGGACAAATACCTAATGTATGCAGGGCTTAAAACCTAGATGACGGGTTGATAGGTGCAGCAAACCACCATGGCATATGTATACCTACGTAACAAACCTGCACATTCTGCACATGTATCCCGGAACTTAAAGTAAAATTTTTAAAAATTAAAAAAAAAACTGTTAAAGGATACCACATGTATACAAAGCTAAATTCAGAATTTAAGATATTCAATAAAATAAAAGATCCAGCTCCTTCCACCAATAAATGTCATGAGAAAGTTTTAAGAGAACTATCAGCCAAATGCAACATGTGGGCCTTGCTTGGATCCTGATTCAAACAAAGCAACTGTAGAGAGACATTTTCATACAGTCAGGGAAAAAGTGAGGAGGGACTAGATACTAGATATCTTCTCCATAATCTCTCATGCATCTCTCCTGAAATACAAAACAACTCTCAAAAAATGATTTTTGTTACATTCTTCTTTATTTGGTTTGGTTTTTAAAGTCCCACTTTAATTATACTGACACCTGTTTTATTCTTTACCAGCTTTAATCACTTGCACTGATATTTAATGGAGAGAATGATGTATATAAGAGAACAGTTGCCAACTTGCAAATGCTAACAAAATGCTAAAAGACCACATGCATCTGTCAGGCAAGTAATAATTCATATGAGAAATTATATGAGATAATTATACAAGATAATTAAAACACATAAACCACAATAATTCAATATCACCACCAAATACTTCAAAGTAGCTAAGGGACTGAAGGATATACCATCCCAAAATTTGCCAAATTGGTAAATTGATTATTTCAAATTAAAAACATTGGAGAAATTGGAGTTTCAGAAAGGGCTAGACGACCTGTCCCTTTCTGCATGCATCAAGTCATAAAGATTCCTCTGGGAGGGATACCGTCCCTGTACCAGAGAGAGAAAACAGCCTTTATCTCCAGAGTGGTAATCAGGGGGCTGCAATGGACCTGAAGAAAGGAACTTCCCGAAGTAACCCTTATCTTGCAGTAGTTTTACACCCCGCCCACCATGTATCTCCTAGTGACTTCCCTAGAATTTACTGCCCCTAACCAGGTCCTCTTGTCCCATCATTTCTTTACAAATTTTTCATTCTTTGTCCAAAACACATAAAAGCATTTTGCTTTGACCATGTCTGTGGACATCAGTCTCTTGTGAAAATCCCCATGTACATGTAAAACTAACAACATGTATATGTTTTTCTCTTGTAAATCTGCCTTATGTCCATTTGGTTCCTAGTTTAAGCCGAAGAGGCCACATAAAAGCTAATGGGGGTTTGGAGATGATCTCTCACTCCCCTGGACAGCATTGTGTGACTCATCAAATACTCACTGAGTTCCTTACCATTGTCATTGATGCAGAGTATATTAATAGTTTCTGTTCTTCAGAAAAGCCCTGTTTTCTTTTTGAAAATAATATACAAACTGAGCTTAAAGTCTTTTCAATCTTAAAATGTTCAGTCAGCAATATTTTGAATATCTCCCTTTTTTCAATTATTATTATACTTTAAGTTTTAGGGTACATGTGCACAATGTGCAGGTTAGTTACATATGTATACATGTGCCATGCTGGTGTGCCGCACCCATTAACTCATCATTTAGCATTAGGTATATCACCTAATGCTATCCCTCCCCCCTCCCCCCATCCCACAACAGTCCCCAGTGTGTGATGTTCCCCTTCCTGTGTCCATGTGTTCTCATTGTTCAATTCCCACCTGTGAGTGAGAATATGCGGTGTTTGGTTTCTTGTCCTTGCAATAGTTTGCTGAGAATGATGGTTTCCAGCTTCATCCATGTCCCTACAAAGGACACGAACTCATCATTTTTTATGGCTGCATAGCATTCCATGGTGTATATGTGCCACATTTTCTTAACCCAGTGTATCATCGTTGGACATCTGGGTTGGTTCCAAGTCTTTGCTATTGTGAATAGTGCCGCAATAAACATACGCGTGCATGTGTCTTTATAGCAGCATGATTTATAATCCTTTGGGTATATACCCAGTAATGGGATGGCTGGGTCAAATGGTATTTCTAGTTCTAGATCCCTGAGGAATTGCCACACAGACTTCCACAATGGTTGAACTAGTTTACAGTCCCACCAAAAGTGTAAAAGTGTTCCTACTTCTCCACATCCTCTCCAGCACCTGTTGTTTCCTGACTTTTTAATGAGCGCCATTATAACTGGTGTGAGACGGTATCTCATTGTGGTTTTGATTTGCATTTCTCTGATGGCCAGTGATGGTGAGCATTTTTTCCTGTGTTTTTTGGCTGCATAAATGTCTTCTTTTGAGAAGTGTCTGTTCATATCCTTCGCCCACTTTTTGATGGGGTTGTTTGTTTCTTGTAAATCTGTTTGAGTTCATTATAGATTCTGGATATTAGCCCTTTGTCAGATGAGTAGGTTGCAAAAATTTTCTCCCATTCTATAGGTTGACTGTTCACTCTGACAGTGGTTTCTTTTGCTGTGCAGAAGCTCTTTAGTTTAATTAGATCCTATTTATCTATTTTGGCTTTGTTGCCATTGTTTTTGGTATTTTAGTCATGAAGTCTTTGCCTATGCCTATGTCCTGAATGGTATTGCCTACGTTTTCTTCTAGGGTTTTTCTGGTTTTCGGTCTCACATGTAAGTCTTTAATCCATCTTGAGTTAATTTTTGTATAAGGTATAAGGAAGGGGTCCAGTTTCAGTTTTCTTCATATGGCTAGCAAGTTTTCCCAACACCACTTATTAAATGGGGAATCCTTCCCACATTTCTTGTTTTCGTCAGATTTGTCAAAGATCAGATGGTTGTAGATGTATGACATCACTTATGAGGCCCCTTTTCTGTTCCATTGGTCTATATATGGGTTTTGGTACCAGTACCATGCTGTTTTGATTACCGTGGCCTTGTAGTATAGTTTGAAGTCAGGTAGCATGATGCCTCCAGCTTTGTTCTTTTGCTTAGGATTGTCTTGGCTGTATGGGCTCTTTTTTGGTTCCATATGAAATTTAAAGTAGTTTTTTCTAATTCTGTGAAGGAAGTCAATGGTAGATTGATGGGGATAGCATTGAATATGTAAATTACTTCAGGCAGTATGGCCATTGTCACAACGTTGATTCTTCCTATCCATGAGCATGGAATATTTTTTCCATTTGTTTGTGTTCCCTCGTACTTCCTTGAGCAGTGGTTTGTAGTTCTCCTTGAAGAGGTCCTTCACATCCCTTGTAAGTTGTATCCTAGGTATTTTATTCTCTTTGAAGCAATTGTATTGGGTTTTATGATTATTAGGGTTACTAAATCAAGCTGAAGCTGGATATGTTTCAAATTTAATTGATGATGTCCTACTGCCAGACTTCACATTGCAGTTATTTAGATTAAATAATCTTACATATAGAGAGAATGTTTGTGATACAGTTGCTCCAAAGTCAGTTGTTTTGGGAGCCCAAACCTCCAGGTGGGATTTCAAAGCCCATATAGTGGGCTTTTCCGCTGTCTTTCTATGTGAACATAAGCAAGTTACTTAGAATCCCTGTGCAAAATGGAAACAATCATAGAGTACTTGTAGCCTAGCAACTTCTCGAAATTCTTATTTGACAATGTCTATAGAGTGCTTTCTGCTTGTTAGAGGAAGAGGGACTTTGTGAAAACAAGCCATTACTGGTATCTTAAGGCAGTACCTACTGGAGCAGGGTCATATTGTTCCACATTTGCCACCAGTTCTGTAATTCTTTGAAGAGCTAAGCTATCCAGGATTGGAAATAATTTTAATAATGTATGTACAGGGACAACCTCAGTTAAATAACACAGAACTGGAGACTTCAAGCAATGAGCATTTCTCCAAACAGAAGAAAACCCACCTCCTTCACAAGCAACAATAGCAATTAAAACAATACTTATTTAGCAATTACTATGTGCCAAGAACTCTTCTAAATGTGTTACATGCAATTCCTCAATTATCATAGCAACCCTGTGAAATAGACAATATTCCTATTTCCATTTGATAGATTTTAAAAAAGGCACTTGGAGAGCTTAATTGGCAAAGGCAACTCACAAATTGCAGTCACGGGATATAAAGGCAGGCCATCAGATTCAGGGCAGAATTTTGACCACTATTCATGTCCAGTCAAAGGTGAAAAAGCATGAGGACTTTAGGAGGAAAAAAATATTTTCCTCTTCACTTTATGACATCAGCCAAATTTTTCACATGATCCACAGATTTAAGGTTGGATGATACAAATTACAGAGGCAAGGAAAGTAGAGGCCACAGCTGTGGTCCTTGAAGGGTTTGAGTTCCAGGAAGACCTGCTATAGACATACGAATCCTGGAAAGGTAAACAACATACCTAGTTGTGACCTGTAAGGTAATGACCACATGCTCCTAGAGTTTAGCTAACACTACTCATATAACACTAAGCATACAACTGGGATCAGCCACCATGTTAATCTCTGATTCACCAAAAGTTTCACTCAGTCTATCATTAACGAGGAAAAGAAGTGATAGCCAAATGCATTCACAAGTTATACCAGGCTGATCTCATTTATTTTTTGAAAGAATCCCTAAACTCATAGAGAGAATGCCATAAAGTTAGAATACCTGAAATTCAGTAAAGGTTTTGGACAAGATACTCAAATGTAGGCTGATAATACCATAGGTAGATGGATTTGGACCTTGTTGTAGGACTAGAGAGGGCTCATTAATGAAACACAAGTTCAATTTAATGGAATGCACCTTGTCTCATGTTGCAGAGATTTCCCCTGTCATCTTCAATGTTTCTATCAATGATTTGAATGAGGACATTGATATGGTTTGGCTGTGTCCCCACCCAAATCTCATCTTAAATTGTAGCTCCCACAATTCCCATGTGTCATGGGAGGGACCTGGTGGGAGGTAATTGAATCATGGAGGCAGGTCTTTCCCGTGCTGTTCTTGTGATAGTGAATGGGTCTTATGACATCTGATGGTTTTATAAGGGGGAATTTCCCTGCACAAATTCTCTCGTCTGCCGCCACGGGAGGAAGACATGACTTTGGCTTTCCACCATGATTGTCAGGCCTCCCCAGCCACGTGGAACTGTGAGTCCATTAAACCTCCTCTTTTTCTTTATAAATTAACCAGCCTTAGATATGTCTTTATCAGCAGCATGAAAACGGATTAAGACAGACATAAAAAGCAAATGTACCTAATTTGCAGATTTCAAGAATCTGGGAAATGCCTGAAAGCTGAATAACAGAATCAGAAACCAAAGAGTTTAACAGACTGAAATGAGGAATTCAAATTAACAAAATATAACGTAAACAAAGCTTGACTCATTCTGTGTGGCACTGGAAAGGAGGCCAGAATTGGTCAGTAGAATTTACTTAAAGGCAAAATTTATTTTAATATGGAAAGTACCTTTCTAAAAATACCATTTCCAAATATTTTAAAATAAATATCTTAAGAAGAAAAGTAAAAAAAATACAAAACCCAGGAATTTTTATATTAGACAATTGGTTGCCTAAATAGTTTTCTCTTTAATAGAGTACTGAATAGCAAATAGTTTTGTAAGAATATATTATGTATTTTTGTATATTCAAGTATGCCATTGGAAAAATAGAGGATATTAGCCTCTCTGTAGTTCAAAGAATTTCTTTGAAGAGTCAATTCAAATAAAAGAACCAGCTTATGGAATTTTCAGAACTCATGAAGCCAAACCAGGAACATAAGCTACAGCAATTTTGCCACACAATAGCTGTGTTGCCTGTATATGGCTATTTAATCATGGTCCTTTACACAGAGATGTAGCACTGAATGAAGAAGAGAATATGCAGAGGAACCCAAGAGTCAAAAGGACCTTGCTTTTCTTTTGTTTCAGCTTTACTTAATATACTATGCCTTCTATTGCATATGCAACCCATAAGTTTTTTAGCTATTTATAGATTAGTTATATCACCAGAAAAAAGACACAGGATAAAACATTTCAGTGCCAAAATTCAGCTTTTCTGAGTTCACTTGTTCACTACTAACATATTTTTTTTCCTGTGTATTTTTAACTTAAGCCATTTAACTTCTCAAGAGATTTTGTTGTCTTTATGTGTTTTAATTTAAAAGCTGTTAAGAGTTTTTCATTTCTTTGTTTGTATATTCCACTAATAGTTTTATCACATGTTTTGAATCATCTATATATGGACATTAGAATTTACAAAACATTGTTATGTATAAAATTACTTGAGAGTGGATTCTTGCTAATATACTGTAACAGATTTTTAAAGAGACACTGTAAACATCTAGGTATATTGAAGCCATAGTTAATGATTACTGTAAATTTTCAAAGATTTAAAAATTCTAAAACTATAGTATTCTCCAATGAGCAAAATTTAAAAAGTGATTTCAGAGAGTACACTATAATTGAATTTCAGTAAAAATAATTGGTATAATGTCTTCTAACATCTAATATGGGAACATTTCAATTCAAAATGGTGCAATCAGTTTATCCATGACAATGATACATGCACAGACACACACATGGATATGCACACACAAAAAGAATATTGAAAAGACTTATCTAGATTAGAAAAAAACATATAAGCAACTCTGGTGGAATCAAAATGTCAAAGAGTGAACAGGCTGAAATCAGAGGTGTGTTAAGCCCAGGATGCTGAAGCAGGTATTGAGGGCTTGGCTCTTTCAGAGTGAAGGAAACTAAAAGTGCTCCATATGAAATAGGAATAGGATTTAGTGAAGGATAAGAGTAATGGGAGTTGGAGTCATTGCTTAAATCTGGGGGCTCAGCTCCGCCCATCTTCAACTAAAAGGTGTGCTTATTGTGCATCCTTACCCACAGTTGTTATAAAAGCTGATCAGAAGAACACTAAGAGCCTCATACTCATGAATGGAATAGTACTAGGTGGTCCTGCAATTTGTTCTGTGGTCATCTCAGGTAGAAGCCTCAAAGCTAAATTACAAGACTTGGTATTTGTTTGGGGGAGCAAAGGTCTAGATGAAGACAATTTTAAAACTGATACATGGAAAAGAGGTGGGAATGAAGAAGAGAGAGGAGACGGAGATTAAGAGTGAAGCTGGATTAGGAAAGAGGAAGTTGAAATAGGGCAATGAAGAGAATAACATGGAAAGCAGCAATGGAAATATATATATATATATATATATATGAAACAAATGTATATATATATATATTCACTATCAAAATGAGCTTGACAAGAAAAACATTAAAATATATTAAGAATTTTGTTGAAGGAAACAGTACAAAATCAGCTTTCAAAATGGAAATTACTTCCGGTGATAATTTTATAGAGCACATAAAAAACATTTCAATAATTATTTCTAGGATATTCAAAGAAATACATAAAAATGTTTCTTCCAATAGTATAAGAGATTATGAAACAGATCAGAAAGCTCAGTCAAGTAGGAATTACAAATCATCAAGCATAAATCTTAGAAGGGAAATATATAGTATTTAAAACTTAAAAAATCAGTAGAGTAAAACCTAAATTGGAAATAGTCAAAAAAAAAGTTATTGAAAAATAGCACCAAGAAATTTACCAACACAGAAAAACAAAAATATATAACTATAAAAACCATTTAAGTCCAGTTGGTTTTTCTTTTTTTTTTTTTTTTGAGACGGAGTCTCGCTCTGGTGCCCAGGCTGGAGTGCAGTGGCGCCATCTTGGCTCACTGCAAGCTCCACCTCCCGGGTTCACGCCATTCTCCTGCCTCAGCCTCCCAGTAGCTGGGACTGCAGGCGCCCGCCTCCAAGCTTGGCTAATTTTTTCTATTTTTTAGTAGAGACGGGGTTTCACCGTGTTAGCCAGGATATTCTTGATCTCCTGACCTCATGATCTGCCCGCCTCAGCCTCCCAAAGTGCTGGGTTTACAGGCGTGAGCCACCGCGCCCAGCCCCAGTGGATTATTTTTAACGTAAATTCCCAGGAACAAGGAATGGAGAAGAAACATGCATAAGAATAATTGCTGAGACTCTTCCAGAAATAATGACATGAATCCTGACCTTCAGAGTACACTCTGAATAGAAAACTAGATACAAATCTAAACATAAACATACATCTTTATATATCTTTCCATATGGCAATAAAATGACTTTGCAGGATATCAAAAATCAAGAATTAACTGTGAAGACCATCAGAGAAAAAAAAGCATATTCCCTACACAGATAGAGGACTAGAGGAAAAGCAGACTTTTTATTAGTTATAATAGAGATGGGATTAGCTATGTTGACTGTTATTTCCCCTCATCACTCTGAAGATATTATTTCTGATAGAATAGTAGAAATAAAATACACTCTATCTGAAGACTGAATAATATCTTCAGAGTGATGAGGGGAAATGACAGTCAACATAGTAAATTAGTCAAGAATGAGAATAAAATGATAATATTAAAAGACATAGAAACACTAGAAGGACTAACCCATTCACAGATCTGTACTAAAAAATCTATTGAAGTATTTACCAGAGGAAAGATGAAAGAGAAGAAATGATGATAAGCACTAAAAGTGATTTAAAATATTGATATATATCTCAAAGCAAACACATACATAATTATGTTACTGTTAGAAGTATAACATTAAAACTTGGGGTGGGGGGTTGAGATAGAGTTTTCCTCTGTTGCCCAGAATGGAGTCCAGTGGTGTGAACATGGCCCCTTCCAGCCTCAACCTCCTGAGATCAAGCTATCCTCCTGCCTCAGCCTCCTAAATTTTGCTGGACTACACATGCACACCATTGTGCATGGCTAATATTTTATTTTTTGTAGAGGTGAGGTCTCACTATGTTGCCCTGGCTGATCTCAAAATCCTGGGATCAAGCAATCCTCCCACGTCAAGCTACCAAAGTGCTGGGATTACAGGCACGAGACATTGCACTTGGCCAAGATTAAAACTCTCAACAGGATTAGGAGGGTTGTTTAATAAGTAGACAAAACAAGTTTATTGACCGCAGGATTCAAATACTGAATATTGATTCACTAGGAATATTTATAATTAAAAATTTCTATCAAAATGTAAAACTCAAGAAGATTGGGCTTCCAAATAAAAAAATTAAAAAACTATATAACATTTTCTCAATTCAAGATAGAGAAAAAGAGAAAATAGGAAAATAATGCTGATGATCATCATCATGTCAAGGGGAAAATATAAGAATCCTAAGTTACTACTTTGCTCCATCCTAAGTAATTACTTTGGAATACCTGAATAAAATGGAAATTATATCACATATTACATATGTACATATATCATATGTACAATTCATGTACATATATCATATGTACAATTCATGTACATATATCATATGTACAATTCATGTACATATATCATATGTACAATTCATGTACATATATCATATGTACAATTCATGTACATATATCATATGTACAATTCATGTACATATGAATTGTATGTATTAACAATTTTCTTAATATTGAAAGATATTTCTAACTCCCATTTCAATGTCCATATTATGGTGTTAATATAGTGCATGAATATATTTTTAATGGTGTATTTAGGATAATCCCATGATTATTCAGAAGATAAAATGATCCACAGTATTTTTAATGTATTCTTTGTAAGATTTTTTTGTGCCCACATAA
This sequence comes from Homo sapiens, assembly GCF_000001405.40. Taxonomy (NCBI): domain Eukaryota; kingdom Metazoa; phylum Chordata; class Mammalia; order Primates; family Hominidae; genus Homo; species Homo sapiens. The sequence continues at coordinate 47,441,925 of NC_000013.11, forward strand.
TATTGACTTTGTAAAAAGGATTTGAAAATTTTACTTGCCTGTCTATGCTGTGAAATATTTGAATATAATAAGAATTAAAGATTAACTTAAGGATTTGTTTACTTCATCTGTTAAATTCTTTTTATGAAGGCAGTTGTGTAGTCCTTTGACAGATTCATTTTGTTTATAGTAATTAGTTCGGGTATTTTTCTCTGTATGGGTGGTTATTTTATAAACAGACTGTCCCTCTCTTCTGGTGCCTGTTAGGTATATTTTCTTGGAATAGCATCCTGGACAATGAAGAAGAAAGACATGTGGAGCCTGGGACATTGAGGAACATCACACAGCCACAGCACAGTGTTTACATCCTCGTATTTCCACTAACATGTAGCTGCTGAACTCAATCCTGGCCTAAAATCATAGGTGAGAAATTGGTGTATATCAAATGTATGGATGGATTAACAAATGAAATACATACAAATTAAATATTCCATAGATAAGTGAAATGTGTACAGATAAAATACAGCTAAGATATATGGAGAATTTTTACTTCAAGATAGGATTCCTTTATAAATGTGTGCTTGTTTAATGTAACAACTGAAGTAGGAAAACACCAAATTCACTAGCACATTTTTAGTTTTGCTCACATTAGCTATGACCTAATCTGACCTTTAATGATAGTCTAGCATAAGTATGTCATCTTCTCACTAGGTAACACACTTCCCTCAGGTGTGTGTATACGATGAAAACAATAATAACGGTTCTGTGTGATCTCAGTGGCTCCCCTGCTCGGTTCTCTGATCTTTGATGTTTCACACCTTTTTGTTCTACAGTCATGTCATCAATGTTGCTTTATTGTATCAGGGTTTTATAGTTAATTATACATTTCTTTACTTAATGTATTTATTTATCCATTCAACAAATAATGTTAAGTTTCTAGGCACTGTTCTAGACATCAAAGATATGGGTAGAACAAGAAGCTGACTGGAGGAAATAATTCAATTTTGCTCAAACACTTGTACACAGTTTGCTTAAGAATCAGGTATCTGTCACATTATTTCTCAGGGATTTTACTTTATCCAGTACTTCTTTCCAAAGGCCAGGTTCTTACATGACGACTTTAATGTGGGTTTAGGTGCCTGTATTTTTTCAGCTATTGCTTTAATCATGGTGCTATGAGGTGAGCACAAGAAATTTCAATATAATTAAGGAATTGAATTGATTGTTAAGGGTGTTATATGTGCAACAGAATCACCTGTGAGTTCTGGGTGATGCTAGACAATGCCCACAGCTATAGTCCTGGGAAAAGATATTTGTTCCCCTCAATTAATAGGGTGATGCAAAAAATAGAATAAATTAGGATTTTAGCTGCATTGAGAATTCTAGCTTCCAAATGCAATTACTATTATGGCGATTGCTATCTTGTTTTTCCCAGTGTTAATTAAAGTTCCTGTTAGATAATTCTGAGGTAAGAGTGGCTGCTCCATGGTTTAATTCTTTCCAGTGGTTCTGGAAAAAGTAACTAAGCAAACAATGACCATACTATTCAAGACTAATTAAATAAGTTTCTTGAAAGTGTATGTTATTCATGCCATAACTTTTTTTCTGTAAAATTGCTTAATATTGTAGTTAGTATTTTCAATTTCCAGCTATGGAAAAAAGTAATTTAAAAATTAATTAATATGTTATTCATCTTTTCTAGCATCCTGCCTGCGTAACTACTTCCAGATGGAAACTCACTGTGTAGGGTGTATGCTATCCTAAGGTAAGTGATCTGCAGGGCTGGTATTGGTTTCCAATGCTCAAAGCACATATGAGAAATCCTGAGGTCAACTGCGAATTTTCAAAATGTGGAAGGAGAGACTAGCTGTTTTGGAATTCTAGAGCTGGGACTTCTATACAGGCTTTCCTAAAGCCTCTTGATTATGAAGTTTAAAACCCACTGACATTCATGTTACATACGCCCCAAAATTATCAGCCTTATTGCATGGGTGTCTTTTTTCCTCCAGCATCAGTATAATCAAAGCAGAGAAAGTAGTACTGGATAGTAGGGCACACATTCCCCAATATTTCCAGCTTGAAATTCGTTGTTTTATTATACATTTGGCTGAAATGCACTCCCTTGGTAAATGAAAAGATAAGAATGTTTTACAAATTTCTATTTTATTTATAATATAACAAGCTTTGACCAAGCAAAAACAGAAAGTTAATTGGCTCCAGTACCCAAACCATGGAAAGAGGCAGGATGCCTAGATCTAGAAACCAAGTTTGTCAAGAGCCTTTCTTGATTTCTTGTCTCTAATCTGCTTTGAGATCTCCATTTTCTCAAATCAGCTGTACTCCATGGCTGTTATAGTCATCTCTGGACTCACATTCTATCACCTCCTATTCCAGAAAGAAACGAAGTTTCTCTAACCTGCCGTACATTGAAAACATCTTAGGGAAAGTCTCTGGTAGTCCTAGCCCCAGTCCTATATTACCACCGCAGGGTTCGTGGAGGCAGGTTTGTAAGTGTGGGTAGCCAAATTATGGCCTCTGCAGAGGTGAGGTCTGCTGTCTACTCATCAGCACATCTGTCACATGTGTTTCTTCTCTGGTAGACTTTGAGTTCCTTATAAGCAGAAACCATTCACCTTAATATTCTCATCACCTAACCAGGAGCCCAGAGTTGGTGCTTAACATTTATTAAATAAATATTGCTAAACTGTACTCCAGAAGGACAAGTTCTAAATGTTTACCCAGAGTTCTGCCAAAAATGGATTATATCATTTTAGTCTAAATTTTCTAGACACTGACAAAGAACATCTTAAGTTGAAAAAAAATTGAAAAGAAAAACATACCATAAAAGGATCTTGGTGGTAGGGGGCAGGGGGCAGGTAAAAATTTTTGGAAGATCTTTGTCCCTGTAAAGCCTTAAGTTATAGAACTCATTATGAAAGAAAAGTCTCCTTTAAAGCTTGAATTTTTTAACACTTTTTGTGGAAAAGAGAAACAAAAAGCCTAAAACAATACCAACTGATTTTCCAGATATTTCAGTGAATTAAGAAAGTATTCCAAGGAGCTTCGAGTAAACATAATGCTTTACCGTTGAATGGCCTTCTTATTTTGGAAACACTATTTACACAATCAACCCTGAGATAGGTTAGGAGTATCTGTAGCAAATTTTATTATAAACTTGCTCTCAGAATCATCAAGATTGAAACCCAAAGCCACTCATTGGTAAACATCCGGGGACAACAGACTATTAATGGTGGATACTATTCCTGTCTAACAAAGACAATCATGAAATTTACAAATCACAAACCCCTTATTGCTTTCATATTATCACTGCTTCCCACATTAGAAAGAATAATTAAAAATTAGTACACTTCTTTAGTATCTTATACCTTCTAAAGTACTTCCAGATTCCATCTTATACCTTCTAAAGTACTTCCAGATTACATCACATTGTTCCTTTTGTCAAGGAGAAGCCTAGTTCTTATTTCTGTTTTATTTGAAATAATATCTTATGGCCACACACTGAGTTAATAGGACAAGGCCGAGGCTCCTGAAATCCTCCAAAATATACATTTCAAGAGCACTTAAAAGGACATTCTGTAGCTGAAACTATATATTAGTCTTAAGCAACTAAGGTGTTCTTAGACTCTTTGACAGTAAGTCATTGTTTTGACAGGAAATCCCATGGCCTTCATTTAAAAAGAAAAAATTATCTAGGATATTGTCACTTAAAATGTGGTGAGTATAGTCACCACAAAAAGAGTGAAAAGGTTGCCAGATTTAAGTTACAGGACTTGGATTCTTGTTTATACTCTTGGTGTTGGCAGCTGAGTGACTTTGACCAAGTTGCTCAACTTCCCTGAGCTCCATTTTTCTTTATATAGAAATGGAGAAATAATAATATCTATTTCAAAAGTTCTTGTGAAGATTAAATTAGATAATACATGTAAAAATGCTATAAAATTATAAACCATTGTTTATAATCATATGACACAACTGCATTTGTTTACCTGACTGAATACTAGACAAAATATCACATTAGGGCAAAGTTTGTGTCTCTTTTATCTTAATTATTCCCATTAAGCTAGATCATAATAACTGGTATATATACATACATACATACATATATACATAGTAAATGCTCAGTGAATGCTTATTTCAAGTTATCGTGTAAAATAGAGGAGGTTTTCTAGAGAAGTGAAAAACTATATTTACCCTATATTTCAAATTTAATCCCTGAGAAGATAGAGAAAAAATCGTGGAGAAGGAAAAGACATGAAAATTAATTTTACAAACATTCTTTTCCAAAGACTTTTCTAGGTCCTTGCAGAATTATCTCAGAAAATCATTTGAATATCCTCACCAAATAAGAATTATTACAACCACTTTTGTAGACAAACAAGGCTCTAAGGGCTAATAAATTTACTAATTTTATTCAGCTGGTACATGGTTTAAATCAAGATCATATTCTCAACAAAGCCCTTGTTCTTTGGATTCCACTGCCTTTTCCTAACTACACTGGATTGCCTTGGGTCTCTTAGTTATTCATTATGAAAGAAAGGGAGCCCACTTTTTAATTGGCCAAAAATAAATATTTGTCCCCTCAACCATCTGTCATTATGTCTGCAATCACCACTGTTAGCTGGACATCTTTAATGTTTCCCAAATTGTGTTTTCATGAAAAAGTGGTCTCATGGAATGTTGCACAAATAAAGAGTCACATATTATGTCCTTCCACAGAGATTCACAGAGTACTATAACAAAATAAGGGCTCTGTGAAGTCCTAAGCCAAAGAAATCTGTTCAAAATAGCCAAGAGGGTCTTTTGACCATGAAAGCCTTCCCCTCACCACATAGAATGGATTAACATTCAAGGAAAGAGGACTACACATTGGGAAATATTGCCTTACAGCCTTCTAGGAGCAAGTATTCTTTAATTAGAGAAAACATGACCATTGCATGAGACGTAAAACTTGCTTACACTGTGATAGAATTTGTTTTATTGTTCAAGCCTAATTGTATCCTCTTTAGTAGGAAGTAAACCAGAGTGAAATAATAAAACACACAGTGTTTCTCAACACAGCAGGTGCCTGGGAGAAAGGTTCTGGGCCACTTTGAGCTGTGGTTCCCTGAAGGAGGAGTTGCTAAAGATAAGGGGTACACAGGTTGTCCCTGAGGACAGATATACCTTCTCGATTTTATTTGGGGTGGTTCCTAGGTAATGAAAGGAGATAGTTCTTAGCAATAAGAAAGTAACTATGATTCTACTATTTAAACTTTCAGTTATCCTTTAGGGATAATGGAATAAATGGCTTGTTGAATTGTGAGATGCTCATGAATTAATCCCTCATGGAGAAATTGTGCATACAGGCTAAAGCCCATACTGAAACTGAGTAGGACACTGGGGCTAGATCGTAAGCTTTCTTATATCTGGACTAACTTCTCCCAAGAGAGGGTGATGGGGAGTGTGTTTTAATGTCTTGTAAAATGCCTCTTAAGGGAAGGAAGTTTATCAGCCATGGAAGAACCTGAAAAAGGTGACACTGAAGAATATGCCACAAATCGGCATTCATTGATTCTGAAACAAGAAATAGTAGAGAGGAAAACTCTTCTCTCCTAACAATGGTCCATAATAGCACCTAGAGTAGGAACTTCTGCCCCACACAATCTGCCCTGATAGGGAAGAACTACCATTTAGATAATCCTGCCTGAGTCTGAGGAGATAGCACTGTATCAGAAAGCTTAATTCATGCCATTATATTTCAAATATTCTTCAGTGTAGCTTTCCTGGTAATAAAGCTAATATTTCCATGGCCAGATACAGGATTCCTGCATTCATCTCTCAATTGGTTATGAACTTGGGTTGGAACTGGGGGTTAAATAGGCATTATAATTATCTCCTAAACTCACTGAAGTACTTTGCTTACATTCCCTGTGATGCTCTTAGGCATGGGAAGTCAGCAGGAAAATACTGCAGAATGTCACTCATGGGTCTCACCCCACCTGCCCTGGCAGTCACTTCATTCGCCAGCCCTTGATACTCACTCAAGATGTGAAAGAGCTTTTTCTCTCTCACTCAGCAACTTGTTTTCTTTAACTGATTTTGGCAATCTTATTCTATATTCTGGGAAATTTGACAAGTAAAATAAAGTTGCTCAACTAGAATGACATCTTGGTTCTGCATACTATTTTCAATAAAACTATTGATTTCAGACTCACAGACACCAGAAACACACTAACTATTCAACAACAAACTCAGAATATGTTTGTCTTTTATATAAAGACAAAGACCTGACTTCTATGCTCTACTTCTGATACCTGTATTTAATAGGCACTAAGATATTTGTTGAGTAAATGAAATGAAGGAGTGTTACCAGACCCTGGGTCAGTTATTGGTAAAAATTTGCTACAAACTTATGTCACTTGTGTCTAATATATAGATAAGATCAGGGCATACAAATTCTACCTAGTTCTCTTCTTTTGTACTGAGGTGATATTCACAGAAAATGAGGCCAGAAAAATGACATTGCCTATTATGGGATTTGGCCTCAAGTCCCTCTTTAGTCTCCTATGGAGAAGACGTACAGTATATTTAAACCACAGAGACTATTTCTCCCTAGAAAGAGGCAGGCGTGGGAACTCTGGCTCTAGTTGTGCCCCTTCAATCCTATCTGTTCCAGCTAGGCATGCTAAGGAAATTTGAAGGGGATCAAGGGCAAAAGATGTTATTTTTTCTTCCCAAATGGTAACCAATCTGTGAACTATCTTACAGTACCAACCCCATAGGAGGAAAAAAATGAAAAGTGACTGTGATGGTTAATTTTATGTGGCAACTTGACTGGGCCATGGGCTGCCCAGATATTTGGTTAAATATTATCCTGGATTTGTCTGTGAGGGTATTTTTAAAAGAGATTAAAGTTTGAATCTGTATACTGAGTGAAACAGATTGCCTTCCCCAATGTGGGTGGGCCTCATCCAATCCACTGAAGACCTGAATAGAACAAAAAGCTCAGTAAGGAAGAATCCGCTCTCTCTGACTGTTTTGGGGCTGGGACATCAGTCTTCTGCCTTTGAACTCAGACTCAGACTGGAGCTTACCTCCTCAGTTCTCCTGGTTCTCAGGCCTTCAGACTTGGACTGGAACTATACCACTAGCTCTCCTGGGTCTCCAGCTTGCCAGCTGCAGATCTGGAGACTTCTCAGCCCCATAATCATGTCAGCCAATTCCTTATAGCCAATATCTCTCGATAGATGGATGGATGGATGGATAGACAGATACACGTTCTATTGGTTCTGTTTCTTCAGAGAATTCTGATTAACACATGGACCAAAGGCCAAATAATCTATATGGAGAAAATGTCTCAACAATGCTAATTTTTTAATCTCTTTAGTCATCACAAGGAAAACACCACTCTCTAACATGGTTAGTTTGTACCCATACTCTTGATTCAGACCAAAATTCCTTATCCCTAATGAAAGGCTGTGATTATTGGCCTAGCAACTGGAATGTGAACTAAAACCTACCAGTCAGGAACAAATGAAGCCATACACAAACTGGGCATTAACTCCATTCTGGAGAGCAAAGCATTTTCTTCAGATGACTGAGATAACCCAGTTTGCTTAGGATATTTGTCCAGGATAGGGATTTTCATAAGGAGAACTAATTGTCAAGTTCCCTGCACTAGATGAATTTCTGACAGGTTTACTGCTTCATGAAAAGAAATGTCATTTACTAAAGGAGTTGCAAGTCAATATGTGTTCTGAAATTGCAGTTGTGATTCTTGGAGGTTGCCAGAACACATAAAACAGAAAACATAGTGAAAATATCTGTCTACACAATGGAAGTTAAAGTGAAAAGTGGGAAACATCATGAAAATAAAAAGTATTTCCTAAATTTAGTTTTGGTCTTACAGGAACTTTGCTTCTCTGTATGAACAAAGAGAGAAAGAAAAGGGTTAAAAATGTAATTGGACTTTAAAACACAGAATTGTAAGATCTATAATAGGAAACATATCAGGCTTGAAAGGAGAGGTAGAAACAGAGAGTAAACAAACAAGTGCCAATTGACTACTTTTGAGGTTTTCATTTTATCTATAGAAAATCCTCAAAGCTGTTTTGGTTACTGTAGCCTTGTAGTATAGTTTGAAGTCAGGTGGCATAATTCCTCCAGCTTTGTTCTTTTTGCTTAGGATTGTCTTGGCTATACAGGGTCTTCTTTTATTCCCTATGAAATTTAAAATAGTTTTTTCTAACTCTGTGAAGAATGTCAGTGGTAGTTTGATGGGAATAGCATTGAATCTATAAATTACTTTGGGCAGTATGGCCATTTTCACGATATTGATTCTTCCTAACCATGAAGATGGAATGTTTTTCCGTTTGTTTGTGTCCTTTCTTATTTCGTGATCAGTGGTTTGTAGTTCTCCTTGAGGAGGTCCTTCACATCTCGTTAGCTGTATTCCTAGGTATTTTATTATCTTTGTAGCGATTGGGAATGGGAGTTCATTTATGATTTGGCTCTGGGCTTGTCTATTGTTGGTGTAAAGAAATGCTTGTGATTTTTGCACATTGATTGTGTACCCTGAGACTTTGCTGAAGTTGCTTACAGTTTAAAGAGTTTTGGGGCTGAGATGATGGGGTTTTCTAAATATAGAATCATGTTGTCTGCAAACAGACAATTTGACTTCCTCTCTTCCTATTTGAATACACTTTATTTCTTCCTCTTGCCTGATTGCCCTGGCCAGAACTTCCAATACTATGTTGAATAGGAGTGGTGAGAGACAGCATCCTTGTCTCGTACTGGTTTTCAAAGAGAATGCTTCCAGCTTTTGACCATTCAGTATGATATTGGCTGTGGGTTTGTCATAAATACCTATTATTACTTTGAGGTATGTTCCATCAATATCTAGTTTATTGAAAGTTTTTAACATGAAGGGATGTTGAACTTCATCAAAGACCTTTTCTGAATCTAGTGAGATAATCATGTGGATTTTGTCATTGGTTCTGTTTATGTGATGGATTCCATTTACTGATTTGCATGTGTTGAACCAGCCTTGCATCCCAAAGATGAAGCCAGCTTGATCATAGGGGATAAGTTTTTGGATGTGCTGCTGGATTCAGTTTGCCAGTATTTTATTGAGGATTTTTGCATCAATGTTCATCTGGGATATTGGCCTGAAGTTTCCTTTTTTTATTGTGTCTCTTCCCGGTTTTGGTATAAGGATGATGCTGGCTTCATAAAGTGAGTTAGGGAGTCCCTCTGTTTCAGTTGTTTGAAATAATTTCAGATGGAGTGGTACAAGTTCCACTTTGTATTTTTGGTAGAATTCAGCTGTGAATCCATCTGGCCCTGGGCTTTGTTTTGATTGGTAGGCTATTAATTACTTTCTTAATTTCAGAACTTGTTATTGGTCTATTCATGGATTCAGCTTCTTCCTAGTTTAGCCTTGGGAAGGTGTATGTGTCCAGGAATTTATCCATTTCTTCTAGATTTTCTAGTTTATTTGCATAGAGGTGTTTATAGTATTCTCTGATGGCAGTTTGTATTTCTGTGGAGTTAGTGGTGATATCCCCTTTATTATTTTTATTGTGTCTAGTGGATTCTTCTCTCTTCATTAGTCTAGCTAGTGTTTTATCTATTTTGTTAATTTTTTCAAAATCCAACTCCTAGATTGATTGATTTTTTGGAGGGTTTTTCATTTCTCTATCTCCTTCAGTTTTTCTCTGATTTTCATTGTTTCTTGTCTTCTACTAGCATTTGGGTTTAGTTTGTTCTTGCCTCTCTAGCTCTTTTAATGGAGATGTTAGGGTGTTGATGTGAGACCAAAACAGACATATAGACCAATGGGGCAGAACAGAAACCTCAGGAATAACATCACACATCTACAACCATCTGATTTTCAACAAACCTGACAAAAACAAGCAATGAGGAAAGGATCTCCTATACAATAAATGATGCTGGGAAAACTGGCTAGCCATATGCAGAAAACTGAAACTGGACCCCTTCCTTACACCTTATACAAAAATTAACTCAAGATGGATTAAAGACTTAAATGTAAAACCCAAAACCATAAAAATCCTAGAAGAAAATCTAGGCATTCAGGATATGGGCATGGGCAAAGACTTCATGACTAAAACACCAAAAGCAATGGCAACAACAGCCAAAATTGACAAATGGGATTTAATTAAACTAAAGAGTTTCTGCACAGCAAAAGAAACTATCATCAGAGTGAATGGGCAACCTAGAGAATGGGAGAAAAATTTTGCATCTACCCATTTAACAAAGGCCTAATATCCAGAATTTAATATCCAGAAAAAAATTCTAATATCCAGAAATTTAAACAAATTTACAGGAAAAAAACAACCACATCAAAAACTAGGCAAAGAATATGAACAGACACTTTTCAAAAGATGACATTTATGCAGCCAACAAACACATAAAAAAAGCTCAACATCACTGATCATCGGTGAAATGCAAATCAAAACCACAATGAGATACCATCTCATGCCAGTTAGAATGATGATTATTAAAAAGTCAGGAACAACAGATGCTGGCAAGGCTGTGGAGAAATACAAACACTTTTACACTGCTGGCGGGAACATAAATTAGTTCAACCATTGTGGGAGACAGTATGGCGACTCCTCAAGGATCTAGAACCAGAAATACCACTTGACTCAGCAATCCCATTACTGGGTATAGACCCAAAGGAATATAAATCATTCTACTATAAAGACATATGTACACGTATGTTTACTGCAGCACTGTTTACAATAGCAAAGACATGGAACCAACCCAAATACCCATCAATGATAGACTGGATAAAGAAAATGTAGTACATAGACAGCATGGTATACTATGCAGCCATGTAAAGGAATGCAACTATGTTCTTTACAGGGACATGGATGAAGCTGGCAGCCATCATCCTCAGCAGTCTAACACAGGAACAGAAAACCAAATACCACATGTTCTCACTCGTAAGAGGGAGTAGAACAATGTGAACACATGGACACATAGAGGGGAGCATCACACACTAGGGGTGAGAGGAGGGAACTTAGAGGATGGGTTGATGGGTGCAGCAAATCACCATGGCACATGTATACCTATGTAACAAACCTGCACGTTCTGCACATGTAACCCGTTTTTTTTTAGAAGAAATAAATTTTTAAAAAAGAAATTTCTCAAAGTTCCACCCTCTAATCACCTGCTGCAGAAACACTGGGTACTTTTTTTTTTTTTTTTTTTTTTTTACATAAATGCAGATCTCTAGACCCCATCCCAGATCTGCTGAATCTGGGTAATATCCAGGAATCCACATTCTAAACAAGCCTTAGGTGGTGTTTATATACCCTAAAATTTGAAAACCCCTGATATTAATGCATCTTAGTTCCTGTAAGGTGTTCTAGTCCTTTATCCCTTTACAGTGCTACTTTGAACCTAGAGGTACATCTTTGATTAACTGGAACTTTAAAGGTCAATGTTCCTGTAGAGAAAGACTGGAAAACCTTTCCAGTTTACATTTGAAGCAGTGTATTCATTGCTAGAAAAGAAGGAACAAGTTGATTTTACTCTGGAGCAGCAGATCCACCTTCTGAGGTTCCCATTTTTATAATTTTGGATAAGCTTGCAACTATCTTTGTGAGACCTGGCACCCTCACACTCAGCTTGCATCATTAGCCTTCACATGAGTCCTGGACAAGTTCAACAGGGAACCTGTCCTTGAAAAGCTAATGAGATCTTCCATAAGCATGTATTGCTTTCACTGATTTAAAATAAATATGTAACAGAAAGGACTCCTTTTCAAGCTAAAGGGAAACATGGAAGTGTGCAAAAGGAACTGTGTCAGGGTCCAGAGATTTGCCTCTGTCAACAGTGTGTTCTGGGACTTCAGGTGGGCACTACGTTCTCAGCAATCATTACTAATTTCTAAAGGTAGTGAGGTTGGATTTAAGAACTTCTATGCTTCCTTCAAACATCAACGAAATGTGTTTTATTTTTTCCTGTAAGGTTTAAAAATGATTTAATTTACAGCTATTAGTTTTAACAGAAAATTGTTAGTTTCCATATGTGTAAAAGTCTAAAACTAGCACTGAGAATATGCATTGTGAGGTTTTTAGCCCATATTTGAAATACAGATGTTATAAAGCATTATTATGCCTCAGAGGAAGTTTGGAGTTCTGAACACTTTGATTTGCTAAGATTACACTGCAAAACATATCAGTAAAAAGTATTTGAGGAGTAATTTTATTTCAGTAAAAGAGACTTCATATTAGCTATTTTTATTCATAAAACATCCTAAGGAATATGTATTTCAATATTACTATGTATAGAAATTATTAATAACACCTTGATCTCTTAGTTCTTTCACTAGAAAGAACCTAGATTTTCTTATTTTTATTTTTTTAGATTCATGGAGTACATGTCAGTTTTGTTACATGGATATATTGTATAGTGGTGAAATCTGGGCTTTTAGTGTACCCATCACCCAAATAGTGAACACTGTACCCAAGAGGTAATTTTTCAACTCTCTTCCACCCTCCCTGCTTTTGAAGTCCCCAGCATCTGTTATTCCCTTCTGTCTGCCCACACGTACCCATTGTCTAGCTCCTACTTATGTGAGAACACATGGTATTTGATTTCTCTGTTTTTGAGTATTTCACTTAGGATAATGGCCTCCAGCTCCATCGAGTGTGATACTGGTTTCATAGAATGAGTTGGGGAGAAATATCTCCTCCATTTTTTGGAATAGTTTCAGTAAGATTGGTACCGGCTCTTCTTTGTATGTCTGGTAAAATTGGGCTATGAATCTGTCTGGTCCTGGGCTTTTGTTAGGACATTTTTTATTACTGATTTAATTTCATTATTGGTCTGTTCAGGATAATCTAGATTTTATATTTCAAACGTCTCACAATTTCTTCTACTAACAGCATTTTAGTAACTCAGTGATACCCTATTCTATGATCCATATCTCCTAAATTATCTTTAAACTTTAAGCTTTAAAAGTGATGAAATAATTAAGATACATGGTTTATATCTCAGATACTAACTTCTCTGGAGTACACTCTCCAGTATAAACTGTACTAGAGAATCTGAGAATGGAAAGAATCCTAACCAGATTATCATTTATCGTCTTGCCATAGCTCCACTGAGCCATCATAAAACGTGTGGAACAGCAGGATTCTTAATTGTCCTACATGACAAGGCTAATGTTTTTGAATTCATTCATTATCCAGAATTTTCCCCAAAGTCTTGCCCAAGCTCCAAAGAATGTAACTTGAGGCTTAAGTTTCCTTTCATTGTTGGTTGCATAATTCTCTGAGAGGCAATGACAAGAAAGTCCTTCCATCCTGAAAGCTAGGAAACACTGACCTTTAACTTAAAGCCTTTCTTAAGTTTGAAAATATGACGACTGTGTGTGCAAAATATTCTAAGTCCTATAGAATGCCAGGCTGATACAAATCTAAGTTCTGCTTCTTTTAAAAACAACACTTTAAACTTCAAACTAAGCCTTTTCTTATGTAAAAATTTCTGCAGTAGCAAATTGAGGGCCCTGAAAACATTTCTACCAGTAAAACTGATTCCACTCTCTCCCCAGACCTCCTTAACAGAAAGCAGGAGCAATAATCAAGCCCTTTGCACCTGCATCATTAGCAGCTCATGTCCTTATCCAGCAAGTACAGTGTTACCAGAAATCTTCCATCTTAGACTGTGAAGAGTCCTGGGTTTTAATTTGCACCTGTGTGTATTTCATTAAAGCAATGAGCCTCAAATTTTACAATACCAAGGTTCAGATTACACAAGTAAATGGGACTTACTTTGTATAATGCATTGTCTACTCAGTAGCCACTCTCTGCCAGCTCTGCCCCCATGTGACCAATGTGCTGTAGGGCATATGGGTCAAAGAGAAAAATGCAAGGGAAACAGATTGGTCATGGTATTACAATTAATGGTCATGTGTTTTTGGTTCTGCATTGAAAGAGAAGTAGCTGTAGTTTAGTGAACTGGTTATTGCATATGATTTCAAAAACCCTAAGTTCAAATTCCTAGTCTGCAACTTAGTGGTGTGTGGCTTTGAGATGATCACTCAACCTCCCTGAGATTATTTCTTCATCTATCAAAATCAGGCATGATGACAAAAGAATACACATATAGATCAATGGGTCAGAATAGAGCCCAGAAATAGACTCACACAATACAGTAAGACAGTCAACTGATCTTTGGCAGAGGTGCAAAGGCAATTCAATGAAGAAAGGATAGTCTTTGTCTTTTCAAGAGATGGGACTGGAACAATTGGGCATCCACATGCAGAAAAATAAACCTAGACTCAGACTTTATGCCATATGCAAAAATAATTAACTCAAAATGGGTCATATGCCTAAATGTAAAATGCAAAACTAGAAAACTCTAGAAGAAAACACAGGAGACCTGTAATCCCAGCACTTTGGGAGGCCGAGGCGGGTGGATCATGAGGTCAGGAGATCAAGACCATCCTGGCTAACAAGGTGAAACCCCGTCTCTACTAAAAATACAAAAAATTAGCCGGGTGCGGTGGCGGGCGCCTGTAGTCCCAGCTACTCGGGAGGCTGAGGCAGGAGAATGGCGTGAACCCGGGAAGCGGAGCTTGCAGTGAGCCGAGATTGCGCCACTGCAGTCCGCAGTCCAGCCTGGGTGACAGAGCGAGACTCTGTCTCAAAAAATAAAAATAAAAAAAGAAAAAAAGAAAAAAGAAAACACAGGAGAAAATTTAAATGACCCTGGGGTTGGCAATTACTTTTTAGATAAAATATCAGAAGCACCATCCATTTTTTTAAAAATTGGTAAGTTTGACTTTACTAATCAAAGACTTCTTCTCTATGAAAGACATTATTAAGAGAATAAGACAAACCACAGACTGGGATAAAATATTCATAAGAAATATAACTGACTTAAAAAAACACGTGTATCCAAAATATAAAATTGGACATAATGAAAATTATACAATTATACACAAGACTTGATTATTGTTCTTGCTCCTGATTTCTGTAAAGGAAGTTTGTGAAGAGACAGTGGAATCAGTTTTGCTGAGAGAAATGTTTGCAGGGCCCCAGATTTGCTACTGTAGATATTTTTAGGGATGAAAAGGTTTAGTTTGAAGTTTGAAGATTTTTTTAAAATAAAGCATAATAATAATTTAGATTTTATCAGTCTGGCATTCTGCAGGACTTAGAATATTTTGCACATATAGTCATCATTTTTTCAAACTTAAGAAATAGGCTTTAAATTGTCTTGGGTTAATGTTAAATGAGATATCAATTTTAAAAGTTTCTGACATACAAATAAAATTCAGTAACAGTTTCCTTTTTCTTAGTAAGTTTTTTATTTTTTTATTTCAATAGGTTTTTGGGGAGCAGGTGGTGTTTACATGGATAAGTTATTTGGTGGTGATTTTTGAGATTTTGGTGCACACATCACCCGAACACTGTATACTGGACCCAATGTGTAGTCTTTTATTCCTCGCCATGCCCCAAACTTTCCCCCAAGTCCCCAAAGTTCAGCGTATCATTCTTATGCCTTTGCATGCTCATAGCTTAGCTCTCACATGTGAGTGAGAACATACAATGTTTGGTTTTTCATTCCTCAGTTATCTAACTTAGAATAAATGGTCACCAATTCCACCCAGGTTTCTGTGAATGCCATTATTTTGTTTCTTTTTATGGCTAAGTAGTATTGCTTAATTTGAGGGCAAATATAATAAGTTATAATGCAGACATATAACTGCATATACATGTCTAAATATAGACATTTGATTTTCTAAGTGCCACATTCACTGGCTCACAAGATACACTTTCTGGGGATGACAGTGGATATTTTCTTATTGCTTCACTCATCTAGCAGTTATTTCTTAAGAAGGAAGCAGCCCAAAAGAATTCCCAGTTTACAACATGTCCAATTCTATGTCTTCTGTGTGAAGAATTAATAATGACTCATGCTTTCTGGGAAAGACAGAAAATGACAATCATAAATGCTTATGAAAAGGATATTTAAGATTACACAAAGTATTACTTGGATCTATACCCATTGCAAATTGTTCCAAAACTTGTTACTCATAAAACCCAAATTCTTGCCTGGGCATGGTGGCTCAAGCCTGTAATCCCAGCACTTTGGGAGGCTGAGGAGGGTGGATCATGAGGTCAGGAGATGAAGACCATCCTGGCCAACATGGTGGAACCCCGTCTCTACTAAAATACAAAAAATTAGCCAGGCGTGGTGGTGCGCACCTGTAGTCTCAGCTACTCGGGAGGCTGAGGAAGGGGAATCACTTGAACCTGGGAGGCGGAGGTTGCAGTGAGCCGAGATCGTGCCACTGCACTCCAGCCTGGCAACAGAGCAAGACTCTGTCTCAAAACAAACAAACAAACAAACAAATTCTTTGGAGAAATTCAAGATGATGGATAAGAAATTCAACTTATAAAATCACTCAGCAATATCTGGTTACTATTTTTATGAGTAAAGAATCAAATTGTACAATATTTAAATGATATGCTATCTTCATAATATGTTTTTCTCATATTTTAATCCCAAAGTAGTAAGTTAGGGGAATATAAGTTAATATCTTATTTTTTGTAGCAAGATGGGCTTCAAAATGTTCTGCTATATTGACTCCTATCAACACGGGCTGATTGGTCTACCTGAAGGAGCATGATCTACCATGATCCATTCCTTCTCTGAACATCTATCATTGATTTATTTAGAACCAGCACCAGGCTGACTGGACCTTTACTACTAGTCAATATGCCTAAGCTTTCTCTCCCCCGATGAAATACAAATTTCAGTAACTGCAAAGACTTTGTCTTACAGTTTGTCAAAATTCTCAGAGCAGGGTCCAGGAGACAGAGCCAAAAAGAGTTACAAAAGAAGTAAAAACTATGGACCCTGATAGGAAAACTAAAACGGGTATCTAAAACAATACAAAAAGCTGATAGGTATCCTTCTCTTTGGTAATGGAATAATTGTTACATCCTAAAAGCTAACAACCCACATAAATCTGACAATTTTTATTTATATTTTAGAGACAGAGTCTGGCTATGTTGTCCAGGCTGTAGTGCAGTGGATATTCACAAGTGCGATCCCACTACTAATCAGCACAGGAATTTTGACCTGTTCCATGTTCAACCTGGACCAGTTCACCCCTCCTTAGGCAATCTGGTGGTCCTTCGCTCATCATATTGATACCAAACTCAGTGTGGACACTCAATCAGCATAGAGCACTACAGCCCAGAATTCCTGGTCTCAAACAATCCTCCTACGTCAGCCTCCCAAATATTATAGCTGGGACTATAGCCACACACCACTGTGCCCGGCCTAACAATTTCTTTAATGGGAATATTTTGCAAAGAGGAGGATTCTTGTTCTACTTTGCAGTTAAAAAAAATAGGAAAACACCCAAAGTAAGGTCGCTGGACAGAATATACATTGTATCTACTCTGGCTCCATGTATTTAAGTAGATAGCATGTTAAATAAACTTTCTGGAGGGAGCTGGAGTTAAGTCTTAAAGCAAGAAAGGATATGGGGAGGAGGGCAGGTGATAGTGCTGGATGAGCCATGAAACAGGAATTAGTTTTAACAATAGCACAAAGTGTATTAAAAATAAACAACCCAGTGCTAAAATGTAGAGCCCTTTGGCATATACAGAGGAAAGAAGATGGAAAGAAAGGAGGAATTGAGTTGATGGAGGGCACTGATGAGCTTGCTGACAGTATGCTGCATCTCAAGCAACTTACTTAAACTTCCCTCATTTTAAATGTCATTGCGTAAAAGTGATCTCCAATGCCCCCTGTCTGCCATGTGTTTTTTCAATCGAGCACTTTTCATAACAAAAGCCTTTAGGATTAGCTGCCTCTTGCATTGGTAGCTGTGAGAAAGAACCTGAAATTATTACCAACTGAAACTGGAGAAAGAGGGCTTTAATGTGGCCTCCTGTGGTGTGGGCTAATGCCAAAAGGGGTTCAGACTTATAATACTAAGGACACATATCTCATAATCCTTTTCCCAAAATTTTCCCCACAGATTGAAAGTCGCAGCTTTTATACTGGGGTGGGGAAAAAACAAGTCAGGTCTGAAAGCGGGACAAAAATAAATCTCTCTCTTCAAAAGTCTGATTAGCATTCTGGATCTAGATCTTGGGTGAGTTTATACTTCTCTTCCACTAATAATTCCTTCCAGTCACGATACTGTCCAGTGGAGATGAAGTTTGAGCAGTTCCATCTTTCCTACCAGATGATTGTGGGAAGTGAATATGCTTTAAATATAATCAGCCTATTATCTAGCTCAAGGAGTAAAGTGTTCTTTTTAATTTGACTATCATCACCCCATAAGAAGCGCATCCTCCATATGCTGAAGTGCGGTAACCTGTGGGCTGCAGCTTTGCTTTTGCACTGCAGATTTTTCAATGTAATTGCATGTAACACTTTATTTATAGTAATGTAAAAGTACTTAAAATCCAATTACATAGCTGGAAAGTGCATATCTCTAAACAGATGCAGAATAATTAAAAAGAAATCCAGTACATATCTATAGAAACTCTTTAGAATTAGCAAAATGACTTATTTCAATATCCTCTGAGCAGCTCCTCTGGTTGAATTGCCAGCCTATATTAGGTACATTAGCCTAATACACATTTCATATGGCTTAATGGGGAATTAAAATGTAGTTTCCTTGCATTTGTTTTTCTTTTTTAGTTTATGACCCAGATAATTCCTGTAGTAGTGATATGTTTCCACGAATTTCCTTTGCCCAGAGATGGTTTGAGTGAGTACAGTTCCTTGCTGGGGCCAACCTTGGAGGTGTTTAGTGGTGGACAGAGGGTAAAAGGATTGTGTTTTCAATGTGGATAAGAAAAGTGTGGCTTTATGAGATGATATTTGCTGACTGCATCAAGCTTCCTATATTTCATATCTAAAAAAATCATAATTGGGAATTCCACCACCCTGGGAAATCCCTGGTCATTATCCACTCATTCTAAGAGCAGATAGGAATACCATGAATAATGGAAATCCATCCAGAGTGCTATTTATACTCTTAATTATTCTTGTATGTACCACCCAAAACAAAAACCAAACACACAAACTGTTTATCAATATAAAAAGTTGATAGGTATATTTGTTTTTGGTAATGATCATTACAGCCTAAAAGCTAACAATCCACATAAATCTAACAGTTTCTTAAAAATGAAACTATTTTGCACATAGGAAGATTCTTGTTCTACATTGCAGTTAAAAAAATTACTCTCAGTTGGCTGAGCACGGTGGCTCATGCCTGTAATCCCAGCACTTTGGGAGGCTGAAGCAGGCAAATCATGAGTTCAGGAGTTCGAGACCAGCCTGGCCAACATGGTGAAACCCTGTGTCTACTAAAAATACAAAAATTAGCCAGGTGTGGTGGTGGGCACCTGTAATCTCAGCTACTCGGGAGGCTGAGGCAGGAGAATTGCCTGAACCCGGGAGACGGAGGTTGCAGTGAGCCGAGATCGCGCCACTGTACTCCAGCCTGGGTGACAGAGTAAGACTCTGTGTTGGGGAAAAAAGCAAAACAAAAAAAAATTACTCTCAGTTACTCTCAGCTAAAACTCCTGGCCTTCATGAAAAATAATCTCTTTGAAAGTTCGTATTAATAACTTCAATATTGCATTAATGTAATTATCAGTCTTTAATGTATGTGGCATAACTGAAAACATTTTCAGTAACAACAATATATTTATTATTTATACCCAGCATGAAGAAGTTGAACTTGCTATGGAAACCAGGAATTTATTCATTATACTCAATTTTCTCTTCATAATAGAAATAATAATCCTAGCATTTTTAAAAACTGCCAACAGTTTCCACATTGTCTAGAAGCTGTTTTTTCTAGATTTACATGTCTTTTTTTTTTTTTTTTTTTTTTTTTTTTTTACCATTCTCATGTTTCTCAGCAGTCTCAACAGAAATTCAGAAATGTTGTTCCCAATAGATATGAAGGTGACTCCAGATCACTTCGTCCCCCACCTCTGCCACATCCCTTAGGTCATTTTCCTTGTAGCTTGATGCCCTCTTGCTCTCTCCTCTGCCTCCTTCCTTATCAAAACAGCTCCCAGAAACAGACCTGGTGTGAGTCATTTTCATGAATATGAATGTCAGTAGCTCTATTATCTTGTTTTCAGGCAAATGAGTTGCAGGTATCAGGAAATGGAAAAAAAAGAGGTGTTTTAAGAAAGTGAAATTTTTATAGTTATAGTAAATCACCCCACAGCTTCACCTTATTAGCCCCAACATAATATTAGTTTATGAGGGAGAAGAAGGAATGGTCATCTTAAATTTATAAATTAAATAAATCCATGTGGGGCTTCATGACCTCTATGATTTTGGTTGTTCACCCATGTGTTTGACAGAACACACTTCCCTTTAGGTTTTGTGACTGTAATCCAGTAATTTGTGACTTTTTATTCACCGATTTCTAATCTGTGCCTTTTCTGTCACTTTCTTTCTTTTCTTCAATTGAGGGACATCCACTCATACTTTTCTGCAACAGTTACTATGAGACTGAATGAAGGAGGATGAATGCAGAAATGAAAACTTAAGACAAAAGAAACTGTTTTAAAGAAAGGGTCAGGGGGCTCCTTCCTTCTAGGGAGCAAGGGCCTTGAGCTTCCACAGCCCTTTGTATTTATTGGGCAGAAAGAGCAGGGAGGAGGAGCTAACAACTGGTCAGCTGCTTGATTGATCACAGGCTCACATTATTGCTAACAGGCTTCAGATGTGCCTAATCACAAGAAACACTGCGCCTGGGGCGCGACTGCCCTCAGCATTCCCTCTGGGTGGCAGACGCAGTTTGTCAGTTTGCTAACAACCTGCTTTCATGAGAACAGTTTGCTGTTTACTCATATAGCCTCCAGTGGTACACTGAGTTGGTCACGACTCTCATTCTTTCGGCCTCCAACACTTTTCTATTCTCTGTTTCTTCCTTTCTTATTTTGCCAATTGCATTCTTCTGATGCTTTATTTCAAAAAGATGACTATACCTATTGCTCCTGTTGACCACCATTATCATTATATAAGAGATGATTTGCAAAATGGTGCACTAGCCACACGGTTTATGTCACCTGCTCCCTATTCCAGATGAAGAAGTCTAATCACAGGGGGTGAGTGACTTAAGTAAGGTCACATGGCAAGTGGCAGGTGGCCAGCAGCTTTTTCTCTCACCACCCAGGAGCTGTTAATCCATTTCTCAGTTGGCTGGACCAGCATGCTCCTGGGCAGAAAAGGCATAAGAAGGATGGATGGCCATGCCAAAGCAAAGACCAAGGTTCATGTGGAAGGGAGCCCTCTTCTGTAGCGATGGTCACCTGGGTCAGGCAGAACTCTTATTCTGAACAGTTTGACAATGAAAATTCCATAAGAGGGTGGGGAGCAAGACAGCTGACTAGAAGCAGCCACAATCGAGGCTCCTGTCAAAAAGAACCATAATAGCATGTGAATCCTGCACCAACAACCTAGGTATCCAGGTTCTCTCATCAGAACTGACTAGGCAGCTGGCATGATCCACAGAGAGGAAGGAAGAGCAGTGTGGTGCAGCAGCCCACCTGAGAGCCACAGGGAGCAGGGGAACCCCAGCACCCCCGCCAAAGGAGGCAGTGAGTGAGTGTGCCACCCCCTGGGGAAACCGTGCTTTTTCCATGGAACTGTGCGCCCCATGGAGCTGAAGACCCACTTACGAACCCATGCCACTGGGGCCTAGGGTCCCAACTCTGGAGCCGTGCAGATTCTCAACTGCCTCTCAGCTAGAATCTACTCAAGCCTACCAAGTCTTCAGGGAGAGGGGCAACCAGCACCACAGCTGCAGCTGCCTCCTGTCTGAGCTGTTTGAGCTCCTTGTGGGCGGAGAAGCAGCCAGCACTGGGACTCATAACGGCCTAATACGCTAAGCTTCCTGGGTGGGGGAAGGGCGGCATCCATCTCTATAGCTCCAAGCCATGCTTTTCCCCTGATGGAGCCAAGGAGGCTGGATGGCTTGGTCCCAAGTGGTGTCCCCCACAGCCCAACACACTGGCTGTGGCAGACTGCAGCCAGAGCGCCTCTTCAGGCCTGACTCTGACTCATCCAACCTCACTGGTTGGGGCCTCCCTGCAGGAAACTGAACAACTCCAGCCAGAGTCTCAGGGACAGAACCGTGATCTCTCTGGGCCTGAGCCCCTAGGGGGAGGAGTGGCCACAGTCTCTGCAGACCAGCAGATTTAGCCTTTCCTGATGGTAGTTCTGAGGAATCCAGGCAGCCCAAATGATTCTGTTTTCCCCAAGTGAAGCACACCCCCTCCACCAAGGGACAAAGTGCTTTGTTAAATGGGTCCTGTTCCCTGTGCCACCCAACTGGGTGAGACCCTCCAACAGGGATTGTCAGACACCCTATACAGGAGCGATCCTACTGGCATCAGGTTGGTGACCCTCGAGGTCAGAGATCACAGAAGAAGGAGCAGGCACCCATCTTTGCTGTTCTCTAGCCTCCTTGAGTGACATCTCTAGGTACAGAAGTGAACTAGATGAACAGGGCCGGATGTGAACCCCCAGCAAACCGCAGCGGCCTGAGAGAAGAGGGACCTGACCACTGAAAGAAAAACAAACAGAAAGCAACAACAACATCAACAACAAAAAAAGTGTACACAAAAACCCCATCCAAGGGTCAGGAGCCTCAAAGATCAAAACTTGACAAACTTACGAAGATGAGAAAGAATCAACAAAAAAAAACACTGAAAATTCAAAAGGCCAGAGGCCTCTTCTCCTCCAAATGATTGAAACGCCTCTCCAGCAAGGGCACAGAACTGGACAGAGGATGAGATGGACAAAGTAACAGAAGTAGGCTTCAGAAGATGGGTAATAAACTCTGCTGAGCTAAGGCAGCATGTTCTAACCCAATGCAAAGAAGCTAAGAACCTTGATAAAAGGTTACAGGAGCTGCTAATTAGAATAATCAGTTTAGAGAGGAACAAAAATGACCTGAAGGAGTTAAAAAACAAAGCATGAGAACTTCCTGAAGCATACACAAGTATCAATAGCCAAAACGACCAAGAGGAAGAAAGGATATCACAGTCTGAAGACCACCTTGCTGAAATAAGGCATGCAGACAAGATTAGAGAAAAAGGAATTAAAAGGAATGAACAAAGCCTCCAAGAAATATGGGACTACATAGAAAGACTGAACCTATGATTGACTGGAGTACCTGAAGGAGATGAGGAGAATGGAAACAAGACGGAAAACACACTCAGGATATTATCCAGGAGAATTTCCCCGATCTAGCAAGACAGGCCAACATGCAAATTCAGGAAATACAGATAACACCACTAGCATACTCCAAGAGAAGATCAACCCCAAGACATGTAATCATCAGATTCTACAAGGTGAAAATGAAGGAAAAATTGTTAAAGGCAGCCAGAGATAAAGGCCAGGTCACCTAATAAAAAGGGAAACCCATTGGACTTACAGTGGACCTTTCAGCAGAAACCCTTCAAGCCAGAAGAGATTGGGGGCCAATATTTGACATTCATACAGAAAAGAATTTTTAACCCAGAATTTCATATCCAGCAAAACTAAGCTTCATAAGTGAAGGAGAAATAAAATCCTTTCCGGACAAGCAAATGCTGAGTGATTTCATCACCACAAGGCCTGCCTTGCAGGAGCTCCTGAAGGAAGAACTAAATATGGAAAGGAAAAACCAGTACCAGCCACTGCAAAAACATACCAAAATAGAAAGACCAATGACACTATGAAGAAACTGCATCAACTAGTGTGTAAAATAACCAGATAGCATCATGATGACAGGTTCAAATTCACACATAACAATACTAACCTTAAATGTAAATTGGCTAAATGCCCCAATTAAAAGACACAGTCTGGCAAATTGGATAAAGTGAAGACCCATCAGTGTGCTGCATTCAAGAGACTCAACTTACATGCAAAGACACACATAGGCTCAAAATAAAGGAATGGAGGAAAATTTTCCAAGCAAACAGGAAAGCAAAATAAATGCAAGGGTTTCAATCTTAGTCTCTGACAAAACAGACTTTAAAACAACAAAGATCAAAAAAGACAATGAAGGGCATTACATAATGGTAAAGGGATAAATTCAACAATAGAGCTAACTATCCTAAATATATATGCACTTAATACAGAAGCACCCAGATTCATAAAACAAGTTCTTAGAAATCTACAAAGAGACAGAAAATTAACAAGGATATTCAGGACTTGAACTCAGCTCTGGATCAAGTGGACCCAATAGACATCTACAGAACTTTCCATCCAAAATCAAGAGAATATACATTCTTCTCAGTGCCACATGCCACTTATTCTAAAATCGACCATATAATTGGAAGTAAAACACTCCTCAGCAAATGCAAAAGAACTGAAGTCATAACAGTCTCTCAGACCACACTGCAATCAAATTAGAACTCAGGATTAAGAAACTCACTCAAAACCACACAATTACATAGAAATTGAATGACCTACTTCTGAATGACCCCTGGGTAAATAATGAAATTAAGGAAGAAATCAAGAATTTCTTTGAAACCAATGAGAACAAAGACACAACATACCAGAATCTCTGGGACACAGCTAAAACAGTGTGAAGACAGAAATTTATAGCACTAAATGCCCACATCAAAAAGCTAGAAAGATTTCAAATCAACACCCTAACATCAGAATTAAAAGAGCTAGAGAAGCAAGAGCAAACTAATCCAAAAGCTAGCAGAAAACAAGAAATAATTAAGATCAGAGAAGAACTGAAAGAGAGACATGAAAAACTCTCCAAAAAAAAAAAATCAATGAATCCAGGAGCTGGTTTTTTGAAAAAATAAATAAATAAATAAAACTAAAAAACAAAATAGATAAACTGCTAGCTAGAATAATAAAGAAGAAAAAGAAAGAAGAATCAAATAGACACAATAAAAATGATAAAGGGGATATCACCACTGACCCCAGAGAAATAAAAGCTACCATCAGAGAATACTATAAACACTTCTACACTAATAAACTAGAAATCTAGAAGAAATGGATAAATTGTTGGACACATACACCCTCCCAAGACTATACCAGGAAGAAGTCAAATCCCTGAATAGACCAATAACAAGTTCTGAAATTGAGGCAGTAATTAATAGCCTACCAGTCCAAAAAAGCCCAAGACCAGACGGAATCACAGCTGAATTCTACCAAAAATACAAAGAGTAGCTGGCATCATGCCTTTTGAAATTATTCCAAACAATTGAAATGGAGAGACTCCTCCCTAACTCATTTTATGAAGCCAGCATCATCCTGATATCAAAACCGGGAGGAGACACAACAAAAAAGAAAACTTCAGGCCAATATCCCTGATGAACATTGATGCAAAAATCCTCAATACTGGCAAACCAAATCCAGCAGCACATCAAAAAACTGGTCCACCATGATCAAGTCAGCTTCATCCCTGAGATGCAAGGTTGGTTCAACATATGCAAATCAATAAATGTAATCCATCACATAAACAGAACCAAAGACAAAACCACATGATTATCACAATATATGCAGAAAAGGCCTGTGATAAAATTCAACATCCCTTCATGTTAAAATCTCTCAGTAAACTCGGTATTGATGGAACATACCTCAAAATAATAAGAGCTATTTATGACCAACCCACACCCAATATCATATTGAATGGTCAAAAGATGGAAGCATTCGCTTTGAAAAGTGGTACAGACAAGGACGCCTCTCTCATCACTCCTATTCAACATAGTATTGGAAGTTCTGACCAGGGCAATCAGGAAAGATAAATAAATAAAGGGTATTCAAATAGGCAGAGAGGAAGTCAAATTGTCTCTGTTTGCAGACAACATGATTCTCTATTTAGAAAATCCCATTGTCTCAGCCCCAAAACTCATTAAGCTGTTAAGCAACTTCAGCAAAGTCTTGGGATACAAAATCAATGTTCAAAAATCACAAGCATTACTTCACACCAACAATAGACAAGCAAAGAGTCAAATCATGAATGAACTCCTATCCACAATCACTACAAAAGGAATAAAATACCTAGGAATACAGCCAACAAGGGATGTGAAGAAACTCTTCAAGGAGAACTACAAAGCACTGCTCAAGGAAATAAGAGAGGACACAAACAAATGGAAAAACATTCCATCCTCATGCTTAGGAAGAATCAATATCGTGAAAATGACCATACTGCCCAAAGTAATTTATAGATTTAATGCTATTTCCATCAAACTACCACTGACATTCTTCACGGAATTAGAAAAAACTACTTTAAATTTCATATGGAATCAACGAAGACCCCATATAGCCAAGGCAATCCTAAGCAAAAAGAACAAAGCTGGAGATATCACACTACCTGACTTCAAACTATACTGCAAGGCTACAGTAATCAAAACAGCATGGTACTGGTATGAAAATAGACATACAGACCAATGGAACAGAACAGAGACTTCAGAAATAACACCACATATCTACAACCATCTGGTCTTCTACAAACCTGACAAAAACAAGCAATGGAGAAAGGATCTCCTATTCAATAAATGGTGCTGGGAAAACTGGCTAGCCATATGCAGAAAACTGAAACTGGACCCCTTCCTTACACCTTATACAAAAATTAACTCATGATGGATTAAAGACTTAAATGTAAGACCCAAAACCATAAAAACCCTAGAAGAAAATCTAGGCAATACCATTCAGGACATAGGCATGGGAAAATACCTTATGACTAAAACACCAAAAGCAATTTCAACAAAAGCCAAAACTGACAAATGGGATCTAATTAAAGAGCTTCTGCACAGCAAAAGAAACTATCATCAGAATGAACAGGCAACCTAGAGAATGGGGGAAAATTTTTGCAATCTATCCATCTGACAAAGGTCTAAAATCCAGAATTTACAAGGTAGTTAAATTTACAAGAAAAAACCAACCCCATCAAAAAGTGGGCAAAGGATACAAACAGACACTTCTCAAAAGAAGACATTTATGTGGCTAGCAAACATATGAAAAAGAGCTCACCACCACTGATCATTAAAGAAATGCAAATCAAAGCCACAATGAGATACCATCTCACGGCAGTCAGAATGGTGATTATTAAAAAGTCAAGTAACAACATATTTTGGTGAGGCTGTGGAGAAATATGAACACTTTTACACTGTTGGTGGGAATGTAAATTAGTTCAACCATTGTGGAAGACAGTATGGTGATTGCTCTGGGCTCTAGAACCAGAAATACCATTTGATCCAGCAATCCCATTACTGGGCATATACCCAAAGGATTATAAATCATTCTGCTATAAAGACACATGCACACATATATTTATTGCAGGACTGTTCACAATAGCAAAGATTTGGAACCAACCCAAATGCCCATCAAGGATAGACTGCATAAAGAAAATGCAGTACACAGACAGCATGGAATACTATGCAGCCATGTAAAGGAATGATATCATGTCCTTTTTAGGGATGTGGATGAAGCTGGAAGCCATCATTCTAAGCAAACTAACACAGGAACAGAAAACCAAACACCACATGTTCTCACTCATAAGTGGGAGTAGAACAATGAGAACACATGGACACAGGGAGGGGAACAACACACACCAGGGCCTGTTAGGGGGTGGAGGGTGAGGGGAGGGAACTTAGAGGTCAATAGGTGCAGCAAACCACCAAGGCACACATATACCTATGTAACAAATCTGCACATTCTGTACATGTACTCCAGAACTTAAAGTTGAAGGAAAAGAAAAGAAAATTCCCCAAGCAAACAGTCAGAAGAAATTGTTCATCTGGTCTTAGTCATTTTCCAAGCATTTACCAGGTGTCTACTCTTGCTGGGCACCTTTAACTGTAGGGCTAGGGAAAGAATTTGTGATACAGAGATGAATATGAGATCACCACTGTCACTGAGGAGCTCACTGCATGGCAGGACAAACAGAGTAGTGTGGGCCATGGCATTAGAATGCCATAGTGCTGAGATGCAGAGAGGGGAAATGGATTAACTCCTTTGTCTAAGGGATTTTCAACACTCTCACAGAAGAGGTGAGATTTAGTCTGAGTAGTGAAAGATTAGAACAGTTGACCAGAAAGAAAAGTGTAGAAAAAAATATTCTATGCAGAGGGAACGGCATGCATCAATACTCCATGTATGAAAAGGCACAATGCTTTCTGGAAACCATCAAAGGTGTGGCTTGTATGTTGAAGAGTTGGGAGATTGCTGGGTGATAAGCCTGGAAAGAAAGGTTGGGAAAATTTTTAAAGTGAGTGGCACAATAATGAGTTTTATTTTCACCTTCTAGGTTATAGCAGTTTTTATTCAAGGAAACAGAATTGCCTAATCTGCATTTTATGATCTAAAGACAGGGTGTAAGATACGTAGAAGAGAGATGAATCCCAAAGTAGGGAGACAAGTTAGAGAACTAGTGCTAAAGGCCAGGCAGAACTGCCAAAAACCTTAACTAGGACAGTAGCCATGGAAATGGAGGAAAAGAAAAAGATAATAATGGCAAATTCAAGAGAAAAATATTATCTTAATTAAATCCTATGCTGTCTACTATCTAGTCTTTGGCACTTTCTCTAAAGAAGATGTTGAAATCAATAAGAGTAAAAATCAGGTAGTAGAAGCTGGAATCAGAGGTCCTGCAAGTCCAAAACCTTGGCCTCCCTGCTGACACTATAAATGGTTTGAATCCTGCCTTTGTCCTCTGAGCCCAGGAAGGGAGGGTGAGAGACTAGTGACAGTAGAAAGAGACCATGCTTGCACTAGGAGAACTTTTACATCTAAGTCAAAGTGAATAAAGGCTGGAACAGTCTACCACACAATATCGTGGACTGTCTCCCTAGAGGCCTTTCAAAACAATTTCTTGGAAGGTTTAGGCTGGATTCCGTGAAGCTAAGGCACATCTGGCATAATGTGCCCAAATCATTCGAAGCTCCAAATGGAAATAACGTGCTACCCCAGGCTGTGCCAGTCAGAGCCCATAAAATCTCCATGCTTGTTAATTTCTCTGAGTGTGCATATTGCACTAAGAGTGGCTCATCCAGTAAGACCAGAGGAAAAATCAGCAAGGGAATGGACATTAGGGAATGGACATGAATGAGAGCAAAAGCACTGGAACTCTGACCTGAGGGACGGTGCCAGGAAGTCAACTTGGAAAATGATGGAGGAACTGAGTGTTGGAATCAAGCAGAGGAAACACTTGCTGATATTCAGTGATGAAACTCAACCTTTTGTTTCCCCTCTGTCCTTTTTCAACTTGCAAACATTTTCCAATACTTTCTTCCCAGAGGAGAGTTTAAGAAAAAAAAAGAAAAAAAAGGTCCCTTACTGTTCTCCTTTTCAAAGCCCCCATTTATGACCATAGACTGCCAGCATTCCTAAAAATCTAAGTCTCTTCTCTCCAGAAAAGTCATCTGGATACAGGACTGCATCTGGAATGGGGAGCTAGAACAGGCAGAGGAGTGGGGCACATATACCTTCTTCAGAGGGGAAAGGAGGCAGGGGTTTATTTCAAAGATGGAGAGATGGTTTAGCCTGTCTTCCCTACCACAGCCAAACAGCTGTACTGACCCTGACCCCATCTCTTCCCAAAATGAGCCACAGAATCAAAGAGAGTATGTTGGCATCAGGATCTTGAGGGGAGAGAGTCTTGAGCCTGTAACAATAGAAAAATAGACAGTCCATCCTCACACTCTCTTTCCAAAATTAGAACCTTCTCTGTCTTCTGTAACATATCGTGATCTAAAATGTGTATTCCTATCCTGTCTGGCAGCTGTTCTACTCAGAAACCCCATTCTAGGTAAGTGGAGATCTTTCTGGTTCCTGTTATCTTGGAAATATAATTCCCAACCCTTGTCCTCCTCCTACTCCACACTTGACATAGCTCAGGATGTCATCAGAAACATCTTCTTTGAAAGTAGTAAGCAAATGGGAGTTCAACCTGCTCATGTGTGAAAATGCTGGTGCGTCTGGTTTACCCAGCTGGTGACGCCGTGGTCTTCTACTGTCCAACAGTGGTATCCACAGTACATCAGCCTCAATTTCTTTTTAGGACTGTGATGCTCTGAGTTGCAGTTCAGGAACATCTCCCCTAGGAATCCAAACTACTACACCCTGAAGTTTCATCTTTGTATGCAATTAGTTACTAAGTACACTGAATCAAATGCTACTTCTAGATTTGGGAGGCTCCCACTGTCCACAAGGGTCACCACTACGAGTCTGAATTATAAGGGACTTATGCACAGGGCCTTTCCTGAGTCTTCACTCTCTATGCCATTGCTTTACCCCAACATCGACACATTTGTAAAAACAGGGTAGCCTCAGCAGGAAAAGAAAGAGCTCAGAGTTTTGTGGAAGAAGAAAAAGAATTGGGGGTACAGGGCTGTTGTTAAGTTTATAACTCCTGTTCCTCAGTGACGTCTTTCGTTCTACAGGTCTAGCTCCATTCTCTCTCCTTGTTGCCTTCTCAGCTCAGTGCACATCCCTTTGTCCCTATGCCAATGTGGAGTCTTTGGAAACTGCCCTGACTTAAGAAACTCTAGAGTTAGCTTCAGTTATTGTCAGTGAAGCTTGATTATTAAGGAATTGAGAAGAAAGCAAGCCAGTCCACTGGTAATTACCTTAAATCTCTTCCAAGGAAAATAACCAAGAAGGTCTTAATGTTCCCCTCTACTTAATTAAACTTTAGACAGGTTTCTTCCAGACTGTACATCATTGACCTCCCTTTTCTTAGAGCATTTACTTGTGGGGGCGGGGGTGGGGAGGCACGCAGGGACTTGTAACAAGTTTTTTATCTGCCCCTTTGAGATGTAAATCATCTCTAGGCATCTTACCAGTTTTACATCCCAGGAATGTCTTTCAAGGGTAAGGAAGCCATCTCTTTGATAAGTAACCATTAAGGAAAATAATGCCCCTATTCCCAAAGTTAGGTAGGAACCTAACTTTGACAAACACCAAGTGGCAAACACAGAAGGCCAAATCTCACTGACCAACCTTCCCCCAACATTCTCCAAGATTTTTTCACTAGTTCATCTTGGTACACTTATGCTCCCCTTAATAATGGGAAGTGTGTCATTAGGCATCTTCAAACATCATAACATGCACTTACACAAACCTAGACAGCATAGCCTACTACACAGCTAGGCTACAAACCCATACAGTATGTCACTTTACTGAATACTGTAGGCAATTATGACACAATGGTATTTGCACATCTAAACAAATCTAAATATAGAAAATGTTCAGTAAAAAGGATGTGGAGAAATAGGAACACTTTTACACTGTTGGTGGGACTGTAAACTAGTTCAACCATTGTGGAAGTCAGTGTGGCGATTCCTCAGGGATCTGGAACTAGAAATACTATTTGACCCAGCCATCCCATTACTGGGTATATACCCAAAGGATTATAAATCATGCTGCTATAAAGACACATGCACACGTATGTTTATTGCGGCACTATTCACAATAGCAAAGACTTGGAACCAACCCAAATGTCCAACAATGATAGACTGGATTAAGAAAACGTGGCACATATACACCATGGAATACTATGCAGCCATAAAAAAGGGTGAGTTCATGTCCTTTGTAGGCACATGGATGAAGCTGGAAACCATCATTCTCAGCAAACTATCACAAGGACAAAAAAGCAAACACCGCATGTTCTCACTCATAGGTGGGAATTGAACAATGAGAACACATGGACACGGGAAGGGGAACATCACACACTGGGGACTGTTGTGGGGTGGGGGGAAGGGGGAGGGATAGCATTAGGAGATATACCTAATGCTAAATGATGAGTTAATGGATGCAGCACACCAACATGGCACATGTATACATATGTGACAAACCTGCACGTTGTGCACATGTACCCTAAAACTCAAAGTATAATAAAAAAAAAAATGACAAAATCTTATGGGACCACTGTCGTATATGCAGTCTGTCATTGACCGAAATGTCATTATACAGCACATGACTATACTTAAAACCACTCTTGCCTTTTGTTTCAGGGAGAGTTGGGTTCAGTCTCTTTCCTTCATTGGAATAGTCTTCACCCCATTCTAATAATCTTTCTGGGGTTTTTTTTTTTGTTTTTTTTGAGGTGGAGTTTCGCTCTGTCATCCAGGCTAGAGTACAGTGATGCAATCTCAGCTCACTGCAAACTCTGCCTTCCAGGTTCAAGCGATTCTCCTACCTCAGCCTCCCAAGTAGCTGGGATTACAGGCATGTGCCACCACACCCAGCTAATTTTTGTATTTTTAGCAGAGAGGGGTTTCACCATGTTGGCCAGGCTGGTCTTGAACTCCTGACCTCTGGCATGAGCCACCACACTGGGCCACAATAATCTTAAATAATTTTTTCCTTCCCTGCTTAACTGAAATTTTTCTCTTACAGAACCCAGAATTCCAAACTTGGATATCTGTTTCAACTTAATTCTCTGTATTGTCAATTCAAAAAGAGTAATTGTTGGATACACATCATTATTGATTTGTCAAAACCTGTAGAATATACAATACTAAGAGTGAACCTTAAGGCAAACCATGGACTTTGAATGATAATAACATGTCAGTGTAAGTTCTTCAATCATAACAAATATACTCCACTGGGACAGGATGTTGATAATGGGAGAAGGCTGTACGTATGTGTGGGTGGGAGTTATGTGAAAACTCTATGTACTTTCTGCTTAATTTTCCTGTGACTCTAACCAAAAAAATAAAGTCTAATATTTTTAAACATTTCATTGTGCCGTTTAAACTTGTGTGACATTTTAAAATTTTTATGTCCTCCTATCTGATTCTTACATTACCTTCAATAGATGCCTTGTGTGCCTTTAGAGAGAGAGATTGGAGCAGAATTCCTTAAACCTCTCAATGACAATCCAAAGCTGGAATCCAGTGGATCTGTCTCTGAATATTGTGACTAGAAAAAAACTGCATTTAAAACAGAAAGCTGGTAGAAAGCGAGACATTAAGTTTCACAAGCCCTGAAGGTGGGCTGGGGAAACTTTCTAATAAACAAGACTGTGTCCCGGTTCCCTACAGCGTTAAGCAGAGAGGATTGACGTTCATTTCAATCAACATATGTTGTAATATGTGAAAATATCTTAGACGTGGAGTAAACATTTACAGGTTTGCCTTAAATATGTGACCCCTATTCCAATAACCTTTCTGTTGTTTGTTTGTTTTCTAGATGGAGTTTTGCTCTGTCGCCCCGGCTGGAGTGCAGTGAGGCAATCTCAGCTCACGCAACCTCTGCCTCCCAGGTTCAAAGTGATTCTTTTTTAAATGACTGTTATTTTAACTAAGATTTTAAAAATGTATACTATGTAGCAATGTTTAATTTCTTATCACAGGACCTATCTTCCTTTACCTTCTGATTTGATTACATTTATTTTTCTACTCCAACTTTCAGTGCATCAGGGTTTAGTTTTCCTGAATTAACTACTATGAAATTGATGGCTCTCTCTCACTGGTCTGCATACAGCTACCTAAGTCCAGGTAGAATAAGACTGATCACTCCTTGGTAAGCTCCTTTGCTCATTAGCAGACCCCTATTACCCTTCTGTAGAACAGAGAATCCCACGTGCAGTTTCCTTTTTTATTTACGTAGCTCGTGTGCCGTTTTAAAATTTTTGTCCTCCTATCTGATTTGCCACTGCAAATTGCACACTACTAAATGTTTCCTAAGGAAAAGGAGGTTATGCAACAGAAAATTGGATCCCTACAAGTTATTAAATCCTTAGTGGTCACTTTGCTTTCATCATTTCACCTTTAAATAAAGGCTGTAACATTTACAAGCCACTATGTGACTTGCACGCGTAAGAACACTGCCTGGCTATTTACAGTACATTGCCTCGCGAGATGGGGGGTGATTCCCTCTCGCATTAAAATGCTCAAAAGCAATCAGCTGTGCTGCCTATCATACAATCCAAGTAAGATCATAAAGGAAAATAAGAATTACGTTCAAATTGTATCAAATTGTGTCCTACATAGAAGGATGACTGTGTTCACGTAAACAAAAATATTTTGGTAGATGAATTACTTGATTTCTAGACTTTATCTTAAAATTCATAGACTGCATTTGCTTAAAAAGGCAGGGGGAGTATTGAAAATTTTGTAAAATTCATAATGGCTCTATAAAGAGAAGTTATGATTCAGATGAATTTTAATTTCTTTCAGGCTAATCACAAAAGTTCAGTTAATTAACACCAAAATAGCTTTTTTCACTCTCATAGTAAATATACGAAAATTTTACCTTGTACGGCATTTTTAACAGCATAGATTTTTATTTGCAAACTCAAGATCCACGGAGAGGCAATCCTGTTAAACTCATTTTGACCACAGAAATTAATCCATTCTACAGTATTGCTCATAGTATTTAAAGGGCAGGGAGACCAAACACTGCCTGTCAAAATCCTGCACATGCCTGATGCTAAGCTGCCATCTGTGTCCTCAAGCCTTAGTGAAGTGTCACCACAGCCATTGGCCCAATGCTAAGTTCTGTGGCAGTACTTAAACTACTGTGTTTCGTACTATAACTACCTATATCATTTTGTTTTCTCCAAACACACAACCACATGTTTAACTGAAGGTTCTTTGAAATCAGACTGTGGGTCTAAATTTTCTAAGTTATAGCACCTAGTTCAGAGACCTATGCACAGTAGACTCTTGGAGAATGAATAAATCATTGCACATTTCAGGAAACCACTAATACATGGTATTAAACTATATTACCACTAAAGTATCCTATTTCCCAATTTCTGATTTGCTCTTCTACAAAACTCAGCATACATACACATAACAAATAAACACACATTTAAAGCCATTTCCCCTTGTTCTTCATCCTCTTTTTTAATCCACTGCAAAACTGACCCTAAAGATGGCAGAAAACACCAGTATACCCAGTCCAAAACTTAGCCAGATCTACAGAGGAATACACTCCTAGCTTGTCCCCTTGTTACTGAGTTCATATATACTCACTATGTCCCAGGCAATTTCCTTGAATAGAAACACAGTGGTGGGCAAAGCCGACTTGGCACCTGCCTTATGGTGTCTGCAATCCACTTAGGGAGATAGACACTAAGTAAACGAATAAATACCAATATGACTACCATTTGGGTAAATGAAAAGAAAATGACACTAAGAGAAATTTATGTTAGAGAAGACTCGCTTTAGAATGAGTGGTCTGGAAAAACCTCTGAAGTATTATTCAAGTTGACATTCAAAGGGTATGCAATAGCTAGTAAGGAAAAGAGAATTTTACACACAAAAAAAACAGAGACGTAGGGAAGAATGGGTGTACTTCAGGCACTGAAATTTAGTGGGAGATGGAGAGAGAATAGCATTTCTGAATATTGGGAAGAAAAGGCCAGAAGCTGATTATACTAAGCCATAGACACCATGGTGAGGCGTTTGAAGAAAGTTAAGTCTGGCTTGTGTGTGGAGAATGGATTAGAATGGGAGCAAAATTGGAAGCGGGACCATTTAGGGCCAGTGTAGTAGTCCACGTAAGAAATAAAAGAGGTGGACCACAATGCCAGTGGGGGACATAAAGAAAAGTAGACAGGTTTAAGATGTATTTTGAAGAAAAAAGTCTCTAAGAGTTGATGATGGATTGAATATATGAGATGAGGAAAGGGAAGAACCAAGACTGATTCTCAGATTTCAGACTAGCATCTGGATGAATGGAGATGCCATTTAATGACAGAGGATCACTGGAAAACAGATTAACAACATATACGTTCTATTCCAACAATCACTTATTAAAATGAAACTAATAGATGCTGGTTTTGGCATATGTTTGAAGAACATTTGCCTACACTATAAAAAGAAACCCCTGGGGTTTCTGATCAGATGGCATATTGTTACAAGTTGCTGTGTCCACCCTAAACCCAAATTGGCTGCCTCTCAGAATTGGAGAGTGTTTGATGGACCCCAGAGATGAGGGTTCTCAGGTCCTGGGGAAAAAGCATCCTGGAGAGGAGCGCTAAGTGCTATGGACCAGGGAGAGCCCAGGAATGCTGCCTAAGAATTTTCTTTTCTTTAACTGACATTGGCCTGGCTGGGCCATTCTGCAATGTGGTGAGGCAGGAAATGAGTCCTGTCAGCCCGTGTCCCACCCTCAGATACAAAGAAACATTAGGATCTGCCAGGGTTGTTTGGGGCATAGAGAAGGTACCAGCAGGTGCACCTCTTTCCCCTCTTATGGAGGGGTAGGTAAAACAACCTAGGGAAGATGGCTTAATAGCAACACTGGAAGCTAGAATATAAAGAAGGCTTGATTTCTGCATTCTAAGGTAAAATGATTTCAAAGGTAGAATTATGTCCCATGAAATCTGTCAATGAAATGTGAAAGAAAAGAAGATATTTTCAGCCAAGCAAAGTCTCACAAATCCTCCTTCTATAGACTCTTTGTCAAGAAGCTGCTGGAAGATGTGCTCCACAGAGTAAAAGAGTAAACCAGAATAAAGGAAGTCAATAGAAACAGGAAATAGCTTCACAGGAGAAAAATATAAGGGAATCCCTAAGAAATTGGTTTAAAAAGTAATGTCCTTACGCACCAGGCCTAGAGCAGTGAATCCTAAATTACACTTAGGTAAAAAAAAAAAAAAAAAAAATTATCTGATAATGTGTTTAATATTGAAAGGAATTTGACATTCCTGATAAATAGCAAATGAGAAAATGAGGCAAGTGTTAAACACAACCAAAAACACGTAATAAAGGGATACAACCATAGCATTCTATGCAGTTCAGCTATGAACAATATAACTGTATTGTGTGATGAAAGAAGAAAAGCAGGGATGGAGGGAGGAATGTGTATGATAATAACTAAGCCTTTATTTGCCATAATAGTGAAGGGAATCAAAATGTTACCCCAAAATGTCTAAAATCCTGAAAATCAAAATTCCAAATGTTGACATTCTGAAAGCTGAATTCTGGGGGAAGTGATTAGTGCATTTTGGGTTGTGCACAGGATAGTTGCATCATGTTAAATGGAACTATTATCTTGTTATTGTCTTTATTTGGAAATTAAATATGGTTTGAAGAGGAGCATATGGATGCCAAGCTGACAAGGGGTAAACTTGTGGACTTAACTTTAGATATTGACTGGACTGGATTAAGAAATACCTAGACACATGGTAAAGCATTATTTTGGGTGTGTCTGTGAGGGTGTTTCTAGGGGAGATTAGTGTGTGAGTCTAACTAGGACTAGGTGGAGAAGATCTGCCATCAATGCTGGCAGGCACCATCCAACTGGCCTGGTGCCCAGAGAGAACAAATACACAAGGCAAATTGGTTCTGAGAGCTGGGACAGACTTTTCTTCTGCTGCCTTGAACATTAGAAATTTGACTCCACAAAAAGTGCATTATCACAAAGTTGACTTTGTGTGTAAGCATTGTGTGTGTACATAATGTTGAAACTTCCTCAATAAATGAAGAGTTTTTTTGCACATCTGCATTTGTGAAAGATAAAATTTCTCAAGATCTGGGCTATTTGGGCAAAAGCATAAGCAGTGGTGACCCATTGAGCTCTATAAGTCAATGCCATTTGTGCAAATGGCACAAAAGTTATAAATATACCTCATAATAGCTATGAATGTACTGCTTAGCATGTGCTAGACACTGTTCTAGTACTTAATATGCATTTTAATCCACTCAAACACCCATTGAGATGGGTACTATTACTATCCTTGTCCAGATGAAGATTCTGAGGCACAGATATATTAACTAATAAGCCCCAAAGACATGTAAAGACATGTGCCTATCATGGAGCTGGGGTATCATCCAGGCAGGTGGATCCAGCACCCACACTCTTAACCACTACACTTATCACCTCACAAAACAACTGTATGTGTTCTTCATGGATATAAATTTATGCGAGAATGTTTATTAAACTCACATGGGACAAGGAAATATTAAACAAACGACATTAACTCCTAATGTTTGGAGAGGTGCATGGGGAGAGAAGGGTAATTGTAACGGTGACCATGGATGAAAGAGAAAAACAGTAACATAAATTTTAGAGGACCAATGATGACAGCACTGATATACTGTAAATTAATCAGCACGGCGTCATGCGCTGATTAACTCAACTCCGTATCCCTATGTTGAAAGAAAACAAACATAAAGATGTTTTTAAAAGAAAAAGCTACAATACTGATTAAGAATAGGATATACTGGTAACTAACATAACAGCTTCCCAGTAAGTTCAGAGCAGCTATGATAGATTCACTTTCAGAATCGGGGCAAATTACTCTTTCTTTGCCTGAGCTCCAGAGGAAATGGTTGTCTTTCTTGATAAAAGAAAAGGACATATGTGTACAAACGAATGGCTCACCCAGCCCATCAAAGATCAAACATGTGCCTCTTAGAGCCCTTCTTTCTCCTGTTCCATGTGAGGGCTTTTAGGGAGTTCACATTCTGAGGCATGTATCACGCCACATCATTTCAAAGGCACTTAGCTTAAATTGAGTCATCGCAACACCACTGAACAACATTCTTATAAAAGGCAATGTAGCACTTAATTTTTTCCTGTGTGGTCCACACTATCTCATACATTAATTTTTTTTTTTTTCCCAGAGTCTCACTAAACTTTATGTTCCTTATGGATAGAGACCATAATTTGTGTTATTTTGCATGTTCCACATTCCGTCACTTGGGAGTAGATACCAAATTGGCTACTAATAATTTTTTTTTTTTTTTGAGACAGAGTCTCACTCTGTCACCAGGCTGGAGTGCAGTGGCACGATCTCGACCCACTGCAAGCTCCGCCTCCCAGGTTCAGGCCATTCTCCTGCCTCAGCCTCCCGAGTAGCTGGGACTACAGGCTCCCGCCACCACATCTGGCTAATTTTTTTGTCTTTTTAGTAGAGACGGGGTTTGGCCGTGTTAGCCAGGATGGTCTCGATCTCCTGACCTTGTGATCCGCCCGCCTTGGCCTCCCAAAGTGCTGGGATTACAGGCATGAGCCACCACGCCCGGCTAATACTTTTTAATTAAAAAGAAAAATTAAATATTTGGGTAAAGTCTAAAATACAGGGTTCAGAACACCACCACCACTCTGCTGCCAAACTTTGTGCATGCACACACACACAATTGTAACAGAAAGTGTTGTGAGATAGTTAATAGATGAAGATCAGGTTTAAAGACAAAGTGAAGACAAAAATACTAAAAACGAAACTTAAAAGACAAAGGAAGCAGGGCTGTAGGCATCCGTTGCTGAAAATGAGGAAGAAGACATGAGACATGCTGGATGTCTTCCCCAAGACAGCAGGATGGTCAGTCACCATTCCAGAGCACTGCATTCCAGAAATAAATGCATAGGGAAGAGAAAGGGGAGATGCCATTGCTAGCGAAATGTTAAAACAACTGTGTGTGTGTGTGTACATAGAAATATATTTTCACATCATGTCCATCTGTTAAGCAGTAACTGAGTTATACCTTTTAGGAAGTCAGAAGTTGCCTCATAGTTAACTTGTGCAGAAAACTCCAGGTTTCTTTTCAATATATAATCCTATTATCTTTCTGATGGATCATAAGGCATCAGATTTTAGAATCTCTTTGTGGTTCTGAATATTGACTTTTGGGTCACTGGATAAAAAAAAATATCCTTTTTGTCTATTGTCTACCCCTTCCATTGCCCAGAGTACCTGGCAAAGCAGCTCAAAAGCTCTGGGCAAAGGACCTTGGGGCATTTGAAGATGTGTAAGCAAGAGGGAAACACTTGGCTGGATTTCACCATTCTTCCACTTACCTTACAATGGCAACTGCAAAATTCTTATTGAATGGATTGAGCAGCTGTCTGGTTTGATTGTAGCTTCAGTGAATCTGTGCCTCAGACCTCTGTGGAATTGCTATTTCATTGCTATTTGCAGTAATGTTCTACAGTAAATCACAACTTCTGTCCCTATGGCAACCACAGATACCTGAGATGTTACTGCCTCTTTTTTGCCAGGAAAAAAACATAGTTAGAAAAGAAAGTAATAAATATGGCTAGTGGCCCTTTCTACATTGTTAGGCTGTTTCTTGCTCTGAGTTGTGCATTTTCAATTAGGAATCCCTGAGCTGAACTCAATAGTTGCATGCACAAGCATGCCATCCGTTCAGCAGGTACAAATGAGAGACAAATGTGTAAACTGTATGCCTGATTACCATCTTCTGGATATGAGCTGAAGAATATATGTCATATATGTGTGGGACAGATAAAGGACATCCTCTGGACAGGACTAATTTATTTTTGCTGTGTTCATTATCATTTCTCCTTCAATTTTAGGTCCTTCTCATTAGATCAGTACTTGTCTGAGGGTGATTTTTTGACTGACTCACACAGGGACTTTTATTAAAAATGTGGCATCCTAAATTTCCCAAGGACCCATTGAATTAGAATGCAGAATGAAGGGCATAATCCATATTGTAAATAACTTTCCATTTGATTCCCATGAATGTTAACATTTGAGAACCATTGCAGTAGGTAACCTTTGAGAGAAAGAATCTTATATTACTCATCTTTGTATTCAAGGCTTCTTGCGTGATGCTGGTTAGGTTTTTTTAAAAAAATATGGCCTGTTCTCATAACATTGATCAGCATCATATCATCACCAGTATCTCCTGAGAGTCCATGAGTCAGGCTGATCTCTTGTCTTCTCCAAGAGTCTACAGACTATACTCAAGGGAGATTCAGGTGCAGGTAAAATTAGATGGGATGTTGTTTCTCGGATTGGTTCTAAATATAACTATACATTTATTATCTGGTCTTTAAGAGAATGTGTTTGGGACATTATAGTTCATATCCTATAACCTTGTTGGATCTCAAGAAGAAAGATCTTTTTCACCTTTGCCTTTACTGACTTCAGATGACTACTCTAAGATTTTTGGAGGGTACCAATGAGACTAGCCTCTGGGCTACACAAACAGAGATAAACCTGTTTGCAATGAGTGCAGGATCTCGGGTCCATTCTTGTTGCTAAGTGGGAATACCCTGCCTTCACTGACACTGCCCCAGAAGTTTGCACAAGAGACACAAGAGTCTGAAAAATGAGACCTGGGGCACACACTGACAAGTGTATTCCTTCAAAGAGATGAATTAATTGATCCTGAATATTGGGCCCAGACACTGAAAAATCTCAGTGTATTCACTGCTAAGGATGATTATTACTTTCTCTTTGTGTGAGTCTACAAAGGATCCAGGATAATCTCCTTGTCCTTTATCATTTCAATATGTTTTTCCACACAGGAACATACAGTTTTCAGAGAATAAAATTAAACTAATGAGATTTAATTAGCACATTATTTTTTAGTGTCCTTTGGT
The DNA here is from genome assembly GCF_000001405.40 of Homo sapiens. Lineage (NCBI taxonomy): Eukaryota > Metazoa > Chordata > Mammalia > Primates > Hominidae > Homo > Homo sapiens. The sequence goes on from NC_000013.11 coordinate 47,483,208, forward strand.
TAAAAATCGGGAAAACACTGATGTGTTTATATTAATATGTGGAAGGGGTGGGTAGAGGAGAAAGGACAGAGAAAGAAGAGAGAAGTGGGGTGGTATTTTCCATACCCACAACCATCTCAGGATTTCTGGAACTTCAAGCCAGCAGGTAGACCACCAGGAGCTTTTTGTATGATAGATTCTAAGGAAAAAATGGTGGAGGAGATTAGAGGCCTGAAGGTAGATATTTGGATGTTAGGATTAAGATTTTTGAAAAATGAATACCTAAAAGAAATAAGGACCTGCCACAATCCCTAGGAGACTGACAGGAGCATGGGGAGGTTGGGAGAACAATGGAAGACAACAACCTGTTGGGCTTGGAACAAGATTTTTGGAAAAAAGAAAATACATAGGAGTGGAGTAACTGCCACTTCTTAGTATTAAAATAACCAGGGTCATTGCAGAAAGACCCAAGGTGAAAGAAAAGGGAGGGTAAGCAGAAGTTGAGCATGGCAGGGTGTGGGGGAAGCAGGCAGTAGGACAGGAATACAAGGAGGGCCAGCTTAGGGTTATAGGTAAGGCAAGGTCACTGAGGTGGCCAAGAGCCAGGGCTTCGGTGCACAGCAGGCAAGGCAGCAGGAGCCCAACTGCTGAGGACAGTCACCAAGGAGCCATCTGGAAAGGCACTGCATCACCAGCACAACTGGGAGGCTCTTTGGACCAAGAAGTTTCAGGAAGCCCTATCTGGACTCAAAGGATACTCACTCCCTGGCATTTAGAACTTACAGGCTTTGCACCTTCTAACCTTTTGCTGTCCTTCTGCTTCCCTTCCCCTCTGAACAGCCCAACCACAGAATATTCCACCATGAAGGTTGAGCTTTCAATTTAGCGATGGTTGCTTTGCTTCCCTGGCTTCCTCTTTCTCACCCATCTACTCATGCTGGTTCTTGGGCTTGATGCGGCCTGTGGCCTCAACTCACATTGCTTTTTCTGCGTTAGCTTCAGTTGTCTTCAAGTGCAGGCAACTCGACCATCATTATGGCCAAAGAGTAAGGGTTGTTGATTTTACCACTGTGGTCTTGGATGGATGAACGGGGATAAGATTGGGATTTAAGTGAGATTTGTCTTCATTGTCCCTTCCCTATAACTAACCACATACACCGTACAATTGACAAAAATGATGTCTTGCCCAATATCACACCTCTAAAATAAAAACAAATCTTTGTGGCATAATAGGAAATGTTATTTTATTATTTCCCCTTATGTGCCAGCCAAGTTTGAAACAGAACAGTTGATCTATATTTGCACTTTGTTGTATTTACTTTGTCTTGTAAATTAGCCAATTTTTCTTTCATTGTTGTCTCCTGTGGCCTTCGGGAACAGATGTTTCTTTTGAGCATCTGGTAGCTCTAGTCCTGAAGTGTCAACTTAAAGGGACATTATTTTGTCTAGCAGCTAAGGCACCACACAGATATAGCCTAGGAGGATTGTATGTGCACAAAGCAAGCCTGCACATGCGCATGCACACACACACACACACACACACTTAAAAACCACAAGCCTGGAACTATAAATATGTGTGAGTCACCCAATAGAATAAGAGAAACAAGAAGGAAATGTAGACATTGTATTTCTCACAACATTTCTATTTTCAAAGCTGTTTGAATAATGGTTTTAGCTTAGGATGTTGTCTCCAGTAAGTGCAGCAGAACTAGACGCTCCAAGGTCAGTTGTGCTATGTTTGTCTAAGATGAGACTAATGTTCTATGCTTTGTGTGTAGTATCCTTTGTTAAGGTCTTTAGTACACTGTGAGCCTTTGTTGCCCTGACTATTGGCCTGATAATTTCAGGAAAGTTTACAGTAGCTCCAGGATCTTTCCTGAGGTATAGATTTTAATGGCCATTATCCTGAGTATGCTTTGAAATAGTTTCCCTCCCTTAATATGTCATTGCTTGTATTCCTTTACAGAAACATTACAGATTGGTTGACCCCAAGGTATGTGCTCTTAATTCATACACAGTACTTCTTTCCATGGGCTATTTTAAAACACAGAATATTACTCAGATGTAATGGGACTTTTTTTCTGTAATAGTTAACATTTTAACAACATTTCAGGTACAACTTTTAGCAAATATGATTTCCTGCATTTTAATTCTAGAAAATATCCCCCTGTATACTACTAATTCCATAAATATGGAATGAAAATATCAGAAAGGATTACATGCCACTTACAGACTTAAAGGTTTTCTGTGCATTCTATCCCTTGGTTTCTTATTTATTTTACATACATACATACATAAATGCATGCACGCATTTATTTATTTTGAAGCAGAGTCTGGCTCTATTGCCCAGGCTGGAGTGCAGTGGTGCAATCTCGCCTCGCTGCAACCTCCACCTCCTGGGTTCAAGTGATTCTCGCCTCAGCCTCCCAAGTAGCTGGTATTACAGGTATGTGCCACCACATCCAGCTAATTTTTGTATTTTCAGTAGAGACAGGGTTTCACCATATTGGCCAGGCTGTTCTCAAACTCTGGACCTCAAGTGATCGACCTACCTCGGCCTCCCAAAGTGCTGGGATTACAGGCTAGAACCACCATGCCCGGCCTCCCTTAGTTTATATATTAAAGTATGTGACTTCACTGAAGCCAATGTTCTTTACTAGTAGTACTTACTTAATTTAGAGAGTTTGTTTTGAGGCTTCTGCCCAGAAAGAGGCTGTATTTCCCGACCTCTCTTGCATCTAAGTAGAGCTAAGCAGCTCAACTGTGGCTAGTAAAATGTATGTGGAAAAGATGTACCCCACTTTCAAACATGACCCATAGAAATCTCCTATGTGAACCCCAATTTTCTGTCTTCTCTCAACTTTCAGCTGGATTTCAATGCTCAAGGTGACTTTGAGAGTCTCATGTTGAAAGTGAAGATGTCCGTCAGTCTGAGTCTTTCAATGCCTGTACAGAGTAATTCTCCCAAGGATTGATTGGATTTTATATGAGCAAGACACAAACATATGTTTAGTCTTCTTTGTCTACAAATGTTAAGCTTAAAGGTCTGAGAAAGTTTTGTGTTTTTATGTTTTTTAATCTCTCTAGGATTCAATCATATTTAAAACCTTTTCATAAGACTAACAATGCATGCATTGTTACAGAGATATATTCATTACATGAGGGTCACTGTCAAACAATTTAACAAACCCTAGGGTACTTACTCCTTGTGTTTTATTTCAGGAATGGGAATGTAGCTCTCTACCTCTCTGGAGTGTAAATAATCTTTAAGCAAAGTGGGGAAAAACAGTTCTTCAGTTATCTGGAAGGTTTCTTGGTTGTTAAGCCAAAATTACCAAGTACTACTAGCCTGGACCATTTTTACCCTGGGTCACAGGATTTGTTGTAATTGCCTTAAAATATTATAATTATGTTGCAATTGAAAAACAGATGTTCATCATTTCTTGGCCTTTTGGCTAAGATCAAGTGAAAAACAGATGTTCAGAAGTGGAGGCAAGTGTGTGTGCATGTGAACACACACACACACACACACACACACACACACACACTCCTATTTCTTTCTGCCATCATGCATTTTTACCTACAACCACACCAGTAAGACATACAATATCTCATCCTTTTATGGTTAGTTGTTCCTAAACATTTATTACAATGTTAACTGTTGGGGTAAATTATGTACCATTTTCAGGAAGCAATGTGTATTTTAAAATAACCCTATTAGAGTGGTATAGTAGATTGATTAAAAGCATGAGGCTTGGAATTTTAGACTAGTTTTTGAATAACGTTGCTGCCACTTACTACATGACCTTGGCCAAATTATTTAATCTCTTGGAGCCTTAGATTTATTTGGCTGCAAACCAGAATAACTTAATCATTGGATTAGTGTGAGGATTAAACAATACCTCCAAAGTACCCCCCAAAATTCTCAGTACTATTGGAAGCACTTAACAGATGTGGTTACTTTCATCGAAATGGTTTGACTTTTATAACTGTAAGTGTAATATTACACACAACACAGAAGACAAATCCAATACTTGTTTTTCATGGGTGAAACCAAAAAGTCTATCAAGAAAAGAAAATTACCTTTTCAAAAATAGAAGCAGTGTCCAAAGAAAGAATGGGGGGTCTCCCTAAAAATGTGAAAACTAGAAATGTGTGATACCATTACAAGGTCTATGATCTACTTTGACATATTTCATCATAATTAGTGCAGTATTATGTTTGTGCTGGTTAAAGTTTAGAGGCAGCCCGCTGGCCTTATATCTAAAGGGCCATGTTCCAGGGGCAGTTCCTACAAGTCATTCTGTTGGCCGATCTATACAACTAGAATAACTTTTTCTTCTAATGAGAGCCCATTTCTAATATTCATCACACTCAATAACATCACTGGTTCTATCAATGACACTCAATGACACATTGCTAGCATGCTAGAAAACAAAATGAATTTTCATGGATAGAACCAGTGACATTGAGTGTGATGAATATCAGAAATGGGTTCTCATTAGAAGAAAATAAAGTTATTCTAGTTGTATACACTGGCCAAAATTATTTAGAGATACTCTCTACCCCTCCAAGGAAAGGGTATAGGAATCCACTCAGGCTTGTACCCTTCACCTTGGGGATGAAGTCCATAGCTTGATCTCAAATCAGTTCCATTTCTTGTCATTGGTTTAGGATAATTCTGATTATAGGATGCCGACTACATAGGGACAATCTTGCTTCAGAAGTTGTGTTGGCCTGAGTGAAATTTTCAAACAGGAGCAGAAAGCTGGAATTTTATTGAAGCTAGAGATAAAAATATGATGTAGAAAATGTGTTGAGCATTCTTTGCTAATGAATATTTACCTAACAAATGTGTCCCTGCATAGAAAAACTTCACTGCAGACTTGCTTTCATTATAACTTGATAGCAAGGTTATCAGAAGTAGCAGCTGGATACCAGAAAGAACCACACAGCTATGCGTGAACCAACTGGCTACATCAGTTCACAACACACTTTCTGCCATCTTCTTTTAATTTTCTTCAATAGCCAAGGACTTCCATAATAATCATGGAGCATCCTATTTGACTGTCCATTTACTAGATTGAAGCCTGTCAAGTAACATAGCCTAGTGGCTCAAGGTCAAGCCCTGCCACTTACTAGAAATGATAATTGGCAAATTATTTAACCCTCCTGTGCCTGAGTTTCTGCACTGGAGAAATGGTCTAATAAAAGTGACTACCCAGATAGATTATAATGATAATTAAATGATACCCATAAAGAACTCATAACCATTTCTGTCACGTCTAAGTGCTAGCGATTATTAATTCCCAAATTCTCCACCAGACTAAGTCTGGAGAGGTTACAATACTGGTTGGCACCTCTGATTATTGTTCAATGAAGGCTACTTTTCATTGCAATCATGATACAATTTTATTTGTCTCTGGAAAACCCTTGAAAGGGTTCTGTTTGAGCTCTGTCATCATAAGCTTTCATCATTTTGATGCGCCTGTGGCTCTGTCTGGTATATGCTATCTTCAAGCTGGAATCTCCCCAGTTTCCTCCTTGGTATAGACAGGCCAAGTCACTCCCTTATTCTAAAACCACCTTTCCATTTTGAAGTGCCCCTTTTGCACTACAGTCATGGAATGGTCCCACTTCCATAGTCTAGCAGACTTCCTGCTTTTGAGGATAGCAAGGTGAAGGAGAAAGAAAAAAAATGTCTCACTAGAGTACCTTTTTTTTCTACCTACACCTAACCCCCACAACTTAGGCTGCAAGAGTGGTAGGAAAAGAGTGTAGTGGGGAGGAGAGAAAATGTGAAGTGAAAGGTAGCATGGAGTGCATTAGAAATCAGTCAGCACAGTTCTCCCTTGGACTGCATTTCCATGAATCAGTACGTCATTCTCTTTCCTTTTGAGGAGTCTCTGATTTTGTTGTTTTAACTTCAGAATTTTAGATTGCTATGTTTTGACATATACATCTTTAATAGGCAATCTTTTTGAGTCAAATATTTATCCCAGACTTCCAATACAGTGTTTCTCCCTTTATTAAAACTGAAAAGATAAATAAAAGTAATTCACACTCATAGAAAAAAAAATGTGTAACAATACAGGAAATCAACAGAGTGAATGTAAGCCATCACCAAGCAATGCACCTATTTGTTCAGGGTTTTTTCTTCATTTATTTGACTGGGAAAGGAAAACTAGTATTTATTGTGCTTCAGGTATATCCTGGACACAGATAAGTCTCATATTTTCTTGGATGGATATTAACACTATCCCTTTTGTTGATGTGAATATTGAATTCTGGAGGTTAATCTGGACAGAGACACAAGACATAAGTGACAAAGGTTTTATTTGACCTTCAAGCCTATATCCCTACCAGTGTACCGCACTGCTTCCAAAGTCATTTTTAAGTGAAATAATCCAGGTATAGAAAGACAATACTGTACATTTTCACTTACATGTGGAATCTAAATCAGGCTCCAAGAAGCAGAGAGTCGACTGGTGTTAGCGGATGGAGGGTAGGAGGGGTGGGGAGATGATGGTTAAAGGGTATAAAATCTCAGGAGAAATAAAGGTTATTTTTAGATTTCTTACACAGCATGGTGAATATAGTTAATATTAGATTTCAAAATTGCAAAGAGTAAATTTCAAATGTTCTCACCACAAAAAAAGGTATTTGAGATGATGAAGATGTTCTTTAGCTTAACTATTTCACATTGTCTTCATAAATCATAACATCACTTTATACCTCATAAATATACACAATTGTAAATTGTCAATTTACAGTAAAAAGTTTTCAAAAGATGACCTTTACTAATATCTGCATTCAGAAACACTTCTTTTTCTAATGTTGACTAACCCTTCTATGGTTTTTAAAATGTTCTCATCTCCCACCAGAATTGATGATGAGTCTGAGAAAACGAACCACTCATCCACTCATCTTGGCTTCCAGCTCAGGTACTCTCCCCATCTAAGCAACAGTCTGAAACATTTTCTAAAATCGAATGCTCAAGGTAGCAGCAATGTGTCCCAACTACAAGTCTTATCCTGTAGCCCCTCCCAAGATGTACAAAAGCAAAGCCTACAAACCCATGGAAAAATACGAGTGTTCTAAAAATACATCATCAGCTGAAAGAGTGAGAGCTGTTTTTCAGGTGGTGCTAAAAATGGGCAATTGAAAGTATTTGTTAGAAATGTCAGACTTTGAAAATGCAGTGATAAAAATGCAGATTTGAATTTGCCTGAGAGAATTGGATTTAGAAGTCTATGGAAATTATTAGGAAGATGGGTTTTAAGTGACCAGTTTTTTATACATCTTCTTTGACAGTGATTTGTGCATAAGCTTCTGAAGTAGTTAACCAAAAGTCCTCACAGATATTTTTAATACAATGAACCCTTCAAGCTCTGATTTGTCAGAACTCAGAGAAACAGCAGGGTGTGTTGACTTGAGGCAGTTCCAGAATAATACAAAAATGTCTGGGCTTGCAGTGAGCAGCTGTAGAGCTGATTTAAGTCTTTTGAAAACTCTTGTTTTATTCTTGTGTATATAAATCTGCTAAAAATCAAATCATATATAATCATATATATTTAAATTAAACCATACAAAAATCAAATAACATGGAAAAATATAAAGAAGAAAGTAAAATTCACCTGAAAACTCACTACAAAGAGATAGCTAAAACATTGTTGACATTTTCACATATATCAATGCAAGCTTTTTCTTTTGGAACCTCCTAATTCCTCCTTTATCTGTCCTCATACTCATTAATTCATTCCAGAAACATTTGGTACTTATTTGAAGCTACTGTTCCAGGTCCTGAAAATATAACAACCTCATAATAGTCTAAAGAAGATAGATCATTAAATAGACATGTACAGATCAGAATGTAAAGCTGGGGTAATGGTTGCCTTCTGCATCTTTGCATCTTCATTGCCTGGGTAGGGGAGCAGTATGCTAAGCAGACATTTGCTGAATGATGAATTACTTTTTCAATCAGTAGGGGAATACAACGTGCTAAGTGCCAATAGAAGTACTTCATGGAAGCACCTCGGAGAAGCACATAAATATGACCAGGAGAAATTTTCAGAGGTCATGTCCAAACTGCACTGGAGGCACAGGGAAGAACTTATCTGGAAGCTGGAATAGCATGTGCAAAGTCTAGATGGAAAAGAGTATGGCACATGGAGGGAAACACAAGAAATTCAATTTGAATGATTCAAATTGAAATGAAAATTATGGCAAAGTCTCGATAGGCCATCTATGCCAGCCAGGTAACGAGGTTGGAGTTTATCTTCAGGCCAACAGGAAGTCAAAAAGGCTTTGATTATTAGAAGAATGGCATGATTTCCATCTCAAGAGGCTACACTCTACAATGCAGACTGTAACAGTAACTCCTGTAACAGTCTCTCAAACTTTTTGAAAAAATTCAAGTTGTGTTTCAAGTCTCTAGTGAAGACAGGCTAAATTATTTCAATCAACAGCTCTGCTGAAAATAAATTGGATTAGGTTTAATCACATTTTTTAAATTGATTAAATTATATTTGACAAATAATAGTTGCTATATTTATGAGGTACAATATAATGTTTTAATCTATGTATACATTTTAGAAAGGTTAAATCTTATCCCTTATCAATTTATTTTTTGTGATGAGAATGTCAAAAATCTATTCTTTAAGCAATTTTGAAATATACAAAAATTATTAACTGTAGCCATGATGCAGTGCAATAGATCACTGAAACTTATTTTTCCAGTCTAACTCTAACTGAAACTTTGTACCTTTTGACTGTCATCTCCCCTTTCCCCTTACCCCCATGGCCTCTGGTAACCACCATTCTATCCTCTGTTTCTATGAGATCAAATCTTTTAGATTTCACACATAAGTGAGATCATGTTGTATTTGTCCTTTTGTGCCTGGCTTATTTCACTTAGCATAATGCCCTCCAGGTCCATCCATACTGTTGCAATGACAGATATCATATGCTTAAACACATCAGGATTAGATATGACAGTTGCCAGTGGGGTTCCAGAGAAAGCCATCCATGGAAAAGTGCCACGACACTCATTGGGAAAGTGCTCTCTGGGGTGCCTGAGAAAGCTCCCCATGAGATGATGCCACTCCATGAAGCTACACAAGGGGACATTAGGCAAAGCTATTCATGAAACCCTCTGAAAAGACACTAGAAGTGTTCCAGGGGAAGCTGATCATGGGGAAGTCCTAGTTTCTGCTGGCCACTGGGCTGTGCTGAAACTAGTTGTTACCAGAGTCAAACGTGTTTCAGAAACCCAGTAGACACCCACCTAGAAAAAGACACCAGAATCAAAATGAGAAACCCGTTCCTCCTCCTATATCCCTCCAGCACTCTCTACTGATAGTTTGATATCATGCCACCTGGCAAAAGAAAACTATTTACAGGTTCCAGATCCATTATTGCAGAGATGGCAATGAAGGGTGTTTGGGAAAAGGCACTAAATCAATAACTGCAACAGATAGTTAAAAAAAATAAAAGCCAGGGAATTAAAGGTCACTTGGAGGTGATATTTCAACAAGGTCATTTTTTACCAGCCTGTGACTTTTTTTTTAACCTCACAAAGTAAAAAGAAAAAAAAAAAAAGCAAAATCCACAATTGTCATAAGCCAAGAAGTCTACAGGAGACCTTTACTGTGTGTACTGGGCCCAAGTTACAATATCAATACAGAGGTAAGCCAAAAGAGCCCTTGCATGAAAATTAAAGCCCAGGTTTGATTTGCCTGGGCCTTTCAAGAAACATGTCTATCTTTAACCTTAGTTTAAGATGCTCCCTGATTGGTTAGACACTGACCTGCAAAGAAACTGGTTATATATTTGAAGCTTCTTAAGGCTCCAAATTTGTTACCCACTGTGAGACCGTTAAAGGCTCTGTTGGATCCTTGGCCCCCAGCAATTAACTTCATCGTGAGCCTAGGGCATAGTCTCATCTTTTAGCCCATGGCAAGATTTAAAAGCGGATGCAAAGACAACTACATACAAGCACCTAACCTAAAAACTCTCTCCCCTTGGAATTTTACTCCACCAAATTCATGAACATAGGGTAAAACATGAACACAATGAGGAGGGAAAAGCAAAGTATAAAAAATAATCAAATAGAACCAAATGCATCTCTTACAGATGAAAAATGCAGCATCTAAATGAAAAACTCTCAGAATGGGACTAACAGCAAACCAGACACTGGTGAAAAAAAAGATCAGAGAATGCGACCCCACGTAGCAATAGAAACTGTTCAAAATGAAGCAAACGGAGGAAAAAAAAAGTGAACAAAGCACAAGTGACCTTTGAAATAAGATAATCTTACTTAAAATTGAAGTCCCAGAGGAAGATAAGGTAGTAGATGGAGAAATAGTTGAGGAAATAATGATGAAAAATATTCAAAGTTTGATGAAAACTATAAACACAAAGATCCAAAAAGCTGAAAGAACCCCAAGAAGAATAAAGCTATTAAAATGCCAAAAAAACTATAATTTAAAAACCATATCTAAGATAAATTAAAGATGACCTAAATATGTAAGAGAGAGATACCATGTTCATGGATAAAAAGGTTCAATATTGTTAAGATAGTCAATTCTCCCCAAATTAATCTAGAGATTGAATGTAATCTCAAAGTCTCAGAATATATTTTAGAAGTCAACAAATTGACTTTAAAATTTTTGTGAAAATGAAAATCATCTACAATAGCCAAGAGAATTTTGAGAAAGAAGTTTAAAGTTGGAGAAAATAAATTTTGTAATTTCAAGACTTACTATGAAGTTGATAAAACAGTGTTATATTGGCATAAAATAGACACATGAGAAATAATAGAAAATGCTGAAATAGGCACATTATAATAAATACTGTGTCTTTTGACAAAGGTGCCAAGGCAGTTCAATGGAGAAATAATAATCTTTTCAACAAAAAGTTCTGTAACAATTGGCTATGTATAGATGTAAAAAATATGAACCTTTACTTTTACTCACAACATACACAAAACTTAACTTGAAATGGATTATAGATCTAAATGTAAGAGCTAAACTATAAAACATCTAGAAGATATAGTAGTAAGTTTTAGTAACATTGGTTTTGGGAAAGATTTCTTCAAAACAACATACACACACAAAAGCAGGAACCATCAAGGAAAACTCAAGAAATTAGGTTTCATCAAAATTAAAATCTTTATTCTTCAAAAGACACTGCTATTAAAATGAGACAAGCCACACACTTACAGAAAAATATTTTCAAAATATATATATTAACCAAAGTGTGTTCAGAATATACAGAGGACACTTACAACTCAATAAAACATAGAACTCAATAAAAAAATGCAAAAGATGTTGACATTCCACCAAAGCAGATACACAGATAACAAACACATGAAAAGATGCTCAGTATTATTAATCATTAGGGAAATGCAAACTCAAAGCACAATAAAATATCACTGTATACCTGCTAGAATGAATGAAGCCAGACAGAAAAGAGTAAATATCCATTGATTCTATTCATATGAAATTCTAGAAAATGCTAACAAATCAATAATGACAGGAAGCAGATCAGTGATCGTCTAGAGAAAGCTGTGTGAGGAGAATGAAACAGGGGGGAGGGAGCAACCCAAAAAAGGAAATACAAAGATGCATGAGGAAACTGTTGGTATGATGGATATGTGCCTTATCTTAATCATGATGATGGTTTCATGAGTGTGCGTATGTCAAAATGTACCAAAATGTGTATTTTAAATATGTGCAGTTTATTGTATTTCAATAATATATTTAAACAGCTGTAAAAATAGACAAAACTAACTTATTTTCAATAGAAATGCACACAAAAACGGTGAAACTACAAAACAGCAAGTAAATGATGACACTCAAAAGTCAGGGTACTGGCTGCCTTCAGTGGGGTTAACGGAGAGAATGGTTGGTGATCAGGGAGGAGTACATGGTGGCTTCCAAGGGGCCAGTTTGACCTGGGGTGGTGATTTGTGGGAGTTTGCTTTATAAAGGCTGTGTGTGTGTGTATGTGTGTGTAGCACTTTTCTGTATCTTAATTATATTTCATATAGCACACAAGGTAAAGAAGAAATAGAAGTGGATTAGGAAGGATGAAGGGAGGGAAGAAGGAAAGGAAGGAGGAGAATCAAAAGCAAGTAGGAGGATGGTGAAATGGAAAGATCACCCAATTAAGTACCTGGAGATCTAAGTTGCAGTTGTGTTTCTGCACATGAGTCAATGGAATATAGGAAAAGTCAATCAATCTCTTTTTTTTTTTTTTTTTTTTGAGACAGAGTCTCACTCTGTCGCCCAGGCTGGAGTGCAGTGGCGTGAACTCGGCTCAATGCAAGCTCCGCCTCCCGGGTTCACGCCATTCTCCTGCCTCAGCCTCCCGAGTAGCTGGGACTACAGGTGCCCGCCACCACGCCTGGCTAATTTTTTTTTTTTTTTGAATTTTTAAGAGAGACGGGGTTTCACCATGTTAGCCAGGATGGTCTTGATGTCCCAACCTCGTGATCCGCCCGCCTCAGCCTCCCAAAGTGCTGGGATTACAGGCATGAGCCACCGCACCCTGCCCAGTCAATCAATCTCTTTATGCCTCACTGATTTCCCTACCTGAGGTTTATTAGATGCCGCAGAGTCTGAAATAGTCGATTCCTAACAGGTCCTCCATCACTTTGAATCTTTAAGATCAGTCCCTCAACAAATAACTGCTAATGGACTAATGCTACTACTCAGATCAGAAGCAAAAACCCTTAAAAATCCAAAGGAATATGTTCCTGATATCAAAGCTTGTCCCCAGGGAAAGGCAGGGGCAACTTCAGTCATACTGTGTAAGAGAAGAGCAACTTTATGAGCTTGTCACTCTGTTCTTTCTTTAGTGCTGCAGTTGAAAGAGCACTGCAATTGGAGTAGAACGTTTTGAGAACAAGTAGTGGCTTCCCTTCCCACTGATTGTGTCTTAGTTTCATTTTCAAAGCAAGAATAACAACAGCTAACACTTCTATAGCGTGTATGGTGTATCAGGCACTGTTCTAAGCTTTACACGTATGTGTATTTACTCATTTAATTCTCACAATGCTGAAAGAGATATTATTATCCCCATTTTATGGGGTGGGGAGGGAACAAAGGCTGATAACAATGGTATGAGATTATTGTGAGCATCATCACATAAAATAATGTATATAAAATGTCTTCCTATACTTAAAACTACATGTATATATACAGTACTTTAACAATATACCAATATCAAGAGAACAAGAAGACACAGAAAATATTTGCAAAAGACACATCTGATAAAGGACTGTTGTCTAAAATATATGATGAATGCTTAAAACTCAACAAGAAAGAAAATAAATTTTAAAATGGGGAAAAGATCTGAATAGACACCTCACCAAAGAAGATATACAGGTGGCAATAAGCGTGTGAAAACGTGTTCAACATCATATGTCATTAGGGTAAGGCAAATTAAAACAGTAACGAGATGTCTTACATACCTGTTAGAATGGCAAAAATCCCAAACACTGACAATGTCACCAGTTGATAGTGGGGGAGTCTGTGGGTGTGTGGAGGCAGGGGCTATATGGGAACTCTACTTTCTGTTAAATTTTGCAATGAATCTAAAAATGCTTTAAAAAATCTATATTAAATACATATATACACATATATATGTGTAGATATGTGTGTGTATATATATATATGTATATATATATATACACACACACATACTAATGAAAGTAAACTCACCCTTTTACCATGATTTGAATATACTGTGATTGGATGAACTTAGTAACACACACACACACACACACACACACACACTCTCTACAACATTCCCGTTTAAGGATTTCTGATGTTAATTTGACAAATAACAGATTTTCTAAAGAGTTCTAACCATTTGCCACTTTAAAAGATTCAGTCATCCAGGCTTTTCCAGAAATTACAAAATGAACCTTTATACAAAATGCTTCTCATCCAGCATTGAGTTGAAAAGGAGAGACTACAAAGCATCTCCTCCCTTCATCCTGGCCCCTGCTCCAGGCACTGCTCATTCATCACTGTCATCACACAACCCTGCCTGTATTCCTCTCCTGCTTAGGAAGACAAGGTACATAAACATTTTGAAGGAATTCACTGGGTGCCTGATATATGATGAGAATTTTAAAATAAATTTACACCTCTGGTAACCAATAAAATAAAAGCACAGAACAAACTGTACTTTTTTTAATGAAAAAATCATAGATAACTAAGCTAAAAATTGTGGCCCTAGTATAGCTATTTAGAAAAATCCATTCGTCATATACCAAACAGATTAAAGTCCAAGTTGAAAATTTACATGCACTTTATAAACCCACCAGCTCTTTGGAAAGAACTTGAATTTCCCATGTGTATACTACATAAGTTTTTCAAGCATAAGCAATCCATTTGTCTTCATTTAGCCTTCAGCCACTTTTTATTCCCAAGGAATTGCTTGGCCATTGAAATACAACTTACTTTCAAGGTGGTATATTTCTCAGAAGAGAGTTTAACTTCCCAAGAGCCTGAGGCCTGAAGAGGAAATGTGGACCATCCTGGGAGGTTACGTATAAATCAGAGTTAGGAAATTTTCACAAAATACCCTGGGATATGAATGACCCTCCAGACTCACCATCAAAGTAGTATCAGTGAAGAAAGGAGCAAAGAAAGGCCTTCAAGCCCAATCTCCTACTTCCAAGTAGGACTGCACCAGCCACTGGCCTGGGTCATGTGAGGTCCAACTTATAGGAAGGCTTTGGAGTGGGACACTTAGGGGGAGCTTTGACTGTTATCAGGCAGAGTACAGCCAGGATATTGAAACCACCTAGTTATTTTAGCAGAGAATTTGATATAGACAATTATAGAGAACAGCAAAGGCAAAGGGAGACGGTGAATTGTCACAGAGGAAGTAAATGTGAGAAGCACAGCTACCACCCCCAGGGCTGAGGAACAATGAACGCTTTGGGGATTACTAGAATTTAAAAGCTTGGGTGAGAAGTCCTGCAGAACTGGGAACCAGACCTGTAAAGAGGGGAAACTGCTGGCTGGTGCAGGCTGGTGCTGGCTGCTCGGAGGGTGGCAACCAGGCTGCCTCTGGAAGTGTGGATGAAACTGTAAAGTAGAACAGACTGCCACGTCCAGCATGAAGAGCTAATTCTGAGACGATGTTGACAGCAACAGGAAGCAAAGCAGGAAAGAGTAAGTTCCTTCTCCTTTCCTCCTTTTAGCCTCCACCAGTGAAGAACCAAACAGGGAGCCACATGGCAAAAACTAAATGTGAATTGCAGGGTTCCAGCCCCATCACAGGAAAACAGAGTAAGGAAGATGGGTTTGTGCTGATAGTCAATAGCCTCACTGCCAATGTGACATCTAAATTGAGAGTGAGTGAGGCTTGACTACTGGAGCACGTAACCCTGAAAAAAGAGACTGTCTGGGCACGAGGCAGCAGGACAGAGCCCAGGAAATCAGTGGAGAGGAGAGAGCTGGAGTAGGGTGGTTGATGATGGGAGAGGCAGAGGAAATGAAAGCATTCTCTCACCACATAAACATCATAGGTAGGCTCATCTGGAAAATTTTTCTTTTTTTTTTTTTTTTTTTTTTTTTTTTGAGACGGAGTCTCGCTCTGTCGCCCAGGCTGGAGTGCAGTGGCGGGATCTCGGCTCACTGCAAGCTCCGCCTCCCGGGTTCACGCCATTCTCCTGCCTCAGCCTCCCAAGTAGCTGGGACTACAGGCGCCCGCCACTACGCCCGGCTAATTTTTTTGTATTTTTAGTAGAGACGGGGTTTCACCGTTTTAGCCGGGATGGTCTCGATCTCCTGACCTCGTGATCCGCCCGCCTCGGCCTCCCAAAGTGCTGGGATTACAGGCGTGAGCCACCGCGCCCGGCCTGGAAAATTCTTTTGAGAAATCTTTTAGTGTCTTGAAAGGGGTGATAAATGGAGTAAAGTAAATGAGCTTGTCTCTCTGTTTCTTCTTTAAGAGTTATCTGCACCTTAAGCCAAGAGAAAAAGGGAGCAGCTTTTTCTCCTATTAACACAAAGACCCTGCTAACACTTTGAAATTACAGCTGAAGGATCAACTGCAGTTCTTAATAACTGCACAGCCTTTCTTCTATCTCAAGGACAGCGAGGTGATTTTATTCCTCCAGTTATATTTAGAAGACCACTTTACAGACATTTTGAGAAGGAGAATTCTTGCTCAGGTTTTCCTAAACACAGGATGCCGGATTCAGCGTGTCTTGAGAGGAGTATACATTGGAACAAAGTGTCCTGTCCTCTATGACCTGGAGTTCGTTGCATTAATACCAGAAGATGAATCAGATACTCAAATGTCATCATTGCTCTGTTTTCCTCCTAGTCGTATGCCCATTACAGCTTTAATCACAGCTTTCCTCCTGAGTGGCAATGAAAGAGGAATGAGTGAAGAATTGTACATCCTACTGTGATTGGAGTTTTATAGCTAAGCTTGACTGTCAGACTTCATTCCCTTCTGAAGAAAAGGTGATGATTTCATTCCAATCAATATCTATTCCACTTTCCTTGAAAACACACACACATATATTAGGTAAAATGCCCTTTTGTAAAAAAAAGATCAAGGGAACAATAAAATAAGAATATTGACAGAAAATATAAAAATGAAGATATAGCAGAAAAACAGTAATACACATATGCACTGAGCTGTTTATAAATGTTAGAGGCAAAGAAATAAAGTGGAAGTCATAGCTTGCCTCATTCAGTCACGTCAGAGTAGAATGAATCATAGCAATAACTAGGGTGGTGACTCAAACAGTAATTTAAGAAGAAATTTGAGAAGGAGAAGGATAAAAGGAACTCTATAAACCTTGAGAGTATCTGTTCATGCAAAACTAGTGGACCATGGTATGGCTGATCTACTTTCAACGAACCGTGATTGGGTGTCTCTGCAAACTGATGTGATGAATACTTTTCTCCTTATTCTAAAGGTGAATAAGACAAATAAATCAACAAGATTTTGGTATCTTTAGACTACTATTTCCAAAAGGAAATGCTGCGACTTCTAGCTTTGGATTATGAACTGAGAGATGTAGCTAATTAAGAAATAGCGTCATCCTAAAAGACTGGTTACCTGTTCATATCCTGAAAGAAACAAAAACAGTAATCAAATTTAATAACACATGGTAGCTTCTGGAATGAATTTAGGAGACCAAAAAATAAAAATTATTGTAAATCACTAAGTATTCAAATCAAACTGACTACCTCAGGTATCTTTGCCTAACAGGGAATCTATGGAGTGAGGATTCAACTCTTCCAGTACCTAACATGACTGTAGAGCCAACCAGGACTATAAAAGTGGAGGTTCACAGCCATTTGTCCCCTTCACAAAACGTGGAAAGATACATTTTAGGTGGGGAATAGGGGCACGTAGGGCCATCTTTCAATGAGACAACTGCCTCTAGTGGTAGGTTTACTTCTAACTGAAGGTGTTTCATGTGGAAGACCTTTAGGAGAAGAAAGAGCTCATTGCCTGGTTCCAGAGGAAATGTAGAACACCTAGGAGGGAACAATTGTTTCATGAATTAGGGAGGTAGCTGATAGCCACCCAATAAGACCTGTTTCATTCCTGCTCCCTGGGCACTGCAGCCAGGAAGAGCAGACTTGGGTATTTGTCCCAGCCAGCTACTCCTTCTTTCTTGAAAATAGTCTTCTCTTGGCTTCTGTGACATTAACAATTTCCCTACTATGCTACAAACTGCTGCACTCCTCTTCCTCCTATGGTCATAAAGAAAAGACTGCTCCAAAGTCAAGTCTTGGGCCCCCTTCTCATTCTGTCTGCCCTTCTACCACTGTGAAGGTGATCTCCTCCTGTCCTGTGGCATTAAATAAATCCTGTGGGCCAACAATGCCAAATGTGCATATATCCCTCCTGCTGGCCACTTGTGTGCATTCAACCCCCATTCACACATCTGCTGGGACAACTAACGTACCTCAAATATGCCCAAAATGCCCCACTCCCCTCCCGATCTGTTCCTAGGGAATCTTCCCAGTCTCAGTAAATGGTCCTACCCTTGCATAAGGCAAAAACTTAGATGTCATCTGTTTCCTACCCCAAAATCAATCCAGCAGCAAGTTCTGCCAGCTCTAAACACAATGTATCTCTCTAATCCACCCATTTCTCCCCACTGCCACTGCTCTCCCTCTAATCCTAGCATCACCTGCTGCCCCCATACTATGGCAATGACCTTAAAATGATCTCACTGCTTCACTCCTGTATCCTTCAGCCTATGCCCCACACAACTCTGCTTCAATGCTTTTAAAAACAAAGTGATGGCATCACTCATGTATAAAGCTCTCCAATGACTTTCTGTCATACCAAATAGTTAGATTAATACTCCTTCCACTGTTGGCCACACTTTGTAATATTTGTCCCTTGCCTCCTCCTTCAGCCTCGTCACATATTTCTTCCTCCTTTTAACTCATTGCACTCCAGTCCCATGGTCTGCGGTTTTTCTTCCAAAACTCCAGGCTCATACCTTTGCCCCTGCAGTCTGTTATGTGTAGAATACCTTTCCTCTCAGATTTTGCACAGCTGACGTGTTTTCATTCATGTCTCAGCCTAAACATCATCTCTTCACTGACAAAACTCCTAAAAGTTTTAAAACCAAAGAGACCCTAGAAAAACAGACTGGATGGGCAGAGAGAAGCTACTTAACACCTTAGTCCTGGGGATAGTGTCCTTTCTGAAAAAAGACTGAGACCGAGGTAAGTATATGCTTCTATTACTACAAGGCCAGATTCAGTGATCTCATTACAAAGAAATCCTATGCAGAGTTTGAATGAAGATAAAAAGATAAAGATGGCAGATACAAGATGGGAAGAGATACAAGATGGGAAGAGATACAAGAAGACAAAAGATGAGAGTACAGCTGACCAGGATAAAGACAACATTAGAGGAGGGGAGGGGAGTGGAGTGGGGGAAGGGAGGGGAGAGGAAATGTCACTGAAGATGAGAAGCCCTCCAAAAATGGTGGATAATTAGTGTAAATGTTCGTTTCAGTCCTTCTTGGTGCTAGAGGTAAATAAATGACAGCTTGACCTCCTAAAATGAATTGCTGGCAGCCAAAAAGCAAAAAAGAAAGACCCCTTCTCCAAATGGGACCAGCTACTGAACAAAAGATTGTCACACTAAATTAGGTTGGGAAATTTATTTACCAGCTAAACAATACGCTAGAGGCAGAGAAAGAGCTGTCTGAATCAGCTGGACTAGGCTTACCACAGTTAATGAGGCTTGAGGGGAAATTATGAAAACCCTTTTAAGAAGCAGAGCAGCACAGACAGGAGAGGGACCATCAGGGTCTCAGTCAAAAGTGAAAGTGATTCTTAATAGGCACAAATAATTGGGCATTAAGTCTCCCTGCCAATATGCCAGTTCTCAGTCCATATGGAGCTGGGTTCAGACCCCAAGGTAGAAGCTGGGCATGACAGAGTGGGTCACTATAATTGATTCAAAAACAGAAACTATGGTCTCTGGTCTCTCAAGAGTACCCAGGTGAATGGCCTCACTCATGGTTCCTGGTGTCTAAGATCAAGGAGCAGAGAAAGAGGAAAGCAGCTACGGTTATGATTGTCCCTAAGGAGCAACTAAAAACCCCATATAAGAGTGAAATATATATCTTGGGTTCTGTGTAATTCAAAGTCCACACTATTTCACATTAAAGTTCTCATTCTGAATAACTCCACTTAAACCTATGTGCATTTCATCTATGTTTCCTGAAAGGAAAGAAAAATGTTTCACCATGATAAAATAAACTTCTTGATTTATACAAGCTGATGAGGCTAATATTCTATAATTGCATACTTTCATGTGTCAAAATGTGAATAATTAAAACTGCTAAACTGGAAACAGAAAATTTCATGGTTAATGTTTGTGTGCCTGTGTGCTGACTGACTAGCTCTGCTAAGTTCCTTGTGACAACCTCTATGTGGACATATGCATTTTCTGTTTCCTCTCTTGGATCATACTAAAGATAAAAATTCATCATGACAACTTACAACACCAATATACTATATAAAATTAATATATTCTTTCGTTTGGGGTTTGCTGGAGAAATAAGTGGACTTTGGAAAATAAAACCATTGGTGTAAGTGAACTCACAAACTATGTGACTAACTCTTTTTCAGACACAGTATCTTCTGAAATTTGAGGAAGAGTGGCGATGTAGGTTTTTTACCACTTCACATTTCAGTTGTGATTTCCTTGATTTGAGGAGAGATTCCTTCTTAGATTCCTTGAATTTCAGGCAAAATGTTCCCCTACTTTTTAAGAAAGGAACTCTCTTTGTGTCAAAAGTAGTCTTTAGTGTCTCTTCCAGGTTGGTTGATGATTAGGCACTAATAAAGAGAGAACAATAAAAGAATTGTAATGGCAACATGCCCACAGTCAGGAGTTGGATGAAACTTTTTAGCTTTTAAATAGTTTGGCATAAAGCCATTACCTCCCAGTTTGGCAGAACAGGTGGAGGTAATAATTCCACCGCCCTACTCTAGTGAAAGCACAGTATGATGCAATTTTGAAAAGATTATTACATACTCTCATTTCTAAATAAAAAGTAAAAGGTGATAAAGCATATGGTACAATATCTGGGGAATCTTACTTGACTGCAGTTGAATCACAAAGAAATCTGTCGGTAAATTGGGACTTTAATCCTTTAAGGTGAAAATGTGTTTTATCTCATTTTCACCATGGAAACTACCGTACAATATACGATTGTGGTTATGGGCGGAGTACATCATAATTCAAACCCAAAAATATGAATACTTGTATTCCAGCAAATATAACTTCCTAACTTTCCATATTTCTCTTTCTGAAAACATTCTGGCCAGCCCCCAAAATGTTTGAAAATTGCATGAATATTTTAATGTATATATAATTATAAAATGAATATGGAACTGTAAATGAAATGTCCTATCTGTACTTATTCTTTATGATTTGATTTTTATGAACCCAGATCATATTATAAAAGCTCATAAAAAATTATCAGGATAAGTGCTTTCATGTTATATTATTATACATGTTTTTTAATTTCTTAAAATATGTATTCAATTGTACTTACTATGAGACTACAAGTATTGATCTGAAATTAAAGTTTGATCTGTAAACTTCAATATCCCAGAAAACTAATGGAAACACTACTTCTATTGAAGTTCTCTATCCGAAAAAGAATGTTTAAAGCTGGATCCTCTTTGCCTAATGGCTTGTTTCTTACCTTTTGCACCTAGAGTTTCTGAAAAAAAATTTGTCATTTGCTTTATGATTCTGTACCCCACTGGCAGAACAGTCAATAAGATCATGAAAGGTGAATGGGCAAATGGAAAACAATCATTCCTTGAAAGGGTCACAGCAGGGTTGGAGACAAGAAAGCCTTCACATCGAGATGAGTTTTTAAATATAGAATGTTTTATCTTATTAATTATAATTCTTATTTTTAGGTAAATTATTAATACTCTTTTAAAATAAAAGAGGGAAAATATCAACACTGAATATTTCTGGAATAAAATCTACATCAAACAGAGCTTTTACATCATGAATGGGATAATGTAAAAGTAGAATGCCTGTAAAGGCATTCTAGCTGATAGACTGAGGCCTGAATTTGCTGACATCTCCCTGTGGTCCCCTAGGGAGAAAGTCAGGATTTCTTTCTTTTGAGGGCAGCTGGTATTTAATGGTGCCAACATGGAAGATCACTTAGACCTCTTGCATTTTTTTTTTGGTTTTGATTTTGAGACAGGGTCTCCCTCTGTCACACAGGCTAGAATGCAGTGGAACAATCATAGTTCACTGCAGCCTCAACCTCCCAGGCTCAAGCGATCCTCCCACCTCAGCCTCACAAGTAGCTGGGAATAGAGGCATGTGCAACCACACTCAGCTAATTTTTTTTTTAAGGGACAGGATCTGTCTATACTGTCCAGACTGGTCTCAAACTCCTGAGCTCAAGCGATCCTCCCTCTTCAGCCTCCCAAAGTGCTGGGGTTACAGGCATGAGCCACTGCACTGGGCCAAGCCTCTTGCATTCTGGACCTAATCCCAAGATGTTTAGAAAGAGAGTCAAGAGAAATGAAGGAAGCAAGAAGAAAAAAACTGGAGATCACAACCACCATTCTGTTCCCATGGATGTCTAACCTATGTATCCACCTTTCATCACATTAGTCCCACAGCCCAAAATTGGATGAATAACACAGCCTCGATGCTTCATTATCATACATGTGGATCAGAGCAAAAATGTTCCTGATATTAAATAACATAAATACCAAATATAGTGGAGACACATGAAACCTGTCATACAAAAAAGAATAAAGCAAAGTAAACAAAGGCTCCAGTAAGTCTTCCTGGACCTCAAAGCCCCAGCAGCCCTGTCTCCAGGATCAGGCAGGATGGACAGCTGCATTCTAGGCCCATGAAGTTGGGCAACCCCTCCCTGCAGCAGCGACAATGAAACCCAGTTCACTGCAGAAAAGGACCATCCTGAGAAAAGTAGCTCACCCACTGCCCACTGTCCATCATATCACTCTGTTCAGTGTTTCTGCACCTACTGGTAATGGCAATTGTCTTCCATTTGAATGTATGTGTGTACATATGTATGTATGCATTTGCATGTTTTCTGTCCCCCACTACTAGAATTCAAGCTCCAAGAAGCAGGGACCTCATCTCCCTGGCTCACCACTGTATCTTCAACACCCATAACAATGATTAGGACAGGGTAGGTGAAATACTGGCTGACTTCATCAGTGAGTGTTGTGGATGATGAATCCATACTGCCAGAATAGACATAAAATACATTTTTTGAAAGTCTGATTTATCTGTGAAATGAAAATAGGAAAAGACTGTCTGGTAAAAGTGCAACAGAAAACATCCCAGAGGCTATTTTGCGGTACAGACATGTAGGTTTGCAGTACAAACATGTAGGGTTTGAATATCATATAGTGTGAGGGGCGGGGAGCAGTGAAAGAAAAGGTGAAATGGGAGAGTTCCACTGCATCTAAAGTAGAACCTGATGCCTAGTAAGTCACTGATGTTCTAAGAAGGCAAGGCCAACTGATAACCACTGCCTGCTGTACAGTCTAATATGTTCCATATCAGCAAGTTGACCAGTTACTTCTTTAAACCATAACAAGACACATATAATTGCCTCTGTGGGTAACACTGCTCAATTTTGATTAAGAACTCTACCTTTAATGACATTTTCAGTGTGTATGTGAAACTTCAGTAGTGTGTTTCCAGGCCTTTAAATATTTCTGGCCATGCTACTACAATTCTATCTCTAGTGTAAACTTTAGACAATTGATAGGACAAAACACCTTCTTGCTCTCCAACAAACTCTAACATTTTGTGGATTCCCAGAAAAAGAAGATTAAACTCTAGTCTCCTGAACCTAGAATTTTCTTGCAGATAGGCCAATTAGACTCATTTTGACTCAACTGACATTTCCTGCTGGACAAAATAAAGGAATTAAAATCATTATAAAACCACACATATTAAAAATCATATATTCAGTGACTATATAAGAAAACTATCATAGTGTAATATATAATACCATTATGGAAGAGTGTTATAAACAGTGTTTGCTTTTTTATACTTTTCTGTATTTTAAAATTTTTCTTCAAAGCATATGTATTATTTTTAAAATAAGATTTAAAATTGTTTAATTAAAATTTTGTAAGTCTGTTTTAAGTTTTTACTCAAATATCTTTTGCCTTCAGTGTTGATTGAAGTACTGTGAAGGAAAGGATGTGCAATTCTTTATACAGTTCTCATTAGTATTTTCTATCTCAGCAAATCCATTTTGTTGTCATTTGCTACTTATTAAACATTGTTTTATAACCTTATCAACTATGTGCAAATAAAATCCATTGCTTTCAAGAAAGTGTACTTTTTAAATGCTTTTAGTTTTGATTGCAGTATTTTTCATGTTAGATTTGCTTAAGCCACATATTTTGTATTCAAGCAGATGTTCACAAAATAAATATTCACATCGAGTTTATGTGGCTCATAATTCCATGTAGTACAGATTGTTTCAAATGAGTCTACAAACCTCATTTTCTTCTGACTTAAAAAATGCACCCAGAATAATATTTAAATTACCTTTACACACCTAATAAAGATGTACAGTCATTTTAACAACCTCTGCACTGTCAATCATTGATAGGAAAACATAACTTGACATGCTCTAGATTTATTTTAATGGGCAATGCATTTGAAAGTGCTATAACTCTGTGATAGGGCAATCTTATCCTGGGGTGTCATCTACCTCAACGTGGGGTGTTTTGAGACAGTCACTTGTCCCTTGCCCGGTAAAAACACAATATACATGTATATTTCTCTTCCCTTTTAGCAGTCAGGTGGCTACCTCCATTTGGAGCAGGTAGTTTCAAATTCAAATTAATGACATGATGATTTACAAACATGAGTTATAAGTATTATATGAGTTTGCAAGATTAAAATGTAACAACAACCAAATGATTGGTTGCTTCCAGGGGCTGAAATGCAGTATTCTCTGGGGTGGTATCATATTCATTTCAAATAATAGCTATTATTTGTTGAGTACTAAATAGACCTATTTTAATTGTTTTCAACTAACATTTAATTGCCGCAACCCTATAAGAAAGATTTTCTCATAATTCCCATTTTATAGATGACAAAACTGAGAAAGAAGAAAGGGGTGTACTAGGCCCACAGTCACAGCTAGTGATGTACTAGGCCCATAGTCACAGCTAGGTGGCTGTGCTAGAATTCTAACTTGAGAAGACCCCTCTCGCTTAACCATTACTCTGTACTTCCTCTCAAATATAAATCATAACTTTAGAAGTTACCAATACACATTTCTATATCCCCCTCCCTTCATTGCTTCCTTCCTTCTCTCCAAAATATCTTCATTTCTTTTGACCATAAGATTATTTGCTCATTATCAAAATGTAAAGTCCAGTCCACATTTCTTTATGCATTTTCATATCTCCATTAAATTACAGCCATCCAAAAGCTTAACAGCACAGTACATCACATTCTCATTTCTTTATTAACATGATATTTCTCCTTCTCAGGAACCCTATGAGATGGGCCAAAGGTTCAAATTCACGGTATTACTTATAACAGCAAAACTTGAAATTAAACTAAAATATACAGTCTCTAAATATAATTTTCTAAAAAGACTAACATACTCTGAAATACTGTGTTATTGCATCCTCTAGAATGCACTAAGAGAAAGAAGAAAACAAAATGCAAACATTTACCAGGCACCTGCTAGATGCCTTGGAATTCAAAGTGTGGTCCTGGGCCAGCAGCATTATTATCATCGGGGAGCTTGTTAGAAATGCAGAATTTCAGTCTACGCCCCAAACCTACTGAATCAGAACCTGAATATTAACACCAATCCCCAGGCAATGCACACGCATAGAAAAGTTTGAAAATCACTATAGCAGAGAAGCACAGCATGTGTTCATGCCTCCAGTTACCATACTTCAGCTAGCACATTCCCCAGTGTCAGAACCATATGATATCACCAAAACAGACAGAAGTGAGAGCCATTCACCCGCCCAAGCTCACCCTTATTCTGCCAAGTCAGAAGAGGCATGGCTATTGTTAGGTGCAGAGTAGGAAATAGATTTTTGCCAACAAAACACTAACTGATTGGACCATAAGTTGAAGAAGTTTCAACTTGAGCATAATGCCAATGAGAATTCATTCAAGATTTTGAGAAAATGAGACATATAGTTAGATTGCATTTTAGAAAGATCACTAGCTGTAGAGTAGAAAACAAATGAGATGTGGTAAGCTTGGAGCTAGGGCGATCAATTAATAGTGGAGAAGTGTTGGTGGCCTGAGTACTCATAAGCAGTGGGAAGATAAAGAGGTGGAAGACTCAAAGGTATTTCAAAGGTAGACTTGTCAGGACTTGAGATTAGTGGGGAGGTACTCTGCGAGGAAGAGGGAGGAGAGAAGTGAAGGCAATATGTCTTGCCAAAAACCATTTATTTTTAAAGAAAGAGAAATGACTTGAAACAAACACCTAAATAGTTTTGTACTAGCTTAAGAATGGATAGGCAGATCAATCGAACTGAACAGAAAGATTATCAGCAGCTCAATTCCTTCCTACAAATGTTTATTATGATAAAAGTGACACTTAACCCATTAAGGATGGATTATTCAATGAATCATATGGAGATAAATGATTAACTACTAGAGGAAAAGTGTTAGCCCTTTCTTACACCAAAATGAGACTGAAGTGGATTGAAAACTTGCATGTGAAAAAAAAATTGTAATAATTGAACAATAAATGGGTTTCGTGGCACAGAAAGCTATTTTAAAGCACAAAAGGTAAAAATCATAAAGAAAAAGAATGACAGTCTTGATTACATAAAAAGTAAAAACATCATTGCATTGCCAAAAAAAAATTATAATAGAACCACTTAGGGATAAAGAGATTTTAATAAATGAAAGAAGTAGATTAGGAAGCCAAGAGCGAAACAAGCAAAGAGTATTAGAAAATTTACCTAAAAATATATGATTCATTAAAAAAAAAGAAGAAAAAGAAAAGAAAATTTATGGAAGCCTGGGCAACATGGTAAGACCCTGTGTCTCTACAAAAAAAAAAAAAAGAAAAAGAAAAAATTATTCAGACATGTTAGTAATCACAGAAGTAAAAACTAATATAATGAGAATGTTTCTCTTGTTAAATTGCATTACAAGACCCACTTATTGGTCTAACTGCAGTAAAATTAGTAATTTTTAAACAAAAGTTTCTGGAAGACAATTTATAAAAAGGTTATAAAAAGGTTTAAAATGTTCATATTCTTTGACCCCCCAAAATTTCACTTTAGGAATTTATTCTAAGGAAATTGGAGCTGTACATGATAGTTAGTATATACAAGACATGTTCATTTTAGCAATTTAGACAAGACATGTTCATTTTAGCAATTTAGAAATGAAAAACTTTAAGTGACTAATAGTAAGGAGTTGATTAAATAAATTTTGCTTATTACTTAAAAAATATATTTGGCAGCCATTTAAAAATTATATTTTTCAAGGTATATTTAATAATGCAATAAAATATATATGAGATAATATGTTTTAAAAGATATAAAGAATATACTTATCCTTCCAATATTTATTAGATGCCTACTATCTTCCAGGAATTGTTCTGTAGTATAATCATTGTGTGATTTGTTTTGTATATAGAATTCCAACTTTCTAAAAATTATATATATATGTGTATGTATGTGTGGATATATATATATAGAGAGAGAAAGAGAGCCATAGCCATAAAAATATTTATGGAGAAACACAACATGATGTTAACGATAGTTGCATCAGGATGATGGACTGTTCATTTACATTTTCTTATTTACTTTTCTGTGATTTCTAATTTTCTACAATGAACATGTATTAGTTACATACTTTCAAAAAATAATAACTTTTGATTTACCTTAATTTCACCCTAAACAAAGAAGAAACTTCTCTTTAGGCTATTTTAAAGAAAACACATTGGCATTTTCAAAGAGAAATTGACCCAGTTAAAAGGAAAAATAAAAGAAATAAATACCCAAAAAATGAAAAAGAAAGAAAACATTTACATCTGACTCTGCAAAGTAAAAGTTCTCATCCCATAAAGGCTGTCACAACTCCACAGGCAGGCTGGCTCCTTCTCACCTGAGAGCACCTCAGGAACCTGCTCTAGAAACGCTCTGATGTTGCTCTTGGCCCTTCCTAGACCAAGGTCAAAGGCTCAGAGTCAAGCACTTTGACTATCCTTGGTAAAGTAATCCCCTTTATCAGTTGGCATACATGATATAATATAAAATAGTTTAAGTTTAGCTTTTTAATAAATGGCTTTATGATGACTGATTCTATAGCAAGATCAGTGTTCATTTTACCTCTTCAGTAGGAAACCTTAAGTAAATTGGCACACTTGGTGGAAAAATATGAAATGTACAGACATGTCCTGGGTCAGCTTTTAGCAACAGCAAAGAGAATCTTGCCAGATTCAAGGGTTATGATGACCACATAGAAGTAAAATTTAAATTTCTGCCTAACGATTTGACGTCTATGTATCCTTGCCAGGAACTGATACCTGGTGTCACTGTAGGCTACTTACAATGCCTTGGGTAACTGACACCTCAGGGCACACACTCCTGTTTCTGCCACTCCTGCCTCTTCCGATAAGGTGTCATTAACCCAATTTTATGCATTTGGACATCAAGGATGAGAGAGCATTAGTGACTTGTCAAAGGTCACAGACGAGGCAGAGAGGATCACAGTTTGAGCCTGGCATGGACTTTGTGTCCTCCCCTTCTGCCCTCCTCAGAAACCCTGAACACATGCTGATTCATCCTAATATACAACCCAAGGGGTATTTATTGTGTGCCAGGCACAATGCTAGAAATGCTTGTTTCTAACTCTCACAGCACCTTTGCTGTGAGGTTGGTTTTTATTTAATGATGAGAACATTGAGATATTGTAACTGCCCTAATCTCACGCAGCTAACAGATGCCAGGATGAGACAACTTATATATATTATGCATGGAAAATCCCATCATTTCCAGTGTTTCCCCAGGAAGCTTCTTACTGCAGATCTCAATAACAACATATACACACATGCAGACTATAGGCTGATGATCTAACACACAATTACCCTTTTGGCCTGTTTAAGCCAGTTCAATGAGCTTCAGTGTACCCATCCCTTCTCTGCATTTGCTTACTCCAGAATCCTATTCTAATCCTGCTCTGAAGCATAAAATGTGATAGTTTTCTACATTGGAGTAAGGCATACACCAGGAATCACTGTATACATATGATGAGAAATGTACTATGGTTCAGCCTGGGATAATTAACTGTGCTTCCTGGATTTGCTTACATCTTTGTTCAGGATTTATTTAGTTTTATTAAATTATCTTCCCTTATACTATCTAAAGCAAACCTTCCTCAGACTCTAAGGCTGCATACACTGCTCAACAGAAATAGAATGCAAGCCACACAGTAATTTTAAATTTTCTAATGGCCACATTAAGAAAACATATAAATTAATAGGTGAAAGTCATTTTAATAACAATGGTTTTAAAAATCAAATCCAGTTGACCCTTGAACAGCATAAGTTTGAACTGTGCAGGTCTGCTAATAAGGGGATTTTTTTCAACCAAACACAGACTGAAACTATAGTATTTGTAGGATGCAAAACCCACGTACAAAGAGGGCCAAATTTTCACATATACAGATTCTGGAGGGTTGACCTCAGGGCTTGAGTATGCACAGATTTTGAAAAATGCAGAGGAGTTGCATTTACCTTGCTCTCCAGCTTGCAGACGGCCTATTGTCGGACTTCACCTTGTGATTGTGTAAGTCGATACTCCTTAATCAACTCCCCTTTATATATACACCCATATTAGTCCAGTCCTGTCCCTCTAGAGAACCCTGACTAATACAAGGGGTCAGGCACAAGTACGCATGTGGAAGTGGGGGCTAGGGCTCAAGGCTATATGCAGGCATGTATGTGTTGGCAGTGTAGGGTCTCTGGGCTGAGGTTCCTGGGTCAGCAGCGGCTGGGGTGACTCTGGAAAGGAGACAGAGAGAGATGGTGACTCAGGTACCTGAAGACGATGAAGGTGAAAAGCTGCGTGGCCCTCCGTGGTGAAGGCTGTAGGTGGTCCACTGCAGCTGTGCTGGCTATTGGTTTCCTTACTAAAGCTGCTGGAGTCCTCTAGAGCAAGCTGCTGGGGTCTGCTAAAGAGCACATTGCAGGGTTCTTGGCGGTGAAAGCTGTGGGGAGTGTGTGGTGGCCGTACGGGCTGTTGAGGTGCCTTGTGGGGAAGATTTGCTGGAGACCTATGCAGAGCAGGCCATTGAAGACTGCTGTGGCTCCCAGCATCTGGCTGATAACGATAGCATCTATCTTTCTTCTTTATACCCTGGCATCTTCAGATGTCTCAGCCATGCCAGTCTCCCCAGCAGTCCGGGTGGGGTGAAACTGTAGCTGGTCACTCAGTCAGTGCCCTGAAAAGCTGGGGAAGCTGCTTTTTTACCCAACTCTCCTTTTCCTTGTGAAGGGAACTTGCAAGCTATGGAATTCCTGCTCTGTGCTGAGCAGTGCTGGCCTGGAAGATGGGAAGGAGATGGAGTCAAAATGAAACTGTCCTTCTTAGCCTTTTTGTGAAGTAATTTTGGGATTATTTCTTCCACCGTAACTGCTTAAGTGGACTCTGGGGTTTTTCCAGAGTTATTTGTGTTTGTGAATAGCTATTTAATTGTTCTTTGTCAGAAGAATGAAGGCTGAGACCTCCTTCTCCACCATCTTGCTGACATTACTCTGCTTCCAGGTTTATCCTTGATACTCAAGATAATGTTGGTGAAAGCTCTAAAGTGCTCTATACATTCTAGCCATTGTTATTTACCCCCAAAGTTGTATTTTTTGATGCCACAATTTTAAATAACATATTTAAAGCACTTAAATTTTTGTAAAAATAATAAAATCACTATGACACCAAAAAAAGTTTATCTCAATTTTGAAATGTGAATTTTATTTTGCATTTAAATTTATATTGTCTTCTATGTTGTTACCTTACCCATAATATTCATGCTTGCCAAATAGTGTTTAATAATCCATTGAATTGATTTAAAAATTTTATTTGAACCTTTGGACATTTGAGTTGAGATCATATTATTTTTGAGATCCATTTCTACTTCTTTTTAGGTTATACGAGTTTTCTTTTAAAAAATATTTAACTATCAAAGATACCTTTAAATTTTCTTTCTAGGTATGTGTCAGAACACCAAGATTCAGAAGTGATTGGAGTCCCATAGGAATCTTATAGGAGCTCATCAACATTTGTGATAACCGATGCTCAATGACATGGTATTTTTTAAATAAAATCCAATGGAACAAATACTGGACTGATACTTCAATCCACCATTGGATTAACATTAAATTGTTATAAGCTTAAAATAGATGCTTTTACTTATAAGATGTTACATGTAAGCCTCACAATAACCACAGCTAAAACCTGTATAAGATACACAAAAGATAAAGAAATCAAAACATACCACTACAGAAAATTATCTAATCACAAAGAAAGACAACAAGAGGCAGAAAGGAACAAAGGATCTACATGTCCCACCAGACAAACTAGAAAATGTATAATTCACAGAGTATTGGGTAGATTACTCACAAGGGTCTTGTCTTACTAGCAGGCAATATTTGGCCCTAGACTAAATGCTGCTCTGGTCCCACTTAAATCATACAAGCAACCCATCCTCCACACGCACAAAAAATCACTTTCCAACTACTTTAAATACATACCAAAAAAAGCTCAAGCATATTTACAGGAATACAAAAATCAAAGATCACCAGGCACACCAAAGAAGTAGGAAAATATAGCTATAATGAGGAGAAAAATAAACCAATCTAAATTGGTCCAGAACTGGCACAAATGTTAAATGTTAAAATTAGCAGAAAAATACATTAAGACAGTTATAATAACTATTTAAGATGTTCAAGAAGTTTAGCAGAACCATGAAAAAATCAATTAGTAATTCTAGAGGGGAAAATTACAACTGAGATGAAAAATACAATGGATGAGATTGATAGAAAATCAGATCTTGCAGAAGGTTAGTAAACATGAAGATAAAGAAATAAAATCTATGTTAATTTTATTTATCTTTGTTTGCTAACCTACATATTTAAAAAAATTAGAAAAAACCCCCCCAAGTATCAGTGAGCTGTAAGATAGCTTTAAATAGATTAATATACATGAAGTTGAAATACCCAAAGAAGACAAGGGGGATAGAAAAAAATGTTTGAAGAAATAATGGAGAAAACTTTTTTGTATTTGATGAAAAAACTGTAAACTCACAGAACTGAAACTCCAAGCACAGGAAACATCGAAAATATTATGCCAAGGCATATCATAACCATAATGAAATGGCACCAAATCAGTGATAAAAGGAAAAATCTTAAAAGCAGAAAAAAAGAGAAGACATGTTATGTAAAGAGGAACAAAAATAAAAACAATGGCATAATTCTGATCAGAAACATTGCAAGTGAGAGGACATTGAAGCGGCATTTTTAAAGTAGTAAAATAATAAAACTATCAATGTAGAA
Source organism: Homo sapiens (assembly GCF_000001405.40). Classification (NCBI taxonomy): domain Eukaryota; kingdom Metazoa; phylum Chordata; class Mammalia; order Primates; family Hominidae; genus Homo; species Homo sapiens. The sequence goes on from NC_000013.11 coordinate 47,515,300, forward strand.
TTTTATACCCAGTGAAAATATCTCTTTAAATGAAGATAATATAAATATGTTTTCAGGCACTCAAAAGCTGAAAGAATTAATCATCAGCAGACCCACACTATGAGAAATGCCAAAAAGAAGTCCTTCAGACAGCGTAAAAAACTATTAAAGTATAATTGACACTCAGCAAACTGAGTAAATCTGGACATACGTATACACCTGTGTAACAATCATCACAATTAATATAATGAACCTATTCATCAGACCCAAAATTTTCCTTGCACATCTTTGTATCCTCCCCCACACCCTACCTTCTACCCAGGCAACGATTGCTCTGTTTTGTGCCATTATAGATGAGTTTGCATTGTGCAGAACAAGGGACAGTTGCCTGCTAATCAAGACCAGCCAGTCAGGGAAAGCAACCGTAAATACTCACTGGTTACTATACTACAGCTAAATCTCCCTTCTATCTAGCTTCTTCTTTATTGTATCAATAAGAAAATTGAAGGCTAAGTATTTAACAGACCTGTCAAAGGTCACACTGCAAGTTAAGTGACAACACCAACTTCAAACCTAGGTCATTGGATTCCAATTTCCAAACCTTTCTATTAAAGTATACAATAAATGTCTCTTCAGAAATGCATTAAAGTACATAATTCAAAATTTCCCTCCCAAACTTAAATAACTCAAAGCATGTAATGATATTATACAATTTCTCACATCCTATTTCAGACTTTGAAATTTATCACACTTTAGACTTACCAAAAAGCATCATGTAGATGTACTCAGCAACTTGAAACAGAAACTTTTCCATTTCTGATTCAAAGTGTGTAACTAAATCCATTCCATGTTTTGCTATATTTGCTATCATAATAATGTGATGTATGCAATCCATTATAGGCCTTCTGTGAATCTTTAATGCCTATTTTATGGCTCTATTTTATTCTCAATAGTTAAGATATATATATAATATTCACTAGCTATATATAGAACATATATATATATCAATATTCACTTGACATATATATAGAATATTTTTTAAATATTCACTTCACTTGATTTATCTCTTACATACAGTTTAATTTTTCCAGACTTTGAACTTGCTTTTTTTCATATTTTCTAGTTACATGATTTGACATTTGGCTTTTACTCTTCAAGGAAACTGATTTATCCCAACAATCTTTCTCTCCTCTAAAATATTTATGAAAAAACTTTTCAAGTGCTCAAATGACAACTGAAAACATTTTTATTGATCACCATTAGCAACTTCCAAAAACATATTATTTATTAACTTCTTCCTAGCCTCCTACCTACTACTCCAACTCTACTGTTTCTTTTGTCAAACTTGAAAATTCTGATCCATTTATTTTACTTCACTTCTTCAGGTAGTTTCTCAATTTGGAGAAATTGTAATGTTGTTTGCTGGACAAGGCTGACCTCTAAGAATCTGATGGATGACTCACTATTTGAGATCCCTATAGCTGGCTCTATGACCAGCTAAGCATCCGTGCTTCCAACTCTTTAAGGCTTTGTCGCTACAGCCGTCACCAAAAAAGACATTGAAGGACCAATAATCTCTACTTTCCACTTGCCTCTCATGATGACTCTATGTGGTAGTGACCTTTGGGAAGTGGGGTTTGCCTAGCATGCAAGAATGTGGTGTACCGCCACTCCTCCAGTCCTGCATTAATTGCAGACATCTCTAATCCCTGCAGCCTCTTCCACTAAGCCAGACTTGGCCTCATAATAATTTCCTACAGTTCTGTAAATCAAAAGTCCAACACAAGTCTCACTGGGCTATGATCAAGATGTTGGCAGGGCGGTGTTTCTTTCTGGAGGCTGCAGGGGAGAATGTTGCCTTGCCTTTTCTCACTTTGGAAGGCTACCTTCATTGGCTCCTTCCTCCATGTTCAAAGTCAGAAAGAGAAGGGCAAATCCTTCTCACATTGCTTCATTCCTACTTTTCTGCCTCAATTTTCCACTTTTAAGGACTGGTGCAATTAGATTGGGCTCACCTAGAAAATCCAAGATATTCTCCCCATCTCAACCTTAGTCATATTTGCAAAGCCCATTTGGTCATAGAAGGTAACATAGGCTCCAGGGATTAGGACTTTGGACATCTGACTATTCTGCCATCTGCAGATAAATGTATATTCATACATGCATATGTAAAATGATTAAGATACACTAAGAAACAATGGGCTTTTTAATATATAGGATATAATTTTATCTGTGTAAAAAATATTTCTTATATCTACATTTAATGTGATGTTTGCAAATATGTAACAAAAGGAGGAAGACTCAGTCCTTAGTTATATATAAACGGTCTTCTACAGTGAGGAATGGGATTAGGAGTGGATAGGAAAAACAATGTACACATTTTACTTGACTTAAACTTACATTGATTTTTTTAAGCACATGGGGATTTTTATATTGTTATTATTTAGACAGCATCATGTTAAAAAATAGATCTACAAAATAAAATCACGGTAATTTTTAATATACCATATTACGGAAATATGTTACATCTTAGACTACATTTCTGTTTTTAAAAAGTGGTCAGAAAAATCACATGTACAATACTAAGAGGAAATACTTTAAAATTGTGGACAAGAAATGGGTACAGCTATTTATTAAAATTATGAAACATGATTGGGGAATTTACAAAGACAATTGAAATAAACACACAGATATTCTACAAATGTGATAGAGGAAATTGAATATTATATTGACATTAAGTCTTCCAAAATAATTTATTGGTTAACAGACTAGCCCAATAAAATATTAATACATTTTTAAATGCAATAATAATTAGAGCCATATGGTAGTGGCACCAAACTCAATTTCTGCAGAAGTGGAAGAGAATAAATAGCCAAGACATACGTGCATAAAAAGAGACACACACACACTCTATTTGAAGAATTATTCAAGCTTATCTTATCACAAATTCCAAAAAGAATTGTGAATAGTTTAATGCAGGGTTTCTTGACCTCAGTGTTACTGATATTAGGACCTGATATTCTTGAGGGTGGGGAGTACCTAGCAGATATCAGTAGCAATCCCACCCCACCCACCTCTCCTGTCCTCCACCTCCGGTTGTGTCAACCAAAAATGTGTTTAGACATTGCCAAATGTCCCCTAGGAGAACTATTAGTTTAAAGTTTTTTATACATATATATTTCAAGTATCAGTAGTGTGTGTGTATATGTATATATATATACATATATATACACTTTAAAATATATATATATCTTTTTTCAGACAAATATCAAAAGAAAAAAGGTTTTTTTCCTCACCTCACTAGTAATCAAAGAAATACATATTAAAATAAGAAGCATACTTTTTATTTAACAAAATTTAATCAAAACAGGGGCAACTAAAATGTGTGAGATACTAAACATTGGCAAAGCTGGATTAAAATAGCACTGATTGTGGGAAGGAAAGTTCATAAAAACTTCTGGAAAGATTTCTAGAAAGATATTTCGCAATATGTAACAAGGGCCTTACCTGTCATTCTAGTAATCTTGTAATATAGTATTATTGTTCTGGAGTCTTCAGGACTGTAACCTAAGGAAATAAATCAGAGATACTAAGAAATACATGGTTTAAGATGTTTATTACAGAATTATTGAAAATAGTAAAAGTTAGTTTCCAACAATAGGTGAGGGGTAGAAATAAATAAGATATAACCATATAATAAAATATTAAAAGCACATGTTTGAAAAATAAGTATATTGAAAACTGCTTGTGATATAATATTATATGGAGAAGCTAGAATACAAATCTGTGTCTAAATTATGCCCCAGCACCTGCTGTGGTACTCATTATGTATTTGCTGAATTAATGAATAAACAATTACAATTTCAGATATGTATGTCGAATGGTAAAAACTGTAATTACTATTGCATCAACCTAATATAATGGGGTAGGGAGTATTAAGAAGCGGTAACTGAAATGTGTGAGGTTAGAAGAGAGAAAAATAAAGGGGAGAGTAATAAGAATTTAGCTACTTAAAATTAGTTTTGGTAGCTAGACTGAATTTCTCAAACAGAAAGGAGTGAAAGTGGATTTGGGTGACTTCAATTTTTTTTGAAACTTCTACATTTTCCAATATTTGTATAATAAATATATTACTTCTATAATTATTCAATTTCTTTTAATTTGAGAAGTCCCTTTGGATTTTCAAACTCCATTCTCATTTGACTTCTTCTGCTACAGACCAGACTGTCAAATGATGTCACAAATCAACTAGATTATTTGGTATGTGCAACATAGTCCATTTAATTAATATCTAAAAAAAATGATTGCAATACAGTCTTCTTCTAACTCAATAATAGTTAAGGAAAGACTTAACACCAAAGTGGGTGCCTGTCTAGGTCACAATCCCCTTCAGCAATTGTCTTTCACAAGCTTTCAATTCATGTGACTCAGTCCCTATTCGATCCACATTTGTGTGTGAAAACTTTGCAAGATACTTTTCTGTGTGCTTCACCAAAAAACAAAGGATATTGTCTCTGCAGCACTTCCGTTATCAATTAATTCTGTGGTTCCACCAAAACAGCAATCAAATCCCTCTGGCATCAGTTGTTGGACTGCCAGTATCTTCCATTATTACTCAAGAGATAATTATTTCCTGAAGGTTTACAGATGTTTCCCCATTTCTATTTTTTACTGTATTTAATTAAAATATGAACTGAAACAACCAGACAGCATTTCAAAATTCAGTGCCCTCCATTGGCTTGGTTTTCCCTTAAAATTCATAGACGGGCTTGTCTAGAATCCTGTAACCCTTTTCATCTCCCTTGTCCATAACTAGGTGAACTGCTCAAAGAACGCTATAGGATTGTTCTTTTTGTTTCTACTTAGCCTTCAGAAAAAAACCCTTAAAGAGCACTCCCAGGAGAGAGTAAGCAAAAAAAACAAAAAAAAGCAAGCCATTCTAAGACTTCTGTTATAGTCTATTACTCTCCTGCCCCTCTCATTTAGTAAATTTAGCAAACACCTCTAGGCTTTCTCCTCACTGTTCACATAGTTCCCATAAACAGGCTTAGCTCCCTAGCAAAAATTGTTTTTCTATGTTTTCCAAAAGAGATTAAGTTTTCAGTTGTAGTTAACCACAGAATCTCTACAGCCACCACAGAACATTAACTAGTGTGCACTGGTTTTGTCTAATGAAATCATAAAACTATTATAATCGATATTTGGTAATAAAATTTCAGAATGGGCCATCTTTATGATGTTAAATATGAAGCAAATGAGATAATTACCATATAATATGTTGCCTACCAAAAGCCGTGATTACTTGCTGACCAGTAACTTTCCTTTATGCTGAAATTCCTTTTTGATCTCGTGGTCAGATGTCCATTTAAGTTAGCCCCCAAAACCGAGATTTTTTTTTTTTTTTCAGCTGGAGTCTCACTCTGTTGCCCAGGCTGGGGTGCAGTGGCATGATCTCGGCTCACTGCAACCTCTGCCTCCCAGGTTCAAATGATTCTCCTGTCTCAGCCTCCTGAGTAGCTGGGATTACAGGCGTGTGCCACCACGCCCAGCTAATTTTTTGTATTTTAGTAGAGACAAGTGTTTCACCATGTTGCCCAGGCTGGTCTCGAACTCCTGAGCTCAGGCAATCCACCCACCTCAGCCTCCCAAAGTGCTAGTGTGTCTGAAGTTAGTTCCTTCCAGTGGGTTCTTGGTCTCGCTGACTTCAAGAATGAAGCCACAGACCTTCATGGTGAGTGTTACGGCTCTTAAAGGTGGCATGGACCCAAAGAGTGAGCAGCAGCTAGATTTATTGTGAAGAGCGAAAGAGCAAAGCTTCCACAATGTGCAATGGGACCCCAGCAGGCTGCCGCTGCTGGCTGGGGTGGCCAGCTATTATTTCCTTATTTGTCCCTGCCCATGTCCTGCTGATTGGTCCATTTTACAGAGCTCTGATTGGTCCATTTTACAGAGTGCTGATTGGTGCATTTACAATCCTCTAGCTAGACACAGGGCACTGATTGGCGCGTTTACAATCCTCCAGCTAGACAGAAAAGTTCTCCAAGTGCCCACTTGACCCAGGAAGTCCAACTGGCTTCATCTGTCAATCCCCCCTCTAAACAGGACACCCCAACTGCTGTTGGGAATTGGGTGATGACCGCTCTAGCTACTTACTGCTGGATAGGGGCGAAGAAGGGGCCCTGCAGTGTTAGTGTCCTCCAGAGGGGAACTCTCTAGGCCAGCCAAAGGGTCAGTGGGTTGGTCCAGGGGGTCCTCGGTAGAAGTTGTTAGTTGAGCTCATTTGGGGTTCCATTCGTAAGACCATCAGTAGCTTGATGGCCTCGATCCTGGAGGAAACAAATTTGATAAGGAGGTTAAAAACACAGAGCCCGAAGGCGAGTAATAGCAAGATGGCTGTCACAGGACCTAGAAAGGGGAGAAGCCATGTTGCCCAACTCCAGAGGTTGGTATAAGAGTTTGAAAGGTGTTGCCTGATGTCAGAAGCCTTTTCCTGTAAATGCTGGGTGGCATCTCGTATGATCCCTGACTGGTTAGTGTAAAAACAACACTCTTCCCCTAAGAAGGGGCAAAGTCCTCCTTTCTCAGCAGTAAGGAGGTCTAGGCCTCAGCGGTTTTGGAGAGTCACTGCTGCCAAAGAGTCTATTTGGGACCGTAGAGTAAGGATAGATTTTGTTATTTCTTGCAAACTGTCTGAGAAATCCTTTGATAGTGTGTGGTAGTAGGATAATGCAGTAGATAAACCTACTATTCTGGTTTCTGTAGCAGTAGCCATTCCTAACCCTATAAGTAGGGGTATTAGTTGTATGGCCCTGCACTGATGGACTTGAGCTTTGAGGAGCACTGATAGGGTCTGACTAGGATTACAGGCTTGAGCCACCACACCCAGCCCAAACTGAGATATTTTTTATAGTAACAGCAATGTTTATTAAAAAGTAGAGTCAAGATAACATGAGTAAACAAAAATGTAAGTCATCCTATTTCTGGGACACCCACTTCTCATAGCCACGGCAACCAGAAATAGACATCAGAGGTGACATGGACTCCAAAAATAGTTGTGACATATCAGCTTTACCAGAATTTATGATACTATGAAACTTTGACCAAGAAGATCTCAGGGTAAGTGTATTTTATAAATTCTGGTACTTTAAAATAGCAGAAAGTAACTAACTTTTCTTATTCAGGATAATTTTTTATTTCAAAATTCTGAAGTAATCATCCAATTCCTTCATTAAACTGGAATTAAGTGTTGGAGATAAAGTGGACTATTGGCATGATCTTAGAGAACTAAGTTTTATACCAAGTTTTGTAAATAAATAAAAGTATGTTTCAATATTGATTTTTAACTTCTAAGCTTTCCCAGGACAGATTTCTTCCCCAAATCTCCACATTTTAGTGCAATTTATAATTTTTGCAAAGTGTCAGCTGGGAACATTTGTATCTAAAACACAGTTTAAAGATTGAAAAGGGGCTGGACATGATGGCTCACTCCTGTAATTCCAACAGTTTTGGGAGGCCAAGGTGGGAGGATCACTCTAGCCCAGAAATTCAAGCCCAGCCTAGGCAACAGAGGGAGACCCCATCTCTACAAAAAATTTTTTAAAAAATCACCCAGGCATGGTGGTGTGCGTGTGTGGTCACAGCTCCTTGGGAAACTGAGGTGGGAAGATTGTTGAGCCCAGACAATGTAGGCTGCAGTGAGCTGTGATCCCAACACTGCACTCCAGCCTGCAGAGCTTAGCTAGAGCCTATCAATCAATCAATCAAATCAATGGATGCTAAATGTTTAAAAGCTATATAACCTTGTTGCTCCAAGCATTGATAATTTAGGAGTTCTTAATACCTCCTTCCATATTCAAGTCATTAATAAGTTATTTCGTATTCTTTCCCAAGTCTCTCTGAATTTTTTTCACCTTTCTCTGGTTCCATTATTGTCCCCTAAGCCCCAAATATGCCATTATCTCTAGCCTGGTCTACTGCAGCATTCTCCTAATTAGCTTCTCCTATCTACCTTTGCCCCTTTCCAATCCATTCTCCACATGGTACCAGAATAACCTTTTCAAAATGCAAATCTAGTTATATTACACCCCCACCCCACACAGAACTCTTCAAAAGCTTTTTATTTTCCCATAGCTAAAGGCCAAAATGTTTCACATGGCCATTAGCACCCTACTTGCTCTGGACCCTCAGAGCAAAATAATGTATTATCTTTGCTACAGTCAGAAAATACTGTTTTCTATATTTTTCTATTCATCTGGCTGAGTTTCTTAACAAATATATTACCTTTTTCCAAGATGCATTTTATTAGAAACAACTCTAATCAGCAGAGTCTACATACTTCATACCAGTTTGCTTTGGTCTACTATTTTACTGCTTTGAAGCAGCTTTAATTAATGGTTTGCTGTTTTCTCTGGAAAGCAAACACTTTACTCCAAAGAGAATGAAAAACCCCTGAGATAAATTGTACAATAATCAAGAAGCTGAATACAGTTTTCTCTAGGAATTGAAATCATTTCCTGAGAAATTCAATGTGCCTGTTTCACTGGAAGAAATTCTATTGCCAGCACTTTATTTATTGATTCTCTTAGGCTTGTGTGATCTTTTGTTCCATAAAATTGGGCAGTTTCAAGGTTTGATATACCTCAGCCAACTAACAGCAAGAAAACAATCTACCCATTTTCGGCACCATGCAGCAAAAAGTTGTCCTGAGCCTGACCTAGCCTGGGAACCTTACCTCTTCTCATCCTTTGTTCTCCTCTTTAATGCTAATCATGTGAACTGTGCTAAAAAAGCCAAGCCAAAAAAGTGAAATCCTGCTCTCAGCCCCAAGGACCTGTCACCTTTTATATGAAACTCAGCTTAACTGAGATCTAAGAGGTTCAGTTCTATAGAAGGTTTTACAGAATGACTGTCTGCTCCCAGGAAAGCTAACTTGGGGTCAGGCAACTAGATAATAGAGGAAGCTACCAATCTGCTTGAAAGACTTTTTATAAATCTTTTATATGCTGAGGTTTTAGGGGTTTTGTCCCAGCAGCCCAAGATCTTTGCCATGATTTCCAATATAGTCTTCCTTTGGATGTAACAGGGCTTTACTCATATTCAAGTTACTTTTTTTTTGGTGTATTCTCTTTATTCTGATCATTCTGATCATTTCCTTTATGTATTTCAAATACTGATATTAGACCTTAGAAGCTTTAATTATGTTTATGTGCATAGTATTATCTTCCCCAGAATCTTGTCTTTGAATCTGTTCATTTACAACTGTGTCCTTAGTGTTACATGTAACAATATTGATCCTCACGCTTGTGCCTTAGTAACACTGGTGGAACATTCCTTGTGAATAATGGCTGCATTCATTTTCTATTGCTGCAGTAACAAATGACCAGAAGCTTAGTGGTTTAAAACAACACAAATTTATTTTCTCAGAGTTCTGGAAGTTGGAAGTCTGAAATGTTTCTCACTGGGCTTAAATCAAGGTGCCAGCAGGGCTTGTTTTTCCCTGGAGGTTCTGAAGGGAGGATCCATTTTTTTTTGCCTCTTTTTGGCTTCTAGTGAGGTCTCATCTTTGGCTTGTGGCCCTTTTCTCCATCCTCAAAGCACTTCACTGCATTCTTCGCTTTTGCCACCACCCCATCTTTTTCTCTGCTGCTAGTCAAATCTCACCCTGCCTCTTTCATATAAGGATTCTTACAATGACATTTAAGGCCCACACAGATAATCCATAATAATCTCCCCAATTCAAGATCCTTAATCACATCTGCAAAGTCTCTAAGGTAACATTTCTACAGGTTCTGGGGAATAGGGCATGGGCATTTGGGGGACCATTATTTAGTCTACCATAATGCCCATATGGTTGATATCTTCACGATCACTCTTTTGGAGAGTCACAGAAAACTTGCAACATGGCCATGGTTCAAACCCCTAGCCAATATAAACTAGGCTCACATAACACTTTCTTGAGATCTTAGTGATAAGGGTCCCCATCTTTCTAGTGATGAGCCAGTAAGCTCATCCTCCTCAGCATCTCACCTGACCACACACAGATGCAGCCTCACCTCTGCCCCAGAAACCAGTGTAGTGCTGAATGAGAGCACCTGGTTTTTAAAATCAAATACTTTACAAATGACAAGAGCAAAAATTGCAAAGTAAAAACAGTTCATACAGGTTACCCATTAGGTAATAGCAAAACATACTGTTTGGGCTCTGCCTTAACTAGGGTAGAAAGGAGGAAAAACAGAACTGAGATCTTAAGATGCCACTTTCTAGTTAATTTCAAAAATATTAGGCTCCAAAATGACAGATTAAAAGAATAATTTGAACTCAATACACAGTCCCTAGATTATTTCACAAACATGAAGGGACCTCCTTGTCTATTTATAAACATCATCTAGTTCACCCTCTGCCTCCAGGATTGTACATATTAATACCAATAACTTTTCCTTAAAAAAGTTTCTAAATATTCAAAGTGGCTGATTCCAATCCTTAATCTTCTCAGGAAAGGACTTCTAAACATGAATGTAGGTGCTTTGCCAATGCTTCAGAATGCAGTGCGGCAGCTCTCTCTCACATCTTGGAGAAGTTATTTTCATCCTGTTGTGCTATCTCACACATGATGGTGCAAAACAGTTAACATAAACTGGTTTACACATTCTGGAGGGAACAAATTTAAAAAGTTAATGCAACTTATTTTTAACTTAAATATGAAATTACTTTCACAAAAAGGACTTAAGAGTATTTAAAATGGCCAAGAGTTTTCTGGATGATTATTGATTATGCCTGATGTTCAATACGTTATGGTATGGTTACAATAAAAATGAAGGATTCATTTATGCAGAATGACATTTTATCAAGCCCACTGGGCAACCATCTTTCTGCCTTTCCTCCACTATAATATTTATATTATTAATGGAAACATTATCTGAAGCCAGTCTCATGCCCATTTCCTGAGGCACTACTCTGGGCATCTTCCTGTGGTTTTAATACATTAATGACCATCTTTATTCTTTTTTTTATGAGAATTTGACCAAAATTGAGCCCTTGTGACAATATTCACATCTGAGCTAATTTGACTTAATTTTCCAAGTTGGCTTCATGAAGCACAGTAGCAAAGTGCTTTATTAAAATCTGGATAATCAAATTAGCCTATTCATCTACTAACCGTGTGCTTGTATCACATGATTAAATTCATTTTTTATAGTAAACTCCTATCAATTATACCAGAGTAGATGAAGTCAATGATCATAAACATTTTGCTTCCCTGTGTTTTCCATGCTAGGTAGAATTTTAAGGTTAGCTTTGGGCATGTAGCCTAAAATACAAACTGCAAATTTAACCTCTGTTGAGGTGATATTTATATTGAAGGGCTCACAGTAGAAATCTAGAATATTAGAAACATTATTTTAAAAGGTACCTCTCTGCTTTAAAAGAAAAGGTCTTTCAACTCCACTGGGCTACATAAAGATACCTCCAAAGTTATAACATGCGTTAATTTTACTTGGGGTGTAGGGTGTAGGGGGATGGTGATGCAAGGTCAATATTTCAACAAAATTGAAAGATTTTACATTCCAAATGTCTTTACTTCTAGAACTTTATTCTCACACAAGTTGAACAGCCTGATCTGCAAGCCTAAGAAGCACTAACAGGATCAAAGACATCCTAAAAAGCCAGCTTTATAAATGGATCAATCTCCAGAAATATGTCTTACCAGGATGGGTTCTAAGTGTGCAATGTTCATTGCTAATCTGGAAATCCTCATATAAACTCAATCCTGGAGCCAAATAAAATGGATTTAGTCCTACAAGTAACTCTGAGCTTCTTTGGGACAATATATGGACAAATATTTGGTTCCAAATCTAAACTTTTTTCCAGAATCCTTTTATTCTCTGTAATCACCCATAATATTTGGAGATCTGACTCAGGCAAAAACATGTGGACTAAGGAGGGGAGAAGGTATCTTAGGGCTGAACTAGATTGATTAGCAAAAAATAATTGCCAATTTTCTGAAGAATTTTCAAGTCTAAATTTTCGACGAATATAAACCAGGCAAACATGATGCTTTTATCCAACCTTGGTGGAAACCATTAAATGTGCTTCCAGTGTCACGGGGCTCCGATTCTGAAAAATATCAAAGCCCAGGTCCCTCAGGTCCCCCAGTTTACTCCTACCCTGTTCCAGAGATCAGCATATTGTCAAAAGGACCTTTCTGATTCTCAGGCAAAATATTTTCTATCTCTTACATAGAGTAGTAACTAAAAAGACTGCATCTTTAGGAAACGAAGACAAATTGTTGCAGAGAAGCTACCTGTCTTTAAAAGAAGGGATGATTTATTTTTTTCTCTCTCTTAACTAGAACAATTAATTGGTAACATAATAGAAACTCTCAGCAGTAAATGAGAAATGGCCTAATCCCTGAATAGATCACAAACAGAGTGGGAAGTGTTTTTTCTGCTTTAATTGCAGGAGTTGATGTTCAAAGAATTCCCCTGCTCCTCTTGGTTCTGTTGTGTTGCTGACTTCAGGACTTAAAAATCTGAGAATAGAGGTTCAACTTGTTAATCTAAGGAAAAATAAAAATTAAAAATTGGAGGCCTAATTATCTTTGTTAAAAATAAGGGAAGAGACAGTTTCTACTTTTGTGTCTAAGAGCCTGGAAGTCACCACTCCGTCTTAACAAGTAAAAAGCTGAACCGATTGAAAAACCAACAAGTGTTCTAGAATCCGTAAGAGAAGTGAGGACACAGGGAAAATAAACAAACAAAAAGACTGCCCCCAATATTGGAGAAACAGGTGAATACAGGGAGTTGTAACTTACCAGAATAGAGATTCTAAGCGGAAACTGCCACAAGAACGAGTGCTGCTGTGGGAAAGCCTGAACTGTAATTGACAAATTGCTAGACAACTCTGAGAGTTAAAAATAACTGCAAGGTGACTCAGTCATAGGAAGCCCCCACAATTTTATGAGGTTTATTTCCAGGAGCTTGACTAGGTTCTCACTGTAAATATCAGAAAAAATATCAGTCAGTTCTAGCCATCCTATCCCACCTAAGGGGAGGAAAAAAATGGATAAATATTTGTGAAGTTCACAGAAGAGAAGCACAGGCTTACTAAAAGGCTGAGACCTAATCATAGGCCAGTAGAACACTTCCCTTTTCCCCTCATCTCACCACCACATTACTGAATGACTACTTATACCAGTTTATTCTGCTCAGTACATTTATGTTTGATTATCAAAAAATCACAATGCAGGCCAGGCATGGTGGCTCATGCCTGTAATCCCAGCATTTTGGGAGGCCGAGGCGGGTGGATCACCTGAGGTCAGGAGTTTGACACCAGCCTGGCCAACGTGGTGAAACCCCATCTCTACTAAAATACAAAACTTAGCTGGGTGTGGTGGTGGACACCTGTAATCCCAGCTACCCAGGAGGCTGAGCCAGGAGAATCACATGAACCCGGGAGGTGGAGGTTGCAGTGAGCCAAGATCCTACCACTGAACTCCAGCCTCGGTGACAAAGCAAGACTCTGTCTGAAAAAAAGAAAGAAAGAAAGAAAAATTACAATCCATACTAAAAGGCAAAACCCAAAACTTATTTATTTTTAGATAGGGTCTTGCTGTGTTATTCAGGCTGGAATAAAGTGGCGTGATAATAGCTCACTGTGACCTCCAACTCTGAGCACTTCAGCCTCCTAAGTAGCTGGGACTATACATGTATGCCACCACTAATTTTTTATGTTTTATTTTTTGCAGAGAGGGAGGCCTCACTATGTTGCCCAGGCTGGTCTCGAACTCCTGGCCTCAAATTATCCTCCTGCCTCAGCCTCTCAAAGTGCTGGGATTACAGGTGTAAGCCACCATACCCATCCAAAAACCACAATTTGAACAGATAGAGCAAGTTTCAGAACTAGACATAGCAGGGATGTTGAAATTACTAGATCAGGAATTTAAAACTATAATGAATATGCTAAGGGTTCTCATGGATAAAAAAGAGAACATGTAAGAACAGACAGGCAATGGAAGTAGAAAAATGAAAATCTTATGTAAGAACCAATGAAAACACTAGAGATGAAAAACACTGTAAAAGAAATAAAGAATGCATTTGATAATAGGTGAGGCTAGTTTGCAGATTGGACACAGCTAAGGAAAGAATCTCTGAGCTTGATGATATCTCAATAGAAATCTCCAAAACAGAAAAGTAAAGATATCAAAGACTGAAAACAACCAACCAAAACAGAAAAAACAGAGTATCCAAGGACTGTGGGACAACTACAAAAGGTGTAACATGTGCATACTGGGAATACCAGAAGGAGAAGAAAGGAGAAAGGAACAGTAGAAATGCCTGAAATATTAATGACTGAAAATTTTCCCAAATTAATTTCAGACACCAAGCCCCAGGTCCAGAAAGCTCAGAGACTACCAAGCAGGATAAATGCCAAAACAAAACTACAATTGGGCGTATCGTTTCCAAACTACAGAAAATCAGATAGGCAAAAAGTGTGAAAGACGTCACAGGAAAAAAAAAAAGACCTTACCTATGGAGGAAAGAAGATAAGAATTACATCTGACTTCTCCTCAGATAAGCGAAGATAAGAATTACATCTGACTTTCTCCTCAGAAACCATGGAAGTAAGAAGAGAGTGGAGTGAAATTTTTAAAATTAAAACATTGAAAATGTTGAGAGAAAACAGCAACATGGAATTCTGTACCCTTCAAAATTAGCCTTCAAAAATAAAAGGGATATAAAGACTTTCTCAAATAAAAATTGAGGGAATTCGTTGTCAGCAGATTTGTTGCTCATATATAAGTAAAATGGATAATAGTAATGATACAAGAGACAAGAGAGAGGAATTAAAATTATTTATTATAAAATACTAACACTACCCATGAAATTATATAGTATTAATTAAAAGTGGCACCTGTAATCCCAACACTTTGGGAGGTCGAGGCAGGTATGTCACTTGAGGTCAGGAGTTTGAGACCAGCCTGGCCAACATGGTGAAATCCTGTCTCTTCTAAAAATACAAAAAAAATTATCTGGGCATGGTGGTGCATGCCTATAATCCTAGCTACTCAGGTGGCTGAGACAGGAGCATTGCTTGAACCTGGGACACAGAGGTTGCAGTGATCTGAGATTGTGCCACAGAACTCCAGTCTGGGTGACAGAGTGAAACTATGTCTCCAAAAAAAAAAGTGGATATGTATTAGTTATAAATGTGTATTTTAAAATCTACAGAAACTACTAAAAAAAGGTTTTTAAAAGGAGAAATATAACTGATATGTTGAGAAGAGAAAATATATAAAATGCTAGTTAAAAACCACGAAAGCATAAAATACAGGAGGAAAATGGCAAATAGGAGACAGGACTGATGTGGAGCTCCTACTTGGACAGACAAAACGGCATGTGTAAACTCACATCATGAACTTTTGTGCCAACCACCACTGCAGGAACATACCAGGAAAAATGTAAGAATTCACTGACCCTTTGAAAAAAGCAGCTTGGGGGTATATACCCAAAGGACTATAAGTCATGCTGCTATAAAGACACATGCACACGTATGTTTATTGCGGCATTATTCACAATAGCAAAGACTTGGAACCAACCCAAATGTCCAACAACGATAGACTGGATTAAGAAAATGTGGCACATATACACCACGGAATACTATGCAGCCATAAAAAATGATGAGTTCATGTCCTTTGTAGGGACATGGATGAAATTGGAAATCATCATTCTCAGTAAACTATCGCAAGAACAAAAAACCAAACACTGCATATTCTCACTCATAGGTGGGAATTGAACAATGGGAACACATGGAAAGGAAGGGGAACATCACACTCTGGGGTCTGTTGTGGGGCGGGGGGAGGGGGGAGGGATAGCACTGGGAGATATACCTAATGCTAGATGACGAGTTGGTGGGTGCAGCACACCAGCATGGCACATGTATACATATGTAACTAACCTGCACATTGTGCACATGTACCCTAAAACTTAAAGTATAATAATAAATAAATAAATAAAAGAAAAAAGCAGCTTGGGCCTGGCACGGTGGCTCACGCCTGTAATCCCAGCACTTTGGGAGGCCAAAGCAGGTGGATCACGAGGTCAGGAGTTTGAGACCCTGGACAAGATGGTGAAACCCCATCTCTATTAAAAATATAAAAATTAGCTGGGTGCAGTGGTGGTTGCCTGTAATCCCAGCTACTCAGGAGGCTGAGGCAGGAGAATCACTTGAACCCAGGAGACAGACATTGCAGTGAGCCAAGATCACGCACTACAGTCTAGCCTGGACAACAGAGCAAGACTCCGTCGCAAAAGAAAAGAAAAGAAAAGAAAAAAAAAAAAGCAGCTTGCTGCTGCAAATTCTGAGACAGCCAAAAAACTGGGAGTTCCCAAAGTGTGAGGGGAGAAGAGTCTACCTCCAAACACATATCCTTACTGGGGAACCTAAAAATCCAGATCATGGGAGAACGACTTAACCTTACCCAAAACTGAAATGGATTTAAGGAGCTGAGTGAAATATAAAAATAGAAGAAACAGCAAAAAGAGCCCTTTAGTCACTTCCAGTCCCCAGCTGAAACCCAGGGAAGCCATCCCTGGCTGTATCTCACAGGAATCCTTGGGGAAGGCAGCTAGCAGAACTGGGGAGGGGCCACAGGATAAAGGAAGCTTCCAGCTGAACTTTATAATAATTTCAACTGAGCACAAATTTTCCTCAGAATCCAAGGAGTGAATGGGAAGTGCAGATACAAGTGCAAAAGCCACAGCCAACAGTGCGGGCAGCACACTAAAAACTACAACCAAGAACTCCCAGAGTCCACTTCAACCCCTGCCATCTCCACCAGAGCAGGTGCTGGTAACCATGGTTGGGAGACCTGAAGACATATCACATCACAGGACTCTGCAGACATTCCCCAGCACCAGCCCAGAGGTGGGCTGCTGGGTGGCTAGACCCAGAAGGGCAATAATAATATTTTAAAATCTACAGATTCCTGAGGCTCTCAGTAAACCCCATCCCTTTGTGAAGCGGGAGAGCTCCCATTAAGAGATCACCCTGTGGGACAAAAGAGTCTGGACAGCAGCCTTTGAGTTCTGTATCTTTCCACTGAAACAGTCTACCCAAATGAGAAGGAACCAGAAAAGCAATTCTGGTAATATGACAAAACAAGGACCTGTAACACTGCCAAAAGATCACACTACCTTTCCAACAATAAATCCAAACCAAGAAGAAATCTCTGGATTGACAGAAAAAGAATTCAGATAGTTGATTATTAAGCTACTCAAGGAGGTACCAGAGAAAAGTGCGTACAACTTAATGAAATTCAAAAAAAAATACAGTATATAGTTGGAAAAGTCTCCAAGGAAATAGATATCATAAAGAAAAGACAATTACAACATCTTGAAGTGAAAAACACACTTAGAGAAATAGAAAATACACTGGAAAGTTTCAACAATAGACTGGAACAAGTAGAAGAAAGAACTTCAGAGCTCAAAGATAAGGCTTTTGAATTACCCAATCTGACAAAGACAAAAAAAATTTATGTCCAGCAGGAAAATATCACAATTCTAAATATATATATATATATATATATGCCTAACCCAAGAGCTCCCAAATTTATAAAACAATTATAACTACAACTTAGAAATGAGATAGACAGCAACACATTAATAGTGGGGGACTTCAATACTCCATTGACAGCACTAGACAGGTTATCAACACAGAAAGTCAACAAAGAAACAATGGATTTAAACTATACTGTAGAACAACAAATGAACAGATATTTACAGAAAATTCTACCCAACAACTGCAAAATATACATTCTTTTCATCAGCAAATGGAACATTCTCCAAGACCCACCATATGATAGGTCACAAATCAAGTCTCAATAAAATTTAGGAAAATTGAAATTATATCAAGTACTGTCTTAGACCACAGTGTAATAAAACCGAAAATTAACTCAAAAAGGAACTCTCAAAACTCTACAAATATGTGGAAATTAAATAATCTGCTCCTGAATGATCTTCAGATCAATAATGAAATCAAGATGGAAATTAAAAAAATTCTTTGAACTGAACAATAATAGTGAAACAACCTATCAAAATCTCTGAGATATGGCAAAGTGATGCTAAGAGGAAAGTTCACAGCATTAAATGCCTACATCGCTCATCATCACAGGTCATTAGAGAGATGCAAGAATGGCAATAATTAAAAAATTGAAACCTAATAGATGTTGGCGTGGATGTGGTGAAAGGGGACACTTTTACACTGTTGGTGGGAATGTAAACTTGTAGAGTCACCATGGAAAACATTATGAAGACCCCTTAAAGAACTAAAAGTAGAGCTACCATTTCATCCAGCAATCCCACTAGTAAGTATCTACCCAGAGGAAAAGGAGTCATTACATGAAAAACACACTTGAACCTGCATGTTTATTATAGCACAATTCACAATTGAAAAAATATAAAACCTGCCTAGATTCATTGATTTTTTGAAGGGCTTTTTGTCTGTATCTCCTTCAGTTCTGCTCTGATCTTAGTTATTTCTTGTCTTCTGCTAGCTTTTGAATTTGTTTGTTCTTGCTTTTCTAGTTCTTTTAATTGTGATGTTAAGGTGTCGATTTTAGATCTTTCCCGCTTTCTCTTGTGGGCAGTTAGTGCTATAAATTTCCCTCTAAACACTGCTTTAGCTGTGTCCCAGAGATGCTGGTATGTTGTGTCTTTGTTCTCACTGGTTTCAAATAACTTATTTATTTCTGCCTTAATTTCATTATTTATCAAGTAGTCAGTCAGGAGCAGGTTGTTCAGTTTCCATGCAATTGTGCAGTTTTGAGTGAGTTTCTTAAACCTGAGTTCTAATTTGATTTCACTGTGGTCTGAGACACTGTTTGTTACGATTTCTATTCTTTTGCATTTGCTGAGGAGTGCCTTACTTCAATTATGTGGTCAATTTTAGAGTAAGTGCAATGTGATGCTGAGAAGAATGTATATTGTGTTGATTTGGGGTGGAGAGTTCTGTAGATGTCTATCTATTAGGTCTGCTTAGTCCAGAGCTGAGCTCAAGCCCTGAATATTCTTGTTAATTTTCTGTCTCACTGAACTAATATTGGCAGTGGGGTGTTAAAGTCTCCCACTATTATTGTGTTGGAGTCTAAGTCTCTTTGTAAGTCTCTAAGAACTTACTTTCTGAATCTGGGTGCTCTTGAATAGGGGCCATATATATTTAGTATAGTTAGCTCTTCTTGTTGGATTGATCCCTTTACCATTACGTAAGGCCCTTGTCTTTTTTGATCTTTGTTGGTTTAAAGTCTGTTTTATCAGAGACTAGGATTGCAAACCCTGCTGCTGCTGCTTCTTTTTTGTTTTTTTCTTTTTGCTTTCCATTTTCTTGGTTACTATTCCTCTATCCCATTATTTTGAGCCTATGTGTGTCTTGGCATGTGAGATGGGTCTCCTGAATACAGCACACCAATGGGTCTTGACTCTTTATCCAATTTGCCAGTCTGTGTCTTTTAATTGGGGCATTTAGCCCATTTACATTTAAGGTTAATATTGTTATGTGTGAATTTGGTCCTGTCTTTACAATGCTAGCTGGTTATTTTGCCCATTAGTTAATGCAGTTTCTTCATAGTGTCAATGGTCTTCATAATTTGGTATGTTTTTGCAGTGGCTGGTACAGGTTTTTCCTTTCCATATTTAGTGCTTCCTTCAGGAGCTCTTGTAAGGCAGGCCTGGTGGAGACAAAATCTCTCAGCATTAGCTTATCCACCACAATCAAGTTAGCTTCATCCCTGGGATGCAAGGCTGGTTCAACATATGCAAATCAATAAATGTAATCCATCACATAAACAGAACCAATGACAAAAACCACATGATTACCTCAATAGATGCAGAAAAGGCCTTAGATAAAATTCAACACCTCTTCATGCCAAAAACTCAATAAACTAGGTATTGATGGAACATATCTCAAAATAATAAGAGCTATTCATGACAAGCCCACAGCCAGTATCATACTCAATGGGCAAAAGCTGGAAGCATTCCCTTTGAAAACCTGGCCAGGACAATCAGGCAAGAGAAAGAAATAAAGCGTATTCTAACAGGAAGAGAGGAAGTCAAATTGTCTCTGTTTACAGATGACTTGATTGTCTATTTAGAAAACCCCATCATCTCAGCCCAAAATCTCCTTAAGCTGATAAGCAACTTGAGCAAAGTCTCAGGATACAAAATCAATGTGCAAAAATTACAAGCATTCCTATATACAAATAATACACAAAAAAAGAGCCAAATATTGAGTGAACTCCCATTCACAATTGCTACAAAGAGAATAAAATACCTAGGAATACAATTTACAAGGGATGTGAATGACCTCTTCAGGGAGAACTACAAACCACTGCTCAAGGAAATAAGAGAGGACACAAATAAATGGAAAAACATTCTATGCTCATGGATCGGAAGAATCAATATCATGAAAATTGCCATACTTCCAAAGTAATTTATAGATTCAATGCTATCCCCATCAAGCTACCATTGTCTTTCTTCTCAGAACCAGAAAAAAAACTACTTACACTTCATATGGAATCAAAACAGAGTGTATAGCCAAGACAATCCAAAGCAAAAAGAACAAACCTGGAGGCATCATGCTACCTGACTTCAAACTGTACTACAAGGCTACAGTAACCAAAACAGCATGGTAGTGGTACCAAAACAGAATATAGACCAATGGAACAGAACAGAGGCCTCGGAAATAACACCACACATCTACAACCATCTGATCTTTGACAAACCTGAGAAAAACAAGAAATGAGGAAAGGATTCCCTATTTAATAAATAGTGTTGGGAAAACTGGCTATCCCTGTGCAGAAAACTGAAACTGGACCCCTGCCTTACACCTTATACAAAAATTAATTCAAGATGGATTAAAGACTTAAATGTTAGACCTGAAACCATAAAAACCCTAGAAGAAAACCTAGGCAATACCATTCAGGACATAGGCATGGGCAAAGACTTCATGACTAAAACACCAAAAGCAATGGCAACAAAAGCCAAAATTAACAAATGGAATGTAAATAAACTAAAGAGCTTCTGCACAGCTAAAGAAACTATCATCAGAGTGAACAGGCAACCTACAGAATGGGAGAAAATTTTTGCAATCTATCCATCTGACAAAGGGCTAACATCCAGAATCCACAAGGAACTTAAACAAATTTACAAGAAAAAAACAAACCACCTCATCAAAAAGTGGGTGAAGGATATGAACAGACACTTCTCAAAAGAATACACTTATGTACCCAACAAACATATGGAAAAAAGCTCATCATCACTGGTCATTAGAGAAATGCAAATCAAAACCACAATGAGATACCATCTCACACCAGCTAGAATGGAGATTATTAAAAAGTCAGGAAACAACAGATGGTGGAGAGGATGTGGAGAAATAGAAATGCTTTCACACTGTTGGTGGGAGTGCAAATTAGTTCAACCATTGTGGAAGACAGTGTGACGATTTTACTGCAGCACTATTTGTAATAGCAAAGACTTGGAACCAACCAAAATGCCCATCAATGATAGACTGGATAAAGAAAATGTGGCACATATACACCATGGAATACTATACAGCCATAAAAAAGGATGAGTTCATGTCCTTTGCAGGGACATGGTGGAAGCTGGAAACCATTCTCAGCAAACTAACACAGGAATAGAAAACCAAATACTGCATGTTCTCACTCATAATTGAGAGTTGAACAGTGAGAACACATGGACACAGG
Organism: Homo sapiens; assembly: GCF_000001405.40. Lineage (NCBI taxonomy): Eukaryota > Metazoa > Chordata > Mammalia > Primates > Hominidae > Homo > Homo sapiens. The sequence continues at coordinate 47,537,030 of NC_000013.11, forward strand.
GAGGGGAGCATCACACACCAGGGCCTGTTGTGGGGTGCAGGGCTAGGGGAGGGATAGCATTAGGAGAAATACCTAATGTAGATGACTGGTTGATGGGTGCAGCAAACCAACATGGCACCTGTATACCTATGTAACAAACCTGCATGTTCTGCACATGTAACCCAGAACTTAAAGTATAATAAATAAAAAACAGAAAAAAAAACACAACAGCCTGAATGCATATCAACCAACGAGTAGATAAAGAAAATGTGGTATGTTGGGGTGTGTGTGTGTGTATACACACACGTACATTCATACCATGGAACAATACTCAAACATAAAAACTAATGAACTATTGGCATTCTCAGCAACCTGGATGGAGTTGGAGACCATTATTCTAAGTGAAGTAACTCTCGAATAGAAAACCAAACATTGTATGTTCTCACTTATGAGTGGGAGCTAAGCTATAAGGATGCAAAGGCACAAGAATGATATGATGGACTCTGGCAAATCAGGGAGAAGGGTGGGAGGGAGGTAAGGAATAAAAGACTACACATTGGGTACAGTGTACTCTGCTTGGGTGATGGGTGCACCAAAATCTTAGAAATCATCACTAAGTTACTTATCCATGCAACCAAACACCACCTGTTTCCCCAGAAAGCTATTTAATATTTGAAACCATGTTTTAAAAACCATTATTTAAAAATCATTTGGTTTTTAATTATTTAAAAACAAAAAAAAAGCAGAAAAAGAATAGAAGATAAAAATAGGAAAAAAACAAAGACAACAAATTTAAAAACAGTAACAAATATGGCAGCTATTAATCCAACTATACTAATAATGACCTTGAATATCAATGGTCTAAAAGCACTAATTAAAAGATACTTTCTCAGAGTGGATCAAAAAAGAAGAGTCAACAATATATTGTCTACAAAAAACCCATTTTAAATATAAAGGCACATATGGATTAAAAGTAAATGCTTGGAGATTAATATACTAACATTAATCAAAAGAAAGCAGGAGTTACTATATTAATTTCAGACGGAGCAAATCTCAAAGTAAAAGGAGTTATCAGGGATGAAGAAGGGCATTATGTCATATTAAAGGGTCGATTCTGCAAGAAAACACAAAAATCCTTAATGTCTTAATGTGTATATATGTAACAATAGAACTGCAGGGAGAAATAGATAAATCCACAATTATAGTTGGGTAATTTAATGCTCTTCTATCAGAAATGGACAGTTCCAGAAGGCAGAAAATCACTTATGATGAAGGTGAACTCAACAACACCACAATCAACTGGATATAATCAACAACCTATAGACTACTTCATCAACAACAGCAGAATATCCATTCTTCTCAAGTTTACATGGAACATTCACCAGGATAGGCCACATTCTGGGCCATAAAGCCAACCTTAATAAATTTAAAAGAATAACAATCATACAATGTCTGCTCTCAAACCACAGTGAAATTAAATTAAAAGCCGATAACAGAAAGACAACTGGAATACTCCTAAATGCACAGAGATTAAACAACAAACTTCTAAAATACATATGGGTCGAAAAGAAATATCAAGAGAAATTTAAAAATAATTTGAACTAAATGAAAATGAAAACATAATTTATGAAAATTTGTGGGATACAATGAAAGCAGTGCTTAGAGAATAATTTATAGCTTTGAATACATATAGTATTTGGATAGTGCCCAAAATGAATCTAGACACAGACCTTATATTCTTCACAAAAATTAGCTCAAAATGCATCATCAACCTAAGTGTAAAATGCAAAACTGTAAAAGTCATAGAAGATAACATACGAGAAAATCAACATGGCCTTAGATACGATGTGCCAATTTTAAATAGAGCAACAAAGCCATGATCCATGGAAAAAATAACTGATAAGCTGGACTTCATTAAAATTGAAAACTTCTTCTCTGCAAAAATCAATGTCAAGAGAATAAGACAAGCCATAGGCTAGGAGAAAATATTAGCAGAAAATGTCTGATAAAGAACTGTAGTGTCCAAAATATAAAATGAACTCTTAAAACTCGATAATAAAAAGACAAAAAACAAGATTAAAAAATGATTCAAAGACCTTAACAGATCTCATCATAGAAGACATACAGATGGCAAATAAGTGTATGAAAAAATGCTCCATATCATATGTCATCCAGGAAATGCAAATTTAAAAAACAATGAAATACCACTATACACATATTAGAATGGCAAAAATCCAAATACTGGTGACAATGTATTGAGCACTGTTTTACATTCTCATTCCATGAGAGCAACAAGAACTCTCATTCATTGCTGGTGGAAATGAAAGTTTAGAAGACAGTTTGGCGGTTTCTTATAAAACTATACATACTTTTACTGCATGATCTAGTAAGCATGTCTCCTAGTATTTATCCAAATAAGTTGGAAAATTTAGTTCACACAAAAACCTGCATGTGGATGTTTACAGCAGCTTAACACATTTATGCCTAGTGTTTCACTGTTGGAACGCTAAGCATTTGGAAGTTATTTATATCCTGTTGCTCAAGGTCATCACCAAAGTCTGTTTTTCAGACATCTCCAATTCAACAAATTGCAACCTCCAGCATAAATGGATTAATTCATTACTGCCAAAACTTGGAAGCAATTTAAATGTCCTTCATTAGGCAAATAAAAAACTATGGCACATTCAGACAATGGAATATTATTTAGTGCTGAAAAGAAATCAGCTATCAACCTGAAAAGACATGGAGGAGCCTTAAATGCATATTTCTGAGTGTAAGAAGCCAGTGAAAAGGTTACTTATTATATGATTTCCAACTATTAGATTATGGGAAAGGCAAAACCATGGAGACAGTAAAAAGATCAATGGTTGCCAGTGGTTTGGCAGGGAGCAGGATATAAATATGCAGCCACAGAGGATTTTTAGGGCAGTGAAAACACTGTGTATCATATTACAGTGGTGCATACATTTGTCCAAAACTCCAGGATGTAAAACACCAAGAGCGAACCCTAATGTAAACAATGAACTTTGGGTGAAAATGATGCATCCCTGTAGGTTCACAAATTATAACAAATCAACCAGTTTCGTGGGAGATGTTGATAGTGGGGGCGACTATAGTGCAGGGGCAGGGGGCATATGGGACATCTCTGTACCTTCCTCTAAATTTTGTGGTGAGCCTAAGACTGCTCTAAAAATAAATAAATAAGTATTAAAAAAAATTTCCTCCTTTTTCTTAAGGATTTTTTTCTGTAAACTTGTAAATTCTTTCTCTTTGAGATATACATTGGTTTTTGAAAGTCTCTTGACAGTTTTACAACCCAAGAATGTCTTTCTCAAGGACCTGGGAGACATCCCTGAAATGTAACCATCAAGGACATAGCACCCCTATCTCCCAGTTTCTACGAGAAGGTGAGAACCTAACTTCAGTGGGTGCCTTGCTCCAAGTTGCAGACTATATTCTGTCATAAAACCATGAGAAGTTTGCTTTTCTTTTCTATAAAGCCAATTAGCTAATGCAGATGGTCACCCAAATTACTAGGTAAATGTAGGATGAATTATGTGTGACAAATGGTCATGTCAAGTTCTCTTACTGGAGGACTAGTTATTCTATGTCTTGAGACATGTACATAATGTTCTCGGCTATGTAATCTGCCTGGCTATATAAAACAGTAACATTTCTTTCTGTCTTTACAATCTCCTGTGATGCATATTACATTTTGGTTTAATACTTCAATAACAAAACTGTTTTCTTTCTCTACTACCTTTGTGGAGAGGTTTTCTGGGCTGAGGGAAGATTTTTGTTTTTAGTTATATTTCCCCAACATTCCCTCTTTATCCTAAAATCCTAATTCAAACCCACCAGGCTAGGAAGACTGAAACACAAACTACAAATCTCAGAAAAATATGCATTTTGGGTTAATTTTTTTAATAGTTCTCACTCCTCATTAGCCCTGAGATATTCTCTCCTATTAGTAATACAAAATTGTTAAGTACTGCAAAAATAAGGCCTCTGTGACCATGTGCCTTTTATTAGGGGGATGGCAGGGGAGTTCTATTCTCTTGAGAGTTGGGCAAGATATATTTTATTTCTTTATTCTTCTGGCTATTTAATACAATTCAGAGGCATTGCACACATCCTTTATTGATGTGCGCTAATAAAAACCCTTAGGGTTTCTTATAATTAAAATACTCTGTCTTTATTTCTAACCACAAATCAAATTTCCTCAGGTTTCACCGATCTATGAAACAAATAAGGCTATATTTTTTAAAAGTAACTTGTTTCAATGGCTTATAACTCTCATTTGCTAAGACAGCACATTATAAAGATGCACCTAACATTTGAAGAAGACCAAGGAAAGGAAAAGATCCAGTTACCAGAACAGTGAAACAAAATAGAACAGGATCTCAAATGTGAAGCAAAGGCATCTTGTCGGGACTGAGGCTCGCAGTCAGAGTTGGATGAGAAGCAAAGGTAAATCCAAGCTAATGGCCACAAATCCCTCCTGGATTATACTCAGGTAGGACTGAACCTACGGGAAGCGATGAAGGAGCCCCAGCTATTGGAAAGGGATAGATCCAGGCACTGGGAACTGTTCACTCATAACTCCATTGTTACTTGCGATGGACCAGTCACTATTTCAGATATTGGTAATTTAACAGAGCAGCAATCAGTTAAGGAAACCCCTGCTCTCGTGGAGCTTTCTGTGTAGTGAGGAAGACAGATGGCAAACAAGGAAACAGGTAAGAAAAGTTCAGACTATGGAAACTGCTTTCAAGGAAACATACTGTGTTATGAAATGGAGAATATGAGGGAGGGAGGAAGATTCAAACTGCATCAGGAAGGGCTGTCTAAGGGGAAGTATCTGAGCTGACTCCTGACCTGACAAGAGAAAAGCAGCCCCATAGACTGGAAGGTCTATAAGAACAGACTTCCAGATACAAAAATCAGCAAGTTAAAAGGCCTAAGTCATGAATTTGACCTGTTTGAAGGAAAATCAGTTTGGCTGAGCAGAAGGCTGGAAGAGGATGAGGCAGTAAATCATGTAGGGTCCCATCAGCCATGTAAGAAGTTTGGATTGCATTGAAGTAGAATGGAGTGACAATGAGGATTTTTAAGAATAGAGGTGACAGAATCTGATTTATGTCATAAAATAAACCGTTTGGAAAATGGATTGCAGGTGGGCAAGTTTGGAAACTCTTTGTATGTGTAAATGAAAGGTGATGGTGTTTTGGACTTGAGGGAAAAAAGTGAAAATGTGTAGAAATTGACAGATTCGAGATATATTTTTGCAGAGTAGCTGATGATAGAACTTGCTGATATATTATGTGTAAGGAATGAGGGAATGCAGAATGAAAAATAACCCCTAGTTTCATTGACTAAAAAAATAGGTGAATTGTTGCTCTTTTTATCTGAGGATCTCCCCCATAATTCTTCTTCTCATGATACATTTGTTGTACTCCATTATATTCTGCTTTCTAGGTCTACCAGAGTGTTTTTCTGTCTCTCAAATTTTATTTTATAGCATTCTTGATCAGAAAGCCTCTGACTGAACCTAGTATTTATTCTAAGACTCCTTAGAACTCCCTTCCTTTTTAGAGTTTAGTGTTCCCATCTACCGGGCTCTGATGGGACCAAACTCCCAATCATTCTCTACACATCCCAGAGTGACTTTACAGAAATGTAAATATAATGCAAATTATTCCCCCACTTAAAATTATTTAATGATTCTCCATAGGTTTTTAGGTTTAAGTTCAAATCTATCGCTTAACCCCCAAGACCTTCTGAGATTCACCCCCATCCATCTGCTACCTCCTTTCCCTTCCAGTCTCCAAACACTCTCAGGGCTCCACCCTTGGCAAAATATTTTAGGTTCCAGGAATACAGTAATTTTGTGCTTTATGTAGAGTATTCACTCAGTCTGGAGTGTCCTTCCCCACATTATATCTACTCAGCTCAAGACAAGTCTTTTTTGGAAAACTTTGAGCCCCCAATTTGAGTTAATGTTTCCTCTATGTCCTCATAGTTCTCTGGGCATAGTCCTATTGTATCCCTTATCACTCTGTGTTATTATATTTACTTCTCTCTTCCCCATTAGACAAAGATCCAATTTTTGAAAAGAACTATGTCTTAGTTTTATATTTTTCCCACCTAGTATAAGGTAGATGCTCCATGAATGTTGAATAAACTACTTATCAATAAATATGAGTGTATAAAATATCAAGCCATAGTCCACCTATGAAACCACCCATTAATTTCCTAAGCTGTCATTTTCTAAAGACCCAACTTTTAACTTAAGAGCTAAAATGCTATACGTGTCCTTAAATACATCAATCCAGAATGCAATGATTCATTCTGGAGTTCTTCTGTTGGCACCATTTGTTCACTTATGAGTTAGGAGTGGGCAGCAGTTATAAGCAGTGTAAAGAGTCCAAGGATACCAAGCACATCTCAGATACTCAGTCCAGAAAGATAGCCCACCCCACGGGTCACCACGTGAGAGCCACACTTAGCAACAACTTTTTCCATGGCGAAGACCAACAGTCCTCAAATTAGGACAGCTTATATACTACTTACTTATGCTATCAAAATTTCTTTCACTTCTGAACAATATTCTTGCCTTCGTAATATTATCTCATGTATAAAAGTAATGTTCTTTCTGTTTTCATCACAGTACCAATTCTCTCTTCTCTTTTCAGTTTCCTTCTTAGATAATGTCTTACATCCTATCTAGGAATGTTTTATCCTCTCTAAGAAGCAAAATTCCTCAAGGTCTTCTGTCTTCTTAAGCAGGAAAAAATAGGGCATTTATAGTACACATAATTGGTGAGTATTTTATATAAGAAGATAAACACTGTACATTAGAATAATTGCCTCAGTGGCCAAATTTCCTGGAAAGCAAAATGAGGCCACTTGGGAAATGCTCCCTAAAGCTTGCAATGGAACACCACTTGCCCTTTTGTGCCTGGACTTCTGCGGAATTGTTTACCTTTGTCTCTTTCATAGCTACCACCATCCCAAACAGCCCTGGGCATTATAGAGTGAACCACCCTGACCTTCTGGAATCTTTGCCATCATACCTTGCACCAGATTACATGTATTCTTCTTAACTGATTGTGAATGATTTTTTACTTAAGCTTTAAATCATTAGCTTAAATGAAAGGGAAATGTATTTTACAACTGCTAAAGCTTTCAGGGACTATTATAGTTTTCATAAGCCATACTGAAGTTCCCGTGATTTTTACTGTCCTTTCCCAGTTTGTCCAGCAAACAGACCACAAAATTTCACCTCAATCCTGACAAGAACAGATATCAACTGCAAATATTCTTTAGGCCACCCTTCCTTTTGGAAGAAAGATAGGCTTTTATTTTTATAATAATGGTATAAAATGTCAATTCTAATGGTATCAAGTGTCAGTTCAGTTAATACACAACATCAAGAAGCATTTTACTCGACTTTTATGAGAGCTTATTTTCATACATCTATCTTTTTAATTTTCTAACAAATATATGTGCTCAAACGAGGTTCTGGCAGTGCTTAACACCTAGACACCACTTCAAGTCTCCAACTTTGGAACAGAAACATTTTCCTAACAAGTGATCTTTCTCTCATCTGTAATTCAGAATTTCCATCCCAGGAGAGGTGTTCTAAATTCGTGCTCAGTGTTCCAAAGACACATATGTACTCACTAGGGAGCAGAGCGATCTCAAAGGGGATCCAAAGGCCTTGGAGGTTAGCACTGTGCAGTCTGAAGCTGAGCCCCATGGCTGCTCCCCAGGACTAGAGCTGCATCTCTAGGCAGCAGGGAGCATGACCACCTTCCTCAACTCTTCTGCTATGATCTCTGCTATGATCTGCCCCAGGATTACAAAATAGACTTCCCATAGATCTGACCTAGGATGGATGCTTACCAATCCTATGTATCATTCAGCACATAAATCCAAAATTTTACAAGATCAATTTCACCTTATTTAATCCAATAAAGAGCCATAATATAAATGATTCTGTCTGAGGGATTCTTCTCTTCTCTAGTCCTTGAGGCCAAGGACTTTGTCTCATACACTGTGTCTCTACAGATTGGCACACAGATCATAGGAGTTCAGGAAATATTTGTTCTCTCAAATAAGCATGGCTGCCTGATGCAAGTCCTGGGAGACTTCCTACCTCCCGAATGTGCCCCATCCCTACTCAGAACACCATCTTTGCTTGTCCAGGCTGTCCAGAAGCCTCTTTGTGTTTTTCTGTACCTGCTTGGGTATCTACAAAGATTTCCTTTTTCTATGAATTGTCTTGTTGCTCTCCCATTCAAGCTGTTCAGTTGACTTATGCCTTTCATCTCTCTGGCAAAAGATGAGGATAGAGGATGTTGGACTTGTTCCCTGCAATTCAAGCCAAGGAGAGGATTTAACAATCCCTGAGCAGACTCTTCTCTCTGAAGAAATGTTCTGCATTCTTCGGCTTTCCAGCTTCCAGAATCTTCTTAATGATCTGGCCATTGGCCAACCTTCAGCAAAGTGTAAAGGAAAAATAATGGTATCTTCTACAAATTCTTCAGGATATGTGTAGGAGACCTTGGCACAATAAGTAGACACTTAACGTACCTACTATGTGTCAGGATGTTGTCAGAATTTCTTGTCCTGGATAGCATTTTAAAAAATTGGATTATTTAGAATTTTTAGCTGCCAAGCATTTGACAGAAAAGTCTATTTAAAGTAAAATTGGATTGCCACTGGTGACAAGTTGCCCTCAAGCAAGACTTGTTTTCTAGAGTAGTTTCATTCAGTTAGAGGCTTTGGCAACAGAAGTGCATTGCTCAGCTGTAGCTCAACATCAGACTTGCTATGGTGATGCTGCTACAGTGTATCCAGGCTAGAGGAGCCTTGGAGCTATACGCTTGCTGAGAAGCACCAACAGATTCTCCTGATGCAGAAATGTGGGATTTTGATAGCACAGAGGAACCGCAGGTGACCGAGGCAGGATCTACAAGCACTTTGCTTTTCAACTCCCTGTTCTAATTTCAACACCCAAACCCTTCTTCCCCCACCCCAAAGTTCAACCTCCCTACCCCAAAGGGCATTGATGAATAGCAATGCAGAAGGATCTCACGCTCACTTATAACTAGGTGGGTTCAGGGAGAGCCCAAGAAATCCCTTCCTCAAACAGACACTTATGTAATACCGGAACACACAGTGTTTCTCTCCCCATCCACCCTCTTCTGACTTTTTCTAACCTCCCCCATGATTAGAAAAAGAATCCAAATTCATCCCTAATATGAAAACCAACCATAGCAGACTCATTCTGAGGAATGGCACAAAGATGACTGTGTTGTTGAATTCTCACTTGGAATGAGAATGGGGCTATTCTGATGTCAGTCTGCTCAACAGGGAGTTCTCCTGAAAGTACAGTAAAGCTCTCAAGTGCTATTTAGACATTTGTGTCTTCACATGACTTAGTCGGGACAGCAGACAAGAGCTGTGGCTCCAACTGCAAGATCTGTTTCTGGAAGCTCCTCACCAAGCAACAGCAGAAAGTAATCAAACAATGGCCCAACAATCTCACTGGCACCTGTAGGAGAAAAATGACCCTGGAGTGAAGCCAGATGCAATTTTTATATTCATATTGTTGTTGTGGAATGTTCCTAGCAAATGAGAAAACCAAGTCCCCCCAGAGCCCCGCACTCAAGGGCTGTAGACATAGAACTTGAGGATTAAGCTGCTGACTGTGTTTAAAAGGAAAAGATTACAAAGCGGAATAAATCAAAAAGCTACAAGAATTCACAAGTCCCAAGTTCAGTAAACCCTGGCTAGAGAAGTGTGACATGAGCTTAAGCTACAGAATAAACACCAAAACCGAACAAGCCACTAGAGAGAAATAACAAAGTGAGGAAAACTCCAGAAATCCAAAAGAAAACTAGAACTAGAAGGCTGTCACAAAATATTTGGAAGAATTCTTTTTTCTGAAAATCTTAAGTATGTGATATTCAAATAAAAGCTCTTATTTATAACTTCCTTTCTAAATATACTAAACTTGTTACTTCTACTATAAAACAAACTATTAATCACAATTCAGCTAGCTAGACCAGGGGTTGGAAAACTCCTCCTGAAAAGGGTCAGATAGTAAATATTTTAGGTTTTATGGGCCGTTCTGTCTCTACTCAATTCTGCTGTCACAACACGAAAGCAGCCACAGACATATATAAACAAATGGGCATCGCTGAGTTCCAACATAACTTAATTTGCACAGAGATAATGGACTGGATTTGGTCTGTAGTTTATAGTTTGTGGACCCTTAAACTAACTAAATAAAATAATACAAACTTGTAAAAATAACACCAAAGAAGTAATATATTAAAACTTTCCCAATAGTTGGAGCTGTCGAAACACCTTCATCCCTTCTTTAAAAAAGGAAATGTTTTCATGACTTCCACACTTAGATTTTAGAGCTTATCATTCAGTTCCACAGCAGCCACTTTCTTTGAGCTCCATCTGGCAATAATATGAAATCTTGGTGCGAGGAATACCAGCATCACTGAGAAGCTGCGATGCTGTCCTCTGCCTGCTAGGGTGGATGATAGGAGATTCTGTTACAGAAAAAAAGGGTAGAATCAAGACTGTCCTTGCTTTCCATCACTCTCAATATTTCCTTTGGAGAATTTTTGTTTGCCAGCTCCAAACCTCTGGCGCCTGTGAATTTACATGCTGACTGCCAGAGGGTACATGCTTCCACCAGGGGACACAGTAAGGGTCCCATTAAACTCTCAGCTATATCTACCATATCATCAGGAGGAGGTAGAACTGCTACTACACAATGGGGGCAGGTGTTTGACACACTGGTGACCCACTGGGGTATATCCTAGTACTTCCTTGCCCAGCATTGATAGTGAACGGACAAGTACAGCAACCATGACCAGAGGCAGGCATGATGGCCAGGAGCTCAGGCCTCTCAGGAATAAAGGTAAGCCACCTAGACCAGAAGAGGTCCTAGCCAAGGATGAGGGGAATGGGTAGGAGAGGCAAGAGGTGAAGAGTATTGGTGCTGTCAGAATCTCACTGCAGAAATAGGGGGTTGGGTTCATCTGATTTGCCTCCTCAGTTTTCCCAGGAAAAGAAACCAACAAGAATCATAAAGGAGCCATTCCCAGACAGGATGATAGTATATGAAGCAAGCAAGTCTGAGCAGCACAAGAAGTAAGCTTCAGGAGATGCTGTGATGTGTCACCCAGATACCCCCTGCAGAACCAATGTTCAGAGTGTCAGCTATCTTAAGTGTTGAGAGCTGAGCCACTCCTCAAGAATTGCTATCATTGAAGGGAGTTGCCTCACTAAAGATTAAACCCTCTCTGGGGCAAGTCCATATCTCATGGCTAGTTAATACAGAGGCACAACCCTTGCCTCAATCGAGGGCAACTCTGAATGACCATCCCAACTCTAGAGCTCTCCATGGGATCACCAGAGGCCTTTGTTGTAACTGCATGGCCTTCAACTCGACACTGTTCAATCCTGCTCTCATCCAGCCCCAAAGGTCATTGTTCCTGACAGCATTTACCAAGAAACTTCTTGAATAAACATTTCCAGCTCACAGACCTTTTCCTAGGAAACGTACCATAAATCAGCCAATACGTGTGAGGATTCATCTGGAACTCTGTTTTGACATGTAATGGGGGATGAAAACAATTTCCAATTCATAGCATTGTTGTAAAGAGTCAACAAGTTAAATTAACAAAACAGCTGTGCAAACTGAAGAGCAACACAAATTTAACATGACATTTTTATTATTGTTATTACTTTTGTGTGTCAGATGTAGCAACCAAAGAGAGGTAGTGGTCTTGCCATGCTTGTCTGCAACAAAGGAACTTTTAAAACAGTGTTAGTGAATACACTATGGCTTAATGTTCAGAACTTGATATCTAGAGGCAGACAAACCTTTCTCTCTATCTCGTCCTAGGCATTTACCTAATAAATTGAAGACACTGGTGATTATATTGAAGACATTAGCGATTATAGATTATGACATAATGCCTTTTATCTGCTGAACACTTTATTTTAGAATGAAAGCCTACATTTAATTAGCCATGGGTTTTTATCATACATCATTTGTGTGTATGTTAAAAGGAAAATATGTGTGAAAGAAATTGGTTAATGTATTTCTAAAACCTGTTCACACACACAGTTTGACTCTTCTGAATCACTGGACAACTATGTTTTTCCACACCCTATCATTTCGGTGTCCATCCAGAGCATGGGTAATGCAGTGTTTTGTAAGGAAACCTCAAGCTACAGGAGCTGACTTCACAGTTATGCAGAGCTAGCCAACGTTTAATTCCAAATTGGAAAATGGTGCTAACAAAATCTAATATACCGTCTCTCTCACCATCCCCACAACCCATTTGGCTCTTGAGGATTAAAGCCTCACCACTGCCCCCTGGGATTTTCTTCTAAATCTTTGGTACACATTCTGCAGGTTGTCCTGTCACTCTTGATGTCTCTGCCTGAACAGACATGACTCTAGCTGGCTGAAGCAATTGTAAGACTCCATTTTTCAGATGCAGTGTGATGACATCTGACAAAATATTTTAAAAAGAGTCTGTCTTAAAAAATCAAACAACAGAATAACCTCTCTAAAGCTCTGTTTCCTTATAAGACAGGATAATAGTACCTACCTCTCATGGATGTTGTGAGGACTGAATGAGATAGTCCAGAGGGAGTGATTAGCAGTGTCTGGCACAAAGTAAGCATTTAATAAGTGATACTTACTGTTATAATTATTAGTTAACCTTGGCTGAAAAATGATTTTCTGTAAATACCACGTATTGCTTTATCCACGCTCCAGTTTGCTCTTCCCACCTTTATGTGTATATGTGAGGAGCTAATGACAGGGTGTTCTTTCCTTCAGTTTCTCCTCGGGATTTCATTATAGGTGCTTCCTGTTGCAGTAATTGATAGTTTCATATCCCCAGGTGAGGGATGGGTCACAATTCTGGGTGGTTCCAACATTTTGATGCATACCACCCTTGTGCCTTGTATCTGAACAAGAACTCAGGTGTAAGGGTTTCAAATGGATTTGAAAGAAATGCAGCAGGAAAGCTCCCCTTTGGACATTCTAGAGAGACTAAAAGCCCTCCAAGCAGAAAACTAGGGCAGAGGCTTCACGAGTTTAAGGTGTCAGGCGATGTGCCTATAATGTGCCCATAATGTGCCCAGGAGTATAGGAGCCATTCCCAGATGGATCAGTAGCTGAAGAATGACCACCCAATGACTGCTTTAATTACTTACCAACCTGAACGGGAAGTATGCTTATGAGTTCTTGAAGCCTCCTTTCTCTAATTTGGTTTTCTATTTATCCCTGGTATAAAGCCTCCTCTCTTACCAGGCTTGAAGTTCTCACTATTATTCTTTCTCTGGGAAACAGTGAAAATAAAGACACTAAGTCTAGAAGAGTAATGCAAAACAAAACAAAAAAGCACATTTTACCTAGGACATGAAGGTGCCCATCAGAGCTCTCTCATTGCTAAAATTAAGTTATTAATGAGATTGTACTTTCATGTTTCTCAAATAGTCTAACTAGAGTATTACCTGGGTGAAATTCAAAATAAGAATATACCTTAATTTTTCTGAGATCTGAATTTAAATGTCTGTATTATTATAAACATGACATTTTTTGTACTAAAGACAGATCCCCATGGAACATTTGAATCAACATATTCCATGATCCTATTATTGCTTTTAAAAATATTGTCTTAGCGCATTGGGGCTACTGTAACAAAATACCATACATTTGGTGACTTATAAACAACACAAATTTATTTCTCACAGTTCTGGAGGTTGGAAGGTCCCAGATTAAGGTATTGGCGAGTTCAGTAACTGGTGAGATCCCATTTCCTTATTTATAGATAGAGGCTTCTCGCTGCATCCACTGGGGCCTCTTTTTTTTTTTTTTTTTTTTTCTCAGACAGAGTCTCGCTCTGTCCCCCAGGCTGGAGTGCAGTGGCGTGACCTCGGCTCACTGCAAGCTCCGCCTCCCGGGTTCATGCCATTCTCCTGCCTCAGCCTCCCGAGTAACTGGGACTACAGGTGCCCGCCACCATGACCAGCTAATTTTTTGTATTTTTAGTAGAGACGGGGTTTCATTGTGTTGGCCAGGATGGTCTCGATCTCCTGACCTTGTGATCTGCCCACCTTGCCCTCCCAAAGTGCTGGGATTACAGGCATGAGCCACCGCGCCCGGCCTCTTTTAAAAAGGCACTAATCTCATTCATGAGGGCTCCTCCCTCGGGATTAAATCACCTACCAAAGACCCCCCACCTCCTAATACCACCACATTAGTGATTAGGTTTCAACATATGAATGTGGAGGGGACACAAACATTCAGACCATAGCCATTACCAAACATATCTCTGTTCCAAGGAAGGGGAGTAAAACCTCTGTGCAACTGTTGTTTCAACTCCATGGCTGCTTATTATGACCACTGATGTTTACATTATTTATAGAAGCCAGAATATGGTGGGTTTTGTTTTCTTTGATTATATTACTCAGAAACCTTTTGTTTCCTAGATGCTTCCTATCCTTCCTTATAAGAATTACAAACATGCCAGCAATCATTTTCAAGCACCTTAGTTTCACTAGTTATCAGGGATGCAGATGAGCAAAGATAAATTCAAAGAAACATGCTTAAAGTGAGGGAATTTTTTTTTACCAGACCTAGAACAAAATATACACAATTCAGATTTCACAGACAGACAGGGTTTTGTAGGTGACCATATGCTAACACTGAATGGAACATCAGCTTCATTTGAGATGTGAAGGATTTCACTTGTTATCAGTCCACTGTAGAAGACTTTGTGCCATGGTTATGCATATTAGTTGTGATGACAAAATAAGAGGCAGATTCTACATAACATGCACAAAAGAGGAACATATGTACACCAATATAAATAGATATATATCAGCTTGTATCCACATCTCACATTTGCTTATTACCAAAAACGACATGAGAAATGCAGTCAGAGTTGCTTTCTTTTCCCTTTTCCTTTTACCTATCTACCAATAGAAAAAAGTATCACCCAATTCCTGTCCTAAGACCCATCTAATCTCTTCTTATTACCACTTTTTAGGGCTTGTGGAATAAGCACATCTATTTCTACACATAATTAGAAACAAAGAAAGTCAAGATTGGAATGTGTCAGAAGTGGTTTAATACTTGAGATTTACCAAATTGGAAACTTTAGAGGCTCACTAGAAGTCCCTATCAATGCCCAGTTGATACTGAAAACAATCTCACAAGTCACTGACACTGACCGCATGATATCTGCTGTATGCTCTAAGAATTACTTTGCCTGAACAGATTCCACCCGCAATGTAGGGCCTGGCTGGTAGAGCAGGCTGGAGCTCTAGGAACCAGTTCTGCAAATAGCCTTCTCAAGAAATTGGCCTCACGAAAGATCCAATAGCTGAAATCGATCTGTAGGCTTGCCTTTATATATCCAGAAAGGGAAAATGAAACTTGAATTTCAGAGCTAGTCTGAAAGAAAAGGAAAAGAAATGTGAACCATGATTTGCTCATAGAAAAGCACATCAGCCAGGAGGGTGACGGAGGAGAGATCCAGTCCCAAAATGTGGTTGAGAACACAACCCCCTAGCCTGAGAGGCAGAAGGGGCATCATAAGGGCAGAGGCTGCCTCAGAAGCCACATGGGGACTACCATGCCAGATGGAAAAGGGAAAAACTAAAGCAGAATTTTGCTCAAAGTTGAAATTACTTTCATTAAATAATGCCCATTTATTTCACCGGCCCTGACTTAATATAGGCCTGATTCATTCATTTAGACTCAGGAGAAAGAAACAGATCTGAGTAAGGTCACGAAGAGAAAGCCATGACAAAAAGGGACTGTCTCTAAAGTTAAACAAAAGTGATAAACAATTAAAATTCAACAAAAATGATAGGGAGAATTTAAACCATTTTCTCAGATTTCTTAGGTCATAAAGGATATTATGCTGTTCTATGAGTTGTTGCCTTAAGACATATTACTTATGTAACCCCAAATTTAATCATTTCAAGTGCTTCTTTTTAAGACAAGCTTTACTTTATCCCCCAGAAGACGTTTAGAAAGCACTTTTCACCACCCTAGTTATCCTTAAAGAAAAGCTTTATCCACACTTCAGTTTGTACTTCCCACCCTCATCTGTCTGTGTGAAGAGCTAACAATACAGTGTTCCTTCCCTTCAGTTTCTCCCTGGGGCTTCATTATGGCTGTTTCCTGTTAGTATAGTGGGGTATGCAGTAATTGATAGTTTCATATTCCCAGGTGAGGAATGGGTCACAATTTTTGGTGGCGCCATCATTTTGACACGCACCACCCTCATGCCCTGTAACTGAACGAGAGCTCAGGTGTAAGGGTTTTAAATGTATTTGAAAGAAATGCGGCAGGAAAGCTCCCCTGTGGACATTCTAAAGAGATTAAAAGCCATCCAAGCAGAAGACCAAGGCAGAGGCTTCACGAGTTTAAGGTGTCAGGTAGAGTGCCTGTACTTCGCCCAGGAGTATACCAGATGCTAAAAAAATAATCAAAAGGAGTAAGAGCAAGCCATCCTGCCCTCTAGAGCTTAGAATGGCATTTCAAATATCATTGGGAGAAACAAGGTAACAGCAAATACCTCTTGGAAAGCATAAGCACTCTTTCTAAAGAAAATGGCTAACAAGTCCTTAGGGCTCCAGAGGGATGGCGGAGAATATGAATAAGAAAGGTGGGTTGGCCATGACACAATTCAGAGAGGCAGATTCAAAGGCAACTGGAGAACACAGACTTCCCCCATCAACAAGCACAGCCTCTGCTCAGCCCAGCCAAGCATTGCCTGTACTCCCAGGCACAGTATAGGCACTCCTCCTGACACCTTAAACTCATGAAACCTCTGCTCTGGTCTTCTCTTGGAGGGCTTTTAGTCTCTCTAGAATGTCCACAGGGGAACTTTCCTGCTGCATTTCTTTCAAATCCATTTGAGAACCTTACACCTGAGCTTTTGTTCAGATACAGATCCGGTGTTAGAAAATATTCTGTTTTGTTTTTTTTTTATAGAAGCCAGGTATGTATGTGTGTGTCCATGTGTGTTGACAATGAATCCAAACAATATTTAATTACTGCACAGGCCAAACAACAACAACAAAAATGTCTGTGGCCTAATCCAAGCTCTCAGTCACTATCTTATAACCTTAAGAGTTTCATTTTGGGGCATTCCCTAAAACTAAAAAAAAATTACATGCATATAAAATATAAATAAAAAAGGAAAGAAAAAAAGTATCCACAAATGGTATTATAGTTAGGTATGTCACCGGTTACCCTAGGCCCACAAAGACTTGGGGGTAGATATTAATGTAATGCTTGCCAGCTGCCATATCAGATACACCTTGAAATCTCGGTGATTTAAATTTCAGAATCTGTATTCAGAAAATCCTCATCATTCTAACTTTTCAGTTATTGGACAAAGCTGACCATGACTGATTCTCTTTCACTAATTTTCAGATCCCTCCCAAGAAGCAACTTGATCTCTTATGCAAAAGTATTTCCCTATAAAACCCATGCTATCTATCATTCCTCAAGGAGATTCAAACATGTTTACCTGCCATCAATGGATTAACTTTGCCTCAAATTGGAAATCTGGTTTCAAATGGCAGAGGTCTGGCCCAAGTCTGGTAGCTTGCCACACAGAAAGCCAATCACTGAGACAAGTATCGCCCAGAAAGAGCAGCTTTACTGCAGGTGTCAGCCTAAATCCATCTCTCCTTAACAGATTAAAGGTAGGCATTTATATAGCAGGGGAAAAAAACAGGAGAGGCAAGGAAGAGGAGTTGGTCAACAGGCAGCAGGTGCATCTCATTGTCTGGGTGCAGTGATCTCGAAAGCCTCAGTTCCCTGATGCCGTTCAGGAGGCCCGATGGTAGGTTTCCTGAGAAAAGAACTGAACTACAACAAATATAAGTTTCTCAAGCTTCAGTTCTATGGGATAATTGAGCTGGCTTCAAATCCTTTATTACACTTAAAATTTTTTCGCATGATTATCAGTAAAAATATATGATGGGAATGATTTCTAAATGTTGTGGGACACATTTGTTTCATGTGCAAAATGATTTTAAAACTTAACATTTTTAGTTTTGTTTCAGATCTCTAAGATCTCCAAAGAGCATAGCAATTTACAAGTATATTTTCTATTAACAAATTATTAGATGACCTAAAGAACTAGTCAGAGCCACACATCATCCAGGACACATATATCAGAAACAGAAAAGTTCTAATTCAAGGTGAGGAAGTTGAATACACTCTCTGATATTTGATTCATAATAAGAGAGGCCTATTACGTTCTCACTAGCACTTTAGAAAATGTAAAGAATGTGCACATGTAAGTGTGAACAGGAAGGAATCTTCATGACCACACAACCCTACCTTACCCTAATCACCTCAATTTGTCAGTTGACAAATCTGTGGTTTTGAGTGATGGCATTATTTACTCAAGTGCACACAGCTGGCAAGAGAAAAAACTCACTCAGGATCCAAGTCTTCTATACATGAATCTAATTCTTTCTCCCTGCACCATGCTGCTTCTCCAAATTTGTGTAGAATCCTAAGAACAGTCTGAGCACCTTGCCTTCTTTGTTCCACCTCTCCAATAATCAATATTTTGTTCTTTTTACTCATTAATTTTACTTCAGTAAGATTCTCTTCACTTTCTTTTTCTTTTGACTACTCCACTAGGTATTTTTCAAAACTTAAAAATGGCAAGTCATGGAACATAAATGGAAATTCCAAGCACAATACCAGCCTTGACTTCTGGATATGTTTTATGTGTTAGAGCTATTTTCTAAATGACTCTGTTGTCAGCTATGTGACTAAAGAAGCAGAAAGTTGCTGCTTTCCAACCACTTTAATATTGAAAAATATTTATTACCCACTTAATGAAGGCCGTCTGTTGCACAAGCACTAAGCTGCATATATTAATCAACTCAAAATAGTCCGTTATGATTTCAATGTATTCTTGCACACATAATGCTTTTATCATGTACAAGATCTAGGTTCTTAGAGAGCTAAGTAGGAGTCAGGAATTTGAATTTAAAAGTGTATTTGAGACATGGACTGGGCATTAACATTCAAGGTACAATGCAAGAATTAATCTCAATAATTAACCACAATGTAATTATCTGAATTTTGAATTTCAAAGATTAAGTCTATTATGTTCTGAAATCTCTTGCAGTCTCTCTTGTTGTTCTAAATCTTTCTGAGAATATTAAGGCTTTCTTTCCTCCAGACCAAAGCATTCTGACTCTATCAAGTTTGTTGTTTTGTTTTTTTGTTTTGAGATGGAATCTCGCTCTGTTGCCCAGGCTGGAATGCAGTGGCACGACCTTGGCACACTGCAACATCTGCCTCCCGAGTTCAAGCAATTCTCCTGTCTCAGCCTCCCAAGTAGCTGGGACTGCAGGCACCCACCACCACGCCCAGCAAATTTTTGTATTTTTAGTAGAGACAGTTTCACTATATTGGTCAGGCTGGCCTTGAACTCCTGACCTTAGATGATCCACCCACCTAGTCCTCCCAAAGTGCTGGGATTACAGGCATGAGCCACTGTGCCCAACCAAGATTTCTTATCCTGGGCCATGTGTAACATGCAGGTGGCATCTTATGGTCTCCCCAGCAAGGTGTCAGCTCAGCTGTTTGTGGTCTCATTCCTCAATGAATACTGCATTGACCTAAGGCTGATTTTTCACTACAGCTGGAAACCTTAGCATTAGAAGCTGTGGGCAATGCATCCTATGCCATTAGCTTTGTGTTGTGGGTTTTCATTCTAACACATAGAGTGATAGCAATTATTTTCCAGAGTTGATAGGAGGGAACGCAGAGTAGATACCATGGAGAGCTGCCCAGATCCCTGGCCCCTCAGAACTGAGATGCTCTATTAAATACCCAGGGCCTAGGATTCACAGCTTCAGCCTTCTCCAGGAACTGCCCTCACCAAAAAAAGGCTGCCTTACCCAAAATTGCACCCACTCCGTGCAGTCTGCATGAACGGTTACATAATGTCATGGGTACAAAGGCTCAGCTCCCATTGAAGGTAATGGCAAAAACTGCAATTGCTTTCGCACCAAAGTAGTATCTATCTGTCTACCTGTCTATCTGTCCGCCTATCTTCTGTTGATCTATCTACTTATCTACCTGTCTACCTATCTATTGATCAATCTTTCTATTGATCTATCATCCCCCCGTCTCTTCCCCTCCCTCCCCCTCTCCTCTCCCTCTCTCTCTCCAGTTTCTCCAGGGAGACTATGGGGAGTATGACAGACTTTTCTCAGCAGGAGCCCATCCTGACAGTGATACAACCCCAGATTCCCCACCAGGGTCGGGGAGCAAGTTATGCCCTTACTTAGGTCATGACTGAATACAGCAAAGGACACAAAGATTTGAGGAGGTCTGGAAGTTGGTGGATGCTACCGGAGTTGACTCAGGCAGCAGTCCTAGGGTTACCCAAGGAACCTAACTGCTTCCTTGAGGGTCAAAAGGAGGACTGGTGTGGGTGGAACAGTACAGTCCTCTGGTAAGCAGCATCTGCCACGTGGGGAGGCAGGGGACGCCTTGGCTGCCATGCCACTTGATTAGCTTTACTCTCAGACCACTGGGTGTAGGGGGTCAGCCCTGTAGGTGGAGACTGGCTGATGTTAAGGACTGAAGTCTATTCAAGGTATCTTCAATATCCATATACTTCCCCAGTCACAGAGTAGAAGGAAGGATCAGATTTTATAAAGCAAAAAATCCGGCCTACAACAAAGCAGTAATCACGTTCTAGGCCAGAACTTTGTAATATTGACATTACTTCTCTGAGTAACTAAGTTATTATCTTTAAAATGATTGGTTACTTTCTTTTAGGCATGAATCCTCACTATTTAAAAACTCAAAGCAAAAGAATCGCTAAGTAACTCAGACCCTAATGGCTTTCTCAAAGATCACATTCTCATTTCATATTGTAATTTTTTTGATGAGACAGTGTTTTTATATTTATACTACTGAACCAATTTTATTTTAAAAATAACTAATTTGAAATTATAGCATCATGAAATAGAAATTGAGCACATAAACACATCTACCCAGCGTCTTCCTTATTCTAAGTGATAATTTCTTTGTGGCCCCAATTTCTAGTATAACATGCAGAATTTAGGAGTTTTATAACAACCAAAATTATTTACAGTGGTGATCCCCAAGTCCCTGAATGTCCACCTTGAAGTGCAATGTTATATCCTTTTTCTAGCCTCAATGGTTCCAGCCACTGCTCACCACCTTGGGTCAGTCCGCCATCATCTCTCCTCAATAGTGCAGTAGCCTCTGTAGTGATCTTCCTGCTTCTTTCCTTGCTTATTTTAATCTTTTTTCAGCACCATAGAAAGAATGACTATTAAACATTTGTTAGGCCATGCCAGTCTTCAGCCCAAACTGTAAAGGCAAAAGCCTTACAATGGCCCATAGCTCTGTGTTATCTGATCCCTCACTACCTCTTAACCCCATTTCCTACTATTCTCCCCGGACTCACTTGACTTCAGCCACAATGAGCTTCTTGCTTTCCTCTGAGACATTAGGCATTCTCCCATGTTTCTCTTCTAAATACCCACATGCTTTGCTTTCCTGTCTCCTTCAAATCTCTGCTCAAATAGCATCTCAGTGAGGGCCTCCCTGACCACTCTTCACATTCCATCACACACACCCTTTTCTCCTTTATTTTTCTCCATAGCAATTGATCATCATCTAACACACTTATATTTTCTTTGTTCATTATATGTCTCCCCTCACTAGAAAGCAACTTCCCAGAGTTCAGGGATTGTTACCAGTTTGTTCATTGCTAGACTATAGTGCCTGGAGCAGTATCTTTCATATAGTGTACCTTCAATAAATATTGTTAAAGGGATTGATCTTAAGTCATCTATAACATTAAGCTTAAAAATAGTAAAGATACAACGAAATAATAAAAACCACAGGCAAGAGCCAATTGCTATAAAAAGAACAGAAAAACTTTAAATCTAACAGCTGTCTTAGAAATAAAAATAATCGTTATTGAATGTAAAAACTTGATGGTGGCGGGGCACAGTGGCTCACACCTGTAATCCCAGCACTTTGGGAGGCCGAGGCAGGTGGATCACGAGGTCACGAGATCGAGACCATCCTGGCTAACATGGTGAAACTCCGTATCTATTAAAAATACAAAAAATTAGCCGGGCATGATGGCGCATGCCTGTAGTCCCAGCTACTCGGGAGGCTGGGACAGGAGAATCACTTGAACCCAGGAAGCTGAGGTTGCAGTGAGCTGAGATGGCACCACTGCACTCCAGCCTGGGCAACAGAGTGAGACTCCGTCTCAAAAAAAAAAAAAAAAAAAAATTTATGGCTAGGGACTAGCTGATTAGAGACACCCAGCAAGATCATTAGAAAACTGAAAGAAATTACACAGAAAGCAGTATAGACAGATTAAAAGATGGAAGTTAAGGAAAATGAGAGGGTCCCCAAAACTGTCTATAAGAGTTCCAGAAATGAGAAAGTGAGAAGTAGAGGAGAAATTCAGAAGAAATAATTGCTTATTTTTTTCCATAGTGAAAAATAAGAATCCGTGAGTCCCAAACAAAATATATTCATGTCTATATTCAAAAAAAGGAAGAGACTGGGTACAGTGGCTCACATCTATAATCCCAGCACTTTGGAGGATCACTTGAGCCCAGGAATTTGAGACCAGCCTAGGCAACAAAGTGAGACCCCCGTCTCTACAAAAAATTAAAAATTATTCAGGTGTGGTGGCACATGACTTTAGTCCCAGTTACTTGAGAGACTGAGGTGGAAGGATTGCTTGAGCCCAGGAGGTCTAGGCTACAGTGAGCCACGTTCACACCACTGCACTCCAGCTTAGGTGATGCAGCGAGACCCTGTCTCAAAAAAAAAAAAAAAAAAAAAAAAAAAAAAAAAAAAAAAAAAGAAAGAAAGAAGAAAACTGTAAAACACTGAAAACAAATAGAAACGTATAAAACAATCAGAGAGAATAAACAGATTACTTGTAAAGGAACAACCATTAAGTCAACATGGTCAAGTGGTCCCTTTCTTTTATCTTCCCTCCTTTTGAAAAGTAACCACTATCTGATTAAAACAAAAAATAGGTCAAAAAGCAATATAAAAAGGAAAAAGCAAACTTTGAAAAGAACCAGAGAGAGTTTCTAGAAATGAAAAGCAGAACCACTGAAACAAAAAACTTAATGTATAAATTAAACAGATTCTATCATCGGCAATGAACAAGGTCCATTGGCAATTATCTCTGGAGGTTAAGATTTCAAAAGCTTTTAATTTTTTCCTCATTCTTTTATGTATTGTTTGAATATGTGTATAATTAGCTATGATTAGTATGTCATTTCAATAATTAAAAAAATAAGTAAACTGCTTTCAAAAACTCGAGACAATGGAAAATTCTCTTATTTGAATGTGTGTATCTCTGATTACTGTGGAAGTTTGCATTTGTCAGGATGGATGAGATAGGCTTACATCATCGGAAGGCTATTTGATGCTCATGCTAGATCCCCACCATGGGTTGTCTGGGGTCTCTGTCATTCTCACAGGGGATCCAGGCTCAAGGAACAACTGATCTCTCTGGAGTATTGCAGTAGCCACGGCACAGAGAGCTCAGTGAATCAACGCTGGCTGTTAATGCTTCCTGCTAAAAGTGATGTACACAATTTTACTCACATTTCATTGCCCAAAGCAAGCCTATGTCCATGTGTGATAAGTAAATCTACCTTGTGTCTGGTAGCAAAAATAAAAATTTCATGAAAAGCATAAATGGCTGCTACATAAACATGTTTCCACATGTTGTCCATTCTTCGTATTTCTTTTTAAGTGTATTGTCCATTTAGTTTCTTTATCTATTAGAGCCCTTAGAATTCTAATAACACTTAGTTTATTCTTTACCCTAACCAGAGCCCTAGTAAACTATACTTCTAACCATGGTCTCCAGTCAATTTGAAACAGCTTGCTTTCACCTTAAATTGATGAGTCTTTTTCCTGATTTAGATATTCTCTTTTCTGTGTTATAGTCCAGTACAAAAGGTCCAACAAAGGCTTCTTTTTGTTCTTCTACCTCTATATAGATTATTACTATTACCCTTCTTCCTCATAATTTCTGGACCTAATTCTTCTAAAAGCCCCAAGATTTTCCATTAATTTCATTACCCGCATCTGCCAAATCCACCTCCATACTCAGACCAGCAGCTCGCCTTGGTCACAGAAATGGTGTTCCCTTCTGCAGATGTCACCATTAATCCATGTGTAGTGTTTTGTAAGGAGAGCTCTTAATAGACACCAATGAGTATTTTTATACAGTAATGACAAAGACAAGGCGGAGGATGCCCAATGTCCACGCAGTCACTTCGGTCTTTGTATACTTTGTGAGCCAAATTTTGCTAAAGCAACAACAGAAAAAAGAAAAAAACCACTGATAAATTCCAAATACTTTTTGTATTTTCTTTTTTTTTTTTTTCATATTTTCTAAATGTCCTAAAAGTACTAACTCTGTGTTGGCACATAATAGGTATTCAGTAAGTTGACTCTGAATCAAATAGAGTGAAACTACATATTCAGAGTTCACAGACGCATGAGATACTGTGTACAGATTTTTAACTAGTTATCCACAACAAAAGCCTACTACTTTTGGATGCTCAAAACAACCAAAAAGCAAACAAAGATTTTAATACCTTAAGCGTATGCTCTGTAAATTATTCAGCAAATCATCCAACTTTTGGCTAATTAACACTATTTTGGTGAACATTAAAAGTATAATACAGTGTATGTAATTAAATTTTAACAAAATTATTACCTGTTTAAAACTAGTTGCAGGTAGGAGGAAATTAATCTGCTAAACAAAGTACTCTTGTTTGGTTGCAGAGTATAAACTTGTTACAGTTTACCCCATTGTCTCTGTTTCAGGGACTTGATATTTTTATGGGGAAAATTTAAAGCACAGGGCACCCTGATCTT
Source organism: Homo sapiens (assembly GCF_000001405.40). NCBI lineage: Eukaryota > Metazoa > Chordata > Mammalia > Primates > Hominidae > Homo > Homo sapiens. The sequence continues at coordinate 47,562,039 of NC_000013.11, forward strand.
TACATGATTTTGTTTTATTCTTATAATTCAACATACAGTAGATTCATGTGTGATGCAGATATTTGGCTATTAAAGAAAAAAGAAGATGGCATATGGTCAAAATTATACTTGGAAGATCCTTTGGCTTACCCAGTGGGTAAGGCACAGTGGCTCATGCCTGCAATCCCAACACTCTGGGAGGCCAAGGTGGGAGGATTGCTTGAGCCCAAGAGTTCAAGACCAGCCTGGACAACATAGCAAGACCTCATCTCTACTAAAAATAAAAATTAGCCAGGCATGGTGGCACATGCCTAGAGTCTCAGCTACTCAGGAGGCTGAGGCAGGAGGATTGCTTGAGTCCAGGACTTTTGGGTTGCAGTGAGCTATGATCATAGCACTGCATTCCAGCCTGGGGACAGAGTGAGACCTTGTCTCAAAAAATAAAATGAAGCACATGTGATGTAGCTCTATTATAAATTCTCAAAAAGACCATAGTGTAGTTATATGCAATACTGGCAGCCTTGTTATTTATTTAATGTGTAAAATTTTATTATGGAAAAGTCTACAAACCAAAAATGAAATGCAAGTCTAGGATCTGTAGAATCAGTATTTTATTTCACATTTGATTGATTAACGGTCCAAATTTCATTAAAAAAATAGCACTCCTGCTTTCAGAAGCAGTCTGTGGGAATGATGGTAGGAGCACATAAGAGACACATAAAGTATTAGTCAGTAATTGACTTCGGTTTATACAAACTGAATATTTAAAAGCACTGAGCCATACCTTCAGCCAAAATGTTTCCATATTTCTACATTTTTAAGGCCTGACATTACCAAGAGTATTGACGCTAAGAATGTTCTCAATAATTTTCTGACTTCTCTTTGTAACAAGAGGATTCTGGTCTATATAATTTTATAGGCTTTACTGTTTACAGGCTTCACAGCCGTACAACGGCTATCCCTGCTAAAATCTGCTTAGGTTTTTCAAAATAGCACTCTTTATAGTATCGTAATTTTTTGTTTGTCAGAGGAATAAACTAAAGATAACAAAAACCTTCATTACTATATTTCTAATGCTACCATTACTATATTGTGTTGTGAAGTGAAATCCCTAAATTTTTTGCCAGGATTAGAAACATTAATACCAAAGTAGAGAAAATAATGAGTGGAATATTGTTTTCCTATCAGTTATTCATCTAGGAATATATCCCCAAATTTAAGAGAGAAACAATCATCCTAAAAATATCAGATAACTTTTCTGCTTTGCTGAGAATTGCAGTGTAGCTGCAAAAAAGCATTTTTCTTTAAAAATACAATATGTTACAGAAGACTGAGGTCATTCTGAATGACTGAAAATCAATACTCATTATACCAAGATGTTTATGTGAACGATCAGGTTGATTGTGTACTGACCCCAAAACAAAGCCTGAAGTGTTCTTTTAAAAAATTAATATTATGTAACTTTTTGTTTTCTTATAGTTTGACTTTCTTTTGGAAAGAAAAACTTTTAAAATACAACAGATCGAAATTTTGTTTAATTGTGACCAAAAAAGTAAATAAATATTTTCCTTTAAGTAAAACATAGCCTGGCTTCATTGGCAAGATGGCCGTATAGGAACAGCTCCAGTCTGCAGCTCCCAGCAAGATTGACACAGAAGGTCGGTGATTTCTGCATTTCCAACTGAGGTACCTGGTCTATCTCACTGGGACTGGTTGGAAAGTGGGTACGGCCCACGGAGGGCGAGCCAAAGCAGGATGGGGCATTGCCTCACCAGGGAAGCTCAAGGGGTCAGGGGATCTCCCTCCCCCAGCCAAGGGAAGCTGTGAGAGAATGTACCAGAGGAATGGTGCACTCCAGCCCAGATACTGCACTTTTCCCATGGTCTTCACAACCAGCAGACCAGGACACTCCCTCCCTCCAGTACCTAAGCCACCAGGGCCCTGGATTTCAAGCACAAAACTGGGTGGCTATTTGGGCAGACACCGAGCTAGCAGCAGGAGTTGTTTTTTTTTTTCCCCCCCATACCCCAGTGGAACCTGGAAGTCCAGTGAGACAGAACCGTTTACTCCCCTGGAAAGGAGGCTGAAGCAAAGGAGCCAAGTGGTCTAGCTGGGATGGTCCCACCCCCACGGAGCCCAGGAAGCTAAGATCCACTGACTTGAAATTCCCGCTGCTAGCTGCTAGCAGAGCAGTCTGAGGTCGACCTGGGATGCCTGAGCTTGGTGGGGGGTGGGGCATCTGCCATTGCTGAGGCTTTAGTAGGCAGCTTTACCCTCGCAGTGTAAACAAAGCTGCCAGCAAGTTCAAACTGGGAGGAGCCCACCACAGCTCAGCAAGGCTGCTGCGACCAGAATGCCTCTCTAGATTCAGGCCATCTCTGAAAAAAATGTAGCAGCCCCGGTCAGGGTCTTATAGGTAAAACCCCCATCTCCCTGGGACAGAGCACTGGGGAAGAGGTGACTGTGGTGCAGCTTCAGCAGACTTTTAAACGTACCTGCCTGACAGCTCTGAAGAGAGCAGCAGATCTCCCAGCCCAGCATTCAAACTCTGATAAGGGACAGACTGCCTTCTCAAGTGAGTCCCAGACCCCCATGTATCCGGATTGGGAGATACCTCCCAGTAGGGACCAACAGACACCTCATACGGGAGAGCTCTGGCTGGCATCTGGTGGGTGCCCCTCTGGGACAAAGCTTCCAGAGGAAGTAACAGTCAGCAATCCTTCCTGTTCTGCAGCCTCCACTGGTGATACCCAGGCAAACAGGGTCTGAAGTGGACCTCCAGCAAACTCCAGCAGACCTGCAGCAGAGGGGCCTGTTAGAAGGAAAACTAACAAACAGAAAGGAATAGTATCAACATCAACAAAAGGATGTCCACTCAGAGAATCCATCCAAAGGTCACCAACATCAAAGACCAAAGGTAGATAAATCCACGAAGATGAGGAGAAACCAGCACAAAAAGGCTGAAAATTCCAAAAACAAGAATGCCTCTACTCCTCCAAAGGATCACAACTCCTCACCAGCAAGGGAACAAAATTGGATGGAGAATGAGTTTGATGAATTGACAGAAGTAGGCTTCAGAAGGTGGGTAATAACAAACTCCTCCCAGCTAAAGGAACATGTTCTAACCTAATGCAAGGAATCTAAGAACCTTGAAAAAAGATTAGATGAATTGCTAATTAGAGTAACCAGTTTAGAGAAGAACATAAATGACCTGATGGACATGAAAAACACAGCACAAAAACTTCAAGAAGCATACACAAGTATCAATAGCTGAATCTATCAAGCAGAAGAAAGGATATCAGAGATTTGAAGATCAACTTAATAAAATAAAGCAAGAAGACAAGATTAGAGTGGAAAGAAAGCCTCCAAGAAATACAGGACTATGTGAAAAGACCAAATCTACATTTGATTGGTGTATCTGAAAGTGACGAGGAGAATGGAACCAAGTTGGAAAATACTCTTCAGGATATTATCCAGGAGAACTTCCCCAACCTAGCAAGGCAGGCCATCATTCAAATTCAGAAAATACAGACAACACCACAAAGATACTCCTCAAGAAGAGCAACCCCAAGACACATAATTGTCAGATTCACCAAGGTTGAAATGAAGGGAAAAATGTTAAGGGCAGCCAAAGAGAAATGTTGGGTTACCCACAAAGGGAAGCCCATCAGACTAACAGTGGATCTCACTGCAGAAACCCTACAAGCCAGAAGAGAGTGAAGACAAATATTCAACATTCTTAAAGAAAAGAATTTTCAACCAAGAATTTCATATCCAGCCAAATAAGCTTCATACATGAAAGAGAAATAAAATCTGTTATAGACAAGCAAATGCTAAGAGATTTTGTCACCACCAGACCTGCCTTACAAGAGCTCCTGAAGGAAGCACTAAACATGGAAAGGAACAACTGGTACTAGCCACTGCAAAAACATACCAAATTGTAAAGACCATTGACGCTATGAAGAAACTGCATCAACTAACAGACAAAATAACCTGCTAGCATCATAATGACAGGATCAAATTCATACATAACAATATTAACCTTAAAGGTAAATGGGCTAAATGCCCCAATTAAAAGACACAGACTGACAAATTGGATAGAGTCAAGACCCATCAGTGTGCCATATTCAGGAGACCCATCTCACAGACAAAGACACACACAGGCTCAGAATAAAGGGATAGAGGAATATTTACCAAGCAAATGGAAAGCAAAAATAGCAGGGGTTGCGATCCTAGTCTCTGATAAAACAGACTTCAACAAAGATCAAAAAAGACAAAGAAGGGCATTACATAATGGTAAAGGGATCAATGCAACAAGAAGAGCTAACTGTCCTAAATATATATGCACCCAATACACGAGCACCCAGATTCATAAAGCAAGTTTGCAGAGACCTAAAAAGAGACTTAGACTCCCACAAAATAATAGCGGGATACTTTAACACCCCACTGTCAATATTAGACAGATCAGTAAGACAGAAAATTAACAAGGATATTCAGGACGTGTACTCAGCTCTGGACCAAGCAGACTGAGTAGACATCTACAGAACTCTCCACTGCAAATCAACAGAATATACATTCTTCTCAGCACCAGATCACACTTATTCTAAAAACTGACCACATAATTGGAAGTAAAACACTCCTCAGCAAATGCAAAAGAACTGAAGTCATAACAGTCTCTCAGAGCACAGCACAATCAAATTAGAACTCAGGATTAAGAAACTCACTCAAAACCACAAAACTACATGAAAACTGAACAATCTGCTCCTAAATGACTCCTGGGTAAATAACAAAATTAAGGCAGAAATAAAGATGTTCTCTGAAACCAATGAGAACAAAGACACACTGTACCAGAATCTCTGGGACACATTTAAAGCAGTGTGTAGAGGGAAATTTATAGGACTAAATGCCCACAAGAGAAAGCAGGAAAGATCTAACATCAAGAGCTTAACATCACAATAAAAAGAACTAGAGAAGCAAAAGCAAACAAATTCAAAAGCTAGCAGAAGACAAAAAATAGCTAAGATCGGAGCAGAACTGAAGGAGATAGAGACACAAAAAAAACCCTCCAAAAAAAATCAATGAATTTAGGAGATGGTTGTTTGAAAAGATCAACAAAATAGAGAGCTAGCCAGACTAATAAAGAAAAGAGAGAAGAATCAAATAGATGCAATAAAAAATGATAAAAGGGATATCATCACTGATCCCACAGAAATACAAACTACTATCAGAGAACACTGTAAACAACTCTATGCAAATAAACTAGAAAATCTAGAAGAAATGGATAAATTCCTGGACACATACACCCTCCCAAGACTAAACCAGGAAGAAGTCAAATCCCTGATTAGACAAATAACAACTTCTGAAATTGAAGCAGTAATTAATAGCCTACTAACCCAAAAAAGTCCAGGACCAGATGGATTCACAGCCAAATTCTACCAGAGGTACAAAGAGGAACTGGTACCATTCCTTCTGAAACTACTTCAATCAATAGAAAAAGAGGGTATCCTCCCTAACTCATTTTACAAGGCCAGCATCATCCTGATACCAAAACCTGGCAGAAACACAAGAAAAAAAGAAAATTTCAGGCCAATATCCCTCATGAACATCGAAGCAAAAATCCTCAATAAAATACTGGCAAACCAAATCAAGCAGCACATCAAAAAGCTTATCCACTATGATCAAGTCAGCTTCATCCCTGGAAGGCAAGGTTGGTTCAACATACACAAATCAATAAACGTAATCCATCACATAAACAGAACCAATGGCAAAAACCACATAATTATCTCAATAGATTCAGAAAAGGCCTTTGACAAAATTCAACAGCATTTCATGCCAAAAACTGTCAATAAACTAGGTATTGATGGAACGTATCTCAAAATAATAAGAGCTATTTATGACAAACCCACAGCCAATATCATACTGAATGGACAAAAACTGGAAGCATTCCCTTTGAAAACCAGCACAAGACAAGGATGCCCTCTCTCACCACTCCCATTCAACACAGTATTGGACGTTCTGGCCAGAGCAATCAGGCAAGAGAAAGAAATAAAGGGTATTCAGTTAGGAAAAGAGGAAGTCAAATTGTCTCTGTTTGCAGATGACATGATTGTCTATTTAGCAAACCCAATTAACTCAGCCCAAAATCTCCTTAAGCTGATAAGCAACTTCAGCAAAGTCTCAGGATACAAAATCAATGTGCAAAAATCACAAGCATTCCTACACACGAACAGACAAACAGCCAAATCATAAGTGAACTGCCATTCACAATTGCTACAAAGAAAATGGAACACCTAGGAATCCAACTTAAAAGGGATATGAAGGACCTCTTCTAGGAGAACTACAAACCACTGCTCAAGGAAATAAGAGAAGACACAAACAAATGGAAAAACATGCCATGTTCATTAATAGGAAGAATCAATATCGTGAAAATGGCCAACTGCCCAAAGTAATTTATAGATTCAATGCTATCCCCATCAATCTACCATTGACTTTCTTCTCAGAACTAGAAAAAACTACCATAAATTTTATATGGAATGAAAAAAGAGCCTGCATAGCCAAGACAATCCTAAGCCAAAAGAACAAAGCTGAAGGCATCATGCTACCTTACTTCAAACTATACTATAAGGCTATGGTAACAAATACAGCATGGTACTGGTACCAAAACAGATATACAGACCAGTGGAAAAGAACAGAGGTCTCAGAAATAACACCACACATCTACAACCATCTGATCTTTGACAAACCTGACAAAAACAAGCGATGGAGAAAGGATTCCCTATTTAATAAATAGTGTTGGGAAAACTGGCTAGCCACATGCAGAAAGCTATAGCTCAATCCCTTCTTTACACCTGATACAAAAATTAAGATGGATTAAAGAATTAAACATAAGACCTAAAACCATAAAAACTCTCGAAGAATATCTGGGCAATATGATTCAGGACATAGACATTGGCAAAGACTTCATGACTAAAACACCAAAAGCAATGGCAATAAAAGCCAAAATTGACAAATAGGATCTAATTAAAGAGTTTCTGCACAGCAAAAGAAACTATCATTGGAGTGAACAGGAAACCTACAGAATGGGAGAAAAATTTTGCAATCTATCCATCTGACAAAGGGCTAATATCCAAACTCTACAAAGAACTTAAATTTACAAGAAAAAAAAAATAACTCCATCAAAAAGTGGGTGAAGGATATGAACAGACACTTTTCAAAAGAACACATTTATGCAGCCAACAAACATGAAAAAAAGCTCATCATTGGTCATTAGAGAAATGTAAATCAAAACCACCCACAATGTGATACCATCTCACACCAGTTAGAATGGTGATCATTAAAAAGTCAGGAAACAACAGATGCTGGAGAGGATGTGGAGAAATAGGAACACTTTTACACTTTGGTGGGAGTGTAAATTAGTTCAACTATTGTGGAAGACAGTGTGGCGATTCCTCAAGTATCTAGAACTAGAAATACCATTTGACCCAGCTATCCCATTACTGGTCATATATCCAAAGGATTATAAATCATTCTACTATAAGGATACATGCACACATATGTTTATTGTGCCACTGTCCACGATAGCAAAGACTTGGAACCAACCCAAATGTCCATCAATGATAGATTGGATAAAGAAAATGTGGCACATATACACCATGGAATACTATGCAGCCATAAAAAAGGATGAGTTCATGTCCTTTGCAGGGACATGGATGTAGCTGGAAACCACTATTCTCAGCAAACTAACACAAGAACAAAAAACCAAACACTGCATGTTCTCACTCATAATTGGGAGTTGAACAATGAGAACACATGGACACGGCGGTGGAGGCATCACACACTGGGGCCTGTCAGGGGGTGGAGGGCTAGGGGAGGGATAGCATTAGGAGAAGTACCTAATGTAGATGACGGGTTGATGGGTGCAGCAAACCACCATGGCATGTGTATACCTATGCAACAAACCTGCACATTTTGCAAATGTACCCCAGAACTTAAACAAAAAAAAAAATAGCCTAAAGAGAATTAGCATTCAATCAGTGAGATTAATTAATTTTATTCTGCTAAGAGTTTCTTATTGTAGAATATGCCCTAATATGAAGTTCTACATTCCAACTTTGACTCTGCCACAGGCTTTGTGGCCTTGGACACACTACTCAACCTCCCTTATCCTATATTTCCACATTTGTAAAATGAGGATTCACTTTTCTAAAGAGCTCCATTTCTCTCTGAAATGATTCTCCAGAGATGCTGTGTCAAGATGGGGCAGTTTAATTGATTTAAAGCATTTCAAGACTAATTTAAGACCTCTACTTCTGACAGATTTATTCGCCTTCCTAAAACAATGAACAAAATGAATGAAATATAGCCATATATCACTTAATGATGGGGATACATTTTGAGAAATGCATCCTTAGATGATTTCTTCCTTGTGCGAAACAACAGGGTGGACTTACACAAACCTAGATAGTACAGCCTACTACACACCTAGGCTATAAGGTTTGTTATTTATTTTTATTTATTTATTTATTTATTTATTGAGACAGAGTCTCGCTCTGTCGCCCAGGCTGGAGTGCAGAGGTGCAATCTTGGCTCACTGCAACCTTCGCCTCCTGAGTTCAAGCAATTCTCCTGCTTCAGCCTCCTGAGTAGCTGAGATTACAGGTGCATGCCACCACGCCCAGCTAATTTTTGTGATTTTAGTAGAGATGGGGTTTCACCATCTTGGTCAGGCTGGTCTCAAACTCCTGACCTCATGACCTGCCTACCTAGCCCTCCTAAAGTGCTGAGATTACAGGCTTGAGCCACCACACCCAGCCTGTTATTTATTAATATTGAGTTGTTAATTATCAGATTTTCTGGTCTGATGTAAGCTTATGCAGGGAGAATGAGTTCTTGTTACTTATACTAACAGTATTTCTTCTATTAAATAATAGATTAGTGCAATGTGGTGCTAGGAGCTAGGTAAATTGTTTGGGATTAAGAACATATGAATGTTGAGCTTAAACGCTTTCTTAATTGATGGCTGATTTTAGGCCAGCTATTGTTATGTAGTGTTTTACTCTCTATGGGGAGGTTATTTCCTAGTGTCTAAAGAGCTGTCCCTTTTTAAACTAATCCCTATATAGCCAAGGTGTGTAGTAGGCTATACCATATAGGTTTGTGTAAGTCCACTCTATGATGTGTGTACAATGTCTAAGCTCCTAGGCTACCCACCTGTACAGCATGTTACTTCACTGAATACTGTAAGCAACTGTAACACAATGGTATTTGGGTATCAAAACACATCTAAATATAGAAAATGTACAGTAAAAATACAGTATAAAAGACAAATGGTATACCTGTATAAGACAGTGATATGGCCTGGCTCTGTGTCCTCAACTAAATTTCATCTTAAATTGTAATCAAAATTGTAATCCCCACATGTTGGGGGAGGGACCTCATGGGAGGTGACTAGATCATGGAGGTGGTTCCCCCATGCTGTTCTCATGATAGTGAGTTCTCATGAGATTTGATGGTTTCATAAGGGGCTTTTCCCTGCTTTGCTCTGAACTTCTCTCTCCTGCCACCATGTGAAGAAGGACGTGTTCACTTCCCATTCCACTATAAATGTAAGTTTACTGAGGCCTCTCCAGCCATGCAGAACTGTAAGTCAATTAAACCTCTTTCATTTATAAATTACCCAGTCTTGGGGTATTTCTTCATAGCAGCATAAGAACAAACTAATACAGTAAATTGGTACTGAGATAGTGGGGTACTGCTATGATACTTGAAAATGTGGAAGCAACTTTGGAACTGGGTAACAGGCAGAGATTGGAACAGTTTGGAGGGCTCAGAAGAAGACAGGAAAATATGGGAAAGTTTGGAACTTCCTAGATACTTGGAGGGCTCAGTAGACAGGAAGATGTGGGAAAGTTTGGAACTTCCTAGAGACTCTTTGAATGGTTTTGAACAAAATGCTGATAATGATATGGACAATGAAGAACAGGCAGAGGTGGTCTCAGATGGAGATGAGGAACTTCTTGGGAACTAAAGTAAAGGCGACTCTTGCCATGCTTTTGCAAAAAGGTGGCATTTTGTCCCTGTCCTACAGATCTGTAGCACTTTGAACTTGAGAGATAATTTAGGATATTTAGCGGAAGAAACTTTTAAGCAGCAAAGCATTTAAGAGGTGACTTGGATGCTCTTAAAAGCATTCAGTTTTATGCATTCACAAAGATATGGGCTGGAATTAAAACTTTTGTTTAAAAGGGAAGCAGAGAATAAAAGTTTGATAAACTTGCAGCCTGATGATTCAGTAGAAAAGAAAAATCCATTTTCTGTGGAGAAATTCAAGCTTGCTACAGAAATTTGCATAAGTAATGACGAACTGAATGTTAACCACCAAGACAATAGGGAAAATGTCTCCAGGGCATGTCAGAGACCTTCACAGAAGCCCCTCCCATCACAGGCCCAGACACCTAGGAGGGAAAAACGGTTTTGTTGGCTGGGCCCAAGGCCCCCTGCTGTGTGCAGCCTGGGACTTGTGCCCTGTGTCCCAGCCAGTCCAGCCATGGCTAAAAGGGGCCAAAGTACAGATCAGGCTGTTGCTTCATAGGGTGCAAGCCCCAAGCCTTGGCAGTTCCCACACAGTGTTGGTCCTACAGGTGCATGAAGTCAGGAATTGAGGTTAGAGAACCTCCTAGATTTCAGAGGATATATGGAAACACCTGAATGTCTAGGCAAAAGTTGCTGCAGTGGTGATGCCTGCATGAAGAACCTCTATTAGGGCAGTGCAGAAGGGAAATATAGAATTGAAGCCCCCCGCCGCCAGGGTCCCCACTGGGGTACTGCCTAGTGAAGCTTTGAGAAGATGGCCACCATCCTCCAGACCCCAGAATGGTAGGTCCATTGACAGCTTGCATCATGCACCTGGAAAAGCTGCAGACACTCAATGCTAGCCCATGAAAGCAGCCAGGACTGGGGCTGTACACTGCAAATTCACAGGCCCAGAGTTGCCCAAGGTCTTAGGAGCCTACCTCTTGCATCAATGTGACCTGAATATAAGACATGGAGTCAACGAAGACTGTTTTGGAAGTTTAAGGTTTAATGACTGCCCTATTGGATTTCAGACTTGCATGGGACTTGTAGCCCCTTTGTTTTGGCCAGTTTCTCCCATTGGTGCAGGTGCATTTACCCAATGCCTCTACCCTGCACTGTATCTAGGAAGTAATTAACTTGCTTTTGATTTTACAGGTTCATGGGATGAAGGGACTTGCCTTGTCTCAGATGAGACTTCGGACTTGGACATTTGGGTTAATGCTGAAATGAGTTAAGACTTTGGGGAACTGTTGGAAAGGCATCATTGTGTTTTAAAATGTGAGAAAGATGAGATTTGGGAGGGCCAGGGGCAGAATGATATGGTCTGGCTCTGAGTTCCCATCCAAATCTCATCTTGAATTGTAATCCATATTATAATCCCCACATGTTGGGGTAGGGACCTCATGGGAGGTGATTAGGTCATTATATCATGGAGGTGGCTACTCCATGCTGTTCCTATGATAGTGAGTTCTCATGAGATCTGATGGTTTTATAAGGGGCTTTTCCCCACTTCACTCAGCATTTCTCTCTCCTGCCTCCTGCCACCATGTGAAGAAGAACGTGTTTGCTTAACCTTTCTGCCATAATTGTAAGTTTCCTGGGGCCTCCCAGGCCCTGCAGGACTGTAAATTAATTAAACCTCTTTCCTTTATAAATTACACAGTCTCAGGTATCTCTTCATAGCAGCGTGAGAATGGACTAATACAGTTACTATGAATGGAGCTTGCAGGATTGGCAGTTGCTTTGGGTGAGCCAGTGAGTGAGTGGAGAATAAAGTGAAGGCCTAGTATTATGGACACTGCTGTAAACTTTATAAACATTGTACACTTAGACACACAAAATTTATAAAAAGTATTTTTCTTCAAAAACTTTAGCTTAATGTAATTTTTAAATAACTTTTTATTTGTTAAGCCTCTTGGACTTTTATAAAAATAATTAGCTTAAAACACAAATACATTGTACAGATGTACAAAAATGTCTTCTTTATATCCTTATTCTATACACATTTTTCTGTTTTTAAGTTTTATTTTTTTGCTTTTTAAACATTTTTCTTAAAAGCCAGAACACAAACATTCATATTGGTCTAGGCCTACACAGGGTCAGCATTATCAATATCACTGTCTCTCACTTCCACATCTCATTCCAAAGGAAGGTTTTTAGGGGCAATAACATGCATGAGCTGTCATGTCCTATGATAACAATGCCTTCTTCTGGAATATCTTCCAAAGGACCTGCCTGAAGCTGTTTTACAGTTAATATTTTTTATAAGTAGGAGCATGCTGTAAAATAAAAATAAGGTTTTATTTTCCCCAAGATGGCAGATTAAAGGCTTTCAGTATGCCTCAGCCACTTGGAAATAGCAACAGAGTAAAGTTCAACTATGTGAACTTTAATTCAAGAAGGAAAATGAGAAACCACCAGAATTGTGAAGGACACCCCAGATCCTGGAAAGGAGAATGCCGACAAACAGTCCCTGTGATGGTGTCCAGCTGATAGAAGTGAATGAAGCCCCAGTACACGAAAGAGGCAGAGAGCCTCCTGTGACTCCCCTTTCCACTGGGGATCTGAGCAAACCAGGCTGAGGGAGAGCACTTTGTTTCTTCTGAGCCCTGGAGCTAACTAGGAGAAAGGCTTGGAGACACTCCCAGAGCTAAGACTGAGAGCAGGATGCCGTTTTTAATCTGAGCATATAAAGTCAGCCATTCTTTAGCAACCTGGCAGTGTCACTGAGCAAGTATTTTTAGTCTTGGGCCAGAGATCGGGGAGTCTGCTCTGCAGTGGGCTATGGTCCTCCATGACCAGAACTGTGGAAAGTGCTTCAAGAGTAGGTGCTAGAATTGTGCTCCCCTCTGTCACAAGTCTAGGGCAAGAGGGGAGCTGCTACAGCTGCAGTTTCTCCTGGGTGGGGAGACTTGCAGCTAGGACCAGCTTGACAACCTGGAACTGATTTCTGTTTGTCATTGCTGGGTGCCCCACACAGCTCCCCCGAGATCATGGTGAAACAGGGCCTTCTCTGCTTCACAGCCAGGCAGAAATCCAAGCATTTGAAGCATTTGTTTGCTTAGATCAGCAGCCTTACCCACCGTACCTTTCCTAGGCATAGATCATGGTGCAGAGGGGTTTTCACATTTGCTCCAAGACCAGGCAGATCTGAAGGTATTTTAAACACCCACTTGCCTGGATCAACAGCTTTGACCTGCCCCACCATTCATGGACATAGATTGTGGTGCAACAGGGCCTTCTCTGCTCCAGCCCAGGCAGATCTCCAGGCATTTGCAGCAACTGCTCACCTGGATCAGCAGCCTGAGCTGCCCCACTCTTTCTATGCAGACATCTTAGTACAAGAGGACCCTCTCTGCTTCACGCCCAGGCAGATCACCAGAACTTCAGAACACCCACTCACCTGGTTAAGCAGCCTGAGCCACACTACCCTTCCCATGCAAGGTTCCTGCTATGGGGGGCCCTCTCTGGTATATGCCCAGGAAGAACTCTAGGCATGGCATTCATAACACCAGCTTGTCTTGTTTATCAGATTGAGTCACCCTACACCTCCTCTACAGATCTTGCCACAGGGGGGCCCTCTTTGCTTCACATCCAGGCAGACATGCAGGCATCTAGAGCACCCACTCTCCTAGATTAGGAGTTTAGCCTGTCCCCTTCCTACCATCCATGTGTGGAGAGCTTGAGGCCAAAGATGTTTCCCAGCTCCATGTCTAGGCAAAAGACTGGGCATTTGGTGGCAGCACTGGATTCTCCCTCAGTGTTGGTGCTTGTGCCTGCCATCGGCAGATCTGTAGGCAAACTTCTCCAGCCCAGCACTACGTATCTTTCCCCTAGCCCCTGAGGCTGAGCGGGGAGCTCAGACCACTGTGCATTTCACAAATTGGGCCATTGCCTGAGGCAAAAGAAAGCTTCTGCCAGTAAACAAGGATCAAGTATTGTTTTAGGCTACTCTTGAATTGCTATAAAGAAATATCTGAGACTGGGTAATTTTAATAGAAAAGATGTTCAATTGGCTCATGGTTCAGAGAAGGCCTTACAGAAAGCATGATGTTGGCATCTACTCAGCTTCTAGAAAGGCCTCAGGAAGCTTACAATCGTGTCAGAAGGTGAAAGAGGTACAGGCATCTCACAAAATGGGAGCAAGAGGGGGGCGGGAGGCACCAAAGAGTTTTTTTAATCTTTTTTGAGATAGATAGAATTTCACTCTTGTTGCCCAGGCTGGAGTGCAATAGTACGATCTCAGCTCACTGCAACCTCCACCTCCTGGGCTCAAGTGATTCTCCTGCCTCAGCCTCCCAAGTAGCTGGGATTACAGGTGCACACCACCACACCCAGCTAATTTTTGGATTTTTAGTAGAGACAGGGTTTCACCTTGTTGGTCAGGCTGATCTCAAACTCCTGACCCTCAGGTGATCCACCTGCCTCAGCCTCCCAAAATGCTGGGATTACAGGTGTGAGCCACCATGCCTACCACACAGTTTTAAACTACTCACAAATAGTGAGTTCTTGCACAAAGCAAGGGGATGGTGCTAAACCATTCTTGAGAAATCTACCCCCATGATCCAATCACCTCCCACTAGCCTCCACCTCCAACATTGGAGATGACATTTCAACATGAGATTTGGGTGAAGACAAATATCCAAACTATATCATTCCTCACCTGGCTCCCCAAAGCTCATGTCATCACAGTTTAAAATACAATCATACCTTCTCAATAATCCCCCAAAGTCTTCCTCAAAAACCCAAAGTGAAAAGTCTCATCTGAGAAAAGGTGAATCCCTTCCACCTATGGGCCGGTAAAATCAAGAACAAGTTATTTACATCCAAGATACAATGGAGGTACAGGCATTGGGTAAACATTCTATTGCAAAAGGGAGAAATCAGCCAAAAGAAAGGGACTACAAGGCCCCATGTAAGTCCAAAACTCAGCAGGGCAGTCATTAAATCTTAAACCTCTTAAACAGTCTCCTTTGAGTCTATGTACTACATCCAAAGCACACTGATAGCAGCAGTGGGCTCCCAAGGCCTGGAGAAGCTCTGCTGCTGTGGCTTCGCAGGGTTTATCTCCTGAGGCTGCTTTTATGGATTGGAATTGAGTGCCTGCAGCTTTTCCACACAGAGGGTGCAAGTGCCAGTGGATCTACCATTCTGGGGTCTGGAAGACAGTGGCCTAGTTCCCACAGCTCCACTAAGTAATGCGCCAGCAGGGACTCTGTAGGCCCTCCAACCCCACGTTTCCCCTCCATACTGCCCCAGCAGATGTTCTCTGTGAGGGCTCTGCCCTTGCAGTGGACTTCTGCCTGAGCACTCAGGGTTTTGTATATATCCTCTGAAATCTAGGCAGAGGCTGCCAAGTCTCATACATTCCTGCACTCTTTACACCTGCAGGCTTAACACCAAATGCAAACTGCCAAGGCTTATGGCTTATATTATCCAAAGTGGCAGCTGTACCTGAGTGCCTTTGAGCCATGACTGGAGTGGCTGGGATATGGGGAGCAGTGTCATGAAGCTGCACACAGTAATGTGTCCCTGGGCCTGACTCCCAGAACCATTCAGTCCTCCTAGGCCTCAGGGCTAACAATGGGAGGGGGAGCCTGGAAGATTTCTGAAATGGCTTCAAGGTCTTTTTCCCATTGTCTTGGCTGTTAGCACTTGAGCCTTTTTTACATATACAAATTTCTCTAGCAAGTGATTGCTCCACTGCCTGCTTCAATTTCTCTCCTGAAAAAGCTTTATCTTTCTCTGCCACATGGCCATTCTGCAAATATTACAAACTTTTATGCTCTGCTTCCCTTTGAAATGTGTATTCCAATTTTAAGTCATTTCTTCATTCCCACATCCGAGTATAAGCCCTTAGAAGCAGCCAGATCACTTATTGAATGCTTTGTTGCTTAGAAACTTCTTCTGCCAGATACCCTAAATCATAATTCTGAAGTCCAAAGTTCCACAGATCCTTAGGGCATGAACACAATCCAGCCAACCTCTTTGCTAAGGCATAACATGTGTGACCTTTACTCCAGTTCCCAATAAGTTTCTCATTTCTATCTGAGACTTCCTCAGCCTGGACTTCATTGTCCATATCTCCATCAGCATTTTGGTCACAACAATTGAACCAGTCCCTAAGAAGTTCCAAACTTTCCCACATCTTCCTGTCTTTTTCTGAGCCCACCAAACTTTTCCAAACTCTGCCTGTTACCCAATTCCAAAGCTGCTTCCACATTTTTAGGTATCTTTATAGCTATTCCCCACTCCTGGCATCAATTTTCTGTATTAGACTGTTTTTGCACTACTATAAAGAAATACCTGAGACTGGGTAATTTATAAAGAAAAGAAGTTTAATCAGCTCATGGTTCTGTAAGCTTTACAGGAAGTGTGGTGCTGAAACCTCCTATGCAAAAATTATAACTGGGACAATTATGACAATGAAAGAGATTAGACCTAACCAGCTCCATCTTACCTCTAACCCTTAAGCTGTCTTTGTTCATTCCTGAGCATAGGCTGAACCTTGGGAAAAAATTCAGTTTATGATTTGACTCTGAAACAAAATTGATAATACTTCTTTCCCAAAAAGACCCTCCTCACCTGGGAACTAGTCTGTCTTCGTCAGACTAACAAATTATCTACAAGACTAGAAATTACTACAGTTTAGGAGTCATGCAGCCTCTGGCTTCAAGAGTCTGAACCTCTCCAAATTGCTCCTGGGCATAACATCAGTATCGTAGAACCTAAGATTGGTGCTTATGATATGTTGCAGACCCTGCACAATGGATCAGTTTACACTACCCAGAGGGTAATCTGGCTCAACCAGTTCTGTGATCCCACCCAGGAACAGAAGACAGCAAGAAAACCTCACTTCAACCCTTCTATGATTTCATCTCCAACCTGACCAATCAGCAGTCCCCACTTCCCGAATCCCTACCTGCCAAATTATCTTTAAAAACTCCAATCCCCTAATGCTCAGGGAGACTGATTTGAGTAATAATAAAACTCCAGTCTCCTGCATGGCCGGTCTATGTGGATTATTCTTTCTCCATTGCAATTTCTCTGTCTTGATAAATCAACTCTGTCTAGGCAGTGGGTAAGGTGAACCCACTGGGCAGTTATAGTGCTGGCATTTGCTTGGCTTCTGGTGAGGCATCACGAAGCTTACAATCGTGGTGGAAGACAAAGGAGAAGCAGGCATCTCATATGGTGGGAGCAGGAGCAAGAGAGAGAGAGAGTTTGGGGGGGAGGTGACACACACTTTTGAAAGACCAGATCTCACGAGAACTCATATCATGAGAAGAGCAAGCAAGTGTATGGTACTAAACCATTCATGAAAAATCCACCCCAATGATCCAATAACCTCCCACCAGGCCTAAACTTTAATACTGGGGATTACATCTCACTATGAGATTTGGCGAGGACACATATTCAAAGTATATTAAGTATATACTAAGCCACATTGGCCACAGCTGGCTCTTATGTATAATTGCCATCTACAAGCTTGTAAGTCAGACTACACAATGCAATATAAAACCTGCCAAAAGAAGTGCATAGGGCTATAGTAGCAAAACTAAAGGATCCTATGCAGCTTTCTCTACTGTCACACCCCCTAGAGAGGGGGGAAAGAAAAAGAGAAAGAAAATAATAATAATATAGGGAAAGAAAGAAAAAGAAAAAAATCTAGTTGCATGAAAATAATTACAAAAATTAGAAATGCCAGCATCTCTAGATGAGAAGAAACCAGTGTAAAAATTTTGGAACCATGAAAAATCTAAATGTAGTGGCACCATTAAAGAATTGCATTTGCTCTCTAGTAATGGTCCCTAACCAATGTGAAAACTGAAAATTATTGATAAATAATTCAAAGCATGGGTTGCAAAAAATCTCAGTGAGATTCGAGACAAGCTTGACAATCAACAGAAATACATTTCTAAAGCAATCCAGGAAATGAAGAGACAGACATCTTAAAAAGGAATCAATCAGAGATTCCAGAATTGAAAAACTCACTTAAGGAATTTCAAAATACAATTGAAAGCCTTATCAATAGATTAGACCAAGCAGAAGAAATAATTTCAGAATTTGGAGACTGGTCTTTCAAACTAACCCAATCAGACAAAAATAAAGAAAATAGAATTTTTAACAATATACAAAGTATTTGAGAAATATGGGATTATGTAAAATTCCCAAACCTACAAATTATTGGCATTCCTGAGAGAGGAGAAAAAGTAAACAACCTGAAAAAATATATTTGAAAGAATAATTTTCCTAATCATGCTAGAGAGGTAGGCATCCAGATACAAAAAATCCAGAGAACACTGGTGAGATACTATACAAAATGAACCCTACCAAGGTATATAGCCACCAGACTGTCCAAAGTCAACACTAAAGAAAAGATCTTAAAGGTAGCTAGAGAAAAAGGACAGATCACATATGAAAGAAACCTCATTAGGCTAACAGTGGATTTCAGCAGAAACCTTACAAGCCAGGAGGGACTGGGCACTTACTTTCAGCATTTTTAAAGATAAAAATTCAACTGAGAATTTCATACCCCACCAAATTAAGCAAAGGAGAAATAAAATATTTTCCAGAGAAGCAAGTGTTATGGGAATTCGTTACCACTAGGCCAGCCTTACAAGAGATTCTTAAGGGAGTTCTAAACATGGAAACAAAAGAACAATACTTGCTACCAGAAAAACACACATAAGTACATAGCCTACAGACCCTATGAAATAACCACAAAATAGAAACCATAAAGCAACCAGCTAACACCTTCATGATAGGATCAAAACTTCACATATTAATATTAACCTTCAATGTAAATAGTCTAAACACCCTACTTAAAAGGCAGAGTGGCAAGTCGGATTAAAAAAAGAAGACCACCCATATATCTCCTGTCCTCAAGAGACCCATCTCAAACATAACAGCACCAATAGGCTCAAAGTAAAGGGTTGGAGAAAATTCTATGATGCAAATGGAAAACAAAAAAGAACAGGGGTCATTATTCTTATATCAGACACAACAGACTTTAGCAACAGTAAAAAAGGACAAAGAAAGGCATTACATAATGAAAAAGGGTTCAATTCATAAAGAAGGCTTAACTATCCTAAATATATATGCACCCTACATTACAGCACCCATATAAGTAATGAAAGTACTTCTAGACCTAAAAGACTTAAACAGCCACAGAATAATAGTGGAAAATTTCAACACCCCACTGACAGCTTTAGAGAGATTGTCAAGTTAGGAAACTAACAAAGAAATTCTGTATGTAAACTTGACACTTCGTCCATTGGACCTAATAGAAAACTACAGAATAATCCACCCACCAACCATAGACTATATATTCTTCTCATCTGCACACAGAAAATACTCCAAGATCTACCAATGTTCAGCCATAAAGCAAGTCTCGATAAATTTAAAAAAAAGAAATTATTCCTATCATATTCTTAGACTACAGTAGAATAAAAATAGAAATCAATACTCAGAAGATCCCTCAAAACCACACTGTTACATAGACCCCAGCACTTTGGGAGGCTGAGGTGGGCAGATCATGAGGTCAGGAGTTCGAGACCAGCCTGACCAATATGGTGAAACCCCATCTCTACTAAAAATACAAAAATTAACCAGGCATGGTGGTGTGCACCTGTAAGCCCAGCTACTCAGGAGGCTGAGGCAGGACAATCGCTTGAACCCGGAAGGCAGAAGTTGCAGTGAGCCAAGATTGCACCACTGCACTCCAACCTGGGTGACAGAGCAAGACTCTGTCTAAAAAATAAATAAATAAAATAAGAAAGAAAGAAAAGAAAAGAACAACTTGATCCTGAATTACTTTCAGGTAAACAATGAAATCAAGGCAGAAATTTAAAAATTATTTGAAATAAATGAAAACAGAGATGCAATATACCAAAGTCTCTGGGATGCAGCAAAAGCAGTGTTAAGCAGAAAGTTTATAGAGCTAAATGCCTGCCCAAAAAGTCAGAATGATCTCAAACTAATGCTCTACCTTCACATCTAGAGGAAATAGAAAAACAAGAATTAATTCGAAAGCTAGCAGAAGAAAACAAATATGTAAAATCAGAGTGGAACACAATGAAATCGAGATTCAAAAATCCATACAAAGAATTAGTAAAACCAAAAGTTGATTTTTGAAAGAATAAACAAGATCCATAGACCAGTAGCTAGATTAACAAAGAAAAAGAGAAGCTCTAAATAAGCAAAATCAGAAACAACAAAGGTGACATTACAACTGATCCCAGAGAAATACAAAACATTCTCAGAGGCTATTATGAATACCTTTATGAACACAAACTAGAAAATCTAGAGGAAATAGATAAATTCCTGAAAACACACAATCTCCCAAGACTGAATCAGAAAGAAAGTAAAACACTGAACAGACTAATATGGAGTCTCAAAATTGAATCAGTAATAAAAATCCTACCAACCAAAAAAATCCCTAGACCAAGTGAATTTACACTCAAATTCTATCAAACATACAAAGACCTAGTACCAATTCTACTGAAACTATGAAACCAGCATTACCCTGATACTAAAACCTAGCAAAAACATAATGCAAAAAGAACAGGTGACATCTCTGATGAACATAAATGCAAAAATCCTCAACACAATACCAGCAAACCAAATGTAATAGTAAATCAAAAAGTTAATTCACATTCTAAACAAAAAGAGCAAAGCTGGAGGCATCATACTACGTTTCTTCAAACTAATTTACAAGGCTACAGGAACTAAAACAGCATGGGACTGGTACAAAAACAGACACAGATTAATGGAACAGAATACAGTACCCAGAAATAAAGCTGCACACCTACAATCATCTGATCTTTGCAAAGTCAACAATAACAAGCACTGGGGAAAGAACTGCCTATTCATTAAATGGTGCTGGAATAACCAGCCAACCATATATGGAAGATTAAAACTGAGCCCCTACCTTTCACCATATACAAAAATCAGCTCAAGGTGGATTAAAGACTTAATACAAAATCTCAATCTATAAAAAACCTAGAAGAAAGCCAAGGAAATAGCATTCTGGCATTGACCCTGGCAAATATTTTATGATAAAGATTCCAAAAGAAATTGCAACAACAACAAAAATTGACAAGTGAGACCTAAGTAAACAGACAACCTACATAATGAGAGAAAATATTTACAAACTATGTGTATTAGTTTATTTTCATGCTGCTGATAAAGACATACCTGAAACTGGAAACAAAAAGAAGTTTAATTGGACTTACAGTTCCACATGGCTGGGAAGGCCTCAGAATCAAGGCAGGAGGTGAAAGGCACTTCTTACATGGCAGCAGCAAGAGAAAAATGAGGAAGCAGCAAAAGTGGAAACCCCTGATAAACCCATCAGATCTTGTGAGACTTATTCACTATCATGAGAATAGCATGGAAAGACCAGCCCCCATAACTCAATTACCTCCCCCTGGGTCCCTCCCACAACATGTGAGAATTCTGGGAATTCTCAACTCAAGTTGAGATTTCAGTGGGGACACAGCCAAACCATATCATTCCACCCCTGGACCCTCCAAATCTCATGTCCTCACATTCCAAAATCAATCATGTCTTCCTAACAGTCCCCCAAAGCCTTAATTCATTTCAGCATTAGTCCACAGTCCAAAGTCTCATCTGAGACAAGGCAAGTCCCTCCTGCCTATGAGCCTGTAAAATCAAAAGCAAGCTAGTTATATCCTAGATACAATGGGGGTACAGGTATTGGGTAAATACAGCCATTCCAAGTGAGAGAAACTGGCCAAAACAAAGGGGTTATGGGGCCCATGCAAGTTTGAAATCTAACAGGGTAGTCAAATTTTAAAGCTCCAAAATTATCTCCTTTGACTCCAGCTCTCACCTCCTGGTCACTCTGATGTAAAAGGTGGGTTCCCATGGTCTTGGGCAGCTCTGCCCCTGTGGCTTTTCAGGGTACAGACTCCCTCCTGGCTACTTTCACAGGCTGGCATGGAGTGGCTATAGCTTTTCCAGGCGCACAGTACAAGCTATTGGTGGATCTGCCATTCTGAGGTCTGGAGGACAGTGGCCCTCTTCTCACAGCTCCTCTAGGCAGTGTCCCAGTAGAGACTCTGTGTGGGGGTTCCGACCCCACATTTCCCTTCTGCACTGCCCTAGCAGAGGTTCTCCATGAGGGCCCTGCCCCTGCAGCAAATTTTGCCTGGTCATCCAGGCGTTTCCATACATCTTCTGAAATCTAGGTGGAGGTTCCCAAGCCTCAATTATTTACTTCTGTGCACTTGCAGGCTCAACACCACATGGAAGCTGCCAAGGCTTGGGGCTTCCACTTTCTGAAGCCACAGCCTGAGCTCTACGTTGGCCCCTTTCAGCCATGGCTGGAGTGGTTGGGGTACAGGGCACCAAGTCCCTAGGCTGCACACAGCATGGGGACGCTGGGTCCAGCCCACTAAACAACTTTTTCCTCCTGGACCTCTGGGCCTGTGATGAGATGGGCTGCTGTGAAGGTCTCTGGCATGGCCTGGAGACTTTCCCCATGGTCTTGGGGATTAACATTAGGCTCCTTGCTACTTGTGCAAATTTCTGCAGCCAGCCTGAATTTCTCCTCAGAAAATGGGTTTTTCTTTCCTGCTGCATCGTCAGGCTGCAAATTTTCTGAACTGTTATGTTGTTTCCCTTTTAAGTGGAATGCTTTTAACAGCACCTAAGTCACCTTTTGAATGCTTTGCTGCTTAGAAGTTTCTTCTGTCAGATACCCTAAATCATCTCTCCCAAGTTCAAAGTTCCACAAATCTCCAGGGCAGGGGCAAAATGCCGCTAGTCTCTTTGCTAAAACATAACAAGAGTCACCCTTGCTCCAGTTCCCAACGAGTTCCTCATCTCCATCTGAGACCACCTCAGCCTGGACCTTATTGTTCATATCATTGTCAGCATTATTGTCAAAGCCATTCAACAAGTCTCTAGGAGGTTCCACATTTTCCTGTCTTCTTCTGAACTCTCCAAACTGTTCCACAACCCCTGCCTGTTACCCATTTCCTAAGTTGCTTCCACATTTTCGGATATCTTTTCAGCAACGTCCCATTCTATGGGTACCAATTTACTATATTAGTTTGTTTTCACACTGCTGATAAAGACATACCCGAAACTGGGAACAAAAACAGGTTTAATTGGACTCACAGTTCCACATGGCTGGAGAAGCCTCAGAATCATGGTGGCAAAAACAGGTTTAATTGGACTCACAGTTCCACATGGCTGGAGAGGTCTCAGAATCATGGCGGGAGGTGAAAGACACTCCTTACGTGATGGCAGCAAGAAAAAAATGAGGAGGAAGCAAAAGCAGAAACCCTTGATAAACCCAGCAGATCCTGTGAGACTTATTCACTATCACAAGAATAACATGGGAAAGACAGCATCCATGATTCAATTACCTCCCCCTGGGTCCCTCCCACAACACTTCAGAATTCTGGGAGATACAATTTAAGTTGAGATTTTGGTGGGGACATAGCCAAACCATATCAGCATCTGACACAGATCTAATATCCAGAATCTATAAGGAAATTAAATGAATCAACAAGCAAAAAACAACTCTGAAAAATGAGTAAAGGACATAAACATACTTCTCAAAAGACATATATACGGCCAACAAAAATATGAAAAAATGCTCCACCTCACTAATCATCTAGGAAATGCAAATCAAAACCACAATGAGACACCATCTTATGCTAGTGAGAATGGCTGTCATTAAAAAGTCAAAAAATAACATGCTGACAAGGTTGCAGAGCGAAGGGAACACTTATACACTGCTAGTGGGAATGTAAATTAGTTCAGCCAGTAGGGAAAGCAGTTTGGTGATTTCTTAAAGAACTTAAAATAGAACTGCCATTTGACCCAGCAATCCCATTACTGAATCAATCCCAATCCCATTACCCAAATGAATATAAATCATTCTACCACAAAGACACATGCACATATATGTTCATCACAGGACTATTCATGATAGCAAAGACATAATATCAACCCAG
Source organism: Homo sapiens (assembly GCF_000001405.40). NCBI lineage: Eukaryota > Metazoa > Chordata > Mammalia > Primates > Hominidae > Homo > Homo sapiens. The sequence goes on from NC_000013.11 coordinate 47,586,086, forward strand.
ATGGCCATCAATGGTGAACTAGAAAAAGAAATGTGGTACATATATACTATGGAATACTATGTAGCCATAAAAAAGAATGAGATTATGTTCTTTGCAGGAACATGGATGTAGCTGAAGGCCATTATACTAAGGAAATCAACACAAACAGAAAACCAAATAACACATGTTCTCACTTATAAGTGGGAGCTAAATATTGAGTATACATAGACACAAAGAAGGGAACAATAGACACCAGAGCATTTTGTGGGGAGGAAGGTGGGAAGAGGCTGAGGATTGAAAAGCTACAAATTGGATATTATGCTGATTACCTGGGTGTCAAAATTATCTGTACACCAAACCAACAAGACATGCAATTTGCTCATGTAACAAACCTGCACATGTACCCCTTGGATCTAAAATGGAAGTAGGAAAGAACAAAATATTCCATTTACAATAACTCAAAAATACTTAGAAATAAACTTAACAAAAGAAGTTTAAGATTTGTCCACTATAAAAAGTTAAAATTTTTTGAAAAAAAATAGACAATCTAAATAAATGGAAGGACAGCTAATATTCAAAGATAACAAACTTAATTTTGGTAAGATCACATTCTTCAAAGGGATCTGCAGATTCAATGCAATTTTTGTTACAATCCCAGCTGTCTTTTTACAGAAATTGGCCAGCTGACGCTACAATTTATAGGTAAATGCAAAAGAAATCAAATAACCAAATAAATGTCAAAACCAAAAACATTTTTTAAAAAGTTAATTTACCATGACCAAGTAGGCTTCATTTCTGGGATGCAAGATGTGGTTCAACATACACAAATCAATAAATGTGATTCACTACATAAACAGAATTAAAAACAAAAATCCAACTTCATGACAAAATCCCTCAAGAATATAGACATCAAGGGAACATACCTCAAAATAATAAGAGCCATCTATGACAAACCCACAGCCAACATCATACTGAACCAGGAAAAAATGGAAGCATTCTCCTTGAGAATTTTGACAAGACAAGGTTTCCCACTCTTACCACTCCTATTCAACATAGTACTGGAAGTGCTAGCCAGAGAAATCAGGCAAAAGAAATAAAAGGCATCGAAATAGGAAAAGAAAAAGTCAAACAATCTCTCTTCAAAAAGCCAAACGATTTTTCTTCATGTATTCTTAAAAGTTAAAAATACATCAAATCCATAATCTAGCCTCTACACTTTCAGATATTTACCAAGAGGATAAAAAAAGTATAATTTTATACAAAGATCTACAGACAAAATTACTACAATAAAAGCAGGTATATTTGTAATAGTCAAAAACTGGAAATGACCCAAATGGCCATCAGTAAGTAAATGGATAAAAGGAAAAGGTGGCATATCTATGCAATGGAATACTATTCAGTAACAAAAAAGAATGAACCATTAATAGATGCAACAACATGGATGAATCTCAGAATAATTATGCTGAGTGAAAAAAGCAGACAAAAAAGTACATATTGTTTGATTTTATTTATATGAAACTCAAGAGAAAGTAAATCAGTATATAGTGGATCAGTAGATACCTGGAGAGAGCTGACGTGGGGAGGAGCCAGAGACAGGGATCACATAGGGCTAGGAGGAAATCTTGGGGCATGATGGATCCATTCACTATCTTGATCATAAGGCTGGTTCCATAGGTGTGTATACATGTCAAAACATCAAATATTATACCTTAAATATATGCAATTTGTTTTAAGTCAATTATACCTCAATAAAAAATATTTTGTATGTCATTCTAGTCTGTGTTCCAAAGTGGAAATATACCTTGAAGCTAAATATACTCTTTCAAGATGGCCTCATTAGATACAGAAGTAAATGTCAAATTATATCGTCCTTTTAGAGACAACACAGGTAGCATGTTTGAAATACATTATCCTTGGAAAGAATGTTCAAATATATGCTTTGTTCCTAGGAGTCTTTGGAAGGTGAAGTGATTATTTTTGCCCCTATGATATTACTTTAGGTACAAGTACTTAAAGGAGATCATTGATGTGACTTACTCTTAATTAGCTGAAAGTGTCATTGGTGAATTAGTAAGGTTCCACATAGTTTAATTAAATTACCAACCTCAGGAGCACACTGAGGGTAAGAATTACAGTGCGGAACTTGCCAACTGCACCCTTGAAGGGCCAAGGGTCAATTGGCCCCTCCAGGAGAAAGCAGCTGTTTTCACTCAATACAACCATCCTGGACTATTCTGGAGGCATGTCGAGAAGTCACAAATCACACAGCCAAAATTAATAACTAAATAGCATATAAACCACTTGTATGTACAAACTTGTAGAGAAAATATTTTTTATAATTTCAGTGAAAACCTGTCCCAGCCAAGTTGACAGTGTCCAGACCTTTGTGGTCATGTGTGTCCAGTGACTTCATTTATTTATCTATTTCAGAAGAAAAGAGATGAGTTGGAAGGTGATTGAAATTTAAGACAACTAGAGAGAACTATAGTTCATTTATTTGTTATACCTCATAATTATTTGTTAAATTAATATCTTCTAAAATGAAACTTCACTGAGGAATGGGTTATATTTCTGTTTTATTCAGGCTAAAAGCCCAGGGCTTGGCATAGTGTAGAATAATAATATCTAACACTTGAGTAGCATTCACAGTATTCTATGAACTTTGCCAAGGGCTTCATATGTATTAATGTAATTTCTCCTAATCACACCATGAAGTTGATATTAATACCATTTTACAGATGAGAAAACCAAGGCACAAATAATTTAATAATTGATTAATGATGAAATGTTTGCCACATCCACTAGGTGGCAAACACAGTGCAGACATTGGGTAGGTCAAGGTGGCACACTACTTTAGTTGAGAAGATTCTAATGTGGTGGTCTCTGCCCTAGCAGGTTTAAAAGCCTAGTGTTGCTGGGTACAGTGGCTCACACCTATAACTTCAGCATTTTGGGAGACTGAGGAAGGAGGATGGCTTGAGGCCAGGAGTTCAAGGCTTTAGTAAGCTATGAAAGCACCACTGCACTCCAGCCTGGATGAAAGAGTGAGCCTCGTCTCTTAAAAAAATAAAATAAAGGATAACTTAGTGCTGTGGGAGCTTCCTCAGGGTACAGACCACAGCTTGTTCAGTCATATTCCCAGCAGAGGAAAAATGGAGTATGTGTCCAAGATATTTTGTTGAAGTAGAAAGACACATATCAAAAAGGGGGAAATATTAAATCTGAGGTCCAGTTTAAAGAAAATATGAATAGGAAAGTGTGAAAACACAAGTTGTAAAGGGAAAATAATGAGGAGGTGAAATAGAGTATCCCAGAAATTATTGTTGCTTTTGAGGAAAAAATACATTCAGAGAATGAACTGAGCTCCTTCTCGCCATGAAAATGAGATATGCCACCCTCAGGAGCCAGTGAGCAACTAGGGGTAGAGAGAAAAGTTCCTTTAATAATCAGATTAAATCATGCTTTGGGGTTCAGGGAAATTGCTCATATTTTTTTTGTTGCTGCTCCAAAGAGATGTAGTCATTCTGAGTAACAAATGAGAATCTGCCACACATATGTGCACATGTATACAAACACACACACACACACACATACACATATATCAGTGTTTTTAGTAGGATTTGATTTCAGTGACAGGAAAAGGGATGGGGAGTTGGTGCAGACACATCCAATAATGTTCAGGCTCAGATAATCTTTGTGCATTCCTTGGCACCAACGCTTAGTGATCTCCTATTGGCCAAAACTACAGAAACCAATAAGATGTGGGTGCTGAGGCACCGGATGCAGCAGAGGTGCCAGTAGTAGGAAGAAAAGCAGTAATTGGCTGTACTGCCCTAGGGAAGGATTATCTTCTCCTGGGACTGGGGGTGGGGGCAGACAAAACTAATATGGCAAATGTTAGGGATTAGATTGAATGCATCAGGAGAAATACAAGGAGACAATGGACTTCATCTTGTAGCTCTGGGGATTCAAGGGTAAGGAAAATATGAAAAAAAAAATTTTTTTTTAAGAAAGAATACAGTAAAGAAGATAGATTTTTATATCTATATTGTAAAAATCTGCTCTAAAAGATTTCTCATCAGTTTTTTCCAATATTTTTGCTAATTTCCCCAGATAATTAATACTTATTCCAATTCCACATTGTCTTGTCCGTAAGAAAACACCTTAGACTGGACAATTTATAAAGAACAAAAATTTATTTATTATAGTTCTGGAGGCAGGGAAGTACAAGATCAAGGCACTGGAATTGGTGTATGGTGAGGGCTGCTCTCTGCTTCCAGAATGCTGCCTTGTTGTATCCTTACATGGAGGAAGGTGGAAGGGCAAGAGTGCATCTCTTTCAACCTTGAGTCCTTTTGTAGAAGCGCTAATCCCACTCATAAGAGTTGTACTTGTCCATTCTCACATTGTTATAAAGAAATACCTAAGACTGGGTAATTTAAAGACAAGAGGTTTAATTGGTTCTGCAGGCAGCACAGGAAGTATGGTGCTGGCATCTGCTCAGCTTCTGAGGAGGCCTCAGGAAGCTTACAATCATGGCAGAAGGTGAAGGGGTAGCAGGCATGTCACATGACCAGAACAGAAGCAAGAGTGAGGGGGGAGATGCTACATGCCTTTAAACAACCAGATCTCACAAGAACTCACTCACTATCATGAGGATAGTACCAAGGGGGATGGTGCTAACCATTCATCAGAAAACTGCCCCCATAATCCAGTCACCTCCCACCAGGCCCCACCTCCCACCTTGCAGATTACATTTTAATATAAGATTTGTACAAACTTAAACAAATTTACAAGAAAAAAATCAAACAACCCCATCAAAAAGTGGGTGAAGGATATGAACAGACACTTTTCAAAATAAGACATTTATGCAGCCAACAGACACAGGAAAAATGCTCATCATCACTGGCCATCAGAGAAAAGCAAATCAAAACCACAATGAGATACCATCTCACACCAGTTAGAATGGTGATCATTAAAAAAGGAAACAGGTGCTGGAGAGGATGTGGAGAAATAGGAACACTTTTACACTGTTGATGGGACTGTAAACTAGTTCAATCATTGTGCAAGACAGTGTGGCGATTCCTCAAGGATCTAGAACTAGAAATACCATTTGACCCAGCCATCCCATTACTGGGTATATACCCAAAGGATTATAAATCATGCTGCTATAAAGACACACGTATGTTTATTGTGGCACTATTCACAATAGCAAAGACCTGGAACCAACCCAATTGTCCATCAATGATAGACTGGATTAAGAAAATGTGGCACATATACACTATGGAATACTATGCAGCCATAAAAAAGGATGAGTTCATGTCCTTCATAGGGACATGGATGAAGCTGGAAAACATCATTCTGAGCAAACTATCACAAGGACAGAAAACCAAACACCACATGTTCTCACTCATAGGTGGGAATTGAACAATCAGAACACTTGAACACAGGGTGGAGAACATCACACACCAGGGCCTGTCATGGGGTGGGGGAAGGGGGCAGGGATAACATTAGGAGAAATACCTAATGTAAATGACGAGTTAATGGGTGTAGCACACCAACATGGCACGTGCATACATATGTAACAAACCTGCACATTGTGCACATGTACCCTAGAACTTGAAGTATAATAAAAAAAAAAAAAAAGATTTGGGTGGAGACATACATTGAAACTATATCAAGGGTGGTGCCCTCACAACATAATCACCTCCCAAAGGCCACACCTCTTAATACTGTTGTATTGGAGATTAAGTTTCTATTTGAATTTTGGAGAGAATACTATCATCCAAACCATGGCTTTCTGCCCCTGGTCTCCTAAAATTCATGTTCTTCTCACATACAAAATACATTCATTCCATCCCAATAGCTCGAAATATTCTTAACTCATTCCAGTATCAACTTTCAAGTTTGAGTCCAAAGTCTCATCTAAATATCATCTAAATCTGATATGGGTGAGACTCAAGGCACAATGCAACCTAAGGCAAATATCTCTCCAGCTGTAAAATCAGCTTGTTTGTGAAATCAAGCAAGTATGCACTTCCAAAATATAATCGTGGCACAAACATACGATAGGCATTCCCATTCCACAAGAGAAAACTAGGCAAGCATAAAGGGGTAACAGGTCTCAAGGAGGTCCAAAACCCAACAGGGAAAATAACATTAAATCTTAAAGCTTGAGAATAATCTTCTTTGACTCCATGTCCCACTTTTCAGACATACTGGGGCAGGAGTTGCATTCCCAAGAGTCCAGGGTACCCTGCCCAATGGCTTTTCTGGACACAGCCCACACTGCAACTCTAACAGGTTTGAGTCAGAGGCCTACAGCTCTCCCAAGCTGGCATTGCACACAGGTGGCTTTTCAGGCCTGGGGTCTCAGGGATGGCCCTGCTCCAGTGGCTCCACTAGGCATTGCCCTAAGTTGGGGCTCTCTGCAGTGGCCCTGACCCTAGGGCTCTGCTGGGCACTGCCCTAATTGGAGCTCTCTGTGGTAGCCCCACTCCTGCAGCAGGTCCAAAGCGTGGGCCTCAAGGTTCTCTGAGGCACCTTTGAAATCTAGGTGCAGGTAGTCATGCTCCCTCAGCTAATGCACTCTGTACACCTGCAGAGTTAGCACCTTACAAACACCATCAAGGTTTATGGCCTGTATCTTCTGAAGCAGGGACCCAAGCCCCACTGAGGCGCATTTGAGGCACAGCTAGTGACACTAAGGAATGCTGCTTTGAAATTCAGGGAGCAGAAACTTGAGAAGGCCCTGAGCAGTGAGCTCTGAGGTCCCTCTCTTGAAATCATTCTGCACTCTGGGCCTGTAATGGGAGTGGCAGCCTAGAACAACTCCAAAATGCCTCTGGAGTCATTCTTCCATTGTCTTAATGACTAGCACCTGACTTCCACCTATTTATACTAATCTTCTTTTCAAGTGTAGCTTTGTCACACCCTTGGTATTCTCTCCCAAACTCAGTTTGTCATTCTTTATATGGCCAGGCTAAGAATTTTTCAACTCTTTAAATTCTGCTTCTCTTTTGACTATAACTTCTGTCTTTCATTATTTTCTCTCTTTTCAAATTTCACTATAAGCAGCTGAGAAAAGCCATGTGGCACCCTGAACACTTTGCTTAGAGATTTCTTCTGCCAAATATCCTAGTTTATTGCTCTTAAGTTCTGCCTTCTACAGAGCATTAGGACATGGACATAATGCAGCCAAATTCTTTGCCACTTCATAACAAGGATGGCCTTTCTTCCAGTTTTCAATAAGATATTCCTCATTTCCATCTAAAATCTCATTAGAATGATCTTTACTTTCCATCTTTCTACCAGCATTCTGATCATAACCACTCAGATCATCTTAAGAAGATTCAGGCTCTGTTTACAGCTCTCCTCATCTTCTGAGCTCTCACCAGAATTACCATGGCAATGTAGGCTTTTTCTAGCCTCCACCGCTACAATCTTCCAGCATCCACCCATTACCCAGTTTCTTGGTATAAATTTGTTTGGCCTGCTATAACAAAATACTCTGTGTAGTTTATGAAGAATAGAAATGTGTATCTTACAATTCTGGAGGCTGTGAAGTCCAAAATCAAGGTTCCAGCAGGTCTAGTGTCTGGTGAACACTGTTTCCAAGATGGTGCCTTATTACTGTATCCTCACATGATGGAAGGCAGAAGACCAAGAGAACACTTCCTTCAACCTTGAACGCTTTTATAAGGGTGCTCATTCCATTTATGTAGGCAGAGCCCTCATGACTTAATGACCTTGCAAAGGCCACATCTCTTTTTGTTGCATTGGGAATTAAGTTTCAACATGAGTTTTGGAGAGGACACAATCATTGAAATCATAACACACAAGCTCAAAGATGTGTTATGTAGGCACTGATGATAAAGCCTAGAGACTGTAATGATCCTGGGCATTTGAAATTGCTGAGAGATACATAATAGGAATATGAAGAAATAGGTAAGAAATAAACTTTTTTTCCCATAGCTCACAGGCAATACATCCTCATTATAAAGAAAAAAAGATTTGCATGATCAGCATGAAAGAAGAAATCATGAATTGCACTTAGCTAGGACAGAACGTAAGATTACCCTGCATTTAAAAACCGGAAAATCGGCACACACTGGAAATCCTTATTTGAGCCTGATGATGTGATAATAAACTAGAGCTGTTTTAACCACTTTTTGTCTTTGTTTTGTTTTCTATAAGACAATTTGCCTCTTGGCCTGTACCATTCCACCAAAACTACCCTTCAGAGGTCACTAGTATCTTCCTCAGCACTGCCAAATCCAATAAACTTTTTCTAGTTCTCGCCTTGATTGACCTAATTCAGCACTGTTGACGACTCTCACTGCAAAGCTATCCTTTCACAAGCCTCCCTCTTCTGCTTCTCTAACATTTTCGACAGATTGTTTTTTGTGTGTTTTAAATCACCTCTTATAAAGACTCTCATCCCATGCCTTCACTACAGGGGAACCTCAGGGTTTTGTCCTCAGCCATATGTATTTTGTTTTAATCTAAACTCCTCATGCCCCAAACTATAGCACTGGCTGTTCCAGCACACCATGAACAGGAGGTTCTGCCCTCTATGCTTTTGTTCATGCTTCCTCCTTTGCCTGTAACATCCTTTCCTCTCCCTTCTTTTCTGTCTATGGAAACCACTTCCTTCAATATCTAGTCAAGTGTTACCTCATTGGTGAAAGTGTTCCCTGATTTGCTGTCTCAGTTAGCATTTTTTGCAAAAATCACTCCAAAATGTAGTGGTTTAAAACAGCAACCATTTATTTAACTCATATTTGATGGGTTAGAAATTTAAGCTGAGCTCAACTAGGCAGCTCTTCTGTTTCCTGCAGTCTCAGCTGGGATTTTTTGTGTGTCTGTGCTTAGCTACTGACAGGCTAGTGTTGGAGATTCTTAGCCAGGAGACCTGGCCTCTGCTCCACATGGTCTCTCATCCTCCAGCAAGCTATCCCAGGCTTGCTCACATGGTGGCAGCAGGGTTCCCACAACAAGAGAGGAAGTACATAATAGCTCTTTAGGCCTAAACTCAGAACTGGTACACTGTCACTTCTGATCCATTCCATTGGCCAAAACAAGTCACAAGGCCAGCCCAAATTCAAGGGGTACAGAAATAGATTCCATGTCTGCATGGGAAATTACAAGGGCATGGACACAGGAAGGGGATAAATTTGTAACCAGTTTTTGCAACATACCACACTCCCTTATACAAAAGGAACACTAATCACTCTCTTCCCATGCAATATTGTTCAAATCCCAAGTGCAATATTATGTTATTCACTTAGCTGTACTCCTTTTAAAGAAAAAATATCCTAGTGGACTACTACTGTGCCATCTACATTTCCCTATAGTTGGAGTTGGAATAGAGAAGCCATATTTTATTTATCTTTGTATACGTATAGCTCCTAGCGCAAGGTTTGATACCAAGTAAGTGTTCAATGTATACTTACTAAATGCTGATTAAAATAAATGGATGACTTTTTTATCCAAAAATGGTTTCTGTAATTAACTGTAATTGTTTTTGCAGAGTTAATGGTGGTCAGTCTTTTTATCAAAGATTTAAAAACAATGGTAAATACTTCTTAATTTCATGTTCCCAGATTTCTTGAAGTTTACAACTTTGTCTTTACAAAAGTGCTTCTCAGATTTTAAAAAGTCTAGAATCCTTTTATGTTTTGTTTTGTTTTGTTTGAGAGATGGAGTCTTACTCTGTCGCCCAGGCTGAGTGCAGTGGCACAATCTTGGTTCACTGTAACATTCACCTCCCGGGTTCAAGAGATTCTTCTGCCTCAGCTTCCCAAGTAGCGGGTGAGGGGTGAAGACAGCTGGGCTTCTAGGTTGGGTGGGGACTTGGAGAACTTTTCCGTCTAGCTAAAGGATTGTAAACACACCAATCAGCGCTGTGCCTAGCTAAAGGTTTGTAAACTCACCAATCAGCACTCTGTAAAAATGCACCAGTCAGCACTCTGTGTCTAGCTAAAGGTTTGTAAATGCACCAATCAGCACTCTGTAAAATGGACCAATCAGCAGGACATGGGTGGGGCCAAATAAGGGAATAAAAGCTGGCCACCCAAGCCAGCAGCACAACTTGCTCAGGTCCCCCCTTCCACGCTGTGGAAGCTTTGTTCTTTCGCTCTTCACAATAAATCTTGCTGCTGCTCACTCTTTGGGTCCACACCACCTTCAAGAGCTGTAACATTCACCATGAAGGTCTGTGGCTTCACTCCTGAAGTCAGTGAGACCACAAACTCACCAGAAGGAAGAAACTCTGGACACATCTGAACATCTGAAGGAAAAAACTCCAGACACACCATCTTTAAGAGCTGTAACACTCACTGCAAGGGTCTGCGGCTTCATTCTTGAAGTCAGCAAGACCAAGAACTCACTGGAAGGAACCAATTCCAGACACAACTGGGACTACAGGTGCATGCCACCACGTCCAGCTAATTTTTGTATTTTTTTTTTTAGTAGAGATGGGGTTTCACCATATGTTGGCCCAGCTGGTCTCAAACTCCTGACCTCAAGTGATCTGCCCACCTCGGCCTCCCAAAGTGCTGGGATTACAGGTGTGAGCCACTGCACCCGGCCTAAACTCCTTTTAAAGAAAAAATATCCTAGTGGACTACTGTCATGTTGACATAAATTACTGATCTTATGCTACTCAACATGTACAAACATAAAATTTGATATAACTCTTGTAACTCTTAAATAACTATAAAAAACCAATATAAAAACTGCAAAGCCAATAGAATTCCAATTAACATTAATTTAATGTGACACATAATCTTGATTTGCTAAAATTAAATCACTGCTTACAACAAGAACAGGGATTGATTTGTTATTGTGCAGGTTCATTTGAGTTGGTATGCCTATAATAAATATTGTAGGGGCATGCCCCTGTGTTCATAATCTCAGGTGTACCTGAAAATCATTTTCTTCATTACTTCAGTTTCTCAATTTAATTTCTCTTTTTAGCTGTCATCTGCCATGACAGTTGAAACTTAATCTCAGTCAGTTGAGGGTTTGTCTTGCTTCTCTCCATGACTGCACTTAAGTTCTGTTGTTCTTAGATGGTACCAAAGTGTATTGAGTTGGGAGAGGGATGTATAGTAGGAGAAAGGGTGGTGGAACAGAGAAGGTCACAGTCTGATCTTCAAATCCTCCACCCACACCAGTGCTTGTGGAGAAACCCATTGTCAACATATGCTAGTTACCATGAAGAATTCCCTCATTTCTATCCATTGCACTCCTTCAGTTTCCCAGTGCTCTCTTCTCATGTCTACGCCTAGCTGAGGCACAGAAATGTGCATCACACGGTCAATCATTCCATCTTCCCAGACATACTCAATAGCCATAATCCATGTGGGTTTTGCCACCTCCAGAGGACTCTCTAACCCTAGAAGCCAAGTCCAGATATCCTCTACTCTTGGGTTCCCCAAATATATGTTAAGATTTATCATTCCCTACACAGTCTGTATAGGAATCAAGATGCACAGGAAAGTTGAAGGATGATAGGGCTCTTCTAGCCTGTCTGCTAAAAACTGTATAGACGAAAACAATTGTTTAATATTTTAAAAATATTGAGTCACATTGCCATTTGCTGTTTGACAACTTAGTTATCCCTTCACTTTTATCTACTCAAACTTCTACTCTAGCACACCGTGGCATCATTCAGCTGTCACTTGGCATTAACATTCATATTCATATACAATCTGCCTATTTTTCTCACGAACACATAGCAAACTCGGGCACTGAAATCAAGTGGAAATATTCTACCATATTTCCATAAAAATAATGCAGACATATAAATAATCTAGAATATTCATTTGTTGAAGAGGAGGGATGGCGTGAGTTTGGATTCCAAATGAAAATATATTATCTGAAAAATTTTATAAAGAACTCTCAGGGGTCTAAGAATACATGTTTTAGTCTCAGGAGGCTGGGAACTCCACTTTGAAAAAACATAGAATTACAACAACCTTCTCTTTTTTCAACCCACTTTCATGAAAAGAGATAAGTTCAAGACTGGTAAGTGGTTTTTAGTTTGATTATCTTTTAGTTTTACTTTCAGATGACATTTTGTGGACATATATTACATCATCAGTGAGACACTTCCAGTTATCCCTGCCATATGTCTTACTTCAGGGAAAGACCATTCTTAGTTTCTGCAAACCTACCCAGTGTTATTGCCTGTTTCCTGACCTCTGCCTGGAAAGCATAGTGTTTGATCCTTTTCTCCATGCAGTGCAAATTCTTATTAATTTTAGCATTTTACTTTTTTCTGCTATTATTCCTCAGTTTTTGTCAAACTCATTTTTACCTTCTGTCCATAAATTGCATTTGTTTAGCCCAGGTTTCTCTTCTCCACAATTAGAAATTTTGGTTAAAGAGTCTGGGAATCATATGGCCAATATGCACAAAGGTGAACTTGTGATTAACGCCCTCTGGTGTATAAAAGGGAAAATATATAACATTAATTAAAGCTTTGAGAAAACTTCAGAAAACTTTGCTAAGTGTCTTTAATCTAATTCTGCCATTTAATTAATGAAAATCTATTGCCCTAGGTGCTGATATGGTATGTAAGATAATCAAGGAGTAAAACAATGTTTGCTGTTTATCTTATCTGTGTACTGCAAGCACTGGAATCTTGGCAAGTTATTTGTTGGATTCTGGTCTTTCAGATATCCTTTGATAACAATGCCAAAAGGTAGGTACTTTTTAACTTGAGTGTTCTTAAAGATAACAGAAAAACTTAGTTTCGGATTACTTCCCTCCTACCCTTGGTACATCTTTAAGCACCAAGTATATGTTTAATAAGTATTTCTACATATTAAGGCAGTGAACTGCCAAATATTGAAAAAGGCACTCCTGGCTTTCAAGGAGTTCATAGTATAATAAACTAGTAGGCAATGCAAAAGTTATTTATTCATTAATTTACTAAATACACATACTCTTACACACAAACATACATGCACTCGCGCACTGATATGGTTTGGATCTGTGTTCCCGCACAAATCTCATGTCAAATTTAATATCTGATGTTAGAGGTAGGACCTAGGGGTAGCTGAGTAGATCATGGGTGCAGTTTCTAATGGTTTAGCACTACCCTCCTTGGTGCTGTCATTGCAATAGTGAGATCTGGCTGTTTGGAAGTGTTAGCACCTACTCCCTCTATCTCTTGCTCCTACTCTGTCTATGTAAGATGTGCCTGTTTCCCCTTGGCCTTCCATCACGATTTTAAGTTTCCTGAGAACTCCCAAGAAGCTGTGCAGATGCCAGCATCATGTTTCATATACAGCCGGCAGAACCTTGAGCGAATTAAACCCTTTTTCTTTATACATTACCCAATCTCGGGCATTTCTTTATAACAATGCAAGAATGGACTAATACACGCACACAGCATTTACAATATGTTAGTCAGTATTCTAAACCCTTTAAAAATAATTTAAGTCTCATAACAATCCTATATGGTAATTACTATTATCTCCATCTTGGTGAAGTGGTTTATTCAAGGTCATACCATTATTAGTGGAGGAGTTGGATTTGAACCCAGAGAATCTAGCTCCAGAACACTTGCCACATACGCTGCCTCCAATGTTTCCCCGAAGTGTATTTTTACAAAAAGTGTTCAATGGAAAGAGTAATTTTAGGAAACATTTCATCCTATCTAGCATATTAAGAAGTCCAACTAAAGGAAACTGTATAGCTTTACTTAAACTGAATATCCAAATGTATTTAATTTCAATTTATGAAGACCTCTCAACAGGTAAGAAAATAATCAGAACTAATATTTTCTGAGAGTATCCCATGTGCCAGGAGCTGAAAAGCATTATACTACATTCAGCTAGAGATGGATAATCTCTACAGCCGGAATGCTTTGGTTCAAACCCCAGTGCTAAGGTACTGTTAGATAGTCTAGGTTAGACTCTGTTGTGCTAACAAATAAATCCTGAAACAAAGTTTAATGTAGATGTATCTGATGAAGAGGTTGTCTAGCAGTTCTCTTCTAAGCAATGACCTAAGACCTAGGATTTTATTTTTTAAGTCTTGCAGCTCCACCATCATCAAAAAATGACTTCAATGTTGCCAGAGAAAAAGAAAGAGGGAAAGCAACAGTTTGTGTGTTTTATAGCCAGGCCTGGATATAATATACATTATTTCTGCCCACTTTTTTATTAGACCAAAATCAATCATACAGCCTCTGCCTATCCACAGCGTGGACTAGGAAATGTAGCCTTTCCGTATACTCAGGAAAGTGGTAACTGGTTTTAGTGAACACATAACACTGTCTCTGCCACACAATTTGCTAGCCATGTAACTTTGGGCAAGTTACTGAACTCCTTTGTGCTTCAGTTTCCTTGTCTATAAAATGGGAATGTTATCTCACTGGATTGTTATAAGGGTTAACTGAGCTACTATCTTTAATCATTTAGAATTGCATATTAATTTGGGACATTGATACATGTGTTCAATCACATATAATCCTAACTCAAAGGCAAATATTACTATCTCTACTTTTAGACATGGGGAAAGAGAGCTTCAGAGACAATAGGTGACTTGCCTACAATTAATCAGTTGCTATATTAGTCAGAGTTCTCCAGGAAAAGCCAATAGCATATAGAGGAAGAGATTTAGAAAGAATTCTCCGCCGGGCACGGTGGCTCACGCCTGTAATCCCAGCACTTTGGGAGGCCAAGGCGGGCAGATCACGAGGTCAGGAGATCGAGACCATCCTGGCTAACACGGTGAAAGACCATCCTGGCTAACACGGTGAAACCCCGTCTCTATCAAAAATACAAAAAATTAGCTGGGCATGGTGGCGGGCGCCTGTAGTCCCAGCTACTCAGGAGCCTGAGGCAGGAGAATGGCGTGAACCCGGCAGGGGGAGCTTGCGGTGAGCCAAAATTGCGCCACTGCACTCTAGCCTCGGTGACAGAGCAAGACCCCATCTCAAAAAAAAAAAAAACAAAAAACAAAAAAGAATTCTCTCTTACTCAGGAAAGCATCAATCCTTTTGTTCTACACAGGCTTTCAACTAACTGGATGAGGCCCACCTACATTATGGAGAGCAAACTTTACCAACTAAAATGTTGATCTCATCCAAAAACCTTTGCCTAATCATCCCGAATATTATTTGATCAAATATCTGGGCACCTTGTGACCCAGATAATTTGACATATAAAATTAACCATCGCAGTTGCCAAGTGCCAAAGCTTTCAGAACATTTCTTGAATCTTTTGATGCACTCATAGTTTTAAGGGGCCTATTGATTCACATGGAAACTGATCTTCGGATAAATAATTCTTTCACCAAACCAACAATTTTTTTTGCAATCACTTATACTTTTTAGAGCATGGGATAAAGAAGGGCAAGCAAAATGAACCCAGCTCCTGCCTTCATAAAATGTATAGATACTGCGAAAATCAATTACTTGTGCATTTGTAAACCCAAAATTGATCATGTTGGTGTGCTGTCACCCTCCCCATCCCTGCCTTCACATACTCATACACACATATGCTGTCTCATTCCAGTGGGGCTAGTGCTTCTCGTAAAATGCCTTTTTTTCCCCAACATCCCCAATGCCTCAAATGCCACATGAAATACCAGAAAAGAAGGCATCTGGTCAATTCTCAGAGGAAGCAAGATTGGTTTCTGTGTACCTATTTAAGACTGAAAGTCACATCCTAGTCCTCTTCATTGCTTGGTACAACAAAAAATTTCCTAAGTTGAGCATACTTGAAAACTGAGAATTCTAAAGGTCTATAAGTTATTTGGTTCTGGTTCCAGAGTGGTCCAGCAAGATCATAACTATCTCTAATTGGCATTTACTCCCTTAAACTGGTTTTTCTTCCTAGAACCATGCAACACCCTGCAATGTATGAAATGAATTAATGTCATTATCCTAGTAAGAAAGGGAGGGACACAGCAAAGTTGTTTTCAATCTAAACCTTGCAATTGAATAAGCACTGATCAGAAGCATATTGCATTTAACAAAAACACATGCCCAAAATATGTGTTTGAATCATCATCTTTGATTTAAATTCATATCTCATGGAGAAGAACCCTGTCCAATTTGCTTTTATAAGCAAAATACACTTGGTAAATATAATTGATTTAGAATCAACTAACATTATTGGATACCTATAATGTGAACAGTAACCATATTTTCAAGTATAAAGATAAAGACACATCACCTAATACATAGTTTGAATTATAAATGTATTTGTGTGAAAATCTTATAAATGAAGAAAAATAACATTGCATGTGGTTTTATAGTGAATGAAGTGCTATTACTGAAAAGCAAAAAAAGAATACATGAAACGATACTGTCCTAGAAAATCTAAGATAGTCTCTATTACTATAGTCTGTTCTAGGCACTTAACAGTCTCAACTCATTTTGAGATTAATTTTAAAAAAATAATGATTCATGAAAATATTTAATAGGACTAATAAATTTTATTAACGAATCCAATTTAATAAATTTTTATTGACCACATAACTGCAGGCTAGTTACTCAGAATATAAAAATAGGTGAATAGCCTCTAACCTCAAGCAGTTTATAACTGAACAAAATAAAACCAAGACATACTTAAATAATCATGACACAAGGCAGATTGTAAATGTGGCTGGAGGTCTCCCCAATTTAAGCAACTATCTTTTCTGGTAGATTTGGGGAACCAAGATTGCTGCTTCTTTTACAACTCCGCAACATTCAGAAAAACCACAAGTCAGGAAAGTCCTGAGTGAAACAGACTCAGGGTTATTAAAAATTTTTGCAATGAATGTTCCTATTATGGATTCAGATATGACACTTAATGCCATTACTCTCATGTCTGAGTCCCTAGAGCTGGGTTTCATATCACCCTTTAAGCTCATTTGATGAACTATTCCCTCCCCTATCCTCCATCTGAGCTGACCAATGGTCCCTACTCCTACTGGTTATCCAAAATGGTTACCATAAAACTTATTCTTTTTGACCCTCTGCCTATTAATTATTAATGGGGAAAAAAGTTATGAGAATAAAACTTGCAGGCATTTGTAGTTTGCAAGAGTGAACACATACAATTTTAGAACTTATGGGTTTGGCTGCATTGACATCAGAGATGAGAGTAAATGTGGTGTCTGGCCTTTCTTATTCAGCATGGGCCAGAGGATAAGTGGGTGCAAAATGTCTTGTGAGTTTAGGAAAGGAGAACAACAGAACGGTTTTGTGAAGGAGATGGCTTTGAGATGGTGTTGAAAAGCTGGTGGGATGTAGGAAAGGAATGTTGGAGGAGGGTTTTTCTAGGCAGAGAGAGAAAGGCCAGCAAAGGATCAGGAACAGGAAAACATGACCAGGAAATTGAGAATAGACTATGTCTAAGTAAAATATAGAAAACAAAAAATGGAGACTTCTGGTTTTAAAATAGCTGCACAGAAGCAAGCTGGCTTCACTTCTCCCCACTCCCCCACAGAAAACCAAAAACAAATATACAGTGCTGAGATAATCACCAGGAACAACCCAGAACACAAATATGAAGATGAGACAGTTCCTGGCACCAAAGATAAGTGAGAAAACTACAAGCAGATGGTAAGAGAATTGGAATTCCACATCTGCAAAGCCCCTAACCCCATTCTGTCCAGCATCAAGAGGTGGATAATCTCCCCCAACTCATTTTCTACACTAGAAAAAGTGAGACTGAGGTGGTCAATCAGCTTCCCCACCATCTTGAGTTCTCTTTCAGTAAATATGTCCTTGCCTTAACCTACAGGAAGCATTGTTACTGCCTAAAGGAAAAAAAAAATATCAGGAAACAACAGGTGCTGGAGAGGATGTGGAGAAATAGGAACACTTTTACACTGTTGGTGGGACTGTAAACTAGTTCAACCATTGTGGAAGTCAGTGTGGCGATTCCTCAGGGATCTAGAACTAGAAATACCATTTGACCCAGCCATCCCATTACTGGGTATATACCCAAATGACTATAAATCATGTTGCTATAAAGACACATGCACACGTATGTTTATTGCGGCATTATTCACAATAGCAAAGACTTGGAACCAACCCAAATGTCCAACAATGACAGACTGGATTAAGAAAATGTGGCACATATACACCATGGAATACTATGCAGCCATAAAAAATGATGAGTTCATGTCCTTTGTAGGGACATGGACGAAATTGGAAATCATCATTCTCAGTAAACTATTGCAAGAACAAAAAACCAAACACCGCATATTCTCACTCATAGGTGGGAATTGAACAATGAGATCACATGGACACAGGAAGGGGAATATCACACTCTGGAGACTGTGGTGGGGTGGGGGGAGGGGGGAGGGATAGCATTGGGAGATATACCTAATGCTAGATGACGAGTTAGTGGGTGCAGCGCACCAGCATGGCACATGTATACATATGTAACTAACCTGCACAATGTGCACATGTACCCTAAAACTTAAAATATAATAAAAAAAAAAAAGCAAGAGGGAAAAAAATATATATCTCTGGGAAAAGGCAGAGACAAAGGGGGCAGGTGGGACTACCAGCCCTGGAAACTCTGGTCTGTAATTCCACCAAAGGAGATGCCAAGTCAGAGTGGCTGATTTGCAGCACAAACCCCTAGCCAGGCTTCTCACAATGTCAAAATAATCCCTTTGGGGCCTCCCTTATTTAGATAGTGCTCCAATCATTTACTAGAGCCAAGGTTTACCTAAGGTACCACTTAGACCCAAAAAGGAAGCAACAATGTAGCGATAAAGATTTGTTAAGCAAACATATTCAATAAAAAAAAAAGCCAGACAGAAATATGAAATAACCAAATTCTTCAATGAAAAGACATATATGTTTAGACATATACCCA
This sequence comes from Homo sapiens, assembly GCF_000001405.40. Lineage (NCBI taxonomy): Eukaryota > Metazoa > Chordata > Mammalia > Primates > Hominidae > Homo > Homo sapiens. The sequence continues at coordinate 47,604,910 of NC_000013.11, forward strand.
AAAGAAACAACAACAAACAGGGATCTATGATCTTCCAAAAGAACAAAGCAAAAATCCAGTGACTACCTGTAACACAGCAATATGTGAGCTCCCTGAAAAAGAATTAAAAATAGCCATTTTAAGAAAACTCAGTGCTCCCCAAGATAATACAGAAAAGCAATTCAGAAATTTATCTGAAAAATGTAACAATCAGATTGAAACAATAAAAAAGAAATTAAACAGAAATTATGAAACTGAGAGGTACACTTGCTGAACTGAAAAACTCATTAGAGGATGCCAACAGCACAATGAACCAGGTAGAGGAAAGAATCAGAGAACTCTGAGATCAACTATGTGAAAATATACAATCAGAGTAGAAAAACGAATGAAAAGGAATAAAGATCATCTAGATATAGAAAATAACCAAATCTAAGAATTATTGATGTTCAAGAGGGAGCTGAGCAAGAGCAAGTACAAAACTTCATCAAAGAAATAACAGAACACTTTCCAAAACTTTCAAAAAAGATAAATATCCAGGAACAGGGAGGTCTGAGAACAACAAATAGATTCAATCCAAATAAGACTACCTAAAGGCATATAATAATTAAATTCTGAAAAGTCAAGGACAAACATAGGATCCCAAAAGAAGCAAGAGAAAAGAAGTAAATCACCTATAAAGAAGCTTCTATTCATCTGGCAACAGACTTTTCAACAGAAACCGTGCAAGGCCAGGAAAGAGTGGACTAACACCGTTAAGTGTTATTCTAATAACAGTCTAAGCACTAAGTGCTCAAAGGAAAAAAATGCCATTCAAGAATATTGTATTGAGCAAAATTATCCTTCAAATATGATGGAGAGAGATAGTCTTTCCCGGACAAACAAAAGCTGAGATAATTTACCACCACCAGATTGGTCTAACAAGAAATGCTGAAAGGCATTTTTCAATCTGAAAGAAAAAAACACTAGCACATAAAAAGAAAAGTTTTCAAACCCACTAATAAAACTAAGTACACAGAAAAACCTACAATAGTCTATTACTGTAATTGTAGTGTGCAATTCACTCATAACTCTATATAAAACCCCAAAGTTAAACCTATCAAAAGCAATAGCTATAGCAACCTGTTAAAAGATACATAATATAAAAATGTGTAAATTGAAACAAGTAAGTCAAATGCTGAGAAAATAGAGTTAAAGTGTAGAATTTTTTATGGGTTTTTTTTTTTTTTTGCCTTGGTTTGGTTTTATTCATTTCTTTGTGATCTAAATTATCATCTATTTAAAATAACATGTTATATCAATACTATGTTTTTGTAAGCCTCATAACCACAACGCAAAAACATATAATAGATTCACTAAAAATAGAAAACTACTAAATAAAGCATACTATTGGAGAAAATTACTTAAACATATAGGAAGATTGTAAGAAAGGAAGGAAGGGAGAAATCTAGCAGCAGCCAGAAAAAAAAGTAATAAAATGGCAACAGTAAGTTACTTATTAATAACACTGGATGTAAACAGTCTCAATTCTCCAAGTAAAAGGTATAGAGTGGCTGAATAAATAAAGAAAACCCAACTATATGATGCCTTCAAGAAACCCAATTCACTGATGAAGACACACATAGACTGAAAGTGAAGGGGTAGAAAAAATATTCCATGCAACTGGAAACCAAGAAAGAGCAGGAATGTCTATATTTATATCAAATAAAATTAACTAGGATTATAAACAGACACCAAGAAGATCATTATATTATGAAAAAAGGGTCAATTCAGTAAGAAGATATAACAATTATAAATATCTATACACCCAACAAAGAAGCTCCCAAGTATATAAAGCAAACATTAATAGATCTAAAGGGAAAGATAGATTGCAATGTAATAATAGTAGAAGACTTTAACACCCCACTGTCAGTAATGGAGAGACATAAAGTCAACAAAAAAGCATTGGAGTTAAACTGCACCCCGGATCGAATAGGCCTAACTGGCATTTATGGAACATGTCACCCAACTTCTGCAGAATACACTTTCTTTTCATCAGCATATGGAGGTATATTTTCCAGAATAATCCATATTTTAATCCACCACACAAGTCTGAATGAATTCAAAATAAAAGGAATCATATCGAGTATCTTTTCTGACCACAGTGGAATAAAACTGGAAATCAATAAGAGAAACCTTGGGAAATACACAAACACATGGAAACTAAATAACATGCTTCTGCATGAACGATGGGTCAATAAAAATAAATTAAGAAAATTTTAATAATTTCTTGAAAGAAAATGGAAATACAACATACTAAGATCTATGGCATACAGCAAAAATAGTACTAAGAGGGAATTTATATAATAATAAATGGCTATATCATAAAAGTAGAAGGACTTCAAATAAACAGACTAACAATGCAACTCAATGAACTAGAAAATCAAGAACAAACCCAAAACTAATAGAAGAAAACAAATAATAAAGGTCAGGGGAAAAAATAATGAAATTAAGACCAAAAAATCAGTACATAAGATAAACAAAATGAAAAGTTGGGTTTTTTTGATAAGACTAACAAAATTGACAAATGCTTAGCAACACTAAGACAAGAGAGAAGATTCAAATAAAATCAGAAATGAAAAAAGGAGACATAACAACTGAGACCTCAGAAATACAGAGAATCATTAGAGATAATTAGGAACAACTATATGCCAACAAATTGGAAAACTTACAAGAAACTGATAAATTCCTTGACACATACAACCAAGATTGAACCATGAAGAAATAGAAAACTTCCACAAACCAATAACAAATAACAAGATTGATGCCATAATAAAAATGTCTCTCATCAAAGAAAAGACCAGGATCTGATGGATTCGCTGCTGAATTCTACCCGACATCTAAAGAATAATCTCAATCTGAAACTCTTCAAAAAAAAATTGAATAGAGGGAATACTTTCAAACTCATTTACAGAGCCATTATTACCTTGATATCAAAATCAGATAAGGGCACAACAAGAAAACTACAGGTCAATATCGTTGATGAACATAGATGTAAAAATCTTCAACAAAATACTAGCAAACCAAATACAACAACACATTAAAAAGATCATTCACCATGATTAAGTAGGATTCATCACAAGGGTACAAGGATGGTTCAACATGCGCAAATCAATAAACATGATACATCACATTAATATAATCAAGAACAAAAATCATGGTTGTCTCAATAGATGCTGAAAAAACATTTGATAAAATTCAACATCTCTTTATGATGAAAAACTGTCATCAAATTGAATGTAGACAAAAACACATCTCAAAATAATAAAGACTATATATAAGAAACCCACAGCTAACATTATAGTGAACATAGAAAAATTGAAGGCCTTTCCTCCAAGGATTGTAATAAGACAAGGATGCCCACTTTAGCCACTTTTTGTTCAACACAATACTGGAAGTCTTTGCCAGAGAAATTAGGCAAGAAAAAGAAATAAAGGGTATCCAAATTAGAAAGGAGGAAGTCAAATGAGCCTTGCTCACAGACAACATGATCTTATACCTAGGTAAACCTAAAGAATTAACAAAAAAAAACTTTAGAAATAATAAACAAATTTGGTAAAGTTGCAGGATATAAAGTCCACATACAAAAATCAGTAGCATTTATAAATACCGACAGTGAACAATCTGAAGAAATAAAGAAAGCAATCCCGTTTACAATACTACAAAGAATAGAAAATACTTACGAATCAATCTAACCAAATAGGTGACACAGCTATACAAAAAAACTATAAAACTCTGATGAAAATATTGAAGAAGACACAATTAATATTGTTCAAGTAGACATGCTATCCAAAGTAATTTATAGATTCAACACAATCACTATCAAAATACCAATGACATTATTCACATAAATAGAAAAACAATTCAACATTCATATAGAACCACAAGAGTGCTCAAACAGTCAAAGCAATCCTACGTGAAAAGAATAAAACTGGAGGCATCATGCTCCCTGACTTCAAAATTTACTACAAAGCTATAGTAATCGAAATTGCATGTTACTGGCTTAAAAATAGACATAGACCGTTGGAACAGAATAGAGAACCCAAATATGAATTCATGCATTTACAATCAACTCATCTTTAACAAAGGCGCCAAAAACATTTGTTGGGAAAGGACAGTGTCTTCAATAAATGGTGCTGGGATAACTACATGCTACTACTTACTACTAGATAATTACATGCAGAAGAATGAAACTAGACCCCTATCTTTCACCATACACAAAAATCATATTTAAAATGGTTAAAGACTTAAATTTAAAACCTGAAACCATGAAAATATTAGAAAAAAATTGAGCAATGCTTCATTGGTCTGGGCAAAGAATTTTTGTGTAAGACCCCAAAGCACAGACAACCAAAGCAAAAATAGGCAAATAGTATTCCATCAAGCTAAACAGCTTCTGCACAGCAAAAGAAATAAAGTGAAGAGAAAACGTACAGCAGGGCAGAAGATATTTGCAAATTGTCCATCTGATAAGGGATTAATAACCAGGATATAGAAGGAGCTCAAACAACTCAATAGCAAGAAAAACAAATAATTGATTAAAAATGGGCAAAATATCTGAACAGACATTTCCCAAAAGAAGACATGCAAATGGCCAACAGGTATATGAAAAATGCTCAGTATCACTAATCATCAGAGAAATACAAATCAAAACCACAATGAGATATCATCTCATTTTAGCTAAAATGACTTTTATCAAAAAGACAGACAATAAAAGATACTGGTGAGGATGTGGAGAGAGGGGAACCCTCATACATTGTTGGTGGGAATATAAATGAGTACTGCCACTATGGAGAACAGTATAGAGGTTCCTCAAAAAACTTAAAAATAGAACCCCTGTATGATCCAGCAGTTCCACTACTGGGTATATATAAAAAGAAAGGAAATCAATATATTGAAGAGATATCGGCCCTCCCATGTTTATTTCAGCACTACTCACAATAGCCAAATATGGAATCAACCTAAGAGCTCATCAATGGATAAATGGATAAAGGAAATCTGATTTATATACATAACAGAATGTGATTCAGCCATAAAAAAATGAAATCCTGTCATTTGCAGCTACATGGATGAAACTAGAGGTAGGCTGTTATCTTAAGTGAAATAAACCATGCACAGAGAGACAAATATTGCATGTTCTCACTCATATTGGAAGCTAAAAAAGTAGATCTCATGAAGATAGAGAGTAGATTGGTGGTTACCAGAGGCCAGGAAAACTAGGGAGAAGGGGTAAGAAAGGGGGGAAAAAATAATATAAATGTACATATTACCACTGAATGGTACCCTTAAAAATGGGAAAGATGATAAATTTTGTGTATTTTACCTCAATAAAAAAATTAAAATAGAATTAAAAGATAAAATGAAATGTGATAGGATAAGAAATAGTAAAAAATGGACATTAAAAAAACTTAAAATGTTGATTCAAGTTCCATTCTACAAGGCTCTATGTCAATGTTGTGTTAAATGAATGAATCTCAGTCTGTAAATTTCTGTGTGTAAGCATTATAGCCTCCTTTACTTTCAACTACTCAATTTCTATTTTGGGCCCTATTCTGCTGGGCTGGCAGGAGAATTTAATCCCAGTTGTTTTGTTTCTCTCCTTTTGTTACCCTGAGAAGTTGAGTTGAAATTTAGCATCATGCTAAGGTGCTGGAAGGACCACTGGATCCTTTAGTCTTTCATGAACTTTACTGAAAAGTTGTGGTTTTTCCCAGTGTGTCAGTTCCTGAGATGCTTTCTACAAACCTGATTATGGCTGTATCTAATATAATATGTGGCCACACCCAGCACCTTGCATCTCCAGCAGTGATTCTGGAAAGCACAGGTTTCCACTCTCTAGAGCATCATAAACTTCTTTAAGGTCCTCTCATCTACTGGTAGCACTGCTTGGAAAATGATGCATGACCCTTACCACTATACCATCACTAACACACCACCACCACCACCATCTCTACCAAGTCGACAATCACCACCTTCCCCACTACCACTACCACCATCACCACCATCACCACCACCTCCAACGCTATCACCACTACTACCACCGATGACACCACCATAACCACCCTTCTTTTCCCTAAAGCCCAGGATCAAATTGCTCTTTAGTCTGGAACAATCTTTAGTCTTGAAAATGTTTGACCAAAAAAAAAAATTTTAATAACCTAATCTCTCTTTTGATTTATTCTCTGGGGCTTAGGGTTTGGAAGCAAAATTTAGGAAGAATCCCTGATTATTTCTGCATCTCATTCCTGCCCTGAGAAAATGAGCAGAGGGCTGGCTGACTGAGAGAATGAGGAGGTGTATTAGACTGTTACTCCCTGCTGTAAAAAAGTACCTGAGCCTGGGTAATTTATAAGAAAAGAGGTTTAATTGGTTCATGGTTCAGCAGGCTGTATAGAAGGCCTAACACCAGCCTCTGCTTCTGGGGAGGCCTCAGGGAGCTTTTATTCATGGTGGAAGGCGAAGTAGAAGCAGACACATCACATGGTGAAAGCAGGAGCACACGAGAGAATTGGGGGTGAGGGTGCTACCTGCTTTTAAACAACCAGATCTTGTGTGAACTCAAACTGAGAGCTCACTTATCACCAAGAAGATGGCCAAAGCCATTCATCAGGGATATGCCCCCATGATCCAAACACTTCCCACCAGGCCCCACCTCCAACACTAAGGATTACATTTCAGCTTGAGATTGGGGTGAGGCCAAATATCCAAACTATATCAGGAGGGGAAATCAAGGGAATGAAAAAAAGGTATTTAATACATCAAAATAGTATTCAACTAAATATACATGCAATGGAGGATGTGGGAGTCATTGCAAGTTTAAGGAGCACTATAATAATCATCTGGGAGCAGGGCACAGGATGCCTTGGAGGAGGTAGAAAGTGAAATGTAGAGACAGTATTATTATAACAACTCACAGTGAGTCAGGCCAGGGGCAGTGAGAATGGAAAACCACACACAAACATGAGCAACTCCAAAAAGGTAAACCCAATGGGACTTAGCCAATGACTTAATGAACTTGAGGAACAAAGAAAAAGAAAGGGTTACTAGTAAGAGGTTGGAAGAATAATGATGTCATTTATGAAGAAAAAATATCAAGAAGTAGAAGAGCTTATTTATGAGAGAAAAAATTCCTTTTTTACTTATACCCAGTTTTAGATGTAAATATGACCACTAGGCGGAAATTTTCTGGAAATGTTTAAAAATTCAAAATCATGGCTCAGGAAAGAGGCCACATCAGTTAGTTTTGCATGGCACATGTATACATATGTAACTAACCTGCACATGTACCCTAAAACTTAAAGTATAATAAGAATAAAAAAAAAGAGGAGAAAAAAAAAGAAAAACCTTTTACTTTAGGTTCAGGGGTACACATACAGGTTTGTTTAGGTAAACTTATGTCACAAGGGCTTTTTGTACAGATGATTTCATAACCCAGGTACTAAGCCTAGTACCCAATAGTTACTTTACTGCTCCTCTCTGTCCTCCCACACTCCACCTTAAGGTAGGTCCCATTGTCTCTTGTTCCCCTCTTTTTGTCCATGCATTCCCATCATTAAGCTTCACTTATAAGTGAGAACGTGTCACACTTTGTTTGCTGTACTTATCAAGCTGTACTTGATAAACCTCAAGCTCTATCCATGTTCGTGCAATGGACATGATCTCATTCTATTTTATGGCTGCATAGTATTCCATGTGTGTATGTACCACATCTCCTTTTATCCAATCTATCATTGATGGGCATTTAAGGTTGATTACATGTCTTTGCTCTTGTGAAGAGTGCTATGATGAATGTATGAGTGCATGTGTCTTTATGATAGAATTATTTATATTTATTTAGGTATATATCCAGTAATGGGATTGCTGGGTAGAATTATTGTTCTGTTTTTAGCTCTTTGAGGAATCACCATACTGCTTTCCACAATGTTTGAATTAATTTACAGTCCCACCAACAGTATATAAGCATTCCCTTTTCTCCACAACCTTGTCAGCATTGCATCTGTTATTTTTGACTTTTTTAGTAATAGCCGTTCTGACTGGTATGAGATGGTATCTCATTGTGGTTTTGAATTTCTCCAAAGATCAGCGATATTGAGTTTTTCTTATGCTTGTTGGCCGCACATATAACTTTTTTGAAAAATGTCTGTTCACGTCCTTTGTCCACTTTTTAATAGGATTGTTTTTTATCTTGTAAATTTAAGCTCCATATAGATGCCGGATATCAGACTTCTATCTGATGCATAGTTTGCAAAAATGTCCTCCCATTCTGTATGTCGTCTGTTTACTCTGTTGATAGTTTCTTTTGCTGTGCTAGAGCTCTTTAATTAGATCCCATTTGTCAGTTTTTGCTTTTGTTGCAATTGCTTTTGGCATCTTCATCATGAAATATTTGCCTATTACTATGGCCAGAATGGTATTTCCTAGGTTGTCTTCCGGAATTTTTATAGTTCAGGATTTTACATTTAAGTCTGTTATCCATCTTGAGTGGATATTTATATGTGGTATAAGGAAGGGGTCCAGTTTCAATCTTCTGCATGTGACTAGCCAGTTATCCCAGTACCATTTATTGAATAGGTAGTCTTTTCCCCATTGCTTATTTTTGTCAGCTTTGTCGAAGATCAGACAGTTGTACGTGTGCAGAGTTATTTCTGGGCTCTCTATTCTGTTCCATTGGTCTTTGTGTCTGACTTTTTTTTTTTTTTTTTTTTTTTTTTTTTACCAATACCATACTGTTTTGGTTGCTGTAGCCCTGCAGTATGGTTTGAAGTTGGGTAACATGATGCCTTCTGATTGTTTTTGCTTAGGATTGCTTTGGCTATTCAGGCTCTTTTTTTGGTTCCATATAAATTTCAAAATAGTTTTTTTCTAGTTCAGTGAAGAATGTCATTGGTAGTTTAATAAAAATAGCATTGAATCCATAAATTGCTTTGGGTAATATGCCCATTTTAACATTGATTCTTCCTATCCATGAGTATAGAATGTTTTTCCATTTGTCTGAATCATCTCTGATTTCTTTGAGCAGTGTTTAGTAATTATCATTGCAGAGATCTTTCAGTTTGCTGATTAGCTGTATTTCCAGGTATTTTCTTTTTATGGCAATTGTGAATGTGATTGAGTTCCTGATTTGGCTCTTGGTTTGACTGTTGTTGGCTTATAGGAATGCTAGTGATTTTTTGCACAGTGATTCTGTATCCTGAAACTTTGCTGAAGTTTATTAATCAGCTGAAGGTGCTTTTGTGCTGAGACGAGGGAGTCTTCTAGATATAGAATCATGTCATCTGTAAACAGGGATAGTTTGACTTCCTCTCTTTTTATTTGGATGCCCTTTATTTCTCTTGCCTGATTGCTCTGGCCAGCCCTTCCAATACTGCGTTGAATAGGAGTAGGGAGAGAGGGCATCCTTGTGCCAGTTTTCAAGGGGAATGCTTCCAGATTTTGCCCACCCAGTATGATGGCTGTGGGGCTGTCATAGCTGGCTCTTATTATTTTGAGGTATGTTCCTTCAGTACCCCCTTTGTTGAGAGTTTTTAAGATAAAGGGGTGTTGAATTTTATTGAAAGCATTTTCTGCATCTATTGGGATGATCATGTGGTTTTTGTCTTTATTTCTGTTTATTTGATGAACCACATTTATTGATTTTCACATATTGAACCAACCTTCCATGCCAGGGATTAAGTCTACTTGATCTTGGTGGATTAGCTTGTCATTGTGCTGCTAGATTCAATTTGCTGGTATTTAGTTGAGAATTTTTGCATCAATGTTCATCAAGGATATTGGTCTGCAGTTTTCCTTTTTTTGTCTCTGCCAGGTTTTGGTATCAGGATGATGCAAGCCTCATAGAATGAGTTGGGGAGGAGTTCCACCTCCTCATTTTTTTTTTTTTTTTTTTGGAATAGTTTCAGTAGGAATGGTACCAGCTCTTCTTTGTACATCTGGTAGAATTCGGCTGTGAATCCATCTGGTCCTGGGCTTTTTTTGGCTGGTAGGCTACTTATTACTGATTAAGTTTTGGAGCTTGTTATTGGTCTGTTCAGGGTTTCAATTTCTTCCTGATTCAGTCCTGAGTGGGTGTATGGGTCAGGGAATTTATCCATTTCTTCTACATTTTCTAGTTTGTGTGCATAGAGGTGTTCATAGTAGTCTCTGATGGTTATTTGTATTTCTGTGTGGTTACAAACCAGATGTTTCAAAGCCTTTGTAGAATACAGTCATATGTGAGTTAATTAATTTAATTCAAATAAATTATGACAGGCTAGAAATACAGAATGGCATCTGTAGTTATAGGAAATAATTTTTTATATATGGTTATAGAAAGAATATGTAAATGTAGTAGATGGGAAAAAACAGGAGAAATAATACAGAGATTCAAGAGATGAGACATTTAAGGCGGATGGATGGCCATCTGTGCAAATAACTTTAGAACCTTCAAAGTAAAGAACTCAAAGCTACTCAATGAATTGGAGATGTAAAAAGGTTACTGGACGTGCTCCTGAGACTAACTTCAGCAAGGTATTAGGGTGTGGAGGCATATTGCAAGAAATTCAAACCTGCAAAGATGGTGTGTAGATGTATGGACCCTCTTTCAGAAAATGTACTATAAATAAAAAGGGAGAAATGAGGCTAAAAAACTGATTCAGAAGGAACAACAAAGTGATGGAGATAAAAGAACTGCAACTCATTTACACAAATTCTTTGGATTTTGGTTTAATTGGCCACTAATTTATGGCTCCCAGATCTTTGCAGAGTCCACTAACTGCCTAGACTGCTTTCTTCTATCCCTCCCTCCTTAATCTCTGTAAGCATAAGTTTTCTCATTTGTACATTGAGGCTAATAATTCCTATCTTAAGTGTTATGAGGAAAATAAATCAGGCTGTGAAAGGGCCTAGATAAGTGCCTGTCACATACTAGATGTATAGTAGTATTTCACTCAGAATTGCAATTAGCAGAAAAATATAATCCACATAAAATGACCATGAGGCAATAGGAAAGTAATTATTAATGTTAATATTGGAGAGGCAATGATTGGTGCTAGTATTAAGTTGCTTATACCCCTGAGAAGAAAAGAATAGCCTAAAACAGAGCCTCTCCCAAGGCAGAGAGTGAGAAATGGACCAAAGGAAATGACAACTGAAAGGGGTACTTACGAGTGCTGGGAGGGTGCAGGGGGAGATCCTTCCTAATCTTCATCAGACCTTCAAGCCATTTCAAATAAGCCTACATTGTTAATGAAAACTTAGCCTCAATTGTGGTCCTGTTCTTCCAAAAACTGGAAGAACTTTGACCTCCTATTTACTCAAACGTTTAGGGAGCAATAGGATGGAATATAGCAAAGTGTGAGATAACTCTGGGCAGGGGTCATGGGGAACTACTCCTTGTTCTGCCACTTAGTGACAGCTTAGTGACCTTGGAACAGTCCATGTAACTCCTTTGCTCCTCTGTTTCCTTCTCTCCAAAACAAAAGCATTCCATTAGACTCATAGTTTTCCACAAGGTTCTCCACATTGCCCCACAGGGGGACATTTTGACCATGTGGGAGAAAAGTTCTGCTTGTTGCAAGGATTGGGCAGTGCTACTGGCATTTAGCAGGTGTGGATGGGGGCGCTGAATGTCCTGGATGCTTAGCATAGTCTGGCACAACCAAGAACTGTCCTCCATCCTGCACAGCTTTCTAATGCTCTTCTGACATTGAGGTAGGTGAAAACCCTTGTTATCATTAATAAGCCTAACACCTAACTCTGTTTTACAGAGTTTATGTTACAGAGTTTAACTCTGTTTTACAATTTTTATGTATATGGATCCTACTATCTAGTTTCTATTCTAATATCCACCTGTCCCTTCTGCTCTTGCGTTTTTCTTTTTGCTTATACAGAATGGCTCCAGATCTTCTTTCAAATCTTAATTTATTCACTGTAAAGTAGTACAAGCCTCTGGCTAATTCAACATGTCTTCAAGACTGGTATATCAGATCTGTGCATTTATATATTGAATATAAATATTATCATAAATGACTCATTTTACTTCTCACTTTTAGTTAGGGCATTTTTAGTTATATGAGTATATAAATTATGGTATGAATTTTATTTTAGGGTAGTACAGGGGTGTTACAAAATATTTGTTATAAAACGTGCTCTTGGGTCTGAACATTTGAAAGCTACTGGACTGAATGCTTTGAGGTTCCCATCCCCTCTAAAATTCCACGACTTACCATTTGTCCACATTATCTTCTGCTGAGGGCAAACTACAGAAAAAAGTAGAATATGTTCCTTGTAACACTCTATACTATACTGTATGCTTGATTGTACTTTTCAGCAATGATGGTGATGTGGGTGTTAACCTGTCCCCTCCAGAAAATATCCACTATTTAAGTAAATTATAACAAATAATGGAAACTGAGTTGAACTACATCCATATCTACTACCAATTTCTTTACACTTAAGCAGGACTCATGCAGGGCATCTCAATTATGCTGATTTTCAATGATATATGAAGATTACTCTCCTGTTAAAAAGTTCTGTGAACCTCATGCCTTATTTTCTTTGCCTCAGTGAGCTTCTACACTGTTCTTGTTGAAAGACACTTCTTAATTTGTTTTGCCATCAGAAGAGATAAGTGAAACTATTTTTCAGGAAACTCAGAAACTTTTGATCGAGCTGAAATGGCATGTCAAATAAAGACAGATGAAATAACTTGTGTTTGGTTACTGTCTTTCTCAAGGAGAATAATCACCACCTGGGAGCTATATGCAATTCTGCAGCAGTTGAACAACCTAAGTCATTTATTTTTGTTTCATCTCTGAAAAAAATTGCCACAGCAGAAAGTACAGAAATAATGCATATTTTAAATAATGAATACTTCATTTTCCCCTCTTTTTTATTGCAAAATATAAGTTCTTCTTTTTTCTATAATCAGACTAAATTTGTTTTACCCACCACCACCTCCAACTGATGGCACAATACCTAATTGACTCAATTCCAAGACAATTTTGTCAAATCAGTGACCTCTAAATCATTTGGGTTTAAGACTCACTCATTTTTAGCATTGTCTCCACCCCTTATTCTACAGGATGTAGCATTGGTAGGAGGAGGCTATCCACTCCTCTGTCCTGATCTGCCCTATAAGGGCCTGTGCTGAGGCCATGGGCACTCAATAATGTTGATATCTGCTGGGAAGCCACTTCCCTCATCAGGCTTGCATTGTCCATACTGCTATCCAAAGATACATTGCCCAGTCATGATGAAATGGGAGAGTTCCCTGACCCTCTTGTGGGACTTGCAACAGGGGTGTGGCTTGTTTGCTCGGTTGCCACATGCCCAAACCCCTTACAGGAGGGGGAGCACGCAGACAGGCAGATGCAGGAGCCAGGACAAGTACTTTTGGGCTCCAGCCCCACAGTAGCATCTGGGGTGTATTACAATTAATGCTCTTTTAGCAGCTGCTGTCCATGGACAGCTAAGTGTTAACCAGTCAGGGTGACAGCCTTTTATACACTGCTTGGTACCCAGGTCCTTGTCCACCATCCAAGAAGAATCAGGTCACACAGAACTGAAGTATGGGGGATGCAGGGATTTTATTGAGTGATGGAGAGCTGGAAAGGGGATGGAGTGGGAAGATAATCTTCCCCTGGAGTTCATCCATCCCATGGACAAGAGGCAGGGAAATCCTGGGTAGAAGAGGGTGGTTCCCCAGCAAAGGCCCCACCTTCAAGCCTGGAAATCTACAGCCCTAAATGGAACCAGGCATTCCTGTTTGCGCACCCAAATGTTGCCTTTTCCAAGACCACTCTGGCCTACCATGCTCCTATCCTGTGCCCATATGAACCCCAAGCTCCATTGGCAGAGTGGCAGAATGGCATGGCAGAGAGAGAGAGAGAAGAGACGGAGCATCTGAACATCAAGAGGAGTTCAGCTGGGCATGGTTGGAGAGGAGATTGGCCGCAGAATGGCCGAACTTCAGGGGAAGATTTATCTTCCCATTCCATCCCCTTTCCAACTCCCCATCCCTTCCGCTGAAAGCCACCTCCATTACTCAATAAATTTCCCACATTCACCATCCTTCAATTCTGTGTGACCTGATTCTTCCTGGACACCTGACAAGGACCCGGGTACCAAGAAGGCAGGGTCTAAAAGACTGTCATCCTGACTCTCCACTGATCTGGTTAACACTTAGCCATCCACATGGCAACTGCTAAAGGACCATAGCCATTTCTGAGTCCTTCCTGCTCTCAGTGCCTCACTCAAGACACTCTTTACCATCTATGAAAATATGAGTCCGCTTCCCAAACAGCCATGGAGTTAAAAAGAATCCAGATGGGGTTACTCTGACCCATCTGCCTAGGCGCTGCATGCAGCTATCTCTGATGGGTTGTTTTGGCATAAGGATGCTTCCATGAGAAAAGACAGCCTTCAGGGAAAGCCACCCAAGGGTGGCATTCACCTCCTTTTCTCACGGATCTCCAAACTTAAAGGGGGGCATAAGATTCCTTCATCTCTTTCCCCTGCCCAAGACTTGGTCCATAGGAAAAAACAATGAGGCACACAGCTTCCCACATCAGGGCCTAAGTCTCTTGCTTTATGTCCAGGTTCTCTGTCTCTCTCCCCACCTCCACACTCCACAGGTTCCTATCTAATTTTGATCGGCAAATGAGGAAACATACTTCTCTCATTCACTGTCTTTCACAGATTTTTTCCTGTCTTAAAAGTAATTTAAGGCTTTGAGGAATGTTGACACCTTTGTTGACCCCTTCCTCTTTCATTTACAAGTATGAAGTAAAATGAGCTCTCTCATAGAATACTAATGAAAGTTTGGATGGTACAAACTTTTGGCATTAGGTTTTATGACATCTAAACAGTAAATCTGTTCTTATCAATCTGGTTTAAGAAGAAAATCATAAACCTGAAAATAATTTTACACAAAAATGCTAAACATCCCATCAATTATAATACCAGCTCAAAATGACAAACTTCCATGTCCAAAAACAGAAATACAAAATGACAGAACTTACCTGTGATGCAATAATATGCAAGCATTAGAAATTGTGTTGAATAAAGGAATTAGCGATATAAGTACTTGTGATAAAAAGCTAAAATAAGGGTAGAACATCAGGTTTCAAAGACTTATGATAAAGAAGAATATAAAATAACTCATTATTTGTATACTAATTACATATTAAAATGATAATATTCTGGGTATCTCGGTTTAAATAAAATATATTATTAAAATAAATTTTGCCTTTTTTTAACTTCTAGTAACTCTAGTTCCTGGAAGAGTTAAATGTACATATGGCTCCAGAGACTGGACAAGTAGAAGAATCAATGAACGCTATTGTATTCCAGTAATACAGGCTTACATACATAAAGAGAACCATACCCAACACAAAGATGCTTTCAACAGCTACATCTGTCTCTCCTAAAAGTGCTCGCTTTTCTAAATTTTTTCTGCTCTTCTGAGCACACAGAGTGAGGATTTCTGATAGATGTGAACCTCTCTTGACCTTATTACTTGAGCATTTGATGGAATTTGTTGTTGCTCCCCTAAGAGAGGACACCAGCGGCCTGTCTCTGGGAGTTGAGCAGCAGCCATCAAGGGGGACTGCACCCAAGGAACAGCAGGCAGCTGAATCCGTGATGAGTAGGCAGCGCAGTAGGGAGCACTTTCAAATACTAATAAAACCAATACATGATCTAAAATCCATTCACTCGATTTATTTTGTAGTAATCCCCTGTGGCATTTTGTTCAGAAGATCTTCAAAACAAAGTCACAAATCCTAAAAGTCTCCTGTAGAAAACAGCTTTGTCCCTCCACCTGAGGTGAAATCCTACACAGGGACTCAGCCTGTTTCTTCAAAGGACTGTGGTCCTGGAGGACAGAGTTGGGCAGGGAGGCACTCCCTGAGAGGCAGGGATCCAAGTGCTGCTGAGCCATGGGGACTCATCCCCCAACTCCAGCCATTTGGACACACCAGGGGCAAGAGCAGTGTTTTACTCAGCTGATGCTATTAGCTGGGGCTTTGATGAACTGATTTGCTTTTGCTGTTGTTTTTCTTAAGAGGAATTGTGTAAGTCAGCAAAACACAGAAAATAAACCTTCTTCTCTAAGCCTGATATAAAACAAACATACCCTGATGAAGAGCACATCAATTCCACAGGCTGCCATCTACCAGCTAGCACATGATTCTGCCGTGCTCCTTTATTAAGGAGTTTAAGTTTGTGCATTCTATTTGTTCTAAGGATTGCTATTATTCATTAAAAGACGATGTGCACATTATTTTGGGGTTATTTTTGGAAACAATGAGTTCACTTAATTTACAACAAAGGAAGAGTTATAAGTGTGTGATGGGAACACATTAAATTTCTCAAAACTCTACCTTTGCTAAATGACAACCTCATTATGCACATTTGCCCTACAGGTTTCCCTATAACTATCTTTCTAACCAGATGAACAGAAGTGTTTTATCTGCTGTTCAGACTGCCTCAATTGAGGTAGAAAAATCTCAGTTTTTCTGGAGCTCTGCTAAACTTCAAGAACAATGCAACTGACTTGGTTTAGCAATCTTTACTTTCTATCACATTCTCCTCCCTTTTGACCAGCTGAGTAGTTTTGCCCCAGATCCAAGCAATGAAGATCATCTGAAGTGAGTCCCTCAGTTCCCTGTCCTAATGTCCCTTTTACCTTTCACAAGATTCTGGGTAACACTTGCATCTTGGTTAACTACTTTTCGATTATCTTGCCTCATCTAAGCCAGAGCTGCAATGAGAGCCTTGGGAGTTTGCAGGCACTAAAACTGAGAGAAAAACCACCATGTGTTTCCATGAGAGGAAAATGATTGAAAGAGAAAGATCAGCAAAGGGATTAAAGGACCTATCCTTCAATGCTGGTGTGAATGGAACTTTCATTTCATCACACCAGCAGCCAGTAGGGAAACTCTACTCCTGTCAACTGAAAAGAGGCTTAAAGAAGAAAACGGATCAAATAGATCTTCACGCTTCCTGGCCAACAGGCAATTTCCCCGGGGTGATCCTTTGACAATTGTGACTGTGCAGGCTTCAGTGTAACAATCCATTTTCTTCTGTTAGGAGGACTGTTCAGGATATACACAGCATCCCACTGCTGTTGGAGAGTCCAAAGAAAGAAATACATCTTGCTTAGGGATTTTCTCCACCTGAGTCCTTCATTGTGAAACCCTGAAACCAGGCTGACTCACTCAGAAGTCTGTTCTATGCTTTAAATTTAGAGGAAATATCTTTCAGACCTTTTGGCCATACAAACAATAGGTTCCATTGTCCTGTCCCCAGCCTTATATCCAGCAGTACTTCACTCCTAGTTTTCCTTAGACTTTCCATTGTAAATCTGTGATGTCTATCGGGTTTTCAAGGAAGGCTCTGTCTGACTTCTAATTTCTCATATCAAAAATTTCTTCTTCAGTGGGGACTGCCATGCAGACTCATTGTTATCTCATATTTCATTCTGCCTTCTTTCTGGAAACAGGGATTTACCATTTGTTTGTCTTAAGGATTTGATGTCTGCCTCGCCTCTTCCACCCTCCACATTCAGATCTTCGGCTTCTTTGTTTTCTATACCAGCCCCTTATCTCTTGTCAAAAAGATCATACAAAAATTTACTTATGGGGTATTTGCAGAGGAAAGAAATGCAAAAGCATACATTACCACACATTAATCTCTGTCATGGAACAGAGATTATTTAGCTCACAAATTTTAATATCAGTTAACTTTCTGGCTAAGGCTTTATTATCAATGGTTAATCATTTTAGAGAATTTCTTCATCAGTGAACACTCAAGCATTCAGACCAAAAGAAAAAAGAGAAAAATAAGTTTTGAATCCTGTTTCACTTTGCCAATAGCCCATTTAACAAAGAAGGCTGATTTCACACACATTTTAAAAATAACCCCAGCAAGTTCCAGTTTCAAACTAATGTAGAGACCATGAAGCAATGCTGTTAATTAATCAACTACATAGCTATTTGGCTGGTGCAAAAGTAATTGCCGTTTGTACCATTGAAAGTAATGGCCAAACCCGCAGGTACTTTTGCACCAACTTAATATAACTTGGAATCGTTTTCTAAGTTTCAGGATGACTTTTATCCAAGGGGCCATATCAGCTTGGAAGCCCTGCTCCTATTTGGGGATGTTTCTGTGGGAAGGGGCTGCAGCCATAGAGGCCAGCAAGCCCCCGGGAATGAAGCTACCTCCCTTTCAGCTACAATCACATGTGACTTACAGACATTGCCGCTCACACTCCCTGCAGTCTCAGATCTGAGTAGAAAGTAAAGAGCTTTCTCCATTCAAAAGGGTGGAAAGCCTTCATCTTGTCACCTCACCCATGACATTGGGCATAAGTTAGATAAGCTTAGGAAGCCCTAGGGTTACACAGTGTCTATGTCTGTCCTTGTGTCTGTCCAATGAAGGATGCATTCCAGCAGTAGCTCCAAAAATGTTATTCTCTCAGCCAAAAGGAGTTTAAATATTTTACCATAATGTAACTTAGAACACACATTGAAGAGCTGAAAGTTCACTGCAAACAGGTTAACACACACACACACCTCCACCATTTTCTATAATTAAAGCAGGTGGCCAGCATTTTGTTGAGCATAAAAAAGAGAAATTTAATCTCTTAGCGATATTATAGGTAAGGATTTTGCTTAACATGTTGATCAAGTACACAAACAGACCAAGGGCTTTCTGAAAAGTTATAGGCTTCCTGACATATAAACATCATATAACCTTGGAAATCAGTGAACTAGAAGATGAAAGGGCAAAGACTATTACCAAGGTTAAGTTTTCTCTCCAGGTATGATTATAGAAAGATATGTAGAGTAAGGCTCAGGGTGGTCAAAACAAGGTAAAAGGGACCTTGAACGTGTTTCAAAGGCAGAGGTTTACTTACCTAGGGTGGAATTTAAAGTGTTAGCAACACAATTCTCTCATTTGAGTTTTACCCAAATTTCTTTAAAGAATTATTTATGCATTCTGTCTTCATTTTTCTAACCTTTTACTCATATTTTACTTTTACCTTCATCATTTCACTGACATCTTTTGGCAAAGTCAACAATGACTTCCATGCCACTTAAGCTCATGGACAATTTTTGTTTATCTTACATTACCTCTTGGTAACACTTGATCCTGCTGACCAGGCACTTCTTCCTACAACATTCTCTAGCTTTGCCCTGTGACACAGCCCTGTCCTCTGGCCACTTGTTTTCTGTACTCTTCACAACATGCTCTTCCTCCAGTCTATTGGCCAGTAAATGTTAGAGTTTCCGAGGTTCATTTTTAGATCTTTTTCTCTTCTTCCTCTCTACCGTCTTAATAGGTCATTTTATTCACGTGTGTGATCTCACTCAAGATTATCTACAAAGATAACTCAGAGCTCCCTAAATATCTCTAACCTGTATTTCTCTCCTGAGCTCTTGACTACTTAACATCTGTACTTGTATATTGAAAACACACCTCAATTTCAACATGTCTAGAAGTGAATTTGTGATCTTCCCCAAACCTGTTTCTCAAATCATTCCCATCTCAGTGATAGTATCACTGTTGTCTTGTGCATGTCTCAAATAATGAGTTTGCTTTTTTACCTGCCTCTCCCTTACTCCCAATAACTAATCCATCAACAAATTCAGCCGCTTTCCCTCCTCTATATCTTCTGAATCTATCCTCTTCTGTCCATCAACAGCTAGAAGATCCCCTCCCTTGTCTTCTCTTGCCTCCTTTGATCTATTTCTCCTATTATAGTGACCTTTCCAATACAGAAATCTGATCATGTCACTCTTCAGATTTAAATGCTCCAATGGCTTTACATTGTTTTTAAGATAGAAATCTTTAATATACATTATAGGGGCTGCATTACCTTGGCTCTTTATTTTTTTCTATACTATTTTTCACCACATTAGTCACTATTCTGTTTTCCAGCCACAGTGGTCACATTTCAGGTCTTACAATGATCCATACTCTTCTTCCACAGGGCCTTTGCATAGGCTGTCTCCTCTGCCAGGAACATTCTTCTCATCCCCCAGTGTTATATCTATTAACTCCTCTAATTCTTGCAAATCCTCAGCTCAATCATCTTTTACTTAGGAAAGATTTCCTGGATCTTTCGTCTCATTTTTAATTTTACAAATATGTGTTCTTTTCCTAATATTGATTTAACCCACTAAACAGTAATTTCCAAGGAAAAAGAAACATGACTGCTTTGTTAACTGCTCCATGCACATCACAATTCCTTGAACATAGTGGATGCTCGATAAATACATGTTGACTAATGCAAGGAATAAACTCTCATGTCCAACAACTTGCTTCCCTTTCTGCAATCTGATAGTCCATCTCATACTATCAGTAGACAGTCCATCTTATATTAAGCCCTTTTTATGCTGTTGAACAATGAATCAGGGAGGAAGGGAAAGCAAGAATATATCCAGCATCTGAAGCTGAGATTAAAGATGTTAAGGTAATGCAGAATTAAAATCAGTCTAAAAGGGAAACACATTACAAAGAAAGAACCACACTGTCACAATCTGACCAGTGAGTAAGATGACATTTCTGGACGGTAATTGGGTGTCATCTTGGCAGTCTGAAATTGTAAAACAGACTCCTGAAGAAATCAAGGACTCACCACTGAGCCAGGGAATCCCATCATTAGCCTGATTATGAGGCATTTTATAGCCCCTTTTATTAAATAACACAGTGGTTTGTACAGCTGCAGAGCATCAGAACCATTTAGGAGCTTTTATTTTAAAGTACAGCTATCTGGACCACACTTCCTGACACTTAATTCAGTTAGCTTATGGTTGGGATCTGTAAGCCCAGGTCTGGAACAAGGTAGTTACAATAGGAGCTGGAACATCTTGCTATTCGGGAAAGTAAGGATATGTTGCTAACCACTTCTCGCCATACACACACACACACACACACAACGTGAGCATGTCAAAAAGACATAGGAGCCAGCTTGAAGAAGAGGGGTTCCCACGGCCAAAGCTGGAACAATAAATAAGATTAGATTATAACCCATTGAGTATAATAGGAATCTATGGGTCCATATGGATAACAGAGGTAGATGTAAATAGATGATGGATGAATAGAATATATAGATAATACATAGATATATAGGATACTGGCTTGTTCCTTATAGTAGAAAATCAACTGATAATGGTGGAGACTAGCTTGGGCAAGAATCAACAATGGTTGTTAAATCTTAGATGCAATGTTTAATGACAAGTAGGATATATGCACAATCTCACAGCATTTTCTCATAAATTATTTATAAGAGGAAAAATGGTAACTATACAGTGGAGAAACTGGATAAAACCTTTACCGGGTGATCAAAATTAAAACTACCAAGAGGCAGATAGGTATTGTGGCACCTCTGGATGTGAAGCCCTGCAAAAGACATACGTCACTTTTGTAGTGTTCTGGTAAGGGATACATAACCTAAATTTAATTATGAGGTAACACTAAATGAACCCAAAGCAAGGATCATTCTATAAATAACTGACCTCTATTGTTTTAAAGTATCAATGCAACAAAAGACAAAAAAAGACAATATTCCTTTAACAGAGATTAAGGAAATATGAAAATTAAATGCAATACATAATCCTAGACTAGAGCTTGGACTGGAAGAAAAATTATTATATAAAGACATTACTAACAAAATGGACAAAATTGGAATATAAATTATATAGACAAATAAAAATAGCAATGTTAAGTTCTTGAAACTTAATAACTGTACGATGATAAAAGAATATCCTTGATTGAAGGAAATATAAAAAACATTAAAAATTATTAAATCTTAATAAAAAGGATATAGGAGCTCTCTGTATTAATATTGCAATTTTCTGCAGATTTAAAAATTATTTCAAAGTAAAACTGTTTTTCATTTAATACCCCAGGTAATTCTGATGACTCTTATTTGGGAATCACAAATAACAGTGTGAAAGTCACCTTAAGAACATAGCGGAATGCTTTCTTCTGTCCTGTTATGTTTATAATAGCCCTCGAATGAATAATCAATGTATTATCTGGAGTTATCATCCAGATAAACAGCCAGGTAGAAATGATCACTGGTATTAAATAAAGAAAAGACACCAACATGCATTTATACCTAAGCTTCTGCACCAACTTTCCATGCAATCAATTACTTGTCTCAACAATTTCAGAAATTCCTAATATAGTTGCATGTGCAATAACGATCTGCCTGCATGCTTATTCATTATGGTCATGTATTACTGATTATAAAAAAGAAAGCTCAAAATTCCACAGATATTTTTTGCTTCTTCTTTCCTATTTCTCATTAATTACAAGACATTGAAACAAAACATCTTTGGAGAATATGCCTAACTAAACCATAATAAGATTTCTCATTTAATCACTATATTTTTGACTACTTGCTGTGTACCAGAAGCTTTGTCAAGTGCTTTCATACTATTTCAGGAAAAGACAGGTTATGTTGCTGTAACCAACACCACCAAAGATCTCTGTGGCTACAACCACAAAAGTTAATGGCTTCCTCACACTACAGGCCCATTGAAGATCAGCAGTGGGATTTTGCTCGCAGTAGTTATTCAGTGAGCCAAATTAACAGAGAAGTCACCATTCTGAACATTTGATCACCATGCCAGAGAGGAAGGGGTCTCTGGAGGGTCTTGTACCAGCCCTGAAATGACACAGATCATTTCCATTCACAACTCATTGTCAGGAATAAATCATGTGGCCCCAGTCAACCAAAAAGGAGCTAGGATATGCAGTGCTACCATGGACCTGGAAGGTGAACAGTCTCCCATCGAACAGCATTAATGACTACAAACGTGCATTAAATCCTTTTTCTTTATCCCTACCCAACAGCTGAATGAAGTAGTGACTTTCGTTAACCTCATTTTACAGAGGGACAAGCAAGGCTTACAGAAATGTAGAATATTGCCCACAGTTACATGGAAAAAGAGCCAGGATTTGAGCATAGATTTGCATGATTCCACAATTTGTGATCATATCCTCTAAGATACAGTCCCTCGTTGCTTATCCCCCTTCTTTTTAATTTCAGTGCAGACTTCCATGTACAGCCATGAAATGGTTTCACTCAGAGGTATGTGAACTAACGTGGCAATGGAGGGACATCCTTACCTGTGAGAAATGCTATTTTACTCCAGCTGTCTGGAGCTGTCCAACTCCTCTACCCTTGCCTCGGCAATGTTTTCCTTGTCTCACCACCTAGCTACCATCTCCCACAGTTCACTTCTGCTG
This sequence comes from Homo sapiens, assembly GCF_000001405.40. NCBI lineage: Eukaryota > Metazoa > Chordata > Mammalia > Primates > Hominidae > Homo > Homo sapiens. The sequence goes on from NC_000013.11 coordinate 47,628,169, forward strand.
CCATCACATTTCCCTCCATCTACAAGGTCTTTTTGCCTCCTTTACTCTTAGACAAGCACTTCTGGGCCCTGGCTGGCAGAATTTGTTCCCATATCCTGACAACACTGATTGTCAGATGTGTGGGTACAACTGAATTAGGTAGGATTCTTTTGTGCTCAGGGCCCATCTACATCTTGGAATCCTGTAATCCAAGCTTTATGATCTTATAATCTTGCCAAAGCATCCTATTGTCGTGTTTTTTCTATCAGTCAGTCAGTGTTTTGGACTGAATGTTTGTGGACCCCCCTAATTCACACGCTGAGATCCTAACCCCCAGTGTGAGGGTATTAAGATAATAATCAGGTCATGAGGGTGGAATCCTCATAAATGTAGTGCCCTAAACAAAGGGATCCTAAAGAGCTCTCTCCCTCTTTCCACCATGTGAAGACACTGTGAGAAGCCACCAATGTGCAGTGCAGAAGAGTGCCCTTGACAGAACCCAACCACATAGGCACCCTGATCTGACTGCCGGCCTCCACAACTGTGAGAAATAGAGTTCTGCTGTTTAAAAGTCACAAAATTTACAGTGTTTTGTTAGGGTAGCCCAAAATGACTAAGACAGACAATAATGCTCAGTGAATCACCCTACATAAGAGTGGCCTAGCTCAACATTGGTGAGGTGGGGAATATACTCTGTCAACCTGGCTGGAGAACTGCAAAGCTGCATGACAAATAGTGTGCACGGATATGTATTTCTTTTAAAAATAATGAGTAATGAGGAACAATGTGTCAGACTTTGAACCCAGAGAAACAGATGAATGGGGCTGATGGATAAATTCCTTGCCCATTCATACTCCCACCCCTTCACCACAAGAATGGTTTTCAGGCAATGTGGTTCCCTATGGCCAGTTAAGAGACATGGCACATGATAAAGCACCAGCTGCGTTTCTTGAAGGACCATCACCAGCACAGTAACATGTCACCTTGTATTCACTTTCTCTACTTCTATATTTCACTTCTTCCATGTTGCAATCCTAGAATTGCACCTTTAATTAAGATTTGTCTTGGGCTAGCTTATGGAACAGAATTATAATACTAGAATTATGAGATACACATCTCTGAAATGTTTTCTATAATGGTGGTGGTAGTGGGGTGGGTGTGTGTGTATTTAAGTTCATGATTCAAATATTCAGTCCTAGGATTTGGAGGTACCATCATGCTTTATCATAACCCAACACTAAAACCAGATTAGAGTCAGTATTTTAAACTGTGGTCACAGTAGAAAGTTTTGAAGGTATCCTCTGTGCCTCTGAACATTCTTTTCACTCTGCTTATAATGCCCTTGTCCCACTGCAAAAATATATTTATCTTTCCAGGCTCTGAGGCTCGCTACCTACCTCCCCTATAAAATTTTACTTTGGCAGACACTTTATTAGGCACAGCCAGATGCCCTGTTTTCCTACTTATCATACTATTTGGCTTTTTATTGATTTTATTATCAAAAAAGATAGAGTTGACTTTTTATTAACATGTGCTTTTATTATATTAAAAGACTACTTATTAAATGCTGTTATCTCAAATTCTACTTAAAGAGGATATTATAACCTTGGAACCAAGGTTTTCTCCCAGAAAAAGATTAATGGAAACATCAATTGCTTTTCATAGTTGATAGCTGCTGCTTCAAAAGTATTTTATTAAAATACCAGATTAAACCCAAAAAACCCTTAGGACACAATAAATTGATTTTTGGTTTATATTCAAATGTCAGCACTTAGTTGTCCTGAAAAAAAAAAAAATCATGAAAGGTGGTGATTTGTAAGGAAGTGAAACCAGCCAATTGAGGCTCTGCTAGGCATGCTGAGTTCTTTCTTAGTCCCTGGAGAGAAACTTATGGGGCAGAAGCACTAAAAACAGGACAGGCATGGAATTCAAGGTTAGTTTGTTCTGTATTTGTCAACTTCTAACCAGTAGTCAAACAGACAACAAGAGTGACCAAAATCAGACACCTGTTTGTTTAAAGTATATCTTTTCAATTTCAAAAGCAAAAGTAACAATGGAAAAAGAAAATAATTCACTCAGAGGAAATGTGTGTGCCTATAAATGTCTATACATGTTCTTTCTCCAAATGTAGCCACTAAGGCCTTTGAGAGCAGTCAGCCCTGAGCAGTCCTCACAAATTACTATTCTTTTCCCCAAATCAAAATTGGAGCTAAAGATACATCAGTTGATGATGCCATCCGAGTCCACTACTCCATTAGAACCATTTAGTCAATTTATAAAAATTTAGTTTACAAATCTTAAAACAGGGAGTGCTTCTGGCTATTGGCCCAAAGTCTATTTTAAGACTGGTGCTGGAGAGGATGTGGAGAAATAGGAACACTTTTACATTGTTGGTGGGACTGTAAACTAGTTCAACCATTGTGGAAGTCAGTGTGGCGATTCCTCAGGGATCTAGAACTAGAATTACCATTTGACCCAGCAATCCCATTACTGGGTATATACCCAGAGGATTATAAATCATGCTGCTATAAAGACACATGCACACGTATGTTTATTGTGGCACTATTCACAATAGCAAAGACTTGGAACCAACCCAAATGTCCAACAATTATAGACTGGATTAAGACAATGTGGCACATATACACCATGGAATACTATGCAGCCATAAAAAATGATGAGTTCATGTCCTTTGTAGGGACATGAATGAAGCTGGAAACCATCATTCTCAGCAAACTATCACAAGGACAAAAAACCAAACACCACATGTTCTCACTCATAGGTGGGAATCGAACAATGAGAACACATGGACACACGAAGGGGAACATCACACACCAGGGTCTGTTGTGGGGTGGGGGGAGAGGGGAGGGATAGCATTAGGAGATATACCTAATGCTAAATGATGAGTTAATGGGTGCAGCACACCAACATGGCACATGTATACATATGTAACAAACCTGCACGTTGTGCACATGTACCCTAAAACTTAAAGTATAATAAAAAAAAAGAGTGAACAATTTTTTTCTATAAATTGTTCTTAGAGGCCCAATAATCATCCCTGTATATCTTGTACATATTATGTCTTTGTCATCTTCCAGACTACAGCTGTGTCATCTCCCACTCCATTTGAAGTTCTTCCAATGCCAGAAATTTCAAGTGACTTTTACTCCCAAGTCTGCTGTGTTTGCCCTCTCACCACTGTCATTGAGAAACTTTCCCTTTCTATATGGGAGTTGCAGAGTGCTCCTGATGTGTATATCAGATGACCCCCTCAGTTCATAGAGAGAACTACCATTATGAGACTACACAAAGCTCTTTTTCATTAATTACTATTATTTTTGTTGTTATTCCTCTTGACTCTGAATACCATCTCTCTTGGATTTAATCTTTCCAATCCATCTGATGCACAGTTTTTTTGTTTTTTTTTTTTCTTTTTTGCTCCTTTAGCTCAGCTAGGACAGGTTCTTATCTCACAACCAGGAAAAATTAGGTGCACAGACACCAGAGAGTGGAGTAGAATTTATTAAGCAAAAGGAAAGCTCTCAGCAAAGAGAGGGGTCCCGAAAAGCAGGTTTCCAGTTGCCCCTTCATAGTTGAATATCAGGGCTATATAAGCTAATAGGGCTGGGTTCCCTATTTATATAAGGCATGAATTCCTGGTGGCTCCCTCTCACTCCCCCAGTACATGCAGGCCCTTAGTCTGCTGCAGGCATGTTTAGGCAAGTCCCCTGTGTAAGTTCCCTTATCTACACAAAACATCCGATGTAAGCACTTGTGGGGTGGGTCAGAGGTTCTCTGGGGACCCTTCCCTTGCTGTCTGCCTAAAGCAAACTAGCTAACTCCTTTCACATCTATGACTTTATTCTCAGACATGTTATGCTTGGAAATACGTATTATAGGGGCAGGGCCAAGATGGTCTACTAGAAGCAGCAGCATTCGGAGGCTGTCATCAAAAAAAACCATAATAAGAATATGAATCCTTCACTGCCAACCAAGGTATCCAGGTTCTCTCATCAAAATTGACTAGAAGGCTGGCATGACCCACAGAGAGAAGGAAGAACAGTGTGGTGCGGTGACCCACCTGAGAGCCACAGGGGCTGGGGAACCCCCTCCCTGACAGCCAAGAAAGGCGGTAAGTGAGCATGCTACCCAGTCGGGGAAACTGTACTTTTTCCACAGAACTGTGCAAACCACAGATTAGAAGATCTCACTCGTGAACCCACACCACCAAGGCCTAGCAACCCAAACCCAGAACGCACAGATTTTTACAGTCTCTCAGCTGGAATCTACTTAAGACTACCCAACTCCCAGGGGGAGGGGCGACCAGCACCAGCTGTGGCTGCCTGCTGTCTAAGCCATTTGAGCTCCTTGCAGGAGGGGCAACAGCCAGCACTGGGATTCACAACTGCCTAACACGCTAAGATCCCTGGGTGGGGGAAGGGCAGCACCCATTTCTATAGCTCCAGGCTGTACTTTTCCCCTGTTGGAGCCAGGGAGGCTGGATGATTGGTCTCAAGAGGTGTCCCCCACAGCCCAACACACCAGCTGTAGCAGTGTGCCACCAGAGTGCCTCTTCAGGCCTAACCCTGACCCATCCTTCCTCATTGGGCTGGGCTTCCCTGCAGGATCTTCAATAACTCTAGCCAGAGGCTCAGGAACAGAATTTAGATCTCCCTGGGCCTGAACCCCTAAGGGGAGGGATGGCCACAGTCTCTGTAACCAGCAGACCTAGCCTTTCCTCCTGGTAGTTCTGAGGAATCAGGAGAGCCCAGAAGAGAGGGGTCCCCCAGCAAAGCACACCCCCTCCACCAAGGGACAAAGTACTTTGTTAAACATGTCCTCCCCATGCCACCAAACTGGGTGAGAACCTCCAACAGGATTTGTCAGACACCCTAAACAGGAGTGCTCCTACGGGCATGAGGTTGGTGCCCCTTGGGCTTGGAGGTCCCATAAGAAGGAGCAGGCACCCATCTTTGCTGTTCTCCAGGCTCCTTGAGTGACATCTCAAGGCACAAGAGTGAATCAGATGAATAGGGCCTGAAGTGAACCCCCAGGAAACTGCAGCAGCCCTACAGAAGAGGGACCTGACTATTGAAAGAAAATCAAACAAGCAGAAAGCAACAGCAGCATCAATAACAAAAAGTCCCCACAAAAACCCCATCCAAGAGTCAGCAGCCTCAAAGACCGAAACTAGACAAACTTATGAAGAAGAGAAAGAATCAATGAAAAAATGCTAAAAACCCAAAAGGCCAGAGTGCCTATTCTCCTCCAAATAATCACAACATCTCTCCATCAAGGGCACAGAACTGGAAAGAGGATCAGATGGATGAACTGACAGAAGTAGGCTTCAGAAAATGGGTATTAAAAAACTATGCTGAGCTAAGGGAGCATGTTCTAACCCAATGCAAGGAAGCTAAAAACCTTGATAAAAGATTAGAGGAATTGCTAACTAGAATAACCAGTTTAGAGAGGAACACAAATGGCCTAATGGAGCTGAAAAACACAGCATGAGAACTCTGTGAAGCATACACAAGTATAAAGTATCAACTGCCAAATCAACCAAGTGGAAGAAGATATCAGTTGAAGACCACCTTACTGAAATAAGACATGCAGGCAAGAATAGGGGAAAAAAAAGAGTATAGGGGAATGAACAAAGCCTCCAATAAATATGGGACTTCATAAAAAGACCAAACCCACAATTGACTGGAGTACCAGAAGGAGATGGGGAGAAAGGAAACAAGCTGGAAAACACACTTCACAATATTATCCAGGAGAACTTCCCCAACCTAGCAAGACAGGCCAACATGCAAATTCAGTAAATACAGAGAACACCGTTAAGATACTCCATGAGAAGATCAACCCCAAGACACAAAATCATCAGATTCTCCAAGGCTGAAATTAAGGAAAAACTGTTAAGGGCAGCCAGAGAGAAAGGTTAGATCACCTACAAAGGGAAGAGCATTAGACTAGCAGTGAACATCTCAGCAGAAACTCTACAAGCCAGAAGAGATTGGGGGTCAATATTCAACATTCTTAAAGAAAAGAATTTTCAACTCAGAATTTCCTATCCAGCCAAACTAGGCTTCATAAGTGAAGGGGATATAAAATCCTTTCCAGACCAGCAAATGCTGAGGGATTTCTTAACCACCAGGTCTGCCCTGCAAGAGCTCCTGAAAGCAGCACTAAATATGGAAAGGAAAAACCAATACCAGCCAGTGCAAAAACACACCAAAATATAAAGACCAATGACACTATGAAGAAACTGCATCAACTAGTATGCAAAATAACCAGATAGCATGATGCCGGAATCAAATTCACACATAACAATACTATCCTTAAATGTAAATGGGCAAAATGCCCTAATTAAAAGACACAAACTGGCAAATTGGATAAAGAGTCAAGACCCATCAGTGTGCTGCATTCAGGAGACTCATCCAACATGCAAAGACACACAGATTCAAAATAAAAAGATGGCGGAAAATTTACCAAGCAAATGGAAAGGGGAAAAAAAACGAGTTGCAATCCTAGTCTTTGACAAAACAGACATTAAACAACAAAGATCAAAAAAGACAAAGAAGGGCATTACATAATGGTAAGGGGAACAATTCAACAAGAAGAGCTAACTATTCTAAATATATATGCACATAATACAGGAGAACCCAAGTTCATAAAACAAATTCTTAGAGACCTACAAACAGACTTAGACTACCACACAATACTGGGAGAATTTAACACTCTACAGTCAGTATTAGACAGATCAATGTGACAGAAAATCAACAAGGATATTCAGGACTTCAACTCAGCTCTGGATTAAGTGGACCTAGTAGACATCTAGAGAACTCTCTGCCCCAAATCAACAGAATATACATATTTCTTAGTGCCACATGGCACTTATTCTAAAATTGACCACATAATTGGAAGTAAAACACTCCTCAGCAAACGCAAAAGAACTGAAATCATAACAGTCTCTCAGACCACAGTGCAATCAAATTAGAACTCAGGATTAAGAAACTAACTCAAAACCGCCCAATTACATGGAAATTAACCTGCTCCTGAATGACTCCTGGGTAAATAATGAAATTAAGGCAGAAATCAAGAAGTTCCTAGAAACCAATGAGAACAAAGAGATGATGTACCAGAATCTCTGGGACACAGCTAAAGCAGAGTTAAGAGGGAAATGTATAGCACTATCCATGTTAGAAAGCTAGAAAGATCTCAAATCGACACCCTAACATCACAATTAAAAAGAGATAGAGAGGCAAGAGCAAACTAATCCAAAAGCTAGTAGAAGACAAGAAATAACTAAGATCAGAGAAAATTGAAAGAGAGACACGAAAAAGCCTTCAAAAAAAAAAAAATCAACGGATCCAGGAGCTGATTTTTTGAAAAACTTAACAAAATAGATAGACTGCTAGCTAGAATAATAAAGAGAGAAAAATCAAATAGATACAATTAAAAATGATAACGGGGATCTCACCTCTGACCCCACAGAAATAAAAACTACCATCACAGAATACTATAAACACCTCTACGCAAATAAACTAGAAAATCAAGAAGAAATGGATAAATCCCTGGACACATACACCCTACCAAGACTAAACCAGGAAGAAGTCAAATCCCTGAATAGACCAATAACAAGCTCTGAAATTGAGGCAGTACTTAATAATCTACCATCCAAAAAAATCCCATGACCAGATCGATTCACAGCTGAATTCTACCAGAAATACAAAAAGAAGCTGGTACCATTCCTTCTGTAACTATTTCAAACAGTTGAAAAGGAAGGACTCCTCCTTAACTCATTTTATGAAGCCAGCATCATCTTGATACAAAAACCAGGAAGAGACAACAAAAAAAGACAACTTCAGGCCAATATCCCTGATAAACATCAATGCAAAAATCCTCAATAAAACACTGGCAAAATGAATCCAGCAGCACATCAAAACATTTATCCATTATGATCAAGTCAGCTTCATCCCTGAGACGCAAGGCTGGTTCAACATTTGCAAATCGATAAATGTAATCCATCACATAAATAGAACCAAAGACAAAAATCACATGATTATCTCAATAGATGCAAAAAAGGCCTTTGATAAAATTCAACATCTCTTCATATTAAAAACTCAATAAACTAGGTATTGATGAAACATATCTTAAAATAGTAAGAGCTATTTACGACAAACCCACAGGCAATATCATATTGAATGGGTAAAAGCTAGAAGCATTCCCTTTGAAAACTGGTATAAGACAAGGATGACCCGTCTCACCACTCCTATTCAACATGGTATTGGAAGTTCTGGCCAAGGAAATCAGGCAAGCAAAAGAAATAAAGGGTATTCAAATAGGAATAGAGGAAGTCATGTTGTCTCTGTTTGTAGATGACACAATTGTATATTTAGCAAACCCCATCATCTCAGCCCCAAAACTCCTTTCACTGATAAGCAACTACAGCAAAGTCTCAGGATACAAAATCAATGTGCAAAAATTACAAGCATTCCTTTATATCAGCAATAGGCAAGTAGAGAGCCAAATCTTGAAGGAACTTCAATTCACAATTGCTACAAATAGAATAAAATACCTAGGAATACAGCTAACAAGAGATGTGAAGGACCTCTTTAAGGAGAACTACAAACCACTGCTCAAGGAAATAAGAGGACACAAACAAACAGAAAAACATTCCATCCTCATGGATAGGAAGAATCAATATCATAAAAATGGCCCACACTGCCCAAAGTAATTTACAGATTCAATGCTATTCCCATCAAACTACCACTGACATTCTTCACAGAATTAGAAAAAACTACTTTAAATTTCATATGGAATCGAAGATCCTGTATAGCCAAGAAAATCCTAAGCAAAAGAATAAAGCTGGAGGCATCATGCTACCTGACTTCAAACTATACTACAAGGCTACAGTAACCAGAACAGCATGATACTGGTGCCAAAACATACATATAGACCAACGGAGCAGAACAGAGACCTCAGAAATAACACCACATACCTACAACCATCTGATCTTCAGCAAACCCGACAAAAACAAGCAATGGGGAAAGGATCTCCCATTCAGTAAATGGTGCTGGGAAAACTGGCTAGTCATATGCAGGAAACTGAAACTGGACCCCTTCCTTACACCTTACACAAAAATTAACTCAAGATTGATTACAGACTAAAATGTAAAACCCAAAACTATAAAAACCCTATAAGAAAACCTAGGCAATACCATTCAGGACATAGGCATGGGAAAAGTCTTCACGACAAAAATGCAACAAAAGCCAAAATTGACAAATGGGATCTAATTAAACTAAAGAGCCTCTGCACAGCAAAAGAAACTATCATCAGGATGAACAGGCAACCTACAGAATGGGAGAAAATCTTTTGCAATCTATCTATCTGACAAAGGGCTAATATCCAGAATCTACTAGGAACTTAAACAAATTTACAAGAAAAAAAAAACATCAAAAAGTGGGCAAAGGGTATGAACAGACACTTCTCAAAAAAAGACATTTATGTGGTGAACATATGAAAAAAAACTCAACAACACTGATCATCAGAGAAATGCAAATCAAAACCACAATGAGATACCATCTCACACCAGTCAGAATGGTGATTATTAAAAAGTCAGGAAACAATAGATCCTGGCAAGGATGTGCAGAAATAGGAATGCTTTTACACTGCTGGTGGGAATCTAAATTAGTTCAACTATTATGGAAGACAATATGGTGATTCTTCAAGGATCTTGAACCAGAAATACCATTTGACCCAGTAATCCCATTACTGTGTACTTAAATGAACTAAAAAAGCAAGAACCAAAACTAAAATTAGTAGAAGAATAATAAACATCAGAACAGAATTAAAATAGAGGGGAAAAAATACCAAGGATCAATGAACTGAAAAGTGTAAAAAAAAAAAAAAAAAAAAAATGGACAAAATCAAACTGCTATAGCTAAACTAACCAAGAAAAAAACCCCCAAAAATAAAATCAGAAATGAAAAAGGAGACATTACAACTGATAACCACAGAAATGCAAAAGATCATTAGAGACTATTATGAACAACTACATACTAAAAAATTGGAAACCTAGAGGAAATAGATAAATTCCTATATACATAAAACCTACAAAGATTGAATCAGGAAAAAACAGAAACCTTGAACAGACCAATAATGAGTGACAAGATTTAATCAGTATTAAAAGTCTCCCCCTAAAAAAGCCCAGAACAAAACAGATTCACAGCCAAGTTCTACCAAATTTATGAAAAAGAATACAAGTCCTCCTCAAACTACCTCAAAAAATTGAAGAGGGAATTCTTCCTTACTCATTCTATGAGGCCAGCATCATTCTGCTACCAAAACCAGACAAGGAGACAGCAAGAAAAAAAAAAAAAAAAAAACCAACTCCAAGCCAATATCCCTGATGAATGTAGATGCAAAAATCCACATCAAAATATTACCAAACAGAATGCAGGAGCATATCAAAAAATAATACACCATAAGGTGATGAGAGCTAAAAATATTACCTATTAGGTACAGTGTTCACTATTCCGGTAATGAGTACACTAAAAGTTCAGACATGGATGGGGGAAGGGGAGATGGGGGAAGGGGAGAGGGAGGAGGGGGATTTTTAACTAGAAATTCAAATAAGAGATGGGGCTATTAAGGTCAACTATTTCTTCTTGAATGAGCTATGGCAGTTTATCTTTCAAGGAATTTTCCCATTTTATCTAATTTGTCATATCCATTAGAATAAAGTGTTCACAATATTCCTTTATTGTCCTTATATCTGTAGAATCTTTTTATGTCACCTCTCTTCATTTCTGATCATTTCTTGACCATTCTGCCTAGTGATATCAATTTTATCAACCCTTTCATGAATGAGCTTTTGGTTTCACTGATTTTCTCTTTAGTTTTTCTGTTTCTAATCTATCTGTTTCTTTTCTGGTCTTTATTTTTCCTTTTCTGTTAACTTTGGGTTTCATTGAAAATTATTTTTTTAGTTTCTTATTATGTATTAACTTTCCACTCTAAAACCTCTAAGATGAATGTTGATTGACAATTACTTGAGTCTGTAAGGTTAACTTCAAAATATTGGGGTTGATTGCTTGGGGACTTAAGCATTTAGTTATTGCATCAGTTCTTGCAGAGCATTTTACAGGCATCCGTATTACAATACATCATATTATAGTCTGTGATTAGGTGGGTTTTGTTTGGTCCTATTTTGTTTTTATTTGACTATTTCCCAATTAGTCTGAAAACCATAAAGGGAAGGACATTTTTCTAATCTCTTACCCCCAGAGCACCTATTACAGAACATTCTTGAGAAAAATGTTTAATAAGTGTTTACTAAATTGATTTGGCCTAAGGCAGCACAAGGCAGTTTTCTGATATGCCACAAGCTTGTGTTCTGACAATGCGGAATTCAAAGCTGAATTTCAATGAAGCTAGTTTAGGATAATGGTACCAAGCCACGGCTAAGTTTATGAAAATCTAAGATTGTATTTGAGTTTTCCCAAGAATCATTCATTCTGGTAAACCTGAAAACGTTTGAGAAGCAAGTGGACAGTTATTTATTTTTAGAAGTGACTATGGTGGTCTCCATTCTCATTGATTATTTCAGCCTCAAAGAATGTAACTCTAAAAACTACATTAGGCTTTAAACACCTTCCTAAGCAATGTGAGGCCTACCTGCCCAGTGCCTGTCACATGATGTGTTGTTCTACTTGAGGTTATTTGTGGTCTGACAGCCAGGATTGGAGAGGACTCCCAATAATTTCCTTTAAGCCACCACTGTCATTTTATGCCTGAGTCATCCCTACTTTAAAAGCCTTAGGAGTGTGTTGAAAGAACAGATTGCAGATGACCTTGAACAAGAACATCGAATATAAGACAATGAAATTAAGAAGCAAAACTGACTCTTCCTCTAGTTTTGAGTGAACTTAGGCAAGTTGCATAACTTTATGTCACTGTTTTCTCATTTATAAAATGAAACTTTATGGCAAAATAACTCACTGTCCACTTGCACTGCAACTTTAAACTGGAAAAAAAATCATACTTTGCAAAAAAACTCCTATAGAGATAGCTATCTGGGTTAGCTAATGTGAGTAGACAGATTGGGTAATAGATAATCCAATGTTTGTCCTGAAAATAAATAGTTGGTTGGTTAAATGATTGCCTAGAATCTGCTTGGAATACATGTGTTAATTTCAACCGGGAATCTTGATCATCATAATGAGAAAGCAGATTTTTAGAAAAACTGTACAATCAGAAAGCAAAACAAAATTTTCAAGACAATTCTGGCCTAAGAAAATTACCTTAGAAACAGACAATTTACTATAAGAAAATTATGTTAGAGAAACTTGGAGTCTTTTTTTTCTTTCTTTTTTTTTTTTTTTTTTTTTTGGAGATATAGTCTTGCTCTGTCACCCAGGCTGGAGTACAGTGGCATGATCTGGGCTCACTGTAACCTCTGCTTCCTGGGTTCAAGCTATTCTCCTGCCTCAGCCTCCCAAGTAGCTGGGACTACAGGCATGCGGCACCATGCCTGGCAAATTTTTTTTTTTATTTTTTTTTATTTTTAGTAGAAACAGTGTTTCACCATGTTGGCCAGGCTGGTCTTGAACTCCTGACCTCAGGTGATCCACCACCTCAGCCTCCCAAAGAGCTGGCATTACAGAGTCATTTTTAAACTAGGGTTTGGTGACTAGAAGTACGGAAGTTTCAATTAGGCACAAAATAGCCCAAAATAACCCCTCCTCATTGTATTTACTTAAGTATTCTTTGTATATAGCTTAATTCGTTCATGTAATAAATACATATGTGCATCTGTTTATATGTGTGTGAATATGGATGTGAGTATGCATGTGTGTATGTGTGTTTACATGTCTGTGCTCACCTATGTGTGTTGAGCACAGATGCTAGGCCCTAGATACAGTGGTTAACAAGAAGAAAATAGTCTCTACCTTCATAGGTTATTTTCCAGTGGGGGTTATAAGAGAGTGACACTAGATTTTGAGATTTTTTTGAAGGCCAGGTCTGACTGTATCAGATTATCTATATCTAGCACAGTGCATTATAAATCTTAAGTTCTCAATGTCTGCTAAATAATTTTTCAAGCTGAAAATGTCAGTTTCAGGTTGAAATCACTCTCAAAGCTATGATTTGTTCCAAGATGAATTGTTCAACATGAACATATATATGTCTATTTTAGTAAACAGATACACGTGGATATATATAGTTTAAGCATCATCATTCTTAGGTGTAGTCAACAGAATCTACTCCAGCAAGTTTAATCAGAAAGGCATTTATTAGACAGTACCGGGTGATGTACAGCATCTCCAGGAGGGCCAAGAGCCAAGAATAGATGCTCCGTAGCCAGGAGCACCTGCAAACAGAGAAACATCTATCCACCATGAGACTGTTCTAGGAAAAACCTCTTTCCTCCTGTGACTCAACTCTTTCCCCAGGTTTCCCATCAGAGCTTGCCCCAGAAAAACTAAATGCTTCTATTGTCATCCCACACATTGTTCCCTTCCCTTCTTCCAAATCTCATGTGTGTATAAAACCTGAGCCATATATGGAGCTCTGACTGCGAGAAAGCATGAAAATTGTCGCTATTAACTTTCCGGCCTCCCCAGTACTGAAAGGCATACTGGAAGGGGAATTGGAATGAGTAATGTGCAAGCCAATCCATCATAAAATTGCTACAGTTTACACTAAGATTGTTGTCATAACTAGCTGACTGCTTGGACTGTGTTCCTAGAGAGAACCATAAATAAAAGGATAGAAGAAGGTTTCATTCAATGCCTAGAATGTGTCAGGGTGAGATGGACAATCCCCTTCCCTAAATTCTACTCCCCAGACCCGAGGGGCAGCGGTAAGCAAGAAGTGACTCTACACATCCTAGAAATCTTAAGCTTTGCAATGGAACTGAGCTGCATTCTCTCAGAGAGAAGTAACAATGCCTGTCTGACCCACTTCAAAGAGCTCTTCGGAAGATAATGCATACATGTATTCCGTAATTGTCACACTGGTATCGTATCCATCATCTGCTCCTCCATATATATTTCTGTGAGCCTGCCCTAAAAAGAACCTCTTTTCTGCCCGGACTCAACTCTTTCCCCAGATTTCCCATCAGGGCTTGCCCCAGAAAGACTGAATTCTTCTACTACCATGCCACATATTGCTCATTTCCTTCTTCCAAATCTGATGTGTGTAGAAAACCTGTTCTACCTGTGGCTATACATTGGCCTTATCACAGTCTCTTCTCTTTATCTCACCTACCTCAATCGAATCAGTCACCAACATCTGTTTATTCTACTTCAAAAATTTCTCTCAAATCTAGGCTCTCCATTGTCAATTAGTTGGTTCAGTCTCATTCCATCTAACCCAAGTTGTTACAGGTTTTCTAACTGATTATTTTGCCTCTGGTCTGACCAACTGTCCACCTCTCCATCCTAAAAAACAAATCAGATCATGCCACTCTTGCTTCATCATTTGCGTTGTTATTTGCATTAAAATTCATACTGTGAAAAGACCACCATCTGAGTAAAGAAAGCCCCCTCATCAGCAGGTCTGAAATATTTCTCTACTTTCCAGAGATGAGTGAGTGATTCCAACAGAGACCTATGACTGCTTATGGGCCATCTTGGAAGTTCCAGAAGGTGCCAGTTCAAAACTAAATGATGTTCCAATGATCATTTATAGAAATGGATCGATATTAAAGCTGAAATGTGTTCTTTGTCAAAGATGTTTTTAAATCTCCTCCATGTGATTTCTCTGTGTTCCTCATTTCATTAGTCACGAATTACACAACTCTTTTTCCTATTTTTCTGCTTCAATATTTCATCTTACCTCTGCCATTCCCCACCCTACTTCCCCTTGGCAGTCTTCACTCCTGTGATTTTGGAAAAAAAAAAAAAAGTGGGATATTGGATGTTTTATTTTCATATTGCGCCAAATGATACATCTCAGCCACATTCTTCCTGTCATCCAAACTACCCCATGCTTTCTTTGCTTTCAAAGAAACACCATCTATATCTACTACCTAATTTGGCATCTCCTTTTTCAAGTTCTCATCTCATTTACCTCAAAATAGTTATTTCTCTGACAAGTAAGAAGCTGAATAAACTACTTCTAATAAAGCAAACCATCTGATACCCACCTTTTGAAATTAATTGTAGACTACTATTTTATTCCCTTTACACTCAGGTAGCTTCTAAACAAAAAGAACACAATATGCTAAATAAGTTATTTGGGAACAGAGATCAGCATTCTAACATAACACTTCTAATGCTTAATTATTTTAAGCAAACATCTCATTCACAGAAATCACAGATCATCAGAAACTGCCTATTAGACTATGAAATATGAAAGGTGCTTGATGAAAAAGGAAAAGCTCTTTTTAAAGGTAATTGGAGAGGCGTATTTAACATTTCCAGTTTTTTGACAGAGATTTTGTATTATTTTACATGGGCTAGGAAATTGCATATTGAATTGTATATTAGGTTAGAAATTGTATACATATACAATATATATTATACACATACTATATATAATATTTAAATATATATTTATATAATATATTGTATATATACAATTTTCTAACCCACATAAATATAAAATCTTGATACAGAATATACATATTCTATATTTTACAGACACATCTACATTATATATTTTACATATTATATATATCTATTTTTTCCCCACCAAAAATACAATCTCTGGCCATTTCCACTTCCTTTGGAAGTTCAGATACAGGTTCTCAGTTCCTTCACCTAAGATTTTCTCTCTCCTCTCTCTGCAGGCTTCTCCTAAGCATATCTCTTCCATTCTCATGGCTTTGTATATCATGACTACCATAATTGTATTTCTGGATCAGAATTATTTTCTGAGCTCCAGACACGAACGTGCAGCCAGCCTCTTGAAAAGTCCACTTAGTTGTCCCAAAAGCAATTTAACACTCATCTTAACCAAAACCTTGATTTTTCTGCTTCAGAATTAATTGCTTCTCCTCCCGCCTGCAGATTCTCGGTAAATGGCACTGGCAACTACCTAGTAGCTTCAACCCCAAAAACCTAGAAGTCACACTCTGCAC
This sequence comes from Homo sapiens, assembly GCF_000001405.40. NCBI lineage: Eukaryota > Metazoa > Chordata > Mammalia > Primates > Hominidae > Homo > Homo sapiens. The sequence continues at coordinate 47,644,232 of NC_000013.11, forward strand.
AGCCCTTCACCAAGATTTGTCAATACAGTCTCTATATAACTTTACTTCACTTTATAAATTTCTGCATTGCCCCTCCAACTCCACTGCCAGTGCTTTACATCAAGCCACCATCACCCCATGCCTGCATTGCCTCCATAGGCTGCCACAGTTTTCTTCACTCTCTATAGTATGAGCAGCAATGAGTGATCTTTGTAAAACACAGATTGGTTCACATTACTGTTTGCTCAAAATCTTTCAATAGACTGAGAGATTGTGTTCTCCACAGATGGCCAAAATAACTCCATCCCACAGGCTCGTATGACCACATGTGCTATGTCTAAATGTGTCTCCCCCAGAATGTATGTGTTGGAAACTTGGTCCCCAGTGCAACAGTGTTGGAAGGTGGGGACTTTCAGGAGGTGTTTTGGTCATAAGGGCTCTACCCTCATGAATGGATTAATGCTGCTACAAAAAGGGCTTGTGGGAGTGGGTTTAATCTTTCTTTCCCTTCCTCCTTCCACCATATGAGGACCCAGCAAGAAGACATCTCGTCAGATGCTGGTGCCTTGATCTTGGACCCCCCAACCTCTAGAATTGTGAGATAATATATTTCTGTTCTTTATAAATTACCCAGTCTCGGGTATTCTGTTATAACAGCACAAGTGAACTAAGGCATGTCACTATGATTCTTCTCCACCAAAAGGTGGAGTATAGCTCCCCTCCCTTGACTCTGATCTAGCCTTATTATTGACTTCCAATAGAAAGCAGTGGAAGTGACACCATGTGACTTCAAAGCCTACCGTCAAGAAGAGCCATGAAGATTCTAGTAATCTGAAAACAGTAATCTGTTTTCTTTGAGGCACTTGCTTTGGGAAAAGCCAACTGGCACATGAAAGTTCAGCTATCCTGAGACTACTGTTTTGCAAAGGCCACACATAGGCGTTCCAATCAACAGCCTTAGCTGAACTCCCAGGACCAACTGCCGGCCATGAGTGACACATCTCAACCATCCAGCTCAGTCATGACTTCAAATGACTATAGCCCCAGCCAACACCTGGCCATAACCACATAAGATACTCTGAATGAGAACTTCCTAAACAGCCCCTTCCTTAAATATTGGCCCACAACATTTTTAGCAGAAACAAAATGGTTGTTCTTATACCACTAAATTGAGAGGTAATTTGTTATACAGCGTTAGTGGCTAGATCAGCTTCCCATCATCCTCAGGATAAATCCAAAATTATTTCTGGAACCTACAGGGCCCTGCATGATCTGGCTCCTTGCTATTCCCCTGGCCTTTTTTGTGCCTTGGTCACCAGGCTTCAAACACACTGACCCTTGCTTCTTCATTAGGAATTTTGCTGAGGCTATGGTTTTCCCATCCTGGAATGCACTCTTCACCTGGCTAACACCAACTCAGTCCTCAGGTCTTAACTGCCAAATCTTTAAGAAAGCTAAAAGGATCCATGGCATGGAGCAAAAGCTTGGGTGGCAGTGGTTATTTTTAAGATGAAAGAAATGAGCTGAAGTATCCTGTGATAGGAAGGAGTCAGTGGAAAGGGAAAGATCAATGATGTGGGAAAGAAAGGATGACTAATGGAGATGGGGTGCTCCAGGCATTGCATGCCCACCTCAGATGTCAAAGAGAAGAAATAAAGGACAGGTAGCATGTGATACCACATGCAATCAATGCAAACCTGCTCTACTCAGCTAAGGCTGACCTGTGAGGACTACCCAACCAGCTCTGAAGCTCTAGTTTCCCTTGGGATCAGCCAGTGTGAAATCCTGGTGAGAAACTGGTAGGAAAGAGGAGAGAGAAGTGGGAATATTTGGTCCCCCAGATTTCTCCCTATGGGATCACTTCTGGTTGGCTGCTTTCATTGTCTTGCAATGGTCACACTCCTGTTAAAGTGGCCCTCTTCACACTGGCTGCTTTGAGATTCCAGGAGCTACCCTCCCTTTCCCCATCACAGTCCCCTCTGTTACCAGTACTGGGTGATCCACTGTCACCTGGGGTACCCTATATCCAACAATGCCTTTAAAAATAGGTTGTTTATTCAGCCATACTCAAATTACCCCAATTTACATATGACATTTGTTTCTTGCTGCGCCCCTGTCAGATATGAGTGGGAATGCTGATGAATAAATAAATGGAAAGAGCAAGAAAATGTGAAGCAGGCAACAAACTCAACATCTGATCTTATTCCAGTTAATAGGTCACTAGAACAACATTACCATTAGATCAAGGAACAAAATGAAAGCACTGTGGGATTGTCATCTATATAAATAGAAAGAATGCCTCTCCCATTAAACAATGAAATCAAGCTTTTCTTTTTTCCACATGGAAGCTCTGACCTAACAGAGTTCATGAGCAATCACAGAAAACAAATCAGATGAGCCATTTTACTCCTTTTCAGTTACCCACACATGGCAAACTCAGAACACCACCTTTGCCATAAATATCACAGTGGCCTCTGCAAACTAGAATACTTTAATTCTTTCTATAAGTTGTTCAGAGTAAAAATAAATAAATACATGACTGAATTAGGGAAAATCTACTCTGCCTGAGATCCACTGGGTGTGTGTCAACTCTTGAAATAACCCTGGCTCCTGAAGAAGGGATAGCAAAAGTATAAATGAGAAATTCTGGTTCCAGTTAATTTCCCACCATCTTTAACATCCCTCCTATTTTAAAAGCCTATTTTTAAAGCTTTTAAAATTATTATTATTGTTATAATTGTGTTTTTACTACTGAAGAGAAATGCTAAGATTATTTATACTGCTTGTGGAGCATTTGCTCTGTGCCAGGCAGAGTCCTAAGAAGTTCTATAAATCAAATCATGTCATCCTCATGTCTATCCTATAAGGAAAACACTCATTGCTCTTATTTTCAGATGAGAAAACAAAAGTACAGAGAGGTGACACAAGTTGCCAAAGTCACACTGTTTTTGTTATGAAGATACCCAGCAGGGTAGCAGGGTCATCAGGGGACAATTTATAACTGGAATGCTTGAGAGATGAGCTTTTGTTTTCCTTCTTTTCTTTTTAACTGCCAAAAAATGGTCTCCAATTTATGGAAGTTTGGATCTGTTTTGACCTCAAGATTATCTGGGAAGTAACACAGAGCCTTACTTTTTTTTCTGCTGTATTAACCCCAAATAAAGATTACCAAATCACATTCATTGTCATGAAGGTTTTTCCTGTAACTTGTCCATTTGGTATCATCAGATGTGATTCTAGAAAAGCAGAATTACACTGAGAATAAAAAGAAGTATATTTAACTACTTCATACCTGCTAATAGCTATTATATTTTTTAAAACACAAAATAATGTTGGCAAGGATATATAGAAATGGGAGATCTTGTGCATTACTGGTAAGAAATGGGCACAGCTGCTACGGAAAAGTTTGACCTTTCCGCAAAATGTTCAACATATTACTATATGATCCAGCAATTTCACTTCTGGGTATATGCCCATAAAGAATTTAAAGCAAGGACTTAAACAGATACCTGTACACCAATGTTCACAGCAGCATTTTATTCACAACAGCCAAAAGGACAACCCAAGTGTCCATCAATGGAGAAATAAAATGTGGATAGTGGAATAGTCAGCCTTAAAATGGAAGACAATTAACACATGCTACAATGGATGAGCTTTTCATTCATTATGCTAAAAGAAATAAGCCAAACACAAAAGGACAAATATTATTCCATTTTTATGAGGTATCTAGAATAGATAAATTCATAGAAACAGAAAGCAGAATGGTGGCTACTAGGCTGTAGGGGAAAATGAGAGTAGAAAGTTGTTATTTAAAGGGTACAGAGTTTCAGATTGAAAGAAAGAATTTTGGAAATGGATAAAGGTGCTGATTGTACAACATTGTAAATATACTTAATGCCCACTGACTTGTACACCTAAAAATGATTAAAATGGTAAATTGTACCTTATTTATATTTCACCACAGTAAAAAAAAAAAAAAAGAAAGAAAAAGAAAAAAAAGTGGATTTCATTTCATTCCACCTCTGACCTTTTCTTAGTAACTTCGAGCAAACCACAAAATCTCTGAAACTCAGTTTTATGATTTGTAAATTAATGAGGTTTTTGGATTTATCAGAAATCAAAAAATAGTTGTTGTCCATAGAAGAGGTGAATTCAACAAAGTCTGTGCTTTTCAAAATACCCAACTTATAACCTTTAAAAAGATTTTACCCAAAAATCCAAATTTGCAGCTTTTATTTTTTTAAAAATCAAAATAGGGGAACACATTCTATTTTATGGAATAAGGTCTGGCCCATTCTTTTAAAAACAAAAAAATAAGTTTTTAATAATTAAAAATAGCAGTTTCCACTCATGGATGTAAAGGACTATAAAGAGTTTTTTTCCGACTCTTACATCCAAAAAAAAAAAAAAAAGACAAGTAAACTCCAAGTTCATAAGTCTTCTTAAAACCAGAGTTGAGGTGACAGACAATCAAATTATTCCAAAATAAAAAAAGAGACAGACGTCTGCAGAGAAACATAGGACATAGACACTTGCTTACCTGGGGCAGACCCAACTGAACACTAGTTGGAAAAATTCAGCTGGAATAGTTAATGACTCCATGGAGCATGGGTATGGTCCGGCAAGAGACTGAAGACCCAAGTCTTTAGTTTTTGTTTGCATAGATAAACAACAGAAATTTATTGCTCACAGTTTGAGGCTGGAAAGTCCAAGGTCAATGCACTGGCAGATTCGGTATCTGGTTCAGGAATGATGCTTTCTTGCGTGTCCTCACAGGGTGGGAGAGAAAACAAGCTCCCTAAGGCCTCTTTTGTAAGGGCACTAATTCCATCATGAGCACTCCACCCTTGCGACCTAATCACCTCCTAAAGACCCCACCTCTTAATACTATTGATTTGGGGATTAAGTTTCAACACATGAATTTTGGAGGGATACATTCAGATTATAGCACTCTAAAGCAAACTCCTCAAACTTTTCTAACTTTTGTGGTTTCAAATGATGTTTGGCACCTGTGGGTGTCAGGTAGAACCTGAAGTCAATGTGTCATATAGCTATGTTTTTATTATAATGATACTGGTAGAAAGGCCCTGTACATCAATTAATAAGAAAAAATATCACATTTTAAAACATCTTGAGATCTAATTTACATGTACTAAAATACACAGCTTTTGAATGTATAAGTTAACAATTGCCTACACTTGAGTAATCTCCTTAATCAAGATATGGAATACTTCCATCACCCCAGATGTTCCTTCATGTCCCTCTCCATGCATTCCTCCAGCACCCTATGTCTCTGCTCCAGAGGCAGCCATAGTTACTGAAAGGTTACTTCCTTGATCATCTGTGTTGTAGGTACAGAAGCTTTTGGTGAGATTAGAAATTAAATCTCTGCTTCAACATGAATATGCAAAATATGGTGATACATTTGCACAACAGTGAGCATTGAGTTGTTCTGACACCTTTCTTGATATAGTGGGAAGAACTGCTGTGCCCTCAAGGGGATTTTCTACTTCCTTATGTTCTGCTTAGACGAAATAGAGACAACGGTATCGAAGTGTTCTCCTTTATGCTAGCACTGTAATTGAGGATGAATTTATCAGAGTGTGAGAGTGATGTATTTTTGTAGCATGAAAACAATATAAAAGTCAGAAATGGGTTTTTTTTACTTTAAAAAATGTCAAGATAATTTCAAGAGAGTAAGGAAGATATTCCTCACCCAGAGCAACTTATGTCTCATCTTCTTCTAATTAGATGGCTGTCAGTGCTTTTTGAAATTCTGATTCATCAGGGTTGCCCCCTCTTGCTAGAAGTAGTATTGAGGGAAGAGATCGTGCAAGTAAATATAGAGTTGGCACTTTCACTTATGCATCTGTGCTACAAAGTTATTTAATGATAGGCAGAAATGTAATTTAAAGGGAGAAATTGGCAATTAGTTAACTCTCCCTTTGATTTACACAGGGCCAACAGTGGATTTGATTGAATGCCTTGAAATAATTACCATGTATGGGGAAAGGACTCCAAAATCAGCCCCCTGCCAGTGACACATGGCTTATAACCTCACATGTCCCATTACCATTTCCAATATGACTGATCTCTCCTCTGCCATCAGCTTGTTCTTGATCCCTTAAATGGTCATTAAGAAGTAAAGACTGAAAACCCTTTACCTCCCCCAAGGCAGAGCAGGATAAACAAACTCAGATGTCATCAGAACCAACTGTCCAGGGTTGATTATGTCCCCAGGGAAAGCTATCACTTCTAATCAGTTCTGAAAGGAGCTATTTCCCTTTCCCAGGGAAAACAAAATCATTCCTCTGTGGAGTTCTAACAGATCCACTTAAGATTTCAGGGTTTATAAAAGGGACTCACTCACAGGGAGAGACAGACAGAGGTGAAAACTTTGCAATAGACAGATTCTTTGAGAAAATTGTTACTCTTTAGAAAGATGACATTATGACCTGCACTCAAGACAATATTTTAAAAGCAGGTATGGCCTGTCAGTCAGAAATTCTACATTCAAGTGCAACTCTCCACTTACTAGCTGTGTGGCCCTGAGTAAGTCACCTGAGTTTCCAGGCCTCAAATGTTCCCATTTGTAGATGAGGTTAATGTTAATACCACTCATTGGTCAAGATGGTTTAAATGAGAATGAATTTAAAATATATTTGATTATTGTTATTTTGATATAATATTGAACACAGACATGAATTATTACCTTGTCAGAGTAAAAACTGAGTAAAGGAAATAGACAAAACAAGTAGGCAAATTGACCGACTGCTGAGAAGAGGGAGAGAGAGACAGAGATGAACCTGCATTTGGTGATCAGGGAAGAAAGTGGCGTATGAATGGAAATGTGAAGGACAAGAAAATGCCAGCCATGATAAAAACTAGGTGGAAAAAATTCCAGGCAAAATGTACCAAAGTCCTGTGGTAGATAAAACAGCTCAATGAGTTGGAGAGAATGAAGCCAGACCAGTGACACTAGAACACAGTAACTGAGTGGGATTGTAACACAAAATGGTGATGGACAAAAGTTCTGGAATTTTGTCTCCTATTTTTCCCTTAAATTCTGAGATAGAAAATTTTGATGTGACAGATTAGAGGAGAACAATGGCAGATGGCTCACAATCAATGATAACAGAAATACTCCAGAGGCTTAAATTCTAAAACTTGGCTTGACCATCCTCATCAAAATTCCAAATCTCCATGTACATTAAGCCTACAACATTCCAACATTCTTCCACTGACAAAATACAGGAAGATAAGAAATTGAGAGTATTTCATGATTGACCAGTGGGGGCCATTATTTGTTACCCAGATCAGTTGTTCTGACCTCCCCAGAAGACCCACCTCCAGTTTAGAAGATTGGACCCCTGAGATTACTTAGAGTGAAAACTTAAGCAATATTGCACAGCCCAGTCAAGTGCAACAGGGTCAGGCACCACTGATTTTTCCATTCTAGCCATCCTCTGCTACATGATAACCAACAAGCAGCTGATCCATATAGCTAGAAATGTTCATTCATTGCTTTTAGGTACCCTCATCAGGAAATTGTTAAAAAATAATAATAATAATGGCTGCCCAATTTGTACAGGAAACACCTCTGTCCATTTGGGGCATCAACCCAGAATTTCTCTTCTTTACTCTCTACAGCCCCATCTTGCATGGTCCTACCCAAATCTTTGCTGTGAAAACCAGATATATTCTAATAACGCCCAAATCTATTGGCTCTAACCTCTCTGCCATATAGCACTCTTTGCTAACCACCTCCTAGATAGCTCCATTCATTTATACCACTAGCCTCTCAAATTTGAGATATCCAAAACAGAAATGATCAACTTTCCCCAAGGCAACTCCTCCCCATTAGAGGTACCATCCTCCACCAAACTACTCAAGCAAGAAAGCTGGGGCTCAATTTCACTTCTTTCTCTTCCACATTCCATTATCAATCCCCATAGCTTCTACTACCTGAATGTCTCTTGAGTCTTTCCTCCTCCCACCCACCCTATTAGGTCGGGCCCTTATTTTTTGCCTGGGTCTCCTGGCTTTCTCTGTGGCCTGCCCAAATTTATCCTTCACAGATATCACAGTGGTCTTTGTCAAAGGCAAACTTAGTCACATCAGTTTTCTGCTTAAAATTATTCAGTAGTATCTGCTACCCGTGTGTGTTTCAAAACAGCGGTCCTGTGCCCTCACTTAGGACATCAGATCCTTCATGATCTGACTCCTTCCTGCCTCACTGGTTTTGTTTTCTTCACTCTCTCACATGCACCTTTCACTGCAGCCCAGCTCAGCCAGTTGAACTTCCACACCCACACATCTTACAGTCGATTGTTCCCTAATTTATTTTTCCATTTCTGCACTTGTTTTCTGAAGAAAACAAGTTCCTTCAGAACTCAGCTCAAGCTTTTCCCTCCCTTTATTTAGCTTAGCTGTGCTTTCTCCATGCCCCAAAATCACCCTATGCCAATTTGTACCTAGCACTCTCCATACTGGGCTATACTTACTGGTTTGCTTGTCTCACTAAATTGACTACAAATACTTAACAGAGGGCGTCTCTTTTTTTGTTTGCCAGATGCCTAACACCATGCACTGTATAAACACATAAGCAGAATATTTAGCCAGCAGGATATTAATGCACAATATAAATGATCCAAAACTATAAAATGTACAGAGAAGAATGAAGTTTGGTTTTGTCTGAGCATTTTCCATATACATATGTATTTGATTTAAAAAATTTCTTCATACCATTCAATCAAGTGAAACTATAGGTAAAGATATATTTAAAGCATGAGTCTTCTTTTCTCCTCTTGTAATGATTTTCCAAAGAATAAAATACACTTCCACTCTGCCACAGAGGACAACAACCCTCTTCTGACACTGATAAATACAAGGAAAATTATTTCTCTTAACTGAAATGTTCACATCCTAAAAGCTCTAAAACCAAAAGATTTTCAGAAACTCACTTGGCAGCAAAACCTGACCTGACCTGAACCAAACTGATGACAAAACCTGACCTAAGAGCTATATAAAGTCTTTATTTATCACACCATCAGGGCTACAATTCAACACTTTTTTCAATAATCTTTCTGCAGTTTCATTCTAAAATCTGGTTAGTAGCCAAAATAAGAAAAAAGAACTACTTGTGATTTGTCCTTAACTGTCTGGTCCTATGCTCTCATAATACTCTAAGGCTTCTTGATTTATATTCTTCCATTCCATACCTACCTTTAACTCAGAATTGGGTTTTCTGTGTATATAGGAATGGCATATAAACTATTTTTTTCAGACTTATTGAGGTATCATTGACAAGTATATGTAAGGTGTACAACTTGATGTTTTGATATATGTGTACATCCTAACATGATCAACACAATTAAGCAAACATAGCTATCACTTCACATGGTTACCATTTTGTTTCTCGTGTGTGGGGAAAGGAGGGAGTGGTAAGAATGCTTAAGGTCCACTCTCTTAGCAAATTTCAAGTATACAATGCAGTATTGTTTACTGTAGTCGCCATAGCTGTACGTTAGATCTCCAGAATGTTTTCATCCTGTATAAGTGAAACTTTGAATTCTTTGACCAAAATCTTCCTATGTCTGCTTCCTCCAGCCCCTGGCAACCACCATCCAACTCTCTGCTTCTGTGAGACTGATTATCTTAGATTCCCCATGTAAGTGAGATCATGCAGTATTTATCTTTCTGTATCTGGCTTATTTCACTTACCATAATGTCCTCCAGATTCATCCATGTTTGTTGCAAATGGCAGGATTTCCTTCTCTCTCCTCCCACCTTCCACCCTCAAGTAACCCTTGGTGTCTATTGTTCCCCTCTTTGTGTCCATGTGTACTCAATATTTAGCTCCCACTTATAAGTGAGAACATGCAATATTTGGTTTTCTGTTCCTACATTAATTCGTTAGGATAATGGCCTCCAGCTGCATAATATATCCAGTAATGGGATTGCTGGGTCGAATGGCAGTTCTGTTTTAAGTTCTTTGAGAAATCTTCAAATTGCTTTCTATAGTGGCATCTTTCATCTTTTCATAATAGCCATCCCAACAGATGTGAGGTGCTATCTCATTGTGATTTTGACTTGCATAGTCATAATTTTGTGTCTGACTCCAAAACCCTCTAAAGACTTTCTTTACCCAGCTAAATTCTATTTAAAACATTGCTAAAATAAACCACGAAAAATGAAATTACTTCTAGTGCTTTTGTGTTTTGAGATCATGTCAGCCATCTTTGACAACAAAACTGTTTCCTCAATTGCTCTGCTCTTTAAAAGAACTTCAAGTTTCTCTCTCTGTTAATTGATGTCTTATTTAAAAACAACGTTTTCTAGGTCTAAGCTAAGTCCCTATGCAGGAACTCCAACTGTGCATCAGGAAAAATTCCAAATAGCCTTAAAATTAAAACACAAACAAAACCATAAAGCAATAAAAGATTTTTTCTTATAACTTTAGAATGTATAGCTTATGAAATTTAGAAATACTTTTAAATAATAAATGTGATCACAGAAAAGTCAAAGGTTTCTGCAAAGCACAAACCACCATAAGCAAAGTTAAAGACAGAATAACTTGGGGAAAATGTACGTACTAATTTCGCTAATACATAATAAATTTCTACAACCAATTAAAAAAATTAACAGGAAAATTAAAAGAATAAGTAGGTCACAGAAAAGGCTTTACAAATGGCTCTCAAACAGAAAATATATTTGATCACATTCAAAAAAGAAATGCAAATTAAAACTATACTGCATTGTTTTTCTTTTATCAGATTGTGAACATTTGAAAATTTGGACAGGTTTTGTTGCTACAGCAGTGGAGAAAACACGAACTCTTGTATGTTACTGGTGAGGATGCAATGTGGAATGACCCCTGCAGAAGCAATTTGGCAGTATCTATTGAATTTGCAAATGCACATATTATTTGATACAGCAATTCCACTTTCAGGAATTTATCCTACAATAGCAGATTGTAAAAGTGACATATGTACATAGTTATTCATTGCAGCATTGTTTGTATGGATAAGATTTAAAATCACCTAAAGTTTCATCAAATGGGGTTGGCTATCTATTGTACATTCATTCAGTGGAATACTGCACAGAAACATTAAAGAAATAGGGAAATTCTTTGTGTACTGATACAAAAAGATAATTAAGGTATACTTTTAAATGAAATAAAAAGAGAGCCACTGGACACAATTATATCTGATGTATCTATGTATATATATTTTTTAATGTTTCAGATACTATTTTCTAAAATATCTCTTCAATAAAATCTAACTTTCGAACATGAATGTTTTCTTGAACTAAACTTCTAGAAAGAAGAATTAAGGTAATATATTAAAAGTGAGAGAAATAATATAGCTTTCAAATGAACTACTCAGAGAAAGTTCCCTTCAAACTGAGGGTTTTTCATTTGCTCTTCTGTATTCTGGATCAAATTGGCTCCTTACATTATAAGTTTCCACTCCCTCTTCAGGACTAATTAAGAGTCTTTTGACACACTCAGTTTTAGGATAAGCATTCATTCTGGAATATTATCCTGAGCATTAACAATAGAAAGAGCTCTAAATTTGAGCATGCCTGTTATTTGACTGATGATTCCATTCATTTGCTGAAGTAATCCATTTTAGCCATTTAACCTATGAGATTAGAGGCATTTTGCATGGTTAAGAGGTTCTCCTATCTTTCTGGCAAATCTAGTTTTTGGCTGACTTGTCTTCCTCTTTTACCTGTTTTTCAACTGCTGGTATTCCCAAAGATCCATTTTCTCACTCTTTGTAATGCCCCAGGTGATCCTGTTTACTTTGAAAGTACACTCTTTATTGTATATGAGGCTGACTTCTAGTCACTATTATATATAAGGCTGACTTCTATGACCCCTCAAGCACATGTCCAAAGGTAAATTATTTCTCTCCAAAATGTCTTTTCCACCTCCTGAATTATAGAATCTCCTTTCCTCTCCACTCCTAATATCCAACAAGTTACTAAATGCTATTGTTTCTACCTCCTAAATATATCTGACTCCTGTATGCATCCCATCACTCCCACCTACTTCAGACTTCTCATACCAACAGTTGCAATAGTATGCTAACTTGTTTTCTTCCTCTATTTAACCTGTCCTCAAATCCATCCTCAGCACAACTAATGATATTTTATCTTTAAAACCAAAACCTAATCATAATTCTTCTTGCCTCAATCCTTTAATAGCTGACCATCACCTACACCATGCTCCAGGAACTGGCTCCTCTTCACCTTTTCATCTAATCTCTCATCACTTCCTTGAACCTTCCATCCACTTCTGAAAGGAACCATGCTATTTGTTCTCTCCACACTATTAATATCACCCAGGACATTCCCTTCACCCTGAACACCCTTCCCCTCTTTTTCCCCCATGGCATATCTCCACTTCCATCTCCCACCATTTAGTGAGCTATTACTATCTCTCAATATTCTACTCAAATGTAACCTCCCTTGTTAAGCATATATGGCTGTAAGCAGTATCTGCTGAAGGCAAGTCTTTCCCCCACTAAACTGCTGGAGCAATAAGGTCAAACAAAACAGAGGCAGATTTCTCATCTCTCATCTCATCCACACACTGAGCAAAACATCTGGTATATGAGCATTCAGTAAACTGTGGTTGAATCATGACCCAGCAATCACATTACTTGGTTCAAACCCAAAGGAATATAAATCATTCTACCAAAAAGATACATGCCCTCATATGTTCATCACGGCACTATTCACAGTAGCAAAGATATGGACTCAACTTGGGTGTCCATCAATGGTGGATGGATAAAGAAAATGTGGTACATATATACCATGGAATACTAGGCAGCCATAAAAAAGAATGAAATCATGTCCATGAATGGAGCTGGAGGCCAACACTTTAAGCGGGTTAACACAGAAAAGAAACAGAAAATCAAATATCATGTTCTCACTCACAAGTGTGAGCTAAATCTGGGGTACACATAAAGATGGGAGCAACAGACGCTGGGGACTCTCAAAGGAGGGAAGGAGAGTAGCAGGCAAGTTCTGAAAAACTTCCTATTGGGTACTATGTTCACTATCTGGGTGATGAGATCAACAAGAAGCCCAAACCTCAGCATCATGCAATATACCCTTGTAACAAACTTGCATATGTGCCCCCTAAATCTAAAATAAAAATGAAAAAAATTAAATAAATTGTGGTTGAATTAAATCTAACTGAATAATATATGTTTGCTTTTAAAGGTTCAGTAGCATAGTGAGTTAAAGAAGAAATGTCCCAAAGATTAGAGGTTGGGTATTTTAAAAAGTAAAAGAAAAGATTTTATGCTTCAGTGTTAGCCACTGGGAAAAAAAGAAAAAAGAAACAGGATTTTTTTTTTAAATATGATGACAAATGTTCAAGAAAGAGAGCTGAAAATGATGTGTCTGAAGTAAAGAGTGGGGATGAGAAGGGAAGAATAGCAAGATTAATAGATGCCTCCCAGGAGTTCTAGATGTAATAACCTTTCTTCTTTTGCCAAAATCCAAGTAGGATATCAGGACTATTGCCTTATCTTTTCACTTTTCTGGAGTCACTTGGAATTTATAGATACAGAGTCACTTCTAGACTGCACTAACACCCTATAATGTGTTAATCAGCCTTCTATTCTATTCCATTTCCAATTCCACACGTGTCATTACTTGCTTGTAATCCCAATCCAAGCGCTCAACTTTTTGATACTGGGGAAAAAAGTACCTTTGGAGATCAATTTCTGAGTAATCCTCCTCTCGTATTGCACTTTGAAACTATGGCTGCACAGGTCAGCTATTTATGTAGAAAAGGGTTCCTCCTCTATTGTCACTAGGACCTTGAATTAGCCTCTCTTTCTAGAACACAGAACTCAGGAAAGGAAGAGTAGCAGGATTCTCACATCATTCCTATTTTCCTTCTCTGGGGCCTTCCTGTCTATCTGAAAAGGTTACCCTAAGTGGTTGCTTCCCTTTTCTCATCATTTTCTTGCTGTCTAATTAGTATACATAGTCCTGGTGTGATTGTCTCTGCAACCCTGGCACCTGCTTCATGTCAAACTGATTTATGTTTATCGACTGTTTCAAAGAATTTATGTTTTCTTTTTTCTCATCTGCCTCCTCCTTCTGACTCCCTCCTATTTGCACTTTCGCTCACTCTCTCTCTCCCTGTTCCTGCCCAACCCACACACACACACACACACACACACACACTTTGGCCCTCCCTCTCTCTCTCCACTCCCTTTTCCTTCCCTTTCTCTCTCCTTCTCCCTGTTACTTTCTCTCTTTCTCTCTCTCTCTCTCTCTCTCACACACACACACACACAGTTACTCACATATACACAGAATTCATACATCAAATCGCCATCACTTTTCTTTCCCAAGAATTTACTAATGTTCACAAAGTACACATTTACATTTAAGATGGCTCCAGACTCTCAAGACAGATGCACTTTCAAACCCAAACATACTTTTGGGAGAAAGACTATTGCCATCAAGAGAAATGCCTAAGAGATAAACACCTCTGAGAACTACTTGGTAAGAAAAAAGTTCAAGCCAAAATAAGAGAAAACTCTCTTTCCTTCTTCGCACACCGAGAATTGCATACTGGCCTCTTCTAAAATGCAATGTGTGCGCTGAAGTGATAGAAGCAAAAGATTTAGATTCACAGTGGGATGAGATATCTGTAGCTTAATAAAAGCCAGCAGAGCAATTGCAGAGAAATAATAGAGATGCCAGAGGGAGATGGATGTACAAAGTACTTTCAAAAACAGCTTGACTCTGCTCTTGTAAATACGAGTCTAGCCATGTGCTTGGTCAATATATGCTAGATAGAACTCAGTATAACTCCTTATAATTTTAAAAGATCTTTCTCTTATCCTAAGAATTTCTAACATAGTATTTCACCATACCATTCTTACCCAACTTATCACCAGATTACATTCCAAATATATACACTTTTTGTTCGTTTTGTTATATTTTCCTTCAATTTCCAGAATTTAAAGTGCTTATAAAATTTATTTCTGAATTTCTATTATAAATCTCATCTATATTATATCTACACACATGAGCAAACACAATTTTGCACCAACTCACCCAATTCAAAACTAATGAGAATTAAACACTGTATTTTTCCTCTTCTCTTCTTTTGAATCTCAACTTAAATGCTAACTCCTCAAGAGACTTTGCTAGAAAAGATCCTCTAGTTATTCTAGAGCACAGTAGCCTATTTATGTCTTCTATGCAGTTATTCAAATGTGTAATTTTTAAATTGTATTTAATTGTTATTCTGACTCTTCCAATAAGCTTTATGAAAGCAGGGATCATGTCTGTCTGTGTATCCAACTCCACTACGTAGAATTGTGCCATATACATTGTAGAGGTTTAGTAACTTAACAAGTATGTATTTTTAATTCTCTGTAAACACAAGCACATATGACATAAAGGGATTTAAGCAAATCTGCTTACACAGTGCTTACCAACAAAAGTTCTTGACATTAATACATCAACTAAGCCAATTGTAATAAAATAGGAGATCAAAATGAAATAAAGCATAGAACTGGCAGGAAGCAAATTAAGACACTTTATCCTTGGTACTCTAAAACAAACAATGGATTTAGAAGTTTTCTATTGCTGTGTAACAATATTACCACAAACTTAGCAGCTTAAAATGATACCCATTTATTATCTCACCATTTCAATGAATCGGGAGTATGAGAAAGGCTTAGCTGAGTCCTCTACTTCATATCATAAGGTTCCAGTCAAAATATCAGCCAGGGCTGCAGCCTCATCTGAGGACTGACTGGGGAAGGATCCATTTCGAAGCCTACATGGTGGTTGGCAGCATCAACTTCTTATAAGCTGTTGGACTGAGGACCTCAGTTTCCTAATCACATACAACCCATCACTCTTGTCATATTCTATTGGTTAAAGATCCTGGGTTAAAGATCCTGCCCACTTTCAAAGCAAGGGGACCACAATGGTTGGGGTATCAGGAGGCAGGGGTCGAGGAGGCACCCTGGAGTCTGCCTATCACAGATGGAACAGTTATAAGGAGCCTGGTTCATTTAATTTTTTTAACTTTTAAGTTCAGGGGTACATGTACAGGTTACATAGTTAAACATGTGTCATGGAGGTGTGTTGTACAGATTATTTCATCACCTGAGTATTAAGCCTAGTACCCATTAGTTATTTTTCCTGATCCTCTCCCTCATCCCAACTCCCAACCTCCAAAATGCCCCAGTGTGTGTTGTTTCTTTCTATGTATCCATGTGTTATCACTTAGCTCCCACTTGTAAGTGATAAAATGCAGTATTCAGTTTTCTGTTCTTGTTTAGTTTGCCAAGGATAATGGCCTCCAGCTTCATCCATGTCCCTGCAAAGGACATGATCTCATTCTTTTTTATGGCTGCAGAGTATTCTGTGGTGTATATGTACCACATTTTCTTTATCCAGTCTATTGTTGATGGGTATTTAGGTTGATTCCCTGTCTTTACTATTGTGAATAGTGCTGCAATAAACATACATGTGCCTGTGTCTTTATGATAGAATGATTTAGATTTCTTTGGATATATACACAGTAATGGAATTGCTGGGTCAAATGGTATTTCTATCTTTAGGTCTTTGAGGAATCACTACACTGTCTTCCATAATGGTTGAACTAATTTACTCTCCCACCAAAGGTTAATAAATAAAATATTTTCCGGTAAGAAAGAATATGTCCAGTCTCACTGGATTCCCCAGAGTTTCATGAATAAAATATTAAAATAACTCAGAAAAGTAGTCTAGGCATTCATATAGAAGAACGTTTAATAGCTCTTTACAGCAGGAAAATAAACCAAAAAAAAAGTGAAAATCTTCAGAGTTTTATCAAAGACAGATAAATAAATAAGTTATATAATGCAAATAGCATAAAAAGCAGCTAAAGATATTATATACGGAAGCTAAATGAAAGCCAATGGCA
The DNA here is from genome assembly GCF_000001405.40 of Homo sapiens. NCBI lineage: Eukaryota > Metazoa > Chordata > Mammalia > Primates > Hominidae > Homo > Homo sapiens. Next base: position 47,661,174 of record NC_000013.11, read on the forward strand.
TATGTGGGAGACTGTAACACAGTCCCATCCGTGCCACAATTTACTGTGGGTGAATCATACTTCCTTGCCCCCACTGGCTTTGGGCTTAGTCATGTGAGTTTAACTGATTGAATGTGCGTGGAGATGACAGTATGCCAGATGTGAGCAACGTCTGTGAGAGGTATTACAAGTTTTGGTTTGTTCCATTTGCATTCCTGCCATCCACCATGACAGTAACTCATCCCAGAGAAGATCCCAGAGTGAGAAGACATGGCAAGCATGGTGAAACCCAGCAGAGCCTTGGCCAACTCTCAGACTTACAAGTAATGAATATTTGTTGTCATAAGAGACTGAATTTTTGAATTGTTCATTATAAAATATGGTATCAGCAAAATGCTGACAACATAGTATAGAATTTTCCAAGTAATGGATCAATAAAATGAGAAGTAACTTAGCATATTCCCTACAATTAAAATGCTTGTTTCCAGATGAAAGTGTTTCTATGCATTTTATACCCCTCACTCTCATCTCTAACAACATAGTTTCTTCTTCCTGGAATGTCCTCTTTGGGGTTTTGGGGGGTTATTTAAAAACTGCTCCTTCCCCCAAAACCTGAATTTAGGATACAGTAGAAGTTTCAGAGAAATCAGCCAGAGACTAACAAATCCCTTTTATTCTCATTAATTTACTATCATTGTTGAAAAGAAAGGTTTATGTGTTACAGTCCAAGAGGCCTAAGATGAAGCCCAGATCTAAGCTTCCCACTCAAGCCCAGGGAGACATGGACTGATACAGCCTTTGCTTCTGAGGGTTTCTACCACTAACTTTAAAACATTGAAGAAAGCAGGCCTGAGCTGAGCTCCTTTTCCAAAGCCACTAGACTAATACATTACTCCTGCTCACATGGTGGGGAGAGACACCAAGAATGTTAGTCTAAGAAAATTTCTGGGAGAAAACAAGAGGGGAGAAAGTCTTTTGTGTTTTAGAAGCATTAATCTCTTAAGCTCCAGTATTTTCTCAACATCCTAATTACAAAACTTATTAGTGTTACCTTATAATTTAAACCTCATTACAAAGTGGACAAAGGACATGAACCCACATTTTTCAAAAGAACACAAATGACCAACATGAAAAAATGTTCAACATCACTAATCATCTGAGAAATGTAAATTAAAACCACAATGAGATACTAACTTATATCAGTCAGAATGGCTATTACTAAAAGGACAAAAAAAACAACAGATATGGGTGAGGATGCAGAGAAAAGGGAATGCTTATACACCATTGATGGGAATGTAAATATAACCTCTATGGAAAACAATATTCAGATTTCTCAAAGAATTAAAAATAGAACTACCATTTGATCCAGCAGTCCCACTGCTGGGTATCTACCCAAAGAAATGAAATCATTTATGATGGTTAGTATGGTCAGCTTGATTGGATTGAAGGATACAAAGTATTGATCCTGGGTGTGTCTGTGAGGGTGTTGTCAAAGGAGATTAACATTTGAGTCAGTGGGCTGGGAAAGGCAGACCCACCCTTAATATGGGTGGGCACAATCTAATCAGCTGCCAGTGCAGCTAGAATATAAGCAGGCAGAAAAATGTGGAAAGAGAGACCAGCCTAGCTTCCCAGCCTGCCTGCCTACATACATACATACACACATACATACATTCCATTATATATTATCTCTCCATATATATTCCATTAATTCTATCCTTCTAGAGAACCCTAATACGTCATTATATTAAAAAGATACCTGCACTTGTATGTTTATCAAAGAACAAATTATAATAACAAAGATATGGAATCAATCTAAGCATCTATCAATGAAATACTGGATAAAGAAGATGCGGTAGGCTGAGTGCAGTGGCTCATGCCTGTAATCCTAGCACTTTGGAAGGCTGAGGTGGGTAGATCACCTGAGGTCGGGAATTGGAGACCAGCCTGGCCAACATGGTGAAACCCTGTCTCTACTGAAAATACAAAAAAGTAGCCAGGCGTGGTGGTGCATGCCTGTAGTCCCAGCTACTCGGGAGGCTGAGGCATGAGAATTGCTTGAACCCAGGAGGCGGAGGTTGCAGTGAGCCAAGATTATGCCACTGCATTCCTGTCTGGGTGACAGAGTGAGACTACGTCTCAAAAAAAAAAAAAAAAAAAAAAAAGAGAGAGAGAAAGATGTGGTATATATACACCATGGAATAATGTTTAATGTTTCATCATAAAGCAGAATGAAATCATGTCTTTTGAAGCAACATGAATGAAACTGGAGGCCATTATCTTAAGTGAAATAACTTAAACAGAAAGCCAAGTACCATATGTTCTCATTTATAAGTGAGAGCTAAATAATATGTACACACACACATAGAGAGTAGAATAATAGACATTGGAGTCTAGGAAGTGCAGGAAGGGGGTTAGGGATGAGAAATTACTTAATGGGTACAAGTACACTGTTCAGGTGATGTCTCTAACAAAAGCCCAGACTTCACCAATAAGCAATATATCCATGTAACAAAACTGCACTTATATCCCCTAAATCTATTTTTTTAAAGAAATCATAAAATAATTTCTGAAAAAATACAAAAAGGAGAATTACCTTGTATTTAAGCTATTTATGTCTGTACCTGTCCCTGCCACACTGTGACTCCAGTTTATTAATTTTAAAATTCCCTGTGGTGCACAGTACCCACAGAAAACAGGCATTTGGGAAATGTGTGCAAATTGAATATCTGTGTTCTTTGCTAAAAGTTGTTCTTTGCCTATCAATAAGGAATAACTAGAGACAGGTAACGTAATTGCTAAATGGAAGGCAAACTGGTAGAGTTTCATTATAAATAAAACTTAGGAAATTCTCAGGTTCTCTTAATGATAGAAGGCCAAATGCCCCATGCCTGGAGACCTAAAACTTTAGGCACATCCTTCCCCATAAGCAATGGATTTGTGCACGGATGAGCTCTAATTTCTGGGAGTACTTGTGGAGATTTATCTTTGATGGGCTAGCTCCACAACAGTATAAATATTGCTGATAAAATCATAGTTCATACATCAAGAAAGATAACCGTTTGTATACCTTGACTAATAAAACAGATACTAATCTCCTGGATGATTTGAATGTAACATAATCAAAAATGCGTTTTTAATTTACTCCTAGATTTTCTGACCCTATAGCTTATTTCTACATAAATACTAGCATAAGACTGCTTTCTAAGACTCAACCTTTAAACAAAACTAATTATACATCCATTTAAAGATGAAAAATCATGCAGTCCTTCACAATAAAAAGTGCATTTCTGATCCAAGAGAAAACAACTGCAGTAATGAAAATCCCTAAACTTACTGGAGAGTGTTTCTTTCCGAGAATTGGTTCCAACTTCATAGAAGTAAGAGGTGCTGAGGTCAGAGTGAGCAGACCGTGTGATTCAAAAGCGTGTATCCAAGCAGCAAATGTACTAGAATTGGGAAGTATTCAGCAAGGAGGTGTCTCCAGGCAGGTAGGGCTCCATTCCCCAATCAGGCTAAATACTGGCTTTCAGAAATCCACTTGACAACTCTGATTGAGATGAGATTGCAGTCTGTAAAAGGTCAAGAAAACTTTTATACTCTAGCTACCATGATCACAAAAGTGCCAAAAAGCAGGGACAAAGAATAGGGAGTTTGCAGAAAAGAAGAAAATGTAATAGCCCTGTCTCCTCCCAAGCATGGTGAAAGGTAAAATGTGGCTGAGAAAAAAAATATTTGTGTCAGGCCTAGATTCTCAGTCTGAATTGAAAACAATAGCAATGAGATTGTCCTATACAAAGGCAACGCGTCAGAGGCACCCTGCATAGGCTGTTGTATCTTGTTTTGTAATTCCAAGTAAAAGCTCTGTTTGGGCATATTTGCTGTAGGATTAGAATCACAGAATGTTTGAGTTAGGTAGGATCTTGGAAACCACCTAGGACACCTCCCATTCCTCCCAATCCCAACACCTCCTGTCAGTTTTACACACAGGGAAGCTAAAATCCAAAAGCGATGGGACTTGCTCTCTGGCTTAGCTCTGCATTTGAGCTAAAGTATGCCTCCAGCCTGCAAGCTCAGCTCCCATGGAGACAGGATAGTATGAATATAAAACGCCCCAGATGTGCAGCCAGAAACAGCTGGTGGCTCATTCTGACTCTGCCACTCATTAGCTGCATGAATAAATCATTGAGCCTCAGTTACCTCGCATGTAAAATGGAAATGACATATGCCACATAGGGAGTTATATTTAGTAAAATGTTATTATAAAATTATTATTGTAAAATGCTTAGTATATTGCTTAGCACATAGTAAATGATTATTATTCCTCATTCTTTAGCAACATAAATGTATAATGACTCACCTTGCCAGCTCAGTTGGGTCCCCTTCATACCTTAGCAGAACTTTCATTAGTCCTTAGAGGGTCACTTAACCCTCTTTCTCATTCCCCATCAAATCACTTCAAATTCTCATTTATCATATCAATCCCTCTATGTTCTTGCCAACTCACTCCTTTTCATTTTTCCTTCTACCGTGCAAAAAACTTGCCATACATCCTATCAACCCATCTTTTTATTTTCTTCTGTTTTACCTTCTAAACATACCTGGCCTTGTCCTTTTGCTAAAGAGACTGGTCCATCCTTTTCCATGCTATTCAGAACCACATTCCATTTTTTTCAGCCCTCTCTATTTTCATATCTCACTGTTCCCTTCTTCCTTTCTTCCTTCCTATCCATCAGCCTATAAACTTAAATTTCATTACAAGAAAAGTTACAATAATTATATTAGTTCCCTCAATTTCCATGAAAATATAGCTCTTTTCCCCTTGTTCTCATTTTGTCTTCTGGTTTGTTTTTTTTACTGTCAATTGTCTCCTAAGTACAAGCTGCAGTTGGTCATTGTCTTCTAGTCTGCTTTATCATCTGCCTTCACACTGTAAAGGTGAAGGTCCTAAGAACACCATAGACCTCCTTATGTCCAGACTCAAAGGCCTCAATGAACTCTTCACCCTCCTGGATCTCATGGCAGCAACAACACTGCTGGCCACCTGCCCCTCCCTAATGCTCTCCACCCCTTTACCTGCCAGAGCACCTGGCTGCCCTCCTGCCTCTCTGATCCCACTTTTTCTTGTTGTAGTGGTGGTTGTTTCTGTTAACTCCATAACTGTTGGATAAGCTCAGAGTTCCATCTTTGGTCATCTTCTCCCTATATTTACCTGCCTTGATGATCTCATTATTGCCCTCTTCCATTGCTCCTTACCTGAATTCCAGCTCTACTCAGTATCTCTAAAGCACTCCAGACTTAATATATGCATAAAAACACATTTCTGCTCTCATTCCAATTCTACAAGTTTCAGTTAATGGAGCCTACTAACCCTGTTAGCCAAAGAGCCTGTCTTCCCTCTTCCTTACAGCCCACCTCATCTTCCATATCTAACCAGTCATCACATCCTGCTATTCATCCTTAGAAATGTCCCCCTCCAGCCCAGGCCAGCATCTCCATGCCCATGGCCTTGGCTTTAGTGGGAACCTCATCATTTCAGAGCTAGAATATTACAAATAGTCTCCAATGTGGTTTCAACCGATCCTAGCCTTCCCACTTCAGTACAACCTCTATACATTAACCAGAGGTGGAAATAGATTGGAGCATGAATCTGTTCCACCCCTGGGCTGCAACATAAAACCACCTTCCGTAAACTGACATAAAAGTCTTTTCAGACATGTAATTACCTCCACACCAGGGACTCTAGTCACATGTAGTATCTCACCATTCCTAAGCACATTGCCCTTTCACAAATCTTGATCCTACACATTCAAGTCTCATTGCCAGGAATATCATTCCCCTCTATCTCTTCCTGTTACCACCTTCAGCACCCAATTCAAATGTCACCCATCTCTGTGGGTATCCCTAGACAACCCCAGGCAAAACGTGGCCATGGTACTTTGTTCACACCTATATCAAGCTCTTACCCTGTGGAATTGTAATAAAACACTTTAATGTGTCTGTCTTGACAGTGGCATTGTCAGTCTTTCACAGCCGGAATTACACTTTTTCACCTTTTATTTCAGCACCTATTAGAAAGCCTTGACATATTAGGTGATCAAATACACATTTGTGGAATAAATGAATGACTATATAGTGGAATGTAGCCAATTGAGACTGATGCTTTTATTGCCCTTTCAATTGTTTTCATGCATAATTGCACTCCTTGTAACCTACAATTAAATGACAAAGTATCCAAACCAATCATTCTAATAACAAAATATCAACTTTCCATTCAGAAGATTTTTGGCAGATCAGCAATAGTAGAGGTGGAGGAGAACTGGGAATGGAGAGTGTTTAGGCAGAGATGGCCTCTGCCCACAGATGCAGAGTGGCACCGGAGAGCATCCAAACACACCCTGTCAAAACTCCCAACCCTGGATAGGGATTCCAGAAGAAGCTGCCTCATGTCAATAGAAGGGCACAGAGGAAGGACCCAATAGTGACAGTCAACTTATCATCATGTATCTCAAATATTCAATTAATTTTCCATTCCATGCAGTGCAACAGAGATTTATGAAGTGTCAGCTACATTTCAGGCAGTGTGCTAGATCTATAAAATAAAAATAGTTTACATTTGCATAACTATTTTTAATTTTCAAAGTGCTTTCATATACATTAATTTTGATTTTTATGCTAAATGAAAGTTAGATATTCTAGGAGGCAATCTCATGAAGTAATCCCTCTAACTCTGATATGATAACCAGGGAAGCTGAACTTACTTAAACTTTGAGATAAGGCCAAATACAAGGATGAAAAATATTTGATTATTCAGGATAAGGCTCTTCTTTCACATTAGTGTGGCAGTGTAACATCATACGCTAGCCACTGTGCATGTGATCACTATCATCAATCCCTGCCCACAGGTGGCTTCCAATAGAAGATGGAAACAATGCAAGTTTATACACCAAATATAAGTAAAGATCACCACCGATCCCACAGAAATACAAACCACCATCAGAGAATACTATAAACACTTCTACGCAAATAAACTAGAAAATCTAGAAGAAACGGATAAATTCCTCAACACATACACCCTCCTCCCAAGACTAAACCAGGAAGAAGTTGAATCTCTGAATAGACCAATAACAGGCTCTGAAATTAAGGCAATAATTAATAGCTTACCAACCAAAAAAAGTCCAGGACCAGATGGATTCACAGCCGAATTCTACCAGAGGTACAAGGAGGAGCTGGTACCATTCCTTCTGAAACTATTCCAATCAATAGAAAAAGAGGGAATTCTCCCTAACTCATTTTATGAGGCCAGCATCATCCTGATACTAAAGCCAGGCAGAGACACAACAAAAAAAGAGAATTTTAGACCAATATCCCTGATGAACGTTGATGCAAAAATCCTCAGTAAAATACTGGCAAACCAAATCCAGCAACACATCAAAAAGCTTATCCACCATGATCAAGTGGGCTTCATCCCTGGGATGCAAGGCTGGTTCAACATACACAAATCAATAAAAGTAATCCAGCATATAAACAGAACCAAAGACAAAAACCACATAATTATCTCAATAGATGCAGAAAAGGCCTTTGATAAAATTCAACACCACTTCATGCTAAAAACTCTCAATAAATTAGGTATTGATGGGATGTATCTCAAAATAATAAGAGCTATCTATGATAAACTCACAGCCAATATCATAACGAATGGGCAAAAATGAAGTATTCCCTTTGAAAACTGGCACAAGACAGGGATGCCCTCTCTCACCACTCCTATTCAACATAGTGTTGGAAATTCTGGCCAGGGCAATCAGGCAGGAGAAGGAAATAAAGGGTATTCAATTAGGAAAAGAGGAAGTCAAATTATCCCTGTTTGCAGATGACATGATTGTATATCTAGAAAGCTCCATTGTCTCAGCCCAAAATCTCCTTAAGCTGATAGGCAACTTCAGCAAAGTCTCAGGATACAAAATCAATGTACAAAAATCACAAGCATTCTTATACACCAATAACAGACAAACAGAGAGCCAAATCATGAGTGAACTCCCATTCACAATTGCTTCAAAGAGAATAAAATACCTAGGAATACAACTTACAAGGGATGTGAAGGACCTCTTCAAGGAGAACTACAAACCACTGCTCAATGACATAAAAGAGGATACAAACAAATGGAAGAACATTCCATGCTTATGGGTAGGAAGAATCAATATCGTGAAAATGGCCATACTGCCCAAGGTAATTTATAGATTCAATGCCATCCCCATCAAGCTACCAATGCCTTTCTTCACAGAATTGGAAAAAACTACTTTAAAGTTCATATGGAACCAAAAAAGAGCCCACATTGCCATGTCAATCCTAAGCCAAAAGAACAAAGCTGGAGGCATCACACTACCTGACTTCAAACTATACTACAAGGCTACAGTAACCAAAACAGCATGGTACTGGTACCAAAACAGAGATATAAAGCAATGGAACAGAACAGAGCCCTCAGAAATAACACCACATATCTACAACTATCTGATCTTTGACAAACCTGAAAAAAACAAGCAATGGGGAAAGGATTCCCTATTTAATAAATGGTGCTGGGAAAACTGGCTAGCCATATGTAGAAAGCTGAAACTGGATCCCTTCCTTACACCTTATACAAAAATCAATTCAAGATAGATTAAAGACTTAAATGTTAGACCTAAAACCATAAAAACCCTAGAAGAAAACCTAGGCAATACCATTCAGGACATAGGCATGGGCAAGGACTTCATGTCTAAAACACCAAAAGCAATGGCAACAAAAGCCAAAATTGACAAATGGGATCTAATTAAACTAAAGAGCTTTTGCACAGCAAAAGAAACTACCATCAGAGTGAACAGGCAACCTACAGAATGGGAGAAAATTTTTGCAATCTACTCATCTGACAAAGGGCTAATATCCAGAATCTACAATGAACTCAAACAAATTTACAAGAAAAAAACAACCCCATCCAAAAGTGGGCGAAGGATATGAGCAGACAGTTCTCAAAAGAAGACATTTATGCCGCCAAAAGACACATGAAAAAATGCTCATCATCACTGGCCATCAGAGAAATGCAAATCAAAACCACAATGAGATACCATCTCACACCAGTTAGAATGGCAATCACTAAAAAGTCAGGAAATAACAGGTGCTGGAGAGGATGTGGAGAAATAGGAACACTTTTACACTGTTGGTGGGACTGTAAACTAGTTCAACCACTGTGGAAGACAGTGTGGTGATTCCTCAGGGATCTAGAACTAGAAATACTGTTTGACCCAGCCATCCCATTACTGGGTATATACCCAAAGGATTATAAATCATGCTGCTATAAAGACACATGCACACGTATGTTTATTGCGGCACTATTCACAATAGCAAAGACTTGGAACCAACCCAAATGTCCAACAATTATAGACTGGATTAAGAAAATGTGGCAGATATACACCATGGAATACTATGCAGCCATAAAAAAGGATGAGTTCATGTCCTTTGTAGGGACATGGATGAAGCTGGAAACCATCATTCTCAGCAAACTATCACAAGGACAAAAAACCAAACACCACATGTTCTCACTCATAGGTGGGAATTGAACAACGAGAACACATGGACACAGGAAGGGGAACATCACACACTGGGGCCTGTTGTGGGGTGGGGGGAGAGGGGAGGGATAGCATTAGGAGATATACCTAATGCTAAATGATGAGTTAATGTGTGCAGCACACCAACGTGGCACATGTATACATATGTAGCTCACCTGCACATTTTGCACATGTACCCTAAAACTTAAAGTATAATAAAAAAAATAATAATAAGGTGTATATTAGAAGTACAAAATGTCGTGGTAGTTTAGAGAAAGGAGAAGCACATCCAACTGGGGGAATTAGAAAAAGTTTCATAAAGAAGGTTGCCTTGGGGCTAAGTTTGAAAGAGGAAAAGAATTGGTCAGAGAATCAGCATGAGCCAAGTTGTAGAACCAGAAATGCCCAGAGTACAGAACAGGAAGCATAATTCTCCTAGTTTTCTGGGAATATGAAAATGATCAGCAAAAAATCTATGAAGGTAATCCGAGGCCTTTAAAGAGAGCTTTGAGTAAGTTGCTGAAGAATTTCTGCTTAGTTATATAGACACTGGGGATGATGGAACGTTTCTGAGGTTAGCATGAGATGGTCAGATCTGGGCTTTAAGGAGGGAACTGGATGGAGTTGTAGAGGATAATGCAGAGGCAGAAAGGACTAGAGACAGAGAAAACAGTCTGGAGGCAACATTTGCAGCAGGCAAGTGCAATTTCTATTTCATGAGAATAGACTCTGAGGTGCTATAGCTGTCAATAATAGAACTATTAACAACCTATGTTTTGAAAATAGTTATTGTAAGATGGAAAATTCCTACAGCACTTTACAGTTAATCACCATATACTTAATTGGTATCTACAAAGTGCCTAGTGCTATGCTAAATCCAGAGGAGGAGGAGATGGTCACATGAAAATAAAATAGAAAGTGGTGCACAATGAAAAGACATCAAGGTATCACATAATTATGAGGATCAGACTATATTAGATCAGTTTGACTACCACGCAAAGAGCTAATTTTATGGGGTTTGGTAGCCAAGAGTAAGACGAAAATGTACATGATTGGTAAGGAATTCATGTTAAAACTTATGATAGATGTCGATATATTACATCATGAAAATGTTCACAAGTGAAGACTGCTTGAAGAGCTGAATTAATTGGCTGCCCAAAATAAGAAATAAACTTGAGAGCTGATGGTCATGTTCTATTCTTGTCATGAGACATCATTCATTCATTACGTGCCAGGCACTATTCTAAGTAAGTGCTCGGCATATGTGAGTGAACAAAACAAATGTCCCTGCAGTCTTAAGATTCACAAATAAGTAACATAGTAGCTTTGAGTGTGACAAGTGCTAAGAAAAACAAAAGAAGAACATGGCATGGAGTGGTGGCTGTAGTGTTGCAATTTTAAATGGGATGGTGGTTAAGGGTGGGCATCCTTTAAAAAACAATATGTGAACAATATGTCACCAGTAGATCACTGGTAAAGGCTATGGCTGTAAAAGACTGCTAAAAAAATTTCCACCCATGATGCTGAAGAGTTTGTCATTTGAGATTTAGAAAGTGTCAGCTCAGATTCCAAACTTCTAGAGTAAAAACAAGGTGAAAGGCATAGCTGGCATCACCTTGAAACTGCAGGTCCACTTAATTGTCGTTGTGTAGAAAGTAACGTGTAAGACATAGCAAAAGACAGCAGAGTTAAAGCCTGAGCACTGCTCTTTCATTTCCTTTGCCACCTCCCTTTCGCTCTCAATCCTGAACTCTTCCTGTATTTGCACTGTGTGATTGGGCTATTCTGTTGTATATTCTCAGATTTTAGTTCAAAATAACCAAGTCTTCCAGACTTGATTTTTGCTGTTAATCAAAATTCCTGAACTAAACTCAATGCAGTCAGCAAGGATATTTTTTAATCCAGAGTTTACAGCAAGGGGAGGGGCACTGTTTGTGAGAGATTAGATATTTATGCATTATGCAAGTTGACAAAGATATAAGTACAGAAGAGAACAGAGTACAAGCTTCATGAGACTGAGAAAAACATCTGGGATGCATTTATTACAGCATTAGCCCACAATTATCAGCCTATGTGCAGAGACTAAATGGAGAAGTAGCCAAAAGACCTCCTGGTACTGGATCTATATCAGCCAACAGACAACTGGGGAAATGTTAATGGATCTGTGAAGAACATAATTTGGCAACCTCAGACACTGTATCTCTAATTATAATTCACACACAAGTTGACTTTTATTGGCAATGTTTTTAAACAAGGAAAAAAATAGTAAAAAAAAAATTGGAAAGAGGCAAAAAGGGAAGATTTGTTTGAAATTGCTTTCCTTTTAAAGTTTCATGGGAATGGAACATTTCAGGCATCTCTGAAGAGTCAAAGCAGCAGTTAATGTTAAGCAATCCAGTTCTGTACTTGGACATGGTCTAAAATAACTGTGGTGGTTTTCAAATGACGTCTACTCTTAACAGATCTATCCAGAATACTTCAGCTATTACTCAATGACTTGGCATAATTAAACTACATCTGATGTAATAAATTGAACGACTTGGAGGAGAGATAAAAGACCACATGCAAAGCCATCGTTGCAGTTTAATCCTCACCTTTGGTAACTTCACAATGTCAAGTGGTATAACGGGGGGCTATATTTATGCAGGGAGAAGTCTCCTGAGGCTGAGTGGGATGGAAAGAGGAGGAAGCAGCCAGGGTAGCACATGTCACCAGAAGGACCTGTTAAAAACATGTCACATGTCACTCTGCAGCTTAACACCTTCCCATGGTATCCCTTCAATCCAGACACATCCAAACTCCTTACAGTGGGTGCCAGGCCCTTAGTGGCCCTGCCCTTGCCTTCCTCTCCTTGCTCACTAGAGTCCTGCCAAGCTGTCTTCCTGCTGATCTCAAATGTCCCAAGCTCCTTCCCACACCTCTGCACATACTTCTACTTGGTTCACCCCTCAACCCCTCCTATCTTCATGTATCTCATTCCTTATCATTCAGAATCTGCTCAAATGTTGCCTCCTCGAGGAGGTCTTGCATCCACTACATATCTGAGCACCAGCTTTATCACCCACATCCCCCAAGGCACATAAACTCAAACCCTGTCCTTGTTTTATTTTTATAGCACTTATCTCCACCTGAAATCATATTGGTTTCTTTTTCACTTGTTCATTTTCTGCCCTCCTAACTACAACATATGCAGAAATTGCACTTCCAGATTACCCTTGAAAAACTAGGAAATAATAATTATGTTAAATGCCAGAGAAAGCAGCAAAGATGAGCTAAGGGAAAAATTAATATGTAAGCTAATTTAAAATACTCACGTATTTAAGATGGGGGAAAAAAAACACATTTCAGAAGCTGTAGAAATATCCTGAAGGAAGTGAATATAGGGAATAAAACTAAAATGGTCAAATAACAAGTGTTTAATTAGTACTTATAAGATTTTCTTGGCCGTGCGTGGTGTCTCACGCCTGTAATCCCAGCACTTAGGGAGGCCAAGGCAGGTGGATCACAAGGTCAGGAGATCAAGACCATCCTGGGTAACACAGTGAAACCCCATCTCTACTAAAAATACAAAAAATTAGTTGGGCGTGGTGGTGGGTGCCTGTAGTCCCAGCTACTCGGGAGGCTGAGGCAAGAGAATGGCATGAACCCGGGAGGCAGAGCTTGCAGTGAGCTGAGATCATGCCACTGAACTCCAGCCTGGGCTACAGAGCAAGACTCCATCTTAAAAAAAAAAAAAAAAAAGATTTTCTTTGTTTTTATTCTAACTGGGGTTTGCAATTCATAAATGAGAAGTGGAAGTTATCGATGCCTAAATAAATTATTTGGTAGGGAGAGATGGGATAAATAAAAATGAGTAGGAGTTCACCTATCAGACAACTATTAAAAGTCTATTTTCCAGTCTTATGAAATATTAAGTGTAATAACATTCAGATTTGTCAAGTTGAATAAAATTTAGTATCCAGTGCTCTCATACATTTATGGATGTGAGCATAAAAAGGTTCAGCTTTTGGAAGATAACATGGAAATGGACGTCAAAATTAAAGCTACTTACTTTCCTTGAATTTATCTATTCCACTCTTAAGAATCTGTCCATTCCAACTTCTATACTGTTGTAATACCAAACAACATAAATATTCCTCATTTGGTTTGGTTACTAAATTATGATGATTCCTAATGTAGAATACCATGCAATAATTAGAAGTCAGATGGAAATTAAATGGCATTATATTTTTAAAATTTTGCATTTTACATAGAGTACATAATCTAGGTTGAAACTTTACTTGCAAAATATGGAATATATGAATGTGCAGGCAGGTATGCAAAAAAAATTATCTGTAAGAAAACATGGAAATGTCTTAATGCTTTTTGATCCCTCTAGGGAGTTAGACTGGAGTGTGAAAAACTTACCTTTCACCTTGTATTTTTCTGTATAATTTAAAAAACTTAAAAGAACTATTCTGATAATAGAATACAAGCTAATTAATAGAAAAAGGAAATAAAATAGGAGGCAATTTTGTATTGTGATCTGACTCCTGCCTAGCTCATGGCCATTCACCTGTCTCCCACACAGTTCACCTTTGCACACACCATTAACTCTTAACAGAAACCTCACCTTCCCCATCCCCCACCTCATAGGGCGGCAAACTAATTCTCCTTTAAGACTAAGCACAGACGCAACTTCATTTTAGCAGATGTTCCTAACCTCAGGAAACTGAGTACTGTGCCCTCTCTGTGCACTTCCATCCATCTCTGGCTGCTTTACCACACCTTCAGAGAGATGTTTCCTCCCAACCACGAACTTCAACTTGAAATTGTGGCCATATCACTTCTCTGCAACCATCTTAGTACACACAACTGTCTCAAGATGAACTTTGTTCCCCTAACTTCAAACACTCTACTACAGATATTTTCAGGAACAACCTGTGCAGGAGGTAATACCGTCTTGTATTTACAATTGAAATTGCCTTAAGCTCTTTAAAGCAAGGACTGTGTCTGTTTTGCTCTGTAATTCCCAAATCTATCCATGTCTGGCATACAGTAGGCTTTCAGTGAATACTAGTAAAAAGAAGGATGAAGACTCACGTGGAAAAGAATCTAAAAAGTTGTTTAAAGTATTTACATTTTAAAGAAGAACCCTTTCAAAAGCAATGCACTAACATCTCAGAAAGTGTTGCCTGTTTGGCGGAAAAGGTGTTGCCTTCTTGGCATGAGCTTCATGCTGATTCCAGGAGCCTGGACTTTGGAAGGAGAGTCTTAATAAAGGGCAAAGATTAAGAACATCTGTGTCCTTTTTAACTCAGGTGTCCCCAGGGCATTTTATCAAATTGAAGATCTAAATATGTAGGGTAAAATCTGCCTCAGGTTAGAATTTTCAGTTAGCAGGAATTCTCGACAGTTCAGTATGAATGAATCATTGAAAGTTGCAAAAGGACCCCAAAAGAATACAGGAGAAAATAGCTTATTAAAAACGATGAGCAAGGTTTTATAGTAGTTGCCATTCTTGAATTTTTTTATTCCACTCATCTGATCATTCGCCAAGTTCTTTTTTATTGTTTTCCTTCTACACAATTTTTAATGTGTTCCTTTCTGTCTACCCCAGCTCTTTACCATGGCCTAACCATTTCCCTGTCATCTGAACTCTGCAGCATACCCCAGCATCTTCAATTCCCTGCCTTCCTTCATTCTTCCATTTATTTGGCAAATGTGATTGATCACAAATGATGTATCTGGGGCTTCAGTGGAAGCTGAGCCTGTAACAATAAGCAAGATAGGTAATGATGCCTTTGCCTTTGGAGCAATATGTTTCAACCACAACAAACTAGTACTTTCTTCAGTTCCAGCTGCTTGAAATCTCCTCCCCACTAGGCTAACCCACAATTTGTTTCATGCCTGACTTCCTCCAAATACCTTCTAGAATTTCCACATGCTGTATTAAGTGTCCCATCTTATATTTCCAAGATACCTATTATATCAGGCAAGGTCTTAGCAGAAAACAATTGGCACACTCAGGGAGGGCACTAGAGGAGGCCTTAATAAACGGACTTGTATTAGTCTGGTCTTATGCTGCTAATAAAGACATACCCATAGACTGGGTAATTTATAAAGAAAAAGAGATTTAATGGACTCACAGTTCTATGTGGCTGGGGAGGCCTCACAATCATGGTGGAAGGTGAACGAGGAGCAAAGTCACGTCTTATACGTGGTGGCAGACAAGAAAACTTGTGCAGGGGAACTCCCATTTATAAAACCATCAGATATCGTGAGACTTATTTACTACCACGAGAACAGTATGAGGAAACCGCCCCCATGATTCAATTATCTCCACCTGGCCCCGCCCTTGACAGGTGGGGATTATTGCAATTTAAGGTGAGATTTGGGTGGAGACACAGCCAAACCATATCAGGACTCTCCAAAATTTGGCCAGGATTAAGGGACAAGGGATAATGTAGTACACTGAGAGTAGCAACATTAGGGAGCTGTTTCTTCCTCCAAGGTCTGAAGCAGCAGAGGGAAGAGACAACTGCCAAAATCTTGAGAAAGTCGGTGAAATTGTAAGGGAGGACTGCTTAACAGAAGCTGTGGCTGTAAGTAGAAACCCATCTAACCTGCAGTGACCAGCAGGGAAGAGCCAAGAAATAAACACCCCAGCCTTACGATCCTCCTTTCCTTCCATCTCTTGCTAGTTCGATCCTTTGATCAAACACCACCTGGAGCCAGAGGGCAAGAGAGCCCTCTGATTCAGCTTGTAGTGATTAACCTCCTAGGGATCAGAGAAAGAGAAGGAGGTAGAGCTAGAAAGACAAACAGAAAACATCCAACACAACTTCAATCATTGCATTTATATGGTACAATATCTCTCCCAACTAAACTCTGACTTCAGTGGAAGAAGGACACATGCCTCTTTGATGCAGGAAATGAGTGGGTACTCAGTAAGCTCACTGACCACAAGAATAAAGTTAGAGTTTTCTTCTACTTATCTTCAATGTTTTCTTTTTGTTTCTACTTGGAAAAAATGAAGCCACTGAAATACTGCTGTCCTTTAGCCTTCACAGGAGAAATGTCCATCTATGCTTTGTTGGGGTTTAATGCATTGAGGGATTTTAAAAATTAAACGTGAACCTTTCTGGGTCACAGAATGGCCGTGTCTCATGCCGCATATTTTAATAAGCATTTTCAAGTCCTAGAAGCCCGAAGGTCACCTTGCTGGGACTTCTGTCCTGTTGTTAGAGGAACTGTGGGGAGGTCATCACTTACCTCCACCTCGGGAATGACCAGGGTACAAGTATGAGCCATCCAGGGCTAGGCACAGCCTTGCTTCCCTTAGCAGGCAAGAAAGGAGCTCGGGCTGCAGGCCTGTTTTCAAGCCTGTTTTGAAACAGCACATGATGAAAACATATTAAAATAAAATATTGAAATTTCTAATGCCTTATGAGAAAATCAAATGAAATGTTGATTGTTGGTAAATTTGACATTTAATGGGCCCCTCCTTCTAGTCAGGAGTGTAGATCAGAATAAGGATGAGGTCTGAGCTCATTTACTTGCCAAAGGCATGCGCTGTACCAGAAGCTCAGGTTGTTCCACTTAAGTTTATTGTTTTTACCAAGTCAGGCTTTTTTTCCTCTCCAGTGATGCTTAATTTAACCAGAGATTAGACTACTAAGACCTCTGGGAGCAAGAAAGGAACACTCCTCAATCGTGATATTTCAGCCAAGGGAACTGAGCCGGAGGGAATGCATTGTCTCCCACAGTCTCCCATGGCTCAAGAAGATTTAATCACCTTCTTTGACATCTTCTAAGAACAGCCTTTTAGAAGCTTCACCGAACTTAGCCCCAAAGTCCAATCAGAAGCTTAGATGGGCTTAGTGAAAAGGCAGTTTTTGCTCCTGCCCCAGGATAAGAGTACAGAGGATATACCAAACACTCCTATGTGGGTTAAGAGCATTTCTGTGGGGCAGCTTCCTTGTGGAGGTGGATTTTTCAAACCTCCACAAGCCTCTCTCTCAGCAAGTATTCAGCTTCTGATTTCTGGAATGACTGGCCTGTCTGACATTAATAATCACAGCATGTGCTCTACCCACATAATGTTCTCACCAGTTTAGGAATCTACAGCTCCTTTATGTTCTCATTGGAAAACTCCTCATTGCTTGACTTAAAACAATGTTGATTCATTTTAATAGACATCAATCAAGCACTTCCCATGTCAAAGCATTGAGATGGGCATTTGGGGAAAGGATGAAAAAAAATGAGGCAGAATCTCTTTCTTTGGGGAACTTACAAATGCCTTGGGTTGAACAAGAGAGACTCAAATACAGAGCAAGAGGGAAGTGTCTAAGAGAGGGATCAGCTAGAATTGGTATTTAAGCACATGAGGATGAGAGATTCCCTCCAACTGGAGCATCTCAGGAAGGACTTTCCAGAGGAGGAATAATTTGCAATGGTCCCAGAAGGAGGTGCTCAAACTTCAGAAGCAGAAACAACTGCAAGCAAATAGAGTAAACACCATGAACCAATATCTCCTTTAGTAGCCTGATTCAGTCTTCCATTTGTTCATGCAATAAACGTTTATTGAGTGCCTAACTATATGCTTTTATGGGGGTATAAACATGAGTACGAGTAAGTCCAGTCACAACAAGCTCACAGGCTGGTAGGGGAGGAAAGGTAAACAATAGTTGCTGTAAACTGTGACAGCAAATCATAAAAATGCAGCCCAAGGTGGCAGAGATTCTCTGTCTAGGTGGGAATGAAAGGCTTCACAGAGGAAAAGACATTTGGACTGTATCTCAGAGGATGAGTAAGTGCTTGATACATAGACACAGGAGTAAGGGACAGCTCTGGTGCAAGGAAATGCAAAGGCATGGACACAGGAAATAGAATGGAATGTCTATTAGGTAACTGCAAGTCAACTAGACTGGCTAGAACATAAGTCTCATGAAAGGGAATGGGAAGGAAATGAAGACAGCCAGGCATAATCAACAAGGCCCTCTGATGATGAGCCAAGAAGTTTCAGGTTTTATTTGTGAGCCCTACAGAGTGGTTTTAAGTGAAGGAGTAACGTGTTCTGGTTTACATTTAGAAGAATTGTAGAAGCTTTATAGAGAGTTGAAGGCATGGGCTGGAGAGGAAAATATTGGTTAGGAGAGAATTGCAAGGGTATAAGGAAGATGATTAGAAGCTGAACTGAGTCAAATGCTGTGAATATAGGAGAAATGTGTGAATCGTGAAAAGGTGCAGAGATGCTGCAAGAAGGTCAAGTAAAGTGAGTTCCGGGAGATGCCCAGAGGATTTGGATATTAGGAGGTCCTCTGTAACCTAAACTCAAGCAGTTTTGATGAAATGATAGGGACTAGAAGCCTCAGAAGGCTGGAAGGTGAGGAAGTGTGCACCAGGAGCACAAAAGTATCTGTCACAGAGTTTGATGGTGAAGGGAGACAATGACAGTGGACAATAATGAGATGGAGTCGGAATCCGAGGTTGGGGTATCTTTATTAAAATGATAGATGTTTTAGCATGTGTCTTTTCTGCTCAAGATAATCTAGTAGAGAGGGAGGTTTGAAAAATGACGTCCAAACCCTAAATCAATAGCTATATTTATTTTTTATTGACTTCTAACACCAGACAATATGTATTATCTCATGAACATCAGATGAAAAAGTATCCATGTTTTATTATGTGAAAATGATAAGATGTTTTTAACACGTCCCACTGTGTTATCTGCTTATTTCTTGTTACACAGCTGTCAAAAACACTGTGGCAAGACACACACTTAGGACATGCCAATTCATTCATGTGAGTTTTATTGAAATATAAATATAAGCCTAAGGTGATTGGAAACTCATAGAATGAGGGGAGAGATGCCCTTAGAAGCACATTTCTCAAACTTTAATGTGCAGGCAAATCTGGGCTCTTGTTAAAATGCAGATTCTGATTCAGTAAGAACAGGATGGCACCCAAAATGCTGCATCCAGGTGATGTCAATATTACTAGCCCAAAGATCACATGCTGAAGAGCAAGACCCTATTTAGTAAGATGTCCCCCTCAGTACCACAAAAATATAAGTTCTCCCTCAAACTTACTTATAGATTCAGCACAATTTTAATCAAAATCCCAACAGGGGTTTTCATAAAATTTGATCCTAACATTCATTCGAGAGAGTAAAAGGCCAAAAATAGCCAAGACAGTTTTGAAGAAAATAAATAACAATGAGTCACTAACCCTTGATTCCACCATGAGTCACTAACCTTTGATTCCCTGTCAGAAATTAAGACAAACTATAAAGCTACAAGAATTTAAAATGTGAGAACAGGGATAATCACGTAGACCAGTGGAATGAAATAAAGTGTGCTAGGACAAAGGGCCCACAATGTGGGAAATGATAAAATTATATTCTAACTTCATCCCATACTCAAAAGTTAATATTAGTACATCAAAGGACAAAATTTTTTTAAGAAAAATTTTAGCTTTTAGAAGAAAATATAGTCAAATATCTTAATGACCTTGTGGTAAGAGAAGGTTTCTTACATAACACATTGAAAAGTACAAATTCATAAAGAAAAAGATTGATAAACTTGGTTTCTTTAATATTTAAAGCTTCTCTATGACAGAAATCAACATAGAGCACTGGTGTATTTGTAAGGCAATTTGGCAATACCTAGTAAACTTCAATAGATGTATATCCTGCCATCCAGCAATCCCACTTCTATTATACCCTAGACAGATTCTTGCACACAAGCTCAAAGACACATAAAGAAATATCTTCCTTGCAGCAACTACCAAACACTTATAAAACCATCAGATCTCATGAGAACTCACTATCACCAGAACAGCATGCGGGAAACTGGCCCTGTAATTCAGTTACCTCCACCTGGTCTCTCCCTTGACATGTGGAGATTACGAGGATTACAATTCAAGATAAAACTTGGGTGAAGACACAAAGCCTAATCATATCACATATTGTAATTAATTTTTAAAGAAGAAATTAAAGCATATTGATACAAAGTTGACAATTAGCTAAACAACTATGACATGGGATTAAAGGGAAAGTACTGGAAAGTTGAAGGTGCCAGCAGGAGAGTAGCTGAAGAGTTGTGCCATGGGGTCAGACTGGATGGTGAAGTAGACAGAGGAGGGGAGACATGAACTGGCAAGGAAAATGGAAAAGAGGAACTAAGGCAATTGGAGATTTCCTTGAAGCAAAGAACACATTTTGTGTAAGAGAATAAGAACTCTGGAAGGCCATGAAATTCTGGTTGGAGTGTGAATGTGAACATTGGGATGTCCAACATTGGCCTAGGCAAAGAATGTATGATACAGACCTCAAAAGCAAATACAGCAAAAACAAAAATAGACAAATGAGACTTCATGCCAGTACTCTACCAATTGAACCATCACCTATTCATCCATTTCTTTCCTCTTTGAGGAATATCTCATTATTTGATATATTTTTGTGGACTCAATTAAATATGGTGACTTTTGACCAGTGCAATTATGTGTATTATTAAAGGATATGGTGCTTTCCAATCCATGATCAAGTGCTTTATCTCTTAAGTACCATTAGTATAAATTTCTAGGCATGCCAAAAACCACTGAGGTTTCATCAACATTTCCCATTTAATTCATACGTTTTCCCTCAATTGAATCATATGTTGCTAGAAATTAATCAACTTCTCTGTTCAAAGTTAGCAAGAAGTTTCTGACCAATTGTTGTTCAGTGATTTAATGCTATAATCATAGTTCTCTTCAATACACAGTTTTTGTGGCTTTGACATTTTTCATGTATACTGAGGAGTTTTATAATTTCTCCATCTTCAGTTACTTATGTAGCCATGGGGTCCACAATCCTTGTACAGATATCTCCACAAACATAACACAGCTTCATCTACTTGAGGGAATCTTCTTTCCTTAGATCTTATTATACTCGGCTTTTGCTCTTCAAAAGAATAAGGAATTATGCCTCCAACTACAAATATCTATTTCAGTAATATCAAATGCACATGCTGCTGTTCTGTTTCCATGTCTACTTGTTTTCATAGTTTATCGTTTCAATGCCAAATATCAGTGTAATTCTTATTAAGATATTTAAAATAGCAACTAAACTGACAAGGTACACGAGTCCACTGCAGTAACAACAGTATGAGTAGCTATGATCTAGTTTGTGTATGCAATGACAGGCAATGACAACTACATCAAAATTCCTGCCTGGTCTATGGCAATTGTAAAACACTGTCAATATTTTTTAAATTTTTTCTTTAAGTTCTGGGATACATGTACAGAACGTGCAGGTTTATTACACAGGTACACATGTGCCACGGTTGTTTGCTGCACCTATCAACTCTGCATGAATTAGGTATTTGTCCTAATGCTCTCCCTCCCCTTGCCCCCCCACCCCGTGACAGGCCCTGGTGTGTGATGTTCCCCTCCTGTGTCCATGTGTTCTGATTGTTCTACTCCCACTTATAAGTGAGAATATGCGGTGTTTGGTTTTCTGTTCCTGTGTTAGTTTGCTGAGAATGATGGTTTCCAGCTTCATTCATGTCCCTGAAAAGGACATGAACTCATTCTTTTTTACAGCTGCACAGTATTCCATGATTTATATGTGCCACATTTTCTTTATGCAGTGTATCATTGTTGGGCATTTGGGTTGGTTCCAAGTCTCTGCTATTGTAAATAGTGCTGCAATAAACATACATGTGCATGTGTCTTTATAGTAGAATGATTTATAATCCTTTTGATATATACCCAGTAATGGGATTGCTGGGTCCAATGGTATTTCTGGTTCTAGATCCTTGAAGGATCACCACATTGTCTTCCACACTGGTTGAACTAATTTACACTCCCACCAACAACGCTATCAATTTTAAGATGCATCCCAATTTTAGACATGTGAAAAAAAATGTACCTCTTAGAGCCATTAGAACTAAGGTATACTAGTGAAAGTTGAGAAGAAAAGGAACTTTGGACCTTGGTGCTAGTAAGTCATCTATAAAAACATTGAAGTAGTCTTAACTAATAGTGAATCTAAGATGAAGAAGCTGCTTACCCATTTATGTACCTCATATCTCCCACTTCTACTTGTCCTTTCCTGTAAGCATATAGGTAATACAAATAGCAATAATATTTATGGAGTGATTCCCATGTTGTCAGCGTCGTTTATACATGCAGTAATCCTCTTTTACATTTAATCTTTACAACCACCCAACAAGGGTGCCATCGTTATTATCCTCATTTTACTAAGAAAACTGAAGAAAAAAGAGGTTAAATAACTTGCCTGAGATAGTAAGTGGCGGGTCCTGAATTCAAATCGGGCAGTGTGAATCAAAGCTTTGCATTAGGCCATTGTGCTTCTCCTTTTTTTTTAACTTTTATTTTAGGTTTAGGAGTACATGTGCACGTTTGTTATATAGGCAAATTGTGTGTCACAGAGGTTTGGTGTACAGATTATTTTGCCACTCAGGTAATAACCATAGTACCCGATAGGTAGTTGTGATCCTCACCCTCCTCTCACCTTCCACTCTCAGGGAGGCCCTGAATTCTGTTGTTCTCTTCTTTGTGTCCATATGTACTCAAAGTTTAGCTCCCACTTACAAGTGAGAAAATGAAGTATTTGGTTTTCTGTTCCTATGTTAATTTGCTTAGGATAATGATCTCCAGCTCCATCCATGTTGCTGCAAAGGGCAATATTCTTCTTTATGGCTGCATGGTATTCCATGGTGTACATGTACCACATTTTCTCTATCCAACCTACCACTGCTGGGCATTTAGGTTGATTCCATGTCTTTACTATTGTGAATAGTGCTACGATGAACATATGTGTGCCATCACATTACCTGAATTCAAACTATACTGCAAGGTTACAATAACCAAAATAGCATGGTACTAGTACAAAAACAGACACATAGACCAATGGAACAGAATAGAGAGCCCAGAAATAAGGCCACACACCTACGATCATCCGATCTTCAGCAAAGCTGACAAAAACAAGCAATGAGGAAAAGACTCCCTGTTCAATAAATGGTGGTGGGATAACTGGCTGGCCATATGCAGAAGATTGAAACAGAACCCCTTTCTTACACCATATAGAAAAAATCAACTCAAGATGGATTAAAGACCTAAATTTAAAACACAAAAACTATAAAAAATAAAAAACCCTGGAAGGTATCCTAGGAAATACCATTCTGGACATAGGACCTGACAAAGATCTCATGGTGAAGATGCCAAAAGCAATTGAAACAAAAACAAAAATTGACAAATCAGACCCAATTAAACTAAAGAGCTTCTGTGCAGCAAAAGGAACTATCAACAGAGTAAACAGACAACCTACAGAATGGGAGAAAATGTTTGCAAACTGTGACTCTGACAAAGGTCTAATATCCAGCATCTATAAGGAACTTATACAAACTTAAAAGCAAAAACCAAACATCCCCATTAAAAAGTGGGAAAAGGATGTAAACAGACACTTTTCAAAAGAAGACATACATGCAGCCAACAAGCATATCAAAAAAAGCTCAACATCACTGATCATTAGAGAAATACAAATCAAAACCACAATGAGATACCATCGCACACCAGTCATAATGGCTATTACTAAAAAGTGAAAAAAAAACAGATGCTGGTGAGGTTGTGGAGAAAAGGAAACATTTATACACTGCTGGCAGGAAAGTACATTAGTTTAGCCATTGTGGAAAGCAGTTTGGTGATTTCTCAAATAACTTAAAACAGAATTACCTCATTATGGTTTTGATTTCTCTAATGACCAGTGACGATGAGCTTTTTTTCATGTTTGTTGGCTACATAAATGTCTTCTTTTGAGAATTGTCTGTTTATATCCTTCTCCCACTTTTTGATGGGTTTTTTTTTCTTGTAAATTTGTTTCAGTTTCTTGTAGATTCTGGATATTAGCCCTTTGTCAGATGGATAGATTGCAAAAACTTTCTCCCATTCTGTAGGTTGTCTGTTCACTCTGATGATAGTTTTTCTTGCTGTGCAGAAGCTCTTTAGTTTAATTAGATCCCATTTGTCAATTTTGGCTTTTGTTGCCATTGCTTTCAGTGTTTTAGTCATGAAGTCTTTGCCCTATCTCATGCCAGTTAGAATGGTGATCATTAAAAAGTCAGGAAACAACAGACGCTGGAGAGAATGTGGAGAAATAGGAATGCTTTTACACTGTTGGTGGAAGTGTAAGTTAGCTCAACTATTGTGGAAGTCAGTGTGGCAATTCCTCGGGGATCTACAACCAGAAATACCATTTGACCCAGCAATCCTATTACTAGGTATATAACCAAAGGATTATAAATCATTCACCTATAAAGACACATGCACATGTATGTTTATTGCGGCACTATTCACAATAGCAAAGACTTAGAACCAACCCAAATGCCCATCAATGATAGACAGGATAAAGAAAATATGGCACATATACACCATGGAATACTATGCAGCCATTAAAAAAGGATGAGTTCATGTCCTTTGCAGGGACATGAATGAAACTGGAAACCATCATTCTCAGCAAACTAATACAGGAACAGAAAACCAAACACCATATGTTCTCACTCATAAGTGGGAATTGAACAATGAGAAAACATGAACACAGGGAGGAGAACATCCCACACCAGGGCCTGTCGGGGGGTGGGGGACTAGGGGAGAGATAGCATTAGGAGAATTACCTAATGTGGATGACGGGTTGATGGGTGCAGCAAATCACCATGGCATGTGTACACCTATGTAACAAACCTGCACATTCTGCACATGTACCCAGAACTTAAAGTATTTTATATATATATAAACAGAATTACCATTCAACCAAGCAATTTCATTATTGGGTATATACCCAAAGGAGTAGAAATCATTCTACTATAAGGACATCATGTTTCTCGAATCATACCTACCCCTATTTCCCTGCAGGGGCAGGAGATAGACCACCAGAAGTGCTGCACGCCCCTCCAGAGACTTGATTATTGGTACTCACCTTATATCCAATCATTTGCCATGCTCCACCTCTTGGTCTTACAAATGCAATGAATGGCAACAACTACAAAAGATAACATTGTCATAGTACTTAACAATTTGTAAAACATTTGTATATATCATGTGACTTAACCCTCACAACAGCTCTGCAAGGTACATATGATTTCCCCAATCTTACCAATAAAGATACAGATGTTCTATTAACTAAGGCTAAGACTAAGCAGGTATCATATAGAGGCAAACAATACAGAGGATTAAATAAGACAGACATTTGATCCTCTCCCATTTTATCCTGTGGAGCTAAGAGGTCCAAGCTGGTGGGAAAGCTATACTTCACAAAGTCATCTTGGGAACCAGGTTCCTTCGTCTTCTTGGTCTGCTGTTCCTAGGGAAGTTGTTCTCATCTGCACCATAGAATCTGGATCACCCCTAGGTCCAGGATCCAGCTCAAGAGAAGGGGAAGGAGGAGAGAGTCTAGGGTAGGCAATTTTCTGAAACAACACCTCTCCTTATATTCCATTCGTGAGAACTTAGTCATGAGACCGGTCATATCCAGCTATGAAGGAAGCTGAGAAATGTAGTCCTTAGCTGGGCAACCATGTGCCCAGGAGGAAGGAACAGACTTTGCAGGACAACAGATGCTCAAAAAGACTAAGTGACTTTCCTAAGGGCACTTAGCTAGTGAGTCAGAACCTAGTCTTCCAACTCCAGACCCAAAGTTGATTTTTCTATACCACAGCATCTTTACAATGAAAAAGTCAGAGACGTCTTAAGAAACATCGCTACAGAACATTTCAAACAACTAAATTTAAAGGGACTAAAGCCAATCCTTTTGATATTAAGGAAAGATGGGGCACTATGGACAACGTGTCCCCTCTAAATAGGTAACAACAGCCCCTGAGGATCAGTTTCTCTCAGAGGTCCTAGCAGAGGTGACAAGTGACTCAGTCCCCTCCACATTGTGCAAGGGTTAATTATGCTATCTTTCACTTATCTAGTTTATTTTTGTTGTTTTTTGGCACTATTTGGAATGCTAGCTTTTCAGTCATTTCTGATTTCTCTGCACGTCTGTAGCTCATGTAAAAATTTGGCAGGAGATGGGACTGAAAAGGAACAGCTTAACTGAACAGCTGTTTGTCAGTTCCAGGCAGCACCTGTGAGATGTACTGTGGCATTTTTGAACAGGGGGATAGGGAGGGTGAAGTGAAATAGAAAAGACCCCGGAGCTCTCAGGCTAGCATTAAATGAAAAAAGATTTCAGGCACATCAAGACCAGGCAAATATTTAATGGTAGTTAACATGAGTAGACCAGTAAAGACTAGGTGGAAGTCACTGGGATAGATCCAATGAGGACTCTGTGGAGGAAAAAGCAAGGTGAGTGTGCTGTTATTAATGTAGCCCGAAAAGATAACACCCTGTTTCCTTTTCTCCTTCCCACCCCACACACAGAGAGCAGAGAGGATTGATTTGAAGTATACTTCAGTACTCTGTCCATTTCATGATTCAAGCTGTCAGACATCCCTTGAGTCTATCCCCTTCTCATCAGCTCTTCTGGAAAATCTTGCACTGAGGTTTCCATTTGCATCTCATGCTGAAATCTCCCATGGATCAAACACTCTCTCACTCTTGCAGTTTTACACCCCTCAAATTGTCAGACAGCCCTGCTCTGCCCCTATTAAGTCTCTACTTCGCCAAGCCCCATGGCTCTGGTTCCTTCCACTTTGTTCTAACTTGGTCCTGTCCTCCCAGGTCATTGCAGCTGCTCTGCCCTGAGCTCACATGCCCTTACTCTCTTGCTCTCTCTCCTTTGACTTCAGCTCCCTGTTGTCCATAACTGATGGCTGATGACCCCTGCCATCACAGTATAGCACTCCAAAGGAAAAAATGTCACCTTTTCTGGTCTGGCATTTCATCAACTGATAGAACAGTTTTGCATGTACATTGCATTTTACAGGATACAAAGTCCATGATGTTCAGCACAGCACTTGCCAGGTATCTGGCACGGACATAGCTCTCTCCCTCCCAACAGTCCCTCCACTTCAGTGTCTCTTCAAGCTCAGGAATAAGAACCTAGTGACTAACCCCACTCTATCCAACCTACGGATGGAAAACTAAGGCCCAGAGATGGGGGTGGTGGGTGTGGTGCAGAATGGTTGAACTAAAATCTTAGCATGGATAGCAGTGCTGGGATTTCAGATTCTGCATTTCTAACAAGCTCCCAGAGGAGATCCTAACAATTCTCTGAGTACTGAGAGCATCTTCTAATCAGAGCCTGCAAGGTGACTTATTTCTTCAAACAAACCAACTGCTATGACTTTAAATTTTAGGTCTGGCGTTTCAAATCCCTTATTGGTAATTAACAAATGGTCCCACTGAAAATGACATATTTCATAAAGTAAATTACCCTGAAAATGAGACATCATGCCCTCCCCACTCCCAATCCATCTCAAAGGGGGATTAAAACAACAGTTTCGTTTCAATAAAAGATAAACCGGAAAGATATTTTGTCATCATCAATTTAATTACTCTTGACATTACATCATATATTAGTCCTCTTTACCTAATGTAAGTTAACTTTCTCAGCAGCAGAAACACACTGCATAATACCCCTTGAGTTCTTTAAAATCAAAAGCTTTGTTCCAAGCAGTAGAATTAGATCTAATCAATAGATTGTATTTTTCTACCTAATTTCAACTCTATATTTGTTAACGTTTGTTTCTTAAGCCATGTCGTCTATAACTAGAATATATTTTACTAAATTTCTAGCAATGGAATAGACATTTTTTAATCCTTAAGTATAGTGATCTTGTATGTGATTAAATGCAGGGTATTTTTGAGCCTACATAAGAAAAAATGTATTGTTAGGTGCTAGGTAAAGATTACTAATAACAACGAACTCAGTGAAACAACAGCCAATCTGTTGCCTATTTCAGTTGCCCATTCATCCATTAAGTATGTTTTGAATGCCTATCATGTCATTGACACTATGCAAGTTACTTGGGATCCAAAGATAAACAGGCCATGGTCGCTATTGTCAAAGTGCTCAAGGTCTACTGGAGAATAAGAGT
This sequence comes from Homo sapiens, assembly GCF_000001405.40. NCBI lineage: Eukaryota > Metazoa > Chordata > Mammalia > Primates > Hominidae > Homo > Homo sapiens. Next base: position 47,689,759 of record NC_000013.11, read on the forward strand.
GGCAAGGACTATTGTCTTTTGCTGTGATAAGTGCACTGCAGAGGGATGCTTGCAGTTCTGCAGCAGCACACTGGAGGAGAATCTAACTATAGATATCAAGGAAATATTATATAGAAAATACTTGAGTTTGCTACATAGGAGTTAGCCATGCCAAGATGGGAGAAGAGGATACGGGCTTACCTGACCAGGCAACTAACCCCTGCAAAGGTCAGGAATTTATGGGGAAATGCACATGAAGGAACTTCAAGTAGGTCAGAATGGCTGGAATAGAAAGTGGGAAGGTAGGAGTGAAAAGGCACGTGCATCGAGAAGCATTGGCAGATAGGTGGGGGAAGACTCAACCCCAGTCTTTTCAACCACACCCTGGTGCTCCCACCACACCAAGCTGTGCAGGGCAGATGCGAAAAACACCATACATAGTATGCATTCTGGAGACTGGAGGAGACTGAGGTAACTTTAGGTTAGGTCAATCAAGGAAGGCTCCATGGAGTACCAAGAGACTGTACCTTATCTAGAAGAATGGTTCCGGTCGGGTGGTGCCATATTGTGTTATGCTTAGAATAGCTCTCACCCACATAATCTATGGTTCTTCACAATTGAGATTGACTTTCTCTGTGCTCTCTTCACCTCTCCCAGCCCCCTTGCCCCTTACTAGATGGCCCTCCACCATGCTGCTAAAGCAGCATGTTCTCATCTCTACCATAGCACTAAAAGCACGCAATACGATAGTGATTTCTCTCCCTTACCTCCCCAGGTGTATACTTCTTGATGAAAGAGGTGGCATGTTTTTCTATTACTAATATTATTATTTTTATTATACCTATAATATAGGGCCTGGACCACAATAAGTATTTGAAAAATGTTTGTCAAAATGGATGGATAATGGATAGATGGATTAATAAATGGATAGATTAATGAATTATAATCTACTTGAGAACACACCCTGTTTGTTTTGTGTGTCAATTCTACATTCTCATATAAGTGTTTTTAAAACATTTCTTTACTTGGTAAATAAACCAGACTAGAAGTGAAGGCCTAGATAAGGAGGAAGTGGAAGATCAAAGCAAAGTGCCCCAGGAATTAAGAAAGCAGAACATATTCTATTAAGTATAGGAAAATCTGTATGTATATCCCATTAAGTGAAGAAAAATCAACAATAAATTAATTGAAACAAATTATCTGACTCAAAAAGTAAAATATGCAACACTACCAAATCTGTTTCATAAAAGAATTTTTGTAAAGTCTTCAGAAAACACAGTTCTGTCCCAGGGAAATCCATTAGAACTGGAGTTATGAAGCCCTAGAAAGAGGAGGCTTCAAGTCAAAACAAGCTCACGCACCACGATGGACAGCCACTTTCCCATCCACTGCCTCATTCTGTCAACACTACAGTGAAATAGACATCCTTTTCCCCAAAATTCACAGGCCAAAAGACCATAGATTTATATATGGACTAAAACAAAATTAAATGCATACTTAAATGACTACTTCATTTAAATTCAAATACTAGTTTTTTAGTATCTGTCACATCCCAGTACTGTTCTAAGCACAATAAAGGAACATTTTAGAAAAAAACAAAAAACCTATAGAGCAGCTGCTTGCCTTCAAAAATTTGTACTTTTTGCAGGGAGAAAAAATGTGTGTGTGTGTGTGTGTGTGTGTCTGTCTGTGTGTGTGTGTGTGAAATTTGGAAATTATTAGCAGCACAGAAAACTAGCTAGATTATTAGTACCAGTACTAACAAAAGTACTAATTAGTACTAGGTGACTGACTATCCTAGGAGAAATTATTTCACCCCCACACAGTGTCTTACAGAGAGCTACTGAATGAAATACAAGTGTAGAGTACCTTTGTATTTGATTCCTATGCCTGCTGCAGTAAGTTACCACAAACTTAGTGGCTTAAACAACAGAAATTTATTCTGTCAGCTTGAAGACCAGAAGTCTGAAAGCAGTATTGATGAGCTAACATCAAGGTGTCAGCAGGGCCACATTCTTTCTGGAGGCTCCAGAAGAGAATTCATCCCTCAGTTCTTCCAGCTTCTGGTAGCAACTGATATTTCTTGGCTGGTAGCCCCTCTCTTCTCCATCTTCACACCACCTTCTCGTCTATTTGCCTAATATAGTGTTGATGTTTGTTTCCACCCAAATCACTGGGGGTTGCATTGTAACCCCCAGTGCAGGAGGTAAGGCCTGGTGGGTGATGCATGGGAACAGATCCATCATGAATGGCTTGGGTCATCTCCTTGATAAGTGAAGTCTCACTCTGAGTTCATATGAGATCCAGTCATTTAAAAGTGTGTTTGACCCAGCAATCCCATTACTGGGTATATACCCAAAGGATTATAAATCATTCTACTATAAAGACACATGCACATGTATGTTTATTGCAGAACTATTCACAATAGCAAAGACTTGGAACCAACCCAAATGCCCATCAGTAATAGACTGGATAAAGAAAATGTGGCACATATACACCATGGAATACTATGCAGCCATAAAAAAGGATGAGTTCATGTCCTTTTCAGGGACATGGATGAAGCTGGAAACCATCATCCTCAGCAAACTAACATAGGAACAGAAAACCAAACACCACATATTCTCACTCATAAGTGGGAGTTGAATAATGAGAACACATGGACACAGAGAGGGGAACCTCCCACACCAGGGCCTGTCAGGGGGTGGGGGGCAAGGGGAGGGATAGCATTCGGAAAATATCTAATGTAGATGACAGTTTGATGGGTGTAGCAAACCACCATGGCACGTGTATACCTATGTAACAAACCTGCACGTTCTGCACATGTACCCCAGAACTTAAAGTATAATTTTTTTTAAAAAAAAGCGTGTGGCTCCTACAACCTAACTCTCTCTCACTTGCTCCTGCATTTGTCATGTGGTGTATCTAATCCCCCTTCACCTTTCACCGTGATTGAAAGCTTCCTGAGGCCTCCCTAGAAGCTGAGCAGATGCCAGCATCATGCTTCCTGTCCAGCCTGCAGAACTGTGATCCAATTAAGTCTCTTTTCATTATAAATTACTCCTCTCAGGTATTTCTTTTTGTTTGTTTGTTTGTTTATTTTATTTTATTTTTATTTTTATTATACTTTAAGTTTTAGGGTACATGTGCACAATGTGCAGGTTAGTTACATATGTATACATGTGCCATGCTGGTGTGCTGCACCCATTAACTCGTCATTTAGCATTAGGTATATCTCCTAATGCTATCCCTCCCCCCTCTCAGGTATTTCTTTATAGCAATACAAGAATGGCCTAACACAGTGTCTGTGTCAAATCTCCCTCTGCCTTCCTTTTATGTGATCCCATTTAGGGCCTACTCAGGTAATCCAGGACAGTCTTCCCAAGGCAAGATCCTTAATCCCATCTGCAAAATATTTGCCATGTAAGGTAACATTTACAGATTCCAGGGTTTAGGACTGGATATCCTTGTCTACTACAACCTTCATACCTACTCTTTTAGACTTTTCTCACCATCTCCTTCCCCTCTATTCCATCTGAGGTCTCCACCTCATATTTCATTCAGAAAATAGAAATAAAATCCTTCATCTTCCCACCACCAAATCTGCCTGCATCCTTGCCTAACTGATACCTCTCCTTCTCTCCTATTAGAGTGGAAGACATGTCCCTCCTGCTCTCAAAGCTCAGTTCCCCCACTGGGGTTCCTCTCTTCATCACTCATCTCTTTCTCAAGGACTTCTCTTCTTTAATATCTCTTTCTCTCTCTCTTTCTCTCTCTCTCTCTCTCTCTCTCCTCCCTCCCTCCCTCTCTTTCCTCATCATTTCTCTCTCTGTCCCCACTGGATTATTTCCAATAGTATTAGAAGAGGCTCGAGCACTTTTTATCTTTAGAAAATCTTCCTCTTGACCCCACACTTCACATCCCCTCCCACTCTACCTGATTTCCCTGCCCCTCTTTTTATGTAATTTCTTTTTTTCTTTTTATAAATCAAATTTTTAATTGAGAAATTTGTAGATTCACAGGCAATTGTAAGAAATAAAACTTAGCAATGTCATGTACCCTTTACCCAATGGTAACATCTTGCAAAATTATGATACAATATCATGACTTGGATATTGATATTCATATAATCAATGGATCTTATTTAGATTTGAGCAGCTTTTTGTCCTGTGCATGTGTGTGCACGCACGTCTATTTAGTTGTACTTAATTTTATCACATGTATAGGGTCATGTATCCTTCACCACTGTCAAGATACAGAGCCATTCCATCATCACTAGGATCCCTCCAGTTGGTTGCCATTTAATAAACACGCCCCCCCTCTCTCATTCTTTCCTGACCCCTTTCTCCTTCTCATCTCCTCCCCACCCAACTTTCTTTCCCTAAGCCCTGGAAACCATTAATGTGCTCCTTTTGTAAAATTTTATCATTTAAAAAATACATATATGCATGTATATATGTGTGTGTGTGTGTGTGTGTGTGTGTGTGTGTATTTGAAATTATACAGTATGTAATCTTTGGGGATTGATTTTTTTCACTCAGCATAAATTCTGAAGATTTATATAATTGTAGCTAGTATCAATAGTTCATTCCCTTCTATTGCTCAGTAATATTACACAGTATGGGTGTATTATAGTTTGTTAACCACTCACCTGTAAAAATAATATCTGGGTTTTTTCTACTTTTTGGCTATTACAAATAAAGCTGCTATGCATATTCATGCATATTTGTGTATAAGTTTTCTGTGTGCATGTAAGTTTTCATTTCTCTGTAATAAATGCCTAAGAGTGAAATTTCTGAGGTGTACTATACATATTTTGTTTTATAAGAAATTGCTTAACTTTTTCAGAGTGACTGTACCATTTTACATTCCCACCCATGCATACCAACAATGTAAGAGTAATTCAGTTTCCCTGTAACCTGCTAGCATTATGTCTTGTCACTAATTTTTATTTTAGCCATTCACATAGATGTGTAGTGATACTGCATCGTAATTTATTTTTTTTTTTTTTTTTTTGAGACGGAGTCTCACTCTCTCACCCAGGCTGGAGTGCAGTGGCGCGATCTCAGCTCACTGCAACCTCCGCCTCCTGGGTTCACACCATTCTTCTGCCTCAGCCTCCTGAGTAGCTGGGACTACAGGCACCCGCCACCACGCCCAGCTAATTTTTTGTATTTTTAGTGGAGACAGGGTTTCACTGTGTTAGCCAGGATGGTCTCCATCTCCTGACCTCGTGATCCACCCGCCTCGGCCTCCCAAAGTGCTGGGATTATAGGTATGAGCCACCGTGCCCAGCCTGCACTGTAATTTTAATTTGAATTTTTCTAATAGCTAATGATGATGAACAACTTTTTTTATTATCTCAACTTTTATTTTAGGTTCAGGGAGTGCAGATTTGTTATTAGGTTATATTGCATGATGTTGAAGTTTAGGATACAGATGATCCCATCGCCCAGTACAGAGTATAGTACCCAACAGTTAGTTTTTCAACTCTTCCCCCTTTCACCCCCTCCCTCCAGTAGTCTTCAGTGTCTATTATTGCCATCTTTATGTCTATGAGAACCTAATGTTTAGCTCCCCCTTATAAATGAGAATATGTGATAGTTGGTGTTCTGCTCCTGCATAATTCACTTAGGATAATGGCCTCCAGCTCTATCCATGTTGCTGCAAAGGACATGATTTCATTCTTTTTTATGGCTCTGTGGTACTTCATGGTATATATTACTACATTTTCTTTTTCCAATCCACTGTTGATGAGTATTAGGTTGATTCTATGTCTTTGGTATTGTGAATAGTATTGTGATGAACATATGAGAAAATGCGTCTTTTTGTTAGGATGATTTATTTTCTTTGGATATATACCCAGTAATGGGATTGCTGAGTCAAATGGTAGTTCTGTTTTAAGTTCTTTGAGAAATCTCCAAACTGTTTTCCACAGTGGATGAACCAATTTACATTCCCACCAACAGTGTGTAAGTGTTCCCTTTTCTCTGTAGCCTTACTACTGGTTGTCTCCTCAATCTGCTCTAGTCTAGGTTCCAACCATCATCCCAGGAAATGTCTCTTGTCAAGGCCACTGATGGCTCCCACGGTTACTTTACCAGTCAGTAGAACTCATAATGGTGGCCACATCTTCCATCTTGCACAATATTTCTCTCTTGGCTTCTCTGACCTCATGCTCTCCTGATATCCCTTCTACTTTTCCTTCTGCTCTTTCTTGAACTCCATTCCTACTCAAACTCTAAATGTTGAGGAATCTTAAGTCTCAACTTCAGGCACTTCTTTATTCTCTACCCTCTTTCCCTATATAATTTCAACAATTCTTTTGGAGCTAAATGCAAGTATTAGGTTATTGACTCTGAAACTTTTGCTCTTGCCGCATTTCTCCTCTGAAATCCATAGGCAAATATCTAAATTTTTTTTGAGACAAGTTTTGCTCTTATTGCCCAGGCTGGAGTGCAATGGCATGATCTTGGCTCACTGCAACCTCTGCCTCCTAGGTTCAAGCGATTCTCCTGCCTCAGCCTCCCAAGTAGCTGGGATTACAGGCACCCATAACCACGCCCGGCTAATTTTTGTATTTTTAGTGGAGACAGGGTTTCAACATGTTTGTCAGGATGGTGTCCAACTCCTGACCTCTAGTGATCCACCCGCCTCAGCCTCTCAAAGTACTGGTATTACAGGTGTGAGCCACCACACTGGGGTGCAAATATCTAAATTTTTGCTTGACATCTTCACTTGAACATCTCACACACAACTCAGATTAATATCCCCAAAGCAGAATTTACAATCTCTCTATTCCACCCTCTACCTCATCTTACTCTTCTAATTAGCCATTCACCCAGGAAAATCATGGGAAGGTAAGAAGAAATAAAAGAAGACAAAATAAATTTATGTGATAGAGATGGCACTGCCCAAATGTTTATAAACTGTCCACACAGTCATTCAGGATTCAGGCACCTTCCATCCCGTGGTTCCTCCATCCCCTTGGGCTTCAAAGTTCTTTGAATCCAGCCAAATGTCCTGAGAAGAAAGAGTAGAGAACACACAAACATTTCTTAAAACCCTAGCCCAGAAGAGGAGTATATTATTCCACTCACATTCTGTTGGTGAAAACTAGTCATGTGACCCTGCCTTGATGCAAAGGCTTCTGGGAAGTGTAGTCTCACTGGGCAGCTGCCCACTGTGTAAAGAGGAGCGCAAATTTGTTTCGGACAGCTAGTGGTCTCTCCCATGGCCAATTAAACCACAGAATGCAGGACTGTGGTTGATCTGAGGAGATTAAAAATCTGAGAAATTACCATTTTTTAAAAGAATTTTTTGTGGGAAGAAAGAAAAGAAAGAGAGGATAGAAACAGTAAATGAGATGTTGAAGTATTACAATCTATTTATAAGAGGATTTCTTATCCCACACTTTCCCTAGTCAGCTTACCTGAAGTCCCTGACTTAGGTAAGTGAGTAGTTATGAAAGGCAGAATTTACAACATCAATGAAAGAGTTACTTTTAGGCAGGTAGGACATAGGAAGATACCGGGTCACACCATACAGAAGTCTCCTACTTTGCCCAAACAAAGGTGTTTTGGCTGTAGAATTTCTCCTTAAACTCATTCTAGTGGCACTGACTATCCAGGCCCCATCTGAATGCTCCCTGAATTCCTAACTACTCAGCCTTAACTTTCTGAATTCCTGTGGGCTGTATCTCTCTAGGGCATGAACAAGGCAACTGCTCCATGAGACCACCATAGAAGATAAACTAAAAAATGGATTTCTACAAACTCCTGCCAGCATTTTGAAATGACTGCCCAAACAAATATGTTCTGACAGTTGCAAGAAAAGGATAAATAATAGATTCAGAAAAAAAAAATATCGTCAGCTAATTGTTCTGTGAAACTCTCTTATGTTCTCCTAGGTGTCTGTTACAAATGAAGTTTTTAGTAAATGTAGTTTCCAAAGTAGCCTGACATCTCACCTTGGGATGTGGCAGCTTTGTCTAATGAGCTGCCAGAGAATGGGATGGCAGGCAATGAAGAATTGAGTGCTCTAAGCCTTCCTTCCTCTTCCTTCACTTTACGTTGTTATTATGCAGAAGTGGGTCACGAACATTAAGAGAACTTTATTCAAATGTGGTGATAGATCAGCTGACAAAGTATATGCCTGGCTTGGCGAAGGCAGAAAATCACAAAGTCATCACAGAGTATGGATCATAGAGGGCACATAAATGTCACAAACGACGACCATATTAGCAACCACAAGCCATTCTGCCTCTGAGAAATTTGAATTTCCAACAGAATCAGGGAATTTGGACATTGGCCACACCACAATAGAGAACATGGGCTGGAGGGGTAGGACATGGGGGTAGGTGGTGACATGTCAGGCAGAGAGCAGTGGAGTCCCCCATCCTGAAATGTAAGTGTCTAAATCTTCTTCAGTACAAAATTTTTGGGGATAATACAGCTCTAATGAGATGCTCTGTATCTGATAAGAATAAACAGCTATTGGCAGTTTTCCACAAGTCAAAGTGGCCTTGGGACATGTTCTCACCCACTTAGTTGCCACGAAGACTTCCAACTATGTTACCATGGAGACAGCTTAGAAATCAAAGATATGACTTAAATTATTAAAGCCTACTAATCTAAGGAGAAACCCTGATAATTTGAATAGTTTTCCATTTAGACTGGCAATACTTATCTTGGAGCAAAAGAGAAATTAACATATTTTCTCAAAAGTTTATGAACTGTGACACTAGGTTTATCTCACTATATTTATTATTAGTCTAGATGCAGAAATTGTATGGTGCAGTAGCTTACGTAGCTTCATCCTGTCAGTTTGTCAATTTATATATGTATGATTTATAAGATATACTAGAGGATATAGTACAGAGTTGCACATCACAAATGAGTTAACTACCACAGCCCCGCCCCCAAATAATCAATGTTCTATTCTGGTACAGTGTCAGAAGATGGCATACTAATAACTTGTTGGCAGAAAGGCCTGCCACTTAACTAATATTCAGTACAGCTGATGTCTTGTTAATTAAATATTGTCATGACCATAGGATAGAAGGTTTCTGCAGGGTAGGCCACCCTGTTCCAAGTTTATTCCACAGGGATTCAGGAAGCATTCAGATGGGACCTGGGTAATCAGTGCCACTACAATGAGTTTAAGGAGAACTTCCACAGCCATACCTGTGTTTAGGCCAAGTAGGAGACTTCTGTATGGTGTGACTTGGTATCTGCCCAAGTTCCACCTGCCTGAAAGGAACTCTTTCATTGATGTTATAAATTCTGTCCTTCCTAACCACTCAGCCTAAAATCATAAGCTGAGAGTCATTCTCTTACTTTGACAGCAAATTTACAAACAATGTCTCCAAGGAATGGAAAAATGGAAATCCAAACCCAAAGAAGTCACTTTGGTTGTTGACAGAGAAGACACAAGATCACCAAACAGGTATCGTGGGCCAAAGCAAACCCTCATAAGACCCAGCAAGCAATAATGGGGAAAAAGAGGTTCTCCTTTCAGAGAGAAAAGGCAGCAGAAGTGGCTTGAAGTTTAAGGAATCTTTATCTCCCAAGCCTTCTCTCTTAAGAAGAGAATGAGAGTTTACATGCAGTGAAAATTACCTATATTTACTAAAACTGGAGGGAATCCATTCCTCTAGCATCCATTACTCCTCTGACAGCCCCCTCCTCCTCTTCCTCTCCCTTTCCACAGATCCCTCAATCTGCTTCTCATGTCTATCCACCAACTTCAACACATACAAATTCTGGAAAAGAAAAAAATCACAAGCAGTAGGAACTTCCAATATCCATTATGCCTCTCTTCCTTCCGTAGACAACCCCATTTTTATTTGGGAAGAAAATATGCCCAGTAAAAAACACTCACCTCCCAAGACTCCACTGCAGCTCAGAATGGCCATGGAACTCGGTGAGATAAGAGCAGAATAGGGATGCTCTTGTTTTCCTCATTAAAAAGGATAAGAACTTGTTGGTACAAGCCTTCCATTCTTGCTCCTCCTCTTCCTTCCTGCTAGTATCCAGGCACAAAGCTGTAGAGAAAAGGTTAGAAGAACTTTGCTATTTTCTTAAAATCAAGAGTGGGAAAAGCATGTCCTAGGGATGGTAGTGGGAGGTTAAAAGGAAACTTGATCCTTGAGGTTTCCCTTGAGGAATGAGCCTGGACTGCCACCTTTAGACTAATAGTTATATGAGAATAATCAATCTCTCTTTGAAATAAGACATTAATCAGTTTTATGCCACTAAAGATGATCTTGTTTGATATACCATGGCTGCTACTGAACAATGAGGAGACAAATAATGAAATATGAGGGAATGACATGAGAATAAAAGCTTGAAAATAGTGGGAGGAAGCATGGCTTCTGTATCAGTCAGAGCTCCACAAGAGAAAAAGAACCAATGGGAAATATGCATTAAGAGATTTATTGCAAGGAATTAATGACTGTCGGGGTTGGCTAGGCAAAGCAAAATCTGCAAGGCAAATTGTCGAGAAGGGTAGGCTGAAAACTCTCAGGCAAGAGCTGATTCTGCAATCCACGAGCAAGTTGTGCCTGGTCACCATAATGCACAGCAAAGCCAAAGCAGTATTCATATAGTCTGAGATCTTCATTATTGGCTAGTTGATCATGGTAACCCTAGAACTGAAATATAAGGTCAGCCGACTAAAATCTTACTTGATCTGTATAGGAGGAAAGCTCTAGAGATAGTGAACAGAAGTCTAACTTGAATCACCAAAACAGAGTCACAGTCCCTCACTCAATCCCCAGCTTCAGCCAGTTGATAGGCCCAGATCTCCTTAAATAAAGAGGAGGCCAGATCCTTCTAAGAAGAAATCCTGCTATGCTTCCAAAAAAGTGCCTGTATACTATTAATCTTCTCAGTTGTCCCAAAATGTACCTGAAGCCATTTACTGGAGTAATTGCACATTGAGGAAGGGGAAATAATCAGGCTTTCTAGGGGTTTACCAGATACTGACTCTAAACTGTCACTAATTCCTGGAGACCTAAGTGTCACTTCTCTATCACATCACAGCAAAAGAAGCTTGTGGAGGTCAGGTGAATGGAGATCAATGGAGTTTGGCTCAGGTCTGTTATAGTAGGCCCAGTGAGTCTAAACACAATGTATGGTTTTTACACCATTTCAAGAAGGCGTAATTGGAATAGATATGCTTACAAACTGGAAGAATATCCGCATTGGTTCCCTGACCATGGAATAAGGCTTAGTACTGTAGGAAAGTCCAGTGGAAGCCACTAGAACTGCCTTTACTTAGGAAAATAGTAAACCAAAAGTCATACCATTCTTGTAGAAATTGCAAAGATTAATGCCATGATCAAGGACTTAAAAGATGCAGGGGTGCTTATTCCCAACTCCTAACACATTCCTATTCAGCTTGACTGTTTGGCTTCTGAAGAAGGCAGGTCTTGGAGAATGACAGTGAACTATGACAAGTGTAATTAGGTGGGGACTCCAATTGCAGCTGTTCTTCCAAATGTGGTTTCATTTGGAAACACATCCATTGGTACTTGTTATGCAGGAATTTATTTGGGAAATTATTTTTTTTTCTAGATCTATTAGTAAAGACCATCAGAGGCAGTTTGCTTCCAGCTAGGAAGACAGGCCAAATACCTTTAGTGACCTACTTCAGTGGTATATCAACTCTCCAGACCTACGTCATGATCAAGTTTGCAGGGACCTTGACTGCCTTTCCCCTCCACAGGATGTCCGTTACATTGATGATGTGATGTTGATTGGTCCTGGTGATCAGGGAATAGCAACTACTCTAACTATACTGATAAGATACTAATAGACCAAAGAATAGAAAATAAATTCCACAACAATTCCAGGGCCTGCCACCTCAGTGAAATTTCTAGAGGCCCACTTGTCTGGGGAATGTTGAGATAGGCTTTCCAAGAGAAAGACAGTTGCTGCACTTGGTCCTCCCTGCCAATAAGAAAGAAGTATAACACCTATTAGCCCTCTTTTGATTTGAGGGGCAATGTATACCTCAACCCACTTACCAAGTGATCCATAGGAGCTGCCAGTTTTGAGTGGTGCTCAAAATAAGCGAGGGCTCTGCAACAGGCCCAGGCTGCCATGCAAGGTACTCTGCTACATGGCCTGTACAACTCAGCAGATCTGGTGGTGCTTGAAGTGGCAGTGGCCCATAAAGATGCTGTTTGAAGCCTTTGGCAGGCCCCTATACATGAATTTTAGTGAAGATCGTTAGGATTTTGGAACAAAGTTATTCCAACCTCTGAAGATAATTACACTGATCTTGAGAAACAACATTTGGTTTGCTGCTGGGCATTGGTAGAGACTGAATACTTGTCCATAGGATATCAAGTTAACATTAAACCTGAACTGCGCATCATGAACTGGGTGTGTTCTAACTCACCCAGTTATAGAGATGGGCATGCACAGCAGCACTATGAGGTCAGGCTTAAGCAGGTCTTTAGACACAAGTCTGACAAGAAATGATCCAGATGCCCATGGCCTCAATCATGATACATTATATTCTCTCTCTCTCTCTCACACACACACACACACACACACACACACACACACACACACACACACACAATATCTATGGCCTCTTAGGGAGTTCTCTATGATCATTTGATTGAAGAAAAAAATCTAAGGCTTGGATTACACATAGTTCTGCGCAATATGCAGTTACCAACCAAAGTGGAGAGTTGCAATATTACAGTCCCAATCTGGAAAAACCCAGAAGGTGAAGGGAGGTTCTTCCAGTGGGCTGAACTTCAAGCAATGCACCAGATTGTTCACTTTTCAGGAAAGAGAGATGCCCAAAGATACACGTCTATACCAATTTATGAGCTGTGGCTAATAAATTGTTTGGCGGGATGGTCAGAGACTTGAAAGAAACACAACTAGAAAACTGGTGGCTAGGAAGTCTAGGAAAGAAGTATGTAGAGAGATATGTTCAAATGAGTAGAGTGTAAAGATATTTGTGTCCCTCATGAATGCTCATTAAAAAGTGACCTCAGGGAAGGATTATAATAATCAGGTGGGTTGGAGGGCCAGTCTGTGGAGGTTAGTCAGCCTCCTTCCCTGCCATTCCTGTCATTGCCCACTTGGTTCACAAAGAGGCCATGGAGGCAAGAATGGAGGTTATGCATGGGCTCAGCAACATGGACTTCCACTCACCAAGGCCAACCTGGCTACAGCCACTGCTAACTGCCCATTCTGCCAAGAGCCAGCAACTGCGTGAATGAGGTTGGAAACAGATCCTCCCACGGTCGAGCCTTGAGGTGACTACGGCCCTAGCCAACAACTTCACAACAACCCCAGGTCAGACTCTGAGACAGAACTACCAGCCAAGCCGCTTCTTGGTTTCTGATCTAGAGAAACTCAGATATAATAAATGTCTGCTATTTGAAGATGATAGTCTTAAGCTAGTTTGTTACACAACAATGATAATATACACCCAACATGAATAAAACCTTGTCCAGGAGTCTCAGATAACCCAGATGTGATAGTGATAGGAATCTCCAAGAGAGAACACTCACTGCTTTCCTTATTTTAGTTTTCTTTCTTGGTACTTTTTTAAAATTCTTATATTTACATGAAAAGAAGAATCATGCCTTATATTTGCCACTGAATAGCTGATTTCCAAAAATTACACATTCTTTTTTATCTATTTCCCTAGAAAACTACATGTAGGCATTAACAGTTGGGGGGAAAGGACTGTTGCCCTCTATATTCTTTTTTTACCTTTCATTCAAGCACTATGATAATGATAGGGACTTATTTAAAAAAAAAAAAGAAACAAAGAAAGAAAAGAAAAAGAAAGAAAGAAAGAGAGAGAGAGGAAGGGACCTGAGCCATAGGGACAGTTGTGTGATGTCTCTGACCCAGTATCAGCCATGAAAAAATAGAATTTATGATGGATATTACAGTTAAAATAGAGAAGTTATAAAATTGTGACAAAATGGGGAAGAACAGGAACATCTCCACTTCTATTTTTTGCTCACCAGAATTAATTTGCCCTTCCTGCAGCACAGAGCTAGGCCACCTCTGAGTGACCAACAACTCTGACCTGAAATCAAACCCAACTTCCACAGCTCTTGTAACCAGGAAGATTTTTTAATTCATGTGTGAGTCCCTACTCACCTGACACTCAAAGAGGAACTGCATCCTTTTGAACAGATTGACTTCCAGGTGTAAATCTATATATTTTAATGGCATTTTTGTTATTGTTGCTGTTCAGAGAAAGATTAATTCTGTGCCCTTGCAACATAATTTTTCTCTTGGATTTTCTGACAATGAAAATAGGCCCTTAGAGAACTCATCGCTGTGGACAGGTTTCTTTCATCAGAATGCCATTCTTCTTTCTCTCCTCACTAGTAAGATACAGATACTGCACCGCATTCGCTTCAGAAACAGAATCCTTGTCTCAAGTCTTTAAGATTTAATCTATTTCATTTTCCATCTTAAGTCTGCAATTATTCACTACAAATCACTTACACATAACCCTTGGTCATTTTATTCATTTCTAGACGTTAAGAGATCACTCTGATTTTTACCTCAATAGTACTCTACAGGAATTTACTTTCATTTTAAAATGATGCATACTCTTCACTGTGGCAGTTGTCACCTCCTTGCAAAGAATGTATTAAACTACTCATTGGCAGGATCTTCAAATCTAGTGGTACCATGTTGCTGGTGAGCTAAAATTAATTTGCCAGGTAATGAGGCAATCTTCTTTGCCCATTTCCCTAATTAATATTTTCCATATTTAATGGAAATTCTGACCTCACCTTTCTGCCTTCCTCTAAGCAAATGATTACAGGCAAAAAAGCTGACCTTGGGTCTTCAAGACCCAGTTTTCCAAACTCTCCAAACTCCACTCGAAGTCATCTGACCTTGCTCTATTCAAGATGGGTTAGCGGAGACGCTGCAGCTACACTACCAGCTGAGGCAGCTGCTGCATTAAGATTTATATCTTAGTTAAGATAAGAAACAAAGCTGATAGTTGCTTCAAAGCTTGGAGCAATGTCGAGATAGAAATCACAGAAGAGGGTAGGTCCTCAAGAGATATAATTTCTTATAATTATATTTATCATATACAGATAAAAACATGGTATATTACCTTCCTGGGGTTTCAGTAGCAAATTACCACCAACTTGGCCACTTGAAACAACAGAAATTTACTCTTTCACAATTCTGGGAACCAGAAGGCTGAAATCATGGCATCGGTGGGGCTGTGCTCCCTCAGAAATCTCTCCAGGAGGCTCCTTTCCTGCGTCTTCCAGCTTTTGGTGGCTTTAGGCATTCCTTGGCTTGTGGCTACTTCACTCCAATGTCTTATTCCATGGTCACGTTGCCTCCTCCTCCTCTCTGTGTTTTCACTCCTATCTGTCTCAAATCTCCCTCTGCCGTTCTCTCATAAAGACATTCATCATTCGAATTAGGGCCAACCTGAGCAATCCCAAATAATCACCTTATCTCAACATCCTTCATTTAATTACACCTGCAAAGACCCTTTTTCCAAATAAAGTCACATTCATAGCTGCCAGGAGTTTGATATGAATATCTTTCGAGGAGTCATTTTTCAGCTGACCACACGTGGGTATATGTGAAAGTGCAGACGTATGCACAAAGGAAACCAATTTCTGCAAGTTGAGGAATGGAATATTGAGTCAGCAAAACATAACCACAGCAATTTAGCATTTTGTTTTGTCTGCTTTGTGTTTATCATAAGTGATTCTGCGAGAATACAAAACTGCAAAAACTTGATCCAATTTTCAAAGTGCCACAGTAAAATAAAATACAGTTAATGCTAGAATCTTGCTAATTGCAACAGAGAGAGAAATAAGAGAAAAAAAGAGTCTGTGGGCATATGAGTCAGAAAGAATGGGATTTGAATCCTGGCTATGCTGAACTCCAGACCTATATCCATGCATAAATTAACTTGTTTTTTTTTTTTACTAGGAAATAAAGATAATACATCTTATGATAAAAACAATAGTTTAGAGTGATGCATGAAGAGGCACACTAACCACTAAGGGAGGGTCTCGCAATGGTCCGGGACAGTAAGGAGATTCAGCAAAAGATTCAGCACCTCCTTGTTAGCACCCTTAGGTATGTTATACTTTCTACTTTACTGCATCTTCACAATAATGCTAAGATATAGCTGTGTCATCCACAATTCAGAGGTGAGTAAGGAGGCTCAGAGAAGGTAACTTGCCTGAAGTCTTGCAGCTATTAACTAACACAACTTGAATCGAAATCCAGGTCTTTCTAACCACAAAGTCTATAGAAATGAGAAAAAAAAATAGATAAGGTTGATAGAGAAAAGCTCAATATCAAAACAATCAAATACATATTCAAATGTTGCCTTGACATGTTGACTATACCCAATGCCTAGTGAGAGGTGCTGAAACACATAGGAGGGTGAATAAGGCACAGAGCCTGTCCTCAAGAAGCGTCACCCAACTCTGGCTACTGAAAATAGACTAAGATCAGTCATCTGATTGCTTAACTATGAAGCAGTAAAGTCCAGTCCAGCATCAAATTGAAAAATTCTTAGCTATCTCTTACCTCAAATCTGAATATCTAGAAGCAGAGCGTTCTAAGTGCAATACCAGCATAAGGTTATGGCTTTTCTGCATTGTTCCAATTCCACAGGGTGTTCCTACCTTGACCAGAACCTGCTACCATCTTAATCCCCCCTTCCCCCAACCACCTACCACCACTCCAAAGAGAGGGGACTCAAGCAGTGGTCCTCAGTTCCAACCAGTGAGCCAGGCAACCTCATATACTTTGCCTAGTACTTGTCAATTCCCTTGAGAGTTGTAACCAGCTACTGGTTCTTCTTACTTGGAAACCAAACCCATATTTTAGACAGGATTGGGGTACCCTGGCCCTTTTAAAGTTCAACCTGGTTCCTTGGATAGTGAGACTGCCCTGGATTTGATTGAGGTTTTCCCACATTCATTCAGTCTTCGTTGTAAGGAGACAAGGTTCCTGTCATTTCTTCTGTCCTGAAGCTTTTTCTATTCCCATTGGCCAGCCCTGCCCCAGCAAATGAGCAGAGCTGAATGACAAATCAATGAGCTAAACAAGGAGATATACAGCAAATGAACAAAATGAGCAAGATGTATAACAATGGATTAAATGAACAAGAGGCAAGGCATGGTGTCTCACGCCTGTAATCCCAGCACTTTGGGAGGCCAAGGTGGGTGGATCACCTGAGGTCAGGAGTTCAAGGCCATCCTGACCAACATGGTGAAACCCCGTCTCTAGTAAAAGTACAAAAATTAGCTGGACACGTGTCATGCACCTGTAGTCCCAGCTACTCGGGAGGCTGAGGCTGGAGAATGGCTTGAACCTGGGAGGCAGAGTTTGCAGTGAGCTGAGATCATGCCACTGCACTCCAGCCTGGGTGACAGAGCAAGACTCCATCTCAAAAAGTAAATAAATAAATAAGATATATAATAAATGAATGAAATGATTGGGGGGTATATGGCAAATGAATGAAATGAATGGGGGTATATATATGAATTAAGGTAATCAGGAGCAGACAGTATTTGGAGGTCTCAGTGGGGGCAGAGAGCTGTACACAGGCTCAGGCAGGTCCCTGGGCTGCAGCTGAATACCAGTCAGCTCGAATAAAGGTAGGGTAAGCATTCAAAAGAGCAAAGTATTCCTGTGAATGAAAAATAAGCTAATTCCTAAAGGAGAGAAGGACATGTTAAACTGTTCGGTAGATGCTATTCCTGACTGTATTGATTTTATGTGTGGGTTTTTTTTTTTCTAACAATACTAGAGAAAGTGACCCCAAGATTCTCAGAATCAATCATGGCAAATCTCAATAGTGTTCTATTCCAGGAAGTGGTCTGACCCAACAAAGGTTTGTTTCACATGCAGACTCAATCGCCTAAAATTTATACCGCCCAAAGCACTGAGCCTCCTGTGATTCTGTCAGTGGTAATTTTCTTGAGTTGTATAAGCTTCATTATTAACAAATCCAAAGAGGAAGAAAAACAGGTGCAGGGTACATCTATCCTGTCACATTTCACAGACTGTGGGTTTAAATCACCCAGATGCTTACACATAATCACAAAACAGTATTTATAGCTGACTCCAAAGCATTCAAAGGCTGATGATCCAGTTTACAAATTCGACTACCCTGTTCCATCATTTTACCTACTTTCTTTTCATTTCAGTGCTTGTCATTATCCCCAAGTATTAGGTTGGCAAGAAGAAAAAAAAATAAAACTCAAACTAGTCTATTAAGAACTTAAGGTCTCAGTGAAGATGGCTGGTAAGGATTAATGCAATTGACTAAGATGACATTTTTGGATTATGTGTGTATTTCAATCATCTATGCTTTCCCCAGGCCAGTTCATGTCATGAAAATTGATATTCACTAGCATAGTCATGCCTTCCAGATCCTCCTTACCCTGAGAGTTTGTACGTAGGCTCTTCTCTACTTATAAGATGCAGACGTGGAGAAATGGCATGATTTAGGATTACAAAAAGATGGAATTATGCTAATCCCACACCAAAGCCAAGAAGAGCAGGAATGGATTCACACCCTGCTATTCCCATGACCTATGGACCATTGAAAACCACAACTCCTTCCCCAGTTTACTGAAATGTCTTGAAGGCTTTATAAAGGGGGCTTTTCAGGGACAGCATCTGGGAAATGTCACTCAAGGTGTGTCAACATCATCCTGCTCCCTGGGAGGGACAGCACATTTGTTCAATACAAATGCGTATTGTGTATTAAGAGACTTCGTCTTTCCTGTTTATTTCCTTGGCATTTTCCCAGGCAAGTGGGTCAGAGGGTGAACTTTAAAGTATGATTTGATTACTGACATTCTTGGATTTTTGGTTGTCAGGCATTGCTTAACTCTTGTTACCTCGTGCCCTCTGTGTCTGCAAAGTGGTGATTTAGTTCTGACTCACTTGATACACAGGGAAGATAAAAAGGATGATCACAAAACTGCCTTTCACTTAGCACTTACCAAGAATTTGCCATTTACAGCAACATATCAGGTTCTGTGTGGCTTATTACATGAGATGGTCACAACAAGGTACAACCAGGAAACACTTCTTTTTTCTCCCATTGCTGGTCTGCTACGTCAAAGCTTTCTGTTCCATCCCTGGACAAGAGCTCAGGCAGCTCCCACCACTTTCATTCACTTTAAGACTCACTCTTAGATATTGAAAGTCCAGTAGAGTCATATCAAAACACCAAGATCACATTTACAACTTTCTCCTCCCCTTTAACCCAGGCCTAGCCTGCAGGTCAGACAACTACAGTAGGTATAAGGGTGCCCAAACTGGTCTCTCATGTCTTTTCTGCCTTTCCTTCTCTATCTTCCTTCTCTCTCAGCCTCATAGAGCCAAAGGGGAAGAGGAGCAAACTACAGAAACTCCCCCTGAGATCACCCCAGCTGGACATCAGCCCTCAAGTGATGAAGACGTCCATACTTCCAAGGTTCCCCGCAGCTGTGTTGAGCTCTCAGACCTGGGCAAGGGGCTCTCTGGCCAGCCTCTTTCAATCTTGCTCTAATAAAGGCAGGAGGCAGACAAATGCCTAGGCAGCTAGGGAAGGGTCTCGGGTGAGACCCCCGCTTCAAGCTTAAAGCAGCCTGAAAGCTGAAAGACCAGAGTGCTGGTTCCGGATGAAACCTGCAACCCAGAGGGAAAACTTCTGCCCCTGTTTGTCCACCCTTTCCCAATTGATTCTTTCTGAATAAGGCCTTTCAACCAATCAAATGCTGCCTTTTCCAATACTATCTATGGCTTGCCAGGGCGTGCCTGCCTGAGCACTGGGGGAATGGGATGGAGCCACCAGGAATTCATGCCTTATGCAAGGGAGGAGTGGCCTCTTTAGCGCGTGTGTGGTAGCCCTGATATTCAATTAGGGAGGTGAAAACCTGTTGGCAGGACCTCCCCTCTTTTGCCAAGAGCTTTTTTTCGCTTAATAAATTCCATCCTTCTCACCATTCAATGTTTCTGCATGCCTAATTTTTTCTAGCTGTGAGACAAGAACACACATTTAGCTGAACTAAGGAGCAAAAATCCTGCATCACCTCCATCTCCTATCCACAGCAGTCAAACCCCCAAAAGATCTAACTGTAGGTGATCTTTGGAAAGGATCTCATCCAGATGGCCCTGTTACTTTGGTCCTTGGGAAATCAGCATTGCTATAAATCCGCCCAGGTACAGCCCACCCACCCTCTGCCTCTGTGGGCTACTTCAGATACCCTCCTGCCTTCAGAACTTGCAGGACACAGGCTTCAGTCTTAATGTCACATCTGTGGACACATGAGGTTTCCCAGGAACTCCCTCTCCATGCTCCATACAGATGGTGACACTCCCCAACAGACCTCCCGCCAAGACTGAAGAACCAGTCCTCCCTTCTGTAGGCTGCGGGCACTGCCAGTCTCTACAGGGGTCCTCCTGGGAGGTCTCACTTGCTGGAGGAGGGGAAGAGTTGTTGGAAACACCCTGAGAAAAAGGGCAGAGATCTCTATTTATGTGGACTCCTTCCAATAAAACCCATTCGAATTTCTTTTCATTTCTTTATAAGCTGAAAATGCGGCCAGGTTGGGGGTGCTATTTGCTGGATCAGATTTTCTATCTTTTAGTAAGACTGGCTTGGATGTGTCTATTACTTGTCTTTCCAAATGTGAGGATACTTATCCCCTAGTCTAAGGTTTTGGACTTTGATAGGGTTTGGCTGTGTCCTCACCCAAATCTCATCTTGAATTGTAGCTCCCATAATTCCTGTATGTTGTGGGTGGGACTCAGTGGGAGATAATTGAATCATGGGGGCAGTTTCCTCCATACTGTTCTCATGGAAGTGAAGAAGTCTCATGAGATCTGATGATTTTATAAGGGGTTTCCCCTTTCACTTGGCTATCATTTCTCTCTTGTCTGTCACCATGTAAGATGTGCCTTTCACCTTCTGTCATGATTGTGAGGCCTCCCAGCCACATGGAACTGTGAGTCCATTAAACTTCTTTTTCTTTATAAATTACCCAGTCTCAGGTATGTCTTTAACAGCAGCGTGAAAACAGACTAATACAGACTTCAACCAAATTTTGGAGATTGACCTTCCATTGACATTCTATTACACATCTACCACACATGTAAAATCCAGATGTCCACTTCCCTTTCTTGCTCAGATTCCAGCCTCCTAACATATAAGGATAAGCACAGGCTTTATACAGCTGTGAGTGGCTCCTGAGGAGCTGTTCTCAGTATCAAGACTTCATCCTCCATCCCTCCTAACCCCCAGCATGAGCAACTTTTCACAGCACTAATGGCCATGTGCAGAAATCCTGACTGTCAACTCAACAGGATGAGGCTTCCTCTCCAGGATAGGAGTGAGTCTTCCATTTCCCCGCGGCTGTTGCAAGAAGCTATACCTTCATGAATTTCTTCACTAAAGGGTTAGGACAAGTTTTAAAAAGGAATTACAACATGGAGAGAAGGAGAGGCTGTTTTCATTAACTACTTCCAGAAGCCAGAGGGAAAGTCCCCAAGGAAATGAACACTCCACAAGAGGATCATTCATGGATACTCCACAGATCCTACCTGGCTGCCCTGCCCTGCAGTTCCTACTTCTCTCTCTCCCAGTCACCTCTTTCTGCAAGTGTCCATGTGTGAATTCCACCCATCTCTCAGTGAAATCATCCCTATCCACAGAAAGGAGTCTCACTCTCCTGGATCTTACAGAATCTCTATTTCTGCATAGTATGTTATAATATAAAAGTCTTTCCAACAATGAGAAAACTGTGATGAATCATATACTAAATATCTGTGCATCCTCCTCCAAGCTTTATCAAATCTAAACACTTTTGCTATATTTACCTGTGATTCTTTTTCTAAAAAGTAACAATATTTTACAAAAATAATTAAGTCCCATAATCCTAACACTTCCCACCCCATGCCCTCCTTCCTCCCTCATCCCCTAACTAGAGGAAACTGCTTTAGGGATATGATGTTTTGCCTCATGCATTTTTCTCAAGTCTACACTTTTGGGGCTGGAGAAGTCTAGGGTTTGCTTTCCCATGATGCCAGCAGGATTTCCAAGCTCCTCAAAACATTTCAAAGTGGGGAAAAGTGGTGGAATCTGGCTATCCAGACACCATCGTATAAAGTGAATATGGGTCTTCCAGGATGAGTTTCCCTTTTCCGCTCCTTAACTCATTTATTTCACACATTCATTATTCACAATTAGTGGATTGCCAGGCACTGTTCTAAACTCTGGGAACATGGTAATGACCAAGACTGAGAAACCCCTCCCCAGAGGGCTTACATTCCAATGAGGGGAGAGGGACAAGAAGAAGATAACTCAACAGATCAGAATATATTAGATAAGTGCTCGGTAGAAAAGGGGGAAGGAGGAGGAGGAGCCAAGGTGGCCGAATAGGAACACCTCCAGTCTACAGCTCCCAGCATGAGCGACGCAGAAGATGGGTGATTTCTGCATTTCCATCTGAGGTACCGGGTTCATCTCACTAGGGAGTGCCAGACAGTGGGCGCAGGATAGTGGGTGCAGCGCACCGTGAGCCAGCCGAAGCAGGGTGAGGCATTGCCTCACTCGAGAAGTGCAAGGGGTCAGGGAGTTCCCTTTCCTGGTCAAGGAAAGGGGTGACAGACGGCACCTGGAAAATCGGGCCACTCCCACCCGAATACTGTGGTTTTCTGACAGGCTTAGGAAGCGGCGCACCAGGAGATTATATCCCGCACATGGCTCGGAGGGTCCTACACCCATGGAGTCTCACTGATTGCTAGCACAGCAGTCTGAGATCAAACTGCAAGGCAGCAGCAAGGCTGGGGGGGGGGGCGGGGTGCCCGCCATTGCCCAGGCTCACTTAGGTAAATAAAGCAGCCGGGAAGCTCGAACTGGGTGGAGCCCACCACAGCTCAAGGAGGCCTGCCTGCCTCTGTAGGCTCCACCTCTGGGGGTAGGGCACAGACAAACAAAAAGACAGCAGTAACCTCTGCAGACTTAAATGTCCCTGTCTGACAGCTTTGAGGAAAGCAGGTGTTCTCCCAGCATGCAGCTGGAGATCTGAGAACAGGCAGACTGCCTCCTCAAGTGGGTCCCTGACCCCTGACCCCAGAGCAGCCTAACTGGGAGGCACCCCCCATTAGGGGCAGACTGACACCTCACACGGCCGGGTACTCCTCTGAGACAAAACTTCCAGAGGAACGATCAGAGAGCAGCATTCATGGATCACAAAAATCCGCAGTTCTGAAGACACCGCTGCTGATACTCAGGCAAACAGGGTCTGGAGTGGACCTCTAGCAAATTCCAACAGACCTGCAGCTGAGGGTCCTGTCTCTTAGAAGGAAAACTAACAAACAGAAAGGACATCCACACCAAAAACTCATCTGTACATCACCATCATCAAGGACCAAAAGTAGATAAAACCACAAAGATGGGGAAAAAACAGAATAGAAAAACTGGAAACTCTAAAAAGCAGAGCGCCTCTCCTCCTCCAAAGGAACGCACTTCCTCACCAGCAACGGAACAAAGCTGCATAGAGAATGACTTTGACGAGTTGAGAGAAGAAGGCTTCAGACGATCAAACTACTCCAAGCTACAGGAGTAAATTCAAACCAAAGGCAAAGAAGTTGAAAACTTTGAAAAAAATTTAGATGAATGTATAACTAGAATAACCAATACAGAGAAGTGCTTAAAGGAGCTGATGGAGCTGAAAGCCAAGGCTCGAGAACTATGTGAAGAATGCAGAAGCCTCAGGAGCCGATGCAATCAACTGGAAGAAAGGGTATCAGTGATGGAAGATCAAATGAATGAAATGAAGCGAGAAGGGAAGTTTAGAGAAAAAGGAATAAAAAGAAATGAACAAAGCCTCCAAGAAATATGGGACTATGTGAAAAGACCAAATCTGCGTCTGACAGGTGTACCTGAAAGTGACGGGGAGAATGGAACCAAGTTGGAAAACACTCTGCAGGATATTATCCAGGAGAACTTCCCCAATCTAGCAAGGCAGGCCAACATTCACATTCAGGAAATACAGAGAACGCCACAAAGATACTCCTCGAGAAGAGCAATTACAAGACACATAATTGTCAGGTTCACCAAAGTTGAAACGAAGGAAAAAATGTTAAGGGCAGCCAGAGAGAAAGGTCAGGTTACCCACAAAGCGAAGCCCATCAGACTAACAGCGGATCTCTTGGCAGAAACTCTACAAGCCAGAAGAGAGTGGGGGCCAATATTCAACATTCTTAAAGAAAAGAATTTTCAACCCAGAATTTCATATCCAGCAAAACTAAGCTTCATAAGTGAAGGAGAAATAAAATACTTTACAGACAAGCAAATGCTGAGAGATTTTGTCACCACCAGGCCTGCCCTAAAAGAGCTCCTGAAGGAAGCACTAAACATGGAAAGGCACATCTGGTACCAGCCACTGCAAAATCATGCCAAAATGTAAAGACCATCGAGACTAGGAAGAAACTGAATCAACTAACGAGCAAAATAACGAGCTAACATCAAAATGACAGGATCAAATTCACACATAACAATATTAACTTTAAATGTAAATGCACTAAATACTCCAATTAAAAGACACAGACTGGCAAATTGGATAAAGAGTCAAGACCCATCAGTGTGCTGTATTCGGGAAACCCATCTCACGTGCAGAGACACACATAGGCTCAAAATAAAGGGATGGAGGAAGATCTACCAAGCAAATGGAAAACAAAAAAACGCAGGGTTTGCAATCCTAGTCTCTGATAAAACAGACTTTAAACCAACAAAGATCAAAAGAGACAAAGAAGGCCATTACATAATGGTAAAGGGATCAATTCAACAAGAAGAGCTAACTATCCTAAATATATATGCACCCAATACAGGAGCACCCAGATTCATAAAGCAAGTCCTGAGTGACCTACAAAGAGACTTAGACTCCCACACAATAATAATGGGAGACTTTAACACCCCACTGTCAACATTAGACAGATCAATGAGACAGAAAGTTAACAAGGATATCCAGGAATTGAACTCAGCTCTGCACCAAGCGGACCTAATAGACATCTACAGAACTCTCCACCCCAAATCAACAGAATATACATTTTTTTCAGCACCACACCACACCTATTCCAAAATTGACCACATACTTGGAAGTAAAGCTCTCCTCAGCAAATGTAAAAGAACAGAAATTATAACAAACTGTCTCTCAGACCACAGTGCAATCAAACTAGAACTCAGGATTAAGAAACTCACTTAAAACTGCTCAACTACATGGGAACTGAACAACCTGCTCCTGAATGACTACTGGGTAAATAACGAAATGAAGGCAGAAATAAAGATGTTCTTTGAAACCAATGAGAACAAAGACACAACATACCAGAATCTCTGGGACACATTCAAAGCAGTGTGTAGAGGGAAATTTATAGTACTAAATGCCCACAAGAGAAAGCAGGAAAGATCCAAAATTGACACCCTAATATCACAATTAAAAGAACTAGAAAAGCAAGAGCAAACACATTCAAAAGCTAGCAGAAGGCAAGAAATAACTAAAATCAGAGCAGAACTGAAGGAAATAGAGACACAAAAAACCCTTCAAAAAATTAATGAATCCAGGAACTGGTTTTTTGAAAGGATCAACAAAATTGATAGACCACTAGCAAGACTAATAAAGAAAAAAAGAGAGAAGAATCAAATAGACGCAATAAAAAATGATAAAGGGGATATCACCACCGATCCCACAGAAATACAAACTACCATCAGAGAATACTACAAACACCTCTATGCAAATAAACTAGAAAATCTAGAAGAAATGGATAAATTCCTCGACACATACACTCTCCCAAGACTAAACCAGGAAGAAGTTGAATCTCTGAATAGACCAATAACAGGAGCTGAAATTGTGGCAATAATCAATAGTTTACCAACCAAAAAGAGTCCAGGACCAGATGGATTCACAGCCGAATTCTACCAGAGGTACAAGGAGGAATTGGTACCATTCCTTCTGAAACTATTCCAATCAATAGGAAAAGAGGGAATCCTCCCTAACTCATTTTATGAGGCCAGCATCATCCTGATACCAAAGCCGGGCAGAGACACAACCAAAAAAGAGAATTTTAGACCAATATCCTTGATGAACATTGATGCAAAAATCCTCAATAAAATACTGGCAAACCGAATCCAGCAGCACATCAAAAAGCTTATCCACCATGATCAAGTGGGCTTCATCCCTGGGATGCAAGGCTGGTTCAATATATGCAAATCAATAAATGTAATCCAGCATATAAACAGAACCAAAGACAAAAACCACATGATTATCTCAATAGATGCAGAAAAGGCCTTTGACAAAATTCAACAACCCTTCATGCTAAAAACTCTCAATAAATTAGGTATTGATGGGACATATCTCAAAATAATAAGAGCTATCTATGACAAACCCACAGCCAATATCATACTGAATGGGCAAAAACTGGAACCATTCCCTTTGAAAACTGGCATAAGACAGGGATGCCCTCTCTCATCACTCCTATTCAACATAGTGTTCGAAGTTCTGGCCAGGGCAATTAGGCAGGAGAAGGAAATAAAGGGTATTCAATTAGGAAAAGAGGAAGTCAAATTGTCCCTGTTTGCAGATGACATGATTGTATATCTAGAAAACTCCACTGTCTCAGCCCAAAATCTCCTTAAGCTGATAAGCAACTTCAGCAAAGTCTCAGGATACAAAATCAATGTACAAAAATCACAAGCATTCTTATACACCAATAACAGACAAACAGAGAGCTAAATCATGAGTGAACTCCCATTCACAATTGCTTCAAAGAGAATAAAATACTTAGGAATCCAACTTACAAGGGACGTGAAGGACCTCTTCAAGGAGAACTACAAACCACTGCTCAATGAAATAAAAGAGGATACAAAGAAATGGAAGAATATTCCATGCTCATGAGTAGGAAGAATCAATATCGTGAAAATGGCCATACTGCCCAAGGTAATTTATAGATTCAATGCCATCCCCATCAAGCTACCAATGACTTTCTTCACAGAATTGGAAAAAACTACTTTAAAGTTCATATGGAACCAAAAAAGAGCCCGCATCACCAAGTCAATCCTAAGCCAAAAGAACAAAGCTGGAGGCATCACGCCACCTGACTTCAAACTATACTACAAGGCTACAGTAACCAAAACAGCATGGTATTGGTACCAAAACAGAGATATAGATCAATGGAACAGAACAGAGCCCTCAGAAATAACACCACATATCTACAACTATCTGATCTTTGACAAACCTGAGAAAAACAAGCAATGGGGAAAGGATTCCCTATTTAATAAATGGTGCTGGGAAAACTGGCTAGCCATATGTAGAAAGCTGAAACTGGATCCCTTCCTTACACCTTATACAAAAATTAATTCTAGATGGATTAAAGACTTAAACATTACACCTAAAACCATAAAAACCCTAGAAGAAAACCTAGGCATTACCATTCAGGACATAGGCACGGGCAAGAACTTCATGTCTAAAACACCAAAAGCAATGGCAACAAAGGCCAAAATTGACAAATGGGATCTAATTAAACTAAAGAGCTTCTGCACAGCAAAAGAAACTACCATCAGAGTGAACAGGCAACCTACAAAATGGGAGAAAATTTTTGCAACCTACTCATCTGACAAAGGGCTAATATCCAGAATCTACAATGAACTCAAACAAATTTACAAGAAAAAAACAAACAACCCCATCAAAAAGTAGGCGAAGGATATGAACAGACACTTCTGAAAAGAAGACATTTATGCAGCCAAAAGACACATGAAAAAATGCTCACCATCACTGGCCATCAGAGAAATGCAAATCAAAACCACAATGAGATATCATCTCACACCAGTTAGAATGGCAATCATTAAGAAGTCAGGAAACAACAGGTGCTGGAGAGGATGTGGAGAAATAGGAACACTTTTACACAGTTGGTGGGACTATAAACTAGTTCAACCTTGTGGAAGTCAGTGTGGCGATTCCTCAGGGATCTAGAACTAGAAATACCATTTGACCCAGCCATCTCATTACTGGGTATATACCCAAAGGACTATAAATCATGCTGCTCTAAAGACACATGCACACGTATGTTTATTGCGGCACTATTCACAATAGCAAAGACTTGGAACCAACCCAAATGTCCAACAATGATAGACTGGATTAAGAAAATGTGGCACATATACCCC
This sequence comes from Homo sapiens, assembly GCF_000001405.40. Classification (NCBI taxonomy): domain Eukaryota; kingdom Metazoa; phylum Chordata; class Mammalia; order Primates; family Hominidae; genus Homo; species Homo sapiens. Next base: position 47,717,944 of record NC_000013.11, read on the forward strand.
ATGGAATACTATGCAGCCATAAAAAAGGATGAGTTCATGTCCTTTGTAGGGACATGGATGAAATTGGAAATCATCATTCTCAGTAAACTATCGCAAGGACAAAAAACCAAACACCGCATGTTCTCACTCACAGATGGGAATTGAACAATGAGAACACATGGACACAGGAAGGGAAACATCACACTCTGGGGACTGTTGTGGGGTGGTGGGAGGGGGGAGGGATAGCATTAGGAGATATACCTAATGCTAAATGACGAGTTAATGGGTGCAGCACACCAGCATGGCACATGTGTACATATGTAACTAACCTGCACGTTGTGCACATATACCCTAAAACTTAAAGTATAATAATAATTTTAAAAAAAACATTACACCTTAAACCACTCAAGGTTCTACCTTCCATTTACAAAAACATGGGGAATAGAAGATGAACTCAAATGACACCACAAGGAACAACCAGACAAATCCTCTACTGCTGGAATTTACAGGACAAGTAATATGATGTTGGGAAAAAAGTTATTGCACAAAACAAAAGGGGATCAGGGACTTCTGAGCAATAAAGAGACTTAAGAGACTCAACATGAAAAAAAAAAAAAAAAAAGAAAAGAAAAGGGGGAAGAAAGCAGGATTGCAGGGTCGACTGGTGCGCAGAGCAGTGTTTGGCTCTTTCCCTGCTTGCCTGGGAGCCTGCAGAATTAAGAACTTGGCCTTAGCACACCTTAATGGTATAACCCAATTGTTTACACAAGAGACACACTAAATGGCCCATTCAGGACACAGTCATATTAAATTATTTCCATGAGTCTTGGCTGTCGTTAGTCTCCCTTTGGGAGAAGAGAAATGGGATGGCCCTGTCTCCTCATTTTTTATAGACTCCTTTATTTCATCCCCCAGCTATCCAAAGAGGGGGGAATCGTTAACCCTGTTTTTCAGGCAAGCGGCCTGAGGCTCAGAGAACTTCGCCAACTCCCCAGCGGTGCATGTAGCCACATCCACAACCAAATACATTACGTTTCAGTGACACATAAATATTTACACAAACTGGGATGAAAGATTACAAGTACCATCATGTCAGTCTGGTCATCAAAGGAATTACTTTTTAAAAAGAATTCCCTTTTGTTTTCAGGGTTTTTTGGCACAAAGGATTATGAACCTGTAGTTGGGTGACTCCAAATTATTCATCTGTTAAAGGAGAACACAAAATTGTCCTGACCGGATCACAGATTTTCTGGGGAAAAAAAAAAGGTACCAAGAGCATCACTGAATACTTACTGTGTGTGCACTGTTCTAAGTTTGACTAAAATGTCACAACCCTATAAAGCAGGTAGGTATTTTTATTATTACCCTTTTACTGGGTTGGGACAAAAGTAATTGCAGTTTTTGCCATTGAAAGTAATGGTAAAAACCGCAATTACATTTGCACCAACCTAATACAGAAGAAACGAGTCACAAAAAAGTTAAGTCAGCTGCAGAGCCAGGAGTTCAACTTAGGCAGTCTATTAAACTGAGGTGCCTTGGCCACTGTACCCTTGTCTCACTGTAAATGGAAAACAATGAAAACAGAAACCCTAGACTTAGTAGCTACACAATGTAAGGCATTCAAGGAAAGGGGAATGGCACTGGTCACCCCAGGAAAAGGTGTACAAAGCAGGAGGGTGCTTAATCCAGGAGGAGGGTGCAGAAGGGTACAAAGAGTGGGTGAGGGACCAGTGCTCATCAGTCAGAGGTCACACTCACACCCGTGATACCAGCAAGCCTCCCAATGGCCAGATCCCAGTATGCCATGTCCCTGTGTGACCCCCTGGCCCCAGTGTGTGCCAACCAAGATGTCTCCTTGGTGACAAAGAAAAGGGGCCTTATGACATAAGACGACACAGGGAAGAAAATTTGGGCAATTAAGAATGTGTAGATTGTATTACAGATTGCAAGCCAGCTATAGTTTGCTCCTAAACAAAAAAATGGCATTCACTCACTCAAGCTGAAACACTTCCAGAATCACATCCATAGCTGGGAGATATTGCTAGAAAATACAGAAACTGACATTTGCTCATGGTCCAGCTTGCTTCCCGCTAAGCAAATAATTTCAAAAGAAGCCTGATGCCTCTGGGTAGTTATGATGTTTCTGATCCCGCTTATCTCGCTCCAGGTTTCTTGCAACAGGAGTGCATGTGTGTGTGTGTGCGTGTGTGTGTGTGCGCGTGTGTGTACAGAAAGGGTTTTTGTCCTTGAAAACAATCAGAAATCACACTTTGCCTGGAAATTCATGCAAAAATACTTGCTCAGTCCAGTCCTCAACCACAGGTTTTCATTCTTGTACACATAATAAGCATCGTTTGTTAAACTCTGGCTAAGTCCTTTGCAGGCGTTATGGTAGAAGTTTTGGAATACTGACAAGTGAGTATTAGAAAGACTATTTTACAGGAAATATATCAAGCTTTTCTTTATCTGTGGGCCAAACACTGAGCCTGCCAATTTGCATGATTCTTGCATTTCACGAAATGACATCAAAGCTCTAAGACACAATTATTTCCATGCGTCAGGTGTGTAGGCTAAGGTTCAAAGAAGGAAGGTGACCAGTAGTGATGTGCAAGGCTTTTGAGGCAAGTTACCTCGTTTTACTCCACTGGATAAATGAATATGTAAGTTACTTAAATCTCTCTTAGCCTCCCTTTCCTCCTCTGTAAAATGGGCTATGACAGTTCCTCACAGAGAAGCCAGAATAACATCTCAAACTTTAATGTGCACATAAATCACCTGGTCTCTTGTTAAAATGCAGGCTCTAATTCAGGAGGTCTGGGGCGGGACCTGAGGTCTGCATTTCAAACAAGCTTCCAGGCGATGCCCATGCTGCTGGCCTGTGGACCACATTTTGAAGGGCAAAGCTTGTCTGGGTTCTTGTTTTAAGCTTAAAGGAGATAATGCACATGAAGTTCTCAGCACAGTTCCTGGCACACAGTAAGCATTCAGTAACTATAAGCTGATCTGATTATGGTTGTTTCTGTCGTTACAGTGAACTTTAAATTATCGGGCTCCAAGCTAGTGATTGTGTACTCTGTAAGATCTTTATAATGTCCTGAAAAGCTCTTGAAAGAGCATGGTAATGGGCAAAGCAGTGTGACATGAATTAGAATTCTCGTGTTACCCTTTCATCATGCCTTGAAACCTCTGTGAGACCATTTAGGATAATCTTTTAGGATAGGTAAGACAACTGTCCTACTTAGTAGATGGAATTGTGAGAATCCAATGTAACTACATGTGAGAAAGTTTTCTAACGTAAGCACTAGAGTACTGTGTGCACTGGTAGTCATGGTATTTCTGCAGACATAGGAATATTTTCCAGCCACTCTCCCCTTGTGACCCTCTTCCCTCAGAGTGTAAGAACTGTTGGTGGCCTCTTAGGTCAGAAAGCACAAAGGGTAATGAGGCCCAGCCTTTGACACTGGGTAGGAGAAATGGGCTCAAGCCATGTTCAATGCTGCTTCTACTCAGCTCACACAAGTCACAGAAGAGAAGGAGAGTTGTTAGGAAAAGAAATTGTAGAACAGAAATAAAAAGCCAGGCCAGCTGACCCTAAACCCAGTCTCTTAACCCTGACACTATACTGCCTCCTATAAGTAATACAGAAATGATCAATCACACAAAATAGTAACAAATGCTGAAGGCAATGTGATGGTTAGGTGTCACCTTGCTTGGATTGAGGGATGCCTAGATGACTGGTAAAGTATTGTTTCTGGGTGGGTCTGTGAGGGTGTTGCCAGAAGAGATTGGCATTTGAGTCAGTGGGCTGGGAGTCAAAGACCCACCTTCAGCGTGGGTGGGCACCATCCAATCGGCTGCCAGTGCAGTTGGAACAAAGCAGGTAGAAGAAGGGGGTAAGCAGCTTGCTGCACCCTCTCACTCCTGCTGTCTCTCCACGCTGAGATCTTGCTTCCTCTCCTTCTGCCCTTGGACATCAGACTCCAGGCTCTTCAGCCTTTGGGCTCTGGAACTTGGACCAGAAGCCTCCCAGGGGCTCTCTGGCCTTTAGCCGCAGATGGAAGGCTGCACTGTAGGCTTCCCTAGTTTTGAGGCTTTAGGACTTGGACTGGGCTACTACCGCCTTCTGCCTTTCCTCAGCTTGCAGATGGCCTAGTATGGGACTTCACTTTGTAATTGTGTCAGCTTTTAATCTGATAAACTCATACACACACACACACACACACACACACACACACACACACACACACACACTATTCGTTCTGTCCCTCTGAAGAACTGACTAATATAGACAATGAGCAGACAGCCCCAGATCTCAGTTCTCACCCTTAGAGGGGTGAGACCTCGAGAGTCAAATTCAGCCTGGGGCCTGGGGAAAGAAAACAGAAGATCTTGAATGTAATTTCCATTTAGGTCCCAGTCTAGAGAGGAAAAAGGGGTCCTCCCAGCTCCTACCCTCCCCAGGACAGGAGCTACTTGCAGTCTGAAGTCAATAGTCCATCTGGCAATGACATGTGGCTTGGAACCTCCCAGGACGCTCTGTGGTCTGTGTGGCACCCTCAGGACTCAGAAATGACAGTCAGGTGATTGCATTTTTCAATGCTATCATGTGAAGGTCATTCCATTAAACATGGCAGTCAACTTAACAGGAAAGATAGACCATATTTACAAATAAACTCGTTACGTTTTCTAAAACAAAAGTTTCCACCTGCAAATAAATGAACATCTGATATAAAATTTTATATTTGACATGGCAATAAAATTAGAGTTGAAAAGGTAAAATTGGGTTCAGATGTCAGCCTATATTGTGAATTAATTACAGTAAAACCTAATGGCCAGTAAAACCAGCATGGGCTGGTTACCTGGAAGGCTTTGGAGGCAGGCAGCCTCCATGAGTCAGACTTCCTGAGTTCAAATCCTGACTCAATCCATGGCTTTTTTGCTATGAAATCAAGCTAATTAACTGGGTCTTAGTTTTCTTATCTATAAAAACGAGGCTGAGAGTAGACTCTACCTCACAGGGCTATTGTTAGGATTAAATGAGTTAATATGTACAAAGTGCTTTGAAGACACAGTAAGCACCAAAAAACAATCTATTAATGTATGACCTTAGGGAATCAATTGGCCTCCTGAGTCACTTTTTCCCATCTGTGACAGAATAAGTATATTCTGAGGGAAAAAAAAAATATGTGGAGGTATTCTGAAAAGTTAAAAGAGCTAGATAAATTGTGAAGTTACACAAGGCTTGTTATTGCAAACAGTATTTTTATTTTGGACCACACTTTGGTTTGGTAAACTGAAGGCTAAGAGCCTGAGTGTGCATTGTCTCTGGAATGAATATTCTACAACTTCTCTAAATGTCTAACATCTCTTCTGGGACCTCAGTCTCTCAAGAGCTTTTAATCTGACACATCCAGAGGTCACTGGGAGGAGGAATTAATTAATACAAATTTGAAAAGAATATGAAATGGGACTTAACCCACTGCTTGGAGCAAGAACAAGCTCTGTGACTAAACAAAGCTCTCTCAAAGGTGTAACCCATGTTTTAAACAAATTCTCTTTATCCTTGACACAATTCCACATCCTTGGCAGGCACCAAATATTGGAGAGAGAGGCCTAGTGAGCTCAGGCTTTAGGTCCACTTGAGCCCTTTAAGTCACAGATTTATAGAGTGATCCTGAGTTGGCCGAAAGTCCTACATACACAGCATCCTTGATGCAGAAAGTTGACCCACAGTGAGCAGGGAGCTTATTCTTCCCATAGTGGCCACAGATTTATACCCCGTCTTCCACATTGAAGAGCACCCCAGATGATCTCACAATATACATCTATAAAAATGCCCAGAGGCAATCTAGCCTACAGGCGACAGGCTGTACAGACAGACTGGAATTTCCACCCCAACTCATCATTTAAGGGTCGGCTTGGGAAAGTTACATATCTGGCAGTGTCTTGGTTCTTCCGTAAAATAAAAAAAAATAAAAAAATAGTACCAATTTGTATTTGTTATCCATTGCTGTGTAACTATTTACCCCCAAAACTTGGCACATAAACCAGTCATTTCTGTGAATCAGGAATCAACAGAGCCTTAGCTGGGAAGTTCTGTCCCGGGTCTCTTGTGAGGGTGCAGTAGAGCTGTCAGCCAGGGCTGCAATCCTTTGAAATAAGATGATCCGCTTCCTAGCTCCCTCACGTGGTTGTTGGCAACATTCATTCATTATGGGCTGTTGGATCAAGTCCTCAGTTCCTCTCCGAGAAGGAAGCTGCAATTTTCTGTAGTTTAATCTTGAATGGGACATACCATCCTTTGTGTCCTACACTGTTGGCCACACAGACCCACCCTGATACAATGTTGGAAGAGATCACCCAATGATGTGAATTCCAGGACATGGGGATCATTGGGGATTACCTTGGAGACTAGCGATCACACTACCTGATGGACTTATCCAGAGAATTAGTGCGTTAATATGTGTAAAGGTCTTAGAACAGTATCCAGCACATCATAAACACTCAGTAAAATGTTAGCTGGTATCGTTTTTATGTTAGGGTTGTTGTTGTAAGCATTCAGGGCTTGATTGGAAGCCATGAAACAGAAACACTCGCCAGATCACCCAGGCAATGACTACTACCACCCGACTAGTGAGAACTCATGACATACTTAATCTACTTTTGCTTTCCTATACACTTATAACAATTAGGGCATGAGAAGCATAGATGGGTTTCAACTGGGGGACAGGATTTCCATCATAGGAGTCAAGGACACAGGAACTTGCCAAAGTTAACCTTGCATAGACATCTCCCAAGACAGGGAAATCAATTAAACAACTTGGAAAGGAGGATGCTGTTTGATGCAGTCCAAACAATTAGACCTGTATGTAGATAGAACAGGACATCTAACCTGGGTTTTGCCTAAAATATTTGGCTCATAACTCTTGGCAAATTAAATTTTCATAGGTGAAAGCCATAGAGGTAGGAAGGATGACTGTTTTACTTCTATGTCCTAGTTGGCAGTGTGTCTGAACACAGTTTAACATTCCCTGAATATCAGAGCTGCCATTATGGGTATCAATTATTGTACTCTGCATGAACATTCTAATGCCCCTGAGGTTCCATTTGCTCCAACACTGAACACTCATATCTTGCTCCAGCCTGCTGGGGGTGTCTACACTATATTTCAAAATATCTGTAGCTCCTTGTGAAAATACCTTCTCCTTTGAAGTCATCCTTGCTTTCTACTGTCACTTCTATCTCTCCAGAACTTCTAATGTTAGTATCTGCTACTGTTTGTACTTTAATAAAGCTTAGGGCATCAATGAAGAACACCAGAGGTAGCCAGGAGGGGTCCCTGGCTTCCCCACAGGAACATGGTGGTAAGGAGAGCTTCCCAGCAGAGGGAGTTCAGAAGTGACTGAATGCTCTCTTTGCAGGCCAAGGACTCCAGCTGACACTCAGTTAACCCATTACTAGTCTGGAAATGGTCAGAGCAGCTTGGAGGCAGCAGGTTTACTATTCTAAAAACCTCAGACAGGGCTAAGTGGGTCATATCCTGACCAGAAAATCAGACATTTTGATAGAAGGAGAAAGAATGAGTGGTCTAGAAGTATGAAGTCCTGCAACAGAGGGCAGGCTTGTGGGGATCAACAGCACTGTGAGGACCCTGGGTGCCGGAGGAGTGCAGGAGATGATGCTCAAGGTGGAACCTGGCGTTGCTTCCACTCTGCTGTAGAGGACAATAAACCAGCACTGGAACCTCTTGTATCTAGGGAATTTGGGGCTCAGTTCCACATTCGGCAATCGGTTCCAAAATCTGAAATGACCTCAAATGTTCTCACTATTCAAGTGGGACAGGAACGTATTACGATGGTGCTTTAATAGCTTTCAATATTGTATCGAACTTTGCAATTAACTAGGTTGAGTCATCCTTCCAACCTCTTTGGCTTTCACCTATGAAAATTTAATTTGCCAAGAGTTATGAGCCAGATATTTTAGGCAAAACCCAGGTTAGATGTCCTGTTCTATCTACATACGGGTCTAATTGTTTGGACTGCATCAAACGGCATCCTCCTTTCCCAGTTGTTTAATTGATTTCCCTGTCTTGGGAGATGTCTATGCAAGGTTAACTTCGGGAAGTTCCTGTGTCCTTGACTCCTATGATGGAAATCCTGTCTCAGAATTAAAACCCATCCATGCGTCTCATGCCCTAATTGTTATAAGTGTATAGGAAAGCAAAAGTAGATTAAGTATGTCATGAGTTCTCACTAGTAGGCTGGTAGTAGTCATTGCTTACCCTGGTGTTTCTAACACCTGGACTAGGGAAGGGCCCTTTGCTGTCATGTAGGGTTTTAGATTTACAAAGGAAGTACTTGGTCCAGTTAGTACCTACTGGTCAAGGCAGAACTGTGTGGGATAAAGGATTGCCTCAGACAGGGGTTAACTAAGCATAGGTTAGCACCTAGTTAACCAAATTAAACTTTTGTTTTAGAAATAGTGTCATTCATAATTATGTACAGTCAGTCCTTGTTATTCATAGATTCCATGTTTGTAAATCTGCCTACCGACTAAAATTTATTTGTAACCCCAAAGATCAATACTCGTGATGCTTTCATGGTTATTAGTGAACCTGTGCAGAGTGGTGAAAAAATGAGTCACCCAACATGTGACTCAGATCAAACAAGATAACACTCTGCCTTCTGGTTTCAAGTCTCATTCTGTACATAATTATCCTTTTTGTGATCTGTCTAGTGCTACGTTTTTAGCATTTCTGTGTTGTTTTTCTTGTTGGCGACTTTGCTATTTAAAATGGCCCCAAGCACAGCACCAAAGCGCTGTCAAGTGTCTCTAATCATAAAAAGACTGTGATGTGTCTTACAGAGAAAATACACATCTTAGATCAGCTTCATTCAGGCATGAATTATAGTGCTGTTGGCCATGAGTTCCACGTTAATGAATCAATAATATATATGAAATAAGATGTCTTTAAACAGACACACACATAAAATAAGGTTACGTATCAATCAGTTGGTGAAAACGTTGAGACCAGAGGTTTGCAGGAACCTAACCCTGTATTTCCCCTAGAAGCAATGGTTTGGTATCACTCATAAGTAGGAGTTGAATAATGAGAACACATGGACACAAGGAGGGGAACATCACACACCGGGGCCTGTCAGGGGATATGGGGCAAGGGAAGGGAGAGCATTAGGACAAATACCTAAGGCATGCAGGACTTAAAACCTAGATGACAGGTTGATGGGTGCAGCAAATCACCATGGCACATGTATACCTATGTAACAAACCTGTACATTCTGCACATGTATCTCAGAACTTAAAGTATAATAAATAAATACGGCCGGGCGCAGTGGCTCATGCCTGTAATCCTAGTACTTTGGGAGGCCGAGGTGGGCAGATCGCCTGAGCTCAGGAGTTCGAGACCAGCCTGGGCAACACGGAGAAACTCCGTCTCTACTAAAATACAAAAAATTAGCCAGGCAGTGTGCACCTGTAATCCCAGGTACTCAGGAGGTTTAGGCAGGAGAATTGCTTGAACCTGGGAGGCAAGGGTTACAGTGAGCCAAGATCATGCCAATGCACTCCAGCCTGGATGACAGAGCAAGAATCTGTCTCCAAAAAATAAAATAAAATAAAATAAAAATAAATAAATACATACATAAATAGGTAAAAGAAGCAATGGTTTGGTATTAAGTGATTACAGTGACTTTATAGGTCACAACTACTGCAAATCATGTGACTCAACTGTATTATGAATATGTTATAATTTAAATCAACTTTAGATAAATACACAAAGCCAGGCACGGTGGCTCACACCTGTAATCCTAGCACTTTGGGAGGCCAAGGCAGGTGGATCATCTGAGGTCAGGAGTTGGAGACCAGCCTGGCCAATATGATGAAACCCCGCCTCTACTAAGATAAATACACAGAGCTAGATATAATTATTGTATGTTTCTCATTAGAAATACCTAAAATGCCTGCCTCATTCCTGGACTAATTTTTTTTTTTTTTTTTTTTTTTTTGGAGACCAAGTCTCCCTCTGTCACCCAGGCTGGAGTGCAATGGCATGATCTCGGGCTCACTGCAACCTCCACCTCCTGAGTTCAAGTGATTCTCTTACCTCAGCCTCCTGAATAGCTGGGATTACAGTCGCCTGCCACCATGACCAGCTAATGTTTGTACTTTTAGTAGAGACAGAGTTTCACCATGTTGGCCAGGCTGGTCTCAAACTCCTGACCTCAGATGATCCACCTGCCTTGGCCTCCCAAAGTGCTAGGATTACAGGCGTGAGCCACCACGCCTGGCCATCCTGGACCTTTCTTAATACCAGGAACCTTCTTGGGCATAGATGGGCCTCCAACTCTCAAACATTTATGGCATCTGAGCAGTTGTAGCAACAAGTTTATCCCACCTGTAGACCCCTCCTAAATATTAATAAATTAAGACCTTTCTTTTCTGCTTATCTGATAAAACTAAGAAAAATATTATAAAGAGTCCTATCTGATATCAACAACAGAGTAAGATTGTAGTATGTTAGGAACTGGAAGGCGATCAAGTTAAAGTTCTCAGTCTTCATGACCATGAAGAAAGCCCTAGTAAGCCTTGAGAAAGGCACAGATAACGGCTACCATAGTAAATGTAACTTCAGGGAATGCTGAATCCTGTTTCCCATTTTTATTGTGGCATATCTCCCAGTATTCTCCACGTGGTAGATGAAAAATTCAGCCAAGGACACAGGGACAGGAGAGGGACAACCAACATCTCTTCTAAATTAACCTAGAAATACCTTTAGAGGTCATTACTCTGAGAATGCAGATTCATGACTTCTTATTATCTAGTTTTGAATTTATGGCATCCCAGTTCAAGGCTTTATCATTGTGCTCGAATACTACTGCAACCTGCCAAAGCTCTCTCTGCCTCACCTCTTCTCATGCCCTTTGATTTTTCACAACTCTAGACTGATTTTTATTATCTAAGCCCCCACAGTTCTCAGGATAAAGTCCAAAATCTACAGCCTGCCATGTAAGGCCACCTGAAATTTGGTTCAAATCTACATTTACTTTAGCTACCTCCACTTCTCAACACACAGCCTTTCCTCCAACCTAGTTGGTGTGCTTTCTGTTTCCAAATGCAGCTTGTATCTGCTCCGCACAGTGTTTCAGTGGTTAAGCTTAGGCTCTGGTGTTAGACTGACCTGAGTTCAAATCCTGATTCAGCCACTTGTTATATAACTCTGGGCAAGTAGCCTCAGTGCCCTCATTTTTAAAATGGGGTTAATAATCAGAGTAACAATCTCAGAGATTTGTTCTGATGATTAAATGTTATTATGCATAGAAACTGCTTAGCAGTACCTGGCACATTTAAAGAACTAATAAACATTAGTTTTTAAAAATTAACATTGAGGAGTCCCACTTTCATGTTTTCACCTCAGTCTTGAAATTTTGTCCTTCCTATAATATCCATTCTCTTCCTCACAACTCCCAGATTCTGCCTTTTTTTTAAAATTATTATTATACTTTAAGCTTTAGGGTACATGTGCACAATGTGCAGGTTAGTTACATATGTATACATGTGCCATGCTGGTGCGCTGCACCCACTAACTCGTCATCTAGCCTTAGGTATATCTCCCAGTGCTATCCCTCCCCCCTCTGCCCACCCCACAACAGTCCCCAGAGTGTGATGTTCCCCTTCCTGTGTCCATGTGTTCTCACTGTTCAATTCCCACCTATGAGTGAGAATATGCGGTGTTTGGTTTTTTTGTTCTTGCTATAGTTTACTGAGAATGATGATTTCCAATTTCATCCATGTCCCTACAAAGGACATGAACTCATCATTTTTTATGGCTGCATAGTATTCCATGGTGTATATGTGCCACATTTTCTTAATCCAGTCTATCATTGTTGGACATTTGGGTTGGTTCCAAGTCTTTGCTATTGTGAATAGTGCCGCAATAAACATACGTGTGCATGTGTCTTTAGAGAAGCATGATTTATAGTCCTTTGGGTATATACCCAGTAATGGGATGGCTGGGTCAAACGGTATTTCTAGTTCTGGATCCTTGAGGAATCACCACACTGACTTCCACAATGGTTGAACTAGTTTACAGTCCCACCAACTGTGTAAAAGTGTTCCTATTTCTCCACATCCTCTCCAGCACCTGTTGTTTCCTGACTTTTTAATGATTGCCATTCTAACTGGTGTGAGATGATATCTCATTGTGGTTTTGATTTGCATTTCTCTGATGGCCAGTGATGGTGAGCATTTTTTCATGTGTTTTTTGGCTGCATAAATGTCTTCTTTTGAGAAGTGTCTGTTCATATCCTTCGCCCACTTTTTGATGGGGTTGTTTGTTTTTTCTTGTAAATTTGTTTGAGTTCATTGTAGATTCTGGATATTAGCCCTTTGACAGATGAGTAGGTTGCGAAAATTTTCTCCCATTTTGTGGGTTGCCTGTTCACTCTGATGGTAGTTTCTTTTGCTGTGCAGAAGCTCTTTAGTTTAATTAGATCCCATTGTCAATTTTGGCTTTTGTTGCCATTGCTTTTGGTGTTTTAGACATGAAGTTCTTGCCCGTGCCTATGTCCTGAATGGTAATGCCTAGGTTTTCTTCTAGGGTTTTTATGGTTTTAGGTCTAACGTTTAAGTCTTTAATCCATCTTGAATTGATTTTTGTATAAGGTGTAAGGAAGGGATCCAGTTTCAGCTTTCTACATATGGCTAGCCAGTTTTCCCAGCACCATTTATTAAATAGGGAATCCTTTTCCCATTGCTTGTTTTTCTCAGGTTTGTCAAAGATCAGATAGTTGTAGATATGCAGCGTTATTTCTCAGGGCTCTGTTCTGTTCCATTGATCTATATCTCTGTTTTGGTACCAGTACCATGCTGTTTTGCTTACTGTAGCCTTGTAGTATAGTTTGAAGTCAGGTAGTGTGATGCCTTCAGCTTTGTTCTTTTGGCTTAGGATTGACTTGGTGATGCGGGCTCTTTTTTGGTTCCATATGAACTTTAAAGTAGTTTTTTCCAATTCTGTGAAGAAAGGCATTGGTAGCTTGATGGGGATGGCATTGAATCTATAAACTACCTTGGGCAGTATGGCCATTTTCATGATATTGATTCTTCCTACCCATGAGCATGGAATGTTCTTCCATTTCTTTGTATCCTCTTTTATTTCATTGAGCAGTGGTTTGTAGTTCTCCTTCAAGAGGTCCTTCACGTCCCTTGTAAGGTGGATTCCTAGGTATTTTATTCTCTTTGAAGCAATTGTGAATGGGAGTTCACTCATGATTTGGCTCTCTGTTTGTCTGTTATTGGTGTATAAGAATGCTTGTGATTTTTGTACATTGATTTTGTATCCTGAGACTTTGCTGAAGTTGCTTATCAGCTTAAGGAGATTTTGGGCTGAGACAATGGGGTTTTCTAGATATACAATCATGTCGTCTGCAAACAGGGACAATTTGACTTCCTCTTTTCCTAATTGAATACCCTTTATTTCCTTCTCCTGCCTAATTGCCCTGGCCAGAACTTCCAACACTATGCTGAATAGGAGTGGTGAGAGAGGGCATCCCTGTCTTGTGCCAGTTTTCAAAGGGAATGCTTCCAGTTTTTGCCCATTCAGTATGATATTGGCTGTGGGTTTGTCATAGATAGCTCTTATTATTTTGAGATACGTCCCATCAATACCTAATTTATTGAGAGTTTTTGGCATGAAGGGTTGTTGAATTTTGTCGAAGGCCTTTTCTGTATCTATTGAGATAATCATGTGGTTTTTGTCTTTGGTTCTGTTTATATGCTGGATTACATTTATTGATTTGCATATATTGAACCAGCCTTGCATCCCAGGGATGAAGCCCACTTGATCATGGTGGATAAGCTTTTTGATGTGCTGCTGGATTCGGTTTGCCAGTATTTTGTTGAGGATTTTTGCATCAATGTTCATCAAGGATATTGGTCTAAAATTCCCTTTTTTGGTTGTGTCTCTGCCCGGCTTTGGTATCACGATGATGCTGGCCTCATAAAATGAGTTAGGGAGGATTCCCTCTTTTTCTGTTGATTGGAATAGTTTCAGAAGGAATAGTACCAGTTCCTCCTTGTACCTCTGGTACAATTCGGCTGTGAATCCATCTGGTCCTGGACTCTTTTTGGTTGGTAAGCTATTGATTATTGCCACAATTTCAGAGCCTGTTATTGGTCTATTCAGAGATTCAACTTCTTCCTGGTTTAGTCTTGGGAGAGTGTATGTGTTGAGGAATTCATCCATTTCCTCTAGATTTTCTAGTTTATTTGCGTAGAGGTGTTTGTAGTATTCTCTGATGGTAGTTTGTATTTCTGTGGGATTGGTGGTGATATCCCCTTTATCATTTTTTATTGCATCTATTTGATTCTTCTCTCTTTTTTTCTTTATTAGTCTTGCTAGTGGTCTATCAATTTTGTTGATCCTTTCAAAAAACCAGCTCCTGGATTCATTAATTTTTTGAAGGGTTTTTTGTGTCTCTATTTCCTTCAGTTCTGCTCTGATTTTAGTTATTTCTTGCCTTCTGCTAGCTTTTGAATGTGTTTGCTCTTGCTTTTCTAGTTCTTTCAATTGTGATGTTTGGGTGTCAATTTTGGATCTTTCCTGCTTTCTCTTGTGGGCATTTAGTGCTATAAATTTCCCTCTACACACTGCTTTGAATGTGTCCCAGAGATTCTGGTATGTTGTGTCTTTGTTCTCATTGGTTTCAAAGAACATCTTTATTTCTGCTTTCATTTCGTTATGTACCCAGTGTCATTCAGGAGCAGGTTGTTCAGTTTCCATGTAGTTGAGCGGTTTTGAGTGAGTTTCTTAATCCTGAGTTCTAGTTTGATTGCACTGTGGTCTGAAAGATGGTTTGTTATAATTTCTGTTCTTTTACATTTGCTGAGGAGAGCTTTACTTCCAAGTATGTGGTCAATTTTGGAATAGGTGTGGTGTGGTGCTGAAAAAAATGTATATTCTATTGATTTGGGGTGGAGAGTTCTGTAGATGTCTATTAGGTCCCCTTGGTGCAGAGCTGAGTTCAATTCCTGGGTATCCTTGTTGACTTTCTGTCTTGTTGATCTGTCTAATGTTGACAGTGGGGTGTTAAAGTCTCCCATTATTAATGTATGGGAGTCTAAGTCTCTTTGTAGGTCACTCAGGACTTGCTTTATGAATCTGGGTGCTCCTGTATTGGGTGCATATATATTTAGGTTAGCTCTTCTTGTTGAATTGATCCCTTTACCATTATGTAATGGCCTTCTTTGTCTCTTTTGATCTTTGTTGGTTTAAAGTCTGTTTTATCAGAGACTAGGATTGCAACCCCTGCCTTTTTTTGTTTTCCATTTGCTTGGTACATCTTTCTACCAAGCAAATGGAAAACAGATTCTGCCTTTTTTCACAGCCTTTAGTCTTTGACCAATGGACCAAGTCTCACACCTTGAAGACAAGGGTAAGCAGGAGTAAAGCACAAGTGATAGGGAGAGAACAACTTACCAGGTTCCCTAAAGAAATTGAAAATAGAAGTAGAAATAGAAACAGAATGGTCTAGAGCAAAACTTGGCAGACGTTTTCTGTACAAAGCCAGATAGTAAATGTTTTAGGCTTTGTGGGCCATTCAGCTTCTATCACAACTATTCAACTCTGTTGTTAAAATTTGAAAGCACCCACAAAAAAAAATGTAAGTAAACGGGAATAGTTGAATTCCAGTAAAACCTTAATTACAAAAATAGGCAGCAACAACTTAGCAAGAGAAAAATAAGCAACCCAATTCAAAAATAAGCAAGGGACTTGAAGAGACACATCTCCAAAGAACATATAAAAATGACAAGCACACAAAAAGATGCTCAATATCACTAAACATTATGGAAATGCAAATAAAAACTACAAGGTACCACTTTACATACATTAAGGTGGCTATTATAATTTTAAAAAAACAGAAAATAACAAGTGTTGACAAGGACATGGAGAAATTAGAACTCTTGTGCATTACTAGTAGGAATGTAAAATGGTGCAAACACTGTGGAAAAATTATATGGTGATTCCTCAAAAAGTTAAACATGGAATTATCTTATGACTCAGACATTCCACTTCTAGGTATATACACAAAAGAAATAAACTGAGGCACAAAAACAAGTATTTGTACATCAATGTTCATAACAGCACTATTCACAATAGACTAAAAGTGAACCCAACCAGATGTCCATCAGTAGAAGAACAAATAAGCAAAATGTGACATATATACATATATATAATGGGGTATTATTCATCCTTAAAAAGGAAGGAAATTCTGACATGTGCAACAACATAGATGAACGTTGAAGACATCATGTTAAGTAAAATAAGCCAGTCACAAAAGGGCAAATATTGTATGATTCCACTTAAAATTCTTTTAAGCCTTGGTTTTTTTTCTAGTTCCATATTGTTTTTGTAAATAAGGTTTTATTGGAATAGAGTAAACGAATTCACAGAAAGTACAATGGTGGTTGGCAAGGGACTAGGGGAAGGGGAAATGGAGAGTAAGTGTTTAATGGGTAGAGAATTTCAGTTACAGAAGATGAAAGAGTTCTGGAGATGGATGGTGGTTGAACAACAATGCAAATGTACTTAATGCCATGGAATCCCTATACACATAAAAATTGTTAAAATGGTTAATCTTATTATAAATATTTTACCACAATAAAAGAAGTAAAAATAATTAAAATTTAAAAAAATAAAACAGGCAGGCTGCAGTTTGTTAAGCCTTGAATTAAAGCTGGATATTGTATATATTTCTGAAGAGGAAGCATATGATAGTTAGGATGGGTTAGATTATGCTGCAGTAACAATCTCAGAAAACTCAGTGGCTTAAAACTAGAAGAGTTGAGGTTGATCTCTCCAAGATGGCCGAATAGGAACAGCTCCAATCTGCAGCTCCCAGCAGGACTGATGCTGAAGATGGGTGATTTCTGCATTTCCAACTGAGGTACCTGGTTCATCCCACTGGGACAGGTTGGACAGTGGGTGCAGCCCATGGAGGGTGAGCCAAAGCAGGGAGTGTTGTCGACTCCCCGGGAAGTGCAAGGGGTTGGGAGATTTCCGTTTCCTAGCCAAGGGAAGCCATGACAGACAGTACCTGGAAAATCGGGACACTTCCACCCTAATACTGCGCTTTTCCAATGGTCTTAGCAAACAGCACACCAGGAGATTATATCCCATGCCTGGCTCGGCAGGTCCCATACCCATGGAGCGCTGCTCACTGCTAGCACAGCAGTCCGAGATCGAACTGCGAGATGGCAGCCTGGGCTGGGTGAGGGGCGTCCGCCATTGCCGAGGTTTGAGTAGTTAAAAAAGCAGCCAGAAAGCTTGAACTGGGTAAAGCCCACCGCAGCAAAACAAGGCCTGCCTGCCTCTGTAGACTCCACCTCTGGGGGCAGGGCATAGCTGAACAAAAGACAGCAGAAACTTCTACAGACTTAAATGTCCATGTCTGACAGCTCTGAAGAGAGCAGTGGTTCTCCCAGCGTGGATTTGAGCTCTGAGAACAGACAGACTGCCTCCTCCAGTGGGTCCCTGACCCCCATGTAGCCTAACTGGGAGATACCTGCCAGTAGGAGCTGACTGACACCTCATACAGACGAGTGCCCCTCTGAGACGAAGCTTTCAGAGGAGGGATCAGGCAGCAATATTTGCTGTTCTGCAGCCTCTGCTGGTGTTACCCAGGCAATCAGGGTCTGCAGTGGACCTCCAGCAAACTCCAACAGACCTCCAGCTGAGGGTCCTGACTATTAGAAGGAAAACTAACAAACAGAAAGGAAGAGCATCGACATCAACAAAAAGAACATCCATACCAAAACCCCATCTGTAGGTCACCATCATCAAAGACCAAAGGTAGTAAAACCATAAAGATGGGGAGAAACCAGAGCAGAAAAGCTGAAAATTCTAAAAACCAGAGCACCTCTTCTTCTCCAAAGGAGTGCAGCTCCTTGCCAGCAATGGAACAAAGCTGGACGGAGCATGACTTTGACAAGTTGACAGAGTAGGCTTCAGAAGGTTGGTAATATCAAACTTCTCTGAACTAAAGGAGGATGTTCGAACCCATCACAAGGAAGCTAAAAACCTTGAAAAAAAGATTAGATGAATGACTAACTAGAACAAACAGTGTAGAGAAGACCTTAAATGACCTGATAGAGCTGGAAACCATGGCACAAGAACTATGTGACACATGCACAAGCTTCAGCAGCCGATTCGATCAAGTGGAAGAAAGGGTATCAGTGATTGAAGATCAAATGAATGAAATGAAGCGAGAAGAGAAGTTTAGAGAAAAAAAGAGTAAAAAGAAATGAACAAAGCATCCAAGAAATATGGGACTATGTGAAAAGACCAAATCTACATTTGATTGGTGTACCTGAAAGTGATGGGGAGAATGGAACCAAGTTGGAAAACACTCTGCAGGATATTATCCAGGAGAACTTTCCCAACCTAGCAAGTCAGGCCAACATTCAAATTCAGAAATACAGAGAACACCACAAAGATACTCTTCGAGAAGAGCAACCCCAAGACACATAATTGTCAGATTCACCAAGGTTGAAATGAAGGAAAAAATGTTAAGGGCAGCCAGAGAGAAAGGTCAGGTTACCCACAAAGGGAAGCCCATCAGACTAACAGCCGATCTCTCAGCAGAAACTCTACAAGCCAGAAGAGAGTGGGGGCCAATATTCAACATTCTTAAAGAAAAGAATTTTCAACCCAGAATTGCATATCCAGCCAAACTAAGCTTTATAAGTGAAGGAGAAATAAAATCCTTCACAGACAAACAAATGCTGAGAGATTTTGTCACCACCAGGCCTGCCCTAAAAGAGCTCCTGAAGGAAGCGCTAAACATGGAAAGGAACAACCGGTAACAGCCACTGCAAAAATATGCCAAATCGTAAAGACCATCGATGCTAGGAAGAAACTGCATCAACTAATGAGCAAAATAGCCAGCTAACATCATAATGAAAGGATCAAATTCACACATAACAATATTAACCTTAAATGTAAATGGGCTAAATGCCCCAATTAAAAGACACAGACTGGCAAATTGGATAAAGAGTCAAGACCCATTAGTGTGCTGTATTCAGGAGACCCATCTCACGTGCAGAGACACACATAGGCTCAAAATAAAGGGATGGAGGAAGATCTACAAAGCAAATGGAAAGCAAAAAAAGCAGGGGTTGCAATCCTAGTCTCTAATAAAACAGACTTTAAACCAACAAAGATCAAAAGAGACAAAGAAGGCCATTACATAATGGTAAAGGGATCAATTCAACAAGAAGAGCTAATGATCCTAAATATACAAGCACCCAATACAGGAGCACCCAGATGCATAAGGCAAGTCCTTAGAGACCTACAAAGAGACTTAGACTCCCAGACAATAATAATGGGAGACTTTAACACCCCACTGTCAATATTAGACAGAAGGTCAACAAGGATATCCAGGACTTGAACTCAGCTCTGCACCAAGCAGACCTAATAGACACCTACAGAACTCTCCATCCCAAATCAACAGAATACACATTCTTCTCAGCACCACATCCCACTTATTCCAAAATTGACCACATAGTTGGAAATAAAGCACTCCTCAGCAAATGTAAAAGAACAGAAATTACAACAAACTGTCTCTCAGAACACAGTGCAATCCAATTAGAACTCAGAATTAAGAAATTCACTCAAAACTACACAACTAAATAGAAACTGAACAACCTGCTCCTGAATGACTACTGGGTAAATAACGAAATGAAGGGAGAAATAAAGATGTTCTTTGAAACCAATGAGAACAAAGACACAACATATCAGAATCTCTGGGACACATTTAAAGCGGTGTGTAGAGGGAAATTTATAACACTAAATGCCCACAAGAGAAAGGAGGAAAAATCTAAAATCGACACCCTAACATCACAATTAGAAGAACTAGAGAAGCAAGAGCAAACAAATTCAAAATCTAGCAGAAGACAAGAAATAACTAAGATCAGAGCAGAACTGAAGGAGATAGAGACAAAAAAAACCCTTCAAAACAATCAATGAATCCAGGAACTGGTTTTTTGAAAAGATCAACAAAATTGATAGACTGCTAGCAAGAATAATAAAGAAGAAAAGAGAGAAGAATCAAACAGATGCAATAAAAAAATGATAAAGGGGATATCACCACCGATCCCACTGAAATACAAACTACCATCAGAGAATACTATAAACACCTCTACACAAATAAACTTGAAAATCTAGAAGAAATGGATAAATTCCTGGACGCATACACCCTCTCAAGACTAAAGCAGGAAGAAGTTGAATCCCTGAATAGACCAATAACAGGCTCTGAAATTGAGGCAATAATTAATAGCCTACCAACCAAAAAAAGTTCAGGACCAGATGGATTCACAGCCAAATTCTAACAAAGTTACAAACAGGAGCTGATACCATTCCTTCTGAAACTATTCCAATCAATAGAAAAAGAGGGAATTCTCCCTAACTCATTTTATGAGGCCAGCATCATCCTGATACCAAAGCCGGGCAGAGACACAACAAAAAAAGAGAATTTTAGACCAATATCCCTGATGAACATTGATGTGAAAATCCTCAATAAAATACTGGCAAACTCAAGCCAGCAGCACAACAAAAAGCATATCCATCATGATAAAGTTGGCTTCATCCCTGGGATGCAAGGCTCTTTCACCATACACAAATCAATAAATGTAATCCATCACATAAACAGAACCAAAGACAAAAACCACATGATTATCTCAATAGATGCCGAAAAGGCCTTCAACAAAATTCAACAGCCCTTCATGCTAAAAACTCTCAATAAACCAGGTATTGATGGGATGTATCTCAAAATAACAAGACCTATTTATGACAGACCCACAGCCAATATCATACTGAATGGGCAAATACTGGAAGCAGTCCGTCTGAAAACTGGCACAAGACAAGGATACCCTGTCTCACCACTCCTATTCAACATAGTGTTGGAAGTTCTGGCCAGGGCAATCAGGCAGGAGCAAGAAATAAAGGGTATTCAATTAGGAAAAGGGGAAGTCAAATTGTCCCTGTTTGCAGATGACATTATTGTATACTTAGAAAACTCCATCGTCTCAGCCCAAAATCTCCTTAAGCTGATAAGCAACTTCATCAGTCTCAGGATACAAAATCAATGTGGAAAAATCACAAGCATTCTTATACACCAATAACAGACAGAGAGCCAAATCATGAGTGAACTCCCATTCACAATTGCTTCAAAGAGAATAAAATACCTAGGAATACAACTTACAAGGGATGTGAAGGACCTCTTCAAGGAGAACTACAAACCACTGCTCAACCAAATAAAAGAGGACACAAACAAATGGAAGAACATTCCACGCTCATGAATAGGAAAAATCAATATTGTGAAAATGGCCATACTGCCCAAAGTAATTTATAGATTCAATGCCATCCCCATCAAGCTACCAATGACTTTCTTCACAGAATTGGAAAAAACTACTTTAAGTTCATATGGAACCAAAAAACAGCCACATTGCCAAGACAATCCAATCCTAAGCAAAAAGAACAAAGCTGGAGGCATCACGCTACCTGACTTCAAACTATACTACAAGGCTACAGTAACCAAAACAGCATGGTACTTGTACCAAACAGAGATATAGACCAGTGGAACAGAACAGAGGCCTCAGAAATAACACAAACCTGACAAAAACAAGAAATGGGAAAAGGATTCCCTATTTAATAAATGCTGCTGGGAAACTGGCTAGCTATATGTAAAAAGCTGAAACTGCATCCCTTACTTACACCTTAAACAAAAATTAATTCAAGATGGATTAAAGACTTAAATGTTAGACCTAAAACCATAAAAACCCTAGAAGAAAACTCAGGCAATACCATTCAGGACATAGGCATGGGCAAGGACTTCATGACTAAAACACCAAAAGCAATGGCAACAAAAGCCAAAATTGACAAATGGGATCTAATTAAACCAAAGAGCTTCTGCACAGCAAAAGAAACTGCTATCAGAGTGAACAGGCAACCTACAGGTAATGGGAGAAAATTTTCGCCATCTACCCACCTGACAAAGGGCTAATATCCAGAATCTACAAAGAACTTAAACAAATTTACAAGAAAAAATCAAATAACTCCATCCAAAAGTGGGCGAAGGATATGAATGAACAGACACTTCTCAAAAGAAGACATTTATGCAGCCAACAGACACATGAAAAAATGCTCATCATCACTGGTCATCAGAGAAATGCAAATCAAAACCACAATGAAATACCATCTCACACCAGTTAGAATGGTGATCATTAAAAAGTCAGGAAACAACAGGTGCTGGAGAGGATGCGGAGAAATAGGAACACTTTTACACAGTTGGTGGGAGTGTAAATTAGTTCAACCATTGTGGAAGACAGTGTGGCGATTCCTCAAGGATCTAGAACTAGAAATACCATTTGATCCAGTGATCCCATTACTGGGTATATACCCAAAGGATTATAAATCATGCTACTATAAAGGCACATGTACACATATGTTTATTGCGGCGCTATTCACAATAGCAAAGACTTGGAACCAACCCAAATGTCCATCAGTGATAGACTGGATTAAGAAAATGTGGCACATATACACCATGGAATACTATGCCACCATAAAAAAGGATGAGTTCATGTCCTTTGTAGGGACATGGATGAAGCTAGAAACCATCATTCTGAGCAAACTATCACAAGGACAGAAAACCAAACACCTCATGTTCTCACTCATAGGTGGGAATTTAACAATGAGAATACTTGGACACAGGGTGGGGAACATGACACACCGTGGCCTGTCATGGGGTGGGGGGAGTTGGGAGGGATAGCTTTAGGAAATATACCTAATGTAAATGACGAGTTAACAAGTGCAGCACAACAACATGGCACATGTATACATACGTAACAAACCTGCACATTGTGCACATGTATCCTAGAACTTAAAGTACAATAAAAAAATTAATAAAACCACAAAGAGATACCATCTCACACCAGTTAGAATGGTGATCATTAAAAAGTCAGGAAACAACAGGTGCTGGAGAGGATGTGGAGAAATAGGAACACTTTTACACAGTTGGTGGGAGTGTAAATTAGTTCAACCATTGTGGAAGACAGTGTGGCGATTCCTCAAGGATCTAGAACTAGAAATACCATTTGATCCAGTGATCCCATTACTGGGTATATACCCAAAGGATTATAAATCATGCTACTATAAAGGCACATGTACACATATGTTTATTGCGGCGCTATTCACAATAGCAAAGACTTGGAACCAACCCAAATGTCCATCAGTGATAGACTGGATTAAGAAAATGTGGCACATATACACCATGGAATACTATGCAGCCATAAAAAAGGATGAGTTCATGTCCTTTGTAGGGACATGGATGAAGCTAGAAACCATCATTCTGAGCAAACTATCACAAGGACAGAAAACCAAACACCTCATGTTCTCACTCATAGGTGGGAATTTAACAATGAGAATACTTGGACACAGGGTGGGGAACATGACACACCGTGGCCTGTCATGGGGTGGGGGGAGTGGGGAGGGATAGCTTTAGGAAATATACCTAATGTAAATGACGAGTTAACAAGTGCAGCACAACAACATGGCACATGTATACATATGTAACAAACCTGCACATTGTGCACATGTATCCTAGAACTTAAAGTACAATAAAAAAATTAATAAAACCACAAAGAGATACCATCTCACACCAGTTAGAATGGTGATCATTAAAAAGTCAGGAAACAACAGGTGCTGGAGAGGATGTGGAGAAATAGGAACACTTTTACACTGTTGGTGGGAGTGTAAATTAGTTCAACCATTGTGGAAGACAGTGTGGTGATTCCTCAAGGATCCAGAACTAGAAATGCCATTTGATCCAGTGATCCCATTACTGGTTATATACCCAAAGGATTATAAATCATGCTACTATAAAGACACATGTACGTATATGTTTATTGTGGCACTATTCACAATAGCAAAGACTTGGAACCAACCCAAATGTCCATCAGTGATAGACTGGATTAAGAAAATGTGGCACGTATACACCATGGAATATTATGCAGCCATAAAAAAGGATGAGTTAATGTCCTTTGTAGGGACATGGATGAAGTTGGAAACCATCATTCTGAGCAAACTATCACAAGGACAGAAACCCAAACACTGCATGTTCTCACTCATAGGTGGGAATTGAACAATGAGAACACTTGGACACAGGGCGGGGAACATCACACACTGGGGTCTGTTCTGGGGTGGGGGAAGGGGGAGGGATAGCATTAAGAGAAATACCTAATGTAAATGATGAGTTAATGGGTGCAGCACACCAACATGGCACATGTATACATATGTAACAAACCTGCACGTTGTGCACATGTATCCTAGAACTTAAAGTATAATGATAATAATTAAAAAACTAGAAGAGTTGATTTTTCACTCATACTCTATGCTAGCACAGATTGGCAGGTCGGCTTTGCTCCACGTGCAGATTGCTCCATTTGCTCACTGTGTCTTGAGATGCCACCGTTTTCCTGTGATGCTTCATGGGGTTCACCAATGCAAAGAAGGAGCAGAGCTGGAGGATTGCACAGCAGCCATGAAATGCTCTAGCCCAGACGTGACACAGCTCTTTTGTTCACAACCCAGGGGCAATAATTAATTACTCAACTGCAAGGAAGCAGGAAAGTGTAATCCTCCTATGTGCCTAGGAAGAGAGGAGAACTAGATTTGGAAGAAATTAGAACTCTCTGTGAGAAACTAAATATTTTTCACAAGATACTAGAAACCCAAGATAATATAAGTTCAGGAACATATACATCTGAAGCCAGGCACAGAAAGTCAAACATCACATGTTCTTACTTATTTGTGGGATCTAAAACTCGAAACAATAAAACACATGGAGATACAGAGTAGAAAGGTGGTTATCAGAGGCTGGGAAGGATAGTGCAGGGTGGAGGGGAGGTGGTGATGGTTAAGAATAAGAATAAGACCTAGCGTTTGATAGCACAACACGGTGACTATAGCCAAAATGATTTAATTGTGTATTTTAAAATAACTAAAAGAATATAATTGGATTGTTTGTAACATGAAGGATAAATGATTGCAGGGATGGATATCCTCTTTTCCATGATGAGATTACTACACATTGTATGCCTATATCAAAATATCTCATGTACCCCATAAATATACATATCTACTACGTACCCACAAAGATCAAAAATTAAAAAAAACTGACAAAAAAGAAACATATACATCTGTTTACCAGGCTTATTGTAAGTTCTTCAGTGGCTATGATAATGTGTTCCATTTTAATAAGAAATCATAAAAAATATCCCTAAAATTATTACAGTAGTGCCTATGAGGAAATTCCAGGAGCTTATTATAATGCCTCAACCCCAATAAAAATAGAATAGAGGGCTTCTATAGGTTACCACCCACCTGAACAGCTGGAACTAAGGCTCAGCAATTATAATACCCCTGCAAAACTAAACACACCTAGTTAGCGAAAAGGAGAAAGAGTGACCTTAACGTTGGAAATGCCTGAGGGAAGCAGCATGCCAGCCAGAACAATTACCTAGCAATACCTTGCAAATTAGTACAAGCCCATAGTTCAAAAATATTCCCAGAACTTACATAAGAGCCATCATTCAAGACTAAATATTATTGGCCTGGATAGAAGAAAAACTCTTTAAAGCCTTAATTTCCAAAATAATTTCGTTTTATTTTTAATTAGACAAAAACATTCAGCCATATGAAACACTCAGTTCTTACGCCCCATGGTAATAAGGAATGACAAGTCCTTTTCTTTCTAACTTAGACTTCTGCCTTTCAAAATTGAAGCTTGTATTACTGCTATCATAATTTAAATTAAGGTGCTTCCCTAGCAGCTCCTAGCAGACTGTCTTGGACATCTCTCTTGCCTATCCAAACTCCTAGAAATTGTGTTCTCAAAAGTCCAGTGTCTTGACTGGATGTGGTGGCTCATGCCTTTAATCCCAGCACTTTGGGAGGCTGAAGTGGGCAGATTACTTGAGGTTAGGAGTTCGAGACTAGCCTGGCCAACATGGTGAAACCCCATCTCTATAAAAATACAGAAATAGCTGGGCGTGGTGGCATGCACCTTTAATCCCAGCTACTCAGGAGGCCAAGGCAGGAGAATCGCTTCAACCTGGGAGGCAGGGATTACAGTGAGCTGAGACTGTGCCACTGCACTCCAGCCTGGGCGACAGAGCGAGACTCCGACTCAAAAAAAAAAAAAAAATCTAATGTCTCTTTTAGAGCAAAGCATTTTTAAGCACAACATTACTATATCTCTGTATGTTACAACAGAGATTTAAACTATGTGACATCCCCAAATTTTTCTAACCATCTCTCAAATCTCCTTCCCATGAGGTCAGGTTTGTGAGGTCCCTTGGAACAGAGGCTGCTAAGGACCATCGAAATAGAGTTTGGCCCTGCTGCAGAGGGACTCCTGATCGACAGTCAAAGGTTGTTTCTCTTTCTTATTTTCTTAAAGGAAAGTTGCCTTATTTTCATGCTAACCTGGACATATCATCAGGTTATTTGTCATTGGTCTTCCTAAAACAGAGGACAAAGTAGAAGGTGCGAGGTGTCACGCGGCTGTGCAGGGGCCCTCACAGGAGAAGGTTCAGGTGTGCAGAGTGGTGAGAGGAGGGCCTGCAGGACACTGCCCATGCTGTAGCTGTTCTTTTAACTCCAGATTTGCAATTCCAAATCTCTTACTTCTCCTTTCTCTCCTTGCCTTTTTTCCCTCTCCCATGAGCACTGACTCCTCCCTCTTGCGTCTATCCTTATATTGAATTAAACCGGAAATAGCGGTCCATGTGACCTTCCTCTAAAGGCCCTATAATCAAAAGGAGGAGTTGGCCGGGCGCGGTGGCTCACGCCTGTAATCCCAGCACTTTGGGAGGCCGAGGCAGGTGGATCACGAGGTCAGGAGATCAAGACCATGCTGGCTAACACGGTGAAACCCCGTCTCTACTAAAAAAATACAAAAAAAATTAGCTGGGCGCGGTGGCGGGCGCCTGTAGACCCAGCTACTTGGGAGGCTGAGGCAGGAGAATGGCAGGAACCCGGGAGGTGGAGTTTGCAGTGAGCAGAGATCGCGCCACTGCACTCCAGCCTGGGAGACAGAGCGAGATTCCGTCTCAAAAAAAAAAAAAAAAAAAGGAGGAGTTACATCATGTAATGTAGCATCAAGTTTCCTTTGTAACGAAGAGTTGGGGAAAGTACTTTTTATCTCTGACATCCACATATGTAAGGGAGGCTAGTATTCCCAGCCCAAGTAGCAAATTGAGAGCCACCAAACGGAGGATGGAAAAAAAGAAAATGCATCCTTGCTCTACCTCTAGCTGCATGGAATGCAACTGGTGTATGAAGGCCCAATGTTTGGCTTGTTCTGTAGAAAGTAAATCATAGGTTTCAAAATCCGGTTGCTGGCTTCCCTGGAGGAATCACTTTAAATCGTGACTACTACACTTCTCCAGGGCACATGACCAACCTACCAGCCATTAGTCACCTTGTCTGTCCCTGGCTTATAACTTGGATAATGTATTGTTCTGGAAATGTCATCTGGGCTTTTTAACATTTGAGTTCTTTGCTGAAATGTACTCTGAACTGGCATGCTTAGAGGAATGAAAGGATAAAGATTTTTTATTTCCTGCAGAGAGGGAAGAGGGCAGTTCTCACAACAGGCTTACTTCTTCCTTCTATTTCTTCCCTTTCCTCTGTCATCCAATATGGGTAACAATAAAGAGAATCAGTTTGCAAAGTGAAGCTAATGGCTGAGTTGACAGTAGCATTTTCAATGCAATGCTTACATATTCAGTGCTCTTGCCTTGACTCACAAATGTCTGTTCCCATGGAACACTGGCTACATCACACTAATATAAGCATCACCACACTTATACATATTAAGGATTTTAAGACAAGAGGAAAGTAATTACTTGGAGGAAGAATAATTGACTGTACCGGGGTCAGTTGGAGAGGGTCTAGGAGTGGTGGATCCACTGGGTCAGAAAGATTCTGTAGCCATTCCAGTCTGTGATGGTTCTGCCTCACATCAGTGATGTTTGGAAGGTTAAGGTGGACATCATGGCTGGATAATGACTCATCAGGCTGGGTTTTCCTTCTGCATTGGAGTGCTTTAGAAAGAAGGAAGCCAGTGCAAGGAAAGCCCTGAGCTGATTCCTTACTTGGGTCGAGCCCTCTTGAAGAGGATGGGCATTTCCCCATCCTCCTGTGGAGATGCCTGAGAAGGTCAGCAGAGGTGACACAACAGATCTTATAGACATGAGAGCACTGAGTGACCGTCAATAGGTGAAGAAATATGTCTCACTAACACATTAAGGTCATTTCTTGCTTATAGAGGGAAAACCAGAATATAATTCTAACTCTGAAGGTCCAGCCTTGTACAGAAGGACAAAACCCAAGAAACATACATACATTTCTATTCAAATTTATTTATGCTTCTTTTTATTTCCTTTAATGATGGAATGGTTTTTATCTGACCAGGAACTTATCATAATTGTCTTTCTTAGAAGACTTAATAGAAGACAGTTTTTTTCACTTCTAATATCATTTGTTTAATATGTTCTAGATATTTTTTCAAAATTGATTGAATCAACATCACTTTTAACTTCAAAAGGCATCATTTATAAGACAATATTTAAGCGGCAGTTCACCATTATAAATTAGTTTGATGAATTATGATATTATCTGCATTTAAGGTAAAAGATCTATTTGATTATTTAGGAAAAATCAGTAAATAAGGACCTGTGCAATTGCCTTTTGGGACCTTTGTTGATTTCTCTCATTCAAAGGGACACTATTATGGGTATTATCTGCACCTAGATGTTTAATGGCAGTGATGGTGATGATGATGATGATGATAGCAATAACATATGGCTTTATTTGGGAAATAATTCCTTTTATCTTATGCTAACTGCTAGGTGCCAGATATTCTATTTCAAAGCTGGTGTGGAATCCACAAGCTTGCTTTTAAATATCCATGGCAGTGCTGTATTCATAAACACTTCCTTGGAAATGTTATAGTCCTGGTAGGCATACTCCCTTAAGAAATAATAATAGTGACTACCTAAATGAGGACAATGAATCTTTTTAAAACATTGATCCCTCCTCATGGTTTCCAAAAGTCAAGATGTATTGGTTATCCATTGCAACATAACAAATGGCATGCAAAACAAATCACTACCCCAAAATGTAGTGATTTAAAACAATAAAATATATTATTTCCACTTTCGGAATTTAAAAGCAGCTTCAAGGGTGGTTCTGGCTTAGGGCATCTCATGAGTTGTGGTCAAAATGAAGGCTGGAGCTGATGTCATCCACACACTTCACTGGAACTGGAGGATCTGCTTCCAGGTTGGCTCACTCACACGCCTGGCGAGTCGCTGCTGCAAACCTCGGTTTCCCCCTACGTGAGCCTCTCCTCATGCAGCTTGGATGTCCTGAAACACAGTGATGAGTGACCCCCTGTTGAAAGCAATCCAAGAAGGCAAGGCAGAAATAGCGCCTGTTGTGATCCAGCCTCAGAAGTCACATACTGTGACTTCCAGTACATTCTATGAGTTAGAAGCAAATAACTAAGTCTACGCACATGCCAGGGGAGGGAAATTAAGAAGGGGAGGGACATGAGGTACGATCTTTCGAAGGAGCAATTTTGAAAGATTCGTGGACATATTTTAAAACCACCACATAAGGTTGTGTAGTCCCCAGATGAAACCGTTTGTGTTCAGTAAAATATTCTCACTTTAAAAAAATACATTTATTGAGCATTTTATAAGCATGACTTGAAAGTGATAAAATACTTTGATCACAGTCATTCTTTATGTGTGGCATGCTGACTGCATTGAAACTACAGAATTTGAATAACAATCCTTTGCAAATACAAGCATTTGTACAGTGATAGCTCAGTGTGCCAGATAATAGGCCACTGCCTCTCAGTGCCAAACCCACCCTCTGTACTCTCCCCTGTGATTCTCCTGCCAGCTTCTCCTTGTCAGGTGCTGCCGACAGGAGAATTAAACAGAGATTGCAAGGCTAGAGGAGGTAGAAGAGATTTGCTCCTTCCTCCTTGCTTCCTGTGTCACCCTGCTTTCCTTCTCTACACCAGCAGGTGCAGCTCCTTCCCAGAGCATCAACGGAACCAGTGCATTTTCCCGGTACTTGTGCATCTAGCCCCATTGTATGCCATCAGAAATACCGGCCAACCAGTGTCCCTGCCTTAGAAGCCAGGAAACCTACTCTCAGCTCAGAGAAACAAGTACCTGCTAAGCAATGGCTCCTTCTCAGAATTCTCGGTTTCAGCTCCGTGAGATCTCTCTTCCATGTTTCTAAGGTTTTCCAATTCCCACCTTTTCTCCTTGTTCTCCCAGCCCCAACAGTGGTAGCTACTTCCTGCATTTGATCCCTCCACAATAACTTCATTCATTTTGCCTTTCATTTCTTAGTTAACCGTTCTTTACATTAAATTCTCTCTTTTAAAACAAAACAAGTGGTGGTCTCTGTCTCCTGACTGTGTCCTGACTGCTACGTTCATAATGTAATTGTCCAAAAGAACAAGGAGATATGTGTAATGGAGGCTGTTGCTCAGAGTCTGGAAATTAGGTAAAGTCACAGGAAAATATTAGGGTGCCCTTACCAGTGCTTGGAGTCATTTAAGGTTGTACAACAAAATTATCAGTCATGAAATGGGGAACTATTATAAGCTGAATGCTTTGAATGTGAAAAGATAAATCTATTAGTGCTGTGGGTCTTTAAAGATCAAATCAGATGCACAGGGAAACACTGACTACCTTCAGAGCACCCTAGAGATGGATAAAGGGAGATGAGGGGTCCCACTTATGAAGAGGGCATGCGGGAAGTACTGGAGAACAGGCTATCCTGATACTTACAACCCTTTAACCAGATACAAACTCCGCTAAGGTGTCACTCTGACATTAAAATTAGGAATCTTCTATCTTGTGCTGAAAAGGGAAACCTTTGTGTTCATTCTCCCCGGGCATGAGAGATATATGAAAAGTAATCCTGTGTCACCTTGCTGTCTATGACAGAAATATTAGCTACATCCTCAATTAATAGCAAAGATTTTCATCAAGTGAAGGCAATACTGTCCCAAACTGGCAGGTATAGATTAAAGGAAAAAATAAGTCCAGAAGTCTGTTTTAGAAGGAAACTGTTATATGATTTTTTAAATGCCATCTGAGCAGAGAAAACACATTAAAAGTGGGGTGCAGAGGGTCACATATAAAACCGACTGGTTTTGACCCCAAACCATCTAGTGTATTTCTTGTAGAAATACTAATAAAGAACTTTTCTAGTTCTCTCTCTCTCTGTCTCTCTCCCTATCTCTCTCTCTGTCTCTCTCCTGCCCCCCCCACCCCTCCCTGCCTGTCTCACCATGGGTCGCCTAAGCACAGACACATCCATCTATCTGATTCACGGGGTAGTGGGAAGAGATAGTCTGCCTTTTCTGTTTCAACCCCAGCTACTTTGTTCTTTTTATCGTTTTTATTCCTTAGATATGACTATGATTTACATGCATATTTCTTAAATATATTCTGGGGGGTTAAAAAGACATCACTGCCAGAGCTACAAATTAGACTACCCAAGGCCATCTCCCCTTTACCCATTATATAAAGAAAGGAACAAGAAACATGGTTACAGAGTCACTGACGTGAATCCAGAAGTCAAATTTTAAAAAAAAAAAAAAAACAAAAAAGGAGTTTAATATGAGTTGGAAATAACAGAATATTAAATCAACCATAATAGCATGGATTACAAAATTTTAAGTATATACACAGTAAGTTCTAGAGAAGAACTACTATAATTGAAATTTTATTATACGAGTACTTATTTCAAAATTGCTGGGTTGAAACTAAATTAGCTCTTCCATATGGTTAAGTGGTTGTTTTTAGTTTGGGGTGAAATTTTGTTACAAGGCTAAGTATGAAATCTGTTTCCATAAATTTGCTTTAATTGCCTGCGTCTCCTAACCAAGAAGGAATATAAAGAACTGGGGCTATAAAGTGATAGTTTACCACCACCAAGACTTTAAGAAAATGTTACCAAATATTACAAGTTTAATAAAAGTCTTAACTATTGGAAATGTGAGGTGTTCTCAGAAAACTCAGTTCTTTATCTGGGCTAAAATCCAGGATCAGAGCACTAGCCCTCCACCACCCACAACACATAAAGGGCATAAAATCAGGGCAGAGGTAGCAAGACTCTACCCTGTGCTCATTCTCAGAGGGAGGAAACATGTACAGAAATTAAGGGCATGGGCCGGTCGCAGTGGCTCACGCCTGTAATCCCACCACTTTGGGAGGCCAAGGCGGGTGGATCACGAGGTCAAGAGATTGAGACCATCCTGGCCAACATGGTGAAACCCCCTCTCTACTAAAAATACAAAAATTAGGTAGGCATTGTGGCACACGCCTATAATCCCAGCTACTCGAGAGGCTGAGGCAGGAGAATCACTAGAACCCAGGAGGTAGAGGCTGCAGTGAGCCAAGATTGCACCACTGCACTCCAGCCTGGGCAACAGAGTGAGACTCCATCTCAAAAAGAAAAGAAAAAAGAAATTAAGAGCATGGTCTTTGAGGCAGGCAAACTGAGTTGTGAGTTTGAACTCAGACTACATAGTTCACCTGTCTCACCCCAATTTATTCGTCTGCAAATGGGACCACCAGCAAAGCTACTCTCAAGGGTACCAGAGATGCCCACATTGTCAAACTGAATGAGCTCTTTTCCACCTGGATAGTGGAAATACCCCTGAGATGCTTAATTCTATGTGTCAACTTGGCTAGACTGTGATGTCAAGCTATCTGGTCAAACACCAGTCTAGAAGTGGCTGTCAAGATGTTTTTCAAATGGGATTAACATTTAAATCAGACCTAGAACTCTTGACTTCATTTGGCACAGCTAAGACTGCCCCCCTTTTGAAACAATTTTCCCTATGCTTTCCACAAAGGAAGCCTTCTCAGCTCACACTCCTGCTCTGGTTCACAGTGCAATGAACCAGTCCTTCCTGACATCCTTTGGGCCATGTTTAGTAGGAGTTGAGGGCACTATTGTATAAGATCACTGATGGAGAATGCCATGTCCCCTGCTCACTCTGCCATGGCATTTCCCAGGTGAAATATCAGCTTCTCAACATCTGAGCTAAGCTCCCCGCCTTCCCTGCCTTTTCTGCACCTAAGGATGCCCACACTGTTTCTTTCTCTCTCTTCCTTCTTCCTTCCCTCTCTCTCCACTCTCCCTGGTAGTATCTCTCTCCCCTACCCACTGAAGTTGCCTGGATGGATGAGGTAGGGCTGTGCTCTTTGCTTACCCCAGAAATTGAGGGGATGATCTTGATTGTTCCTGCTTTTTATCCCCTTTCGCAATCAACACCAAGTTTGCTCATTCTATTTTCAAACTAAAGCTTGACTCCAGCCACTTCTCTCAATCCCCTCAGTCATCACCCTAGTCCACCATCTTCTCTCACTTTGATGGTGGAAATACCCCCTGAGATGGTTAATTCTGTATGGCAACTTGGCCAGGCTGTGATGTCAAGCTGTCTTGTCAAACACCCATCTAGAAGTGTCTGTGACGGTGTTTTTCAGAGTGATTAACATTTAAATAAGTAGATTTTCAGGAAAGCAGATTATCCTCCATAGCTGGGCTTCATGCAATTTTTGATAGCCTGAAGAGAAAAGATCTAGGTCCCCTGAAGAGGAAAGAATTCTGCCTCCAGATTGCCACTGGACTCAGGACTGCATCATCAACCCCTGCTGGAATTTCCAGCCCACTTGCCCTGTAGACTTGCTAGCCCCCACAATTAAGTGAGCCATCTCCTTAACATTCTCTCTCTCTCTCTCTCTCTGTGCCCCTAACCTCTAGTTATGCTCTCTGGAGAACCATAATATAGCCCCCACAGTGGTTTCCCTACCAGAGCTCTCCTGTCTGGTCTCCACAAGGTAGCCAGACTGTTGGTTTTTAAAGCATAAATTATATCATGTCATTTTCCAGTGTAAAACATGTCTGTCGCTTTCCATCACATTTAGAATAAAATCCAAAATCCTTAAAATGCTCTTCAAATCTTGACATGATCTGATCTCTGTCCCCACTCTGGAGCCTCCTCTCCATCCTGTGGCTACTTGGTGCACCACAATGGGCTTCTTCTCTGTTTCTCCAGTGTGCCAAACTGCTTCTCCCCTCAGAAGCTCTTCCCTTGGCCTGGGGCACACTTCCTAACCCTCTCATAGGGCCTCCTCCTAATCATCCCTGTCACTTCCTCAATGAGGCTCTCTCCCTGACCCCCAGTAATAATACTAGCTAAAGGTTAACACTGTGCTGGGCTCTGTTCTAATCATTTTGCATATGTTAATTCATTCAGTCCTCACAACAACTCTATAAAGTAGGTGTTATTATCGCCATTTTACAGATGAGGAAAAGGAGGCACAGGAAGCTTAAGTAATGCACCTAAGATGACACAGCTAAGAAGTGGCAGAGCTGGAATTTGATCCAGGCCTCCTGGATCCAGAGTCTGTGAATTTAACCATTGAGTTAATCTGCCCCTAGGAGGCAAAATTGAATGGCTGCCTTTCATTCACAGTATTTACTAAAATTCATACTTTACATATAAATATACACACAAATACACACACATAGACATACATATATACATATAACATGCATACACACATATGCATGTTGGTATGGTTATTTGCTAGCTCCCACCACTATCTGAGCAAGTACCATTAGGACAAGGACACTACCTTATGTTACTCACCTGTGTATCTAGTTCACTGTTTGGTACATTAACAGCCTACCAACTAAAAAAAGCCCAGGACCAGAGGGCTTCACAGCCAAATTCTACCAGAGGTACGAAGAGGAGCTGGTTTCATTCCTTCTGAAACTATTCCAAACAATGGAAAAATAGGGACTCCTCCCTAACTCATTTTATGAGACCAGTATCATCCTGATACCAAAACCTGGCAGAGACACAACAAAAAAAGAGAACTCCAGGCAAATATCCCTGATGAATATCAAAGCGAAAATCCTTAATAGAATACTGGCAAACTGAATCCAGCAGCACATCAAAAAGCTTATCTACCACTATCAAGTTGGCTTCATCCCTGGGTTCCAAGGCTGGTTCAACATATACAAATCAATAAACGTAATCCATCACATAAACAGAACCAATGACAAAAACCACATGATTACCTCAATAGATGCAGAAAAGGCCTTTCATAAAATTCAACATCCCTTCATGCTAAAAACACTCAACAAATTAGGTATTGATGGAACATATCTCAAAATAATAAGAGCTATTTACGACACACCCACAGCCAATATCATACTGAATGGGCAAAAGCTGGAAGCATTCCCTTTGAAAACTGGCACAAGACAAGGATGCTGTCTCTCACCACTCCTATTCAACATAATATTGGAAGTTCTGGCCAGGGCAATCAGGCAGGAGAAAGAAATAAAGGTATTCAAATAGGAAGAGAGGAACTCAAATTGTACAATTTGCAGATGACATGATTGTATATTTAGAAAACCCCATCACCTCAGCCCAGAAAATCCTTAAGCTGATAAGCAACTTCAGCAAAGTCTCAGGATACAAAATCAATGTGCAAAAATCACAAGCATTCCTATACACCAATAACAGAGAGCCAAATCATGAGTGAACTTCCATTCATAATTGCTACAATGAGAATAAAATACCTAGGAATACAACTTACAAGGGATGTGTAGGACCTGTTCAAGGAGAACTACAAACCACTGCTAAACGAAGTGAGAGAGGACACAAACAAATGGAAAAACATTGCATGATCATGGATAGGAAGAAACAATATCGTGAAAATGGTCATACTGCCCAAAGTAATTTATAGATTCAATGCTATTCTCATCAAGCTACCATGGACTTTCTTCACAGAATTAGAAAAAACTACTGTAAATTTCATATGGAACCAAAAAAGAGCCTGTATAGCCAAGACAATCCTAAGCAAAAAGAACAAAGCTGGAGACATCACGATACCTGACTTCAAACTATATTACAAGGCTACAGTAACCAAAACAGCAGGGTACTGGTATCAAAACAGATATATAGACCAATGGAACAGAACAGAGGCCTCAGAAGTAACATGAAACATCTACAACCATCTGATCTTTGATAAACCTAACAAAAACAAGCAGTGGGGAAAGGATTCTCTATTTAATAAATGGTGTTAGGAAAACTGGCTAGCCACATGCAGAAAACTGAAACTGGACCCCTTCCTTACACCTTATACAAAAATTAACTCAAGATGGATTAAAGACTTAAACATAAGACCTAAAACCATAAAAACCCTAGAAGAAAACCTAGGCAATACCATTCAGGACATAGGAATGGGCAAAGACTTCATGACTAAAATACCAAAAGTAATTGCAACAAGAGCCAAAATTGACAAATGGGATCTAATTAAAGAGCTTCTGCACAGAAAAAGAAACTATTATCAGAGTGAACAGGCAACCTACAGAATGGGAGAAAATTTTTGCAATCTATACATTTGACAAAGGACTAATACTCAGAATCTACAAGGAACTTAAACAAATTTACAAGAAAAAAACAACACCATCAAAAAGTGGGCAAAAAATATGAACAGACACTTCTCAAAAGAAGACATTTATGCAGGCAACAAACATGAAAAAAAGCTCATCATCACTGGTCATTAGAGAAATGCAAATCAAAACTACAATGAGATACCAGCTCACACCAGTTAGAATGGTGATCATTAAAAAGTCAGGAAACAACATATGCTGGAGAGGAAGTGGAGAAATAGGAATGCTTTTACACTCTTGGTGGGAGTGTAAATTAGTTCAACCATTGTGGACGACAATGTGGCAATTCCTCAAGGATCTAGAACCAGAAACACGATTTGACCAGCCATCCCACTACTGGGTATATACCCAAATAATTTAAATCATTCTACTATAAAGACACACGCACATGTATGTTTATTGCAGCACTTCACAATAGCAAAGACTTGGAATCAACTCAAATGCCCATCAATGACAGACTGGATAAAGAAAATGTGGCACATATACACCATGGAATACTATGCAGACATAAAAAGAATGAGTTTATGTCCTCTGCAGTGACATGGATGAAGCTGGAAACCATCATCCTCAGCAAACTAACACACGAACAGAAAACCAAACACTGCATGTTTTCACTCATAAGTGGGAGTTGAACAATAAGAACATATGGGCACAGGAAGGGGAACATCACACACCAGGTCCTGTTGGGAGGTGGGGGCCAAGGGGAGGGATAGCATTAGAAGAAATCTACCTAATGTAGATGATGGGTTGATAGGTGCAGCAAACCACCATGGCACATGTATACCTATGTAACAATCCTGCACATCCTGCATGTGTATCCCAGAACTTAAAGTATAATAAAAAAAATGGCAGTCTAGATGAAGAATTGGACTAATACCCTCAATGTCTCACCTTGTCTATGTATCATCTGTGTTCATTACACGGACCAGCCCATAGCAGCATAGGCAAACTGCTATCTATGGGGTAAGATCTGAGAATTTCCTAACCTCCAAAATTTCATCCATTATCTACTTGAAATAAAATCATTAGAGTTGCTGCTCCTTCCAATCACTCATTTGAATTCAAATATTCTCTGGAAGGTAACAGCCTGAAGTCACTATTAGTTAACTCCACTATTAGTTAACTCCCAGCTAGGATTACAAGACAGATAGCTCTGTGGGATCACAAAACTGAGTGGGTGTTTCCATACCCCATGTGCTGGTACCTGGAGCTGGGTCACCAGAACTAGAGTGGGAGGGATCTTTAAGTAGAGCAGAGAGGATGCAAAGCTAATTTTGCCTTTGCCACTATGTTCAGGAGCTCCCAACTTGGCCCTGCTAGAGCTGCTTTGACAGGTATCATAAATGCCTCCTATGGTTTACAGAAAATCTCTAATTTTTATTTGGTTTAGCTAATGCTGTATCCATGCAACAAGAAAACCACCAATTTAAAAAGTGAGAAATTTAGTTAATCAAGAAGTTGTTTTGGCTTCAAGACACCAAAGTAGTTCGGCTGACTTGTCACGGATTTAACGAAAAGTGCTGGGGTCATGTAGTTGCAATCCAATTAAACATTGTTTCTTTCCACCTTTCCCCTACTGGGGACAGTGGAAGACAACTTAGCAGTTAGGCTTAAATTGGGAAAATGATGATAGGCATCAAAAAGATTTCAGAAAACTAGGTTTTTCTTCCAACTTCTCAAATTCATACCTTTTCCTTTTAATTGTGCTATGCCAGCAATTACAGACAAACTCTTAAAAACTAACTTTGCATTCAAATTGACTATTTCAGGAAGGAATTATTGAGCTTGCATTTGCTAGGTTGATCACGTTTCAGGCAAAAAAAAAAAAAGGGTCCAGTTTGTTTTCAGAATAGCGTTAAAGAATCCTAACTCCAGTCCACTAATTCTGAAAACAAGAGTAGTTAAAACTATTTGAGATTTCACTTAGATAAAAAGTTACATACAGTTATATTGTGCTTACTAATGGATAAAATAGTAAAAGATGATTAACAGGCATAATTATTTGACTGCCATTATAAATCACAACAAATAAAGTGTTCCTATTTCTAGATCTGTGGGAAGAATTTCCAGAATAAAGTGCAAAACATTGAGATGACACTCAGATCACCAGTAAAAGGTCTAAGAAATCATCAGAGAAAAAGAACCACAAACACAATTGATCCTCAGAATCCTGCTGCTCACCTACCCTTTCTGATTGAACTTGCTAAGTCAACTCTCTTAAACTATTCACTAACACACCCATTGCTCTACATACTAAAAAAGAAAATAACTTTTTGAAATAAGGTTTAAAAGAGGTATAATGTACAACATGGTGACTACAGCCAACAACGATATATTGTATTCTTGAAAAACACTGAGAGATTTTTAAGTGTTCTCACCAAAAAAAAAAATAACTATGTGAGATAATGCATATACTAATTAGCTTGATTTAGCCATTCCACAATGTAACATATTTCAAAACATCACAATGTACATGACATATACAATTTTATTTGCCGATGTAAAAAATAATACAGACACCCTAAACTCCTTTAAAAAATAAAGTTTTTTCCCTCTGGCCAACAGTTGCCTAACCATTCTCCCCCATCCCATCAAACTGTTGGGAATGTGTTTATTGTTTTTAATAGCTAACATTTATTGAGTATTTACTGTATATCTGGGAAAAATGCTAAGTATTTTGCATGTAGTATTCCAAAGGGAAAGGGTCTTTTATAATCAATATATAATGCCTCACAGTACATTATAGTGGCTATGAAATAAGTTTATGGGGAGTAAAAGAGAATAAAGAGATAATGGCTCATAAATGTTTTTCCTAAACTCTCTTTAAACCACAATGTATCAATCTTTTTACTACTCCAGATTGAAATTTAAGGGAAAAAAATGTTTAAATATGTTAAACACATAATAATTCTGGGAGCTTACATATGAAATTTTCATGTTTCAAAAACTCCCAATACAGTTGTAGGAGGTGAGATTCCACATTAAAATATATCAATTGACAGAACAGCTTTGAATATTGGAAGCATTTATGTTACAGACTGGCAGTAAGAGTTGGCTGACTGACTGGCTGATCCTTTGAGTTCTCATCTTAGAGTTCCAGAAGGTTTCTACGAAGTTTCTTACACTGGGAAACTTTTAAGATTTCAAAACAGGGTTTGTTTTCTCATCATTTTCCCTGACAAACTTTTAACATTCTGTTTCCAAATAGACGAACAAATCATTTCACAAATGGCAAGTGGTGAAGCTGTACTTACTGGAAAGATAAAGATGAAACAAACCTGCCAACACAAAACATCAAATTTCGTAAGGGTTCAGATAAAAAAAAAATTGCTATTGATTGGACTTGACGCACATATATGTCAGCAGCCTTAAAGCTCTGTTCCATGAAGCATTTAAATGACTGCAACTAAAATTATTTCAAATGAGTCAGAAAACAAGTTGTTCCAAATAAGCAAAAGTCTATCTTCTTAATAACACACTAAATTTTGTCCTTGTACCTCTATTTTTATATTGAGGCCCCTCTTGATTTTTCTCTTTTATGCAACTTCGTTTTTACTGTGCATTTCCATATTTTACCCCATTATAAGTGTCTGTAATTCTGTAGATCACTGTGGTAGTTTTTATTTTTATTCCTAATTATTTGCTGATCCTTCCAGTGGGATGATTTTGCTTTCTGCTCCATTGATGTCAGGCCTGGCCATGTGGGTTGCTTTGGTCCGGAAAATGGGATGAAAATCGTGGCACCATTTCCAAGCTTAAGCTTTGAAAGTGACCACGTGACCTCCATGTCTTTCACCTCTGCCAAGAACACAGTCACGTCCCAGGTAGGCACCTCTTTGGCCTGAAGCATGGAGGAGAGGCACAAGTAAGATGAACGAGAAACAAATCCACATTGTTGTAAGCCTCTGAGGTCTGGAATTCACCCAGTATTCCTTAGACTATTGTTGACTAAGGCAATCAATGGCCTTCACATTTTTTAACTGTATATATCCTAAAATAATTTTTGAGAAACTAGAAGTCTCCTCTAAATTGTTAAAGTGAACAGCTAAAACTTTCCATTTTATGCCTTAAAATGTTCAAAAGTTGTCATTTGCAGCACATTGTAAAAATCAACCATTTAAATAAAACTATTCCATCATTCTTTCAAACATGCCAAATTGGGTAAAATATCTAGTCATAAGACAAGCTATCATATGGTTTAAAATGACATAAATAAGTTTTCTTTGATAGTTAGAAAATTTACATCATTCCTTTTTGCTCCAGAACTTATATTTTTCAATTTACTTTCCCCACAAAGTCAAATTCTGATATTATTAGTCACCTATTCAAACTCTTTCAAAATCAAATCCATTACTCTTTTTTCATTTTTATAGATGTAAGCAATTAAAAAATTCTTCACATAGGTAAGTAAATTAGAATGAAAAAAATTTTGCTTCTGACTTAAATGCCAAAAATTATATTGCAATCTGTCAAAAATTATTTTAATGTTTTATTGGCTGACAACTCAATTAGATTCTCCTTTAATTTTGTCAAAACCTAAGAATTGTAAATAACTGAGTTTTAAAATTATTCATTATCTCGTCACTATACTCATTCACTTAATTTCTGAGAATTATTTTTTAAATGGCTTTACTGAGGCTTATCAACAAATATATATACCTGCTACTCTACGTGAAAACATTTTGTGTAATCTAATATAGAATGAATTTGGAAAATGAAAATATTGTTAATTATAGTACTCCTTACAAAAAATATTTTTGATAACTTTTTTTTTTTTTTGAGACAGAGTTTCACTCTTGTTGTCCAAGCTGGAGTGCAATGGCATGATCTCGGCTCACTGCAACCTCCACCTCCCGGGTTCAAGCAATTCTCCTGCTTTAGCCTCCCAAGTAGCTTGGATTACAGGCACGAGCCACCGCACCTGGCTAATTTTTTGTATTTTTAGTAGAAACGGGGTTTCACAATGTTAGCCAGGCTGGTCTCAAACTCCTGATCTCAGGTGATCTGCCCGCCTCGGCCTCCCAAAGTGCTAGGATTACAGGTGTGAGCCACCACACCCAGCTGATAACATATTTTTATCTGATCATTCAATATATGCATCCAAACCTCATAACTGCAGACTCAGCTCTGTCAACTTGTGGAGGTATCCACCACGCAAAGCCAGTTGTCATTACAAAATCAATCAGTCAAATTGGATTTGCTTTCTATTAGAAAAAGTCTGTCCTCGTTTTTCAATCTAAGTAACTGTTAACACATGTTCTTGTAACAAGCATCTCACTTCTGAATTCTAACATAGATATATATATTGAAACAGACCTTTTCCATGAAGTTGCTACCTGGACAAAATAAGGCTTCTCTGATCTTCA
Organism: Homo sapiens; assembly: GCF_000001405.40. NCBI lineage: Eukaryota > Metazoa > Chordata > Mammalia > Primates > Hominidae > Homo > Homo sapiens. Next base: position 47,759,932 of record NC_000013.11, read on the forward strand.
ATATTTCCAAGCATCTTTAGGAGCAACCACGTTTTACTGCTATGTCTCTTCCTTCTGTTGTGAGCACTGCCACATACCAGGTAGGAGCTGCTCTGTGACTGCATCCTGAAGTGAAGAGAGAATGGAGCATATTCCCTTCTCTCTCCTCTCATGTGCCTCTCCCTGGGAAGTATTGCAGTCATTGACAAGTAGGGGATATAAGAAAATGTCATCTCTTCTGCTACCCTACTTTACAATATATTTGAGTTTGGAGCATTGCCACAGAAGCTGAAATACCATTTCTAATGCCACAGTTTTCACCCCACAGAAATATGTAAAAGACAGAGAAAGTCATAAAATCCTTTAATCAGTGAAATCATCATCATAACTGATATTTTTCATTGGATTGGAGATTTTTATACCCCTGAACTATTCACTGTGGTAAGATTTCAGAGGTGTGAATTTATGCCTTTCTTTTGGAAAGTGAAAACAAAGGCAGAAAAGAAGGATGCACGTGGCTTCCTGAATTGCAGGCTCCTTTCCAAGACAATAGATCACAGAAAAGAGTATGTATGGATGTTGAACATATGTAAACTGATGCTCTTAAAACAATTTTTTCCCATGTAGCTTTTGGAAAGATTTCCTATTCCCCAACAGGTACCAGGACCCCAATGTTGCTATAGATGTCAAAGCAACTGGGAAGATTATATGTAATTCACAATTCTTGAAAAATAAGACATTTTATTCTCTACTATGTGCATGAATTTTCTATTACTGTATAACAAACATCAGCAGAAGAAAATATACATTTATTACTTCACAGTTTCCATGGGTCTAAGTACACACAATCCCAGCACATCTTCACTGGGTCTTCAGCTCAGGGTCACACATGGCTGCCTCAAGATGTCAGCTGGTGCTGCAATCTGAGGCTGAGCTCCTCTTCCAAGCTCACTGGTTACTGACAGGATCCAAGTCTTAGGATTGTAGGACTGAGGATCTCTCTCTCCTAGAGGCTGCACATGTTCCCTGCCGTATGACCCTCTCCACAATGTGGCAGTTTGTTTCCTTAAAGCCAGCAGGAAGACATCTCTGCTTCTTTTCTCTCTACCTCTAGACCCTCGTCTAAAAGGCTCAACTGATTAGGTCAGGCCTACCAAAGTAATTTCCCTTTTGGTTAACCTAAAGTGAACTAATTAGGGGGTTTAATTACATCTGTAAAATTCCTTTACCTTTGCTATATAAGGTAACATAATCCAAAAAGTAATATTCCATCATTTTTGCTATGGTCTACTGATTAGACACAAGCTACAGGATCTACCCATAGTCAAGAAAAAGAGTTTTACAAGGGGTGAGTCATTGGGCATCATCTTAGAATTCTGCCTACCACACTATTTAAGCCAAAAATAACATTAAAATTATCAATATAACAAACAGAGAGTGTTTTCTTCAAGTTTAGAGTATAAAATTTAAAGGACGGCCCCTAGAGCACTCATTATTTAGTGACTTAGAAGAATTATAAGGGAAATTAGTTTACAACATAGATTTTCCTAGCCCCAACCCTAGAGATTCTAATTCAGCTGGCAAAGAGTTGACCAGGAATCAGCATTTTAAATAACTTCTCCCTGATGATTCTGATATAAGCTCTGACCACACATTGAAAACCCCTAAATAGGGCTTCCATAATTAAAGAATGACTTCAATTTTCCTATGGCTCTGCAGTTTGGGCCAAAGAATTCCTCCAAATGGGCTTCTTAGTCCCTTTGTTTTATAAAAGCTATATTTCACAGGCTCCACCTCTCTGCTTAGCACCTAACATATTGAGAAACCTTTATATAGGCTCAGGAAGTACCCTTCTGTGTAGATAGAGTCCTTCTTGTAAGAGTAAGCAGACATCCTTCTCTCTGCTGTAAACCAAATTTTAAAATAGCATAGAGTGGATAGAAACCTGGTTTCTTCTCCAACTGGAGTTTCTACCATTCTTCAGAAAAGAATGGGAAAGGACAAAAGTCTAATTCTAAAGCAGGCCAGGAAACTCCCTTAAGCAGTGACCACTTCATTTATATGTTCCCTACTAAGGCTCTTGCTGGTTTCTGAAGATAGGACCTCCTTGGGCACTCTTTGGTCAAAATAGGGTGGGAAAGCAGTGGTGGCCCCAATGATGTGCCTCTCTATTTTCCAGATAGACACTACCTAACTTATGAGACACAACAAAAGTTCAAGGTGGTATGTAACTTGGGTTAGATTGAATTGTAAGACCTTCAAATGCCAGAGTGTTTCAGAGAAGAAAAACACTGGGAAAAGTTTAGAAGTTACTGAGGGACATCAGGACATCAGTAGACATCATCAGCATCAGTTACAGATACCCAAAGAGTAATAAGGTGCCATAAAGACAAGTAAGAGGGAAGAAACCCACAGCACTTGATTCACTCAACTAATAGCTATTGAGTGCTTATAATGTATTGCATCATGCTCTAAGCATTATCATGGCCCCTCTACACTTTGCACTAAAGAGAAGAGGTTTGCTTTCTCACTGCCTGGTTTTGCCACTTCTTGAAAAGCTTATAAAACATACCATACTCCTCTCAGCATAGGATCACCTGTGATCAAAAGAAAGAAGGGTGCTTTGACAACTGTTCCTTACTCCCTCTTAACCCAAGGATACCAAACCAGAACAATTACAGCTCCCCCTTGCAACTTGACCTTGACGTCTAAGGAAAATTCTCAAAGATAGAAAAAGAGGGAGATCAGTGTGGCTCTTAGGAAGTAGGGAATAATGCATGTGGCTCAGTCCCCAGGTAGGTAACCCACAGAGAATAGGTAAAATAAAGGAACCAAGATTTGCAGCCTCATAAGATGGTGGAGGTTGAAACATGCACTGTTCTACTTTCTCCACATGTTAAACTGGCAGTTCACACTGGCTGACCAAGTAAAATATCTGAGTAGGAGAAATGTGACTGTGTCAACCCAACCTTCTAGATCGTATCTACATTCTTTCCCTGCCATAACCCTTCCTGTGTGTCCATGTTATCCTTCCTGGATTCCACGTACTGTATCCTTGAGTTCTCTTCCTATTAAAAAAAAGTTCTCAGGAAAGAATCAGAAAAAGCCATTCATATGACCTTAAAAAACAGGTTGATTTTTTTAATCTTTATTTTTATTGTAGTTTAACAAATTATAGTTGTATATATTTATGGAGTACAATGTGATGCTATGATTTATGAATACAGTGAGAAATAATTAAATCAACCTAATTAACATAGTCATGACCTCAAGTACTTGTCATGTTTTGTGGTGAGAACACTTGAAACTTACTCTCAGTGATTTAGAAATGTGCAATGGATTATTATTTACTATATTTGAAAATTTTAGTGGTGAAAGTTACCTAATCAGTTGTCACTACTGTATCTAGAAACCAATCTTGAAAATGTGTGATGGCTTTTTTGGCGCCATCTACTCATGGAGCCACCGCTGCAACCCTGAGTCACTGCCTGCACAGCTCTGGCCGCCTGGCTCCCCATACTAGCTGCCAATATTTGGAGTTCTTACAACATGGCAGACATTGACAACAAAGAACAGTCTGAACTTGATCAAGATTTGGATGACGCTGAAAAAGTAGAAGAAGGAACTGGTGAAGAAACAAAAATCAAAGCACATCAGCTAACTGTTCAGATGATGCAAAATCCTCAGATTCTTGCAGCCCTTCAAGAAAGACTTGATGGTCTAATAGAAACACCAACAGGATACATTGAAAGCCTGCCTAGGGTAGTTAAAAAACAAGTGAATGCTCTCAAACACCTGTAAGTTAAATGTGCACAGATAGAAGCCAAATTCAATGAGGAAGTTCACAATTTTGAAAGGAAGTATGCTGTTCTCTGTCAGCCTCTATTTGATAAGCAATTTGAGATTATTAATGCAATTATGAACCTACAGAAGAAGAATGGAAACCAGATGAAGAAGATGAGATCTCAGAGGAGTTGAAAGAAAAGGCCATGATTGAAGATGAGAAAAAAGATGAAGAAAAAGAAGATTCCAAAGGAATTCCTGAATTTCGGTTAACTGTTTTTAAGAATGTTGACTTGCTCAGTGATATGCTTCAGGAGCGTGATGAACCTATTCTGAAACACTTGAAAGATATTAAAGTGAAGTTCTCAGATGCTTGCCAGCCCATGAGTTTTGTCTTAGAATTTCACTTTGAAGACAATGAATATTTTACAAATGAAGTGCTGACAAAGACGTATAGCATGAGGTCAGAACCAGATGATTCTGATCCCTTTTATTTTGATGGACCAGAAATTATGGGTTTTACAGGGTGCCAGATAGATTGGAAAAAAGGAAAGAATGTCACTTTGAAAACCATTAAGAAGAAGCAGAAACACAAGGGACGTGGGACAGTTAGTACTGTGACTAAAACAGTTTCCAATGACTCTTTCTTTAAATTTTTTGCCCCTCCTGAAGTTTCTGAGAGCAGAGATCGGGATGATGATGCTAAAACAATCCTTGCTGCAGACTTCGAAACTGGTCACTTTTTACCTGAACGTATAATCTCAGGATCAGTGTTACACTTTACTGGAGAAGCTATTGAAGATGGATGATGATGATTATGATGAAGAAGGTGAAGAAGCAGATGAGGAAGGAGAACAAGAAGGAGATGAGGAAAATGATCCAGACTATGACCCAAAGAAGGATTAAAATCCTTCCTCCCAAAAATGCATACCCTGGCCTAATTGCAAAGAAAACAATTTCCAATTAAGGAATATTATACAAAATGTGTAATCAATACTCAAGGTTTTCAAGTCATTAATGACAAGGAAAGTCAGAAACTGTCCACCAAACAAAGTATAAGAAGATATGGCATCTAAATGTAATGTAGTGTTCTGGGTGGGATGCTAGAACAAAAGAAGAACATTAGGTAAAAACTAAGGATATCTGAATGAAGTATGGATTTTAGTTAATAATACAGGCATATTTCTTTTTATTGCACTTTGCTTTATTGCAGTTTGCAGACACTATAGTTTTTATGAAATGAAGGTCTGTGGCAACCCTACATCAAGCAAATTTATTGATATCATTTTTCCAACAGCATATGCTCACTTCATATCTCTGTGTCAGCATTTTATAGTCATGAAGTATTTTTTAACTAAGGTATGCACATTGCATGTACATAATACCATTGCACACTTAATAGACTACAGTATAGTGAAAACATAACTTTTATATTCACTGGGAACCAAAAAAATGTGTAACTCACTTTATTGTGATATTCACTTTATTGTGGTAGTCCGAAACCAAACTTGTAATATCTCTGTGGTATGCCTATATTAATGTTGGCTCATTAATTATAACAAACATACCATACTAATGTAAGATATTTATAAGAGGAAAAACTGGATGTGGGGCATGAGAAACACATTTAACAATCCAAACTGTGTCTCTGGACTCAGAGACACAAAGAACAGTGGAAGCAAGTCTTTTAATGGTGATCTTGGAAGATCAGGTGTCTGGTAGGCAGGCACATCTGAAGCAGTTACAGCAGGTAATTTATCTCCTAGCATGCAAGTCTCTCCCCCAGGTCCTCATTGGTAGAGTGCTATGGGATTAAAATCTTCCTGGATGTCACCTAGGTTTCATTATCCCCCTTATAAGATTATACCCCAGTCCCTTTCCCTGCTTAAGTTTTGATTTCCCAATAATGAAACTTTTTTCCCTTTTATGGGCTAACCCACCTCTACATTCTGTCCACTTATTGTGACTTTCTAGGTGCATGAGCCGTGTGGTTTGTCACATCCACAGGCTGGTTGCCAGTACATAAGATTTATCATGCCTTGAAAATGGACCATTTAAATGTTTTCTCACAGGGGTATGTGGAAACTCTCCACACAATTTCACAATTTTTCTGCAAATCTAAAGCTATTCTAAAATTTAAAAGTTTCTTAAATGCAGTATCCAGCACACCATAAAAAAGTATGAGATGTGAAAAAAGTAACATATGACTGATAAACAGAAAGTTAAGAAACAGTCAATGAAAGGAAACCAACAGATTAAAAAGTTATTGGAATTAGAATAAAATGACTTTAAATTGACTCTTATAGACTAAATTAACCTGTAAGTAGGTTAAATAAATGGGAGTAAAAGATGAACAAAACGAACAAAAATATGGAGAACTTCAAAAGAGAAGTGAAATCCCTAAAAACTAATTCACGTATATCCTAAGATTGAAAAACATAGTATCTGAAATTAAGAATAAATTGGAAAGGCTTAATAGCAAATTGAACATCAAAGGAAAGGGTGCATGAATTTGAATACTGTCAATTAAATTATTCATACTGGAGAATGGAGAGAGAAGAATGTGGGGGGAAAACACAATGTGAGAGGCACATGGGATAATACCAAGCTTTCTAACATACATGTAATTGGAGTACATTTATTGACTTGCATATGTTGAACCAACCTTTTCAGACATAATGGCCAAGAACTTTCCAAAACTAATTTTAAAAAACCAAACCACAGAGGGTGCAGCAAGATGGAGGAATAGAAGCCACACCATTCATCTCCCCACTGCTGGAACTCCAAATTTTAACAACTATCTGCACACGGGAAAGCACCATCACAAGAACCAAAAATCAGGTGAGCAATCACAGTACCTGGATTTAACTTCATATTTTGGGTTTTTGTTGTTTTTTTTTTTTTGTAGCAGTTGTTAGCATTTAACAAACCTCCATCCATGTGGTTTCATACCACCAGGACTCAAGCCCCACCTCCAACACCCTTAATCCTCTCCTCAGCTCTTCTGCTGAAGAATTTGGCCTTCATGATGACAGGTTGCTTTGGTAGATTTCCGTTTCCCAGAACTCCAGAACTTTGTAGTAGCCTGATCACACCACATCAATGGTGGGAGCAGCTCCAGTTTTGTCTTTAGCAGCATTCACCTGTGTCTGTACACTGACCAAAGTCCACAATTTATCAGGGTTGGCATTTGAGCAGGAGCTCTGGTTCCTCTTTAAGTGGTAACCCTTATACCAACTTTCCCAAAGGAACCTAGGTGAGGTTTGTCAAAGTTGATCCTGTGGTGATGCTTGCCACCAGTATTACTCCTGCCTCCGGAGTGCTTTTGGTGCTTGCTGATGAGGCTGTGGCTGTGGCTTACATGGCCCAGAAGTTTCTGGGTCTTCCTCAGCCTGAATGGTATGTCAGAAACTCTTGGGTTATAGCCTACATTCTTGATTTTTTCCAACCAACAGCATAGCCTGGAGGACATTGGGCTGTCATGTTGGGTTGTCATGGATGGCACCTTATATTCTAGTTGGGCACATGCTGCAATGTGAAACAGTTGCATGGTCTTACCATTTCTCACTATTCTGATGTTTTGTCACTGCTCACATTCATTTCTGAAGAATTCTTGGTTTTAACAGAACTCTGTCTCATTATATCTTCACATTGATATGAAAATAAATCAAGGACAAATATAGTCTCATGACATTAAGTCATAGTTCTTAATTGTGGATATGTGTTCATCAGACTTAGCAGAGGGGTTTTAAATATGCATAAACAGACTTGAAATAAAATTCTCAGTATGGCCCAGGCACATGCATTTTAAACAAGCTCCATAAATGATTTTTTTTTTCCTTCAACTTTTAAGTTTCGGCGTACATGTGCAGGATGTGCAGGCTTTTTACATAGGTAAATGTGTATCATGGTGGTTTGCTGCACAGATCAACCCATCACCTAGGTATTAAGCCCAGCGTTCCTCAGCTATTCTTCGTGATGCTCTCACTCCCCCACCCCCACCCCAAACAGGCCCCAGTGTGTGTTGTCCCCCGTCATGTGTCCATGTGTTCTCATCATTCAGCTCCCACTTATAAAAGTGAGAACATGCGGTATTTGGTTTTCTGTTTGTGTGTTAGTTTGCTAAGGATAACAGCTTCCAGCTCCATCCATGTCCCTGCAAAGGACATTCCCTGTTATGGCTGCATAGTATTCCATGGTGTATATGTACCACATTTTCTTTATCCAGTCTATCATTGATGGGCATTTGGGTTAATCCCATGTCTTTGCTATTGTGAATAGTGCTGCAGTGAACATATGTGTGCATGTATCTTTATAATAGAATGATTTATATTCCTTTGGGTATATACCCACTAATGGGATTGCTGGGACAAATTGTATTTCTGCCTCTAGGTCTTTGAGGAATTGCCACACTGTCTTCCACAATGGTTGAACTAATTGACACTCCCACCAACAGTGTAAAATCATTCCTTTTTCTCTGCATCCTTACCAGCATCTGTTGTTTCTGGACTTTTTAATAATCACCATTCTGACAGGCATGAAATGGTATTTCGTTGTTGTTTTGATTTGCATTTGCTTTTTTTCATATGTTTGTTGGCTGCATGAATGTCTTCTTTTGAGACGTGTCTGTTCATGTCCTTTGCCCACTTTTTAATGGGTTTTTTTTTCTTGTAAATTTGTTTAAGTTCCTTGCAGACTCTGGATATTATACCTCCATCAGATAAATAGATCACAAAAATTTTCTCCCATTCTTTAGGCTGTCTGTTCATTCTGATTATGGTTTCTTTTGCCGTGTAGAAGTTCTTTAGCTTAATTAGATCCCACTTATCAATTTTTGCTTTTGTTTGCAGTTGCTTTTGGTGTTTTTGTCATGAAATCTTCACCCGTGCCTATGTCCTGAATGGTATTGCCTAGATGTTCTTCTAGGGATTTTACAGTTTAGGTTTTACATTTAAATCCTTCTTGGGTTAATTTTTGTATAAGTTGTAAGGAAGGGGTCCAGTTTCAATTTTCTGCATATGGCTAGCCAGTTCTCCCAGCACCATTTATCGAATAGGAAATCCTTTCCCCAGTGCTTGTTTTTGTCAGGTTTGTTAACGATCAGACAATTTTTAAGTGTGTGGTCTTGAGTTCTCTATTCTGTTCCATTGGTTTATGTGTCTGTTTTTGTACCAGTATCATGCTATTTTGGTTACTCTAGCCTTGTAGTATAGTTTGATGTTGAGTAGTGTGATGCCTCCAGTTTTGTTCTTTTTGCTTAGGATTGTGTTGACTATTTGGGCTCTTTTTGGTTTCATATGGGTTTTAAAATAGTTTCTTCTAATTCTGTGAAGAATGTCAATGGTAGTTTAATGGGGATTGCACTGGATCTATAAATTACTTTAGGCAGTATGGCCATTTTCATGATATTGATTCTTCCTATCAATGATCATGGAATGTTTTTCCATTTGTTTGTGTCCTCTCTTATTTCCTTGAGCAGTGGTTTGTAGTTATCCTTGAAGAGGTCCTTCATTTCCCTTGTTAGCTGTATTCCTAGGTATTTTATTCTTTTTGTAGCAATTATGAATGGGAGTTCATTCATGATTTGGCTCTCTGCTTGCCTGTTGTTGGTTTATGTGAATGCCAGCAATTTTTGCACATTGATTTTGTATCCTGAGACTTTGCTGAAGTTGCATATCAGCTTAAGAGGCTTTTGGGCTGAAACAATTGGACTTTCTACATATGGTATCATGGCATCTGCAAACAAAGATAATTTGACATCCTCTCTCCCTATTTGAATATCCTTTATTTCTTTCTCTTACCTTATTGCTTTGGCCAGAACTTCCAAAACTATGTTGAATAGGAGTGCTGAGAGGGCATCCTTGCCTTGTGCTGGTTTTCAAGGGAAATGCTTCCAGTTTTCACCCATTCCCTATAATATTGACTGTGGGTTTGTCATATAATAGCTCTCATTATTTTGAGGTATGTTCCTTCAGAACCTAGTTTATTGAGAGTTTTTAACATGAAGGGGTGTTGAATTTTATCAAAGGCCTTTTTTTGCGTCTATGGAGATCATCAAGTGGTTTTTGTCTTTAGTTCTGTTTATGTGATGAATTACATTTATTGACTTGCATATGTTGAACCAACCTTGCATCCTGGGGATGAATCCAACTTGATCATGGTGGATAAGCTTTTTGATGTGCTGCTGGATTCAGTTTGCCAATACTTTATTGAGGATTTTCGATCAATGTTCATTGGGGATATTGGTCTGAAGTTTTCTTTTTTTTGTTGTTGTATCTCTGCCAGGTTTTGTTAAGGATGATGCTGGCCTCATAAAATGAGTTAGGGAGGAGTCCTTCCTTTTCAATTTTTTAGAATAGTTTCAGTGGAAATGGTACCAGGTCTTCTTTGTACCTCTGATAGAAGTCAGCTATAAATCTTTCTGGTCCTGGGCTTTTTTTGTTGGTGGTGGTAAGCTATTTATTATTGCCTCAATTTCAGTACTCGTTATTGGTCTATTCAGGGATTCAATTTCTTCCTGGTTCAGTCTCAGGAGGGCGTATGCATCCAGGAATGTTTTCATTTCTTCTAGATTTTCTAGTTTATGTGCATAAAGGTATGTATAGTATTCACTGATGGTTATTTGTATTTCTGTGGGGTCAGTGGTAATATCCCCCTTATCATTTCTGATTGTGTCTATTTGATTCTTCTCTTTTTCCTTCTTTATTAGTCTAGCTAGCAGTCTATCTATTTTATTTTATCCAAAAAACATCTCCTGGACTTGTTGATTTTTTGAAGTTTTTGTGTCTCTATCTCCTTCAGTTCCACTCTGATCTTGGTTCTTTCTTGTCTTCTGCTTGCTTTGGGGTTTGTTTCCTCTTGATTCTCTAGTACTTTTAGTTGTGTTGTTAGGTTGTTAATTTGAGATCTTTCTAGCTTTTCGATGTGAGCATTTAGTGTTATTAATTTCCCTCTTACCACAGCTTTAGCTGCATCCCAGAGATCTGGTACATTGTCTCTTTGTTCTCATTAGTTTCAAAGAACTTCTTTATTTCTGCCTTAATTTCATTATTAACTTAGGAGTCATTCAGGAACAGGTTGTTCAATTTCCATGTAGTTGTGTGGTTTTGAGTGAATTTCTTATTCTTGAGTTCTAATTTGATTGTGCTGTGATCTGAGGGACTGTTTGTTATTATTTCAGTTCTTTTGCATTTGCTAAGGAGTGTTTTACTTCTGATTATGTAATCAATTTTAGAGGAGATGCCATGTGGCAATGAGAAGAATGTATATTCTGTTGTTTTGGGGTGGAAAGTTCTGTAGATATCTATCAGGTCTGTTTGATCCAGAGCTGAGTTCAGGTCCTGAATATCTTTGTTAATTTTCTGTCTTGATGATCTCTCTAATAATATCAGTGGGGTGTTAAATTCTCCCACTATTATTGTATGTGAGGCTAAGTCTCTTTGTAGGTCTCTAAGAACTTGCCTTATGAATCTGGGTGCTCCTGTATTGGGTGCATATTATATTTAGGATAGTTTGCTGTTCTTATTGAATTGAACCCTTTACCATTATGTAATGCCCTTCTTTGTCTTTTTTTGTACCTTTGTTGGTTTAGTCTGTTTTGTCAGAAACTATGATTGCAATGTCTGCTTTTTTCTGTTTTCCATTTGCTTGGTAAATTTTCCTCCATTCCTTTAATTTGAGCCTACGTGTGTCTTGGCATGGGAGATGGGTCTCTTGACAATAGCATACTGATGGGTCTTGACTCTTTATCCAGCTTGCCATTCTGTGTCTTTTATTTGGGGCATTTAGCCTATTTACATTTAAGGTTAATATTGTTATGTGTGAATTTGATCCTGTCATCATGATGCTAGCTTGTTATTTTGCAGACTTCTTTATGTGGTTACTTTATAGTGTCACAGGTCTGTGTATTTCAGTGTGTTTTTGTAGTGGCTGGTAATGGCTTTTCCTTTCCATATTTAGTGCTTCCTTCAGGAGCTCTTTCAAAGCAGCCCTGGTGGTGGTGGATTCCCTCAGCATTTGCTTGTCTGAAAAGGATCTTATTTCTCCTTCACTTATGAAGTTTTGTTTGGCTGGATATGAAATTCTGAGTAGGAAATTATTTTACTTAAGAATGTTGAATATTAGTCCCCTTAGTTCCCAATCTCTTCTGGCTTCTAGGGTTTCTGCTGAGAGGTCTGCTATTAGTCTGATGGGTTTCCCTTTGTAGATGGCTTGGCCTTTCGCTCTGGCTACCCTTAATATTTTTTCTTTCATTTCAATGTTGAAGAATCTGATGATATTATAGATCTTCTCATGGGGTATCTTACTGGGGTTCTCTGGGTTTCTTAAATTTGAATGTTGGCCTGTCTTGTGAGGTTGGGGAAGTTCTCCTGGATGATATCCTTACGTATGTTTTCCAACTTGGTTCCATTCTCCCAGTCTCTTTCAGGCACCTCAATCAGTCATAGGTTCAGTCTTTTTACATAGTCCCATATTTCTCAGAGGCATTGTTCATTCCTTTTTATTCTTTTTTCTCTATTCTTGTCTGCCTATTGTATTTCAGAAAGACAGTCTTCAAGTTCTGAAATTCTTTCCTCCACTTGGTCTATTCTGCTATTGATACCTGTGATTGCACTGTGAATTTCTCATGTTGTGTTTTTCAGCTCCATCAGGTCAGTTATGTTTCTCCCTAAACTGGGTATTCTGGTTATCAGCTCCTGTATTGTTCTATCATGATTCTTAGCTTCTTCACACTGGGTTACAACATTCTCCCGTAGCTCAGCGTAGTTCATTTTTAGCCACTCTCTGAAGCCTACTTCTGTCAATTCAGGCATCTCAGCCTTTGCCCAGTTCTGTGCCCTTCCCAGAGAGGTGCTGTGGTCATTTAGAGGAGAAGAGGCACTCTGGCTTTTTGAGTTTTCAGCCTTGTTGCATTGATTCTTTCTCATCTTTGTGGGCTTATCTACTTTCCATTTTTGAGGCTACTGACCTTTAAATGGGGTTTTTGTGGGGTCTTTTTTGTTGATGTTGATGTTGTTGCTTTCCATTTGTTTGTTTTTCTTTTCATAGTCAGGCCATTCTTTCACAGGGCTGCTGCAGTTTCTTGGGGGATCGCTCCAGACCCTAGTTGCCTCAGTTTTCCCCTTACCTGGAGGTATCACCAATGAAGGCTGTGAAATAGCAAAGATGGCAGCCTGCTCCTTCCTCTGGGAGTTCCATCCCAGGGGGCTAGTGACCCGTTGTCAGCCTGGATGCTCCTGTAGGAGGTGTCTGGAGACCCCTCTTGGGAAGTCTCACCCAGTCTTGGGGGACAGGATCAGAATCCTTCTTGAAGGAGCAGTCTGGCTGCTTTGGGTAGAGCAGGTGTGCTGTTTTGAGGGGAACCCTTCCTCGTCCAGACTGCCTGGACTCTCCAGAGCCAGCAGGTTGGCAAGGCTGCATTGACTGAACCACAGAGATGTCAGCTGCACCTCCCTGAGGGGCTCCATCCCAGGGAGAGATCCGAGTTCTTTCCATATAACCTTGGCTGCAGTTGCTGAAATTCCTGCAGGGAGGCCCCACCCAGTGAGGAGGGATGGATCAGGTTCCCTCTTAAAGACGTTTTCACTTTGTTGAAACACAAGGGGAAAAAATAAGCTATAAAGTGTTATGTTTATCAAAGTATAAAATAATGATATCCTTATATCTTTTTCTCTTTTGACAGACATTAACTTCTCAAAGGAAGTGATCAAGATCAATTGGAGAGTGTGCTGCTAATGAGTAAAACATGAAGGACTGGAGGAGGATGAAAAGTCATTCTCTTATCTAGCAAGGAATGACAGGAACTCATCTTAATTAGCATGAAAGGAAAACCACCATGGAAGGGAAGACTTTTAGGGAAGGTGTTGGGGTTCCTACCTTGTTAAGGTAGGAAGTGTAGATAGTCCTAAACTTCAAGAAAGTTAATGCAATGAGACCCTTCATAGTGCAAGAGGTGAAAGGGTAAAAGTTGCCCAATCCCTAATAATATAAATTTGCAAAGAGACCTAAGGAATTGTTTTTTGTTGTTTTTTGTTGGGTTGTTTGTTTGTTTTGAGATGGAGTTTCGCTCTTGTTGCCCAGGCTGGAGTGCAATGGCACCATCTCAGCTCACCACAACCTCCACCTCTCCGGTTCAAGCAATTCTCCTGCCTCAGCCTCCACAATAGCTGGGATTACAGGCATGCGCCACCACGCCCGGCTAATTTTGGTTTTGTTTGTTTGTTTGTCTGTTTTTAGTAGAGACCGGGTTTCTCCATGTTGGTCAGGTTGGTTTTGAACTTCCGACCTCAGGCGATCCGTCTGCCTCCGCCTCCCAAAGTGCTGGGATTACAGGCATGAGTCATCGTGCCTGGCTAGGCATTGTTTTGCAAGGAGCAGACTCCAGTGTCAGTTTGTTAACAGTGCTCTTGGGGCTTCTGGTGCCTTGGAAAATGACTTCAATGGGCCAGAAAGAATTGGGTGTCAAAAGCTGTATCCCTAAGAACTCAAGTGTGTGATACCCTTTACTAAACATGACAAAGAAACAGTGGGTTATACACCACTGAAGACTAACCTTTAAAGATTCTCAGTGGCTTACACAGACCTGAGCCAGAAGCAGGCTGGCAGCATCTGTCAAAATGACTGACTGTTCACAGTGACACCGTGTGGCTGCAAGAAGTAATGACAATATCTGACCCATCTCCATGTTTCCCTCACTAATCGCAACCCTTACATACATGTAAGTCCCTAGAGTTCATAAAATATCAGGAAGCACACTAAAAGGAAGATGCTGTGAACTTCCTCCAAATCTGGCATTAGCGAGTTCCGCTTACCTTGTGGTTTTTTCTGTTGTTGTTACTGTTAAAATGAAAAACAAAGAAGTTACAGCCATAATTGTCCTGTAGTACTGTATATATAGCAATTCAAACTGGAAAAAAAATTTGCAACTCATATCACAGAAAGAGGAGCCTTTTTAAAGATCCCTGGAATCCTTTTTATAGAGGAATTATATTGGAAACTCTGGAACTAGATACACCAGAAACTATCAGTCTGAATCCAAGGGGGCTCCAGGCCCCCAACCTCCACAGCTGTGTGGCTGCCTGTGTGGCTGCAGAGGATGATGTATGGCCCAAGAGCACTGCAGAACACTGGGTCAAACCCAGTTTCTGGATGACATAAAACTGGGGAAGAATTTAAATCAGAGGATGATATCACCACATATCTGTGTGCTGCAGAGGATGTTTTTTAAGGGTATGAAGAGGACTAGGTAAGAGTGGGAACAAGATGGCAAGAGTTTCACCAAAGGACAGACAACCTTTTGACAGGTATCAGGTCATAAATAATGTTAGACATCTATACAAGCAAAACATGCCGAACTGAATTTATTCATAAATATAAAGTCTATTCATAAATTATTATAACAGGCAAGAAAATCAATCACATAATACTAATAAGAAATCTCTGACTACCTTGGAAATATGACTATCATCACAATATTCTTAAACACTTTTCTGTTGAAAAGTTGTTTTATACTAGATTTTTTTTCCTCAAATCCAGCTTGTAAAAATTATTTTCATCAAAATGCACTCAAATTCCACTGAAAACTAGGGGATTTAAATGTGTTGTGATGAAATCATGTTTCCAAGCTAATTTTTAGGGAGAATCTAATAAAAGAATTCTTAACAGAAAAGTACAGAGTGCCTGCTGGGATAAAAATGAAGTGAAGTTTCAAGCAACTTTTGAGTAAAAATCTGGTAGAAAACACTATTTTTAACAGAAAATGTGAAAATTAAGCATGTTGTAATGCATGTCATGTTTTCAAGCTAGTTTTGAGAAAAAAAATCAGTAAAAAAACAACATTTGAAATAGAAACATTTGGGATTTAATCCTGTTGTGTTTTCCAAGCTAGTTTTGAAGGACATTTTAGTATAAAAGACATTAATAACAACAACAACAACAACAAAGAACAGTTCAGGAATTAAGCAATACTATTGAAACAATGGACACAGACTAACCCTCCGGAGGTACCCTCAAGTTGACATGAGATTGTCCTAAATATGTCAGAAGTGGTCAGGCCTTTGTGTCATCTGCTTCTCAGCTTTCCCCAGTGACCAGGTATAGAGTGTAGGCTGTCCCCAGGTTTGGGCCAGAAACTTGGGTGAAGCAGTTGCCTTTACCTCAGGGCGATTCCCTAGAAGTGACTGAGCTGTGAGCTGTCAGCAGCCTGGGAAGTGAATGCCGGAGTCCTCTTTGGGGGATCTGGGTAGTGCTTGCAACACTGTGGGCAAAGAGCATCTGCAGGACATTCAGGGAATTTAGGAAGAGGTATGAGACGACACCACAGAGAACTCCAGGTACATCAGAGCTTAACAGTCTCACTAGCTCCAGAACAGATGTCTGAATGAAGATTCAAGTTCTCAAACAGGCAGCAAGAAACTGTTTTAAAATATTTAAACAAGAAAAAGGGAGGGAAGCTAAACAAGGTAACCTTTTTCACCATGTGGAAACTGACATATTCCAACACCACATGCTGTTGAAATACAAGAGACTACTTAGAATAACAAAAGCAAGTTCTATCACAACTTCAGATGAGAAAGTCTGGGATTGCCTTGATGCAGCTGTGTTGTAGTATGTACAGGATGTGGAAGAGAGTTTTTCCTAATTCCCAAAATTTGAAGCCAGCTACCCCAAGCTGAGACCAAGAAAACAACACATAACACACAACTAGAGATGGACACCCACCACGGAAGACTCTCAAAGTTCACTGCCCATCCCTCTCTTAGTCTATAAATGCAAACCTGAGAATCAAAGAAATCATTGGAGGATACAAGTCAATGGAAATGCAGTATTCATTATGAGTTTTCCCCACCCTTCCCTGGGATCCCTATCTCAGGTCAAGCAAGCAACTGGCCAAGAGAATCATTCTACTTGGCCACCAGAAGTGATACTAGCATTTTATTCTCTCACTGGGCAGTGGCCTTGCTGATCTCTCTGTGTGTCTATTTGAGAAAAATGCAAGAGCATGGGGACAGGGTTGCCAGATAAATTATACGATGTATGGAACTTACTTATACTAAAAAATATGCATTGTTTATCTGAAATTCAAGTTTAACTGGACATCAATCACTTCTTGGCCCTTTGGCTAAGATCTAGTGCAAATTCAGCTGGGTGTCCTGTGTTTTATTTGCTCAACCCAGCCATTGGAATTGGGAGGAACAGCAAAGCAGAAAGAGCTGGAGGCAGATGAACAGCGGAAAATGGACAAAATTGAAGGTAGCTGGACTTGAGCCAGCTTGCAGATGCCCACGCAAGATCCTGCTGGCAGGTGGATCCCAACAATGAGAACCTGTAGAGTGGATTGTCTGGGATGAAGACTCTATAGAGGAATCAGAAAAGATCAGGAACCTGCGGGGAAGCTCCAAAGCGTTCTACAAAGAACCCACTCACACATATGTCCTGAAAGAGGGGAATGCTTGTCCAAGAGACATTTACTCAAAGCCAGAGAAGCAAAGTAACAGCAGAAAAATGATGAAGATGTCAGACAAGAAACACTGTGTCTTTCCATATCCCTCCACAGCTCCTACCAAAGGAGACAGAAACCCAAAAGAGCAGAGGTGGAGGAAGAAATGAAAGGGCAGGTTCTGCAAGTCTCCTGACCACAGACAGAAAGGGGAAAGGAGGATGATAGAAAATAATCATTAAATTGGATGTCCAGTTGAAATTTTAAGCTGGGTCAGTACATTCATTATTGATATAGGTTGGATGTTTGTCCCTTCCAAATCTCATGTTGAAATGTGATTCCCAGTGTTGGAGGTAGGGCCTGGTGGGAGGTGACTGGATCATAGGGGTGGATCCCTCATGAATAGTTTAGCTCCATCCCCTTGGGGATAAGTAAGTTCTTGCTGTTAGTTCTAGAAAGATCTAGTTGTCTAAAAGTCTGGGACCTCTCCTTTCTCTCCCTCTTGTTCCCTCTGTCACTATATGACATACTGGTTCCCCTTCTCCTTCCACCATAATTGGAAGCTTCCTGAGGTTATCACCAGGAGCAGATGCTGGCACCACACTTCCTGTACAGCCTGCAGAACCATGATCCAAAACAAACTCTTCTTTCTTATAAATTACCCAGCCTCAGGTATTTCTTTATAGCAATACCAGAATGGACTAACACAGTTTGGTCTCTTATAAGAGATGTAGTGGCTTAAAACCACACACATTTACTCTGTTTCTATGGGTCAGGAATCTGGGTACAACTTAGCTGGGTGTTCTGCTTCAGGCTGCAATCAGGATGCTAGCTGGGGTTACAGTAATCTCAGGGCTCCACTGGGAAGAATCCACTTCCAAGCTCATTCATGTGGTTGTTGGCAGGATTCCATTACTTATGAGCTCTTAGACTGAGGGCCTCAGTATCTCCCTTCCTGTTGGCCAGAGGTGACCCTGAGTTCCCTGCCATATGGGCCTCTCCAACATGAGGGTCATTCCAGAAGCTGCCTCCCACAGACTGCATTAACAGAATAACTGAAAGTGATCTGAGGGCTATGGTGCTACCCAAAATGTCATTTATGGCTGGAGAAAGAAGCCTGAACAAAGCACAGGTGAAAAAGGCATTGGAGAAAAACATTCAAACATTTACATTTATATCCATCAAGTTCAAACAGTTCTATAAATTGGATAAAAGCATTTACCTTCTTAAAGGAGGCATCAATTGAGTAGTAAGGAAGGGAGACAGTGTGGTCATAGAGGGATCTCCTGAACTCATTCTTTTTTTTTTTTAACTTTTTTTTAAATTATACTTTAGGTTTTGGGATTCATGTGCAGAACGTGCAGGTTTGTTACATAGGTATACACGTGCCATGGCAGTTTGCTGCACCCATCAACCCGTCATCTACATTAGGTATTTCTCCTAATGCTACCCCTCCCCTAGCCACCCCCACCCAACCCGTGTGTGATGTTCCCCTCCCTGTGTCCATGTGTTCTCATTGTTCAACTCTTACTTATGAGTGAGAACAGGTGGTGTTTGGTTTTCTGTTCTTGCATTAGTTTGCTGAGAATGATGGTTCCCAGCTTCATCCATATCCCTGCAAAGGACATGAACTCATTCTTTTTTATGGCTGCATAGTACTCCATGGTGTATATGTGCCACATTTTCTTTATCCAGTCTATCATTGATGGACATTTGGGTTGGTTCCAAATCTTTGCTGTTGTGAACAATGCTGCAATAAACATACGTGTGCATGTGTCTTTATAGTAGAATGATTTATAATCCTTTGGGTATATATCCAGTAATGGGATTGTTGGGCCAAATGGTATTTCTGGTTCTAGATCCTTGAGGAATCACCACACTGTCTTCCACAATTGTCAAACTAATTTACACCGACAACAAAAAAAGAAAAATTCAGGCCAATATCCCTGATGAGCATTGATGTGAAAATCCTCAATAAAATACTGGCAAACCAAATCCAGCAGCACATCAAAAAGCTTATCCACCACAATCAAGTCAGCTTCATCCCTGGGATGCAAGGCTGGTTCAACATACACAAATCAATAAACATAATCCATCACATAAACAGAACCAATGACAAAAACCACACAATTACCTCAATAGATGCAGAAAAGGCCTTCGATAAAATTCAACACCCCTTCATACTAAAAACTCTCAATAAAGTAGGTATTGATGGAACTCATTCTTTGGAGACCATGAGAACCAGATTTGAAGCCAAGCCTCACCACAGCAAGTACCCTTGGGTTAATTAACACCTTTGAAATGCAATCTTCTTCTCAGTGATCAGGATTGGATGAGCATAGTAGATGATGTATATGTTTGTGTGGGGTGTTTAGCTTATACATAGTGGCTATTAATATCATTATCCTTATGTAGTCCTCTAAAGCAGTGGTCCCCAAACTTTTTGGCATCAGGGACTGGTTTCATGGAAGATAATTTTTCTATGGACTGTGGTGGTCGTTAGGTTCAGGATGAAACTATTCTACCTCAGATCATCAGACATTAGATTCTCATAAGGAACACAAAACCTAGATCCCTCACATGCGCAGTTCACAGCAGGGTTCACACTCCTATGAGAATATAATGCTGCAGCTGATCTGACAGGAGGCAGAGCTCAGGCAGTAATGCTCGCTCACCCACCACTCACTCCTTCTGTGTGGCCCAGTTCCTAACAGGCCACAGACAGTACTGGTCCATGGCCTGGGGGTTGGGGACCCTTGCTCTACAGTTCATCTATGCAACATTAGTGACTGACAGAACCCAAAGGCAATTGTCCTTATTTTTATTTTAAAGAACAAACATGGCAGAAGTCACAACAGTCATTTATACATATGTAAGTACAGATTTTTAGATTGTACCTGAATTTTGTCTAGGTAAGTAATTTTGATAAACTAACTCTCTGCTCAGTGACCTGAACTTTCAGACAGAAAGTGAAAAAGCAGTCTGCTGACATCTAGGCAGAGAGCTCTGCATGAAATGAAATATCACTTGTGTGTATCCTCCCATAAAGCATCACAGGGTCAAGGTGCCAGGAGAGAAACCAACACAGTCATGAACAAGTAGAGTTTCTTCACTCACCAGCAAGAGCCTCTCCCTTGAAGCAACATTGCAACACTCTTTGCACCATAGTTCAGAGAAAAAGAAAAAATACAAAAGGGCTTTTATAAAAAAGATTTATTTTACCTCCTAAACAGGAGACTTTGGGGCTCATACCAGCAGCTTCCTCCTCCTCTTGCATCATCATCACCACGACCATCACCACTACCACCATCACCACTACCACCATCACCACTATTAGTTACTGAGGTTTCCCCTTGTATATTATTTATCTACTGCTTATACAGACTATGCTAAAACCTAGCAGCTTAACAGTTTAAAACAACAGATGTTTATCATCTCACATAGTTTCTGAGAGTTAGGAATTTTGAAGTCATTTATGAGGTTCTTCTGGTTCAGGGGCTATCATGAGGTTGCAGTCAATCTGTCCATAGGGTAGGGGGGACAGGCTACAGCAATCCGAAAGCTCAACTGAGACTGGAGGATTCACTTTCAAGTTTAGATATGTGATTGTTGATTGGAGACTTCAGTTCTTCATCATGTAGGCCTCTTCACAGAGCAATATGGAAACTGGCTTTCCTCAAAGCGAATAATTCTAGAGAAAGTGAACAAGGCAGAAGTAACAGTGCCTTTCCATGACCTATTCTCCAAAGTGTTCGCCATCACTTCCACTTCTATCTGTTTCTTAAAGGCGGGTCACTAAATCCAGCTCACACTCAAGGGGAGAGGAATTAGGCTTTAACTCTTGAAAGAAGAAGTATCAGAGAATTTTTGTATATATTTTTATAATTCCATGTTATTTGGACTATGGTAAACATGATACATATATTTCCTAATGCAAAAGAAGTTGTTTTGTTCATGCAACAAACATGTTGGATGCCTCTGTTCATGCAATAAACTTTTACTGTAGTCTTTACCTCCCCAGGAGTGAGTTCTAAGTGCCTGCTCTGTACAGGAGTTTTAACCCTTGATGGTTCTTTTAACTAGCCTATTATTTTCCTTATGGTACCTGTGAGGGTCTCTTCCTACAGACTTGCAATAGCATCTTCTTGCTTTTGTCCACAAAAACATCCCCACACTTAAATTTCTTTCAAGCCAACTTAACTCATTATAAACTAGTACTTTAAGTCTGCACTTACATATAACATTTATAATTTAACCACTGTCTGCAGCAGAGATATAATACAACATACATAGTGGCTATTATTATCATTATCTTTATGCAAGTTGGTATCTTCTCAAAAATTTAAACACAGAGTTTCCATATGAACCTGAAATTCCACTCCTAGGCATATAACCAAGAGAAATACATATGTATATTCACACAAAAATCTGTAAATGAATGTTTATAGCACACTATTTACAATAAACAGAAAAGTGAAAACAAATTAAATGTCTATCAGCTTAAGGAAGAAGACAAAGATGGCCACTCTTACCACTTCTATTCAACATAGAACTGGAAGTCCTAGCCAGAAAAATTAGGCAAGAAAAAAAAATACAATGGATCCAAATAGGAAAGGAAGAAGTAAAATTATCTGTTTGCAGATGATATGGTGTTATATATAGAAAGCCCTAAAGAGTATATCAAAAAACTGTTAGAACTAATAAATGAATTCAGTAATGTCACAAAATACAAAATCAACATACAAAAAATTAGTAGTGGGGAGGAGCCAAGATGGCCGAATAGGAACAGCTCCAGTCTACAGCTCCCAGCGTGAGTGACGCAGAAGACGGGTGATATCTGCATTTCCATCTGAGGTACCGGGTTCATCTCACTAGGGAGTGCCAGACAGTGGGCGCAGGTCAGTGGGTGCGCGCACCGTGCGTGAGCCAAAGCAGGGCGAGGCATTGCCTCACTTCGGAAGCGCAAGGGGTCAGAGAGTTCCCATTCCGAGTCAAAGAAAGGGGTGGCGGACGCAACTGGAAAATCGGGTCACTCCCACCCGAATATTGCGCTTTTCGGACCGGCTTAAAAAATGGTGCACCATGAGATTATATCCCGCACCTGGCTCAGAGGGTCCTATGCCCACGGAGTCTCGCTGATTGCTAGCACAGCAGTCTGAGATCAAACTGCAAGGCGGCAGCGAGGCTGGGGGAGGGGCGCCCGCCATTGCCCAGGCTTGCTTAGGTAAACAGAGCAGCCAGGAAGCTCGAACAGGGTGGAGCCCACCACAGCTCAAGGAGGCCTGCCTGCCTCTATAGGCTCCACCTCTGGGGGCAGGGCACAGACAAACAAAAAGACAGCAGTAACCTCTGCAGACTTAAATGTCCCTGTCTCACAGCTTTGAAGAGAGCAGTGGTTCTCCCAGCACGCAGCTGGTGATCTGAGAACGGGCAGACTGCCTCCTCAAGTGGGTTCCTGAACCCTGACCCCCGAGCAGCCTAACTGGGAGGCACCCCCCAGCAGGGGCACACTGACACCTCACACGGCAGGGTATTCCAAGACCTGCAGCTGAGGGTCCTGTCTGTTAGAAGGAAAACTAACAAACAGAAAGGACATCCACACCAAAAACCCATCTGTACATCACCATCATCAAAGACCAAAAGTAGATAAAACCACAAAGATGGGGAAAAAACAGAACAGAAAAACTGGAAAACTCTAAAACGCAGAGCGCCTCTCCTCCTCCAAAGGAACACAGTTCCTCACCAGCAACGGAACAAAGTTGGACGGAGAATAACTTTAACGAGCTGAGAGAAGAAGGTTTCAGACGATCAAATTACTCTGAGCTACAGGAGGACATTCAAACCAAAGGCAAAGAAGTTGAAAACTTTGAAAAAAATTTAGAAGAATATATAACTAGAATAACCAATACAGAGAAGTGCTTAAAGGAGCTGATGGAGCTGAAAACCAAGGCTCGAGAACTACGTGAAGAATGCAGAAGCCTCAGGAGTCGATGTGATCAACTGGAAGAAAGGATATCAGCAATGGAAGATGAAATGAATGAAATGAAGTGAGAAGGGAAGTTTAGAGAAAAAAGAATAAAAAGAAATGAGCAAAGCCTCCAAGAAATATGGGACTATGTGAAAAGACCAAATCTATGTCTGATTGGTGTACCTGAAAGTGATGGGGAGAATGGAACCAAGTTGGAAAACACTCTGCAGGATATTATCCAGGAGAACTTTCCCAATCTAGCAAGGCAGGCCAACGTTCAGATTCAGGAAATACAGAGAATGCCACAAAGATACTCCTCGAGAAGAGCAATTCCAAGACACATAATTGTCAGATTCACTAAAGTTGAAATGAAGGAAAAAATGTTAAGGGCAGCCAGAGAGAAAGGTCGGGTTACCCTCAAAGGGAAGCCCATCAGACTAACAGCGGATCTCTCGGCAGAAACCCTACAAGCCAGAAGAGAGTGGGGGCCAATATTCAACATTCTTAAAGAAAAGAATTTTCAACCCAGAATTGCATATACAGCCAAACTAAGCTTCATAAGTGAAGGAGAAATAAAATACTTTACAGACAAGCAAATGCTGAGAGATTTTGTCACCACCAGGCCTGCCCTAAAAGAGCTCCTGAAGGAAGCGCTAAACATGGAAAGGAACAACCGGTACCAGCCGCTGCAAACTCATGCCAAAATGTAAAGACCATCGAGACTAGGAAGAAACTGCATCAACTAACGAGCAAAATAACCAGCTAACATCATAATGACAGGATCAAATTCACACATAACAATATTAACTTTAAATATAAATGGACTAAATGCTCCAATTAAAAGACACAGACTGGCAAATTGGATAAAAAGTCAAGACCCATCAGTGTGCTGTATTCAGGAAACCCATCTCATGTGCAAAGACACACATAGGCTCAAAATAAAAGGATGGAGGAAGATCTACCAAGCCAATGGAAAACAAAAAAAGGCAGGGGTTGCAATCCTAGTCTCTGATAAAACAGACTTTAAACCAACAAAGATCAAAAGAGACAAAGAAGGCCATTACATAATGGTAAAGGGATCAATTCAACAAGAAGAGCTAACTATCCTAAATATATATGCACCCAATACAGGAGCACCAGGATTCATAAAGCAAGTCCTGAGTGACCTACAAAGAGACTTAGACTCCCACACATTAATAATGGGAGACTTTAACACCCCACTGTCAACATTAGACAGATCAACGAGACAGAAAGTCAACAAGGATACCCAGGAATTGAACTCAGCTCTGCACCAAGTGGACCTAATAGACATCTACAGAACTCTCCACCCCAAATCAACAGAATATACATTTTTTTTCAGCACCACACCACACCTATTCCAAAATTGACCACATACTTGGAAGTAAAGCTCTCCTCAGCAAATGTAAAAGAACAGAGATTATAACAAACTGTCTTTCAGACCACAGTGCAATCAAACTAGAACTCGGGATTAAGAATCTCACTCAAAACCGCTCAACTACATGGAAACTGAACAACCTGCTCCTGAATGACTACTGGATACATAACAAAATGAAAGCAGAAATAAAGATGTTCTTTGAAACCAACGAGAACAAAGACACAACATACCAGAATCTCTGGGACACATTCAAAGCAGTGTGTAGAGGGAAATTTATACCACTAAATGCCCACAAGAGAAAGCAGGAAAGATCCAAAATTGACACCCTAACATCACAATTAAAAGAACTAGAAAAGCAAGAGCAAACACATTCAAAAGCTAGCAGAAGACAAGAAATAACTAAAATCAGAACAGAACTGAAGGAAATAGAGACACAAAAAACCCTTCAAAAAATTAATCAATCCAGGAGCTGCTTTTTTGAAAGGATCAACAAAATTGATAGACCGCTAGCAAGACTAATAAAGAAAAAAAGAGAGAAGAATCAAATAGATGCAATAAAAAATGATAAAGGGGATATCACCACTGATCCCACAGAAATACAAACTACCATCAGAGAATACTACAAACACCTCTACGCAAATAAACTAGAAAATCTAGAAGAAATGGATAAATTCCTTGACACATACACTCTCCCAAGACTAAACCAGGAAGAAGTTGAATCTCTGAATAGACCAATAACAGGAACTGAAATTGTGGCAATAATCAATAGTTTACCAACAAAAAGAGTCCAGGACCAGACGGATTCACAGCCGAATTCTATCAGAGGTACAAGGAGGAACTGGTACCATTCCTTCTGAAACTATTCCAATCAATAGGAAAAGAGGGAATCCTCCCTAACTCATTTTATGAGGCCAGCATCATTCTGATACCAAAGCCGGGCAGAGACATAAACAAAAAAGAGAATTTTAGACCAATATCCTTGATGAACATTGATGCAAAAATCCTCAATGAAATACTGGCAAAACGAATCCAGCAGCACATCAAAAAGCTTATCCACCATGATCAAGTGGGCTTCATCCCTGGGATGCAAGGCTGGTTCAATATACGCAAATCAATAAATGTAATCCAGCATATAAACAGAGCCAAAGACAAAAACCACATGATTATCTCAATAGATGCAGAAAAAGCCTTTGACAAAATTCAACAACCCTTCATGCTAAAAACTCTCAATAAATTAGGTATTGATGGGACGTATCTCAAAATAATAAGAGCTATCTATGACAAACCCACAGCCAATATCATACTGAATGGGCAAAAACTGGAAGCATTCCCTTTGAAAACTGGCACAAGACAGGGATGCCCTCTCTCACCACTCATATTCAACATAGTGTTGGAAGTTCTGGCCAGGGCAATCAGGCAGGAGAAGGAAATAAAGGGTATTCAATTAGGAAAAGAGGAAGTCAAATTGACCCTGTTTGCAGACGACATGATTGTATATCTAGAAAACCCCATTGTCTCAGCCCAAAATCTTCTTAAGCTGATAAGCAACTTCAGCAAAGTCTCAGGATACAAAATCAATGTACAAAAATCACAAGCATTCTTATACACCAATAACAGACAAACAGAGAGCCAAATCATGAGTGAACTCCCATTCACAATTGCTTCAAAGAGAATAAAATACCTAGGAATCCACCTTACAAGGGATGTGAAGGACCTCTTCAAGGAGAACTACAAACCACTACTCAAGGAAATAAAAGAGGATACAAACAAATGGAAGAACATTCCATGCTCATGGGTAGGAAGAATCAATATTGTGAAAATGGCCATACTGCCCAAGGTAATTTACAGATTCAATGCCATCCCCATCCAGCTACCAATGCCTTTCTTCACAGAATTGGAAAAAGTACTTTAAAGTTCATATGGAACCAAAAAAGAGCCCGCATCACCAAGTCAACCCTAAGCCAAAAGAACAAAGCTGGAGGCATCACACTATCTGACTTCAAACTATACTACAAGGCTACAGTAACCAAAACAGCATGGTACTGGTACCAAAACAGAGATATAGATCAATGGAACAGAACAGAGCCCTCAGAAATAACGCCGCATATCTACAACTATCTGATCTTTGACAAATCTGACAAAAACAAGAAATGGGGAAAGGATTCCCTATTTAATAAATGGTGCTGGGAAAACTGGCTAGCCATAGGTAGAAAGCTGAAACTGGATCCCTTCCTTACACCTTATACAAAAATCAATTCAAGATGGATTAAAGACTTAAATGTTAGACCTAAAACCATAAAAACCCTAGAAGAAAACCTAGGCATTACCATTCAGGACATAGGCATGGGCAAGGACTTCATGTCCAAAACACCAAAAGCAATGGCAACAAAAGCCAAAATTGACAAATGGGATCTAATTAAACTAAAGAGCTTCTGCACAGCAAAAGAAACTACCATCAGAGTGAACAGGCAACCTACAAAATGGGAGAAAATTTTCGCAACCTACTCATCTGACAAAGGGCTAATATCCAGAATCTACAATGAACTCAAACAAATTTACAAGAAAAAAACAAACAACCCCATCAAAAAGTGGGCGAAGGATATGAACAGACACTTCTCAAAAGAAGACATTTATGCAGCCAAAAAACACATGAAAAAATGCTCACCATCACTGGCCATCAGAGAAATGCAAATCAAAACCACAATGAGATACCATCTCACACCAGTTAGAATGGCGCTCATTAAAAAGTCAGGAAACAACAGGTGCTGGAGAGGATGTGGAGAAATGGGAACACTTTTACACAGTTGGTGGGACTGTAAACTAGTTCTACCATTGTGGAAGTCAGTGTGGCGATTCCTCAGGGATCTAGAACTGGAAATACCATTTGACCCAGCCATCCCATTACTGGATATATACCCAAAGGACTATAAATCATGCTGCTATAAAGACACATGCACACGTATGTTTATTGCGGCATTATTCACAATAGCAAAGACTTGGAACCAACCCAAATGTCCAACAATGATAGACTGGATTAAGAAAATGTGGCACATATACACCATGGAATACTATGCAGCCATAAAAAATGATGAGTTCATGTCCTTTGTAGGGACATGGATGAAATTGGAAATCATCATTCTCAGTAAACTATCACAAGAACAAAAAACCAAACACCGCATATTCTCACTCATAGGTGGGAATTGGACAATGAGATCACATGGACACAGGAAGGGGAATATCACACTCTGGGGACTGTTGTGGGGTGGGGGGAGGGGGGAGGGATAGCATTGGGAGATATACCTAATGCTAGATGACGAGTTAGTGGGTGCAGCACACCAGCATGGCACATGTATACATATGTAACTAACCTGCACAATGTGCACATGTACCCTAAAACTTAAAGTATAATAAAAAAAATTAGTAGTGTTTTTATACACTAACAACGAACTATACAAATGAGAAATTAAGAAAACAGTCTCATTTAAATCAATATCAAGAAAAAAATTTAGGAATAAATTTAATGAGGTAAACGATCTGTATACTAAAAACTATAAAATGTTGATGAAAGAAATTGAAGAATAAATAAATAATTGGAAAGATATCATGTGTTCATGGATTGGAAAAATTAAAATTGTTAAATTGTCCATACTACCCAAAGTTATCTACAGATTCAATGCAATCCCTATCAAAATGGCAATGGCATTTTTCACAGAAACAAACAATTCTAAAATTTGTATGGAATCACAAAAGATTCTGAAGAGCCAAAGCAATCTCAAGCAGAAAGAACAAAGCTGGAGGCATCAAAGTATCCAATTTCAATATATACTACAAAGCTATGGTAATCAAAACATCATAGAACTGGCACGAAAGCAGACATATTAACCAATGGAACTGAACAGAAAGCTCAAGAATAAATCCATGCATTTAAGGTCAATTGATCTTTAACAAAGGTACCAAGAGTTCATAATACAGAAAGGACACCCTCCTCAATAAATGACGTTGGGAAAACTGAAAATCTACATGGAGAAGAATGAAATGGGACCCTTACCTCAAACCATATAAAATATCAACTCAAAAGTGAATTAAAGACTTCGATGTAAGACCTGAAACAGTAACACTACCAGAAGAGAACATAGGGGAAAAGCTCCACGGCATTAGTCTGGGCAATGATTTCATGGATATAACCCCAAAAGCACAGGCAATAAAAGCAAACATAGACAAATGGGATTATATCAAATTAAAAGGCTTCTGCACAGAAAAAGAAAACCAAGAGACAACATACAGGGTGGGAGAAAACGTTTGCAAACTACATACCTGATAAGGGGTTAATATCCAAACTACACAAGGAATGCAAGCAACTCAATAGAAAGAAAACAAATAACCCAATTTAAAAATGGGCTGAGGACCTGAATAGACATTTCTCAAAAGAAGACATACAAATGACAAACAGGCATATGTAGAAATGCTCATCATGACTAATTATCAGGGAAATGCAAATTAAAACCACAATGAGCTATCACCTCCCACCTGTAGAATGACTATTATCAAAAAGATAAGAAGTGTTGGTGAGGGTGTGGAGAAAGGGAACCTTTGCACACTATTGGTGGGAATGTAAATTAGTAGAGCCATTACTGAAAACTGTATGGGCATTCCAAAAAAATTAAAACTAGAACTACCATATGATCCAGCAATCCCACTGCTGTATACACACCCAAAGGAAATGAAATCAGCATGTTGAAGAAATATCTGCACTCCCATGTTCATCACATTACTCACCATAGCCAAGACATTAAATCGACCTAAGTGTCCATCAACAGGTGAACATATAAAGAAAATGTGATGTATATATAACATATATATAATATATACAGATATAGGAATATTATTCATCCTTTAAAAAGAAGGAAATCTTGTCATTGTAACAGCATGGATGAACCTGGAGGACATCATGCTAAGTGAAATAAGCAAGACACAGAAAGACAAATACCTCATGATCTCACTTACATGTAGAATCTAAAAAAAAACTGAACTCCTAGAAGCAGAGAATAGAATGATAGTTGCCAGGGTCAGGGGGTGAAGGATAGTGGGAAACAGGAAAATATCAGTCAATGGGTACAAAGTTTCACTTAGGATAGTTCCACAGATCTATTATACAGCTTGGTAACTACAGCTAATATTAATATATTGTATGCTTGAAAATTGCTGAAAGTAGATCTTAAATATTCTCACCACAAAAAAAAATTTTGTGACATGATTGATATGTTAATTTGCTTGTTTAAACCATGTCACTATGCATACATATATCAAATTACATTGTATGTGATAAATACTGCATATATCATTTTTATTTGTCAATTACACCTAAATAGAGCCAGGAAAAAGTAAATGTCTAAAAACAGATGAATAGATCAACAAAATGTAGTATACGCCTCAACAAAATGTAGTACATGCATGATATGGTCTGGCTGTGTCCCCACCCAAATCTCAACTTGAATAGTATCTCCCACAATTCCCATGTGTTGTGGGAGGGACCCAGGAGGACATAACTGAATCATGGGGGCAAGTCTTTCCCACGCTATTCTCATGATAGTGAATAAGTCTCATGAGATCTGATGGGTTTATCAGGGGTTTCCACTTTTGCTTCTTCTCTCATTCTCTCTTGCTTCCACCAGCAAGAGAATGCCTTTCACCCTCCGCCATGATTGTGAGACCTCCTCCAGCCATGTGGAAGTGTAAGTCCAATTAAACCTCTTTTTGTTCTCAATTTTGGGTACGTCTTTACCAGCAGTCTGAAAACAAATACAGTAAATTGGTACCAGTAGAGTGGGGTGTTGCTAAAAATATACCTGAAAATGTGGAAGGGACTTTGAAACTGGGTAACCCGCAGAGCATGAAACAGTTTGGAGGGCTCAAAAGAAGACAAGAAAATGGGGGAAAGTTTGGAAGCTCCTAGAGATTTGTTTAATAGCTTTGACAAAAATGTTGATAGTGATATGGACGAAAAGGTCTGGGCTGAGGTGGTCTCAGATAGAGATGAGGAATTTGTTGGGAACTGGAGCAAAGGTGACTCTTGTGTTTTAGCAAAGAGACTGGTGGCATTTTGCCCCTGCCCTAGAGATTTGTAGAACTTTGAACTTGAGAGAGACGATTTAGGATACCTGGCGGAAAAAATTTCTAAGCAGAAAAGCATTCAACAGGTGACTTGGGTACTGTTAAAGGTATTCAATTTTAGAAGGGAAACAGAGCATAACAGTTCAGAAAGTTTGCAGCCTGATGATGCAATAAAAAAGAAAAAACAATTTTTTGAGGAGAAATTCAACCCAGCTTCAGAAATTTGAATAGGTAGCAAGAAGCCTAATGCTAATCCCCAAGACCTTGGGGAAAATATCTCCAGGCTAAGTCAAAGACCTTCACAGCAGCCCCTCCCATCGCAGGCCTGGAGGCCCAGGAGGAAAAAATGGTTTCATGGGCCAGGCCCAGGGTCCCCATGCTATGTGCAGCCGAGGGACTTGGTGCCCTGTGTCCCAGCCACTCCAGCCATGGCTGAATGGGGCCAACTTAGAGCTTGGGCTGTGGCTTCAGAGGATGGGAGCCCCAAGCCTTGGCAGCTTCCATGTGGTGTTGAGCCTGTGGGTGCACAGATGTCAAGAATTAAGGTTTGGGAACCTCTGCCTAGATTTCAGAAGATGTATGGAAACCCCTGGATGTCCAGACAAAAGTGTGCTTCAGGGGCGGAGCCCTCATGGAGATCCTCTGCTAGGGAAGTGCAGAAGGGAAATGTGGGGTCAAAGCCCCCACAAAGAGTCCCTACTGGGGTACTGCCTAGTGGAGCTGTGAGAAGAGGGCCATCGTCCTCCAGACCCCAGAGTGGTAGATCCACTGCCAGCTTGCACAATGCACCAGGAAAAGCCACAGACACTTAATGCAAGCCCATGAAAGCAGTCAGGAGGGAGGCTGTACCCTGCAAAGCCACAGAGGCTGAGCTGCCCAAGACCATGAGAACCCACCTTTTACATCAGCATGACCTGGATGTAAGACCTGGAGTCAAAGGAGATTATTTTGGAGCTTTAAAATTTGACTGCCCCGCTGGATTTCAGATTTGCATGGGCCCTGTAACCTCTTTGTTTTGGCCAATTTCTCCCAGTTGGAAAGGCTGTATTTACCCAATACTTGTACCCCCATTTTATCTAGGAATTAACTAGCTTGCTTTTGATTTTACAGGTTCATAGGCCAGAAGGGACTTGACTTGTCTCAGATGAGACTTTGGACTGTGGACTTTTGGGTTAATGCTGACATGAGTTAAAATTTTGGGGGACTGTTAGGAAGGCATGATTAGTTTTGAAATGTGAGGACATGAGATTTGGAGGGGCCAGGGGTGGAATGATATGGTTTAGCTGTGCCCCCACCCAAATCTCAACATGAATTATATCTCCCAAAATTCCCATGTGTTGTGGGAGGGACCCATGGGGGCATAATTGAAACATAGGGGCTTGTCTTTCCCATTCTATTCTCATGATAGTGGATAAGTCTCACAAGATCTGATGGGTTTATCAGGGGTTTCCACTTTTGCTTCTTCTCTCATTCTCTCTTGCTGCCGCCATGTAAGAAGCACCTTTCACCCTCCACCATGATTGTGAGACTGTCCCCAACCATGTGGAACTGTAAGTCCAATTAAACATCTTTTCGTGCCCAGTTTTAGGTATATCCTTATCAGCAGCATGAAAATGAACTAATACAATGCAAAAAATAGAATATTATTCAGCAATTGAAAGTAATTAAGTGTTGACACATACTACAACATGGATGAACATTGGAAACATCATGCTAAGTGAAAGAAGCCAGTCACTAATGACCACATATTGTATGAGTCCATTTATATGAAATGTCCAGAACAGGCAAATCTATAGAGACAGAAAGTATATCAGTGGTTGTCTAGGGTTTAGGGGCAAGGGAGGAGTTGGATGGAAATAAGGAGTGACTGCTAATGAGTACAAGATGATGAAAATGGCCCCAAAATAGATAGTAATGATAGCTGCACAACTGTGAATATACTAAAAACCATTAAAATGTACACTTTAAATGGTGAATTGTATGGTGTGTGAATTACATCTCACAGATGTAATTAGAGCTCAGTTGAGCTGTTAAAAAATTTAAAATAAAAGATGAATGTAATGGTATAAGACCAAAAGGCAATATATATTAATATGTATTGTAGTCAGTTTATAAGACACTGAGCACCTGGTGTGTGCAAACCACCATCAGTAAAATTATGAAAAAATTCACAGTGCATGTTAAAAATAATTCATTCCATGATACTATATGAGTAGTTCAATGCATGCTATAGACGCCTAATAAACGAAGAAAAGGTTACTAACATTTCTTTTCTGCACAGGCACTTCTTCAGTTTTTTAAGTGAAGGAGAGAAATCACATTGCATAAAATTAAAATGCTAATTGCTCAGCCCTTAGCTGTATTTTGTAAAGAAAGTAAATAAACACAAGACTGTGATCAGAATCTATGGAAATCCTCAGAGAATATCAGAAGCAAATGAGCTGCTGGAGGATGTTTCCATACAGAATTAAACACTACCCTTTCAAGACTAACAATTGATTTATTTATAATTGCAGAATCTTAGTTGAAAAGGCTAAAAATTACTTCAAATTTAAGAATTTTCTAAAATTTTAGCTTTTACCTACTATCTCACAGTGAAAAAATTATTAGTTGAGAGACTTCACCTTGAAAGATGAGAAAATGAGGCGATTCATTCTCATTCTAATAATGAAGTAAAAACATCCCCTATTCAATGAGCATCTGAAATAGCCAATCCCCAAAGAAACTAAAAATTATGTTCAGTGACAACACATTATTTAACTCACCAGGGCATTTTGAGATAACACAGTGTAACTGAGATCTGTGCAAGGAAATTTGTCAGGCGAAAGCATTTCTTCCTTCAGAAACACCTTTGGCAACCGAGATGGCAAAAAATGCATGTAAAATTCTGAGCATGTTTAGAGAATGACCCTGACTGATTCTGTAACTCTGTACAGATTAGTTTCCTTCCAGATCTTTAGTGGGGGCATTTCCAAAGGCTTCAAGCCAGATAGATGGCTTGATGGGAGAAGGTAGAAGTTTTAAATTTTTATATATTTCATATGTATTTATATATAAAATATATAATTTATATATTTATAAATATTTTTCTATTTTTATCTATATATTTTTAATTTACTTATAATTTTTACATATTTATATTTACAACTTATATATGTGTGGGTGAGTGGGTGTGTATGTATGTGTATATATATTTGTGTGTGTGTGTGTGTGTGTGTGTGTGTATATGCATATGTCTCCAACACATCCTAGGTAAATTTTGAGTGGGGAAAAAGTCATAACATAAAGCTGGCTGTGCTTTTTGACCCACTAAGTCAGCACTTACTTTTCCCCTGAAAGTTTCTCAAACACCCTCATGTTGGCTTTTCATTTCACACATCCTCTATGGGAGACAGGAAGGAAAAGACTCAGCATCCCCTTTGTCACCATGTGCTCGTGGGTTATCTGAGATGCAAAATAAATGGGAGGGGGCTGCCATATTGTCTCTCTATAATTTCATATTTGCAATTTTACCTAAGCAGTAACTTTGCTAAAAAACTTTTTAAAGTACTCCATTTCTAGGTGAGAACTGCCCTCACCCCTGTATCAACTGCTATAAACACCTATACTACTCAGTCATTTGATGTCTTTAATTAGCACCCCTCTGAGATTCACAAGACTGAGGTGCTCATACACATACAATACATAGAAAAGATCTAACTGGACTGTAAAGTAGGCAATAATTGGTTTCTGTCTCCCATGGGAGTGCAGCCCCCAGTGTCCTTCATGAGTAAGTGTGAACAGCACCCTACTTTGAGGGTCTCCGAAGCCTATTTTACTCTGTGCCCAGCACCTTCCCTGCACTGGCTACAATTTAGTCTACATGTCCCATGATGACTCCCTGCTGCATGTACATTTCCAGGGTTTTCCTTGCTGTTTCTGACAAGTGATCACAGCAGCAAAGAGTATTAAATTTAAAATTATTAGGGATTCTTTTTCCTACCACCTTGAAACTACTTAACCTGAACATTTCTTAGGATAAGCTCAGAGTAAAACTCACCATTCCCTAATTCTGCAAAGAGAGACTCTGTTCTGAACAAGTTTTGTAAGGAAGGAAAAAAGAAAAAGAAATAAATTATTATTAAGCCTGTAAATGCCCAGCACTTTAAAAACAGGCATAGAAAAAAGTAAGGGTGTATGCCAAAATGATAGAAGTGATTATCTCTATGCAGCAGGATAAGAGGACTTTTTTATTTTCTTCTATGACTGAGCAGTATTTTCTAAATTTTCTATGAAAAAATGTATTTTGAAGTAAAATTTTTAAATGGAAGGGAGGGGAAGATTCCAGATAATAAAAGGAATTCTCACTTGCTCTCCCTAAAAATAATCACACTAGCTTTTTATTGTCTTTTTACCAGCTTTTCTCCTAACTGATGTGGATGGGAAACAGACGACGTTAACTAAAACTATTACAAATTTATTTGCTGTTTTTAATCCTGGTTTTACTTTGTTGGATGATTCTTTAGACACCTAAAGCCTTCCTGCTCTTCTCTTCAATTCCTGTAGGGGGAGTCACCCAGGCTACTCCCTCCCTGTGTTCTTGGTCCTCCCCTGAACCAGGAAAGGGTTCCCCTTACAAGAAGTATCAGGAACTCAACACTGCATTTGCAGTCTCCTCAAGCCCCTGGAAAAGGCCCCCACCCCATCCAGTGAGGGGTTTATATCTCAAATGCCAGAGAAGCTCTAAAGGGGAATCTCCCTATACACACAATTTCAGCCTCCTCAAAGTTCACAGGAATGATGGTCACTTCAAGCCACTGTCCCACTCATGTGAAAGAATTGGATATCCAGGGGTCTTCTCATGTGGGCTTGCTCTTGTATTCCCAAAGAAAGAGAATTTAGCACCTGTTCCAACAAAACTTTAAACAAGCCAGTGTTAATCTACAGGGAAAAGACCAGGAGGAAAGAAGAATGAAATGAACATTATTTAGAAACCTTCTATTAAGACTACAGAAAGCAATTTTATCTGAAAACAGGAACCTCCCTGGGTTGGGGGCAGACTCCTGGGTACCACCATACCTAATATTTCAAATGGAGTCCCCTACAGCTTAAGTAGGACACAGACTAATTAAAACTCTGAAAAGAAAAAACAACCAAACTATGCCAAGATTAAACAATATCTATAAGGAGAAACTTGGGAGGTACTAATCTCTCTAATAGGAAAACGGAATAAATCCTTGGCAAGGTAATACTTTCAGTGAAGAAAGTAAATTATTCAAAAAAAACCTAAGGAAATTTTAGGATTCTAGCTGGAGAAAAAAGAAGACCTTAGTTCTAGAGAAAGCCGGGTTGAGGCCACTACTTACTGAAGTTCTTTGTAGCAAGCAGAGACAACATAGCCTACGTCCTCATCCCAGAAGATATCAGGTGCCCTCAAAGTAGGGTCTTCTCCAGAGAAAGAAGTTTTGAAGAATTACAGGTCTAAAGACCCTAATCCCAACCCCTTGGCACCCGGTATGTTTTAGAATTCTGAATTGTGGGGATTTTAGGAAAGAAATCTGGTGCATAATCAACAATATTATATAACTTCTGCAGTGGGATCTGGGGCAACACCCCGTTAATCTTTCTTAAGCAAAACATATGAAGATCCACACTAAGTGGGACAAATAAAGGATATACATAAATAGACTCACATCAGTTCAAGTTTTGCTGCCAGAAAAGTTGTGGAAAAAAGAATTCAATTTTATGAGGTTTTTTGGATTTCAGAAACGTGACTCAGGGATTATGGACCTGTACATTTTTTAAATGTCTGTCTTTCCCAGCAGAGACTGAGATCAACGCTTTATTTATCTTCCCCAGTTTCTAGATTATGACTGGTGTTCAGTAAACATGTTGGATTTAATTGATTAATTCTCGGGCTGTGAGCCTCTCTCCCATTTGCTAGTGGCTGTTCCCTAACGAGCCACTGGACACCCATGGAGGGCCAAATTGCAAGAACAGGGTACTCAGCTCAAATGTACTCTTCTTTGAATTGAAGTAATTAAAGACAAGTAAATGTTATGCCTAATTTTAATCCATTATTTTCCAATTCCAAGTACTTCCATTGTTTAAGCCACCCAAAGATTATAAAGACCAATAATTAGATATTTGCAATATTGTCTTGTTTGAGGATTTGGTGACAATGTTCTGGAAAACACTGCAACAATGACAAGAATGTCCCATCTGGTTCCCATAATTATTCATTCTTGTCTCTTTGAATGTACTGGCCTGGAGACAAAGGTAATACTAAAGGCATAATAAGAATAGCAGTTCCGTCACACACCCACGGCAGACGCAATTCAGTCCCCATTTCTCCTCTCGGCCAGGTTTCCATGCAGGGCCCCGTGCAAGTGGCCACGTGCACGTTTCCCACTCACCGCTGCCAACCAGACGTCTTCCTTATAGACCCGCCTCCTCTTTGTCTTCCTGCCAGTCACTGCTGCTCTGGCTGGAAATAGATGTGTCAAGTTGTTCTCTAGATTTCAGGTCCTTTAGCATATGGGACAAGGTCATCCTTCTTTCTCAGTCATACAGGCAGTATAATTAGTCTTATCTTTCACTCCATGAGAATTAGAATGCAACTTTAAACTTTAAAGCAAGGAGAACAACATGGGTTTACTGTTAAATGCCCCAAAGCAACATGGACATCAGAAAAGACAGCCACAAATAGAGCATCAGCATTTAAACACCCAGACCAACTAGATATGTCTATCTGCTATCACGTAAGACCGGTCCTTTCACATACAGAGTTGCTTGATCTAGAAAATGCCATATGAAGACATTTAAATCTAGAGAACAAACACATTTACTCTCTAATGACAATATTGCAAATTTTTAAAAGTCACCCCAAGATTGCTTTACTTAGTAAAATGCCTCACATGTATTTTTTGCTTTTTTTTAAGTTATTTATAGAATAGGTGATACATGTACAGAGTTTTTAAATGGAAGCAATTAGGCCAGGCAAGGTGGCTCACAAGTGTAATCCCAGAGCTTTGGGAGGCTGAGGTGGGAGAATTGCTTGAGGCCAGGAGTTTTGAGACCAACCCAGGCAAAATAACCAAACCCCACCTCAAAAAAAAAAAAAAGAATGTAGGTGTGGTGGTGGTAGTGGTGCCTATAGTCCCAGCTACTCTGGACGCTGAGGTGAGAGGATTGCTTGAGCCCAGGAATTTGAGGCTGCAGTGAGCTATGATTGCACCTCTACACTCCAGCCTGTGTGACAAAGCAAGACCCTGTCTCTATACATAAATAATAAAAACAAAATAGAAGCAATTAAATATTGCTTAAGTTAAATGCAGTGGAAATTAAGTCTCAGCTCCCACTCCTGTCCCAAAGGCCCCAGTTCCTCTTTCCAGAGGCAACTACTATGACCAGATTGTAGATTCTTCCCAAAGTATTCTCTACATATACAAGTGTATATCACCTTTTCAATATAAACTCTATCACACCACACACACTGTTATATATTTTGTTCCTCTAAGTGCATTGAAATGGTTAATTAGGAAAGATTCTCTTCACCCCAGAGTCAGACAGGACTCCAGGCTTTTCCCATCCCTTCTCAACAGTTAGTCCCACTCTGGTTAACTGGATGGGGAGGGAAAACTGGGAGGGGCAGGCATCTAGAACATCACCACCTTCTACAACAGGTCCGGCAGCAGGGAAACAAAGGTACTGCACGTTCCATCCAGATGATTCAGCAAAAAGTACCCAAAAGACAAAAGGCTGCAGACAGTCTACATCTGGAGGACAGAGCGACAGACTTCGGTTCCAGGATCAGGGGAAGGAGCAACCTGGCTGTCCAGGTGCACAGGCAGAAAGCTGGCATTTGGCAGCCTTCCAGCAGGCTGTGGGGCTCACAAGTCAAAGTGGGTCCTGGGGAGGCGCCTGACAAGAAGACAGAGGCCCAGTGTTAAGGATGTGAACTCGGGCACAGGGAGGACACAGAAGCCAATGCCCAAGCAAGCACACAAGGGATGTGGAACCTCAAACAGATTATTAGGACTGTGACATGAGGTTAGAAGGGGGCTAATGCCAAATCCCTCAGTATGTAGCTAGATCTCCTAGAATCAGACCCCAAAAGCTGAGAGAACAGCTGGCGCATGTGTTGAGTGGCTTCTGGAGAGGCAAAAGGAGGCAGGAACCAGGCAGCACCAGGCCACAGCAATCCAGGCTCCATCATCCATCCTCACACCATTGTCACTATCCCCTAACTAGCTCCTCATCCACAAAATGAGGTTTAACCACCTTATCTATAAGGTCCCTTCCAACTCTAATTATCTGTCCTCCCCTCCTGAAATAATTTATCTTTCCAGTTTTCCCAACTGTCAGCTGGCAACTTAATAACCTTTATGTATGAGCCTTCCTCTGCAACAGACACACACATTCAGAACTCTTCATGGGCTCACAATGCCTACAGCTGAAGCCCTCAGTGCAGCATTCAGGGTATTCAAGTTCAATGCTTCCTAACTAACCCCAATAGGTGGTGCTATGGGTTGAATTATGACTCCCAAAAAGACAAAGCAAAGTCCTAATCCCCAAAAACTATAATTGTGACCCCTTAATTGGAAATAGGGGCTTTGTGGATACAATTCAGATGTAAGTTAAGATAAGGTCATACTAGAGTAGAGTGGGCCCTTCATCCAACATGACTGGTGGGAGTCCTTATAAGGAGAAGACACTGAGATACACATACACAGACAGAAGACAATGTATGGAATGAACCCTCCATAAAAATCCCTAAGTCATACAGTTCTGAGAGCCTCTGGGTTGGTAAACACACTGAGATTCTGGAAAATGGTGCATCCCAACTCCACAAGAGCAGAAGCTTCTGTGCTTGGGACCCTTCTGGACCACACTTTATATACTTCTTCATCAGGCAATTCATCTGTATCCTTTACAACTCAACCATTAAATGTAAGTAAAGTACCTTCCTAAGTTGTGAGCCATTTAAGCAGATTACCAAACCTGAGGGTTGTGAGAATCCCGAATTTATAGCCTGTCAGTCAGAAATACAGTTGGCCTGGGACTTGCAGTTGGCATCTGAAATGGGACAGTCTTGTGGGATTGAGCCCTGTCAAAGAGTTAGAAAAGTGGTGTTGGAAAAGATATTATGTATTTGGTATCAGGAGGTGAAAATCCCCTGATTTGGTGTCAGAAGTGATGTGATTAAAAAAAAACCCACTCAATATTTAAAAAGAAATTGATGATTCAATAGTATTAAAGGATTACTACTTTCAAGAAAAATATAAGGAAAATGATAAGAAAATTTATCAAAAAAATGATAAGAAAAATACTCTGTGACTCTTCATTAGGTATTCCAAGTTTATGTTCGATATCTCTAATACAATGAAAGAAACCCTATTGAAAAGATATTTTATTCTTTACTGTATTTCAAAAAGAAAATTGATCGTTTAAATGTAGAATTCAAGGTAAGATAATTACTAGAAAGTTTACTACAAAAAATAGTGAATTGAATGCTAATGTGTAAGGTGACTCATGGAACCAAATGTAAATTACCAGAAATATGTTTCTTTGGAGCCAAAATGGTATCTCATTTTGGAATAATATGCATTTTAAAAATCTAAAATAATGATTAAAGGAACTCTAATAGGCAATTGATTTAGAAAGTCTGATAACATCCTGCCAACTTATAGATGTTATTGGACTAGGAGAGGTGAGTGGACATTTATCAGCAGACTAGTACTAATGACCATCTGATTTACCTAGATCCTAATTTCCTTCTCACTAAATTATTTTAGGAGTAGTGCAGCTCCTAGAATCAAATATCTTAGATTAGAAAAGACCTTGAAAGTTGTATCATCCAATCTCTTGCCCAGTGTAGAATTCCTGCCACTTCCTCCCTGACATGCCCATCAAATCTTTGCCTAAATATAGCTGACAACAGTCTCTGCTTTGAAAATCATCTACTCCATTGCTGGGTTAGGAAAATAGGGACCCTAGTACCTGTTTCAAAGGGGGCATCCCAAAGGAGAAAGCCCAAAAAGAGGCCTCTCAACATTATCACCTGGCCCTCAGCTTTCAAACCTCAATAGGAAGATTGCACATCAGAAAAAAGATGAGTGGTGATTCTTTACCAGAACTGGTTTCACTAACCAGGTCAGTCAGCCCTCTCATTTCAGTAACCGCCCCCTCAAGTCCTAGGAACCACCTGACAGTACACCTTGGCATTTCCTTCCACATGAGGTTACCTCC
Organism: Homo sapiens; assembly: GCF_000001405.40. Taxonomy (NCBI): domain Eukaryota; kingdom Metazoa; phylum Chordata; class Mammalia; order Primates; family Hominidae; genus Homo; species Homo sapiens. The sequence goes on from NC_000013.11 coordinate 47,800,837, forward strand.
AAGCATCACCAGTAAGATCAGAAGACCCCGAAAACACCATGAGTTTGGCCTTTGCTCTCATTACCAGCACATTCTTATACAAAGGCTTTGGGAATGGAAGAGCTGGATTGGGGGTCCTGAGGTTAACCTGAATGGATTTCAGGATGACAGCTCTTAGGTCATTCCACAGGCATACAGATATTTGACCAGGGAAGTAGTCTGCATCTTTTCACGTTAAAATGAGGCCTTAAGTAGGATAGGTTATAAAGAAAAAGGTTAAAAGGCCTTATATTAGTTTTTTTGTTTTGTGTTTTTGTTTTTGTTTTTTGTTTTGTTTTTTTGGTTTTTTTTGAGACAGGGTCTTGCTCTGTCATCTAGGCTGAGTGCAGTGGCACGATCACAGCTCACTCCAGCCTCGACCTCCCAGGCTTAAGCAATCCTCCCACCATATCCTCCAATGTAGTTGGAACTACAGGTGCAAGCCACCACACCCAGCTAATTTTTGTACTTTTTGTAGAGACAAGTTTTGCCATATTGCCCAGGCTGGCCTCAAACTCTTGGCCTCAAACAATCTACTCACTTCAGCCTCCCAAAGTGCTGGGATTACAGGTGTGAGCCACCATGCCAGGCCTCATATTATATATTAGTTTTCTATGCTGCATTAAAAATTGCCACAAACTTGGCAGCTTAAAACAACACATATTTATTATCTCACTATTTCTGCAGCTTAGGATTCTGGGCAAAGCTTATATGGGTCCTCTGTAAGCTGCTACCAAGATGTCCACCAGGGCTCAGGTCTCCTCTAAAGGCATAACTGGCAACAAATCTTCCAAGCTCACTGGGGCTGTTAAATAGAATCCACTCCTTTGCCCTGGTCAGCTCCTAAGCACTGCCACTCGCAGCTCCCAAAGGCCACTCACAGTTCCTTGCCACATGGCCCTCTCCATTGCCTTCTCATAGCATGGCCAATTGTTTCTTCAAAGCCAGCAGGGGGAAGAGCAAGTCCACTTGCAAGGATTCTTACATAACCTGATATGATCACCATCACCGTTGTCATATTCCACTGGTTAGAAGCAAGTCACAGACCCCACCCAAACTCACGGAGGGGGTTTACAAGGGTGTGGACACCAAAAGGTGGACTTGACAGGTATCACCTTAAAGTTAGCCCACCACAACCCCAAGAATCTTTATTTTTTAAAGTACCTCAGTGATGTTGATGTTTAACCAGGTTTCAGAATATTGTTATAAGGTACAGCAGAGGAGGCAAAATAAGGGGGAGATTATTTTAATGTTGTGGTTTGCAAACCTTGACTGCACCTTAGAATCACCTGAGGAGTTTTCAGCACTCCCATGACAGGGGGCACTCCAGACCGATTGAATCAGAATATCTGCGGGCGGATCAGGTTTCTTTTTTTAACACTTTAGGTGATTCCAAAGTGCAGCCAAGGCTGTGAATCACTGTTTTACCTGCACAATGAGGAATTGGAGTCAATCTTAATGGGAAAAAGGCAATATTTGGAGCAAGTTTTGAAAACCAATGTTTTAAAAACCAATCTTAATGGGAAAAAGGCAATATTTGGAGCAAGTTTGAAAACCAAGATGTTTTCTAGGTGAGAAGAAGGAGTGGCAAGAGATAAGGCAGGAACATTTGCAGTGATTTAATGAAGCTGGTGGATTCAAAGAAAGAAATGGATTCAAGAAATACTTAGGAGGTAACACTGATTAAGACTTTGTGCCAAATGTGAGGCTAACCAAGAAGGAGGAACCTCAGATAACTCCCAGATCTTGGGTTGAGACACCTCGAGAGCACAGGAGCCACTAACTGAAAAAAGAATCAAGAGGAGAAGCTGGTTGGGGGACAGGGAAGGTGGAGAAGATGATCAGCTCAGGTCTAGATACGTCAAGTTGCACACATTTTTAAAGGAGATTTAAATTAACTTGAATTAATTATTAATTAATTGAAGTTAAAATGAATGTTTTTTTGGTTTGCTAAATTCAGTTAATATATATTGGGCACTGCCAACATTTTCCCAATTAATTTATTCTCCTCTATTTTCCATAGCACTCAGCCGCCCAGTGCAGAGCCATGTAAATTCCATATCTGCCTCTGACTTCCTTTCCTCTAGGGTCATTTATTCTTTCACTAGTGGCATAACCTTTGGATGCCCCTTCCCATCACTAAATGTCAAGCAACTGCTTTGCAATGCTAAGTACTGAAATCTTCATATGTGCTGATGTAGCAATCATTAGGTGTAAGGTTTTTCAGAACCGTAAAAAATGAATTGTTTGTAAAAAGCCTCTTTAATGTGTTCAAGTTGAGCTCTTCAGTTCCACTTTCTGAAGGCTTCCACTGAAATGAAGAAAAAGTTCCCTGAAGCCCTCAGAATAAGTCATCAATCTTATGCAAACAACCAGCTTAAAACTATTTTGCTCTAGGATAGAAAATTTTCACCCTACGGCTTAACACAACTACCGAAGGCATGATGCTGTCACAAAGTAGGAAAGCTAGAGATATTTTAGACTTCTGTAATCCTGGTTACAGTCAAATGTTGATGAATGAATATCTCTAAAATTTACAGAAGCTAGAGTGGTAAGCTATGTCATGTGGTGTTTAATTATCCAACTAGTCCACACCAACATTCACTGGCTTATCTAAACATTAATCAGGAGTCTGACTAGTGTAAAACCTTGGGAGAATTTATGCTTTTGCACATAAGAATTTGGCCTAAAAACTTCTCACAGTCTTGAAGTGTTAGCAATTGCTGACCTTTAATGATCCAATGAAAACAGTATTATAACTATTGCTTCCTCTTATAGTGTCCATAATAAATGTTCAGTAAAAAATTTATTACCCAGCATTTCTATTCTAGTCATTTTCTTAAGCATTTTATCCTAAAATATAGTTTTTTAGTTCTCCTCCAAGGGAAAGAAAACCTCTTTCCAAAATTAAAAACATAATATTTGGACAACAAAAGACATTTAAAATACCACCTGAAGATTTTGAAGAGAATAAAAAAATTGCATTGACATTCTTTTCTCTTTACTTATGAAAATAGAACACATTTTAAAACCCAACTCCAAGTTTTAGATGGTCTTTAATGTGAAAGGAAATTTCCACAAAAGATATTGCTAACTGAAAGCTCTTGGAAAGAGTAATAAATTGTGATTAAATAATACATTCACATAATCATTATTAAGAATGTTATTCAGTAGTCAGAAAATATATTTTACTACAAAATAAAATGATAAGGTGTTTATTGACAAGATTAGTTTGGGAAATGAAATAAATCTTCCCATTAATTAGATGAATATTATACCGTAAAATTCCCATAAACTAAGTGAATATGAGTCGATAAGAAGCCAATGACTGAAACTGGACCCTTCCTTACACCTTATACAAAAATTAACTCGAGATTGATTAAAGACTTAAAACGTATGGCCTAAAACCATAAAAATCCTACAAGAAAACCTAGGCAATACCATTTAGAACACAGGCATGGGCAAAGACTTCATGTCTAAAACACCAAAAGCAATGGCAACAAAAGCCAAAATTGACAAATGGGATCTAATTAAACTAAAGAGTTTCTGCACAGCAAAAGAAACTATCATCAGAGTGAACAGGCAACCTACAGAATGGGAGAAAAGTTTTGCAATCTATCCATCCGACAAAGGGTTAATATCCAGAATCTACTAAGAACTTAGACAAATTTACAAGAAAAAAACAACCCCATCAAAAGGTGGGCAAAGGATATGAACAGGCACTTCTCAAAAGAAGACATTTATGCAGCCAACAAACATGAAAAAAAGCTCATCATCACTAGTCATTAGAGAAATGCAAATCAAAACCACGATGAGATACCATCTCGCACCAGTTAGAATGGCGATCATTAAAAAGTCAGGAAACAACAGATGCTGGAGAGGATGTGGAGAAATAGGAAGCTTTTACACTGTTAGTGGGGGTGTAAATTAGTTCAACCATTGTGGAAGACAGTGTGGCAATTCCTCAAGGAACTAGAACTAGAAATACCATTTGACCCAGCAATCCCATTACTGGGTATACACCCAAAGGATTATAAATCATTCTACTATAAAGGCACATGCACACATATGTTTATTGTGGCACTATTCACAACAGTGAAGACTTGGAACCAACCCAAATGTCCATCAATAATAGACTGGATAAAGAAAATGTGGCACATATACACCATGGAATACTATGCTGCCATAAAAAACAATGAGTTCATTTCCTTTGCAGGGACATGGATGAAACTGGAAGCCATCATTCTCAGCAAAGTATCACACAGGAACAGAAAACCAAATACCGCATGTCCTCACTCATAAGTGGGAGTTGAACAATGAGAACACATGGACACACAGAGGGGAACATCAGACACCAGGGCCTGTCGGGGGGTGGGGGGCTAGAGGAGGGATAGCATTAGGAGAAATACCTAATATAGGTGATGGGTTGATGGGTGCAGCAAACCACCATGGCACTGTATACCTATGTAACAAAACTGAACGTTCTGCATATGTTCCTCAGAACTTAAAGTATAATAAATATACATATTTTTAAAAACACAAAATAATAAAAATAATAAAAATTTTAAAAAGAAGCCAAAGTGGAAAATCAAGCCTTTAAACTTTTTCATTTGTAAAATACTTCATATTTTCAAAATACCTTCACACCATTATCACATTTTATCTTAATAACATCTCTATGATAGGTAGATGCTCATTGTTCAGAAAAAAAGAGGGGAAATGAGGTTTGCTAATAGACCAATAAGCTTTGCAAACTCCCTCCTTTGAAGCGGGTCAAGGTGAAAGCATGCAGGGGTATTTCCTACATAATAAGGATGATCACCCTCATTATATCAGCCTGAGGTCATTGTTGAGCCACTACACATAAAAACCTATTTCATAGCTACTTTCCTCCTCACCAAACAGCAAGTAGAACACATGAGACTCTGATTCACTCTTCAGAATCCTTCAGAAAGGATTTCTGATTTCCTTCAGAAAGGAAAAGATATTGTCTATTCTCTAATATTTCATTTTCAGTAGCATCACTGTTTATGTGTGACAGTCTACTTCTTCACAGTGATTTCCCATTTTTCCTGCTTTATCCTTCGTCTTCAACTTTAGGCAGACCATCTCAAAGCTCAAGAGAACCCTGGGTGATTTCTAGTTTTTTAGGCTCCCAGAAAAATGAAATACAAAGAGAACCAAAATAGAATTGCAAATTTATGATTTAAAAAGTAATACTTTTAAGCAAATATGCATATAAAAAGACACTCAACATCATATGTCATTAGGGAATTTAAAATAAAACAACAATGAGATACCATTACACACCTATTGGAATGGCCAACATCCAAAACACTGACAACACCAACTGCTGGCAAGGATGAGCAACAAGAACTCTCATTCATTCATTCTAATTCTGGTGAGAATCCAAAATGATACAGCCACTTTGGAAGAAAGTTTGGCAATTTCTTACAAAATGAATGTACTTTTACCACATAATCCAGCAATCATGCTCCTTGATATTTACTTAGATGAGATAGAAATTTATTTCCACACAAAAATCTCTACATCGATGTTTATAGAAGCTTTATTCATAATGGCCAAAACTTGAAAATAATCAAAATGTCTTTCAGTAGGTGAGTGGTTAAATAAACTGTGATACATCCATACAATGAAATACTATTGGGTGCTAAGAAGAAATTAGCTATTAAGCCATGAAAAGACACGGAGGACACTTAAATGCATATTACTAAGTAGAAGAAACAAATCTGAAAAACTATGTGATTCCAATTCTAAGACATTTTGGAAAAGGTAAAACTACAGAGAGGTAAAATGATCAGTGATTGCCAGGGGCTTAAGGGGAAAGAGGGAGAGAGAGGTGGAACATGGAGGATTTTTAGGGCAGCAAAATGACTCTGCATGATACTATAATATTGGATACATATAATTGTACATTTGCCAAAACCCGTACAGTGTACAACTCTAAGAGTAAATTCTAATGCACACTATGGATTATGGGTGATAATGACATGTCATTGTAGATTCACCGATTGTAACCAGTCTTGTGGGGGGTGTTGATAATGGAGAAAACTATGCATGTGTCGGGGCAGGGAATATGGAAACTCTGTGTACTCTCCACACAATTTTGCTGTGAATCTAAAACTGATCTGAAAAATAATCTATTCAAAAAATTAATGCTTATAACATGTACATACACACACACAAAAATACAAATGTATGTATAACTCCATTGAGAGATAACATCAAAGCTCTTAATTTGAGGCCCATAGCAATTAGTATTGGTAGTTGCAAACAATACTCTCTGGTTTAAACAGAAGGTAATTTATTAAAGGATATGGTTAGCTTGCAGAATTTCTAGAGAAACCAAAGAATTCCATCTAAATGGTGCATATCTTGAAACCATCCACAAGCAATAATCACAGGAAAGACTAGCCACCTTGGCCACCGGCCACTTGTCCCAGAACACACATGGGACTGGATGCCAAAACTCTGCCACAGGAGCCCCAGAAGAACCAGATACCTCCACCATCGCTTACCAGATGGTCAGTCTTCCCACAGCTGCCTCCTTATGTTACTTCTCTATCCAAGTCTTGCACGGATGTATCTGACTGGAAGTACCTGAATCGCATTCTTCCAAATAGCCTAGAACAAAAATTTTTTAATCTATCATGAAATGGTGAGACTACCAACATGGGAAACTATCAAAATGCTGGAAATCTAGAAAGTAACTCAAATCTCAAGTTATAGTAAACAGACGTAGTATGGAACAAGTTAAACCTGAAGAAAATCCAAAAGAGCCCAACAGAGAACTAGATGTGGGAATCTGTAGCAAATTGGAGAGGTTAAGCATGGAGATATACAGATAAGGAATCATAGTATATGGCGATAGTTAAAACCTAGAGAGCAGATGAGAGAGACCAGGAAGAGAACATTCAGTGAAAAGAACAAAGACCAAAGCTGAAGCCTTTGGAATCACCAGTGTTTAAGGGTAAGACGGCGTAAGAGAATTCATGAAGGAGATGAAAACTGATGAAGGTCCTCAGCTTTCAAGAAGAATGGAGTATCAAGGTTCAAAATCAGCAAAGCATTCCTGTAAGATAAGGACTGAAAAATCCCTGTTGGATTTGGAGATCTAGAGACAGCTGGTGAGCACCATGAATGTACCTGCATTCTAACACTACCATGGTACATCAAAATGGTCTGTTTTGTTGGCTCCTCTCTTAGCCTGTTATCTTCTAAAAGGCAGGAATGATGTCTCATTTAACTCAGAATCTCAGCACGTAATACAGTAGATGGAACAGGAAATTCATTAAAGATGTGTTGATCCTAACTGAACTGAGACCTGAGGTTTCCCTTTGAAAGTTCATCCAAGAAGCTAACAGTGAAATTCCTAAACATTCAAATCTTTGTGCTTCTTGACACCCTGACTTGCCAACTTCTCTGATCCAGAATTACTCATTATTAGCTCCTAATATCACAAGTTTAAATGAGACCCCCCTTCCTTGCTTTTTGGAACCTTTCAATAATTACCTTCTCTTTAACAAGGTAATGATAATTAAAACAATAATAGCAGAAATAGCAATCACCTGTAGAGTACTTTACATTTTACAAAGTATTTTAATACTCATAATTCCCATTCAATAAAAATAACAGCCCTGTGAAATGAGTATTTTTATTTTCCCTATTTTGTGACTGATCTAAAAATCACTCATACTTAGAGGTTCCTGCTGGACTCACCAAGGTCCTCTGGCTTCAAATCTCAAGCTCGTTTCTCTCTGCCACACTAGCTGGGATGGCCCACAAAGATGTTGGTTCCGTCATTTTATGCCTCCAGGCTCATATGTGATTAGCATTTGGAGATATAATTTATCAGTTGGCATCTGTTGCTGGAGGTACTGAGAGTGGATATTAGTCATTTCAAGGGATTCAATTTAAACCTAGTGAGTGAGATGATTTCTTAAACTCTTGGAGGAAGATGTTGAAAGACTCACATCTTGATATATTGAAGAGGGAAGAGATTTTTCTAAGTATTTGGGAATCAGGATTCCAACCTGGCCAGTTGACTTGAACTTTGAGTTCCTTCTTACATTTAGGAGAATGATGATGTGGGTGAGACCCAGGGTAAATTATTAGGACTACTGGGGTTGGTGGTAGGTTCTGCTTTACCAGGTTCTGATGATACTGCAACTGACCAAGGAACCCAAAATTCCAGGGTTACAGCAATAGGGATAACGAAAGTAACTGCTGCTGCCCTTGTTTTCCCCAAGTTTTACAAATACTTGCTCTTGTGTCTCGCTCTCTCTCTCAAATTTGAGCACAAAACTCAATTTCAGGCTATATGGTTCAGTATCAGATAGCCCAGAACAACAAAAAAAAAAAGCAGGAGAAACTGGGCAATTTCATTCAAAGCAAATCAAGCAAAGCTGTAACCTGAGCTTTTTTCTTCCTTAAAGGTGTTAAAAATCCTTCAGTACCTCAAGTGGATAGGAAATTAAGATTACGTTCTTTGATTTTAAAATATTTAATTCAGTTTCTTTCCAAAGTTCAGCTCTCAGGATGGCTCAACTCATAGCTCCTTCCTAATGTAAATGAATTCAAAAGCAAGACATGCTGGGATGGGAGGGCAACTTGGAGGCCAGCAAAGTGGGGTATGAGGAAAAACTAGGCAAAAACTTGTAGCAAGGGGCCCAGTAGCAATGGCTGGCCAGGGAGAGCTTAGCCAAATGGTCTAAAGTATCCAAAGAATGTGGTTAGTCCAGATATGGCCCTGGGACTGTAACCTGGCATTCAGGGCAAGTCATGGAGTGAGCCCATGGGTCAGAGGATAATGCAGAGTTGGGAAGAGCTGCATCAGCATCCTGGAAAAGAGCAGAGAAACAACATAGTAGAGAGCTCTGCTACTGAGCCAGAGAAACGTGGCTTGAAATTCAGCTTTGCTCTTCCTTAGCTGTGTAACTGGGGCTCCTCTTGAACCAGTTTCTTTTTTATAATAAGGGATGTTCATACCTTCCTTTTATGATTGCTGTGAGAATTAAAGAAAATATTTATAAAGCACCTTCTATAATACTTCTACAAAACAAACACAAAATGAATGTAAGCAATTATAATTATATAATGATCTGTCCTTTCACCACAGCCACTAACAGTAGCTGGGAACATGGAGAATACAGAGAACGTTAGCCAAAATTAAGAGGAATTATATCAAGATTGGGGTTTGGAAACTTGAAACGGTATTTATTCCATAAATATATGAGGAGCTGCATATTACCCCAGGCATTGGGGGATTTTTCCTTAAACAAAAAATACCAAATAACACATAAGAACAGTTATTATTACTTTTAACATCCCCCTAGTAGAGACTCTTGTGGATAAATTCCAGCTTGGTTAGGAAAGGAAAGATGGATGTGCAAGTATAAGATGCAGCCACGCATTATAAATCATTTCTGACCAAAAGGGCTGTCTAAAGTGAAACTGGCCACTACATCTGATCACAAATTACTTCCAAAGACACATAGAATAATTGGAGATTAAGATAAGAAAGATCGCCTGTAGGAGAGAGTATAGGCTCTGAGTTGTTTCTCTTAAAAGTTTTGATACGGATTTTTCTGAATAGGTCTCCATCCTGAAGAGCAAACCATCAATATAAGCACTCATTACTTCAACATTTGTGTTCATTGTTAAACATGTTTCTCCAGCAAAGATAGGCTAAAAATGCAAGGAAGATAAAATTCAATAAGTTTATTTTGCAATCCTTCTCAAAGACGCTGAAATAAATATTCAAAAAAGTTTAGTGATAGTGATTATCCCTAGGAATAGGGATAGTACATTTCATTTTTCACACAGATCCCAGCTTCATCCAAGGACAATCAAAAAGTCACTAAATGACGAGCTCTGTAAAAATGGCAAAGACGGCCAACAAATTAAGTAAGCCCAGAGACACAGCAGGAGGGAAGCCATGAATCCAAGACACAAAAGGAAATTTGTTCTTTGAACTTTATTTCTTCTTTCCTAAAATTAATGGCCTAAAACTGTAGCAATCATTTGTAAAAATATAAGTCACATATTCACTTACACAATTTGCCCATTTTACTTTCTACATTTACTCTCAAGTAAGCTGACAGCTGGAGAGAAAAAGGTGCAATCAGCCAAGAAAGTGGCTTTAGAATGAAGCTAATAGGCAGTTATTATGTTGGTTAAAGCTGGTCTCATAGCCAGGGTTCTTTAGAAAAACAGAACCAATAGGATAGATTCCACATAAATAGAGATAGAGAAAAGATGTTTCATGGGAATTGGCTCACGTGATTATAGAGGCCGAGAAGTCCTATAACCTGCCACCTGCAACCTGGAGAATCAGGAAAACCAGCGGTGTAATTCAGTCCAAGTTGGAAGGTCCAAGAACAAGGAGCACCAACGTCTGAGGGCAGGAGAAAATAAATGTTCCGGCTCTAACAGGAAGAAAATTGGCTTTCACTCTGCCTTTTTGCTTTACTCAAGCTCTCAGTGGATTGGATGATGCCTGCCCACCTTGATGAGGGTGGGTTGTACTCAGCCTAGAGATTCAAATGTTAATCTCTTCCAGAAACACAGACACACCTAGAAGTACTGTTTGCCAGCTCTCTAGGAATCTTTTAGCCCAGTCTAGCTGACACATAAAATTAACCATCACAGCTGGTAAAAGAATTTCTCATGATAGTTTTCATTGTTCTTCAGGATAAAAATATGAAAATGTTAAAGTGCCCTAAGAAAATTCAGGAAATTGAGAGAAGGGCCTCATTTTGGGAAGGTGAGCAGAGAGCCTCAGTTGCTACCATGCTGAGGAAAAAACAGACTTTGTCGAGTGAAAATGTAAAACTTGATTGATGTGGAAAAATCTCCTCCTCTGCCTTCCCTATAAAACCCTCAGTGACATCTTCTTTGGTCTACCAGGTATCTGGGTAAGTTGCTTCTTTAAGAGATGACAAAGAGTTGCTGGGTCTGCATCCAGGTAGTTACAGGATGAACACAGAGAAGGTGGTTGTGGCTTCTGGAGCCAGAGGATGACAGTACAGCTGACATCTGGGTTACAGGATGTGGGGAATCCAAGAATCAATCCACAGCTATTCATCAAAAACCTGATAAGTACTTAGCATGGACCTTGCCAACCAACGTAGGGAAACAAATTAAAAATAACACATAGTAGGGCTGGAAAGAGAATCTTGAGTGAAGAAAAAACCCACTCATAAAGCACCACTTGGAGTAGACAAGGAAGCCACAAATGAAACCTGAGTTTTCCAAATATTCTTAGCTTGAAAGCAGCCTGTTCATTAGAATAGCACAGGAATCTAGGGAAATCATCACTGATTTCTTCCTTCAAATACATCAAAATCAAAAAAATCATCTTTCTTTCACTCATCTTTTATGTTTAATATCTGGAAGTCTTTTCCATCCCTAGTCTCTCTTCTCTCAGCCTTTCTCACTTCATCTTTAGGTCCACAATATCAGAAAAGAAATGTAGTCATGTATGGTATAGACAGGTGTTTATGTCTCAAAACATTGCCACTTTCCAGTAAACAGTCATCAAATCCAGGAATAAAAAAGAGCCATCTCTCAAAATAAGGATGGACAGTATAGAGTGCCTTCTGTACAGTCAGTTTGGAGACTTATCAAGAGCAGAAAACACTGAGTTTCTTCTTTTGTTTCCTTGTATGTCTGTCTCCCCTATTTGAATGTCTCCCCTATTTGAATGTCTCCCCTACTAGATGCTCTAATGTACACACATCCTCTTTCTTGTTCATTGTTAGAGCCCCAGCACATATGACAAGGCCAGTAGTAACTTCCAAAGGAAAATTTGTTGAATGAACAAATGAATGATGTGTTTTTCCTGAAAACTTGGCTAGTCTATTCAACTCTTCAGGAGGGAAAGATGTGTTGCTCATTTAAATCATTGGAATATTTCTTTAGAATTGTAGTTGTAACAATTGAGGAAGGAAAAAGAGCAGCCCCTGACACCCAGAAGCTGGCCTGGCTCTCACAGGTAGACCCTGTGATTCTCCCATTAGACATGAACCATCTCACAGAAAACCAGCCTCTGACCAGGCAACTTTGAGATCATGATTACATAAGACCAAGCAGGGCCACTTCATAATTTTGTCTAAGTACAGACAAAAGCAAGTCACTGTACCACCCACAAAATACCAAACACCCTATCTCTTGGCTGAAATGAGGACTGCTACTTCTTTACCAATGACAACTTTATTCTCCCTATAGTTTCCCCTTCCTATAGATAAAAGTCATTGAGATCCATAATCAGAGAATTGCCCGGCTTTCTAACACCATCCAATCTAGAGGGAATCCCTGCTACCTCAGACCCTGCCTCAAATCACCCAATCAAAGTCCAATCTTACAAGGTCCTTTCTAACACTCTCTTACTGAGACACCCATAATTCCCATAATGTGTGTTCTCCCTCACTGCAACAAGTAATGAACCAGCCTTATTCAAGTACAAGAGTGTTTCTGGAGGTCTTTGGCTGGACATCATTAATGGAGTATTACATCAAAAAAACACAAAAAACAAAAACATGAGATGAGAGTTAGAAGTTCAAACTTAGAATGATCACAAAATACCAGCTACTGTTAGATATTTGATTGATAATAGTAATAATAGCTAGCACTACTTGAGCTACTACACCCTGCCAGACACCGTGCCCTATCTCCTTTAATCCCTATAACACTATTAGGTCAATTCTATTACCTTCCCCCCTTACAGATGGGGAAACTGAGGCTCAGTGAAGTAACTTGTTCAAGTTCACACAGTAAGTGGAGGAAGTGGCTTTAAACCCAGATATTATACTGACCTTTCTACAGGTGGTTTACTTTCAGAGGGGGTTAAATTTTAATGTACTACATTCCTGAAGTTTCTTGACAAAGATACTATGTTCAGTGTGAGAGAGACAACCTTCAAACCAAGAAAGGTAAGAACTTCAGCATCTGTTCAGAATATCCTGGAGGGCTCCAGGCCTCTGCCAAAGCAACTCTCCAACTTTCACTCTTCAAAGAAGCTTAGTCATTGGCACCAAATTTGCATCACAAAACTACTTCTCAATTGGTATGTTTTCTAAAAGCTAAAAGCAACTGTCTTTCTGTCTGCATAAGTGTTTCTCTCTGCCAGATAAGATAGAATATGGGTTTTGTTCCTGCCAAAGGAAAGATCACTGCTTTCAATAAAAGCAACAGACTACTTTTCCAACTGTGCCATGAATGTTCTCCAGCCATCCCGAATGGGCTGAATTGACAAAATATCACTCTCTCTCTTCTGAACCAATAATAACCAGGAATGGTTATATCTAAAGCTAAAACAGGGCAGAAAGCTGCAAGATTGGCACCCCAGAGAAATCAAAAGAAGTGTCAACAATGCAATATCTTATCAAAATGTGATTCTATTTCTTCTCTCACTTCGGAAGGAAATCTGCAGAATCGCACTGAAGTTGCATTATTGCTCTCCAATGCCAATCCAGGCGAGAGGCACACAAGATTATGAGAAAAGTTCTGAGACACTTGGCCCACATGTAACAATAAAAACAAGACCAATAGCCAGCCAAGAGGCTCTTTGCAATGTCATCATTTGGCTTAATTCTGTTGGGACAAAGCGGGTGTTTACAATATTCCAAAGGAAGGAGACACAGGGCCATATTGCAGGAATATGGTTTCCTGTGTGGGCCTGGCATGAGAGACCTAAATAAGATAAATTCACACAACAAGGAAGCTGGAAAAATTTCTGCAATATGAAGACATTTCCAGGGGGAAAAAGAGGGGCCCCTGGGAACACTTCCATTTCCCACAATAAGAGTCTTTCTTTACAATTTGTTTCCTCTTCTCTAGTAACTCAGTGGCTAAAGCCCAGCCTATGGACTGGGGCTGGGTAATTATTTCACAGAACCCACTAATCCACATACATATTTACTTCAACGAAGTAAACAAAAACATTATTATATGAGGGTCTATAACATCATTTCACTTTGTAAAGAGGCCAACACTGGAAACATTTGGTCTACACCATATCTCCTCATTCTGCTATTAACAATTTCATGCAAAACAAAACTCAAAAGCTTACTAAAGTCAATGCTTGTTAAGCAGCAATTTAATTTTTTTAAACCTACAACTCTCAAAAGAATTTCCAGGTCACTGAGATATGGAAAAATGTAATGAAACTGTGACAATTAAATTTATTTTGGACAAGGATCATTAGATATCTCAAGTAAAAAGTAATCTACTGAGTGCTGCCTTCATATGATTCACACTTTGGCTGTGTCTAAAAGTTGTTTGTGTATTTACTGTCATATTTACTTGTCCCTGGTTTGGGTTCATTAGTTCTCATTTATTAATTCTCTCTATAATGGGTCACTTTTAGAGCAGTCTTAAAATAGTAGATGAGGACTCTGAAGTCAGATGTGCTCCATTTCTCATTATAATATAAATTAAGATAATAAAATATACCAGACCACTCTTTTAGATTTATTCAAACAGTGTTTCTAAGATTTGGAAATTCAGCCCTGAGTATTTCATGCATTTGTTACTCTCTTATCTCCTGTTTTGTCTTCTTAAATTTTTCTTGCTAAATTCATATCCATGTTTCCCAGAAGCTTCTGAGAATTCTTCAGATTTCCATTTTAAAAATTGCAGGAGGAAATGCACTAAAGCTAAGTGATTGCTCCAGACGATGAAAGTAGTTTCTTTTTTTACAATGAGCATATGCTTTTATAATGAGGAAAATATATTAAAAATAAAATGTGGAAATAATAATTCTAACTCCATAATCACGTGCAAACACTGCAGTAGCTAACTTCCTCCCCTTATCATAAATTCTGATCTCTTAGTTTTTACTCAATACTTACAAAAAAGCATTTGCAATAACATTTGATAAAAACAGAAATATCCTAAGACTGTTTCTTGTTCACACAGATCACAGAGGACAACTGGTCCTTCCACCTGTCTTTCCTTGTCGCTCTCGGCAATCAACAACCATGGAGTTTGTACTTTACTTTTTCTGTTTCATATCCTTCCTCCACTACTGGGAAGTAGGACTTTGAAATTTTGGAGACAAAGGAACAACCCTGCATCTGCATCCTTCAGGACTGGTTCTTGATCTACTAAATTAATCTAGAAAATTCTGTCTTACCCATGCCTATTTTCAAAACTTCTTAGTTGTACTGAAAAGATGGAAGGCTATAGGGAGAACTTTGTTTAAAAGAAACATTTAAATGCATCCAGTTATTATTTGTAAGATATTTCCCAGTTGTACATTTTCTGTTTATTGTTGTGACCAATATTTTAAGTATTTTTGTATTATTAACTGGGTTTCCAGGAATAGTCTTAATTTATGATATTGCTTTTAGAGAAAATAAGGACTTAATACAACCATCATATAGGATGGAATTAGGTAGCAAGTTGAAGGCATAAAACCCAGTTTCCTCCTATTTCCACCCTTTTTTTAACCATCTACTTTAACTAAGTTTTCCTTCTTAAAGCAATGGCCTGCCATAATTATTTGACCAGCTTCCACTGTCCTTTCTGACAAAATAAAGAGGGAGCAATGACATTCTGGTTTTCTATAAAGAAGAATATCAAAAGGTGAATGCAGAGACAAAAGAAAACAACTGATGATGTTGCCTGTACCCTGGGGAAGAAATATACTTAACATAATCCATGCCCAGGGAAGTATCCCCTTCTTATATTGATAGGAAATTAGATGCTCGAAAATTAAACTGCAAAACCATGGTGATTTGACCACATATCAAGTTGACACTATTGAAAAAGTAACAGCCCAGATCCAATATTTCAATATCATCAGGCATCTCTAGAACTGTTGTTCCCTTTTCTCTCTGTATGATGCCACATAGAATAAATCTGCCTCCACTAGTAATTTGCATACAGAATCTGGTGACATCCATCTTCCCTAATAACTCAACCAACTTCATTTCTTAGGTTCTCTCCATAGTCCCTAAAAAACCAGCCAGGCACCCTCCCAGGCCACTGTTCCTAAACCTTAGGCTTTCCCTGCACACAGCACTTCTTCGTTGTATACATACAATTGCAGTTATTTCTAACTTGCTTCTCTGTGGTTTATCCTCCCATTCTCAGCAGGGCTTCATTAACATAAGAGTAGGGCATTAATGATCTCCATTCAACCTTCTCTATTCTTATCAGCAATGGAATAATTGGGCCGGGCCGCTGACCTTTCTGGGTCCTGCCTCCCTTCCCACCACCTCAGCCTCACCCAAGGCCCATTTGTGAATATGATCGGTCCCCATTCACTTCTCTCCACTCAGCTCTCTGTGGGGCTTGGAAACATGCCACAAGCATTATTGTGTGTTGTCAGAAAGAGGCTTCGCTCTGGATGGTGTGTTTTGCTCCCTATAATTCATCATTACTTTCTTTGAAAAGATTACTTTTGTAATCCTTCATCCTAGAATATTGATCAAATCAGAGGGGGAAAAAAGCAGGCTAAGAAATATAATTAGGGTCCCTTACTGGGTTGGTGTGAGGGAAGTTACTGACTATTTGTGAAGTAAGAAAAAGAAGAACATAGCTTTAAGGACCACTAGAGGACTTAGGTTTATGTTTAAAGCATTTTGAGATGCTAAGAGATGTTTAAAGGTTAAATAAAACCAGAACATGTTTGGTATAATTGAGAGTACATACCCCTTAAAGACACTGGGCACTTGATTCTGTAGGTTACTGAGGGAGGGCAGAGCTGTATCAGTTAGGATATGCTGGACTGCAAGTAACAGCAACCCTGATTCAACTGGCTTAAATAAATAAGGAAGTTTATTAGATTACATACGAGGAAGTCAATAGTCAAGGGGGCTGCACGCACAAAATGACCAGGGTTCCAGTTTTGTTTGCCTACAGCTCATTTGATTCAGATGTCTTCTATGTGCCTATGTGTACGTTTTGTCTGCAGGTTCCCTGTCCTCATAGGTTACTGAATCACCTGTCCTCATTCAAGAAGGCTACCAGCCATGACTAGCACAACTTACTATCTTGTTTATTTCCTGTAGGTGAGACAATCTCTCCCCTCATCGTGAAACATAAGGCCATGCTTGGGCGTAGTTAAATCTCATGCCTCACCTAGACCAATAATTGACTGCAGAACTGTCACATATTTCTTCCCTAAATCACAGGACTAAATGAAGAAAAGCTGACACCAGAACCAAATCAGAGGACTGTCCTGTTAGGATGGGAGGAAGAAGAGGACAGGCAGCCAATAGTATCCATTGCAAAAGCATCATGATTACAATTGTGGGTTTTGGTGTCCCATGGACCAGCACTGAAATTCCAGCTTCAGACCTTAACCTTAATTATTTAGCCTCTTCTTGCCTCAGTTTTTGCATATGTACAGAATGTCAGATGGTTGGTCTGAGGATTAACTGACACTGCATGTAAAGAAGCAGGCACAATATATGGGATGTTGGTGAGCACTGAGTAAATGATGGCCTATGGGGAATATTCCTAAGGCTACTGTTACTGACATCACTGGGGATGTTGTTATCATGACAATCATTATTCATTATTAAAGTCCTCCTTAGCAGCTCTGATTCTGGGCCCAATTTGTAGATTTGGGGGGTTTCTGAGCAGCTAATGAATCAAGGCTCATAAACTGGACAAGTTCACCCCCTCATCCCTGCATGAGGGGATTTCTGTAAGTAGATAAGAGGTGCTGCCCTCCCCACTCCCAGGGAAGCCATGGCACAGACCTCCACTGACCTTCCACCTTTTAAAAATTCTCCCGATGACTGTGCTTACAGAGACGTGCACCATACCTGCAGACCAGGAGCATGCAGCCCGGAAGAAAGTTGCAGCACCAGTCCTGGGAGTTCATCTTTCCCCTTTCCTGGCTGCCCCTGGTATCCGGTGTCAGAAGAGGCTCCCCAGGAAGTAGCATCTGTGGATCAGGATGGTTTCTGCTTCCCTTTCTTTTTATTATATTCTTGTCTCACACATGGAAAAGGTGAGCCAGTGAGTTCTAAGGATATTTGTTCTGCCACTATACTCCGAAACTAAACCATCTGCCATCCCCAGTATACAATCCTGGTTGAGTACAGATCAGCTACAGGGTAGTTATGAATTTAAGAATACTGTAGTGCCTTTTCCCATTTCCACCATCAGCTATGAGAATTCCAAGGACACCAGGTGAATGTTCTTCCCCGCCTAACTGTCATGCACCATTCTTCCCTGCATCCTGGAGACTACCCCCGCTCCCCTGTCCTGTCATGACCCTGCTCCAAGTAGGTCTGTTGGCCTTGTTAGCTAGTGCAAACCTTCAGACTGCAACAGAGTCTGATGTGTTTATCTTTATTTCTCAGTGTCCTCGCCCTTCTTATCCTCCAAAGCCCTCTCTTTACACATCTCCTCTACCCCTAATACCCCCATTTATCTTCAGCATTAGTTCCTGGGAGCCCTTTCTATTCTTTTGCTTCAGTCAGTGATATGGTTTGGCTCTGTGCCCTCACCCAAATCTCATGTGGAATTGTTATTCCCAATGTTGGGGGAGGGACCTGGTGGGAGGTCCCTTGGATCATGATCATGAGGGTGGATTTGGATCATGGGGATGAATTTGGACCATGCGGGTGGATTTGGATAATGGGGGCAGATTTCCCCCTTGCTGTTTTCATGATAGCGAGAGAGTTCCCATGAGATCTGATGGTTTGAAAGTGTGTGGCATCTCCCCTTCACTCTTTTTCTCTCTCCTGCCGCCGTATGAAGACATGCTTGCTTCCCCTTCACCTTCCAGGCATGCCTCCTTTACAGCCTATGGAACATTTTTATGAGTCAACTAAACCTCTTTTCTCCATAAGTTACCCAGTTTCAGGTATGTGTTTAGAGCAGCATGAGAAGGAACTAAAGCAGGCAGTGATGGTGTTTTCTAAGGGAATCAGCAAAATTGAAAATAGTTTTTCCATGAACAGTGACATTAGTGGCAGAGTGGAAGGAACAGGAATCTAGAGTCAGTCATACCTGGCTTCAGAGCCCAGCACTGCCACAGCCATGTGACCCTGTGGAAGTTACTTAACTTCTCTGAACTTCAATTTATTCATCTGTCTGCTGGCATTTTTTAAAGGTTAAATAAGACATAACTGAAAAGTGCTGAGCTTAGGACCTAGCCCAACAAATGACAGCTTTAAATTGTGATAGTTACAGCACTAACAGAAGTAAGTCAATAAGGAAGATTCTATTTTAGGGGAATTCTCAGCCAAGATAAGGGGCACTGTCTTCTCCTTGTCAAGTCCTAATTTAATAAACAAATCATTTTTACAAGATTGTGAAGGAAAAATTCAGAACACCAGGAGGTGGACATCAACCAGAAGGATTTTTACACAAAGCCCCTTCATTTTCTACTTAGCCCTTGGCTGGTGAGTTTTCTGTCATGAAAGGCTTTAAAAGGGATTTCAGTGAGGACCCCTCTGTTTTTCACAAGTCAAGTAAAAAGAGTCCCTTCTACTGTCAACCTTCATGGACCATCCCTGCTCACTCTTCCTGGAGGTGAGGTCACCTCCTCCCTCTTTTATCCTGAATAATTGACAGTAATATATCCCGTTACAGCTTTTCATTTCTCATTTGGAGCAATGAACAGTGGGCTTCCTCTATTCTCTAATAGTGATATTGGAAAGTTGCAAGTAGGTAAAAATTATCATCACAAGTTATATAGCCAGGTATAGAGATTTTTGAAGTATAACTTATGTTCTCATTCTCTCTCTCTCTCTTTTTTTTTTTTTTTTTCTGAGACAGAGTCTCACCCTGTCACCCAGGCTAGAGTACAGTGGTGTGGTCTTGGCTCACAGCAACCTCCGCCTCCCGCATTCAAGCAATTCTCCTGCCTCAGCCTCCCAAGTAGCTGGGACTACAGGTGCATGTCACTATGCCTGGCTAATTTTTTGTATTTTTAGTAGAGATGGGGTTTCACCGTGTTGGCCAGGATGCTCTCAATCTCCTGACTTTGTGATCTGCCCACCTCAGCCTCCCAAAGTGCTGGGATTACAGGAGTGAGCCACCACGCCCGGCCCATTCTCTCTAAGTGTATAACTTGTATATATCATCTCTTGGGATCCTAACCTCTCTTAGTGACAATTTACTGATGTTATCCTTTTCCAAATGAAGGTCAGATTATTACAGTGTGTCAGTCAGACTCCAACCAGGAGACAGCAACTACTAGCAATTTGAGCAGGAAATTGAATGTAAAGAATTATTGGGGCTGGGTGCAGTGGCTCACGCCTGTAATCCCAGCACTATGGGAGGCCGAGGCAGGCGGATCACGAGGTCAGGAGTTCGAGACCAGTCTGGCCAGCATGGTGAAACCCCATCTCTACTAAAAGTACAAAAACTTAGCCGGGCATGGTGGCACGTGCCTGTAGTCCCAGCTACTCAGGAGGCTGAGGGAGGAGAATTGCTTCAACCCAGCAGGCAGAGGTTGCAGTGAGCCAAGATCACACCACCGCACTCCAGCCTGAGTGACAGAGCAAGACTCCATCTCAAAAAAAAAAAAAAAAAAAAAAAAAGAATTATTAACTAAAATAGGGGATTGGCATGACAGGGGATTGACTAGTAAGAGGTAAAAAAGAATTCTTGAGAATTTAGGAATCACAAAAGGAGGCACAGCCACGACTATGAGGCTGAGGGAGCACCCAGGGAAGAGGCTCCTTCTCTCAGGCTTAGATGCAAAACTCATGGGAGAGCTGTCACTAGATGACAGAGAAGTTGCTGAGGTGCCACAGGAGTGGAACTTGCTGGAAACCACCCCTCTGGGGTGCAGGACAAAGCTAGCCTCAAAAAGGTGCTTCACCTAGGACCTCACTTCAAAGCCCCATGAGGAGTTAAAGAAGGCAAGCATGGGAAGGTGTCTCAATGGCAGCACTCTGCTGTGAGGCCATTTGGAAGGGTTCAGAGGAATCTTCTGGATGCCTATGGAGAAAGCTGCTCCCTGCAGGTTGCTGGAGAAGTCACAGGCAGCAGACACCTGTTGAGAGAACACCAGGACCAAGAAATGTTAGCAACCCCTTGAGGTGGAAACCAGAGTGGGAGAAGAATAGTGAAACATTCTTATATGTAAGAAGGAGCTGGAGGCATCTACGCAGGCATGGGGCACACCTCCCCACATGCACCCCGGGGAGGCGGCATGCCTCTAGGATCACACTGTCCAATAAGGTGGCCACAAGCCACATCCTTGTATCTTCCTTTACATTTTAAATAATTAAGATTAAAATTAAAATCAGTTTTTCGGTTGTATTAGCCATATTCCAAGTGCTCAATTGCCACACGACACCAGTGGCTACCCTCTGGGACAGCCCCGCTCTGGGAGCTGCTCTGCCTGTGTATCTGGCCATCTGGCCTGGGAGCAGCAGTGTGGTATTTGTTGTGTTTGACCCTGAGGCAGTATTTCTGGTTTCTCACAATATTTGTGACACATTCAGGAGATTCAGAATGTCCTGAGTGCTCTGGTGAGGGGACCCAGGTGTTCTAAAAGGGCCAGCTTTATTTTCTTTAGGAGTCTTGCATAGCGTATCAAATTTGTGACCCTATTACACCTATACTTCTTAAACTGGAATCCCTTGGCACATTTAGAAGCCTCCCTGGGGTCCATGTGGGGAGGTGTGCCCCATGCCCACATGGATGCCTCCAGCTCCTTCTTACATATAAGAATGTTTCACTATTCTTCTCCCACTCCTGGTTTCCACCTCAAGGCGTTGCTTACAATTCTTGGTCCTGGTGTTCTCTCGGCAGATGCCTGCTGCCTGTGACTACTCCTTAGAAGTGTGCCAAGGAACCAGTGTTCCATGCCCAATTCAGATTTTTGAAATATTGGGTTAGGGTTCTTTCTACATAACAAACAACGTCCATATACTCTGTTCATCCTAAATTCCTCTACCTGACCTCCATGGCCATGATCTGTATTGCTTTCCCTGAGAGACTTCTCCAAAGCCTGGGAGGCTGTTCTGCCAGTGACAGGCTGGAAGTGCAAGAAATTGGGAGCAGCTATCAGCAATAGCTGACAGAAGTTGGTGTAAAAATAACACAGCTTCTTGTTCCTCAAGTAGGACCATTCTAAGGCATGCATTTCACATAATCTCCCAAAGTTTCCCCTTGGAGTTAAGCTCTATTCACTTTCTTGGTAATGCACACTTTATTGGCTTTCTTTCCATCCTTGTATCACTTTCCTACTTCTCTTCTATCATATCCTATATCTCCCAAATAAATTACTTGCCCTGAGACCCTGCTTTCACAATCTGCTACTAGGAAAACCCAAGCTAAGATACCCTATGTGACTTCTTAGCATTTTAACACACTAATGAACAGTATCAGTCCTCAAGAGAGGCAGAGCACACGCAGCAGCTCCCAAATGTGCTGTGGTTGGGTCTACCTATTCTTGGCATTCCTGTCACATCTCCCTGAACTGTGTTCCATAAAACCCACCTTGGGAAATGCTGGTTTGGAGCAAAAAGATTCCAAGCTTATAACTCTCAGAGTCACTCTAAAGTAGATGTCAGCTTAAAGGCATCAGTCCAATGGGCTGCTGTGGCCTTTGGCTTTATCTTTACAATATTAGGGGTTCTTCTGAGTCAGAATAGAAATAAAATAGAATGCACTTTCCTGTCTCATTCAGAGCCATAATGCATTCCCGAGAGAGCTCTGTGGGAAGCTCTGCTTAAAAAATGGCATCATGCTTGATATGGTTTGGTTGTGTCCCTACCCAAATCTCATCTTGAATTGTAGCTCCCATAATTCCCACGTGTTATGGGAGGGACCCAATGGGAGGTAATTGAATCATGGGGGCAGGTTTTTCCCATGCTGTTCTCATGATCGTGAATAAGACTCACAAGATCTGATGGTTTTATAAAGGACAGTTCCCCTGCACATGCTCTCTTGCCTGCCACCATGTAAGATATGCCTCTGTTCCTCCTTTGCCTCTGCCATGATTGTGAGACCTCCCCAGCCATGTGGAACTGTGAGTCCATTAAACCTCTTTTTCTTCATAAATTACCCAGTCTCAGGTATGTCCTTATTAGCAGTGTAAGAATGGACTACTACAATGCTACTAAGAAGAGTGCAGAGAAGGCAGAACACAAGGCCGAAGGGAGTAGGTGGTAGCCACCTGGGAATACAGTGAAAAGTTAGCCTTGCTGTGTTGGGGTGAAAAGTCAGAAAAGTGATAAGCTAGAAATAAATAAACAATAAATAGCAAAAAATGGAATAAATGTCTTTGTTCTCCACATTTCAGAATATTAGCCTTAAAGGAAAGCTCTTCATGTCTAAAAGAAATACGTCAAAGATAAAATGGAGTAATTGTTACCATATATGGAAGGTACTTCTTGCAACAGGTGTTATGGGATCTTTCCTCACTTCCTACCTCAAGAGTTAAAAACTGAATATAAAAAAAAAAGTGGAGTCTGAAAAAGGTTAACAAATACTGTATGTTCTCACTTATAAGTGGGAGCTAAACATCAGGTACTCATGGACATAAAAATGGCAACGATACACATTGGGGACTACTAGAGCAGGGGAGGACAAGGGTTGAAAAACTACCGATTGGGTTCTATGCTCACTGCCTGGGTGACAGAATCATTTGTACCCCAAACCTCAGCATCACGAAATATATCCATGTAACAAACTTGCACAGGTACCCCCTGAATCTAAAATAAAAGTTGAAAAAGAAAAAAATAAAAAAGATTAAGCAAAATCCTACTCATCAGAGCAATAAAGAAATACTGTTACATGATATAAATTTTGGAATCAAATAGACCTCGGTTGAATAACGGCCCTGCTATTCAAGTGCACCTATCTGCACTTTAGGTTCCTTATCTATAAAGTGAATACAAAAGTACCTACCTTGTAGGATTGTTGTGAGAAATAAAACTAATTAAATACCCAACATAGTGCCTCAATAAGTAGTACTATCATTAAGTCCACAATAAGTTACTAAAGCATTTAGTATGTCTTGGTTATATTGTTCCCAAAATCTACTGTGGCCAGTTTTAGGGAAAACAGCTAAGAACAGGACCCAGGGATGGATGGACCAGGGCAGGACAGGGCCCACCTGGGAAGAGCAAAGCCCAGCCTGTTCTCTACAGCTCCCACAGCAAACTCACAGAGGCCTCGCTCTCCCCTGTCCAGCAAGACCAGATTCGCTGCTACGTTTCTATTACAAACGGTTTCAATCTTTCATCAGTGCCCAGAAATATCTCCAGGCTTTAGATTTTCTGACAGTTTCTCAGTCCTACAAAATCAAATAAAAGCCAGGATGCTGAATGTAGTTTTGCCAGTCCATAGAAACATTTCTGAGCATCCCAACCACTCCCCTTAATAAAAGCCTCTCTTGATTCCATTTTTGCTTCCAGCCACCTCCCAACTTTTCCACTCTCTTTTTATTAGTCCATTCTCACGCCACAACAAAGACATACCCAATACTGGGTAATTTATAAAGAAAAGAGATTTAATTAACTCACAGTTCTGCAGGGCTGAGGAGGCCTCAGAAAACTTATAATCACAGCAGATGGGGAAGCAAACACGTCCTTCTTCACATGGCAGCAGGAAGGGGAAGTACTAAGCAAAAAGGGGAAAAGCCCTTTATAAAACCATCAGATTTGTGAGAACTCACTCACTATCATGAGAACAGCATGAGGTTAACCATCCCCGCGATTCAATTACCTCCCACCAAGTCCCTCCTAAAACACAAGGGGATTATAGGAACTAAAATTCAAGCTGAGATTTGGATGGGGACACAGCCAACCATATCACCCTTCTAAGTACAACTTCTTGCAAGAATCACTCATCCTATCTCCAACCCTCTCCTCCGGTCCTCTCTTGAGCCCACTGCAATCAGGCCTATCCACCTACTGTTGCCAAACCCAATGTTCACTTCTCAGTTTGCACCTACCACAACTGACCCACCAGCAGTGTCCCAGGACATAGTGCTCTCTGCTCTTCCTACCTCACCAGCCCATTGTCAGCCCCAGCTGCTCTTCATCAGGCCTCTCCTCTTCCACATCTGCCTCACTCCCTTAGTGACCTCATCCATGGCTTTCAGTATCCTCTTCAAGATTTTCTAACATGTCTCAATAAGCTGTCAGCTCTCAAAGGTAGCTCACCAGTGTGGACTTCTGCCCTGAAAATAATCCAAAATCCTTCTTTTGTCCTGTCTATGTCCTGCTTCCTTTTGTGAGAGAGACAAAACATTTCCAATGGATCAGGTCCTTTCTTGGGTCAAGGGTGGACATTGACAACAATCCCACATAGATCCATTTATAAACTGACCTGTTGCTTGTGGAAGATCTTTTATCCTCTTTAAGGTTTTCCAACATGACCTCATGACATATGACATTTTCACTTGTTACAAGACTCTGGACATTTCTTAAGCTGTCTCAGTTTGGGATTCTCATCTATACCTCGGCTTATCAACATTTCACCTACAGGCCAGGTATACAAAGAACATTTTAATCACTTCAGATAGTAGAAGATAGAATACAGCGCACAATATTTAAACAATAGTGAGGCACAGATTTTATTTGCTCTCCCAGAGTTTCCCCTTGGGGTTAAGTCCTAGTAACCCACTGCAGTCATTGACTTGGTAATGCACACTTTCAGAAAGTACACATTTTTAAGATCCTCTATTATGTAATATAACCCAAGATTTTTTTTAGAAGTATTTTCCTGGCAGCAAAGTGAAGGGACAGAGAGACTGATTAAGGGCCTAGAATGAGAGTCTAGTGAAGAAATAATAAAGGCCTGAAGTCCGGCAGTGACTTGGAGGTTGGGTAGGTGCCAAATTTTTTAAAAGTCTGAGCTTATGAGTATAAGATAAAAAATGGTATAAACATCTCCAGCATGTGAACGTGGAAGCTTGTGACATCATGGAATAAAACTGGAAATACAGAAAGAGAAAGAGCAGACAAGGGGCTAATTGATGAACCCTTGTGATGGTAGGTTCTTTTTGCCTCAGAAACTAGTAACCCACTTTCTAACTCATAGGAAAAAGGAGGCCTAAAAATAATCATGATAGGCCGGGTGCAGTGGCTCACGCCTGTAATCCCAGCACTTTGGGAGGCCAAGGAAGGCAGATCACAAGGTCAGGAGTTCGAGACCAGCCTGACCAACATGGTGAAACCCTGTCTCTACTAAAAATACAAAAATTAGCTGGGCGTGGTGGTGCATGCCTGTAATCCCAGCTACTCCAGAGGTTGAGGCAGAAGAATCGCTTGAACCCGGAAGGCAGAGTTTGCAGTGAGCCGAGATCACGCCACTGCACTCCAGCCTGGGCAGCAGAGTGAGATTCCATCTCAAAAAGTAATAATAAAAAATAATCATGATAATCATAAAAAGCACCAAGATAATCAAGAATAGGTCGCCCATGTTCCTGCCTTCCTCCTGCTTGTTGGAGATACTGAAAAACTACATATCCAGGAAAATGTTCTGAACTCACCAAGGCAACAGTATTACATGAAGACAAGGCTAGGGGAGCCAGGCCATACCCTAGGCAGGTATTTGTCCAGTCCAATGGGCATGGCATGTTTAGCGGAGTAAATCCACTAGGAGAGCTGACAAATTAAACTAAGAGCACCACTCAGTAGATACGAAAAAGTCCTGCTTGGTAAAGTGATGGGAAATGGCAGAAGTCAACGAAACAATTGACCCTTCAACCAGAGGTCCCACCTGGGAATCAGCTCCAAAGACTGTAACTGGGTTACTGATGATCAGCGCAGCTCATAGGCCATGAATGTGAATGTTTCTCGTCTCGGTTGTCTCACTGTGCTTTCTATTTTTCAGAAATCATTCCTGTTGTTCTGTTTTCAGACTTAAGGAATATGGATGCTGTCGAAATGACACTGCACTCAGAGATGGAAGGAAGGTGTTCTGGCTGTTCAGTTATCCCACTAACATTTTTCAACTCCCACCATGGACCACCCATGGTGGACCCAAACCAGGGATGCTAACATTGCCCACAAAAGACTTTCAGATTAGTAGCCATAACCACAAACATGTTATACAGCACTGATTCCTTTCCAGGCACTGTCCTATATAATTCTGTTATATTTTAGTGCCTTATATATATTAACTCATTTAATCCTCACAACAACTCAGTAAGATAAGTGCACTATTGTTATCATCCCCATTTTAAAGATGAGAAAACTGAAGCAATAAAGGGTAAGAAACTTGCCCAAGGCTACACACAGAATAAGCTAGGATTTCAAATCGGGCTGGCTGAGTTCAGGGGCTGCGCTAGACTATTCTACGCTCTATAGAAACAAATTATCAACAATTGAAATGGAGCATTTCTGGTATTAGATATTAGAAGTGAGGACATGCTGCCCCCAGGGCCAATTTGCATGGAGAAAAGTCAGGAAAAACTTTTCAGCCCTTGAACAGGGTCTTGCCAGATGAATATGGATTCAGTTTCAGAGAGAGGGAAACTTGTGTGCAGAGGCACTAGACAGGCAGCTGGAGGATGTTAGTTCAAGGTGGCTGGGATAAAGGACTGGAAATGGCATAGCAAGGGGGAAATGTGGGCATGTGCCGAGGCCTTATATATTATACCAAAAATAAATAAAAATATCTTGTTTCTGGGCCATACTTTTTCACTTGGTTCACTTAGTTCAGCACTTGAAGTCATCAGAAAATGAGAGAAGCACAGCCCCCGTGTGATGAAATGGAATGATAATCTCTCCAGCTAGCTCAGAACTGCTTTTGTTCAAGGCTCCTTAAGTTGCGACTATAGCACAATGAGCACATGTAGCCGCGTAACCACCACCAAGGCATTTAATGGGGTAACACAAACCAAGCCGGCTTCCATGATTCTTCTGCTCAACAGGGAGCTCTGTTTTTGGGTCCAACGCCAATCAGAAGTGATTCTTCATGCCACGAGATGTCTACAACTCCCTTTCCATTAGACAACAGTCACAGAGCAGAGAAAAGCCAGGCTTAGAAAGCAAAGCTGCAGTACCAAACAAGAAACTATTCCAGGGAAATAGACAATAAGTAAAGCAAGCAGCCAGCACTCCCTTTAAAGTATCAGAATTGGGGTGAGGGAGGATGAAGCCTCCATAGCAAAGCACAGGATAAATAAGGTGCTTAAAGAAACCCAAAGCAAGCACAGATGCACAGACAGAAGATTTGTGCACCTGACTCTGGAAAATCCAATCCTACGTAGACTGGTGTGAGAAAAGAAGTGTGAGACGTGCAAAGGAATCTAGAGAACTCAGACATGGCAGGAAGAATCCAGCCCAGACCGAAGTAATTCCCTGACCACACCAGTAAGGGCTTTGGTTGTTTCCTCAGAGGGAAAGGACAGGATATTTCCAACCGCATCATCTCTCTAGTGCCCTTCTTGCTCTTTCCTCCCCTCAGCCCACCCAGCTTACCTCCATTCCCAGGGTAGGAAACTCGAGCCCCAATCCCCAGCTCACTTCACCTGAGGCCTCAGAGAATCGAAACATAGGAACAGTCTCTTGCGATGGGTACCGCAAGCACCAGTCCCACTCCTGTGTCTCCCAGACCTAAAGGCTGGGTCTGGGTCCTCTGTTCCCACCACGGCTCCACATCTGGAAGAGCAGATGTGCACCCAAGGAAGTTCCCTCCAGCCCCAGACCTGACTGCTCATGGATTGGAGGCAGCGCGGGAGTCCAGGACAACCTTGCCTTTTCTGCCGCTCCATCTGCACAGGGCACTGCAGCCTCTGTCTCCAGACCTCTGAAAATGAACAGGTTGCACACAAGCTCCAGTTCATCCCCCTCTGCTGAAAGGGGCACTTCCTGTCCTTCAGTCCCCCAAAAATGACTCACTCTCCAAAGTAGTGGTCTCTGATACTTCTTGCTGGAGAGAACCAAAGTACATATTTTCATCAGTGAGGAAGCAGTCTACTATATCTATATTTCTGCACTATTAGTTACACATTGTTGACTGCATAGTAAAATGTGTATAGTTCTTTTTCCATAATGTGAACTCAAATACTTTGGGTTTTTTCTCTTCATAAAGTGCTGAGTCACAGGACCACTTCTGGAACAGATCAGTGTAGATTATCTGGTCCCTCATGACAAATATAGTTACAATTCTGATGTCCAGAGCAGACCTCATCTGGATTCATGTCTGCTAGATGTGTTGTAATCATTCAAATTAACCCAAGCACAGAAAACCCTAGAAAAAACAAGATAGGCCTATGTTATAAGCGAAATGAAATATGGATGAGCTACATGGCTCTTCCAAGAGGCAGAGCTGGGTGCTGATTCTACGTATCATCATGTGTGTGTGTGTGTGAAAAAGAGAGAGAGTGAGAGAGAGAGAGAGAGAGAAATTGCCTGAAAGCTTTGGGCTGGCCCTATGGTAAGAATGGTCCAACAATGTCCTACCTCATCCCCTCCCAGGACTCACTTCTGAAATCCTGATTGAAGTCTGTGGTATGCCTGGTGCCCTAGTACTTAGGGAGTCAACTTGGAGATTTATCCCTTAGGATCCCTGGCTTGAATTGTCACTTTCCAGAAGTCACAACTAATTTATTCTTACTTTGCCCAGGATGCAACGCCCCCCACACTCAAATATTCACCTAAGTGGTGATGTAGGGGAAGACTGGTTATGAAGGATTCACGGTTTTCTCAGTCAATTCCAGATTCTGCTTCACATGAGCTGAGCACCACCTCAAAGCCTCAGGCCACTAATCGCTGTCAAGTCACAGCTGTGCCAATCAATGTGCCTCCCTGTAATTTAAATCTCACATGACTGACTTTTTAAAACCTATCTAACTCAAAAATGTTAAGTACATAGGCTCTGGGATATGTTTTATTTTTATCTCAGAACTGTATCTTCTCCCCCAAAATTGTATTTAAGTGGTTATTTCCTTTTAATTTTTGGAATGAAGACACTGCCTTTTGGCCAGATGCAGTGGCTCACACCTGTACTCTCAGCACTTTGAGAATCCAAGGCCAGAGGATCACCTGAGGTCAGGAGTTCAAGGCCAACCTGGGAACACAGCAAGATCTCATCTCTTTAAAAACAATTAGCTAGGTGTTATGGCTTGTGCCTGTAGTCTCAGCTACTCAGGAGGCTGAGGCAGGAGAATCCCTCGAGCCCAGGAGTTTGAGGTTAAAGTGAGCTATAATCATGCCACTGCACTCCAGACTGAGTGAAAGAGTGACTCTGTCTCAAAAAAAATAAAAAAATGCCTAGAAAGAAAATAAACTTGAATTTTGTGGCAAAACAAGTCTCACTAGGAAATACAATTGAGAAAGCATATTGGCTCTTATATATATTTATCTCCTGTAAACAGACTCTAAAATAACTGAAGCACATATGTTGGGGTTAGGGGCCTGGTTCCTTTCTTTATGAAGTGAGTAAAGTAGTCCCAGAAAATGAGAAAAATTACCATTGCTAGAAGACTCTAATTTAAAACCAAACAAAGTTGAAGAATTGCTAATACCTTCAGAATCTCTGATGAAACAAACATCTACTAAGTTCATCAGAAGACAGAAGTAGGGCACCTTGCCTTTTAACACTTTCCACATTTTCCTTTGTGCATCCTCTTAGTTTGGATATACAGTCATTCATTGCTTAACAACAGGGATATGTTCTGGAAATGCATCATTAGGCAATTTCATCATTGTGCAAACATCATGGCATGTACTTACACAAACCTAGATGGGATAGCCTGCTGTACATCTATACTCTATGGTACAGCCTATTGCTCCTAGGCTACAAACCTGTGCAGCATGTGACTGTACTGAATTCTGTATGCAACTGTAACACGATACTAAGTATGTGTGTAGACTGTCCTGCTCCTTACCTCTCACTTCTTATGGAGATCCCCTGCCTCCGCAGCTGGCCACCATGGCAGCAGGGAGACAAATGGAGTCATCACTCAGAGCTCCTTTTACCTTCCTGTCCATAGGACTTCAAGAGGCTGCAACAACTTGCAGAGAACAGAGTGGATAGAGTGTGGCTGAAATGCACCCGTGCTCAGCATCAGCGAAAGCCACCATTCACTGGGGAGCATTGGAAAGCGAGAAATACAGGCAGACTCCTGTCTACACCTGGCTCATCAGAGAGCCAAACCCCAAAATGACCTAGAAAGCAAGGAGCTCAACCCACAGCCCAGGCTTCATTCTGCAGCCACCTTAGAGAAACCCCTCTACCCATCCCCTCCTTTAGTGGATAGTGGAGCTTCGTTTTGAACATTGAGGTTTGTGATATACAAGTATGGGAGCTTTAAAGTGAAGCAAGGACAAACACCATAAAAAGAAAACAGTTTTGAGCATCCCAAAAGAATCTCTGCAGAACACCAAGAAATGTCCAAAAGACACTTCCACAGACTAAAATGCTCTGTGGTCACCATCTTGAAATTCTTAAGAATTTTTTAACAAGGGGCCCCATATTTTCATTTTGCCCTGGGTTCCACAAATTCTGTAGTCCTTCCTGATAGAGTCTTCCCATATTGGCAACACCTGTGTCTAAACAACCAGAGAAAATACTTTGGGAAGAGATGTCATAAAAGAACTGAAATCAGCAAAAACCCCCAGGTGGGATATATTACCTCTCCTGCTTACAAAATTTATCTTTCAGGTTGTCTGAATTTTTTCACTTCACTTTGTCAAATGGCCTGAAATGTTTTTCCCTTGGGAAAAAAATGGTGAAGAAAGGAAAGAAAGAAGAGGAGAAAAATTCTGTTTTCTAAAAAATAGCACTATAAACACACAATGATATCACTCATCCAGACAACAGTGTGAATTAATTTAATCTACCCACTTCTCTTCTTCCTCCTGGCAGAGATCAGCTGCAACACTGCCACTGGGTGGGGAGAGAGAGGCAGAACGGGTGGTCTGGAGAAAGGGCTCCCAGTCACAGAGATGCCACAGTGGCACCTCTGGGTATCAGTTAGGACACTGATGTTGGAGACAGGAGAGTGCCCCAGAAGGCAGATAAGGAGTGCAGAGAAGGAGTCAGAACATGCTAATGACACACTTAGCCTCTTCCATTCTAGAAATTTGCCTAGGACAGGTGAGTGCCAAGGACAAGTCAAGATCCCTTTCCTTTTCTGCATGCACTGAGTCCTATTCCATAATGAATTATAGAATTAATTAACATCAGCAATTTAGCTACATTGTGTCCCAAAGACATTTACAAACAGGCCTAGCACAGTGCATACACAGCAGATTTTCCAAGGGCAACAAATGCCCTTAAAATACCAAAATGCTGCTTTACAAATTAATGTTTAGGAAACTTCTAGCCAAAGGTTAGATATAACCTGAATCCTGTTCCACTGATGCACATAACGAAGGTAAATACCAGAGATATATTCCTACAAATAAATTTATTTTTAATGTGCATCCGTCCTTTCTACGGATACACTTAATTAGTAAAATAAATGAAACAATAACTTTTGGCATCACTTGCCAAGAATGTTGAAGATTGAAATCGAATGATTAAATCTTTTAACCTAGAATGTAATGGGCACTTTTCTTCCCAAAACTCCACCTTCCTAATTCATCCTTATGCGAAATGAACAACGGATGAATTTCCATATTTCCATGGAAACCAGCAGGAGTCGCTTGCCCATCTGACAGGTGAATGCACAAGCCCATAGTGGAACACGTTCCCAGACTAACATTTTTCTCTCTCTGCCGCCCTACGTATCCGTGATCACCAGCACACAGCCCTATGTAGCCCACAAAGTCTTTCTCCCTGTTTCTCTCTGCACACCAGCCAGCAGCAGGTAAAATGTACAAAGCACCAACCATGGGCTGCTCTAAGTGCCTTTCTTCTAATCCTGATGACAGCCGTTGAAACTGGTGCTATTGGCCCAGTTTTGCAGATGGGAAAACTGAGGTTCAATGAAGTAAGGGGTTCACTCAAAGTCACCAAGCAAGCTAATGGTCATGTTAGACTCTCCACCAGCTACTGTGCTGCTTGGGAGAGCAGGTAGGTGGGTAAAGGGAGTTGGGAGAAGGCAGAAGGGGGAGCAAACATTGAAGACTCACTGTTCACTTTACAACTTAACTCTCAGTCAGGCTAGGTATCAACCCAGGTGGACAGAAGGAGGCTCCCTCTTCACCCATGAAGATCTCAGCCCCAGAACACAGCCTGCATATCGCCTTTACAGCAGGAGCTGTGTCCTACCCTCACAACCAAGCCTGAAATCTGTCATTGTATCTCCACCAGGATCACCAGAGAGGCTTTGCATAAGTGCACAGACTGTAAGCGGCTAGGCTGAAGATGACAGGACAGCAGCTATAGCTATTACTAGCATTGTGAAGATTATGCTGTATGTGACCGTGAGCAAAGAGAACGAGAGGGTCTCCTTTCTTCCATGCTTCCTTGTTTTATCATTTTCATGTGCCCCAACAGCTCTTAAGATGTCCCAAAATATCCCTTTGGATCATATATTATGAACATTTAAATATTATCTATTTTATCGCCCTAGGCATTCCAACAAATCTCAATGTATAGCTTTTTTTTTTTTTTTTTTTTTTTTTGAGGCAGAGTTTTGCTCTGTCGCCCAAGCTGGAGTGCAGTGGCACAATTTCAGCTCACTGCAACCTCCACCTCCTGGGTTCAAGAGATTCTCCTGCCTCAGACTCCCAAGTAGCTGGGATTACAGGCGTGCACCACGATGCCCAGCTAATTTTTGTATTTTTAGTAGAGATGCAGTTTCACCATGTTTGGCCAGGCTGGTCTTGAACTCCTAGCCTCAAGTGATCCACCCGCCTCAACCTCCCGAAGTGCTGAGATTACAGGTGTGTGCCATCATACCTGGCCAGCATTTTTATTAACTAAGCTTTGCCACAAGAATGACATAGAATGTGAAATTAACGTAAAGTCATAAGCATGGAAATCATTGACATATATAAATGTTCTCAATTTTACCTTTCTAACTCCTTTATTAACAAATAACTTATGGGCTGGGTGCAGTGGCTCAGGCCTGTAATCCCAGCACTTTGGGAGGCCAAGGCAGGTGGATCACCTGAGGTCAGGAGTTTGAGACCAGCCTGGCCAACATGGCAAAACCCTGTCTCTACTGAAAATACAAAAATTAGCCAGGCATTGTGGCGGGCACCTGTAATCCCAGCTACCAGGGAGGCTGAGGCAGGAGAATCATTTTAACCTGCGAGGCGGAGGTTGCAGTGAGCCAAGATCACGCCATGGCACCCCAGCCTGGGCGACAGAGCGAGACTCTGTCTCTAAATAAATAAATAACGTATTTTCTCCTGGGTTGCTACCCAAAGTCTCACTGATGACAACGATTCTCAAATCTGACTGCACATTCAAATCACCTGTGGATCTTTTACACACCATGGTACCTAAGCCCCAGCCCAGACCAAGTGAATCAGGCAGGGCAAGGCCTGGATGTTGTTTAAAAATTCCTGGATGATACAAAAAAGCTTCTATAACTGAGACACTTTAGGGTAATTTGCATCACCTGGGGATATTTTTTAAGTACTGGTGCCTGGACCACCCCCACCCACGAGATTTCCATGTAATTGGTCTGGGATGAGCCTATACAAAGCTCCCCAGGTGACTGTAATGTGCAGCCAAGTTTGAGAACCACTGCAGAGCCCAAAGAGAAATGATTATTCAATAGAAAAGATGGGAAATTAAAGAGCCAAAAAAAGTAAGAAAACCATTCACACTTCTCTGAGCAGTTGAAACCCAACACTTCTGGTTCCATTCTGGTCTCCTTCCAAACATAAGCATTAGTGGAGGTAAAGCTTGCTCCTCACACATCCTCAGGCTGCCTCCTTTCTGTTCCCTCCAAGACTTCCTGCTTAGCTCTTAAAAGCGTGGACTTAGAAACAAAGAACCCTGGGTTACAGTCGCAGCTGGGTGACTCAGGCAGTGTACTTACCTCCCTGTCCCAGTCCCCTCCTATATAAAGTGATTAGCAAAGAGCTGACACACCGTAAGTACTCAATAAACACTGGCTGTTCTACTTACTGGTGGTCTTTCTTCAACTCTTGTGAGGCAGGAGAATAGGGTCTGGAGGCAGGGAACCTAAGGCTGATTCACTCTGACTTCGTAGAACTAAATCAAAAGGAAAACCCCAACTTTCCACACCTAAGTAACAGAAGGACTGGAGGCTACTCCCTTTGCAAACCCCCAACCCCCTTTCTGCCTGGAAGATGGAAAATTGAAAGTAAGTACCTCTGATTGGTTGCGAAAAGAACCAATCAGATATCTGCATAGGAGTGTAACTTTGTAACTTCACTTCAGCCTTGCGGGCCACTACTTTATTTGCATGAGGTGTACACCAAGTGGCCAGTGGAAAACCTCTAGAGGGTATTTGGACCCCAGAAGATCCTGTAACCATGTCCCTTGAGCCGCTGCTCTGGCGGCTCCCACCCTATGTAGTGCACTTTCACTTTCAATAAATCTCTGCTTTCCTTGCTTTGATGTGTGTTTTGTCCAATTCTTTGTTCAAAATACCAAGAACCTGGACAACTTGCAGTCAAGACCCTCTACTGGTAACATTTGTTGGTAATAACTAATAATGATAATTAACACAAATAGGCTTATGATGTTCTAGGTCCTGTTCTAAATGCTTTACATATATTACCTCATTTAATTCTCACAATCACCCACAACTCTGAGGTAGTCATGAGCTTTGGCAGAAACTAATGTGATCCTCGATCATCCGAAGAGTCCATCGACCCTCTCCCAACAGTTAGGGAGAGCCCAGCACTGCCTTCTCTTTGTCCACCTCTTTGTAGGTTTAACATCTGCCTAAGCAATTTTACCTGTGTCTTTTCCGTTTGTTGAAAGGCTTCAAACAAAATAACTTGTTTAAAGGCCCAGACACAGTGCCCAGCACCTAGGACTTTCAGGCAATATATATTTCCCTGTCGTCCTTAACGAGTTTGACTTCTCAAGCCCCTTGGGGATTATTTTCTCCAGAGCAATGTGCCTGCAGTTCTAAGTTCACAGCCCAGTGAACAGCTGTGCCTTCTGTTCTGGCCCCCAAATTGGCCTGTGGGCTGGCCTACAGGTCCAGTGCTGGGGAATGGCAGCAGGTGTCAGGCATGAAGGAAGCACATCCGGAAGGGACCACCACTCCTCGGAGAGACATCATTGCCCTGACAAGCTGGCATCTGAATGTCATCTCCTTACCCACTCCATCCACCCATTGACCCTACATTCAAGCTAAGTGATTTCCTTCCACCGTTCATTCTTCCCCACAGTCTATAGAGCACTGTACTTCCCCTGAGTTTGCATCCAGTATATATTTTGAACCCTTCCTCCAGGCCTCCCTGAGCCTCCCATTTAGCTTTGTTGGTTCAATGTAAGCACTTCTTCAAAGTCACCCCTGCTTTGATGTGCATCCATGCCAAGAATTACCAGTAATGTCTGTATCTTATTCCTGATTGCCCAAACCTTTTACATAGCTTCCTAGAAGCCAACTTTTAAGGTATGGTTCAGTAATATCACCACTTCTGAATCATCCATTAACTTCCCTTACTTATGGCTCTGCTTTTTGTCTGGTACTATCTGTCTGGGCATCATTTTTGACATTTTCCTGGCCCTTTATTTTTAAGCCATGAAGTTTACAAAACCAGTTCATCTAAGTATGGGTAAAAACAATTTCTCCCCTTCTAGAAACATAAGGAGGAAAGCGCATGTAGAAAACCTTTCCGACTATATTGGGGGATTAGAGGTGGGTTCTGAAGATGTTGTGGAATGCTGTTTCCCCATGGTTTCCAGGATAGCTTTCAGGAATCCTTTTCTGTAGAATAGTCAAAGGGAGCCCCACTGAGTCGTCTGCAGGATTATTATTCAGTGGGAGGAATTCATGATCTGGGGTCCAACTGTGTGAGCTGGGATTCTGAACTCCATTAGGTAGTTGTGAACCTGTGTCAGGTAGCTGAGTATGTAGCCTTAGGCTATACTTCACATTCCTGACTTCAGTTTCCCCTTCTATATAATGAAGACAATAGGATTGTTGGTAAATCAAAGGAGATAATACATTTTAAAGACCGAGCACACAGTTAATATTCCAGAAATTATTGCCGTGGTTTTTATTATCATCTTCATTATGTTTATTGGGAACTTCTATTCTCCAGGCTGCATCAAAAACTGAGTGCTGGAAAACACATCTGAGAATAGGGAGGCAGGACTAGATAGGCGTTGATATTCTCCGACTCTGTGGTCAGTGTGCATGCAGAAGGAAGCAGAGCCCCATCCCTGGCATTTCTGGCCCTCTCCCATCCCACTTTCCCCATCCTGCTGCCTCACTCCTTCCTCAGCTTGTGCTAGTGACAGCTGAGAGTTTCGACCGTGCAGTCTGGCCCAGCATCTATCTCCTTAACCAGTACAAGCCTCTGTCTCCTTAGCCCTGCTCCTCTTCCTCTCCTTTGTTTCCTGAGGGTACTGCTGTAGACTCAGATGAGCTGCTGGTAGCTCAGTGAGGAAGCACTCAGAGCTCATTTTTCCCCCTTATCATATGAATTGTGTTAAAGACTAAAAATGCCAGGATGCACTCTAAACTAGTAACAGCAGTTGGAGGCGTGGAGGTAGCAGGGGGAGAAGGAGGTGGTTGAGAGTGTACGTTTTTGACTTTTTATTTTATATAATTTTTAAGCATTGTGATTACAGGTAACATTTGCCTTCTTTTTAGTGTTTTTTCATTATTCAAATATTTTAACCTGACTCATACCTTTTGAAGATTAAAGAAATGAATAATAAAGATTTATCATTCCAATTAAATGAATTTTTCTCTGAGTCAGGAATTCCACAGCAGTAATGCTTCTTTCATTTGGGTTCTATAGAATGAATATCCCATGCTACATCTTTGAGCCTTGCAAGATGGTAGAGGAAATTCACTGCCATGCATGAGAAAGGCCAACAGGGAGTCTGAAGGGGAGAGGATGAGGTGATCCTTAGAAGGAAAGAAGCAACTGCCAGCCAGGGCTTGGCCTGCAGGTCTCCTGCGTTCCTCCTCCAATACCCTGTATTCTGGAAGAATCTCTGCATTCATCTTCTAAGCTTACTTTGTAGTTGTCTTTTGTAGTTAGGGCACAGTTAAAAAGAGATTTACTTGCTCAATATTTGACACATGGACTCACCTATTGATGCTAAGTGCTAGACACACATATGGAGCAAAGCAATGTTCTTTGTGTTCATTGTTAGGCATGCGGTGATGCTTTTGAAAGGCGTGCAGCGCCAAAGGGTAGATACTACCTTTGCAAACAGTGCACTGTGTATTCTCTTTTTTTTTTTTTTTGAGACGGAATCTCTCTCTGTCATCCAAGCTGGAGTGCAGGGGCGTGATCTTGGCTCACTGCAACCTCTGCCTCCTGGGTTCAAGTGATCCTTCTGCCTCAGCCTCCCAAGTAGCTGGGACTACAGGTGCATGCCACCAGGCCCGGCTAATTTTTGTATTTTTAGTAGAGACGGGGTTTCACCATATTGGCCAGGCTGGTCTCGAACTCCTGACCTCATGATCCACCCACCTCGGCCTCCCAAAGTGCTGGGATTACAGGTGTGAGCCATGGCACCCGGCCACTCTGTGTATTCTTAAATCCAGCTTCAGACCTAGGGTGAGCTCCTATTCAAAACATAAGGTCTAAGTTTATCTCAGTCCATGTGTTGCCAAACTTTCTGCCAAACATCGCCATAGACACATTTCTCTGAATCTTAAATTCATTCCCATCAACTAAATACGTGCTTAGCGTTGTCATTGTACTTTAATTTAAAAGAGTCCAAACCAAGTATAAATGGATAAACCTTTTGGAGGGCAATTCAGCAAGACCTACCAAAATTTATTTTACTTCTATGAATTTACTTGCCTGTGTGCAGAAATAAATGCACACATCTATGCATTATAACATTCTTTGTTAACATACTCATTGGAAGCAACACAAGTCTATTTTTAGAGGACTGGTTAAATAAATTATTCTACACCCATACAATGGAATATATGGAGTCATTAAAAAGAATGAGGTAATCTCTAAATACTGACAATGAAGATGTCTAAGACACATTATCAAGGGGGAATAAAAGAGGTCCACTCTATGTATGAGGAGCCTACTTATATAAGCAGAAAAATAATTTGTTGATATGCTCACATAGATATTAAAAATGTGGAAAATATTTGAAAATCTTTGATTTCATATAGTACTTTCTAATATAAGGCTATGATGTGCCAAGCACTGTTTTAAGCTCTTTATAGATATCAACTCATTTAATTCTCATGAGAACCTCTGGGGTAGGTGCTATTGCTATCCCCACATTTCAGATAAGGAATGGGAAGACAGAGAGCTTGAGGTCACACCCTGAAAGCCTGTACTGGCTACAGCAGATAGTTTGACCCATGCAGTCTGGCCCAGCCTGCTCCTTCTTTCTAGTACTGCTTTAGTTTTTTTTAAATAAGCAGCTATTGCTTTTATTTAAAATTTCAAGAATTAATAGAAAAAAAAGAATCTAAACCCATTTGGGGCATATCAGTTGCCATTATAAGGCATTCATACACATTACTGCCTCAGGTTCAGGTATTGAGGACAAGATTCAAAAATGTGAGCAGGTTACTTGTCTTTTAAGTGATAGAAAAAGCAGAATTTGTTTCAACTCTTGATGTTTCCTGAAATCCAGCTCAAGAGGGAAAGTTGGTTTTAGAGATCCTGTTTTTCAGACATGCTTCTATGAAATCTTGATAGAGGAGCCAAGAGTACAAGCCTTAAGCAAGGGAGCTCTCCAATAAGACCCTCATTCAACAAGGAGGCCGGGGAATAGATTGGGAGAAGTGGGAAGCTGTGTTGGCTGTGGATACCCAAGAGTCATGGAGAGCTTAGGAACAGCATAGCAATTACCCTCCCCTCTAAGGCAGACACTTAAATTGTGGGAAACACCCCACAGGTCACTTCCTATTGGTGGTTTTAGCATTAACAAGCTGGAGGGTTATTTTTGCTGTTCCACTTAGCTGATGGCATCCCACATGAAGGTTTATTAGAAGTACTAAGATGTATACAAGGGTGTGGAAAACAAAGAAGAAAACATAATTAACTGGAAAACAGAAAGAGAGGAAGGTCCATGATCTGACTGAGGAAGGAAAACAGCAACCCTAAGCCACATATATAGAAAGAAACAAACAAGAGTGCAAGAGTGGGGAAGGGAATCCCAAGGACACTCCGGTCTGCTGGGGAGGGTAACCATAACAGTCACAAATTTTGGTTGCAAATAACAAGAACCAGGCCAAGGTAGCTTAAGGAAAAGGTGGTGGGTGCAGTATTACAAGGGTGGATCAGTGTCTCACAGAAGCCAGCAGCCACTCACAGTCAGGTAGGAGCAGAACTGGAAACTGGAAATCCGGAGGCACCCTGGGAGCAGAATTTTCAGACATGCCAAAATTTCAGTCAGTGGATCTCCTTCACCCCACCTACATGGCAGAAGGAAGCAATGTCTGTATTTGGTCATCTTCCCCAAGCTCTAGTGGTTGGCCTCCAAAACTCAAGAGACAGTTCCAACATCTACAGCAAGTTGGCGGTGTCCTTGGCTCCCCGGATTATTTTGCAATCTGCTGCTCACACCTCTTAGCTGTCTTGACAGGAGGAAAGGGAGAGACGGCATTTCCTTTTCTCTGTATGATGCCAACTTCTTTTCTCCCCTCATTTTTATCTTCCTTCTTTCTTCTTCTATGACACTTCTTTGGCTGGCCAGAAAATTACTTACAGTCTCCCTTATGGCATCTTTTGCCCCCTCCCCCAGCCATGAAGCACCCCCATTGTACATTTCTGGAACTGTTCATTGATTGCTCAGAATGGAGTAATTCTCCGTCTGCATCTAAGCCCAATGCACACACAGCAGCAGCTCCCAGGGTCCATGGAACTGCAGATAGCAGGGTCCAGAAACCTTAGACTGCAAATCTCATCTCAGGATTACTAGTTTTCAGATAAGGAACAGTCTTGGTTTGGTTTCTACTGAAAGCAGAGCCTGAGATGAGGACTCAGTGCAGGTAGTTTATTTGGGAGACGAGCCTAGGAAGCAGTAACAGGGGAGTATGAGAGAGAAAGGGAAAATGTCCATTTCAGAGTATGTTATTGAGTCATCTCTGTAGGCAACAGGGGCTCCACTATGCTGGGGACCTTTGGGAAGTGTTCTTATTCTTCCCCTAATTATCAGCCTGAAGTTGTATCCACTCATTCCAACCATCTTCTGTTGAAACGTTATCCCCCAGGGGTCTGTGTGCCTCTCCACTTCCTGGTTGCTCCTGTGCATGGGCCAAGAGGGCTCCCACGATTTTGAAGAAGGTCCTCGAAGCAGAGGAAAAAAAGAAAGCCAGGCTTGGAGCAAGATGCTGTCAGCAGAAGGGAAATCCAACCTTGCAAGGAACAGCCCACTACACTGAGCCAAATTCAGGGGTAGGCTAGGGGGATGTAACACAAAACCCCACCTAGGATTTGTTTTTAATTGCTCAAAGTAATATGTGTACATGGTAAAAAAAAAAAAATCAAATAGAGAAGAGTATACAGTAAAAGCAGCAATCTCCCACTCCACTCAGCCCAATACCAAGTTCCGCTACCCAGAACCAACCACGTGAAACTGCTACTAGTTTTTCTTACCTCCAGTTGCCCCTCATTCTTACTCTTCCTCAAAAGAAATACACTGTAAAATCATCCATCCTCTCCATATCAAGGATTTCTCATGAAGTTTTGGGTTTTGATCCTAATCTACCTTTCACCCAAGGAATCATAGATAGGAAAATATATAAGGGATTTAACCCCAGAAAATTAGCTCTTTGCATATAGGCATTCACACCTAATCAGGGCTGCTCTTAGCACTGAGCTCTTCAGTACAGGCATACCTTGGAGATATTGTAGGTTCAGTTCCAGACCACAACAATAAAGCAGATATTGCAGTAAAATAAGTCACAAGAATTTTTTGGTTTTCCGGTGCACATAAAAGTTATGTTTACACTATGCTTAATAGACTATAATCTATTAAGTGTGCAATAGCATTGTGTCTAGAAAAATGTTCATATCTTAATTGAAAAACACTTTTGCTGAAAAATACTAATGATGGTCTGAGCCTTCAGCAAGTTGTAATCTTTTTGCTGGTGGAGGTTCTTTCCTTGATGTTATGGGCCTTGACCTGGATTAGGCTCTGGTTTATGGGAATGCTATGGCTGATTTGATCTTCTATTTAGACTACTCAAACATTCTTCATATAAGCCATCGGGCTATTTCACTTTCTTATCATTCATGTGTTCGCTGGAGTAGACTTTTAGTTTCCTTCAAGAACTCTTCCTTTGCATTCACAATTTGGCTGTTTGGCTCAAGAGGCCTAACTTTCAGTCTATCTCAGCTTTCAACATGCCTTCCTCACTAAGCTTAATCATTTCTAGCTTTCAATTTAAAGAAACACATGACTCTTCACTTGAACAGTCTGAAGCCATTGCAGGGTTATTAATTGACCTAACTTTAATATTGTTCTGCCTCAGGAAATAGGAAAGCCCAAGGAGAGGAAGAGAGATGGGGGAGCTGCTGGTCGGTGGGGCAGTCAGAGCACACACGCATTTATTAAGTTTGCCATCTATGGGCATGGTTCATGGCACCCTAAAACAATTACAATAGTAACTTCAAAGTTCACAAATCACAGATCACTTTAATGGATATAATAATAATGAAAGTGTTTGAAATATTGAGGAATATGTCCTATTAGTTTGGCTTAGTTTTGAGGGGACTTGATTGAGCTGAAGGATGATGAAGACTTCCAAGGTGATGCAGAATTCTGTGTCATGTTAAAATTCAGTATATTACTTCCAGAACTGTTATGAAACTTATGAAATTTATGTGCCTAAAGTTTAGGCAACTTTTGCTTCTACCTAACTTTCTGAAAATATTTTCTTTTTCAGAAAGGTGTTGAAATAAAAATTAAATACAAGTTGAGAAACATGTTAAGAGTTACTCTCTGTGAAATAAATCTGGAGTCAGAATGTAAACATATGCTTATTGAATAGATCTCAATTTTTTGAGACCAGTTTATTCCTGTTATTGCCACTAGTTTCATTGACTTGATCAATATTATGCACTCTGAATGAATAAAGTTGATTAAATTTTTTTGTGTGTGTTGCTTTTGTATTCAGGCTTTAACCCATCCATTGCCATTTTTAGCATTAAAAAATTTATAGAACTACGGATATTTGGCTGGCTTTCTTTCTTTCTTTCTTTCTCTCTCTTTCTTTCTTTTCTCTCTTTCTCTCTTTCTTTCTTCTTTTTTTTTTGGACGGACTCTCGTTCTCTTGCCCAGGCTGGAGTGCAATGGCACGATCTCGGCTCATGGCAAGCTCCGCCTCCCAGGTTCACACCATTCTCCTGCCTCAGCCTTCTGAGTAGCTGGGACTACAGGCACCCACCACCACGCCCAGCTAATTTTTTTTTTTTTTTTTTTGTATTTTTAGTAGAGACGGGGTTTCACTGAGTTAGCCAGGATGGTCTCGATCTCCTGACTTCTTGATCCGCCCGCCTCAGCCTCCCAAAGTGCTGGGATCACAGGCGTGAGCCACTGTGCCCGGCAGGGTATTTGGTTTTCTAATCAGGTAGCCTGCTATGGATTGAATTTTTGTATCTCCCCCAAATTCATGTGTTGAAGCCCTAATCCTCAGTATGATAGTGTTTGGAGGTGGGGCCTTTGATAGGTTATTAGGTCATGAGGGTGCAA
The DNA here is from genome assembly GCF_000001405.40 of Homo sapiens. Taxonomy (NCBI): domain Eukaryota; kingdom Metazoa; phylum Chordata; class Mammalia; order Primates; family Hominidae; genus Homo; species Homo sapiens. The sequence continues at coordinate 47,844,508 of NC_000013.11, forward strand.
ACTTTCATGAATGGCATTAGTGCTCTCATAAGAAAGGATATGAGAGAAATGATTTCTATCTTGGCCACATGAGGCTACAGTGAGAAGAGATGGCTGTCTACAAGCCAGAAAATGGGCCATCACCATTCACCAAATCTGCTGGCACATTTTTCTTAGACTTCCAAACCTCCATAAATGTGAGAAATAAATGTTTATTGTTTAAACCACTCCAGTCTATGGTATTTTTGGTATTAGCAACTTGAACTAAGACATGCTGTATTGTTAAAAATTCTTGAATGTTTTTGTGTTAAAATATTTGTCTGTGTATGTGTGTATGTGTATAGATCAGATATACTTCCTTGTTGCTTTATTCATTGGTCCCTGTTAATTTAGCTCTGATTATGTCTAATCTAGGGAATATTGAAGACAATTATGTTATTGCCTACCCACCCTTACGAGTCTCTTTTTGCAGCAAAAGATTCCCAAGTTGTGTTCCTTACTATCCTCATCACCTACCTTTGAGTCCTGTCCAGTGTGGCAAAGTCCTTAAAAGTAATGTCTCAGGAGTGGTAGCTCACGCCTGTAATCTCAGCATTTTGGGAGGCTGAGGCAGGCAGATCACTTGAGGCCAGGAGTTCGAGACCAGCCTGGCCAACATGGCAAAACCCCATGTCTACTAAAAACACAAAAATTAGCTGAGCTTGATGGCACATGCCTATATTCCCAATTACTTGGGTAGCTGAGTCACAAGAATCACTTAAACCTGGGGTGAGGCTTGTCGTGGGGGAGGTTGGTTGCAGTGAGCTGAGATTGCGCCACTGCACTATAGTCTGGGTGACAGAGCAAGACTATGTCTCAAAAAAAAAAAAAAGAAAGAAACAAAGAAAAAGAAAAAAAATAGAATACGTTGATCATAAGAGGAGACTAAAACAAGTGAGCATTGACATAATCAGCTCTAGTAAATCTACTAGGCAGAGCTAATGAGAATTCTGTGTATACATTTTCCTACTCAAGTAATTTGAAATATTATGTGAAAAAGTTATAACTAAGTCTGTGGTTCATGGAATGGTTTTTAAGCAATATTCCTTAGAAAGGAAGAAAAAGTTGGGTTTTGCTATGTCACCTGTCTTCTTATACATTTTTAAAAAAGATCCTTCATTTTGTTCAAATTATTCATAGACTTTGCATCTGTTTTTGAGTTGGATTTCCTAAATGGTACTATTTGTTCATCTGCAAACACCTGAGTTACAAAAGGTTTTCTCAAATGAGGTCATTCATTGAGTCAGAATATTTCTCCAAAAAAGGCCACAGGGCGGGCGCCTGTAGTCCCAGCTACTTGGGAGGCTGAGGCAGGAGAATGGCGTGAACCCGGGCGGCGGAGCTTGCAGTGAGCCGATATCCCGCCACTGCACTCCAGCCTGGGCGACAGAGCGAGACTCCGTCTCAAAAAAAAAAAAAAAGCCACAGGGAAGGGCAAGTGTTTGTCATCTGAATTTTGCCCTTTCTTAGGAAGTTGCTTTGGCTACATGTTAGGAGACCAGTTTCTGGGGGAAAAAAAAATCTATGTGTGAATGTTCTGGCCTTTCCATAGGCAACAACAAAGGCTTTCCCTGGCAGTCTTCTGGGGAAATCTGCCCTGCCCACACAGCCTTGGTGCACAGCCAGTGCACTGTGGTCTTTGAGGAGACCTGCGGTCTCTTCACTGCAAGAGACAAGGAGTCCTGCCCACTGGCTGGTCATGCTCTTATGCACAGTGACTTCCTAGCCAGGCACCTCCACTGGAAAAGGTGCCTCCTTATCTGTAAACCTTGAAGATATTTTCTCCACTCTGACTGACTCAGTGTCCAGTAACTTTTCCACTTCTAGCCCTCCCCTCTCCTCTGGGTCCCAGGTCCATAAAACTGCAAAAGCCTTTTGTTCCAGGCTTCTTACTCAATGAGACACTGCCCCCTACCCCACCCCCAGGGATCCATCTGATCCTCAACAGGTGCACTGTTCCATGCAGAAATGGAACAGGGAAGAGACGACAGCTTTCTCTGGTTTTAGCCTCTTGCTTTTATTATCACAGTACATGGATAAAGGCTTCACTCTTGCTTTCATTTTGGCGCACTGCTTTTAACTTGCTGCTCTGGCAATTCAGTTCTAGTTAGCTCAGCCTGAGACAGGTCCTGACAACGCAGTTCCCATCAATAAAAGCTTTTACCATAAAATGGGCACACCAGGCAGTAATAATTATAAAAGCCAACATTTACTGAGCTCTTACTGTATGCCAGAAACCATGATAAGCCTTTTAAATATATGATTGCTGTATTGCTCAAAGTGTGGTCCAGGAACTAGTGCCGACTGACACAGTTTGTTACCAATTTAAGACATGATAAGTAGAAAAACTGAGAGTATGTATTTAGAAACTTGTATTTGTCACTGCTATGTAACTGGTATTTTTTTTTGTATTTGTATGAGTATTCGTCCACAACAGATTGAAAATTTTAGAAATATGTTCTTTCACCACAGATGAATGGAGAAGCACTATGCTATCTCATCTAATCTTTAAAACGATCTTTTGAAGTACGTCCCATTAGTACCCCTCATATACTGATGAGTAACCCAAGGCCCAGACAGGCTGAGTAACTTGCTCAGGGTCATGCTGATAAGTAGTGTCAATGCTGTGGCAAGACAGCTCGCTCCAGCTGCTGGGCTTCCTTACTCTAGGGCTAGACTCACAGCTCTTTTTATCAGTGAATATCTTGTGCTACCCAAATGTGATCTAACAAGTGTCCTATGGAGCCACTTGGGTAGAATATCTGTCATTGTGTTTGCCCCAGCAAATCCAGGGTGTACAGCTGCCTTAGACAAGTACCTCTGTCACATAATTAAATGACACTCTCTACCTACATTGGCAAGGAGAAGTTCTGAGTCTTTGCAGGAAGCCCACCACATTCCAAGGTATCTTCTTGTGTTGGATGTAGGGTTTTCAGAACTTCAATTCTTGTTAGAATCAGTATTTACCCAAATCAATTTTCCCTGTCCTTAGCACCAATTTCCAAACTTATAATTCCATTTACTTTCAGTTTTAGGATTCTGCGTCTGTATGGTCACGGGTACGTATTTCCTGCTGTCATCACAGGCATGGAAATAAAATTTTGTGAATCCGAGTATTTCCCATAGACTGAGGTCTCGACTGCTTATACTGGCACACCTCGTTTTATGCACTTCACTTTATTGTGCTGTGCAGATATCGTATTCTTACAGACTGAAGGTTTGTGGCAACCCTATATCCAGCAAATCTATTGGTGCCATTTTCCCAACAGCATGTGCTCACTTCATGTTTCTGTGTTACATTTTAGTAATTCTCTCAATATTTCAAACATTTTCATTATTTTTGGGGAGCAGCTGGTTTTGGTTACATGAATAAGTTCTTTAGTGGTGATTTCTGAAATTTTGGTGCACTCATCACATGGTCAGTGTACACTGTACCCAATGCATAGTCCTTTAACCCTCATGCCCCACCCGCCCTTTCGCCTGAATCCCCAAAGTCTATTACATCATGTTTATGCCTTTGTGTCCTCATAGCTTAGTTCCCACTTATAAGTGAGAATACACAACATTCCATTCCTGAGTTACTTCACCTATAATCATGGTCTCCAACTCCATGCAGGTTGCTGCAAATGTCATTATTTTGTTTCGATTTATGGCTGATTCGTTTTCCATGGTGCATATATACCACATTTTCTTTATTCACTAATTGTTTGATGGACATTTAAGCTGGTTCCACATTTTTTGCAATTGCAAATTGTGCTGCTATAAACATGTGTGTGCCAGTGTCTTTTTCATATAATGACTTCCTTTCCTTTGTGTGAAGAATACCCAGTAGTGGGATTACTGGATTGAATGGTGGTTCTACTTTTAGTTATTTAAGGAATCTCCATACTGTTTTCCACAGTGGTTGTACTGGTTTACATTTCTACCAGCAGTGTAAAAATGTTCCTTTTTCACCACATCCATGCCAACATCTATTTTTTTTTTCATTTTTAAATTATGGCCATTTTTGCAGGAGTAAGGTGGTATCACATGTGGTTTTTATTTGCATTGCCCTGATAATAAGTGATGCTGAGTATTTTTTTTTATACTTTAAGTTCTAGGGTACATGTGCACAACGTGCAGTTTTGTTACATATGTATACATGTGCCATGTTGGTGTGCTGCACCCATTAACTCGTCATTTACATTAGGTATATCTCCTAATGCTATCCTTCCCGCCCCCCCCACCCCCCACCCCACCACAGGCCCCGGTGTGTGATGTTCCCCTTCTTGCGTCCATGTGTTCTCATTGTTCAATTCCCACCTATGAGTGAGAACATGTGGTGTTTGGTTTTTTGTCCTTGTGATCGTTTGCTGAGAATGATGGTTTCCAGCTTCATCCATGGCATTTTTTTATTTGTTTGTTGGCCATTTGTTTATCCTCTTTTGAGAATTGTCTGTTCATGTCTTTTGCCCACTTTTTGTTGGGATTATTTCTTTTTCCTTGCTGATTTGTTTGAGTTCCTGTATACTAGTCCTTTGTTAAATGCATAGTTCACAAATATTTTCTCCCACTCTGTGGGTTGTCTGTTTACTCTGCTGATTATTTCTTTTGCTGTGCAGAAGCTTGTTAGTTTAATTAGGTCCCATTTATTTATTTTTGTTTTTGTTGCATTTGCTTTTGGGTTCTTGGTCATAAAGTCTTTGCATAAGCTCATATCTAGAGAGTATTTCTGATGTCTTCTTCTAGAATTTTTATGGTTTCAGGTCTTAGATTTAAGTCTTTGTTCAATCCTGAATCAATGTTTGTATAAGGTGAGAGATGAGGATCAAGTTTTATTCTTCTACATGTGGCTTGCCAATTATCCCAGCACCATTTGTTGAATAGGGTGATCTTTCCGTAATTTATGTTCTGTTGTGGTGTGTTTGAGACGGAGTTTCACTCTTGTCACCCAGGCTGGAGTGCAATGGCACAATCTGGGCTCACTGCATCCTCAGCCTCCCAGTTTCAAGCAATTCTCCTGCCTCAGCCTCCCAAGTAGCTGGGATAACAGACACCCGCCACTATGCCCGGCTAATTTTTGTATTTTTAGTAGGGATGAGGTTTCACCAGGTTGGCCAGGTTTGTCTCAAACTCCTGACTTCAGTGATCTGCCCACCTTGGCCTCCCAAAGTGCTGGGATTACAGGTGTGAGCCATGGCGCCCAGCCCCCAATTTATGTTTTTGTTTCTTTGTCAAAGATCAGTTAGCTGTAAGTATTTGGATTTATTTTTGGGTTCTCTATTCTGTTCCATTGGTCTACATGCCAATTTTCACACCAGCCCCATGCTGTTTTGGTAACTGTAGCCTTGTATTATAGCTTAAAGTCGGGTAATGTGATGCCTCCAAATGTGTTCTTTTTGCTTAGTCTTGCTTTGACTATGTGGGCTCCTTTTTGGTTCCATATGAACTGTAGAATTTTTTTTTCTAGTTCTGTGAAAAGTGATGATACTATTTTGATGGGAAGTACACTGAATCTGTAGATTTTGGCAGTATGGCCATTTTCACAATATTGATTCTACCCATCCATGAGCATGGGATGTGTTTCCATTTATTTGTGTCATCTATGATTTCCTTCAGCAATGTTTTGTAGTTTTCCTTGTAGAAATCTTTTACCTCCTTGGTTAAGTACATTCCTAGGTTTTTCGGGGTTTTTTTGTTTTTGTTTTTGTTTTTGTTTGCAGCTGCTGTAAAACGGATTGAGTTATTTATTTGATTCTCTGTTTGGTTGTTGTTGGTGTATAGTCATACTACTGGTTTGTGTACATGAATTTTGTATCCTGAAAATTTATTTAATTCATTTATCAGTTCTTCGAGTTTTATGGATGAGTCTTCAGGGTTTTCTAGGTATATGTCATATCATCAGTGAACAGCGACAGTTTGACTTTCTCTTTACTGATTTGGATGCCCTTTACTTCTTTCTCTTGTCTGATTGCTCTGGCTAGGACTTCCAGTACTATGTTGGGTAGAAGTGGTGAAAGTTGGCATCCTCGTCTTGTTCCAGTTCTCAGGGGCAACGCTTTCAACTTTTCCCTGTTCAGTATTATGTTGCTCCTGACTTTATTTCTGTGTGAGTTGTTTCTTCAGGATAGCTTTTCTTTGTAACACAATGGTAGCAGCAAGTTCAGGCTGTAAATCCATATTCTTTGTCATCCAAAAAGAAAGAGATTTCCTGTGTCCCACAACTCCCAAAAAATTTTTCAAAGCATCACATTGATTAGACAACCTCTAAAGCAATCCCTTGAACTAAGGGAATATCATGTACTGAATGGCTTAGTATTCAATTACCTGGAGCAGTAAACATGGACTCAGGGCAAGATGTGGATTTGCAGCATTTGCCAATTTCCATGGTGTAAATATTCCCACGATAGCCAATAAAGTGTGTGAGAGAGAGGAAAAATGGAAACACTATGAAGAATGCCAGAAATATTGTCAAGAGACAGGGAATGAAGAAACAACAGAACATATCTTAAGGCATTGAGGGAAAAATAATATCTTTTGCTGATTTAAGTCTACTTAATAAAATGGTTACACACATAAATACTAGAATAATAGATACCAAACTATGAACAGTTATTATTTCTTGGTGGTAGCCATATGAGTAAACTTCCTTGTATTTTTTAAATATATATATATATGAATAAACAACATATTTCTTTTACAAGAGGAAAATATGGTATTTTCATAATACTATTTGCCAAAACACATCTGGAATTGATGTCAGAATTCAGCACTCCTAATGCAGCATTCTCTACTTAATTATGTAAAATCACTCAACAAACATTCTCCTCATGCAAAGAAGTAGAATGAAATTGTTGGTAAAGGAAATGGCTGATTTTACACATTATAAACTCACTCCTTCTGCAGTGTCATTCAAATATTTATTGATCACCCTCTACCTACCATAATCATTTTCCATGAATTGTTCCCAAAACAATTTTATTGATATTAATCTTTATAATAATATTCCAAACTTTTAATTGCAATAAAAATCATCAAAATAAATGCATGTTATACTGATTTATCATCTTATTTAGCTATTACTGTGATGCTTACTTCACACTACAAGACATGAAAAAATTGAAAAAATGATGAAGTTGATAGACCAGAAAAACTATCTATTAATTATGTGAGGAACTTAAATTATCAAAAACTAAGTGGTTTTCCTTGCTTTAAAGAAATTACAATGTCTGAGTGGCAGATGAAATGAAATAAGACAGAAATTCATCTTTCTTCCTCTGCCCCTCATTCATAAGCCTTTTTGTTCATTTCAAAATGGAAAGCAAGAAGAATTAATGAGATTTTTGCCTGAAGCATATCCCTCTAAACCCACATCTATTTAAATTAAAAATTCACCAAAATAGTGTCTGCATTTTCAGTAATTCTTGAAAAACAATTGTATAGCCTCCAAATGACAATCTCAAAAGATAAAGAAATAATACAAATATATTTAAAAAACAACTGTCTGAATCTATATATTTTTCCTCTTGAGTCTTTTTTCAAATTGAAGTCTTCAGATGAAATGTTTATAAGCCTATTCAAGTGTCTGCACTTATTTCTACACCTAGCATAAGATCATAACATTTTATCGTGTTAGAAAAGCAGCACTTACAGGACAACTGCTCTGAAATTCATATGCCACAGCATATAACTGAAGGATTTTCAGTGGAGTGGTCTTGAGAGTAGATGATTTTTCTCCCCAGGGGTCTGCCTTCCATACTAGATTAGGAACTCCTCAAGGCAAGGGATTTTCTTTATGTCATAGGCACCTTTGCATATTGGTGGACATATAATTGGTTTCAGTGAATATTTATTAAATAAATGAATCAGTAATTGAATAAAGCTCTGCTTTGCCCAGTGGCTCAAATTCATGAATCCAGAAACAACCTTAAATTTGAATAAGCAGAGATGTAAAATTGCATGTAGGACATAGTCACATGGTGGCTTCTCAAGTCATCCGCAGTCCATCCATCCTCAAAACCTCAAAAGCTCCTTGAGCCTTCTGACCACTTTCTAAGGCAAAGAAATTATGGCATCTCCATCTTATTCATTGAAAGGTGTTGCCCAATTTAGGTTTCAAGGGGTCCTTCTAGCAAGCTGTTAAGATAAGCACCCAGTGTGTGACTGGAACACTGAATCCTGAGTTATGGGTGCCCCTCTATCACAGAATTCTCCCCTATCCAGCCTATACTCCTCCCTCTCAGGACTAACATTTTCAAGATCCACCTCTGATGTGCTGCCTCATTTCCTCCGGGCACTTCTTACCCACATTCTCTAACTCCTTTATAGGGACCACTTCACCCTAAAGAAGGGCTCTACTTCCCCATTCAGGCTGAGCTGAGACCTGAATCTGGTTATCGGCCTGAAGGCAATGAGGGTGGTGGACTTGAGCTTGAGGAGAACCAGCCAGTCGACTGCCTCGCCCTCACCTGAAGCTTCTCAAAGTATCCAGACAATGGGAAGCAAGAGGGCTTGTTTTCCTTTGGAAAGGGTGATGGAGCTGCTTCTGCCAATGAGGAGGATCCAGAGGAACTGGGACCCTTACGGTACCCTCCTGTGTCTCAAAGTGCCCATCTTTTCCTCTCAGGGTGCTAAATTTGTCAGAGGAACCTTGTTGAGATGGTGCGCATAATATGTCTTGCATTTCTGCCGCCCTTATAATTAAATCCAGAGCTGGATTTTCAGCACAGGCTTCATGGTAGCTGTGAGAAATGAGTCCTTTAAAGCTGCCTTAGGAACACTCTGGCTGACAAAGCATGGCTTAAATGTGTCTGTGATTCTCTTTTTATAAAGCTACTAATTCCATCAAAAGAAGATACCTCATGCCACAATCCTTATAAATTTTGTTCCTCTCATAACAACCAGATGCATCAGTCACGCATCTACCAATGCCTTGTCTTATAACTACACTTCTCAATAAACCACAAGTGAAAACTTCAGTAATTTTTATGAGTAATCAGCAGAAGAATGCTCCCTGCAGAGATATGTACTTTCCAGAAGCTGTGAATATGCCACTTTACATATAGACAAAAGGGACTTTGTGGATGTGATTGAGGTTAGGTAGTTTGAGATGGGGAGATTATCCTGGATTATCAAATGGGCTCAGTCTAACCATTCGAGTTCTTAAAGACAGAGATACTTTCCTAACTGGGTAAGAAGTGACCATGGAATAAGGGTCAGGGAGCTGCTACTGCATTGCTGGCCTTTGAAGACAGAAAAAGGGGCCACAAGCCAAGAAAGTACAGGTGACTTCTAGAAGCTAGAGAAGACAAGGAGCCAGCTTCTCCTTTGGAGCCTCTGGAAAAGAACACAGCCTTACTGACACTTTGACTTTAGCCCAGTGAGACCTCTATCAGACTTCCACCCTACAAATTTTAAGATAATAAATTAGGCCAGGCTCACATCTGTAACCCCAGCACTTTAAGAGGCTGAGGTGGGTGCATCACTTGAGGTCAGTAGTTCGAGACCAGCTTGGCTAACATGGTGAAAATTCTTTCTCTACTAAAAATATAAAAATTAGATGGGCATGGTGGCAGGTGCCTGTAGTCCCAGCTACTTGGGAGGCTGAGGCAGGAGAATTGCTTGAACCCAGAAGGCAGAGGCTGCAGTGAGCCAAGATCACACCACTACACTCCAGCCTGGGCAACAGTGTGAGACTCCATCTCAAAAAAATTTTTTAAATTTAATTTAAAAAAAAATAATTAATGCCTTGTGTTGTTTTAAGCCACTAAGATTATGGTAATTTGTCACGACAGCAATAGCTAATTCAGGATGCTGCTGTATGCCAGAATTGTCAGCATTTCATTTTCCACAAGCAATGAAGTTCCTAATGCTTTCAGACAGATAGGCAACTCAACCCAAAATCCAGTCTTGAGGGTCTGCGTTCTAGACCCACTCCTCTACCTGCGTTTCCTAGAAAACAAAACCTGTGGCAGTTACCCATGTACTGAGGCTTTATAAAAAAGGACAATCCCAGGACAGCAAGAGTGTGGAAGGAAGTAGATCAAGTTAGCAAATATAAGGTCCACCTCATTTATCCACTTATCTAGCCACAGCTTATAAGACAACACAGCCAGTTGCTTGGCCATGTGGCCCATCTTCCAGACAGATCATGGAAAACCATTTCCCCTCAGAAGAGTCCAGCAGGGGAAGAAAGGGAAATGAATGGAACCTTTGAGCACATCTCCTGCCTTCATTAGTCAGAATGTTCCCTCCACACTTTCAAAGTCTTCACCCAGTAGGGCAACCCACTAGGGAACCCAGGTCCCGCTGCCTGTAGCGCAGAAGTGGAGTAATGGGCCAAGACTCCCCCGATCCTTAGGTGATGGCTGGGTGCAAGGTTGATGCAGCTCCTGCCAAGACATGCACCACGGACACCATGGAGAGCCCAACCATCGCCAAGTGGGCGGGGGAGGACTGAGACCCAGAGGGAGAAGATGAGGGGCCTTCCATTGAGCGAGCTGCTCAGGACCTGGGGGACAGGGCGAGCAATGAGAATCTATGGAGGCACATGAACAAGGTCTCATACAGCAGCTTAGAAAATTCCATAATGCAAGACCTCTAAAATTAGAAACCTAAGACAAATAGCAGAGGCAAAAATTTCCACTTTTAAAAGTTTTGTAATCACAAAATTTCATCAGCACACACACATACACACACGCACACAATCACCTAATTCATAATAACTACATGTTGATATACAAATTTTTGAGTTGGCCAGTCGTATTCAATAGACTTTTTGGACTGCCTTGGAAAAGTTCCACTTTTCTGAGTCTAACGTTTCTATACTAGATTAGCACTTCTTTTGTTGGTCAATGGGGAAATGGGACAAGACCAGACAATCTTACCTAGGTCTTATTGGAAGGGCTGGACCTACTATCCTTTGGTACCCTTTGATTCCAGGATGTCTTCTTGGCAGCCAATCATGCCACTGTCTTAGGTCAGCTCTGGTGTAACTTCTTTTTTTTTTTTCTCCCCAGACAGTGTCTCGTTCTGTCACTTAGGCTGGAGTGCGACAGAGCAGTCATGGTTCTTCCTGGGCTCAAACAATCCTCCCACCTCAGCCTCCTGAGTATCTGGGAACACAGGTGCACACCACCATGCCCAGCTAATTTTTTAAATTTTTTGTAGAGACATGGTCTTGTCATATTGCCCAGGCTAGTCTGAAACTCCTAGGCTCAAGCGAGTCTCCTGCCTTGCTCCCAAAGCCCTGGGATTACAGGCATAAGCCACCCTGCCAGCCCTGATGTAGCTTTTTTTTTTTTGTTTGAAACAGGGTCTAACTCTCACCCAGGCTGGAGTGCAGTGGACAGTAATGCCTCACTGCAGCCTCAACCTCCCAGGCCCAGGTGATCCTCCCACTTCAGCTTCTCGAGTATCTGGGACTACATGTGTGCACCACCACGTCCAGCTAATTTTTTGTATTTTTCTGTAGAAACAAGGTCTTGCTCTATTATCCAGGCTGGTCTCAAACCCATGGGCTCAAGTGATCCACATACTTCAGGATCCCAAAGTGCTGAGATTACAGGCATGAGCCACCGCGCAGGGCCTGGTGTAGTTTCTTTCATGGAGCAATGTTCCTCAGCAAATGTCTGTTGATATTCTTCTTCAATGCTTTCTACCTGCCTGGTTTCTTATACATATACCCCTTTCCTTATTGGCTTTTTAACTCTACACTATTTTTGTATCACAGTTATAGCTATTATAGTTGACCTAGTATTCACAGTTATTAAAATCAAAATTAGTTACAATTAAATTCATAGCACACCACCATAGGATTTTTTTCTCACTGGGCATGAATTTCAAAAAAAAGAAGCCCAGGGTAGACCAAAGAAATAACTTGCTGATTCAGAGGCTTCCAAACGCTGTAGTGGGCTGGGGAACGTTATAGATCACACTTCCTGTAAATATCCAAACTGCTTAGAAATAGACTGTTCCCTACACAGTACAGTATGAGAGTCACTGCAGTTTCTCTAAATTAAAAAAAAAAATCAATGGATTAGCTGACCATATGTCCTTATACATTTAGTATACTGGAGACTTAACTTATGGTCTCTTTGTGCTTTAAGTTTAAATCCATAAAGCAGTACAGCAGCAGTTTTCTTCATGAACAGCTTTTTATCAGCTGTCTGGGCAGTGTCCAGGTAATGAAGCCCAGGGACCTCAGAGAGCTGGCCCTGTGAAATTAATTCCATGGCTAGGGGAACATTCATTAAAATAATGGGTGACCACCGAAGTGTGTTTTTATAAGAGCTACAGTTGTAGTTGTTGTGAAATGTACTCAAGTATTCAAAGTAGTTTCAGTACTTGGCATTTTAAATAAAATACAGTTAGTGGATTGAAATGGTAATAGCCTGTCAGGATTCTTAAAATAAACGGGGCCTGGTAGGATAAATTACTTTATATGGAAATTACCTCCGAGTCTACTCTGATACATTACTGTTTTTGAACGTGTTGAGCAAGATTTAATAAAGCTAACTCCAGTAGAGTCTGATAGCCTATGTTTTCTTAGTGGTTCTTAAGGTTTAGTCAGCTTAAGAATCACCTGACTACTTGTTAAGTATGCCTATCTTAGTTCCTATCCCCAGAGACTTCTGAATCAATAGATCTGAGGTGGGACCCAGAAATCTACATTTTAAGGAGCATTTCCTCTCTTTAGTTGATTCTGACACAGGTAGTTTACAAAGCACTCTCTTAAGATAACCAGTGTGGGAGTCTATGGCTCGATCCACTATCCCAAAACCTCAGTGGGCGCACCAGCCAGGGATACCATGGAGAAGTTGGTAAGTCATAAGCACTGTGTGCAAGGACGGCTCCTACAGCACTCTTCAGATCCTCCCAGGCCTCACTTGTCACCAGTAACTTCAAACTAGCAGCTAGTAGCCTGTTCTCCATGAACTGTGACCAGATTGTGGGTCTGGGACATATGGTCAGCTAATCCATTGATTTTTTTTTTTAATTTAGAGAACTTGCAGTGACTCTCATACTGTACTGTGTAGGGAACAGTCTATTTCTAAGCAGTTTGGATATTTACAGGAAGTGTGATCTATAACGTTCCCCAGCCCGGTACCGGCGTTTGGAAGCCTCTGAATCAGCAAGTTATTTCTTTGACCTACCCTGAGCTTCTTTTTTTGGAAATTCACACCCAGTGAGAAAAAAATCCTAGGGTGGTGTGCTATGAGATTAATTGTAACTAATTTTGATTTTAATAACTATAAATACTAGGTCAACTGTAATAGCCATAACTGTGATACAAAAATAGTTTAGAGTTAAAAAGCCAATAAGGAAAGGGATATATGTATAAGAAACCAGGCAGGTAGAAAGCATTGAAAGAGAATATCAACAGACATTTGCTGAAGACATTGTGACCAGGGATCACAATCCATCAGGATTTCATCTCATGCCTGTGCCTCCCATTCTCACTTCCTGCCCTATGGTTGCACTGTTGGCATAGAGGCATGAGACATCGTGGGTCTCAGCGGCACCCATATACATGCAACCTGGACGTCCTTGGGGAATTAATGTCCCATGATGAAAATCTTGGATCCAGGGAAATGGAGACAGCAGATGACTTTTTAATAATTCTCCCTCAGTGGACGATCAAAAGAGGCAGTCCTTTCTATGACCTCCTGAAACATGGTTCCACTGAGATCAAGCGATGATCACAGTGGATACCTCAAATGGCTCTCTATCCCTGTCATTCCCTGTCTCTTCCTCTTGTTCCTCATGTGCTCTGGGGAATTGCACTCCTTGATAGCATAAGAGCACATAATCTTTGCCTCAGGCTCTGCTTTCTGGGGAACCCAAGCTAAGATACATTCTAGAATTTAGTTATTTAACTGTAGTGCAGCAAATAATTATAAATTCACAAGCTCCTCTGACTAGACCCATTCTTGCTTCACTGCACATGGCTGAGACCTCTGAACTTTGGACAGAACATTTCCACAAGGGACAAAGAAGATATTGAGAAGCCACATCCACCAATACCAGCATGTAGCCTTCATCTTTTGTGTATCTTTGCACTGCTAGCTAGCTAAAGAACCTTCGCCAAGTCTAATCTAAGTTGTCACTCTCACCATTCCCCAGACCTGGACTGACCAAGCTTTATAGTCTAGCACGGCTCAACTGGGTTACATCAACTTCAACTAGATTAAAAGATTTGTCTGTTCAGCTAGAATGTGATTTGAGTTAGAGATCCAGAACTATTATTCCAACAAAACTTAGTTCCATTTCTCAGCTGTATCCTTTTTATGACCTAGATTAGGACATCACTCCCACCACATTCTGTTAGTTAGAAGTGAGTCACCAAGTACAGCTTATGTTCACACTCACATGAACGGAAATTAGACTTCACCTTTTGTACGTAGGATTATCAAGGAACAGAAAGCCACCATCTGGCTTCGTGCTGGACAGGCTTACCAACATATTCACATTTCAGAAGCCCTAGTTAAACTGCCACTTCTCGAGGACAGAATTGTGACCACTTTTCAGTACAAAGCTGTACATACAGTAGACCCCAAATATTTGCTAAATAAATAATCAAAAAAGAAAAGGACTTGATCTTCATGGTCCCCTGCACTTCCATTATTTCAATCATCACTAGAACTAGGCATTTATTCACATCATAGCTATCAGTTCATATGCTTCATATCTTAACTGACATGCCAGGTAGAAAATTGAAGCAGTTAGCTAAATAACTCAGGCTAAAAGTATTTTCACTTCAATTACATGCAAAGATGATGCAGGAATTTTTGCCCATAGTGAGATTTTTTTTTTCCCACCAGAGGCAGCATACTTTCTCCTAAAGATTTTTCCTCCTTCAAGTCAACCTCAAATTTCTTCCAGATGGTTCTGAGAAATTCATAGCAGCAATTTGTCACCATTCCTTTTATTGAAGGTGTAACACACTGCTGCAGTTTTAACTAGTCCCAGGTCAGCAGTAACATATCAAGCACTAATGCCTTCGTTAGCTTCTTATAGGCTGTTGCTTCTGGAATTTCCAGGGACTGAGAACTACAGTGTCTCAACCAAAGAATCAGCAACCCCTTTAGAATCCGCAAGGAGATGTGTGGTGTGCATCAAGTATAAGAGGCCAAATGTATATGCTTTAAATCTATAGTACCTGAGGCCAAAAGCAGTTTTTAAAAATTATTCCATAGCTTTTTCAAGTACATTTATGATTTCATTGTTTGAGTTTAAATATTTTTAAAGTATTATACGAAATGCAGAAGCAGAAAGGATATTGTTGATATATTTAAACAAATGAAAGTATAACATTTCTACAAGGCAAAAATCCTCCATAATTAAAATCAAAAGACAAATAACAAATAAGAAAAAAATCTACAACTCATTTAAGTGACTAAACATTGCTTTTCTTAATATATGAAGAGCTTCTATAATTTAATAAAAAACAACAAGCCAATGAAAAAGTGGACAAAAGATATGAACTGATAGCTTAAGGTCAAGGAAGTGGAAGTGGCTCAAACATATAAACAGATGCCCAACCTTATACCTAATAAGAGAATGCAAGTTGAAAGAACACTAGGGCATCATTTTTACCTATTAAATTTGAAAATACGAAAAAAAGTTTGATAACATTCTGTTAGGGAAGGCGTAGGAAACAGGCACTCTTATATAGCTTGATGGTGGGAGTAAAAACTCCATGGAGACCAATGTGCTCACACTGATCTCTATTACAAATGTATGTGCCTTTTGGCCTCCATGAACCACTTCTAGGACTATGTCCTAGAGTTACTCCCATGCGAGTATAAAATGACAGATATATGAGCCTTCATTACAGCATGGTATAGAATATTAAAACCACTTAAATGTCTACCAAGAGCAGATGGGTTAAACAAAATAGTGCAAATGTGTGCAATGCAACACAGCTACTAAAAAACTAAGTACATCTTTATATACCAATATGGAGTAAGTTCCAAAACATATTGTTAAGAAAAAATTAAAAATAAAGTGCAGAACAATTTACATAGTATGTTATGTTTCTACCTTAAGAATATATATCAAAGCTATATTGAAACAGGGTTGCTGGGAGACAGAGATGGAAAGGAGATCTATTTTTTCATTTTGTTGCACTTAAACCTTTTATATTTTATATTATGAGAATGAATTACTAATTTAATTAATAAATAAAAATTTTTAAATCATGCACTGCCAGAATGTGGTTCTATAATGGGACAAAGCATAGACTTTTCAATTGACCCACCCCCCAATACAGCAAAAGCAGTGCTAAGAGGAAAGTTTATAGCATTACATGCCTACATCAGAAAAGTAGAAAGATTACAAATTAACAATCTAGCAACCCACCTCAAATAACTAAAAAAGCAAGAACAAACCAAACCCAAAATTAGCAGAAAAAAAAAGAAATAACAAAGATCAGAGCAGAACTAAATTAAATAGGACCAAAAAACAATACAAAGGATTAATGAAACAAAAACTTGGTTCTTCTAAAAGATAAAGAAAACTCATAAACCACTAGCTAGAAGAGAGAAGACCCAAATAAACAAAATCAGAAATGAAAAAGAAAACACTACAGCTGATACCAGAAATACAAAAGATTATTAGAGACTATCATGAAGCATTGTACACTCACAAACATGAAACCTGGAGGAAATGGATAAATTCCTGGAAACATAAATCCTCCCAAGATTGAGCCAAGAAGAAATAGAAAACCTGAACAGACAAATAACAAGCTGAGATTGAATCACTAATAAAAAAATCTACCAACAACAATAAAAAGCCCAGGACCAGATGAAGTCACAGCTGAATTCTACCAAACATACACAGAAGAACTAATACCAATCCTCCTAAAACTGTTCTAAAACATTGAGGAGAATGGAATTCTCCCTAACTCATTCTATGAGACCAGTATCAGCAAAACAAGACAAAGGCACAACAAAAAAAGAAAGACACACCAATATCCCTGATGAACATAGACACAAAAATCATCATCAAAATGCTAGCAAACAAAATCCAACAGGACATTAAAAAGGTAACACACTATGATCAAATGGGCTTTATACCAGGGACATAAGGATGGTTTGACATATGCAAATCAATAAATGGGATTCATCACATAAACAGAATGAAGCACAAAAGCCATATAGTCATCTCAATAGACACAGAAAAAGCATGTGATAGAATTTAGCATTCCTTCATGATAAAAACCCCCAAAAAACTAGGCACAAAAGGAACATACCTCAAAATACTAAAAGCCATATATGAAAATCCACAGTCAACATCATACTGAATAGGGAAAAGTTGAAAGCCTTTCTCCTCTAAGAACCGGAACAAGATAAGTATACCCACTTTCACCACTGTTCTGGCTAGGACTTCCAGTACATGCAACATAGTGCTGGAAGTCCTAGCCAGAGCAATCAGGCAAGAGAAAGAAAGAAAGGGCATCCAAATTAAAAAACAAGTCATATTACCCTGTTTGCTAACAATACAATCTTACATCTAGAAAAACCTAAAGACTCCACCAAACAACTCTTAGATTTGATATATGAATTTAGCGAAGTTGCAGGTTACAAAATCAACATACAAAAATCAGAAATGCTTCTTATTTTTGTATGTGGATTTTGTATCCTGCAACTTTACTAAATAATAATGGTCCAATAATGATCCATTAATGCCTCAATAATGACCTAGCTAAAAAGGAAATCAAGAAAGCAATTCCCTTTATAATAGCTGCAAAAAATAAAGTACCTAGGAATAAATTTAACCAGGGAGGTAAAAGATCTGTACAAGGAGCAAAACACTGATGAAAGAAATTGTAAATGACATAAACAAATGGGAAAATATCCAATGCTTGTGGACTAATATTGTTAAAATGACCATACTGACCAAAGCAATATATGAATTCAATGCAACCCCTATCAAAATACCAATATCGTTTTTCACATAATCAGAAAAAACAATCCTACAATTCAAATGGACCCCAAAAAGTATCTGATAGCCAAATCAATCCTAAGCAAAAAGAAAAAAGCTATAGTCACACTGCCTGACTTCAAATTATATGACAAGGATTTAGTAGCCAAAACAGCATGGTACTGGTATAAAATACATAGACCAATGGAACAGAATAGAGAACCCAAAAATAAAACCATATATTTACAGCCAACTGATCTTTGACAAAGCTGAAAAGAATATACATTGGAGAAATGACACTGTTTTCCTTTTTTTTATTATTATACTTTAAGTTCTGGGGTAAGTGTGCAGAATATGCAGGTTTGTTACATACGTATACACGTGCCATGGTGGTTTGCTGCACCCATCAACCCATCATCTACCTTAGGTATTTCTCCTAATGCTATCCCTACCCTAGTCCCCCACCCCCCAACAGGCCCCAGTGTGTCATGTTCCCCTCCCTGTGAGAAATGACACTGTTTTCAATAAATGGTGCTGTGAAAATTGGATTGCCATATGCATAAGAATGAAACTAGACCCCATCTCTCACTATACATAACAATCAACTCAGGATGAAATGTAAGAGCCGAAACTATAAAATTACTAGAGGAAAATCTCGGGAAAACTCTTCTGAACATTGGCCAATGCAAAGAAGTTATGACTAAGACCTCAAAAGCACAGGCAACAAAAAATTAGACAAATGAGATTTAATTAAGCTAATGCACTTCTGCACATAAAAAGAATCAGCGGAAGGACAGACAATTTGCAGAATGGAAAAATATTTGCAAACTATTTATCCAACAGGGAACTAATATTCATAATCTACAAGGAACTCAAACAACCCAACAACAACTAAAAAAACGCCATTAAAACTTGGGCAAATGACATGAATAGACATTTTTTAAAAGAAGACACACAAATGGCCAAGAGGTATATTTTTTAAAATGTTCAACCTCAGCCGGGCGCGGTGGCTGGCGTCTGTAATCCCAGCACTTTGGGAGGCTGAGGCGGGCGGATCACGACGTCAGGAGATCAAGACCATCCTGGCTAACATGATGAAACACCGTCTGTACTAAAAATACAAAAAAATTAGCCGGGCGTGGTGGCGGGCGCCTGTAGTCCCAGCTATTCCGGAGGATGAGGCAGGAGAATGGCATGAACCCACCCGGGAGGCGGAGCTTGCAGTGAGCCGAGATCACCACTGCACTCCAGCCTGGGTGACAGAGCGAGACTCCGTCTCGGAAAAAAAAAAAAAAAAAAAAAAAAGCTCAACCTCTCTATTCATCAGAGAAATGGAAATTAAAACCACAACAAGATATCATTTTACCCCAGTCAGAATGGCTATTATTTAAAAGACAAAAAATAACAGATGTTGGAGAGGATGTGGAGAAAAGGAAATGCTTATACACTGTTAGTGGGAACGTAAACTGTGGAAACTATGGAAAACAGTATCGACATTTCTCAAAGAACTAAAAATAATGGCCAGTGGCTCACACCTGTAATCCCAGCACTTTGGGAGGCCAAGGCGGGTGGATCACCTGA
This sequence comes from Homo sapiens, assembly GCF_000001405.40. Taxonomy (NCBI): domain Eukaryota; kingdom Metazoa; phylum Chordata; class Mammalia; order Primates; family Hominidae; genus Homo; species Homo sapiens. Next base: position 47,864,011 of record NC_000013.11, read on the forward strand.
GGTCAGGAGTTCCAGACCAGCCTGGCCAACATGGTGAAACCCCGTCTCTACTAAAAATACAAAAATTAGCCAGGTGTGGTGGCGTGTGCCTGTAATCACAGCTACTCAAGAGACTGAGGCAGGATAATTACTTGAACCTGAGGAGGCAGAGGTTGCAGTGAGCCAAGATCGCACCACTGCACTGCAGCCTGGGCGACAGAATGAGACTCCACCTCAAAAAAAAAAAAAAAAAAAAAAAGGAAATAAAAACAGAATTACCATTTTATCCAGCAAACCCTCTACTGGATATCTACCCAAAGGAAAAGAAGTCAATATATCAAAAACAGTACTTGTATGTTTATCACAGCACTGTTTACAATAGCAAAGATATAGAATTAACCTAAGTGTGAATCAATGGATGATTCAATAAATAAAATGTAGTATATATACACAATGGAATATTATTCAGCCGTAAAAAAAGAATAAAATCAGCCGGACGTGGTGGCTCACGCCTGTAATCCCAGCACTTTGGGAGGCTGAGGCAGGTGGATCACGAGGTCAGGAGTTCAAGACCAGCCTGGCCAACATGGTGAAACCCGGTCTCTACTAATAATACAAAAATTAGCTGGGCGTGGTGGCGCATGCCTGTAATCCCAGCTACTCGGGAGGCTGAGACAGGAGAATCACTTGAACCTGGGAGGCGGAGGTTGCAGTGAGCCAAGATAGCGCCACTGCACTACAGCCTGGGCAACAAGAGTGAAACTCCGTCTCAAAAAAAAAAAAAAAGAATAAAATCATATCCTTTGTGACGACATGAATAGATCTTGAGATTATTATTTTAAGTGAAACAACCCAGACACAGACAAATATTGCATGTTCTCGCTCATAAGTGGGTACTAAAATATGTATACACGTGGGCATAGAGAGTGGAATGATAGACAACGGAGACTCAGAAAGGTGAGAGGGCAGGAGGCAATGGAGGATAAGAAATTGGTTAATGGGTGCAATGTGCATTATTCAGGTGACAGATACTCCAAAAGCCCCGACTTAACCACTATGCAATCTATGCATGTAACAAAATTGCAGTTGTACCCCACAAATTTATACAAATAAAATAAATAAATAAATAAATAAATAAATAACAAAAAAATTGGCCCACCCCCATATGTACCTGGCTAGACCCTGGGTCAGGCACTGGATGTCTTCATAGCCCCTTCCCCTTATTTTGCAGCTTGCTTCTGGTGATATCCTGGGGTCACTTACACTTACACTACACAGTACCATTGCATTTAATAGCTTCTACATTCAGAAGATGCTGCCTCTGACAGTGAGAGATACTAGGATCCAAAGAGAGTTTTTCTGGATAAAGGGGGCTTTTCTTTCTCCTAAGAACCGCTGCATGCAGCTAGATGGAATTGGTTTGTGGTGATAGGAATAGAGAGCTGAACCTTATGACTCTTTCTGATATATTTTTTTGAGTCAGGGTACCTGTTATTCATGCATTACAATTGGCTTTTTTGGCTTTGACCCTTCCTTCCCTCCCTCCCTCCCTCATTCCTTCCTTCTCTCCGTTTGCTCCTTCTTGTATAAATCCATCTGGAAGCAGGTCATAGTTGGAAGTTCTATTTGCCTGTGATTGCAAAATCACAGTCGCCTTTTGGCAACACGGGAATTACCTGAGAAAAGATTCTGCAGCTTCAAACTTTAACTGCATTGCCACTTTTTTTTTGCTAATTCCTTTTCTAAACAATAAAACTATGTTAATGATCACAAGAAAATCATCACATCAACTGAGTTAGAAATTAAGAGAGCAACTGGATGTCAATAAAATATTGACCACAGCTCTGAGAAAGCCAGTTTCATTTGGCGGGAGGTGTGATTCTCAGGGGAAGCATTTATTCTGTGTGTCAGATCCTGGGGGCCGGAGGTGCCATGGTGGGAGTTTACAGGTGGTGGTAGAGGAGAGGAGGCATTGGCCAGATCTTAATTTTGAAGAGCACTCTTTTCCTTCAATGAGGAAGTTCACTTCTTATCTAGGGTAAATTTCTGCATTGAGGTCTTGTGGCCGAAGGTGATACTCCTGACTCTGATTGGGCATCTTGGGTCAAGACAGGCTATCTCCCATCTACAGATGGTGACTGTTCAATAGACTTCCTAAGAATTCATGACTTTCTGAGGCGCCTGGCTACATCCTAGTTTTGGCACTTACATAAGTCAGATTTTGCAAAACATGATGTAAACCTTTCTTATTTCATATGGTTGAAATACTATTTCCTTAACAATTTTAATAATTTCATGTGGGAATCTTGCCTATCGAATTAGATTAGAAATTGCAATCTCTCCTTTCTCCCTCTTTATTTACCTTCCTCTCCCTCCAGAAGTGGTTCTAAAGAAAAGTTCTGCTATAGTTGATAACTGACAAGCCAAAACAACTATCTGATTTTTGCATAAAGCTGAGAATTATACCAACACTCTTGCTTTCATAATTTGATTGAAACACAACATAGAAAAGGGGAAATAAACAAAATGGCCATAAAAATCAATTTGGCAATGAAAAGGCAACCTGAGATTGTCAAAGTGAAACTGTCTGGATTGGAGAAAGAAAGTATTACATCTTTTTTTTTTTTTTTTTTTTTTTTTTTGAGACGGAGTCTCACTCTGTTGCCCAGGCTGGAATGCAGTGGTGCTATCTCGGCTCACTGCAAGGTCCACCTCCTGGGTTCACGCCATTCTCCTGCCTCAGCCTCCCCTGTAGCTAGGACTACAAGCGCCTGCCACCATGCCTGGCTAATTTATTTGTATTTTTTTTAGTAGAGATGGGGTTTCACTGTGTTAGCCAGGATGGTCTCAATCTCCTGACCTCGTGATCTGCCCGCCTTGGCCTCCCAAATTGCTGGGATTACAGGCGTGAGCCACTGCGCCAGGCCGAAAGTATTACATATTTAGAAATGCAAAATAAAAACTGAATTAGACCTTTTATCAAATGTGTTATTAATATATTGCTGAACCTTTCTAGAATTCTAGACCTATGAAGTTCAAGAATTGAAACTTTCAATACTATCTATATGTGTCCCTTCTGTCTTGAGCTTCATAAGGGCCCAGAGGGTGAAATGCAACCCCCATTGGACTTGGGGCACTGCCAGCTCATAGTTCTTTTTAGGGTTGTTTTTCTTTTTGTTTTTTATGTTTGAACGGCTAGCACACGCCCTAGTAGACCAATGGATCTTTTGTGCAATTTACTGCTCTGAGTATGCAATTATTAGGAAACAGTTAATCATTTAAATTGAAGTTGAATGTTATTGATGGCATGATGTTGAGCTTTTAAAGTTTATATCAGCCATATCAAACTGAAACATGGTGAAAAAATTACCAAACTGCTTCTTAACGTTTTTGCATTCAGCAACTATTTTTGAGTATGTGCTATGTTTTTAGCTATATTCTTGAAAGAATTAAGACTTGAATATCCACTTGAAGGATGGATTTGGTGAAAAATAACTTTGTATGGTTATCACTCCATTCCTCTAGGTGCAAGCCCCTTTGCTCTATGGTGGCTCACCTGTGAAAAGCTGTGCTTTTCTGAGTGAGAACCACTGGATTTTTTACAAAAGGAAACTAGGCAAGGCTTATACTTGGACGATGCTTGAGATCCTTTTGACTATTACCAGTGGACAATTCACGGAGCCTATGAGCAAGTGGATTTCTTTTTTATTACTTTATTTTATTTTTTGAGACAAGGTCTCACTCTGTCACCCAAGCCTGAGTGCAGTGGCGTGATCATGGCTCACCACAGCCTTAACCTCCAGGGTTCAAGCGATCCTCCCACCTCAGCCTCCCTTGTAGCTAGAACTACAGACACACACCATCAGGCCCAGCTAATTTTTTTTTTTTTTTGGTAGAGATGGGGGTCTCACCATGTTACCCAAGCTGGTCTCAAACTTCTGAACTCAAGCAATCCATTCACCTTGGCCTCCCAAAGTGCTGGGATTACAGGCATGAGCCACTGCTCCTGGCAGCAAGTGGATTTCTATTGCTATGTCCCTACCACTGAAAAATCCAAGTTCTATGCTTCCTTCTACATTGTTTTTAACACTCAGGACAAATTTTGAAGTAATAATTATCCCAAATTTGTTTGTAGAAAGTCTTAAAAATTAGGAGACTTAATTTATCACATTTCCTTCTATGAGGACATTCCACCAGCGAGTCTGCTCACTGCTTCTGGTGATGTGTGTTATGTGGATGACATAAGACAATGAACTTTTTTGTCTTTCTTTTGGTCCATGTTTAATTCCTCACACTTGGCAACTAAGCAAAAGTTGGTTGGGTTGGTTTTGTTTTGTTTTGTTTTCCAAAAGGGCTCACTCAGGTTGTCTTTTCATTCAAATAATTGAACCAAAATGGCAGTCAATATTCATTGAAGGTTTACCAGGAATGTAGTTTTGTGGGGACATAGAGGAAAAGGAATGTCTACTTGAATGAAAAGGTCCACTTTATTTAAAAACAAAATACACAAAGTAACAAAAAAAAATCTACATATTGAGTTTAAAGGGATGGAAAAGACAAAGGAAAAATTAAGGACGGGAATATCTGAAATTTTTAATAATAAACAATCAAGTCTTGGCTCTACAGAGGAGACCAAGAGTGTTTGCATATTCCACTCTGTATGTGCTTGGCAGGTACAGAGAGAAGTAAATGAAGAAAGAATGAAGACTTTGAGAAGTGCAGTTCCACTCAAGTTCTTGGTTGGTTACAATCAACCAAAACTAACTCAGGTGCCCTTGGTTTCACCACACTTGACGATCCCTGGGCCTTTGAGTCATTCCCTTAAGACTGGAGGGCTCAAGTGGAAACACTGGATTTGCTGAGCCCATGGGACCAGGTTGCTCAGAGAGTGAATACTTGGCCCTCTTTGGCTTCCGTAGAGGAAGGTGCAGACTTGTCTTCCACTTGTGTGGTATTCCCCACCCCCACATTAGAAAAGGTTTTGAGAAGCCCTTTGTATCTATCACAAGTAGGTAGGATTCACAAATGGTATCACTAAGTAGTTTGGATTTTCCCCTTCAAATATCAAAACGCTGCACACTACCTTGGTGAGTTATAAAAAAGCTGTAATTAAAAAATGTTTTCACTGGAGGACTGAAGTCACTAAAGACTATTCCTCGATAATTTGAGATAGATTTCAAATTATTTTGACTATCCTCATTAAGTTTTAAGAGCTTAAAATCTGATTAATAATAATAAAGTTTAATTTTTATAGTCTCAGAGTGCTTGGCTGCTTATGTAGTAATCTGAGGGTCATCTCTTCATTAGGCCTTTTGGGAGATGCTATTTCTTCATGCCAGCCTGAAATTTCATGCTCTGCTTTGAGATGAAAAGAAGCAATTCCAAGAGTTTTTGACCAAAAGCAACACAAATTCAAGTTATAAAATACCCTTGACATGTTCACTGTTCAGCACCTTGCACCAAATGTCAAGGAATTATCAATACTAATTTACTTCCTTTGCCTTTCTAATGACTATGTTTGTGGAAAATTTTGATTAAAATGTGGCTACCTGTGGCCATTTTGCTGGAAAGGGTTTTTCAATAACCTTTGAATGATTATTCTTTCATGTGACTTCAAGGAAGAGATATTTATGAATTGGGCAATTAAAGTAAAATTTAACATTAAGAAAATGAGTGCTGTCCAAGAATTACAATTTTATGTACTGAGCAATTTCCTAACAGGAGAAGCTTAGCTCAGGTCCCAAATGCTGAACATGGCTCGTGAGTGTGTGTGTGTGTGTGTGTGTGTGTGTGTGTGTGTGTGTGTGTTGATCAACAGTGGCTCTCAATCTTGTCTCCAAATTAAAATCACCCCTGGGGAGCTTTCAAAAGTCCCAATGCCCAGTCTACATTTCAGACCAATTAAATCAGAATCTTTGGGTGTAAGTCACAAGCATCACCATTTTCTAAAGCTTCCTAGATGACTCTAATGTGTGGCTAAAGTGGAGAATCCCCTGGTTCATCAGATTGACTGGCACATGACTAACTAATGAGTAAACCATAAACTCTGTATCCTGCTTCATTCTGGAGACCTTAGCTCCCAAATCTACAGCTTTAACTCTGAACCTTCTCCTGAGTTATACACCCATATTTTATTCAAAACAAAAGTCATGCTACTGGCTTTTTTCTTTCCCCAGCAGGCAGACAGCCTATTGTGAGATTTCCCCTTGTAATCGTGTGAGCCAATTCTCCCTAATTAACTCCCTTTTATATATACCTATATCCTACTGGTTTTGTCCTTCTGGACAACCCTGGCTAACACACCTGTGAGACCCAATTAGGGTATCTGATCCCCAGGACTGTAAGAAAATAAATGTGTGTTGTTTTAAGCCAAAAAAAAAAAAGTCATGATCTAGCTTTCACCAATCTTCCCCTTTCCCTTTGTTTTCTTTATCAGTTAGTGGTGTATGAGTTCTTGTAGTGCATTGCATCAGGCCAAGGGAGGTCTGCAATAGCTTTTACCTGAAGTAGTGTTTCTCAGATTTGGGAGATCTTGTTAAAATGTAGATTCTTACCTAATAGGTCTGGAGTGGTTCTACATTTTCTACAGACTTCCAAGTAAGGGCCCCACCGCTGGTCCAAAGACCACACTTGATTGACAAGGATCTAATGTAACACCTGTTCCAGTTATTCTGTTATAATGTCTTGTTTATTTCCTTCACATATCAGAGTTATGTTGCTTAATTATGTGTTTACTTGTTTACTATCTCCCCACTGAATACAAACTCCAATAGTCCTATAGCTATTTTATCTACTGAGTACCTATTATACTACCTGGCATTTAATAGTGGGTTACTAAATATTGAATAAATACATGAATGAAAGAACATGCTAAAGAGACTGTCATAGGAACTGAGTCAAGCTGGAAGGGCTCTTGCCTGAGAGATTCTCGATGGAAATGCTGTCAAGGGGAGCTGAGAGGTAAAAGATAAAGAGAAATTAAGAGTATAAATGGAGAGTAGGAAGCAATTGGATAATTGAGCCTGTTGAGTAGAAGGAGTAAGGGCTCAAGTGCAGAGTGGATAAATATCAGAGCTTAGAGGTCTAATATTAAAATTATGAGCATTCTTTCTATGCAAGCCTTGCACATCATTGCCATATTGATGGTAAGCTAAAGAAGAACTAGCCTGGACAAATATCAGCTTTCATATCCAAGTTCTCTGGAATGTCACAGAAGGTTTCCAGAGTTTACCTTTAGCTCTCTTGTCCAGACTCATCTCCCAACTTATTCTCCCTCTCTCTCCAAGACCCGTCACTGCCCACCAGGCACTGACTATACTGTACTGCTTATTGATATGTGCTCTTATTGAAATTTTATTCATTTTCAGCCCATATTCTTCCTCCTCCTTTAAGCCATATTTAATCCTATTAATATTGCCTTCCTCGTCTATACTGATTTAGCATGTCAATTCCATGTCTAGTCTCATTCTGCCACCCAGGCATGATCTCAGCTCACTGCAACCTCCGCCTCCCAGGTTCAAATGATTCTCATGCCTCAGCCTCCCGAGTAGCTGGGACTACAGGTGTGCACCACCACACCTGGTAATTTTTGTACTTTTAGTAAAGACATGGTTTCACCATATTGCCCAGGCTGGTCTCGAACTCCCAGCCTCAAGTGATCCACCCACCTCAGCCTCCCAAAGTGCTGGGATTACAGGTATGAACCACCGCACCCAGCCTCAATTCCATTTCTTAACATGTTTTATCACCAGTGCACAGGTCTATCTCTCCCAGGAGTTTAGGGTTCTATTAAGGTCAGACCCCTGTCTTCTAAATCTTTGGCTCTCCGTGGTACGTTACAGTGTTATTATATGTAGTTGGAGCCCAACAAATGTTGCTTAAAATGATGTATAACAAAATAATGGTAAAACTTCATATTCATATATGGATATTATAACTTCAAAATACATTCATAGACTCCCTCTTCTGACCATAATGAAATAATAAGGGCTGGATTTTCTTCCTCTCCTCCCACCACCATAAATAATCAGAAAACTGGAAAAATATAAGAGATCTGTTTTCAGACAACAAATGACACAGGGCTGTGATCCTTGAGAAAAGGGAAACAGGTGAGATGGGCCCTATGATCACTTCAGATTTCTGCCTGGTGGTACTCCACATCATGGAGCTGAGTGATAGCATGTTGATCAGAAGCAGACAATGATTATTTTACTGAGTTTAAGAGACAGTGATCAGAGTTGAGAGAGGCCGAGGCAGCTAAAAGTTGTAGAGAATGATGCAGAATAATAACTGTATTAGTCCATTTTCACACTGCTGATAAAGACATAGCTGAGACTGGGTAAATTATAAAGAAGAAAAAGGTTTAATGGACTTATAGTTCCATGTGGCTGGAGAGGCCTCACAATCATGGCAGAAGGCAAAAGGCAAGTCTTACATGGCAGCAGGTGAGAGAGAGAATGAGAGCCAATCAAAAGCAGAAATCCCTTATAAAACCATCAGATCTCATAAGATTATTCACTACCATGAGAACAGTGTTGGGGAAACTGCCACCATGATTCAATTATCTCCCACTGGATCCCTCCCACAACATGTGGGAATTTTGAGAGCTACAACTCAAGATAAAATTGGGGTGGGGACACAGCCACACCATATCATTCCACCCCTGACCCATCCCAAATTTCATGTCCTCACATTTCAAAATCAATCAGTCCCCCAAAGTCTTAACTCATTTCAGCATTAACTCAAAAGTCCACAGTCCAAAATCTTATCCAAGACAAGGCAAGTCCCTTCTGACTATAAGCCTGAAAAATCAAAAGCAAGTTAGTTACTTCCTAGATACAATGGGGGTACAGGCATTGGGTAAATATACCCATTCCAAATGGGGGAAATTGGCCAAAACAAAGGGGCTACAGGCCCATGCAAGTCTGAAATCCAGCAGGGAAGTCAAATCTTAAAGCTCCAAAATGATCTCCTTTGACTCCATGTCTCACATCCAGGTCATGCTGATGCAAGAGGTGGGTTCCCATGGTCTTGGGCAGCTCTGCCCCTGTGGTCTTGCATGGTACAGTCTCCCTCCCAGCTGCTTTCACAGGCTGGCATTGAGTGTCTGTGGCTTTTCCAGGTGCATGGTGCAAGCTGTCAGTGGATCTACCATTCTGGGGTCTGGAGGATAGTGGCCCACTTTTCACAGCTCCACTAGGCGGTGCCCCAGTAGGGACTCTGTGTGACAGCTCTGACCCCACATTTCCCTCCCACACTGCCCTAGCAGAGGTTTTTCATGAGACCCCCTCCCATACAGCAAACTTCTGTCTGGGCATCCAGGTATTACCATATATCCTCTGAAATCTAGACAGAGGTTCCCAAACCCCAGTTCTTGATTTCTGTGCACTCACAGGCTTAACATCATGTGGAAGCTGCCAAGGCTTAGGGCTTGCACCCTCTGAAGCCACAGCCTGAACTCCACATTGGCCCCTTTCAGCCACAGCTGGAGCAGCTGGGATGCAGGACACCAAGTCCCTAGGCTGCACACAACACAGGGACCCTGTGCCCCTTCCATGAAACCATTTTTTCCTCCTAAGCTTCCAGGCCTGTGATGGGAGGGGATGCTGTGATGACCTCTGACATGCCCTGGAGACATTTCCTCCATTGTCTTGGTGATTAACATTTGGCTCCTCGTTACTTATGCAAATTTCTGCAGCCAGCTTGACTTTCTCCTCAGAAAATGGGATTTTCTTTTCTATCACATTGTCAGGCTGCAAATTTTTCAAACTTTTATACTCTGTTTCCCTTATAAAACTGGATGCCTCTAACAGTACCCAAGTCACCTCTTGAATGCTTTTCTGCTTAGAAATGTCTTCCACCAGATACCTTAAATCATCTCTACCAAGTTCAAAGTTCCACAAATCTCTAGGGCAGGGGAAAAATGCCACTAGCATCTTTGCTAAAACATAACAAGAGTCACCTTTGCTCCAGTTCCCAACAAGTTCCTCATATCCATCTGAGACTACCTCAGCCTGGACTTTACTGTCCATATCACTATCAGCATTTTGGGCAAAGCTATTTTAACAAGTCTCCAGGAAGTTCCAAACTTTCCTACATTTTCCTGTCTTCTTCTGAGCCCTCCAAACTGTTCCAAACCCTGCTCACTACCCAGTTTCAAAGTCACTTCAAAGTCACTTCCAAAAGTTCAGGTATCTTTTCAGCAGCACCCCACTCCTGGTACCAATTTACTGTATTAGTCCATTTTCATGCTGCTGATAAAGACATACCTGAGACTGGGTAAGTTATAAGAAAAAAAAGTTTAATGGACTTACAGTTCCAGATGGCTGGGGAGACCTCACAATCATGATGAAAGGCACATCTTACATGGCAGCAGGCAAGACAGAGAATGACAGCCAATTGGAAGCAGAAATCCCTTATGAAACCATCAGATGTCATGAGACTTATTCACTACCATGAAAACAGTATGGAGGAAACCACTCCCATCATTCAATTATCTCCCACTGTATCTTTCACACAACATGTGGGAATTGTGGGAGCTACAATTCAAGATGAGATTGGGGTGGGGACACAGCCAAACTCCAGAAATTTGCATAGGTCCCTTTGTGTCTTTACTGAATACATGAGGGTATAGCATGAAACTCCATGAAGCAGAGCATAGAAAGACAAGGGAGCAGTGATCCAAACAACTGCCTAACCTCTCACAGGGCTTTTGAGACATTTGAGTTAACTAGCCAGTTTGAAGAATTATTGTGATCACTGGAGGCATTCAGTAGACTCCAGAAGAGCCATGCCTTAGTAGTGTGGTAAACTATCATTAAAGAGTAATCTCTGTTTACTGTAATACATCTTACAAACAAGTCTCTAAAAGGCCTAACTGTGCTGCAGTTAACTTAACTGGCTGCTAGAACAAAGACCAATACTCTTTAAAGGAAGAGAACAGAGTATAGATTTTCAACAATGTAAAAATCACAATGTGTATTATTCAACAAAAAATTATTATACATATCAAGAAGCAAGAAAACATGGTACAAAACCAGAAGGAAATGCCATCAATAGAAATGGACCCAGAAAATTAACAGAATTAGCAGACAGAAGGAAAAAAGCTGTTATAACTATGATCAATTATATTTTCTAAAAACAAGAATATAGTGAAGAGAGACATGGCAGATAAAAAGGAGAGCCTTCTGGGGATATGAAATATAGCATCTAAGATGAAAAATTCACTGGTTGGGACTAACAACAGGTTAGACATTGTATTAGTCCATTCTCATACTGCCATAAATAAATACTTGAAACTAAGTAATTTATAAGGAAAAAAGGTTTAATTGGCTCACATTTCTGTAGGCTGTACCAGACACATGGCTGGGGAGGCCTTAAGAAACTTTAAGTCATAGCAAAAGGGGAAGCAGGCACATCTTACATGGCCAGAGCATGTAAGAGGAAGAGAGTGAAGGGGGAGGTGCTACACACTTTTAAACAACCAGATCTCATGAGAACTCACTCACTGTCATGAGAACAGCAAGAGGGAAATCCATCCCTGTGATCCACTCATCTCCCACCAGGCCCCTCCTCCAATACCGGAGTTATAATTTGACAAGAGATTTGGGTGGGGACACAAACCCGAACCATATCTGACACTATATAAAACAATATTAGTAAGTTTCAACACAGAGCAATCAAAAATATCCAAAGTGAAGCACAGAGAGAAAAAAAGACTAAAAAGGAAGGAAAAAAAAAAGAATAAACAGAGCTTCAGTGACTTAGAAAAAAGTCTAGAGTTGTCTCACATTTATGAAACTGAAATCTCAAAAAGAGGGGTGGGGATGGGAGGGGTGCAAAAAAAGATTTGAAGAACTAACAAATGAAAAATCTCTACAAATTTTATGAAAACTATAAATTCTTAGATCCAAGAAGTTTAAAATACCACATGCAAGATAAACAAAAAAGAAAAACACACCAAGGCACATTCGAATCGAATTCCTGAACCTAGTGATAATGCCTGGGTTTAAATCCCTGGGCTGTGTCCTCTTTTGCAGACTGCTTAATTGATGGGCCTGTCTCAGGAGACATGCAAGGTTAGCTTTGGCAATATCCTTGTGTTCCTGACTCTCCTGTGATGGGAGTCTTATCTCAAGATTAAAATCCTTCCATGCTTCACATGCCCTAATTGTTGTAAGTTACGGAGGGAAGGCAAAAGTAGATTAAGTCTGTGTGATTTCTCATGAGGGTGGTGAGGCACATGGGATAGTCATTGCTTAGGCTGTTGTTTTTAACCCCTGAACTAGTGAAAGGGCCTTTGCTATCACGCAGGGTTTCAGATTTGCAAAGCAAGCACCTGGTCCACTTGTTGCTATCTTCCTATGCTTTCTCTCTACAGATCAAAGCAGAACTCTGTGGGATCAAGGATTTCCTCAGACAGGGGTTAACTAAGCATAGGTTAGCTCCTGGATAACCAAATTAAAATTTTGTTATAAAAATAATGCCATGCATAATCATGCACAGTCAATCCTCATTATTTGTGTATTCCATATTTGTGAATTTGTCTACTCACAGGATTTGTTTGTAACCCCAAAATCAATGGTGCTTTCATGGTCATTAGTGGACATATGCAGAGCAGTGAAAAATTTGATTCACCCAATGTGCACAGTCATGGCTGAGGTCAAACAAGGTGACACTCTGCCTTCTTGTTCCAGCTCTCATACTGTAAACAAGAGTCTTTCTTGTGGTCTATTTAGTACCTTGCTTTTTGCATTATTGTGCTTTCTGTGGATGATTTTGCTATTTACAATGGTCTCCCCAAGCACAGAGCTGACGGGCTGTCTAGTATTCCTAAGTGCAAGGCAAGTGTTCGATAAGCTTCCTTCAAGCAGGAGTGATAGTGCCATTGGCCATGAGTTCAGTGTTAATGAATCAACAATATATATTAAATAAGATTGACATAAGACTTTGCATAAAGATCCAGAAAATGTCCATGAGTCCAAGTCCCATCCCAACATCCCTTGTGATGCCTTGTGGGGCCCATGGCATTTCGGTATTGGGAGGCAGGGCAACAGGAAGTATCCTAGGTCATGGCACATAGCTGGTGTCAGTAAAAACCCCAATCTCACAGGGAATGGCAAAGAGCAAACCCATTACCAACTCTCTAAGTGCCAAAAGCAGACAAAACTCAAGAATCAGAGCCATCACCTTAGTACTCATAGCAGAGTAACCAGCAGGAACATTAGCAAAGCGGGACCAGTTCCACCACCCTTGTGGGGCATGATGGCTCGGGATGGGTGTTACATGCCATGGGTTACATCACAGTTGAGGAACCCAGGGCCAAAGTCCTCATACCTTTTAGAGCAAGCAGCAAGAAACAAGCCAATCCCCCTCCTCAGGGAAACAAGCAGTTACATGGTGGTTATACTGTCACTGCCTTGATCGTTCAGTATCAGGAAATGGACGAGCCTTGTGGTCTGGCACAGTTGGCAAGAACATGCAAGATGCTCGGGGCCCATGGTGGGTGGCATCTCCCAATGGGAAGTGTTTATAACTGTTTGTTGAATGAATAAAACGAGCAGAATAGTGGGCTCTGTTTAGAGTGAAAGGTCTTTGTCAGGTTTCATTTGGTGGTTTGGAATGAAAAACTTGTTTCTATCAGTGTATAGTTTTAACTATGCAGTTTTAGCTATAACTTGTTCTCACTATACTTGGGGCCTTGGGGAGTGCTAGAAAGAAATATGGGTGCGTAGGAGGGCAGGACATTGGCAGATGAAATGCAAATTTTGCTGGGAAAATAGAGAGGCATTTTGGGAAACAGGTTGATGAGCCTTAGAATTATTTGCAAAACTGCTAGAAATTCCCACATAGTGCTGTGCTGTGATTGGCTATTAAGTTGCAGCTGCAACTTGAAACAAGTTGCTAACCAAGTTTTAAATAATTCTTTGAAATGTGCAATTCTCCATGGAATGGTAGATTAAAATTCATATTCTCTTTTTTTAATACTTCATAAAATCTTCCTTTTAAAATCCACTTCTATTTGGACAGAGGAAAGCGAAAGATACCAAAGGGAGTTTGTAAAACAACCAAGGTAGCAATACCTGAAAGGAGCTAACTAGAGAGTGTTTTATCTGAGGTTAAGAATTAATAATGTCATCTTTTTAAGACTAAGGACTGCTTGAACTGTTTTAACTGAGAGATTAAATTAGATCAAGTATCAGAGCCCAGGATTAGACTGAATTATTCACTGATAAAATTATGGCTAATGTGTTTTGAATCTACTCTTAACTATGATGCAGCAATTTGATTACCTTCAGCAATCAATGAATGAATGATGAAATGAAGCCTTCAGCCAGGTGCGATGGTTCATGCCTGTAATCCCAGCACTTTGAGAGGCCTACCTGGGCAGATAACTTGAGGTCAGGAGTTTGAGACCAGCCTGGGCAACATGGTGAAACCCCATCTCTATTAAAAATACAAAACCTAGCCAGCGTGGTGGCACACATCTCTAATCCCAACTGCCCGGGAGGCTGAGGCATGAGACTCTCTTGAACCCAGGAGGTGGAGGCTGCAGTGAGCTGAGATTGTGCCACTGGGCACAATCTGTACAGCCTGGGCAACAGAGCAAGACCCCATCTTGAAAAAAAGTAAAGAAAAGAAAAAGAAAAAACGAAGCCTTCAGGTCCCATGTGGACAGTGGCAGAGGATTCACTGGTATGTGCACATACCAGCCCTTCTCTACTCTGGTGCCATTTTCTCCTCATTCTTTGTACTTCTCTTTCTCTCCTCACTCTTACTCATTTTCCAGGGTCTAACTTAGGCCCTGAGATGTCTTCACTGACCACTTCAGCCCCCAGAGCTCTCACCTTGGAGGTGCAAAACCTTATTTTGTATGTCAGTGGTTCTCAGATTTTAGCATGCATCAGAATCACCCAGAGAGCTTGTAAAAACACAGATTCCTGGGTCCCACCCCCAGAGAATTCAGGAGATCTGGGATGGTGTGAGCAATTTTGCACTTCTAACAAGTTCCCAGGAGCTGCCAATGCTCTTTCTAGTACCATACTTTGAGAACCACTGATCTATATTCCTGGTGTTTTTCACTTAGTTGTATAAGTGAAATAAGAGATATATTTCACTCTTATATTTGAGATAAGAGACCTTTCTTTCCATATTGCTATTGAAATTTTCATAAGAATATGCCTGGTTTGGAACACAGAATGTACTCAACAAATGTTAGTTCCATTCACCATCCCTACTTCCTTATTTAAATTATAAATTCTTTGAAGGAAGGGGTATTTAATATATGCAGCTATGTACTTAGGAAGTACTCAATATATATTTACTAAATAAATGGATAAATAGAAGGTTCCTGATTCCGGTGAAGATTTTTTCCTAAGACCTCTAGCTGATTTTGTTCTGTTATGAATACCTTCAGTTTTCCTCAAGACATAGTTCAGTAGTATAGAAATATCTTTTATTAGTTGTGTGTTGTGGAAAGAACTGACAGATTAAAATGTCTCACTTCAATGTAGTTCCCAGTTGGACAGGTAGTTTTCTCTTTCTTGGATCTTTCACACTGCTGAATTGAGTGACACGGTCGTGGGTCTTTCTGGCTGATGTCTCCATAGTCTCTTGACACAGGGCTGCCACCAGGGTTTGGTTCAACTGATGGAGATACAATTTTTCTTTGTCTGAAAGGCATTGTTTACCTTGACCTTAACAGGGTGGCAGCAGGACTGAGGCTGCCTGATACCTGTGATTTTGTTTCTCTGTTATCAATGGGACTTAACTCTTGCATCTATGTCCAATTTGGGAAGAGCGCTTGGGTAGAGAGATATTAAACTCTTACTTTTCGCATGCTATTGGCAAGTACAGGAGCTCCATTCCCACAGAGCAAGCATCCAGGAGCACAGAGGCAAGTCACTGCATGTTTCAAACACACTCTCAGAACTCAGAAGTTGAAAAAAATCCCCTAAAGGGTCCAATAATTTAGGAAATAATAAAAATTACCCCTTAATTGATTTTTTAAATTATTTTCATGTCCAGTGTTATGGATTAGTCCATTCGCTATTTGACATCTAAGATAATGGGTTCTTATTAGCTGTAATTATTAGAGTAACAATTTTTTCTGTCTACAACTATTCCTGTGAGTAAAGTAAAAAGAACACAGATTTGAAAAGTATCTGTTTCTGGCTTCTGGCTGAAGGCTGTGCTTCCCAGCCTGCCAGAACAGCCACCCCGAAGGCTGTTAAATAAAACATAAAATAACATAATATAGATTTGAGGTCACATAGACTAGAGCTCAACTCTTAGCTTTGCCTCTGCATTAGTTCTGGTCTGTTAAGAAGCAGACTGTCAGAAGGGATTAGACAGAACTTCAGATCACGTGCAGGTCTGACACCTGGAGAAAGAGAGAGGGAAGGAGGATGGGGTGGGAGGTCTCAAACTGTAGTGCCAAAAGGACGGTTTGGCCAGGTTTCTGGGGATTCATCAAGTCAAAGGTGCCCATGAGAGGAATCCTGTGTCTCACTGGAATGGCCCTGCATTGGTCCTCACTTAGTGACCCGACTGTGCTCAATCACTGGCTGGGAGAAGCTGGGAGATGTGTGGCTCAGGAGGAAAGTGATGGTGCATCCAGAGGGCAACAGCAGGGGCTGCCAGACAACTCTGTCCTTGCAGCAGGAGATCCGAGGCTCATTCCCATGGCCACCATGGCCTCTAAACACACACTCTGTTTTTACTGCCCCATGGAAACTGTCTCATGGGGATGTCAGTTAGGATGCCACACCTTTCCTTAACTGAACACATCTATGAATGATTTCTTCCTAGAAGTGGTATCTTGAGTGGAGGGACAAAGAAATTAGAAACAACAAAGCTGATTCATCTTAGCAACCACTGCCTTGGTTCATGAGTGAAATTTCTGAATCTGGTTCCCAAACTTTCCTTTCATTTCTTAAATTATTCGCCATCTTCCTGCTCAAACGTCATTATTGTTGCCTGGAACCAAAGAACCCTGACTGATCTGATTAACTCTGATTTTGGGGGGGTCACTCAATCTTTTAGCTCCACTTGTGAAGTGTGGGAATCTGGGAGGATTAAATAAGATAGAATATGTAATAAGATAGAATAGGTAAAACATTTGGTACATGGATCTTGCCCAACAATTTTTCCTCCTTCAACATTGATTTCAGCCAGGTGCAATTGCTCATGCCTGTAATCCCAACACTTTGGGAGGCAAAGGTGGGAGCATCGCTTGAGACCAGGGTTCAAGATTAACCTGGGTAACAAAGTGAGACTCTGTCTCTCCAAAAAAAATTTTTTCATTGACTGCATATTTTAACAACATATATCTCTGATATTTGAATTTGAATTAAATTGCATGAGGTTGTAAATGTTCATTTTTGCAAACATCACACCACCACTATTTATTGACTATTGCAGGGGCAGCAAAACTCTACCTCCATCCTCTTAAAGTCCTGGCTGGGCCTGAGAATTAAATTGACATAAGAGAGATTAACAGGAGAAAAGCAGCATACAAATTCATTTAATACAAGTTTTATGTGGCCTGGGGAGCCCTCATAAGGAAAATAAGACCCAAAAAACCAGCTACAGTCAGTTACTTATATACTGCATTGGACAAAAGAATACTAAGTTGTGAAGAAGCAACTAAATTATGTGGGGAGACTTCAACAATATGAGTTATCTTAACAAGGTCTGTAAAGAAGTCTTTCAGCCTTGGCTTCTCGTCCTTAAGGATACAGATGTTGCTTTTCCTTCTAGTATAGGAAGGGTGTCTTTCACATGGGAATTTCATCTTCTGCTTTTAAGAAACAGAAAAGAGGTCAGAATGATCTTCTTGCAATTTCTGTCTTTCAAATGCCTTTAATTCAAAACAGTCAATATGTGAAAGCGGTATTTTTTAACCCCTTCAGTGTGAACTATGTATGAAGTAAAATTCCACAAAAGATACTCAAGCCATGGTTCCCAGTCTTGGAAGGAAACAATCTCAACTCCCTATTGTCTAGAATAAATTTCAAAATACCTTTCTTATCCTTTAAGGCCACTCAGCATCTGAGCGTGTCTTTCCTCTCTAGCCTTATTTCCCAGTCCTGCCCATCACATTCCCAGAGCACTCACCCAGATGGAACCCACCTTGCTCTTCTGAGCCTGGGGCTCTTCTTATGACACTCCCTCTGCCCCTTTGTCTGTGCCACTTGTCCTGCACTGTGTTCTGCTGTCAAATTCCACCTGTCCTCATGGCTGACCTCAAGTGTCCTCTACATGATCCCTTCCATGGTCTCAACAAGCCCCCATGCCTTCTCCCTGCTCTTGTGTCCTTCCTCATGTTTGGCCCTGCATGTGGCAGCCTCCATCTCACAGGGTGGTCATGGTGTCCATACTTGAACCCCCCACTGAGCTGAGGGTGAGGCTTGCATTGCACTGATCTTTATTTCCCTGAGAGTTCCTAGCATGGTGGTTCTGACATAAATGCTCCCCAAGCCATAACGAAAATCACAGAGAAGAAGGACAGATGGAAGGAATCAACGTGATGGTAGGAAGCAGGCAGGAAGTGGCTCAGTGCACTATGAGAGGCACAGTACAACCCAATTTAAATTTTATCTTGAAATTTCAAACTTAGAGAAATATTGTAGCTACAATTTAAAAAACTCCTGTACATGTTTTACCCTGATTTACCAATTGCTAATATTTTGCCTCATATGCTTTATCATTTTCTCACTGTATGTTATTTTTCTGAACCATCTGAGAATAAGTTGCAGAAATCATGCCACTTGCTCTTAAACACTTCAGTGTGTATTTACTAAGAATAAAGATATTCTCTTACACAGCCATATTACACTTATCAAAATCAGGAAATTTAACGTTGATATAGGATTAATCTATACCTTCATTAAATTTCTCCAATTGACCCAATATCTATTATATCTTTTTTTTTTTCTGGTTCAGGAGCCAATCTATGATCTTATATTAAATCGTGTATTCATGACAGATAAAGTTTTAAGGACAAAAATGGCATTGTTTGGGGGTCCAGATTCTACTCAAATTCAAGGTGCATGTTTCTGCTCATCCCAGCAAATTATGACAGCAAAGCCGGGAGTTGTGTGATCTTACACAGCAATGCTATGCTGCCCATTGTTTTTGATTTGCAGACCTATCAGAGGTTCTGCGCAGATGGAGGCCTCGGGGTGCTCTCCCCAACTGGTGGTGAAAAAGGCTTCCAGTGGAATGAGATGATGCCTGTCTGCTTGCAACTTCTCACATTTCCCGGAGATTGGCAAGTGGACTCCTGTTAGACGCCACATGGCAGGAAACAATCACTCTGAAGTGTTTTTTGTGAAGCAAAATTACTAATGTTAATTATTCATCATATTTATTTCAAGATTCTAAATTAACACAATTATCCACATCTTATGGATTACAGAAATATAAAATATTACACTTTTGACTTACACACGTATAAATACTAATTTTAGGCTTTTATGATTTGAAAGGCAAATCACCCCAAACATTACCAGCTGGAGATGCTAAGGGAGAACAGAGGCCATCTCCTTTGTTCCTTTGGCATGATCCTGACACTTTTAGTATTTGAGAGTCCCAGGTTTTGCTGTTATTTTAAATCAGATCACTTTCAGAAAGGTAAGTCATCTTGCTTGACTCCCACTCCTTTGCAGAAAGACAGAAGATCTTCATCAGGGACCTTTTACCCTGAATGACTTGTGTATACCTTAATTAAATTTCTCCAATTTGCTGATTGTTCCAATATCTATTATGTCATTTTGTTTCTGGCTCAGGATCTAAGATCATATAGTAAAGTGTGCATTCACAACAGATAATGTTTTAAAGAGAAAAAATGGCATCATTTTGGGGCCCAGTTTCTACTCAAATTCAAGATGCGTGTTTCTGCTCATACCAGAAAATCATGACAGCAAAGGAAAGAATTGTGTGATCTTACACAGGGATTCTATGTTTCCTGTTGCTTTTTATTTACAGATCCATCAGAGGTCCTGCATGCCAGCTCTTCTTCCTGGATTGTTCATTCAGGCCTCATTGGAATCTCTATTCCATAGTTAAGATCTAGTTCAGTGGCCACCTCCTCCATGAAGTCCATCAACCCTTCAACAGTTATTTGTCCTCCCTTCCATACACCTTCAGCATTTATTCATTGTTGTAGTAACACACTGTGCTATGCAATGATGTGATGGTCCTTGAGATTACAAATGAATTTCATCTTCATCTTCTCATACCCAACAAGGTTCCTGGAATATGGCCAGTGAGCAAGGAATGAATGAATCCCTGACAGTCTCATACTGACCCTCTAAGACTCCCCGAATCCTCATCACTTTACTTTGGAAGCTGCTAGTTCTAATTCTTTGTGCTTTCCTTCTCTCTGATGCCCTCTGGTTACTTTTCTTTGCACTTGGATGAAATCGATACAGCAGCTTTATTGCAGTTGGGAAGGCTTTTGGATTACAAAGCAGATGTGGTGGTTTGGGGTCGGGGGTAATTGCTTGTGAAGGCTATTGGAAAGCAGAAACTTGGAGGGCTCTGCAAGTTCATCTTGTCACTTCTACTCCTCTTTGACTGATGGGTATTTTCCTCATTCTCAGTGACCTCTGGGGACAGCAATTTTGTATGGCCCCCACTGGAAACCTTTACAGCGGCAGCATGGTGAAGCAGGTGTGAGAGTTTAGATGCATAAAGATGGGTATTCTCAGATGCCCCGGCACAGAATACAGCTTCTCCAAGGCTGTCAGGGCTGGGTTGAAAAGAGGTCTGGCCACACCAAGAATGGTTATCAGTGTGAATTTACCTGATCTCACAGATATGTTCTCTAGTCCCACTGTCCTTTCCTTCTACCTTGCCAATTCAGCAGGTCTGGCCCAGCCCAGACCATTGGCCCTTCCCATCCTTGGCAGCTACTTCTATTAAGTGCATATCTTATCTAATACCACCCTTGCTTCACTCTTGCTTTACCTCCCAGACCTTGAAATTCTATTCATATCTGATCTCAGCCTCCCAGCACCAGCACCTACATATTCTATTAGTGCTGTAATGGCTAGCATATAAAGTGTGGCTTAAAAGAGCCAGGGTACCCATTTGCCAGTAGAGCAAAATTTTGGCATCTTTTTTTTTTTTGTGAGACGGAGTCTCGCTCTGTCCCCCAGGCTGGAGTGCAGTGGCACGATCTCGGCTCACTGCAAGCTCCGCCTCCAGGGTTCACGCCATTCTCCTGCCTCAGCCTCCCGAGTAGCTGGGACTACAGGTGCCCGCCAATACGCCCGGCTAATTTTTTGTGTTTTTAGTTGAGACGGGGTTTCACCGTGTTAGCCAGGTAGGTCTCAATCTGCTGACCTCGTGATCCGCCCGTCTCAGCCTCCCAAAGTGCTGGGATTACAGGCGTGAGCCACCGCGCCCGGCCTATTTTGGCATCTTATGTAATGATGCCTCTTATATTCAGCAAGTAAATTCCATAATGTGTCACCCACCCATTTTAAATGCTAATAAAAGAAATGAGTGCATCTCTCGTAACTATCACAGTAGTGGGAGTTGTAAGGGGAAAAAAAGGCCAGATGCATTTTGCTTTCTTTCTTAGTTACCACTAACATCTTTGCTCTATATTTGTGTCTCAGTGATGTTCCCTTCTTGCTGCTAAGCCTGGTCTATTGTTGGCATGGCACATGTGGGCTGCATGGGTAATTTGTGTCCTAGGAGGTTTCAGTTTACAAAAATAGGCAAAGCTTGACTTTTCACAGTCACTTCCTCTGTAATTAAAATGGCATATTTCTTAAGTTAGGAAAAGATGAGTTTATGGTAAGGGGAATAACAGTCTCTTCAAAGAGACTGAATTTATATTCTTGAACCATTGCCATATATAATAAAAGGCCTAGCAATTACTTGAAAGTCAATTTAAACATTGGATATAACAAAATAGTGCAAATTGGATAAATTAAGCTTCGGGTTCTTTTTTATTGAAGGACATATTGACTTTTTTGTTTTGTTTTGTTTTTTTTTGTTTGATCCTGGGGAAGTGGAGTCAATGGAAGCATTTTGGCACACATTTCTTTAAAAAAAAATGGAGTTAGGAATATGCACAACTTCCTCTGTAAGGGTGGGGAGAATCTGTTTTGTTTTTCAATATTTGCTCCACTGTGAATTTATTTTTGGTGTAATGGTGCGTCCCAACACCATTTGTTGACTGATTCATCTTTTCTCCACTGATTAGAAACACAACATTTTCCTACTGTAAAAAGAAATAATGTTAATTTTATATTTTAGGACTAAAACAACTATATTTACATGTGTTAAGATATTTCCTTATTAAATTTAAACATGTAAGCCACACAAGTTTTAATATCCTGTCTTGGCATTTCTTCACTTTTAAAGATATGCTAAGAAACAAACAGGAAACTGGCCAAGACTTCTGTTAACTGTTGAGAAGCTCCTAGAAATATGACCCACTACCTCACAGCTCTGCCTCTAGCAAGATTCCCCTAAGTCTTGGCCCTAGAGACTTTTAAACAAAGACCAAGACATTCAGGTCACAAGGGCGGTGGCTGCGATGATCTCAGAGCCAATGATGGCAAACTGCTCAGCTCTGGCTCAGCACAGGTGAGGGCTGCAATGACATGGAGGAGATGAGGCACCAACCGGAGTCTAACCTGCTTGCTGCTGTGTCCACTGCTAAGAGTCCTCAGAAGTCACTGACAGCAGAACGGAGAGGACAAGG
Source organism: Homo sapiens (assembly GCF_000001405.40). Taxonomy (NCBI): domain Eukaryota; kingdom Metazoa; phylum Chordata; class Mammalia; order Primates; family Hominidae; genus Homo; species Homo sapiens. The sequence continues at coordinate 47,886,716 of NC_000013.11, forward strand.
TGCTGATGAGCAAAAGATAGCCCCAGACTCTGACTGGAAGGGGCCAAGTCAGAGTCCCACTGTATGCTCACTGCCTCGGAGAAGGGCACCGAGTGTGTGTGTGTGTGTGTGTGTGTGTGTGTGTGTGTGTGTGTGTGTGTATAGCAGAGGAGGGGGCTGGCTGGGGAGGCCTCACAGTCATGGTGGCAAGGCAAAAGAGAAGCAAAGTCCCGTCTTGCAAGGCAGAGGCAAGAGAGAGAGCATGAGCAGGGGAACTCCCCTTTATAAAACTGTCAGATTTCATGAGACTTATTCATTGTCACAAGAACAGCATGGGAAAGACCCACCCTCATGATTCAGTTACCTCCCACCGGGTCCCTCCCATGACACGTGTGAATTATGGGAGCTACAATTTGAGATTTGGGTAGGGACACAGCAAAACCATATCAGTTGCTTATGATTTGGAGCAGATTTTTTGGTTTGGTATTGGTTTTTGCTTTGTCCCATAAAATGGCTTCTGAGCCTGAATGTCCTTCTTGTTGCCCTGAATTGTTTTGACTGGATCCCAAAAGGCTTTCCCCAGGGGATGTTTGGAGAAGGAGCTCAGAATAGTTCAAATGGATCTAGTCCTCCTGGCTACTAAGAGACATAGATAGGAATCATATAAACTTGCTTTGTTTTCGGTTCTTTGGTGGCTTTTTTTTTTCTCTCTCTCTCTTGACTCGGAAACAAGTTTACTGCAGGAAATGGATGCAGATAAAAATATATTCAAGTGATTAGGACTTGGAATACCCTACAGAAAAGGTAGGCTATTTAATGTCAGAAAGCATAACAAGAAGATTGTTTTTTTTATAATGAATGTTGAGCTGAATTATGTCCATCCCCTATGGGGTAGGGTTGGTAAAGGGGTAGTATGAACCCCACCCCAAGGGAAGTTATAGTCTAAGACTAGTAGGACAGAGGCAGGAAGCAGAAATATCACTTTTCACAATACAATAACTACTGAGAACATTAGAAAGTACCCATATGAAGGCCCTCATTTTTATAGATAAGGAAACAGAAACCATTTCCAAATAGTTAAGGAGAATGATGAGGCTTCAGGTTGAGTGCTTTGTGCACTCAACATGAAGAGCACTCATTTACTCTTCACCATGGCTACATGGGGTAGACAATGTAGTTACAGCCATTTCCAAAAAGTTTCATTCACTAGGTTCTCAATAAATAACTGATGAAGGAATGAATTAACAACTCTAATGCATTTATTCTTTTACGGGAGATGTTCTTTCTTTAGGCATCCTCTTGATAAGTTCCCCCACCAAGCCTGTTCCTCTTCCAAGGTTCCCTGTCTCTATGAACTGCCCACCTTGCAACCATTTGCACAAGCCAGAAACCTGTCTCCTTCATACCTTCCTCTCTGACACACGCTTAGAGAATTCATTATCCAGTCCTGATGGCTTTGCCGCCTAGAATTCTCCTGAATCCATCCATAGATCTCTGCCTCCACCACCACTACCCTCATCCAAATTGCCATCAACTCTCACCTGATGACCGTGGCCACCTCCTGACTGGGTCCACATATCAATTCTGAGCTCCCCTAAATCTGCTTCCCACACTGTAGCAAGAGTAGCCTTTTCAAAAGACAAATCCCCTCTTTCTATTTATTCGTTTCCTTTCCTTCCTGAAAAATTCAGACCCAAAGCCACTAGGTAGGACAAAGCAAGGCAGGCATTCCAGCCTGAGATGTAAGAAGTTGCCTTAAAAGAGCCCTCCAGGATACTACATACCCTAATGTAGGTACATAGGACCCAAATCAACCCTACTCTGGGATTGGGGGTCAAATATCAAGGATTCCAGCAGTAACAGTATCTGGTGACGAGGCTGAAGTGGGAGAAGAGACCACAGAACACAGCAACAATGCAATATCTCTCCAGATAACAGTTTTCTCAGCCTCTTGACTCTGATGTACATGGAGATCCCATCTTGTTTTTTCACTCCTTGCCCCTTCCTATTGAGCTTTTTACACAGACCCTCGCCATTGCCTTTTAATTCATCAGGAAATAGACAGAGCTTCACAGTGGCAGCAGCACCTGTTCCCTGCCCAGCCCCAAGCACAGATATTGGAAAATTATTCAATTATTAATTAACACTTGCAGCCCACAGTGTACATTCTCAAGTCTAAAGTGAGGGCTAGTGAATAAGGCAATAATATACTGTTTTACATTTTCAAAAATTAAAGAATACTACTACACACCTATCGGAATGGCCAAAATCCAGAATGCTGACCACCCAAATGCCAGTAATAATGTGAACCAACAGGAGCTCTCATTTATTGCTCATTGGAATGCAAAATGGTACAGCTACTTTGGAAAAGAGTTTGGCAGTTTCTCATAAAACTAAACATACTCTTACCATATGGCCCAGCAGTCATGATCCTTGGTAGTCAAAGGAGCGGAAAAGTTATGTCCACACAAAAATCTGCACATGGATACTTACACCAGCTCTATTCATAATTGCCAAAACTTAGAAGTGATTAAGATGTCCTTCAGTAGGTGAATGGATAAACTGTGGTACATCCACACAATGGAATATTAATTCTGTGCCAAAAAGAAATGAGCTATCAGCTGGGCGTGGTGGATCACGCCTGTAATCCCAGCATTTTGGAAGGCCGAGGCAGGTGGATCACAAGGTCAGGAGTTCAAGACCAGCCTGGCCAATATGGTGAAACCTCATCTCTACTAAAAATAGAAAAATTAGCTGGGCGTGGTGGCGGGCACCTGTAGTCCCAGCTACTCGGGAGGCTGAGGCAGGAGAATCGCTTGAACCCGGGAGGCAGAGGTTGCAGTGAGCTGAGATCGTGCCACTGCACTCCATCCTGGGCAACAGAGTGAGACTCTATCCCAAAAAAGAAAAAAAGAAAGAAAAGAAGTGAGCTATCAAACCACAAAAACATGGAAGATGCCAGGTGCATTGGCTCAAGCCTATAATCCCAGCACTTTGGGAAGCCAATGTGGGCTGATCACTTGAGGTTAGGAGTTCAAGACAGCCTGGCCAACATGGTGAAACCCCGTTCCTACTAAAAATACAAAAGTTAGCTGGAAACGGTGACGCACGCCTGTAATCCCAGCTACTCGAGAGGCTGAAGCATGAGAATTGCTTGAACCCAGGAGGCAGAGGTTGCAGTAAGTGGAGATTGCACCACTGCACTCCAGCATAGGTGACAGTGAGACTCCATCTCAAAAAAAAAAAAAATGGTGATGATTATATTAATATAATCTTAATGCCGTTGAATTATACATTTAAGGATGGTTAAAATGATAAATACTATGTTATGTATATTTTACCACAATACTAAGAAGAATAACTAATGCCCCCCTCCACTCATTTTCCACTGTATACTCTTTGTATATTTATATCACGGGCTTGTATTACCTATTTAAAGCAGATGTTTTTAACCAAAAGATTTAACTTTATACATTTATAGGATGTTCTTTCAACTGCATAAAAGTGGCTCTACTGTATCTTAGAAATGAAAAATTATTGAAAAAAACTGCAAAGGGTTAAAACTGCATCTGAGGTAAGTAAATTCATCAATTGCTGCTGTTCCTCCACAGAAAGAATGTACAGCCTCCTCCTTTCTTCCTCTCCTCATAGCCCCACCCCAGCTTCCTGTCATGCACACTGAGAATTTCATCATTCTAGCAACCTCATATCCAAAAAAAGGTCCCTGGCAAAAGATTTATCACTCCCCAAAATTATCATGAAAATTATATTTTAATACCTGGCATATTAATGCAAGAATGTAAGCAATAATTGCAGGACTGTCATGAAAAGATTTTCAGTCTTTTATTTTTCTTTCTAGAATTGAGAACAGTGGTAGATATGGAAGCTGTGACTAGCCTGAAGAGTGCAGACAACCAAAATGAGTTTCCAGTAATATCAAGGCAAACCACAACAAAACAGGTAAGTCAGCCTTTATTTCTCAGGTGACACCTTGCACTGTGATACCACAGTGTTCATAAAAGGTATCAGAAGTATACAAGCCAAGTTAAGCTATTTAAGAACTTTTCAGAGGCTACTGTGTGCCCAGCACTGTAACTTCAAGTCTCTATTCTACCAAATCTATGATGTCAAGTGGAAAAGACAAATTTTCCAGTTCTGCAGTGTACCATGTAGAACTCTTTGAGAGGAGGGAATATGCTTTGCTTCTGTCTACTGCGCAACACAGAGTAGGTGCTTACAAGATGCATGAAGTTCTAATGTTCCATAGCACTGCAGGATGACTACAGAAAACAATATATAGATTCAAATACCTAGAAGGAGGATAATGAATGTTCCCAACAAAAAGAAATAATAAATGTTCAATTTGATGGATAAGCTAATTACCCTGACCTGATCACTATACATTATATATTGAAACATCACTCTGTATCCCATAAATATATACAATTACTATATGTCAATTTTACAAATAAAAGAAAAAAAGATGTTTGAAGTAATGAATGAGTAACAAAATGAAGTGGATGGCTATGCGCAGTGGCTCACACCTATAATCCCAACACTTTGGGAGGCCAAGGTGAGAGGATTACTTGAGGTCAGGAGTTCGAGACCAGCCTGGCCAACATGGTGAAACCCTGTCTCTATTAAGAATACAAAAATTAGCTGGGCGTGGTGGCACATGCCTGTAATCCCAGCTACTCAGGAGGCTGAGGCAGGAGAATCGCTTAAACCCAGGAGGCAGAGGTTGCAATGAGCTGAGTTCACACCACTGCATTCCAGCCTGGGCAACAGAGCAAGACTCTGTCTCAAAAAAAAAAAAAAAATGAAGTGGAGATATGGAGCACCTACCCCATCAGTTTGCATGGCAATAATCAGTTACCTCTTCTTCAACACTCAGAGTGAACACAAGCCGTTAATCATCCCCAACCAAGCTGTGACCATGCTGAGCAGTGGCCAGGAAATTAGGAATAACATTCATTCCATAAGCATATATTGAATGTCTACTATGCTCCAAATAAATGCAGGGTGCAGAGGACAAGGGAATGCTGTCCCTGCTCTTTTACTGCTGTATTAATCATAGCTTTTTGTTTTATATATATCTGATGCTCTGGCATCTGGGGCTTTGCTGACCTTGGAGAGACTGCCCTTCCCAGGGCTAGCCAATTCCTAGAGATAGTAAATAAATTGCCTGCAAGTGCACCTTCCGAGCAATCCAGAGCCCATGCCCCCACCACCTCCTCTATCAGACTCTGACACACAGAGCTTTTATTTCCCCACCCTAATCACCCCCAGGCAGGTACCAGACAACTCAGGACAATCCCTATGCCCCAAAACCCACTGAAATCATTTGAACTAGCCAATCCTAAGATGCTTACCCTTCCTCCCCAGCTCTTTCCCACAGAAACCATGATAAAGGCTCCTGCCCACATTTCCCTCTCACTCCCCTGCCTCCTGACTGACCCTGGTGCCTCCCCAGGTGGCCCAGCATGGTGTGGCATGCCCCTCCTCTTGGGAACTGTGAGCAACAAACTATCTTTTCAGTGGCAATCATCTCTTAATCCGTTGGCCTCACCATACCTGGATAATAATAAAACCCACATTTAAAAAGAGTTGCTTACAGTCTAGGAGGGGACACCAACATATCTCCCTACAATTACAGGGCTGGATGAGAACTTCTACAAAGGAGACGTGAGCAGAGCGCTGTGGGGGTGCAGGGGGGGTAGTAGCTGATGTGGGCACTGCTGGAGATTCCAGCAAGAACCCTAAAACGAGCTTGGGTTGGTCAGTTTGTTGCTAAGGCAGACAATGCAAACATGAGAAAAGGCTGAGGGTTGGAAAGGCTTCACCTGGAGCTGGGAGGAGCCCTCTTCACAAAGAAAGGAGACGGGCACCACTGCCCTCCTGCCTCTGGGACACGGCTGCTAACCTGTGGAAGGTTCTGGCTGACTGTCTTCTGTACCTGCACAGAGAAGGGTAGGTAGTAACTTCAGCCCAGACCAGAGTTAAAAGACGTTGGCCTTGTGGTGGAAGAAAGTTGGGATTCTCTATTTTCTTTTAGCCCAGATTTTAAAAATATGAACATTAAAGAGTTTCTGGCCAGGCGTAGTGGCTCACACCTGTAATCCCAGCACTTTGGGAAGCCGAGGCGGGTGGATCACCTGAGGTCAGGAGTTCAAGACTAGCCTGGCCAAATGAGGAAACCCCGTCTCTACTAAAAATACAAAAATTAGTGGGGCGTGGTGGTGGGCACCTGTAATCCCAGCTACTTGGGAGGCTGAGGTAGGGAGAATCACCTGAACCTGGGAGGCAGAGGTTGCAGTGAGCCAAGATCATGCCATTGCACTCCAGCATGGGCAACAGAGCGAGACTCTATCTCAAAAAAAAAGTTTCCATTCTCCCTCTTAAATTCAGGTTCCTCATCTGTAAAGTGAGTGAGGAGGACCAGGCATCTGAACTCCACTCCAGTCCTTGACTTAGTATCTATTCCAGGTACAGAGAATAATACAGTGTTACGGGCTGAATCATGTCACCCTAAAATTAATTTGTTAAAGCCCTTGCCACCAGTACCTCAAGGTGTGATATTATTTGGATATGAGCATTACCAGCATGAGGTCATGTGGGTGGGCTCTAATCCAGTTTGACCAGTACCCTTATAAGAAGAAAAAATCTGTATACAAAAAGAGAAACACCAGTGATGCATGCACACAGAGGAAAGACCGTGTGAGGACATGTGAGGCAGCAGCCATCTGCAGGCCAAGGAGAGGGGCCTCAGGAGAAACAACTCTGCTCACACCTTGATCTTAAAGTTCCAGCCTCCAGAACTGGGAAAAAATTAATTTCTGTTTTTTAAGCTACCTAGTCTGTGACAGCAGCCCTAGCAGACTATATGGTAACAGATCAATTGTTAAAAACTTAAAGTCTCTAGGAAAAAGACTTCCTCAATAGGAAGCCACAAAATGCTCTCTGGTTATTTTGATGTTCAGCCAATTCACCCAAAACTCTGTGCCATGACTAATAAGATGCAATTTAATATAACAAACATTGATCGAATGCCAGTCACAATGAGAGGCACTGGCAAACACATCTAATTCTCCAAGGTCATGAGGATTCAGACAGGGGGAAGAAAGAACAGGTTCTTCAAAAATCTCACTTTAGCTAAATAAACAAAACCTCTCCCTCTTTTCCATGTGACCTGAGTCTCAAATAACTGATGGATTCACCCCCATCAGGACTGCCTCAGTCTCTCCCAGAGGTGAGACAATCAAGCGTGACAAGGAAGAAAAGTAAAGTATAGAAATCCACATGTGTGGACTGGCCATTCTTACAGAGGAGAAGCTGTGGCTGTTCAATGTGAGAAATTCTCCAACTCAAAAGGAGACAATTGAGAAAGGAACAAGAACTATAAAAACTTTCCAGAGTTTGTCATCAGAACAACCTCCTTCACTAGGGCCATAATCAGCAGAATGGAAAAGAACAGGTGGCACAACACTTAGATAATATTCTTGGATATGCTCAGAAAAGTAGGGAGATGGGAAAACTCAAACCTAAGCTCTGTCTTTGGATAAAAATATAACAAAACAGGGGGACAGGGAAAACAGAGAAATGGCAAAAAGGAAAGAAAGGTCTGGCAATTGGTATATTTTTATCATTAATACCCAGGGATGAACATCTTTAGAAGCCATTTCACTATCACGAATCTTTAAGACATCAACAATGTTAAAATAGAAAAGCAGAGACTAAATATTCTACCTTAATGCCTTAAGAATCAAAGTCCCACAAATCCACCCACTGGGAAGCTAAGCATTCCCAGACATCTCAGGAAGAAAACCTTCCATCAGGAGAGCCCAGAGTCCTTATTTTTCAAGTGGCAAAGATCTAAACTTGATTCTAGAGCATGGTCCTAGCAGGATAGCATAGCACAAATATTTTATTTTCTAAATATTCCTTTTGAAATTCTTTCTATATCCTTTCCCAGCAGAGAAAGCCAGTGGGTTTATCCTTCCAGGGCCCTCTCCTCTTCTTTCTCAAAAAAAGCTGGCAGTTGCTTCCAGGAATGGGCTCTGCACCTCCCATAAGTCATTCTTGCCCCACAATCAGGGCCAGGACTGTGTTGAATCAGAGCAACCCAAGACCAAATTGCAGCCCGTCAGCTAAGGGTACAGCAGGTGGGTGTTGAGTCTCTAAGAACAATCCTCACAGAGAATCAGAGCCTGAGATTTGCATTAATATGATGCTGGTGTTTGGACCTAAAAGAAACCCAATTTTGAAAGGAACCATGAGCAGGAAAACCTCTGGACAGAGTTCAAGATCTGGCTCTATCTTTGCTGTGTGACTTTAAGCAAGTCACATAACTCCTCTGGACCACTGTATTTTTTCACTGGAAGAAAGCAAATATCAGGTGAATTGCCAAGGTTCTTTCCAGCTGTAAAAGTGTAATGGCTTCAGTTTCTTCAATTCATTCTGGTTAATATTCATAGAAAATAATTTTTAGAAAATAATTAATAGAAAATAATTTTTAAATTATTTAAAATAATTTTAATAGCCACATAAGACTGTATTATCAACAATAAGCTGTTAAAGCATCACAGATTGGAAATACAATTTTCTGAATTTATACTTGATATTTCTCATTCTTTTTTACTTTTTTCTGCATTTAAAGAGTCTCCTGGCCGTGTACGGTGCCTGTAATTCCAACACTTTGGGAGGCTGAGGTGGGTGGATCACATGAGATCAGGTGTTTGAGACCAACCTGGCCATCTCTACTAAAAAATACAAAAAATAGCCAGGCGTGGTGGTGCTTGCCTGTAATCCCAGCTACTCAGGAGGCTGACGCAGGAGAATCACTTGAACCTGGGAGGCAACGGTTGCAGTGAGAGAAGATCGTGCCACTGCACTCCAGCCTGGGTGAAAGAGCGAGACTCGTTCTCAAGAAAAACTGAAAACATTAAAAAGAAAAGTCTCCCACCCATAGGAGGTATTATGAGTTGAATTTATGTCCCCTCAAAAATCATATATTAATGCCCATATCTCAGAATGTTACTTGATCTGGAAATAGGGTGACTAATTAGTCAAGATAAGTTCGTAGTGGAGTAGGGTAGGCCCCTAATCCCATGGGACTGGTGTCCTTATAAAAAGGAAAATTTGGAGACAATCATATCCACAGGGAGAATACATGAAGGCTGGCGTTGTGCTGCCACAGCCAGGGAACTACCAAAAACTGGAGAGAAGCCTGGCACAGATCCTTTTCCAGTTCCTTCAGAGGAAGCACGGCCCTGCCGTCACGTTAATCTTGGACTTGGACTTTCCAGACCCGTGAGGCAGGAAGTTCTGCTAGTTAAGCCACTCAGTGTGTGGTGCTTTGCTATGACAGCCTTAGCAAACTCATACAGAAGGTTAAACCTACCTCTCGCTATAAAGCAAGAAAGGCAGCTCCTCACTTTCTCAGGATTCCCTGTGGTTGGGGCCAGGATATGTGGCCTGGGCTCTGCCCATCAGACACATCTGCCACAGCTCTGAAGCAGAGAAGCAGGGACTTCCCTTCAGATGACATGCGGCAGAACAGCAGCCACTCCATGCAGCTCCAGGAGGTGCCTGCAACAGAAGCCCCTGCAGCAGCAGCCAGCGTGGCCCATCCACAGTGTGCGTGGTGTCAGCAGGACCTGCTCCTGATGGCAAGGGCGACTCATCTCCATAGGACTCGTTCTGCAGCCTCTGAGCCTGGTCCTTCTGGAGATTCCATAAGTTACTCCATACTTTCTCATCAATTTCCTTTCTGCTTTAACAGGGAAGGCTTCTATTGCTTGCCTAGAACAGTTCCTGACACAGTAGGTTCTTAGTATTTGTCAGTGTCTAATAAACCCTAAATTGACATAAGTGGTATTATATAAATCACATAACTTTCTAAAATAATTTCAATTTAATACACATATATTTTTGTGAATATCAAAAAAAAAACAACAGTTACTTGTTACCTCACAACAGCACCTTGGGAAGACCTTTCTAGTATCCTGACTTTCACAGATGGGGAAATCCCTGTTTGGAGACTTGCCCAAGGTCCGGAGCTAGCAGATGGCAAATACAAGGTTTGAACCGAGGCATTCTGCAATAGTAAATGTGAACAGTGCTCTCTGGCACAGTACTGAAAAATTTTTTTTTTTACATATTACTAGTCAAAGGTTTGAAGTCTCTGATTCTAAAGTAGTTATACAACAATGTTTGAAATTTGCCTGGGTGTCAATTTGTCTGGAAAAAGTGACATGTGTCTTGCCCTGAAGGAGGAGAACTAGAATAGAAACACTCTGTTTTTTGGGTGATGGTCCAAAGGAGAATGATGTCAATAGCTCTGTAACTTGGGGCACAAATTATTCAGGCAACAGCAAAGTTGGGGACTTAATTTGTCCGAAAAATTGTGTTGTGTCAGCTTGACTTATAAAACCAAATTCATTTTTAAAAGTGTTAGCCATTACAAATTCTGAGATACTTTTTAAAGCTTTAGTTTGGCAAATGAGAACAGTTGGGAAAATAAATATGTGCAGTGAAAAGAGTTAAAATATCTTGTTCAAAAAAGAAATTATGATAACTGTGAAAACTAAGTATCAGAACAAATGTCCATTCTCAAGTTAGGCAGAGATGTCACCCTCAGAATCAAAGCATCATTTTTGGAAAAATGTTGGAAAGAAGCCCATGGTGTAGGTGACAGTAACTAATTTTCTGTTGCAGTTTCTAAGGTGAGGATGAATCAGGTCAGCTGGGACCTGCCTTCCCAGTGTCAAGTAGGAATCCTCTCTTGTAGAACTTACTGCTGAAACCAGGTACTTACTTCCCTGCATGTGGATCCAGAATCATAGCAAGTTCTGTTGATTCATCGCTTCCCACGCTGAGCCTGGAATGCAGCCATACCACCTCTTTCCTGGCCTGTCCTAGATGGAATTTGTGGCTTCTCTGGGCTCTGGCTTTCTCACAAAGTGAAGGGGCCACCTGCCTTATCCTGTCTGATCTTTGATGTCTGATAGTGGTGGCTGGGGTTGCTCCTGAAATTCCTGCAAGGTACTAGAGACCTTCCAGCTAAGCTGCCACTTAGCTCCCAGTTATTTCCCACATATCCTCTCCCCAGTCTCTGGGCTCAGAAGTACTGCATTATGAGTAAGCTGGGGAACCTGAAGCTCACCAAGGCAAAGGCTTCAAGTTCAAGGTTCAAATGAGACTCAGGGAAACTATCTGATCAAATCTACTAAAACTAAATATGTGCCTACCCTATGACCCAGCAATTCTACTGCAGAGCATATGCCCAAGAAACTGAGTGTATGTCTCTTTCAGAAGACATGTGCTCATCATAGACAAAAACTAGACACTATCCAAATGTACATCCACAGTACAATGGGCAAACAAACTGTGGCAGGTTCATATTTTATTACATAACAACAAAAAGAATAAACCCCTTTTATATTCAACAATATGGATAGACATAACATTGAGTAAAAGAAGCTAGACACCAAAAGTACCTACTGTATAATTCCATTAAGTTCAAGAACCAGAAACACAAATCTGTGGTGAAAGAGGTCAGACTAGGGGTTATCTCTGGGGAAGAGGGTGAGTATTGACTGGGAAGGGACATAAAAGAACTTTCTGCGATGCTGGAAGTGTCCTAGATATTTGTCCTAATGGTGATTACAGGGGTATATACATAGGTAAAATTTTAAAAGATGTGTGTTCGTTTACCTATGTAACAAACCTGCACATTAAGCTCCCGTACCCCAGAACTTAAAATAAAAGTTGAAAAAAAAAAAAGATGGTGTTTATCTGTAGGTATATTACATTCTTTCTTTGTTGTTGTTGAGACGGAGTCTCGCTCTGTCTCCCAGTCTGGAGTGCAGTGGCGCAATCTCGGCTCACTGCAAGCTCTGCCTCCCAGGTTCACAACATTCTCCTGCCTCAGCCTCCCGAGTAGCTTGGGACTACAGGCGCGTGCCACCACTCCCGGCTAATTTTTTGTATTTTTAGTAGAGACGGGGTTTCACCGCGTTAGCCAGGATGGTCTCGATCTCCTGACCTCGTGATCTGCCCGCCTTTGCCTCCCAAAGTGCTGGGATTACAGGCGTGAGCCACTGTGTCCGGCCTACATTCTTTTAAAAAATTTGAAAGCATGGGCTATGGGAGCTCAAGACGTCAGTGTTAAAACAGTGATGAGTAAGGGAGATTCCAATTAGGTTGCTCAGGTCAGAGCTATCAGGCTTCAGTGCTCAGTATTTAAGATAGCTCAGAATTCAGAGCTCATAATCAAAATATCTGCAAGTAAACATAATAATTGCTACCAGCTGTTAATCACTTTCTAGGTGCCAGGCTCTAGACAAAGCATTTTATGAACACGACCTCATTTCGTGCCTGCAACAATTTTATAAGGTAGGTGCTAGTAATATTTCCATTTTACAGAATAATGACATGCCTTGCTCAAGGTCATGCTGCTGGTAAGTAGTAGTCAGGAAGCTAAAGAGGATCTATCCAGGACAGAGAGATTGAATGGCATCAAGGGGTGTGGGGGAGCAAATTGTCCAGGTTCCTCTGCTCTGGACACTGTATTTCTTAGTAAGAGATTAATCAGCAAGACAAGGATGCCCTCTCTCACCACTCCAGTTCAACATATTGGAAGTTCCGGCCAGGGCAATCAGACAAGAGAAAGAAATAAAGGGTATTCAAATAGGAGGAGAGGAAGTCAAATTGTCTCTGTTTACAGATGACATGATTGTATATTTAGAAAACCCCATCGTCTCAGCCCAAAATCTCCTTAAGCTGATGAGCAACTTCAGCAAAGTCTCAGGATACAAAATCAATGTGCAAAAATCACAAGCATCCCTACACACCAATAACAGACAAACAGACAGCCAAATCATGAGTGAACTCCCATTCACAATTGCTACAAAGAGAATAAAATACCTAGGAATACAACTTACAAGGGAAGTGACAGACCTCTTCAAAGAGAATTACAAACCACTGCTCAAGGAAATAAGAGAGGACACAAACAAATGGAAAAACATTCCAGGCTCATGGATAAGAAGAATCAATATCATGAAAATGGCCAAACTGCCCAAAGTAATTTATAGATTCAGTGCTATCCCCCATCAAGCTACCAATGACTGTCTTCACAAAATTGGAAAAAAACTACTTTAAAGTTCATATGGAACCAAAAAAGAGCCCACATAGCCAAGACAATCCTGGGCAAGAAGAACAAAGCTGAAGGCATCACGCTACCTGACTTCAAACTATACTACAAGGCTACAGTAAACAAAACAGAATGGTACTGATACCAAAATAGATATATAGACCAATGGAACAGAACAGAGGCCTCAGAAATAACACCACACATCTACAACCATCTGATCTTTGACAAATCTGACAAAAACAAGCAATGGGGAAAAGATTCCCTATTTAATAAATGGTGTTGGGAAAACTGGCTAGCCATATGCAGAAAACTGAAACTGGACCCCTTCCTTAAATCTTATACAAAAATCAACTCAAGATGGATCAAAGACTTAAACATAAGACCCAGGACCATAAAAATCCTAGAAGAAAACCTGGGCAATACCACTCAGGATGTAGGCATGGGTAAAGACTTCATGTCTAAAACAACAAAAGCAATGGCAACAAAAGCCAAAATTGACAAATGGGATCTAATTAAATGAAAGACCTTCTGCACAGCAAAAGAAACTATTATCAGAGTGAACAGGCAACCTACAGAATGGGAGAAAATTTTTGCAATCTACCCATCTGACAAAGGGCTAATATCCAGAATCTACAAAGAACTTAAACAAATTTACAAGAAAAAAACAACCCCTCAAAAAGTGGGCAAAGGATATGAACAGACACTTCTCAAAAGAAGACATTTATGCAGCCAATAGACATATGAAAAAAAAGCTCATCATTACTGGTCACTAGAGAAATGCAAATCAAAACCACAATGAGACACCATCTCATGCCAGTTAGAATGGCGATCATTAAAAAGTCAGGAAACAATAGATGCTGGAGAGGATGTGGAGAAATAGGAACGCTTTTACACTGTTGGTGGGAGTGTAAATTAGTTCAACCATTGTGGAAGACAGTGTGGCGATTCCTCAAGGATCTAGAACTAGAAATACCATTTGACCCAGCAATCTCATTACTGGGTATATACCCAAAGGATTATAAATCATTCAATTATAAAAAGACATGCACACGCATGTTTATTGCAGCACTATTCACAATAGCAAAGACTTGGAACCAACCTAAATGTCCACAATAATAGACTGGATAAAGAAAATGTGGCACATATACACCATGGAAAACTATGCAGCCATAAAAAAGGATGAGTTCTTGTCCTTTGCAGGGACATGGATGAAGCTGGAAAACATCATTCTCAGCAAATATCACAAGGACAGAAAACCAAACACCACATGTTCTCACTCATAAGTGGTAGTTGAACAATGAGAACACTTGGACACAGGGAGGGAAACATCACACACCAGGGCCTGTTTGGGGGTGCGGGGCTAGGGGAGGGTTAACATTAGGAGAAATACCTAATGTAGGTGATGGGTTGATGGGTGCAGCAAACCACCATGGCACATGTATACCTATGTAACAAACCTGCATGTTCGGCACATGTACCCCAGAACTTAAAGTGTAATTAAAAAAAAAAGAGAGAGAGATTAATCAAAACTTCAGAAACAGAAATTCCTCTCTTTCCCCAGGCAACCAAGCCATCAATACACTGATGTGAGGGAAATCAGAAGAGCGCAAATCAGGTCCAGGCGTGAAATGGCTTCTGACTTTGTCAGCCAGTAGATTTTCTCCCTTGTAAAGAAATCACCACAGGAATGAACAGTGCCCCAGCAGGGGCTTATCATTCTCTTCCTTGAGAGTGTAAAGCTCCAGTGCTGACTCACATATGTGGAAGGGGTCAGAACTAAGTCAGGGCACAAGGGCCAGAAGCTCCTGTAGCTGTGGCCTCCAGGCCACCTGCCCACAGCCTTTCCCACACTTGTGACACTTTTATTTCCCTTTCGTGAATTGCCCCCAGAGTCTTTTCAATGAATCCTGTGTTACTCATAGTTAGGGCTCTTGGTTACAGTGAAAACCTAATTTGAACCAGGTTAACTGAACAGAGGAATTCACTGGAAAGATCCAGCGTTTCTCACAAACTTCAAAGACAGGGATGCAGCCAGCCTCAGGAATGGAACCATGGCTGGAGCCCTGTAGAGAACCTGGAGGCATCTCTCTGCAACACCCCATCTGTCTCTCCCTCTATGTCTGCTCTATTCTTCCCTGTTACTACAAACCAGCCTCCTCTGCTTCTCCATCTATGTGGTGGGACCTGGCCACCACTGCTCCCAGGATTTCTACACTCTCAGTCATGCACCCAACAAGAAGCCTATCTCCAGCTCTTACTCCCCAGCCTAAAATCTCAGGGAAATGACTGATTGGCCCCAGTTGGATCAAATGCCCCAGACCAGACAAATGTGGCAGGAAGTCCAGGTTCTGTAGAAACATGGCAACTCCTACCACAATTGTGGGAATGGACTGGGGAAGAAGGAACCAGCAGGAAAGGGAGGGCAGACAACAATCTTATGGGCATCCATCACATGGCCTACCTTAACAAATCTTTTGACAGTGGGGAAAACATCAGCCTTGGAGAAACAGGGACTAGCTCTATCATTTATCAGTTGTGTGATCATGGGCAAGCTGCTTGACTTTCCCAAGCCTTTGTTCCCTCATCTGCAAAGTAAGGACAGTAACACCTACTTCTTGGTGTCACTGAGAAGATTAAGCAAGAAAGAATCTGTGCAGCACCTAGTACAGTGCCTGACACACCTAAATGCTAAATAGTCCTAACCTTATTTTGAACATCAAAACAGTCATGGGAGGACTGAGGGTGCTTTGAGTATAATTAATTGTTTTGCTGAAGAGGAGGTTTTCTTATGCTATGAAGCCTGCCAACTTATGGCATTTCACCAGGGCATCACATGCTTTCAAAAACGTGTTTTTAAAAAAAATGGATATAAATTATCTTTAGTGTTTGTCACAAGAAAAGTGAGAGGCCAAGACTGTAACATACTGCAGGTACCCAAACTAAATCCTCCCTATGAAGCAGATAACAGTAAACTTTGTCCCTGGGATGTTTGGATTTGTTGAATGATAAGCAGTAAGTGTGGACACTTATCAGCGATAAGTTATAAATAAGAAAGTTCTGAAGAGGCTGAAAAGCTTATCAGACTACATGGGGAGGAGAGTTCTAGTTGTCAAAAAGACAGGTGGAAGTTTTCCTTTTTCTCTTTTTATAGAGTAAAGAGAACAATTTTTTATTTTAGGAAATCCTAGACTATCTCAGACACTTCTTTCTAGGTCTGATTTAACACCTTGAATAAGTTGGCTTCATGTCACCCATATCAAGATGGTATTTCAGAAAACAAAGACAACAGATACTGACTTTGAACACAGCATGTTGAAATGGTGAGAAAGTGTCTTGTTAAGAGAAAGGGCCAAACTCTTGAAGTTTATCAATTTGATATATCTTGGCTTAGGATTCTCAGGACTTCTCACTTACAACAGGATCTGTAATAATTCCCATTCTCTGAAGCTGAATGAAGAAGGCCATAGAAATTGCTCCATCTACAGTGCTTGCTGGAAATTAGTGCATGTGTGTCTAATATTCAGAGTAGAGCAGCATTTTGTTTGTGAATATTTATAAGCAACAACTCACATATACTTAACATTTTATATTGAAAAACTGTTTCTCAGGTAGATTAAAAATTTCTCTGCAACCTAAAATTTTAGTGCACATTTTATGATGTGAAAAGACTCAAGGATTTTTTTTTTTTTTTTTTTTTTTTTTTTTGAGACAGAGTCTCGCTCTGTCACCCAGGCTAGAGTGCAGTGGCATGATCTCTGCTCACTGCAAGCTCCGCCTCCCAGGTTCCCGCCATTCTCCTGCCTCAATCTCCTGAATAGCTGGGACTACAGGCGCCTGCCACCACGCCCGGCTAATTTTTTGTATTTTTAGTAGAGAGGGGGTTTCACCATGTTAGCCAGGATGGTCTCGATCTCCTGACCTTGTGATCCGCCCGCCTCGACCTCCCAAAGTCCTGGGATTACAGGCGTAAGCCACTGCGCCCAGCCAAGAATTGTTTAAATTAATCCATTTTAAATTAACAAAGCAAGTATTTCCTCTTTAGCATCATGAAAAACGGAGCATGCTCATATAAGAATCATAAAAATCCACCCAGCACAGGAAATGCCTTTAAAATTTGTAGGACTAAAATAGTCCTACAAATAATCGTTGACCCTCTTGCTTAATACTCTCAAATGATGGGGAGTGACTCACTAATTTATGAGGTGTCCTTGCCATCATTTGCTTTCACTTTCTACCGATCGGTACTTAGTATGTCTCAGAAGCAAAACAGAACAAGCCAGCCTTTAAATACCCTCTCAAAGATGGACAATGGCCACAGGCATCCGTCTGTCCTATCTCCTTTATATCAGACTGAACTTTTGCTATACTCCTGCTACGTTGTTTCACCTAAAGCTGCTTCCTCGCATATTTTAAGTTCAGCCTCAAGGTTTCTGGGTACATAGTGAACTGAAACCTGACTGGATGTGGAAACAGACCGGAACCTGCTCTTGGAACAAGTAGCTAAGTCTCAGCTAATCCCAGCAGCCAGACTTTGACCACTCACAGGCAGCCAACCTCTCAAACCGTGCTAAGAAGGCAAACGCGAGCTGTAAGCAACCCAGCAGTTTCCGTACCTCACTTCCGTTTTCTGTACCTCACTTCCGTCTTCTGTACCTCACTTCCGTTTTCTGTACCTCACTTCGATTTTCTGTACATCATTTTCCTTTATCTGTGCGTATATCCTTTTGAACTCCTGGCAATGCCTGAGTAACTCCGAACCTATTCGGGTTGGGAGGTGGGGGGTAGCTACTCAATTTACAAATCGTTCTTCACTCAGTTAAAATCTGTTCAATTTAATTTGTCTAAAGTTTTTTTTTTTAAACACTCCCAACAAGATATTTTTTCTAGGCCCTTTATCATCTTGAATACCTTCCTCTAATCCATGACAATCTCTCCTGAAACGCCATATTGGGAACTGAATTGGATCCAGCCCACGTTGTGGAGGAGCTTTCTGGTGGTGGGATGTGGTGTGAGCTTTCTTTAGAAACCGCTTCACACCATTGGCTACTACTTTAAAAATAGCAGAAAAACGAACTATTTTCTCTAAGATGTTATCACATCTCAATATTACACATTATTTCCATTTTTCTTTGAAGTTACACTTATTTAAGTAGTTCTATTATAGGCCAGCACTGACCTTAAATGGGTTCCATTGTAAAGGAGCTGACTGCTGGTGCTGATCAGGAAATGATTCTTTTGTTTGCAAGCAGAAAGGTCATGAGAGGGCTTTCATAGAAGACTAAAGAAAATGTCTTCCAAATTGGACATTTCCTTTTAGATGGAGGGAGGATAAGAAATGATGTGAACATCAATTTCTTACATTGGAGGAAAATAATGAGCCATGAAAAGAGGTAAAGTCACATAAAATTACATTTGTTTTGTTAATTAGGTGACACACCATGCCAAGACTGAATAAAATAAAAGGAAGGAAAAGCAACATACCATTTTTGATGCTAACTTCCTGATTCAAAGGCGAGGGACAGCTCAACCACCTGCTCACCCAGAAGATGGGCTTCAAAGAAAGATGCAGTTAGAGAGACTGGTTTTATAATTAATCTTTGGACAATGCGGTTGACATAACCTGCAAAAGACTTATAATGAGAAGCATGTTCCTGGGAGCTGGTCTGATATATATATATATATATATATATGCACACATACATACCTACATACATACACACACACACAATATATTTTAATTCAGGCCAGGTGCCATGGCTCATGCCTGTAATCCCAGCAATTTGGGAGGCCAAGGCAGGAGGATCATGTGAGGCCAGGAGTTAGAGACCAGCTTGGGCAAAATAGTGAGACCTCATCTTTACAAAAAAAAAAAAGCTAGGCACAGTGGGGCATGCTTGCACTCCCATCTACTCGGGAGACTGAGGTGGGAGGATCATGAGCTCAAGAGATCGAGGTTACAGTGAACTATGACCATGCGACTGCACTCCAGCCTGGGTGGAAAAGTGACACCCTGACCCCCCCCCAAAAAAAAAAAAATTAAAACATTCTCATTCCTTCCTTCTAGTTCTTGAATATATCTCAGCTATAACTGGTGAAACTGTAGGTAAAAGTACAAAAACTACTCTTCAAAGACAGGTAACTGACAAAACACAAGTGTGCAGCATGAAAATTAGAATGATTATTGTATCACTTCTCAGTCTTTCAGCTAAAACCAAGTACAAAATGACTGCTGTTACCTGGTCAAATAGTGTGGACTTTCCAATGATGATAACCTAGTGTGCTGTGAAAATGTTCCAGAAGAGAACTGGAAGACACCACACCCACACCCCTCACAAACAAATAGTTTCTTCTATCCAGAGAGTAGCTCCTGGTTCATGTAACTTCAGTTGAATTCTCTTAAGTTACTATTTGAGGAAATATCTTTGCCCTCTCCCCACATACATGCAAAACCACTTTTTAGCACTCCTGGGTATCTCTGAAGTTTGACAAAAACATTTCTACCCTCAGTGATTTCAACTATAATTAATAGAGCATGCTATTTGACATAGATAGTAACATGAAGTTTATGCTCTATGTCCACTCTGAGAATTCCTAGGCCATCCTGGTAGTCAGCATCTTCTCTTTCTCACAATTTTCCATTCCAAATATCACCATTCTGTCACTTTCCACTAGCTCTCAGTCACCTTCACTCTCTTCTAGGACTAGTATTTCTGGCTGTATGCCTGTACCACAACTCATTACATAAAATTTCCTGGGTCCTGGCAAACTTCATTAAAGTTAAACGAGGATTTTCCTGGTTACATCTCTGAAACCACAAATTTTAATCCCAGCTGCACATTAGAATCACTTGGAGAGCTTTTTAAAAATGTCATTGCCAAGGCCTCACCCTCAGAGATTCTGATTTAATTCAGGGATGCCCAGCACTAAGTCTCTTTTTTACTTTTCTTTTCTTTTCTTTTTTTCTTTTTTAGAGAAAGCGTTTTGCCATGTTGCCCAGGCTGGTCTTGAAGTCCGAGGCTCAAGCAATCCACCCACCTTGGGCCTCCCAAAGTGCTGGGATTACAGGCATGAGCCACCATGCCTGGCCAGCATTGATAAGTCTTAAAAGCTTTTCAGGTGATTCTAATCTACAGCCAACGTTAAGATTTAGTGTGCTAATGCCCAAAATACCTGAAATGTGTGATGTATGCCATTAGTAACTGGTTCTCATCACTGCAATTGTTTTCATGAGGCAGAGACAGCAAGATTCTTACAGACAGACAGCTTCTAACACTGAGTCCCAGAACACCTGCAGGAATGAATACAATCAAGAATTAAATGTCAACGCTGGGTACAGTGGCTCACACCTGTAATCCCAACACTTCGGGAGGCTGAGGTGGGTGAATCTCCTGAGCTCAGGAATTCAAGACCAGCCTGGGAAACATGACGAAACCCTGTCTCTACCAAAAATACAAAAAAAATAGCCAGGTGTGGTTGCATGTACCTGTGGTCCCAGCTATTCAGGAGGCTGAGGAGGGAGGATCATTTGAGCCTGGGAAGCAGAGGCTGCGGTGAGCTGAGATTACACCACTGCACTCCAGCCTGGGTGATGGAGTGAGACTTTGTCTCAAAAAAAAAATAAATAAATAAATAATAACAAGAAAATAATTAAATTTCAGATAAGAGATAATGCTTAAGTTCACATGGAAAAATAAACACACTGAAGAGTTAAGAAAACACTGACAAGGGGCTGGGCACAGTGGCTCATGCCTGTAATCCCAGCACTTCAGGAGGTCAAGGCAGGTGGATTGCTTGAGGTCAGGAGTATGAGACCAGCCCGGCCAACTTGGTGAAACCCCATCTCTACTAAAAGTACAAAAATTAGCTGGGCATGGTGGTGCATGCCTGTAGTCCCAGCTACTTGGGAGGCTGAGGCAGGAGAATCACTTGAACCCAGGAGGTGGGGGTTGCAGTGAGCCAAGATTGTGCCACTGCACTCTAGCCTGGGTGACAGAGCAAGATTCCATCTCAAAAAAAAAATAAAAAGAGAGAAAGAAAAGAAAACACTGATGACAAGGAAGGGCTCTGAAGAAAACAAGTTCAATCGGATATTAAAAATACACTACACAGCTCTTGAGGCTTCCAAGATGGCTGAATAGGAACAGCTCCAGTCTGCAGCATCCAGCAAGATCAACACAGAAGACAGGTGATTTCTGCATTTCCAACTGAGGTACCTGGTTCATCTCATTGGGACTGGTTGGACAGTGGGTGCAGCTCACAGAGGGCAAGCCGAAGCAAGGCAGGGTGCCGCCTCACCCGGGAAGCACAAGGGGTCGGGTGATTTCCCTTTCCTAGCCAAGGGAAGCTGAGACAGTCTGTACCTAGAGGAACAGTACACTCCTGCCAAAATACTGTTTTTTTCCCATAGTCTTTGCAACTGGCAGACCAGAAAATTCCCTCCTGTGCCTGACTCAGCAGGTCCCACACCCACGGAACCTTCCTCACTGCTAGTGCAGTGGTCTGAGATCGACCTGTGATGCTGCAGCTTGGCAGTGGGAGGGGAGTCCAACATTGCTCAGGCTTGAGTAGATAGTTTTGTCCTCACACTGTAAACAAAGAGGCCAGGAAGCTTGAACTGGGCGGAGCCCACCGCAGCTCAGCAAGGTCTACTGCCTTGCTGTAGATTCCACCTCTGTGGGCAGAGCATATCAGAACAAAAGGCAGCAGACAGCTTCAGCAGAACTAAACGTCCCTATCAGACAGCCCTGAATAGAGCAGTGGTTCTCCCAGCACGGCGTTCGAAATCTGAGAACGGACAGACAGCCTCCTCAAATGGGTCCCTGAACCCCATGTAGCCTGATGGTAGACACCTTCCAGTAGGGTCCGACAGACACCTCACAGGCAGATGCCCCTCTGGGATGAAGCTTCCAGAGGAAGGATCAGGCAGCAATATTTGCTGCTCTGCAGCCTCTGCTGGTGATACCCGGGCAAACAGTGTCTGTAGTGGACCTTCGGCAAACTCCAACAGACCTGCAGCTGAGGGTCTCAACTGTTAGAAGGAAAACTAATAGAAAGGAATATCATCAACATCAACAAAAAGCACATCCACACCAAAACCCCATCTGTAGGTCACCATCTTCAAAGACCAAAGGTAGATAAAACCACAAAGATGGGGAGAAACCAGAGCAGAAAAGCTGAAAATTCTAAAAACCAGAGCACCTATTCTCCTCCAAAAGGTCGCAGCTCCTCACCAGCAAAGGAACAAAACTGGATGGAGAATGAGTTTGACGAGTTGACAGAAGTACGCTTCAGAAGGTCGGTAATAAGAACTTCTCCAAGCTAAAGGAGGGTGTTCGAACCCATCTCAAGGAAGCTATAAACCTTGAAAAAAGGTTAGATGGATGGCTAACTAGAATAAACAGTGTAGAGAAGACCTTAAATGACCTGATAGAGCAGAAAGACACAGCACGAGAACTTCTTGACGCATGCACAAGCTTCAAGAGCCAATTTGATCAAGTGGAAGAAAGGATATCAGTGATTGAAGATCAAACGAATGATATAAAGTGAGAAGACAAAATTAGAGAAAAAAGAGTGAAAAGAAATAAACAAAGCCTCCAAGAAATATGGCACTATGTGAAAAGACCAAATCTATGTTTGATTGGTGTTCCTGAAAGTGACGGGGAGAATGGATCCAAGTTAGAAAACACTCCAGGATATTATCTAGGAGAACTTCCCCAACCTAGCAAGGCAAGCAAACATTCAAATTCAGAAAATGCAGAGAACACCACAAAGATACTCCTTGAGAAGAGCAACCGCAATACACTTAATTGTCAGATTCTCCAAGGTTGAAATGAAGGAAAAAACGTTAAGGGCAGCCAGAGAGAAAGGTAGGGTTACCACAAAGGGAAGCCCATTAGACTAACAGCAGATCTCGTGGCAGAAACCCTACAAGCCAGAAGAGAGTAGGGGCCAATATTCAACATTCTTAAAGAAAAGAATTTTCAATCAGGAATTTCATATCCAGCCAAACTAAGCTTCATACGCAAAGGAGAAATAAAATCCTTTACAGACAAGCAAATGCTGAGAGATTTTGTCACCACCAGGCCTGCCTTACAAGAGCTCCTGAAGGAAGCACTAAACATGGAAAGGAACAACCGGTACCAGCCACTGCAAAAACATACCAAATTGTAAAGACCTTCAATGCTAGGAAGAAAGTGCATCAATTAACAGACAAAATAACCAGCTAACATCATAATGACAGGATCAAATTCACACATAACAATATTAACCTTAAATGTAAATGGGCTAAATGCCCCAATTAAAAGACACAGACTGGCAAATTGGATAAAGAGACAAAACTCATCAGTGTGCTGTATTCAGGAGACCCATCTCATGTGCAAAGACACGCATAGGCTCAAAATAAAGGGATGGAAGAAGATCCACCAAGCAAATGGAAAGCAAAAAAAAAAGCAGGGGTTGCAATCCTAGTCTCTGATAAAACAGACTTTAAACCAACAAAGATCAAAAAGGACAAAGAAGGGCATTACATAATGGTAAAAGGATCAATTCAACAAGAAGAGCTAACTATCCTAAATATGTATGCACCCAATACAGGAGCACCCAGATTCATAAGGGAAGTCCTTAGGGACCTACAAAGAGACTTAGACTCCCACACAATAATAATAGAAGATGTTAACACCCCACTGTCAATATTAGACAGATCAACGAGACAGAAGGTTAACAAGGATATCCAGGACTTGAACTTAGCTCTGGACCAAGCCGACCTAATAGATACAGAACTGTCCACCCCAAATCAACAGAATATACATTCTTCTCAGCACCATATTGCACTTATTCTAAAATTGACCACATAATTGGAGGTAAAACACTCCTCAGCAAATGCAAAAGAAGAGAAATCACAACAAACTGTCTCTCAGACCACCGTGCAATCAAATTACAACTCAGGATTAAGAAACTCACTGAAAACCACACAATTACATGGTAACTGAATATCCTGCACCTGAATGACTACTGGTTGAATAACAAAATGAAGGAAGAAATAAAGATGTTCTTTGAAACCAATGAGAACAAAGACACAATGTACCAGAATCTCTGGGGCCCATTTAAAGCAGTGTGTAGAGGAAAATTTATAGCACTAAATGCCCACAGGAGGAAGTAGGAAAGATCTAAAATCAACACCCTAACATCACAATAAAAAAAACTAGAGAAGCAAGAGCAAACAAATTCAAAAGCTAGCAGAAGACAAGAAATAACTAAGATCAGAGCAGAACTGAAGGAGATAGAGACACGAAAAACCCTTCAAAAAATCAGTGAATCCAGGAGCTGGTTTTTTGAAAAAATCAACAAATAGACCACTAACAAGACTAATAAAGAAGAAATGAGAGAAGAATCAAATAGATGCAATAAAAAATAATAAAGGGGATATCACCACTGATCCCACAGAAATACAAACTACCATTAGAGAATACTCTAAACACCTCTACGAAAATAAACTAGAAAATCTAGAAGAAATAGATAAATTCCTGGACACATACACCCTTCCAAGACTAAACCAGGAAGAAGCTGAATCTCTGAATAGACTAACAGGTTCTGAAATTGAGACAATAATTAATAGCTTACCAACCAAAAAAAGTCTAGGACCAGATAGATTCACACCCGAATTCTAACAGAGGTACAAAGAGGAGCTGGTACCATTCCTTCTGAAACTATTCCAATCAACAGAAAAAGAGGGAATGCTCCCTAACTCATTTTATGAGGCCAGCATCATCCTGATACCAAAGCCTGGCAGAGACACAATAAAAAAGAATTTTAGGCCAATATCCCTGATGAACATCGATGCAAAAATCCTCAATAAAATACTGGCAAGCTGAATCCAGCAGCATATCAAAAAGCTTATCCACCACAATCAAGTAGGCTTCATCCCTGGGATGCAAGGCTCATTCAACATATGCAAATCAATAAACGTAATCCATCACATAAATAGAAACAATGACAAAAGCCATATGATTATCTCAATAGATGCAGAAAAGGCCTTCGACAATACTCAACAGCGCTTCATGCTAAAAACTCTCAATAAACTAGGTATTGATGGAACATATCTCAAAATAATAAGAGCTATTTATGACAAACCCACAGCCAATATTACACTGAATGAGCAAAAACTGGAAGCATTCCCTTTGAAAACCGGCACAAGACAAGGATGCCCTCTCTCACCACTCCTATTCAACATAGTGTTGGAAGTTCTGGCCAGGACAATCAGACAAGAGAAGGAAAGAAAGAGCACTCAATTAGGAAAAGAGGAAGTCAAATTGTCTGTGTTTGCAGATGACATGATTGTATGTTTAGAAAACCCCATCGTCTCAGCCCAAAATCTCCTTAAGCCGATGAGCAACTTCAGCAAAGTCTCAGGATACAAAATCAATGTGCAAAAATCACAAGCATTCCTATACACCAATAACAGACAAAGAGAGAGCAAATCATGAGTGAACCCCCATTCACAGGTGCTACAAAGAGAATAAAATACCTAGGAATCCAACTTACAAGGGATGTGAAGGACCTCCTCAAGGAGAACTACAAACAACTGCTCAGCAAAACAAGAGAGGACACAAATAAATGGAAGAACATTCCATGCTCACAGATAGGAAGAATCAATATCGTGAAAATGGCCATACTGCCCAAGGTAATTTATAGATTCAATGCCATCCCCATCAAGCTACCATTGACTTTCTTCACAGAATTGGAAAAAAATACTTTAAAGTTAATATGGAACCAAAAAAGAGCCCGCATAGCCAAGACAATCCTAAGCAAATAGAACAAAGCTGAAGGCATCACGCTACCTGACTTCAAACTATACTACAAGGCTACAGTAACCAAAACAGCATGGTTCTGGTACCAAAATAGATATATAGACCAATGGAACAGAACAGAGGCCTCAGAAATAATACCACACATCTACAGCCATCTGATCTTTGACAAATCTGATAAAAACTAGCAATGAGGAAAGGATTCCCTATTTAATAAATGGTGCTGGGAAAACTGGCTAGCCATATGTAGAAAGCTGAAACTGGATCCCTTCCTTACACCTTATACAAAAATTAATTCAAGATGGATTAAAGACTTAAATGTAAGACCTAAAACCATAAAAACCCTAGAAGAAAACCTAGGCAATACCATTCAGGACATAGGCATGGGCAAAGACCTCATGAATAAAACAACAAAAGCAATGGCAGCAAAAGCCAAAATAGACAAATGGGATCTAATGAAACTAAATAGCTTCTGCACAGCAAAAGAAACTATCATCACAGTGAACAGGCAACCTACACAATGGGAGAAAATGTTTGCAATCTACCCATCTGACAAAGGGCTAATATCCAGAATCTACAAAGAACTCAAACAAATTTACAAGAAAAAAAACAACTCCATCAAAAAGTGGGCAAAGGATATGAACAGACACTTCTCAAAAGAAGATACTTATGCAGCCAACAGGCATATGAAAAAAATGCTCATCATCACTGGTCATCAGAGAAATACAAATTAAAACCACAATGAGATACCATCTCATATCAGTTAGAATGGGGATCATTAAAAAGTCAGGAAACAATAGATGCTGAAGAGGATGGGGAGAAATAGGAATGCTTTTACACTGTTGGTGGGAGTGTAAATTAGTTCAACTCTACTGTGGAAGACAGTGTGGCGATTCCTCAAGGATCTAGAACTAGTAATACCATTTGACCCAGCAATCTCATTACTGGGTATATACCCAAAGGATTATAAATCATGCTACTATAAAGACACATGCACACTTACGTTTACTGCAGCACTATTCACAATAGCAAAGACTTGGAACCAACCCAAATGTCCATCAACAATAGACTGGATTAAGAGAATGTTGCACATAAATACCATGGAATAACATGCAGCCATAAAAAGGGATGAGTTCATGTCCTTTGTGGGGACATGGATGAAGCTGGAAACCATCATTCTCAGCAAACTATCACAAGGACAGAAAACCAAATACTGCATGTTCTTACTCATAAGTGGGAGTTGAACAACGAGAACACATGGACACAGGGAGGGGAATATCACACACTGGGACCTGTTGGGGGGCTGGGGGCTGGGGGAGGGATAGCATTAGGAGAAATACCTAATGTAAATGGTGAGTTGATGGGTACAGCAAACCAACATGGCACATGTATACCTATGTAATAAACCTACACGTTGTGCACATGTACCCTAGAACTTAAAGTACAATAAAATAAATAAATAAATAAAATAAAAATAAAAATACACTACACGCCTCCATAGCTAAAACAGTGTAGTATTGTCATATGACTGGACAAATAGATCAAAGAAATAGAAAGTTCAGAAACAGACTCAACTATTTATAAAGATCAAGCATATAATAAAGGTGATATATCAAAACACTGGAACAAATGTAGTCATGTGCAGTAAATGGTGTTGGTACAACTAGACAGCCATCTAGAAAAAATATAAAATTAGATTCATTCCTTAAAGCGGAGAAAAGAAAAAATCTCAAATGGATCAGAGGTCCAAATGCAGAAAAGGAAAATATACAAGTACATGAAGAAAACATGAGTGTATTCTCCTTTAACTCTGGAGTAGAAAAAGCCTTTCTAATCATGACTCAAAATTCAGAGGCAATAAAAGAAAAGACTGATAAACTTGACAACATTTAAAAAGATTAAAACTTTTGGCCGGGCACGATGGCTCACTCCTGTAATCCCAGCACTTTGGGAGGCCAAGGCAAGAGGATCACTTGAGCCCAGAATTTGAAGACCAGCCTGGACAACATAGTAAGACCCCATCTCTACAAAAACAAACAAAATTAGCCAGATGTGGTAGTGCATACATGTAGTCCCAGCTACTCAAGAGGCTGAGGTGGGAGGATAGCTTGATTCTGGGAAGTAGAGGCTGCAGTGAGCCAAGATCATACCACTGCACTCCAGCCTGAGCAACAGAATGAGACACTGTCTCAAACTTTTGCATGATTAAAAATACCATAAGCAAAGCTGAAAGACAAAAAACTGGGAATAAATATTTGCATCATATATAATAGCTAATGGGCTAATATCCCCAATTCACTTTTTAAACTTTAAAATTGAGGGAAAATGATCAAAAATCGTATGTTAAATAGGCAGTAGACATCAACAGATAATTCACAAAAAGGATACAGTATACGAATGGATTTAAAGCAAATGAAAAGATGTTTAATTTCACTCATAATAAATGCAAATTAAAACTTTACTGAGTTAGCATTTATCACTTATCAGAAAAAAATAACAAATCAGACCAAAAAACTCAAAAAGTTTCAATATACTTTGCTGGCAACACTGTGGGCAAATGGGCACACTCATACATTGTTGGAAGGAAATGCAAAATGGAATAGCCCCTATGGAGGACAATTTGGCAATATCTAAAAAAACTACACGTACATTTACTCTTCAAATCAGTAAACTCACATCTAGGAATTCACCCTAAAAAAGATACAACTTCAATAACATCAAAATACATGACCACATACATTAAAGCATTAATTATAACTGCAAAATATTGGAAACCACCTGTATGTCCAAGCAAAGGGGATTGGTTGCATAAAATATGGAAAATACACACACAAGAGTACCACGCACCTAAAAAGAATGAGGAAAATCCTCTGTGAACTAATAATAGATTTCCAGGAGATACTGCCCAGTAAAAAAGAAGAAAAAAAGACAACTTTTAGGTAAATTTATTGAAAACAAGAAAAAAAATCATATTTTCTTATCATTCCAAAAAAAACCAGAATAACAAACTAGTAAACAATGTAATTCATTACGTACAAAGGATGAGGAGGGAAGGAAAAATGGGAAAGTGATGCTTCTCTGAATATATCTTTTTGTATAGTTTTGACTTTTGAAAGCATATTTATATCTTACCTGTTCAAAACGATAAAGTTAAATCAATAAGATTAGAAACTGGGGGGAAAAAACTCAAATTGAAAGCAATTTCAAACAAATGAACCTAACTGTATTTCAAATAAATAACATAACCACAGCAAAGGGAAAAACAATAAAAAGAGAACTAGTGCAAGTAACTTATGAATACAGTATAGCAAAGTATTTGACCATATATCCTCAGTCTGGGGAGGGTAGAATATGGGACAAGGGAAAGAAGCAAAAACAAATCCTAAACGCTTCTTAATAGGCTTCGTTTTATAGTGATATAGCAAAACGGTTCTGTAACTACTGTGGATGTATTATTGAACTGAGCAAAAGAGTGAATATGTTGATACTGTAGATATATAGGATTTCATCATGGAATAGATATCAAATGGGAGACAGCAAGAAAAATCCCTGTTGATATAGATTGAAATTAGAGTATTGGTGTGAGTTCATGATTTCTAAAATAAGTATACACACACACAGGGTGTATATACATCTGCATGTGCATACACATACATACACGTGTGTGAATATTATACATGCATTAATTTACTAGTTCTGTCTGCTAAAGGGCCAAGAAGCAGTGACATCCCAGTAGAAATGAGTATACTTACAGCCCAGATCTTGGTCTCTAGTACTACTTCCCACTAAAGGAAACAGGGATCCTGGGAGAAACTTCTGATTCCATGGATAGAACAAAGTAAGCCTAAGAAGAAAGTGCTTTAAAAAAAAAAGATGAGGCATATCATGAAGACATAGAAGCCAGCTTGAAGGGGTTTCCATTGGTCAAATCTGGTGTAAACTGAGCACCAAAATAGTTTAAAATAGTAATGAGGTAGGGAAAAATGGTGAATAGGGGGCAGGACTAATTTGCAGCTCCCACCTGGATGAAAACAGAAGCATGTGGAGACTCACATTGTGAATTTTTACTGCAAGAAATACTGCAGAAATATACCAGGAAGACCAAGAGAATCCACAGACCCTTTAAAGGAAGTGGCTTGCTTCTGCAGGCTCCATGAGACAGCCAAAAAACTGTGAGTCCTCAAAGTGTGAAGGGAGACTGTCCACCCCTGAACACACATCCTCACTGGAGAACCTGAAAGTCCAGATCATGGGAGAAGGATTAGACCTAACCTGGAGCTGAGACAAATTTCGAGAGTTGAGCAAAATATAGGGGTAAAGGAAGCAGCAGGAAGAGCCCTGTGGGCACTTCCAATCCCCAGGGAAGCCATTTCCGACTTTGTCTTGCAGGGATCCTTGAGGAGGGCTGCTAGTGGAATTGGGGAAAGGTCATAGGGAGAAAGAAACTTCCAGCTGAACTCTGTTAACAAGTTAACAATTTCAACTGAATGCAAAGTTTCCCGGACAGAATCTGGGAGAGAGGGTAAACCGGGAGAGCAGGTACCAGCACAGAAGCCATGGCAGCCAAGGAGTGGTGAAACCCAAAAGCCCTGCTTGCTTTCTCAGCAGGGAGGTTTGTAACCTGAGGCAAGTTCTCAGCCCTGCTTATATGCTGCCTGGAAATAAACTCAGTGCTGTTGAGGGGGCACAGTGGGAGTGAGACTGGCCTTTCCAGCTGTGTGAGACCTGGGTGAGGCTTTCCCCCATTTCCCTGGGGACCTGTAAGAAGCAGCAGAGGCAGCCATAATCCCCCTGGGACCATGACTCCATCAGCCTAAGAACCACACCCCATCCCCCTCACTGGCACAGCAAGTTCCACCCAAAGACGGTCTGAACTCAGACACCCCTAACCCTGCCCCCACCTGATGGTCTTTCTCTAGCCACCCTGGTAGCCAAAGACAAAGGACATAATCTCTTGGGAGCTCTATGGTCCCACCCACCACCTGAGGAACAGGAAAACTTATCCAGGCAAGCTTAGGCAAGCTTGTATCCTCCCTATACTACCATAGCTGGTGCTCTCTTGAAAGCGCCACCTTCTAGCTGGAGACCAACGAACACAAAACCAGCACGCTAAACAAAACTGCAACCAAGGACCCTCACAGAGTCCACTTCACTCCCCCACTACCTCCATCAGAGCAGGTGCAGGTATCCACAGTTGAGAGACCTGAAGATAGTTCACATCATGGGCCTCTTCGCAGACACCCTCCAGTACCAGCCCAAAGCCCAGTAGCTCTGCTGGGTGACTAGACCCAGAAGAGACATAACAATCACTGCAGTTAGGCTCTCAGAAAGCCACATCCCTAGCAGAATGGGGAGAGCACCACATCAAGTGAGCATCCTGTTGAACAACAGAATTTGATCAGCAGCGCTTGAGCCCCAGATCTTCCCTGTGACATAATGTAACCCAATGAGAAGGAACCAGAAAAACAATTCTGATAATATGACAAAACAAGGTTCTTTACCACCCCCGAAAGATCACACTAGGTCACCAGCAATGAATCCAAACCAAGATGAAATCTCTGGATTGCCAGAAAAAGAATTCAAAAAGTCAATTGTTAAGCTAACCAAGGAGGCACCAGAGAAAGAAGAAATCCAACTTAAATCCAAAAAGTGATATAGGATATGAATGAAAAATCTCCAGTGAAAGAGATACCATAAATAAAAAACAATCACAACTTCTGAAAATGAAGGACACACTTAGAGAAATGCAAAACTCACTGGAAAGTCTCAGCAATAGAATCAAACAAGTAGAAGAAAGAACTTCAGAGCTTGAAGACAAGGCTTTTGAGTTAGCCCAATCTGACAAAGACAAAGAAAAAAGAATTTTAAAAAATAAACAAAGCCTCCAAAAAGTTTTGGATTATGTTAAACAACCAAATCTAAGAATAATTGGTGTTCCCGAGGAAGAAGAGAAATGTAAAAGTTTGGAGAACACATTTGAAGGAATAATCAAGGAAAACTTCCCTTGTCTTGCTAGTGATCTAGACATGCAGATATTAATACCAGAAGCTCAAAGAACACCCAGGAAATTCACCACAAAAAGATCATTGCCTGGGCACATAGTCATCAGATTATCTAAAGTCAAGACAAAGGAAAGAATCTTAAGAGCTGTGAGGCAAAAGCATCTGGTAACCTATAAAGGAAAACCTATCAGATTAACAGCAGATTTCTCAGCAGAAACCCTATAAGCTAGAAGGGATCAGGATCCTACCTTTAGACTCCTTAAACATAACAATTTCCAGCCAAGAGTTTTGTATCCAGCAAAACTAAGCTTCATAAATGAAGGAAAAATCGTTCTTTTTAGACAAAAAAGCGCTGAGAGAACTCACCTCCACTAAGCCTGCACTACAAGAAATGCTAAAAGGAGTTCTAAATCTTTAAAGAAATCCTCAAAATACACCAAAATAGAACCTCCTTAAAGCATAAGTCTCACAGGACCTATAAAATCATAACACGATGGAAGAAAAAAAACACAAGGTATTCAGGCAACAATTAGCACAACAAATAGAATACTACCTCACATCTCAGTACAAACATTGAATGTAAATGGCCTAAATACTCCACTTAAAAGATACAGAATGGCAGAATGGCTAAGAACTCACCAAGTATCTGCTGTCTTCAAGAGACTCATTTCTTTTTTCTTTTTTGTTTTGAGACGGAGTTTCACTCTTGTTGCCCAGGCTGGAGTGCAATGGCACAGTCTCAGCTCACCACAACCTCCGCCTTCCAGGTTCAAGTGATTCTCCTGCCTCAGGCTCCCAAGTAGCTGGGATTACAGGCATGTACCACCATGCCCAATTAATTTTGCATTTTTAGTAGAAACAGGGTTTCTCCATGTTGGTCAGGCTGGTCTCGAACTCCTGACCTCAGGTGATACCCACCTCAGCCTCCCAAAGTGTTGGGATTACAGGCGTGAGCACCGCGCCCAGCCAAGAGACTCATTTCTAACACAGAACAACTCGCATAGGCCAGGTGTGGTGGCTCATGCCTGTAATCCCAGCACTTTGGGAGGCCAAGGCAGGCGTATCACCTGAGGCCAGGAGTTCAAGACCAGCCTGGCCAACATGGCGAAACCCTGTCTCTACTAAAAATACAAAAAAATTAGCCAGGCATGGTGGCGCACACCTGTAGTCCCAGCTACCTGGGAGACAGAGGCAGGAGAATGGCTTGAACTTGGGAGGTGCATTGAGTGGAGATTACACCATTGCACTCCAGCCTGGGTGACAGAGTCAGACTCCATCTCAAAAAAAAGAGGGGTGTGGAAAAAGATATTCCATGCAAATGGACACTAAAAGTATGTAAGAGTAACTATTCTTATATCATACAAAACAGACTTTAAAACAACAACAGTTAAAAAAAGATGAAGAGGCACATTACATAATGATAAAAGGACTAGTCCAACAGGAAAATAGCACAATCCTGAATATATATGCACCTAGGACTGAAGCTCGCAAATTTATAAAAACAGTTACTACGAGACCTAAGAAATGAGATAGATGGCAACACATAATAGTTGGGGACTTCAATACTTCACTAATAGCACTAGACAGGTCATCAAGACAGAAAGTCAACAAAGAAACAATGAACTTAACTACACCCTAGGACAAATGGACTTAACAGGTATTTACAGTACATTCTACCCAACAACAGCAGAATATACATTCTATTCCTCAGCACACGAAACATTCTCCAAGATAGACCATATGATAGGCCACTTTTCAAGTCTCAATAAATTTTAGAAAATCAAAATTGTATCAAGTACTCTCTCAGACCACAGTGGAATAAAATTGAAAATTAACTCCAAAAGGAACCCTCAAAACCATGCAAATACATGGAAATTAAACAACCTGCTCCTGAATGATCATTGGGTTAACAATGAAATCAAGAAGGAAATTTAAAAATTCTTTGAACTGGACAATAATAGTGACACAACCTATCAAAACCTCTGGGATACAGAAAAGCAGTGCTAAGAGGGAAGTTCATAGCATTAAATACCTACATAAAGCAATCTGAAAGAGCACAAATAGACAATCAAAGGTCGCACCTCAAGGAACTAAAGAAATGAGAACAAAGCAAACTCAAACCCAGCAGAAGAAAAGAAATAACAAAGATCAAAGCATAACTAAGTTAAATTGAAACAAACAAACAAACAAAAAACAATGCCAAAGATAAATGAAACAAAAAGCTGGTTCTTTGAAAAGAAACTGGAAAACCTAAAGGAGATGGATAAATTCCTGGAAATATACAAACCTCCTCGATTAAACCATGAATAGAAACTCTGAACAGACCAAGAACAAGCAGCAAGATTGAAATGGTAATTTTAAAATTGCCAACAACAAAAAAAGTCCAGGACCAGACAGATTCATAGCTGAATCCTATCAGACATTCAAAGACAAATCAGTACCGATCCTATTGACACTATTCCAAAAGATACAGAAAGAGGAAATCCTCCCGAAATCATTCTATGAAGCCAGTGTCACCCTAATACCAAAATAAGGAATGGATATAACAGAAAAAGAAAACTACAAACCAATATCCCTGATGAACATAGATGCAAAAATCCTCAACAAAATACTAGCTAACTGAATCCAACAGCATATCAAAAAGATAATCCACCACAATCAAGTGGGTTTCATACTAGCGATGCAGGGATGGTTTAACATATGCAAGTCAATAAACGTGATACACTACATAAACAGAATTTAAAACAAAAATCACATGATCAACTCAATAGACACAGAAAATCACTTAACAAAATCCACCATCCCTTTAACATTTAAACCCTCAGCAAAATGGGTATAGAAGGGACATACCTAAATGTAATAAAAGGCATTTATGACAAACCCACAGCCAACATAATACTGAATGGGGAAAAATTGAAAGCATTGCCCTTGAAAACTGGAACAAGACAAGGATACCCACTTTCACCACTTCTATTCAACATAATACTGGAAGTCCTAGTCACAGCAACCAGAAAAGAGAAAGAAATAAAGGGCATTCGAATTAGAAAAGAGGAAGTCAAACTGCCAATATGATTGTATACCTAGAAAACTCTAAAGACTCGTCCAAAAAGCTTCTAGAACTGGGCTAGGCACAGTGGCTCATGCCTGTAATCCTAGCACTTTGGAAGGCCAAGGTGGGCAGATCACTAGAGATCAGGAGTTCGAGACCAGCCTGGCCAACACAGCAAAACCCTGTCTCTACTAAAAATTCAAAAATTAGCTGGGTGTGGTGGCACATGCCTGCAATCCAGGCTAATCGGAAGGCTGAGGGAGGAGAATCACTGGAACCCAGGAGATGGAGGTTGCAGTGAGCCGGGATCGTACCACTGCACTCCAGCCTGAGCAACAGGGCAAGACTCCATTTCAAAAACAAGACAAAGCAAAACAAAACTCCTAGAACTGATAAATGAATTCAGTATACAAAATTAATATACAAATCAGTAGCATTGCTATACACAAACAGCAACCAAGCTGACAATCAAATCAAGAACTCAACCCCTTTTACTATAGCTGCAAAGAAAAATAAAATACTTAGAAATATACCTAACCAAGGAGGTGAAAGACCTCTACAAGGAAAACTACAAAACACTGCTGAAAGAAATTACAAATGACAAAAAAAAAATGGAAACACATCCCATGCTCATGGATGGGTAGAATCAACACTGTGAAAATGACCATACTGCCAAAAGCAGTCTACAAATTCAATACAATTCCCATCAAAATACCACCATTATTCTTCACAGAACTGGAAAAAACAATCCTAAAATTCATATGGAACCAAAAAAAGAAAAAAAAAAAAATCCCTGTGTAGCCAAAGCAAGACTAAGCAAAAAGAACAAATCTGGAGGCAGGCATCACATTACCCAACTTCAAACTAGACTATAAGGCTATAGTCACCAAAAAAGCATGGTACTGGTATAAAAATAGGCACATAGACCAATAGAACAGAACAGACAACCCACAAAATCAAGCCAAATACTTACAGACAACTCATCTTTGACAAAGCAAACAAAAACATAAAGTATTTGGCCGGGCGCGGTGGCTCATGCCTGTAATCCCAGCACTTTGGGAGGCCAAGGCAGGCAGATCACGAGGTCAGGAGATCAAGACCATCCTAGCTAACACGGTGAAACCCCGTCTCTACTAAAAATACAAAAAATTAGCTGGGCGTGGTGGCAGGCGCCTGTAGTCCCAGCTACTAGGGAGGCTGAGGCAGGAGAATGGCATGAACCTGGGAGGTGGAGCTTGCAGTGAGCCAAGATCACGCCACTGCACTCCAGCCTGGGTGACAGTGCAAGACTCTGTCTCAAAGAAAAAAAACAAAAAAAAAAAACCATAAAGTATTCAACAAATGGTGCTGAGATAATTGGCCAGCCACATATAGAAGAATAAAACTGGATCCCCATCTCTCACCTTATACAAAAATCAACTCAAGATAGATCAAAGGCTTAAATTTAAGACGTGAAAACATAAAAATTCTAGAAGATAACATTGGAAAAATCCTTCTAGACATTGTCTTAGGCAAAGACTTCATGACCAAGAACCCAAAAGCAAATGCAACAAAAAACAAGGATAAATAGGTGGGACTCAATTAAACTAAAAATCTTCTGCACAACCAAAGAAATAATCAACAGACTAAACAGACAACCCACAAAATGGGAGAAAATATTCACAAAGTATGCATCCAACAAAGGACTAGACTGGCCAACATGGCAAAACCTGGTCTCTACTAAAAATACAAAAAAAATAAAATAAAATTAGCTGGTCACAGTGGTGCATGACTCTAATCCCAGCTACCAGGGATGCTGAAGCAGGAGAATCACCTGAACTCAGGAGGCGGAGGTTGCAGTGAACCAAGATCACACCACTGCACTCCAGCCTGGGTGACAGAGACTCAAAAAAACAAAGAATCATATCCAGAATCTACAAGGAACTCAAATCGGCAAGAAAAAAGAACAGTTCCATCAAAAACTGGGCTAAGGACACGAGCAGACAATTCTCAACAGAGGATATACAAATGGCCAACAAACATATGAAAAAATGCTCAACATCACTAATTATCAGGGAAATGCAAATCAAAACCACAATGTGATACCACCTTACTCCTGACTCCTGCAAGAAAGGCCTTAATTAAAAACTCTAAAAATAATAGATGGTGGTGTGGATCTGGTGAAAGGGGAACACTTTTACATTTTTGGTGGGAATGTAAACTAGTACAACCACTATGGAAAACAGTTGGGAGATTCCTTAAAGAAATAAAAGTAGATCTACCATTTGATGCAGCAGTCCCACTCTCGGGTGCCTACCAAAAGGAAAAGAAGTCATTATATGAAAAAGATACTTGCACACGCATGTTTTACACTCACAATTTGCCCTTGCAAAAACATGGAACCAGCCCAAATGTCCATCAATCAATGAGTGGATAAAGAAAATGTGGTATAAATATACCATGGAACTCTACTCAGCCATAAAGGAATGAAATAATGGCATTTGCAGCAACCTGGATGGAATTGGAGACCATTATTCTAAGTGAAGTAACTCAGGAATGGGAACCCAAACATCGTATGTTCTGACTCATATGTGGGAGCTAAGTTATGAGGACACAAAGACCTAAGAATGATACAGTGGAGTTTGTGAAAGGTTGGGAGGGGAGTGAGGGATAGATACAATGGACTTTGGGGACTCAGCAGAATGGGTGGGAGGGGAGTGAGGGATAAAGGACTACATATTGGGTTCAGTGTACACTGCTTGGGTGATAGGTGCACCAAAATCTCAGAAATCACCACTAAAGAACTTATCCATGTAACCAAACACCACCTGTTCCCCTCCACAAAAAAAAAAAAAAACCATTAAAATTAAAAAAAAAAAATTAAGACAGATGGGAAAAACAAAAAAAGTAAAAAGTAAAATAGTAGTGAATTGTAAACCATTGAAAAACAGGAATTCACGAGTCCAAGCAAGAGATGGCTCCTGCTTGTAGTATTAGGTTGGTGCAAAACTAATTGTGGTTGGCCAGGCGTGGTGGCTCACGCCTGTAATCCCAGCACTTTGGGAGGTCAAGGCGGGCGGATCACGAGGTCAGGAGATCAAGACCATCCTGGCTAACACGGTGAAACCTCGTCTCTACTAAAAATACAAAAAATTAGCCGGGCATGGTGGCGGGTGCCTGTAGTCCCAGCTACTCAGGAGGCTGAGGCAGGAGAATGGCGTGAACCCAGGAGGTGGAGTTGGCAGTGAGCCGAGATCGTGTCACTGCACTCCAGCCTGGGCGACAGAGCGAGACTCCGTCTCAAAAAAAAAAAAAAGTAATTGTGGTTTTTGCCATTACTTTCAATGGCAATTACTTTTGCACCAACCTAACAGAATGCTGAGGGGTGACTAGTCAATGCAGAACAAATTGGAAAAAATCATCATTTGGGGGCTATCACTGTGATGTCTGGATAAAGCAAGAAACATCAATGGATGCTAAAACCAAGGGGGAATTTTTAATGAGCACAATATTTGGCTGGTCTTAAAAGTGTCTCCCTACAGAATGCATATTAATTACAAAGAAAAAAGAAGAGAGGTAATGGTAATGTGTAATTGTAAGTGTAAATGTATTACAGTGGAGAAATGGAGGAAAACTTTGACAAAGTAATTGAAATGATCACCAGTGAGGGCCAGACAGACACCATGCACTTGTCAATGCGCTGAGAGCACAAAATGAATGACACAGTGCTCTTTCAAGCCAAGAATGCAGAATCTGTATCTAATCATAAGAAAAAAACTAGATCAATATAAAATTTAAAACATTAAAGTTTGTTAAAGGCTGTGGAAATGTTTCAGGTTAAAAAAAGCCTGAGACATGACAACTACATGCAATACCTAACCCTAGACTGAATCCTGCACTGGAGGGAGAAATGCCACAAAAGACATTATGAGGTCAACTGACAAAACTGGAATATAGATGGTAAAGAATTCTATCAATGTGCATGTCTCACACCGACAACAGTACTAATGTTATATAAATGAATATTCTGTTATTTGAGAAGTTTATAAATAGTTTCTTCTATTGACATTATGCAGAATTGCAGTATCATCCACAATGTGAGTACAGTAACTGAAACACAAAGGAGAAAGCAAGGCAGTGGCGTCAGGGTAAGGTTCAATGCGTGGCCTGACAAAGCCCAAGAGTTCTCTCCTTTAGTATGCATCTCCTACAAGCAAATAATATCAGTTCATTGTTTGAAGGAGAGTAGCCTATGCAGGATTCATTTATTGTTCAGGTGTCTTTTCCAAAGTATGATAAAACAGGAGTAAGTTCAACAATGAATATCTGCAATCCAAACCAATTTAGCTATAATCAAGGATATCTGTCTTATCTATTATCACAAACATCCCTGTTGCCTCCATCTGTCTTAAAAGAGTTTTTCAAAAGTAAAGACACAATTAATTATACCTTATTAATTTCCTCAAAAACAAATAAAAAAATGTGCGTACCACTCAGCATACAAAAGTTACACATTAAACGTGCATATATATACATATATATCTCTTTCTTAATTGGCCCAGTCATGAAATTTACATTATTTACATTTGGCCATCCTCACTTTTAACATGTACAGAATTCTTCATGTAAATGTAGATGACCATACAATTTTTTAAAAAATTACTTCCATATAGTACATGCTTCCTTCATGAAATCCTAACCTCAGTTCTCTATATTGTAAACTTGGATAAACCCACAGTTTTTTGGACAGCTAACATACAAGCATCACGAATTTTACTAAAAATTTGGGCCAACTCATTGTACATTTGCCCCCTGAAATGAAAAATACACTAGAATTAAAGCAGTATATTGCCATAACTGACCTTAAGGGTAAGGAGATTCTCCTATATTTATAGACTAAGACTGGAGACATGACTGGTAATCTCCAATAAGAGTGCTTTTAAAGATAATCTAATTTTAAGCTTTGAGGTAGCATAGGATGAACCCTATAAAATTCATTTTTCTTTTCTCAAAATAATGGAAGAGCCTTTTAAAACCTAATATCTCATCAATATTACCGCATTATAGAGCTAATGCAATCCTGATAGCTTGATCAAAAAGACAAAATACAATAGAAAAATTAAGGTATTATATGAAGGAGAGAAGACATTGAAGATAATTTAAGGCCTTGAAGTGAATTAATCAGTTTAATTTAAAGCTGAAGAATAAATCATAAATTATTCACCTGAAATGCAAGCAGTATGCTTTTTCAGCTTCTGTTCTGTGGATAAAACAA
This sequence comes from Homo sapiens, assembly GCF_000001405.40. Taxonomy (NCBI): domain Eukaryota; kingdom Metazoa; phylum Chordata; class Mammalia; order Primates; family Hominidae; genus Homo; species Homo sapiens. Next base: position 47,926,956 of record NC_000013.11, read on the forward strand.
TAGAAGAGAATATTCTTATCCTTAAGAAATACTCAAAGCATTTAGGGAGAAAGAGCCATGATATATGTAGCTTACTCTCAATTGGTTCAAAAAACATCATGAAGAAAGAAAGAGAAAGAGAGAGCAAAAGATTAAGCAAATGGAGTGAAATGTTAAGAATAGGCAAATTTGGGTGAAGGATACATGACTATTCCTTGTACTATTTTTATTTTAGCAACTTCTAGTAAGTTTGGAATTATTTCCAAATAAATTTTTAAGTCTTTTAATACTAATATTCCAGGCCAGATTAAACAAAAGATTCAACCAATGAAATACTAACCAATAATTCCTTTGTGCTGTCAAATTGAAGACGTACAGTTTGTTGGGCCACTTGTGGTTTTCACAGATCATTTCCCATGTATTTGGCAGCTAGTGGATTTATTTGCCACCATTAGATGTAGAAAATCTAAAGTACCTTTGGAAGACAAGGTTGAAGCTCAGAAGAAATGATTAAGACTCCAAGTCCCACAACAAGTGGTTACAAAACAAATTTAAATTCACCTTACAGGTGTGAAGTGTAGAAGTAAGTGTCCTTTCTCTATTATGCTGTCATTCAAGAATAACTACTCATAAAGATCCTTTGAGCCCTGGGCCCTACTGGCTGCCTGGAAACTCAGAAATGAATGGAGGAACACCACTACCTTCATATTTCATCACCTAGTCCTCCTCCCTGCTTCTATCCTAATGTTCCATTTCTAGGCTAGTGTCCCTGGGCACATGGTACCTGCTCACAAGCCACAGTATCTCACCTCTCCACGTGTGCTCAGTCCCTCCAGCCTACCTGTCCCCACCTGGTAGATTCCTACTCCTGCTTCAAGATCTGGCTTTGAAAGCCTTCCCTCTCTCCACACCATCTCTTCTCCCTCAGCACCCTGAATATACCATTGTGAAAGCTACAGTCTAGTAAAAGGGCAGCGTGTTTTTCCTGTATTTCCCTCGAAGCTCCTTAAAGGGCAGAAATCATGCCTCAGTCATCTTTGCACTCCCTATTTCCAACTAAGTGTCTATTTTGTTTAACCAAATGGAACTGCAAGTCTTTTGCTGTAGCCACCAAAAGTCCTTTTGTTGAAAGAAGAATATAAATAAAACTGAAATATGAAATAGATTGAGTTACGAGGTAAGCAGTAGCTCTACCTCTCAGAGAAAGAAACGATCCCTCCTGCAGACGCCCTTTTGCTGGATCTTAGGTGTGTCACCATAGAAAATAAGGACAGAACCTTTAACCCATAAAGAACTATTTGGTTTAAGTTGAGGAAAATAAATCTCTGATGCTGTCTTTCAGGGTGATAGAGATTTCCATATGAGAAAAAGCAGCTAATTCCTGGGCAGTTAATAATAGCACTATCTTGTCTAAAAACGGCAAAAGCAGTATCCTGGCCAATGCCGACCTAAGGTGACAGCTTATAGTAAAATGAAAGCAAATTGTAAGCACAAATCTTACTCTGCATAAGTTATTTACTACCCAGATATGTATTCTTTGCTGATTAAAGGTACAGCATCAGTGAACTACTGGAGTTATTTTTAGCCAGAGACAGAAGAGATTTTTTAATCCTTGAAAATTAAGGGGCAAGATGTTCCTTACACTATGCTGCCTCTAGGGAGTTCATGTCTCATTCCTTCTCATAAGGTCTGATATTCTTTCTACTCCCATGCAACATTAACAGCTTTTCTGGAATATGATTATAACAGCACTATCTTAGTCCATTTGTGTCGCTATAAAGGAATACCTGAGACTGGGTGATTTATAAAGAAAAGAGGTTTATTTGGCTCATGGTTTTGCAGGCTATACAAGAAGCATGGAGCCAGCATCTGCTTTTGGTGAGGGCCTCAGACTGCTTCCACTCATGCTGGAAGGTGAATAGGGGCTGCATATGCAGAAAGCACATGGCAAGAATGAAGCCAAAAGAGAGAAGGGAGGTGCCAGACATTTTTTAACAACAAGCTCTCAGGCTCTCACAGGAACTTATAGAGTGGGAACTCATTCATTACCTCAAGGATAGTACCAAGTCATTCATGAGAGATTCCTCCAAGACCCAAATACTTCCCACGAGGCCCCACCTCCAACCCTGAAGATCAAATTTCAACTTGAGGTTTAGAGGGTCAGATATCCAAGCTATAGCAGCACCATCCCATTATACATTTGGTATCTATGTCCTAAACCAAAACTCCCTCCAGCTTTACTGTAGTTTACTAAGTTGTATATTATACTTTATGTGGGATTTTCTCACTGCCCCCTAACATGGAGCATAGAATCTACTGCTGGAGCAATTTCCTCCAAATACTTTTCAATTTGGTGGCTTAATGGGTATGCTTATTGCACCTCCTCTGCAGACTCAGAGGTACTTGGAGTCTGGCCACTGCTCGTGCCAATGACAAAGAATGCTTTAGCTCTGAAGTCAGAGCTCAGACCATGAGAGTAAAACCTATGTATTAGCAGAAGAGAAAAGCAAAAAGAAAAACAAAGAATAGAAAAGAAAGGCAGGGAAATGAAGGGAAGCAGGGAAGAGGAATAAGTGAAACGAATCCCAGGAGTGGTAAGGCACAGTGGGCGCCACCAGGAACTGCCCTCCGATCTAGTTCTCCTAACATGCAGAAAAGGATCCTTTGTAGATTGAACTCACTATTCTTCCAGCAACAACTATCTGATGTCAGAAATTCTAAAGCCTAACATCACTTCCACTTTAAGACCAGCAAGGTATGGAGGAGGTGGGTAGTAATAGAGTATGAAGAACATGAGGCTGGGCACTGTGGCTTACACCTGTAATCCCAGCATTTCGGGATGCTGAGACAGGAGGATGGCTTGAACTCAGGAGTTCTAGACCAGCCTGGGCAATATAGCAAGATCCTGTCTCTACAAAAAAATACAAAAAAAAAAAAAAAGAAAGAAAGAAACAAAAAACATAAAATTTGAAGGCAGAAGGCCTGGTTCAGGTCATAGGCTATGACACACAGGGTAAGCCACTTCTTAACTTTTTCATCTCAGCGTCCTTATCTGTTAAATGGTGATGATAACACCTGGCACACAGGATTGTTGTGAGCATCAAATGACTGCACATGAAAGGGTAAGTTTCTATTTCAACCGTGATGGAGAGATGGTTAACATGCCTGCACTTCATAGATTCTGAGAACTAAAGGACAAATACACCCAACAAGCAAAATTCGAGGTGCAATTGCTTTATTAGATGATATCCAAGTACTCGTGTATCTACACATATTTCTCTATATCAGCTAACAAAATGGGGAGCCTTAAAAGAAACACAAGTATTTTTTTCAAATATTTGAAGGGTTCCCAGAAAGAAGGATTAGCTATTTCCAAACTGGTTCAAATATAGAACCTTAGTCAGACTAGCAGGTAAAAGCTACAGGGAAAAGGATTTGGGATCAGTATAATAAAGAGCTTTCCAATATTTCAAACTGTTTAAAAATGAGACAACTCCCCATAAGGAGATGAGTTCTCTGATAGTGAAGATGTTTAAGTTGAAAGGAATGACCGACTGTCAGGATATGTTAAACGTTGGGTGAGGTGCAAGTTGCATGAGGGGAGGGGGTGTGTGTCTGTTTTGTTCACTGCTATTACCCCGTGCCTAGAACAGTGCCTAGCATGTGGAAGACTCCCAGATACAATAAATAAATGAGCAAACTGGGCATGGTGGTGCATGCCTGTAGTCCCAGCTACTTAAGAGGCTGAGACAGGGGCATTGCTTGAGCCCAGAGGTTTGAGTCTAGCCTGGGCAACATAGGGAGACCCTGAGAAAGAAGAAAGCAAAGCAAAGCTAAAAAAAAAAAGAAAGAAAAGGAAGGAAAGAAAGGAAGGAAAGAGAGAAAAATAGAGAGAAAGAGAAAAAGAGAAAAGAGAGAAAGGAAGGAAGGAAGAAAGGGAAGGAAGGAAGGAAGGGAGGGAGGGAAGGGAAGGGAAGGGAAGAAATGAGCATATCCTGTGATCACTTTGAATCTAAGCCTATAATTTTATGATAGATGTTCAACAATTCTTAGTTCTGTTGAGTCTGTGTCCGCTCAGCAGCTCAGCTGGGCATCTCAAAGGTCAAATCATTTAAATATTTTCTCTGAGTCAAATTCACAAACACAAGAGTTGATTCTACATCTGCAGACAAACAGGTACCAGAAAGCCCTACCTCACTGTTACACACTAAGAGTGTGGAATGAACAGCAGGTGAAATAGCCAAACCTACACAAATCAACCAACAAAATCAAATGGGAGTTGAGGAGAGGCGTAGGTGTTACTCAGGTATAGTGCCAAGTGGATCTGAGGACAAGAATGTTCTCCTATGCATCTCTGTATCCTTAATACTAAGCACAGTGCCTGGCACAAAATAGATGCTCAAAAACCATTTGCTGAATTCAACTGAACTGAAATTTATGTCTGACAATTATTAACTATTTGCCTTTTCATTTCGTATGAGGTTCACGATTCATTGTTATATATTTATTCATACATTGACTTGGATTTAATTGCTTATATCTCCCCCACTACATTACAAACACCATAAGGGACCATGTCTCCTATTGATCATTGTATACCATGTAGCCCTGGTACATTGTGTGGCACATAGGAGGTGTGCACTTAATATTTGTTGAATGAAGTGAATAAATACTGGAAGTGGATCTCTAAAATAACTGTGTACTTGAAAGAATTCTAGAATCATAGAATCTTTCTAATCCTTTTAGTTATTATTTGTTTATTATCAAGTCTTCCCATTTAGACTGAACCATTTAAGAAATGAAGCAATTTAATCTAGATAAAATAATGGTAATGCAATAGTAATATCAGAATATTTCTTCTAAATTGATGGTCAAAAATGCTCATGAGAGTCCCCAGAAACACTCAGCTTCAAGTTTTGTTTTTTCTTTTTTTTTGAGACGGAGTCTTGCTCTGTTACCCAGGCTGGAGTGCAGTGGCGCTATCTGGGCTCACTGCAAGCTCCGCCTGCCGGGTTCACGGCATTCTCCTGCCTCAGCCTCCCGAGTAGCTGGGACTACAGGCGCCTGCCACCACGCCCAGCTAATTCTTTGTATTTTTAGTAGAGACGGGGTTTCACTGTGTTAGCCAGGATGGTCTCGATCTCCTGACCTCATGATCCACCCGCTTCAGCCTCCCAAAGTGCTGGGATTACAGGCGTGAGACACTGCGCCCGGCCTCAGCTTCGAGTTTTTTAGGGAAACATTTTACTGGCCAACACTCCCATTTTCAAACAGACTTCACAGTCAATCCAGAGGCTGCAGATAACTAACTTAATCCTCTTCTTTGGGCTATATAACTGGGTTTGTCTTTTTTTTTTTTTTTTTGGCACTTCTACTGAAGGGCATACTAAGCAGAGAAAAGAAATCCAGTCAAACCATAAGCATGAATTTTGGCAGCTTTTATAACAGCCAAGCCTAGTGAACAGTTAGTATTTGGTGACTCCAATGTTGTCTTTCTGGACCTTTTCCCACCCAGTCATGGAGATATCCCTCCACCCAAAGCTGCTCCATTCATACCTAAGGCTCAAATGGCTGTGAAGACAGTGTTTGTTACCGGTCTGCAATAAGATAACTTACATCAGAATATAAATGAAAGCACTGAAGCTTCCTGCATTGGAAAAGTCTTGCTACCTTGCTACCAAGATAAAAATATATTTCAGATGAACTAAATAGTGTGCTTCATGACATAATTGACTTAAATCCTGGCAAAAGATCCTTACCTGGTTGCAAGTCAGGAACAAAGAGCTTCAGAGACTGGCGCTTTGAGCAGCATTCTGCTAAGCCATAAAAAGATATCTCCTCCTGCATATCTGCATTTTAAAGGACAATAAGAAGCTTCAAACTGAAGGAATCATTCCCTAAGCACAGGTTCTCACAAACATAGGGATATTATGTCTCGAACAGGTGGACATGGTATTTGGGGTTTAGAAGGGAACCACTGAAATGAGGCATCCTGCCATAACCAGATCTAGTACATAACACATGCATAAAACGGTATCAATTCCTTTTCTCCTACATCCTGACCCAATCCAATTTTTTTTCAAAGGAACACATGCATTAGAATCACCTAAGAAATTTATTAAACATGCCTGTTGCCAGGCCAGCTGAATTAGAATAGCTGGGTATGGGCCTAGGAATCTGTATGCTTAACAGGCATCCAAAAGATTTATGTACACTGAAATCTGAGAACCACTGCATTAGATCAGCTGAGGCTACAGAAAAGATCTTTGCAACTGCAAAGGAAACAAAAATAAAAGTCCAAAGTGAGCACCAAATAGGAACTTTTGTCCCTGCCACAGATATTTCAGAAAGCAAGTGAATACAGCATAGCCGATCAACTGATGCAAGCACCCCCTACACCACAAATAGGCTTTGCCCTATAGCATTTGCCAGTTACTGTTTAAGCAAACCATTGTTTAACTGCCATTAACCTCATAGGATTATTGACACTGGGTATCCATTTCTCAAAGAGATGTCAGATATTTGACTAGGTTAAATTGAGAAACACTGGATTCTTTGGCTTGGTTTCGTTTTGTTAATGGAACTTCCTCACCTCAGAAACAGCATGTAAGTCAATTAGCCTTTTTCTAACTAAGGAAACAATGGACTTTATTCACATGGTATTTCACTCACAAGTCCCCTAAATTACTGGCTTGCCAAACCCTGCTCAAGTAAGCAGGCTGAGTGACAATAACAAAAGCTAAATCATTTGGCATTTCAGTGACAATGTATAACAGTGTATAAATTTTTTAAATCCCCTTACTGTTCTGCCTTCTCAGCAATGACACATCTACAAAATGGGCACTAGGCCAAGTACCCTACCACAAAACAAAATCGTTGCCTGTTGTGGTATTAATGTTCAGTGAAGCAACTGGTCTCAGTACACAGTCAAGTAAACAGGCATCAAAGGGTAGAACCTAACTGTTAACCCAAAGTATCTGAGACGGGTCTCAGTCAATTTAGTAAGTTTTTCTTTTGTCTTTTTGGCCAAGATTAAGGAGGCACCCGTGACACAGCCTCAGGGGGCCCTGACGACATGTGCCCAAGGTGGCTGGGGTACAGCTTGCTTTTATACATTTTAGGGAGACATGAGACATTAGTCAACATGTGTAAGATGTACATTGGTTTGGCCAGGTAAGGCGGGACAACTCAATGTGGGGGCTTCCAGGTTAGAAGTAGATAAAAGACATTAGGGTGCATTCTTTTGAGTCCTGATGAGCCTTCCACTCAATACACAACTTAGTCTGACTCAGTGAATCTGCATTTTTACATAAACAATAGGGCAAAGGAAGCAATCAGATATGCATTTGTCTCAGGTGAGTCTCAGAGGGATGACTTTGAGTTCTGTCTGTCCTTTGTCCACAGTGAATTTCCTTGTGGACGAGGATCTGTGGCAAATTGCGAGGGAGGTATGTAGCTATGTTATTTAGGAATAAAATGGGAGGCAGGTTTGCCTGACATAGCTCCCAGTTTGATTTTTCCCTTGGCTTAGTGATTTATTTTCCTTTCACATAACCACAGAGGAGAATGCCATGGAGAGGGGCAATAACAGGCACTGAACATCAGGAATGCTGGCAGGCGAGTCAGATATGGCTCCAAGTCTGTTCAGTGGTCTCCACAAGGCTTCCACAAAGGCCAAAGGTTTCATGCTGACGTATGATAACAAACACAAGAGAACCAACAGCCTGGGCAAATTAAATCTACGGTTTTTTATGAGCTAGTCCATAATGAAAAGTCTCTCACAGACTGAAAAAATGTTCCATATCAATCGAATCACAATATTTAAGAAAGCCATGACCAATTTGCTTAAGACTGCTCCTTCAGCTGCCCCTCTTCAGCATCCCTCCCAGAGGAAGAAAAAGCATTAGACAAAAAGATTCAGATCAACACTGCCCCCCTTCAAGAGAGTCATGGCACACCAGACACAAAGCAGTGAATCACCTGTCATTTGTTTCCAGTTCTTCCTCATCAGCCCACAGTCATACATCTGGCATCAAATAGTATAGCTTTTACTTTTTTCCTAGTAGAATCAGTGTCATTCAATTGCAAGTTGAAAGTTAGGAAAATGGAAAGTTCAATTTTTCTACAAATAAGCAAGGATAACTTTGACAGGCGCTGCAACACTCTCTGTCATGGTTTCAACAGATCTCTTTCCTACCTCCTACTTTAAGTAAAAGTTAAATAAAGAGTCTCCCTGTATGTGCCAGTTTCATATACACGCAAGAACATACAGGAAGTTAGTATATGATAAAGATGACATTTTAAAATTGGTGGGAAATAGATCAAATAGGGAAAAGTAAATCCCTTAAGGGATAAGTAAATGGTGTTTGGGAAACAGATTAGGCATTTGAGAGGGGAAATTTGCATTCATAACTCAAGTTCAGACTTTGTAACAAAACAATTAAGCCTTTCAAAACATATCATGAAAACTAGAAACCACAAAGACTAATACATTTCATTATATTTAAAATGACATATGACATATATATAAAATACATAATAGGCAAAAATGGTTAATCTCAAATATACAAAAAGTTATTAATACTAGGAAGAATGAACAGTCAATAGAAAAACAGTCAAAGAACATGAAAAGGGCTGGGCGCGGTGGCTCACGCCTGTAATCCCAGCACTTTGGGAGGCTGAGGCAGGCGGATCACGAGGTCAGGTGATCGAGACCATCCTGGCTAACACGGTGAAACCCTGTCTCTACTAAAAATACAAAAAATTAGCGGGGCGGGTGCCTGTAGTCCCAGCTACTCAGGAGGCTGAGGCAGGAGAATGGCGTGAACCCAGGAGGCGGAGCTTGCAGTGAGCCGAGATCGCACCACTGCACTCCAGCCTGGGCGACAGAGCGAGACTCCGTCGCAAAAAAAAAAAAAAAAAAAAAAAGAACATGAAAAGGAAGTCACACGCTGACACACACAAACACACACACACATACACTTCCACAAATGCCCAGTCAACAGATGAAAGCTCAATCAACATTAAACAGGACATGGTTTTTGCCCATTGGAATTAGCAATACAATGTTATCAAGTATGGAAATATTATTGTGCATTATGAATGGAAGAGTAACCAAAAGAGACTTTCTGGAAAGCGGTTCATGCTTTTACACAGCTATTCCACTTACAGGTTTTTACCCTAAGGAGAAATTACCCATGTGCTGAAAGACATATGCACCAGAGTGTTCACCTATTATTTATAATGTTAAAGACATATAAACCAAATGTCAATAATTGCAAGGCTAGGTTAAATAAACCATGATATACACATTCTCTTGTATGTGCAGCTATTAAAAATTATGTAGTCCTATATTTGATGCCATGGAAAGATCCTTATTTGAAGAAATGCAGATTATAGAACATTATGTTTATGATCCTATTTATATAAAAGTGTATTCATATCTATCCACATATGCTCATATTTAGAGACGACCAGAAGATTGTTTACAAAACTGTTAACATTAGTTATTTCTGGGTTCTGGCACTGCAGGTGATCTTTACTTGTCTGCACTTTCTTGTATCATTCCAGTTTTGAAGGGGTTTATTTTTTCAATGAGTATGTGTCATTTTTACTAAAACAAAGATATTTTTTCTAAAACGATGCTGGTTTCATCAAACAAGGATATCAAAAACAAATAAAAAGATGCTTCTCTGCTTTAAGAACAAATCATAGGAATAATCATAAAGTAGTTGAGGCTTTTCTCCAGTTTCCTTCATATTACATGCTCAGCTGGTCACTCTGGAATTGTCACTCTCAACTGATGAACTGCAGGCTCTCAACTGGTGGTCAATCAACTCCTATTGAAGACATTAATAGATGTTAGTGTTTAGTTGGTGATATGGTTTGACTGTGTTCCCACAATTCTCATGTGTTGTGGGAGGAACCTGGTGGGAGGTAATTGAATCACGGAGGTGGGTCTTTCCTGTGCTGTTCTCGTGACAGTGAATAAGTCTTGTGGGAGCTGATGGTTTTTTGGTTTTTGCTTTTTGGGTTTCTTTTTTTTTTTTTTTTTTTTGAGATGCAGTCTCGCTCTGTCACCAGGATGGAGTGCAATGGCACAATCTCGGTTCAGTGCAACTTCCACCTCCCGGGTTCAAGCAATTCTCCTACCTCAGCCTCTGGAGTAGCTGGGATTACAGGCACACACCACCATGCCTGGCTAATTTTTGTATTTTTTTTTCAGTAGAGACAGGGTTTCACCATGTTGGCCAGGCTGGTCTTGAGCTCCTGACAATCAGGTGATCTGCCTGCATTGGCCTCCCAAAGTGCTAGGATTACAGCTCGTGAGCCACTGGTTTTATAAGGGGGAGTTTCCCTGCACAAGCTCTCGCTTTGCTTGCTGCCATCCATGTAAGACATGACTTGCTCCTTCTTGCCTTCCACCATGATTGAGGTCTCCCCAGCCATGTGGAACTGTGAGTCCATTAAAACTCTTTCCTCTATAAATTACCCAGTCTCAGGTATGTCTTTATTAGCAGTGTGAAAATGGACTAATATAATTGGCAACAAATGAACCAGGAAGCTTAGGCCACTCCTGGCCCTTTCAATACTTCTCCCAACTTGCTAAACTTAGTGATTTCTGTGTTACTGTATTAGTGCTGACTAGACTCTAGGGCACCCAACAGTCATGACTTCTTTAGTTAATGGCAATTGTTTCGCAGATTTACATAGCTATGAGTACCATAATGTTAATCACAACTACTCAATGCTGAGTCTCTTATCCCTAGACATTTGTTTATAGCTTACTTCCAATTTGTGTTTATATCTTCACAAATTGGATGTGATGGTGCTTTTTTCAGTCCTGCTCAAAATGTTATCTGTGGACTGATGCCAGTCCACAAACAGATCACAAATCTGCAAGTGATAAACAGATATTTTAAAATATTTAGAAACTTCTACAGCAGTTTGAAAGAGCAATTTTATCCTGTAGAATCAAAAATAAATGAATAAAAGAATTGAGGCTTTTCTGTGCTTTTTGAAAATTTCACTTTTCTAGTAATTGTTTTTTATAAAAGAATCAGTCCATTATAGAATTTTAATTTCCAATTTAAAAAAAATGGCCCTTATTTTTAAAAACTCATCTTTCCTCTCAGTTTAAGAGCTGGCTTATTATAACTTATGCACAGAAGCATAAATATGGTAGTGTATTAAATTTCCTAACTCTGCCATCAAAAATTAGCAGCAATTTCATAGCCTAAAACAACACAAACGTATTATCTCACAGTTCTGTAGGGCAGGCATCTGGATAGGCTTGGCTGGTTTCTCTGCTTAATTTCACAAAACCAAAATCATGGAGTCAGTGAGCTGTGCTCTCATCAGGAGGCTGTGAGAAGAACCTACCTCAGAATGCATTCAGATGGCTAGCAAAAGCCAGCTCCTTGCACTTGTAGGACTGAGACCCCCACATCCTTGCTCGCTGTCAGCTAACAGCCACACTCAGCTAAAGGTCTCTCTCCAGTCCTTGCACACAAACCCTACATCTCAGAAGCAGCAACAGGGCATTGAATTGTTGCCTCCAGCTGTGGATTATTCTTTGCTTTTAAGGGTTCATGTGATTAGACTGGGCCTGCAGGGAAATCCAGGATAATCTCCCCTATTTTATGCCACCATGCCTGGTTTTTGTATTTTTAGTAGAGATGGGGTTTCACCATGTTGGCCAGGCTGGTCTTGAACTCCTGACCTCAGGTGATCCACCTGCCTCAGCCTCCCAAAGTGCTGGGATTACAGGTGTGCTCCACTGCTCCCAGCCTACTTTTTTCCTCATTTTATACTGCAAACCTCTAAATCTGTTTTACCACTACACGTTAAATTATAGAAATCTAAAAGCCACAGGACTTTCCTCACCCTTTACATTTTGACAGGACAAAAGAGTATGACTAACTACAGACCTCTACCCTTGACCCACCATCCAACATTTACATCCATCATTTTGCAACTTCTTTCATTTTTTTATTTTTTTGAGACAGAGTCTCGCTCTGTCGCCCAGGCTGGAGTACAGTGGCACGATCTCGGCTCACTGCAACCTCCACCTTCTGGGTTCACGCCATCTCCTGCCTCAGCCTCACAAGTAGCTGGGACTACAGGTGCCCACCACCACGCTCGGCTAATTTTTTGTATTTTTAGAAACCTAACACGGCTTTCACCGTGTTAGGCCAGGATGGTCTCGATCTCCTGACCTCGTGATCTGCCCACCTTGGCCTCCCAAAATGCTGGGATTACAGGCATGAGCCACTGTGCCCGGCCTTGCAACTTCTCTAAATAGAATTCTTTGCCAGATGGAAACAACTCACCAAAATATTAACAGCTTCATTGCCTTCTGCTGGAGTTTTGAGAGTTGGTTTCTGTTTTTTGGTTTTTGCCTGCTTATTTTTCCCCTTCATGGGCATCTGCTACCAAGTGCCAGAATCAAGCTGGCTTGGTCTAGGCTTTGCAACTGCAAGGTTAACAGTCAAAATTGGTTATACTCTTGGTACAAACCATAGTATTTAGTATCTACTCAACTATACCTTAGAGAACTCAAATGTTAAAATAGGCTTTTTTCATATGAAGCGGGTAGGGCCACAAGGAAGCAAGTATCAGCACTGCATAAAGAATACTCAAGGTTTTATGTGTTTTAGGAAATGAGGTGTGAAGGTGTGTAAGTAGCTACCAGCTGGTTGTTTCAAGTCTCCATTCTCCACAATCATTCTCCATAACCATTCTTGCCAAGACTAGTTAGTTTCAATTCCACTGGTTACTTTTTAGTCCTTACTATACTTGACTTCTGAGCTGCATTAGATACCATTGATGACTCTATCCTTGAAATATTTTTCCCTTGCCTTCCCTAAAATTTTGTTACAGTTTTCCCCTTCAGTCACTTAAGAAACACTTTAAAGCCATGCACTCTTCTTTTTGCATTCCAAGCATCAGACGTCTTCCAAACTCCTAGCAGATTCGAAGTACCACCTCTGTCCTAGCAGCTACTAAACTCTGAGTTAACTCAACATCCACTGTTTGTTCTTTCAGTCTCCAAGCATGAATTGTGATGGTTTTGAAAAATGTTAACAAAATATTTGATGCTTCTCCCTTCAAAAAGTGGGGCTTAATTTCCCTCCCCTTTGTGGGCTGGATTTTCTAATAAACAGTGCAGCAGAAGTGACAATGAGACTAGAACACAAAGGCACTGTGGCTTGGGGGGCAGGGGGCGGGCAGCAAAGAGCCAGCTGCCATGTCACAAGGACACGAGCAGCCCTGTGGATAGGTCCACATGGTAAGAAACTGAGGCCTCTGGCCAACAGCCATACAAGTTAGCCACCTTGGAAGTAGGTCATCCAGGCTCAGTGTCACCTTTGAATAACTGCAGCACAAGAACTAATCCCAGCTAAACTGATCCCAAACCTACAGATATGAGATATAAATGAGATAGTAAATGTTGTTGTTTGAAACTCACTAAGTGTTTGGGGTAATCTGTTATGCAAGAATAGATAACTAAAACACTAGTATTACCAATAATCTGTATTATATCCTCTCTGATATACCAAGCATTGTTTTTAACTCCTAAGTAGACCTTGAATAATACAAATAATACAAATAATGCCAATCTTAGTTAATCACTGGCTGGTATTCTTTGGAATGAATCTTTAAAAAGTAAAAACTAAATGACTGGACTTTTAATTATCACAAGTTTTGTTTTTTTTTAAGATGGAGTTTTGCTCTTTGTTGCCCAGGCTGGAGTGCTGTGGCGTGATCTCAGCTCACTTCAACCTCCGCCTGCCTCCCAGGTTCAAGTGATTCTCCTCTCTCAGCCTCCCAAGTAGCTAGGATTACAGGCGCCCGCCACCATGTCTGGCTAATTTTTGTATTTCTAGTAGAGACAGGGTTTAACCATGTTGGCCAGGCTGGTCTCAAACTCCTGACTTCAGGTGATCCACCCACCTCGGCCTCCCAAAGTGCTGGGATTACAGGCGTGAGCCACCGCACCTGGCTATAATTTTAAATGGTTTATGGCTCTGATACTCTGTGTCATATATATGTAAACTACCAAATATATATTTGGCTAAAAATACATATTGTTTTCTACATATAAATTCTCTCACATATTTTTGTTCTCTTCCCTTACTAAATAAACTTCACTGATAAGAAAAGAGCTAAGTAAACTGAGGGACACTAGCATTAAAACTTACTCTAAGGCAGAAAGACTGCTTGATGCCAGCCTGGGCAATGTAGCAGGACCCCATCTCTATAAAAAATAAATTAGCTGGGCATGTTGGCATGCACATGTAGTCCCAGCTACAAAAGGAGGCTGAGGCAGGACGATCACTTGAACCCAGGAGATTGAAACTGCAGTGAGTCATGATTGTGCCACTGCACTCCAGCCTGGTTGACAGACTGAGATCCTGTCTCAAAAAAACAAAAAACAAAAGAAGCCCTCATACAGCTAGTAAGTAGTGGATCCAGATTCAAAGCAGACAGTCTACTTTCAAAGTCTGTGCTCATCATCACTACGTTATGCTGCCTCTCATAGTATATACATCTGATCACACTTTAAGAACATCACAATAGGTAGAAGTTCTTAAATCCATCAGTATGGTTAAATAGTCTACTGCTTGGTCAACATTTCCTTCCATGGCATTAGTTAACTACCAAGTTTTATGCAGTGAGCAAAAGGTCAATATGTATATATACACACACACATATATTTACATATATGGACAAAAAGAACCATGTGACTACAATCTGTCTAAAAATATCCACCTGTTACCATATAAAACATCATACAGACTTTGGGAGTCCGAGGCGGGCAGATCACGAGATCAGGAGATCAAGACCATCCTGGCTAACTCGGTGAAACCCTGCCTCTACTAAAAATACAAAAAATGAGCTGGGTGTGGTGGCAGGCGCCTGTAGTCCCAGCTACTCGGGAGGCTGAGGCAGGAGAATGGTGTGAACCCCAGAGGCGGAGCTTGCAGTGAGCTGAGATCGTGCAACAGCACTCCAGCCTGGGCAACAGAGCGAGACTCCATCTCAAAACAAAAACAAAAACAAAAACATCATACAAATTTAGACATGTCCAAGACCAAAAAATAAACTCAGCTTCTCTCTTCCTCAGTAAAATAGTTAAGAAAAGGCTTTGAAGTTAGGCATCTTGGATTCAATTCTCCCCTCTGTTTCCTTTAGAGGATATACTAGATGGCATACACATAAATAGCAGACTTCCAGTGAACTATCTATCTATAAGTAGCTGTATAATATGTATGGTTGGCTGGGTGCAGTAGTTCATACATGTAATCTCAACATTTTGGGAGGCAAAGCCAGGAGGATTGCTTGAGCTCAGGAGTAAGAGACCAGCCTAAGCAACATAGTGATACCCTGTCCCTACCAAAAAAAAAACAAAAATCAAAAACAAAAAAAAACACATATGTTTTTTTGTGGTGTGTGCCTGTAGTCCCTGCTACTTAGGAGGCTCAGGTGGGAGGACTGCTTGAGCCCAGGAGGCAGAGGTTGCAGTGAGCATGATCATACCACTGCACTCCAGCTTGGGTGACAGAGTGAGACCCTGACTCAAAAAAAAAAACAAATCACTGTCATGGCAAGTATATGATCTAAGAATTGGTGCTTAGACCTCTATACTGCAATAACGAACAAATCAACTTCTACTGTGTTTACCTCAAAACAAGCAAACAAAAGCCATGAACCCAAATCATATTGGGAGATTTTTATTAACTTAAATTGACATTCTTAATTTTGTCTGTAAGTCCTTGGTATATATGCCTTTATTTGAAGCAAACCTACAGGTGTTTCTTAATATGACAGAATCATGAAGACTTGCAGTTAATCAGTGTTTCCTAATGATTAAAACAATGTTCAAATAATTACAAAGTTACTTCATCAAAATACTTAGAAGAATATTCTGAGGAGTGTTTGAAAGCTCTGTTTATAAATAGTGATTGATACATTTATCATGTATTTGGTGCTGAAGATAAACACTTTTTACATAAAACATTGTTTTAATATACTGCTCTACTAATGAGGCTAGTTATTAGATATACTGTATTTTAACACTAAAGAATAAAGCTTTATCTTCGTATTTATCTTATTTATAGGACTCTTATCAATGAAGAACTTTGTATCCAACAATAATAAACTGGCAAATTGCAAGTTACGTTTTGTAGGAGAAGCAAAAAAGACTGGCTGCGACAAAAGAAAGAAGATAACTGCATTATACATGCTTCGTACAAACAGTCCATTCTGAATGGTACAATTAAATGCAGTCCAAATCCTTTTAAATGTTTGTGTGCCTAGATGGCAATTACAATCTCCACACACTAAAAAGAAAAAGAACAATAACACAGAACACAGTATTCTTAATGATTATAGCACATTTAACACCTTCAGCCATCCACTGGGTTTTCAGATCATATTGGCAACTGAAATTTCACATCCACATGTGCTTGCTTCGCTAAGGTCACTATTTCAGAGAGCTTTACAACCTAAAAGAAAAGAACGAAGAATTTTCACAAAAAGGTAAATTCAGAACTACAGGTCAGTGCAAAATTAATGTACACTCAATTTTTTCCATTTAAAACATCTGGACTATTCTGACATTGCTATAAATCACATTACGTTCTTATAAGCAAATGACATTCTCAAAGGATAATCAAGTCTGACACTCCTCATAGTCCAAACTTCAATTAAATACTTTCTGATTAAGATGTTATACCACCTGCTAGGATTACACATATGTATTACATAAGATTATATATGTGTGTATAAAATGTGTGTGTATGTATGTGTGTGTGTGTGTGTGTGTGTATATATATATATATTATTCTAAATTTTATCTTAAAGACAGAAACAGTGAGTGTCTTTGTTGGATACTCCACAACTCAAAGCACATCTAAGTAAAAATTTGTTTTGAAATAAGTATACAATCTTAACTTAAAATGTTGGGATAGAAATTTGGGTCTACTAGTTAGTATTTTACTTTTTGTCAGTAAGTTAACAATTGCTAACCTGAGTTCCAATTCTCTCTACAATCTGTCTAAAAATATCCACCAGTTACCATACAAAACATCATACAAATTTAGACATGTCTAAGACCAAAAAAACAAACTCAGCTTCTCTCTTCCTCAGTAAATTAGTTAAGAAAAGGCTTTGAAGTTAGATATCTTTGGCTGCAAATCCCCCCTCTGATGCTTATGACATACAACCTTGAATAAGTTAACTTATCTAGCCTGTTTCTTCATCTATAAAAATGGAAATTTTATCACCAAATTCATATTAAATGAGATAATCCTTGAAGAAAACAGCTTAGCATTGCATGCACAGTAAACACTCAATAAACAGTAGTAACTGCTAATATCATCATCATCTCATTCAATATTATTATTGTTATGACTTCTATAATCTCCCAGTCAATAAAAACACTGTAGTCATAATTTAAATCAACTGTTCACTTTTACCTCTCATGATCTATTTGATCAAGGTCCTACTGGTTCTTCTCCTTCTTTTCATGTCCTCCAAGCTTTTCTTAATTTAAGTTTTCATTCCAAAAAAGTGCACTTTCAGAGACAAGTTATAACCTATTTATTACCTTCACCTTTTCTCATATCTAAGTATTGCACTAGATGGACTCCTACTATCTCTCCCCTTTTCCCTTCAATATATCCCACATCTCAAAGTCAAAATAGGCTTTCTGAAATACTTTCTCCTACTATTCCCTTGCTCAAATTCTTTATTTTTAATTCAGGTTTAAGTTTAAATTCTTCTGTCTCCAAGCTAGAGTTAAATTTTGTTTACTAGTAAGTACTTTCCCAAAGAAGGACATAAGACTTTTATTATTTTTGTGAAATGACATCACATTAACTCGGTAAATTCAAGAGTCTGGCCAAGCCTGGGGGCTCATGCTTGTAATCCCAGCACTTTGGAAGGCCGAGGTGGGAGGATCATATGAGGTCTGGAGTTCGAGACCAGCCTGGTCAACATGGCAAAACCCTATCTCTACTAAAAATACAAGGCTGGGCGCAGTGGCTCACACCTGAATCCCAGCACTTTGGGAGGCCGAGGCAGGTGGATCACAAAGTCAGGGGTTCAAGACCAGCCTGACCAACATGGTGAAACCGCATCTCTACTAAAAATACATAATTAGCCAGGCATGGTGGTACATGCCTGTAATCCCAGCTGCTTGGGAGGCTGAGGCAGGAGGATTGCTTGAACCTGGGAGATGGAGGTTGCAGTGAGCCGAGATCACACCACTGCACTCCAGCCTGGGCAACAAGACCAAAACTCTGTCTTAAAAAAAAAAAAAAAAAAAAAAAATTAGCTGGGCGTGGTGGCACACACCTGTAGTCTCAGCTACTCAGAAGGCTGAGACACAAGAATTGCTTAAACCCAGGAGGCAAAGGTTACAGTGAGCTGAGATCACGCCACTGTACTCCAGCCTAGGTGACAGAGCAAGACTCAGTCTCAAAAAAAAAAAAAAAAAAAAAATCAAGAATCTACTATTGATTAAGCTATAGAGCCCAAAGAGTGTTCGAGTGTTCAATGAAATGTCTATAAACATAATGGAAGGGAAGACAAAAAATTCTCATCTCTCTGTATCTACTATGAAGTGTTCTCTGATACACATTATTGTTAAGTAAAAGAAACAAAGTATAGATTACCATTAATCTAAAGTGGGAAAAGGGAGACACACACACACACACACACACACACACACACACACACACACAAAGTCCCCCCCTTATCCAATTTCACTTTCTACAGTTTCAGTTACCTGCAGTCAACTGTGGTCCAAAAATTTTAAATGAGAAATTCCAGAAATAAAAAAGTCATTAAGTTTTAAACTGTGTGTTGTTCTGAGAAGTGTGATGAAATCTTGCACCATCCTGCTCCAAGTGGAATGTGAACCATCTCTTTGCCCAGCGTATCCACGCTGTATAAACTACTCTTCCATTAGTCATCAACATTATCTACTCTTGACATCCAACAATCAACATCATGGCTCAATGATCCAGGATGAACCAAAGCAGATGATTCTCCTTCTGTTACATCATTAGGTCAGTAGTAGCCTAACACTATGTCACAATGCCTTCATCATTCACCTCAGTTCATCTCACCAAGTAAGCATTTTATCATCTCATTATCACCACAAAGGTGAGTATAGAACAATAAGATATTTTGAGAGACCACATTCACATTTATCACGGTATATTGTTATAATTGTTCTACTTTATTATTAGTTGTTGTTAATCTGTTACTATGTCTAATACATAAACTTTATCAAAGGAATATATGTACAGGAAGAAGCACAGTATATACAGGTTTGGAACTATCTGTGATTCAGGCACCCACTAGGGGTCTTGCAACACATTCCCTGCAGATAAGGGGGGACTACTGCACACATACATATAGTTATATACATACAATTAGCTTATGTTTTTAAGAAGTGGAAAGATAAACCAAAACTTTCTTAAAAAACAAACAAAAAAAAAAGGTAAAAAGGTTGCCTGTTGGGGAAGAAGTAAAGAGGGAAATATATAAAAGCTAGATTCCCTGATAATACCTTGTTCTATACTTTCCACTTTGGAATCATGTAAATACAAAATAAAAAACAAAAGGTTGTGTTTTTTTTTTTTTAAAAAAAGCAATCCCTTTAAAAACAATGAAACTATACAAAGCTGAGACAAAACACACAGAGAATTATTTCACATGAATTTTAAAATCCACTAAGTTGTGGGACATACCCTAAAGGACAGAAAGAAATGCAGATATAATTGCTTTCAGTAATCAGACTGTTGGTATTCTTATTATAAAACTGTCATATCTGTACTAAGGGACAAAGCAAATGAATAATTATGATAGTATGGCATGAACGAAGGTACAAACAGATGTCAGATAAGAAAAAAAAATCTATACTCCTGGACTTGCATTGAAAATATCAGTATGAACTCAAGTATTACCTCTTTAAAAAATACATGTTTTCTCAGACTTGCCACTTAAAAAGCTCAGAAACAATAATCAACCCAGTATCTATGAATACTCATAAGGCCAAATTGTGCTCTCTAAATACCATTTGGCCCATTCAAGTTCTGACTCAAGAAACGTAAAGATGAGCCTGAAACATTTTATCATACCAGATAGAGGGCTTCTCAGAAGGATGCAACAGTTAACCTGAAGAGGTTCCCAAAGACCAAAGGTTGGACAATTTCAATCACAACTTACATGAACTGAACTACATCAATGTTTTAAGTCATAAGTTCAAAACAGTATGCCAGTGGAACACACATGTGTATGCATGTGTATGCACACACGCACAATACACACACACACACACACACACACACCTGAAAACAAAAAGTAAACAAAATACAAAAAAAACAAAAAACAAAAAAAACCCTAGGTCACCTTTATTGGACATAATAGAACAAACATTATTTTGAAAATTGGTCAATAAAGGCAAATAATCAGGTAATTATCCTACTTTTCCTATGCAAAATGTACTCCATGGTAACAAATGGTTGACACGTGGAAGTATTACTTTTTAGAAGCATTACATATAATAAGTGAAGAATGACAGAATTACAATAGCAACGCTTTGCAACACAAACAAAATACTGGATCTAAGCTATGATGTCAATGGCTAGTAATACCACAAAAAGATTAACATTGTATACGTTTTGATGAAATTAAACACCTACTATGAAATATTCTTGTTCCCTGCTCCCCAAAATCAAATATGAATATGGTCAAGCCTACAGACTGAACTCCCAGTTTACAGGAAATACACAAGGCAGAGAACACAGAGAGGGCAGAGAACACAGTAAATGAATGACAGCCTAAAGATGCAACCATTAAAATCCAGACTATGAGAAACTTAACAAGACCATCAACCTGGATTTTTCAACAAATAAACCACAGAAAATACTTTTCTTTTTAAAAGGGGAAACCAACAGATTAAGAAACTTACTGACATATTAACCAACTACAATGCAGAGACTTATTCTGACCCTTACAAAGAACTTAAACAAAAGATATAAGAGACTCAGAAATTTCAACAGACTGTATTTTTATAAAACATAACCATAATACCATTACCCCACCTAAAACAAGTAACAGTAATTTTTTTATACCATTATCAATACCTTTATCTTTTACAGATGCATGATGAAATGTATGAAATGATATAATGTCTGGGATTTGCTTGAAAATAATCACAGTTGTGGGAGGAAGTAAGAATACAGACAAAACAACAAACAAGATTGGGCAGGAGCTGACCGTTGTTTAAGATGATCACAGATATAAGACGTTCTGACAAAGATTCTCTCCTTGACCAAACTCTCTTTTGTTTTTTCAATATATATTTATCGAATATATAGATAGATACACACACATACATACATATGCGTGCATGTGTGTGTGCGTGCATGTGTGTGTGCGCACATGTGTGAAGATAGGGTCTCCCTATGTTGCCCAGGCTAGTCTCAAACTCCTGGACTCAAGCAATCCTCCTGCCTCAGCCTCCCAAAGGCTACTCTGAACTCTCTTCTCAACTTGGCCCTAACTTTTGGACTTCTGTATTTGTCCCTGCATAGTCCAATTTTACCAAGAATCTTGCTTAAGTCAGTTTAGCCAGGATCCTCCCTTACCCATAATGTATCCTTTTAGTAATTTTTCATCCACTGCCCCGACCCTCTTCCTTGGTTATAAATTCCCACTTTTCCTTGCTGTATTTGGAGTTGGGCCCAATCTTTCTCCCCTACTGCAAAACTCCACTGCAGTAGTCTCTATGCTTATTGCAACAGTCCCTCTGAATAAAGTCTGCCTTAACATCTTTCAGCAAGAGTCATGAATAATCGTTTTCTTTAACCATTCATTACACTCATAATATTTAGCTGAAACACAAATTATTAGCTGTATTAATAATTAGGTTCATTTTAGAATCTGTGTTTATAAATCCTCCTTAGATGAACATGGCCAATTTACCATTCTAGCAGCTTCATCCAAGTCATCACAAGCAAGTATTTTAAGTCCACTGTCCGCTATCAGTGCCTTAGCATCATCGACTCGTGTACCTGTAAATGATTTATGCAAATATAAATGTTTTAAATACACACACAAAAGCATTTTAAAATGTTTGCCAAAACATGGTATAAGAATAAAACCTCAACAGAGGAGACTTCCATTATTTAGTATAAACACTTCTAAACCAAAGAAAACACTGTAAAAGCCCAGGTTATCTTATAAAATATTTTGCCTTACAATAATTCTGACTTGCTTAGTAATTCAGGCAAGTCAGAATTCAAGACAAATCACAACAAATAAAAAGTGTATCAAATTATACCAAGCAAAAGTATAAACATTTTGCCCCAATGTTAAAATGTTTTAAAAACTATAGTTTTAATTTCATATTGTATAATGCTTTCAAAGACACAGCTATTTAAAAACTATGTTTTAACAAACTGAACTCCATGGAAATGTGAACTTTTAAAGAATTAGGAACAACTGCAAGATACCTTTTATACTCACCTTGTAACCGTACCACAACAGGTATTTTAATTTCCAAGTCTTTTACTGCCATGACTATACCCTGTGCAATAACATCACAGCGCATGATTCCTCCAAAAATGTTGACCAGAATAGCCAGTACCTATGAATAAAGTGTTCTGATAGATTAAAATTTAAAAGAAATTTAAGTTCTTTTCCCCAAAAAATACTAGTATATGTGCTTCATGATAAACATTAACTTGATAGAAAGATTTTCAGACCAAACCACAATACCCTCTTCTAGCTCTCTTTATTGAAGTCTATGTAGTCCACTGCCCACCAGAACTTATTTCCATCTCCTTGGGTAATTTCAACACCTAGTTCACATTTCCTTCTCTACTATATCCCATATGAACAAGACCATCTAATTCCATTTACTTTCTCTTGTTAAATTTGGCCATTCACCAACGTGACTACCCCCAGATCATACTGTAAGATAGTCTCATGTGCAAGATCTCCAATTTAGTGTTTGTCACCTATCATTTCCTCATTTATCCCTGTAGGAAAAGGGCGTGTTGTGTGGCAAGAGTAACACCATCCTGAAGCAAAACTGTCATAATGACTAATGTTTGACTCCTGCAGAGCAAGGCCTTCTGCAGCAAGGTCAAGAAATACTGCCTGTAACATAGATAACCCTTATAAAGAAACAATGCCTGTAGCATAAATGACAACTCATAAAGATGTTTACCTAACTTCCTCAATGGTCACAAGTTTGACAAGAGGGTCTGAGATGTGACCAGCTGTGCAAGTGTTACCAAGAAAAAAAGCTCACTACATAAAGGATAATTTCTGGAGGGCTAGTGTGGGGATCCACCATCTCGCAGCCACCCAAGCCATAGCTTCTGTTTCTAAGTCCCTATATAAATTTAGTTTCTTTCTGAGAACTGGATTTGCCAGCCTCTTTCTCTGGCCTCTCAGATCCCCTGGCCTCTGGGGGTACATATGCATAGACCTGCTCACTGCAAAACAATCCCCATCAATGTAATCAACGTTTTACACAAACCAGGCCCTAAGAATCACCCAGCTTCTCCTGTATGGCCCTCTCTTGGGTACATTTCACATCCAAATCTCAGGACCTGTTTGGGTCAGCATTCTTTCAACATCACAATGATAGTTCTGAATCAGTGTTCTCCTATCCTTTCCAAATAATCTCTCTTTTTTAAAAAAAAGAGGTTTAGTTCACTCAGCTATACCAGGGCTTCTCAAACAATGAGATTAAAATGCATTGTAGATACACCAAAATATCATTCCCCTCAATTCTTGGGGCAGCTAGTAATGTTCTGGGGCAGCAGGAGCCTCAGGGCCAGTGGACTCTGACTACAAGCAATCTTCTCCATCTACCTCCAAGGCCCCACTGAAATACCTTCTGTGAATGCCATGACATGAAAAGGGGTGAGACACACTGAGCTATACTATACATTCTTTACCTTACCACTATTATTCCCAGACCTTTAAGAAATGAAGCTCTGGAATTCATAACAGACTAGAACTCATAGCAGCCTTTGGCATCTCTCATCTCTCTCCCTCTCACCTCATTCTGGAGAGTTTCCATATTCACCACCAGGCACCATCTAACACTCCAGCCTTAAAGTTCTTGGATCTTTACTCTACCAAGCCACTTTCACCTGTAGTCAATTTAAACGAATTACTACCATGGATAAATCCTGGACTAGGCCAGAATGAGTGTCTCTAGAATATTAAATGTATAAATCTCATTCTCCGCTCAACCTCCTTCCCCTTTCACTTTAATGCCTTTCTCCTCTAGCTCTATCAAACACAATCTTTTCTTCTTAAAAGCCTCTAGTCCGCCACCCCGCCCCCGCTCCCAAGAAAAAGCCTCTAGTCCCTCAATCCCTCTCTAATCTTCTACTCTATTAGCTCTCAATGGAACTGACTTTCTTCACTATAGAGCCTGGGACATATGGCTAAGCAATTCAGTGTCACTGCCACCTGCATGCTCAATTCTGTCATACCTATTCCTCTGCCATCCTACTTCAAACAATGCATCTTTGGATGATTCCAGCCATAGCTTATTCAGGGAAAAGTAAAAAAGTAAAAACTGAAAACAAAACTGGAAACACTAGCATAACCTGAAGAGCAATAAAATAATAATTCATCAGCAATCCTCAACTTAGCAGTCAGCCTCATACCTTTAACTCTCTTCATAAGCCTTCTATCCCATGCAAGCTCTCTAACTTTTAGCATACAACCTTCCTTTCTTTAGTGGCACCTCAAGAAAGGAGTAACCACCTTTCCAAAGCTGACCTGGCCAGATAATTATCTCCATCTATTTACTACATAGTATTTCCTCCAGGTCTTCACCCCTCTAGCTACATTCACTCTCTTTATTTTCAAATCTCTTCTCTTCCTCCAACTAGAAAGAGCTCATCTTCTTGATCTTCTAAACAAGCAAGAAAACATACACCACAAAACTCTCCTCAGTCCTACTGCCTTTGACTGATAGCACTGCATCCCTTCCATGCCTTTGTAAAAAAAAAAAAAAAAAAAGTCCTGGAAGAGTAATCTCTCCTGGATATCTCTATTCCCTCAATTCCTCATCAAATCAATCCATTACAATCTGGCCTATGCCCCCATCTCTTCTACTATTCTTACGAAGGTTCCCACTCACCTCTTTCAGTTCTTACTCTGTCTGAATAGTCCTACAACATTTGACATTGTTTCCCAATGCCTTACTTCTCAAAACTCTTCACCTTGGTCCTTCGATGTCACCACTCTCTCCCGATCTGTTCTTATCTCTGTCATTTGTTCTCTGTTTTTCATTTGGGTTTTCCTTCTCTATTCAACCCTTCAACAAAAATGGAGGGGCCAGGTTCCATTCTTGGTTCCTCATCTCACTTGCACAGATCACCTCACCAACTCCTAAGACTTCAACTTTTCTCCAATATAGGAAGTACAATATCTTTTCAATGAACTGTCTACTAGATATAGTCACCACAATCCAAACTTGACATTCATTCTGAAATACCTATTCCTCGACTTTGCCTCTGACAGCATGAAAGTCATCACCACCCAATGATTCTCCCCAGCCCAAAGTCCTAATGTTAACTTAACCAACCCTTCTATGAGGCTCCCAGAAAAGAAGAAAAAAAATGAATTTAATGACCCTATCTCAGAAATGCCTCTAATTTATTCTTACTGATATTGCCTTTGTCAGGGATCTCTTCCACAAGAGAATTCATTATGAATTCTCTTGTGTATGTGCTGGGGTAGGGAGTTAAAATCCAAACTCCTTAACTATAGATAATAGGGATCTTCACAAATGTGGTCACAATTTGCCAACATTATCTCTTATCATTTATCCCAATAATGCCATATTCTTACACATAAGCATCTTACCACCCCATGAACATAATGGCCCTCTCTGGATTCTATGTCTTTGTACATTTTCTTCCTCTTGCCCTCATTTAATTTTCAAGACAGCTTAAGGTATCATCCATTCAGTGAAGGCCACCCTGATTCTCCCAGTTTTTGCCTCTGTCCTCTGTTCTTCCACAGCACTACTTTGTGTCAATCACCCCAGTAAAACTATAAGTAACTTAAGAGAAGGGCCCATGTATTTCCAAGTCCAAGCACAGTGACCATCACAAAATATATGGCCACTTCAATGCTATCCACATTGACACCCTGGGTTACCATTCTGTTTCCAACTCTGACGCCCATCATGTCAGTCCCCTACACTGTAACTCTTCATATACTTTTCTCCATTCTTGCACCTGGGCCCTAAAAGCCATGCTTAGAAAAATAAACAACTAGAATTCTAATTCTAGTTGTAAGTACTCAACTCAATTCTAGTAGTAAGTACTCAACAGTTAGATAATTAGATTGTCTTTAATACTCTGCTTCTCGAGTTTGTCAAAAGAAGCTATAGAAATATAGTTCTAATAAAATGTTTACTTGTTTTAGTAATTACTAAACAAGGGAAATAATGCACATTTTACATCTCATTTAGTTTAATCCTCCTTGCAAAATTAATAAATATGGAAAATAAGGCTGTAGGCTCAAAGGAAAAGGCATTGAAATAAATTTATATTTTAAACAATTCTACGGTCTAACACCACAAATAAAAATATACATTGCCAGCAGCATCATCAATAATAAATATTGATTAATGACCTACATATGTACTGGGCATTATACCAGACACTACGAGAAGCAACAATTAGTAAGATATCATCCCTATCAGTGAAGAATTCTCGGTTTAAATCCAGTAAGAATAGTTCCACAGAGATTATTATCTTTTTTGTAAGCCTTACAAAATCTACACTGGCCACACAATAGATACACTCCTTAACAAATATCTAGTGATTAATAATATATATGTCTTTTGAATTATGATACTTCACATCCCTTATACTTTGATAATCATTAATAAACACATAGTTCTAAATTATGGCACATCTATAATGACAGATTACACAAACATTAAAATGAGTGTTTCAGAAGAGTCTCTTGGTGAATTGCAAAAATCTTCAAGATATGATAGCAAAAAAAGACTCAAAATATATATTAAAAGACATATATATGAATTCTAAATTCTAAAACATAAAAATATACATTTTTATAAGTATTTATTTTATATATTTACATGATATAAAAATATATCAAGCCCTGCCCTTACCTTTTTATCTGAAGTGATAAGCTTAAATGCTTCTGTTACTTGATGGACTGTAGCACCACCACCAACATCAAGGAAGTTGGCTGGAGTCCCTCCATGAAGTTTTATTATATCCATTGTGGCCATAGCCAAACCAGCACCATTTACTATATAGGGGAAAATGATTTGTATAAGCAACAAACACAGAGAAAATAAATTAAACTTAGTAAATCCAAATTAAACTTAGTGAATCCAATTCTAACATAAAAACACATGGTACCTAGGCAGCCTATATTTCCATCGAGGCCAATGTAGTTGAGATTTGCCTTAGCAGCATCTTTGTCCCTTTCATCTTCCTGGGTCCAGTCCTGTAGATCAAAGATTTTCTTTTGGCGATAGGCTGAATTAGAGTCAAAATTGATCTTTGCATCCATACACAATACTTTGAAGGGAAAAAGAGAAAAATGACCTTAATTTCAAGACAGATACAATAAAGTATCAAATAGTCAAATGGTCTTTCATTTAGGGAAAAGACACATTTTAATTTTGTTACTTAATGAAAATATTTCAATTTATGTTCACTATGAATTCAAACTGTTCTTTAAAAAAGAATATTTGGGAATTAAAACTGCCCCATCAAAGTTATTGGGTCTACATCCATGCTATGCACTACATAAAGAAAAAGAAAACCTCAAAAATATTTTAAATTATTTAAAAATTGTCAAAAATTAACTATCCTTGTTCGTAGCTAACCCCATCACTTGGGCCCCATATCCCATCCCCTCTCCTCTACTCAAAAATAATGTTCCAGCAATTCTGTCTCCCCTACATTATAAATCTGCCTCCCCCCACCCCTTACCTTTCTATTGGCTAAATCTTGCCGACTTGCTAAAACAGTTTTATTTCCTCACCTTAATAAAAAGAAAAAAAAATCTTTTAACTCCTATCTCCCCCTTACTCTTTACTACATAGCAACTCCTTGAAGATTTGTCTAATTAAAAGAGGGGTCTCAGAACAAGGGTTTCTGGGGAAAAAAAAGAAATAGAGGGGTGAGCAAACTATGGCCAGATTCGGCCTGTGCTTGTTTTTATTTTTTATTTTTTTGAGACAGGGTCTCGTTCTCACACCCAGACTAGAGTGCAGTGGCATGCTCTCAGCTCACTTCAACCTCCACCTCCCAGGCTCAAGCAATTCTCATGCCTCAGCCTTCCGAGTAGCTGGGAATACAGGCATGCACCACAACACCCAGCTAATTTTTGTAGTTTTAGTAGAGATAGGGTTTTGCCATGTTGGCCAGGCTGGTCTCGAATTGCTGACCTCAAGTAATCCACCCGCCTCAGCCTCTCAAAATGCTGAGATTAAAAGTGTGAGCAACTGAGCCCAACTTGTGCCTGTTTTCAAATGGCCTGTAAGCTAAGAATGGATTTTACACTTTTAAAGGATTATGAAGTCAAAAGGGGAAAAGAAAGAGAAGAAGAAGAAGCAAAACAGCAGCATCAAAAACTATATGTGATCCATAAAGCCTAAAATACTTATTAAATGCCAACCCCTGTGCTTAAACTCCTTGTACCAAATTTTTTTCCTGCCATTCTCTCTTATACCCACTCTAATCAGGCTTTTACTCCCAGCACTCTACCAAAATGGCTCTTAACAAAGGTCACCTCTCTGACTTCACCTTTCAGTACCCTACCCCTTCCTCACTCCAATCTAACCACAACATTCTCCTTGCAGCTCCTGAAAAGATACAGGGTTGAAAGAAGCAAGCAATTTCAGCTGCTGCCCAACACAGGAGAAAAAGTTTGGAGCCCAGCTAAGTTAAGTACCCTTAATACCAAAAGTCAATATTCTTTCAGAGGAAGATAACAGAATTCAGTCTTTACACCATAGCTCCCAAAATGCACAGTGTATGAGTCAAACTTACTAGATCCGTAATGAAACGGGGAAATGTAACCACTAGTAAAGAGAAGAAACAGTCAACTGAAACCAAACCCACAGTAACCCAAATTTAGAATAATCAGAAGACTATTATAAACTTTTTAAAACATGTTTAAGGATTTAAGAGAAAATATGGTCATAATAAATGAACACACAGGTAATCTAAGCAGAGAATAAAACAAGGGAACAACATGGAAAATCCAGAACTAAAAAGTATAATATCTGAAATAAAAAATTCACTGGATGAACTTAACAGCAGACTGGTGATGGGTCAGTGAACCTGAAGACAAAGAGAAATTATCCAATCTGCAGGAAGAAAAAAAAAGAAAAAAGAAACTGCACCTCAGTGACCTCTTGGACAATATCAAGAAGTCTAATGTGAAACTGGAAGAAAAGGAGAATGGGACAGGAAAAAAGTGATGAAAGAAAAATATATCAAGCCAAGATTCTATATCCAGTGAAAATATACTTCAAAAGAAGGACAGAATAAAGATATTTGCAGAATAATGGAAACAATATTCATCACTAGCAGACCTGTGCTAAGAGAAATGCTACAGAAAGTTCTTCAGGCTCAAGGGATGTAACGTGGAAATCTGAATCTAAAGTAGTAAATGTCAAGAAGGGGCAGTTTTGTCCCACAGGGGACATCAGGAAATGTCTGGAGGCATTTTTGTTTGTCACAAATGGAGGTTGCTACTGGCACCTGAATGCTACTGGATAAACATCCTGTTAAACATCCGACCAAGCACAGGACAGCCTCCCATAACAACAACAAAAAAATCAACCTACCCTAAAATGTCAATAGTGCCAATGTTGGTAAATCTTCATCTATGGGTAGGAAAGAACAACAAAAATATATGAGCAAATTGAAACCAACCCAATAGTCCCACAGACTATTCTTTTGGATAAACAGTGAAATTGATCTTTCTGGTCTTAAAGCTTGAAGCTTACATTTGTTTTATCTCAGTTCCTTCCTCAGGAAGGGACCTTCATGGCTCTCAAAAAAATGTGTCAAAGAACTGAAACTCACCAGATCACCACATCCAGACAATGAGACTAGACTCTGGACCTCTCATTCATCATGATTGCTTCCTTGACCCTCCCTAGTTCCTATTTTCTTACACATTGTTACATTTTTTTCCTTGCTATATAAACCCCGAGTTTTAGCCAGTCAGGGAGATGGATTTGAGACTGAGCTCCGATCTCCTCAGCTGCAGCACCCGATTAAAGCCTTCTTCCTTGGCAATACTTGTCTCAGTAATTGGCTTTCTGTGTGGCGAGCAGCAGGACCTAGACCAAACCCCTAGTGATTCCGTAACAGATTTTGGTTAGTTGACAGGGAACATGTTGCTTGTGACTCAGCTGATGTGGGCAGGGAGTCTCAGAAGCCATCCTAAGCAGCTGCCCACCCAGTTTTGGCTGAAGGTGAGTGTCAGTCTCTCTCTGGCCCCACCACAGCCGGCCCCAACCACATTCCTGATTGCCTCATTAGAACTGCCTTTGAAACTTGACATTGCATCGATATAGGTAAGTGTCCCTTATGGGCCTAGACATAAGGATTTGCTCCTCTCATTTTGGGAAATCTTTAAAGAATTTTCATTTGTAGATTGAACAAGCCCAAATGACTGAGAGAGGGAAGCACCCTAACTGTTTCAGTAAGAACATTCTTGGAGGTTTTTCTGTAATTGCGTGTTGTGTCCGGGCAAGTGAGCGTCCTTTGTGGGTACCGGACAGTTGGATCAGCTCCTCTCAATTTGGGAAATTCCTAAGGAATTTTTGTTTGCAGTTGACCAAGCCCAACTAATGGAGAGAGGAAGCACCTCAAGTGTGTCAGTTTGGACACTTTTGGGGCTTGTTTGTTGCTGTAGCAGCTGGATTGTGTTTGGGTGATTGTGTTTCATATAGTCATGAGAAATTAGAATTTGGTAAAATGATACACTTTTGCAATACTGTTTGGTCCCAGTGTTGTTTGGAATCTGGGGTTTGCTGCTGAATGAAAAAGTGGGATGGAGTTGTGTGTTACCCAGACTTTTGTGCTGCTACGCTAAGCAGGGTTGAGCCTGGTTAGTATGTGATGTTCTCCTTTGCTGATGTTTGGCCCCAGTGTTCTTTGGAGTCTGGGGAGGTTTGGCCTTTAGAAAATCAAACTGCCCTGAAAACTGCTTTACCCAAAGTTTTGGTTCACAGCTTTCAGTGAATTACCTATTGGAGTAAACAAAGTGTAACCATGTAAAATCAGTGAGTTTGTATTGCTATCTCATGGCTAGAGTTCCAAGGTAAACACTACTGGATTTTCATTTGTGTGTGTGTATACATACATGTCTAGATGTGTTTATTTGTATGAACACTTATTGTTATATGTTGTGTCTACCAAATTGGCTTATAAGTAAAAGAGCACTCATAAATTAAGTCCAAGCAATTTTTAAGTTCATGTGAGTTAAGTAAATCTTTACTAAACAAGCTAGCTTTAAAATAGTTAGTAAAATGAAAATAGCAACGTCCTCAGAATTGTCAGCATACATTTTTGCCTGGATTTTATATTTGTCTCTGGTAGGTATTTTGAGGTGTCAGGGTTTGGCATAGAAGGTTATAAAACTATAAACCCAGCCAAAACAAAATGATCTTTGTGCAAATTTTTTGAAAAGAGTAATTAAGTTATTGGTTTAATGAAAATAGTTATTGGTGAAAATGCCTATGTAGTTAACTTTAAAGTTCTTATTTCAGTGAATGACTGATATTCATAGATTATAAAATGGTTAATAAGGAAATAACTTTAAATGATGGCATCTAATATATGTTTTCAGAAGTAATCTAGATAAACTGTTTAAAATGAAAGAACTGAATACTTGTAATTGGGATAAATGTTTTAGGTAAACTTCTTGTGTAATTTAAAATTTTGAAATTATTTTTGATGCTCATTGGATATCTGGGTCATTTCCAGTTAAGAAAGGGTTGTGATATAGGGAAATACGTTTCTAAAAATTGTGGAACTGTTCTCATCTATAAAATGCTAATATAGTTCAGGACTGCTTTCTAGGGTTTCACTAACATTTAAGGTTACTAAGGATAAGATATAATTCTGTTTAAAAAATGTGCCCCAAAAAATGTTATGAGAAAAATAATAATTTTGTTTAATTCAGAAGTTATCTAAAAGTTAATTCAAATTATGGGCTTGAAAAAGTTTTTTATGAAACAAGGTAGTAAGGAAACAAGTGGGGGAGAAAGGTATGAAAAAAATTATGTATATGATGATCATGTATTTTTGGTAAGGAAGGTTATAAAGATAATAATTTTGTATGTGAAAAGATCTTGCTGTCCTGGAGTAAAATGATGTTATTTAAACAAATAAGAAAGAAGAAGGGAGAGGGAGAAGGAGGAGGGAGAAGGAGGAGGAGGGGGAGGAGGAGAGGTGGAGGAGGAGGGGCGGAGGAGGAGGGGGGAAGGGGAGCGGGGGGAGGAGGAGGAGGAGGAGGAGGAGGAGGAAAATCTGGGACTGATCGGAAAGCCCAGGAGAAGGAGGAGGAGGAAGAGGAAAAAAATCTGGTACTGATTGGAAAGCCCAGGCATGTCATGGATGGTCTGTGTAAGTCATATGTAGCTTTTCTGGTTTTCCAGTGTATAGTCTATCTTCATGCACAAAAAGAGAAAACAGAACACAGAAGAGTTTAGACAATAGATTCTTTAAAACCTGAGAATGAGAGAAATTTGGCTAATTAACATTTCATAGTTAAAGCTCTTAGTCTTGATGAAGGTAAAATAAGAAATACTGTAAAGAAATGCATCAGCAATTTAGCAATTCTTAATAGTTAAGCATGAAGCCAGATCTAGTGTGGACCCATATTTCACATACATGCTTACATTGCTTCACACTATGTTAGCTGTTTTGCATGGATACTGCTGGAGTATTTACTGATCATGGGCCTAGAGTGAATTTCTTGATTGCACAAGATGTATGGTGATATTGGTGGACTTAAGGTTATTGAATTGTGTACCAGGAATAAAATATTCATCATGTGGTTTTTTTGGGAGGTTCTGGGTAACACTGTAGCCTCCAGGGTAGACTGAGTAGGGGAAAGATTGAGGGCTGGGTTTCCTGTTTGTTTTTTGCTTCTAATTTTCATTTGTTTGCTGTTGTTCTCCTGTGGGTTTTGCTTGTGTATACATATATATAAAACCGTAAACTTTTTAAGTTTCTAATGGAAAGCTTTTGTTTGGTTCTACAATTTGCCCTATTTATCTAAAGTTCCTAAGCTACTGTGGTCAAGCCTTTAAAAATTGATAGAGGACACCAGCCATTTAAAATTTGGTGGATTTTGCTTACCTCTGATGATCTAAAGAACTACAAGAGCTTTAAGATTTCTGGCACACACACAAAAATAATAATAAAAGACAAGTTCTGAACAGTACATTATATATTCTGTTATTTGGAAAAAGTAGGGGAGAATAAAAATGTTTAAATGTTTATATCCAAGATAATTCAATTCAATCAATAATTTAATGAAGAAAAACTGTGATGTGGGTACAAAGTTTTAATGTTCAGAAAAGACGGGCCCTGTCATTAAGGAAATTATATTGATTAGGATTTCTCTTCAAACTAATTTAGTTGTGTGGACCATTATTAAAATTAAGTGACATTCATTTGAATTAAGTAGTTAAAAAAAAAAAAGAGAGACTTTCTAGTGACTTTTGATCCCAAGAAGTTTATCAATGATGGGCTTTCATCTGTACTTGTAAACAGAATATGTGCAGGTGTCGCACTGGTTTGAAGATGAACACTCATAATGAACTGCTTTTATGAGACACAGGGCCAGAAGTTAAAACGATTCAATCCCTCTAGGCCCAGGGATCACTGCGGAAGAGGTAGCCATGTAAGACTGTAAAGGCCGATTTTGAGGGATAAGATCAGAGTTTTTCTATAAATTAAACATTAATACCAAAAGCACACTGATGCAAGGCCAGCATCTGGGTCTATGTGTTAGAAGAACATGGTTTTCTTGGAGCACTGATATGCTCTTTAAAAAGAAAATTGGGGCCAGTTATTAAAAGTTTATGGAAATCTTACCTTATGGTCAAACTGATTAAAATTAGATAGATTTGTTTATATAGTTTTATTAACTTTAATAATATATAAAGGAAAATTTTGGTTTTTGCTTTTGAACAAAATGTTTGTGTAATATTAAGAGATAAAAGATTTTGTTTGCCTTCTGAGTAAGTTGCAAAGAGAAAATGGAGTGGGGGGGGCCAGACAGGTTTAGTTGGCATGCTATCTTTATTACATCTTATTGCTTAGGAAAATTAGTCTCCTCTCTATGAAAAAGTAAATGTTTTTGTATAATTTTGGCTAAATGAATGACATTTTACAGTGACTTTGTGATTCTATTTTGTGATAACAAGTGTCTTAAAACTTTGATATTTGGCAAACTTTCTATAAGCAAAATTTCAAGATCGAAATTCAGTCTTTTTGACCTCAAACTATTTTTTTTGGATATTAGGTTCCCTGACATCCAAGAGAGATATATCAGGCTTATTAGGCTTGTTATGTTAGAATTATACAGGAAGCATTATCAAATGTGAGGTAGTATTTAACTGTCTTTGGGTTATATTTATTTAGATATGTTGTTAATATGCATTCCAGGATTCTACGACATTCCTGAAATTCTGATGTGTCTTAATATATGTTGTCAGTAGTAATTATGATTATGTTAAATTGTTGTATGCCACACAAGTAACCAAATATCCTTATCAACTGTGTCTTTATGACTGTCTTATGACTTTCAACATCCACAATTGATATATTGCTTTTAATCTCCTCAAAAAGTGACTTATAATCACCTATGGTCCAGGGCTTGCTTCTTTGGAGGAGTTCATGAAAAGGATTCTTTAATGCAGGTTTCTAAAAACTTTGCAGTTTGTGCCCCTGGATTAGAGAGACCTTTCAGGACTCTAATTAAAGAGCTGATGTGTTTATAAAGATTGCTAACCCAATATGAAGCAGAGCAGGAGTTCATTGCATGGACTGAAATAATGAAGACTGAAATAATTTTTATGGCTTTTTTTGTTTGAAATATTGATGATTCTTTTGTTTGTTTTTTGTTTTTCAGAGTCTGGAGAATATGTTCCTTTTGAGCTATATATAGCCTTGATATATACTTTAAGTGTATTGAGTAGAGGATACTTTAATAAGTAGAATTTGAGGCATATTTCTCTCTCTGCCTAATTTCTCCAGAATTTGGAAACTGTGAATATTCTTAATTCATGGAAAATGTGTTTATTTGCATATATTTAATAAAAACCTGTTTTCTTTTGTAATGGGACACAGCCAGAGGAACTGGCTATTTTCCTAGGACTTTGACTCAAATGACCTTGTGAAATGTTCCAGCAAAGCCAATTTGGAAGAATCTATGGGCAATGATTCTTGTCGCACTGTGTGTGGGTAATCAGGCCAAGTATATGGGACTGAAGATTATTTTGCAGGTAGATTGGTAGAAGCTTATTTTGCAGGTAGATCCTGCTGTGATTTGTCTTTGGTGGAAGTGGTACACCAGAGAGAGAAATATTATGTGTCAGAAGAAACTCTCTATTAGATGAAACTTTGATTCCTGGGTGGCTACATGGTCACCTATGGTATGGAGCTGCCTATGACACCCTTCCTCAGCATGAAGCAGCCAGAAAGACCAATGACTGGATTCCTCATGATTGAGGAACTGATAAATAGAAAGGGAAGACTGAAACTGACCCAACAGTCCCATAGACTGTTCTTTTGGATAAACACAGAAATTGACCTTTCTGGTCTTAAAGCTTAAAACTTAGGAGTTTTTCCTCAGGAAGGGACCTTGGGACCTCTCAAAAAAATGTATCGAAGAACTGCAACTCACCAGATCACCACATCCAGACAATGAGACTCTTACCACGTATTCATCATGACTGCTTCCTTGCCCCTCCCTAGTTCTTGTTTTCTTACACATTGTTACGTTTCTTCCCTGCCATATAAACCCCTGGTTTTAGTCAGTCAGGGAGATAGATTTGAGACTGAGATCCTATCTCCTCAGCTGCAGCACCCAATTAAACCCTTCTTCTTTGGCAATACTTCTCAGTGATTGGCTGTCTGCGCAGCAGGACCTTGACCAAACCCCTGGTGTTTTGGTAACGAAAGGAATAACTATATTGAAGCTAATAAAAACCATTTATGTAAATGTTGAATAAGAAAATTATAAACATAGAAAGTGGTAAAGCTAGAATGAACCTTGAAGAACTCAAGTGGAATTAGAGTTATCAGTATAAATTTGGAGATTTTTAAAAACACAGATAGAAGGCCAGGTGCAGTGGCTCACGCCTGTAATCCCAGCACTTTGGGAGGCTGAAGCAGGCGGATCACCTGAGGTCAAGAGTTTGAGACCAGCCTGGCTAACATGGAGAAACACCATCTCTACTAAAAATACAAAAAAGTAGCCAGGCATGGTGGCACGTGCCTGTAATCCCAGCTACTCGGGGGGCCGAGACAGGAGAATCGCCTGAACCCGGGAGGCGGAGGTTGCAGTGAGCTGAGATCACGCCACTGCACTCCAGCCTAGGCAACAGAACGAGACTCTGTCCCAAAACAAACAAACAAAAAAAAAAACAGACATAAATATAGGTGTGTTTTTATGTACGTGTACAAACATATACATACACATACACACACACATACTTCTTGGTTCTGTTTGTTGAAAAGGCCTGGAAGCAATGACACAAGATTAGCAATATGCATTAAGTAGTATGTCTATCTTGGTACCTATTAATAAATATTGTTTTCCACAAAAAGAAGCCAGGGTCCTTTGGAGAAAAGGTGGATTGCCGAACTGTGACAAGGAAAACTGAAGATAATCCTGGAATATCTTGTTGCACAAAATGTAAAAGGCTTGCTCAAATAAAAATATGGGCATATCAAAAGGACAAAGGGAGGACTTACAGTCACACAAACCTTGCAAATGTTTGTAGCAGCTTGTTGGTAATAGAAAACTACCGGAAATAACCCAAATACCCTTCAAAGTGTAAACGGTTGAATGAAATCAGGTACTTCTATACAGTGGAATGCTACTCAGCAATGAAAAAGAAAAAGATGCAACAACCTGGATAGACCTCAAAGGCATTATGTATAGTAAAAAGGTCAACCTTAAAAGGTTATATATTATATGATTGCATTTATATAACATTCTCAAAATAAAAAAAAAACTATAGAGGATGAAGAATAGACTAGTGATTTTCAGGGCACAGGGACAGGGTAGGAAAGAATTGGTAGACAATGTGAATGCAAAGAGGTCTCCTGTGTTGATGGAACAGTCTGTATCTTGATTGTGGTAGTGGCTACTCAAATCTATGTATGGAATAAATTAAATAAAATTATACATATACACACAAATAACTGCAGGTTTAAAATGTTAAAAAAAATGTTGAAAACTAAGTAAAATATTTAGTCTAGCTAACAATAATGAACCAATGTCAACTAACTGTTTGGGTATATACAGCTAAATAAGATGTCATCATTGGGCCAGGCGTGGTGGCTCAAGCCTGTAATCCCAGCACTTTGGGAGGCCAAGGCGGGCGGATCACAAGGCCAGGAGATCGAGACCATCCTGGCTAACACGGTGAAACCCCGTCTCTACTAAAAATACAAAAAATTAGCCGGGCGTGGTGGCGGGCACCTGTAGTCCCAGCTGCTTGGGAGGCTGAGGCAGGAGAACGGCATGAACCTGGGAGGCGGAGCTTGCAGTGAGCTGAGATCGTGCCACTGCACTCCAGCCTGGGTGACAGAGCAAGACCCCGTCTCAAAAAAAAAATGTCATCACTGGGTGAAGGGCATGCAAGACTATTAATTTAACAACCTCCTGAAAGTCTGTATTTGTTTCAATATTGTAAGTTAAATTATAATTTTATTTATAATTTTTCATTTATTTAAAAAAAAAAAAAAAAGAGGCCACAGGAGCAAGCCTGAAAGTGGCCTCTGCTGGCCAAATCTGGGACAGTCTGCGTAACAAAATAAGGATTAAAATGGATAACTCATTGATTAAAGAATGGATGAGCCCATCCTGATACAAACGAATGGGGCAGAAGAGAAAGCTCTTCCGTATAATACAAAGCCAACTAGTAAATATAGAGGGAATGATGTAGTTAGAAAATCATCAGCAGATGCCAAAACTAATGGGTAAAAGTTTGACAAGGAATATAATATTTTCCCACAAATTTCATAGTAATTACAACGGGAAAAACTAATGACTCTATAATGAAAAAAGCTTCTGGAAACGATCTTAAACAAGTGAGCCAAGTTAACATTATCAATACTGGAACAAACCAACATAATGTACCTCCTGACATTGTGCACTATGAAGGAAAAAAAAACCATGAGGGAACATCAAACAGAGAAACACAAACTGAAGGGCATTCTATGAAATAAATGACCCCTTCTTTAAAAAAAAAAAAACAAACAAACAAAAAAAAAAAACAAAGAAAAACAGGAACAACAAAAAATAAGGTCAAGAAATAAATCAAACTTCCAGATCTGTTCCAGGTCAAATGGATGTGACAACTCAATTCAATGTGTGATCCTGGTGGTCCTGGGGAAAAATAGTATAAAGGACATCAGTAGGACAGCTGGCTACATTTGAATATGTATTATGAATTAGATAATATTTTCTCAGTATTAAATTTCTTGGTTTTAATAAATGTAGTCAGGTTATATAAGAGAACGTTCTTGGCTTGCGCCTGTAATCCCAGGACTTTCGGAGGCCGAGGCAGGCAGATCACGAAGTCAGGAGATCAAGACCATCCTGGCTAACATGGTGAAACCCCATCTCTACTAAAAATACAAACAATTAGCCGTATGCGGTGGTGAGCACCTGTAGTCCCAGCTACTCGGCAAGCTGAGGCAGAAGAATGGTGAGAACCCGGGAGGTGGAGCTTGCAGTCAGCCGAGATTGCACCACTGCACTCCAGCCTGGGCGACAGAGCAAGACTCTGTCTCAAAAAAGAAAAGAATATTCTTGTTTTTAGACACTAGAAGAACAATGTCTCCAACTTACTCTTAATGGTTCCAAATATATTTGTATTTTTATACACACAAATGCATGTGTACACAGACAGAAAGAGAGCAGAAAGAGAATAAAACACAGGGTGAAATGTAAACAACCGGCAATGTTGACTAAAGTGTATTTAGGAGTTCCTTATAGTATTTATTTCTGTATCAAAATTTAAAAGTAAGGGGAAAAAAGCACACATGGTACCATATTCATAGTAAGGAATGATTTAGTTCAGCAAAACATCACCCATTAAATTAAATTAATGCTGTTGAATAGGAAAAAAATTGGCAATTCTTATCCTTTTACTTTCCATATAAATTGCATAAGGATCCACTCTTGGATGGTTCTTGGACAGTTTTTAGTTAATCCTTAGATAATTACATTTAAGTTAGATAGGCTGGTGCAAAAGTAATTGCCGTTTTTAAAAAAAAAAAAAAAAGGCAAAAACTGCAATTACTTTTGCACCAACCTAAATATTAAGAAACTGACCCCTTTGATAATGAGTATTCCTCACAATTCCTACATTCCTTGCAGTTGTTCAGTTTGAAATATTTTCTCATTTCCATTATTATTTCTTCATTAATTCAGAAATTATTTTCAAGTATTTTCTTTAAATAAAAAAAAAAAAATAGGCTGGGTGTGATGGCTCACACCTTTAATCCCAGCACTTCAGGAGCTGAGGTAAGAGGATGGCTTGAGTACATGCGTTGGATGAGCCTAGGCAACATATTGAGGGCCCGTCTCTACAAAAAATTTTAAAAAGAATTAGCCAGGCATGGTGGTGGCATGGGCCTGTAGTCCCAGCTACTCAAGAGGCTGAAGAGGGAGGATCGCTTGAGCCCAGAAGTTTAAGGCTGCAGTGAGCTGTGATTGTGTCAGCGTACTCCAGCCTGGGCAACAAAGCAAGACCGTGTCTCAAAAAATTTAAAAATATAATATTTTATATTAATTTCCAATGTTATTGCTTTGTGTTTACAGATCATTATCTGTGTTATAAATTCTTGGATATCTGCTGAAACTTTTTAATTTGTGACTCAGTATTAAGGTTTTTTAAATCAGTATTTGGATTAAAAAAGTGTTTTTCTAAATGTTGGGTAGCCCATTAAATTTTTAAAAAGTTGGGGGAAGAGGGGCATAAGGAACATCTAGTGAAGGCAATTTAATCTAATTTTAGTTTTACTAGAAAGCTTAAAAAAAGAAAATAAAGTTCTCACTGCAGAACCTTTACTTTAGCATTACTAAAAGTAGAATAAGATACTCTAAAAAACTAAAAGTAAAGCTAAAGTAAAATATTAATTGATTAAAGACTTAAAAGTAAAAATGAAACAATTTAAAAAATAGAACATCTCTAACTAAACTGACCCAAAAGAAAAAAACAGAACACATTGAGGATGAATATTTACTGATCTTAAGATGGAGAATAAAAAAATCTCTCAGCATAAAAGTAATGGAACTCGGCTGGGCGCAGTGACTCACGCCTGTAATCCCAGCACTTTGGGAGGCAGGGGCAGGCAGATTACCTAAGGTCAGGAGGTCAAGACCAGCGTGGCCAACATGGTGAAACCTCATCTCTACTAAAAACACAAAAAAAATTATCCAGGCGCGGTGGTGCATGCCTGTAGTCCAAGCTACTTGGGAGGCTGAGGCAGAAGAATTACTTGAACCCAAGAGGTGGAGATGGCAGTGAACCCAGATCACGCCATTGCACTCCAGTGTGGGCGACAAAGCAAAGCAAGACTCAGTCTCAAAAAAAAAAAAAAAAAAGTAATGAGATTTGAGTACATGCAAAAACAAAAATATTTCCCCAAAAATCAAATAACATTAAACAATAAAGGACAATCTCAGAAAAAGATTCACACCAAATGTCAGAAAAAAGATTGACATCCCTAATATATAAAGACCCCATATACATAAAGAGTTCCCCAGGATATGTTATTAAGTGAATAAAGAAAGATGCAAAATGTATATAGTATGCAATCTATATATCCAGATAGCTAATTCCATAAAATTACAGCTCAATCACCACCACACTGCATACACTAACCCAGCACTGCCCAATAAAACCTTCTGCAATGATGGGAATGTTCTGTGTGTGTGCTCTTTTAATATGGTAACCACATTTGGCTATTGAGTATTTGAACCATGACTAGTGCAACTGAGTAAATGAATTTTTAAATCTTATGTAACTTTAATTAATTTTAATAACTACGTGTGGCTGATAGTCACTGTATTGGACAGTACAGTTCCGACCCCTCTGTGCACGTCTCTATAAGGTGTTTGTTTTATTTTTTGTTTGTTTGTTTAATGGGTCTAATAGTGTTTTGTTTTAATGGGTTTAATATTTGTTCATATTCATTCTATCTGATTTTTTTTTAAAAAGCTTCTACATAGGTAGAAGTTTAACTACTTTAACTTCTATGATTTAACTTCCTTAGGGAAGCATATTAGAGAAATAAATGCATAATCATGTTAGACAAAAGAAGATACTTTACCAGCTCCATCTGAATCTTCCACCATTGGATTTATTTCTATCATGGTTGCATCGTATTTCAGAAAAAGGCTGTAAAGCTTGACCATGTTTTCTGCTGCTGATTCCACAATATTAGGTGGAAATCCCATCTTCTGTGCAAGCTGAAATCAATATGTCTTTTTATTATAGGTAGTTTGCATATGTCTAATCAACATTACTATAAATAAAAAGCCTTGTAGTTTATCACTTAAATGATAAACATGAGTCATTTATAGTCAAACATTACTGAAATAGCAGCTACCATTACTAAATGGTTAAACAAAACTTTTTATTCAAAATCTTCAAAAGATAGATATTATGCCCATTTTATAGATAAGAAAGAGATTCAGAGAGATCAAGTAACTTGCCATTCATTGGCCTAGATTCCAGTTCCATAGTGTCCATACTGCCTAAGCTTTACTGCCAACCTAAGCTGAAAGAAGAGGTTTATATTTTATTAAAACTATATATAAAATGTGAGCCGGGCACAGTGGCTCACACCTGTAATGCCTGCAATTTGAAAGACTGAGGGGCCAGATCACTTGAGGCCAGGAGTTACGGACCAGCCTGGCCACCACAGTGAAACCCCATCTCTACTAAAAATATAAAATGTGGACTGACAACCCTTATGGTCCAAAGAAAAGCCAAAATATTAGAAGACCCTATTTTACCTTTTGTATAATTTATAAAGAGTGTCTACCAAGCAATAAGAATACATGTCATACAGTCAAATGAGTGTTATCCCATTTATTCAAAAATCTACCAAGCACCTATTACATTCCAGGCACTGTGCTAGGCCCAAAAGATAAAGATGTTTAACTTTATAATAAAAGAGTTTACAGTCTTGAGGGATTCCCAAATAGAGATACCCACAGAGCTTTTAAACAATACAATATCAAGGTCCCAACTCAGAAGTTCTGGTTGACAAGTTTTTTACTGGATCAAGCATCTATCATGTTTCAAGTTCCATGAGCAATTCTGAACCACTGGTACAGAGGATACATGTCTATGTGTTTATTCTAACAGTGCTGCCACTGCTCAGGAACCCTATAGAGAATTCTTTCCTCTTTTTCAGTTGCTATCTAAGGTTGTAACACATTCTTTTGATTTTCAATAACAAAAAATCTTAAATTCTTTGAAGATGAAGAAGATATTTGCAAAGAGTCAAATGCCAATAAGTAAAGTGAATGATCAAGCTAAACAATGTAGGCTGGGCGCAGTGGCTCAAGTCTGTAATACCAGCACTTTGGGAGGACAAAGAGGGCGGATCACTTGAAGCCAGGAGTTTGAGACCAGCCTGGGCAACATGGTGAAACACTGTCTCTATCAAAAATACAAAAATTAGCCAGGTGTGGTGACGCATGCCTGTAATCCCAGCTACTCGAGAGGCTGAGACACAAAAACTGCTTGAACTCAGGAGGTGGAGGTTGCAGTGAGCCGAGATCACACCACTGCACTCCTGCCTGGGCGACAGAGTGAGACTCTGTCTCCCCCCCACAAAAAAAAAAAAAGCACTAAGGAATGTAATCTTTTGTTTTGACCTATTTCAAATAAAGAATAATATGAAAGTACCATTTTATTATGAAAGTTTTTCACTATGTCACAACTCACCTAAAAAAACAAAAACTAAAACCAAATGTTTAGGCTTAAACATTTGAAAACTACAAAGTAATTCTGATCAATCCATTATGACATCAATTTTCTAATGCTAGGCTCTATTTCCACTCATCACCATCATGCAAAATGCTATAATCTTAGATTATTCCTCCATGTATTCTTGTAAATCAAGTATTTTCTTCCTCATCTAAATTTCACTCTCCAGTCATCATCTTCACGTAACTACCTAATAAATCAAATCCATGCCTTTTAAACATTTATATCATTCATTTGCCAAAATCAATTTGCTTTATTCTCCATCAGAAACATTTATCTCCTTAAAACTTTGTGCCGGTCAAAATTCTTGCACTTGGCTGGGCACGGTGACTCACGCCTGTAATCCCAGCACTTTGGAAGGCCGAGGTGGGCAGATCATGAAGTTAGGAGTTTGAGACCAGCCTGGCCAACATGGTGAAACCCCATCTCTACTAAAAATACAAAAATTAGCTGGTCATGGTGGCGGGCGCCTGTAATCCCAGCTACCTGGGAAGCTGAGGCAGGGGAATCGCTTGAACCCGGGAGGCAGAGGTTTCAGTGAGCCAAGATCATGCCACTGCACTCCAGTCTGGGCAACAGAGCAAGACTCCGTCTCAAAAAAAAAATAATTCTTGCACTTGCTGTACTTCAATACCACAAACTTATTCTGACATAGTTTTCTCATTAAGAAATGTTTAAGGAGAATGGTGTGAACCCGGGAGGCAGAGCTTGCAGTGAGTCAGGATCGCGCCACTGCACTCCAGCCTGGGCGACAGAGCGAGACTCCGTCTCAAAAAAAAACTAAAAATAAAAATCAATAATAAAAAAAAAGAAATGTTTAACTTCGAAGTCCAATATTCAAATTCTTCTTTTAAGGTGAGTCATTAGGCCAGGCGCGGCGGCTCACACCTGTAATCCCAGCACTTTGGGAGGCCCAGGCAGGCAGATCACTTGAGGTCAGGAGTTCTGGAGCAGCCTGCCAATATGGTGAAACCCTGTCTCTACTAAAAATACCAATGAAAAGTTAGCTGGGCATGGTGGTGCATGCCTGTAATCCTAGCTACTTGGGAGGCTGAGGTGGGAGGATTGCTTGAACCCAGGAGGCGGAGGTTGCAGTGAGCCAAGATTGCGCCACTGCACACTCCACCCTGGGCGACAGAGCAAGAATCTCCAT
This sequence comes from Homo sapiens, assembly GCF_000001405.40. Lineage (NCBI taxonomy): Eukaryota > Metazoa > Chordata > Mammalia > Primates > Hominidae > Homo > Homo sapiens. The sequence goes on from NC_000013.11 coordinate 47,971,418, forward strand.
CTCAAAAACAAACAAACGAAAAGATGAGTCACTTATTTTTATATCCAAAGCAAACAATTTAATTCGATAGCAGCATTACAAATATTACCAAGCAACTCTCACAGGCCTTAATATTAAACTCAATGGGGGCTTTTTTTTAGTGGGGGGAAGAATGGAGGGGAAGCAGCACACAAGGACAATAGAGAAAACCAGTAAAACTGTAGGCAAAATTTTATTGTGAACACATACAAATTGAAAGAATTGAAAGAAGGACCACAGCGTTCATCGAATTCTTAAAATCATTCATAAACCACAGCTCTATTATGGAGATATATAAGACAGTGTCCCATCCATTCTACACAATTTACAGAAAATAAAGGGGACACAGGAATATTTTAAATGTTTAACCACTTAAACCATGGAGATATAAAATCCAGACTACGAAAAACAATGAATAATAATCACCTCAGTTTCTTCAACAACTGAACTGAAAGAAAAAAGATGACAGCAAAAAAGAGAAACCTGTAAGTTATAAAAGACCTATGAGACTTATCAGTCAACAACAATGAAGGGACCGGACGCGGTGGCTCACGCCTGTAATCTTAGCACTTCAGGAGGCCGATGAGGGTGGATCACCTGATGTCAGGAGTTCAAGACCAGCATGGCCAACATAGCAAAACCCCATCTCTACTAAAACAAAATACAAAAATTAGCCGGGCATGGTGACGTGCGCCTGTAGTCCCAGCTAGTCGGTAGGCTGAGGCAGGAGAATAGCTTGAACTCAGAAGGCAGAGGTTGGAGTGAGCCAAGGTGGCAACACTGCACTCCAGCCTAGGTAACAGAGCAAGACTCCATCTCAAAGAAAATAAATAAAATAACAATGAAGAACCGTATTTGGATGCTGACTCAAACAAATTGTAAATGAAAAATTGATTTGAAACAACTAGAGAAATTTGAATGACTAAGTGATGATACTAACAAATTATTGTTGGCTGGGCGCGCTGGCTCACGCCTATAATCCCAGCACTTTGGGAGGCCGAGGCGGGTGGATCACCTGAGGTCAGGAGTTCGAGACCAACCTGATCAACAAGATGAAACTCCATCTCTACTAAAAACAAAAAAATTAGCCAGGTGTGTTGGCAGGTGCCTGTAGTCCCAGCTACTTGGGAGGCTCAAACAGGAGAATTGCTTGATCCTGGGAGGCGGAGGTTGTGATGAGCCAAGATGGCGCCACTACACTCCAGCCTGGGTGACGGAGCAAGACTCCGTCTTAAAAAAAAAAAAAAAAGAAAGAAAGAAAAGAAAAGAAATTATTGTTAATTTTACTAGATAGGGTAATGGTATAGTGACTCTTTTTTTTTTTTTTTTTTGAGATGAGTCTCACTCTGTTGCCCAGGCTGGAGTGCAGTGGCACAATCTCGGCTCACTGCAACCTCCGCCTCCTGGGTTCAAGCGATTCTTCTGCCTCAGCCTCCCGAGTAGCTGGGACTACAGGCACGCACCACCATGCCCGGCTAATTTTTTTTGTATTTTTAGTAGAGACGGGGGTTTCACCATATTGGCCAGGCTGGTCTCGAACTCCTGACCTCATGATCCGCCCACTTTGGCCTCCCAAAGTGCTGGGATTACAGGCGTGAGACACCGTGCCCGGCCAGTGACTCTTTTAAAAGAATCCACATTGAAATATTTATAGAGATATGAAAAAATTGTAAATAATTCCAAAATGAGCTATTTCAAACAAGTTATTAACTTTCCTGACACTCAAAATGTTTAAATAAGTTTTGACAATTACTTCAGTTGTACGGTTATCTTTAAGTATCATAATTCTCTAATCATAAGCTAGAAATTTTTCAGGAATACAACATACCTGGAGAGCTTGTTCCTTTTTGATGCCTTCTTCAATATCAATAGGTTCTTTAATTATTGCTTCAGGAGACTCAGCAGCAACATCTTCAATGTTGACACCACCATGTGAACTTCCTATTAATACAGGACCCTGGCAAGGGAAGTAAACAACCAAAACTCTAGATTTATTTTAGACTCATCAATGAAACTTTAAAACCTACCCGTGCATAATATCAGATGTAAGCATCTATTACTCTCTACCCACATTTTAAAATTTTCTTGAGAATTTATCCTCACATCTCCAGCACAGTGCCCTCTTATAAATATTCAATTAAAGCAATGGATAAAAAAGTAAAAAAAGAAGAAAATAATGGCTTGCCTGCAAGGAAAATAGATTTAAAATATACACAAAAACTTATACCACAATAGCAACAACTTGGAACCAACCCAAATGCCCATCAATGATACACTGGATAAAGAAAATGCGGCACATATACCATGGAATACTATGCAGCCATAAAAAAAGAATGTGTTCATGTCCTTTGCAGGGACATGGATGAAGCTGGAAACTATCATTCTCAACAAACTAACACAGGAACAGAAAACCAAACATCACATGTTCTCACTCGTAAGTGGGAACTGAACAATGAGAACACATGGACACAGGGAGGGGAACATCACATACCAGGGCCTGTCAGGGGGCTGGGGCAAGGGGAGGGATAGCATTAGGAGAAATACTTAATGTAGATGACAGGTTGATGGGTGCAGCAAACCACCATGGCACATGTACAACTATGTAACAAACCTGCACTTTCTGCACATGTATCCCAGAACTTAAAGTATAATTAAAAAAAAAAAGAAAAAAAACTTAACACCAAATATGTAAACATATGTATGTGAAATATAACCTATGCATTTTTCATAAAAACTGAGGGGACATTAAAAGTATTGCTTAAAGCATAAACACTAGAAAATCCTGAAAACAGATATTTGAAAGAAAAAGCCTAAGAAAAGGGAAAGTCTAAGCTCTAGCCCTACTGCAAGACAATAAAAAAGAAAGCTGGCCAGGCACAGTGGCTCACACCTGTAATCACAGCACTTCGGGACGCCAAGGCAGAAGGACTACTTGAGTTCAGGAGTCAAGACCAGCCTGGGCAACATAGTAAGACTCCATTTCTACAAAAAATACAAATAAATTAGCCAGGCATGGTGGCATGCCCCTTTAGTCCCAGCTACACAGCAGGCTGAAATGGGACGATGGCTTGAGACTGAGAGATCAAGGCTGCAGTCAGCTGTGATCACACCATGGCACTCCAGCATGGGGACAGAGAAAGACCCTGTCTCAAAAAAAAAGTAAAATACAATAAATAAAAGAGAGAGCTAACTAGTTTGAAAGAATAGCTCTGGCTATTGTCATGAACAATATGAGAAGGTAAGGTATCAATACTAACAATTATTAACATTTAAGGCCTTGAAAATCAATCAAGAAAAAATCATAAATTATCTAATAGATCTACTAATTTATGCATTAAACTAGAAATAATGTTAACATGAAAAAAAGAGAAATAGTAAAACTGCATTTAAAGATTGTTTACTGACAGGAAACTACTGATCTGTAGTGGGTAATGTAGTGTATGTGTACATGTAGTGTTACGTATGAAAAAAATGATACAAAGCCCTAGGTCGTTTTCTCAATTGTATTATTTTTTAACATAAAGTGCGTTTCAAGTGCTCCATATTGACAGAAACAATAAAAGAGTGGGAAATAAAACATTAAAAGACTTTTGTTATTTTAAATGCAACTATTTTCCAAATAAAATTTTTTTACAATGAACATACTACTCTTACATCCAGAAAAAAAAACAGGCATGACAACTTTTTTTTTTAATCAAAAGACTAATTCCACTTTTCTTTCTTTCTTTTCTTTTTTTTTTTTTTATCTGGAGTGTCGTTCTGTCACCCAGGCTGGAGTGAAATGATGCGATCTCAGCTCACTGCAACCTCCGCCCCCCAGGTTCAAGGGATTCTCCTCTCTCAGCCTCCCAAGTAGTTGGGATTACACGCATGCACCACCATGCCCAGCTAATTTTTGTATTTTTAGTAGAGACAGGGTTTTACCATCTTGGCCAAGCTGGTCTCGAACTCCTGACCTTAGGTGATTCACCTCCCAAAGTGCTGGGATTATAGGCATGACCCACCATGCCCAGCCTAATTCCACTTTTCTATCCTAGCACTTAGTGTTTTAGTAACATACTCATTTAAAGTATAAATTAAAGGAATAGGATTGCATTCATTACTGTTTAGAGAACGAAACAGTCCTTCAAATACTTAAAATAAGGCAATAACAAAAATTAAAAAGAAGAATCTATCACTTTTTTAAGAGTGTTAAACTTTTATTTAGGAAAAAAATGATTTTGTACCATGTATTCGATTTCTGTATACATTTGTAACAAGGAATTCGGATGACTTTTGTCCCCAGGGTCTTGGAAGTAACTTCTAAACCCTCCAACCACATCTGATAGTTGATGCGACCAAGGAGCCGCATGGTGGGCCCCTAGACAGTTTACACTAAGGAGATGACTCAGGTGGGCAATGGCCATGCCAGAAAGATTGACAATGTGATTAGAGGTTTGGGGCTTTCAGTCAAATTGTATCAACCCACTCTGCATAGAAGAAATGGGCTAAGTCAACTGCACAGACAATGATTCAATCAGTGATACCCAGGCTGGGTGTGGTGGCTCACATCTGTAATCCTAGCACTTTGGGAAGCCAACGCAGGAGGACTGCTTGAGTCTGGGAGTTCGAGACCAGCCTGGGCAACATAGTGAGAACCTGTCTCTACAAAAATTTAAAATTAAAAAAAAATTTTTGTTTAATGCCTACACCATAGAACCCCAATGAAAACTCTGGACACCAAGGTCAGCAAGATGACAAAATAGGAAGCCCAAGACCTTGCTCCCTGACAAAAACACTGACTTTAGCAACAATATATGATCCAAAAACCTTTTATGACAATGACAGTAACCAATTAGGAAGTCACAGTACCCCAGGTAAGCTCAAAGCCAAGAACATCTGCAATGAAATCAGTAAGAAAAGCCATTTCATTTTATCCACATCAGCATCCTTCCCCCCACCACTCCAAACTAACATAGTTTGGGATTAAGAAGCTTCTCCATTGGGAGAGAAAGAGAAGAGTAGAACACATGTTCAACATTCCAGCTTCTTGGAGGGCTGTCCAAGGGACTGTTTCCTGTCTCAACTGATATGGGTGCTGATGGGGAACCAGCATACTCTGGATGCCTGTGGGGCATCGAGAACAAAGGAGAGTACACAGGCTCATGGCAGTACCAGAAAATGTGTAACATCCCAGAGGGAAGTTGACACAGCTTGCTACAACTAAGAAAACACACCCAGCTCCTGATTTTTTAACAGGTTGAGTACTCCTCATCTGAAATGCTTAGGACCAGAAGATTTTGGATTTCTTTGAATTTTGAAATATTTGCATTATACTTACCATTGGAGAATCCCAAATCTAAAAATCTGAATTCCAAAATGCTCCAATGAGCATTTCCTTTAAGTGTCATGTCAGTGCTCCAAAAGCTTAGGATTTTATAGCATTTTGGATTTCAGAATTTCAGATTTGGGATGCTCAACCTATATTTATACCACAAGAAACTAGAAAAAGAATAACTAAACCCAAAGTTGGCAAAAGGAAGAAAATCATAAAGATTAGAGCAGAAATAAAAGAAACAAGGAACAGAAAAAAAAAAAATCAACAAAACTGCATATTGGCTCATTGAAAAAGTGAATAAAATTGACAACCCTTTAACTATAAAAAAATAGAAAAGACTGAAATAACAAAAATCAGAAGTGAAAGGAGACATTACAGCTGTCACAGAAAGAGTCTGAGACTGCTATGAAAAATTATGTATCAACAAATTGAATAACCTAGAAGACATTGATAACTTGCTAGAAACAATCTTCAAAATCATAAAGAAATAAAAAATATGAACAGCTCTATAACTAGTAATGATACTGAATCAGTAATCAAAAACTTCTAAGCAACAGGAAGCCCGGGACCAAATGGCTTCACTGGAAAATTCTATCAAACATTTAAAGAACTGAACCAATCTTTCCCAAGCTCTTTTCAAAAAATTGAAAAGGACGGAAAATTTCCATACTCACTCTATGAAGCCAGCATTACCATGATACCAAAATCAGAAGGTATTAAAAGAAAACTACAAGCTAATAGCTCTGAAAAAATAATGATGAAAAAAAAACTCAAAAAATACTAGCAAACTGAATTCAACAACACATTAAAGGGACTTTACATCATGATCAAGTGGGACTTAACTCCTAGAATACAAGGATGGTTCAACATACAAAAATTCAGTGTAATACATGCTATTAACAGAATGAAGGACAAAAACCACAATAATCTCAATTGATACATAAAAGGCATTTAACAAAATTGAATACCCTTTCACGATAAAAATACTCAACAAAGACTGAAGGAAACAACCTCAATATAATAAAGGCCATATAAGAAAACTCATAGCCAACATCATACACAATAATGAGAAACTGAAAATCAATGTGCAAAAATCATAAGCATTCCTATACACAAATAATAGACAAACAAGAGTCAAATCATGAGTGAACTCCCATTCACAATTGCTACAAAGAGGATAAAATACCTAGAAATACAACTTACAAGAGATGTGAAGAACCTCTTCAAAGAGAACTATAAACCACTGCTCAAGAAAATAAGAAAGAACACAAAGGGAAAAACATTCCATTCCATGCTCATAGATAGGAAGAATCAATATCATGAAAATGGCCATACTGCCCAAAATAATTTATAGATTCAATGGTATCCCATCAAGCTACCAATGACTTTCTTCACAGAATTAGAAAAAACTACTGTAAATTTCATATGGTACCAAAAAAGAGCCCATAAAGCCAAGACACTCCTAAGCAAACAGAACAAAGCTGGAGGCATCACGCTACCTGACTTCAAGCTATACTACAAGGCTACAGTAAACAAAACAGGATGGCACTGGTACCAAAACAGATATATAGACCAGTGGAACAGAACAGAGGCCTCAGAAATAACGCCACACATCTACAACCATCTGATCTTTGACAAACCTGACAAAAACAAGCAATAAGAAAGGATTCCCTATTTAATAAATGGTGTTGGGAAAACTGGCTAGCCATATGCAGAAAACTGAAACTGGATCCCTTCCTAACACTTTATACAAAAATTAACTCAAGATGGATTAAAGACTTAAATGTAAGACCTAAAACCATAAAAACCCTAGAAGAAAACCTAGGCAATACCATTCAGGACATAGGCATAGGCAAGGACTTCATGATGACGAAAACACCAAAAGCAATGGCAGCAAAAGACAAAATTGACAAATGAGATCTAATTAAACTAAAGAGCTTCTGGACAGCAAAAGAAACTATCAGCAGAGTGAACAGGCAACCTACAGAATGGGAGAAAATTTTTGCAATCTATACATCTGACAAAAGGCTAATATCCAGAATCTACAAGGAACTTAAACAAATTTACAAGAAAAAAACAACCCCATCAAAAAGTGGGAGAAGGATATGAACAGATACTTTTCAAAAGAAGACATTTATGCAGTCAAAAAACATACGAAAAAAAGCTTATCATCACTGGTCATTAGAGAAATGCAAATCAAAACCACAATGTGATAGCATCTCATGCCAGTTAGAATGGTGATCATTAAAAAGTCAGGAAACAACAGATGCTGGAGAGAATGTGGAGAAACAGGAACACTTTTACACTTTTGGTGGGAGTGTAAATTAGTTCCACCATTGTGGAGGACAGTGTGGTGATTCCTCAAGGATCTAGAACCAGAAATACCATTTGACCCAGCAATCCCATTACTGAGTATATACCCAAAGATTATAAATCAGTATGTTTATTGTGGCATGATTCACAATAGCAAAGACTTGGAATCAACCCAAATGCCCATCAGTGATAGACGGGATAAAGAAAATGTGGCACATATACACCATGGAATACTATGCAGCCATAAAAAGGATGAGTTCATATCCTTTGCAGGGACATGGATGAAGCTGGAAACCATCATTCTCAGCAAGCTAACACAGAAACAGAAAACCAAACACCGCATGTTCTCATCATAAGTGGGAGTTGAACAATGAGAACACATGGACACAGGGAGTGGAACATCACACACCGGGGCCTGTCGGGGGGTGGGGGGCTAGGGCAGAGATAGCATCAGGAGAAATACCTAATGTAGATGACAGGTTGATGGGTGCAGCAAACCACCATGGCACGTGTATACCTATGTAACAAACCTGCACATTCTGCACATGTATCCCAGAACTTGAGTATAATAATAATAAAAATAAAAAAGAAAACTTACAGCCAACATCATACACAAAAATGAGAAGCTGAAAGCTTTTCCTCTAACATCAGAAACAAAGCAAGGATGCCCACTCTTGCCGCTTCTGTTCAACACAGCACTAGATGTCCTAGACACAGAAAACAGGTAAGAAAAATAAAAAGCATCCAAAGAGAAAAGGAAAGGTAAAATTCTGTGTTTGCAGATGAGATGTTGTCATATGTAGAAATCCCTAAAGATTCTGCACACACACAAAAAAAACTCTTAGAATAAATCAGTTCAGCAAAGTTGCAGAATACAAAATCAACAAACAAAAATAAGTTGCCTTTTAATACAGTAACAGTGAACAATGTGAAAAGGAAATTATGGAAATAATTCCAGTTAAAATCAAAGAGAATAAAATACTTAAGGATAGCCTAATCGAGGAGGCATAAGACTTATGAACCAAAAACTACAAAACACTGCTGAAGGGAATTAAAGAAGACACAAACAGGCAGGGCGCGGTGGCTCACGCCTGTAATCCCAGCACTTTGGGAGGCTGAGGCGGGCAGATCATGAGGTCAGGAGATCGAGACCATCCTGGCTAACACGGTGAAACTCCATCTCCACTAAAAATACAAAAATTAGCTGGGCGTGGTGGCGGGAGCCTGTAGTTCCAGCTACTCGGGAGTCTGAGGCAGGAGAATGGTGTGAACCCGGGAAATGCAGGTTGCAGTGAGCTGAGATCATACCACTGCACTCCAGCCTGGGTGACAGAGTGAGACTCCATCTCAAAAAAAAATAAAAAATAAAATAAAAATAAAAAGACACAAACAAATGGAAAGACATCTTGTGATCACAGATTGGAAGACTTAATATTGTTAAACTGTGCATACTACCCTAAGCAATCTACAGATTCAATGTAATCTCTATCAAAATCCCAATGGCTTTTTTTTATAAAAATAGAAAAATACACTAAAATGCATACATAATCTCAAAGGACCCAGAACAGTCAAAACAATCTCGAGAAAAAAAAAGAAACTAGAGGCCTCACACTTCTTTTAAAATATATTACAAGGTTACAGTTATCAAAACAGCATGATAATGCATAAAAAAACAGACATATAGACCAATGGAATAGAACAGAAAACCCAGAAATAATCCCTAAGGTATATGATTAAATGATCTTCAACAATGGTGGGAAAGCTACACAAGAGGGCAAAAAGAACAGTCTCTTCAACAAATGGTGCTAGAAAAATTGGATATCCACATGCAAAAGAATGAAGTTAGACCCTTACCAATACTACTATATGCAAAAATTTACTCAAAATAGATTAAAGACCTAAACATAAAACCTGAAACTATAAAACTCATAGAAGAAAACAGGGAGAAAAAAGTTTATGACATTGGATTTAGCAATGATTTCTTAAACATGATACCAAAGGCACAGGCAGAAAAAAAGCAAAAATTGACAAATGGAACTCTATCAAACTTAAAAACTTCACAGCAAAGGAAATAATCAACAAAGTAAAAAGGCAATCTACAAAATGAGAGAAAATATTTGCAATCCATATATCTAGTTAAAAGCTGAAATTCGGAATATGTAAGATCTTCTACAACTCAATAACCAAAAAAGTAAAAAATAAAAAACCCAAACAAAAAAATTTAAAGATGGGCAAAGGACTTAAATAGACATTTCTCCAAAGCAGATCTGCAAATGGCCTGTAAGCATATGAAAAGATACTCAGTATCACTAATAACGGGGGAAATGCAAATAAAAACCACAGTGAAATATAATCTCACACCCTTTAGGATGGCCACTACCAAAAAAACAGAAAATGAATATTGGCGAGGATGCAGAAAAACTGGAAGCTTTGTCTGCTGTTAGTTGGAATATAAAATGGTACGGCTCAGCTAGGTGCAGTGGGCTCATGCCTGTATTCCCAGCACTTTGGGAGGCCAAAGCAGGCAGAACACCTGAAGTCAGGAGTTCAAGACCAGCTGGCCAACATAGTGAAACCCTGTCTCTACTAAAAATACAAAAACTAGCCGGGCATGGTGGTGCACGCCTGTAGTCCCAGCTACTCAGAAGGCTGAGGCAGAAGAATCACTTGAACCCAGGAGGCGGAGGTTGTGAGCCGAGATCGCACCACTGCACTCCAGCCTGGGCAACAGAACGAGACTCCGTCTCAAAAAAATACAAAAATAAAAAAATTAGCAGGGTGTGGTGGTGGGTGCCTGTAATTCCAGCTACTCAGGAGGCTGAGGGAGAAGAATCACTTGATCCCGGGAGACTGGGGTTGCAGTGAGCCGAGACTGCACTACTGCACTCCAGCCTGGGAGACATAGCGAGACTCTGTCTCAAAAAAATAATTAATTAAATAAAACGGTACAGCTGCTATGGAAAACATTATAGAAGCTTCTCAAAAAAATTAAAAATAGAATTACCATATGATCCAGTAATCCCACTTCTAGGTATACATCCAAAAGAAATGAAAACAGGATCTCAAAGAAATATTTGAACATCTATGTTCACTGTAGCATTACTGACAATAGCCAAGAGATGAAAGCAATCTGAATGTCCATCAAAAGATGAATGGATAAAGAAAATGCAGTATATACATAAAATGGAATAGTACTCAGCCATAAATAAGGAAACTTTGTCATATGCTACATCATGAATAAACCTTGAGGACATTATGCTGAGATAAACCAGTTACAAAAAGACAGCTACTTCAGGTATCTAAAATACTCAAACTTTTAGAAACACAAAGAATGGAGATTACCAGGAGCTGGAGGGAAGTGGGAGAGGGAAAAGGGAGCTGTTCAATGAATAGTTTTAATTTTGTAAGACAAAAAAAGTTCTAGAAAAATTAAAGAAAAAAAAAGATTTGGATATCTGTTCTGGAGATGTTGCACAAAATGTGCACAAATTGTTTTACTCTGTTCCTTTTACCAAAAGAGAAATTAACATTCTCCTTCCTTCCTCTCTCCCTCCTTCCTTCCTTCCTTCTTTCTTTCTGAGAATGCACTATTATACTGCATACTCAAAATGGGTAAGGTAAATTTTTTGTTATATTTTTGACAATCTAAAAAAAAAAAATCTCTGAACACCAAAAGCTTGGGGAGCTTTGGGTTGGCAATATTCTGCATACTGCCACACATTAAGATGCTAGCAAGACAAAACATTCCTGAGAACAGTGGAAACTTAGTGTTTGGGAACCCTCCCAGACCTTGTTGGCTGGTTATGATTTTTATATCCTTTGGCTATAATAAAACTGTAATACTAAGTTTAACATTTTCCTGAGCTCTGTGAGTCGTTCTAAGGAATTAACCCTCAAATTTGTAGCTAGCTAGTCAGAAATGAGGGTAACCTGGGGACCACCAAAATTGAGACTGGTGTCTAAAGTAAGGGCAATCAAGTGCAGGACTATGCTCTTAGCCTCTGAAGTTTAGCTAAACCATGGGCACTTAGTATTAGAACTCCTTTCAATATAAAAAAAAAACTTTTTTAAATAAAAGAATTCAGAGCCTTCTGAGGCTAAAGAAGAGAACATTAGCAAGTCTAAGTAAAGAGAAATGTTTGAAATGATGGTTTAATTTTCAGTTCCTCTATAAATTTCAAATGAAAGGGTATTCTTCGTTTTCTCTCTAGCAAGGCAGTGCATAATTATTAGCTTTTACAAAGATCTAAAGAGCAGGAAAAAATTCTGATTGAAGAAGAGGCGGTTCAGTTTTAGTCATGCCACTGAAATAGAATATAGACAAATCTACAGATAACCATAAAATATAATTTTATTCAACAGGAGAGGTACAGACCAACAAATCTTTAAAATATTCTAACATTTTAGTTTAGTTTTCTTTTCCCTTTTTTTTTTTTTTTTTTGAGACGGAGTCTCGCTCTGTCGCCCAGGCTGGAGTGCAGTGGTGCGATATGGGCTCACTGCAAGCTCCGCCTCCCGGGTTCACGCCATTCTCCTGCCTCAGCCTCCGGAGTAGCTGGGACTACAGGCGCCTGCCGCCACGCCTGGCTAATTTTTTGTACTTTTAGTAGAGACAGGGTTTCACCGTGTTAGCCAGGATGGTCTCGATCTCCTGACCTTGTGATCCACCCGCCTCGGCCTCTCAAAGTGCTGGGATTACAGGTGTGAGCCACCGCACCCAGCCTCTTTTCATTTTAGTTTTACTCTCTTTTTATACCAACTGGTAAAAGAAATGAAAAGCCACAGAGAAGGCAACACGAGGAGAAAAGTTAATATTAAATTCTCACTAAAGTAAAAATTAAGTCAACAATTGGTTATAAGTTAGAAAAAAAAGGAAACAATAATACATAGAAGAAAGTGGAGTCTCTATTTGTCTTAATTCCACAACCAATTAGAAAGAAACCAACTTGCATGGGTAAACGTTAAACAATGACTATAGTTCCACATTTAGTCAACACTGTAGAATGAATAGCTATTTCATGTTCAAACGACTTGGCTTCACTTTTAAATCTTAGTAATAAACTTTCAAAACAATTTCATTTCAAGCAAGTAGCTGAAATTTCAAATATATTAATAATTCTACTTTTCACTTTTTTTTTTTTTTATTTTGACACAGTCTCACTCTGTCACCCAGGCTGGAGTGCAGTGGTGCAATCTCGGCTCACTGCAAGCTCCGTCTCCTGAGTTCATGCCATTCTCCTGCCTCAGCCTCCCGAGTAGCTGGGACTACAGGCACCCCCCACCACGCCCAGCTAATTTTTTGTTTTTTTTGTATTTTTAGTAGAGACAGTGTTTCACTGTGTTAGCCAGGATGGTCTCGATCTCCTGACCTCATGATCCGCCCGCCTCAGCCTCCCAAAGTGTCGGGATTACAGGTGTCAGCCACCACGCCCAGCCCTACTTTTCACTTTCTTAACCTAAGTTCTTCTTCTCTTGTTGGTATTTTTTTAAATTTGCCTTAAAATAGGCTTAAATGTAAAAGGCTTAAATGAGAAAGCAGCCACATGATATAATAAAGATCTGTAGCAGGGCATCGTGGAATGCACCTGTAATCCCAGCTACTTGGAAGGCTGAGGCAGGGGAATCACTTGAACTTGGGAGGCGGAGGTTGCAGTGAGCAGAGATGGCACCACTGCACTCCAGCCTGGGCGACAGAGCAAGACTCTCAAAAAAATTAAAAATAAAAATAAAAAATAAAGATGTGTATTTAAAAAAAATCACACGAAGTAAAATTAGAATTCTTAAGCACATTTTATAACTATTTCAGGTAAAGTCAAAAATTGACACAGGAAAATGTCCCACTCATTTGCAGAAGACTGCAGTTGTTTTACCAGAAAAATAAAAGTAGTAAATGTGATTTATTAAATAGACTTGACTCAGACCAAAAGTACCCAACAGGCACTAGGCAAATGTTAAGAAATCTAATTTAACAAAGGTATCACACAGAGAGTAGGTACTTGAATTCACTTTCTGGCAAGCCAACCCCATAGAAGTTACCTCCCGGAATCAGGATGTGAAAGGTACTAAAGACCAGTAGAACCTATGATACATCTCCTAAAAACAAGTCAGTAATAGAAGTAATTGTTTTCTGTTTTGTTTTAGTTTTGCTTTGCTTATTCTTTTTTTTTCTCTTCAACTTTTAAGTTGAGGTGTACATGTCCAGGATGTGTAGGTTTGTTACATAGGTAAACATGTGCCATGGTGGTGTGCTGTACAGATCATCCCATCACCCAGGTATTAAGCCCAACATTCACTAGCTATTCTTTCTGATGCTCTCCCTCCCTCCACCCCCACCCCGACAGGCCCCAGTGTGTGTTGATCCCCACCTTGTGTCCATGTGTTCTCATCATTCAGTTCCCACTTTTAAGTGAAAACACACGGTGTTTGGTTTTCTGCTCCTGCATTAGTTTGCTGAGGATAATGGCTTCCAACTCCATCCATATCCCTGCAAAGGACATAATCTCATTCCTTTTTTATGGCTGCAGAGTATTCCATGGTGTATATGTACCACATTTTCTTATCCAGTCTATCATCGGTGGATGTTTAGGTTGATTCCATGTCTTTGCTATTGTGAACAGTGCTGCAGTGAACATACCGATGCATGTATCTTTATAACAGAATGATTTATATTCTTTTGGGTATATACCCAGTAGTGGGATTGCTGGGTCAAATAGTATTTCTGCCTCTAGGTCTTTGAGGAATTGCCACACTGTCTTCCACAATGGTTGAACTAATTTACACTCCCGTCAACACTGTAAAGGCATTCCTTTTTCTGCAAAACCTCACCAGCATCTGTTGTTTTTTGACTTTTTAATGATAGCCACCTGAGTGGCATGAGATGGTATCTCATTGTGGTTTTGATTTGCTTTTCTCTAAAGATCAGTGATGAGCTTTTTAATCACATGTGTGTTGGCCATATGTATAGTTTTTTTTTTTTTTTTTTTGAAACGGATTCTTACTCTGTCGCCCAGACGGGAGTGCAGTAGCACAACCTCGGCTCACTGCAACCTCCACCTCCCAGATTCAAGCCATTCTCCTGCCTCAGCCTCCCAAGTAGCTGGGATTACAGGAACTCACCACCATGCCCAACTAATTTTTTTATTTTTAGTAGAGACAGGGTTTCACCTTGTTGGCCATGCTGGTCTCAAACTCCTCACCTCAGGTAATTCGTCCACCTCGGCCTCCCAAAGTGCTGGGATTACAGGCGTGAGCCACCACACCCAGCCTGTGTCTTCTTTTGAGAAGTGTCTGTTCATGTACTTTGCCCCCTTTTTAATGGGGTTGTTTGCTTTTTTTCTTGAAAATTTGTTTTAAGTTTCTCATAAACTTTGGATATTAGACCTTTGTCGGAAGGATAGATTGCAAAAATCTACTCCCATTCTGCAGGTTGTGTGTTCACTATGATGATAGTTTCCTTTGCTGTGCAGAAGCTCTTTAGCTTAATTAGATCCCATTTGTCAATTTTTGCTTTTGTTGCAATTGCTTTTGGCGTTTTCATCATGAATCTTTGCCCGCGCCTATGTCCTGAATGAATGGTATTACCTAGATTTCCTTCTAGAGTTTTTATAGTTTTGAGTTTTACATTTAAGTCTTTAATCCATCTTGAGTTAACTTTTGTATATGGTGTAGGGAAGGGGTTCAGTTTCAATTTTCTGCATGGCTAGCCTGTTCTCCCAGCACCATTTATTAAATAGGAAATCCTTTCCCCATTTTAACAAAAGCAATTTCTAATGATTAGTTAATTCCCATGCATGGGACATTAACTCAATCACAAGTGCTCTTTGTAGTTTAAATAGGTGACTAATTTTTGTTGTTCAACAGAGATCTGTCCACAGGGATTCCCAAAAACATGGCTATACCCCAAAAAGTAACACCAACCAACTCTACATTGGTCTAATGTGATAATATCAAAGAATTTATAATGTCTTCGGTCAAACAGTTTTACTGGTACTACAGTATTTTTAACCTGAATTATAACCACGTATTATTAGTAAGCAAGTATTAAAATAAAAACATTTTATCCTCAACAAGACCTAAATAGTTGTCAGGAAATTCAAGTTCATAAGATGAACTCAAATTTGATCCTTTTCCCAAATGCCTTAAACATATCTTTAATAATACATATTCAGTATCCTACCTTTACTACAATAAAGATGAATTACTATGGATAGAACTCCTATCTCAATTCATCCAGGTATTTATACCTTGTTTCTGGCTACTGTAACAAAAAGTAAAAACATAACTAACAAAATGACAGATGCCGATATATAATGTCAATGAAAAGAAAAATAAAATGTAGTGAAAATAAGTGAATGTGTAAAAATATAATTTATGTAAATTTTGGGTAATATATGAGGTTACTGTCATGGGATTTTTAAAATAACTTACAAACTAAATTCTATCACATAGAATATCACTTAAGAATAAAACAATGCTTCTTAATTTTATATTCTGAGTGGATTTTTACTACCATCTAGTGTTATATCTTTAGAAATACTTCCTTATAAAAATTAAAAGTTGCAAAAGACATATCATTCAAACATTAATAGATTTAATTGTAAATAAGAAAAATCACAATACAGAAAGTTGTTATTTTTAAAAAAGTTGTTCTACATAAGAAAATTATTTTCATGACTCTTAAAATTTTTGTTACTCTAAATTCTACACAATTAATGTTCTACATGAAATCCGTACTGGGGCTTTCAAATATATACCCAGTTGCTTCAAAAAACAAGCTAGTTAACACACAGATTCAGCTTGTAAAACCTAATACCCTCGAAAAACAGATAATTCTAGTATAAAATGATTATCAATGCTCTCTTCCAAACACCAGGTCTATAAAGGGATTTTCTCTTCACCAGAAGCTTTATGTTCAACATTTTAGGTTCCATAAAGAGAGGAGAGCTGTGCTAATGTAATACTCCTTAAAACCATATTGTTTGCTACTTAATGTCATCCCTCAATTTACCAAATATTGAATCATATAGTGAAACAAACCCGAAACTATTAAAAAAAAAAAAACAAACCCAAGAAGTTGAGAAAACAGAAGATGAGGCAATGGATACACATTCTTCTAGTGGGTTCAGCAACTTTCTCTTTCATTAGAATATTTTACTATGCTAGATATAATTTTCTCAATCTGGAGATGATCCAGAGATGATTTAAGCTGCTTTTAGTGAATTAACAATTTGAGAATCCCATGAAATTTATTACAGCAGAATTTTTCCTATAATTTTAAGATCATGATATTATATATCAAATTTTACGGCATTAAAGAAGCTGTTTTTTAAATGACATAAATATCATGCTCATGACATACAAACAGATTATAATTTGTACTTTTAAAATCTTTCCCACATAAATAGAAACAATAATGGACTTTTGAAATTGAATGTCATAAATTTATCCCGTATGTATCATGTCTACAATTACTCACTTGAAATGACCTTTCCATTGTTATTGCAAAGTAGTATTCTCTCCTGGGATATTTTCGCTCACAGACCAATACTTGATTGCATATTCTGCCCTTTTCTCCCGTTTGCTTGGTAAACAATTTTTTCCCAATCATTTGTGAAGAAACAGCTTTTGCTTCTTCTGGACTAAAATAAGAAAAAGAACTCAAATTTTTCTTTCCTCCAGTTGAGAAAAAGCAAATCCACATAATAGCCAAAATTTTATCTCATCTAATATTTAAATTTCAGTATTTTCATCAATTCAATAAGTAATCTTTAATCAGTCTTTAACAAGGATGATTTTTCCTTAAAAAATGTGACTTACGAGAAAACTATCTTCACTCCTCCTTTGAGGCCACTTTCAAATGTTCCTTTTCCTCTACCACCAGCTAAAACCTGTGCCTTTATCACGACATCTTTTGAACCTAGAAGAAAAACACTTCTATTAAATATGAAGCATGGAGCAGCATGCCAGACATAGTATTTTGTTATTTAACATACATATTGACAGGTGTTATTAAATCAAGTCTAATTTATTCACAATGTCCAAAAATAAGGCATTCTCTTTATGTAGATTTTCTAGATTAGAACACTAAAATAATCACTGTCTAAAAGGCCCACAATTTTCAAAATTCGTCACTTACATTAAACCATTTCTTTTTTTTTTTTTTTGAAACAGAGTCTCGCTCTGTCGCCCAGGCTGGAGTGCAGTGGCGCGATCTCGGCTCACTGTAAGCTCCGCCTCCCAGGTTCACGCCATTCTCCTGCCTCAGCCTCCCGAGTAGCTGGGACTACAGGCGCCCGCCACCATGCCTGGCTAATTTTTTTGTATTTTTAGTAGAGACAGGGTTTCACCATGTTAGCCAGGATGGTCTCGATCTCCTGACCTCATGATCTGCCCACCTCGGCCTCCCAAAGTGCTGGGATTACAGGCGTGAGCCAGTGCTGGGATTACAGGCATGAGCCACCGCACCTGGCCACATTAAACCATTTCTTAAAAGTAAACTGAAAATAATTTAACCATTTCTTGACACTTTGGAAAGTGTCATCTAGAACTCTGGAAAGTATCAAAAGTACAAAATTGAATTTCATGTCTTCCTAACACGTCCCTCCCTCTCTATTCACATGTAAACTTGCTGTCCTGAGAACATCTGAGTTATATCGCTATAGCAGGAATATGTCATGATTTGGGGGATATTACCATTACCAGTATTGATACTGATTTATACTGTCCCACTAAGAGAAAGTTCTATTAAAATACATTATTGAGCAGTACTGCATGAGTAGTACTATCAGGAGTTATTAAGGTATCTGTATCAAAAGATTTCAGAATTCTATGCTTGCAAAGCTTATGCATATTTTTAAATAAATGGACTGAATTTTTCTTCTTTAACAGGTAGACTGATTACTATTTATCCCTTTTCCTCTCCTTTCTAATTTGCTGTGGAAAACCAGCAAACTGGCTGTTTAGCCTAGATAGTACTCATCATTCATGATCAAGAGTAAATGGGCCCGGTGCGGTGGCTCACTCCTGTAATCCCAGCCCTTTGAGAGGCTGAAGCAGGCGGGTCACATGAGGCCAGGAGTTCGAGACCAGACTAGCCAATATGGTGAAATCTCATCTCTATTAAAAATACAAAAATTAGCCAGGCATGGTGGTACATGTCTGTAATCCCAGCTACTTGGGAGGTTGAGGCACAAGAATCACTTGAATCCGGGAGGCGGAGGTTGCAATGGGCCAAGATTGTGCCATTGCACTCCAGCCTGGAGGACAGAGCAAGGCTGTCTCAAAAGAGTAAATGCTCTGGGTGATGGGTATCCTAAATGCCCTGAATTGATCATTACACACTCTATGCATGTAACAAAATATAACATGTACCACAAAAATATTATGTATCAGTTAAAAAAAAAGAGTAATACCTCTTAGAAAGGCATTCTCTGTGTACCAGACAGGCAGAATTCAGAGCCTCCTCATTTTGCCTCTCATAGCATTTTGCCCACACTGGCAGGGTGGCACCAACTATACATTATGGCAAAATAACCTTTGAGATCAGGGCTAAAGGTCTCACTGTATTCATTATATCCCAAGCACAAGGAAGTCTCTGGGATATAACAACTACTCCATAAACATGGATTTGAACAGACTGAAGTAGAGTCCTCTACAACTAGGATGTCACTCCACGATGCATTTATCAAGCAGAATGAGAGGAAGCTCCCACCTAATCAGATGAACCAACCAAATCAATGAGGTAGGAAATGGAGTTTGAAACCAAACAAAAACAACCTAAAGTTTACACATTAACAATTATTTTAAAAGAACATTTAGAAAATTACTGATGTAAGCCTTCACCAGAAATACATGCTATTTAAACCAGATGATGACCCTATGCGTAGTCAGCCAAGAGAGTGTTTAAAAAACTTGTCTTTCTCAAACCCCACTTCCATTCAGCCAGGAAATCATACTGGTTCTATCTTCAAATTTATCCAGAATCTTCACCATTCCTCATCACCTGCAGTTTAGACTCTGATCCCAACCACCACTATCTCTTAACTATATGACCTTTGTCCCCCACAGAATATTCTCAAGGCAGCAGCCAAAGCAGGCACACCATTCCTCTACTTAAAACCTTGCACTGAATGCCAGTCTCACTCAGTTAAATGCCAAAGTGCTTACAATGGCCTAGAAGACCTTATAATACCCTCTACACTTTTTATCTCCTAGGCCCTCCTGGTTGCTCACTCTGTTCCAACTGCACTAATCCCCTCACTATTCCTGGGCATGTTCCTGCCTTCAGGACTTGGCTCTAATGCACCCTCTGCCTAGAATACTCTTCACCAGGTGTCCATGTGGGAAAAGCCCCCGATCCTTCAAGTTTCTCTTTAAATCTCATGTTGCCCATGAAGCTTACCCTACTAACCTGCCCACCTGTGACCAATCCCCCTTACCTACTACACTTCTTTCCGCCATAGAATTCATCATCTTCGTACATATGTAATTCTCTTACATATATCATTTGTTGTTTTGCTTCCCCATCAGAAAAGAGGCCCAGGAGGGCAGAATCTTTGTTGTATTCATAGATGTTAACAAGCGTCTGGGAGAGTTCCTAGCACATAATATTTTGCTGAATGTTGAAAAAAAGGAACATTTAAAAATATGAACAGAATTCTTATAAATCTAGATTTCTTCACTGCTCTTACGAAAACTCCCAATGGGAAAAACTGGGTGCACAGTACTACAACTAGAGCTGATTAGAAAAAGTATCTTGTTTAGATAAGACAAACCCTTTTCAATTACCCTGTCTCTACTATTCACAAATGTATCACAACTAATATTAGGTAACAAATAGAAACAACTCAGAAATTTCCTTAAAACCAACAATAACGTTCTTATTGAGAATACTACAGGTTGTCTCTGAACCATGGCAAATTAGAGAGTTTGTGCCCAAACGGAAGGGAGCAGCCACTATTTATTCCACTTGTTTCTGTTTACCTGTCCAGTCCTGATTTTCCAGCACTTTAAATATTTGTTTATATCCGAAGAAGAGAACTACAAGGCAAACAGTGCAAATGTAATGTAAAAAATGGTCATAGTTACACTGTGCTTTACTGAGCTAAATTCAATCATTCCTATTCATTAAACTGGGAACTTAACACATTGACCTATTAAGAGTAACGAAGCTCTATTTTTTCAAAAACACTTGGCAAGACAGAAGGTTCTTCTCTTCCCCGCAAAGTGTCAATTTCCTTTCTTTAGGAATATAAAGTCTTTAAGGGCAAAAGATGATTCTTCGAAAGTTCCTTCTAAAAAAAAAAAGCCCTTCACAACGAAAGCAAAAAAAAAAAAAAAAAAAAAATTTTTCATGAAATACAGTCTCATCAACTATCAAGAAAGGAAGAAAGATTAGAAGAGAAGTCTGAGGACAACTGGTCGAAACAAACATTTTATTCAATTCCATTAATTCACTCAACAGGTTCATCTACATACCAGACACTGTGCTAGCGTTGTAGATACAACAGTGAGTGAGACCTCTCCTGCCCTCATAGAACCTGCAGTCTTATTACATTTGGCACTGCTCTAGTCAGACAAGATCTTTTTTGGATCCCAAGACTGTCTCTAAAACACAATCACTATCCCAGCTACCTTTAGTCACTCACAAACATTTTAAGCATTCCTTGTATACAGGTATCTAACTAATAAATATTTAAAAGAAAGAAAGAAGGTAAAGTCCTATTATATGCCATTAGAAATCTCCCTCCGGGCTGACATTCATTAATCAGCACCCTTTACATGTATCTATTCAACCAGATAGGGATTCCACCTTAAATATACTAGAAGCCAAACTATCTTTCTATAGTCAATAGGGAAATTATAAAAATTCTGCCAAATCTGTGCCCAGGCGCAGTGGCTCACGCCTGTAGTCCCAGCACTTTGGGAAGCCAAGGGTGGGTGGAAGGCTTGAGCCCCGGAGTTTGAGACCAGCCTGGGCAACATGGTGAAACCCCATCTCAAGAAAAAATACAAAAATTAGCCAGGCATGGTGGAGCACACCTATAGTCCCAGCTACTCAGCAGGCTGAGACGGGAGAAGTGGCTTGAGCCCAGGAGGTCGAAGCTGCAATGAGCCATGATCACACCACTGCACTCCAGCCTGGGTGACAGAACAAGACACTGTCTCAGAAACAAAACAACAAACATTCTGCCAAACCCTTACTAAAATCATATTTCCTTGAACTATGAACTGTTAGAGATAATTTGCTCTCAGAACTGACCCCAAATAATATCTACTACATTTATCTGTGCTAATAACCATCCCTTTGATAATCTATTCCAGAAACTTCATGATCTTCAAGCTCACCAACCTTCATTTTGGGGACTCATATAGTCTTTTAAAATATTAGAATTAGATTTCTTTCTAACCATTCCTCCATTCCTAACCTCAATTATTCACAGCAGGTAAAACTTGCCTACAGGACAATGCCTCTCAACTTTTTTCACATCATCACACAAACAGAAAATGATGGACATGGTAGGAAATACTGGGTAAAGAGGCTCAGTGGCCCCAAACCCCATGCTAACTCAACTTCTCCTGCCACCACAGGACTGGGAAGAAACAATAGTTTGGCACACCTGTAAAGCATTTATGTTCTATTATGTCACTTGTTGAGCAAAGCGCTGAGTTAAGAGTTTTTATGAAGGCCAGGCCTGGTGGCTCACGCCTATTGTAATCCCAGCACTTTGGGAGGGTGAGGCAGGTGGATCACCTGAGGTCGGGAGTTTAAGACCAGCCTGATCAACATGGAGAAACCCTGTCTCTACTAAAAATACAAAATTAGCCGGGGTGGTGGCACATGCCTGTAATCCCAGCTACTCAGGAGGCTGAGGCAGGAGAACTGCTTGAACCCAGGAGGCAGAGGTTGCTTGAACCCAGGAGGCGGAGGTTGCGGTGAGCTGAGATGGCGCCATTGCACTCCAGCCTGGGCAACAAGAACGAAACTCCGTCTCAAAAAAAAAAAAAAGAGTTTTTATGAAATGAAAATTAGCATTTTATGAATTTTGCAGAAAGTCAAAAAGCAAAAATCACCCTGAAGTAATGAAAACTCAGCATTGGGAATTGCTAGCTACATGAACAAAACCAAGTGTATTTCTAAGGTCCCTCATTCTACACCTTGTGCAACTAGATCCCATAATCGTTATCTTTTGTTATCAATGACTCACTAAAAACACAAAATTGGGCTGGGTGCGGTGGCTCACGCCTGTAATCCCAGCACTTTGGGAGGCCTAGGCGGGTGGATCACAAGGTCAGGGGTTCGAGACCAGCCTGACCAACATGGTGAAACCCCGTCTCTACTAAAAATACAAAAATTAGCTGGGCATGGTGGCGGGCACCTGTAATCCCAGCTACTCAGGAGGCTGAGGCAGGAGAATTGCTTGAACCTGGGAGACGGAGGTTGCAGTGAGCCGAGATCGCGCCACTGCACTCCAGCCTGGGCGACAGAGTGAGACTCCGTCTCAAAAAAAAAAAAAAAAAAAAAACCACGAAATTGTCCTCCATATTTTCATAGACGTTTCTAAATTTATCTTTTAAAAACTAGCATTTCTGCTCCTCTAGATTTAAATTTCCTTGTTAATTATTAGTCTCCCTCCCACACTATAATCATCATTTGCAATATTCTTTGACAAAAAACACACTTTCTAAATGAACAAGGTATCTGTTCCAA
Source organism: Homo sapiens (assembly GCF_000001405.40). Classification (NCBI taxonomy): domain Eukaryota; kingdom Metazoa; phylum Chordata; class Mammalia; order Primates; family Hominidae; genus Homo; species Homo sapiens. The sequence continues at coordinate 47,994,775 of NC_000013.11, forward strand.
GGGGCTCAAAATCAGAGCTGCCTACCTGCTTCTTATTACTTGTGAGTTCTGGTCCCAGAGAACTTGCCAGAAATACTCATAGTTACAGTTTATCCTGCACATATTATTTCTTTCTTCTGTACCTAAGAATCATTAAGTTTTTATAAGGCATAATCAAAACAGATTGGCATCTGAATTAATCCTATTCATTTTATGAAAAAGTTTCTATGCAAATTATTTTTTCTGACAAAACAATGGAATTTCACTAAATGAGAAAATATACGGAAAACTAGTTAAAGAAACCAATTATAATACTCAAAAAATAGACACAGTGGCATGTGCCTGTAGTTCCAGCTACTCAGAGGCCTAAGTAGGAGGATCACTTGAGCCCAGGAGTTTCAGACTAGCCTGGGCAACATAGTGACCCTATCTCTAAAAAAAATTTTTTTTTGGAATTTTAAAATCTGGAAACAAGAGGAAAACCATTTTTACCGACGTAATTATATATAAATCAGGTCCCATTAACATTAACCATGCAGAAGTTCCAATTATAGGTCACCATTAACAAAAATTTCACCACAATTAGTATGAACTTATACAAAGCTTTTGCTTAATAAAAAGTTTGCTTGTAATCTGATTTAAAATAATTCTTTCTGATTAACAACAATAAAAACAACAAAACTATAAATGAAAAATCATGCTTCCAAGTCAAGGAAATCATGGCCATCTCATTCAAAAACATAGCTTATATGACAGTTTTCTGAACTTGTATATATCCTTAATTTTGAAAGAAAAATCCATTCTAGATACAAATAAGTACTACACAAGATGAATACTTTTAAAATTTCAATCACTTTGAAAATGCTCATCTTTCTTAAAAAATATAAAAGCAAAGTATTCACCAAATCATATTTAAAGCCTATTAATTAAATGTACATAGAAGAGAGATTATTTATGCTAATCTACGTAAAATTGGTGGGATTTAAAATACTGCTAAAAAGAAACTGCAGTGTATAGCTAGTACATCAGCTCATGGTTTTCATGCTAAATCTTTAAAAATGTAAGCTTATTTTCTGAAATCAAAAATTATTTTTTGATTAAGAGATTAATTCAAATTGACAAAAGCTATTAAGGCTTCTGTTATCAATAAAGGAATCTGCTAATAAACATGGGCAACTATTAAATTCATTTAATATTTATTCATTTAGTATTTATTGATTACCTAAGTGTCAGGCATTCTTCTAAGATTTTGGGATATATCAGTGAACAAATAAGAAAAAGAAACTCGGGCTGTATGTGGTGGCTCACACCTGTAATCCCAGCACTTTGGGAGGCGGAGGCGGGCAGATCACGAGGTCAGGAGTTCAAGACCAGCCTGGCCAACATAGTGAAAACCCGTCTCTACTAAAAATACAAAAAAATTAGCCGGACATGGTGGTGGTGCTTGTAATACCAGGTACTCGGGAGGCTGAGGCAGGAGAATCCCTTGAACCCGGGAAGCGGAGGTTGCAGTGAGCCAGGATTGCACCATTGCACTCCAACCTGGGCAATAAGAATGAAACTCCGTCTCAAAAAAAAAAAAAAAAGAAAAGAAAAAGAAACTCTGCTCTCAAGGAGTTTACATTCTAGCACTCTACTTTTTGTTCCCCTTTGGTTCCATATTTTTCATGACAAAAAAATGGAGGGGGAAGCACGGACCTCTCCTTATAAGCACATAAACAGCTAAGATTTTCCTTCACCATTTCCCTGAAGAATCATCACAACTGCCATCCTTTAAGCTCCAGAGTAGTTAGAGTGGTAGTAGTAGAATTCCCTTCCCCATAATTATATTCCAACTAAAAACAGGACTTCAGCTTCCTAATGCCAATGTAAGTGACTCCCACGTCACTGGCATTATGGGTGCTCATAATAATAATAATAATAATAATTTTAGAATTTCAATAATAATAAAGTTCTACCTTCTATTTTAAGCAAAGAAAATGTATTTTTTTTAAAAAAAAGCTAAAAGTTGTTATCAAACCAAAAACAAACTTCAAATCTTCTCAGAGCTCTCATGTCAAGGTGGCAAAAGCTTTTCTTAATTTAGTACCTAATTTTTTGGCAATTGCATAAGCTTCATCTGGTGACTTTGCCACATATCCTTTGGGAACGGAGACACCAGCTTCTTGCAATAATTCCATACTCATGTATTCATGTAGTGAGAGATTCCTTTGCTGTTGCTGCTGTACTTGGAGTCCATGGTTATTAAACAATCCAGAACTTCCCAGAACCTAGAAAGATTGGGGACATATTTATATATGACAGTGATTTGGCAGTCACTCTTGCTAACTACTTGGTTCTTCATAACTATAACAAAACTGTTACATTACATTAGCAAAGTACAATATTCAGAGTACCTGAATTACAGCATAAAACTAAAAGCTAGCCTATCAGCTAAATATCACTGTTACCACTGTCATTTTAATTATTTCCTCATCATCTCTATTCCTTATTTCAGATTTCAGCTTTACTATCATATCTCCAATGATCTACAGGGCAGTTCTACCTCAATGCCAAATTCAGCGGATCTAAAACCAATCTCATCTTTTCCACCAAACCAAAAATCCTTCCCAATTTTCTTCTCTCTACCATTCCTCCACACCTAACAAGTCACCTGGCACTAGATATGTAATAATAAAATGATTTGATACCATTACTCTTTCATACACTCGATATTCAAAACCATGGCTTCATCTGTAGTGGATGTTGCAGTATGCTGCCCAGATCTCCCTGGCACTCCCCATTCAGGACCAAGGCATTCATAGCCCCCACTGCTGCTGCTGGGAGTGCTGGTTGCTGACAGCTCTCAGCCAAGTCCTCTTACTGGAGCCTACTTGCCCAAAGTCACACCTCCTTCCCACTGTCAGCCTGCACCCAATGACTGGTCAATGGAATCACACATTTAAATGTTATCCACGCATTTCCATAATCTCAATACAGAATGCAGTATACTGAAACATGGTTCATATGAAACACACAGTGTCCTAAGAATTAAATTTAAAGAGGTCATAGAAACAATCTGTTTCTTAAAGTAGGTTCATAAGCTTTTGCCTCAAAATTAACTGGGTGCTTGTAATCTGCAGATTCCTGAGACCCATTCTCAACTGCACTATTAGAATCTCTGGACTGGGCCCAAGGAAATCTGCATTCATAACAAGTCACTCAGTTGATTCTTAAGAACCCTACAGTTATGAGAACTACTAGTCTTACAAATCAATCATATATAATAGCAACTTATTTCTGATCCATTTAGCAAGCTAAAATCCTTGGTAACATTTGACCTAGGTAGCTCAATTCCTTGATTTAGTGTCACTTCAATATTAAAAGCCAGCAACCAAGCTGGGCACAGTGGCTTACACCTATAATCCCAGCTACTCCTGAGACTGAGGCAGGAGGATCCCTTCAGCTCAGGAGTTTGAGACTGCAGTGAGCTGTGATTTCACCACTGTCCTCCAGCTTGGTCAACAGAGCAAGACCCTGTCTAAAAAAACAAATAAATAAGTTAAAAAAAAAAAAAAAAAGAAAAAAAAACCCAGCAACCTCTCAAACTACTGTTTAGTATACCTCCACCTTCTGACTCAGAAATCCCATTCCTGGGTATGTATCAATAGAAATTAGTCCTTACATCTGTCAAAAGGCACACATAAAAATGTCTAGAGTGTCCAGAGCAGGCTTATTTATAACAGACAGAAAACAGAAATTAGCTGATTGCCCATCAACAGGAGAATGGATAAACTGTGGTATATGTATATAATAGTATACTACAGAGAAATAAAAAGAAAAAAAGTACTATGGCTCACACATCGATGGATTAATCTCACAAACATAATGTAGAGAGAAAGAAGCCAGAAACAAGAATATATACTTACATGATTTATTTTTATAGCGTTCAAAACCAGTCAAAATTAGCCTATGGTGACAGAAGTCATAATTGGTTGCTACCTTCTGTCAGGGAGTATTGATAAGAGAGAGGACATGAGAGCCTTCTGAGGGCTGGAAACATTGTATATCTTGATGCAGACGATGGTTACACAGGTGAATACATACATAAAAATTAATCTAGCTATCCACTTAAGCTGTACATCTTACTGTACATAAATTATACGTCAAAATAATAATAAAAATTAGTGGGTAGGGGAGTAACTAGCATAAGCCTGGCAAAAAGTCATACACTCAAATATTTTTTGTGATGACTATGAACTAGACAGTGGGCTAGGGACACTAAAAAAATAAAGACACTTGGGTCCCAGCCACAGAGTTCACAGGCATGTAAATAAACAACTGCAACACATATAAGAGCACTAGGTCACTAGCACATAAGTCACTAGGTGGCACCTAATTGGTTAGTTGGTCAGAGAAAATGTCACAAGGTCTCATCCCAGTTTAAATTTTTAAAAAATCTAATGTCTATAAAGAACACTTTGGGGACAACTAGAAAAATCTGAATCTAAACTATATATATTCATGTTACAGCAATGTTGAATTCCTAAGTATGATCACTGCGGTTATTTGGAAGAATGTCCTTATTCTTAAAGACATATGCTGAAATATCTATTTTCAACGAAGGTACACTAGGCTAAAGATACCAAGAAATTGGAGGAGGGTCAGAGAACTTAAACAAATGTTTAAAACAGGCCGGGTGCGGTGGCTCAAGCTTGTAATCCCAGCACTTTAGGAGGCCGAGGCGGGAGGATCACGAGGTCAGGAGATCGAGACCGTCCTGGCTAACACGGTGAAACCCCGTCTTTACTAAAAATACAAAAAATTAGCCGGACGTGGTGGCAGGCGCCTGCAGTCCCAGCTACTAGGGAGGCTGAGGCAGGAGAATGGCATGAACCCGGGAGGCGGAGCTTGCAGTGAGCCAAGATCGCGCCACTGCACTCCAGCCTGGGCGACAGAGCAAGACTCCGTCTCAAGGAAAAAAAAAAAAAAATGTGGAAAACAAATTGCTAAATTAAATGTGTGACCTTGAACGAGTTTCTTAAGACTCCGTACTTCTATGTCCTCATCTACAAAAGCAAAGGGTTGGACTAAGGTCCTTCCAAACTCTAGAGCTGCATTTCTTAATACCAGGGTAGAAGACAGCAACTGTTATAAAGAAAATAATATTGGAAATTTCCATAAGGAGAAATGAAGGCTTTTAAATGAACTTCCAAAAAGATAAAGATTTTGACTAGAATGAAAACGTATTTGTCACTAAATTCCCCATTTTCTAAAAACTAAATAGCACTCTTCTAAGATTCATAAGAAGGAAGTTCAAGGTCAAAAAGTCACTTCTATCGGGAAGCAAACTCACAGAACTCACTACCCCTAGGCTGAAAGTATGAACAACTTCAATAAAAATGAAAAAAAAAAAAAAAGGTAGGGGCGGGAGGGCCCTAAATCAATTCATACTATGACATGTATGAAGAGTTACTTCAGAAAAAAACCCAAAACTCTGGAATTGACTTAGGACACCAATAATGCCCTTCCACAGTTTTTTGTTGTCAAAGTTGGAAGGAAGATGTTTGTTTTCGAAGTTGTGGAGCCAACTCAAGTACACGGCTTTAGAACCAGACACCTCTGGGATTAAATCTCAGCTTTGATCTTACCTCCTATATGACCTAGTCCAAATTACTTGTTCTCTTAACCATAATATGTTCAACAATGATGCAGGTGTTGAATGACTTCCTCACAGTTGCTGAAAAACCTGAGAAACTACACGTAAAGCGCTTAGCACATTACCTGGCACACATCAAATATTCAAAACAAGGCCAGTAACTATTATGCTATAGCCTATCCAGAAATAAGGCTATACAAAAGATTATTTTCTTACCTCTCCAACTGGTTAGGTAGAAAACATAATCTTATTACTGCTATTAACAAGTAGAACAGTATACAACTACTTGGAGGAGAGGGGAAACTTCCCTACCTTGCCCCACAAAAGGCAAGTCAGTAAGCACCGCTGGTCCTCTGACATTCCCACCTATGACAGCTCCCAAGAAACACAAAAGTACTTTTGAAGGGCATTCCCCCCTGCCCAAAAAGGGGCGGCGCAAGTCTCAGCCCACCGTGCCAGACGCCGGAATGGCAGCAGAAAATGTCCTGACCCCCTCACCTCCACTCAGAGCCCACCTGCTCCCGCCCATCTCTTAGAAACTGCAGGAGCAGCCACGGCCGGGCCGCCGGGGATCCTCGCGGACTAAGGGCTGGGTCAGAGCCGCGCAAACATGGGCTCGCTCGTAGTCCTGGCGAGCAGCACTCCCAGGCAAGTCGCCCGAGGGCCTTGCAGGGCACCCAGAAAATGTCACTGCCGGCGAAGTGACCCCGAGCCGGGCCACGGGACCCCTCACACCTCACCCTTTCTCCTGCCGACCCTCGAGACGACAGCGGACTGGAAGGCATTACCTGAGCAGCAGCCCGCTGGGCCGTCCGAGGCCGGTGGTTCCGAAGGGTGGCCACGGCCACTAGCCTGCCGTAGAACATGGAGGCCGCCATTTCTGAGTCGGACCCCGTCCCCTCGGCGCCGCGCGCAGGCGCACAGGCGACAGGCGGCCCAAGGCGCAGCCTCTCTGCAGCGCTCACCTACGCCCCGCCTCGCGCCACCCGTTGGGGGCGGGGCCTCGGGTTAACACTGCAGCCGCTAGACCAGCTCCCTGGCGGGCGCGGAGCAAGCTTTGACCTTTGGAACTGGGCACCGCAGCCCCAATATCTGCCCTGCGGTCAGAGCAACCTGAACACTTCCTAGTGAATTGCAATGTAAAGGTGACCAGCGCCGCCACTTGGGTGATCTTAACTTCTCTCAGCCTCAGTTGCCTCATCTGTAAAATGTGTTTCATTCAAGAAATGATTACCCAGTGTCTACTTCGTGCTAAACAGCCTTGAGCCCTTGGCCTACAGCAATGAATAAAACCATTTGTGATGCTCAAAGAGAAGATGGTCGGTGTAACGCGCTTGTGATGCTCAAAGAGAAGATGGTCGGTGTCATGCGCTTCTGATGCTCAAAGAGATCGGTGTCACGCGCATCCGTGTGAAGACACCGCCAAACAGGGTGTGAGCAATAAGGCTGTTTATTTTAACTGGGTGCAGGCGGGCTGAGTCCGAAAAGAGAGTCAGCAAAGGGAGATAGGGGTGGGGCTGTTTTATAGGATTTGGATGGGTAGCGGAAAATTACAAAGGGGGTTTTTCTCTTACGGGCAGGGGCGGGGGTCACAAGGTGCTCAGTGGGGGAGGTTCTGAGCCAGGAGAAGGAATTTCACAAGGTTAATCACTCAGTTAAGGTGGGGCAGGAACAAATCACAATGGTGGAATGTCATCAGTTAAGGCAGGAACCGGCCAATTTCCCTTCTTTTGTGATTCTTCACTTGCTTCAGGCCATCTGGATGTACACGTGCAGGCTTGGGCTCAGAGGCCTGACAGTCGGCCACTAGTTACCAAAGCTGGTGGCAGGCTGGAGTCTCCAGGGAAGCTATTGATTGATTGATTGACTGATTGACAGGGTCTTGGTCTGTCACCCAGGCTGGAGTGCAGTGACGCGATCACAGCTCACTGCAGCCTCAACCTCCCATGCTCAAGGGATCCTCCCACCTCAGCCTCTGGAGTAGTTTGGGACCACAGATGTGTGTCACCAGGCTTGGTTGATTTTTTTATTTTATTTTTTTAGGGACAGAATCTCTCTATGTTGCCCAGGCTGGTCTCCAACTCGTGGGTTCAAGCGATCCTCCTGCCTCAGTCTCCCAAAGTGCTGGGATGACAGGTGTGGGCAACCACACCCAGCCAAGGATCTGGTTTTTGAAAAGATAAATAAATTTAACAAACCTCCAGCAAGACTGCAAAGAAAAAAGAAAAAGAGAAGACACAAATTACCAATGTGAGGAACATACCAGGGAATATAATTACAGAACCTTCAGACACCAAAAAGGAATGCCATAAATAACACCACATAACATAAATTTGACAACTTTGACAAGATGAGCGAATTCTTCAGAAGGCACAAATTACTACAAATAACCTAATATGAAAAGGTAATTTAAATAGTCCTCTAACTAGAGAAAATTGTAATTGTAATTTTTAAACTAAAAAAAAAAAAAACCTGAGATCTCCAGGCCCAAAAGCTTTCACTGATGAATTCTATAAAATGTTTACACAAGAATTAACACCAATTCCATACAGCCTCTTCCAGAAGATAGAAGAGGAAGGAACAGTTGCCAATGTACTGTATGAAGTTAGAATCACCCCACTACCAAAGCCAGCAAAAGACCGTACAAAAAGAAAAAAATACCAACACTTCTCATGAATATTGATGGAAAAATCCATAGCAAAATATTAGCAAATATAATTCAGAAATATATAAAAAGAATTGTACAATATGACCAAGTGGGATATATTCCAGAGATGTAAGTTTGTTTTAATATTTGAAAATATGTGTAATGCACTATATTAAGTTAGAAAAATCACATGATAATTTCGATCAAAACAAAAAAAGTAGCTGGGCACAATGGTTCATGCCTGTAATCCAAACACTTTGGGAGGCCGAGGTGGGAGGATTGCTTGAACCCAGGAGTTTGAGACCAAACTGGTTGGGCCACATAGCAAGACTTCATTTCTATAAATAATTTTAAAATTAGCCAGTCATGGTGGTGTACACCTGTGGTCCCAGCTACTCCAGAGACTGAGATGGGGGGGAAATCACTTGAGCCCAGGAGGTCCAGGCTGCAGTGAACCGTGATCGTGCCCCTGCACTCCAGCCTGAGTGACATAATGAGACCCCCATTACAAAAAAAAAAAAAAAACAGGCCAGGCATGGTAGCTCACGCCTGTAATCCCAGCACTTTGCGAGGCCGAGGCAGACAGATCATCTGAGGTCAGAAGTTTGAGACTAGCCTGACCAACACAGAGAAACCCCGTCTCTACTAAAAATACACAATTAGCTGGGTGTGGTGGCATGTGCCTGTAATTCCAGCTATTCAGGAGGCTGAGGCAGGAGAATCATTTGAACCAGGGAGGCAGAGGTTGCAGTGAGCCGAGATCGTGCCATTGCACTCCAGCCTGGGCAACAGGAGTGAAACTCCATCTCAAAAAAAAAAAAAACAAAAAAAGCATCTTACAAATTCCAACATTCATTCATGATTAAAAACTCAGATAAACAGGAATAGAGGGGAACTTCCTCATCTTGATAAACCGGATTACAAAAAACTTACGGCTAATATACTTAATGGTGAGAGAAGACTGAATGCTCTTCTCATAAGACTGGGAGCAAGGCAAGGGTGTTCGCTCTCACCACTTTTATTCAATATAGTGCTGGGAGTTCTTGTCAGTGCAATAGACAAGAAAAGCAATTACAAACATATGGAGTGAAAAGAAAGAAAGAAAACTCTCACTATTTACAGATAACATAATTGTTGCTATAGTTTGGATATCTGACCATCCAAACCTCATGGTGAAATCTGATTCTCCAATGTTAGAGGTGGGGCCTGGTGGAAGGTGTTTGGATCACGGAGGCCGATCCCTCATGAAGGGCTTGGTGCTGTCCTCTGGGTAATGAGAAGTTCTCATTGTATTGGCTCCTGTGAGAGTTCTCCCAAGAACTCATTGTTAAAAACAGCCTAGCACCTTCCCTCTTTCTCTCTCTCACTTCTGCTCTCTTCCAGTGTGATCTCTGCACATGCCAGCTCCCATTCACCCTCTGCCATTTGGGGAAGTTTCCTGAGTCCCTCACCAGAAGCAGATGCTGGCTCTAGGCTTTTTGTTTAGCCTGCAGAACCATGAGCCAAATAAACCTTTTTTCTTTATGAATTACCAACCCTCAGGTAATTTATACACAATTTTCACACGCGTCCATGTGAAGAGACCACCAAACTCACTTTGTGTGAGCAATAAAGCTTTTTAATCACCTGGGTGCAGGCGGGCTGAGTCGGAAAAGAGAGTCAGCAAAGGGAAATAGGGGTGGGGCCGTTTTATAGGATTTGGGTAGGTAAAGCAAAATTACAGTCAAAGGGTGTTGTTCTCTGGCAGGCTGGGGTGGGGGTCACAAGGTGCTCAGTGGGGGAGGTTCTGAGCCAGGAGAAGGAATTTCACAAGGTTAATCGCTCAGTTAAGGTGGGGCAGGAACAAATCACAATGGTGGAATGTCATCAGTTAAGGCAGGAACAGGCCATTTTCACTTCTTTTGTGAATCTTCAGTTACTTCAGGCCATCTGGATGAATACGTGCAGACTTGGGCTCAGAGGCCTGACAAGAATAAGATGATTGTCTGTGTATAAAATCCCAAACATTTTACCAAAAAAAAAAAAAAAAAACTCTTTGAATTGATAAGTGAGCCCTGCAAGATCTCAGGAAACAAGAAAAATATACAAAAATCAATTGTATTTCTAGGTACAAGCAATGAACACATGGACCCAAATCGAAAATACAATACCACCTAAAATTCCTTTTAAAAATGAAATGCATGTAAATCTAATAAAACATGAACAGGACTTACCTGCTGAAAACTACACAATACTGATGACATAAATCAAAGAAGATAAATAAGTGAAGAGATATTACCATGTTAATGGATTGGAAGACCTAACACAGTAAAGATGTCAATTCTTCCCCAAATTGATATATACATTTAATGTATTTCTATTAAAATTCAAGCAAAACTTTTTATACATACAGACGTAGTATTATAAACTTTATGTGAAAAGACAAACTAGAATAGCTGAAACAATTTTGAAAAGAACAAAGTGGGAAGAAACAGTCTGAGTTCAACATTTACTATAATAGCTACAATAATCAAGACTGTGTGGTATTGCTGGAGAGAGAGACACATAGATTGATGAAACTTAATAAGAAACCTAAAAATAGGCTCACACAAATATGCCCAACTGATTTTTGACAAAGGTGCAAAAGTAATTCAACGGAGGAAATATGGTCTTTTAAACAAATGGTGCTGGAGGAATTGGACATCCATAAGCAAGCAAACAATCAAAAAGAGCCCTGACCAAAATCTCACATATTATACAAAACTTAACTCAAAATTACCTTAACTGTAAAACACAAAACCATAAAACATTTAGAAAAAAATAGGAGAAAATTTCAAGATCTAAAACTAGGTAAAGAATTCTTAGACAACACCAAAAGCATGATCCATAAAAAAAAAATTGATAAATTGTGCCCCATCAAAATAAAAGCTTTGGCTTTGCAAAAGGCCATGTTAAGGTAAAAATTCAGCCAGGTGTGGTGGCTCACACCTGTAATCCCAGCATTTTGGGAGGCTGAGGGGGGTGGATCACCTGAGGTCAGGAGTTTAAGACCAGCCTGGCCAATGTGGCAAAACCTCATCTCTAATAAAAAAATATAAAAATTAGCCAGGTGTGTTGGCGCAGACCTGTAGTCCCAGCTACTTGGGAGGCTGAGGGAGGAGAACTGCTTGAACCTGGGAGGTAGAGGTTGCAGTGAGCCGAGAATGAGCCACTGCACTACAGCCTGGGAGAGACTCCATCTCAAAAAAAAAAAAGGATAAAAAGTCAAGCTACACACAGAGGAAAAATATTTGCAAACCACATCCAACAAAGCTAATACATAGAATATATGAATTACTTTCAAACACAACATATAAAAGCAAATAATCCAATTATAAAATAGGCAAAAAACATGAACATATATTTTCCCAAGGAGGACATATAAACAGCAAATAAGCACATGAAAAGATGTTCAACATCTTTAGACATTGGGGGAAATAAAAATTAAAACAACAATGTGGTATTACTACACACCTGTCAGATTAGCTAAAATAAAAAGTAGTGCAATAAAAATGCTGACATGGGCATGAATCATTCACACATTGCTGGTGGGAATGTAAAATGGGAAACAGTTTGTCAGTTTCTTCAAAAAACTAAACATGCAACTACGGTACAACCCAGGAAATGCACTCCTGGGCATTTATCCCAGTGAAAGGAAGACCTGTGTTCACACAAAAACCTGTACACTAATGTTTATAGCAGCATTATTCATAGTAGCCAAAAATTAGAAATAATTCTGATGTCCTCTAATTAATGAATAGCTAAACAAATTGTGATAAATTCATACCACAGAATACTAAGAAATAAAAAGGAATAAACGATTAATACATTCAGAATTCTACTGAGTTTAAAAAGCCAATCCCAGCCAGGCATGGTGGCTTATGCCTGTAATCCCAGCACTTTGGGAGGCCAAGTCGGGCAGATCATTTGAGGTCAGGAAGGAGTTCAAGACCAGCCTGGCCAACATGGTAAAACCACGTCTCCACAAAAATACAAAAATAAGCCAGGCATGGTGGCACATGTCTGTAGTCCCAGCTACTAGGGAGGCTGAGATAGGAGAATTGCTTGAACTGTGGAGACAAGGGTTGCAATGAACCAAGATCCGGCCACTGCACTCCAGCCTGGGCAACAGTGAGACTTTGTCTCAGAAAAAAAAAAAAAAAGGCCAATCCCAAAAGGTTACACATTATATGATTCCATTTTTTTTTTTTTTTCTTTAGACGGAGTCTCCCTCTGTCGCCCAGGCTGGAATGCCATGGCGTGATCTCGGCTCACTGCAACCTCTGCCTCCTGGGTTCAAGCGATTCTCCTACCTCAGCCTCCTGAGTAGCTGAGATTACAAGCGCATGCCACTACGCCCGTCTAATTTTTGTATTTTTAGTAGAGACTGGGTTTTACCATGTTGGTCAGACTGGTCTCGAACTCCTGACATCGTGATCCACCCGCCTCAGCCTCCCAAAGTGCCGGGATTACAGGCGTGAGCCACCGCGCCCGGCCTATATGATTTCATTTAAATAACATTCTCAAAATGACAAAATGGAGAACAAATTAGTAGGTGCCAGAATGAGAGAGAGGTATGGGAGAGAAGTATGGCTATAAAAGGACAACAAGAGGGATCCTTATTAGTGATGGAAATGTTCTGTATCTAGACTGTATCAATATCTTAGTTATGATGTTACTATTGTTGGAAACTAAGTAAAGGGTCCAAGGGATCACTCTGTATTATTTCCTACAACTGCATGTGAACCTATAATTATCTCAACCTATAATTATCTACCTATAATGAATGTAAACATTAAAAAAGAATGTATCATATTACAAGTCATTAATAAAATAAAAATTCATGGGCCCATAATTTAAAACTTAAATTAAAATGGGGGGAAAGGCCGAGCATGGTGGCTCACGCCTGTAATCCCAGCACTTTGGGAGGCTGAGGTGGGCGGATCACAAGGTCAGGAGTTCAAGACCAGCCTGACCAACATGGTAAAACCCCGTCTCTACTAAAAATACAAATATTGGCTAGGCGTGTTGGCGTGTGCCTGTAATCCCAGCTACTCAGGAGGCTGAGGAAGGAGAATTGTCTTAGCCGATAAGTGACGGAGCTGACCTTCTAAACCAGACTTGGCGACTCTAGCTGCAGAATTTTCCCCACAATACCACATTTCCTCTCTGCCCTGCCAATGGAATACAGAAAGATCTACTTCTTTTCTTCCTCCTTAATATGTCTGTAGCCTGTAATCTCTTGATCCGTCTACCGGGTCCCTCCCACAACAGGGAGGAATTATGGGAGCCACTATTCAAAACAAGATTTGGGTGGGGACTCAGAGCCAAACTCTATCAGGATTCAATGCAAGGGACAACTCATCTTGGAACCCTTTCCTGACTGCCTCTGCCTACCTCTCATGCTCCACTCTCACCGTGGCTGAGGCAGAAGTTGTTGTGCTGTGTATGCCTTTTCACAGCACATATCACATTATATTGAAATCACTGGGGTATTTGACCTCTTTTCCTCTCCAGACTTGAGCTCCTTGAAGGCAAGTCTATGCGCTTGATCTTTGGTGCTGATTCAGTGTCAAGAAGTTAAGTGCTGAATGAATGAAGAAATTTAACCAAAAAATAACTATTGAGTGAATGCCAGCTCTGTTCCAGCTGTGGATCTAAGCAGCTGAAGGTCCAATGGCAAGCAAAAATCCACACAGCATCACTGTTCACGTGACTTACACTCTACTTGGAGTGCAGACACGAGTTAAATACCCACACTAATGAATAAATAACTAAAACTAAAATATGTGCTTTGCAGGATGAAGAGTACGGCTCAACAAGAGCAGTTAAAAAGGACCATGACCTTGACTATTTTTGTTCCTTTCATTTTGTTTTCATTTGTTTATTTGTTTGGATTTTAGATGGAAGAGATCTGAGTATGATTAAGACTTAATGGGAATAATTCAGGTGCATGTGAGAGGTTAAATAATAGCAAACAATAAAAGGAGAGAAAATGATTAAATAACACAGTAGGCCTCTTGAGGATAGAAAGAATTCTACAACTCTTGTCGAGACACTAGCCTGGATGAGAGAAGAAACACCTCTCCTGAAGCCACAGGAGGGAAAACTGAGGAAGTAGATGCAGAGGTAGGTAGAGGGTAGGTTTTGTACAAGTGAATTGAATGAGGTCCTGTCAAAAGCTTAGATTTTGTCTGAGTGAAAGGAGTCAAAATGATCTACTGGAAATTAGGTGAAAGGTGAGGGAGTCAGAAATTTGAAGGGAGTGAAGAGGGTTTGAAGTTTTCATTATAGAGTGCAGGAAAGAAAGTTAACAGAAAAAAGTAGCAGGATTGCTGGGGTGTGTTAAGAACCATCTGAGGTTGGTGATGGTGACTATATACCTACAAAAATGTGCCTATTGTGTAATTTTTCTCCAGCAGCCTGGGAGGCCCGGGGCAAACACAGGGAAAGCAAACCATTGTGTTCATTCAGGGTGTGGTTTTGCCAAATTGTAATGAGGAAGTGGCAGTGGGTCAAGGCAATTTAGAGTATTTGGTGAGAATGTTATTGAAATAAAAGACCATGAATCCAAGAGGAGAAGCCTGATGGACTGGAAGGAGTAAAGGAGAGGGGGCAGTAGTGGACTGGAGGACCCAAGGAGATTAAAGAACAACAATAGCGAAAATGGTTGAATATGAGGCTAGAAGGGAAAGTAGAAGCATGGCTTGTGGAAAGTGGGGTGGTGGAGCTACCCCGAACGTTCTCCAAACATTGCACTTCTTCAACAATGTTCAGGATATTAAAATTATGATGAAAAGGTATTAGAGGATACAGCATGAAAGCTAGGCAGTGAGAGCCAAGATGCAAAGACAAGTAGTAAAAGGTGATGACTTTTTAGCATCCTTGTTGCTCCTCTGTCAATCACTATTAGCACAGGCCTCAGATTACACTCTACGCTCTACCCCCTCCCAGGTTCCATCCTCCCAGGGTCAGAGACCGGCTGGGACTGTTAAGAGGGGAGGGCATGGTTACAGATCAAAATGCTTAAATTTGCTATTTTGAAGGTAGAAGGTCCAGGTGATAACAGTGTCGTGGAAGTACATGGAAGAGGTAGAGAGATTAGTGGAAATGAGGAAACTGGAGTTTTTGAGGGCCCTCCACGGAAGGTGAGGGCACACTGGAAAGAGAAGTCTGTGAGCCACACATCTAAGTCTTTGTTGAATGATAGAGTGTAACCTGGAGGCAAGTATGGGACAGGGACTAGGAAAGAGTCAAAAGGTATGACTTGCCAGGCGCGGTGGCTCACGCCTGTAATCCCAGCACTTTGGGAGGCCGAGGCAGGCAGATCACGAGGTCAGGAGTTTGAGACCAGCCTGACCAACATCGTGAAACCCCGTCTCTACTAAAAATACAAAAAGAAATTAGCCGGGTGTGTGCCTGTAATCCCAGCTACTCTGGAGGCTGAGGCAGGAGAACTGCTTGAACCTGGGAAGCGAAGGTTGCAGTGAGCTGAGATCGTGCCACTGCACTCCAGCCTGGGTGACAGAGTGAGACTCCATTACAAAAAAAAAAAAGTATGACCTGTGGTATGAGATAATTTGTCTCAGGAGAGTGAGGCAGTAATGATCTAGAAGAAGCAGTGGAAAGCAAGGCAGACACAAAACCTCATGGCAGATCCTGAGGTAAGTGCAGCAGAAAAGAGTAAACAGCCAGCACTAAACGTAGAGAAAGAGACATGTTAGAAGAATCATTGCCTACGCTGTGCTCCAGTGGACTGTGTCAGCTCAAAAGGTATGCCTTTCAAATTGTTCAGACCCACACTCTGGGCTAGCTTGGCCTTGTCTGGGAAAGTGCTGACCTCAGGAAAAACCAGATTTCAGTTAAGATACGTTGATGAAGAGATGGAGGAAAAAGGCTATTTCTGGTATAGTAGAATAAATAAATATTCATTCATTTAAGAGAAAACAGATTGGCCGCCTCTAAGATTGTGTTTTATCACTTGACTAAAAGCTGTGTGAGGCTGGGTGCAGTGGCTCACACCTGTAATCCCAGAACTTTGGGAGACAGAGGGGGGTGGATCACCAGGTCAAGAGATAGAGACCATACTGGCCAACATGGTGAAACCCCCCATCTCTACTAAAAATATAAAAATTAGTTGGGTGTGGTGGCAGGCACCTGTAGTCCCAGCTACTCGGGAGGTTGAGACAGGGGAATTGCTTAAACCCAGGAGGCGGAGGTTGCAGTGAGCCGAGATCATGCCACTGCACTCCAGCCTGGGTGACAGAGCAAGACTCTGTCTCAAAAACAAAAAGTGAGAATGAATTAACTCTTGCTCCAGTTGTAGTATGGAAGGGATGTGGGTAGGAAAATTCACAGTTTAAACCTCCATCAGTGGAAATAAGGTGGATATAAAGCACAAAGTAAATTGAAAGTTGATATGGTTTGGCTGTGTCCCCACCCAAATCTTATCTTGAATTATAATCCCCATAATCCCCACATATCAAGGGAGAGACCAGGCGGAGATAATTGAATCACGGGGATGGTTTCCCCCAGGCTGTTCTCATGATAGTGAGTGAATTCTCAGTAGATCTGACAGTTTTATGAGGGGCTCCTCCCTTTCACTCAGCACTTCTCCTTCCTGCTGCCTTGTGAAGAAGGTGCTTTGCTTCTCCTTTGCCTTCCACTCTGATTGTAAATTTCCTGAGGCTGCGCCAGCCATGCTGAACTGTGAGTCAATTAAACCTCTTTTCTTTATAAATTACCCAGTTTCGGGCAGTTCTTCATAGTAGTGTGAGAACAAACGAATACAAAAGTCTATACTCTCAAGAGAAGCTTTGCAAAGTGCCTCTGTCCCTGACTTCCAAAGTCATTGTTTCAGAAATTCTCTGGAAAGCTTCCTCCCCAGGTGAGCTTTCAAGTACTATAGCAGAGGCTGAGCAGTAGTGGAAATAGGGGAGAGAAAGAGAGGAAGAGAGAAATAGGAGAGAAAGAGAGACCTGTTAGAAGAGGGTGTAACTAGGAATCACCTGAACTCAAAGGTGGAAATTCAGGTCTCAATTAATTTTATTCTAAGTTTTATCTGAAGGAAAGAGCAGTGGCTAGATAAGACACTTGCTAATTCTTAGAAGGACTGGAAAGAAATACAGCATAATGTTAAAAATACCATTGTGGTCTCTGGCTAGGAGACATTTTTTCTTCTTTGTACAATTCTTTATATCTGTATTGTCTATATCGAATATATATAATTTTGATATTTAGAAAAACTGTAGAAAAATATTTATGCCCTGTTAAAATTCCTCACAAGCACATAACAGCTATTTTTAGGGTAAAATTGGTTGCAAACTAAAGGAATTACAAAGCTCCAAAATAAATTATCTCCAATAATTTCAGTAGTAGTACAGTAATGATGAAGAATCAATATAGTAAATTTCATAAAAATGAAACGTGTTAGAAAAGCAAACAACATGCTAAAACACCAGCTGTGTGACTTAATGTCAATACGTATCACAAAACACCATCTACAGTATATAAAAGAGAAAATTCAGAGCTGCAGGAAAACTTGTTACCTATAATGGGAGGAAGATACACATTTTAGGAAATCAGCATGACAAGCTACTAAAGTGGAAATAAGTAAATAACTATTATTTTCAAATAGTTTCAGAGTAATATTAGTCACTAGATGAGAATTTTTAAATTAAACACAATTTTTCCTTAAAGTATCAACAAGGATATATCCTCTATTTCAGCACAACTAAGAACCAAAAATGTGTATTAGTCTGCTTTAGCTAGATTGTGTTACAGTAACAAACAGCCCCGTAAATCTCAGTGGCTTACAACAATAGTGTATTTCTCACTCATGTTACATGTTAGGGGCTGCAGGTTGGCTATGGCTTCACTCCATCTTTCTTTTCATTCTAGGACTTAGGCTGAACAAACAGTCTCCACTGAGACATATTCTCAAGTCTGAGGAAAATATTGACTTACTGGCAAACAGCAAAGACTCAAAGCTTCTACTAAGAATTGGATATTGCAACCTCATTTTATTGGTCAAAGGAAGTCACGTTGCTAAGCCTGATACTATGGCAGGGGTGTATACTCCTTCCAAGGGATGCACTAAATTCACATGGCCTTGGACAGAGATGTGCAATCCTTTTATAGGGAAAGGGACAATGAATATTTGGCATAATAATATAATACATCACAAAATTCATTCACTTACAGAGCATTTACTATGGTGGTAAACACTAGAAAAGTGCAGTGAAGAAGGCTGGGTGTGGTGGCT
Source organism: Homo sapiens (assembly GCF_000001405.40). Lineage (NCBI taxonomy): Eukaryota > Metazoa > Chordata > Mammalia > Primates > Hominidae > Homo > Homo sapiens. The sequence continues at coordinate 48,013,321 of NC_000013.11, forward strand.
CACACCTGTAATCACAGCACTTTGGGAGGCCGAGGCAGGAGGATCATGAGGTCAGGAGTTCAAGACCAGCCTGGCCAACAGAGTGGAACCCCATCTCTACTAAAAATACACAGACACAAAAAAATTATCTGGGCATGGTGGCGGGCGCCTGTAATCCCAGCTACTTCGGAGGCTAAGGCAGGAGAATTGCTTGAACCCAGGAGGCAGAGGATGCAGTGAGCAGAGATTGCGCCATTGTACTCCAGCCTGGGTGACAGAGTGAAACTCTGTCTCAAGAAAAATGCAGTGAAGATAAAAAACATTGTTTATATCCTTAGGAGCTTAGTGGATAGCTACCATAGAATGTTTGCTATAGATATATACCACACTATATCCTGTACTTATGGATCCCATTTAAGCCTTTCAGTAGCTCTATAATGTATTATAGGTATTTATCATTCATATTTTATTTAAGGGAAAACTGAAGTTTTCCAATTAGCCCAAAGTATGTGTGGTAGATTGGGAAAATGATCAAAATTCTTCCTCTTCTGGCTACCATACCCTTGCATGTCTTAAAATATACTTGTTAAAGTGAGAACGCCTGTAATCCCAGCACTTTGGGAGGCCGAGACAGGCGGATCACGAGGTCAGGAGATGGAAACCATCCTGGGTAACACGATGAAACCCTGTCTCTACTAAAAATACAAAAAAATTAGCCGGGCATGGTGGTGGGTGCTTGTAGTCCTAGCTACTCGGGAGGTTGAGGCAGGAGAATGGCGTGAACCCAGGAGGCGGAGCTTGCAGTGAGTCGAGATTGCGCCACTGCACTCCAGCCTAGGCGACAGCGCAAGACTCCGTCTCAAAAAAAAAAGTGAGAATGAATTGACTGTTGCTCCAGTTGTAGTATGATGGGGAAATGGGTGGGAAAATTCAGTTTAAACCTCCCTCAATGGAAATAAGGTGGATATACAGCACAAAGTAAATTGAAAGTCTATCCCCTCAAGAGAAGCTTTGCAAATTGCCCTTGTCCCCTGACTTCCAAAGTCACTGTTTCAAAAATGCAATGTACCCTGGAAGCCTCCTCCCCAGGTGAGCTTTCAAATACTATAGCATATCTGATCTTCTCAGCAAGAAGTGTAGACTCTTTCTCCACTCTTAAATCTGAGCTAGTCATGTGAGTTTCTTTGACTAACGGGCTATTAACAAATACAGCAAGCAGAGGCTTGAAATATGTTTGCACACAGGGACTTGCCCTTTTCCTGCTCTTGGAACCATGCTGCCATGATCACCCTTCTAAATGAGTGACACGTGGCTCAGCTGCCCCTATTGTACTAACTTATAGCCTATACATCACCAGACAAGTGAATGAGGCCACCTTAGATCATCTAGGCATGTGCCAGTGCACCACCTTGCAACAGATACATGAAAGCCCAGCAGAGACATGCTGAGATGGCCATCCACCTGGGCCTCAGAATGAAAAGCTAAATAAATAGTTGTTGTTTTGAATCACCAACTTTTGGGGTGGTTTGTTATGCAGAAAAAGCTAACTAATATACAGGAAGAAAGGACAGAACAGAAATATATATACAAGCCTATCTGTTTCCAAAGCCTTGTTCTTTCTATTAAGCTATACCTCCCTCTCTGGGATGGAAGAGGGATCTTGAAAAGTCAGGTACTCCATTCACGCAAAATGAATCTAACAGATATTTACTGGGTGACCAGTTTAGCACGTGTCAGGCACTTTACTATGTTTAGATGCACTGTATTGAACAAGAAGGAAATAGCTCTGTCATCAAACAGCTTACAGTGTAATGGCTAGGGGAAAGGAGTAACGAGTAATAATTACATAAAAAAAGAATGTATTATTTTACCCTTGATCCCAGGAGGTCAAGGCTGCAGTGAGCCGTGCTTGTACCACTGCACTCCAGCCTAGGCAACAGAGCAAGACCCTGTCTCAAAAACAAAAAACAAAAAAAGAATTCATTATTTTACATTGTTATGAGAGATACAAAGAAATCCAACATAATTATGAGAAAACTATGGGATAGAAGAAAAACAGGGAGTTAGAAAAGGAGCTCTAGTGTAAGTAGAGGTGTAAGGGGAGTAAGTCCTCTCTAAAGAAATGGTGCCAGTTGTGGTCTCCAGAAAACAGAGGTTGAGATGGAGTTAGGAGTGCAATGCGTTTAGCAAAGAGTAATACTTGTTTTCCAGAAGGTGAGAAAGAAATATTGGACAGAGAAAAACCACATGATTATCTCAATAGATGCAGAAAAGGCCTCTGACAAAATTCAACAACCTTCATGCTAAAAACTCTCAATAAATTAGGTATTGATGGGTCGTATCTCAAAATAGTAAGAGCTATCTATGACAGACCCACAGCCAATATCATACTGAATGGGCAAAAACTGGAAGCATTCCCTTTGAAAATGGGCATAAGACAGGGATGCCCCCTCTCACCACTCCTATTCAACATAGTGTTGGAAGTTCTGGCCAGGGCAATCAGGCAGGAGAAGGAAATAAAGGGTATTTAATTAGGAAAAGAGGAAGTCAAATTGACCCTGTTTGCAGATGACATGATTGTATATCTAGAAAACCCCATCGTCTCAGCCCAAAATCTCCTCAAACTGATAAGCAACTTCAGCAAAGTCTCAGGATACAAAATCAATGTACAAAAATCACAAGCATTCTTATACACCAATAACAGACAAACAGAGAGCCAAATCATGAGTGAACTCCCATTCACAATTGCTTCAAAGAGAATAAAATACCTAGGAATCCAACTTACAAGGGATGAGAAGGACCTCTTCAAGGAGAACTACAAACCACTGCTCAATGAAATAAAAGAGGATACAAAGAAATGGAAGAACATTCCATGCTCATGGGTAGGAAGAATCAATATCGTGAAAATGGCCATACTGCCCAAGGTAATTTATAGATTCAATGCCATCCCCATCAAGCTACCAATGCCTTTCTTCACAGAACTGGAAAAAACTACTTTAAAGTTCATATGGAACCAAAAAAGAGCCCACATCACCAAGTCAACCCTAAGCCAAAAGAATGAAGCTGGAGGCATCACACTACCTGACTTCAAACTATACTACAAGGCTACAGTAACCAAAACAGCATGGTACTGGTACCAAAACAGAGATATAGACCAATGGAACAGAACAGAGCCCTCAGAAATAATGCCGCATATCTACAACTATCTGATCTTTGACAAATCTGACAAAAACAAGAAATGGGGAAAGGATTCCCTATTTAATAAATGGTGCTGGGAAAACTGGCTAGCCATATGTAGAAAGCTGAAACTGGATTCCTTCCTTACACCTTATACAAAAATTAATTCAAGATGGATTAAAGACTTAAATGTTAGACCTAAAACCATAAAAACCCTGGAAGAAAACCTAGGCAATACCATTCAGGACATAGGTATGGGCAAGGACTTCATGTGTGAAACACCAAAAGCAATAGCAACAAAAGCCAAAATTGACAAATGGGATCTAATTAAACTAAAGAGCTTCTGCACAGCAAAAGAAACTACCATCAGAGTGAACAGGCAACCTACAGAATGGGAGAAAATTTTTGCAACCTACTCATCTGACAAAGGGCTAATATCCAGAATCTACAATGAACTCAAACAAATTTACAAGAAAAAAACAACCCCATCAAAAAGTGGGTGAAGGATATGAACAGACACTTCTCAAAAGAAGACATTTATGCAGCCAAAAAACACGTGAAAAAATGCTCATCATCACTGGCCATCAGAGAAATGCAAATCAAAACCACAATGAGATACCATCTCACACCAGTTAGAATGGCGATCATTAAAAAGTCAGGAAACAACAGGTGCTGGAGAGGATGTGGAGAAATAGGAACATTTTTACACTGTTGGTGGGACTGTAAACTAGTTCAACCATTGTAGAACTCAGTGTGGCGATTCCTCAGGGATATAGAACTAGAAATACCATTGACCCAGCCATGCCATTACTGGGTATATACCCAAAGGATTATAAATCATGCTGCTATAAAGACACATGCACACGTATGTTTATAGCAGCACTATTCACAATAGCAAAGACTTGGAACCAACCTAAATGTCCAACAACGATAGACTGGATTAAGAAAATGTGGCACATATACACCATGGAATACTATGCAGCTATAAAAAATGATGAGTTCATGTCCTTCATAGGGACATGGATGAAACTGGAAACCATCATTCTCAGCAAACTATCACAAGGACAAAAAACCAAACACGGCATGTTCTCACTCATAGGTAGGAATTGAACAATGAGAACACATGGACACAGGAAGGGGAACATCACACACCGGGGACTGTTGTGGGGTGGGGGGCGGGGGGGAGGGATAGCATTAGGAGATATACCTAATGCTAAATGACGAGTTAATGGGTGCAGCACACCAACATGGCACATGTATACATATGTAACAAACCTGCACGTTGTGCACATGTACCCTAAAACTTAAAGTATAATAATAATAAAATTTTTTAAAAAAAGAAATATTGGACAGAGGAATCATCAAATCATAACCTGACAAGAAGCCAGAAAGACCGGAGCCCAACACGGAGCTCTGGAGCAGAGATTGCCTGTTAGAGGAATTCCATATTGGGTGGAAATGCCTTATACCACTGATTCTGACAATAATCACAGTCACTGGCTGGGGACACCCTGAGAAAAGTGTGACCTCAGTTCAAATAGAGGGGGACCCTGAAGGAGCCACCACTGGACACTGTTGCCTAACCATGCTCTTCACAACTGGGCAGTGAATCCTTTTTTTCTTTTTTTTCTTTGATTATTATTATTATGAGACAGGGTCTCCCTCTGTCACCAAGGCTGGAGTGCAGTGGCATGATCACAGCTCACTGCAGCCTTGACCTCCTGAGTAGCTTGAGCTACAGGCACGTGCCACCACACTTAGCTAAGTTTGTATGTTTTGTAGAGATGGGGATTTGCCATATTGCCCAGGCTGGTCTCCAACTCCTGGGCTCAAGCGATCTGCCCACCTTGGCCTCCCAAAGTGCTGGGATTACAGGTATGAGCCACCATGCCCAGCCAAAATTTACCCTTTTAAAGTGTACAGTTCTGTAACATTAAGTACCTTCACATTGTTTACTAACCATTACTACCATCTATCTCCAGAATTTTTTTATCTTCCCCAACTTAAATTATGTACCCATTAAATACTTCCCAATACCCTTTCCTTTTAGCCCCTCGCAGCCAATATTCTATTTTCTGTCTCTATGAATTTGCCTACTCTAGGTACCTCATCATAAGTGTAAAATCATACAATATTTGTCCTTTTGTGACTGGCTGACTTCACTTAGCATAATGTCTTCAAGGTTCATCTATGTTGTAGCTTATGTCAAAATTTAATTAATTTTTAAGATGGAATAGTATTTCATTGTGTTTATATTCCACATTTTGTTTGTCCATTCAAACATCAATGAACACTTGGGTTGCTTCCTTGTTTTAGCTATTCTGAATAATGCTGCTTTGAACACAGTATGTAAATATTTGTTTAAGTCCCTGCCCTGCCTTCATTTATTTTGTATATGTACCTAAAAGTGTGATTGCTGGATTATATGGTAATTCTACATTACATTTTTTTGAGGAACCAGCATACTGTTTTCCACCGTGGCTGTACCATTTTATATTCCCAACAGCGCACAAGGGTTCCAAATTCTCCACATTCTCACCAACACTTGTTATTTTCTGGTTGTTGTTTTTTATAATCCATCTTAATGGGTGTGAAGTGATCTCATTGTAGATTTTTTTTTTTTTTTTTTTTTTTTTTTTTTTTTGACAGTCTCACTCTGTTACCCAGGTTGGAGTACAGTGGAGTGATCTCGGCTCACTGCAAGCTCCGCCTCCCAGGTTCAAGTGATTCTCCTGCTTCCGCCTCCCAAGTAGCTGGGATCACAGGCACCTGCTACCACTCCGGGCTAATTTTTGTATTTTCAGTAGAGACAGGGTTTCACCATGTTGGCCAGGCTGGTCTTGAACAGCTGACCTTAAATGATCCATCCACCTCAGCCCCCCAAAGTGCTGGGATTACAGGCATAAGCCATCATGCCTGACCTAATTGTAGCTTTTTTATTGTATTTCCTCAACAATAAGTGGTGCTGAAAATCTTTTCATGTAGTTTTTTTTGTTGTTATTGCTGTTTAGACAGAGTCTCACTGTATTGCCCAGGCTGGAGTGCAATGGCACGATCTTGGCTCACTGCAACCTCCACCTCCTGGGTTCAAGTGATTTTCCTGCCTCAGCCTCCCAGTTAGCTGGGATTACAGGCATGTGCTACCAGGCCTGGCTAATTTTTGTATTTTTAGTAGAGACAGGGTTTCACCATGTTGGTCAGGCTAGTCTTGAACTTTTGACCTCAGGGGATCCACCCTCCTCGGCCTCCCAAAGTGCTGGGATTACAAGCATGAGCCACCGCACCCGGCCAATCTTTTTATGTATTTATTAGGCATTTGTATATCTTTTTTGGAGAAATGCCTATTCAAGTCCTTTGTTCATTTTTTAATCAGGTTGTTTGTTTTTTGTTGTTGTTGTGTTATAGGAGTTCTTTATATATTCAAAATATTAATCTGTGGCTCAAGACACTAGAGATTGTTGGGATGGCTTCAAACAGGCCATATATCTGGAGCAGGTCTGAATTCATGGATGTGTGACCTGTGCTTACGCAATAATAAAAAGGTCCCACCATCTTGAAGTTCTCAACAAATTTCAAATAAGGAGTTCCACATTTTTATCATTGGGCCCTTCAAATTATGTAGCCAGTCCCTCACTTCTGGTTGTCAGTTGGGTTCTTCATTCTTCTCTACCTTTTGTCTGCATACACAGAAATGTCAAAGATGACTTCTTTATGCACATATCTGGTTGCCTGTGTTGGAATGGATGAAAAAGTTACGGATGGCCAAGCATCTTTGTCCCTTTCTCCTGTTTTTTTTTTAGATGATGTCGTTTATTTAAAATGTTTACTCCAAGAAATATATATATATATATATATATATATATATATATATATATAAAATAAGACAATTATAGCACTAAACCAGTCACCTTCAGCCAAATCACAACCTCCTCTTTGATTCCCCTTCACGCTAAGCCTCTTTCAAATCCTTTTTCCTGAGCTGGAAGACCAGTCAGATGCCCGCGGGGTCGTGCCAAGCACGTTCCCAGCCGGACAACTGTGTACCTTTCTCTAGGAATGCACGACACTCTTCCCCCCCAACTCCTTGTTTTAAAGGATTTAACCCATTAGGAAACCCATTGTTCAATCTAAGCCAGAAGGAGGTGCAGGACAAGGCAGTCTTCACTTTGAAGGTCCATTTCCTGCTCCAGTCCTTGGGCTAGGGTTCTAGAAGAGGCTGGCTGCCGAGTTTACATGAGGCCACTGAAGATCTAAGTCCAGCTCCGCCCAGGGCGGCTCCTGAAAAGCTTTGTCCGTTTCTCTACATAGCCTCCCTATGTGGCTAGCATGGGCTTCTTTAAAACATGGCAGTTGTATGGCAATCATACTTTTTACATGGTGCTGATTTTCCTCTAGAGTGAGTAGTCTAAGAGCCTGAGAAAAAAACTGCAAGGATTCTTATGACCTAGCCTGGCAAAACATATAGCATACTTTATGTCACATCCTATTGGTCACCAGCCTGCTTGTACCATCTGGTCCTTCTGCTTTTCAAGAGGCACTATAAAAAATTAAAAAGCTTCCAATTATGTGGTCAATTTTAGAATAAGTGCGATGTGCTGAGAAGAATGTATATGCTGTTGATTTGGGGTGAGGAGTGCTGTAGATGTCTATTAGGTCTCCTTGGTCCAGAGCTGAGTTCAAGTCCTGGACATCGTTGTTAATTTTTTGTCTCATTGATCTGTCTAATATTGACAATGGGGTGTTAAAGTCTCCCACTATTATTGTGTGGGAGTTTAAGCAAATGCAAAAGAACAGAAATCATAACAGTCTCTCAGATCACAGTGCAATCATATTAGAACTCAGGATTAAGAAACTCATTCAAGGCTGGGCGCAGTTGCTCACACCTGTAATCCCAGCACTTTGGGAGGCCAAGGCGGGCGGATCACCTGTGGTCGGGAGTTCAAGACCAGCCTCACTAACATGGAGAAACCCCATCTCTACTAAAAATACAAAATTAGCCAGAGTGGTGGTGCATGCCTGTAATCCAAGCTACTCGGGAGGCTGAGGCAGGAGAATCACTTGAACCGTGGTGGAAGTGGAGGTTGCAGTGAGCCGAGATGGTGCCATTGCACTCCAGCCTGGGCAAAAAGAGCGAAACTCCGTCTCAAAAAAAAAAAAAAGAAACTCATTCAAAACCGCACTACTACATGGAAACTGAACAAGCTGCTCCTGAATTACTACTGGGTAAATAACAAAATTAAGGCAGAAATAAAGATGTTCTTTGAAACCAATGAGAACAAAGATACAATGTACCAGAATCTCTGGGACACATTTAAAGTAGTGTGTAGAGGGAAATTTATAGCACTAAATGCCCACAAGAGAAAGCAGGAAAGATCTAAAATTGACACCCTAACATCACAATTAAAAGAACTAGAGAAGCAAGAGCAAACAAATTCAAACAGTAGCAGAAGACAAGAAATAACTAAGATCAGAGCAGAACTGAAGGAGATAGAGACACGAAAAACCCTTCAAAAAATCAGTGAATCCAGGAGCTGCTTTTTGAAAAGATCAACAAAATTGATAGACTGCTAGCCAGACTAATAAAGAAGAAAAGAGAGAAGAATCAAATAGACGCAATAAAAAAATGATAAAGGGGATATCACCACTAATCCCACAGAAATACAAACTACCATCAGACTACTATAAACACGTCTACACAAATAAACTAGAAAATCTTGAAGAAATGGATAAATTCCTGCAAACACACACACTCCCAAGACTAAACGAGGAAGAAGTCAAATTCCTGAGTAGACCAGTAACAAGTTCTGAAATTGAGGCAGTAATTAATAGCCAACCAAACAAAAACAGTCCAGGACCAGATGGATTCATAGCCAAATTCTACCATAGGTACAAAGAGGAACTGGTACCATTCCTTCTGAAACTACTCCAAACAATAGAAAAAGAAGGAATCCCCCCAACTCATTTTACGAGGCCAGCATCATCCTGATACCAAAACCTGGCAGAGATACAACAAAAAAAGAAAATTTCAGGCCAATATCCCTGTTGAACATCGATGCAAAAATCGGCAACAAAATACTGGCAAATGAAATCCAAGAGCACATCAAAAAGTGTATCCACCACGATCAAGTCGGCTTCATCCCTGGGATGCAAGGCTGATTCAACATATACAAATCAATAAACCTAATCCATCACATAAACAGAACAAATGACAAAACCACATGATTATCTCAATAGATGCAGAAAGGCCTTTGACAAAATTCAACAGCCCTTCATGCTAAAAATTCTCAATAAACTAGGTATTCATGAAACATTATCTCAAAATAATAAGAACTATTTATGACAAACCCACAGCCAATATTATACTGAATGGGCAAAAACTGGAAGCATTCCCTTTGAAAACCGACACAAGACAAGAATGCCCTCTCTCACCACTCCTATTCAACATAGTATTGGAAGTTCTGGCCAGGGCAATCAGGCAAGAGAAAGAAATAAAGGGAATTCAACTAGAAAAGAGGAGGTCAAATTGTCCCTGTTTGCAGATGACATGACTGTATATTTAGAAAACCCCATCATCTCATCCCCAAATCTCCTTAAGCTGATGAGCAACTTCAGCAAAGTTTCAGGATACAAAATCAACGTGCAAAAATCACAAGCATTCCTATACACCAATAACAGACAGAGAGCCAAATCATGAGTGAACTCCCATTCACAATTGCTACAAAGAGAATAAAATACCTAGGAATCCAACTTACAAGGGATGTGAAGGACCTCTTCAAGGAGAACTACAAACCATTGCTCAAGGAAATAAGAGGGAAACAAACAAATGGAAAAACATTCCATGCTCATGGATAGGAAGAATCAATATCATGAAAATGGCCACATTGCCCAAAGTATTTTATAGATTCAATGCTAACCCCATCAAGCTACCAATGACTTTCCTCACAGAATTGGAGAAAACTACTTTAAATTTCATATGGAACCCAAAAAGAGCCCGCATAGCCAAGACAATCCTAAGCAAATAGAACAAAGCTGGAGGCATCACGTTACCTGACTTCAAACTATACTACAAGGCTACAGTAACCAAAACAGCATGGTACTGGTACCAAAACAGAGATATAGACCAATGGAACAGAACAGAGCCCTCAGAAATAACACCACACATCTACAACCATCTGATCTTTGACAAATCTGACAAAAACAAGCAATAAGAAAGGATTCCCTATTTAATAAATGGTGTTGGGAAAACTGGTTAGCCATATGCAGAGAGCTGAAACTGGATCCCTTCCTTATACCTTATACAAAAATTAACTTAAGATGGATTAAAGACTTAAACATAAGACCTAAAACCATAAAAACCCTAGAAGAAAACCTAGGCAATACCATTCAGGACATAGGCATGGGCAAAGACTTTGTGACTAAAACACCAAAAGCAATGGCAACAAAAGCCAAAATAGACAAATGGGATCTAATGAAACTAAAGAGCTTATGCACAGCAAAAGAAACTATCATCAGAGTGAACAGGCAACCTACAGAATGGGAGAAAATTTTTGCAATCTATACATCTGACAAAGGGCTAATATCCGGAATCTACAAAGAACATAAACAAATGTACAAGAAAAAAAAACAAACAACCCCATCAAAAAGTGGGCAAAAGATATGAATAGACACTTCTCGAAAGAAAACATTTATGCGGCCAACAAACATATGAAAAAAAGCTCATCATCACTGGTCATTAGAGAAATGCAAACCAAATCACAATGAGATAGCATCTCATGTAAGTTAGAATGGCAATCATTAAAAAGTCAGGAAACAACAGATGCTGGAGAGAATGTAGAGAAATAGGAACACTTTTACACTGTTGGTGGGCGTGTAAATTAGTTCAACCATTGTGGAAGACAGTGTGGCAATTCCTCCAGGATCTAGAACTAGAAATGCCATTTGACCAGCAATCCCATTACTGGGTATATAACCAAAGGATTATAAATCATTCTACTATACAGACACATGCACATGTATGTTTACTGCAGCACTGTTTACAATATCAAAGACTTGGAACCAATTCAAATGCCCACCAATGATAGACTGGATAAAGAAAATGTGGCACATACACACCATGGAATATATGCAGCCATAAAAAGGGATGAATTCACGTTCTTTGCAGGGACATGGATGAAGCTGAAAACCATCATTCTCAGCACACTAACACAACAACAGAAAACCAAACACCTCATGTTCTCACTCATAAGTGGGAGTTGAACAATGAAAACACATGAACACAGGTGGGGGGGCATCACACACCAGGGCCTGTCGGGGGCTGGGGTGCTGGGGGAGAGATAGCATTAGGAGAAATACCTAATGAAGATGACGGGTTGATGGGTGCAGCAAACCACTACAGCACGCGTATAACTATGTAACAAACCTGCACGTTCTGCACTTGTACCCCAGAACTTAAAGTATAATAAAAAATAAATAAGCGGGTGCAGCACTGGGGAGAGGGAACCATTTACAGTGGTAGTAGAGAGCTTCTTAGGAAATCAAGCTAATGTAGTCAAACATCAAGTAAATCTGGGCCAATAGAAAAAATTTTCAGAAACCAGAGATCTGTGTGGTGTGGTTACATTTCTGTCAATCAAAAGGACAATACTACTTGCTTCAGAAGAATAGAGTTAAAAGGCTGATGGCTCGGTCTGGAAGATGCTTACCAAGTCCTGAAACTTAGAGAGCCAATGGTTGCAGTCAAGAGTTACTTAAGGAAAAATGATATACACCACCTTTTGGGATTCTGTACCTGGGATACAAATAAGGTTTAATATTAAGGTGTACTCTCCTTGTAGCAAACACGAGGGTAATGAATTATGAACTCTTACTTCCATGCTGTGATGGTTAATATTAGGCATCAACTTGACTGGATTGAGGGATGCCTAGATGGCTGATGAAGCATTGTTTCTGGGTGGGTCTGTGAGGGTGTTGCCAGAAGAGATGGAAATGTGAGTCAGTGGACTAGGAGAGGAAGACCCACCCTCAGTGCAGGTGGGCACCATCCAATCAGCTGCCAGGGCAGCTAGAACAAAGCAGGTGGAAGAAGGGGGATAAGTAGCGTGGCTTTCTGAGTCAGATTTCTCTCTCTCTTCCTGTGTGGTGCTGGAAGTCAGCTTTTCCTCCTCCTGTCCTCTTTGGACATCAAGCTCCCAGTTCTTCAACCTTTGGACTATGGGACTTGCACTAGCAGCCCCCCATGGGCTCTTGGGCTTTTGGCCTCAGATTGAGAGCTGCACTGTCAGCTTCCCTGGTTTTGAGGCTTTCAGACTTGGACTGAGGTACTACTGGCTTCTCTCTTTCCCCAGCTTGCTGGTGGCCTATGGTGGGACTTCACCTTGTAATCATGTGATTTAATTATTCCTAATAAACTCATATATATATAAAAGCAAACTGTGCACTGAGATAAAATATCTGCAAAACAAATATTTGATAGAGGGACTGTAAGAAAGTCACTATTGGCAGCCCAGATCCAAAGGAAGGGAAAATAAATTCCACATCTCAATGGAAGAAGTAGCAAAGAATTTGGCTAATATTGTCTTTAATTTACCACAGGCTGACATACGACTAACACATTCATTTTGCAGGGCCAAATAATTAGTGTTTGTTGCAGAAGGAATGCAAAGAGATAGACCAATGTAATATTCGATTTCTTTTTCTTTTTTTTTTTTTTTGTTGAGATGGAGTCTTGCTCTGTCCCCCAGGCTGGAGTGCAGAGGCGCAATCTCAGCTCACTGCAGCCTCCACCTCCTGGGTTCAAGTGATTCTCGTGCCTCAGCCTCCCAAGTAGCTGAGATTACAGGCATGCACCACCACACCCAGCTAATTTTTGTAATTTAGTAGAGATGTGGTTTCACCATGTTGGCCAGGCTAGTCTCAAACTCCTGACTCAAGTGATTCGCCTGCCTTGGCCTTCCAAAGTTCTCGGATTACAGGCTTGAGCCACCGTGTCCAGACTAAATATTCAATTTCTAACATTCAAAATAGGATTATGGAGTAAGGCAATATGCCTGCAAGTCGGACCTATATCTCTCCCTTAAGAATATGAAAGATCAGGGCTAGTCCATAAATTATAGATTTTATAGAGTGAGGGTGGTAACCTTCCCCTTTCTGTCCCATAAGGATAGTAGTAAATAGAAATAAAGAGGAAAGACTGGAGTGAAATGTTAGTTTTTCATCTCTGTGATCTTTACTCTGGTGAAAGAAGGTGCATTAGATAAATGAGGATAGTGTTGAAGGCAGGAGGGGATTCTCCTGTTCTGCCCCAGCCTTGTCGTGCTTCCCATCTGAGGCCTCATCTGAGAGGTCATTGCAGTGAGCTGAGATCACACCACTGCACTACAACCTGGGTGATAGAGTGAGACCCTGTCTCAAAAAAAAAAAAAAAAAAAAAGAGGCACAAGAAGAAGAAAGATGACTGAGAGGACAGCCCTTTAAACCAGGACAGAGTGAACATGATTTAATGAGACCAAGTTGAACCACATTGAACATTTGATTCATTTTACACAGACCCATATCCCAACTAATGACAAAGAGATTTAGGAAAAAATCAGACTCCCTATTAAGAAAAGAAAGAAAGAAACTCATTTTCTTCACACATCTGAGTTGCAGTGTGAGTTAAATTTGTGATTCAGTTACAATACATACCATATAATACTACATGAAACCATAAGGTGGATTCTTGAGTTTTACATATGAAGCTTCAAATATCAAACATAGGGATAGACCAGAGGAAAGAGGGAAAAGAAACTGGATGAGTTTAAACAAGAGGCTCAGGTCTGGGAGTAGAATCAAGCACATCCAGTCCAGCGCGGTGGCTCACGCCTGTAATTCCAGCACTTTGGGAGGCCGAAGCAGGCGGATCATGAGGTCAGGAGATCGAGACCATCCTGGCTAACATGGTGAAACCCCGTCTCTACTAAAAATACAAAAAAATTAGCCAGGCGTGGTGGCAGGTGCCTGTAGTCCCAGCTACTCAGGAGGCTGAGGCAGGAGGATGGCATGAACCCGGGAAGCGGAGCTTGCAGTGAGCCAAGATTGTGCCACTGCACTCCAGCCTGGGCGACAGAGCAAGACTCCATCTTACAATAAAATAAAATAAAATAAAATAAAATATAATTAAAATAAAATAAAATAAAATAATAATCAAGCACATCCAGTCAGCACAGGGTTGCCCAGGGCAGGGTGGGGTGAAAGAATGGTTCCAGCTACAGTGGACTCTCTCTTCCAAATCAATCTCCTGAGAAAGAGTTACAGGTGAAGGAAAGAGGAATTGGGCAGCATGACCTTAACTGCATTATTTCACCTTATAACCTAACTGTATTCGTTACATGTTCTTCAGGTAAATTAAGGAGGGCCTGCTTCATACTTCATTGCTAGGAATATTCTCAGCCTCAGTTATCTTCTGGTAAAAAGCTGACTCAATAATAATAGATACATAAAAGAGGTATGAAAATAGAACAGAGAGGCTGCCATTAACATAAGGATATACTGGAGCAGAACAAAATAGCCAGTATGAGGAGCATTCCAGCATCCCCCAGACTGAGGCTATTTCTGTGTAAATGGAGGGAGGAAAATGGTGCTCTCCTGGTAGAGTCCTGGAATTGGGCAGGAGAGGGGCCTCTTTGCCTGGATCACCTTTCCTTCATCTAGGAATCTGGAAAAATGCAAAAGAAAGTGTAGCAATAAGGAGCTGCATCAGGTTCTCATGCTGCAATAACTCCTGGTAGATCCTGTTCAACTGGTTGAGAATCCTGCAGAAGGGAATTCAATATGGGGGTTCTCTAATTAGAGTAATATTTATGTGGGTTGACACTTCTTTTATATGATTCATAAACATCAGCTTGGTGCTTTTTTTTTCATGACCATTTGTACTTTATGTGAATCATGCCACCTTTCTCCACACAGGCTAAAGTTTTCAGGAGAAGAAAAATGTTTTCTAGTTTAACTATTTAAAAGGACAGATGCTCCTCGACTTACAATGGGGTTACATCTAAATAGACCCATTGTAAGTTGAAAACAAGATTTTCAACTTGACTATATTTTCAACTTACAACGAGTTTATCTGGAAATAGCCCATCATAAGGAGCCTACTGAATGTTATTGCTTTTGCACCACTGTAAAATAGAAAAATCATTAAATCAGACCATTTAATCTGGGGACATCTGTATTTTGTTACACTGGTATAAGGTAGAGCAGCTTTTACTCAAATACTCATTTATGGGGTACATATGTGTTAGTCACCATTTGGGTACTAGAGATACTGACATCAAAGGCATCCTCCTTGACTTTAATGCTTCTCTGGGCTGATGCTCCTTTCTTGTCATTCCTTTATGGGAGGGTAGACTTAGGCTATTCCAACTCTTCAAAGCTTAGTAAAGATCAGGCTATAACATATAACCAGGTTTTATTGAAGGTTTTGGGATAATAAAATGCAACTACTATGCAATAAAAGAAAACTTTAAACTGGCTAGCAAATGTGACTTCTGAATGTATAGGTTCTCCTATTCACCTTCCCATCCCCTCTTAGCCCCAGATTTCCTACTTACTATGTTCTAGGAGCGGCCTACTCACCTCAACAGGAATGCCTGGGACGATGAATACCATCACCCCAGAGCCAGGCTCTCCAAGTCCTCTAAGGCCCAGAGAGAGGAGGAACCTGCTAAGGCTAGCCTCTGCAGATATATAATCTTCATAAACTCAGCTCCACCCACAAGGATGACCACTTTTGATATTAAGTGGAGCAGTTCAGCTCAGCTTTGCTTTGACCCTTTCTACTGCTGAATTGTATCTTGATTTTTTTCTTTCTGCAAATCCACGTTACATTTTTCTTTTTTTGGCTTTTTAAAAAAGTTTGATTTTAGTTTTAATATACAGATAGTAAAATTCATCTTTTTTAGTGTGCAGTTCTATGAGTTTTAACAAATACATCATCATATTACCACCATGATAATCAAGATACAGAACCATTCCATCACCCCCAAAAAATCCCCCATGTCCTTTTGTCGTCAACCCCTCTCCACATCCTCAGCCCCAGGCAAACACTGGCCTGTTTTCTATGTCCAGAATTTTGCCTGTTCCAAAATGCATATAAATGAAATCATACAGCATGTAGCCATTTATATCTGATTCTTTTCATGTAGCATAATGCAGTTGAGATTCATCCATGTTGTTGAGTGTATCAGATGTTTGCTCTGTTATCTTGCTGAGTGGGTTTCCATTGTATGAATTTACCACAGTTGATTTATCCATTCACCAGTTGAAGAACGTTTGTTTCCAGATTTTGATGATTATGAATAAAGCCAGTGTAACTGTTACATACAGGTCTTGGTATGAACGTAAGTTTTCATTTCTCGTGAGTAAATATCTTGGAGTAAGGTTACTGGGTTCTATTATAAGTGTATGATTAACATTATACATGTTTTCCAAAGCAGTTGTGCAATTTTGCATTCTCACCAACAATGTATGAGAGTTCTAACAACTCTGTATCTTCACCTGCCTTTGGTATTGCCAGTTTTCATGGGGATTTTTTTCTTATTCATTCTAATAGATGTGCAGAGGTACCTCAGTTTGGTTTAGGCTTTTATTTTCCTAATGACTCATGACGTTTAGCATCTTCTCATGTGCTTATTTGCCATCATATCTGATATGGTTTTGCTGTGTCCCCACCCAAATCTCACCTTGAATTGTAGCTCCCATAATCCCCATAAGTTGTGGGAGGAACCCAGTGACAGAAATTGAATCATAAAGGCAGTTTCTCCCATACTGTTCTCATGGTAGTGAATAAGTCTCATGAGATTTGATGGTTTTACAAGGGGTATCCCTTTTCACTTGGCTCTCATTCTCTCTTGCCTGCTGCCATGTAAGATGTGACTTTCACCTTCCACCACGATTGTGAGGCCTCCTCAGCTACATGGAACTGTGAGTCCATTAAATCTATTTTTCTTTATAAATTATCCAGTCTTGTGTATGTCTTTATAAGCAGTGTGAAAATGGACTAATACAATATCTCTTCTTGGTGAAATATCTGTTCAATTCTTTTGTCCATATATTTATCAGGTTGTTTGCTTTATTATTGATTGCTGAGGATTCTTTACATATTCTAGGTCCAAGTCCTTCATAAGATATGTTCTTTGCAAACATTTTCTCCCAGTCCACAGCTTGCCTTTTTGTTTTCTTAACTAGTGTCTTAGTGAACTGAGGCTACTATAACAAAATACCATAGAGTGAGTGTCTTAAACAAGAGACATTTATTTCTCACTGTTCTGGGGGCGGGCAAGTCCAAGAAGATCAAGGTGACAGTAGGGTTTCTTCCTGGTCAGGGCCTTCTTCCAGGCTTGCAGATGGCTGCCTTCTCACTGTCTTCTCACAGAGCAGAGAGATTGTCTTAGTCTGTTTTGTGCCACTATAAGGGATGGTTTCTGTTTGGTAATTTATAAAGAACAGAGACTTATTTCTGACAGTTATGGAGGCTGGAAAGACCAAAGTCAAGAGACGGCATCTAATAAGGGCTTTCTTGCTGTATCATCCCATGGTGGAAGGGTAGAGGGTTAAGAGAACATATATGCACACACGTGTGCATGAGAGAGAGAGAAGGGAAAAGTTGGAAGGGCCAACTCGTCTCTTTATCAGGAACCCACTCCCACAATAACTAACCTCCTCTCAAGATATTAGCATTAATGCATTCATGAGGGCTCTGCCATAATCACCTCTTAAAGCTCTCACCTCTCAACACTGTTGCACTATGGATTAAGTTTTTAACACATGAACTTTGGGGTACATATTCAAACCACAGCAGATAGAGTGACAACCAAAATGAGTGATTGAGGCATAAGTCTCAAATCACCCAGGTTTATTGAGCCAGCTTGAGGCTGTGCCTGGGAAAAACGTAAGTCACAGAAGCATCTGTGGCTATTTTTTCCAAAAAGGTTCACAGGAGCTTTAGTATTTATACATTTTCCTTAAAAAACAGGAGACAGCAGTGAGATAAATGATTACCTACTTATGAGACTTTAGTTAAAGCCAAGTAAATCTATATTTTACATATGATAAGGTGAACATTTGAAGAAAAAGGGACTAGAGGAAGCAGCCATCTAGGGGAGAGGTAAAGGAACCATTAATCTCATCTTATCTCAGGGACTGGTGAAGGAACTATTAATTTCATCTTGTTTTTGTTCTACACCTGGGAAGATAAAACTAGCAGTCTTTTGAAAGGGCTAGCTTCTGTTCAGCCTTTAGGGAAGAAAACCTAATGACTGTTTTTTGTGTTTTTTTTTTTCTGAGACACTTTCACTTTGTCAGCCAGGCTGGAGTGCAGTGGTGCAATCTCGGTTCACCACAATGTTGGGGTGATCAGACCCAACACCAGGTCATGGGGGGTGATGAAGTCCGGCAGAGTCAAAGGAATGAGAAAAGACAGTTTGAGAGAGAAAGTGGGTCCAGGGGGCCAACGCAAGTATGGAGGCTGTGAAGGCCCTGAGCTCTGGAAGCCCACGCTATTTGTTGGTGATCAAACAAAGAAACAGGTGGTGAGGATGTGGAGGTTGAAAGGTAGCGATGCATCAAGCAAATAAGCTATAGCTGTGATGCTTTAGCATTTTCTTTGAAGCATATGGAACATGTTCTGCTACTTGAGATAATGGGAGTGCTAGAAGCAAGGAGCCAGCAAGTCTGACACATTCCAGAGGCCGTGAGGGGTTTTATGCCCTGAGCCCTGGGTTCCATCCAAGCCATGAGGGGTTTTATGCCCTGGCCTTAGATTATGGTGCGGCACGGCAGCCTTCCACCCTTTAGCACAGAGCTTGGTGTTCTAAAGGCCACGAGGGGTTTTAGACCCTGGACCCCGGACATGTTCCAAGACTCTTTCACATTATATCAGACATGCAAGCCCTGCCTCAGCTTCTCTCCCAACACTCAGCTTTTCTCCCAACACACAACTTCCACCTCCTGGGTTCAAGCGATTCTCCTGCCTCAGCCTCCCAAGTAGCTGGGACTACGGGCACCAGCCACCGCGCCTGGCTAATTTTTGTATTATTAGTAGAGACGGGGTTTCACCATGTTGGCCAGGCTGATCTCGAATTCCTAACCTCAGGTGATCTGCCTGCCTCAGCCTCCCAAAGTGCTGGGATTACAGGTGTGAGCCACAGAGCCCGGCTGAAAACCTAATGACTGTTAACAAGGGAGGGGGTATAATGAGGTGTGTCCAACCTCCTATCCTATCATAGATGTAAATTCAGCATCCAAGGTTTCTCTGGCATTCCCTTGGCCAAGTTGGGGGTGTGAGGGGTCCATTCAGTCAGTTGGAAGCTTAGAATTCTGTTTTCATTTCGCAAGAGCAAGAAAGCTCTGTGGTCTCTTCTTACAAGGCCACTAATCCTATCATGAAAACCCTAGCCTCACGATCTCATTTAACCTAATTACCTCCCAAAGACCCCATCTCCAAATACCATCATTTTAGGGATTAGGGCTTCAACATGTCAATTTTGTGGGAACACAGTTGAGTCCACAGCAGTATCTCTCAAAGAGAAAAAGGTTTTAATTTGGGTGAAAGCCAGATTATCATTTTTTAAGGGTCATTCTTTTCATAGCTACGAAATCTATACCTAACCAAAGATCACAAAGATTTTTACCTATATTTTCTTGTACAAATTGTATACTTTAGATGTTTTTATTTAGGTCTACAATCCACTTTGAGCTAATTTTTATATATGGTGCCAATTATAAATCAAGGCTTTTTGTTTACATTTATGTCAACTTGTTCCAGCACCATTTGTTAAAAATACTATCTTTTCTTTATTGAATTGCCTTTGCACATTTTTCAAAAATTAATTTATATATGGATATATACATATATATGGATCTATTTCCAGTCCATTTTGTTTCACTGATCTATATGTCTATGTTTTTACCAACACCATACTCTCTTGATTACTGTGGCTTAATCCTAAGTCTTGAAATCAAATGGTGTGAACCCTCTAAATGTTTTCTTTTTAAAAACTGTTTCTATTATTCTAGTTATTTGTGTTTCCATACCAATTTTAGAATCAACCTATCTATTTCTACTGGAAAGGGAAGCCTTCTGGTATTCTGATCAGGACTGCATTGAATCTATATAAATTAATTTGTAGAGAATTGATATTTTAACAATATTGAGTCTTCTGATCCATGAGTATAATATTTCTCTTCTTTTACTTAAGTATTTTATTTTCTTCAGCAACATTCTATCAATGAAAAGAGTCCAACTCTGGCAAACTACGCATCTGACAAAGGACTAGTATGCAGAATCTACAAGGAATGCAAACAAATCAGCAAGAAAAAAACAAACAATCCCATCAAAAAGTGGGCAAAGGACATGAATAAACATTTATCAAAAGAAAATATACAAACAGCCAACAAACATGAAAAAATGTTCAACATCACAAGCATCAGGGAAACGCAAATTAAAACGTGAGATACCACCTTACGCCTGTAAGAATGGCCATTACAAAAAAGTAAAAAAACAATAGATGTTGGCCTGGATGTGAGGAAAAGGGAACACTTTTACACTGCTACTGGAAATGTAAACTAGTACAACCACTATGGAAAACAGTATAGACATTCCTTAAGGAACTAAAAGTAGAACTACCATTCAATCCAGCAATCCCACTACGGAATATCTACCCAAAGGAAAATAAGTCATTACATAAAAAACACACATGCGGCCGGGCTCGGTGGCTCACGCCTGTAATCCCAGCACTTTGGGAGGCCGAGGCAGGCAGATCACGAGGTCAGGAGATCAAGACCATGGTGAAACCCCGTCTCTACTAAAAATACAAAAAAATTAGCCAGGCGCAGTGGTGGGCGCCTGTAGTCCCAGCTACTCAGGAGACTGAGGCAGGAGAATGGCGTGAACGTGGGAGGCGGAGCTTGCAGTGAGCCGAGATTGCGCCACTGCACTCCAGCCTGGGCAACAGAGTGAGACTGTCTCCAAAAAAAAAAAAAAAAAAAAAAACACATGCACATATAGCAGCACAATTTGCAATTGCAAAGACATGGAACCAACCTAAGTGTCCATCAACCAACGAATGGATAAAGAAAATGTGGTATATATACACCATAAAATACTACTCAGCCATAAAAAGGAACAAGATAATGTCTTATGCAGCAACTTGGATGGAGCTGGAGGCCATTATTCTAAGTGAAGTAACTCAGGAATGGAAAAGCAAATATTGTAAGTTCTCACAAGTGGGAGTTAAGCTATGAGGATGCAAAGGCATAAGAGTGATACAGTGGGCTTTGGGGACTCGGAGGGGAAAGTTTGGAGGGGAGTGAGGAATAAAAGACTACATATAGTGTACACTACTCAGGTGATGGGTGCACTAAAATTTCAGAAATCACAGCTAAAGAACGAATCCATGTAACCAAAAACTTGAAATTAAAAAAAAGGAAGAAGTCAAACTCTGTAAAATAGTTGAAGGGATGTATTCTGAGCCAAATATGAGTGACCATGGCCTGTGACACAGCCCTTGGGAGACCCTGACAACATATGCCCAAGGTGGTTGGGGAGCAGCTTGGTTTTATACATTTTAGGGAGACATGAGACTTCAATCAAATACACTTAAGATACAGATTGACCATTGGTTTGGTCCAGAAAGGCGAGACAACTTGAAGTGGGGCAGGGGTTCCAGGTTATAGGTAGATTTAAATTTTTCTGATTGGCAATTGGTTGAAACAGTTATTATCAATAGAAAGGAATGTCTGGGTTAAGATAAGACGTTGTGGAGACCAAAATTTTATCATGCAGCTGAAGCCTCCAGGTAGCAGGCTTCAGAGAGACTAGATTGTAAATGTTTCTTATCAGACTTAAGGTCTGTGTTAATGTTAAATGCTAGTTGGCTTTTCCTGAATTCCAAAAGAAAGGTGGCATAATGAGGCATATCTGACCCCTGCTCTGTCATGGCTTCAACCAGTTTTTCAGGTTAACTTTGGAGTGCTCTGGCCAAGAGGAAGGAGTCCATTCAGATGGCTGGGGGTGGAGGTGCTTAGAATTTTATTTTTGGTTCAGTTTTATAGTCTTCTGTATACAAGTGTTCCATATCTTTTGCTAAATATATTTCTAAGTATTTTATGTTTTTTATGGTATTATAAATGGTATTGTTTTAAAAATTTACTTTTCAATTGTTCATTGCTAATATATAGAAATATAATCAATTGTGTATATTAACCTTGAATCCTACGACCTTGCTAAACTTATTTCTTCTAATGGCTTTTTAATTAATTCCTCAGGATTGTTTTAAAAAAAAAAGACGGTTACTTATTCCTTTCCAATTTAACTACGTTTTATTGATTTTTAAATTTTATGAGTTGTGCTAACTAGAATCTCCAGCAACATGATGACTAAACGTGCTCAGAGTGGATACCCTAGCTCCTCCCAAATCTTGTCTTTCACCAAGATAAGGCTAGGCTAGTGCTATGGCTGCCATAACAAAGTATCAAGCCATAACAAAGTATCAAAGATTGTGTGGCTTAAATAACATAAATTAATTTTCTCACAATACTGGAGGCTAGAATTCTAAGATCAAGGTGTCAGCAGACTTGGTTTCTTCTGAGGCTGCTCTCCTTGGCTTGTAGACGGCTGCCTTCTCCCTGTGTCATCATACAGTCTTCCAATAGAACACAGTCTGGGTTCTAATCTCTACTTCTTGCGAGGACACCAGTCATAACATTAGAATAGGGCCTACCCTAGTGGCTTCATTTTAACTTGATCCTGTCTCCAAATGCTGAGGTACTGGGGGATAGGACTTCGACATAGGAATTTTGAGGGGACACAATTCAGCTCAAAACAGTCATTAAATATGATGTTAGCTGTAGGTCTTTGTAGATGCCATATATCATGTTAAAGTTTCATTTTATTTCTAGTTTGCTCAGAGATTTTGTGGAGTTTTTTTAATCACAACTGAGTATCGGATTTTATTAATTTTTTTCTGCATCTATTGAGATGATTATATGTATTTCCTTTCTCCCTCTGTTAATATGCTGAATTACATTGGCTTTTCAAATATTAAGCCAACCTAGTATTTCTGGGATTAATCTCATTGTTCAATATATTATCCTTTTTATATACTACCATTTTTTGAGAAGATATTGTAAGTACCTTTGTAATGAATGTGAATGTTGATAGTGAGGAGAGATGCTGTGAAAAGCTTAATACCCATTTAGTATAACATGGAGAGTAAGCATATTACTTAGAAATAAGTAGGCAAATATCAGAAATACAGTTCAAAGAGTTAAAAGTGATTGTTTCTGAAAGTAGGAGGGTCAGGTTGCTCTTGTTGCGGTTTTTGCACCATTTTACTTCTTAAAATTATAGCTATAGGTCAGGCGCAGTGGTTCACGCCTGTTATCCCAGCACTCTGGTAGGCCCAAGTGGAAGGACTGCTTGAGGACAGGAGTTGGAGATCAGCCTCGACAAAAGACCGACAGCCCACCTCCACAAAAAAAAAAAAAAGAAAGAAAATTAGCTAGCTTGGTGAAAATTAAAATAAAATAAAATTACCAGTATGTGCACATTACTTTGGTAGAAGTAAAAATAATGAGAAAGAGAGAAAACCCTCCCAGTAACTAGTCATTTGTTTTTATGATTCAGCTGGTTTGTATTTTGCATGGTGCATGGTGTGCAAACATCTGAAAATGTCTGTTTTCCACTGTTTGTAACTAACTCTTCCCAGCATGATTTATCAATTAGCCTTTATTTCCTCCCATGACTTATGAATATACCTTAAGCATAGTTGTTTATAATGGGATGTTTCTAAACGACCTATCCTTATCCTGGTACCACGCTGATTTGAGCTACAGGGCAAATGGGTGCACCATGGTGGGCGAGGTCATTCACGGAAAAAAGAATGTGCAGTGGTGCCGAGGTTGGTAAGAGCAGGCGGCTTGTACATGTAAATGCATGGTTTGCAGGAATCTGGGAGTGGATAGGCTGACGGGTGATGAATATTCAAAGCACAACTGTAAGCGACTTTAGTTACAGCGAAACTCTAAGGCACGCTGCCCTTCGGAAGGAAACACGGCATTCCCCAACCTGATAGCCCTCCGCGACGCATTACGCACCGCGGACAGCTGGAGAGGCCGAGGCGCTCTCGCTTTGATTTCGGCGCCTCCGCCCTCGCGGGGAGAGATTGGCTGCGGCCGCGGGACGGGGTAGTGAGCGCGTCACTTCCTGCCGCTGCCAGGCGCGTCCTCCCGCGCGCTATGACGGCCAGCGCACAGCCGCGCGGGCGGCGGCCAGGAGTCGGAGTCGGAGTCGTGGTGACCAGCTGCAAGCATCCGCGTTGCGTCCTCCTGGGGAAGAGGAAAGGCTCGGTTGGAGCTGGCAGTTTCCAACTCCCTGGAGGTCATCTGGAGTTCGGGTGAGCAGCCGCGGACGCGAGGAAACCGGGGCGTGCGCAGAGGGACGAACTCACGCCGTGCTTGCTTCCGTGTGCCGTGCGTGAGAACGTCCGCGCTGACGCTGCGTCCTTTCTTGCGCGTTCCCTCGGTTCCTCCCCTCGACTTCTGGGCGACGTAGGATCGCGCCCAGGAGGGGGCGCTGTGCTGGGTCAGGCGAGGTCTTTGCTAGCTGGGTCTTTCCGGCTGCGCCCCTGCTGGGTGGTGGTTGGGAGTTCGTCTGTGAGGTGTGTTTCTCACAGCTTACACACAAAAGGAGGAAAGCAGGTGTGTGTAAACCTCCAGCAGCCCGATATTGTCAGCTAAGACATTGCACCGTTTCCATGTGATTGATTGATTGATCGATTGATTGATTTGAGACTGTGTCTCGCTCTGTAGCCCAGGCCAGAGTGCAGTGGTGCTATCTCCAGTCACTGCAACCTCCGCCTCCTGGGTTCAAGCGATTTTTGTGTCTCAGCCTCCTGGTAGCTGGGATTACAGGCGCCCGCTACCACGCCGTGCTAATTTTTGTATTTTTAGTAGAGACGGGGTTTCGCCATGTTGGCCAGGCTGGTCTCGAACTCCTGACCTCAGGTGATCCACCCGTGAGGTCAATGACCATAGCCAACATTGAGCTCTAATGGGCTTTTTGTTAAAGGCTGGATAATATGCCAAGCTCTTTGCATGTATACTTTCATTTGATCTTTACATAACTGGCATACTCAGTGGGCTAAATTTGATGGGAGAACAAACAGGAAATGGTTTTATTTTCTCCTTCCACTGCCTTCAAACATGATTTTTTCTTTCCCTCTTCAGTGACGTTTCCTGCAAATTCTATAGTTTTCTTGTCACTTGGTTATAAAAATAAATCACATTTGGGTCAGTATGATTCACTTCCAAGCATTTAAAAGTCCAATCCAATTTAAACCTTCAGTGTCACTTCCAGTTTCTAATCCCTCCCCTGCAGTGCATAAAGGAGGTGTGAGCCATTGTTCTGCTTTTCTGTATCCTCCTCCTCTTCTCACCTGGCTGTCTCTGAGTTTCCTTCTTTCTCCAGTGTGTTGGAGGAGGAGAGAGAGCAAGCCATTCAGGTGACTGATGCTGCTCTGATCCATCCATTGGTGTCCTCTGGGCATGATATCCACATGTGTGCTTTCTCAGGGTATGTTTGTCAGTTGTTGGGAAGTCCCACAGAGATTTTCCTGACATAGGTGACGGGCTTTCTGTGATGCTGGCCCACCTCCTAGCTCTTGCTTTTAGCACATCACCCCACATTTTCTTTCTACTGGGATCTCCTATTTGATTACCCAGCAGTCTCTTGTGGCATCTGCTTGGCCCAAAGGAAACACACAATGGGAATGATATTTCCACTGCTGCCCTTTTTCCTTGCTCTACCTCTGTATTCATCTGCATCTGGAAACTCCGAGGGACACATTTCAGATTTACCCAAGAGCTTTCACCCTTGTAGCACACCTTTTCTGATGCACTGGGGTAGGCCTGTGAGTTTCTGCAGCTCAGGATGTCTTTAGCAGGGGAGTGACACACTGAGTATCTCCTTCTTGAGTCACTCCCAATCTTGTGACTGATTCTCTTGGAATGTTCCTCACCTGTCTTGGGGGGGCAGAGTTGGCCCCTTGTAGTCTGGAAGGGAAATGCTCCTACTAGGCTGAAAACTCCAAACTTTCCTCTGTCTCAAACATCTCCTTTTTTTTTTTTTTTTTTTTTTTTTGAGACGGAGTCTCGCTCTGTCACCCAGGCTGGAGTGCAGTGGCGGGATCTCGGCTCACTGCAAGCTCCGCCTCCCGGGTTCACGCCATTCTCCTGCCTCAGCCTCCCAAGTAGCTGGGACTACAGGCGCCCGCCACTACGCCCGGCTAATTTTTTGTATTTTTAGTAGAGACGGGGTTTCACCGTTTTAGCCGGGATGGTCTCGATCTCCTGACCTCGTGATCCGCCCGCCTCGGCCTCCCAAAGTGCTGGGATTACAGGCGTGAGCCACCGCGCCCGGCCTCCTGTCTTTCTTATGTAGCCTGGATACGGAGAAGTCACAGGTCTAGTCTGGCCTTCCTTAGCTTGAGCTTGAGCTCAGATGACATCTGTTTGCCCTTTTGCTTGAGAATTTAGAAGTGCTTTTTACCTATTGTCTTCAGTTTTGAGGCTTAAATTGAAATTCTGAGACTGCTGGAAAAGACATAGTGGCACTTCTTGATACAATTACAGTGACCCCATGAGGAAGTAATATAATCTCTTTTTACTTGTCCAAGGTGGAAAGTAATGAACTTTGAGCTCAATCCCAGGTCTAGTTGACTCCAAAGTCTGCTCTTAATGCACTAAACTGCCTCCTTGTTACACACAGGTTCCAGGGCTGTAAATTAGTGCTGAGATGGCTAAATGTTAATTTTTATTCAATATTAAGTCCTTTTCATCTTTAGATAACTAGATACAGGATATAATGTCAAGGGCAAGGTTGCTGATTTACTGGTTTTAAATCTTTATCTTTTTAATTAATTATTATTACTATTTTTTGAGACAAAGTCTTGCTGTTTGTCCAGGCTGGAGTGCAATGGCACCATCATGGCTCACTGCAGCCTTGACTTCCCAGGCTCAAACTATCCTCTTGCCTCAGCCTCTTGAGTAGCTGGGACCACAGACCATAGGCACGCACCACCATGCCCGGCTATTTTTTTTTTTTTTGAGAGATGAGGTCTCACTATGTTGGCCTCAGCTGGTCTCCAACTCCTGAACTCAAGCTGTCCTCTTGCCTCGGCCTTCCAAAAGATTACAGACATGAGCCACATGCCCAGCTGATTTGTTGTTTTAAAGCAGGAACCAATTACAGTTCTTTTTGTTTTACACTAGAATTTTCTAGCCAAGAATTTCATGGCAAAATATATACACACACACACACGTATATACATTTATATATATACATATATATACACACACATGTGTATATATAAAAAAATAGAATTAATCTAATTTTTGTTTCTGTTTTCCAGTGAAACCTGGGAAGAATGTGCTCAAAGGGAAACCTGGGAA
This sequence comes from Homo sapiens, assembly GCF_000001405.40. NCBI lineage: Eukaryota > Metazoa > Chordata > Mammalia > Primates > Hominidae > Homo > Homo sapiens. The sequence continues at coordinate 48,040,960 of NC_000013.11, forward strand.
GAAGCAGCTCTTCACCTGAAAAATGTTCACTTTGCCTCAGTTGTGAATTCTTTCATTGAGAAGGAGAATTACCATTATGTTACTATATTAATGAAAGGAGAAGTGGATGTGACTCATGATTCAGAACCAAAGAATGTAGAGCCTGAAAAAAATGAAAGTAAGAGAATTATATATAATCATGCATTTTTCTTTCAGGAGAGCAAGTGGTCTGGAGGAATATTACAGTATGTTGCCATATGAAGAGAATGCTATTGTCTGAATGCTTGTGTTCCCCCAAAATTCTATGTAGAAATCCTAACTCCCATGACGAGGTTTTAGGAGGTTGGGGCCCTTGGGAGGTGATTAGATCATAAGATAATGAATGGGATTCATGCCCTTATAAAAGAGACCCCTGACCCCTTCCATGATGTAAAGATACAGAGAGAAGATCGTTGTCTGTGAACCTGGAAGTGGGCCCTCCCCAGATATGGAATCTGCCAGTGTCTTGATCTTGGACTTCCCAGTCTCTAGAACTGTTGAGAAATAAATTTCTGTTGCTCATAAGCCATGTAGTCTGAAGTATTCTGTTATAGCAGTCCAAATAGCCTAAGATATATGAATGTAGAGATGTAATATAGAGATATAGATAGGTAAATATATTTGGACCATGAGGAACCAGACTGTGTTTGTGTCCTGGTTCTTAGAGCTTTGTGACCTTGGGCAAATTATTTCATGCCTGGGCCTCTTTTCTTATCCGTGATAATAATAAGTACCTTGGATGGATTCTTGTAAGGATTTACATACGAAGAACCTCGTGAACACAGTAAGTTTTATTGTTATTGTTTAATTTTGTTTCAGGCAGTAATTTTAAGGAAAATATTTTATCTGTTTTACTCAGTTTTCTCACCTGCGCAGGAGAGTTAATACCATCCATTTACGGTAAATAATTACACTGATAAAACAATTATTGTTTCACAGCAGTTGGGTTCTTCTTGCCTGCCACCCAGAAAAAGCCAGTACCCTGAGACAGTAGGAGTTGTAGCAGAGAAAGAGTTTAATAATCACAGGGCAGCTGCATGAGGAGGACGGGAGATAATTCTTAAATCCTACCCATAGAGAATTCAGAGGCTAGGGTTTTTCAAGGATGGTTTGACAAGCAAGGGGCTAGGGAATGAGAAATGCTGCTTTGTTGGGTTGGGGATAAAACCATACGGATGTCAAAACTGTCTTCTTGTGCTGAGTCAGTTCCTCGATGGGGGGTTCACAGGACCACTTGAGTCAGTTTCTTTGTGTGGCTTACCGATTTGGGTGGTACCAGTTGGTCCATTAGAATGCAAAGTCTGAAAAATATCTCAAACACTAGTCTTAGGTTTTACAATAGCAATGTCATCTGTAGGTGTAAATAGGAAAGTTATAAATCTTTTGACCACGGGCTACATGCTTCCTGAGCAGTAAGCAGTTACAAAAAAGCAAGTTATAAAATGATGCCTGGTTAGAGTTTAACTATGCCTACATCTTTATTAATAGAGTTCTGGCCCTTACCATAATTTTAACCTTGTGGCCTTTTATTAGTTCTACAAAAGCAGCTTTGGTCCCTTAACAAGGAGGGGGTTAGTTTTGGGAAAGGACTATTACCATCCTTGCTTTAAAGTTAAACTGTAAACTAAATTCCTCCCATAGTTAGGTTGGCCTGTGTGTAGAAATGAGGAGACAGTTTGTGAGGTTAGAAGCAAGGTGGAGTCAGCTTTGTTAGATATCTCTCACTGTTATAATATTGCAAAGGTGGTTTCATTATCTGTTACCCTCTATGTTGAATTGAGTGCACTGAAAGTTTATTTACCGTGTGCTAAGCATTGTTCTAAGGGTTTTCTGTTTACCATCTCTCCTCAAATTCTCATAAAACAGTCAGAAAAGGAACTAAAGAGAAAAATATCAAACTTTTTGAATATATTCCTTGCCATATGAAACTTTATCCAAGTGGTCTTATGTATTGAACCTCCCCTCTAAACATTTAATTTCTTCTCTAATAGGGAAGAATCTTTTCATTCAACAGATACCTATTGAGTACAGTGTTTTGAGTATTGAGACACTGTTCTAGGCACTAAAGAAACAATGGTGCGTAGAACAAAGTCCCTGCCCTCTTGGACTTTACATTTTAGTGGGCGGGGGAAATGACAGATTACAGATATTTTATGATAGTAGCAATAAGGACTAAAAAGAGCAATAAAGCTGTGTAAGAAAGGGATATATGAGTGCTGTATCAGATAGGGTGGTTAGGAAGGGTCTCTGACAAAGGGATGTACACACATATACTGGGCAACATAGTGAGACCCTGTCTCTACAAAACTAAAAATGTTAGCCAGAGTGGTGGCACATGCCTGTAATCCCAGCTACTTGGGAGGCTGAGATGGAAGGATCATGTGAGCCTGGGAGATCAAGGCTGCAGTAAGCTATGATTGCACCACTGCTGTCCAGCCTGAGCAGCGACAGAGTGAGACCCTGTCTCAAAAAGAAGAAATGGACTAAACATTTTCTTATTTTTCTTTTTTCTATGGGCAAATAAAGCTGAGACTAGAAGAGACAAATATGATGGAATAGTTTTTTTTTAAATTCAGTATCCTTCACAGGAAGCAGATATAGAAAGCCTTCATTTTTAGAGAAGGTGCTATAGAGAAAACACCAAGGTCACTGACTGTCCCACAAGCTTTATTTGACCATTCTCACCAAGCCACCTCTGGGTGCTTCCTCATTCTTCAGTCCTCTTTTTGCCCTGTCTAGCCTCTGTAGGGATTTGAGTTGGGGAATCCTGATGCAAGTTATAATTTTGAATCTCACTCCTCTGAGCTGCGGGCCTGTGTTTCCAGTTGCTTTCTAAGTATCTTCCCTTAATGTTCAGAAGGCATCTCAAATTCAACTCAACTTCAAATTATGCTCATTATTTTTTTTACTGAACTTTGAATCTATAAAGAACAGTTCTTTTGGCTTATACATTTTGAACTCTTCCCTGCCAAACACAGTGTCTGACTCATAATCAGAATTCAAAATATGTTGAAGGAAGGAAGGACCCAGTGAATGAACATACAAGCCAACCTCTTCCTGTGAAGCTGTCATTTAGTACTAGACTGCCCTACTTTTTAATAACTTCCATAAGATTACTATTCTACTTTAAGTACTAAATCATGAGTTTTTATAACCATGTAACTATATGTATTGTTTTATTCCTCTTAGGATATAGTAGTTAGGAGTAGTTTTACATGCTTTGTGGTTTTTAAAATTCATTTATGTAACTTTTTTATTTGTTCACTTTCATTTTGTTAACTCCCTGACATGAACCTTGCTAGTAGTCTCAAATAAAGCAGTATGATTTACAAGGTCCAAGATTACTAGCATCAAATCAGATTTGATCAAAAACATTTATTGCTCTATATCTGTTAGTAACAATACAGCAGGAATTATGTTCACTTTATTCCCAGTTGCAGCCTGATAACCAACTACACTGATAACCAGCTGCAGCCTAGCCAAGGTACAAGGACTTGGTGGGTCTTTGTTTTATTTCTAGGATAAAGACACAGTCTCTCTATCCCGTGCTCCTCAGGCCTTGGATCTGGGTAGCCTGCTTCAGTTTACTATTTAGTGCATCTTTCCTCCAACCATCTAATTATAGTTCGGAGGCTCATCCAGACACTTCATTTTCTAGGGGATGGGGTAAACTTCATGGATGGGTTTTTGGAGACCTGGTTAATTAAGCATCTTGCACCACATTGTTGGGTACTCAGTCTGTCTGTGTCTGTCTGTCTGTCTCTCTTTCTCGCTCTCTCTCTCTCCCTCTCCCGCCCTCCCTCTCCCCCTCCCGCCCCCACCTCATTAGTGTATGGTCACAGTTACTGATCACAGTTACTCTTCCTGTACTTATTCCAGTTTCATGGATTTTCGGCCCCTGCATTCCCAAAGTGAAAATACGTACCTATATACCTGTATTTTATGGACAGAAAGATACTTAGTGCTTACACATAGTAAAAACAGGTGATCATAAAGAAACTAGAACATGGAGTGTGTATCTTAATATAATATGTAGGTATTTGTCATAAGCATCTGTGCGTCTATGTTATTTACATTTAAATCATGAAAGAAACACCATTCTCTAGAATCTTTTTCTAGAATTTCATGTACTTTATAACTGATAGACACTGTTAAATCTTTGTTTCAATGGATTTTTAAAAATCATCTCCTTCTGTATTTGTTTAAAATATACCAAGGTACAATATTTTATTTTCCTCTGCACAGCTTTCTACTTTTTTAAGAGATGGAGGATATCTTAGAAACTTTGTAATCTACTTTATTTTATAGGTGAAGGAAGTGGTTTATTTTAATGTAGTATAACCTATAGTATATAACGTTATTTGCATTTTTTACAAAAATATTTACATAAACATTGACTAATACTAAATCTGGGTTTACCATGGCATAGCCTTTGTAAACTGGGCTTCACATTCAAATAACACAATGTTTTAAATGACCACCATTCTCTTCATAAGACCTTCATTCTACATGCAAATTATATTTGTATAGCCAAGCAAATGCAAAGCATCACTATGAGTTTATTAGTAGCAAGTTATTTTTAAATTCAATTAATTTTTTCTAAATATAGGTTAGCTTACCCAAATAAACACCCTTTGTTTTCTGTTATCTAAATAAATTGATTTAGCATCTTTCTTTTCTAGGTTGGGAGTGGGTTCCTTGGGAAGAACTACCTCCCCTGGACCAGCTTTTCTGGGGACTGCGTTGTTTAAAAGAACAAGGCTATGATCCATTTAAAGAAGATCTGAACCATCTGGTGGGATACAAAGGAAATCATCTCTAGGTGGCCGAGAAGATTTGATTTTCTTTAAAAAGACAAGAATAAGGTCTGGTTAGGGAATGAAAAATGTATACATTTCGGAACAACTCCATTTTATCTAAAAAAGTTCTTGTGATTGCCAGTTTATTTGCAGTCTCTTAATGTATCCCCCACTCTTTCAGCCAGTACTTGAGAAAATTTTTCTGAAATATGTCATTGAATTGTATTCCAGACACAGAATACATGATAAATACTGATATTATGGGTAATCTGCTTTCCATATTTACCTATGATATTTACTGTGCAGTTTGTCATTACTAGCTTGCATGGAGTAGGATGCAGTCAAATTTGCCTTAGTGTTTCTGTTCAAATAGAGACCTGAATTCAAATATTGTAGTTTAGGTTCAAACAGAGTATGGCTGTTGCAAAATTTACCAAATTTGTTGATTACCTCTTTTATTAAAGAAATGTTGGGGAGAGGGTAATATATTGTGACAATTTTTGCAACTTACAGGGAATAGGACAGGTCATTAGGGTGTATTTCCCAGGTTTCCAATTGAGAATCTAAACCAAGAGAAGTGAGACAAACCATCTAATATCTGTATCATGCTATTAATAGGCTGTGATGTTGAGTTTCTCACTTACTCTTTCTGAGGTCCAGGGTCCTTATATGAAGAGATTCATATATATGAAGAGATTCGTCTAGAGCAGTGGTTGTCAAAGTGTGGTCTGGGGGGGCCTCAAGAGCCTTTCAAGGGTATTCTAGGTCAAAGCTGTTTTTATAACACTAAGACATCATTTCACTATTTATAGCTTTTCCTTTTTTTTATTTGAGAAGGAGTCTTGCTCTGTTGCCCACATTGGAGTGCAGTGGCACGATCTCAGCTCATTGCAGCCTCCGCCACCTGGGTTCAAGCAATTCTCCTACCTCAGCTTCCCGAGTAGCTGGGATTATAGGCACCCACCACCACACCTGGCTAATTTTTGTATTTTTAGTGGAGACGGGGTTTCACCATGTTGGCCAGGCTGGTCTGGAACTCCTGAGCTCAAGTGATCTGCCCATCTCAGCCTCCCAAAGTGCTGGGATTACAGGTATGAGCCACAACGCCCAGCCATCATTTATCTTTTTCACTCATTTTTTCATGAGTATGCAGAGGAGTTTTCAAGAGGCTATCTGGTGTGATATTGTAATAGGCTGAATGCAAAAGCAGATACAAGATTCCAGCTTTCGTCTGTCATCAGACATTGAAGAGATTTGGAGAAATGTAAAGCAGCAGTACTCTTCTCACTAATTTTTGTTGTGGTTAGTTAGAAAAATGGTTATTTTTAGTGGGTTTTAATATGTGAAAAAAATAAAATTAGCTATTTGCCAAAAATGTTTTTATGTGTTTATATATACTTGGTTCTTGTTACTTGCAAATGATTAATAAAAATTTTAAGAAATTTCTCAGTTTTCATTTCTATATGATAAATATTTCTAGATAAAACCATACAAAAACAAAATCTCTTTGTGGTCCTTGGTAATTTTTAAGAGTACAAAGGGATCCAAATTTTTGCCAGATTAGGCCAAAAGCTCACATTTTTAATTTTGAGCGCACTTCTGTGAAATCCTGTGCTTCTCTTAGAGTTGATTACCTTTGAATTTTGCTCTTTCAAAAGACCCCAGTACTATCATAATACTTGCTAAGGAATCTTTTTCCAGTGAGTATCATTTTTTAAGTTCTTTCTTGTTTGCTTTTTCAAAATTATATATGTACATTGTATAATTTGTCATGTAGAAATCTCATTTTCTTTTTTTTTCTGAGACAGGGTCTCACTCTGTCAACCAGGCTGGAGTGCAGTGGTGCAATCTCGGCTCACTGCAACCTCCAGCTCCCAGGCTCAAGGGATCCTCTTGCCTCGGCCTCCTGAGTACCTGGGATTACAGGTATGGTATGCACCACCACGCCCAGCTAATTTTTGTATTTTTAGTAGAGATGGTTTCACCATGTTGCCCAGTTGATCTCGAACTCTTGACCTCAAGTGATCTGCCCACCTTGGCCTCCCAAAGTGCTGGGATTACAGGCATGAACCACCACGCCCTGCCCATATTTTTGATGTTAGATGCATGATTTTGAAATGTTTGAAGAGCTCAAATATAATAAGTGTGTATGTATGCCTTGTTCTTTGGATATATGGATTAATTTCACACTAATTTTTCTACTCCTATTTGATTATTCCATGTCCTTCTGTTGCTTGCTTCCTCATTTTACTTAATTTCAGTAAAATTCAGTCCCTCAGTTGACTGAATCCCTGTCCCTGGCTTCTCCTAAGTGATAGACATGTGAAGCTTGATAAGAAAGCAGGCGAGCTTATGGATTAAATCCTTTCATAGGTTTATCTCAACTACAGTTCATTGGTAATTCATTAAGATATCTCTTTATGTTAGTACTTATCCATGCAGATATTTTATAGCTTCAAAAACTCATCACAAGGCCTGGCACAGTGGCTCACACCTGTAAACCCAGCACTTTGTGAGGCTGAGGTGAGAGGATTGCTTGAGTTCAGGAGCTCAAGACCAGCCTGGGCAACACAGGGAGACCCTGTCTTTATGAATAATTTAAAAATTAGCCAGGCATGGTGGCACATGCCTGTGGTCCCAGCTACTTGGAAGGCAATGACAAACTCATTGAAAGCTTGTGAGGTTTGTTTGTTTGTTTTTTAACTCAACCAACTTGACATGAAATGTGTTTCAATGGAAAGAAAAAACTAACCAGGAGTTTTATTCATAGGAAAAGGTAAAAAGGTAAGAATTCCATATTAATTAGAAGGGGATTGTGTGTACATCAGCACTTAATGTGCTCAGGTGGCATTCAGTGACAACTCAGTAATTAGGAAATATTTCTTTAAATAAGTCAATGAATGAAGCAGGATTTAGAACTGTTAAGAAAGCAGTTAATGCCTGGATGGTTTGAGTATTGCCTTTAATAGAAAAAAAACTAAAGCTGACTAGCAACATTCTCATAAAACTAAATGTCAGCTAGAGTTCCGGAAGTGTACTTTACTGCCAGGTTGCTGGGAGGGAAATATCTTTTCGTCTATTTGCTGGACCAACCCTGAGGTGTCATCTGTCCCAGGATAGGCAAGTGCTCCTATACTGACTCTGGCAACACCTTACCAAAAGTCTTCCCAGTGGAGCCTGAGGTGAATTCGGCCTCTTTCCGATCCACTTGGAGGAGTCACTTCTTTGTTATCTTGACTGCCAGCTTCCCAAACAAGGCAAATACTTTTAGGTGAAATAGTCTCTTCTTTGTGGCACGAAATGATCACAATAAATGGAGATTGTGGGAGAAAGCAAGCTCAGGGAATCATTCATATAAGAGAAGACATCCAAAGTCTTCTTTCAACATAAAATCATATATTGAAGCTGCCTCTGTTTTTAGTAATTATTTATGTTGTACGCAGATGTCTGTGCTGCACTTGAGTAGTTTTTTTGTTTTTGAGATGGAGTTTCACTCTTGTTGCCCAGGCTGGAGTGCAGAGGCACGATCTCGGCTCACCGCAACCTCCGCCTCCCGCGTTCAAGCAGTGCTCCTGCCTCAGCTTCCTATTTGGGTTTACAGGTGCCCACCACCACGTCCAGCTAGTTTTTGTATTTTCAGTATAGATAGGGTTTCTCCATGTTAGTCAGGCTGGTCTTCCGACCTCAGGTGATCTGCCTGCCTCGGCCTCCCAAAGTGCTATGATTACAGGCATGAGCCACCGCGCCCAGCTGAGTAGTTTTATAAAAAGTGAAAATTAAAGGTAACAATGTGCATTGTGTTCCACATCTTCCATTTTATGTACTTCAATAAATTAAAAGTATAAATTAATACTTAAGGTTCTCCAAAACATCTAATTTTTCATCTATTGTGTGCCAAGTCGTATGATAAGGACTTTACAATATTTGTACTGTCAGTTAAACCTACCACACTTCCTTAAATTCCCATTCCAGACTTTTTCTCATTTTCATGTTCAAAATGTTTAAATAGGCCAGGCACAGTGGCTCATGCCTGTAATCCCAGCACTTTGGGAGGCCGAGACAGGTGGATCACCTGAGGTCAGGAGTTCAAGACCAGCCTGGCCAATATTGTGAACCCCTGTCACAACTGAAAATAGAAAAATTAGCCGGGTGTGGTGGTATGCACCTGTAGTTTCAGCTACTCAGGAGGCTGAGACGGGATAAGTGCTTGAACCTGGGAGGAGGAGGTTGCAGTGAGCCAAGATCACACCACTGCACTCCAGCCTGGGGGACAGAATGAGACTCTGTCTCAAAACAGAAAAGAAAGAAATGTTTAAATAGCCAGGCACAGTGTAATCCCCACACTTTGGGAGGCCAAGGCCAGAGGATCACTTGAGCACAAGAGTTTGAGACCAGCATAAGCAACATAGTGAGACCCTGTCTCTACAAAAAGTTAAAGATTAGCTAGGTGTGGTGGAGTTGGTGGGACATGGTGGTGCTTGCCTGTAGTCCCAGCTCCTTGGGAGGCTGAGGTGGGAGGATTGCTTGAGCCCAGGATATCGAGGCTACAGTGAGCTATGATCCCACCACTGCATTCCAGCCTGGGCGACAGAGTGAGACCCTATCTCAAAAAATAAAATATTTAAATATTTGGCTTTTTGCATAATAATATTGGTTAATAACGTTGTATTCAATCATGTATCACTCTTCATTTTGTTTATCAGATCAATTCGTGGGCAAAAGCAACATAGTAGCAAGTAAGCCAAACTTTTCACGAACTTCAGTTTGGCTTGATACTTGTTATTTTTGATAACAAGACTTATTTTTGATAACTTGATACTTTTTGTTTTCCTTCATAGATTCACTTTCTACCTATTCTTGGATGACTCCCCAAACAATATTATCTACAGCCCAGATGTTTCTAAGCTCCAGGCCCCACCGCACACCAGGCATCTCTACTTGATTGTCCACATCCTTCTGGCTTGCTGTGTTTCAGACTGAACTTCCTCCTATTCTTCTCAGAGAAGGGCTCTACCATCTGCTGAATTGCTCAAATTTGATTCCCTTCCCCGCATCCAGCAGTTGCTCTTTCTTGTCCATTCTGTTTCTTGTCTCTTGAATCCACCCCCATCACATGGTCCCACCTGCCTCTCCCCTAGGCCAGGCCCGTGCCACCTTTTCCCCAGACTCTTCCTGCAGCTTTACTCCGCCAATCAACTGAATGGCTTATTTTTATTCTTGTGGTAAAATACACGTAACATAAAACTTACCATCTTAACCCTCCAATTCATTTTTGACATTACTCCTGGAGTGACTTTTCAAAGCATAAATTTAGTTATGTCTCATCTTCCCAAACGTCTTTGGAAGTTCCCATCACCTGTAGAATAAAATCCCTAACCTGACGTATGAGCTTTCCTAATTTCCCTGGACTAATTTTCTCATTATATCACACCCTGCTGTTGCACCCTGCACTCTCAGCATCTTTGTGCTTCATCCAGTGCAACAGGCTGGTTCCTACCTCCTTGCCAGTGCGCCTGCAGCTCCTTCTGAACTGAATGCGACACCCACCTTCAATGTGCCTTAACAGATCCTTACTAGTTTTTCGTACCTTAGTTCAAGGTTCCTTCCTCTGTGAAACCTGGACTCACCCAATTGGACCTTGACATATCTCACCTTACACCATTTCTACTGTATGTTGACTTCAGAGGTAGCGCTTGATTTCATAAGGCCCTAGGCTTAAATGAGACATGTCACAAGTTGTGTTCTTCCAAAGCCGCCCATTTTTGTCTTTTTGAATAGCATGGTTTAAATTTCTAATGGGTTGAATTCACCTCTGATGCATTTGTGAAGCAATAAGTTAAATTCTGCAGATAAAATGCCCGCAAGTCAGCCTCCTCCTTCAAAATGGCTGAAGACAAGTATACATCAATATTGTAGTTTTCATAAGTGCTATTCATGTGAATGAAAAGGAAATATGTTCACCTTTCAGGGATCACATGTGACTCTGGAAGGGTATTTTCTGTGGCTGAGCACAGCTTTGATTATTTGAGGATTTAGGTCTGATGCATCTGATAAGGCTGCCAGTACTTGTATATTATGGAAGATGTCATGTTGATTTCTATTGATTGCTTGTCTCCCCAGTAGAAAGTAAACTCCTTTAGACTAAAGACCATGTCTTTCTATTATATACCTAGCAGCCAGAGTGGTAACTGCTAATGCTAAATGCCTAATATATACTAGCTGAATGAAAAAAGTGACCTTTTAGTATTTCTTTTTCTTAACTTTTTCTTTTTCTGGGTCAGAAAGAAAACAAGTAGTATTGAGGATCCTCAGAATAGGAAATGCAAATACTGCATTCCAATTATTGGCAGGGACATGAAGAATATCTGTTTCTATAGTAAGGAGGAGTTAGGGTCCAAAATAGAAACAGAAGTGATACTCTGGCTAAAGATGTACACAAAGTTCACAACTGGGTAAGGAAGCTGAAATCCAAATGCCAATTTACTAATGTGAGGAAAAATGAGGGTAACTTACTATGTTGTAGGGGAAATTATTAAGTAACATGCATGTGAAATGTACCTTATAACAGGTTCTGTATTTTTAAAGGGATATAATTATGTGTTCATGCATATTTGAGAATTTTATTATGTTGTGTTTTATTAGTGGAAATAAATCAGTAGAATTAGATAAACCTGACTCACACAATAAGATGTTTCAATCAACAAGATACTTGGGATGCAGAGAAAGTGACTATTTAGGTAAGATATTCTTGCAACCCCAAGAGAGGTAAACCAGACCACAGGTGGAAGTCTGTCAAGTAGGAGCCATGAACTGCCTTGAGGGAGTTGGAAGCAGCTTTAAGACAGTATGAAGAAGGGCTCAACTTGTCCACAAAATGTTTTAGGTCTACCAGTTTGAGAACTGCAGGACACACACCTGCACTTTGTTCCTCCCTCTGTTGTTGCCATTGGTGAAAATAAACCAAGTGCTCTCGACCACACATTGCTTCACCCGTCTTTCTTATCAGCAGTGCTACACAGAAGCAATCCATGGCCAGGAGAGTTTTCATTTTCTTAATGGCTTTTGCGTACACTGGGTTTACAAATACTTATGGCAGTTCACTAACTTAACCAACGTCCCTGCTCATGCCACCACCAAAGAGTTGAATTCAAATGGAAGGAGAAAGAATAGGTGGTCAACAGGTTCAGTAATGAAAGATGCCATGTTGGGCAAGAACCATACTAAGGGACTAAAGGGCTGGGGGATGGAATGAGGAGTTTAGAATCAGGGAAATAGTAGATCAGCAGGTCAGAACAGGAGAGTGCAGTGAGGTCCCGAGAGGCCACCATCCCACCCCAGCTACCATGCACGGATTTTTCTCCATGAGCCATCCCAGGTGAACTGTTTGGGTGTCTAGCTGACTGACCCAAAGGGCTAGAAGTGAAGTGGCCAGGAGAAATAGTTGCCAGAACCGATGGTAAGAACGGTGGTAGAAACACCAGTTCAGTAGCTAGTTCTATCCCCTAAGAGTTTGTTTTATGTAGGATCTAACAAAACAGGCAAGCAATATAACCAAGAAGTATTTATTAAGCAATCTTCTGTGCTAAGTAAAGAAGGCTCTTGCCAGGCGCGGTGGCTCACACCTGTAATCCCAGCACTTTGGGAGGCCGAGGTGGGTGGATCACTTGAGGTCAGGAGTTCGGAACCAGTCTGGCCAACATGGTGAAACTCCATCTCTACCAAAAAAATACAAAAATTAGTTGGGCATGGTGGCACACACCTTTAGTGGCAGTTATTCAAGAGGCTGAGGTGGAAGGATCACTTGAGCCCAGGAGGTCGAGGCTGCAGTGAGCCAAGATTGTGCCACTGCACTCTAGCCTGGGTGACAGAGTGAGCCCCTATCTCAATAAATAAATAAATAAGGCTCTTTAGGTATCCTTAATGCCTAGTGTAGTCCCTGGCGTTTTAGTAGGGCTCCATAAATATTTGAATCTATTTGAAAGATTCAAATGGATTATGGAAACAAGACGATAGCTAATTAAGTAAAGTGGCAGCATTTTTTTTTTTTAACTTTTAAATTCAGGTATAGCATGCACATAGGCTTTCAATGAACTTTTACAAAATGAACACACCTATATAACCACCACCTAGATCAAGAACTGTTTTACCATCACCCCAAAAGTGTCACCTTGCGAAGATAACCACTATTACCACCATCTCATAGTTTGTTTCTAATTTGGTCTGAGTGGAATCATACATTATGCATTTTTGTGTCTGGTATCTTTCAGTCAACATTGTTTTTGAGATACTTATCTCTGTATGGCTGTAATTCATAGTATTCCATTGTTTATAACAAAATTTACCTAATGTTGATGTTCACTTGCGTTGTTTCTAATTCAGGGCTATTACAAATAAAGCTTCTATAATGTGCACATCTGTTTTACATGTGCGTGTGTGCTTATTTCTGTTGGAAGAATATAAACCTAGGAGTGAAAAGGCTGGGTCATGGAGTATATGTGTTTTTGCCAAACAAATTTTCATATGCTTGTTTGACTTATAAGGTGCTGCTGCTGGCTTTAATGGGGACATATAACACATGGTATATAAATCCTATTAACCTTCCAAAATGCAAAAAAAGAATTTCAAATTCTGAAATACATTTAGACCCAAAGGTTTTGGATGAGGGGTTATGGAGCTATATATATAAATACACATGAACATGTACATAGCAATTTTATTTCTTAGAGGCACATGTGAAATTCCCATTTCTTTTTTTAAATTCACTCCCCATTAATGCTTCTTAAAAGTAATCTATGTATTCTTAGTTCTACCTGTTTTTCTGTTTGGGTTTCTTTGTTGTTATCTTTGTCTATGTTGGCTTATAAATAAAAACGCCTAGGGGAAAGAGGTGCTAAGATTCTCAGATAGTGAATGGCAATGACTAAGACAGGTCCTTAAAGGCTTCAGGGCTCCAGTGCTCAAATATGCATAGGGTCTCACACAAAACTTCCCATTCAGATGGTAAGGAACAGGTTCTTGAATCACTCTTGTAACAAACACCCAGGTGATTCTGATATGCATGGTTCATGGTTACACTTTGAGAAATACCACTTTGAAATTTAACAAATGGTCAGGCGTGGTGACTCACGCCTGTAATCCCAGCATTTTGGGAGGCCGAAGCGGGTGGATCACCTGAGGTCAGGAGTTTGAGATCAGCCTGACCAACATGGCGAAACCCTGTCTCTACTAAAAATACAAAAATAAGCTGGGCGTGGTGGTGGGCGCCTGTAATCCCAGCTACTTGGGAGGCTGAGGCAGGAGAATCGCTTGAACCCGGGAGGCAGAGGTTGCAGTGATCTGAGATCATGCCATTGCACTCCAGCCTGGGCAACAAGAGCAAAACTCTGTCTCAAAAAAACAAACAAACAAAAAATAACAAATATGACCATTGTGCCTTGCACAAGTCTAACATCATTAGTATGGGGTGTGCTTTTCCTAAAGGTAATTGTAGGTTACTGAAGCACATTATTTCAAACCTTGGACACTTTAAATAGAACACTGTTATAATAAATTTGACCAAATATCAACATTACATTTCATCAAAATGAGACTGTCAGGCCTCTGAGCCCAAGCTAAGCCATCATATCCCCTGTGACCTGCACGTATACATCCAGATGGCCTGAAGTAACTGAAGAATGACAAAAGAAGTGAAAATGGCCTGTTCCTGCCTTAACTGATGACATTACCTTGTAAAATTCCTTCTCCTGGCTCATCCTGGCTCAAAAGCTCCCCTGCTGAACATCTTGTGACCCCCATCCCTGCCTGCCAGAGAACAACCCCCCTTTGACTGTAATTTTCCTTTACCTACCCAAATCTTATAAAATGGCCCCACCCCTATCTCCCTTCGCTGACTCTCTTTTCGGACTCAGCCTGCCTGCACCCAGGTGAAATAAACAGCCTTGCTGCTCACACATAGCCTGTTTGGTGGTCTCTTCACATGGACACGAGTGAAAGAGACCCTACTGTTACACAGTAGGAGGACACGGTACTCTCTGTGTACAGAAAACTTACCCAGGTTAGAAGAGGAGTGAGTACAGGACATTTTGAAAAAGCCCTTTCTTATAGTACTTGTGATGCCTGCGGATATTTCATACCAACCCACAGAAAGGGTGTTTTTGATGACAGAAATGAGTAATGTTGGGCCGCTGACTAGGGATGATTTTGTTGTGAGAAAATAAAGGTATTTTGTGAACTATAATTTGGACACTTCCCCTTGCTTCAGATAGAACATTTTAGTGTGAGAAAAACAGTGTTCCCAAAGCGTGACATTTCTTGCTTTTGTTTTAAATTGTATGCAAACTTTGGATTGTACTTCATAAGAGACCCACGTGTTTATAAAATGTTTTGTCATATCCTTAATCATAATATCTTTAACACTCAAATATTTACTTATTTGTCTTTGAATACCTTTCTGATCTCTGCCACAGCCCTCGGGAGGAATTTTTTACCTCCTTTTGAGAAACAAGGGTGTTGTAATAATTGTTGAATTAGGAATTCTTCATTCCTTATATTTTCATTTCTTTATTATTGTCAGGCTTCTGAGCCCAAGCTAAGCCATCATATCCCCTGTGACCTGCACGTACACATCCAGATGGCCAGTTCCTGCCTCAACTGATTGCCTTAACTGATGACATTCCACCGCAAAAGAAATGAAAATGGCCTGTTCCTGCCTTAACTGATGACATTATCTTGTGAAATTCCTTCTCCTGGCTCATCCTGGCTCAAAAGCTCCCCTACTGAGCACCTTGTGACCCCCACTCCTGCCCGCCAGAGAACAAGCCCCCTTTGACTGTAATTTTCCTTTACCTACCCAAATCATAAAATGGCCCCACCCCTATCTCCCTTCACTGACTCTCTTTTCGGACTCAGCCCGCCTGCACCCAGGTGATTAAAAGCTTTATTGCGCACACAAAGCCTGTTTGGTGGTCTCTTCACACAGACGTGCATGAAATTTGGTGCTGTGACTCGGATTGGGGACCTCCCTTGGGAGATCAATCCCCTGTCCTCCTGCTCTTTGCTCCATGAAAAAGATCCACCTACGACCTCGGGTCCTCAGACCCACCAGCCCAAGGAACATCTCACCAATTTTAAATTGGATAAGCAGCCTCCTCTTACTCTCTTCTCCAACCTCTCTCACTATCCCTCAACCACTTTCTCCTTTCAATCTTGGTGCCACCCTTCAATCTCTCCCTTCTCTTAATTTCAATTCCTTTCATTTTCTGGCAGAGACAAAGGAGACACATTTTATCCGTGGACCCAAAACTCCGGCGCCGGTCACGGACTCAGGAAGGCAGCCTTCCCTTGGTGTTTAATCATTGCAGGGACGCCTCTCTGATTATTCACCCACGTTTCAGAGGTGTCTGACCACGCAGGGACGCCTGCCTTGGTCCTTCACCCTTAGCGGCAAGTCCCACTTTTCTGGGGGAGGGACAAGAACCCTGACCCCTTGTCTCCCTGTCTCTACCCCTTCTCTCTATCCCTTATTTCCACGCCCCGACCCCTTATCTCTGCGCCCCAATCCCTTATTTCCATGCCCCGACCTCTTATTTCTGCACATCGATCCCTTATTTCCGTGCCCCAACCTCTTATCTCTGTGCCCTAACCCCTTATTTTCCAAGCCCCAACCTCTTATCTCTGCGTCCCAACCCCTTATTTCCATGCCCCGACCCCTTCTCTGCTTTTCTGGGGGACAAGAACCCCCCCGACCCCTTCTCTCCGTGTCTCTACCCCTTCACTGCTTTTCTGGGGGGCAAGAACCCCCCACCCCTTTTCTCCATGTCTCTACTCTCTCTTTTCTCTGGGCTTGCCTCCTTCACTATGGGCAAGCTCCCGCCCTCCATTCCCTCTTCTTCTCCCTTAGCCTGTGTTCTTAAAAACCTAAAACCTCTTCAATTCACACCTGACCTAAAACCTAAATGGCTTATTTTCTTCTGCAATGCCCTTGACCCCAATACAAACTCAACAGTGGTTCCAAATAGCCAGAAAATGGCACTTTCAATTTTTCCATCCTACAAGATCTAAATAATTCTTGTCGTAAAATGGGCAAATGGTCCGAGGTGCCTGACGTCCAGGCATTCTTTTACACATCGGTCCCTCCCTGGTCTCTGTTCCCAATGCAACTCGTCCCAAATCTTCCTTCTTTCCCTCCTGCCTGTCCCCTCAGTCCCAACCCCAAGCATCGCTGAGTCTTTCTAATCTTCCTTTTCTACAGACCCATCTGACCTCTCCCCTCCTTGCCAGGCCGAGCTAGGTCCCAGTTCTTCCTCAGCCTCTGCTCCTCCACCCTATAATCCTTTTTATCACCTCCCCTCCTCACACCCGGTCCAGCTTACAGTTTCCTTCTGTGACTAGCCCTCCCCCACCTGCCCAGCAATTTCCTCTTAAAAAGGTGGCTGGAGCTAAAGGTATAGACAAGTTTAATGCTCCTTTTTCTTTATCCCAAATCAGATAGCGTTTAGGCTCTTTATAAAAACCCAGCCCAGTTCATGGCTCATTTGGCAGCAACCCCGAGACGCTTTACAGCCCTAGACCCTAAAAGGTCAAAAGGCCGTCTTATTCTCAATATGCATTTTATCACCCAATCCACTCCTGACATTAGGAAAAAACTTCAAAAATTAGAATCTGACCCTCAAACCCCACAACAGGAATTAATCAACCTCGCCTTCAAGGTGTACAATAATAGAGAGGAAGCAGCCAGACGGCAATACATTTCTGAGTTACAATTACTTGCCTCTGCTTTGAGACAAAACCCAGCCACACCTCCAGCATACAAGAACTTCAAAATGCCTAAGCCGCACACACCTAAGCTCAGCAGTCAAGCATTCCTACAAGACCTCCTCCCCCAGGAGCTTGCTATAAGTGCCGGAAATCTGGCCACTAGGCCAAGGAATGCCCACAGCCCAGGATTCCTCCTAAGCCACATCCCATCTGTGCAAGACTCCACTGAAAATCGGACTGTTCAACTCACCTGGCAGCACTCCCAGAGCCCCTGGAACTCTGGCCCAAGGCTCTCTGACTGACTCCTTCCCAGATCTTCTTGGCTTAGCAGCTGAAGACTGACACTGCCCGATCGCCTCGGAAGCCTACAGGACCATCACAGACACTCTGGGTAACTCTCACAGTGGAAGGTAAGTCCGTCCCCTTCTTAATCAATATGGAGGCTACCCACTCCACATTACCTTCTTTTCAAGGGCCTGTTTCCCTTACCTCCGTAACTGTTGTAGGTATTGACGGCCAGGCTTCTAAACCTCTTAAAACTCCCCAACTCTGGTGCCAACTTAGACAATACTCTTTTAAGCCCTCCTTTTTAGTTATCCCCACCTCCCCAGTTCCCTTATTAGGCCGAGACACTTTAACTAAATTACCTGCTTCTCTGACTATTCCTGGACTACAGCCACATCTCACTGCCGCCCTTCTTCCCAATCCAAAGCCTCCTTTGCGTCCTCCTCTTGTATCCCCCCACCTTAACCCACAAGTATAGGATACCTCTACTCCCTCCTTGGCGACCGATCATGCACCCCTTACCATCTCACTAAAACCTAATCACCCTTATCCCGCTCAATGCCAATATCCCATCCCACAACATGCTTTAAAAGGATTAAAGCCTGTTATCACTCGCCTGTTACAGCATGGCCTTTTAAAGCCTATAAACTCTCCTTACAATTCCCCCATTTTACCTGTCCTAGAACCAGACAAGCCTTACAAGTTAGTTCAGGATCTGCGCCTTATCAACCAAATTGTTTTGCCTATCCACCCCGTGGTGCCAAACCCATATACTCTCCTATCCTCAATACCTCCCTCAACAACCCATTATTCTGTTCTGGATCTCAAACATGCTTTCTTTACTATTCCTTTGCACCCTTCATCCCAGCCTCTCTTCACTTTCACTTGGACTGACGCTGACACCCATCAGGCTCAGCAATTTACCTGGGCTGTACTGCCACAAGCCTTCACTGACAGCCCCCATTACTTCAGTCAAGCCCAAATTTCTTCCTCATCTGTTACCTGTCTCGGTGTAATTCTCATAAAAACACATGTGCACTCCCTGCTGATCGTGTCTGACTGATCTCTCAAACCCCAACACCTTCTACATCCTAGGCATGGTTGGATACTTTCGACTTTAGATACCTGGTTTTGCCATCCTAACAAAACCATTATATAAACTCACAAAAAGAAACCTAGCTGACCCCATAGTTCCTACATCCTTTCCCCACTCCTTTTTCTGTTCCTTGAAGACAGCTTTAGAGACTGCCATCACCCTAGCCCTCCCTGACTCATCCCAACCCTTTTCATTACCCACAGCCAAAGTGCAGGGCTGTGCAGTTGGAATTCTTACACAAGAACCGGGACCGTGCCCTGTAGCCTTTTTATCCAAACAATTTGACCTTACTGTTTTGGCTAGCCCTCAAGTCTGCGTGCAGCGGCCGATGCCACCCTAATACTTTTAGAGGCCCTTAAAATCATAAACTATGCTCAACTCACTCTCTACAGTTCTCATAACATACAAAATCTATTTTCTTCCTCACACCTGACACATATACTTTCTGCTCCTTGGCTCCTTCAGCTGTACTCACTCTTTGTTGAGTCCCACAATTAACACTGTTCCTGGCCCAGACTTCAATCTGGTCTCCCACATTATTCCTGATACCACAGCTGACCCCCATGACTGTCTCTCTCTGATCCACCTGACATTCACCCCATTTCCCCATATTTCCTTCTTTCCTGTTCCTCACCCGGATCACACTTGGTTTATTGATGGCAGTTCCACCAGGCCTAATCGCCACACACCAGCAAAGGCAGGCTATGCTATAGTACAAGCCACTAGCCTGCCTCTTAGAACCTCTCATTTCCTTTCCATCGTAGAAATCTGTCCTCAAGGAAATAACTTCTCAGTGTTCCATCTGCTATTCTATGACTCCTCAGGGATTATTCAGGCCCCCTCCCTTCCCTACACATCAAGCTCGGGGATTTGCCCCTGCCCAGGACTGGCAAATTGGCTTTACTCAACATGCCCCAAGTCAGAAAACTAAAATACCTCTTAGTCTGGGTAGACACTTTCACTGGATGGGTAGAGGTCTTTCCCACAGGGTCTGAGAAGGTCACCGCAGTCATTTCTTCCCTTCTGTCAGACATAATTCCTCGGTTTGGCCTTCCCACCTCTATACAGTCCAATAGCAGACTGGCCTTTATTAGTCAAATCAGCCAAGCAGTTTTTCAGACTCTTAGTATCCAGTGAAACCTTTATATCCCTTACAGTCCTCAGTCTTCAGGAAAAGTAGAACGGACTAAAGGTCTTTTAAAAACACACCTCACCAAGCTCAGCCACCAACTTAAAAAGGACTGGACAATACTTTTACCACTTTCCCCTCTCAGAATTCAGGCCTGTCCTTGGAATGCTATAGGGTACAGCCCATTTAAGCTCCTGTATAGATGCTCCTTTTTATTAGGCCCCAGTCTCATTCCAGACACCAGACCAACTTAGACTGTGCCCCAAAAAACTTGTCATCCCTACTATCTTCTCTCTAGTCATACTCCTATTCACCGTTCTCAACTACTCATACATGCCCTGCTCTTGATTACACTGCCGGTTTACACTGTTTCTCCAAGCCATCACAGCTGATATCTCCTGGTACTATCCCCAAACCGCCACTCTTAACTCTTAAAGTAAATAAATAATCTTTGCTGGCAAGGCTATGCTGAACCTCCTTAGGCACTCTCTAATTAGATGTCCTAGGTCCTCCCAATTCTTAGACCTTTAATACCTGTTTTTCTCCTTCTTTTATTCCCTTTAGTTTTTCAATTCATACAAAACCATATCCAGGCCATCACCAATAATTCTACATGACAAATGTTTCTTCTAACAACCCCATAATATCACCCCTTACCACAAAATCTTCCTTCAGCTTAATCTTTCCCACTCTAGGTTCCCACGCTGCCCCTAATCCCGCTTGAAGCAGCCCTGAGAAACATCGCCAATTATCTCTCCATACCACCCCCCAAAATTTTCGCAGTCCCAACACTTTACCACTATTTCATTTTATTTTTCTTATTAACATAAGAAGACAGGAATGTCAGGCCTCTGAGCCCAAGCTAAGCTGTCATATCCCCTGTGACCTGCACGTACACATCCAGATGGCCGGTTCCTGCCTTAACTGATGACATTCCACCACAAAAGAAATGAAAATGGCCTGTTCCTGCCTTAACTGATGACATTATCTTGTGAAATTCCTTCTCCTGGCTCATCCTGGCTCAAAAGCTCCCCTACTGAGCACCTTGTGACCCCCACTCCTGCCCACCAGAGAACCCCACTTTGACTGTATTTTACTTTACCTATGCAAATCTTATAAAACGGCCCCACCCCTATCTCCCTTCACCGACTCTCTTTTCAGACTCAGCCCGCCTGCACCCAGGTGATTAAAAGCTTTATTGCTCATACAAAGCCTGTTTGGTGGTCTCTTCACACAGACTCACATGAAAATTATACTTAGCACTATCTGACTTATTCTATTTATTGATGTGCTTATTATCTGTCTTCTCCCCTACTCCCCCAACCCTGCTCCTCTGACTCATAAATTCTGGTAAGGCAGGCTCACTCTGTCTTATTCACTGCCATATCCTCAGCACCTAGAGAAGTGCCTGGCACACAGAGGTTCTCAAACATATGGTGAATGATGATTGACAGCTATGAGGACACTAGGCTGCACTGGGTATGGTATATACTGTTTCTCACTGATTGAGCCCAGATTCAGCCTAGGAAGCCTTTTCAACACAGCGACCAGCGTCACTGGATGGGTAATGGTGCACAACTGAAACGTATTCCATATCCCTGAATTGCATGCCCTCAAAGGTCTCTAATGCTAATATTCTTTGATTCTACGTATCAGAAGTTAAAATAGCCAAAGCATTTAAAAGAGAGGTTTAAGCAAAAGATTCAGGAGAGAATACTAAACTCCTTATTAGGAATTTTAAAAGTAGCTACTTTGTAGCAACCAAACTTTCCTTTAAAATGCCATGAAGTCAGTTGTTACAAAGAAAACCATTTTCCCATTCAAATATTATAATTAGGGAGATAATATCACTGATCAAAGGTTTAGTCGTATAAAAACTGCTGGAAAGAACTATGTATTGGGCTGGACCAGGTGGCTCATGCCTATAATCCCAGCACTTCGGGAGGCCAAAGCAGGCAGATCACTTGAGCCCAGGGGTACAAGACCAGCCTGGGCCACATGGCGAAACCCTATCTCTACTAAAAATACAAAAAATTAGCTTGGCATGGTGGCGCTTCTAATCCCAGCCACCTGGGAGGCTGAGGTGGGAGGTGCACCCAAGTCCAGGAGTTTGAGGCTGCAGTAAGCCGTGATCATGCCACTGCACTCCAGCCCGGGTGATGGAGTGAGACACTGTCTCAAAAAATAAAATAATTACATATTAATTCAACATTTAATTAATAAAGTTTATACAGGCTCTTGGGTGGTGTTATGCTCTGAACTGTGTCCCACCAAAATTCATGTGCTGAAGCCCTAACCCTCAGTACTTCAGAATGTGACTGTATTTGGAGATAGGGCCTTTAAAGAGGCAGTTTAAGTTAAAATGAGGTAATTAGGGTGGGCCTTCATCCATTCTGACTGGTGTCCTTATAAGAAGAGAAAATCTGGACACACATGTGACACTAGGGATGCATGAACAGAGAAAAGGCCACAGGAAGATTCAGCGAGCAGGTGGCCATAGGCAAGCCAAAATCACTGCATCTTGTTATGGCAGCCCTAGCAAACTAATCCAGATGGCCTAAATCTCACAGCTGTGTTCAAAGTACTGTGATAGAGTCAATAAATATTCACTACAGTGGGCCCCACACACTCCTTCCACATCTATCATCCTTGAATTGGAATTCTGGCAACATCAAGGACATCTTTAGAGAGTGCCCAAACTTTTCCACTCCCTGGCATTTTAAAACAGGGTATTGGGGAAATACTTTTGATGTGGAGAACAAAGGAATTTTTTTTACATGAAAAATTTAAAACATACCAGAAATAGAAAATAGGGCAATGAACTCCCACACACCTATCACCATTCAACGAGTACCACGATTTCACCTTATTTGCTTCCTTGTCTCCATGCCCCCTATTTTCCTTAGCTGTAGTATGTTTTTTTATTCATCACCATTTTATTTATTTATTTTTAGACGGAGTCTCGCTCTGTTGCCAGGCTGGAGTGCAGTGGAGCAGTCTCGGCTCACTGCAACCTCCAACTCCTGGGTTCAAGCAATTCTCCTGCCTCAGCCTCCCAAGTAGCTGGGACTACAGGTGCACGCCACCACACCCAACTAATTTCTGTATTTCTAGTAGAGACAGGTTTTCACTATGTTGGCCAGGCTGGTCTCGAACTCCTGACTTCAGGTGATCCACCCGCCTCAGCCACCCAAAGTGCTGGGATTATAAGCATGAGCCACCATGCTTGGCCCATCAACATTTTATTTTCTTCAATGCACTATGGGATGACTTAATTTATGTATATTGGTATACATACAAAGGTAAAGAAACTGAACTAAACTGAGAAAACATATTTACACTGTCAGAATTCCAAACTATAATACTGACTCTATGCCCTATAATATTTCAAGTTACCAATCTAAAAAACAATTTTGTCCCTGGGAAATTGCAGAAGTTGAAACACAAATTTTTTAAGTTGTTTCCCTACATTGACATATTTCAAATTCATATTATACTTTTTCATTGAGATATAATTCACACACCATAAAATTTACCCTTTTAAAGTGTGCAATTCAGTGGTTTTTAGTACATTCATAGTTATTCAAGAACCACCATCTAATTTCAGAACATTTTCACTGCACTGAAAAGAAACCCAGCACCTATTAGTTGCTCCCCATTGCTCCCTCCCCCATCCCTTTGGAAACCACTCATCTACTTTCTGTCTCTGAAGATTTGTCTATTCTGGACATTTCATATACGTGGAATCACACCATATGGGGCTTTGTGTCTGGCTTCTTTCACTTAGTATCTATTTTCTTCAAGGTTCATTCAGGTTGTAACATATATCAGTACTTTATTCCTTTTTATAGCCGAAGCATATTCCATTATATGGACTTAACACATTTTATTAACCCACTCATTAGTTGGACAGTTTGGTTGTTTCTGCTATTGACTATTATGAATAATGCTTCTATAAATACTTGTGTACAAGTTTTTGCACAGATGTGTTTTCAAGTCTCTTGGGTATATAACTAAGAAGTGGAATTGCTGGGTCATAAAGTTTAACTGTTTTTAGCTTTTTTACATATATATTTTTGAGACAGAGTCTTGCTCTGTTGCCCAGGCTGGAGTGCAGTAGCATGATCTTGGCTCACTGCAACCTCCACCTCCTGAGATGAAGCAATTCTCGTGTCTCAGCTACCTGAGTAGCTGGGATTACAGACGTGCATCACCACATCCGGCTAATTTTATTTCTGTATTTTTCTTAGAGACAAGGTTTTGCCCTGTTGGCCAGGCTGGTCTCGAACTCCTGGCCTCAAGTGGTCCACCTGTATTGGCTTCTTAAAGTGCTGGGATTACAGGCATGAGCCACCACACCCACCCTTGTATTTAGCTTTTGAGGGATTGTTAAAAGGTTTATCAAAGTGGTTGTCACATTTTATACCAGCAATATATGAGAGTTCCAATTTCTCCATCTCCCTTCCCCACTACCGCTGGCAAAAACTGTTCTACTTTCTGTCACTATGAGTTTGGCTACTCTAGGTACATCATATAAGTGGAATCATATAGTATTTGTCCCTTTGTGACTGCCTTATTTCACTTAGCATCATGTCCTCAAAGTTCATCTGTATCGTAACAAGTGTCAGAATTTCCTACCATTTTAAGGTGGAATGATATTCCATTGTATGTATATACCACATTTTTAAAATTGATTCATCTGTCAATGGACATGGGTTGGTTCTACCTTTTGGCTATTATAAATGATGCTGTTATGAGCAAGAGTGTACAAATATCTGTTCAAGTCCTTGCCTTCAATTCTTTTGGGTATATCAATGATATTTTAGAGTTTATAATGTAAGTCTTACAATTCTTATGTTCAATGTGTTTCTTAGTGTGTTGCTCTTTTTTATGCTATGGTAAATTGAATTATTTTATTAATTTTATTTTCAGATTATTCATTGCTACTGTATAGAAATGCAGTGTTGCATGTTGATCTTGTATTCTGCAACCTCACTGATTTTACTTACTGATTCTAATAGCTTTTTAGTAGATTTCTTATGGTTTTCTATACGCAAGATCATGTCATCTGTAATATATTGTGTATGATCCTTGAAGTTTTACTGTTAGTTTAGTGGTTAGCTTATGATTAGACAGAGGTTTCCATAATTACCTCAAACAAGTAAGTCTCCCTGCCTTTGCCAAGTGAGCTCTACGTGCATGTTGGAGCACACTTTCAATGCTTTTGCAGGCAGTTTACAACTCTACCGTGCCTTCACTCCCTGCTTGCCGGAAGCCTCAAGGTCAGACAGAGGTGACAGATTAGGGCCATCTTAGGTATTACCTGGGCATACACACAACACTGAGCATGCATGTCACCTTCTAGATTTCCAGGAATATGTCAGAGCTTTTCAAAGCCCAATGTGGATATCTTATTTTCCAAACTTTCCTTTCTACGTTTTAAGTCAGCTGTTTATTTGCTTCAGTTGTTATTGCAGCCTCAGGCAGCTGTGATACTAAACTCTTGTCACTGATTGTTTTTGACAAATGCATCCAGAGAAAAGACTGTTCACAATGAGAGAGCGCTCAGTCAGGTCAAATAAAGACAAACCTTATTGAGACAGCCAAATGCCTAGGCAGATAAAAAGGGGTCCCCAGAGAATCTCCAACCTGCCCCACAAGTGTTTACATCAGATACTTTTGCACAGAGGGAACCTGCCCAGGGCTTGTCTGGGCATGCCCATAACTGACTGGATCCTGATATGCACATGGGGGGAAGTGGGTGGAGCCAGAGGGAATTCACCCCTTATGCAAGGGAGGAGCCTGCCCTCTTCAGCTTGTGTGGTGACCTGGGAATCAATCTGTGAGGTGGGGGGGGCCTGTTAGCAGGACTACATTTTGCTTTGCTGAGTTTTATTCTTTTTTTCCCTTTCACCCAATAAAATCCTGCTCTACTCACCCTTCAATGTGTCCACGTGCCTAAATTTTCCTGATCGTGTGACAAGATTCTGGTTTTAGCTGAACTAAGGAGCAAAATTCTGCTACATTTTGGCACCCAGATGTAGGACTTGAGGAAGAGTAAGATGCAAACCAAAAACTTTTTTCCTTTTGCTTCTAAGCCTTTTTGTCCTCGAACTTCTGAAGGTAGAGAAAACTATGCCTCCCTCCCCCCCCAACCACTGTTGCTCCCAGGGGTTGGGAATGTCAGCCTTTTCCTTCTTTTTCTGGATAGACAGGCAAACTGGCAGCTCCCCTGCTCCCCTCTTAAGTTTCTCTCCCTGTTGGAAGAACCCACTTGCATTTAAGAGTAAGAGGTTCTTCCTCCAGGTGTCTTTCCAACCCTGCACTTTAAACTTTTTCCTTTTCTCTACCCTGTCAGCAGTTAACTTTTAAGTAAGAGTTTTTTCTTTTTTCTTTTTAGAAGACATTTTACTAGGCCAGAAATGATAAGGATCATTGTTTATATTCTCTGTAAAGTTTTAACTATGAAAAAGGATCTGTAAGGTTTGTCTTAAGCTGTAGCCAATCTGGTGTGCTTTGCATGACTTTCTGTATAGTCAGCAGCAAACTTCGCTGCAGGCCTCCATCTTGTTTTACATCCTTGAGAGCATGACCTGTAACCATGTGGCAATGTTTTGTTTAGCCCATTTTACAATGGCAGCTGGGTTCAATCCTGGCTTAGGGAATGTATCCTTTCTGGTCTGATGTCTGTGCAACCTTTGCTATTTGTTGATTCTCTTCCCCTCATGAACCACTTTGGATTTTCCTTTCTCTGAGCCTCTAGTAAAGTTTGAAAGCAAATAATATGGCCGCTTGGTATGTCTAAAGTCAGATAACAAGGGATTTAAAAGGATTTTAGTAAAGAGCACTCAGGTTAATTAAAAGTGGATATCTAAGTTATCAGTATATTTAAAAGGCCTTTATGTTTTTCTTTTCTTGGATCTTGTTTTGCTGGAAAAAGGGTTTTTTCTCAGTCGACCGAATTATTTTTCTTCATTTTGCCTTGTCACTCTCAATGCATGCATGACAAGCCCCAAGATAACTCCTGGGGGCATGGGACTACTTGGGAAAAACAGAGAAGGCACCACTGACTCCATTTTGGGAAGAAACTTGTTTTCCTCATGGAACCCCAGGAATTAAAAGTGGTTGGATCCCTCTCAAAATCTGTTTTTGCCCAACCTATGCCTGTTTATTAGGCCTTAGAAGCTGCATGTTTTTCTAGCCCTGTCTCTTAAAGGGCTCCACCTGGAGGCCAATAATCCAATTAGGAGATTGGCAAATGAAAAATCTTAGGGCTGCTAAAAATCCTTCTGCCTGTCTGTGTAGTTACATATGTGTGTGCATGTGACATCTATAAAAAAGAGCTCTAATTTACTTAAAGAAGGATAAGCACTTGAATCAAATATTTTGTAAAAGGGAGGATAAAAGGTGTGGTACCTTTCAGTTTACATGACTTTAATCTTTGAGAAATAAAAACAGTCTTAAAGATTACTGGTAAAATGCAGATGTGATCAAAATGTAAATAGGTGGACTAAATTATGCAGGTCAGATACTAAGTTTGCTAAATATTTTAAGGTAATAAACTGCTTTTTTGGTCTTTGAGAACTGTTTGACTTGCCTGTTTCACAACTGGTAAGCCCTGGGGACATACGGAATTAACCACAACCTTAATTATGCTGGAAGGAGTCAAAACTTGGCTGCACCTAGCACGTAATTAAAACATCTTAACAGGTTTTACATTAAAGTTACAAATTGCTAGGAGTTACCATTATAATGTAATTGAAACTACTGGAAATAGATTTACATGAGAGGTGCATAAGAACAGTAAAGTAAGTCTTTAGAAAAAGATTATAAGAAGGTGTGGAAATGTAAATTCTTGCCTAAGTTAAAGGATTGCCTTGAATTAGATAAGCTAAAAGTTCAAACAAGTTGTGGAAGGACTGTAAAAATTAATCTTGCAAAAGAAATTCCATGTGGGAACATATTGACTAAATTCACAAAGGTATTATATGGTTTTTCTATAAATTGAGCATTGAAATAAAAGCACAACAAAGTCCTCTTAAGACACTAATCTCTAGCAAAATTTGTAAAGGGTTATAAAAAGTTTTTGCTTTTTCAAAATTTCTGAGTCATCATTTTGGCAAAATAAATAACTTACAGTAATCTGGAATTCTGTTTCATAACATCAAGTGTTTTAAACCTCTAACGTATTTAACAGGCTCCCCAAAATAATCAAACTTCAGTTTCAAAATAGTCTTTCCTGATGCTTGGATTTTGGATGTGAAAAGGGCCCCCGGAGTATCCAAAAGAGAGGTAAACAGGATTATTTGACATGTTTAGGTACATGGGATTGTCAAAATGATATTCAATCTTCTTTAGGTTATATTTTAGTGAATACTACTACTATATGTTCCAAAATTACTTGGGATTTCTAAAATTCTAATGTCTGAAGTATATGCTATCAATCATAATTAAGGGGGTTATGTCTTTGTCAATTATGTTTCTAACTGTAACTACTCTGGACATTTTGTTATCATAGACAATTGTTGTCTTGTTTGGATCCTCTTCAAAAGATCGTTTATAATCAGCTGTATATCTTTGACAGGTGCTCTCAAATACAGGTTTCTAATAACTTTGGAGATTGTGACACTGGGATAAAGGAAAAATGTACAGGAGTCATGAAGAGCTGAAATGTTCATGAATATCAAGCAAAACAAGAGTTAACTGAATGGAGTGAACTAGTAGAAAACTGAAGTAATCTTTTTGACTTTTGCTTGGAATATTGCTGGTCCTTGTTTTTTTTTGTTTGTTTTTCAGAGTCAAGGAAACTTATTTTGAGCTATTTATAGCCTTTAATAATTGAGTAAGGTATACTCCTGTGAACAAAATTTGGAGCATATTTGTCTCTCTCTCTCTGCCTGGCTTCTCCAGAATTTGGGAACTACTTGTGAGTATTCTTAACTTATGGCAATATAGTTGTTTGCATTGGTGCAAGAAAAATCCATTTTCTTTTGCAACAGGATGCAACCGGAGAAACTGGTTGTTTTACCAAGGCTTTGACTGGAAGGATATGCTTCCCTTTAAGGAGTCAAGCTCGACTTGCAGAGCCAATAAAAGCCCCTCAGGAAAACTGGCTTCATGCCCTTGTCTACACAGTCCCTGTAGACTACAGCTTCCTGACCTGTAGTCAGTAAAGAATGTCACTTTCTAACAGGCCCAGGAGCTCCAAGTTTATCTTGGGACCTTAAGAGGAGAGGATCACCCAACTCACAGGTATCTGAGGATACAAACCTATGACTGGGCTCAGCTTTAAAAGATCTTATCTGAGATTTCTTGTGGAACAGAGTTCCACCAAAGCCAATCTAAAAGGCCTATGTAGATATAGTTATTCTTACTGCACTTTATGCAATAATCAGGCTAAGTACAAGACTAAAGTCTATTTTGCAAACAACTCAGTCCTATCATGATTTTTTTTTAACAAAAATGAGGACTGGAGAGAGAGAAATTATATTTCAAAACTTATACATTTGTCATTAAATTATAAACTCATTAGTTGTTTTTAAGTTTTTGCCTACATTTTAGACTAACCATGCTTGTTGCTGTGAACTAACCAGAAATCTCTGGCTGCAGCTCAGAAGGAACAAAAGAGAATGGGTGATATAAAAATCTGGATCAATAGTCTAGTTTTGAGCAATTATCCTGCGAATCCTGCCAGGTGATGGGAATAAATAGGGTGCTCATAACATGGGGGTTTCCTTTTTGGGAAAGTAAGACCAAGGGAGCTAACCAAAGCCAAGCCCCATGCACCCAAATCTTAGCAAGCATAACTATAGCCACCAGTTATCTGGGTGTGTAACAGGACATTCTTTTCTCTCCCTTGTTGGAGGAGGACTCAATCCCACAGCTTCACCTTAGCATTTGGCTTATGATGAGGAGTCAGTGCAACCCCTCAAGACACAATTTTGTCCCAAACTCAATTCTAAGCTTCGAGTTGAAGCCCTTGGAAAGAAAACTGGGTCTGAGGGATCCAGAGGCAGATATGGAGGTTAAAAGGCACAGCATAGGTGAGCATGACTAATTCCTGGCAATAAAGCCAAGCTTCCCATTTCATGGATAAAGGTCATGCTAGTATCCATAGCATAAACAAGGTCTAGGGAATTCAAAGACTACTGATAGCAGGGGAGGTACGGTGTACATGGGTAAGAGTGGATACTCCCACACCCTAGGCCCCCGTTAACATGGGTGAAAGCCGCTTTGACACCCATGGGTGGCACCATGTCACGGTTGCTGGGAAATGGGGATATAAGGACAGAAGACAGAAAGAGTGACACCTTGCTTTCCCCCCCTCACATACCCCGGGTATTTGCTAGGAAGAGAAGGGAACCTGGAATGCCTCATTCCCCTCGTTCTAAATGAGTAGACATTCATCTTCAGTCTGTACTCCTTTCTTTTTTTTAAGATGGAGTCTTGCTTTGTCGCCCAGGCTGGAGTGCAGTGGCACTATCTCAGATCACTGCAACCTCCACCTCTGAGGTTCAAGAGATTCTCATGCCTCAGCCTCAAGAGTAGCTAGGACGACAGGTGTGTATCACACCTGGCTAATTTTTGTATTTTTAGTAGAGATGGGGTTTCACCATGTTGTTCAGGCTGGTCTCAAACTCCTACCCTCAGATGATCCACCTGCCTCAGCCTCCCAAACAGCTGGGATTACAGGCATGAGCCACTGCACCCGGCCAGTCTGTACCACTTTCAAATGCATCCTGAACATCTGGGACTCCTCTGGAAAAAACACCTTTTTTCCTTTTTCCTCCTGTCCTCTCTTCACTAATAAGCAATTATGTCTCCATACTATGGGACACTCCCCTGAGATGCATCCTCCAAACTGGGAAGAATTAATTTCCCAAACCTTAGACTTTGGCTTAGGATTGGGCTTAGGGGAAGGCAACCCAGAAGCCTGACATGCTGGCAAAAGGGTAAAAGGTCTTTTACCAGTGGGGCTTTTGGCCTCTTTCTCCGTGTGCAAACTGGTAAAAGGCCTCGGGATTTCTGAGCTGTCCTTACCCCCGCCCTGCTTTGTTTTGATATGTTTTCCAATAACCCAGTTTGTCTCTTCTAGCCTTTGGGCCGTCAAATTCCAAATAGTCATGCAAAGCAGCCTCAGAGGATGGTCCCTTTTGCCAGGGACCCTTAGGTATGCCTCTGAGGGAAATCTGACTGCCATTTTCCCAAAATAGCACTGCTTGTTACCAGGAAGCAGTTAAGCTCGATCTTCATCCTTATCCTTATCCTTATTCTAAAAGCAGTTAGATGTACTTCTTTAGAGGAGGGAATAAGACAGCCAGATGCCTAGGCAGATAAAAAAGGGTCCCTTGAGAATGTTCGCCTCGCCCCATAAGTGTTTATATCATATGCTTTTTTGCACATGAGGGAACCTGTCCAGGGCTTGTCTGGGCATGCCCACAAAGGACTGGAGCCCAACATACGCACTGGGGGAAGTGGATGGAGCCCCAGGGAATTTGTGTCTCACAGGGGAGGAGCCTGCTCTCTTCAGCTTGTGTGGTGACTGATCTCAGAATCAATCTGTGGGGTGGGGGGCCTATTAACAGCACTCCATCTTGTTTTGCTGAGGTTTCTTTTTTCCAATAAAATCCTGCTCTACTCACCCTTCAATGTGTCTGCATGCCCAAATTTTCCTGGTTGTGTGACAAGATCCCAATTTTAGCTGAAGGAGCAAAATTCTGCAACATTGTGAAGGGGGGTTTCCAGAAAAATGCCACACAGAACTGTCAGGTCAAATAACAATTCTCAGCAGATGGTGTTTTGAGGGAGCTTCAGAGCCCCTTCTACACCCTCCAGTGGCTGCTGGTTTTCCCTGGGATTGTGGCACTGTTGGTTGTCAAGGCTAACACAAAGTTTGGGAGATGAGATGAAATTAGGGTTAGTGGAAATGCTACAAAGCAGGCTGTTCTTGCTGAGATTCAGGTGGTTTTCTTGAGTAAAACTTCCCACATTGCCTTTGGTTAATTTCCTGAATTCTGGAGTTCATTTTGACATATTTGTTGTTCTCATTGTTCTTAAAGAGTGGCTTTTCATAGGTTCTTTCTCTACCATTCCCATTGGTATCTTAAAGACAATCCTTGGCGTCACCCCATTTCACTCTTACGGTTCAGCTCAATATGCAGACATAGCTCTACAGAACCACACTGCCATTGTTTAACTGCTCACAAAATTTCGTTATCATCTAATACTCAATTTATAATTAAATAACATCTATTACCTCAGAAATGCCTCTTTATACGATATTATTTGTTATTTTCTCTTCTTTCAGTGAGCTATGGGAGGTTAATTCTTTGTATTGGCTATATAATTAGGGGAGATGCAGGTAGGGCACCCCGCAAGGGTCTAGCGCTAGTTAAGTGGATTCTGGCTTTAAACAAGAGGTGTAAAGGGGGCCCTTAGAGTTTTCTTTAACATCTTCAAGCCAGTCCTCCAGGGACATAAATTGAAATTTATTCTTTTTTTGAGAGAGGGTCTTGTTCTGTCACCCACGCTAGAATGCAGTGGCACGATCACAGCTCCCACACTCAAGTGATCCTCCCACCTCAGTCACCCCTAGTAGCTGGCACTATAGGCATGTGCCACCATGTCTGGCTAATATTTGCATTTCTTCTACAGATGGGATTTCGCCATGTTGCCCAGGCTGGACCCAAACACCTGGACTCAAGCAATCTGCCCACCTTGGCATCCCAAAGTGCTGGGATTATAGGTGTGAGCCACTGCACCGAGCTGAGATTCATTCTTGCAATAATTATTTACTGGGGGCCTGGGGGCCTACAAAGTGCCAAGCACTATGCTGAGAAGGCAGAAACCTACTCAGAACACCCCTGCATTTCACATGTCACAAGTATGGCAGAAGTTTAGGAGGATAAGATTAGTGGAAGAGAGACCCTTAAACAGTTACAAGTCTTTCTAGCACCAAGATCATTTCAAAAAAGCTGACCGACATCCCCAGAGTTAAAAGTTATACTTATCAGTAGGAAAGAATAAACAGCCTACAGATTTCCTTAGAGGGGACATTGGAGAAACAAATACAAGATAGTAACTTCCTATGAACAAATTTAGAAATCTGCCTACAGAAGTGTGGCTTTGCAAATGTTTTTCTTCCTCTACCCTTTGTTTTTATCCCCAAGGTGTTTCCCTTTACCACTTAAAAATAACTGCTGATGCAGCTGAGGGATGGATTTGTCCACTCACAACCTCAGAATACATAATTCTTAGGCAGATCTCACTCTAGCTTCCCAAAGCGACAACTGCACAAAGTTATACCAAGATCAAAAACTGGTACTTCTGAGCCCAGCATGGTGGCCTGTAATCCCAGAACTCTGAGAGGCTAAGGCAAGAGGATTGCCTGAGGCCATGAGTTCATGAACAGCCTGAGCAACAAAGTAAGACCTCATCTCTGGAAAAACAAAGAAACAAACAAACAAAACAGGCACTTTTGGGCTAGATTTGTCCCACAGTTTATATAATCTAATTTTAAAAGCCTGGGCATACACTCTAGTTTTGGCCAAAATTTCTACCACTCCCTGTTAAGTAATATCTAGCCAACTCCTTACATTTGTGTGAGTGGCCTCGTCTCTGAAGATAAATTTGAGTTTATGACCTTTTATAGACATCATTTCCAGAGGCAGTTATTTTAAGGGCATCTACTGGGACACACACAAAAACCTTTAAAAAAATTTTTCAGGCTGGGCGCAGTGGCTCACACCTGTAATCCCAACACTTTGGGAGGCTGAGGAGGGTGGATCACGAGGTCAGGAGATCAAGACCATCCTGGCTAACATGGTGAAACCCCGTCTCTACTAAAAATACAAAAAAATTAGCCAGGCGTGGTGGTGGGCACCTGTAGTCCCAGCTACTCAGGAGGCTAAGGCAGGAGAATGGCGTGAACCCAGGAGGTGGAGCTTGCAGTGAGCCGAGATAGAGCCACTGCACTCCAGGCTGGGTGACAGAGCAAGACTCCGTCTCCAAAAAAAAAAAAATTCAGAAATATATAGACTTATGATATTGACTTAGTACTGATAGAATGTATATTTGTGTAATTTTCAGGGGAAAAGTTTGGATTATTTCTGATAGGCTGGATAATGACCCCCTTTCCCCAAAGATGTCTAAATCCCAATCTACAGAACCTATGAATGTTGTTTTGTTACATGGCAAGGAAGAATTAAGGTTGCAAACAGAATAAAGGTTGCTAATCATCTCACTTTAAATAAGAAGATTATTCTGGGTTATCCAGTGGGCTCAGAATGATCACAGGATCCTTTAAATATGGGACAGGTAGGCAGAAGAGCATCACAGTAATGCAGAATGAGAAACACTCACCAACCAGGGGCCTGGAGCAGGACCAAGGGCGGCCTCTAAAACCTGGAAGACACAGGGGACAGATTCTCCCCTATGGCCTCCAGGAAGGAATGCAGCCCTGCTCACACCTTGATTTTAGGTGAGACCCACTTCACATTTGTGATGTACAAAACTAAGATAAATTTGTGTTGTTTTGAGCCAAGTTTGTGGTAATTTGTTACGGCAGCAACTGAAAACTAATACAGTATTAAAGAATTTGAAAAACACAATCCTTTTGAATCTACCCTAAAGATTTGGTGATAAAAACAGGCAGTTACATTATGGCACATACCACAATAAAATTTTAGCCATTAAAGTAAATCTTTCAAGAATGTATACACATGGATCAATATTCCTAGTATACGGACAAGGCAAGGTTAAAATTAGATATTGTGTTAGTCCATTCCTAAAAATAACCCTGGAGGGAAAGACATTCAAACATTGTATGTCCTTAATTCTAGATGGTGAAAATATAAGATTAATCTCCTATTTTCCAATTTTTCTAGAGATCGAAAATAATCAAAAGGAAAAAATGATGGAAAAATGGAATTCTCAGTTCATTTGAAGAATACAGATTAGCAATTAAAAAATACAGCAGTATCTCAGGAAATAAACATTATTCTCATTTTACAAAAAAGTGTATGTGAACTTTAAAAAAATCTACACTACAATATGAATTGATATTATCTCTGGGTAGAATGCTAACAATTTTATTTTCTCCTTTACTGTATTCACTAAATGTTTCACATTAAATGTTGTATTACCTTTGAAATCAGAAGATACATTGTCTAAAACTGATACATCAAGAAATAGTTGTATAAGCATATTACCTAAACACAGAGGTTACCAACAGAAATTAAAAGTGGTTAAAAATGACTCCTGGGGAACTGTAAGAAGAGGAAGGTGAAGGGAAGAAATGGTTGCTTTCCATTCTAAATCTTCACACAATCTATTCTTAAAATCAGACAAGGCTGTGGTAAATTTTTTCAATTATTAAAAAAAATTATTTCTTCTAATAGGAATAGGCCTTTGAGAACCCTATTAATTGTAATAGGTTTCAATTCAGTTAGTCACTCAAGTATTATAAAATGCAACTGGATTTACAGAAATAATTTCCTACCTACACTGACAGTATATTTAAACTAAAAAAAAAGCATACAATGTACAAACAAATTTATTTACAAAAATTACAATTACAAACTGTACAAATTGAGACAATTTCCCATGCCTCCAACAGAAGCCAAGAGCCTTTACTGTCAAATGGCAGTTTTTGTTACTTTTAAATGACACACAAAAAGAAATATGATGCCTATTCAGTCATCCACTGCCAGTTTAAAAATGCTTTTCTAAATAATTCCAAGAAGCCTATTAGTGATATGTATATGGATAATTTCCCTCAACTCTATTTCTAGAATGGCTATGTACAAATCCAGCAAAACTGGAACAGAACAGGGTAAGAAAGCACATAGCAACTGCTTTTTCAACAGTAAATTTTGACTATTCCCCTAAATATCTACCTAGTGGCTTAAAACTAAAACTATGGTCTTTGGCTTTAAAAAGAAAGTCAAAAAATTTTGACTTTTAATGACTGCACAATTCTACCAAAGCCAGTGTTTACCTGGGTATTTTTTGTCACCTGTAGTTTACATTTCCCTGCTACTGTTAAAGAAACAGAATTCTACAGTATTCAATTCTGTATATTGTCTTTTAAGGTTTTTCAATCAGACTCACTACTACTGCTTGAGGAGTCCGTTGACATAATCTCTACATCATCTTCATTTTCTTTATTATGCCCAGGAGGTTCCAACAAAAAGTCACTACTATGATTTGGTGGTAACATATTCATCGACATGTCATTTGACTGCCATGGATACTGTGGAGCAAGGACATCTGGAGAAAAAAAGAAGCATAGATAAGAACAGCTCTATCTGTAATTAATCTAGTTCTTACTTTTCCCTTTATGCAACAATTTGAAGTATTTTTTTTAATTTTACTTTTTTCTCTTCTTTTTTTGACACAGGGTCTCATTCTGTCACCCAGGCTTGAGTGCAGTGGCACGAATACATCACTGAAGCCCTGACCTAGGCTCAAGCAATCCTCCTGCCTCAGCCTCCTGAGTAACTGGGTTACAGGTATGTGCCACCATGCTTGAGTACTTTTTAAAGTTTTTGTAGAGATGAGGTCTCACTATGTTAACCAGGCTGGTCTCCAACTCCTGGGCTCAAGCTATCCTGCTACCTCAGCCTCCCAAAGTGTTGGGATTACAGGCATAAGCTATTGTGCCAATTTTTTTAAGACTAGGAAAAAAATACACATTTAGCCAAATTAATAAAAATCAAATTTATCAAGGAAAAGTTGATATTTTAGCAACTGGGGACTTTTTTAAAAAAATCATACTACTCTGTAAGAAACTATTTAGTCAGTTGACATAATTTTTCTTTTGTAAGACATTTGTAATTACAAATTTTTCCTGTATCTATGTATCTATTATATGCATATATAATACATACTTATGTATACTAGGTTATGTAGATTATTCTACATATTATAAACAAGTAATAGGTACTTTAGTATTATAATAGATTTGAATGATTTCTTGATAGAGGAACTGCTATTGTAAGTGACTCTCATCAAAGAGAGGTTGATTAGCAATGTATGCATATGAAATACCTTAAAAAAGGGCCCAAGTTACATTTAAAGTCTGTATTTCTGAAGCAAAGGGACAGAGCACATAAACAGGTATAGTTCAAGACTCAAATAAAGAAGGCAGATTTTTAAAGGGTCAAAAGAAAGAGTTATGGTATTAACTAGAAAGGTATGCCAGTTAGCCTCAAATCTACCCTTCTCTCTGGCCCCTGAAACCATTTCTCCTTTGCCAGCTGCCACAATTAAGTTTTGTCAGTAGAGGGCACAGGTGGGACTCCACTAGCAAACAAGTTTCACTTCCTGGATCAGGTGGTTTTGTCTCCTTTACTGCTGTGATGCCTGGTTGGTGTGCAGGACATTAAGTGGTGTTCACCACAGCAACTTTCGGTGGCGCCTCTAAAGGTGGTTTCCTAGCAGGTTTCACCAGAATCCCAAAGGGCAGCTTCCCAGCAAGTCTCCCTGGAACCCCAGTGGGTAATTTCCTGCTTGCCAGCTCTGGCCTCTGATGCCTCATCTAACTTCTCTGCCATGGAGTGGGCCACATTACACTGCACCCTCTCCAATGACAGCACCATGATATGAGAGTATCGGCCTTGGGATGGAGCTGGGGAAGACTGTTTTTAGGTCTGTCCCTTCCTTGGTCCAAAATGTGGCAGTGACTCCCCATATCTGTTTTTCCTGTACT
Organism: Homo sapiens; assembly: GCF_000001405.40. Lineage (NCBI taxonomy): Eukaryota > Metazoa > Chordata > Mammalia > Primates > Hominidae > Homo > Homo sapiens. Next base: position 48,078,753 of record NC_000013.11, read on the forward strand.
TTTAAAACATGAGAAATATGAGGTGATATCCAAGGATATCACAGTTGAGTTCCCCTGGTTGTACTTTAGGTAGCTAACAAAAATGATGCATACAAAGCATTATTAATGACACAGGGACAGCCTTATGATGTAACATTAAGCAAAAAATGTATAGGGGAAAAAAGGAAACAGGCTAAAATATTTAAAGTGACTGCCTCAGAAAGGGTATATTTTTTTCCTTTTTTAAATGCCTTTTTCTACTTCCCAAATGTTCTACCACATCAAAACAAAAGTCACCTACAAACTATAAAAGATGAGGAATAATATAAAACAAATATATATAAAAATAGCACAAACCTATGAAAAACTTGAGGAAAACTGAAGCTCAGAATGAACTGGGTCTCACAGAAATACTATTTTATAAAGTTATAAAAGTTTATAAAAAGCTATTGTTATTCATTTTGTTAACTTGGGGGTTGTTCAGGAGTGTGTTCACTTTATTCCGTAAACTATCTTACTCTATTTACATAGCATGTTTCACAATTATAAAAAAGCTATGTTTAGAGCAATAATTTAAAAAGAGAGGCCAAATGCCTGAGGAAGACAGTGTAATATTTACAAATAAGAGAAAGGCAGCTTGTTCTAATTTCATACCTCCCTCAAGGAGAATCTTTAGAGCAGAATAAACCGGCAAAGAATCTAGCTATTACAATGAACTGGGTCTGAGAGGCAGGCACACTGGCTCACACCTGTAATTCCAGTACTTTGGGAGGCTGAGGCAGGTGATTGCTTGGGGTCAGGAGTTCGAGACCAGCCTGGCCAACAGAGCGAAACCCCATATCCACTAAAAATACAAAAATTAGCCAGGCCTGGTGGCACACACCTGTAATCCCAGCTACTCGGGAGGCTGAGGCACAAGAATCACTTGAACCTGGGAGCCAAGATTTCGCCAACACGCTCCAGCCTGGGTGACATAACAAGACTGTCTCAAATTTACAAAAAAAAAAAAATTGTGTCGGGAATCTCAAACTTGCTTTACCGCCAGATATTCCAACCTTGTCATCTCTGGAAAACCCTGATCTGTTTGAAAACACTCTTCGGCTTAACATTACCTGGCAATCTTCCTGCTGCAAGTGCATCTCCTGGTAAATGGCCATTCACGCCATTAGTGGAAGGATTGTTCATCTGACCCAGTAACCCACTTCTCATCTCTAAATCAGTTGGGTAGGGTCTCCGGGGGTCCCCTAAAACAATAAAGACTGCATTTAATTCAATCATATTTTAAAAAATAAGTGTTAATATGTTATTTGACATACTCATTTTCGCTGGTTCATGCTGAAAAGTTCAGGCTACATTTTCAATTTTGAAATACAGAAGTCATCTGGCCAGGTGCAGTGGCTCACGCCTGTAATCCCAGCACTTTAGGAGGACGAGGTGGGTGGATCACCTCAAGTCAGAAGTTCAAGACCAGCCTGGCCAGCATGGTGAAACCCCGTCTCTACTAAAAATAAGAAAATTAGTCAGGCGTGGTGGCACGCACCTATAATCCCAGCTACTCGGGAGGCTGAGGCAGGAGAATCGCTTGAACCCGGGAGGCAGAGGTTGCAGTGAGCTGAGATTGCACCACTGCACTCCAGCCTGGGCCACAGAGCAAGACCCTGTCTCAAAAAAAAAAAAAAAAAAAAAAGAAAGAAAGAAATATAAAAGTCACCTTATAAATTGTTATTAATAGCATATTACTTTTTAAAATACACGCATTTTAATTTCTTTTCTGAATCTTCCCAAGAATATACTATTTTCTACACTTTAAAAAAAAAGAGATGTCATTTTTTTGTAGACATTCCAGATGACAACTTAAGAAAATTATAATAATCTCAATTATTCAAACTTAACTGTATTTTCTAGCAAGAAAATGACAATGATTATGCTGCAAGGGAGAAAAAAATCATGACACTTATAAGACAGAAAGGACTGGAATGTTTAATAGAAGGACTGTCTCAATTTAAAATCTTTTTTTTTTTTTACATTTTTCATCTTTTTGTTTTACTTTTATTTTCCTCATGCCACCTTGTCTAAGATAAAACCTTTTTCTAACCAACCTCTTTGATCTTGTAATTCAGAAACTAATTCGTGTAAGTGGCAAAATAGCAGGAGCAGGTAATGTCCATCCCAAACATGAAAGCACACTAAATAGCAGTATGTGGTTGACAAAAACTTGACCAGATTTGGATTGACTTTTTGGGCACATCTCACCAACTGCAGCTTATCCATCCCCAAAATTATAGTCACCCTTAGTGCTTTCAGCATGGTAACACAGCACCTTCAGAAGTTATTTTGAAGTGGAGATAACTACTAATATTTCCCCTTCCTCCAATAAGGCTGCTACCTTACGTCTCCTGTTTTATGTTTCATCCACTGTCAATATAGTTGCAGCTTGATCCTCTCTTTTGCTGTCTAATTATCCCAGCTCTTTCCAAGCCTGTATGTTCACTGTTGGGTGCGTAGTGCTTTGTCTTTAGCATCTAAGAGAACTGGAATTGTCTTTCTCAGGCTGGAACCTTTGTGGAAATCCTAATGGCTCTAAAGAGTTTGCTTCTGGCCAGCCCTGATAAAATGGTATATAAATCCAAAGCTTTAGAAGCATCACATTATTATCTCGTACTTTAAAAAATTATCAATTTATTATTTCAAAAGACGAAAGAAACACAGTCCCTAGCAACAATGGCTTCACAGAAAACCAAATTTATAAAACCCATGGCCTATATCATTACTTATAAACCATTAAAGATGTGAAAATATGTGGCAGAGGTTTCTAAGGATAAATACATTTTAAATTAAATCTATGTCTGTACATAGTCACCTAAGAATCTTCAAAACCACATATATCTAGTATAATAAGACGAGTATGTTTACCTGGAACCCAGGTCAGTGGAGCACATACAGCATTACTTGCACTGATCCTATGTGCATACTTAATTATTTCTTCAGAGGAGATAGCACCTGAAAGAGTTTTAAGAGGACAGTATAACCTGTAGTCTAACAAACATACAAGTTTAGAAATGTATCTATCAGTTACACATCGTATTTAATTTTAAATTATCTGAAAATAAAATAATCTCAGTCACCTGCCTTCCTTAACAATACCTACATGTTTAGTATAAACTTAAATCTCCAAAAACAGGACACTAATCCAGAAAAATTAGCTGACATAAACAAATTTCGGAGATTAGCACCATAGCACTCAATAATCTCAATTATTAACTACCGTTAAATACCATTCCTCTTCTGAAAGCATAGTGAGCACAAATAAAATAGAGAAAACAGTGTTTCATTTCTCAAAGACATCCAAGCTATGAAATCAGAGCAGACAGTTCACACCACTCTGTTCGATCAATATGCCCTAAGGCTCTTAAGTAGACCTAAATAGAAAGATGTCTACAATGTATTCATTAGGTAAAAAAAAAAACTAAACTGCTAAATAATATGTACGGTATGACCCGACTGTTCAAAATGTATGTACATATGTGTATTTGTATTTTTATTACATACATACTCACAGATCTAGAAAAAAAAAATCTAGGACATATACCAAACATTAATAGTTACCTCTGAGAAGTGAGAACCACACACTTCATTTTACAAACTTTAGATACTGTTTCAATGTAACAAAGTGTATGTGTGTACAGTTTTTGAAGATTAAAAACAGAATCAAACAACGGTCTAGAAGTCAACAGCCAGCCTCAGCCATCTCTCCTAGAGATTTGTTTCTTGCTACAGAAGCCTAACCTAACTCTCAAAAGAATATTAGCTATTTGGCTGGGCGCAGTGGCTCATGCCTGTAATCCCAGCACTTTGGGAGGCCGAGGTGGGCAGATCACGAGGTCAGGAGATCAAGACCATCCTGGCTAACACAGTGAAACCCCGTCTCTACTAAAAATACAAAAAATTAGCCGGGTGTGGTGGCGGGCGCCTGTAGTCCCAGCTACTCGGGAGGCTGAGGCAGGAGAGTGGCGTGAACCCGGGAGGCGGAGCTTGCAGTGCGCCGAGATCGCGCCACTGCACTCCAGCCTGGGCGACAGAGCGAGACTCCGTCTCAAAAAAAAAAAAAAGGAGTATTAGCTATTTAACAGAAGCCTTTGAAAAAGGGACAGCAGGGCAGGAAGGCATGTGGGCCTCTGCACCACCAAATGTGCTTATATGCCAAGGGTATAACTGGCTCTGACTTCATGTACGTCTGGCTCTGACTTCATGATGTTTCAGTCCCAGCGCAGTTGCCCAATGGATGTCTTTTCACTCTCTCTGTCCTAACCTTCAAGATTTGGTACAAATCCCACTTCTAACCCATACTTCTCTTTCCCTCTCCCACCAATTTTATAAACTCACTGTTTTTACTGCACATTTGGGCACACAGCCATAAACTGCCTTGTATTAATTGCTTTTTATAATCTGAAAAAAGATGTGATACTTCTACCTCCCTCACAAAACCCAGCACAATGCTAGAACACAACACACTTTACAATAAAAATTTACTGAATCTTTTCAACAGCAGCAAATGATTATCAGTAATATCCTCTTGTATTGGTTTCCTGAAACCAGAACCTTAACTTTTCAGGTCATTCAGTCTTCCCATGATACTAACCTTTTCTTGCTTTTTCTATTGACTTGAGTTTCTCCTTCGCTTGGTAAACAGCTGTTGCCTAATTTAAACAACATTTAAAAAACGTGGTTTATTCTTCAACTATATCAAACTTAGTTTTTGGCTTAATTCACAAGATCCTTTAGCCTACAAGAACAATCTTTGAAACTTGGAAATCCCAACAATTTATTTGTAATGTTCTGAAATACCACTTGACATTATTTATTTCAGTCATATTTAATGAAAGAAATATTATATTTATGAACTAGTCTCCCATTCACAAATTAGTTGTAGAAACAAAACATAAATTGGATTGTCTTTTTCTTCACGTCTTCTACCATAAACATGCAGAAGACACCCAGACTATGGACGACCCCAAAAGCATCCTATTCTTGCAACTAGTTCAAGAATAAAATACCCTTTTTTCCCCTAGTTTGGAAGATACAACCTTGAATTCATATTCTTATTCGTTTATATATCAGCTCAATGTTTAATGACTTTATCACAAAAACACTCCCTCCAAGCCCTCAGGTACACTAAAGGACAAAATGAAGTTAACCTAGTATATGCATATCTTCGACTATGACACTGTGGTTAAGAGTATGGAGTCAGGCCAGGCACAATGGCTCACACCTGTAATCCCAGCATTTTGGGAGGCCGAGGCAGGCAGATCATTTGAGATCAGGAGTCTGAGACCAGCCTGACCAACACGGTAAAAACCCATCTCTACTAAAAATACAAAAAATTTATATGGGCATGGTGACACACGCCTATCTCAGCTACTTGGGAGGCTGAGGCAGGAGAATCGCTTGAACCCAGGAGGCAGAGGTTGCAGTGAGCCAAGACTGTGCCATCGCACTCTGGCCTGGGCAATAGAGCAAGAGCAAGACTCTGTCTCAAAAAAAAAAAAAAAAAAAAAAAAAGAGTATGGAGTCAGAGAGATCAAGGTTTAAATTCAATCTACTTTTTAGCCTCCATGGGCAAGTTAGTTATTAAAGTATTGGTTTCTTCCTCTAAATGACGACACTGACTTGATATAAACTGTTAGGAAGATGGAAGTAATGCATATAAAATGCAAGGCACAGGGCCTGGTGCCTAAGTGCTCAATCAATGTTAGTTACTACTATTTAAGTCATGAAATTCAGTTTTATGGTCCTGTGTTCACTGTCTTTAATTATTTATAACACAAAGTGGGAAAATCAAACAAAGTGGATACAATTATATGAAAAATGCTTAAGTTTCAATAAACAGTAATTGAAAGTCTGTTAGTATCCTGCTAACTACAATTACCTAAAAAATTAATACACCTGAGACTCAAAGGAAATAGACCAAACTATGAATAGTGGCATTCTTTCCGCAGCTGAACTAAAGACAATTTTTTCCCTCTTCTTTCCATTTTTCTGTATTTTCTGAATTTTGTTTGATAAGCAAGTATTACATACATAAGGATTTTTATATACATATTTACAGATTTTAATATATATATAATATATACAAACATATAAATAATATATTTTGAGACAGAGTCTCCCTCTGTCGCCCAGGCTGGAGTGCAGTGGGGTGATCCCAGTTCATTGCAACCTCTGCCTCCCGGGTTCAAGAGATTCTCCTGCCTCAGCCTCCCAAGTACCTGAGATTACAGGCGTGAATCACCATGCCCAGCTAAATTTTTTTGTATTTTTAGTAGAGATGGATTTCACCATGTTGACTAGGCTAGTCTTGTACTCCCGACCTCAGGTGATCTGCCCACTTTGGCTTCCCAAAGTGCTGGGATTACAAGTGTGAGCCACTGTGCCCAGCTAATTTTTTTTTTTTTTTTTTTTTTTGAGAGTCTTGCACTGTTGCCTGGGCTGGAATACAATAGCGCAATCTCAGCTCACTGCAACCTATGCCTCCCAGGTTCACGCGATTCTCCTGCCTCAGTCTCCTGAGTAGCTGGAATTACAGGCACACACCACCACACCTGGCTAATTTTTTGTATTTGTAATAGAGACAGGGTTTCACTATGTTGGCCAGACTGGTCTCGAACTGAGACTGGTCTCAATCACAGACTGACCTCGCGATCCACCTGCGTTGGCCTCCCAAAGCCCTGGGATTACAGGCATTAGCCACCATGCCCGGCCTGATTTTAATATATTTTTAAAAACTATTTACTAGTGAGTTGTTTCCTTAGTAGAGGTGATTAATTTACCCTGAACTGCCCAGGCTTCTAGTTACTGGAGCTCATTTTAATACATTTGTTAAGAGATTAATCAGTGGTAAGGATGCCAGCAATGTCTGGTCGACATGAGAATCAAGCTCAGCTATTTCTGCAATACTATCATGTTATATTAGTTAGTATTTAGTGAAGTAACTGGGCAAATAATAGCAAATAAGTTGCCTCTTTGAAATAGTAGCCAAGAACAGCAAAGGGAAAACTAGGATCCTTGATCTATGTCCAAATCCTACCTAGATGAGGATGAATGACTAAATTAATGTCAATTTTAATCAATTTATAAAATGTGTATATATTTTTATTGATTTCAAAATATATAAAAAATGAAAAATTTCCCTGATTTTTATGCTAAGGATCAGAGACCAAAAAAAAAAAAAGAGAGATTTAGACTACTGATAATTAAAATTTATATCAGACCAGGATAAAAGTAAAACTTTCCATTTCTATAATTCAATACTGTAAAATCTTTAAGCATCGAAAATGTGGCTCACAAGTAATGCAGACTATTTGAAAACAGTAAGTAAAAAAGAGAATGACAATAGCCTTTCATTTAACCACTGGCAATGGTGAGTGACAAGATATCACCTTTAGACTTGGAAAGTCTAGTTTTCTGCTCTTCAAAATATTGATAACAGATTTTTCAGAAACAGATTAAACAACATCCTTTTTAACCTTAAGAACCAACCTCTGTCAACTTACCAGTATTTGTTCTGCTTCCTTTAGCTGTTTTTGTAGCTGCTGAATATCACTGTCTCTCTTCTCTACTTCTTTTTCTAAAACTTGCATTTCATGATGAATTTTTCCCTGATTAAGTGCCAATTTCATTAGTTCTTGAAATTCCCCATCTCGGTGAATTAACAACTCCAGGACCTGTCAGATAACAGTCAATTAAATCAGACAATAGACTACTGAAAGGCTGCATTCCAATGAAACAAAGAATCCGTAACTGAATTGGCTAGGCTATAAATTTCAACACCTTCAAAATTTTATTCCTAATTCTTGTTAAGAATAAAAAGAGCCTACCTATGATTATTTTGGGAAACATTAATATCAAACTTTTCTACTTTTTCAGATATTCTTTCATACAAAACAAAATAAAACTAGCCTTTCAGAACTAGCAATATGGCAACATGAGCAAGTTTAGTGATTTCCTAGGGAAGACACGATTTTAAAGTTTATCCTTATGGCTGGGCACAGTGACTCATGCCTGTAATCCCAGAACTTTGGGAGGCTGATGCGGGCAGATCACTTGAGGTCACGAGTTCTAGACTGGCCTGGCCAACATGGTGAAACCCCATCTCTACTAAAAATACAAAAATTAGTTGGGTGTGGTGGCGCCTAAAATCCCAGTTACTCAGCAGGCTGAGGCAGGAGAATTGCATGAGCCTGGGAGGTGGAGGTTGCAGTGAGCCAAGATCACGCCACTGCACTCTAGCCTGGGTGACAGAGTAAGACACTGTCTCAAAAAAAAAAAAAAGTTTATCCTTAAAAATACAATATAGGCCAGGCGCGGTGGCTCACGCCTGTAATCCTAGCACTTTGGGAGGCCGAGGCAGGCGAATCACCAGAGGTCAAAAGTTCGAGACCAGCCTGACCAACATGGAGAAACCCCATCTCTACTGAAAATACAAAATTAGCTGGGCGTGGTGGTGCATGCCTATAATCCCAGGTACTCAGGAGGCTGAGGAAGGAGAATCGCTTGAACCCGGAGGCAGAGGCTGCGGTGAGCTGAGATCGCGCCATTGCACTCCAGCCGGGGCAACAAGAGCGAAACTCCATCGCAAATATATATATGTATATATAAATAATGAAAGTTCTCCCAAAATTTGGTATTTGAGATGATTTTAGGTGGCACCAAGAACTTAAGAAAACTTTTACACTTACACATTTGTGCTAATATATATTAGAAAAAACTGAGACACTGAAACTCTGAGTTTATGCACAGTATTGTTTACAATGAAGATGATCTTAAAAATACGGTGATTTCGGCCAGGCGCAGTGGCTCATGCCTGTAATCCCAGCACTTTGGGAGGCCGAGGTAGGCGGATCACAAGGTCAGGAGTTTGAGACCAGCCTAACCAACATGGTGAAACTTCGTCTCTACTAAAAATATAAAAATTAGCCGGGGGTGGTGGCACATGCCTGTAATCCCAGCTACTCAGGAGGCTGAGGCAGAAGAATTGCTTGAACCCAGGAGGCGGAGGTTGCTGTGAACCCAGATCACGCCACTGCACTCCAGCCTGGGTGACAGAGCAAGACTTCGTCTCAGGAAAAAAAAAAAAATACAGTGATTTCATAAAACAGTAAACAAACAAGTGGTATGCAGATACGGCAAAAACCATGAAGGCTAAAACACATAAAATAGAAAGTCTGGTGGTTCATATCTCTAGTCCTCCATCTGCTAGCTGTGTGACACAGGGAAAGTTACCAGCCTCTCTGAGCCTGTGTTCTTAATAGGAAAAGGAATATAATATTAATAGTAGCCATTACATGAAGCTATTGTGAGGATTCATGATATATTGCACTTTAAGTACATACAGGAAGAGTTCAGCAAAGGCTAGTTATTACGATCACTACCCCAGTACAGAATTAAGATGCAAGTCTAGTCTAAATATCCTTTACTGTGCTAAGTAGAGAATACTACTTCAGAAAGAAAATATCTATCAAAATTCAGAATCAATTTTAAAACTATTTAAAAAGATTTGTTGAAGACTAAAAAGTACAGGTATGCCTCTTCAAGATCCTTTTGACATGAAGTTCTTCTCATTTTATAGGAATTCTTCTAATACAATAGACAAAAGACTGAGCTACAAACTGCCAAATATTAAGAGTATTTTAAATAACAACAGAAAGCTTTTTCTGTAAAAAGTAAAGTATATTCTATTTATTTAACAGACTTCTAATCCTCATTCCTCCCACATCGTAGGAGAAAGCTAGGTTTCCATTTCTATAAAAGCTGTATTATTAAAGCAAGTAGTACACAGTAGTTCCCTGACAACTTTCAAGAAGTTTACACAGGTTGAATTAATTTGTATACTACCCATGAGTAAAAAATATTCTCTTTAGATCTTATTGTTCAGTAGAAAAAAATTATTCAACTAAAGTCAGAAGACCTAGGTTCTGGTTCCACTCACCATTAACCTCTACCTCATCCGTCCACCCTGGAGCTTATTCTCACAGGAGGTTGAACTGAACATCGTTAAGATCCTTTCTAATTCTAAAATTCTATATAAAATTATAAATATCCAAATAAAATGGTGGCTAGAAAATTTTCAAATGGGCACATCCCTCTCTAATAGTAACAGTTTCAATGAAAATTACATAGGAATCCACAGTACTAAGACACAATTCACAAATTGCTACTCTTTAAAAAGTGCAAGAAAGATCAGTGCTGATTATAGGTCTTAATTATCACCTTCTGAATAATCTGTGTGCCTGGCTCATAGCAAGCATTTAATAAGTGTCTATCAAATAAAGTCAAGCCTTGCATTTTACTTCTTGCATACTTTGTATAAATTCCTATTTAATCCCACGGGTATTAACAGAGTACCTGAGAGACTAGTAGTCTTCTATTAACATATTTATCTCTAGCCTCTTTCTTTTTTGAAAAAAAACAAAACAAAAACCTTACTACCCCTAAGGTTAGCTGTTTCTCCTAGCTTGTGGCCTCATCTGGATCCCCTCCTCCCCTTTTGAGGCTCACTGACACTTTTCTATTGAGTCCGTCAGATTTCCCTGCCCTCAAAACGTAAGACAGAACTAAGGTAATGATGCAGACAAAAGATTTATTACTGTCTCCTCTTCTCCTTTACATCATCTTTAGAAAGGTTAATCCTCTCCATTCATTTTCTCTTAAACATTTTTTTTGGCCAGCTATGGTGGCTCATGCCTATAGTCCCAGCACTTTGGTAGGCCAAGGTGGGGAGGATCCCTTGAGGACAGGAGTTCAAGACAGTTCAAGACTGACCTGGGCTACACAGTGAGACTATGTCTCTACCAAAAAAAAAAATTTCTTTTAAATTAGCAAGGCATTATAGCGCATGCCTATAGTCCCAGATACTGGTGAGGATAAGTGGGAGATCGCTTCAGTCCAGCAGGTTGAGGCTGCAGTGAGCAGTCATCATGCCACTGCACTCTAGCCTGGGCTACAGAGCGAGAACTTGTCTCAAAAAAGAAAAAACTGTGCCAAAAACATAATATAAAATTTATCCTCTTACCTCTAAAAAAATTCTGAATCAGGAAAAAAAGTCTGTTCACCCACCATGGAAAATTAGAAAGCACCGAAAAGTGAGCAAATAAAAACTGCCCGTACTTTCACCCCTATAAGGCAATGTCTAATAAGAGTTGTATGCTCTTTTATTTCCCTGCATGTTCAAGTTGCATTAGGGAACTATACTTACAATACACGGTAAGTTTTTGAGCATTAACTTTTGATTCTAAATATTGTTGTAATCTCCATACAACAAGCCTTTCTTGGTTAATTCAAAGGACAAAAATAAATAAACATGTAAGTGTGACTAGAATTGTAAGAGAAAATAACAAAATACTGCTAAACCCTCAGGCAACTATTCTTCTTAAGCGCACTGTTATCTTAAGTAAATGATACAAAGAAAATACCAATATTAAAGTTTTAATTAATAACTTAAAAGGATCCAACATTCCTGTTCCCACACAAAGTAAATATAAAGAGGAAACTTGCAGAAATCAAGTTTTTTTCTTTTAATTAAAAAACAAAGAGAAATTAACTAATTTAAAAAGAAGCCACTTACCTGGTTTTCCTCTCCAGCCTGTAACAACTTTTGGTTTCTTGAAATTGCCAGCATTTCTATAAGTTCCCTAAAAAAAAAAAACCAACAACAACAAAAACCCTTTCACAGCATACTGAACACTCAGGGCTACTCCCTACAGTCCGCTATTGACTGTGAACTACAGCTCACCAAGACTCGCTTGTGCCGGTTACCAAACTTATTTATAAAAGTTCTACTTAATACTATCATTATATAAATAGCTATCACCTAAATGCCAATGAAAGACTATTGTGAATAGAGAGAGTTCTTTCTATAAAAACCTAAGCCTAATGCTTGGAAAGACTCTACAGAGGCTTGCAAAGGACAGCTATAAAGAAAGGACCAGGGAAAAGTCATAAAAACTAAGGGTCTGCCCTAAGACTGCTTGATAAGAGGATAAGTTCTCATTTTGATTTGATCTAGAAATCAAACTACAAATTGCAGACAATGCATTATGAGCGATTTATGCAAGAAAAACTCATACATCAGGGGTCTACAGGCCAAATCCAGCACTTCTGCAGTTTTTGTAAATAACATTTTCCTAAGACAGTCTGCCCATTAATATACAAATTGTCTATGGCAGTTTTCCCTAAATACAGAGGCAGAGTTGAGTTGTTACAGCAGAGACTATATGGCCCATAAACCCAAAAGTATTTATTATCTGGCCTTTGCAGAAAAAGTTTTCTGACTCCTGTCTTACATAACATGATTAGTGAATGAACATATGTTTATATATTTTAAGGTAAAATAAAACAATTAAGGGATGCATGGACCATTTTTTAATGATTCTCCACTTTATTTGAATTTTTTAAATTAAACATCAACTAAGAGGGATCCTTACACATAATAAAATGATATCCTTTTAGAATGCTCATTTAATAAATATGACAATTTCCCTGTATGAAAATTAGTATCTGATGAGCAAAATAAGATTGGGAAAAATGTATAGCAGGTAATGTTTATATATTAGTTTCAAACTTGTTGATAGATGGGACTTTTGAGAAATTATGCAGAAGGGGCAGCTTCACAACTAGCTACCTGACACTGCTCTGATCAGCCTGAGCATTTGTACTTTCTCACTGGCTACCAGGCTATTTTTACCTTCAAATTTCCACCTTCCTTCCAGCTAGCATCATATCATTTTTCTGGATCATGTCAATTAGACCCAACCCTTCCCACTACTACTTCCCCATACCATTATTTATGAATTAATCAATGAATGAAAAAAGTAGATATAAGAATGCAAAGTCTTCATTTATTCACTAATTCATCAAATATTTATTGAGTGCCTATCATGTGCCAGGCACTTTCTAGATACTTGGGGTATCAAAGTGAACAATGGCACTTAAATTCTAATACAAGAGACAAGAAGAACTAAGAGAAGAAATAAACCTAGAGTGATAAGGGTTGGGAAGGAAATAAAGCAATGTTTTATTAGAGACTACTGGGGGAGTGGGTTGGCTACTTCAATAGGGTGGTCAGAGAAGGTCTTCCTAAGGGCACAGCTTTGACATAAGACACGGATTAAATGAGAGAAGTCAGCCAAGATGTCTGGAAGGAAAGAGCACAGTAGAAGACACAGACAGTTCAGTGCCCCAAAGATGGAGCTGAGGAGGTGTAGCCAGGGCCTGGCACAATGGGGAGAGGAAAGCAAAGTGAGGATGTAGCAGCCAGGTGGCTAGGGGTGAGATTACGTAGGGCCTTATAGTTATGGTAAAGATTAGTGTTTCATTCTTTTTTTATTTTTTATTTTTTGAGATGGAGTTTTGCTCTTGTTGCCCAGGCTGGAGTGCAATGGCGCGATCTCGGCTCACCCCAACCTCCACCTCCCGGGTTCAAAGAATTCTCCTGCCTCAGCCTCCCTAGCAGCTGGGATTACAGGCATGTGCCACCACGCCCGGCTAATTTTGTATTTTTTTTTTAGTACAGATGGGGTTTCTCCCTGTTGGTCAGGCTGGTCTCGAAATCCCGACCACAGGTGATCCGCCGGCCTCGGCCTCCCAAAGTGCTGGGATTACAGGCATGAGCCACTGCGCCCGGCCTAGTGTTTCATTCTAAATGCAATGAGAAGCCACTGGGTTATTTTAAACAGGGAAATGGCATGACCTGATTTATACTTTTAAAAACTGTTGAGTGATCTGGTAAATAGACTGTAAGAGGGCCAGAACAGGAAGTAAGTTAGGTGGTTTCTGTAGTGTTCCAGGCAAAAAATGACACTGGTTTTGACGAGGTTATAGCCTCCAGGACTTAGTAATCGTGATGGGAGAAACATGGACAGATTTCAGATATCTTTTGGAGGTAGAGCTAACAGGACTTGCTGATGGATCAACAGCGTATGAAAACAGCATGTTAAGTAAACTTTTTAGTGTACGCCACAAGTGAGACATAGACGGTTGAGAACCTCTGGTCTAAGTAAAAGCTGGTTTCAGGTGGGGCAGGAGTGGTGCTGACTAGAGTGGGGCTATGGTAGGAGATGTGGGATAAGCCTTCCTCTGTTCTTGCAAATCTGGGAGCGTGAGTCCACAGAAGGCTTTACAAGGCTTGCCTTAGGCGCCGGAGTAGAGGGGAGGTAGAAGTCTCTAAGACTTAGTCATGTTCTGTAACAGTCCAGGACAAAATAGAAACCCCTGTCCTCCCCAACTGCGAAAAAGAGGCCAAAGGAAGCCCCCACACTCAAGAGCCCTGTCCTGCTAAAAAGAAGGTGCATTCCCAGCATACTGCATTAGAATCCAGACACAATTCCCCATAGAAATAAAATTTCCATAGCGGTTAGAGCCTACATTATTAGCAGTAATACACTTTTCAGGTAAACAGAATTAACAGGCTGGTGTGGAAAACTCAAGATTCCTATCAACATGGTTCTGTGGAACAATGAGTTTTGAGTTACAAATGGGTTAAAAAAAACGTTTAGCCTACAACCTGTGTTTCAACTTTTTAAGACTATCTCCTTGCATTACATTTTATAAACTAATAAATATCCCGAAAGGCTATATAATCAGGTTAATAGAAAAAAAAAGATCCTAAGTTATAAATCCACTATTTTTAAAGAGGCTAAATCTAAAAATATGTAAGGTATATTCGTGATTTTTCTTCTCATTTTCATAAATGCAAGCCAGACACAAATTACATTCAGAGACTGACAAACTTCACAGATCACAGAATCAGTACACATAACTACCTCTGAGTGAACACATGAGACCTTTCTGGAAGCCAGTCACACCACCAGAGCAGCTTCATTCTGTGAAGAAGTTCCAATGATCCGCCCGCCTTGGCCTCCCAAAGTGCTCGGATTATAGGCGTGAGCCACCACACCCGGCCCTAATACAGTTTATTTTAAACAGTGGATCAAACACATAAGCCATTTAATTTCTGCTGTCTAGGTGTTTTCGGGTTTTCTTCCATCATTAAATATTGTGCTGACCTGGTAACTTGGTAGCAATACGATGGCAAGGACTAAATTTACACCAAAAATAAAGTGCTGATTATATCACGTATATTTTAAAATACAACAGGTAAGATTTATTCTAAAGCTGTCAAAGAATGTTGGCTATAGAAAAAGTGACATTTGAGCTGGATTCTGAAGGATATATGAATCATTCACCAAATCGGGAGTAGACTGGGAATGGCACTGAAGATGTGGAAGTCTGACTAAAGAATTTGAACTTTACCTCACTGGACAACGCAAACCTACCAATGAGGTAGCTTTTATATAATTTTTCTGCAGAAAAGTGATATAAGATGCCTTTTAAAACTGGTATCGGCCAATATAAAAGGATAAAGTGCAGAAGCATGAGGCAATTAAAACTGTTTGGGAGGCTACATTTAAGAAGGAGTTATGAACAGCGGGGTTGGAACGAGAGGGCAAATTGGAGCGACACTTTAGGAGGTAGAACCAAGATAATTTACCATCCAAGTCAATGGGAGGGAGTCAAGGAAGGCTTCAACTTGAAAGACTTATCATGAAAGGTGACAGAATATGAAGAACGACATCTAATTTCATCTCCTATCTCTGACACACAACCATCCTAAACAACTTGCAACTCCACCAAGCCAGGCTTTTTGCACTTGCTGTTCCATCTATCTGTGCTGCCTAGTGAGTTTGGCGAGCTCATGCTTCCCAAGCAGCACTTTCTTCAGAGGGCCTGCCCTGACTACAACCAAAAAAGGTGCCTAGTCCCTGTGCTCCAGTACCCCGCAGCGCAGCCCTCTAATAAAAACAGGCCCCAAGCCAGTTTACACATCTGTCTCTCTCTCGACAGCTGGCATCCAGTCTACCCTTCACTACCGTCTCCCCAATGCTGAGCCCCCAAGGAGCGTTCCATAAATGTTAAGTGGCTGGCCGCGGACGAAGAGGCTCAGACCGCGCGAGTTCTTATCATTACTAAAATTCCCTCTAACGGGAAAAACCGCCGCCCAGAGTGCCAGAGGGCTGCGGACCCCACGTCCATGACCCTCATGCACCCGAAACTCCCGAGCTGGCCCTCCCCGCCGAACCCCGAGAACGAGCACAAACGCAGGGCCGGCCGGCTCCGGGGTCAGTCCCCCGGCCCAGCTCCAGCCCGGCTCTCAGGCTCGCCGCATTACCTAGACAGGACCTCCAAGTCCTCAAGCGCAGACAGCAGCCGCTCTCGTGTGCTGTTACCACCCGCCACTCCCAAACCGCCTCCCAGCCGCTCCTTCTCCTTCTCACCACTCGAAGACGCAGCCATTTTCCCCAGAGTCCCGCCACCGGCGCACGCGCAGAGCGAGCTGACGCAGGTGCGTGGCGAGAAGGCGGGCTCGGAAGGCGGAAGAGTCACCCAGGAGAGGAAAAAGAGGCCTGGCGAGAGCGCCCCCTTTGGGCCTGGAGGCGCACTGCGGACACCGGCGCCATCTGTTGGGCCGGCGAGGGCTTTCTGGTCCAAACCCTGGGAGCGACAGCTGAACTGAGAACAGTGGGGGCAACGCAGTCTGATTCTCCTGGGCCTAATGGTTTTTTTTCTTTCTTTCTTTCTTTTTTTTTTTTTGAGACGAGTCTCGCTCTGTTGCCCAGACTGGAGTGCATCGCCGCGGATGTCTTGGCTCACTGCAAGTTCCGCCTCCTGGGTTCACGCCATTTTTCCTGCCTCAGCCTCCCGAGTAGCTGGGACTACAGGCGACCGCCACCACGCCCGGCTAATTTTTTGTATTTTTAGTAGAGACGGGGTTTCACCTTGTTAGCCAGGATGGTCTCAATCTCCTGACCTCGTGATCCGCCTGCCTCAGCCTCCCAAAGTGGTGGAATTACAGGCGTGAGCCACCGCACCCGGCCCACCTTAACCATTTTTAAGTGGATAGTTCAGTGGCATTAAATACATTCATACTGTTGAGCAACTATCCATCTCCAAAACCTTTTATCTTGTAAAACAAACTCTGTACTCACTAAATGCTAACTCCTTATCCCTCCCTTCTCCAGGCCCTGGCAACCACCATTCTACTTTCCATTGCTGTAAGTTTGGCTACTCTAGGTACCTCATATAAGCAGAATCATACAGTATTTGTCTTTTTGTGTCTGGCTTATGTCACTCAGCATTATGTCCTCCAGGTTCATCCATGATGTAGCATGTGCTGGAATATCTTTCCTTTTTAAGACTAATATTCCATTGTATGCATATGGCACCTTTTGTTCATCCATTCATCTGACGATGGACAGTTAGGTTACTTCCACATTGCTATAATCCATCTTTATAGCCATACATCTTCCAACAAAATGTTTTGCTCATTACTCAGGTTAATTATTGAACTGAAGGAACCAATACAGTACATAAGTAGTAGTTAATTAACATAGTTTAAGTCATTGATGTACCACACATTCCAAACCAGAACTGGTTGTCAAAGGCAAAAATACGTCTTAGCCTACTTTTCCTAGGGATAACAATGTAGTAGGGATCACTCTCTACCAGAAAAAAGCAAAGTTACAAGCCTATTGGGAATGAGGATTCCATATTGCTATTATAAAAGATGGTCTGGGACTGCCTCACTCCCATGAGGTAGTAGTACCTGTAGTCCTTTCATTTCAGGGTCTCATCCTCTACTCTGTCTTTTTGGAGGTGCTAAACCTGACTCCTGGGCACCCAGAGTTGACAAGTCTTTTAGAAATTCATGTTAAATAAATTCACTCATAGCAACTGCTGCGTAATCTAGAATGCTGATTTACTCACTTACGATGAAAAGTAATAGTGCCAAACATATCTTTTTCCCATAGACAAAACTATATGAGAAGCCATATTATCACAGGATGTTGCTTGTTAAACTTGGATCAGAACAAACAAGGATAGATTAAAAATTAATGACACAATCATGAGGCTTTGTGTCTCCACAGTGTAGGGATATTTGTGTTCAAGAGATTGGATTATTTGTGTTCATAGGTCAGGGTACCTTTTCCTCTAGACAGTGCAAGAGATCCTTGTCACCTTTTGTTTTCTGACCGTTCCCTGCATCTGCTGTTGGCTAACCCTTTTTTGTTAATGCAGTCAATTCTCAGGCAATGGGCTAAAGTAGATTGAAGCTTTGTTCATTACACTTGCATTCTAAACATGCCTCTCAGTACTCTAGTCAATCATTTCTTATGTTAAGTTTCCAGGGTGCCAAACTTCTGCGGTATGTGTTGGTTTTGTTTACTCAACTCTCACGGGTCATATTGAGCCATGACTCTGGTAGGAGGAGAGAGAACATTATATTAGTGTAAACATAAAAATTCTAGAAGGATTCTAATTAGTTAAAAATGACCAATTATAGTCCTACTTTGCAGACACTGAGGATCAGTGTGTGGAGCATGTATGTGTATTGTGAACTCCTGACCTCCTCAGATTTATTGCAAATTCATATGCATATTAAACAGTTTCTATAGACTGATAAGTAATAGCATCTTTCACAGATATACTGTCTTGCAAATTGTACAAATCCAGGCGTGATAAACAAATATGAATTATTTTATATAGTATTACTGAATTCATGGTAATTTGGAGTTAGGTACATATTTTCTCAATCTGTAGATTCAAAAAGGACACTACTTTCTCATGAAATTTTATTGACATGGTGGGCAGTGTTCTAAGCACTTCAAAAATATTAACTTGTTTAATTTTCCTAACACTCCTATGAGGTAAGTACTGTTACTATCCCTATGTTACAGATAATGAAACTGAGGGGCAGAAATGTTAAGACACATGCCGGGGTCATATAGTAAATGGCAAAGCTGGAATCTGAACCCAGAGTCTGGCTCCAGGGTCTGTGCTCTTTACCACTGGTTATCCCAGCTCTCTGTAAAGAAAGAAGGATATTCAGGTACTAAAAGGACTGGGAACCTCTGACCTAAAATATGAGAGGACTTCAAAAAGTTCATGGAAAAATGGAATTAAAAGATAATAATTTAAAATATAAACTTTATTTCTCAACATAAGCTCCATCTAGTTCAAGACACTTTTGTAAATGACGATACCAGCCATTTAGTTCATCCCTAAATAAATGAGGGCCCTTGGAATTTAACCGTGTCAATGCTGTCTTTTTTACTTTTTTCTTTTCTTTTTTTTTTTGCCACAGGGTCTCACTCTCTGTCACTCAGGCTGGAGGGCAGTGGTGCAACCACAGCTCACTGCAACCTTGACCTCCCAGGCTCAAGCAATCCTCCCAATACATTATTAACTGAAGAAAAATGAGTGCCCTTTACAGATTTTATTTATTTATTTAGTTTTGAGACAGAGTCTTGCTCTGTTGTCTTGCTCAAGCTGGAGTGCAGTGGCACAATCTTGGCTCACTGCAACCTCCACCTCCCGGGTTCAAGTGATTCTCCTGTCTCAGCCTCCCGAGTAGCTGGGATTACAGGCATGTGCCACCATGCCTAGCTAATTTTTGTATTTTTAGTAGAGATGGGGTTTTGCCATGATGGCCAGGCTGGTCTCAAACTCCTGACCTCAAGTGATCCACCCCCCTCGGCCTCCCAAAGTGCTGGGACTACAGGCATGAGACACTGAGCCTGGCCCAGATTTTTTTAAGATTAGGAAACAAAAAGAAGTCAGATCAGGACTGTAAGGTGGATGTTCAATGATTTCCCATTGAAACATTTCCAAAATTGTCCTTGTTTGATGAGAGGAATGAGCAGGAGTATTGTTGTGGTGGAGAAGGACTCTCCGGTGAAGCTTTCTCGGGTGTTTTTCTGCTAAAGCTTTTGCTAACTTTCTCAAAACACTCTCATAATAAGCCATTGTTATCATTCTTTGGCTTTCCAGAAAGTCACCAGACAAAATGCCTTGAGCATCCCAAAAACTGTTGCCATGCTGTTTGATCTTGACTGGTCTGCTTTTGCTTTGACTGGACCACTTCCACCTCTTGATAGCCATTGCTTCGATTTTGCTTTATCATCAGGATTGTGCTGGTAAAGCCATTTTTCATCTCCTGTTACAGCTCTTCAAAGAAGTGCCTCAGGATCTTGATCTCACTTGTTTAAAATTTCCATTGAATGCCCTGCTCTTGTCTGCAGGTGATTTGGGCATAACAGTTTTGGCATCCATTGATTGGAAAGTTTGCTCAACTTTAGTTTTTGAGTCAGAATTGTATAGGCTGAACAAATTGAGATGTCTATAGTGTTGTCTATTAATTGCTTGTCCTCTGCAATTAGGGCACAAACAAGATAAATATTTTCCTTGCAAATTGATGTGGATGGTCTGCTGCTGCAGGCTTTATCTTCAACATCATCTCATCCCTTCTTCAAATGAGTTTTCTATTTGTAAAACTGCTGATTTCTTTAGGGCATTGTCCTCATAAACTTTTCATAAAGCATCAAGATTTCACCATTCTTCCACACAAGCTTCACCATCAATTTGATATTCTTGCTTCAATTTTAGTAGAATTCATATTGTTCTGATAGGGGCTCTTGTCAAACTGATGTCTTATCCTTCTTGTGCCTCAAACTAGATCCTGTTCATACATGTTATAACAAGTTAGTATGACTTTATTTTGGTGGAAAAATATTTTGAAATGCATCTATAGTTTTTCTATAATACACACTTTTCATGAACTTTTTGAAGAACCCCTCATACAAACACTATCAAATAAATGCACAGCTTGAAATTCTGAGCAAAAAGCAGCTGCAAGCAGTTGGTGTGGAGGTTTGGAGGTGCAGCGAGAAACTCAACCAAGGCTGTCCCTAAGGGTAGGCGGAATAGATAGCTGAATACACTATGTATCTTTAAAAAAATTTTTTTAATTTTATTATTATATTTTTGAGACAGAGTCTTGCTCTGTCACCTAGGCTGGAGTGCAGTGGCACGATCTCAGCTCACTACAACCTCCACCTCCCAGGTTCAAGCAATTCTCCTGCCTCAGCCTCCCAAGTAGCTGGGATTACAGGCATGTGCCACCATGCCTGGCTAATTTTTGTATTTTTAGTAGAGATGGGGTTTCGCCATGTTGGCCAGGCTGGTCTCGAACTCCTGACCTCAGGTGATCTGCCCGCCTTGGCCTCTCAAAATGCTGGGATTATAGGCAGGAGCCACTATGCTTGGCCTATTTTATTTTTTTAAGGCAGAGCCTTGCTATGTGAGCCACTTCACCCGGCCTATTTTTTATTTTCATCAAACAACATATATACATAGTCTAAAGTCAAATGGTACTCAGAAGCTTCTAATGAAAATAAAAAAGTTCTAAATTACCACCTCCTGAGCCCCACTTCCTAGCATATCCTTCTCACTAAAGGTGGGCACTCTCAGCATTTTTAACCATTACTTCTATTCTTTGCTCACATATTTTAAAATAATATGCATATATTCTATATCTCTATTCAACTGCTTTTGAAATTTATTTCCTATTATGATAAATGAGGATTTTATCTCTCTTACATGTGTCATTTATCTTCCCATTAGTTAGAACACAGTTCTGGCCAGGCATGGTGGCTTATGCTTATAATCCCAGTACTTTGAGAAGCCAAGGCATTTGAGACCAGCCTGACCAACATGGTGAAACCCCATCTCTACTAAAAAAGTACAAAAAATTGGCTGGGCATGGTGGCACATGCCTGTAATCCCAGCTACTTAGGAGGCTGAGGCAGGAGAATCGCTGGAACCCAGGAGGTAGAGGTTGCAGTGAATCAAGATCATGTCATTGCACTCCAGTCTGGGCAACAAGAGTGAAACTCAGTCTCAAAAAAAAAACAAAACACAATTCTTTGTTAAGTCAATAGTTAGTGTTTACATTACTACACTATATCTACACATAACTATGTAATTATTATTTGTTTGACATGCCTAACATATCCCTGTGGAGATTTTTTTTAATAGAAAAGAAAATATCTAAAATATCAAAGTGCATTGTGCATCTTGTGGAAACTTTTTTCACTTAAATATCTAGGTATGTGTGCACTGGGTCAAATGTAAAATGTATTTTTTACTTTGTACTGAAAAAGTGTGAATGCTTTGGAGATGGGGTCTTCAAAGAGGTGATCAAGTTAAAATGAGGCCATTAGGGTAGACCCTAATTCAATCTGACTGGTGTCCTTTTAAGAAGAGGAAAAGATGCCAGGGATGAGTGTGCACAGAGAAAAGACCATGTGAGAATATGGCAAGAAGGCAGACACGGGCTAGCCAAGGAGAGAGGCCTTGGAAGAAACCAGTCCTGTTGACACCTATATCTTGGACTTTTGGCTTCCAGAATTGTGAGAAAATAAATTCTTGTTGCTTAAACCACTCAGTCTGTGGCATTTTGTTATGATAGCCCTAGCAGACTAATAAAGAGGGGTTGCAGGTCAATGGGCATCTGGAGATGTCTAATCATTGCCTTGCACATACCTTTGACTTTCTTGCCCCCATCTTGATTTGTTTCATTCCCTTGGCAAGGCCACGCACTGAGCTACATGCAGCTGTGCCTACTACATGCCTATACCAATGCAGCTGAATATGGATGGAGAAAAACACAAAAGCCAGTCAGTTTGTTGTAACTGAAATTCATGACTTTAACCCCCAAATCTTCAGTGGGTCCTTAGTGCTTCTGGGTAATGAGACTATGCATCCCTATTCTGACCCCTCTCCACTGTCCTTCATACAATTTCACACCATTGCCTCTCTCCACCCCTCAACATCTCCTTTCCCTTCCTCTTTCTCAATTTAGGATCTTGCCTCACTTGATTCACTGAGGAAAACAAAAAACAAAAAACAAAAAAACATATTCAAGGTCAAGGTTCAGATGGAAAGTCAGAGTCAGGTATTTCTTTCCTGGCAGGCAGGTAGTGAGAGAAGGAAAACAGAACAACTGCATTCACTAACTCTTCTCCAAGAAACAAAAAGAGTTGAAACTCTACCTCAAGACATGAACCTCAGAGCCTTTAATCCCAAGTAAAAATAACACTCAATTCAGTATCAAGCTCCAATATCAAGAACCACCATTTATGGTTTCTGAAGACATAAATCACCTCTCAAAAAGCTACTGGGAGAAAGGGATGAATTCCCAGCAAGTTGCTGGCATATAGGGAAGCAAATCTAATTTTTAAATAAATTACAAAGCCTCAAAATGTGCCATTTTAACTGCTTTTAATTAGCCAAGTTATCTCACTTAGAACCAACTAGGGCTGCTCCACCTCAAGAGAAGATTCACCCCTTACTCCTTCACGCCCCCATCCTAGTTACATTTTGAGGCTTTCCTCAAAAGAACCTCAGCCTGCACTTTCAAAAGCAATACAACAAAAAACTCCCACTCTTCAAAATTACTCAGTTAATTAAAGTCATTAGCCCTCTAGTAACTGTGGCATTTGACTTTAACTCCCTACATTCTTGTGCCTTGAGAATAAAAAACAGTTTAGGTTAAGCCTCTCATTCCCTTTATTTATTTATTTTTATTTATGTACTTATTTTGAGACTGAGTGTCACTCTGTCACCCAGGCTGGAGTGCAGTGGCACAATCTCGGCTCACTGCAACCTCTGCCTCCGGCATTCAAGCGATTCTCCTGCCTCAGCCTCCCGAGTAGCTGGAATTTCAGGCGTGTGCCACCACACCCAGCTAATTTTTGTATTCTTAGTAGAGACAGAGTTTCGCCATGTTGACCAGGCTGGTCTTAAACTCCTGACCTCAGGTGATCCTCCCGCCTTGGCCTCCCAAAGTGCTGGGATTACAGGCGTGAGCCACTGCACCTGGCCTCATTTCCCTTAAATATTTGCAGTGTGATATCGATGGAAAAATCTCCTGGAATTTATCAGACTCTCAAATACGAGAAATGTCATCCTCTCCCTGAAATTCTCCAGGCATCATTAAAAATTTACGACTTCTCAGTAACTCAGAAGAAGGGTGGGCATCATCTTTGACCTCCTTTGGTAGATTCGTTGATTCTTTCAACAAATATTTATTAAGTTCTGTGTATATGCCACACTAAATGCTAGGCCTATAGAGGTGAGCAAGACAACATTGGTCAGGAAAGGCCTCCTGGATGGGGTGAAAGCAGAGATTCTTAAGATAGAAGGTGGCTGGAATAAGTATCAGAGGTGGGCAGGAAGATTGGCAGGTCTAGAGGAAGAAGGACTAGAACAAAGAATCAGTATCAGAAAGCAAGTTGTCAAAATGCCTCACAAACTTCTTAATTGTGGATTGAATGGTGGCCTTCCCAAAATATATGTCCACCTCCCAGAACTTGTAAATGTGATTTTATTTGGAAAGGTTTTTGGAGTTGTAATTAAGGATCTCAAGATGAGATGATCCTGGATTATCCAAGTTGACCCTAAATCCAATATCGAGGTGTCATTATAAGAGATACACAGAGGAGAGACACAGAAGGAAGAGGAGAAGGTCATGTGAAGACAGAGGCAGAGACTGGAGTTAGGCAGCCACAAGCCAAGGAATGCCTGCAGCCTCCCGAAGCTGGGAGAAGCAAGGAAGCACTCTTCCCTAGAGCCTCTGAGGGAGCACAGCTCTGTTGACACCTTGATTTTGGGACTTCTCGCCTCTGCAACCATGAGAGGAAAATTTTCTGTTGTTTCTAGCCACGCAGGTTGTGGTAATTTATTATAGCAGCCCTAGGAAACCAATACAAGATGAAAAAAAGTCTAGTTTGAATGAGTAAAAATTCTCAGATTATTCTAAGAAAATACAGGTTCATTTTATCCTAATACATAAAACAAATCTCTAAGTGTTCTTGGGTGCTTGGAGAGATGAATAAACTAAATGTATTTATATTAACAGCATCAATTTGTACATCGTGAGCTAAAACAATTAAAAACATTTTGTGTTCTTAAGTAGAGGCCCAGGTTATGGAATAAAAGCTAAAGAGATCTCAGAAGTCATCTGATCTAGCCTGATCCCAGCCTGTGATCAAACCCTTTCTGGTAGAGGGGAGGTGGCTACCTCACATCAGCTAATTTTATGTATAATAAGCCCAAATGTGCTTCAAGATAATTTTCACATATTGAGCACAAACTCTGTCTTCTGAAGTCATAAACAAAACATTTAATCTGTCTTTCACACAACAGCCTAATTTTTTTAAACCACAATTTATTAAGATTTTTTCTTACAAAATTTCATATATACATGCATATTTTTATTGCTTTTTAAAATTTTCTATATTTTCTATGATGCATTTTTTATATTTTCTAGATTTTCTGATGCATATATATGCTCATATATACATCATAGAAAATATATATTATGATTATGATTATGATTTTTATTTATTTATTTATTTATTTATTTATTTATTTTGAGATGGAGTCTCACTCTGTTGCACAGGCTGGAGTGCAATGGCACAATCTCAGCTCACTGCAACTTCCACCTCTCGGGTTCAAGCTATTCTTGTGCCTCAGCCTCTCAAGTAGCTAGGATTACAGGCGCTTGCCACCATGTCCGGCTAATTTTTGTATTTTAGTAGAGACAGGGTTTCACCATGTTGGCCAGGTTAGTCTCAAACTCCTGACCTCAGGTGATCCACCCACCTTGGCCTCCCAAAGTGCTGGGATTAAAGGCATGAGCCACCGCACCAGGCCGATTTTGTTTTTATATGTCTAGATTTACTATGATGCATGTATATGTGCATATATATGATGCATCATAGAAAATCTAGAAATATATGAAAAAATAAATATCGCCTGTTAGCCCACCATTGAGAGACACACGTTGTTAACATTTTGGTTTATTTCATCTCTAATATTTTATTTTTTCACCCATGTAATCATCCCTAGTTCCTTCAGTCAAACCTCATTTAAAAGGGTTTCCAGACCTTTCATCAACTTGATCATCTGTTTCATACATTCTAGTTTGTCCTTCATAAAATGTGACAACCCAGAGTAAAGATGATGTTGCAGGTCCAGTATGTCTAGGGCTGCATGAAAGGAAACTTCTCTTTTGGTCTGGGGAATCACTGTAATGAAGTTGAATGATCACAGCCTTCGTAAAATGACTAACCTCAATTCAAGTCCTGGTTCTAATGATTTATAGTCTCTGCATTTCAGGTTCTCAGTCTATAAAATGGGGAAATGAAGCTTTCCCTATTTTTGCTGGAAGGCATAAAGGGATGTAAGTAATGTGCTTGCTGCATTGCATGTACAAATAAAAATAAATTACAGAAGTGGGTAATGTCTACTGGACTGGGTGTTGTTTCATACCCTATAGGTACAATTGCTATCCCTGTTTACAAAAAAGGACACTGAGGCACAGAGAAGTTAGGTCATCCATCTAAGACCACATACTGGGGGGTGGCAGCACCCAGGCAGTCTAAAGTCAGAGCCAGTATTCTTCACCACCATACCGCAATGTCCAGCAGCTATCATCATAACTATTATACTTCCTTCAGCATATCCCAATGCATTCAGTAAGTTTTTTGGAAGTCATATTACTTTGTGGATACATGAAAGTTTGCAACATATTAAAAAATTCTAACTGAAAGTAACCAGAATGTCATTCAATGGGTTGGATAAGTAATGGAATTACATAACAAACATTAGTACATCTATATAATGAAATACTATACAGTAACAAGAAGGAATGAGCTATCAAAGCCACCCTAAGACATGGAAGAATCTTAAATGTGTATTGCTAAGTGAAACAAGCCAATCTGTAAAGGCTACATGCTATGTGATTCCATTTATATGACATTCTGGAAAAGGTAAATCTATAGAGATAGTAAACAGATCAGTGGTTACGAAGAAATCAGAGGATGAGGAGACTGGAGTAGGCGAAGCACAGAGGATTTCTTTAAGGTACAGAAACTATTCTGTATGATATTGTAATGGTAGATACATGAAACCATGCATTTATAAAAATCCACAGAACTTTACAGCACAAAGGATAAACCTTAATGTATGCAAATTAAAACAATTATTTAGGAAGTTTGATGATCCCAGTATGGAGTGCAGAATGTGAAAAAAGAATCTAACTGTATTATGAATGTTTCATCCCCTGAAAGAAGGGAGGAAAAAGTTGCAGAGAAGGGGAGAAGGCTAGAATGATCCATGTGGTACTGGATTAGATCAGTATGAACTCTTATATAGCTTAACATAGGTACACAGGGTTACAAATAGAAATATTTATGGATATGTTTCTATATGCTGATTGGTATACATACATGTATCTCTTTGCTTTTAATTACCCAGGTTCAAGGAATCCTTTATAGTTTATTTGCATTGCTATAAAGGATTCCTTGAACCTGGGTAATTAAAAGAGAAGTCATTTATTTGGCTCACAGTTCTGCAGGCTGTACAAAAAAACATGGCAAGAACATCTTTTTTTTTTTAAGTTTTAAAAATATTTAAATAGCAGAGATAGGGTCTTGCTATATTGCCCAGGCTGGTCTCGATCCCCCTGCCTTCACCTCTCAAAGTGCTGGGATTATAGGCATGAACCACTACATTCAGCCAAGCATCTGCTTCTGGTAAGGGCTTCAGGGAGCTTCCAATCATGGCAAAAGGAGAAAGGGGAGCAAGTGTGCCACACAGTGAGGGAGGAGGAAGCAAGAGAGAGAGGAGGAGGTGCCAGGCCATTTTTTACAATCACATCTTGAGGTACCTAATAGACCTGGAACTCACTCATTACCAGGAGGATGCCACCAAGAAGTTCATGAGGGATCTGCCACATGATCCAAACACCTTCTCCGAGGCTCCGCCTCCAACACTGAGGATCAAGTTTCCACAAGAGATTTAGAGGGGATGAATATCTAAACTATATCAGAGGCCGGGCGCAATGGCTCATGCCTGTAATCACAGCACTTTGGGTGGCCAAGGCAGGTGGGTCACCTGAGGTCAGGAGTTCGAGGCCAGCCTGGCTAACATGGCAAAACCCCGTCTCTACTAAAAATACAAAATTTAGCTGGGTGTGGTGGTGGGCGCCTGTAATCCCAGCTACTCAGAGGCTGAGGCAGGGAACCGCTTGAACCTGGGAGGTGGAGGTTGCAGTGAGCCGAGATTGCACCATTGTACTCCAGCCTGGGTGACAGAGCAAGACTCCATCTCAAAATAAATAAATAAATAAATAAATAAATAAAATTAAAAACTGTATCAGAGATTGGGGGTGAGGGAGTAACTTACAGAGGAGGAGCCTGACAAACACTACTTCAGCCACATGATCAAGGACAACGGCGAGAAGTCAGTTGATAGTACCTGTTACAGGCTGAATTGTGTCCCCCTCCTGCCCAAATTCACATGTTGAAGCCCTAAGTCCCAGGACCAAAGAATGGGACTGTATCTGGAGACAGGGACTTTCAGTAGGTAATAAGTTAAAGTGAGGCCGTTACGGTCCCTATTCAAGCTGTCTGGTGTTCTTTTTTTTTTTTTTTTTTTTTTATACTTTAAGTTTTAGGGTACATGTGCACATTGTGCAGGTTAGTTACCTATGTATACGTGTGCCATGCTGGTGCGCTGCACCCACTAACTCGTCATCTAGCATTAGGTATATCTCCCAATGCTATCCCTCCCCCCTCCCCCCACCCCACCACAGTCCCCAGAGTGTGATATTCCCCTTCCTGTGTCCATGTGATCTCATCGTTCAATTCCCACCTATGAGTGAGAATATGCGGTGTTTGGTTTTTTGTTCTTGCGATAGTTTACTGAGAATGATGATTTCCAATTTCATCCATGTCCCTACAAAAGACATGAACTCATCATTTTTTATGGCTGCATAGTATTCCATGGTGTATATGTGCCACATTTTCTTAATCCAGTCTATCATTGTTGGACATTTGGGTTGGTTCCAAGTCTTTGCTATTGTGAATAATGCCGCAATAAACATACGTGTGCATGAATCTTTATAGCAGCATGATTTATAGTCATTTGGGTATATACCCAGTAATGGGATTGCTGGGTCAAATGGTATTTCTAGTTCTAGATCCCTGAGGAATCGCCACACTGACTTCCACAATGGTTGAACTAGTTTACAGTCCCACCAACAGTGTAAAAGTGTTCCTATTTCTCCACATCCTCTCCAGCACCTGTTGTTTCCTGACTTTTTAATGACTGCCATTCTAACTGGTGTGAGATGGTATCTCATAGTGGTTTTGATTTGCATTTCTCTGATGGCCAATGATGATGAGCATTTTTTCATGTGTTTTTTGGCTGCATAAATGTCTTCTTTTGAGAAGTGTCTGTTCATGTCCTTTGCCCACTTTTTGATGGGGTTGTTTGTTTTTTTCTTGTAAATTTGTTTGAGTTCATTGTAGATTCTGGATATTAGCCCTTTGTCAGATGAGTAGGTTGCGAAAATTTTCTCCCATTTTGTAGGTTGCCTGTTCACTCTGATGGTAGTTTCTTTGAAGAGGAGATTAGGACACAGGGAGAGAAGCCCTAAGAAGGTGGGTGCATGGAGAAAGAGCCATGTGAGAACACAATGAGAAGGCAGCCATCTGCACGACAAGGAGAGAGGCCTCAGAATAAACCGACCCTGCGGATTTTATATTTCCAGGCTTCATAACAAATTTCTGTTGTTTAAAACACACAGTCTGTGGTATATTGCCATGGCAGCCCTGACTGACTAACACCAGCACTCTTGACAGGATGTGATGGAAATGGCACTTTACCTTTGGGGTTTTCCTCCAAACTCTAACTCCATCAGATAAATCCCAAGTGAAGGGCTTTCTACAAAACACCTGACCCATACTCTTCAAAATATTCAAGGCCATTAAAAACAAGGACGCTCTGAGAAACTGACAGCCAAGAGGAGCCAGAGGAGACACTGTGACTAATGGTAATGTGGTGTCCTGAATGAGATCCTGAAACAGAAAAGCAACATTAAGTAAGAACTAAAAAACTCTGGAAAAAAGTATTGACTTTAGTTAATAATAATGTATCAGTATTGGTTTCTTTTCTTTTTCTTTTCTTTTTTTTTTTTTTTTGAGACAGTCTCACTCTGTTGCTCAGGCTGGAATGCAGTGGCATGATCTTGACTCACTGCAACCTCCCAGGTTCAAGCAATTCTCCTGCCTCAGCCTCCCAAATATCTGGGATTACAGATGCCCACCATCACACCCAGCTAATTTTTGTATTTTTAGTAGAGACAAGGTTTCGCCATGTTGGCCAGTCTGGTCTTGAACTCCTGACCTCAGGTGATCCACCCACCTCGGTCTCCCAAAGTGCTGGGATTACAGGTGTGAGCCACACCGTGCCTGGCCCAGTATTGGTTTGTTAATTGTAACAGATGTACTTAATTATTGTAAGAAGTTAATAATAGGGAAAACTAGTATGAGGTAGATGGAAACTCTTTACTATCTTCACAATTTTTTCCCAGGATGGAGTGCAGAATTTTTTCTCAGCTCACTGTAGCCTCGACCTCCCTGGCTCAAGTGATCCTCCCACCTCAGCCTCCCCAAGTAGCTAGGACTACAGTCACGCGCCACCATTCCCAGCTAATTTTTTTGTATTTTTTGTAGAGACAGGGTTTCACCATGTTGCCTAGGCTGGTAAAACTATTCTAAAATAAAAAATTTATTTGAAAAAATCTTTGTGTTTTTCAGATCCATTACCACTAAATTCTATTTAGATATTCAACAATGTTTTCAGTATAGTAACTATGTAATTGCTGCTCAGGGCAGAGCCAAGTAGGGTATTATGGTGATAATTTCCTTCCTATACAGCTTTTAGTTCTTCCAGTAGTTTCTATTTCTTTTTCTTCTTGTAACCTCTTACAATAATTTTTCATTTGTCTTCCAAAAGTTCCATCATATCCAGAATTTTATTTGTCTCACCTTCTTTTTGGGGAAACCTTGCCTCTCAGAGCCTCTGCGGCCAGCAAAGGTCATTTGGTGAGAGGCTAATTTAATGTGGTTCAAGCATACGGTCTTCTGGTGGCCTAATCTGATTTAAGGATAGAATTTAGGGTAGCTAAAGAAGTGAGTAAATGACATATACAGTAAATGTCCTTTCCCACTTTACTCATCTAGCACTTGGTGGTGAAGTTGATATAATTCCAGTTCACAGCAAAGATATTTGATATTTCAGTTAGTCCCAATAGCATTGATACTTTTAAGAACCTTCTGGGATTCAAGGACTCAAGGTGGAGGCTGACTACTCTCAGCAACCAGTAAAAAAAAATCAATGGTGCTGAGGCACAGCCAATTAACCAAAACAAAACCACCTAATGATATCATCACCCAGTCCACATTTCTTCATTTGATGGACAAAGAGTCTCTGATAGATTTTGCCAAAGTCATAAACTTCAGATAACAATAACTCTTAACTTTCTTATCCTTCTAACATTCCTAAATAACAACAACAAAGAAGTTTTGAGGACAAAGGAAATTTTTTGGCACAGAATAGTACC
Organism: Homo sapiens; assembly: GCF_000001405.40. Taxonomy (NCBI): domain Eukaryota; kingdom Metazoa; phylum Chordata; class Mammalia; order Primates; family Hominidae; genus Homo; species Homo sapiens. The sequence goes on from NC_000013.11 coordinate 48,110,098, forward strand.
TGTTTTGCACAGAATAATATATTTTTAAATGTCTTCATAAATGACACCATATCTTTTCAACTTCCTATAAGCAGTACCTACCACAGAGTAAGTGACCAGTATTTAATTGAAGTTCTTTGACTTATCTAGTATCTGAATGGGAAGGTCAGTTTTACATTCACTTAAAATTTTGTTTTCTCCCAGATCAAAATATTTGTTTTGGCTCTATAAAGAGAGATTTCCCAGAAAAAATTTTCCTTTCTGGCTGTTAGTAAGTTAGTTCACTTCCTGTCTCTGAGTCTGTGGAAACAATTCAGAAAAGATCAACTATAATTCCCATTTTCCACCTTGTTTTTCATTTCTTTGCATTTCAAATCCTGTTTGTTTTTGTGTGTTAGCCTCTCACATAAGTACCTGCTTGATAAATACTTACTGATTTGATTTAATTTAGAAAAACACTTTATGATTTACACAATATTGTTTAATTGGCAAAATTTGCCTCTGATGGTCGTACCCTGTCTCTGAATGTTTATCACAATTCAGAAAGTACTACATGACCCTGTGTGCAAATGAGTCACTGTATCTCCCCTACAATGGCACAGAGATTAACATCGAAGTGGCAGGAAATGAAGAATCGAATCCAACTCAAAACCACCAAATTCCCAGCTCATTTAGCCTTCTTGGTAACTACAGTATCATTACTTTCCATTTACTTTCAAATACATCCAAACTCATGCTATCTGATTCTGACCCTGGCCAGAATATATGTATATATATATATATATATATATATATATATATATATATATATATATATATATATATGTATGTGTGGGTATATATATATTTATTTATATATATATATATAACCATTAAAAGCCATAAGGATGAGTTTACCGTTAAATCTTTGAGTAAAAGCAAAGAGGTTAAAGGAGGTTTCTTGGCACTTGTCAGGGCAGAACAGTGGCTTCTTTGTCCTTTCAGATTCTCTGTGGCTTGGCCTTTGCCTCTTCTTGGATAAAACGTTGCTCTTTGACATGCTGGGCTTCAGCCAGGTCTGCTCCTCAATCCTCCCCATAAGTTATCCCTTTCAGCCAGCCCCAGTCCAGTGGTGAACACAGTGACTCCCTGTCTCAGCAGTTAGCTTTCCAGAAAGTTGCCTGCCCACTTTGTGAATCTAACACCTGATATAAAATTTCTAATTACAAACACCAAATTCTTTCTCCTAGGAGATCTGAAACTGCATGCTCTGCTCTTTGTTTCGACCTTTTATTTTCATTGGAAAGCCCTTGCCAAACATTGGGAACATTTCACTCCATCTGATACAGGCTTTTATCTCTTCTCAACTAGAAAAATGCATAATGCTTCATTTTCAGTATAACCAGGCAATCCATTTCCAAGATCTGCTGTATACAATGCTCCTGCCTGGCCAGTATGCTGTGCAAAGTGCCTCAAAGGTATTTCTCAGATTCTGGCAGGACCACTTTGTTGACATTCCTCAACAAAGGCCTTACAATTTCAAAGGCAGTTTAGCTAATTTGATTTTAGAAGTGTCAGTGGTTCTTCTTTAAGTCCTTAGACATCAAACCCACAGAGCCCTTAATACCAGATTTAGATGTGAAGTGGTGGAATTATAGAACACAAACATCATGTGGCAAGTGACCATCTGACAGATGCATATTTAAATCTGTTTGCAAAAATGTACCCTGTTGACTTGTTGGCATCCTAAGGTGTTGGTTAATAGACTTTACATCCCCAACACAATTGAAGAGCCTGGCCCACGTCTATTACCAAGGAAAACAAGGTAGGGAGATGTCCAGGGATTACAAAACTCTAATAAATCCTGTTTCTTATTCCACATAATACTTAGTATACTCACAGTTTCTATTTGGTTTACACCCCTGCAGAAACCTGGATAAGTTCAGGGTGGCCCCAGGAAACAGGGAGAAAGGAAGACTGCAGGGACTGGCTGTCAGTCAATGTCAATGTCAGAGGTTGAAGTAAGGGGGAGGGAGAATCAGGGATCCTGGAGGAGTCTGCAGGGGAGAACAGACTATGCAGCAGCCTCTATCAGGACAGTTGGTGTACACTTGGCTGAACTGTCTCCTTTTTGCATTTTTCTTAGGAAACTATAATGGCAGAAAACTGAAGAGAGTTCAGATAGAAATCTTGTGTTCAACTCTGAGCACAAGACTTTCTGTTCATTTATTCATTCATTCATTCTGTATATTTATTGAGCAACTATGTTTCTAAGAATTGTTTTAAATTCTGGTGATACAGGAGGACCAGTCAAACAATTCCCAGCCCTCCTAAAGCTTACTTTCTACTGGAGGTGGGGCAGAGTGTTAACAAGTAAATTTACCAGATAATTTTAGTTTATGATAAGTGTTGCGAAGAGGTGGGAACCACATTACACAGCAGGGCCAGAGAAGGCCTCTTTGAGGAGGGTGATGCTATGGCTAAGAACCAAGAAATGGGGCTGGGCGCAATGGCTCACGCCTATAATCCCAGCACTTTGGGAGGCAGAGATGGGTGGATCACCTGAGATCAGGAGTTCAAGACCAGCCTGGCCAACATGGTGAAACCCCATCTCTACTAAAAATACAAAAAAATTAGCTGGGCATGGTGGCGTGCCCCCGTAGTCCCAGCTACTCGGGAGGCTGAGGTAGGAGAATCGCTTGAACCCAGGAGACAGAGGTTGCAGTGACCCGAGATAGCACCACTGCACTCCAGCCCGTGCAAGAGAGTGAGACTCTGTCTCAAAAGAAAAAAAAAAAAAAGAGCTAAGAGATGAAAAGGAGAACATAACTGTGTGACCACTGAGGGAAGAGGTCCAGGTAGAGCGAACAGCAAGTACAAAGGCCCCGAAGCAGGGAGGCTGGGGGGAGGTGTTTGAGGAAATGAGTCTGAATTAGGTTTCTGTCTGCTAATGCAGGAACACAAGCCTTTAAAACCACCTTAGTCTAGTGTCCTCATACTTACTTATTAATATACTGTGGTAAGTGAGAAGACAGGTGAGCACAGGTTCTATGGGTTTACAAAGAGCATTTAGATCAACCTGGAGGTTCAAAATATGACATCTAAGCTCAGATATAAAGGATGAGTCATAGTTATGCAGGGGATTTCAGTAAGTGCAAAATTTTAGGTGTACAGTAGGCCCCCTTTATCCATGAGGGATATGTTCCAAGACCCCTAGTAGATGTCTGATAGTACCAAACCCTCTATAGACTATGTTTTTTTGATCTGATAACAGAGATGTCTACCAAGTGACTCACGGGTGGATAGTGTATACAGCATGGATCCCCAGGACAAACGGAAGATTCACATCCCAGGCAGGATGGAGTGGGAAGGTGCAAGATTTCATTATGATACTCAGAATGACATGCAATTCAAGTTTACATATTTTTTTTTCTGGAATTTTCTGTTTAATGTGTTCAGACCTCAACTGACTGCTAGTAACTGAAACTGTGGAAAGTGAAACTGTCTAAAAGGGGACTACTGTATTTGGGAGGAGTTGGAATACCAGAAAAAGTGAGAGGTAGGAAATAGCAGAATAAAAGCCTGGAATGTTAAAAATAAGCCATGAGGCTGGGCGTGGTGGCTCATGCCTATAGTTCCAGCACTTTGGGAAGCTGAAGCAGGAGGATTGCTTGAGGCCAGGGATTTGAGACCAGCCTGGGCAACATAGCAAGACCTCATCTCTACAAGAAACTAAAAATAAATAAATAAATAAATAAATAAATAAAGAGAAGCCATGTCATGAATGGCATTTTTTATCTCCAAGATCAAAATCTTAGACTTGGTTTTATAAGTCACTGAAAGATTTTTAAGCAAGGGAGTGACAGAACCACATGGTGACTAGGTTAAAGGGGAATGAGGAAAGACAAGAGGAAGGAAATCAGTGGATATGTTACAACAATCCAAGAAAGTAATAATGTGGGTCTGACTTAAACAGTGGGGAATAAAAAGGAATAGAAAATTTGAGAAATATTTAGTAGATAAAATAAGAATTGGCTGATTGACTTGGGAGGACAGGGAGTGTGTCTGAGGCGGTGGGGGAGGAGTTAAATGGTTAGATTAGATGATGGAGACTGGAGGCAGTGTCACTAGTTTAGGTGAATAATATAAAAGAAGGAATAGGTTTTGAGGGAAATGGAGAATTCAGCTTTGGGCTCATGGCACTTGAAGAACATAGCCTGTAGTCCAGTTTATAGAGAGAAAGAAAACTGCAAATTGCTATTACCATTATGACTCTCCTTTTTTTGCAGAAGAAATTCATAGCTAAGGCCATGAAAGGTGAGAGTGTCAGGGTTCCTTTTATTTGGTGCCTGATAGAGACCAGGTGCTCCTGGTGGGAGCAGCCAATCAAAAGTACTTAATAGGGAATCTATTGAGGCCAGGAGTTCAAGGCCAGCCTAGGCAACATAGCAAAATCCAGTATCTGGGAAAAAAAAAATTTTTGTTTTAATTAGCAAAGGGTGGTGGAACATGCCTGTAGTCCTAGCTACTCGGGAGGCTGAAGCAGGAGAATTGCTCGAGCCCAGGAGTTCGAAGCTGCCATGAGCTATGATTGCACCACTGCACTTTAGCCTTGGTGACAGTGAGACTCTGTCTCTTTTTTTTTTTTTTTTTTTTTTGAGATGGAGTCTCGCTCTTGTTGCCCAGGCTGGAGTACAGAGGCACGATCTCGGCTCACTGCAACCTCCGCCTCCTGGGTTCAACGAAAGAGTACTTAATAGGACTTTACACTACCCATCTCTTACACCCAGGATTTGCCTGGGAATAATTAAGAAACATGTTTCTTAACATATACACATGTTTAGGTGTATGCTTATGATGAGGGCAACAAATGTCCAATCAAGGTAGGAAGATAAAGCTAAGGTCTATATAACAAATGTCCACTAATGCAATACTTAATTCTAGACAAGGAGATAGGACTGTGGGTGGCACAAGAAGAGGAGCTTTGATTTAAAAGGTCAAATCGTTGGGAGGCATAGCCATCTTTCAGGTACTCGGAGAGTTTCCAAAGAATGGCTTATAGCCAAGAATAAGCTTCATGTGTTGGGGGCAGGGGGTGTGAATCAGGACCCAGGGGCACACTGGGTGGGTGGAGGGTTGGGAGTGGGACACAGGGTGGGGCTGCAACCTGGAAAGGAGTTCAAACTCAGCAAGGCAGACAAAGGGTGATGTGGCAAAGATTATGTCAGTAAGATAGTTGCTTCCTGAGCTCTTACATAAATTAAAGTCATTAAAATTAATTTTACTATGTGATTTTTTTTACACTCCTAGTGAAAAAGATGATACCTGGCAAATTTTCCCAAGAGTGTCTCTATACTTCTTTGGATAATTGATATCCAAGGCAGATGAGATTCAGGAGAGACTTTTATCCAATATAGACAAAAACAGCCTTGCCTTTTGCTTTCACGTTTGAGGATTAAAGGACTTCGATTATTTAAGGGGGCTTAGTAAGTGTTGATTGCAATGACTTAGAAAATCCTTTCAGTGTCAAATGATGATGCAACGTAAGCTTTCTTGAAGAGTGAACTTAACTGTTACTGCTCTAAAGGCAGGTAATATAGAGGACATGAACAAAGAAACAGACCTGCTTTGGCCACTGAGGAGTCTCAAGTAAATGGCATGACCTCTTTCACCTGCAGTTTTCTAGTCTGTAAAATGGGGATTGTAATTTTTTCATTGATTCAACAAATATTTTATGAGCATCTCCTGGCACATCTCCTATGTGACAGGTACTGTTCTACCCAGTTCATAAAGTTATTTTGAGAATTACATGAAATAGCGTAAGTGAAAAATGCTTAGCATAGTTTCTACACTCTATCAGATGCTGATTGTATTAGTTTTCTATCCAAGAAGCTTTTTCAGCTTGAAAAAGATGGATGTTGAATGTTGGAGCCATTACTGGGTCAGGCCAACAATGGCGAAGACACTCAAGAGTGTTTGTTGTAAATATCAGGGTGTCTTGCACAGGGGAAGAATTGACTAAATTGGGGATCCAAGAATGAAAAGACTTTTAATTTAATGATTTTCTTTTTTTTTTTTTTTGAGACAGAGTTTCACTCTTGTCGCCCAGGCTGGAGTGCAATGGCACAATCTCTGCTCACTGCAACCTCCGCCTCCTGGGTTCAAGCGATTCTCCTGCCTCAGCCTCCCGCGTAGCCAGGATCACAGGCACCTGCCACCATGCCCGGCTAATTTTTTGTATTTTTAGTAGAGACGGGGTTTCACCACGTTGGCCAGGCTGGTCTCAAACTTTTGACCTCAGGTGATCTGCCTGCCTTGGCCTCCCAAAGTGCTGGGATTACAGGCATAAGCCACTGCGCCTGGCCCAATGACCTGTTTTTGAAATAGTAGGATGAAGGGCAAAATGTTGACCTGGGGAAAATAGAGCAAGTGTCAGTCAAAATTATTCTGGGAAGTCTGCAGAGGTTGCCATGAAGCAGCAGGGGTGATCCAAGTTAAGACTCATCAGAAACATGAATGTCCCACTGGGTCTAGAATATCAAGAAAGAACTCCAAGATAGTTTGCTTCATCAACATGTTCAGAGTTGAGGTGCGTGACAAAATAATTGTTTTTCTGAAGCACTTTTAACTGTGAACATTACAACATACCCACTGAACACTGGAAAGTTAATTTGTAGTTTGAAGAATTGACCAGATAAGGACCCTGATACTTCGGATATTAACATTTGCCAGTGCTCTAAGTAGTTCATTTTAAAAAGGAAAGGAAGAAAAGCTGACTTAAGCTACAAAACATGTTTTCTCCCAGTATCACTGATATATTACCTTTGCTTCTGAAGTGGGTTGGTTCATTAGCAAAGGGTGCAGCATTTTCCACTTCCCTTTTACAAACTGAACTTTAGCGCAGACCCTGAAGAGTCTATGGAGGTTGGTCAGTAATCACAATGGAATAGGATATGCCTTACCCTCAAAGAGAGACGTGGAAGGTCAAGGTCATTTGCAGGTGCCTCCCTCAGTGCTCGGAAATGGTATACATTTCTTATAACAATATGTGATACTGTAATTACCTACTTATTTTTCAGTCTTTTCCAATAGACTATAAGCTCTTCAAGTGCAGAGACTGTGTATTATTAATCACTGTAAGTCCAAATGCTTAAAAAGCCACTAACAGGAAGGGCTCAGTAAATGCTTTATACAAAGTGAGTGGATCAATGTACAGAGGGATTGATGGATGAATGGATGGATGGTTGGATGGATGGATGGTTGAATGAATGGATGAATGGATAAATGGTTGGTTGGTTGGATGGATGGATAGATGGATGACTCCTGGATTCCTGCCATTAAAGAAAAACCATCACAACAATAAAGAAAATGGTGCTCAAGTGAAGGGTGGACAAGATAGATGAGATTGACTTGGGCCCAGAAGAGTCACTAAAAGGGCATATAATCCTAGAATCATTGGGAAGAAGGAAACTTGGATCAATTTTTGCCACTGCTTCTTCTAATCCATCCTCCCAAGAGTCTGGTCTGTACCTCCAGTAGAGAAAACTGCTACTGGGTAAACAAGGTTATCTTTGTGGGACTGAAGAACAAGTAAGAGCTCCAAGACTTACTGAGAAGGACAGAAGGCCTGTCTACCTTATTCCTGTCCATGGAGTAGAAACCCTGAGAGGCAAGGGCTCCATGTGCCTGAGGGAGACAGAGTTATGGGTTTCTTGGGCCACTGAACAGTCGTCATGACTATAGTCCCAGAATAACTACTTCCCATAAGGGATGGACTATGGGGGAGTGAGGAATGAAGGACCTTTGGGAGTGCAGTCAGCAAGAGCTTGTTTGCAGACCTCAGTGAGCTCCAGGGGACTGCATTTGGTAGCTAGAGATTTGGTAGGGTCAGCAGCAATAAGGCACCAGCAATATAAACTCTTTTGCTCCCAGGAAATCTCAAGCTAGAGACTGATATGATTGAATAATAAGAGAACAGCAATCCATCAACCTCTCCGAGACACACAGAAACTGCCCCTAGTGAAGGTTTCTGCAAACCTGTAGGCAATGAGGTGAGGGCAACCTCCAGGGATAGCTCATTGGTCTCCCAAGCAGCCAGGAGCTGAAAAACTGGCGAGGGGTGGGTGGTGCCAGGGGAGAGTTGAGGGACCGCACTTCCCCTCCCTGAGCAATGCTGACCCAAGGGCCTTTGGGAGGAGGTTGTGCCACAGGACCGGTCATCAGAGAAGGAAGTCATTGCCATTCTACTAGCAAGTGAAGCTTGGGAATATAGGCAGGCTTTCAACTAGCTGCATGGAAAACAGCCCCAGGGTTCATCTGCAGGGTGCCCCCCTCCCCAGTACATGATTAACGTGGACACCTAAAAATCCAAGCTTATAATTTATACATTTGTCAAGGTGGGGTATGTTGGAGAAGGCGGGCCAAGCTTACTGTATAAAAGGAATGCTTCATTTCGTAGAATGTTATTCCCCTGCAGTTGCCTCTCACAGGTAGCAGAGCGTGGTGTTTAAAAGCATGGGTTTTGGAGCCAAATGCCAGGGTTACAATCATGACTAAATTCCTTCTGTTCTGAGACCTTGAGCAAGTTTCCTCACCTCTCTAAGTCTCTGCTTCCTCATCTGTGAAAGAAGATAATTAGAGCACCCACCTCATAGAATTGTTAAGAGGACTAATTCAATCAATCCAATTAAGTGCTGATATATAAGAACTCAATAAATACAGCATACATACAAAATAAGATTTGAGTTATTAAATTTGAATCATACATGTGGCCAAGCATTCACAAATTTCCTATGTAATTGCGAGTGGAGTAGTAGTTTGTCACGAGGTGGTGATTGGTGCAGAGGAACTGGGACACCAACCAAAAATATACATTGTGATACATTTTTTTCCCCTAAGATACTCAAGGATTTCTTGTTTTTGTTTTTTGTTTTTTGTTTTTTGTTTTTGAGACAGGGTCTTGTTCTTGTCACCCAGGCTGGAGTGCAATGGCACGATCTCAGCTCACTGCCACCTCCACCTGCTGGGTTCAAGCAATTCTACTGCCTCAGCCTCCTGAGTAGCTGGGACTACAGGAGCCCGCCACCACGCCTGGCTAATTTTTGTGTTTTTACTAAAGATGGGGTTTCGCCATGTTTTCCAGGCTGGTCTTGAACTGCTGACCTCGTGATCTGCCCGTCTCAGCCTCCCAAAGTGCTGAGATTACAGATGTGAGCCACCACACCCAGTCTGTTTTTGGTTTTTGTTTTGAGACAGAGTCTCACTGTCACCCAGACTGGAGAGCAGTGGTATGATCTCAGCTTACTGCAACCTCTGCCTCCGAGGTTCAAGCAATTCTCCTGCCTCAGCCTCCCAAGTAGCTGGGATTACAGGTGCGTGCCACCATGTCCAGCTAAGTTTTGTATTTTTAATAGAGACAGGGGTTTGCCATGTTGGCCAGGCTGGTCTCGAACTCCTGACCTCAAGTGATCTGCCCGCCTCGGCCTCCCAAAGTGCTGGGATTACAGGTGTGAGCCACCGTGCCCGGCCAGATATTCAAAGATTTCTTGTCAAACCCCTGAAGTTTTTATGGAACACAGTTTGGAAACCACTCCATTACTGGGCCAAAAAACAAAGCTATATATCCTATGGTGATTATAGTGAGGTTGAGTCCTTTACATCTGGCCCACTCATGCTAAAATAACCACTGGCAACTTATAAAGCTGGCTCCACTGAGAGAATTCCTTCTAACATCTTGGTGACTAGGCAAACAGACATGATCCTGGTCTTTTTTGAAGGGTATATGATTGACACTGCCAAGGAAAACAGTTAACAGGAGACACTAACTTAGAAGAAATAAAACCTGTTATTTTGGAGGGTACTATGAGTAAACAAAGGAGCGTTAAAACATATAATATAATCTTGGTGAGGTAATGAATAAAAATTTATTTATTAAAATATAACATTTCTTCATATAAAAATGTAAATAATGGGGCTTTAATAAAGAACATTTAAAAAGAGTAATGAGCTAGTCAGAAAACAAAGACTAAGAGGTCAACAACCACCTCAAGCTTTCCCCAAGCTATAAGAAAAACTGCCTGGTGTTTCTGATGAACCAAGTTATTTATGACATTTAAAACGGTGATATGAGCTATGATCTCTATTTCTGTTAAAAAAATAAAGAAATAAAAAGTCTTTAAAAGGTAGATTGTCATTCATGGATGACTGGAAGTTACATCTGAGAATCGCTGCCTTTTAAGCCTTATAGTTTAAAAATATTACCTCTGGGTGGTACAGTTTAGGAACAGGCCCTGGGAGAAAGTAATCTCAGGCCTTTGAATTCTTTCTATCCTATCTACCCTCCCACATAGCTCACTTAGGGTTGAGAGTTGAGTTTCATGTATTTAATTACATGCACCTGGAGGCAGGACACAATGACCCACGCTATGATCAAATGGTAATGCTACAAGAGTCACTCATTAAAAAGGCTAAGCATATGTGAGTTTAGCTTTTTCCAAGTAAAGACTAATAAAGTGAATATTTTATATATTTAATCACACGCTATTATGACACTGATAGGCAAAGAGACATAATTGGTAAGCAATTACATATGTAGCTGGTGTTACTTTCATACATGAAAATTATACTTTTACTGCTCCGATCTTCTCACTTTTGGTCCACACGACAGTATCATAAAAAAGCAAGGTTGCAGTGAGGACAACCTAGGTCAAAAGTTGCCAGGAGGGCAGAGGATTCATGAAAATAGACCCCATGCTTCTGTTGATTGGAGGGAGGTCTTGGTTGAGAGTGAGAGGAAAAAAGACCAGATGCTAAGAGTGAGTAAAAGGAACATTGTTCCTGTTGAGCCAGGAAGGAACAGGATAGGAATCGAGAAGGGCAATTTTAAAAAGGCAGGGGATGGGCAGTTCTTGTCAGGTGGGTAGACCTGTGCTTTTGCAGAAGAGGAACCTTAAGCAGGTTTCTTTCGAATACCTTCAAGGGTAACTGAATTTTTTGTTGCTTTCGTCTCCCACTTTCCCTCATCCCCTCAAAACATTTGTGGTACCTGAAATTCCTTAAACAGGGAATAAAGTTTTTCATTACGCAATTAGAAACAAAGATTGACCACAAGCAAATCAGCTGGCAGAGGTGACATGAAACTTTGCTCACTAAATGTTAATGGCTGATAGTGGATCATTGGCTATTTTGATAGGAAGAGGAAGTAAGAGAATGGGAGGCCCTGGGATGAGGTGGTTTTCCAGAGAAGGAAAGGAAGCATATTAAATGATAAGAAAAGAAACAGCTCACGGTTATTGAGTATTTATGTGCCAGGCTCTGTTCCAAGTGCTTTACGTGAATTAACTCTTTCAATTTCGCAGCACCCTGCCTGAGGTAGGTACTATTACTAATCTCATTTTACAGATAAGGAAACAAAGTCATGGAGAGGTTTGGTAACTTGCCCAAGGACATAGCAGAATGGCCAAGAGTTGATTTCTGGCATTTCTAGCCCAAGAGTCCACACTTTTGGCCACAGAGTGAAAGAAAATTGTCTCAGAGAAAAAATGACCCAGGAGACAAACTTCCCTACATAGACAATGTCGCCAAAAGTCAGCCTGTTCACTTCTGAGTATTAGGGATAAGGAGAAGAGGTGTTTTATGGTGCACAGCATTGAGTATCTGCTACTTAAAGGAACATTGGTGCTGGAATGGTTACTATGCTCAGTCTTATGGACCCTTTTGATACATTCTTGGTCTTACATGTGCACCGCTCAACTGCCTGAATTAGTGATCCTGTGGCAGTTGTTTAAACCCTCTGCACCTCTGAGTCCACATTTGGAAACTGGGTTATTTCCACTTGTCAGCTCCCTGACTCAGAGGAATGCAGGGAGGGCTAATGGGCTGATCTATGCTAAGTGCTCTGGGCCATAAACCAGGACTAACTGAACTTTCAGAGAACACTATGACTTGGCAGTGCTACTTAAATTGACAGAAGTGGTAGAATATTCTCCTAGCAGCTTCTTTACATGTCTTGGTTCAGCTGCCTAATCGCCCTTTAGGACAACAGCAGTCGGTCCACTGCGGCTGAATTCCTTGCTAGACTTACACTGTGTTGCTCCAACAGAGGACGACTGTCTGGTAGACTTGGGAGATGCCCATATTGTCTGGGACTGTTCAAATTATCCAGAGATAAGAATTCCTAATTCAAAATAAGGATCTTCAAGCCAGGACTTTGAAAGCAACTGCTTATCAAAAAAAGATGAAAAGAACTGGTCCCACTCCAAGGAAACTTTTAACCTAATAGCAAATATACCTTAGCATTTAATTCAAATGATAGTGTCCTAATTGACACCATCAAGGGCAGAACCAATTGCAAAGTTTCTTTAAAAAGTAATGATTTGGCCAGGCCCGGTGGCTCAGCACCCACCCAGCACTTTGGGAGGTCGAGGCGGGTGGATCACAAGGTCAGGAGTTCGAGACCAGCTTGACCAACATGGTGAAACCCCATCTCTACTAAAAATACAAAAATTAGCGGGGCATGGTGGCATGTGCCTGTAATCCCAGCTATTCAGGAGACTGAGGCAGGAGAATCACTTGAACTCGGGAGGCAGAGGTTGCAGTGAGCCAAAATTGTGCCACTGAACTCCAGCCTGGGAAAAAAAAAAAAGTAATGATTTACAAAGAGATGTGGAAGAAAGGATGCCTGAGACAAAGGGAAGAGGGAGAGAAGCAGTCTCAGCTGTAGCTATGATTAAGGACCAGTGGACACATAAGGATAAAGCCAGTTTTTTAAAAAGGAAAAATGTGTCTAATTAGTCCACACTCTCATTATCTAATGGATTTTCCCTCCCATGTGTTTAAGCATAAGAATACGCCACCTATGACTTCAAACAAAACAAACACACTAAAAGCAGAAGGGTGATCACACTATTTTGAACAGATGCAGTTATTCAACTCAATAATTTATCCTTGAATTCATGTCTTCTCCATCACAGAATCCTATCCTATCCTATCCTATCCTATCGTCAGGCTTCCTCAGACCTGAGAAAGGAAGCAAGCTTTGTGAGCTAATAAATAAACACGGCCAGTAGGAACCAAGGTGGATGTTCAGGATCAGAAATAGGGTAGATGAAAATAGTTTATAAAAAAAGAGTTTGAGAGAGGGGGAGGGAAACTGAATAACTAACCGAAAGCAGTAGGTGGTCAACACCATACAGTATGAAGGAACCACGAATACAAAACAAGGAAAACAAAAGACAGATTTTCAGAGTGCTGCCATGATGCACACAATTTCAAATAAAAGCTATGGTGAGTTTTAGCAAAATTTGGATATAAGAGATTTGGTTTTCAGATCCTGAGTCTCCTTTTTTGGCAGTGTTTTCTCATATCTGCGGTCTCTTCTCTTTAAGCACCAGAGGCCCCTCTATTCCTCACCAAGGAGAAAATATTGATGTAGACTCTTGGTGTGTAAGGCAAGACATAATCTTCCAAGAGTATCTGAAAGCTTCATCTTTATGTGGAAGGAATTTTCAGGTAAAAAGCTGGTGTGGAATTATACGAACCTTCCTGGTGTCCCTTCTCTCAAACCTCCCTAGAGGCACTTTCTATTTTTACTCTCTCTTCCTTGGTGCCATTTGTAACAGTGGGTATCTAGTTTACAAGGCACATCTTCACCCTGTCTTTGACTGGATTGAAAGAGGTTCCTTTCTCTAAGAAACAGCAGAATTCATGTAAGGAAAAGGCTATTTAGGTGAAATCGTGCTATGATATTTTGCTATGTCCAATCTATGATAAGGTCTTTGAAGGCCTATTATTGAGATGTGAAGTGTAAGGAAGCCAGTAGTCATTGAAAATTGCATTTCACGTAGAAACGTGCATCGCATTTGCTGAGGACATGAGTACCAGGGCTGGTGCTCTGAGCATGCCAGCGCTTGTTTACATGGGGCTGAAGGATGGCTTCCTCACTCGAACTACAAGGGCTGCCCCACCCTGCACTGGACTCAATGGAAGGAAGGGCGGGGTTGGCACAAAAAGTTTTGACAATACTCCAGTTCTTTGCACCCCAAATATTTACTGAAACAGTCGGATAATTCTTTAGGGAGACCAGGCCTAACACTACAAAAGGTGGCAAAGAGCCAGGAGGAGAAAAAAATGCTCCCGTTTGGTAAGGTTGTGTTTATTTTTGCCTGTAATAAATGCAGAAACAACAATACAGAAATACAGAAATTGTCCTACACACACCCTCTTCAAACTGATCACGCATTTGAAAATTTAGCTTCAGGGAAACCAGCCACTGCAGCTTCTATTCAGGCATTCCTGGTCCTGCAGGCAGCTGTTTCCTCTGCTTGGAATAGTGTCTCTTCTCACTGAAGCCCACCTTTCTTCTGATTCCTCTGCAGTCTTCTCCACATCCCACTGCCTGTATTAAGCCTCTCCCAGTTGTCCCAGCCCACAGTAATCTCTCTGTTCTTGGGCCTCCTACAGCACTCACTTGGCAAGTGTGGTGGCATTTATCTGCTTGTCCACTCAGCTCCTCTCCTTACCACTGGACCTTACACGGAATAGTCAACCTTCACTACATACGCCTACAAACAATGACAAGTTATTATAGTATAGTGGTTTAGGTGCACCATTGTCAAGTTCATGTTTGTGTGATTTGTAAACTCAAATGAAGAAGTTGGGCCAGGCGCGAATGCTCAGGCCTGTAATCCCAGCATTTTGGGAGGCCGAGGTGGGTGGATCACAAGAGGTCAGGAGTTCAAGGCCAGCCTGGCCAACATGATGAAACCCCATCTCTACCAAAAGTACAAAAAATTAGCCAGGCATAGTGGTGGGCACCTGTAATCCCAGCTACTCGGGAGGCTGAGACACGAGAATCACTTGAACCTGAGAGGCAGAGGTTGCAGTGAGCCAAGATCACACCACTTTACTCCAGCCTGGGTGACAGAGCGAGATTCCATCACTCACAAACACACACACACACACCCATTAAAAAAAAAAAAGTTTTCCTTTGTTACTTTTGAAATGTAGTAAATCCCTAATGTGTAATCATTTTCAAACATCATGGATTTTGTTAGGAGGCATAAGAAACAGCACGTGGGCTAGGCACCGTGGCTCATGCCTGTAATCCCAGCGATTTGGGAGGCCGAGGCAGGTGGATCACGAAGTCAGGAGTTCAAGACCAGCCTGGCCAACACAGTGAAACCCCATGTCTACTAAAAATACAAAAAATTAGTCGGGCGTGGTACCAGGCGCCTGTAATCCCAGCTACTCAGGAGGCTGAGGCAGGAGAATTGCTTGAACCCGGGAGGCAGATGTTGCAGTGAGCTGAGACCATGCCACTGCACTCCAGCCTGGGTGACAGAGTGAGACTCCATCTCAAAAAAAAAAAAAGAAAAGAAAAGAAAAGAAAGAGCACCTGGCAGATATGGGTAGAGAGATGAAGAACTAACTGAAGAGAATGAGAAGAGCAAGGAACTGGTTCACACAGTGCGAGCCCCATTGGTGTGCTTTACGTGGTCTGCTTCACTTGGGATTTTCTTGTGTTTGTTTGTTTTTTTTTTGTTGTTGTTTTTTTTTTGTTTTTTTTTTTTGTAGAGACAAGGTGTTGCTAAGTTTTGCCCAGGCTGGTCTTGAACACCTAGCCTTGAGCAATCCTCCCAAGGCCTTCTATCTTGGGTTTAACACTGAAAGTCCTAGGCAACCCCTCAGGCAAACCAGAAAGGTGGGTCACCCTACCAGGTGGCCAGTAAGCATCTTGACAAGAAGGAAATAACGTTTTAAGTCATGAACAGAGCCCTCTTTACTTTCTTTCACTTCAAATTCCAGTGCCTCGGCCTCTCCAAGGACATTCCACTCTCCTATAACAAGCCGAGGAGCAGGCAAAAATGCCCAGGGACTAAGCAGGAGTCCTGGGTTTATTAAACTCTCTCCACTTCAGAAGCAATGCCAGGCCCATTAGGACAACTGGTGAAGGGAAAAAGCTTAAACATAGTTCTCACAAACAGAAACGAAAGGGAATATTCTGAACTGGAAACAGTGACCTTTATGGCATTATTCCAAAAGGAAAGTCAAAGGCAGAGCCTCAGGAAGGCAAATGTCCAGGATCCACAGGAACTCTGACTTATGCGGAACATTCCACACGAGGCCTGCTAATTACAGCGCTGGAGCATCTGTTTTGATAATGTTCTTTGAAATCAACTCAACCCTGAGAATGTGTGCAAATAGACGAAAAAGAAGACTGGACTGTATGACTATGAATACATTTTGGATATTGTAGCATGTAGAAGAACGAAGTAGTACATTAGGAGCATCAAAAATATACATCACTTTTTTTTTTTTTTTTTTGAGACTGAGTCTTGCTCTTGTCACCCAGGCTGGAGTGCAATGGCACGATGTCGGCTCACTGCAACCTCCGTCTCCTGGGTTCAAGCTGTTCTCCTGCCTCAGCCTCCCAAGCAGCTGGGATTACAGGCTCCCTCCACCATGCCCGGCTAATTTTTATATTTTTAGTAGAGACGGGGCTTCGCCATGTTGGCCAGGCTGGTCTCGAACTCCTGACCTCATGATCCACCCGCCTCGACCTCCCAATGTGCTGGGATTACAGGCGTGAGCCACCGCACCCAGCCACATATTTTATATTGTGTGCATTTCACAGAACAGACACATTTGAAAAAATGAAATGGGCCTGAAATAAGCATAACAATAACAACATCATTAATAATGTCATGCACAAAACTAATTAGGGCTATAGAGTTTGTGTAGTAATGGGGATTTTTTTTCCATAATAAAATGATAAAGCTAAGGATTTTAATATGTGTAATGTATAACACAGTAATTCTGAACAAAAAAGCATAATAGGAATATTGGAAATTCTAATGCTTGTTTCTCTGTATGTAATGCAGGAATAAAACTGAGTTAGTTTATACAGACTTCTGTGACCAAGAATGCTCCTGTGTACCCTGGTACAAGTGTAAGTAGGTAACTTGGCTGGGAGTTGAAATTTAGGGGATGTGGTGCAGAGATATAATTTTACCACCAGGGGGTGTTCTTTCCTCTTCCGGAATGTTGATGAGTTTATGTAATCACAAACTAACCCTAAACCAGCCCCACTAAAAATGGGCCAGGCCAGATCCCAGGAAATGGGATTAACTTACATCATTCACACAAATTCCCTCTTGCCCTTCCATTTTAGAGACTGTTGAGTTTTCCTTCAGTTGAGAGAATCATGCTGGCAGCAAGCCAATCTACATGAACTGTCGAAAACAGATTACACCCCTCCTGCTGATCAAAACAGGAGAATGATGACTTAAGAAGTTAGTGCAGGTAGCTATTTCTGATTATCCCCGGGGAGCAGGAGTTTCAAGTAAGCAAGAACTCAGCAGTTAGAAAGCAAACATCGAAAGGGTCTGAGGGGTAGAAAAGTCTCCTGCTTGAATTTTGATCTAAGCTGATTTACAACTGAAAAAGGTTGATGCCTCATTAAAGACCAGAAAAGCCTAGGAAAATTACCAGAGAGATTTTGACAGCTTCCAGAGTCAGCCAGGGAATCTGTCCCAGCCCATTAGTATAACCAAGTTTAGAAAGCAAGGCCTTGGAGAGGTGCCCCAGGGAGATGCCCAAGGGAGTCCGTCTGAACCCAGCCAAATGCTTACTCTTGAAAAAGGAAGACTTTGTCCCCTCTGTCAGCTTAGTGCCAGAAGCTCTGTCAGGGAGAAAGGCTGTGAAGCTAAGAAATATGGGATATTAGGTCACCTGCTCAACTGAAGCAAGTTCAACAAATTCAAACTTTGAGTCAATACATTATTTCCCCTTTTAATGCCCAAAAGTAATACTTGCTCATTGCTAAAACCAACAATACAGAGGCTAAAGTAAAAATCAAAGGACTGTCCTCTCATGACCAGCCCACTCTCCTCAGCCCCACTTACCAGAAATACTCACAGTTGAGAATTTGCTTATATTTTTCGGGGTTTCCTTTTTCCCATGCATTATTTCTGCAAAATGGATCAGTCTATCTGTCTGGCTCTCCATCTATTCATTCTATGCATCTATTAATCACCCATTTGGTTTGGTTTGGTTTTTGCCAAAAAGATATATATATAAAAAATATATATCATATTATATATAATATATATCATATAATATATTATATATGATATATATTCTTTTGTGTAAGTTTTTTATTTAATTGAAATGAAACTTCATTTCAATTTAATGAAGCCGACTTTTCCAAATCAGATCCATTCTTTCTTATAGTGACACAATATTCCATTGTATGGATGGTCCATAACTTTACTAAGCCAGTGCCCTACTGACGAACATTTGTGCTAGTCCCAGTTTCTTTTTCTATTACAAGAATGCTATAATAAAATTCTTAATTAAAAGATGTGGTTATTAATGGATGTGTTGTGTTAAGGATCAGACATTGTGCTAAGCCCTCTACGGGATATTAGGATGAATAAAATATGTTTCCTGCCATCTTGGAGTTTACTCTTTTGTATGGGAGAACTATTAAAAAAAATTGACATTGCAAGGTGCAGTGGCTAACGCCTGTAATCCCAGCACTTTGGGAGGCCAAGGCAGGCAGATCACTTGATCAGGAGTTTGACACCAGCCTGGCCAACATGGCAAAACCCTGTCTCTACTAAAAATACAAAAATTAGCTGGGCGTTGTGACACATGCCTGTAATCCCAGCTACTTGGGAGGCTGAGGCAGGAGAATCACTTGAACCCAGGAGACAGAGGTTGCAGTGAGCCGAGATTGAGCCACTGCACTCCAGCCTAGGCGACAGAGCAAGACCAGTCTCAAAAAAAAAAAAAAAAAAAAAAAAAAAAAAAAAAAAAAAAAAAAAATATATATATATATATATATATATATATATATATATATATAAAATGTAAGAAAAATGATTTACATACTAAATAGTTGGATTAATTATAACATATCTGCCCAGGGAGTAGAAAGTTAGGTGCTACCAATTCTGACAGTTGGAATTAGGGAAGATTTCACTGAATTGACTTCATCTCTGTAGGGATTTGCTTTAGTCTGTTTGATGTGGGGCAGTTGAGGTGGAAGCTTGTACTCTTAACAAAGTCATCCTGTTCACCATGCACTGAGGCAAGGAGCTCTACAGTTTTTGCTATTTGAATTTCCTCTAAAAATAATTTCATAAAGATCTGGGAATGATTTGTCCTTCTTTTTTCTTTTTTTTGAGATGGAGGTCTCACTATGTTGCCCAGGCTAGTCTCAAACTCCTGGGCTCAAGCGATCCCTGCCTCAGCCTCCTGTGAGATGACAGGCACATGCCACTGTGCTCGGCTCTTGCTTTGTCTTCTTCTAAACTTGTTTCACTGAGTTTAGTCTACAGCTTTGTCTGATAATCTTAAAACTCATTACAAATATTCAACATGGCACCGCTCCTTGCTCTGTCCCAAAATGTTCTGGGTAAATGTCTGATCTCCAAATCAAGTATGCCATAAATTGTTGAATTAGTATTGTTATATCTGGTGTGACTGTCTAGAGAAAGCCATTTTATCAGTACATGGAATCTAACAGTATGATTTTGAAAGAAAACATATGAAACAACTCACCTGTGATAGCAAATCTCTTTGAGTCAGAACCTTCCCAGCAATCATGTAAACATACTGGAAGATGAGTTTTTATTTTTAAGCAATCTTAATTAGCAGGTCTCTTTCTTATTAACATCTTCAAAGGGCTTTCAGCTCCTCCCTAGATGAAAGGTCCTGTGTAAGGACAAATTATTAGTATGCTCACAAAATACACACACTAAATGCAGGAAAAGTGCAAACGGTTTAACTCCACAGCCTGCAATGCTCTTGAGATGCTTTGATCTGCCAGGATAGCCATCAATTATTCTATATCCTTTACTCTTTAAATGCATGCATCAAAGCATGTTCATGCCCACCCTTGTAAATCCAGTTGTTTATTTCAAAATAGTTCTTCTGAATTAACCCTTGTTTCCTTTTTCCTTTGTTGAGAGCTGCTGATTCAGCTTATTGGGGAAAGCGTATATGTAACCTTGGGTTTAGAGTAGAAAATAATCTTTTTTTGCTCTATAAAGATGTCCATGGGCCAGGCGCAGTGGCTCATGCCTGTAATACCAGCACTTTGGGAGGCTGAGGAGGGCAGGTCACCTGAGATCAGGAGTTGGAGACCAGCCTGGTCAACATGGTGAAACCCCATCTCTACCAAAAAATACAAAAATTAGCCGGGCGTGATAGCAGGCGTCTGTAGTCCCAGCTACTCGGGAGGCTGAGGCAGAGGAATCGCTTGAGCCCAGGAGACAGAGGTTGCAGTGAGCTGAGATTGTATGACTGCACTCCAGCCTGGGCGACAGAGCGAGGCTCCATATCAAATAAAAAAAAAGATGTTCATGACATAAAAATGTACATTAATAAAGATTCATTGGTAAACTGGGAAAATATATATAATAAGTGAAAAAAGCGTGATACAAAAATTTATAGAGTATTATCACAACTGTAATACTAATAATTGCTAACATTAATTAAATACAACAGTGCCAATCACTGACCTGAATGCTTTACCTGTGTGATATACTTTAATCTTCACAATGAGACGAATATTGTCATCTCTCTTTTACATATAAAGAAACTGAAGCTCAGAAAGTTTAAGTAACTAGACCATGATCACACAGCCAATCAGTGGTGGAGCTCATGGGGTTCTATCTGGTACTGACTGACAACAAAGCTTTGTGATGGTCCTGCTGCCTTTTAACAGTGAATATACCTAAGCAGAGAGATTTAGGGTGATTTTTCCCCTACTTTTTTACACTTACACTTTTTTTAAGAATAAGCAAAACTAACATACTAACTAATGAAGTAATCAAATAAAATTAATAAAGAGGGCTGAGTAGCTCTTTTATTCATGGCATGATAACTTGAGATAAATATAGGTAACATGTCATTAAGCTCAAAGTTGTCTGGGCCTCTGCTGCCTTATCTTTAAAATGAAAGGGTTGCACCAAGCAATCTCAAAGACACCTTTCAATTTTCATATTACTTTAGTTCATTGTTTCTGATTATGCTTCAGAGATGGCACTTTTCCTCAGCAATAAGTTGGTTGTAGTTCCCTAAATTTGCTCAAAGAGCGTACCAAAGGAAGAACCAGAGGACCGATTGGGATTCATCTTTAACACCACAGAAGAATAAAGACTAGCTTTGTTAATGATGAATCTTGAATAAGTATTAATGTAAAATTGTTACATACTTATTAAATTGTAATTGTACATAAATAATAAGCATATAAGTTTTTATTGTATATATTTAAGGTTTACATAATGTCTTGATATACATATAGAGAGTGAAAAGGTTAGTATAGTTAGCAAATTAACCTATCCATCATCTCAGTTATACTTTTTTTGTGTGTGTGGCAAGAGTACCTAAAATCTACTTTTTTAGCAAAAATTATTAAATATAGTTCTCATGTTGTACATTCCATCTTTAGATTTGTTCATCCTTCATATCTGCTATTTTGTATCCTTTGTCCTGCAGCTCCCCATTAAGCATATTTTTCTGATCTAATTCCAGAGTGAAAGATAAGTTGTGTTGGATATCAGTGCTAGGTCTTTTTCTGACCAGGGTTTAGTTTGGACATGTCTGGAATGCAAGAATGAGAAACCCTTTGAAACTGCATGGAGAGTAGGTGTTTCCAGCTGAGAGGAGCATTTGATCTTTACTTGGAAAAAAAAGTACCTGCACTACAAAGAAAGGTTGCTTGTCTCCACAGAAGGATGAGTTCCTCCACAGGAAGCATGTGGCACCAACCGTGAAAAAAGAACAGAACTATCTGTCGTGCTATAAATATTAAGATGTCTGGGAAACATGAAGAATTTTTATTTCTGGCTACATTTATTTATCATTTCTATTTTTGATAATAGACTAGTCTTTATTTGGAACTCTTTCATTCCCAGTGTTGTATTTTTCAGCACATAACAGGTATCCAATAAATACTAGCTCAATGAAGAAAATATATTAACATTTAAGCTTTAATTAGAAGTACAGCTTTTTTAAGGTAAGTTTTAGGAACAGTTCTCTTCCTTTGATTAGTATCCAGAATTTCATCTTCTGAAGACCCTAGCATCTTCACATCAACTTTTAAAAACTTTCCATACCACATAGACCAAAGATTCAAATAATTTTTATACTAGATATGGAAGAATTTATTTATCATCTTAAAGTGGGGAAGGGCTTTCTACTATTTCTAAAAATCAAGAGCTTACAAATTAAAATGATAAAGTTAGTAAAGTTAATAGAATAATTAAAATCTTTAGTAAAAGCAAAGAACAACAAAACATATGCACATAATAAGAACAATTAAAAGATTAACAACAAACAAAAAAGGTTTGCCACCCATATCAAGATAAAATAACAATCTACCAATATATGAAGAGTTCCTAGCAATCAATAAGAAAAGGACTGATAAACAATAGAAAAAGGGCAGAGAAAATGAATTCAGAGTTCACAGAAAAGGAAGCATGTAAGGCTCTTAAACCTAAAAGCAGATGCTCAACTAAAGTCATAATTAGAGAAACACAGGATATAATTGTACTAAGTTGTTGTGCCCCATGCATCAGATTGCCAAAAATCTACGAATTTCATACATACTCTGTAGTCAAGACCTCGGGAAGGGAAGACTGCATTATGAGTGGGAGGGTAAATTGGTACAACCTCTATGGAGGACAATTCAGCAATATCTATCAAAATCACAAATCCACGCAGCCAAAGGATGATTTATCCTGAAACTAACAAAGCATAAGCTTCAGGGACCCTCACTTGCACAACCCCTTTTCGAGGCTCTGGGAGGAGCCCTAATGATTTTTCAATATATTATATGTTTTTGGAATCTTTGCCAATTGAGGGATTTTAGTTACAATTGGTTAAGACCACTGCTCTCTTTCTACTTGGACATCTCCTCCATCATACTTTCCTTTGTGAAGTGTGGCAATGGAGTGGCATCAGGAACTTTTGGGATCTAGCTAAAGGGAAATTGACTTGGAGATTCATTAAGGTTTGGGTTTATTAGGATGAATTTATGTCTTGTGCAATCTCCACATGTATAGCCAGGTTATTGCTAGGTGTCCTGGTGTAGGAATGGTTTCCAGAAATACTCCTACCACCCACTGTGCTAACCACCTGCCACTCTAACTAGAAGATGTAGAACCAGAGGTCGTATTGAAACATAAACATGTCTTATAACGCTTGATACCAGAATTATGTAGGTAGTAGAAAAGAAACAAGGCTGGAAATACGTGGAGCCAGAAGCCAGTCTGTGGAAAATTATTTTAATACTAGCCATGTAAAATAACGAGCAGAATGTTTCATTATTACAGGTGCCGGGTCAAAATGGGTGTTTTAATCTATCAGGAATGTACCTGATGATGCAGCAATTAAAAAACACACCATAGATTCATAGTCTTTTTTTAAAAATGGGAATCACATGAAATAGAATTTCTCAGAATTTCCGGGTTGTAGGATACAAACCTATAGCAGCACTAGACATAGCAAGCATGTCTGTGTGAAACTGAATGCTTAATGCATCACAGCTGTCAATAATAAAAAAAAAGAATTTCAATCAACCATGCTAAAGAGAAGACTGAATTCACTTTCTGCTTTCTGTCTTTAAAATGATGTTACAAAACTGTGGTCACATAAGGACGTAATCCAAGTCTGTACAGCAAAAAAAGATAGAGAAAAAAGCTTTATAAATGTGTGTCAGAGTTAATTAGTAAAAATATTATGTTATTTTTCAAGGTTCTGTGATAGTTATGGTATTTGTTAGCTTTTTAAAATTAGTAATTTATTGTGATTTCATTTTATTGTTTACATTAGTTATTTGGTTTTGTACCTACTTTAGATTTGATAATTTGTATTCTTTTTGTTTGTTTGTTTCCAAGGAACTTACTTAATCAGAACTTCAGAGGGCCCTAGAAAGCTGCATTTTTAAAGAGGACCTCCCCTCTGGATGCCCTTCCCCACTTCCCCTCATTTTAATGAGGATTCTAGGTGAATTAAAAGTATGTTTTGGGAAGTAATTTTAACCCTCATTGTGTGTCAGGTTATATATACAGTAATATTAAGTTGTAAATCATGTAATAGAAGAAAAATTTTTTTATACAAAGTGTTAATAGAGGCCTAAATATAATATGGTTTTTAAAATAAAATAAAATGAATTCATGTGTATATTGTTATAATCATAAAGATAAGAATGTTAAATTGAAAGCTACACAATGAGAAACATTAATGGCAAATCCAAGTACAAACGAAAATGTTCTCTGAATTCCCAGGTTTCACTGGGCATCAAAACCCACCAATATTTCAGTCCTTTTCTTATATATTATTCTGTAACCACATTCTCCACATTTGACTGGATCCCTGGACTTCATGTCATTTTCTGTGTGACATTCTCTACAGTTATATGCCATTGGCTGCTGCTTTGGGGTTTGAATGTCCTTCTGGGTGTCCATTGTTAGTCCCTACACAGCATGATGAAATTTCTCACTCTTGTATTATTTTTCTTAATGAAGGCTCACAAAATTATAATTGTTCAGGTATACAACCTGGATCAGTATTTGTAATTACCCAAATGCCTCAGAAAAATTTCAACCGGGGGAATTTATCTTAGAGTTGTTCTTGTACAGTTATGAAATGGCATGTGTACAAGGTTAGTCACTGCAAAACTGTAACAGAAAAAGGCTGAACTCAGTGGGGATCTGGTTAAACAGATCATGGTACATCCTGCATAATGGAATACTGTACAGCTCTGAAAAATGAGGACACAGTCTATATTCTGATATGGAAAGGGCTACAAGATATATTGCCCAATGAAGAAAAACAAAGCTTAGAACAATGTGTACAGTATGCTACCTTTCATTTTAAAACTAAAGAAGGAAGAATAGAAACATTAACTTTTGTTTATTTTTACATAAATAAGTTCTGGAAATGAATACAAGTGATTGTAGGGAGGGGACATTGAGTGGAATGCACTGAGGTGGGAATGAGATTGTTCACTCTATAGCCCCATACAAGAGATGTATATTCACTATTCAGAAGTTAAATGAAAAAAAAAAAAAGTATGTATATACATATTTTTTTCCCCCTTTTGAAACAGAGTCTTGTTCTGTCACCCAGGCTGGAGTCCAATGGCAAGATCTTGGCTCACTGCAACCTCTGCCTCCCAGGTTCAAGCGATTCTCCTGCCTCAGCCTCCCGAGGCTGAGGCTAATTTTTGTATTTTTTGGTAGAGATGGTGTTCCACCATGTTGGCCAGGCTGGTCTCAAACTCCTGACTTTAGGTGATCCTCCTGCCTTGGCCTCCCAAAGTGCTGGAATTACAGGCGTCAGCCATCGTGCCTGGCTAAATTTTAATATATTGTTCTTCACTTTGGCCACACTCATGGAGGGGGGTATTTCCAGACACCTTTTTGGCATCTTTTTGAAATGCTGTTCAGTTGCTCATTAGCCATCAAATTAAAATTCATACCTATTCATTTCTGCAGTATTCATATAATCAGCTCTCTATCAAAAAAACTATGAAAATTATCTGAGTGAATTTAAGAGTTTAAGAAAAACTGGATAATACCAATGAAAATATTTAATTATGTGAGAAATTTAAAACATCCCCACTTCAAAAGAAATAAAGGCAAACAAACACTGGGATTTATTATCTTGAATACCCCCATTTACAGAAAATAAAAGGAAAACATTAAAACTGTCTAATTGATAATGAGCTACAGACATGAATAAGAAATTCTAAAAACATAAAATTATTAAGCTTAGACATCATCATTAGCTTCCATCATCTGCTCCATACAAATTCAACACACTGCAAAGTGTTGTCAATTTTGCCTTCTAAATATCTTTCCATTGTTCTCACCCTAGTCTAAGCCACCATTTTCTCCCTTTAAGACTAGCACAAAATGGGCAAAGAACGTGAATAAACATTTTTGAAAGAAGACACACAGACTCTCATGCCTGTAATCCCAACACTTTGGGAGGCTGAGGCAGGAATATAGCTTAAGTGCAGGAGTTCGAGGCTGCAGTGAAGTAGGATTGCCACTGCACTCCAGCCTGGGCAACAGAGCAAGACTCTGTTTCAAAAAGAAAGAAAGAGAGAAGACATATAAATAGCCAACAGGTATATGAAAAAATGCCCAATGTGACTGATCATCAGGGAAATGCAAATTGAAACAACAATGAGATATCATCTCACACCCATTAGGATGGCGATTACCAAAAAGACAAAGCTACAACAAGCATTGACAAGGGTGTGGAGAACAGTGAATCCTTATGAACTGATGGTGGAAATGTAAATTAATATAGACATTATGGAAAATTGTATGGAGGTTTTTCAAGAAATTAAAAAATAAAAGTAGCATGTGATCCTCAATCCTACTTCTGGGGTATATATCCAAGGGAAATGAAATCAGCATGTGGAAGAGATATCTGCATTTCCTTGTTTATTGCAGCACTATTCACAGTAGCAAAGATATGGAAACAATACAAGTGTCCATCATCAGATGAATGGATCAAGAAAAACACACACACACACACACACACACACAATGGATACCATTCAGCCATAAAAAGAATGAAATCCTGCCATTTGTGACAACATACATAAACCTGGAAGACATCATATTAAGTGAAATAAGCCAGGCACAGAAAACAAATACCACATGATCTCATTTATATGTGGAATCTAAAAAAGTCAAACTCATAGCAGCAGAGAGTAGAATGGTGGTTACCAGGGGCTGAGAGAGGGAGGCATTGAGGAGTTATCAGCCAAACTATACAGAATTTCAGTTACACAGGAGGAGTAAGTTCAAGTGATTTATTGTTCAACATGGTGAATATAGTTAAAAACAATATTGTATTCTTGAAAAATTGCTAAGGGAATGGATTTTCAATGTTCTTGCCACAAAAAAAAAACTGATAAGCGAGGCAATGCACAATGCCATTTAGCCTGATTTAGCCATTTCACAAAGTATACATATTTCAAAACATGTTTCACACCATAAATATATACTATTGTGACATAAATATATATATTTATGTGAATTAAATTTGTGTCAATTAAAAAATTTGTGTCAATTAAAAAAAAAAAGACAGGCCAGGCATGGTGGCTCACACCTGTAATCCCAGCACTTTGGGAGGCCGAGGCAGGCAGATCGCAAGGTCAGGCGTTCAAGATCAGCCTGGCCAACATGGTGAAACCCCGTCTCTACTAAAAATACAAAAATTAGCCGGGCATGGTGGTGCATGCCTGTAATCCCAGCTACTCAGGAGGCTGAGGCAGGAGAATCACTTGAACCTGAGAGGCGGAGGTTGCAGTGAGCCAAGATGGTGCCATTGCACTCCAGCCTGGGTAATAGAGTGAGACTCCAACTCAAAAAAAAAAAAAAAAAAAAAAGACTAGCACAACACCCTTTAAATGGCCTTCCTGGACTCCCTCTACATCTCCCTCATTGCATTTTCTACACAGTGGGATCATTTTAAAAGACGAATCTAATTATATCTCAAATGCACACACCTTTAAGACCCTTCACTGACCTCCCAGTGCTTATAAGGCAAAGATTAAACCTCTTTACGGCTTCTTCTCCTTTCAGGGCTTTTAAACACTGGTGTACCCTCCCCGACTGCCCTATCCTTTGTCTTCACTCATCACTCCACCTCCTGTGACCTAACCAACTCCTCCTCACACCTCAGATCTCACCTAAAAGCCCACTTTGTCAGGGAGGCTTTCCAAAGCAGTCCAGAACCCCCGTTGCACATTAGTGAAGCACCCGTACAGCTCCTTCATGGCGCTTTGCACAGGGATCATTCCAATTCACTGCGGGAGAAGTGGGGAGGGATGGCCTCCTACACTCCACCAGGGCAGTGGCTGCTGTTCACTGCACCTAGCACTGCATGTGATACCTGGAAGACCCTTATTAAAACATTTGTTGGGCAAGTGAATAAACATTACTGATAATAAAATAAATGGACCTTAGAACAAACAGACACTAATTTGGCCTGTAAAACAGGCAAAAAAAAAAAATTAAAAAGAAGGCCACTGTTCATTTGTCACGAGCAGGTGTAAAGCACCCTTCTACATTTTCATATCTTTTAATTGAGGTGAATTTTGCATAATATAAAATTAACCATTGGAAAGCAGACAATTAAGTGACATTTAGTACATTCACAATGATGAGCAACCATCACCCACCAGCTCTACCTAGTTCCAAATATTTCCATCACCCCGAAAGGAAACCTAGTACTCATTAAGCTGCTGCTCTCTGATATGGTTTGGATCTATGTCCCCGCCCAAATCTCATATTCAATCATAATCTCCAGTGCTGAAAGTGGGGCCTGGTGGGAGGTGATTGAATCATGGTGGTTGTTTCTCAGGAATGGTTTAACACCATCCACTTGGTGCTGTTCTCGTCATAGTGAGTGAGTTCTTGCAGGCTCTGGTTGTTAAAAGTGTGTAGCACCTCCCCACACTCTCTCTTGCTCTTACTCCTGCCATGTAAGACGCCTGCTCCCCCTTTGCCTTCCACCATGAATAACAGCTCCCTGAGGCCTCCCCAGAAACAGATGCTGCCATGCTTCCTGTACAGCTTACAGAACCCTGAGCCAATTAAACTCTTTTCTTTATAAATTACCTTGTC
Source organism: Homo sapiens (assembly GCF_000001405.40). Taxonomy (NCBI): domain Eukaryota; kingdom Metazoa; phylum Chordata; class Mammalia; order Primates; family Hominidae; genus Homo; species Homo sapiens. The sequence goes on from NC_000013.11 coordinate 48,138,720, forward strand.
TCAGGAATTTCTTTTATTTATTTATTTATTTATTGAAACAATGTCTTGCCCTGTCGCCCAGGCTGGAGTGCAGCGGTGCAATCATGGCTCACAGCAACCTCTGCCACTGGGCTCAGGCGATTCTCCCACCTCAGTCTCCAGAGTAGCTGGGACTACAGGTGCACATCACCATGCCCAGCTAATTTTTGTAGTTTTTTTTGTAGAGATGGGGTTTTGCCATGTTGCCCACGCTGGTCTCAAACTCCTGTATTCAAGCGATCTGCCTGCCTCAGCCTCCCAAAGTGCTGGGATTACAGGCTTGAGCCACCAAGCCTGGCCTAGGAATTTCTTCGTAGCAATGTGAGAATGAATTAACACACTCCCCAACCTCCCCTATCCCCAGCCTCTGGCAACCACCAATCTGCTTTCTGTCTCTGGATTTACCTATTCTTAGCCTTTTATATAAGTGGAATCATACAATATGCAGTCTTTTGCGTCTGGCTTCTTTCACTTAGCATAATGTGTTCAAGGGGGTTCATCTAAATTGCAGCATGGATCAGAACTTCATTCCTTATTATAAGGGAATAATATTCTACTGTATGTATATACCACAATTTTTATATCCATTAATCTGTTGATGAACATTTGGGTTGTTCTGCCTTTTGGCTATTGTGAACAGTGCTGCTATGATCTCTTACCTTTCTGATGGGCGTGTAAACTGGTATTGGGCAAACTGATTACCATGCTTGCTAGGCTCTCATCCAGGCATCTGGCAGGGTTGCTCCATAATGGCACATTGGTTGGGACTGGTCCTCCAGTGCCTGTGCCATCAGTGGTTAAATATTTTGAATAATTATGAACAGATTACCATAAATTCAACAAAGTGGGGGACATGTTCTGCTCCCCTTAACCCCACAAAGGACTAAGACAGAGGTAGGTACTTTACCAAGGACAGCCAAATATAATGTGTGCGAGTGACCAATGAGGTAGCCAGAGGGAAAATTCCGCCTAAATAGGCATGATGACTGTTAGCTAAGCCAGTCCGATTTCTTATGTGGGGAAAATGAACTAAAAATATGGATGGGAATTGAAGAGTTGGTAATGGGAGCAGAAGATGAAAAAGGCCAGCTGTGAATGGCTGATTTCTGGAGCAGAGCTTCTTGAGCTGTGACTGCTGATGGGGGACAAGGTAGCTGGTCCCCAGAGCTCCCCTGCATCCTGAACGACCTGCAGTTGCACCCTGTGTGGCTCAGTGAGTTCTTATTTGTTCTTTGCAGTTACTATGAGGCCTGGTTTCATGGCTTAGATTCCTGCCCTAAATATTTCTACAATTGTCATTCCTACAAACCTCCCAATGACTGAGGTAATCTGAGTGATTCTTTGCATCCAAAGGAGCTTAAGGAAAACACCTCTGAAAAGAAGTTAGGTTATAGATATCAAGAGCTTTATAATCATTCAGTCTTTGATCCAATAATTCCTCTCTGGAGCTCCAGTCTAAGACAATGATCCCAGAGTCAGAAAAACCACATACACAAGGAAGTTAATCTCAATTTTAGTTTAGTGCAAGAAATTGGAAACGTGTCCAAATGTTGGCAAATGATTAAAAAAAGGAAAAAAATAAATTGCCTAAATTAGATTAAAAACTTATTTATTAAGAATTATGTGTATGAATAGTTTTATATTCATACTGAAATATTGTTCTATAATGCTTTTATTTTTAAAAGGCAGGAAATATATATTTATATGGAAAATATTAACAGAAAGACACATAATAAAAGATGAATAATGATTATCTTTGGGTGATTTTTTTGCCCTGTTATTTAAAATATTTTTATGAAACATGCATGTGTTGTTTTTATAATAAGAAAATGCTTTTTTAGGATGGGGGTGGTGGCTCAAGCCTGTAATCCTAGCACTTTGGGAGGCTGAGGCAGGTGGATCATGGGAGATCAGGAGTTCGAGACCAGCCTGAGCAACGTGGAGAAACCATGTCTCTACTGAAAATACAAAATTAGCTGGGCAAGGTGGCACATGCCTGTAATGCCAGTTACTCGGGAGGCTGAGGCAGGAGAATCGCTTCAACCCAGGAGGCGGAGGTTGCAGTGAGCCGAGATCACACCATTGCACTCTAGCCTGGGAGACAAGAGTGAAACTCTGTCACACACACACACACACACACGCACGCACACACACACACACACACAAAAGCTTTTTTAAAAAGCAGGGTGTAGTATGGCTTTTAGGCAGAAACAAATCATCCTAAGCTGATATTTACTTCTTAGAAAAGAGGGAGGAACAAAAGCTTCAGTACTAGTAGAAAACTAAAAGAAAAAGATCACAGAGACATGGAGAATTCAACCTCCACCGAATTCCTGAAGGAGCCAGATGGTATTCCCGTTTTCCAGAAGGCACAGGATACTGCCTTTTGAGGGAAGGTCAAAGAAGGGTTTGCTGTAGCTGGGAACACTATGCCAAATCTAAGTCCACAGTGGCCACCCAGACACAGAGCTTATTAGGAAAAGCTCATGCCATTCCAGATGACAGTTCCAAATGGACAGACTTGTAATTTTTCCATGTGGATCAGAAACATATACCCACCATACAGCATTGCAGTGAAACTCCAAGAATGGTAGCAGGAAGGAGGTAGAGCAGTTAATTAATTAAACACTTATTTATTGAATGTTTACTATGTTTGGGCACTATTGTGAGCCATAGGGATAAAAATTCCTGCCCTCATGGTGCACACATGCTACAGTGTGGGATTGCAAGATAAGGAGAGGGGGAAACAATACATAAAAAGTAGCAGCAAATGCAGCAATGTTAGACACATATGGAGAAAAATAAAACAGTGGAAGGGGTTTGGGAGAGTCTGTTGTCCGGTTCTTAGAGTTTAAAGAGGTGATGAGGTAAAGTGGTGCAAGGATATTTGAGTGAAGATGTGAAGAAGGTGAGAAATTGAGTTCAAGAAAAACATTCTAGACAAAGGGAGCAGTCTGGGCGCAGTGGCTCACACCTGTAATCCCAGTACTTTGGGAGGCCGAGATGGGAGGATCACCCAAGGTCAGGAGTTCGAGACCAGCCTGACTAACATGGAGAAACCCCGTCTCTACTAAAAATACAAAATTAGCAGGGGCCTGTAATCCCAGCTACTCAGAAGGCTGAGGCAGGAGAATCACTTGAACCTGGGAGGCAGAGGTTGCAGTGAGCTGAGATCACGCCATTGCACGGCAGCCTGGGCAACAAGAGCGAAATTCCATCTCTAAAAAAAAAAAAAAAAAAAAAAAAGACAAAGGGAGTAGCAAATACAAAGACCCTGGGGCAGGATTGTATCTGGCCTGTTCAAGGAATGCAAGGTGGTCAGTGTGGTTGGGAACAGAGTGAGCAATGTGGGGGTGGGGAGTGGTGGGAAGAGAAGGAGTGGAGGAGGGTCAGGTCATATATAGCCTTGAAGGCCATTGTAAGGAGAAAGAAGGAGACCAATGCACCCACAGATGATGACTGATAAAGATGCATGTGGCAAAGATCAGTCCAAGACCCCTAGCCCAGGTCACTAGGAGTAGGTCATGTCATTTGCTGAGACAGCAAACAAAGAGGAAGGTCAGATTTGTGCCAGGGAGGGCATGGGAAGAAAAGAAAGGAAGAAATCATAAATTTGTTTGGGAAGTTTTTTTCGGTGTTTTGGTTTTTTTTTTTTGGAGGGCCAGTGGGGCCCAGAAGTTAGAACTGGTACCTCAGGAAACTGGTCGGGATAGAGATGCAGTTGATGAATTAACAGCAGAGTGCTCAAATTATGAAAGTGAATGAGTAAATGACAGTAGGACATGCTGATAAACAGTTGTTGAATCAACCTTGTGAAACTGCTCAGGAATGTATTTTATTAGGTTCTTTTGCCAGAAGAGGAACAGAGATAAGTGACCTCAGATACTGAGGTTATTGTAAAGCTGCACAGGAAGCTAGAATACATTGTCACACAGCAATCAGGACTCATGGAGCCTGAAAGGTCATTGAGGTGCAGTTATTGGGACCAGCCTACGTGTTCACGTGCCCATCACAGGAGTCCTTCTAGTCACAGAGCCACTCTGCCTCTGCTTCTATTGCTCTTGATAGGGTATTTCTCTTTCTCCCTCAATCTCAATCTCAACCTCTATCCATATTCCTCAAAAGAAATTCTCTAATTTATTTGGTTAGTGATCACCTATGAGAGAGAACATTTGATCAGAATTCTTTAACATTTTTTAGACTGGGCATGGTGGCTCACACCTGTAATCCCAGCACTTTGGGAGGCCGAGGTGGGTGGATAACCTGAGGTCAGGAGTTTGAGACCAGCCTGGTCAACACGGTGAAACTCCGTCTCTACTAAAAACACAAAAAAAGTAGTCAGGTGTGGTGGTGGGTGCCTATAATCCCAGCTACTCAGGAGGCTGAGGCAGGAGAATTGCGTGACCCCTGCAGGTAGAGGTTAAAAAGTTAGCAGCTATGGTGGTGCACATCTGTAGTCCTAGCTACTTGGGAGGCTGAGGTGGGAGGATTGCTTGAGCCCAGAAATTCAAGCCTGCAGTGAGCCATGATTGTACCACTGCGCTCCAGCCTGAGCAACAGAGCAAGATCTTGTCTCTAAAAAAAAAAAAAAAAAAACATGTAGATGATGTTTAAATAATGGGATTGATGAGATTACCAAGTAGAGATTGTAGAAATGAGAAGACCTGGAAGCAACCAACATTTAAAAGTCAGACATAGAGGCTGGGTATGGTGGCTTTCACCTGTAATCCCAGCACTTTGGGAGGCCGAGGTGGGCAGATCACTTGAAGGAGTTCAAGACCAGCCTGGCCAACATGGCGAAACCCCATCTCTACTAAAAATACAAAAATTAGCCAGGCATGGTGGTGTGCGCCTGTAATCCTAACTACTCAGGAAGCTGGGGCAGGAGAATCGCTTGAACCCAGGAGGCAGAGGTTGCAGTGAGCCGAGATTGTGCCACTGCACTCTGGCCTGGGCAACAAAGCGAGACCCTGTCTAAAAAAAAAAAAAAAAAAAAAAAGTCAGACACAGAAAGTAAGACCAGCAAAGAAGACCGCAAAGGAAGAATGAAATAGGTGGGAAACCAGGAGAGCATGGTGTCAACAGAGGCCAAGATTATTTCTGGAAGAGGAGTGGAGTGAACTATGTCAAATGCTACTCAAAGTGAAGTAAGATGAGGACCGAGAAATGACCATTAGATTTGGCAAAATGGAGGACACCTTAATAAGAGCCATTTATTAGAGCGATGAAGACAAGCCCGACTGGAGTACATTGAAGGGAACTGGAGGTGAGAAAGTAGAGAGAACAAATACATATGTCTCTTTTGAGATGTTTTACCATGAAGAAAAGCACAGAGGAAATATGGGGTTAAGGAGGTTTCAAGAGGGATGAGCAATATTAAGGCATGTTTGCAAACTGTGGGAAATCATTCCATAAAGAGAGAGACTAACAGTGCAGTAAAAGGTGAATAATTGCAGGCATAAAGTCCTTGAGAAGGAGGACAAAATAGAATCCAGAGAACTCCAGAGAAGTTTTCGCCAACAGATTTTTTAACCTATGGGAGAGCAGTTTTAGGAAAACGGAGGAGGCAAAATCCAAACTGTGCGAGTTTAAGGAATGAAATATGGAACTAAAAATAACACAACTAAAATGACATTAGTGGTTCTCTCTGGGTAATACAGGATTTGGGATAATTTTTTTTTTCTGTGCTTCTTTTTACATTTCTGTGACTTTCAAATTTTCTGGAAGGAATTCTTACCACTATCATAATTAGGAAAAAAATGCAAAAAGTTTAAGAAAAGTGACGTCAGTAAGTGTACTGAATTGCATCTGTCTTGGAAGTAGGCCCACCCCTGAGAATACAGGAAGTACAGCAACAGTATCTAGACACAGACGTGACCCTGGCAGGAAGGCCGTGTTGTTCATGATGAAACTGTTTCTCCTTTTCAAATCCCCAGTCCCATATCTGCTGGGTACTACTAATTCAATGTACTCCAGATACAGGAGGAAGTCCACCCTAGCAGGCAAAACACAATAGCTAAAAAGGGTGGCTGCAGTCATTGCAGTTGTTCAGTATTGTGGTTGCCTCAGGTGAGGCTTGGAAGTCTAGGCAGATGGACACTTCACGCTACAGAAATGTCTACATGTAGGCAGCCACGCTACCAGAGTCCAAGACCAGGACTGGTGGGGTCAAAGGTGGGCTTGTAAGAACTAAGCCCCATGGCCAGGCACAGTGGCTCACGCCTGTAATCTCAGCACTTTGGGAGGCCAAGGTGGGTGGATCACCTGAGATCAGGAGTTCAAGAACCCATCTCGAACTCCCACCTCTACTAAAAGATGGGAAACCCAATCTCTACTAAAAATACAAAAATTAGCCGGGTGTGGTGGTGAGTGCCTGTTATCCCAGCTACTTGGGAGGCTGAGGCTGGAGAACTGCGTGAACCCGGGAGGCAGAAGTTGCAGTGAGCTGAGATCATGCCACTGCACTCCAGCCTGGGCAACAAGAGTGAAACTTGGTCTCAAAAAAGCAAAACAAACAAAACAAAACAAAACAAAACAAAAACAAAATTAAGCCCCCAGCAGGCGCACCATAGTGCTCCATTTAACAGAGGCCTCACATTCCTAAAGGACCTCTGAGCTGGTTATTTCCAGGTGAGGCCTCACATTTTACAGTGATGCACTAAAAGGACTGAAAGAAGGTGACTCTTACCATACAGCTTTGAACATGCTTCCCATTACTAAACCATTCATCTGTCCTGCATTATAAATTAAGGTATTTATAATCCCACAATTATTTTATGAGCAGCACAATTACATTGCATATTTTTCTTTGATTTAAAAGCCCCAAGGTTTTAGAGACATTTAAAATGTATCACATTTAAAACTAGCCCTGTTATAGTATTTCTTTATTTTCTGAAGTTAATAGACTTAATTTTTTTAGAATAGTTTCATATTTACAGAAAAATTGAGGCCAGGTGCAGTGGCTCATGCCTGTAATACCAGCATTTTGGGAGGCCGCAGAGGATAGATCACCTGAGGTCAGGAATTTGAGACCAGCCTGACCAACATGGTGAAACCCTGTCTCTACTAAAAATACAAAAAATTAGCTGGGTGTGGTTGTGTGTGCCTGTAATCCCAGTTACTAGGGAGGCTGAGGCAGGAGAATAGCTTGAACCCAGGAGGCAGAGGTTGCAGTGAGCTGAGATTGCACCATGGTTGCAGTGAGCCAAGATCGCACCACTGCACTCCAGCCTGGGCAACAGTGCGAGACTTCATCTCAAAAAAAAAGAAAAAAAGAAAAAAAAAGAAAAATTGAGCAGATAGCATAGAGTTCCGATGTTCTCCCTCCACCTCCACCCTGCTCCCAGCACAGTTTCCCCTATTATTCATATTTTGTGTTAGTGTGGTTTATTGTTACAATTGATGAAAACCAATATTGGTACATGATTGGTACCAGTTATTGGACTTTACCAACTAAAGTCCATAGTTTACATTCGGGTTCACTCTTGCTGTTGTACAGTTCTATAGGTTTTGACAGAAGTATAAGGTCATGTATTCACCATCATGGTGTCATACAGAGTAGTTTTGCTGCTCTAAAAATCCCCTGTGCATCACCTGTTCACTTTTCCCCCTCTTCACTCCCCTTGGCAACCACTGATCTTTTTACTGTCTCTATAGTTTTGCCTTTTCCAGTATATCATACAGTTGGAATCATAGAGTATACAGTCATCTCAGATTGGCTTCTTTCATTTAGAAATGCTCATTTAAATTTCTTTTTGTGACTAGATAGTTCATTTCTTTTTATCACTGATTATTATAACATTGTCTGGATATACCACAGTTTTTTTATCCACTCACCCATTGAAAGACATCTGGTTGCTTCTAATTTTTGGCAATTGTGAATAAAGCTGCTATAAACATCTGTGCACAGGTTTTTGTGTGGCCATAAATTTTCAGTTCAATTAGGTAAATACCAAGGAGCATGACTGGTAGATCACATGGTAAGACTATGTTTATCTTTGTAAGAAACCATCAAACTGTCTTCCAAAGTGGCTGTGCCATTTTGCACTCCCACCAGCAGTGAATGAGAGTTCCTGTTGCTCTATATCCTTGCCAACACTTGGTGTTGTCAGTGTTCTGGATTTTGGCCATTCTAATAGGTATGTAGTGGTAACCCATTGTTGTTTTAATTTCCAATTTTCTAACGCTATATAATGTGGAGCATCTTTTTATATGAATATTTGTCATCTATATCTTCTTCCGGGAGATGTCTGTTATGTCTGTTCAGACCTTTGTCCACTTTTTAATGGCCTTTTTTTTTCTGAGACGATGTCTTGTTCTTGTCCCCCAGGCTGGAGTGCAACAGTGCAATCTCGGCTCACTGCAACCATGGCATGATCTTGGCTCACTGCAACCTCCGCCTTCGGTGTTCAAGCGATTCTCCTGTCTCAGCTTCCCGAGTAGCTGGGATTACAGGCAGCTGCTACCACGCCTGGCTAATTTTTGTATTTTTAGCAGAGATGAGGTTTCACCATGTTGGCCAGGCTGGTCTCAAACTCCTGACCTTGTGATCCACCCGCCTCGGCTTCCCAAAGTGCTGAGATTACAGGCGTGAGCCACTGCGCCCAGCCTCTTTTCCTATTTTTGAGTTTTAAAAATTCTTTGTATGTTTCGGACACAAGTCCTTTATCAGATATGTATTTTGCAGATATTTTCTCTTGGTCTATGTCTTGTCTTTTCATTCACTTAACGTTTATTTAATATACTAAGAGCCTAAAAAATTGCAAGTGTCTCAGGCTTCCCTTGACCTCTGAGAAAGTACAGATGAGATAGGTGATGCAAATAAGAATTTCCGGACCTGTTTGGCCATGAGACATAGCAGCTCCTATCCACTCAGACCACTAGTCCTTGGGGATCAAGGAAGAAAAGAGAAATAGTCATATCACCCTACCATATGCCAAACACAAAGCATTTTACATACATTATTCCATAGCTACCTTAAGTAAATCGTGTCGGGTGCAGTGGTTCACACCTGTAATTCCAGCACTTTGGGAGGCTGAGGCGGGCGGATCACGAGGTCAGGAGTTAGAGACCAGCTTGGCCAATATGGTGAAACCCCATCTCTACTAAAAATACAAAACTTAGCCAGGCATGGTGGTGTGCGCCTGTAGTCCCAGCTACTCGGGAGGCTGAGGCAGGAGAATCGCTTGAACCGGGGAGGCGGAGGTTGCAGTGAGCTGAGATCGAGCCACTGCACTCCAGCCTGGGTGACAGAGCAAGATTCTGTCTCAAAAAAAAGAAGTAAGTCGTATCATTTAGATAGGAAGAAACCCATCAAAGCTATTAAGTATCAAACAAGTGAAACTATCCAAGGTCTCATATCTATGATGTGGCAGAATTGGGATTCAACTCCATAACAAACATCCCTGGGCCAGATACAAGACTACCCTGTCTCAAGGCAGGTCCCACAGGGGATGGAGAAAAGCGCAGTCCACCGCATGTAGAGGGTGCTGGAGTGGGGCTCATTCTGTGCCAGGGTTGAGATCTCAGGGGCTCTGCTCGCGGGTGGAAGAACTGCTCCCATTAAGATGGATCTAGAAGGTCTCTTTGGTTTCAAACAAGATCTCAATAAACAGTGGAGATATAGGGAATGGAGTCTAATTTTTCAGGGACAAGAAATAGGCAAAAATTAAGCAGGGTATTAAGGCTTTAAACAAGCAGGCTGAAGCCCAGCACAAGCCTGCGACAGAGCTAGGGAAATGGAGCAGAAATGAAGCAAGCTCGGTCACACTGCCACACCAGCAACGTGGTGGGATGCTGAGAGAACCTACTCCTAAGGGGGTGAGAGAGCCTGGGCCTACCACAGGATCCCCAGCTACAGACAGCAAGGCCCACTCCTGCACTGCTGATTGGTGGGTCTGAGTCTGTCTTCTCAGGGACAAACTGAAGGTCTGCACATGGTTAAGGTTTCCTGTTAAACGTCCTCAGAGCCTGCCATGGAAGGGAACAGTCCAAAAGCTTCAAGGAAAGCAGAGACCGCAAGCAGAGGCTCAAGCCATAAGTCAGGACTTGGGGAAAAAAGCGAAGAACCCAATTATCAGAAGTGAGCACCAAGCTCAGCACTAACTGATGCCTGTTCTCCGTGCTGAGCTAGGAAATGCTGAAACTCCCCTGACTTTAAGACCCATCCCAGAGGTGAGCTTGGGGTTTTTAGCTTAAAGGTGGGGCCTGGTGGGCCTAGTGATAGAAACAAGGCTGTAGTAAATGAAGAGCACACCTGTGCCAGGCTGGCAGCTGGGACTCTAAGGGGAAGAAGACTTGGTCAACAGACTCTGCGGACCAGAAAAATTCTGCAAACCGAAATTCCAAACCCTTTAAGATTCAGGTGCACTGTATATAATGCAATAGAAATGTTCCTGAAAAGCAATATATAAATCAAATTTTTGTAAATTGATACTTTGAGTGACCCAGAGGAATTTGCTGCTTAAAGGAAATTATTATTTTTGTAAATCTGGTTTCAACTCAATTGGATTTTCTTAAATGGAGCGTTCTTTTAATCTGATTTTCTTCTATCAGAGACTGAGACATATATCTCTGATATGTCAAAAAAAAAAAAAAGTAATACAGCTGGGCATGGTGGTACATGCCTGTAGTCTTAGCCACTCAGGAAGCTGAGGTGGGAAGACTGCTTGAGCACAGGAGTTTGAGGCTGCAATGAGCTATGATCACAGCACTGTACTCCAGTCTGGGTGTCAGAGCAAGATCCCGTCTCTGAAAAAAAATAATTAAAAATAATAGATACTACTAGTACATCTTGATTTTAGCAAGGTTTAAATTGTATTCCTTACAATATATTCATTAAATTAAAAAATGTGGTCTAGGCCAGGTGTGGTGGCTCATGCCTGTAATCCCAGCACTTTGGGAGGCTGAGGTGAGTGGATCATGAGGTCAGGAATTCAAGACCAGCCTGGCCAGCATGGTGAAACCCCGTCTCTACTAAAAATACAAAAAATTAGCCGGGCGTGGTGGTGCGTGCCTGTAATCACAGCTACTCGAGAGGCTGAGGCAGGAGAATCGCTTGAACCCAGGAGGTGGAGGTTGCCGTGAGCCGAGATTGTGCCACTGCACTCCAGCCTGGATGACACAGCAAGACTCTGTCTCAAATAAAAAAAAAATAGATAAAGTAAAATTAAAAATGTGGTCTAAACCAGTGGTTCTTACATCTGACTGTACACAGAATTAAACTGGGAGTTTTATAAAATACTGATTCCTGGGCCCACCACTTCAGCTTCTGATTCACTGGGAAACACAGGAGGGTACCAGGGGCTCCCCAACAGGAGCCTATGGCTTAGAAGCCTTTGTGCAGCCATAGACATTGACAGCAAAATGAGGTTAACCCAGAGATGATCTCACTGCCACCATCCCAGGACCTCCCTTCCCCAGTACCTATGGAAAAACAGTTCCAGCTTACACTGAGCACAATGATCCCATGATGATGGGGGCCACTGGCCACATAAGGTGGGGGTTCTCTAAAGCCAAGAAGTGGCAGCCACTCTCCATACCGACGTGAGACCAGACCCTGGTTACAGCAGCTCCCTTGGCTTCAGAACCAGGCCTTCAGGTACAAGGCAGGGTGTGTCATTCTCCCCAGGGGCCTATGACCTTCATGGAGAATTCTAGCAACATGATTTTATATCCACTTGCATCATACCTAAAACTTATTAGAAGAAAACTGAATATGGTCTTGTGATAAACAGAATAATACCCATCCCCTCCCCCCACCAGTGACGTCCACATCCTACTCCTTGACACTGTGAATATGTTAGGTCACACAGTAAAAACAGATGGTTGCTAATCTACTGTTTTAACTGACTGACGGATGGGAAGATTATCCTGGTTTCTCTGAGGGGGCCCGAAGTAATCACAAGGGTCCTTAGAAGCTGAACAGGGGGGCAACAGAGAGATCAAGAGAGATAACAGCATGAGAAGGACTCAGCTCCACATTGCCAGGAAATGGGGCCACAAGCCAAGGGATGTGGACAGCCTTTAGAAGTTGGAAAAGGTTGGCTGGGCATGGTGGCTCATGCCTGTAATCCCAGTGCTTTGGGAGGCCGAGGCGGATGGATCACGAGGTCAGGAGACCAGCCTTCCAACAGAGTTATGTTGTAACCCCATCTCTATTAAAAATATAAAATATTAGCCAGGTGTGGTGGCAGGCGCCTGTAATCCCAGCTACTCAGGAGGCTGAGGCAGGAGAATCTCTTGAACCTGGGAGGCGGAGGTTGCAGTGAGCCGAGACCGTGCCACTGCACTCCAGCCTGGGCAACAGAGCAAGACTCCATCTCAAAAATAAAAAAAAAAAGTTGGGAACGGTGGCCTGGCCCAGTGGTTCATGTCTGTAATCCCAGCACTTTGGGAGGCCGAGGCAGGTGGATCACCTGAGGTCAGGAGTTCAAGACCACCCTGGCCAACATGGTGAAACCCCGTCTCTACTAAAAAATATATAAAAAATTAGCCAGGCATGGTAGTGGGCACCTGTAATCCCAGGTACCCAGGAGGCTGAGTCAGGAAGAATTGCTTGAACCTGGGAGGCAGAGGTTGCAGTGAGCCGAGATCGTGCCACTGTACTCCAACCTGGGCGACAGAACAAGACTCTGTCTCAAAGAAGAAGAAGAAAAAAAAAAGGTTAAAAAAGGCAAGAGACAGATTGCTCTACTCTAAAGCTATCAAAGAGACACACATTGCTGCTGACACCTTGATTTAGCCTAATGAGACCCACATCAGGCTTCTGACCTCCAGAACTGCAAGATAATAAATTTGCATTGCTTTAAACCACTAAATTTCTAGTAATTTTTTTTTTACAGCAGAAACAGGAAACTAAAACCCATGACCAAGTTCTCAAATTTTGTTTTTTGTTAGAATGCAAGGAAAGGAAAGTAGAACTTAAAAGTCTGGCAGATTCTCCTTTTTGTTGCAAGGCCCTGCAAGTCACCCCAATATTTTACTTTTCTTCTCTTTAATAGACAAAGAAAATTGTGTATCTAAGGTGACCGGGCTCATTTATCAGGCCAAGTTTTTAGCACAGTATGATAGGATTGTGGTAAGATCCAGGATCCATATTTTAAAAATCTCCCTAGGCATCTCTAATATGCAGCCAGGTTTGCAAACCACTGGTCTACAATTTAAATTCTAACCAACATAATTACGACGTGGCTGCATTCCTAGAGAATGAGTACCGGTGGGTTATCATTAATCTGGGAGGACAGAACACAGGTGATGAAGATTCTCATTCTGTGACCTGCAGCATGGAATGGCCAGCATGTGAATTCAATGTGAATGTGGCACCAAATGGAAAACAGGAGGAGGAGGGCATTTTAATTCACTAATGAGGGTTGTTAGGACGGACAGTTTATTGATTCTCAGGGCAGGTGACAGCAGACTGAGGAGGTGCCAGATGAGTTGCTGGGAGTTGAATGCAGTTCAGAGAAGGCAAATGCAGGATAATATACCGTCTGTAACAGGGAAGGACACAGCACAATAACTGGCAGGGCTGGGGAAGACCTTGCAAAATTAGAAAAGTGTCCAGAGACAAGGTCAGTGCTGCAGAGTAGGGGGTGTGAGGGGATGCAGGAGGGCCACTGGCGTGGGCCTCCATTCACATATGTCCTGAAATTTAGACTCCTGACATCTCTCAATATCTGATAAGGTGTTTGTTAATGTAAAAACATGCAAAGCATGCCAGTTTAATAATTTCATTTTTGCATCGTTTCCTTTGTTAATGTATGGGGAGCCTGAAAACATGAGGCTAGTGGCCCAGATGTCTCAACTTCAAAAGTCCATGGTGGCTCACAAGATCCATTCAGCCCTGCAGTTTATGAAGCAATCCTAAGTGGACCCCCATAGGATATTTTTGGAAGGACACACCAAGAACAGTGAGGGTCTCTAGTGATCTGGGCCAGGAGAGTTGGAATCCAGAGAGGAAAAGAGATTTACTTGTTTTTTTTCCTAAATACAATTTTAATAGATCCTATTTTTGTTTTCCTCTTTTCCTCCCAGAGTTATACATGCCTTTAATCCAAAATGTCAAACAAGTCTTGTTATTAAAAAAAATAGCAGTCCTTTAATCTCTCCTCCCCATTTTCTACACTTTAACCTTTTAGATAATTCTTTTGGTATTTACTTTCAGGTGTCTACATTAACATGCTTGAAATACTGTTCCTTGATTTTTCAACTATAGCCATTATCTATAGATAATGGGTAGAAGATTAGGATTTGGTGTCTTTCCTCCTGCTGTCCCAGTGGGATACACTTATCCTTCCCCATCTCCCATCCTTCCAACAGAATTATGTTGTAATGCTGGTAACGTGAATGTTCAATGTGTATGTTAGAGCAATAGTCACAGCTAAGCCATATAGTAAACTATGACCACTTTCTCTTTTCTGAACACCTTTTTTTTCTTTGAGACAGGGTTGCTCCTGGAGCTAATAACTGTTTTGGTTTTCGTTTGCTTCATTTTCTGTGTACAGTATTTATATTTTCTATTGGTCTATGTCTGCTGTCAAGGCATTCAGAATTTTCAGATAGTCTAATAATTTCACCAGTCTCCTAAAAAAAACTCTCCCATAGCCTTATAGAATATGCTCTAACCCGCACCTGAGACATAGCTCTCATCTTGGAATCTCCCTTCACCAGCATCCCAGAGATTCTCTTGCCTTGTTCCTGTTTAAACTTCAGAGTCCTCTTTCTTAGTTTATTATTTTGACATATGTTTGGGGACATCCTAAGGCAGGGACATGGAATATAAATTCTCGAGAAGTTGGATGTCAGAAAATGTTTATTTTTACTCTACTCTGACACTTGATGGATTCTTTGGGCCAAGTATAGAATTCTAGAGTGGAAACAATTTTTCTTGAGAATTTTGAAAGCCATTCCAATCTGGCCTTCAGGGTTGCTATTGAGAAGTCTGATGCCATTCTGATTTGTCATCCTTTAGGTAGGACTTGTTTGCTCCTCCTCTTTGGAAGCCTGTAGCACCTGTTCTTTGTCCTCACTGTTTTGAGATATCACACTGGTGTGCCTTAGCGTCAGTCTATTCTCTTTGTGCTGGCATTTGGTGGCCCTTTCATTCCAAAAATGCATGCTTGTTAGTTGTGGGAAATTATTTCTTTAATGACTTTCACTCCTCTGGTTTCTCTGTTCACTCTTTTTGGAAATCCTATTTGCAATATTAAACCTTCTGTTCTGTTTTCCTGATTTTCCTTTCTTTTTTTTTTTTTTTTTTTTTGAGACAGAGTCTCGCTCTGTCGCCCAGGCTGGAGTGCAGTGGTGCAATCTCGGCTCACTGCAACGTCTGCCTCCCAGGTTCAAGCAACTCTCATGCCTCAGCCTCCCAAGTAGCTGGGATTACAGGTGCCTGCCACCAAGCCCAGCTATATTTTCCTGATTTTCTTGTATTTCCTTTCGTTTGTCCTTCTGTTTTCTCTTTTGCTCTAATTTCAGAGAGATTTGCTTTTCTTTATTTTCTAACTCTTATTGAATTTTTAATTTTGTTATCATATTTCTAATTTCCAAGAGCTCTTATGTGTTCCCTGAATGCTCCTTTTACTAATGTTATATTCCTTTTTGATGGTTATATGTCTTACCTCTGAGGATATTAATCAGAGGATATTTGACATTTTCTTCAACCTGTACAGTCTCTCTTTCCTTGAAGTTGCTTTTTCCTATTCATCTTGGTCTCTGTTTTTCATGTGAGAGGTTTTCCTCAGTGCCTGTTAAACCTTGATTATCTGTTAATATTTAAGAATGGAGCTAAAAAGCTGAGTAGATATTTTGAACCAATAGGGCCTTGTTGGCCAGAGGCTCCACGACACGTTCTGGCTGGGTTATCTGGCTAAAGGACCCACACAGCACTGCCTTTAAATTTTCACTCTTGGGGAGATCAAATTCCCCTTAGAAGACTCTTCCGGGCTCATGCTCAAAGGATATAATTCTGGCCACCACATCATGGGAGCTCACTGGGGAAAGAGCAGTGGGTCTCAGTGTCTGTCCACTTAATTTCTCGGTTTCCAGCACAGCACCCAGCCCTCATCTCTGCCCAGTGTCCTCCTATCTGTGGACCTTCTGTTATAGACTCTGCGGTGCGGACAGGCTACCGGCCTGGTTGTGCAGAGAGGGGAGGGACCTGAGAGTCAAACTGCTTCCTAAACAGACTTTGAACCACTCCTAGTTTTAGGAGGCCCCACATCACTTCCAGGAACCTGGCGCTGCCAATTCCTGAGCCTTTGTGGGATTCTGGTTGGTTTCTCAAATTTCCTCACTGCTGACTTAGGATTCAGTTTTCCTAGGTCTGTTGTATTGTTGGCCACACTTCTTACTTTCTAGCTTTCAAAATATTGTTGCTATGGGGAGTTGAAAAAAAATGTTGTTGCTATCATTTCTTCCCTTTTTATCAGAAAGATAAAAAATGCCAAATGCCAGCACAAAGAGAATAGACCCACACTAAGGCACACCAGTGTGATAGCTCAAAACAGTGAGGACAAAGAACAGATGCTACAGGCTTCCAAAGAGGAGGAGCAAACAAGTCCTACCTAAAGGATGACAAATCAGAATGGCATCAGACTTCTCAATAGCAACCCTGAAGGCCAGATGTGTGTGTCTGTGTGTGTGTTTTGTTCTCCATCTGCACCTGGAAGTTGGGAGATTTACTTATCACTCTTTAATTTTTTCTGTTGTTTTATTGTTTAATCAATGTTTTAGTTACAAACTATTAATTATCGCAAATTGTTTCACATTTTTTTTTTTTTTTTTTTTTGAGATGGAGTTTCTCTCTGTTACCCAGGCTGGAGTGCAATGGCGCAATCTCAGCTTACTGCAACTTCCCCCTGCCGGGTTCAAGCGATTCTCCTGCTTCGATTCTCCTGCTTCAGCCTCCTGAGTAGCTGGGATTACAGGTGTGTGCCACCACACCCAGCTAATTTTTGTATTTTTAGTAGAGACGGGGTTTCATTATGTTGGTCAGGCTGGTCTCAAACTCTTGACCTTGTGATCCGCCCACCTCAGCCTCCCAAGGTGCTGGGATTACAGGCGTGAGCCAAGTGCCTGGCAAGAATTGTTTTGCTTTTTAAGATAATCTAGTTCATTTTTTTCAAAGCAGCTATGAGAGTATAGCATGTAAAAACTGCAAAATAATGATCAGCCTTTAAGGCTTTGAGTGGTTCCCAAGTGCTGAGCTCTGTCATATCTGCATGTATCTGCATGTATGTGCATGTATATTTACAAAGGAGACAGCTGTGGCTGACATGGAGAAGGTAATGTACCCACAAATTGTGACACAAGACCAATAAAAAATAATACAGCTATAAGCAGGAAATGAAGTAGGTCACAATGAGTCATCATCCGTTGTGTGAAATTTCTTAGGTTATTGTTACCTCAGCCCAGAGAAGAGTTTTCAATTCAGTTGCACACGAGTTATCCCACTTATAATGAATCTTCTGAAGCCATTAGTTGTTTCCTAATTTTTTGATTGTACATCCTTATAAGAAAAACATTTCAGCATACCCTCAAATATGTAAATGTATTTATTTGCAGGTTATACATGTCATATCAATATCAGTACAATACTAACATCCAAATAAGTAGAGATTTTTTTAGAGGATGCAATAGAAAATAAAATTAGAAGTTCTAATATTTTCCTTGAGTACCTCAGTGGATCATCTTAAACACCATGGAATTTTCCACCACGATGAATATCCAAACACTTAGACAAGGTTTTTGAAAGACTCCTACTCAGACCCTACCGAGGCATTCTGAATCAGAACTTCTGAGGGTAAGGCCCTAATGAGACAGCCAAACGCCAAGGCAGATAAAAAGGGGTCCCCGGAGAATCTCTAACCCTCCCCACAGGTGTTTACATCAGATGTTTTTGTGCAGACGAAGGAACTTGCCCAGGGCCTTGTCTGAGCATGCCCACATGAGCCCTGGGGGAGCAGGGTGGAGTCACAGGCAGGGGGAGGAGCCCTGGGATTCAATCTGTGAAGTGGGGAGCCTGTTTTCGCTTTGCTGAGGTTTTTTTTCATTTTTCCCTTTTCACCCAATAAAATCCTGCTCTATTCACCCTTCAATGTGTCCACGTGCCTAATTTTCTTGGTCATGTGACAAGAACCTGGTTTTAGCTAAACCAGGAGCAAAATTCTAAAACACTAGCAAGGACATTTTGAAAAAGTTTCCCTGCTGATTCCCATGTGCACCTTTGGTTTAAAAATACAATTCTAAAGATACAAGAATTAGAACCCCTAAAGGCCAGGTGCAGTGGTTCACGCCTGTAATCCCAGCACTTTGGGAAGCCGAGGCGGGCGGATCATGAGGTCAGGAGTTCGAGACCATCCTGACCAACATGGTGAAGCTCCGTCTTTACTAAAATACAAAAATTAGCCCAGTGTGGTGGCGGGTGCCTGTAATCCCAGCTACTCGGGAGGCTGAGGCAGGGGAATTGCTTGAACCCGGGAGGCAGAGGTTGCAGTGAGCCAAGATCGCGCCACTGTACTTCAGCCTGGGCGACAGAGCCAGACTCCATCTCAAAAAAAAAAAAAAATTAGAATCCCTAAAACACTGAACATAGTAGTCAAATGGCTACTGAATGCAAAGATCAGTCAATTAACTCTGGGAAATGTATAGTTCAACAGATTATCTGGATCATCATGTGCCTCAAAAAACATTGTGCTCTCCTCCCAACTCCATATTTTTCTTCCTCTGACTCTGTCCTTTCCTTTCTATTTTATTAATTTATTATTATTATTATTTTTTGAGATGGAGAGCTCTCTAAGTTGCGCAGGCTGCTCTCAAATGATCCTCCTGCCTCAGCCTCCCAAGGTGCTGGGATCACAAGTATAAGCCAACATGCCTGGCCTCCCCTCACTTTTAATATAACTTGAACTTTACTATTATATGCATAGATATTCATTATAGAAAATATAGATAAGCAAAAAAGAAGAAAATAAAAATGAATTCATAATTCTACCATTCCAAAATAATGAAAATGTTTACTCATAGCTTTCAATATATTTATGCAAACATGTATTTAAAAGGGAATCGGCCGGGGGCAGTGACTCACGTGTGTAATACCAGCACTTTGGGAGGCCGAGGTGGGCAGATCACCTGAGATCAGGAGTTTGAGACCAGCCTGGCCGACATGGTGAAACCCCGTCTCTACTAAAAATACAAAAATTAGCAGGGCATGGTGGCAGATGCCGGTAATCCCAGGTACTCCAGAGGCTGAGGCAGGAGAATTGCTTGAACCCAGGAGGAGGAGGTTACAGTGAGCCGAGATCGTGCCATTGCACTCCAGCCTGGGAGACAAGAGTGAAACTCCATCTCAAAATATATATATAAATAAATAAATATAAAAGGGAATCATACTGTACATGCCATTTTTAACCTGACTTTCTTCACTGTGTAATTATGTATTTTTTTCCGAGAAAATAAGAATGAAAGCTCTGACAGAGCCAGGAACAGTGGCAAGAGAGCTGATCGGCAAAGAGCAGGTGGTGAGATCAGAAACTCCCCCACTAACCTGCTGAACTGCCATCCTCTCCCTCATATTCTCTTCCCTCTACCTTCTGATCCTCCCTGACTTCATCTCTCTTCCTCTGTTTGCCTTCTACATGCTCTTTCCCTTTCTCTTTTCTTTCACCTTCTACCCTCAATTCTCTCTACTAAAGCAACCAAGGCCTTCAGGACAAGGATTAATATTTAATAGAATTAAACTTCCTGTTAATTTGACAAGGGATGCATAACCAGGAAGCTGGAGTGACAGCTGCACCCTCCTCTGAAGTGGGGATTTTCTGAGCAAGCCCAAGCAAGAGCCCTCTGTTCTTCTACTTTTTTTTTTTTTTTTGAGACAGAGTTTCGTTCTTGTTGCCCAGGCTGGAGTGCAATGGCATGATCTTGGCTCACTTCTCCTGCCTCAGCCTCCCAAGTAGCTGGGATTACAGGCATGTGCCACCATGCCCGGCTAATTTTGTATTTTTAGTAGAGACGGGGTTTCACCATGTTAGTCAGGCTTGTCTCCAACTCCTGATCTCAGGTGATCCACCTGCCATGGCCTCCCAAAGTGGGATTACAGGCATGAGCCACCACACCCAGCCTGAGCCCTCTGTTCTTGATAACTATCTGTTATTTCCACTCGGGAGCCCAAATTAAAGTTCCTTATTTGTCTTAGAAGCAAGGTGCGGCCAGAGGCAGCGGGGTACCCAGGTTGTCAGAGAAGAGCCATGTCAGGAAGATTGCATTTCTGGAATTGAAACCAAGGGAGAGATGGTTGACAGAAGGTGAGGACTGAGAAGGAGGCAGGCATGAAAATCCAGAACAAACCAGCTGTGGAGCTTTCCCACTGGTGTTACAAAACCGGTCACAGAAAACCAGTTCCTCTTGCTTTAGGTGGCAAGAATCTTCTACATGCTGGTTACCTCAACCCCACTGACAAAGACATTTCCACCTGCAATTATTAATCCACTGCTAGTGAGGAAAGTTTTCTGAACTTTGAAAACTTCATTGGGCTGGTGTGAAAGAAAGTAAGCACTTTCTACTACAGTGAAGCCAAATTGTGTTTTTCAGAGGCTGTGGAAAATTATTATTTTCATTAAATGCAAATCATTGCCCTCAAACCAATGACGTTCTTAGGCATGAAATTGTCATTGGCTTTATTAACTAGGAGAGGCTACATTACCCAACTCTCTAAAGGCACTCTGCTGTAGAAGGTTCTAGAAAATGAATGGAAAGTGACTCATTCTCCACCTTCATCCCCAAAACCAAAACTCCCCCTGCAGCAAAACACCCCCTGCAGCAGCAGGAGTTTATGGATCATCCTCAGAGTGGGGGTGTAGCACATGGGCCACTAGATGCTTCAGGGGGCAGCAATTAAGTGCTTCACCAGGGGCATTAGTCACAGTGGGTGGGACCCTCCCTGTCACCCTGCAGAAATGGGAGCCAGAGAAGCTGGTAATAACTGAAGAGAGGGAGGCCCCATCCCCTACAACCTCTCCCTTTTCCCAGCAGCAAGTACTGAATAAGCAGCACTTAGCATATGTACAAGGTCAGAAAGGAGGTGAAAAATAGGGAGAAGGTGTTTTGACATAAATATTTCCAGAAAGGATCTCTTAAGGGAGAGCATCTCTGGCTTATGGCAGAGTTAAAACTTAAAAAAGAAAAAAAAATTATTCGAAAAAAACTAGAAAAAGTTTTCCTCCTCCTCACCCCGAGAAACAAATCTCTACTTGTAGTGGCGCCTGAAGTTTAACCATTAGTGACTCATTCCTTTGTGAACTGCAGGAGACTTGGCATTTAAGAGGTCTGTATTGAAATGCAAATATTTATGAGACCTGCCAATAATTTTCACTAGTATCAGAATCCTTGAGATGACCTTCAAATACAGATTCCTGGTGGCATAGACATGCATAGTTTGTACCCCTAGTCCTCACTACAACCATGACCTTCAGGCAATAGATGGGTTCTCCAGTTCTCTGGCTTCTGATGGGACCCTGATGTAGTTAACTTAAGTTCTTGCTTTTCCAGGTTAGAAAATGATTTCCACTGTGGCGACAGTTTGGCTACCTCAATCAGAACTGACCCTTTATAGTTAAAGATGGAAGCAAAATGGAAAACTGTAAATAGTTGGGCTTTTTAAATTTTGGCATGTCAAAAGGGAGGGCGGCTATACAGGAGTAAACACTGTCACCTTCCTCCACTGAATCCATGGCCCCTTCCTATATCTTGTCTCGTTCTTTTCTCCTTGGTTTCTCTACAATTACATTCTCTTTCTCCTTTTTCTCCTACCCCTCAAGACACAGACATACTAGGAATGCAATCATATTTGTCTTATATGTACTTAATAATTTAGTACTTTCTTTACACAACATGGTGAGAAATAAAATTCTAAGCCCCCAACTGACTGAATGGACCCTCTCTTGGCCAAAGGAGCCCCAAAGAAACCTTGGAAGCTGAATTCATGGCCACAGTCTGACACCTCCTCCCTCGATAAAAGTCATTAGGTTTCCTTCTCGAAGGTCTAAACAGAAACCAGCCCTTTCAACAGACTACTAGCTTGTCTTCCCAGACACAGTACAAAGACAAGATGAGGTTAATGGTTCCTTCATCACTCCCCAAGACCTCTGCTTCCTCTATTCCCTTTTTCTTCAATGCTGGCCTTACCTTGTGTAAAATGTAGATTTTGGGGGCACTAGTTAAGTCTCACAAATACATTCTCATTGGTCTCACTGTCACCCCTCCTCCACCCCTTTTAAAGGAAAATGAATAAATACTAAACCTCCTGAGAATCTCTTTGGAAAAAACAGCCACAGATGCTTCTGTGACTCATGTTTTTTTCCCGGGCACGCCCTCACACTGGCTCAAAACCTGGATGATTTGAATCTTATGCTTCAATCACTCATTTTGGTTTTCAATAGGTTTAATATTTTACTTGAGAATAGAGTCGTGTCAGTGAGCTGGACTTTTTTACTCAATGGGCTTAGCAGCCATGACAGGGGAAAAAGGGTCTTCCCTCTGTTTCATGATGTTAAGAGTGAAGGGATCATTGATCAGGTGCTGAGAGCCACAGGGCCACCTAAAGAGTGTCAGAGGATAATAAGGGTGAGTTGGGGGTTTGAAAAAACAAGACCAAGGACAAGATCCCCCTCCTTCTCAAACTGGCAAAGAACAAGTTAAAATCAGCCCTGACCAGTGAGCCCTGGTTAACAGTCCACCCTGGGGCAGCAGCAAAGACCCCACAGGTTGCTCTCTGCTCATGCCCTCTGTAAGATTTCCTCAGGTGGGGAGGGCACATGGGGCCCAGGGTTATTCTGTAGAGTTGGGACAACCATAATGTACCTCTTCTGCCTGTTGGCCTCCTTTTCCCCACTTCAATACATACAGGTGAAATCAAATGAAAATTAACACCAAGGACCCCACAAAGGGTAAAGAAGCCACTACAAGCCAAGAAAGCAGAGTGTGTGGACAAAAGAAGGGGGGAAGTAAGTCACTCCAGATTCTCTGGGTTGCTAGGTGTAGTTTGGAAGACAAAGTTACTGATATTTTCAAGCTTCAGCTGGCCAAGCCCTCTTCTCCTCTAGGTGGGATGCCTCCATGAGCTCCAACAGGCAGCCTCGCCGACCTCCCAGCTCTGCTCAGTTGCTCAGCACCCCATGGAGAAGGTGAAGCCCATAATGAACACACTGCCCTGGCCACTTACTTCCTCCAACCAAAGAAGCCCTCATCTCCCGGGCCTAGACCATTTCCGGAGACCAGCTTGTGACAGAGCCACAACCTCCGGTCACTCTGTCAGCTATCTGCAGTTCCTCCTTTTTCCTTTCCTCTCTCCCCTCATAAACAATGACTGTTGATGTTTCCACTAGCTACAGATGCTGATGCCAAGATTAGCTTTGGTCAAGATGATATTCTCCATCCTCCAAAACAATGACCAAAATGTTTTATTTTATGGCTAGGAACTTTACTTTCTTTCATATGAAATATTTAATGTATTTTTCACTGTGCTCATTTTTGTTTTGTGTGGTGATAGTTAATAGCAAAACTTATGCTACCCCATCAAGAAATAAACAAGGAACTTCTTGATAACAGGAGGAACTAACCATGCAACTGAAAGCAGAGGCGCAAAAAAGAGCTTTTTCTATATTTGATTCCTTCTCTGATTTGTATAATCTCCCCATCAAAAAAAAAAAAATCAATGAATTGTGTAACTCAGTTTCTCAAGTGTCATAACAACCTGTGCTCCCTGTTCCACTCTCCCCACACACAGAATGCTTAATAAGAGATTAAAGCACACATAGACATCTATCGTTTTAAGCAGGTAGCTATATGCTTCTGCTGCCACTCACCAAAGACAGGGAAATTTCTCATTTGTATAAAGCCCAGTTACCAATACTTAACAGCTTTCTCTTCTATAAGTTCAAGTCTAAAAAATAGAATTTCAGAACAGTGGAGGAAAATATGAATATTACAACATATAATATTAAGGCAACCATAGTCTCATGGGAAAAAAAACAGGACAAAACCCAGATGATGCAGAGTTTTAAGTGTAAAAATAAAAGAATAAAAGTAATAGAGAAAAAATGGTTTTTTAAAAATACTTTTTGGAGGCTGGGCGTGGTGGCTCACCCCTGTAATCCTAGCACTTTGGGAGGCCAAGGCGGGTGGATCATGAGGTCAGGAGTTCAAGACCAGCCTGGCCAACATGATGAAACCCCGTCTCTACTAAAATACAGCTGGGCATGATGGCAGGTGTCTGTAATCCCAGCTACTCAGGAGGCTGAGACAGGAGAATTGCTTGAACCCGGGAGATGGTGGTTGCAATGAGCTGAGATTGCGCCACTGCACTCCAGCCTGGGCGGCTGAGCGAGACTCCGTCTCAAAAAAAAAAAGTTTTTGGAGTAAGGAGGACCTTTCTAAGTATTACATATAGCCAAAATACCATAAAAGTCTGATAGCTTGAACAATATACAGTTTTTTTTTTAACTTCCAGAAACAAAGCCAAAAAAAGACTAATGACAAAATGAGAAAAATGTGTTGGCAACTCTCATCACAAACATGTAATTTCCTTCAGATAAAAAGAACTCCAAACTTAATACTGTAAGACCAAAAACCCAACAGAAAAAAAAAAAAGGAAAAGGATACAAGCAGATAGTTTACAAAAAAGGAAATAGAGGTGCCTCATAAACATGTAAGAAAATGTTTTCATAAGTTAATTTAAATAATTCAATTTTACCATATTTAAATATAATTTAAATTTAAATTACGCTAATATATCATTCTCTGCCTATCAGATCGACAGACTGCAAAAAGTTTGATAATGTACTTTGCAGGCAAGGCTGTGAGAAAACAAGCATCTTACCTGTTGCTAGTGAATGTAAAGTGGTACCATCTCACCAGAAGGCAATTTAAACAATATCTTTTATTTTGCAAATGTATATAACCCTGACCTGAAATTCTACTTGTAGGACTTTATCCTATAGATATACCCATATATATGAAAAAAGCAAGTACAGAGAAATTTATTTGCAACTGCTCTGTTGATTTGCAAATAGATTATTATGCAGAACTGTAGAAGAGACTAAGGAAGTTCTGCATGTACTGGTATAGAATGATCTTCAAGATGTTTTATTAAATGAAGAAAAGCAAGGAGAGAGCAATGCGTGTGTGTGTGCATGTATATGTGGGTAACACGTGTGCAAATGCATTTAGAAATATTCTAAATATTTATTATTGTATAACTTTCTGGAAGTATATTTTAAAAATCCATTCACTTATCTCTAGAAAAGGAAATTGGCCAGCTGGGGGACAGACGGGGAGACAGACCTTCTACTGTATATCTTTTTTGTATATACCTTCTGCATTTTGAACCATGTAAATGTATTACTTTCTCAAAAATAAATAAAATATTATTATTATTATTATTATTAATTTATTTATTTTGAGATGGGGTCTTGCTCTGTTGCTCAGGCTGGAGTGCAGTGGCAGGATCTCAGCTCACTGCAACCTCCACCTCCTGGGTTCAAGTGATTTTCCTGGCCTCAGCCTCCCTAGCAGCTGGGATTATAGGCATGCACCACCATGCCTGGCTAATTTTTGTATTTTTGTAGACATGAGGTTTCACCATGTTGGCCAGGCTGGTCTCAACCCCCTGACCTCAAGTGATCTGCCCACCTCGGCCTCCCAAAGTGCTGGGATTAGAAGTGTGAGCCACCACATCCAGCCTAAAAAGAAATATACTATTATAATGAAGAATAAATAAAGAAGCAGTAATACATGAGTTTGAGTGAACTTCAAAAAGGATGAAAAGGATAGTGGATTTTATGTTATGTAAATTTTACCTCAATTTAACAACAACAACAAAAAAAAGGAGCAGGATTGCAACAGGGAGCTAAAGGCAAAGCCTGTCCTTCCTCCAGTGCACCTGTCTTTTTGGCATGGCTCTACTAATGATGTGCTGATCAAGGTTGAACAAAAGATACCTCCCCACCACAATAAAAAGCACTGATTTGTATCATTTGCCAATTTGTATCAATTGTATCGGTTCCCACCAATGAACATGGAGTTGGGACAAAATGCATACAATTGGCTCTTGAGAGCCAGTGCAATTGAGACCCAGGACACCACTGGAATTTACCCAGTTACTGAAACCAGAACCCTGGGAAACATCCTTGATTCTTAAACCTTTCCTACCCCTCGCTACCCATGGTCTGCTCAATAGCCATTGCACTCCTCCCACATTGGGTAGAAGCCTTGTAGTTTAGGAATGGATCCTGTCCCCAGGTGGTCTAATCCAATATATATACTGCCACCCATTGATATGCAAAGACATTTATCCTTTGGGATAGCCAGCTGAATCCTGGGCCACCTGGAGGCCCAGGATGCTTGCTTTGAGTCATTCCAATCTGCTAGCTATGTAAGCATTATTATTTGTTGAAAAGATAGGGAGGCTCCGGACTAAGGGAATTATAGTCATCTATTCCTCTCACTGGTGACTGACTCAGGACCTCAGTACTAAGTCATTTAGTGCATGCTATTCCCTAGTCACAGAGATTAGCCCAAAAGTGGACTCATGACTCAGTTCAGGCCAATGAGATGTGACAAGAGTTTTGCTGGAGGCATCTGAAAAATTTCCTACTCTTCAGAGAGTTGCAGGAAGAGATAATTTCTCTCTTCCTTATACAGAAGATGAGGTCTGGAACTGCCACCACCATCTTGTCCGGCAGCCTGAGCACAAATCCCTCCCCCAGAGGTGGGAGGGCCAAGTGGACGGCCAGAGCCAGACACCCCAGCCTATGTTTGGACAACCCATGCTGTAGGCCAATACATTTCCTATGTTTAAGGTAGTTGGATTTAGATTATCTGTTTCTTGCTGTTGAATGCATCTTAAGCAACATAGTTTTGACCTGTTTGTGCTGGTTTATTTTATGTGTCAACATGGCTAGGCTACAGTACCCAGTTATTCAGTCAAACACTAACCTAGGAGTTACTAGTAAGGTTTGCAGGTGTGATAACATCTACTAAAAATGACTTGAAGTAGATTATCTTTGCTAATCTGGGTGGGCTTCATCCAATCAATTGAAAGTTCTTAAGAGAATAAACAAGTTTCCTTGAAGAAGAAAAAATTCCACCTGCAGACTGCAACATCAGCTCTTGCTCAAGAGTTTCCAGCCTGCTGGCCTGTCCTACAGTTTCAGACTTGCCTAGTCAGTCCCCACAATCACATAAGCCAACTCCTGTCACAAATCTCTTGCTCTCCTTCTGTCTGTGTATATATGTATATACGCATATATATATATATTTATATACTGGCACTGTTTCTCTGGTCTAACCCTGATTAATGCACCTCTTTTTTCCTTTGTGATACTTATCTCAATTTGGGATTATATACTTTGCATTTATTATGTATATTCCAATATTCACAGTTAGACTATAGGCTTTATGGACATATGTGAGTAATTCCAGAAGTAGAATTTCTGGTCAATGATTATACACATTTGGAAGATGAAAAATATTGCTAACTTACCGTCTTCAGAGGTTGTACCAATTACACTCTTACTAGATCATAGCCTTCATGTCTTTTGTATTACTATGTGTTCCTGGCACATAGTAGGTGTTCAATAGATATAAACAGACGGAATTCTAGGAAAAGAAACACAAATTAAGGCAAAAAGACATAAAGGTATGCTACATTGGGAAGTTTTTTGTTTGACTAAATCACTTTTTCTTTTAGTTCCCCTTTCCTCTACAGGTGACTTGAAAATTTGGAATAATTCACAACCTGGTGCTTATTCAGCAGCAACAGCAGCAGCAGGCAGAACTCTGAGTTTGGGGTAAGCCCTCAGTTTGAACACAAACTCTGTGACATTCAAGCTGTCCAACCTTGGGCAGATCCTTAGCCTCTATCATCCTCAGCTTCCACATCTTTGTGGAAATGAAGCTGATGACCTTCCAGACTGGAGTGAAGATCAGGAGATAAAGCACCTGGTCCATTATGCACTGTGGACATGGGGATTATAATAAGGTCTTCCCTGCAAATTTGGGAACAGAAAGCAACAATGTGCTCTAAAAACAATGGAAATTGAGCACATAAAGCACCTGAGCAGAGACATAAGGTGACCATGAAGAGACCAGCAGGATATCAACCAAGCTGAAGTTGGTAAAACACCTAAAGGAGGATATGACAACTAGAAGGGGATTGTCAGACACAAAGCCTAGAAAAAGCAGAGTTAGAGACAAAGTGAGGCTGTGCCTCTGAAGGCATGTCCCATCAGGCCCCAAAATTCAGCCCAAAAGGTCATTCCAATCATGAGAACACATCCATCTGGCTGCCTGAACTTAATACTGTTCTACTTTTGAATTACATAAACAGCCCTTTTTGTTCAGATTCCACATTGACCAAAACCTTTCTGATAGTTTGGGGTCCTATTTGGCCTGTCCACAGGGAATTTTCTCCGGTCAGGCTCACCTGGCCAGCCAGCTCTCCTGACCCGGCATCCCACTCAAACACCTGTGTTCTCTTTTATTTTAGAGGTTAGGCAGGACAATCTGACCCAGATGGGGGAGGAAATTGCAATCATGTTTTTGTCTAATTCACAGCTCTAATTAGGGGATAAGAGAAAAATAGAGCATGAGAAGAAATGGTCCAAGAGCTGGAAAATTTGTAAAAGCACCCACATCCCTATGGGGAAGGCACCCTTGTGAACTTTGCCTCTACAGCTAAGCTGACCTCATATCAACTCTGCAAGGAAGACAGGGCAAGCACTTCACATTGTATTTATTTATTTACTTATACCCAGCTTATTCCTTAAAGGACTTAAGGCAAGCAGGCTTTAAGGGCCATCTTCCCTGACTAGTGATAAAACTAAGTGATAAAAATAAGTTTGTCCAGAATCACATACTTTTTATATAAAAGTCCAGAGACCAAACCATGACTTTCTTAGTCTAGGTCAAAGCTCTTGCCAAGGAACCAAACTGAAGATGAGAAAAGAGTGCATTTGTTCTAAACAGAATGCTGAATTCAGAAGACTTAAGGATGGCTTTAGATTAGGACTGAAGTTTGTAATCTGTGATTCAGTTTTTGTGCTTTTGTAATTTCCTTATTCCAGTCTTTTGAATTCTTTTAGATTTTTTATTTATTGTAAAATAGAAGACGTTTGATTCCAGCCATAACAGCGTAGCTTATATTGAGCTAACCCTCCCGTTGAAAACAACTGTACCAGATGGACTAAGTACATAGCACAACATTTGAAAGCATTGGAGGGCAACCAAGACAGATGATCCCTAAGAGAAGGGAGGCACATCAAAGTGATCTCTATACTCACCCTGGCCCAACTCACAGGTCAGGGAATAAAGTAAGTGGCAGTTCCATTAGGCTGAAGAGACGGATTAGAGTTTAAAGCTGCTCAAGTGGCTGCGACTTGATGGTAAAATCTCAAGGAGGAGAGAGTTGCAGAGAAATAAACCCAAAAGGCTACATGCAATCTCCCCTTGAGATGTCTGCAAACTCCTAAGCTGAGCAAGCACAAGCAGAGACTGCAGGAGAACCAAAAGAAAAGCAGCAGCTAGGAGGCTGGAGAGCTGGGCAAAGATTTTTGCAGCAGCATGGTACTGAGAAGATAGAAAAACAAAGCCCACCAAGGTGAATAGGTAAAAACTATTGGTTGAAACCCCGAGAAAGACCTGTGAATAGTCACTGCACTCCAGGCTGGGCAACAGAGTGAGACCCCCTCTTAAAGCTGATAACCAATAAGTTAAAACAAGAGAGGAAAAAAAGGAATAATAAAAGTACTTGATTCTCTCCCCTCAAAAAGCAAGAAAGGAGAAATAAAGAACAGAAATAGAAACAAGTTAACAAGGTAATAGAGTTAAACATAAATATTTCAATAATTACATTAAATGTTAATGGATTAGTACCCCAATTAGAAGATCAGAATTACTTTAAGACAAAAAAGAAAAATACGTATTCTGTTTACAAGAGACTCAATTTAGGCTGGGCGCAGTGGCTCATGCCTGAAATCCCAGCACTTTAGGAGACCAAGGAGGGTGGTTTACTTGAGGCCAGAAGTTCAAGATCAGCCTGGCCAACATGGCAAAACCCTGTCTCTACCAAAAATATAAAAATTAGCCAGGCATGGTGGTGCATGTCTGTAATTCCAGCTACTCAGGAAGCTGAGGCAGGAGAATCGCTTGAGTCAGGAGGCAGAGATTGTAGTGAGCCAAGATCACGCCACTGCACTCCAGTCTGGGTGACAGATGAGACTGTCTCAAAAAAAAAAAAAAAAAAAGAGAGAGAGAGAGACTCAATTTAAATAGAAGACACAAAGTTTAAAGAAAAAGAATGGAGACATGGAGACTGGGCACAGTGGCTCACTTCTATAATTCCAGTACTCCTGTACTTTGGGAGGACGAGGCGGGTGGATCACTTGAGGCTAGGAGTTCAAGACCAACCTGGCCAACATGGCAAAACCCCATCTCTACTAAAAAAAATACAATAATTAGCTGGGTGTGGTGGCATAAGCCTATAGTCCCAGCTACTCTGGAAGCTGAGGCAGGAGAATCACTTGAACCTGGGAGGTGGAAGTTGCAGTGACCAGAGATCATGCCACTGTGCTCCAGCCTGGGCAACAGAGCAAGACTCAGTATCAAAAAAATAAAAATAAATAAAAATTAGCTGGGCATGGTGGGCACAGGCCTGTAGTACTAGCTACTCCAGAGGCTGAGGTGGAAGGATCACTCTTGAGCCCAAGAGTCCGATGCTGCAGTGAGCCATGATCATGCCACTGTACTCCAGCCTGGGCAAGAGAGAGAGACAAACCCTGTCTCAGAAAAAAAAAAAAGAATAGGAGAAACAAAATGCCATGCCATGCCAACAGTAACAAAAAAAAAAGCTGGTAGAGCTGTATTAATATCAGACAGCACAGACTTTAGAGCAAGAAATATCTCTAAAGAAGGATGTCTCATAATGATAAAAAGATCAATTAACCGTCCTAAATTTAAATATACCTAAGAATTTATAATTTATAAATCTTTTAAAAAATGTTACCCAGCATGGTTTCAATACATATTAAGCAAAGTTGGCAGAACTAAAAGGAGAAATAGACAAATCCACCATCATTATTAGAGATTGTTTCAATAGCTGATAGAACAAGCAGACAAAAAAATCAGTAAGGATATATAAGATTTGAATAACAGAAGTAACTAAATTGACCTAGTTGACATACATATATAGAACACTGCACTTGAAAAATGCAGACTAAATACTGTTTTTCAAGAGCACATGAATACTTATCAAAATGGACCATATGCTAGCGTGTAAAGCAAGTCTCAAAAATTTCAAAGGACTGAAATTGTATGAAGTGTGTTCTCTGACTACAATGGAATCCAACTAAAAATCTATAACAGGAGGATAACTAGAAACCCCTCCCAACAAGTGTTTGAAAATTAAGCAACATATTTTTAAATAGCACATAAGTCTAAGAAGAAATAGCAATAAAATTAGAAAATATTTAAAACTAAATAATAATAAAAATAAGGCATATCAAAACATCTGAGATACAAGTAAAGAGGGTTAAAAGGCCGCGTGTGGTGGCTCACGCCTGCAATCCCAGCACTTTGGGAGGCTGAGGTGGGCAGATTGCCTGAGCTCAAGAGTTCAAGACCAGCCTGGGCAACATGGTGAAACTCCGTCTCTACTAAAATACAAAAGATTAGCCAGGTGTGGTAGCATGCACCTGTAATCCCAGTTACTCAGGAGGCTGAGGCAGGAGGATTGCTGGAACCCGAGAGGTGGAGGTTGCAGTGAGCCGAGACCACACTACCACACTCCAGCCTGGGCAACAAGAGCCAGACTCTTGTCAAAAAAAAAAGGGGGGGTGGTTAAAAAGAAATTCATAGCTTCAAATGTATACATTTGAGAAAAAGAATGATTGCAAATTCACATGATTTAAGCTTCTATCTTAAGAAGCTAGGAAGAGAACAGCAAATTAAACCCGAAGGAAGTCAATAATAAAAAGATAACAGCAGAAACCTTTGAAATAGAAAACAAATATGCAATAAAGAAAGTCTATAAATTCGAAAAGAAACTTGAGGCCAGGTGTGGTGACTTACACCTGTAATCCCAGCACTTTGGGAGGCCAAGGCAGGTGGATCACTTGAGGTCAGGAGTTTGAGACCAGCCTGGCCAACATGGTGAAATCCTGTCTCTACTAAAAATACAAAAAATTATTCAGGCATGGTGGCATGAGCCTGTAGTCCCAGCTACTCGGGAGGTTGAGTCAGGAAACTCGCTTGAACCTGAGAGGCAGAGGTTGCAGTGAGCCAAGATTGCACCACTGCACTCCAGCCTGGGTAACAGAGCGAGACTCTGTCTCCAAAAAAAAAAAAAGAAACTGGAGATGCTTCCACTTGTTTCTTAGTCAAAGCTTGTTTTAGTTCTTCCTTCCATATCTGTGTACATTTTATTTCCTTGTCTTGTCCTATCGCACTAATAGGACTTCCCATACATTGTTGAATAGGAGAGATGAGAAGGGACGTCCTTGCCTTTTTTCTGATCAGACAGGAAAAGCATACAATTTCTCACCATGAAGTATGATCTTAGCTGTAGGCTTTTTGTAGATGCTCTTTATCAAGTCGAAGAAGTTCTCTCTATTCCTAGTTTGATGAGAGTTTTTATCATGAATAAGTGTTGGATTTTGTCAAATGTTTTTTCTGTATCAATTGATATGATCATATGATTTTTTTTTTTTTAGCCTGTTGACATGGTGGGTGACATTGATTTTTTTTTTTTTTTTTTTTGAGACTCTCTCTGTTACCCAGGCTGGAGTGCAGTGGTGCAATCTTGGCTCACTGCAACTCCGCCTCCTGGGTTCAAGCGATTCTCCTGCCTCAGCCTCGAGTAGCTGGGATTATAGGCACCTGGCACCACGTCTAGCTAATTTTTGTATTTTTGGTAGAGACAGGGTTTCACCATGTTTGTCAGGCTGGTCTCGAACTCCTGACCTCAGGTGATCCGCCTGCCTTGGCCTCCCAAAGTGCTGAGATTACAGGCATGAGCCATTGTGCCTGGCCACATTGATTGATTTTTGAATGTTGAGCCAGCCTTATATATCTGGTATAAATCCCACTTGGTCACAGTATACAATTCTTTTTATATAGTGTTGGATTCAATTTGTTAATATTTTGTGTTAGAATACTTTTGCATCTATGTTCACGAGAGATACCGCTGTGTAGTTTTTCTGTTTGTCTTTTTTTTTTTTTTTTTTAAATAAGAGATAGGATCTCGCCATGTTGCCCAGGCTGGCCTCGAATTCCTGGGCTCAAGTGATCCTCCCACCTCAGCCTGCTAACTAGCTGGGACTACAGATGTGTGCTATTGTGCCTGGCAGTTTTTCTTTCTTGTAATCTCTTTATCTGGTTTGGAGATTAGGGAAGAACAGATTAGGAAGTAATGGTTTGTTTCAAAACATTCCCTGAACCTTGACTATGCTAAGGAGTGATCTTTCTGAGATCTGGATGGCCCTAGTTGGAAGGCCTGGGAAGACCTGGTAGGAATGGAACAGAAAACTAGGTAAAGATCTCAGACGTAAAGATTGTCGGGGAGTAGCCATAGTTATTTGCTCCCCTGCTAGGTTAATATCGCATTGGGAAGGTTATATACACATTTATGAATATTAAATTAACAATGGAGGCTGGGTGTGGTGGCTCACACCTGTAATCCCAGTGCTTTGGGAGGCCAAGGCAGGTGGATGGCCTGAGCTCAGGAGTTCGAGACCAGCCTGGGCAATATGGCGAAACCCCGTCTACTAAAAAATCCAAAAATTATCTGGGCATGGTGGCATGCAACTGTAGTCCCAGCTATTCAGGAGGCTGAGGCAGGAGAATCGCTTGAGCCCAGGAGGAAGAGGTTACAGTGAGCTGAGAACACACCATTGTGCTCCAGCTGGGGCGACAGAGCCAGACCCTACCTCAAAAATAAATAAATATAAACATTAACAGTGGAAGACAGTATATTGGCCAAAAAACCCCCCAGAAACCAAAAACACCTTAGAGACAGTAAATGATGTAGGATTTGAGAATGGGATGTTGGTAAAGTCTTTCTTCTTCTAAACTAAGTTTACGGTTTCTTTACCTCTTCTCCCACCTATATGGCTGAGGATGGAGGAATGAATATGTGAAACACTGCCATGATTCAGCTGTTTTTTTTGTTTGTTTGTTTTGTTTTGTTTTGAGACGGAGTCTCGCTCTGTCGCCCAGGCTGCACTGCTGGAGTGCAGTGGCGCGATCTGGGCTCGGCTTACTGCAAGCTCCGCCTCCCGGATTCACGCCATTCTCCTGCCTCAGCCTCCCGAGTAGCTGGGACTACAGGCGCCCGCCACTACGCCCGGCTAATTTTTTATATTTTTTAATAGAGACGGGGTTTCACTGTGTTAGCCAAGATGGTCTCGATCTCCTGACCTTGTGATCCGCCCGCCTCGGCCTCCCGAGTGCTGGGATTACAGGCGTGAGCCACCGCGCCCGGCCATGATTCAGCATTTTATGCTCGGGGAAACATAAACACACTACAGTAAAATCATATTAATTTGAGTTCCTAAAAATCAGACACATTATTGTATTCCACGTTGACAAAGGCGTACCTTTGTAACATGGAGATAGAGACTGCTAATGAAGTTAATGGTGTAAGCAAAATTGTGTTGGAGGTAGAATTGAAAGAAGGAAGGATTTGGACTTATTTAAAAAGAATAAACGCTTCAAGCCCGTTAATAATTATGGTAAAGCCCCATTAAGTTGGACTGTACCAATTTGGCATTTGTGCCAAAATTCATGCTAGTGCTGAATTTTACCTAGGCTAAACATATCTTTCTTCAAGATAAAAAGGTATTTTAAAGGCTCTTTCTCCGATTTCTCAAAACACCATTAAAAACAAATTAATTGTTCCTTTATAGGATATTCTTACTTCATAGAATATCCTCTATTTTAAGACACTGTTAATTACAGTTTATCATTAATTTGTAATAATATTCATGAGAAAAGAAACACTGATAAGCAAGCAATTTTTTTTTTTTTTGAGACGGAGTCTCGCTCTGTCACCAGGCTGGAGTGCAGTGGCATGACCTCGCCTCACTGCAAGCTCCGACTCCCTGGTTCAAGAGATTCTCTTGCCTCAGCCTCCCAAGTAGCTGAGATTACAGGCACGTGCCACCACAACCAGCTAATTTTTGTATTTTTTTTAGTAGAGATGGGGTTTCACCATGTTGGCCAGGATGGTCTCCATCTCCTGACCCTGTGATCCTCCCGCCTCAGCCTCCCAAAGTGCTGGGATTACAGGCATGAGCCACCGCTCCCAGCAAGCAAACTGAATTTTAAGATACATGATAATTTTGGAAATAATAAATGTGAATAATGTCCATTTTAAGATTAAAGATATTCTGTAGCCCACCTCTCCTTGCTCAGCTTTAGACCCTTATAATCCACCTACTTGTTGGACACATCCACTTCTGTTTCGATGCCCCTGAAATTCAATTCATTATTCTGTCAATCCCCTTACCCTAAACTGCTTTCATTCCTCTTACCCATTTCTATTTCCGTTATCAAAACTTTGCTCAAGTCAGAAAGCTTGGCTCCTTCTTTCCTCTCACCCTCCACATCCGATCAACCACCAAGTTCTGTCCACTTTACCTCCGAGATATGTTGAGAACCCACCCACTCTCTCACATGACCCCTGCTACCATCCTTGCTCACACAACCAGCTCTTCTCTCCTGGAAGATTGCAACAACCTCCCCACTGATTTCTGCCTTCTCACTCCCACTTCCCTCTGCTGGAACAGTATTTTTTTTTTTTTTTTTTTTGAGACGGAGTTTCACTCTTGTTGCCCAGGCTGGAGTGCAATGGTGTGATCTCGGCTCACTGCAACCTCCACCTCCTGGGTTCAAGCGATTCTCCTGCCTCAGCCTCCCGAGTAGCTGGGATTACAGGCATGTGCTAACACACCCAGCTAATTTTGTATTTTTAGTAGAGATGCGGTTTCTCCATGTTGATCAGGCTGGTCTCGAACTCCCTACCTCAGATGATCTGCCTGCCTCGGCCTCCCAAAGTGCTGGGATTACAGGCATGAGCCACCACAGCCGGCCAGTCTTTTTTTTTTAGAGATGGGGTCTTACTTAGTTACCCAAGCTGGAGTGCAGTGGTGTGATCATGGCTCCCTGCAGCTTCTACCTCCATGGCTCAAGTGATCTCCCACCTCAGTCTCCCAGTAGCTGGGACTACAGTGTGCACCACCACGCCTGGCTAACTTCTTGATTTTTTTAGTAGAGACAAGGTCTCCCTATGTTACCAAGGCTGGTCTCAGACTCCTAAACTTAAGTGATCTGCCTTGGCCTCCCAAACTCCTGGGATTACTTGAGCCACCATGCTCGGCTGGCACAGTCTTTTCCAAAATCTGTACTTGAGATCTTTTTAATAGACATCAAGACCTTTAGAATAAAGTACCAGATCCTTATTATGGCATCCAAGGCCCTTGTGATGGGAGCCAGTGCTTGGTTCTGCATCATCTCCCTCCACTTGCCTCCTTGCTCAAGAAACTCCAGCTGTCTTGACTTCTTTTAGTTCCTCAGTCATTCATAGAATGCGCTGTCACACTATGCACACATCTTACCAAAAGGTTCCTTCCTCAAGAAGGCACTTTCTGAGCCCCAGATTAGACTGAGTCCCACTGCTCTATGCTCCCACTACACACAGGTCCCTCACAGTCATAACACTCATCACTGTTACAATCATCATTCAAATCCACCTTCCTCACTAGAGTGCAAACTATGTTCCTGCACTGCACTTAATGCCTGGCACACAGTAAGCTCTCCCTAAAATGTAGGTAAATACATTAAAAAGTAATGTCATTAAAGAATAAATATTACCAAAGAGTAAGCATTCACATACATGCTGCATAGGGCCTAGACTCTGGAATCAGACTGCTGGATTCATATTCCAACTTCCCCACTTATTAGCAAAGTAATAATTGGTATAACTCTTTGTGTCTCAATTTCTCCCTTTATAATGAGTATAACAATGCATAACAATGCTACCTACTTCGTGGGGAGTTTTGAGGTGTGAATAAATTTGTCCAAATAAAGCACTTAGGCCGGGCGCGGTGGCTCACGCCTGTAATCCCAGCACTTTGGGAGGCCGAGGCGGGCGGATCACGAGGTCAGGAGATCGAGACCATCCCGGCTAAAACGGTGAAACCCCGTCTCTACTAAAAATACAAAAAATTAGCCGGGCGTAGTGGCGGGCGCCTGTAGTCCCAGCTACTTGGGAGGCTGAGGCAGGAGAATGGCGTGAACCCGGGAGGCGGAGCTTGCAGTGAGCCTAGATCCCGCCACTGCACTCCAGCCTGGGCGACAGAGCGAGACTCCGTCTCAAAAAAAAAAAATAAATAAATAAATAAAAAATAAAGCACTTAAAACATTGTCCAGAGCATAGTAAGCATTCAACAAATATTACTTATTATTATCTCATTTATCCATTCCAATAATCCTAGAAGGAATTATATTCAGTAAACTGAGGGATACATACAGTAAGAGTCCCCAGAATTTGAGTAATGTAAAGGTCACTGTCTTGAGATGGAACTACTAAAAAAGCATAAAATCAGCTGTCAGCTGAAGTTGCCCTTCCTTCAGTGATGAATTGAATATAAGCTGCTGTTGATACAGCTTTGGGAATCATCCAGATGAATTGAGGTAGCAGAATGCATCTTCGGGTCCAGACTCCGAGATTAAATGAGATAATGCTCACTATGAGCATTTAGAAAACTTTTTTTTTTGAGGCGGAGTCTTGCTCTGTCTCCCAGGCTGGAGTGCAGTGGCGCAATCTCGGCTCACCGCAGGCTCTGCCCGCCCGGGTTCACGCCATTCCTGCCACAGCCTCCCGAGTGGCTGGGACTACAGGCGCCCGCCACCATGCCCGGCTGATTTTTTGTATTTTTAGTAGAGACGGGGTTTCACCGTGTTAGCCAGGATGGTCTCGATCCCCTAACCTCGTGATCTGCCCCCTCGGCCTCCCACAGTGCTGGGATTACAGGCGTGAGCCACGGCGCCCGGCCTAGAAAACCTTCAAGTGTGATATTGGTGGCATGACTACTGTTATTATTAGTAGAGTAATTCCATTACCCAGTCAATATTATAATCTGATTGTCTGAAGCAACGTAATTGCATGTACACACAAGGATCTAGCAGAAGGGCAGAGGAACTGAAAAGCTGGGAGGGCAGGCATTAGTAATGTTTATCCAGCACCATCCAAACAAGAGGCATGTGCTTGAGAGACAACACAGGTAAAACTCATAGAACAAAGTTTCTCCTGAGACCCTACAAATACCTTGGCTCTAATTGTCACTGTGACTATACAGTGGTAAGTTAGATAAGTTAGTGGTAAGTAGTTCCTGCCCTCATGTCCAGAGGGAAGACGGACAACAAATAATCACACAAATAAAAATATAATTGCATCTTGTGCTACTTACTGTGTTAGAGGATTAGGAAAGTCTTTTCTTAAACTTTAAGTGGAGCTAGGAGTTAACCAGATGATGGGTTGAGGGGAAAGCTGTAAAGCAGAAGGTAGTAAAGAGCTTAGTGTATCTGAGGATCTGGAAAGGCCGATACGGATTGGAAGGGATCAAGGGAGAGAAGAGCACACAGGAAATGAGCCTGGAAAGGTAGGCAGGGACCAGGTCACAAAGGCCCTTAGTGGCCACTTGGAGATAGTTTGGATTTATTTTGAATATGATATGTAAGGATAAAATTATATATGATGAGATTTGCGCTTTAAAAAGATCCTTTGGTTGCTGTGTGAAAAATTGATTGGAGGCCAGGTGCAGTAACTCACGCCTGTAATCCCAGCACTTTGGGAAGCCCGAGGTTGGTGGATACTTGAGTCCAGGAGTTTGAGATCAGCCTGGGCAACATGGTGAAACCCCATCTCTACTAAAAATACAAAAATTAGCCAGGTGTAGTGGCACGCACTTGTAGTCTCAGCTACTCAGGAGCCTGAAGTGGAAGGATCATCTGAACCTGGGGAGGTCAAGGCTGCAGCGAGCCATGATTGCTCCACTGCACTCCAGCCTGGGTGACAGAGTGAGATCTTGTCTCAAAAACTATATAAATAAATAAATAAAAATTTTAAAAAATGGTTTGGAGGGGTCATTAAATTAGAGATGGTGAGACCGGTTGGGAGAATTTTGCAATAATCTAATCACAGGATAATAGTTCATGATGATCTCTTGTTCCCATCAGTTTATAATTTAGTTTTGCCTAAGCACTTTCTTTGTTCTATGGTGTTCCCTTTGAGATCACAGATGTCTACATTTATTCACAAGCTTGTGATGACTTGTAGGGATCTATTCTTGAAAGGTAGAAAGAGCTCTTCTTAATTGCAATTCTATGCCCTGAATTTAATCTCATTCCTGTCTGTCACTCACTGATTCTGCAGTTTTAACTAAATTGCTTAAGCTTTCATAGTCACTTTTTCCTCTGTACAATGGGGATAATAATCTCTGCTGTGTTTTAAAATAGAATTGCCATGATGGAATGGTCTGCTGTTTGTTTTGGCTAGCTACCTTACTGGAGTCATGACGGAGGAAGAAATGATTATGAAGTTGTTCCAGTTAAGAAACCTGATTTTATTAACCCATCCGGAGTTGATAGGCTGTAGGAATCTGACTGATGAGAACATAACTCACAAGAGACTGGTGGTTCTCTTTGCTTCTTTTCTACATTTTCTCCCTAGGTGACTTCTCTAATCCTAAGGGCTTTAAATGCTTTTTATACACCAGTGACCTCCAAATGTCTGGGACAGTCTGGACCTCTCTACTAATCTTCATTGCCATATACCTAAATGGCCACTTGGCATTTCTCCTGGGAGGTCCCATATGCTTCTTAAACTTAACATATTCAAATTGAACTCATGTTCACTCCATAATACCTGCATTCCCAGCCAGAGCCACATCTAATCTATTCCCCCTTTACCTTTGCTCATTTTAATGAATGGATCGTATCTCTTCAACCCAATTGCTTAAGCTGGAATCCTGGACTGTTCCTTCATGCTCCTTCTCTGCATCCAATCTATCTCCAGCTCTTTTAATCCTGTCTCCTAAACCTATCATCAATCTACCCCCTTTTACTACCACTCTTGTCCAAGTTACCTTCTACCTTTCAAGAATAGATCCCTACAGACATCACAACCTTGTGAAGAAATGTAGACATCTGTGATCCTGAAGGAAGACCAGAGAACAAAGAAAGCTCTTAGGCAAAACTAAATTATAAATCAGTGGGAAGAAGAGATCATCATGCACTCAGGAAGCTAATGCAGCCTCCATACATATGTGTACTGTGAAGGATAAGAAGGAATTAGAGTAGGTGAATGGAGAGGGGCAAAAGTCTCAGGTTTAAGAACATAATTCACCAAAACACAGGGCACACAAGGGGCAGGCCTTACCAAAAAAAGCCAGTGACCAGTGAGCTATGGCTCAGTGCAGAAGGATTGGCAGGATCTGTCAAGAGCAGGAGATAAGGAAGTAGAGGCACAACAGACTTACCTTTCCTGGACTACAGAGTCTGTATGGGTGACTACGTAAACATATTTGGATAACTGGAGTAGGACCAGATTATGTCTGCCTGGAAAGCCACGTTGAAAACGTTGAATTTAATTTCATAGTCTACAAAGTGGCTGTATAGATTATTGAAGAGGGAGAATATATAACAAAATTTTGGAAAAATTACTATGTTGGTGGTGCTCTAGGTAAGATAAAGAAGGGAAGGACTGGAATCCCAGAGGAAAACTAGGAGGCTCTTAGCCTAATAAATCAGTGGCTTTTGAAACTTTCCTTAGGAGAGAACACTTTCTGAAAATGAAATCTTATGTGAAATACTAGTGGTATAAAGCAGACAAAAAACCTGGGTTGTTAAAGTAAGCATGGTTTATGTTATAGTTTTAAACATATAACCTGCGTTTATAATAGAGTCGACCAAAAGATAAAGAAAACCGATTAAATAAACATAAACATTTTAATTCTGGGGGTGATGGAAGATAGCTGCATCTTGCATTAGCTTTAGCATCCAAGTATCCAATTTATTTCTGAATTTTATTTTGGTTTTACGGTACTAAGAAAAATCCTGATTCACTTTGATTCACATGATAAGTACTTACATATGGTAATTTTTATTTTTATTTTTGTATTTTACAATTTTCCTGCAATCCCAAGGTACCCTTCAATTAAACTAACTCAGAAGGTAGTGTCATAGGAATTTTTGTTTCCATAGTAAAAATATGAATAGCAAGAAGCCTCCAAAGCAAGAACAACGACAAAAAAAAGTGGTCATCTATAGCGTGAAGTGATCATGACAGGCCATGGC
This sequence comes from Homo sapiens, assembly GCF_000001405.40. NCBI lineage: Eukaryota > Metazoa > Chordata > Mammalia > Primates > Hominidae > Homo > Homo sapiens. Next base: position 48,180,144 of record NC_000013.11, read on the forward strand.
ATAGGCCATTTGCTCCTGCCCAGTCAATGTGGCAAGAGAGTGACAGTGCTTGAAAGATGCTATGGAGCCTGGCTAGGCATTTAATCAGGCGCAGTGTGCCTGCACAGTAGTAATGGCTTCATTTGCAGTTTTATAGGAGCAGACGTGCACAGTCTGAAAGTGAGAAAACAACAGTCTACTATGTCAACTTTCCCAATATTGAAGACTTTAGGCTTTACATTTATGTTAGGATCTGCTGGCGTCACAATTCTTTTTTTCATTTGGATTACCCTAAGACTCAAAACTAATGTAGGTGGGGAGTTGGAGGAGAAGAGGAGGCGTCAGGTCTGAGATATTTTTATTTTATTTATTTATTTATTTATTAGTTTTTGAGATGGAGTCTCGCACTGTTGTCTGGACTGGAGTGCAGTGGTGGGATCTCAGCTCACCGCAACCTCCGCCTCCCAGGTTCAAGCATTTCTCCTGCCTCAGCCTCCCAAAAAGCTGGGATTACAGGTGCCCACCACCACGGCCAGATAATTTTTTGTATTTTTAGAAGAGACGGGGTTTCACTATGGTGGCCAGGCTGGTCTCAAACTCCTGACCTTGTGATCCACCCGCCTCAGCCTCCCAAAGTGTCAGGATTACAGGTGTGAGCCACTGCGCCCAGCCAGGTCTGAGATATTTTTCTAGCTAACAGAAGAGTCTCCGTAATTTATTTAGTGATAGGCTTGGATTAACACAAATCATGTACTCACCAAGTGAGCAAATTCCATTCCATAGTACAATGTATTCCAAATTACATATCCAATGTTGAAGGAACTTTGTATTTAAAAGATAACTTGAAAGGTGCTCATAATTCATCTCGTCAGATTAATGAAGGGTGTTTTGAGTCACTTATATTCCAGAAATTTCAGAACCATAAGGAGTATAGAAACTGTGGGGAATAAGTGTCATTTACATTTAAACATATTTAGGCTCTATCTTTTGATATTGTGGAGGTTTATTCATTTGTTTTTAGGTCTTGGGCAGGAAAGGAATCTTTAGAAGTAGAAAAAACTATTTACACTTACTGGGATAGCAAATTAATATTCCATTTTTATTACACAATTAAGAATCTAGTTTTTCTTGAGTTTAAATTACTAATCTTGTTATGCAAATGAAGAATAATTCACTTTTCTATGATTAATATTTGGTGAGCTGATATTAAAGAAACCAAATTTAATTAAACAATTCAGTACCATTTACAAAGTAGATAATTAAATCTCCTTAAACATTTTAAACTGTATTTATAAATTTAACAAGTCAGTTTTTATTTTAAACATTTCAAATGCCTGAAGAGCTAACTTATAACCTAATAAGCAAAACCTCCCCCAAGTACTTAAATAATTCTTATCAACCTAACACATCAAATGTACAAATGTGGCAAATTAAACTCCCTTAAACATTCCAATTTCTCAGAAAAAGCAAGAGTATTAATACTGAACCAAATGGGGAAATTGGAAAGGGAAGACGGTGTCGTAGAGCTATGCTGATAGCAACCTTTAAAGTTGTACTATAAGGAATTGAAACTAAGAGTTCTGGAACTGTGGTTCTCTGAAATCAGAATCACTGAGTCCCTTGACATACAGTTGCCCAAGTCCCACCCGAGACCTACTAAATCTCATCTACTATAAATATTTTGAAAACATTCCCTGTTTCCTGATATTGTCCAACTCCCCAAACTCCCTACTCCATACTCCCCTGTCTGTGCCCCATATATTATACCTTCTGCCTAGCTGACTCATTGGCTGGAGCGCAGAGAAAAGCTGCTGTGGAAATGCAGATTTGACAGTGATCACCTGGAGAGAATAGTGTGTCCCTTCATAAGCAACTTCCATAGAGCAGATGGTTAGTTAGAGAGTCTAGCACTGACGCTTGGGAGGACACCCATAGTGAGGGGAGAGAAAGAAGATAAGCCTGAAAAATAAATGATAGCACTTTATATCTACCTATAGCTCTAGGACAAAATTACAAAGTCCTAAAACCATTTTTCCTTAGTACATATGTGAAACTAAGGCCTGAGTTTTACATGCCAAATATATACAAGGGAACTGACTTCTTTTTTTATTTTTAATTATTATTATATATTTTTTTGAGATGAAGTCTCACTCTGTTGCCCAGGCTGGAGTGAAGTGGTGTGATCTCAGCTCACTGCAACTTCCACCCACTGGGTTCAAGTGATTCTCCTGCCTCAGCCTCCTGAGTAGCTGGGGTTATAGGCACCTGCAACCTTGCCAGGCTAATTTTTGCATTTTTAGTAGAGACGGGGTTTCACCATGTTGGCCAGGCTTGTATCGAACTCCTGACCTCAGGTGATCCACCCGCCTCAGCCTCGCAAAGTGCTGGGATTACAGGTGTGAGCCACCACATCCGGCCACAAGGGGACTGACTTCTAAAAGTTCATGGAAAATGCATTTAATGAGAAAACTATGTGTAGATTTCAAATTTTTTTTGCACTAAAAGAAGCTCATACTAATTTGTTATAGCATGTCTGAACGGGATCTCCTTGAGGCACTAAGAAGGATGAAATATCAGTTTGAAAAGAGCCTCTATCAGAGCAACATGAATTCTGCTAAAATTGAAGAAAGAGCAAATATCAAATTGATGGTGAGGCTTGGGTGGAAGAATGGTGACATTATTGATGCTTTATGAAAAATATATGGGGACAATGCACCCCCCAAAATCAGCAGTTTACAAATGGATAACTCATTTTAAGAAAGGACGAGGTGATATTTAAGATAAAGCTCACCATGGCAGACCATCCACATCAATCTGTGAGGAAAAAACTCATCTTGTCCATGCCCCAAATGAAGAGGACTGGTGTAACAGCACAAACAGAAGCCAACACAATAGGCATCTCACTTGGTTCAGCTTACACAGTTATGACTGAAAAATTAAAGTTGAGCAAACTTTCCATTTGATGGATGCCAAAACTGTTGAGGCCAGATCAGCTGCAGACAATGGAAATTTTACACAAGTAGGATCAAGATCCTGAAGCATTTCTTTGAAGAACTGTAACAAGAGATGAAACATGGCTTTATCAGTGTAATTCTGAAGACAATGCACAATCAAAGAAATGGTTACCAAGAGGTGGAAGTGGTGCAGTCAAAGCAAAAGTGGGTTGGTTAAGATTAAAAGTCATGGCAACAGTTTTTTGGGATGCTCAAGGCATTTTGCTTAAGCATCCCAAAAAACTTTCTGGAGACTTTCTTGAGGACCAGAGACTGATAACTTCTGCTTATTATGATTACATTTTGAGAAAGTCAGCCAAAGCTTTAACAGAAAATGCCTGGGAGGGCTTCACCAGAGAGTCCTTCTCCACTCTGACAACACTCCTGCCCATGTCAAATGAGGGCAATTTTGGGAGAGTTTTGAGGTAAAATTATTAGGCATCTACCTTACAGTCCTGATTTGGCTCCTTCTGACTTCTTTTTGGTTTCTAATCTTAAAAATCTATAAAGGGTACCCATTTTTCTTCAGTTAATAATATAAAAAGGATTGCATTGATATGGGTAAATTCCCAGGACCCTCAGTTCTTTAGGAATGGACTAAGTGGCTGGTATCATCACTTACAAAAACATGTTGACCTTGATGGCACTTATGTTGAGAAATAAAGTTTGCATTTTTTATTTATGTATTTTAATTCAATTTTTCCATGAACTTTCTGAAGTCCGTGTGTGTGTGTGTGTGTGTGTGTGTGTGTGTGTGTGTGTGTGTGTTTATAAAATCAAATGCTTAGAATTAGAATAGAAATCTGGTGCTGTGGTAAGGGTTTTAACCAATAGTAAAATATTTACAAGTTCAATGCAGGGTTGTGATAGAGACTAAAAGGGTCCCTGCCCTGAATGACACAAACAAATTAATCAATCTTTTTATTTTTTGATTTTAAAACAGGAACTGCCATATGCCTAGCCCCCAGTGAGGCCCCATGGAAGTTGTGGGAGAAACTTAGGTGATATTCCTTTCCTCCAGACTGCAATATTGTTGAGGAGATGAAATTAACCACACATAACAATAAAAGATGGTGTATAATGAAATGCTAGGCAGAGTGCGGCACTCCATAGGTGGAGTGGGAGATGGGAGAAGGAAGGTTTGTGGAAGAAAGCAGGTCAGGCTTTACAAAAATGCAAAGACATCAGCTGATTCTCACAGAATGGGTGGGACGTGAACCCCAACCCACACAGAGGTGTCTGGGTACCTTGAAGAAAAGGCCCGTTAGGGAAATACTGACAATTTTGAGTAAGCTGACCACATTTTTCATAAAAATATCAGTACATATGGTCTGACACATGGTCTAACAACAGGAAAGAATATTTTTAATTGGGGCTGCCCCAGAAAATCTAGAACATATGGTTACTTTATTTACAGGCCAAGAAACTCCTAATTACAAGAGAAAACGGAACTGACCAGCCCTCGGTAGACAAGACCTAGCCACTGCCATGCAAGAAGCTGCTAAACTATTTCCCTCCAGTCATCAAAGTTTATGTTCTTTTTTAAGGTTTCTGTTAGTATTTTCAGATAAAAGGTCAGTGCCTGAACTATACAAGACAAGCTGGGGAAATTCTACTCAGATTTCTTCAATTGCATTCTTTAACAGTCTCTCAAATTGCCTCAAATAATTTTTGTACTAGGCAGGGTATAAATAATGAATGCAAAAATGTTTCTTCCACCTGGGATAATAAAATAAGTCCAATTTAAAATTTCCTTCCCTTGAAGAAAAGGGGAACGTCTATACCCACGAAGTTTTTAGCTTGTTATCAGAGTTCTCATCTATATTGAAAAATACATTTTAAATTATCAAGATTGTTATATGTAATTTTGTTCTTTGCTTCTCTGATGTTTCACTGTTTTGCTCTTTAGTAGCTTACTGTCTGAAACAAAATACATGCCACAAGCTTCCTTATCCAGTTTTGCAATTTAATAATCTTAGCAATTATTGGAAAAGAAACAGTTTAAAAGGCTTTAACTCAAGTCTTGGCAGGTTAGAACATCTTCCATTTCATCTTTCACCCCATCCCAGGGCTCAGAGATCACTTGCCAACTCATTACTAATATTATCAAGGAAATGCACAGTTTTCTGCTTTTATGGTCAGTGAATACACTGACCAAGATGATGTGGTAATCACTGTGGATGAACAACAACAAAGCTACACATTTGAGCAAACCTTTTTCCTTATGTCTTAAACAAAATCTTAATTAAATGCATCTTAAAATACAGGATAAATGTTTCTGATAAAAGCAAAAAGATGTGCTTTTAATGAGATTTTCTGGGCACCAGACTTGTCTTTTCTCTTTCAATCTTCCATTATTATTTGAGGCCTCAAAATACTTACACTGATGGGCCGGGCGCGGTGGCTCACGCCTGTAATCCCAGCACTTTGGGAGGCCGAGGCAGGCAGATCATGAGGTCAGGAGATCAAGACCATCCTGGCTAACATGGTGAAAACCCGTATCTGCTAAAAATACAAAAATTAGCTGGGCATGGTGGCGGGTGCCTGTAGTCCCAGCTACTCGGGAGGCTGAGGCAGGAGAACGGCGTGAACCCAGGAGGCGGAGCTTTCAGTGAGCCGAGATTGTGCCACTACAGTCCAGCACTCTAGCCTGGGTGACAGAGCGAGAGACTCCATCTCAAAAAAAAAAAAAAAAAAAAAAAAAAGAAATACTTACACTGAAAGAGCCCGATTTTCATTAGCTGCGGTTGCTAAAAATGGGGAACCACCTAAACACACAACAATATAAACTGGGCCAGGTGCAGTGGCTCAGGCCTATAATCCCAGCACTTCGGGAGGCCGAGTAGAGTGGATCACCTGAGGTCAGGAGTTCAAGACCAGCCTAGCCAACATGGTGAAACCCCGTCTCCACTAAAAAAATATATATATATAAATTAGCCAGGTGTGCTGACAGGTGTCTGTAATCCCAGCTACTTGGGAGGCTGAGGCAGGGAGATTCCCAGCTACTCGGGAAGCCGAGGCAGGGAGAATCACTTGAAACCGGGAGGCAAAGTTTGCAGTGAGCTGAGATGGTGCCACTGCACTCCAGTCTGGGCGACAGAGTGAGACTCCGTCTCAAAAACAAAAAACAAACAAAAACCAAAAGAAAGGGAATATTTTACAACCACTAAAATTTAAAACTTAATTCAGCCTTAAAAAGGAAGAAAATTCTGTCACATGCTACAAACATAGATGAACCTTGCAGACATTACACTAGGTGAAATAAGCCAGACACAAAAGGACAAATACTATATGATTTCAGCTACAGGAGCTACCTAGAGTAGTCAAACTCACAGAGCAAGTAGGATGTGGTTTCCAGGGGCTGCTGGGTGAAGGGGGGATGGGGAATTGTTATTTAATAGGTACAGAGTTTCAGTTTTGCAGGAAGAAAAGAGTTCTAGAAATGTATAGTGGTGTTGGTTGCACAACAATGCAAACGTACTTAATGCCATTGAACTGTATACTTAAAAATGGTTAAATGACAAACTCCATGTTATGCATATTTTACCACAATTTTTTAAAAATGAAAAGTCTAATTAATGCAAATAATTCTAAATGTTGACATTGCTGGTTATCCACATGGATAAAAACTCTCTCTTCCTGTCACCACACCTAGGTCTAATGCTGATGGTGAATTTTCCATGGTCTTTGGATAATTGGGCACTCAGTAAATGCAAGTGGTGTTAATGATGTGACAGTTATTTGCCTGGTCTCCTTGAATAAGTAAGTATTGATATATTAATATCTTTATTTATTTATTTATTTATTTATTTATTTATTTATTTATTTTGAGACAAGGTCTCGCTCTGTCACCCAAGCTGGAGTGTAGTGGCATGATCATGGCTCACTGCAGCCTCAACTTCCCAGGCTCAAGCAATCCTCACACCTAAGCCTCCCCAGTAGCCAGGACTGCAGGTATATGGCACAACATCTGGCTAGTTTTTGCATTTTTTGTAGAGATGGGGTTTTGCCATGTTGCCCAGGCTGGTCTTGAACTCCTGGGCTCAAGCGATCCACCTGCCTCGGCCTCCCAAAGTGCTGGGATTACAGCATGAGCCATTGTGCCCGGCCAATGTCATTTTTAATAATAGCTGTAGCTAAGTTTCTTAAGTGCTTGCTATATACTGAGTACTGATCTAAATAGTAAAATTCTCAAAGCAACCCTATGAAAGTTTGTATATGATGTGTCTAGTCTCAGAGAGGTAATTTACCCTCTGTTGCTAACCAGCAAGTGGAAGAGCAGGGGTATTAACGTAGTGGTATGATCCAGTGCTTACCCTTTACAACATTAGTCTCAAGCCAGATTCTTAGAAAACAAAGGAGCCTATTATAACTACCACATTTTCATGGGTGAATCTCTTTACTAAATCTTTCATTTCTTCAACAAAAAGTTTGTTAAACACTTACTATGTTCCAGGCAATGGGCCAAGTGCTAGAGATTCATAAAACTAATAAGACATAGTCTTACAATCCAATAAAAAGAGAAAAATAAGTGAAAGATAACACGAGATGGTGTGATTAAAGAATACTGGGGGAGGGGGACCACAAAGAGGAAGGGCTCACAGTTTCGCTCAGTGGGGCACTTCACCTATTTTTTTCCCTTTGTATGCTGTGGGAAACATTTTTCTCTTTAATTTAACTGGTATAACATGTAAATAGATTGGGCAACAAAGAAAACTAAAATAAGTGTCAGAAGATATTTGAGGATACAAGATAAAAGAGGATAGAAAACATTCTAGATGGTCTATGTTAACAAAAGGATACCAGCTAGAAAAGCCAGATTAAAAGGTAGAGGAGAGTAACTGGGAGAAAAAGCAATAAAAAGGCCAGTGTAAGCAATAAGTGATATTTAGTGTATATCCTCAAATAGTAGGATCATGTACAAAATAGTTCAAGGACTTGTGCTGTATTGCCAAGGAGCATACAATCTAACAGGCACAAATAAGACAAAAGGCACAAATAAGAAACATATTTTTCAAGCAATAATTCATAAGGGCAAATTAAAATAATGCAGAAGATGAGTACCATCAAGGCAAAGGAATAAAAACAGCAAGATCCTAGGGGACTGGGGTCCAATTTTGAAATAAAGGAGGAGTACTGCTGGTGAAGAGGAACAGGGCATTGGAACTAGGAAGAGCAACCACGGAGCCATAGAGATTGGAAAAAATGAAGCCCTATAACCCCAGCACAATGACTTTAAGAGGAAGCAAGCAGCAAGTGGGACTGTGCTATAGGGAAGAATTCACAGATGACCTGGAGAAATTCAGGAGAATGAGAAGTGCTTACACATTAATGAAAGAACTCCAAAATACATACTTCCAAACTTCTACAAATTTTAATTTTGCCAGCCATAGAAAGGGAATCACTGCAACTGTGTGTATCCAACAAGCCAAAAGGTGAACTTCAAAGAGTGAAGGGGTCAGGTGTTTACCTTATTAAAATGTCATCAACAAGAGGGCTCAAAGTTGTCATAGAGCATTCACTGTTGATTCTGAACTAGCCCTTGGGTAACTGAGCTAAGTCTGGACACAGTGTGGGAAAAAGGCAAGAGAGAAAGAATGCATCAAAGACAGGAAATCAACTCTGCAATGTATAATAATTGAATATTGCACATGTTCTTGAATATTGCACATGTCACTGTGCCCCAGGAACTATTGTAAAGGGCTCCTCGGGGAGCTCTATTGTAAAGGAGGGTTTGCTTATTTCATTTTCACCATCCTCCTGGAGGTGGGGAGTGGTAGAGCTGCTCCCAGGAGCCCAGACCCTTCACCACCAGACTACCCCATCTTTTTACTGCTTCTGAAGTGATTATGCAAAATTCTGTCTCTTGAAATGGACGGGCAATTACTTGTATATATGAATGTAATATAACAAGTATTTTCCAACTGTGATCTATGCAGCCTAAAGAATCTGTTTTATTTTTAATGAATTTACTTGTAGTCTGCCACATGCCATAAAGAATTTGATGCCAAATGACAGGTGTATAGGAAGTAGATTGTGAATTTAGTTAGATTTTATACATGGTTCCATAAAAAACTATTCTTCTGAATTTTGAAAAGTATTGAAAACGAATCACAGAGAAGTTATTAGACAGGGCAGAGTTCATTCTCCAGAACTCTGTTAACAGCTTTAGGGACTTAGAACCAGCCAAGCCCTTCTTGGAAGTCATGCCATATACTCATCTGGGCACTTAGCAAGTATTGATTCACACCCCAATCTGAACTCTGAAAGATAAGATAATGACTTTGTAATATCAGTCATCAAATAATAAATATTCATTCTCTGACTCTCTGAAGAGAAGATACATTTAAAATGTCAGCTGCATTTTATTGTAACTAGATGGAAATTTGTTTTATTACTCCTAAGCTGTTAAATAAAGAAGCTACAAACCATGCACTGAAGAAGACTAAAAGCAAATGCTGAAGTAATAGTAATCACACCATTCCGCAGAAATTACCAGTAGTGCTAGGAGTGTAAGGATACTATTTAGTCTTAATCTCAGCTTTTCCAGCCCTTCTTTCTGAGGCAATTTTTCTTTTCTTTCTTTTTTTTTAAGATGGAGTTTCGCTCTTGTTGCCCAGGCTGGAGTGCAATGGTGCAATCTTGGCTCACTGTAACCTCTGCCTCCTGGATTCAAGCGATTCTCCTGCCTCAGCCTCCCAAGTAGCTGGGATTATGGGTGCCCACCACCACGCCTGGCTAATTTTGTATTTTTAGTAGAGATGGGGTTTCTACATGCTGGTCAGGCTTGTCTCGAGCTCCCAACCTCAGGTGATCCACCCGCCTCGGCCTCCCAAAGTGCTGGGATTACAGGTGTCAGCCACCGGAGCCCGGCCTGATGCAATTATTTAATTGCTAGATATTATGGGTTGAGTTGTTCCCCCCAAAACTTATATGTTGAAGTCCTAACTCCCTTTGATTGTGACTATATTTAGAGATAGGGTCTTTACAGAGGTAATTAAGTTAAAATGAGATCATTAGGGTGGGGCCCTAATCCAATATAACTGGTGTCCTGATAAGAGGAGGAAATTTAGACACAGACACACAGAGAGGGAAGGTGATATAAAGACACAGCCAGAAGACAGCCATTTACCAGCCAAGGAGACGGGTCTCAGAAGAAACCAACCCTGCCAACACCTTGGACTTCTAGTCTCTGGAATTGTGAGAAAATTAATTTCTGTTGATTGAAGCTATTCAGTCTGGAGTACTTTGTTATGGCACCCCTAGCAAACTAATCTACTGCGCACTCCCCTAGACTAAGCTCACTGAGGGCCAGCACGAGTCTGGGCGTCTTCTTTACCCTTGAATTCCCAGTACATTTTGTGGAGCCTAGTACACAGTAGATGTTTATTGAATGTTGTTGAATGAATAGCTGAACTTAGCTGAATGTTTTGGCCCATTTCTCTGGAGTACAGGGATTTAATGATTACCAAAAATAATCAAAGGACATTTTCTTCCTTTGTCAAAAAATAACTTCAGATTCAGATTTTTAAAATAGTGATCATACATTGTGAAAAATAGCAGTATAAAGAAGGAAAACACAATCATCAGATCTTGCCACTTAGATGTAACTACTTTACATTCTGACACTTCCCAGTCTTTTTCTATACACATACATATTTTAACACAGAGGAAATAATAGTGTACCACTTATCATTATGTCACATTTCCCCTACATCATTAAAAATTATTCATAAGCATTTGAATGGCTATAAAATATATAATATCATATGCATCTTTCATAATTGAAATGCTTGGCTGAGCACAGTGGCTCATGCCTATAATTCCAACACTTTGGGAGGCCAACATGGGAGAACTGTTTGAGCCCAGGAGTTCAAGACCAGCCTAGGCAACACAGAGAGACCCTGTCTCAATACACACACACACACACACACACTGAATTCCTTGTAGTTAGACATTCAGGTGTTTCTAGCTGTTTCTATCATAATTAGCAGGGCAATGAGTTTCTTTGTGTGAGAAAGCTTTTATCCACTTTTCTGAATTCTTTAAAGCATGACATCCTAGCACTACCGTTATTGATTCAAAAGGTAAGGCCATTGGTAAGGCTTTTGGTAGACATTCTTCCATCGCTTTTTAAGAAATTAAACCAATTTATACTCTACAAGCAGTCCATGAGATTTCCCATTACACTTAACCCTTAAGCATTACTTTTACAAATCTTGCTAATTGGATAAGTTGAAATGGCATCTGAGTGTCATTTTAATTTGCATCTTTTGAATATTAATGAAGCTTCCGATTTTTCTACATGCATTAACCACCCATAACTTTGCCTTTTGAATTGCCTGTGTGTATTTTGAAAGGGGATTTTCTGAACACCTTTGATGAAGTAGTTTTCTAGCCAGGCTCCTACTGCAATGTTGCCTGCTCTTCAGCAAAGGCCTCTGCTTCTGAGGGAATGAGACTTTACACCCTACAGCTGCCCGAGAATCTTATCATGGGCTAATACACAACAATGAAGTCTTCACTGTTCTGAATTGACAGAGAGAGAAACCTGTTCCAATTATTTACCTCCTTCTAACAAAATTTTGATACATCAATTGCATGTGGATATATTTAATCTAGCTATCTAAGTGTGAAATCAGTTTTCCTTGTAAAACGAAAAGAAAATTCTCAGTTCAAAAAAAAAGAAAAACAACCCAGAATTTTGTAAGAAAGGCAGATAGCTTTGTATTAACAACATAATTTTGGAAGTACGTCTATTTCCCAGCTGCACTTATTAAATTCAGGACACAGAGGAAATTAAAAATACATATATTTTCCAACTAATTTATTCTAAAATTCACATCTGTAACAAAACAAAATGTTGTAGCTTGCATAAACCGTAGAGGTCTTCTGATCAAATACCTATATGTTCAGATGGGAAAAATGTCAACAGAAATGATTTTGGAAATGGTAGTTAGTGGCATAGATTAGTTTTAGAGTAAGAAATAGATCAGAGGGGCTGAATTCTGCCAGCATATTGGTGATACAGAGCAGGTAGGAGGAGGCAGTTCAGTACAGTAAAAAAAAAAAAAAAAAAAAAAAAAAAAAAAAAAAAAAAACGGCCAGGAACTGAGGCTCATGCTTGTAATCCCAGCACTTTGGGAGGCCAAAGTGGGCAGATTGCTTGAGCCGAGGCGTTGGAGACCAGCGTGGGCAACACTGGTCTCCTCTCTACAAAAAATACAAAATTTAGCTGGGAGTGGTGGAGCGCACCTGTAGTCCCAGCAACTCAGAAGCTGAAATGGGAGGATCACTTGAGCACAGGAGACGGAGGTTGCAGTGAGTGGAGATAGTGCCACTGCGCTCCCGCCCATGAGTGTACCCTTGATACAGCAAGACCCTGTCTCAAAAAGATAATAGAAAAGAAAAAGAAAAGAAAAGAAAAACTATGCAATTCTGACTCCTTTGATGTGTTTCCCTTCCACTTCCTCGCTTAGTCAATCCTCACCCATTCTTGCTCCCTTTTCTCATAAGCACGGTGGAAGATACGTCCCTACCCCTTTCCAAGGCTAATCCCACCCTCCCTTTTTTGTTCCCTCCCCTCACACCTCCGGATGTCATCTGTCTCTTCCCTCTCTTGCATTGTCATCCTTCCCTCTCTCTCCATCTGTTTCTCGAACTAAAAATACATTCAATTTTCCCCTTCCTAAAAAAAAGCTAGGCTTCCTAGCCAACATTACCCTTTATTTATAACAATATTTGTCCCCTTTTCAAACTCCTTGAATGTACAGTTTGTTTCTTCTTTTCTCCAATTTCCTTCCCACATGCATACACCAAGGTAACTGCTGTTATGGCTGTACCCCCACCTCCAGTTAGGTTTGCCTGTTCTTGAACTTCATATAAATAAACTCAAACAGTATGTACTCTTTTGTGTTCGGCTTCTTTATGCATTTATTCCTCTTTTTGTTGTGATAAAACACCTATAACATAAAATTTATTATTTCAGCCATTTTAAATATACAGTTCAGTGACATTAAGTACATTCAAATTGCTGTGCAACTAACATCACCATCCATCTCTAGAAATTATTTAACTTCCCAAATTGAAACTCTGAACCCATTAAACAATAACTCCTCATTTTTCCTCCCCCAGCTCCTGGTAACATCAATTCTACTCTGTCACTATGATTCTGCCTATTCTAAATTCTAAATTCTATAATTCTGCTCATATGAGCAGAATTATGCAATTTTTTTGTGTGTGGTTGGCTTATTTTACTTAGCATAATGGTTTTGCTTGTTTGTTTGTTTTTGAGACAGGATCTCACTCTGTTACCCAGGCTGGAGTGCAGTGGCACAATCTCCACACACTGCAACCTCCGTCTCCTGGGCTCAAGCGATCCTCCCACCTCAGCTTCCTGAGTAGCTGGGACTACAAGGACCACAAAATCCTGGGCTAATTTTTGTATTTTGTGTACAGACGAGGTTTTGCCATGTTGCCCAGGCTGGTCTCAAACTCCTGGGCTCAAGTGATCCACAAACCTCGGCCTCCCAAACTGCTGGAATTACAGGCATGAGCCACCACACCTGGTCAGCATGTTTTTAAGATCCATCCACATCATAGCATGAATCAGAACTTCATTCCTTTTTAGGCTGAATAATATTCCATTGTATGTATAAACTACATTTTGTTTATCCATTCATTGATCAATGGACATCTGCATTCTTTCCACCTGTTGGCTATTGTGAGTAGTGCTGCTATGAACATTGGTGTACAAATATTTGAGTCCCTGCTTTCAGTTCTATTGGGTGTATAACCAGAAGTAGAACTGTTGCATCATACCAAACATTCGATATTAAACAGTCTATCTTTAACTTGCTGAGAACCCACCATACTGTTTTCCACGGTGTATACACCATTTTACATTCCCACCAGCAATGCACTTTTTAATACCCTCTCCAACATTTGTTCTTTTCGGGTTTTTTGATAATTGCCATCCTAATGGGTGTGAAATGATATCTCATTGTGGTTTTGACTTATGCATTTTTTTTTTTCCTGAGACGGAGTCTTGCTCTGCCACCCAGGCTGGAGTACGGTAGCATGATCTCAGCTCACTGCAACCTCTGGCTCTGGGGTTCAAGCAATTCCCCTGCCACAGCCTCCTAAGTAGCTGGGACTACAGATGCATGCCACCATGCCAGGCTAATTTTTGTATTTTTAGTAGAGATGGGGTTTCACCATGTTGGCCAGGCTGGTCTCAAATTCCTAACTTCCGGTAATCCTCCCATCTCAGCCTCCCAAAATGATGAAATTATAGGCATGAGCGACTGCGCCTGGCCACATTTATTATTAAAATGTTATCTGCCCTTGGGCTCATGGCTTTTCTATTAGTTCTTTGTTTGTTTCTCATTCTTGGCAGACTTCCCCTTCTCTCTCTGACTCTTTAATCTAGGTTTCCCTGGGTTTCCCCTTAGCTTCTTCTGCTTTCTGTGCACATAGTCCCTAAAGAGCTTGTCCACTCCCATGATAGAAGTATCACACCCATGCCAGGGACTCTCAGATTTGTATTTTCTGAGTCGGGACTTCTTTCTGAGCATAGTGTTTGCCTTCAAATACTCTGAACACAGTATTTGTCTTCAAATAATCATTTGGAAATAAAAGAGTGTGAAGTTTAAAATCTGATTAAAAATATGGACACTGTTAATGGTCTTTGTTGCTGGCAAATGGGATTGGGGAATGGGGAATAAAGAAAAGACATAATTTTTTAAATTGTGGTTTAAAAAAACACCACAGAACATAAAATTTACTATGGTAACTATTTTTTTAATAGACTTTTTTTATTTTTTATTTTTTTGAGATGGAGTCTCACTCTGTCACCAGCTGGAATGCAGTGGTGCGATCTTGGCTCACTGCAACCTCTGCCTCCTGGGTTCAAGAAATTCTCCTGCCTCAGCCTCCCAAGTAGCTGGGACTACAGGCGCATGCCACTATGCCCAGCTAATTTTTGTATTTTTTGTAGAGACGGGGTTTCACTCTGTTGGCCAGGATGGTCTCGATCTCTTGACCTGCCTGCCTCGGCCTCCCAAAGTGCTGGGATTACAGGTGTGAGCCACTGCGCCCGGCCTAGACTTTATTTTTTAAGAGTAACTTGAGCTTCACAGCAAAACCAAGTAGAAGGTACGGAGGGTTCCTATATATCCCTGTCCCTACATATGTACAACCTCCTCCACCAGCAAAATTCCGAACCAGTATGGTACATTTGTTATGATAAAAGAAAAACTTTAGACAAAATAAATGCAACAGAGTTTGTTTGAGCGAAGGACAATTCTTGAGTTGGGCAGCCCTCAAAACCAGAGAGGCTCAGAAAACTATCCTCTGCAACATGGTCAATGGGTATTTATAGACAGAAAAAGGCTGAAGAGGTCAGGTGCAGTGGCTTACGCCTGTAATCCCAACACTTTGGGAGGCCAAGGCTGGTAGATCATGAGGTCAGGAGTTCAAGACCAGCCTGGCCAAGATGGTGAAATCTGGTCTCTGCCAAAAATATAGAAATTAGCTGGGCGTTGTGGCAGGTGCCTGTAATCCCAGCTACTCGGAAGGCTGAGGCAGAGAATTGCTTGAACCTGGAAGGTGGAGGTAGCAGTGAGCCAAGATTGCGCCACTGCACTCCAGCCTGGGCGACAGAGTGAGACTCCATCTCAAAAAGAAAAAAACAAAGAAGGAAAAGAAACAGGCTGAAGAAAGCAGAAATAAGGATGAAAAAGTGGATTGGTCATTTCAAAGTTACTTTCCCAGTAAAGGTTAAAGCCAAGGCAACTTCTTTAGAATGTTGGTTAAAAACGGCTTATTCAAGGATTTGGATATTATCTCTCTCTCTCCGGATTTCTTGGAAATTCAGATAAACAACTTAGTTTCGGTTTGGTGGCACAGAACTTCAGCATGAATGACCATATTTTGGTTTGGTCTGTTGGGGCCTAGTGCAGGAACTCAGTCCAAATCAATGACCTAATTTAAATTTTATTTAACAATTATAATTAATGCACCCACGTTGAAAAATCGTTATCAATGTTGTTATCAATTGTTGTTGTACATTCTATGGGTTTTGACAAATGTATAATGACATGTTTCCATCTTTATAGCACATACAGAGTCATTTCACTGCCCTAAAAACCCTATGTGCTCTGCCTACCTATCACTCCCTATTCCCAAAACTCTGGCAACCACTGATTTTTTTGTTGTTGTTGTTGTTTGAGATGGAGTCTCACTCTGTCACCCAGACTGGAGTGCGGTGGCACCATCTTGGTTCACTACAACCTCCACCTCCCGAGTTCAAGCAATTCTCCTGCCTTAGCCTCCTGAGTAGCTGGGATTATAGGCGTGTACCACCATGCCCAGCTAATTTTTGTATTTTTAGTAGAGACGGGGTTTCACCATGTTGGTCAGGCTGGTCTTGAACACTTGACCTCGTGATCCACCCGCCTCAGCCTCCCAAAATGCTGGGATTACAGGTGTGAGGCACCGCGCCTGGCCACCACTGATTTTTTTTTTTTTTTTTATTCTGAGATAGGATCTTGCTCTGTTCGCCAGGCTGGAGTACAGTAGTGTGATCATGGCTTACTGCAACCTTGGACTCCTGGGCTCAAGCAACTCTCCTGCCCCTGCCTCTTGAGTAGCTGGACCTACAGGTGCATGCCATCATGACCAGCTAATTTTAAAACTCCTCTGTAGAGACAAGGTTTCACTGTGTTACCCAGGCTGGTCTCAAACTCCTAACCTCAAGCTATCTTCCCACTCAGACCTTCCAAATCTCTGGGAATGCAGGTATGAATCACACCATGCTCAGCCTCCAATATCTTTTTACTATCTCCATAGTTTTGCCTTTTTCCAGAATGTCATATAGTTGGAATCATACAGTACGTAGCCTTTTCAGAGTGGCTTCTTTCACTTAATAATAGGCATTTAAGATTCCTCCATGTCTTTCCATGGCTTGATATCTCATTTCATTTCTTTTTATCATTGAATAGTATTCCACTATATAGATGTACCACAGTTCATTCATCTATTAACCTTCTGAAGTCATCTTGGTTGCTTCCAAGTTTTGGCAATTATGAAAAAAGATGCTATAATCATCTATGGACAGGTATTTGTGTGAACACAGTTTTCAATTCCTTAGGGTAACACCAAAGAGCATGATTGCTGGATCATATGACACTATGGTTTAAATGTATCCCCTCCAAAATTCAGGTGTCGAAACTTAATGGCCAATGTGATGGTACTGAAAAGTGGATCTTTTTTCCTTTTTTAAAGATAGGGTCTTGCTATGTTGCCCAGGCTAGTCTTGAATTCCTGAACTCAAATGATTGTCTGGCCTCAGCCTCCCAAGTAGTTGGAACCATAGGCAGATACCACCACATCTGGTGAGGTGAAGCCTTAAGAGACAATTAGGCCATGAGGGCTACTCCTTTGTGAATGGAATTAAGCACCTTATAAAAAAAAAAAAAAGGCTTTGTGAAGCATTTGCTCCTCTTGCCTTTCTGCCCTCTGGTGTGTGAGGACACAGTGTTCTTCCTTTCTGTGAGATGCAGTAACAAGGTACCATCTTGGAAGCATGGAGGATCCTTTACCAGACAGTGAGCCTGCTGGTGCCTTGATCTTGGACTTCCCACCCTCCAGAACTGTGAGAAATAAAATGCTGTTCTTTATAAATTAAACAGTCCCAAGTGTTTGTTATAGCAGCACAAAACAGACTAGAACATATTGTAAGAATATACTTACCAAACTGCCAACTGTCTTCCAAAGTGGCTGTTCCATTTTACATTCTACCAGAAATAAATGAAAGTTTTTGTTGTTCCTCATCTTTGCCAGTATTTGGTGCTGTTAGCAAAAGAATTGATAAGCTGGATTTTGTTAAGATTAAATACTTTTAGGTCAGGCACGGTGGCTCATGCCTGTAATCCCAGCACTTTGGGAGGCTGAGGCAGGGGGATCACCTGAGGTCAAGAGTTTGAGACCAGCCTGGCCAGCATGGTGAAACCCCGTCTCTACTAAAAAAACACAAAAATTAGCTGGGCATGGTGGTTCACGCCTGTAATCCCAGCTACTTGGGAGGCTGAGGCAGGAGAATTGCTTGAACCCAGGAGGTGGAGGTTGTGGTGAGCCGAGATCGGGCCATTGCACTCAAGCTTGGGCAACAAGAGCAAAACTCCGTCTCAAAAAAAGAAGAAAAATGCTCAACATCATGTCAGTAGGAAATTGCAAATTAAAAGCATGAGATATCCCTACAGAGCTATTAGAATGGCTAGAATCCATCGTAACTATTTTTACATGTACAGTTCAGTAGTGAATGTAACAGTACATTCACGTTGTTGTACAATAGATTTCTAGAGCTTTTGCTTCTTGTAAAACTGAAACTCTATACTCATTAACAACTCCCTTTACTTTGTCTCTATAAGTTTAACTACTTTTGTTACCTCAAATAACTGGTATTATACAGTATTTGTCTTTTCGTGACTGGCTTATTTAACATTTACCATAATGTCTTCAAGCTTCATCTGTGTTGTAGCAAGTGAAAGAATTTCCCACATTTTTTTAATTTTAAAAAAGCATTCATGTAGGTCAGGCGCAGTGCCCCATGCCTATAATCCTAGCACTTTGGGAGGCCGAAGTAGGTGGATCACCTGAGGTCAGGAGTTCAAGACCAGCCTGACCAACATGGCAAAATCCTGTCTCTACTAAAAATACAAAAATTAGCTAGGCATGGTGGTGCATGCCTGTAATCCCAGCGACTTGGGAGACTGAGGCAGGAGAATCGCTTGAACCCAGGAGGCAGAGGTTGCAGTAAGCCAAGATCATGCCACTTCACTCCAGCCTGAGCAAAAGAGTGAAACTCCTAAAGAAAGAAAGGAAGGAAAGAAGGAAGGAGCATTCATGTTTTCAATTAGGTAAAATAAGCTATGCTGGCTGATTGTCTCACCTGTGTGCTCTCCCCCACGATCACCGATTCTCCATCCTTCTCCCCCTGCTCTGAGACCCAGAAGCTGACCTCTACAGATTGCCTCACCCATGTTCTCTGGTTTCTGGTTGGGGGGCTAATGGGAGGCACCATCAGGAGACAGAGAGCAAGAGGTCTTTATTTTTATTTTATTTATTTATTTATTTTTGAGACAGAGTCTCGCTCTGTCACCCAGGCTGGAGTGCAGTGGCACCATCTCAGCTCACTGCAACCTCCGCCTCCTGGGTTCAAGTAATTCTCCTGCCTCAGCCTCCTGAGTGGCTGGGATTACAGGCACGTGCCACTATGCCCCACTAATTTTTGTATTTTTAGTAGCGATGGGGTTTCAGCATGTTGGTCAGGCTGGTCTCGAACTCCTGACCTCGTGATCCACCCACCTAAGCCTCCCAAAGTGCTGGGATTACAGGTGTGAGCCAGCACACCCAGCAAGAGGTCTTTATTTATTGCCCCACATGAACACCCACTTCCTGGCTCACTACTATTCAGGCAGTAGCTGCTTTTCATTCCTCTTGCTTAGCACAGGCTCACTTGAGGCTTCCTCACCATCATTTTGCCCCACCCCTGCCCCCTTTCCCCTTCAGGCCTAGAAGTAGAAATAAATTCCTGCTGTTGTTAGTACCTGCATGCTTCACGACCTCTTTTTTTGTTCCTTTAACCTTGCCCACACCTAGGTAAATAGTCCTTTGGTTAAAGTCTCTTTATTAAGCCCTTTTGAGTATGCCATCTGTTCATATGCTTCCTGCTAAGATCCTGAGTCAGACACATGCAACTATTAAAAAAAAGTTAACAGTTTAGAAGGCTAAGAAGGGAAAAATAAAAATCTGTGTTTACCCCCATAGCCCTTGACTCCATTCCATTCCATGTATAATTGCCATTTCATTTGGTGAGTTCTAATTCTTGGGTAAGCCCTGATTAGTCTTAGATAATTATGTTACATCCTTCTCCCTTACCAGTAACTGGTTCAGAAATCCAGGCCTAAGCCATTGGCAAAGGATATTTTCCTGTCCCAGGGACTGTGTTGAGAATGGGCACATGAGTCGCTCTCATGGCCCAGTTCAGAGTAATGAGATTCAAGGAGAAATTTGCTGGGGGTTTCTTCTCAGAGAACCAAGGTTGGAGGTGACCCCCAAATGTGGAACCAGTTTGAGGAAAAGTCAGCAGAGGAAGCTGAGCCACGAGAATCACAGAAACAGAGTCAGGCCACTGGATTAAGCCACTCATACCAACCCTAAGCCTAACCAGCCTCTGCACTTCCAACTATGGAACCTAATATATTTCATGGTTTTCCATTTATTTGCAACAAAAGCAACCTAGCCAATACACACACACACCACATACACACATATATACACTATAAAATACACATACCCAAATGGGATCATTTTATATATGTTTTACTGTAAATTGCCTTTTTCACTAAATGATATATTGTGAACATCTTTCCAACTAAGCACATTCAGTTTTGCTTCATTATTTAAACACTGGGTACTATCTTGTGGAAGTGACACAACATAGCTTCTCCTACTGTGGAATATGTAGGTCGTTTGCAGTTTTTCCCCATTACAAACATGGCACAGTGACACATATTATGGTATGTCTGTATCAATATGTGCATAAAATGAATTTCTAGTGGAATTGCTTGGTCAAAAAGTCTGAGAATTTAAAATGTTCATAAATACTGCTATATTGTTGGAGACTCTTCCAAGATGGTAGAAGACAGGCAATTTCTGCATTTCCAACCGAGGTACCTGGTTCATCTCATTGAGACTCGTTGGACAGTGAGTACAGCCCACAGAGGGTGAGCTGAAGCAGGGTGGGGCATCACCTCACCTGGGAAGCACAAGGGGTCAGGGGATTTCCCTTTCCTAGCCAAGGGAAGCCATAAGAGACTGTACCGGGAAGAATGGTACACTTCTGCCCAAATACTGTGCTTTTCCCATGGTCTTTGCAACCGGCAGACCAGGAGATGTCCTCCAGTGCCTGCCTTGAGGGGTCCCATGCCACAGAGCCCAGCAAGCTAAGATCCATTGGCTTGAAATTCTCCCCACTAGCGCAGCAGTCTGAGATCCACCTGGGCCACTCAAGCTTGGTGGGGGGAGGGGCATCTGACATTGCTGAGGCTTGTGTAGACAGTTTTACCCTCACAGTGTAAACAAAGCTGCCAGCAAGTTCAAACTGGGCAGAGTCCACTGCAGCTCAGCAAGGCCGACTGCCTCTCTAGATTCCACCTCTATGGGCAGGGCATATCTGAAGAAAAAGCAGCAGCCCCAGTCAGGGACTTATAGATAAAACCCTCATCTCCCTGGGACAGAGCACCTGGGGGAAGGGGCAGCTGTGGTCACAGCTTCTACAGACTTAAACATCCCTGCCTGACAGCTCTGAAGACAGCAGTGGTTCTCCAGCATGGTGTTCGAGCTTTGATAATGGACAGACTGCCTCCTAAAGTGGGTCTCTGACCCCCATGTAGCCTGACTGGGAGACATCTCCCAGTAGGGTCCAACAGACACCTCATACAGACAGGTGCCCCTCTGGGACAAAGCTTCCAGAGGAAGGATCAGGCAGCAATATTTGCTGTTCTGCAGCCTCCGCTGGTGATACCCAGGCAAACAGGGTCTGCAGTGGACCTCCGGCAAACTCCAACAGACCTGCAGCTGAGGGGCCTGACTGTTAAAAGGAAAACTAACAAACAGAAAGGAATAGCATCAACATCAACAAAAAGGACATCCACACCAAAACCCCATCCGTAGGTCACCAACATCAAAGACCAAAGGTAGATAAAATCACAAAGATGGGGAGAAACCAGAGCAGAAAGGCTGAAAATTTCAAAAACCAGAATGCCTCTTCTCCTCCAAAGGATCACAACTCCTCGCCAGCAAGGGAACAAAACTGGACAGAGAATGAGTTTGATGAGTTGACAGAAGTAGGTTTCAGAAGGTGAGTATCAACAAACTTCTCTGAGCTAAAGGAGCATGTTCTAAGCCATTTCAAGGAAGCTAAAAACCTTGAAAAAAGGTTAGATGAATGGCTAACCAGAATAACCAGTGTAGAGAACATAAATGACCTGATGGAGCTGAAAAACACAGCAGAAGAACTTTGTGAAGCATACACAAACTTCAATAGCCGATTTGATCAAGCGGAAGAAAGGATATCAGTGATTGAAGATCAAATTAATGAAATAAAGCGAGAAGCAAGATTAGAGAAAAAAGAGTGAAAAGAAATGAACAAAGCCTCCAAGAAATATGGGACTATGTGAAAAGACCAAATCTATGTTTGATTGGTGTACCTGAAAGTGACAGGGAGAATGGAACCCAGTTAGAAAACACTCTTCAGGATACTCTCCAGGAGAACTTCCCCAGTCTAGCAAGGCAGGCCAACATTCTAATTCAGGAAATACAGAGAACACCACAAAGATATTCCTTGAGAAGAGCAACCCCAAGACACATAATTATCAGATTCACCAAGGTTGAAATGAAGGAAAAAATGTTAAGGGCAGCCAGAAAGAAAGGTCGGGTTACCCACAAAGGGAAGCCCATCAGACTAACAGCGGATCTCTCAGCAGAAACCCTACAAGCAAGAAGAGAGGGGGGGCCAATATTCAACATTCTTAAAGAAAAGAATTTTTAACTCAGATTTTATATCCAGCCAAACTAAGCTTCATAAGTGAAGTAGAAATAAAATCCTTTACAGACAAGTGAATGCTGACAGATTTTGTCACCACCAGGCCTGCCTTACAAGAGCTCCTGAAGGAAGCACTAAACATGGAAAGGAAGAACCGGTACCAGCCATTGCAAAAACATGCCAAATTGTAAAGACCATCGACACTATGAAACAACTGCATCAACTAATGGTTAAAATAACCACCTAGCATCATAATGACAGGATCAAATTCACACATAACAATATTACCTTAAATGTAAATGGGCTAAATGCCCCAACTAAAAGACACAGACTGGCAAATTGGATAAAGAGTCAAGACCCATTGGTGGTCTATATTCAGGAGACCCATCTCACATGCAAAGACACACATAGGCTCAAAATAAAGGGATGGAGGAAGATCTACCAAGCAAATGGAAAGCAAAAAAAAGCAGGGGTTGCAATCTTAGTCTCTGATTAAACAGACTTTAAACCAACAAAGACCAAAAGAGACAAGGCCATTACATAATGGTAAAGGGATCAATTCAACAAAAAGAGCTAACTATCCTAAATATATTTGCACCCAATACAGGAGCACCCAGATTCATAAAGCAAGTTCTTAAAGACCTGGAAAGAGACTTAGACTCCCACACAGTAATAATCGGAGACTGTCCAATTAACACCCCATTGTCAATATTAGACAGATCAACAAGACAGAAAATTAACAAGGATATCCAGGACTTGAACTCAGCTCTGGACCAAGCAGACCTAATAGACATCTACAGAACTCTCCACCCCAAATTAACACAATATAAGTTCTTCTCAGCACCACACCACACTTATTCTAAAATTGACCACATACTTGCAACTAAAACACTCCTCAGCAAATGTAAAAGAACAGAAATCACAACAAACTGTCTCTCAGACCACAGTGCAATCAAATTAGAACTCAGGATTAAGAAACTCACTCAAAACTGCACAACTGCATGGAAGCTGAACAACCTGCTCCTGAGTGACTACTGGGTAAATAATGAAATGAAGGCGAAATAAAGATGTTCTTTGAAAACAATGAGAACAAAGACACAACGTACCAGAATCTCTGGGACACATTTAAAGTAGTGTCTAAAGAGAAATTTATAGCACTAAATGCCCACAAGAGAAAGCAGGAAAGATGTAAAATCGACACCCTAACATCACAATTAAAAGAACTACAGAAGCAAAAGCAAACAAATTCAAAAGCTAGCAGAAGACAAGAAATAACTAAGATCAGAGAAGAACTGAAGGAGATAGAGTCACGAAAAACCCTTCAAAGAATCAGTGAATCCAGGAGCTGGTTTTTTGAAAAGATCAACAAAATAGATAGACCACAAGCCAGACTAATAAAGAAGAAAAGAGAGAAGAATCAAATAGACGCAATAAAAAATGATAAAAGGGATATCACCACCGATCCCACAGAAATACAAACTACCATCAGAGAATACTATAAACACCTCTATGTAAATAAACTAGAAAATCTAGAAGAAATGGATAAATTCCTGGACACATACACCCTCCCAAGAGTAACTCACAAGAAGTCGAATCTCTGAATAGACCAATAACCGGTTCTGAAATTGGGGCAATAATTAATAGCCTACCAACCAAAGAAAGTGCAGGACCAGACGGATTCACAGCTGAATTCTACCAGAGGTACAAAGAGGAGCTGGTACCATTCCTTCTGAAACTATTTCAATCAATAGAAAAAGAGAGAATCCTCCCTAACTCATTTTATGAGGCCAGCATCATCCTGATACCAAAGCCTGGCAGAGACACAACAAAAAAAAAGAGAATTTTAAGCCAATATCCGTGATGAACATTGATGTGAAAATCCTCAATAAAATACTGGCAAACTGAATCCAGCAGCACATCAAAAAGCTTATCCACCATGATCAAGTCGGCTTCATCCCTGTGATGCAAGGCTGATTCAACATACTCAAATCAATAAATGTAATCCATCACATAAACAGAACCAAAGACAAAAGCCACATGATTATCTCAATAGATGCAGAAAATGCTTTTGACAAAATTCAACAGCCCTTCTTGCTAAAAACTCTCAATAAACTAGGTATTAATTGAATGTATCTCAAAATAATAAGAGCCATTTATGAGAAACCCACAGCCAATATCATACTGAATGGGCAAAACTGGAAGCATTCCCTTTGAAAACAGGCACAAGACAAGGATACCCTCTCTCACCACTCCTATTCAACACAGTATTGGAATTTCTGGCCAGGGCAATCAGGCAAGAGAAAGAAAGAAAGAGTATTCAGTTAGGAAAAAAGGAAGTCAAATTGTCTCTGTTTGCAGATGACATGACTGTATATTTAGAAAACCCTATCGTCTCAGCCCAAAGTCTCCTTAAGCTGATAAGCAACTTCAGCAAAGTCTCAGGATAGAAAATCAATGTGCAAAAATCACAAGCATTCGTATACAACAATAACAGACAGAGAGCCAAATCATGAGTAAACCCCCTTCACAATTGCTACAAAGAGAATAAAATACCTAGGAATCCAACTTAGAAAGGATGTGAAGGACCTCTTCAAGGAGAACTAAAAACCACTGCTCAACAAAATAAAAGAGGACACAAACAAATGGGAGAACATTCCATGCTCATGGATAGGAAGAATCAATATCATGAAAATGGCCACATTGCCCAAAGTAATTTATAGATTCAATGCTATCCCCATGAAGCTACCAATAACTTTCTTCACAGAATTGGAAAAAACTACTTTAAAGTTAATATGGAACCAAAAAAGAGCCTGCATAGCCAAGACAATCCTAAGCCAAAAGAACAAAGCTGGAGGCATCATGCTACCTTACTTCAAACTATACTACAAGGCTACAGTAACCAAAACAGCTTGGTACTGATACCAAAACAGATATATAGACCAATGGAACAGAACAGAGGCCTCAGAAATAACACCACACATCTACAGCCATCTGACCTTAGACAAACCTGACAAAAAGAAGCAATGTGGAAAGGATTCCCTATTTAATAAATGGTGCTGGGAAAACTGGCTAGCCATATGTAGAAAGCTGAAACTGGATCCCTTCCTTACATCTTATACAAAAATTATCTCAAGATGGATTAAAGACTTAAATGTAAGACCTAAAACCATAAAAACCCTAGAAGAAAACCTAGGCAATACCATTCAGGACATAGGCTTGGGCAAAGTCTTCATGACTAAAACACCAAAAGCAATGGCAACAAAAGCCAAAATTGACAAATGGGATCTAATTAAACTAAAGAGCTTCTGCACAGCAAAAGAAACTATCATCAGAGTGAACAGGCAACCTACAGAATGGGAGAAAATTTTTGCAATCTATCCTTCTGACAAAGGGCTAATATCCAGAATCTACAAAGAACTTAAACAAATTTACAACAAAAAAAACAAACAACCCCATCAAAAAGTGGATGAAGGATATGAACAGACACTTCTCAAAAGAAGACATTTACGTAGCCAACAGGCACATGAAAAAATGCTCATCATCACTGGTCATCAGAGAAATGCAAATCAAAACCACAATGAGCTACCATCTCACACCAGTTAGAATGGCGATCATTAAGAAGTCAGGAAACAACAGATGCTGGAGAGAATGTGGAGAAATAGCAACACTTTTACACTGTTGGTGGGACTGTAAACTAGTTCAACCATTGTGGAAGACAGTGTGGCGACTCCTCAAGGATCTAGAACTAGAAATATCGTGTGACCCAGCAATCCTGTTACTGGATATATACCCAAAGGATTGTAAATCATGCTGCTATAAAGACACATGCACATGTATGTTTACTGTGGCACTATTCCCAATGGCAAAGATTTGGAACCAACCCAAATGTCCATCAATGATAGACTGGATTAAGAAAATGTGGCTCAAATACTCCATGGAATCCTATGCAGCCATAAAAAAGGATGAGTTCATGTCCTTTGCAGGGACATGGATGAAGCTGGAAACCATCATTCTCAGCAAAATATCACAAGGACAGAAAACCAAACACCGCATGTTCTCACTCATAAGTGGGAGTTGAACAATGAGAACACATGGACTCAGGAAGGGCAACATCACACACTGGGGCCTGTTGCGGGGTGGAGGGTTGGGGGAGGGATAGCATTAGGAGAAATACCTAATGTAAATGACGAGTTAATGGGTGCAGCAAACCAACGTGGCACATGCATACCTATCGGGGGAACCAGCCCCCAATATTTCAGCGTAGGTTTTTTCTATTTTCCCTAAGTGTCGGCCAGTCTGAGAAATAAAGAGGAAGAGTACAAAGAGAGAAATTTTACAACTGGGCCTCTGGGGGTGTCATCACATATTGGTAGGACCATGATGATGACCCCGAGCCGCAAAACCAGCAAGTTTTTATTAGGGATTTTAAAAGGGGACGGGGTGTACGAACAGGGAGTACATCACAAGGATCACATGCTTCAAAGGGCCATAAAGATCACAAGGCAAAGGCAAAATTAGAATTACTGATGAGGTTCTATGTCCCACTGTGCACATATTGTTTTGATAAACATCTTAACAGGAAACAGGGCTCGAGAGCAGAGAACTAGTCTGGCTAGAATTTACCAGGCTGGAATTTCCCAATCCTAGTAAGCCTGAGGGTACTGCAGGAGACCAGGGCGTATTTCAGTCCTTATCTCAACCATATAAGACAGACACTCCCAGAGTGGCTGTCTATAGACCTGCCCCCAGGAATGCATTCCTTCCCCAGGGTTATTCCTTGCTGGGAAAATAATTCAGTGATATTTCTCTTATTCGCACATCTGTCTATAGGCTTTCTGTGAGAAGAAAAATATGGCTCTATTCTGCCCAACCCCGTAGGCAGTCAGACCTTAGGGTTATCTTCCCTTGTTCCCTGAAAATCGCTGTTATTCTGTTCTTTTCAGGGTGCACTGATTTCATATTGTTCAAACGCACATGTTTAACAATCAGATTTCATATTGTTCAAAACATACATGTTCTACAATCAATTTGTACAATAGTGTTCCTGAGGTGACATACATTCTCGGCCAATGAAGATAACAGTATTAAGAGATTAAAGTAAAGACAGGTGGCCGGGCGCGGTGGCTCATGGCTATAATTCCAGCACTTTGGGAGGCCGAGGTGGGCAGATCACGAGGTCAGGAGATCGAGACCATCCTGGCTAACACAGTGAAACCCCGTCTCTACTAAAAAAATACAAAAAATTAGCTGGGCATGGTGGCGGGTGCCTGTAGTCCCAGCTACACAGGAGGCTGAGGCTGGAGAATGGCGTGAACCCAGGAGGTGGAGCTTGCAGTGAGCCAAGATCACGCCACTGCACTCCAGCCTGGGCGACAGAGTGAGACTCCGTCTCAAAAAAAAAAAAAAAAAAAAAAAAAAAAAGACAGGCATAAGAAATTATAAGAGTATTATTAGTATTAGGGAAGTGATAAATGTTCATGAAATCTTCACAATTTATGTTCAGAGACTGCAGTAAAGACGGGTGTAAGAAATCATAAAAGTATTAATTTTGGGAACTGATAAATGTCCATGAAATCTTCACAATTTATGTTTTTGTGACTCAGCTCCAGCCGGTCCCTCCGTTCGGGGTCCCTGACTTCCTGCAACATACACCTATGTAACAAACCTGCATATTGTGCACATGTACCTGAGAACTTAAAGTGTAATAAAAAAAATACTGCTATATTGCCTTCCAAAAGGTTATATCAATTTCTACTTCCACTAAGAGTATGTGAGCCTACTTACTTCTTCACATCCTTGCCAACACTGGATACTATAAAAAGTTTAAATCGGCCAGGCATGGTGGCTCACGCCTGTAATGCCGGCACTTTGGGAGGCCGAGGCAGGTGGATCACATGAGGTCAGGAGCTGGAGACCAGCCTGGCCAACATGGTGAAACCCTGTCTCTACTAATAATACAAAAATTAGCCGGGTGTGATGGCAGGCGCCTGTAATCCCAGCTACTTAGGAGGCTGATGCAGGAGTCACTTGAGCCTGGGAGGCAGAGGTTGCAGTGAGCTGAGATCGTGCCATTGCACTCCAGCCTGGGTGACAAGAGTGAAATTGCGTCTCCAAGTTTAAATCTTTAATAATCATATGAAAAATACATCCATTACATCCATTTTATAGGCTTTTTGTTGTTAAACTTTCATGCCTTTTGCCTGCTTTTCTATTTAATTATAATTTTCTTGTTGATTTGAAGCAGCTGTTTGTATGGTTTTTAAAAATAGCAATTTCTCATAGTATTAAAAATTGTATCCCCCTGCTTTTGTTATCTTTTTAGTTTTTTACGGTACATTTTTCATGAGAAAGTTTATGCAATTTAATGTACTGATGTTTTCCTTTATTCTTACAGGATATTATTTTATGCCTAGAGTCCTTCCCTCATTCTAAGATAATTATTTAAATTCACCAATATTTTCTTCTAGTAATTTAAGGTTCATATTTACATTTAAATCTCTGCCCCAAAGGAAGGTTTTTTGCTCTATGCAAATCTGTACTCTTCAATTTTTTTGTTATGATGAGCATATATTACTATTATAATTTTTTAAAACATGGTCACAAGCTAGTGTAGTACAGATACGTCTTTCTATGAAAATCTTGACAAAAACCAAACCAATAGCAAATGTAATTTGAAAAACACCAATATGGTAAAAGAATGAAAGTAGGCTTCCCATATTTTACTTTGAAATTTGAAAGATCACCATATGTGTGCCTCCCCCTGGTACCTTGAAACTACTCTCTCATGTGTACACACTGTTCAGTACAAGGGGCCTGCCAGCTTGGTACTTACGGCCACCCTCCTCTTTAGTTAGGCTTGAAAAAAAGGAAGAAAAGAAGTCAAGAGAAAGTAACAAAGTAAGATACAAGTAAACCGTTGGAAGTGGAATCAGCATTTACTGCCAGCCAGTAACAACTCTTTCTGAAATGTCTGAGTGCCCGGTAGTACAATGAATTTCTCTACTTCCACCCTAGGAAACGTTTCAAAGCCTCCAGTACTTCCAGTCTCAGTCTATAAACCCGAAGTGTCTCCACTGCACACAAAGTTAAGAGCATAGGCTTTGGAGCCAGACTGCCTGGTTCACCCTGGACTCTGTCACTAGTTGTTAGGGACATTGCTTGAACATCTGTGAGCCTCAATTTTCTCACCTATAAAATGGGGATAATAGTAATACTTACCTTGTATGGATGTCCTGTGGATTAATTACCTGAGTTAATACATGTAAAGCACCTAGATGCCTGAAATATAATAGTGTTCAATCAATATTTACTATTATCTTTACCAGAGAATAGTTAAGTCTACATGAGCCACAAGTGCATTGCAAAAGTCCAGTGGAATAGCAGAAAGGAATTACGGGATGTCCCAGTATTGCTGTTGTTTGACAGCATTGAAAAAATCATGCAAACTCTGTCTTTCTATTTTCCTGAACCTATAACACGTGGATGATTAGTTTCCTATTACAGTTAACAACTAATTGTAAAGTGCAGTTAATATGCAGTTTGAGGGCTTCTATTATTTGTAGTTCTTACTCACTTGACTTAAGACAGGCTATTTTTTCTCCAACTGACTCAGTGCTCTACTCACTA
Source organism: Homo sapiens (assembly GCF_000001405.40). NCBI lineage: Eukaryota > Metazoa > Chordata > Mammalia > Primates > Hominidae > Homo > Homo sapiens. The sequence continues at coordinate 48,210,351 of NC_000013.11, forward strand.
CTATTGTGCAATAAAGTTAGAGAAAGTACTGAATCATTTCAAACCTGCTTATTGATACTAAGATCTCACCATGTAATGACACGAAAGATCTTAGTCACACATAAGGTAATGGTAGTGCAGTTGAGAATAAAGGAAAGTGTCTTACTTCGTGAGCTGCACAAATGAGGTTCATCTTGTGATAATAATTCTCACAATAACTCTATGAAGTAAGGATTTTATAAAGTTGTCCTAGGAAGTTCCCCTCCTATAGAAAGGAAAAGAAAACGGGGCCATTTTAGAAGACTACCTATCATATCTATCTGTAGGTATAAGTTTTTTCTGTCACCCCCCCAAAAAACATACAATTGTGCAATTAAGATGCATGAACTTATTGTTTTATTCCTTTTTCGGCTGTGCTTTCCATCTCTGTGTGGTGTGCTCCACTTTGGCTGGATTCTTGTCTCATTTCTTACAGTTCACTATTTTATTCTTTGCTATATTTATTCTGCTATTTGGTTTATCTAGTAGGCCCCTTATTTCAGTGATTATATTTTTTCTTTTCTTTTTTTCTTGTCTTTTTTTTTTTTTTTTTTTTTGAGAAAGATTCTCACTCTGTCGCCCAGGCTGGAGTGCAGTGGCATGATCCCGGATCACTGCAACTTCCATTTCTGGGGTTCTAGCAATTCTCTGGCCTCAGCCTCCTAAGTAGCTGGGATTACAGGTGTGTGCCACCACACCCGACTAATTTTTGTATTTTTAGATGAAACGGGTTTTGCCATGTTGGCCAGGCTGGTCTCAAACTCCTGACCTCAAGTGATCCACCCACCTTGGCCTCCCAAAGTACTGGGATTACAGGTGTGAGCCACCATGTCCGGCCTCTTTTTTTTTTTTTTCCCCTTTGAGATGGAGTCTCTCTCTGTCACCCAGGCTGGAGTGCAGTGGTGCAATCTTGGCTCACTGCAACCCCCACCTCCCGGGTTCAAACGATTATCCTGCCTCAGCCTCCCGAGTAGCTGGGACTACAGGCACGTGCCACCAGGCCCAGCTAATTTTTGTATTTTTAATAGAGATGGGGTTTCACCATATTGGCCAGGCTGGTCTCGAACTCCTGACCTCAGGTGATCCGCCTGCCTCGGCCTCCCAGTGTGCTGGGATTACATGTGTAAGCCACCGTGCCTGGCCCCCTGGCCCATATTTTTTATTTTCAAAATCAATAACTGATTCTTTAAAAACTATCTGCTATTGTGGTTGCAGTATCCTTTTATAGCTCTAAGGTTTTTAATTATAGTCCAACTTAAAATCTTGTTTGCTCTATTGACTGTTTCCTTGGGCATTCATACTTATATTTATTGGGTTTGGTGCCTGTCTTTCACAGTGTTGGTTTTCCTTAAAAGTCTGGTGATTCTTGGCTTGCTGCTGGTCTCTGTGATTGCACAGCCCTGCTTGTGGATGAGCCAGGCCAGACACATCAAAACTAGCAGCCCATCCCTTCTTCCACCCCTCTTCTGGGTTACTACGTTCTGGAGCAATGCTTCTCAATCTTTTTTTCATTATCACCCTCCTAAGGAAACTTTGTAGACATTTTTTTCCTAATCACCACCTCTCCTTCACGAAATGTCAGTACCACAGATGGGCTACATCTCTGTGTACATACTGTGGCCTGTTGGAGCCACAGACTATAGCAATATTTAGGTTTTTTTGTTTTCTTTCCCCAAAATTTCCCACCCAAGACCTAAGTTTTGCCCTGGTGGGAGTAATATCACCTCCAGCTAAAAATCATGCTCTGAAGAACGTCCCTGTTTTTCTGCATTAACTGTCCTACCAGTAAATGTTATTTTTGCCTTCTGCTTCCAAAGCAGTTGACCAAAGAATTCTCCTCTTCCTTTATCCAATGCCTAGAACATAAGCTAAATCCAAAGCTTAGAACATGTGAACATTCTTACAACAACTCCTACCTGTAAAGTCTCTGGTACACTAGGTTTTTTGTTATTTTGTTTTTTAAATTAATAGACTTTATTTTTTAGGGTAGTTTTAGGTTCAAAGCAAAATGGAGCTGAAATTACATAATCCACCCACTCCCACACACAGCCTCCACCACCAACATCCAGCAGCAGTTTGGTACATTTGTTATAATCTGCACTAGGCTTTACATTACATTTTAAACTGAGGTTTGCTCTGTTAATCTGATAATATGCTTTCAATATTTCTGGAATTTAAAAAAAATTTAGATATACTGATAGCACATTTTGTTATTTTCAAGCAATAGTATTAATTTTTCTCTCCTTCATAACTTTTTGCAAACTTAAGGCATTGGAGCAGGTGGGTAGAGAGACCCTTCTGCACAGTCCTCCATTCCAATTTAATCTCCTAGAAAGATAGTTCTACCATGATAACAAAAAGCATGCAGAGAAGAGTGGGCAAGATTTAACTTTATAGACTATTGCTTTAAGTTGTACCGGAAGCCTCCAAGTTATAGCTCAGTGATTCTTCTAAATTCTAAACGGCAAGTAAATTATTCTTAACTAAATATTCCATGTTGTTAATCAATAGTATCTACTAGCCTATACATGATAAAAGTAGGATGGTTCTATTTTTTGAGTTTTTTTAACAGCTTTGAGTTATAATTCACATATCATACAATTCACTCAAAGTGTAAAATCCAATAGTTTTTAGTATGTTCACAGAGTTGTGAAACCATCACCACTATCATTTGAGAACATGTTCATCCTCCAAAAAAGAAACTTAATAACAATTAGTACTCATTCTCCATTTCTCTCCACCCTCCAAAACCCATCCTTTCCCCTCTGCCCCTCCAGCCCTGAACAATCATGTATTTATTTGCCTATTCTGGACATTTAAAAATTCCTCCTATATAGCTGTAATTACATATTCTTTGAACAACATCTCCCAGTCCCGTTGTCCCCTAACTGCTCAAGCTCTGGTAATCACCATTCTATTCTCCTCTTCTATAAGGTCAGCTTTTTTAGATTCCATCTATGAGAGAGTTCATGTGGTCTTTCTGTGCCTGGCTTATTTGCTTAACACAATGACCTCTAGTTCTATCCATATTGCTGCAAATGACAGGATTTTGTTCTCTTTTATTTTTTATATTTATTTGTTTGTTTGTTTATTTATTTATTTTTGTGACAGGGTTTCACTCTGTCACCCAGGCTGGAGTGCAGTGGCATGATCTTGGCTCACTGCAGCCTCAAACTCCCGAGCTCAAGTCATTCTCCTGCTTCAGCCTCCCAAGCAGCTGAGACTACAGGCACATGCCACCACACTCAGCTAATTTTTTGTAGAGATGGGGTTTTGCTATGTTTCCCAGGCTGGTCAAGTGATCTGCCTGACTGCCTTGGCCTCCAAAAGTGTTGGGATTATAGGCATGAGCCACTGCACCTGGCCATGTTCTCTTTTATGGCTTAATAGTACTCCATTGTATATATAAACCACCTTTTATTTATCCATTCATCCATTGATGGACACTTAGGTTGATTCCATATCTTGGCTATTATTATTATATACATTAATATATTATTATTCCATATCTTGGGTAATATATATATTCCATATATTGGCTATATGTGCAATAAACAATGGAGTGCAGCTATCTCTTCAGCATATTGATTTCATTTCCTTTGGATATACACCCAGTAGTGGGATTGCTGTATCTTTTGTGAGTTCTTTCTTTAATGTATTGTATTTATGATTTTTGGAGTTTGTGATACATTTAATTTATATAGTGTGTTAAAATCATTTATTAGTACCATATATTTAAGCAAGTTCATAGAAAAAAGAACACAATGACCATTCAATTATATTTCTATTGTTCTCTATTCACGTCTAATCTGTCATTATATATATATACCTGTTGCACAATTCTAGTACTTTATGCATACTATTTTTGTGTTGTTTTGTTAGTGTGTCCATTTACTTATAAGTTTACAAAGTTGCCATTTTTACTAGCCATATAATTATTAAACAATATGGAATCACCATGTTCACTAACTTCTTATTAGTATTTAGAATGCTTCCATATTTTTATATTATTTCAGAGTATGAATACTATCAAGAAGTGTTCAAAAAAACTTAAACCAATTTATAATGTACCTTCAGCCCTGCCAAACACTGTTCAAAATTTTTAATTCTTTTGGAGATTTTTAATTTAGCATTTTTTACATTGTTACTGCATTTTCCCATCTCACATCTGACTTCCTATCTGTATTGTCACATATATAAAAGTGTTTGTGGTAGAGTATATTCTTCCAATCTGTCTGCAGCAACCAAACAACCCACATGCTCTTCTTTGACACTCCTCTCATTCAGAAGTGAGATCTATGTTCTCCTTGATTCTGTCTGGTCTTGTGACTGACAGAACTGACACTGTGTGACCTCCAACTCTAGGTTATAAAATGCAAAACAACTTCTGCTTGGGTTCTTTTAATACCCTTGCTCTTGGAACTGGTCTACCATTCTGTAAGGAAGCCCAAGAAGCCAATGAGGAAGCCTAAGTGGAGCATAACCAAGGGCCCCAGCTTTCAGCCTAGGCTGTGCTGGGTAAGCAGCCAGCAGCAACTTGCTAGCCACATGGGTGAGTCATCTTGAAGGGATATCCTTCAGTGCCCAAACCAGCCACCCCCGATGATGCTGTGGGATAAGGCATCCTTGCTGAGCCTTGCCCAAATTAAAGATTGATGGGCAAGATAAATAAATAATTGTCTTTGTTGTAAACCACAGAATTTGGGGCTGGTTTGTTACTGAGTGACATGGTTCAGATGTGTCCTCACCCAAATCTCATCTTGAATTGTAGTTCCCATAATCCCTGTGTTGTGGGAGGGACCTGGTGGGAGGTAATTGAATCATGGGGGTGGTTACCTCCATGTTGCTCTTGTGATAGTGAGTTCTCACATGATCTGATGGTTTTATAAAGGGCTATTCTCCTTTTGCTTGGCATTTCTCCTTCCTGAACCATGTGAAGAAGGATGTGTTTGTTTCCCCTTCCACCATGATTGTAAGTTTCCTGAGCCCTCCCCATCCCTGTGGAACTGTGAGTCAATTAAATCTCTTTTCTTCACAAATTACCAGTCTCAGATATGTCTTTTTTTTATTTTTTATTTTTCTGAGATGGAGTCTTGCTCTGTTGCCCAGGCTGGAGTGCAGTGGTGTGATCTCAGCTCACTGCAACCTCCACCTCCCAGGTTCAAGTGATTCTCCTGCCTCAGCCTCCCAAGAGCTGGCATTTTAGGCATGCACCACCATGCATGGCTAATTTTTGTATTTTTAGTAGAGATGAGGTTTTGCTATGTTGGCCAGGATGGTCTTGAACTCCTGACCTCAGGTGATCCACCCATCTCAGCCTCCAAATTGTCGGGACTACAGGTGTGACTCACCATGCCCAGCCTCAGGTATGTCTTAATTAGCAGTGTGAAAACAGATTAATACAGTAAATTGGTACCATAAAGAGCAGAGTGCTGCTGTAAAGATATCAAAAAATGTGGAAGCAACTTTGGAACTGGGTAACAGGCAGAAGCTGTAACAGTTTGGGGGGCTCAGAAGAAGACAGGAAAATGTGGGAAAGTTTGGAACTTCCTAGAGACTTGGAGGACTCAGAAGACAGGATGATGTGATAAGTTTGGAACTTCCTAGAGACTTGTTGGTTTTGACCAACACACTGATAGAGATATGGACAATTAAGTCCAGGCTGAGGTGGTCTCAGATGGAGATGAGGAACTTCCCAGGAATTAGAACAAAGGTGACTCTTGGTATGCTTTAGCAAAGAGACTGGCATTTTGCCCCTGCCCTAGAGATCTGTGGAACTTTGAACTTGAGAGAGATTATTTAGAGTATCTGGTGGAAGAAATTTCTAAGCAGTAAAGCATTTAAGAAGTGAATTTGCAGCCTGACAATGCAGAAGAAAAATACATTTTCTGGGGAGAAATTCAAGCCAGTTGCAGAAATTTGCATAAGTAACAAGGAGCCAAATGCAAATCATGAAGACAATGGGAAAAATGCCTCCAGGGCGTGTCAGAGACCTTCATGGCAGCCCCTCCCATCACAGCCTCAGAGGCCTAGGAGGGAAAAATGGTTTCCTGGGCCCATCCAGGGCCTCCCTGCTGTGTGCAGCCTCAGGACTTGGTGCCCTGCATCCCAGCCACTCCAGCTGGGGCTAAAAGGGACCAAGGTACAGCTCAGGGTGTTGCTTCAGAGGTTGCAAGTCCCAAGCCTTGGCAGCTTCCAGGTGGTGTTGAGCCTGCAGGGGCACAGAAGTCAAGAATTGAGGTTTGAGAACCTCTGCCTAGATTTCAGAGGATGTACGGAAATGCCTGGATATCCAGGCAGAACTTTGCTGCAGGGACAGAGCCCTCATGGGGAACTTCTGCTAGGGCAGTGCAGAAGGGAAATGTGGGGTCAGAGCCCCCACATAGAGTCCCGACTGGGGCACTGGCCAGTGGAGCTGTGAGAAGAGGGCCACTGTCCTCTAGACCCAAGAATGGTAGATCCACCGACAGCTTGCACCATGCACCTGGAAAAGCTGCAGACATTCAATGCCAGCCTGTGAAAGCAGCCAGGTCGGGGGCCGTACCCTGCAAAGCCACAGGGGAGAAGTTGCTCAAGGCCATGGGAGCCCACCTCTTGCATCAGTGTGACCTGGATGTGAGACATGGAGTCAAAGAAGATCATTTTGGAACTTTAAGGTTTAATGACTGGTTAAGTTTTAATGACACTTTTATACATGAGACAATACAAATAGGAACTCAGCTGTGAAGCGGGAAAAATGCAGTCACAATGTAAAAAAAATGCTAACTTAAAAATCTCAAAAAGAATTAAAAATTTTGAACACAGCATTTGGCAGGGCTAAAGGAACATTATAAGGTTTAAATCCTATTGGATTTTGGACTTGCATGGGGTCTGTTGGGCCCTTTGTTTTGGTGAATTTCTCCCATTTGGAGTGGGTGTATTTGCCCAATGCCTGTACCCCCGTTGTATCTAGAAAATAAATAACTTGCTTTTGATTTTCCAGGCTGATAGGAAGAAGGGACTTGCCTTGTCTCAGATGAGACCTTGGACATGTACCTTTGCGTCAATGCTGGAATAAGTTGAGAGTTTGGGGGACTGTTGGAAAGGTATGATTATGTTTTGAAATGTTTGGAAATGAGATTTGGGCAGGGATGGAATTATATGGTTTGGCTGTGTCCCCACCCAAATCTCACCTTGAATTGTGGTTCCCATAATCCTCATGTGTCATAGGAGGGACCCAGTGGGAGGTAATTGAATCATGGGGGCAGTTACCTCCATGCTGTTCTTGTGATAGCGAGTGAGTTCTCATGAGATCTGGTGGTTTTATGAGAGGCTTTTCCCCTTTTGCTTGACACTTCTCTTTCCTGCCACCATGTGAAGAAGGATGTGTTTGCTTCCCCTTCTGCCATGATTGTAAGTTTCCTGAGGCCTCCTCAGCCATACTGAGCTGTGAGTCAATTAAACCACTTTCCATTATAAATTACCTAGTCTCAGGTGTGTCTTTATTAGCAGTGTGAGAACAGATTAGTACACTCAGCAATAGATAACTGATACAGCATATATATGTGTTTTAACCACCTATTGAGTGCAATTTGGGATGTTGACATATATTTGTTTAATTATTTGAAATAGCCACTTTTTTTTTTTTAAGATGGAATCTCACTCTGTTGCCCAGGCTGGAGTGCAGTGGCATGATCTTGGCTCACTGCAACCTCTGCCTCCCGGGTTCAAGCAACTCTTTTGCCTCAGCCTCCCAAGTAGCTGGGACTACAGGCAAGCGCCATCATGCTCAGCTAATTTTTGTATCTTTGGTAGAGACAGGGTTTCACCATATTGGCCAGGCTGGTCTCGAACTTGTGACGTCATGATCCACCCACCTCAGCCTCCCAAAGTGCTGGGATTACAGGCATGAGCCATAGCACCTGGCCCAATAGCCACTTAAAAAAAAAATCAGAGAGGAATAAAGAAGCAAGAGGCAGTCTAGCATAATGCATTAGAGCACTGGAATTACAGTGCCTGGAATTAGAGTCTAGAATTTGACTGCCTGGGGTCTAATCCTGGCTCTGCCAATTACTAGCAAATTAACAGCAGATACTTTGTCATCTCCTAAATGGGGATGATAATGGTAACCACCTAATTAGAAGTACTGTAAAGATTAAATTAGTTAGTATATATAAAGAATTTAGTCCAATGTCCAACCTATAATAAATACCAAATAAATCCCATTTAAGAGTTAACCATTCCTAGCAGTTACATATTTTCATATAAATTCTGTATTTTGTTGCTTTCTCTTTTTAAAATTGCATTAAGACATATACGGTTTCTTTATTTTTATACTTTGTATCAGTTAAGATTCTGTGTAGTACAATATTAGGAAACCAAATAAAGACTGATTTAAAGAAGAAGGAATTGTCTTAACTCAGTTAATAAGAGGTCTGAACAGGGCAAAATCTGCAGTTGCTCAATATATCCTTTCAGTAATGCCATCATACACCAAGTTCTATCCAGCTCTTAGATTTGCAAATATTGGTAGCAAAGTGGCTAAGTAATCCCAAGCATCATATCCAGATATGGCAAAGTCTAGAGGAAGAAGGGACTATCTCCTCCTTGTAGGTACCCAATACAGAAACAAATACGTGGCAATATAATTGGACTGGAATGAGTGTTTGAACATCCACCACAATGCCCACTGAACACTTTCAAGCATATACATCTTGTTTCTGGTAATATGCCCCATTTTATCGATAGTTCTGATTCCGGCTGGGCGTGGTGGTTTGCACCTTTAAGCCTATCGCTTTAGGAGGCCAAGGTGGGTGGATAGATTGAGCCCAGGAGCTCAAGACCAGCCTGGGCAACATGGCAAAACCCCGTCGCTACAAAGAAAATTACAAAAAATTAGCTGGGCATGGTGGCATGTGCCTGTAGTCCCAGCTACTCATGAGGCTGAGCGGGGAGGATCACCTGAGGCTGGGAGGTCATGGCTTCAGTGAGCTGTGATAGCACCACAGCACTCCAGCCTGGGCAACAGAGTGAGACCCTGTCTCAAAAAAAAAAAAAGAAAGAAATTCATCTTCTACAAACCAATTTGTTCTTCAATACAGAGTATCATCAACATCCAATTATAATTAATAACAAAGATGACCAGTTGGATATAAGATACTGCTTCAAGCTTTTGCAAAAGTCAATAATACCACTAAGGTTATTTAATCATCCAGTTTTTTATTCACTTGTGCCTTGTAGGTGTTACAAGTAATTTTATATGGAACTCCCCAAATAGTGAAAAATGTAGATTGTCTCTGAAAAACTGCAGGCTTTAAAATTGCTAATATTTTCTATTCTTTTTAAATAAAGATCTCCTTTATTTGAACTCATAGCATTTATAATCTATACTATATGACTATCTTCTGTTTTGTAGAGTTTCTATTTATGTCACTTGTGTATGAGTCTTTTCTTCCAACCATATTTGTCTTTTACTTCAAGGCAGAGGTTGTGTTTCACACTTCCTTTGTTTTGTTGCTGCAACTTGGACAGAGCTCAGCACAGAGCAGGTGCTCAAAATAAGCACTTATTAGTTAGTGTTCTCCAAGTCGTCCAGTGATGACTCCTAGTATATATATCGAGTGTTACTATGTATGTGAGAGAGAACAGAGTGCATGCCTATAGTAGGCTGAATGATGATCCCAAAGATATAAGGTTCTAATCCCCAGAAACTATAAACATTACCTTACATAGAAGAAGGGTCTTTGCAGATGTGATTAAGAATCTTGACATGGGGAGATTATCCAGGATTATCCAGTGAGCTGTAAATGTCATTATAAATGTCCTTATAAGAGAGAAGGAGAGGGAGATCTCTCTCTCTCTCTCTTTCTCTCTCTCTCTCTCACACACACACACACACACACACAGACACAGAGAGAGAGAGAGAGAGAGATTGAGAGAGAGAGGATGATGTGAAGGAGCAGAGAAAAATTTGAAGATGGAGTGAATGAAGTGATAAAGCCACAAACCAAAGAATGTCAGAAACTGGAAAAGGCAGAGAACAGATTCTCACCTGGAGCATCTGGAGGGAGGACAGCTCTGCCAGTACCTTGATTTCTGCCTGGTGACACTGATTTAGGACTTCTTGCCTCCAGAACTGTGAGAGAATAAATTTCAGTTGTTTTAAGCCACAAAATTTGTGATAATTTGTTAGAGCAGCCATAGGAATCCTAACACAATGCCAATCAACAATATATTTTATTATTGGGAGGTTTAAGAATCATGCATCTGGGGTCTTCTGGATCCCTATCTGTCTTCCAATTCCGACCTAATGGCACCATTACAAGTCAATTCCACTGTAGACTGTATAAAGGAAGCCACTCTGCAACACCTTTCAACACATGTTATCAGTCATATTGAGTAATTTCTCAAGGAGGCCCAATAATATCTAGACCAGCAGGCATTTCCACCCACTGCTCTACTAATGCCATATAGGTTGGTTTCTTCCTCTCAAATTCTCTGATCTCTCAGCTGACTATAGGCTTTAGCGGTGCCCTGTGTGATGACAGCAGGGTTTTGGATATAGTAAGTAGGAGCCACTTTTGGTATCTAATAGGAAACAAAAGGATCTATGGAATTGACCCATTGGTAAAGTGAGATTGCCTTCAAACCCACAAGAAAACTCCACTAGCTTCCTAAATAAAATTTGCTTTCATTTTCAAATTAAGAAGAATATAGAAATGCCCTAGTTTCAATAAAACCTGAGTTGAACACAACTTCCTGCCTACAAAATGCCAATCGAATGAAAGCTGAAGGTGGAATTGGCTATACAGGGACGGCATGCCATTCCTCTGCTCACACTGGACAGAGCATCTTTGTGTCTAGGTCACTCTAGAACCAGCTGGGGGCCTAGGGGCACTGGAGATAGATGCAAGGGCTTTACCGTTGTTCAACCACTTTTTAAAAATGGTTTGTTTTGGTTTGTTTTGTTTTGAAAACCAGGAAAGCAGTCTGCCTTTCCAAGGTCATTAGCTCCATCACAGGCCTCTTCTTTTCACAACCATATTGTTTTGTTTTCTCTAACCTGGAAGACGACTCAACCACAAATGTAATGTTTATCTTTCAAAATAGCAGCTGAAAAAAAAGTACAGGATGTGTGAGACTAAAAACACTCTTTCGGCTTCCTCTACTTTTTTTGTGACTTTCCTCGGGTTCCTCCCTGAGGAAGAGTCTGCTATATATAAGTAATATTCTTCATTTGGCTTAGTGGTGCTCTAAATGAGAGCAGCGTAACCTCAGGAACACAAGCTTGTCTGCTCTGTATCTGTTGGCAGGCACGGGGTGAACTGCAGTTTAGCAATGATTTCTCACCACCTTGTCTTCCTCATTATTTAATGACTCCAAGTGTATGCATCTTGACTTCTCTCCACAGTTGTTTGAAAATACCATTTGACCATGGACACCAGAGCTTCTGAAATACTGGCTTTCCCTTGGGTACTCAATAAGAAAAACTTCTTAGAAATCTGTCTTCAACCAACTGAGCTGTTTATTTTCTTCTTGGGTGCATTCCATTAGACAACAGGATTTATTAGTTCAAATTCCTGTTTCACAGAACGACTTGTTCTTAATGACATGTGTCCTTTCTTCTACTTCCCATACCCCACGCCCTCTCTGCCCAATTTCTCTCTTCCTTTATGTCTGTATCTTTGCACAGTCTTCTGCAGCCACCCACTTACTCGCCATTAACAAGGAACCTTTTTCATCTCCATGATGATGAACGTGATTTTTATAAAGTGAATAGGTAATGTGGCAAAGGTTTTTAAACAGTGAATTGAATTGCTTTTGATTAAATACCATTAAGACTCCAAGTTTGCAGTATGTATGTGTTTGTTTCTGTTATACACAGTCCAATTCTTCATAAAACTAACGCTGGGGGCCCGGCATGGTGGCTCACGCCTGTAATCCCAGCACTTTGGGAGGCAGAGGTGGGCGGATCACCTGAGGTCAGGAGTCTGAGCCTGGCCAACATAGTGAAACCCCGTCTCTGCTAAAAATATAGAAATTAGCCAGGCGTGGTGTTAAGTGCCTGTGATCCCAGCTACTCAGGAGGCTGAGGCAGGAGAACCACTTGAACCCGGGAGGCGGAGGTTGCAGTGAGCCGAGATTGCGTCACCATACTCCAGCCTGGGCAATAGAGTAAGGCTCCATCAGCCTCAAAACAAAAAACAACAAAACTAGCGCTGGTATCTCAGAATGATAGTTGTGCAATTTCTTAGTAATGACTATAACGCAATGTTTTACTATGCCTCCAAGAGTATCCTTTTTCCTTGCAAAACGTAGTTTCACTTTCAGAAAGAGACGAATATCAAAGTTTAAAAATGGATCAAGCCAAAAAAAAGGAAAAACTAGTTAAGATATACATGAAACAGCAGGCTCCCTCAATAGTATGACCCATAGTACTAAAGACAAAGGCATTAAAAGAGTCAAGTGGGACAAATACTAACAGTGCATAGCTACACTGAGGTATTATTCCCCTCATTTAGTGACTCACTGGACTTTAACTGAGACTAGACTACTTGAAGAAGTTTCTGACTGTATGGGTATTTCTTGAAACACTAGCGATTTTTGTTTCTTTTCTGTTGAGTAGAGGTTTATTTGCAGTTCCATGTAATTTTATTCTCTTAGGGAATGTCTTATTGTGTTCATTCCTCTAATCCTTCTATGCCTAAAAAATGGCCCCCTGAGCGTTTAGAAAGGGAAGGGAGGTACTGACTATTTTCTATTCCTTAGCTATTTTCACTGGTGAAACCAAAAGCAGACTACTTCCTTAGTATATCTTTTAGCATCTGATCAGATTCTCTTTTATAATTTTTTTTCCCCTCTGTGTGTGGTCTCTTAAAGCAAATGGCAGTTAAACATGCTATTTCTGCTTTAGGTCATGCACTTTCTCTAAGATGGAATTTACAGGGCTTTTATGCTGTGCAATCAACCAAACCCAAGTATCCCAAGGAGAAACTTCCATGTTTCTCTCTACATATAAATATACTATATTTATATAATATACTATATTATGTATAATATAGTATACTTAACATGCTGAATTTCCCTTGGCCTTCCAAAGGTATATCTTGACACTGTGCTTATTTTTATCTAAAACCTCCTCTAAGGAAAACTTTAAAAATTCAAAAAGGAGTTTTTATGTAAATATTTGTATCTTTGTTCTCTGGAATTTTAATAAATCAAACCTTTCCTCCCTTTTCTGAAAATAAGCCAGAGGAAAAGCAGATGAAAGATTATACAGAAACAGTCTTTTTAGATGCTTTCTGACTCAAAGTACGAATTTATCTTGGTTATATGTTCTCACTGTAATTCAATAATTCCAAGCACAAGGAAGTTGATTATACCAGATTCAAAGTAAAAATCTTCCCAGCACTTTGGGAGGCCAAGGTGGGTGGATTACCTGAGGTCAGGAGTTCAAGACCAGCCTGACCAACATGGCGAAACCCTGTCTCTACTGAAAATACAAAAAATTAGCCGGGCGTGGTGGTGCACACCTGTAGTCCCAACTATTTGGGAGGCTGAGGCAGGAGAATCACTTGAACCCAGGAGGCAGAGGTTGCAGTGAGCTGAGTTCGTGCCACTGAGTCCAGCCTTGGCAACAAGAGCAAGACTCCATCTAAAACAAACAAACAAAGTAAAAATCCAAGTAGATTTCTCTTGTTTTGGTGGACTTGTTTGCATTTCTCTTTTTTTTTTTTTTTTTTTTTTGAGATGGAGTCTCGCTCTGTCAACCAGGCTGGAGTGCAGTGGCGCAATCTCAGCTCACTGCAACCTCCGCCTCCCGGGTTCAAGCGATTCTCCTTTCTCAGCCTCCCAAGTAGCTTTGACTACAGGTGTGCGCCACCGTGCCCAGCTAATTTTTGTATTTTTAGTAGAGACGGGGTTTCACCATATTGGCTAGGCTGGTTTACAACTCCTGACCTTGTGATCCACCCATCTCGGCCTCCCAAAAAAGTGCTGGGATTACAGGCATGAGCCACCGCTCCCGGCCCATGCATTTCTCATATTCTTTCACAAGTAGGTTAAATTAGCCTGGAACCCAGGCAGATTTGGGAATAAAATAATCCCCTTTGTATTGAAGTGTGCTGTAGGAAGCCATCCATAATGGGAGGGGTCTCAAACATACTTCTTTCAGGCCTCATTTGGTTCCAGGCATGGGTCACCCAGCACAGTTCATTTCATATACTTTCATCCCACCTGGAGCTCCTTTAGTTATAACCTCCCAATTTGCTTTACAGCTATCACTTCACTAAGGGGACACATTTGTTTAATAGTCTCTTCTTCAACATCAAAACAAATCTTTAGAAATTTTAAAACAGGAAGTATTGGGGCAGAACCCAGGAGAACAAATTCATTGCATCAACCCAAAGATCTTGCAGTTTTCACCAAGTTTGAGATACGTACCTTTCAAGTACAAGCAATACCCCCGCATTCCCTAGGTAATGATTCAAGGAGTCTGGACAACACAGACTCACTGTGCCACTCACTTCTAAGGGTTTGTCAATAACTCATTGTAAGGCCTTTCCCGGTCTATGTGTCTACTAAGGGCTGGGAATATGGGGGATGGGTTTAACTAGGCATAGTCTATCATGTTGGACTAGGAAATGATCCCAGAGTTAATAGAAAACAGTCTCAACAGTATCTATGGCTAGGTTGCATACCACCCAGAAGCCAGGAAGACTAAATGTGGGATAAAGCTCTTACTGTTTCAATCCCATTAATTATGTTGCTTTATGAATGTTTTTCTTGCTTAATAACTATTGCCAGATGCAATGTGTCTTGGGGTTTCAAATTGGAAAGATCACTTTAGTGTCTGACCACCTATAGCTGCCATTGACCACAGCTCTTCTGGAGATAAAAATAGTTCAAGTTTTCCTTGATTTTTTCAGTATATTTGTTAAATGATCATAAGAAAAGTAATTTTGTTGTGGCTCAAAAAAAAAAAACAAACGAAGTCTGTCTAAATAAGCATGATCTTCCCATTAGACTGGGTTGCAATCTATCCTTGGACTAGGCAGAAAAAGAACTATCAGAAGTCATCTTAAAGCCTTTTTTTTTTTTTCCAGTTCTTTGATTCTATTAGCTAGAACATTGTTTGAACACAAGGCAAAGTCTTCTGGCTATTAAGTCTGAGAAGATGAGACTTCAAATTTATGGTTTTCAGAAATTTGAGTTTCCCATGCCAGCCAAGTTTGTTTTTTGATTTCCTGACCAGCACTTTTTTTTCCTATTTTGACTTAGATTTAAATTGCACATATGCCTTAGATATAATAAGTATTTACAAAATACAGTCATCTCTCAGTATCCATGAGGGACTGGTTCCAGGACTCCCCTCAGATACCAAAATCCACAGACGCTCAAGTCCCTTATATAAAATGGCATAGTATTTGCATATAACCTACGCACATCCTCCTATATACTTTAAATTATCTCTAGATTACTTATAATACAAAATACAATGTAACTGTTATATAAATTATTATACTGTATTGTTTAGAAAACCATGACAAGAAAAAAGGTGTGTACATGTTCAGTACAGGCACAACCATCCTTTTTTTTTTTCAAATATTTTTGACCCCTGGTTGGTTGAATCCATGGATGCAAAACCCACAGATACAGAATACATAGATATGCGGTGTCAACTGTCCAAGATATAACATACAAAAATATTTAGAGATGTGGTATATCATGTATATATTTAAAGATGTGGTATATCATATAACCATGGTTAGTCTATGTCAGTCTTTCTCGTAAGGGTTCTGGGCAAAATTTTAAAGTTAGTTAACAATTAGATTTATCAAATGTTTCCAGGAAATAAGGTACATTTTCATACGTTCCACTGATGAAAGCATCCACACTTTAAAAGATATTTTCAGAGTCTAGGTTAAGTGATAACCTTTTCTTTTTTCATTAAAGTGCCATAATGTTAAATAATTCATAGCAACTCACATAAAGTTACCATTGCTTTTGTCCTAGCTCTGGGGAAAAGGTTAAAAAAAAGAAAAGAAAAGAAAAAAAAATATTTAGGGATCACATGAGGACTTTAAATTAGATCTTAGGGTAATTGATACATCTTTAAAAATCAAGATTAGATGGAATCTGCCTTCAGGAACCTTTATGTGTCCTACTACATATGTGTCAGGTTTATCTCATTTTAGAAAAATGGGGAAAAAAGAAAATGGTACTTTGGAAATTTGATCAATCTTCTAAGAAACCCACTGAAAGAAATTTCTTCTTACTAACTTAATATTCCTCTTTTGTTATAACAAAATTTGCTACATGCTTTCTCTATCTTAATTAATGATTTTGATAAAGATAATAAGCAAGGCAGATTCCTACACTAAACGCTGGAAAGAACAGAGTGGAGAGAGTACATGAGAGATATAAGGTTGGCTTGGTGGGATGTCACCACGCAAGGTTATGGAAGGCCTTAAGAAACGTATAGAGGAGTTTAGATCACACACACACACACGCACGCACACCCCCGCCACATATTATAAATGCAATCATGCTAAATATTAGTGTCTCCTCCTACAATCCTTGTTGTCAAAAGAATGGCTATGACAACATCAATGCCTTTATGCCATTTGCCTGGAAGTTCAAAGCCTTCCTGGATGAAGCCCAGTAGGACACTTGGTAAGGTTCAACCAAAGGAGGACAGATTTTTACAATGTTCTGCCAGCCTTGGTGCATATGTCTTTTATGTCACTTGACTTATAAATACAAGTACTGTTTATTAGACATTGTTATTAGTAATGCTGGATTTATTTGGTATTCTTTCTTCCAACATAAATAAAAGGGCATTAGAATCTTATCTCATTTATCCTCATAAAAAAGGAGAGAAGCTATTTGAACTTCTCTTTCTGCTTCTGGTGTTTCCTCCTTTCCCACTCACTCAGAAAGCCAGATCAATCTTTATAGAGCAGCCTTTTATTTTAAAAACTGATATTTGCATGGCTGGGTGCAGTGGCTCATGACTGTCTGTAATCCCAGCACTTTGGGACGCCGAGGCGGGCAGATCACTTGAGGTCAGGAGTTTGAGACCAGCCTGGCCAATATGGTGAAACCTCATCTCTACTGAAAATACAAAAATGAGCCGGCATGGTAGCGCGCACCTGTAATCCCAGCTACTCGGGAGGCTGAGGCTGGAGAATCGCTTGAACCCAGGAGGCAGAGGCTGCAGTGAGCCGAGATCACACCATTGCACTCCAGCCTGGGCAACAGTGCGAGACTCCATCTCAAAACATAAATAAATAAAGTAAAAAACAACTGATATTTGCAGAAACTTTCCACAGTCCCTTTGAGGGTAAAGTCCATACGACTAATTCTAACAGGACATGCAGCTTTATCACTCCATTGCCCATCCAGCTGTGTTCCCCACAATTACTCAGCATACACCCTCAGCCTGAGTGGGGCTTCTCTCCTCTTGCCTCAGTCCTCTTTCCTGGTCTCAGTTCTCTTCTTCATGCTCTTCCCTCCACTCAGGCTCTTCTTCCATTTCCTTTGTCTTTGCCTAAACCCTTTCCATTTCTCCAACTAAAATTTTGTCTCTTCTGTGAAACCTTACCAGGCTGCTCCAGCTCAGTCTAGACTCCAATATCATGCTATAAACAGTTGGTTTATTTGCAGAGTATTACCAGTGAAAATATGAAGCATGGTGAGGTTCAGACAAGACAAGGGTCTGAGTCCTCTGAGTGGGTTCTATCCATTCAACCACCAACCTTTGTGCATTTCTCTCTCTTTCATTTTAATAAACATTATGTTTTGAGCACTTTTAGGTTCCCAGCAAAATTGAGCAAGAAAGTATAGAGAGTTTCCATATACCCCCTGTCTCCACACACATACAACCTCCCCCACTGTCTACAGCCCCCACCAGGCTCATACACTTGTTAAATCAATGAACCTACATTGATACATTCTATGGATTTTGACAAATGGATAATGGCATTGTAGTATCTATCCACCATTGTAGTATCATGCAGAACAGTTTCACTGTCCTAAAAATCCTCCCTGCTCCTCCTATTCATCCCTTCCTCCCTTGCCACTAACGCTGATCGTTTTACTGATTAGTGGTAACCAGTGATCTTTTTACTGTTTCTATAGTTATGCCTTTTCTAAAATGTCATATAGTTGGAATTATACAGTATGTAGCCTTTTCAGACTGGCTTCTTTGACTTAATAATATGTCTTTACATTTCCTCCATGTCTTTATGGTTTGATGGTTCATTTCTTCTCAGTGCTGAATAATATTTCATTATCTGGATGTACCACAGTTTATCCACTCATCTACTGAAGGATATCTTGGTCGCTTTAACATTTTGGTAATAATGAATAAAGCAGCTATAAACATACATATGCAGCGTTTTTTGGTGGACATAAGTTTTCAACTCCTTGGGGTAAATACCAAGGAGCATAATTGTTGGATATTATGGTAAGAGTGTGTTTAGTTTTGTAAGAAACTGCGGCTGTACCATTTTCCATTTCCATCAGTGATGAATGAGCGTTCCTGTTGCCCAGCATCCTCATCAGTAATTGTTGTGGTCGCTGTTGCCGATTTTGGCCATTTTAATAAGTGTTCAGGGTATTTCATTGTAGTTTTAATTTGCAATTCCCTAATGATACAGGTAAAGATAGATGTGGAGTATCTTTTCATATGCTTAATTGCCATCTGTGTATGTTCTTTGGTAAGGGGTCTCTTCAGATTGTTTGCCCATTTTTTTAAAATGTGGTTATTGCAACTAGGGAACTGGATTTTTTGTTTTATTTAATTTTGATTTGTATTTATTTATTTGTTTGTTTATTTTTAGGGACTCCTGTGCTCAAGTGATCTTCCTGCTTCAGCCTCCCAAGTAGCTGGAACTATATAGCATGCACCACTACACCCTGTTAAGAAAAATAATTTTTTAAAATAGAAACGGGGTCTTGTTATATTGCCCAGGCTGGAGTGCAGTGACTATTCATAGGTACGATCATAACGCACTGCAACCTTGAACTCCTGGACTCAAGCAATCCTCTGGCCTCAGCTTCCTGAGTAGCTGGGACTATAGGCTTGTGACACTGCACTTAGCTTGGTGGCCTATTTTTTAATGAGGTGGTTTGTTTTGTTATTGTTGAGTTTAAAGAGTTATTTGTGTATTTTGGATTCAAGTCTTTCATCAGATACATGTTTTGCAAATATTTTCTCCTAGTCTGTGGCTTGTCTTCCCATCTTTTGATTTCACTCTTTCTATGGTTTGTGTTTCTCATCTTTTCCATCTTTTTCCTCCCTTTCTCTCTCTCTCTCTCTCTTTTTTTTTTTTTTTTTTTTTTTTTTTTTTTTTTTTTGAGACAGAGTTTCGCTCTTGTTGTCCAGGCTGGAGTGCAATGGCGCAATCTCGGCTCACCGAAACCTCTGCCCCCTGGATTCAAGCAATTCTCCTACCTCAGCCTTCCGAGTAGCTGGAATTACAGGCATGTGCCACCATGCCCGGCTAATTTTTTGTATTTTTGTATTTTTTTTTTCTTTTTTTTGAGACGAATTCTGGCTCTGTTGCCCAGACTGGAATGCAGTGGCGTGATCTCGGCTCACTGCAAGCTCCGCCTCCCGGGTTCACGCCATTCTCCTGCCTCAGCCTCACGAGTGGCTGGGACTACAGGCGCCCGCCACCACACCCGGCTGATTTTTTGTATTTTTTTTTTTTTTTTAGTAGAGACGGGGTTTCACCGTGTTAGCCAGGATGGTCTCGATCTCCTGACCTCGTCATCCGCCCGCCTCGGCCTCCTAAAGTGCTGGGATTGCAGGCGTGAGCCACCGCGCCCGGTCAATTTTTTGCATTTTTAGTAGAGTCGGGGTTTCTCCATTTTGGTCAGGCTGGTCTGGAACACCCGACCTCAGGTGATCTCCCTGCCTCGGCCTCCCAAAGTGCTGGGATTACAGGCATGAGCCACCTCACCCAGCTTCTCCCTCTCTTTCATCAGTGCAGAGCATATCCAGTCTTTTCACAAAGCAAAACAAAAATCCCAAGTGCCACAGCCAGTCAAATCAAAAGAGATCTGCATTTGTTATTAGGATAATTCCTAAAGGGTCTCGGGATATTATAGAGCCCAAGATTTGAAAAAGAAAAAAAAATGCATCTGCTAGTTCAAGGAAAATAATGATAAATTATTTTAAAATTACATGAAAATAATTTATATAAAATAAATTAAAATAATTGAAAAGCATATATAATATTGAAATAGGAAGTCGGTAAGAAAAATAAACAGTGCTTAAGTCTCTGAAGAGGTCAGTCAAAGCCTTCAAAGCTCTCACCTAGAAGAAACACTTCTTTTATGAAAGTTCAGACAAAGCCACAAGATGACCAGCTAAACTCACACATTGGGTTAAGAGAAGAGGCAACAGGAGCACATTTCAAAGGGCTTATTCAGTGACGTTGTTTCACCAAGGACCCTATACTTGTGAAAAATAAAATAAAATAAAGTTTTCCAATCATTCTGTAAAACCACAAGAAATTTCTCTGAATAAGGAATTGTTTCCTTGAGAAAGAACAGACAGAATAGAGATGTAAAGAACCTAAAAAGAAAAAAAAAATCCCTGTTGAAGCACATAATGCAAATCTATTAAAATATTTTAGAATTCAGTTCCCCACTTCCATTTTTTCCTCCCTCCTTTGGTAAGCATAAAAACAAACATGGTTGCTGGTGATATGCAGAGCTGGAATCAGATTCATCTTGCTCTCTCAAACTCAACGTCAAAAAGGAAAACAAAGGTCCTCTAAGACTCCCTTTACATTTGGTAGTTAATAGTAACTTATAACTATGTTTTTAACTTTCTTTTGTTGAGTCATGGACTCTCCTCCTCCCTGGCTCCTAAGTTTTCAGGGTCAACGGGCAACCTTTTCTAAATCACAAGACTGGATTTGCTATGTTTGGTCTTGCTCCAGCGTCTTTATTATCCCTGCTGTTGTGCACTACACAGTTCTGTAGACACATGAGATAAAATGGAGAAAAAAAACCAGGAGATTATTCCCAGACCGGTTGCCAACTGATTTTAAACTGTTGCTCACTGCAAGTACACAAAATAATGAATGGTCTTTTATTCATGAGTCTTTCAAAATAGAAATCCTGGGGCGGGGAGGATTTCTAGTTTTGTCAACCTCATTTGTTCATCCTTTGCCTCAGCTTCCTAGTCTGTTCAGTAGTGTTGTTCACGAAGAATTTTGTTTTATTTTCTTCTGTAATTCCTTTTTTCCCCCCGGAGTATAATGACAGCCAGATTCTTCTCTATCATCTACTGCAAAATGCCTTGAGTATTTTTCTACCATCTTATTTTAACACAGAACGAAGTAGGAAGGATGTACATATAATTATTTATAATCCTCCAGATCTTGCTTCCAGAAATACTTAGTCTTCAACTGTAATGTCTCAGGGAACCTATTAAACTAGGGAGCTGGAAGCAGTCGTTGACTTTGAGGAATTAGATAACATTAGATACTATGAAAGTCCAGTCCATAGAGTCAACCTCACAGAGCCGATGCCTGCACAAGGGCGACCCAGGAGTTTAAATAAGTTGCTGCAAGTATGGTTAGCTACTGTTAAAACTCACCAGAACTGGAACCTAACTCATCCTCCTCTTGGTTGAGCAGATTTCATTTTGACAGGAATTTCTGAATACCCAAAGCAAACTCAAAGTCTGGCCTGGGTTTCTATCTCAGCCCAGGATGCTTCTGAAATACATGAACAGAAGGATTTGGAGATCTTGGGCTGTTTCCCTGGGACTTATGATCTGACATTCTATGGAAATACCCAACTCCCTCCTTGAGCAGGGCCAAATCCCCAAAGATCTCAGACTGAACCCACTTTTTTCAGGGTTGGCCCAAGGCAGAGCTGACACAGCTGTAACATTCTAGAGCACACCCACAACTCTGGATGAACCAGGACAGAATGGGGTGGAAGGATACAAGATAACACATTTGTCCAAGGGGGCCGTCTGTTGACACAGTAATGAACGCAGTAACGACGGGAGCCAGTATTCTACCTCGCATTAGTTGTAAATGAAACGTCTTCAAAACATGAGAATTTTGCGTTATCCTTAATTATTTTTTCATTTTGCAGAAAAATAAAGGGACTCGTCATCGAGTACTTTGAGTCACAAATCAGCCAAGTGTGCATGTGGTTTTTTTCCAAGTACGCACAAGAGTGGAACATTTCGTTTTACGAGTGTGAGATGTTTGAAATACAAATCTGCCAAGAGCTTCCTCCACATTGGTCTGGGACTAGGCAGAACAGGCCCTGACCTCCTGAGAGAGGGAAGGAAGACCAGGCAGGTCTGAGCCAGGTAAACGCCCTTGGGTGAGGTCCGTGAAAGATAAAGTCAGATCTCAAGGACAGAGAGCTTTAAACATGTTTGTGCTCCACTGAGTCGGTTACCTAATAAGTGAGAAAATGAAGATGTGGATGCACAAAAATTCCATGGCCTTTAGGCTCGCGGTGGGGACAGGGTACAGGGAAGCGGCGGTCTGGTGCTGCCAAAGGTTAGTCCCTTGTACCCGGCGAACTCAGGAAAGTTCACTCGATTTCGCTACAAACCTGCAGCACTCGGCCTGGAGGTAACCTGGTTGGGAGCGAATTCAGAACTGGAAATTCCAGGCGGCCCAGAGGGACACCCATCCCTCTCCGAGGCGCGCCGGGATCCGGCGCCCAGCTGCGGGGCGAGGGCAGGGTCCCGCGCAGCACCCCACCCCCGGCCGCTGGCCCCGCCCCCGCCCCCGCCCCGCCTCCCAGGGGATGTGCGAGCAGTCTCCGCCCTCGCGCGGGAGCTGGGAGGCTGCGAGATCCCTACCGCAGTAGCCGCCTCTGCCGCCGCGGAGCTTCCCGAACCTCTTCAGCCGCCCGGAGCCGCTCCCGGAGCCCGGCCGTAGAGGCTGCAATCGCAGCCGGGAGCCCGCAGCCCGCGCCCCGAGCCCGCCGCCGCCCTTCGAGGGCGCCCCAGGCCGCGCCATGGTGAAGGTGACGTTCAACTCCGCTCTGGCCCAGAAGGAGGCCAAGAAGGACGAGCCCAAGAGCGGCGAGGAGGCGCTCATCATCCCCCCCGACGCCGTCGCGGTGGACTGCAAGGTCCGAGCCCGGGGAGGTCGAGGAAGCGGGTGCTGGGCCCGGCCGGGGAGGGCTGCGCGGACTGCAGCGGCAGTGCGCCCCGAGGTGGCGGGCGCGGGGCTCGCGCCGCGGGGACAAGTCCCCGAGAGAGCCCGGCGCTCCCGTTTCCTGTGGGTCCGCAGCTCCTTTGTAAGGAAGTGCGTGTGCTGGAAGCGGTGCCTGACGCGGGGTCGGGGGCTTGGGAGGCCTGGAGAGGGAACGATTGGCTAATTGTGCCGAATTCCCGGTCGTTTGTGCAGTCCGGGGAGCGTGCGTGCAGCCAGGACTTGGCTTGTTCGATCTGGGGACCGGCAGCGACAGGCACAACAACAACAACCGAGTTTGGCACTTCCTTCCCAGTATAAATAATGTACCTAAAATGGCTGACATCATTACAAGCCTAAACCTCTGTTGTTTCCCACTTTCGTTTCTAGGCTTGAACAGCACTTGGACTAAGTCCAGCAACTGTAAGCGTCTTAATTTTAAAAGCGTTTCTTTACCTCCTTTTTCCACGGCCCTTCGGTAGTGGCAGGTGAACTTCACCTGGAGAGGGGACGAAGGGACAGTCCGCCCGAAGTAGGTTTGGGCTGTCTCTTACCATTACTAGTAAAGGCCAGTAATGACTATGTGGATGTTAGTGAAAAACCAATTGTTGGCATTTAAATTGTATCAGCGTCTTTGTGAGGACTCCTGCTGCGTGAAACTAAACATGAGAAATTTGCCCCCGGGTCCCTAATAAAATTCTCCTTTATTTTACAAAATCTCCCTTTAATCCTAGGAAAATTCATGAAGTGGGGCTGTTACTGTGTTGACTTTTAGTAGGTTACGATCATATTTACTTAAATATGAGTGTAATTGTCTCATAAGTTAAAAAAGCCCACAGCCTCTTACCCAGACCCTTTTTAGGCTGCAAAAATTAGAAATTAACTGTAAAGTTATGTTGCTTATCTTATTTTTTGTTGTTGTTAGCATTTTTCAAGACCTATTATCAGTAGGGTAAATTTAGTTTTAACTTAAAAAAATTGGTGTGCCACGTATGAATAATGGGAGTTTTTATATGGACGAATGAAAATTATTGCTGAAAAACAGGCCACTAATATACTGTAAAAAATTCACAATATAATGGTAATCTAGACATCATATTATAATTTATTATATTCTGAATATAATCTATCTTCAGAATATAATGGTAATCTTACTTTCTGGAAATGTTCTGATAAAAACAGACACGTCAGAGGTTGATTTCTAAATGACTTGCCTTGCCTTGAAATAGGAACAGTGAACTGATTCCCTAAAAGGATTAAAGGTTTTGGTTTTCGTATTGGTATTGTTTTCCTGAAGCCATTGCAAACAATCTTGGTCTTTAAAGAAAATGTTTGGAATGCACAGATGAAAATTGCAGTAGCAAATTATTATGTTAGCTCTTTGTTTATCTAACATTCGTTGTACCTAAAATAGATTGAGAGTCAAGTATCCAGTCACAACAGTCTCAAATATATGTAGTCTTAATGCTATCACATATATATATATACACACATACATTTAAAAATCCTATTAACAAATATAACTGCTCCCATTTAGAAAGGAGAGAGTGAGCGAGCATTGGATGATGTCACTTCAGACAGCTTTTCTCTGTTCCGCTGTAGTGGAGATTTGAAACTCTGGACAAACATCAGAATTACATTTGCTGAGCACCATTAAATCTGACTTCTGACAATTTTTGTCATTTCTGAAATAGTGACTCTGCCAGATTCTCAAAATTGCTCACGAGTTCACCATATTTAAATTTTGTGGTCATTGCAGCTATAAGTAATCATTGGTAGCTCCGTGCTTTGTTTTCCATTTTTTATTTTCTCAGATCCTCCATATCCAAAGAAAAATACTACTGGGACTAAAGAGTGAGGGCCAGAGTCGTCTTTGTAAACCACCCAGCAGTCACGGATGAGTTGGTAGATAAAAAATGACTAATTCTTTTTCCAGCTATAAGCTGAAAGACTTCTTTAGGGGATGACAAAATATTTCTCTACATTAAAAGTAGAATCCTTATAATCAGTCAGTCGCTTAACGGGAAAAGGAAAACCTTAATGACAGACTTTTGTGAAAGAAGTTCTGATCTCTTCATTTCAGAGCTTGGGCAGTGATTACATAATGTTCTCTGGCTCCTTGCGGGTGGCTCTGTGGCAGCCACCTTGTCTGACTGCCTGGACTGGGAACAGAATCAGCCTTAATGTGTTTTGCCGAGGGCATTTCCTTTGCCTGGTTGGTTGAAAGAATCAAACCAAGCTAGTTAATGGCCTAGAACTCCTGAACAAGAATTTTTCTTATCTTTAACCCTCCCAGATCACAATATCCCGCAGACCATTGTTTTCCAAAATGTGCTCTTAGGGACCACCTGCTCTGGTTTTAAAATGCAGATTCTGTTACCTTATGCCACAAGAATTCTGATCACTCTAATCAGCTGGCTTATATAACATGCATTCCAGTACTTTTACATTGCTCCTGTCTTTCTATTTTTTTCTTCTGCAGGGTGAGAACTCTCCAGAAACAGTTCTATTACCCCATTTTTCAGTCTTATCTTTTCAGCAGCTATTAATCCTAACAGCCATTTCTATTGATAGTTTTATCTCAACTAGCTTGCTGTTTATTCTTTTCCTGCATTTTCCCCTTAATTGTTTTCACCTTCCTCCTCTCCTAGTAGGCATAAAGCTCTTAGAGCTATAGAGACAGCAAAGATGGGATGTATTTTGGGTAGCAGAAGTGAATTTGAAATTATATACATGTTTTATGCTATAGGCAACAATTCATATATTTTTGTGGCAATACTTTGAACCTTGGGAAATTGTTTTATATTTGCAGATAACAAAATACTTGATGTACTGTATCAGAAGTCCCAGTTTTGTCATTACATAACTACTTGATCTTGGGCTTAAATTTTTAGGTTTTCTGTCTGTAAGATGAGAGGGTAGGACCAGATGGCCTGTAAGGATTCTTCCAGTTTCAAAAATCTATGAAGATGCTAGGATTACATAATTATATTTGGCAGACATTAAATTGTTTTAATTGTGAAAAATAGCAACTACCTCCTCACTCTAACCAGACTATTCCCTTTCTTCCTTTTGGTGTTTAACATGTTACATTCTTCCCTCATATCAAGTAGCAGTGGGTCAAAGAGAAAGGAGATGGGTAGAGGTATTATGTAATAAAGCACATTGTCACTTCTGTTTACCTCACAGTGAACAGTGAAGTTGTCAGCACCTCTTTGTTGCAATGCCTGCTTATGAAACCCCTTTTCCAGTATCAGGCCACAGAATAGCTTAAGCTTGCTTCATATGTATCCCTGCAAGTTGTTTTGCTGACAAATAGTGTTGCTTTCTCTCTACCCCACTTTGTAGATATTCTTTAAAAGGAGAGAGAAAAGTAAAGTGCTGATATAGGAGAGAAAATAGTGGCAGGGTGAGTGCAAGAGAGAAAGTGAAGGCCGACTCACCCAGTAAAAGTTTTGAGTTACCCATGACAAATGGCTGTTTAGACCCTGGTTCTTTACCCTTTCTGGTTTTCCCTATTCACACAATCAAGACTGAAGGTTTTGATAATTAAGCTTTTCGTTTGTGGTGGTGGTTTTGTTTGTGTGTTTTTTGGGGAGTGAGGAGAAGGGACATAAAATGCATGGCTGGCCATTTACTATAATGTTGATATAATGCTCTCAAGGGATTGAGAGCTTGGTTCTCTTTAACCAAAGTGCATCTTATTACCTAGTTATGTAATTCCGTGTTTGCAGATATTGGCCAGTGAAACTTTTACATTACATTTTGGTTCTCCATGAGGATATTAATATCTGAATTGAGGGTTTAGTGCTGGGAAATAAATGAATTGCGTCTGTGCATCCCAAATGCCTTGGCAGGACCTCCTGTGTACACATCCCTGACAGGACACTGCTGTAGCATATTGGGTGTGCAAGGTTGCATATTGCACAGGATTGTAGTCTTCCCAACTAGACAGAAATGAGTATAATATACTTGGCATAATAAGCCTGAGTGACCTCATGGAATTCAACTCTGACATATAAAAGGTTTATGTGACTGGAAGTATTTTTTAAGCAGAAATATCTCAAATACGTTTATGTTACAGGCCTATTTAAATTAATTTAGAATTTGACTTACAAGGTGTTTATTATGCATTTCCAAATCTTGACTTGTGGGTAAATGTACATAGAAACATGTACTAAGTAGTCATTGGGGGAGATTTTATTTCTCTTAGTTTTATCATACCATAACTTAAATGTCTGGCGTGTCTATTCAAAACCCACATTCTTTTTCCAAAAGGAAATACTACTTCCTGAATTCCTAGATTTAACTAAAGCTTCTTGTACTGCTTTGTATGTCAGTGTCAGTAAAGGAAGACTCAGAAAAAAAAATCTTTTTGGGTTACCAGTAAAATCATCCTCTTAAATTTTTTGGCAAACGTGGCATTTTATTAGAGCTTAAAGACTAAAGGAAAAGAAATTAAGGACTTTAGACCGTTACTGAAACCTGTTAAAGGATTTGACAATTCTGAATTTCTGAATGAGGTGATTTTTGCCTAAATGATATACAAAATATTAACACTGGAGCTGTGCTTCACAATGAAAGTCTTTTCCAAAGTAGACAGCTGAAAGTTGAAAATTGGAAATTATAACACTAAGGACATCATTTTTGAAAAATTTCCACTTAATTGTGATTATCCCTTTTAATTAGTACTTACAACACATATTTTTAATAGCTTTAAGGAGATCTACAATACAACCTCATTTTATAAGTGTTATCAACAATTGAATGAACAAGATTATTTTAAATTATTGTGCATTCTTTAAGCTCTTTTATTAGAGGAAAAAACTTTTTGCAGTATTTCTATAATTGTACTTGGGGAAAAATCAGGTAAGAATGAACGTAGACTTTTTATTCTTAAACAGAAAAGTTTGAATCTTGAGTTGTAGCGATGAGGAAATTACCCTTGTTTTTATGGTAGAGATATATTCTGATTTTTCACTTAATGTTTTATCTTTCAGTACTGATAAGTTACCAGCAATAATTTTATGATGTTGAACTAACATAAGTACGACAAAAGAGAAATAAAATTTTCACAGCTTATATATAATACCACTTCTGAGTTAAATATCCTGGACGTTTATTTGGGAAAGTGATACTAAGTATGGTGGTGGATATTTTGTACTTTGAAATTTTGAAATATTTGCATAAACCGTTTTTGGCATAGTTGAATTTCATACTTTAAAAAACAAGTTTGGTGGATTTTTGTGTTTATTTGAATGATTAACTTTAAGGCTCAAATTATTATTTTTTTTTAGTGAAAGCAAGTTTATTAAGAAAGTAAAGGAGTAAAAGAATGGTACTGCATAGGCAGAGCAGTCAAGATGCAAATTATTTTTAAAAGTTGTTTGTTTTCAGAATGAGTTAAGGATAAAGCTTAAGTCTTAACTATTTTCTCTGCTTATATATGATTATAATGTTTTAAATTATTTTATATAAAAATTTTAAAAGATGCATTGTTAATTAAATCACTTGAATCTCTGCAGTATCCAAAAGCAGACCCATTTTTATGCTGGGGAAAATGATTTTTGAGAGCTAGTCTATTTAGCTTTGCATTATCAGTTTTCAGTTTTTCATTTTATATAACTTTATCCAATTCATTTTTTCCTCCCTTTAATACTGGGACATAAAATTTCCTGTCTATCAGTTTTACCTAGGGCCGTGCTAGGCATCTTAAGCAGAGAAGGCAAATTCAGTGTCTCCTGGGCTGAAGCAGATGAATTGTTGAAGCTGGACTTTTTGCATATGAAACAAGTAAGAATATTCTTGGTTTTCCTGCCAGGCGCAAGCCACCGCCTGTAATCCCAGCACTTTGGGATACTGAGGCTGGTGGATCACCTGAGGTCAGGAGTTCGAGATAAGCCTGGCCAACATAGCAAAATTCTGTCTCTACTAAAACAAAAATTAGCCAGGCGTGGTGGCATGCGCCTGTGATTCCAGCTTTTTGGGAGGCTGAAACAGGAGAATCGCTTGAATCTGGGAGATGGAGGCTGCAGTGAGCTGAGATTGCGCCATTGCATTCCAGCCTGGGTGACACAGCAAGACTCTGTCTCAAAAAACAAAAGAATATTCTTGGTTTTCATTTTTAAAACATGAGTCCAGTGTTGCTGGATCCTCCAATTTTCCAAGGCAAGCTAAAAATCAGTACTATTTTAATTTATACAACAATTTTAGCCCAAAACACTGAAGGCATGGGCCACTATTTTATAATCTCCTTTAAAGTGGAACGCAGGACTGGCAAATTATAGCCTATATCTTCAAATACTGCCTGCCTGCTGTTTTTCTGTAGCCCATGGGGTAAGAATGATTTTTATATTTTTTAATGGTTGGGAAAAATATCAAAGGAATGATATTTCTCCTTTTTGCCCAGTACCCTCACTGAATTGTTGGGGAGGGGCTGCTGCTATTCAGGAAGCAGCAGCACTAGCAGAATTCAGGTTATACAGTCATTCTTCAAAAGATTTAAATTTTGTCTCTATCACTTACTTTGATACCTTGGGTAAGTTACTTCAGTTCTCTGTGTCTCAGTTTTTTCATCAGCAAAATAGGGAAAATAATAATCTGTAACAATAATAGCACAATGCCTGGAACAGAGTTAAAAATTAGTAGATTTCAGCTACTGTTATTTTTATTTATTTTTTTGTTGAGAAACAGTCTTGCCCTGTCACCCAGGCAGGAATGCAATGGTGTGATCTTGGCTCACTGCAGCCTCTGCCTCCCGGGTTCAAGTGATTCTCCTGCCTCAGCTTCCCAAGTAGCTGGGATTACAGGCACCTGCCACTATGCCTGGCTAATTTTTTGTATTTTTAATAGAGACGGGGTTTCACCATGTTGGCCCGGTTGGTCTCGAACTCCTGACCTCTTGATCAACTACTATTATTAAAGTCCCAGTTTTCTCTCCTCATCATTCTTGTTTTGGAATATTACTTCTTATATTACTGTTACTGCTTATCCCTGCCTCACATGTCAGTAACAATATTGTTGGTACTTTTTTCACAGCAAGGCATTCTGGTAAAGATTGATTCCTGCAACATAAAAACCCTTAGGATTCAGTAGCTGTACCGATTTCATTTAAAAATGTTATTTATTCATTACATAATAGGTGTTAATAGAATTTGAGTTTTACCAAAGTAATACTAAATTTTAATATGCAAATATATAGTCCTGCCCTATGTCAGAGGAACATACTTTAAAAAAATTGTAGCATCATTGTATACAGTAAAATGCATAGATCATGAGTGTACAGTTAGATAATTTTAAGTCTGTATACCTGGGCTCTAACTCCCAATCAAGCTGAACATTGTTATCAACTCAGAAAGTTATCTTGTGTCCTTTTACAATTTGTTCTCCTTAGAGGTAACCACTATTCTAATTTTTCTCCCCATAGATTAATTCAAAGCAATCATATTCACTTATTAGCTTCTTATGGTCTTTTATTACCATGGTGACCACTAGACCCTCTTCTGCCTTTGTGCAATTTAGAAAAAGATCCCCTCTCTGGTGGTTTGGAGAATAGAGCATCAGTTGGTTTCTAGACCTACTGATTCCCTTGGCCTGGCATCCTTGTACTGGAAACAACCTGCCCAACCATACATGGCGATCTTAACTCCATGTTTCTCACTTTTTGCCCCAGTAGGGCGTGGTGCGGCGGGCAGCAGAGTCTTGCTCTGTCACCCAGGCTCGAGTGCAGTGGCATGATCTCGGCTCACTGCAACTTCCGCCTCCCAGGTTCAAGTGATTCTCCTGCCTCAGTCTCCCGAGTAGCTGGGATTACAGGTGCCCACCACCACTCCCAGCTAATTTTTGTATTTTTAGTAAAGACGGGGTTTCACCATGTTGACCAGGCTGGTCTGGAACTCCTGACCTCAAGTGGTCCACCCACCTCGGCCTCTCAAAGTGCTGGGATTACAGGCTGAGCCATAGCACCTGGCCCTCCATGTTTCTCTTTTAACTCCCTATTTCTCTAAATCAGTGGTTGTTAAACATTTTGCTCTGAGAACTCCTTTATAGTCTTAAAAATTGTTCAGGATCCCAAAGAGCTTTTGCTTTATGTAGGTTATATATATTTCCAAATAACCAAAAAGATTTAAGAAGACTAACAGTAACATTGTTTTACATTCGGCAGTGCCCTTTATTGAATAGCTTAATAGAAGATAGCCGGATTTTCCTATCAAATTCTTCATTCAGTCTGTTGTGATATGGTGCTTAGCTTCTGGAAAATTGCACTGTACAATTTTTATTGTATATAAACATAGCGAGAGAATGAAAGTGAAAATGACAGTTTTATTATTTAAACTAACACAGTCTTAGTTTTATTATGAAAAAAGTTTGACCTTGTGGACCCCCTGAACGGGTGTGTTCCTGGACCACATTTGCAGAACATCTATTCTAAATATTTGCTTATACTGCTGTTTCATGGTTTGTTTTCATTTGTTTTATTTTTTGCAGTTTTAGATAATACCTATTGATAATAGCTACATGGAAGGTGAATATTTAGCTTTTTCTGAATATTTACACACTGCACACATGATCTCTTCTCCTGTTCTAGCAATTTCTGGTTAAATTGATATTTAGTGTTTTTTATTATAATTAACATAAACATTAGTTACATTTGAGTATTGTAGTATACTTTTATTTTACTTCCATTCTTGTATAACAACTTTTTATTTTCCCTGAATTTGATCATGCTTCTTGGGGCAGGAGAGAGGGTTCCTTAATTTTCTACATACTTACTGCTCATTCATTCCTCAGACTCTGACAGCAGTATAATTGTCTTTCTGTGTCTTCAAACTCACCAGGTAACTTACCAAGTTTCTTTCTTTCTTTCTTTCTTTTTTTTTTGATGATTTCTTGCCCATCATTCATTAGTTTTCTATTCCAGACTGGTTGCACTCATACAAATGTCCTGAGAGTCATAATCATCTTGGAAGAATTGCCTTTGTCTTTATCACATGCTAGATCTACAGTTTCATAAATCTGAAGAAAAAGATAAATTTTTAAAAAATCTTACGTGTCTCAGAATCGTTATTCCATCCTCATATTTGATAATTTATCTGGGTGTAAAATTCTAGGTTAGCATTCATTTTTCTCTCAGCATTTTGATGGCATTGCTCCATTATCTTCTAATGTGATGCCATTCTGATTCCTTGTTTGTACATGACTTTTTTTCCCCCTTTGGTTGTCTACAGGCTGGTGATTTTCTCCTTATATCTTTTTTTTCTTTTTTCTTTTATGCTTTCAGCTTTCAACATTTTTATTGACATGACTTGTCTGCTGTCATTCATTTTCATTCTTTGTGGCTTAAGGTTTATTTGTTTTATCCCTTTACTGTCGCTTTATTGAGCTTTCAGGAGGAAGTAAACAAACATTTCACTGGAAATCAATATTAGAACTTCAACTTAGCTATCTTGATAGCTTTTTAAAGATTTGTTAGAATATTTCCTTTTACATTAAAAATTGACTTAATGATAATTAATAATGGATAATAATGGAAACCATCTGAATTACCATTAGCATTAATTTAAGATCAGACAGGATGGTCTAGAAAGATTGATGAGGCATCCTCTGATCGTCCTCTTCAAAGTTCCAAGATTGTCTCCTTCATGAGGAATTTTAGAGGCAACTCATTACCAACTTTGTAGTTTTGCTTTGTGGCATTATTACTCCAACTAACTTAAAAAAGTTTCATTTTTGTAATTAATATGTTGCCTTTTTCATTTATGTTGAAATGCTTATGTGCTGGTGTGCCTTAGTTATTTTCCTTTATTGTTTTAAGTTCACATGTATGTGATTTTAATACTTTTTGCTACCATCCTTTGTAATTTGTTGAACAACAGAGAAAAGCCCTATTAATTTTGACAACATATTAAAAGTAATATTACTGCCTTTGTAATAGTTCACACATGTAGGGCTTATTAGTGTGGGTCAATTTAAGTAAACCTTTTACAACAGTAGAAATTCATGCTGTGGGCCGGGCATGGTGGCTCACGTCTATAATTCCAGCACTTTGGGAGGCTGAGGCAGGAGAATTGCTTAAGAACAGCCTGGGCAACATAGTGAGACCTCCACCTCCACAAAAAAATTTAAAAATTAGCCATGTGTGGTGGTGCACATCTGTAGTCCCAGCTACTTGGGAGGCTGAGGTAGGAGGATCACTTGAGCCCAGGAGGTTGAGGCTGCAGTGAGCCGTGATTGCACTATTACACTCTAGCTGGGGTGACAGAGCAAGACCCTGTCTCAAAAAAAAATTAATTAATTAATTAAAAAGTATATATATTTAATAAAAAAAATCAGGCTATGTGGTTTCTGGTTAGGAGTATTATCCAAGTGTGACATGGTGTCTGTCACTTCATTTATTACCAGAGTTAATTTGCCTAAGCTGTTTGAGTCAGTTTCCTTAAGCAGCACATAGAGTCAAGATAATATTCAGACTTTATTAGCTCTGTGATATTA
This sequence comes from Homo sapiens, assembly GCF_000001405.40. Classification (NCBI taxonomy): domain Eukaryota; kingdom Metazoa; phylum Chordata; class Mammalia; order Primates; family Hominidae; genus Homo; species Homo sapiens. The sequence goes on from NC_000013.11 coordinate 48,244,031, forward strand.
CATAAATAATTTTACTTCTCTGGGCCTCATATTTATCTGTAAATGATGTATTGGATTAAACTACCTTCATGGTACTTCCATAGGGGATCTATTCCTGAGAACTGTATTGATCATATATTCAGAAGCACCTACTGGATAGCCAGGTACTATACCTGGAATTTAAAAATTGCTAAACACCCCAGCTTTCAAGAAACATTGTGTAGCTAGGGAAGACCAACCAGTTATGAAAACCAAATTAGTCACAACCTATTTAAATGCCTATATTTATTCTTAGAAGAAAATCACACCGCTGGATCCAAGAGCCAGGAGAGTGGTGGAGTAAGGGAGCAACATTCAATATTACCACTGAGTTTTTACTGCACATGCCTTCAGTGCTAGGCAGTAGGGCTCATAGGATCAAAGCACTTCTCACATGTAGAGAGACAAGTATTCCTGATCTTTAGAACTATTTTTTCTAGTAGTCATCTTGTTTAACATTTAGAATTCCAAACTTGGACAGAAATTTTCTCTTAACTATCCACATTTAAATTATGTTATACTTTCAGATGAATATACTTGGAATTTTCTTACCAAAAGTTCTGCATTTTAAATGAAATTACCCATATTTGAATATGAATGTATAATTATCTTGTTGAAAGACATTAAAAGCCAGCATTTATATAAAAGTGAGTCTAGAACAGGTTTGTTCTTTTTTTTCTTTAATCTTGACACTGAATTTTATAATGAATTATATAAAATTAGAGCATTCGAATTGTGCTTAAAATTTTTAGGGAAACTGTTGATACTGGTAACAATGTGGAGTTTCATTCAGCCAGTGGTAGAGAAAATCTGTCTTCACCAATTTATCCCGGTAAAGGATATTATTAACAATAAATAACATTTGTATATAATGCTGTTGTTTATGAACATTTACCTGTTTGTGCTAATCTAGGCTTTTTGCTATCCCAGTGCCTTTTACTCACCAATATGAATTTGAAATTCTGCTAAAATTTCACTTTATAAAACGGATACAAGGCCGGGTGCAGTGGCTCATGCCTGTAATCCCAGCACTTTGGGAGGCTGAGGCGGGCGGATCACTTGAGGTCAGGAGTTCGAGACCAGCCTGGCCAACATGGTGAGATCCCGTCTCTACTGAAAATACAACAGTTAGCTGGGCCTGGTGGCATGTGCCTGTAATCCCAGCTACTCGGAAGGCTGAGGCAGGAAAATTGCTTGAACCTGGGAGGCAGAGGTTGCAGTGAGCTGAGATGGCACCACTGTACTCCAGCCTGGGTGACAGTGAGACTCCGTCTCAAAAAAAAAAAAAATGGTTACAGTTCTGTTCAGCATAGATTGAATAAACACAGTAGAGAAATGATGGTCATTTTTTAAACTATGTAGAAAAAAGAATAAGAGATTTTAAACTTATTATTCATATAAATATTCTACTTTGCACTAATCTGCTTGTCTCTGATACAAAAGTGATTAAGTTATGATCCAGTTCTAAATGCATTGCGTTGATAATCTGCCTGTTGTTTTTTTTTTCAAGTTCCAACCTATTTTTATTTAACCTAAAACTGTGCTAGTTTTATGTGATGCTAATAATTTGGTTCAAGTTTCATAGATTTCTGACAGTAGTTACATTATTATGCAGTGGCTTTAAATTTTAATTTTTTTTCATTCTATATTACTGCTTTTATATTGCAGGATTTTTTAACAAAAAAGTATGTTAATGAGGAATCTGTTTTATAGACCTTGTAGTTTAAGTTCTTTTTTTTTTTTTTCGAGACAGAGTCTTTCTCTGTCGCCCAGGCTGGAGTGCAGTGGCATGCAGTCTCTGCTCACTGCAAGCTCTGTCTCCTGGGTTCACGCCATTCTCCTGCCTCAGCCTCCCGAGTAGCTGGGACTACAGGCGCCTGCCACCACCCCTGGCTAATTTTTTGTATTTTTAGTAGAGATGGGTTTTCACCGTGTTAGCCAGGATGGTCTCAATCTCCTGACCTCATGATCCACCCGCTTCAGCCTCCCAAAGTGTTGGGATTACAGGCGTGAGCCACTGCACCCAGCCTAAGTTCTCCTTTTTAAAGCCTTCCCCTGTTCGAATTCCAGTACAGAATAATTCCATAACTTCATTAATCATAACATGTTGGTATAATTCCCAATTTTGACTGTAAATACTAATTTAACTTAACTAAATGAAATCTAATATTGACAGAAGGTCAGAGGCCTTTGTGAAATAGAGTACTCACAAATATAGAGAGCAGCTTTCTGTGTAATGCCAGACACTAGGAAAACTGCTTCCTTTTTATGTGTCAAACATTTATCACGTGGACTTCCTCACTACAGTCAAGACAGCAGCAATCTCATTTCAAAAGGCAAATTAAAAAGCAAAATTCAGATACTGATTTAAGTGAATAAGAAAAAATGCAAACAAATGTTTGATGTCCTCATGGATTGTTAACTTCTCAGCCAGAGATTTTGTGTCTTACATATACCAGATATATTTGATAATCAGTGCAGTTAATAATTAGCGGATCACCACATCATGTCCTTTTGATGCTTTCATACTGAGGAAAGAAACCTAATGTAGAAACCAAATGAATATGTCCCAGTGTACAAAACCCAGAACTCAAAACCCTTTATATGGAGAAGTAGTTTAGATTGATTATTTAATATAAATAGGATCCCAGAAGGAAGTATACCCAGTCATAGCTGGAAGTGAAGATCAGAATTCAAAACCTATATTTGGTCTCCAAGTAGAGAGAAAAAAAAGATAAGAGAGAAGTTGAAAATACTAGAACATTGATGGGAAATTTAGTTTTTGGTTTTGTTTTGTTTGAGATGGAGTCTCGCTCTGTCACCAGGCTGGAGTGCAGTGGCATCATCTCAGCTCACTGCAACCTCCGCCTCCTGGGTTCAAGCGATTCTCGTGCCTCAGCCTCCCGAGTAGCTGGGATTACAGGCACAAGCCACCACACCCAGCTAATTTGTGTATTTTTATTAGAGACGGGTTTCACCATGTTGGCCAGGATGGTCTCGATCTCCTGACCTTGTGATCCACCTGCCTCAGTCTCCCAAAGTGCTGGGATTACAGGCATGAGCCACTGCGCTTGGCCGGGAAATCCTAGTTTTTAAAAGTGCGAATCACTAAATTTTTTTAATGTCCCAGCTGTTTTGCTGTTTTGGAAAGCATTATACCAGCCAAACAACACATCTGTGGGCAGCTGTCCTATGCACCCCCATATTTACCTATGTTACCCAGCATGTTTCTGAGTAACTAAATCTATTTCTGAAGGTTCAGTATATTTTGAGTTGAATAAATGGTATTGGTTCTTTTTTTATGTATATTTTTTGATAATATAATTTTTAACACTAAGAGTTGTTTTCCTCATTAGTATCCTGATTCCTAAAGCACTGTTGTTGAATTTGATACAGAAATGTAAAATATTGTATCTGAGCACTTTGAAAAATGTCTCTTAAAAGCTTCAGTCATCCTGTAAAAAAATGTTCAAATAGAGGTGCCTAAGAATATAAAGTGATTTGTTAGTTTGAGAACAGAATTGAAATTATACGAAAAAATATACATTTTATTTAAGTTTATAATTGAAGCACATTTACTAAAGCCTCTTAGGGAACTGATTGAGGTGACCTAATTCTTAACTAATTGAAGTACCAGAAAAGAATTTGTCCTTCATTTTGTTTAAGATATAACTTCTTAAGTAATTTTATTTTATTATCCAATGCTGAGATTTATTTGAACTAGAAATTAGTACTGTGCCAGAGTGAGAGTGCTCCTGAAAGCCAGGTCTTTCTATATCTACTGTTGCAAGGTGGTTATAGGCCAGCGTGTGCTGCAGTGTCTTCTTTTATAAACTGGGCTAAAAAACTTGAGGTTTAGGAAGATTAATTAGATGATAATTGTACAGCACCTGTGGGAGTTCTGTTACCTTTTAAGCGCGATGCAAGGTGCACCAGTTTTATTGCAGTAGAAGGGAGGAAACGTCTCGGTGACTTGTTTTAAATTAGGCCAGGTAAAGTTATATACCCCAGTGAAGAAGCTCTTACTTGTTAGTGGTTTTTTTCTTTTTAAAATTATGAAATATTTCAGGCACACAAAATACAGAGAACCTGAAGTATATTTTATATGTTTTGAAAGTCTTAAATATCACATACTTACATAATACTTAAATATGTGGTGTTATATGTTGTGCAACGTGCCTTTTTTGGGGGGGTCAGCAATTATGTTTCTTAGGCTTATCTAAAAATCAGCAGTGCTAGTACTTTTTTTTTTTAATTTTTATTTTTTAAAAGAGATAGGATCTTGCTATGTTGCCCAGGCTGGTCTGGAACTCCTGGGCTTGAGCAGTCCTCCTGCCTCTGCCTCCCAAAGTGCTGAGAGTATAGGCACGAGCCACTGGGCCTGGTCACTAGTTGAATCTTTTTAGCAGTATTATATGAATCTATAATAATTTATTTCGAATTTTTTTTTTGTTGCTGACAATGTAGTGTATATTCTTGGACATATTTCCTTACATATTCAAAAGTTTATCCAGGATTTATACCTAGGAATGGAATTGCTAGGTCATAAGATAAATGTATGTCAGAGGTGTCCAATCTTTTGGCTTTCCTGGGCCACATTGGAAGAAGAATTGTCTTGAGCCACACATAAAATACACTAACAATAGTTGATGAGCTGGGAAAAAAAATCACAAAAAAAGTCATAATGGTTTAAGAAAGTTTGTGAATTTCTGTTGGGCCACATTCAAATCTGTCCTGGGCCACACACGGCCATGGGCCACGGGTTGGACAAGCTTGATGTATGTTTATTAGATACTGCCAAATTGTTCTCCAAAGCAGTTGGACCTAAATTTCTGTCAATTGAGTGGAAGTTCCCAAGTTCCCTTTGTTACACACTTTTTCTAGCACTTGGTGTTAGACATTCTTTTATTGCCTGGTAGACAGGAACTCAGTTGATTTCTTCCCCACCCTCCATATCAAAATATAATTTACATGGAATAAAACTCCTGCATTTTATGTGTACAATTTGATTGAATTTATGGTAATTGTATAAAGTCATATATCCACCCCAACAATCAAGATACGAAAGATTTCCATCACCCAAGTAATTAGTTTCCTCATGCCTGTTTGTAGTCAGTCTCCCCTTCCCCAGCCAGTAAGCTGCTTTTGTCATTATGGTTTTGCCTTTTCTAGAATTTGATAAAGATGTGATCATATAGTGAGTAATCTTTTGTGCTAAACTTCTTTCACTTAGCATGTTTTTGAGATTCAGTCCCGCTGGTGTGTGTTATTTTGTTCCTTTTTATTGCTATCTATTTCATGGTATGAATATACCACAATTTATTCATCAGTTGATGGATATTTGGGTTGTTTCTAGTTTGGGGCTAGTATATAAATAATGATGCTGTAAATATTCATGACTAAATTTTTGACTCAGTTGATTTTTGATTATTGATCTTTAAAAATCTTGCCACCCTCTAATTAGTTTAAATAATTTGACTTTCTTAGATTTTCTACATAGACAGATTATTTACAAATAATAACAGTTTTTTCTTTTTTCTAATACCTAATCTTTTTATTGTTTGTGTACTTGCTGTAGGATCTCTAGTACAGTGTTCAGTGGAAACAGTCAATTTTAGTGGGCATTCCTGTATTCCTCAATTAAAAGGGTATGGTGAAGTATTAAAGTTTCACCATTAAGTATGAGGCTTTCTATAGGCTTTTGATTATTAGCCTTACTGATGTTAAAGAATTTCACCCTTTGCTAGTTTGCAAAGATTTTTTTTTAATGGAAGTTGAATTTTGTCAAATACATTTTCTGTATATTTTGAGATAGTCATGGGGTTTTTCTTCTTAAATCTCACGTGGCTTTTTCTTTAAGTAAAGCTTACTCTTTGAAGTGTTAAAATTTAATCACTCTAAAAACACTTTTAATAAATCTCTTAGATTAAAAACTTTTAAATCTTGAGCATACTTTAATCCCTTCTCCATGACTCGGATTGTATTATGGAACATCATTTATCTATCATACGTGATGTTAATTCTTGACTATAAATCGCTCAAAGTAGGAGCCATGTCTTAATCACATTTGATTTCCCACAGGATCTAGCACAGTATATTGCAAATAGCAAGCCTTACTTAATAAATGCTGAACTAGGCTACTGCTCTTGCTAAATAGCCACAGTTTGTTTTACGTTATGAATTATGTTGCATCTCTCCCTTCCCTTATTATCACGCTGGCTGCTGGTATAACTTTTATGAATCATAAAAAATTAAATAACCAGGCTTTTTAAAAAAATAGATCTAAGTTGGCCGGGTACGGTGGCTCAAGCCTGTAATCCGAGCACTTTGGGAGGCCGAGGCGGGTGAATCACGAGGTCAGGAGATTGAGACCATCCTGGCTACACGGTGAAACCCTGTCTCTACTAAAAATACAAAAAATTAGCCGGGTGTGGTGGCGGGCGCCTGTAGTCTCAGCTACTCGGGAGACAGAGGCAGAAGAATGGTGTGAACCCAGGAGGTGGAGCTTTCAGTGAGCTGAGATCGCGCCACTGCACTCCAGCCTGGGCAACAGAGCGAGACTCCATCTCAAAAAAAAAAAAAAGATCTAAGTTTTATTCACTCATCAAATATATGAGTGCCAGCTAATGCCAAGCCTAAGCTTGGCTTGGAGCTACCAGTAATGCAAAATGAATATGAATGGATACTTAAAAGATCTTATAGCCTAGTAGAGAGAGATAAGATCTTTATGTGAATTATTCTCATGAAAGAAAAGTGATAATTAGGAATTTAGAGAACAAAGATTAGATAGACTTTGAAGATTAAACAGCTCTTCTATGAAGTACATGATGGTGGTGCATAGGTTTGGGGTCTATAATTTGGCTGACCAAAGACTCTTGTTTATTTCCTGATTCTTAAGCCACGTTTCACGTTGTTGAGGTGCTGAATAAATTGACCTGTGGATAAGTGAAGTATTTGTAAGTGAAATTCCTCAAGAAATTGAATTTTAAAAAAATATTCAATAGTGCTGAGAAGTGATTTTTGAATGAACATGAGAAGTCAAACTCTAGCATGGTTTACAAAGGTCTTTTGTGACCTGCACCAGCTTCTTGTCCATCATTTCTCATACTCATCTCCACCATATTGGGCACTCCAGCCAAAGCACATGTGGCTCTTGGAAATGTCATGCATTTTAGCTCCATAAATTTTGAAAAATCATTGCCATATATAAAATTTCCTTTAACTCTATCTTCTGCTGAGGTAATGAGTATTTGTCCTTTAACATTCCACTAAAGTATTTTCTCCCTTGGGAAGTCTTCCTGAAACTCATCCCCTCTTATGTGCTCTCTGTGCATTTTCCTATTAGAGTTTGTATCATATTTATTTTCTTTTTGTATATTTATCTGTTTTCCGGACTGATCTAACAGGTCTCTTTCTTGGCAGAGCATACATTTCCAGTGCCTAGCACAGCTCTTGGCACATAGTAGACATTTATAATTTATTCTCAAAATGATTGTTGAACAGTTAAAAATGATATATTACAATGCCTTGAAACTTGTCATCAATTTGCCAGTTGGGGCTGCGTATTCTTTTACAGATGTCTGCCTGTGCTGTTTGGCTATTCATTTATGTACTATTGGAAGAGAAAGCCTGCCAAATGGGGTGGGTGTGTGCGCACATTTGGCTGTCCCAGCAGCTGATACCAAATGTTGGAAATAACTATTTCCATCTGTCATTTTCATCCCCCCCACTCTCCTTCCACTCTAAAATTAATTATGTTAGGAATGATTTCTTACCTCCTTAGATATTTATGTCAGACAAGGGCTCAAGCAAAAGATGTATACTTCGTCATTAAAGTTTCATAATACCTTATGACTCCATGGAATTCTTGTAGCTTTCTTTTCACAGCTGGGATATCTTACATGGCTTGCTAAATTCTTCAGACTTATTCTCATTACATACTTTTCTTCCTTGCAATACGCTCATTGTCTTTCACACATAGTATATTGACAAGTGCTACAGAAACCATGACATTCTCATAGCAATGCACTGATTCTTAGAATACACATTGTTTGTTGTTCAGTGTTAAATTCTATGTTTGAAATCTCAACCTAGGAACACACTGTATCGTATCACATTGTTCTTGGTTGCTTCAACATCTGGGATTAGACCTTTTTCAGTTGTATCATGTTAAAGTTCCTCATTTTAGAATTAAAAACATATAATCTTAGGTTTCATTCGTAACTGAATTCTTGCTTCAACCAAATCTATGTTCTAATACCGGGGTCCCCAACCGCCAGGCCACAGACCAGTACCGGAACTGGTCTTGGCTAGGAACTTGGCTGCACAGTGAGCATTGCTGCCTGAGCTCCGCCTCCTCTCAGATCAGCGGGGGCATTAGATTCTCTTAGGAGCGCAAACCCTATTGTGAACTGTGCATGTTAGGGATCTAGGTTGTGCGCTCCTTATGAGAATCTAATGCCTGGTGATCTTCTGAGGTGGAACGGTTTCACCCCGAAACCATATCCCAACACCCCTCAGTCTGTCTGTGGAAAAATTGTCTTCCACAAAACTGGTCCCTGGTGCCAAAAAAGGTTGTGTAGTGCTGTTCCAATGACCGATCCTGTTTTTGTGCATCATTCATAGTTTTTCTTTCTAATTTTATATCCTATTATATAGGTTTAGGTGAAGTCTGCTTTCTGCCTTAAGCCTACTCCATAGTGGGTTTTCCAAGTAAAGGACAGAGTCATGTACTTCAAAGAGGCTGTTCATGTATACTATGAATTTTTGCAGTCTTTACTATTTATTGAGTGACTACTTATTTAAGTATCTTTGTTTTCTTAGCTCTTTGCACATGAACTTGGGTACAAATCAGAAATTTGCTGTAATTCTAAAGTGACAGATTAGAGGGATCAGGTTAGAAGGGCACAGGGAGGGAATATCTAGGAATTATGAATGTCATGACCCCAAATAATGTTCTAATGCTAAATTGTTTTCTTAAGTGGATAGAAATGAAAATTTTATAAAATTCTGTGCTAGTTTTGTTTCTTGAATTTATCAGTAAATTTTTATCATTGAATATGTTCTCATTTTTTTCTACTGCTTCTATCTTTAAAAGAAAGTGAAGAATTTTATCAGACCATGGTTTAGGGTAGAGCAGTGGCATAATAGGATTATGTATTTCTATGTATATAATTTTGTCCTATTTTTTGAAATTCTAATTGTTTAAATAATTTTAGTATCATTGTTTGTTCTTTTCCTTATTTTCCTGTAATTTTTTCTTGTGGATGGTTTAGAATAGTTTTATACCTGGTATGAAATATAAACCACCTGTAGCAGGCCTAACACATAATTTCATAAATGATCAGATAGAGAGATGCCCTGGATTTATAATGTACAAGGCTCATCATCATATTATGTGACTAAGTTGTAGCATAACCTCTTCTAAATTATTAAATTATAGAATATATCACCAAAAGTTGTGCATGGAAAGTAAAAATTATGGAGTGTATCATTGCTTGAGGCAGGGTTAGCAGGTAGGGTGTTGAGATTAGAAGTAGACAACTCTCCTAGAGACCAATGTCCCAGTCCAAGAACCATTAAGATGAGCCCTGGAGCTACCACTTAATCATTCCTGGGTTGATTTTGATGAGAGACACAACTCCTTTGGTCTTTGTGTCTTCATTTATTAAAATGATAATCATTAAGGTTTTTCTAGTCCTGAGCCTTCTGTTATTCTGTCTGGAGATAAGATATTTAACTGTCTTTTTCATATTTTAGGACCCAGATGATGTGGTACCAGTTGGCCAAAGAAGAGCCTGGTGTTGGTGCATGTGCTTTGGACTAGCATTTATGCTTGCAGGTGTTATTCTAGGAGGAGCATACTTGTACAAATATTTTGCACTTCAAGTAAGTGGAAAAATTATTTTGTGTCTCTGATTTTTTTTTTTTTTTGCCTCTCCCGATGTGCATTACAAAATTGTTTACAACTTGCGCTAAGCTTGTACTTTTTATCTGTGACCTTCAGCCAGAGTGGTAGTTCTATTTTAAAGCTGTGTTTAAACATCTCTCCATGATATGTTTGCTGAGCCCATCACACACAGTCACTAAAAGCAGAGTAACTTGAAATGTTGGTGACTAAGGGATTTATTTAGGTCATTGGGTGATTTTACTAACCTTTATTTTCCTACTATAATTAAGGGTTGAGAGGAATAGTATTATCAATTGCCAGTTGAATAAATACATCAGCCACAAATGTTTTCATGTTGATAGGCCATAACTTGATAGTCAGCTTGGACTCCCCTATGGTCCTGCTGTACCCTTGGGCCCAGAATACAGTAAGACCATGTCTCTGCTTCTTTTCCAGTCATGGTTTCACTAAAGAACTGGGTGACTTCAGCAGTGATATTGAAATAACATAGGATGAAAGTTGTTTATAACTTTGAGTGTTTAATAGTAATCCCAGTGGGTTAAGACAAAGGTCTTCCTTGTGATTGATTATAATTTACAATCTATTTTGTAATATATTTCTCTTGGCAATAATACACAATTTTTTTTTTTAGGAGTTTTGAAGGGGAAATTACTTTCAAGGTTTTATGACTACTTCAGCTGTTTCAAAATTTGGAGAAACAGTTGACAACTAGACTTATTAAAATAATTTAACTAATTTTGAAACATTCTCAATTTCATGCTCATTTTCTGTGTTGTTCAAGATAATCAATCACATGTTGATAGACATTACCAAAATACTAGTCATCTTTTTAAATACAGTTTTATTTACAAGAAATACATATAGTATAGAAAAAATCATCGCAATTCCATTTTCCAGAGATAACATTTGGTGCATTAACTTTTTTTTTTTTCTTGAGACAGAGTTTCTCTCTTGTTGCCCAGACTGGAGTCCAATGGCGCGATCTCGGCTCACTGCACCCTCTGTCTCCCGGGTTCAGGCAATTCTCCTGCCTCAGCCTCCCAAGTAGCTGAGATTACAGGCACCTGCCACCACTCCTGGCTAATTTTTGTACTTTTAGTAGAGACAGGGTTTCATCATGTTGGCCAGGCTGGTCTCAAACTCCTGACCTCAGGCGATCCACCCACCTTGGCCTCCCAAAGTGCTAGGATTACAGGCGTGACACACCATGCCTGGCCCTGTGCATTCACATTTTGTATACCCTTAGTCTTTATTGTGTGTGTAGTGTGTGTAGTGTGTGTGTGTGTGTGTGTGTGTGCGCGCGCGTGTGCGTGCGCGCACGTGTACATGTACTGTGTGTTTGGCTTTTTTTGAGATGGGGTCTCACTCTGTCATCCAGGCTGGAGTGCGGTGGTGCAATCACAGCTCACTGTAGCCTCAACCTCTTGGGCTCAGGCAATCCTCCCGCCTCAACCTCCCCAGGAGTAGCTAGGACTACAGGTGCGTGGCACCATACCCAGCTAATTTTTTTATTTTTTGTGGAGACAGGGTCTCACCATGTTGCCCAGGCTGGTCTTGAACTCCTGGGCTCAAGCAGTCCATCTGTCTCAGGCCTCCTCCCCACAAAGTATTAGGATTACAGGCATGAGTTACTGCACCCGACCTTATGTACTGTTTTTTCTTTTTGTAAAAGTGAGACAGTAGCATAAAGATTTGCTGTAATCTAATATTTTCCACTGAATTGTGATATAAAGGGAAAAGTAGAACTACGTATATGCATATAGAAATTTCAGAAAAATTATCCCTTTTTTGGCTAATAAGAAAAAAGTCATTTAATTAGTAGACCATATCAAAACTTTTTAATATATTCTTTCAGAAAAACTTGACTAGTTTTGGAATGTATTCTTCTATAAAAACTGCTTACAGGTAGAGTAGGTCTGTTGTTTCTTTATATTTATTTGTTACTGGATAGCTAATTATTTTTATGTTCTATTTTCACCTACCAGGAAAAGTAAAGGGAAAACCAGCTGCCTTTCTTCTGAAGCTGTTCTTTTACAGTGCTTCAAAACCTGATCTTAAAGAATATGTTAACTCTGTAATTAAACTGTCTGACTTGTCATCTAAAAGCAAGAGTTTGCAAGCAAAATGCTATTTAGATAGAGGTGGCAGCTTAAGTAATGCTTATTTAAAAACCTGTCTCATGCTGAATTGCTGAAATGAGTCTTTAAACTCTCTATAGCCAGATGACGTGTACTACTGTGGAATAAAGTACATCAAAGATGATGTCATCTTAAATGAGCCCTCTGCAGATGCCCCAGCTGCTCTCTACCAGACAATTGAAGAAAATATTAAAATCTTTGAAGAAGAAGAAGTTGAATTTATCAGTGTGCCTGTCCCAGAGTTTGCAGATAGTGATCCTGCCAACATTGTTCATGACTTTAACAAGGTGAGCCAAGTGTCCAGAATTGTAGAAAGAATGCAGGTTCTGTAGTTTATGCTTTTTGTAGTTTTAATTTCAATATTTGCTAATTTATTATATTTAGAGTTTAGTTTAATAAACTGTCAGCATTTGGTGGGCTCTGCTATGTCTGAAGCAGACCCTGCTGATGCAGCCTTCTCATATCTTATCTCTCCTTCCCCTTGCCTTACCTACTCTTAAAGCCCACCTCATGACTGTTCCTCCTTTGCTGGCAAACTAATATTTTTTATATGTTCCCACATTTTCTTAGATAAGAGGTAATTTATGTTCCTGTTTCTTGGTAGCATTTTCAAAATCAATAATTTTGTTAATCTGTTTTTAAGTTCTCATTCTATATTTTTCCCCAGCTTTTGAGCATTTTTATGTAATGCAGAAAAGTTGAATACCCAAAATCCTCCACTTTGTTCCAAATATTGCCATATTTGCTTCATCTCTTTTTCTGTCATTTGACATAAGTACTTATGCTATTATCTCTCAAGAATGAGTTGTCCTCCTACGTAACCACATAATTATCACATCTAAGAAAATTAACATGATCTTATAGGACAGTAGTCCCCCCTTATCCGTGGGGGATACATGCCAAGACCCCCAGTGGATGTCTGAAACTGCATATAGTACCAAACCCTGTATATACTATGTTTTTTCCTGTTAGTGTACATATATACATATGTTAAAATTTAATTTACAAATTAGCCACAGTAATAGATTAACGACAATAATAATAAAACAGTTATAACAAAATACTATAATAAAAGTTATGTGAAGGTGGTTTCTCAAAATATTTTATTATGCTGTACTCACCTAGGTATTTGTGGACTGTAGTTAACTAAAGGTAACTGAAACTCGAGAAGCACAACCTCAGATAAGAGGGACTACTGTATTTAATATGTTTACATTTCTGTTTATGTTTACATTTCCCCAATTTTTGTCCCAAGAATTTTTTGTTTTTTCAAATCAGGATTCAGAGATTCAGAAGTTCATGTATCACCTGTGATTTTTATGTCTCTCTGTAAGCTTGCCATTTTGAACACTCGAATATATTACTGAAGTTAGCTTTGCAAACATTTCGTGCCTGATAAATACATCTGATGGATGTTTATAAACCAGTTTGAAAATTTACTTATTTCAAGGAAATAAACTTCCAAAGCAAATAGTAAATAATAATAGTTAACACTTACTGAGCTCTTAGGAATCAAAATGTTGACATTATTTGATTTAAGTTATTCTTAAAAACCGTTCTATGAGACAGTCTTTCTCAACCAGCGTTTCTCATTTGAACCACAGAACACAAAATCATTTAAATGACTGTTTTTCTAATGTTCTAAGGATGGTAGTATTCAAGATACATATGAGAAAATTTAATCTTTACAAACAATGGACAGATAACCTTAGAGGGCATTTGAGCTTATAAGTGGGGAAGTTAAATTGCTTAATTATATAATAAGTATTTGCAGTTAATTTGAATAGGTATTATTACTTATTATAGAAATATACCCTCGATGAGCATTTTATTTACTGGTAGCAATATTTTTTCCTCTCCCATTCCCACTTCCAACTTTATCCAGCCAAATTCTGAATTTGTTGAAATGCAAGTGATTTATACATTCTAAAGCCAATTCATTTTAATGATACAAATTATTCTTAAAAATCCAGTTGCTGCCTGTTTTTGCAAGTATTACTGTAACTACACTGTATCTTTTTCTTCCCAGAAACTTACAGCCTATTTAGATCTTAACCTGGATAAGTGCTATGTGATCCCTCTGAACACTTCCATTGTTATGCCACCCAGAAACCTACTGGAGTTACTTATTAACATCAAGGTATAAGAATGTTGACTGTTTTTGATGAATGATGCCTTCATAGTGTTCTGGAATTCCCTGTTGAGAAATTAGCCCTATAGGAGCCCATTTTATCAGACTGTAGTTAAGAATTTTACAAAGAGGAACTAATACTCATGGTTTTTGTTTTTAATGTTTTATATCTTGAAATTGAAATAAATTTCTCAAATAATGTTTTAAGTTTTCCTAAAGAGCCAGGGAGTAAATATTAGCCAACTACTTAATTCTGGTGCCATAGACAATACGTAAAACAGATGAACATGACTATATTCCAAAAAAAATTCTACTTATAAAAACAAGCCGGGGGCGGTGGCTCATGCCTGTAATCCCAGGACTTTGGGAGACCTAGGTGGGAGGATTGCTTGAGGCCAGGAATTTGAGACCAGCCTGGACAACATAGTGAGAACATAAACAAACAGATGGTGGGTAGTAGTTTGGCAACCTGTTCCATACCATAATGTGTAAGAATTTTGTCTTGTTTCTCTAGTCTACTCAGTGTATGTTCTGAGATAGTCATGTCATGTATTCTTTTCTGAATGTAGGCTGGAACCTATTTGCCTCAGTCCTATCTGATTCATGAGCACATGGTTATTACTGATCGCATTGAAAACATTGATCACCTGGGTTTCTTTATTTATCGACTGTGTCATGACAAGGAAACTTACAAACTGCAACGCAGAGAAACTATTAAAGGTAATACTTTTTAAATATTAAAGTGTTGGGCAGAAAAGTTCATTGCATTAAACTAGATTTAGGTGAAGCCTAGTCATTGTTACCAATATACCTGCCATGAGTGAGGTAATATTGTGTCGTTATATAATATTTCCAGGTTTCTATAGAATTATCTTAATTCCATTTAGTAAGTCCACTCTTTTCAGGTGGAGAGAAAAGGTCAATGTGAAATGTCATTGCCTTGAGATGATGGTACCTCATTTTCCATCTAGTTAGTCACCCTGTCCAACTTCCCATCCTACCACTTTGGTTGAGCCATACTGAAAGGGTTTTTATTATCCAGAGGGTGTCTTGGGACCAGCTCTTCAGCTGTGTTTTCAGGGATCTGGATTCTAAGCAGGCTGTTTGCCTTTTGGATCATATTGGGAATAATCACTGTCAGGGTAGTTGGAAAGGAATTTGGGTGAAGAACTAAGAGCATTGATACAACTAATGTTGTAGCTTTGCCAAATCATTTAACTTTTATTTTCTCACCTGAAATATAAGAATTACAGTATCTCCCCATTTCCTTTTAAGAGCATTGTGAAAATAAAAAGAAAGTACATGTGGCAGCTGTGGAAAGTAAGAAGTGCCATTCAGATACACTGTGGTGTGATTTCTTTGGAATTGTGTCACCCAGTAAAAGTGCTTTCCTGGCTTTTTGCTAGCATTTTAAATAATACTGTTCTCTCATCTCCGGCGGTTGAGTCATCTGAAACCAGCTTGATTTCTTTTTTTTTTTTTTTTCCAACTTTTATTTTAGATTCAGGGGTACATGTGCAGGTTTGTTACAAAGGGTATATTATCTGATGTGAGGTTTGGGGTACAGATGATCCCATCACTCAGGTAGTGAGCAAAGTACCCAATAGGTAGTTTTTCTTTTCTTTTCTTTTTTTTATTATACTTTAAGTTCTGAGTTACATGTGTACAATATGCAGGTTTGTTACATAGGTATACAGGTGCCATGGTGGTTTGCTGCACCCATCAACCTGTCACCAAATTAGGTATTTCTCCTAATGTTATCCCTCCCCTAGGCCCCCACCTCCCGACAGGCCCCAGTGTGTGATGTTCCCCTCTCTGTGTCCATGTGTTCTTATTGTTCACCTCCCACTTATGAGTGAGAAGATGCAGTGTTTGGTTTTCTGATCTTGTGATAGTTTGCTGAGAATGATGGTTTCCAGCTTCATCCACGTCCCTGCAAAGGACATGAACTCATCCTTTTTTATGGCTGCATAAAATTCCATGGTGCATATGTGCCACATTTTCTTAATCCAGTCTATCTTTGATGGACATTTGGGTTGGTTCCAAGTTTGCTATTGTGAGTAGTGCCACAGTAAACGTACATGTGCATGTGTCTTTATAGCAGCATGATTTATAATCCTTTGTGTATATGCCCAGTAATGGGATTGCTGGGTCAAATGGTATTTCTGGTTCTAGATCCTTGAGGAATTGCCACACTCTCTTCCACAATGGTTGAACTAATTTACACTCCCACCAACAGTGTAAAAGCGTTCCCCAATAGGTAGTTTTTCAACCCTTACCTCCTCCCTCCCTCCCTCCCTTCCTTATAGTCCTCAGTATGTATCATTCCCATCTTTATGTCAGTGAGTTCCCAGTGTTTAGCTCCTATTTATAAGTGAGAGCATTGTAAGGTAGGTATTTGGTTTTCTGTTTCTGTGTTAATTCATTTATGATAATGGCCTCCAGCTGTATCCATACTGCTGCAAAGGACATGATTTCTTTTTTATTGCTGTGTTGATTTCTTACATTTTAAAATTCTCTTGGTTCATAATTTTTTTTAAAGTCAGCCTTACACGTGCCATGAAATTTACCCTTTTTAGTGTGCAACTCTGAGTTTCCACAAAGATACACAAGGTCTTGCAAGCACCACCATAGTCAAGATACAGAACATTTTCAATACCTTCAAGTTCATGAATTTGTAAGCAGTCTGGATAGCATTATTAATGTTGCTGTGATCTGTCAAGATATTAATACTTGGTTCAGAAAAGGGAGAAAAATTACTTTTCTTCAGTGTAAACATTCAAACTGTAGAAGTTTTTGTGGAATATAGAGTGAAATACTTCTATATGTCTAAATAATAACTATAAAAATGATGTGAATATTTATTATTAAAGAATCAAAATTTTAAAAAACTTTTTTCCCTCTCCAACAGGTATTCAGAAACGTGAAGCCAGCAATTGTTTCGCAATTCGGCATTTTGAAAACAAATTTGCCGTGGAAACTTTAATTTGTTCTTGAACAGTCAAGAAAAACATTATTGAGGAAAATTAATATCACAGCATAACCCCACCCTTTACATTTTGTGCAGTGATTATTTTTTAAAGTCTTCTTTCATGTAAGTAGCAAACAGGGCTTTACTATCTTTTCATCTCATTAATTCAATTAAAACCATTACCTTAAAATTTTTTTCTTTCGAAGTGTGGTGTCTTTTATATTTGAATTAGTAACTGTATGAAGTCATAGATAATAGTACATGTCACCTTAGGTAGTAGGAAGAATTACAATTTCTTTAAATCATTTATCTGGATTTTTATGTTTTATTAGCATTTTCAAGAAGACGGATTATCTAGAGAATAATCATATATATGCATACGTAAAAATGGACCACAGTGACTTATTTGTAGTTGTTAGTTGCCCTGCTACCTAGTTTGTTAGTGCATTTGAGCACACATTTTAATTTTCCTCTAATTAAAATGTGCAGTATTTTCAGTGTCAAATATATTTAACTATTTAGAGAATGATTTCCACCTTTATGTTTTAATATCCTAGGCATCTGCTGTAATAATATTTTAGAAAATGTTTGGAATTTAAGAAATAACTTGTGTTACTAATTTGTATAACCCATATCTGTGCAATGGAATATAAATATCACAAAGTTGTTTAACTAGACTGCGTGTTGTTTTTCCCGTATAATAAAACCAAAGAATAGTTTGGTTCTTCAAATCTTAAGAGAATCCACATAAAAGAAGAAACTATTTTTTAAAAATTCACTTCTATATATACAATGAGTAAAATCACAGATTTTTTCTTTAAATAAAAATAAGTCATTTTAATAACTAAACCAGATTCTTTGTGGATACTATTAAAGTAACATTTAAGCCTCAACCTTGAATGATGTTGTTTAATATAAAATGCTTTTATTTTTGATGGAAAGGCAATCAAAGCCTAAAGTTTCCAAGGAACGTAAAATAACTGTGCTTCTCTGAGAATGCCCGCCTCACAAGTGGAACATTTTGAGTTAATAATGATGATTTTTATGTTTCTAAGGTTGCTTCCTCTCTGAAATAATTCAGAATCCACCCCCATTTAATAAAATACCTATGATTCATTTCACCTCAAGTTCCTAAGACAAAAAATTTCAATTCTGACTTTAGGAGGTCAGAGTTTTTAAAGCTTCCAACTCTTAAAGGATTTAGTCTAGAAACCAATTCTAATTCAAAAGGATATTATTTACTCATGGCTTTTCATTTCATTTCAGTAATATTGTCAGAACTTTAAGTCAGTGAGTTGGGTATTCAGGAATTAACAATTTTAGAAGACAATATGTTTCAATAAAATGAGAATTGGTTTTTCCTACTTTCCAGGCTCTAAAATTACATGAATTTTCAGGGAGCTGTGAACATTTAGGAGCACATTATTCATTCAGCATCTTTTATATGCCCAACATATGATATTGTGTTGAAGATATATCTGCAAAGAAGAAAAAAAGCCACTGCCGTCGTGGAGACTCACAATCTAGGAAAAGAGAGGGACAGCAAACAACTCATTACAATACATTGGGATCAGTAGTGTGAGGGAGAAAAACAGGTCTAGGTTCTTTGGAAAACATTTAGGAGAGTCAATGAGACTTTCAGAATGTGAAGTGCATGGGATTAGGTCATGGAAGAAGACCATGTATGTCATCTTGAGGACTTCATTCTGTAGACCATGGGCCACTATTGAAGTTTTGCATTTTGGAAGGAGCTTATTAGTTTGTTTTCCTGTTGATTATAGTAGTAATGCAGTATCAGGGTAGCTGAACTGCAATAATAATCCCAACATCTCACTGGCTTCATGCAGTAGGAATATGCTTTCATCACAGTCCAGTATGGCAGGCAACCTCCAGACTCCCAGGGACCCAAACTTACACTTTACTAAATGTAATTCTTTCATTTGAATTTTTAAAGGTTTTTGTATAATCATCTTAGTAAAACATTTGATAATTCTTCACAACATTTGCAATCATTGATTTGGCCAGATTGGTCTAACATGGTACCCATGATTTTACTTCATTTCCAGTACTATTCTGATAATTTCCTTTAGAGTCAATTGAGTAGAGAGTACCCCTCTCACCTAAGCTTAGTCATGTCCCAGGAATTTTGGAACTCCAACTGAGATTTCAGGCTCATTATTCATTCTAGGGCTGAATGAATAATGTGCCCTTTGAACCCTTGTGCCATGCTGGAAACTGTGGTCTTGGTGTGGCATGGAAAAACCAGAGGGTGAGGGATGTGGATGAGAAGATGACAGAGAATCAGACATGCAGAGAGGACTGCCAGGTCTCCCAGTGGGTTCCAGGGAGACTCAGCTATCCTTCCCTCTTCTTGAGTTCTGTCTTAGTCCATTCGGGCTACTATAACAAAATACCATAGACTGAGTGGCTTTAAACAACAGAAGCTTGTTTCTCACAGTTCCAGAAGCTGGAAAGTTCAAGATCAAGTCACCTGCAGATTCAGTGTCTGATGAGGTCCTCCTTCCTCACAGAAAGCTCTCTTCTCTCTGTGACCTTATATCACAGATGACTCTGGGTTCCTCTTACAAGGACACTAGTTCCATTCATGGGGGTTCCACTCTCATGACCTAACACCTCTCAAAGGCCCCATTTCCTAATACTGTCACCTTGGGGGTAAGGATTTCAACATGAATTCTGGGGGGACACAAACATTCAAACCATAGCAAGTTCCATAATGCACCCCATCATATGTGTGTGTGTGTGTATTTATTTATTTATCTAAGATAGCTCTAGTTTGCTGCTTTGCAACACATTCTGCCCCTATTGCATTGGTTTAAAAAAAAAGTACAGAAGTCAAGATGAGACTATATAAATCTTGACAAGTTGTTGGCCGTGATTGCTCTTTTGTGATGCAGGAGTGAGAATCTGGAGAATCTGGCTTAAGAGGTGGCTGAGAATTAAAATAATAGGCATGAAAATGCTTCATACAGCTCTGTACAGTTGTTGACAGTGCCTTTTTTGAAACCTATCACTGCTATATGTTAGCAAGCAAACACTGATCTTGTTTTGTAATGTGTAATTGTTCACTTCTGCTTTCCCTGTATCCCTTTTTAGATTCCACACCCATATTAGTGAGAAGCAAGAAAAAAAAATGTACACAGTGTCCTAAATGTTGTTTATCTCGAATAATAGAAGTAGGAGTGTAAAACTTAAAGGCTGATTAATAATGCAAATGAAAAGGCAAATGGATTATTGAATAGAAAAGGTCTAGATTCTATGTTTGAATGTGGTTATGAATTAATATGGGCAGAATCTCTAAGATTCTGCTAAGTGAACATTTAGTAGTTTACTAGACATCTTCTCTTCCACCTAGCAAAGAGTTTGTTGCCCAGAGTTATATAAATCCTACTCTATTGCACACTAATCTTTGCATGTTTAACTCTTTGGGACTTAGGTTCCTAGATAAGGACTTCATGTGTATCTATTTAGAAAAAGAACATTTCTTCATTTCCACAAAGCTACACAGCCATCAGTTCGTTCAATATCTTGTCCAAAGTTATTGCTAGCGTTCTTCTTTCTGAGTCTTTGTGGCTAATGCTTTTTTGAGGAAGAAGCATGATTTAGTCTCAGCTCTCTATTGATCATTTTAGGCTTTTATCTTACTGAAAAAATTAAGCACAATTTAAGATTTTTTTTGAAATATTTACTGAATTTTGAGGCCATAAATTATTTCCTGATAGCACACATGTATGGGTTGTAGATTCCACACTTTTAATCTTCCAGCCACCTATTGCAGATTGGTTCTGAGAAGCAGGATGAGTGGGAGTGGGCTTAGGGGTCAAAATTGAGACCTAAGTGGTATAAAACAAGATAATCCTAGCTTCCTCCCACTTAAAATAATTTGATGGGACTTCTGTATCTGATTTTTAAGCTTGCATTTGTGTTTATATTTTCATTGTAAAAATATCAAATAATACAGTTTTTGAAGGTAAAAAGTAAATGTTCCCGCCCTTCTACCATCCTCCTTCCTCAGTCCCATTCCCCAACAGTTTAACGTGCGATACAATAATGTGTGACACAAAATGACCTAGTTCTTGCCCTAGTGACTAAGCAGATGCAAACGCCTTCTTCTTTCCAAACAGTGTGGTCTTATCCCCGTCGCAAATGGAGGATATTTAAGAAACCCAAGCCAGAAACCCCACAGTCTTCACAGTCACTGTGTCCTCCACCTCCTAGCAGCTTCCTGCTGTTCTGCTCTAGTGGTTCTCTCTGCTTCCCCACACCCACCCGTAAGCCACAACAATCTTTCCAAAACACGAACTTGATGGTTTCATTGTCACACCCCAGCTTAAAACACTTTCCTGGCTTCCCCTGGTTCTTAGGATAAAGACCAAAATACTTAATGCTGCACAGTCCAGTCCCAACCCACTCTCCAGCTTCATCTTAATCACACCCCTCTTTGCTCCTAGTGTCCTACCACATTGCCTGACTTACTGTTTCTTGGTAAATGCTATTCTTACTTCCTGAAGATTATTTCCATCTCCTCACCCGACACCCTTCAGTTAGCTTCCACTCAACCTTCAGAATTTAGTTCAGGTGACCCTTCCTCAAGAGAAGATTTTCCTGAACCATTAGGAAAGGCTTCTCTTGTTTCTCAGTCTCATAGCATCATCTGTCTCTTTTTTGTGACTTGAATATAATTAATATTTTATATTTTGTCCTTGTTGCTTGTTTGGTTAATAGATTTCCACCACTAGACTGCTCAATACGTTAGTAGGGCACCTGACACATAGTTGCAGCTCTTATTTATTGAATGAATGAATGATTCCTTCCCGTACCACCCTAGTCTTGCCCACTGTCATTTTTATTCTGGGTATTATATTTCCCAACCAGTTGTCTGACTTTCTCCTCAGATCTCATCCCCATGGGTCTGAGTGAGTTGCCTTGAATATAAGATTCAGTGATGGTGTCCTGCTGCACTTAAGAGAAAATCCTTTTTTCAAGCCCTAAAATCCTGCCCTCACTAGACTTCTCTCACCATTTCTCTGTTTGCATCCTAGCCTTTTAGTTTTGGCCTCATATAAGCTTGCAGCCCTGCCTGAAACAGTTGTCTCTGTCCCCACTCTACCCCCTGCCCTCCACAAAGAAAAGTTAACTCTTACTCATCTTTCAGATCTCAGACTAAAAGTTTCCTCAGAGATGCCACCATAGCTCTCTATTTCTCATACCTTTCATGATACTTCATCACCTGTCTTCATGAAGTCCTCCTCTAGACTATTAGCAAAATGCTCATACTGTGTCCTCAGTATTTGGCACATAATAGGTTTTCTTGACACTGAAGGAAGGAATAAACATCTGGTAACTATAGCTAGAAAAAAAGGAAATACGGTATCTACTTCACTAAAACCAAAGGGGGTTTTTTTGGGCAGACAATCTTCATTATTCAGATGGAAATTAATGTTTGTTGAATGAATGAGCTACATTTCATGGATTAACTCCATGAAATGGAGTTCAGCTAGTAAGGGTTATACTTTGAGGCTATTTCATCTTGATGGGCTTGTTGTTCAAAGTTAGAGCCTCATTTTAAGTAAAATGTTCTGTGGGGGCCATATTAAGATTTTCATATGACAGAAGTGTATATATATCCACAAATGTTTCAAGCCAAGATTATGTCTTCTTCCATAATGCCACCTTCTTCTAGGATAGTATTTTTGGGCCAGATGGTTTTCCACATTTAAAACATACCAACATTCTTTTAAGGCCCAGTGATTATCAAAAGGGATTGGCACTACATTTTAAAATGTAGGGGGGATTTTTGATTGTCACAGGACTAGAGGATGCCATTTGTATTTAGTAGATGAGGCCAGGCAGGATGCTAAATGTCTTAAAAGTCCGGGAGTCCTGCACAAAAAATTACTGCCCTTCTTGATTTGCCAATTATGCCCCTGCTGGGAAGCATGAAAGGAGAGAGAAGAGCTTTCAGAATGTCAGGGATAAATATATCCATTAAGCCTTCAGACTAAGATGCAGGAATAGTTTTCCATTTGGGTATGAATACGGCAAGTTCTTAGAACATTTCTTAAAACATAATTAGCCAAATACTAGTGTAACAGCTACAACTTATCTAGTTTTAATCAACTCCAGGGAACATTACACTTTATTTAACCCCTAATTATCTGATAACCCAAGTTCTGTCAGAAACACTGCTGAGGCATCCAGGAAGATGAGCCTGTGAAATTTGAGAATCCTTCATGTCTCTGGAATGAGTCCCTAGATTCTAGCCCTGCAGCTAGCTGACACTCTAAAAAATTATGAGTGCCTTCCTTTAGCTCCCCATAGAAATGTCTTTGTATAACCATGGCATGATATTATTCTCTTGACTTTTGTTGAGGATTGATAGAAATAAAAATGAGCCAGAAATGTTTCTTCAGCTTTTGTAAAGTGCTGTTAAAAGCATTATGTCATATCTAGTACTTCTTATCTAAGTATTTTAAAATTTAGTGTTAGGAAAATTTTTTTCACATAGGATACATGTTAATATTAGGTAGTACATCTAAAGAATTCATTTGCTTCCCTTTTGCCTTGGTTGCTGGGAAACTCAGAGCCAAACTCGGTGCTTAGATTAATTACTTTCAGCCTAGGTTTTTCTGTATATCACCCTTTCGGTAGGGCTTGAAGTAACCCTTCAGTTTGCTCATATTTTGTTGTGAGTTTTATAGATAGTTTACATGCAACGAAATGCATATATCTTAAGTGTTCAACTCAGTGAGTTTTGACACTTTTCTTTGTCCATGTTAACAATCATCAAAACATTTTCATTGCCCCAGAAAATACCATTGTGCTCCTTTCCGGCAAATATTCCTTCCCTCTGCTAAAACTACTTTTTCATTTCTATGACCATAGTTCAGTTTTTGGCTATTCTTGAACTTTATTTGAATGGAATCGTACATATATAATCTTTTTGTTTGGCTTTTAAAACTCAGTATAACGTTTTGACATTTGTCCATGTTGTTGCATGACTCAGCAGTTCTTTCTTTTCAGTTGCTGTGTAGTAGTCCATTTCTTTTGGTTTTGTGTGTGTGTGTGTGCTTTTTAAATTTATTTTTTATTTTTTTTTTTTTGAGACAGAGTCTGGCTCTGTCAACTCAGGCTGGAGTGCAGTGGCATCATCTCGGCTCACTGCAATTTCTGTCTCCCAGGCTCAAGCCATCCTCTAACCTCAGCCTCCCGAGTAGCTAAGACTCTACAGGCGTATGCCACCATACCTAGTTTGTTTTTGTTATTTTTTTTAGTACAGATGGGGTTTTGCCATGTTGTCCAGGCTGGTCTCGAACTCCTGGGCTCAAAGCAATCCACCCTCCTCGGCCTCCCAAAGTGCTAGGATTACAAGTGTGAGGCACTGTGCCCTGCCAGTATTCCATTTTTTGTGTATACCACAATTTATCATTTTTTTCTGTGTAGGTATTTTCATTGTTTCCAAGTTGGGAAGTATGAATAAAGTTGCTATGAACATGCATGTACAAGTCTTTGTAGATAGCTCATGTTTTAAAAAGTGTTTGTTTAATGATTTCATTGCAAAATCATCTTTATTGTAAACATATCTTTTTGAGGGTAGATTGGTAAAATATACATAATAAATACATGACAATGCAGGAGTCCAAGTATTATTAGGTTTACAGTCATAACAAACACCAAGAACCATTTATAAATTTCAGTTTCTCATTGTTTTAGAATGGAAGGTCTAACCAAATATGTAATGTATCCCTTCAAGTAAACTAGTATAACTTGGGTACCTTCTCATATAAATTCCCCTTAAGGCATACGTTGCTGTCTTTTCCAAATTCCCATTTTGCTTGTCCAATAGGCATTATCAGATACAACATGTTCAAAGGCAAACTTGATTTTCCTCCCATGGTTTCCTCATCTCAGCTCCTTTTTTTTTCCAGTTGCACAGGCTAAAAATAGGAAGTCATTCTAGATTCCTCTCTTTTTCATAAACCTCACATCAAATCCATCAGCCAATCTGGTGTGCTCTACCTTCAAGATACGGATTATCCAGAATTCAGCCGCTTCTCACTGTCTCTACTGCTAACATAGTAGTCAAAGCTGCTATCATCTCTTGCTTGGATTGGTGCAATGGCCTCACAACTGATCTTCCTGCTTCCATACTTGACCCCTAGAGCCTCTTCTAAACAGAGTAGCTAGAGCGATCTTTTCTAAATCTAAGCCACATCATGTCACTCCCCTGCTCAAATCCCAACATTTTATTCAGAATAAAAGTCGAACAATGCCCTACCTGTAGGTAATCTAGGCCTCCAAAGCTCTTCTTACATCACCTCCTGTAACTCTCCCCCTTTCTCACTCCTCTACAGCCACACAGCTGCCTCACTTTCCTTTGAACGTACCAAGGGCAATCCTGCTTCAGAGCCTTTGCACTTGCTGTTTCTGGGCCAGGAATTCCACACCCTCCTTCCCTCACATGTATCCCAAGGCTCACTGCCTTCCTTCAGTTAAGTCTGCTGGAATGTCACTTCATTAGGTATTGCCTGATCACCTTTTCTAAAGTGAGTCTCACCTCCACCCTCAATGCTGGCAATGTCTGTCTGTAGTGTATTCTTAACAATACAGATTAGCACAATGCAGGCCAGACCATGAAGACTGTTTCAAGTTCGAGGATGGGCAAAAATAATGACTAGGACTTGGCTCAAGATTCCTCAAACAGCCAATAAACAATGCAAAGAATAAATGAGAGAGTAATTGGAGACAAGCTTTCCCTTGGCTTCCCTTCTTTTCTCACAGAGGCTTTTCCAGAAGGTGGTCATTTCCATAGCCCATGTGGAATGAGATGTCCACTAGGGCAGAGAAGCACAGAACCGTGGGCACTGCTTCCCTTCCTTTAACCCTATCATATTGCTGCCCAGTGAGCAATATGGTCATTGGTCAAGAAGGCTTATGCCCAGGTATCCCTGTGGCTATGAGCATTGCTCCTTATCTATGCCTCTGCTCTTAGACTTTTCCATTCTGCCCTCTTAGGGGCCTTCCTGGCCATGACCACACTACCTTATTTTTCTCTATAGTACTTATCACCATCTGACATGTATTTATGTTTGTATTTGTTTATTGTCTGTCTCTACAAATAAAATGTAAATTCCCTAAAAACAGAGACTTTATTATTTTTGTTCATGTTACATCCTCAGCACCTAGTAAAGCACCTGGCACGTATTAGGAACTCACTAAATATTTACTGAATGAACTTTGTTCAATAAATTTAACATGGTTCTATGTAGCCTCCTTTTTAAAAATTGGCTCTGTTATATAGACTTCAGGGGCAACTGATAACAAACAAAACCAAACTTGGCTTTTTTCCCTTTTTTTTTTCTTTAATTGTAGTTTCAGAATTTCATCTGGGAGTGGGAATGGCCACAGGAATGCAAGTTCTGTACACCTCAGATTTGGTGCTAGTGATGTTGCCATGTTAAGAAAGTGAGCTGGGCCTTGTGCCTTCAGTAGACAGAATCAAAATCTATTACTTTATTTTAATACCCGAAGTTCAAATTACCTCTTAGGTAGGGATCCCTTAAATGTGATAGTGCTGAATCACAATGGAGGAAAAAAATGGCAAAGAGTATATTGAAATTCAGACTGATTCACAGGTAAAAGGCCTCTTGGAGACAACACTCTGAGAAAGGGACTGCTTTTTTAAAAAATCTGCATGTTTTGGGGTCGAATGGGTTTGGATAGTAGAGACACAAAATGGAAATGGTAGCTGCTTCTCATTGATTCATTTTAATGTAATTTTTAAATTTTAATTTTTTTTTTTTTTTGAGACGGAGTCTCTCTGTCGCCCAGGCTGGAGTGCACTGGCGTGATCTTGGCTCACTGCAACCTCTGCCTCCCAGGTTCAAGCAATTCTCCTGCCTCAGCCTCCCAAGTAGCTGGGACTACAGGTGCCCGCCACTACACCCGGCTAATTTTTGTATTTTTAGTAGAGATGAGGTTTCATCATATTGGCCAGGCTGGTCTCGAATCCCTGACCTTGTGATCCACTCGCCTCGACCTCTCAAAGTGCTGGGATTACAGGCGTAAGCCACTGCGCCCAGCCAAATTTTTAAATTAAAAAAATATATATATTTATGTTTTTATTTTCTGTGGCGATGAGGTCTTGCCTACATTATGTTGCCCAGCCTGGTCTCAAACTCCTAGTCTCAAGAGATTCTCCCACCTCAGCCTCCCAAAGTGCTCAGATTACAGGCATGAGCCACTACAGCCAACCCAACAAATAATTTTGTCAAGTATCTAGTGTAATTCTATTTTTTGGAAGTCAACATTGTCATTATAGTGAAATACTTGCTACAACATGACCCAGAAATTCAAATTTCCTGGTAGCTGATTAGTAACATATAGTGAGCACCCATATGTGCAGATTACAGCACTAAACTCTGCCCTAAAGGAGGTTACAGGTCTTATCTGCCTGGGAGTATTGGTTGAAAGGAGAATAATGAACTTGGCTATCTTTCTCTGGGGAGTTGATCATAATCCCCAAAAATAACAATCCTGGAGGCCATAATCCCAAATGTTGAAATCCTGAAAGAGCAAAATCCCAAAAATATAATTCTGGAAAAAATAACTTTAAAATTATTTAAAAGTTGCTTGTTTACATTTTTCAAAGGGGATTTATTTAAGAAACATAAAAATATGACAATACTTCATAGGCCACTCTACACGT
Source organism: Homo sapiens (assembly GCF_000001405.40). Lineage (NCBI taxonomy): Eukaryota > Metazoa > Chordata > Mammalia > Primates > Hominidae > Homo > Homo sapiens. The sequence goes on from NC_000013.11 coordinate 48,271,925, forward strand.
TAAAATAGGTAATAGTAACATTTTTGCAAGCATAAACACTCAGGCATACTAATGGCAGTTGCACAGGTCTGACAATTATGAGCAGATGAACCATATTCATAAATAAATAGCTTATATAACTGTGGTCATCTGAAATACCATGATGGACAACCTAAGTCTTTTGAGGAGATCAGTCGAAATCCATGATGGGTCATCACCACATAGGCAGTCGTCCAAAGAACCAAAATCTCAAGAGATTTTACCTTTCACAAATGCAGATGTACAAAAAGGACATCTTTTCACTTATTGAGGAAGTTTCAATATCTTTACACAAAAATGTTCATACAAAGTACGATGTTTACACACAAAGTCGTTGTGAGAACACTTGTGGAGTCAAATTTGCAAAAAAAAAAAGATGCATAAAATGAGAACTCTCTAAAAGTCTACACAGTTCATATCTCGGGTACTGGAAATGATTCAAAGCATAGCAAATTGTAAAAACCAATGCTGACAATTTAAAATAGTGGGAAAAAAAATTAAAAAAAAATCCCAAAACACAAATAATAAGAAAATTAAACATATTAAAAAGTATATTACAGGGATAGAGTATGAGCAATTGCACCAGAGCTAATTTCTAAGAGCTGGCCAACTTTCATGATCATTTTGAAGTCTTGGGTCTCTATGAATAGCTGCCTTTTTTTTTTTTTTTTAAAGCATGGCTCTCTTTCACATTCATTTTCTATTTGGCACTACTTTTTTTGAAATTCTTCTAGGATTCAGTATACATGGACATAAGCATTCCCTATAAAATTTTTGCATTTTCATTTTCTGTGTAATGCTTCTTTGTTGTTTTGCGCGCATGGAAATCCATTTCACATGCACTCATCATATACAGACCACAGATTCAGGAGAAATAATATTGGTGCTTGAACAGCAACACCATCGTGTAAGTGTCTTCTTATTCTACCACGCACTTAATTATTTTTGAACCAGCCAACTTTTTCAGGCACATGCTGCTTTAATTTATTGAAAGCTCCTGGCATGTCATCAGCTAGAGGGAATGCCAATGCAGGCAAGTGACACCTTTTTAAACTGAAGTTTTCATCATTGCTGTATTGCATGACCAATCCACTCATCTGAATTTTCAAATGCAAACACATTTGGTTGAATGTAAGAGACAAACTTTGTTGGCAACCCCTCAAAATTTGCTTTTAGAAACCTTGGTTTTACCTAATTCCAAATCTGTCATTATGGTTTGGGGATTCATTTAAAATCTATTTTCTTCTACACTAAATCTTCAAATAAGCATTTATGAAGTGTTTCACTTTTTCCAGTCATTACTACATAAATGAGTAAATAAGTTCTAGAATTTTCAGATTCCACAGGGGCATGAGTTGTATGTAGTTAATAAGAAACAGTTTTGAAAGTGCCATCCATTAGCCAAAGTGAAGCCTGTGCTAGTTTTTCTATGTTAGATTTAATGGTAAATATAAGTCTATTTTATGTGGCAGTCAAATCCCTAATTAATAGTTCAACATTTAATGTGATTTTTAACACTGGAAGAACCTCAATATCAGCAAGTGTCTTTGGTTCAGAAAGTCACTGAGCTTGTCAAATTCTTTTTATTCGTCAATGAAGGGCATTGTTTAAGATAAGCATGGTGCTTTGTGTGAAGGCACAGAAGTTGTACACGATTGGATAATTTAACAGGAGAGATTCCTTGTATTTTTCGCCTGATTTTAACTTCTGTGATCTGTGAAACAGTTACTGCACTTGTATTTGGAAAGTGGTTGTGGTCCACGAATTTTGTAGGTATATGATGTCCATTTAAAGTCTAGTTCCTGCCTGGACATTGCAATTAAGTGATTTTCTGCTTTTGCAGTACCAATAATGATTAGCTTTTAAACTTTCATCTTTACCATTGGTAAGTACACTTATCACAGCATTTTTGTGAGGGGACAATTTCACAGATCTATTCCATTGTGTTGTAAGGAATACAGTTAGAAAGGTTGATACTTGGCTCCCCAATACCAAATCCATATTAGTCAGGGTCCTCCAGGGACACAACCAATAAGATACGTATATGGATATATGAAAGAGGATGTATTAGAGGAATTGGCTCACACAAATATGGTGGCTGAGAAGTCCCACAACAGGCTGTCTGCAAGATGGAGACCCTGGAATGCCAGCAACATGGCTCAGTCCAAGTACCAAGGCCTCAGGACCAGGGAAGCTAATGGTTAATTCTCAGTCTAAGGCTGAAAGCCCCAGAACCTGGGGGGCCATTGGTGTAAGTCGTGGAGTCCAAAAGCCAGCAAATCTGTCTGTCATACTGATGTCCAAGGCAACAGAAGAAAAATCCATCCCCGCTCTCAGAGGCAGACCAATTTGCCTCCTATATTTGTTCTCTCTGGGCCCCAGGCAATTGGATGGTGCTTGCCAATGTTCAGGGCACATATTCACCACTAAATCTACTCAGATTCACACACTAACCTCCCCTGGAAACACCCTCACAGACACACTCAAAATAATGTTTTACCAGCTCTCTTGATATTCCTTAATCCAGTCAAGGTGACACCTAAAATTAGGTCTACGGTCTACCCCTTGTCAACTTGGCACCCATATGCCTCTCCTTCAACCATATTTAATTTCCAAATAAAGACAATAGCAAGGTAATAGTTCCACCCAACATGATATACCTACCCTGTGATTGTGATTTTTGGGATTTTAGATTTTAGGGATTTTTTTATTTTAAGGGATTTCAGCATTCAGGGTTATGGCATTCAGGACTCTGTCTTTTGGGATTATGATTCAAACTCCTTTCTCTGTGAATCTATTGCTTCCAGTGGAAGAAAAGATATTGACATATCAGATTTGATATAATGTCTGCTCATTTTGGAGTCAGACATGAGGCTCAGGCCTGAGAGGGTTATGAATCTTGAATATGTAGCTCATCCTCCCCAGATACTTAGAGAACATGGTCAGGAAGATGGTTATTATGGTCTTGCAAGCACAAGGGCATTCTACCCACCAAATTCTAATCAGAATTAATAAATAGAACAGAGTAACCCACTTTTTAAGTATCAGAGTATACACAAAGTCTGAATCTGCAAAGTAAAAAATGCATGTGAATCATTTGCTCAATTAAAGTCTAGTATAGATCAACACTATGGAACAGGGAGTTTGGCCAAGGATGGGGAGGACTGGCTCTGGTTGATCACAGATCTACAAACACAGGGCATTGCAGACAAGGAAAATTTAAACCAGAATGGAAAAGTCACAGATAAGAATTCAGACTGGCTGGGTGCAGTGGCTCACGCCTGTAATCCCAGCATTTTGGGAGGCCGAGGCAGGCGGATCATCTGAGGTCAGGAGTTTGAGACCAGCCTGGCTAACATGGTGAAACCCCGTCTCTGCTAAAAATACAAAAAATTAGCTGGGCATGGTGCCACGTGCCTGTAATCCCAGCTACTTGGGAGGCTGCGGCAGGAGAATCATTTGAACCCGGGAGGCAGAGGTTCCAGTGAGCCGAGATTGCGCCACTGCAGTCCGGCTTGGGCAACTAGAGCGAAACTCTGTCTCAAAGAAAAGAAAAAAAAAGAGTTCAGACTAACAAAAAACAATCAATTCCACATGAAGACACAAGGTAACAGGCAGAAACTTCCTTGGCTCAGTGTTGATGACGATTGTCGATGCAGTCCCCTTAAAATGATATTCTTAAGATGAGTTGCTACCAATTAACTTGTGATCTCTCAAAGAATCAAGCCTTAGCTAAAAATTGGAAGGTCCTTTCTTCCGTGAGTCATACATTACCCAAAAGCCTTGGGCTTCCTGGAATGACTGTTAAAAATTTCGAATCTCCCAGCAATGAGTTTGAAACACAATTTTCAATGTTACTGACCTACCCAGCCATTTCTAGATGTACAGCAGGTCCTTGAATAATGTTAGTTCATTTGACAATGTTCTTTATAATATTGATGAGGGAAAAAAAAAAAAAAAGGATTCCTGGCCAGGGCCATTATCTGGGTGGAGTTTGCATGTTCTCCCCATGTCTGCATAGGTCTTCTCTAGGTACTCCTGTTTCCTCCCACATCCCAAAGTGGTGCATGTTAGGTTAACTGGTGAGTATAAATTGTCTCAGTGCGAGTGAGTGAGAGTGCGCCCTGCAATGGGATGGTGTCCTGTCCAGCACTGGCTCCCGCCTTGCGCCCTGAGCTGCCGGAATATGTTCCAGCCACCTTAAACTGGAATGTTTTTATTAATCTTTCTTACATGAATATGTAGCTCACGTTTATTTTGATGTTTAATACTAGGTCTTTATTTAGAAATTTGGTGATGTTTTTGTGACCAGAAATATAGAGTAGGAACTTAACTCTTGTTTACATCAATTAGCCTATGGTAAAATTGGTTTTGTTATACGTTGTTTCACTTAAAGTCACAGTTTCTAATAATTTATCAATGGCATTAAGTGAGGACTTACTGGATAGATGAAGTGTTCACACAGTGTGTGATCAGGACAGGGGACAAGGCAGGGAGCACAGCAGGAAACAACCAGGAACAGAAGAGACACTTTTGTCCATGGACTACTTCCTTTTTGTTTTTTAAAGATCACATACATTTTTTACTTTTTATTAGGGAAATTTTTAAACACAGACACAAGAGTGGCAAAAATGATATAATAAATTCTCATGAGTCCATCACTCAGCTTTACCAATTAGCAATAATTTGTCTTTCTCATTTCATCTCTATCCCCTTATTTGATTTCATTTTTATTTCTGCTGGAGTATTTTAAAGCAAATTCCAAGCATCATATCATATCACCCATAAATACTGCAGTATATATCTCTTTTTTTAAACAAAATCCCAGTACTATTATCTGTCTTCAACAAAATTAATAATCATTTTTTATTGTCTACTGCACACCTACATTTGTGTTCAAATTTGCTCAGTTGGCTCAAATATCACTTTTTATAGTTGGTTTGTTTGAATTGGGATTCAAACAAGGTTTACACTTTGCATTTGGTTGCTATATCCCTTAAGTCTGTTCTAATCTATAAATTTCTGTTTCTGTCTCTACCTTCCTGCCATTTACTGATTGAAAAGTTGGGTCGTATGTCCTGTAGAAGTCCCCTCATTCTGGATTTTTCTGATGGAATCTCCACGGTGTCATTTTAAATGTCCTTGTATCCCCATGTGTTTTGTGAACAGATAGGTAGACAGGGCTTCAATTCAATTCTTATTATTGTTAATCAGTTAATCTGTGGGGCAAGAATACTTTATTGATTGTGTTATAATCTTCCTATTGCATCACATCAATGGAAAGTGATGTTCAGCTTAATTAATTGGTTCAGGTAGATTCATCTAATTTTATGTAAGATTCTTAATTATGAATGTAATATGTTCATTGTGGAAAAATTAGAAAATACAGATAGCAACAAAGAGGAAAATAAAAAGCAAGGGTATTCCTATAATCCAAAGAGGCCTGCTGTTCACATTTGGCATATACCTTTTCAGTTTTTTTTCTATTTGGTTGATCAATCTTAAAACTTCCTTCTTTCTCTTCCTTACTGACTTTACACTGCCCCCTTAAAGATTGTCCAATAAGCCCACTGGTTAACAAATATTTTGGATGGATATTATTTTTGTGATTCTGGAAAGAAAGAAGGAGGGAGGGAGGGAGAAAATACAGTTTGAGCACCTGCTATGTAGCAATTACTTGTACATTACTTGTATTTATCTTCACAATGACCTTGTCAGCAAGGTCTTGTATTCTCACTTTATAAAAGAGGAGATTGAGACTCAGATCTCTTGGAGTCTTTAATTCTAAGTCCAAAGAGTTGTGGAGTCTTTTGATTCCAAGTCTGAAGTCCTAATATTTATTTCCTTCCTGAATGTTGTGGTATTGATGTTAAACAAGACCATTCTATCTAGCCAGTTAAGAATGTACTTGATGGGCATGAAAAAACCTGATAGTGGCTTAGAATGCTTGAGAGATTTTATTTGACATTTAGCCAGGCAAATTCATTTAGGCATATGAAAACAAGTACAGAAAGTTCTCCATTTTCATAGATTAAAAACACAGTTTTGTATGCTTTCCATGTTTGGCCTCATCTTTACTGTTGCTCTTTTCTTGTGGTACTGGTTGTTAGAGTTTTTAACTTAAAATAGATAAAAGAATAGAAAGGTAGGCAAAAATCTGTAATGGAGGACATTGGGTTTTGGATTATCTATAAATCTTATGTCATACCAATTTTAATCACATGAGTTAATTCAAAGAAGCATAGAATATTAGAATTGACAGGTGTCTTAAAGATTACCTGCTGGAATATTCTCAATATGTAATGAAGAGGCCAAAACTCCAATGGGTTGAGTGATTTTTCAGCAGCTCATCCAACTACTTTGATATCAAGGCATGAATTGAACTTAACATCTTTTACTCCTTCAGTTGTATATTACCATTGTATGAGTTCGACCTGTTCTGAGGATTTTTTCTTCTATGAACAGAAGAAAATGCTTAAGTAATCTTTTCATTACACTTAGGATGAGTAGTGAACTTACTGGATTCAGAAGCATGTCTTACTGTTGTAAAACACATACCAAGAAGGGTTTCCTACTATTGAGAAAGCTGAGGACCAGTTTTCCAATAAGGACATCAGACAGGGAGAGAAAACACATTTTAAATAAGGCTAAGATTATATTTTCTCTTGGGTTTCTTTATTTTTACCTAATTGCCTACATGATTAAATTTAAATAAATATGTCTTTTAAGAAACATTCAACCTTTTAGTTCCAAAAGAAAGGTAGTAGAGAATAAGGTTGCTTGTAATATTACTGAACATACTTTTATATAGAAATGCTTGAATATAGAAATGTACAAATATGGAAAACTCACTAGGGAAAATTGATGGAAAATCTTTCATCATGCTATACTTTAAAATGCAAACAGAAAGGGCAGAAACAAATGGCAGGAAATAGCTAATTGTTCATTCAGCAACGGATTCTTGGGACAATGGTTTGAAGCAGCTAGATGATGTGCTTAGTATCCAGTTTCCTACCATTTCATATAAACATTGCCTCTCTGTTTCCTTCACGGATAAATTTAACCTTAAAATCAGTCCCAGTGTCTCCAGTGCTGTCCTGTTTGTAGGGCAGTAATCAGTCAACAGGTTTTTGACACTTTGTGGCTTACAGGATATCTTTCAGCAGACAGACATGTTCATTAGTTGTCCAGTTTCTAATGATATTTCTGGATTGTGTACAGGAACTGATAGTGCCATGTGGTAAATGGCCATTTATTCTGGCTTCTGAGCAATTGAAATGCGGGAACTATTTAGTTCCATGGTACTTGACAGAAGGAAACAGATTTACTACACAAGATTGAAAACAATTCTGTCATTGTGAGCTGAGAATAAATTGACAGAAGCATAGCATATTTTCTATATGCATATCCAGTAGTAAAGAATAGTATAGAGATACCATCCATGTTCAAACAAAAGGTATTTTTAAAAATATATAGTGAAGCCTAATGTGATGGCTCATGCCTGTAATCCCAGTGCTTCGGGATGCCAAGGTAGGAGGATCACTTGAGGCTGGGAGTTCCTGAGCAACATGGCAAGACCATGTCTCTACAAAATTTTTTTTAAAATAGCCAGATGTGGTAGTGCATGCTGGTAGTCTCAGCTATTCAGGAGGCTGAGGTGGGAGGATTACTTGAGCCCAGAAGTTCAAGGTTACAGTGCGCTATGATTGCACCACTTCATTCCAGTCTGGGCAACAAAGCAAGACCTCTCTCTCTCTCTCTCTCTCTCTCTCTCTCTCTCTCTCTCTCTCTATATATATATATATATATATATATATATATATGACACAATATCATTACATAGCTGTCCATTCCCTGCTTCCCGTAGCCCCTGATAACCACCATACTACTGTGTGTCTCTATGAATCTGACTGCTCTAGGTACCTCATATAAGTGCAATCACACAGTACTAGTCTCTTTGTGACTGGCTTGTTGCACTTAGCATAATGTTCTCAAGGTTTATGTATAAATGTACATATATATATATGTAGGGGGGGGTGTGGGTGTGGGTGGGTGTGTGGGTGTGGTTGGGTGTGGGTGTCAGAAAAAGTAACTCTTATGTACCCATCAACCAATTTCAACAATTATCAACTCTTAGCCAGTCTAGTTTCATCATTAAGTATACAGTTACTCTTGAAATGTCCTGAATGATCTCATAAATGTTTTGTTTTCTTCCTGAGTTTGTATGTTTGAATCAGTAACCAGATAAGATCTATACATTTGCAATTGACTTATAATGTTTTTAATTAATTTATTTATTTATTGAAAAATTTTTTTTTTGTGGAGACAGGGTTTCACCATGTTGCCCAGGCTGGTGGTCTCAAACTCCTGGGCTCAAATGACCCACCTTCCTCGAACTCACAAAGTTTTGGGATTACAGGTGTGAGCCACTGCACCTGGCCTGATAATAATTTTTAAATTAAAATTAAAAATTTTTTTAATTGTGGTAAAATACACGAAACTTAAAAATGTACCATCTTAAGCATTTTTTGTTTTGTTTTGTTTTGTTTTGTTTTGAGATGGAGTCTCGCTCTGTCGCCTAGGCCGGAGTGTCATGACACTATCTCGGCTCACTGCAACCTCTACCTCCCAAGTTCAAGTGATCCTCCTGCCTCAGCCTCCCGAGTAGCTGGGACTACAGGCATGCACCACCACGCCCAGCTAATTTTTGTATTTTTAGTAGAGTTGGGGTTTCACCATGTTGGCCAGGATGGTCTCGATCTCTTGACCTCATGATCCACCTGCCTCAGCTTCCCAAAGTGCTGGGATTACAGGTGTGAGCCATCGCTCCCAGTCCCCATCTTAAGCATTTTAAGTGTACGTTCAGTAGTGTTAAGTACATTCACATTGATTGTTTTGCAACCAATCCTTAGAACTCTTTCCATTTTGCAAAACTGGAACGCAATATCATTACATAGCTGTCCATTCCCTGCTTCCCCTAGCCCCTGATAACTACCATACTACTGTCTGTCTCTGTGAATCTAACTACTCTAGGTACCTCATATAAGTGCAATCACACAGTATTAGTCTCTTTGTGACTGGCTTGTTGCACTTAGCATAATGTTCTCAAGGTTTATGTATGCATATTATGTGACAGAATTTCCTTCCTCTTTAGGCTGAATAATATTCCATTGTACTTATATACCAAATATTTTGTTCATCATTTTGTACATAGTTTGTTTATTCATCTGTGAATAAACATTTGGGAGAATTCACATATTTATAATGTTGGCTTCTAATCCACAAACATTGTATAATTTATCATTTATTTAGGCTACCGAATCAGAATTACCTGGAAGGTTTATTAAACACAGCCCACCTCAGAGTTTCTGATTCAGCAGGTCTGGGGTGGGGCCTGATAATTTGCATTTCTAACAATTCCCAGGTGATGTTGCTGCTGCTGGTCCAGGACTATACTTTGAGAACCACTGCCATACAATTTTGAAGATTTAGAAAAATCTGGCTAATTTTTGCCAAATAAAAAACAATAGAGCATGTGATGTTATTTCAATTCTATCAAGATTCATTTTAAATAATAGTTGTGTCATCTAAAAACCAAACTTAGAAATGTAGAATCTATAGATCTTTCCTACTGTAGTACATGTGGTTGTTTATGCTCTTTGTCAGACAACCATTGAGATCAGGAGACATAGAGCTGCAAATCAATTTATGACCTTTGTGAAAGGGAAAATTTAAAGGTCCTTTATCTCCCTCTAGCCTTTAATTTAAAATTTTGCAGGTTGGATACTTGCCAAAAAAAGCAATTAGAGAGATTCTTAAACTTTGCATTGACTTATTGGGCAGAAAGCTGAACAAAGGGCCATGTAAATAATACATAAATATAAAAACGAATTCAAATAGTGTGCACATTAGGGAATTCTAAAGAACCCTGAAGGAGCCAGGGGAAGGAGATTGGAAAGAAGGATTTTATTTCTCTTATCTGCTCCATCTCTTCTTAGTTTAAATCCCATTGAACCTCCAACTTAGATAATATTAGATTCACCCTTCCTTTATTGAAACATATAGTGCACGAATAATCCTAAATTGTTGGGTTGAATTGGAAATGGATGGGAGGCAAGAGATGTCACAGCATTTTCCTTTCCTGGCAGTAAAGTTTTATCAGTGTTCTTTCCTGGTGGCGTGGCTAGAAATGGCAACCAAGAAAGTGACTCAGTTTACCCCTGATTTTCAGTTTGTACTGGGGGCAGTGAGTGGGAGTCCCACCTCTATCTGCACTTAATGCTGTTTGACTTGGGCAGCACTTTCCATACTTGCCACCTCCCCATGTCCTCCAAACCTCCCAACAATCTGATAGAAATCATCTGTTCTCCATCATTTTCACCAGGAAGCTAGGACAGTGGCTCAAAGTGTAAACTGAAGGTCCCTGAGATTCCCTGAGATCCTTACAGGGAGCCATTGAGGTCAGAACTATTTCTTGATGAGTTAAGATATTATTTCCGTTTTTCATTTTTATTATCTCAAGTATGCAATGGAGTTTTTCAAGGAGTTATATGACAGGTGATATTGCAACTCATTGAATGCAGAAGACATAAGAATCCAGCTGTCTTCCACTTAGAGATTTTCTAAAATAAGATGTGACTCTCACTAAATGTTTTTATTTTGGAACGAATTCATAAAACTATGTCATTTTTGCTAACATGTAATGGGCTTACTATTGTTATTTTAATTAAATTGATAAATATATATTTAAAATGTTCTTAGTTTAAATTTCTAATATAGTAAATATTGATAGATACAACCTACATAAACAAAAGCTATATGGAGTCCTCAATAATTTTTAAGAATGTAAAGGGATTCTGAGGCCAAAATGTTTGAGAATTGCTGGGCTAGGATTGTTCAAGCCTCTCTGGGGCATATGCTAATTATCTTAAAGCCACCCAATCATCACCCACCTTCCCACCAATGTCTTCGTACTCACTTCTTGTGAGCCAATCCTCACAGTCAGGAGGCAGTAGTGTTAGGATGGTTGAAAGTAAAAGCACAAAGAGATTGAGTTCAAATTCTTTCTTGGCTACCTGTGAAGTTTGTAACTTTGACTAATTTACTGGGCCCTTCAAAAGTCTCAGTTTTCTCATCTATAAAAGGGGTATAATGGTAGTACCTACCTTATACGTTTGTGAGAATTAAGAAAGAAGGCACATAATTTATGTTAGCTATAATAGATGAAATTCTTTAGAGTTTTATTTGTGGTTATCTAATCATAAGGATTGGAAAGAAGTAAAGTCCATGCCAACTTGTTTTACTTCTTTGAAAAAGAGAAACAAGAGGTATAGTAACGTTTAATGTTTGGTTTAACATGTACAGTGGATGAGAGGGCATTCTATATTGATCTCCTCAATCTGGCCAGAAAAGTGTTGTGATTTCTAACAGTTTATTTTCACATTTTGTTTCCCTAAGTTCAATGAGCCCTCCACTTCTAATGAGGTGGCTTTAGGGTAGAGAAATCAAAAGGCAGTTGGCTTTGTTGTGACGGGCAGATCTGGATGGAGCATTATAAGGGTGAGGCTGCTGAGTTTCCCATCTTGCTTATACATATGATGCTTTGAAACCTACGCTGACCTGTTTTAACTCTGGCCTAAAGACAGGCCAGGTGAACAGAAATAGAGCCAGCGTCTCCACTGGCAACACAGCCATCCTGAAGAGGAATGTCTGTGTGTGCATCTGCCACCAGAAGTGGGATGCTAGAGAGGCATTGATCTCTTTTTTGATATTGAGTTTTATCCAAGTACTCATTAAGTAGATCCCTTTTATTTTCAAAATATCTGGGGTTAATGTGCTTAATTTGGTTAGACCTAGTGAGTGAGCTATGGAGAACTGGAATCATTTTATATCAGTTCCTCATCTTTGCTCAGATTCATTCTGTACTGCCTGTCTCTTCTGCTTCTTAGACAAAGATTGAACTTGCAGGCCAGGTGCAGTGGCTCATGCCTGTAATTCCAACACTTTGGGAGGCCGAGGCGGGCAGATCACTTGAGGTCGGGAATTCGAAACCAGCCTGACCAACATGGAGAAACCCCGCCTCTACTAAAAATACAAAGTTAGCTGGGTGTGGTGGTGCATGCCTGTAATCCCAGCTACTCAGGAGGCTGAGGCAGGAGAATTGCTTCAACCCAGGAGACGGAGATTGTGGTGAGCCGAGGTGACGCCATTGCACTCCAGCCTGGGCAACAAGAGTGAAACTCCATCTCAAAATAAATAAATAAAAAGATTGAACTTGCTACATGCTTCTATCTCTATCTGCCTTCTGTGCTGCCAGCTCCTGCTTCTAGCAAGAAGCAAGAGAACTTATGTTTTTTCAACCCCTAGTTCTCTCCTGGTAAAACTGTGAAGAATCTATTTGCATATCTAGCCATTCTACATGCATAAAAATGCTATATCGACACAAAGAAAAGACTTGTTCATAGGCTCATAGTTCTGATACAAGGCTTACCAGCTGAATTGCCCACAGTCAGGCCCTACAGAGAACTCTGCTAGTTTGATACTCCTATTAATATACAGCTAATAGGTGGTCCTGTATCCTACAGCTGTGGCCAAGGTCCCACACACAATCAATTTTCCATTCCGTTAGACTGGGAGGGAGATTGTTAGCTTTCTATGAACATAAGAAGATCCCCTGATGGAGCCATCTACATAGGATAGGTTTTTGTATAGGTTTAATGACCCTTCAGAGTTGGTAAATGGTCCACAATTTCTCTAACCTTCACTTCCTGGACCCAAAGAGAGATTGGCACCAACTTTACTGTGTCATTAATTTCAGGAGTCATTCACTGACCTTCTCCAGCAGTGGCAGCAACTCCCCAAGTCAATCAGGCAATAAAACCAGCTGTACCAAAAATGTAACAACAGTTCAAGTTTACTTTATCCAGGGGCCTCAAGTATTCAAGATTGACGTCCCTACCTCCCCATCTCCAAGGATGCCCCCCCCTCCCCGCCATGATGATACCCAAGAGTGAGTCAGTGTAGCCAGGTACCATTGCCCACAGGAGGCTCAGCTTTGTCCCTTTCAAATGATCCTCCCCAAGGGCTTCTGTTTCTCTTACTTCTAGCCATTTGGTCTTAGCCATTGTGTTTCCTGTGATCCATATGCCAAGCCCCCACATCTTACATAGGCCATTGGAAATTTGGGTGCTCTGGGAAACCTCATTAATCAAACCATGTCCTGCAAGGCTGACTGCCAACCAGCCCAAAGACTGACCTGGTGTCACAGAGATGTCCTGAAGGCCTTCTCCTCCTGGTGAAGCCCATCATCAAGAAGATGTTGGACTTGCAGATCCAGACAAGAGAATATGAGGATGTTCTTACCACATCAGGCAGTAATACAATGGCCTCCTAACTGGTGTCCTTGTGCCCGTGCTTTTCCTCTTCTCCATTCCCCATACAGCAGTCAGGAAATCTGATTGTGTTCTTCCTTTGTTTAAAACCCTTTCCTGTGTCCCACATGATGGCCTGCATGATCCTTCATGCCCTTGACCTTGCCAACCTCTCAGGTCTCATCTCATGCCACCTTCTTCCTCCCTGCTGTGCTCAGGCCACATGGCCTTCCTCTAGCTCCTCAAGTGCCTAGAGGCCCTTCCAGAGGCTGGTCCCTTTGACTCTTCAACTCATTAATTTCCACTCATCCTTCAGAGCTCAGCTCAAATGTCACTTCCTCGAGGCGACTGTCCTTGAGTCCCCACTCGCTCATCATACTTTTGCTAGCTCTGCGTCCCGTTCCATCATAGGTTGTAATTACAAGTCTGAGTAATGTGTGCCTCCTTTAGTGGCTTGTAAGGTTCATGAAGGCAGGATCTATATCTATCAAAGTTCCCCCTGAATTCTGAGTACCTACACAGTAGGAGTCTGATAAATATTTATTGGACAAATAAATCAACAAAAATAAATATGGAAAAGTTGCTATTGTGGGCTTCACCAGTTGGTGAGTACAGATGTAGTCCTATAACTTCATACACTTTCAATTGCTCTATCACATTTGTGATAGCTATGAAGTTTTTCCTTCTATGCAACATGCTGCTATTAGACAGCTACAGGAATGAGTGAATAGCTTCTCCTCTAGTTTCTTGTCCTCAATCTCTCTCTTTCCTCCCCTCTGGCCCACCCTAAATACTTATACAGGCGAGTGTGGACACACACACACACACACATCCTGTGAAGAGGAATGAGAGCACAAAAAGTTATATACAATTCATTGTAATATGAATCAGGAAAAAGCTTCCTGACTTCAGCCTAAAGATTCCCTGGGCTGAGGGGAAAGGGAATGTCCAGATGGCAAATGGAGTGAGGAGAGAACTTATCCTGGTGGGTCACTGAAAAGAGTGCTAAGCCTGCTCCAGTGGGGAAGAGGAAGATGACAGAAATGTCAGGTAAGTTTGTGGGAACTGAAAGGGGAGGCAATCTAGAAGTGTTCTCAGGCAAAGGCCCAAGGAGACCCAAGATCTCAGAGACTAAGGTGCTATGTGGCAGATATGAGTCTGGGACAGCTTACAGAGTCCCATACGTCACAGTGTGGCCTGGAAGCAGATGGATGGTTCTGGGGCCTGAGAGTGCCGCAGGAGTCCATGGGTCTTGGGTCACAGCCTGCAGTTTCCATGACTCAGCCTGGCAGTGGAATGACTTCCTGGGCACCCCAAAGGCTTTATAGAAGTTGAAAGGATAGTTGTCAAACGTGCAGGAGCCTTTTAAATGGGATCATAGGGACAAGGTAGCAATCATCTGCATGTCAGGAAACGAACACTAAACAGGATGATGGATGGCCCAGTGAAGGCCCAGGTGATAGCAGTCTAGAACCAGGTACCCCATCTCCCCACATGTTGACATGCCACAAGCACCCCAGAAATTAGTTATTTCCCTGCAGTTACATATTGACTAATTTTAAATTGTTACTGCTTACAGGATGGAGGCTCTAAATAGAAAAAAAGTTAGAGAGAAACATAAATTTGTTATGTTTTTATACAGCTGGGTTTGTGGGCTGCAAATTGAAACCATTATACAATTCTCTTTTAAAATGCAAATATCCCTCATACGCATATCATGTGGACAAAGTGTTTGTTTTATTAATAGCATCCCCTAACCTAGTTTCACTATTAAAAGGTAGGTCTGAGTGGGATGTGGGTCCCTAGTGACCTAGTGTGAGAATAGAGGGTGTTTTGTTTTGTTTTGTTTTTGAGACTGAGTCTCGCTCTGTTGCCCAGGCTGGAGTGCAGTGGCATGATCTCGGCTCACTGCAACCTCTGCCTCCTGGGTTCAAGTGATTCTCATGCCTCAGCCTCTTGAGTAGCTGGGATTAGATGTGCCCAACACCACGCCTGACTAATTTTTGTATTTTTAGTAGGGATGGGGTTTCACCATGTTGGCCAGGCTGGTCTCAAACTCCTGACCTCAAGTAATCCACCCACTTTGGTCTCCCAAAGTGCTGGGATTACAGGCGTGAGCCACCACGTCCGGCCTTAGAGGGCATTTTAAGGGAAGAAGAGAGGAGTTGGGAAAGGATCTTCTTTCTAATGGGAAGAGAAAGAAGAGACAATAGAAAAAGGAAGAAGGAAAAGGGCCCAATGAATGTCCAATATTCCTTTTGTTTTCATTGTGATTCTCATACAGAATTCATAAATACTTCAACCTAAACCATTGAAATTGGAATTTAATCTGAGGTATGAAAAAAATGCTAGGTTTAAAATCACAACCCAGGTTGAATTTCTTACTTTGCCCATTAATAGATGTGTGACCTTGAGCATTCTCTTAACTTCTCTGAGCCTCAGTTACTTCAGTTGTAAAAAGGGTCTAATAAAACACATCCCACTGAATTACTGAGAGGATTGATCCAATTACATGAAAGAGCTCTGAAACAATAAAAAGTTGCACCATCTGGGGTATCAGTTTGCGGTCGAGGAGACAATGGGGAGAAATAATGTAAGTGTTGAGCACATCTGCGGTCTTTAAACAGAGAGCTCAACACAAGGACATGGGCATATTGGAAAAAACTATTTCAGAAGAGGGGAAAAGGGAGAAAGGGGGATATGTGGGTATTAGAGGCAAACCCAGATATCCTGCCTTGAGGTCAAATAATTATAACATTAAATCCTGTTTACTGATGCTTAGCTGTCAGGCTCTTGCTCATTTACCTTGGAGATCCATTTAGAATTAGTGTAAGGTGTAATTGACCTGTACTTAGAGTTCCAGAATAGGACAATCACTTCCAAATGCCCTCAGTATAAGAAATTAACAGTACTTGGGGCTTTAGAAATCAATGTTCAACCTTTCAACTACTAGAAAGCCTTTTTAGTTATTGTGCTTACTATGAAAGCCCTTGGCTGTCAGTTCAACAAGTCGTTCTTGCTTTGTGACATCTCTGGAAGTTTAATAGTTCTGTGAGAAAGTCCTTGTCAGTGTTCTGAAAACTGGGAATTAGGAAGTCGACTTCCAATCAAGCTTCAGATGACATGCGACATGCGTTAAGTTTAGAAATAACGTTAGTGTTTCTAATTTAGCATCGTGTTGGAGTCCTAATTATGAAATGACATTAAGAAAATTCCATTCCTCAGAATTCTTGTGCAGTAGCATTGGGTAGAAACACCATTGTGTTCTGTGACCTGGGGTAGGGATGATATCTCAAAAACGCATGCTCAGGTTGCCCATGGTGATAGCTAAACTGTCTTCTCAGGAGAGGAGCAGGCTTTATTAACTGGAACTCACCAGATTTCACAGAACATTTTGAAGGGCTTAGGATTGTGAGTTTGGAGGTAGATGCCAAGCAGAGGTAAACATTTTGTATAACAGAAGAAACATATTTGATATGGGAGAGAGACAGAAATCTTGTGGAAAACTCCAGAGCCATCAAAGCTGGGACAGTGTTAAAGACGAGCACCCTGGAAGTGAGGAGCCAAGTGTGGGTTTTGAGGAACAGATATATTAAGGGGGATTCTCACAAATGTTTTATTTTGACAAATATCAATAATTTAGAAAAGTTGCAAGAATAGTATAGCAATTATTCATATACCCCTTCCATATAGTACACAGAAAAAGAGGGTATATATTTTAATAAATATTTGTGTATACACATTTTGTGTATAGATAGGCAGATAAATAGATAAAGAGACAAATGTGCACCTGTGTATAATTTTCTGAACTGTTTGAGAATTGGTTGTAAGCATCACGACACTTCACCACCAAATACTTCAGCATGTGTCTCCTAAGAACAAGGCTGTTCTCTACATGACCACAACATAGTTATTTCACCCAGAAACTTAAACTTGATACAATACAATATCTAATATTCAGTCCATATTCAAATTTCTCCTATCATCCAAATAATATCATTACTAATCTCCAATATAAAGAGATTTAAAACATGTTTTCCATGTTCAACATAAATGTCTTCTCCATTTTTCTTACAAAATCATCAAAAACAACTACGTTTCCCATTTATACTTTTACACCAGTAGTTTCTTTGGAGGAACTTGCACTTGTCCCACATCCAGATTGGCAGGGGATAAAATAGAAATAATAAGAGCTGGCAGAAGAGAGGCTGGTTGATGCTGATTACATTCAAAATAACTATTTGGAGGAAAAAGCACTGATTCTGTTCCTGGGGTGTTGAGTTTTTTCTTCTGACCTCATATTTTAATCCTGTCCTTTCTTAGTCTTTTGTATGTGATAAATCTCCCAGAGCATGCCCTTGCAGTGCTTGTCTCCCAGATCTTCCTAATAAATTATATAAAAATTTGCTCTCATAGGTTTTGGTTTTTAAAAAAACAAATTTTAATTTTAGAGCAATTTTTTTTGTTTGATGGTTTGCTTTTTGGTGTGGACAAACCATATTCAAGCCATAGCAAAGTCCAAACTAAAGCACTAACATGAGTAATGATTATCTTCCTGTGAGTGGTGGATGGAACAAGAACTTTGCATTTCTTTTTTATAATTGACACATAATAATCGTACATATGTATGGATACAGAGCAGTGTTTCTATATATAATGTGATCAGCTCAGGATAATTATTAATAGCATATCTGTCATCTCAAATATTTATCATTTTTTGTGTGGGGAATTTCCAATACCTTCCTTCTAGCTATTTGAAACTGTATAATATAGTATTGTTAATTAAAGTCATCCTACGGTGGTATAGAACACTAGAACTTATTCCTCCCACCTAGCTGTGAGCAGTTTTTCATTAACAGAGAAGTAGATAAAATGGTACATTTCCCATACCTTCCCACCTCTGGCCCTGCACATAGTTTCTCCTATTATTCACATCTTAAGTTAGTATGGTACATTTGTTACAAGTAAGGAACCAACACTGAAACATTATTATTAGCTAAAGTCCATACTTTATTCAGATTTCCTTAGTTTTTATCTAATATCCTTTCCTGTTCCAAGATTCCATCGAGGATACCCCATTATATTTAGTCTTCTTTTCTCCTTAAGCTCCTGGAACTCTGATAGTGTCTCAGACTTTTCTCGTTTTTGATGTCCCTGACAGTTTTGAGCTCATAGGTCTTTTGACTATTTATTCTCTGTACTTTGCTTACACTAGAGTACCACAACAAATATTACTTTGAATTAGGTAATATCTATAATTGGTGAAAAGCAAATCATGTTTGAAGTAGCTACATGGTAAGGATGATCAAGTTATCACTGAAACTTGTTTGAGCAGCTTTGGTTGTGTATAGCTTATTTTCTGACTACGTATTGATTAGATATGGGATATGGAGTTCATGGCTTTCATTGAAGGGATGATTTTCTTTGGGTGGATTGAGTCAATGAAGCTCAAAGCAAAAAAGATCAACTGAGAGGGCACAACCAGTCACAGGTGTCTTTTTTTTCCCAGAGCCTTATGTTCTTTCAGACTCCACAGGGCATCAGTTAGTCTCTTTATTTTTGCAAGTGTCTTGGGGGTAATTTGGCTGAGACATGCTACCATCCTTTAGCAAACAGATAGTTCCCTTGTTCTTTGCTTACTAAAATTTTTTTTTGAAAATTGAAGTATAATTTACAAATAATAACAAACACAGATCTTAAGTTCCAAAGTTTTGATGAATGCATATACCTCCGTGACCTACACCTCAAGACACAGAACATGTCCATCACTGCAGGAAGTTATCCCATTCCCTTTCCAAGTCAATGCTTGCCCTCAATCCCCAGAGCATCCACTGGTCCAATTTCTTTCACAATAGATTATGTTTGCCTGTATCAAAATTTCATAAAAGTGAAATCATACAGTTCATACTATTTTGTGTCCAGCTTCCTTAGCTTAGCATAATGTTTTTGAGATTCATTCATGTTGTGTTTATATCAAAAGTTCATTCCATTTTATGGCTGAGTTGCATCCATTGTACTGTATTAATATACTATAATTTCTTTATCCTTTTTTGTATTGATGGACTTTTTTTTCCTGATTTTTAGCTATTACAAATGAAGTTGTTATAAATAACGAGGTATTTATAACATAGGTATAAGTTTTTGGGAGGGACCTATGTTTTCCACTTCTCTAGGGTGTGGAATTGCTGGGTCATTTGGTTGGTGTATGTTTAATGCAATAAGAAAATGTCAAACTATTTTCCAGAGTGGTTGTACTATTTTATATTTATCTATTGCTATGTAACTTAACAGCAACAACTTAAATATTGCTGCAAAATTAACAGCTTAAGCAACACAGATATACTATCTCACAGTTTTTATGGGTCAGAAGTCTGGATACAGCTTAGCTGATTCTTTTTTGAAAGGCTGCAATCAAGTTGTTAGCCCAAACTGGATTTTCAGATGGTAGTTCAACTGGGGAAGAATCTGCTTTCAAACTCACATTATGTGTTGGCAGAATTCACGTCCTTGTGGTTTCACAACCTAGGGCTTCAATTTCTTTCTGGATGTCAGCTGGAGGGCACCCTCAGCTCCTAGAGGCTGCCTGCAGTTCAAATAGAAAATAATTCTCTGTTGCAGAAGTTATGGCCTTGCTCCAGAACCTCAGGGGTGTGCCTCCTATTGGGACTTTCCAGGGACACCAGATAGCATTTATCTACAGCAAATACCTCTGACACCACTGGATCTGCTGGATTATATAGTTCAAGTAGCAGCTTTCACCACAGCCTGGAGCTAATCCTGAGATGTCTCTGACTACGGTACCCACTAGCAACTGGACATTTTCTAAGTCTCCTGATAAATGGGTTGAAGCTGTATTCCCAAAGACAGTACATGCTGCCTTCAAAATCAGAGGAGGCCCACTAAGTGATAAGCCACTTTCTTAGTGGCAGGGGGTGAGAAGTGCAATAAATTGTCATTTACATTAAAGGTGATGCTCCCAGCATACCCAGAGCACTGAATCTTAACAACTTGATCAATGTGGCAAGCCCTCAATTATCTTGGAGTTTATCTCCCATTCTTTGGGTTACATGTATTTTACTGGCCACTTAGCCTGTCTACTCAAAGTGTAGTCTACAGACAGATGTTGGCTGGTGAACACTTGGTTACTAGCCTGTGGAAAGATAAATTCATAAATTGAAAATCTATATTTAGAAATTTTATAGCAATTTGCCATTGCTGTGACTTCCAAGCACATGATCAGAAGACTAATCTCATTGAACAAAGTATAGATCATTGTGATTATTGTCAAACTCATATGGTGATTTGCACATGCAGCAAGATACCTACTGTTCAAGTTCAGTTATTTCCAAAAGTATTGCTCCAAGACAGTTTGGAAAAAATAAAAAAAGAATTGGAGAGTTTCAGAAGCACTGATCCAGAGTATTTGCCCCTTTGTACTTTGTACTCCCTCCCGGACAGAGAGCAGGAGAATTAAAATAGCCCTGGGCCAGAAAGTAAACGTGTATTCTTATCTTTTGTATATGAGGGCAAACTGCTTTTGATCCTTCCTGCTGATGGGAATCAAGAAAGGCACATTTACCAAGTTAGTAACTGCATACCAAGGTCAATGTTGATTTTCTCAGGGGAAGATACCACATGCTGTATGGCAGCGCCTCTTGGAGCTAATACCTGGTTAAGAGTATAGTTGTCTACTGTCATCTGCCATGATCCCATTTTTTGCAGGGGTCAGACGGGAGAATTGAATGGTAATATAAGGGAAACTACAACCCCTGCATTCTTTAAATCTTTGATGGTGATGTAAATCTTTGCAATTCTTCCTAGAATGCTGTCTTGCTTCTGATTTACTATCCTGACTTGGGGTGACAGTGGCAGTTTCAAAGGCTTCTACTTGGTCCTCCTACATAATGACTATTAATCCATGGGTCAGGGAGCCAATGTGAAGGTTTTGCCAGCTAAGATTGACTACCTTAATTAGACATTCAGTGATTTAAACATAAAATGCATTCATGGGCAATCAGATCCACTGTGAGTTGGAATTGAGCCCAAACTCCACTGGTCCCTATTCTAACTGGAGAATTACATTGGTATCAGGGTCAGCTCAGACTTTGTATCTAACAGTTCTTGAATACTTGATATTCCTCTTTCTTCCACTGCATGCTCTCACCTAGCAAATGGCCACGAGTCATTTTGGGGAGCCACCTATCAAAAGGAGTCATTACATAACTTATAGGCAAGAGAAGACTTCTCAAGCTTGAGGTGGTGCTTCTGCCAGCCAGAGGGTTCAGAGCACTAGTGGGCTGCAGTGAGCACATTCCACCTTGCAGAAGCCATTTGTGTGCATTTCTTTTTAATTCTGTGTTTGGTGACATTATGCTGGTAGCTTGAAATTGACCAAGGTGGGAGTGTTTACATAACAGAAATTGGCAAATATTAAAATGTCCTTCCCCACCACCCTCTCCCCTGAGAACTGGTTGTTAAATTTCTTTCCAGTACATTACAGAGTCAGGGGTAACATAGAAGATTCAATATTCTCAGGCTCATCTATCCAAATGCCCTATCCTAGGTCTTAGGGTAATACTCTTTTTCCTTTCAAGAACAAGATGTGGGCTAGGAGACCCTGAAAGTCCATGCATTTGGTTGCCTTTTCAACTCTTCTGCCCTTACAATCAGCTTCCGTGACTTCCTGTAGCCTAAAGCAAACTACACTAAATATTACTAAAAATTGCCAGTAGAGGCCCTCTGGCCTTCACGGTGTGACTTAAGGTGACAGGTGGCTGCCCTGAGGCATCATTTTGTTTTACAAGGTATACAATTCCATCAACAGAATCAAGCCCCTCTATAGTCCTTACAGTTATTGTCCCCACACTGTTCAAACAGTATGGCTACTACCTATCCCAATGCCCCACCTTCTATCTGCACTGCATCTCAATTAGCTACAGGTGGGAAGCCTTTGTAATCATGGTATCACTGTGTTGCTTCATAACTACCCACTCACTGTGCCATGGGTCTTTATTGCCACACGGTCGGTAAGTAACCCAACTCTAGCATTCCATCCTGAGTGTCTGCAGGACGCTCCTGGTGCCAAGTCTTTTAGCCTGGGTTCTGTAGAAAACAGAGCCTGAGTGTAGTTTGAGAGAAACTGGAGTGAAGACGAACGGGCTGGGCAAAGAAGGAAGAGAAACTATTAATAATAAAATAGTGTATTACCGAACTAGCTACCTCTTGGTATCAAGCCCGGGTGATTGGTCAGTATCATGAGGGTCATATTTTGAGAGGTAGTATGGACTACTGTGTTTCAGGACAATCTGTCTGGGTGGAGGAAGGAGAGGAGTTTATATGCTGGACCCATCTTGTTTTGATTAGATTTACCCCAAGGACATTAACTCCACTGCACTTACGGCTACACTTTGTTAGAAGCCCAACAGTTAGGCACTATCTCAGCCCTCTTGGGGTGGGAGGTGAGATGTGTGTGGCTTGGGGAAAGGGAGGGGAACCACTGGGATGTGCCAATGTAAAGTCTGTTGCTTCAGTAGTCTCTGGGCAGGGCCCATACAGTTGGTTGCTATGGTGGCAGTTGGGGAAAACAAGTGGTCAATGACCCTGGAGTTAGGCCAGGCTGTTTGGCTTATAGGTGACATATACACTGCTTGATATGTCTACCACACTGCCCTTCTTGAATCTTGGTTTTCGGCATTTCTTTAATTCTATTTAGTGTTCTTCCAATAAATTCTCATTTTTTGGTTGCTAATCAGAGCCGATTTCTGTTTCATGAGGCCAAGGAAACAATTTTAAGCAATATTTTATACTCTCTTTAGTGCTCCAAACACTGTTGTATACTTATTTGGTGCTAATGCTCGATGAACTGCAGAAATTTGTCTATGTACTGTACCACTTATCTATCGCTGTATAACAAATTGCCCCCAAATTAATGACTAAAGCAATAATGATTCACTGGTTCTTCTGCTGATCTTCTCTGGTAGGTGGGTGGGTATAGGCTCAGCCTCTTTCTCCATGTGGTCTGTCATCTTCATAGGGACTAACCCACACTTCTTACATGGCACCTGGATTTCAGGACAGCAAGCCCTAATGCACAAGCACTTATCAAGGTGCTTGCTGAGATCCTATTGGCCAAACAAGTCACAAGGCCAAGCCCAGCATCAGTGTGGAACTCTGCACAAAGGCATGAATGTCAGTAGGTGTGATTCATTGTAGGCCATCAGTGTTAGTCTACCACCAGGTATTTACATTGTTCTTTAGAGCAGAGACTTCCGGTGGTCCCCCAACAGCTGTTCTCCCTTGCTTCTGTATTAAGAGATCCCTGAATTCTGTTAATGAACTCATGATTGTCAAAAAAAGTTTTTTTTCCCTGTACCCCACAGTAAGGTGTGGCTTTGCATCCACGTTTTGATCAATGGGATGTAAGCGAAGGTGTATTGTGGCAGTTTCCAGGAATTTTCCTTAAGTGAGAACAGGCGTGTGCCTCTGGCTTTTTCTTTATGCCTTCCAGCACCCTGCTGTTTAAAACGTAGGTACGACTTTTGGCTGCCATCCTGGACCCTTAAGTACCCTCCAGGGATGATAGAGTTATGAGCTGAAGGTGCCTGTGTCCCTGAGGACTTCACTGAGCAGAACCTTCACTTAGTCCTAGAATTCCTACCTCTAGACTTTTACCTGGGATACTAATCTTTTATTTAATCTATTGTTATTTTGGGTTCTGTTATTAGCAGCTAACATAATCCTGTCATACTATTGAAATATAGTCTCTCTATGTTTTTAGGTCATACTCGACAGTATGTAATTTTTTTTTTTTTTTGAGACAGAGTCTCACTCTGTTGCCCAGGCTGGAGTCCAGTGGCGTGATCTCAGCTCACTGCAAACTCCACTTCCTGGGTTCAGGTGATTCTCTTGCCTTAGCCTCCTGAGTGGCTGGGACTACAGGCATGAGCCATCACGCCTGGGTAATTTTTGTATTTTTAGTACAGATAGGATTTCGCCATGTTGGCCAGGCTGGTCTTGAACTCCTGGCCTCAAGCGATCTGCATGCCTTGGTCTCTCAAAGTGCTGGGGTTACAGATGTGAGTCACCAAACCTGGCCCACAGTATGTAATTTCTTACCTTCCGCTCATCTTCACCCAAAACATTCTGATAGCCCTTATTGATTAGAAGAGGAGGAGAATGCATTAAGTTTAGTTGGCAGAAATTGTGTGAATTTAAAATCATGCATTTAGAGAAACATGTGTGGCTCATCAAGCCATTAAGAAAACAAAAAAGAGGAAACTACAAAATGTTTGCATTCCTGTAGCCCACAAGAGACAAATCTAGAACAATGCTGGGGTCTGGTCAAGTAGGGAAAGCTCTCAGTAAGACCAAGCACAAACCCCACTTCTGGTTTCCTTGGTTTGGGGCTGTCTCATGTTAATGATATTTTTCATGAGAAAAACCACATGCAAATGAAACAATTCGTTGTCCCCACTTGGAGGTGCAGTGGTGGTGGTGGGGAGAACTAGGGAAGGGTTTGTGCATCAGACAAAGGTTGGGATTACAAGGGTTGTAGATGAACGAGATGTGCCTTTAGTTACAGCCACTTCTTGAGTGCTGTATGTCTATGTGACTCCTGATGACTTGGTCAAAGAAAATATCAACACATTGCCTTAGCTGTTTTCCTTGATGGGGAGAAATCGACACACTTGGAAATGGAAGAATTTCCTCTCTTGTTGCAGTGGCTTTGTGCATTGGCTTGAGCTGCAGTCATCTGGCAGTTTGTTGCTTCAGTCACTGGCCCTGGCCCTTGCCACTGCCAGGCAGAGTTGAGCCTGCACTGAAGACATGAGAATACTGGATCAATACAAACGTTATGGAAAATGTTTTAACTTTTTCTTTTTTTAAAAGGCCTGCCTGTTATCTTTATACCTCTGTTACCCGCCCCACCACCCCAGAAATGAGCCAGAGCCTTTGTGATGGCTAGATTTGTTTGAACATTTAATCTCCTTCCCCATCTGTTTTGAGAAATATCTAGCCTCTTTATCAGAAGAGAGCTTAAAGTCTCACCAACATTCTTGCCCCAGGTGTCATGGGCTGAACTGTTTCCCTCAAATTTATATTTTGAAGTCTTAACTCCCAGTACCTCAGAATGAAACTGCATTTGGAGATAGGGTCTTTACGGAGGTAATTAAGTTAAAATGAGGTTGTTAGAGTCATTCATTGGAAAAGTATTTGTCAAATGTCTACTATGTGCCAGGCACATGTTAGGCATGCAGCCCCACTGGTTAGGAGAACAGATATAGACCTACCTTCAGAGACTGTCTGGCTTCGTGGACATGTAGCCTGTGTAGTCACTTAGTTCTCCATGTTAGAAAGACCCTGTGGTTGGTTTAATGCTCTGTTGCCACCATCTTGAAATTCTTAGTAATTTTTCAATGAGGAGTTCTGCATTTTTTTTCCTCTGGACCCTGCAAATTATGTAATTGGTCCTGCTCATGGAAATTGGTATAGTAGGAGAATCAATCATATTCTCTGCACTTAGGAGTGTGGTTTGGTGGCATGGAGAGAAGGTCAGTGTAGCAGAAGTAGTACAGTATAAAAAGATGAAGATGATAATATTCACAATGGCGGGAAGGAGTGGAGTCTGCTGCTGGGGGATGAAAAGATACATGAGTGGAACAGCAGGGGTTCTTTTTTGTTTTCTTTACTTTTCCTCCCAGACCTTATTATTAACCTTGAATAATTCAGATAAACTGAACAGGTCTCTGTTCCTTGAAACCTGAAAGAATCTAACATGCACATATGGGAAGTTATTTAAGTCATGGGATTGAAATAGAGCAAGAAGAGAGGAGGATTGAAGACGCTTGAAGACCAGTGTTTCCCACACTATCTGTGAAGGAACTTTTCATTCTTTTTCATTAACTGTTTGTCATGAAGTGATATTAACACTTTGGAATGTAAAATAGAAACAAATTGCAAAAAATTATAATGAAAACAGAGGCACACCAAATATTGTACAAGCTCACATTTTTTAGATTAAACAGAAATAGAATTACATTTCAATAAAAATTATCAGAACAAACATAAATAAAAGAAAAAATTACAAAATGTACATTGCTTATTGAAAGTGTCCAGATAGATAATTAATAAAGAGAATTGCCATTATCCTCCTAATATTTATCACCTCACAGCCGTAACAACTAACAAAAAGTTGGGAGTGAAGTAGTAATTTCCCACTAAACAACATGAATGTTAATATTTGAAGTTTTAATGTGAGAAATGAGTGGGCTCTTTGCTTGTTAAATTATCTAATCTAGGTTGGATTGGTGACATGCTACTTGCAGGAGATGATGTATATCTAAATTGTTTTTATATTTTATTTTAACAACACTAGTAGTAGAAAAACTAGTCTCTCAAAAATATGTTGAAGGGAACAGAAGAAGACTTAAAGCAATTTAACAATATCAGGATAATCACTTTTAACTTTTATCCTTAATGATGGAAACAATGCGTTATTTTCAAAATTCATCTTCAATCTTTCATCAGTAGCCAGTTTCAAAAACTGTCACTCAAGTTATCTTTCAATGAAATAAACGGATTTTGGATCCATGAATTTCTTGCATGTGGAGCTTGTTTTGATAGAAAATACTCAGATATTTTATCAAATTTATAATTAGTTTTTTAATATTTTGTATATAAATGTCCTTTAAGTTTGATGGCTTTATTGTTTCATTAGTCTGTAATGATTTTAGCACTTCACTATGAGTTATGGCTACAAACTCAATAACAAGGGATTATACTTCTGAGTAAAATTAGTACAAACTCCTATTTGTTTAATTCTTTGGAATTACTTCTCTGATCATTATTTAGTTTACTACTGTGATTACTAACACATTACTGATGTGTGTCTTGTATTGGCAAAATTGGACAGTAAGGATTGTTTTGCCATCTATAATTTAGGGTTAAAAACAAATGACACAAATTTTACTCCCCTAATTTAGCTAAGAATTTACAAAAAATAGGCTTGATTAAAAATGAAAATGATTGTAAAAATAACAAGTTATATAAGTAAATAAATATTTACATTTTCATAGATTTTTACTCTTGGGTTGCAGGTGACAAACCTTGAAATTTTACTCATTGTAATATCGTACTATTGCATATGACAGGGACACAACCATGCCACCTGCAACTCAAGAACCAGGTTGAAGAATACCTGAACTGTTTAACAAGCAATGTCCAATGATCATGCACTCGGATATTCCTGAAATGTCAAATTGATATAAACACTGCTAAGCACTTATCCTTTTAATTTCTGTACTTATTTCCTTGTGGACTAAACACAAACAGTTCGCAGACTGTCACTGGTCCAAGAACTACACTTTGAGTAGCATTACTCTAGGGAGCACTTGCATTGAAGGGACCGGCAGAAAGAGAACTAATGAAGGAATTTGTGAAGTAACAAGGGAGGAGAACAAGGAGACCATAGATTTGTGGAAGACTAGGGAATTTTTAAGAGGAAGTGGTTAACTATATTGACTGCAAGAAAGGTCAAGTAGGTTGAGGACCAAAAGAAGCCATGGGATTGACAACTATCATCAGTGACATTTGAAAGAGTGATTTCAGAAGGGGGCTCTTGGTGGTAGTGAAAGAAAGCCAGGGGCCAGCAGGCTGAGAAATTGGGGAAGCAGAGAGAACCAATGGGGACTACCCTTCTAAGAAGCTAGATGGTTAAGAAATGGAAATAGTGTGGTAGCTTGGGGGTATAAAAACTTTGAAGGAAGGCTTTTTAGAACGATGAAGACTTTTTAGACCCTTCCCCAAATTTTAATATCACTGAAGGAGTCTCAAACTGAAGAGAGTTCCCTCTCTAGATAGAAAATCTAAGAAATACATATATTTTTTGTAGGAGTCTTACAGCAATCTTCTTAAAATTACCAAGCAGGTTGGAAGAGATCCATGAATTTCAAGAAGTTCAGGGGGAATTTTTTTAAGACTCTGCTGAAATATATATATATATATATATATATATATATATATATATTTTTTGAGATGGGGTCTTGCTCTTGTCGCCTAGGCTGGAGTGCAGTGGCATGATCTCAGCTCACTGCAACCTCTGCCTCCTGGGTTCAAGTGATTCTCCTGCCTCAGCCTCCAGAGTAGCTGGGATTACAGGCACCTGCCACCACACTCAGCTAATTTCGTATTTTTGGTAGAGATGTGGTTTCACCATGTTTGCCAGCCTGGTCTCAAACTCCTGACCTCAGGTGATCCACCCGCCTTGGCCTCCCAAACTGCTGGGATTACAGGCGTGAGCCACCGTACCTGGTCTAGACTCTGCCGAAATTCTAATACTTCTTTGGTAATGCAACAGAAAACTAAAGATTTTGATGGTGAACTCAATTGCTTCTGAGTTGTGTGGATGAAAATATATTTTATTATTTTTTCCTTCAACTTTTAAGCTCCCAGGTATATGTGTAGGATGTGCAGGTTTGTTACACAGGTAAATGTGTGCTATGGTGGTGTGCTGCACAGATCAACCCATCACCATGGTATTAAGCCCAGCATCCATTAGCTCTCCTGATGCTCTCCCTCTCCCCACCCTTCCCCGCTACAGGCCCCAGTGTGTGTTGTTCCCCTTCCTGGGTCTATTTTATGGTATGTATGTGTGTATGTGTGTGTGTGTGTGTGTGTGTGTGTGTGTGTGTGTATCTATTTATGTGTATATATTATGATATATACACCACACTTTTTTCAAACTATTATTTTAGGTTTAGGGATACATGTGCAAGTTTGTTATATAGGTAAACTGTGTGTCTCTGGGGTTTGGTGTGTACAGATTTTTTCACCACCCAGGTAACAAGTGTAGTACCTGATAGGTAGTTTTTTGATCTTCTGTCCTCTCACCCTACACCCTCAAGTAATCCCCCAGTGTGTGTTGTTCCCCTCTTCATGTCCATGTGTTCTCATTGTTTAGCTCCCACTTATAAGTGAGAACATGCAGTGTTTGGTTTTCTGTTCCTGCGTTAGTTTGCTGAGGATAAAGGCTTCTGGCTCCATCCATGTTCCTGCAAAGGACATGATCTCATTCCTTTTTATGGCTGCAGGAAAATATATTTTACATACTAGTGAACATAGTTAAATTAATCCATGGTCAAGACATATATTCTTTTGTAAATTGAGAAATCTCTTTATCATAATTGTAATATGGTAATAAATAAATCTAGATTACATAAATGTAATCTAGATGTTGATAAACTGGTTTTAAATAAAGCAAGTGATATCTACGTATGAAGAGAGTTTACTTCAGTTCCTAGAACTTTCCTTCACTTTCCTGCCATCCCTACTTTTAGTAAGCAAGCATTTACTGTGTGTGTAACACTGTGCTAGGTACTAAGGCAATGATGATACCCAAGATTTGGTCTCTATCCTGAAGATAAGCACAGGAGAAACATTATCAGTCATGATGCTTTCTGTTGCAAACAAGTGAAAACCTCAGCTCAGCTTAGGTCAGCTCCAGGGCTGGCCAAATCAGAGGCTCATTTATAACACTGAGGATCCAGATTCTTTTGAAATTCCTCCTGCACCAATATCAGCATTTCTACCTTCTCTGTAGGTTGGCTTGCCTCACGTTACAATGGCTGCAGCAATCAGAAGTGTCACATCCTCAGTAATACTTAATATTATTACTATTATTTAATAATATTTAGAACTGTGCCATCCCTGTTTCAATTTATCAGGCTCCCAGCAGACTACTCCTTATCTTTCAAATGTCAAAACTGCATCCTGAGCTCTTGCCTAAACTAATCTGGGGTGAGGTGAATGGAAGTAGCACTTTAATTGTATTCATTCTTTGTAGCTGGACCTGGGCCTGGGCCCTATCTCCTGACATTTGCCCACAAGAAAGATTTCTGAAGTTAGGTAGGACTGGCTGTTGAGTAGGCCAGTGCTTGCCAAACCTTTACACATCCTCACATATGTCATAATATGCAGATAAAAAGATAATCCCTTATACAACTTGCTGGGATAAACTCAGGAGGCTTACAGCCATGACCTGCTTGAAGGTTCTTCCTGCCTTAGACCTTGCTCAGCTGCTCCAGGATGAGGGGATTTACATCACAGCACAACTGTATTTTATTCACAGCATAAACCATCTCTTTCCTTCTCAGTTGACGAGTTCAGATGGGCAATAACAGTGTCTGCCAAAGAGAAAAAAAAATGTATTCAAACTAGATAATCTATTGGTACAAATACCGAGACACAGAAGTGATAACAGCTTTAAGCCAATGTTTGATGGTGGTAGTCCCAGCAAGCTCTTTTCTGATGTCTTTGTGCCTTTGCACATGCTCCTTCTCTGTCACTGTTTTCTTCATCAAACATAATATAATGGACAAGTGGAATCAAATAGAATTGAGTTCAAATTCTCTGCTACCCATCGGCCCTGGTATTGGACAAATTAACTCCTCTGAGCCTGTTTCCTCATCTGCAACGTAGACTAGCTAATACTACCCATTGGAAAGCGTTGTTTCTTAGCTAATGCATGCAAGGCTTAAAACCTAGATGACGGGTTGATAGGTGCAGCAAACCTCCATGGCATACGTATGCCTATGTAACAAACCTACACGTTCTGCACTTGTATCCCGGAACTTAAAGTAAAAAAAAAAAAAAAAAAAGAAAAGAAAGAAAGAAAAAGAAAAAAAAGGCTGTTTCTGGGGATTAAATAAGACAATTATGTAAGGTGGCCAGCACAGTTCCTGGTACATAGTAAATGTCAGGCCTGCCTGACAGACTTCTATTCAGCAGCTACTGCTCCCCTGAAAATCTTCCTCAGACGTTTCCACGGTGCTTCCCGTTCTTACACCACTACAATCCTTTATTACACTACTATCCGTTCATTCCCCACAGCTCCCTCCCTTCCTTTCCCTAACCAGTGATCCCAAAAGGCCAGCAAGTGTCTAACATTTTCTATCTTCTAAGTGACTGGTAAAGTTCCGCACCTATCAGCGCTCCAAGTTTGTTTTTGTTTTGGCCGACTTTGCAAAACGGATTGGGCGGGATGAGAGGTGGGGGGCGCCGCCCAAGGAGGGAGAGTGGCGCTCCCGCCGAGGGTGCACTAGCCAGATATTCCCTGCGGGGCCCGAGAGTCTTCCCTATCAGACCCCGGGATAGGGATGAGGCCCACAGTCACCCACCAGACTCTTTGTATAGCCCCGTTAAGTGCACCCCGGCCTGGAGGGGGTGGTTCTGGGTAGAAGCACGTCCGGGCCGCGCCGGATGCCTCCTGGAAGGCGCCTGGACCCACGCCAGGTTTCCCAGTTTAATTCCTCATGACTTAGCGTCCCAGCCCGCGCACCGACCAGCGCCCCAGTTCCCCACAGACGCCGGCGGGCCCGGGAGCCTCGCGGACGTGACGCCGCGGGCGGAAGTGACGTTTTCCCGCGGTTGGACGCGGCGCTCAGTTGCCGGGCGGGGGAGGGCGCGTCCGGTTTTTCTCAGGGGACGTTGAAATTATTTTTGTAACGGGAGTCGGGAGAGGACGGGGCGTGCCCCGACGTGCGCGCGCGTCGTCCTCCCCGGCGCTCCTCCACAGCTCGCTGGCTCCCGCCGCGGAAAGGCGTCATGCCGCCCAAAACCCCCCGAAAAACGGCCGCCACCGCCGCCGCTGCCGCCGCGGAACCCCCGGCACCGCCGCCGCCGCCCCCTCCTGAGGAGGACCCAGAGCAGGACAGCGGCCCGGAGGACCTGCCTCTCGTCAGGTGAGCGAGCAGAGCCGCCGTCGCCTCACGCGGGAAGGGCGCCCCGGGTGTGCGTAGGGCGGGCGCCAAGGCGGCTCGGCGGGGATCCGTCCTCGCCAGGGGCCGGGTCCCGGCGGGAGGAGGCGCCCTCCCTGCCCCCCGCCACGGCGGAGCGTCTGCAGAATGGTGACAGGATTCTGGGTTCTTGGGCGAGGGGTCTCGGCTTCAACTTGACAGGTGTCGGGCGGGTGGGGCTAGGGTCCTGAGCGAAGTGACAGGTGCAGTTCCCTCTTGTGAGGCTCGGAGGCAGAGGGTCGTTGCGAGCGTCCATCAGACGCAAAAAATGAAAAATAAAAATACAAAAATGGTGTCTGTGGGAGAGTTTTTCACCGGAGAATTGGAGTACTCCGGTGGTCGTCTGACTTTCTGTTTTGGTTCACGCGATGCAACAGTTGGGAAGTATTTTCTTCCGGGCGTGCACTGCATCTGAAGTCCATTTGTGGGAGAGGCCGACCAGAAAGCCTTGGACAAGAAGCGCAGGGTCCTGAGTGTCCATTGCCCACAGGATACTCGGCTCAGGAGCTTTGCGGCGTTTCCTTAGAACAATAATGCATCGAGGCCTTGGGGACTCAAAGCCATCTGTAGTGATTGATGGAGCGTAACTCTTTAGAGGAACTGAAACATGGGCAAAACTTTCATGAGACATTTACCAGAAGTGCTTGAAAGTTTCTAAACTTTTTTTTTTCCTGTTTGATGAACTCTTCTTGCGTGTTAGTCGGCTTCGGCTTGTCTCATTATTTCTTCCATTTTGCCTTTTGACTTTGAACCAGCAAGGATCTTGGTGTCCCCTCTTTTTGCCTTTGTTTTTGGCACAAAATTAGTGGTTCTGTGCGCAAATGGAAATTTTCGTTTTCCCTTATTAAGTGGAATCTAAATTTAAGCAAGTCCATACGAATGCACTAGATCTTGAAGGGAAGTATTTATTGTATTACAACATCTTACTTTTCTTGATTTTTCTACTTTATGGTTAAATAGCTATGATTGAAAGAGTGTAATTGTCATTATTGTCAGCACTGGTTCTACTTTGAGACAAGTTCATTGCAGAGGGAATGGGACTTGTTTCTGTTTTTCACTATTTTCTCTCCCATTCTTGTCTATCACCAAATCCTTTCACCCTCACCCATTTCTTTCCACTCGGTATACACTAACAATTCACGGCAGAAAAGATTGAAGTGGGATTTAGGAAATGGCCCCTGGAAGGCTATTAAAAATTTATATATTTAAATGGACTGTCTTATAGGTCAGTTAAAAACCATATTCGTTAAAAAACCAAAATAACAACAACAAAAAATTAAAAACCACGTCTGGGGCATGTTCTGGGAAAAGACATGGCTTTAGTTTCTGATTAAATTCTGATGTATCCAATTCTTGCAAATTTCCCTTGGGAAAATGCAGTAATGGCTACTCTAAAGAATTCCATGTTATGCACACAGCTTTGGAAGCATACTCTAATGTAGGGTAACCAGGAATATTGACGTTGTGGCCACTGCTTGGAAAAAAGAGGACTGTTTCTTTCATTTTTTAACTCATTTTATATATTTTAAGTAATGGAACTATAAAAAATTCTCTTATAAGTCAAAACCATACAAGATACAGTCTGTTCTTGATTATCCATACCCACAAAGGGTTTCATTAACATAGACAGTTGAACTCTATAAATTAACCAGCAAGGGTAGAACCGCTGCCGTGCAGTCTGATACTGAGCATCTTGCCTGGAGATGGAATCAAGGCTCAGTCCAACTGCACCTCCAGTGACAGATTCCATTCCTGATTTGAGAGTTTAGATCTTATTTCTGTTGCCTTATCTCTGGCCTAAGTAATGTAGCTGGAAGGGAAACTGTCACTAGGAACAGCATACCACATTCATTGTTGAAATAATCAAA
Source organism: Homo sapiens (assembly GCF_000001405.40). Taxonomy (NCBI): domain Eukaryota; kingdom Metazoa; phylum Chordata; class Mammalia; order Primates; family Hominidae; genus Homo; species Homo sapiens. The sequence goes on from NC_000013.11 coordinate 48,305,972, forward strand.
GGTTAATCATGTTTCGAGCTGGGTGTGATGGCGCGTACCTGTAGTCCATGCTACTCAGGAGGCTGAGGCAGGAGGATCACATGAGCTTGGGAGTTGGAGGCCAGCCTGGGCAACAAAGCAAGACCCCAGTCTTTAAAAAAACAAAAAAGCTGACCAGGCATGTTGGCTCACGCCTGTAATGCCAGCACTTTGGGAGGCCAAGATGGGAAGATTGCTTGAGGCCAGGAGTTTGAGAGGAGCCTGGGCAACAAAACAAGACCCTGTCTCTAAAACAAATTTTAAAAAATTAGCCAGTGGCTGTGGCACACCTGTAGGCTCATCTACTCAGGAGGCTGAGGTGGGAGGATCCCTTGAGCCCAGGAGTTTGAGACTGCAGTGAGCCATGATTTCACCACTGCACCCCAGCCTGGATGACAGAGTGAAACCCTATTTCAAAACAAGAAAAAAAAACAAAAACTAATTATGTTTTGAAGGAGGAATTGGCAGTCTAGAATAGTGGTCAAGGGCATGGATTATAGAGTTAGACTGTTGGGCTCACATAGTGGTTTACCTCTTACCGGCTGAGACCTCAGGTAAGTTCTTTAACTTCTCCAATTTGACAGACATCTGTAAATGTCTACTTTTACAGATGAGAATACTTATCTAAAAGGGCTGATGTCGGGATTCAGTGAAACCATATGTTTAAGGTACTTTCTACAGGATCATAGTAAATACTCAAAAATTATTAATTATTCTTCATACTATTCTTATTAGTAGATAACACATAGAAATTAGATGAATGAAAATGAATTAGCCAACAAGAATTTATTAAATGCTTGTCTTTGTTAAGGGGAAAGGACAAAAATAAGCAGTCGCATCATGTAAGATGTGCTAGTAGGTAGAGAGATATATGAAACATTGATAAGAGAAGACTACAGTTTAACAAAGTCACTGGCGTTGAATTGTATAATATTATCTATGGGTTTTTATCTTTTTGTTGTTATCTTTATCCTATTTTCCCAAACAGCTTTAGCTATTACATTTACTTTCCTTCACAGAAGTGTTTTGCTGCTTTGAAGTATATTTGACTTACCATGCAAGCAAATATTTTTCACTGTGTGGTATCCTTATTTTGGAATGACCATGAAAAAGATAATCATATGTTTAAATTTGAAGTGTAATGTTTTTCTAAGATAAAATAAGATCTTAAAGTATTTAATAATGTTCTTTTTCACAGTAGTGTTATGTGCAAACTATTGAAACAAGTATGTACTGAATCAATTTGATTTATAAGTATATGCCAATTATATGATTATTTTCATTTGGTAGGCTTGAGTTTGAAGAAACAGAAGAACCTGATTTTACTGCATTATGTCAGAAATTAAAGATACCAGATCATGTCAGAGAGAGAGCTTGGTTAACTTGGGAGAAAGTTTCATCTGTGGATGGAGTATTGGTAAGGATTTTCTTAAAACGTTTTGAAATTTTTTTTTCTCATTTTAAAAACAACTTCAAATCACTATACAAAAATTGAAAGATAGAAAAATATAAAGACAATAAAAGCTAATAATAATTCCATTACCCAGAGGAAATTTACCTCTGCTAACATTAAAAATGTTTGAGGCCGGGCACGGTGGTTCATGCCTGTAATCCTACCACTTTGGGAGGCTGAGGCAGGTGGATTGCCTGAGCTCAGGAGTTCGAGACCAGCCTGGGCAACATGGTGAAACCCTGTCTCTACTAAAATACAAAAAAAAAAAAAAAAATTAGCAGGGTGTGGCGTGCGCCTGTAGTCCCAGCTATTTGGGAAGCTGAGGCAGGAGAATTGCTTGAACCCAGGAGGTGGAGGTTACAGTGAGCCGAGATCGTGCCACTGCACTCCAGCCTGGCAACAGAGCGAGAGTCTGTCTCAAAAAAAAAAAAAGTTTGAAAAAAATTCCTCCATAAATGCCTCCCACCAAACTATTTTAAAGCAGGTCTTAGTTATATTTTATTCACTATGATACAAGGACTTTTAAAAAAACACCGCCATACCTTATAAAATAATTTTTATACCTTCTAATATGCAATCAGTGTTCAGATTTCCTGACTGACTCAGAATTAGTTTTGTTAGAATTCAGGATCTTGAAAATATATTGATATATTCCTTTCATTTTTTCTTTGCGTAAGTATAGATGTATATGTTTAATAAAAGGAGCAAATAATTACTAGAGTTTTATATGTACTGGGGCAATAGTATAAGAATTTTACATAGCCGGGCATGGTGGTGTGTGCCTATAGTCCCAGCTACTTGGGAGGCTGAGGTGGGACGATCACTTGAACCTGGGAGGTGGAGGTTACAGTAAGCCAAGATCGCACCACTGCACTCCAGCCTGGGCAACACAGGAAGACCCTGTTGCAAAAAAAAATAAATAAAAATAAGGCTGGGCGTGGTGGCTCAAACCTGTAATCCCAGCACTTTGGGAGGCCCAGGCAGGTGATCACTTGAGGTCAGGAGTTCTAGACCAGCCTGGCCAACATGGTGAAACCCCATCTCTACTAAAAATACAAAAATTAGCCAGGCATGGTAGCAGATGCCTGTAATCTCAGCTACTTGGGAGGGTGAGGCAGGAGAATTGCTTGAACCTGGGAGGCAGAGTTTGCAGTGAGCCGTGATCATGCCACTGCACTCCAGACTAGGCAACAGAGAAGACTCCATCTCAAAAAAAAAACAAAAAAAACCCCAGAACTTTACAAATCTACGAATAACTCATTTAAAAATCATTGAGATATGAAATATAAAATCTTTTTTTATGTGTAAAATGTGAAATGTTCATTTAACAGATGAAGACACTGAGTAGAGTGAGGTTGAGTAACTTGACCAAGGTCCCTAGGAAATAAGATCTCAAATATAAATTTGAGATTATACATGTAGTTATGTATAGTTACCTGTAGTTACACATAGTTTTGTATTTTCCTGTTTTTTTCTCATATGAGCATTTTCTTATTAAAGTTTTTTTGTAATATAGTTTCTAGTGATAGTATAATATTTTAGCTAGTGGATGTATTTTAATTTGTTAACTCTTACTGGATATTTGGGTTTTTTCCAACTTTTTGATGCTATAAAATAATGTAATAAACATTTGTATTCGTAAGAATAATGCCTGGCACAAAGTGAGTCCTTGATAACTTGTTAAATAAATTAATGAATGAATCTCTGATTATTTTATTAGAATAAATTCTTATAAGTTGAATTACTAAATCAAAAGCTATGAACATTTTTATGACTCTTGATGATTATTGCTAGATTACACTTCAGACAGATACTTTTAATGAATTTACTTTCTCAACATAGTAGTATAAGAGTATATATCTGTTTTTACTGATCTGATTAACACAGCGGAATGTGTTTATGTATGTCCCATAAGAAAATTGTTTAAAACCATTAAATAAAATCTCTGGCAGTAAAAAGGAGAAAACAAGTGTCATGATTTCCAAAGAATTGAACATAGTCTCACATTTCTTATGTAAAAAGAGAGGAATACTGAAGTATCTTGAATGTATGACTTGGGTATTATAATCCCCAGGCATCTAATGTATATTTTAACTGACTTGGGTACCTCATGTACAAAGCTGTTTTTGTGCATATACAATTAAATGGGATCAGAGCTCCTTCACTTTTCTCTTCCTAAAATACTAGATTTTTAGTGTTCAGAAATTTTGGAAGGGATAGCTGATTATAAAGAGCATTAGTGAATATACATACTGTAGTTTTCAATTTATAAGTGCATTGTGTTCCAAATCTGTTTGCAAGTTTGATATAGTAGTTAGGTTTCCAGCCTGGTTCACATAACTTATTTTTTTTTGTACTAAACTATAACAATAATAGTTTTAACAGTAGAGGCTCTTTTGAGCTTCAGAATTGAATACATATATAAGCAAATGTTACTGCTTTATTACCCTTTTTCATCCTGGCTTTGTCTCTACCTTCCCTGGGAACTGGCCCAGTTTGAATCTTATTTCCTAATGGAGCTCATAATGGGGACTAGGATGTGTGAAATTATTTATGGCTAGGTACTGGAGGAAGGTAAGAAAGGAATTTCATGTTATTTTTGGGATTTGAGGTGTGCTTTTGAAGGGTATGATGGAAGATGATGTCCTGTTGTCCTGTTGTAAATCAACAGACTTTTCCTTGAAATATGATTTTAAGTTAGAGTTACGTTTTTGAGGTTTGGCCTGAGAATTTAACCTTCATTTATATAATAATATCTAAGGGAGAATGTGATACAGTGTGTTCTAAGAAGCAAATGTAATGACAGAATAAATGTGTTTCCAGTGCAGCTATTCTAGTGGCAGTTGTCTCTCTTCTTTGAAACAAGAGGAGGAATATTGTCAAAAAGGAAACCCTTTTTAACAATAGAAAGTAGGTGATGTTTATTGGGATAGAGGATGGGTTAAGAGCAAGGATTAAGAGTCAAACAGATATACCATGTCCGAACTCCATTATCTTGAACATGTTATCTACAATTTTCAAGCCTTAGTTTTCTTACCTGTAAAAGGGACTGACAGTAATTTCTGGATCTTGGAGTTATGTGCAGATTAAATAAATTAATGCATATAAAGCTCTTATTAGAGTCAATGAGTATGTATATTAGGTCTTGCAAACAGAATAATTTTACTTAAGAAATACCCCAGAAAATTTTATCATTGATGTATTTTTTTTTAGGAGAACTTAGGATATCAGTTAAAATGGTTACAATTTTAAATGCATTGTAGTGATTTTGATGTAGTAATGTTTGTTAAAATTCTTATTTTTAAGTACTTTAGCATCAGAAAAGTTGTTTATGCATACATGAAAGCATATATTAATCCCTTTAAAGGAAAAGTTTGTGGTATTTTGTCTAGAAAAGTGTTTTCTTTTTTTAAAATAAATATTTAGTAAAGTGTAATAATAAAGATTAGCTTTGTTCATAAGGTTAGATTGTATTTATGCTGATTATAGCATATGAATAGGACTTTCCATTAAGAAATTGGCTAAGGTGATGTTCATATTGTGACTTAAGGTGAATCAGCTGTTAGAATTTTGGTTTACTTTCTGCATCTTGATTGGTAGTATGGTAGAATGGAAAATGCCTTGGACCTCAAGGCAGGAAACTTTGGTTGTAATTATATTGTAGCTATATGATTTTAGGCAAATTGGTTAATTCTGTGAGTCTCAGTTTGCTCACCTGTAAGGCAGAAATAATGCCTGAATGTGAACCTCATAGGCTTTTTGTTATACATACATATATATGTATATGAAATGTATGATATACATATCTCAAAGAGCTTTGGGATATATTGCTCTTGATAGAACCACTTACTTATTTTTGTGATATGGTGGTTATATTTTAAATAAATACAGTCATGTGTTGCTTAACAATGGGAACACATCTGAGAAATGCATCATTAGGTGATTTCATCGTTGTGTGAACATCATAGCATGTACTTACACAAACCTGGATGGTATAGCCTATGACACACCTATGCTGTGTGGTATATAGCATGTTGCTCCTAGTCTGCAAATGTGTACAGCATGTTACTGTACTGAACATTGTAGGCAATTGTAACACAATGGTAAGTATTTGTATATCTATACATAGAAAAGGTACAGTAGATCATCCATATCCTTACTGATTTTCTTTCTATGTGTTTTACTAATTATTGAGGGAGAAATATGAAGCCTCCAACTATAATTAGAATGGTCCTTTTAAATTCTGTTTTTTATTAATGTATTTTTTATTTTATTTTATTTTGAGATGGAGTCTTGCTCTGTCACCCAGGCTGGAGTGCGTGGCACGATCTCGGCTCACTGCAACCTCTGCCTCCCGGGTCCAAGCGATTCTCCTGTCTCAGCCTCCCGAGTAGCTGGGATTATAGGCATGCGCCACCACACCCGGCTAATTTTTGTATTTTTAGTAGAGACGGGGTTTCACCGTGTTAGTCAGGCTGGTCTCGAACTCCTGACCTCATGATCTGCCCTCGGCCTCCCAAAGTGCTGGCATTACAGGCGTGAGCCACTGTGCCTGGCCTTTATTAGTGTATTTTAAAGCTTTATCCTTGGGTACATACAAGTTTAGAATTTTTATGCCTTTTAGGTAAATTGGTACCTTTATCATTATGTAATGTGCTTTTTTATCCAAATTTATATCTTTTGTTCTGCAGTGTCCACATATCGATTCCACTTTTCTTGTGATCACTCTTTACAATGTGTATCGTTTACCTTCATTTTGATTTTAACCTATTTCTTTTTTATATTTAAATGGATTTTTGTTGTTTTGTAATCAGCATTCATTAAAAATTTTTAGCTGAATACTTTTTACTTTTGTTAGGGTTCCCTGTGTCTCTTCCTTTCATGTTGTGCCACAGATGAGCCATTATTTATATCTTTTCTCTCATTGGAGGTTCCTTTTTTTAGGGGAAATTAAATAATCTGAAATATAAGGAAAGGATATGTTGATTTCAAGAAAGGTTGTTTTTGTTCCTTATCTGGCTTGTTCTTGTTGTGAGGGTGGGAGCAATACTCTTTGCAGCTTTCTGCATTCTAGGAAGAAGTGGAATTTTACACTACCATTTGCTTTCTTTACAGGTTTACCTTGGTATTCAGTGTCTGTCCATAGGACTAATTAAAACTATACCAGACTCCTTCTATTTTAAACCTATCCGTTCAGTCTCAAGTTATCTTTTTGCATTGCCTCTCACGTCTGTCCCTTCATTTCTTTTACCAGCAGTGCTTGGTTTTTACTGTTTGCTTTGGTTTTAATTTCCTTTTTATTTTTTTAATTTCAGAAGGTGGAAGCTTATGTCATTGACTTGAGCATTTTTTATGCATGTTTTAGTGCCTCTTTCTGACTAGTCTCTTCTTTTCTCCATCCAATCCATCCTGTGCCTGATTTTTAGAAAAGACTGGTGTACAGTTTGCCCCTTTTGCTTTAAAATTTATTTTTCATTGTTACAACCCACTCTCAGTAGCCTCCATTGTAACACCCTCCCATGCTCCCACCACCATTATGAAGAAGTAAAGTCCAAACTTTCTCAGTATTTGTAGTTCTTCATGGTCTGTGCTTTAACCTTCCTTCCAGTCTTATTTTTTATTTCCATTGTTGGCCCCCAATGCCTGTGTTCTCTTCCCTTCCATATGAATCTTCCATATGAATATCTTCCATATGAATATGATAGTATTCATATTCATGCGATCTCCCCTTTTTTTGGAATACCCTTCTTTTTTCTTTTAGCCTAAATTCTGTTTTTAAGATGCAGTTAAAGCTTCTCCTTTATGCATATCTCTTATAAGATATATTATTTGCAGACTTTTCCCCCCATTCTGTGAGTTGCCTTTTCACTTTCTTGATGATGTCATTTGCAGCGTAGGATTTTAATTTTGATGAAGTCCAGTTTTCTATTTTTTTTTTGGTGGTGGTTTTTTTTTTGGTTGCTTGGGCTTTTGATGTTGTATCTAAGAAGGCCTTGACTAACCCAAGGTCATGAAGACTTATTCTGTGCTTTCTTCTAAAAGTCATATGGTTTTTAGTTCTTGTCAGTCTTGGGTTTTTTTTTGTTTTTTTTTTTTGAGTTAATTTTTGTGTATGATGTGAGGAAGAGGTCTAACTCCAGTCTTTTGAATGTGGATATCCAGTTGTCTCTGCACCACTTATGGAAAAGACTATTCTTTCTTCATTGAATTGTTTTGGTGCCCTTGATGAAAATCAGTTGACTATAAAAACCAGGGTTTATTTCTGGAGTCTCAGTTCTATTCCATTGCTCTGTATGTTTATTCTTTTTTTTTTTTTTTTTTTTTGAGACGGAGTCTCGCTCTGTCGCCCAGGCTGGAGTGCGGTGGCACAATCTCGGCTTCCTGCAAGCTCCGCCTCCCGGGTTCATGCCATTCTCCTGCCTCAGCCTCCCAAAGAGCTGGGACTACAGGTGCCTGCCACCACGCCCGGCTAATTTTTCTGTATTTTTAGTAGAGACGGGGTTTCACTGTGTTAGCCAGGATGGTCTCGATCTCCTGACCTCGTGATCGCCCACCTCGGCCTCCCAAAGTGCTGGGATTACAGGCGTGAGCCACCGCGCCTGGCCGTATGTTTATTCTTATGATAGTACCATACTGTTTTGTAGTATGTTTTATAGCTTTGTAGTATGTTTTGAAATAGGGAAGTGTGAGTTCGACAACTTTGGTTTTCTTTTTCAAGATTACTTTTGTTACTCTTGGTACTTGAATTTCCATGTGAATTTTTAGGATCAATTTGTCAATTTCTGTTTTAAAAAAAGGCAGCTGGGATTTTGATAGGGATTATGTTGGATCTAGATCAATTTGCGGAATATTGCATTCTTAACAACATGAAGTCTTCAGATGCATGCATATGGAATGTCTTTTCGTTTAAGTCTTTCTTTCACCAGTGTTTTCAGTTTTCAGAGTATAAATCTTACTAAATATTTATTCTTGGTGATATTATTATAAATGGAATTGTTTTCTTTCCTTTTTGGCTTATTCATTGTAGGTGGATAGAAATAAAATCTATTTTTTTTGGATAAGAGCAGCTAAAATCAGTTGGGCACGGAGGCTCACGCCTGTAATCTTAGCACTTTGGGAGGCCGAGGTGGGTGGATCACTTGAGGTCAGGAATTTGAGACCAGCCTGGCCAACATGGTGAAACCCTGTCTCTACTAAAAATACAAAAAATTAGCTGGGTGTGGTGGCATGCGCCTGTAGTCCCAGCTACTCTGGAGGCTGAGGCAGGAGAATCGCTTGAACCCGGGAGGCGGAGGTTGCAGTGAGCCGAAGTCGTGCCACTGCACTCCAGCCTGGGCAAAAAAAAAAAGAAAAAGCAGCTAAAATCTATGTATTTAACAAAAATCTCTAATACAGTACCATTTTATTTATTATAGTCCTCATGTTGTATATTAGATCTCTGGACTTGTTCATCCTATGTATTTGCTACTTCGTATCCTTTGAACTACATCTTTTCAAAGGATGAAATTGGGTAATGTGATGCCTCTAGCTTTGGTCTTTTTGTGTAGGGTTGCCTTGACTATTCGGGCTCTTTTTCAGTTCCATATGAATTTTAAAATAGATTTTTTTTTTCTTTTTCCTAACTCTGTGAATAATGTCATTGGTAGTCTGATAGAAACAGCATTGAACCTGTAAATTGCTTTGGGCAGTGTGGCCATTTTAATGATATTGATTCTTCTTATCCATGAGCATGGAATGTTTTTCCATTTGTTCGTGTCATCTCTGATTTATTTGAGCTGTGTTTTGTAATTCTTGTAGAGAGCTTTCACCTCCCTAGTTAGCTGTATTCCTAGATATTTTATTCTTTATTGTGGCTATTGTGAGTGGGTTGCATTCTTGATTTGGCTCTCAGCTTGGGTATTGGTACACAGGAATGCTAGTGATTTTTGTACATTGATTTTATATCCTGAAACTTTGCTTATCAGCTGAAGGAACTTTTGATCAGAGACTATGGGATTTTCTAGGTGTAAAATCATCATCTGCAAACAGGAATAGTTTGACTTCCTTTTTTCTTATTCCGATGCTCTTTATTTCCTTCTCTTGTCTGATTGCTGTGGCTAGGACTTCCAATACCATGTTGAATAGGAGTGGTGAGAGAGAGCATCCTTATTTTGTTCTGCCTTTCAAGGGGAATGCTTTCAACTTTTGCCTCTTAAGTATGATGTTGGCTGTGGATTTGTCATAGATGGCTCTTATTATTTTGAAGTATGTTCCTTCAATGCCTAGTTTGTTGAGCTATATACCACACTTTCTTTATCCACTAATCGGCTGATGGGCACTTCAGTTGATTCCATACTTTTGCAGTTGTGAATTGTGCTGCAATAAACAAGTGCAGGTTTCTTTTTGATATTATGACTTCTTTTATTTTGGGTAGATACCCAGTAGTGGGATTGCTGGATCGAATGGTTGATCTGCTTCTAGTTCTTTGAGAAATCCTCACACTGTTTTCCATAGAGGTTGTGCTAATTTACATTTCCACCAACAGTGTATAAGCATTCCCTTTTCACTGCATCCTCGCCAACATCTATTGTTTTTTTACTTTATTTTCCATATAAAAAGGGGTTTATTTAGATGTTAGAATCATCTAGTGATTCAGAAAGATTGGACATGAATCCACCCAGGCCCAGGGCTGAGCTGCAGAGCAGCCGCTGACATCCGCGGGGATTTCACATGCAACAGGGAGCTCTCACGTGCTTGCTGGCCATTGTGCTTTAAATCGTTTTTTCCAGCGGACAGCTGTGACTGCAGTTTTCAAATGTGCTCTGGCCTCCAAGGACCAGGGGGGCGGTGGGGGGCGGGGGTGTCCTCTGTATAAAAAGTGCTGTCCTGCGAGCTTCCCGACGGACACTTTGGGGCATCTGAGCGATTCCCGGGGAGGGCAGCTCTGCCTTCCTCAGGCTACCACTGCAGCCACCGACGGACATTCTCACCAGCAATCAACCAAAAAACATCAGAGTCTCTGTGAACTTGGCTGCGATGATAAGAACCAAATGTTTTCTAATCTAAGACTTGTATGCAGAACACAGGAAATTGCAATTAGGAACACCCTACAAAATTGAACAACAGTATTTTCTAAAAATATTTTTTACATCACTTTAAATAATTTACAGAAAGCTACAGAAATCATATTTACCAGGACACATCTGTTAAATAAAAGCATTGTTTCATGTTGGTGTACGTCTATACAGGGCTATGTATAACCGACTCCTGTTTCTCCTCCCTGCAACCACAGAACCATCACACACACACACACACACACACACACACACACACACACACACACACACACACACACACACACACGGATACACGCACAGATACGCTCCTTTCCACAAATGCACGCAAACCGGGACGCAAACCCACAACTCGAGGGCTTAGACCTTCACTGCTGAGCTGCCGCCACTGTCCTCCGTGCGCGGAGTGTCGCTGAAGTCACTGGCGTCACTAACCAAGGCGTGCCCGCCCAAGGTGCCCTGGTCCTGGTCGTCCCTATCGATGACCCTTCGTCAATACCTCAGGTCTAAAATGCTTTCCTCCGAGCCCGAGTTCCTCCTGTCGGGCAAACTCCGCCCTGTCTGTGCCTTGCTGCTTGGCCAGGGCCCGCCGTCCTTCTTCGCCAGCAAGTGTGGGCTTCCAAAGACAGGGCTGGGCCCGGCCTGGGCCTCCCTGAAGGCAGAGAAGGACGGGCCCTGTGGAGGCAGCCCCATGTCGGGCTGAAGAGGCTGGCCTGCCTGCCCCCCTGGGAGACACCCTTTCCAAAATGGAAGAGCTGGGTGGACAGCGCGGGGAGAAGCCCACAAGGGGTAGGCTGGGCAGGCCCCAGGCGGGGCCCTCGGACCCCTTGTCTTTCCCGCTCCCGACGCCCCGCCTCCACTCCGCATCTCTACTTTCCGAGCGCAGCGCGCACGGGTTCCGGTGGGTGAAGTCGCTCGAGGGCAGGGTGTGGTCAGCCTGGGCTCCAGAGTCCCTTTCAGCTTCCTGGCTAGGGGTCAGGAAGCCCCGGCTCCCGCAGCCCATGTGAAAGCTCCCCCCAGCACCTCCGGCCTCGGTGCCCGCTGTGGCACTGCTGGGCAGCTGAATAAAAGCACTTCTGGCAGCATGCTCGGCCCCTCGTGAGCGCTGGTCTTTCTGAATGTAAACATTTCTCCTGCTCGCTGAGAGCCCCTTGGCGGAGACACTGCCACTGGTGCTCCTGGGCGGTGCCGGATCCCCTTGGGCGGGAGCAGCGGGGAGCCCCTTCCTGCCCTGGCTGAACAGGTCGGCTGTGCCCTGTGCTCCAGCGCTCTCTGCACCTCATGGCCCTTCTGCCGGCTGTGGGACCCCCCTGGCCCACTGACTCCGCGTGCACACGCCAGGCGGTGGGGCCCGCTCCTTCCTGCACAGCAACTCTGGCCTGAATGAGCCCCATTTCCCGAGAGCAGCAGGGCCCTCTGCCTGAACTTCTGAACTGCTCAGACTCCTTGGCCTTTTCCGCCAAAAACTTACTAATCTACAGTTCGATGCTCTCGTCACTGTCCACTGAACTCCTGTCGTCAGACAGGGAGCCGGGGCTGGGAGCTGGGCCCTGGCATTCCCTGGGGAAATGGATTCCCTTCAGAGGCGGAGGCAGAGGCGCATCCCCTCACTCGGAAGGCCGGGGCCGTGTCCTGGCTCCTGACGCCCTCCTGCTTCGTCTTCTCTGCCATACTGCCACAGACACTGGGAGGTTTGTTCCCTGGACCCTCGCCGCTGTCTCTCTTGGACTTGGAGAGTCAGCTATTAAGCACCGGCGGGCTTCTGTCTTTCCAGTCTCTCGGGAGCCCGCCCAGCTGCTCCAGGAAGTGCATCTGGGCAGTGCTGAACCTGACCTTCCTGCACGCAGCCCTGGGTTCCCTGCACCTCTTCTTGAGCTTTCGCTTGGACCTTAAGTCCTTGATGGCCGTGTCCAGGTCCTCGTCACTGTCCAGGGAGCTGCTCTTGTCTTCGGAGCTCTCCTTCTCGTCCAGGTGCCTCACCTCGTCTGTCTTACCCTGGCCCTGCGTCATGCGAGTGTCGCCGGGCCCCTTGGCTGCGCCCTCCCCTCCCGGGACCTCGCTGGCTTTGCCCTGGACGGGCAGGTCCCGCCCCTCATGGCCGGGCACGGCTCACGCCTGGCTGTGGTCGGCATCCTGGCCACCATCTTTCACCACCTCCCGCGTTTTCTTGGGCGTGGACGGCCTCATGGCATGGCCGCCGCCTCTACGTTTCCTTTTGCAGCTCAGCAGCGGGTCCGGTGTTTTAGAGAGGGGGGCCTTGGGGCCACTGGTCTGGCTGTTGGGGCCAGGCGGTGAAAGTGGGCCCTGGGCAGCCTGCGAGCAGCTCTCACCTCTGGCCAGCAAACTCCCCGACTATGCCTTGAGGGTCAAAACGTCTGGATTTCCTGATCGATGCTGTCGTCGCTGTCCACGGAGCTACTGTCGCCGTCAGAGCGGGAAGGCACGTTCAGGGAGTAGAAGCGTGGGCTTGCAGAAAGGGACCTGTTGCTGCCTTACATGGGGGCCGGCAGGGTAGTCTTGGAAATGCCCAAGATTGCTTCCGCGCGCGTCAGTTCAGCGGACGTGTCTGCCTGGCACGAGGACCGTTCTACAAACTCGTTCCTGGAAGCCGGGCTCGCTGGAGGCGGAGCTTTGGTTTCCTTCGGGAGCTTGTGGGGAATGGTCAGCGTCTAGGCACCCCGGGCAAGGGTCTGTGGCCTTGGTGGCCACTGGCTTCCTCTAGCTGGGTGTTTTCCTGTGGGTCTCGCGCAAGGCACTTTTTTGTGGCGCTGCTTGTGCTGTGTGCGGGGTCAGGCGTCCTCTCTCCTCCCGGCGCTGGGCCCTCTGGGGCAGGTCCCCGTTGGCCTCCTTGCGTGTTTGCCGCAGCTAGTACACCTGGATGGCCTCCTCAGTGCCGTCGTTGCTGCTGGAGTCTGACGCCTCGGGCGCCTGCGCCGCACTTGTGACTTGCTTTCCCCTTCTCAGGGCGCCAGCGCTCCTCTTGACCCCGCTTTTATTCTGTGGTGCTTCTGAAGGGCTGCAGGGGGCTGCTGGCTTCGGGCTGCCCTTGTTCTCCTGCTTGGTCGTGACCCTGGACTTGAGGCTTCTGGGCTGCACGTTCGTCTTTGCTAACCGGGGAGGTTTGCGAAAGGCGAACTCTTTATGGGCGCCCTTCAGACCCTGCCGATGCGCCACCTTTGCGGCTAGCTCTTCGTGGGATTTCAAGAGTGACTTGGTCGAATTTTCGTTTGGGTCTGGTTTTTTATCTATTGACCCCATCACATTTTTGGGTCGCATGCTATCTCTTCTCATTCAGAAGCTGTTCTATTTCCGCCTTAATGCTCTGCTCGAAGGAGTCGTTGCTGCTCGCTCTGACCGGGAAGGCAGAACCCTAGTCCTCACTGGATCTCACCTGGCTGCCAGGGCCACCACCTGAGCCAGGTACAAGTTTTGGGGGGACACACGGAAGTCGGGGCACTGCCGTGAGATAGTTCTGGCTTACATCTACTGCCACTGCCTGCAGCCCTGGAAGGCTGGGCTGCGCCTGGCTGGCCCCTGCCAGCCCCGGGCTGTGCGGCTCCACTCTTTGCCTTTAGGTACTCCCGGATGGCTTCCGCAATGTCCCGGTCCACGGAATCATCATTGAATCTAGCACCAACGGGCCAAAGTCTGCAGTTTCCTCCTCCCTCATGGGGTCAAAGTCAGCAACAAGACCACAGGCAGGCAATGCGGGCTGCTCCTTGTGCACGGTGGGCTTGGCAGCTGGCTTGGCGTCTGCCCTGTGGCCCCTCTGTGCAGCGCGCTCATCGGTGGTGCCCCGAGCAACCCCGCTGCGCTGCAGCGTGCTGATGAGCATCTGCACCCGGGCGCTCACCGACACGCTCTCCACCCCCTCGTCAGCCTCCGAGAAGCACCCGGGGAACCTAAAGCTCCCTGGTGGGCCAAAGGCCTCCCATTTGGACTGGGGAGCAACCCCTGGAGTAGCGTTCCTGAGAAACATTCTAGCAGAAGGGGAGGGACGCGCAGAGGGACGACGCTTTATTTCTCTGCCAGCTTCATATACTCAAAAGGTTGGCAGCGGGGTGCAGTGGCTCAAGCCCGTAATCACAGCACTTTGAGAGGCCGAGGCGGGCGGATCGCGAGGTCAGGAGTTTGAGACCCGCCTGGCCAACATACTGAAACCCCGTCTCTACTAATAATACAAAAATTAGCCGGGCGTGGTGGTGTGAGCCTGTAGTCCCAGCTACTCGTGAGGCAGAGGCCAGGGAATCGCTTGAAGCCGGAAGGTGGAGGTTGCAGTGAGCTGAGATCGCCCCACTGCTCTCCAGCCTGGGTGACAGAGCGAGACTCCGTCTCAAAAAAGAAAAAAAAAAAAAAGAGTGGCAAGTGGTGCCCATGAGATAAAGTCTGCAAATGCTTCTTTGCAGTTTAAAAAGGACGACGACTATAAACCCAGGATCAGGACGACGTTACGCATAGATTTATTCTTGACCTGACCAACGAGCTCTTGAAATTCTCTTTGCAACTAGGTCGACTGTGAAACTGCAGCCAGTGTCCCCAAACGCCCCAAGGATAAGGCCTTTATCACTCCGACGCATCCTCTCTCTGCTTTTTAAATAGACTTTTGACTCGGCCAGGCCCCCTGCCACCCACCGCGCTGACCCTGCCTGCGCTTGCGTCCCGCGTCCCGCATCCGGGGGGAGGCGGCGGGCCCGGGTCTCTGGGGCTGGCCCATTTACTTAGTTTTGTTTTTGTTGCATTTGCTTTTGGTGACACTCCCTTTTTGATATTCCACATATAAATGAGGCAATAATTTTCTTTCTATGTCTGCTTATTTCACTTAGCATAATGGTCTCCCTGTCCACCTCGGCTCCCGCGCGGGGAGGAGGGGCAAGGGCCCTCCGCCCGGGCCCCGCCTCCCCGCGCGCCGCTGCCACCGCCCCGCACCTTTTTTTGACTTTTTAATAATGCTCATTCTGACTGTGATAAGGTGGTATCTCATTATGGTTTTAATTGGTATTTCCCTTGTGATTGGTGATGTTGAGTATTTTTCATGTTTCTTGGCCATTTGTGTATCTTCTTTTGAAAAATGTCCGTTTGGCTGGGCGCGGTGGCTCACGTCTGTAATCCTAGCACTTTCGGAAGCCAAGGCGGGTGGATCACCTGAGGTCAGGAGTTCGAGACCAGCCTGGCTAACATGGTGAAACTCCGTGTCTACTAAAAATACAAAAATTAGCTGGGCGTGGTGGCATGCGCCTGTAATCCCAGCTACTCTCGAGACTGAGGCAGGAGAATGACATGAACCCAGGAGGCGGAGGTTGCAGTGAGCCAAGGTTGCGCCATTGCACTCCAGCCTGGACGACAGGAGTGAAACTGCATTGCAAAAACAGCAACAAAAAAAATCCATTCATCTAGTTTGTCCACTTTTTAACAGGATTATTTGTTTTCTTCTTGCTGATTTTCTTGAGTTTCTTGTAGATTCTGGATCCTTTGTTGGATGTATAGTTTGTAAATATTTTCTCCCATTCTGAGGGTTGTCTCTTTTCTCTGTTGATTATTTATTTTGCTATGCAGAAACTTTTTAGTTTAAGTCCCATTTACTTAGTTTTGTTTTTGTTGCATTTGTTTTTGGTGACACCCCCTATTTTTTAGATTCCACATATAAATGAGATCATGCAATAATTTTCTTTCTGTGTCTGCTTATTTCACTTAGCATAATGGCCTCCATGTCCACCTGTGTTGTGGCAAGTGACAGGATCACCTTTCTTTTTATGGCTGAATAATATTCCATTGTTTATATATACTACATTTTGTTTATCCACTTCTCTGTTGACAGACACATAGGTTGTTTCCATATTACTTAGCTGTATATAGAAATACAGGTGGTTTTTGTATGTTGATTTTGTACTCTGAAAACTTGGTGAACTAATTTATTAGCTTCAATAGTTTCTTAGTGAATTCCTTAGGATTTTCTAGATGTAAAATAATGTCATTTGCAAATAGAGATAGTTTTACTTCTTCCTTTAAAATCTGGATACCTTTTATTTCTTTTTCTTGCCTAATTGCTTTGTCTAAAATCTCCAATAGAATGTTGAATAGAATGATGAGAAGGACATTGTTGTCTCTTCCTGGATCTTAGTGGGAGACCATCCAGTTTTTCACCATTAAGTAGATGTTAGCTGTGGGGTTTTTGTAGATGCCTTTCATCAGTTGAAGAATTTTTTATTTCTAGGGTGTTGAGTGTTTTGTTATGAAAGGGTGTTGGATTTTGTCAAATGATTTTTCTGCTTCTATTGATATAATAATGTAGTTCTTGTTCTTTATTGAAATGGTGTAGTATATTAGTTGATTTTCAGGTGTTAAACCAACATTGCATCTCTGGAATAAGTCCCACTTGGTCACAATGTATAATCCTTTTGATATGTTGCTAGATTTGGTTTGCTAATTTTTTTTTTTGAGGATTTCTATACGTGTATTTATAAGAGATTTTGGTCTTTAGTTTTTTTCCTTGTGCTGTCTTTGTCTGATTTTAGTATCAAGATAATACTGGCCTTTCACAGAATGGACTGGGAAGTGTTCCCTCCTCTTCTGTTTTGATGGGGCAGTTTGTGAAGAATAGATATTAATTCTTCTTTAAATATTTGGTAGAATTCATCAGTGATGCCATCTGGGCCTGGACTTTTCTCTGTGGAAAGTTTCAAAATTACTAATTCAGTCATTTTACTTGTTATAGGTTTATTCAGTTTGTCAGTTTCTTTCTGAATCAGTTTTTATACTTTATATTTTTCTAGGAATTTGTCTACCTCATCTAAGTTACCTAGTTCATTGGCAAATAATTGTTCATGGCATTGCCATTATAATCCTTTTTATTTCTGTAAGGTTAGTAGTAATTTTTTTTTATTTCATTCCCGATTTTGGTTAATTTGAGCCTTCTCTCTTTTATCTTGGTCAGTCTAACTAGAAGTTTCTCAATGTTGGTGATTTAAAGTTTTTTTTTCTGGTTTCATTGATTTTTCTTTATTTCTCTATTCTCTAAAAAATTTTGATCAAACGATTTTTCCCTGTTTTTTCACTACCCAATGTTTATACTTAATGTGTGTATTGGATAACTCTATTAAAGTTCATCATCATGTACTTTCATCATGTAATAGTCAGATATATCTTATATATAATTGTACTGCCTACTTTTAGAATTGCTTGTTCTTTAAGGCTTTGACTTCATAAAAGTTTTCACTCTTGGCCAATATTATTTACTACAGCGTGTTTTCTTCTTCATGAGGAACCATGGAAGAAATCTTTGGTCCAAGACCCATTAAGCTTTCCTGGAGAAGCTAACTAATTAATTTAATTTAACCTTATAGATACTATGAATCTTATAATTGTTTGTTACTGTTTTAACTGCCAGCTTTCATGATAGCATGCATTTTGGGGGATACTAACATTTTTCTTGTCATTTTTTTCACCTTTCTATATTTTACTTTCACAATTATAAGTAAATAAAGACTTGTTTTAACATAAATCACACTTTATAGTAATAAAGAGCGGATCTCTGTTGCTCTCCTTTTTTACTTTAAAATTTTTTATTTTTAATTATTATGGAGACATAATAGGTGTACATATTTATGGGATACATGTGATGTTTTGATACAAGCATATAATGTGTAATGACCAAATCATGGTAGTTGGAGTATCCATCATCTTAAGCTTTTATCATTTATTTGTGTTAGGAGCATTCCAATTCTAATCTTTTAGTTATTTTGAAATATACAATAAATTATTGTTAACTATAGTCACTGTATTGTGACTATATAGTGTTTCCATAGAACACTAGATCTTGTTCCTTCTATCTAACTGTCTTTTTGTACCCATTAACCAACTCCTCTTTTATCCTCCCATCCCCACTACCCTTCACAGCTTCTGGTAATCATCATTCTACTCTGTCTCCATGAGTTCAATATTTTTTTTTTTTTTTAAGCTCTTGCTTGTAAGTGAGAACATGTACTTGTCCTTCTGTGCCTGGCTTATTTCACTTAACATGATGTTCTCTGGTTCCAAATGACAGGATTTCATTCTGTTTTATGGCTGAATAACATTCCATTGTTTATATGTACCACATTTTCTTTATCCATGCATCCATTAATGGGCATTCAGGTTAATTCCATGTCTTGGCTGTTGGGAAAAATGCAGCATTCAACATGGGAATGCAGATATCTCTTTGATATACTGTTTTTATTTCTTTTGGATATATACCCAGTGGTGGGATTGCTGTATCATATGGTAGTTTTATTTTTATTTTTTTGAGGAACCTCTAAACTATTCTTTTATAGTGGCTCTACTAATTTACATTGCCACAAGCAGTTGTGCTTTTGTTTTTTTTTTGTTTGTTTGTTTTTGTTTTTGTTTTTTTTTACTGTTTTAACATAATTATTTGGAGCTTCATTCATGATGGCATATGCATCAACAATTTATTTATTCTCATTACTGAGTAGTATCTCACTGCATGGGATTTGTTTTTTTTTTTAAGTTCAGGGGTACATGTGCAGTTTTGTTACATAGGTAAACTTATGTCATGGGGGTTTGTTGTACAGATTATTTCATTGCCCAGGAATGAAGTCCAATACCTACTAGTTGTTTGTCCTAATCCGCTTCCTCTCCCACCCTCCACCCTCTGATAGGTCCCAGTGTGTCTTGTTCCCCTGTGTGTGTCCATGTGTTCTCATTATCTAGCTCCTACTTATAAGTGAGAACATGCAGCATTTGGTTTTCTGTTCCTGCGTTAGTTTGCTAAGGATAATGGCCTCCAGCTCTATCCATGTCCCTGAAAAACATTGCTCTTTTTCTATTCCTAGTTATATCCATAGAAATGACCATTGATAGTTTTTGCTTACTCTGTCCCTCCAGTTTTTCCTTCCTCCAGCATATACACAAGGATTTTAATTTTACCCAATTGAAGTCTTACTTATCTACACCTTTTAACAAGTCATCATCAGTAATTTTGGAATAGGCATTAGATTCACATGGTTCAAGATTCAAACGAAAGAAAAGTATAAACAGTAAAAAGTCTCCTCATTCCTTTCCCTAAGCCACCCACTTCTCTTCAGAGGCAACTAATAAAAGTTTCTAGTTTTGCATTATTCTACACCTTGCTTTTTTCATTTAGCAATATATCTTGAAGAGCACATCTCCCTCTGTATTTAGCTTAATCCTTTTAGTGGATTTTTTTTTTATTTTTTGGGTATATCATAATTTATTTATGAATTTCATTGTTGAGAGACATTTAGTTTGTTTTTGAATGTGTAATACTACAAACCGTTGCGGTGAATTATCCTTATATATACATTTTCATGCACAAATGAGAGTACTTTTATAGTGTAGATTCCTAGAAGTAGAACTGCTAGGTCAGAAGGTATTCACATTTAAAAATTTTAAATTTGCTCATAGAATGAAGTCTTTGCTCATAGAATAGTCTTTGCTCAAATCTCACTTTACCAAAGAGGCCTATCGTGACCACTCTGCTTAATACTGTAACCTGCCCCTACTTCTCCCTGAACTTCTCTATCCATTGCACTCTATTCCTTTTCTAGCATAGTATATGGTTTACCTATTTATACTGCTTTTTGGTTACTGTCTTTTTCCCTCTGCTCCAAGAAACAGGAATGTTTGTTTTGTTCACTAATATATATTTCTAGCAGTTAGAATAGTGTTTGATGCTTAGTAGGCATTTAGTAAATATTTATTGAATAAATCGAATACATAAGCAAACAGTATCCAAAATTATCCTCCGTAAAAATGCCTAATTTCTTTTTTTTCCTCTGTATCTCAATGAATAAAAAAAAATACTGTCTTTCTTTACCCACTTATTTTGGATTTTTTTGGTCTTGTTTTTTGTTTGTTTGTTTGTTTTTGAGTTTGACAAATTTATTGGTATTTTATTAAAGACATTCATCTCAGTTGTTTCTCTCTCCCAGCTTGACCTTAGGTTAATATTTCATTTGGGTCAAGAAAAGAATATCAGAAGAGGTATGTTATTTTAACAAACAGGAAAATGGACAAAAATGGATAGTTTGCCTACATTAAAGTGAGTTAAATTCAAGTATCTTGATATAATTAAATCATATAAGAACTAAGAGTTCTATATACATTTCCATTGTTTTACCTGGGGCTTATTCTAAACTTAAATACTAGTTAACAAAGAGTTAGGAATATACACAGGTTGCTTCTCTGAGTTATTACCGACTAAAAGAGCTCAGCGAGCAGTTACCACCAATAAAACGGTCTGAAGCTGCCTCCAAATACAATATTGTAGTAGGAGTTTTCAAGGAAATTTTTATACTGTATTTTTTTTTGTCTGTGACTGTGCTTTTAAAGATGTGTTTAACTGTCACATTAAAAAAAAAGTTCGTATACAATACAAAAATACAAAAAGAAAACACCCTACAATACACAAATTCACAAAGTATGTGTGGTGAGATTCCAAAAAATGTTTGAAGATGCATTTTCTTTCCTTCTATTTCAGTATCTAAAATGTGCTTTTTGAGAGGCCATTGGTCAATATGTATACATTTAAAATAAACCATATAATTTTACTAGTAAGAAAGCCAGTAGTTAAGTTCAATTCAAATTGGATTTCACAAGTTAGTAATTTAAATCCTTGGACAAAGTTACAGAAAGTGCATCTTCTTGTTTTCCATCTTCATACAATGTTAAATTTTTTTTTTTTGGTGTTTATACCTTTTAAAAAATAAAAGCAGCCAAATACTTAAGCAATATGTACATTTAAATTTTTGGTGGTGGTTTGTATTTTAAAAGAAACAGTTTTCTTATGATTCGCTTCAAGTTCTGGTGGAAATGCTTACAGGAACTAGCTAATAAACAAAAAACAAGAGAAGCACATTCAAAATACTGATTTACTTTGGTAGCAAATGGTTTTTCTTTGAAGATTAATGAAGATAGACAAGACCCATTAAGGTGAAGTGGGCTATTTCAAATATTCAACAGTTTACATATAAAAAAGTTATTTTAAGAGCTAAGCGTCTGTATCCACTGATAGCAATGCAACACCTAGTTTATGATGACTTGAAAGAAAACAAATGCCCATGAAGAAAAAAGCTGTATTTTAATTTTATCTAAATGTACTTTCAGTCAATAGTTCAGTAACATTTTCCTCCCAATACAATACTCCCTCTCTCTATAAGGCTATTCCTGGGAGCCAGACAAGTTTAGGTAATAAGGGAGTTAAGAGAGTAACTGCTTGCAGTTTTAAATAGACAATTAACTTTTTGCTTCCCTCTTAATGTGCTAATAGTTGTGTCTAAAAAAATAGGCAATTCTTAAAAAGGTACCATTTCTGATTTCTTTATTATCTGTAAACTTTGGAAACTAATCACACAAAACTACCAAATTAGCAAATGTCTTGAAATCTGTATACAAAACATAAATTACCTCTAATTTCAAACTCTCATTTATTGGTGTACCACTCAATCTTTTAAAAAGATGAAAAAGAAAAAAAAAGTGGCTCCAAAGGTAGTCTTATACCATTCTTAAAAAAAGGAAACTGTTCTTTTTAACTTTATACCCACCCACACCCCAATTTCAAAACATCATTTAATTGTCTTGGTCATAGACATTTCGAAGATGAGATTTTATATTCCACTCCCATAGCTTCTGGTTATCAGAAAACCCATGCTTTCCTTTATTGAAGGAGTTTGGTCCAGCTGATGTTGGTGTATCCCTTGCAATATTCTTCATCCTCATCTTTGCTTCTGGAGGCCTTTCCTCTGATTCACTATCTTCATCTTCATTAAAAGCTGCTGCTACTGAAAGAGTTTTTGGAGCAAGAGTTGGAACAGTTTCTTTAGGCTTACTTGATCCAAGTTTGATGGATATGGGTGATGCTTTCTTTGTCGTCTGACTACCTATGGCAAATCCAAAGTTGGAGATCTTTGCAGGCTTTGTTGGAGGTCTGCAGCTTCTTCTTCAGCTGATCGCTTCTCAGCGCTGCGGCTGGAACTTTCCTCTCCATTACTCCAGCAGCTCCAGCTCATTGCGACTTTTCCGGCTTCTCCTCTCCCGCCTTCCCATCAGCCATTTCCCCCGCCGCATTGTTTTTTTAAGATTTCAGAAATCTTTCTAATACAAGTTGGGATATAAATAATTAGATATAGAAAATAGCTACAAGGTATTTCTTTTAACTTTCTCCACCCCCAGCTCCCAGCAGTCAAGAGTCAAGCCCTAAGTCTTGTCCTTTCTGTCAGAAATAGATACAAGAAGGATACAGCAAACACTGCTATAACACCTCTCTCATAGGATTCAAATCAGTGTGGAGATTATTATAGGCTCCAGATGAGTTAGGATATCTTTAAGTCTCAATTTAATAAAACTAATTGTTTTCCTGTGCTTTAAATATCTCTCCATTCTATATAAATATAATATAGATCTAACAGATGTAGTCTTGAAATAGATGGCTATAATGTCAGTGAAGTATTTTTTTCCTTATTTATATACATTATAACTTTCCTTATTTATGTACATTATAATTTTAAAGGCCTGATAGTCATAATTATTGATGTTCAGATTGGTAGTTATTTCTGTCTCTTATGTATTCAACTATAAACATTTAATCAAGTTTATGAGACCTAGATATTTAGCAGAGTTTTGGAGTAAATTATTTTATTAAACAAAGAATATAAAATAAACATTTCTACTTATGTTCCTGTTTTAATTTACCTCATTTATATGCATCTTGATATTGCATTTTCATATTCTAAAAACTATTTTTAAAGACAGGTTGATTCAGAATTACAGTGTACTTGAAAATCATCAGGTACCTATTATTAGTTTTCACCCACATTGAATCTGTGTTTCAGAAACTGTCTACCAAACTTTGTTTATTAAGTAATTATTTTCCCTAGTTTTATTCAAGATATACAAAGCTGCCAACTAGTGCTTTTCATCAGCATCAGGTAAATTGTGTTACTATACTGCGTTGAATTTTAGCAAAGGTAAAGTATTTGCTATTTTAGTTATTGTAGCTTTATTGAAAGCAAACATATAGGTTTTTTAAAGTATTGGAAAACTCGCCAGATTATCATTATATGACTTGGAACCCTAGAAACTCCCAGACCACGAGACTTAATGGTTAATGATCTCTTTCAGTTCTCTTTCAACTTGGAATTCTCTTATTCCAATGCCAACTCATTGCTCTTTTGGAAAGACCCATTCTTTCCTCTATTGTCTTGGTACCTCCTCAGGACATATTCCCCAAAGTGGAAATGTCAGTTTAAGATAATTTTCAGCATTGTGTAGAATAAGAATGGTTAGACAGCTGATGTCAGCAAGATGGTGGAATAGTAGCGCTGTCCTTCAGAAACACCAATTTTGACAACTACCATAGAAAGAATGCCTTTATATTTGAGCATACATGGAACATTCTCCAGGATCAATCATATGTCAGGCCATAAAACAAGTATTAATATATTTAAGAAGATTGAGATAATATCAAGCATCTTTTCTCACCATAATGGCATAAAACTAGCAAGCAAAAATAACAGGAAAACTGGGAAATACTCAAATATGTGAAAATTAAACATGTTCCTGAACAACCAATAGTCAAATAAGAAATCAAAATGGAAATTAAAAAAAAAAAATGTGATACAAATGAACATGGAAACAGCACATCAAGATTTGTGGAATGCAGCAAAACAGTTCCAATAGGAGATTTCATAGTGATAAACACCAACATGAAGGAAACAGTAGGACCCCAGATAAGTAACCTAACTTTACATCTCTCAGAACTAGGTAGAAAAAGAACAAATAAGCCCAAAGTAATAGAAGGAGGGGGATAAGAAAGATCACAGCAGAAATAAATGAAAGACTCAAAAAACAATAGAAAAGAGCAACAAAATGAAGAGTTTTTTTGAAAAGATAAACAAAATTGATAAACTTTTAGCTAGAATAAGAAAAAAAGAAGATTCAAATAAATAAAATCAGGAATGAAAGAGGAGACATTATGACTGATATCACAGAAATACAAAGAATCCTGAGAATACTTTGAACAAATTATATACTAACAAATTGGATGACCTGAAAGAGACAGATTGTTTGCCACATACTACCTGCTAAGACTGAATAGCAGAAGAAATAGAAAATCTGAATGACCAATAACAAATAAGGGACTGAATCAGTAATCAAAAATCTACCAATAGAGAAAAGCCTCAGGACCTGATGGCTTCACTGGTGAATTCTACCAGACATTTGAAGAATACCAATCCTTCTCAAACGTTTTCAAAAATTTGAATAGGAGGAAACACTTCCAAACTCATTTAACAAGGCTAGCATTACCTTGATACCAAAGTCAGGCAAGGGTATCACAAGAAAAGAAGATTATAGGTCAATATCCCTGATGAACATATGTGCAAAAATTGTCAACAAAATATTAGCAACAGCACATTAAAGGGATCATACATCATGATGAAATTGGATTTATCTCTGGGATTCAAGGATGGTTCAACATATGCAAATCTATAAATATACCACTTCAACAGAATGAAGGACAAATTATGTGATCATCTTAATAGATCCAGAAAAAGTGTTTGACAAAACTTAACATTCTTTCATGATGAAAACTCTCAACAAGTTAGGTATAAAAGGAATGTACCTCAACACAACAAAGGTTATACGTGATAAGCCCACAGCTAGCATTATACTCAGTGGGGAAACCTAAAATCTTTTCCTTTAAGATCAGGATCAAGACAAGGATCATTTGTCACTTGCATTCAACATAGTACTGGAAATCTAGCCAGAGATATTAGGCAAGAAAAAGAAATAAAAGACATTTGCTACAGTTTGAATGTTTTCCCCCTCTAAAACTCATGTTGAAACTTAATTCCCAATATGGTAGTATTAAAGATGGGGCCTTTAAGAGGTGATTGAGTCCTGAGGCCTCTGCCTTTATGAATGGATCAATCTATTCATGGATTAATTGGTTTTCCTGAGAGTGGCATCAGTGGCTTTATCCCAAGCTAACATCTTAGCATGCTCAGTTCTCTCACCATGCGATACCCTGCACCACCTCAGGACTCTGAGGACTCACAGCTATTATTCAAAAAGTCAGAAGATAACAGATGTTAGAGAGGATGTGGAGAAAAGGGAACTATTGTTCAATGTTAGTGGGAATGTAAATTGGTATGTCTTTTATGGAAAACAGTATGGAAGCTCCTCAAAAAATTAAAACTAAAACTACCACATGATTCAGCAATCCTACCTTTTGGTAGATATCCACAGGAAATGAAGTCAGTATGTTGAAGAGATACATACACTCCCATGTTCATTGCAGCATTATTCACAGTCGCAAAGATATGGAAACAACCTAAGTGTCTGTCATTAGATGTATAGATAAAATGTGGTACAGATTGTTTTAAACTAATGATTGGTTATATCCTGATAAACCCATTGTAAGTCAAAAATATCTTAAGTTAAAATTGCATTAAGATCATGACAAACCCAGTTGAAAAATCGCAAATTGAACCATTGTAAGTCAAGGACTATCTGTTATATATATTGGAATTTTATTCAGCCTTAAAAAAGGTAGGAAATCCTGCCATTTGCAAGAACACGGATGAACCCGAAGGACATTATGTTGTATTAGTCAGACACAGAAAGACAAATACTGCATGATCTCATTTATATGTAAAATCTTTAAAAAGTCAAATACATACAAACAGTAAAAAGGTGGTTAGCAGGGGTGGGGAGCCTGGGGAGAATGTGGAGATGTTTGTCAAAGGGTACAAACTTTCAGTTATAAAATGAATAAGGGTTAGATGTGGCAGCTCACGCCTATAATCCCAGCACGTTTGGAGACCAAGATAGGAGGATTGCTTTAGGCCAGAGTTAGAGACCAACTTGGGCAACATGGGGAGACCCCCATCTCTACGAAAAATTAAAAAAAATTTTACAGGCGGTGACATGTACTTGTAGTCCCAGCTACTTGGGACTCTGAGGTAGGAGGAGTGCTTGTGCACCCAGGAGGTTGAGGCTGCAGTGAGCTATTATTGTGCCACAGCAATCCAGTCTGGGTGACAGAGTGAGACCCTGTCATGAGACCTGTCTCAAAAACAAAAACAAAAAAAGTAGTAGTTCTGGACACTTAATTTACAGCATGGTTGATTATAGTTAATAATAATGTTTTGTATTCTTGAAATTCACTAAGAGAAATCTTAAGTATCCTTACGACATACACACAGACAAAATGGTGACTATGTGAAGTGATAGATATGTTAATTAGCTTAATTGTAGTGCAGTAGTGCCCCCTTATCCTCAGAGGATATGTTCCAAGACCCTCAGTAGATGCTTGAATCCACAGATAGTACTTAACCCTATATATACTATGTTTTTTCCTATCCTGTACATATATACCTGCATTAAAGTTTAATTTGTAAATTAGCCACAGTAAGAGATTAGTAACAATGACTAAGAAAATAGAACAATTATGACAAGATGCTGTAATAAAAAGTATGTGAATGTAGTCTGTTTCTCTCAAAATAGGTACTCCGCTCACCTGTTTTCAAACCATGGTTGACCATGGGAAACTGAAACTGTGGAAAGTGAAACCGTGGATATGGAATGACTGATGTAATCACTTCTTATTGTATAGATGTATCAAAATATCACATTGAACACCTTAAATATAAACTTTTTCGTTTGTCAATTGTACCTCCATAAAGCTGGAAAAAAATGTGACCTCATTTGTTTGTTGGTGATTTCCTTTTTTGAAACAGCACATGTCATATTTGGTAAAAGGAGTTGATATTGTTAATCCATATAATTGGATCTGAGTTGTAGGAATTAATCTCCTTACTCAATGGTTTTCAACCTTGTTTCCAAGAGTAGTAGATATCAGTTTTGTAGCTATTTTTCAGAAAAGCTAATTAGTAGCCCTTTGAGTATGGTGGCAGTTTTCTTTCCTATATGGTTATACCTTTTTGGATGGATCATTTTTGGGCTTTGAGCTCAATAATCTAAGCAGAGAGCTTGACCAGAAACTTAGTTCTAGGTAGGTTATGTATCATCTGTTCAGAAAATGAGGTCTGTAATGTCGTTCTTTGTGTGTGTGTATGTGTGTGTGTTACCCTTATTGATACTTACCAGTTTGCTATTAATGTGTGAATGGGAGCTGAAGAAACTATAGTGGAACCAACAGTCTTAACTTACACTTTGGTGGTTCAGTTGCTGCTTGTTTCTCTGAGCATATGGAGAAAAAAAAGAAAAAAAAACAAAGAGAGAAAAAGCCACTCTGTAGCTACTGCCACAACTTTTTTTTTTTTTCCTTTTTAGAACTACGCTAGTGTTAGTGCTGGACACTACAAGGCTCTTGGGGTAAAGTAGTGAATTAGATACAATATTTCTGCCTTCAGGATGCTTACATATTCATAGTTGAGATAGGGACAAATGAGCAAGCAAGCAAGTCACAGTTCAGTTAAGAGCTGACAGGTTTATGAACTGAGTTCCATAGGAGTTTTTCAAATTTATTTTAATTTTTCTGATCATATGCTGCATGATCTGTAAGAGTTCTTAAGGGAGGGAGTCCCAGGTGCTCAACTTTTGGGCAGATGGCCAGGTAAATCTGAATTTGCCAGGTACATGTTTTTCTGGAAATAGAATCAACTTTCTTACCCACAAAGGCATTGTGTAACTGGGTGACTGATTCACATGGTGTTCACCCCTGCATGTTGTTTCAAAAATGTGATTGAGTACAAGTAAGGTCAGTTTTTACATTCCTCTTCTTGGCTTTGCCACTCTTGCCTTTTACTTCTGTGCACATCCAAGAATGTCCTTAACACTAGACTGCTGTAAGCTCATATTATACAGGTGAAATTTTCTAGCGTCTTAGCCTGTTATTCCTTCTGTTCCTACGTATCACCTAGGTAAGGAGGAAATCTAGGAGCAAAAGATAAAGGCAGTTCTTCCCCCTATTTCTCTGTAATACCTTCATATTTCATTTAATGTAACCCTACTGCTAATTACTTATTACAGTCTCATGAACTATGCGTAAGGATATATCTTTTGACCCTGAGGTAGAGCACAAAAGCACATGTTTCTTATGACTTATTTTCATCTTTCATATTTCACAAAGTGCAAGCTAGATAGAACATTATTTTTAACTTTTGAAATTGCAACTTAAATTTATGTCAGTTGTGACAGCATACATAGTAGTACTTTTCTGATAGTTCCAGGATGATTTATGTCACCACTTGGTGGAGCTCTTTTATAAGTAAGTGCATTGTTTAAAAAAGCGAGTATAAGTTGTCACTAATTAGGGGTTATCATTAGATTGGTTCAAATGAACTCAACTAAATGATGGTATAATTGGTAATCTCTTCAAGTACTGAGTGTAGATTTTGTTTTAAACTGTAATGTATGTGATTAAAATTTTGATAAAGATTTTTCTCGAGTATTTCTAATTTTTCTCTCTCCTGCTTTATGTAAATGTAGCACTTATTGACTTTTCTCCTATTTTACAATTGTAGATAATTTAAAAAATGTATGCAGGATTAATAAGGAAAATGAAAACTGTTCGTAATCCTACCATGTAGAGATAATCGTGAACATTTTAATATATATTTTCATTTTCTCTTCTTTTTTGTTTTTTCACAAAATTGGAATCAAAATATGTGCAGAACTTTTTATTCTGTTTTTTTCTTAACGTTATATGTTGGGTATTTTTACATATCCCTTTAATATTCCTTGAAACTGTTTTGGGTTTTTATATTATTCTATGATATAGCTCTATCACAATATGTTTAACCATTCTGTTTTAAGATTTTTAGGCTCTTCCTACTATTTTTGCTATTATAAATAACTTTTCAAACATCTATTACACTAAATCTTTTTTTAATTTTTAAGTTTTGTGGGTACATATCAAGTGTACACATTTATGGGACATATGAAATGCCCTGATGCAAGCATGCAGTTCTGTTACTCTAAATCTTGACTCAACTCTATTTTTACTTGTTAAATTCTTAGCTATAAAACTGAGGTATTTTAAGGATTTTTATGTACCTTAACAAAATGTCCTTCAATTGACATTATTCTCAAATATGTTTGTTGAAAATATGTTTGTTGAAAGTACCTTTTTTTTTTTGCAAAGTGCTTGTTCTTTGCCCATTTTCCCCCCATTTTTTGTTCTTTTTTTGGTGTGTGTGGGGGAATTGTTTTGGCTAGGTAAGAATTACTTTTCTTCTGTTTCAACAATTTTTAAAGTGCTATCCTGAGTCCTTTTCATAATTTTCAAGAAAACACATCAGTTACAGATTTTAGGTTGCAAATTGTTGTTGGAAAAGGAGACCTGGACCTTAAAAGAGGAATCAGGCTGGAAAGCAGAATGAGATATGAGAATCATCTGTATATGAGATGATGAGGGCTGTAGGAGTGGATGAGAGTGCTGAGGAAAAAAGAGAATGGTGGGAAAAAAGCCCATGGAGTTGAGAAACCCCATGAAAAAGTTGTGAGAGGAAAAGAGAAGAGAATGAGGATGTGAGGGCATTTAAAAAAGCTACTGAAAAAAGTTGCATGGAGGTATACTGAAGGAGAAAAATTGCAACAGTGTCAGATGCTGCATAGAGGT
This sequence comes from Homo sapiens, assembly GCF_000001405.40. Lineage (NCBI taxonomy): Eukaryota > Metazoa > Chordata > Mammalia > Primates > Hominidae > Homo > Homo sapiens. Next base: position 48,336,096 of record NC_000013.11, read on the forward strand.
CTTTCTGGATTTTGCATCCATGTTCATCAGGGACATCAGTCTAAAATTCTCTTTTTTTGTTGTGTCTCTGCCAGGCTTTGGTATCAGGATGATTTTGGCCTCATAAAATGAATTAGGGAGGATTCCCTCTTTTTCTATTGATTGGAATAGTTTCAGAAGGAATGGTACCAGCTCCTCTTTGTACCTCTGGTAGAATTCGGCTGTGAATTCATCTGCTCCTGGACTTCTTTTGGTTGGTAGGATATTAATTACTCCCTCAATTTCAGAACGTGTTATTGGTCTATTCAGGGATTCAACTTCTTCCTGATTTAGTCTTGGGAGGGTGTATGTGTCCAGGAATTTATCCATTTCTTCTAGATTTTCTAGTTTATTTGCGTAGAGGTGTTTATAGTATTCTCTGATGGTAGTTTGTATTTCTGTGGGATCTGTGGTGATATCCCCTTTATCATTTTTTATTGCATCTATTTGATTCTTCTCTCTTTTCTTCTTTATTAGTCTTGCTAGTGGTCTATCAATTTTGTTGATCTTTTCAAAAAGCCAGCTCCTGGATTCATTAATTTTTTGAAGGGTTTTTTGTGTCTCTATTTCCTTCAGTTCTGCTCTGATCTTAGTTATTTCTTGCCTTCTGCTAGCTTTTGAATGTGTTTGCTCTTCTCTAGTTCTTTTAATTGTGATGTTAGGGTGTCAATTTTGGATGTTTCCTGCTTTCTCTTGTGGGCATTTAGTGCTATAAATTTCCCTCTACACACTGCTTTACATGTGTCCCAGAGATTCTGGTATGTTGTGTCTTTGTTCTGATTGGTTTCAAAGAACATCTTTATTTCTGCCTTCATTTCGTTATGTACCCAGTAGTCATTCAGGAGCAGGTTGTTCAGTTTCCATGTAGTTATGCGGTTTTGAGTGAGTTTCTTAATCCTGAGTTCTAGTTTGATTGCACTGTGATCTGAGAGACAGTTTGTTATAATTTCTTTTCTTTTACATTTGCTGAGGAGAGCTTTACTTCCAACTATGTGGTCAATTTTGGAATAAGTGTGATATGCTGAGAAGAATGTATATTCTGTTGATTTTGGATGGAGAGTTCTGTAGATGTCTATTAGGTCCGCTTGGTGCAGAGCTGAGTTCAATTCCTGGATATCCTTGTTAACGTTCTGACTCATTGAACTGTCTAATGTTGACAGTGGGGTGTTAAAGTCTCCCATTATTATTGTGTGAGAGTCTAAGTCTCTTTGTAGGTCTCTAAGGACTTGCTTTATGAATTTGGGTGCTCCTGTATTGGGTGCATATATATTTAGGATAGTTAGTTCTTCTTGTTGAATTGATCCCTTTACCATTATGTAATGGCCTTCTTTGTCTCTTTTGATCTTTGTTGGTTTAACGTCTGTTTTATCAGAGACTAGGATTGCAACCCCTGCCTTTTTTTGTTTTCCATTTGCTTGGTAGATCTTCCTCCATTCCTTTATTTTGAGCCTATGTGTGTCTCTGCACGTGAGATGGATCTCCTGAATACAGCACACTGATGGGTCTTGACTCTTTATCCAATTTGCCAGTCTGTGTCTTTTAATTGGAGCATTTAGCCCATTTACATTTAAGGTTAATATTGTTATGTGTGAATTTGATCCTGTCATTATGATGTTAGCTGGTGATTTTGCTCGTTAGTTGATGCAGTTTCTTCCTAGCCTCGATGGTCTTTACAATTTGGCATGTTTTTGCAGTGGCTGGTACCAGCTGTTCCTTTCCATGTTTAGTGCTTCCTTCAGGAGCTCTTGTAAGGCAGGCCTGGTGGTGACAAAATGTCTCAGCATTTGTTTGCCTGTGAAGGATTTTATTTCTCCTTCACTTATGAAGCCTAGTTTGGCTGGATATGAAATTCTGGGTTGAAAATTCTTTTCTTTAAGAATGTTGAATATTGGCCCCCACTCTCTTCTGGCTTGTAGAGTTTCTGCTGAGAGATCCACTGTTAGTCTGATGGGCTTCGCTTTGTGGGTAACCCTACCTTTCTCTCTGGCTGCCTTAACATTTTTTCCTTCATTTCAACTTTGGTGAATCTGACAATTATGTGTCCTGGAGTTGCTCTTCTCGAGGAGTATCTTTGTGGCATTCTCTGTATTTCCTGAATTTGAATGTTGGCCTGCCTTGCTAGGTTGGGGAAGTTCTCCTGTATAATATCCTGCAGAGTGTTTTCCAACTTGGTTCCATTCTCCCTGTCACTTTCAGGTACACCAATCAGATGTAGATTTGGTCTTTTCACAGAGTCCGGTATTTCTTGTAGGCTTTATTTGTTTCTTTTTACTCTTTTTTCTCTAAACTTCTCTTCTTGCTTCATTTCATTCATTTGATCTTCCATCACTGATACCCTTTCTTCCAGTTGATCGAATCAGCTGCTGAAGCTTGTGCATTCATCACGTAGTTCTCGTGCCATGGTTTTCAGCTCCATCAGGTTATTTAAGGATTTCTCTACACTGGTTATTCTAGTTGGCCAGTTGTCTAATCTTTTTTCAAGGTTTTTAGCTTCTTTATGTTGGGTTAGAACTTCCTTCTTTAGCTCGGAGAAGTTTGATCATCTGAAGCCTTCTTCTTTCAAATCGTCAAAGTCATTCTCCATCCAGCTTTGTTCCGTTGCTAGCGAGGAGCTGCGTTCCTTTGGAGGGGGAGAGGCACTCTGATTTTTAGAATTTTCAGCTTTTCTGCTGTTTTTTCCCCATCTTTGTGGTTTTATCTACCTTTGGTCTTTGATGATGGTGACGTACAGATGGGGGTATGGTGTGGATGTCGTTTCTGTTTGTTAGTTTTCCTTCTAACAGGACCCTCAGCTGCAGGTCTGTTGGAGTTTGCTGGAGGTTGACTCCAGACCCTGTTTGCCTGGGTATCAGCAGTGGAGGCTGCAGAACAGTGAATATTGCTGAACAGCAGATGTTGCTACCTGATCGTTCCTCTGGAAGCTTCGTCTCAGAGGGGTACTCAGCTGCGTGTGGTGTTAGTCTGCCCCTAGTGGGGTGTGCCTCCCAGTTAGGCTACTCAGGGGTCAGGGACCCACTTGAGGAGGCAGTCTGTCCATTCTCAGATCTCAAACTTCATGCTGGGAGAACCACTACGCTCTTCAAAGCTGTCAGACAGGGACATTTAAGTCTGCAGAGGTTTCTGCTGCCTTTTGTTCGGCTATGCCCTGCCCCCAGAGGTGGAATCTACAGAGGCAGGCAGGCCTCCTTGACCTGCGGTGGGCTCCACCCAGTTCAAGCTTCCTGGCCGCTTTGTTTACCTACTCAAGCTTCAGCAATGGCGGGCGCCCCTCTCCTAGCCTCGCTACTGCCTTGCAGTTTGATCTCAGACTGCTGTGCTAGCAATGAGCGAGGCTCCGTGGGTGTGGGACCCTCCGAGCCAGGCACAGGATATAATCTCCTGGTGTGCTGTTTGCTGAGACCATTGGAAAAGCGCAGTATTAGGGTGGGAGTGACCCGATTTTCCAGGTGCCATCTGTCACAGCTTCCCTTGGCTAGGAAAGGGAATTCCGTGACCCCCTGTGCTTCCCAGGTGAGGTGATGCCTCGCCCTGCTTTGGCTCACACTTGGTTGGCTGCACTCACTTTCCTGCACCCACTGTCTGACAAGCCCCAGTGAGATGAACCTGGTACCTCAGTTGGAAATGCAAAAATCACCTGTCTTCTGCATCGCTCACACTGGGAGCTGTAGACTGGAGCTTTTCCTATTCGGCCATCTTCTAGTCTTTAATTTTTCATCTGTATGATGAGAAGTGAATCCAATGACTTTTTTAGATTGAAAAATTTTGAATCAAACTCAACTAAAATGAACAAAATATATGAAACTACAATAATGAAGACGTTATGATATTGGTGAAAAAAGACAAGTAAATCAATGGAACAGAACAGATAATCCAGAAGTAGACCCACATATATATATTATTATAAGTTCATTTTCTACAGAGGTGCGAAGGTAATGGAGGAAGGATATTCTTCTCAACAAATAATGCTGGAGCAATTGGGTATCCAAATGCAGAAAATGAACTTCAATCCTTACCTCACACCATTTATAAAAACTAACCAGAAATGAAGCATAGACCTAAACTTCTAGAAGATGACATAGGAGAAAGTCTTAATGAGCTTGGGTTAGGCAAAGATTTCATAGATACCTACCACTGAAAACATAACCCATAAAAGAAAAAAAATGAATAAATTGAGCTTAATCAAAATTAAAAACTTCTATTCCTTGAAATATACTTCTTATGGAAGTCAAAACACAAGCTGCATCTGAAATAAAGGTTACATTTTGCTCATAGGAAAGTTCTTCAGGTCCTTAAAAATCAGAACCTACTTGTAGAACATTTCACTTATGCATTTTATCATATCAGATGATCCTGTGTTTCATTGTTTTGACTACTAAATGTTCTAATAAAATTCGCTGTTTTAAAAAAATGAATAAACAACATACTAAATTTTAGCAACTTTCGCTTCATTTTTTAATCTTTAAAAGAGAGAGAGAGAAAAAAAAAGGCTGGAATTGATGAAAGGACATATATTGAGAGCAGTTATTGCCTGAGTGCAAAGAAACAAACCAAAATGGTAAGAAATAAGCATAAAAATTTAAAGACTATGGTAGTTGGGGTTATTTATTAAAGAGACAAACAACCTTTGACATCTTATTAGTTCCCAAGAAATTGACCATATTAACATAAACACAAATACAGAAGTTGATTTTTGTTCATTTTATTAAAATATATATTTTTAATTAGTCTTGAAAACAGTGAAGCAGTGTATACTTTGTATCTTCAATTTCAGAAACAGTAAGTATGTAACATAGTTTCAAAATCAGATTTATTGAGGTATAATTTACATACACAAAATATGCCAATTTTAAGTGCACAGTTCAATACGTTTTAACAGACATATTCACTCATATAATCACCACCATTAAGATATAGAACTTTTTGATCACTCCAGAAAGTTCTTTCATTCCCCTTTGCAGTCATTTCCCAACACCTCCCCTCTGTTCCGCAGGCAACTACAGATCTACTTTTTGACTTTAAAGATTGGTTTTGCCTTTTCTAGAATTTCATATGAAAGGAATTATTCAATGCATCCTTTTGAGTCTGGCTTTTTCTCAGTGTAATAATTTTGAGATTTATCTATATTGTTATATATATTAGGACATTTCCTTTTGATTTTCAAATAACATTCCATTGTAGGGATATACCCCAATTTATTTTTCCATGCACTTCTTTTTTTTTTATATTTGGGTTGTTTGTAGTTTTTGGCCATTATGACTGAAGCTGCTATGAACATTCACATATAATGTTTTCATTTCTCTTGGGTATGAATATCTGGGAGTAGAATTGCTATGTGTTATGAAAAGTGCATATTTAACTTTATAAGAACTTCCAAACTTGTTTTCCAAAATGATTGTGCCATTTTACATTTTCACCAGTGATGTTTAAGTGTTCCATTGCACTACATCCTCACTGACCCTTGATATTGTCAGTCTTTTACATTTTAGCTATTCTAGTGGGTGTATAATTGTAATTTAAGTTGTAAAATATTTACATCCCAAGTAGCTAAAATTAAGAAAAAGTTTAGAGTTGGATGGTGGTAAACCTTTAATTACCTGTAAAATTTGGTAATCTGGAACAACTCACTTATCCTAAAGCTTTTATATAATTGATATTTCAAAATAATGTAAGATGGTATTACATGCTTTTTAGCTCTATTGTAATCTCCAGTTAAGAGTAAGTAAATAGTTCCAACTATTTAATGAACATTAATTTGACATTTCTTTTGTTTCCAACTTAATGTAATCCAAAATTACCCATAAAATGTAATATTTAGGGGTGGTATATATTGTGGGGAAAAATGTGTTCTAAAGATAATGAAAAAGTACTCTAGTGATAATGATAGCCATCAATCATTAAGAACTGACTGTATACTATATACTACGCCAAAGGCTTTATAAATATAATTTCATTTAATTGTTACAAAATGGGGTACATATTCTTATTTTGATTTTACAAAGACAGTTAAGGAACTGAAACATGAAATACAAGGTTAAAAATAATTGAATAAATAAATTGATAAAAGGAATGAATGAATAGAGCAAGGAAAGAATAAGCGAATAAGAACGTGGGCTTGTTTTTTTCAAACAAATTATATGTTATGGACTCTAGATCTCTTAACTTAGCTTCAGTGACATTGGATTATTGAAAAATGAAACTATTTTGAGGAATTGACTGACCCCTAAAGTTTCCACAATAACTTATTTAATTTTTTATCTTTCTAATACTTTTTTGCCTTATAATATAAAATTTGAATGTTTGTTATTAGTGTGAAATGAAATCCTTTCAAATATATGCCATCAGAAGGATGTGTTACAAATATACAGTATTACAAACATTTATTTTGTATGCTGAATAAGAAAAAATCAGTTATAATACAGTTTTAACATAGTATCCAGTGTGTGAATTATTTAATGAAATATTTGATCTTTATTTTTTGTTCCCAGGGAGGTTATATTCAAAAGAAAAAGGAACTGTGGGGAATCTGTATCTTTATTGCAGCAGTTGACCTAGATGAGATGTCGTTCACTTTTACTGAGCTACAGAAAAACATAGAAATCAGGTAAAGTTTCTTGTATAAATATAAGCCTCTGCCATAAAAGGAAACGAATTCTGGATTTTCCTCTCAATAGACTTTTGTGAATTAGTGAGAAATGCTAAAATAAAGTAAAACAAAAAGAACTTGGACCAAATAGTGAACTGCCATTCTCTCATGGAGCCGTTATGAAAGTGTATTTATGCTGTATTTCTTTAAGAGGTAGCAGTTTGTGTCCTGGAAAAATTTTCATTGTGTCTCTCACTATTCATGTGTAAGCTTTCTTAATTGTGGCTGTTAATAAAGTGAACAGAAAAGCAAGGATTTGTAAATAGGCTTGTTTTATATTAAAACCTTTATATAAGTAGTTTGAGTTTATCTTAAAGGTATTTAGGTAAGATTTATTAAAGCCTAAGATTGTTTTAACTAGAGGATATTATAACTAAATGCTTTTTTTCAGATTATATATTGATTTGAACATGCTACAATACTTGAACCAGTTAATTACTTAATAGGTGTTTGTTGTTGAGTTTATAAGCCTCATAAGAAGAGTTTATTAATGTGTTTTCAATAATGTATGAACTTTATCTTCAGAAAGTATCCAGGACTTCCAGTCATTTTCTTTGCAACATATTTACAAAAATGCAACAGTATGTATTTTTACCAAATAGGTAATTATGTTTCTCCTTGAACAAAGACATCTAGAATTAAACATAATTGATATTTTATTTAAACGAGATAGATTAAATTGTTGCATTTTTGAAATACTTTTTTTGCTATATCTAAATAAAATGTGGAAACAAAGGCCTTGTATATTTGTAAATATACAAAATAATAGAAATGACATAAATAGTTCATAGAGTCAATACCTGCAACACCACAGGCACTCACTGCTTCTCTCCCTTCCTTGTTTTCTTCCCTTAAGTTTCCCCTAGAAAAAAGGCTTTGTTGTAACAATTCAGTTTTCATGGTAATCTCAGGACAGGTATTGCCATATACCTCAAAAAAACTGGAACTGAGAGTAGTTCTTTAATAAATGCTATTCTGAGGCTGATTTCTTTTTCTTTGGATATATCTGCACTTTTGTTCCTTTCTCTTTTCTCTTCTAATCAACATTCTGATCTTCTATTCTTTGTCATTTCTACTCTTTCTTTATTTGCTTTTTCACATAGCTTGTCATGGCTCCCCCATTCCTTTCTGTATCATAGGAACTTTAATAACCTTTTGGTTCCCCTGCTGATTAGCTGAAGCTTTTATTTCCCCAGTGTTTGATTGGTCCAGCCCATTTTTTTGAGTGAGGGCTATAACTCATTGGTTGCTGGACAGCCTATGGATGGGTCAGGTGACTATCTTTTGTTTCAGTTAGCTGCTTTGGTATAATTCCTTATACAAAATTCATGATTAGAAATTAGCATGTGAGATGTAGTTGATGATTGCTATCTTTAATATCCTATTGGAAAATGTATATATTGATGTTTCAAATACGTTAATTTTTATGGAAAAGAGTAACGAAGAGTGATTTAAAGTTATTATTTAAACTGCTTAAATTATTTAAATCAACTTTCCTTTTCCAAAAATAATTCAATTCTAAAATCATTGGTGGGGCAAATAAAGTATGCATTTTGGTGTGTATCTCTGACAGGAGGGTGCCACAGGGCCCAGAGCAGGATGTTAGAGTCAAAGTAGGGTGAGGAGGGCATCCTTTGTGTGGGGGCAACCTGATGGGGCTGCTTTGTGTGCAGTGTCAGAGACTAAGCAGGGTGTGCAGGCAGCCGGTGCACAAGTGAGGTGAGGAGGGCAGCCTGCTGTGGGGAGTCAGAACCCTTCCACAGTGAGGAAGTGTCTATGCTAAGGGGTGGGGTAAGTCCAGAACTGGGAGTCAGTTCTGAGAAGAACAGAAAAGTGTCCACACGGGGGAGGGGGTGGCTTTGGAGATAGAAAATGGTTACTTACAGGGGGATTGATTAAATGAGTAAGTAAACTGAGGATGAATGGGTTCCAGGTTTCCCACTGTCAATGAAGAGTTACAAATATAGAAAGGGAAACACTAAAATGAAGCATATGGTTTTATATTGGAATTGGATGAATGGATGTGAACTCATGTTTTTTAAAACACATAGACAGATACAGAATAAATATACGCATATCTCTTCTTGACCCTTCGTTTTCTTATATTCTCAATGATGAATAGATATAAGCATAGGTATATAGATAATAGAGGTGTAAGTTGAAGGCTAATTATTTTTGCAAAAAGTAATTCCTTCCAAAGGATATAGTAGTGATTTGATGTAGAGCTGATAATCTTTTGAATTGAAATATCTATGATTTGAAAACGAAATAACACAAATTTTTAAGGTTACTGATTTACTTTTTTCTATTCTTTCCTTTGTAGTGTCCATAAATTCTTTAACTTACTAAAAGAAATTGATACCAGTACCAAAGTTGATAATGCTATGTCAAGACTGTTGAAGAAGTATGATGTATTGTTTGCACTCTTCAGCAAATTGGAAAGGTAAAGTAAACATTTTATTAGGTTTACACTCTGATTTTTTATGTCATTGTTCACAATTAGATTCTGGGAATTATTTAACACATTTAGTAAAGTTAGTAAGTATTAATTCTTAGACTTGTCCCTTTTAATGTTAGCTCATTAATTCTTAGCTTTCTTATTTATCCAGTAATATGCATTCTGAATGCTTCCTGGAAAATTAACCGTTTTATTATCCTTTCATGTCTTCCATTTGTTTTCAAAAACTTTAAGCTTATCTCCCATTTTAGCCTTCTTTGCCAGAAAACTTCTAGTTCTGAATAGAATGGTGACATAAATTTAAACTTCTTCCTAATAGTGTTATTTAGTTTGGAACGAGAAAACACTTGCAATGGATGGTGTATGTGACCTATACTATAAAGTAATGATTTGTACTCCCAATGGTGGCTTAGAGGACTTTTTCCATTACAGTTCGAGTAGGAGCATAATTAATATGCTTAGGTTAAGTTTTTTCTATACTTTTCATCAAAACTGTACTTCCCTACCCCAAATGTTTCAGCCCTTAATTTGGCATATGTCTGTTATCATGTTTGTTTTGAGGCTCATTTCATTTGCGGTTAAGAGAATATGAAAGTTACAGTGTTAGCTAAATAAGCAATTGTGTAATAGCATGGTAAAGGGAGAAGGGTAAAAGAGGCATGGCCCTATTCTGGAGAGAATGAGGATGGAGATAGAGGTGGAAAGAAGCATCTCCTTAGGAGGATGGCTCTATTTTCTCCCCCTTTTTCTTTTTTGACCACTAAAACTTCACAACTGTGGTGGAGGATGAGAAAAATTAGAGAAAAAACTCAAAGGCCTAGGGCTTTTGAAGGACTGTCTTTTCTTGCCCCTGGTTTTAATTGTAATATGGTAGCATTGGCCATCTTTTTTTTTTTTTTTTTTTGGTCTTTTCTTGATGAGAATAGAAGCTTTTTGCACAAGAAAAAGGGAAATTTTTAATTATTAATGGAGATAAATTATCTAAATAATTTGCATAACAAACATGAACTAATTATAGAATACTTGGAAAACACAGAAAGGCATAAATAAAATATGAATCGACCAAAATGTCAACAGTGGAGAGAATCACTTTTCATATTTTAGAATGTTTCTTTCCTTTGGGTATTGTTTCACATTGAGTAGAATATTATATATATGTGTGTGTGTGTGTGTGTGTGTGTGTGTGTGTGTGTGTGTGTGGCTTTTAAAATTTACCTAATTGTGACTTTCTAAATTTTTTTCTATTCTTTAAACTTGTTTACAACCTTTTTAATTCATATCTGGTAGCTTATTTTAATATGATCCTAAATACAATGTTGCTTTAGAGTTTTTTTGGTACAATATTATTTAGGCCCCTGAAAAACTGGAAACAACTGATATTCACAGCTGAAGTTAAACAATACATATTAAACATATCTAAACATAAAATGTTATAAATATAAAATAAAATGTGATAAAGAATAATGGCAATATTGGCAAGTGCTTCTAATGTTAAACAAATGAAGCAGGATATACTCTGATTATGACTGTGTGTAAGGAAGAAACCTAGACCACTAACGCATAGAATGAAATGACTGGAGAGAAGTTTACCACAATGTTAACCCAAGTTTTATATGAGTAACTTACATTTGTAAGGAGGATGTATTACCTTTCTAGTAAACAAAGCAAGCAAAAACTTCTTTAAGCCAACTTTAATGAGTATTCTATACATATAAGTACTTTAAGATCTATAATCATCAGGGTTTTTTTTTTTCTAGATATAGAATTTGGGGACTCATTGGTAGGAGTGATTTGGGGTACAGTTCTGATTTTTTTTCCTGCTATAGTAATTTCGACTGGATGCTTCCAAGTTGTTTGCTCTGCTGTCTGAGATAAGGAATCTGCTTGGATATTTGTTTCTGTTGTAAGAAGCAGGAATTACATAGTGGACAAAGCATTACATTGTATATGTTTAAGGGTGAAGGGTAACTATAGTGGTGATTTTGGTCAGAGAAAAAACCATAGAAGGCAATGTCCGAATAGGGTTTACAGGAAAAATAGAAATTCACCAAGCAAAATGAGTGGGAACTGGGAGCGAGCATCTTAGAGATTAGCATGTGTACAAAGCCAAAGCAGTGATATCAGGATGTACTTTGATATTGCTAATGGCTGAAAGGTAAGAAGGGATCAGATTGGTAGTAATCTTGGGCTTTGCCCTGCAGGCAGTGGAAACTCCTTGAATGATTTTAAACTAGGGAGTAACAGTTGGATTTGGCCTCAAAAGACCACTCAGGACTTTGTAAAAGGGATTTAAAATTTTTATTGACAAATCATATGAGATAATTTAAAGAGTAAACTTTACTAACCTTAGGTGGATCAGCTGGGTGTTTTCTATCTTATTTATACCTTTTTTTTGAAGACTAATTGAGAGGATTAACTGTAATTATATATTAAAGTGATGTGAGATGTCATAAATTGGGAAAATCTACTTGAACTTTGTTTTATAATGCTATATATTTTTTGTTTTTAAAATATATACTTCTTAAAAGAAGATAAATAAAGCATGAGAAAACTACTATGACTTCTAAATTACGAAAAAATGTTAAAAAGTCATAATGTTTTTCTTTTCAGGACATGTGAACTTATATATTTGACACAACCCAGCAGTTCGTAAGTAGTTCACAGAATGTTATTTTTCACTTAAAAAAAAAGATTTTTATGGAATAATCTCAAACATCTTGATAGTTAGGGTTAGTTTGATCGATTATAGCAGGCTACTTCATAAATTAAGCCCATAGATTTAAGTCCTGTGTAGATTATTTATCTTCTCACAAAGAAAATAGTATAAAATACATGCCTTGTACTACAAAGAAGAACTAATAAGGTGGAATTGATTCAGGACAGCATATCACCAACTCTGAGAAAAATGCAACAAATGCAAATTCATTGACTAAATCTTTATTGAGGGTCTGTTACAGGCACTTTATTAACTAATAATCAGCATAATTTCTGTGTGAGAATAAATGTAAAAATCTGTATTAAAATTTCCAAATGATTATTTTAAATGTATAATGCATGCTCTAACAGTATGCCCATGTAGAGCTCCAGAGTTTTTTCTTGGAAACAGAATGAGTAGTACATGAGATTTTCTGCCTCATTGGAGTAGTATTGAAGATAATTAATATAAAGGGAAATTGTATATTTACTGATTAATTGATATCAATCTATTAATTCCAACAAGTGAATGTCTCTGGAAAGATTATCAAGGCAAAGTGTTAAATTGGCAAACTAAAGTCATCCAAACCTTCATTTTTCTGCTCACAGTGTTGATAATTAATCAGAAAAAAGAGCAAAAAATATTAAGGTAATTTGAAACAAAGTATGTTATAACATACTATGTTTTTTATATATTTTTATATTAGAATTGAAATATTCAGTATTTCTTTTACAAAATTTTTCTTTCAAAATGTATACTTTTTTTTCTTAATTTTTTTTTTTGCAGCTTCTCATGGTCAAGAATGTATACTATTCTGTGGGCTAAATATCATATCTTAGAATTATAAGACATAGAAACATTAAATGAATAGAGATAAACTCAGGTGTAAATTATGCAATTAAAATGGACTGCATTCTATTATGCATTTAACTAAGGTCATTTTTTTTTTAATGCACAAAAAGAAACACCCAAAAGATATATCTGGAAAACTTTCTTTCAGTGATACATTTTTCCTGTTTTTTTTCTGCTTTCTATTTGTTTAATAGGATATCTACTGAAATAAATTCTGCATTGGTGCTAAAAGTTTCTTGGATCACATTTTTATTAGCTAAAGGTAAGTTCATTATATTTATTAAATGCTAATATTTCAAATGTAATAATTAAATTGGCATTCCTTTGGACTAAATTCCCCAATTTTTATTGAGTAATGTACTCCTCCCTCATTCTCTGCTTGGCTTATTAACTGTTAGCAAGTTCCTATAATTCTGGTACTAGAAACAACCTTGGAAATGCTTTATTTAATTTTTGTTTCTAATATTCCATCTTCCCTCCCTTTCTTTTTTTTGAAGAATAATGATGTTACTGTTTTCATAAAAATGATATTTGCTCATGATAAATAATTCAAATAAAATAATTTTGGTCACAAAAGCACAAAGAAAAATTATCTAAAATCCACCCAGGGATAATCGGCATTAAAATTACATAATTGGGATGCAGTTAAGGTATAGAATTTTTATTATTTTTGTTTGTTTATGCAAACAGTGTTAACTTGTTATCAGTTGAAATAATGGGTTATAAGATAGTATTTGCAAGCCTCATAGTAACCTCAAACCAAAAAACATACAATGTAGACATGAAAAATAAAAAGCAAGAAACTAAAGCATATCATCAGAGAAAACTACTTTCACTAAAGGAAGACAGAAAGGAAAGAAAGAAGGAAGAGAAGACCACAAAACAACCAGAAAACAAATAACAAAATGACATGAGTAAGTCCTTACTTACCAATAATAACGTTGAACATAAATGGACTAAAGTCTCTAATTAAAAGACACAGACTGGTTGAATGATGGAAAAACAAGACTCATTTGATCTGTTTCCTACAAGAAACACACTTTGCCTATAAAGACACATACCGACTGAAAATAAAGGGATGGAAAAATATATTCCATGCCCACAGAAACCAAAATAAGAGCAGGGGTCACTATACTTATATCAGACAAAATAGATTTCAAGAACAAAACTGTAAGGACAAAGAAGGTCATTATATAATGATAAAGGGGTCAATTCAGCAAGAGGATATAACAGTGTTAAATATTTATGCAACTAATACTGGAGCACCCAGATATATAAAGCAAATATTATTAGAGCTAAAGAGAGACATAGGCCCCAATACAATAGAAATAGCTGGAGACTTCAACACCCCACTTTCAGCATTGGACAGATCTTCCAGACAGAAAATCAACAAAGAAACATCAGACTTAATCTGCACTATATAGACCATATGAATCTAATAGATATTTACAGAACATTTCATCCAAGAATATACATTCTTCTTGTCTGCATATTGATCATTCTCAAGGATAGACCATGTGTTAGGCTTAAAACATTAAAAAAGCATGAAATAATATCAAGCATATTCTCTGATCACAATAGAATAAAACTAGAAATTAATAACAAGGTATTTTGGAAACTGTACAGATACATGGAAATTAAACAATATGCTCCTGAATGGCCATGGGTCAATGAAGAAATTAAGAGGGAAATTAAAAAAATTTTTGAAACAAATAATGGAAACATAACAAACCAAAACCTATGGGATACAGTAAAAGCAGTACAGAGGGAAGTTTATAGCTGTAAGTGCCTACATCCCAAAAGAGGAAAACATCTTTTTTTAAAAAAACTTTTAGGTTCAGGGGTACATGTGATGGTTTGTTACATAGGTAAACTTGTGTCACAGGGGTTTGTTGTACAGCTTACTTCATCACCCAGGAATTAAGCCCAGTATCCAATAGCTATTTTTTCTGTTCCTCTCCCTCTTCCCACTTTCCACCTTCAAGTAGACCCCAGTGCCTGTTGTTTCCATCTTTGTGTTCTTCAGTTTTCATCATTTAGCTCCCACTTATAAGTGAGGCCATGCAGTATTTAGTTTTTTATTCCTGCATTAGTTTGCTAAGGATAATAGCCTCCAGCTCCATCCATGTTCCTGTGAAGGACATGATCTCATTCTTTTTTATGGGCTGCATAGAATTCCATGGTATATATGTACCACATTTTCTTTATCCATTCTGTCATTGATGAGCATTTAGGTTGATGCCATGTCTTTGCTTTTGTGGATAGTGCTGCAGTGAACATTCACGTGCTTTTGTCTTTATGGTAGAATGATTTCTATTCCTTTGAGTATGTACTCAGTAATGGGATTGCTGGGTCCAAGGGTAGTTCTGCTTTTAGCTCTTTGCGGAATTGTCAGACTGCTTTCTACAATGTTTGAACTAATTTACACTCCCAACCAAGAGTGTATAAGTGTTCTCTTTTCTTTTGCAACCTCACCAGTATCTGTTATTTTTTGACTTTATAGTAACAGCTATTCTGACTGGTGTGAGATGATATCTCATTGTGGTTTTGATTTGCATTTCTCTAATGATCAGTGATATGGAGCTTTTTTTTCATATGCTTATTGGCTGCATGTATGTCTTCTTTTGAAAAGTGTCTGTTCATGTGCCTTGCCCACTTTTTAGTGGGGTTGGTTTTTTTTCTCTTGCAAATTTGTCTAAATTCCTTATAAATGCTGGATATTAAACCTTTGTCAGATGCATAGTTTGCAAAATTTTTCCCCATTCTGTAGGTTGTTCATTTACTCTGTTGATTGTTTCTTTTGCTGTGCAGAAGCTCTTGAGTTTAATTCAATCCCACTTGTCAATTTTTGATTTTGTTGTGATTGCTTTTGGTGTCTTTATCATGAAGACTTTGCCTGTTCCTATGTCTAGGATCTATTTTTTTTTTTTGAGACAGAGTCTCACTCTGTCACCCAGGCTGGAGTGCAGTGGCACAATCTCGGCTCACTGCAACCTCTGCCTCCCGGGTTTAAGTGATTATCTTGCCTCAGCCTCCTGAGTAACTGGGACTACAGGTGTGCACCACCATGCCCGGCTAATTTTTGTATTTTTACTAGAGATGGGGTTTTACTATGTTGGCCAGGCTGGTCTTGAACTCCCTACCTCAGGTGATCCATGCACCTCAGCCTCCCAAAGTGCTGGGATTACAGGAATGAGCCACCACACCTGGCCTGGCCATCTTCAATCCATCTTGAGTTGATTTTTGTATATGGTGTAAGGAATGGGTCCAGCTTCAATCTTCTGCATATGGCTAGCCACTTATCCTAGCACCAGTTAATGAAATGGGAGTCTTTTCCCCATTGCTTGCTTTTGTCAGCTTTGTCAAAAAGATCAGCTGGTCCTAGGTGTGCAACCTTATTTCTGGGTGCTCTATTCTGTTCCATTGGTTTACATTATTCTGAAAAAAATGTGCCTGTTTTTGTACCAGTAACATGCTGTTTTGGTTACTGTAGCCCTGTAGTATAGTCTGAAGTTGGATAATGTGATGCCTCCAGCTTTGTTCTTTTTGCTTAGGATTGCCTTGGCTATTCAGGCTCTTTTTTGGTTCCAGTTGAATTTTAAAATAGTTTTTTTTTTTTTATTTCTGTGAAGAATGTCATTGGTAGTTTGATAGGAATAGCCTTGAATCTGTAATTTTTTTGGGGCAGTATGGCCATTTTAATGATATTTATTCTTCCTATCCATGAGCATGGGATGTTTTTCCATGTGTTTGTGTCATCTCTGATTGCTTTGAGCAGTGTTTTGAAATTCTTGTTGTAGAGAGCTTTCACCTCCCTGGTTAGTTGTATTCCTATGTATTCTTTTTGTGGCAATTTTTAATGGGATTGCCTTTCTGATTTGGCTCTCAGCTTGGCTCTTGTTGGTGTGTAGAACTACTAGTGATTTTTATACATTGATTTTGTATCCTGAAACTTTGCTGAAGTTGTTGATCAGCTGAAGGAGCTTTTTGGCTCTAAGACTACAGGGTTTTCTAGATATAGCATCATGTCATCTGCCACAGAGATAGTTTGACTCCCTCTCTTCCTATTTGGATGCCCTTCATTTCTTTCTCTCACCTGATTCCTCTGATTAGGACTTCCAATACTTTGTTGAATAGGAGTGGTGAAAAAGGGCATCCTTGTCTTGTGCCAGTTTTCAAAGGGAATGCTTCAAGCTTCTGCACATTCAGTATGATGTTGGCTGTGGGTTAGTTATAGGTGAAAAAAAGAGGAAAAACTCAAATAAACAATCTAACATTGTATCTTAAAGAAGTACAAAAATAAGAGCAAATCAAACCCAAAATTAGTAGAAGAAAAGAAAGATCGAGCAGAAATAAATGAAATTGCAATGAAAAAATTGCAAAAGATCAATGAAACAAAGTGTTTTTTTAAAAAGTTAAACAAAATTGACAAGCCTTTAGCTAGATTAACTAAGGAAAAAAGAGAGAAGATACAAATAAGATCAGAAATGAAAAAGGAGACATTACAGCTGATACTGCAGAAACTAAAAGTATCATTAGTGGCTTCTATAAGCAACTATATGCCAATAAACTGGAAAATATAGAAGAAATGGGCAAATTCCTAGACATGTACAACTTACCAAGATTGAACCAGGAAGAAATCCAAAACCTGAACAGACCAATAACAAGTAATGAGATTGAAGCCATAATAAAGTCTCCTAGTAAAGAAAAGCCTGGGACCTGATGGCTTCACTGCTGAATTGTACCAAACATTTAAAGAAGAACTAATACCAATCCTACTTACAGTATTCTGGAAAATAGACTAGGAAGAAATACTTCTAAACTCATTCTACAAGGCCTGTATTACCCTGATACCAAAACCAGATAAAGACCCATTAAAAAAAGAAAACTATAGGCCAGTATTTCTGAGGAATATTGATACAGAAATCTTCAACAAAACACTAGCAAACTGAATTCAATAATACATTAGATAGATCATTCATTATGTCGCAGTGGGATTTATCCCTGCAATGCAAGGATGGTTCAACATAAACAAATCAATGTGGTATGTCATATCAACAGAATGAAGGACAAAAATCATATGATCATTTAAATTGATGCTGAAAAAGCATTTGATAAAATTCAGCATCCTTCATGCCCAAAACCCTAAAAAACCTGAGGATAGAAGGAACATACCTTAACGTAATAAAAGCCATATATAACAGACCCACAGCTAGTATAATACTTAATGGGGAAAAATTGAAAGCCTTTCCTCTAAGATCTAGAACATGATGAGGATGTCCATTGTCATCACTGTTATTCAGCATAGTACTGGAAGTCCTAGATAGAGTAGTCAGACAAAAGATATAAAGGGAATCCAGATTGGAAAGAAAGAAGTCAAGTTATCCTTGTTTGCAGCTGATACAATCTTATATTTGGAAGAACCTAAAGACTCCACAAGAAAACTATTAGAACTAATAAACATGTTCAGTAAAGTTGAAGGATAGAAAATCAACATACAAAAATCAGTAATGTTTCTGTATGCCAACAGTGAATAATGTGAAAAAGAAATTTAAAAAGTAGTCCTGTTTACAATAGCCACACATAAAATAAAATGCCTAGGAATTAACCACAGAAGTGAAAGATCTCTATGATGAAAACCATAGAATACTGATGAAAGAAATTGAAGAGCACACCAAAAAAATGGAAAAAAATTTTATGTTGTTCATGGATTGGAAGAATTAATATTGTTAAAATGTCCATACTACCCAAAGCAATCTATAGATTCAATGCAATTCCTATCAAAATACCAATGACATTCTTCACAGAAATAGAAAAAACAGTCCTCAAATTTATATGGAACTACAAAAGACCCAGAATAGCGAAAACTATCCTAAGCAGAAAGACGACGTTGCTTGACTTCAAATTATACTACAGAGCTATAGTAACCAAAACAGCATGGTACTGGCATAAAAGCAGATACATAGACCAGTGGAACAGAACAGAGAGCCCAGAAACAAATCCACATGCCTACAGTGAACTCATTTTTGACAGTGGCCAAGAACATATGCTGGGGAAAAGACAGTCTCTTCAATAAATGGTGCTGGGAAAACTGGATATCCATATGCAGAAGAATGAAACTAGACCCCTATCTGTCACCATATACAAAAATCAAATCAAAATGATTAAGGACTTAAATCTAAGACCTTAAACTATGAAACTGCTATAAGAAAACATTGGGGAAAATCTCCAGGACATCAGTCTGGGCAAAAATTTCTTGAGCAATACCTCACAAACACAGTCAACCAAAGCAAAAATGGATAAACGAGATCATATCAAGTTAAAAAGCTTCTACACAGCAAAGGATACAATGAATGAAGTGAAGAGACAACCCACAGAATGGAAAAAATATTTGCAAACTACCCCTCTGACAAGCAATTAATAACCAGAATATATAAGGAACCCAAACAACTCTATGGGAAAAAATCTAATAATCTGACCAAAAAATTGGCAAAAGAGTTGAATACACATTTCTCAAAAGAAGACATACAAATGACAAACAGGCATATGAAAAGGTGCTCAACATCAGTGATCATCAGAGAAATGCAAATCAAAACTACAATGAGGTATTTATCTCACTGCAGTTAAAATGGCTGATATTCAAAAGACAGGCAATAACAAATGCTGGCTAGGATGTGGAGAAAAGAGAACCCCCGTACACTGTTGGTGGGAATGTAAATTAGTACAACTACTATGGAGAACAGTTTGGAGGTTTCTCAAAAAAATTAAAAATTGAGCTACCATATTATCCAACAATCCCACTGCCAGGTATATACCCAACGAAAGGAAGTCAGTATATCAAAGAGGTATCTGCACTCCTATGTTTGTTGCAGCACTGTTTACAATAGCTAAGATTTGAAAGCAACCTAAGTGTCCATCAACAGATGAATGGATAAAGAAAATATGGTACATATACACAATGGAGTACTATTCAGCCATAAAAAAGAACAAGGTCTAGTCATTTGCGACAACATAGATGGACCTGGAGATCATTATGTTAAATGAAATAAGCCAGGTACAGAAAGACAAACATCACATACTCTCATTTATTTGTGAGATCTAAAAATCAAATCTGAACTCATGGACCTAGAGAGTAGAAGGATGGTTACCAGAGGCTGGGAAGGGTGGTGGAGGTTTGGGAGAGGTGAGGATGGTTAATGGGTCCACAAACATAGAAAAAATGAATAAGACTTTATAGCACAACAGGGTGACTTTAGTCAATAATACCTTAATTGTACATTTTAAAATAACTTAAAGAGTGTAATTGGATTGTTTGTAACTCAAAGGATAAATGCTTGAGGAGATGGATACCCCATTCTGCATAATGTGCTTATTTCACAGTGCATGCCTGTATCAAAACATCTCACATACCCCGTAAATATATGTACTATGTACCCACAAAAATTAAAATTTAAAAAATTATGTAATTGTCATTCCAGATATCTTCATATATACATTTTGATTAAAAAGATGGGTAGTTGAGTGCATTCACGAATATAATTTTCTAAAACTAGGTTCATATTACAGTGCTACCTTTAAAATATAAAAATTAATTTCACTGAAATTTTATAGAAGAGAGAAATGGAAGGAATTGCTTAAATTTAGATAAGTATTTTGTCACTTTAAGTGATATTATTTCTAAAATTATTTCTCTAAGATTATGAAAAAATGTGAAAAAATTAAGAGGTTACAATCTTTATTTAAGTTTGTGTTTTTATTTAAAGCAATATACTTTAATCTGGTTTGAAGAAGGTTACTATCTTCACTCTTCCTGGTGCCTCCCCCTCTCCATTTTCAGATTAGTCCATTTTATTGTTATGACATTATCAAGTATTATAACATTTAAATTCTATTTTGTCACTATAATTATTGCATTTGGTTAGTCTCAGTTCTGTATTTAAATGGATTCTAAGGTTATCATAACTCCTATATCATAGTTTCTCCATTTCTCAGTTCTTTATTTTTATTCATCTCTTAGCTGGCTGTATTTTACAATCAACAAGTTTTTAAAAATATGCTTTTTGGTTCCATGTTCTTTATGTTTGACATGTTTAGGAATCATGTCTATAGCTTTTATACTTGAAGGACAGCTTTGTCATGTATTCTATTCTTGAGTCATATTTTGTTTCCCTCAGGACAATATTTTCTGGCATTGAACATTGCTGTTGAGAAAGCTGAGACTAGCGTAATTCCGCTCCTCATTTACTTCCTGAAGAATTTTTTTTTTAATTTGAGGTTTAATACCTTAAACAGGATAACATTTCTTGATTTTGTTATTCTGTATTAGCTTTTTTTTTTTGAACACCGTATCCCTTTTTAAACTGAAGGTTCTGCTGTTCATTTTAGAAAATCTTAACATACTCTATTTAAAAATATTCTATTCAGCTAGGTTGTTCTATACCATTGTATTTTGGGAACATTTTCTTATGTTGGATTGCTTTTATTCTCCCTATTTATTGTCTTCTCTCATATTATTCTGAATTTTTAAATCTTTTTCTTACATATTGGCTGTTTTTATCTCAAGCATTTTTTCCATTTTGAGCTAAACTATTTTTGTAATGGTGTTATTTGGTCCTCATCTTTTTTCTTAGCTTGTCTAGTTCCTTCCTTTTATATAATTTGTTCATTAATTTCCTTTTTATGATACATTTTTATTGAATTGGATTTATAATAGACGAATTATTCAATAATATGTATTTGGATCACTAAACAAATATATTGAGAATAGCAAATGGATTTTAACCCTCCTGCTAACCCAGATCAATTGCTAGTGGCTTCCCGGCCCATTGTGTTAAGAAGGACTCTAGATTAGCATCAGGTCTCTACAGGGAGGGGTACACTTAGTGATGTGATGGCTGCCAAGTAAAAGCTATGAGGTGGTGATGGTGATGCTACCCTCTTATCTCAGAGGCACGTTTACATTTCATATAGTACATTACAGGTGACTAAAGGTCATGGTTGTGCATCAGAGAGGGTAAGATGATGATCAGGAGAAGCTTCAATATTACCATTTATTTATTGATTCAACAGTTAGTTATTTATTAGAATTTACAATGTCTCAAGCATGATATTACGTGCTAGGTTAAAGTGGTGGAAGATGTATATGTTCCCTGCTCAGCTAGAACTTACAGTCAAGTAAGGGAGATAGACATTAAATGAACAATCACAGAAATACTTAACTACATTTGCGATAAGGAATGTAAAGGGAAAGTGTAATCCCCCAATGGGTTCTTCCTGCTGGCTGCACAGACAAAATCAATCCACCAAGATTGTGGCATTGCAGTAGAGATAGTTTAATTGACCACTAGGCTGACCCATGTGGGAGAACTGGAGTTATCACTCAAATCAGCCTCAGCTGGTTAAGTTCTTAGTGCAAGCACTCATAGGGCATTTTCTTCTTTTAGATTATCTTTCAGATTGGGTTCTCTGTCTGATTTTTTTCCCCTTCTTATGTTGTGATTCTTTTTTGATTTTCTATGTTTACATAATCACTGTGCTTTTCCCCCTCGTATTGCTGGGACTGTATATGTGTAACCCTGATTTGATGTTCTGTTTTCTCTGATTTAATGTGAGTGAATATCCCTTCACTCTGCACTTAATCTGTGACTTGTTTATGTTCCCCAAAGAGCTATGGTATGGGAGCAGGCATTTTTATTATATCTGCTTTTAGTCAGGAGGTAAGGGAGAAAGTAGATAATTCAACTGTAATGATACAAGCCGTTGTTCTGAGTTTTTGTTAGAATGAACTTTATAACAGAACACTTCTAGTGGCAGTTTTATCTTTTTTCTATAGCAGGATTGTTTTGGGATTCAAATTGTCCCCAGTTCAACACAGTATGCAGAGTCTCTGTGTTGTCAGAAAAATAAGCTATAGTTGTTTACTTCCTCCATTTTACTCTTCTCTTATCAGCAGTTTCTCCCTCCAAGTCAGAGAGGCAAAAGATGAGGATACCGTTTGAGTTAGTCTCGCTCAGTCAGTCTCTCATTTGATATTGGTACCAGCACTTTAATACCTAATAAAATGAAAGCAAAAGAATGTACTTGAGAGAGATTCTTTCATCTGACTTCACCGTTTTTACCTAGAAATCCTTGATATCGTTCTTTACCACTATGGTATTTTAAAATAACTTATTTGTGAATATATTGCAGACATATTTTTTGCACCATACCATTGTATCTAGAAAACCTATAAAGATGCAACGTTATCTGTTTTCTCACAAAGTTTCTGCACATCCAGTGTTTGCTGAGATTATTACTGGTTTAGCAGTCAGATACTCAGAAAATAGAAAGTGAATCAAATTGAACTTCTCTTTTAAAAATAATGTATGACATGGAGCCATAAGCAAATTTGTAATAGCTGTGTTTTATCATGATTTGTATATTTTATGTAGCTACACTATTTGTTTTCTTAGGTATCTGTTATATGCATTTATTTTCTCACAGCCATCTAGTTGTATATATATTCTAATAACTTTAAAGATTTTATGGTGAACAATTATTTTATAGATGACTTTAAATTTATATACTAATTTTGTTATCTCTTAATGGTTTTGGTTATTGTAAGATTTTAGAGGGGTTGAAATTAAAAATATATAAGGTTTAGATATAAATAATTGGAATAAAATCATAATTTTATAAATAAAATAATTATTTTAAATTTTTAGATAATGAGAATTAATTGAATCATTGGAATTAGAATAAATTCTAATAAACTTAGTAATTTTATATAATAAATATACTTATAAAAGTGGAATTAAAAATTTGAATTCTAATTATTATAATAAAATATTATACAAATATAAATAAAATATTTATAAAATTAGAATTAAAGATTAGCATTTATCATACTTCAAAATCTTTCTCTGGAGTAATACATTCTATAGTTCTTAAAATTAGAAATAAATTTAAAAAGCAAAATTTATAGTGATTTTAGACATAAAGAATTAATTATAACAGAAATACTTAAATGTAAAATTCTCAGAGTAGACTTAACACTTGATTTATAATTCCATAACTTTACATATTTCTATTTTACATATTTTATACCTTTTAAAACAGATTTTTTTTTTTTTTACAAAAAAAAGAAAGAAAATCTTTACCATGCTGATAGTGATTGTTGAATGAATAAATTTATGGATATACTCTACCCTGCGATTTTCTCTCATACAAAGATCTGAATCTCTAACTTTCTTTAAAAATGTACATTTTTTTTTCAGGGGAAGTATTACAAATGGAAGATGATCTGGTGATTTCATTTCAGTTAATGCTATGTGTCCTTGACTATTTTATTAAACTCTCACCTCCCATGTTGCTCAAAGAACCATATAGTAAGTATTTAATTTATGCCCCTTTTACTTTCTCATTCAGCAGTTGCTTATTGAATGTCTAGTGGGTACCAAACATGGTTCTAAGGCTGACAGGATGATAAAAAATAAATCAGACATGGACTTTGCCCATAAGTAGTGTAAGTTATAGAAGGAAAGATAAGACATGGAAACAAATGATTAGAGTATATGGTAGAAAGTGGTTTGGGTCAAAATACAACAAATGGAGGTTTGGGAGACAAGAAAGTTTTTCCAGCTGTGGAAGACCAAAGAATACCATATAAAAGAAGTAGTATTTGAAATTAACATGGAAGAGTGGTTAGGATTGGGGAAAGGCATTCTCAGTAAAGTGTTGGGGGAGGGCATTCCCAGTGAAGAAAAGCAAGAAACAAGAAAAAGATATGAATGAAATTGCATGGGGAAGAGTGGCCTATTCTAAGGGAACAGCTTAACTAAGTTTTTATTACTATTGGATGTTGTAATAACTATGTATTTTTTTGTATATAAGCTATAACTCATACTATTTCAGTGGGTGATGAGTGATGAGATGGGAAGTATATTTAAATAAAAATAACTTGCTAATATAATTAGATAGCATTAAGGAAGTATGAGTAAGGTATATTCCTTTTAGCCTAGAATTGCTTCCTTTCATGGCTTCAAGAGTAGGATTTCAAAGTCACTTATTATATTATTATATACAGAAAAATGTAAACTTACTTAAGGTCAGACTAATTCCTTGCTTCTGAAATGATGAAAGTATTAATGCTAAAAATAATAGATAACATGGAAGTTTCAAAGTGTTGTTGAAATGGATGGAAGGATGAAGGCTCATTAAACTTTGTGAACAAGAATTTAGTGGAAAAATTAAGTATGGAGCAGAATTTTGAAGATGTGTTGAACATGGTTTGGCAGAGAAGGCAGAAACCTTCATTTAGCAGAAACCACATGCAAAGAAAGAAATAAAAAAAATTCTATATAGAAAACAAATATACTTCAAATTTTCTCCCAAATTTTATAAATTTCCTTTATATACCCTTTCCCCACTTTTTTCAATGTTATAACTTTAATAAGTTGATGTTGCAAGTTACTTTAGGTTGACAATCTTTGTTCTTTTGGATAATTCAAATGTACATGTGAATTCTCTAAGTGCTCTGTTAAAGAGCAATCAGCATGGGGTATTATTGAACTGACTGAATATGGTAACTCTTAGTTAATTTTTGTTGTAGAGAATTTCAAATGAATACAAAAATAGTAGTATAATAAGCCTCCATGTACTTATCATGTAACTTCAACAGATAATTTACAGTTAATCTGTAGCCCCATTGCCTGCTCAGTTCCCCCAGCTGTATTATTTTGAAGCACATCTTTGCATACCATTTCATCCTTATACATCTCAGTATATATCTCTAAAAAATACTTTTTAAAAAGCATAATTACAGTGCTCTTTGTTATCACACCTACAAATCAATAAATAGTGACTCCTTAATATTACTGAATATCTAGAAAGTGCTCAGATTTTCTTGTAAAAATAATTAAAAAATTTTTTTACAGTTTGAATGAGAATCTAAATAAGATTTATACTTTGTGTTTGGTTGACATGTTTTAAAAACTCTTTTAAAAGTTTCTCTTCCATCCTTTCTTTTTTTCCTTGTAATTTATTTTTTAAATAATCAGATTGTCTTGAGTTTTCCACAGTGTGGTTTTTGCTGATCATATTCTGTGGTATAGTTTAACATGTTCTTCTGTCCTCTCAATTTCTTGTAAGTTGTTGATTGGATCTAGAGGCAATACATACTTTTTATACTTAATCATCTGTAATTTTTTTTTTTTTTTTTTGAGGCAGAGTCTCACTCACTCTGTCGCCCAGGCCTGGAGTTCAGTGGCGCGATCTCAGCTCACTGCAAACTCTGCCTCCCGGGTTCAAGCAATTCTCCTGCTTCAGCCTCCCGAGTAGCTGGGACTATGGGCATGCACCACCACACCTGGCTAATTTTTGTATTTTTAGTAGAGACGGGGTTTCACCGTGTTGGCCAGGCTGGTCTTGAACTCCTGACCTCATGATCCACCTGCCTTGGCCTCCCAAAGTGCTAGGATTACAGGCGTGAGCCACCACACCCAGCCATCTGTAATATTTTTAATAGCTGAACCTGTATTTAGTTTGGATTGGGAATGCTGAAAATAATCCAGGAGATTTTTTTTTTAAATCACAGTTTATTATCATATTATTATATTTACTATAATATATTTTATACCTATCTTTTAAAGACATCATAATTTACTAAAACTTAAAATATTGTTTTTATGCTATGTCTAGAAATTGAATTCAGAAATATTTGCTAATTATTTTTAAGACTCTAGGACAGAAAACTTTTTTTTCCTCTTGCAGACTAAAATACGCTTAGATTTAGTTTGAAAGTTGGCTATTTCCATGCCTTCTCTTTGTATTTGTTTATGAGACTGTAGTTTACAGTTCTTTTTGGGAGCAGAGTAGAAGAGGGATGGCAAAAACTAATATTAGTACATAATTTGTAGTAGATATGGATGAAATTGTTATCCTTCTAATGAAACCTAATAAGTAAAAGTAGTAGAATGTTACCAAGATTATTTTTGACCTAAGTTATAGTTAGAATACTTCATTATTTTATATGATGGATGTACAATTGTTCTTATCTAATTTACCACTTTTACAGAAACAGCTGTTATACCCATTAATGGTTCACCTCGAACACCCAGGCGAGGTCAGAACAGGAGTGCACGGATAGCAAAACAACTAGAAAATGATACAAGAATTATTGAAGTTCTCTGTAAAGAACATGAATGTAATATAGATGAGGTAATTTAACTTCATGATTTCTTTAAAACAGTTAAAGTAGATTTAGATGTAAGTTCTCCCTAACAATATTTACTTCTTTTGTTATGAGCATGTTTTTTTTGTAATTAGTGCTAACTCTTTTGCAGTAGCAAAATATTTAGAAAAAATTAATTCGTTATATTTAGTTACTTTGATTTTAAAGAGAGTAGCTCCCTCACTCTGGAATCACTGAAAAGTATATAATCAAGACAATAGTTTTCAAATGTAGTTTTTTTTTTTTTTTATTCCTCTGAGGTTACTGATACCCCTAATGTTTTAAAATACCCTGCCAAGGCTGGGCATGGTGGCTCACACCTGTAATCCCAGCTCTTTGGGAGGCCGAAGTGGGAGGATTTCTTGAGGCCAGGAGGTCTAGACCAGCCTGAACAACATAGCGAGACTCTGTCTCTACAAAATACATATTTAAAAAAATGAACTGGGCATGGTGGCATGTGCCTGTAGTCCCAGCTACTTGGAAGACTGAGGCAAAAGGATTGCTTGAGCCCAGAAGTTTGAGGTTACAGTGAGACATGATTGCACCACTGCACTCCAGCCCGGGCGCCAGAGTGAGACTATGTCTCCAAAAACGAACAAACAAACCAAAAAAGCCCTGCTTAGAAAACTCTAGTGCTCTAGTGTTTTAGTTTAGTGATAAGTGATACCAACATTAAATTTCTGTTTGGCCTTCTATAATTACTCTCTTTCTAAATATTACAGCACATAATGACTGCTGGAGAATACATATGAATTCCCAGGAATTACTTGTCTTGTTCATAGAATGTGGATGTTAGAAGGAATCTTACAAATAATGTATTCAATCTCCTTTTTATAATGAGTAAACAAGCTTCCAGGGACTGATAGCTTATTATTTACAGCGTCTACATTAGACTTTGGGATATCTGGTACTATTGCTTCTTTCCTTTTTACCATACAGTTTTTCTCATAGTTTGTTTTATTGTCCACAATCACTAACACCAGATAGCAGTAAAAAATGTTACATCTTTGAAATTTCTCTGTTAACTTTGGGAAGGAGTGAGAGTGTGGTCCTAAAATCTAGTTTAAGAAGTATTAGAATGATTTATCAAGATATATCATAGTTTTTGCACTATGGCTTACTAATTTCAACAAATATACAGTTGACTCTTGAACAACAGGTTTGAATTGCATGGGTCCGTTTATACACAGATATATTTAATTACATATATTAGAAAAAATTTTGGAGATTTGCAATAATTTGAAAAAATTTGTAGCAAACCGTGTAGCCTACAAATACAGAAAAAATTAAGAAAAAGGCATGTCTTGAATGTACAAAATATATGTAGATACTAGTCTATTTTATCATTTACTATACCATAAAATACATACAAAACTGTAGCTGCAGATGCCTGCTGTTTCAGGCGGACGATTTTTGTTAACAGATGACATAAACTTACTGTAAATGTATTTTGTCTTCTTACAATTTTCCTAATATTTTCTTTTCTCTATCTTTATCATAAGAAGATGATATATTTAGTATGTATATATAGTACATATACAAAATATATGTGAATTCAATCTTTATGTTATTGGTTGGCTTCCAGTCAACAGTAGGCTGTTAGTTAAATTTTGGGTACTCAAAAGTAATCGATAGGTCTGTAGTCTCAGCTACTTGGGAGGCTGAGGTGGAAGGATGGCTTGAGCCCAAGCATTTGAAGCTGTAATGCATGTGATTGCACCTGTGAATAGCCACTACACTTCAGCCTAGGCAATATAGAGAGACCCCTTCTCTAAGAAAATAATAAAAAATAAAAAAGTTATACACAGATTTTTTACTGCATGGGGGATTGACACCTCTAACTTACCCTGCATTGTTCAAGAGTCAAGAGATTAGATTTTGTTTTAAATTTTAATGATCATGTTGTAACTTCATCTTTTTCAGGTGAAAAATGTTTATTTCAAAAATTTTATACCTTTTATGAATTCTCTTGGACTTGTAACATCTAATGGACTTCCAGAGGTAATCTGAAAGGAAATTTAATAAAATATTAATGTTTTGAGACTGTGGAGGGAGGATAATTGTCTAACTTTCTTAGATCAATTTACTGTGTATCACATTTTTTTTTTGCCCAAGAAGAATCTAGCCAAGTAGAATTGTGGTGAAACTAACTTTTGTATAGTAACAAAAAGCTTTTGAGTATATAATCAAATGTATTAGCATCATTTTGTGATTTATACTAGAAATCAATCTTTATTGAATTTTTTCCAAAATCAAAGTATAGACTTTTAAACTTCTAAATACCATTAAATAGCTAAATTTTAATAGCTAAATATAAACCATTAAATTTGCTTTGGTAAGCCTCATTAAGCGTAGGAACCATGATTAATGCCATCAACATTATTGGCATTACTACATTGTGGAACATCTCTTTTGAGGATTTTTAAGAACTGCTTAATTGAAAATACAAATGTATTTGTTGAAATGACTGTGACTATTGCAGAAGTGTTTTACCTTAGTGATATTCCATCCATCTACCTGTTTTGTTTCGCATTTTGCTACAAATGTCTTTCCAATGAGAACAGAATAACTGAGAGCTTTGCATGGTAAGACGAAATATGTGGAGAAAAGGATGCTGTGATAGATGATGAAGAACAAAACCAGTGTTTTAGAAGACATAGTATTAGTCACTATGACCAAAAGGCATGAAATAAAATAGCTAGACTGCTAGTTCTGTAACCTGAATTGATAGCTAGTTTTTGAATTAATTTATTAATTCAACAAATATTTTTTGAATGCTTAATATATGTCAGGCACGTGCTAGATACTATGGATACAGAGATTTCACTCTCAGTCACTATCCTTAAAGTGCTAGTGGGAGAGGCTGACAAAGAAATAGAGCATTACAGGAGTCTACAAGAGTGTGAAAAAAGTATTCACAGGGTTCTGTGATATCTCAAAGGAGAGCTACCTAATCCAAACTAGGGCTGATAGGTTTTGTGGAAAATAGTTTAGAGGTGATGTGATTTCAAATCTGAGTAAGCATTACAGATATAGCATTTCCAAGGGTTGGACATTGTAGATTCAAAGGTGCAGTGATGTATGATAGTATGGTCTGATCAGTGAACTCTAAGTAATTCATTAAGGTTGGGATACAGGGCAGAACAATTAAAATATGGTACTGAAGAGGCAAGAAGGGACCAAATGTTATATTAATGAGTCTTGTTACCACTTTTGGTACCAAAAACTAGGCTGTTCATAACTTTAAAATCTGTTGTAGCAATCTTTTTTTCTCCTTTAAAAGGATTATAGTTTTAATATAAATCTTAAGAGTAATTTTACTTTTTCTCCAATATTTCACATAATATAGCCAATCAATAGATGACTGGTAATTAGTGCCTCAACTAAGGTAGGACAGGAACAATGATTAAACATAAGCATGGATTACTGTTCTATCTAATACATTTATGAAGATTAATGAAAAGTTTGCATTTAATTGGATTTCTTCCTATCACTCCTTTTAAAATGCAATTTTACTTCTCTGAGGTTGGAATCACTTTGGCGTTAAAAGTCACAGTAGAAGGCATGCCAATAGTTTTCTCTTGGGCATTGGTTTTTAAAGTATAATTAAAAAATTATGGATCAGAACTGATGAAAGATTTACAAATTCTAGCAATTGAAAAAGTATCTAAGATTGGGAATAAATTGTGCAAGTGTGTTAATTGAACTGATAAATTGAGCTAATTGTCTTGCCCAAGATACTTAACTGAAGGGTACTGGAGTGAACCAAAGGGTTTAGAAAACATTGGTAGAATATGTAATCAAGAGGATTTGCAACAATGTTTGAAAAAATATTTTATATTGATAAGCATAAAAGATTAAAAGCAGGCTGGGCGCGGTGGCTCACGCCTGTAATTCTAGTACTTTGGGAGGCCGAGGCAGGTGGATCACCTGAGGTCAGGAGTTCAAGACCAGCTTGGCCAACATGGCGAAACCCCGTCTCTACTAAAAATACAAAAATTAGCCGGGCATGGTAGCAGGTACCTATAATCCCAGCTACTCGGGAGGCTGAGGCAGGAAAGTTGCTTGAACCCCGGGGGCAGAGGTGGCAGTGAGCCGAGATTGTGCCACTGCACTCCAGCCTGGGCGAAAGAGCGAAACTCCATCTCAAAAAAAAAAAAAAAAAAAAGATTAAAAGTAAAGCATATATGGGATGTTTGGAAAATCTTGGCAGTTAAACAGTTATTATAATACCTATTTTTATCTTAGGTACTGTTTTGTAGCATTGGCTATCTTTGTCTACATAAAATTCTAATAAATATTTTCTATGCACGAAATAGACCTAAAATCAAAGTTGAACAAATGTTGCAATTTTCTGTACCTCACTTTTAGATAGACCTTATTTATATTGCATGCGAACTCAGTGTATATTACAAAATTAAATGTATATTATACAAAAATTCTTTAATGAAATCTGTGCCTCTGTGTGCTGAGAGATGTAATGACATGTAAAGGATAATTGTCAGTGACTTTTTTCTTTCAAGGTTGAAAATCTTTCTAAACGATACGAAGAAATTTATCTTAAAAATAAAGATCTAGATGCAAGATTATTTTTGGATCATGATAAAACTCTTCAGACTGATTCTATAGACAGGTATTGCACATGGTATATTTGATTGATTTGCTTTAGATATAGGTTGATACTGATATAGGTAGATTATATAGTCTTTAGCTTAGTGACCTTTAGATATCATTTATAACAAATTACTTTCAAATGTCTTTATACAAAGAAAAGTTTAACAGTATTTTAAGCATATAACTTATCTACAAATATAGATTTAATGTGAATTGTGTGTCCTATAACAGTTACCTTTTTGCAGTTAACTGAATATAATTTTTTAAAATGTGCACCAAAAGATAATGGCTAAAGTAATTAGTTTCTTCAAATAGTGGTCTCTACCTTATTTCTATCCTTTCATATACTATTGCCTGCCTGGTTTATTTAAAAAAGTTTATACAAAAGTGTAGTCTCTGTTATTATCATGTAGAAACCTAAAATTGGAATGGTTGAGAGTGATTGTTAAAATTTTTGACTGATCATAAGTAAAGTTAATTTTGTGTCTTTAGCATGAACTCTTTTAATATGAAACTGAAAATATGCGTAATTTAGAAGTTAAACACAGTAAAATGTTTTAAATTTTATTTAAGTGGAAATAAAGTTTTTAGAAGGAATAATGCATTGAAAAACTTGAGTTTTAATGCTTTTTAATACTGAACAACTTGGTTATCAATACCACCAGGGAGAAAGCATCTGACTTTCACTTTTAAAAAAAGACTTAATGATTGGTATACCTCTTTGTCATAAACATAATGGAAAGAGACCCACAATTAAAAAGAGTAGTGAAAAATATTTTATTTAAGCAGCAGCTGGGTCATCTATTTTCTATCCTATCTATTATTGAGTTATCATTTTATATGATTTTATGAGACAACAGAAGCATTATACTGCTTTTTTGATGCATAAAGCACAAATTGTAAATTTTCAGTATGTGAATGACTTCACTTATTGTTATTTAGTTTTGAAACACAGAGAACACCACGAAAAAGTAACCTTGATGAAGAGGTGAATGTAATTCCTCCACACACTCCAGTTAGGTATGAATTTTCCTACTTTTAATTATATTATAATTTTGTTATTCATGGCTTTATAGTGTTTCAGATTTGTTCACGTTTCTTTATGTATTCATACATACATGTAAGAAATATATATTGAAGGCCAGGTGTGGTGGATCACACCTGTAATCCCAGCACTTTGGGAGGCCAAGGCGGGCAGATCACCTGAGGTTAGGAGTTTGAGACCGGCCTGGCCAACATGGTGAAACCCCGTCTCTACTAGAAATACAAAAATTAGCTGGGGGTGGTGGTGTGTGCCTGTAATCCCAGCTGCTCGGGAGGCTGAGGCAGGAGAATTGCTTGAACCCGGGAGGCGGAGGTTGCAGAGAGCTGAGATCGTGCCATTGCACTTCAGCCTGGGTGACAAGAGCGAAACTCCGTCTCAAAAAAAAAATGTGTATATATAATCTTTGTGTGCTGGGCATTTTACTGGTTGCTGAAGATATGGTTATTGGACCTAGTTTTGTCTGTTCTTAAAGAACATAACCTAAAATAGGAATGTGTTCCATTTCAGTAAATAAAAAAGAAAAAATTAAAGTATCACTATTTGATCTGCATGCAACCTTAAAGGATTAGAACTATTTTTTATGTCTTTTTCCTCACTCATTTCCCACATCAAAATCTGTTATCAAGGCTTGTTGAATAATCTACCTCCAAAATATTTCCTGAGTGCATCTACTTTTCTCCATTTCTGCTCTCACAACTCTTGTCCAAGACATTGTTCTCTTTCTCTTGGATTTTTTGCAGTAGCCTACTACCTGATCTTGCTCCTTCTGGTCTCATCATTGTTCCTGTCTCCTCACCATCAAAGATATTCTCCATAGAGCCCCCAGAATTTCTCCTAGAAATGTAAATCAGTTACATTCACCTTGCTGTTAAACCCACTGACTGCTTCCCATTGCAATTGGTATACAGTGCAAATTCCTTAACAATGCCTAAAAGATCTTATATGGTCTGGTTTCTGTTGCCTCTCCAACCTCATCTTGTTTTCTTTCTCACTCTGTGTTAGCCACACTTTGGCCTTCTCTGTTTCTTGGGCTTTCCAAGTTTTTTGAAAACCCTCGTACTTGATATTCCCTCTTCTTGAAATTTCCTCCTTTTCTTTCCATGGATTACCAACTGCTACTCTTCATTCAGCACAAATATTGCTTTTGAAAAGATATTTCTCTCTGAAGTATTTTATTATTTCTCATATCATCCTGTTCCATTCCTTTATAGCATGTATCCCAATTTATATTGATAGATTCATTTGTGTTTGCTTGCTTTTACTAATACCCAAAATAGCCTTAAAATTCCATATCACAGAGACCATAACCTTTTTGTTCACTGTCTAATAATTAGGGCCTGTTATAAAACTTGGTACATAGTAGGCAATCAGTAATATATTTCAAATGACTGTATAGATATGTAAATGGATACATTTTCATATAAGTATAGTATATACTTTGGACAAGATAATGAGATGACACAGAAGGGACTATAAAGCAATGTCTGAACTGAATTTTGAAACATGCAAAGGCCTGTGTCACAGGATAAAGATTTTAGGGAGTGGGAACAGCATGTTCAAAGGGCTGGAATTGTGAAACATGTAAGTGGAGAAAACCCTGCTGTCACACCACCGACAACAATCAACACAGAAGACTTTTGTGACCAAATGTGGGAAAGTTTTCCTCACCAAGAAACAAGCAATCAGTTCTGCAGCAGTCACCAGCTGGGTGTCCTCTAATTTACTTCTGACACTGCTTACCTGGAGATAGTGTCAGATCCCACAGGTTGAGGGCTCAGTCCCCAAAACTGGCCCCAACTTCAGATGCCAGTTGCAAGTCTGGGTTTTTGGATCTTCTGACCAAAGGGCTTCAAGTTGGGGTTCCCATGACACCTCTTAGGTTCGATTAATTTGCTAGAGTAGTTCACAAAACTCAAGGAAACACTTCTGTTTACTGGTTTATTATAGATGATATTACAAAGGATGCAGATGTAAAGATGCATAGGATGAGGTATGGGGGATGGGATGGGAAGCTTCTATGCCCTCCCTGGCCAGACAGCTGTCCAGGAGCCTCCACATGTTCAGCTATCCGGAAGTTCTCTGAACCCTGCCCTTTTGGGTTTTTATGGAGGCCTCATTGCATAGGCATGACAGATTAGATCATTGGCTATTGATTATCAACCTAACCTTCAGCTTCCCTCCCCTTCCTAGAGGTTGGGGGCTGGGGCTGAAGGTTCCAACCCTCTAACTCTGCCTCGGGCTTTCTAGTGACCAGCCCCCATCCAGATGCTTCCTAGGGGCTGCCAGCCATGTCAATTCATTAGCACACAAAAGGACATCACTGGAGTTTCTAAGTATTTTACGAGTTGTATGTCAGGATATGGGGTCAAAGACCAAACATCTATTTCACAATATCACACAACACAATGTGTCTGGGGAACTATTAGCAGCTCTGTATTGATTGACTATAAAATGAGAGTAGGAAGTCACAGGAGAGGAGAGTGGGTACTAGATATGAAGGGCCTTATATGCCATACTCACAAATTTGGAGTGTAGCATGTGCATGATATAGCCTGTGCTATAAATGGATGTTAAGCAGGGGTAAGGATAAAATCAGACATAATTTTTGCAAGTTCACATGGTAATAGTCAGTGGGGGGATAGACTGAGGAGAATAAGAAAAAGTGAGAAATAGACCTGTCAGTCTGTCTCAGTGGTTCTTAACCATGTGTGCAAATTAGAATAACCTGAGGAATTTTGTTTTGTTTTTTCTTTTTAAAAATTTTGTGTCCCATTCCACTGAGGAATATGCCTAGGCCTTACTACCACAGACATAGTGTATAAAAATCTCTGGGCTTGTCTGTTGTAGCAGTTTACTTGAGAGTTTTTAAAGATCTGAACCAACGATAGTGGTGGGAATGAAGGAACAATAACAGATTTGATAAATATTTGATGAATTCATACTTAGAATGTTGTTCTTGAGGCATTTCTGAAGAAGATATCTAGTAAGCAGTAGGATAGCCTTCTATAGATTTGGGAATCATCAGGGGAGTTAAACCCATAAAAAAAAATGAGATTGCTTGAAGGGAGGGTGCATAATGGCAAGAGTGGGTGGCTAAGGGCTGAAGCCTAAAGGATGCTAGCATTAAGGACTAGACAGAAATTGTTAGGTTCTAGAGCAGGGGTCCCCAATTCCCGGGCCAGAGACTGGTCTGTGTCCCATTACGAACTGGGTGATACAGCAGGAGGTGAGTGGTAGACAGGCAAGTGAGCATTACTGCCTGAGATCTACCTCCTGTCAGATCAGCAGTGGAATTAGATTCTCATAGGTGCATGAACCTTATTGTGAACTGCGCATGTGAGGGATCTAGATTGTATGCTCCTTATGAGAATTTAATGGCTGATGATTTGAGGTAGAACAGTTCAAAACCATTCCCCCTACTCTCCATGGTCCATGGAAAAATTGTCTTCCATGAAACCAGTCCCTGTTGCCAAAAAGGTTGGGGACTGCTGTTCTAGAGAATGGGAAAGTATGATTGGGGAGTGCAGAGATTGAAGCGAAGAAAGCTGAGGGAGGGAGGGAGTTTCATTAAGAGCAAGTATTTCTCTAACAGTGTCAAATGCTTCAAGGAAGGTCAAGTATTAGAACAAATGAGAAAAGTCTTTTGTTTTTATCAGTTGGTCATTTGTGGCTTTAATCACTGTAGCTTAAATATGATTAGTGGACACAGAAGCATATAGAAGCTGTGTTGCAATATATTTGAAAGACGAGGCTGGGTGTGGTGGCTCACGCCTGTAATCCCACTTTGGGAGGCCAAGGTGGGCGGATCACCTGAGGACAGGAGTTCGAAACCAGCCTGGGCAACATGGCAAAACCCCGTCTCTACTAAAAATACAAAAATTAGCCCAGCTGGGCACCTGTAATCCCAGATAATCAGGAGGCTGAGGCAGGAGAATCACTTGAACCCGGGAAGTGGAGGTTGCAGTGAGCCAAGATTGCGCCACTGCACTCCAGCCTGGGCGACAGAGCAAGGCT
Source organism: Homo sapiens (assembly GCF_000001405.40). Lineage (NCBI taxonomy): Eukaryota > Metazoa > Chordata > Mammalia > Primates > Hominidae > Homo > Homo sapiens. Next base: position 48,372,644 of record NC_000013.11, read on the forward strand.
CCTTCTCAAAAAAAAAAAAGAAAAAGAAAAGAAAGATGAGGAAGTGTAAATACTGGTTTAGACATGCTTAGCTGAGAACACTGAGCATATTTTACTAAATAATAGTTGAGGATCTTTTCAGCCCTAAACATTCTACAGTTCTTTGCATAATTAAAGTGTCCCAAATGTTCAGCTACTCCAAAATTGTAACATTGATATTTACCATATACTGCCCCCTTCATAATACACACACATAAAATTATAGAATTAACAAGATCTTAAGAGATTGACCTAATTTTATGCTGTGAAAGTGGTGATTTTTAAATGTATCCAGGATCTTAGTATCCTTTCTTCTTGAAGGTCTCTGTAAAGAAAAATCATCTGATTCTTTACTTGAGTTGCTAAGTATCTTATTGTCTTTAATTTGAAAATGTTTAATATTTGGTTGTAATAATGTTTTCTTAAAACAATACCATTTTGTTGCCAGTTTATATAGTTTCTCCTAAAAATAATGCCACTATTTTATTGATATGTAGTTTTATTAGTAAATAAGTATATCTGTTCTATAACTATAAACTTATTGATTGTGAATACATATTTTCTTAAAGATTTAAGTAAAATGTAATTTCTTATAAACCACAGTCTTATTTGAGGGAATGTAGAGACAAGTGGGAGGCAGTGTATTTGAAGATACATTTAACTTGGGAGATGGAAAACATTTCATTTTTTCTTTTTTTCTCCCTTCATTGCTTAACACATTTTCCTATTTTTATCCCCTCTAGGACTGTTATGAACACTATCCAACAATTAATGATGATTTTAAATTCAGCAAGTGATCAACCTTCAGAAAATCTGATTTCCTATTTTAACGTAAGCCATATATGAAACATTATTTATTGTAATATCTTGGCAAAGAAACTTGAAATTAAAAGTTAAAGTACTGAGTTCTTTTTAAAATACTAATCTCCTATCTAACATGTAGTTATCCATAATCTTTTCTTGCTTTTTTAATCTTACAAATTATATATTATTAGTAGTATTGTTTTATTTATACAGTGTTATTTAAAACATTTTTATGTTTACCTATTTGCCTTGCTCACCATTCTTCCTTGCAACTTATGCCTCACTTCTGAGATAATTTTTTTCTTCTTCAGATATATCCTTTGATAATTACTTTAGTGGTATTAATTTGGGATGAACTTTTTGAGGTTTTATTTTGTTTTTTGATCTGAAATTTTCTTTACCCTTATTTTTTTGTGAGATAGCTTTGCTCGATCTTCAATTCCAGGTTGACATTTACTTTTTAGACTCTTATAAGTTTGAAGATAATACATTACCTGGATCCCATTTTTGCTAATTAAGAAGTCTTATGCCACTCAATCTAACTGTTGTTCCTTTGTAGTTAATCTGTCTTTTTCTCTCTGGCTACTTTTAAGATCTTTTCTTTGAATGTAGTATTAGATAGGACTTAACATTCCCCATACCCCTACAATCTTTTTCATCCAATATTTAACCCATTTTTATTTACAATTCTTACCTGGCCCTGTTAGCATTATAGTTTGCAACTCCTGATAGACAATAAGTTTAATATCTGAAGGCATCTGATACCCTCTCTCCCCTAAAGACAAGGAGAAAGAAAGAGAGAGAATGAAACTATCATCTATATTGCTTGCTTGCTCCTTCACTCCTTACTTAAACTCAGATGAGGATTGGGACCCACTGAAATGCTCATCCACTAAAATTGGACATAGGGTCAGGAGACTTATTAAAATTTGGCTTATTTCAGCAACTGTGCTTTTTGTACTTGTTAACAATTCATTCATTGCCATAACCTGCCTGTGATTTTGTCATAATCTGTTGTCATCTCTTGCTATGTTCCCCCAGGAATTAGCAAAGTAATTTCTGTCATCATGTTCGTAATTGTTTTGGCTCAGAATTGATTTTGTTTGTCCAATATGCATAAAGTCGCTTTTGTTTATGAGTTATCTATAGCACAAGAATATATGCCAAAACATATGTACCCCAATTACCTAAACCTTTTAGCAAGGGCTAATGAAAGAATTTAAAAGAATGATAAGCCCTTTCTTCTCATATCATTTTGAATACTTCCTCCAATATTTGGAGTATGTAGGAGTTCTTTTTTATTTAAAAAATTCTGCCTCAAAGACTTTTTTTTAAACTTGGAAACTATATGATCTTTTTTTATGTTTTTATACAGTTTTTCAACCCTCGCTCTCTTCCTTCCCTCCTCCCTCTAGTAGTCTCCAGTGTCTATTGCTGCCATCTTTATGTCCATGAGTACCTGATATTTAGCTCCCACTCATTAGTGAGAACATGCAGTATTTGGTTTTCTTTTTCTGTATTAATTTGTTTAGGATAATGACCTCCAGCTACATCCATGTGGCTGCAAAGGGCATAATTTCATTCTTTTTTTATGACTGTATAGTACTCCATAGTGTATAAGTACCACATTTTCTTTATCCAATCCACCACTGAAGGGCACCTAGGTTGATTCCATGTCTTTGCTATTGTGAATAGCATACCAGTGAACATATGAGTGCATGTGAAAGACATTTTCTAGAGCTCAATTTAAAGCTTAACTTTTAATGAAGCTTAAAAGCTTAATTATGTAGATGATAAGTTGCATATGTCAAAGTGAACATGTCTTGAAGGTCATTATGTTTTTCCTTCATTTTACTTCCTTATTAGTTCAAATTTCTTCATTTTTAAAATTAATGCCACCTTCCCTCCATGTAAAATCTTAGAAGCTATGAACATTTTAATGGACATTTTGGCAACAATTCTTTTATGACAGGAAATGCTTGTTTGTTATATGTTTCTAAGTTTGTGTGCTGTTTTTTTTTTTTAGGAATATAGAATTGCTGATATTCTAGAATGTGAAAATGTCGCCAGACAATGCACATTACAATGAAAATTATAATCTTATTTTTATTTATATATATATATATTTTTGAGACAGAGTTTCACTCTGTTGCCTAGGCTGGAGTGAAATGGCATGATAATTGGCTCACTACAACCTCCATCTCCTGGGTTCAAGCGATTCTTGTGACTCAGCCTCCCAAGTAGCTGGGATTGCAGAAGCCTGCTACCATGTCCAGCTAATTATTGTAATTTTTGTGGAGATGGTGTTTCACAATGTTTCCCAGGCTGGTCTCAAACTCCAGACCTCAGGTGATCTGCTCACTTCAGTTTTCCAAAGTGCCGGGATTACAGTCATGAGCCACTGTGCCTGGCCATAATCTTAATTTTAGAAACTTTATTTTTGAATGTATATATTGAATGTGTTTTATGTATAAAGGATAAAAAATAGAATAAATCTTTGTAGCTGATGAGAATCATGCTGTGATTACTTTTTATATATCATAATATGAATTATATAATATTATATAATATGCATTTTAATACATCATCTTGTGATGTGTTTTAATTATTAAAGTTGAATAGCCCCACTCCAAATGATACATGTATTGGAACTTCTTTTGCAACAATTTCCCTATCTTGTATTTCTGAAAATGTAATCAAATGATTTAGCTAATTCATAACTCTTTCAAAGCACGTTTTAAAATTAGGAAATGGTCCGGGCATGGTGGCTCACACCTGTAATCCCAGCACTTTGGGAGGCCAAGGTGGTTGGATCACCTGAAATCAGGAGTTCGAGACCAGGCTGGTCAACATGGCAAAACCCCATCTCTACTAAAGAGACAAAAATTAGTGAGGCGTGGTGCGCTTGCCTATAATCCCAGCTACTTGGGATGCTGAGGCAGGAGAATCACTTGAACTTGGGAGGCGGAGGTTGCAGTAAGCCGAGATTGCGCCACTGCACTCCAGCCTGGGCGACAGAGTGACACTTCATCTCAAAAAAAAAAAAAAAAAAAAATTAGTAAATGATACCAAGCTCAAGCCTTGGTTTTATTTCATTTGCTTTTTCGGAAGCAACATACATCCCAATATAACTCTTAATTGAAGGTATTTTATGAGAATGTATGAGGCTCTTTCTGATGGATGGAAAGCTTAACAAATTTGCTCTTCTCTAGCCTAGTGGCAGAAAATTTAGATAATAGGGTTTTTTAGTTGTACTGTAGTATTTTTTGCTCATTAACATCCAGTGAAATGATATTGTCTGCTTATGTTCAGTAGTTGTGGTTACCTAGTTATTATGGAAGTGTTTCCACATTTTTATGAACAATTTAAAAAGTCATATATTATGGAGCAGAAAATATTAATTCTGATTACACAGTATCCTCGACATTGATTTCTGTTTTTACCTCCTAAAGAACTGCACAGTGAATCCAAAAGAAAGTATACTGAAAAGAGTGAAGGATATAGGATACATCTTTAAAGAGAAATTTGCTAAAGCTGTGGGACAGGGTTGTGTCGAAATTGGATCACAGGTAACTTGAATTCATTGTAATTCGTGGTACTATAGAGTAATAATATTAAAAGCAGCATCTTTCCAGTTCGTATAAATACTCTAACAGTATTTGTCTAGTAGTATAAAATACTGTCAGATACTATATCCCTGCTGCCTGTGTATGCTGCTATTTATGGGTAACTTTATGGAAAACTACCTCCCACCCCATTATAAAAACTATGTAATAAAGGAACACATAGCCATTGTAGAAATTTTGGAAAATACAACTAAGAAAAAAATTGAAATCTTTGATATTAAATTTTTGATTTTGCTTTGACTTCTACATGTATGACTGTTCATGTATGCATATCCTAATGTGAATGGGACTATACATGCCATTTGTCAGTGATATTATTGAGTGATATTATTTCAGGAAATCTAAAGCTAATATAATAGGTAAGAGTATGGGCCATGGAGTGACAGCCCTGGGTTTATATTTGGTTCTACCATTGTTGATCTTGGACATGTCATTTAACTTCTCTGAGATTCAGGTTCTATATTTGCTCTGCTTTGTTGTGTGGCATTAATGAGGATAATATACAAAAATATATTGGAAAACTGGAGTCCACTGTACACATTTATTTCAGTGTAGTGAGGTTATATTTTGATGCCATCAGTGTTTTAAACATTGATATTTAATGGTTCTTTTTGATTCTACAGCCATGCACCACTTAACAGGGATATGTTCTGACAAATGCATCATTAGGCAATTTTGTTGTGTGAACCTGGTAGAGTGTGTCTGTACAAACCTAGATGGTATAGCCGATTGTACATCTAAGCTGTATGATATAGCCTATTCATTCCTAGGCTACAGGCCTCTACAGCATGTGTACTGAATACTGTAGGTAATGGTAACATAATGTGTTACCATTTGTGTATCTAAATATATCCAAACATAGAAAAGGTAAAGATATAGTACAAAAGATAAAAAATGGAACATTTGCACAGAGCACTTACTATGAAAGGAGCTTACAGGATTGAAAGTTGCTCTGAATGAGTCAGTGAGTCGAGTGGCAAGTGAATGTGAAGGCCTACAATATTACCTATGACATGACTGTACACTATCGTAGACTTTATAAATACTACACTTAGGCTAAACTAATTTCATAAACATTTTTTCTTTCTTCAGTAGTAAATTAACCATAGCTCACTGTAACTTTTTTACTTTATAAATCTTCAGTTTGTAAGAAACTTTTGACTCTTATAACACTTAGCTTAAAACACAAACACCTTATACAGCTGTACAAAAATATTTTCTTTCTTTATAATCCTTATTCTGTACACTTTTTTCTATTTAAAAATTTTTTCAATTTCATAAAGATTTTTGCCAAAAACAAAGGCAAACACACACATTAGCCTAGGCCTACACAGGATCAGGATTAACAATACCACTGTCTTCTGCCTCCAAATTCTGTCCCAAGTCTTCAGGGACAATAAAATGCATAGAGCTGTCAACTCCTATGATGATGATGCTATCTTCTGGAATATCTCCTGAAGGAGCTGCCTGAGGGTGTTTTACATTTAACTTTTTTTTTTTTTTACAAGTAGAAGGAGGATGCTCTAAACTAATAAAAAGTATAGTATAATAAATACATAAACCAGTAACATGTTCATTATTAAGTATTATGTACTGTACATAATTGTATGTACTATACTTTTATATGACTGGCAGTGCAATAGGTTTATTTACATCAGCATCATCACAAAGATGTGAGTAATGTAATGCATTGCACTACATTACACTAAACAATAGGAATTTTTCAGCTCCATTATAATCTTATGGGACTACTGTTAGATATGCAGTCAGTTATTGACCAAAAACGTTGTTATGCGGTGCATGATTATATATGAGATTTTTGCTCTTAGTTTGGAAGGAAATAATATGGTGTGTGTTTATATTTCTAAAATTTGGTTATTCTTTCAAATAATGGGAACTAGTTATTTGGCTAAAACTTCTTGCTCATAAGGTCAGTTTGATCTGATTTTTGCCTGTGTCAGTTTTACTAAATTTATGGACAAAGACTGTCCTCTTAATCCTGGACAGCTATCTTGAAAATACATGTCCTAGGTCATGAGAAATGTTATATAAGGTACATAAAGTGCTTAAAATAGTACTGGGCACATAACCTATCTTTAGTATGAATGATATAAACTGAAATGGAGTTAAGGAAATCCAGGTACTGGACCTACCCTCTTGTTAATTTACTTGGGAATGTTAATCACCACTTAATACTTAAGTTGTGAGTTTTAGACAAGCTAGCTTTTGTGTTGTCTTGGCGGCCATATTTGTAAGAAGGGTGAGAAGTATGTTTTAAGAAAAGGCTTTTTAAAAAATTTTAGTAATTGTCAGCTGGGTATAGTGGTACATGCCTATAATCCCAGCCTCTTGGGAGGCCAAAGCAGGAGGATCTCTTGAGCCCAGGAGTGTGAAGGCCAGCCTGGGCAAAACAGTGAGACTCCATCTCAAAAAAAAAAAAAATTTCATAATTGTGATTTTCTAAAATAGCAGGCTCTTATTTTTCTTTTTGTTTGTTTGTAGCGATACAAACTTGGAGTTCGCTTGTATTACCGAGTAATGGAATCCATGCTTAAATCAGTAAGTTAAAAACAATATAAAAAAATTTCAGCCGGGCGCGGTGGCTCACGCCTGCAATCCCAGCACTTTGGGAGGCCGAGGTGGGCAGATCAGGAGGTCAAGGCATCAAGATCATCCTGGCCAAAATGGTGAAACCCTGTCTCTACTAAAAGTACAAAAATTAGCTGGGCGTGGTGGTGTAGACCTGTAGTCCCAGCTACTTGGCAGGCTGAGGCAGGAGAATCCCTTGAACCAGGGAGGTGGAGGTTGCAGTGAGCCAAGATTGTGCCATTTCACCCCAGCCTGGCAACAGAGCAAGACACCATCTAAAAAAAAAAAAAAAAAAAAAAAAAATTCAATGCTGACACAAATAAGGTTTCAATTAAACAACTTCTTTTTTTTTTTTTAAATTATCTGTTTCAGGAAGAAGAACGATTATCCATTCAAAATTTTAGGTAAATTTTTTACTTTTAGTAAAAAATTTTTTTCTTTTTATAGAAGTAAGTATTTTATAATCTTTTTTTTTTTCCTTTAGCAAACTTCTGAATGACAACATTTTTCATATGTCTTTATTGGCGTGCGCTCTTGAGGTTGTAATGGCCACATATAGCAGTAAGTTAAATTTTCATAAATAAACACTTTTGTTCAATTTAAAGTTAAAATGTGGTGTGTTTCTTTGGTCGGGGGAGAGGGATAGTGTGAGGTTAAGGAGAAGGAATGCTTATTTTAGATCACTATATACTGAAGAATGTAATTGGTCATTATAAGCCATTTAAGAGGCTTATTTGAGTTATTTGAGGCCATCTTGGGGATAATATTTCACTAGGCTTCTCTTCTGAGTATACTGGTATACTGAATCCAAAAAAGGTACTTTTTGAAATCCCTCCGAAGACCTTTGAGATTGTAGAGTGCCAAAGGAGTATTCAAGAGTGGCCTCTACTGATATGGAAGCACTGCTGTAACCTCCATGGTTATGAAACTAAAGATTGAAGCTAGAATCCACTGGATAAACAGAACAAAGGCCAATTACAATGTTTTTAAAAACATAAATGTATATCACTTTGCAAATTATGTTGCAAATGTTAAAAGAAAGTTTTGCTTGCAGAAACAAAAGGAACATTTGTATAAGGATGCAAAACACAGAAAAAGAGGAACTTTTAGTTTCCTTATTAGTAAACAGATAAGGAAAACTGTGAATCCTCATTTATAACCAAGAAATGCATATTTTAATGAGATACCATTTTGTAACTAATGAAATTAGCAGAATCTTGAAGAATCTGTCTATCCTCTTACCAAGGATTAATGAGAATTAAAATAGATATGCCAATGGCTGATAAGATACTAAACCTGTTCCTGATATAAGTTTAGGGTATTTAAATCTTTGAAAATTTGAGATCAGCTATAAGTCCTTTCTCTAGGAAAAACACAGATTTGCTTACACTCAAAATTGGAAGGCTATTTCCTATGAGTCCGTAGACTCCAAAATAAAAAATTCTGCTCTAAATAAAAATGGTTTAACCTTTCTACTGTTTTCTTTGTCTGATAATAACTTCCAAAAAAATACCTAGCTCAAGGGTTAATATTTCATAAATAGTTACTTTTTTTTTTCATTTTTAGGAAGTACATCTCAGAATCTTGATTCTGGAACAGATTTGTCTTTCCCATGGATTCTGAATGTGCTTAATTTAAAAGCCTTTGATTTTTACAAAGTGATCGAAAGTTTTATCAAAGCAGAAGGCAACTTGACAAGAGAAATGATAAAACATTTAGAACGATGTGAACATCGAATCATGGAATCCCTTGCATGGCTCTCAGTAAGTAGCTAAATAATTGAAGAAATTCATTCATGTGCATATGGCTAACAAATTATTGTTAGTGAGAGGTGTTTCTTAACATCTACCTCAAGAACATATAGGGAATTTAATGAATAATGTTATTTCAGTCTATAGCCCAAGGATCAAGTGGAATATTAGAATGGAGCTTTAATCGAGCACCCTAAACCATCTAATACAGCACAGTGATTTATTTAAGAATAGCTTTTCTTAAAACATGCCACTTTAAAACAAAACGGATTTTTTTTTTATACTTTAAGTTCTAGGGTACATGTGCACAACGTGCAGGTTTGTTACATATGTATACATGTGCCATATTGGTGTGCTGCACCCATTAACTTGTCATTTACATTAGATATATCTCCTAATGCTATCCCTCCCTCCTCTCCCTACCCCATGACAGGCCCCAGTGTGTGATGTTCCCCACCCTGTGTCCACGTGTTCTCATTGTTCATTTCCCACCTATGAGTGAGAACATGCAGTGTTTGGTTTTCTGTCTTGGCAATAGTTTGCTCAGAATGATGGTTTCCAGCTTCATCCATGTCCCTACAAAGGACATGAACTCATCCTTTTTTATGGCTGCATAGTATATATGTGCCACATATTCCATGGTATATATGTGCCACATTTTCTTACTCCAGTCTATTATTGTTGGACATTTGGGTTGCTTCCAAGTCTTTGCTATTGTGAATAGTGCCACAATAAACATACGTGTGCATGTGTCTTTATAGCAGCATGATTTATAATCCTTTGGGTATATACCCAGTAATGAGATGGCTGGGTCAAATGCTATTTTTGGTTTTAGATCCTTGAGGAATCGCCACACTGTTGAACTAGTTTACAGTCCCACCAACAGTGTAAAAGTGTTCCTATTTCTTCACATCCTCTCCAGCATCTGTTGTTTCCTGACTTTTTAATGATCGCCATTCTAACTGGTGTGAGATGGTATTTCATTGTGGTTTTGATTTGCATTTCTCTGATGGCCAGTGATGATGAGCATTTTTTCATGTGTCTTTTGGCTGCATAAATGTCTTCTTTTGAGAAGTGTCTGTTCATATCTTTCACCCACTTTTTGATGGGGTTGATTTTTTCTTGTAAATTTGTTTGAGTTCTTTGTAGATTCTGGATATTAGCCCTTTGTCAGATGGGTAGATTGTAAAAGTTTTCTCCCATTCTGTAGGTTGCCTGTTCACTCTGATCGTAGTTTCTTTTGCTGTGCAGAAGCTCTTTAGTTTAATTAGATCCCATTTGTCAATTTTGGCTTTTGTTGCTATTGCTTTTGGTGTTTTAGTCATGAAGTCCTTGCCCATGCCGATGTCCTGAATGGTATTGCCTAGGTTTTCTTCTAGGGTTTTTATGGTTTTAGGTCTAACATTTAAGTCTTTAATCCATCTTGAATTAATTTTTGTACAAGGTGTAAGGAAGGGATCCAGTTTCAGCTTTCTACATATGGCTGGCCAGTTTTCCCAGCACCATTTATTAAATAGGGAATCCTTTCTCCATTTCTTGTTTTTGTCAGGTTTGTCAAAGATCAGATGGTTGTAGATGTGTGGTATTATTTCTGAGGGCCCTGTTCTAAACCAAAACAGAATTCTTTAAAGTATTTAGATAATTTATTTAAAGTACAGTTGTTATATATTTGAAAATGCAAATGTCTGCTCTTAAATTGTGAGATTATGCTATTTAGATTATTAAAAAGTGCATTTTTTTCTTGTTAAATATAGTAGGATTCATTTTTTCCCATTATTAAAGTATAAAAATGTATACTATTGTTCAATTATAGGTATTGGTTCAATCAATATAGGGGCACAAATTATATTGTCTAGGATTCTCTTTATAGCATTATAACTATTGATAAGGCTTTTGTTTTAATAAAAGTGGCAACTTGAGGTTATGCTCTTCAAATCAACATAGTTGGATAATACTTTGTGAATCATCAGTTTTGTAAATTAATGGTTTCTTTTGAAACTGTGTTGCATGCTAAGTATATATCTTTTAATTTGTATCAGTATATAGAAGTGGTAATTAAAAAATTAAGACTTTAGGTATGCCATAATCCTAATTTGCACATGTAACCTTAGTTTTAATTTCCTTACGTTTTGAATTTTTAATGACTAAGCGATAATTTATTTCTTAGTGTTTTCTTGTATTGCCATATAGACAGAGTGAATAGAGGAGAGAAACATGGGAAATTGATAGAAGAATGTTACACTCCTATTATTGAATTTCATAACTACTTATGGAATGAATTTACACTTGATAAGGAGTACTTAGAAGAAAACTTTCTGAATCTGGGTAATTAAGTGAAAGTAAAAATAAATAGATAAGTAAATAAAATAAGCACATAGAGTACTTTTTAAAGGCTTATGTGTCCTCTCCTCCCAGAAATTGATATTGAGATATTCCTGTATCATCTGAAAGTGACTATTGTTATTTCTTTTAGAGAATTAATTTTATTTCTATCAACACATATTTATTGAACATACGCCATATGCCTTGAATTGAGAGAGATACTGTGAAGATACAAAAAAGATAAAGGCTTGGAAAATTGTGGAGGATGTAATAGAAATTTACTGTTTAAAAATTGTTTGTACTCAAGCCTGTTTAGCTCAGTTATTTAGGGCTTCTAAACAATATTCCTTTATTTTTGAGAATTTTTGGAGAAAAAGTGACAAGCCCCAAATCTGGAAAAGAGTATGATTGATTTACAATAGGAGACGTGGAAGTCATAAGCCTCTGAATTTAAATATTAAATGTAGTATCTCTGGCAGATGAAACTATAGAGGACTTTTATTTAGTCATATATTTTTAGTGTTTGAGTCTTATATTACATTTTTAATCATAAAAACCTTGAGTGGTAGTGGATAACTTTGTGAAGATAAGTTATGCCACACAAACAGGATACTGTGTATTTTTCCTGTGAGAATAATTGACATTATAGAGAAGGGATATGGCATAGATACATTTGCGTTTTCACAGACTTTTTTTTAAAATTTGAAATATAACACATATTAAGAAAAGTATATATCTCAAGTGACAGTTTGGTGAATTTGTCACAAATTGAACACATCCGTGTAAACAACACCCAGATAAAGGCCCAGAGCAAGCTTTCATAGTCTTTTGATTCTGTGTCATAATAAAAAATTCTCGTTAAAACTGTAGATTGATAGGAACATATTCACACAGAGTTGTTGACTGAGGGAAATTTCAAATGAGGTGCTGCTTACTTCTCTCCTGCCAATAATTTAATGAAAGAAAGAACATCATCTTATTTTTAATGGTTGTGTGGGGAACTGGGTTCAGCATTTTTGCTTGACAGCCTTGAGATAAAATAAATCCATAAGGAAAAAGCCCACTTCTGTTTCTTTTCATCCCAGAGAGATTAATGGGCAATATATGAGTGTAAGATACTGGAAAAGTCTGTTGAGAAACCTAGTGAAATCTCATTCTCTGAAAAGTTGGGGGATTACAGGTGCTATCGAATGCATCATACCTAAGGGTTAGATGAAATGACTTCCAAGAGTTTGGCCCTATTAAATCTGTTAAGAGGTTTATAATGCCAGCAGGTGATGAAATGAAATTTGGATGCCTTAGTTTCAGTATTTTCAGAATTTATCATATTTTTTCAATAAATGTTTATAAATCAAAGTATGTCAGATGCTTTATTCCCTATATGATCTGTCTTTCCTGGACTATTCTGGACTCTTCCTATTGATCTCTCATTTGCTACCTTGAGACCATTTCTCTCACAGCAGCCAGAGAAATCTGCTCATAATGTAAATCTCATCATGCTAATTCCTCAGGTAAAAAACCTCCTGTGGAGGACATATTCATCTGGTAATGTTGGAAGAAGACCCTACCATATGGCTTTCTGCAAAAAAGACCACTATACTACCTGTTTGGAATACAAAAAGTAACTGACTGAAATTACTGGACAGGAAGAACAGATGCTAGTTGAGAAAGAGAAGAGGGGAGCTGGGAGCCTGAGGAGAAGGCTTTTAGTCTAGGGCTAAGTGCAGTAGGTATAGGGAAGGACAGTAAGGTAGGGCAGGGATGTCAGTGGGAAAACTATGGGTCTCTTCACCAGGAAAACTGGAAAATTGAAGCTAGGGAAACCTTGGCCACTGAAGAGAGTGGAAGAATCCTGCAAGGGAAAGAGCCAAGAAAGGGTACCCAGATTCTGTCTGAAATCTGAATAATTCCTGTGTGTCACAGACTCAGAGCAGCCAAATGAAGGGCAAAAGATCTGAACTGAAACTGGAGTTGCTGCCCAATAAACAGAACAGTTCAAGTTAAGCAAAGATAATTGCTTCTTACAACAAAACCATTCTCATTTTAGAAAAATAACAGAATTTAGGATCTTCACAATGTAACATTTATGATGTTCAGGATACAGTTCTAAAATTATCCAGCATAGAAAGAAGGTCAAAGAAACCAAATGCTGGTTTATAGAATAGGAGCTTTAGGCCAGGTGTGTGGTGCACACCTAATCCCAGCATTTTGGGAGGCTGAGGTGGGAGGATCATTTGAGCCCAGAAGTTCAAGACCAGCCTGGGCAACAAAGCAAGACCCCATCTCTTAAAAAAAAAAAAAAAAAGCTAGGTGTGATGGCATGGTGGCATGTTCCTGTGGTCCTAGGTACTTGGGAGGCTGAGGCAACACAGCGAGACTCTGTCTCAAAAAAATAAAAAATAAAAACAAAAAAACTAGAATGGGAGCTTTAAGTTAACTTTGGTTAGGCATTGCTAAATGATGGGGATACATTCTAGGAAATACTTCATTTAGGCAACTTTGTCATTGTGTGAACATCATAGAGTGTGCTTACACAAACCTAGGTGGTATAGCCTGCTACACATCAGGGTAGGAATAGCCTGTTGCTTCTAGACTACAGACCTGTATGGTATTTTTTTTTTAATCTCCACTCTTGAGTATGTCTTTTTAATATTCAATGTGATGAAACTGAAGTATGTAGAAAGTTGCATACCAAAGTATGATAGCTGTCTTGAGGAAAAATACTTATTTTATTGGTTGAGTTGTGAACTGAACCCGTCACTCTTTTCGTGAAACACATGTGTTACTTGTAAGACTGATAAGCAATTGTGTTTATTTATGCTTGGGTATGTGGTAGATTCTTGAAAGTGAACAAAGTGAGCCTGTCATTTCAAAGAAAACAACTGACAGTAAAGGTTGCCAATGATAAATTTTGTGTTTTCAAGTAAAAATTAGAATTTTAGAAACTTGTATCCACCACTGAAAGCTTGACAGAGTCCTAATATATAAAATACTTTTCTGATGAAATCGGTGGTGATATCAATGAATGTGAGAGATTTGTAAACATTTACAAGAAGTACATAATTCAGTGAACCAGTATTTCCAAATGACCAAATACATCGTTATAAAATCATTCACGGGTAAGATATTCATTAAAAGTTCAAGATAAACCAATGGATTTTAAAGTCTTAAAATACGAAAAATTTATTTCGGTTCATTGAGATTGTTTCCAGTTCCGCCCTGCAACTAACCTTTAAGAAACTATGACTTGTCGAGTTTTGGCGTAGTGTCAGAAAACAGTAACCATAATTATCTGAAAAGGTTATTAAAGTACTCCTCCTCTTTCCATATGAGGCCAGATTTTTCTTTGTATACTTCAACCTAAACAGCATATTGCAACAAAGTAAATGTAGAAGCGGATAGGAAAATTCAGCTCTTTGCTGTTATGCCAGATAGTGAAGACATTCAGAAGATCATAAAACAGTGCTATTGTTCTATCTTTTTTGTTTTGTAGAATATGGTTATTTTTCATTAAAAATTATTTATGTTAACATAATGGGTTTATTAAGATAAATATTTTTAAATTTTCTCAAGTTCTTTTGAGCCCTCAACATCCTTTAATGTAAAAAAGCTATTAGCTACTTTATGCTTCCTAATGGAAGAATATATAACCACCTTGAAAACATGATGTTGAAAGAAGCCAGTCACAGAAAACCACATATTGTATAAATTCATTTATATGAAATGTCCACAAGAGGCAATTCAGTAGAGATAGGAAGTAGATTATTGGTTTTCTAAGGCTGGTGGGGAGGACTAGGTGTTTTGAGGATGATGGCTAGAGAGTATGGTTTTTCTTTTTGAGATAATGAAAATGTTGTAAAATTGACTCATTATTGTAGTCAATTTTATAACACTTTTATCATCTCTGTGAATATACTAAAAACTATTGAATTGTACACATTAAATGGGTGAATTGTATAGGATGTAATTTTTTAAATTTCTGTTTTAATTAAATTTTAACTAAATTAAGTTTTAATTACTAACAAAGTAAATATTAATAGATTTAACCCACACAAACAAAAGCTTTTGGGGTCCTTAGTAATTTTAAGAATATAAAAGGGTTTTGAGTCCAAAAAGTTTGAGAACCCTTGCCTGTATTCTCTTCCCCACTCAGACTTGTCTTTCACTCACACAACCATGTTTGTTTTTGCCTGTCCCTGAGTCTTGAAATGCTTTCCTCTGCCTTTTTCTTGACCAGATTTTAAGGTCCATTTTGCCTTTCCTGATCATCCTAGTCTATAGTCATTCTTCCCTCATTTAGTCTTAAATTGTTTATTATCTATATACTTAACTAGTCATTTATAAACTTTGTTTTACTATATGTGCATATCTCATGTTAAATTCATGTAAAGTACTTAAAACAATATCTGACATTGTATTATAAAATGTAGCAGTTAATTACATAAGGGTAAAGAACAGAGAGGAGTCAACTTATGATGACATGCAGGTTTCTGGCTTGTATAACTTAAGTGGATAGTAGTGTCATTCATTAAAATAAGATACCTAGGATTGAATGAGGTTTGCTTGGGAAGATGAATTTCATTTGATGAGTTTTAAGTAATTATAGGTCATTTCAATAGAGGTGTCAAGTAGCAGTTGGATATGTGTGTCTGGAACTTAGGAAAGAAATCTAGGCTAAGATTATGGACCATAAAAAATGCCACCCTTTTTTGACAGTTTATCTTGTGCCAGGCACTTTGGTGAGCACTTCTTAAATTTAATTTTCATCATAATCCATGAGGTAGTTTACCCTAGATCAGGAAATGAATGCTTAGAAAAGTTTAATAACTTGCCCTAGACCACACAAGCAAAATGGCAAGATCTGTGATTTGAACCCAGGTCTTTCTGGCTCCAAAGCTATTAATCCTTATGCTTTGCTGAGTAACTGAAGTTTGGAGAAGGGATAAGATCACTTAAGGGGAGAATATAGTATGAGAAGAGAAGGAGGCTAAAGATAGAATTCTAAGGAGCTCTAACATTTAAAGGATGGACAGAAAAGAGAAGCCTGTGCCTACAAAAGAGATTGAAATAGAACAGCCAGGAAGATAAGAAGAAAATCAGGAGAAGTGGTATCATAGAGAGACCGACCAGGTGCAATGGCTCCCGCCTGTAATCCCAGCACTTTGGGAGGCTGAGGCAGGTGGATCACTTGAGGCCAGGAGTTCGAGACTAGCCTGACCAACATGACAAAACCCTGTCTCTACTAAAAATACAAAAATTAGCTGGGCCTGGTGGTGAATGCCTGTAATTCTAGCTACTCGGGAGGCTGAGGCATGAGAATCGCTTGAGCCCGGGAGGCGGAGGTTGAGTGAGCCAAGATTGTGCCACTGCACTCCAGCCTCAGTGACAGAGCAAGACTCTGTCTCAAAAATAAAATAAAATAAAATTAAATTAAATTAAAAACTGAAAAAAAGGAAAAGGAGAGAGAGAACATTACAAAGTCTGAGTGAGTGCTTGCTCACTCAGACTTTTCAGATAGGAGCTGAAAAGTTTTAGCAACAATGAAGTCACTGGTGACAGTGACAAGGACTGTTAAATGAAGGGGTGGGGATAGGATGAGATCTGAATGAGAGATAAAGTGGACACAGTCAAATAGATGGCTTT
The DNA here is from genome assembly GCF_000001405.40 of Homo sapiens. Classification (NCBI taxonomy): domain Eukaryota; kingdom Metazoa; phylum Chordata; class Mammalia; order Primates; family Hominidae; genus Homo; species Homo sapiens. Next base: position 48,389,397 of record NC_000013.11, read on the forward strand.
TATCAAAAGTTTTGCCTGTGAAGAGAAATAAAGATATAACAGAAGTAAAGATACAGCTTGATGTATGTGAAGTAGAGGGAATATAAACATATTTTTTAAATCAGAAAGGTAGGGTTTAAATATTGATGGAAAAGAGCCATTAGAAGTGTTCTCTATTGCTGGATAACAAATTAGTGGCTTTAAACAAATATTTTATTTTGCTTATGATTTTTTGGGTCAGGAATTTGGGTTGAACTTGACTGGGTGGTTTGTCTCCGACTATGTGTCAGCAGGTGCCTGGAGCTATAGGGTCCACTTCCAAGATGCTTCTTCACTCACAGGTCTGGCATCTTACCGCTCCTTGGTGCACACTCAGCTCTCTTCCTCCCATCCTCCCTCCCTAGAGTGGTTAGAATGTTAAGCTTTGGAGTTTTCACCTGCAGAGAGAAGATAGGAGATTCATAGTGAAAGTAGAGGTTTTAAGAAACAGGATATTTGGCAGGGTGCAGTGTCTCACACCTGTAATCCCAGCACTTTGGGAAGCCAAGGTGAGAGGATTGCTTGAGCCCGAGTTCAAGACCAGCCTTGGCAACATAGGGAGACCCTGTCTCTACAGATAATTTTTAAAATTAGCCAGGTGTGGTGGCACACACCTGTGGTTCTTGGGAGGCTGAACTGGGAGAATTGCCTGAGCCTGGGATGTTAAGGCTGCAGTGAGCTGTGATTGCACCACAGCACACCAGCCTGGGTGGTAGAATGAGATCCTGCCTCAAAAACAAACAAAACAAGCAAACAACCCCAAAACAAACAAACAAAAAGTAACAGGATATTTCATTAAATAATTCATTCATTAAATAATGAAGTTGAACGTAATGAATTTAATGAAGTTTAATAGGTGTAGTGGGAGTAACAATGAGAATGAAAGTGTAGGAGGTTGTAGTCAAAGAGTTGTTTCACCTTAGAATTTCTGGAGACAGAACATTTCTGGGTAGTTTACTGTATTTTAAGAAATGATCTTGGGAGTGCATGAGGATCCTGGCCAAGGAGCCAGAAAGTACAGTGAGCAAGAGTCCAGGACATGTAGCAAGGAGGAATGTGACTGAAATAAAGACTAATGTCTTCAGTGCTTGAGGGGAGTAACCAGGAGACAAGTGGGACTAAATGGGGCAGAGGGCTAGAGAGGTCCTGAAAGCAAAACTCCTGGCTCACTTAAAAAAAAACTAATCTCTCTCTCAATACCTAATCTAATGTCTAACATATAGAATTTAGGTGCATAAAGCATTAGATTTGTAATGTCCTTTGATGAATTTACCTCTTTAATCATTATAAAATGACCCTCTCTTTATCCCTCGTAATATTGTTTGCTCTGAAAACTACTTGTGCCTGATACTAGTGAAGCCATTCCAGCTTTCTTCCCATTAATATCAACATGGCATATTTTCCCCATTCTTTATTTAACTTATACGTGTCTTTATTCTTAAAGAAGTGATTTTCTTATAGGCAGCATATTGTTGGGTGTTGCTTTCTTAAATCTTGCCTAACAGTATCTGCCTTTTAATTGGGATGTTTAGATTTAAATTTAATGTGACTATTGATATGGTTGGGTTTAAATTCTCCATCTTATTATTCATTTTCTATTTGTCTCATCTCCCTTTTCCTCCCTTTCCTCTTTTTCTGCCTTCTTTTGGATTGAATTTTTAAAATTCTGTTTTATCTTCTTTGTAGGCTTACTGTCTATACTTCTTTATTTTGTAATTGTTTTTTGATTTATAATATGAATCTTTAATCTTTAATAGTCTTTCTTTAAATAGTATTACACTACTTCACATACAGTATAAGAATCTTAGAATAGTATATTTCCATTTTCCCTTTTCCAACCTTTGGGCTGTTGTTGTCATACATTTTGCTTCGACAGAAGTTATAAGCTCTACAATACACTCATAACTTTTGTTTTAAACCAATTATCTCTTAAAGAGAATTCAAAACAAGAGAAAAAAGATGTTTTTATTTGATTACATATTTACCTTTCCAGTACTCTTCATTCCTTGTGTAGATCCAGATTCCTTTTGTTTTCCTTCTGACTGTAAAACTTTTTTTGGCCAGGGGCAGTGGCTCATACCCGTAATCCCAACACTTAGTGGGGCTGAGGCGGGAGGATCTCTTGAAGCCAGGAGTTCAAAACCAGCCTAGGCAACAAAGCAAAACTCTGTCTCTATTCTTATAAAACAAACAAAAAGCATTTCTATTTTTTTTTTCTTTTTGAGATGGAGTCTCTCTCTGTCACCCAGGCTGGAGTGCAGTGGCGCGATCTTGGCTCACTGCAACCTCCACCTCCTGGGTTCAAGCGATTCTCCTGCCTCAGCCTCCTGAGTAGCTGGGATTACAGGCACACGCCACCATGCCTAGCTAATTTTTATATTTTTAGTAGAGAAAGGGTTTCACCATGTTGATCAGGCTGGTCTCGAACTCCTGACCTCGTGATTTGCCTGCCTCGGCCTCCTCCCAAAGGGCTGGGATTACTGGCATGAGCCACCGCACCCAGCCAACAAAAAACATTTCTTGTGTGCATGTCTACTAGTGATGAATTCTTCCAGCTTTTATGTCTGGAAAAAAACATTTTACCTTTATTTTTAAAAGGTCTTTTGCTGGGTATTGAATTCTAGGTTGACAGTCTTTTTGTTTTTTCTTTGAGTGCTTTAAAAATATTGCTCCACTGTCTTCTGGTTTGCCTTGTTTCTTTTTTTCTTTTTTTTGAGATGAAGCCTCGCTCTTTTGCCCAGGCTGGAGTGCAGTGGCATGATCCCAGCTCACTGCAACCTCTGCCTCCCAGGTTCAAGCGATTCTTCTGCCTCAGCCTCCTGAGTGACTGGGACTAAAGGCACATGCCACCATGCCCGGCTAATTTTTGTATTTTTAGTAAAGATGGGGTTTCACCATGCTGGCCAGGCTGGTCTCGAACTCCTGATCTCAGGTGACCCACCCACCTTGGCTTCCCAAAGTGCTGGGATTACAAGCATGAGCCACCACGCCTGGCCTTGTTCTTTTTTTGCTGTATCTTTTTCCTGCAGGTTTTTCTTTCTGTATTTCATGTTGAATACCTTCTAAAGCTATGTCTTCAAGTTTATTAATTTTTTTCTTCTGAGGTATCTAATCTGCTATTAATCTCATTTATTGTATTTTTAGTCTTACTATAGTTTTCATTTCTAGAAATTTGATTTGGGTCCTTTTTATATCTTCCATATCTATTTTTATTATGTTTATGCTTTTCTTTACCTTCTTGAACATATGGGATATAGGTATTATAACTTTTTAAATGTCCCTGTTACTAAGTCTAGTACCTATGTCTTTTTAGGTCTGTTTCTCTTGACTGATAGTTCTCTCTCTCTCTCTCTTTTTTTTAAGAGTCGTATGTTTCTGCTTTTTTGACTGCTTGGTGATTTTTTTGTTAGGTGCCAGATATCATGAATTTTGCTTTAGTGGGTCCTGGATATTTTTGTATTCCTTTCACTATTTTGACCTGTGTTTTGGAACACAATTAAATTATCTGGAAATAATTTGACTTTTTTAAGGCTTCATTTATTTATTTATCTGGTTTTTGTTTTTGGACACAGAGCAGTCTTTAATCAATAGCCGATTTTCCTTCACTATCCAGGCATTGCTCTTCTGAGTACTCTACTGAATATCCCATATATGACAAGGTTTTTCCACTCTGGCTAGTTGAAAGCAGAACTCTTCCTGACCCTGTGTCAGCTCCTGGAAGGATTCTACTCCTTCCCATGGTTCTTCCCTGGTTTTGAGTAGTATCATCACATCCATGCACTGATCAGTACTCAGCTGAAGACTCAAGCTTAACCCTCTGCAGACCTCTGGAGTTCTCTTTTTGTAGCTTTCTTCTCTCTAGTATTCTGTCCTGCTAATTTTAGTTTGCCTTGGCATCTCCCATTTCTTAACTCTGTTTCTTCAACTGGGGGACCACTGGGCTGCATTCCAGTTTCTCATCTCTGGACTGTGGACCATAAACTGTCCCCAGGCAGTAAGCTGTGGCAATAATGAGGCTCACCATTTGTTTTCCTTCTCCCAGGGATTGCTGTTCTGTACTGCCTGTTGTTTATTGTGTAAAAAGAATTCTTTTATTTATGTTGTTCAATTTTGTGGTTGTTTAAACGAATCTGGTCCCTGTTTCTTCATCAGAGCTGGCAGGGTTACTAAACGTAAGGCTTAGTGATTGATGAAGTATTTACAAATATGAAATATGTACACTTACAGAATATTTAGGGTATCATTTCCGCTTCCTTGTGTTAAATGCATCAGGTCTTCTGACTGATGCATTATACTGTTTCAGAGGGGTGCTTACTATATGGAGAACATAGAAGTACTAGTTATTAACTATTTTTTTGTATTAAATTTTGGTACGTCACATAAACATTGAGTCTCCTTTAAATGTGTCAAATGTAGCTGACTTACTAATTGGATTCTGTCATACTCTTTTTCTGTGGTCACCAAATATTAGCAAATTTCTTCATTCAGTTACACAAGTACTTGGCCAACATACTTTTACATAAGAAAATACTTAGGATGGGCTGGCAAGATAGCCAAATAGGAACAGCTCTGGTCTGCAGCTGCCAGCGAGATCAACCCAGAAGGCAGGTGATTTCTCCATTTCCAACTGAGGTACCTGGCTCATCTCATTGGGACTGGTTAGACAGTGGATGCAGCCCACGGAGGGCAAGCTGAAGCAGGATGGGGCATCACCTCACCCGGGAAGCACAAGGGGTTGGGGAACTCCCTCCCCTAGCCAAGGGAAGCTGTGACAGACTGTGTCATGAGGAACATTGCATTCCAGCCCAGATACTATGCTTTTCCCACAGTCTTCGCAACCCACAGACCAGGAGATTCCCTCGGGTGCCTACACCACCAGGGCCCTGGGTTTCAAGCACAAAACTGGGCAGCTGTTTGGGCAGATACCGAGCTAGCTGTAGGAGTTTTCTTTCGTACTCCAGTGGTGCCTGGAATGACAGCGAGTTAGAACCATTCACTCCCCCGGAAAGGGGGCTGAAGCCAGGGAGCCAAGTGGTCTACCTCAGCGGATCCCACCCCCATGGAGCCAAGCAAGCTAAGATCCACTGGCTTGAAATTCTCGCTGCCATCACAGCAGTCTGAGGTCGACCTGGGATGGTAGAGCTAGGTAGGGGGAGGGGCATTCCCCATTACTGAGGCTTGAGTTTTCCCCTCACAGTGTAAACAAAGCCACCAGGAAGTTCAAACTGGGCAGAGCCTACCACAGCTCCCTAAATCCGCTGTAGCCAGACTGCCTTTCTAGATTCCTCCTCTCTGGGCAGGGCATCTCTGAAAGAAAGGCAGCAGCCCCAGTCAGGGGCCTATAGATAAAACTCCCATCTACCTGGGACAGAGCACGTGGGGGAAGGCGCAGCTGTGGACACATCTTCAGCAGACTTAAACATTCCTGCCTGCTGGCTCTGAAGAGAGCAGCAGATCTCCCAGCACAGTGCTCAAGCTCTGCTAAGGGACAGACTGTCTCCTCAAGTGGGTCCCTGACCCCTGTGCCTCCTGACTGGGAAACACCTCCTGGCAGGAATCAACAGACACCTCATACAGGAGAGTTCCAGCTGCCATCTGGTGGGTACCCCTCTGGGACGAAGCTTCCAGAGGAAGGAACAGGCAGCAATCTTTGCTCTTCTGCAACCTCCACTGGTGATACCAGGCAAACAGGGTCTGGAGTGGACCTCCAGCAAACTCCAGCACACCTGCAGCAGAGGGGCCTGACTGTTAGAAGGAGAACTAACAAACAGAAATGAATAGCATCAACATCAACAAAAAGGACGTCCACACAGAAACCCCATTTGAAGGTCATCAACATCAAAGACCAAAGGTAGATAAATCCATGAAGATGAGGAAAAACCAGCACAAAAAGGCTGAAAATTCCAAAAACCAGAGCGCCTTTTCTCTTCCAAAGAATGACAACTCCTCCCCAGCAAGGGGAGTTTGACGAATTGACAGAAGTAGGCTTCAGAAGGTGGGTAATAACAAACTCCTCCGAGCTAAAGGACCATGTTCTAACCCAATGCAAGGAAGCTAAGAACTTTGAAAAAAGGTTAGAGGAATTGCTAACTAGAATAACCAGTTTAGAGAAGAACATAAATGACCTGACGGAACTGAAAAAACACAACACGAGGACTTTGTGAAGCATACACAAGTACCAATAGCTGAATCGATCAAGCAGAAAAAAAGGATATCAGAGATTGAAGATCAGCTTAATGAAATAAAGCGTGATGACAAGATTAGAGAAAAAAGAATGAAAAGGAATGAACAAAGCCTCCAAGAAATAGGGGACTATGTGAAAAGACCAAACCTATGTTTGATTGGTGTACCTGAAAGTGACAGGGAGAGTGGAACCAAGTTAGAAAACACTCTACAGGATATTATCCAAGAGAACATCCCCAACCCAACAAAACAGGCCAACATTCAAATTCAGGAAATACAGGGAACACCACAAAGATACTCCTCAAGAAGAGGAACCCCAGGACATATAATCGTCAGATTCACCAAGGTTGAAATGAAGGAAAAAATATTAAGAGCAGCCACTGCTCAAGGAAATAAGAGAGGGCACAAACAAATGGCAAAACATTCCATGCTCATGGATGGGAAAAATTATAGCGTGAAAATGGCCATACTGCCCACAGTAATTTATAGATTCAATGCTATCCCCATCAAGCTACCTTTGGCTTTCTTCACAGAATTAGAAAAAACTACTTTAAATTTTATATAGAACCTAAAAAGAGCCCATATAGCCGAGACAATCTTAAGCAAAAAGAACAAAGCTGGAGGCATCACGCTACTTGACTTCAAACTATACTACAAGGCCACAATAATCAAAACAGCATGGTACTGGTACCAAAAAAGATAAATAAACCAACGGAACAGAACAGAGACCTCAGAAATAATGCCACACATCTACAACCATCTGATTTTTGACAAACTTGACAAAAACAACCAATGGGGAAAGGATTCCCTATTTAATAAATGATATTGGGAAAACTGACTAGCCATATGCAGAAAACTGAAACTGGACCCCTTCCTTACACCTTATACAAAAATTAACTCAAAATGGATTAAAGACTTAAACATAACACCTAAAACCATAAAAACCCTAGAAGAAAACCTAGGCAATACCATTCAGGACATAGGCATGGGCAAAGACTTCATGACCAAAACACCAAAAGCAATGGCAACAAAAGCCAAAATTGACGAATGGGATCTAATTAAACTAAAGAGCTTCTGCACAGCAAAAGAAACTATCTTCAGAGTGAACAGGCAACCTACAGAATGGGAGAAAATTTTTGCAATGTATCCATCTGACAAAGGGCTAAAGTCCAGAATCTACAAGGAACTTAAACAAATTTACAGGAAAACAAACAACCCTATCAAAAAGTGGGTGAAGGATATGAACAGACACTTCTCAAAAGAAGATATTTATGTGGCCAACAAACATATGAAAAAAAGCTCATCACCACTGGTCATTAGAGAAATGCAAATCAAAACCACAGTGAGATACCATCTCATGCCAGTTAGAATGGTGATCATTAAAAAGTCAGGAAACAACAGATGCTGGAGAGGCTGTGGAGTAATAGGAATGGTTTTATACTGTTGGTGGCAGTGTAAATTAGTTCAACCATTGTGGAAGACAGTGTGGCGATTCCTCAAGGATCTAGAGCCAGAAATAATATTTGACCCAGTAATCCCATTACTGAGCATATACCCAAAGGATTATAAATCATTCTACTAAAAAGAACATGCACACATATGTTTATTGCAGCACTATTCACAATAGCAAAGACTTGAAACCAACCCAAATGCCCATCAGTGGTAGACTGGATAAAGAAAATGTGGCACATATACACCATGGAACACTATGCAGCCATAAAAAAGGATGAGTTCGTGTCCTTTGCAGGGACATGGATGAAGCTGGAAACCATCATTCTCAGCAAACTAACCAGGAAGAGAAAACCAAACAACACATGTTTTCACTTATAAGTTAAAACTGAACAGTGAGAACACATGGACACATGGAGGGGAACATCACACACCGGGGCCTGTCAGGGGGTGCGGGTCTAAGGGAGGGATAGCATTAGGAAAAATACCTAATGTAGATGATGGGTTGATAGGTGCAGCAAACCACCATGGCACGCGTATACCTATGTAACAAACCTGCACATTCTGCACATGTATCCTAGAACTTAAAGTATAATAAAAAAACAGAAAATATTTAAAATATATCTTTCAAATTATCTTTTCAAATTTAAATCGAGGGTCATTTTATGTATGAGTATAATTTGTAATGAATAGCCCATAGTTTTAGAGTCCTGATTCATTGACAAACTTATAAACAAAATTTTAAGCTTTTTTGGTATTCTTTTGAAATGTCAAAATTGATGGGAAGCAAACACAAAAGGGAGAACAGTCTGTGGCTCTGAAAAAACCAAAAAGGATATCTGTTGTATGTTTGTATGGTGGGTCATTAACCTTTGGTGTACTTTGCAGAAGTATTTTAAGTATTTACCATTGGACATTATTTGTTTTAAGTTATATTTTGCTGAGAGCTACAACTCAGGAAGGCAAGTGAATTGTAAGATAACGATTAAGCCACATTTAACACTTTTTAAAAGCATGGGCCAGGACAATGAAGCAGTATGATGCCATATATACTTTTACACAACAGCCATGCTAATATAATGATAAAGCAATTATGCTATATTTTTAAAAGCTTCTCATGAATTACCTAAAATAACCATGTATTTACTTTTCTTTGCCAGAAAGAGGAAACATTTTATTTTAATTTTAAAAAATTCAATTCTGAAAACATAGCTAAAGCTTTAACCTTTCTCACTCTGACCCAATATATTCCTAATATAGCTTTGCCCTTGACTTCCACAGCTAAATACTAGTTTCTCAAGTGATTTAGGAGACTTGACTTCATTATTCAAAACTGAAATTATTTAGCTTGTTCTAAATGCAACTTTGCTTCCCACTATGTCTATTTTTCCATTACTTTTCAAATCATCTGGGCTTAAATACTGAGCACTTTCTCCTTTTCTTTCTCAATAGTTTGATAGAGTCCTGTAATTTTTTTTTAAAGCTGTCTCTCATATTTATTATATTATTATTTTAATATACTTCATTACACTTCCCTAGAACAGATCATCAGCTCTCTTTAAGTAATTTGTCTGAGGTCACCCAGTTGGCATTTGAACTCATATTGGTTTGATTCCAAATTCCATACTGGTTTCTAGTAAAGGTCTCTGTCACTGTACTACATTATTTCTGTGAAATCATTCATGCTGTTTTTACTACCTCTATAATATATAGTCAGGCATATGGGACAGTATAAAGGGAGCAATACAAATAGTAAGTTAATTTTATTCTAAGTGAAAGCATAATATGTATGTGTATTTTTTATCCTGAGTAACAAGGGAAGTGTTTTGCCTAGGAGCTAATAAGTAACAAGAAAGGGAAAAGTAACATTTGTTGACTAGCTCCTTTGTGCAGTGCACTGTGACTATTGGTCTGGCTTATTCCTCAGGAAGAAGGATTAAAAGAAGACTTTACAAAAATGAGCAAACTATATTATAAAAGTAAATGCTAGTATGCATATATGTTTCATTCATGCAACTCCTAGAAATGAGAATTTACTATAAGTGTTTTCAGAATCCACAATAATTTAGGTTGAAATTAGGTATTTGGATCAACTTTCAAGGGAAGGGGTGACAATGAGGTGAAATAGACATCTAGATTGTTTTCGTAGACTGAAACATTGGACCTGAGGTTTTTGTTGTTGTTTTACTCTTTCTCTGTTTTTAGTAAAAGATTCCAGGTATGCCTAAAGTCATCTTCTATACGAATGCAAAAATGTAACGACAAAGAAGGGAAAATAAAAGAAGGCAATATCTTAGGAATAAATATTTTATAGTGACATTATTTTTCTGCTAGTGAACTAATAATCTACAAAAATTTTAAGATAGATAAGCAGAAAGAATACAAACAAAAAAAGATAGTAATTTAACTCATATGAATAATCATCCACTGAAATGTAGCAAGGATATGCTACATATGAAATGTAATTAGATGATTGCTTAAAGATCTAGGAATATAAGCTCAATGTAATAAAATAACTTTCTTCATCATTGTTAAGGATTAATAAGGCATTAAATGGGTTTTCATGTGGGTCCTCATATGTTAAAAAGGACAACAATAAGAAAATCTAAAGAAACTGAGATAACTTATAAATCAATGCAGGTATTCTGTGTTAAATGCTTATGTAAGCCTGAGTTCTTCATCCAGATCTGTTTATGATTTTAAACATAAAATCATTTTCATTTCTAAACCTTTGCTCAAGTAACTTGTAGTACCTGAGTCCTATGTCTGATCCCTAAGTCTATTCTTTTCTCTATGTATCTATACCCTTCTTTAATTTTAAAACACTCTGACATATGAAAAAATGCCAGAGTTTACTGTAGAGAAATATTCATAACTTGTCTATTCATGTCACTCCTCCCCACCACACCATCCATATTATACACATTACCCATTCTCTTTGTTCATTAATTGGCAAAAGGGACTAAGAAATTCAAGGATGTCCAAAAATAAAAAACAAACAAAAATCTAACAACTCAGGAATGTCCTGTAGGTAGCTCATAGAAACTTAGTTTAGGAAGTAGTGCTCATCACTTGCTTACTTCTTTGGAAGTTTGTCTGATAATTATACAGACCAGCATCAAAATAACTCTCATTTATGTGTGTGACATTTCAGTGTAGAAGTAATAATAGGTAATGTTTTTGCATATGTCCTATTATAGGTACTGTTAAAAGTGCTTCAGTGTATTAACTCATAACTTCTCACAACTCTATGAAATAGATTCTGTCATCACTGTTTCACAGATGGAGAAACTTTCCTGTGTCCACAAAACTGGTTGGTGACAGAGCCAGAATTTTAACTCAGGCTATCTGGTTCCAGAGACTATACTTTTAGCCTCTATGTTGCCTTTTAGTGTATATTAGTTTACTGTTTGGTATGTGCATTGTCATGATTCGTTTATTTGCTCATGTTTTATCTGTGTTTGTATTTTTGTGTTTGTGAGTGTTACTATGCTATGGCAAAAAGGGCCTAGACTTTGAATTAGCGGATCTTACTTAATATTCACAGAAGCCTGGAAGTGTAAACACTGCTATCCCTATTTTATAGATAAAGAGACCTGAGGTCCAGAGATGTCATGTAACTTGCTTTGGTGTGGTTCTGAACAAATTATGTCTCTGTATCTCAGGTTTCCTTGTATGTAAAATAGGGATAACTTTCAGTTGTTGTGAGGAATAAATGAGCATTTATGAGAATAGTAATTAGAAACATAACAATTAATTGTTAGTACCCTTCATTCCTTTTCCTCTGCTATACAGTGATTTCATAAGAACAGAGAACCGAGGATTCAGTTACACAGTATTAACCTGTTTATCTTGGCTTACTATAAGTACAGAGAATTTTTCTCTTCTCTTGAGGCACCCCTCCTCCCCCATCACCTTCTCAAAATGGAAAAAGTTCAGGGGGAAAAGGCATCATGGGACTCCAGCATTGTTAAGTATGGGCAGTGTTCACTGTTATATTACAGTTGGAATTTGTTATGTTGCTTTAGTTATGAATCATGTCAGTAATTACCCTGAGGGTGGTGTTAGTTCACTATTCAAGTACAAACAAGAAGGGAAGTAGCAATGGTAGAAGAATAGCTAGGACATACTCTCTGTACCTAACCTGTGGGATGGAAGCACATATACTCTTATTCAGAGAATTTTATAAAGAGTCATGATGTTAGATAATTACTTGAATTTAGTTTTAGAATTTTCAGTTTGTAAACTTACAGTCAAATCTTAACTGGAATTGTGAGGAAGGGCTCTAGAATTCTGGATATGCAAGAAACAAAGAAGAGAAATAGGAGAAATCGATCCTAATTAGTGTGGCTTCTGAATTTCTGCAGCAAAATAAAAGGCTGTTATTAATTATTGAGTTTACTAAAATTTTAGAACTACTCTAAGGCAATTATGCTTCAATCATCTAAGCTTACTTACCTTTAATTATAAAATAGAACAACTTTTTGGCATTTCATTTTTCCAACTATTTATAGCATGTTTTAAAAACTCTGAACTGTCACGACCCAGTCTGTTTCAACATACACATTTGTGGTCCTTGGTGTTGTTACTAATTTACTTAATTGGGTCTTCATATTTTCAGCTTTTCTCAGAAATGGCCAAATATCAAAGGTATTTTTGGTGTCTTCCTGTAAGTGCTAGATTTAGAACATGATAAGGAAACGTAGAATAGGAAACAGCTGGATTTGTTTCTTAGCCTTTTCAAAAAAGCCTTTTCTTACTTTGCTAAGTTTCAGTGGTTCTTATCTCCACTAAATATAACAACAAATTTATCTTTAAGATTTTGATTATATTCCTTAAGAATTCTTCAAAGACTAACATAAATCTGTCTTGCTATCTTTTAAGTCTGGTCATTTTATCATTATGCCCTTTTCTTATTTTAAGATAATTTAATTGTCTAAAAGTTTTTAAATTTACATATTAAGTAATGATAGTTTTTATATTAGGTTTTATCATTTAGTTTTTTTCTTTTAAACATTAAGATGAAAAAGGTGGAGAAGTGAAATTACTTGTCTTTTACATGAGTCATAAACAAAAATGAACATAGGATACACTAATCCAATACTGAACTTACTATCTGTTCTTGAAAATATAATTTTTTTGCATTATCTTTTTCATAGGAATATCAGACACCTTTAATAGTGTACACTTTTAGATTGGCATCTGATTTAGTTGAACCCACATATTTTAACGGGGTCTTCTGAAAATAAACGTTTGCACATTTCAGTTCCAATGAAGAACAAATGGCCTGGGGAAGGGATGGAGAGTGGTAAAGAAATCCCTTGTAGAAAACCTTTTTTTTTTTTTAAACAGATGAGTCTCACTCTGTTTTCCCAGGCTGGAGTGCAATGACACAATCATAGCTCACTGAAGCCTTGAACTCTTGGGCTCAAGTGATCCTCCCACCTCAGCCTCCTTAGTAGATGTGACTACAGGTGTGAGCCAACACACCCAGCTAATTTTTTTTATTCTTTGTAGAGACGGGGTCTTGCTGTTGCCCAGGCTGGTCTCAAACTCCTAGACTCAAGTGATCCTATTGCTTTGGCTTCCCAAAGTGCTGGGATTAGTCATGAGCTGCCACTCTTGGCCTACAGAAACTATTTATATGTGTCCTTTGCTTTATTTTTCTTTAAATGCAGGTCCATTTTTTCCCCTCGTTTTAGGTAGCTAAGATTATATTGAATCATGTGTGTTTCAGTCTTTGTCATCTCAGGAAGTCTTATGAGACCACAACATAAAGTATAGTAATTTTTGTCCAATAATTTTGGCCATTAGCAAAAATTACCTATATGACATATAAATCAAATGGTATAATTTTTTAGTGCTAAGTCTTAAGTAGTATTCATTTTTATTTAAATAAATTGCTTCTGTTCGTAAAGTACTATATATAAAACCTTTTTACCTTTTTTATATATAAAACCTATGATTCATAGGTTTTATGTCCTATTAAAATATGAGCTAACAATAATTGGTAAAATTAGTTGGAAAATTATCAGTTTTAAAAGAAAATTAAATTGAAGGTTATGTTGTTAGTAATTTAAAGATCTCCTGTGTTTTGATGTAAAAACACTATTTTTTAGCAGCAGTCAAAGGGCTTAAGTAGTATGACTTTTTGTGTAACTTGGATTGTGCAATTGCTTTTAAAAATGAAACTATTTCTCATTTATAATGAGATAATGGAACTCAGTGTATCGGAAGAGCAGACTGAACACACACTTCTACCTCCTTTCTCCCCGCAAACCCTACAGAAGTGACAAAAAAGACACATATCACAGGGGAGTGAAACCCAGCAGTACTCAGACTGTGAAGCAGAAAAACTGTGGAGGGAAGTGGAGGAGTTGATTCATTTTTTTAGTATAAAAAATAAATGATGAGTGTATTGTGGATACAATAAAGTAGAGAAAACCACAGCACACAACACCCCCAGGAAAGGGGACTGGTGGAAGTGGGAGTCTTAGAGAGCCCCCAAGCTCAAAGTAGCAGATACAGAGAGTGGGGCAATAATCAGGAAGGTTTTCTAAAGTGCTGTTTGGCAATGGTCCTCAAACTTGAGCATGCATCAAAATTACCAGGAGGGCTTGTTAAAACACATATTACAGATTGCTGGGCCCAGTCACAAAGTTTCCAGTGTAGGGTCCAAGAATTTGTATTTCTGATATGTTTCCAGGTGATACTGATGCTGCTGGTCTGGGTACTACACTTTGTGAGCAACATTTTAAGAACATGAAACACCTGGACCAGTCCCCCATCTAAGGCCATGCCAGCCTATGAGAATAAAAAAAATGCACCTCTGTAGTCCCAGCTACTTGGGAGGCTGAGGAGGGAGGATTGCTTGAGCCTGGGAAGTTGAGGCTGCAGGGAGCCGTGACTGCACTACTGCATTCCAGTCTGGGTGACAGAATGAGACACTGTCTCAAAGAAAAACGAAAAAAAAGCACCTTCCTCTTTACTAATGGATTATAAAAAGATGCCGTCCGGACACAGCAACCCTAAGCTTGGTATGCAGAGTTTAGGCTGAAGCCCCATGCTGTTGTGCAGTGCATAAACTGTACAGATACAAGCCCGCGCCCACCTTCAAATTTTGTGTACACTTACAGACACGGGGCTAGGGTTTCCTGATGGTGCCAAAGAGAGAAGCAGAACAGAAATTGAAGTAAACCGAGACTTCTGTAACAGACCTAAAGAAAAAGAAATAGGAAAGGCAGTTCTTCCTAGGAGGAAAATACAACAAAGTATTGTACTGGTAGGTTATGTAGTTCCTTACTTTGGTATTTTCAGGTACCTCAGTTCAATATTTATTCATTACCATAAGAAAGACCAGAGGAAATGGAGGAGAGAAAATAATAAAAAAGAACAGAAAAAAAAAATTCCAAAACTAATGAAAACCAGGGGGCTTCAGATGGAAAGGGCCCATAGTGCCAAGCATGATGAATGAATGTGGATACTTTTTGTTTTTTTTTAATGACAGTCTCGCTCTGTCGCCCAGGCTGGAGTGCAATGGTGTGATCTCCGCTCACTGCAACCGCTGCCTCCTAGGTTCAAACGATTCTCCTGCCTTAGCCTCCTGAGTAGCTGGGATTACAGGCACGAGACAACGCGCCCAGATAATTTTTGTATTTTTAGTAGAGACGGGTTTTCACCATGTTGGTTAGCCTGATCTTAAACTCCTGACATCGTGATCCGCCTGCCTCGGCCTCCCAAAGTGCTGGAATTATAGGTGTGAGCCACCCCACCCAGCAAAAAATTCAGAATTCTAAAGATAATGAGAAAATTATAAAAGCTTCCAGAGAGAAAAAGTAAGCTATTTTAGGGGAATGAGATCCAGATCAGCACAGAAGTTCTCATTAGGAATACTGGATATTTTATAACCTAAAATTTGTCAAATATGACAGCAAAATGAAATTTGGAAATGCAAGGACTCAGAATGTTTATCTTTTGACTGCCCTTTTGAAATGAAATTACTAGGGAATATGCTTTAAAAAAATGAAAAAAGAATCCACAAAAGGGAAATCATAAGACCTAATAAAAAAACTGTCACACCAGAGCAGAGAGAAAAATGCAAAAAATCCTACGATGCAACAAGCCCAGAAAATGTTTGTTCCACATGAGAAATCAGATAGTTTCATAAAGAATGCCTTCAACAACAAAATGGTTTCTTTTAACAATTGTATAACCTCATCTAAATGGTGGGAATTTAACAAATACAGTTTAAAGTTGATAAATCAAGTAATAAGAGTAATAATGAATTTGTGTATTAACAAAAGAAAATTTGCCTTTTTTCCTCGGGCTTTTGAAGAATTTTAAGATTCATTCTAATTATTGAGACCAATTATGTGCCAGACACTAAAATAAATGAAGTTCTAGGGTGTTTTTCTCCCATCCTTGTTGGCCCATAGTTTTGACTGCATATAACAGGAGATGGCATGCACAGCCCACAGACCATAAATTTTGTTTTAACACAGCCGCTTTATTCATTTATATATTGTCTGTGGCTGCTTTTGCACTGCAGTACAGAGCTGAGAAGTTGCAGCCAGAAAGTAGAGCCTGCAAACCGAAAATATTTACTATCTACTCCTTGAGAAGAAAGTTTGTCAATACCCAATATAAAGCATTAACATGTTTCCCAAAGTCGTAACTATACAAAAAGGTATAATCTGAAAAATGTCATATTCTTTGATATTCCTTCTATCCCATTTCCAACCCCACCCTTGTTTTTTGGTTTATCTTTCCTGTGTTTCTTTTTATAAAAATAAGCAGGTATGCACGTTTTATTTTGCCTTTTTCTTATACAAAAGGTGGCATACTATGTGTGCTCTTTTATGCTTTTTTTCATTTAACACTACCTTCTTGAAGTCATTCCATATCAATTTATAGAGATATTTCTCATTATTACAGCTGCATAGTACTGTATTTTGTATATATACTACAGTCTGTTCAACTAGTTTTCTATGATTGGACATCTAGGTGGTTTCCAGTATTTTGCAATTTCAACTATTACCACAATAAATAACTCTGTGTGTGTGTGTGTATGTATGTATGTATGTGTGTGTTATGTAATTGAAATTGTGTCTTGAGGATCAATACCTAGAAGTAAGAATGCTGGGTCAAAGGGTTAATGTGTGTGTGTATGTGTGTGTTAGATATTGCCAAATCCCATCCATAAGGTTTGTACTATTTTTCATTCCCACCAGAAATGTATGAAGGTAGCAATTTCTCCATGACGGCCACTGTCCAAATTTTGCCAAGTAATGACATTAAAATATTCTTCTCATCTATTATCACCATCATTTAAAAAAGAATTTCTCCCATTTTAATAAAGGAAAAAGGACAAATCAGAAAAAAAGGATAAGAAGAGCCCTTTAAATTGTATAAATATAGTTCTTGTTGTGATTATTTTTCTTTTCTTGCTGAAGACAAATGCATCTCTACCCTGTATCAGACGAATCTTTATTTGATCATGTCTCCCCTACCTTGAAATTCTTGAGGACTTTCCACAGCTTCTCAGCACTTAACGTGGTCTTAACATGGCATATAAGTACGTGTAAGATGTTAGCCCTATTTCTCCAGCCACTTTGAATGTTTTAATTCTTTCAGTATCCAAATTCTCTCCCACAGGGCCTTTGCCTGTGGTGCTTGCCTTGCCACCATTAAGTAACTAGACAAGTAAAAACAAAGAATCTGGGTTCAGCCAGGTGCAGTGGCCTGCACCTGTAGTCCCAGCTGCTTGAGAGGCTGAGGTGGGAAGATTGCTTGAGCCCAGGTATTCAAGTCCAGCCTGGGCAATATAGCAAGACCTCATCTTTCTATTAAAACAAACAAACAAACAAACAGGGTTCTTACCCTGGCGCTACATTAATTTGTTATGTGACATTGTGTCTGTTGTTTAGTCTTACAGTTCCTCAGTTTCCCCAGCCTAAGGTGTAGTTACATCAGATGACCATCAGGCCCTTTCTGTTCTAAGTTGTGAATGTTCCAGAAGCCATTTTGATAGGACGATAATGGAACCTAGCACATTTACCCCATGGCTATTAACTGTAACGCTGCTGTAAGTATACAACACATAATTGTTTCTTACAATTATTTATTTTTAAAAATCACTTGAAATCTATTATGAGTAAACCAAGTTTTGAGAAAACTGATTATTAAATTTTTGAATTATACCCCTTCTGGGGCTCTATCTTTTGAATTCTGTTTTTAACACTGCTTTTCCAATGAAAGAGGTAATTTTCTACCCTTTTAAGAGGTTATTGTAGTAAATCTTTTGGGAGCAGGAAGACAGGAAGGTAGGAGAGGCTTAACACTATCATTTTAAGGTAATAAAAAAGAGAGAGAAGTTTGCCTGGTGTTAATCTCCTGTTCATTTATTATCTGATCTGTTGCCTTGTTTAATTGACATTCTTTGTACTTTTATAAAACTGTCTGACATCAAGTAAAAATGATAAAGAGAAAATAGAAATTTGAGAATTAGAGATTTTAGGAGTTATGTACATGCTGATCTCTGGAAAATATTGCTAAATAAGTAATGCTGTTGATCATTAAGTACTCTGGTCGGTTTAGATATTAATGTGTGTTCTACATTCTTAAGTTTGTTCATTAGTCCTTTTTAATTTGTAATTTATTTCTTAGAAGCCATGTTATAAATGGGTAATTCAGTTTTCAGGAAAGCCCCAAAAAGCTTTTTAAAAAGTTTGTTTTTGGAGTCTTTAAGATTTCATCCCTGCCTAAGCACTGTTTATAAAATTGTTTCTACACAAAAATTTATTCACAACTAAGAACATTTGTGACATCCAGAGTTGGACTGGCATTTAGGCACGAAAAAAGTTTAGGTGCTGGAAGGTAGTGATGCTTCTTCTTGGAAATAGTAATTTAATATATTGACAAAGGACAAAATACTTGGTTCATCAGGTGTCCAAAATTGTAGGACCAAAAAGCAATTGCTTCAGATTCTTGATAACTATGTACCATTCATGAACCAAATGTTTCTCGGATGGGAATATGAAGTTTGCTCCATTTTCTATTTT